>NC_000018.10:35911206-40911206 GCF_000001405.40 Homo sapiens
CCTTTGGGAGGTAATTAGGTCATAAGTGTGGAGCCTTTATGAATGGAACTAGTGCCTTTATGAAGAGACATGAGAGAGAATCCCTCTCTCTCTTTCTCTCTCAGCCACGTGAGGACACAATGAGAAAGTGGCTATCTGCAAGGCAGGAAATGGATCCTCACCAGACACCAGATCTGCTGGCACCTTGATCTTGGACTTCCCAGCCTCCAGAATGGTGAGAAATAAATTTCTGTTGTTTATAAGTCTATAGGACTTTTATACAGCAGCTCAAACGGATCAAGACAAACAGCAATCCTGTTTCCTTCATGATGACACATTTTGTGATGACACGATGGCTTACCCCTTAGGATCCCCACAGAAATGACCTTGCATCTACACCTCTCTGGTGGTCATCTAGATCCCACTCAGTAGATGAACCCGTCACCCCCTCTGTCTCACAAAGGATGAACTTGCCAGTGAGGCAAATCCAGGATGTGCCCACACTCTTCTGAGAGCAGAATTCAGAGAAGGGACAGTTACCTGGCTGGCAGTCACAGAGGTAGCATAGCTCCTTGCATGTTGCAGGGGTTTGGCATGCTTGGCTGAATGAACAGACCAATCAGTGAGGGTCTGACTTGAGGTAGGCCTTTCACAGAAATCATGGCTATAAACTTTTGCATTTGCTGTGCACATACTGTATGCCAAGCACACTCTTAGCAAGTGGGAAAGATCCTGACCAATTCTGGTGATAAGTTTGGGACTCCCAGCAGGTGTGGCTTACCCTCTTGGAGATCCAAGGCACATCTTATGAAACCATATGAGCGTAGGATCAGTTCAAAATTACAAAATATCAGCCTGCATATAAAATAGATTTAGTGAATTACTTTCAGAATATTAAAGGTGGGGAAGCCCCTCTGGACAGAGAGAAGGTTATCTTGGAGGCTGGGACCCCTTCCCTGCTGTAACCTGTACATCCTTATCAAACACATTGCAGGAGGCCAGAAAATCATGACAATGTAACTCGCTGGCTCACCTTCCTCCAGACTTTGCTTGACACAGCCTTGTCAGAATCCCCGATACTATTTTTAAATTGCCACTTCCCCTCTCAGGCCCTCTAGCTGGACCCCTGCAGTGGTCTCCTAATCAGGCTTCCCTTCTCATCGTCTCCCCTCATGTCACCTATTAGTTACCCCACTTCCCAAAGAATAAAGCTGAATCCTTAGCCCAGCATTTAAGACGCCTTACTTAAAAGCATCTGGTCTCTGCCATACTCCCCGATGGGTATTTCACAGTCCGGAAGAATTAACTGCTTGCTTGCCTCTATTCCCCACGACTCTGCCCACACCCTCTCCTCCTTGGGGCACTTCCCCTTCCCCTTTCCTGCCCTTCACCACACTGTCCACCCTTCTGAGGGCAACGCAGGAGTCCCTTCTCAAAAGACACCCCACTTCTTACCTCCTCAAGTGTTAACCTTGTCCTACATTTTTGACTTTTTTAAAAATACTGCAGGTCTTTGTAAACAATAAATGTTTCTTAAACTCCAGGGTTGTAAAGCTCTATTTGATTAGGAATTGAATCATGTATGCCTTTGTGTACCCTGTGGTCTCCAATAAGATATCTTGGATATTGAGGTATGCAATAAATATTTGTTGGACAAATTAATATTTAATTACTTCATACAAATTCTCCTATTTATCATTGAAATAGCCTTTTTCTTCAGCACACATAATACAATTCAGTATCTCAGAAGTTTTCACTGATATCATTTTCTTGAGCACAGTTATTAATAATTTGCCTTAAAATGCTCATTTAAGTGCCCAACGTGAAGATAAAGAGATCTGCTTTCCCATTGACGCTCACACTCAACCATAATTATCTGTCATAAGAGGCGCAAAGAGGTGTGAAGATGAAAGCTCGGAAGGTCGGATGTGCTGTCTCAAAATCCTGAAATAGGGGACAATTATCAGCAGCCTTAAGTGCTGGGGGGCACTGTTAATTGTACACGAGGCCATTGGTTCTGAATGTCATAAAATTCAGTCTCCCCTCCCCCATCCCACCACACACACACACACGCACACACACACACACACACAAAACACACACACAGATGCAAAGCCATCCTTCTCTCTCTTGGGAAGAAATGTCCACAAATGCACAGGTTTTGAGATAACTGAAGTGTGCACACCGAAGAACCAAAACTTGAAAACATGCAAGGGTCCAAACGGGACTGCCTAGCCTTTCTAAACATGAGATTCTCAACATAATTCAACCTTTCATTTATTGTTCAGGGTCATTACCATAAATATTATTTATTGTGCTCTGCAGTCATACTGTGATTTTCTCAGCAGCACTGTGCCTTTTCCTCTCAATTGCTAAAATATTTAGTTTCTGCATCTGCTTTTCATCATCTTTCCATCTCGCTATAACTGTCAGATTCTTCGTTGTCATTTCATAAGGGGACAGCTTGCAGAAGCAGTCTCTCCCACACCTACAACAGACATATACATCTTTGGAAGGGCCAGGAGACTAGATGGCCACGTTGGCCAGAGCTGTATCAGAGTAAGATGCATGTTGCTAAGGTAGAGAACAACCAGTTCCTGTTATATTCGTGCTGGGAGATCTGAGGCCTTTTCTTACTTGCTCCCTGGATCCCTAGAAAGTTCAAGTTGTAAGTAAAGAAACACAGTTCAGAATGGAGATGGCAGGAAAGCTCTGAAACAGTGTCAGTATAATCTCTTCTTTGTGATCAGCAATTTAGTTTCAGCACACCAGCATCATTCATCACATTAGATTAATGCCACTAATTTGAATTTTATTGGTTTTGTAGTTTTTATTATATTCGGTTTAGACATTTGTTTTGGCTTTATAGCTGTATATGAACTTTTGCGTATTTAAGTAGCATTATAATAATAAAATCCACAATGGGGATCCATAAGAATTTTTCTCAGTTCTGCCTTGCAAAACCTTCCTTGGTTTGTACCAGCACCTGACATTTGGCCTGCTCTCATTGGGGAACCTGTCCTTTGACTCAGTTCTTGACTAGTAGTTGTTACTGTTTGGTGTAAAATGTCTGGCAATAAACACTGTTGCCCAAGAAGGTACTGATGTCCGGCAGGGGAACTAGGTTATAAAGCTATCAAGGGGTCACCCAGGGCATCTCGAATATACGGACACTCATCTTTTTATGCTATCAAAATATCCATGAATCTTTTTTAAAAATTAAACTTATTGAGATAATTGTGGATTCACATGCCATTGGAAGAAATAATAGAGAGATCCCATGTACGCTTCACCCAGTTTCCCCAATGGTAACATCTTGTAAAATCTATAGTAACATCACAAACAGGAAATCGACATTGATACAATCCACTCATCTTAATCAGATTTTACATGCACTCACTTGTTTGTGTTTATTTTTGTGTGTTATTTTGTGTTTAGTTCTATGCACTTTTATCACATACGTAGGTTCATATATACACCACCACAGCCAAGGTACAGACCAATTCCATCACCACAGGGATGCCTGGAGCTGCCCTTCTTTAGCCACACACCCCTCCCTCACGTGCCGCACACACACCTCAAACCCCTGGCAATCACTCTATGTTCTCCATCCCTATAGTTTTGTCATTTCAAAAATGTTATATCTATGGAATCATACAGTATGCAACCTTTTAGGACTGGCTGTTTGTACTCAGCATAATTCCCTTAACATCCACCCATATTGTTGCATCAATGTTTGCTCCTTTCACTGCTGAGCAGAATTCCATGGCGGGCATGCATGTACTGCAGTGTCTTTAACCATTTACCCATGGAAGCACATCTGGATTGTTTCCAGAGCTGGGCTATTATAGAGCTGCTATGAGCATCTGTGGACAGATTTTTGTTTGAATGTAAGTTTTCATTTCTCTGGGAAAAAAAAAATTCCAAGAGTGAGAATGCTAGGTTATAAGATAATTGTATGTTTAGTTTTAAAAGAAACTTCCAAACCTTCTCAGAGTACCCGTAGCATTTTACTCAGCATAACATTTTAGAATTATCTTAAAGAATGTGTGGGCTGGGTGTGTTGGCTCAAGCCTGTAATTCTAGTACTTTGGGAGGCCAAGGCGGGAGTATCACTTGAGCTTAGGAGCTCAAGACCAGCCTGAACATAGGGAGATCTCTTCTCTACAAAAATATTTTAAAATTAGCCAGGGTGCAGTGTCAACTATTCTGAAGACTGAGGCAGGAGGATCGCTTGAGCTCAGGAGGTTGAGGATGCAGTGAGCCGTGATCGTGCCACTGCACTCCAGCCAGGGTGACAGAGAGACCCTGTCCCAAAACACACACACACACACACACACACACACACACACAAGAATGTGTGGGCCCCAGTTTACAAAACACTCACTTAGTGAGTAACACCAGATAACTAAAATATCGGCAAGGTGTTCTTGAAGATATAAGAAGGGAAATGGCTTGTACTGGGGGAAAAATAATTTTTTGATCGTAATGAGTAGATACTGAAAAAACTTGTAAGAGTTTCAATTAGTTTTCTGTCTCCCAAATGGTGGAAGCTTGAGTTTTGGAGACAGTGTCCCTCGTTGCGGGGGAAACATTCTAAATGGCCTTTTGTCTATTTGAATATAAACCAAGTCCCCACTTCCTCGGGTCTCAAGGTCAACCTACCTCTAGAAGTAGATCTGCAGCAAAGAAGCTGGAGGTAGGTTGATGCTGTACATAGAAGGTGCCTTGTGGCTGACCTAGGTAGGGCTTGAAGCTCTAGTTTCAGGTCCCTCACCTGTACAGGTCACTTCCTAGACCCTGGAAACACGGTCATAAATTTCCATAAGCTTTCTAAAAGTAAGATATTTTAACCGCAATTGAGTAAGACACTGCCTAACTCTACACCAGCCTTCCCTATCTATGTCACATTACCTGAAGGCCAGATGATGGTGGAATGGTCACAAGCATTTAGGGGATGCAGTAAGAGAAATAAAGTTGGGGACACATGTAGTTTGGGTTTAATGAGATCTTCTACATGGTTTGCAGTTACTTCCATATGCAGTTACTGCCAGCTGCCCTGATGCAAGAACATCTTCCAGGAATGTCCTGCCACCCTCTGAGCCAAGTCCCCTGGCCTGCCCCTGAGCATTGAGGGCCAGTGGTCAGATTGTAACATGAACATATCTTGGGGCCCCCAGCAACAGAAGTATGTGGGTAGGAGGAGAAACAGGTTTGAAATGCACAGAGGCAGAAGCTGATCTTTGGAAAATTCCTTGAATCATCAAGATGAGTAAAATTATAAGCAGAAAATTCAGATCTCATCAACCCTATTCAGAATGGAAGTTCTTCCTTGTCAGTAATAGTTTCGATAATGAAGCTTATACAATTATAAATGCACCACACTCTTCCCATTTTTGGTGAAATAAACTTGTCAGAATTTCTGTGTTTGTGTGACATGACTTGGAAAATACTACCAACACCAAGTAAGTCTATGTGGGAGTTGCATGTTTATATCCCAACACATCAGATCACATTTTAACATATTTGAAACATCTTGTTCTGATGAAGTCTGGTGGTTCCAGGTGAAATAAATTTTTATCATTCTTGTAAAGGAAAATATGCTAATTAAAAATATGTTAAATAGAAAGCATTATCTTTCTATTCTGTCTATAGAATCTGATAGATAATCAAAGAGTATGCAGCTAAAAAAATAGGAGAAAACATAGAAGCTATGACTTAATTAAAATAATAGGCTATTTTCCTAGATTTAGTGCTATTTAAGGTATTTTTCAGCTTTTAAAAATTTGCCGTTTGGGTAGGTTTTTCTTCTCATTCTATATAAATACTTTCATAACTAATTTTGTATTCATAATTCTGCAATCTGCCCCTCTCTGAAGACCACCTCTTTGGAAAAGCATGAGTGTTTTCTGGGTGGACTCAGACTGACCTACCTCTGCCTGTGAAGTGTCACTTTTCATTGTCTATTTGGGTGGTTGTTTTCCAGAGGTCCACAGTGAAAGTTCAGATTGTGAGAAACACAGTCACAGATTTCTCCCTTCACCCTGCCAGCAGAGGAGGCTGTTCCTCAGTCTAGAGCTTATCAGACTGTTCAGGGCAGAGTAATCCTGACATTTTTTCAGTTTCTGGAAGCCACCTGCTTCCTTAGCTTGTGACTGTGTCACTCTGATCTCTGCTTCCATTGTCATATTCCCTCCTTGACACTGACTCCTCTGCTTCCCTCTTACATGACACTTGGGATTATACCTGGATACTCCAGGATTAGCCACCTGCCTGTCATTTCAAGATCCTTTTGCCATATAAGGGAATATACAGGTGCCGGGGATTCATATGTGGACATTTTTGGGGGCCATTATTCTTTCTATTACAACCCTCAACTTGCTGTGTGATCCTGAACAAGCCATCCACCTCTCTGAGCCTGTCTCATCTTGCGTATCATGAAGAATTGAACTAAATTATGTCTTTCAGCTCCAAAATGAAAGACATAATTTCATTGGGTTATGTGGTTCTGTGACCTAGGGTTCACCAGCATACATTGGTGAGATGGGAACTCAGGCCAAGTGCCATCTCTCTGGTTATGACTGAGACTGTCCCTGTGGAAGCAAAATAGCATGGGGCTGACACCAGGACCTGTGGCTTCTCAAGGTGTTTCCCTATTCAAACTAGCCTGGTATATTAGATTTTGTTTTACTTGCTATCTCTTTTTATTATTTATTTATTTTTTTGAGACAGTGTCTCACTCTGTCACCCAGGCTGGAGTACAGTGGCACAATCTTGGCTCACTGCAACTTCTGCCTCCTGCATTCAAGAGATTCACCCTTCCTCTGCCTCCCCAGTAGCTGGGACTGCAGGCACCCACCACCATGCCCAGCTAATTTTTTGTATTTTTAGTAGAGATGGGGTTTCACCATGTTGGTCTCGAACTCCTGACCTCAAGTGATCCTCCCACCTCGGCCTCCCAGAGTGTTGGGATTACAGGCGTGAGCCACCGCACCCGGCCTGTTTTGCTTGCTGTCTTGAATAAAGCTGTCTCATGAAGCAAAGGTAATGACTCTTTGGTGGTCTTCATGGATTTGGATTTGCAAATTCAGTCCTTAAAATGTTTATTTTCCCTTAGTTGCTTTATTTAACTAACATAACACGTTGCTATTTCCTACAACCTCTGCCTGCAGTCACACTCAGTAGGATTGCTCTTTTACCTCCTCCCTCAATGACATTCTGATAGAGCTTGGACCCTACCATGTCACAGCCTTGACCTCACATCCAGCAAAGTTTCCTCCTCCTCGCCCGTCTGGCCAGAGAGCTGGGGGTCAGGAGTGCAGAGGGGCCTGCTTGGAGGGCCAGCTCCCCCTTCCCGCCTTCCCTCCTCTGGGTCTCCACTCCTCAGCAGGGGTGGTACAGGGAGGCATGCAGAAGGATGGGCAAGAAGGAGCTGAACAAGCAGCCTCCCTTGCCCAATGCCTCAAGGTCAACCCTGCTAGCTGTTGATGTCCTGTGGGGAAGGGGGCACCCAAATGCTGTTGTGTCAAGGGGTGAGACAGGCTTCCTCAGAGGCCTGCAGGAACCACACCATCACTCCCTTCCCTCACCCGGGAACATGGCAGACCTGCCCTACTCAGCCTTCTCCACTACCCCAGCTCCAGCCCCCAGCAGTTCCCACACCCCACATTCCTAGCTCAGCCAGTGACTCAATGACAGTTAAGCCAGGGAGCCACCACCATTTTGGCCACAGTGAAGGGCAGGCCTGTAGGCTGCTCCACTGCAGGTGGCCCTCTCCTTACTACACCAGCTCTCATAGGTTCCTATCCCTCCACACAACAGGTGTGCTGCATATGCAGACAGTCAACCAGGGAATGACCTGCCAGTCACCTTTTCTGCCAATCATTCATTCACTCTGCAAACATGTATCAATAACCCAGGATGAAGCAGGCACAGCTGGAGGCACTGAGAATATCACGAAGACATAAAACTCCTGCCCTCATGGAACTTACAAATAAACAAATCACATGTTAGAGGAGAGGGGAGAGGGGACTGATCAAGGTAAGAGGGTGAAGGGTGCCAGTGGCATGGGGAATTTAAATGGACTGGTCAGAGAAAGTGACGTTTCAGCAAAGACTTGAAGAGGGTGAGGAAGCAGGCCCTGCAGATATCTTGGGGAAGGTGCCAGGCAGAGGGAGCTGGTACAAGGCCCTGAGCAGGGACTTACGCATGATGTCAAAAGAACAGGGAGGAGGCCAGGGTGGCTGGGGCTGAGTGGACAAGGGCAAGCAGTCAGAGGTGAGGTTGCAGAGGTGAGTGGGGAGGGCAAGTGAGAAAGGCCAGAGAGGCTACTGTAAGGTCTCAGGAACTTACTCTGAATTCAAGAGAAGACACTGCAGGAAGTGGGCAGGAAAGTGATCTATCATCTGGCTTTTAATAGAACCCCTCTAGCTGCTCTATGGACAGCAGACTACAGTGAAGCAAAGGCAGAGGCCGAGAGACCAGTCTGGAGGCTGTGAGTGAGCCAGGCCAGGGGTGATGGGGGCTTGGACTAGCAAGGTAGCCATGGAGATGGTGAGAAGTGGTCAAGTCTTGATGTATTTTGGAGTAGAACTAACAGAATTTCCTGATTTGATGAGAAGTGTGAGAGAATGAGAGAAGTCAAGTTTTTTTTCCCCCTGAGCACCAGGAAAGATGGAATTGCCATTAACTGAGATGGGAGGAGGAGCAGGCTGGGTGGGGGAGAAGGAGATCACACTAGTTTGGACATGTTCAGTTTGATGTGTCTGTTAGGCATTCAGTGGTAACAGCAGGGAGGCAGTGGACTTCAGAGGAGAAGGCCAGACAAGATGTATAAAGTGTATAAAGTGAACAGCTGTCAGCATCTAAATGATATTGAGAGCCACGAGATATGGGAGAAAAATAGAGCCCAGAAATAGATCCACATAATGTAGTCAACCGATCTTTGGCAAAGACAAATTAAGTAGAGAAAGAATCGTCTTTTAAACAAATGGTGCTGAGACAACTGGATGTCCACATACAAAAAGTGAAACAGACATAGAACTCTACACTTTTCACAAAAAAGCAACTCAAAATGGATTATGGACTGAAATGTTAAATATAAAGCCATAAAACTTGTAGAAGAAAATATAAGATTAAATATATGTGACCTTGGGTTTAGTGTTGAGTTTTTAGATGCAATGCCAAATGCACGATCCATAAAAGAAGAAAAAGGATAAGCTGAACTTTTAAAAAATAAAACCATGGGACTGGATAAGACCACTAAGGGAGGGAGTGCAGAGAGAGAAGAGAAACAGTCCAAGGACAGATGCTCTAACATTTCCAGCATCTCCATAAACAACTCTCTTGAACTCCCTTCATTTTAAGAGAGTTGGGATAGGCTTGGAGATACAAATTTGGAAGTCAGCATAGAGAGTATTTAAAGTTCCCACCACCCTGTATGAGATAACCTGGAGGGTGTTCCAGGCAGAGGAGAAGAGAAGTATAGAATCAAGCATTGGAAATCTCCACCCTGAAGTGGTTGATAATGATGAGTGGTAGCCAACGTGGCAAAATGAAGAGGAACAGCAGTGAGGCAGCTGAGCCAAGAGACAGTGCTGTTCCAGAGGCCAGGGGAAAAAGTACTTCAGGAAGGAAAGAGTGATCAACATGTCAAATACAACTGATAAACCATGGAAGGCTGAGGATTAACTGTTGGACTGGCCACATGTGGTCACTGGCAGCAATGCTGTGGCCTGTTTTGGTGGAGTGACAGATGCAAAGCCCTGCCTCAAGGGAATTAAAGATATGGGGACAGCTACCTTAGACAGCTATCTTATTTCATCAGATAATTTTCTGAAAAGGGAATCAGAAATAATGGGCAGTATTTGGAGGAGAAGCCCTATCAAAGAGAGGGCTTTTGTAAATGGAAGAAATTGCAGCAAACTTGCATCTGACACAAATGGTCCAGTAGACAGGGGAAACTTGACAATACAGAAGGGAAAGATGAGAATTGCAGGAGGAGAGGGTCCTGCAGAGAAAGGAGACAGTGGTCCACACTCAACCATCTAATACTACAGGAAATAAGATTCAAGTATATCTGGGAGGTTCTGAGGAGTTCAAACATTGGGCCAACTTTCTCACGAAGTCTGCTGTGTAATAGCAGCTCATATTCTGAGCAGCACCCAAGGGTACAAGTTAAATCAATGACATGGAATTTCAGAGGACAAGAAAATGGTAAGCAAATAAAAAATCTAGGCACTTATTCTACTTTCTCAAAGGCAGCTCTACAATTATCTAGCAATGTACAAGTTTGGACCTTCAAGTCAGTTAATGAGTTTCACTAATCTTTCACAGAATATATATTAAAAGATGATAAGCATTAGGTGATTGTATCTCTTAACACATGAAACTTGTTAAGCCTAATACATTTTTTTCTTTTATGGGAACATCAGCTTATGCAAAAATAGTTAAGTTTTCTGTGTTTTGCTTCACTCCAGGTGCAGGGCAGAAGCTGTGTTTGCAAAACATCTTCTGTTTCATCAGCATATAAAACTGTACACAGAACACAGAGTAGTAGCTGCCTAGGTCTCAGGGGTAAAATAGGGGTGTCAATGTAAATGGGCAAGATATTTCTTTTTGGGATGATGGAAGTGTTCTACAATTAGATTGTGTAGTATATTTACAACTCTTTAAATATACTAAAAATCATTGCATTGTACACTTAAAACAGGTGAATGGGCCGGGCATGGTGGCTCACACCTGTAATCCCAGCACTTTGGGAGGCCGAGGTGGGCTGATCATGAGGTCAAGAGATTGAGACTATCCTGGCCAACATGGTGAAAACCTGTCTCTACTAAAAACACAAAAATTAGCTGGGCATGGTGGCGCATGCCTGTAGTCCCAGCTACTCGGGAGGCTGAGGCAGAAGAATCACTTGAACCCAGGAGGCGGAGGTGGCAGTGAGCCAAGATCGTGCCACTGCACTCCAGCCTGGTGACAGAGTGAGACTCCAACTCAAAAAATAAAAACAAAACAAAAGAAAAACAAACAAGTAAATATTATGGCACGTAATTATATCTCAAAACTGTTTCAGAGAAGACATGGGTGCTCCAGGAGGACGTTGCTACCCTCCAGCTCCAGGATATCTTGCTCACTTCTCAGAAGCCAGAGCTTGCCTTTAGTGCTGCTGGATCTGGAAACTCCGAAGCCACCTGCAGAAGTCAAGGCTCTGTCCAGTGGCAGCTAAGAATTCCACAAATTCAACAAGGTCTAGCCCCCAATATGTTTGTGTGGTGATTTGATTCATCATTATGTGATCAGTAATCCACAAAAATTTATATCAGCCAGTGAGGAGTGCAGTGCCTGGTATTCTGTGCTAAGCAGTAGCAGTCTTCAGAGATGAACACATGGAGTGCATGTGGTAGAACCAACACTTGCTCATCCAACCAAATTTTCCACTTTCACCTTGTTCCATTTACACAAAGATTTCCATTTTCTCCTTGAAGTCTAGCTTAGTGTTTGGGCTTGCTCCTGACTGTCCCCAGGACTCTGAATTTCTGTCCCCATCCCCTGCTTTGATGGAGTTCTCCTACACAATGATAATCCACCATGCACCTCAGCATGGTCCTTTTTAGAAAACTGTCCTGAATTGGCATGGGCTCGCTCAGAACATGATGATGTTGCTGAGCTACTAAAGGGAAGAAGTGAGTAAGCCTTGGCTGGAACTTTTACTACTGACCTAACCCCTCAAATCCCACAACTGTGGCTGCCTTGAGCAGGACAGAGGTTCAGCGATAGCCTGAATATATGGGATAATTTGGCTGGTAGATGACAGCTTTTTCTAGGATTTCTAGGTGGGTTTTGTCTCCCACTGGTTCAAGGCTGTGGGTCTCCTGTCTTGTCCTCAAATCTGCCTCTGCCACTGGCCTCTCTTTGACTGTTCTCATACTACTTATATCCTCATTCCTCAGGCACCCATTGTCCATCCCCTGATCACTGGCATCTCAGACCACTCTCATCAATACAAATACTTCCTTCTTTTTAATCTGAGCAGTAGGGAGCAGAGACTCAAATCCTGGCTTCTTCTCCTATTTACTGGGTACTGTCGACAAAGAGTCAAACTCTGTAAAATATTTGAAGAGATTTATTCTGAGCCAAATGTGAGCGACCATGGCCCATGACACAGCCCTTAGGAGGTCCTGAGAACATGTCTCCAAGGTGGTCGGGGTGCAGCTTGGTTTTATACATTTTACAGAGGCATGAGACAGAATCAAATACATTTAAGAAATGCACTAGTTTGGTCCAGAAAGGTGGCACAACTCAAAGTGGGGGCTTCCAGGCTATAGGTGAATTTAAACATTTTCTGTTGACAACTGGTTGAGTTTGTCCAAAGACCTGGGATCCACAGAAAGGGAATGTTCAGGTCAAGATAAAAGACTGTGGAGGCCAAAGTTCTTTGAAGTGTCACAGTGGTTGCCCTTAGAGACAAAAGATGACAAATGTTTTCTATACAGGTATTAGTTAATCTCTTTAGGATTGGGAAGGTCTAGAAGAAAGAAATCTGGCTATGTTAATAGAGATTCTTTACAGACGCAAATTTTCCCCCATAAAGAACAGCTTCGCAGGGCCATTCCAAGAAACATGTGTTGGGGTAAAGTATTTGATTTTCTTCCTTGTCTCATAATGTTATGCCAGAGTCAAATTGGAAAGTAAGTTACGATATACAGGGTTAAATAAAACCCATCTGATGAGAATTTATTATTTGTATGGCATGACTCCCCAGACCCCTTAGATAGATAGGAATTTGGGCAAGATAAAAATCAGAGTTTAGTCCTCAGTACCTTGGGCAGTCACCCTGGGCACCACTCTGTGATTCAGTTTCACCATCTGCTGTGAGAATTAAGTGGCTAAAGCAAAGTGAAGAGTTTGTTAGCACAGTCAGGTGCCTGGCAGTAAGTGCACAGTCCTTGCTAGCGCTTCCTGTGGTCAGTGAACCAAGCCATCCTGCTGCAATGCCTCTGGGGGTGCTTCAGGTTTGGGGCACTTTCCAGCTGCCTTCAGTGTTGTTTGTGGCTCAAGGGTTGGCATTTTACCAGCAGGGACCTCCTTCTCTTCTCTTTTGTGCTGTAGAAGTTTTAGATTGCTGGGCAGTCAACTCTCAATAATAAACTTGATTTCTATTAGTTGTTTGCACTTATACTAATGTAAACCACTTTCTAAGCTTTGTCAGATAGCAGAGCAGCCTGAACTCCTGCTGGCAGCTACTGCAGCTTTCCTCTGTGGCTTTCCTCACCCGTGTTCTGTTGCCACCCCTCCTTGGCTCTCTGTCCCCTGACAGAGCAGAGAGAAGAGCTGTGTACCAAGCATTCACATTTGTCAGCGCAAAGCCCTTGTCCTCTGTAGGGAGTCATTTCCCTTCCCAGCCCTAATTCTTTGCCCTTTTAAACCGGAGCTATTATTACTTCTAATTTGCACTGAATGGTCCCTTAGCAGCCATCACACACTGAACTTGATACTAACTTGCTTCCAATACTGCTAGATTTACCAGAATCTTAGCTCTTCCGGAACACAACTTAAAATGTGATAAACAGAAATGTAAACAGCTTTCATCATATCAACAGATGTAGATATACTCCTTTGCAGAATAGTTGCACTACAGCCAAGTTGACTAGATAGCACATTTTAGATTAATCTTAGTTTTTCCTTGCTATCAATAAAAACAATCTCATAGATCTACTCCCCTTGAAACATTTTTGGACCCAAAACAGTGCCATTACTCTTAAGAATAAGGGAAAGATTTTAAATAATATACAGCATCTAAATAAGTAGGTAATTTCTTTAAACCTTTTAAAAACACATTTGGACTCCACCTTTTCTAGAAAAGATATAAACAAGGATGGGCTGGTAAACTGGCTCCCTTGGGTTAGGGTAAGGTCTGTTTTGTAGCATTTGCCAATATCCATAGTGTAGGTATTCCCAGCATGGCTGATTTCAAACTATCAACTGTTAAAGAAGGGGCACACAAAATTCCTAAATATTTAACAAGTGCAAAGGTTCTAGCACACCTTTGGAAGCCAAATCTGAAAATATACATAAACTACATCAAGACA
This sequence comes from Homo sapiens, assembly GCF_000001405.40. Taxonomy (NCBI): domain Eukaryota; kingdom Metazoa; phylum Chordata; class Mammalia; order Primates; family Hominidae; genus Homo; species Homo sapiens. The sequence goes on from NC_000018.10 coordinate 35,925,276, forward strand.
CATAAAAAGTAGGTGAGAAAGAAGGAATGAAACAAGGGTAGGGGTATAAAATGGAGCCAGGAATTAGCAGATATAAAAATGCATACTGTAAAGCCCTGTAGACACGTTTAAATCCTTACATTTGGCTTTCAGAAGCTTCTAACACTGAAAGGAGAAGCTTACCTGGTTCACAGTGTTGTTAAGATAAAAATAAGTGGCATGCTGAGAAGTGCCAGTGTCCTGTTCTTCAAGTAGGCCACATTTCTCCTCCTGAGGGTCCCAGGAAAGCAAAGACTGTGTCACAAAGTGAATGTCCTCATCAACTCAGCCTGATGGTCTAGCCTTGAGATTGCAATTAGGTGAAAGCAATGCTACAGAATGCCAAGCCCACTCAGGGTACAGAGATCAACATTCCCACATTCCCAGCTTAATTCCTGGCAGGTGGAGCTGTGGATGTATGCCACCACCTTGGAGGAAACTTCTAAGCTTTTGCTGACACTCTGACTGTAGTAAGTTTGAAATTGCTCTTCCAGGCAGATTTCTGGACCTGAAACAAGTTTACCGACTATAGAACCCGACACATGTGTCCTAACTGACAATCAGCACACAGGAAAGAACAACAATCCCTCTGGAAAACAGGTGTCCACCAGGAGCCACTTTCAAGGACTTGGCTCCCCTACTTGGAAGTAGAGTAGTTCCTGATGCAATATTCAAAGTGCATAAGGAAAGCAAATACTAAACATCTAGGTTCTGATCTACATTGGCACAATGGTTTCATATGTCCTAAAGAAGAGGAGAATGACAGTTGTGCAACGAATTGAGAATTTCCTTAACTTTATGGGTCTCCTTCCCAAAGGTCCATAAAAGAGAAAAGGTCACCTCCCCATTCCCTGGCATTTGGAATTTGGTGAAAAAATTTTAGTTAAAAAAATTTTTAATTTTTAAATTTATTTATTTTTAAATTTAGTTTAAAAATTATTGAAGTATAACATACATGCAGAAAACTTCACAAATCATCATGAAAAGAGAACCAGAACACCAGCACTCGATCAAGAAGCAGAATATTACCTGCCCCTAATTGTCCCTCCCCTCCAGTAACTATTCTGTAATCATTGACTTTTTTTTTAATCTATCTTTGAACTTTATGTTAATGAACACGTACAGTAAGTGATGTTTTGTTTCTGGTTTCTTTCACTCATCATTCTTGTGAGATTTATCCACATGGTTGCAAATAGGTACAGACAGTTCATTCTTGTTGCTACATAGAATTCCATTGTTTGAATGTATCATAAGACATGGACAGAAGGCAGGGAAATACTGTGTAGAAAAGGGCAGGGTCCCTGGCAAGGGCTCCACTCTAAAGTCTGGATCTGCCACCCTAAATGAGAATATGCATTTTGACCTGAATGCTACCTTTTCCAAAAACACCCTGGCCCACCACAGCCCCCACCCTGTACCCATAAAAACCCCAAGCTCCACTGGTGGAGGAACAGAGTAGTGCAGCAGAGGAGAGAAAGAAGAAGCATCCAAATGTTCTGAGTTTGGCTGGGGATGGTCAGGGATTATCTTCCCATTCCATTCCCTTTCCAGCTCCCCATCCCACTGAGAGCCACTTCGACTGCTCAATAAAATCCTCCACATACGCCACGCTTTAATCTGTTCACGTAAACCTGATTCTTCCTGGACTCCAGACAAGAATTCAGGATGCACTGGGTACGGGAACCCAAAAAGGCTGTCACGCTGACTCTTCACTGAGCTGTTTAACACTTAAGCCATTCACGGACGGAAGGGACGGAAGGCAGGGCTAAAAGAGCATTGTTTGTAACATATACCCTCTGGGCCTCCAGAAATTGTGGGCAACCCCTAGATGCTGCCACGGGCCAGTACAGAGCTCATTCCTGCTGGTACCCAAAGGTATTCTCTCAGCTCCTGCACCTGCTCACCTGCATGCTCCCCCTCCTGCAAAGGGTTTGAGTATGGTGGCCGAGTAAATGAGCCACCCCTGTCGTAAGTCCTGTGTGGGGGTCAAGGGAACTCTCCTGTCTCATATCCATTTTACTTACAATGAGAATTTGGATTGTTTGTGGTTTTTAGCTATTATGAATAAAGGTTTTATGGACATTCTAACCCATGTTCTTTGTAGGACATAGCAGTCATTCTCTGGGATATATACAGGAGGAAATCGCTGGATCATAGTATATGTTCTTGCTTTAGTAAATACTGCCATAAAGTTTTCTGGAGTGATTATACCAAAAAGATAACATTTTACCCATTTAAATTGGCAAAAGTCTTTTAGAGTATAGTGACCCAAGCTGGAGACATTGGGACAGATTTCGTACATTAACATATAGCTTGTAACATGACTCCATGTAATCTAATATCACTGTGAGTCACAAAATGGATTTGTGAATCCAAAGCAAAGATTTGAGGTTAATCATAACTCCAAGAGACAGAGGAATAAATATTAATTTATTAAACAGACAAGAATAAGCCATTCAAGGTGTGTATGCTAACGAAAGGATTTGTTTCCCATTAGGAGCATTTCTATTAAGATAAGAAACAAAGTGAGAATGACTTTTATTTCCTCTGTTATTCAACATTGTATGGCAGATAATAGTCAATGCCTATAGATAAGGGAGAGCACTTAGATATTTGCAAGACTTAGAGAATTGCAAAAGAAGTAAACCCATTTCTATTTGAAGATGATATGAGAGTATACTTGGAAAGTCTTAGAAAATCAATACAACTAAAACAATAAAATAATTCAATAAGATAAAAGAAGGTAAAATTAACCTTTAGAAACAATAGTCTTTAAAAAGACAAACAATAACCAGTTAGAAAATATAATGGTACTGCAAATCCCATTTATAATAGCAACACAACATGAAATAAAATATATAGGAATAAACTTTAAAAGAAATGTGTAAAATCTAAATGAGGAAAATTTCAAATTCCTGATGACAGAAAACTAGATTTGAACAAATGGAAAAACAGCTCTTATTCTTCTTGTAGGAAAACTCTATATCATAAAGATGTCAGTTCTCCTTAATTTATAAATTTAATGAAATATCAATAAAAATACCAGCAAGCATTTTTTATGATGCTAAGTTGGCACTAAAATTTATATGATTAATCACAAAATATCACGTTATATGATTCTATTTATATGAAATGTCCAAAGTAGGCAAATTTATAGAGAAAGAAAGCAGAGGCCAGGTGCAATGGCTCATACCTGTAATTCCAGCACTTTGGGAGGCCGAGATGGGTGGATCACTTGAGGCCAGAAGCTTTAGACTAGCCTGGCCAACAGGGTGAAACCCTGTCTCTACTAAAAATACAAAAATTAGCTGGGCACAGTGGTGCATGCCTGTAATCCCAGCTACTCAGGAGGCTGAGACATGAGAATCACTTGAGCCCAAGAGGTGGAGGTTGCAGTCAGCTGAGATCATGCCACTGCACTCCAAGCTGAGCAAGAGAAGGAGACTCAGTCTCAAAAAAAAAATAAAATAAAATAAATAGAATAGTGATGGCTTAGGGCTGGGAGGAGGGTAGGGGAAAGAATAGGGAATGACTGATAATGGGTATAGGGTTTCTTTTAGGAGGGGCAACAATGTTCTAAAATTAAATGGGGATGATGTTTTCAATATACAAAACATATTGAATATACTAAAAAATATTAAATTGGACATGTTAAATGGGTAAAATGTGTGGTATGTAAATTACATCCCAATATGGCTGTTTAAAAATTTACAGTGAAAAGTAAACGCACAGAAATTGGAAAACAATGAAAAAGAAAAGATACAAGTCAGGACTAACACTTTCCTATATGAAAACATACATTAAAGCCTCTTTAATTAAAACAGTGAGATGCCAGTGAGTGGACAGAATAGAATATAAATTTCAAAATAGACCACAGTATACATGGAAATTTAGAATACAATAAAGGTTACATCTCATATCATTAGGACAAAGATGGACTTTTTAATAAATAGCCTTGGGACAACTAATTAACCATTTGTAAAAAGATAAAATTAAATTATACCTCACACTTTATACACAAACTCTGAATATATTAGGAAAATAACGTAAAAATTTTTAACAAATCCATACAAGCACTAGAAGAAAACATAGGTGAATTTCTGTTTAACTTGGGTGTGAAGAAAGAACTGTGACCTAAAATCCAGAGGCAATAAAAGAAAATATTGATTAATTTACATTTATAAAAATAAAAGATGTCTGAATGTTAAAAAACATCATGAACAAAGTCAAAAGACAACTGACATGGTAATGGTAGGGAAGTCTGTGTAAGACCAATCTGCAGATAACAACTACAAATTCTGGAAGAAATATTTTTTAAAACTATCTAAAAATAACAATCTAAAGGCACTGAAAGGGGACCAAAAGAAAACAGAAACTGGACAGGAGTCTGCCCTTCAAAGAAGTGACCCACACTAATGAGTTTTCTGTTTTCACAGCTTCTTGCCTGAAGGCAGCAAGATCCCAGTTGGCACCTCCCAGGGCATCTTGAAATCAAATAGAAACTTGCAGTCTTACTGGCTTGGGGAAATCAAAGGATAAAACTCAGAGCTATCACCACAGCTGAAAAGTGCTGAGAGAAAGCATTAAAAGGAGAGAGCCATGGAAGAGGAGCTCCAAATTCAGAATATAAACTCTGTAAATCTCTCAACGCCCCTGAACTATGCATGTATGAGACAGACTTCAAGCAGCCTATGTAAGACTAAAAGAATTAGACAAAATGTCAGCTGTTTCTCACCACAGCTATGACAGATTTTTGGAATTTGAGTTCAACCAAGTTAATTTTCTGCTTAAATAGAACTTTTTTTTTTGACACAAAGTCTCGCTCTGTCACCCAAGCTGGAGGTCAGTGGCACAATCATAGCTCACTGCAACCTCAAGCTTATGGGCTCAAGCAATCCTTGGCCTCAGCCTCCCAAGTAGCTGGGACTACAGGTACATGCCACCATGTCTAACTTGTCTTTTAATTTTTAGTAGAGAGGAAGTCTCCCTGTGTTGCCCAGGCTGGTCTCAAACTCCTGCGCTCAAGTAATTCTCCCACCTTGGCTTCCCAAAGTGCTGGGATTATAGGTGTAAGTCACTGCACCTGGCCTAAAACAAAAATTTAAATCTCTTCAGAGGAACCATAAGAGAAGCCATAGGCTGTATAGCACGTTGTCCACAATGTCCAGAATAAAATAAAAATCACTAGACATACAGGTGAGTGTGTGTGCACACTCATGCACACACAAACAGGAAATGGCACTCCATATACAAAAGACAAAGGCAGCCCATGGAGATTGATCCTAATATAACCAACACGTTGGATTTAACAGATGAAGATTTTTAAAGCAGCAAATGAAACTATGTTCAAAGATGCAAAGAAAATAAGCTCCTAATGAATTGACAAATAGGAAATCTTTGCAGAGAAATAGAAACATTAAATATACCAAGCTCACAATTACAACATGTAAAATAAAAAATTCACTGGATGGGCTTAATAGAATATTGAAAATGTTAGAAGAAAGAACCTGTGATTTTGAAAAAAAGATTAATCAACATAATTCAATCTCAAGAAAAAAATTTAACCTATCGGATAATATCAAAAGGTATAACATAAATATAATTGGGTCTCCAAAAAAAGAGAGAAAGAATGAAGCAAAAATTAAGGTTTTTTGAAAAACAAGGGCCAAAATGTCCCCAAATTTAGTGAAATAAATAAATATGTATATATATATATATATATATATATACACACACACACACACACACACACACACACACACACACACATATATGCTATGTGGAGATACATACAAAAAATATGCAAATACAAATATATATGCAAATACAAAAATATATTCAGAAAAAACACCATGAACAAGTAGGTTTATCACAAGAATGCAATGTTGATTTAACATATTAAAATTGTCAATGTCACATGTATATCTCTACATGCATATATATATATACACACATATGTGTGTGTGTATGTGTGCATATACATTACAATCAAACTTCTGAAATCAGAGGTTAAAAAAATTATTGGCTGGGCATGGTGGCTCATGCCTATAATCCCAGCATTTTGGGAGACTAAGGTGGGAGGATTGCTTGACGCCAGGAGTTCGAGACCAGCTTGAGCAACATAGTGGACCCCCATTTGTGAAAAAAAAAAAAAAAAAAAAAAAAAAAAAAAACCAGCCAAATAAAAATGATAAATTAAAGTCTGGGTATGGTGGCTCATGCTTGTAATCCCAGCACTTTGGAAGACTGAGGCAGACATATCGCTTCAGCTCATGAGTTTGAGACTAGGCTGAACAACATAGCAAAACCCCATCTCTACTAAAAATAAAAAAATTAGCCGGGTGTGGTGGCATGCACCTGTGGTCCCAGCTACTTGGAGGGCTGAGGTGGGAGGCTCGCTTGAGCTTGAGAGGTGAAGGTTGCAGTAAGCTGAGATCACATCACTGCACTCTAGCATGGGTGACAGAGGGAGACCCTATCTCAAAAAAAGATAAATTGCGTAGAAGGGAATAAGAATATAAATGATGGCCAACTTTTCATCAGATAAACATAGGCCAGAAAATAATGGAACCACACAGTTAAAGTGCGGGGGTAGGGGGAACACTGTCAACCTAGAATTTGATATCCAAACAAAATATTCTCCAAGAATGAAAGTAAGAAAAATATTTTCAGGCAAATAAAAACTACCTGAGTTCATTGCTGGCAGATCTACATTATAAGAAATGCTAAGGCATGAGAAAATAAAGCCAAAACTAATGAAAGAGAAAGCAGACAAACAACAGACAAATAACAGAGCCAAAATATGGTTCTTTAAAAATACGAATAAAAACTATATACCTCTACCTGGACGAAGAAAGGAAAAAAGAAGACACAAATTAGCAATATCAAGAATGAAATCAGGGACACCAGTATAGAGCCAATAGACATTTAAAACATAATAAGGCAATATATGAATACTTTATGCCAATAAATTTGTCAATTTGGATAAAATGGAATAATCCTTTGAAAAATAAAAATAACACACAATGAAAAAATGTTACTAGCCTTATACTTAGTAAAGAAATTGAACGTATTATCAAAAATCTTCACACAAAGAAAATTCTAGACTCAGATAGTTTCTTTGTTGATTCTGTCAAACATTTGAGAAAGAAATGACATCAAATATAGACAAACTCTTTCTAAAACACAAGAGAAGAGAACACTGTCTGAATCACTTTTATGAGGCCTATATAAATTTGATACCAAAAAACTAGCAAATATATTACAATAAAAGAAAACTACAGAATATCCCTCATGAACCTAAACAAACTACTAGCAAATCAAATACAAAAATACATGCAAAAGTTCATATTCCATGAAGAAGTAGGTGTATCACAAGAGTGCAATGTTGATTTAACATATTAAATTGTCAATGTAATCCACCATATTAACAAAACGAAAGAGAAGACAAATATGTAATCATTTCATAAGCAGAAACATTATTTCCCTAAGTTCAACTGCCATTTATGATAATGGTGAAATATTGTCCTCTTTTATTATCAAGAACAAGCTAAAAATGTTTACTGTCACCACTTCTGTTCAACATTGTACTGGAGGTCCTAGGCAGTAAAATAAAACAAAATGAAATAATAGGCATAAAGATTGAAAATTAAGAAGTAAAACTCCCTTTGTGTATAAATGACATCATTGTTTGCAAAGAGAATCCTGAGGAATTTATGTAAAAATAGCAAGGTCACAGAATACAAGATCAATCTGAAAAAATCAATTATATTTCGATTTACTACCAGCAAAAAAAAAGTTTAAAAACCAATTTTATTTATAATGATATCTAGAACATTAAATACTTAGAAATAAGGTTAACAAAAGGTATTTAATAACTCTATGCAGAAAACTATGAATTTAGAAGACCTAAATACATGGAGAGGCATTTCATGTTCATAAGTTGAAAAACCCAATGCTTTTATAATATACAGTCTCCTCAGATTGATCTATAGATTCAATGCAATCTGACTGATAATTAGGTCAAGTTTTCAGAGAAACTGACATATTGATTCTGACATTTATATGGAAATACTAAGGTCCTAGGATCTCTAAATTAATACTGACAAGACAGAATATGAGGACTTCCACAACCTGAGTTTGAGGCTCCAGTAGCCAAGCTAATGTACACAAAGCAAGTTTATGCAAATACATGAATAAAACACAACAGGCAGCCTAGACCTAGACTCACACCTATAAGGTTACTTAATGACTGACAAAGCCACCGAAGCTCCAATGGGAAAAGTAAGCGCTTTTCTAGAAATGATGCTGGAAAAATAGATATCCATATGGGGAAGAAAATGAATCTCAATTCCTATCTCAACTCATGCACAAAATTAATTCAATATGGATGATAGACCTAAACATAATACAGCTAAAATTATAGTAGTCCCCCTTTAACCACAGTTTTGCTTTCCATGGTTTCAGTTACCCTCAGCCAACCAAAGGGACATGTGGCTCATCATCCACTCACATCCAAAAAACTAAAAGAGAAATTTTAGAAATAAATAATTCATCCCTTTTTAAAAAAATTTTTTTGAGACAGAATCTCACTCTGTCACCCAGGCTGGAGTGCAATGGCGCAGTCTTGGCTCACTGCAGCCTTGGTCTCTCAGGCTCAAGCAATCCTCCAACCTCAGCCCCCTGAGTATCTGGGACTATAGACATGCACCACCACGCCTGGTTAATTTTTGTATTTTTTGTAAAGATAGGAGTTCGCCATGTTGCCCAGGCTGGTCTTGAACTCCCGGGCTCAAGTGGTCTACTCACATCAGCCTCCCAAAGTGCTGGGATTACTGGTGTGAGCCACTGCACCTGGCCAACTCATACGTTTTAAATTGTGTGCTGTTCTGAGTAGCATGATGAAATCTCAGGCCATCTGTCCCGTCCCTCCTAGGATGTGAATCATCCCTTTGTCTCGTGGATCTACACTGTAGATGCTACCTGCCTATGGGTCATTTAGTAGCCATCTGGGTTATCAGATCAACTGCCGTGACATCACAGTGCTGATGTTCAAGTAACCCTTATTTTAGTTCGTAATGGCCCCAGTGTGCAAGAATAGTGGTGCTGGCATATCATTATAATTGTCTGTTTTATTATAATTTGCTGTAATCTCTTCCTGTGCCTAATTTATAAATTAAACTTTATAATAATATAATATTATATATAATATAATATAATTTATAAATTAAACTTTATAATAATACATATAGGAAAACAACACAGTATATATACAGTTCTTTAGTATCCATGGTTTCAGGTATCCACTGGGGGGTCTTGGAATATGTCCCCAGCAGATAAGCAGGGTATACTATATAGAACTGTCAGGAGAAAAATATTTGAAACCTGAGAATAGGCAAAGATTTCATAGGTCACAATTATAATGATATGCCAGCATCACTTGTCCATGACAAGGTGCTTTACAGAGGCCATTGTCTCCTTTTAGCTAGGCAGTGAAAAGCACATTACAAGTAAAGAAAACAGCAGTTTTCTTAGACTGTTTACTTTGCAATAAAGGAATACCTGAAACTGGGTAATTTATAAAGAACAGGGGTTTATTTGGCTCATGCTTCTGCAGCCTATACAGGAAGCATAGGGCCTCAGAAGCTTCCAATCATGGCAGCAGGTGAAGGGGAGCCAGTATATCACGTAGTGAGAGAGGGAGCAAGAGAGAGAAGGAAGTCTCAGGCTCTTTTAAATAACCAGATCTTGGGCGAATTGGTAGAGCAAGAACTCCCTCATTACTGCAAGGATGGCACCAGGCCACTCAAGAGGGATCCACCCCTGTGATGCAAACACCTCCCACTAGGCCCACCTCCAACATTGGGGTTGCCATTCCAACGTGAGATTTGTAGGGCACAAGTATCCAAACTATATCAATGTCCTCTGAGTGTGTGTGTGTGCACGCGTGAACTCATGGGGTTTCTTATTCTCATAAATTCTGGCAGTCCTCTATTAATTACTTACTTCAGACACAAATTATAACCAGATATGGGACAATATAGTTACTAGGGAAAAAAGTTTACTTTCTAAAAAGAATTGGCATATTCTTTGGTTAATTAAGAGGAGAAAGTATCCAGAACCCTTTTCCAGTTCTCTTTGCAGAAGCGTATAATTGCTTTAAGGGTCTTTCTGGCGAAAAGTGATTAGAGGATACATTCCGCCAAGCACCAGGCTGCTCCCTCGGCATGTCCCCCACTTCTGCTGATGCACTAACGTGTCTCAAATCAGTTGCCAATTGGCAGGTGAATCCTATAAAACTGCAAACCTCTGGTGGAGAAACATTATATAAAAGGAATGTAATTGCAGGAAGCTTTCCACCTGCCCCATTCTAGAGGCATCGCAAAGCAGATTTTGTCTAAAGGCTTACCAGAAAGTGAGAGGGCTCCAAAAGGACTTAGAAGGCCCATCAAGCACAACCTGGCATTGTTCATCCCTAATAATTATATGTGCAGAGTTTTATAGTAGCTCTTCTCCTAGTGGTTCTTTTCATCAGCCTTGTCAATGGAGTGAGAATAAACCTCCCTTCCTGTCTGCCACCCCACCCCACCCCCACTGTGAAGCACCTGGGTTTTGTGTGGGGTTGACTCCCCCGTGCATCCCAGCATCAGCCCGGGCCTGACCAGTCTAGCCCAATCAGGGCATCCCCCACTCCCCTTGCTGTGGTATTTTGTTCAGGGATGAACTCCTGCAGAGAGAGTATGTCTTCATCAGAGACAACTGGCAGGCCTGCCCTGCCGAGGAAAGCCAGCCTGAAGACAAAGCCCACACAGGGCAAGAGAAACTAAGAGAAGTTAAGACAGAACCAGAACCCTGATCAAACCACACCTGGAGCCCACCAAGCATTTGTGTCGCAAAAACTTAGTGAATCCCATCTAATGTTCAAACCTGTGCATTGGATTAGGTTTTTAGTACCCTGCACCCAAAACCTCCTCACTAAAATACTACATATCCTCTGAAATATTAAACAAAAGAGAATGGAAACTACCAACTACTCATGTAATGAGTTTTAGAAATCCTGGCCTTGAAAGATGTTGTGTTCAGGAACGACTATATAACCAACATAGGTTGTATATTTTCATGGGGCAATGACACCTCTAATAATTCACGCATCATTTTCTACTCACGCACTGCTTACTTCTATAAGGATTTCACATGGCTTACAACAAAATACCTATATATTAGGATAATAAAATAAGAGTTAATTATCCAGGGGAAAAGATGGATATATCAGAAAACATCAGTGAAGTATAACTCTTAGGTTGGAACATACAATTTAGCTCCGAGCATTCTGTCAGCCAAGGTTAAAATTATTACAGGTTGAGTATCCCTACTCTGGAAAGCTGAAATCTGAAATGCTCTAAAATCCAAAACTTTTTAAGTACCAACATGATGCTCAAAAGAGACGCTCATTGGAGCATTTCCAATTTTAGATTTTTTGACTTAGGGATGCTGAACAACTAAATGTAATGCAAATATTCCAAAATCTGAAAAATATTGAAATCTGCAACACTTCTGGTTTCAAGCATTTCAGATAAGGGATACTCAACTCAACCTGTATCTTACTATCTGAAAAAGAAAAATATCTATGTTTGCTGGGAGGTATGACGCTTTTTCCTAGCAGTAGTAAGTAAGCTCTAGAGCAGCTGTAGTCAGTTTGGGAAGTTTAGGCCCTTGAATGCTGACATTAGCTGAACCACTTTAGCTTATCTGTATTTAGAGCATCACCAAAAGTGTTGACATTAATCTATGTACTGGCAGTGTTAGAATGTTATCAGATTCTGGCAGAGAAATGTTTACATCAGCACTTGCAAGAAAGTAGGGCGGGGTGCAGTGAGTTTTTCAAGGAAGTACAATGTGATCCCAGCCCCACAGGGTTGTTGTCAGCAGCAGCAGGAGGGCACACTGAGGGCTTGAACTCTGCAGCCCCTCTGTACCCTGAGGACAAACAGGGTAGGGAGGTGGAGAAGCAGAGAGATGAAAAAGGAGGAGGGAAACCATGTGGGGGAGTCCTCAGAAGGGCAGCTAAGCTGCAAAACCCTAAAGTATGCAACTGGAAAGGGAAGGGGTACTTCATTGAGCATGTGCTGGCACAGAAGAGAAATACAGAAACACCGAGAAGTCTTGCCCACCTTAAAAGATAAAAGGGAGATTTGCACACAGTTTAAACAAGGAGAGCATTGTTGGATAACCATAGCTAATCTTTACTGATCACAACACTCCATAAGGTAAGCACTATTATTACCCCTGTTACACTGACAAGAAAAGTAATGTTTATGTGCCCAAAATCTCATGGCTAATCAGTGATGGAGCTAGGGACCTGATCCCAGGTAGTCCAGCTCCAAAGCCAGCTGCTCACTTCTGGTGACTATGACCATCCCATCTACCCTGCTCTGACTGGAGCTGCAACTGTGGGAGACAGTTTCATGTGAGCTGTGACAGCATCCCCAACCCCAGCTTGTGCTGTCTCACATAATCCCACTCTATGCAGCCCAGAAGTGCAAGATAGTGAACTGCCCCAGGTAGCCTTCAACCAATTGGCAATGGAAGCAAATGGAGAAATGCTCTAGGCTCCTGGCCTACAGCAGATGGTTCTGAGAGGCCTTCTGTGTGCTAACTCCAGGCCTGACAGAATCGAGCTCCACCAACTTTAGAGGTAACCTCTGCTTCCTCTCTACCCCATGCTCCCTTCTTTGGGAATCACATCCCAAATAAACTAGCTGAGACATCCTTGTCTCAGGCTCTGCAAGAAAGGAAACTTAAAGCAAGAGAAGGCATCTGCATTATAGGACATCAGAGATCAGAAAGGATCTCATCAAATTCTCAGCAGGTTCATATTTGATTGTTAAAGTCATTGACCACTGTCCTGCTCTGGAGAAAGAAGTTGCAGAGGAGGAAGAGGTTTTCAGGGAAATATTGGCTCAGGGCTCAGCCAAAGGCAAAAGATTTCAATGAACAAATATGTCTGACTGAGCTACATATTTTCTAAACAATGACTTGTCTATTTCAAAGTGAGTCATGACAAGAATCACTGGACCATGGAGTTCTTGGATAATGTGTGGTGTTCTCAGATAAATGTATTTCTTTCTCTCGGGTATTTATATAAAGCTGATAAAATGGGTTTGTTTACTGTTGCTTGCCAGTTTCCCTGTAAGTGGTGCACATGCCCTTGATTTTAAGCTGGAAAAAAGGGACACATTGATTCTTAGGGAATATTCTAATGCTATAGGTATCCACTAAAAAATTAAAAAACAAAAACAGAACCTTTGGTGCCTAGGGAAAAATCTAATCTTTTCCAGGCTCTCCAAGGTGTCACATTTTTACCAGCTCTTTGCAAAGTATAAGTCAATGCATGGCTGAGAAAGAGACTTTCATGATTGCATTATATTTATGCAAATGTATCTAATGGTTATTACAGACCTAGGGGTTTGCCTGAGGACAGCAAATGACTCAACTGCTGCATATGTGGGGCTCCTCTTGAGCAAGGGAAGAGTCCAAGGTTAGTGTTATCCTTTTTGTATCCATCACTCTTACCTCCGAGATTCAACTTATGGACCAAGACATTTTTCAGAAAATAAAGTGCTATTAGAGAATTTCATTTTATGAAACATTTCATGAGAAAATTTTCCAGGAAGGGAAGGCTAGTTACCTCAGTCACAAGAGGGCAAGCTGCTTCCACTGGCACTGGTGTTTCTGAGCTGCTCAGAGGGACAGGGGCCCAGACCTTTGAGGAGAGGGTACTGGCCAGTTGGTGCTGATGTCTCTGAGCTTGGACAAGAGCCCAGTGGGTCTGGAACTCAAACCTCTGAAGCGGAAGTGCTGGGTGGTAGGTGCTGATGTCTCTCAGAGTGACAGGATGAAACTGGCTTTACAAGTGTTGAAAAACAGGATTCAGTCGCTTCCATGGGAGGAACTGTCTCTGCCAGAGTGAAGAATCATTATTGGGCTGAATTTCACAGGAACCACAAGCAGGGAAGGGGAGGCCACAGCAAGTCCCTTCTCCCTCCCGCAGCCTTGCAGTTTCTATCTAGCACCCCCTATTGACAGAGCCTTACTGGAGAAGCAGAAATGGGATTTGCGGAGTAGCAGCCCCAGCCTCACAGAGCAGAGCAGGGCAGGGTGGCTTTGCAGCTAAGAACCAACAGCTTGATAACTGGCACAGCATCCTACGAGACTTTTGGTCTCAGAATACTAAAAATCTAATTTTCAGATATTGCCTGTGCTTGGAATTCAGTGAAAAAGTAAACTATCAAGGAAGCCATGGAGGAACTGTAGTCTCGTATTACGTTGGCAAAGGTACACTCAGCAGACAAAGTTGGCCTTGGATAAAACCTCGAAATGGCGAAGGATGCATCTCCTGCATATTGTAACAACTTCAATATCAGTAAGATAGAAGAGCAGGCTGAAGAAATACATTGTGTTCAAGATGCATAAATAGACAATGTTTGGGAAGTCAGTGGAAAATCAAAGGACACAGAGAAAGGCAGAGAAAAAGAAAAAGGTGGAGTTTTTCTGGCATTTAATAAAGTGTTATGCATTGTGGAAAAAGATTGCTTCTGCTTATAACTCATTGATTAATTTTGAAGAAAAAGCAGCCACGTTAAACTACCTCCAGGTCAGATGCCCCACAGTTTCATTTGCACTTCTGTGAGAAAGAGGCAAACAGGTAATTAGCCCAACCCTTGGAACTCTTCTCAGCCAGCATGGACTCCCAGAGCACTAACCAACCCATTGGGGCTTCCTCCCCATCCTACCCAGAATAAAACCAATTTATTCAGTTCAGTGAGGTCAAAACATGCGGGGAGATTTTGGAAAGATTTCTGTTCAAAGATACAGGGCATGTGGATGTAAAGGATTGACATTTATTTATTTATTTATTTATTTATTTATTTATTTATTTTTATTTTTTGATACCGAGTCTCTCCCTGTCACCCAGGCTGGAGTGCAGTGGCACGATCTTGGCTCACCGCAACCTCCACCTCCCAGGTTCAAGTGATTCTCCTGCCTCAGCCTCCTGAGTAGCTGGGATTACAGGCACGTGCCACCATGCCCAGCTAATTGTCTTTTGTATCTTTAGTAGAGACAGGGTTTCATCATGTTGGCCAGGCTGGTCTCAAACTCCTGACCTCGTGATCTCCCCGCCTCGGCCTACTACAGTGCTGAGATTACAGGGGTGAGCCACCACACCCGGCCAGATTGACGTTTATTAATCCAGAAAACTAGTGTTCAAAGACCCTGGACAGTCGAGGTGGTACTGACTGACAGTCAAGAAAAGAAAATAGGCAAATCCTACGGCAAAGGTCACTCACAGCCAACGCCTAGGAGGGTGAGGACGTTTTGAAAACCCCAGGTTGGCCAGGTATGATGGCTCATGCCTGTAATCCCAGCACTTTGGGAGGCCAAGGCGGGTGGATCACCTGAGAGGTCAGGAGTTCGAGACCAGCCTGGCCAACATAGTGAAACCCTATCTCTACTAAAAAATACAAAAATTAGCTGGGCATGGTGGCATGCACTTGTACACTTGTAGTCTCAGCTACTCGGGAGTCTGAGGCAGGAGAATTGCTTGAACCCAGGAGGCAGAAGTTACAGTGAGCTGAGAACGTGCCACCGCACTCCAGCCTGGGTGACAGAGTGAGACTCCGTCTCAAAAAAAAAAAAAAAGCAAAAAAAAGCCTCAGTATGAAAATTACAGTCCCTCAATGGAAAAAGAGGCTCCCCTGCACTTCTCCCATCCACCTTTCTAGAAGGCTCTCAGCTATACCCATCAGCTCCTGCCTTGCCAGCAGTCCCTGGGGCTGGCAGGCGTGTGGCCTCTGGCGTGGGTATCATACAGGGCCCTTTCCCATCAAGTGATGATAAAGAAAACATTTAGCTTTAGAATAGGAAAATATGGCAAAATTATGGAGTAAATGTACAAGAAAGCACTGAGGGTAAATGCATTATGCACCTTCTAAAAAGTCTCTACGGCTCTGAGTGCCTATGATTACAGCTCTGAACTCTTTTCTGTTGTTCGTTATTGTCACGTTTAACTTGGACCACATGCTTCTGTGCAGTGTAGATGTTTTTCAAGTTCAAAGTGAAAACGATGCCTTTTATCTCTCTTATAAGATTTTTTTTCTAATCATCACCTGGCATTCATGTGCTTCTGGCAACAGACGCTTGCATCCCGCTTTCTTTACTGTTCCATTGTGACTCAGCTGACTAAGTAAATCTCAATGCTTTGTGGGTGCTTTAATTAGCTCTTGGGAAAAAAAAGTAATTATAATGTGGTAATAGTCCTTTAAGAAATCAGATACCTCTAGGATATCTTTCCTCCTCCGAGGTTACAGCCAAAGGGCTAAGGAACCTAGAGGTCTTGGGGGATTGGTGAAGCCCCCCAAATTGTATGCAACACTTTTGTGTATGTAAGGGGTGCTTTTGTGAGAGAAAATGTTGATAGCTTTTATCAGATTATCAGAGAATTTTTTTGACCTCAAAAAGGTTGAGAGCACTGAACCTGTCTAAAATCTGTTGTATGAATGAATAGAAGAAAATAAATACATGAGTGAAATGTTATTCTGTCTGGCTTTGGTTGTTCATTTGATTACGGATCCCCAACCCCCAATCCCTTCACAATGTGTCCCACACACAAATGCGTACACCACATACACGCGCTCACACACACAGCTCCTTTAATCATTAATAGTCATTATTTTTCTGAGCTCTGTCTTTGGGGTTAGGACAATTTCTTTTTAACTACAGACAAGTCAAATGTTGGTCTGCTGACCCCATATTCGCAGGGACTAATAGTAGGGGGAATAATTGGCCTCATCTAACATAATCCCCTTGTCCTTGTGCAAAGAGGCCTCTTGAGCTGTGGGTTGGAGGGAGTTCTCAGAGAAGGCTGGCATCTCCAAGATCAAGTCAGAGGGAGAGGGAACAGCACAGAGGCCTCACAGGTCACTATCTGGAAGGGAAGTGGGTAGAGGGAAAAGGGCATGAGCTGCTGGGCAGCTCTCCACCCTGCTGGGTTGAGCTTCCTCTCAGTTGCCCCTGAACCCAGTTCTAGTGCCTGGCATTTCTACAAACACACATACACACATACACACATACCACTCTCACACAAACCCCACTCATACACCCCACTCACACACCACACACACACACACACACACACACACCAGGTCCCTTACCCACCACTTTCAGAGACCTGCTTTTTTTTTATTTTTTTTTTGAGACAGGGTCTTGCTCTGTTGCCCAGGCTGGAGTACAGTGATGTGAACACAGCTTACCCCAGCCTCAATCTCCTGGGCTCAAGCGATCCTCCTGCCTCAGCCTCTCGAGTAAGTGGGACTACAGGCACGCACCACCGTGCCTGGCTACGTTTTTCATTTTCTATAGAGACAATGTCTCACTATAATTGACGATGCTCGTCTCAAACTCCTGGGCTGAAGTAATCTTCCCACCTTGGCCTCCCAAAGTGCTGGGACTACAGGCATGAGCCACTGTGTCCAAACAACCTGCCAGATCTAGCAGACACTTTTAATCACTCAATCAGCAAACAACTTGGAGGCCTGATGATGTGCCAGGCACTAGATTAAACAATGGGGAATCAAAGTTTAGCAAGCTCAATGACTGAAAAGATGGCAAACACACACATACATGGAGGTTAACTTACAACCTTGTGAGTGCTATCACAAAGCAGGACCAAGGTCCTGGCAATGCACAGCTCTAGAGGGCGCAATCTGTGGGAGTCTGTGGGAGCTGCCACTCCTTGTCCACTTACCATATAAGCATGGCCCCTAGAACTGTGCAGCCCAGAAGCCATGGAGATGACCCAGGAGCACAGCTGGGTGGAAGAGGTGTTAATGGTGGGCATCACCATCCCATTGTGGTGATGGTAGCCACCCAGGGGACACGAACTGACATATACCCACCCACCATAAATATGATGCCTGCTCCATGCTGCTGTGTCCTACTCTAGCCTTGGAAGGTGATCTTTTAAAGGTCACCACATTTAAACCCATTAGACACATGGGCAAACCAACTTGCATGCCTCCAGAAAGATGTCCAACACCACTAACTGTAAGACCAATTCAAATTAAAACAATATGAACAGATGGGTAAACATGTTAAAGACTAACAACACGTAGCACTGACGAAGATATGAGGAAATGCATATATCATATATCACTGGTGGGGATATAAATCTTTACAATCTTTTGGAAAATAATCTGACAACAACCATTAAAATTAGAAATATACATCACCTTTGGCCCAGGAGTCACACTTTGAGGAATTTCTCCTACAGGAATAAAAGTACTAGCACTGTTTATCACGGAAAAAATAAAACTGGAAATATTCTAAATATCTCAAATAGAGGAATGGCTGGCTACATTATGATATCTGTCCCAATGAACCAATGAATAGTATACAGCCATGGAAAAGAATAAGTTACTCATATACTTACTTATCTAGAAATAGGCCAGTGGTATATTGTTTAGAGGGAGGAAAATAAAAGAAAATTAGAGACATATATAGAAAGAATAAGCCTTTCTTTTTTTTTTTTTTTGAGATGGAGTCTAGCTCTGTCACCTAGGCTGGAGTGCAGTGGTGCAATCTCAGCTCACTGCAACCTCCGCCTCCTGGGTTCAAGCGATTCTCATGTCTCAGCCTCCCGAGTAGCTGGGATTACAGGCATGTGCCACCATGCCTGGCTAATTTTTGTATTTTTAGTAGAGACAGGATTTTGCCATGTTGTCCAGGCTAGTCTTGAACTCCTGACCTCAAGTGGTCCACCCGCCTCAGTCTCCCAAAGTGCTGGGACTACAAGTGTGAGCCACCATGCCCGGCCAGAGAATAAGCTTATTTTTGAACAAATACATAATAGGAAAAAAGTCCATGCACATTTCCACACATGACACATACACATTTGAGCAGAGAGAAAGATGCAGAAAGTTCCAAATCAAACTATTCAGATTGTACCTCAAAGGGTACAATCAGAGGCAAAGAGTGTATTACTGAATTTTTCTTTATACGTCTCTGCTTTGTTACACATGCTATGGTGGGCATGCTTTTTTTGTATAATTTTTAAAAATCTAGTGAAGTATTTAGCTTTAAACATAGTCTTTTTGGAAATTATCTTCATATGGCATTGGTCAATTGTGGTCCAGCCATGCAAGAGGATACAATGGTACAGCTTAAAGAATGAAATAGAGCTATGTATGCTGCAATGGGAACACATTTAGATATGTACAAAAAGATGCAATAACAAAACATACAGTGAGACACTATTTGCATTATATAGAAACAAGACATGCATATGTGTATTTGTTAATGCACACACACAGAAAGAAGGATGAGAGACTCTGAGCAGCAGCCACCTACCTCCGGCAAGTGGAATAGGAGGGAGGCCTCACACCCTCCTGTCCTGTCTGAACTTTCTAAGGGTAGATTACTCATAAATAGTAAAAACTAGTTGTTTTAGGATAAGCCATTGTTTTTCTTCCCTCATATTGACAGACTGCACTAAGATGTGAGTACAGTCTCCAACCAGCACTTATAAACCCACATCAGCCTCAAGTTCACAAAATCAAAATCAATTTCTATATGTGGTACCACCTGCCCCTCAGGAGTTATAAAAAGAAATGTCACAACCAACTAAGGGTGTGTCCAACTTAAAGAATGATAGTGTTGTAGCTCACACGTGTGGTCCCGACTACTTGCGAGGCTGAGGCAGGAAGATCACTTGAGCCCGAGTTTAAGGTTACAGTGAGCAATGAACATATCACTGTACTTCAGCCTGAGCAACACAGCATGATCCAATTTCTTAAAAAAAAAAAAAGAAAAGAAAAGATAGTGATACCTACATTTTTACAGAGTATGATAGTCTAACAAGAGCAAAAAATCCTCTGCAAGGAATTTGTCTTTATGGAAGTAATACGTTATGCAAACAGTCATTTTAAAGATACACCATAAACAGAATGGCAAACCTGTGCTCACTATAAACACTAGAAAAAATATCAAATAAATGCATCAATAACTTGTAACATCCCTGTCCATTGCTATTACATAAGCAATTGAGAGACTCTACTTTACAAAAATTTTAAAGGCCTTACCACAGGAAGATCACACATACCTTGAGTTAAGTTGCAGCCTCGAAGGAATTGAAAGCCTATCTTCCAAAGCACCTGCTGCTTTTTCTCTCGAGCTGCCCTTGCCCCAGGGAGGCAGTCTAAGTCCCACCCCATGTTGGGCGATGATGCGATCATGTGAACCAGATGCGATCATGATGCGATCATGTGGGCATTCCATGAGCCCAGACTCCCAAACTGCCACTGCTCACTCCAGACAGAGAAAAAACAGGTATATACAATATGGAGAGACTTTTGGTTACCTTTAATATATTACCAGTAAATTTCCCTCTCAAGTCATGATTTTGAAAAAAGTTTTGCAATATTTTAAAAGAAGTTTTTAAATAATGTAATATCATTGGAAATAAATTTTCTACTAAGAAAGAACTCTCAATAGTATAATGGACATCTCTGGGAAAATATCACTTGATAGATGGCTAATTTTTAAAGGAACATTGATTCCACAAAAGAGACTCACAGTTGCTTATGTACATTAAAACAAAATAGTAACATAATGGCTACATTTGGTGAGCACACACTATGTATTTTACACATATTCTCTTATTTAATCTTCAAAATAAACTTCTGAAGTGAGTACCAATCACCTCAAGAAAACTGAGGCAAAGTTCTATAAAACCTGCTCAAAGTAACACAGCCAGTAAGTGAGGTAGCCAGAACTTGATCCAGTTCTTCTGGAGCTCAAGGCAAATCCACCATGTCACACAGTCTTCCTCCCCTGCCTCATTCCTGCTCAAAAAACTGGAAGAGAACATTAGTTGCCACACGCATGGTGTCCCCAAGAGAGCCTGTGCTTCCCACAACCCTAGTTATTGGCAAAACCCTCATGAAGCCATGTCCCTCTCCTACCAGAACTGACTGGATAAGGGCTGTGCAGCCAATCCAGAAACCAGAGATGACCTTTGCGTGACCTCACTGGACATTGGAGCGATACAATTCGACTTCCTCTCTGAGAACAGGAGTTAGGCTACCTGGCAGCAGCCAGGAGCTGGGAGCTCACAGTGTGCACAGAGTGGGGCCTGAGGTCACCCAGGCACAGAAACTGTGAGGCAGCAAGCTTCAGAGCAGAGGAAGGGCAGAGGCAGGACACAAAAGCACAGCCTCTGTGGGTGGCCCAGTCCCATTAATGCCAAAGCATGAGAGTAACAATCCCACAGGACCCTGCTTCTGGGGTCCCAGAGATGCCTTTTCTGTCCCAAGATGCCATCTTGTGATTAGTGACTGTGGCCAACTGTTATCACTCCTCCCCATCCCAGACAGCCATCCCCTTCCTCTGTAGTAAAAAACTCATAACATGTCTAGTATGGCAAAGAGCCCAATTAATGAACTTCACTTCTTGACCATCTGGTATTTGGAGGCGGAGAGCCAATTAATTGTGTTTCGGCACAATTCAGCAATGATTTACTATTTCTGATCATTTCTATAAGTTGACAGGGCTCAACTGGGTGGTTCTTGCATCCCACATGGTATCAAGTGGAGTTTGACTGGGACTGGTACACTCAAGATGGCTTCATACACGTGACTTATGCCTCAACTGGGGTACTTGGAATAGCTGGGGACTGGCTAGGCCTCTCTTCACATAGTTGTTCATTATTCAATAGTTTACTCTGGGCCAGCTGTGGTGGCTCACACCTGTAATCCCAGCACTTTGGGAGGCCGAGGTGGGTGGATCACTTGAGCCAAGGAGTTCAAGACCAACCTGGGCAAAATGGCGAAACCCTGTCTCTACAAAAAATTAGCTGAGTATGGTAAAGTGCACCTGTAGTCCCAGCTACTATCGAAGCTGAGGTGGGAGGATCACCTGAGCCTGGGAGGTTGAGGCTGCAGTAAGCTGTGTTCACACCATTGTATTCCAGATATATATATATATATATTCTAGTCTAAGCTTCTTTACATGGCAGCTGGATCCCAAGAGGGTAAACAGAAGCAGCAAAGCCTAGCAAGGCCTTCCAATACATTCTATTGGTCAAAGCAAGTCATAGGGCCAGCCCTGACTAAAGGAGAAGAGAAACAGACTATACCTCTTGACAGGAAAAAATGACTTAAGCCTACAAAAATTATTGGCAGCCATCTTTGCAGACATTCTACCACAAAATTTAAATGGAAGTTGTTAAATTGTATTCAGCTACCTTCTCCCTTTCTTCCTACTTCCTGCCTAGAACATGAGTGTCATGACTAGAACTTCAGCAGTCATCTTGCAACCACCAGGCAGCCTGAAAGATGAGAACTACACACTGAGGATAGCAGAGAAGAAAGAGAGGAGTCCAGGTTCCTGATGAGCTAGGGGAGCTGCCACACCCACCAAGGACTGCCTATTTACAGAGTGTTTACACATTGGAAAAAATATAAAGCTCTACCTTACTTACATAATGATTATTTGGTTTGTCCATCATACAAAACACAGTGGGCACAGGCTAAAATGTGAACAACTAACAGAAGGAATTTCATAGCCCATAATGCAACATTTGCTGATGCGTTGTATTTTTTAAGAATATAACGAGAAGCACATACTCTGATTAAATTGCTAAGTTCCATTACAGTCTTATAAAATATATTACAGCAAGCCTCAAGCTAAAGGCTTATTGGCAAGTACCTTGCCTCTGAGGTACAAGGAATCCGTTCCTGGGGGCTTATGAGAAAATGTTAGGGGGCTCCTTAATAATTCTGTACAAACACTGCTTGAGAAAATACTATTAATGCCTTTCCGCCAAAACTAAGCTTGAGTACTTTTTCTAAACTCCTCACCGTTTAAGAAGAAATAGCATGCAAAGTTCAAATGAGGTCATCATATCCACCCCCTCCTGCCTCCCACCTAGTTTTTTCATTCAGCAATCAATCCCTCCCCAACAATTGAGGTTCAGTTGCTGTGTCTGATTCATGGAAGAATAACCTGTCTTTTCCTCCCCCTTCCAAATTTTTTAAAACACCAAGCAGTATAGGCAAGTTTTTGTTTGTTTGGCTGGTTGGTTGGGTTTTTTTTGAGACGGAGTTTGGCTCTTGTCACCCAGGCTGGAGTGCAACTGCACGATCTCGACTCACTGCAACCTCTGCCTCCCGGGTTCAAGTGATTCTCCTACCTCAGCCTCCCAAGTAGATGGGATTACAGGTATGTGCCACCACGCCCAGTTAATTTTTGTATTTTTAGTAGAGACGGGGTTTCACCATGTTGGCCAGGATGGTCTCAATCTCTTGACCTCGTGATCCACCCGCCTCGGGCTCCCAAAGCGCTGGGATTACAGGCATAAGCCACCGCGCCCGGCCGGCAAGTTTTAAACCACAAGAATAAGATGTCTTTTCACAGGTGTGCAGAGAAGGACCCCAGAACTGGGTAAATTGAGAAGTGGGACACACAGGTTTTGCAGGCCTGACTCGGACACACAGGTGTGAGCCTGCAACAACAAACAGCTCCTCAACCCTCAAGTACAAGAACAGGGGAAAGAGTGGCATTCTATATTTTTTTGAAAACTAGCTGAACTTGGTCTGCTCTTATTTTACCATTTTCATGTATGGTTTTGCAAATGTTTTACTTGACTTTAGCCTATATTTCAAATTATCGGAATGTTTTATATTCCCATCTATTTTAAACTAGTAATTACCTGTCTAAAACAAATGGACACCTTCTTGAAATAAATGTAATTAGATTATTACTGATACACACAGTATTATTGAGACTAAAAGTAAATAATTTACTGCTTGAACCCGGGAGGCGGAGGTTGCAGTGAGCCGAGATCAAGCCACTACCCTCCAGCCTGGGCAACAGAGTGAGGCTCCGTCTCAAAAAAAAAAAAGAGTAAATAACTTACTGTACTGTTTTGCAACACCTTAGCCCTACAGTCTAATCATTTACACAAAGCATTTTTCTAGAGATTCCACTCTGAATGTTCATCATGGCATAGAAACACAACACTTTGCAACTGATCTCCTAATCCAATTAAATGTTTGTATCTTATTTGGTCATTTGCCAAAACTTGTTGACTATGTGCTGCACACGTTTCTATTTCTACCGTGGTAACCTTAAAACACCAAGGATAACCAGCGGATTCTTAATTAATGACCTCCTCTGACTCCAGTGATCTGTCCAGGGTCATGTCCCACAGATGTCAACCAAGACAGCACTCCTGCCAGACCCATCTGGCTTTATTTCCAGGCAATTTCCTTTTTTGACTTCCCATATGTTTGCTTCTTGTCTTTCTGGTCTTTGCTTTCTGTTCCCAGTCTCTCTAACTCACTGTTTCAGCACACACCGACTTTCTCTTAAAACATCCCTAAAGTGATGGCTGTTTCTCATCATTTGTCCACGCAGTTAACTCAGAACTCAGGGACACTGACCCAGGCCTCCACTGGCTTCAAAACAAAGAGTTTGCCCAAGGTCCTCAAGGAAATTATTAATGCTCAGCTCTAATAAAATGACCATGCTCCCACCCCCTTCCCACACACCGTCTCATTAGCAGGGTTTATTTTTATGGGTAGTACTGTGAATCCACTAGGTAGAAGCAGGTCCTCTCGACGATCCCCTGACGACAGCCCTTGCAGACACGGCTATGCCCAGGCCCATCGCCTGGATCCTGAGCGCGTCTGGCTCTCCACGCCAACCCATTCTGCCCGCTGACTGCTTGAGTCCTAAGCCCGACGACCCTGCCCCAGACCCTGGAGACGCTGGACGCTGGCTCACCTGGATCCCACTCAGACCCGGGCGCGGGCTCACCTGGTCCCCCGCGGGCTTGGGCGTACGCTCATCTGGATCCCACTGGGACCCGGGCGCAGCCTCACCTGGTCCCCCGAGTTCCCGGGCGCGGCCACACTGGGTCCCCCTCCTGCTCGCGCCGCCCTGGGCGCCCCGGAGGAAGCTCTGTGCGGCTGCAACCCTGAGTCCCAGGCGGAGCGGTCAGCGGAGAGTTCCAGCCAACTTATTCCGTGCGCCTCGAAAGGGAGGGTTGCTGGGCGTATAGATATTCTATTTCGCGGGGCCTTTGCGCTCCGAGTGGCCCCTCTAGGCCAGTTCCTCCGAACGCTAATCGGGGGCTCCGCGCTCTCCCCTCGCTTCCCTTTGCTTGGGGAATTGGCAGCGGGGCGCAGGGATCCATCGGAAACGCAAAACTACTTTTTCCCCCTGCTGGTCACTGTGAGGAACTGCACGTGGTGGAACTAACCTGTAAGTAAGGATTCCTTCCCTCTAAGGAGAGAAGCTTGGGGTCTTTCCTCCCCCATCAAAGGCTTCGAAAACTCCCCCTTTTATTCCGTTTCTTTTATTTCAACTGTCACATTAAGAGATAGCAACTCATTTTTAGGCTTCAGATTAATGAGAATAAGTAAAATTAAAACATCCCACTAGAGCGTTTAAAATTTTTTTTCTCTTTTTAAATTATGGAAAATTGCAAACGTGAAAGTAGGCAGAAGAGTATAATGAGGTTCCAGCTTTTGGTAACGGTGGACTAATCTTCTTGCAGATAAAAGTTATACAATCTGGCTGGGCTCCGTGGCTTACTCCTGTAATCCCAGCACTTAGGAAGGCCAAGGCAGGCGAATCACTTAAGGTCAAGAGTTTGAGACTAGTCTGGTCAACATGGTGAAACCCCGTCTCTACTAGAAATACCAAACAAGAGAAAAAAATTAGGTGGGCGAGGTGGTGCACCACCTGGGCGACAGAGTAAGACTCTGTCTCAAAAAAAATAAATAAAATAAAATAAAAATTATACAATCTGAGCAAAGCATTTTTAAAATAATGTGTGAAGGTATTAGAGATTGATCAAAAGAAGGCAGAAACTGTAGGAAAACCACCCTTGAAAAATGAATGAAAATTGTTGGGATTTGTGAGTTTATGGCTTTTGACATGAGGGCAACCCCCAATCAGTGAGCAGCTCCAGCTGCAGAGAGCCATCGCTTGATTGACTTGAAGTGGACAGAAAACAGAGTTTGAGACTAGTAGAATTGGAAAATTGGGGCCAGGAGTGGTGGCTCACACTTGTAATCCCAGCACTTTGGGAGGCCGAGGTGGGCAGATCACCTGAGGCCGGGAGTTCGAGACCAGCCTGGCCAACATGGCGAAATCCTGTCTACTAAAAACACAAAAAATTAGCTGGGCATGGTGGCAGATACCTGTAATCCCAGCTACTCGGGAGGCTGAGGCATGAGAATTGCTGGAACCCAGGAGGTGGAGGCTGCAGTGAGCCAAGATAGTGCCACTGCACTCCAGCCTGGGTGACAGAGGGAGACCTTGTCTAAAAAAAAAAAAAAAAAAAAGGAAAATTGGGAAGAGGTAATTCTAGAAGGGAAGAATATATAGAGAAGTATGTGTCATGTTAGTTTTCTCTTGGCGCCATAACAAATTAACCACAGCTTAATAGCTTAAAACAACACAAATTTATTACGTTACACTTCTGGAGGTACAGGGCTCATTGGGCCAAAATCAGGGTGTTGACAGGCTGTGTTCTCTATAGAGGCTGCAGAGGAGAATCGATTTCCTGCTCACTCGGGTAAGACTGAGTTCCCTGATTTCTTGCTGGCCGTGAGGTGAGGGTCATTCCAGCTTCTAGAGGCCCATGCTGCATTCCTTGGCTTGGGACCTCCTTCCTCCATCTTCAAAACCAAAGCCGGGAACTATCAGTCAAGTTCCTCTCACACTTCAAATCTGTCCTCTTCCTCCCATCTCATCTCTCTGACCCAGCCTGGAAAAGTTCTCCCCTTTTAAGGATTTGTGTGATTAGATTGGGCCCACCTAGATTATCCAGGATAGGATAATCTTCCCCATTTTAAGTCAGTAACCTTAATCACATCTGCAAAATCTCTTTTGCCATGTAAGGTAACGTATTCATAGGTGCCAGGGAATAGGACGTGGACATCCTCAGGTAGCCATTAAGCTGCCTACCAGAATCTACCCTCTGATCCCTCAAATATGTCGCAGCTTAACATCAATAACTATATTAAATATAGCCAGGTGTGGTGACCTGTAATCCCAGCACTTTGGGAGGCCGGGGTGGGTGGATCGATTGAGCTCAGGAGTTCAAAACCAGCCTGGCCAACATGGTGAAAACCCGTCTCTACCAAAAATACAAAAAATTAGGCCAGGCACAGTGGCTCATGCCTGTAATCCTAACACTTTGGGAGGCCAAGGCACGTGGATCACTTGAGGCCAGGAGTTCGAGACCAGCCTGGCCAACATGGTGAAACATCATCTCCACTAAAAATACAAAAAGTAGCCGGGCGTGGTGGCACACACCTGTAATCCCAGATGCTCGAGAGGCTGAGGCAGGAGAACCACTTGAACCCAGGAGGGGGAGGTTGCAGTGAGCCAAGATCATGCCACTGCACTCCCACCTGGGGGATAGAGCAAGACTCTGTCTTCAAAATAAATAAATAAAAGGACTATATTAAACATAAATACACTAAACATGCTAATAAAAAGACAGAGATTGTCAGACTGGATTTAAAACAAACCAAAAACAAGACCTGGTTGTATATTATCCACAAAAGATGACTCTTAACTGCAAAAACATAAATAGGTTGAAAGTAAAAGAATAGAAAAGGATACACTGTGTAAAAAGAAAGAATAAGAAACCTGAGGTGGCCAACAAGCATACAAAAAGATAATCAACATCACTAATCATAAAAGAAATGCAAGTCAAAATCACAATGAGATATCACTGCATACCCACAAGAAGCGCCATCATCAAAAGAACAGAAAATAACAAGTGTTGGCAAGGGTGTGGAAAAATTGGAACCCTTGTGCACTGCTGGTGGGAATGTAAAATGCTGCAGCCATTACGGAAAACAGTATAGAGGTTTCTCCAAAAATTGAAAATAGAATTACCACATGACCCAGCAAACCCCACTTCTGGGTATGTATCCAAAAAACGTCAAAGCAGGATCTCAAAGTGATATTTACATATCCATTTGTCCATTGCAGCATTATTCAAAATATGCAAGAGGTGGAAGCAACCCAAATGTCCATCAACAGATCAATGGCTAAAGAAAATGTGGTACACATACAGTGGAATGTTATGTAGCCTTTAAAAAGTAAAAAATCCAGCCGGGCACGGTGACTCATGCCTGTAATCCCAGCACTTTGGGAGGCCAAGGCAGGTGGATGGCCTGAGGTCAGGAGTTTGAGAGCAGCCTGGTCAACACGGCGAAACCTCATCTCCACAAAAAATACAAAAAAAAAATTAGCTGGGCGCGGTGGCGTGCACCTGTAGTCCCAGCAACTCGGGAGGCTGAGGCAGGAGAATCGCAACTCCACTCCAGCATGGGTGATAGAGTGAGACTCTGTCTCAAAAAAAAAAAAAAATAGTAGAAAATCCTGTTGTCACTACACTATGGACGAAACTTGAGAATATTATGCTAAGTGAAATAAGCCAGTCACTAAAGGACAAATACTGTATGATTCCACTCATTTGAAGTATCTAAAGTGGTCAAAAATCATAGAAACAGAAAGTAGAAAGGTGGTTGCCAAAGGCTGGGGGGAGGAGAGGAGGAATTAGTGTTTAACAGGTGTTGAGTTTCATTTTTGCAAGATGAAAAAGTATTAGAGAACTGTTGGACAACAATGTGAATAAACTTAACACTACTGAACTATACAGCTAAAAATGGTTAGTATAATAAATTTAATGTTATGTATTTTTAAAATACAATTTTTTATTCTTAATCTTTGTGAGTAGTGTTATGTGTTTTTAATAATAAAAGAAATCTGAAGTGACTATATGTTTATGCAACTAAAATCAGAGTTTAAAAATAACAAGCAAAATTAGCAGAACTAAAGAGAGAAATAAACAAATCCATACTCGTAATGAAAGATTTTGATACCCTGCTCTTGAAAAGTGATAGAATAACTAGACCAAAAAAAAAAACCCAGTAAATATATACAATATCTTTTAAAAGCACTATAGATCAGGGATTGTTGAATTATGGTATATGAGACAAATCTCAAAAATAAAATTTTAGGCTGGGCGTGGTGGCTCACACCTGTAATCTCAGCACTTTGGGAGGCCAAGGCAGGTGGATCATGAGGTCAGGAGTTTGAGACCAGCCTGAACAACATGGTGAAATGCTGTCTCTACTAAAAATACAAAAATTAGCTGGGTGTGGTGGCACGCACCTGTAATCCCAGCTACTCAGGAGGCTGAGGCAGGAGAATTGCTTGAACCCAGGAGGCGGAGGTTGCAGTGAGCCAAGATCGTGTCACTGCACTCCAGCCTGGGCAAGACAGCAAGACTCCGTCTCAAAAAAAAAATTAGAAAACAGCCACCCCTATTCATTTATGTATTGTCTATGGTTGTTTATAGCAGCTTTTGCAGAATTGAGATGCAAAAGAGATCATATGGCTCACAAAGCTTGAACTGTCTATTATCTGGCCCTTCATGGGAAGAGTTTGCTAAACTCTACTATAGGCCATCTAAACATAATTGACATTTATAGAACACTATACCCAATGATAGCAGAATATACATTCTTTCCAATTGCACATGGTACGTTCACTAAAAGAGACCAAAATTGGCCATAAAATATCTCTCAGTATACTTCAAAAGATTGAAATCTTACAGTGTATGTTCTTTAACCATAAAGGAATTAAAATAGAGATCAATAAATATATCTAGAAAAGCCACAGATATTTAGAAATTAAACTACACACTTCTAAGTAATATATGGGTCAAATAAGATATCTGGGTTAGAAAATATTTCAAACTGAATGATAATAAAAAGTAGCAGACTAAAGTTTAGGTGCTGCAACTATACCAGTGTTTAGAGGTCAATGTGCAGCTTTAAAAATTATATTAGAAAGGGAGAGAGTCTTAAAATCAATGAGCCAAATTCCACTTTAAGAGCCCAGGAAAAGCAGAGCAAACTAAACACAAAGTAAGTAGAAGGAAAGAAAGAATAAAGATCCATGTAGAAATTGATAAAATTGAAAATAGAAAAACAATAGAGAAAATTAACAAAGCAAAAAGCAAGTCTTTTAAAAGATTAATAAAATTGAAGTTTCACACAAGACTAATCAAGAAGAAAAGATACAAAACAAAATTTACCAATAACAGGAATTAGGTATATCATGTTATTATTTGTTTCCTGTCTGTTCCTTTTGCTTTTTATCCCTAATTTTCCCTTTCCAGCATTGTTTTTAGTTAAGTGAGCATTTTTTAGTATTTCATTTTCATTTTCATTTTATTTTATTATTTATAAATTATACATATATAATTTATTTAATTTTATTTAATTTCATTTTAATTTTCTACTGTGATTTTGACTATATCTCTTGGTATAGGTTTTTAAATGCCTTCTCTAGGGATTACAGTATACAGAACAGTGTCACAATCTATCTGGAATCAATATTTTACCACTCCAACTGGAAGGTGGAAATCTTACCACTATGTTAACTCATTCACCCTCCCCTTTTATGTTATGGTATCTACATATTACATCTATATGCATTAAAATCTTATAAGGTAATGCTATAATTTGTGCTTTCAACTGTCAAATATACTTTAAACATCTCAGGAGAAGAATAGTTATTATATTACCAGAATTTTATCATCTGTTACTCTTCCTTCATTCCTGATATTCCAAGTTTCTTTCTGGTATCATTTCCTTTCTATCTGAAAAACTTCCTTTATTAATTGAACAGGTTTACTGGCAACTAACTGCACATGACACATTCACCAAAAATAATTTTCTTTTATCTGAGAATGTCTCCATGTCATCTTCATTCACAAAATATATTTTCACTGGACATAGAATTCTGCATTGACAGTTCTTTTCTTTTAGCACTTTAAAAATGTGTCACTTCTTTCTTGCCTCCATGGTTTCTGATAACAAACACAGTCATTTAAATCTTCATCCCCCTTACAGGTAATGCATAGGCTTCCTCGGGCTGCCTTCAAAATTGTTCTTTGTCTGTAGTTTCTAGTAATTGGATTATGATGTTTCTGGGCACAAATTTCTTTTGTTTATCCTTTTGGGGCTCGCTAAGGTTCTTGAATCTGTAGGTTTATGTCTTTCACCAAACTCTGGAAATTATTATTATTATATTATTATTTTGAGATGGAGTCTTGCTCTGTTGCCCAGGCTGGAGTGCACTGGTGCAATCTTGGCTCACTGCAAACTCCACCTCCTAGGTTCAAGCAATTCTGCGTCACCCTCCCAAGTAGCTGGGACTACAGGCATGCACTACCACACCAGGATAATTTTGTATTTTTAGTAGAGATGGGGTTTCACCATTTTGGCCAGGCTTGTCTTGAACTCCTGAACTCAGGTGACCACTCACCTTGGCCTCCCAAAATGCTGGGATTACAGGCATGAACCACTGCACCCAGCCTCTCCAAATATTTTTTGAGAACAAACAATCTTTCTCCTCCATTTCTGTTACTCCGATGGCATGAATATTCACCTTTTGATATTTTCGTACAGGTCCCTAAAAGTATGTTCATTGTTTTTCACTTTATTCTCTTTGTTGTTCAGACTGGATGATTTCTATTGATCCTGTCTCAAGTTTGCCAACTCCTCAGTCATCTCTATTCCACTCTTAAGTCCATCCAACAAGTTTTTTACTTCAGTTATTTCATTTTTCTGGTCTGAAATGTCCTTTTATTTCTCTTTTATATCTTCTGTTTCTTTGCTGATGCTTTCTATCTTTCCACTCATGTCAAGAATGTGCATGACTGCCTCTTGGAACATTTGTATAATACCTGCTTTAAGTCTTTGTCAGATAATTCCAACATCTGTAGCCCATTATATTAACGTAATAAAGGGAAAAAATAATATATCAATTGATACAGAAAAGGCATTGGACAAAATTCAATACCCATTAATGATGAAAAAATGTTTTTCACTCTCAGCAAACTAGGAAAAAAAGACAACTTGTTTAATTTAATTGCAGGCACCTACAAAGAAAAAACTACAACTGATAATTCCTACTGATTGCTAAACATTTTCCCCTAATATTGGAAAGAAGGCAAAGTTCTCTATTCTTACAGCTTCTACTGTACTGGACATCCTGGATAGTTCAATAAGGAAAAAGAAAAAGAAAGAAAGAGAAAGAAAGAAAGAAAGAAAGAAAGAAAGAAAGAAAGAAAGAAAGAAAGAAAGAAAAAAAAAAAAGAAAGAAGCAGGAAGGCAGGAAGGCAGGAAAAGAACAAAGGAAGGGAGGGAGGGAAAAAGAAAAAGGAAGGAAGGGAGGGAGGGAAGAAAGAAAGAAAGAGAGAAAGAAAGAAAGAAAGAAAGAAAGAAAGAAAGAAAGAAAGAAGGAAAGAAAAAAAAAGAAAGAAGCAGGAAGGCAGGAAGGCAGGAAAAGAACAAAGGAAGGGAGGGAGGGAAAAAGAAAAAGGAAGGAAGGGAGGGAGGGAAGAAAGAAAGAAAGAGAAAGAAAGAAAGAAAGAAAGAAAGAAAGAAAGAAAGAAAGAAAGAAAGAAAAAAAGAGAAAGAAAGAGAGAAAGGAGGGAGGGAAAAAGAAAAAAAAGAAAGAGAGAAAGAAAGAACGGAAGAAAGAGAGAGAGGGAGGGAGGAAGAGAGAGAGAGAAAGAGAGAGAGAAAGGAAGGAAGGAAGGAGTTGAAAAAGAAGCAATAAATACATTCCTATTTGAAAATGGTATGATCATTGGCATAGAAAATCCTAAAGAATCAACAACAAAAACCTTCTAGATCAAATACAGCAGTTAAACTAGGTTCCTCCTACCAACTAATACATCAGTTTAACTAACTCAATGTACAAAAATCAATAGTATGTCTATATACTAGTAGAAAACACTGGAAAAGTGTTGACTTCTAAGACATATCTACAAAAAAAGAAAGAAAAAACTGGAAAAATGGAATTTAAAAAATAATCTCATTTATCATACCATCAAAAACATAAGAAAAAGTTTGAATACATTCAATAAAAGATATGCAAGCCCTGTACATTGAAAATAACAAAATATCATTGAGATAAGTTAAACAAAACCTAAATAAATGGAAATATATCGTTTTCATAGATTGAAAGATTCAATATTGTTAAGATGCCTCCCCATACTGATCTACAGTTTCAACTCAATGTCGATAGGTTTTTCTTAGAAATTGACAAGATGATTCTAAAATACATATGGATGTGCAAAAGATCTAGAATATCTAAAACAATCTTGAAAAAGTAGAATAAAGTCAGCTGGGAACTTATATTACCTGACTTCAAGGTTTACCACGAAGTTATAGTAATTAAGACATTGTAGTGGCTCACGCCTGTAATCCCGGCACTTTGGGAGACCGAGGCGGGCAGATCACGCGGTTAGGAGATCGAGACCACGGTGAAACCCCATCTCTACTAAAAATACAAAAAATTAGCCGGGCGCAGTGGCAGGCACCTGTAGTCCCAGCTACTTGGGAGACTGAGGCAGGAGAATGGCGTGAACCTGGGAGGCAGAGCTTGCAGTGAGCAGAGATCGCACCACTGCACTCCAGCCTGGGCGACAGAGTGAGACTCTGTCTCAAAAAAAAAAAAAAAAAGACATTGTGGTGTATACATAAGGATAGGCAAATAGATCAAGACAACAGAATAGGATATCCAGAAATAAATTTGCAGTTAAATGGTCAGTTGATTATTGACAAAGGTGCTAGAGAAATTTAACAGGGAAAAGTAGGTTTTTAAATAATGGTTCTGGGCTCCCATAACTCATACCATACAAAAATTAATTTGAGATGGCTCATAAATCTAAATATAAACACTTAAACACTCAAGCTTTTAGAAGAAAACCTAGGAGAATATTTTGTGATCTGGGGATAGACAAGTAATAACCATAAGAGAAAAAAGTAATAAGTTAGATTTCATCAAAACAAAAACTTCTCCTCATCAAAAGACACCATTAAGAAAATGGATAGTCAAACTACAGACTTTTATGAAGAATATAAAATGAACACTTACAATTAGATCATAAAAGCAACACAATTTTTTAAAAATGTACAAAAGAATGAAGACTTCACAGAGAAGTCAAACAAATGGCCAATAAACACATGAAAATTGCCCAATATCATTGGTTATCAGGTGAATGAGTATTGAAATCACAATGACATGTTACTCCATACTTACTAAAATGGTTAAAATTTAAGAATGACAATTTAGCTGTGCGTGGTGGTGCATGCCTACAGTCCCAGCTACTCAGGAGGCTGAAGTGGGAGGATAGCTTGAGCCTGGGAGGCAGAGGTTGCAGTGAGCCAAGATCACCCCACTGCACTCCAGCCTGCATGACTGAGTGAGACCCTGTCTCAAAAAACAAAAAACAAAAAAAAGTTAAGACAGACAACACCAAATGTTGGGAAGGATTTGGAGCAACTGGAACTCTTATACATTCTTGATGGGAATGCAAAATGGTTCAAATTCTGTGAAAAACCATTTAGCCATTTCTAATGAAGATAAACATGCTACTACCCTCTGACTAAGAAATTCCATTCCTAGTTACTTAACCAAGAAAAAATAGGTTACAAAAAGACTTGTATAAGAATGTTTATCACAGCTTTATTTATAATAGCCAAAAA
The DNA here is from genome assembly GCF_000001405.40 of Homo sapiens. NCBI lineage: Eukaryota > Metazoa > Chordata > Mammalia > Primates > Hominidae > Homo > Homo sapiens. The sequence goes on from NC_000018.10 coordinate 35,959,949, forward strand.
CTGGAAACAGTCCAATGTCCATCAACAGGTTAATGAATAAACAGCATGTGGTATGTTTACAAAATGGAATACTACTCAGCAATAAAAAGGAACAAACTACTGATGCACACAAGATGGATGAAACTCACGGTAAAAGATGTACATACTATTTTCTTCCATTAGTGTAAAGTTCTAGAAAGTTGTAACTAATCTATGTGAAAGAGTATGTACTATATTACTCCACTTTTGAAGTTCTAGAAAGATAAAACTAATATATGTTAAGAGATAAAGAGAGAGGGGGCAGTGGTGGCTTCTTCAAGGGATGTTCAAAAGGAAAGAATATTAGCGAAACTTCCAAGGTGAAAGAAATCTTGATAGAATGTGGTTTATCTTCTGGGGTGATGGAAATATTCTATATCTTTACAGGGGTGTTTTCATTTTTTAATTTGTACGGTTAAGATATGTACATTTCAATATAGGTACATTTTACCTAAAACTTTCTAAAATAATTATAATAATTGAATGGGGAGTAGGGAGAGGTACAGATGAAACCAATGCCAAGATGCTGATAGTTATTGAAGTTGGCAGTTGGATATATGAGGGTTTATCATAACATTGTGTTTGTTTTGTATATGTTTGAAATTTTCCAGAATAAAGTTTTTAAAATAAAACATGAATAAATATAACAAATTCACTGCCAACAATTGTCAATTCATACCAGTCTAGTTTTATTTTCATCCCCTCAGCTTTCTTTCCTTCCAAAATGATTTTGCAGCACATCCCAGAAACTTATTTCAACTGTAAACATTCAGTGTACATCTTTAAAATACAAGTTTCAAAAAATAACCGTAGGCTGGGCATGGTGGCTCATGCCTATAATCCCAGCACTTTGGGAGGCTAAGACCAGAGGATTGCTTATGGCCAGGCCTTTGAGACCAGCCAATGCAACATAGCGAGACCCTGTCTCTACACAAAAATTTAAAAATTAGCCAGGTGTGGCAGCATTCCTGTGGTCCAAGCTACTTGGGAGGCTGAGGCAGGGGGATTGCTTGAACCCAGAAATTGCAGGCTGCAGTGAATTATGATTATTCTGCTGGATTCCAGCCTGGGAAACAGAGCAAGACAATGTCTCTAAAAAATAAGTAAATACACAAATAAAATAAAATAAAATAAAAAATAGCCAAAACACCATGATAACTCTAAAAAGTTAAAAATGGTTCCTTAGTATTATCAACTACCCATCAGTCTCATAAATAGCATAAATGATGGTTTTTATAGTTTGTCTAAATCAGAATCCAAGTAAGGTCCACACATTGCAAATGGGTGATAGATGTTTTATGTGTTTTAGGGCTATTGTTGTTGTTTGAAACAGGGTCTTGCTCTGTCATCCAGGCTGAAGCACAGTGGTGCAATCACAGCTGAGTACAGCCTCAACTTCCCTGGCTCAAGCAATCTTCCCACTTCAGCCTCCCAAGTAGCTGGGACTACAGGTGCATGCCACCACACCTGGCTAATTTTTTTTTTTTTTTTTTTTTTGTAGACATGGGGTCTCAATATATTGCTGAAACTGGTCTCACACTCCTGGACTCAAGCGATCTTCCTGCCTCAGCCTCCCAAAGTGCTAAGATTACAAGCATGAGCCACCATGCCTGGGTGGTCATAGATCTTTTAAGCCCTTTTTATTGTTTCTCTCTCTCTCTTTGGCTTTACAATTTTTTAGGGATGTTTATTTATTTCTTAAATTGACAGATAAAATTATATGTATTTATCATTCACATGATATATATATATATACATATATACACACGTTGAAGTATATATACATTGTAACATTGAAGAATGACTAAATCTAGCTAATTAACATATGCATCACCTCACATAGTTAACATTTTGTGGTGAGAGTACTTATCCATTCTTGTATATTTTTTTCAAGAATAAGCTTTGCAATTTATTTGTTGAAGAAAAGCAGTTATTTTTATGTGGAGTTTCACACAGTCTGGATTTTCCTAAACTGTATCCCTTTGGTGTGGTTTAACATAGGGGTCCCCAATCCCCAGGCCACTGACCAGGACCAGTCAGTGCCCTGTTAGGAAAGGGGCTGCAAAGCAGGAGGTGAGCAGCGGGCGAGTATTATCACCTGAGCTCTGCCTCCTGTCAGATCAGCATGGCATTAGATTCTTGTAAAACCACGAACCCTATTGTGAACTGCACATGCAAGGGATCTAGGTTGCGTGCTGCTTATGAGAATCTAATGCCTGATGATCTGAGATGGAACAATTTCATCCTGAAACCATCCCCTCCCACCCACCCCCTTGCCCCCCATCTGTGGAAAAACTGTCTTCCATAAAACCAGTCCCTGGTGCCAAAAATGTTGGGGACCACTGATTTAACAGGTTCCTCTGTCCTCTGCATTTTTTGTCATTTGGTAGTTAGATTCAGAGGCTTGATCAGGTTTAGGTTTGATTTTAATGGCAAGACTACTTCATGGTTGGTAGTGTGTTCTTCCATCAGGAGGCACATGCATGCCCGCTTGCCTCTTCTTTTGAGATAGGTTAGTATGACAGTCAGTTATTAACAGTAGAGTCTAAAGGGCAGCAGGGGAAAAGAAAGAGAAAGGGAGGAGACAAAGAAACCAAAATAAACAAAAAGTTACATAGAAAGGCAGAGACATGTAAATGATGACTTAGAGACCAGATGGGGATTTGTACAGAGATTACCAGGAGCACAGAGATGGAGAGGCACAGGGAGATACAAGCAGAAACTGATGGACGGATGGCTGATATTGCCAGGGCCAAGTAAGATAGAGGATGAGATCTATTCCATCTGCTGACACAGGTGCAGGGCAAGAAGCAAAACTGCAGTACATGGATGGAGACACAGGAGGGAGAAACAGAGGCACCAAGGCAACAGGGGCTTAAAAAGCAAAAATCCTCCCCTTCAAGGAACCCCTTGCTGCTATAGGTAGCCATGTGACTCAGATTTGGGGAAAGAATCAGAGGCTTCCCTTCCTAAAAAAAAAAAAAAGAAAAAAGGAAAAAGAGCAAAGGCTTCTGGACTTCCTTATTTCCACCTGGAAGAAAGATGCCATGCCTGGAGGTTCAGCAGCCATCTTGCAACCACAAGGATGGGACCACATGCTAAGGATGTTGGAGCAGGAAGACTGAAGGAGCCTATGTCTCTGGTGACCTCCCTCAGCCCAGGTCTCGATTGCCCCCTCCACAGACTTCTCGGAATTCTTTCTTTCCTTCCTTCCTTTCTCTTTCTTTCTTTTCTTTTTCTCCTTTCTTTCTCTCTCTCTTTCTCTCTTCTTTATCTCTCTCTCTTTATCTCTCTCTCTCTCTTCTCTCCTTCTTTCTTTTTTTTTTTTTTAAATGGAGTTTTGCTTTCGTTGCCCGGGCTGGAGTGCAATGGCCTGATCTTGGCTCACCGCAACCTCCGCCTCCCAAGTTCAAGCGATTCTCCTGCCTCAGCCTTACTGAGTAGCTTGGATTATAGGCATGTGCCACCATGCCCAGCTAATTTTGAATTTTTAGTAGAGATGGGGTTTCTCCATGTTGGTCAGGCTGGTCTCAAACTCCTGACCTCAGCTGATCCACCTGCCTCGGCCTCCCAAAGTGCTGGGATTACAGGCGTGAACCACCGTGCCTGGCCACTTCTCGGATCTCTGATTGGAGCCCCTTCTGGTAGTTTGCTGACCCTTCCTAAATGACATACCTGTGATGGACTCTAGTTTTTCTGTGAAGCAGTGGGTGAGATATAGGATGATAAGGGCATGGGGAAGAACCGAAATGGCTTTAGGGGAATGGGTGATATGACCAAGGACATTTGAAATTGGCAACCCTTTATTTGGCTGTGCCTTTTTCCAACAGCATTCTAGTTTGTTTCTACAACTCATTCAGTTTGTTTACCCTAAAAACTCTATACAGGGGCCGGGCACGGTGGCTCACGCCTGTAATCCCAGCCCTTTGGGAGGCCGAGGTGGGCAGATCACGAGGTCAGGAGATCGAGACCATCCTGGCTAACACGGTGAAACCCCAGTCTCTCCTAAAAATACAAAAAAAAAAAAAATTGGCCGGCCGTGGTGGCGGGTGCCTGTAGTCCCAGCTACTTGGGAGGCTGTAGCAGGAGAATGGCGTGAACCCGGGAGGCAGAGCTGGCAGTGAGCCGAGATCACGCCACTGCACTCCAGCCTGGGTGACAGTGCGAGACTCCATCTCAAAAAACAAAACAAAACAAAACAAAACAAAAAACAAAACAAACAAAAAAAACCTCTATACATATTTGCTTCAAAAAAACAAAAACAAAAAACAAAAAAAACAAAAAAAAAACCAGACAGACAGTGGGGCAGAAGGTGGGTGGAAGAGTAGATGGAGGTACAGACAAAACAAGACTGGCCATTTATTTATTACTTATGGAGGGTGGGTGATGGATTCATTCCACTGTTTTTACTACTTTTGTACCTCTGAAATTTTCCATGATGAAAAGATATTTTTAAGGAGCAAAATGAATGAAATTGAAAACTAAACTCCTAACTACTACAGGCAGTGCATGATTCATAAGTATACATCTCACAAAGAAAAACCTTTCAGAAGCCAAAACAGGCAGCCAACAGTAGAGCAAGTCTACAAGGCTGGTGGCTGTAGAGCAAGTGTCTGGGCACTGATCCCCACTTCTGAGTCTGTACTGGCACAGGGGTGGCCTTCCTCATCCCTGGCTCTGCTCAGGACTCCAAGTGCTTCCTCTGCCTCTCACCCAAAATCCACTATACTCAGCTGGACAATGCCTGCTCTAGGGCCTGGATTCGGGCCTGACCCACAGAGCGGCAGTGTTGTCTTTTGACTGACTTTGGCCAACTCAAGTTGGTGAAAGTTATGTGGAACTGAAAGAGTTCCTAACATGCACACCAGACAAAGATGAATTTAAGTCAGTGTGATGACAAAATTCATCCACATAGAGCAAAAGCTGTGATGACTTTCAGATGCTGGAGTAGACACTCAAGAAAGTACTGATGTTTCTCCAAATCATAAAATCATTGATGAATAGTTCATTTCTACATCTCCCCAGGCTTTTCTTTCTTCCCCTTCATCATCAATATTTGTGACAGGAATTCCCAACTGTTTCAGAATTACTGACATGCTCATGCTTATGTGTTTAACGCTCCCTCCTCCTCCTCCTCCTCCTTCTTCTTTGTTTTCTTCTTCCCTTCTTTTTTCTCCTTCTCCTTCTTCTTCTTCTTCTTCCTCTTCCTCCTCCTCCTCCTCTTCCTCTTCTTCTTTTTTTTTTTTGAGATGGAGTCTTGCTCTGTTGCCCAGACTGGAGTGCAGTGGCATGATCTCGGCTCACTGCAACCTCCACCTCCCAGGTTCAAGTGATTCTCTGCCTCAGCCTCCTGAGTAGCTGAGACTACAGGTGCACCCCATCAAGTCCAGCTAATTTTTGTATTTTTTGTAGAGACAGGCTTTCTCCATGTTGGCCAGGCTGGTCTCAAACTCCTGGCTTCAAGTGATCCACCTGCCTTGGCCTCCCAAAGTGCTAGGATTACAGGCATGCACCACTGCGCCCGGCCAACAATCCATTCTTCTAAAGAGACTCTCAACTGGGAGCCAGGCATGGTGCACTCTCCTGTAGTCCCACCTACTAGGGAGTATCACTTGAGCCCAGCAGTTTGAGACCAGCCTGGGCAACATAGTGAGACTCTGTCTCTGAAGGAAATAAATGAAAATAAACAGACCCTCTGGTATAAGTTATTTTTAAATCAAAATTAGCTTGTCAAATATGCATCAATTTGTCTTAATGATTCTAAGAACTTCTTCTTACCTCTTGAGAGAAGTGGAGTGGTGATGGCTGCTGGTGCCGAGCAGCATGTGAGATGGGCACATGGGGAGCAGCACTGGATCCTGGACCACCGGGCCTTCCCTGGGTTGTAGGGGCCTCATGTCGATAGGCAAGCACCATGCCTTTTGTACTCTCGCCTCCACGTTCCATGCACATATTGCGTGAGTGCACAGATGATACTTAAAATGATCTAGAATTATATTTAGTTATAGTCCTATCCCCTTCCTTTCCAGATGACTAAACTGAGGCACAGCCAAGCTGAGTAAAGTTTGTTCAAGGTCATGAAGCTGAATAGTAAGAAAACCAGAATCCAGGTGCACTAGCAGATCTTTGAAGTCATCCTGCCTTCCTGTTGAACCAAAAAAATAATAATTCCTGGGTAGGGAATAGATAAAGCACAGGGTTTCTAGAGAAAGGAGAAGTGGTGCTAAAAAGAAATTACAGGAAAGCTTGATATTTTAGGCAGAGGAGTTTACATGGACGCCTAGTGCCAGTTTTAGAACAGGGAAATAATGCAGAGAAAATTAATGTGTTGGGGAAACCGGGACTCAGAAACACATCCTTCCCTTGAGGGCTTGTGAAGTGCTGGAAAGTCTATAGCAGGTAAACGAGGCAAGGAGAGGACCAGTAGGAAGAGCATGGGGTTCTGAGCCAGAGGGAGCTGGATCAGGTCCCACACCACCTGCATGGCTTTGGCCTAGTGACTCCATCTCTCTGAGCCTCAGTCTCTGTGCATGTGAAGTGGGGATGACAACAGTGCCTGCCTCCCAGGGCCTCTCTCTCATTGTAAGAACTCATGCATTCAGCAAATCCTTATAGAGTCCAGGCCCTGGGCTAGGAATCACATATGGAACAGCAAACAGGACAGACACAGTCCAGCTGCCAGGGGTTCATTCTGGAGGGGAACAGGTAAACAATGAGTAAATAACGTAATCTCAGATATAAGTTTACTGTGACAACAATACAAGCCAGTAAGGACAAAGAATGACTTGTTGGGTGGGGTCAGGGAGGAATTATTTATTGGAGTAGTCAACGAAGGCCTCGCCTTGGAATGATGAGGAAACGCAGCCATGGGAAGGACCCTCATTCAAAGCAAAGAGCAGCAAGAGCACTGGGGTGGGTCTGAGCAGGGCATGTTTGGGAGACAGAAGACCAATGTGGCAAGAGCAGTGAGACGGTGGCCAGGTGAGACAAAGTGAGTCTGAGGTGGGGACAGCAACCTGCCCAGACAGGGCTCTGGAGAGCATGGTGAGGCACTGGTGTTCCAAGCGCAATAAGGAGCCCTGAGAGGCTCCGAGCAGGAACATTCCATGTTCAAAAAGTAATTAACATTTTATTATTTTTTATAGAGACAGGGTCTCACTCTATTGCCCAGGCTGGAGTGCAGTGGAGCAATCTCGGTTCACTGCAACCTCTGTGTTTCAGGATCAAGTGATCCTCCCAACTCAGCCTCTTGAATAGCTGGGACTTACATGTGCGGGCCACCACGACCAACGAACTTTTGTATTTTTTGTAGAGACGGGGTCTCCCTATGTTGCTCAAGCTGGTGTCGAACTCCTGGGCTCAAGTGATCCACCCACCTTGCCCTCCCAAAGTGCTGGGCTTACAGTTGTGAGTGACCACACCTGGCCAATGACTGACATTTTAAGAAGGCCACACTGTCTGCCATGTGGAAAATGTGTAACTGCTCAACGGGTTCTCCTTGCCTGTGCCTAAACACAGCCAATTTATCAAGACAGGGGAATTGTAATAGAGAAAGTGTTTAATTCACACAGAGCTGGCTGGAGTTTTATTATTACTCAAGTCAGTATCCCCCAAAATGCAAGAATTGGGATTTTTAAGGATAATTTGGTGGGTAGGCGGTTAGGAAGTGGGGAAAGCTGTTTGGTTGGGTCAAAGATGAAATCACAGGGGCCTAATGGCCAGGCACAGTAGCTCACAACTGTAATCCCAGCACTTTGGGAGGTCAAGGGGGGCAGATCATTTAAGATCAGGAGTTCGAGACCAGCCTGACCAACATAGCAAAACCCCGTCTCTACCAAAAATTTTAAAAAATTAGCCGGGCATGGTGGTGCATGCCTGTAGTCCCAACTACTCGGGAGGCTGAGGCAGGAGAATCACTTGAACCTGGGAGGCGGAGGTTGCAGTGAGCAGAGATCACGCCACTGCACTCTAGCCTGGACAACAGAGCTTAAAAAAAAAAAAATCATAGGGGGTTAAAGTGGGTTTTTCTTGCTGTCTTCTGTTCCAGTGGAGGATCACAGAACTGGTTGAGCCAGATTACGAAGCACTGATCTTAGATTTTACAACAGTGATGTTATTATCCCCAGGAGCAATTTGAGGAGGATCAGAATCTTGCAGCCTCCAGCTGCATGGCTCCTAAACCATAATTTCTAATCTTGTAGCTAATTTGTTAGTCCTACAAAGGCAGCCTGGTCCCCAGGCAAGAACGGGTTTTGTTTTGGGAAAGAGCTGATATCATCTTTATTTCAAAGTCAAACTATAAAGGGCTGTTACAAAGTTAAACTATAAACTAAGTTCCTCCCAAAATTAGTTCAGCCAATTCCTGGGAATGAACAAGGACAGCTTAGAGGTTAGAAGCAAGATGGAGTTGGTTAGGTCAGATCTCTTTCACGCTAATCATTTCACTGTTAATTTTTGCAAAGGCAGTTTCAATTGGACTGGGAGAGATAAAAGAGGAAGCAGGAAACGAATGCAGAGGGCCATAGCAGGGGTGCAGGCAAGAGAAGAGGGTGGCTGTGGTGGTGCAGAGAAGCGGGCAGTCATGATTTACTTCTGATGAAGAGCCAGCAGGACCTGAGGACAGACCAGCTGCAAGCCGTGGGAAGGAAGAAGCAGCACTGTAACATGTCCATAATGGCCCCAACGCCCAAGCTGGAAGGTTGTGGGTTTACAGGAATGAGGGCAAGCAACACCTGGCCCGCCCAGGGCGGAAAACCGCTTAAAGGAATTCTTAAGACACAAACAAAAGCATGAGCGATCTGTGTCTTAAGGGCATGTTCCTGCTGCAATTAATTCAGCCCATCCCTTCCTTTCCCATAGGGGACTTTTAGTTAATTTAATATCTATAGAAACAATGCTAATGACTGGTTTGCTGTTAATAAATATGTGGGTAAATCTCTGTTCAGGGCTCTCAGCTCTGAAGGCTGTGAGACCCCTGATTTCCCACTTCACACCTCTATATTTCTGTGCGTGTGTCTTTAATTCCTCTAGCGCCACTGGGGTCTCAGCACATGCACACATATTGGATTTCATTTTCACATTTTCCCTCTTTCTGCTTTATTAGTGACCTAGAAACAGATACAACTATGTAAAAAACAAAACAAAACAGAACTTCTATATGGTGTAGTGGCATTTCTCCTATGCCATGGTGGTGTTGTGAGGATTAAATAAATTAATACACGTTAAGATGCTTAGAAAAGTGCCTGGCACATATACAGTGCTCATTGCATATTATTTTTATTTCAATTCAAATGGAAAAAGACTAGTTTACCTAGCATGGGGCTTTTGTATAACTTACTATCCATTTTGAAAAAATGTCAGATGCTCTTACATTTAAGTGAAAATACATTTCATATCAATTAAATATGTGCATGGAAGAAATCATACTAGAAAAGTATGAGAAAAACATCTGATTAGCCAGGTGCAGTGGCTCACACCTATAATCCCAGCACTTTGGGAGGCCAAGGCAGGTGGATCATGTGGTCAGGAGATAGAGACCATCCCAGCCAACATGATGAAACCCTGTCTCTACTAAAAATACAAAAATTAGCTAGGCATGGTGGTGCATGCCTGTTATCCCAGCTACTCGGGAGGCTGAGGCAGGAGAATCGCTTGAACCAGGGAGTCGGAGGTTGCAGGGAACCAAGATCGCACCACTGCACTCCAGCCTGGCAACAGAGTGAGACTCTGTCTCAAACAAACAAACAAAAAAATCTAATTGAATAGTTAGTTGCCTAACTTTGACAAAGCAGGACTTTTTAGACCACACAGAAAACCCAGATCCAATAATGAAAAGAGTGACTTGTTTGATCACATACAAAATTTTGTAATGTTAAAAAGTTATAAATTATGCCAAAGATAAGGAAGAAGAAAATATTGCATCACATATGACAAGCAGAAAGTGAATTTCACCAAAATAAAAGATCTTCTAAAAACTGATAATCCAACAAGAGATTTCTCTTCATAAGAGAAAATGCAAACCATCAAGGGATAAATGAAAAGAGGATTTGCCTTTCACCTATCTAATTTGACCCAGCCTTCTTAGTCATTGATGCTGGGAATATGAATTGCTACAACCTTTTCTGGATGATCTGGCATATAAAAAATGTGCATATTATTCTACCCAGTAATTTATCTTTTAGGAATTCAGACAAAAGAAATAAAACCACCAGTACTGTATTAACTAGCAAAGCACGAATTTTTTTCCAAATGAACATCAATAGGAAAATAAAATATGGTTATTTATTAAATAAATTAAATTATGTTTCATTACATTTTGTAATATGTTCAGCTATTTAAAAGCATGTACTAACTTGAAAAGATGTCTGTGGCCTGCTGTTAAGGAAAAAAGACAAGTTATACAGTAAGGAACTAACATTTTACTTTTGGTTTTGGTTTTGTGTGTGTGTTTGGTTTGTTTCTTTTTGTTGTGGTCGTGGTAAGTGGTGGGGGGTAGCATATTTATACACGTACTTAAGTGTATAAGGACATAGGTAGAGGAGACACCCAATTATTCATGTTGATCGCCTCAGAGAAGTGGGATGGAAAGGTGGGAAGAGCAGGGAAAATAACTTTTCTTCGGAAAAAGTTAAAATGCCTATAGAGATGTAAATATATACTTTCTCTTTACAAATCTTTATATAATTTAGCCCCCCGCCTCCCGCCTTTTTTTTTTTTTTTTTTTTTTTTAGACGGAGTCTCGCTCTGTCGCCCAGGCTGGAGTGCAGTGGCTGTGATCTCGGTTCACTGCAACCTCCGCCTCCTGGGTTCAAGCGATTCCTGTGCCTCAGCCTCCCAAGTAGCTGGAACTACAGGCGCATGCCGCCACACCTGGCTAAATTTTTGTATTTTAGTAGAGACAGGGTTTCACCGTGTTGCCCAGGCTGGTCGCCGACTCCTGAGATCAGGCAATCCACCCGCTTTGCCCTCCCCAAGTGCTGGAATTACAGGCGTGAGCCACTGCGCCTAGCCAATTTAGCTCCCTTTTAAAATTAAAAATGGGCTGGGCATAGTGTCTCATACCTGTGATCCTAACACTATGGGAGGCTGAGGTGGGAGGATCACTTGAGCCCAGGAGTTCAAGACCAGCCTGGGCAATATAGTGAGACGCCCATCTCTACCAAAATAATAATAATAATAACAACAACAACAACAACAACAACAATACCTACGCATGGTAGTGTGCCTGGTTCCCAGCTACTAGGGAGGCTGAGGCAAGAGAACCCTTTAACCCAGCCCAGGAATTCAAGAATGCAGTGAACTGTGATCACACGACTGCACTCCAGCCTGAGCAACAGAGTGAGATCCCATCTCAGATAAATAAATAAAGCAGGCTAAATAAGGGTCCACTATCCAGAACATACACATTAAAAGAACCTTACAACTTATCAACAAAAAGACAACTCCAATAAAAAATGAGCAAAGAACTTAAACAGCCAAAGATACATAAATTGCCAACAAGCACATGAAAAGCTGCTCAAAAGCATCAGTAGTCAGGGAAATGTTAATCAAAACCACAATGAGATGCTACATCATACTCACTAGGAAGGCTAGATTTAAAAAAAAAAGAAAAAGAAAAGCAAATGTTGGTGAGGATACGGAGAAACTGGAACCCTCATTAAGCACAGAATTACTACATAACCCAGCAGATCTACTCTTAGGTATTATACCCCGAAGAACAGAAAAAAGGCACTCAAACAAATGCATGTACACACATGTTCACAGCGGCATTCATTCATAACAGCCAAAAAGTAGAAACAATTCAAACGTTCAACTGATGAATGGATAAACCATTGTGATACCGCCATACAATGGAATATTATTCAGCCATAACAACGAATGAAGTACTGATACGTGCTGCAAGGTGGATGAACCTGATACATTATGCTAGGTGAAGGAAGCCAGACACAAAAGGTCGTGTGTATGATTCCATTTACATGAAATGCCCAGAATAGGTAAATCCATAGAGACAGAAAGCGGACTGGTGGTTGCCAAGGCCTGGGAGGGAGAGGAGGATTGGCCGTAAGTGCTTCATGGAGTTGGCTGTCCTTCGGCGAAATATTTTGGAAATAGCAGAATGGTGCTTGCACAACATTGTAAATTTACTAAACGCCACTGAATTGTTCACCTTAAAATGGTCAATATTACGTTATGTGAATTTCACTTTAATTACAAAAAGAGAAACGCTAGCGTTTACGCAGGCGGAGGGCAGGCTGGACTGGGGACGCTCCTCCCGGCCGCCTCGTTGCTGGCAGCGCTTCCGCCCGCCGGCGCACCAGTCAGTACCGCGCCCGGCGAATGTGGAGGGCGAAGCTGCGGCAGGGCAATCACAAAAGGGCTGTCAGAGAGGAGGCGAGGCGGGAGGAAGATGGAGAGGCGGGTGGGAGCCTCACCTTTGGACTCTATCGCCACAGCCCGGTCTAGCCGCTACGCCCGAGCTCAAGTCTGACTCGAAACTCCGCTGGGTGCCTGAGAGGACCCGGCAGGCCAAGGGGTGGAACTGAGGGGGCGGGGACGCGGCGGGCGGGTGGGGCCGCCTCCCGGCTGGGCACGCCTCCAAGCCAGACTGGACGCGAAGGAAACCGGAACCTGTCTGCCTACGGTGCCTGTTTCCGGAAGCAGCTTGAGTCCGGACACCAACGACGGGGACGCTGGGAAGCCGACTTCCGGCGCCCTATTTTCTCACCTGGTTCCCGCGGCGAGCCAGCGGCAGCGGCGGCGGCGATGAGACAGAAGCACTACCTTGAGGCTGCAGCGCGGGGACTGCACGACAGCTGCCCGGGCCAAGCCCGCTACCTCCTGTAAGAGGACTGGAGGGGAAGCGGGAGGCGAGCGGGTAGGTGTTCCTTTGCTCCTCACAAGTCTCTTTCTCTTTTACAGCTGGGCCTACACTTCGTCGCACGGTAAGAAGAACGCCTGTCTCTTGTGCTTTGGGCTCTTGTCGCCCCGCTTTCCTCTGTTCCGCACAACGCTCAAATAAGGCCGATGGACTCACTTCCCTCCATAAAAACAACAACAACAAAGCCCGCATGTGTCTCGGTTTCGTGAAAAATCCAAATTCTTTAATGTGCCTTGTCTTGCTTTGTTAGCGGCATTTGACACATTGATCAGTCTTGAAATAGTTTCCTCCCTTGGCTTCTAGGTCATTACGTAGTTCACCTCTTCATTTATTACTTCTCGATTTGCTTTGCTGGTTCCTCCTAATCTCCCCAAGCTTTAAGTATTGTCGTGGCCCAGTACTCAGCCCTTGGACCTCTTTTCTAGGCACACTCGCTTCCTTGGTGACAGTTTTTCATCCAATCTCATGGCTTTTAAATACCATATACTGAGGACTTACAAATGTATATACTCAGCGCAGACCTCTCCTCTGAATTCTAGACTCATATATCCGAATGTCTTCTTGACAAATTCTTTTCAATGTCTAGTAATTCAAACTTAGCTAATATGTCCAAAACCTGAGCTTTAACCCCCAACAAGATCCTCCAGTTTTTCTCATTTCAGTAAATAATTCCATTCTTCCCTTACAGTTATTGAGCCCAAAAACCTTGGAGCTATTCTTGACTCCCTAACTCTCTCTCCTCCCCCAGGCCAGTATGCGAGCAAATCCTGTTGGCTTTAAAATGTAGCCAAAATCAGCCAGGAGCGGTGGCTCACCCCTGTAATCCCAGCACTTTGAGATGCAGAGGCGGGCGGATCATTTGAGGCCAGGAGTTCGAGACCAACCTGGCCAACATGGCGAAACGCTGTCTCTACTAAAAATACAAAAAAATTACCTGGCATGGTGGTGCACGCCTGTAATCCCAGCTACTCGAGAGGGTGAGGCATGAGAATCTCTTGAACCCGGGAGGTGGAGGTTGCAGTGAGCGGAGATGGCGCCATTGCACTCCACTCCTCACCACATCCATTGCTACTACCCTGCTCCAGGCCATCACCAGCTCTCTCCTGGATTAATAAAAGTGAAAGTCCTTTAAAAGGATTGTAAGGCCCTGTGTCATAGACCTGCATACCTCTCTGACGTACTCTTTCCTTCACGCAACTCCAGTCACACTAGGTCTCCTTGCTTTTCTGTTTCAGGGCCTTTGCAGGTACTCTTCACTCTGCCTGGGATTCTTGCCTCACATATCTGCTTTCATGTGAATCCTCCATTTCCCTCTGGTCTCTATAATATCACTCAATGAAGCTTTCCCTAGCCACCTATTTAAAATTACAGTAACTCCATCAATACTTCTATTCCCCCCTCCTATCTTACTTTTTTATTCCCAGCACTTAACATTTGACGTTGTTATATTTATTGTATGCCTCGGTGAATTGTCCTTTGTTCACTGCTGTGTCTCCAGCACTTAGAACAGTGCCTGGCATTCTTAATTGTCACTTAGTGAATATGAATGAGTTTCACATTTGGCAGAGCTAAGTTTAAGTGTGGTCTTTAGCTTTATAAGTGCTGTTGCATCCCTGGCACTTAGCACAGTGCTCAACAGTAGATACTATTCATTGTGCTAATTATTTAAAAAAAGAAACAAAATCGCAGTGCAATTTGTTATTTTGTGGTAAATGCATTGGTAAAATTGGTGAAACATAACAGCCTTTTAAAACTTAGTAGCAAGTAATGAGAAGTGGCTAGATTTAGGATATATTTTAAAGCCTACAGGATTTGCTAGCATAGGTTGGAGATTTGCCTATCTGTTGCTGAAAGGAGTGAATGGATGGAATTGTAGTATTTTGCAAGGTAAATTACTGCCAATTTATCTTTTTGTAAATTTTCATATTTTGAGTTTACTTAATGTGTATCTGCTTATATTAAATTTCAATATACTTTTTATAAATGTTGACAGTTTGAGGTAACAAAATATTCTGATTTGCTGAATTGTGAGTTTCATTTGTATAATTTTAGATGATAAGAGCACTTTTGAAGAAACGTGTCCATACTGTTTCCAGCTGTTGGTTCTGGATAACTCTCGAGTGCGTCTCAAACCCAAAGCCAGGTTGACACCCAAAATACAGAAACTTCTTAATCGAGAAGCGAGAAACTATACACTCAGTTTTAAAGAAGCAAAAATGGTGAAAAAGTTCAAAGACTCCAAAAGTGTATTGGTAAGATTTCAGTTCCAGTATGTATGAGTAAACTAGAATTTTCTTTTCTTTCACTTAAAATCAGTTTAAGAATCAGCCTCAGTATAACTCAGAGATTTATAGTAGTATATTTGGATTATCAAAATATATACATAAACACTTCTCTAATGATTAGTGTTTCATTATAAGGACAGCTTACTTTTATTTTTCATGATTACCTAAACCAAACATGGTGAGCTCTCAATTGTTTTGAGATCCCATTGTTGAGCATTATTTTTCACAAATGTGCGGATTTCTTGAACTGACCGTTATGGCTCCACCTAAATTGCAGTTACCACTACATTATTTTTTCAGTTAATGCTCCTTTGCTTCAGATAGTACTATGTTATGTATGTAGGTATCATGTCACTTCTTCAGCTGTCCTCCCACTCCATGTCAGAGTGGATTTACAGGTATGCCCAACAAAGGTGAATGCATCTTTTGTTCTTTCAACATTTTATTGAGGGTCTATCATATGCCAAGCAACATTTAATATTGGGGATATAAGATGGAATAAAACAACCAAAATCAGATTACGTACGGTTTACTATATGGAGGCCAGTAGCAAATACACTTTATATCCCTGCATATTTTATGTTAACATTTATCAACTGTTCAAGTGCCTGCTTATTGTCTATCACTGTGCCGGGCACTGGACATTATGACAGCTTATGTCTGGCCTAAGACTATAATTAGCAATTACTTGGATTGAAAATTGTCATATTTAGGAGTTTACCAGTGTTGGTCAGGTAGGTGCATTTTGCTTTGTCATAAAATTGAATGGTTAAAGGGAAAGAAAGAAGAGATAGAATATTGAAGTGAGTATGGAATTCGGTTTCTTAGTTCTTGGAGAATTGTATTTTTCAAAAATCATTACTGCCACATATTTGGAAAATGTTCTTAAATGGGAAGACAGCAAATGCTGCCTCACTATCTTGCAGTGTTTTGCCCTCATGAAGCTTACATTCTAATGTATTTTAATCAGAAGTCAGCTAGAAAGGTGCTAGAGGTATTTGTTTTTCTGATTTTTTTTTTTTTTTTTTTTTTTTTTTTTGAGACGGAGTCTCCCTCTGTCGCCCAGGCTGGAGTGTAGTGGCGTGATCTCGGTTCACTGCAAGCCCCACCTCCTGGGTTCACGCCATTCTCCTGCCTCAGCCTCCTGAGTAGCTGGGACTACAGGTGCCCACCACCACGCCCGGCTGATTTATTTTAACCTGTATACAGCCTCCTTCCAAAAAGTGTAAAGCAACATAGACCTTTGATAGATGCAGATCTTCCATTGGCATTTTCATCTGCTCATGAACATCAAACTACTTCTCACTTAAACTAGTTTGTATTAATTTGCCGAGGCATGGGCTGAGTCCTGTGCACAGTCAATTAGATATGTAGAAGAAAGGAAATTAGCTAGAAAATGGACCATTTCTTGAGAAATGAATCTTGAAAAGAAAGACAACCTCTAGAGCTAATGATGGGAGTGGAGAGGTGTGAGAGTATAACAACTCATTTGGTTGTATAAGTTACTTTAGACCTATGTTTACAAAATTGCTAAGGATTTGAAGGGGCTACTTAAATTTCCAGTGATACTGTGCCATGTTGTTTTTGGGAAGAGGCTTGAAGTTCATCTGCAAAAAAATATTAAATGCTTACTGCTGTTACAAAGAACATTCCTCCAGATGTTAAAGAGTATTATCTCCCATCTCTTCCCAAATTCCCACCAAACATGGTTTTATATTTAAAAAGTAGAGTTCATTATCTTTGAAAACCTATTTTAAATTAAATACAAATGTTTAGCCATTCATTTTTATTGAACATTTTCTCATTTAAAATTTGTCGGCTGGGCACAGTGACTCAAGCCTGTAATCCCAGCATTTTGGGAGGCCGAGGCGGGTGGATCGCCTGAGGTCAGGAGTTCAAGACCAGGCTGGCCAACATGGCGAAACCCTGCCTACTAAAAATACAGAATTAGCCAGGCACAGTGGAAGGCGCCTGGTCTCAGCTACATGGGAGGCTGAGGCAGGAGGATCACTTGAACCCAGGAGGCAGAGGTTGCAGTGAGCTGAGATCACGCCACTGCACTCCAGCCTGGGGACAGAGCAAGACTCCGTCTCAAAAAAAAAAAAATGTCTTGTCTGATTCTCGCTACTAGATTGCAAGTTCCCCAAGGACAGCCTCTATTTTACTTACCCCTATAGTATCTGGTGTAGTCCCTGACATTTAAGAATTCAATGAACCTGTGGTTTATGGGGTTAAATTATAAGATAAATGACGGGACTGATATTTCTTATTTTTATGGTAGTTGATCACTTGTAAAACATGCAACAGAACAGTGAAACATCATGGTAAAAGTAGAAGCTTTGTGTCAACATTGAAGAGCAATCCTGCCACTCCTACAAGTAAACTCAGCCTGAAGACACCAGAGAGAAGGACTGCAAACCCAAATCATGACATGTCTGGCTCGAAAGGCAAGAGCCCAGCATCGGTTTTCAGGTATCTTAATCCATGAAGTTTTTGAATTGCCAGTGTTAAGTGTTTTCTTCTAATTTCCTGTGTTTAATATATACTCCCTAAATATGCCATGCATTTCAGGACTTGGCCATTTTTCCTCCATACCCTTTTCTAATGTCACATACTCCCATATCTTCAATGCTCATTTCAATGCATTTGACTTCTAGGTATGTTACTCTACTTCCAACATCTCCTGTGCCTATTTCCAGCTGCCTGCTAAATATAACCACTTCAGTCCCCTACATGTTCAAAACTTAGTTCATCATTGCCCCACAGCTAACCACTCAAACCTGTCCATCCTCCTGAGTTCCTTATTCTGTGAATGAACACACCTTTCTGGACATTTTGACCTAAAATGACAGGTACATTCAAAAATCCCTATTCCCTTGGTCCTTGTCACCGATTTCTATATATCCTACTTCCCTGTTTTCATCTTTTTGCTCCTTTTTCTCCATAGTGCTGCTATATTCTGGTTCAGGTCCTTATGCACCATTTGTCAGGACTACTGCAGTGATTTTCCTCATGGGTCTCCCTGCTTCTAGGATCAAACTCTTTTAGTGTGATCATCTTTCTGGAGCATAGCTCTGATTAGAAGCATCACTGTGTAGCATATGGATAAATGCTCTAGCATGGCTTTCCAGCCCTATCTGGCACCAGTCTGTCTGCCTGTCTTTCTTTGCCTTAAATCATCCTATGTGCCAACAAAACTGAACCATTCACGGCCGGGCATGGTGGCTCACACCTGTAATCCCAGCACTTTGGGAGGCTGAGGTGGGCGGCTCAGGAGTTCAAGACCAGCCTGTGCAACACGGTGAAATCCCATCTCTACTAAAATACAAAAGATTAGCCAGGCGTAGCGGCGTGCGCCTGTAGTCCCAGCTATTTGGGAGGCTGAGGCGGGAGAACTGCTTGAACCTGGGAGGCAGAGGTTGCAGTGAGCTGAGATGGCGCCACTGCACTCCAGCCTGGGCGACAGAGCGAGACTCCGTCTCCAAAAAAAAAAATACTGAACCATTCATAATACACTTTCTTGCCCTAAACATTTGTTCTTGCCCTTTTCTCTGTCAGAAATTCCTGAGGAAATCTAACTGAACAGGGATTTGTCAAATGATAATACACCGAGGATAGCCAGTGCATGTATATGGCCATAATACAAAAGAGTAGAAAATGATTGTCATTTGTTGGTATAACTAAGTGTGGTTTTGTTTCTTTTCAGAACACCTACATCTGGACAGTCAGTATCTACTTGCTCCTCAAAGAACACCAGCAAAACAAAGAAACACTTCTCTCAACTAAAAATGTTACTTAGTCAGAATGAATCCCAAAAGATTCCAAAGGTGGACTTCAGAAATTTCTTATCTTCTCTGAAGGGTGGACTTTTAAAATAAGAAATGCCTGATGTCAATTCTGAAACTAAAGTTGGTAAAACAACTTTTTAAACTCTTATTCATTTTTTGAATACATGGAAACTAGATCTGAATGCAAACTTTTCTTGGCATCCTTCAGTGTTTATGGGGAAAATACCTCATTAGTGTGAATACCTGAAACCTGCCTACCTCATAGGACAGCTGTGAGGATCAAAAAATATATGAAAGTTCCTTGTAGATACATATCTATAGATATATATGTGTATGTATATAAAGATAGATATATACATTGAGTAGTGGCATTACTGTTTTTTCTTCCTTTAGTCAGCAGTTTTTATTTATGTTATTGTCTTTCAAAAGGAAATTGAGATCTTTATGAGAGGGTCTATTCACTCAAGGGTTTCTTCCATGTGTCTATAGCATTGTTGATAATTCAGGAATAGGATCAAGTGGGTCCTTATTTTCTCACAATTATCTGCATAACTATCTTAGTAAAACCTGAACCTTATTCCTATTTTGATTGCAAAAGTAAATATCTGGAACATTCCTGATTATAGATCACTCAATAGGAAACTAAAATTTTCTTTCTTAGAAAAGGAAACATACTGTTGGTGATACTATAAATTAGTACAGCAACTTTGGAAAACAGTATGGAGGTTCCTCAAAAAACTAAAGGTAGAATTACCATATGATCCCATATCTGCATATATATCCAAAGGAATTGAAATCAGTATGTCAAAGAGATGTCTGCCCTACAGTGTTTCATTGTAGGATTATTCACAATAACCAAGATATGAAAACAACAGAAATGCTTGTCAAAGGATGGATTTTTGTAAATGTGTATATACACAATGGAATACTATTCAGCCTTTAAAAAGCAAGAAATTCTGTCAGTTATGATAACATGGATGAACCTAGCGGACATTATGCTAAGTGAAATAAGCCAGACACAGAGAGACAAATACTGTATTATTTACATGGGATCTAAAAAAGTAGAGCTCATAGAAGTAGAGGATATAATAGTGATTACTGGAGGCTGTGGTTGGGGGAGGGGAAATTTCAATTAAGAGGAATAAGTTCTATGATCTCTTGTACAGCATGATGACTCTAGTTAATGTATATTTCAAAATAGCTGAAAGAGGATTTTTGGCCTTTTTTTTTTTTTTTTTTTTTTTTTTAAGAGACAGAGTCTTGCTCTGTCATCTGGGCTGGAGTGCTATAGCATGATTATAGATCACTGTAGCCTTGAACTCCTGGGCTCAAGTGATCCTGTTGCCTCAGCCTCCAGAATAGCTGGAACTACAGACACACACCACTGCACCTGGCTAATATTTTATTTTAATTTTTTTCATTTCCCACTATAAGAAGCCATAATTTTTTTTATTTTTTGTAGAGGCAGGATCTTACTTTGTTGCCCAGGCTTGTCTTGAATTCCTGGCTTCAAGCAATCCTCCTAACTCAACCTCCCAAAGTGCTACGATTACAGGTGTGAGCCACAGTGCCCAGCCAAAAGAGGGTTTTTTAATGTTCTCGCCACAAAGAAATGATAAATGTTTGAGGTGATGGATCTATTAATTAGCCTGATTGGATTACACCAGTGTATACATGTAATGAAACATCACATTGTGTCCCATAAATATATACAATTATTATTTGTCTTTTTTTTTTTTTTTTTGAGACGGAGTCTCACTCTGTCACCTGGGCTGGAGTGCAGTGGTGCAATCTTGTCTCACTGCAGCCTCCACCTCCTGGGTTCAAGCAATTCTCCTGCCTCAGCCTCCTGAGTAGCTGGGATTACAGGTGCCCGCCACTACGCCCAGCTAATTTTTTGTATTTTTAGTAGAGATGGGGTTTCACCGTGTTGGCCAGGCTGGTCTCGAACTCCTGACCTAGTGATTCGCCCGTCTCGGCCGTCCAAAGTGCTGGGATTATAGGTGTGAGCCACCACGCCTGGCCTACAATTATTATTTATCAATTAAAAATACTCAAAGGCCAAGATTAACAACTTGTTCTTATAGTTGCATGAAATGAAATTGTGCTAACTGGTGCCAGCACCAAAAGGCCAGGTATTCACTTTGTGTCCACAACATTTGGCACAACACAATGGTCATGGTAGCTGCTTTACCTTTCTGACTAACTTCTCTCTAGAACATCTGTTTCTCTTGAACTCGTCTTGCTCCTGATCACCTGGTCATAGCGAGCTCTTTGCAGTTCTCAATGCATACCATGTACTTGGCAGCTTCGGGCCTCTGCATGTGCTTTTTCCTTTAGGTCTCACTTTGGAGACTGCCCTCCACCCCAACCCCACTGCATTATGAGGGGCCACTTTTTTTCACAGTTCTGGTGACCCTGTAGTTTCTTGTTTCTGATCATTACCAACTGCCTGTGAGCTCTTTGCAGACCTGAGTGGTCTCACTTGTACCCCCAACACCTAGTTTGTTGCCCAGCACATAGCACAAACTGCAGATTCCAAGACTTACTACATTTAATAAGTTCTACTTCTTCCACACTAAGAACTAAGGTCCTTTCTGAGCACATGATTGGAAAGTAGATAAAAAGTAGTAAAGATAGAAACTCTCAGGTGGGAAGTTGTCCACATTACTTCATTTGCAAGTGAGGGACACTGTGGATTCTTGACTTTTCTGTTTCGCAGAAAGGTCTTTGGGCATTTCTAAAGAATATTTGAAAATTGAAGTGTGGAGATAAAACTATAAAACCTTTAGAAGAAGATACAGGAGTAAATCTTCATAACCCTGGATTATGCAGTGGTTTCTTAGATATGACACCAAAAGCACAAGCAACAACAAGAAAAATAAACAGATAAACTGGACTTCATCAAAATTAAAGACTTGTGTGCTCTCTTCAAAGGACACCATCAAGAAAGTGAAAAGTCAGCCCCCGAATGGGAGGAAATATTTGCAAATCATACACAAATGACCTCCAACTTATGATGGTTCAACCTGAGTTTTTTTTGTTTTTGTTTTTTGTTTTTTGAGACAGAGTCTTGCTCTGTCGCCAGGCTGGAGTGCAGTGGTGCAATCTCAGCTCACTGCAACCTCACTTGAATCACTGGGTTCAAGTGATTCTCCTGCCTCAGCCTCCCGAATAGCTGGGACTACAGGTTCATGCCACCACACCCAGCTAATTTTTATATTTTTAGTAGAAACGGGGTTTCCCCATGTTGGCCAGGATGACCTCGATTTCTTGACCTCATGATCTGCCCGAATCGGCCTCCTAAAGTCCTGGGATTATAGGCATGAGCCACACCGTGCCCGGCCCCAACTTGAGATTTTTTTTAACATTATGATGGGTTTACCAGGACATAACCCATCCTAAATTGAGAAGCATTTGTATCTGATGATAAGGGACCTACATCCAGAATTATGAAGAACTCTTAAAATTCAATAATAAAAAGACAGAAGATGATGGTCAGAATCTGAACACAGTTCTCCAACATGGCTACTGAATACACGAAAAGATATTTCATACCTACTAGGCTGACTCACAGACACAGTACAAGTGGTGAAGATGTAAAGAAATTGGAACCATCACACATTGCTCCTAGGATTGTAAAATGGTGGAGTCACTTTGGAAGTTTGGCAGTTCCTCAAAAATTTAAACAGAGTTACTATATGACCCAACAATTCCATTCAGGCATATACCCGAGATAACTGAAAACAGATGTCCACACAAAAACCTATATATGAATGTTCATGGCAGTAGTGTTTATAATATGCATAAGACAGAAATTTCAACATAGCTAAAAGAGTGTTTTTTGAATGTCCAGCCACTGTTGAATAAAAAAAATGTGGTTTTTCCATACAGTGGAATAGTAATGTTGTCATAAAAAATTACTGATATATGCTAGAACATGAATGACCCTTGAAAACACTGTATTAATTGCAAGAAGCCAGACACCAAAGACCACATATTGTGTGACTCCATTTATATGGAATGTTCAGAATAGGAAAATAAATAGAAATAGACAAGTGGTTGCCAGAGGGATAGGGAGAATGGGGAGCAACTTCTAATGAGTATGGGGTTTCTTTTTAGGGTGATGAAAATATTCTGGAATTAGATAGTAACCATGGTTGTACAACTCTGAGTATACTAAAAACACAATTCTACACATTGGAAAGGTAAATTTTATGTGAATTATCTATCCTTAAAAAAATAAACATTACCTTAAATTTAATGTAGACATTTAAGTTTTAAATCCTGTAAAGAGAAGCAGCAGAGATGCAACATAGGCTCAGACTTTAAGCAGCTCTAATTTCATGGCTTTCCTGGGCCTCCACCATATTGCCATAGGGCCTGTCACATGCTTATGCATCCTACTGGCTGCAGCAGTGCATCCTGAAGACAGCTCAGTATAGCCATGGGCTACTTTTCTAGTCATGGGCTGTGGAACCTGGAACATGTGACCAGAATACCACTGACCCTGTGGACCAGCAAGCCTAAGTTAAAGGCAGCCATCATGAGGATGAAAAGGAGACCCTCACCAGCCAGAAGGGGATGTATGGGGTAAGCAGAACCCTATTAGAGAGAAAAGCCAACAGGAATGACTGGGAAAACAGCAGGAGGGGACAAAAATTGGTGTGCCTTGGTGACACAAAAAACTCTGGGATGACGGAGTTGATGACAATCGAGGCCAAAATCATCTTCAACATACCCTAGTTCTAAAGTATGCACTATTCTCCCCCTCAGCACAGCCCTTTGGGCCTTTTACACAATGGTGACTTCTAATTTGGTCCCTACTCAGATTTTAGAACTCCCAAGTAATGTTCCCAAATGGATCATATTCACGAGGAGTAGTACCAGTGAATTAACTGGGTCTCAAAATACAATTGCACATTTCAGACACTGCTTTAAAGTTGTGTCCTCTCATTTTCTCATTCCTGTTCAGTTATAATAGGCAGTCTTCCTCTTATTCACCAGGGGATTCCATCCCTCTGATTCAGGACCATGGTATATGGAATCGCCCTGCCTTCTCATCTTCAGCCTCTCGCTGTACAGGATCCATCCTCTTAGCACTTTTTTTCCTCTTAGTAAACTATTGCTGTGTAACACAGAGAAATACTCATAGCTCTGATCACAAATCTGAGTCAGATGCCTCTTGAAGAATGGACTTCTGAGGAGCACCGTACTCGCCCCAGCACAGCTCTCACACAGGAGTTTGCTGAAAGTCTCCTGCCTGTGTGCCTCCCAGTATGAGCTCTGTGAGGGCCGTAACCCCAGGGTATAAGTAACTCAACTAGAATATGTGCAATACACTTCTCTGTGTCCTGATGTTAAACTTAAAATGAAATAGTTTTCAGAATAAAAATAAATTTGTATATATTAGTTATTTGAAAAGAATATCTCAATTTTTCTTTTAAAAACGTTATGATAGAAACAGTTTTTCACAGTCTACTTGTTTTAATTAATTACAATTTGTATTTTCCATTTTGATGCTCAAGTTGTTAAACCTTGGCCAGTAAGCTGTAAGCTGGCTTCTTTGTTCAGCTCCATCAGAACTTTGAAGGCATCCCCTGCTTGCTTCTCTGCAAAGAAAAGTTCCAGGACCATCTTCACTCCTTCAGCCCCTGACATGGAAGCAGCCACTGTCCAAGAGATCTTGCTACTTTTGAGCAGAAATTCACACTGATACCAAAAACCCAAGATCGGGATGCTTTTACTCAGGAACAGTAATGGTGCTGCTACATTAGACCACGCCAGAGACAGAACTGGAAGAGATAAATTCCTTTAAAAAATCGTAAGTTTGCATATCTTATCACTTAACATTACTTGAATGTTTTAACCCTTCAACCAAATAATAGTATCTTTTCTAACTTGATAAATCATACAATTACCCCTTTAATGAAAATTCGTGGCCAGGCACGGTGGCTCACGCCTGTAATCCCAGCACTTTGAGAGGCCAAGGTGGGCATATCACTTGAGGCCAGCGGTAAAAGACCCACCTGGCCAACATGGTGAAACCCCATCTCTACTAAAAATACAAAAATTAGGCATGGTGGCACACACCTGTAATCCCAGCCACTAGGGAAGCTGAGGCATGAGAATCGCTTGAATCTGGGAGGCAGAGGTTGCAGTGAAGCGAGATTGCACAACTGCACTCCACCCTGGGCAACAGCTTCCGGTTGTTTTGGAGACTGTCTCAAAAAAAAAAAAATCTTAATTATGACTAAGAATTACTCGAGAGGTAGTATAGCCTACTGCTTAAGCTTGTAGTCTTTGTAGTCCTGCCCTGGTACAGTACCTGGCTGTGCCATTTATTAACTGTGTAATCTTCAACAAATTCTCAATTTGAGTGTTTCTTTATATGTAAAATGAAGATATTAACAGTACCTACCTCATAAAAACTTTGTTGAGGTCTCAGTGAGATGGTGCATGAAAAACACCTAGAAGAGCAGATGGAATATTGATCAATGTATCTATTAAGTATTAATATCAATACTAACAATAAAACCACTGGTGACCAACAAGATTTTAGCACCCACCCTACACTGGTTCTCCTTTGAATACATCCCACTAATAATACAGGCAAATTGTTTTGGGGTATTTGTAAAAATTTTTTGGTTGTGATTATTCTGACAGACTCTTCTTTAGACAGGCTTCTCTGAGCCCTCTTTTCAACTAGGCCTCATCCTTGGGCTCTGTCTTTGGCTTGCCTAGCCCAGTTTTAGCAAGAATCCTGCTAAATCAGTTTAGTGAGAATTCTCCACCCTTGATATCTGACCACTCTGGCCTGCCTTCAGCAAGAATCCTGTCAAAGTCAGTTTAGCAAGAATCTCCCTACCCATGATGTCTCCTTGGTAGTTTTCCATCCACTGACCCCCTCACTCTGCTCACTGGCTACAAAGCCCCAGCTGTCTTTGCTATATTGAGTTTAACCCAATCTCTCTCCCTTACTGTGATAGTCTTGACACCTATAGCTGTAGTCCTGAATAGAATTTTCCCTACCATTTTAACGTGTCAGTGATTTTTTTCTTTAACAATATCAACACTTTTCTGATACATCTTTAGTTGTTTATGTTCAATTGAAGGCAGGTTGGTGTTCTAAGACAGACTTACTTTGGTAGCTACTTTCACTTATGATCGTTTCTTGAAGTGGCATGTAGGTACTGAAGTTAAAGAAACCCTGATCCGTGAATTCACTTCATGAAATGTAGAAAACCCAAATGATCCAATCTCCAAAATTACATACAAGAGGTCCTTTCAGCCTCTGTTGGGTCTTCCTGTAATGACTCAATGCAGAGTCGGAAGTACAAGATGTATATAAATGATTTTCGGCTGGGCATGGTGGTTCATGCCTGTAATCCCAGCATTTTGGGAGGCTGAGGTGGGCGGATCACCTGAGGTCAGGAGTTTGAGATCAGCCTGGCCAACATGGTGAAACCCCATCTCTACTAAAATTACAAAAATTAGTTGGACATGGTGGTGCGTGCCCATTAATTCCAGCTACTCTGGAGGCTGAGGCATGAGAATCGCTTGAACCCAGGAGGCAGAGGTTGCAGTGAGCCGAGACTGGGCCACTGCACTCCAGCCTGGGCAACAGAGTGAGACTCTGTCTCAGGAAAAATCAATCAATCAATCACTTTCTCTGAAATAATTCCAAATTATTGGAATTAAGAGACATTAAAATATAGTTTCCATTTTTTTATGTCATCCAAAAAACCTGTGGTGGTATAATCATACCAAGGGCTACTGAGTCTTTTATGGTAAGGCAGATGATGGTCAGACCCCAAACTGCATTTGTTTCTCTTTCACTCTGCCATCCTCAGAAGAATTAAAAGAACTGTGCTAGACAGAGAAATGAAATAAGAAAATATAGAGGAATTTGCCCAGGTGGAGAATGGGGTTCTTAAGTTTAAAATAAAGTAGATGACAAGGGAGAGCATCAGGAAGAATAGCTAATGCATGCAGGGTGATGGTTGATAGGTGCACCAAACCACCATGGTATATGTTTACCCATGTAACAAACTTGCACATTCTGCACGCATCAACTTAAAAATAAGGCAGATGAAAAGCACTTCTTTGGCTTGTCATGAAGGCCTGCTATTACAATTGCTTTTATTGGAACAAAAAGTCCTTTTACACCCTCTAAAGGTTTGCCATATGTGAGAAGAATATTTGAGGTAACATGTTGGATGCCTAGAACAGTGGTTCCCAAAACAGACCTGGAACTTAAGTGGTCATCATAATTACCTAGAGGGCTAGTTAAAAAGATATATTGCTGGTCCCCAGCCTCAGATTTTCTGATTCCGTAAGTCTGGGGGCCCAAGAATTTGCATGTCTAACAAGTTCCCATCTGAGGCTAATCCTACTGGCCTAACGAACCTGCTGGCTTGGAAGAAATATGTTGTCTAGAATATCCCTAGCAATAGTTCACTGTAACTCTGCTTTATTGATGTGAATACAAATAATTGCTTTGAAAAAAACAATTGGAGATGAAAGTAGGGATTCAAACAGATATTTGTACAGTGACATTCATTGTAGCTTTATTCATAAACAGCCATAAGGTGGAAGCAAACCCAAGTGTCCATCAATGGATGAGTGAACAAAACATGGTGTACACACACACACAATGGAATATTATTCAGCATTAAAAGGGAAGGAAATTCTGACATTTGGTACAAAATGGAAGAAACTTGAAGACATTAAGTATAATAAGTCAGTCCTAAAAAGAACAAATATTTTATAACTCCATTTATGTGAGGTACCTCTAGAAGTCAAATTCATAGAGACAGGAAGGAGAGCAGTTGTTGCCAGGGGCTGGTGGGGAGGAGGGTGGTGTGAGGAGTTATTGTTTACAGGGTCCAGAGTTTCAGCTGGGGAAGATGAAGAATTTTGAGACATGGATGGTGGTGATGATTGCACAATGTCAATGTACTTAATGCCAGAGTACATTTAAAAATGGTTACAACTTACCATATGTATATACTGCTATGTACTTTTTTTTTTTTTGAGACCGAGTTTCGCTCTTGTTGCCCAGGCTGGAGTGCAATGGCACAATCTTGGCTCACCGCAACCTCCGCCTCCCGGGTTCAAGCAATTCTCCTGCCTCAGCCTCCCAAGTAGCTGGAATTACAGGCATGTGCCACCACACCCGGCTAATTCTGTATTTTTAGTAGAGATGGGGTTTCTCCATGTTGGTCAGGCTGGTCCTGAACTCCTGACCTCAGCTGATCCACCCACCCTCAGCCTCCCAAAGTGCTGGGATTACAGGCGTGAGCCACCGCACCCAAGCCTGCTATGTACATTTTAACTAAAAAAAAAAAAAAAAAAGTGTAACATCCTCTCACAAGCCCCCATCCTTCAATAGTGCGTTTAGCTGACATCTTGCTTTTTAGCTTGAATACTTGGATAACGTTAATTTTACTATCACATGAAATGTTATGCAAAATGTAGACTTGGTGATGGTGGAGCTGCAACAGAACATATCAGTGTAAGAGGAAGCATCATATAGTGGTTAAGGAGCACCAGCTTGGAGTCAAACTTGGAGCCAGGTTTGAATCTCATCTTCACCATCTGACTCGTTCAGAGTCACACAGACCTTACATTATTTTCATTGCCCAGATATAAAAGTGGAATAATTAGAGTATTTACCACAAAGGATAAGCGAGGTGCTTGGAACAGTTCCTGGTGCACAGTAAGTACCATATATGTGAGCTACCATTATCATCTGTTATAGACCATATATTGCTTTGTAGGGCATGTTTCTCAAAGTGCAGTCTATGAATTACCTGCATTAGAATCATCTGAGTAGCTTGTTTAAAATGCAGATTTCTGCATCTATCCCAAATCTTCTGAAACAGAATCTCTGGGTATGGGTTCCACTGTATAAAACCTATTGCAGAAGCAAAAAAGTGGATGGGAATGGGAAGTATCTGAATTCAGATAAAGTGACCAGATGCCACCCAGGAATAGAGAACCAGGGGTGCTGTGGCCAGAGGACTACATTTCCCCAACTTTTTAGATGATGGTAAGAATCACAGAAAATTTTCTCAGTAGGTATGTATCCTTTTTGTAAATGCTCCAATTGAGTTTACCAAAAAGTATGGCACACACTGCCCTGGAGATTCTCACAGATTTCTAGTATCTTCAGTTTTGCTTTAAATTCAAGGAGTGGTAAAAGGGCATGGGCTCCAGGAGGTTGACAGTACCAATTGAATCTGTTCACTCAAAAGCACTTAATAAAGCACTACTAAGCAGTGGACCACAAAAGAATATGTGATCTTGTTCTTTTCCCATAAGGAACTTGCTATATAATTATAAAAACCATACTTTATTATCTTATTACCTGGAATTTGTTTAGAGCAGTGGTTGTCAGAATGTGGTCCCTAACCCCAGTGGCATCAGCATCAAGTTGTTTGAACTGTAAACCATCAGGCCTTACCCCAGACCTACTGAATCAGAAGCTCTGGGAGTGGGGCCCAACTATCTGTAGTTTATAAATCCTCTAGGTCAGGGATGTCCAATCTTCTGACTTCCCTGGGCCACCCTGAAGAAGAATTGTCTTGGGCTGCACATAAAATACACTAATGATAGCTAATGAGCTAAAAAAAAAATCTCATAATGTTTTAGTTTACAAATTTGTGTTGCACCACACTCAAAGCCGTCCTGGGTCACGTGCAGCTCACAGGTTGGACAAACTGGCTCTAGGTAATTCTGATGCTCGCTCAAGTTTGGGAACTACTGGCCAAGTAAATCTCCTCCTTCAGCAGTCTCTCTACCATAACATCAGAATTATTTCCAGTACTTTGCTTCCCTCCCAGTCCATTAATCTTTCCCCTTCCCACCCCATATCCAATGAATCAGATTCACAAAACAACCTACACATTTCAAAAAGAACATAAAACTTTATTAAGAACATCTTATACTGTCATCAGATACAGCCAAAGAAGAACGGGTAAACAAACAGGGAAAGTTCATCTTCCCATGTGCTATTGCCACCTCAGAACAGACTCCTGTGTGGATGGCTGGAACAACAGTTGGCAACAAATGCTCTGTATAAATAATTCATTAAGTAACACAATGTTTCCTTTCTATACAGAGAAGAACTGGGCTTACATTTTAAGTTTTGATATAGTGCAACAACTATGAAACAAGACTACATCCTTAGGAGCTATTTCTTAATAGAATACAAAGCAGTTTAGTAGCTTTATGTTATTTCAGATAATGTAATTTTTTTAATGAAAAATTCAGAAAGGACATTCTAACTTTCCCAATTAGTTAATTTGTACTGTTGAGTTTTTTCTCTCTAAAGATTTCTCAGAATCAGTTCAGTAACTATACTTTAAAAAGATGAGTTGCTCATCTACAGTGATAACTGACAACTTAGTTTTGTGATTTTGCAAATCAAGATGCCTGGGTCATCCCCACTTTTGCTGATTCTGAAAGATTTCTTATAGAAAAACCCTGATTCAGAGTGCATGTGATAGGAGATACCAAAATAGCTGCATCTGGACAGGGAGGTTGGCTATTGAGCACAGCTGATTCTCAGATTCCTGGTTCCCCTCTATGGTCCTTTTACTTACTGTAGTGATGGAAGGAGAGAAGGAGCGCCCGAGAATCTGTTCAGATTGTGACTCCAGACAGCTCTCTGCACTGTATGTGGAGAAAAGAGTGATGGCATCCATTCAAACCATAGCAGCCCTACGGCACCATGCTTTTCTCTTGAGGGGTCAGACCAAACTGCACTCAAAGATGCATGATCTGCCTCAGGTGCACAGTGGAGAAAACGCTCATGATTTACAATTTGGTATTATAATACCCCCAACTAATCCCATTTCTTGAGAAAATGAAGTCTTCCTTTTAGGAAGAATGTTTGCTGCTAAGGCTTACCATGTTAATTATCACACGGCTGAAAAGATGACTTCTAAATCAGACTGTATTGTCTGTGTTCAGTTAATACGTTAACCAACAACTGAAGTTTGTGGAGGATTGGTCGAGGGGTGGGATTCAGGTTTTTGAGTACTATCACTTATCACAAATCTCATCAAGCTCTTTAAAAAAATAATGCATTTTTATCATAAATATTTAGAGCAGATACTGGCATTAAAATCAGTATCTAAGTCAGAAGTCTGTCTGAAATGGTGAAAATATTTCAACAAACTTCTAAAAGATTTCAAATCTTCCCAGGAGTACATAGTTTATAAATTAGTTTTAAATGGAAAAAAATATATATTTTGAATGGATAAATCACCACTTTAGCAGATCATAAATAAGGTCAAGATATTGAAAATAAGTTAACATACAAGTTTTTGCTTTCACATTAATAATAAAAACTAACTTACTTAGTATACTTTCATAACATGTACAACCAGGTTTCATAATTGTGCATCTGTCACCTCCCCACTTGGCTGAATCTTTTTCTTCCATTTCCTACACCTAGGGACAGAGGTACACAGACATCCCAGGGTGTGAGTGTGGCTGCTGCATGCTGTGTCCTAGTTAGAGCAGTGTTACAAATGCTGGTCAGGATCTATGATTAGTAACCTGTGAACCACGTTACAAGTGAAGGACATTCATGGTTAGGTGGATTCAGTTCCCAGGTGAGCTATCAGCGGTAGTGTTAGGGAACCTAACTACTATTCTTTCTGTGAGAAAATGCACCCCAAGTCCCAAAAGTTGACTAAAAACTTTGGAATAAGCCATGTATTATTAGTAGTGCATGGATGAGCACTACTTATATGTGTCTCTGTTTTGGAGAGAGGTCAAATTGTTAAAAGAACTATTTGCAGAACTACTTGGCTATTAAAAATAAATGTCTGCCTTCTTCATATGCAATTCATTGTAACTATAATTTCTAATACTGAGAAAGAAACAATGAAGCCATTCAGACTAGAGAGACATAATTGGCTTGTGGGATTTTCAAGATGTTTTATTGACTATCTAATTTGAATCTACTTACAAAGAGAAGAAAAATGTCTAGTATGTAAAGCAATGAATGAAAATAAATGTTTATCCTAAGTCATTATTGAGTACAAATCCACAGCTTAACAATGTGTTTTTAACAGCAGGAGAGCATGCAACTGCTCTAACACACAGGGTCAGAAATAAAAGGTAAAAGTACATTTGTTTTGTAACTGTAAATATACAAATATAAAATTTACCATATCTACCCTGTAGTGTGGCACTGCTTAACTGCCAAATATACAGTCATTCAAAAACCTTAAGGAAACATTGAAAATGTCTCAGGCTACTTTACTGAACATTAACGAATATTGTGTTCTTGAGCTATTAGAGCTAAAAGTATTATTTTTAAAGTTATATGAGCAAGGGAATAATAAAAGTATCATTTCACGTGTCTTTTAATCCCATAGACGGCTTTTTGTTAAAGGGATTAATTATGTTAAAAGGAAACTGATTTGACAAATAGAAACCAGTTCCAGAACCAAAGTTGTCCTCTTGGTAGAATGTCAAAATGTATATTATTTCCAAAGTATTTTCATTATTAATCTACTCAAATAATTACAAACAGTTTAATCAAGGGAGTCACTATTTAACACTTTTAAAATCTACACTGGCAGTTGGAATGGAACTTTTACAATGCTATTAAGGAACAGTTCTCTAGACTTTCATCTGCCCCTCAAAGTGACATCCCTGTTTTATGTTAAATTACCGACCTCTAAGGAATCAAAGGCATGTAGAGACACAGAATTGATATTTTGTTTGGGGAGAAGGGTAAAGATTATGTTGGAACATTTAGTCCCTTCTACAATCAAGTCCTAACTATACCATAATAAAGTCTCAATCAACTCCTAATTAGTTCTTCCCCTTCAGGAATTACATAGTATACAGTGATTAAATGCTGAAGAAAATAAAGAAAAACAATTGAAAATACCTGAAGAAATACAAACAAGAGATTTCTCACAAGGCCTTGGATCAAAAAAAAAATTTACAAAAAGATCTTTTGAAAATAATCACTATTTGTGAGCTTATTAATACACACAAATCATCACTTTGTTCAAATTAAGTCATGTTAATTTACCAATAAAATAGTAAACAAACCAACATTTTAAACAATTTTATAAATTACTCGTTGTTCCTTTTGTTAGTGTTTCTTTCTCAACAATATACAAAAATAACACTACAGGACTATCCACCTAACCTGTCTCCATCTCTTGCAAAGTCCTGGGACCTGGAAAGAGGCTGGTCCATCAATCTTCACTGTAGATGTCTCCCGCAAAGGGCAGGTGCATGTGGCTGCCAGTGACATTGGGCAATCGAGATAAGTCTGGCAGGCTCTGGATCCGGGACCTGAGTTCTTTGCGCACCAGGGAAACTCTGGCTAGCTTGCGCTTGTACTCCTGTAACATCAAACCACTTTCATTAGCATTCAGGGATTGAAAAAACTTCCTAGCTAATAATGACCTACATAAACCCAGGTACTATATATACTCAGTTAATGCCATATTTAAAAAGGTTATTCCAGTGTGAGTTTTCACATCAAAAGATGAGCTTTGGAAATATATAACTAGTAAACTATTATTATTAAGAAAAACCACAATCTTTAGCTGTTGCTTCACACCAGTAGAAAGAAGACTAACATTAATGTGCTTAACCTCGACATATAAGATGTTCAGGTATTCTTGAGTTTGGGCAAGAAAAATTACATATTTATTTTCATAAACCTTAACTAAAATTTGGCAAGAACATCTATGAAAACTCAGTAGGAATGGCCAGAGTCTGTGGTGTCTGAAGCAGGACTGCTCCCTTCCTGTGCCCTCCCATCTAAGCAAGGAGGGTCCACTCCAGACTGCTGCAGCCAAGAATACAGGATCACTCTCCCTGCAACTCCCAGTGGGAGGGTTTTATTCCCAGAAAGAGCGCCTCTCATCCTACCCCAACTACCTGGTGCTGAAGCTAAGTCCTGAGATAGAGCAGGGAAGAGCCTGGGGACTCCCTCCTGTCCAGCCCCCACTCCTGGAAAAGAAGTTCCTTCTTATGCGTGGAGGACTGAGAATACTTGGGCCCTGATAAGCCTCACCCCCAACTCATGAGGAAGGTGGCTCCACAGCAGAAGAGGCAAGCCAAGACAACCTCAGGCTGCTGCACCCCTCCCTTTCTCCAAAAGCTCAGCACCCACAACAGGGTATCACTCAGAGAAAAGCTTCCCACTATACCCATCTCAGTTCCAGGGTCCTGACTCAAAGATTTGGTCTAAGGAAGTAGCAGGCAGTAAAATAGATATGTCCATGGCAATTCACTATTACCACAGTGCATGGCACAAGGCAGGGAGATTCACGCTCTTTCCAAATGTGGTCACAGGTAAGTCCTGAGAGGACCATCCTAGAGAGTGCATAGATGAGGAAACATCTAAGGAAGAAACCCAGCTAGGAGTTTACTGCAACTCTCCAGGAAAGAAAGGACTAGGGCCTGAACCGAACCAAACCAACAGTAGTAAGGATAGAGCAATGTCCTTTAAAAACTACATTATATGTAAATAATACCTTAATGTCAAAGACTAAATGTTTAGAAAGAAAAATCAGCAGGAATTGGTTGTGGTTCTGCTGTGAGGAATAATGAGGGTTCAGGCTTCATAAGCAGGTGGATATCGGAGCTGTTATCTGAGATAGCAGAGAGGGGCACAAACTCCTTTGGAGAAGGATACAGAGTTCATTTTTAAGCATGATAACTGTGAGTTATCCATGGGATTTCTAGTAGGCACTTGGAAATGTGATTACAGTATTCTGAGCTACAAATAAAGATTTAGGCTTTATAACTGACAAATTCTAGCTAAAACCAAGAGAAGAGTATGAGCCACTTAGGTTTATATAAATAATCTACAACGTTTCTCAATCATTTTGCCCCTCCCTTCTCTACTCTTCTGCACATCTACCATGAGCCAAGATTTCATCAAACTTTATTTTTTGTGGTTTTAGTAAAAATATACATATAATGAATCTATCTGATTTTCTATCTTTTCCATCATACCACACTACCCCCCATGATTCTAATGTATCCACCCAAAAGATGGCATGACCCTCGTCCCTCTCCTGGTTAAGAATCACAGTACACACAGGAAGGAAGAGAAGTGAGCTAATAGCAAAATGCAGAAATGTCACCAATGTTGAAAAGGATCATGAAAAGAGCAGTAAAATAGTAGATACCAGGATAGAGAAGTGAGCATGTATTTGGAAAATTTCCCACTTTTTTCTTATGAAAATACTGGCTTGCTGAACAATACCACTCACATCCATTATCTGAATAACTCAGTAATTATCCTTAACTAAGACTATCTGCTCTCCAATTTTTTTGCTTTTTTTCGTTTTTTTTTTTTTTTTTTTGAGACGGAGTTTCGCTTTTGTTGCCCAGGCTGGAGTGCAATGGCGCTATCTCAGCTCACCACAACCTTCACCTCCTGGGTTCAAGTGATTCTCCTGCCTCGGCCTCCTGAGTTTAGCTGGGATTACAGGCATGTGTCACCACACCCCACTAATTTTTTTGTATTTTTAGTAGAGATGGGGTTTCTCCATATTGGTCAGGCTGGTCTCGAATTCCCGACCTCAGGAGATCCACCTGCCTTGGCCTCCCAAAGTGCTGGGATTACAGGCATGAGCCACTGTGCCCGGCCTTGTCTCCAAGTTCTTATAAAAGAATGCAATAACAAATTCATTGTAATTTGATATTTGAAAAAGGTTCACCTACAGCATTTCATATCTGAAAAGTTTCCCACTTCTTAAGTGTGGGCTGTATGTGATGACTGACTTCCAAAGAGTACAGTATGAAAAGGAGGGAAAAAAGATTAACTTTACAGAGAAGAAACCTGACAAACAATACCTAAGCCATGTGATAAAGGTCCTATCAACACTATCACTCAGGTTGACAGTATTTCCTTTGACATGAGATGAAAATGGCATTCTCCCTCTATGGTCTTCCTCCCTGAAACATATGACTCCACTTTAGCTGTGAGAAAAACATCAGAAAATCCCAAATGAGGGACGTGACCAGTAGTGCTGAAAACTATCAAGGTCATCAGACAAGGAAAGTCAGAGGAACTGTCACACCCAAGAGAAGCAGAACAACCAAATCTAATGTGATATTCTGGATGGGATCCTGGAACAGAAAAAAGGACATTAGGTAAAAATTAAGAAAATCTGAATAAAGTGTGGCCTTTAGTCAATGTGTCAATATTGGTTCACTACTTATGACAAATGTATCATACTAATGTAAGATGTTACAATAGGGGAAACTGGATGTGAAGTGTATGAGAATTTTCTATACTCTCTTCATAGTTTTTTGGTAAACCTAAAATTATTCTAAAATTAAAACTTTTTTTTTTTAAAGAAAGTCTGATGGACAAACTAAACATTTTCCCAGATTATCAAAGCTGTTTTGCATAATTCTTAATCTTCACAAAAATGCTAAAACACAGGCATCATTATTCCCGTTCCATAGATAAGAAAACTGAGGCTTTAAAAACTGAAGATAACACGCTGGTTTCCCTTCAGGTAATATAAATCTTTCAACTTTTACTAAAAAGTGAACATAAACTGCTCAAGGTTCATTAACACCAGGCACCATGTAACATAATTGATTTTGATACATCAAAATTGATGAATAAATTAATAGATCTTAGTTATTTCTGGTCAAATGATACGACATTTGCTATTCAAAAAGATACAACCAAAAACATTTTGAGATGTTTTCCAGAATAGCAGTTGTATTATCAACACTGTGATGCAACTTGGTTAAAAATACTGGCCAGGCACAGTGGATCACACCTATAATCCCAGCATTTTGAGGCCGAAGTGGGTGGAATGCTTTGAGCTCAGGAGTTTGAGACCAGCCTGGGCAATAAGGTGAAACTTTTTGTCTCTACAAAAAGTACAAAACTTATCCAGACATGGGTGGCATGCACCTGTAGTCCCAGCTACACAGGAGACTAAAGTGGGAGTCACCTGGGCCCAGGAGGTCGAGGCTGCAATAAGCCATGATTGTGCCACTGTACTCCAGCCTAGGCAATAGAGTGAGACCCTGTCTCAAAAAAAAAAAAAAAAAAAAAAAAAAGAACTATCTGTAATTTAAGATTACAAATAATATATGGCCACTACAGCAAATATATTGAAGTTATTTTAAACTATATAGAATTTTTATGATATTAAGCCCAATATGAACAAAATTCCCTTAAAGCCAAATACAGTACAAATTCCTATTTAGAATATTTTGTTCAAGTTTTTCCTCCTTTACCTGTCCAGGATACCAATTTCTTTCCATACTTCCAAGTGCCAGCTGAAATCCCAAACTATATTGAACATTCCCCAATGACTTTTCTCATATCTCAACTTTCACTACTATTTTCGGACCATGTAACAATGTATTGCTTTAACATCCTATTGACCATTCACATATCACATATATAGAATACACTTTTTAAAAAAACTGATGAATGAAATGTCAAAAAAGAGGGAAAAAAATTCTATCATTTGAATGGTTAAACCTTTCACACATGTGTATATACATATGTATCTCTTAAGAAATGCAACATTCATAAGCAAAACATTCAACACCCAACATTCATAAGCAATTTCTTTATATTGATTTAGCTACACGCTTTTAAAAATTATTTTTGGAAAGCAGAGAATGTAAATAAAATGAATGTAACTGAGTATCTATTCTACTACAAATAAGATCAGCAAAGAAAACCAACTTTGCACCTTTTTCCTCTACTACAAATTTTGCTCTTCTTTCCATCTTACCCATCTTTAGTCAAAAGCTACTTAAAGTTTTTAAATTGGGGCACAACATAAAACTCATAACTATTAAGTAGATACTTCAGTTAGTATGTATGTGTACCCATCCGTGTAACCAACACCTAGATCAAGATATAGGCTTTTTCAGAACCCCAGAAATTTTCCTCATACCACCTCTCCCAATTTTTAATCACTATTTTCCAAACTTCAATTAGTTAACTACCATCCTTCATAACGTTCTTTACCATGACTCCCTTACACTGTTATTTACATAATATTTAAATCAACTCATTTTTTAACATCTTCATTCTAAGAAATAATATCCATGCAATCACAGGTTGGTTGTGCTCATTTTCGTTTTGATTCACACATCAAAATAAACGTAACTAGGGCTGGGCGCAGTGGCTCACGCCTGTAATCCCAGCACTTCGGGAGGCCAAGGCGGGCGGATCACCTGAGGTCACGAGTTCAAGACCAGCCTGGCCAACATGGTGAAACCCTGTTTCTACTAAAAATACAAAAATTAGCTGGGTGTGGTGGCGGCACCTGTAATCCCAGCTACTTGGGAGGCTGAGGCAGGAGAACAACTTGAACCTGGGACAGAGGTTACAGTGAGCTGAGATTGCACCGTTGCACTCAAGCATGGGCAACAAGAATGAAACTGTCTCAAAAACTAAAAAAAAAAATGTAACTATTAAAATAAATGTTCTCAGGTGGCACCATGGCATGGGTGCATTTGGGAACCAATGCTTTACCTCATTCTTCTTACTCTGTTGACCGAAGCCACTTTACTTCTTCTCCTCCGTTTTCCTCATTCAACAAGGCCCACCTTTCTGTCCTTAATTTACCCTTTACTTGCCACAAGTATCACCACTACCACCCTAAAGCTTGTTATCACCTCAGTCATGAGCAACCCTCATGTCAGTTTCTGCAGTTCCAGCTTCATACCAAGGCTCAATTCCACTGATCATATCCAAGCCCCTCCAGTCTTCCAAAATTTTGCCCATCTGTCATAATCCAGGCAAATTTTCACTTTGCCTAAAACTCTTCCCCTGTTCTTAGCATCCTTACTCTAGGCTCCTAGCTGAAACTATCTCTGCGCTGTTTGGTTGTAATCCATGTTAAGTCTGTCTTGTCTTTCCAAGGGCAGAAGCCTTCTTTACACTGCTATAATACTTCAACACTAGTGAACTAGGAGGTGTGACTTGCCTTGTGTGCACTGCAAGTGGGCTACAGCTTCTTGAAATCTGAACCACCATTACAGATTTCTTTACAGCTAATACTAAGTATATATTGAGGATCCAAATTTTATATATTTTTCAAGTCCTACATTAAGACCAAACACTGCAATAGAATCTTTTCTGACTCTGGCCTCAAGCTAACTTCCTATGATATACTACTATACAAGTTATTTCTGAATTACTACTGGATTGTTTTCTAATTTCATACCCATAATTAGAAAACACACTTTCTATATATCTACATTACTTGCAGTGTCCAGCAGGGGACTGAGTATTAACAGTACGCCCCAGTCAACACTCCATGAAGTCAGATCTGGATGGAGTACTGTTTCCTCAATCTACTTCCTATGTAAACCTGGACAAGGGCTCCTGAAGGTTAT
The DNA here is from genome assembly GCF_000001405.40 of Homo sapiens. NCBI lineage: Eukaryota > Metazoa > Chordata > Mammalia > Primates > Hominidae > Homo > Homo sapiens. The sequence goes on from NC_000018.10 coordinate 35,999,308, forward strand.
CTAATTAAGTCTCAGATGCCTCCTTCATAAAATAAGGGTACTATTTTACAGTGCTGTGTGGCCAAATTATGTGGAAGTTTTCAAATTAGGAAGTGCTATATAATTGTGGTTATCATTCTGAGATGATATCAGAATCACCTTGCAGTAAGAACATCTAAGAGAATAAATTTCCTGAAATTTGGAATTCTTGTTCATTTTAGGGCTGACCCTGTTATGTTCTAAAATTCTAGTTGCTTTAAATACATAATATTTCTGAAATTAAAATATTTACATGGCTGCCTTTTTCTTGCAGATGCTGCTAATAATTCATTTTATCTTTCCTACATAATTGTGACAAAAAAAAAAGAGAGAATTTCAACCACATCCATATGGGGATCTTTAGTGGTCAATTAAAGGCTTTGGTCAATTCTAAGCATCATACTTACTGTATTGCAGACCTATGGCTTCCTACCCATTTCTTGATAAAAACAGCAGAATTTGTAGAGAAAAAAGGTGCAAAGTTTGTTTTCTCTGGTGACCTCATTTATCTGTAGTATAATGTCCTTTGCCTCTTTTAAGAAGTTAACATACAAGTATTTCTTAAGCCACTGCCTTCAATAGAACTATTAAGAAGCTTCAGTTCTCATTATTAGGATCCATCACCATTTACTTTTACTTCATTTTTCATGTCCTGGAATTGGGCCCTTTTCTAGATTAGAGGAAAAAATTAACTGAAGTATTAATCAAGATATAACACACACACACCCATTTTCTTTTTTTAATAAGGCCAAGACATTCCATGATGTCAGGGCGTTTCTGAGACTGCAGATTAGTCAAGTCTGTTACCATCCCCAGGGGACAGACTGCAAAGGAAATAAAGATCTCAGTGGTTTGCCCTCACCTTCTGGGAAACAAATGCTCAAATTTGGCTTGGTATCTAATCCTGGAATTGACAATTTTAAAAATATAAACTCCAATATAGCCAATCCTTTCTCATTTCTTTTCACAGGTTATCCTATACATCTCAGATGGAGCTGTCATTTTTTCCCCCTTGACTGCAGAAGTTTTACCTTTTGGTGGGAATTACTTTAATGTAAGTAAGTATCATCTAACGAACTGTCTCACTTCCTTTAGTTCCTTCTCTTAAGAAATCCACTATTGCAGAGTTTCATTAATCTTCCAGATTGTTAACAACATGTGGAAAAAGATATTTTATCAAGTTTTCTGCAAGGAACCCAATGCCTGTCAACTAGGTTTTGAAAAACCGGTAATGTTAAATTATTAGGGTAGATGTTACAAAGAAACTTTATGTATTCCAAGATTTCATTATACCACACTGTGACCCTAACCAAATAGCTACTACACTTCTCATCTGCTTACTATATGCCAAACATTGTTCCAAGTGCTCCATTTAATCTTCACTGGTAGAGATTATTACTAACCATGTATTATAGATGATGAAACTAAACCACATTTAACCATTAAGAAACTTCACCCAAAGTCAACAGACAGGGGCAAAAGGGGGCTCCAACTTAAGATAATCTGTCTTCAGAGTCCTCATGCTTTACCATTATGCTAACCTCCCTCTCATATCCTGGAATTATTTTGGGGGTGGGTATTCTGAAGATGTTATCCAAATGAAAGTTCAACTAAGGGTTCAGAACAGTGACAGGACAACTAGTTATGTTCCTAAAACTCAAAATCCAATAAGGAAACACTGACTTGTATCAGGTAGTCTACTTCTGTCCTTAAAACATCTCTGGCATTCCTACTAGTGAAGCAGAGTTGTCATTTTCCCATGAATAACAGCATATAGGCCCCGTGATAAATTTTCTTAAACAAGAGTAATAGCAGCAACATAAACATACTAGGGAAAAGGCAGAAACAGGCTAGTTCAACCAGAAAAGGTGCCCAATGCCAGGAAAGCTGAACCTCCTAATAATGATGTTTTGACCTTGAGGGTGGAAGGATGGAGCAGAGAGAGTAAGCCAGGAGCTGATAAGCAGCATTTAACTTTGGTTATTTCTGTTTTTGAAATTTCAAATCAAGCAGAGAGAAGGAATTTAAAGAAATGACCCTCCATAATCAGTCTTTCCACATGTACTCAAATTCAAATGAGGAAGTTAATACTGTTACCTTTATCTTCTAACATTTTAGCCTCACTCACTTAGTACATATATTATCCAGTTAATAAAGAATCCCATTTCTCATTTGTCATAAATGTCATCTAATCTGGTGTTTCCCAAATTGGGTGTTCCATGAAACATCATTCCATAAGGTTTTCACAAGCAGGCCAAAAGTCAGAGATTCTGGGCTTATGTTTGTAAGCAAAAATAGGGTTCTTTGCTACAGGCCTGCTCAGATCCTCCATATCTGAGCAGAGTGAAGTTCCAAAAGTACAATCTGGTTTGCGACATTCCTCAAAATCACTGAAATACATTTTTGCTGAACACATACTACCATCTTCCAGAGCTAACAGCTTATGTACCGAATATAGTTAGGCAAACATTGAACCCAACATTTCTCGTCCTTGTTATTCGACCTCTTTTTGACCACCTCCAGCACTAGCAAACTCACTAGTTTGTCTTTCACTTTTGAAGAATAATTTCATTGGATATATAATTCTAAGTTGGTGGGTTTTTTCTTTCAACACTTATCTTCTTGCTTGCATGGTTCTGCTGAGAAGTCCATAATTTATCTTTGTTACGCTACAGGTAAGGTAAGGTGATTCCCCCTCTGGCTTCTTTCAAGGTTTTACTTTGATTTTCTGTACTTTGAATATGGCATGCCTAAGTAGAGATTGTAGGCATTTTGGTATCCTGCTTGGTGTTCTCTTGAGTTTCCTGGATCAGTGGTTGGGTGTCTGTCACTAATTTTTAAAATTCTTGGCTATTTTTACCTCAAATATTTATTTGGCTTCATTCTCTTGCTTTCCAGTATTCCAAGCCCATGTACATTATACCTTTCCAAATGGTACCAAAATTCTTGGCTGTTCTATTTGTGGGGACTTCTTTTCCATTCTGTTTTCACTTTGCATTTCAGTTTGGGAAGTTTCTATAGACCTAGTCTTCAAGTTCACCACTTCCTTCCTTGGCAGTGCCCAGTCTGCTGAACTGCCCATCAAACACATTCTTATTATTTTTTTTACAGTCTCACTCTGTCACCCAGGCTGGAGTGCAGTGGCACAATCACAGCACATTGCAGCCTTAACCTCTTGGGCTCAAGTGATCCTCCCACCTAAGCCTCCCAGTGTCGGTAATTTTTTTTCCCCTAGCATTTGCTTTGGATTTTTTCTGGGCATTTCCACCTCTCTACTTATATTACCCATCTGTTCTTGCATTGTACCTACTTTTTCTGTTAGACCCCTTAACATTTCAATTATTTTAAATTCTTAGTCTCATCACTTCAAAATTTGTGCCATATGTAAGTCTGGTTCTGACACTTGCTTTCTCTCTTCAGGCTGTTTCTTGACTTTTAGCAGGCCTTGTAATTTCTTATTGAAACCCAAACATCAGGTAATAGTGAGGTAAACAAGTCAATAGTTTAAGGTGTTATTAATCTAGTTAGGCGTTAGACTGTGTATAAGATCTGCTATAGAGGTAGATGCCAGAGACTGACTCACTCTTTATTAAATAGCCCTTACACATTAGGAAGTTTTAAATGGCAGAGTGGTCTTGTCACCTGTAACACATCCAATGGTCCTAGTTCTGCTCTCAGAAGTAAACCCAAATCCTCTTTTCTAATAGCTTTCAAAGGTTCTGAAGATAGGTATTCACATAATTTATATCCCTCCCCAGCTCTGATCTCCCCAGTTCCCTCAACTGTTCTCCAAGGAATGTTAGTTCCATTTCCCTTTGTTCTTGTCTCTGCCTCTGGATACACTGTGGCAAGTTAATTCATTTTGGTAATATGGAATCCAGAGTTGAAGACAGAAATCCCGCTGTGGTTTAACCAGCATCTGATGAAACAGAACTTATCTTCCACATTCTGATCACTTGGTTTATTAGTGTAGTTTAACACTAAACTAGCTGTGTCACCATGCTAATAGCTATACTTGTTCAGTGCTTTCTCCCATTAAATAATGCCAAGCCAGGTCCAGACAATACTGATGCAATTAACTTTGGAAAATCAAAATAAGGGAATTTATACTAGAAATGTTTAGGCAAAGAAAGGTATAAAGAAATAAATGCAGTGTTTCACAGTGATCTCCATTCAATTTGCACTGGTTACAGACCAACGGTCTGACCTGTCAAGTATATTACTCGACAGAAAATGCACCTTAACCATGGTTTAAGTGAGTTAGCTACTGATGGGTGAGTTTCAGAAGCAGAAGTTCTAAGTAAATTCGTGTGCATATGTGCATTTTTCAAAGCTGTTGGCAACTCAAAAAAATTTAAAACTTCCATATTCTGCTCTTTGATATAATTAAGAGGTTCGTATTTTAGTTAAACTTCTTCAATGCAATGATATCAAAATTATCAATAAAGTCTAAAGTTTTTTTTGTTTTGTTTTGTTTCTGTTTGTTTTTTTAAGAAAAAGTCTCACTCTGTTGCCCAGGCTGGAGTGCAGCAGCATAATCACAGCCCACTGTAGTCTCGACCTCCTGGGCTCCAGTGATCCTCCCACCTTGGCCTCTCAAGTAGCTGTGACTACAGATGCGCACCACCACACCACACTTGGAGAGGGAGAGGGAGACAGACAGACAGACACAGACTTTTTTTTTTTTTTTTTTTTTTTTGTAGAGACTGGGTTTCGCCATGTTGCGTAGGCTGTTCTTGAACTCCTGGGCTCAAGTGATCCACCCAAAGTGCTGGGATTACAGGCATGAGCCACTGCACCCAGACAAATTCTAGCTCTAACATGAATCTTACTTCAAAAGCTAGGAGGGGTTAAATACATTTATATGATATTGTTACCAATGATAGCACTCCACCAATAAATTACAATGGCACACTGACAGACTTCCAATCTTATTTTCTTTTTTCCAAGATGGGGTCTCACTCTGTCACCCTGGCTGAAATGCAGTGGTGCAGTATCAGCTTACTACAACCTCTGCCTCCTGCGCTCAAATGATCCTCCCACCTCTGCCTCCCGAGTAGCTAGGACTACAGGCGCACACCACCACACCCAACTAATTTTTGTATTTCTTGTAGAGACAAGGTCTTGCTATGTTGCCCAGGCTGGTTTTGAACTCCTGGTCTCAAGCAATCCTCCCACCTCGGCTTCCCAAAGTGCTGGGATTACAGGCATGAGCCGGCGCCCAGCCTCAGTATTCTTTTCGGTAACCCACTGCTCCATTTGTTATGTAGGCCTAGTTCTTTCAATAGGTCCAACAAGTATAACTTATTTAACCCCATGTAGATAAACAGACCTTAAAAAAAAAGTTCCACTCTTATTTGAAATGAAAGAAAAGAGATACCAGTCTGGCCAATATGGGGAAACCCTGTCTCTACTAAAAATACAGAAATTAGCTGGGCGCGGTGGCACACACTTGTAATCCCAGCTACTCAGGAGGCTGAGGCAGGAGAATCACTTGAACCTGGGAGGCAGAGGTTGCAGTGAGCCAAGACCCTGCCACTGCACTTCAGCCTGGGCAACAGATTGAGACTCTGACTCAAAAAAAGTAAAGAAATAAAATAAATTTAAAAAATAGAAGACAATATAAATCTGGCTACCTATGTTAAGTTGAAGAAACTCACTTTCACAGAGACTTTTTAAAAAATACAACTGCATGGCCAGGCGCAGTGGCTCACGCCTGTAATCCCAGCGTTTTGGGAGGCCGAGGCGGGTGGATCACGAGGTCAGGAGATCGAGACCATTGTGGCTAACACGGTGAAACCCCGTCTCCGCTAAAAATACAAAAAATTCTCTGGGCGTGGTGGCGGGCGCCTGTAGTCCCAGCTACTCCAGAGCCTGAGGCAGGAGAATGGCGTGAGCCCGGGAGGTGGAGCTTGCAGTGAGCTGAGATTGCGCCACTGCACTCCAGCCTGGGCAACAGAGCGAGACTCTGTCTCAAAAAAAATAAAATAAAAAAAAACTGCATATTTGCAACTATTTAAAACAAAAAAAGAAAACATAATGAAACAAAATATATGAAAATTTTAATAATGGTTTTCACTGATTGCTGTAAATTTGTGGGCAGTTTTTCTATTTTTCAGTATTTTCCAAATTTTCTCTAATAATTATGTATTGGTTTTATGATGGGAAAATTCTTAGGAAAAAGAGGCAAGGAAAGAAAATTTTAAACTCTGTATATCACTTTTATAAGCTGAATTAAAGTACCCAGAAGTATCCAACTATGAGACAGAAATACGGAAAAAGTTAAAGGCACTGAATTTTAGAGCTAGGTCTTATAAATCATTAAGTTTGAAATCCACAGCATGAAAATGAAAAATGGCCTTGATAGTATACAATTTATTCAAGTTCATAGAGTAACTTCTAGAACCCGTAACTCCCAATTACCAGTTCATGATTTTACTCCATATATCACTCACTGGAGACTAACCAAGATAGACATCCAAGCAGGAATTAACTTTGTACACACAGCATGGCTACACCTGTGTTTTTTTCTTTTTTTTACAACTATGTTTACGATGACATTTTTAATCTATGATTTTTTTTAAAGACTAAAGGAAATACATCAAAATGTGAGGAGCTGTTTAAATGGTTTTAATGTATTTTTTCAAATTTCCCTTAAAGACAGTATGTTAACACTTCTGTGCCTCACTGTTCTCATTTATAAAATAGGTAAGAATAGCATCTACCTATGACAATCACAGAATTAATGAAAATAGAAGAAGTACTTAGAACAGTGTCTTGGCACAGAGCTAATGCTAAATAAGTATTATGTTATGATTAAATTTTAGAGTATCATCTCACATACAATGGAGTTTAAGTGCCATGGCAGGGTTTTATTTTTTGGAGACAGGTCAGCCCATCTGGAGTGCAGTGGCGTCACCATGGCTCACTGCACTCCCAACCTCCCAGGCTCAAGCAGTCCTCCCACCTCAGCCTCCCAAGTAGCTGGGATTACAGGCATGTGCCACCATGCCTAGCTAATTTTCAAAAAATATTATGTAGAGACAGGGTCTCGCTATGTTGCCAGGGCTGGTCTCAAACTCGTGGGCTCAAGCTATCCTCCCACTTCAGCCTCCCAAAGGCTGAATGCCAAAGTGTTGGCATTACAGGCATGAGCCACTGTGCTTGGCCATAGCAAGGTTTCAGTTAGGTATAGAGAGTGGTAGTTTTTCACCCCCGCAGTGTATAGAAATGTTTTATGTAGTACTGGAAAATTTAATTTGAGAGGCCTAAGAATTCTGAGAATCTTGAAACTAATAAGCTATTGGAGGCTTCAAGGGCAGCATCACCTGATAAAAAGGGAGTCCCCCATCCCCCAGCCCAATTATGACTATAAATCCTCAAATGGAGGGAAATGGTGCTGGATGATTAGCCAGAAAGGGGTAACAATGCCGGAATACAGACAGAATAAAATCTAGCAGGCTAAGCCCAACCTAACAATCCTAGAACCTGACAATCCTAGAACTCCTAGCTCACTAGCAGTAGACAACTAGATGCTCCCCTCCTTCCCACAGATGATACATTCTAAGACAGAGAGTCGAGGAAAAAGAGTCATCTGGCCTATATGACACCTGCTTCTGGATGGGGACACAACATTCTGGCAGGCATGAATAAAGCTGTATTATGTGTTCCTGTCTTCTTTACTCTTCCTAGTTTTTCTTCTGTCTTTTTTTTCTTTTCTTTACTTTCAGATTTTGTTCCCTTGCCACCCTGTGTTTTACTCTCAAAGGAAACTCTTAACACTTTCATCATTTACAAGTGTACTGTGAAACTTCCAGTAGTTCTGAATTATCTACAAGGGATCTCCAACTTTCACACAAAGTCCACTTTATTACACAATACACTGTTAATCCTGAATGGCTTTTTTGAAGCAAAATTCAGGCTTTCACATATCAACTAGCAAGCAGGTCAGAACTATCCCATGATGGCGTTACAGTCAGAATTTCAGTTTTGTACAACGGGGTCTGTAATGTGGATGATACTTGTGACAAGAAACAAGGATAGATATCAGACATGCTAAGTGGCAAATATTCAGGTGGCTCACGGTATGTTCAATACTAAAGGAAAAGAAGAGAATTTTCTGATTCAGAATTGGAATTTAGCATCAAGATTCCAGTGATCGGAATGCAGGGATTCAGAGAAGGACACTGCTTCTTTACATCTCACAAAAAAGCAAAAGAATATAACTGTTACACATTTTTGCTTGACAGATTTAAGGGAAGTTGATAAAAATGAGATCACCACCAAAATCAACATCATAATTTCCAGATCGATCTACTAAAAACTAAATTCTGGCCGGGCACGGTGGCTCATGCCTGAAATCCCAGCACTTTGGGAGGCTGAGGTGGGCGGATCACGAGGTCAAGAGATCAAGACCAGCCTGGCCAACACGGTGAAACCCCATCTCTACCAAAAATACAAAAATTAGCCGGGCGTGGTGGCATGCACCTGTAGTCCCAGCTACTCGGGAGGCTGAGGCAGGAGAATCGCTTGAACCCAGGAGGTGGAGGTTGCAGTGAGCCGAGATCGCGCCACTGCACTACAGCCTGGGCGACAGAGTGAGACTCCATCTCAAAATAAATAAAAAATAAAAACTAAATTTGCCAGGAGCCATGACTCATGCTTATAGTCTCAGCCAGGAGGCTGAGACACAACTGCTTATGTCCAAAGAGTTTGAGACCAGCCTGGGAAATATAGAAAGACTATCTCTAGAAAAATACAAATCAAAACAAAAAATAACCTAAACTTCCCAACTTGATGACCAGTTCCTCTTAACTACTAAAGTTACTTATTCCTATTTAGCTGGGAGAGGCTACATTTTTAAAAGGCATTGTCTGTATTTTAATAATTTACCTAAGATCTTACTAATTTTAAACTATTCCTTGGGTGCTTAAAAAGCATCAATAACTGTAATTTTAAAAATTGTAATTAGACTGTGTGCAGTAGCTTATACCTGTAACCCTAGCACTTTGGGAGGCCAAGGTGAGAGGATCACTTGTGCCCAGGAGTCCAAGACCAGCCTGGGCAACACAACAAGATCTCCTCTACAGAAAGCACAAAAATTAGCCAGGCATGGTAGCATGCATCTGTAGTCCCAGTTATTCAGGAGGCTGAGTAGTGAGGATCACTTGAACTTAGGATGTCAAGGCTGCAGTGAGCCATGATTGCACCATCGCACTCTAGCCTGGGCGACACAGCAAGACCTTGTGTGTGTATATATATATATCTTTAAAAATCTCTCTAGGAAAAAAATAACTGCCCCTCATGGTATATCAATTTTGATATACTGAAATTCTGTATGTTTTTATACCCATTTGATGCTGAAATTTTGTATGACATTTTCATATATATTTAGGAATGCATTATGTGCAATGGTAGAGCACCACTTACTACATCAAGTTTAAACCACATCAGCACAATTTCAGTTTTCCAAAATCTCACAAAATATCTCACTTGTTCCACTCTCCTCTCATTTCACAGCCATTATGGTTTTGACTCTGTTACTTATGTTGTTTCCCTGCTTACCTGCCTAGAATTCCCAAACATTACTTTGCTGATAAGAAGTGAAGATACTCTCAGCACACGGCTGTAAGGACACCCTGTTTTCTGATGGACACTAACTGGGTATGGGAGTAGGGAGAGGAAACTCTAGATATTCAGGCATTTTCAGCAGTTATTTCACATTACTATAATTTTTTTTTTGTATTAACTATTTCCTAGGGGAAGTTCTTCCCTTTGAGCTTTCTTTCTTATGTATTGTCTTTCCAAAAATGCTTAGTGGTTCAACCACCTTTACTTAAAGTACAGACTGTATGAATAACCTACTTGGGCCGTCAGTAGGATGGAAAAGATTCAACATGGATTATCCCAGCAACTGGTTTTCCATATTGATTATCTCAATCACTCCTGGCCCTCATCAGCCTGGAGAAGATACTGCCCTTTTCCCCCGTTCCAAGCTCCAACACAGGCAGACTCCTCACATTGCTACCTGGCCCAAGAAAGGAGGATATGGAGGGGTTTACCCGCCATTCCACTGCAATGGAGTCACTGTGTGTTGTTCCAACCTCCTGCTTCTAGGTGTCTCACTTCTGACATGGAACGTTTGTGTGAATGCTTCCACCTTTACAACAGTACATGCTAGGATGTGAAATCTTTAACTCAATCCTGTCACTGTTCCATCTTCTGTGAATACTGCCTATTCTGGGGCACCCACAGCATTTCTTCTCTTATTAGGGCAGAGATATTACATATACAATTTCTTCATTTCCTATGTCTCTATTTACTTCATCAATACTTATCTTTTTGGCAATCTTTATCAACCATTATGAATAGAACTTACTGTGACAATGGAAATGTTCTTTATCTGCATTACCCAACATGGTAGCTAACAGCCACACGTGGCTAGTGAGCACTTCAAATGTGCCTACTGCTACTGAGAAACTGGATTTTAATTCTTATTTAATTTTGATTAAGTTAAACAGCACATGTGGCTGGTGGCTGCCTAGTGAACAGTGCAGCTCTGTAACTCCACAGTGCACCCTCTCAACCCCTGCATTTCATCTGTCTCTCCCCCATTTCATTCCCGTCTCCATTTCATTTCTCTCCCTTCATTATATCTATCTTTGCCATCAACAGACATGTAATGTAGTATGTAAGATATATTTACATACATCTTTGTAATATATGAATTTTGTATACTATATAATATGGTATGATATGTTAGTTATTTAATATAAGGACAGAATATACTGTTTTATGTAATTCTTTATTATATTCTAACATATATTCTCTTTTCTATAAATTCTAGGAAAAGCTGAAGATGGTCAGACCTGGTGGCACACACCTGTAATGCCAGCACCTTTGTGAGGCCAAGGCAGGTGGATCGCTTGAGCCCAGGAATTCAAGACAGGCCTGGGCAACACAGCAAGACCTTGTCTCTATAAAAAAAATAAAAAATAAAAATAAAAATAAAAAAAAGATCAGTCAGGTGTGGTAGTGTGTGCCTGTAGTTCTAGCTTCTTGGGAAGCTGAGGTGGGAGGATTGCTTGAGCCCAGGAGCTCAAAATTTCAGTGAGCTATGATCGTGCCACTGCACTCCAGCCTGGGCAACAAACAGAATGAGACCCTGTCTCAAAAAAAACAAAACAAAACAAAAGCTGCAACTCAGTCTAACACCTTAAAATAGAAGTTAAGGGTAGGACATCAATGTCTTTTGTTTTCTCTACAAAAGAGAGTGAAAATCTAAATCAGGCAAGGAAATGGCACAAACACCACTTTAATTGTATCCAAGTGTCCTAACTTCATCAATCATATTTGAGAATACTGGCAGGTGGGGGAATATGGGGAGGAGAAAACACTTCGCACCAACTTGATTTCTGAAACAACTACTTCCAAGAAATCATGAAGAAGTGCCAAAAGGGTAAACAGCAAATACTTTATTACCTCCAGTTGAAAGGAGATAGATTTCATAAACAGCAGACAAGTAGGCTTGACTCAGATAAGCCAGAATCTCAAAAAACTGATTCAACATATTGTTTAAAACTTGGGAACCCAGTTGCAATCACTGAGATACTAAGATTTAACTAGCAAAACAAACACTTCCTCTTTGGGAGGACCACTGCGCTATAGACATAAAAATACTACAGACATCTGAAAACTCAAGAATATCCCCATAAAACTACATAATTTCACTGGTTAAACGCTAGAGATATGCTAGCTAGAAAATCTCCAAGTTTTTTTTGTTGGGGGCTAAAACCTCTGAGGTATTTACTGTATGTGTGGCAGTTTTAAGCACCCAACTCACTTAAATCCCATAATAACCACATAAAGTCGGTACAATTATTATCCCTATTTTACAGACAAGGAAACAGAGGCCAAATGTGTTGTCCAATGTCACAGAGCTAGTAAGTGGTGAAGCAGGACTGAAACTTAGGTAATACTGCTCCAGAGTCCCCACTCTTCACTACAAAGCTAATCTGCCCATCCAAATGTTAACTAATTTAAGACCAAAGTCAACCAGGAAAAGTTAATAACCACTGTCCTCTTTTCTGGCCTTATATCTTCAACATGTAAAAATATTTTATTTTTTTCTATAATTAAAATATATTCTTAAGAAATCAGCAGAAGAAACAAAGCCAACAGAGCCAAAATAAGAAATGACAAAAGTCAAGTTTTTTAAAAACTCGACAAGCTAAAACATTGATTCAGCAAGATAAAAAAGATACATATATTTTAAAAACTAATTATATAAGAACCTGATGAACATCTCCAACATTAACAATGGCAGATGTTAAAAAAGAGAGGTTTGAGATAGTCCCAAAATTAACACAAGCAAAAAATGCCAATGCCAAAAATGTGCACCTTCCACAAACAAAAAAGCTCAGGGCCTATAAGTAAAATAATAGCTTATATGCAGCAAAAATAAATGTCATAAACTATTTATGCCACAGTAAAGATTTTGTAAGAGTCCACCCTTGTCTACAATTTCACCTTCCATGATTTCAGTTACCTAAGATCAATCTTGGTCCAAAACTATTACATGAAAAGTTCTAGAAATAAACAGTTCCTAAGTTTTAAATTGCATGTTGTTCTGAGTAGCGTAATTACATCTTACATAATTACATCTTTTTGTCCATTCCACCCAGGACAAAAATCATCCCTTAATCCAGCATGTTGTATATGTTACCACCCCCATACAATGTGACTGTATAGAAACAAGAGTACAGTCATACACTGCATTACATTTTGGCCAACAATGGACTGCATATACAACAGTGGTCCTGTAAGACTATAATGAAGCTGAAAAATTCCTATCACCTAGTGACCATTCCTATTGCCTAGTGTAGCCATCCTAACATCATAGCACAATGCATTACTCATGTGTTTGTGGTGACAGCCATGCTACCAGTTGTATAAAAGTACAGTACAATTATGTACAGTATATAATATTTGATAATGAAAATAAATGACTTCGTTACCGGTTTATGTATTTACTACACTTTTTATTGTTAGAATATACTCTATAAAAAAAAGTTAACTGTAAAATGGCCTCAGGGCCTTCAAGAGGTATACCAGAAGGCATTATTAGATACACAAATACTTACCAGTGTATTACAACTGCCTACAGTATTCACAACAGTAACATGCTATAGAGGTTTGTAGCCTAGAAGCAATAGGCTATACCATAAAGCCTCAGTGGGTAGTAGGTATACCATCTAGGTTTGTGTAAGTGCATGCTACAATGTTCACACAATGAAAAAATGCCTAACTATGCACTTCTCAGAATGTATCCCATCGTTAAGTGACACATGAATATATACAGTGTATAAGGTTCAGTACCACCAGAAGTTTCAGGCATTCACTATGGGTCTTGGAAAACATGCCCTGAGGATAAGCAGGGGACTACTGCATTTACTGAAGTTTGTTTAAATAGTCTCTATTCAAAAGAATAATTAAAGATGTAAAAATTCATTAATGTTTATTAGTAGGCTAATTAAACAGTATTTTGCATTTACATTATATAGGTCCGAACATTCCTACAAGACTTTGCCAAACTCTGAAGGTGTGAATATTTTAGTCATCACTCCAAATCATTTTAACAAGGACAGCTGTGACTGCTGTGGTTTCCAGAGGTACAGGGAGGATTCAGGGAGTACAATACCAGAATAATTGGATGGCGGGGTTGGTGTGCTGGCAAAAATAGAGGCAAGGTCCCAGTCAGATCTGGGCTGACTCAGCAAATTCTGGCACTAACATCTACAACTCCTGATTCCTTCTTGACTTGACCTGAGTTGTACAATCTGTGAACTAGCCAAGCAAACACAATGATAAATCCCTTTCTTCAACAGAGACCACAAAAATCTGACAAAAAAATCTAAGTTCCCAACATTAGACAAGCAGAGTTCTCATGCAGTAAGGAAGAATTAGTATAACAAAAAATGGCAACAACAAAACCATAGGAAATAGTGAAGGAAAATGAGAAAAGTGAGGCAAAACAAAAGATGAGCAGCGTGAAGATTCAGAACATTCAATATACCTATAATAAGATTTAAGAAAAAAACTATAAACTGAGAAGCAAAAATAAAAGACAACTTGGGTCTTCCCAATATAAGGGCACATCAAATATCAAGCAAAATTAATGAAAGACCAATATCCGAGATAGGTGCTAGTCAGTTTAGGATAAAGGAAAAAAATACAATATCTAGGCCAAAAGACAAAAAGATATTCAGTGAAGCTGTTGTCCACGGGTGAACAGGAAGGAGAGCCACTCTCAGACATGCAAAGACCTGCGCCATTTTTGTTGCTCTTCATGACATCTTTATTTTTATCCTTTATTTTAAAATATTAAAATGTAATTTTTCTTTTTTCTGGAATATCTTTACAAGTAAAAAAAAGTTTTTTTACATTTCTGACACATGAATCAAGTAAAATTTTATGTGAGAAATAATGCATGAATAACGATAATGAAACAGTAAAACGTTTCAAAAATAAAATTTCTTAAACACCAACAAAATGATCTATCTAGAATCCTATAAACAAAACAGGTCCATAAAAAACCATAAGGAAGGAGTCTGAGAGAAACTCAGATAATGGGATATTGTTTCAAGTCATGCATTTTCAGTATTTGTGGTTTTTATTATCTTCCTGTGATTTTTGGTACTCCACATTTTCTCCACAGTGTGAGTATATAAATATACACACACCTACATACACATACATATATAAAAGAATATATGTATTTGGACAAATATTTTTTGCTAATTTCTTTAAAAAGCTTATAAATTTCTATTACTGCCAGCATGTGTCATAAATATTAAAAATAAACAAATAAAAAAGCATATAAATTTCTAGCAATTGTCCAGAAGATAGAACAGACTACTCTCAAAACAGTATGTTCCCTTTACACCAGAAACTTCCAAGCGGAAGCTGGCTAAACTATCTCATCTTTCAGGAAATATTCCAGAATCATTTCCAGTAAAAAGTCAGTTAGATGGTCTCCAAATTCTTTCTAGTTCCCGACTATAACAAATATCATCAACCTAAAATGACACCATCACTTACAACAGAAAACAACCTGATTTTAAAATAGGCAAGGCTGGGCGCCATGGCTCACGCCTGTAATCCCAGCACTTTGGAAGGCCAAGGCAGGCGGATCACGAGGTCAGGAGATCGAGACCATCCTGGCTAACACACGGTGAAACCCCGTCTCTACTAAAAATACAAAAAACAATTAGCCGGGTGTGGTGGCGGGCGCCTATAGTCCCAGCTACTCGGGAGGCTGAGGCAGGAGAATGGCGTGAACCTGGGAGGCAGAGCTTGCAGTGAGCCGAGATCGCGCCACGGCACTCCAGCCTGGGCAACAAAGCGAGACTCCGTCTCAAGAAAATAAATAAATAAATAAATAAAAATAAAATAGGCAAAGGACTTGAATAGACATTTCTCCAAAGCTAAACAAATGGCCATAAGCATATGAAAAAGGTGTTCAATATCATTAATTATTAGGGAAACGCAAATCAAAACCACAATGAGATACTACCTAATATACATTAGGATAGCTACTATCAACAAAGACAGAAAACACCAAATGTTGGTGAGGATGTGGAGAAAATGGAACCCTCGTGCTCTGTTGGTGGGAATGCAAAATGTTGTAGCACTATGGAAACCAGTATGTCAGTTCTCAAGAAAATTTGAAAATAGAATTAATGTATAATCTAGCAATTCAACCTCTCAGTAAATGCCCCCAACAAGTTGAAAGTAGGGTCTCACATACACACACACACACACACACACACACATATATACACATATATACACACACACACACACACACACACACACACATTCACATACTTTTTTTTTTTTTTTTTGAGACAGAGTCCCACTCTGTCGCCCAGGCTAGAGTGCAGTGGCGTGATCTCCGCTCACTGCAACCTCAGCCTCCCGGGTTCAAGTGATTCTCCTGCCTCAGCCTCTCAAATAGCTGGGACTACAGGTGCCAGCCACCACGTCCGGCTAATTTTTGTATTTTTAGTAGAAGCAGGGTTTCACCATGTTGGCCAGGCTGGTCTCAAACTCCCGACATAAAATAATCCACCCACAAAGTACTGGGATTACAGGCGTGAGCCACCATGCCCGGCCTCAAAGATATTATTTGTACACCAACAGTCCATAGCAGCATTATTCACAATAGCCAAGAGGTGGAAGCAACCCAAGTATACAGCCATGGACAAATGAAAACATGCAGTGTATACATTCAATGGATTACTATTCGGCCTTAAAAAGGAAGGAAATTCTGACATGTACTACAAATTGGATGAACCTAGAGGGCATTATGCTAAAGAAATAAGCCAGTCACAAAAAGAGAATACTGTATGCTTTCCCTTATATAAGGTATCCGGAATAGCCAAATTCAGAGACTGAAAGAAAAATTGGTGGCTGGGTGAAGGCGGAAATGAGAAATTGTTGAATGGGTAGGTACAGAGTTTCAGTTCTGCAATATGAAGAGTTCTAGAAATAAGGTGCAAAATCATGTGAATATAGTTAACACTAGTGACCTATATACATTTAAAAATGCTTAATATGGCAAATTTTATGTGTATTTTACCTGAAGTTTTTTAAAACAGTAAAATAAAACTATACCATCCCTGTGCACCCAGAATTTGGTCTACTAGTTACTTTCAATCACTACATACATTTAAGTAATCTGATAAAAGGCAAAGAGAAAAAAACTATGTAAAATAAATGCTTCTGATACTTATTACCAAACTGTCCTCCACAGAGTGGACCAAATGAATTTACATCAACAATATGTTAAGAGTTCCCATTTCCACAACCCCATGTCATTACAAAGAATATCTTTTCTTTTTTCTTTTTTTTGAGGCAGAGTTTCACTCTCGTTGCCCAGGCTGGAGTGCAATGGCACAATCTTGGCTCACCGCAACCTCCACCTACTGGGTTCAAGCGATTCTCCTGTCTTAGCCTCCCGAGCAGCTAGGATTACAGTTGCCTGCCACTACACCCAGCTAATTTTTGTATTTTTAGTAGAAACAGGGTTTCTCCATGTTGGTCAGGCTGGTCTTGAACTCCTGACCTCAGATGATCCGCCCGCCTCGGCTTCCCATAGTGCTGGGATTACAGGCATGAGCCACCGCGCCCGGCCTGTTTTGTTAAAACTGTAACTAACTCAAGCATGAAAACCATATCTCCTTTTGCTTTTTTTAAATTATTTTACTTCTAGGAATTTATGAGAAGACTATCACAGATAAGCCAAAACTTAGTTGAAGGGTGATTCAGAGCAATGTTTTCAGTATCAAACTGGAAGTAACATAAATGCCAAAAGGTGATTTAAAGCACTGTTCTTCAATAGCAAGGAACTGGAAGAAATATAAACGCTAAACAGTTAGCTGGCTAAACAAATACTACTTCCATAGAACAATGTAATTTAGCTATTAAATGAGATTTATAATCACATGAAAATTTTTATAGTAAATGTGCAAAAAGACACTATATAAAATGACATGTACAGTCTGATTCTATCCTTCTAAATCTTGCCAAAAGGTATTCAATGGGTGATAAAAATTTTGGATGGTATCTGCATGTGCTTATCAATGGTTTTTCAACTATGATAAGCATGTACTACTTTTGCAATAAAAAAAAAAACTGCCAGGTGCAGTGGCTCACACCTGTAATCCCAACACTCTGGGAGGCGAGGGCAGGTGGATCACCTACCTGAGCCCAGCAGTTCGAGACCAGCCTGGGCAACACGGTGAAACACTGTCTCTACAAAAAGCACAAAAATTAGTCGGGAGTCGTGGCACTCGCCTGTAGTCCCAGCTACTCGGGAGGCTGATCACCTGAGCCCTGGGAGGTCGAGGGTGCAGTCAGTCATGATTGTGCCACTGAGCTCCAACCTGGGTAACAGAGTGAGACCTTGTCTCAAAACACACACACACACACTTCACTGCTACCACCCACTGTAGTTCAGGCTTTTACTGCTGAGCACATTTTTCTAATTAAGTTGCATCTGGTCTCCCTACTGCTAATCTCTCTCCAATCTAATCCACTCAACAACTATAACCATTTTCAGACACTGCCAACACCACCACTCCTTTCTTCCCTTTGGCCTGTTATCAACCTCTACTGGGCCTGACATTCAAGTGCCCTCCACAATGTGGCTCCAAACTACTTTTCAATCTCATCTCACTTCTAAGAACTGATACAGTAACAACAAAATGTAATCTTTGTTAGCAGTTTATTAAGGACTTCGTCTCAAGAAAGCGTAACTGCCTATATGCATCATTGTTTTAACCATCAGAGTTCTATGAATGCCTCTCTTGACAGTAATTAGCATTAGTATTGATATTACATTTCCATTCCATGAATGAGTGAACAGGCACAAAGGGCAATAGAGTGTAAATTCCTCTCTGTTACATACTTTAACGTAAAAGAATGAACACTGGCTTAAGGACTCTGGTTTCATCTGTAGCTCCCGCTCTTCCACTAGATGGCACTATTACTCTTTACAAATTCAGTACTTATACAATGCTAAGGATTACTACTGTTCATTTCTTATTCACGTTATTCTCACATATTGTTAGTGTTATTCTCCTACAGAAGGGGAAAAAATGCAAGCTGGTAAAATAATTTTACAATTTCAAGACGATAATTTACTCCTTTGTTCAAAATGCTCAACTGCAGCTCTACAAACTGCATGCCTTGAACACACAGCCCACTTAAGACTTTTTAAGTACTGGACTCTGCTAAAATGATTTAACCAATTATGTTGGATATAATTTTATTCAAAATCCTCAAGTGTCTTTCAATCATTTTTATTTATTAAAGTATCATTCTTTTCTGATTTAGCTACAAGTAAGTTACCAATTTTAAATATATACCTCTTCCAAGTTACACTTTTTTTTTTTTTTTTTAAAGAAGGAGTCTCGCTCTGTCGCCCAGGCTGGAGTGCAGTGGCGCAATCTCGGCTCACTGCAAGCTCTGCCTCCTGGGTTCACGCCATTCTCCTGCCTCACACTCCCGAGTGGCTGGGACTACAGGCGCCCGCCACCACGCCCAACTAATTTTTTCTATTTTTAGTAGAGACGGGGTTTCACCGTGATAGCCAGGATGGTCTCGATGTCCTGACCTCGTGATCCACCCGCCTCGGCCTCCCAAAGTGCTAGGATTACAGGCGTGAGCCACCGCTCCCAGCCCCAAGTTACATTTCTAATGGCATTCATTTACTTAACACAAACACCTGAGTGCCTACCAGGAGACAGAAACTACTCTAAGCATTGAGGGCATGGTAATAAATATGAAAAACAAAACAAGGTTCATCTCATGAAACTCACATCCTAGTGGCAGGTGCACATGAAAACTAAGTATATAAAGTATTAATAGAAAGAATATGGAAGAAAAACAAAAACCAAAATGACAATGTAATACAGTTGGGAAGAGGGGGCCAGAGGAATGAGTAGATGGGACCAAAAGAAAAGGATGTAGGACTCTCTGAAGACTTGACATAGGAATATAAACCTGAGTGGAAAAGGAACCAGCTAAGGAAAGAGCAGGAGGCAAGAGCATTCCAGTCCCTCTCTGTTAACAATCAGCAAAGCAAAAAGCTCTGATTTTAGAACATGCTTGATATACCTGAAAAACAAAATGCAAGCCAAGATGATACAAGATGAGGTTAAATGGTGTCTGAGTTCAAAATAAGATCCAAAAGTGTAATGGGGACCATTGATTTTTTTTTTTTTTTTTTTTTTGGAGACAGAGTCTCGCTCTGTCGCCCAGGCTGGAGTGCAGTGGCGTGATCTTGGCTCACTGCAAGCTCCACCTCCCGGGTTCACGCCATTCTCCTGCCTCAGTCTCCCGAGCAGCCGGGACTACAGGAGCCCACCACCACGCCTGGCTAATTTTTTATATTTTTAGTAGAGATGGGGTTTCACCGTGTTAGCTGGGATGGTCTCGATCTCCTGACCTCGTCATCCACCCGCCTCAGCCTCCCAAAGTGCTGGGATTACAGGCATGAGCCACCGCGCCTGGCCCATTGATGAGTTTCTAAAGAGGAGTGTGATGGGATCTGATTTCTTAAAAGATCCATATGGTTGCAATGATGTAGGGAGATATGAGAGGGAGCAGAAGATCATCTTATAAGCCAGGTAGTACATGACAACCACTTAGACAGGGGTGGTTTGGCAGCAGTTATGAAACATGTATGTTACAGTTCTACTTAATTAAGACATAAAAAGTCTTCCATTTATATGATAGAGCAAACTCATGTTTATCTGCTCCCTCCCAATAAGTCACTAAAATAATAAAGCAATTTACACAGGCAGAAATCCACAAGCACAGAGGAAAGTGGACCACAGCATACCAATGTCAAGAACCTGTTGGACGGCCGGGTGTGGTGGCTCACGCCTGTAATCTCAGCACTCTGGGGGACCGAGGTGAGCGGGTCACCTGAGGTCAGGAGTTTGAGACAAGCCTGGCCAACATGGCAAAACCCTGTCTCTACTAAAAACACAAAAATTAGACAGCCGTGATGGCGCGCACCTGTAATCCCAGCTACTCAGGAGGCTGAGGCAGGAGAACTGCTTGAACCCAGGAGGCAGAGGTTGCAGCGAGCTGAGATCACGCCACTGCAGTCCAGCCTGGGTGAGAGAGTGAGACTCCATCTGAAAGAATGGAAGGGGAAGGAAAGGAATGGAAAGGACGAACCTGTTGGAAGATGAGGACAGCTGCAACAGGAAATAATGACCGAAAGTAATGTAATTCATCCTGAGGAATTCTGGATATGTTCCGGACTTTGCAGTACCAGTCTCCTTAATATGTAATGATAAGTCTTAAGGTTGACAAGAAGGATCAACTAAAACTCTACACGAATCTGGTAAAACCCTTATCCCATATAACTAAAAGATGGAAGATAAGAAGCTCAGCAAAAGAGTGTGCGCATCTAGGGACCCAAATCACAGTGCTAAGAGGTAAAAGCACTGTTCAAAAAACAGATGTCCTATGTTATCTAACCAGCAAATCTGGTGTGTTTTCCTCTGGAGAAAATGAATGGCCTTGGACAGAAGGCTTATAGATAATATTCAGAAATCATCAAAGAAGGCAATAAGACTGGTTAACAGGATCAAGTCTTTAACATGAATCAGCAATTTCATCTTTAGAAATTTATCAGAATTATTAACGGATCAATATGTGAGTGAAAAGTTAACTGAAGAGATGTTCTCTGAAATTCTGTTAAGAATAGAAAAGCAATAAAAATAAATAGTCTGAGCAACACAGCAAAACCTCATCTCTGCAAAAAAATAAAAAATTGGCCAGGCATTGTGAGGTACACTTGTAGTCCTAGCTACTTGGGAGGCTGAGGCAGGAGGTGTGTGAGGTTACAGTGAGCTATGATCTTGCCACTGTACTCCAGTGTGGATGACAAAGTGAGATCCTGTCTATTTAAAAAAAAAAAAGTAACAGAGAACAGAGCAGTTAAATAAATTATCATACATCCATATATTAAAAGGAAAACAATGACATGTAAGATGCATATAATGTATTACATGAAAAAGAAAGGACAGAAAATGCAGAGCCCATAAACAGGGCTAAGTCTTTTGCTTAAGTAACTTTTTCCCTTTGATGGAAATAATTACTTGTATTATCAACAACTAAAAGATTACACGATTCCTGAAAAAACTCAGTTAAACATAAAATATTTTAGGACAATATTTAGACCTCAAAAATATAAATTAAGAAACTAGTCACATGCTTCTTTGAAACATCCACAGAGCTGCATCTTACCAAATTCTAAATTTAAATCAAATACAGCCATACCTCGTTTTATCATGCTTCATTTTAATACACTTTCAAGATACTGTGTTTTCTTATAAGCTGAGTTTGTGGCAACCCGGCACCAAACAAGTCTAGAGGTACCATTTTCCCAACAGCATGTGCTCACTTAAGTGTCTGTCAAATTTTGGTATTTCTTGTGCTATTTCAAACTTCACTATTCTTATGCATTATGGTAATCTGTGATCAGTGATTTAAGACAGCAAACTTAATCCACACACATTGTGTTCTCACTGCTCCACTGACTGGCTGTCCCTGTCTCTCCCTCCCTATTTGCTGAGACACAACATTGGAATTGGGCCAATTAAGAATCCTACCATGGCCTCTAAATGTTCAAGTGAAAGAAAGAATCATAGGTCTCTCACTTTAAATCAAAAGCTAGAAGTGATGAAGTTTAGTGAGGAAGGCATGTCAAAAGCCAAAACAGGCCAAAAGTTAGGCCACTTGCACCAATTAGCCAAGCTGTGAATGCAAAGGCAAAGTTCTCGAAGGAAACTAAAATCGCCACTCCAGGCCTGGTGTGGTGGCTCATGCCTGTAATCTTAGCACTTTGGGAGGCTGAGGCAGGAGGACTGTTTTGAGTCCAGAAGGTCAAGACCAGCTTGGGCAACATAGTGAGACCCTGTCTCTACAAAAAAATTTTAAAATTAGCCAGGCATGGTATCACATGCCTCTACTTCCAGCTACTCAGGAGGCTGAAGTGGAAGGATTGCTAGAGCCCAGGAGGTTGAAGTTGCAGTGAGCCGTGATCAAGCCACTGCACTCAAGCCTGGACAAGAGTGACACAATATCTCAAAAAAAGGTGGGGGGCTACTCTAGTGTACACACAAAGAAGAAAGCTAAACAGCCTTACTGGTGATATGTAGGAAGTTTCAGTAGTCTGGATAGAAGATCAAACCAGCCACATTCCCTTAAACTAAAGCCTAATTAATCCACAGCAAGGCCCAAACGCTCTTCAATTCTATGAAGCCTGAGGGAGGTAAAGAAGCTACAGAAGCAAAGTTTGAAAGTAGCAGAGGTTGGTTTATGGAAAGAAGCTGTCTCCGTAACTTCGAAGTGCAGAGTGAAGCAGCAAGGGCTGAACTAAGAACTGCAGCAAGTTACCCAGAGGCTCTAGCTAAGGTCGTTGATGACGGTGGCTACACTAAACAACAGATTTTCCATGTAGAAAAAAGAGCCTGGTACTGGAAGAAGATGCCACCTGGGACTTTCATAGCTAGAGAGAAATAAATGCCTGCCTTCAAAGCTTCAACAAACAAGCTGGCCCTCATTAGGAGCTAAAGTAGCTGACGACTTTAAGTAGAGGCCAATGTTCATTTACCATTCTGAATAATTCTAGAGTCCTTAAGAATTATGCTAAATTTACTCTGCCTGTGCTCTATAAAAGAAACAAGTATAGATGACAATACATCTATTTACAGCATAGTTTACTGAGTATTTTAAGCCAACTGTTGAGACCTGCAAAATATTACTATTGGCCAGATGTAGTGATTCCCACCTGTAGTCACAGCACTTTGGGAGGCCCAGGTGGGAGGACTGCTTGACCCAAGAGTTCAAGACTAGCCTGGGCAACACAGCAAGAACTCTTCTTTACAAAACATTTAAAAATTAGCCAGGCATGGTGGCACACACCTGCAGTCCTAGCTACTTTGGAAGCTGAAGCAGGAAGATAACTTGTACTCATGAGTTCGAGGTTACAGTGAGCTGTGATTGCATGACTACTCCAGCCTGGGTGACAGAACAAGAGACTGTCTCCAAAATAACAATAATAAAAAATTACTATTGACAACATACCTGGTCACCCAAGAGCTCTGATGAAGATGTACAATGTGACTAGTGTTCATGCCTGCTAACACGTGTTCTGCCACTTATAGATAAAAGAGCAATTTTGACATTCAAGTCTCACTATTTAAGAAATACATTTCGTAAGGCTATATAGCTGCCATAGTCATTCCTGTGATGAATATCGGCAAAGTAACTGAAAACTTTCAGAAAATGATTCACAATTCTAGATGGCATTAAAAACATTCATGATTCATGGGAGGAGATAAAATATCAACATTAACAGGAGTTTGGAAGAAGTTTACTCCAATTCTCATGGCTGACTTTGTGGGGTTCAAGACTTCAGTGGTGAAAATAACTGTAGATCTGCTGCAAATAGCAAGAGAACGAGACACAGAAGTGGAGCCTGAAGATGTGACTGAACTGCTCCAATCTCATAAAACTTGTTGGTGAGGAGTTGCTTCTTATGGATGGGCAAATAAAGTGGTTTCCTGAGATGGAATCTACTCCCAGTGGAGATGAAATGACAACAAAGGATTTACTTGATAAAGCAGTAGCAGGGCTTGAGAAAATTGCTTCTAATTTTGAAAGCAGTTCTGCTGTAGGCAAAATGCTATCAAATGTACTGCATCCTACAGAGAAATCTTTCAAGAAAGAAGTCAACTGATGCAGCAAACTTTATCACTGTGTTAATAAACTGCCATAGCCACATCCTTCAGCAATCACCACCCTAATCAGTCAACAGCCATCAATATCAAGGCAAGACCCTCCACCAGCAAAGACTATGACTAACAGAAGGCTCAGATGATTAGTCTTTTTTAGCAATGAAGCATTTTTAACTAAGATACGTACATTTTTTATATGTAATTTTATATGTAATCCTAATGCTTAGACAACAGTAAAGTGTAATTGTAATACTTAGACAACAGTAAAGTTGTAAACATAACTTTTGTATGTACTAGGAAACAATGTCAAAGTCAAAATGTCATTTTAATTCTCCTATTCATGTATGCCTTCCAAGATAATAAGCTAACTGAAAAACAGTTTATGCAATACTTTCAACTTCATAATGGTAAAATGATTCCTATAGCAATCCCTAAATATTATAAATGTAAACTAAAGTTATTAATAGTCTATTTTAACAGTTATCTCGTGTGTGTGTGTGCACGCGCACGCGCGTGATGGAGTCTCGGTCTGTCGCCCAGTCTGGAGGGCAGTGGTGTGATCTCAGCTCACTGCAACCTCCACCTCCCAGGTTCAAGTGATCCTGCTGCCTCAGCCTCCCAAGTAGCTGGGACTACAGGCACCCACCACCACACCTGGTTAATTTTTTTTTTTTTTTTTTTTTAAGTAGAGATGGGGTTTCACCATGTCAGCCAGGCTGGTCTTGAACTCCTGACCTCAAGTGATTCACCCAGCTCAGCTTCCCAAAGTGCTGAGATTACAGGCGTGAACCACCACACCCGGCCCAACAGTTATCTGCTTCTGCTTAGTAACCAACTATAGTCAGAAGTTTCAAAAATAATGATTGTCTTAAAACACAAATTTTAAACCACTTCATGTTTTCATTCATTACACATGCTTTAATAATGGCTTCCTTAAGAAATATGAAATGGCCAATTCCCGAACTGATACTTTAAATTTATGTTCCATTATCAAAAATGCAGCAACAAATGACACATCAGTATCTGGTCAACCACTGTTAATGTTCAAAGATACACAATAGATGAAAATTACTTGATAGTATCACAGCTGATTCAGAAAACATAAATCTTCACCTCTCAGTCTCAACTTCAAAGTGATGCCACCTACTTGGTACAAAAAAGTCTAAATATCTCAAATCATTTCCACATCTTCTACAAAGGAATAACATAGTTCTAAGTGATAATTTACAAAGAGTTCTGTGGAATAACTTTCAAGTTTATTTCTGTACTTGTAAAGAGTATTTACTTGTTAAAAAACAGCTGAACATAATTGAGGTGATTTCTTCTTTATAATATAAAATCCAGTTATGCAGAAGAACAACAAAAAAAGTTCCTAGAAGGCTTTATTTCAAGACAGTGATTACCTCTGAGAAGAGAGGGAGCAGAAAAAGTTGGAAAAAATAGGACTTTAGCATTTGCTTTAATCTTAGATTTAAGTAAAAACAGGAAGCAATGTGTCTTTTTGATGAAGTGCACTGGCTCTGGAGGCAGATTCTCTGCGTTCCAAACAACTCACTAGCTCTTTGTGACCTTAGGCAAGTTACTTAATCTTCCTGTGCCTCAGTTCTGTATCTATCAAATGTGGATAATACATCCTGCTGTGTAAGATTAAATGAGTTGCTTATGTGAAGTGCCTAGAATAGTACCTGACACATGAATGTTAACATTATTATTATCATCAGCCTCATAATCTATGACTGTCAACTATGAAATGTGGCTGGAAGGCACTGGGGGAAAAGGGGGTTGTGGGGAGTGGCATCTGATCTATTTTCTACAGTTACACTTCAAATATAAATTCTGTTTTTGTAAACAGTGACAAATGACCATCATCATAAGTGAGAAAGTATAAAGCAGAATAAAGTTACAGTCTTCTCTTCAATTTTCAAAAACATGAGACAATACAGGCTTCAGGGTTTGATATTTATTTTTAGCAGGAAGAATATACTAATGGTGACGACATCGTTAGAAGATACGCCCATGTCCAATATCTGCAACAGAAGCTCAATAGAAGTTAAAGAAACCATACTAAAAGACTAAAGACAAAAATTGTATGACATTACTTACCCTTAATTCTGTGGACAATAAAACAATTAACACTATGTTTAAAATTGAGGTTTCATCACAAGGTGAAATAGTGGCAAGTTAATTATCAAATTCATCTTTTAAAAAAAAAAACCATCTTTTCCTTTCCATGTAGAAGTGGGCAACCTCTTCAAAGGTATAGTGGCCACCAACTATCATCATCTGAGGGTATTTATACGAGCAGAGAAGGAGTAAATTGCAAAGGAGTAGTGCTAACTTGAGAGCTGGGAATTTGAGGTGGGAATAATTAAGTAGCAGCTCCCATGGGTAGCAATGGCAATCTAATCTAAGCACCATTTTTGGCACAATTAGAGACTGCTGAATCAATAACTAAACACTAATAAAAATAACTTAATGGGGTAGTACCATGACATTCCTACAAATTTACAGTGAGCTTTCTGTAAATAAAGGGATTCAAATTAGAAATTCTCCTACATATTATTACAATAAGAAATTGCCACAGCAATACAATTTAAACAAGAACTCATCAACTGAAAGATTTTTTTTACATAAAACCAAATCTGGCTCATGTATCCCTAACAATTGCTACTCTAATCAAAGGAAATACGAGCATTTTTTAAAATCACCTCCTGTACTCCCAGATTTCTCATTAGCGGTATTAATTATTACTTAATTTACAGGAGCAATGAATTTCTGCCTAAGAGTGTGAGCCGGGAGTGGGGCTGGAACATGTAAGCATTAGAATTGGCGGGTGGAATTAAGGGAGTAATTTAAAGACTTAATGGTATACCTAAAAGACTACATCTTCTCAAAACAGAAACTAAATAAATCCTACTACAAGTGACTGCCACCTGCTATTTTCCTATTATTTCTGTGATACATTAGGGTTAAACTGGTAAGATAAATTATAGTTGCATGGAATTTCACAAGAATAATTTTTAAATGCAATCAATTTTGCTAATTCCAAATTTCTAAGTTTACTTGCAAGATTAATTTGGTTCAAGTAGAAGAAAAACCATTAATACAAGGAGAAGCTTACCTGGGCTACTGCTTAAAAAGGTCTATGTTAAAAAATGCAAAATGTGCACATAGATTAAAATATTTTAAAATTCCTAACAAAAAGAGAATTAAATAAATAAGCACTAAAGAAGAAAAAGGTTACGCACTTCCAATTTATGCTCTTTCTCTGCAAGGGCTTCCTTTTGACAACGAAGAAAATCTGCTAACATTCGAGTGAGTTGCTTTCTATCATCTATTTCTGCCGCCAATCTGCCATTGTAATCTGCCAGCAACATACACGCATCCTCTACCATTTTGGAAAGCCTTTCTCCAGATTCTTTATCTAAGAAAAGCACGGGATAATAAAATATTATACAACAAAAACAATGACATATGCTGTTCTCTCATCCCAACTCCCAAAAAAGTTCTGGATCACATTTTCTTTTCTTACCTGTTATTTTATCTAATAGAGATACTTCTTGGACTTCAACAGGTAAAGAAGCTATCCTCTGATGAACTGCTGCATCACCTGAGGCTGCATTTTCCAGATCTTGTAATGCTCTAACGAGATCTAGAGTCTAAAAAGTACACAACTTCAGAACCAAAATAAATTGAGCTTAAACAAGTGCAAAAGACTTTAATTTCATATTCTTTCATCCCTATGGGCTATTTACTAGTACAAAGCTCCTAATATAAACTGCTTTTGAAGACAATCAATTTCTTTCATATGTTAAGAAAAAAGGAGGCTATACTATGTTAGGTGTTGAAAATATAAACAGGACAAGGCCCTAGACCTTGAAGAGAGCTTACTCCAGTGGTGGAGACAGAGTAATAATAATTATTTGAGTACTAAAATGAGGTAATGAGGATTTATATGGCAAATACATCAGTGGTGAAAGAGAAGGTAGGCTATAACATCAACCTAGAGAATACAAGTTTTATGTATGATATATTCATTACATTATCATTGTACACTAGAAGTTTTTTTAGTATTAAATTGGATATTATGGAAAGAGGGTTACAAATCATCTACTACAACACAGAAGAGTCTCCCAGATTTCATTTCTAAATGCTGTAATTAAAGCCCAAGAGAAATGTAGTTCTAGAATATGTTCAAATATGATATCTTCAAGTATCCTATGGCTTGTTAATAAGATTAAAATATTTCAAAATTCCATAATCTGATGACTAATATATATTGCTTAACCAGTACTGAAATTATTTTATCATTAAAATATTTTACTTCCACTGTTTTCATACAAGCTATAATTAGGAGGGAAGCGCAACTCTTTGCTGGTGATTTCACAACTCATAATGTCTATAAAGTTATTCCAAAGAAAAACAATTAAATTTTATTTTTACTAGTTTCCATTCTCCAGCCCATCTTTTTCATCTTTCTTTCTTAATTTCTAATACTAGATTCAGAAACACTAGGAAATTACACATATGCTTTAAAAAATATAGGATATTAGTAATTCTGTGTATATATTAAGATTTTTAAACTATTCCCTTGAAAAAAAGGGTAGCACATGACAAATGATCAAATGTGGTAGGAATGAATGAAACTAATAAGAAATATACTATCCTACGTGTGCTCACTCATTAGAAGTGTTTAAAATTTCAGTATTTTAAAAAATAATTTTGTTGTAAGATATATCCCCTCTACAATTAAGGTGTGCTTAAGAGTAACAACAATTACCAGAAAGCTTGTTTCTCATCTTGCCACAACTAATATATTATTTTTAAAATCATTCTTAGAAAATTCTAATTGTCTGGAGTTCTAAGAAGAAATCTGGCTTTATTGTCTTGGCAATGCATTGATGCTTTAATTACAACCTGATCTCATCACACCTTCACAGTCCTACATGAGTACATTCTAAGTTCCCAATGCCTGATCAAGCATCAGATAAGAAAGCAAAGTTGTCTGAAACAATACTAAGCCTACTACTTCCTACCAGAGGAGAATGAAATGAGTTTAACGGGAACCTACAAAGAGATTTTAGCCATTCTTATAAAGAATAACACACACACAAAAATGAAGACCACAAAGCTGAACCATTGATAATTAAGCAGCACAACTAATCTAAAAAACGATCATTATAAAACAAAGAGCAACAGCATTTTACACAAGTACTAGAGGAGAGGCAGATGATTACTTAAAAATACTCCTAAGATATGCAACTGTGGTTACCCTTTCATCAGGGAGAGCGGAAGGAGACCAGATCCTTTATCTAGAACTTAGGTAAAACACTGTTCATAGAATCATGAGGCTCTTAGCCAAAAATGATTTTCTGTCATGAGTTATTACCAAATAGGAAGAGACATAAATCTTAGTGTTTGGTTGTTCCAAATGTAACATTCTTATCACTTTTCTATTCAAGCTCTTGTCCATAGTGGCCAATGGGCTTCAGCATTCCTATCACTGAACAAACAGGTAGGCTGACTCAGGTCGTGGCCTTGGTCTGATTCCTTCTGCTTCTCCAGTACTGAGACTAATATAAATCCACAGTTACAGGTAGTAATTGATTGTATTTTTCTTTCACCTTCATGGGGGAAAGAGCTCCTCCCAGCCTCTGATTTTATTCAGTGAATTTGGAACCAGTCCTCTAACTCCCACGGAGCACTGTGAGTTCCTGTTGCCCTTGTGAGTTCCTGTGACCTTAAAGGATACTAATTTCTGGCAACCCCATGTCTGCTTCGGGACCAGGGCTCAGCAGGAGCCAGGTTTTGTCTCACCTATGAAGTTAGGTGTACAATTTCTAACCCATGAAAATACATTCGCCTTGTTTTAAGAGTATGGTTATGTCTTCATTTTCTCATTTTACACTTTATCTGTCCCGCCTACATGTTTGAAACATAGAAGGAGGAAGCTTAAAGACTCAATGCCCACTTAAAAAAAAAAAAAAAAAAAAGTCTTTCTGGAATTAATCTGATGGTTAAGGAATACCATACCATACCAACATGTAGGAGGACACAGAGTGTTAAGATAATAATTCTAACTTATTTTTCCACAGAATTACATAGTTCTATATAGTTACAAAGAAATGTATGAACACATATATATCACTCTAACACTACTTTTTTTTTTTTTGAGACGGAGTCTCGCTCTGTCACCCAGGATGGAGTGCAGTGGTGCTATCTCGGTTCACTGCAAGCTCCGCCTCCCAGGTTCACGCCATTCTCCTGCCTCAGCCTCCCGAGTAGCTGGGACTACAGGCGCCCGCCACCACGCCCAGCTAATTTTTTGTATTTTTTAGTAGAGACGGGGTTTCACCATATTAGCCAGGATGGTCTCGATCTCCTGACCTCATGATCCGACCACCTTGGCCTCCCAAAGTGCTGGGATTACAGGCGTGAGCCACTGCGCCCGGCCACTCTAACACTACTTTTTACATTTAAAAACAAAAATACTTAAAGGGGCAGTGATTATGTCCAAGAATGAAAATTTTAGTGTATTTAAATCATACATGAGCCGGGCACAGTGGCTCATGCCTATAATCCCAGCACTTTGGGAGGCCAAGGTGGGAGGATCACTTGAGGCCAGGAGTTCAAGACCAGCCTGGCCAACATGGTGAAACCCCATCTCTATTAAACACAAAAATTAGCTGGGCTTGGTGGCCCGTGCCTGTAGTCTCAGCTATTTGGAAGGCTAAGGCAGGAGAATCGCTTGAACCCAGGAGGCAGAGGTTGCAGTGAGCCAAGATAGTGCCACTGAACTCCAGCCCTGGGGACAGAGTGAAACTCCGTCTCAAAAAAAAAAAATCACATAACAAAATAGGCATGTTTTGTTTTATTTTAAAAAGTTTAAATAGCTAACATCTCACATCTAACCATATTTGGCAATTAAAAATCCTCTTTCTATACAAAACATGATTTCTATGCAAAATATACAATATACAACATACTACATTTAACATAAGCAATTTGTTAATGAGGAAGAGATATTCATGTGGCTTCTTTCTTGTACCTAAAAGTATAATAGAAATCAATTTACAGAAGTGAAACGAAATTAATAAAGCTTGGTGGCAACATGAAGTAAAAGTTTGTAACTCTTTTAACAGGGTAAAATTTCTACCTGTGGTGGTTCACTTGGAGATCCCAGAGAGGAACAGTTTTCATTTTCATCCACCTTTATCTGTTCATAAGTTCGCTTCCTAGGCTTCTTATCACCATCTGAAATGAAAGAACATTTAAGTATTAATGAAAGAATACATTTTAATGAAGAGATCAAGGTAAGAGATCAGGATTCTACACTTACACAGAGCTTGTTTAAGTTGTTCTAATACATCATTTTCATAAACAGACCTTTCTTCCCAAATAGATAACACTCTTCCAAGGTGCTTCTTACAACTTTCATCAGTTTCACTAAAAAAAAAAAAAAAGAAAAAAAGAAAAATGTTAACAGTAACAATGCATAGTGTTATTGAAAAGGTTAACGGTAACTTTAAATATAATCAGACATTCATTCCCTGGAAAAAACTGTCCAAATGTCTACTTAGCATCACTATGTGGCCAGCAGCTCAAAAGTGAAGTGATCTAGACACACTGCTTGCTTCTAGTAAACATTTTATAAACATATTATTACACAACCAAAAAAAGTTTAAACTGTAAAAGTTTTAGTACTGGCTGCTAGGGATTTCCTATCCTAATGGGGCCTGGACATGGGGCTAAGGAAGATTTCTCATAGGTTATTTTTTTAAATTTATTCAACAAATACTTATTGATCCAGTTACTATCTTTGACATGGAGATGCAAATGCAGCTTATGGCAGTTGTTATTTATAAGTATCACAAAAGAGAACAAAGTGCTTAAGACAGACCTGGCCCTGTTTAAGAGATATCCGGAAGAGTATTTAAGGAAATGATATTTAATTTGAGATCTTAAGACTAGACATATGGGGAAATGAAAAACAGACTACTCCCAACTGTTTCCTACCTCCTTCATTGCTATCACTGTAGACAGAAACACTACTATCTCTTGCTTAGAATTTTGTAAAGTCTTCTCACGCTCTCCCAGCCTCTACTCTTTTACTCTATTCTGTACAAAGCATCCTAATAATGTAAATCAGATTATACAGCTCTTGATCCTCCAAGAGCTACCAATCACATCAAGAATAAAACCAAAATCCTTACTCTGGGCCATAAGGCCCACATGCTCTGCTTTCTGGCAGTCCCTCAGTACACACTCCCTAATACCTAGTACCATACAAATCTCCTTGCTAAGGTCCTCAAACATGTCCAGCATATAAGCTATCTCATTTTTTCGGCCACATATTCTCTCTACCTAGAATCCTTTCTGCCTAGTCAAATGGCTCATTTCACCCCTTCCTTTAGTCTTTGTTCAAATGCCACCTTCCCCAAATAGTTGTTCTTTATCTCATCACATAACTGAGCGCCCTCATACTATCTAGTTCCTTCCCTGCTTTGTATTTCTTGCTAGCATTTGTCATCTGACATTATGCATTCACTTGTCTATCTACTTATTAACTTTGTCATCCAATGAAATGTAGGCTCCAGTAGAACAAAACTGTCTTGGTCACTACTACTCAGGGTTTTGCATATAATAAATATTTATGCAGCCAATAAATATTTTACTGAATTCTAGGGAGGGGCAACATATATAGAAGACTTAAGGCGGAAAGAACTAAAAAAGGTTAATTTAGCTTAAACTGTAGACTATAGACTGTGTGGAATAAATGCGAGACAGAGGTCTGGGGAGATAGGCAGTGCCACGAAGGAACACCTTAAGTCTTGCTCAGGACTTTAGACTTCATCTCTAAAACAAATGGGAACCACTCAAAGGCAAGGAAGTATTATGACCAGCTCTGCAACTCTGTCGAGTTTTCTAAAGAAATTAAACAATACTAAAGGGCATTAAAATTATACTGAAAATACATTATGGTAACTAAAAGGGAAAGAAATCCAAAGAACCGAGTCAATGTGTACTATGTGAGATATGGGGACTGAAGGAGAAAGAAGAGTTTAAAGGTAACATAATTTCTTGCATAGGCACCTGGATAGATCGAGTTGCCATTCACAGAGTATAAAACCTACAGGAGGGACAAGTACGGTGGGAAGCAAGGACATAATGAGTTCTGTATCAGACACAGTGAGTCTGAAATGTTTGAGACGCATACAAGTAAAAATGTCAAAAGGCAATTGGGCACACAGGTTTGGAACAAAAAAAAATCTGGACTGGAGCATAAAACTGTAAGTCATTACGGTGTGGAGAATAACCAAATACATGCGATGTACAAAATTACCCAGAGGGCAAGTAAAGAATGGAAACAGGCCAGACATGGTGGCTCACGTTTGTAATCCCAGCACTTTGGGAGGCCGAGGCAGGTGGATCACGAGGTCAGGAGTTCAAGACCAGCCTGGCCAAGATGGTGAAACCTTGTCTCTACTAAAAACACAAAAATTAGCCAGGCATGGTGGCAGGCACCTGTAATTCCAGCTACTTGCGAGGCTGAAGTAGGAGAATCGCTTGAACCCAAGCGGCAGAGGTTGCAGTGAGCCAAGATCGCACCACTGTACTCCAGCCTGGGTGAGAGTGAGACTCTGTCTCAAAAAAAAAAAAAAAAAAAAAAAAAAGAATAGAAACAGTACTAAGTGTATATGGAAATATTTGTTACAAGACTGATAGCTTTATAAACACACAAATTTTTACTTCAATACCTTCATTCATTTTTAATGAAGTTCATTCCAATATAGCAGTTGGTTCTGGTCTCTTAAAGGAAAGCTGTAATTCAAGTACTCCAAAGGCCCACCTTAGCAACAGTTCAAAAAATATTTTTCCTTCAGAGAAGGCATTTAATACATTTATAAATGCCATGTAGAGGGAAGTCTTTTCAAATAAAAGCATCAAAAAACTATATTCCCTACTTTTTATTTTAATAGTTTAAGGCAAATTTTAGCAAAAGGACATATGGTACATTTAAAACAGATTACCTAATACCCAAAACTATGATCATACCTTGAAACATGCTTAAAAGCCTCCACTATAACTGGTGCAAAATCTTTTGTAAACTCTGGCCCCTTCCTCTTGCTGTTCTGTATGACATCATTGGCTAGGTAGAGAAAAGTAAGCTTCCTGTTTGGTTTGGCTGAAAAATAAGAAAAAGTTAAAAATCTACTTAAAACATCTTTACTTGGACAAACTTTCTCAATACCTAAATTAAGCATTTTGAGAACTAAAATAACCCTACTAACCTTTATGTATCATTTCAACCCTAGTCTCTCATTTTACTACCAAACTAACCAGTCACTGCTGCTAAAATCGCCAGAACTAATGTCTATGTAAAAATGCATCTCGGTGACTCTATCCTGTATTAAATTTTAGTAAAACCATTACAAACTATATGAAATATAGTCATTTAAAATAAGATGGTGATTGCTCATGTTATTAAGATGGCACCCTAAATCCTACATTGAATTTAGGATTGTTTTAATAGACATGTTAATTCGAAATCATTATTAAGCTATTGTGAAACAACAGAAGAGCATGAAATGTAAAACAGGTTGAAAGAGATGTCCCTTCAATCAATTACTATTTTTTGTTTATGCAATAAATATTTGCC
Organism: Homo sapiens; assembly: GCF_000001405.40. Lineage (NCBI taxonomy): Eukaryota > Metazoa > Chordata > Mammalia > Primates > Hominidae > Homo > Homo sapiens. The sequence continues at coordinate 36,034,312 of NC_000018.10, forward strand.
AAGCTAATAGATTAACTGCTAGGGAGAGTAAATGGGAAAAGTTTAGATGTTTCTGTCTTTAGATTACATGGCCATAAATTTTAAACTGAATTCATTATGACAAAAATATTCCCCTACTCACTATGCTCTGTGGGTGTAGTCATTTCTCTAAGGAAATAGACAAGATTTCAACAGTTGTGGGCCACAGTACATTTTTACTGGTTACAATGTTAAATAGCATACTACTACTGAATATGACTCAAATAAGATTATACATAAGGAAAACAGTGTTGAACATAATATTTTATACTATTCTTATATTTTACTAGAATTAAATTTGAATCACTCAATGTAGTACAGTTATATTCAGAAGCATCATACCTTGTGGCATCCATAGTACAGTGGTGTAGGAAACTTATGGTCAGGACCAATTATGCAGTATCCTATTGATGTGGGCTATCTTATTGGATTTAAGACAAAAATCTTGATCAGGCTACATGTGGTCCTCTAGATGTTAAGTATTCAATTTACAAATTTAAGCATTTGACATATTAAAAAGTCACCTCTGAGTTCACATCATTCTCGAGGAGCAACCAGAAGCCCAACCTTCTCATATACTAAGTCACAACTGATCAAACTTTACAAACCTGTGCCATGCCACTGTATAACCTGGTTTGTCTGTTTAAATTGCTGTCTACCACTTTTCATGATTTTGCAAGTTGCTGGCATGGAATAAAAATAAGAAGAGATGGCTATAACAGAGACCAGCTTCTGGTTTTCAGGCTCCTTGTCTGGTTAGATAAACCACAGTGTACAACTGGTTAAGATATCGGGACCCTATCCTAACATTCAGTCCTGTCTCTTTTGTACCCATCCTTGCCCTCTCAATCCCACCCACAAAATAGATTGGTATTGTTCAATCCAGATTTTTGCCTTCCCAGTGTCAAATGAGTTTAGAAACTCAAATTTGTATTATCTAATTGGGAGATTGCCTGCATCACTTTTGAATGGGTACCTGAACAAACAATCCTTTCACTGCACTTTTACTATGTGCTACACACTATTCCAAGCACTTTACATACATTATCTCAATCCTAACAATATGTCTCTATTTGGCAGCTGAACAAACAAAGCCAAAAACATTATTTGCCCTCAGGGAAATAATGAGGAAGAGATAAGCCAGGATTGGAATCCAAAAAGTCCAACAGCCAAGCAAATCCCTCTTAACAACTAGACCATGCTTCCTGTCATAATTAAAAGGGCATGTTAATCTTTGAGACTCAAAAGTAGCAACTGAAAAGAAGAAAAAGATAAAACAATGCAAAACAAAAAGTAGCAACTGAAATAAAAATATTTTACAATGTTAGCAGCATTATTCACAATAGCCAAGAGTTAAGAGCAACCTAACCCACTGATCAATGAATAAACAAAATGTGAATTATATATTCAATAAAGTATTATTCAGCCTTATAGAAGAAGGAAATGTTGACGCATGTTACAACATGGATGAATCTCCAGGACATCATGCCAGGTGAAATAATCGAGTCATGAAAAAAGACAAACCACTGTATGATTCTACTTATTGGAGGTACTCAAATTCATAGAAAAAAAGAGTAGAAGGATAGTTGCCAAAGGCTGTGGGAATGGGAGGAGAATAGGAAATTATTCATGGGTACAGAGTCTCAGTTTTGCAAAATGAACAGTTCTGGAAACTGGCTACACAACAATGTACTTAACACTACTGGACTGTACACGGAAAAAATGAAGATGGTAAATAATATTTATTACCACAAAAACAAAAAAAATGTTTTTGTTTTTTTTGTTTGAGACAAGTTCTGTCTCCCAGACTAAAGGCTCACTGCAGCCTCGACCTCCTGGGCTCTAGCAATCCTCCTGCCTCAGCTTCCAAGTAGCTGGAACCACAGGCACACGCCACCATGCCTGGCTAATTTTTTAAATTTTTTGTAGAGATAAGGTCTTACTTTGTTGCCCAGGCTGGTCTTGAACTCCTGAGCTCAAGTGACCCTCCCACCTAGGCCTCCCAAAGTGCTGGGATTACTGGTGTGAGCCACTGTGCCTGGCCCTAGAATGTTTTTTAAATTCATGGGTTATATCAATCTCTCAAAGAATTCAGAATTGCTTTTACAATATACACTAAAATAAAAATTTACAAGATTTAAAAATATATTTACCAGTGTTTTCCAAAGGACAAATTCCATATGAGGTGATTGAGCATGGGGTCCAAATACCAAGATACTATTTTCACTTTTATCTTTGTAGGACCAAGCAAAAATATGAAAAATACCCAGCAATCATCACAACTTATGCCCTTCCCTAAATTTTCAGGGAAAGAAATTTACTTCCATTTAAAATTATGTGTCCCTATACATACAGCAAATAATTAATGGCGGTAATCACAGCAAGCAATCCAAGAAAATCACACAAAAAATTTCCAAATGAATTTTGATATTTTTAAAAATAACAGAGCCATAAATTGTTATTAAAAGAGAAACAGTTAACAGAAAGGGAAAACAAACCATGTCATAATTCCACAAAGAAATGCCACTGTTGGCAACAAAGAATGTAAGACTAAGTGACAGGTCTGACTTAGTTAATTCCTATGTTTCTGTTGCTCATGGGGTTCTTTCCAAAAACACCGGTTTTCCAAACCGTCCATTCAATTTAAATAGCATTTATTATTTTAATGTTTGCCATGTACCAGGGACCACGCTAAGTACAGACTAAAATTAACGTTTCCTGTTCAATCAGGAGTTTGCAAGTTCCATACAAATTGGCAGATGATAGGTCACATCACTAAAATGTTACTTTTTTTTTCCTTATTTCTTCTCCCCATGAATATATCACACCAACACAGAAACAATCATAAATAACATATACTTGTGATACAGTTTGGCTGTGTCCCCACCCAAATCTTGAATTGTGGTTCCCATAATCCCATGTCATAGGAGGAACCAGGTGGGAGATAACTGATCATGGGGGCAGCTACCTCCATGTTTTTCTCATGTTAGTAAGTGAGTTCTCATGAGATCTGATGGTTTCATAAAGAGCTTTCCCCCACTTCACTCTGTACTTCTTCCTGCCACCATGTGAATAAGGACGTGTTTGCTTCCTCTTCTGTCATGATTGTAAGTTTCCTGAGGTCTCCCCAGCCCTGAAGAACTGTGAGTCAATTAAATCTCTTTCCTTTATAAATTACCCAGTTTCAGGTATTTCTTCGTAACAGCATGAGAACAGACTAATACAGTAAATTGGTACCAAGTAGTGGGGCACTGCTGTAAAGATACCTGAAAATGTGGAAGCCACTTTGGAACTGGGTAACAGGCAGAGGTTGGAACAGTTTGGAGGGCTCTGAAGAAAACAGAAAGATGTGGGAAAGTTTGGAACTCCCTAGAGACTTGTTGAATGGCTTTGACCAAAATGCTGATAGTGAAGTAGACAATGAAGTCCAGGCTGAAGTGGTCTCAGATGGAGATGAGGAACCTGTTGGAAACTGGAATAAAGGTGACTCTCACTATGCTTTAGCAACAAGACGGGCAGCATTTTGCCCCTGCCCTAGAGATCTGTGGAACTTTGAGGTTAAAAGAGATGATTTAGGGTATCTGGTGGAAGAAATTTCTAGCCAGCAAAGCATTAAAGTGACTTGGGCCCTCTTAAAAGCATTCAGTTCCAGGCATTCACAAAGATACGGTTTGGAATTGGAACTTATGTTTAAAAGAGAAATGGAACATAAAAGTTCGAAAAATTTGCAGCCTGAGGATACAACAGAAAAGAAAACCCATTTTCTGAAGAGAAATTCAGGTGGGCTGCAGAAATTTGCAAGTAACAAGGGGCCAAATGTTCATCCTCAAGACAATGGGGAAAACGTCTCCAGGGCATGTCAGAGACCTTCATGGCAGCCTCTCCCATCACAGGCCCAGAGGCCGAGGAGGAAAAAATGGTTTCCTGAGCCAGGCCCAGGGCCTTGTTGCTTTGTGCAATCTCAGGATTTGGTGCCCTACCTCCCAGCTGCTCCAGCTCTAGCCATGGCTAAAAGGGGCCAGGGCACAGCTTGGGCCATTGCTTCAGAGGGTGCAAGCCCCAAGCCTTGGCGGCTTCCATGTGATTGTGGGCCTGTGGATGCACAGAAGGCAATACTTAAGGTTTGGGAACCTCCACCCAGATTTCAGAGGATATATGGAAACACCTGGATGTCCAGGCAAAAGTCTGTTGCAGAGGCAGAGCCCTCATGGAGAATCTCTGCTGGGGCAGTGCGTAGGGGAAATGTGGGATTGGAGCTCTCACATGGGGTCCCCACGAGGCACTGCCTAGTGGAGTTCAAGAAGAGGGCCACTGTCCTCCAGACCTCAGAATGGTAGATCCACAGACAACTTGCATTCGTGCCTGGAAAAGTTACAGGCAGTCAACATCATCCCATGAAGGAGCTGCCCAAGGCAGTGGGAGCCCACCCCTTGCATCAGTGTGCCCTGGATGTGAGACAGGGAGTCAAAGGTGATTTTGGAGCTTTAAGGTTTAATGGCTGCCCTGCTGGGTTTCGGACTTGCATGGGGCCTATACCCCTCTTGTTTTGGCCAATTTCTCCCTTCTGGAACAGGAGCATTTACCAAATACCTATGATACCCCCGTTGTATCTTGGAAGTAACTAATTTGTTTTTTATTTTACAGGCTCATAGGTGGGAGGGACTTGCCTTATCTCAGGTGAGACTTTGGGCTTGGACTTTTGAGTTAATGCTAGAATGAGTTAAGACTCTGGAGGACTACTGGGAAAGCATGATTGGTTTTGAAATGTAAGAAGGACATGAGATTTGGGAGGGGCCGGGGTGGAATGATATGGTTTGGCTGTGTCCCCACCCAAATCTCATGTCAAATTATAATCTCCACATGTCAGGGGAGGGGCCTGGTGGGTGCCATGACTGTAAGTTTCCTGAGGCCTCCCCAGCAATGCAGAACTGTGAGTCAATTAAATTTCTTTTCTTCAAAAATTACCCAGTCTCAGTTCTTTATAGCAATGTGAGAGGAGACTAATACAATTACCTAAAAAGTTGAGCACATCCCCCAGAAGGGGCATGGTAATAAATGTTCAGTTCATCATATAACCAGGAGACAGTTATATAACCTACCACAAACAATTCATCTAAAAGATCAATTAACAAGCTTCAAAAAGAAATCAGAGTCCAGACTATTAAACAATATGAAACAGACTTACTCAGTGAAAGGATTAAAATGTCATCTCTAGTTCCACTACTTCATAATCAGTTCATAGTTTTAGTTGTTCATAATGGTAGAAAGTGGTAGGAGAAATGTTACCTATTTTCTTACATTGTACATACCATATGTATACTCATTTTTATATGCTGCAAAATATCATAATCTAAATTAATCATCCATGGTTTATGAAGACTGAATTTAAAACTACAGTAGATGGCAATGCTGATAAATACAATAAACAGCTAAAATCCTGTTATCTATAAACATAAGAACCATCATTCCGAGGGAAACCTTCTACATGGAAAGCAGCAGCAGGAAATTGAATAAGGAAACACACACACACGCATGCACACATGCACATATACACACACACAAACAGAAATATATGCACATGTACATATACATACACATACATATCAATGGGAGGAATGAGCATTACTACAGGTCTTGTACAAGAAAATCAGGAGAAAAGTCATTTTGAAACAAAAATCTATTAAAGATTTATTAACAATTACTAGACATCCTCATTTATTTCCCTGGTAAAATGAATGACTATAGACTAGAAAAAGATTCTATATATCCTGCTTATATAGTATACACATATTAAATCCTCAAATTTTAAGTGTAATTTAATTATCTTCCTAAAGTTTGAGTTAGGTGGAACTATAAATGCATTTAACTAAAGGATAATTATAAATGATTAAGATCTCATGCCACTCATACAGTCAACAAATAATTACTTGGTATCTACCATTCACAGACACCGCATTAGCTACTAGGAATAAAAGACGACTCAACGGTCAAGTTGATAAAAGTCTACTTAAGCCATATGTGTAAATGTGTTATGAAACATTAGTGAAAAGAATATTCTTGGCAGAAAGAAGCTCCCCTCATGACCTAATGAATGCACTGTACATTATATATGAGGGAATAATGAAGTGTAAAGTTGCAAAGAAGGGAAGACTTAAACTAAACACCAAGCTAACAAGTGTTTCAGCTTCATTTTATAAACAAAAAGAGAAGTACTGAAGTTTTAATTTGGGAGCAGGGGTGAATGGGATACCCTGAGGTACGTCATGAAATCTAGAAGTAGGTAACACTGAACACTAAGAATACTGCAATAGGCAAGGAAAGAAGAAAGAATTCAAAACTAGAGTTGTGATCACAGGAATTTTGCCTTTCATTTTTCTATGCAGTACCTCCTTACCCACATCTAATCATCCCTAAAAATTTCTAAGCTTTTTAGGCAAGTGGTACTTACATAGAAGAAAAGTGTTTTTATTCACTTACAGTAAATTCCTGTTTGACAAAATCTCCAATTGGAATTTCTCATTTGTTGCACCTCCACTCTAAAAGGAAGCAATTAACAAGAAAATATTTACTACACCTTCTAGAATTAAATAGTTCTTTACAGTAATTGTCTTTCAGAATGAACTACAAACACTGCTCAATTTCAGGTGGAAAAAAAGAATTCCCCATTAGAGTTTAATGCAGAATACTACTACATTAAGTATTCTTGAAGTTGAGTGAAATTCAAATGAGAATTGAAGAAAGGTTTTCTGCATAGTCTCAAATATACTAGAACAATTAATCAAAAGGAACCTGTTCCTAACTTTCTGGATAATCTTCAGGTTTTCTCAATTATCACCTACACGGGCTCCATTTATAAACATTTTTAAAAATCATAAAAATTTTTCATTAATAATCCCCACGTATCTCTCCTGAAACCAAGGAGTTAATTATGTAGCACTTCCTCTTAAGTATGGCTTTTAAAAGGCCCTAAACTTATCTTCCATCTTATAGAACCCTTTTCTCCGAATTCTTTGGTATCCTCATGCTATCTTAAGTCCTATTGCAGTAATCACTCTCCCCACAGCAGGCCTATCTCCAACTTACTAGATTCTCTCTCAACTAAATCCTGTTTCTTTTAGTTCAGAAAAGCATGGAGATAGATCTAATTCAGTTCCTTAACCCTAAGATAATTTTATACCTAAGCATTCATTTTTAAAATGTAGTGCAACAAACAAATTAAAAACACACACTTGTGGAAATCAGCATTTTCTGAGGCAAAAATGAAAGGTCTGTGCTGTGCAGACTTGTATCCTGAGAGTGTTTTTCTGAACCTGTTTCCAAAACCTATAGATTCTAACAACTTCAAGACTTTTCCTTCCGCCTGTGGCATTGTGGGGAAGACGTGTTCCTATGGATGGATAGGTGGTTGTCAGCCAAAAACTGCTTTAAGTTAGTCAACATCTTTGCCACAGAAAGCATATCAAGAGATGATTCTTCAATGGATTCTATCTGTCCCAGACAGGACAAAGAGTTCAGTCAGACACAGCTGGCTGCTTCTCCACAGCAGAGGTGGGTGAAAAGTGGGTAGAGGTGATGTACTCCTGTACTACTGCCAGGAGGTCTCAGATTTGGCAGCCTATTCCTTGGGAGAGTTCAGGTTCACATTTCAAATTACACAGTAGGGATGGATCCTGTCAATTCTTGCTTACAAGCCTTTGAAGATTTTCTATTGTTTTCCAAACAGCATTTTAAAATCCTTAATATGAACCAAAGGCCTTAAACAAAGAGGTCTCCACCATTTACACTACTCTTTTCCAACACTATCCTCCAAGTTCCCCAACTCCTACCATATTTTAGACCTCAGTTAAATGGGTTCCTCCAGTTTTCCCTGACCAACGAGCCCACATAGGTTAGGCAGCCCTGAGATGCTTTCATAGCACTCCATACTATTCCTATGGCACATCTACCCTAACTATAATTATTTTTATTTCATGTAGTGCTTCACAACTAAACTAAGTTCCATTGAGAGCAATGACTGTCAAATCTACCAGAATCAAACCCAACAGCTAGCTCCTAATTTGATCAACATTTACTGAATACATTTTGGCCTAGACCTGTGGCTTTAATTACTTGTTCCAGTAACTTAGTTTCTGATCATTAACCTCAGCCAGCACAGCAGAGAGGGGAACACATGTAAAATTACACTGCTGTCAGAAACCTCAACAATTTTTAATTCAGATTATGAAAGACAAACTTCCTTAGCACTCATTCGTACGTTTTTTAAATGTATTGAAGTTCAACTATTTTCATTTTCCTTCCTTCACTCTACAGTTCTTACAAAGCAATAACCTATAGAAAAACAGTCAAGACATGTGCACAGGAAGTACAAAGAAACACAAATGTTAAAGAATTAAAACCAACTACCATTTTCAACCTACTAGAGTGACCAAGACTAAAGTCTGACACCAACTAAAATTGACAAAAGTATGGGTGAGATGACCAAATTTAGATACCTTCAGACACTGGTGGTTAAATCATAAATTAATACAACCTCTCAGAAAAACGACTTGGCAATATCTATCAGAAAACATAAATGCACATACCTTCTTCACCTTGCAAATTTTACTTCTAAGAATTTATCCTATGGATATGGATATATTTCTCATAAATGCACAAAGAAATCATTAAGGATATTCATGACAGCATCGAGAAAGAACTGAATAAACCATGGCACATCCATACAATCTACACAATATTCTGCAGCTGTTCAAAAATGAAAGCGATTGATGTATTGATATGGAAAAATATCAAAGACATAGTATTAAGTTACACACACACACAAACACAGTAAACAATAACTATATCTTTGGGAAAGATCAAGAAGAATCGGGGGGGGGGGAAGAAGGGGAGTTACCAACAAAGAATTAAGTTATAAAAGAGAAACATACAAATTATATATTACATGATTAATCTGAGCCTACATGCTGAAAAAGGCTTCAGCATAGTGCTGGCCTGGTACTCCACCAACTGACTTTGTCCTGTAGGTGCATTTATCCATGGCTTCTCCTGTATCAATGCTTGGTTAAGGAGAACAAAAGAACACCCAGGTCCAGGCAAAGGAACATCTTTTCCATTCTAAAAGGCCAAAGGAAATGCAAATTCCTGAGAAATTTTTGTGAAAAAAATAATTTTTAAACCTTCAATTTCAGTATATGCAACAAATGAATTATAAAAGTCCTGAGAAGAATAAACTTCATCCTGGACCATTAGACCACCATAAAATACACTGTCAACTGGAACAGTTATGGAAGAATATACACCATACCCATTTATTCACATTACACTTCTAGAATGAAATTGAGACTAAAACTTTTTTGTTTTACAAATAAATTGAAAGAAATAATATTGACTACAATTTTTATGACCTGAGCACTGTTCTAAGTTTATTATGTATCTCATTTAACCTTCAAAACAACCCTACAAGGTAAGTTATCCTCATTTTACCAATGAAACAATTATTAAAGTACAGTTGACCCTTCAACAATTGGGGGTAAAGGGGTCCAACGCCCTGTGCAGTAAAAAACCCATGTATAACTTCTGACTCCCAAAAAACTTAACTACTAACAGACTATCACTGAGCAGAAACTTTACTGATAACATAAATAACACATATTTTGTATGTTATATAAACTATATACTGTATTCTGACACTAAAGTAAGCTAGAGAAAAGAAAATGTTAAGAAAATCATAGAAAGAAAACATCTATTATTAAGTGGAGGTGTTTTCATCAAAAAGGTTTTCTCTTTGTCATTTTAATGTTGAATAGGCTAAGGAGGAAGAGGGGGAAGAGGAGCGGTTGGTCTTGCTGTCTCAGGAGTGTCAAAGGCAGAAGGGGTGAAGGAGGTGGAAAGGAAGGCAGACACACTCATGTAACTTTTACTGAAAAAAATTCACATAGAAGTGGACCTGGGCAGTTCAAACCCATATTGTTCAAAGGGAAACTGTAATTAAATGTAAATTACAGTGAAATCAATCAGCACTCTCAAGCCCCACACTGTGGTCCCTAAAAAACATTTCATTAATAAAAGCAGATCAAAGCTGGGCACAGAAGCTCACACCTGTAATCCCAGCATTTTGGGAGGCAGAGGCGGGTGGATCACCAGAGGACATGAGTTCGAGACCAGCCTGGCCAACATGGTGAAACCCCATCTCTACTAAAAATACAAAAATTAGCCAGGCATGGTGGTGCACACCTGTAATCCCAGCTACTCAGGAGGCTGAGGCACAAGAATCACTTGAACCCAGGAGGTGGAGGTTACAGTGAGCCAAGATGACACCACCGCACTCCAGCCTGGACGACAGAGCGAGACTCAGTATCAAAAAATATAAAAAATAAAATAAATAAAAGCAGATCAAGTCTCATGTCCTCTGGCAAATAAAAGCAGGAAATGCACAAAATGTACCAAGGACATCTTGGCACGCTACAAAGGATAAAAGTGATTTTAAAAACTGCAATTGTATCCAAAGGACACAAGCAATCTTCCAAGAGGCTGCCACTGACAAAAGGGCATCAAAAATAAAAACAATAGTCTGAAATACAAACATATACAAATCCATGAGTTCAAAATGATAACTTTTAAAAAAAATAGGCCAGGCATGGTGGCTCATGCCTATAATCACAGCACTTTGGGAGGCCAAAGTGGGTGGATCACTTGAGGCCAGGAGTTCAAGATGAGCCTGGGCAACGTGAAGAAACCCTGTCTCTACTAAAAATACAGAAATTAGCCAGACGTGGTGGTGCATGCCTGTAATCCCTGCTACTCGGGAGGCTGAGGCATGAGAATCACTTGAACCTGGGAGGTGGAGGTTGCAGTGAGCCAAGATCGCACCACTGCACTCCATCCTGGGTGACAGAGCAATACTCCGTCTCAAAAATAAAAATATATATTAAAAAATAGAGGTCGCAAAAAAAACTAACTCAATTGACAAAGGGAAAAAATTACCCTGCTTTTCCTAATATGTACTGTATTTCAGAATAACCAAAGGCTGATGAAGGAAAGCTCTTGTAGAACAGGTATTCAAATTCCAGTGTGCCTCGGAATCACCAAGAAAGCTTGTTAAAACAGAGTACTGGTCACTGCTTACATAGTTTCTGTCTGGGAAAGGACTCATGAATTTGCATTTTCAGTAAGTTCTCAGGTGATACTGATGCTGGCAGCCTGGGAACAATACTTTTGAGAACCACTGTTAGAGAATTCTAAATAGTAAATGAAGAATTTCTAATTCTTCCAGAAAGACTGAAAGCTCTATCACACCTAATAAATTCAGAAAGACTGAAAGAATTAGACATTCGCAACTTTGCAACCTGATGAAATGATGGGTCTAAGTAACTATTATTAGTGAATAATGTGACATTATTTGTCTCCTAATGTGATGCAACAGAAATGCACAACCAACAATCAATAAAACATTCCTTGGGAATCACATCATGAGGGCTGAATTAGCCAAATGAAATTAGACAAATTCTAAAATCCATGTGACACAGTCTTCTCAACAAATAAACTGCATGGGAAAAAAGGGGGGGCACTTAAGAGACCTGTTTATCAAAAGTCATGTGTGGACATTGTTGGATTCTATTTTGAAGACTAACTATACAGACATTTTTGAGGAAATCTGGGCTACTGAACATGGACTGGGCTTCAGATAACCAAGAGTCATAGTTAACTTTTTTAGGTGTGATAGAGCTTTTATGATTATATTAAAATTTTAATATAGGTCATGATTTTTCTACTAAAACAGCAAAACAGAAAACATTTTACACAAAAACAGCTCTGCTCCAGCCAAACACCATCGAAAAAATCTTCTGCCACACCCATACCAGCAAAGAAAACGGTAAGCCTAGACTTCCACCCTCACAGTACTGTAATGAGCCCAACATCCCTACCAGAGCAGTGTCAGAGAAAGCAAAGTAGGGAACCTAGACTTCCAATCCCACTCAGCAATAAAGAAACACTCCCCACTGGGCTGTATCACAGGAGGCCTAGTGGAACAACAGGACTTTCACCATGGTACAGCAATAATGGGACCATATACTCCTTCTCCCCTCCCCACGGTGTCAGTGGAGACCTACTGGAAAGCCAGAACTTCTACTTGCACACAACAGTACCAGAGTACCTCCTTCTCCTGATGGGGCAGTGTCAGAGAAACCCAGTTAAGATTAAGTAAAATCTACCATCTTGGCTAAGCACAGTGGCACATGCCTGTAATCTCAGCACTATACGGAGGCCGGGGTGGGTGGATTGCTTGAGGTCAGGAGTTCAAGGCCAGCCCGGGGCAACATGGTGAAACCCCGTCTTCACAGAAAAAAAAAAACAAAATCAGCCAGGCGTGGTGACACACACCTGTAATCCCAGGTATTCAGGAGGCTGAGGTGGGAGGACTGCTGAGCCTAAGAGATCAAGGCTGCAGTGAGCCACGATGGTGCCACCGCACTTCAGCCTGGGTGACAGTGAGAGCCCATCTGAAAAAAAAAAACCTAGAGTCTCATAACATAACCTCCCAAAATCCATGCATCCACTAAAAAAAAAAAAAATCACCCCATATCAAGAACCAGGAAGATCTGAAACAGAATGGGGAAAAAACCATCAACAGATCCCAACACAAAGTAGAGATGTTAAAATGATCTTACAAAGACTTTAAAGCAGCCACCAAGGCTGGGCAACATAGTGAGACCCCATCTCTACAAAAATAAAAATTAAAAAATTAGACAGGCATGGTGGCTCATACCTGTAGTCCCAGCTATTCAGGAGGCTCGCTTGAGCCCAGAGGTTGGAGGTTACAGTGAGCTGCGATCACATCACCATACTCCAGCCTGGGCAACAGAGCAAGACCCTGTCTCGAAATAAATAAATAAATAAATAAATAAATAAAGCAAGAGCCATCATAAAAATCCTTTAACTAGCATATAAAATATGTTGAAAATACAACATAACAAAAATCTGTGGGGCATAGCTAAAGCAGTGCTGAGAGAAATTCTGAATACCAAAGGTACACATGAAAAAAGACACAGTCTCAAATCAATAATCTGTAGTAAATTCCCACCTCAAGAACCTAGAAAAAGAAGAAGAAAACTAACCCAAGCAAGTAAAAGGAATGAAATAATAAAGGTTAGAGCAGAGACCAATGAAAACAAAAACATAAAAATGCAGAAAAAATTAAATGAAGCAAAGAACTGGTTATTTGAAAAGAACAATACAACTGAAAAGCCTCTAGCCAGAATGACAAAGAAACAAGAGGGAAGCAAGAATTATCAATATCAGGAATAAAACAGGATATCACTACAGACCCTACAGGCATCCAAAGGATAAAAAGGAAATACTATGAACAACTCTAGGCATATAAATTTGACAACTTAGATAAAATGGACCACTTCCTCAAATAATACAAGCTACCACAACTCACTCAATATGAAACAGATAATTTGAATAGCCCTATAACAATTAAGGAAATTGAGTTTGCAATCTTAAAATTCCCCAAAAAGAAATCTCCAGGTCCAGATGGTTTCCACCAGAGATTTTTACCAAATGTTTAAAGAATCTTTAAAATTCTACACACTCTCTTCTACAAGAGGGAACACATCTCAATTCATTTTATGAAGTTAGTGCTATGGTACTCTGATATCAAAACCAGACACAGCATCCAAAAAAGGAAAACTATAGACCAACCACCTTCATTAATACAGATGTACCCATTCCTTTTTTTTTTTTTTTTTTTTTTGAGACAGTTTCGCTCTTGTTGCCCAAGCTGGAGTGCAATGGCGCCACCTGGGCTCACCGCAACCTCCACCTCCCAGGTTCAAGCAATTCTCCTGCCTCAGCTTCCCAAGTAGCTAGGATTACAGGCATGCGCCACCACACCTGGCTAATTTTGTATTTTTAGTAGAGACGGGGTTTCTCAGTGTTGGTCAGGTGGGTCTCAAACTCCCGACCTCAGGTGATCCACCCATCTCAGCCTCCCAAAGTGCTGGGATTACAGGCGTGAGCCACCGCACCCGGCCAAATGTAAACATTCTTAACAAAATATTAGTGAATAAAATTCAGCAACATATAAAAAGAATTTTACAACACAGATAAGTGTAATTTATTCCAGGAATGCAAAGCTAGTTCAAGATTAGAACCTCAATGTGATGCACCACATTAACAGACTAAAAAGAAAAACTGCATGGTCAAATCAATTAATGCAGAAGAGGCTTCTGACAAAATTCAACAATCATTCATGATAAAATCCCTCAGAAATCAAGAATAGAGAATTTCCTCAACTTGATAAAAAGCACCTAAAAAAAAAAAAGAAAAAAAAAACCTACAGCTAACATTACATCTAATGGAGAAAGATCGAATGTTGATCAGGAACAAGGCAATAACTGTTTATTCTCATCAGTCTTATTACACATGGTGCTGGAAATTCTAGCAAGTACAATAGGGCAAGAAAAGGAAATAAAATAGAAAAAATTATAAATGAAGAAATAAAACTGTCCTTATTTGCAGATGACATGATTATCTGCATAGCAAACCCCAAGGAATTTATGAAAAAAAACGTTTACAGCTAATAAGTGCATTCAGCAAGAGCTGAATTGCACAGGCTGGAGTGCAGTGGCATGATCTCAGCTCACTGCAACCTCCGCCTCCCAGGTTCAAGTTGTTCTCCTGCCTCAGCCTCCCAAGTAGCTGTGATTACAGGCATGCGCCACCACTGCCGGCTAATTTTTGTATTTTTAGTAGAGACGGGGTTCCACCATGTTGGCTAGGCTGGTCTCAAACTCCTGACCTCAGGTGATCCACCCACCTCCCTCGGCCTCCCAAAGTGCTGGGATTACAGGCATGAGCCACCATGCCCTCCCATGGATTATTTTTACAAGGAAAAAATGCACACACACAAAAATGTACTCAAGGATCAAGATTTAACAAAATTGGCCATTTTTACTACTTTTAATGTGCACATTAGGAGAAACTAATTTCTTTTTTAAACTGTGTGTGGCATTAAAAATACAGTTGACTTCTGAATAACACAGGTGTTACAGGCACCAACCCATCACACAATCAAAAACCTGCATATAATTTTTGACCCCCCCCACCAAAAAACTTAGGGAGTTGGTGGTCTTGCTGCATAAGGAAGAAAATTCATGTATACATGGACCCACAAAGGTCAGACCTATCAATGTGACTACTCTAGGTGTCTCATATAAGTAGAATCATACAATTTGTTCTTTTGTGACTAGTTTAATTCACTTAGCATAATGTTTTTGAGGTACATCTGTGTTGTAGCATGTGTCAGAATATCCTTTCTTTTTAAGGCTGAATGATTCTGCTGTATGTATACACTACATTATGTTTATTCATTTATCTGTTGTTGGACACTTGGGTTGCTTTCACCTTTTGGCTGTTGTGAATAATGCTGCTGTGGAACATTGGAATTATGGGTGTGCATATATCTGTTTGAGTCCTGGCTTTATTCTTTAGGAGTTTATACTCAGGTGGAATTACTGAATCACGGTAATAGTATGTTTAAATTTTTTAGAAACTGCCATACAGTTTTCTATAGCAGCTGCACCATTTTATATTCTGACCAGCAATGTGCCAGGGTTCTTGTTTTGACATCCTCACTAACATTTGTTATTTTCTGTTTTTTGATAATAGCCATTCTAATGGATATGAAGTGGTCTCTGCTTGTGCTTTTGATGTGCATAGAGACAGAAAATAAAAGGGTTGTTGGGGGAGAAGAAAATGGGGAGTTAATGTTTAATGGATACAAAGTTTCAGTTTGGGAAAATGGAAAAAAGTTCTGGAGATAATGATGAGTGCTACACAACTGAATGTACTTAACGCCACCGAACTGTACAAGAAAAAAGGTTGAAATTGTAAATTCTGTTATACATATTTATAAAAAAAAAAAAACAGGGTCTCACTCTGTCACCCAGGCGGGAGTGCAGTGGCACAGTCATGGCTCACCACAGCCTCAACCTCCTGAGTTGGGGATCCTCCAACCTCAGAGTATGTTGTTCAATGGAAAACTGTGCAATGATTACAAGTACAGTTTGCCTTAATTAATGATTAGGTGCTACTGGTTTTCACCCGCCTTTGCTTTTGTATCATCAAGATGTGTGTCATATATGGATTGCAAATCATTAAACTTCTCAGAGACTAATAGCC
The DNA here is from genome assembly GCF_000001405.40 of Homo sapiens. Taxonomy (NCBI): domain Eukaryota; kingdom Metazoa; phylum Chordata; class Mammalia; order Primates; family Hominidae; genus Homo; species Homo sapiens. Next base: position 36,050,515 of record NC_000018.10, read on the forward strand.
AGAATATACATAAAAAAAAAACTACACTTCAACAAAAAACAACTCAATTCAAAACAGGCAAACTGCTTGAATAGACATTTATCCAAAAAAGATATACAGATAGTCAATAAGTACATGAAACTATGCTCACCATTATTAGTCATTAGGGAGTAGCTGAAACTACAGGCACACACTACCACAACCAGCTAATTTTTGTATTTTTTTTTTTTTTGTAGAGACAGGGTTTCACCATGCTGCCCAGGCTGGTCTCAAACTCCTGGGCTCAAGCAATCCAACCACCTCAGCTTCCAAAAGTGTTGGGATTACAGGTGTGAGCTACCACACCAGAATCAATTTTTCTTTTCTTTTCTTTTCTTTTTTTTTTTTACTGCTTTTAATGTGCACATTAGGTAAAACTGATTTTTTTTTTTAACTGTGGGTGTGTGGCATTAAAAATACAGTTGACTTTTGAATAACACAGGTGTTACAGGCACCAACCCATCACACAATCAAAAACCTGCATATAATTTTTGACCCTCCCAAAACTTAGGGAGTTGGTGGTCTTGCTGTGTATGGAAGAAAATTCATGTATACATGGACCCACAAAGGTCAGACCTATGTTGTTCAATGGAAAACTGTACAATGATTACTAGTACAGTTTGCCTTAATTAATGATTAGGTGCTACTGGTTTTCACCCACCTATGCTTTTATATCATCAAGACGTGCGTCAATATAGCAAGTAAGGACAAAAAAGCCTAAGTAGTAGTATCAAAATCATTTGACCTTTTGGACCCATATAACCCCCTAAAAGGGTCTTGGTGATCCACAGGGGTCTGTTGACCATATTTTAAAGACTACTGCTCTAAAAAGGGTTAAGTATGAAAAGGGTGGAACAATATAATAGACTAAAAAGGCTGGAAATTTTTCAGGTCTTTCTCAACCAAGAAAATATAACTGGGGGTTCATTATTTGGCTCAAGATACCAGAAGTTCCTAAATCATACACTAGTTCTAAAAGAAAAAAACAAATATTCTCTAATACCCCTTCCAATTCTAAAACCCTCAGATTCTACACACTTTCCAACATTCATTCAGTAACTCATTCAACACATAGTTATTGTGTCTATTGTATGCTAGGTTCTGAGGGAATAAAGAAGTAAGTTCAGTCCTCCAATAATAAGAAATTCAACACATTATTATAGATAAATGCTATAATAACAACAGTTAAAAGTACATGACACCATGGATAATGTCAAAAGCAGGGAAAATTACTGAATTTGAAGACAATTAAAATTATTGAGTCTGAGGAGCAGAAAGAAAAAGAATGAAGAAAAATGAACACAGCCTAAGGGATCTGCCAGTTAACAAATGCATTATGAAGTTACAAAAAGAAAAGCAAGAGAGAGGGATGAAGAAATGATACATGATTAACTAATGACTGAAAACTCCAAAACTTGAAGACGTGAATCTACAAATCCAAAAAGCTTAACAAACTTCAAGCAAGATAAACTCAAACCCACACTAAGACACATTATAATCAGTCAAAAACAAAGACAACGAGAATCTTGAAAGCAGCAAGGAGTCTCAGTAAGATTAAAACCCAATTTCTCATCAGAAACCACGAGACCAGAAAACAGTGAGACAATGTATTTAACATCCTAACAGAAAAAAAAAAAAACTGTCAACCAAGATTTTATACTTAGCAAAACAATCCTTCAAAACTAAAGGAGAAATTAAGACATTTCAAGCTAAACAAAAGCTGACAGAGTTTGTTACTAGTAAACCTGACCTACAAGAAATCCTAAAGACAGTCCTTCAGGATGAAATTAAAGGATACTAGATAGATAGTAACTAGAAGCCATAAGAAATAACGAACATCAATAAAGGTAACTCCCTAAGTAAATATAAAAGCCAATATTGTTGTATTTTTAGTTTGTCACTTCTCTTTTTGTTTCCTATGTGATTTAAAAATCAAATGCATAAAACATGTTTATCAAATGGCACACAACATATAAAGATGTACTTTGTGATAACATAAAAGGAGGACAGGGCTATAGAAGAACAGAGTTTTTGTATGCTATTGAAGATAAGTTGGTATCAATTCATTTTTGTTGGGGGCGGGGGGGATGGAATCTTGCCCTGTCACCCAGGGTGGAGTGCAATCACACGATCTCAGCTCACTGCAACCTCCACCTCCCGAGCTCAAGCGATTCTCCTTCCTCAGCCTCCTGAGTAGCTGGGATTACAGGCATGTGCCACCACACCTCGCTAATTTTTTGTATCTTTAGTAGAGACTGGGTCTTACCATGTTGGCCAGGCTGGTCTTGAGCTCCTGACCTCGTGATCCACCCGCCTCGGCCTCCCAAAGTGCTGGGATTACAGATGTGAGCCACCACACCCAACCTCAATTCAAATTTAAGAGGTTAACTGAAATTATAAATTTAAATTTTTAAAGTTTAAATTAAAAAAAAAGTTTTAAAGAACCCATCTCAAAAAACAGAACTAGGGATGATTGGTGGGTGAACAATTAATTCTTCCCAGGAGAGACTATAAAAACCTGCAGAGAGGAGTTGTCATGAGAGTCTGGAGACTAGGGGATAGAGGAGAAATAGAGAAAAGAAAAAGTATATAAAAGCACACAGACACATTAAAGTACAAGATACTTACATCATTTATAAAACTGAAATGAATCTCACATACCATAAATTTAACCACTTTAAAGCATACAATTCAGGGGTTTTTAGTGCATTTGTAAGGTTATGTAACCATTACCTCCATCTAGTTCCAAAATATTTTCAGCACCTCCAAAGACAAGCCCACACCCATTAAGTAGTTATTCCCCATTCCTCTCTTCACTGTAGCCCCCGGAGTATTATGGATTTACCTATTCTAGATATTTCATATATTATGGAATTACATGAAAATACGTGACTTTTTGTGTCTGCCGCCTTCTGCTTTGCATGTTTCTGAGGTTGCTCCACACTGTAGAATGTATCAGTACTTCATTCCTTTTTATAGCTGAATATAATATTCCAGCGTGTGGATATACCATATTTATTTATCCATTCATCTGCTGATGAACATGCAGGTTGTTTCAATCGTTTGGTCACTATGAACAGTCCTATTATGAGAATTCTTATAAAGTATTTGTTTGAATATTTGTTTTCAAGTCTCGTAAACATATACCTAGGAGTGAAATTACTGGGTCATATAGTAATTCTATGTTAACATGAGTAAGGAGGACAGCTAGTAGGTAAATGAGATTAGACACAAGGAGATCCGCTGGGAGGCTACTACAAGAATGTTAGTAAATATGAGAACCTAGGCAGTGGGGTGAAAAAGGAAAAGGGAGATGCTGCCAAAAACAACAACAAAAAAAGCTGAAGGTGAGAAAACTATGAAGGAAGGGGTTGAAACAATCTTGAAGTTCTGAGCATAGGCAACTAGAAGATTAGTAATGCCTTTCACTGAAATAGGAAAGGCAGAGCAACAGGGAAGAGGAATGGGAATGGGGGAAGATGACAAAAAAGGGTTTATGTGCACAATGAGTTTGGGATGTTTAGGAAATGCCATTCAGTGACACTGAGACTGGGGCTACAAAAAAAGATCATCAAGTCATCAGCATATTTATGACAGAAAGTAAAAACACCATATAAAGCATCAAATTATACACCCACACTAATTGATTTACCGATTAAATGCTAGTAAATCTATTGGCTGGGCATGGTGGCTCATGCCTGTAATCCCAGCACCTTGGGAGGCCAAGACAGGCAGATCACTTGAGGTCACGAGTTCAAGACCAACCTGGCCAACGTGATGAAACCCCATCTCTACTAAAAATAGAAAAAAATTAGCCAGATGTGGTGGCGGGCGCCTGTAATCCCAGCTACTCGGGAGGCTGAGGCAGGAGAATCACGAACCAGGGAGGCAGAGGTTGCAGTGAGCAGAGGTGATGCCACTGCACTCCAGCCTGGGCAACAGAGCGAGACTCCATCTCAAAATAAGTAAGTAAGTAAATAAATAAAATGTTAGTAAATCTAGATGAAGTGCTCAGATTACTTTTACTTGGGGATCTCCAAAGAAATAGAACCAATAGGACAGAGAGAGAGGGAGAGAGAGAAATATTGACTGATAATAAGGAATTGGCCATGGGAAATCTGGAGGCTGACAAGTCCCACGATCTGCAGTTCAGACTGCAGGAGAGCCTAGAGACCCAGGGGAGCCAATGGAGTAGTTCCAGTCCAAGTCCAAAGGCCTTAGAACCAGGACTACCAATGGTGTAGTTCAAGTCTGAAGGCTGGCAAACTGGAGACCTGGAAGAGCAGCCAATACTTCAGTTTGAGTCCAAAGGCAGGAGAAAAAAAGAAAGAAAAAAAAAAAGTCCCAGCTCAAAGGCAGTCAGCAGAAGTTCTCTCTTATTCACTGAAGAATCAACCTTTTCGTTCTATTTATGTCTTCAACTGGCTGGATAAGGCATACTTACACTAGGGAGGGCATCTGTTTTTCTCAGTCTGATTTAAATGTTCATCTCATCCAGAAAACACCTCCACACACATATCCAGAAATGGCTGGCTGAATGTCTGGACATCCTGTTGCCCAGTCAAGTTGACACAGAAAATTAACCATCACAAATGCTGTTCAAGATAATACCTCATGATATTCAACTAAGAAAAGTGAAATTTTTTGATAGTTTGGCAAAAATACTGTCCTTGACAAAAATGATTTGCTAGATTAAATGTCTAAGGTATTTTTAAACTATACTCTGAAGCAAAATGATGTTCCTTTAACTGGACCAAAGTGTGCCATCACAAAAATCAATCAATACAAATCATTTCCCAACTTAGAGAAAAACTAATTGATGTTTTCAGTTTTAAGTCTTTTTTCATAATGCAACTTAATCCTTCAATACTTCCTTCTATTAGCCTGTACGAGAATCAAGTAAGATACATTTAGCACAAAGTTAGACAATTATTTCAAACTTACATGTGCATTTCATGATACTCTTTAGAGATTTTTTACAAAGCATCATGAAGTGACATCTGAAAATCACTTAAACAAATACACATTTAAAATAAGACTGCACAGTTCTCAGCCTGACATTTGCCATTATAAAGACGTACATTCTTTCAGATACCGTAACAAATTAAAGTGATAATTCCAGAAATATCAAAAAATTTGTTCTTATAAATAACAAATTGATTCTAGAATTTATATAGAGAAACAAAATAAGAATACACAAGAAAACTCTGAAACAGGGAAGAGTAATTGCTGAAGGGAAAAAAGCATGTCTGAGAGGGTGGATGTCCTATCAGACATGAAAACATAATAAAGAGTATAACAGTGCAACATGAGTGGACAGATCAATGCAACAGAATGAGAATGAAAATACACCCAGATACACAGAAAAACTTAAGGTAGCATTTCAAATGGGTAGAGGTAAAAATGAACTTTTCACAAAATTGTGTGATACACTAATGCCTAGCACTTCTATCAAGGTCTCTTAAATCATCACCTGAAACCATTAAGAAAATACTAGAATATTTACTAACAAACATAAATTTATAAATTTTAATAGAAAAATTTTAATAGAAAAAACTGACATCCTAAACTTTCATCAACAGAATAACAATTATGTAAATTTTGGCACATCCATAAAATGAAATACAATGCAATCATTTTTTAAAATGAAGCAATGCCATTAAACTGTTAACAGACTGATTCTGGGTAGAGAAATGGTTAAGGAGGGAATAGGAATGGAAAGAACCCATATAACATTCTTTACAGCCTTTTGGGTTTTTGTGTTTTTTTTTTGAGATGGGAGTCTTGCTTTGTCTCCCAGGCTAGAATGCAGTGGCACAATCTCGGCTCACTGCAACCTCCACCTCCCAGGTTCAAGCGATTCTCCTGCCTCAGCCTCCCAAGTAGCTGGGATTACAGGTGCCTGCCACCACACCCAGCTAAATTTTGTATTTTTAGTAGAGACAGAGTTTCACCATGTTGGCTAGGCTGGTCTTGAACTCCTGACCTCAAGTGATCTGCCCACTTCGGCCTCCCAAAGTGCTGGGATTACAGGTGTGAGCCACCATGCCCAGCCTTTTTTGCCTTTTAAATTTCATATTATTTGCATATTACCTACTAAATAAGTATTTTTAGAAATACACCTGGAAAATCCAAGCATTCAACGTAAGTATGGTAAACCATTTTGTTAAAAAAAAATTACCAGTTATTACAGATACAAAGAAGAAAAAGCTATAAAAAGGAGAACAAGATGAACAGGCACCTTAGAACAGCCACAAGTTATGCAAGAGAACCAAAATGACCAAAAAGCTCAGATGACAGCAAGGTGACTAAATAAATAATTCATCATTATAGTCCTTCTATTTTTCTTTTTTCTGTATAATCCTCTTAATACATTTTAACAAACAAAAATAAATAAAAAAGGTGAGGCATGATGCTGACATCTATAATCCCAGCACGTTGGGAGGCCAAGACAGGAGGATCATCTGAGCCCAGGAGTTCGAGACCAGCCTCAGCAACACAGCTAGACCCTGTTTCTACAAAAAAAAAAAAAAAAAAAAAAAAAAAAATCAGCCAGTCATGGTAGCATGCACCTGTGGTCCTAGCTACTCAGGAGGATTGATTGAGCCTGGGAGGTTGGGGCTGCAGTGGGCCTTGATTGGCCACCACACTCCAGCCTGGGCAACAGAGCCAAACCCTGTCTCTCAAAAAACAAGAACAACAACAACAAACATATATATATATCACACACACACACACATACACACACCTTAAGTCACTTATTTTCAGACATAAAACACTAAACGTTTATCTAGCCCAGGCTCCATGGCTCATGCCTGTAATCCCAGCACTTTGGGAGGCCAAAACGGGAGGATCACTTGAGCCCAGGAGTTTGAGACCAGCCTGGGCAATATGGCAAACACGGTCTCTACAAAAAATACAAAAAAAATTATTAGCCAGGCATGGTGGTGTGCACCTATAGTCCCAGTACTCAGGGGGCTGAAGTGGGAGGATCGCTTAAGCCCAGGAGGCAGAGGTTGCTGTGAGTTGAGATCATGCCACTGCACTCTAGCCTGGGTGAGAGAGTAAGACCCTGTCTCAAAAAAATAAATAAATAAATAAAAGTTTATCTAAATGTGTATTATCCTGTCTACCTCCAGAAAGGACTTATGAACAGAAATGTTCAATTTGAAAAGTCAAATAATGCTGTTCTACATAACACCACATTCAAATGATTACAACAGCTAAAACCTATGTCTATATTCTTGGTACAGCTCCTAGTAAATTCTACATATACTTCAAATCTTAAACCAAAGGACCCTTCCCTGATTCCATAAACTAGGATAGGTTCCCAATTACATTTCTCCTTTGTATTACTGTGCAGTTACTAGTTTGGCAAAGTCCATTTGCCTGGCTGATATGTAAGCTCCATGAACACAGCTGTATGTCCCTTTATCTGCTCAATCATCCTTGTTCACTAAGACAGTAAGGAGGTCAACAAGTATTTCTTGAATAAAGAAACCTAATAGAAGAAACTTCTTGTATTTTTTGTGACAGGGTCTCACTCTGTTGCCCAGGCCAGACTGCACTGGTCAGATCATGGCTCATTGCAACCTCTGCCTCCAGACTCAAGCAATCCTCCTACCTCAGCCTCCTGGGTAGCTGGGACTACAGTCATGCACCACCACACCCTGTTAATTTTTGTATTTTTAGTAGAGACAGGGTTTTGCCACGTTACCCAGGCTGGTCTCAAACTCCTGGCCTCAAACAATCCACCCGCCTCAGCCTCCCAAAGTGCTGGCTGGGATTACAGGCATGAGCCACTGCGCCCGGCCAGAAAACCAACAGAAGAAACTTCTACTTGTACATTTTGAATGAAAAATTTATTTTATCAAGAAAAAAAGCCTGTAAAATTACAGATTGTTTGTTTAATGTAGGAACACACTTTTATTTTTATAAGAAATGTAGAGATAATTTGTTGAATCAGATGTAAAAACATCAAATCAACAACTTTTTTTAAAAAACCTTAACGTCACAGGAAAGAGAACCTAAATAAAATTACGTTACGGGCCAAAGGGAAATTTTATAAATTCAGTTTCTGCTTTTCTGGGGAATTAATATTTTAGAGGGATATGTCTGCTTAAGGCAAAGCAATGTATCCTAGTCTCTTGATCTAATTATCAATATTCAGAAAATGGTCCACTTCTCAGCCAACAGTCTGTGGATTCCAGGGGGTCAAGACACTTTCATGGGGTCAATTAAGTCAGAACTACTTTCACAAGAATGCTCATCTATTATTTGCCTTTTTTCACTCTCATTCTCTCACAAGCGTACAGTGTTGTTTTGCAGAGGTCATGTGATACAGCAAGACTGAATGCAGAAAAAGACACGAGAATTCAGCAGGCTTCTATTAAGAGAGATCTTATAAAGATCTGGAAAAATGTAAAATAATCACTCCTTTCCCTGGTATTTTTTAGCAAATATAATTGGTTTTCATTAAAAATGTTATGTTACGATAATTGCATGAGGTAATGGATACTAACTACCCTTATTTGATCATTAGACCAACATATACATCTATCAAAACATCAAACTGTATCCCATAAATACATACAATTACAATGTGTCCATTTGTAATTTTAAAAATCTTTTTTTTTTTGAGATACAGTCTGTCACCCAGGCTTGGAGTAATCTCAGCTCACTGCAACCTCCGCTTCCCGGGTTCAAGTGATTCTTGTGCCTCAGCCTCCCAAGTAGCTGGGATTACAGATGTGCACCACCACGTCTGGCTAATTTTTAAATTTTTAGTACTGACATGGTTTTGCCATGTTGCCCAGGCTGGTCTCAAACTCCTGACCTCATGTGATCTGCCTGCCTCAGTCTCCCAAAGTGCTGGGATTACAGGCATGCACCACCATACCTGGCCTTAATTAAAAATTTTTAAAATATTATTTAACATGAATCGATTTAGTATTATAGTTTTAAAACAAATAATTATTAAATAAATTTTTAAGTGTTTTAATTTCCAATGTAGTAACTAGCGGTAGATATAACCCACATAAACAAAAGATTTAGAATCTTCAATTTTTAAGAGTAAAGAGATCCTCAAACCAGAAAGTAGGAGAAATTCCTGGTCTAGAATAAGAATTTCTTTGGAACAACCAATTTGATTTTTTCAAAGAATACATTTAAAATAAAAGACAGATGGCACCCATAGATGTAAAGGAACTTTATTTACATAGTAATCAATTGCAATAAATGAACTTTACTTGGATCCTGATTCAAACAAATGGCTTCTAAAAAAGTGAAATGATCACGGAAATAAATACTGGCTCAATATTTGATATCTTAAGAAATTAAGTTTTTTTAAGTGTTAAGAAAGACTATAACTATTGAAGCTGCAAGATGACTACATGGGAGTCACCATGTCAGTTTGACAACATTAATCCTTTTAAATATAAGAACTTAGAAGGTGCTAGCATTGTCTACTTACTTTTTCAATTCTAACTCTGAAAGAGAAACAAGTAACAGTATCAGACAATATAAAAGCCACTGAACTGTCAATTTAAAACAGACTCTCTTCATTTTTAGGATTTATATTGCTATATATTTTTAAAGCAAATGAAAAATGTTCTTTTGGCCGGGTGTGGTGGCTCGCGCTTGTAATCCCAGCACTTTGGGAGGCCAAGGTGGGCGGATCACGAGGTCAGGAGATCGAGACCATCCTGACTAACACGGTAAAACCCCCATCTCTACTAAAAATACAAAAAAATTAGCCAGGCATGGTGGCGGGCGCCTATAGTCCCAGCTACTTGGGAGGCTGAGACAGGAGAATGGCATGAACCCGGGAAGGTGGAGGTTGCAGTGAACCGAGATCGCGCCACTGCACTCCAGCCTGGGCAACAAAGCGAGACTCTGTCTCAAAAAAAATAAAAAAGAAAAATGTTCTTTCACTTCTCCATTTTTCTAAAACCAAATTAATAAGAACAGCCAAGAATATACAGTACTTATTTTAGCACATCTTACAAGTTTAAGCCGTATTAGTGAATACGAATGTTAATTCAACGAATATTTAAAAACTTTCATCAAACGCAGTATGCTGGGGAGCTAAAAATTGAAATAGGTAAACAACCTGAAGGAGCCCACTATCTACTTCACAACCAATATGTAACCCCCCAACCTATAATACAATATAAAATGGTAATTAGTTCCCTGAAAGATATCTAACATAGCTTATTGAAAAAGTGATGATTTCAACAAATGATTACAAATAGGAGGAAAATCTAAACCTTAAATAATGTATTATTTTAATTGTTGCCAACCCTAGAAAAAATAAGCCCAGCATGGTAGTGTGCACCTGTAGTCCCAGCTACTCGGGAGGCTGAGGCAGGAAGATCACCTGAGCCCAAGAGTTCAAGAGCAGCCTCGGCAACATAGTGAGACACTGTCTCATAAAAAAAAAAAAATTTAGGAAACAAAGTTAACAGGCATTCAAAGGCTGACCATTTCCAGGTTTGGCTCTTTGCATCCAAAGCTATGTATCACCTCAGCACTTTCACATATTCCCAGTGGCTGCAGGCCCAAGCCCCCCTACCCCCGCAACTTGTTCAAAGAGGTCTTTTATTAAACGTCACCTTGCAGAGATGATTTCCCTCTAACTAAAGATTTCCTCCTTCAAAGAACTAAACACGAAATTTATATTTAAAATTTTTTGTTTATTGGTTGCCCTTACCACAAGACTATAAATTCTGAGGGCAGGGATAAACTGTTTTCCCTTTGTTTTCTTTACCATTGTAATACACAATCAATAAATACAGGGTGAGTAAACATACTTTAAGGGGTTGAGGCACTTACAGTTTTGTTAAGACACCAATATAACATAAAAGAGGCTGGTACAAAGGATACAATCACTAGACTAGGGAAGGCAGTGACCTTCACCAACTACAAAGAATTTCCTCCTATCTATCTTGTTTTGTACAGCTCTTATAGAGATCTTTCAGCGAGTGTGTGTAGAAAAGAGCCCAAATGTTAGTGTTGGTTTCTAAGTTCAGGTATGTTCATGGTCAATATTTCTACAGAAATGAATATAAATTAATGATGTATATTAAGTTTTAAAATTTAGCCTAGTATTGACTGAGACATTTACAGTTTAAAACAGTCACCTTCAAAGGACACTATTAAGAAAGTAAAAAGACAACCCACTGAATGGAAGAAAATATTTGTGGTATGAATCTAATACAATACTTGTACCTAGAATACATTGGGAACACTTACAACTCAATCATAAAAAGACAAATTTTAAAATAGGCAGAATAGACATTTCTCCAGACAACATCCAAATGGCCAATAAGTACATGAAAATAGGCTCAGTGTCATTAGTCATCTGGGAAATGCATATCAAAATCATGAGATACCACTTCATACCCACTAGGACAGCTGTAATCAAAAAGATAACAAATATTAGCAAGGATGTAGAAAAACTGGACCCTCATACACTGCTTGTAGGAATGTATTTTAAAAACATGGCCGGGCGCGGTGGCTCACGCCTGTAATCCCAGCACTTTGGGAGGCCGAGGCGGGTGGATCATGAGGTCAGGAGATCGAGACCATCCTGGCTAACAAGGTGAAACCCCGTCTCTACTAAAAATACAAAAAATTAGCCGGGCGCGGTGGCGGGCGCCTGTAGTCCCAGCTACTCCGGAGGCTGAGGCAGGAGAATGGCGTGAACCCGGGAAGCGGAGCTTGCAGTGAGCCGAGATTGCGCCACTGCAGTCCGCAGTCCGGCCTGGGCGACAGAGCGAGACTCCGTCTCAAAAAAAAAAAAAAAAAAAAAAAAACATGTACCCACTGTGGAAAATAGCCTGGTGGATCCTCAAAAGGTTGAACATAGGATTCCCATATGACCCAGAAATTCCACTCCTCAGTAAGTATCCAAGATGAAAACATATCCACAAAAAAAAAAAGCTTGTACAGGAGTGCTCACAGCAGCATTATTTATAATAGCCAAAAAGCGGAAACAACTCGAACGTCTATCAACTGATGAATGGCTAAATTCATACAATATTCTATTCGGCCATAGAAAAGACTGAAGGACAGTAAGTGGTCTTTTGCAACTGGCTTCTTTTAATTAACATGTTTTCCAGGCTCATCCATGTTATAGCATGGATGGAAAACACACAAAAGACCACATACTATATAATTCTATTCATATGAAATGGTAAAAATAGTCCAATCTATAGAGGCAAAGTAAATTAGCAGTTGCCTAGGGTTGGGAGAGATGGGGGACTGGGGACAACAGCTAAATGGCATGGAGTTTCTTTCTGGGTAATAAAAATGTTCTAAAACTGGTGGTAGCTTTACAATTCTATAAACATATCAAAAACCACTGAATAGTATACTTTGAATGGATAAAAGGTGTGGTATGTGAATTACATCTTAATAAAGAAGTAACAAAATGGTCACTTACATTTTTGGTTACACTTTACTGCATTTATCAGGAAAATTGTATGCCATTTTGGTCTTCACAAAGGCCTTGAAGTTTATCCCTCCAAACAGAAACTCTTTCTTTAAAGGAGACAAAGATAAGGAAGGTAGGAAAAGAAGGGAAACCTTCATAACTGAATGGCTACCATTATCTAACATATATAATTTTACTTATTCATTCTTATATTTTTTTGTTTGTTTGTTTTCTGAGACAGGGCCTTGCTCTGTCGCCCAGGTTGGAGTGCAGTGGCGCACTTGGCTCACTGCAGCCTAAACCTCTTGGGCTCAAGTGACCCCCCAACCTCAGCCTCCTTAGGCCTGCGCCATCATGCCCAGCTAATTTTGGTATTTTCTGTAGAGACAGGGTTTTGCCATGTTGACCACGCTGGTCTCGAACACCTGAGCTCTGGCAATCCACTTCCCTCAGCCTCCTAAAGTGCTGGGATTACAGGCATGAGCCACAGTACCCAGCTCATTCTTTTATTTTAAACAGTAGCTTCTCCCACTCTCACATTTTTGTCTTTACACACTTTGAGAAACTAAAGAATGCCTAGCTTAACACAAAATGTTCAACTAATTTTCTTTAGTTTGTTGTAATATACTTTCAAGATTGATCGATTCCTTTCATAATTATTCTGCAGAAATAATGTGATTCAAGATATGGTAAAATAACTAAAAGAATGTCTGGTACTCAGTAACTGATTGCCATTATCATTAAACTACAGGAGATGAGAATCCTGAAGTTGATGAGCAAAACTGCAGGAAAGGGGAAGGACACAAAGGCTACACCCTGCAAAAGCAGTCATCTGTCAAGAAAAGGAAACCCTTGGCAGAGTAGCCCAGGCTAATATGAGGATTAAAGCGGCAGCGGTATGTTCATCAGCATCACCGTTACTATCAACACTATCATCACTACCACCCTCCTCCTAAAGCATCTTTTTATATGCTTTAACGTTTTCCACTTATGAAACACTTAAACATATGGAAACATCACAAACCTTGCTAAAAGCACATCTTACAATTTTACCACATTTGCACCATTTTCTTAAATACATTAAATATTAGATAGCTTTCTCCTATTGAGAGGTGACAACGTCCTAGCAGCCCTTGCTCGCTCTCGGCGCCTCCTCGGCCTCGGCGTCTGCTCTGGCCGTGCTCAAGGAGCCCTTCAGCCCGCTGCTGCACTGTGGGAGCCCCTCTCTGCGGCTGGCAGAGGCCGGAGCCGGCTCCATCTGCTCTCAGGGAGGTGTAGAGAGAGAGGCGCCGGCAGGAGCCTGGGCTACGCGCGGTTCCGGGTGGGTGCCTGCTGGGCTTGATGGGGGACGAGCTCCCTCTGGGCTGCTAGAGTGCCCAAGCTAGGTGCCGCAAAGTCCCGCGGCGAGTGCCATTGAGAGGTGAAGCCAGCTGGGCTTCTGGGTCAGGTGGGGACTTGGAAAACTTTTCTGTCTAGCTAAAGGATTGTAAACGCACCAATCACCACTCTGTGTCTAGCTCAAGGTTTGTAAACGCACCAATCAGTGCTCTGTGCCTAGCTAGAGGTTTGTAAACACACCAATCAGCACTCTGTGTCTAGCTAAAAGTTTGTAAATGCAACAATCAGTGCTGTGTGTCTCGCTAAAGGATCATAAAACGCACCAATCAGCACTCTGTCAAAACGGACCAATCAGCTCTCTGTAAAATGGACCAATCAGCAGGACGTGGCTGGGGCCAGATAAGAGAATAAAAGCAGGCCACCCAAACCAGCAGCAACAACCCGCTTGCGTCCACTTCCCTGCTGTTGAAGATTTGTTCTTTCACTCTTCACAATAAATCTTGCTGCTGCTCACTCTTTGGGTCCCTGCCGCCTTTATGAGCTGTAACACTCACCGCGAAGGTCTGCAGCTTCACTCCTGAAGCCAGCGAGACCACGAATCCACCGAGAGGGACCAACAACTCCGGATGGAAGGAACAACTCCAGACGCACTGCCTTTAAGAGCTGTAACACTCACAGTGAAGGTCTGCAGCTTCACTCCTGAAGCCAGCGAGACCACAAACCCATCAGAAGAAAGAAACTCCAGACATGTCTGAACATCAGAATGAACAAACTCCGGACACACCATCTTTAAGAACTATAACACCGCGAGGGTCCACAGCTTCATTCTTGAAGTCAGCGAGACCAAGAACCCACCAATTCTGGACACACTATGACAACCACTATCTTGGAATATGGTGTTAATCACTACTATGCATATTTTAATATAGGTATCTATAAACAAAAGAAGTACTGTTTTGCATGTTTTTAGACTTTACCCCCATAGCATTATTCGTCTGTACCTTGTTTTCTTAGCTCAAGATTTTGTTTGTTTTTCAATTCAGTCACGTTGTTTCATGCAGCTCTAGTCCATTCGTGAGAACTTTTCGATAGTATTACATTTTATTAATATCACAATTTATTTGTCCATTCTCAAACTAATGGAATGGTTTTTTTGTTTTCTTATTTTTTGTAAAGAAAAGGTTTCACTATGTTGCACAGGCAGGGTCTCACTTGTTTTCAATTTTGTTATTATGAAGCTGCAATAAACAATTCTTGAGAACAATACTTATTTCTAGAATATATTCCTAGAAAGAAAACTGCTAGGTCAAAGGATATATTTAATATATACCTCCAACTTCATCAACTAAGTTGATCTACAAAATAGTTACATATTTTTACATTCCCACCAAGTGGTATAAGAGTTCCTGTTTCTCTGCAACAATTATCCATATTGTCATATTATTTTGCCAAATTGATGAACATAAAGTGGTACCTCACTGGCTTACTTTTTCCTGATTTGTAAGATTAAGTATCATTTATTGACCTTTCAGGTTTCCTCACGTGAAATGCCTATAAACAGTACTGCCATTTTTTTTTTTTACTGATTTGTAATAGTTATTAAGAGAGTCTGGGTATCAACCCTATACTGATTACATGTGTTTCTAAATGCTCTCTGCAAAAACAAAAAACAAGATAAACCTGTTACCGATTCTGAAATCTAGTAAAATGTAAAAGCAAAGCTAATTCCTGACTTTTCAAAGTTCACAGCTACTTTCCAGACCTTTATATCAGTGTTTCTGAAACCTTTCCGTCCACTCACAGAAGATGAATTCCTCATTCAGGGCCAATACACACATACTTACACATAAACTGAAAAACAAGGCTGTAAATCAATTTCTTCTCAAGGATGGGTGACGTTTTCATAACCACAAACAATATACAAGGACAGATTGTCTCCATTATATACAGCCAACATTTTGGCTCACATTTTGGCTGTTACGTACATACATCATATAGCTTTCACAAGGTTCAGTAAGCAAGCGTCTATTTTGATTAATAACGGTTAAAACCTTTAACACTTGATAAAAAACCATCATATCCATCAGGATGTTTGCAACAATAATGAAGAGTGTCCACTCTACCCAATGAATTAAGAATTAAAGTACAAGCTCAGACTAAGCAAATGAAATTTTTTATTTTCAGTCGCACTAGGATAATTTTTTACAAAGTTGCTCTGCATACATGAACTGATTCTGAATATTTTAGTGACAGACATCTCAAAAAAGTTTACTTCATTTACAGGAACACTATCAAATGTTTTGCAAAACAAAGACACTGCATTAGGGCATATAATCATAGAATAGGAAAGGACTTTAGGTGACTTACTCTAAATCTCTCCTTTTCAGGTAAGGCATCTGCAACGCAGAAGTTATAAGAAACTTGCCCAATTGAGACCCTCTAAAATCTACAAATTCAGAGTCTTTTCCACTGCATTACCCATCTTCTTATATTAGACTTCTAAAACTATTCCTCTATTAATTTCACAAGAATAAGTTGCTGCGTTACAGAAATGACGGAAGTAACTCCCAAACCCACACCAATCTTTTTCTTTCCACTCCCCTACCTTCTCCCTCCCTTATCCTCCATTATCATTCACAGAATGAAAAAAATACCTGACCACCTGAATTTCTGGCCCTAATTGGGTGTGGAGTCCCAACCCCCTGCTACTGTTTCCGTGTTAAGCTAACCGGAGTTTTCTTTTTTAATTATTCATTCCTTTATTCAATAAATATCTAAGCCCAGACTTTGCAGAAGCGTGGTGCACGCAGCTCCTCCAAGCCCGCAGACCACCGCGCGCTGGCATCCCGACGCCGGGAAGCCGGGGGCGCTGGAGAAACGGGGTTCCCGGGGGCGCCTGGAGGCCGGCCGGGTGGTGGGAAGCGGCCGACATAAGCGGTTGACTCACCTTTCCGCAGCTCCCGCTCCCACACGGTGACGATGGGACGCGAGTGTTTACGGTGGTGAATGAGCCACAGGGACAAGGTCTGCACGCTCTGCTGCGAGTTGCTCAACTCCGACAGCTTCTTCTCCAGCGCCGCCTCAGAGAAGGCTGACATCCCTCCGACACCACGTTCACGCCGTCCCACGCGGTGGGGCCGAGGGGAGGAGAGTTTCGCCGCCCTAGCTGCGGCCTCGCCCCCTCACCCCACCCTTCCCCACGCTCTCACCACGGCCGCCGCTTCATCCAAGACCGGCCGCAAACCAGCAAGATGGCGTCCGGCCGGCAGTGACGTCACAGGGACCCACGCCCCGCCCCTCCCGCTGCAAGCCCTGGGAAAACGCGCGGCCGAGAAGTGGAACCGCCAGGCGGAAGGGGCGGAGTCGAAACAAGTGCAGGGGAGGCGGACAGGGGCGTGATGCCTGGGTTACTCTCAGAGGCATGGTGGGAGTTTGCCAGGCCTGAACCCTCCTTAATGGAAACTCTGTCAAAGAAGCAGTGATTACAGATCTCTACATAGGCATGTAAACTGGTATAAATTGGGGCAGGCACTTTAAAGACTATTTGCATGACCAATTACGGTTAAAAATACACCTTCCTAAATAGAGTATAGGATGGTGACCAGAGGCTGGGAAGGGTAGTGGGGGAGGGCTAAATAGAAGGACTAATAGAAGGACTAAATATAAATAGGACCTAGTATTTGATAGCATGACAGGGGACTAGAGTCAGTAATAATTTAATTGTACATTTTAAAATAACTAAAAGGATAATTGGATTGTTTGTAACACAAAGGATAAATGCTTAAAGGGATGGATACCCAACTTTGCATAATGCGATTATTAGGCATTGCCATGCCTGTACCAAAATATCTTATGTACTCCATAAATATATACACCTACTATGTACCCACAAAAATGAAAAATGAATAAAAATTTAAAAATTATAAGAATACTCTTTCCTAGCAATTTCACTAATTGCTGTCAGTGCTGGAAAAAACACCAGCATGTTTGCACCAGGAAGCTTATTCTAGGTGTTCAGTCCAACACAGTAACAGTGAAAAATTGGAACATTCACTGTTGCAGTCTACACAGATACGTCTATATTCCATAATACATGCAGCAGTTTAAAATATGGATTAATCCAAGATATGGTGGATTTGGAAGGGTTTGAGTGGGTTTTTATGAGGTTCTTTTTGAGAGAGGGCCTCACTCTCACCCAGACTGGAGTTCAGTGCCATGATCACAGCTTACTGCAACCTCGAATTCCTGGGCTCAAGCATTCCTCCCACCTTGGCCTCCCAAAATGCTGGGATTACAGGTGTGAGCCACCATGCCCAGCTGGATTTTTTTTTAATTACAGAAGCAAAAGTATAGTATACCACTTCTTGTTTAAAGGTATGTAGTTCATATGGGTTCACAAGTACGTAAACTCATGGCAAAGGTTTGGAGGAATACACACCACATGAATACTGGTCTCAGGGAGAGGATCAGAATTGGAGCCCTTAAATTGTGTCCATATTGTTTTCATTTTTACAAAAAGAATACGTGAATATATTACTTATATAGTTAAAAATTAATTACAGAAATCTCATTGTTAATCTAATGCATACACCATCATATTCTAAAATTTTTTTTGAGACCGGGTCTTACTCTGTTGCCCAGGCTGGAGTATGTGGTTCAGTCATGTTCACTGCAGTCTCGACCTCTGGGCTCAAGCAATCCTCCTCTGTGTCGGCCTCCCAAAGTGCTGGGAATACAGTTGTAAGCCACCATGCCTGGCCCTAAATATTAATACAAGAAACTTCCAGAAAGATACATAAGAAACCATAGGAATTCCTAAACTATCTTTTGACAAGCATCGTTCAAGAACTTTGCGGCCAGATGTGTGGCTCATGTCTATAATCCCAGCACTCTGGGAGGCCGAGGTGGGAGGATTGCTTGAGCCCAGGAGTTAGACACCAACCTGGGTAACATAGTGAGTCCCTGTCTTTACTAAAAATTTAAAAATTAGCTGGGCATGGTGGTATGCGCCTATGGTCCCAGGAAGCTGAGGTAGGAGGATCACCTGAACCTGAGAGGCAGAGGTTGCCGTGAGTCATGATTGTGCCACTGCACTCCAGCCTGAGCAACAGAGCAAGACCCTGTCTCAAAAAATGAAAAGGAAGGGCAGGGCACGGTGGCTCAAGCCTGTAATCCCAGCACTTTGGGAGGCCGAGGTGGGTAGATCACCAGGTCAGGAGTTCGAGACCAGCCTGGCCAACATGGTGAAATCCCATCTCTACAAAAAGTACAAAAATTAGCTGGGCATGGTGGTGGGCACCTATAATCCCATCTACTCGGGAGGCTGAGGCAGGAGAATTGTTTGAACCTGGAAGGCGGACGTTGCAGTGAGCCAAGATCGCGCCATTGCACTTCCAGCCTGGGCAACAGTGTGAGACTACATCTCAAAAAAAAAAAAAAAAAGAAAAGAAAGAGAAAGAAAAAAGAAAAAGAGAAAGAACTTCCAACAAGTAGGAACAGAATATGTATATCTGTGCCTGAGGTTCAGAGATATCGTTGTAGAGGTGAAGTTCACTCTTCCTTCACCTCTTTTCACTCCAATATCTATTCCTATC
Organism: Homo sapiens; assembly: GCF_000001405.40. Lineage (NCBI taxonomy): Eukaryota > Metazoa > Chordata > Mammalia > Primates > Hominidae > Homo > Homo sapiens. The sequence continues at coordinate 36,069,901 of NC_000018.10, forward strand.
TTTACATTTCTTTCTTTCTCCATTATACATCTTTTTGTTTATCCAATCTATTTAGCCTAGTTTTTAACTTTAACTTAGTTCGAGTTTAACCTATCTTTTTTTTTTTTAAAAGGAGACAAGATATCGCTCTGTTGCCCAGGATGGAGTGCAGTGGCATCATCACAGCTCACCGCAGCCTCAACCTCCCAGGCTCAGGTGATTCCCCCCACCTCAGCCTACCAAGTAGCTAGGACTACAGGTGTACCATCATGCCCAGCTTATTTTTAAATTTTTTTTTTTAGAGATGGGGTCTCGCCATGTTGCCCAGGCTGGTCTTGAATTCTCAGGCTCAAGCCATCCTCCTGTCCCTGCCTCCCAAAGTGCTGGGATTATAGAACGTGAGCTACTGAGGCTGTCCAAACCTATCTATCCCCTGAGACCTTAAAAGTATCTTCAACAATATTCCATTCCATTCCACCAAAGACTACTTCCCATCTCCCAGTGTCTTCACCTGAGATTTCCACTCTTCTCATTCTCTATCTCTGTCTTCCTCTGTGTCTCAATTCTACCTAAAATTTCAGCTTAAATTCTGCCTTAAATTTCAGCTTTCTTTTCTTTCCACTCAGTCAATGTTAGATTCCTTCCTTGTGTTTTTTAATTACTGAATGCCTTATTTAGCACTTACACTACTAGTCTATGTTATTTACAATTTAATATATGTATTCTCTCTCTCCAGCTAGATTTAGCACTCCGTGACTCAGTCATAGCACCAACTCTTCTGTCTTCCTTGGTCCACAGTCTAATCTGGCTGTCCCTGCTCCAGGCTCCCAGAACATTCTATGTATGAATGTACCATGGCTTTTGGCACTAGGATGTTAGATCTACATTTATTGACGTTGTTACTTATAGCTATATTTTCAAAATATTGACTGTAACTATTTATACCTTTAGATACTTATGACTCGTTTTTATATCTTGTCTCTAAATTGGAAAGCAGGAGGTAAAATGGTCTCCATTCACAGAAGATATGATCTTAGATATAGATCTTGAAGAATTCACCCACAAAATTTAGAGATGATAAACAAATTCAGCAAAGTTGTGGGATATAAGATCAACACACAAAAATGAGTTGTATTTATATACACTGATAATAAATAATTTGAAAATGACATTAAGAAAAAAATCTTATTTACAATAACATCAAAAAAGGCTGAAATACTATGGAATAAATTTAGGCAAGGAAGTATAAGACTTGTATCCTGAAAACTACAAAATATTGGTGAAATATATCAAATACCTAAATAAATAGAAAGATATCCTGTGTTCATGGATTGGAGGATTTAATATTCTTAAGATGGCAATAATACCCCCAAGCAATCTTCAAATTCAATGCAATTCATGTTAAAATACCAATGGCCTTTTATGCAGAAATGGAAAACCTGACCTTAAAATTCATATGGAATTGAAAGGAGCCCTGAATAATCAAAACAATCTTGAAAAAGAAAAACAAAGTTGGAGGATTCACAGTTTCTTATTTCAAAAATTACTTCAAAGCTACAGTTATATCAAAACATATATCAGGCTAGGCGTGGTGGCTCACGCCTGTAATCCCAGCACTTTGGGAGGCCAAGGGGCTGGGGGCGGGGGGGGGGGTGGATCACAAAGTCAGGAATTCGAGACCAGCCTGGCCAATATGGTGAAACACCGTCTTTACTAAAAATACAAAAATTAGCTGGGTGTGGTGGCGTGTGCCTGTAGTCCCAGCTGCTCTGGAGACTGAGGCAGGAAAATCACTTGAACCCGGGAGGTAGAGGTTGCAGTGAGCCAAGATCGCGCCACTGCACTCCAGCCTGGGCGACAGAGCGAGACTCCGTCTCAAAAAAAAACAAAAACAAACAAAAAAAGCACACAAAACAGTGTGGTCTAGGCACAGTGGCTCATGCCCGTAATCCTAGCACTTTGGGAGGCCGAGGCGGGCGGATCTGTTGAGGTCAGGAGTTCGAAACCAGCCTGGACAACATGGTGAAATCCTGTCTCTACTTAAAATACCAAAAAATTCTCTGGGCGTGATGGCGGGCACCTGTAATGCCAGCTACTCAGGAGGCTGAGGCAGGAGAATGGCGTGAACCCAGGAGGCAGAGGTTGCAGTGAGCCGAGATTGCACCAGTGCACTCCAGCCTGGGTGACAGAGTGAGACTCCATCTCAAAAAACAAACAAACAAACAAACAAATAAACAAACAAAAAACCAGTGTGATATATTATTCAGCCATAAAAAGAGATGAAATAATAATGCATGATACAAGACAGATTAACCTCAAAAATATTATGCTAGCTGGCACAGTGGCTCATGCCTGTAGTCCCAACAATGTGGGAGGCTGAGGCAGGAATGAACCCTTGAGGTCAGGAGTTCAAGACCATCGTATACAACACAGTGAGACTCCATCTCTACAAAAAAAGAATTTTTTTTAAGCCCAGACATGGTGGCTGACACCAGCAATCCTAGTACTTTGAACTCCTGGACTCAAGCAATCCTCCCACCTCGGCCTCGCAAAGTGCTGGGATTACAGGTGTGAGCCACTGCTCCCAGCATAATATATTTTATGAACTAAATTAAAGGCTTTAAGGCTAGGCGCAGTGATTCATGACTGAAATTCCAGCATTTTGGGAGGCCAAGGCACATGTATTGCTTGAGGCCAGTGATTCAAGACTAACCTGGCAGCATGGCGAAACTCTGTCCGTACGAAAAGCACAAAAGTTAGCCGGGCATGGTGGTGCATACCTGTGGTCCCAGCTACTTGGGAGGCTGAGGTGGGAGGATCTCTTGAGCCCAGCAGGTCCAGGCTGCAGTGAGCTGTGATCGCACCACTGTACTCCAGCCTGGATGACACAGTGAGACCCTGTCTCAAAAAAAAAAAAAAAAAAAAAAAACAAAGAAAAAAGAAAAAATTAAAGGCTTTGGAGTTTAAAAAATACTCTTACTATCCATAATATCTTAATACTCTCAGTATCTATTCCGATAATACTGTTAAATATAATCATAATATAATTAGGGGAAACTGTTTAGTCTCATCACCAATAGATATGAGCTGCCACTGTCTCACCAGCCACCTAAAAAAAAAAAATACATGATTTTTTTTTTTTTTGAAACGGAGTCTGGCTCTGTCGCCAGGCTGGAGTGTAATGGTGCAATCTTGGCTCACTGCAACCTCTACCCCCTGGGTTCCTGCAATTCTCCTGCCTCAGCCTCTCAAGTAGCTGGGATTACAGATGTGCACGGCCATGCCCAGCTAATGTTTGTATTTTTAGTAGAGATGGGGTTTCACCATGTTAGTCAGGCGGGTCTCAAACTCTTGACCTCAAGTGATCTGTCTACTTCAGCCTCTCAAAGTGCTGGGATTACAGGTGTGAGCCACCACGCCTGGCCTTCGATCTTAGACCAGGATATTTTAGGTTCTGGAGGAGATCAGATAACAACCTTAAAGGAAAGGACTTTAACAAGCACTTTTACCAGTTTAAACAACATAAATTCCAGAGTGTTCATATAATATTGATCTCGTGAGATGGAACATGTACTATCTTAAAAAAAAATCATGCACTTACATCTCTACAGACTTCTCTGGAATATGTAATATTCCTAAAAAGTTCCAGGAAATAAACAAACAAATTAGGAGATTATGTATTCTAGCTGGCTCTAGCTGATACTCCCATGCATGTAAATACTGCCTCAGAGCCATTGTCATGTCAGATAAGTCAACAGCCCATCTTCCAACAAAAGGAATATGAAGTACTGCCTTTAGTTGAACAAAAGATGATGTTCTCTTTACAATCTTCTAATCAATAGAATCTTGACAATGAGTCTGAATTTCACGGAATAACATATTCCTGCAGGTTGACTTGAGCTATGTCAAAAGGGAGTACTGAGAAAGTAAGAAGATAACTCTGGTTACTGACAGCTAAACTGCAATCTTGCCAATGAAACATAAACTGTTCTCACAGGATATAAACAATAATTAGGCAAGTCCATTCTATGACTGTTGTGGAGCAAGACAGAGCCAAGGCCACCCTGCAGCCATGAAAATTGCTAGTATCTCCTTCTGATAACTAACATGAATAATTACAGCTTCTTTGCCAGTGACATCTCTATCCCCATCTTAACCCTCTGACCTCCTACATAAAAATGATCAAAGATCTACCCAATCACCAAATTGCTCCTGCTCCTCACAGCACCCAATCCAGAACTGACTCTGCACCTCTAAAGTCTCTTTAGAATCACGCAACACAAGCTTAAATCTTTTTTTTTGATCAGAATAAATTTATTGGACATTTTTTAAAAAATTTCAAAACCTAAAATAAAATAATATCCAAGTATAAATGCAATTTTCCTTTTAAAATATATACGATGCAACAATTACATTTATGAACTAATTCTTAATACATAGGTATAAAAATGTGAATTTATTTGAAGTGACCTCCAAGCTTAAATCTTAAAATAAGCCCTTCCCAATTCCTTCTTAATAACACACCCCATAGTTGCTGTGGTGTGTTCTCATTCTTGTTTGCTGCAGCAAACTAAATAAACTTTGTTTAACATTATATGGTTCTTATGGTCTTTGGTTGGTGGGTTTGGTTTTTGTTTGTTTGGTTGGTATTTTTAAGATAGGGTCTTGCTATGTCACCCTGGCTGGAATGCAGTGGCACGATCATAGTTCACTGCAGCCTCGACCTCCTGGGCTCAAGCAATCCTCCCACCTCAGCCTCCAGAGTAGCTGGGACTACAGGCATATGCCAGTGCATCAAGCTAACTTTTAAATTTTTTGTAGAAACAGGGTCTCCCTGTGTTGCCCAGGATAGTCTCCAACTCCTGGGCTCAAGCAATCATCCAGCCTCAGCCTCCTGACGTGCTGGGGTTACAGGCGTGAGCTATGGCACCCAGCCCATGGGCTTTGATACATAACATACATCAAACTTTTAATAGTGACTAGCTCTATGGGTAAGAATACAGGCAATTTCTTCTTTCCAATGTATATATTTCTTTTCTTTCTTTCTTTCTTTCTTTTTTTTTTTTTTTTTTTTGAAGCAGGTTCCTGTTCTGTCGCCTAGGCTGGAGAGCAGTGCCGCAATCACGGCTCACAGCAGCCTTGATCTCCTGGGCTCAGGGAATCCTCCCACTTCTCAGCCTCCCAAATATCTGGGAGCAGAGGCATGCACCACCATGCCCAGCTAATGTTTTGTATTTGTTATAGAGGTAGGGTTTCACCCTGTTGTCCAGGCTGGTCTGAAATTCGTAGGCTCAAGCAGTCAGTCCCACTCAGCTTCCCAAAGTGCTGGGATTACAGGTGTGAGCCACCACGCCTTACCTATACTTCAGTATGGTTTGAATTTTTTATTACAAGCATGTATTTGTTGTATAATGAGAAAATAATAAATATATTTTGATTGGGGCAGAAGAAGGACCTCAACTGGCTCCGCTTTGCAAATGAGATAAAGACCATATTTTTAGTATGGCATACAAGGCTCATGTTAATCCAGTTCTACCATTTTCTACAGCCCCATTGCCACAGCTCCCTCACTATGTTCTTGAATCTCCAGCAGGGCCAAACTTCTCTATTTCCCAAATCCATTCCTATTCCATTTTCCACTGCCTTCTATCCATTAAACAGGCAAGCATCATTCTTCCTGCAGCACTCTGACTTCACCCCACCATCAAAATAAAGAACTTTCTCGGCTGGCTCATGTCTATAATCCCAGCACTTTAGGGAGGCTGAGGCGAGTGGATCACTTAAGGCCAGGAGTTCAAGACCAGCCTGGCCAACATGGCGAAACCCCATCTCTGTGAAAAATACAAAAATTTGCCAGGAGTGGTGGCGCATGCTTGTAATTCCAGTTACTCGGGAGGCTGAGGCAGGAGAATTGCTTGAACCCAGGAGACAGAAGTTGCAGTGAGCCAAGATCACACCACTGCACTCCAGCCTGGATGACAGAGCAAGACTCTGTCTCAAAAAATAAATAAAATAAAATTTGATTTGAACAAACGTGAATGTATAAACAAAACATGGTATAATGCGCTGCTTAATGACATTTGGTCAATGACAGACACATAAGGTTATAATGAAGCTGAACACTTCCTATTGCTCGGTGATGTGTAACTGTTGTAACATTGTGCAATGCATTACTCATGTGCTTGTTATGATGCTGGTGTAAACAAACCTACTGTGCTGCCAGTTGTGTAAGTCTAGTGCATAGAATTATGTACAGTGCATAACACTTGATAATAAACAACTCTGTTACAGGTTTGTGTATTTACTATGGTTTTTATCTTTATTTTAAAGTGGACTTCTACTTCTGAAAAAGAGTTAACTGTGAAACAGCCTCAGGCAGGCTTTTCAGGATATGGAGTGAAACTAACCCAACAGCCATCGTGAGTGAGAGCAGGGCAGTCACACCCCATTTGATCCTGTAGAGGGAAACTCTCTGAGCTGAGACACTGTGGTAGGGAAAACTCCCACCAACCACTTGAAAGGGGCATCCAGCAGAGACTTCTGGTTTGGGCTTGGAAACTACCAAATTGGGACTCAACTGTTTTCAACTAATCAGGACTGAATGAGTTTGAGTTCCTCATTTGCGTATACGGACCTGATTGAGGACTGGAGCAGGACCTTTCCCTATTTAAGCCAGAACCCCTTTTTGTTCTCCAGAGCATGCTTTCTTTTTATATCAGAGGCTTCCTCTCCCAATCTGCAGATTGCTCATTTTTAGAAAATAAAGCTCTCCTTTGTCTTTCCCCTGCAGACCTCATGGTCTTTTATAAAAAAGAAGGTGTTTCAGACGACATTGTTATAAGAGATGACAGCTTCATGCATATTACTGCCCCTGAAGATCTTCTAGTGGGATAAGATGTAGAGGTGGAAGACAGTGATATTGATAATCCTGCCCTTGTTTAGGCATAGGCTAATGTGTGTGTTTGTGTATTAGTTTTTTTTGTTTTTTGTTTATTTATTTATTTATTTATTTATTTATTTATTTATTTATTTTTTATTGATCATTCTTGGGTGTTTCTCACAGAGGGGGATTTGGCAGGGTCATAGGACAATAGTGGAGGGAAGGTCAGCAGATAAACAAGTGAACAAAGGTCTCTGGTTTTCCTAGGCAGAGGACCCTGCGGCCTTCCCCAGTGTTTGTGTCCCTGGGTACTTGAGATTAGGGAGTGGTGATGACTCTTAACGAGCATGCTGCCTTCAAACATCTGTTTAACGAAGCACATCTTGCACCGCCCTTAATCCATTTAACCCTGAGTGGACACAGCACATGTTTCAGAGAGCACAGGGTTGGGGGTAAGGTCACAGATCAACAGGATCCCAAGGCAGAAGAATTTTTCTTAGTACAGAACAAAATGAAAAGTCTCCTATGTCTACTTCTTTCTACACAGACACGGCAACCATCCGATTTCTCAATCTTTTCCCCACCTTTCCCCCCTTTCTATTCCACAAAACCGCCATTGTCATCATGGCCCATTCTCAATGAGCTGTTGGGTACACCTCCCAGACGGGGTGGCGGCCGGGCAGAGGGGCTCCTCACCTCCCGGATGGGGCGGCTGGTCAGGCGGGGGGCTGACCCACCCACCTCCCTCCCGGACGGGGCGGCTGGCCGGGCAGAGGGGCTCCTCACTTCCCAGTAGGGGCGGCCTGGCAGAGGCGCCCCTCACCTCCCAGACGGGGAGGCTGGCCGGGCGGGGGGCTGACCCCCCCACCTCCCTCCCAGACGGGGCGGCTGGCCGGGCGGGGGGCTGACCCCCCACCTCCCTCCCGGACGGGGCGGCTGGCCTGGCGGGGGCTGACCCCCACCTCCCTCCCGGATGGGGTGGCTGCCGGGCAGAAATGCTCCTCACTTCCCAGACGGGGTGGTTGCCGGGCGGAGGGGCTCCTCACTTCTCAGATGGGGCGGCTGCCGGGCGGAGGGGCTCCTCACTTCTCAGATGGGGCGGCTGCCGGGCGGAGGGGCTCCTCACTTCTCAGATGGGGCGGTTGCCAGGCGGAGGGTCTCCTCCCTTCTCAGACGGGGCGGCAGGGCAGAGACGCTCCTCACCTCCCAGATGGGGTTGCGGCCGGGCAGAGGTGCTCCTCACATCCCAGACGGGGCGGCGGGGCAGAGGCGCTCCCCACATCTCAGACGATGGGTGGCCGGGCAGAGACGCTCCTCACTTCCTAGATGGGATGGCGGCCGGGAAGAGGTGCTCCTCACTTCCTAGATGGGATGGCAGCCGGGCAGAGACGCTCCTCACTTTCCAGACTGGGCAGCCAGGCAGAGGGGCTCCTCACGTCCCAGACGATGGGCGGCCAGGCAGAGATGCTCCTCACTTCCCAGACAGGGTGGCAGCTGGGCAGAGGCTGCACTCTCGGCACTTTGGGAGGCCAAGGCAGGCGGCTGGGAGGTGGAGGTTGTAGCAAGCCGAGATCACGCCACTGCACTCCAGCCTGGGCACCATTGAGCACTTAGTGAACCAGACTCCGTCTGCAATCCCGGCACCTAGGGAGGCCGAGGCTGGCGGATCACTCGCGGTTAGGAGCTGGAGACCAGCCCGGCCAACACAGCGAAACCCCGTCTCCACCAAAAAAATACGAAAACCAGTCAGGCATGGCGGCGCGCGCCTGCAATCGCAGGCACTCGGCAGGCTGAGGCAGGAGAATCAGGCAGGGAGGTTGCAGTGAGCCGAGATGGCAGCAGTACAGTCCAGCTTCGGCTCGGCATCAGAGGGAGACCGTGGAAAGAGAGGGAGAGGGAGACCGTGGGGAGAGGGAGACGGAGACCGTGGGGAGAGGGAGAGGGAGAGGGAGAGTGTGTATTAGTTTTTAACAAAAAAGTTTAAAAAGTAATTTTTTGGCAAGAAGAAGTTTATAAGATTAGGATATAAAGAAAGAATTTGTGTACAGCTATACAATGTGTTTGTATTTTAAGCTAAGTGTTATTACAAAATAGTTAGAGATAAGAATTCAAGATGGCAGATTGGAGACAAGGCTGATGTACAGCTCCCACTTGGACAGACAGAACAGTGTGTGGAGACTTACACCATGGACTTTTGCTCTAGGAACAACCACAGGAATGTACCAGGAAAACCAAAAGAATTCACAGATCATTTGAAAGAAGTAGTAGGCTGCTGCAAATTCTGTGAGACAGGAGAAAAACTGTGAGTTCTTAAGGTGAGAAGGGGGAAAAGCTGCCTCTGAACACACATCCCCACTGGGGAACCCGAAAGTCCAGATTATGGGAGAAGGATTTACCCTTACTTAAACCTGAAACAGACTTAGTGTGAAATATGAAAGTAGTGAGAAGAGCCTTGTAGGCACTTCCATTCTCCCGCTTGAGCCCAGGGAAGCCATCCCTGACTATATCTCACAGAGGCCCTCGGGAAATGCAGCCAGTGGAATTTGGGAGGGGTCACAGGGTGAAAGTAGTTTCCGGCTAAACTTTATAATAACTTTGACTGGGCACAAACTCTCTTGAGCAGAATCCAGGGCAAATGGGAACTACTGCAGAAAGGAGAGCAGGAGTCACAGCTGACAGTGAGGGCGGATGGGGAGGGGTATGGCTGAAAGCCATGCTTACTTTCTTAGCGGGTGAAACTTAAAGCTTGGGACTAGGTCTGAGTCCTGTGCACAGGCTGCCTGGAGATAAACTTGCACTGTTAGTTGGGTATGTTGAGAGTGAGAACAGCCTTGCCAACTGGATGGGAGCTGGGTGAGGTCTATTGCTACCAGCTTTCCCCCACTTCCCTGGTGATAGAGGCAGCCATAATCCCCTCTGGAACATAACCCCATTGGTCCAAGAACCGCCTTCCCCATCTCCCACAGTGGCTGCAGCAAACCCCACTCAAGGAGAGTCTGAGCTTAGACCCACCTAACCTTGCCCCCCCCACTTGATGGTATTTCTCTACCTGCCCTGGTAGCTGATCACAAAAGACAAACTCTTGGGAGTTTTATGACCCCACCCATTGCTTGAGAAACCTGAATACTTAACCTGGCCAATTTAGGACAAGCCGATATCCCCCTTCTACTATTGCAGCTGGTGGTCTCTTGAAAGCGCTACCTCCTGTCTAAAGGCCAACCAACTCAGGACGTTACAGCAACTCATGACTGAATGAACCTGCTCCAAGGAAGGAGAAAACAACAGCTAATTCCACTGCCTCCAACATCCTGGCAACTGGTGATCTTGAGTCTGTCCATGTGACAACTTCACTGCTAGCATAACCAGCTTTTGAGAAAGCCAACATACTAAACACATCTACAAGCAAGGACTCTCACAGAGTCTACTTCTCTCCCCTATCACCTCCACCAGAGCAGGTGCAGGTATCTACAGCTGGGAGACCTGAAGACAGATGGCATCACAGGACTCTTCACAGGTATTCTCCAGCAACAGACCAGAGCCAGAGCCTGGTAGCACCTCTGGGTGTCTAAACCAAGAAAAGCAATAACAATTACTTCCTGAAGTCTGGCTCACAGGAAGCCCCATCCCTAGAGGAAGGGGAGAACACCACATCAAGGGACCACCCTGCGGGACTAAAGAATCTGAACAGCAGCCTTGAGTTCCAGATTTTTCCACTGAAATAGTCTACCCAAAATAGGAGGAATCAGAAAAATAATTCTGGTAGAACGACAAAACAAGGTTCTATAACACCCCCAAAAGATGACACTAGATCCCCAGCAATGGATCCAAACCAAGAAGAAATCTTTGAATTGCCAGGTAAAGATTTCAGAAAGTTGATTATTAAGCTACTCGAGGAGATACCAGAGAAAGGTGAAAACCAATTTAAGGAAATTTTTAAAAAATACAAGATATGGATGAAAAATGCTCCAGAGAAATAGACATTATTAAGAAAAAACAATTATAACTTCTGGAAATGAAAGACACACTTAGAGAAATACAAAATGCATTGAAAAATTTCAACAATAGAATTGAACAAGTAGAAGAAAGAACTTCAGAGCTTGAAGACAAGGTCTTTAAATTAACCCGATCAGACAGAAACAAAGAAAAAAGAATTTAAAAAAATAAACAAAGCCTCCAAGAAATTTGGGATTATATTAAACAGCCAAACCTAAAAATAACTGGTGTTCCTGAGAAAGAAGAGAAATCTACAAGTTTGGAAAACATATTGAGGGAATAATTGAGGAAAACTTCCCTGACCTCACAAGTGATTTGGATGTATAGACATCCAAATATAAGAAGCTCAAAGAACACCTGGGAAATTAATCACAAAAAGATCATCATTCAGGCACATAGTCATCAGGTTATCTAAAGTCAAGACAAAGGAAAGAATCTTAAGAGCTGTGAGGCAAATGTATCAGGTAACCTATAAAGGAAAACCTATGAGATTAACAGCAGATTTCTCAGCAGAAAACCTACAAGTCAGAAGGGATTGGGTCTTATCTTTAGCGTTCTCAAACAAAATATCTGCCAGCCAAGAATTTTGTATCCAGCAAAACTAAGCTTTCTAAATGAAAGAGAGATAAAGTCTTTTTCAGAAAAACAAATGCGGAGAGAATTTGCCACCACCAAGCCAGCACTACAAGAAATGCTAAAATGAGTTCTAAATCTTGAAACAAAACCTTGCAAAATAGAACTGCCTCAAAGCATAAATCTCACAGGGCTTATAAAACAATAACATGATAATAATTTTAAAAAACCAAGGTATTCAGACAACGATTAGCCTGGTGGATAGAAGAGTAACTCACATCTCAATACTAATGTTGAATGTAAATGGCCGAAATGCTCCACTTAAAAGGTACAGAATGGCAGAATGGATAGAAATCCACCAACCAAGTATCTGCTATCTTCAAGAGACTCACCCAATGCATAAGAACTCACATAAACTTAAGGAAAAGGGGTGAAAAACGCTATTCCATGTAAAGGGAAACCAAAAGTGAGCAGGAATAACTATTCTTATATCCGACAAAACAGACCATAAAGCAACCAATAGTTAGAAAAGACGAAGAGGGACATTATGTAATAACAAGATCAGTCCAACAGGAAAATATCACATCCTAAATATATATGCACCTAACACAGGATCTCCCAAATTTATAAAAAAATTATTATTCAACATAAGAAATGAGATCGATAGCAACACAGTAATAGTGGGGGACTTCAGTACTTCACTGAGAGCACTAGACAGGTCATCAAGACAGAAAGTCAACAAAGAAAAAATGGACTTAAATTATACCCTAAAACAAATGGACTTAACAGATATTTACACAACATTCTACCCAACAACTGCAGAATACACATTCTTTTCATTAGCACATGGAAAATTCTCCAAGATAGACCATTTGGTAGGCCAAAAACCGAGTCTCAATACATTTATAAAAATCAGAATTATATCAAGTACCTTCTCAGACTACAGTGGAATAAAATTGGAAATTCACTGCAAAGGGAACCCTCAAAACTATGCAAATACAAGAAAATTAAATAATCTGCTCCTGAATGATCTTTGGGTCAAGAATGAAATCAAGATGGAAATCTTAAAATTCTTTGAACTGAACAATAATAGTGACACAACTTATCAAAACCTCCAAGACACAGCAAAAGTGGTGCTAAGAAGAAAGTTGATAACATTAAATGCCTACATCAAGAAGTCTGAAAGAGCACAAATAGACGATCTAAGGTCACACCTCAAGGCACTAGAGAAACAAGAACAAACCAAACCCAAACCCAGCAGGAGAAAGGAAGTAACAAAGATCAGAGCAGAACAAAATACAGTTGAAAGAAACAAACAACTAAAGATAAATTAAACAAAAAGCTGATTCTTTGCAAAGATAAATAAACTTTATAGACCATTATCAAGATTAACCAAAAAAAGAAGAGACAAGATCCAAACAGGATCAATTAGTAATGAAATGCGAGATATTATTATACAACTGATACAGCAGAAATACAAAGGATCATTCAAGGCTACTAGTTTTCATGCACACAAACTAGAAAATCTAGAGGAGATGGATAAATTCCTGGAAATATATAACCCTCCTAGATTAAATTAGGAAGAAATAAAAACTCTGAACTGACCAATAACAAGTAGCAAGATTGAAACAGTAATTTAAAAAATTGCCAACAACAAAAGAAGTCCAGGGCCAGATAGATTCACAGCTGAGTTCTATCAGGAATTCAAAGAAAAATTGGTACCAATTTTACTGAAACTATTCCAAAAGATAGAAAAAGAGGGAATCCTCCTTCAGTCATTCTGTGAAGCCAGTGTCACCATAATACCCAAGGCAGGAAAGGACATAACAAAAAAAGAAAACTACAGACGAATATCCCTGATGAACATAGATGCAGAAATTGTCAAAAAATACTAGCTAACGGCCGGGCGCGGTGGCTTACGCCTGTAATCCCAGCACTTTGGGAGGCCGAGGCAGGCGGATCACAAGGTCAGGAGATTGAGACCATCCTGGCTAACACGGTGAAACCTCGTCTCTACTAAAAATACAAAAAGTTAGCCGGGCGTTGTGGCAGGCGCCTGTAGTCCCAGCTGTTCGGGAGGCTGAGGCAGGAGAATGGCGTGAACCCAGGAGGCGGAGCTTGCAGTGAGCCGAGATCGCACCACTGCACTCCAGCCTGGGTGACAGAGTGAGACTCTGTCTCAAAAAAAAAAAAAAAAAAAAAAAAAATACTAGCTGACTGAATCCAACAGCATATTAAAAAGATAATACACCATGATCAGGTGGGTTTCATACCAGGGATGCAGGGATGGTTTAACATATGCAAGTCAATAAATGTGATACATCACATAAAGAGAATTAAAAAGAAAAATTATATGATCATCTCAATAGATGCAGGAAAAGCATTTGATAGAATCCAGCATCCCTTTATGATTAAAACCCTCAGCAAAATCGGCATAGAAGACACACACCTCAAGATAATAAAACCCATCTGTGACAAACTCACAGCCAACATTATACCAAGTGGGGAAAAGTTGAAACCATTCACCCTAAGCACTGAAGCCAGACAGGATACCCAATTTCACCACTTCTGTTCAACATAGTACTGGAAGTTCTATCTAAAGCAATCAGACAAGAGAAAGAAATAAAGGGCATCCAAATCAGTAAAGAGGAAATGAAACTGTCACTGTTTGCTGATGATGTGGTCGTATACCTAGAAAACCATAAAGATTCATTCAAAAAGCTCCTAGATCTGATAAATGAATTCAGTAAAGTTTCAGGATACAAAATCAATATACACAAATCAGTAGCAATGCTGTACACCAGCAATAACCAAGCAGAGGACCAAATCAAGATCTCAACCCCTTGTGCAACAGCTTCAAAAAAAAAAAGAAAGAAAGAAAGAAAGAAAGAAAAAATACTTAGGAATATATCTAACTAAGGAGGTGAAAAATCTCTACAAGGAAAACTACAAAACACTGCTGAAAGAAATCATAGATGACACAAACAAATTGAAACACATCTAATGCTCATGGATGGGTAGAATCAATATTGTGAAAATACCCATATTGCCAAAAGCAATCTATAAATTCAATGCAATTCCTATCAAAATACCATCATCATTCTTAACAGAACTAGAAAAAAATCATCCTAAAATTCATAGGGAACCAAAAAAGACCCTGCAAAGCCAAAGCAAGACTAAGCAAAAAGAACAAATCTACAGGCATCACATTACCTGTCTTCCAACTATACTACAAGGCTATAGTTACCAAAACAGCATGACACTAGTATAAAAATAGGCAAGTAGACCAATGAAACAGAATAGAGAACCCAGAAATAAAGCTAAATATTTATAGCCAACTAATCTTCAACAAAGCAAACCAAAATATAAAGTGGGGAAAGGACACCCTATTCAATAAATGGCACTGGGATAATTGGGAAGCTACATGAGGAAGAATGAAGCTGGTTCTTCGTCTCTCACCTTATACAAAAAAATCAACTCAAGATGGATCAAAAACTTCAATCTAAGACCTGAAATCATAAAAATTCTAGAAGATAACATCGGGAAAACTTATACACATTTGCTTAGGCAAAGAGTTCACGACCAAGAATCCAAAAACAAATACAACAAAAACAAAGATAAATAGATGGTAATGGCAGATGCAGGCCATCTAGAGTGGCCGCTGCTGTCACATGGGCTACAGAGGGGGGGCGCGGGTGGTAGCGGCAGGAGCAGCTGCAAAAGCAGCAACAGCAGCAGTGGGTCCCCTGTGCCCAGTGTTCCTGAGGCAGCCAACTGCACTGCCCCCACCCTTGCATGGCCAGGCAAGACCTATTCCAGGCCCAGAGGCTCTGCCACTCTGGACCCTGGCCCTGCGTCACTGCTGTCACCTACTGCCATTGCAGGGAAGGCCTGATGAGGTGGCAGAGCTGGGCCTGAGGCCAGCTAGAATCAGGGACCAGCGGGAGCTCCCTGGAGCCTGCCATGATAGGCTGCTATGATGGGGCTGGGTGGAGCCCCCCGCTGTGGGGGAGCAGCACAGTTGGGCATGGAGGGGTGGGCAGAGAGGGGCCCAGCGAGGACCTGGAGCTGCCACCCCAGGCTGCATGGAGGCACAGCTGGGGATGCCTGCATGCTCCATGGTGCAAGCAGGAGGCCCACCCTCCCAGGAGCAGGACTCAAGCTCTCGCACTCTGCACCCTAGATGCCATGGATGGTGGCAGGAGGGAGACAGGCTTCTGGGTGAAAAAGGGTGGATCCCTAGTGAGACCCCACCTTCAGGCCAGGGAGGGCTTGAAGGCTGGGGGCTGGGCTGCGAGTCCTGAGCGCCGGAATGAAAACTTGTGGTGTCTTTTTTCTGGGCCCATCCATGGCCACCCATGGACCAATCAGCACACACTTCCTCCCCTCTGAGGCCCATAAAAGCCCCGGGGTCAGCCAGAGCTGGACAGATGACAAGACGACCAGCTGCAGAGGGGAGGTACCCTCTCTGCTGGGAGCTGAACACTTGTTGGGATGACCTGCCTGCAGAGAGGAGCTACCCTCTCTGCTAAAAGCTGAACATTTGACAGGACACCCTGGATGCAGAAAGGAGCTGCTCCCTGCGGGGCTCCTCTGAATTGTCCTATTGCTCATAAAGCTCCTTTTCATCTTGCTCACCCTTCACTTACCTGCATACCTCATTCTTCCTGGTTGCAGGACAACAACTTGGAACTTGCTGAATGTCAAGGGTAAAAAAGCTGTAGCACAAACAGGACTGAAGCATGCCTCTTGCTCACCGTGTTGTAGGCAAAGAGAAGGAGAGAAGAGCTGCAGCCCTTCGGGGAGCCCATACCTGGGAGCTCCCTGAGCCATAACTATGACTGCCTCTTTGGGGCTCTGTGGTTTCTGGCATCTCCAAGCTTCCGGGTATCACCACGTTCCCCACTGCCAGCCATGGAAGCTGCTTGCAGTGAGCCTGGTCTGGCCACAGCCTCGCAGAGAGCTGGTGCCCATGCCAGCATGTGGAGCCGCCTGCCCCGCTGTAGCAGCTGGCATGTCTGACTGTACACAGTGGCCAGACCCCATGCTTGCTCACATACCCCTCACTGTTCCATGCCTGACTCACCCTTAGCAGACATGGGATCCGGGCCTTTGGGAGGCATGTGATCCAGGCCGGTAGTGTGAGCTGAGCGCAGCCTACCAGGCTGAGTGGGCAAAATGAGCCTAGTGAGTTTGAGCAAAACTTGGGCAAAGGTGCCACCAGCCACAGAGGTTTCTAGCCAAAAAGCAACACTCCAATGATTCCATAACAATGGGACCTAATTAAACTAAAAAGCTTCTGCACAGCAAAAGAAATAATCAGCAGAAGGCTGGACACGGTGGCTCACTCCTGTAATCCCGGCACTTTGGGAGGCCAAGGTAGGTGGATCATTTGAGGTCAGGAGTTTGAGACCAGCCTGGCCAATATGACGAAGCCCCGTCTCTACTAAAACTCCAAAAATTAACAGGGTGTGGTGGCTCATGCCTGTAGTCCCAGCTCCTTGGCAGGCTAAGGCATGAGAATCGCTTGACCCCAGGAGACTAAGGTTGCAGTGAGCTGAGATTGTGCCACCACTGCACTCCAGTCTGGTTGACAGAGTGAGACTGTCAAAAAAAAAAAAAAAAAAAAAAAAGAAGAAGAAGAAAAGAAATAATCAGCAGAGTAAAAAGATAACTCACAGAGTGGGAGAGAATATTAGCAAACTATACATCCAACAAAGGACTGATATCCAGAATCTACAAGAAACTCAAACAAATCATCAAGAAAAAAAATAATAATCCCTTCAAAGAGTGGGCAAAGGACATGAACAGCCAAGTCTCAAAAGAAGATATGCAAATGGCCAACAAACATATAAAAAATGCTCAATATCACTAATTATCAGGGAAATGCAAATCAAAACCACAATGTGAAACCACCTTACTTCTGCAAGAATGACAATAATTTAAATATCAAAAAATAACAGATGGTATCGTGGATGTGGTGAAAAGGGAACACTTTCACACTGCTTGTGGGAATGTAAACTAGTACAATCACTATGGAAAACTGTATGGAGATTCCTTGAAGAACTAAAAGTAGAACTGCTATTTGATCCAGCAATCCCACTACTGGGTACCTACCCAGAGAAAAAGAAGTCATTACATGAAAAAGACACTTGCACAAGCATGTTTATAGCAGCACGATTTACAATTGTAAAAATATGGAATCAGCCTAAACGCCCACTAACTGAGTAGATAAAGAAAATGTGGCATTCTACTCAGCCATAAAAAGCAATGAAGTAATGGCATCTGCAGCAACCTGGATAAAGTTGGAGACCATTATTCTAAGGGAAGTAATTCAGGGTTGGAAAACCAAATATCATATGTTTTCACTTGTAAGAGGGAGCTAAGCTATGAGGACACAAAAGCGTAAGAATGATATAATGGACTTTGGGGACTGTTGGGGGAAGGTCAGGAAGGGAGGGTGAAGGATGAAAGGCTACACATTGGGAGCCGGGCATGGTGGCTGCTTGGCACGGTGGCTAATGCCTGTAATCCCAGAACTTTGGGAGGCCAAGGCAGACAGATCACTTGAGGCCAGGAGTTCGAGATCAGCCTGGCCAACATGGTGAAACCTCATCTCTACTAAAAATACAAAAATTAGCCAGGCGTGGTGACAGGTGCCTATAATCCCAGCTACTTGGGAGGCTGAGGCAGGAGAATCGCTTCAACCTGGGAGGCGGAGGTTGCAATAAGCCAAGATTATGCCACTGCACTCCAGCCTGGGTGACAAAGTGAGCCCTTGTCTCAAAAACAAAAACAAAAACAAAAAACCCGATGGCTACACATTGTGTACAGTGTACACTGCTTGGGTGATGGGTGCACCAAAATCTCAGAAATTACCACTAAAGAACTTTCCCATGCAACCAAACACCATCTGTTCCCCAAAAACTATTGAAAAAAGTATTTAAAACACAAGAGTCAAAAAATAATTTAAACGTTTATGAAGTACAGTAAGCTAAGGTTAATATATTATTCAAGAAAAAAATCATTTTTACACATTTAATGCAGCCTAAGTGTATAGTATTTATAGAGTCTACAGTAATGTCCTAGGCCTTCACATTCACTCACTACTCACTTTCTGACTCACCCAGGGCAACTTCCAGTCCTGCAAGCTCCATTCGTGGTAAGTACCCTATACAGGTGTACCATTTTTTAATCTTTCATACCATATTTTTACTGTACCTTCTCTACATTTAGAAAGATTTAGATACACAAATACCATTGTGTTACAATTGTCTACAGTGTTCAGTACTATAACATACTATACAGATTTGTAGCCTAAAACAGTAGGCTATATGATATAGCCTAGTTGTATCATCTAGATTTGTGTAAGTACACTGTATGATATTTGGACAAAGATAAAGTTGCCTAATGGTGCATTTCTTTTCTTTTTCTTTTTTATAGTTTCTTTTTTTTTTTTCAGACAGAGTTTCACTCTGTTGCCCAGGCTGAAATGCAGTAGTGCAAATATTGGCTTATTACAACCTCTGCCTCCTAGGCTCAAGCGATCCTCCCATATCAGCCTCCCGAGTAGCTGGGGCTACAGGCAACACAACCACACCCAGCTAATTTTTGTATTTTTTGTAGAGACAGGGTTTCATCATGTTACCCAGGCTGGTCTCAAATTTCTTGGCTCAAGCCATCCTCCCGCCTCAGCCTCCTAATGTGCTGGAATTACAGACATCAGCCACCATGCCCGGCCTGGAACATTTCTTAAAAACATATTCTTGTTATAAAGCGACACATGACTGTGCATTCAATGGAAAATTATTCAGTCATTAAAAGAATGAAATTCTGGCCAGGCATGGTGGCTCATGCCTGTAATCCCAACCTTTGGGAAGACAAGTTGGGTGAATCACCTGAGAGGTCAGGAGTTTGAAACTGGCCCGGCCAACGTGGTGAAACACTGTCTCTAATAAAAATACAAAAATTAGCCAGGCATGCTGGCACATGCCTGTAGTCCCAGCTACTCTGGAGGATGAGGCAGGAGGGAGAATTGCTTGAACCCAGGAGGCAGAGGTTGCAGTGAGCCGAGATCATACCACTGCACTCCAGCCTGGGTGACAGAGTGAGACTCTGTCTCAAAAAAAAAAAAAGAAAGAAAGAAAACACGGAAGGAATGGAATTCTGATACATGTGAAAAATGAGTGAACCTTGAAAACATTATCTAAGTGAAATAAGCCAGACACAAAAGGACAAATTTTGTGTGATTCCACTTACATGAGGTACCTCAAATAGGCAAATCCATAGAGGCAGAAGGTAGAGTAGAGCTTAAACAATGGTAGGGGGAAGAGGGGAGGGAGGGAACAGAGAGTTATTGTTGAGTGGGTATAAAGTTTCTGTTTGAGATAATTAAAACATTCTGGAAGTAGATAGTGGTGATGGCTGCACAACACTGTGCATGTACTTAATGCCACTGAGTTGTACGCTTAAAAATGGTTTAACTGGTGGCGGAACATGGTGGCTCATGCCTGTAATCCCAGCACTTTGGGAGGCCAAGGCAGGCAGACCACTTGAGGTCAGGAGTTCAAGATCAGCCTGGCTAACATTTTAGTGAGACCCCTGTCTCTACTAAAAATACAAAAATTAGTCAGGTGTGGTGGCATGTGCCTGTAGTCCCAGCTACTCGGGAGGCTGAGACAGAAGAATCACTTGAAGCCCGGGAGGTGGAGCTTGCAGTGAGGCGAGATCACACCACTGCATTCCAGACTGGGCGACAGAGCAAGACTCCGTCTCAAAAAACAAGCAAACAGAAAAAGGTTTAAATGATAAATTTTATGTTATGTATATTTTGCCACAATAAAAAAAAGAAAACTCAATTTGAAATTGTATTATGGAAATTTCTAAGCATATACCAAAGTTAAAAGTATAATGGACTTCCATGTATCCATCACTAGTTTCAACAATTATCAATTCCTGGGCAAATTCTGCTGTTTTACCCACCACCGTCCCTACTGGATTATTTTGCAGCAATATCCAGGCATTTTATTCTCTGCAAATATTTGAGAATGTTTTTCCAAAATAAATTAAGCATTTTTTTTTTTTGAGACAGTGTCTCACTGTGTCGCCCAGGCTGGAGAACAGTACTGTGATCTCGGCTCACTGCAACCTCCGCCTCCCGGGTTCAAGCAATTCTCCTGCCTCAGCCACTGAAGTAGCTGGGATTACAGGCACGTGCCACCATGCCCGACTAATTTTTGTATTTTTAGTAGAGACAGGATTTCGACATGTTGGCGAGGCTGGTCTTGATCTTCCGGTCTCAAGTGATCCACCCGGCTTGACCTCCCAAAGTGCTGGAATTACAGGCTTGAACCATTGTGTCTGAACATAGTAAGCATTTCTTTACCAAGGATTTCCTATTCCTCCTCAAAACCCACATCAGATATCACCTCCTCTGTAAGACCATTTGTTTCCCATTTCCCTTAGAAGCAGCATGACCCATTCCTCTCTATGAGTATTGACAACTTCTTACCTATCCCTCTGAACCATGGTTTCTCAATCTTGGCACTGCAAGTTGTTCCCCTTATCCTAAATGTGTGGGGCACAGTGGCTCAGCCTGTAATCCCAGCACTTTGGGAGGCCGAGGTAGGCTGATGACTCGAGACCAGGAGTTTGAGACCAGCCTGGCCAACATGGTAAAACCCTGCCTCTAAAAACAAACAAACAAACAAAAATCCGCAAATGATTGGGACCAGAAGTATTAAAGATTTTGGATTTTTTGTGGATTTGGGAACATTTGCATATACATAATGAGATATCTTGGGGATGGGATCAAGTCTAAACACAAAATTCACTTATGTTTTATATATATGCTGAAGGTACTGTAATTTTATACAATATTTTAAATGATTTTGTGCATAAAACCAAGTTGAACCCTCAGAAAGCAAAGGTGTCATTATTTTAGTCACCCAAGTGGACAATTTGTGATTGCTTGTCATTACCATCATTCCTGGCTCTGAATTTATACGCTACCAATAAGCCATCATTTTCTTACACTTATTCACATGTAAGTGCTTAATAGTAAAACATGACATACACATCTGGCATGTGTGGAAAAGATGTATCAAAACTGAAGGGGCCTGGGAAAATCTTTTTTTCCCTTGGGGATGTTAAATAAACTGTGTGTTGTGCACCTGCATTTTGTCTGCAAATCATCATATAAAGTCAGGTATGGATTGTCCACTTGTGGCATCATGTCAGCAAAAATGTTTCCAATTTTGGAGCATTTTAGATTTTGGATTTTTGGATTAGGAATGCTTAACCTGGACTGATTTTGCCAGAGATCATTCTTTGATGTGGGAAGTGGTCCTGTGCATTAGAGGATGCTTCGCAGCAACCTGGCCTCTGTTAACTATTTGTAAGTAGCAAACTCCTCACTCCTTGTGACAATAAAAAATGTCTCCACACATCACCAAATGTCTTATATGGGCAAAATTGGCCCCAGTGGCAACTACTTCTTCAAAACTGCCCTGAAGAACTGCACTGCAGATATTTGCTTCTACATCTGTCTTCACTTCTCTTCTGCGAAATCCTAAAGGCCTGGACAACTTCTTCCTTATCTTAGGATAGCCAGTGACTGATTCTTGCTCAGATCTTCATAGGAAGCACCCTGAAAGGCCAAGGAAGCATTGGCAGATCTTCCTAGAACTTCAGGAAATCTGAGGCCATCACATCTAGCTCTAGCACTCCGTGTGGTGCCTTAATCACTTCTACAATGTCCCCTCCAGATTCTGTAAAGAATTCAAGCAATTGACACTTATCTCCCTGCAGGGGTGGGGGGCTCATTTTTAAAAAGTTTTTATGGTAAGCTGAAGCTTGCTGACTGTCTGACTTTACCCAGTGTCTCAATCCTTTTTTTTTTTTTTTTTTTTTTGAGACATTCTTGCTCTGTCACCCAGGCTGGAGTGCCGTGGCACGATCTTGACTCACCGCAACCTTTGCCTCCTGGGTTCAAGTGATTTTCGTGCCTCAGCCTTCTGAGTAGCTGGAATTACAGGCATGTGCCACCACACCCGGCTAATTGTTGTATTTTTAGTAGAGATGGGGTTTCACCATGTTGGCCAGGCTGGTCTAAAACTCTTGGCTTCAAGTGATCCACCTGCTTTGGTCTCCTAAAGTGCTGGGATTACAGGCATGAGCCACCCATGCCTGGACCCATTGTTCCAATTCTATTCTCTGAATTCTTATAAAATTAGCCTAACTTTACTTCCACATGATAGCCTTTTAGGTTTATGAAGACTACCATTATAATCATTCACTCAATCATTTAACAAATACATACTTGAAAAGGAGAAAAGCAACCACTGACATGTGCAGTTGGCCTGGCTCTATCACCTGGCCCTCTGTGGTGTTAGGAGCTCATCTGGCATCACAGACAGGTCATGGTATTCTTCTGATGAACATAAACAATCTCACAGAGCACCTACATCAGACAAGGGCACTCTATGACCTCGGTAAAGTGAGACAAAAACCAAACCAAACAAAAACAAGACCACTTCATAAATTTTATCCAAGAACAGGAAAAAATAAAGTCACTGTGTAAACCACAAAAATAGCCTCCTCTTCCTGCTAATATAACTGCTGCTTCTTTACCAATTATATCCTTAGCCTTGCTCTCTTCTTCCCCCTTCTAAAAAAAAATTTATTAAAATACCCAATCAGATAATTATTCCTGCTTCCTGGCATCATTCAATTCAGAGCAAAACCTCACTTCCTTGAAACCTCTGCCAAATCACCTAACTTAAGCCCAAATCCTCCTTGCTAACATACCAAGCCATTCCATGGTTCCCCCTCTTGTACATTCTCTTTCATGACAACAAGCCAAAAACTCAACTTGTTCAATTACAGGTATGTTCCTGGTGGTCTTTGGCTGGAAGGCATTGACATACTGAACACCTAATATAAGCCAGGCACTAGGGATAGGGCAATGAATAAAACAAACAAAAATCTGTGTCTCCGTCAGAGCTTCTGTGGAAGTGAAGAGTGAACCAGGTGAAAGCATAATATGGTGTGTTAGTTGTGCTATGTGCCATGTGGAAAAGTAATGTCGAGGAAGGAATATGGCTGTTGGGATTTTGGTTCACTAGGAACAGGCTTACTAAGGTGCCACTCTGAGATCTGAGGGAGGGGACATGTGACCCGTGCAGCTATTTCGGGGTGTTCAAAGAGCGAATGGCCAATACAAAGGCCCTAGGACAGGAAGGTGCCTGGGGTGGCTCAGGAGCAGCACGGAGAACTCCTGTGGCTGGAGTGGGTGATCAAAGAGGAGAGGAGTAGGAGACAGTAAGATGGGGCGTGAGGAGAGAACAATGATCAAATAGGGTCTTATAAACCACTGCCAGGATTTTGGCTTTTACTTTGCATAAGTGAGATGGGAAGTTGTTGCAAAGCGTTGAACAGAAAAATCACGTGGTTTCTTCTTCTTTCTTTCTTTTTTTCCTTTTCTTTCTTTCTGTTTTTTTTTTTTTTTTTTTTTGACAGAGTCTTGCTCTGTCACCTAGGCTGGAGCACAGTGGCATGATCTTGGCTCACTGCAGCCTCCGCCTCCCGGGTTCGAGTGACTCTCATGCCTCAGCCTCCTCAGTAGCTGGGATTACAAACACATGCCACTATGTCCACCTAATTTTTGTATTTTTAGTAGAGACAGGATTTTGTCACATTGGCCAGGCTGGTTTCAAACTCCTGACCTCAAGCGATCCTCCCACCTCAGCCTCCTAAAGTGCCGGGATTACAGGCGTGAGCCACTGTGCCCGGCCCAACATTTTTTTTTTTTTGTAAAATATCTTTCTAGCACACTACATTGTTTATCTATTTAACTTACTTCTTGTCCGCCTATTCTTTTTTTTATTTTTTTTGTAAAGACAGGGTCTCGCTATGTTGACCAGGCTGGTCTTGAACTCCTGGCCTCAAGCAATCCTCCTACCTCTGCCTCCCCAAAGTGCTGGGATTACAGGAGTGAGCTACTGACCCCAGCCTCTCTGCCTATTCTTACTAGAATAAACGTTCAATGAGAGCAAGGATTTGGGTCTATTTTTCTAATTAACAAACACTGCACAGAACAGTGTCTGGTTATAGTAGGGGCTCAATAAGTACTTGTTGAATGAATAGTTTTTGGATCCATTGTGACTTTTGTCTCACATCCATGAGCATGCTCCTTTGGCAGTGTTTCTCTAAAATGATCAGGGGATGTTCCAGCCAAATTCTGGAATAGTAGGATGTTTCTCCTTTGTTCAAACCCTGGCATTTTATGGTGCAGCCCAGCAAGCCTAGCCTGTTTGGCAGGCATATCAGCCACTTCATGCCTCCCTATCCAGAACCTTGTACTTTTCCTGCGAAGAAGAAAATCTACAGTCAGCCAACCCCTCGTAGCTCAGGATATGTGCTGTATCTCTAACAGTGGAATCACACATCTCATAGGAAATGGAGAAAAAGGACATCAGACATCCGACTGCAAAATCTCTTTTAAGAAAGGATGTCCCCAATAAAAGAACAAAGAAAGGAAGGAAGGAAAGAAGGAAGGAAGGCAGGAAGGCCCAGCTTGGGCAACATAGCAAGGTCTCATCTCTACTAATATATACATAAATAAATAAAACCGGCATGGTGGCGTGCACCTGTAGTCCCAGCTACTCAGAAGGCTGATGTGGGAGGATTAATTGAGTCTAGGAGTTTGAGGTTGTAGTGAGCTATGATTGTGCCACCTGCACGCTAGCCTGGACAACAGAGTGAGACCTTGTTTAAAAAAAAGGAAAAGTAAAGATGCCAAACTTGAACTCCCAAATTTTCAACTTTGGAGACCGTAGACAGGAGTTTAAGTTTCTTCTGTGGCATCAACTAGCTCTAGGACTTTAACCAAACCAATTAACCTCTCCAAACTTCGTTTTAGTCATCTGCAATATGAAACTAATAAGGCCTATATAGTAAGGCTGTTATGAGGATTGGGTAGAATTATGTAGAGGACTATAGTAGACCTTAGTAAATGCTATTTTTTCTTACTTCATAATCTCTTCCCATTTGCCAAATGTTTTCGGCTAAGATGAAGTGGGAGTAAAAATTAGCTGGGCGTGGTGGTGAGTGCCTGTAATCCCGGCTACTCAGGAGGCTGAGGCAGGAAAGTCACTTGAACCCGGGAGGCGGAGGTTGCAGTGAGCCGAGATCATGCCATTGCGCTCCAGCCTGGGCAACAAGAGCGAAACAGCGAAACTCCGTCTCAAAAATAAATAAATAAATAAATAAATAAATAAATAAATAAATAAATAAAGGACAACTGTGATATCTATTCTTTTGTATCTGGCTTTTCCCACTTAGCATATGTTTTCAAGGTTCATCCATGTTGTAGATAATTTTTTGTCTACAACGTTTTTGGAGATAAATTTGTTTTGTCTACAATTTTTTGTAGACAATTTTTAAATTGCATTTTCTTGTATGAGTGAGATTGAAATCCTGTAATATGTAAGCTTTTATATGATAAAAAGCCATTTGCGTCTTTCTCCATGACCACTTAATTCATGTTTGTAGTCCATTCCTCCTATCCAAGAATAGGAAATAACTTTACATGTACTCAAATATTTTGGCCCATCAGCAGCATTTGAGTTTCTCTTCACATACTTCTTGCACAGTTATGTTAAATAAAACTAGTTCTTTAAATTTACACCAAAAAAATAGCTAGTAATTGAACACTAGTAGCATCATTTCTAAATTAGTCATCTTCTCAATTTGTAAAATTTGAAGTTGTGTTAAAATTCCACAAGGTGGCAGACTGGTTCTACTAAGTTGGGCTTACTGCATGGGTTTAAATAACATCCTAAATGTGTTATATGCATTCAATGGAATAGTATTTAGCTTTAAAAAAGTGATATTCTGACACATGCTTCAACATAAATGAAAAAACTTTGATAAGATTATATTAAGTGAAATAAGCCAGTTACAAAAGGACACATATTGTATGTTCCACTTAAATGTGTAGTCAAAATCAGAAAGACAAAGTAGAATGGTGTTTGGCTGGGAAAAGAAGAAATGGGGAGTTATTGTTTAATGGATCCACAGTTTCACTTTCAGAAGACATAAAAATTCTGAATATGGATGGTGGTGACGACTGCACAACAATGTTAGTGTACTTAATGCCACTAAATTGTACACTTAAGAATGATTAACAAGGTAAATTTTATGTTATTGTATATTTTACCACAATAAAAAAGATGGTAAAAAATAAGATTCAAGTAAAGAAATGTATAAAGAATACAAAAGTCTTCCACTGTACTGTGTATCCTTCCAAAATTTCTGTAAGTACACCCACACCCAGGTGTGGTGTGTACTCAATATTTTACACTGTATTGTTCAATCAAGAGAAATATCCACCTCATCCTTTTTTAGAAAAAAACTTAGGAAAAGTTACTTTTTTCCTATGCAGTAGAATTCTGTGAGATTCACTACATATAGATTTGTGTAACCACCACCAAAATCAGGATACAGAATGATTCCATTACCATCTCTCAACCCCTGCCCCCCAAAAATCAAACTCCTATGCTAGTATTTTACAGTCACAGCCTTCCCAAAATGAACCCTGGGCAACCACTGATCTTTTCTTCCTATCATATTATCTTCTCCAGAGTACCATATAAATGGAAACATGTAATATGTAACCTTTTGAGTCTGCCTTCTTTCACTTAGCAAAATCACCATGTATTCATGGAGGTTGTTGCCTGTGTCAGTAGTTTATTCTTCTCACTACTGGGTAGTATTGCACTACACAGATATACCACAGCATTATTTATCCATTCAACTGTTGAAAGACACTTGGGTGGTTTCCAGTTTCTGGTGATTGTGAATAAAGCTGCTATACAAGTTTTTGTGCAAATGTTAAGTTTTAATTAGTCTAGGGCAAATACACAGGAGAGGGATTGTTGGGTCATAATGTACCCATAATGTAGTTGTATATTTACCTTTGTAAGAAATTACCAAATTGTTTTCCATAGAGGCTGTACCATTTTGCATACCCACTACCAATGTATGAAAGTTTAGTTACTCCACATCCTTGCTGGATATTGATATTGTCAGAATTTTTAATTTTAGCCATTTTAGGAGGTGAATACTGACAGCTCATTATGGTGTTAATTTGCATTTCCTTAGTGATTTATGCTATTGAACTCTTTTCATGTGCCGCCATGTGTTCTCTTTGGTGACATATCTACATATCTATTCAAGTTTTTCCCACATTTTAAAGAACTAGGTTGTTTGTTTTCTCACCATTGTGTTATGAGAGTTGTTTTTATATTCTGAAAACAAGTTCTTGGTTGGATATGTGATTTACGAATATTTTTCTCCCAGTTCATAGTTTCTCTTTTCTATTCTGACAAAACAAAAATTTTCAATTTTTTTTTTTTTTTGGTGGAGGAGACAGGGTCTCACTCTGTTGCCCAAGCTGGAGCACAGTGGCACCAACATGGCTCACTGCAGCCTTGACCTCCTAGGCTCAAGGGATCCTCCTATCTCAGCCTCCTGAGTAGCTGGGCCCACAGGCACATGCCACCATGCTCAGCTAATTTTTTACTTTTTTATTTTTTGGCAGAGATGGAGTCTCACCATGCTGCTCAATTGCTCAGGCTGGTCTTGAACTCCGGGGCACAAGCAATCCTCCTACCTTGGCCTCCCGAAGTGCTGGGATTATAGGTGTGAGCTACTGCGCCTGCCCAAACATTTTCAATTTTTCTGAAACAAATTATCAACTTATTCTTTTATGGATTGTGCTTTTGGTTCAAGTTTGCCTAACCCCAGGTTAGGAAGATTTTTCTCCTATATTTTCTTCTAAAAGTGTTATGGTTCTATATTCATATCTATGATCCATTTTGGATAAAGTTTTGTTTGGATTTTCATTTTGTTCTTTTGCCCATAATGTTCAGTTGTTTCAACACTATTTTTTGAAAAGACTGCTATTACACCATTGAATTGTCTTTTCACCTGTGTCAAAAATAAGTTGATTATATTTGTGTAAGTCTATTTCTAGGCTCTCTATCCTACTTCATTGATTTGTATATTTTTCCCTTGGTCAGAACAACCAAGTCATGATTATGGTAGTTTTATAGTAAGTCTGAAAGTCAGATAGTATGATTCTATCAACTTTATGCTTCTTCAGAATAGTTTTGGTTATTCTCATTCCTTTGCCTTTCTATATAAATTCAAGAATCAGCTTGTCTATACTTAAAAAGATCCTGCAATGATTTTGATTGAAATGAAAACATTTATTATGTTTTTTTCCAATCTATGAACATAGCATATCTCTCATTCAGCGTTTTTTTTTTTTTTTTTTCTTGAGACGGAGTCTTATTCTCTCACCCAGGCTTGAGTGCAGTGGCGCGATCTCGACTCACTGCAAGCTCCACCTCCCGGGTTCATGCCATTCTTCTGCCTCAGCCTCCCAAGTAGCTGGGACCACAGGTGCCTGCCACCACGCCTGGCTAATTTTTTGTATTTTTAGTAGAGACAGGGTTTCACCGTGTTAGCCAGGATGGTCTCGATCTCCTGACCTCATGATCTGCCCGCCTCGGCCTCCCAAAGTGCTGGGATTACAGGTGTGAGCCACCGCGCCCGGCCGCTTGTTCTTCTTCTTCCTCTTCTTCTTCTTTTTTTTTTTTTTTAAACACAGCATTTTGTAGTTTTTAGTATAAACACCCTTTACATGTTTTGTTAGAATCATACCTAAGTGTTGCAATTTGGAGGGAGCAATTTTAAATGGAATTTTATTTCTTAATTTTAATTTCCAATTGCTCATTGTCAGTAAACAGAAATAAAATTGACTTTTGTGTGTTGATATTGTATCCTGTACAAAGCTCAATTCACTTATTAGTTCTAGAAGTGTAACCAAACTCAGGTCCAGCTGCTCACCACCTATCAAGCTAAAAACACAAGAAGCAATGCATGGTAAAAGAAAAGTAACCTTTATTTCAAATGCCATCAGTGAGGGAGATAGCTGAGCTCAAGTCACAAAGAGATCATCTCAAACTTTTGGGCTGACTGAGGGAGTTTCAAAAGAGAAACTTGCTGTGAGAATCATGTAGGAGTGTTGCAGGGTGCAGCTCTGCATGCCTTGTTCTGATGGCTATCTTGAATAATCATCTATTCAGAGGTCTTGTTGGTGTTATCTTGACTTCAGTCTGGTGGTGGTGAACTAATTGTTTATGGACTCCCCTAAAAAGATGGATTTCCCAAGGCCTCCATGCCTGGTTTGTTTCAAGATTAGTCCCTGGAACTTTTAAACAAGGAGATGGTTAGATAAGTGTGTATGGTGCAAGGGAGTGTCTGGTAGAAAGGGGAGAGAAACAAAGAGTTTCAAAGTACATTTCAAGCCCATATTCTGAGTTTAGACAAAAAAGTTCAGAAATGCATTTTATAGCTAAGATACTCAGTTATAGAAGGGCCTATATGCATTTCTCTTACTTTATTTTACCAATGAACGTCCTTTTAAAAATTTACTTTAATTTTTACTTTTAGAGAGAGTCTTGTTCTGTTGCCTAGGCTGGAGTGCAGTGGTATGATCATGGCTTACTGCAACCTCAAACTCCTGGGTCCAAGCGCTCCTCCCACCTCAGCCTCCCAAATAGCTGGGACTACAGGCATATGCCATCATACCTGGCTCATTTTAAAATTTTGCATAGAGACAGAGTATTACTATGTTGCCCAGGCTGGTCTTGAACTCTTGGCTTGAAGCAATCCTCCTACCTTGGCCTCCCAAAGAGTTGGGATTACAGGCATGAGCCACCATGCCCAGCTGACATCCTTGTTTTATATCTGAGTTTAGATGAAAAGCATGTGTTTTTCACCAATAAGTATGATGTTAGCTATATGTTTTTTCTTAATCATATATGGTTAACTCTTTTTTTAAGAGACAGGCTCTGTTGCCCAGGCTAGAGTGCAGTGGTGTGATCATAATTCACTACAGCCTTGAACTTCTGGGCTCAAGCAATCTTCCAACAAAAGCCTACCTAGTAGCAGGTGCACACCACAATGTCTGGCTTATTTTTAAATTTCTTTGTAGAGAGGGAATCTCACTATGTTGGCCAGGCTTGACTTGAACTCCTGGCCTCAAGTAATCCTCCCACTTTGGCCTCCCAAAGTGCTGGGACTGCAGATGTGAGCCACCACACTCAGGCTGTAACTGGTTAATTTTTTTTCTTTTTTTAAAATTAAGTTCCGGGGTACATGTGCAGGATGTGCAGGTTTGTTACATAGGTAAACATGCGTCATAGTGGTTTGCTGCACCTATCAACCCATTACCTAGGTATTAAGCCCAGTATGTATCAGCTCTTTTCTCTAATGATCTCCCACCCCTGCCCTCCCCAAGAAGTCCCCAGTAAATGTTGTTCCCCTCCCTGTGTCCGTGTATTTTCATTTTTCAGCTCTCACTTATAAGTGAGAACATGTGATGTTTGGTTTTCTGTTCCTGCATTAGTTTGCTGAGGATAACGGCTTCCAGATTCATCCACGTGCCTGCAAAAGATATGATCTCATTCCTTTTTATGGCTGCATAGTATTCTATGGTGTATATGTATCATATTTTCTTTATCCAGCCTATCATTGATGGGCATTTGGGTTGACTCCATGTCTTTGTTATTGTGAGTAGTGCTTCAATGAACATACGTGTGCATGTACCTTTAAAATAGAATGATTTCCATTCCTCTGGGTATATACCCAGTAATGGAATTGCTGGATCAAATGGTATTTCTGGTTCTAAATCTTTGAGGAATCACCACACTGTCTTCCACAATGGTTGAACTAATTTACATTCCCACCAACAGTGTAAAAGCGTTCCTATTTCTCTGGAACCTCGCCACAAGGGAATCTCCTGATCCATGGATTGGAAAAAATTGTGGGAAAAGCATAGTACCCCTGGTTGGTGGCACAGTCCCTCACCACTTCCCTTGGCTGGGGGAGGGAGGTTTCCCTGGTCTGTGCACTTTCTGGGTGAAGTGACACCCCACCCTGCTTCTGCTCTCTTTCCATGGGTTGCGCCCACCACCCAGCCAGTCCCAGTGAGATGAACTGGGTACCTCAGTTGGAAATGCAGAAATCACCCACCTTCTCTGTTGGTCCAGCTTGGAGCTGCAGATGGGAGCTGCTTCTATCTGGCCATCTTGGTCCCTCCCTACCGTTAATTTTTATCAAACATTTTTTTCTGTACTAATTGATAAAATCATGAGGTTTTTCTTGGTCTGTAGTTTTCTTGTGCTGTCCTTGTGTTGTGGCCTTTGTAGTTCAGCAGGTGGAAGGGAATGGTGCCCAGCAGTTTTTTTTCTCCCCCATTGCTTAGCGAGCAGGAAGGAGGGTTTCAGTGTTATAGGATTCCTTCGGTGCTACTTTGCCACCTGGAAATCTCTTTGGCTGCCATGAACTCTGTCCAGGACCTCACTTGAGCCTGCTGGGCTCACTCTACAGGCTCGACCCAGCAGGCTCTGCTTGGCTTGCACCCTGGCCTATATCCCACACAGGCTGTGGGATCCGCACTCAACCTGTGGCTGGACCAGGCATGCTGTGAATGGCTTCCACATTAGGCACTGGCATCTAGATGAGGGGAACATGGTGGCACCTGAAAACTTGGAGACGTCAGTAACCACAGAGCCCCAAAGGGTGTTACAGCTCTTGCCTGGGGAGTCCCAAGTTCTGCCCCCAAGAAATGTTACAGCTCTCTCTCATTCCTGCTGCCCACAGCTTGACGAATGGGGTCTTGTTACAGCTTGTTCAGTCCTGCTGCTCGCAGCTTGGCAAGTTCCGGGTTCTTGTCCCGTGACCAAGAGGAATAAGGTACACGGATACCAGAGAGTGAGTAGGGCAGAGAAGAATTTTACTGAGCAAGAGAAAGAAAGCTCTCAGCAGAGAGGGGGCCCAAGAGCAGGTAGTGAGGCTAAGTGGGGTTTTTATGGGCTCAGAATGGGGGAGTACATGCTGATTGGTCCATAGGTGGGCTGGAAAAAGCACCATTTGATCGGCTAAAATGTATCAAGAAAGTTCTCACTCCAGTCACGGACTCTATCCATAGCTGGCAGCTCGGTTTTCAGGCTTCAGGCTGTCTTTGGCTTGAAGGTTGGGTTTCACCAGGGACCTGTCCCTGTCTGCCTAGGAATTTGTCTGTCTCCTTTTTGCTATCACTTGTCTGATTTTGATATCAGGGTAATGTCCTCATAAAATGGGTTAAGAAGTGTTTCCTTCTCTTCCATTTTCCAAAAGAGGTCATGTACTATTGCTATCATTTTTCTTTACATATTTGGTAGAATTCGCCAGTGAAACCATCTCAGCCTGGAATTTCTTCTTCAGAAGGTTTTAACTGTAAGTTCAACTTTTTATTTTTTTTCGACAGTCTTGCTCTGTCACTCAGGCTGGAGTGCAGTGGCATGATCTTAGCTAACTGCAACCTCCGCCCCCCAGGTTCAAGTGATTGTCGTGCCTCAGCCCCCCAAGTTGAGTAGCTGGGACTACAGGTGTGCACCATCATGTCTAGCTAATTTTTATATTTTTAGTAGAGATGGGGTTTTGCCATGTTGGCCAGGCTGGTCTTGAACTTCTGGCCTCAAGTGATTCACCTGCCTTGGCCTCCCAAAGTGTATAAATTCAACTTCTTTAATAGTTACAGTGCTATTTAGGTTGCTTATTTGTCCTGGGTGAGTTTTGGTACTTTGTGGGTTTTGAGGAATTGGTCCATTTGATCTAAGTTTCCAAATGTATGCAAGTGTAATTTTTCAGTATTCCTTATCCTATTTTTTTAAAGTCTCATTAAGTTGCCCAGTTTGGTCTTCAACTCCTGGGCTCAAGAGATTTTCCCACCTCAGCCTCCCAGGTAGCTCTCCTTTTAGGACCCCCTCCTTTTAACTTATTTTCAAGCAGACAAAAATGAAAATGCAATATATCAAAATTTGTGGGATTGTAGGTAAAGCAGTGTCTAGAGGGAAATTTATAGTATTAGATACTTGTATTAAAAAGATTTCAAATCGATATTCTAAGCTTCCACTTTAATAAATTGGAAATTAAAACGAAAGTAAAACCAAAACAAATGGAAGAAAGGAAATAATGAAGATAATTGCAGAAATCAATGCAATTGAAAACAGATGAATGAGAAAATGAAACCAAAATCTTATTTGAAAAAAAATCACTGAGAATGATAAACCTATAGTCAGAATGACGAGGGAAAAAAGAGAAAAGACACATTAGCAATAGTATGAATGATATCCCTACAGAAGCTACTGCTGGTAAGAAAATAGGCAAAGACTATGAATAACTCTATGGCTATAAATTTGGCAACTGAGGTAAAATGGAACAACTTCTTGAAGGACACAAAGTACTAAAACTCATTCAAGATCAAATATGTATCCTGAATGTTCCTATATCTATTAAAGAAATTGAATTCATGGATAAAAACTTTTAAATAAAACTCCATGCCCAGATTGTTTCAATGGTGAATTCTACAAAATCTCTTCCAGAACATAGAAGAGGAAAAAATACTTCTCTACTCATTTCATGTGATCAGGATTACTCTGATACAAAAAACAGACTTACATAAATGTGGTGATATGGTTTGAATTTGTGTCCCTCCCAAATCTCATGTCAAATTGTAACCCCCAGTGTTGGAAGAGGGGCCTGGTGGGACTTCAATAGATATTTCTCCAAAGATATGTAAATGGCCAAAAAGCAAATGAAAAGATATTCAACATCACTAGAGAAATGCAAGTCAAAACCACAATGAGACACCACATCCATTAGGATGGTTATCATAAAAGAAAAAAGAACCCTAAGAAACAGAAATAATATAAACATTGCTAGTGGAATGTAAAATGGTACAACTATTGTGGAAAACTGTATGATGATACCTCAAAAAATTAAACATGGAATTACTATATGATCCAGCAGTTCCTCTTCTGAGTATATACCCAAAGGAATTGAAAGCAGGGACTCAAACACTTATTTGTATACACATGTTTATAGCAGCATTATTCACAATAGCCCAAAGGTGGAAGCAACCTGAGTGTCCATCAATGAATGAATAAACACCATGTGTTATACACTTACAATGTGTGGTGGTTAATTTTAGGTGTCAACTTGATTAAAGAATACTCAGAAACCTGGTAATCCATTATTTTGGGGTGTGGCTGTGAGGGTGTTTCCAGAGGAGATCAGCATGTGAGTCTGAGTGGACTAGGTAGGGAAGATCTACCCTCAATGTGGGCGGGCACCGTGCAATCTGCTGGGGGCCCAGACAGAACAAAAACAGAGACAAGGTGAATATGTTGGTGTATCTGTGGGATCTGGGGTACACTCTTTCTCTTCTGTCCTTGTGCAACAACTCCAGGCTTCCTGGCCTTTGGGCTTCAGGACTTACACTAGTGGCTTTCTGGGTTCTCAGGTCTTTGGTCTTGGTCTGAGAGTTACACTCTCGGCATCCCTGGGTCTGAAGCCTTCAGACATGGACTGAACCATGCTCCTGGCATTCCAGGGTCTCCAGCTTGCAGACGGCCTGTTGTGGGACTTCTCAGCCTCCATACTGTATGAGCCAATTTCCCTAATAATCCCATAATCCTCTCTTATCTGTCTATCTATCTATCTATCTATCTATCTATCTATCTATCTATCTACCTATCTTTCTATCTCTTATTGGTTCTGTGTCTCTGGAGAACTCTAATACACATTCCTTTTCAGCCTTAAAAGGAAATAAAATTCTGACACATGCCATAACATGGATAGACCTTTAAGACATTATGCACAGAGAAATAAGGCAGGCAAAAAAGGAGAAATATGGCATGACCCTACTTACTTGACCTATCTGGAATGCTCCAGTATATAGAGGAGAAGAAAGTAAGACAGTGGTTACTAGGGGTTGGGACCACTGTCTTGCTTTCTGTCAGGGAGGAATGCGGAATTATTATTTAATGGGTACAGAGTTTCAATTTGGGATGATGAAAAAGTTCTGGAGATGGATGGTAATGATTTTACAACAACATGAATGTACTTAATGTCACTGACCTGTACACCTAAAAATTGCTAAAATGGTAAATTTTATGTTATGTGCATTTCACTGCAATTTTTAAAAAAGGAAAAAAAAATTGTAGTCATCAGTGACTCAGTGCTTATGATGATAGCTATGGAACTGCAGCAATTTGCTACCTCCTTAATTTTCATAGTATTTTATAGGTAAGCAGACAAGCTGAGAAAGTCAAGCTCCATCCATGAGTTGTATTATAGTTTATCTTTCTGGTCTACCAGTAGTTCCTCCCTCTCTGCACATTTCCCTCCCCTCTGCTGCTCATTCTTAAACCCTTGACTTCACAGGCTGGGAGTATTCAGGAAAAAGGCAAGTTTTTAATAGACTTTCTGAATCGTAAACATTTTTTTCTATTTGTGTATGCTGAAATGTTTTTCTTTAATCCTGAATATTTTATTAAATTTGTGATTTTTCTCTTTAATCTGTTAGCATGGTGTATGATGATAATGGGTTTTCTGATGTTGAGCCATTCCTTGCATTCCTTGGGATCACCTTACCTAATCATATTATATACTGTTGAGCTTGATTTGCTATTTTATCTAGGATTCTTTTATCTATATTAATTTCTGCTTTTCCTATGAGGTTTTGTCCAGCTCTGAAATTTTGCCCACCTTACAACTACAAGTTAGCCTGTTACTGTTTCATGGATGCTGGAAGATGTGACACTCCTGGGTCACCGAGAAAGAACTTACGGCTCACAGCAATAAAGAAGTTTACATCAGTTCCCCTTGACCCCTGAATCCCACAAGAGCAAAGTGAAACGTTCCAGACAGGGGCTGCACATGTAGTGAGTTTAGGTGGCATATAGCAGTTGAAGGACACTGGGCTTGGGGAATCTACCTCCTTTATATTATACAACACCTGCCCTTTGCCTCAGAATCTTTTTTTTTTTTTTTTTGAGACGTAGTCTTGCTCTGTCACCAGGCTGGAGTGCAATGGCGCCATCTCGGCTCACTGCAACTTCCAACTCCCCGGTTCGAGCGATTTTCCTGCCTCAGCCTCCGAAGTAGCTGGGATTACAGGCACGCACCATCATGCCTAGCTCATTTTTGTATTTTTAGTAGAGACGGGATTTCACCATGTTGGTCAGGATGGTATCGATCTCCTGACATCATGATCCATCCGCCTCGGCCTCCCAAAGTGCTGGGATTACAGGCGTGAGCCACCGTGCCCAGCCAGAACCTCATTCTTCAAGGTTGCTCACTGATAACTGGCCAAGGCAAAGAGTGGTCAGGGCCTTACATTCTCGACATATCTGGAAAGTGCAGGTACTCTCAGGGTCCAAGGCAAATTGCCTTTCCTAACGTGGTTTTCATATCAAGGTTACACTAACCTCAATTAACATGAGCTTTCTCTTTTAAATCCCAGAAACTATTTGGATAAATGAGGGATTTATGTCTTGAAGTTTTGGTCAAACACTGTAAACTGGGCCTATGTTTGGGGTGGAGAAGGGGAGAATTTTGATGTAATAATTTTTTTTTTCTTGAGTGAACATTTTGTATTTTCCCAGAAAGCTAATCTGTATCAAAAAGTTCTCAAATGTATAGGCTGATTTTTTATAATTGCTTGAATCTACTCTATTTATATCTCCTTTTTCATTGAAGATATTTCTATTTGTGACTTTTTTTGCCAGTCTGACAAGTTATGTTCCCTCCCAAAAATCAGCCTTTGGTCCACATTCTACAGCTTTTGCATTTTCCTCTCATCTCCATCCTCTGACACAGAGTGATGGGGACTATCTGAATCTTCCATATACCCGTTAACAGGTTCCAGCTGGAGTGGGAACCATAGTTCCTATTTCATCCTGTTTTTGTGGGCTGGTCCAGCACACCTTCTACCTTCAGAATTTCTGTGAAAGAAGGGACAAGTCTCTGTGCTCACCACACTCCTAGAGGTGCATTTCCAGTTATTAAAAGAACTTCCTCACCTTGCACTGATCTAGCAGTGGCACTATGGTAGGTCTGTGAGTTTCTGAAGCAGAGTAATCTATTCAACCAAAGGGGATGCTTAATTTCATCTGTGCAGGCACCCCCAACCAGGTAATTCTGATACCCATCCCCTTCGCTTGGTCTGAGAAACAGAAATGTTGGTGACGTGGTCTCTCAGTAAGCCCTAGATGAAGGGGGGATGGTATTGTCCACTTGTTACTGATTGTAGTGAATGCTTATAATTTTATGTGGCCTTGGCACTCATTGGGAATATAAGTTGGACTTTCCCATACAGAAGCAGAGCTCAGTCACCCTTGACACAGTTTCCAGTTCTATGTCTCCCAGTTCCTCAATGTGGTCCATCCAGATGGCTGCCTTATACAGCTGCTCACTGTCAACCACTTTGCTATGGCACAGCTAGATGCAGCTTGCCTGTCTGGCCTCATTGACCCTCACATGGGCTGTGTGGATATGTCACAGTGACCACCTCTCAGTCACAGAGTGGTCTCCTGGAACTTATGCCTGCTTGCTTTCAACCTAATTGAAACTCCTCAAGGGAAACTTGTTTGAATAATGCCCTGGACCCAATAAAGGCACTGGCCCATATGTCCCTCTCTTTCCCTGCCTGCATTCTCTGACCTCCATGTGTGTGGCCTCCAGATGTGCCATGTACTTCCCAGGACCTATAAATAATAATACCTGGAGTCTCTCTCAAGCATTGAGTCTCATCACAAGCTCTCCATCGTAAAAATCTTGAATTAAAACACTGACTCTCTTGAGAGTGTAGAATATTAATAATGCTTCTTCTACAGCTTTAGGTCCAGTTGTTAAAAAAAAAAAAAAAAAGAGAGACACCCGAAAACAAACTGTGGACCAATATTTTTTGAAGTGTCCTTTGTGATAAACAATTTAAAAATTGAATAAGGCCACCCAATACAATATTATAAATGAATTGATTAGTATACTACAATCCAGATGATAATTTAAAAATTCAGATAGCTCAATTTTTTAGGAACAGAAAGTAGAATGGTGGTTACCAGGGGCTAAGGGAAAATGGGGAGTTGGCGTTGAGTGGGTATAGAGTTTCAGTGTTGCAGGATGAAGAAGTTCTGGAGATTCATTGCACAACATGAATATACTTAAAACTACTGAACTCTACAGTTAAAAATGGTTCCAATGGTAAAAAAAATTTTTTTTTAAAAAGAAAACCAGACATCTGACGTCAAGCTGATATAAGGAATTTATTGTGTAAAAAAGAAACATCTAGAGAATGCCACAGACAGGCCTAGTATGGCTACAGTACCGTATATAAAAGACAATTGCTCACAATGATAGCACTGAAGCACTGAGAGATATCAAAGTACTTTCTGAATCGAATCAAATGATACTTAGTGTAGTTTTAATATCCTCATATATATCAAAGTTTTACTACTCTGATAATTTTGTAAACCAGGTAACCAGAACATCCAGTCATACAGCTTTTGGTGATATATAACTTGGCAATAACCCAGTCTGGTGATACATAAAACTACTCACTGTACTCATCTGGTATATACCCGCACGAACATTTTGAAATTCCAATTTCTTGGTCAAGTGATATATTGCTTGAATTCATTAAATATATTTAGATTTCTGTATTATACAAAGTTAAATGTACAACTAAATTAGTATATGAAAAGTGCTCACTACGTTTTTACGGGAAATAATCCTGACAAAAATGTTTAATGAATGTACTCTATACTAATTCTGCCTTTTTATACTTAATTCTAAATTTCTCCCCTCTAATTTACAACAAATTTTGTGATTTTTATAAGAATCTATGCCTCCCCAATTCTCAGATTCTTCTCTTTTCTCCTTTATTTCTTTGCTTAAATTCAGTATAAGCTTTCTTGGTATTTTAGGCTTCATGCACATTCTTATTCCTAAACACCAGCAGTTCTTCAGAGACCTAAAATCCAGTATAGGAATAACTGTGTTAGTTCTTGAAAAAGCATTAAAGACATTTTTCCCTGAAACATACAGAACATGTCATGCCAAATCTCTTGTTTACATAATAAACTGGTAATACCGGTGAATTGCACATACAGATTTTATCTCCAAGATAGAATAACTTAAATATTAAAACGTACCTTTAACTGACTTTGTAACAGACAGCAATATTCAATACAAAAATCACAAAACCCACTAACTTTAAACGCTGCATAGTACAGCATACAAACTCATCTCCCTATGACCTACTGAAACTATGACAACTTTTTAAGCTACTCTAGCATTTAAACCTTAACTAGAAATTTATACGAAACACGATTTTATGTTCAAATATGGAAATAAGTAACATAATTCCAAAACCCAAAAGCATCCCAGCATTCTGTAAAAAGAAATACCCCCAGCGGCTACATCCATGGTCACTAGCATCATTGTGCAGCATTTCAGGTACCTTTAAAAAAAAGTAAGGGAAAATAAGAGTGACATTTAAGTTTTTAGAACTACAGATTAGTTTTTAGAAAAATTTATAGGACAGTATACTAGCTTTATTTGTAGCTAGATATACTGTGAGTTAATTCCTTAAAACATGATTACATACATACTGACTCTAGCTAACAATGTCACACAGCATTTCCTAGCAGTTTAACAATGATTACTCATGATGTTCTGGGCAAGAAAAAGTTTGTATTGGTTCCAGTTTCCACTGGAAAATGAAAAGCGATATTGATTTTCCTACTTCAGTTACTGGCTGCATATCTGAACTGGATATAACATGTAGTTTGTCTTTAGTTCAGAGATAGAAAACCTTATACTATATAAGATACATATTGTCTTTGATTGCTTACAAAGTAAAAAATAAAAATAAAATAATAAAATACAATTTTAGCGGTAAGATTGGTTGGGATTGTTTTGAGGACATTAGTGACAAAAAGATATGACTCCTTTGTTGATTAATAAACTAAGCATTCTGAAGTATACAGCATGCCAACAATATGCATCTTGTCCTAGACTTCCTACAAATCTATAGAAAATTCACTGCCTGATTACTGAGATCATACCCTAAAATGATACATCAGAAGGATGTAGATATTTTTGTGAATCTGGACACATATTAAGCAAGATAAAGGTGTGATCAACAATCCAAAAAAAAAAAAAAAACTCTAAAGAACCTATATTCTTATATGCCACAAATTTCTGAATATAGAATCACTTCTCATAATGACTGCATTTAAAATCTTTTTTAAAAAAATGATTTTTTTTTTGAGACAGAGTCTTGCTCTGTTGTCCAGGCTGGAGTGCAGTAGTACAATCTCAGCTCACTGCAACCTCCATCTCCTGGGTTCAAGTGATTCTCCTGCCTCAGCCTCCCAAGTAGCTGGGACTACAGGCGCATGCCACCAACCCTGGTTAATTTTTTTGTAGTTTTTAGTTGAGACAGGGTTTCACCATGTTGGCCAGCCTGGTCTCGAACTCCTGACCTCACGTGATCTGCCTGGTTTGGTCTCCCAAAATGTTGGACTAACAGGCATGAGCCACCGTGCCCAGCCAAAAAAAAAGATATTTTATTGAGCCTATAGTCCTAGCTACTCAGGAGGCTGAGATGGAAGGATCATTTGGGCTCAGGAATTTGAGACCAGCCTGGACGACATAGCAAGATTCCACTTCCTGCTCCCCCAAAAAGAGAGAAAAAAAATGAGGCTTTACCGAATATTTTCTCTATTTTATTGTTGGTCAATAATGTAATAAGACTTCTTAAAAACTTACCATATCAACCAGAGCAACATACATGAATAAGCCAGCAGTAAGTGCAAATATCCACATAGAAACATTTTCAGCATAATGACCAATGAAAATTCCTGTTGCCATTCCAAGATACGCCAGCATGGCTGACAATGCATTATAAAGGACAGCCTGCTTAACGGTCATGCCAGCCTTTAGTAGAACAGCAAAGTCACCTTTAACAGAAAACAAAAAAGGAGGAAAAAGTCATTGAGAAATCATTTTTAAGACACATACCAAGATACTTCCCAGATTTAAGAAAATTTTCCAGTGTTTTTGAGAGGGGGAAAAGAAAACAAAATTAAGAATGACCTAGGGTTAAAGCAGTGTTAGTAAATCACCCTAACAGCTGTAGAAACTATTGTTTTTCCTTTTTATTCTTCATCATTCAACTTGATGTACAAACTTTTTTTTTTTTTCTTTTTTTTGAGACAGTATCTTGCTCTGTCACCCAGGCTGGAGTGCAGTGGCACCGATCTTGGCTCATTGCAACCTCTGCTTCCTGGGTTCAAGCCATTCCTGTGCCTCAGCCTCCTGGGTAGCTAGGACTACAAGTGCATGCCACCACACCTGGATAATTTTTTTACTTTTAGTA
Source organism: Homo sapiens (assembly GCF_000001405.40). NCBI lineage: Eukaryota > Metazoa > Chordata > Mammalia > Primates > Hominidae > Homo > Homo sapiens. Next base: position 36,111,669 of record NC_000018.10, read on the forward strand.
GAGACGGGGTTTCACCATGTTGACCAGGGTGGTTTTGAACTTCTGACCTCAGGTGATCCCCTTGCCCCGGCCTCCCGAAGTGCTGGGATTAAAGGCGTGAGCCACTGCACCTGGCCAGATACCTTAACCAAAAAAATTTTTTAAGGCTTACACTTTGTCAAAATGATAAACACTAAAAATTTAATATTGTGGTCTTGCAGTGTTTTCAAGGAGCTTGGAATTTGGCCACAAAGAAGGGAGGAATGGGTGGAGAACACACATGAGATGATCAGCAAATGATAATGGTAATGCATAAAAAACAGCTGAAGAGTTCAATGCTACAATTATAAAAGGAGAAAAGAGACACATGAAGATGGAAATAAGAGAGGGGCTTCATGGGACTTGAATGTGGAACATAGATGCTGAAGATGATAAGGAATGGCTGAACATATAACAAGGAACAAAAGTGAAAATGGCATCAGCGGTATGTGTGTGAATATATCTCCAAAACAAGAAAAACAAGGACGTGAACTGGGATCCAGAACTTGGGAAGGTTTTAATGCCTAGTGACAAAGAAGAACAATATTGAAAACACAACTCATCCACTTCCCTTCAATTCCAATGAGATTCTCTTTCTCAACTTTTGTTAATGGAAGATGATTCCTTTGTATCCTGTAGTCTTATTCACCTTGTGTGTATGAAGATGATCCCTGATGTCATCAGTATGCTGGTTAGCAGACTTATGAGAAGGCATGAAATTGATGAAGAAGCTTGCTGAACTACCATTAGCAAAAGCCAGTGACACTAGAACATTTCACCCACTTGGCAAATACAATTTATGTGGTTCTCTTACCTAATTCATGAGGCAACTCATGACAGAACACAGCAACAGAAGTACTTAAACCACTTGATAAGCCTTCAGTAAAAGCAGCACCTGTGTAAAAATCAATCAGAAAAAGTTTGGCTACATTAATTTGTGTTTTTTAATCTTATCAGTATGCAAAATGAGGTAACAAGAAAATGGTATTTTGGCTGTGAATGAATAGAAGTTTCCCAAACCAACTCTGTATCTTCTTTGTAAGAAATCTTAGAGTACATTCCATGAGGTCTAAATTTCCCAAAGGAGCACATCGGGCATGAAAGAGAAGGGAAGGTTTTCTAGGCCTTAGAATGAGCGGATAAAGTTATACAAATCTGAGGAGTAACTGCTACCATATAAAAGGCATATTCAAGAATATAAAATAAACTGTTTAAAAGGTTTAGGAAAAAACTCTCCTGTCAAGGGTATAAACATGTTTCACTTGCCTCAGAGGAATTTACTATGTAACTAGATGTTTACATTTATTCTTTCACTGTTTCAGTGAGAAAACTCTAAGACAAATAGCCGTCCCCTTTTAAAAATCTGACATATTATACAATCAATCAATTATAAACCATGACTGTGCATATATATTTTTTTTTTTCAGAGACAGGGTTTCATTCTGTTGGCCAGGTTGGAGTATAGTGGTGAGATCATAGCTCACTAGAACCTCAAACTCCCGGGCTCAAGCGTTCCATCTACCTCAGCCTACCAGGCAGCTGGGACTACAGGTGTGTACCACCATACCTGGCTAATTTTTTTTTTTTTTATTTGTAGAGATAAGGTCTCACTATGCTGTCTAGGCTGGTCTTGAACTCCTGGGCTTAAGCGATCCTCCTGCCTTGGCCACCCAAAGTGCTGGGAATACAGACATGAGCTACCGCACCCAGCCGACTGTGCAATCGGACATTCCTCCTTTGTCTGTTTCAGCTCTGCATAATATAGTACAAGAGGAAGAGCACTCGACTCCCAGGGAGCCAAGGCCAGGCCTAGCTATAACACAGCACAGCCTCCTTGGACAAGTGGCGTCACCTTGACAGGCCTCAGCTGCCTAATTGCATGGTTCCTTCCAGCACTAAATTATTAAAATTTGTAAGTATTCTGTTATCTCCCAATTGTGGTATAACAATTTATTAGCAAAAGTTCTATAATTCTTCATAGGATAGAGACTGGTAACTGGACTTAGATGTATGAAGATTCCTTTAGCATAAAAGATGATGGAAAATATAATTTTACTTTTATAAATATTATATTATCGATAAGGGAACTTCAATGTATAGGGAGAAAAAAAAATCTCATACATGCACCATACAAATTAAAGACTGATCTTAAGACCTTGCAATTTAAGAACAGCTTTTGACAGTTACAATTTAGGTAATGGGCTAGGTACAATTCCTAGCATTTAATCATACCTAACATTTATTGAGCACTTCATTGTCAAAGTAGTAAAAGAAAAAGTAACATTTTTATAATCTTGGAAGTCACTAATATCCTCATCTAAACTAATCTATTCTTTGTTAAAATTTGACTAGGTGTTTAATGTGACATTTTCAGAATCAATCAACAAGGAACAAATATGTAGATATATACCAATTGCTAGGCCATCGCTGAAATTGTGCAGGCCATCACCCATTATCACCATCCAGGCCAGAGTGGCGACGCCGGCATCTTTCAGCTCCTCCCGAGAGTAGCGCTGGCTGTGACTGTGAGGATGGTGGTTTTGGTGGTGGTGATGATGGAGAATATGATGGTAGTCATGATGGTGGTGAATGAGATCGTCTGACTGGCCGAGTGTATCGTGGAAATGTGAATGGCATTTATTCTTGCACCCTCTGGGTACATATTCATTGTAGACTTCCTGTGGATGAGCATGAGCTATCATGACCTCTTCTTCTTCCAAGACTGCAGGCTGCTGAGAATCAAAGTGGGAGGGCTCTTGTGAGTCTGCTCGTAAATAGCCTTCAGTTCCTAGGAATAAACATAAAGGGCATGGGGACAGTTAGAAGGCTTTGTTAATGGACTTGGAGACATTTCAAACCTCATTGAAAAAGTCAACAGAAGATCTTAAAGCATGATAACTCCTTCATATCTGCAGAACTAAATATTAAAGTATTACTGATGAAAAACATCAAAAGATTTTAATGAATTCCAGAAATGGAATGGTCTCAAATATTAAGAATGGATTTTAAATGTTAACCTTCAATAACTACCTCTCAGATGCTCCCTCAATTTCTTCTGCCTCCCTACCTTTTTAAAAATGACTTTTTTCCTCATCCTAAGAGAAGAACCTGCTTGTTTTAGAAAACATGTTATGTTATTTAAAATATTTATTTTAGAAAAATATCTTAGAGAAGTAATGAAAATTAGAAATAAAAAAACATGCATAATCCTGCCATCTGACTTCCTCTTTTTTGGAAGGCAAAATTCAAGGAAAAAACAGAGAATCCGAATTATTTCATCATCACCAAGAAGCATTTATTATCTATCTGTGCAAAGGAAAATAAATTGCCACAATAAGGTTATTTTTTTTCTCCTGTACATAGTTATCAATTTTCTTGGAACCATCCCTGACACTGCAGTCCATTTCTAGGGCAGGTATTTCCTCCCCATCATTACACATTTCACTGGAGTCCATTTAAAAAACTGAAGAGGGGGCCGGGCGTGGTGGCTCACGCCTGTAATCCCAGCACTTTGGGAGGCAGAGGTGGGCGGATCACAACGTCAGGGGATCGAGACCATCCTGGCTAACATGGTGAAACCCCGTCTCTACTAAAAATACAAAAAAAATAGCCAGGCATGGTGGCGGGTGCCTGTAGTCCCAGTTACTCGGGAGGCTGAGGCAGGAGAATGGCGTGAACCCGGGAGGCGGAGCTTGCAGTGAGCTGGGATCGCACCACTGCACTCCAGCCTGGGTGACAGAGTGAGACTCCGTCTCAAAAAAAAAAAAAAAATTAAAACAACAACAACAACAACAACAACAACAACAACCATATATCAAAACAGTGTGGTCTAGGCACAGTGGCTCATGCCTGCTGTCGTTGGGTGCTGAGGGAAGGCCTCTAAAGGAGATACCTGATTTGAGACCTGCACAACAAGAGGAGGAATGCATGTAATGGTCTCAGAGAACGGTATTCCAAGTACAAGGAATAGTGAGTGCATGGCCCGGAGACAAGCCTTATGTGCTCCCAGCGTGAAAAGAGGGCCAGTGGGGCTGGAGCACAGTGAACAATGCGGGAGAGTGGTGGGCTCAGCGGGACCTTGAAGATCATGGCAAGGAGCTGGGTTGAAAACATGAATCTTAACTCAGTCTGTCCGACAAGATATGCCAAGCAAACAGCCAAGTTTCAGGAAAAACAGGAGAAACATGGTAGATACAACCTTAGGCAAGTGATCAAAATTACCACCACCAATAAGTGACAAAGAATCATATCAGGTGGCACACCATGTGACAGAAAAGGACAAGTACCATTTTGCGGTATTCCTGCCAAAACTGATCAACCTAATCATGCAAAAATACTAAACAAACCCAAAAGTAGAGGCAACTAAATGCAATATTTGATCCTGAATTGTACTCTGGAACAATATTTTGGTGGGGGTTGGGGGAGTGTTGGCATAAAAAGCACTATTAAGGCATTTGGAAGAATAACGTCTACAGAGAATGGCACTGTATCAGTATAAATTTCCTGATTTAATAATTAAACTCTGGTTATATGAGAGAATGTCCATTTTCCTAGGAAACATAAGTATTTAGGAGTAAAGAAACATCATGTCTATAACTTACTCTCAAATGGTTTAGAAAAAAAGTGTGTGTAGCTGGCCCTTTAGTCACTAAAAAATTAAAGAAAAAGGTGTGTGTGTAGACAGAGCTAGAGAAAGACAGTGTGGTAAAATAACTGGGGAATATGAGTGAATGGGATACAGGAATTCTTTGTACGATTCTTAAACTTTTCTATGAATATGAATTTACTTCAAAATAAAAAGTTACAGAAAAAATAAATGTAAATATACAAAAACAATGTACTCACTGGCAATATTTTACAAAGTATGAGATACTGCAAAAACCAAAACCAAGGGACATGGTCCCATTTCTTCCAGATAGTCAAGTTGCCTGCAAATCATACAGCAATGAACTCCCTCCAGCCCTAAAATTTATGCATAAGAACTTACGATCATCTGTATCTACTTTCTCCTCATTTGTTGAAAGTTGAGATTCATACTTGGACAACTGCTTCTTAATCTCCACATCATCATCATTTTCAGGTTTCTTCTGATTCTAAAATAGTGAGGGAAAACAATACTTTAAAACAGTAATTTGTTTATATGTACAGCTTTCAATCAATAACCAGGTAAGCAAAACACACAGAATGCCCCCACAGTCATCTACTCTTAAGTATGTTCCCACACTAGCAGCACACTATCTCCTGGGAACTTGTCAGAAATGCATACTCCCGGCCAGGCGCGGCGGCTCACGCCTGTAATCGCAGCACTTTGGGAGGCCAAGGCAGGCAGATCATGAGGTCAGGAGTTCGAGACCAGCCTGGCCAATACGGTGAAACTCCATCTCTACTAAAAATACAAAAATTAGCCGGGTGTGGTGGCATGCGCCTGTATTCCCAGCTACTTGGGAAGCTGAGGCACAAGAATTGCTTGAACTCGGGAGGTGGAGGTTGCAGTGAGCCAAGATCGTGCCACTGCACTCCAGCCTGGGTGACAAAGGGAGACACTGTCTCAAAAAACAACAAAAAAATCCAGCTAGGGGCATTTCCTTCAGGCATCTAGTGATCTGGTAACCACCTGCCTGGCTTCTTCCATGCCTCTTCTGCACACTGAAACCCCAAACTTCCCATACTTTTTATAACCTAAAACTATAGTTTTTTAGTTATTAAAACACTTTTCTTTAATAAAACACCATTAACATGATTTCTCTTTTAAAACAAGCCTCTATTAACCCTGAATTCATCACTGGGCTTTTTAACCATCCCAAATACCATACCAGAGATATTGTCCCTAAGTCCAAGCAGCCTTTATGTTGTGTAAAGGTCACTGTTTGAACAATGGTGTCTGTGTATCATCTACTTATACAGAACATTTAAAATAAAAGTTATCACATAAATAACAGATTTCTTATTTGCAGTACCTTTGAATATGATGATCACCACCATACCTAAGATTTCATTCAAGCTCTAATACCATATCAAGTGTCTATACATTCTTAGATTTTAAGAGCTTTTAAAGGCAAACACGGCCGGGCATGGTGGCGAACGCCTGTAATCCCAGCACTTTGGGAGGCCGAGGTGGGCGGATCACAAGGTCAGGAGATCGAGACCATCCTGGCTAACATGGTGAAACCCCGTCTCTACTAAAAATACAAAAAATTAGCCGGGCGTGTTGGCGGGTGCCTGTAGTCCCAGCTACCCAGGAGGCTGAGGCAGGAGAATGGCGTGAATCTGGGAGGCGGAGCTTGCAGTGAGCAGAGATCGCGCCACTGCACTCCAGCCGGGGCGACAGAGTGAGACTCCATCTCAAAAAAAAAAAAAAAGGCAAACACACACACAAATCTTTACACTTATCCTGAATATAATGCCTCAATCAGAGAAAGTACTTAAATATTTGTAAAAATAAATGAACTCAGGGTATCTTAAATCATTTATGCTGGTGCTTTATTTCTCATTGGGCAATTGTTCTAGAAAGTAGTTTAACCAATTCTTTCATTCCATAAGTATTAAGGGCCCACAGTGTTCCCTATGCTAAATGCTGGGAGCAGAACATAAAATAAGCCCCACAGTCTCTGTTCTCATGGAGCTTACTATCCACAGGGAGAGGGTTTTACACAGGTAATGATTATATACTTCTTTGACTATAATTTTTGACACATTTTACAATAGAAAAGAACAGAGTGCTATTAAGAATGTATAATAACATGACCTCAATAATTTCCAGATGGCCACTGAAAAAATATAACTTATACCAAGACCTAAAGATAGGTAGGAATTTGGTGGGGAAGGTTGGGGAGGCAGCATTCCAGGCAGGGAGTAGCACCAGGAAGGGGCCAGCACTGTTCTGGAACTCAAAGAAGTACAAGGTGGCCGGGGCCTACTAGGTCAGAGAGGGTGGCCAGAGATGAGGCTGAGGCAACTAAAGGAGATCAGACAATAGAACTCTGTTGAGAATAGTGGGCTTTGTCCAAAAACTAATGGAGCCACTGGAGGAAGGATTTTAAGTAGTGGTGTGCAACCTCATCATATTTTCATTTAAACAAATCACTGCCCGCTCTGTGAAATCTAGATTGGGAAAAGGAGGAAAACAAAATAACGTGGACAGGCTCCTATTAGGAGGCAGTAACTGTCACTCAGGTGGGAAGTAACCATGGCCTGGACTAGAATGACAGCAAGAAAGATGGAGAGGAATGGAGAGACCATGGACATATTTATTAAAACTTGGTTGGATGTGGGGATGAGGGGGATATCAGAGATGATTCTCTAGTTTTCGGCATGAACAATAACCTTCACTAGCAGAAGGTGAACCTTAAGCAGCAGAAGGCCTATAACCTAAAAATATGATATACAGAATCTCCCAGGGATGCAGGATGGATCTCTTAAGAAAAATCCTAAGTAAAATGCCCTGTTACGAGCTTGAAGAACTCCCCATACTCACAATATAATGAGTAGTAGTTTTCTTTTTGAGAGAATTAGATTAAAAATTATTAAGTAAGTAACTTTAATATCTGGATGCCTTTAACAAAAGATAAACTCAGCATATTCCAAAAAGGGAAGAGAACATGTAACATTTGCAAAACTCCTATGGGAAGTCTTCATCTAGAAATTATGCTTATTTGCTGTTTCATGCTCCTTAAACATTCAATATTTACTACCATCGATTATGTACCAGACACTATTCTACACATTGGAGACAGAGCTGTAAACAAGACAGAGAGATCCTGGCTTTTAAGAGCTTACATTCTAGTAGATACTATTTTAAAGCAGAGTGCATCAAACTACTCTGACTATGACCCACATTAATATATGTAATGTAAAATAGTAATATATAATATTATTGTTGCATTTAAAAATATTGGTTATGACATACAGATTGATTTTACAACTCACTAACAATCTAGAGTTATAACCTAGAGTTAAAAAAGAAAAAATTATTCTGTGTCAGATAACAGAGGGCCTATTTCTTGGAGTCCTAGGTTAAAGAGGGCTAAGTTAAAGAAAAGCTATCCTTAGCTGGGCATGGTGGCATGAGCCTGTAGTCTCAGTTACTTGGGAGGCTGAGGTGGGAGGATTGCTTAAATCCAGGAATTTGAAGCGCAATGAGCTATGATCATGCCACTGCACTCTAACCTGGGCAACAGAGGAAGATGCTGTCTCTTAAAAAAAGATACTGTTTTCTTAAAAAAAGAAAAAAAAAGAAAAGCTGTATTTAGGTAAAATTTGGAAATGAAATTGAAATGAGAATGTTAAATAAATTATGACATTTTGACCCAGATGTACAGTTAAAAAAAGAAGAAAACAACCCAATCCCCAAGTCTCCCAGAATGAAAACTGATCTTTTTTTTAAATGTAAGAAAAACTGCAGAAGACTTAAAGAAGTAGGAATAAACTAGTCCATATATGGCAGATAACCTAAAACTATGATACATGGGATCTCCCAGAGGTGCAAGATGGCTCTCTTAAGGAAAATTCTAAGTAAAAAATGCCTGAAGAGCTCCCAGTACTCACCATATAATGAGTAGCTTTTTTTTTTCTTTTTGAGATAATTAAATGAGATTAGAAACTATTCAATAACATTAAGAAACAGTCCAAGGGAAGCAATTGCGTCAATGGGAACACAGAAGATGACTTCCTTGATTAAGAATAAATAAGCTATTCTTATTTTACTTCTTCCCTCTATATTTAGGTCCACTAAAGAGAAGGCTCAAAATTTTTAATTTGAGATTTCAGTGAACGTAAAATCCCTAAGAGCAAATACTCCTAGTATGTAAACACTCTCCTGTTTACACATGCATTTGTTTCCCACAGTGAGCTCTATGCTCAGCAAAAATCAACTGTGTTAGTTTTGAAACCTCTTCACGCCAGTTATACTTATTACTGTAATTGCACAATTTAATTACACATTGCTCAAACTATGAAATGATGGTAAGGAGTTACTTCTTTTTTGGGGGGTAGAGACAGTGTCTTGCTATGTTGCCCAGGCTGCTCTCAAACTCCTGGCCTCAAGCAATCCTGCTGCTTCAGCCTCCCAAAGTGCTAGGATCATAGGCGTGAGCCACCGTGCCTGGTAGGGGATACTTAATTCCGTGAACACAAAAGCTGAATACTTGGAAGATTCAAAGGCAAGGTGCTAAAAAAAGATATCAAATTACGTAAGGCTACCACTGAATAAATTTTTTTTTTAAATTTCCAAAACCTAGATTCTACATTCAGAATAGCTTTAAGTGTGTAATCTCTTGTTCAATTTTAGAGAAACCAAAATTGGAAATCATAGATGAAGCAGCATGGCTGATAAAGAAAAAAAGAAACGATACAGAATACGGAACTCCAACTTGAAGAAAATCCTGGTCAATATCAAGTGACCAGAATATGAGTGTACAGATGTATTAGGTTAGACTAAAATGTTGAGATATGAACACATCACTTTTCTTTTCTTTTTTTTTTTTTATTTTTTGAGACAGAGTCTCACTATTGCCCAGGCTGGAGTGCAGTGGTATAATCTCAGCTCACTGCAGCATCCGCCTCCCAAGTTCAAACAATTCTTGTGCCTCAGCCTCCCAAGTAGCTGAGATTACAGGCATGCGCCATCTCACCTGATTAATTTTTGTATTTGTAGTACAGATGGGGTTTCACCATGTTGGCCAGGCTGGTCTCGAACTCCTGGCCTTAAGTGATCTGCCTGCCTTGGCCTCCCAAAGTGCTGGGATTACAGGCATGAACCACCCCACCTGACCCACATCATTTTTAAGAGTCTCCTGACAGTCTTCTGAATGACTTGCCTGATCACATCAAATAAAAAGTGGCAAATTACCATAGGCGACTCAAAAGGGTTTTTTTTGGCCAGAAAGAAAGAGCCTATTGTTTGACTTCATACCATTTCTGATCCAATTTGCAAAGGGCAAGTCTGTAAAAGTCACATACCCTTTAAAAGAAAACAGAACATTTAGCTACTGGGTGACTGGAAATTAATGACATTAGTTAATCGTAACTACTAATAAATATTGATAGTGTATCCATGTATACACGATGCTTCTGGTCTTCAAGGCCCTGCTGGTACCTTGTCTGGTCACTTATACAGATGTTCATCCTTGCTTTTCTTATCCTGTCATGAGTTTCAAAAGAATAGCAAAGACAGAAAACTTCAGAGCTATTAAGATATAGAAATGCTCCTCATAAATATCTCTGGGACCAAAAAGTACTTCAAGGGTACTGAACTCCCTCTCAAATAAAGCTCATACAACCTGGGCATGCTATTCTAACAATCTAGTTAGAGTACTACTATAAATAAATATCTGAAGCATAGTAAGTACTCGGTATACTTTTTCTTACCTTTTTCTTCTTATCTTTAAATTGTTTGATCAATGTGAGGACATGTTCAACAAGAAACATGAAATACAGGCCTCCTAGAGCTGTTAGACCCTTCCACGTGGAATCAAAATAGGCACTTTCTTCTATGTTTTGAGAAGACAGATGACTGAAAAGTGGTCCTCTTTTCATTTCCATTGCTGGTTCTTCATGGCTATGACTATGGTGGTGACTTGCATGAGACTGAAGGCAAAATAATTTGTTATTTATAAATTCATCAGTTTCACACACCGAGTCAGAAAGTTGGCTAGGTAAGGTCAAAATTGAAATCATTCAGTTATGCAATTATTCAGATACTTCAGAGATGAGGTGAAGTTTAGGACATTAAAAATAAAATGACCAATGAGCAGCTAGCTATCTAGAACTTAATGCATGTCATGTACTTCAGATACATTCCCAGTGACCCCCATAATATATAAATAGTGAGCATTTTCAATGCTTGACGAATTACCATGGCCACAAATAACAGGAATACTAGACTTAATGTGCACAGTTTCTACTGCTTATTTTCCCAACTGAAAAGCCCATACCAATGTCATCACACTAGCATTGTAAGAAGCCTAGTGTGTGTGTGTGTTGGGTCCTGGCATGTACCCGAGATCCAGGTGCACTGCCCTAGCAGCCTGTAACTGAGTGGAGTAGTAACTACTGCTATTGCACATTAGGGAATCGGGTGTGGAACACACTAAGATACTGGGGGATCACAGAGTACACCCCATACACACGCCACTTTCTATCAGTAGGTATTCCCGAATGTCTGCCATCTGGTGGTCCGAGAGCTTGTCAGAGCAACATAGTTTTCTTTAACTACTGAATGGAACATGAGATTTGTAGTGCTCTAGGTATGGTGTGATTTCCTTTTCCCACATACTTGAAAACCTTTAATGGGAATTTAAAGAATGAAACACGCATATTTTTTAACTGAGCATCTATTCCAAATATCTGATGGAAAAGTAAATTCACTTTACCAAACTTGTTTTATGTGTCATGAAGTGTAAATCTTTAAATACATACATAAACATTCAACTCTGAAGAAAACCTCCAAGTTTCTTGGGTACATAAAGGGTCACATATTTTATTTCTTGGCAATTACACTAACAGATAAAGCAGATAACTCACATTGCTGCAGTCTATCACAGTACTAATAGCCAGGCAGAATTTGTCTCTTTTTATTAAGTGGGTTTCAAAAAGTTAAATTAGTCTGTGTTTTGTAAAAGGAAAGCAAAATTCACAAATGTATTAAGATCGAGCAGAAAAATACAGCTTTCACTTACCAAATATATTTTAAAATAAGCTTTTCTAAACCAAATTTCTAACATTTTATACAAAAAATTCTAGCATAAACCAAAACATTTTTTTTTCAATGTTGAATAATCAAACACTAACAGGACAAATTACTATACTTACATGTGGAAGAAGGTGTAAAAAAGCATCACCACTCAAAGTCCCAACGGCCAGTGCCACAAGGAAACTCAGGAGAAATTTGAAAAACACCCGATTCATGAGAGGCACTAAGATAACCCCCAGCAGAGACAGGAAACTGATGATGGAAATGGCTATAAAACCACCAACCCAGGCTGTCAAACAAAACAAAACAGAGCAAAGAAAAATTATACAACTAATAAACTCTACAAGAAAGACTTTTGGAGAGTAGCATAAAGCAACACGTAAAAGGAGAGAAGCTAAAAACACACAAATTCAATGCAAATAGGACCTACTGTGGCAATAGCACAATAACCAAGAAATCTGTTGTTGGCTCAAATGAACAACCTGACTGGTACTTAAGAACTCTCCAGGTAAGGAGCATAGCTCTAATGGGAAATTCTTCAGGTCGGGGTGAAAGAGGAAAAAAAAATGGTTACCAAGGATGAACTGTAGCTCACTTAGGAACTGAGCTTTCAGACTCCCATAAGAGCTAAATGATAAAAGAATTTTTTTTTTTTAAGAAAAAAGGAAAAGAAAGAAAAGAAGAGGAAGAAACCAGGAATTCAATAATGTCCTCAGAAAACAAAGCAGTGATTCCTTCCTCATTACTTTTGAGCAATGAGACCCTACGCTATAGCAGAGCCTATCCTAGCTTCACTTATCAATAAGAATGCATCAGTATTAGGTTTCTAAGCAGCATAAATGAACCCAAGACCTCTTCCCAAGCAGTGTGACATGATATAAAAATCCCAAATTTCAGGTGATCCTGACACCTTCTTGTAGGATGAACCCAGAGAAGTCATAATTGAAATTTTATTTTCTGGGATTTTTTTTTAAAGGGCAGGGCTAACACCCTTCCTTGCTTTCTTCACATTCAAGGCAAAGAACAACTAAGATGACATATTCAGAATTGTACTGGAAAACAAATAGGCTGATGCAAATCTAAGGAAAAGCACAATATAAATGAATCTACTGAAATTGTTTTTACATAAAAAAGGCAATTTTACCTATTTGTAATGAATAGGTCTTTGGAGGGATTTCAGCCTTCTTTTCACTTGTATGAATCAGACAAGATCTAGCATCAATTTGGTTGATGATGGCTGGACAGAGATAGTTGAACTCTGTTGCATTCAGCGGAACCTGGATGCCCATGCCATGAGATGTCAGTAGCTTTGATGCATTGAAACACTGAAAGAAACAAAGCAGTGAAAATCACCAAAAGCCATCCCCATTAGAGTAGTCTGATGACACAATACCCTTTTTTACTAATGCTACTTCGTTTTCTCGAGTTAATGAAAATTAAAATCAACTTCTGTTTTGAGCACTTTGGAACTTGCCTCCAGCTACCTGGCGATACTATGTCACCACAGTGGTATCCCACCTCTTCTACCTCATCAGAGAAGCAGTACATCACGAGTCACCTAGGGAGAAAGCCTCAGGTGGAACAAGCATGAGGATAAATGGAGATTCACAAGCCTGTTAACTCACTGTATAAACGTATTAAGGAAATGAGCTTTAATTTCAAAATGGGGCTCATCAGAGATTGAGAAATATGTTGCTTCAGTACTAACGCTATCCTACTTGGCCTAAACAAGTCCAAGACATGCCTCTCTTCTAGTAATGACTCTACTTGCAAAAACTCAGTTCTGTCTACATACCTGGCAAAGTAATGCTCTGCAATGAGAGGATATTAAATTATGCAGATTATTCTTGTGGAGGGCAAGGCTGGTTAATAAAACAAACCTGTACCGGCAGGCAGATGTTTTCAACTATTTAATTAGATGACAAACTTAGTTTGAAGATACTCCTCTGTGCAATCTCTCCCCCAGCCAAAAAAGAAAAAAAAAAAAAAACAACAAAAAAACCCCAAACTGGCTTTAGTACCAGTTTCTCATCTTCTGTAAAGACATTTTCAACTCCCACCACAATTCTCAGTTGGTACAACTCAGAGCAAACTTTATCACCAGGGCTGCTATGGCTATGGCCACTACTAGGATTAGTCCAGAATTAGTACAGTCACATGCTGGTTTGAATGAAGTACTAAAGTTTTGCTTATTAAACTGTATCAACTAATTCCTTGTTCCTTTTTTTTTTGACATAATTCCCTGTTCTTGACATCTCTCAGCCAAGGTGAATTACGTACAGTCTGGAAGTCTACTCTAGAAAAACCACATGAACTCAGAACCTCACTGTCCCAACTTTTCCCTTGTCCAGCATGACATTCATGGAAACTGCTCCAATTTCAATCATTCCTCAAGTCATGGTGGACCTTCTGTCAAGGAGGCAGCAGTGGTATTCTCAGTAGTCTTCAGCCCCTTCAGTCACACCTTTCCCTACAATATGGATTCTAACTCCTGCTTTCAACCCCTCATTTTCTATTTTTTATTAATAATGTTCACCTTTATAGACTTTCTCTAAAGATAGCCTTGATATCTTTCTCTACATATTTTATATTCTGTATTAGAAAAAATTGTAGGAGGCAGCACTACGCTCACCAAAAGAACTGTTCCCTAAGTTCTGAATTGGGAATGTTTACAACATAGCAGGCATGCTTTGTGGCAAGTGCCTTGCTGAGAAGGTGGAAATTCCCTTTTCAATAACTTCAACATTTTACTTTTACTTTAAACTCCTCATAACTAGAGATAGAGTAGCAGAGACAGGACAGACACACAGGTATATTAAAATAATGAACAGCACTCATCTTACCTCCTGAGGATTTTCATTTGTGTTTCTGGAATACATAAAGCCTTTTCGGGGCTCACTCACAGATTCATTTGTTTTCCTACCAGCCAGCCGGCTCACCCGGCTCTTTGATGTGACACTGGGTGGAGTGGAGCTGCTTACATCTTTGGGGAAGAGTTTTCCAGGTCTTGGAGTCTCTATTGTCTCTAGAAAGTGAGTTCCTTCAGAGACAGTGTTGTACACAGTTGAGGTCACTTCACTAGCACTAACACTGTCCTTGACATTCCTTCTACCACTGGCATGTTCTGGTCGGTGAGCTCCTTTCCCCTGGCTGTTTCTAGGATCTTTACCTGAACTATCTGAGTCATGGTCTGGGCAAAGAGCTTTTCGCTTATTTTTACCAGAAGCAGCATGATTATGGTGAGAGTGATGATCATGGTCAGAGTGATGCTCGTGCTCTGAGTGATGCTCATGGTCTGAGTGACGCTCATGGTCTGAGTGATGCTCGTGGTCTGAGTGATGGTCGTGGTCATGGTGTATATGGATTCTTTTAATCTTATCTATGCCTATATTTTGAAGTAATTTTCTGAACCCTTCAACTGACAAAGAATTATTTTCTCCATAGCGGTAGAAAAGCTGTTGTAGATGATATTGCCGTGTGGAAATTGCCAAGTCAACATTAATGCCAGATTCCCAATTCGGACTAATTTTCTCAGTGGTCTGGGGGAAAGCAGCTGCTTTTAGTTCATGAAGGGGATTTGTGACAGAGAGGGCAAAGGTCAGGATCAAGATTACAGATAACTTCCTCGCCATTGCGCCTTCCTAGAAAAGACAGGAAAAAAAAATTCTTGACTCACTTCTAAAACAAATTGAATTAAGAAACCTCATACTGAAAATTAATGTGTAATCAAATAATCAAAGTTGCCAGAGCATCATGTGGTGTGACCAGTGTGACGCTAGGTACTGTGAAGATGGAAAGAACTAGAGTCCTAGGCTCTACCCTTGCATTCCTAAAACACATGAAACAACTGGAGAAGAGCTGAGTGCTAAGAGACTGCCATTAGCACTGTAAAAGCAATAGTAATTCAGAGACAAGGGAGATCCATGTGGCCACAGCCATCAACTGCTTACTGAAGTTGAGAATTTATTTGAACGATTATTTGAATCATTGAGGCCAATGATTCATAATTAAATCTAGGCTGGGTGTGGTGGCTCATGCCTATAATCCCAGCACTTTGGGAGGCTGAGGCAGGCAGATCACCTGAGGCCAGGAGTTTGTGACCAGCCTGGGCAACATTGTGAAACCCTGTCTCAAAAAAAAAAAAGAACGAAATGAAATCTAGCTACCTTGATCATCACCATCATTTCATAAAATAACCTTCAAACACCAAAAAATAGAAATAATAATCTCAGAATTCACATATTTAAAAAATTTTAAACTAATACACTCTCCTTACATACAAGCCCATTTAAGACCCCTTTCCCCAATCACAATCCTCAAAGGTGCTCAATTTTGCCAGTGTATCCCTCAGGATATTTTCTATGCATACTCAAATACATGTATACTTAATTTTTTTTTTAAAGTTTTTTTTTTTTTTTTCTAGAGACGAGGTCTCACTATGTTGTCCGGGTTGGTCTTGAACTCCTGGCCTCAAGAGATCCTCCACCTCCAATTCCCAAAGTGCTGGGATTACAGGCGTGACCACTACGCCCAGCCTCAAATAAGTGTATACTTTAAATACACATTGAATCTTTTTTCCGACTTGACAATGAATCAGACACATTATGTCCATACATAGAATTCTTAAAGTAAACTGAACTTCATGAAAAACTCACTGTAGCATCCTTGTGTTACTACAAACCAGTCAACATTTAATCACAGGCTGTTAATCATCCACAGTAGTGTTTGGAACCAAAGGCCTGTGCCCCAAAGAGGAGGAAGCAATTGAGTTGGAGCTTGAAAAGCAGAATTCAGTTAAGCAGAGCCAGAATTCAGTTAATTCAGATCCAGCAGGATGTCCAGCACCAACGGTGGAGGTGATGGTGGTCAAACTCACATCTCCAGCAAAAGACGCAGACGTCAAGTTTACAACTAAGCAAGAGCATGGGGCTATCCAGCTCTACCACGGTCAGCTGTTCTTTGGACAGGGCTCTCGCATTCATTACCTTATCTAAAATACCGGTAAAACCTATTTTGCAAGGCGAAGGAGGAAAACACATGAAGGAATGTAT
This sequence comes from Homo sapiens, assembly GCF_000001405.40. Taxonomy (NCBI): domain Eukaryota; kingdom Metazoa; phylum Chordata; class Mammalia; order Primates; family Hominidae; genus Homo; species Homo sapiens. Next base: position 36,128,427 of record NC_000018.10, read on the forward strand.
ATTACAAGTACTCGTTAAACTCATGTGTTGCACAAGTGCGAGGTATCATACAGGGAACAGTGGGAAATGGAGGTACGGCGTAGAACGAGGCTCCTGAAAGAGGAATCTTTGGGGCTTGAAGTTTCGGGAATTCTTTTACTAGGTAAAAGATAAACATTTAGAAATCATTCCCAGGAGAGAGGCGAGGAGCGGGGTGGGAGGGGACTAGCACAGGGGACAGCTCCGAGCCTTTCTCCAGGGAGGATGCTGAGCGCGGTCGTGGACCCGTTGAAGGATCTCCTTTCCTGCAAGTTGGTGTGTGCTGGAGGAAAAAGGAAAGCAGAAGGGAAGGGCCTTAGAGAAAAAGGCGAGTACAGAAAACGGAAAAGAGGGCACAAAGCTCTCTTCTAAAAGCTTTTTATTTCTAAACACGTCAGTCCCTTCTTCGAATATGGGATGAAAAGTACGGATCTTTTCCTCAAAAAATCCTCCGTTGCACCCCGAAGCCCATCTGAGCACCTTAAGAAGTCCGGCTCTCTAGGGTGAGTGGGCGCCTGCGGCGGGCTCCCCCCAGCATCCTCTTTCTGTAGCCCCCCTGCCCGGTCCGCAGGATCCGGTTCTCCGCAGAACCACCCCTACCCCGCCACGCCTGTCTGGCCTGAGGAGCTCCCCTCCCAGCCGCCCTGCTCCCGGACCTGAAAGACTCACGTCTCCGCGGCCTCGTTGTCCCACGGCCCGGCCACGCGCGCAGGTTTGGTTCCACACGGGCGGTCCAGAGGGCTCGGAACGGGCCCACTGGTGTCTTCGAGAAATCTCTACCAGGCGCGAACACGCGGTGGTTTCATTGGGTTGGCTGCCCCTCGGTCCGGGGGCAGCGCCGCGCAGCCACCCGGCAGCCGCGCCCCTAGCCTTCGCGAAGCTGGAAGACAATCACTAATTACCGCCGCGCGCAGCGCCGCGGGGAACCACCGCCCCCTTCGCCCAGGACTGCAGGGCATGCGCAGTGCGACCCCGGAACCCGGCTCCGCAGACGGATCCGCTTTTCCGTGTGTTCGCCGACGCCGCGGGGGCGTGGCGCGGCCCTAGCGCATTGTAAGCAGTTGGGGGTCATTTCCTCGAGGCCCTACTCGCTAGCCAGCGCCCCCGGGGCCAGCCCTGGCTGCTGCTGGGAGCCGGGTCGTAAGGGGCAGCGAGATGTTTCTGACGCTGCCCCAGGCACATGAGCCCCGGGTCCTTCGGGAGGGTCCCGAGCCACTCGGGTCGGATTTCGCTCTTGAGACAAAGGCCTGGCTCGTTCGCGGAGCGGGGCCACGGTCCAAGAGCAGAGCTAGCAAAGCGGCGGCCTTGCACAGGGGTTCCAGCCTGCGGTGGGAACGGAGAGTCTCAGGGGGGCGGGGCTGCCTCCGTCTGGCCCTCGGCTGGCTGCGAAACGTGGACTGGGTGATGCCTCAGGAGAAACCACCCTAGTAGTTCCGCTCCGAGGGCGGAAGTGCGCGTCTCTTGTTTGTGCGGCTGACCAGTTGGCGACATGGTGGCACCCGTGCTGGAGACTTCTCACGTGTTTTGCTGCCCAAACCGGGTGCGGGGAGTCCTGAACTGGAGCTCTGGGCCCAGAGGACTTCTGGCCTTTGGCACGTCCTGCTCCGTGGTGCTCTATGACCCCCTGGTAAGAGAGGTCGCTGGACGGCCGACCCTTGTGCTTTTCGGGTTGAACCTGTGGACGTGCTCCGGGCGCGCTGTTAGTTGCCGCCCCAGACCTAGGAGGCGAGTCGGGTCGGCTCAGGGGAGCGGGGTTTGGGCTCGGAGTCTCCAGTGGACCTGCCGGACTCGCTCCTCACCCCTCACCCTTTGCCGTCTCACGCGTGGCGTCATCCTAGGGTCATTGCTGCCCATGAGCTGCTAGTAACCTGTTAGTCCCACGCAGAAACCCGAATGATAAGCATCTTACCTGAAGCCTTCCTTGGGAACTGTAGTACCGTTAATCAATTTGGGTTTTAAAACAATTGAAATTTATATGTAGATTAAAACCATCATCCCACAGGTGCAATCTCATTTCAGTATTTCCTTCAGTTTTGGTTAATGAACTTTTGTTGTATTGAATTTCAAGGAAATGTTACCTGTGTTTTAGCTACGGGAATGGACATTTTAGAGAAAGTGTCAGTTTGGGGGAAAGGTCATAGGGGATGGGGATCCTAAGCACTGATTATAAGGCGGGACTTCCCTCGACTTCACCCAGTCAGTTGGTTATTTTCTTGGTGCTTTCCTCACCATATTTCTCAAGTGAATAGTTTTTGCATGCTCCCCGGAATTCATTATAACTCCATTCCCAATGGCTAAGTTGGTCTATACAGTTAGTCTTGCATCTCAAAAGGAGGCTCAGTGTAAAAAGTAAAATGTTGAAAATTCAAATACAACGCAGGAGATGGCTATATGTATTTCTGTTCATACGGCTTTATTAATTTGGTTAAAAATTTCATTATTGGCCAGGAGCGTGTCTCATGTCTGTAATCCCGGCACTTTGGGAGGCAGAGGTGGGAGCATCGCTTGAGTCCAGGAGTTGGAGACCAGTTTAGGCAACAGAGCGAGACCCCAGTCTCTACAAAAAGTTTAAAAAAAAAAATAGCTGGTTGTGGTGGCGTGCGCCTGTAGTCCCAGCTACTCGGGAGGTAGAGGTGGGAGGATCGCTTGAGCTCAGAAGTTTGAGGCTGCAGTGGACGGGGGTCGCACCACTGGACTCCAGCCTGGGCAACAGAGCCAGACCCTATCTCAAAAAAACATTATTCTCACACCCTTTGGAGATTCAAATATATATATGAAATATTTGTAACCACATTACCCCATCTTGAGCTTGCTTGCCTCTTCCTGGTTTTTGTTTCTTGTTATTTGCATTCTTGAATGGCAAGAGAAAGTGCAAAAAACAAGGGTAAACTTTAAAGGGACCATGAGGCAAGGACCGACTGTAGAATGGGAGAGACCACAGCAGGCTCTCCATCATCTCCCACAGCGTCTCCTCATCCAGCGCCGTGAGCGCGGAGCCTTGCGGCATTGCGGCACCGTTCCGCCATGGCTGGGCACTGGGAGGACCCTAAGAGGGGCGGCCATAGGGGTGGAGTTGTCAGGGAAGCAGGAGCCCGGGAGAGCCAGGGTGACACCCTTTTAAAATCAACTCCGTCGTAAAATTAGCAAGGCACACTCTTTGCCAGTCAACCCACGGTCCTGAGATGTTTACGGCAGAGGAAGCATCTTGGTAAAGTCTGCAAGGACAAACTTGCCGCTATATCACAGGACAAGATCTGCTTTTAAGATGATTATACTCATGCTTTGATGTACTTAACACACTGAAATGAAATTCTGATTCAGCTGTAGAATCCCATCTTTTTGCAGCAGTTGAATGGATTTGTTTCCATGTATTCCATCAGATTTTAAATGATAACCTGGTGGCTGAGCTAGTGAATTTTAGCATATTGACAAAGAAGTGTTGAGCCTAAAAAGTACTTTGTCCTGTTAAATATTTGCTGGTCGGGCTTTTTTTTTTTTTTTTTTTTTTTGGAGTGTAGTGACAGTAACTGCTCAGTGCAACCTGCAACCTCCACCTCCCGAAATCAAGTGATTCTCGTGCCTCAGCCTCCCTAGTAGCAGGGATTACAGGTGTGCACCCCCACACCTGGCCAATTTTTGTGTTTTTAGTAGAGACAGGTTTTACCACATTGGCCAGGCTGGTCTCCAACTCCTGGCCTCCTGAAGTGCTGGGATTAAAGGCATGAGCCACCACACCTGGCCTCGATTGGGCTTTTAAGTAAATATGGGAATAAAAGCATTTCAAATGCTAAAATAAAGTTTTGGGAATGATGCTCATTCAGCAAATCTTCGACGACCATCTGTGGGCTAGCCCTGGGCTGAGTGATGATGACACAAGGTAATGAGTGATAACGCGCGTGGCCACCAAGGAATTCTCAGTCTAGTGGGAGAGACAGTGAAGTACAGTAAATTGTTTTCCAGCCTCAAATAACCTATATGTGAAATATATTAGTTTATGCACATTTGCCTCTTCCTTTTTCTTAGCCATGAGAATTCTAGTTGGCGTATAAGCAGATACAAAGCCATTGCCGTTGACAACAGATAGAGAAAGGGGCTGTAAAGAGGAAGGTGCAGTAGTCACAGTTAAAATCTTTAATGGTGTGTGAAGTATGAGACCTCCAAGTGTGGGGTGAAGTTGGTGAAAGCAGTCTGTTGAGGATCTGTGGAGAACCTGGCAATAGGCCCTGCAGGAATCTGATGTGTGAGGACCTTAGTAGTTGTGGCCTTGTGACATTGTGCCACTGGGTCTGAAAAACCCACCGTCTCATTGGCCATTGGCATGCAAAGTGAACTGTGCTTGTACCCATTAATCACAGATTCTTCTATTGGAGGGCTTTTTTTTTTTTCTTTTGGTCAGAGAAACCCTCAGATTGGTGCAAGCATAGTAGGCCTACTTCCACAAGGAAGCAGCTGCTTGTCTAGTTTGGTGTGTCAGGACAGGCTGCCTAGGTGAAAAGGATGTGGGCACTGTAGGAGAGTGAGCAGAAGCAGGTGGGTGGATGCAGACGCGAGAGCTCAGTGTAATGGGAGGACAGGATGCTGGGAATGTGGAGTCTCAAGAAAGGCAGGACTGATTTAGAGGAATGGATGACTTAAGCCATGGTTAAAAGTTTATAGATTGAAGAAGGCAAATCTGTTTGATGTAAACCTGATCTTTTTACTAGCATCGAAAACACTGAAATCTGTTTTTACTTATTTATTAATTTTTCTGTAGGATAAATTCCAGTTTACTAACTGTATTTTCTTCTCTAAAGAAAAGGGTTGTTGTTACCAACTTGAATGGTCACACCGCCCGAGTCAATTGCATACAGTGGATTTGTAAACAGGATGGCTGTAAGTATTAACCAGATTTTAAAGTTGATCTCAATTGTTTTCTGATAAAATAAGGTTAGCCATTTTTTTCTCATCACTTCTCTTAATTTAGCATTACCTTATATGATGTTATGCAATTGGAGAAACAAGAAAAATGGTATTCCCAGTGAAATATCTGAACTGTATTTTTACTTCGTAGCAGTTGAAGCTTGGATTATACAGCAGTGCTTAGGATGAGGGTAGTGCAGCCCTAGACTTTGGCAGGATCCTGTCCCACCTCCCCAGTTGCCTGTAACCTTTATTAAAAGAACTTGTAAGCAGGGCCTAGACTGAGGCTGTGTTTTAGAGACTTGGTTTCTTGGTCTGTTTCTGCCATAAACAAGCTATTGGTTTTTCTTTTTATTCTTTTTTCTTTTATTTACTTATTTATTTATTTATTTATTTTTTTTTTGCCAACTAGTTGGAGACTAGAATGTTTATTTTTTTAAGAGACAGGATCTCTCACTTGTTGCCCAAGCTGGAATGCAGCGGCTCCATCAGAGTTCTCTGCAATAGCTGGGACCACAAGTGTGTGGCACCACGCCTTTCTAGTTTTTTAGGGGTTTTTTTTTTTTTTTTTTTTTTTTTTTTTTGAGATGGAGTCTCGCTTTGTCACCCAGGCTGGAGTGCAGTGGCAAGATCTCGGCTCACTGCGAGCTCCGCCTCCCGGGTTCACACCATTCTCCTGCCTTGCTCTGTAGCCCAGGCTTGTCTCGTACTCCTAACCTCAAGCAGTCTTCCCTCTTTAGCCTCCCAAAGTGCTGGGATTACAGGATTAGCTACTGTACCCGGCCAGCTATTGCTTTTTTAGGCAAGACATTGCATCTCTATTGACCCTAGTTTGCACCTTAATAACATGTGAGAAGTAAGAGATTGGACTAGATCAAGGGTGTCTTAGAGGTTTGTAAGACCTATGAGATCAAATTATTTTCATAATGATATCAAGAAGTTATTCACAGTATTCATTCTCATTGTCATGAATGTACAGTGTTTTCCAGCAGCCACATGATGTATGATACTGCAGCAGATTAAATACAGAAGCAGATATGAAAATCCAGCTATATTCTAATAAAATCATATGTTAAAGAGATTTGTAGGAATGTAAAATAGTTCCTCTCTTTCATTAAGTTTTTGTTTTGGAAACCATTGGGGTTTTTCCCCATCAAAATGTTATATATGTTCACACATCATAGAACCCATTGTTATTTTTAAGTAAATGGTTAAACACATATTTTTCATATTTCTCAGTTTTAATTTCTAATGTGGTTAATATTGGTACATATGGTTCATATAATCAAAAGCTTTTTGGGGTCCTCAAAAATTGTAAGACTGTAAAGGAATTCTAAGACCAAAAGTTATGAAAATTTCTGGACAAGATTATCTCCAGGTCTCTTCATCTCTAAGATTCTGACTCCAGAATTTTCAGTTAAAATATTAGTTGCCTTTAGATGGTGCTCCCAAAATCCTATGATATTTCTTTAGTTATCTTAAATATATCTACTGTAGTTTTGATATGGGTTCTGAATTAGTTTTATTTTTCATTACACACTCATTTGAGGGCATTTTGAGCCAGGCACAAATGCAAAATTTTCTGAATTATTAAGACTTTGCTATGATTTTATAAATGATGTTTAAAAAAGTTTTAATAAGCTACTTATTTGCTTCTGTAGGATTAGTCACATGTTAGGTCAATAAAAATCATTAAATGGTACAAGGGATGCCTGTTAGTATGGATAATAAAACATAATTGCAATTATATTAATTGCCACCAGATAACATCAAAGACTGACTTTCAGTATAGGAGTTTGTTATAAAATGTTAATTTAGGCTTGTATGTTTTATCTTCCGTTTAAAAGTGAGGTTACATAAAATGGATTGCTTGTGTATTACTGTAATCTATAACTATTATGATTGATTTCCTTTCATTGAACTGCCAGATAATGCAGATAGCCTTTCCAACCCTTTATCGGTGATATATAAAATTTTAATATCATTTTGTATTTTTAATATGTCTGAATTTTAACATTACTTTTATGTATAGACATTCTTAAAATCATATAGTTAGTTAAGTGGCTCAATTGCTGTGACACATGAAGTTGAAGCCCATGATCACAGTTGGCTGGCAGCAGAGTTAGGACATGAACCTGGGCCTTCTGAGTTCAAATCTAATGCTCTTTAGTCCAGCTGCTTCCCTGAAACAAATAAAAAGAAAATCCAAACCCAAATTAGGTTATTTGCCCCTTTTTTGGTACTACTTTTTCTTTTGTTATCACTGAGAAGTTGCAAGTATTTAAAAGATCTATTTTGAAGTGTGTCTCTAATTTCAACAATAAGTCATATTCTTGGTAGTAGCACCTGACTACAATGTTTCATATAATGTTCCTGCCAAGAGTGTTTAGCCTGCATCTAATCATGAGGAAACAATCAAACAGATTGAGGGACATTCTGCAGAACAAGTGCTGGGTACTGTCATTGTCACAAAAATGAGGGGGACTAGGAAACTATTCTACATTAAAGGAGACTAAAAAGATTTGATATCCAAATGTTGAGTGTATTTCCTTAGATTCTGAATCCCAAACAAAAAAAGTTTTAAAAGGCATTACTGAGAGAATTGGGACATTTTAATATGGACTGTATATTATATAATAATACTTATCAATGTTAGAATTTTTGAATGTGATAATTGTATTGAGGTAATATAGGAGAACGTTTTTGTCCTTAGGAGATATATGGTCTTTGAGGATCAGAGATCACAGTGTCTGCCACTTATTTTTAAGTAGTTTGCCTCCTAAAAGGTGTGTGTGTATGTATATAGAGGAAGAGTGAGATATTAAGCAAATATGGCAAAATGTTACCAGTTTGTGAATCTAGGTAGAGGGTACAGGGGTATTGTTTTTTGGTGTAGCTTGGAAATTTTTAAAAATTGCAGAAAAAATGAATAAAGATATTTACTGAGATATAATTTTTTTCAGCCCCTTCTACTGAATTAGTTTCTGGAGGATCTGATAATCAAGTGATTCACTGGGAAATAGAGGATAATCAGGTGAGTGGACATGTTTATAATCAAGAAATGACTTTTTTTGTTCATTTGTTTTTTAAGAGGTAGAGTTTCACTCTGTCACCCAGGCTGACGTGCAGTGGTGCGATCGTGGCTCACCTCAGCCTCCTAAGTAGCTGGGACTACAGGTGCCTGACACCATGCCTGGCTGATTTCTGTTTGTTTGTTTGTTTGTTTTTGTAGAGATGGGGTCTTACTTTGTTGCCCAGGCTGGTCTCAGAAATGACTTTTATATATACTTTTATTTTAAGTTTTTTTCTTCAACTATGTTGTTCTTTTATGAAGTTAATCTTGCTCATCAGCAACACAAATGCTGTATCTTTTATACTACACAGGCCCTGTACCCTTTGCTCTGATTTCTACTCCCATATTTGTATGCTGTTAACTGTCTCTGTGAATTTCCTGTCATTTTGGAATAATTTTCAAACTATTCTTACTTGGGCTGATCTGTTTTCAATGCTTTTGGCATACGAATATAGATTTACAAGACTCTTCTCAGTGCTACCCCACACTTCTGTCATGTTATGTTTTTAAAAATTCTCTGATTGAGCTATAACTGCTTAAAGATGTGAAATGAGTATTTTCAATAGATTTAGTTTTTTCAGGGGGTAATGACAGACTTGTTAAAAAAAAAAAGGTTATAAATACAAAAAGTATAAAGAAGGAAAAACCTATGCAAAATCTGAGCAGAGTTAACTTTCTGGTGAATGTCATTCCCCGTCTCTAGTTATGTGTGTATAATTATGCATAATAGAGATTCTATTGTATCCAAGGATTTTTTAAACCTTTTTGAGGTGAGATCTGGCTGTGTTGCCCAGGCTGGAGTGCAGTGGCTGTTCATAGGTAAGATGATGGTGCACTATAGCCAAGGACTCCTGGACTCAGGTGATACTCCTACCGCAGCCTCCCAAGTAACTGGGACTGCTGGCACACACCACTGCACCTGGCTTAAGTGTTTTTTCCAAGAAGTCAAAGGCTAATGATTCTAAAGAAAGTTAGTGTACAGACCCTTATACATGAGTATTATGTGCATCTTCTTTAGTGGCAGAATTCTGTTTTAAGTATTATAATTGGAAAAACAACTGAAGAGACATTTAAGGAACACCACTATTTCAGCAGACAGTTGATAGAAGATACCTTTTAAAAGAAGTGGTGGAATGTCACACATTTGAAACTTAAAAAAAGATAAACCCAAAACATCAGTAGAAGGGATGCCAGAGGGAATAATCTTGATGGCAAGCAGATAGATTTGATAAGCCAATGGGATTTCCCACTTCTCTTTGCTATTTTTCTATTTTGCAGCCCTACTTGATTTAGGCAAGTATCATGAGTGGATGCTAAAAGTACTTAGTAAAAGTTTGATGAGGAATAGAATGTTTATTCAATCCCAAAGTATACTCATATTATCACCAAAAAAAAAAAAAAAAAAAAAAAATTAACATCACGGTGAAAAAACCTGGCAGACAATACTTCTACTAAATATAAAGGTTAGCTTCACTAAAACCTGGACAAACTGAAATGATGTGCCTCCTGATGGGATGTGCTTATGTAGTAATGCTGTCAAAATGTATATTCTGAATCTCTTCATAATGAAAATCACACTAATCCAAAAAGAGGAACATTCCACAAAGTTGACCTATATTCTTCAGAATACCTATTGTCTCCTCAGAGTAGATTCCTAGATATGAGATTGCTGTGTCACAGGGCATGCACATTTTGTGTGTTGTTAACATGGTCAGACAGACTTCTTGAAAAATTCTTTTCAACTTAGAGGACCTATTTCTGGCTCAGCCATTTTATTGGCACATTTATCCAATTAAATAAAGGTAAAAAAAATCCTTTTTTTCACAATGCTTCTGTCATTCTTTCTGATTCAGCTTTTAAAAGCAGTGCATCTTCAAGGCCATGAAGGACCTGTTTATGCGGTGCATGCTGTTTACCAGAGGAGGACATCAGATCCTGCATTATGTACACTGATCGTTTCTGCAGCTGCAGATTCTGCTGTTCGACTCTGGTCTAAAAAGGGTCCAGAAGGTAGGTTTGGAGACATGATAATCCAGACAAATGAAATAATATTTAACAAATGAATGACGAGTAGAAGAGCATATATATAATTCTTTACAACTTTGGAGCAACTTTAAAAATACTATAATTCTAATCTAAATTTTTCTTTTGCACTTATTTAAAATTCTCTATACCAAGACTTTTTCATGTAAGTCATTTTGCTGTCTGTAACATCATTAAAATTTGGCCATTTAACTTCACATGGTCAGTGGGGGCTCAGGATTGACTTCTCTCATCTCCCTTCTGCTACCTGGGGCTGTGATGATGCTATCCAACCTGTCTAGTTGGATAAGCTCTGAGGTAGTTAGTTGTTCATTGTGTTTTTTATTATTTCTTAGTAATGTGCCTTCAGACTTTAAACTTTGGAAATGGATTTGCTTTGGCTCTCTGCTTATCTTTTTTGCCAAATACTGATGGTGAGTATCCTGTTAAGTATATGTTAAAAGGGCAGTATATTTGCATACTGTCATATGATTAGAACCTAAAAGAAATGTATTGGGTCTTAATTTTGTATCTGAATGTTTCTATGAAACAAGATGTGAATAACATACTTTCCTTATAATATTCAAATGATCTGAGTATAGAACATAAAGTTAAGGGGGGCTTATTAGGATTTTGATAGCCATTGATAATTTAAATGACTTACTGTGTACCCAAGATTGATACTGTTATCAAATATACTGTGGATGTATATAGGTCTAATTTGAGGAAAGAATCTAATTCTTTAGAAGGTGAAGGTCTGGGGTAAGTTGAAAAAGTGTTGAATGAAGATGGCATATGAGCATTTCTCTCAAAATGATAGCTCCTTCACATCCCGAATAATGACATTTTGCCCAAGACCACTTAAAATCTGCAAACAGAAAAATTTCCCTTTTGCTGTGAAACCCATCTGTATTTATCTTTGAGTATCTTCTACAAAGATAATAGCCAGTGTGAGTGAGTCAGCCTCTTTGCCTCCACAGTTACCTGGAAGACTGGCCAGGTGGAACGAGGCAGGGCCTGGAAGCCACCAGCCTCTCTCGCCCTCTGTAGCAGGAGCTGCGACTCTATGGTTTCATGTTACGCTTCCATTCTGTGCAAGGCTCTGTGGAAGGAGAAGCTGCACACATTCTGGCATCATAACAGAATTTCATTTCTTCCATCTGCATTCAGGCCAAGTGACTGGAGTTTTGTTTTTATTGTTTTTATTTTTCTTTTTTCTGTAGTTGATCTAAAGTAAGAAAATCTTTGAAAAACACATTGGTGGCAAGGCATGTCCTTAGAAAAAGTCTCTTATCTAGCAGAGTCATCAGGGCTGCCCTTTGGTAATGCAAATTATTAATGATTTTTTATCTTATTAAAATAATTTTACAGTCACATCTTTCATAGCTTTTTAAAATTTTAAAATTTAAAATTTATTTATTTATTTTTTAGAGACAAAGTCTCATTCTGTCACTCAGGCTGGAGTGCAGTGGTGATCATAGCTCACTGCAGCCTCAAACTCCTGGGCTCAGGTGATTTTCCCACCTCAGCCAAGTGGCTGGGACTACAAGCATGCTCCACCACGCCCAGCTAATTTTTTTATTCTTGTAGAGACAAGGTCTGTTTATGTTGCCCAGGCTGGTCTTGGACTCCTGGCTTCAAGTGGTTCTCCTGTCTCGGCCTCCCAAAGTGCTGGGATCACAGATGTGAGCCACTGCGTCTGGATCCCCTTGCGTAGCTTTGTAAATTTTTTATTTTATTTTTTTGACACAGGGTCTCATTCTGTTGCCCAGGCTGGAGTGCAGTGGCGCCATCACAGCTCACCTCAGCCTCCTGAGTAGCTGGGACTCCAAGCACATGCCACCATGCCTGGCTAATTGCCTTGTATAGCTTTTTAGCCACATGCTTAATTATATGCTCTTTTATTTATTTTTATTTTTATTTTGGGGGATGGAGTCTCGCTCCGTCGCCCAGGCTGGAGTGCAGTGGTGCAATCTCGGCTCACTGCAATCTCTGCCTCCTGGGTTTAAGTGATTTTCCTGCTTCAGCCTCCTGAGTAACTGGGATTATAGGCATATGCCACCACGCCCAGATAATTTTTGTATTTTTAGTAGAGACAAGGTTTTGTCATGTTGGCCAGGCTGGTCTCAAATTCCTGACCTCAGGTGATCTGCCCACCTCAGCCTCCCAAAGGATAACGCCCTAGGATTACAGGCATGAGCCACCACACCCAGCCTTTTATTTTGTTTTAAACAAAATAAAACATAAGGTTTTCAAACAAAACATAAAGTCCTCAAATTAACAAACATACCCTTAAATCTGTGTGCATTAGCCATGTTGGTAGGGCTCATAGTAGCTGTTCATTATTTAGTTGTCTTAACAACTTTTCATCTTGGTCTTTGGGCTGACATGGTGAAAATGCTCTCTAGTTGCTCTTGAGCTTATTTTTCACTTCTATCATAAATGTCATAGAATGGAGAGAAGGACTGGATTCTCATTTAATAGTCATTATATTTACCAAGTAACCACTGAATAGAACGTTTTAGAGTGTTCATTGTATTCCTGCAGACATTTATTGAGCATTTTCAATTATTCGTGTAGTGGTGTGGGAAATTGAAGTCAGGATTCTTTACTTAGAGCTTACAATCCAGTACAGTTGATAAATCATAACGTGGTGGAATAGAGAACTCACAGTGAAGCCTGTTTTTTCTTCCCCCAGTACCAATATTAGCATGTGGCAATGATGATTGCAGAATTCACATATTTGCTCAACAAAATGATCAGGTAATAATGTTTATATTAAGAGGCTGGAATTATATTCTGCTTAGTTATATCTCAATACAGACTATATCCAGATTATAGAATTTTAGGGAATGTTCTAATCTAAACCAAAATAATCCAATAGAATCTTTTTTTGACAGTCCTCTGTTAAGATGGTTGTCTACTCTGAACACCAAGTAACCGCTGCCTTGACCATCAGGCTCAGAGTTGTTAGGGGGAAACAGGTCATTAGGTGGGGGAGGAGAGATGGAAGATGCTGTGGTAGTTGTTTTTCTCTTAAAGATTTAAACGAGATATAACATACCTACAGTGAAGCATTCCTAGTAGTGTTTATTTGCCCTTCTGAGCTTTACTTAGATTTTGAGTGGTTAAACTAAAGGAGAGAAATTTAGAAAGGGGTTGGTTAACTCTAAACTCATTTATTTAATAGGATACTCATTTCTTTGCATTCTATAAGAAGGTTAAAAATGGTTGTGAAAGTCCAGCTATTCAACTTTTTTTTTTTTTTTTTTGAGACAGAGTCTTGTTCTGTCTCCTAGGCTGGTGCAGTGGTGAGAACATGCGTCACTGTAGTCTTGACTTCCTGGGGTGAAGCAATCCTCCTGCCTCAGCCTCCTGTGTAGTTGAGACCACAGGCGTGTATCACCATGCCTGACTACTTTTTAAATTTTTTGTAGACACAGGGTCTCACTTTATTGCCCCGGCTGGTCTCAGTTTCCTGGCCTCAAGTGATAGTCCCACCTCCTCAGCCTCGCAAGGTATTAGGATTATAGGTGTGAGCCACTGCCCAACCCACCTTTTTTTCTATATTATATGTATAGTATGTATCATTTTATATCTTAAACATTTAAAATATTTGAGATTACAAATATTATATTATCTACTCAGAGGTGCTCCAGTTAGTGATTTAGATATTACGTGATGGGTTTTTCATTCCCAAAGGAATGCTTTTTCTTGTCTAATCAAATAGTGTTCTCAGTAAAAGAGCAACGCAGTAGGACTGTCTGAGACCAAATGATGTCACTGGTATACATGAAGATGTTAAATTCTTACATCAAGCCCAATGATTTTTATCTTACTAGTTTCAGAAAGTGCTTTCTCTCTGTGGACATGAGGATTGGATTAGAGGAGTGGAATGGGCAGCCTTTGGTCAGTATGAAATTTTGCTAATGCACATACAATGGGAACAAATATGTGTTACTTCCAAGAAAGCAGCCTTTTTTGTTTTAATTTTTAAGTTTTCTTTGTATGTTATGTTTTTCTATTGTCCCAATTAGAAAGGAGGATGCTTATCTCTTCTGTTGTTAGTTGGATGGTAGATGATTAAATAAATTGGTATTTATCAGATGACATTAGCTGTCTTGTTCACATGCAGACCTTCTTGAAAAGTTCTTTGTAGAACTTAGTAGACTATATACTACATGTTGTAAACATGTATTAGCATTGTATGCATATTTGTCAATGTTATTAAAAATGAATATAGATCAAATGAATTGGAGGGTAAGGAAACAAAGTATTGTTTTTTTTCTGGAAAATCTGGAAATATATATATTATAGACAAAAAAGTCTTATACATAAACTTCACAATATAATGTTTTAAAATTAATACAACTTATTTTTTAATTAGGTAGAGATCTTTTCCTAGCAAGCTGTTCACAAGATTGCCTGATAAGAATATGGAAGCTGTATATAAAGTCAACATCTTTAGAAACTCAGGATGACGATAACATAAGACTGAAAGAAAATACTTTTACCATAGAAAATGAAAGTGAGTAATAATGAAAATATCCAATATAACGATACTTAGGTCTCCTAGTTGGTTGATTTTTTTTTCACCACCCACCTATGTGAAGGATAGTTTTTCACAATTGTCAGATTCCTACCTGAAATTTCTTTTTTCTTTCTTTTTTTTTTTGAGACAGAGTTTTGCTTCTTCACCTCGGCTGGAGTGCAGTGGCGTGAGCTTGGCTCACTGCAACCTCCGTCTCCCAGGTTCAAGTGATTCTCCTGCCTCAGGTTCAAGTGATTCTCCTGCCTCAGCCTTCCAAGTAGCTGGGATTACAGGCACGCACCACCACGCCTGGCTAACTTTTTTGTATTTTTAGTAGAAATGGGGTTTCACCATGTTAGCCAGGCTGGTCTCGAACTCCTGACCTCAGGTGATCTGCCCGCCTCGGCCTCCCAAAGTGCTGGGATTACAGGTGTGAGCCACCGTGCCTGGCCTTTTTTTTTTTTTTTTTTTTGAGACTTCTTACCCAGGTTGGAGTGCAGTGGCATAATCACAGCTCACTGCAGCCTTGAACTCCTTGGCTCAAGTGGCTTAGCTTCCTGAGTAGCTAGGACTACGCCATCACACCCAGCTAATTTTTAAAATTTTCTGTAAAGATAGGGTCTTGCTATGTTGTCCAGGCTGTTTTTCAACTACTGGCCTCAAATGATCCTTCCACCTTGGTATCCTAAAGTGTTGGGATTACAGGTGTGGGCCACCATGCTTGGCCTGATACTTTGTATTTTCCTATTTTTATGTGAGAATGAGTCATTTTTCATATGTGAAATATTTTTCTTCTAAACCATATTAGTAAGATTTTTAAAATTGCTGAGGATAATGTTTAGTGCTTCTCATTAAAGTAATTTGTAAAATATTACTAAATTTGCAGTTTTAGCATAGGAAGACCTAAAGGAATAATGTGAATTACTTACACATTTTATTGGCCTATGATAAAAGACAAGCTAAATCTCACCATTTGAGTAGTATATTTAATTCTGATTTTCCTATTGTCTAGCCTTAGAACAGTATCCCTGGATGGTAGATCCTGTTGGGATGTTGTATTTGAAAGAGATATTTTTGGATGTGACAGTTATAAAGGTAGTTCAGTGAACATTGTTCACCTAGGTGTATTCTGTTTTTTGTTACTATTCTTGGTGGTAAAGTCCATCAGAGTTGAGATTTTGGTAACAGTTTTATGGGGAGAACGAAAAAATGATATAACCAGCATATTAGGAGTAGCTATACCCAAATATGAATTTTTTTCTATTTTCATTATATTGTTTGAAAGGTCAAAATACTGATTTCATTATCTTTATTTCTGCATTTATCCTTTTAAAAAATGGGATTTGTATTTGTCCATTCTTACGCTTCTATAAAGAACTTCCCAAGACTGGGTAATTTGTAAGAGAAAGAGGTTTAGTTGACTCACAGTTCTGCAAAGCTGAGGAGGCCTCAGGAAACTTAAATTAATAGCAGAAGGGGAAGCAGACACCTTCTTCACAGGGCATCTCCCACCAGATCCTTCCCTTGACAGGTGGGACTTAGGGGGATTACAATTCAAGATGAGATTTAGGTGAGGACACAGAGCCAAACCATATCAGTATTTTAGGCTATTATATTCTTATAATGAGTGAGGATAATAAAGAGGCTGGCATGACTGTTTTTCCTTCCTCATTGTGGTTTAACAAAAGTAGCTGTCTCAGAAAATTGTAAAAATATAAGATATTCCTTCATATTTATTTATGACCAGCTAGAACAGAATATAAGGAAAAATGTATAACTTTTTCTCCTATAATTTTGAACAGCAGTTGAGGTTGAAGAAATTTAGAATGCATGTTCTTTTTTTGAATCCCAACTATCATATTTTGTCCTAATTTTTTTTTCTTACATAATTGCCCAACTGTCTTGGTTATGGAAATATTCTTTTTAGAAGAGCTTTGAGGAAATAATACCTTCATTGCTTTTGTTATAGGTGTTAAAATAGCATTTGCTGTTACTCTGGAGACAGTGCTAGCCGGTCATGAAAACTGGGTAAATGCAGTTCACTGGCAACCTGTGTTTTACAAAGGTAGGAAGAAAACCATACACATATCCCTTACTCCAGTTAAATCTTATGGCACAGTAAGCTGACCAAATCAAGTGGAGAATTTTTTTACTGTGATTAGAAATCTCAAATACATGACATTTTCAAGTTGACAAAGTATAATACTGCATTCCTGGTCTGCTGGACACTCAGTTCCATTGAACATTGAACTCCTAAGTGGGAAAAGTGTAATTCCTGCCATGATGCTGAAACTACCACACCCCCAGTAACTTTTTATCTTAAAAGTTTCCACTTGATTATTATGGGATTGAAGAAAAACTGACTTTCAAGCCAACTTCACTGGATCCTTTACCCTCAGTAATAACAAAGTTGGTACCACTGAAATACATTATTTATGAGAAAGTAAGACTGTTACTCCTTCTTTCTTTTGCCATTTATCTCCATTTATAGAGTGACAGTTCTGTGCATGTTCAGGCTGGTGCTGGGTGTATAGCTAGGTAAGGCATAGCCTCACATTCTTCCCTGGCCTCTTCCCCAAGGCAATAACAGTAATAATTAATTCTTAGGCAAACTACCATTCACCTCTTCCTTACATTATGCTATGTTTGCTGTAATTTAAAAAACAAAAAAAATTGGAATTATAGATATTACAGCTTGCCTTTTTAGCTTACCGTGTTTTGGAGCTGTATCCACATTGATTTGTGAAGCTCTAGTTATTTGTTTTTATTGCACGGTAGTAGTCTGTTGTCTGAATATACCACAACCCATTTATCTCTTCTTCTAATGGTAGACATTTGTGGTGTTTGCAATTTTTTGCTATTACAAATAATGTGCAGTGAACATCCTTGCAGTACCCATGTTGTTTGTTGTTTTTTTCTGGTCATCTACAAACATGATGATTGTTGATCACCTAAAGGGATTAGGTTTTATTTTTTAGATGGTGTCCTACAGCAGCCAGTGAGATTATTATCTGCTTCCATGGATAAAACCATGATTCTCTGGGCTCCAGATGAAGAGTCAGGAGTTTGGCTAGAACAGGTAAAAATGTTGGATATTTAAGGAACAGAAAATTAAGTTTTGAACTCTGTATTTAAATCCCAAGTCTATATTGATAGACCTGCAAATTTTCACTGTGTACATTAAAATAGTGGGAATTTAACAGTCTCTGGAATCAGCGATTTCTGTTGTGAGAAACATAGACTATTGATTAAGAATTGTTTTCTGTCTGTTATTGTACAGGTTCGAGTAGGTGAAGTAGGTGGGAATACTTTGGGATTTTATGATTGCCAGTTCAATGAAGATGGCTCCATGATCATTGCTCATGCTTTCCACGGAGCGTTGCACCTTTGGAAACAGAATACAGTTAACCCAGTAAGAAAAGAGTGTTTAAATAAAGCATTTCTAATCAAATAGAGTACATTCTAGGTAAATAGTATTTTGCTTATAACACTCTACAGAAACATAGTAGAGGCACTTGAAGTTCAAGTGACATAACTTTTTTCTGTAGACATTGTTAAGGTATTGAAATTTGCATGTAGGTAAATTTGCTACGTAAGTGCACTGTATTCCTTTAAGCTATAGAATTTTTTAATGATAATTTTTCTGAAATGTGTAGCTTTCCTGTCTTCTTAAAAAGTTAACATAATTGGATATCTTGTTGGACTGCTAGATCCCTATTATTGAATGAATGTCAGTCATTTATTGTGACTGACGTTCAACACCTGGGCATGGTGGCTCTTCTCAGCAACTTGAAAGGCTGAGATGGAGGATTGCTTGAAGCTAGGAGTTTGAGAACAGCCTTGGTGAAAGAATAAGACCCGTCTCCAAAAAAAAAGAGGTAGTCTTCTCCCTTTAGTCATGTAACTGTCTCTCTACAGCATTCCTTCTCTTACTTTGTAATCTGATTTGCTTCTAATCTGCTTCTAGCTTGGGAAAATTAGATAGCAAGAACGGAGTGGCCAAGAGCACAGGCCCTTGGAGCTAGACAGCCTGGGTTCACTTACTAGCTATGTGTCCTTGAGGACATTAGTTAATCCCTGTCTCAGGTTCCTCATTTGTAAAACATGGGTAGTTTTTTTTTTTTTTTTTTTTTCTTTTAACAGGATCTTACTCTGTCATCCAGGTGTGATCATAGCTCACTGCAACCTCATTCTCCTGGGGTTAAGCCATCCTCACGCTTCAACTTCCTGAGTAGCTGGGACTACAGGTGCACCTCACCACACCCAGCTAATATCTAAAATTTTTTTTATAGACACAGGGTCTTGCTTTGTTGCCCTGCCTAGTCCTGAACTCCTGGCTTCAAGTGATCCTCCCGCCTCAGTCTCCCAAAGTGCTGGGATTACAGGTGTGAGCCACTGCATTTGGCATGTGGATTGTTAATATTACCTACTGACAGTTTTTGTTTGTTTGTTTGTTTGTTTTGAGACCGAGTTTTGCTCTTTTGGCCCAGGTTGGAGTGCAGTGGTGTGATCTCGGCTCACTGCAACCTCCACCTTCCGGGTTCAAGTGATTCTTCTGCCTCAGCCTCCTGAGTGGCTGGGATTACAGGTGCCTACCACCATATCTGGCTAATTTTGTATTTTTATTAGAGACGGGGTTTCACCATGTTGGCCAGCCTGGTCTCGAACTCCTGACCTCAGGTGATTCTGCCCCTCCCCCCGCCTCAGCCTCCCAAAGTGCTGGGATTACAGGCGTGAGCCACCGCACCTGGTCTACTGGCAGGGTTTTTATGAGGCTTAAATGAGTTAACATTTATATGATATGCAAAACAAGGCCTGGCACATACTGGATGCTATGTAAGTGTATTTTATTTTATTATTATTGTTGTGTTTTTTATTAACACTTACTTTTTTTTATAAAGTATATTGCAAAGGAAACAGAAGCAGAGACGTGTAGGGTGAGGTATGGGAGAAGGGGTGCCAAGCTCCCATGCCCTCCCTGGCTGTGCCGCCCTCCAGGAACCTCCATGTGCTTAGCTATTCGGAAGCTCCGAAGCTCCCTGAACTGTGTCGTCTTTGGTTTTTATGGCAGCTTCATGACGTCAGCATTTTTTCCCCCAGGGTGGAACCCTCTCATGGTCAGGTTTTTGTTTTTTTTTTTTTGAGATGGAGTCTCACTCTGTCACCCAGGCTGGAGTGCAGTGGCGCTATCTCGGCTCACTGCAAGCTCCGCCTCCCGAGTTCACACCATTCTCCTGCCTCAGCCTCCTGAGTAGCTGGGACTACAGGTGCCTGCCACCACACCTGGCTAATTTTTTGTATTTTTAGTAGAGACGGGGCTTCATGGTTTTAGCACCTCGTGATCTGCCCACCTCGGCCTCCCAGAGTGCTGAGATTACAGGTGTGACCCACTGCGCCCAGCTGGTCGGGTTTAAGACACACAGTCAAACAGGTGGGGAAGATTAGAGGCCTGACCCTGAAGCCTAATATACCCAATTTTGTAGGTGAAGACTGTAACAAGGGCTATGGGAGTTTTGAGCCAGGAAGTTTTGTCAGAGAAAACCAGTGTACTTAACACCTCAGGCCATGGATCCCTCAGGCCAGGGATCCTTTACATCAAAAAATATAGGCTGGGTGTGATGGCTCATGCTGGTAATCCCAGCACTTTGGGAGGCCAAGGCGGGAGGATTATTTGAGCCCAGGAGCTTGAGGCCAGCCTGGGCAACATAGGGAGACCCTGTCTGTACCAATAATTTTAAAAATTAGCCATGGGCTTGCAGCCCTGGGTATCGTTGCAGGCGCCTGTGGTCGCAGCTACTTGGGAAGCTGACGCAGGAGGATTGTGTGAGCCTGGGAAGTTGAGGCTGCAGTGAGCCATGGTTACACCACTGCATTCCAGCCTGGGTGATAGACCAAGACCCTGTCTCAAAAAAAAAATGTGTATGCACACACAGTCAATAATTAGTCCAGTCCATCATACTGTATGAATGTCTCCCAGGCTGAGGCCACTCAGGTTTGCAGATTTCCTTCAATCTTGTCAGGTTTCAGAAGGAGTAGCCTCAGTCAATATTATATACAACTTCACTTTTTCAGGCATCTGGGATAATTAAGCTAAGAGACAATGTCATCTCTTGCTCTTGAGACTCTTATGAGTTGTTAATGTGATATTGAATTTTCCTCAATGACCCATTTATTCATTTCTTTACTCTCAGCTGCTATTTCTCCTTCTCTCCATTAATACCCAAAGCTTTTCATCTTTGAAAGGCACATTAGAATTGCCATTGTGTTGATCTAGATTGCTGGCAGTAATACAAGTCAAGCAAGTAGCTCCTCAGTCTACTACGTTCAGACAGGATAAGGTTAGGTAGGTGCAGAACTAGTGAGCTATTTTTACCACCAGGCAATGTAGCTGTTTTCACCATTAGCCCTAATTTTGCTAGATGGGGTGAAGGTACAACCGTACAACCCATTCCCGTCATGCCTTAGGAATTTTGATACAAGACTTAGAAACATAGTTGCAGGGTTTTTTGTTTTGTTTTGTTTTTTTTTTTTTTGCTTAGAAATCATCCCTGCTGTTCCAGTACTTGTTGTTGCAGGCCTGGTCCTGGACCACTGCATCAGGTAGAGGAGAAAAAATAAATTAAAAAAAAAATTTTTTTGAGGCGATTTGGGGAAGAAAGAAAAAAAATATAGTCATTTTACCAGTGTATTCCTCCTTTGGTAAGAACCGCATAGTCATACCAGCATCCTCCCCAACCCCCTTCCCCATATCAACAAGAAAAACAAAAAATCTAGCAGGGACACTCAAGTTCCACTCATGTTGAGTGTGAGTACACACTCATGAAGGTGTGTAAGCCAGCCCTTCATGCTTTTATCTCCCCTTATTTTAGACAACCGATGTTTCAATCGTCCATTTCTACTTCTCTGTCAAACTGTGACTCTAAGGAGGAGATATCTCTACCCATTGTTGGACATTATGAGCTGTACAGTGTATCTTTGGTCTGAAGAAATGATGGTCGGCCATCCAGATCTATTTAATATCTTCTGTTCTGGTTTTTTTATGGCATGTTGAGCATTTTCATCTTTCATTTGATAAGCAAAACCTACTACACAGTCAGTTTCAGTTCCTGTCAAGACCCATTTATAGCTCCCCAGGTCTACTAGCATCAGTCTTACTTGCCAGCCATGTTCAGGGCCTTCCCACCAGAGTCTGCCCTGTAGCCATCAGCAGTCTCTGTTGCTGACAAACAGAGCAGTTCTTTCTGGCATTATGTGCCTTGGAATTGCCATCTACTAACCCAGCAGCTCTTGAGAGCTGTTCATCTGACACTGCAGAATCCAGCAGTTTTTCACACAGTTCCAGTGTCAGTTCTAGGGGAAAAGAAACTCCTTGCTCAAGGGTATCTCCTCCTTCCATTCTCCAGGTAGTATAAAGCATTTCCGTTTTATTATGGAACTCTTCCGGACACTGCCATCCCCATTAGAATGTTTCTCTGACATCACTGGAGACAGTATGGGTGTTTCAGGTGTCATAGGGATAGCTTCAGCTAATGTTTCATAGCAAGACAGTAAATGCCCCTCAAGTGGAAATACTCTAGTCCAAACCCCAGTAGTTGTTGCTGGGAGCTACTCAGAAGCTTTAGCCATAAGCTCGAGGAGCTGTTTCACAGAGGGTGATGAAGTGGAGAATTTATCCTTCCCAGCACTCTAGCTTCTACCCTGCATTGTGTGGTTCAGGCAATTCTGCTGGTTCCCATTTAGCATATCCAGTTAATATTGCTTGAAGGTCAGATTTACATGCTTTCTGTTTTACAGTACCAGGTAGGGGAAACATTCCCCAATCAGACACAATGTTCAGCCCCATGATACAATCAGGTAAAAGAGATGCAACCACTTCATATGAAGTGTGTTCAAATATGCCAACTTTCATAATCCTATTAACCCTTAGATTTTTATGTTCTGTTTTCAGGAACTTCACCCCCAGACCATTTTACCCTTTCTTGTACAAAAAGCTTTGGGTCCCTTGCTGCCAAGGGTTGAGCCAAAGGACTCCAGCCCTTTTGTCAGTAGTTTCCCCCCCTATTGCCCCACGCCAGATCAGATTTTTCACTGTAGTCTCTGCCTTCCAGCTTTTTTTTTTTTTTCTCTTTTTTTGAGACAGTGTCTCACTCTGTTGCTCAGGCTGGGGTACAGTTGTGCAGTCATGGCTGACTGCAGTCTTGACCTCCTGGGCTCAATCGATCCTCCCACCTCCACCTCCCGAGTAGCTGAGACTACAGGCAGGCACCGCCATGCCCGGCTAATTTCTATTTTTTGTAGAGACGGGGTTTCACCATGTTGCCCAGGCTGGTCTCAGACTCCTGGGCTCAAGCAGTCTACCCGCTTCTGCCTCCCAAAGTGCTGAGATTATAGGTGTGAGCCACCCTGACCTGCCCTGCCTTCCAGCTTTTACCATTTCTCCAAACTGGGAGAAGTGCAGTAAACTGGTTTGGCATCCTTTAATGTTGGGAGACCAGGCGGGACTCCCTTTGGTCCACCCAGCCTTTGATAGTGTTGTATTACTACTTCGTTTTAGGCCAGGCATGGCGTCTCACACCTGGAATCCTAACACTTAGGAAAGCTGAGGTGGATGGATGGATCTCTTGAGCCCAGGAGTTTGAGACAAGCCTGGGCAACATGGCAAAACCCCATCTCTACAAAAAAGACAAAAATTAGCCAGGCATGGTTAATTCTTTGGGCTGAAGAAATGATGGTTGGGCATCCAGATCCATTTAGTATCTTCTGTTCTGTTCTGTTTTTTTTTTTTTTTTTTTTTTTGAGGTGGAGTTTCGCTCTTGTTGCCCAGGCTGGAGTGCAATGGCATGATCTTGGCTCACTGCACTCTCGCCTCCCTGGTTCAATTGATTCTCCTGTCTCAGCCGCCTGAGTAGCTGGGATTACATGCACCCACCACCATGCCCGGCTAATTTTTTTTTTTGTATTTTTAGGAGAGACGGAGTTTCACCATGTTAGCCAGGCTGGTCAACTCCTGACCGCAAGTGACCCACCTTCCTCAGCCTCCCAAAGTGCTGGGATTACAGGCCTGAGCCACCATGCCCAGCCAGTTCTGGTTTTTTAATGGTTTTTTTCCAGCTACTCAGAGGCTGAGGTGGGAAGATCACTTGGGCCTGGGAGGGAGGGTGAGGCTGCAGTTAGCCGTGATTGCATCACTGCACTCTAACCTGGGTGACAGAGTGAGACCCTATCTCAAAAAAAAAAAAACAACAAAGATCTTTGTTTTAACACCATCAGTTTCCATTTTATTCTTTGTTTCTTAATAACCATCTAAAGATTTCCACCCTGCCTTTGAATCTCTCCCTTTTACCTTTCCTGTTTTCTTGTCAACCTAATGTTTTTATTAGCATCTGTAAGACTCATGAGAAGCTGAGACAGCAAGTTTAATAAGGCTTCTTGAACGGTTTATTGATTCTGCAGGAGTACCATCACATGGGGTGCCCATGTAGAAGGAACCCCCTTAACCATAGCATTTACTGTGATCTGGGTAACAGGCATATTCAGCAGGTGAATATCCCTGTCATCACATAGCCAGTCTCACAAGGCTTGCATACAAAGCATATTAGCTGCCCCATCTGGGGTGTTACACTTGGCATTTATAGATGATGTTAGGCAGTCCCCATTTTTGGGGGTAAACAGACCTTACAGTGGCATTTATCCAGTCCACCTGGCTGGCCGTTCCCTCAGGAATAATCTCCCGTGTGTCTGGATTATATATCCCCACCCACGATTGTTCACTAGTGAGCTGTGGGTCCTGCATCAACCCAAACATGCTCTTCCACTCTGTAGCATTTAAAACCAAAGATACTGCCCCTAAATTAATCACTTTCATAGTCCACTTTAGCAAAGGTTCCCCAGGAAACTGATGATACCAGTCTATAAGATGGAACAATTCCTTAGCACTACACCCTTTGGTTTCAGTAGTTACTTGGTTTTGCCCTTCCCCCACATTGACTACCTTCTTGGTAACCACAGGACTTAGAAATATTTTCTGTTGTCCCTGCATAATTCTCTGCTTTGTGGGTGACTTTGAGGCTGGTGGCCTGAGCTCGCACCCACATTTTGAGCTGGGTCCAGCCTCAAGTCCTTATCCAGCACCCTCTTGTACTTTCATTTTAGCCATTATAGATAACAGTGACCAAGGGATTGAATTTTGGATTGAATATTTCACTTTTTTCTTTTTAGTTTGCATTTCCTTATGTATCCAATGAACCAACTCTTGGAGTTGGATCTATCCGTAAATTCCACTGGTAACTTTAACCTTTAGTAACTGATCTCAACACAGCTGCAGCTTCATACCATTGGTGAGCACATGATCAAAGATTCCTCATTCCCCACCCTTTTATCCTTTTTCTTCCCAAACCACACGATTCCGTGAGTCAGGGCCTTTCCAGCAAATCCTGCTTCACTAAGTATGTAGGGAAAACTCTCTCTCTTACACCACAGCAATCATTAACTTCTGTGAGCAAATGTGTGGGGGTTTCTTCCCCGACACCAAGCAGCAGACACCAGCTGGGTGTTCTCTAATTCAGTTCCAACACTCTCTACCCAGAGATAGTGTCAGATCCCAGAGGTTGAGGGCTCAGTCCCCAAGACTGCCCCTACCCCAGCAGTCACAGTCCAGGCCTCAGGAACTTCTGACTGACCAGCTTCAAGTTAGGATTCCCTCGACCCCCTCTTTAGGTTCAGTTAATTTGGGGTGACTCACAGAACTCAGGGAAACACTTAACATTTATTGGTTTATGGTATTGAAAGTGACTTGTTTTTTATATAGACTTTTTTTTTTTTATAGAGCAGTTTTAGGTTAACAGCAAAATTGATCTGAAGGTACAGAGTTTCCACGTCCCTCTACCCCCACACATCAACTTGTAGCCTCCCCCACTACATTGTTACAGTCAAGGACGATTTTTTAAAAGCCAAACACTGCCCTTCAGGACTGTTACTGTGGGAAACTGTTAGTCCAAAAGTGCTGTCCATTGCTCAAAACTTTTTGTAAACTCCCATTAGTGCTAACTTTAGAATCAGTTTTTGTTCACAGAGGGAGTAACATTTTTTGTCACAGGCTTTTTTTTTTTTTTTTTTGGCCAGACATAATATAGTTTAGTCACAGACTTATCCATCAGATTAGGTTTTGAATGACCTATTAGCTATTTATACACATTTAATTTTCCTCTAAAGGTTAAGTTTTAGTCCCACTTGAGGTTGTTCAAAAAGGTGCTCTGTGGACCAGGCATATGACATTTTCTATATTTTGTTGTCATTATTTGTTTATATGGTTGTTGTTGCAGGCTTCTTAGTAGGTGAACCAACTAGGTTTGATTCAGTTGTCTGTCCTCTACACCTGTAACTCTTTTTACTTAATAAAGCCATCAGGTCCACATGCAGAACCCACTGACTCGTTTTACACAATATTTTTACATTTTATACAATTTTTATTTAGTTTAATAAATACATAGAACCTAGTGTATACTAGAATTGTCCTGTGTACTTTACAAAAGTAACTCATTTAATCCTCATAATAACCCTAGAAGGTAGGTGCTGTTATAACTGTTTTATTCTATAATTGAGACACAGAAAGGTTAAGTAGTATCTGGCTGCTCAATAAATGATGAATGGAGGGAAATTTCCCACAGTTACTGATTTAAAGGATACAACACATATTTGAATGCTTAAGCTCTTACATGATTGATTGGAAAATGGATCCTATTATTCTGTGATCCGATCTTGTATACTTAGCTTTTCACCTTGCCAGAGGGCTTTAGTCTTCTCTGTTATCAGACGTGAGTGCTTTACTTTGGTGGTAGTCTTTGAGTATTTTGATATGTGATATGAGCACTTCCATTGCAGAGAGAGTGGACTCCAGAGATTGTCATTTCAGGACACTTTGATGGTGTCCAAGACCTAGTCTGGGATCCAGAAGGAGAATTTATTATCACTGTTGGTACTGATCAGACAACTAGACTTTTTGCTCCATGGAAGAGAAAAGACCAATCACAGGTAAAATGTCTTATTTATTTATTTATTTTTTCTTGGGACAGAGTTTCACATCACCCAGGCTGAAGTGCAATGGCACGATCTCAGCTCACTGCAGCCTCCGCCACCCAGGTTCAAGCGATTCTCCTGTCTCAGCCTCCCGAGTAGCTGGGATTATAGGTGCCCACCACCACACCCATCTTCTTTTTGTATTTTTAGTAGAGATGGGGTTTCACCATGTTGGCCAGACTGGTCTCGAACTCCTGACCTCAGGTGATGCACCGCCCCTCCCCCCCCCCCGCCTCCCAAAGTGCTGGGTTATAGGCATGAGCCACTGCAGCCGGCCTCTTCTTATTTTACTAATGTGTTTAAAAGAAAACATCCATGAACACAAGAAAAGTAGGGCAGCCACGCTAGCCATTAGGAAAATGCAAATTAGAACCATGATGAGATACCACCACACACCCTCTTGAATAGCTAAAGTAAAAAATATATTAACAAGTGCTGGTAAGGATGCAGAGCAACTGGAACTTTCATACATTGCTATTGGGGATGCAGAATGATACAGCCACTCTGGAAAACAGTTGGACATTTTATTTTTTGTTTTTTGTAGAGACAGGATCTTGCTATGTTGCTCAGGCTGGCCTTGAACTCCTGGCCTCAAGTGATCCTCCTGCCTCAGCCTCCCAAGTAACTAAGACTACAGGTGTGAGCCACCATGCCCAGCTAATTTTTAGATTTTTTGTAGAGACAGGGTCTTGCTCTGTTGCCTAGTTTCGTTATGTCTTGTAATTTTAGGTTTAATTCATTAGGAAGCATTATCAAGTGTACAATAAAAGCCTGAAGTCATATAGTATTAGATAATAGTAGTGAGGGCAGTTTTTGTTTAAGGAAATTTTCACTGTGTTAGGCACCTAGAATAAAACAAAATGTAAAAGATAGATCCTGTTTTCAAGGAGTTTACCATCTAGCTGTAGGGTAGGGCTATAGGTAGGGGGCAGTGGAACTAATGTTTCTGTAATTATTAGATAAGACCAGTTAATTGCTAAGTGTTGGCCCTGAGCTCAAACAGTTGTAAAACTTCACTACTGGTAAACTTTGAACTGCTATGTGGTAGAGAAAATCAGGATCCTCTGCTTCAGTTTCTGATAGAAATTCACGGAACTGACTGTGGGTCAGTCCGTAAGAGCTAGTGAAGTTTGCCACTAACACTACTGCTTGAGTAACACGTGGTAGATTCAAATAAATAGAGTTGAGAACATTGGGAACAGCATCTATAGTCAACTGAAAAACAAGTCAAATGATTTTGAGTGATTTTTCTGTGGCTCTTGGTAATTTTTACCAATACTGCCCAGTTGTGGTTTATTCATGGATGAATATTTGCCCCATGGTTATATTTCCATTGTATAGTAAATAATTTTCATCTAATAATTTGCTTATTGAAAATTCAGCTTTTGAATGATCATTTTTGTTTATCCCGTTTTACCCAGGTGACTTGGCATGAAATTGCAAGGCCTCAGATACATGGGTATGACCTGAAATGTTTGGCAATGATTAATCGGTTTCAGTTTGTATCTGGAGCAGATGAAAAAGTTCTTCGGGTTTTTTCTGCACCTCGGAATTTTGTGGAAAATTTTTGTGCCATTACAGGACAATCACTGAATCATGTGCTCTGTAATGTGAGTATTTCTCTAAATATTTTACCTAAATCTAGTCACTTCATTTTAAATTTAAAAGGATTTTTGCCTTAGGCTTTAAATGGAATATATGGGTAGAAAGAAAGTAATATTGTTTCTTAATGTAAGATGTGACAAAGTTTTTGTGCACTGTGGGGTGTAATAATTTAAATACTAAAACTAGAAATTTTGTGTAGCAAATGAGCTCAAAATACTACAAAGCTGCATTAGTGTTCAATTGAGACATGAATATGATGTTTTATCACTGTGTTAGGTACCTAGAATAGAACAAAATAAAAGATGGATACTGTTTTCAAGGAGATTACCATCTAGCTGTATGGTAGGGGTAGAGGTAGGGGGCAGTGGAACTAATGTATCTGCAGTTGTTAGATGAGACCAGTTAATTGCTAAATCTTATGGTACTAAAGTAAATTTCATAGAAGGAAGAGGTCATTGTATTGGAATAACGAGAACATGTTTAATGGGACTTGATTTGGGTTTTGTAAGGGTAACTTTCTTTTTTATGTTTATACGCCCTTCTAAGAAAGATTTGAGCTACTTATAAAAGTACATGGATTATAAAAATTATGAAGTAATTTTGAAAGAAGGAAAATTAAGTAGGAAGATAGGTTACACAGAAGTGCATATTATACAGTCCTTCACTTAGAGTTGAGTCACGAATTTGGTTCTGAGCTCAAAAAGGATAAGTACCCTTTTGATAGGCAAAAAGAAGGGGAGAGAGAGGGAGAGAGCAAAGGGAAGAGAGAGAGAGCAAAGGGGAGGCCAGAGCTATTGTGGTACCTGTTGGACTGAAGACTGGATAGAAGTGGGGAGAATGGGGAAAGTCCATGGTGGAAGACTTGGGAGGCAGGCACAGTCTGACTGTGGGGTGCTGTTGGAGGCTCCTACACAAAGAGTGATGAAAAGGATTTTGGAAGAGAGTTATCTGGAAGCCAAGAGACTCTGAAAGCAGTGAAACTAGCACCAGTGTGAGTAAGACTGGAGAAGAAAATGGAATTCATTAGAAATGAAGTAGCCAACTAAATTTCCTGGAATGTATACTCAGCACCTCATGCTACAGGCTTTCTTGATTATGTGAAGAGGATTTAAGATTCTGTTATGCTTGTTTCTAATAATAATGGACAATAGGAACAAGATCAAAAGGGAAGCCTTAATTGTGGTTATTATGTAGAGCTAAGCGTATGGAGGTGGAGGGACAGCTAGTTTCAGGATCTCTTCAGTTCTAGGAATTGAAATGGGGTTTTACGATTCCATGAGAGGCTTAGTCCCAGTTGTACACTTAGTTCTGTGTCCTAAGATACAGGGATCCTGTAGAGTAGCGAGCTGCTTGCTCTCGTTTGGGTTTTGCTCCCATACTAAGTGTTGGGATAGGTATGTAGGAATGCCTCTTACTGTTCTTTTCCATGTTAGTTTTTCTTTGTTTCTGAGATAAAGCATACTGTTTCTTGTGTCCCAGGTAGCCATTTTTGATGGTTTTAAATTCTTACTATTCATGTTTGTGTCTAGTTTCAGCTTCTGTGTTAAAGTCTAAGTTGTACAGAACACTCTTAGCAAATGAGCATGTGCCAGTTTTGATGGTTAGCATATATTTTCACATGTAATAATTTGATTGATATAAATTGCAAAATCTAAGCAGATATTGCCTTTTCAAATGACACTCATACGAAGTTTTAAAATACTCAGTTAGTTAGGTATGTTTAATGAAAATACTATGACTAATGCTGTAACTGTTCCCTTCTGGGAAGCATCTGTGTTTATATGAGCATCATCAGGGGATGTGCCTGTGAGATTATCTTGGAAGTAGAGCTCTGGGCCTTCCATTTTCAGCTCACTGCATTTCCTGTCAGACCCTGAAACCCATTGAAATGTTATGGTTCGATGAGGTCCCTTTATGGATGAGAGGATGCCCGACTTTATGGATTGCATGGGAGTTGGAGGCCTGGTAGGGCTTGTCTGTTGGAGAGTGATTGCTTAGCATTGCATTGTTGGTTCAGGAAGTGAAAGTACGGGTAGACATCCACACAAGATGGTCTTTAAACTGTTTCTCAGCATTTATGAGCGTGACTTTTTTGTAGTGCCTGAAGTAACAGTAACTTTTAGTTTTAAAATTAGCAAATAAAACTTTAGCATTTATAACTTAGATATTATATTTTCTATTCTAGCAAGATAGTGATCTTCCAGAAGGAGCCACTGTCCCTGCATTGGGATTATCAAATAAAGCTGTCTTTCAGGGTAAGGCTTTTGTCTTCAAAATTATTAAACCCATAGTGGTACTTAAACCCCAGTCATACACTTGTGTAATGTCTACCTAATGTTTGTTACAGCTGATTTTTTTTTTAAATCACAGTATATCTTTTCTATCACCTATTTCGTGATAAGTACTCTTTGTACACACTCAGACCACTGAAGTAGATGCAGTTTTCACAAAGCATGTTTTTTCCCTTTTTTTTTTTTTTTTGAGACAGAGTCTTGCTCTGTCACCCAGGCTGGAGTGCAGTGGCGCGATCTCAGCTCACTGCAACCTCTGCCTCCTGGCTTCAAGCAATTCTCCTGCCTCAGCCTCCCAAATAGCTGGGACTACAGGCATGTGCTACCATGCCCAGCTAATTTTTGTATTTTTAGTAGAGACAGGGTTTCACCATGTTGGCCAGAGTGGTCTGGAACTCCTGACCTCAGGTGATCCACCTGCCTTGGCCTCCCAAACTGCTGTTATTACAGGTGTGAGCCACCACGCCCTGCCACAAAGTATGTGTTTTGGTGTTAGAACTACAGATGAGAATGTGGGTAACCTGAAGAGTTGGTTGTGTAGTTTTAAAAGTTTGGAGACTGTTAGATCAAAGAAAATGGAAAGAACCTTTATGGAGTTGATTAATGCTGCCAGGAGCATGTTTGGAAAATACTGGAGTAATGGAAATACTCTTGCCTTTGGAATCACATGGACACAGCTGTGAATTGCACCACTTTGAATTACCACTGCTTTCTATGTGGTGGCCTTAATATTGAGACAAGTGAAGGAGATATAAAAATAGTGACTATATTCTTGATGTGTTTCTTCAAACTAGGAGATATAGCTTCTCAGCCTTCTGATGAAGAGGAGCTGTTAACTAGTACTGGTTTTGAGTATCAGCAGGTGGCCTTTCAGCCCTCCATACTTACTGGTAAGATGTGACAAAGACAATTTAATAAATCGCTAGAACACACAGTATGTTATCTATTGCTGCTGACCTAAATAAGTGCTATAGAATTCACTTTTACATAGAAAAAAATAGCTTCAATTTATTCTAGAGCCTCCCACTGAGGATCATCTTCTGCAGAATACTTTGTGGCCTGAAGTTCAAAAACTGTAAGTTAAACTGTATTTAGCTCTTTGGTCTGATTCTGTCGTAACTTCTGACTTTTCCTCCCCACCCCACAATCTGATGTCTCCTTTTTCTTCCTTCTACCTACCTTTTTCCTCCTCTTCTATATATCTCTTAGTGGCTCTTCATAAGGAATGAGAATTAAACCTTAACGTTTATTTTTATATTACTGTTTATTATGTTCATTAGTTTTGTTTATTCATCTTATTTTTAAAGTAGAGAAGCATAACAATATATATTTTTTCTTTATTAAGAAGACTTGGCTGGGTACAGTGGCTCACACCTGTAATCATAGCACTTTGGGAGGCCGTAGCAGGAGGATCACTTGAGGCCAGGAGTTTGAGACCAGCCTTGACAACATAGCGAGACCCCATCTCTACAAAAAATTTTAAAAAATTAGCCAGGCATGATGATGCATGCCTGTAGTCCCAAGCTACTTGAGAGACTGAGGCTGGAGGATTGCTTCTGCCCAGGAATTGGAGGCTGCAGTGAGCCATGATTGCACCACTGCACCCCAGCCTGGGTGACAGAATGAGACCTTGCCTTGAAAAAAAAAAAAAAGACTTAAGTTTTGTTGTTAGTCATGGTCTTTTTGTCTTTGATGGTTCCTGATGAAGACTTTTCCATGTTTTATTGTTTAGATACTGGCTGGTTGAAAGTAGGAGGTGAAAACTTGTATGTTAATTGTTTGAATGAGTTATATTACTTATAGGAAGCTGACATTTTTCTCCCATCTCCCTGTCTTTCTCTCAAATGTTTGCCTAGACAAACATACAATGTTCCTTAAAAGAATTGTATATTAGCTAGAGAGGTTGATGTTATTCTTTTTACTTTCAAAAATTGTGTGGCATGAGAATAGATTCATTTGCTAATAGTACTTTTTTTCTTTTTAAATTTTAGATATGGGCACGGTTATGAAATATTTTGTGTTACTTGTAACAGTTCAAAGACTCTGCTTGCCTCAGCTTGTAAGGTAGGGAAGTTTACTTTTGATTCTGCTTGGTCACAGGTTATTTGGGTCATCAGGCTCCTGCAAGTTTGGTAATGATTTAGGCAGAACTCTACGTGAAAGGCCACTAGTGCTTGGTTTTTTGAATCTTACTTTCTCAATTTCTCTTACCCTTCTGTCTCTTCAAAAGCTTATGGTTTCATTTTAAGTCTGTTTCAGCTGCACATTTTGAGTTTATCTGTGCCTCCCTGCTAAAAGTGATTTAATCAGGTATCTCAAAATGACACCTGCAATCCCGGCTACTCAGGAGGCTGAGACATGAGAATCACTTGAACCCCAGAGGTGGAAGTTGCAGTGAGTCAAGATCGCGCCACTGCACTCCAGCCTGGGTGACAGAGTGAGACTCTGTATATAAAACAGCGATATCTCAAAATGACACCTAAAAATTTGATGAATTTTAAATAATTGGAGTCATAGAGACACAGGGAAATGAGAAGAGGAAACCTGGAGTGAAATCCATCAGACTGTTTTTTGAGGACACTCTTGGCACTGACCTAAGGTAGATGACTTTTGCATTTACCTGGAAGGATGGTCTTGAATTCATCATTCAGTATTTATCCATATCCTGTGGAATGATATAGCAATTGTGGAGGATTATCCGAAGGGTCTGAAACCCACACATTCGTCTTAAATTTTCTGAAATTTATTTACTTGTTTTAAATATGATGATAAGAGCCGCCCACCTGCATGGGCTTGTGTCCCTGCTTTTAATGTGGATTTATGCCACTGATCTGCATTTTGGACATCATAAGAAATACTGCTGTGCTTCCCCTACACCCACCCCTACCCCACTTGTTTATTCTTTGAAATGGTACTGAGAGGACTTCCTTCTCTTATAGGAGCCTTTGGGAAAAATGGAATTCAGTAGTTCAAATGTCTGGGCTTCTACTGAGCAGATAATTTGTTTCTAACTTAGGGCACTGTCAATCCTGTAATTGATTTTTTTTCCCCCTTTTTAAGTTGATTCACAACAATATGTGTATCCTCTAAACATTTTTTAACAGCTTTATTTAGGGTTATTAACATACTATAAATGGTATGTTTAATGTGAACAATTTGATAAGTTTTGACATGTTTATCCCTGTATAAATCATCACTACAATCAAGATACTGTGTATATCCATCAACCCCCAACATTGTCTGTGCTCTTTGGCAATTCCTCTTTTCTACCTCTCCCTTTCCCCTCCTGCCTCCATCCCTAGGAAACCACTTGTCTGCTTTTTGTCATGATAGAGTAGTTTACATTTTCTAAAATTGTATATAAATAGGATCATGTAAGTATGTACTTTTTTGGTTTTGCTTCTTTCTTTCATCATAATTGTTTGAGATTTATCCATGTTTTTGCATGCATCAGTAGTTCATGCCTTCTTAATGCTGAGTAGTTTTACTTTGTACAGATGTACCACCATTTGTTGATCCATTCACTTATTAATGGACATTTGGGTTGTTTTCCAGTTTTGGGCTTTTACTCATGGTACAGTTATGAAAATTTATGTACAAATCTTTGCATGGATATATGCTTTCATTCTCTTGAGTACATATCTGTGAGTGGAATTGCCGGATGGTATGGTAGATATATATTTAAAATTTTAAGACAATTGACATGCTGTGTTCCGCAGTGGTTATACATTTTTGCAGCAGTGTATTAGATTTCCAGTTGCTGTGCACCCTCACCAGCACTTAGTATCAGTCTTTTTAACTTTAACCGTTCTAGTAAGTGTGTAGCAGCTCATTATGGCTGTGATTTATATTTCTCTAATGATATTAAGCATCTTTTCATGTGCTAATTTTTATCCATATGAAAATATGGTGAAACTATTCAAATCTTTTGCCCATTTATTTATTAGATTGTTTTCTTACTGAGTTTTGAAAAGTTTTTAAAGTTTTTTTTATAGATTTAGGGGTACAAGTGCAACTGTGTTACATGGATATATTGTGTCTTGTTGAACTCTGGATTTTAGCATACCCATCAGCTGAATAGTATACCTTGTACCTTGAGTATTTCATTCCTCAACCCCTCCCACCTTTTTGATTCTCCAGTGTCTACTATTATTTCATGCCATATGTCCATGTATACCCATTGTTTAGCTCCTGCTTGTAAGCAAAGATGTCTGGTTTTTGGCTTTTTGCTTCTGAGTCATTTCCCACTTAGGAGAATGGCTTCTAATTCAATCCATTTTGCTGCAGAAGACATGATTTCATTGTTTTTTATGGCCGAGTAGTAGTTCATGGGGGGTGTGTGTGTGTGTGTGTGTGTGTATACACCACATTTTAAAAATCCAATTATCCATTGATGGACACTGAACAGTTTTTTATATACCCTGGATACAACTTTATCACATGTGCTTATGTAGATATTTTTTCTCAGTGGCTTGTCATTCTCCTAACAGTGTCTTTCAACTAGCAGATGTTTTATGTTTTGGTGAAGTCCAGTTTATCAATTTTTTTTTTTAATTAGGCTGTGTCTTTCTTATATCTAGTCTTTGATTCAAGGTCACAAGGATTTTTCTGCTGTGTTTTGTTCTAGGAGTTTTATGGATTTTTAGCTTTTGCCTTTAGACCTATGATACTTTCAAATTAACTCTTGTATTTGTCATGGAGTATAGGTTAAAACTGATTTTCTTTTATTGTAGATACCAGTTTCAGCATCATTTTTTTAAAAGACTATCCCCTTCATCACTGTGCTTTGTCCCTTTGTCTAAAGTCGGTTGTTCATATATGTGGGTCTGTTCCGTAGACTTTATTCAGTTCTATTGATCTTTTTTGATATGATGCCAGTACCATACTCTGTTAGTAACGATAGTGTTTTAATAATACATCTTGAAATTAGGAAGTATAGAGTTATTTTGCCTATAGTAGATCCTTTATTTTGCATTTTAGAATCAGCTTAAGAGTTTCTGCAAAAATACCTGCAGGAATTTTGATGGAGATTGCATTGATTCTCTAGATCAATTTGGGGAGAATTTTAACAATATTGAGTATTTTGACATATGAATGCAATATGCCTGTCATTCATTCAGGTCTTTAATTTCTCTCAGGATTGATCTTTTTAAAAGTAAACCCTTTATTTTGGGATAATTTTCATTTTTTTCCCCCTTCATGTCACAGTTTTTCATTTTATTTTTCCCCCTCCATGTCACAGTTTTGATCATGGAATAATTTTTCAAGATCTGAGAGCTACAGTGAAAAGGAAAAAAAGAAAGAAAGAAAACATGATACTATAGTCCCTGATGATTGATTTTTTTTAATCCCAATCATCTGTAATTCTTCCCAGAGATAAGAAATGGTTGTAGTATGTTATCTCCTAGGAATTTTTTTTGGAATTCAAACAGATAAATAAAATATACTCATAGAAACAATGTGTTGTTTTTAAAATGTTTTCTCTTCAGTTTATTTTTACTTACTAGCTTCATTGTTTCATCTCTGTCCTATAGGCAGCTAAGAAAGAGCATGCAGCTATCATTCTTTGGAACACTACATCTTGGAAACAGGTGCAGAATTTAGTTTTCCACAGTTTGACAGTCACGCAGATGGCCTTCTCACCTAATGAGAAGTTCTTACTAGCTGTTTCCAGAGATCGAACCTGGTCATTGTGGAAAAAGCAGGATACAATCTCACCTGAGTTCGGTAAAACAGCTTCTGATTGGGAAAGTTATTAGTGAAACAGTTATGTTCATTTTATCTACATTAAGCAGCTTTAGTTAAGAGAAAGATAACAGAGTGAAGGGTAGAGCCTCATGTCTTTGAAGCCTTTCAAAGTTCTTGGATAACTGAGGAAGACTTGACCTTCCTTGTAAGATTTAAATGGAGATGATCTTTATTTGGGTTGACCTACTTGTGATTATGTAGTCAAGATGGCATGCATTCAGATATCTCAGTTCAAGAAACATAAACATCTGTATGTAGGAAGTTAGGTTTTGCAAATGGTGATAGAATGCTACCACAAAGCCTAATGGATAACTTATCCTAAGCTAGGATTTTATGGGACAGGAATAATGAAGATACAACTAAGAAAACTCATGGTTGAGTGGTTTCTTCTCTCTGAACTATTTTATTAATATAGTACTATTTTAAATTATGAAATGTAGAGGAAACCATTATCCTTAGCTTTTTCCTACCCTCTCCAGTCACCTCCTTCATTGAGAAGGGCATATTAGGCATCCATCTGGATAAATGACCCCTGAGCAAGGTGTTAGCCCACCTACCCACATTCTACTCTGAACCTGGCATAAACTGAAAAAAAAAAAAAGAGGACTAAAAACCTTTGTGTAGTTGGGTCAGTGGCCTATTCCTGTTCCCCCAGATTCTTTTGGTGGATAAGTTCTAGAGAGTGTTTAAAGTATATTTGCATTGTTTAATCCTGTTTTAAATTTTTCCATTGATAAGACTCGCATACAGTTTGGTTTTGTGATATTTCTGGTCTCTTTGTTTCTTGTGTTTTAGAGAACACCCAGGGACTGTAAAGTATACTCAGCAATATGTTTTAGAACAGACTGTTTTCTTTTGCATCACTAATCTTTTCCTAACATGCAGCATTTACTGTTTAAAAAGCTAAAGTCCACCAGGCACAGTGGCTCATGCGTGTGATCCCAGCACTTTGGGAGGCCGAGGTGGGCGGATCACCTGAGGTCAGGAGTTCAACACCAGTCTGGCCAACATGGTGAAACCCCATCTCTACTAAAAATACAAAAATTGGCTGGGCGTGGTGGTGCACGCCTGTAATCCCAGCTACTTGGGAGGCTGAGGCAGGAGAAGCATTTCAACCTGGGAGGCAGAGGTTGCAGTGAGCCAAGATGATGCCATTGCACTCCAGCCTAGGCGACAGAGCAAGACCCCATCTTAACAAAATAAAAAATAAGTTAAAGTTGGACGGGTGCGGTGGCTCACACCTGTAATCCTACCACTTTGGGAGGCTGAGGCAGGTGGATCATTTGAAGTCAGAAGTTTGAGACCAGCCTGGCCAATATGGTGAAACCCCATCTCTACTAAAAAAAATGTAAAGATTAGCCAGGCATGGTGGTGCATGCCTGTAATCCCCGCTACTCAGGAGGCTGAGACAGGAGGATTGCATGAACCCAGGAGATAAAGGTTGCAGTGAGTGGAGATCCCACCACGGCACTCCAGCCAGGGCATTAGAGTGAGACTTCGTCCCCCTGCAAAAAAAAATTGTATTAATAACATATTTATTAATTTGTTATATCTTTATGGATTATGGAGTAATAATAGATACGCTCTTATTCCCTCCTCATAAACAGTTATGTGGTTTTTGTTTTTTAGGGTTTTTTTTTTTTTTTTTTTTTTTTTTTTCAGACGGAGTTTCCCTCTTGTTCCCCAGGCTGGAGTGCAGTGGTATGATCTCAGCTCACTGCAGCCTCCGCCTCCTGGGTTCAAGTGATTCTCCTGCCTCAGCCTCCTGAGTAGCTGGGATTAAAGGCACCTGCTACCACACCTGGCTAATTTTTTGTATTTTTAGTAGAGACGGGGTTTCATCATGTTGGGCAGGCTGGTCTTGAACTCCTGACCTCAGGTGATCCACCCGCCTCTGCCTCCCAAAAGTGTGGGGATTACAGGCGTGAGCCACCATGCCTTGCCAACAGTTAGGTGTGTTAGGTTTAGTCCATATAAGGGCTAGAACTTCCCTTACACTTAAATCTTAAAAGGAAAATATTTTCTTAAGATTTCTTTTTTTAAACATTAAGTGGTGCATTAATCTTTTTTCTATAGCCTAATATGCAAATCTGCCTACTTTGAGTAAGGCTAAATAGCTTCAGGCTTCTTCTGTAGGCGTGAGTTGAACTTCAGTTGAGTGTTTGGAAGATGTTTGTCATCAGTCACTAGAGAGTGACCAGTCAGTACAAAAGCATTCCCTACTAGAAAAATAGCTGTGTCCACAGCCTTCTGGTGAGGGGTTGGTTGCCTGGCTTCAGTCTATTTCAAAAGTCAGTGCATATAAATTGAATATTAAGTCATATGGTGTATATGGCACTTAAACATCACTTCCTAACAGGTAAAAACCCAGCTTTCTCTGCTTTGTGAATAGTGTATACATATTTCTTTCAGAGCCAGTTTTTAGTCTTTTTGCCTTCACCAACAAAATTACTTCTGTGCACAGTAGAATTATTTGGTCTTGTGATTGGAGTCCTGACAGCAAGTATTTCTTCACTGGGAGTCGAGACAAAAAGGTAATTATTTAAAAATTTAATATTTTTTCAAATGTAAAAATAATATTTTTATAGGTATGTTTGAATAAAAAATGC
Source organism: Homo sapiens (assembly GCF_000001405.40). Taxonomy (NCBI): domain Eukaryota; kingdom Metazoa; phylum Chordata; class Mammalia; order Primates; family Hominidae; genus Homo; species Homo sapiens. The sequence continues at coordinate 36,167,298 of NC_000018.10, forward strand.
ATAATCCTGCCTTTCTGTTACAGCTTTTAAAAATCAGCTATGTATTCCTTTCTGTTTTTCGTATATGTACATATAAAAAAAGACTTTTCTTGTTAAATTCTATAAGTAAATTTCTCTGAAATGTCAAAAATATGAGGAGAAGACCTTTCAGACATATGACCTTCATCAAATGGTCCCAGTGGAAGAAGAGTAATAAATGAAATTAATCAAGACCAAGAAACTAGGAGGGCAGCGGGAGGTAGGGGAATAAGGGAAAAACTATTTTCTAGTTTTCTTACTTTTATGAATTTAACATTTTTCTGTAATAAATGATTGTTACCTTTTCATTTGGTGCTAGAAGTGGGTGGAGTATGACTGACCCAAGCTTTAAAAAAAGTCAAAACAAAGTAGCTAGGAATTTTTTTTTTTTTTTGAGACAGGGTCTCGGGTGCAGTGGTACAGTCACGGCTCACTGCAGCCTGGACCTCCTGGGCCCAAGCAATTTTCCCACCTCAGCCTTGGCCTCCCAAGTAGGTGGGACTACAGGTGCTCACCACCATGCCCAGCCAATGTTTTTATTGTGTAGAGATGGGGTCTTGCCATGTTGCCAGGCTGGTCCCAAACTCCTGGGCGCAAGCAGTCCTCCCACTTTGGCCTCCCAAAGTGTTGGAATTACAGGCATGAGCCACCACACCCAGCCTCAGAGTATGTTCTCCAACATGACCTTCACCTTTGTTTTCTGGGAAATGTCCACCTCACCTCTGGTCTTTCCTTTGTTTTCATACTCTTTAAAATATCCTTTTGTTCCTACAGACTAGAGGTGGTGAAGCAGTTTAGTGTTGGCCATTCCTCTCCCTGCCTTCTTTAGTCACAGACAAGGTACAGATCACTGAAGTGGAGTGCTAGCACAGACAGGGTGTCACTCAGGCTAAACACTTACATGTCAACCTCTATGGCAGACTTTACATCTCAGACCCTCCCTTCTGTTCATTTGCCTGTTCTTTCTTTCTTGGCATTGGTGTGCCTGTGCTGTGCTTGATGCTGAGGAAGAAGGACTGCTTTTGTCCCCCACAGTCATACTGTATTAATCTGTTTTCATGCTGCTATGAGGAACTGCCTGAGACTGGGTAATTTATAAAGGAAAGAGGTTTAATTGACTCACAGTTCCTCAGGGCTGGGGAGGCCTCAGGAAACTCAGTCATGGCAGAAGGTGAAACAAACACATCCTTCTTCACGTGGTGGCAGGAGAAAGAAGTGCTGAGCAAAAGGGGGAAGCCTCTTATAAAACCATCAGATCTCGTGAGAACTCACTCACTATCATGAGAAGAGCATGGAGGTAACCGCCCCCATGATCCTATTACCTCCTACTGTGTCCCTCCCACAACATACAGGGATTATGGGAACTACAATTCAAGATGAGATTTGGGTGGGGACACAGCCAAACCATATCACATGCCTATAGAACATGGTCCAGCTGCTACTCTCAGGGATAGGTCAGGGATCCAGCAGACAAAGCAGCATTCGCTGGACATTCTCTGAAATGTACTTCTTCTTGCTTAGACAAAGCCTTCTGCTCAGTATCTTGCTTTGGTTCTGCATTTTGCTACTGTTGTCCACTTCACTTCTCTCTCCATTTCTTTTTTTTTTTTTTTTTTTTTTTTTTTTGAGATGGAGTTTCGCTCTTGTTGCCTAGGCTGGAGTGCAGTGGCGTGATCTTGGCTCACTGCAACCCCCGCCTCCCAGGTTCAGGCGATTCTCCTGCCTCAGCCTCCTGAGTAGCTGGGATTACAGGCACCCACCACCATGCCCGGCTAATTTTTTGTATTTTTAGTAGAAACGGGGTTTCACCATGTGGGCCAGGCTGGTTTTGAACTCCTGGCCTCAAGCAGTCCACCCATCTCGACCTCCCAAACTGCTAGGATTATAGGTGTGAGCCACCACGCTCAGCCTGCTCTCCATTTCTTTGTGACCATTCACACATCCTTGAGGCATGAGCTTCCAGGGAAGCCTCATTTCATGAGGGGTATCATCTAGGTCAGGTTTTCCTCATAGCTGAGTAGATTCCCTGAGCAATGGACAGTGTAGAGGAAGAGCTAGAAAGCTGATAAGTTCTTTTTTTTTTTTTTTGAGACGGAGTTTCACTCTTGTTGCTCAGGCTGGAGTGCAGTGGCACGATCTCGGCTCACTGCAACCTCTGCCTGCTAGGTTCAAGCGATTCTCCTGCCTTAGCCTCCCTAGCAGCTGGGATTACAGGCACCCGCCACCACGCCCAGCTTATTTTTTGTATTTTTAGTAGAGACGGGGTTTCACTATGTTGGCCAGGCTGGTCTTGAACTCCTGACCTCAGGTGATCCACCCACCTCGGCCTCCCAGAATGCTGGGATTACAGGCATGAGCCACCGCGCCCAGCCCAAAAGCTGATTAGTTCTTAAGCATTTTGTGGTAGCTTCTTGGGGAAGTGCATGAGCCTACTGATGGGACTCCACTGGATCAGAACCAATTTGTGAGTATAGAAGGCATGTTAGACACCTCTCTGTGGTCTCTGGGCAGGAACGCTTTGTCTTTGGACCAAGGTGAGCTCTCGGAGACGCATGTCTGCTGTACCGTGCCTTCTTTCTGATGCTTGAAATGCTCTCAAGTCCTGGCACACCATACACGAATGTAATGATGCATTTTTTAAAATACCAGAGCAAATACTTTGTTTTATCTTTGCCGATGAAACTGTAGTACATGGCTAGAAACCTTGCAAAGAGAAGGCTTTACAGTGTGTGATCTGTCTGTATTAGGTGGTTGTCTGGGGTGAGTGCGACTCCACTGATGACTGTATTGAGCACAACATTGGCCCCTGCTCCTCAGTCCTGGACGTGGGTGGGGCTGTGACAGCTGTCAGCGTCTGCCCAGTGCTCCACCCTTCTCAACGGTCAGTCTCTGTGTGGGGCTTAGTTTTAAGAGGACCACTTGGTTTCTTAATATGTAGCCCTCATGTCATTTCATTTGTGAATTCTCCTAGCCTCTGAGTTACTGTCTTTTTTTTCTTTTTTTTTTTTTGTTTTGAGATGGAGTCTCACTCTGTCGCCCAGGCTGGAATGCAGTGGCGTGATCTCTGCTCACTGCAACCTCTGCCTTCTGAGTTTAAGCGATTCTCCTGCCTCAGCCTCCCAAGTAGGTGGGATTACAGGCATGCGCCGTCACGCCTGGCTCCTTTTTTTATATTTTTAATAGAGATGGGGTTTCACCATGTTGGTCAGGCAGGTCTTAATCTCCTGACCTCAAGTGATCCATCTGCCTCGTCCTCCCAAAGTGCTGGGATTACAGGCGTATGCCACCGTGCCTGGCCTGAGTTACTGTCTTTTGCAAAATGCTTATGTTTCTCATAATAATTTTTAAATTGATAGAACCTAATGATTCAGAATGTAAAATACAGGTTAGGAATGGGGCTCAAAGATTCTTACTTCACCAAATCTAGGACTATAATACTTTCTCTGTAACAAGCATCTTCAGTGGAACAAGGGTCCCTACAGCCAGCTGGGGAAACACTGGCTCATGGGCCTTGCCAGCAGAGGACACAGATAAATCTGTGTGCAGCCCCTGTAAAGAGGAGGCTCCTTGAGGACACAGGAGAGCAGTGCAGCATGTCCTGGGCTGATGCCTGCAGAGTCTTTTGTAAGGCAGGGACAGTTGGGACACTGTGAAGAACTACTTTAGAGCAATGACGAAGATAACAATTTCATGCTAAGTTAATCACTGTTGTCCCCCTCCCTTAAAAACAGATACGTGGTTGCAGTAGGATTGGAGTGTGGAAAGATTTGCTTATATACCTGGAAAAAGACTGATCAAGTTCCAGAAATAAATGACTGGACCCACTGTGTAGAAACAAGTCAAAGGTATTTCTTTCCTATTTTTGTTTCCATCAGATTAACTAGAAATTGTGGGGTCTTTCATGGCAAATTTTATGCCACATTTTCATGGAGAGGGACATATATCTGTATTCGTCGTGTCTACCACTTTGTTTTGTGGTAATCTGAAATTGATACATGTGGTAATCTGAAATTGATATATTGCACTTGATTTTTAAAAGTTTGCTTGACCAAATTGCTTGCATGCATAATATTATTTTTATAAACAACCATTTGAGATGAAAGTGATTTCCATAATGGTGTGTTGTAGAATTTGACTACAGTAGATTCTTAATTTGATTCAAAATGTTTGTGATTTTTAAAAATATTCTGGATTGCACTTTGGTAGTCGTATCCTTATGATTGAGCCCTTTACCTCAAAAGATCCTATAGTGGAGCTTTCAGGCATAGCAAGGCTCATGCCCTGGGCCTCATGCATTTGCCACCTGAGCTGGCATAGAGCACCTGCTGTTTACAACCTCCTCCCCATCCCACCCACCTAGACAGTAGGGATCACTTTTAATCTACCCTTTTACAGGTTTTATTCTTTTTGTGTGTGTGTGAGACAGGGTCTCACTCTGTCACCTAGGCTAGAGTGCAGTGGCAAGATCCCAGCTCACTGCAACCTCCGCCTCCCAGGCTCAATCAGTCTTCCTACCTCAGCCTCCCAAATAGCTGGGACTACAGACACGCACCACCATGCCAGGCTAATTTTTTTTGTATTTTTAGTAGAGACGGGGTTTCATTGTGTTGGCCAGGCTGGTCTCCATATCCTGGGCTCAAGCAATCCTCCTGTCTTGGCCTCCCAAAGTGCTGGAGTTACAGGCATGGGCCACTGTGCCTGGCCCACATTTTATTCTTTAAAAATGCCTAAATGTGGCTGGGTGTGTTGGCTCATGGTCTCTACCAGTGAGACCCCTGGTCTCTACCAAAAATAAAAGAAATTAGCCAGGTGTGATGGTGCATGACTGTGGGTCCCAGCTACTTGGGAGGGTGAAGTGGGAGGATCACTTGAGCCCAGGAGGTTGAGGCTGCAGCAAGCCATAATCACACCATTGCACTCCAGCCTGGGTGAGTGAGAGCCTGTCCCCCCCAAAAAAGTATAAACGTTCAGAAAGCTACTAATATCATTCTGTGTTATATTTTCTTAGGCTTTTTCAACCTTCGTATATCTGTACTGTTGAAAATACAATTTCAAATAGCAATTTCAAATGACAATATGATGAGGGTGAGTGCTTAATGGAGAGAGATTTGTGAGCAATGTCTTAAGATATTTCATCCAGCAGATCTTGTCTCCATGTCAGCCAAGCATGTTAGTGCTCATTATAATTATATTTATTAAAATGAGATATTGCCATGCCCCCATGGCTTCTCTCCTGCCTCTCTGGGCTGGGTTTAGCAGTTGAACTAGTTTGTGCTGTTGGCTTGCTGAAGAGGGAAGAAGTCTGTTGAAATTCCATGCTTCAGGCATTTGAAATTTTCTCTCTTCCTGGGCACCCTTTCCTTCCACTTTGCCTGCCCACAGTGCTCCCTTCACCTCTAACCTGGTGTGAAGACCTCTTCAATGGCCACCATGTGGGACACTGGTGGGAAGCCCCTTAGAAAGTGCAGGAAGGGAACACGTATAGAATTTGAGTTTTTTGTCTGAAGGGGTTGTTTTTTTCTTTGGTCATTATGGTGACTTAGGATTTGCAAGATGGAACTAATGCGTGACTTAACATATATTATTTGGATTGCTAATATTTCAGTTACCAAGTTCCAAGTACCTTTCAAATGAAAGCTTTTGCTAGTAATAAGATTTACAGAGGTAATATAAGCAAACACTACCCTTTAGGTTGGTTTGCCAAACTCCCTATCTTCTTAAATATGACATGTTAATATTCTGGATTTAAAGGACATTACCAAAAAAAGAAACCCACTATCTCAAAGCTTACATAGCCAAACAAGTATGTTCCTCAAAGTAGCTCCCTTGGAAAGAGTTATACCACATATGTTTATTTCCGTGATTTCACTACTTCAAATCCTTCTTTTAATGAAATGAGATAACTCTAATCCATAATAATTGAGATTCCAGTGATGTTGCTATCACTTAAAATGTTCTTGGAACTTCTCTGTAGGAATTGTGTTCAGAACTAGCTTACTAATGATGCAAGAAAACAAATTATAATGCCTTTTATAATATTACCTGTTTCAATCATTTCCTCTTTTTAAAGCTTGCCATTTATATCTATTAAGCTTGCCATTTATATTTATTATAAAGCTTACTTCCAGGTGCTTTCAACAGTCAGATTCATCCTCAAAGGAACATGAGCTATCACTGAGAGTACTCAAATCATAGTCTGCATAATATGGAAGCATTTTCTCTAGAATAATTTCAGAAAACAGTTGAGGCACAGCAGTCAGAGTGACTATTTGTAAGGGCACGCAGTCATCTTGTTGCATAGGTTCAGGAGGACTGATTTTTAAAATGGGTTTCGTGACTTCATTCTTCCCTTTTAATCATGAGAATGCATCTGGTGACAGGGACTGTCAGCAAATGAAAGTGTAATGTGTGTGCTCTGGTATTGTTTTCAGTGTTTATTGCCCTAAAACCTACTTAGGTTTTTCACTTTATTCCTTTTTGGTTTGGGAAGCTAATTTGCAGGTTAAATTTATAGAAGATGTTGTATTTTCATAGAGATTTATTCCTAACATACGTTGGTAACACTCTGGGTCTGCCTTTTTAAAGGGCTGGGGAGGTAGGGGGTAGGGAGCATTAATACGATGGTCTTGCCCAAGGTCACGCAGTTAGAGGTCACACTGGAGACCAAGACTCTTTCATTGTGCAGTACATTAAATCTGTCATTGTCTTTCTTTACCCAGTAGTAAAAATGCAATTCCATCCACCTCACAGGGATGTCAAAATAGTAAAATAATCTAGAATATATTGTAAAGTTAAAATTGTTATAAATTTAGTAATGTTATCTAAAAGACTAACTTGAATATCCATTTCATGAAATTCCATTGATCATTAAAACAACATTCATTTAAAAAAATTTTATTTTTTGTTTTTTTTTAAACAACATTTGACAGAGATTCATTGTCTGTGTCTTGCTCATTTTGGTGATGTTATTGCCAGTGAGTAAGATTAAAATTTAGTCTTGCAGTTTTAAGTAAATATAGTAAAATATTTTCCAGGTTAAAATAAAATGGCTAAAATGTTAATGATGCGATTTTAAAACCTGTACATTTCAATTTTCAGGTTTTAACTTCCATTCATGTTTACACCATTAATTGGAAAAACATTTCATGATTTCTCTATCTTTGTTTTAGCCAAAGTCATACACTGGCTATCAGAAAATTATGCTGGAAGAATTGCAGTGGAAAAACTGAACAGAAGGAAGCAGAAGGTGCTGAGTGGTTACACTTTGCAAGCTGTGGTGAAGATCACACTGTGAAGATACACAGAGTCAATAAATGTGCACTGTAATGGACTTAATAACTACATGCTTGCAGTCACTGGTATCTTAAAATATTATCATGTAAACAGGTCATCTTTACCTTCATAACTGAATTGAGTTTCTGGGTTTTTTTTTTTTTTGAGATGGAGTCTTGCTTTGTCACAACCTCCACCTCCCAGGTTCAAGCGATTCTCTTTCTTCAGCCTCCTGAGTAGCTGGGACTAGAGGCACACCACCAATTCCGGCTAATTTTTGTATTTTTAGTAGAGACTGGGTTTCACCGTTGGCCAGGCGGGTCTCAAACTCCTCGTCTCAGGTGATCTGCTTGCCTCGGCCTCCCAAAGTGCTGGGATTACAGGCGTGAGCCACTGCGCCCAGCCTGAGTTTCATTTTTTAAGTCACATAGCAGTAGTCCTTATTTCAGTGCTAGACCCTTTGAAATGCGATGAAAGCTATATGGACCCTTCGCTTTGTTATATAACATATGCACACATACCCAGAATTTTGCACATATGTTCAGAGATTCCTAGACCTGCAGACCTGCCTCTGTGTGTCCCAATTTAAGAACCTCTGTTCTTTCTTCATGACTGGATTTGCCCAATTTTGTGTTATTTTGGGACTTAATTTGTCCCTCTTTGGGACATTTCCTTATTTATTGCCCTCTTCAGAGAGTAGATGTAGAAAATAAAGAGAGGAAACCTAGATTACTTAATTTTATTTTAACATTTTCTATAGATAGCATACCACGCCAAGTGTGCTCTGTCTTGATCCCCTTCTTTCTAGCATCTGCCAGACATTGTAGAGTTTCGCAAGCAGTTGTAGGTTTGAGCTGCAGCCAGTCATTTCTTTTATTCTTTAAAAGTACATAGATTTGTCTTTTTAGGGCTTTACTGAAAGTAAAATATCCTGACATTTAAACTGACAGATGTAGGAGGTAAAAAATAGAGTTCTGAAACATTTGAATTTATGTGACAGCTGAAGTCACGAGATGAGGGATATATGTCCCCCAGGGAGGATGCAGAAAGAAGAAAAGGGTACTGGAAACAGCATGTCAGTGGTGCCAGCTGAGGGCTGGAGGCAGCCAGGAGAGTTGGGAGCCTGGGTGCTGGGTGGAGAGAGGTTAACAGGGAAGACATGGGAAGTATTGTGAAGGCTGGTGTGAGCAGGGGACTACTCCAGCCCTGTTGGAACATAGAGCCATTTGGCAGATTGACAATGCAGTGACAGCTGTATATAATAAATGTGTTGAAAGGAGGAAGGTGAGGATTTTCTTGGTGGGAGTTTATGCTGTTATTTAACATATTTTGCTTCCAAAGGGGTTAAGATGTTTTACCTAAATGGAGGTTTCTAGGTCAGTGCTATACAATATTTCTAATCTGTGTTTTATAGTGTGAGCTACATATGTAATTTTAAAATTTTCAAGTAGCCACATAATAAAGGAAACAGGTGAAATTTAATGACATATTTCCTTTAATACGGTATATCCAAAATATTATTATGTCAACCTATAATCAGTATAAAAACCTGTTACTGAAATATTTTATAGGGCCCATCTCAGTTCAGACTAGCCACATTTAAGTGCTTCATAGCCACATGTGGCTCATGGCCATCCATATTTGGACAATGTACTTTAGACTATTGCATCTGTATACTCTTGTGCCGTCAGCTGGGGGGTGGGGTGTGTGTGCGTGTATACCAAGGCAGTGAGCATCTGAGCTTTGAACCTCAAAGACCAAAATGCCCTGCCCATTTTCCTGCTTATCAGCTGAGGAATCTTTACCCACATTGACACATGGGCTTGTTCTGACCCAAGTGCATGCAGGCTTCCAGAGCAGATTCAGAGGCCTAACTTAGTCCTTTAGCTTTCCTCCCAGCACAGAACTCCCAAGGTTATCTGCAAGTAGGCCTTGCCTAGAGAGACTGAGTTTTCAAGTTGTCAGTTTTCCCAAATTGTCCTCAAGCATCTTCCTCTGGAATCACCTTACTGTTTAGTAAACATTCAGAGGACTTGCTACACATCTGGGCAGTCTGCATTGTAATTCATATGTGTTTACACATTTGTGTCTTCATCTGCTAAAGCACCTTTGAACCATATTGTAATTCATAATATCTGAAGCAATTATTATGAATTGTAGTAATTCATAATATTGAAGCGATTCATAATATCTGAAGCAATCCCCAGATACGGGTTAGGCATGGCCCTGCTCTGAGCAGGATGGCAAAAGTGGCAGTCCGTGACGCAGCCCTTGTTACCCCAGGCTATTACTAAATGGTGGTGGTGGTTTTATCTTAATTAAAATGACATCACCAACAATGGGCCCTTTCCTGTCTGCCAGGAAAAGTTTTCTGTAGTGACGCACGTGTTGTGTGTGTATGTGTGCGTTTGAGGCTATATTACTCATTGCTACGGCAGTTCAAAATGACTTGGAAAAAAACAATGAACGCTGGTCATTGATATGTATACTGACATGTTTGAGGGAAGTTACTGTGGTCTGTAACTTATGAAATACATAAAAAATATGATGGGTGGAGTGACGGACACATGGACAGATATGAAGCAAGCACTGTAAAATATTAGTGGTAGTTTTTGTATGCCCATACTCACGGCACCATTATTCACAGTAGCTAAGAGATGGAAGCAATATGTGCCCATCAGTGGGTGAATGATCAACAAAATGTGGTATATTCATACAGTGGAATATTATTCAGCCTCTAAAAGGAAGATACGCTGACATGTGCTGCAACATGGATGAATCTTGAGGACATGATGCTAAGTGAAGTAAGCCAGTCACTGGAAGACAAATACTCTATGCTTCCATTTATGTGAAGTATCTAGAGCAGTCAAATGCATAGAAACAAGTAGAATGGTAGTTGCCAAGGACTGGGGGAGGAGGAAATGAGGAGTTGTTTAATGGGTATAGTGTTTCAGTTTTGCAAGATAAAAAGTCCTGTGGATTGGTTGCACAGTTAAGTTATGTGAATGCTGTATGCCAACTCAACTGTACACTCTAAAATGGTTAAGATGGTAAATCTTATCTTTATTTTACCACAGTTTTTTTTAAAGCATGGTAAACACCATTTCCCAGGATGTAAATCGGTACTAAAAAAAAAGTGCTCCAAAGTAAGATATATTTGGGAAACACAGGGATAACTAAGGTTAGATAGGTGTTCTTTATTGCAGGAATTCTAAGAGCATTTAACAAATTAATTTACACTGGGAATTTTCAGTGTGGAGGGTCTGGCTCATAGCATTTCACAAACATTATACTTCAGAGTCCCAAAGCCTTTAAATAAAATGTTAATGGTAGAAACTCCTTAAGGGGTGTTCACTGTACAATTCTTTCAACTTTTCTGCATGCTGGGAGTTTTTTTGGTAACAACGTGTTGGGGAAAATGGCCTTGGAATATTTCATTCAAATTGGAGCCAAGCTAACACAAAGCTGTTGCTGCTAGTGGGAACAGCCCTGATGTCCATGTAACAAGCTGCCCTCCCCAACTCCCTCCTTCCTGTTTCTCCCTCCTCGGCACCCACTTCTAGGATTAACAGGCAGGGAGACGGGAGAGCCCAGCTCTGGGTACAGTTGGGCCACAGCAGAAGGAGGGCCAGGGTAGAGGTTTGGGCCTTGGCTCTGATGCTTGAACATAAACACACCTAGTCAGAAGTACATCAGTACAAAGTGGGCCCTACAAAATTATAGGGTCAGAAAACAGGTAAGTGGTTACCAGGGGCTGGGAATGGGGAGAGGAGTGACTACAGAGGGACCTAGATTCTTCAACAAATACATTACAAGAGGAAAAGGGAAGGGAAGGGAAGCCTGGAGATTGAAAGATACTTGAGACGTGTGAATCCAGTGCAATGTATGAACCTTGTTTGCCTCTTGATCTGAACTAGCCAATCAATCTTGTAAAAATGTGCTTAAGGGACAAAGCAAATTTGAACTCTGGCTGGATATTTGATGATATTAAGGAAACAACATTTAAACATATGACAGTGGGGCTATGGTTATGATTGGTTTTGTTTTTTTTTTCTCTAGAGACTGGGTTTTGCAGTGTTACCTAAGCTGGTCTTGAACTCCTGGGCTCAAGCAGTTCTCCCACCTCAGCCTTGGTTTAAGAAAAAAAAAAAAAAAGTTCTCTTGAATCATAATTTCAGTATTTATGGATGAAATCAATTTATGTCTTGGGTTGTTTCATAATGATTGTGTGTGTGTCAAGGACTAGATGGGTTTTAGATGTGTGGATTATTAATGAAGCTGGGCAGTGTTGGGGTGGTCATACTATTCTAATTTTTTAATATACTTAAAATTTCCTTATAAGAATTGTTTAGAAAGAATGAGCATATCCATAAGTTAAATACAAAAATTGTTACATTGTGAGGAGTTCTTCCCCTTCTAGCATGTAGTGGATGGTCCAGTATTAAGGCTCTGCCATGCTTAAACAAGAGACTGGCACTCCAAGGACAATGAGGCTGAGGCCAGAAGAGAGACAGCGTGTTGGATGGCTGCATGTGGTTGGTGGATAGAGGACTCTGAGCCCCACTCTGGTGGACTCAGAGATCTGGGACCCGGGCCGGGCGTGGTGGCTCATGCCTGTAATCCCAGCAATTTGGGAGGCTGAGGCGGGTGGATCACTTGAGGTCAGGAGTTCGAGACCAGCCTGGCCAACATGGTGAAACCCCATCTCTACTAAAAATACAAAAAAAAAAAAAAAATTAGTCGGGCATGGTGGTGGGCGCCTGTAATCCCAGATGTTCCAGAGGCTGAGGCAGGAGAACCGCTTGAACCCAGGAGGAGGAGGAGGTTGCAGTGGGCCGAGATCGAGCCACTGCACTCCAGCCTGGGCAACAGAGTGAGACTCCATCTCAAAAAAAAAAAAAAAAAAAAAAAAAATCTGGGACCCAGTACTGAGTGAAGACACCAGAGTGAAGGAGAGAGGCCATGCTGTGTCCGAGAAGCTCCTACTGGGGTGGAAGGGACAGCTCCACAAAGGCTGCTCTTGCAGGGGCTCTCCTGCAGCAAGGTGCCTGCTGACTGTCCCCAGACTGTCTCCCGACACAGAGGGATGCAAAGGCAGCCTCTTCCTGCTCAGTGGAATAGGGAAATTATATCACCTTTCACTTCCCACTCTCACTTCTGCCCCTGCTACCCTTAGTCTTTGGCTTTTGCTGACATTTTCCCCTCTTATCTTTTCTCCTGACCAAGTTCTAGGTATTTCATAGGGCAGTCTAGGTGAGGGTTGGAACCCCAATGAGTTGGGCAACAGAAACCCAGCTCACACTGGCTGTCACTGTGGGCAAGCTGTTCCCCTCATCTCTAAAAGTGGAGATGAGATTAGTGTATGAGTCTGGCTTCCATTCAACTGTGTGTGAAAAAAAATTGTAAAATTTTCTTTCTGGTTTACGCAAGTTAAAAGTTTATTTCTCTCATATGAAAGGAGTCAAGGCAGACAGACCAGGATGGGGAGGGAGATGTCTACAGGGTCAAGGACCCAGGCTCTTATTTCGCTGTCTGACGTCCTTAGTATGAGGCTTTCACCTTCCAGGATGGCTGCTTGGCCTCCTGCCATGGTCTTTGCGTTCCAGCCAGCAAAGAGGAAGAAGGCATGAAGAAAGGCCTGCCCCTGACTTTAAAAACATTTCTTGGAAGTCCCATACTATTTTGCTTAATCTCCTCGGGCAGAATTTAGTGTTGTGGCCATACCGAGCTTCAGGAGAAGCTGGGAAATTAAATCTTTATTGCAGATGCCCATGTGCTCAGCAGAGAACTGGGGTGCTTCATTCTGGAAGAAAGGGAGAACAACAGTAACCAGTGTGTAGGATTGTTCTGAGAATTAAATGAGCCAATATATGAAAAACACTAGTTTGGTCCCTGGGATATAAATAAGACAGCAGTAATTTGTATCTGGTACTATTATGATTAAATAAAGCTCTGCTCGTGTCAACTCCATAGAGCCTTTGGTAAACCCCTCAAGTATTCTTTTTTGTTTTTCCTCTGAATTCCGGAGTATTTTATTCCAGTTTTGTTTTATGGCACTTGTCACCTTATATCTTCTATTTTTGTGTATGTTTTATGCTGTGTCAGGTAGATGCCTTCTATTGTAAGGAAGTTCATCTCAAACACAAAGGAATTACTGGCTCATATGACTGAGAAAAATTCAGTGGTGGGATAGGCTTCAGGTGCAGTTTGATATGGGCTCTGCCTTCCTTTCTCTAGTTTGCTTAGCTCTGCCCTTTCCATGGCAGCCTTCTTCTTTTGTTATTATTTGAGACTGAGTTTCACTCTTGTTGCCCAGGCTGGAGTGCAGTGGCGTGATCTCGGCTCACTGCAACCTCCAACTCCTGGGTTCAAGTGATTCTCCTGCCTCAGCCCCCTGAATAGCTGGGATTACAGGCACATGCCAACACTCCTGGCTAATTTTTGTATTTTTAGTAGAGACGGGGTTTCACCATGTTGGCCAGGCTAGTCCTGAACTCCTGACCTCAGGTGATCCACCCACCTCAGCTTCCCAAAGTGCTGGGATTACAGGCATGAGCCACTGGGCCTGGCCCGTTATTATTTTTAATAGAGGCAGGGCCTTACTATGTTGCCCAAGCTGGTCTCAAACTCCTGGGCTCAAGCCATCCTCCTGTCTTGGCCTCCCGAAGTGCTGGGATTACAGGCATGAGCCACTGGGCCTGGCCCGTTATTATTTTTAATAGAGACAGGGCCTTACTATGTTGCCCAAGCTGGTCTCAAACTCCTGGGCTCAAGCCATCCTCCTGTCTTGGCCTCCCGAAGTGCTGGGATTATAGGGGTGGGCCACCATGCCTGGCCACATGGCAGCTTTCCCCTGAGGCCGTTCTCCCTCATTGCCGTAAGAGGAATGCAAACAGCCCCTACATTACTTTTTTCCTTGTTAGTATCAAAGGAAATAACTCTTAGCATTAAGTCTCTAACTTTACTCTGACTGGACCATTCCTCAGCTAATCACAGTGGGCAGGGGAAAGCCGCATGTTAAGTGGCTTGGGCCTGCCCATCTGATGTAACAAGCTGTGAGATCACCTGTGCTGGCCTAGAGGCAGAGTAGGTCCCAGTGAGATCACATAGCTGCTCTAACGTGGGGTGGTTCTCCAAAGCAAAATCAGAGGGGCCAATGGATACAGGATGGGCAACCAATGCAAGCCCCCTATACGAACCTGCTAAAGCCTAAACACCTGCGCATCAGATGGTTTTCCTGTTGTCCACAGCATCCCTGAATTCAGCAAATATGTATTGCCACATATTTGCTGAATTCAGGGATGAATGAGTTTGATAATGCTGATGGCTGGTGGAGGAAGTATTCTCAAATGTAATCTGCCAGTCGGTAAATAGAATATCTGAGATTCCTGTCTTGGTGGTTAAAGGGGTAGGGGGCAAAGAGTAGGAGGGAGGTGCTAGCACAGAAGGGACCAAGAAGGGGCTGGCCTGGCCCAGTGGACCTGCTCATGAATGAACATGGGAGAAGCCGAGCCCCCAGGAAGACAGCGCCAGGAAGATTGCTGCTCTGGGCCCTTTGCCCTCTCAGTCCTGTGGTCTACCTAGTATTGGTGGGTTTGGTTGTTTCAAACATTAGATATAATGGAGCCTTGTTCCCAATCATTTCATGATGTTGAACTGCCCTTTTCATTTCTATTCACAGGAAAGGTCTTGTGTCACTCTAGGGGAGGGAGCTTCCTGGGGTTTCTGATCTTTCTTTCCACTGCTCTCAGTTTCTACCAGGGCACTCTGCCAGTCTTTGGAGATAAACTTGCTCCAATGCTATGTCTGTCTCACTGCTTCCTTTGCCAGCCCTCTTCTGACTTCCTAGGTACCAGGATATCCAGGTCTGTGAGCTCTCATTTTTGGAAAAGTGTGCATTTCACTCTAGTAGGAAACACTTAAGTTAATTTCATTATCCAAACCAAATTCAGCCTTCTTGGACATACCTATCCCTATCCTGATATTTGTTGGGAAATTTGATTCCTCGTAATTGCAGCCCCCAACTGTAGGTTGGTGCAAAAGTAATTGCAGTTTTTGCCATTTTGATGCAAAAGCCGCAATTACTTTTGCAGCAACCTAATATCTTCCAGACTAGGAGGCCAAGGTTTTCAGGGGGCTCACCAGTGGGAAAACCTCTACCCTTACTCACCATTTAGGACTTGACCACTATAGTGGAGCTGCCATCCCCACCTGGATAATAGAGCTGTTCCTGCTTAGGCCACTGCATACCACCTACCCAACAAGTTTAACAATCTGTCCTAATTGTTTAACCCTTGTCCTAATAGGCCTTATGGCCTTAGATATTGCCAAGGTGCTCTCTTCTGGCTCTGTCCCCACTTCTCTAACTGAACTTTCCCACCTGTGGCATGAGACAGAGACCCTTTAAGTGCCACTGTCCCCAGGGTTCTGGCCTCTTTCCCTAAACACTTCAGAGCTCCTGAGATGACCTGTCCACAAGCCCCTCACATGACTCAAGTCTCCAACCCCAGACACTCTGTCCCTTTTGAGCCCTGAATCTCCACCGAGATGTCCTGACCGAGTTCCATATTGTCTCCCTATGCCTGAGACTCCCTCTGTCCACTCAGTCTCCCAATCTGACAGCACCAAGTCACCTTGGGCCAGTCCTTCGTCCCATTCATCCCTGAATTTCATCACTTCTGCACGATCTGGGCCTCAGACCAGGCCCTCACTGCTCTTCGCCAGGACTTTTGCCCAGCCTCTGACAGCAGGGCTGCCTGCAACCTCCCCACTCCCACCTCCCCCACTGCTGCCTGGGGTCTAAGCACACCCCGATCCAGCCACTCTCAGGAGGAGACTCTAGGGTGTTCATGTCCCTTTTAGACCAAGGCCAGCTTTCTCCTCTGTACCAGAAAGTCTGACCCCTCTTACTTCTCTCACTCCCCATCACACTTATCCCCACAGAGCTGCAGTCTGTGCTCCAGCTTCATTAAAAGTCCTGCATCTGGAATTCTCTGAGCCTTTTTGCAGCTCTAGACCTTTGAGTATGGAATGCTGCCTTCCTTCCCCCACCTCCTCCTCCAGGACCCTCTGGGCAGGTCTCCCAGCAGCCCCAGGTCTGGGAGGCTCTTTACCCCAAGCCTGGACCTTTGTGGGAAGGACTTTTCTCTAGCGCTCTGCAGCCTGGAGGGGTGACCTGACTATGAACCTATCTCCTTCCTCATCCCAGGAGCCTCTCAGGCACAGAGACTGCCTTGCTGACTGTTGTCTTCTCAGTGCCTACCATGTTTGCAGCAGGGCACAGCTGCCCAGTGAACACTGAATAAATGCCCCTGCCAAAAGCACTAGTAATTTTCAAGTGAATCTTCTAGTGTTTCAAGCCTGGACAGTTGCAAGAGGTTATAGCTGGTTTTCCTGCTCCCAATTCTCACAGGCTCATCCAGTCTGGTCATGGCCATTGGATAGTTCTACCTAAATCACTCATAGGGCACTTTCTAGTTCCAAAGCCTGCCTTTCCTTTGTTTGTCTACCACCAACTCCAAGCCTAACTCTGACAAGCACTCATTCATCTTCTGCTGAGTGAGTGAATGAATGAATGAATGAATGAATACATGAATGAATGCTTTGTATATAGTAGAGATTCTTGCAAGTGGAGCCCATTGCTAGGAGACACTGGGGGTGGGAGTTGTTAACCTGGGAGCAAGGGGATTTCGGGAAGCATCATCAGGAGGTAAGGAATCAGGCTCAGTGAGGTGCACCAGGGACTAAGATTCACACGGGGAGAGATTTAAAGTACAAAATTGAGGGCATCTCACCTGTCTGCCCAACTGGCTCATAGACACATAATTTTTCAAGTTCTTAGGTGAGAAAGGGTTGCAAGTGGGAGTTGGAAGAGCTGTTTTCCTACCTAGCTGTAAACTTTAGGTGCAGAAGCTGGCCTCTGGGGAACTCAGCATGGACCAGCTCAGGTTGCTTGGAAGCTCCAAGGCCAGCAGCTGGACCAGGTGAGAAGTGGCCATGGCAGCCTATAGCACAGGGCCCAGGAGATCACTCCTCCTCCCAGGTCAGACATTCCTTGGTGGGGATAGAGGTTCTGCTTAAGGCAGGGTGAGAGCGAGCAATCTGACTTCTGATAGTCTCTTTCTGGTAGGAGCGGCCCAGGGAATCTTGGTGAAATGCACCTAAGGGTGCCAATTAGAGGCCAAGACTCCCAGTGTTTCTCACATTCCCTACTCCTCCTCCCATCTTGACTGGCTCACTGCTATGGCCCACTTCAAAGGCTTCCTCCTTTGGGCTACCTTCCCTGGATATCTTGCTAGGAAGTAGCCGCTTCCTCTCTTTCAATTCTATACCTGCATCCTGAACCAGTGCTGCCTGGGCACTCAGCCCACATTGCCTTGTGGCTAGTGTAGGTTCATTTTCCTACTCAGCTGTAGGTGCTATCTTCACATCCACCCTCCCAAGCACACAGTGCCCTAGATGGGCATAGCCAACTGCTTTAAAGTATTTCTGGATTAATGGTAGATCCGTGATTTTTAATAACCTTCAGGAGTTCTGCACTGACTTGGCCTATTCCAATCCATCACTAGGCGAGCTTGTCTGAAGCAGCACCCCTGTGGACTGGTGGTTTGTTAGTTGGCTGTAGAACTCCTTGAGGAGAGGTTCTCCTTACATTTCCAGGGAAATGACCTAGGCCCTCCCTCCTCAGAGTGCCATTCGTGAATGGGGCATCAGCATCACCTGGGCTACTTAGAAACACAGAACCTCAAAGAGTCAGAACCTGCCTTTGAATAGGCTCTCTAGGGGATTCATGCAAATGAATGCCTGGAAACCCTGGCCTAGGGGAGACTCTCACCAGGAAGCAGGGCTTTAAAAGGATGGGTGAGGAGTGACACACTGAACAGCTGCTGGGAGGACCAACTCACCCCTCTCAACTTAGATGGGGAAACTGAGGCCCTGGGAACCACGGTGGCTCACACCAGAGAGTTAGCAAAACACACTTCCCTGCCTGGGCTCTGGAGACTGACTTCCCAGGTGCTAGCTTGTCTTCTAGCTGTGTGCCCGTGTGCAAGTTATTCTGCCTCTCTCTGCCTCAGCTTCCCCATCTGTAAGAGCCACCTCCTAGATCTGCATATTTAATCATTGAACGACCAGGACAGGTAAGAGTGTACACAGTGCAGTGCCTGGCACACAGTGAGGCCCTGTAACTAGCTCTTGTTATTAGTGCTGCCCAAAGCCACATTCACAGAAGACAGTCCAGTATCCAAAGTGCCTGCTTGAAGCATGGCCAGAAGGCAAGCAGATGGTGGGGTGGGCAGTGATGTCAATGAGCAAATGCCTGCATCCATCCATCAGTACATTAACTCCTCCTCGAACAACTATGGGTGTTTGTCGAGTAAGGTCCTGGACATTCAGCAGTGAGGGAGAGAGCGGGGGTGGTCAGTGGGCAGAGGCCACTGAGGAATATGGGTACCTGGGCATGGACCCTAGCGCTGCAGTCCACAGACCCCTGGGTCTCCGGCCAGGGGGAAATGAGCTCTTAGTGGCGGGTCTTTCTCTGGCCTGGTATCAGGGGCCTGGGCGGGAGAGCCAGGGCTGCGTGCTGCCTTCCCATGGCTCTCACGCTGGGCACCGGTATGCATCATGCATCAGCAAGGATCCTAGGGCATCTGCGGCCCATACCCTGGGTGGCAGCTGGCCTGGATGCAGCACAGGTTGAGCTCTTGGGGCATAGGCCTCCTTCCCACCTTGTCCCCCCGCTGTATGCCTCCAGGGCCTGTGGGCCGCCTGCACCTGGTCGCCGGCCTTGGGTTCTCCACCGAGCCTGCCTCTGAGTTATCTCCCCTGAGCCCCAGCACCTGCCGCCCATCCGCACTGTCCACCATCCCTGACATTCGATTCCCCCACGAGGCACCTCGCCTGTGCGTGCAGTACCTGTTTTGCTTCCACCCCATTCCCAGCAGCGGGTTCCGCACCTGGGATCGCACGTGAGATTTCCCCCCACCCCCCAACCGCATGCCTGGGCTCTACTACCTGCACCTGCCGCCCCACCCCTGCATCCCGCTCCGCACTTCCCGCGCATAGGTTTGGCCAGGCCCTCCCTATTGAGGCACCTGTTCTCCAAGACAGAGCCGCTGTGTCCCAGGTGCTCTGGGTGCAGGCGCGAGTGGGGATTGAAGGAGGCGCTCTTATTCCACTCTGTCCGGGACAGGGGCGGCTTTGTCCTAGGGCACTCTTGCTTTAATAGAGAGGGCCCGGCCACACCCACGTGCGGGAAGTGCGGGGCGGGATGCAGGGTTGGGGAGGCAAGGGCAGGAAGTAGGGCCCAGGACGCGGTTGGGAGGGCGGGGAAGCTCAGCTCACTTGGATCCCAGCTGCAGGGCCCGCTCCGGGGGAAGCCCCCGAGCTTCCCGGTTCCGAAAGTGTGCAGCCACTGAGAATTTATTAGCCTCGTGGATCCCTAATCTTTCCCCTTTTCTACCCTTTGGTCAGCCGCATTCTAACAAACGGCAAGCACACGCCCCGCTGGGTAGCAGCAACCCGAGAACGCCCCCACCCCCGCCCCCGCCAGACGCCGGTTCCCGCTTGAGAGGGTGAGGGTCCCGAGACCCCTGCGAGGAGGAGGGTCGCGGGGTTCCAGGATGCCGATGCCAAGCAGGAAAGATCACCTCGTTGCTTCTTCCACCGGCCTCTCCGCGAGACATAGCTAAACTTGAACTTGGCATTCCAAGGGTCTGGAAACATCTTCGTGGGACCCATCGAGAGGTTGTTTAAAGACTGGCACCCGCTCCCGCGCCCAGGTGGGGAAAGGGCTGGCCAGAAGTGAAAGTCCGGTCGGGGCGCCACACCTAGGCTGCGGATTCCGAGAGACTGGGAGGCTGGAGGCCTGGGAGGCGTGGCGGGGGCGGAGTCGCCGGGGGCCGGCTTCGCGCACTTCCCGGGCCCGGCCGGCCTGGATGGACTAGCCGGGGCCATGGCCGGCGCGGCGGCGGAGTCAGGGCGGGAGCTGTGGACCTTCGCGGGTTCCCGGGACCCGAGCGCACCGCGGCTAGCCTACGGCTACGGCCCGGGCAGCCTGCGCGAGCTGCGGGCGCGCGAGTTCAGCCGCCTGGCAGGTGAGGCGGGCGGGCAGGCTTGGGGGACACGAGGTTTCTGGAACCGACGTGGACGGATCTTTTGCTCCTAGTGAGAGCGGCGCTACCTCATTCGGGCGCATTTTGAATCGAAACTCCAGGAGGGACGTGTCCACGCGTCCTCCTAGTAGACACGGCTCCCTGAGGTCCCACCTGCAGCCCCAAGGCTTCTTGCTACTCTTACTCTTCCGACTTTCCGGTGGGCAGGACCAACCTAGCCGTCTTCCCCTTTTCCCGCCCTCCGCGAGCGGGGCTTAGGATGGTTCTTGCCCTCTCTTGCGGGAGACCCCTCACTGTAAAGGGCCTGCTGGGGCCGGGGTTGCAAAAGACAGCATGTCCAGCGGCCGTGACCCTTCGGATGTCCTCCCGAGGTAGGAGCGGTGCGTGGACCGCCAGCGCCCGGGCTGGGACAGCACCTCTGACGGCGCGCCAGGTTGGGACCGGGAGGCCAAGGCCTCTTGGCCGGGGCCTCCCGAGGCTGCGCTCTGCAGACTCCTCTGGGATAGCCTGTATTCAGCTTTGATTTTCGAAACCTCATTTTCCTTACTCTTACAGCGTCAGAACAATCCCTCTGAGCTCCAGTTCTCTGGGGGACTAGAAGAATTAGCAAACAGTGCAATTTCACCTTTAAGAACAGGGCGAGCCTGTGAATTAGACAACACCAAGATCACATCGTGCCTTTCCTCAGAGCGGAACAGGCTGATGAAATTGCAAATCAAGCTCCATCTGGCCTTGGCCGACCCAGCCCTCTGCTGCCAGGGCCCAAGTTCGTGACTCATCCCTCTGCCAGGGACTTTGGGTGCAGGGCTTCATCAAGCCCCAGGGCCGCGTGCCGGATGGTCAAGGAGGGTGTGCAGGTGAAGTGGGCACGTCTTGGCACAGGGCACCGGGGTTTGAGTGTATCTGCTCTGTCGCGATGAACAACTGGTGACTGCTCCCCTTCTGGGGGCAGAACAGCAACCATGACTTAGGTTTCACTACTCGGGTAGCTGATTTCAGCGCTTCGGGTCACTTCCTGGTGTTGTGGAGGGTAACTGTGTTTTCCCTTTGGGGGCTGTGAGAACTGTGGCCTCCTCCTGTGTGTCTCCTCTGGCTTCCTAAGTAGGGAGAGTCAGGAGGGAGACGGGGGTGCCTTCTGCCAACCTCTCTATTCACTCCTCATCCTTCCCTCTCGCAGGGTCACCTGCTGGAGACAGCTCCTCACCCTTCTTTCGTATTCTCTCTCTCTCTCTCTCTCTCAACTATTAATTATGGAAATTTCCTACCACTCAGAAATAGAGGGGTACTATGAATGCCTACAGGTGCTGGGGAGGGAGGCTCTCCATTCTTTGAAGCAACTCTTCAAGGCTACCTGAGTAATTATATCAGCACCGCACCTCCTTAATCCCCTAAATCTCCTCCAGCTGTGATCTCTCACGCCCACTATTGGCCAACCTCTCCCCTCAATGCTACCCTGGGAAAGTAGAGCTATGTTCTGGTCCCCTCCTGGTTTCACTCTTGTCCCTCAGAGAACAGTACTTTTCCCCTCAAATGCAAAATTGGGATGTGTCAGCCAGGCTGGCCCTCAGAACTCGTTACCACTTACTGTATGTCTGGTAGTGTTGTGGGCATCTTTTATTTAATGCAAGTTCCTTGTATTTCCTCTACATTACGGTTAAAGCAGACATTTGTGCACTAATCTGACGCCCCTCCCACTGCTGGGAGTCTTGGAACATGTCCACTTGTTTTTCTCCTAGAAACAAGACAGAGAGAGGGCGGGAAAAAACAAACCAAAATAACATCACCTCTTCCTCGTTCCTCCTCTCCCCTCATGAAGTTTTTCTGCCAATTTGAGAATTACTCTGGTTAAGTGGTGGCTCAGAATAATTAAATGCTTAAGATTTAAGTGCTGAAATGTGTTACCTAAAGATTTGGATGGGAACTTCCTTGCCTTTGTGAAGGGAGAGTATTGAATATACGGATGTGTGTCAAGGGTCTCTGGAAGCCTTCGTGCTGAATCATGACCACTCACCATGCTGGAAAGAGAACTGGAGGGGGATGACCTAGAGCTGACCCTGGAATTCTCTTTCCTGAAGAAGGTCTGATGCCATTTAACTTTGGGGTAATTCACCTGTTTCTAATAACAGCTACACCTGTGTCCCGAGCATTGGACTGGATGCTGCCATATAGCAGCTCATTTAACCTTTGTCCCATCTGCAGATGAAAGAACAGGGGCCCAGAATGGCTACTGGTGGAGCCAGGATTCAAGTCTGGGTTGATTGACTTGGATTTTGTACTGTTAACCCCTATGCTGCCTGACTTTCTCCTAACATCACATCTATGGGTGATTTAACACAGCTTTCCCACCCTTTTGTTTTTCCTGCAAAATTAACCATTGGACCAAAAGCCAAAGCATCTTCTTCTCCAATAGCTACTTGGCCCTCCAGAAGACTGTGGCACAGTGTGAGATGCTCCCCAGCAGCTTCCAGGTCTCACCTGTGGCCTTGATGCCTGGGTGAACAAAAGCCTTTCTTTTGGTTTGGTACCTTTGTATTTCTGAATCTTTAGTAAAAGCGAACATTGTTTTAAAAGTATCTTTTTGGACTAGCTCATACATTTGATATGGTTTGGCTCTGTGTCCCCACCTAAATCTCGTGTTGAATTGTAATTCCCAGTGTTGGGGGAGGGACCTGGTAGGAGGTGATTGGATCAAGGGGGTGGATTTCCCCCTTGCAGTTCTCGTGAGGGTGCGTTCTCACAAGATCCGGTTGTTTAAAGTGTGTAGCACAAACTGGGTATGGTGGCTCAAGCCTGTAATCCTAGCACTTGGGAGGCTGAGGTGGGCAGATCACTTGAGCCCAGGAGTTCAAGACCAGCCTGGGCAACATGGTGAAACCCCGTCTCTACAAAATATACAAAAATTAGGCAGGCATGGTAGCTCATGCCTAAAGTCCCAGCTACTGTGGAGGCTGAGGTGGGAGAATTGCTTGAGCCTGGAAAGTCAGAGCTGCAGTGAGCTGAGATTGCACCACTTCACTCCAGTCTGGGCAACAGAGTGAGACCCTGTCTCAAAAAAAACAAAAAAACAAAACAAAACAAAAAAACTTTCTTTGGCCAGGTGCAGTGGCTCATACCTGTAATCCCAGCACTTTGGGAGGCCAGCCTGGCCAACATGGCAAAACCCAGTCTCTACTAAAAATATAAAAAAATTAGCCCGGTGTGGTGGCACATGCCTGTAATCCCAGCTATTTGGGAGGCTGAACCTGGGAGGTGGAGGTTGCAGTGAGCCAAGATTGAGCCCCTGCACTCTAGCCTGGGTGGCAGAGCAAGACCCTATCTCTCAAAAAAAAAAAGAAAAAGAAAAAAAAGTGTGTAGCACCTGCCCCTTCACAAGCACCTTCTCTCTCTCTGTCTCTCTCTGTCTCTCCTGTCACCATATGAAGATGTGCTTGCTTCGCTTTCCACCAAGATTGTAAAGTTTCCTGAGGCCTCCCCAGCCATGACTCCTATACAGCCTGTGCAACTGTGAGTCAATTAAACCTCTTTTCTTTATAAACTACCCAGTCTCAGGTAGTTCTTTATAGCAATGTGAGAATGGACTGATACAACATTTAGTGGTATCAGATTCAAAAGTTGCCAAAGGAGGGTGAAGAATCACCAGGGAGCCTCCCTCTCACGCCAGCTGCAGCCACTGTGTCTACCTCAGAGTCAATTGCTGTCACTCATGTCTTGTGTATCTTTCCAGTGGTTGTCCATATTTATGTGTGCATGTGCACACTTTTTGAGACGGGGACTTGCTCTGTCACCCAGGCTGGAATGCAGTGGCATGATCATAGCTCACTGCCGCCTTGACCTCTTGGGCTTAAGCTATCCTCTTGCCTCAGCCTCCCAAGTAGCTGGGACTACAGGTGTGCACCACCATGCCTGGCTATTTATTTCTATAGAGATGGGGTCTCACATGTTGCTTATGCTGGTCTCAAATTCCTGGCCTCAAGCAATCCTGCCTTGGCCTCCCAAAATCCTGGGATTATAGATATGAGTCACTGTGTCCAGTACACTTAAAATACGTGTGCACACACACACACACACACATGTGAGCCATATGTCTCACCACTTGACATAGTTTGTGTTTAAGGTCTTTCTCTGCCATTATCATGCTATCTTCTATTTTGTTCATTGCTGTGTCTCCAGCACTTAGAACAATGCCTGACACATAGTAGGTGCTCAATAAATATTTCTTGAATGCAAATACACTCAATAAACTAGGAATGAAGGAAAAGTTAACCAACTGATAAAGGTCATCTGCAAAACCCCCCACAGCTAACATCATACTTAGTGGTGAAAGACTGAAAACTTTCATCCTGAGTTTGAAACAAGACAAAAGTGCCTGTTCTCACCATTTCTATTCAACATTGTACTGAAGGCTCTAGCCAGGGCAATTAGGCAAGAAAACAAAATAGAAGGGATCCAGATTGGAAAGAAGTAAAACTATCTCTACTTGCCAATAATGTAATTTTGTGTATAAAAAATTTCAAGGAATCCACACACAAAACTATTGGAATTTAAAAACAAATTTAGCCAAGTGGTAGGATACAAGATCAATATGCAAACATCAGTTCAATTTCTATACATTGGCAATAGATACTATGAAAATGAAATTAGAAAAACAATTCCGAAGGCATCAAAAATAATAAAATACACAGAAAAAAATTTATCAAAAGAAGTATCACATACACTGAAAATTGTAAAACATCATTGAAAGAAATTAAAGAAGACCTAAATAAATGGAAAGATATCCTGTACTGATGGGTTGGAAGACTTAATATTGTTAACATGGCAATAATCCCCAAATTAATATACAGATTCAATGAAATGCCTATCAAAATCCCAGCTGCCTTTTTGCAGAAGTTGACAAGCTGATTCTAAAATTTATATAGAAATGCAAGTGACTCAGAATAGCCAAAGCAATCGTTTTATTTTATTTTTTGAGTCAGAGTCTCACTCTGTCACAAAGACTGGAGTACAGTGGTGCAATCTCAGCTCACTGCAATCTCCACCTCCCAGGCTCAAGTGATTATCCTGCCTCAGCCTCCCAAGTAGCTGGGATTACAGGCGCACGCCATTACCGCCTGGCTAATTTTTGTATTTGTAGTAGAGATGGGGTTTCACCATGTTGGCCAGGCTGGTCTTGAACTCCTGACCTCAGATGATCCACTCACCTCAGCTTCCCCAAGTGCTGAGATTACAGTGTGTGCCACCACACCTGACCTCAAAGCAATCTTGAAAAAGAAGATCAAAGTTAGAGGAATCACACTTTGCAGTTTCAAAACTTACTACAAAGTTACAGAATGGGCCGGGCGCGGTGGCTCACGCCTGTAATCCCAGCACTTTGGGAGGCTGAGGCGGGTGGATCATGAGGTCAGGAGATCGAGACCATCCTGGCTAACAAGGCGAAACCCCGTCTCTACTAAAAATACAAAAAATTAGCCGGGCGCGGTGGCGGGCGCCTGTAGTCCCAGCTACTCGGGAGGCTGAGGCAGGAGAATGGTGTGAACCCGGGAAGCGGAGCTTGCAGTGAGCCGAGATTGCGCCACTGCAGTCCGCAGTCCGGCCTGGGCGACAGAGCGAGACTCCGTCTCAAAAAAAAAAAAAAAAAAAAAAAAAAAAAAAAAAAAAAGTTACAGAATGAGGACAGTGTGATATTGGCATAAGTATACACATATAGACAAATGAAATATAATTTTAATTTAATAAACCCATATGTCTATGGTCAATTGATTTTCAACAGATACCAAGACTATTCAACGAGGGAAATAACTTCTTCAATAAGTGATATTGGGACAACTGGATATCAACATGCAAAAGAACGAACTTGGACCCCTACCTCATTCTGCATTCAAAAATTAACTCAATGGATCAAATACCTAAATATGAAACAGCTAAAAGTATAATATTCTTAGAGTAATATATAAGCATAAATCACTAGGACCTTGTTGAATTAGACAATAATTTCTTATGACACCAAAAATGCAACAACATAAATAGACAAATTGGATTTTATCAAACTTAAAAAGAACTTGTATGTTTCAATGAACACCATCAAGAAAGTGAAAGGACAACCCACCAAATGAGAGAAAACACATCCACACAAAAACTTGTACACCAGTATTCATACCAGCAATCATTTATAATACACAAAAGTGGAAACAATCCAAATATTCCTCAGTAGATGAATGGATAAAATGTGGTATATTCATACAATGGAATACTATTCTGCCATAACAGGAATGAAGTTCTGATACATGCTAAAATGTGGACGTACCTTGAAAACATTATGCTAAATTAAAGAAGTCAGACACTAAAGGCCACATATTGTATGGTTCCTTTTACATGAAATGTTCAGAACAGGCAAATCTAGAGAAGCAGAAAGTAGATTAGTGGTTATCAAGGGCTGGGGTTGGAGGCATTGGGGAGTGATTGGTAATGATATGGGATTTCTTTTGGGAATGAATGAAAATATTCTAAAATTGGTATTTATGTAATTTTATGAATATGTTAAAAACCACTGAATTGTATACTTTAAGAGAGTGAATTTTATGTTATATCTCAATAAAGCTGTGATAAAACAACCCATTCTACACAAAACAAAATATTTGATAAGTGAATGAATGGATCTCTTCACATTATATGTACTTGAAAGTGTATCTCAGAGTTTGTTTCATGTCAGTACTTATTATTAGTGTACAATGTTTATTTTAAAAGCGCATTGATGGATATTTAAGTTGTTTCCAATCTTTTGCTATTGCAGGCAATAGTTCGTCGAATAGCCTTATATTCAGGTCATTCCACAAAAGTGTGGGTATTTGTAAGATGAATTCCTGCAAGTGGAATTGCTAGGTCAAAGGGTGTGTACATTTTAAAGCATGAACTGATGTTGCCAAATTGCTGAGCATAAAGGTGTACCTGTGTACCCTCCTACCAGCCGTGTACCAGTGAGCTTGTTTCGCCACAGCTTCATTCACACAGTGAGGAATCCAACCACTGATCTCTGCCAATCTGATCAGTAATCCGCGGTATCTCATTTTCATCTAAATTTGCATTTCTCTCAGAGAGAGGTTGGATGGATCATTTGCATTCCTTGTATTCTTGGAAGCTCTGCAGCTGCATTAGTGTTGAGGGGTGCAGAGCAGTGTGGGAAAGTAGGATCAGGGCTCTCCCCTCAGGGACTCCTCCCAGAACCTCCAGAATAGGTTGTGAGTGACAATGTGAAACAGCTTTGCCATCATTCATCACGAATGTCTGCTGGGCGTCTTCTCTGTGTGGGATGCTGTTCCAGGTTCACAAAAGAGTGAAGAGAGCTGATTAATCAGGAGGGCTCTCTCAGTGCTTTAAAAGTCCTTCAGCATTAGAAGTGCAGTCCTTCCACTGCTCATGCCTACACTTGGATTAAGAGGCACATATCAAGAGGCACAAGTCAGTGGCCTGATGTTACGTCTGCATGCATTAGATGACATTGGTTGGGCTTACACAAACCAGATTCAGGTAAAATTTTAGTATTTATTTTGTGTTTTCTTTCAGGAACTGTCTATCTTGACCATGCAGGTGCCACCTTGTTCTCCCAGAGCCAGCTCGAAAGCTTCACTAGTGATCTCATGGAAAACACTTATGGTAAAGAAAAACACCTGAAACAGGTTTTAGTCAACTACATGCAGCTGATATACCTGTGCATGTTAAACGCTGGATTAATAGGCCAGGAATATTCTGACCACAAAAAGCTGAATAAGCCCCATGTAAGATAGGGGCCAGGCAAGCACCCTGGGTCATTCTGTACTGTAAACATGTGGCCGGGATGGAGGGAGCTGGCTCAGGGACAGACACACAGGTTACTACCAGAAGAAGAGGCCAGTGTTAGGAAGGGCACAGAGATTCAAAGGTGCTGTATTTGGTGGTGGTGAGTGACCCTGTATAGTGCAGAGAGTGGGGCAGCAGGAGGGATGTTAATTCAGTCATTCACTCTATAACTGTTCATTGAGCCACTATGATGTGTGGGGGACAGTGCTATAATGGGAACAAAATAAACATATCCCTTTCTTCTTGGACACTGTGATCTAGTCCTGGAAGACAAGACCTTAAGTGAACTCCAAATAGATGTGATTACCAACTGTGTGAAGGACTATGGACAAAAGGTGCCTGGTTCCAGGCCAGCCTGTATCTGCAGTGACAGTGGGGTTGGCTTGTGCATGTCTAGGGAAAGCTTCCTTTGGAGTGGAGTGGATGCTGGAGGATGAGCCAGAATTCACTCAGACAAGAGGGGGAGAAGTGCGAGCAGGCAGGGTAACAGCCTGAGCCAAGATCCCATAGTGGTTTCAGGAACCAGTCCAGGAACACGGAAGGGAGAAGAGTGGGAGAGGTCTGAATGGGGAGGGAGGGAGAAGAAGCCAGTGCAGGGCATTGTAGATGCTTGATCTTTGTTCTAGGAGCAATGGCATTGTCATCAGTGGCATTTATTTGCAGCACAACATGATCTCACATACTTTGGAAAGGGAACTTGAAATCATAGTGGCAGTAGCAATTGTAATATTTGTGATGAGAATAACGATAAGTAACATTTATCAGGTACTCGCTATGAGCTTTCTCTCTTCAGCCTCACAACAACCCAAGAGGCATAGGTTCTGGTATCACTCCTGTTTTATAGGTGAAGAAATGGGGCCCCAGAGAGGGCAAGTAACTAGCCTGAGGCTGCACAGGAAGGACTGGAGCTTGGAGGAGCTAGAAGCTGTGTTTGCAGGCAGTTTAGCTCCAGAGCCCAAGCCCTTAGCCTCCACCAGAGTGCCTCGATTCAGGATACTTCTGTTATGCCACATTAAGGGGTTTGGATTTTGGCTCTGGGCAGCCAGCAGATATTTAAATCTGGGGAACAGTCTTCTGGGAAGGTGCCAAGGAGGGATTTATCCTGATTTTAATCTGCAGTTTGCAAAGGTTCTTGTAATTCTCCTTCTTTAACCTTTGCAAGAGCCATAACCGTGGGAAAGCCTGAGAGATGGCAGAGTTGAGATTGCAGGTGGTGGTAATGATGCAGCGCTAAAGCCAAGCAGAGGAAAGGCAATGAGGATAATTACCAGGTCCCACAGGTTACTAGCAATGTGGAAACAGAACATATGGTAGCTGCAGTGGCCAGAAATCCAGTGCAATCTTTCAGTGTATTTTGGAGGAAAAAAAAAGTCTAAAACTAAAGGGCAAATTCTGCGTTAATGAGCACATGTAGCTCCTGAGAAATGCTGGTGCCTGGTCTTATAGGTCAGGCCCTACCAAAGCCTGTCTGGGGGTTAAGTTTGAGGGAGGTCATGATACTCTGGGACACATTTGGTGAGGACACCAGGAAGGGAGCAAAACTAGAAGTTAAGAGGAAGAGTGACATTGGGAGGAGGGCCTTCCTCCTTGAAAGTGGATGGCTAAGGGCAGCACAGTGGCCCCCTTCACATATTTGGAGGCCGGGATCAATTATTTCTGCAGGAAAGGCATCAGCAGTGGTGGTGGGATCTGCAGGGCAATACGTGGGGACTTAGATTAAGTGGCGTTCATGGCTCTGCTTCATGCTTGGAGAAAAGGGCATCCTCCTGAGGCTGTATACTGCATTCTCTGGAGTTAAACAGAGCCACAGCCACCTGTCTGGAACATGTAGAACAGACTCTTGCACTGGCCTGCTTCTGAGCTGACTTCCAGCTCTAAAATACTCTTCCCGATCACATTTGGTTTTACTAGTGAGGAGAGATTTTTTTTTTTAACTATATCATAAAATTTACCAGCTGGGTACAGTGTCTCAGGCCTATAATCCCAGTGCTTTGGTAGGTCAAGGTAGGAGGATTGCTTGAGCCCAGGAGTTCAAGACAACCCTGGGCAACATAGCAAGAGCCTATCTTTACAAAAAACAAAAATTTTAAAAAATCAGCCAGGTGTGGTGGCACATGCCTGTTGTGCTAGCTATTCAGGAGGCTGAGGCAGGAGGAGCCCTTGAGCCCAGGAATTCAAGGTTATAGTGAGCTATGATCAGCCACTGTACTCCAGCCTGGGTGATAGAGTAAGATTGTGTCTCTCTTAAAAAAAATCTATTTCAGGTGTCCAATGATGATTTTTTAGTGATTGACCTAGTGATGCAATCATCACTATAAATCAGTTAGATGTTTTCATTCCCCTGAAAAGATCCTTCATGCCCATTACAGCTAATCCTTGTTGCTGACCTTACCCCCAGGCAATTGCTAATCTACTACTTTCTGTATCTCTACAATTCTTTTGCTGGACATTTAATGTAAATTGATTCATGCATTATGTATATTCTTGTGTCTGGAGTATTTCATTTATCATGCTTTTGAAGTTCTTTCATGGCATAGCCAGTAGTTTGTTCCTTTTTATTGGCAAATAACTTCCCTGGCTGGGCACAGTGGCTCATGCCTGCAATCCTAGCACTTGGGGAGGCTGAGGCAGGAAGATTGCTTGAACCTAAGAGTTCAAGACCAGCCTGGGCAGCACAGTGAGACCTCATCTCTACAAAAAGTAATTTTAAAAAGTTAGCCAGGTGTAGTTGTGCACACCTGTAGTCACAGTTAGGAGGCTGAGATGGGAGGATCGCTTGAGCCCAGGAGTTTGAGGCTGCAGTGACCTATGATCATGCCACTGCCCTCCATCCTGGGTGATGGAGCAAGACAGAACAAAAAACCAAATCACTTTTTATTTTATGGATGTAGCATATTTTGTTTATCTGTTCACCCATTGATGGACATTTATATTGTTTCCAGAATTTGACTTTCTGAATAAAGCTACGAACATTCCCATGCAAGTCTGTATGGACATAAGTTTTCATTTTTGAGGGATAGAAATCTAGGAGTGGAATTGTTAGGTGATATGGTAGTTTTATGTTGAGCTTTTTGAGAAACTGAGGGAGTGGATTCAGAAGGAACACAAAAGAAGCGACCCTAAGTAGTGACTTGGTGGCCTTGTCTTTGTAACCTGCCAGGTAATCCTCACAGCCAGAACATCAGCAGCAAGCTCACCCATGACACTGTGGAGCAGGTGCGCTACAGGTAAGCATCAGGGACACCTGCCTGACTGGGCATACCTAGGCAGACAGACTTCCTTCCTAGGACTTGCCTGCATCCCACAAAAGTTCTGAGTTGGTTTCAGGAGGATCACAGTTGGCTAAAAGGCAATGCATGTATGTTGAGAAACATCAGAGTCAGAGCTCAGAAAGGCAGCGGTGAGTAGATGCAGTGTGGGGCAGATGAGACACACAGGTAGGTGGCTCTGAGGTGCACACAGCTGTTCTGTGTGGCTCCAGAGACTCTGCAGTGCCAAAGTGACAGGAAGTGACCCAGGATCCTAGGTCTTGTTTTCAGAAAGAAGAAAAGTACTATTTCTCTGGTTTTCCTTTTCATAAGAAGTTTTATTAGGCAACTTGTTTTCTT
This sequence comes from Homo sapiens, assembly GCF_000001405.40. Taxonomy (NCBI): domain Eukaryota; kingdom Metazoa; phylum Chordata; class Mammalia; order Primates; family Hominidae; genus Homo; species Homo sapiens. The sequence continues at coordinate 36,199,138 of NC_000018.10, forward strand.
CCTGTCTTTTTTCCCTTTTCCCCCCTTTTTTACTAGTATTTGTATGTTAAACAGCTCTCTATACTTTCTAAACATAACAGTATCTGGCAAATAATTTCCAGGTTGTCCTTAAAATTATTAACACAATTTCCAATCACACAATTTCAAGTTAGTTCAAATGTGAAAGTGATACTGTTTTGCTATTAGAGTTGCCAAAACTAAAAGCAATGTAAACAGGTTGATTACTACTTAAACCTTGTTATGTTAGAGCTGAGCAGAAAGCACCAAGGAGAGAAAGTAGTATCAACTCTGATTAAGTTTATTGTGGATTTTTTGTCATACATATCCAATTGGAGATATCCAGTGATATTTGGGAGGTAAGAGGATTTTGCCAACTGGAACTCGTTCCCACGGCTTCCATTGCCCTCGCCCTAATTTCGCAGCTGTGGCAAACCTATCTATCCATTAAGGTAGAGATGTCATAGTTAATAGAAATAAAACAGCCTGCAAACATTCAGTGCTGGGGCTGAGATCCGCGGGTTGCGGGGATGCTGTGCTTCTTCCAGAATCCTGGCGCACTTCCACACCACCGCAGAAGACTACACTGTGATCTTCACTGCCGGGAGCACGGCTGCTCTCAAACTGGTGGCAGAGGCCTTTCCATGGGTGTCCCAGGGCCCAGAGAGCAGTGGGAGTCGCTTCTGTTACCTCACCGACAGCCACACCTCCGTAGTGGGTATGCGGAACGTGACCATGGCTATAAATGTCATATCCACCCCGGTCAGGCCAGAGGACCTGTGGTCTGCAGAGGAACGTAGTGCTTCAGCCAGCAACCCAGACTGCCAGCTGCCGCATCTCTTCTGCTACCCAGCTCAGAGTAACTTTTCTGGAGTCAGATACCCCCTGTCCTGGATAGAAGAGGTCAAGTCTGGGCGGTTGCACCCTGTGAGCACGCCTGGGAAGTGGTTTGTGCTGCTGGATGCAGCCTCCTACGTGAGCACCTCGCCTTTGGACCTGTCAGCTCACCAGGCCGACTTTGTCCCCATCTCCTTCTATAAGATCTTCGGGTTTCCTACAGGCCTGGGCGCTCTGCTGGTCCATAATCGTGCGGCTCCTCTACTGAGGAAGACCTACTTTGGAGGAGGGACAGCCTCTGCGTACCTAGCAGGAGAAGACTTCTACATCCCGAGGCAGTCGGTAGCTCAGAGGTAACCTTGCCACAGGGGAGGGGTCAGAGGAGTTCAGCAAGGTGGGGTCTGGCCTGTTTCTCCTGGAGGATTATGCAAGAGGTGGGTCTGGCTTTGAGGGTCAGCAGAATTCAGGTTGCTGGCAGGGACAGGCTGATGGCAGGGCTCAGATCTGGGAGGCAGAAGTTGACTGGAGGTGACACAGGTGTTCAGTGAACTCTACCCCCATTTGAGAGGCTTCTCCAGAGCTGTGAGAGGACTGGGGCCTGCAGATAAGAACTGCACACAGGAGAGATAAAAGGCCCTCATGGGGTAAGGAGGGTGAGCTACCAGGCCTCTGCCCTCAGCACTGACAAGAGGTTGCAACAGTTGAAACAGTGGCCTTAAAAGGTGGCACCCAGTGGCTTTAAAAGGTGGCACCATTTGGAAAAAGTCTGCCCACACATTGACAGCATAGCTGGTTCTCCAGGAGCTAGGATCAGCTCAGCCTGGCACCTAGTTAGCAGGAGGAATCAGTTAAAGCAGAGGCCCCCAGACTTGTGAGGCAGTGTTAGCGGCAACCTCTATGAGCCCCACTGTGAGTGAGTTACAGAGGGAGTCTGGGTGCAGGTTGTCACTTGCCCTCAAATGCCAGAGGCCTCTGCCTGGGTTGTTGGCATATGCATCATCCCCAGGCTGCAAGGGCAGGTGGTGTGGGTTATGCTCAGGACTCTTTCAAATGGTAACAGCTGGGACCTGTAAGGTCGAGTGTGTCAAGGCTGAAAATGGTGGCTGATCCAGGGTTCTGCTGGGTCAACAGTGGGGACACAGGGTTGGGTAGGCAACTAATCACCTCCAGGGTCCGGAGAAGGCCTGGGGCATAGACGGGAAGGGCTTTAGATCCCCAACAGACCCCACACAGACGCAAGGGTCCTGCACGTAGGGCCATGGCCTTGACGATAGAGTCAGTGTTAGCTGTGTAAGCCTCAGGCTGGACCACTGGGGAATGAGTCCCCGCTCCACTGCACACCAGCGAGGGGACATGTGACTTGTTCTCTGCACCTCATGTTTTTTCTGTAAAGTAGAAATGATAATATTGGGTCGGGTGTGGTGGCTCACACCTGTAATCCCAGCACTTTGGGAGGCCAAGGTGGGTGGATCATGAGGTCAGGAGTTCGAGACCAGCCTGCCCAACATGGTGAAACTCCGTCTCTACTAAAAACACAAAAATTAGCTGAGTGTGGTGGTGGGTGCTTGTAATCTCAGCTGCTCAAGAGATTGAGGCAGGAGAATTGCTTGAGCCCAGGAGGCAGACGTTGCAATGAGTCAAGATCATACCCACTGCACTCTAGCCCTGGTGACAGAGCAAGACTCCATCTCCAAAAAAAAAAAAAAAAGAAATGATAATATTGTCCTTTTAGAGCTAACATGGGTGAAGTATCAGAATGGTAGGGATCAATGTTAGGAGGCTATTTGATGCCTCTTTTATTTAGGACTTGTCCATAGTTGGGGGGCTTCTAAAACAGGAATGCTCATGTAAAACCTCTTGACTCCAAGTGTGATAATTTACCATGTAACAGAATCAAATGAGAAAAGAATGACAGGCATAACATAATGTAAGTTACAGGCAGAACAAAGCGACACCTCAAATTTAATTTGGCCAATAAGGGCACCTGAAGGCCAGGAGAAGTGGGGCAGCTCACTGGGGGCCAGGGCATGAATGGGCTGGGGGGGATCAGACCTCTTTCCTTTGATTCAGGTAGATGACTTTACAACAGATGACACGCCAACATTCCCAGAAAGCTGAATTTATTTATTTACCATTATAAGCCAATTTTTTTCTTGTGAACTTAGGACTAGAACTCAATAGATTTAATACTCAACCTAAAGGTTTATTGAATAAATACCTTGACTATGTTCTCAACTTTATTTTATAACTCAGCGAAGTACATCCCTTGACAGAAACAAAAAACTTTTATTTTAAGAAATCTATTAAGTATTTGATCAATAAATAATTGTCAATCAATAACTGGCTAGTTTAACAAATTTTTTTGTAGAGATGGGGTCTTGCTATCTAGAGATGGGGTCTTGCTTTTTGTAGAGATGGGGTGTTGCACAGGCAGGTAGTTTCAAACTCTTGGCCTCAAGTGATCCTCCCACCTGGGCCTCCCAAAGTGTTGAGATAACAGGCATGAGCCACTGCACCTGGCCACCCTAGGAAATTTAGAGCAGCCCAAGAAAACTGCAGAGTGGGTCAGGGCCAGAGGCAGCTGGACAGGTCTTGGTGTACAAAGTGCCCCCATCCTGAAGGGGAGAGCAATGTTTTATAAGACAGCAGAGGGAAGGTATTAATAGATTACAGCGGTATTAGTCCAATTTCACACTGTTATAAAGATACTACCCAAGACTGGGTAATTTATAAACAAAGGAGGTTTAATTGGCTCACAGTTCTGCATTGCTGGAGAGGCCTCAGGAAACTTACAATCATGGCGGAAAGGGAAGCAGGCACTTTCTTCACAAGGCAGCAGGAGAGACAGAGAAGAGCCCAGGGGAACTGCCATTTATAAAACCATCAGATCTCGTGAGAACTCCCTCACTATCACGAAATGAGAACAGCAAGGGGGAAACCATCCCCATAATCCAATCACCTCCTACCAGGTCCATCCCTCAACACCTGGGGATTACAATTAGAGATGAGATTTAGGTGGAGACATAAAGCCAAACCACATCAACAGCTAAGCCTAAAATCTAAAGCTCATTATATACCACGAAATGCACATGGATTGTTTTGACCACAGCTTGACCTGTTCTCCTTACCCCGTGGTTATAGGTTTGAAGATGGCACCATCTCATTCCTTGATGTTATCGCGCTAAAACATGGATTTGACACCCTAGAGCGCCTCACAGGTCAGTGGACATTTCTATCCCTGTGGAATTTGCTCCTGTTGTGTCCTTGAGGGAGCTCTGGCACAGGTGTGATTCAGGTAAAGGAGACAGAGTCTGTGGAAGTGACTGGCACTCCATGTAGTTAAATTTGATTCCTAGTAACTTCAAAACCACTTCAGAGAGCAAGAGAATGAGGTGGGGTTTTTGGATTGTTTTTTGTTTTTTCAGCTAAAATAACATTTTAACAGGTAGAAGACATTCCAAATCAGGAGATTGCTAGCTTCACAGAATGAGAGGAGCATCCCTGGGTCCTGGGAATGGTTACAGATCCTGAGGCCTTTACCTGCTCTTGCCTTTCTGGGTCCTCCCCACTGCCCCACGGGGGAGCTCTGCCTATGAATGAGCTGATGCTCAGAGAGGTTAAACGCCTTCCAGGCCAGGGAGCTGGAAACCAGGAGGGCAAGGATTTAACCCAAGTCATACTGATGCCTAACCATGAGCACCCAACCACTGTGTCTGCCGATGGTCTTCGCATGAGGCATGATTTCTTTCCTGGCCATTGCTCTTTTGTCACAGTAATGGGACCCTTCAGTGCCTTAACCTTAGCCTTAGCCCAACATAGGGGCAGACAGGATTCACGGGAAGAGAGGGTCGCCCTGATGGCAATGCAGGGAGGTGAGTGGGCATGATCTGGGACAAACGGAGTAGTTAATAAATACAGGCAGTGAGTAGTGAGTACTTTCCAAGGAAAGATATTAACAGGGCCCCCAAACTGCAGGTGACAGTGTCTAACAGGTCCAGGTAGCTCGGAATGCAAAGGTTGACTGTACCAGTCCACAATATGGCAAACCCTGATTTTTTTCCTATGTCATTGTTCCTTTTTTAAAAAATAAAAATTGTGGTAAACTATACATAACATAAAACTTACCATTTTAACTATTTTTAAGTGTACAACTCAGTCGTAGTAAATACATTCACAATGTCGTGCCACCATCACCACTATCTATTTCCAGAACTTTACCATACCAAACAGAAACTCTGTACCCATTAAACAATAACTCTCTATTTCCTCCTCCCCTTCCAACCCTTGGAACTACTTTTTTTTCTCTGTGGATTTGCCTATTCTTGGTAACTCATCTAAGTAGAATCATACGACATTTGTCCTTTTGTGTCTGGCTTCACTTAGCACGTTTCCAAGATTCATTCATGTTGAAGCATGTATTCTTCATTGCTTTGTGTAGTGTTAAAATGATTTAAACATTAATAATAAAAACAAACAGCAAAAATATGTTTAGAGGAAAAAACATACATTTTGTGATCTGTTACCAAAGGGTCTAAATATCTAAATGTTTAAGTAACATTATGTATAAAAAAGAGGATGACAGGAATGCCTATGGAAAAATTCTGTTGTTCAGTACTGAAGACCTAAACATTTGTCACAAGGGCAGTACCATCCACTATTTACACACATTTAAAATTATTAATGTGAGGTCCAGGTTTGCCAGTTATAACAAACTTGTTTTCTTAAAAGTGAGTTAGTGGTGCCAGGCGTGGTGGCTCATGCCTGTAATCCCAGCACTTTGGGAGGCTGAGGCAGGTGGATTACTTGAGCCCAGGAGCTCAAGACAAGCCTGGGCAACATGGTGAAACTCCATCTCTGCAAAAAATACAAAAATTAGTCAGGCATGGTGGTGAATGCCTGTCGTCCCAGCTACTTGGGAGGCTGAGGTGAGAGGATCACCTGAGCCCAGGAGGTTGAGGCTGCAGTGAGCTGTGATCATACCACTGCACTCCAGCCTGGGTGACAGAGTGAGTGAGACCGTGTCTCAAAAAAAAAAAAAAAAAAAAGAGTGAATTGAGAATTTACATAAAGCTCATGATTCTCTTGTGTTTCATGATTGATTTGAGGTGGAATGGAGAATATAAAGCAGCACACCTTCACCTTGGCTCAGTATACCTACGTGGCCCTGTCCTCTCTCCAGTACCCCAATGGAGCCCCTGTGGTGCGGATTTACAGCGATTCTGAGTTCAGCAGCCCTGAGGTTCAGGGCCCAATCATCAATTTTAATGTGCTGGATGACAAAGGGAACATCATTGGTTACTCCCAGGTGGGTTTTCTTTCCATCCTGCTGACTTTATTACAACTCATCCTAGTTCCAGACGAGAGCAATGTAGTGTGACAAAGTCCATGCACTGTTGAAGAGGCCACCAGGCCCTCAGCCACATGCCTTTCCACCTTCATTCACCCTCGTTTTTCAGTCCTCTTTACTCAGCCAAAAGTGGTAACTTTCAAATGGGAAGAAAGAGGCCAGTTCTTCTGATGGCAGGTGGGAAACTGTTGGGTCTTTGCCATAGTAGAATAAGCTGTTCACTTCACTTCCTGGTCCACTAAAATGTCCAGAGTTGCACTGAGCACTCAGGCATGGTGGTAGGTGGTTATCAGACGGGGTGTCACAGATGGACAACAGGAACCAAATGTTACTCCCAGAGCAGCACTGTGGGGAATGGATTCAATCGTTGGGTGTTTGGAAGACGGTGCTGGTTTTTCCTTGAAAGCACATCTGCATCCCCATTTTTATTTATTTTTTTGAGGTGGGGTCTCGCTCTTTCACCCAGGCTGGCATGCAATGGCATGATCTTGGCTCACTGCAACCTCCACCTCTTGGGTTCAAGCAATTCTCATGCCTCAGCCTTCCGAGTAGCTGGGATTACAGGCACACACCACCACACCTGGCTAATTTTTGTATTTTTAGTAGATACGGGGTTTCACCATTTTGGCTAGGCTGGTCTCAAACTCCTGACCTCAAGTGATCCACCTGTGTTGGCCTCCCAAAGTGCTGGGATTATAGGTGTGAGCCACTGTGCCTGGCCCACATTTTGTTTTTAACAAAGAAAAAAAGGTTTATTTGGCTCATGGTTCTGTTGACTGGAAGATTGGGCATTGGTGAACACCTTAGGTTGCTTCCACCTGTGGAGGAAGGCAAATGTGAACTGGTATGTGCAGCCAGAGAGGAAGCAAGAGAGAGGGTGAGGGAGGTACCTGGCACTTTATTTTTATTTTATTTTTTCTTCCAACTTTTTTTTTTTTTTTTTTTTGAGATGGAGTCTTGCTCTGTCACCCAGGCTGGAGTGCAGTGGCGTGATCTCAGCTCACTGCAACCTCCACCTCTTGGGTTCAAGTGATTCTCTCACCTCAGCCTCCTAAACAGCTGGGACTACGGACATGTGCCACCATGCCTGGCTAGTTTTTATATTTTAGTAGAGATGGGGTTTCACCATGTTGGTCAGGCTGGTCTTGAACTCCTGACCTCAGGTGATCTGCCCGCCTCAGCCTCCCAAAGTGCCGGGATTACAGATGTGAGCCACTGTGCCCGGCGTTCTTCCAACTTTTATTTTAGGTTCAGGGGATACATGTGCAGGCCTGTTACATGGGTACCTGAAAGGTAGTTTCTCAATCTTCCCCTCCCCCCACCTTCTACCCTCAAGTAGGCCCCGGTGGCCGTGGTTTTCTTCTTTGTGTCCATGTGTACTCAATGTTTAGCTCCTAATTATAAGTGGGAACATGCAGTATTTAGGTTTCTGTTTCTGTGTTAATTCACTTAGGATAATGGCCTCCAGCTGCATCATGTTGCTGCAAAGGACTGGTTTCATTTTTTTGTGGCTGTGTAGTATCCCAGGGTGTAAATGTACCACATTTCTTTAACCAGTCTACCACTGATGGGCATATAGGTTGATTCCATGTCCTTGCTGTTGAGAAAAGTGCTACAATGAAGATATGCATGCATTTGCCTTTATGGTAGGATGATTTATATTCCTTTGGGTATATACCAGTAATTTAATTAAGGAATTGGGATGGCTGGATTCAATGGTAGCTCTGTTTGTTTGTTTGAGACAGTCTCACTTTGTTGCCCAAGCTGGAGTGCAGTGGAGCAATCTCAGTTCACTGCAAACTCCGCCTCCTGGGTTCAATTGATTCTCCTGCCTCAGCCTCTCAAGTAGTTGGAATTACAGATGTGCACCACTACGCCCGGTTAATTTTTGTATTTTTAGTAGAGACAGGGTTTCACCATGTTGGTCAGGCTGGTCTCAAACTCCTGGCCTCATGCGATCCACCTGCCTCAGCCTCCCAAAGTGCTGGGATTACAGGCATAAGTCACCATGCTTGGCCAATGGTAGTTCTGTTTTAAATTCTTTTAGAAATCTCCAAACTGTTTTCCACAGTGGCTAAGCTAATTTACATTCCCACTAGCAGTGTATAAGTGTTTTTTTTTATCCACAACCTCAGCAGCATATGTTAATTTTTGACCTTTTAATAGCCATTCCAACTGGTGTGAGATGGTATCTCATTGTGGTTTTAATTTGCATTTCTCTCATGATTAATGATGTCGAACATTTTTTTCATATGCTATTGGCTGCATGTATGTCATCTTTTGATAAGGGTCTGTTCATGTTCTTTGCCCATTTTTAATGGGGTTCTTTGTTTTTTGCTTATTGATTTAAGTTCCTTATAGCTTCCAGATATTAGACCTTTATTAGATGCATAGTTTGCAAATATTTTCTCTCATTCTGTAGGTTATCTGTTTACTCTGTTGATAGTTTCTTTTGCTGTGCCAATGTTCATTAGTTTAGTTAGGCTTCATTTGTCAATTTTTCCTTTTGTTGCAATTGCTTTTGGAGTCTTCATCATGAAGTCTTTGTCAAGGCCTATGTCCAGAATGACATTTCCTACATTTTCTTCTAGGATTTTTATAGTTTCAGGTTTTACATTTAAGCCTGTAATCTGTCTTGAGTTTATTTTTTTATGTGGTGATAGGAAAGGGTCCCATTTCAATCTTCTGCATATCTATAGCCAGTTATCCCAGCACCATTTATTGAATAGGGAGTCTTTTCCCCATTGCTTGTTATTGTCTACTTTGTCAAAGATCTGAGGGTTGTAGGTGTGCGGCTTTATTTCTGGGTTCTCTAACCTTTTCCGTTGAATTTATGTGTCTGTTTTTGTACTAGAACCATGCTGTTTTGATTACTGTAGCCTTGTAGTATAGTTTGATGTCATGTAGTGTGATGCCTTCAGCTTTATTCTTTTTGCTTAGGATTGCTTTGGCTATTTGGGCTCTTTTTTGGTTCCATATGAATTTTAGAATAGTTTTTTTTTCTAATTCCATGAGAAATGACATTGGTAGTTTGATAGGAATAACATTGACTCTGTAAATTGCTTTGGGCAGTGTGAACATCTTAACAATACTGATTGTTCCTATCCATGAGTATGGAATGTTTTTCCATTTGTTTGTGTGGTGTGTGATTTCTTTTAGCGGTATTCTGTAATTCTCATTGTAGATATCCCCCCTGGTAAGGTGGATTCCTAGGTATTTTATTATTTTTGTGGCTATTGTAAATGGGATTGCATTCTTGATTTGGCTTTCAGCTTGGTCATTATTAGTGTATAAAAATGCTACTGATTTTCATGCATTGATTTTGTATCCTGAAACTTTACTGAAGTTGTTTATTAGTTCTAGGAGCCTTTGGGCAGAGATTATGGGATTTTCCGGGTATAGAATCATGTTATCAGTGAAGAGAGATAGGTTGACTTCTTCTCTTCCTATTTGGATGTCTTTTATTTGTTTCTCTTGCCTAATTGCTGTGGCTAGGACTTCCAGTATTATGTTGAAAAGGAGTGGTGAGAGAGGTCATCCTTATCTTGTGCCAGTTTTCAAGGGAAGGGCTTGCAGCTTTTGCCCATTCAGTATGATGTTGGGTGTAGTTTTGTCATAGATGGGTCTTGTTATTTTGATGTATGTTCCTTGGATTCCTAGTTTGTTGGGAGTTTTTAACAGAAGGGATGCTGAATTTTGTTATAAGCCTTTTCTGTGTCTATTGAGATGATCATGTGGTTTTTGTTTTTAGTTCTGTTTATGTAATAAATCACATATATTGATTTGTGTACGTTGAACCAGCTTTGCATCCCAGGAATAAAGCCTACTTGATTATGGTGGATTAACTTTCTCTTCTTCTTTTTTTTTTTTCTTTCTTGGAGACAAGGTTTCACTCTGTTGCCCAGACTGGAGTTCAGTGGCATGATCTTGGTTCACTGCAGCCTTGACCTCCCTGGCTTAAGTGATCCTCCCACCTCAGCTTCCCGAGTAGCTGGGACTACAGGAACATGCCACCATGCCCAGCTAATTTATTTTAATAGTTTTTTATTGTACAGGTGGTTTTTGGTTACATGGATAAGTTCTTTGGTGATGGTTTCTGAGATTTTGGTGCATCCGTCACTTAAGCAGTGTACACATTGTACCCAATATGTAGCCTTTTATCCCTCCCCAATCCCACCCTTCCCCCCTGAGTCCCCAAAGTCCATTATATCATTCTTATGCCTTTGCATCCTCATACTTTAGCTCCCACTTATAAGTGAGAACATATGATATTTGATTTTCCATTCCTGAGTTATTTCACTTAGAATAATGGCCTCCAGCTCCATTCAAGTTGCTGCAAAGGCCATTGTTTTGTTTCGTTTTATGGCTGAGTAGTATTCCATGTTGTGTATATACCACATTTTCTTTATCCACTCATTGGTTGATGGGCATTGAGGTTGGTTCCATATTTTTGCAATTGTGAATTGTGCTGCTATAAACATGTGTGCGTGTGTCTTTTCCACATAATGACGTTTTCTTTGGGTAGATACCCAGTAGTGACACCTGGCTAATTTTTTGGCATTTTTTGTAGAGACAGGGTTTTGTCATGTTGCCCAGGCTGGTCTTGAACACCTGAGCTCAATTAATCTGCCCACCTTGGCCTCCCAAGGTGCTGCGATTACAGGTGTGCACCACTGTACCCGGCTGGATTAGCTCTTTAATGTGCTGCTGGATTCTATTTATTAGTATTTTGTTGAGGATTTTTGTGTCTATGTTCATCATAGGTATTGGCCTGAAGTTTTCTTTCTTCATTGTATCTCTGCCATGTTGTGGTATTAAAATGATGCTGTCCTTATAGAATGAGTTAGGGAGTCAATCCACATTTGTTAAACCCTAGATTTCCCAAACAAAATTCATTTCCCAAGGAATCTTTTTCTCCACTTTTCTGAGTAGCCATAAACTTTCTAAAGAATACTATTGGGCAATATTCTTCTGGGGGAGATGTCGGTCCTCACTGGTGTTCAGGGCAGACACTGTACAGCCACAGGTGGTCTCTTGAGTATGGCAGCTGTGCAGACCCCTTGCCCCCACTGCCCTCAGCTGTCAGTACTGGCAGAACCAGCCCTGACACTACTAAGAAGCACAATATTTTAAATGCTTTTGGAGGGGACAAGGTGGAAAATGCATCAGAGGCAAAAGGTTTGCCTTCTTAAATATGTTATTCTAGGTCATTGGTAACATAAGTTTTATTCTTGAATCAAAAGTAAATGTGCCTGGGTGCGGTGGCTCACACCTGTAATCCTAGCACTTTGGGAGGCCGAGGTTGGTGGACCACCTGAGGTCAGGAGTTGGAGACTATCCTGGCCAACATGGCGAAACCCTGTCTCTACTAAAAATACAAAAATTAGCTGGGCGTGGTGGCACACACCTGTAACCCCAGCTACTCAGAAGGCTGAGGCAGGAGAATCACTTGAACCCGAGAGGTGGAAGTTGCCATGAGCTGAGATTGTACCACTGCACTCCAGCCTGGGTGACAGAGCAAGACTCTGTCTCAAAAAAAAAAAAAAAAAAAAAAAAAAAAAAGTAACTGTGTGTGCTGTGGCAGTGGCATGGGATTGGTAGTGGAGAAGAAGCCTCCAAGAAGAAGAATCACCAGGGTGTGAGGCTGCCTGTGTGGGTGTCTGGGGACTCTCATTCCCCAGGGCTAGACACAGGATGAGTTTCTCCCTCTGTGCCTTGGTAGAGGAAGCTCATTGTGTGAATGGATTCTGTGGCTAAGGCATGACTAACTGTGCCAGTTCAAGAAAGTGCAGTTACGGTTTTTTCAGGTTCAGGGAACTTCACGATATGGGAATTTCCACAGGGATTTTGGTGGCCTTCGGAAACATCAGCTGGGTTTGGCTGTCTCTTTTTCATCAGGGGATGTGTAAAGAATTTAGCTTCCTATGAGAAGGCTTTGTGTTCTTGTTTTGGTATATCCAGGCTTCTAATTTTATTCTCCCACTGTTGGAAGTCACTGCATGGTGATTAAGAGCAGGGACTCAGAGTCTGTCTGCCTCTTGCCAGCTCTGTGAACTTGGGCAAGTTAAGTTCTCCAAGACTCTGTGAAATGGGGATAAAAATATACCCTGATTATAGTGTTGATATGAGGATTAAATGAGACACAATATATACATCCCTTAGCACAGGACCCAGAAGAAAGTAAGTGCTCAATGAATGTTGGGCACAAAGGCTCCCGGGCTGGGAGCCTCCAGGGCATTGTGGCTGGGCCTGTTTCTCAGTCCTCCCTGAATGCTGTGCTCATCCTGCCATAGAAAACAACCTCCTTCACCTGGCTGGGCACAGTCTGGGCCTGTGTGGGATTCCCCAGGGCTGAGGGCAAGAAGAGACTGATGCATAAAAGGGAAATTAGGACAAAGGGTAAGTGTGGCTGCAACAGCATCTTCTGCTCACATCCTCTCCTGCCATGAGACTTTGACACTCCTCCATGGAGGGCTGGGGATCTGTGGGTCTTCCCCTAGAATCTGGGCTGATCTGTGACTCGCTCATAGCTAACAGAGTGCCGGGAGGATGACACTGCATGGCTTCTAAGGCTAGATCAGAAGAGATGATGCCCTATTGGCTTTGTTCCCTGGGACACTAGCTTTGGAGCCTGGAGTTACGCTGTCAGCTACTGTCTCGAGCCCTGAGGCTGCTGTGTGTGCTGCAAGGATGCCAAGCCACATGGAGACGCCAAGCTCAGGACTGTGGCTGGCGGTCCTAATTCTGAAGCCCTTCCAGCCTGTGGACCAGAAAGACCCAGGAGTAAAGGAGTCTCCAGATGATCCCAACCCCCAGATGCCAAACTACTCCCAGACTTTGAGTCTTCCTAGCTGAGACTCCAGACATTTTGAGACAGACAGGAGACATCTCCTCCATGCCCTGTTTAAATTCTTCCCACACTGTAGCCATGAGCTGCATAAAATGGTTGTTGTTTTATTCTCCCTAGTTTGGGTGGCCTACTTCACAGCAAAAGTAACTGGAATGGTGAATATGGGGGAGTGGGTGAGGGGCAGCCACGGGGACTCTAATTCAGCCTGGTGGGAGCTGGACGGGGGTCGGGGGTCTCCCTAGTAGTTGCCTTGTGACGGGAAACCTGACCTGGAGATGGAGTTGGCCAGGCCCAGTAGAGCTGCCAGGACTCACCTTAGAGCTGGGAAACTCCTGAATTCACTAGCAGGTCTGCATGCCAGTGGGCCATTAGCCAAGGGTGAAGGAACAGAATTGTTCATCTGAAGCCCCTCAGTTCAACCCAGAGAATGGCTTCTTCTCACACACCAGAGGAGATGGCCAAAGTGAAGACTGCCGTGGTCTTGATAAGGGTCTGTGGGAGGCATCGTTGCCCAGCCAAGATCCCTGGCTGACCACACGGTGACCTCTGGCCACCCCACATGTGACTTCCCAGGGAGAAAAATTCAAAGGCTCACTCAGCTGAGCAAGATGTGTTTATTTTCCTGAATGCAGTTCAGTGACTCCTCCTCCTGAATTCAGCCTGAGCCCCCAGGGTGAGGACTCTTACTGGGCCCCCAGGCCCTTGGGGAATGGAGTACTTGATTCACAGCCTGGAGGAACTGGAGCAAACATCCCAGGGGCTCATGTGAATGAGAACCACCTCCCAGAGCCTTCAGAGGGCAGGAAAGAGCTTTGGGAACTTCTGGACTGAAAAGCAATTCTGTGATTAAACCGAAAGTTGGAGAAAGTAGGAAAAGCAAATCAATTATACTCAGCATGGACACAGTAACACTTGGAGTCCAGGCTGCGAGCTGAGGCGGGGCTGCTCGGAATAACACTTCGCGGGGCCTGCTCTGTGGTCCAACCCTGTGCAGCTGATGCCAAGAAGCCACTGTCTCCAGCCCCACTGAAACATTTTATACAACGTTTAACCTGTGATAAATCATTTTAGAGGACAATTCCAGGCTTGTATCATCATTTTATTATTAGGAAAGAGAGGTCCAAATCCTGATCTGAATCTCTCAGAGTAAAACTGCACGTTGGTAATGGCTCATTCCATGTTACATTAAATCCGCAGGTGGACAAAATGGCCAGTCTTTACAACATCCACCTGCGAACTGGCTGCTTCTGTAACACTGGGGCCTGCCAGAGGCACCTGGGCATAAGCAACGAGATGGTCAGGAAGCATTTTCAGGTTGGTACAGGGCTCTGCGATCCAGACGCTGGTCAGCGAGACCCAGCAACACCTGTTGCTGCCTGTGTGTCTGGGGTGGGGGCTGCTGCTGCATACTCATTTCTCCACGCCTACTCTGTGCATGTACAAAGGAAAAGGAATACAAATGGAAAATGCTTCAAGAAGGCCGGGTGCGGTGGCTCACGCCTGTAATCCCAGCACTTTGGGAGGCCGAGGCAGGTGGATCACCTGAGGTCAGGAGTTCGAGACAAGCCTGGCCAACATGGTGAAACCCTGTCTCTACTAAAGATGCAAAAATTAGCCAGGCATGATGGCATGCGCCTGTAATCCTAGCTACTTGGGAGGCTGAGGCAGGAGAATCGTTTGAGCCCAGGAGGCAGAGGTTGCAGTGAGCCGAGATCGCACCATTGCACTCCAGTGCCTGGGTGACAGAGCAAGACTCCATCCCCCTCCAACCAAAGAAAAAAAAAAAGAAGAAGCCGGGCACGGTGGCTCATGCCTGTAATCACAGCACTTTGGGAGGCCGAGGTGGGCGAGTCACCTGAGGTCAGGAGTTCATGACCAGCCTGACCAACATGGAGAAACCCTCTCTCTACTGAAAATATAAAATTATCCAGGTGTGGTGGTGCATGCCTGTAATCCTAGCTAGTCAGGAGGCTGAGGCAGGAGAACTGCTTGAACCCGGGAGGTCGAGGTTGTGGTGGTGAGCTGAGATTCTGCCATTGCACTCCAGCCTGGGCAAAAAGAGCAAAACTCAGTCTCAAAAAAAAAAAAAAAAAAGAAAAGAAAAAAAAGAAAATGCTTCAAGATATTATCTCTATAGCAGACTTTCAGATTCATTTTTTACTTTGAGGCCAACCATTTAAAGGCAAGGGAGGGGTGTTAACAAGGGATGTGTGAGGATGTGCCCTTACCTGGTTCAGCCCTCCTGAGGTACGGCCTCCAAGCTAGAGTTAGCTGACATCTGGGTTGGGTGCGGTGTGGAACTCTTCTAGGGCTCCAGGGATTCTGCGTCTCCCAGAATCCCCACCCTCCCTGTCTCTTCCCTGGGCTGAGGTTTTTCACTTCAGGGTATAGCCTGTTTTGAACCATTTCATTAGGAATAATTTGAGTGGCAAAGAGTGTTTATTGATTTGAGTTTCTAATTTGATTTTCCTTTGGTTGCTGTGAAATACTGTATATACTAGATCTCAACTAACCATGAACTGAGTTTTGTTTAAAAAGAAAGAGGGATAGGACAGAAGGAGAGGGAGGAGATAGGAGAGAGGGAGGAGAAGAAATAGAGAGGGAGAGGGAGGCTCAGAACACAAACACAGCTCCAGATAGAATATTTGGTCCTATGGAACGCTGTGGCTCCATTTGTTCGGGTGTCTGACCCGGATCCAGCACCAAGGTTTGTCCAGGACTGCTCCATGCACTGTGCTGACCTGTGACCAACACCAGGCAGCCGGGCTCGGAGACTGAGATTCTCCTGCCTTTCTTCCCCATCTCCCTGCAGGGGCACTCAAGCTGACCTTGGCCTTCACAGTGGCCCGGGGCTGGTCATTTGCAGGGGCAGCATCTCTGCCTTTCCCTGTTGTCAAGGGGCAGCTCTCAGGGATGCAGGCCTCCCCTCAGTAATGAGAGGCTAACGAGAGTGACCAGTGATGTTTCTCCCATCTCAGCCCCGGGTAGACCTTGAGGTTGACCCCTTGGTGCTTCTGAAACCTTAGTCTGTGTTTTGACACCTCTGTGAGCCAGCCCTGTGCCTGGCTCTAGGTAAATGCTTTCCATGAAGTATTTCTATTAAACTTTTAATGGCCCCTTGAGATTGATATTGGTCCCAATTTACAGTTGAGCAAAATGAGATCCAGAAAGTGGTCCCCTGCAGGTAGAGAGCTGAACTATGTCCCAGACGCACAGCACATATTAATGTTGCAGTTCTGTTTTCCTGGGTTAATTTTAAAATTAACAAAATTTATTTTGCCGAACTGTTTCCAGTGTCTCTATGAGAAAGGGGTCACTCTGGCTGATGCACTTCCCTCTTATCCTAGGCTGGTCATGTCTGTGGGGACAATATGGACCTCATAGATGGGCAGCCCACAGGATCTGTGAGGATTTCATTTGGATACATGTCGACGCTGGATGATGTCCAGGCCTTTCTTAGGTTCATCATAGACACTCGCCTGCACTCATCAGGGGACTGGCCTGTCCCTCAGGCCCATGCTGACACCGGGGAGACTGGAGCCCCATCAGCAGACAGCCAGGCTGATGTTATACCTGCTGTCATGGGCAGACGTAGCCTCTCGCCTCAGGAAGATGCCCTCACAGGCTCCAGGGTTTGGAACAACTCGTCTACTGTGAATGCTGTGCCTGTGGCCCCACCTGTGTGTGATGTCGCCAGAACCCAGCCGACTCCTTCAGAGAAAGCTGCAGGAGTCCTGGAGGGGGCCCTTGGGCCACATGTTGTCACTAACCTTTATCTCTATCCAATCAAATCCTGTGCTGCATTTGAGGTAAGGAATTTCACAGCAGCACAGAAAGTCTTCTCTTTGTTTACTCTCTCTATTTTTTGATAAAGTGAAGAAAAGCATGAAAAAAATCAAAATCATTCATCAGAGTGTTGTGGTGAGAAAAGCCATTCTCACTCTCCCTTTCTTGGTCTGTGCTGACTTTTGAACATGACTGCTCACGGGGACTCCTGAGAGGACCCTGTTTCTGAGTGGTGAATGTGTCATTACTCTTATTAATTATAGCTGTAACTTTCACTGAATGTGTGTGCTGGCTGTGTGCTGAAGCATTGTATGTGTTTATTTGTTTCATTTGATCCTTAAAATGGTGAAATATGAGGTAGATAGTAATATTATCCCTATTTTATAGATATGGAGCCTGAGGGTTTTGAGGTTAAGCACTTTGCCCAGGTGACCTGAAGATATGTCAAAAGGACACAAGAGCCAGCTTGAAGGAGCTCCCGTTGGCCAAGTCTTTGGCAATATGTACATCAAAATAAGTACTGATAGTGATGAGTGGTGAGCATTTGAGAAACACAGGAATCCATGAGTCCAGTAGAAAGTAAAAATGAATTAGCGAATAAATAGAGAAGAAGCTCAACCCTACTATAGAATACCAACTAATAAATCAATGATAGAATTTTAAAAACTACCATTTTGCAACCATCATGCCAATAATTGATTTAGGCAATAGTCATCAATAGATGCTAAATCTAATGAATGAAAATTTGATAAGTAACAGGATATCTGCATATTCTGAAAATATCTCTCCATAAAATACTTATTAATTAGTAAGTACCGCCTACTTATTGATGAATTTTACAATGGAGAAACCTAATAGACCCCATGTTAACCAAGTGGCAAAAGTTGACATCACCAACATTGGGACAAATGAATGGGGTGTGTCTCCTGGGATGTACAGAGAAGAACATAGCGTTGGTCCTGAGGCATTCCTACCAAAAATGCAGAAATAATAAGGAAGCTCAGATAATCCCACCTTAAGAGACATTTAGCAAGGTAGCTGGACTCTACTTCTCAAAAATATCATGGTTGTGAAAGACAAGAGGAGACTGAAGGAGACTAGAGAGACGCGACAAATGTATGCAACGTGATATTCGATGCAGACAGCAGAGGTGGAATCTGAATGGAGTCTATTGATTAGTTGTAATATCAGGTCAATGGTAATTCCTAATTTTGATGGTTGTACTGGGGTTATGTCAGAGAGTGTCCTTATACTTAGAATATGTACAGTAGAGTATTATGGGGATGATGAGACATTATTTTGCAACTTATTCTCAAATGATTTAGAAAAGTCAACAATCAGAATTGGAGTGAAACGTTTATGGGAGCTCTGTGAACTGTAACTACTTTTATTTAAGCTTAAAGTATATTAAAAATATTAAATTTTAATTTTTCTAAATTGTGGCATCAGTAAATAATGTTACTTTTTTTTGCATCTTTACTACTGAGGGTAGCTGGGCTCCCTTATGTGTGCACTGCAGGGACATCTATGACTAGTTCTGTGGTTGGAACTCTGAACCTTTGCCTTTGTCCACACCCTTCTTCAGCAGACAGCTGGCTCAGGAAAAGCCCTCATTGAAGGGACATTGCACCCATGCTATCACTTGCTGGTGCTGTTAAAACCTAACCTGTGGACAACCGCTCCTGCAAAGGGCAGGAGCAGGAAGCCAGCAGAGACGAAATTGGACTAATTCTCTCTGTACTCAGAGAAAGCACATCCTTGCTAAAATAAAGGTTCAAAGAAGAAACGAGATGAAAACTGAATTGGTCTTGTAGCTTAGGAAATAAGTGGAGGGGATGTATGAAACTTACAGAATGTAACCCACAGCTGTTTATTCCCAACTAAACCCCCAGATGGCTTAGGGAACCACCATGACATCTTGTGAGGATGCTGCAGCCTTTCCTCAATGTGGGCCTCTGTTTCTGAACTTGGGCCCTTCTCACAATTACATGAAGCTGCTTCTATTGCTCCACAGCTGAACTTCTATACCAGAACGGTCAACCCAAAGAACATCATCTCCATTAGTTTAGGATCTCACCATCTTGCAAAAGCAGGATGGGGCGACAAGGCTTGGCATCTGTGGTAGGTGAACCCAGAGATATGGTGGAAGGAGCAGCAGGAGGGAGCTGCTGGTGGGACGGCTACACCTCTTATACAGGTCAGCTGTAGGCTGGGAAACTGCACTTCAGAGACCCTGATGGAAGGAAAACAAGCAAAGTTAGAAATAATCAATGCCTCTTGTTATTCTGTGATGTCAGCTTTTGATACCTATACCCACCTAACTGGTGGTTTTAATTTTTTCCATCAGCAGACTCTGTCAAATTTAATTTTACCTTTTATGGCTTTTTTTTTTTCTTTTAGAGAAACACACCACCAGGAAGAACATTTGTACCTTATCTTCCGGGTCTTCGAAAAAGCCAGCATCTTTTTGGGGAAACAGTTTAAAACTAGTTTCTCAGGGAGCTTTCTTCTGTGCTGAAAGACTTCTTACTTGCTACTCACTTTATCCATTTATTCATTTGCTTATTATTATTTTTTCGAGATGGGATCTCACTCTGTCTCCCAGGCTGGAATACAGTGCTGCCATCAAAGCTCACTGCAGTTTTGAACTCCTGGTCTCAAGCTATCCTCCCGCCTCTGCCTCTTGAGTAGCTGAGACTACAGGCATACACCACCATGCCTGGCTACTTTTTAATTTTCATTTTTTTTAGAGACAGGGTCTTGCTATGTTGATCAGGCTGGTCTTGAACTCCTTGCCTCAAGTGATCCCCCTGCCTCAACCTCCCAAAGTGCTGGCGTTACAGACATAAGCCACTGCGCCCAGCTCTACTCACTTTATTTTATTTTATTTATTTATTTATTTATTTATTTATTTATTTATTTATTTATTTTTGAGATGAAGTCTCGCTCTGTCGCCCAGACTGGAGTGCAATGGCACGATCTTGGCTCACTGCAAGCTCCGCCTCCTGGGTTCAATTGATTCTCCTGCCTCAGCCTCCAGAGCAGCTAGGACTACAGGCGCCTGCCATCAAGCCCGGCTAATTTTTGTATTTTTAGTAGAGATGGGGTTTCACCATGTCGGCCAGGATGGTCTTGAACTCCTGACCTCGTGATCTGCCCGCCTCAGTCTCCCAAAGTGCTGGGATTATAGGAATGAGCCACCATGCCTGGCTATTTATTATTATTATTATTTTATTTTATTTTTTTTTTTGACACAGAGTCTCACTCTTGTCGCCCAGGCTGGAGTGCAATGACATGATCTCGGCTCACTGCAACCTCCGCTTCCTAGGTTCAAGCAATTCTCTCAGCTGATTTTTTGTATTTTTAGTAGAAAAATATGTCTATACTATTATGAAATACCTGGACAGACACCACTGCTAAGGAAGGATATACAAGAGCAAAGGGGTGGGCGTGGTGGCTCATGCCTGTAATCCCAGAACTTTGGGAGGCAAAGGCAGGTGGATCACTTGAGGTCAGGAGTTTGAGACCAGCCTGGCTAACATGGTGAAACCCTGTCTTTACTAAAAATACAAAACTTAGCCGGGCATGGTGGCAGGTGCCTGTAATCCCAGCTACTCAGGAGGCTGAGGCAGGAGAATAGCTTAAACCCAGGAGGCAGAGGTTGCAATGGGCTGAGATTGCACCACTACACTCCAGCCTGGGCGACAGAGCAAGACTCCATCTTAAAAACAAACAAACAAACAAACAAATTAAAAAACAGCAAAAAAAGAGCAATGGCTGGAGCCAGCTGGGAAAGGAGGCTTGCTTTTCACTGTAGACTCTTGTACTCTCTGAATGTCAGGCATTACCTACTTAAAACATGGCTCGAAGTGGAGAAGGGTGGAGTGTGGACCTGGAGGCTGAATGGGAGATATCCAGCTCCTACATCATCTTCTTTGCACTGTCCTCTCTGTTTTAGTTTCTTCTCTTCCTCCCTTTCTTCCTTCCAGTGTAGGTGCTGAATTCATGAAGTCTATCTGTGTTTGTGTAGCCACTGTACAAATAGGTGAAGACCAACTTTGGGGAGCCCTGGCCTGAGACACGTCTACCTTTTTGTTTAGGTGACCAGGTGGCCTGTAGGAAACCAAGGGCTGCTATATGACCGGAGCTGGATGGTTGTGAATCACAATGGTGTTTGCCTGAGTCAGAAGCAGGAACCCCGGCTCTGCCTGATCCAGCCCTTCATCGACTTGCGGCAAAGGATCATGGTCATCAAAGCCAAAGGTGGGAAAACTGCTTCATTTTCACAGAGCAGCTCCCAACAGCAGCTTTTATATTCATATGAAATACTCTACCAAGTGTTAGAATAACCCATCAGCCTGGGCAATACAGTGAGACCTCATCTCTACAAAAAAAAAAAAAAAATTATCCTGGGTGTGGGAGCACGTGCCTGTAATCTCAGCTACTCAGGAGGCTGAGGCACAAGAATCACTTGAACCCGGGAGGTGGAGGTTGCAGTGAATCGAGATCATGCCATTGCATTCCGGCCTGGGCGACAGAGCAAGACCTTGTATCAAGGGAAAAAATGGGTAAAATAACCTGAAAGTAAGGGAAATAGTGTCTAGGAAACACAACAAAGAGTTTGTTCCCCTTGATTTTGGGAAATTTCGGGAGACAGAAAGATCTGACAGTTCAATCAGACGGTAAAGAGGGGCCAGGTGCGGTGGCTCACGCTTGTAATCCCAGCACTGCAGAGGTGGGCAGATCACTTGAGGTCAAAAGTTCGAGACCAGACTGGCCAACATGACGAAACCCCTTCTCTACTAAAAATACAAAAAGAAGCTGGGCATGGTGGCACGTGCCTGTGATCCCAGCTACTTGGGTACTTGGGAGGCTGAGGCAGGAGTATCGCTTGAGCCCCAGAGGTGGAGGCTGCAGTGAGCCCAGATCGCACCACTGCACTCCAGCTTGGGCAACAGAGGGTGATGATGTCTCAAAAGAAAAAAAAAAAAAGTATAAACTTTATATTAATTAGATGATGTCCTATTTACTTAAGTTTCTTTTATTTTCTTCACTCATCATCATGTATACTGCAGGCTTTAATTCATCCTTGTTGATTTTGTTATGAGTGACATGAATGATCAAACCAATAGAAAAGTATAGGCCCACTCTGTTTAGTAGAACTTTCTGTGGTGATGAAAATGTTCAAACTATACCTTGTCCAGTTTAGTGGCCACCAGTCACTTGTGACTATTGAAATGTGGCTAGTGGGACACTAGAACTGAATTTTAAATTTTACTTAATTTTAATTAGTTTAAATAGCTACGTGTAGCTATGCTACAGTGTTGGACAGCACGGGTATAAAGAATAATACACAATTACAGCATTCAATTTTAGCAAATCTTAACATTTGGCCACATTTCCTTTAGGTCCTCCTCCTCCTCTTCCTTTTTCTTTTTTAGCACACATACGTACATACATAAAACATTACATAGCAGTTGTGGTGCTGGGTTAAAAAAAGGTAAAAGACATTACAGATACAGCAGAAATTTCCTGTGGACCTCTCCTGAGTCTTACTCCTCCTCCTTTCCCATTCCACTAACTTGCAGTTGTACTTTTGTGATATATAACATTTCCATATATTCACGATTGTGTTTCTTGGCTGTAAGTGTTCTGTTCTGTTCTGTTCTGTTCTGTTCTGTTCTGTTCTGTTCTGTTCCCGTGGTTTATTTTTCCTTGAACCAAGAGGCCAGTGTTATTACTAGAGTTATAGAATAAGTCTTGATATCCCATTGTTTTTTTTTTTTTTTGAGACAGAGTTTCACTCTTGTTGTCCAGGCTGGAGTGCAATGGCGTGATCTCGGCTCACTGCAACCTCTGCCTCCTGGGTTCAGCGATTCTTGTGCTTCAGCCTCCCGAGTAGCTGGGATTACAGGCATGCAGCACCATGACTGGCTGATTTTGTATTTTTAGTAGAGACAGGGTTTCTCCGTGTTGGTAAGGCTGGTCTCGAACTCCCGACCTCAGGTGATCTGCCCACCTTGGCATCCCAAAGTGCTGGGATTACAGGCATAAGCCACTGCGCTGGCCCTATTATCCCATTTGTTTAAATTGTCTGTTGTCACATATTGCAGAATCTCTTTTAAGATTGAGTAGTATTCCATTAAATGAGTATACCATATTTACTTTGTTCATCTCTTAATGGACATTTAGATTGTATCCATATCTTGGCTATTGGAAATAGAGCTGCAATGAACATTGGGAGTGCTAATATCTCTTCGGTATCCTGGTTGAAATTATTTTGGATAAGTACCCAGAAGTGGGATCACTGGATCATTTGATAGTTTTATTTTTAATTTTCTAAGAAATCTCAATATTGTTTTTCATATTAACTGAAAAATTTTACATACCCACCAGTGGTTGCAAGGGCTCAAGTTTTTCCACATTCTCGACAACACTTACTTACTGTCTTTTGTTTGTTTTCTTTTGACAATAGCCATCCTGACAGGGGTAGAGTGATATCTCATTTTGATTTCAATTTGCATTTCCCTCATTATTAGTGATGTTAAACATTTTCCATATACCCATTGACCATTAGTACATCTTCTTTGGAGGAATACCTAGAAATACCTATTCAGGTCTTGAACCCATTTTTTTTTTTTAATTTTTTAATTTTTTTTTTTTTAGAGACAGAGCCTCGCTCTGTCGCCCAGGCTGGAGTACAGTGGCGCGATCTTGGCTCACTGCAAGCTCTGCCTTCCAGGTTCACGCCATTCTCCTGCCTCAGCCTTCCCAGTAGCTGGGACTACAGGCGCCCGCCACTACGCCTGGCTAATTTTTGTATTTTTAGTAGAGACGGGGTTTCACCGTGTTAGCCAGGATGGTCTCGATTTCCTGACCTTGTGATCTGCCTGCCTCGGCCTCCCAGAGTGCTGGGATTACAGGCGTGAGCCATCGCGCCCAGCCACTAACCCATTTTTAAATTAGGTTATTTGGTTTTCTGTTTGTTTGTTTACTGCTGAGTTGTAGGAGTTCCTTATATATCTTTGAGGTTAACTACTTTTTCAGATAAATGGTTTGAAAATATTTTCTCCCATTCCACAGGTTGCCTTTTCACTTTTTTAATTGTTCCCTTTGCTGTGCAGAAGCTTTTTAGTTGGATATAGTCCCATTTGTGTATTTTTGTTTTTGTTACTTGTGCTTTGGGTGTCATATTCACAAAGTTATTGCCAAGACCAATGTCATGAAGTTTTTCCCCTATGTTTTCTGCCAGGAGCTTTACATTTTGGGATCTTGTGCTTAAATCTCTAATCCATTTGAGTTGAAGTTTTTGTATGATGTAAGATAAGGGTCCAATTTTATTCTTTTACATGTGGATATCCAGTTTTCCCAACACCATTTGTTGAAAAGACTATCTTTTCTCCATTGTGTTTTCTTGACACCCTTTCCAAAGATCATGTAACCATATATGCATGGATTTATATCTGGACTCTCTAGCCTGTTTCATTAGTCTGTGTATCTGTCTTTGTGCCAGTACCATACTGCTTTGATTACTATAGCTATAGTGATATATTTTAAAATCAGGAATTGTGACAACTCCAGCTTTGTTCTTCTTTCTCAAGATTAATTAGTTTATTTGTCATCTTTTGTGGGTCTATATGAATTTTAGGATCGTTCTTTCTATTTCTGTAAAAAAATGCCATTGCGATTTTGATAGGGATTGCATTGAATCTGCGGATTGCTTTGGGCTCTATAGACATTTTAACAATATTAATTCTTCTAATCCATGAACATGGAGTGCCTTTCCATTTGTTTAATTTCTTGTTTGTGTCTTATTTCTTTCATCAATGTTTTGTAGTTTTCAGAATGTGAGTATTTCACCTCCTTAGATAAGTTTCTTTTGTTCTTTTAAAAGAGATTTAGGGTCTCACTCTGTTGCCCAAACTGGAATAGAGTGGCATGATCACAACTCACTGCAGCCTTGAACTCCTGGGCTCAAGCAATCCTCCTGCTTCAGCCTCCTGAGTAGCTGGGACAACAGGCATGTGCCACCATGCCTGGTCTAGATGAGTTCATTTCTAGGTATTGTACTCTTTTTTTTGTGCTATTATAAGTGGGATTGGTCTTCTTATTTCCTTTTCAGAGAGTTTGTTTTTAGTGTATAGAAATGCAATAGATTTTTGCATGTTGATGTGTATCCTGTATCCTGCAACTTTACTGAATTCATTTATTAGTTTAACAGTTTTTTAAAATGGAGTATTTAGAATTTTTTGAATATATAAGATCATGTTTTTTGATCAAACAAGGACAATTTTACTTCCCTTTTCCAATTTGAATGTCTTTTATTTCTTTTTCTTGCCTAATTGCTCTGACTAGAACTTCCAGTACTATGTCAAATAGTGGAGGCAAGAATGGGCTTCTTTGCCTTGTTCCTGATCTTAAGAGAAAAAGTTTTCAGTTTTTCATCATGGAGTATAATGTTAGTTGTAGGCTTTTCATATGGCATTTATTATCTTGAGGTAACATGTTCTATTCCTAGGTTATTAAGTTTTTATTATGAGAGGGTGCTGAATTTTGTCAAATGCTTTTTCTGTGTCCATTGAGATGAATATGTAATTTTCTCCTCTATTCTGTTAATGTAGTATGTCACATTAATTGATTTTCATATGTTGAATCATCCTTACATCCCAGGAATAAAGCTCACTTTCTCATGGTGTATGATCCTTTTAATGTACTGTTAGATTAAGTTTTGTTGAGGATGTTTGTGTTTATATTCGTCAGGGATATTGGCCTGCAGTTGTCTTTGCCTGCCTTTAGTATCAAGATAATGCTGGCCTCATAAAATGAGTTTGGGAATGTTCCCTCCTCTTAGTTTTTAAGTAGAGTTTGAGAAGATTTAGTATTAATTCTTCTTTAAATATTTGATAGCATTCAGCAGTGAAGCCATTTGGATGTAGGCTTTTCTTTGTTGAGAGGTTTTTGATTACTGATTCAATCTTCATACTAGTTGTAGGTTTGCTCAGGCTTTATTTTGTTCATGTTTAGTTTCGATAGATAGTATGTTTCTAGGAATTTATTCATTTCTTCTAGGTTATCCAGTTTGTTGGCATATAGTTGTTTATAGTAATTTCTTAGAATATTTTATTTTTGTGGCATTATTTATAGTGTCTCATTTCATTTCAGATTTTGAGTTTTCAATTTTTCTTTTCTTTTTTTTTGTTTTGTTTGTTTGTTTTTGAGACGGAGTCTCATTCTGTTGCCAGGCTGGAGTGCAGTGGCACGATCTCGGCTCACTGCAACCTCCGCCTCCTGGGTTCAAGTGATTCTCCTGCCTCAGCCTCCCGAGTAGCTGGGACTACAGGTGCGCACCACCATGCCCAGCTAATTTTTGTACTTTTTGTAGAGAGAGGGTTTCACCATGTTGGCCAGGATGGTCTCGATCTCTTGACCTCGTGATCTGCCTGCCTTGGCCTCCCAAAGTGCTGGGATTACAAGCGTGAGCCACTGTGCCCGGCAAGTTTTCTATTTTTCTTAGTCTAGATAAAAGCTTGTCAGTTCTGTTTTTCAAAAATCCAACTTAGTTTTGTTAATGTTTTCCATTTTTCAATTTTATTTATTTCCATTGCAATCTTTGTTGTTTCATTCCTTGTGCTAAATTTGGGTTTACTTTGTTCTCCTTTTTCTAGTTCCTTGTGGTGTAAAATTAGGTTGTTTGAGATCTTTCTTCTTTTTTACTGTAGACACTTACTGCCATGAGCTTACTATTTAGTACTGCTTTTGCCATATCCCATAAATTTTGATATTTTATGTTTTCATTTGTCTTTGGTATTTTATAATTTTTAAAATTTTCTTCTTTGATCAAATGGTCATTTAAGAGTGTGTTGTTTCATTTCCACATATTTGTGAATTTTTCCATTTTCTTGCTGCTACTATTTCTAGTTTCATTTCATTGTGGTCAGAAACTTGATATGATTTCAATCTTTTTAAATTCATTGTCTTTTTTTTTTTTTTTAAGTCTTGTTTTAAGACCTAACATGATCTATCCTGGAGAAAGATCCGTGTGTGCCTTAGAAGAATGTGTATTCTTCTGCTGTTGGGTGAAACGTTTTATGTATGTTTGTTAGGTCCATTTGGTCTACAGTATGATTCAAGTCCTCCCTTGATCTTCAGTTTGCATGTTCTGTCCATTATTGAATTTATTTTTCTTTTGCTGTCTATTTCTCCTTTCGGTTCTGTCAATGTTTGCTTTATGTATTTAGGTGCTCTGATGTTGGGTGCATATATATTTATAATTGTTATATACTCCTGGTGGATTGATCATTTTATCATCATAAAATGTCCTTCTTTATCTCTTGTGACAGTTTTTGACTTAAAGTCCATTTTAATGGACATAATTATAGCCACTCCTACTCTCTTTTGGTTACCATTTGCATGGAATATCTTTTTCCATCTGTTTACTTTCAGTCTATGTATATCCTTAAACCTAATGTCAGTTTCTTTTAAACAGCATACAGTTGGGTTTTTTTTTATGTCTTTTTATGCTTCTTTTTTTTTATTCAGCCACTCTAAGTCTTTTGATTGGAGAGTTTAATCAAATATATTTAGAGTAATTATTGATAAGGATTTAATATTGCCATTTGGCTAGTTGTTTTCTGTTAGTCTTATAGTTCTTTTGTCTGTCTTTTCACCTCTTGCTGTCTTTGTGTTTTGTTGATATTTTATATTAATGGGCTTTAATTCCTTTGTCTTTTCCTTTTTGTGTAACTTCTATAGGTTTTTTCTTTTTTTTTTTGGTGTGTAGTTATTTCGAGGCTTACATAAAATATCTTAGAGTTATAACGGTC
Source organism: Homo sapiens (assembly GCF_000001405.40). NCBI lineage: Eukaryota > Metazoa > Chordata > Mammalia > Primates > Hominidae > Homo > Homo sapiens. The sequence goes on from NC_000018.10 coordinate 36,226,778, forward strand.
TATTTTAAGCTGACAGCAAGTTTAATCACATACATAACTCTACACTTTAAGCTTTGCTCCCCATACTTTACGTATGGTTGTCAGGATTTACATCTATTCATGATGTGTATCTTTTTTTTTTTTTTTTGAGACAGGGTCTTGCTCTGTTGCCCAGGCTGGAGTACAGTGGTGTGATCTTGACTCACTGCAAACTCTGCCACCTAGGCTCAAGCAATCATCCCACCTAAGCCTCCTGAGTAGTCCTAAGCTAAGTCCTAAGCTAAGTCCTAAGCAGACACATGCCACCATGCCTGGCTAATTTTTGTATTTTTTTTTTTAGAGACAGGGTTTCACCATGTTGCTCAGGTTGGTCTTGAACTCCTGAACTTAAGCAATCCATCCTCCTTGGCCTCCCAAAGTGTTGGAATTATGGGCATGAGCCACCACCCCTGGCCCATATTTGTATCTTTTAACACATATGTATATATTTTAAGAGATGTGGTCTCACTCTGTTGCCCAGGCTGGAGTGCAGTGACATGATCATAGCTCATTACAGTTTTGAACTCCTGGGTTCAAGTGATCCTCCTGCCTTACCCTACCGAGTAGCTGGGACTACTGATATGTGCTGCCATGCCCAGCTAAATTTTTTTTTTTTTTGAGATGGGGTCTCGCTCTGTCACCCAGGCTGGAGTGCAGTGGCATGATCCCAGCTCACTGCAACCTCTGCCTCCTGGGTTCAAGAGATTCTTCTTCCTCAGCTTTCCGGGTAGCTGGGATAACAAGTGCATGCCACCACACCCAGCTAATTTTTGTATTTTTAGTAGAGATGGGGTTTCACCACGTTGGCCAGGCTGGTCCTGAACTCCTAACCTCAGGTGATCTGCCTGTCTCGGCCTCCCAAAGTATGGGGATTATAGGTGTGAGCCACTGTGCCTGGCCCATGCCCAACTAAATTTTTAAAACTTTTAAAAAGATGAGTTCTCTCCAATCTAGGCAATACCATTCAGGACATAAGTAAGGGCAAAGGTTTCATAGTGAAGACAGCAAAAGCAATTGCAACAAAAGCAAAAATTGACAAATGGGATATAATTAAACTAGAGAGCTTCTGCACAGCAAAAGGAATGATCAACAGAGTAAACAGACAGCCTATAGAATGGGAGAAAATTTTTGCAAACTATGCATCTGACAAAGGTCTAATATCCAGCATCTATAAGGAACTTAAACAAATTTACAAGAAACAACCCCATAAAAAGTAGGCAAAGAACATGAGCAAACACTTTTCAAAAGAAGACATATATGCAGCCAACAATCATATGAAAAAAAGCTCAACATCACTGATCATTAGAGAAATGCAAATCAAAACCACAATGAGATATCATCTAACACCAGTCAGAATGAGTATTATTAAAAAGTAAAAAAATAACAGTTGCTGATGAGGTTGTGGAGAAAAAGGAATGCTTATACACCGTTGGTGGGACTGTAAATTAGTTTAGCCATTGTGGAAGATAGTCTGGTGATTCCTCAAACACCTAAAGACAGAAATACCATTTGACCCAGTAATCCCATTACTGGGTATATACCCAAAGAAATATAAATTATTCTATTATAAAAACACATGCATGCATACGTACATTTGTGACACAATTCACAATAGCAAGGACATGGAATCAACTTAAATGCCCATCAATAATAGACTGGATAAAGAAAATGTGGTACATATACACCATGGAATACTATGCAGTCATAAAAAAGAATGAGATAATGTCTTTTTCAGGGACATAGATGAAGCTGGAGGCCATTAGCCTTAGCAAACCAACATAGGAACAGAAAACCAAATACCACATGTTCTCACTTATAAATGGGAGCTAAATGATGAGAACACATGAACACATAGAGGGGAACAATAGACACTGAGACCTACAGGAGGGTGGAGGGTGGGAGGATGGGGAGGATCAGGAAAAATAACTAATGAGTATTAGGCTTAATACCTGGGTGATGAAATAATCTGTATAACAAACCCCCATAACGCAAGTTTACCTATGTAATAAACCTGCACTTGTACCACGGAACTTAAAAGTTGAAAAAAAAAAAAAAAAAAGATGAGATCTCGCCATGTTTCCCAAGCTGGTTTCAAACTCCTGGCCTCAAGAAATCCTTCTGCCCCAGCCCCCTAGTAGCTGGAATTACAAGCATTAGCCATTGTGGACTGCATATATTTTAACCTATTTTTGTAGTTATTCTTTAATACTTTTGTCTTTTGACTTATTTTTGACATATTTTTGTAGCTATTTTAAATATTTTTGTCTTTTGACCTTTATGCTAGGATTAAAAATGAGTTACCCACTACCAATAGTAACATAATATTATTTATTTGTCTACATATTTACTTTATAGCAAATTTCATGCTTTCTTATGCTATTGTGTTGTTGTTTAGTGTCCTATAGTTTCCACTTGAGGAACTTTCTTTTGCATTTTTTATAAATCAGGTCTAGTAGTGATAAATTTTCTCAGCTTTTTCTTGGTATGGTATTCTTGTTGGCAGGTTTGTTTCTTTTAATAGTTTGAATATATCATTCTACTTTGTCTGGCCTACAAAATTTCTGCTGAAAAAAATCCACTGATTGTATTATGAGGGTTCCCTTGTATATGACAAGTCAGTTTTCCCTTGCCTTTTTCCTTCCTTTTGACTTTTGGCAATCTGATTATATGTGTCTTGGCGTGGATTTTTTCAGATTTATCTTATTTGGTATCTGTTGGGCTTTTTGAATTTGGATGTCCATTTTCTTCCTGGATTTGGGAAGTTTTCAGCCATTCTTTCTTTGAATAAGCTTTCTTTTCTTTTCTCACTCTTTTCAAAGTTTTAGACTCCCATAATGTATATATTGGTCCACTTGATGATGTCTCATAATTCCCCTAGGCTTACTTCACTGTTTTAAATTTTTACTTCTTTTTGCTCCTCTGACTGAATTATTTCCAGTGACCTGTCTTCAAGTTTGCTTATCTTTTCTTTTGCTGATCTAGTCTGCTGTTGAACCTCTCTTATAATAAATTTTTTAGTTCAGTTACTGTGTCCTTCACCTCCATGATTTCTATCTGGTACTTTTAACATTTTCTATTTCCTTGTCGAACTATTCATTTTGTTCATGCACTGTTCTCTTGACTTTGGTGACTGTCTTTATAGAGTTATTTTAAACTCTCTGTCAGGTAAACCATATTACTCTGTTTCATTAGGGTCAGTTGCTGGAAATTTATCTTGTTCTTTTGTTTGGAACATCTTTGCCTGATTCTTCATTTTCCTCAAGTGTCTGTGTTGGTGTCTGTGCATTACTTGTTTGTTTCTTTGTTTCAAGACATCTTGCTCTGTCACCCAGGCTGGAGTACAGTGGCACGATCTCGGCTTACTGCAACCTTTGCCCTGAGGTTTCAAGCGATTCTCATGCCTCAGCCTCCCGAGTAGCTGGGTTTACAGCTGGTGTGCACCACTACACCAGGCTAATTTTTTTGTATTTTTAGAGATGGGATTTCACCATGTTGGCCAGGCTGGTCTCGAACTCCTGACCTCAGGTGATCCACCCACCTTGGTCTCCCAAAGTGCTGGGATTACAGACATGAGCCACTGTGCCCAGCCTGTGTCTATGCATTAGACAAAGCAAGCAACTCTCCTAGTCTTCACCGACTGGCCTCATAAAAGAAGACCCCTACCAATCAGATTGGCCAGAGATTCAGGGGGTCACTACCAACTCTTTCGTCCCTTAGGATAATCAGGCAACTATGTTTTCTATCTGCTTATGGTGTGATGAGCACTGGGGAGCTCAAGATGCTACCTCCATTCTCTTGCGAGTGGCTTCACTGTGCCAGGCCCATCAGAGCTCTAAGACTGAGAAGACAGAAGCCAGTCCTCTAGGGAGCTCTCTTGGAAAGGTTGGGGTGCTAGACACACAAACCAGCCCCTTCTCTTCCCTGAGTGAAGCTGAGAGTGAGGGGCTCTCTTCCTGATTGTATGGCACTGCACTGTGGGCCAGGTGTCTGTGGAGACGGTGCTGGAAATCTCCCTACCAGTTTCAGTGAGTCTGGTTTCATGTTCTGGGGTTCAGGAGCCTGTCAATTAGGTTCTGATTTCCATGTCATCTTCTAATAATGATAGTTTTGTACCTTTCTTTTTCATTTTTATTTCTGTTAATTTTTGTCTTACTGCATTTGTTAATCTTTCCTATATAATGAGGAATGGAGCACTGATGGAAGACATTCTTCTTTATTACCAACTTGAGTGGAATGCTTCTGAAGTTTCAAAAATAAGAATGATGTTTATTGTAGGTTTTTGATTGATTTATTTTATCAGGCTAAAGTAGTTCTTTTCCTATTTTGCCAAAATTTTTATCATGACTAAATTTATTTCTTACTGAACGCTTTTTCTGTATTTGTTTATCATATTTTTTCCCATAAGCTATTAATATGATGTATTACATTACTAGATTGTCTATAACTGAGCTATATATTTGGTATCTTAAGGAAAAAGTACACTTGGCAATGACTTTCTAATACATTGCTGGGTTTGGTTTGCTAATATTTTAGTGATGTTTGTGTCTGTTTTTATCAGTGAGAGTGATTATAGCCCATTGTTATTAAATTATTCTTGTTCAAGTTCAAGTACCCAGGATATTAACATACATTAATTATTGTTATTTTGAACTGTTACCTATGCATGTTACGCATTCCTTTATATATATGATGTGTATAACATAGAAAAAAGACTAGCTTTCCAACTCTACTGTGACATAGTAAGTTTTTTGTTTGTTTGTTTGTTTTGTTTGTTTGTTTTTTAGCAATAACGATGATTGATGCAGGAATCCAATTTGATGCTAACTCCTAGAGGCTAATGAGATTTGACACTCTATGCTGATATCTTTACAGAATGAGCCTTCATGCTTGTCTGTCTATTTCTAAAGGATTGAAGGTAGCTTAGAGAACAATGACCCACGATGTGGATGATCCAGAAGTACAGAAATCTTTCAAAATAATTTACAGAGTGTCCCTGGGGCCTTGGATGTGATCGCCCCCATTCAGGCTCTTCCATAAAAAACTTGCTCAGTGCACATACTATTGGTGGCACTGATAATGATGAAGAAAGTCTTCATGTTATAAAAAGATTTCTAAGACCCAGGCACTTCCTTGATCCAACCAAATTCTAGTGTCATTAAAATTCTTTTTTTTGTTGTTTTGGTTTTTTTGAGACACGTTCTCACTGTGTCACCCAGGCTGGAGTGCAGTGACACAATCTCAGCTCACTGCAACCTCCATCTCCTGGGCTCAAGCCTCAAGCGATCCTGCTACCTCAGCCTCCGGAGTAGCTGGGACCACAGGCATGTGCCACCACATCCAGCTAATTTTTGATATTTTCAGTAGAGATGGGGTTTTGCCATGTTGCCCAGGCTGGTCTGAAACTCCTGAGCTCAAGCGATCCACCTGCCTCGGCCTCTGAAATTGCTGAGATTCCAGGTATGAGCCACCATGCCTGACCTTAAAATTATTGTATATTTCATAATAATGAGCTTTGATTTACAGTTATTCCTTTTTAATTTTGAACAGATACAGTAATTGTACATATTTATGGTGTACAATGTGATACTTTGATACATGCATACAATATGTAATAATAAAATCAGTGTAATGATCAAATCAGTGTAATTATATAGCATATTCATCACCTCAAATATTTATCATTTCTTTGTGTTGAGGATGTTTAAAATCCTCTTTTCTAGCTATTTTGAAATATTTAATAAATTATTGTTAACCATAGTCACCCTATTGTGCTACAGAATACTAGACCTTATTCCTCCTATATACCTGTAATTTTGTACCCATTAACCAACCTCTCCCTATCCCCTTCTTTATCCTACCCGTCCCTGCTTTTGGTAACTACTATTCTACTCTTTACTTCTATGAGATCAACTTAAAAAATTCCCACATATGAGTGAGAACATGCAGTATTTGTCTTTTTATGCCTGGCTTATTTTACTTAACATAATGTCCTTCAGGCTCATCCATGTTGCTGCAAATAACATAATTTCCTTCTTTTTTATGGCTGAATAATATTCCATTACACACACACACACACACACACACACACACACACCATTTTCTTTATCCATTCATTAATTGATGAACACTTAAGTTGATTCCATAACTTGGCTACTGTGAATAGTGCTGCAATAAAAATGGGAATGCAGATATATCTTAAACATACTGATTTTCCTCTCCTTCGTTATTATTATTATTATCACTTCAATAGTTTTTGGGAAACAGGTGGTGTTTAGGTACATGGGTAAGTTCTTTAGGTGTGATTTCTGAGATTTTGGTGTACTCATCACCCGAGCAGTGTACACTGCACCCAGTTGATAATCTTTTATCTCTCAACTCCCCTCCACCCTTTTCTGCAAGTCTCCAGAGTCCATTATGTCATTCTTATGTCTTTATATCCCCATAGCTTAGTTTCCACTTATAAGAGAGAACATACAATGTTTGTTTTCCATTCCTGAATTACTTCCCTAAAAATAATGGTCTCCAACTCTATCCAGATTGTTGCAAATGCCATTATTTAGTTCCTTTTAATGGCTGAGTAGTATTCCATGGTGTTTGTGTGTTTGTATACCCACATCATATTTTCTTTATCCACGCATTGGCTGATGAGCATTTAGGCTGGTTCCATATTTTTGCAATTGTGAATTGTGCTGCTATAAACATATGTGCACAAGTGTCTTTTTTATATAATGACTTCTTTTCCTCTGGGTAAATACCCAGTAGTAGGGTTGCTGGATCAAATTGTGGTTCTACTTTTAGTTCTTTAAGGAAACTCCATATTGTTTTCCATAGTGGTTTTACTAGTTTACATTCCCACCAGCAGTGTAAAGTGTTCCCTTTTCACCACATCTATGCCAGCATCGATTATTTTTCAATTTTTAAATTATGGTCATTCTTGCAGGAGTAAGGTGGTATTACATTGTGGTTTTGATTTGCATTTCCCTGATAATTAGTAATGATGAGCATTTTCTCATGTTTGTTGGCCATTTGTATATCTTCTTTTGAAAAATTTCCATTCATGTCCTTAGCCCACTTTTTGATGAGATTATTTGGTTTTTGTTGCTGATTTGTTTGAGTTCCTTGTAGAATTCTGGATATTAGTCCTTCGTCAGATGCGTGGTTTGCAAATATTCTCTCTCACTTTGTGGATTGTCTCTTTACTTTTCTGGGTATTTCTTTTGCTGTGCAGAAGCTTTTTAAATTAGGTCCCATCTATTTATCTTTGTTTTAGTTGCATTTACTTTTGGGTTCTTGGTCATGAATTCTTTGCTTACCGCAATATCTAGAAGGGTTTTTCCAATGTTACCTTCTAGGATTTTTATGGTTTCATGTCTTAGATTTAAGTCTTTGATCCATCTTCAGTTGATTTTTGTATAAGGTGAGAGATAAGGATCCATTTTCATGTTTTTACATGTGGCTGGCCAGTTATCCCAGCACCATTTGTTGAATAGGGTGTCCTTTCCCCACTTTGTTTTTGTTTGCTTTGTCGAAGATCAGTTGGCTGTAAGTATTTGGCTTTATTTCTGGGTTCTTTATTCTGTTCCATTGGTCTGTGTGCCTGCTTTAATACCAGTGCCATGCTGTTTTGGTAACAGTAGCCTTGTATTATAGTTTGAAGTTGGGTAATGTGATGCCTTCAGATTTTTCTTTTTGCTTAGTCTTGCTTTGGCTAAGTGGGCTGTTTTTTTGTTTCCATACGGATTTTAGGATCATTTTTTCCTAGTTCTGTGAATAATGATGACGGCATTTTGATGGGAATTGCACTGAATTTGTATATTTCTTTTAACAGCATGGTCATTTTCACAATATTGATTCTAGCCATCCATGAGCATTAGTCCATTTGTATTGTTGTGTTAGCCTGTTTTCACACTGCTATAAAGAAATACCTGAGACTGGGTAATTTATAAAGGAAAGAGGTTCAATTGACTCACAGTTTTAAATGGCCGGGGAAGCCTCAGGAAACTTACAATTATGGTGGAAGGCAAAGGGAAATGAGGACCTTCTTCACATGGTGGCAAGAGAGAGAAGGGCAAAGGAGGAACTTCCAAACATTTATAAAACCATCAGATCTCATAAGAACTTACTCACTATCATGCAAACAGCATGGAGGAAACTGTCCCCATGATCCAATCACCTCCCTCCCTTGATATCTAGGGATCACAACTTGAGATGAGATTTGGATGGGGATACAGAGCCACACCATATTATTCTGCCCCTGGCCCCTCCCAAATCTCATGTCTTTTAACATTTCAAAACCAATCATGCCTTCTCAACAGTACCCCAAAATCAATTTTTTTAAATTTTTTTATTATTATACTTTAAGTTTTAGGGTACATGTGCACATTGTGCAGGTTAGTTACATACGTATACATGTGCCATGCTGGTGTGCTGCACCCACTAACTCATCATCTAGCATTAGGTATATCTCCCAATGCTATCCCTCCCCCCTCCCCCCACCCACAACAGTCCCCAGAGTGTGATGTTCCCCTTCCTGTGTCCATGTGATCTCATTGTTCAATTCCCACCTATGAGTGAGAATATGCGGTGTTTGGTTTTTTGTTCTTGTGATAGTTTACTGAGAATGATGATTTCCAATTTCATCCATGTCCCTACAAAGGACATGAACTCATCATTTTTTATGGCTGCATAGTATTCCATGGTGTATATGTGCCACATTTTCTTAATCCAGTCTATCATTGTTGGACATTTGGGTTGGTTCCAAGTCTTTGCTATTGTGAATAATGCCGCAATAAACATACGTGTGCATGTGTCTTTATAGCAGCATGATTTATAGTCCTTTGGGTATATACCCAGTAATGGGATGGCTGGGTCAAATGGTATTTCTAGTTCTAGATCCTGAGGAATCGCCACACTGACTTCCACAATGGTTGAACTAGTTTACAGTCCCAACAACAGTGTAAAAGTGTTCCTATTTCTCCACATCCTCTCCAGCACCTGTTGTTTCCTGACTTTTTAATGATTGCCATTCTAACTGGTGTGAGGTGGTATCTCATTGTGGTTTTGATTTGCATTTCTCTGATGGCCAGTGATGGTGAGCATTTTTTCATGTGTTTTTTGCCTGTATAAATGTCTTCTTTTGAGACGTGTCTGTTCATGTCCTTCGCCCACTTTTTGATGGGGTTGTTTGTTTTTTTCTTGTAAATTTGTTTGAGTTCATTGTAGATTCTGGATATTAGCCCTTTGTCAGATGAGTAGGTTGTGAAAATTTTCTCCCATTTTGTAGGTTGCCTGTTCACTCTGATGGTAGTTTCTTTTGCTGTGCAGAAGCTCTTTAGTTTAATTAGATCCCATTTGTCAATTTTGGCTTTTGTTGCCATTGCTTTTGGTGGTTTAGACATGAAGTCCTTGCCCATGCCTATGTCCTGAATGGTAATGCCTAGGTTTTCTTCTAGGGTTTTTATGGTTTTAGGTCTAACATTTAAGTCTTTAATCCATCTTGAATTGATTTTTGTATAAGGTGTAAGGAAGGGATCCAGTTTCAGCTTTCTACATATGGCTAGCCAGTTTTCCCAGCACCATTTATTAAATAGAGAATCCTTTCCCCATTGCTTGTTTTTCTCAGGTTTGTCAAAGATCAGATAGTTGTAGATATGTGGCGTTATTTCTGAGGGCTCTGTTCTGTTCCATTGATCTATATCTCTGTTTTGGTACCAGTACCATGCTGTTTTGGTTACTGTAGCCTTGTAGTATAGTTTGAAGTCAGGTAGTGTGATGCCTCCAGCTTTGTTCTTTTGGCTTAGGATTGACTTGGCAATGCGGGCTCTTTTTTGGTTCCATATGAACTTTAAAGTAGTTTTTTCCAATTCTGTGAAGAAAGGCATTGGTAGCCTGATGGGGGTGGCATTGAATCTGTAAATTACCTTGGGCAGTATGGCCATTTTCACGATATTGATTCTTCCTACCCATGAGCATGGAATGTTCTTCCATTTGTTTGTATCCTCTTTTATTTCGTTGAGCAGTGGTTTGTAGTTCTCCTTGAAGAGGTCCTTCACATCCCTTGTAAGTTGGATTCCTAGGTATTTTATTCTCTTTGAAGCAATTGTGAATGGGAGTTCACTCATGATTTGGCTCTCTGTTTTTCTGTTGTTGGTGTGTAGGAATGCTTGTGATTTTTGCACATTGATTTTGTATCCTGAGACTTTGCTGAAGTTGCTTATGAGCTTAAGGAGATTTTGGGCTGAGACAATGGGGTTTTCTAGATATACAATCATGTCATCTGCAAACAGGGACAATTTGACTTCCTCTTTTCCTAATTGAATACCCTTTATTTCCTTCTCCTGCCTAATTGCCCTGGCCAGAACTTCCAACACTATGTTGAATAGGAGTGGTGAGAGAGGGCATCCCTGTCTTGTGCCAGTTTTCAAAGGGAATGCTTCCAGTTTTTGCCCATTCAGTATGATATTGGCTGTGGGTTTGTCATAGATAGCTCTTATTATTTTGAAATATGTCCCATCAATACCTAATTTATTGAGAGTTTTTAGCATGAAGGTTGTTGAATTTTGTCAAAGGCCTTTTCTGCATCTATTGAGATAATCATGTGGTTTTTGTCTGTGGCTCTGTTTATATGCTGGATTACATTTATTGATTTGCATATATTGAACCAGCCTTGCATCCCAGGGATGAAGCCCAGTTGATCATGGTGGATAAGCTTTTTGATGTCCTGCTGGATTTGGTTTGCCAGTATTTTATTGAGGATTTTTGCATCAATGTTCATCAAGGATATTGGTCTAAAATTCTCTTCTTTGGTTGTGTCTCTGCCTGGCTTTGGTATCAGAATGATGCTGGCCTCATAAAATGAGTTAGGGAGGATTCCCTCTTTTTCTATTGATTGGAATAGTTTCAGAAGTAATGGTACCAGTTCCTCCTTGTACCTGTGGTAGAATTCGGCTGTGAATCCATCTGGTCCTGGACTCTTTTTGGTTGGTAAGCTATTGATTATTGCCACAATTTCAGCTCCTGTTATTGGTCTATTCAGAGATTCAACTTCTTCCTGGTTTAGTCTTGGGAGAGTGTATGTGTCAAGGAATTTATCCATTTCTTCTAGATTTTCTAGTTTATTTGCGTAGAGGTGTTTGTAGTATTCTCTGACGGTAGTTTGTATTTCTGTGGGATTGGTGGTGATATCCCCTTTTATCATTTTTTATTGCGTCTATTTGATTCTTCTCTCTTTTCTTCTTTATTAGTCTTGCTAGTGGTCTATCAATTTTGTTGATCCTTTCAAAAAACCAGCTCCTGGATTCATTAATTTTTTGAAGGGTTTTTTGTGTCTCTATTTCCTTCAGTTCTGCTCTGATTTTAGTTATTTCTTGCCTTCTGCTAGCTTTTGAATGTGTTTGCTCTTGCTTTTCTAGTTCTTTTAATTGTGATGTTAGGGTGTCAATTTTGGATCTTTCCTGCTTTCTCTTGTGGGCATTTAGTGCTATAAATTTCCCTCTACACACTGCTTTGAATGTGTCCCAGAGATGCTGGTATGTTGTGTCTTTGTTCTCGTTGGTTTCAAAGAACATCTTTATTTCTGCCTTCATTTCGTTATGTACCCAGTAGTCATTCAGGAGCCGGTTGTTCAGTTTCCATGTAGTTGAGCGGTTTTGAGTGAGATTCTTAATCCTGAGTTCTAGTTTGATTGCACTGTGGTCTGAGAGATAGTTTGTTATAATTTCTGTTCTTTTACATTTGCTGAGGAGTGCTTTACTTCCAACTATGTGGTCAATTTTGGAATAGGTGTGGTGTGGTGCTGAAAAGAATGTATATTCTGTTGATTTGGGGTGGAGAGTTCTGTAGATGTCTATTAGGTCCGCTTGGTGCAGAGCTGAGTTCAATTCCTGGGTATCCTTGTTGACTTTCTGTCTCGTTGATCTGTCTAATGTTTACAGTGGGGTGTTAAAGTCTCCCATTATTAATGTGTGGGAGTCTAAGTCTCTTTGTAGGTCACTCAGGACTTGCTTTATGAATCTGGGTGCTCCTGTATTGGGTGCATATATATTTAGGATAGTTAGCTCTTCTTGTTGAATTGATCCCTTTACCATTATGTAATGGCCTTCTTTGTCTCTTTTGATCTTTGTTGGTTTAAAGTCTGTTTTATCAGAGACTAGGATTGCAACCCCTGCCTTTTTTTGTTTTCCGTTTGCTTGGTAGGTCTTCCTCCATCCTTTTATTTTGAGCCTATGTGTGTCTCTGCATGTGAGATGGGTTTCCTGAATACAGCACACTGATGGGTCTTGACTCTTTATCCAATTTGCCAGTCTGTGTCTTTTAATTGGAGCATTTAGTCCATTTACATTTAAAGTTAATAGTGTTATGTGTGAATTTGATCCTGTCATTATGATGTTAGCTGGTGATTTTGCTCGTTACTTGATGCAGTTTCTTCCTAGACTTGATGATCGTTACATTTTGGCATGATTTTGCAGCGGCTGGTACCAGTTTTTCCTTTCCATGTTTAGCGCTTCCTTCAGGAGCTCTTTTAGGGCAGGCCTGGTGGTGACAAAATCTCTCAGCATTTGCTTGTCTGTAAAGTATTTTATTTCTCCTTCACTTATGAAGCTTAGTTTGGCTGGATATGAAATTCTGGGTTGAAAATTCTTTTCTTTAAGAATGTTAAATATTGGCCCCCACTCTCTTCTGGCTTGTAGGGTTTCTGCCAAGAGATCCGCTGTTAGTCTGATGGGCTTCCCTTTGAGGGTAACCCGACCTTTCTCTCTGGCTGCCCTTAAAATTTTTTCCTTCATTTCAACTTTAGTGAATCTGACAATTATGTGTCTTGGAGTTGCTCTTCTCGAGGAATATCTTTGTGGCGTTCTCCGTATTTCCTGAATCTGAATGTTGGCCTGCCTTGCTAGATTGGGGAAATTCTCCTGGATAATATCCTGCAGAGTGTTTTCCAACTTGGTTCCATTCTCCCCATCACTTTCAGGTACACCAATCAGACGTAGATTTGGTCTTTTCACATAGTCCCATATTTCTTGGAGGCTTTGCTCGTTTCTTTTTATTCTTTTTTCTCTAAATTTTCCTTCTTGCTTCATTTCATTCATTTCATCTTCCATTGCTGATACTCTTTCTTCCAGTTGATCACATCAGCTCCTGAGGCTTCTGCATTCTTCGTGTAGTTCTCGAGCCTTGGTTTTCAGCTCCATCAGCTCCTTTAAGCACTTCTCTGTATTGGTTATTCTAGTTATACATTCTTCTAAATTTTTTTCAAAGTTTTCAACTTCTTTGCCTTTGGTTTGAATGTCCTCCCGTAGCTCAGAGTAATTTGATCGTCTGAAGCCTTCTTCTCTCAGCTCGTCAAAGTCATTCTCCGTCCAGCTTTGTTCCGTTGCTGGTGAGGAGCTGCGTTCCTTTGGAGGAGGAGAGGCGCTCTGATTTTTAGAGTTTCCAGTTTTTCTGTTCTGTTTTTTCCCCATCTTTGTGGTTTTATCTACTTTTGGTCTTTGATGATGGTGATGTACAGATGGGTTTTTGGTGTGGATGTCCTTTCTGTTTGTTAGTTTTCCTTCTAACAGACAGGACCCTCAGCTGCAGGTCTGTTGGAGTACCCTGCAGTGTGAGGTGTCAGTGTGCCCCTGCTGGGGGGTGCCTCCCAGTTAGGCTGCTCGGGGGTCAGGGGTCAGGGACCCACTTGAGGAGGCAGTCTGCCCGTTCTCAGATCTCCAGCTGCGTGCTGGGAGAACCACTATTCTCTTCAAAGCTGTCAGACAGGGACATTTAAGTCTGCAGAGGTTACTGCTGTCTTTTTGTTTGTCTGTGCCCTGCCCCCAGAGGTGGAGCCTACAGAGGCAGGCAGGCCTCCTTGAGCTGTGGTGGGCTCCACCCAGTTCGAGCTTCCCAGCTGCTTTGTTTACCTAAGCAAGCTGGGCAATGGTGGGCGCCCCTCCCCCAGCCTCGCTGCCGCCTTGCAGTTTGATCTCAGACTGCTGTGCTAGCAATCAGCGAGACTCCATGGGGTAGGACCCTCCGAGCCAGGTGCAGGATATAATCTCGTGGTGCGCCGTTTTTTAAGCCCATCGGAAAAGCGCAGTATTCGGGTGGGAATGACCCGATTCTCCAGGTGCCGTCCGTCACCCCTTTCTTTGATTAGGAAAGGGAACTCCCTGACCCCTTGTGCTTCCCGAGTGAGGCAATGCCTCGCCCTGCTTCGGCTCGCGCACGGTGCGTGCACCCACTGACCTGCACCCACTGTCTGGCACTCCCTAGTGAGATGAACCCAGTACCTCAGATGAAAATGCAGAAATCACCCGTCTTCTGCGTCGCTCAGGCTGGGAGCTGTAGACCGGAGCTGTTCCTATTCGGCCATCTTGGCTCCTCCCAACAAAGTCCCCAGAATCTTAACTCATTTCAGCATTAACTCAAAAGTCCACAGTCCAAAGTCTCATCTGAGACAAGGCAAGTCCCTTCCACCTAGGAGCCTGTCAAAGAAAAAACAAGTTAGTTCCTTCCAAGATATAATGGGGTACAATAATTGGGTAAATATACCCATTTTAAATGGGAGAAATTGGCCAAAACAAATGGTCTGCAGTCTCCTTGTAAGTCTGAAATCCAGCAGGGCAGGCATTAAATCTTAAAGGTTCAAAATGATCTTCTTTGACTCCATGTCTCACATCCAGATCACACTGATGCAAGAGGTGGGCTCCCATGGCCTTGGGCAGCTTCTTCATGGGCTGAAGTTGAGTGATGGGGCTTTTCCAGGTGCAAAGTGTAAGCTGTTGGTGGATCTATCATTCTGGGGTCTGGAGGACAGTGGCCCTCTTCTCACAGCTCCACTAGGCAGTGCCCCTGTGGGGACTCTGTGGAATCTCCAATTTCACATTACCCATCTGTGCTGCTCTAGCAGAGGTTCTGCATGAGGGATCCACCCCTGTGCAGACTTCTGTCTGGATATCCAGGCATTTTCTTACATCCTCTGAAATCTAGGTGGAGGTTACCAAATCTCAGTTCTTGACTTTTGTGTACCCACAGGCCCAATACCACATGGAAGCCACCAAGGCTTGGGGCTTGCACCTTCTGAAGCAATAGCCCAAGTTGTACCTTGGCCCTTTTAGCCACAGCTGGATTGCGAGTGGCCAGAATGCAGGGCACCAAATCCTGAGGCTACACACAGCAGTGGGGCCCTGAGCCTGACCCGCGAAGCCATTTTTTTCCTCCTAGGCCTCCGGGCCGTGATGAGAAGGGCTGCTACCAGGATCTCTGACATGCCCTGGAGACAGTTTTCCCCATTGCTTTGGCAATTAACATTTGGCTCCTGGTTACTTATGCAAATTTCTACAGCAGCGTTGAATTTCTTTTCTGTAGCACAGACTGTGAATTTTCCAAACTCTTATGCTCTGCTACCCTCCCCTTTTAAATATAAGTTCCAATTTCAGATCATCTCTCTCAAGTTGAAAGTTCCACAGATCTCTAGGGCAGGGGCAAAATGCTACCAGTCTCTTTGCTAAAGCATAGCAAGGTGACCTTTGATCCACTTCCCCACAAGTTCCTCATCTCTATCTGAGACTACCTTAGCCTGGACTTCACTGTCCACATCACTATCGGCATTTTGGTCAAAACCATTCAACAAGTCTCTAGGAAGTTCCAAACTTTCTGACATCTTCCTGTCTTCTTAGCCCTCCAAACTGTTCTAACCTCTCCCCATTACCTAGTTCCAAAGTCTCTTCCACATTTTCAAGTATCTTTGTAGCCATGCCCCAAACTCCTGGTACCAATTTACTGTATTAGTCCATTGTCACACTGCTATAAAGAAATATCTGAGACTGGGTAATTTATAAAGGAAGCAGTTTAATTGACTCACAGTTCCACATGGCTGGAGAGGCCTCAAGAAACTTACAATCATGGTGGAAGGTGAAGGGGAAGCAAGGACATTTTTCACATGGTGGCAGGAGAGAGAAGGGGGTAGGAGGAACTTCCAAACACTTATAAAACCATCAGATCTCATGAGAACTCACTGTCATGAGAATATCAGAGGGAAAACTGCCCCTGTGATCCAATCACCTTCCTCCCTTTATGAGTGGGGATTACAATTCAAGATGAGATTTGGATGGGGACATAGAGCCAAACCATATCAGATTTGTTTCCATTTGTTTGTGTCATCTATGATTTCTTTCAGCAGTGTTTTATTGTTTTCCTTGTAGGTATCTTTTCCTCCTTGGTTAGGTATATTGCTAAGTATTTTAATTTTTTTTTGCAGCTGTGGTAAAAGGGAATGAGTTCTTGATTTGATTCTCAGCTTGGTCACTGTTGGTGTGTAGCAGTGCTACTGATTTGTGTACGTTGATTTTGTATCCTGAAACTTTACTAACTTCATTTATCAGATCTGGGAGCTTTTTGGATGAGTCTTTAAGGTTTTTTAGGTATACAGTTATATCATTGGCAAACAGGGACAGTTTGACATCCTCTTTACCGATTTGGATGCCCTTTATTTCTTTCTCTTGTCTGATTGCTCTGGCTACAACTTTGCTGAGGGTTTTAATCATAAAGCGTTGCTGGATTTTGTTAAATGTTTTTTCTGCATCTATTGAGATAATCACATGATTTTTGTTTTTACTCCTGTTTATGTGGCATATCACATTTATTGACTTGTGTAAGTTAAACCAACTCTGCATCACTGGTATGAAACCCAGTTGATCATGGTGTCTTATCTTTATGATATGCTGTTGAATTTAGTTAGCTAGGATTTTGTTGAGGATTTTTGCATCTATATTCATCAGGGATATTTGTCTGTAGTTTTCTTTTTTTGTTGTTATGTCCTTTCCTGGTTTTGGTATTAGGGTGATACTGGCTTTATAGAATGATTTAGGGAGGATTCCCTCTGTCTCTGCCTTTTGAAATAGTTTCAGTAGGATTGGTACCAGTTCTTCTTTGAATGTCTGACAGAATTCAGCTGTGAATCCATCTGGTCCTGGACTTTTTTTATGTTGGCAGCTTTTTTATTACCATTTCAGTCTCGCTACTTGTTATTGGTCTGTTCATAGTTTCTATTTCTTCCTGGTTTAATCTAGGAGGGTTGTATATTTCCAGGAATTTATCCATCTTCTCTAGGTTTTCTAGTTTGTGTGCATAAAGGTGTTCATAGTTGCCTTGAATGATCTTTTGTATTTCTGTGGTTTCAATTGTAATATTGCCCATTTCATTTCTAATTGATCTTATTTGAATCTTCTCTCTTCTTTTCTTGGTTAATCACACTAATGATCTATTGGTTTTGTTTATTTTTTCAAAGAACCAGCTTTTTGTTCTATTTATCTTTTGTGTTGTTTTTTGTTTGTTTCAATTTCATTTAGTGTTACTCTGATCTTTGTTATTTCTTTTTTTTTCTGTTTGGTTTGGGTTTGATTTTTTCTTTATTCTCTAGTTTTTTGAGGTGTGACCTTAGATTATTTATTTGTGCTCTTTCAGACTTTTTGATGTAGGCATTTACTGCTATGAACTTTCCTTTTAGCAGTACTTTTGCTGTATCCCACAGGTTGTGATTGGTTGTGTCACTGTTATCATTCAGTTCAAAGAATTTTTTAAATTCCATCTTGATTTCATTGTTGACCCAAGGATCAGTCAGGAGCAGATTATTTAATTTCCATGTCTTTGTATAGTTTCGAGAGTTCTTTTTGGAGTTAATTTCCAATTTTGTTCCACTGTGGTCTGAAAGGGTACTTGATCTAATTTCAATTTTCTTAAATGTATTGAGACTTGTTTTATGGCCATGATATGGTTCATCTTGGAGAATATTACATGTGCCAGTTAAAAGAATGTATACTCTGCAGTTGTTGGGTAGAATTTTCATAAATATCTGTTAAGTCCATTTGTTTTAGGGTATAGTTTAAGTCCATTGATTCTTTGTTGACCTGTCTTGATGACCTGTCTAATGCTGTCAGTGGAGTATTGAAGTCTCCCACTATTATTGTGTTGTCATGTATCTCATTTCTTAGGTCTAGTAGCAATTGTTTTATAAATTTGAGAACTCCAATTCCGGTGTTAGGTGTATATAGATTTAGAATTGGGACACTTTCCTGTTGGACTGTTCTTTTTATTATTATATAATATTCCTCTTTGTCTTTTTAAACTGTTGTTGCTTTAAAGTTTGTTTTGTCTGCTATAAGAATAGCTACTCCTGCTCACTTTTGGTTTCCATTTTCATGGAATATCTTTTTCCACCCCTTTCATCAAGTTTATATGAGTCCTTGTGTGTTAGGTGAGTCTCTTGAAGACAGTAGATACTTGGTTGGTGGATTTTTATCCATTCTGCCATTCTGCCTCTTTTAAGTGGAACATTTAGGCCATTTACATTCAAACATTACTATTGAGATATGAGGTACTGTTCTATTCATCATGCTAGTTGTTGCCTGAATACCTTTTTTTTATTGTGTTATTGTTTTATAAGCTGTGTGAGCTTTATGCTTTAAGGAAGTTCTATTTTTGGTGTATTTCAAAGTTTTGTTTTAAGATTTAGGACTTCTTTTACCATTTTTTTTGTAGTGCTGGATTGTAGTCACAAATTTTGTCAGCATTTCTTTTTCTAAAAACGACTTTATCTTTCCTTCATTTATGAAGCTTTGTTTCACTGGATGCAAAATTCTTGGCTGATAATTATTTTGTTTAAGGAGGCTGAAGATAGGACCCCAATCCCTTCTGACTTGCAAGGTTTCTGCTGAGAAATCTGCTGTTAATCTGTTAGGTTTTCCTTTTGGGTTACTGATGCTTTTGCCTCACAGCTCTTTAGATTCTTTCCTTCATCTTGACTTTAGCTAACCTGATGACTATGTGCCTAGGTAATAATCCTTTTGCTATGAATTTCCCAGGTGTTCTTTAAGCTTTTTATATGTGGATGTCTAGATCTCTAGTGAGATCAGAGAAGTTTTCCTTGATTATTCCCTCAAATAAGTTTTCCAAAGTTTTAGATTTCTCTTCTTCCTCAGGGACACCAATTATTCTTATGTTTGGTCATTTAAAATAATCCAAAATTTCATGGAGACTTTGTTCATTTTTTAAAATTCTTTTTTATTTGTCTTTTGGATTGGGTTAATTTGAAAGCGTTGTCTTTGGGCTCTGAAGTTCTTTCTTCTACTTTTTCAATACTATTGCTGAAACTTTCCTGTGTATTTTGCATTTCTCTAAGTGTGTCTTTCATTTCCAGAAGTTGTGATCATCTTTTCTTTATGATATCTATTTCTCTGGAGACTTTTTCATCCATATCCTGTATTTTTTTAAATTTCTTTAAATTAGTTTTCACTTTTCTCTGGTGCCTCCTTAAGTAGCTTAATAGTCAACCTTCTGAATTCTTTTTCTGGCAATTCAGAGATTTCCTCTTGGTTTAGATCCATTGCTGGAGAGCTAGAGTGATCTTTTGATGGTGTTATAGAACCTTGTTTTATCATATTACCAGAATGACTTTTCTGGTTACTTCTTGTTTGGGGAGACTGTTTCTGTGGGAAGATATGGGACTCAAGGGCTGCTATTCACATTCTTTTGTCCCAGGGGTGCTCCCTTGATGTGGTGCTCTCCCCCTTCCTCTAAGGATACGGCTTCTAAAAAGCCAGACTGCAGTGATTGTTATTGCCTTTCTGGTTCTAGCCATTTAGCAGGATTCTGGGGCTCCAGGGTGGTGCTAAGAACTGTCTGCAAAGAGTCCTGTGATGTGATTCATCTTCACGTCTTCCAGCTATGGATACCAGCACCTGCTCTAGTGAAGGTGGCGGGGAGTAAAGTGGACTCTGTTGGGAGTCCTTGGTTGTAGTTTTGTTTTAGTGTGCTGGTTTTAGTCCTTGGTTGTAGTTTTGTTTAGTGCGGTGGTTTTCTCAAATGCTGGTTATGCTAGCAGTGAAGTTGTCACATGGACAGACTCAGGACCTCTGGTTAACCAGGGTGTTGCAGGTGGTGAAATTAGCTGTTGTTTTCTCCTTCTTTGGAGCAGAGTTGTTCTCTTATGAGTTGCTGTAATGGCTTGAGTTGATTGGCCTCCAGCCAGAAGGTGCTGCTTTCAAGAGAGCACCAGCTGCAGCAGTAGAAGGGGGATATAATTTTGCCCTGCCTTGGCTAGGATAGGTACTTGGCTTCCTCAGGTAATGAACAGGGCCATAGAGCTCCCAAGAGACCATGTCATTTGTCTTTGGCTATCAGGGCAAGTAGAGAGAAACCATCAGGTGGGGGCAGGTTAGGTGGGTCTGAGATCATACTCTCCTTGGGCAGGACTTGCTGTGGCCACTCTGGGGGTGGGGGGCTGGTTCTTGGGCAAATGGAGTTATGTTCCCAGGGGAATTATGGCTGTTTCTGCTGTGTCAAATAGGTCTCCAGAGACATGGGGGAAAGCTGGCATTGAAAGACCTCACCCAGCTCCCACACAGCCAGCAAGGCCAGTCTCACTCCCACTGTGCCTCCCCAGCAGCACTGAGGTTTCTGTACAGGCATCTGGTAAGCAGGGCTGAGATCTTGCCCCAGGCTACAAGCCTCCTGCTGAGAAAGCAAGCAGGGCTCTCAGGCCTTGCTCCTCCCTGCCTGCCAGGACAGTTGGCTGCAGCTTCTACGCTTGTATCTTTACTTCCCATTTGTCTCCTCTTCTGCATTCTACTTAGGAAAGTTTGTGCTCAGTTAAAATCATTACAAAGTCAAGCTAGGAGCTTCCTTCACCCTGTGGCCCCTCTCCAATTCCACTGGCTGCCTTCCCTTCCCCAAGAACCCCTGTGAGATAAGTCCAGGAATGGCTTTCCTGGGGTTCAAGCTGGAGACCAGGAGTCCCTACAGGGCTCTTCCTGCTGCTGCTTCTACTTTTATATTTTGCTTGGCTGCCTAAATCCATTTCAGCTCTAGGTAAGGGTAAATCTTTCCCTTGTCATCTGGATTTTCAGGTTCCCCAATGGGGATGTGTGTTCGGAGACCAACTTCTCACCTTCTCACACTTTGGGAACTCAAATTTTTGGCCATCTTGTGTTTGCAGCAGCAAGCTGCTTCTTTCAAAGTGTCTGTGAATTCTATCAGTTTTCCTGATATGTTCCTGCAGCGGTTCATGCAGCAAAAGTTCACAGTGTGAGTCTCTACATGCTGTTCT
Organism: Homo sapiens; assembly: GCF_000001405.40. Taxonomy (NCBI): domain Eukaryota; kingdom Metazoa; phylum Chordata; class Mammalia; order Primates; family Hominidae; genus Homo; species Homo sapiens. The sequence continues at coordinate 36,247,878 of NC_000018.10, forward strand.
GTCTGTCTAACTGGGAGCTGTACATTAGTCCTGTCTCCTATCCACTGTTCTTTTTTTCCTCTGATTTTCCTTTCCTTTGGATAAATACCCAGAAGTGGGATTGCTGGATCATACGGTATTTTTATTTTTAGTTTTCTGAAGAACCTCAGTAGTGTTTTCCATGATGGCTGTACTAATTCACATTCCTACCAACAGTGTGTCAGAGTTCCCCTTTCTCTGCATCCTCACCAGCATTTGTTATTTTTTGTCATTCTGGTAATAGCCATTCTAACTGGGGTAAGATCTCATTGTGGTTTTGGTTTGCATTCCCCTGATGATTAGTGATGTTGAACATTAAAAAAAAATTGATTAGCCATTTGCATGTCTTCTTTCAAGAAATATCTATTCAGATTATTTGCTCATTTAAAAAAATTGAATTACTTGTTTTTTTTCACTGTTGAGTTGTTGATTTCCTATTTGGTTATTAATCCCTTGCTGGATGGATGCTTTGCAAACATTTCCTCTCATTCTGTTGGTTGTCTCTTCATTCTGTTGTTTCCCTTGTTGTGCAGAAGCTTTTTAGTTTGCTATAATTCTGTTTCTCTATTTTGGCTTTTGAGGCTGATGCTTTTGAGGTCTCATCCAAAAATTGTTTGCCCAGACCAATGTCTTGAAGCAGTTCCCCAATGTTTTCTTCTAGTAGTTTAATAATTTGGGGTCTTAGATTTAAATCTCTAATCCATTTTGAGTTGATTTGTGTATATGGTGAAAAATAGGGGTCTAGTTTTCTTCTTCTGCATATGGTTATCTAGTTTTCCCAGCATCATTTATTGAAGAGAACTCTTCTTGCTCCAATGTTTGTTCTTGACACCTTTGTCAGAAATCACCTGACTGTAAATGTGTGGATTTATATTTTGGTTCTGTATCCTGTCACATTGGTCTATGTGTCTATTTTTATGTCAGTACCATGCTGTTTTGGTTACTACAGCTTTGTAGTATATTTTGAAGTCAAGTAGCTGTTGTTTTTACATAATGATAAATTTGTTTTTAACCTTTGTTCATTAGGGATGGAGCCTATAGAGGTGCCTCTTGAGGAAAATAGTGAACGGACTCAGATTCGCCAAAGCAGGGTCTGTGCTGACAGGTGAGACTCTGAAGCACGTGAAAATCTCAGCTTTATTGACAGGCTGGCACAGAGGGGGAAGAGGGTAATGCCCTATGCAATCTATCCTTTGCTACCCTTCAGTCCAGTTGCTGTCCATTTCTCCCTTGCATGCTTCTCTCTAACCACACTCTTGGCTCTTTGGTCTTCAAACCTCCCAAGCATGCTCCCTTCTCAGGTCTTTGCACTTGCTGTTCCCTCTGCCTGGTGCTCTTCCCCTAGTTATACCTCCACAGGGCTGTTCTCTCACCTCTGTCAGTTTCATCTCCAACAGGTCTCTGTTCAAAAGCCCCCTTCTCAGAGGGCCACATGACTACCCACAGAAAACAACCTCTCCCTCTTCATTTCCCCTTTTGTATTCATCTCCTTTGCCTTTGTTGTTTCCAAGTTAATATATATCTGTTTATTGATCTTTAGTCCCTCCCACTAGAATGCCCATGTTGTTCCCTTCAGAGCCTGGGACAGTGTCAAGAGGACAGTGTGGGGTGGGAAGAAAAGGTGACACAGAAGGAACAGTCTGGAGGGCACTGCAACACTCCAGAGGAGGCCTCATAGGGAGGGAAAAGACCTGATTTGCATGTTGAGAAGACCAGCTGGTGCCTGTGGAGCAGTTGGAAGGGGGAAGGGGTGCAAGCAGGAAGGCCACATAAGCACCTGTGTTAGCAACACAGGTGAGACAAGATGGAGGCTTGGACCAGGGTCAGAGAGAAAGTCAGGAAGCTGCAGGTATGTATTCTGGAAATAGAATAACCTGAACTAGCTGATGATTGGATAAGGAAGCTGAGGGTGAGGGGGGTTATCAAGACATCTCTCAGGTTTCTAAAACCTAGCTTTCAGGTGATAACTCACAGATTATATACCCATATTATGGGTTATTATCTAATCTGGTTTGCTGATGATAAATCATCTACTGAATTCTAGGAAATGTAAAGTGGGGTTGAATGTAATAGCATTGCTATTTTGTTTATTGATTGTACATGTTTCTAAGTCTTTTTATTGAATAAATCAAATGTCTGCATCCCTTGTTATCTAATCTTATCTGTACCTGAATACATGTGGAATAGCAAATTTTCCAATCTTGGGAAATTTATCCTATCTTAAGCCCCAACCAATTCCCCTTTCACCCCCGCCCATATACTAAAACAGTTAACTATATAACACTTCACTAAAGATTTATGTATAATAAAAAACCTTCAGAGTGCTGATTGCCTACCAGTTAACACAATGCACTCATTAGTGGGTAGGTCTGTGCTCAGTAGATGGTGATACTGCATGGTATCAAACCATATTGCACGTCTTTGTGCACTGCCCTGAACATATGCTGTCATGCAAGGCAGGAAATGGTATGTTAAATGCTAAAGCTACATCCAAGTTGGACCCCAGTCGTTAGTGCTCTGGGTGATAGGCAGAGGATCACTCTGGGAGTGTGAAGGGCTATACCCCCAGGAAAGCACAAAGGTGATGATGTGATGATTGTGCTTGACACAGTGGAGAATCCTGGGCCCTGGTCCCAGGATGCCTTGGAGGCTAAAGAGTGAAGCACACTCTACATCTTCTTACCAGTACTTGCACCAATGTCACCAACTTACACATTCATTTAGCACATTTTCAGTCAGAACAATACATTTTGGATAAACAAAATTCTAGAGGATTCTTGAGTTTTCAAACACCAGATTGGTAAATGCAGTACTTATATCTGTAACTCACAGGCACAGTGTTCATTTTACAAACCAAACACGTCAGTCCATGTGAGAGAAGATATTTCAATCAGGCCCATAGTGAACAAATAGGACATATTTCTGGGTTCAAGGGCTTCTGAAAGCAACATATCACTCTGGAAGTTCTCAAATTCTAAGCATTCTAAGCTTTGTGGTTCTCTGTGTCAATAATTAATAGTAAAAAGGTCTTTCCAGGAGAAATGTTGAAGCTTTTTATTTGGTCTGAAAGCTTCACATAAGCCCCAGATGGCAGGTCGTCCTGCCTTGGAAATCTCCTTGCAGCATCTGTCACTTCAGGCTGCCTTCAGGGCTCATGCAATGTTTTGTTTTATTTTATTTTGTAACCAAACTTTTTGCAATTCAGATTATTATTTAAATAAATACTATGTAACAGTTCACTCTTTCTCTCTCTCTTTTGCCAGAGTAAGTACTTATGATTGTGGAGAAAAAATTTCAAGCTGGTTGTCAACATTTTTTGGCCGTCCTTGTCATTTGATCAAACAAAGTTCAAACTCTCAAAGGAATGCAAAGAAGAAACATGGAAAAGGTATTACATTTTGAATTGGTTCGTAGAGAACAGGAACCCTGGCTTACCCTTGCACACATCAAAACAGCCCATGAACTGCACTTACGGGTGACTTGCTGATGTATGGAAAGCAGGGGTCATCAGCCTTTAGCAGAAACCTACTGCAGTAGCCCCAGGTCAGCAGGCGAAATGGGCTCCAGGATCTTCTTAAGGAGGCTGAGGAGGGCATAAAGCCAGCTGTCCAGCCTCTGCCCAAACATTCAGCCTTAGTCCTGCATGTTCAAAAGCATAATTAATCCAATTGTATTAAATAAAAACCCTAATAGCTTGCTATGTCCTCAGATTGGATCTGGAAGCAAGGAAACCTGGCTTGCTAGTTTTTAGCTCTATCACCAATCAATGGCGTGACCTTGGTGAATCCTTGAACCCCATGGTGCCTCAACTTCTATAGACCTCAGCTCCTCAGACTTTCAAAAGTTTCCACAATTTTTCCCACCTTAAGCCATTGTTAGGATGAAGTGAGGCAGTAGAGATGAAAGTACTTTGAAAGTTAACAGTCCCAGGTGTGCAGAAAAGATCATTTTCATGTGTCCGCTCAAATGTCACCTCCTTAGGGAAGCCTGGCTGACTACCCTCTTCAGAACAGCACCCTGTACCTGAATCTGCAGCAACGTAGCAACCTTCCCTGTCTCATTTTTCTCAGTGGCACATTTTTTTCACATTCTTCTTGCTATATATTTTGCTCACTTATTTTGTTCTGTTTTCCTTTTAGTAGATGTAAGCAATCTCTATGAGGATAGGGATTGTTGCCTGTTTTTTTCAGTGCTGTCTCCCCATGCTTAAAATAGCACCTGGCACATAGTTGCTCAATACATGGCTAGATGAATGAATGAATGATTACCAGTTTGTTCAGATATTACCTGGCCTAGTGATCAGTTCCCAGAGGAACTAGTTTGTAATCCAAATAGCATTTAGAGTTTGGGTGTGGTAGCTCACACCTGTAATCCCAGCACTTTGGGAGGCTGAGGAGGGAGGATTGGTTAAGCCCAGGAGTTCAAGACCAGCCTGGGCAACATGGCAAGACTCTATATCTGCAAAATAAGATACAAAAATTATGAAACCGTATCTCTTCAAAAAATACAAAAATGAGCCAAGTATGCTGGTGCATGCCTATAGTCCCAGCTACTTGGGAGGCTGAGGTGGGAGGATCACTTGAGCCTGGGAGGTGGAGGTTGCAGTGAGTTGAGATCACACCACTGTAGTCCAGCCTGGGTGACAAAGCGAGACTCTGTCTCAAAAAAAAATTTAAAAAATTGCTAGGTGTGGTGGCATGCACCTGTAGTCCCAGCTGCTTGGGAGACTGAGATGGGAGGATCTTTTGAACCCAGGAGTTCGAGGCTGCAGTGAGTTATCATCACACCAGTGCACTCCAGCCTGGCTGACAGCAATATTTTATGTTTCATGTTTCTAAAACATAAATAAACCAAATGGCATTTGACCATATATGGACTGAAAACTGGGTCTAAGGCCCTGCATAGTTTAACCTACAAATCCCTGAAAGTGTATGCTATAGAGAGGAGTCAAAGGATGTAATGTACTTAGAGTTTTTAAAGTTCTGATGATTTTCACGCCATAAGCTGTTAAGAATTTGAGTTGCTGTGTGATAGAAAAGGGGAATAGATTTATACTCATTTTATTGAAGTTAGATGGTGGTGGTTGGGGTATGGATAAGCTTAGAGACATGATTAAAGGGAGAGAGAAATAGGCATTTCCAGGGGTAGAGGCATGAAAGGAGTAGGATTTGTCAGGACCTGTGTACCACCCTTGTAAATTATCTGGAGAAGTGAGCAGCAGTGAAATCTCTAAGTGCCAATTATTCATAGCACCCATTGCCTACCTGGGGTTTACTGGGTTTCAGGAGGCTGGCTGAGATAGTTAAGCCTTAGTCCTGGTCCTTTGGAGTCTCCGTTGGTGAGATCAATTGCCAGCAGATAGCAATGCTGCAACGTAAGAGATGTAATAAAGGTCTATGCGAAGGGCAGAATCCTCTACACCTGGAATGAGTCACAGAGGGCTTCAGGGAGGAGGTGAGTTTGGAGCTGCAACTTAAAAGGAGAGTAGGAGGCCAGGCGCGGTGGCTCACGCCTGTAGTCCCAGGACTTTGGGAGGCCGAGGCGGGCAGATCACGAGGTCAGGAGTTCAAGACCAGCCTGGCCAACATGGTGAAACCCCATCTCTACTAAAAATACAAAAATTAGCCGGGCATGGTGGCAAGTGCCTGTAATCCCAGCTACTTGGGAGGCTGAGGCAGGAGAATTGCTTGAACCCAGGAGGCAGAGGTTGCAGTGAGCCAAGACCACGCCACTGCACTCCAGCCTGGTGATAGAGCAAGACTCTGTCTCAAAAAAAAAAAAAAGGAGAGTACGAATTTTTCAGGCAGTCACAGGCGGGATGGTTACCAGGGAGCAGCATGGCAGGGCTTGGCATTCATGGGCTCAGAGAAGGGTTTAGAGGGTCAGATGTGAGCAGGGGAGTGACGGGGGATAGATGGGGAGAAGGGTTGAGTGTGCCACTGAGGAGTCAGTAGTCCTTTACCTGTGGCTGCGGAACTCACTGGAGGATTCTAAGCCGAGAAGCTTCATAACACTGCTTATGTTAGAAAGTCAGCCCTGACTTGGCGAGGTGGCTGCATCGAGTGGGAAACTCAGGCAGTAAAGGCACAGGTGGGAGGCAGCTGGGACTGTCCTGGTGGGAGATGGGGCCTTGGTGGAACAAAGGTGGTAGGTGCAGAGGAAAGAAGAAAGCCTGTCTTCCTGCTCCCTGCACGATGCAGAATCAGGGAGTGTCAGCTTGTGACTGTTTACACTTAGAGGACACCCCTTAGGGTCCCATGTTCTCTGGCAGTCTAAGCCATTGGTCTTGAAACAGTTTTTTTGAGTTGGTATACCTTAGAAGGATTTTTTAAAACTATATTCCTCACTCATACTAAAATTTTTACGTTGTCATCTAAATTTTAAAAATAGTTTAAACAGCTACAAAGGATGTGATTTCCAGTATATTGTAAACATTGTCATTTTAAATTTAAACTTGTACATTGTTCTTTTCAACAAAGCCAGTAGAATCTCAATACTGCAGCATTTTTTTAAACCACAACAATTTGAATCTCGTGAGTATTCATTACAAAATACATTATCTCTGTGTGTGTGTGTGTGTGTGTGTGTGTGTGTGTGTGTGTGTATAGAGAGAGAGAGAGCGAGAGGGAGAGAGAGAGAGAACAAACTGTCCTTTAATAGTCAGTTTTATTTCTTTCCTTTTCATATATATGTGTGTGTGTATATATATATACACACACACATATATATATGAACGAACTGTCTTTTAGTGGTCAGTCTTTTATTTCTTTCCTTTTCCTTCTGCAACTTGTATTTCCTTTCCATGCCCTCAACAGAATTTTATCTTAGTGTTATATATTCTGTGCTTGGAAATCTTTCATTGACTACTACCCTATCATACTTCTGTGAAATTAAAATGTGTATATAAATTGACATGGATAAACATTTTTTAAAGTTTACTGTGATTGTAAGAGTTTAAGTGCTAGGAAATTTCTTCTGCATTGAGTTCTTATTTTTTATTTTTTATTTTTAATAGAGATGGGGTTTCGCCATGTTGCCCAGGCTGGTCTCCAACTTTTGAGTTCAAGCAGTCCTCTCACCTTGGCCTCCCAAAGTGCTGGGACTACAGGCATGAGCCTTTGCACCCAGCCCATAATTTTTCGTAGTACACAGTTGATCAAAGCAACATAAGTATATTATAACTTTTGAAAAATAATTATTAAACGTAAGAAAAAAATTAGCGAAAATGAGCCTCTTAATGAGGTGGCTGGGCACCCTGCCATTTGTTCCTATTCCCATGAATGACTGTCACTCATGGCCAGAATAGCTGGTGCTCAGCCTCGGGTCTCTTCTGAGACGCTTAAATAAAGGGCTAGGGAAAGGAGTTTCGTTAGTGCAGTGTCACTCAAACCTTGCTTCTGAAGTATGTGACCGAAGCACTGGACTCTAAGATTGAAATGCCTTTCATCATCTGTCTCTTGACAACTTAATTAGGTCCTGCAGTTTTGTGGAGAGCAAATAATTGGAATCCATCTGACCTACAGGAGGATCATTTGCCCAAGCTTTAGAGACTTTTATTTTCTCAGCTCGGACTCCAGGGTTTTGAATGGGGCTTTTGTCTTCCACTCTGGAGATTGTTGGTCCCTGAGGGAGTGTGCTTTAGGAGACCTTGGCCTTTCCTCTGTGAAAGAGGAAGGGTCTTTGTGGACAGGGCTGGGATTGCACCTCCCTTCTCTGGCAGAGCCGTTTTAGCAAAGAGGATATATGCAAGTGGCAGATCTGGAGGGCAGTTCTCTCAAAAGTATCCGTTTGCGTCTACTCTGGGGTCCACACACCTGATTTGGAAACAACTCAGTAGGTCCTGGTCCAGGCAAACCTTTTCTTCAATATCTTGGATAATGATAGTGATGCCGGGCCTGCCAAAGGGAGATGGGAACTGGGTGATAGGGTGCCAGCTATTCTGAATACACTTAATATTTTCTTTCAATAGTTTCGTCCCCCTTTTAGTAGTTTTTTTTTTTTTTTTTTTTAGACAGTTTTGCAGTTTCACTCTTATTGCTCAGACTGGAGTGCAATAGTGTGATCTCGGCTCACTGCAACCTTCATCTCCTGAGTTCAAGAGATCCTCCTGCCTCAGCCTCCTGAGTAGCTAAGATTAAAGGCAAGTGGCACTGCGCCCAGCTAATTTTGTATTTTTACTAGAGATGGGGTTTCTCCATGTTGGTCAGGCTGGTCTTGAACTCCCGACCTCAGGTGATCCTCCTGCCTCGGCCTCCCAAAGTGCTGGGATTACAGGAGTGAGCCACCGCGCCTAGCCCTCCCTTTTAGTAGTTTTTAAACATCTACTATCTATTTCTAAACTCAATATCTGGCACTTGCCCAAGGGCAAACAGCTTTTCCCTGATTAGATTCAGAAGCTCTTCCTGGGCCTTTTGCCCTCACCAGGGCTCTCTGCCTTGCTCCGTCCTATCCAGGGAAAGGATGCGCCTGCTGTCATCCCTCCTCCTCGAAGTCTTGCCTCCAAGTCTAATTTGCTGGAACAATTTCATCTCAGCATTTTTCATTTTATTTTTTTAATTTTCTAAATTTTTTTGAGACAGAGTGTTGCTGTGTCACCCAGGCTAGAGTGCAGTGGTGTGATCTCGGCTCACTGCAACCTCTGCCTCATGGGTTCAAGTGATTCTCCTGCCTCAGCCTCCTGGGTAGCAGGGATTACAGGTGTGTACTACCACACCTGGCTAATTTTTGTATTTTTGGTAGAGACAGGGTTTCACCATGTTGGTCAGGCTGGTGTCGAATTCCTGGCTTCATGTAACCCTCCCACCTCAGCCTCCCAAAGTGCTGAGCCACTGTGCCCAGCCCTTATTGTTATTTTCTCCACGTTATTTTAAACAGAGTATTCTAGAATCTCCTTTTGCCTCTTTATTGAGAGATATGCACCATGCTTAGGACATTTTTATTATTGCCAGGACATCACTTTTTTTCCCTTGTAGAAATAGTCTCTACCTTTTAAAAAAATACAAGTCTATGGAAACATGATTCACTGGCATTCTGAGAAAGCAACTCTTCTTTTAAATGCTCCATCATTTTCAGATCAACTTCCTGGTACAATGGCCACCCTTTCTCTGGTGAATGAGGCACAGTATCTGCTGATCAACACATCCAGTATTTTGGAACTTCACCGGCAACTAAACACCAGGTAAGACCTCATACCTCGGGACTAGCAGACAAGCATAACCATTTGCCACTGGGAGCAGGGCCTGGCACCTGCCTGGAGCGGAGAGATCTGAGAGTCATGAAGTTCAGCCCTGCTTCATGTACAGATGAGAAACTGAGGCCCTGAGAAGTAAGCAGGCCCTTTTGTCCAGCTTCCATTCATCTTTATAGAGGGTTATCTTTTATCTTACAAAGATCCTTTTTGATATCCTCAAGATGGTTAATGGAGAACCCCTAGCTCTCACTGTTTAATCATTCAATTTCTTAATGTTTGTTTTAATTGAATTGCCACCAACTTGACTAACTTTTATTGCCCACCCTCCCACTATCCCCTGTCCCCGAGGATCTCTGCCCTACTTCACACAGTCATTTTAAAGGCTAAAAAAGAGTGGTTATGAAAGCTTTTAAAGTTGTAATTGCAGGCACACTTTATTTGAAAGATGCACCACAGATGGAATTAGCACCCCTCCCTGCCCACTCCCACCCAGTGCTCTCCCAAGGACCCTAACAGCATTGGGAGGTCAGCTCCAGAAAGGGTCATGGTTGGGCCAACCCTCTCGTTGTTCTTTAGAGCAAACTGAAGTCCCAAGGTAGCCAGGCAATGAGGAAAAATCACCCAGCTCTCATGCCACAGGGTGACTGGGACGGGCTCCTCATTCCTGGTCCACAGGCCAGAGATGAGTGTTGTTAGTGGCTCACCCCTAACAGCACTGTGAACTGGGGGTCCTGTGACTGTCTTGCACCACGTGGTCAAGTACACACACATACATATTTGCAAAGACATACAAATACAGTTTAATAAAGCTGACTAAGCCACCTCGTCCGCCTCTGCAGGGATGGGCTATTTGTAGTCACTCTTGTTTCTATCCATTGTTGAAAATATACAACATCATTCTCATACTGTGGCCCAGCTCGCTATCTTTGAGAGCAAAAGTGTGATGCAGCCACATGTTCTCTGGGTATTCACTGAGTTCTTCTGGCACTGAGGGACCCTTCTCCTCAGGCATCCAGAGTCCTGGAAAAAGTGGGTCTGCAGTTTTTTGGGGTTCTTCGTGTGGAAAGATAGGAGGTGGGGAGAGGCTTGCTGTCACCCCAGTTCCTACCAGGAGGGGCCACGTTCCCCACCATCTGGTTTATAGCAGGGTGGACCCGCTGGGCAGCTGATCCAAGAGCAGAGCTAGGGTCCCCTGCTAGGTATTTCTCTGTGCTTTATTTGCAAATTTGAGGGACTCTATCATGCACATGTTAACCATGATAGCTTTTGGACATAAAACATGCCCTTTTACGAAGCCCAAAGTGAGGGTTTATAACCCAGAGAGTTGATCCAGAATCAAAGGATTTGAGGACTGGAAAAGTGCTAATCCTCTTGTTGCAGATGAGGAAATTGTGGTCCTCATAGGTTGTGGGAGTTGCCCTTAGTAAGTGGCAAAACCAGACTCAGGTATCCCGGTCTCTGGCTTTTCATACGTTGTTTGCCATTCAAAGGAGATTGGGACTCCTCCTTCCCAACCCCATAGTCTTTCAACCCTGTCTCTGGCGCATACTCTAACCATGCCTGAGGATTTACCTCACACCAACTTAAGCAATTAAAAATTGATTGAAGCACAAAAAAGTGCAAAAGTCATCAGTACACAGTTAAATACAGTTTTACAGATGTATACGGCTATGCTCCATCATTTTCAGATCAATCTCCTGGTACAACAGCCACCCTTCCTCTGTTGAATGAGGCAAAGTATCTGCTGATAAACACATTAAGTGTTTTGGATCTTCACCAGCAACTACCACTACCTAGATCAAGCTAAGAATGTACTCCAGAAACCTCCCTTGTATCCCATCCCAGTCAGCCTCACTGAAGGTCACCACTATTCTGACTTCTTTCACCATAGCTAGTTTCACCCATTCTTCAACTTAATATGGTGGGATCATACAGGATGTGTTCTTTTGTCAGAGAAGTTTTAAGATGTATTTTCAGTGCGTTCTTCTGGGTGGGGGTGGGGGGTGCAGAGGGCCATTTTTTTTGGAACCTCATGGCAATAAATAAAAATTACAAAAATAAGAGTTACAAAAATAGGCTAGGCATGGTGGCTCACACCTGTAATCCCAGCACTTTGAGAGGCTGAGGTGGGAGGATCACTTGAGCCCAGGAGTTCAAACCCAGCCTGGGCAATATAGTGAGACCCCATCTCTAAAAAAAGTAAAAATAAGTTAGCTGGGCATGGTGGCACATGCTTGTAGTCCCACCTACTTGGGAGGCTGAGGCAGGAGAATTACTTGAGCCTGGGATCTTGGTCAAGGCTGCAATGAGCTGAGATTGTGCCACTGCACTCCAGTCTGGGTGACAGAGCAAGACCTTGTCTCAAAAAAAAAAAAAAAAAAGGTATCAGAAAAATAGCAGATGTTACACTGCAAATAGAATGGAAATTAGGAAATACTATCTTCTTTATTTATAATGTTTTAATACCCAAAAAAAAAAAAAAGAGTGAGATCTCAACACCTGTGAAAAGAAGGGGGAAAAAAGGGAATGAGATCTCAGTGCTTCTTAGGTCTTTGATCATTAAGCCTGTTGACAGGTTTTTAAATGCCTTATGCCGCCCCACCTTATAGAACTGGTGTGTTCTCAGAAGTTCCTTTTTCACTGGAGTTCTGTTCTTCTGATTTCCAAAGTCCTTCATCTCTTCAGCTAAGATCTGCTCGCCCTTTGCCTGGCTCTTGTGGGACTCTCACTGGAGATGGGACCGTATCCCAGGGGAGGCCCTGATGCCTGTTTAGCAGATGGGTGTCTCTTGGCCTTGCACTCATGGTAAAAGTCTGTTTTGATTATCCAGGGCACAGGCCACAGTAGAGCTGATGAAGTTAGGTGTTACATGGCAGGCATGATGAATTATTATAGTGGTACAATTATCTGCCATCCTCCCCCTACTTACTCTTTTTGGTTGCTTTAATCAGTGATGAGAATGGAAAGGAGGAATTATTCTCACTGAAGGATCTCAGCTTGCGTTTTCGTGCCAATATTATTATCAATGGAAAAAGGGCTTTTGAAGAAGAGAAATGGGATGAGATTTCAATTGGCTCTTTGCGTTTCCAGGTAAGTTTGGGGAAGTTCTATTATCCTTCCTCCAGGGTTGTCAATGAAGATTGACCTCAATCCCAGACCTGGATAGCTGCAGGTGGGACTCCCTCCCAGTCCTTGTCTCTTAACTACAAAATCTTGGTGGGAGGTTATGTAAGCTTAGCCTTCTAAGACACCCCATGGAATAATCCATCCTTTATTTCCCAAGAGGATGGTAGCAGTCAGTTTCGCACACACCACAGAAGGTGTGCGAGGGCTCGACACTGCCTCTGTGCTGTCGTTATGTCCAGACTTAAACTCTGGTTTTTTGGAATGCTTGTGTCATGAGACTGTCATCCTCCTGAAACTTGTTGGACTTTGTGGCAGTCTGGAGCTTGTGGAGGGAGGCCCAGAAGCCTGGCGGTGCCTCTTTGCCCATGGCCACCCACTCTTCCACACGCTTCACCTTTTCTGCCTTTGCTGGTGGCTGGGAAGGAGATTGTCAGAGGCAAAGCCACCACGATGTCCTCTGTCCCTGGCTTTGGACTCCCAAAACCTTTGGCTATGGGCTTCAAAGATATGAGAAAGAGGCGAAAGGTCTTAGGCTAAAATCTGTGCTCCTCACATGGTTGACAAGGCCCTACGAGATCCCATGCTGCCACTGTCTCTGAGCTCATCACCCCTTCCCTCTCTGCCTCCGTCACAGTGACCTTCTCTCTGTTCCCTAAACAGCCACCCTTCCTGCCTTAGCCCTTGCCATCCCTTCTGCTTAGCATGTTGTCCAAGGGTCTCAGCTCAGATGTCACCTTCTTGGAAAGGATGCCCCTGACCTGCCGCAGGGTCACGTTCTGCTTATTCCTGCAGTGTGTGGGAGGGTGAGACCAAGTCTGTTTTATTCCCTGCTGTACCTCTATGGCCTTGAATGACACTGGCCCAGAGTCAGTGCTCAATAAGTAATTGTTGAGGGAAGAAATGGACAGAAGAGATAAGGAATATCTAATGCCAGAGAATGTGCTCTGTTCTTTAGTGGGGGCTGAAATTATTTTTATAATACAGGCTGAACATCCTTAATCCAAAAATCTGAAATCTGAAATGCTCTAAAATATAAAACTTTTTGAGCACTGACATGACATTCAAAGAATATGACCACTGGAGCATTTTGGATTTCAGATTTTCAAATTAGGAATGCTCAACTGGTTAAGTATACCAGAGATATATAATGTAAATATTCCAAAATTAAAAAAAAAATCTCAAAATGCTTCTGGTGTCAAGCATATTGGATAAGGAATACTCAACCTGTGGTAGTGTAATTAGCCACTGGTATAAACTGACTATAACGAGCTACCTTGTATTCAGGCTCTGCACTCAGAAGGAACACCACTCTAACATCTAGGAAAGCAGTAAACAGTCATTTGAATCTTTATTAAAGAATTTTAGAGATCTGGGGTATAGGAAATAAATTGCATGGCACAATAAAATGTTCCAATGATGTTTTTGATGTTTTTAACTCCCTAGACTTCCTCTTACCCTGACAGTGGCTCCCCCTTGACAAGCAATCTATATTATGTCCTACATTCTCTCCCACAAGCCCATCTCAGGCACTAGCCCTCCTGCCGTTTCCCTCATCCCTCCATCCTTACTTACTCTTCCTTATTTTCTATCCCTGTGTCTCTGCCATGTTTTTTAAAAAAATGCCTACTGTTACACATCCTGCTGGGAACAAAATAGACACTAAATATACATTATCAAATAGGTGGAGAGTGAGAGGAAGAAAGGAAGAAAAAAAAGGGAAGAGAACTAGAACTAGACTGAGATTACTCTCAGAAACTTACCTGGCAACAGTAGCACCTGTGCCTCTCCAGGTATCTCGAGACATAAATATAAGGAAGACTCTTTAAGGAACCTTTCTGAGATGACTTAGCAGGCTTTGCTTTCTTTAGGTCACCATTCTTAATAGACCACAACTAGTAAAAATCAAAATATGCATGCCCTTTGACTCAATAATTTCACTTGTAGAAATCTATCCCATAGAAACGCTAATACAAGTATTAAAATAAGTATAAAATTATTTTCACCAGCCTGGGCAGCATAGCAAGACTTCGTCTCTCTCTACACACACACACACACACACACACACGAAAAATTAGCCAGGCACGGTGATGTGCGCCTGTAGTCTCAGCTCCTTGAGGTGGGAGGATTGCTTGAGCCCAGGAGCTCAAGCCTGTAGTGAATCAAGATTGCCCCACTGTACTCTAGGCTGGGTCTCAGAGCAAGATCCTGTCAGTCAATCAGTCAATCAATAATAGCTATATGCATTAGTCCAGCACGAGCATTAAAGAGCATAAGATATGGTTAATACTGCACCTTTCTTTTTTTTGAGACAGGGTCTTACTCTGTTGTCCAGGCTAGAGTACAGTGGTGCAATCTTGGCTCATTGCAACCTCTGCCTCTCAGGTTCAAGCAATCCTCCTGCCTCAGCCTCCTGAGTAGCTGGGACTACAGGCGTGCACCACCACACCTGGCTAAATTTTTTATTTTTGGTAGAGATGGGATTTCACCATGTTGGCCAGACTGGTTTCAACCTCCTGGGCTCAAGTGACGTGCTAGCCTCAGCCTCCCAGTGTTGGGATTATAGGCATAGGCCACCACGCTTGGCAATACTGTGCCTTTCAAGAAAGTAAATGCTTGGCTGGGCACAGTGGCTCATGCCTGAAATCCCAATGCTTTAGGAGGCCAAGGAAGGAGGATCACTTGAGCTCACAAGTTTGAGACCAGCCTAGGCAAAACAGCAAGACTTTATCTCTACAGAATATTAAAAAATTAGCTGGGCATGGTGGTACATCCCTGTGGTCTCAGCTACTCAGGAGGCTGAGGTGGGAGGATTGCTTGAGCCTGGGAAATGAAGGCTGCAGTGAGCTATGATGAAGCCACTGCCCTCCAGCCTGGGTGACAGAGCAAGACCCTGTCTCAAAAAAAAGCAAATGCTCAAAAGATGTTTGTTGATGATAATACTCAGTGCCGAAGCAATTACTGTGAAACTAGCACATCTCTTTTGGAAAACAATTTTTTACTGGATGTCATCAAGTCATAAATATTTTTTATTCCTGTTGACCTTATAATTTCATTTTGGGAGACTGATACTACAAAAAAAATGAAAAGGAAAGACAGTTATGTGAATTAGGCCTTTATTGCAAAATTATTGATCACAGGAAAGCATTAGAAACTATTCACATGGCTTCAAAGGAGAAGAACTAAGTGTTTCAACCCATGGAATGCCAGGCCATCCATTGTGAAAATTGCAAAATGCAAGGATGAGGTGGCTTTCTATGTCCTGACTGGAAGGATGTCCTTGCATATTGCAGAGTAATTGAAAAAGAAACCCAAGTGGGCTCTGAGATCCCAGCGAGTGTGTTTACACAGGTGCACATACACAGTTGTATGCAGTTACATGACACAGTCTGGGATGGTCTGGGATGGTTTGGATGTCCTAGGATGGCCGGGGACAATCTGGGATGTCCTGGGATGGTCTGCAGCCCATGAGCAGCACCTGTCTCTGTGGATGGGGAGAGGGGGATCACTGCTGTTGAGTGCTTTCTCTTTTAATTCTTCAAGCTTCTGTATTGTTTGACTTGTTTTTTAATGAATATATATGCTAGTAAACACATTTTAAAAATACTAGTTGCTAAGAATACCAGAAAAGAAGCTTTAAAATGAAGATTTTTTAAGAAAATTGTTTCTTTTGTATTGGTGTTTGGGGCTGGGTGCGGTGGCTCATGCCTATAATCCCAGCACTTTGGGAGACTGAGGTGCTCGGATCACCTGAGGTCAGGAGTTTGACACCAGCCTGACCAACATGCAGAACCCGTCTCTACTAAAAATATGAAAATTAGGTGGGCGTGGTGGCTGGTGCCTGTAATCCCAGTTACTCAGGAGGCTGAGGTAGGAGAATCGCTTGAACACAGGAGGTGGAGTTTGCAGAGAGCTGCCTGGGTGACAAGAGTGAAACTCCAGTCTGGGTGATAAGAGTGAAACTTCACCTCACAAAGAAAAAAAAAGGTAAAAGAAAATAGTGTCCAGAAAATGCCCCTTTCTTCTGCTAGTTTGAGAAACTGTTCTAAGAGGGCCTTTCATTGAAGTGACAGGATTTTTACAGAAGTTGTTGCCTGTCGGGTGGCTGCTAGAGGCTGGGGCTGGTGCAAGCTGCAGGGCCCTGGCATCCTTTCTGCAGGAGCTGGCCCCATGCATCAGCTGTTTTCTAGGCAAAGAGGTAAGAGGTAAGAGGGTGCAGGAGCCACACTGGCTCCTCGAGGACACAGCTTTGTGGCGTTACAAAAGCCTCGTTCCACTGCAGGGATCCTCGTGTATAATAGTGATAGTTTCCACTCTCGAGCACGGTCAAGTGCCAGGCCTGGGCTTGAGTCCTTGTATCCCTGATGTAGTTCTCACCAAATACAGCCAAGAATCTAGACAAGGAAACGATATCTGGAGAGGTCACAGGTTTGCCAAGTCCTTGGTAGAGCTCCTTTCCAGCAAGTTCTGGGTGCTTACGTGGCCTGGGAATCTTGACTTCGGTACCACAGGGAGCATATATTTCCGCTGATTTAGTACCCAGTGCAGAATGTGAGCGTCAACCTAAAAAAAAAAATTAGAGCTTTGTACAGTGCCAGTATCAGAGCCAATGAGGTTTTTCTGAGGTGTGATTATTGCTAATTGAAAACTTTTCCCAATTAAAAACAAAAACAAAATAAAATTTAAAAAACACACCAGAGAAAATGATCTCCTAATGTGACGAATTTATTCAGGAGTAAGCAAAAAGGATTATAAACTAGGATGCATAGCTATGGCAAGCCACAGGTGCACCTGAAGAGGAGAGAGTAAGGGAAAGCTTTTATTGGCAAAAATAAAGTCATACAAGCTGCTTGAAAACAGAATTTATTGGTTCCTGGGGCTCACAGCCAGAATTGGCATCAGTTCATTGGTGGAGACGCTGTTACTGGGCAAATGTTCCTTTAAGAGCATCTTATCTGAACTGCTGCAGTCCTGAAGAATGTCTAGTGATAAACCCTGTCTAGAAATACGTGCATACATGCAAGACATGGATCATGAAAAGCATGAGATGCATGAAGGACATGGAGGAATTTCTTGTGGGATTATTTTAGAAAGTCCTTGAGACAGTCGTTATCTCAGAAATGCAAGCATGAACTCCCTGCCTTCGTGCCATCCTGGCTCCAATTTCTTCGGGTCTAATCAGTGATTTCATCCTGGTATCTGCAACTTTCACACCAGTAACAGGAACAGGCCAAGACACATCCAGATTAGGTGAGTGTTTCTAATTTCAGTGCATAATTTGTATTTGCCCGTGAGTGAGCTGAGGAGAAAATGGTTATGAGAAAATAGTTTTAAGAAAATCAAGTACCTTTGCACTTTTTACATGTGCAATAAAAGAAGCATCTCGTTATTGCTGAGCTGCATGCTTTCTTTTTGATGTTTATATTATGGGGGATTTTAAGCTCCACCAGACAGTATGACCTGTATTAAGAAATTGTAACAATGCGTTTTAAGTATTGTGTATGTGTGGCATGTAGGCGTGGGTACGTATGGATATATATATATATATATATGCATACAGATATGTATATTAAAAATAATTTTGTTTCCTACTTATTACAGTTACAAAAACAATTCCCCATTTTATTTAAAGGTTTTTATAGATTCCTTTTAATACGTGCATGATATAATTTTAATGCCTGAACCGTATACATCATATATATGTAGCATGGTTTACTTAACCATTTCTCTCCACTATATGACGTTAATGATGTTAACAAGTTTTTCCTATTATGAACAATGTGAGGATAAATCTTTGTCCATGACTGTGGTTGGGCTTCTCGTTCCTTTCTTAGGTTGGATTTTTAGATGTGAAGTTGCTGGGTCAGCGGGCATTGACACATGAAAGTTCTCTCTGATGACCTTCTCACAGGGGCCAGCGCTGGCTCTGCGACCTCCTCCTCCTCTTTCTTCTTTCTTGCTCTGTTGCCCAGGCTGCAGTGCAGTGGTGCGTTCTTGGCTTACTGCCACCTCCGCCTCCCGGGTTCAAGTGATTCTTCTTCCTCAGCCTCCTGGGTAGATGGGATTACAGGCATGCATCACCACGCCTGGGTAATTTTTGTATTTTTAGTAGAGACAGGGTTTTGTCATGATGTCCAGGCTGGTCCTGAACTCCTGGCCTCAAGTGAACAGTCCGCCTCTGCCTCCCGAAGTGTTGGGATTACAGGTGTGAGCCACCATGCTGGCTTTCTGCAACTTTTCTCTTTTTCCAATTTGTCTTCCCAGTCACTGAGTGCTTTCCTTCCTCAAATCCATTCTCCAACATTTCCTGAGAACCGTCAAGATCTCAGTCCCTCTTTTCTTTGTCTGCAAAGACCTTAAGCAGTGGTCTTTTAGCTGACAAACAAATGCAGATGATTCCCCAGCAGAGACGGTGAACAGGTGCCACGTTCTGGCTCTCCATAGTTAGGGGACTGGGCATTTCTGTGTGATTCCTCCCTCTGAGGTGCAAGGCTCTGGTCACTTTTGTGGCAACGCTGTGTTTTCCTTCTCACCTGCCAGGTTTTGGGGCCTTGTCACAGATGCCAGATGATTTGCATCGACCAGCAAACTGGGCAACGAAACCAGCATGTTTTCCAAAAACTTTCTGAGAGTCGTGAAACAAAGGTAAGCGTGATTGCAAAATATGACACCTGGTTTCCAATCCTGGTGTTATCAATACCAGAACTATGTTCATAATAGCACAGAGTTATTTTTTTAAATGGGGGATTTGCTGCCCATCCAAAGCTGTTGGGCTGCCATTAACCTATCCTTGTTTGTAGTTTCATTTTATTTTTCCTTTCCATCCAAGTTCTCACTTTTTTTTGTTTTACTTCATGTATTTTTATGCTTTCCAATCTTGTTGAAGAGATATGGAGTACAAAAAAAACAAGTAATTCTGTTGTCTTGATCATTATTTTCTTTAACACAGAGAGCTCATGAAGAGTAAAGTGCCTTAATGTGAATAGAGTAGCTGCATAGAAAGAGTCAGTACATTTCATTAAACTGGAAATACATTCATTAAGCCTGGAAATTCATTTTCTTGAGGGTTAAAACAACAAAGTGTTGTTATGAATTCCAGATTATAGAAACTGAACTTCCAATGTGTTGATTCTTTAGAAAGATTTATTTTCAGGCTTATACTTTCTGTTAGGACTTTTTGTTTTCAAAGAATTCCAGGAAGCCAAGAAAAGCAGTCAGGCTACATAGAACAATTCTTGAAAATTAACAGAAATAATGCAAACACTGTATCTACTTCCAATAATAAGCTGGCAAGTTAATTCATGGTAAAATGTGCTACATTGTTTCCTGTGTTTCTTCAAAGCCAGGGTTTTGTTTCACAGTATAGACATTTGATTTATGTAAGTTTTCTTACCAATATGGGATAGAAATGGCCTGCAGAGTAGTGCATTTGACTGTTACAGCAGCATGTCTGTCAATGCAGGCTGTGTTGTCTGGGGTGTGGGGACCTTGAGCCTGCACCATGCAGGTTGCCAGGAGAAGAAAGAAGAAGGCACAAATACAATACTAAGGTCCATGAAAATAGTGTTTCTCAGCATCACTGCAATTTTCATGTGCATGATGAACCTTTTATTTTTAAATTTTGGAATAATTTTAGATTTACGGAACAGTTGCAGTGAGAGTGCAGAGGCTGCACTTTTCACCCACATTTGTACAAATCATGAGGAATTGGCCCAATCCCCTAGCCTGGGGCCTGGAACATGAGGGTGTCCAACAGATGTTATCACAAGAACTAACAGATCGGAGAGCATGTCAAGTCCTCCAAAGGGTCCTGAGTGGTTCACTTGCATTGATGGTTAACATTGAGCAGACTTACCTACTCTTCATTTTGGACCTTCCATCCTTATTCAGGAGAATTTGACAAAATTAACTTGCATCATTCTTTCTCAAGGAAAATGCAGAGTTCTGCCACTGTCTTCCCCAAAAGGCTTTTACATCAGGCAGCAAACAGGAAATGGGCCTGATGGTGGTCACAAGCTGAGAGTAGGAAGAAAGTCCTTCTGCAGGAAGTTCAGGGCATGTGGGACAGAGATGTGCCCAGCAAGAAAGAGGTGTGGGGTGACCACAGGGAAAGGATGCCTTAGAATGAGAATCTTTGGGGTCTAAAGTTAGGATTCTCTTAATGTTCCAGTGCATTCTACTGTGTAACAGATAGGAGATATCAAGTCTCAGTATATGTCTTTAAAAATCTGACTTGATTTTAGTTAAACATTAATATTTACAAAGTTATTTTAATTGCTAAAATAATCTAGCCTTTTTTGTTGTTGTTGCTGTTTTGTTCACAGGTGAACTTTGGCATGTACCTGATGCATGCATCATTGGATTTATCCTCCCCATGTTTCCTGTCTGTAGGATCTCAGGTGCTCCCTGTGTTGAAAGAGAATGTGGAAGGTCATGATTTACCTGCATCTGAGAAACACCAGGATGTTACCTCCTAAAAAAAATTTTTAGCATAAAGTTTCTCTTTTACAGTGATCTCTATTATTGTTAAGATCTGCAACTTGGTTCAGTAGAACTTGATGTTTTGAATAAGGAGAGCTCTTTTTCTTTAGAGGCAGGGAATGCTCTCACCTGCTTCCTTCTGCCTTTGACTTCTCACCCTGCAAATTTGCACTGGCTGTGCTCAGGAGAGCACTTCTGAGGCCTCAGGAACGAATGCTGCACCCACATCCAGTGAGGCTCCTGTAGGTATTTGAAGTATAATCACTTGTAATCAGATGAAATTTTTAATGAAGTTCACTGGGAAGATTGAACTTACTGCGGGTCCCTATTTTGCCATTTTCTCACATTGTTACTTTGTTTTTAGAGAGCATCTTTGGATCTCTCCAACCCGTTTGTAGTGAGGAAGGGAGTCTATGCCCAGTGATCCTGGGTATGAGAAGGTGCTCCTCTCCTCCCATGTACATGATGGTGTGGGTTTATGCTCAGGGGCCCAGAGGGTAACTTGTGACCACATTCCTTGAGGGGAGTTTCTACCAGAATATTTATATTCTGAGCAAAGGCACAGGCCAGCAATTCCTTTCCTGTTGCTTCCCATCCCTGGCCTCCGTCCTCATCCCCCACTGAGTTGATGCACTGAGGATGGCTCACGAGCCTGAAGTTACACTCAGTGATGGCTGTGCTTATGCAGGTTGTCATCCTCCCCTCCACAAGCCCACAGGATGGTGTTGGTCCATCACCCGAGAGCCTCCAAATCCTATCGAGGGAGGAACTTTGGCATTCAGGAATCCTGTCTGTATCATCTTTGACCACTGCTCCTGCAGCCTCCAGATGAAAATGTCCAGTGAGGAAATCTCATTCTCTAATGAAGTTACCCATCCCGCTGAGTTTCTAAGAAGTTTCTCCCTGTGCGGAGCTTGTGTGTGCCTTATCTGCTTCTGCATGACTTCCAGCCTGGGGTCTTACCCTGTCCTCTGGAGCAATGCAGAGTGAGTACATCCACTCCACATTCATTCTGCTGGCGTCCTTCTGAAGCCTGCTGTCCATGTGTGAACCCAGTCCCTTCATCATCTTCCCCCTGGATGGTTGTATTTTTCCAGTCACTTCTCCCCCAAATGTCTGCCTGCTGCAGCCCACTGCATCTTTTGAAAGCCTGTGCCACCCCATCTCTCCTGCTGCTCAGTTGGAGAGCAGGCTCCAGGCTCAGGCTTCCCTAATGTATCTGTTCAGAGCCTGTGGGATTCAGGGTCAGTTTGTTTCATTATCACATTTGTAGGACTTTGTGTTGTTCCCAGCACTAGGTGAGATTTGAAAGATGAGGTGTGCTCTGTTCTCAAGGATTGTTGAGATGGAGCCTAATGATTGCACACTCACGTGCTGTGAAGAGTTAAGGGTAAAAAGTACAACTCTGACTCTGGTTCCTGAGATCACCGAAAGAAGAGGCAAATGAAGTTAGGTGGGGTGGGGTGGGGTTTATTGTTTTGAACTGTTTATTAAAAACGCAACCTCTTCAAAGACTCAGCACTGCCACATCATATGAGTGGACTTGTCCTCATCAGCTAACTGATAGGAGAACAATGCCCTAAAGTAATGGATTTATCCACCTACTCAGGCCAGTTTCATGCAGGAGGGAACTTTCCAGATGGCACATTGCCCCATTTCCAAGACCTTCCGCTGACAAATGCATCATATTAATTATGATGGAAAACAAGTAAGAAGGCATGCTCTACAAAAATTAGGTCACTTGCCCAGGTGCGGTGGCTCACACCTGTAATTCCAGCACTTTGGGAGGCTGACGTGGGCAGATCATGAGGTCAGGAGATCGAGACCATCCTGGCTAACACGGTGAAACCCCGTCTCTACTAAAATACAAAAAATTAGCTGGGCATGGTGGCATGCACCTGTAGTCCCAGCTACTTGGGAGGCTGAGGCAGGGGAATCGCTTGAACCCGGGAGGCGGAGGTTGCAGTGAGCCGAGATCATGCCACTGCACACCGGCCTGGTGACAGAGCAAGACTCCATCTCAAAAAAAAAAAAAAAAAAATTAGGTCACTTTTGTCATCAAGAATATGTTTTTCTTATCCACGTCTATGTCACCTTTTGCAGTAGATACTTTCATGACTGATTTCAGGCTTTTTGTTTTTTTGAGACAGGGTCTCACTCTGTCACCCAGGCTGGAGTGCAGTGGCATGATCACAGATCATTGCAGCCTTGACCTCTTGGGCTCAAGCGATTCCCCTGCCTCAGCCTCCCAAGTAGCTGGGACTACAGGCACACATCACCACATCCAGCTAATTTTTTTTTTCTTTTTTTTCTTTTTGGTAGAGATGGCATCTCACTTTGTTGCCCAGGCTAGTTTTGAATTCCTGGGCTCAAGCCATCCTCCCGCCACAGCCTCCCAAAGTTCTGGGATTACAAGTGTGAGCCACTGTGCCCAGCTTTTGATTTCAGACATTTTAATGCAGATCCTCTCCTTTACAGCACTATTATTTGGTTATCTACTTATAATTACTGATTTAACATTGATCTGTTTTCACTAGACTGTAAGCTCCATGAGGACAAGTCCTGTGCCAGTATATCTCTAGTGTCAGCAGACAATACTCAAAATTTGTTGACAGACTATTTAAAGCTGCCCCTATTTTTATCATTAATTGATTGAATATTAATTAAATATATTTTATTAATTTAAAATGAATTTTAAATGCATTTTTTCTTTAGTGTCTACCTTCAATATTTCTTGTATGAAGTTTCAGCTAAAAATGTACTTTGTGTATCTGTAGAGTGGCTTCATATTCAGAGTTTATGGACATTTATGATTTTATGTCCCCTCCTTGGTTCTTATCTCCTGGAGTTCAGCCTTATGTGCTTCTCAAAGTGTATAACAAAATCAAAGACAATGTCATGTCCCTTGAATTTAATTCTAACACCAAACCTTGGTGTTAGAGTCACAAAAAGTCCTTTTTTAAAAAAACTTGGTGAGAACAGACAATAACTTGTCTTTCTGGGCATTCGCGTCATGGTCCTTTTAGCCAGAAGAGAGGTTTTCTTTTGCATAGTTTGGTGAGCATCAAGAATCCTTTAAGGAGGGTGGCGGTGCTGACTTCTCCCCATTGAGAGTCAGCCTCATCCCCTCCTCAGCCTTGTGGATGGAGAAGAACAGGCAGTGATATACATTTTCTGCTGTTGAAAGATGTCCGCTTATCCTTCTCTTTCAGTGAAAAGTTGCTTTTTTATTCAATATGTACTGAACAGGTTCTAGAGTTTCAGAAACAAAAGAAACAGAACCAACATTTATAGATCTCACTATAGAGGCATCACTAATTGGGGAAAGACAGACTAGGTAATAGTCAGATGTGATATAGTATGTTTAAGCTATAGGATGGCAGGTGCATGAGTGTTGGTTGTATTATTCTTTATTTTTTTGTATGACTTATGATATTCATGATAATTAAAACGTTTTGGAACAATTCATCTCAATTTTCTTTGCTTTGTTTAAAAAGCAAACATTGGCCAGGTGTGGTGGCTCATGCCTGTAATCCCAGCACTTTGGGAGGCCAAGGTGGGTGGATCACTTGAGGTCAGGAGTTCGAGACCAGCCTTGCCAACATGGCGAAACCCCATCTCTACTAAAAATATAAAAATTAGCCAGGCATGGTCGTGTGCACTAGTAATCCCAGCTACTCGGGAGGCTGAGGCAGGAGAATTGCTTGATCCCTGGGAGGCGGAGGTTGAAGTCAGCGGAAATCCTGCCACTGCACAGCGGCCTGGGTGACAGAGTGAGACTCCGTCTCAAAAAAATAAAAATTTTTAAAAAATGAAATAAAAATTAAAAGCAAACATTGAGCAAGAAAAGGTGCCAGCCTGCTGAGGTACCATCTCTGTCATTGTAACTACGCCAAAGGCAGATGGATGAGAGAAGGGACCTGCCCTTAGGCTGAAAGATTTGTTATGTTGGTAGCTGGTGGTGTTGTCTGGAACTTATGAATTGTATTTTCCTTGTAGCTTTTTCAGAAAGCAAGCTATTTTTTTCTCTTATTACAGCTACTAAATTTTGAGTTATTCTCACCTTTATTCATTTTTTAAAATGTGGGCCTGCAAAAGTATATCTAGTACTATAACAATATCTTTTTTCCTCTAAATTTTTATTTTTTAATTTTTGTGGGTACATAGTAGGTTTATATATTTATTGGGAGTATAACAACCCCTTAATAGGGAGAAACAACATTTGAGGGGAGGGAAAATATGTATACAATAAACAGAGTGGGGTCACATGATAACATTCTAGGCATTTTGTCAGAGGTGGACCTAAAATTTGAATCTGAGCATGCTGGTATCTTCAAAAGGGGGAAACATGGGAGGCCGAGGTGGGCGGATCACGAGGTCAGGAGATCGAGATCATCCTGGCTAACACGGTGAAACCCCGTCTCTACTAAAAAATACAAAAAATTAGCCGGGCATGGTGGCGGGGGCCTGTAGTCCCAGCTACTCGGGAGGCTGAGGCAGGAGAATGGCGTGAACCTGGGAGGCGGAGCTTGCAGTGAGCGGAGATCGCGCCACTGCACTCCGGCCTGGGCGACAGAGTGAGACTCCATCTCAAAAACAAAAACAAAAACAAAAACAAAACAAAACAAAAAAAAAAAAAACGGGGGAGGAGGGGCGGGGCGGTAAACATACAGTCAACAAATTCACAATTTCCAGAAGATAAAAACAAACATGTTTGTTCAGGGCAAATGGTGCTCAGGCTTGAGAGAAATTTGTCTTCATAAAGACAATACTATGAAACTTCCATTCCTGGGGCGGCCTTAGCACCAGCCTGGTGGGACCGGACCAGCCAGCCAGCCTCCCCAGGCAGCTCGCTGAGAATGGGAGGGCCAGCCCAGTGGCGCCATGATCCTCCTACCCTGTAACTCCCACAGTAACTAGCTGCTCTACACCGGCTTCAGCCAAGACCACGGATGCCTTGCTTGTGGGATGGAAAACGGATTCTGAGTCTATAACACCAATCCATTAAAATAAAAAGAGAAACAAATTTCTAGGAGGAAGAGTTGGTCATAATGAAATGTTATTTTGCTGCAACTATTTAGCTTTAGTTGTTGGTGGAAAAAAGCCAAAATACCTTCCCAACAAAGTGATGATCTGAGATGACTGAAAAAGAAGACTGTTAATGAAATAGAATTTGCTACAGAAGTCAAGGCAGTCAAATTGCAGCGAGATAGAATTGTGGTTGTTTTGGACTCCATGATTAAGGTGTTTGCACTCACACAGAACCCCCATCAGTTGTACATCTTTGAAACCTCCTAAAACCCTAAAGGCCTCTGTCCTCTGTCCCAATAGCAACAACTCTCTTCTGGCCTTGCCAGGCATGCACACGAGCCATGTTCAGCTCGTGGACTGGGCCAGCACAGAGAAGCCACCTGTGGACATTCCCGCTCCTGAGGGCATCCTGAGCTGCATGATACTCAACCTGCAGGGAACAAGAATTGCAACCACACTCGCAAAAGGGACCCTTATAAGAATATTTGATACCTCATCAGGACATTTAATCCAGGAACTATGAAGAGGATCTCAAGCAGCTAATGTTTTCTGCATTAACTTCAATCAAGATGAGTCCTTCATCTGCATATCCAGTGACCACAGCACAGTGCACATTTTTGCAGCTGAAGACCCAGGGAGGAAAAAACAGTCCAATTTGGTGTCAGCTAGTTTCCTTCCAAAATCCTTTAGTTGCAAAGGGGTTTCTCCAAGTTTCAGGTTCCCTTGGGCTCTCCATGCATTTGTGCCCTTGGAACAGAGCCAAATGTGGTCACTGCGATTTGTGCAGATGTCGGCTACTACAAATTCCTATTCAACCCCAGAAGGGAATGCATCCCAGACATCTATGCGCAGTTTCTAGAAATGATCTACGACAAGCTGTGATTCCTCAACCATGAGTGCAACAGCACCCAACACTCATTATCCCTGAAACTCCTGGGGTTGGTGCCAGTGCCCCATGGGACTCTTGGATCACGGGCTGGCGGGTCTGCCCAGGGACCTTGGTCTGAAACCATACGTAGTTGTCTGATTTCCTAAGAAGGACTCCCATTTTGGTATTAAAGACAGAATCCTCATCAAGGTACTACAGACACTCCGTGGCTCTAAGTAGGCCATGCTGACTGCCTGGCTGTCCCCGTTAGTTCTGCTGGGACTGACAGGGTCTGCAAACAAACCTGGGGGCTGGGTCGAGAGGATGGGCAAATTCAAGGGTGTTTTTGCAACAGACTCCATCATTTTTACTGAATCTACAGTGGGGAAACGAACAAGTGTGTAAATGTTAGTTCTTGCATTATAAGAAGATCACTTGAGGTCAGGAGTTTGAGACCAGCCTGGCCAACACGGTGAAACCCTGTTTCTACTAAAATACAAAAATTAGCCAGGTGTGGTGGTGGGCACCTGTAATCCCAGCTACTCAGGAGGCTAATGCAGGAGAATCGCTTGAATCCGGGAGGCAGAGGTTGCAGTGAGCGGAGATCGTGCCACTGCACTCCAGCCTGGGCGACAGTGAGACTCCGTCTCAAAAAAACAAACAAACATAAATATTGAAATGAAGAAATAAAATAAGTAATTAAAGACTTAAGAAAAGAACATGATATTAGGCAAGTTTGAAAAAGTATCAAAGCTAACATGAAATAAAACATTAATGATTGAATTTCAACACTCAGGGACTGGGAGCTTCAGTTGAGACACATCTGAAGAGGGATCTGGAAAACAGATCTAAAGAGGATGTCCAGAAGGCATGGAGGAGACAAAGAAAGGGAATGAAGAGAGGGAGACTTGACCAGGACTAACTGTTGAAATCAGTCCCAGAGGGAGAAAGTAGAGAAAACAGGGCAAAGATAACATTTGAATTTTTAAGAATTAAGGAAAATCATGAATTCTCAACTTTAGGAAGCACAGTCCTGAGCATGATACATAAAAACAAATCCATGATAGGCACAGTGTAATGCAACCATAGAAACCCAAAAGACAAAGATAGAATCTTAAGTTGCAGCCACAGCAAAGAGATAAATTCCTACAAAGCAACAATAGACCAGAAGACAGAATGTTGACTCTGTCCAAAGTGCTGAGAGAAAAATCGCAGTCCTTCTAGGGTCTTCTGCTCAGTGAAGCTAAGCTATCAATCAGTCAAGAACAAAGGGGAAAATACATATTTTCTTTTTTTTTTTTTTTTTTTTTGAGAGAGAGTGTTTCTCACTTTGTCACCCAGGCTGGAATGAAGTGGTGTGATCTCAGCTCACTGCAACCTCTGCCTCCAGGGTTCAAATGATTCTTCCACCTCAGCCTCCCAAGTAGCTGGGATTACAGGCATGCACCAAGACTGCTGCCTAATTTTTATATTTTTTGGTAAAGACAGGGTTTCACCATGTTGGCCAGGCCGGTCTTGAACTCCTGACCTCAAGTGATGTGCCTGCCTCTGCCTCTCAAAGTGCTGGGATTTTAGGCATGAGCCACTGAACCCGGCCAAGTCTCAAAAACTCAGATAGTTTACCCAAAGTAGATCT
This sequence comes from Homo sapiens, assembly GCF_000001405.40. Classification (NCBI taxonomy): domain Eukaryota; kingdom Metazoa; phylum Chordata; class Mammalia; order Primates; family Hominidae; genus Homo; species Homo sapiens. Next base: position 36,276,225 of record NC_000018.10, read on the forward strand.
CCTCTGAAAGAACTTCTAAAGTTTGTAATTCAGGGAGAAGGAAGTTGAACTTAGAATCAAGGACTGATAAGGAAAGAGAAATAATGAGTAAAGAAATAGATAAAAGAGTAATTATAAAAATACAGAATGAAACGATAATAGTAACACTAATGACTAATTAAAGAGTAAAGAAAAAGAATCAAATTATCAAAAAGTAACGTTTTGTCATTGGTCATGCTAAAGAATTCTAAAGTTCTTGTATTAGAAGGAGAGTGAGTAACGTAGCAGCAATAACAATAACTACAGTTAATTTAAAAGCCTGCTCTACACATGGCATGGTCTTAAGCCTTTTTAGGTAATTAACTTATTCCCCAGAACAGCCCTGTGAGTTTGATATTATTATCATCATCACTATTTTGCCCAAGGGGAAAACTGGCCCTCAGGAGGCCAAAAGTGACTTCCCAAGGGACACAGTGGGGTGTGGCTGAGTTGTGATTCAATCTGGCACAGTCGGGTTCTGAGCAGGTCTTCCTAACCATGGCGATGTTACATTGATACTTTGTTAAGAAGTGTGTCAGCATTTTAGGAGAAGAATTAAAAGAACAGAAACAGAGTTGACAGCTTCTAAATAAATTGAGCAAAAATGGAATTAAAAATACTTGATCATGTCAAAAGAAGACAGGAAGAGAAAAAAATCATAGAAAAAGCACAATAAATGAAAAATCATATGGAAGATATAAATCCAAGTATATTAGTAATATCAATAAATGTAAGCAACTAATGGTATGTTTTGAGGGGAGTAAAGCAGAATGGTTAAATTGAATATAAAAAAATCCATATACTGCAGAAAGGAGACAAACCAAGGAAACAAAAAAGATGAAAGTAAAAGAATGGGAAAAGATGTTCCAGGCAAATACTAACCAAAAGAAAGCTGGTATAGATACATTAGAAGCAATGATATTTTAATTATCACCGGTTTATTATTTGGCTTTAAGGCAAAAATCCTGTTTAGGGATAAAGTGACCACATAATGATAAAGGGTTAAATTCTCCAGGAACATACAACAGTTTAAACCAATAGCAACACAATACTAGAGTCTTAAGGCCCATGCAACAATGAAACAAAACATGACTGAATTATAAGAAGAAATTGAGAAATCCACAGTTATGATGGGAAAGTTCTCTCAGTGAACAATAAATAAAGCAAACAAAATTTAGTAAGGCCATGATACAGGTGAAGAACACAAATGATAAAGGAACCTTCATGTAGTGAATATACGTAGAATCCTTAACCAGACAATGAGCAAATACATATTTTTACATGGAATATTTGTGAAAATTGACCGTGCGTTACCTAGACCTAGGGCAAATTTCAAAGAATAGGTATACAGACCACATTTTCTGACTACAACAAAATCAAATTATAAATCAAAAACAAAAATAACTAGGATATATACATAATATTTTTAAAACACTTTTGAATAGCTCATAAGTAAAAGAAAATCATAATAGGAGTTAGAAAACATTTAGGACATACCAATATTAAAATATCATACATAAAAATTTGCAAATTAAGCTAAAATAATACAAAGAACAAGTGTTATATCCTAAAATGCTTATATAAGGAGAAACCTAAAAACTTCATCTTAAAGAGTTAGAGAAATTATAGCAAAATAAATTCTGAGAAAATGGAAGAAGAAACTAACAGAAAACAAATTAATGAAACACAGAACAAAAGGGCAACAAACATAATTTAAAAACCTAAAAAATACTACAAACCTCTGGCAAGAAAAAAAAGCACAAACATTATTAGGACTAAAAAAGGAAACATATAACAAATTCAGCCTAAATTTTTAAAAATTGTAAGAAAGACTTCTAAATTTTTATGTTCCTCAAAACAAACTCTCAAGAGATATAAAGCAAAATGGGAAGAATATTCTAATCCAACTAGAAACTAACGTTAAAAAATAATAGGAAGAACTTAGAAGAGAAATAAAGAATTCTATAATCACAAGAGGGAAATTTGAATACATCTTTTTCAGTTATTGACAGAAATAGCCTTCAAAAAGTTAGTAAAACTATAAAAGATTTGAACAATGTGATTTACAAATGTGGCTTAATAAACATACACAGAACGCTGAAGTATGGGATTGTTGTTACCATTCTGATAAAAATGTTTTCTAATGTTTCATTAGAATATTTCTAATATTTCATTGTGATTTTGCCTTTTATACACAGATTATTTAGAAGGGAAGATTAGAAAGGAAGAAATAAAACCATTTTCATTCACAAATAACATGATTGTCTATGTAGAATATCCAAATAGCTTTTTAAAAGAAAAGAGAAAAACTCCTAGAACTAATATAAGTGAGGTTAGTAAAGTCACAGGATGTAAGATCAGCACTGCTGAGCTTAATATTTTGCTGTTGCCATCTTGAAATTCTGAATAATTTTTGAACAAAGGGCTTCACATTTTTATTTTGCACTGAGTTCCACAAATTATGTAGCTAGTCCTACCTAAGATGTCATAGTAGCTGTGGTCCTTATTCAAGAGTTATCTAACTGCAATGTCCACATTAGCTTTATTTCCAACCATAGTCATTGGAAAAATTTGCTCAGTGCTTTACTCTGAGAATTTGTCATTGATTTTATTTATATGTTATTCTCAAAAAGATGGTTCTTCAAAACCACCTCCATGAGAGACTAAGAAGGCCAATGGGAAACCTGCTTTGCTCCTCATACGCTATTCTTTCATGACTCCAAACTCTTCTTATCCCAGTATATCCAAGCTGCTCTTGATGGATCACACATTGCTGCACTGCTAGCAATTACACATGGCTCTATGTACAAATCTTCAACGGTTGGATCACACTTTAGGACGAAATAGGACTGAATGAAGTGGACAGCAAATGCTGACTTGCCCCTGACACCTCTTTCAATCTCTTGTCCATATCCTTGGAATGTTGCTAAGCCCACACTAGCCCACAAAACCCCAATCCCTAGGTCCAGCTCCAGATGTCTGCCTGGCAGGCTGATAGAGAGTAATCAGGTGAGCCTCCAAAAGGGCGAGTTCACTTAGGGGTACCACTGCACCAGAGGCTGGTCAGGGTTCTTTGAGGGATAGAGATGTGTGGTATCTGGCTGGAACATGTGGTAGCTAGTGAGGGGCTCTCTCCTCAGCACCTGCTCCCTCTTAATATCTTTGGATTTAACTTACTGTTGTTTTTGTTGTTGTTGTTTTACTAACTTATTGGAATGAATGCTTAATTAATTTATTCTCCTTTTTTCCTAATATATTCTTACAAGCCTATAGATTTTCTTTTAAGTACTATTTTGGCTTCATCTCAGATTTTGATACATAGTATTGTTGTTACCATTCTGATAAAAATGTTTTCCAATATTTCATTGTGATTTTGTTTTTTATACACAGGTTATTTAAAAGTGTGTTTTTATTCATTTCCAAACATATGGGGTTTCTCTAGGTTATTTTTGGTTGATTTCTAGCTCAGTGGCATTATAGTCAGAATACACACTTTGTATGATTTCAATCGTTGAAATTTGTTGAAACTTGCTTTATGGCCCTGTCCAAAAAAAAATGGTTCATGGTTTACAGTCATCATAAAAATGGTCAATTTTTATAGATACTCTATGTGCTTGAAAAGCATGTGTATTGTGTAGATATCTTTGCTTTCTTCCTGATTTTAGGAATAAGCCTTTCAATCTTTCACCATTTTGTATAATTTAGCTATAAGGTTTTTGTAGGTGCATTTTATGAGGTTGAGAAAGTTGCTTTCTTATTCCTAGGCTGCTGATAACTTTTATTATGGGGGCATTTGAAGTTTGTTAAATGGTTTTACTGTATCAATTGATATGATCATGTGATTTTTCTTCTGTGGTTATTATGGTGGACTATATTGATTGGTTTCCAAATATTGAAATAGTCTTGCTATTCCTGGATAAACTCCATTGATCCTGATATTTTATTTTTTTCATATATTCCTGGGTTTGATTGCTAATATTTTGTTGAGGATCTAAGCTCATGAGGGATACTGGTCTGTAATTTTCTTTTCTTGCACTGTCTTTGTCTGGTTGCCAGAATCTCTGAATACAATGTGTATTTGTCTTATTAATATTTTTCTTTCTGCTGCATCAGTTTTTGCTTCATGTATTTTGGAGCTATGTTATTTGGTGCATTTCCCCTAAGATTGCTATGCCTTCGTGATGGACTTATTCCTTTATTGATGTGTAATATTCTTTGTCCTTAGAAATTTTCTTTGCTCTGCAGTCCAATTTATCTAATATTCATATAGCCATTTCTGAGGATTATAAGCTCCTATCACTTATGAACATAAATTCAGAAATTCTTTAAAAAGTAGCAAACTTTGTTCAGTAATATCTGCAAAGATGATATATTATGACCATGTTGTATTAATTTCAAGGATGCCGAGGTTTACTTTTAGAAAATAAGAGATTAAAGGAGCAAGTCAAATTGTCTCAGTAAATGAAGAGAACAATTTTGATAGAAATTCCACATTCACTTGTAATTAAACACACCTTTTAGCAAGCAGAAGAAATATTAGTGTAAATAATACTAACTGCTCTAACAAGCAAAGCAAAAATCTCCATGGCTTACTGGTGGTAGTGATGGAGGCAGTGAGCATGGCGGTACGATCTGTGGTGCGATGCCTGGCAGAGCCTTTAGTGGTGTCTACTTTAGAGTAGCTATGCAATCTCCAAAACTGATTCTTTGGCTCTCTGGGGAGTCTGCGAGCTACACAATATCCTTTATTACACCTATTTTCTGCTTAGTCTTGTGAGAATTAGTTTCTATTGTTTCCAACTAAGAATTCTGACGGATAGAAAATGTGGTGCCTGATGTGTACCACATCAGTGAATAGTAAGGACTCAAATATTTCAAATTGGAAGGTTGATAACCTTTATTATATTGCGGCAAAATATTTATCAATCTGTTGCCTGTTGTCTTTTGAGACATTGACCATATGCCAACCGTATGGCATATGTTAGAAGACATACGGAAAAAAATCACATTGATGGGGCTCCTTTTTGCAGAGTTCAGCAAAGTTCTAAGGAAGATAAATAAACTCAGGCTAGGAGAGAACCACATCAAGGTCATGGCCATCACATAATTAGCTAAGAACTCTGAAATAAGGTACACTTTTGGGTTTCTAGAAAGTTTTAAATGTGTAGTACCATAAAAGCTTGATGTGCCCAATTCTTGTCAATATTTCCTCATCAGAATTGTTGTGTGATTTTTAATACATAGAGTTGACCAAAATAAAAACCTTCCATTTAGTTTTGAAAGATCTGTATTAGCAAAAGCGCCACCAGTCTGGACTAAAAGGGACTGACTATTCAAGATATAAAAAAAAACTTCTAAGCTTCAGACTTCATATGGAAAGAAAGAAAAAAGATAAGGCTATTCAGCCACCAAAAAGTGCACATTCTCCAAAGTGCCCTTTTCAGACGGGCACTTCAGAAGGACATAACCCAAGGAGTGTTATGGAGAAGAAAAGACCTTTCAGAGGATGGATCCAAGAGTCACCGAGAGCAATGAACTGATGCAGAAATGTAAGCTTATTGTGGGAAAAGTAGAAATAGAGATGAGCAAAAAGAAATACCCTCTCATCCTACCACCCTATCAGAGACACAGTTAACCTTGAATGATTTGGTGTATAGGTTTCCAGACTTTCCCCCGTGCCACCAATAACTCGTGCCCTTCTGTGTAGCTTCTCTTAGTGCTCTTGTGACTCTGTTCTTTGCATTGATGGAAAAGCCATATGTGGTGGCTCTCCAGGATTCTTGAAAAAAGCTCAGCCCTGGCCTTTCCAGACAGCTCGTTGGGAGTTTAGAACACCCTTTTGTCATCCCTTTGAGATCTTGGCTGGATGCCACCCTGGGCTCCTCTCTGGCTCACTACCCTCCTCTCCTGGCCTTCTTCACCAGCTTTGGTTAATGAAACTTGATGGATCATAGTGCCGAGCACTGTGCTTCGTGCTGGGGGCACAAAGATGCATTTTACATAGTCCCTGCTCTTAAGGAGCTGAGTGAGGATCTAGTGGGTGGAACCAATGTATAAGCAGAAACCATTAAAATAATCTAGTCACTAATTTCAACAGTTCCCATGAGGGAAGCATTTAAAAATGATTTCACACGCAGAGTTTGGTCCCCAATTTTAGAAAAAACTTATAAATCCTGTTAAAACATGGCTTCAGCTAAGAAGTCCCAATGAATTTTAAATGTTTATTTAACATTTAAAGCAGCAGATTTACGAGAAATCTATTCAAAATGTTGAATTTATAGTAGTTGTACCCTTTCCACATGTTTTGCTTATAGCTCAAATTAGCCTTTTTAAAAAACACAGTTGCTTAATGATGCTGAATTAATCATTCACTCAGCAATAATTAATTCTTACCAGTGGAAGCACGATGACTTTTCTCATAAAACATGGAGAAAAACAACTCATTTAGTGACTTAGTGACAAAGTAGTATGTTGGAATTTTGATTGCAGTAACTGAAGATGAGTAGGGTTATTGAGATCATACTTTTTTGCACATTAAAAACTATTTCTTATTAAAGAAATTTATTAATAAAAATAACATTTATTTTCTACTTGTGAATGTATATAGAGTCATGCACTTTTATTTTATTTAATTCTCACAAAAACCCTAAGGGTAGGTATTTATACCTACATTTTCCAAATGAGGAAACTGAGGCTTAGAGGGATTAATTGACCCAATCAAGATCAGAGGACGACTTATACAGAGCAAGGATAAGATTTGAACCTAGGTCTGCCTTTTCACCATTGTGATAAACTGCTGAATAATGATCATTGTGGGCACCATTGTAAGCACTTCACAGGTATTAAATTACTTAATCCTCTCTAACAAGTTTATGAGAAATCTATGACTATTACCATCTCCATTTTAGAAATGAGGGAAGAGAGGCACGGAGAGAGTAAGTCACTTGCCCTAGGACCCTGAGCTCGTAAGTAGTGGGGCTAGGTTTTGAACCCAGGCCTCTAACTCAGGCATCCATTTTTTTGCTCACCTCACTCAAGGAAAGCCATTATTGTTTATTAAACAAATTGCTTTTTGATACACATAAAATATTGTAAAAATAAGCATTAGCAAGTGATTTGTTCATGAGCTGTGATGGCCACTGTGTGCCTCCCATTGCACTGGATGGTGATTGTGAGAAAAGAAAAGACCACAGTTCTTTTTTATAGAACAGCATCTCACTCTATCACCCAGGCTGGAGTGCAGTGGCATGATCATAGCTCACTGTAACCTCAAACCCCTTGCTCAAGTCATCCTCCCGCCCCAGCCTCCCAAAACACTGGGATTACAGGCTTAAGCCATGGGCACGGTCCCACAGTTCTCGTGTTCAGTGAGCTAGATGGCTCTTATCAGATGATCACAAGGACAATGGCGCTTTCAGGGAGGTTCGGGAGCCAGGTGTACATCTAGCAGGGACCAGGTTGGCCTGTGAGATTGAAAGGGAAGTCCCACAGATGGTCAGAGTGCCATCTCCTTGGGATGACAGAAAGCTGTCCATGAACTGGGTTCAGTGGCTCATGCCTGTAATCCCCACACTTTGGGAGCCCAAGGTGGGTGGATCACGAGGTCAGAAGATTGAGACCATCCTGGCCAACATGGTGAGACCCTGTCTCTACTAAAAATACAAAAAAATTAGCTGGGCATGGTGGCGGGCGCCTGTAATCTCAGCTACTCAGGAGGCTGAGGCAGGAGAATCACTTGAACCCGGGAGGCGGAGTTTGCAGTGAGCTGAGATCATGCCACTGCACTCTAGCCTGGGTGACAGCAAGAGACTCCATCTCAAAAAAAAAAAGAATGCTGTCCATACAGAAGCTGCCATGTCCGTTTCCACCAACAACTACCTCTGGCCTCCAGGGCCTTCAGCAAGGGAAGAGAGGAAAAGGCATTTGGAGTGTGCCACAACCTTTCAACTGCGATGAGAGACGCTAGGCACTGGAAGGCTGGCTCCAGTGATGGCATTTGTTCTTTGGAGTGACCCTCTGATCAGAAGAAGCCCTCTGGACCAACTGTGTCCCATCCTTCTCAGCTCTTTTTTATCCGAGAGGGAGGGGTAAGCTACTGAGGACAGCACAGGCTACAGGGATCCAGCGGATCCAGAGATCCACTGCTAGAACCGAATGCTGGCTAGTGCTTGAAGAGGATGCTGATACAACAAGCCATCCAAGGACACTGAAAGCAGCAGAAACCTTCACTGGGCAGGCAGTGTTCCCAGCACCTCGGATCTCCAAGAAAGGCTGAGGCTCTTCTTGCCAAGGGAAGAGTTCAGGACATCCTTGGAAGCAGAAGGAAAGCTAGGATCCATCCACCTGGCAGGCACCTTCAGCCTGTCTTTCCTTTTTGTTTTTAGTCTTTTCCCTATTCTCTTGTTTGTGCAGACAGAATTAACTTCTACATAACTCACTTTGCAAATCTCCAAATAAAAATCATGGAAAACATCATACTATATGAGCAAGTGATTGAACATCTCTAAGTCTTACTATGTCTCATCTGAAAAGCGAGGAAAACCACAGGATCTATCTTATAGAATCGAGATCAAATGAGCCAGTTTGTATTTTAGCTCAGTGCCTCAAAATAATTATGCCTGAGTAATCCAAGTCTACCACCTGCTGGCAGCATTAGGTAAGTGCAGAATTTGTTTCTTCAAGAGGCTAAAAACTGGTGCAAATTGGGTCAGCAAATCCTAAAGAGAAGAATGGCAAACATGATCACACCTCTGACCCTCTGCCTGGGTTACTGAATGGACCAGATTTCAGATGATTTTCAGTATTGATGTTGGTGTCGTTTAAAAGTTAGTTTCTGAATTATTTCTTGATCAGATTACTTAAACCTACTTTACATCGACCATTCTTTTGGGGTTCCCTATTTTTCTTAGAATTCTTTAAGGACGCTGCTTTGCATTGGTGATTTCATTAGGTAGAGTCTCTCTCTCTCTCTTTCTGAGTGGGTGTGTGACTGTATACAAAAATATATAAATATATGTACATATAGAAAACGTTTTAATATGTATAGAGATGTGTATATGTATATATAGAGAGAGTATTTTAATGCATCTATGTGGAGTGTGTGTGTACATTGAGAGAGCTTTAATATATAGTGCCCATTCTCAGCAGCAGATCTAGGTTTTGTGAGCCTAAAATGCATGCAATTTTAAAGTCATCTTTAAGGAAAAGAATACAAAATCAGGCCAGGTGCAGTGGCTGATACCTGTAATCCCAGAACTTTAGGAGGCTGAGGCAGGAGCATCACTTGAGGCCAGGAGTTTGAGACCAGCCTGGGCAATATAGTGAGACTTCATTTCTATAAAATATTAAAAATTATCTGAGTGTGACTGCATGCACCTGTGGTTTCAGCTACTCTGGAGGCTGAGGTGAGAGGACTGCTTGAGCCAGGGAGGTGGAGGTTGCAGTGAGCCAGCCTGAGTGACACAGCAAGACCCTGTCTCGAAAGAAAAAGAAAAAGAAACCCTGCAAAACAAAAAACAAACCAAAACCCAATAAAAACCCAACCCCAAACAGAAACAAACAAAGAATATAAAACCATGAATTAAAAATTAGATACAAAAAGATTGACTTGCATGAGAAGAGAAGGGGCTTTGGAAGAAGTCTGCACAGTAACAGCCCTGAGCTGAAACCTTGTTACCTTTGTAATAAATCTGCCTCTGCCTGATTTCTCACTGCCTCCTTTTCTTGTCCATCTAAGTGCCGCCCAACCTCTCCAGGGTTACTTTTACAGTGCTTTTTGCAGTTTACAGAGTGAAGCACTTTTTGTTAACTTCCTAAACGGTCCCATGAAGACCTGTCCTGGTCTTTCCTCTTCAACTTATGGGTGGAAACAAATTGTTTTGACATCACTCGGAGACACTACTTGCTGCAGTCAGGACAGAGTCCTCCATTCATTGTGACCTGGGGATTTCCTTTCCACCTGGGTGCTGAAGCTCTCTGTTGCAGGAAGCATGTCTGGTTATCAAAAATTATTATCCTCGGTCGGGCACAGTGGCTTACACCTGTAATCCCAGCACTTTGGGAGGCCAAGGCGGGTGGTTCACCTGAGGTCGAGAGTTCAAGACCAGCCTGAGCAACATGGTGAAATCCTGTCTCTACTAAAAATACAAAAATTAGCTGAGCATGGTGGTGGGTGCCTGTAATCCCAGCTACTCGGGAGGCTCAGGCAGGAGAATTGCTTGAACCTGGGAGGTGGAGGTTGCAGTGAGCCGAGATCACGCCACTGCACTCCAGCCTGGGTGACAAGAGCAAAACTCCTCAAAGAAAAAAAAAAATTCTCTCATTTCCTCCTGGGGCACAGCAAATATTATGTCACATTTATCCACAGTTTGGTAAAATAGCCTTACTTTTTTTTTTTTTTTTAGCTAAATAGATAACTAGCTAAAACTTTTTAACCAGAAAAGGTGAAGTTACCTTAGAAAAAATAATCGAAAATTGGACACTCAAGACCCTTCTACCCCCATACAATTGCTTTCCAGTGGCTAAAGTCAATGTACACTATTTGTATTCTGTTTTACTCTAAAGATTTTGTGTATTTCAACATGGTCTTCATAAGTACATTTAAATAATGCATGGTTGTATTCATGTATTATAAGTAATACAAATATACCTCATATTGATAGACATATAAATTTCCAGTTTTTAATTTTATAATTAATACTACAATAAACCTTATTTTTGAACATGGCTATTTATTTATTCATTTTTTTTTGCTCCTGCTAAATTATTTTCTAAGAATATGAATGGAATTCCAGGATAATATTTATGAAAATATTGCCAGGTACAGTCATAGTATTTTCCACTAGAAATGTGCAATATAAAGCGTGCAGTGTTTCACTAGCATGCAGATCCATGTGTTCAGGTTCCCTGCAGTTGGGCTTTCAAGTGTATCATAAGGAACATACACTCCAGTTCTTCCCTGGTGTAGCTTGTTGTGTTCGTGGCACCTTCATAGGACCAAGGAGGCAGCATGTACAGCCTCTAGGGAGAATGAACCAGAGTGGCTTCAGGATTTAGAGAAGGTAGAAGTGTGCCTGACGACAAGAATGCGGGGAGAGTAACGGGAACTGAGGAGTGGACAGAGTGACCCTGCATCTTTCCCCACCCAGTTCTAGTGAGGCTGGGAGGCTGAAAGATGCAGGCTCACTCCCAGCATCAGTGGGGCCCAGGACAAAAGTTCAAATGGATACCCATATGTCATATGTCTAAATATTTAACATTCATAAATTAAACATAAGAAATATTAACTAAAATATGTGCTAGCCTCCTACTCTGACAAAATCCTTGGCACTCTGCATAGGAGCACGATGGCATGGGAAGAGCTGGTCCAGCTCCTGGTTGCCAGCCATAGCCTACAGCCATTTTCTTCTCACCCTTGAGCCGTGAACCCCAGATGTGTAGACACTGGAGACTATACATTCAAACTCTGTCCATACCTTCCCCTGCAATCAGCTGCCATTTAGCCCCTTTTCATGCTTAGGGGTGCACCCCTACGGATGCTCTGAAAATGACACACACATACAGGCCTTGGGGACATGTTCAGAGTCATGTGGGCATCTGAGGTCCTGGTGCCTGGAGAATAGTCTAGAGAGCAGCTTGGGTTCCAGGTGGGCATAACATCTTGGTCCTGTGGACTTGCCCTATAGGGAAGGATGGCAGGAGCAGGGCCAGGATGAGGCCCTCCAAAGCATGGAGCCCAAGGCAGGGGCCTTTCTTGTTCTGGGCAAAGGGCAGTATTGTTAAAATTTTTCTGGAGAAAGTAAACTACCCCAGAGGAAAGACCTAAAGATAGTCAAGAAATAAGCCATTTGTCCACTGGTTTGGTCTGCAGTGGAGTCCATCAGGCAAAGTGCCTCTATTATACCCTAGAGCTTCCAATCAGCTTTCTTTCTTTCTTTTCTTTTTTCTTTTTCTTTTTTTTTTTTTTTTTTGAGGCAGAGTCTCGCTCTGTTGCCCAGGCTGGAGTGCAGTGGTGCAATCCTGGCTCACTGCAACCTCTGCCTCCCAGGTTCAAGCGATTTTCCTGCCCCAGCTTCCCAAGTAGCTGGGATTACAGGCGCCTGCCACCACACCCAGCTATTTTTCGTAGTTTTAGTAGAGACAGGGTTTCACCACATTGGTCAGGCTGGCCTCAAACTCCTGACCTCAAGTGATCCGCCTGCCTCGGCATCCCAAAGTGCTGGGATTACAGAAGTGGGCCACATTGCCCAGCCTCCCAGTTGGCTTTCAATGTGATGAACAGCCAAGGATCATGCCATTTGAGGAAAGTGTCTACTATAAAAGAAAAAAACTGAAAGAAAAAGAAGAAAGGAAGAACCCAAAGTGTACAGAAACAGTGCAGCAAAAAGAAGAAAACTTTAAAGAAAATGTGGTTAATAATATCAGGGAAATCCTGGAAATAAGAACAAGATATTTTAAAAAGAAAAATCACAGAACAAGACAGAATTCTTGAAAAGTAAAAACATGAATGCTGCAATACAACATTCAGTAGAAGAAAAGGAAATACAGTTTAGGAAATTTCCCAAAAAGTAGAAGAAAATAATCAGAGAGATGAACAGGGCAGAAAAGTTAAGAAAATTAGAGAACCTGCTTAGTGATCCAACATCTGAATAATAGGAGTTCTAGGAAGAGCAAGCAGAGAACACTGTGGAGAGGAAATGATCAAAAACAGGATATAAGAACATTTCTGCATCAAAGAGCAGGATCTCTGGATTAAGTAATATCCACAAAATGACAACAGGATGAATGAAAAAGAATCCCCACCAGGGCACCTCATCATGGAATTTCAGTATATTGGGAATAATGAGAAGGTTCAAAAAGCTTCCAAAGAGAGAGGGGAAAAAAGTTACCTATACAATGTAGAGTTACCTATACAGTTGCCCCTTGATATTCATGGTTGTTTGGTTCCAGGACCTCCCTTGGATACCAAAATCCGTGGGTGCTCAAGTCCTTCACATAAAATGGTGTAGTATTTAACATAACCTATGCATATCCTCCTGTATACTTTAAATCATCTGTAGATTACTTATAATATCTAATATCATGTAAATGTTATGTAAATAGCTGTTGTGTTGTTTAGGAAATAATGACAAATAAAAAAAGTCTGTACATGTTTAGTATAGATGCAAGCATTCATTCTTTTTTTGAATATTTCCAATCTGTGTAGGTTGACTCCATGGATGCAGAGCCCACAGACACAGAGGGCCAGCTATACCACAGCACAAATAGTCTAAAGCAACAAGAAAAATTAGAAGACAATGAAGCAATGCCTCAAAATTCTGAGTAAAAATCATTTTAACCTAGAATTGTATAACATATGTGTTATATTGTTTCAGAGATGACTACAACATTTCTTCATATCTGGGTACGTGTACCTCTTTGCAATGTGATTTCACTTCTCCCATCAGGGAGTGGAATCTATTTCCCCACTTCTTGAATCTAAGCTGATCTTAACTTATTTCAACCAAAAAAAAAAAAAGAGTAGCAAAACTGATACAGCATAATTTCTAAGCCCAGGTCTCAAGAGATCTTGCAGCTTCCACTGTTGACCTCTTAGAATGCTATCCTAAGTCTACCAGTGTAAAGAAGCCAGGTCTAGCCTATTAGATGAGAAACCCAAGGAGAGATGAACCATTCTAACTGAAGCCCCCATCTGGACCAGCCAGCTGACAGCCAGCGTACATTACCAGGCATGGAAGGAGGCTATTTTAGTCCCACCAGTCCCAGTCAAGCTTCTAGATGACTGCAACTACATGAACGATCTCAGGTGAGACCAGATCAAATTGCTGATCCACAGAATCAAAAGAAAATAAAATGGTTGTTATTTTAAGCTACTACATTTTGGAGTGGTTTCTTATACAACAAAGACTAAATAAAACAGGAATTGGTACCTAGAAGTAGAGTGCTACCATAACAAACCCCTAAATTGTGTGACAGTGGTTTTAGGACTGGGCAGGGGGCAGAGGCTGGGAAAGTGGTGAGGAAACCATTATTTGAATCTGCATGCAGATGAGGACTTTCTCCTCGGGTACAACTGCTCTGATGCAGAGACCTGTTACCGTAAAAGACAAAGTGTATAGCCCTTTCACACTCAATATGCAATGGTGAAATTGGGACAGAATAACTTCAAGAGGCACTCACATTTAAAAATAGACAGACTGGGGCCAGGTGTGGTGGCTTACACCTGTGATTCTAGCACTTTGGGAGGCTGAGGTGGGTGGGTTGTTTGAGCCCGGGAGTTAGAGACCAGCCTGGCCAACTGGTGAAACCCCGCCTCTACTAAAAACACAAAAATTAGATAGGTGAAGTGGTGTGCACTTGTAATCCCAACTACTTGGGAGGCTGAGGCACGAGAATCTCCAGGAGGTGAAGGTTGCTGTGAGCCAAGATCACGCCACTGCACTCCAGCCTGGGTGACAGAGTGAGACCCATCTCAATAATAATAATAATAAAATAAAAAATAGACAGATTGGAAGACACACAGCAGTCATTGATTCATAGCAATGCTGAACTCCAGCCAGACACATGTTGCCAGTTTCTCTTACTCCAGGAGACTACGGCCCAGTTCTGCTTCCTGGGATGGTTTCCAAGTTTTTTGTTCCCCACGATCCTTAGTTCCCATGCTCTGATAGAACCTTCCTTTTCCAAAGGTAATGGCTGCCGTGTTTGCAGCAGAGAAACTTTCTTACTTTAGTTTTTTTTTTTTAATTAATTTTAGTTTTTTTTTTTTTTTTTTTGAGACGGAGTCTCGTTCTGTTGCCCAGGCTGGAGTGCAGTGGCATGATCTCGGCTGACTGCAAGCTCCACCTCCTGGGTTCACGCCATTCTCCTGCCTCAGCCTCCCTAGTAGCTGGGACTACAGGCGTCTGCCACCACGCCCGGCTAATTTTTTGTATTTTTAGTAGAGACGGGGTTTCACCGTGTTAGCCAGGATGGTCTTGATCTCCTGACCTGGAGATCCACCTGCCTCAGCCTCCCAAAGTGCTGGGATTACAGGTGTAAGCCACCACGCCTGGTCTTTAGTTTTATTTTATTATTAATTCAGGTACAGTTTTGTTATGTGGGTATATTGCATAATGTTGAGGTTTGGGATTCTAGTGAAACCATCACCCAAACAGTGAATACAGTATTGAGATGGTATTCAGTAAACAAAATAGGTAGCTTTTCAACCTTTGCCTCCTTCCTCTTCCCCTTTTAGAGTCCCTAGTGCCTATTATTTCCATCTTTATGTCCATGAGTGCCCACTGTTTAGCTCTCACAAGTGAGAATATGTGGTATCTGATTTTCTTTTTCTGGGTTATTTCACTTAGGATAATGGCCTCTAGCTCAATCCAAGTTGCTGCAAAGGACATGATTTCATTCTTCTTTATGTTTGTCTGCTTCTTATCCATTTCAGGTTGGAGTTCCATAAGTTTCTTTTTATTTTGAACAATCTCAGTCCCTTTTAGCCTAAGCTGACAGTGCTTTCATAAATACAACTATCTGAAAAATGTTGTGGATTTTCTATCAGTCTTACTAGGGTTTACTCCATGTGCCAAACACTATACACATAATCCTTCCTCCTCTGGGCATGTCATGCTGCTGTGGAACAACACCCTTAAGATTCTTAGAAGCTCTTTTGTATAAATGAGAAGATCTGCTAGGCACTACCTTAAATCTCTCTGAGACTGTAACAAAGTGTCTTACAACTGAATTTCAACATTTTTTTTTCATAGCTATGGGGTCTTGCTCTGTCTCTCAGGCTGGAGTGCAGTGGTATGATCATAGCCCACTATAACCTTGAACTCCTGGGCTCAAGCAATCCTCCTGCCTCAAAAATGTGGTTGAATTTCCCACACTGGGAATTCCCCACACTGGGAATTACAGGTGTGAGCCACTGCGTCTGGCCTACAACCACATTTTTAAACTGATCTTTACCAAGATTATTTCTTACTGTGAAGGTCTTTTACTAACTGGAGAAACTGGGGGTGAGAAATTGTTTATTTTATAACCCAGCAAATTTTAACTACTCACTCTGTTTGCAAACAGAATTCATTGTAATATGCAGCTACAGGTACCCAACAGATACTTCCAACATACTGACTAAAGATCTCCTTAGCCAAGTTTATAAACTCATTAGTTACATTTTCTATCTTCCAAATTACTCTAGGCAATTGTCCTGTCAATTGTTTAATTGCTGCATAACTCAGGTAACCATTTTTTTTCCAGTCTTCAGTAGCAATTTCTTTACCAGGTTTCCTAGGCTAGATCTGGCCTCTTCACATGGTAGTCCCAGGCCAATATTCCAAGAGTGTGAAAGGAGATGCCGTAATGTCTCTTGAGGCCTAGTTTCAGAAGTCACACAATGCCACTTCCACCATATTCTATTGGTCAAAGCAAGTCACAAAGCCTCCCGAACTCAAGGAGTGGAGAGATAGACTTCACTTTGTGACAGGAGAAGTGGCAAAGTCATATTGGAAAATGGCGGGAATACAAGGGGTGGGAGGAATTATTGTAGCCATCTTTGCCAACAAAACTGCCACACCAAGACAAGTGCTAGGACAATGATTTAAGATTGTTTGAGACATAAAATTTTTCAAAACTTCATCCTTTCTCAGAAAGCTACTGTAGTATGTACTAACAAAAAATGCGAGTGTAAACTAAGAAATAATAAGATAAGTGAGCTGGGAACCAGGGGCACCTGCAGAAGAGAAAAGTCAAGAAAATATCCAGGAGGATAGGGCTGAGGGAGCCACATTTCAAATTGGAGCAGGAGGATGGAATAGAACTGAAAGCTTATTTGACAATATTGAGAGAGGCATTTGTAGGACTGTTGCAGGATATGAGATGATTTAGCCAGCTGTTCAAGAAAAAATAATAATCAAATGAAAAAAATTGAGGCAAACATTAACTTGAGGAAAAACAAAAAGTTGTACAAGAAAGGGCATGTAATCCTGTACACAACTTGGCACAGACAGGAACAATATTAACATCATAAATTTTAAAATCACTGCATAAGAATTTGACTAACATTGTGACAGAACAATATTGGAAAAGGAAATGGACTATAAAGAAGCTAAAACCCTCCGCATGACAGAAGGTCAGTGTATTATCTAAAATTGATAGCTCAAAGTACAGCAGTGTACTCACACTATTTAGAAACGAGTGGCTCTGGAAAGTGTGTATGTTAAGAAGGGGTGTTGTAAACTAGGGTCAGATGTCTGTTTCTGATATCTTGTTATAACTTTTTATTACTCTTGGCCTTTTAAATTAAGATAAATCATTACATTACTAAAAAGAAATAATTTAAAAATTAGGCTGAGAAAAAAATTGGCTGTTAGAGGAAAAAATATTAGTAATTAGTAAATTTTTGCCAAGGCAAAAATCCTTAAAAGAATTAAGGATAGCCTATATAATTAAAAAGTCTGAAGGTTTCATTTTAGGTGCCAGTCACTGAAGTTTTCAGATTAAAATTTAATAAGGCAAATTCCAATCCTGAAAATCTTATAGTTAGTGGAGTAGGCATATACAAGCATACATTTACAATGTAACATGAAAAGTGCTACAGTAAGGGCATATGTAATTTGAGACCACAGAAGAAAGACAGACAATCCTTGTTTGGGGTAGAGTTGGAGATGTCTCTCCAGAAGAGTTGACATTAGAAATGAGAATTGAAGGATAAGTGGGTTCAGCTGACTGACTAGATAGGCAAGAGCATTCTAGGTTTAGATGCTCACCATGAGAAAGCTCAGCATGTCTGGGAAAGAGTAATAAGTTTGGCATGGCTTGAAAGCAGGCTGTGAAGCTGGGAATGACCAACCATATGCCTGGAGTGGTAGACTGAGGCAGGTCTTAGAGGGCTTTGTGAGTTGTGCTAAGGGGTTTGGAATGTAAGGATTTTACCCTGTGGTGTAATATGTCAAACACACATCTTAGAATGATCACTGGCTCTGGGGAAGCCAGTGGAAGACCAAATGCAGGATGCAAGTCTGGGGAAGTCATTAGAAGACTAGCATAGAAAGTGAGGGCTAGAGAGAAGGGAAGAATTGAGAAATATTTTAGAGGCTGATTCAGTAACAAGTCATAGTGACCAACGCAAGATGCAGGAGTCAAA
This sequence comes from Homo sapiens, assembly GCF_000001405.40. Lineage (NCBI taxonomy): Eukaryota > Metazoa > Chordata > Mammalia > Primates > Hominidae > Homo > Homo sapiens. The sequence goes on from NC_000018.10 coordinate 36,294,373, forward strand.
GATGACTTTGATGTTGATACATTCATTAGACATTTATTGTGTGTCTTCTCTGTGGTAGGCGTAGAGTTGAATATGGCATGGTTGTTGCCCAGAGGAGCTTTTTCTTTAGTGACAACACAGACAATAAATTAACAGTAACCATAGCTCTGGTGTTCTATGCTCCAAGGGCTTGGAGAGCATTGGAATCAGCAGACAGGCAGGTAAAGCAGTCTGGCAGACGGCAACCTTGTGGAAGAGTTTCTGGATGGGCAGCCAGGTTGGGGTGTTGGGTTGAATGTGTAATTGAGTATGATGTGGTAACCAGGATAGGGATGTTTAGTTGCCCAGTGAAAATCAGAGCCTAGAAGGGAGGAGAGGGACTCCTCTGTGAGTATAGAGTTGGATGCATGCAGGTTGAGGACGGTTGAAGCCAGGAAAATCTAGAGGAAATGTGAACAGGACCAAGAGGAGGATGAAGCCCAGAAAGACTTGAGAAGGAGCTGTCAAAGGAGGAGGAGAACCTACAGTGGGTAGAGCTATTGAGCTGAGGGGGTAAGAGTCTGAGAAAAGAATCTTCCATGGTGCCATGGTGACAGATGCTGCCAAGAAAGTGGGTAGCAGGGCCAAGGTGTCCTCCAGGTAAGAAAATTAGGCTGGCATTGATGATCTTAGAATGGCAGGAAGGGGTTTCCTTCCAGATGTCATGGGGTATGGAGAAAAGGTGATGAGGATGCTAAGAAATGAATATGGCTCTCTCTCAGAAGTTGGTTAGGAAGTGATGATGAGATAAGCCAGGGAGCTAGAGTGAGAAGTGGGCTTCATAAAGATGCAGCTTTTAAGATGGAAAACACTTGAGTATTTATTCTCATTAGGATTGAGTACATAACTTATGGGGCCCAGTGCACAACTAAAATGCCGGGACTCCTTAAAAAAGTATTTAAAAAATTCAAGACAACAACAGCTAAACATTAAACCAATTTGGGACCCTTTAAAGTGCAGAGCCCTGTGTGGCTTCAAGAGTTGCACATCAGGAAGCAGGCCCTGGTTCTCAGGGTAAGGGGCCAGGGGAGGAAGGTGGAAGTGAGTGGATCAGTGATAGAGCCCCAGGCAAGAGCAAGTGGGATGAAAGGGACCCAGGGTCCAGGTGGGGGCAGAGCCTTGAATGGGAGGAAAAGTATGACTTTGGTCACCTTCTGAGAAGTGGGAGATGGAAGATGGAGAGGAGATGGAAAATAAGATGAAAGATGAAGAGGAGAGGGTGCTAGAAGTCATTCTGGAGAAATTATTTACCTTATTGACTAATTTCTGAGTCGAGGAAAGGGGCAGAAGCTTGCAGCAGCATCAGTGGAGTAAGAGGCTGAGGGGCTTTGGGGTGGAAGTGGGGCACTGAGTGGTCCCACTAGCAGCAGGCACTTGGTAGATGGGGCAGAAGCAAGCCAGGTACCCAAAGGACAGGTGGGACTGAAGGAGGGGTGTGGAGAGGAGGCCCCTGAGAGGATGGGCTGGGATCCGGGTTGGAAAAGTGATAGGAAATGAGGTGGCCAGGACTGGAGGGCTCTCTCAGTGAGGAGGGAGGTGGACGTGAAGGTGGAAGTGCAGGCGGCCCATCTCAGAGGGGAAGAATTCGTGCGTTTAGTATTCTGGCTGTGAGGAGATGCGGAAGTTGGTGGAGATCCAGTCTAGATCAGGGGTCCCTAACCCCGCGGCCGCAGACCGGTACTGGTCCGTAGCCTGTTAGGAACCGGGCCACACAGCAGGTGAGCGGCCAGTGAGCGAGCATTACCGCCTGAGCTCCGCCTCCTGTCAGATCAGCGGAGGCATTAGATTCTCATGCCAGAGAGAGCCCTATTCTGAACTGCGCATGCGAGGGATCTAGGTAGCGCGCTCGTATGAGAATCTAATTCTTGATGATCTGAGGTGGAACAGTTTCATTCTGAAACCATCTGCCCTTCCTCCCCCAAACGCCCCCCACCCCCACCCCACCACTGTCCGTGGAAAAATCGTCTTCCACAAAACCGGTCCCTGGTGCCAAAAAGATTGGGGACGGCTAATCTAGAGGATTCATTCAAAGAGTTAAATAACAAAGAAAGTAGAGCTAGAAGTTCGTCTGGAAGGAGCGGAAGTGTCGTGGAATTATTATTTTAAGATCAGGCATAAGTGTGTATGTGTGGCAGGGAGGGAGATCACGGAGAGGGAGAGGTTAAAGATGTGGGTGAGGCTGCTAAATAGGGATAAGGGTTTCTTTTCCCTTGAAACCAGAGGAAAGGGAGATAGACGCGTTATAGAGTCGCCTTGAAAACACTCGGATGTTAAGAGAGACTGGGTGTTATGAGGGCGATCTATATAAGGGGGGAGGAACCAGGAACTTGGCTGTGGCCTGGGAATAGGGAGAACCGTGAATTTTTCTTGAAAACGAAGGGGGTCGCCCGTGAGCAGCGAGGAGAGCGGTGGGAGGCAGCGCCGAGTCTTGCCGCTCCCGCCTGGCAGGGGCGGGCAGGACGCAAACCTTCCTTCCCAGTCCCTCGGTTACCAGGGCATCCCCGGCTCTCTGCAATTCGGGAACCTTGCCAGAAGGGCTCCCACCTCCCCAAGCCCCCGCGGCCCCACAAGGTCCAATTAGGGCTTTCGGCGGCCTAACTGGGGAGAGGCCGTGGTGATGCAGAGGTTTAACCAGCATCCGCCGGGAGCCCCGGGGTCCAGGCCCGGCGCTGGAGTCCCGCAGCGAAGCCTCGCAGCCCCCACGCCTCTCGACTCTAGGCTTGTGCCCTAAAAGCGGCCTGGGTTCCCTGGCGCACCCTCCTCTTTCTTAGCTTCTTTGTCCCTAAGGGAAACCTCCCCGTACCCTTAGGTGGGGCTCCCGGTCACTGCCACCACCCCTCTTGCTGCCGAAGCCGGCTCCCTGGCCACCTGGTGCCCTGCCGGGGTATTCCAAATCTGGGCAGCAGAAGCCGGCCGCCGCCGCCTTCATCTGGAAAGGCTTAAGCCTTCTCCGGGTGGGGAAGAAGTCAGAAGGCCGCCTGTCTCCCCGTCCCCCAACCCCCCAACTCCCCAACTCGGTCCTCCAGGCTCCGAGGGGTGCAGCTCGGCCCTGGGCCGCGGGGCGCACGTGCAGCAGAGTCCGGCCGCCCGGCCTCCCCGCCCCGCCTCCGCCGCCGGCCTTTGGCGCAGGGCTGCGGATGCCGCGCGAGCCGTCTCCTTTGCACTTTCCCGGCTGCGGTCCGGTCGTTCGGGGCAGCCCGGCCGGGGGTAGAGGACCCGGAGGAGGGGAGGAGCCGGAGGGAGAGGGGAAGGAGGGGGCCCGCCGGCCCCGCCCCCGCCCCGCCCCCCGCGGCCGGAGCCCGGGCTGCAGCCCGGCGCGCCTGAGCCTGCGAGTCCGCGAGCCAGCGAGCTGCGGCTGCGGCCTCCCCTGCGCGCAGCTACCCGGGCGTCCCGGCCCGCGGCCCCGCTAACCCCGGGGCCCGCGCCCCCGCGGCAGGGATGCATCATGGCCACGCTGGCTTGCCGGGTGCAGTTCTTGGACGACACGGACCCTTTCAACAGCACCAACTTCCCCGAGCCCAGCCGGCCGCCGCTGTTCACGTTCCGCGAGGACCTCGCGCTCGGCACCCAGCTGGCGGGGGTCCATAGGCTGCTGCAGGCGCCGCACAAGGTACGACCCGGCGGGGTGGGCTGGGCCCCCTGGACTCAGCCCCCTGCCGCGGTGCGCGCCGGGGTGGGTCCCGGGGCTTCGTGGGCCCCCTGGGCTGGGCTGGGCGCGGCCCGGGGGGACCATCGCTCGAGGGCAAATCCCCCTCCCCGTTAGACAGAAGGGCTCGAGGCACCCGCTGGTTGGCGCAGGACCCTCCGGGGCGGGCGGGAAGGAACAGCTAGAGCCGGGGGCGGGCGTGGCAGAGCAGGTGCCGAGCCGGTCCGAGGCGGGATGGAGAAGGCTCCCCCGAGCCGCGCCGTTAGCTCGGCCGGGTGGGCGGGGTGGGGCTAGGACGCGGGCAGTCGGCCTCGGCACTCGGGCGGGCACCAAGCGGGGCGCGGGAAGAAGCGGAGCGCCGCGAGACTCAGGTCCCTTGGAGAGGAGAGCTCTGAGCGACGGCCGGGACAAAACCTCCCTCAGGCCTCTGGGGCCGCTGCGGGCGGCCACGCGACCCTCGCGACAAAGCACGCTTCCCGGCGACACCGCCTCCTCCTTCCCCCGGGGGCGCCGCCGGGGACGCCGGCCGCACACTGCGATAGCGCTCAGGGTATCCCCCTTTTCTTCTGAGAAGCAGGTGGCCTTGGGAACCTCGGAGGAGCAGTCGCTGTGGGAGGAGGGGCGGGGGCGCGGAGGGGCGGCGCGCTCACAAAGCCTCAGCTTGGCAGCCCGAAATGAGTGTCCCCTGGGAAGAATGGCTGCTCAGTCTACCCGTTAGAGAGGTTTTTTTTTTTTTATTTGTTATTTTTATTTAAATAAAACCTTTTGCAGGAGGATAGGCCTCTTGCAAAGCATTTGTTGCAAAGAGGTGGGTATTGAAAGCTAATCATTTCGTTACCTAGGAAAACCCTTACTCTCACTTAGACAGATTGAATGCAGCTTGCAAAATTACCTTCCCAGTATTTTTTCTGCCTAGGATTCATATCAAAGCTTGGAGATGATTTATTTCTTGAGGGTCGACATTAACACATATTTGGAAGAGATAAGCGTTGATGCCCAAAAGAACAAAATTGATTTAAAAAAAAACCTCGGATTTCTGTATGATGTTGACCTGCTTTGCAAGTAGAGGAGGAGGTTGGTTGTGTGAGGAAACTGGTGGACTTTAGCAGTGGTAGTTTCCTCTCTATTAATGTATCAGTGCTTTCCTCCTCTACTTAGTTAGTAACGTTTTCAGGAATAAGGAATGGGGCATTTCCATCTCATTCTCTCCTGGTTGGTTCAGGACGGATACAGTCGTGGAAACCTCTCTGGCCACAAAAGCACATTTGATTGGGAGACAGAGGGTCGTCATCATCCAGAGTGATGTATTCTGGATTCAGCTGATCAGAATCACTTTTGTAAATTATTTGGTTCTTCTCAATTAGTTGATTCAGTGAAAAGTTTTCAAAGAGCTTCTTCTACATCATGATTATTCAGGCCACTACGGTCTCTGATTACAGTGATCTTTTGTTGAAACCACCAAAGGCTCATAATTGTGGCCCTGTGACCTTGAAGTGGTTTCCTTGGATTTCAAACCTTATATACATGGGTTGACCTTTCAAGCTGGGAGCTGCAGTATGTTTTCATGTTTCCATGGAACAGCCCCACAGTCTTGATCCTGGTCTGGTAGGAGAAAATCCTGATGCTCCTCCACTGCCCCCCTCCTCACCCCCAACTAGAAGCCCCAGCAGAGCAGTTGCACTGGCTTGCAGAACTTTCTAAGGTGTCCCTTATGGAATGAACAGAACCAGAAGTGGTTCTACAGAGACCCTTGACCTTTGTTTTGGGGGCCAGCCAGCCTCAGTCTCAGAATCTTTTGCCCGAAGACCCCTGCAGTATATTTAGATGTCTGGCATTGTTTTTCCCATCTACAGCAGAGTGAGCAACCGACTTTATTGATGAGGGTTCTGTAAAGCAGAAGTCAGGGCATTTATGTGCCTGGGTATACATTCATATTGTTAAGATGATACTAATTTCCATCAGAGAATCTTAAAATTGGATGATCCACCTTGATAGAAACAGCTGGAGTTTCAAGCACTTGGCATGTAGTGTATGCCCCACCCAGGCTCTGAATGCATGGTTTCCTTTCATACTACACAGCTCCATAAGGTAGGGGCTTTGATTGTCCCTATTTTAGAGATGAGGAAAGTGAGGGAGAGTGACTAAATGACCCACTTTTTGTGCTAGAAGTGGGGAACTGAGATTCAAACCAGCCCTGTGTGACTCAGGGCGTCGGTGCTGTTCTGTTCTGGGAACCAGGTATATGGCTGTGGACAGAAGCCATGCCTCCCGGGCTTCTCTTCCATTAACTGGAGGGGTTCACCCGGTCACCTTCAAGGGCCAAGCACTTTTAGGCCTGGGGACAGGTGAATGTTATAAATGAGTAAAAGCCTTGAGGCAGAATTCCTGGCCTGACACAGAGTGCATAGTCAGAAGTGGTAACATATAGTTATCAACTCTGCTGTGAATTAGCTATTGAGGGGTCTGTTGACCTGGGTGAGCTATCATACCAGGACCCTGCCACCAGTGAGGCTTTTTGGGCCACAGGGCGTGCTTCTTCCGGGTCCCACAGAGCCTGGTATTGACAAGAAGTGGAGTTCTGTGCAGCGAGCGCATTCTCAGTGGTACAAAGAGGGGAGAAGCATGAGCGTGGGACAGGCAGACACTCAGAGTGCTCTCAGCTCTCCTGCACATTCAAGCCCCTGAGGGAGTCAACTTTTTTTTTTTCTCTTTCTTTTTTGTGACAGGGTCTCACTCTTGTCACCTAGGCTGGAGTGCAGTGGTGTGATCATGGCTCACTGTAACCTTGACCTCCCTGGGCTCAGGTGATCCCTCCCACCTCAGCCTCCTGTGTTGCTGGGACTATAGGCATGCACCACCACACCTTGCTAATTTTTTTATTTTTTGTAGACATGGGGTTTCACCATGTTACCCAGGCTGGTCTTAAACTCCTGAGCTCAAAGTGATCTGCCCACCTCGGCCTCCCAAAGTTCTGGGATTACAGGTGTGAGCCACCGTGCCTGGCTGGGAGTAAACTTTTGACTGAAGTGGTCACATATACAAAAAAGTGTACAGGGTATAAGTGTGCAGTTGGGTGAATCTTCTTAAAGTAAATGTACCTGTGTAGGCAGCGCTGAGAAGGCCCCCTCAGAGGGTCCTAATTTTTAAAGCTCTCCTAGGGATTCTCCTGTGCTGGCAACCTTTGAACTGGACAACCTGTCAGGCCTTTCCTGGCTGAAACTTGAGTGTGGACATCTTTTCTTAACCTAATGATGTAGTAACTTAGTTCACGTCTGCTGACTCCATTAGAAGTTGAAGTTGTTCATTTAATAAAATTGTCATCTTATGCAAAAATAAGAGATTGTGCTTATTATGCTTTATCATTTTTTATTTCTTAAACTGATACATTATTTTAAAAAACTTCATCTGCTTATAGTAGTTCTAGGGAATATGATTAAATAAACATTAGTTTTCTAACAAAAAGTTCAAATCAGGTGCCATATTCTCATTGGGGAGATGTTCATTTTGATGGTTATATGTTCTAGGTTGGGCTAAGCAAGACATTTAGTTTTTGTTTTGAAATGCTGCAAAAGTAAATGTTTATTTCTGGCTTAATATTTTAAAAGAAAAATGGTAATTATAGGAGTTCTAATTTAGAAAAACCTCTGCAGTAGCATTCATAGAATCATAGTCCTTTTAAAGCTTAAAATGTGTTTGGATTGATTTGTGCTACTGGCATTTAATGATCTAAGGATTCTTTTTTCACTTTGATAGCCAACACTGGAACTGTAGAATATTTTTACAAAACACTGGTGACTTTTTTAGTGTACATGTTAAAATGACAATTATTACTTAATGATTTAATTCAGGAAATGTTTTGTTGCCCGGAGTGAGCTGGACAGAGTGGAGTTATAATAGCTGTCATGTCCTAGGCATTTGCCTGAGCTGAGAACCATCCTAGAGGGACATCAGCTTACCAAGCCCATGGCCATTCGAGGGCCAAGTACTGATACTGTTGCAGCTCATAGAAGGAGAGACCAAGATTGGAAGGAAGTCACCTGGTCACATGAGTGAGAAGTTCCGAGTTGGCATGTGACAGCAGGTCTAAGCTCTTAAGGACTCCACTTTTGTGTCCTGAATGTTCTCCTTCCAGGCAGCCTGTCCACATTTCAGCGTGCATCCTCTCATTGGATTAGCCTTGAGTGTACTGTGTTCATTCCTTTCTCACTACCCTTGTCTTTGTGGTTGCCTCGCTGCCTCAGCTATCCCATCTGTAAACAGCTGATTGCAGTGAGGATAGAATCTAGCTACTCCAAGTGTGAGCTGTGTATCACCTGGGCTGTATTAGAAATGCACACTCAGGTGCTGCCACCGCCCCTCCCCCCCGACCTGCTGAATCAGAACACATGCTTCACCAAGATGGCCTGGTGATTTTTGTGCACACTGCAGTCTGAACAGCATGGATTACAGGTGATTTAGGTCAGGCTCTCAGTACATGGGGGTTCTCACTGTCTCCCCTGTTCTCAGATAACTTCCCTGAGGGAGAAGACCTGGCTGTTCAGTTCTCTGGTGTTTCCCTCGAAGCTAAGTAGTGCTAAGATAGAATGTGCACTAAGTTGATTGATTGGTGTTAGTTTTAGAACACAAATCCACTGGTATTATTGCACTAATGAATTTCCACCTTAATCCTCTTAAGGGACACATCTGTTTGCTACATTACATTAAGATTTTTAAAAGATGAGATCATTAGTAAACTTGGCAAGTGTGTTGTGTCATAGTATCTTAGGACAACACTGTTTTAAGAATGTTGTATGAACAGCTAAGAGTGTCTCCATGTAAGCAGAATCAAATCTGACTCCACTGTAATTAGCTCAGTTGGTTGGAGCCTTGCTATTGAGATCAGGATCATGGGATTGAACCCTTCATGGGTCAGTTGGCTTTGTTTCATGCATGGCCACAGACCATATCGGTAACCTAGCCAGACATCCAGCAGGTGCTGTCATGGCCTCTTGCAACGATCTGGGTTGGAATAGACTGGCATCAATCTTTGGGAAGGAAGGGGCTGCTATGTCATGAACTTATGCTGGAGGCTGCACTGTAGGTCTCCATGTATAGCTTTATTTATCCTCACAACAACTCTAGCAGGCAGGCAGATGAGGAATCCCCAATTAACAGATGGGGAAACTGAGGCACAGGAGGTTAAGCAGGTTGCCTAGGGCTATACTGCGTTTAAGTGAAGGAGCTAAGATTTAAGGTCATCTTTTTTTTTCCTCCAAATCCTATTGTTAACTCTGTCCCATTATTAGAAAATCAGCAAAGCCCATGCTCTCTGTGCAGATGGGGGTGGGGTAGGGTTGACTGCATTGCCTTTGCATGCGGCTGCCTGTCACAGTGCTGTGATTTAAGTGGTTGTGCTCTGGCAAGTCCTCCCAGGGTTGATGCTCTGTGTCTATGCGTTTTGTCCTCGGACTCCAACCTGAGTCCCTCTGGAAAACAACAGGACTGCCATTGCCCTCCCACTCTGGACTCTGAAATGTTAGTTCTTAATAGTGTCGACTTTAAAACAGATTAACATGCTGAGGCCAACTCAGGAACAGCCCTCCCCCACCCTCCTTTTCTCTCCATATTTTATCTCTCTCTGACGATGATACTTTTGAACACTTGGGAACTTTTCTGTCTTCAGAGGACAGCAATCACCTGCTCCAGGCAACCTCCACACCTCATCTCTCAATAACACTGCTGTTGCCTGTGGCTGGCTTAGAGGCATAGCTGGGTCCTCCTCTGCTGGCCATTTTCAGAGTCTTGGGTTTGTCAGCATCTGCTCCATTAGAGAGACAATCAGAAGATTTTTGGGGGTGAAGGGGGAGCTGGGGGACTGTTTCTGAGCTTTGTTCTGAACTAAGTTAGAAAGAATGGGGAAAATTAAGTTACAGTGAATGTTAAGCTTTGCCAATCAGCGCAATCCAGATTGTGAGAAATTACAGTTTCTCCAACAAATAAATTGCAAAAGAAAGAAAAAGGTGGAAGGAAACCTTAGATGAAAAGAGATTAAAGAGATACATCAACCAAAGGTAATATGTGGCTGTGATTGAATGCTGATTCAAATACATTATAAAATAAATATTTGAGATCACTTGAACATGTGAGCAGTGATGTTTAATATTAAAATTATTAACTTTAAAGTGTGATAATAGTATTGTGGTTAGGTTTAAGTAACAGTTTATGGCTTTCAGAGATACATACTGAAATTATATGATGTCTAGAATTTGCTTCAGAATAATTCCAGATAAGAGACAAGTAGGTGAGTCAATATATGGATGGAACAGGATAGACTGTGAGTTAAAGTTGGATTATAGGTATGTGGGGAGGGCTCATGATACTACTTTCTATACTTGTGCATATACTGAAATATTTTAATAAAAGAGCTAAAAAAATTAGGTTACAATTCCAATAGTCCCCTTGGGATCAGAGCTCTTTCATTAAGTGTTACTGTATGATCTGAGTGTGTTTTCTATGGCTGAGATAGCTAACCATCAGTGGATTTTTTTTTTCATACCTCCAATGATACTTTTCTTCCCACCCTGATTGTTGTGTTCTCCTTAGAATCTTAGAAAAACAAGTGTAGGGCATCTGTCTTTTTATGTTCAGGGTGTCTTTCTAGGCTCAATCAATTCCCATGATGAAGTAAACAATTGTCAGTTACATAAACTATTAGCTTAGTAAGCGAAATGCTAAGGTAGAGATATTATACCTGTGGTTTCAGTATATGCTCCTAAATTTTTATTACTAAACTGTGAAGTTGCTAAGGCTATAATAAGTGATAACAATATATAAAGGCACTCAGTTTCCTAAGGCTGTTGATGCCCATGACATGCCTGCATAGCCACACTGGGGTGTTGTCCAGTTCCCAGTGAGCCAGCTCTGCGTCCGCCTTCAGTATGCCTCAGAAGAGGTTCTCAGTTTACAGTGAATGGCAGTGATGCTTTAATGTACATGAAAATGTAAGTTGTATACCTTGGCACCCTTATAATTACAGTCAACATTGATTTTCTATGGGCAGATAAACTTATTTATGAATTAACTGTTAAAGAGGGAGGAAGATCAATTATTTTTTGAAAAAAAATTATCACCAATCTGCAAAATATATACCCAGAAGTTTCTCTGTTTTTAGAGACACATAGTAACAAATGGAATCTACATTGTATCTATTTACAAACTGGAAACATCCAACTCCTCTTCACCAGTTAGTTTTGTAATCTAGATGTTAAAATGTTAGACTCCAAGGAAAAATGTTTAGAGTTTAATGTTAGAAAAGAAAATCTTAAAATTTTTGATCAACTTGAAAAAAGGGAAAATGTTAAACAACTTGCAGTTCAATATAGAAAGGTATTCCTAGACTTGGCAAAAATGAAACAAATTAGTTTCTCTTTGAATATCTTTAACGTTCTTGAAGAAGAGAAAACCAAGAAGGAAACTCCTGTGGTGCTGAGGTGCCTCATCATGCACTGATTTTTATAGCAGAGAATGAAATGCCAGAGCTGTAACCAGAGTGTGTGGGACAAGCCCAAGATTTTTTTAAGTTCTCAGAATAGAAGATAACCAAGGCATCTTCTGACTGCTTGATCAGAGCCAAAGAGTGGCTTGGGGTGTATAGCAAATGAATTGATGGGCAAACACTACCAGCTTGCATGGCTGGACACTGACAGGCTGGAGACTCTGAGTAGTGGGGTGGTCCTTGGGGGAGAAAACGAGGAGGAGGGTCCCTCTGGCTAAACCAGAGCCACACACAGCCTGCAGCCAATCACTGACCACAATTTTGACTAAAGAAGTTTATACCAATTGCATTTTATATCACTTTAACAATTGTTTGGTTTTATTTATGATTTGAGGTCACCTTCTTCAACCCTCCCAGAGTCAATGAAAATGAGCATGTGGTGACATTGGGGTTGAGACAAGTCGTTGATAGAATACTGTCCCCCTCCTCTGTCTGTAGTGTGATTAAATGAAAGCAAAATGAAATATTGTTAAGGGTGCTACACCCTAGAAACCTAGCTTTTAACCCTTCTGAACAATAAGGAGGAAACTTATTTCTGGGAGTCTTAGTGGCTGTGGTCCTCTGATTTCATGACATATGTGCTTGCAGCTGGAAGGGCATGGGCGCTGGAGCCCCTGGGAGAGCAGCCAACAGAGAGGACATTTGCAGTGTCCAAGTGGTGGAGAGTGTGGAGGGCTCGGAGCACAGTCTACAGTGGCCCCTCTGAGGTGCCTCACTCCCACAGCCTCGAGTGTGTTTCTGGGCTCTGGGCTCCATTGTCTGTCTAAGGGTTTGTGTGCTGACATTGCACTGTCTTACTCACTGTAGTTTACAGTAGGTCTTGATGATGTCTGGTGGGGTGGAGGCTTCCTGCTTGCCTTAGAACATAGCCATTAATGGAAAGAGAGGAAAAGTTAGAACCAGATATGTTCCATTCAGTGATCTTAACATAGAGAAACAGGCTAGGCAACCAACTTGTGTGACCAGCCAAAGAGGAAAGAGACATTTAAAAAATAAGAGTCAGGTCATATCACTCCTCTGCTCCAAACCTCCCTTAGCCCTCTTGCCATTCAGGGCAAACTCCAAAGTCCTCGAGTAGTTGGTCCACTTCTCCATGAAGGCAGAGTTTTTTGTTTTGTTTTTGTTTTTTTTAAATCTGTTTTGTTTACTGGTGCAGCCCAAGAGCCTAGAACAGCGTCTGGCACATAGTGAGTGTACAGTAAATATTTACTGAGTGAGAGGATAACCGTGATTTAGAGTTAGAAGGGAGGAAGAATAGTCTGCTCATCCCAGCCATTTCCTTGCAGAAGTCCCTTGTGTAAAGCCTCTGCTAGGAGCACCTCCTGACTTCTTCATGTATCATAGTGACCAGTTGCCCTCCGGCCTTGGAGTATAGCCTTTCCTATTTTTGAGCTTTATTTTTTATTTTTCTGAGACGGAGTCTTGCTCTGTCGCCCAGGCTGGCATGCAGTGGCACAGTCTCGGTTCACTGCAACCTCCACTTTCCAGGTTCAAGCAATTCCCCTGCCTCAGCCTCCCAAGTAGCTGGGATTACAGGCATGCGCCACCATGCCTGGCTAATTTTTGTATTTTTAGTAGAGATGGGGTTTCACCATGTTGGCCAGGGTGGTCTCGAATTCCTGACCTCGTAATCTGCCCGCGTCAGCCTCCCAAAGTGCTGGGATTACAGGCATGAGCCACTGCGCCTGGCCTGAGCTTTATTTTTTAGAAGTCCATTTTTCCCTAATTTGTATTTGGAGCGATGGTCCTCATATCTCCACAGATGGGGATGGACATGGCCCTTGAAAATTAATTGGTTGTGCCCAAGAGGATGGAAATAGGGTGGATAAGCCACAAGAACCATGACCCCAGGGTTTGGTCATGGAGTGATCTGTGACCTACAACCTGCAGATAGTGTCTACGGGGGCTGCTGGAAGTGCCACACCTGTTACCTTCCCCTGTGGTGGCAGAAGTAAAGAGCTGTTTTATGCCCATGAGAAAGCTGTGTAATGTGGACTGTTTTTATTACTCAGATCAGTATGTGTTTATTGATGTGCATGTGTCTTGTACTCTAAAGTATCTTCACACTGTAGTTCCATGCAGCTGTCCACTTAAACTGTGTGTGTGGGTGGACACAGGATGACTTTGCTGGAGAGAGGTTACTACTGACAAAGCTAGACTCAGGGAAGGAAAGACTAACAAACAAGGATTTCTCCCTTATACAACAAAGCATCTGTTCCTGTCACAGAATGAACACATGGATACATTTGGAGACTACAGAAAAGCACTTTGAAGAAATACAAATCACTTTTCTCATCACCCAAAGGGAACCACTCTTAACACTTTTGTGTCTTGCCAGAATTTTAACATCTATTCATAATAATATCTGAATACTTTCCCAAGTCATTAAATATTCTTGGAGCACATCATCTTTAATGACAGTTAGGTAATCCAGTCTATGTATGTACCATGATCCATGTAACCATTGTTCCCAGGTTCCATGAGGGAAAGTGCTCTTTCTTCTTGAATGTTAAATTTGTCCATGCTTGGTACTTAATACATATTTGTAAAATGAATGCATGAATGATTGAACTATTGGAGGTTTAGGTAGTTGCCAATAAGGAAAATACAGATAGTGCTATAATACATACCTGCAGAAAAATAAATATTTTTTCTCATATTTGATTACTTCCTTAAGACGAATTCTCAATGTTTAGTTGCTGAGTTGAAGGATAAAGATTTCATCTTGGATAGGAGCAGTTACCCTCATTTTAAGCATTGGAGGTAGCTGGAAAGATGGTCTCTAAATCCATCTGGGGCAGGTGAAGAGCCAGGCCAAGTTATGAAGCCCAGCTCCAACCTGACTTCTTCCTTTCTTTGTGCAGCTGGTATCACCTCCAAGACTGACACTTGAACTCAGAATACCACCAGGTGGGATTCAGAGATGATTGTTAAAACCGTGAATAAATTACATGTATGTATCCCATTGTCTCTACCCATTTTGAAGAACAAAACTCATTCTAGGCTTTCCTGGCCATCCCTCAGACACACCCGGGCTGTGCACTGAGCACCTTCGGACCCAGGACACTGTGGGTCTCACTTCATCCTGTGGCTGCGTCCCTCCACCAGATGTAAAGCCCCAGTAGCAGGAAGCACATTAACTTACCTTTCATTTCAGAGTTCCTAGGACAGGGTCTGTTACATAGTAAGCCCCAACAAATATTTTTTTGAATATTTGCAAGAATGTTAAATGGAAAAAGTGCAACATATGTTAATATACATGATGATTGCAGCAATAGGAAAGTGTCTGTAGGGTGGAGCCTTAGCCTTCAGATCCCTAAACTGTCGCCATGATTTGTGGATGTTATAACTCCTCCCCCACACTGTAGGTGAGTGTGGTAGAACCAACTCTTCAATGTATCAAAAACTTGTTTCTGGCCTCCCTACTGAGTCCCTGCTAGATCCTCCAGCAGGAAAGTACAGCTTGCAAGGAAGCCCCATGTTGGCAAGAGAAGGCATGCTGTCCTGGATGGTGTGGGCATGCCTGGGGGCTCTCGTGGGTGGGGTGGGTATTGGGGTCTTCTCTTATGGAGGGAGACCAGGCCAGACTTAAGGCCTGCAGTTCACGATGGGGAAGTACCAGCTTGTGAGCCAGGTGCTCTCACTTGTACTGTTCCTAAGCCTTGTTTTCCGTTCCTGCCCATGCTGAGCCGAGGGGAAGAGCGTTGTGAGCTTGTGTGAGGGGGAGGGTCCCTGAGGCAAGTGTGGCCACAGTGGCTGCAGCAGCTCTGATTAATGGGAAATTCCAAGAGGAAGGTAGACCTGGGGAGAAAGGAGTGGTGGCTGCAGAGTCCAACTGCCCTTCTTGCCAAACACGGAGATTCTGCCTTTTGCCAACCGTGGAGGCTCTGCGTAGGAGATTTTATTTCAGGTGATGGTGCTCACCTTGGAGGGATCTGTTACTCATTCCCATATCAGATCATAGCTTCAGGCTGCAGGAGGACTCAGGCAGGCTCCTGACCGCAGCTTCTGTGAATCACCAGACACCGGCAGTCCGGGAGCGGCTAGTGTCTGAGCTGCCAGTGCCCGGAAGTGAGAGAGGTTATCCAGTCTTCCTGCTGCTCCTCCATCCAACCTCAGCAGCACCATGTGCCTGGGAGCAGGGAAAGGAGAGCTGTTGGGCAGTCCTGTCCAGAACAATAGTCAAGGATACGAGTGGTTTTTTGTTCCCAGAACTGAGTGCATTTTTGTGGACAGTGATTCATTACAGAATACGCCAGTACTAGAACCACAGCATGTCTGTGCAGTTTACTAGGCACTGGGACATAGGTTAGCCTGGCTGATCCTCTCATGACCCTGAAAGAGGGCAAGTGGGGCATTTGGGCCTCCGTCTCAAAGGTGAGAAAATGAAAATCAGTTGGTTCATGACCAATGCACTGTAATCACCCCTCACAGGGTGAAAAAATGAACTCAGCACATGGCTTCTGTTGTTCCGCCTGGCTCCCTGTCTCCATCTGTCAGAGATAAACCTGAAGGATGTGTGTTGACACCCAAAGAAGTGTGCAGAGTGAACACAGTCAGAGAAAAATGTAA
This sequence comes from Homo sapiens, assembly GCF_000001405.40. Lineage (NCBI taxonomy): Eukaryota > Metazoa > Chordata > Mammalia > Primates > Hominidae > Homo > Homo sapiens. Next base: position 36,310,143 of record NC_000018.10, read on the forward strand.
GCTGAGTTGACATGACATTAAATGGAACAAGTTGGTGCTTAGTTTTACACAGGCTGGGGAGTAGAGCTTGGCTATGTGGTAAGCTTTATTTCTATCAATGCTACTGATCCCAGGAATGTGAAAATGATATCCTTTATTATGATGATGGGCTGGGGAAGTAAGGCATAAACATAATGCAAAGTGAAGTAACAACTGAAGGCAGCATATGACTCATGTCAAAGTGTGACATAGGCCTGTGGGGCTATAGAAATATCAACTTGGGGCCGGGTGCAGTGGCTTATACCTGTAATCCCACCACTTCAGGAGGTTGAGGTGGGTGGATCACCTGAGGTCAGGAGTTTGGGACCAGCCTGGCCAACATGGCGAAACCCCATCTCTACTAAAAAGTACAAAAATTAGCCAGGCATGGTGGTGGGTGCCCGTAATTCCAATTACTCAGGAGGCTGAGGCAGGAGAATTGCTTGAACCTGGGAGGTGGAGGTTGCAGTGAACCGAGATCGTGCCACTGCACTCCAGCCTGAGCAACAGGAGTGAGACTCCATCTCAAAAAAAAAAAAAAGAAAAGAAAAAAAAAAGAAATGTCAACTTGGGAAAAATCCACGTGGACTGCATGGCCTGGAAAGCCTCGTGGAGAAGGAGGGTGGGGTTTCAGTTGGTGAAAGGGAGGTAAAGGGCACCTGGTACAGGTGAGACACAGGTAGGATATGGGAGTCAGGATCAGGCTCCAAGGCTCTGGGTGGGTGAAGATAGCCCCCTGGAGGGATGTGGCCTGCAGCAGTGGGCCCGGGGCTAAGCTAATATATGGGGTTGACTGGGGAGCAGAGGCTGTTGTCAATGACCACAAACTGAATAAAAAATTATTTTCATTTCATGTAATAGAAACATGACAGAAAAGGAAAGGAAGAGGAAAGACAGACAGGAAGAAAATAATTACAGAAAAGATGACAGAAAGAGAATTGGGGCAAAGAAGAAAGGAGATGGATGGATGGGGAGTCACTGAAAGGCCACCTGTGTAGATAGCATGGGAGGAGGAAGGGAGACAGGGACAAGCCTCAGGATGTGTCTGGGCAGGGAGGGCGGGGACCCCTGCTGTTCATAGTCCCAGCCACTGCTAATTCCTGGTGAGCTGATTATCAAGTGTTAGCCAGTGAGGGCTTACGATGTGACCCTTTCTGGGAGCTTTCTCTCCTTCCTCCCTTTCACAGATGTTCTTGGGTGTCTGCTTGATGTCAGATTCTGCTGGTCCACAGAGTAACACAAATAAATGACACCAAGGGCTGGCAAAATGGTGCTGGGCTCCATGTCAGACAGACCTGAGCTCCGTGTTTCTAATGAAATCTTCGGACAGTAGCACCTCCCTCATGGGCTGTTGTGGACAAACACAAGGTCCTCATATTTTTTGTATGTCACAGGAGCATGCGTGGCCTCCAGCCCCAGGTGCCATGTGCAATGGTGAGCCATGTTCCTTTCCCAGCATTGTAGTCCCTTCCCTGCAGCTGTGCTATGAGATCTCCTCTTACCATCCCACACCTGCACCCCCACCACAGTGTCCCCACTCCCAACGTGGATCCTCACCTTTGACTGCAAAGACAAAGCAGACCACTCAGATGCAGCCCTGGCCCCTGCCTGCCTCAACCTCCACCTGCACCCACGTGCCCTGCTGTGCCCTCTTTGCTGATGGGGGGAGGGGGGACAGGTGCGCCCCTTCTTCTGGCAATGCCAGCCCTTTTCCACTGTGTCTTCACCCTCTCCTTCCCTCTGAGATCCTCCCATTAGCATTTAGGTGGGCTAAAGCCTCTTTTGTCCAGAAAGTCCCTCTTCCCTGGCCCTGGGCCCAGCTGTCCTTCTTCCACCCTTCAACCCTCAAGCCTCCCAGACCTGTCTAAGCCCCACTGTCTTACCTTCCCCCTGCCCTGTACCCTCCCAGTTCCTGTCACTACTGCAATAAAACTACTCTTGCTAAGGTACTTGTCTTTAAATCTAGTAGACACTTTTCCATTCTTGACTTATAGAATCTCACAGCAGCAATTGCTGTTTCTGATGGTCCCCTTTGAGGAATGCTTGCCGTTCTGTTTGATGGTGCGGTATTCACCTGCCCTCTCTAGTCCTTCTCAATCCTTCTGCTCCCTCTGGCTGTTTGAATGTTGGCCTTTCTCAGGTTTCTGTCCAAAGACCACACCTCCTCCTCACAGTCACCCTCTTTGTCCTGGATGGCTTTGAGGGCTTTCTGACGACCCCCTAGAGCTGACCCCTGGCTCAGCTCTCTCTGGGCTCTGAGGCCAAATACCCAGCTGCCCTTTGAACAGCTCGTCCTGGACGTCCCAACAGGCATTGAACCTGCCCCGCATCTAGATCAGATCTTGTCATCTTCCCACAGACCCATACTGCCTCAGCGAGGAGCATTGCCAGCCAGTTGCCCAAACCAACTGAGAACCTCTCCCTAGCAGCAATCCCTGCTCTGTCAGAATCACGTTCTGTTGATTATCCTGCCTCTTGGAGTCTACCTGCTTCTCCCTCTGGTCCATGTGTCATCCATGGCATATGGAAAGTGCTCAATAAATATTTATTGAATGAATGGAAAATAAGTTAATGTTTGAGAAAGTGTCAGTCACATGGGGATTGCTCAGAAAATGTGGGTGCCTATATTAGTTATCTATGGCTATGAATAAATCACCCCAAACGTAGTGGCTTCAAACAATCATATTTATTATCTCTCACAGTTTCCTTGGGCCATGAATTTGAAGGCAGTTCCTTGGGTGGTTCTGGCTCAGGGTCTGTCATGAGGGTGCAGCTGGATCATGGCCGGCCCTGGTATCATCTCAGATTTCTTCAGTCATATGGCCAGTGCCTGGGCTGGGAAGTGCCAATAGCTGGGAGCTCCTTGGGTGTCTCTCTTCATATGTCAATGGTCTCTCCCCAGGGTCTCTCTAGTATGGTGTCCTCAGGGTAGGTGGACTTCTTATGTGGCAGCTCCAGGCTCCAAAGTGAGAGGTCCAGGTGGGTGCTGCTCTCCCTATCTAGCCACATGCTCTGGCTGTACTCTACTTGTTAGAAGTGAATCACCAGGGCTGGCCCTCATTCAAGGGCAAGGGGGAATTAGATATCATTGTTTTATGGAAGAATTGCCAAAGAATTTGTGAACTTAAAAAAAACCTTCATATTTGGTAAAATTCACTTTTATTTTTGGTGCACAGTCCTATGAGTTTTCATATATGCATAAGTTTTTGTGACTGCCACCACTAACAGGACACAGAACAATTCCAGGAACCTAAAGAATTATCTCGGGCCACCCTTTTGTAGTTGTGCATTCTCAGAGGCCACTGATCTGTTTTCTTTCCCTGTAGTTTTGCTTTTTCCGGAATGCTATATGAATAGAATCATTTCGTGTGTAGCCTTTTGAGACTGGCTTCTTCACTCTGCACAGTGCCCTTCAGATCCAAGTTGTTGGGTGCTTCAGGAGTTCCTGCCTTTTGATTGCAGAGCAGTTTCCCCTGGTATGGATATCCCACAGTTTGTTCATCCATTCACTCACTGAAAGACACCTGGGTTGTTTCTGGTTTTTGGTGATTATGAATAAAGCTGCTCTAAACATTTGCATAGAGATTTTGTGTGAACCTAAGTTTTCATTTTTCTGTGATAAATACCTAGATTCTTTATTCAGCAGATAATTACCTGGCTCTCTCCTTAGCAGGGCAGTCAGGAGGTTTCTTATTTGGCAAGTTATCCTTTGTCCGAATAATTTGTCTTTTTTTTTTTTTTGAGACAGAGTTGCACTCTGTTGCCCAGGCTGGAGTGCGGTGGCATGATCATGGTCACTGCAGCCTCGACCTCCTAGGCTCAAGTGATCCTCCAGCCTCAGTCTCCTGAGTAGCTGGGGCTACAGGCATGAGCCACTGCACCTGGCCTGTCAGAAGAATTTGTCATTCGAGTTTCTGAACTTCAGAATGTAAGCACTTTTTAAAACACTGCCCACAAAAAAGATCATTCATTTAGATATCTTGTTTGTTCTTAATTCTTATGCCTCCCAAAGCCCTGTTATGGATGAATTGTGAGGCAAAGTACTGGCGTCCCCTGCCTCATGGCCTCATCATCCTGGGCTCTGACGTCACCCTGGCTCAAAACCCTCATTTCACAACTTTACACAGGGACAACGCCTATGACAGAGCTGTGTGAGAATCACTTCTCAATCCCCATGGGATACAAATCACCAGCCATTTTATCAATTAGCAAAATGGTGTAAACAAGCAAAGCAGCAAGTGGCACTAGAGAAATTAGAGTGTGAAAGGTGCACTTTGATCATTGCACACAGAGGTGATGTGAGCAGTAATGGAGGAATGCAGCCGAGTACATGTGGCTTTCTCTGTCACATCAGAGAATAGAGCTTTAGAGGAGGAGGTGGTAGGAACAATGGGAGGGGAACAGATATTTAAGAAGTTCAGGGGCTAGAGTATTAGATGTTTGGTTTTTGAATGAGTTTTATCTTCTCTTTGCTGAGGGCAAGTAAGGGTCCTAAAGTTGCCAAGGCCTCCAGATGGCCCTCCAAGGAGCCCCCTCATCAGGGCATCTTATACTTTCAATGCGTGCAGCCTGGGGACCTGCCTCAAATGAAAAACCAGAGTCTATCTTTCAGCTCTGTTTCTATTCTGCCTCCTTGTCTAGGGATCCTGACTTTCCTTAGAATATTAGAGTACATTAGGTCAAGGCCTAAGTGGGGGAGATCTATGTGGTTCTCCAAGTGCCTTTAAAAATCGAGGATGTTAGCACTTGCATTCCTGAGGAACACACAAGGAAGTTAAATGTGCAATCATGCTTGACGTCCGAGGAAGTCTTTCACTGACTCACAGAGCAGAACTCTGTGAGTTCTGATTCTAAGTCAAGTTCTCTGCAGAGCACTTGGAAATCAGAAAAGAATAAAGCATGGGCCTCGTCTCCAGGAACTGATAGGCCATGATGGTGTCAGGCTGGCCTGGTCTCAGCCTACTCTCCTAATAGGCATCACTTTATTTCTATGAAAAATGCACTCAGAGTTCCACATAGTCGATTCATATTGAACTTTTGAAAGATACCTGTGCATAATGTGGGGACTGTGCTTTTGCAGGAAATTGTGACTGGCTTATGTTTAGTGAGTTTCATTAGAAACTAGTTTACATGGAGATGTTTAGGGCATTGACCTCAGTCTCTCTTCATTTCCAGGCCTTTCCTGGCCTCAGCCTGCCTCCTTGGCCACCCAAGAGCTCTGGATCCCAGATTTGCTCCCTGTGACCAAAGTCTTTCCCCTCTGATATGACACCCTCACCCCGAGACTCTTGATTCTCTTATTCCACCCAGTGTACAGAAGTTTTTATCAGGTTCCCTTTTGGATGAAACTGGGGGGCTCCTGCAGAGGGCATGTGGGGGTTAAGGGGTCCTGGGGGGCTCTGGAACATCTTGAGATTTTGAATATTGCTTGTAACATTAGAGTTTGTGAACAGTGCTTTGGTGAAAGGCCTGGCCTCACAGCAGCAATGAGGGAGCACTTAGATCAAAGCCCAGAACCTGTGTGCTCACATGCCCACCATGTGAATTCCTCTGGCAGCCTGCCTTGCACCAGGCTGGGGGAGAGGACCCCAGATCTGCGATGTCCTAGTGAACCCCAGCAGTGCCGAGTACTCAAGCAGACACCCCATTATGTCTGCTCACAGACCCGACTTTTGAAAATGTAATTTTGGTTACCTGATTGGTGTCTGTGACTCCTGCTTGGTGCGCCCTCATGAGTGCTGTGATTTGCTAGGCCCTGAAGTGGCAGCTCTCTGCCCGCTGCTGCCACTGCACGCACCGTTCTGTGGCTGAGACAGCCATGAGTAAGAGCAGAGCTAATCCTCGGGGAGTGGGAGGGGAGAAGGAGGGGTGGCCCCGGGCCTGAGATTTCTTTGTGTCTCAGGTCTCTGGTATCTTTAAGCCTCTTTTCTTCCCCCACTTTCTCGGAGAGCCATTGCTCTCATTAAAAAAAAAAAAAAGTTCCTTGACCCACCTGGTCCCTAAAGCAGAACGTACCAGCTCCATTAAATTAACATATGTAGTTCTGCAAAGTCTAAACAGTTTAAATTTCATTATTCTAGGCAGTATTTGTCAGGTTGCCAAAGCAGGGGAAATCTGTGAGGGGACAAGGAGAAGTTTAGCCCCATGCATGCCCAGGATGGTACTTTGCTTCTGCCTCCTGGGGTGTGTAGGGGAGAAAACTGGAGCTCCTCTAGAGGGTCTACCACATTTCACCAGCATTTGTTCACCAGCAAAAAGGGCATTGCCCAAATTCTACTGCATGAGTCACTGGGGTTTAAAATCCTTCAGATGGATAGCGAGGTCACCTCTTGTCCTTTTGAGCTGTCTATATATATTCCAAAATATATCTTGGTCATTTTGATTGGTCATTATTGATTGAAGGGCCTTTGGTGTTATTAATGTTTTAGTAGTTTCCGATCAGTTTATTTAGGGCTCAGAGTAATCTGTAACTTGAGGATGGACCCGATAAGGCAAACTGTAAGAGCCCACCCCAGCGCCTGCTGTTCTGCAGCTCTGTTCCTTTTAGGGGTGGGCTTCATTTTTTTTTTCTTTATATTATACTTTAAGTTCTGGGGTACATGTGCACAATGTGCAGGTTTGTTACATAGGTATACATGTGCCATGTTGGTTTGCTGCACCCATCAACTCATCATTTACATTAGGTATTTCTCCTAATGCTATCCCTCCCACAGCCCCCCCACCCCCTGACAGGCCCCAGTGTGTGATGTTCCCCTCCCTGTGTCCATGTGTACTCATTGTTCAGCTCCCACTTATGAGTGAGAACATGCAGTGTTTGGTTTTCTGTCCTTGTGATAGTTTGCTGAGAATGATGGTTTCCAGCTTCATCCATGTCCCTGCAAAGGACATGAACTCATCCTTTTTTATGGCTGCATAGTATTCCATTGTGTATATGTGCCACATTTTCTTTATCTAGTCTATTATTGATGGACATTTGGGTTGGTTCCAAGTCTTTGCTATTGTGAATAGTGCCACAATAAACATACATGTGCATGTGTCTTTATAGTAGCATGATTTATAATCCTTTGGGTATATACCCAGTAATGGGATCACTGGGTCAAATGGTATTTCTGGTTCTAGATCCTTGAGGAATTGCCACACTGTCTTCCACAATGGTTGAACTAATTTACACTCCCACCAACAGAGTAAAAGTGTTCCTATTTCTCCACATCCTCTCTAGCATCTGTTGTTTCCTGACTTTTTAATGATTGCCATTCTAACCGGCATGAGTTATGATTTGCATTGTGGTTTTGATTTGCATTTTTCTAATGACCAGTGATGATGAGCATTTTTTCATATGTCTGTTGGCTGCATAAATGTCTTCTTCTGAGAATTATCTGTTCATATCCTTTGCCCACTTTTTGATGGGGTTGTTTGTTTTTTTCTTGTAAATTTTGTTTAAGTTCTTTGTAGATTCTGGATATTAGCCCTTTGTCAGATGGATAGATTGCAAAAATTTTCTCCCATTCTGTAGGTTGCCTGTGCACTTTGCTGATAGTTTCTTTTGCTGTGCAGAAGCTCTTTAGTTTAATTAGATCCCATTTGTGAATTTTGGCTTTTGTTGCCATTGCTTTTGATGTTTTAGTCATGAAGTCTTTGCCCATACCTATATCCTGAATGGTATTGCCTAGGTTTTCTTCTAGGATTTTTATGGTTTTAGGCCTCACATTTAAGTCTTTAATCCATCTTGAGTTAATTTTTGTATAAGGTATAAGGAAGGGATCCAGTTTCAGCTTTCTACATATGGCTAGCCAGTTTTCCCAGCACCATTTATTAAATAGAGAATCCTTTCCCCATTTCTTGTTTTTGTCAGGTTTGTCAAAGATCAGATTCTAGATGTGTGGTGTTATTTCTGAGGCCTCTGTTCTGTTCCATTGGTCTATGTATCTGTTTTGTTACCAGTACCATGCTGTTTTGGTTACTATAGCCTTGTAGTATAGTTTGAAGTCAGGTAGCGTGATGCCTCCAGCTTTGTTCTTTTTGCTTAGGATTGTCTTGGCTAGGCAGGCTCTTTTTTTGGTTCCATATGAAATTTAAAGTAGTTTTTTCCCAATTCTGTGAAGAAAGTCCTTGGTAGCTTGATGGGGATGGCACTGAATCTATAAATTACTTTGGGCAGTACAACCATTTTCAGGATATTGATTCTTCCTATACATGAGCATGGAATGTTCTTCCATTTGTTTGTGTACTCTTTTATTTCATTGAGCAGTGGTTTGTACTCCTCCTTGAAGAGGTCCTTCACATCCCTTGTAAGTTGGATTCCTAGGTATTGTATTCTCTTTGTAGTAATTGTGAATGGGAGTTCACACATGATTTGGCTCTCTGTTTGTCTATTGTTGGTGTATAGGAATGCTTGTGAATTTTGCACATTGATTTTGTATCCTGAGACTTTGCTGAAGTTGTTTATCAGCTTAAGGAGATTTTGGGCTGAGATGATGGGATTTTCTAAATATACAATCATGTCATCTGCAGAGACAGTTTGACTTCCTCTTTTCCTAATTGAAATTCCTTTCTTTCTTTCTCTTGCCTGATTGCCCTGGCCAGAACTTCCAATACTATGTTGAATAGGAGTGGTGAGAGAGGGCATCCTTGTCTTGTGCCAGTTTTCAAAGGGAATGCTTCTAGTTTTTGCCCATTCAGGATGATATTGGCTGTGGGTTTGTCATAAATATCCCTTGTTATTTTGAGATACATTCCATTAATACCTAGTTTACTGGGAGTTTTTAGCAGGAAGGGCTGTTGAATTTTGTCGAAGGCCTTTTCTGTATCTATTGAGATAATCCTGTGGTTTTTGTTGTTGGTTCTGTTTATGTGATGGATTACATTTATTGATTTGTGTATGTTGAACCAGCCTTGCATTCCAGGGATGAAACTGACTTGATCATGGCAGATAAGCTTTTTGATTTGCTGCTGGATTCGGTTTGCCAGTATTTTATTGAGGATTTTTGCATCGATGTTCATCAGTGATATTGGCCTAAAATTGGATAAAGAGTCAAGACCCATTGGTGTGCTGATTTCAGGAGACCCATCTCACGTGAAAAGACACACATAGGCTCAAAATAAAGGGATGGAGGAAGAAGATCTACCAAGCAAATGGAAAGCAAAAAATAAATAAATAAAGGGCAGGGATTGCAATCCTAGTCTCTGATAAAACAGACTTTAAACCAACAAAGATCAAAAGAGACAAAGAAGGCTATTACATAATGATAAAGGGATCAATTCAACAAGAAGAGCAAACTATCCTAAATATATATGCACCCAATATGGGAGCACCCAGATTCATAAAGCAAGTTCTTAGAGACCTACAAAGAGATTTAGACTTTCACAAAATAATAATGGGAGACTTTAACACTCCACTGTCAATATTAGACAGATCAATGAGACAGAAAATTAGCAATGATATCCAGGACTTGAACTCAGCTCTGGGCCAAGCGGACCTAATAGACATCTACAGGACTCTCCACCCCAAATCAACAGAATATACATTCTTTTCAGCACCACATCGCACTTATTCTAAAATTGACCACATAATTGGAAGTAAAACACTCCTCAGCAAATGTAAAAGAACAGAAATCATGACAAACTGTCTCTCAGACCACAGTGCAATCAAATTAGAACTCAGGATTAAGAAACTCACTCAAACCCACACAACTACATGGAACTGAACAACCTACTCCTGAATGACAACTGGGTAAATAATGAAATGAAGGCAGAAATAAAGGTGTTCTTTGAAACCAATGAGGACAAAGACATAACATACCAGAATCTCTGGGACACATTTAAAGCAGTATGTAGAGGGAAATTTATAGCACTAAATGCCCACAAGAGAAAGCAGGAAAGATCTAAAATTGACACCCTAATGTCACAATAGAATAAGAGAAGCAAGAGCAAACAAATTCAAAAGCTAGCAGAAGGCAAGAAAGAACTAAGATCAGAGCAGAACTGAAGGAGATAGAGACACAAAAAACCCTTTAAAAAAATCAATGAATCCAGGAGCTGGTTTTTGGAAAAGATCAGCAAAATAGACAGACTGCTAGTAAGACTAATAAAGAAGAAAAGAGAGAAGAATCAAATGGATGCAATAAAAAATGATAAAGGGGATATCACCACCGATCCCACAGAAATACAAACTACCATCAGAGAATACTATAAACACCTCTATGCAAATAAACTAGAAAATCTAGAAGAAATGGATAAATTCCTGGACACATACACCCTCCCAAGACTAAACCAGGAAGAAGTTGAATCCCTGAATAGACCAATAACAGGCTCTGAAATTGAGGCAATAATTAATAGCCTACCAACAAAAAGAAGTCTAGGACCAGATGGATTCACAGCCAAATTCTACCAGAGTAAAAAGAGGAGCTGGCATCATTCCTTCTGAAACTATTCCAAGCAATAGAAAAAGAGGGAATCCTCCCTAACTCATTTTATGAGGCCAGCATCATCCTGATACCAAAGCCTGGCAGGGGCTTCACTTTTTAAGACTGGGTTCCTGGTATATCTTTCTGGAATCAATACCTGTCAAGAAGCAGTGTGATACCCTCAAAGTGCATTGCACCTGAACCTGAGTAATTACCTGTAGTGTTTATTTTTTTGTTCACTCAACACATTTTCATTGAGCACCTGCTAAGCACTGGATTCTTTTAAGCATTGGAGAAATAACACTGAAGAAAACAGGCAGAAATCCTGAACTTCAGGGAGCTTAGGTTGAAGTGGGAGAGATGATAAATAAAATGAATTGGCAAGGTATGTGCTGTGTTGGGAGGTAACCAGTGCCATCTCCCTCGGCCTCAGTTTCCTCATCTGCAAAATGAGAAAATGGGGCCACACCTCCAGTGTTCCTTCCTTCCACCTCTTCTCGAGATTTCCTGTGATTTTTTTTTTTTTGCATCACTTCATAAGGAAATCCAGTAGTCTTTCTTACCTGCAGATATTCTTAATGAGAACACAGAAATGTTTCCAACAGTGTGGTTCTGCATCGTTCTTCTGGTGACAGTGATTGTGTCTGCCCAGGTGCATGGTGGGATGTGGTGTCATCCATAGTCTATCTAGGTTGAGGCCAGGGCCCATCTGTGCTCTTGTGGGCTTGCTGAGCCCAGTGCTCCCATGTGTGGGCTATAGGAAGGTGGTCAGGTAAATAATGAGATGGGGGTCCCCTCTCTGTAATGTGTATGGGGGTTGACAGGAATGGGGAGATGGGAGGGACCCATTTCTTCTCAGGACACAGCTCAGCTTGCATGACTTCTGGATAATGGGGCTTATAAAGTGATTTCTGTTTTTTCTCTCCTGGCTTGGAGCTTTCTGCAAATGGGACTGCTGCTGATCTTCGGTAATATGTATTGTGCTTTTGGAGTATATAGAGTGTTGCTTTCTCCTGGGTTTAAATCAACTAATGAGTACCCACCAAATGCCAGTCACTGGGTGAAGTGCAGGGAATGTGAGGGAGAGGGAGTGGCAGACACTCCTTTGGGGGACTTGCAGGTGGCTGGTTGGGGGACTGCCCAGTGCTTGGGAGCGGTGACCAGGGCTGTGAGCCCTCCGTGCGTGGTGCTATTTGTAACAGCTGGAGAAACAAGTGGTGAATATGCAGGGGGGGCACTTCCCATCTACAGAGGAGAGGACTTGCTTTTCTGTTTCCTGCATTCACTCTGCCGAGTCCTGTGAGTCATGAGGAGGGCGTGGGGCTGCAGGCGATGCCCTGTGTTCTCAGATGCCTCCTTTGTTGGAATGCCGAGAGACAGGGAAGCCTTGCTGTCCTATGACAATGGCCAGAGGCAGGGCCACCTGGCTGTAGGACACTATCTCTTGGTGGGTTTGGAGTATGAATTTGTGTGGTTGGTAGCTGGGATGGAGTGTGAGCGTGACTCCTCTCACCACCCTCTCTGGCTGAGGAACAGCAAGGCCACTGAGGTGGAGGGTGGGTTGGAAGGGTGGCGTCTTCTGTGATGGTGGGAGAAATTGGAGTAGAGGGATGACTGTGAGCAGTTGCCAGGTCTTGAGGTCAGGTGTGAGGAGGAATGGCAGAGCTGGATGGCACAGCCCTAGAAAGTGGAAGAGCAGCAGGAGGCCTGGAGGTGGGCCTTTTGGCCCTTTGGTGCACTGAGCCAGGAGAACAGGCCAGAGAACAGTCACCTCCTCTCGAGAGGGTTATGGGGGAGGAACATTCTTGGGGATCTCCAGAAGGGCAGTAAGTTGTCTGTTTTCTTTTCTGCTGAATCTCAGGTAAGGCCCCTTCTGTTGTGGGGATGGGTGAAGGGGTAAGGCAGGAGCAGGTACACCAGTAGGGAGCTGGGGCAATCCTGGAGCCTGTGGACCCAAAAGAAAGAGCAGGTTTGGGTGCCGGGGTTGGCAGGTTCCATGGGGGATTGGTGGGCACAGTGGGTTGGAGCTGCAAGATCCAGCCAGTCATTCCTTCTGCTGCTGCTCATCACCTGCACCTGGAACCTTGTGCCCCTTCATAAAGCATGAAGCATTCTTAGCTGCTAGTGACCTGGTGGTGTCCTTTCTGTCCAGTCTTGTCCCTACCTGCTGTCCACCTTAGCTCCTTGCATTCCTGGCTGCTTTGTGCTTGCTGGCTTTGTCATCCCTCTACCTTCTCCTCCCCATTTCCCTGATAGGGTCATCCTCGTCTTAACAGATCTGGCATTAATTCACTCACTCATTCATTCCACTGACACTTACTGCTGTCTGTTGAGTGCCAGGAGTGGCTGCTGGGCACTGCCACCTGCCAACCCTCAGGCTGGAGGGTAACCCTCATGGGTGCCCTTTTGGCTGCCTGTTTTATGCAGCATAACAGCTCAAAAATGGCCTTTGAATCCCACAGACACGCTTGCAATCTCCCTGAGCTTCAGTTTCTGCATCTGTAAGGTGGGGATGATCATGCCTGCCTGAGAGGGTGGCTGCGAGCCTGACATGCTTCGACTCAGGAAATGTCTAGCCCAGGGCTTGGCCCACTCAGAAAGGGGGCACCCGGCTGCCTCTGCTCCTCCTCTGTGTGTTATGTCAGGGCTGGGAGTCTCTGACAGGGGAAGTTGGGAACTCAAAGGCCAGCAACGGGGAATGCCTCCACGTAACACCAGGGCAAAGAAGACACTTGTTTTTTTGTTTTTTGTTTTTGAGACTGCACTAGATGGGAATATCCATAAGGCAAGAGTGCAGATCTTGAGGAGAGGCTTCAAATAGCATCTTTTACTCACCAAATGCAGCACATTTTCTGGAATGCTGTGGCCTTTGCTAGTTTGGGGGTCATAGCCCCAGGCACATCAGGCATCAGGATGCCTTTACCCACCCCTTCCCATATTCCCAGGGTTTCCTTGTGGTTGGGTGATGTGAAGCACTTGATCCCAGGGACAGAGGACTTCTCACCAGATTACCTTTCAGTTCTTAGCTCAGCTCAACACTGTTCTCTCCAGAGCACAAACTGCCAAGGCCACAGAAGGTGGGGAGTTAAGAGCAGGAAGTAAAGCACTCCTGTCACCAAGACTGCTCTCCCTGTTGCCACACACCTAATCTCACCTCTTCTCCCCAGGCTTCACTAAATCCTACCTGTTTCTCAAGACCATCCTCGACTACTTCAGTTTGATGCCCATAGGGGCACAGAGCCCCCATCAGCTTTATGCTATAAAGTACTAGCTTATGGTAGACCAATCCTACTTCTGAAAACAACTAGAAGAAGCTGAGTAGACTCTAAATAGTATGTAAGAAGACATTTAAACAGCTAGCCAGAACTTGTAGGGTCAAGACCCTAAAAAAAGGGAAAATTATTTGAAGTGAGCCCAGCATTCTCTGTTGATTTTCCCTGTGAGGAATTTGTTGATTCATAAGTAGCAAAGGCTGCTTTAAAGTTACAGTAGTCCCACAAGGATAGACAAATAGACCAGTGGAACAGCATAGAGTCCCAAAGCATAGCCACACACATGCAATGGGACAAGATTTGTCCTTTCACTAAATGGGACTAGGTCAGTTGGATATCCACATGGAAATAAATGCATCTTGACCCTTATGTTGCAGTATGTACAAAACTCAATTCCAGATGAATCATTGACTTAAAGGTGAAAGGTAAAACAATAAAGCCCCTAGGAGATAACAAAGGAAAATATATTTACAACTTTGAGAAGGCAAAGATTTCAATACAGGACAGAAAAACACTAGCCATAAAGGAATAAATAAGATCATTTTGAGTACATTAAAATTAAGATCTTCTGTTCATCAAAAGATACCCTTATGAGTGAAAAGGCAAGTCACAAAATGGGAGAAGATATTTATGTGTTATCTCTCTTTGTGTGTGTAAATATTCAATAAAGGACTCATATTCAAAATATATAAAAGGCTTCTTAAATAAGAAAATGACAGTCCAATAGAAAAATGGGGAAGAGACTTGAATAGGTACTCCGTTCAAGATGGTACCCAAATGACCAGTAACCTTTATTCATCAGGGAAATGCAAATTAAAACTATAGTGATACTACTGCATACCCACCAGAATGGTTAAAATGTAAAAGCGTGATAATCTTAAGGGTTGGAAAAGCTGCGGAACAAAAAGAACACCCACATACCCACTTTTAAAAACTCTTAGGCAGTTATGAAGCTGAACATATGCATGGTCTGTGACCTAGCAATTCCACACCTAAATAAAAACTCGACACCTTTGTATATATATGTGCCCCAAAAGACATAATACAAAACAGAGCAGTCTGTGTGATAGCAAAAAAATGGAAACAATGCAATGTTCATCAATAGTGGAATTGATACTTATAGAATATTCATAGAATAGAATACTGTACAGCCCTGAAAATGAATGTATGGTTATATCCCTGCAACATCATGGATGAATCTCACAGATATATAGTTGCAAGAAAGAATCTAGACACAGGAGAGTACATAATGCACATTGATATATCAAGTTCTAGTATAGGGAAAACTAATTTGTAATTTTCTAAGTCAAGATAGCAGTTTACCTTTGGAGAGGAGGGGGTTTTGACTGGCAGGGAGTGGTGGGGGTCTCTGGGTGCTAGTAGTGCAAGCAGAATATTTCCTTATCTGAGTGGTAGTTATATGGATGTGCTCACTATGAGATTCATTGATTTATATAGCTTTCTACACGTGTTATACTTAAATAATAAAGTTTACTTAAAAAATAGATGGAAGCAATTGGTATAGAATACCTTGGCTTTTGTAATTTGGGAATTTGCTATCTGGAAGAGGAGAGGTGATGAGAAAGTCCTAGAAGTTTTTCAGATACTTTAACTTGAAGGTTATACAGTGGCAGGTTTATCCTTATCCCTGAGTGCAGCGAGTGCTTTAGCACTGTGGTCTCTGAGGAGCCTGAGGACCAGGAAGCAGCAGAATAGCCATTTCTGTGGCCCTTTCTCTCCTTCAGATGCACTAGAGCTCCACCATCTTGCTTTATCCATAATAGATGGTGCTAGCGGTGGGCAGGGTGCTGTGGGCTGGAGGAAGGAATCCAAAAGCTCCTTTTCCTCTCTCTTTCTCCTTCTCTTTCTTCCCTCTCTTTTCTTCTTACTCTGTTGCAAAGAGTAAGAATTTTTGCTAGGCAGCCTGCACCCACAGATTAAAAGACAAAAGAACATTTACTTAAAGGACAGATGTAAATTAGTGTACTGGGACACAAATGCTAAGACTTCAGAATGTTGTAGAACCTAGACCCAGTGGGCAGTGCAGAAGGCTTCTTTGAGCAGGCAAGAATTCCATTGTCAGAATCTGAACGAGAAGTTTTAAAAACTTTCTTCAGGGAAAGAAAACCTCATTTGGTTTAACAACACTGATTCCTGCATGCCAGGGCATAATTGGCTCCTCCAGGAGGGTGTTTATCTCTGCAGTGGTATTGGCTGGGATCACTCAGCAGTCAAGCCATGTCCAGCTTTTGTGAGCATGGTGGTCAAGTCAAAATACAAAAATGTCTTTTGCAAGCCCTGGGGTTTTCAGTCTGGCCCCTTCTTGGTAATGGGAAAGTCAAGGAAAGAAATAACAAGAAACCATTGAGTTTATGGGAATAGAAAGATTCAAATATGCCTGCCAGTGGCATAATTAGGTTGACTTCTAATTTTCCTTTATATCTTCCTTGTTTTCAAGCTAACCAGATAAGTTAAAAACTTATTTACTCTTAAAAACATTGTCCTAATAGAACTTGCTTTTGATTCTTTTTTAGTGCTGTTTCTCATATATGAAGTCAGAACTGAAAATTCTATTCACTGAATTAACAGACAATATGTTTAAATGGTGTAGACTTTTTGCCACATATTTCACACTTATAAAGTACTTCAGGTCAGGCGCGGTTGCTCACGCCTTGTAATCCCAGCACTTTGGGAGGCTGAGGCGGGAGGATCTCTTAAGCCCAGGACTTTGAGACTAGCCTAGGCAACAGAGTGAGAGCCTGTCTCTACAAAAACATAATTAAAAAAAAATTAGTAGTCGCAGGTACTCGGAGGCTGAGGTGGGAGGATCACTTGCGCCTAGGAGTTTGAGGCTACAGTGAGCTATGATCGCACCACTGCACTTCAGCCTGGGCAACAGGGTGAGACCTTGTCTCTTTTATTTTTAAAATATAAAAAATTTAAAAGGTCCTTCAAATTGCTATACTTCTTGAGAAAACAATACTGAATTACTTGGTTTGTGAAAAAGTCCAAAGAACGTCGTTGGCTTAGGAAAGAGAGACTCACCAGGAGCAGATACCCAGCCCAACTGCCTATGTTGCACTCTGCGTTTTCTCAGCTCGGACTTTGGCATTTTACATCCAGTGATTCAAGAGTTTTGCCCTTGCTGGGACCGGTTATCTTTGAACCAGACAAAAATAGGCACAAAATCAGTTGCTTTCAGTGATATCTCTGTAAAGTACGTCATGAGGTTTCTTTGAATTGGGAGATTTTCCTGCTAATTTAGGAAGCAGCTGAGGAGGCTCTCCAAGGCAGCTCAGATGTTTCACCAATTCCCCAAGAGTGATCTTTCCCCCTCAACAATGCTGAAATCATTGACTTCATCACCTTTGTTTCGATTGTTAAAAATTGTATTCATCAAAGATAAAACTCACTGGTGTGCTGGCAGAGCCCCATTTGAGTTTTTGTGAAGATTAGATGAATTAATCCAGGAGTGGCATCTAGATGATGCTTGGAATGCAGTAAATTCTTAAAAAATGGCTTATTGTATAGGTATTAGCTTGGTGCAAATGTGCGGCTTTTGCCGTTACTTTCAAAGGCAAAAACCGCAATTACTTTTGCACCCATCTAATATGTTGTGAGCCACTGCCAGATGTTTTACCTACAAAATCTCAACTCCTCACAGTGACTCTGCAAGGTGGTTGGTAGTATTTCTCACTTCACTGATAAAGAAGAAGAGCATCAGAGAAGTAATTTGGGTGAGGTCACACAGCTGGTGAACAGCAGTGTAGGGCACTGAACCCAAGTCTTTCCTCCCCACTGCCATCATCTCTCTCTCTTTCTCAAATTGCGGTTTGAACCTCCTGGAAGGTTTATAGCAGTTTTCTTGTGGGATGGAGGGGTGGCATGACTTTTACAGTTTGAAAAATACTTCTTTGTGCTAGAGGTTGACAAATACTTTCTACAAAGGGCCACATAGTATTTTAGTATTTTAGGCTTTGTGGACCATACAGTCTCTGTGGCAATGACTCAACTCTGCCATTGTAGTGTGAAAGCACCACAGGCAATACTTAAACCAATGTGTATGCCTGTGTTCCAATAAAGCTTTATTTATAGAATTAGGCTATGGGTCAGATTTGGCCCATGGGTTTTTAGTTCTGTTCCCTTCAAGCCCCCCCACAACCTTAGGTGTTTCCACTTCTCTGTTAACAGCATCACTGCCTGTCTTCCTGGAAGCTTTCCACTTTATCTGTTCAAATGTCAAAGTTGCACCCTCTACTAATGTTTGAGAGCTGCCATGTGCTGGGCACTGGGGAGAGGGCAGTGGCCAGGACAAAGTTCCTGACCGCATGGACCTGGTATCTGGTGGGAGACAAGTGTTTGGCAGGTGGTAAAGATAAAAAGAATAGGTGAAGGAGACAGAGAGTGACAGGGATCCTTTTTCATGTGGGGTATCCCAGGAAGGACTCTGAAGACAGGGCAATGGAGCAGAGTCCAACAGGGTGGGAGAGAGGAGAACACATGGCTCTGGGTGAGGAGCTTTCTGGGTGGGGGGAACAGCAAGTGCAAGGGTCCTGAGATGGGAGTGTGCCTAGCATGTTTGAGACACAGCTGGGAATCCAGAGTGGCTGGAGTGCAGCAAGGAGAAAGAGGAGCTGTGCAAGCTGAGACCGGGAAGGGGAAGTCCGTAGGGTCTTTGTGTCATTGTAGGGCTTACTGGGGGCAGTCACAGGGGAGTTTTGAGCAGCAGAGTGTCCTGATCTGACTCATACCACAAGAGATCCCTCTGGCTGTTGGGTGGAGAGAGCCTGTAGGGTGATTAGGGGTGGCTTCCGGGAGCCTCACTAGGTGGATGATGTTGGGAGAAGCCCAGAGATTCCTGAATATGTCATGAAGACAGAGCCACATGTTTTCCCAATGGATTGCAGTAGAAAGTGGGAAGAGAGGGGTCAAGGCTGACTTGAGGTTTTGGCTGAAGCAGCTGGAAGGACAGAGCTGCACTTCACTGAGTTGGGAGACTGTGGGAGAGCAGGTTTATGGGGACAATGAGGACCTCATTTTGTGTGTTTAAGGTGGGGCTGTCAGTTGGATTCCAAGTACAGATGTCAAATAGGCCATGGATTCTCAAGTTGGGAGTTCAGGCTGGAGCCATACAGTGGGGAGTGAGCAAGGCATAGATGGTCTTGGTCTTTAAAGCCAGGCTGGCGGGTGTTGCCCATGGAGTGAGTACAGAGAAAGTGTGGGAAAGATTGGGGGATTCTTGCCCCGAATCCCCCATGTCTGCTGATTTCATGCCCCAAGGGTCTTACCTAAAAACCACTTCCGTTGCTTCCTTTCAAGTGAGTTATCCACAGAGCTACCAGGGAACCCTGGAGTGCAACACCAGCTGTGTCCCACCCCACTGAAACCTCTGGTATATCTGCACCACCCACAGAAGAGTACACAAGCACCTCTGTCTCGTGTGATTTGTACCAGTCCGCCCAACGAACCACTCTTGTACCCCCACCCCCAAATTCTGCCGCTGAGCAAAGCAAAGTGAAGTACTGTTGCTCTTGCTGCCTGTCCTGGTGTTCATGGCTCTTCCCACCTGGAACCCACTCCCTTACCCAACAGTATGTAATGGCAAGTAGCCACTGTGCCAGAGACTTCAAAGATCCTAGAGTGGAGTCATTGTCATGTAGACTTACATCTTTAAAAGGATTCTCTCAAGATGATGAAGGTGTTGGGGTATAGTCACAGGCCTGCTATGGCCCTCTCAGTCTGGGGGCTGCAGTGATGGGGTAGGGTGGGGTGGTGATGCAGGATGTGACTGGGGGATGCAGAAAGAGGGAGTACATGAGTTTCAGCTGTGAAGAAGAACTGGCTCAAGGAAAGGATGAGGCCAGCTGGTGTTGTAGCCCTGCCTAGTAGTGAGCAGGTTCCCAGCAATGCAACAGATGTCTTGAGGATGCCTGCATGGACCCAAGAGCCACATCCCAACAGGAGAGGGAATTCCAAGAGAGAACTAAGCAGGGTGCCCAGGTTACCATTGGGCCCGTTGCCATCAACCTGAGACTTACAAAGGGCAAATAGCTTTCACTTGCATATGCTAAATCAAATCAATTGATAATGCCTGCCTGGGGTGCCATCTAGGAGTGAGGTCTCTGAAGAAAGAATGCAGTGATTGATGAGTCAGGTCTACCAGGGAAGGTGTGGGGCCAAGTGTTGGCCATTGTGAACTGACTGACAGCTGTCCCTACTGAGTTTAGGAGGGCTTAGCATACCCCCTGTACACCCAGGAGGGAATCATGTTGTGTGAATTACACACCTAGCTTGAAATTAACCAACTTAACCAGACCTATTAGTTTTTCTAAAATGGAGTAGGGCAAAAGTCACAGGTTTTCTCCTCATTCTTTGGCAGTGACCCCTAACATTACGTCTATGTCTTACATCATGGAGTGAATAACATGTAAGCTTCTTGACATGTGAAAACAAAGCATCTGAGAGAAAAGATACCCAAAGTAGCAGGAGATTTCACCAAAAGGAAATAACATTTGTGAAAGCATTCTGAGCACTGTCGAGTGCTCTATAAATATAAGGACTTATTGTGCATTGCCTGAGGAGAACCAGCTCAGCCATAATGCTCACAGTTACAGGAGAGACTTGCCTTGTTACTTTTCCTTCCTACAGTTAAGTTTCTTCTCTTGGAATGTGAAGAGAGCCTCTGGGGATGGGCTTTGCCGGAATGGGTAGCTCCTTGCTGCAGGCTGAAGGCAGGGGACTGTGGCGTGCAGGGCTGACCATCCGTCATTTTGCTGGCTGGTGTATCCAGGAGGGATCAAGCCTGTGAAAAGCTGGCTGCTGCCACCAGAGGTAGGCAGGGTGACTTGGCTTCATGCAGGGAGGCCAAGATAGTCACTTTCCTGCTGTGCAGCCTGCTGTTTATGGGCACGGTCTTTTCCCAGGAGGAAGAACTTCTTGGGAAACCACATCAGGGTTAGGGGGTCTTGGTGAATGCAGCATCAGAGCTGGAATCTTTTTCTGATGAGTGAGTGAGTGAGTGAGTGAGTGAGTGAGCAAGCATGGCATCAGATCAGTGGAAGGCACATGGACCTCTGTGGCCCAGAGTGAGCATGCTCATTTGGGAGCTGGCCTGCCCTGCCCCTGCCTTTAGATGAGACATTCCTTGCTGCTCCCCAGGCGCTCTCCTGCCATTCCTGTTCTGATGATAGCCAGATCCCACCTGCTTCTGGGCGCAAATCTCTTTGTAATATTTTGCTTGTTCTGATTTCCTCCAAAGAGGTGTGTATCCAAATCTTTCCCATTTTCTTTTGTAAATGGGTGAAACTCTAAACAATAACATACAAATAATTTTCTCTGCTGACATTTGAAACAGGCTTCAAAATTCTCTGGCATTCAAAAAAAGTTTGGATTGACTACTAGTTTAAGAATATTCAAGAGGGGGGTTTTAGTCCTCTCTCAGCCTTTGTATATACTTAATTGACAAAAGAACTGGATTGCCAGAAAGTGCACTAGAAGTGAGTCTCTCTGCTTTATACGAGGCCTCTTGTTCTTCTGAGAATACTGATGTCAGTAGATAAACGTGGCAGAGTTTGCTGGCCTGAGCTCCCCACTGTAACTGTAGGGCTTCTGTGGGATGGATATTAGGGGCAGTTCTTCTGCTACAGCAGTCTGGAGCCAGTCAGGAGTGAGAAACCACACAGTGATCTAAACAGGGAAGTTTAATATGAAGAATCATTAACCTATGCCAGAAGAGTAACTATAAGATCAAAGAAAAGTCTATAGTCCCCTAGGGCTGAAGGTACCAAAGGAAGGACAACTTTGGAAGGGGTTCAGTTCTTGTTGGAGAAGGTGTGGTTGGGTGAGGATGGCAGGGAAGTTCGCTGATTTAGCTGGTCAGCAGTCATGGGGCAAACAGGAAGCAACTTCCCAGAGCTCAGGAGGGGTGGGGGAGCTGCAGCTGGTGTTGGTGTGTGGCCATGCAGGGGAGTGGGGCACCGGTGCAGGCAGGAGCCTGGAGTGCACACGGATAGGAGGACCATGGGAGACAAACCTGGGGGCAGGGGATGAGTGAGCAGAGGGAATTAATGCAATGGTGGGCGGGTGGACTAGAGCACCAGTTGTGCATGCTGAGAGGTGATCGCTGGGCTGTTCAGGGGCTGTGAGGTTGCTGAAAGAGGGCACCTTCTGGGTGTAAGGCTGAGGAACAGCCCTGCCTGAATGTCCTCCTCTCCTCCTCACCAGTCCCTTCCTCCTGCAGTGTTCCCTTCAGCCAGAGTCCTCTTCTGAGAAAGCTTAACATTGTGCTCACTGTAAAGGAGAAATGCTTGAAGGAATTCCTTCCATTATTGCAGAGTATGTATTGAAGGATGAATTTGGAGCTGAGAGGCAATACCTTGCTAACTGGCATACCTGGTTTGCCTTCCCTGCAGCAGCTGTGGCCCCAGGATGTCTGTGGGGATGTAGGCGGCACCTTGCTCCAGGTGGCCCTATTTATTTCAGAGTGTGGCTCACATAGGGGCTGGCTCTCCTTGCAAGGCTTCTCTTTAAGGCTTTGCCTTAAGGACAGAGGCCTAGAGGGAAGGAGACATGATTCTCTCTCACAGGCCTGCTAACAGCTCCACCTGAAAGGAACTGAGCTGGAGCAGGCAGATGCTCCTGCTAGAGATGTATGTGACTTGAGGAACTTAACTTGCCCCATTTTGGTTCTGGCAGTGTCAACTCTGGCTCACAGAGGATGCCCCCCTCTCTGCATTCTCTTCAACCCAATGCAGGTGTGAAACACTTGACCGGTGTCTGTTTCTGTGTCCTAGACAACTGGTCCCATCCACAGCTTGAGGAGTTCCTGGAAGGAATCTTTCTTATTGGTGCACCTGCTAGGCAGGTTCTGTGCCTGCCTCTATGAACTCCCTGGCTCAGGTTGGAGTGGGTGGGCATGCCTATAGCGGTAAGGCGGTTGCCAGCGTTAGTTTTGCTTAGTCTCCCTCTGCCTGGGCCCCAGCCATAGAAATTCTGACTTAGTTGATGAGAATCAGGGTTGTGGCATCATCTTCCCAATCCCTTACCCCCTGCCATGTGGTTTTAAAGTGCAGCCAAGGTGGGGAGCCCTGATTTGAGCCAGACTCTGCCTGCTGGGGCAGGCCACCTCTTGGCTTGTGTACTCTTCTGTTTACTTGTGTGCCTCATTCATGTTTGCTATGAACATTTTGAGAGCAAAGATTGTTTTCATTCTCTTTGCACATCTGTCTCCCACACTGCCCTTAGCCAATGGCAGCCTCAAACTTACACTGCACCCACCAGCCTTGGTTCCCTGGAGCAGTGGAGTTGATGGTGCCTCCAGGTTTATACCATAATCGGCAAAGAAACTCACTGTCTCCACTGGGAGATATGACTTTCTAGACTTTATCGGGTTCTAATTTTTACTTGCCAAAGGAGGGAGTGAGGAAATTTAGTCTCAGAGAGGATGGCTGTCAGGTAAAGACAGCTGCTGCTGGCTACCTTTGTCTTGGAACACTTGACCTGCCGACATGGAGGGGTGGTTGTTTGTCAACTGGAATTCTTCTCCAGGAGTTTGTTTACAAACTGCAAGAATTCCATGTAGTCTTCACTTAATTTGGTGGAAAGGATCCAAACCATTGTAAAGCTAATCCAGAGGAATGTACAATTCTGCCTTTTTGGGTTTATAACCATTTTTTGCCTTGGCAGGATCTAACGTGAGCTGTCATGGCCATTTCCAGATGTGAACAGTCCACCACGTTTACACAATCCAGTTGTCCTGCCTGCAGTGGGGTGTGGGTGGAGCAGAGTCATCTGTCTTTGTTTAACCACAGCTCTCAAAGTGTGGTTCCTGGACCAACAGCTTCAGTGGCACCTGGGTACTTATTAGAAATGCAGACTTTTGACCCCACCGCCACCCCTCCTAACCTATTAATCCTGAAACTCTGGGGGTGGGATCCAGCACTCTGTTGTAAGAAACCCTCCAGTGACTTATCCATGCTTAAGTTTGAGAACTGCTTCTCTATCCAGTAGTCAACCTGGATGGACAACTTAGCACATCACAGTCCCACCTGTGCTTTTTCTTTTCTTTTTTAACCCCCAGTGCTTTATCTGTATTCAGCCCTGTATTCTCCATGTGTACCTTTTGAATCAGATCCATATTCCTGGCCAAGGTCAGATGTGCTGCCTTAGTGAGGCCTTGACTGACCCCTGTCCTCCAGCAGGTCTGCTCAAGCTCTTGCATTCTCTCTCTGACCTCTGTTGAGTGTGGTCCCCCCACATCAGCAGCACTGGGCTCTTGTTAGAAACATAAAATCCTGGCCCTGCCCCAACTCTGTAGGTAGTTTCTATCCACTTTAAAGGTTAGCAAGCACTGATGAAACAACTCTGATTGTGTTAAAATAAGTCAGTTTTTTATGGATTACATTTTTAATAATACTTATTCATTAGGAAAAAAATGGGACATACAGAAAAGCCCAAGAAGCAAAGGCACCCAAGTTAAGGAGAGGCAGCTCTTTCCATAGACACTGACATGAGCAGCCTCTCTGGGTATCCTTATTAAGTGCTGGTCTCACTTTTGTTCTAGGAGGAGTGCTATTCAGATGACCTGTTTTTGAGACAGAAGCCATCCTTTCAACAACAGCTAACACCATGTCTTACACAGAACAGATGTTCAATAACTATTTAAGGACACAAACAGGGGGTTTTAAGCATTTGCTGCTTCTGTAAGGGTATTGTCTCTTTCTGGAGATTGGAGTGTCCAGAATATTAATGAGGTAGGTCAAGGGTGTTTTGGGCTGAGCTCAATCTTGATTCGGTGATCAGAATGTCTCAGTCTGGAATCTCCATGGTTGGCTTTCCTGAGGGACAGTGAAGCTTGATGAAAAACTATGCATGTAGCTCTCATTCCTGGCCAAGACTGCTCTCTGTACCAGAAAACTGACTTTCTGACTTACTGGGAAGACTAATGGATAATCTGATTTAGGTTTTAGTGGAATAAAAGTGTGACTGAAAGAGGGTAGAGGGAAAGAGGGAATCGTCCTGTCTGCCCCTCTGGCCCAAAGATAGGGGACTAATTTATTCCTGTAAGGAGGCCTGGCAGCTGGTGAGAGGTGTTCTGAAGTGCTCCAGGGGCCACCTTCAGCCCAGCACCCTGGCTGTGTGCCCCTTTCTTTTAGCAGGTGTGCCTGAGGCCTGTCCCTACCCCTTGTGGCCTTGGGAGCAGCTGCAAATCTCCAGGGCCTGGGCTAGGCTCATGGATGCACATGGCAGTCGCCTAGGACAGGGGTGTCTAATCTTTTGGCTTCCCTGGGCCACACTGGCAAAAGAAGAATTGTCTTGGGCCACACATAAAATACACTAACGCAAAAGGATAGCTGATAAGCTAAAACAAAAAAAAACTTGGCCGGGCGCGGTGGCTCACGCCTGTAATCCCAGCACTTTGGGAGGCCGAGGCGGGCGGATCACGAGGTCAGGAGATCGAGACCATCCTGGCTAACAAGGTGAAACCCCGTCTCTACTAAAAATACAAAAAATTAGCCGGGCGTGGTAGCGGGCGCCTGTAGTCCCAGCTACTCGGGAGGCTGAGGCAGGAGAATGGCGTGAACCCGGGAGGCAGAGCTTGCAGTGAGCCGAGATCGCGCCACTGCACTCCAGCCTGGGCGACAGAGCGAGACTCCGTCTAAAAAAAAAAAAAAAACTTAAAAAAAATCTCATAATGTTTTAAGAAAGTTTATGAATTTATGTTGGGCCGCATTCAAAGCTGTCCTGGATAGCATGGAGCCCATGGGCCGCAGGTTGGACAAGCTTGGCCTAGTAGAAATGGCTGTGACCTTGGAGTCATAAGCTTCTAGACCTGTCCAGCATTCCCCATTGCCCAGCTTTGCTGCCTGGAGGAAGTGTCCAGCTTGCCTCATACGGATGCTGCTGCCACATCTCTGTTCCTGGCCTCCAAGTGTGCAGAAACTTGGGTGCCCCTGTGCTGTGCTCCTCACGTGCCTCTGTTGCTAGACAGGGGTGGCTCTGAACAGTAGGCACAGAGGAACTAAAGCCTGAATGGTTCCTGCCTGTTCAGCCATTACCTTCCATGAGGGTGCATGAGGCTGTGTGAAAACCGGGTTATACTCATGCACATGACGGCACGGGCATCTCGCTGGGAGAACAGCATGAACGTTGTGGCAACCTTTTAGGACATACAACGTGTTCTTACACCACACACATCTGGTGCTGCAGTGTCTGCTTGGCCAGAGCATTTCTCATCAACATCTGGGAAGGATTACTCTCTGTCTAAAACCAAACCGTGTGGTGGCCGTAAGAAACTGCATGTTTAGGCAAATTGTAAAATAAGCAGGCGGTGGTGCTCATGTGTGCACCTCTATGAGGATGATGGGTATGAATTGTTTTCCAGAAAATCTCAAGTCCCTTCACCTTGAATGCTGAACCGGAAAGGAACCTGAGTTGAGTCCTGTCACAAACGTGTCACTGCCTGTGACCAAAAGCACTTGGACCATTTCTGGGGCCTGAAGAAAATTTTGATTTTGACATTTTAAAAGCCATCATTATAGTATGCATTTTAGCTGTAGAGTATCTCTAGATCCCAATAAGATGGTGACTGATGACAGATCTTAATCTCATAGATGGTAATCTGTGAATTCACATTTCACAGTGGATTCTCACTAGAAAATAGACTATGTTTAAAATGTTCATTGACCATCCTCAGCAACCTTAGATTGAAAATTAATTTTGGCTGAACGCAGTGGCTCAAGCCTGTAATCCCAGCACTTTGGGAGTCCGAGGCGGGCAGATCACCTGAGATCAGGAGTTCGAGGCCAGCCTGGCCAACATGGTGAAACCCTGTTTCTGCTAAAAATACAAAAAAAAAAAAAAAAATTATCCAGATGTGGTGACATGCACCTGTAATCCCAGCTACTTGGGAGGCTGAGGCAGGAGAATTGCTTGAACCTGGGAGGTGGAGTTGCAGTGAGCCAAGATTGTGCCATTGCACTCCAGCCTGGGCAACAAGAGTGAAACTCCGTCTCAAAAAAAAAAAAAAAAAAAAAAAAAAGGAAATTAATTTCTATGTCGAGCACGGTGGCTCACACCTGTAATCCCAGCACTTTGGGAGGCCAAAGTGAGTGGATCTACTTGAGGCCAGGAGTTTGAGACCAGCCTGGCCAACATGGCGAAACCTCATCTCTACAAAAAATATAAAAATCAGATGGGCGTGGTGGTACATTCCTGTAGTCCTAGTTACTCGGGAGGCTGAGGCAGAGAATTGTTTGAACCTGGGAGGTGGAGGTTGCAGTGAGCTGAGATTGTGCCACTGCACTCCAGCCTGGGTGAAAGAGTGAGACTCTGTCTCAAAAAAAAAAAAAAAAAAGTTAATTTTTATATTAAAGGTCAGATTCTCCAGACTCACAAATGAGCTAACTTGGAACATTCCCAGAGTCTGTACTGACCATTTGTATTTTTTGTTATAGAAATGTACTTCCTGCACAGTGAATACGATCCCCAAACACACCAGACCTGGTCACAGTGATAGCCCTGCACTGGGCTGGTATATAACGTGAATAATCCTGGAAGAGGAGTGGACTTTTCCTCTCCAAACCTTTCTCAAACACAAACTGAAGATGACAATATGTGTGGAGGTTTTTAGGGAATATTTACTTGGGGCATGTGACATTACAAATGGCAGCGTTTCACTTTTGCTGTCCCCTGCATGTGGCTCTTTGGAAGGGCCATCCTTCAGCATCCTGGAGCTCCAGGGGAGACAAGTCCTAAAGACTTGTGGTCCTCTGCTCATGAGCAAGGACCATGCTTGTGTTTTTTTCTTTCTTTTTTTCTCTTCCGATTAAAAGTGCACAAGTTGTAATTTAGAAATACATGGATGCCTGTGGATTTTAAAATTGGATTTTAAAAGTTGTGGCAGGGAGTACAGGGACCAGTCTTTAATTATAGCTCACACCAACCCTATACTTTGTGATGCCAGGTTGGGGGAGGCATCACTGCTGAACAGGACTCCCGTAATCTGCATCTCAGGCATCTCACAGTGGGGCTTTCTGTTTGTTCTGGAGACAGAATGGAGGAAACAGAGGGGAGGCAGCGGATGCTGACTTGGGTATCTGGGACTCTGAGGATCTTAAAGGCAGCACAGCCCTCAACAAGTAGAGGTGTTTGGTTGAGGGGTTTCAGCTGATCACTAAACCAGGGCTGTCTGGTCACAGAGTTAATGAATTACTAAGGGAACGGAGTAGAGTCAATTACACTGCTGGTTTCATGCTGCTGACCTTGAAATCCTCTGGTTATTGAGAATGTGGCAGGTAGAGAACATTAGTGTTATGTACAGTTGAAACTAAATGAAGAAACTGCACATTTAATCATATTGCATCTGAGGAAAAAGATCTTTGTGTCACGTGAACCAGGGTCCAGATATGTAGCAGAAATGAGCTAGGCAGGCAGGTGGCTCTGGATACTTGGTAGCCTGTGCTTGGAATGGAGGGCAGTACTGCTCAGCTCAGCCTCCCTGGGGCTGCTGTAAAGGACAGCCCAGGGTTTCTGGATGTTTCCAACCTTCAAGAGAAGCTGGAAACCTGGCTTTTTATGTACCGTGCCTTTACTTTTAACTATTGGCAGCTAACCAAAAGTATTCTAAAACGCCATGTGGGTCACACCGAGTGTGGCAGTGTTCTGCCAGTTGCAGAACCATGATGTCCTGCAGGCCCCATCATTTCACAGCTGTGATAGATAACAGGCTGGCCCAATATTCTGCTGCCAGCTTGGCTCTGAGGCTGGATTTCTTTATCCCTTAAGGGCTGTTTTCTGGGGGATGCTATGGAATGACTCGTGAGTTCTGGGTTTTCCTGGCCAGCAGGCAGCTCACCCTCTAGTATTCTTAAAAGCTTTTCCTAGAAGTCCGCAGTCACAGCCAGCTGGACTTCCCTGAGGTGTGGCTTCTGCTCCTGGGCCTTCGTATCACAGATGCCAGGTGGAGCTAGATTCTTGGCCCATTTGTGTGTTTTCCCTGGATCTCAGTGGGCCTACCCTTAGACCCCAGGATATACTCACTTAGCCTGAAGGGTGCCGTGTGGATAAATGTGACAAAGTAGGAAGGAGAGCCGGGCACTGGCTACAGAGGGGAAGTTCTGAACAGATTGGGATTCCTGAGTTTCTGCTCTTGGTTTTCAGCCCAGCCTGAGACTTCTGCTCTCCCCCTGCCCAGGGGAGATGAAGTGGTGGTGTCTCTGTCACCTTTTCTCAGGGTGGGGCCCCAGGTTCCTGCATCAGATCACCTGTGGGTGGTAGGAAATGTGCCATGTCCCGGGCCCCACCTGCTCAGACTCACAGAATTAGGATATTGGGGTATGTTCCAGGAATCTGCACTTTGAATGCTCCCAGGAGGTTGATGGAGGGATGGCAAGGGCACTGGGCAGTAGGGTCTTGTGATTCCAAGTCATGTTCTATGGGCCCCACCATCCAGGAATGCAAGCAGATGAGGGCAGGCAGCAGCCAACTGGCTGCTTCGGGCTCATAGCCCAGAACCCAACAGGAAGTGTTGAGTGGTGGCCTGCCCTAGGACCGACTCCATGGGTGTGTAACGAGTGTAGTTGCACAGGGCCCCATATGCAGAAGGGGGCTCTGCACTTGGAATTTAATGCTATGTGGCTATAGTCCTGAAATTCTTAATTTTATTTTTGAAGTTGTGTCTTTTAAGCAAAGGCCAACGGGACAGTGGAGCAGGTGCTAGGGGCTTGGCGCTTCTGCCTCCCTACTTCCCTGTGGTGGGTGGTCTGCTGCCCACTCCTCACCCCGCCCAGGGACTTCTGCTGCTCTTTGCCCAGCAGGGGCCTGGGTGCAGGTGCAGAGAGAGTTGGGGTTGGGCATGTTCTTCATGTGCAGAGTGGTGGGGCTGGGGCTGTGGACACCTGTGAAACTCTACATATGTCCAGTGAGTATCCCCGTGCCTGAGAAAGTACAATAGTAAATAGCTGATTTTAAAAAACACCATGGGAGGTCAAAAGAGACTGCTGATGGAAGGAGAATGATTTTTTTCCTGCTTTTTGAACATTAGGCCCCACATTTTTGGTTTATGCTACAAATTATGTAGCTGGTCTGAGTGACCCTATGCATAAACCCTGTTCTTATTGGATCTACTTTATTGGTGGCTCACATTAATGAAATAATGCACCCCTTCCCCTAGGTTTTTGCTTTCTCTCCCTTTCACCAATTCTTCATTCTGATAACACTGAAAGTCTTTCATATGTTTAGTTTCTTTATACATTGTAGTATTCTTGTTTGAACGAATGTGAACAACAGGGATTTTTAAATATAAAGCAATAACATATTAAAAGTCCTTGAAAGCTTTATGCAAGAGCTTTGATGATTTAAAGAGAATCAGTAAGAGTTATCCTATTTATGTGGTTTATCCAATAATTGTTCAATTTTTAAGTGCGTGAATTTGGTTATGTAGTTTAGCCACCTAGGAGTGATTTGCACTGCCTCACTTTGTTAGGCAGGATAATAATAAATAAGCAGGATACGCTTGGGACCCGCTGTGTGCTCTGTGAATGTTTGCAGAAGACTAGGAGGTGGGGATTGGAGCATACATATCTTGGCAAAGGTTTTTATTGTTTGAAGGTTGAGCAGCTGGTAACACTAGGCCTAATTATTCCAGATGTTATAGTCTGTGTCTCACTTGACCTCTCATCACATTTTCCAGTTGACCATGTTCTACTTGAAGCACTCTTCCCTTGGTTTGTATGACGGCTTTCTCTTGTTTTTTTTTTTTCCCTCTGGTTCTCTCTGGCTGCTGCTGCTCAGTCTCCTTTTCTTTTTTTTTCTTTTTTTTCAGACAGAATCTTGCTCTGTCACCCAGGCTGGAGTGCAGTGTCACGATCTCGGCTCACTGCAAGCTCCGCCTTCCGGGTTCATGCCATTCTCCTGCCTCAGCCTCCCGAGTAGCTGGGACTACAGGCCCCCACCACCACGCCCGGCTAATTTTTTTGTATTTTTAGTAGAGACAGGGTTTCACCGTGTTAGCCAGGATGGTCTCGATCTCCTGGCCTCATGATCCGTCTGCCTCGGTCTCCCAAAGTGCTGGGATTACAGGCGTGAGCCACCGCGCCCGGCCAGTCTCCTTTTCTTTGATGCAGCCTCTAAATGTTGTTTGCTGAGGACTTAGTCCTTTGCCTTCCTTTCTTCCTCTTCCTTGTATTCTCTTGCGCAGCAGCTAAGAACAATGTCTCATGAGCCAGGTCGTTTAGGTTCAGTTGCTACTAATTGTGTCAATCTTAGGCAAGTTATTTGGCCAAATTACAGTGTTCTGTGAGCTTGTGCTACAGATTTATATCAATTAAAGATGAAATAATAATAGTGCCATCCTCATAGGCTTGAGTGAAGATTAAATAATTCATGTTAACTTGTGTTAATTGAATAGTAAATATTTTTAGCTATTAAAAGTTAGATGTTTGGGCTTCTGCTTTTGGCTATAATGAACTAGCTTGTAGCAGACCAATATTCTACCCAGAACAGTGGAGAAGCTAGCCAGAGGACCAAAAACATTTGTTTGAAGGCTCTGGAGAACTACCAAGGTGGCCAAGACCCCAGAAAAAAAGGAGACTCAGTGAGGTCAGACTCATTAAGTCTGATATTCTAAGTTGCTTTTCATCTTGATGTATTTACCTGTTCATGAGCGGCAGGTGCAGGGTCTATGAAGGCAAGTAGAAAGTGAGGAGGCTGAGAAGTTAAGCAGAGCTAATAGTAGTTTCATTCTGCTGGGGAGAAAAAAATGGAGATGGGGTCTTACCAAGATAGACTGATTCTGTTCAACATTCCAGGCATTCATTGGGACCCCTAAAGATTACACTATTGAAATAAGGGCTAACCACACACATAATAGGCCATACAAACACTGAAATCCAGTTTCGAGTGAGTTTAATCCTTGTTTGGATTAAGGAGATCTGTTCCTATGGCTTGCAAGAAGCTAAGGAAAATCCTCTCTGAAGGAAAACATTATCCAGGACCTCTAAATGTTTTAATGAACAATGACTACATTCAATAAAGATTTATTCGATATATCCAGAGTCATGACCAAGAAAAAAAGGCCACAGAAACATCTATGTGATCCAGATAACAGAATGATCAGATATAATCTCTGAAACAATTGTGATAAATACATACTAGAAAATAGATTAAGATAAGGAATTTTAACAAAACAAAATAGAGAAATACAATATAAATAATCAAATGGAAATTTTAGAAATGACAAATACAAAAAAAGTATGGAGTAAATGGTTCAACAGAAAATTAGACACAGATGGAGGGAGAATTAATGATCTGGAATATAGGTCAGTAGAAGATATTAAGACCAATTTGTGAAGAGCAGAAAATGGAAAATGCAGAAAGGAGCATAAGAAGCATATGAGTCATGGGTCTAAAATATATGTATTAAAATAACAGAATGGGAAAAGAAGGAGAATGGACAGCAGAAATATTTGAAGAGTTAATGGCCAATTTTCTAAAATCAACAAATGACACCAAACTTTAAGTTCAAGAAGTGCTGTGAATACTAGATAGGATAATTACAAGGTAATCTGCATGCAAGCACATTATATTAAAACTCATGGGAATTAAAGGCAATGAAAGTATTAAATGCAGCTAGAGAAAAATAGATTATCTTCAGAAGAGATATATCAGACTTAGCTGATGTTTAAACCAAAATGATGTAAGCTAGAAAGCAATGGAATAACAGTTTTAGAATACTCCAGGAAAATAACTACTAATGTAGCATTCTTTATCTAGCAAAACGTCCTTCAAAATGAAGGTGATATGACACTAAAAGCACAAAGAACAAGAGAAAATAGGTAAATTGTACTTTATCAAAGTTAAAAACTTCTGTGCCTCAAAGGGCATCATCAGAAAGTCAAAAACAATCCATGCAATGGGAGAAGATTTTTGCAAATCACATATCCGATAGAAGACTTGTATTAGAATAAATAAGAAGCTCTTACAACTGAACAACAAAGACCAATAGCACAATTTTAAAATGGGCAAAGGATTTTAATAGCTGTTTCTCCAGAAAAGATATATACATGCCCAGTAAATACATGACAAGATGATCAAAACCATTAGCCATCAGGAAAATGCAAATCAAAAGCATAGGATATCATTTCACATTTATTAGGATTGCCATAATAAAAAGGGCAAACAACAACTAGTGTTGGTGAGATTGTAGAGAAATTGGAAACTTCAAACATTGCTGGTGGGAATGTAAAATGATACAGCCACTTTGGAAGACGGTCTGACATTTTCTTAAAATGTTAATGACCCAGCAATTCTACTCCTAGGTATATACCCAAGAGAGGTGAAAGCATATGTCTACATAAAAACTTGTACACAGACAAATGTTATAGTAGTATTATTCATAGTAGCCAAAAAGTGGAAACAATCCAAATGTCCATCAACTGAGGAATGGATAAATAAAATGTGATATATCCATGCTATCAAATATTATTCATCAATAAAGGGAATGAAATACCAATAAATGCTACAGCATAGATGAAGCCCATAAAACATTATGCTTAGTGAAAGAAACCAGTCACAAAAGACCACTGCTATAGTTTGGATGTTGTCCCCTCCAAATCTCATGTCAAAATTTGATTCCTAGTGTTGAGGGTGGGCATAATGGGAGGTGTTTGGGTCATGGGGATACATCCCTCATGAACAGATTAATGCCCATGGTTGGGGGAGAGTGAGTTCTTACCCATATTTTTTCCATGCAAGAGCTGGCTGTTAAAAAAAAGCCTGGTACCTCTGTCCCACCTCCTTTGCCTCCTCTCTACCGTGTGATCTCTGCACATGCTGGCTTCCCTTTGCCTTTTGTCATGAGTGGAAGCAGCCTGAGGCTTTCACCAGATGCCCAGTCTTCCAGCCAGCAGGACTGTGAGCCAGATAACTCTTCTAAAATTATAAATGACCCAGTCTCATGTATTCCTTTATAACAACACAAAACAGACAAAGACAACCACGTATTGTATGATTCCACTTACATGAAGTGTCTAGAGTAGGCAAATCTATAGAGACAGAAAGGAGATTAGTGGTTGTGAGGGGCTGGAAGGTATATGTGTAGGGCAATGAGGAGTGACTGCTAATGGGTTTGTGGTTTATTTTGGGGGTGATGAAAATGTTCTGAAATTCACTGTGGTGATGGATATACAACTCTGTGAATATACTATAAGCCGGAGAATTATGCACTTGAAATAGGTGAATTATGTGGTATAAATTATCTCAATAAAGCTGTTACCCCCAAAGTGGGGGTGAAATCAAGATGCTTCTAGGAAACAGAAACTGACCAATTTTGTTGTCAGCAGACTCTCACTAAAGAAATACTAAAGAGAGTTCTTCAGGCAAAAGGAAATTATTATAGATAGAAGCACAGAAATGCAGGAAAGATTGAAGTGCAATAAACAAGGTAAATCTAAGTGAATATTGACTGCCCAAAACAATACTACTTCATGGGATTTAAAATGCGTTTCTCATTATCTCAAAAGGTATAGCTGGCACAGTGGGACACACCTGTGCTTCCAACATAATGAAACCTTGTCTCAAAAAAAAAAGGTATAAATCATATTAAAGTGGTCTAGTGTCCTTAACATTGTCTGAGAAGTGATGGCACTAATTTAGAGTAGTTTTTGCTCAGTCAGGAAGGCATATTATCTATAGGATAAATCACTAAAAGGCTTAATAAAAGAATGTGTACCTGGGAATAAATAGAATACTAGAAAGGAATATAGAAGAATAAAGAATAGTAGATTAAACCAAATATGGCAGGAAAAGAGGAAAAAGGAAACTAGAACATGCAGATTAAATACTAAACATGCAGATTTGAACTCAAACATCAGCAATCATTTTAAATTAACAGTCTTTGATATATTTTTATTAAAAATTATCAGATTAGATTAAAAAACTATATTCCACTTATAAGAGATACATCTAAAATATATGGGTACCAAATATTGTAAGTAAAGGACTAAAAGAAGACTATCCATGCAACACTAACCAAAAGAAAGTAGCATGCCTGTATTAATAACAGACGTACTCTTCAGGCAGGAAATATTACTAGAGAGAAGGAGGAAATCTCATAGTGCTAGAAGAGTCCACTAGGAAGTATTTGTCTGCACCTAATAACTGAAATAAATGCAATATTGACAGAATGAAAAGGAAAAATAGAAAAATTCACAGTTGTATGCCTCTCTATAGAACAAGCAGGTAAAGAGCAGTGAGGATAGAGATTTAAGCATCTCATTTAACAAACACTGCAACTGTTAGGATGCATTATTTTCATGTATTGGGCCATAACACAAGTCTCAAGAAATTTCGAAGAATTCCAATCATACAGAGTATGTTTTTTTTTATCACGGTGAAATTAAGCAAGAAATCTACAATAAAAGAAGGTATTAGAAAATTCCTAAATATTTGGAAATTACTTAATATACTTTTAAATAATTTTTGGATCAAAGAAGAAATCCCAGTGAAATTTAGAAATTATTTTGAATCGAACATAATGAAAATACATCACATCAGATCCTGTGGACTATAGCTAAAATTTACTTAGAGGAAAATTATAGTCTTTTTCATATTTATTTATTTATTGAGACAGTGTCTCTCTCTGTTGCCCAGGCTAGAGTGCAGTGGCACGATCATAGCTGACTGCAACCTTGAACTTCTGAACTAAAGAGATCCTCCTGCCTTAGCCTTCTGAGTAGCTGGGACTACAGGTGTGCACCACCACACCCAGCTACTTTTAAAAAATTTTTAGTAGAGATGAGGTCTTGTGAAAATTATAGTCTTAAATGCACATAATTGAAAAGAAGAAAGGCTGAAAATCTTAAGATTTTAGAGGTTAGGAAAAAACATGCCAAACACAGAGAATACAGAAGAAAATAATAAAGATAAGAATAGCAATTAGTGAGCTAGAAAACAAACTTACAGAGGAAAAGCAATATAATCAATAGTTCTTTAAAAAGACATTAATAAAGAACTTCTCCTAAATCATTAGAGAAAAAATTCAGACAGCACAGTTAGCAATATCAGAAATTTAAAAACGGGAATACCACTACCGATTCTCAAGACACATGAAGTAAGCAGTTATCTTTCGGCATGCCAATGCACCTGTGGGATTTCAACCATCATATTTTTATTCACACCCAGCCCCCTGAATCTATTTCTTTATTCACCACCATTTTTAGACATAACACGTTAAAAACAAATCCCAATTTTGGCTGGGCACAGTGGCTCATGCCTGTAATCCCAGCACTTTGGGAGGGTGAGGAAGAAGGTTTGCCTGAACCCAGGAGTTCAAGACCAGCCTGGGCAACATGGCGAGGCCTTGTTTTTACTAAAAGTTAAAAAATTAGCCAGACGTGGTAACGCACACCTGCAGTCCCAGCTACTTGGGGGGCTGAGGCAGGAGGGTCACTTGAGCCTGGGAGGTCAAGGATGTGGTGAGTCTTGTTCATGCCACTGCACTCCAAGCTGGGTGACAGAGTGAGACCCTGCCTCAAAACAAAAAACAAAACTGAAAAACCAAAAACCAGATCCTCATTTTATCCCATCTCCCTGCCCCCAAACAGCTATTAGGCCAGTGTTTGCCATGTTAATGCAAATGGTAAATGGTATCACCAGTTACTAATTTGCTCAAGCAAGAAACTCAAGATTTTGCCTCTCCATGTTGGACACCACCATATCCGATCAGTCACTCAATCCTCTAACTTTTCCTTTCTCCCTTTTATGCCCTCCTTCCCTATACCATTTCTCTCCCTTTCCTTCTCTCCATTTCCACTGGATTCACCATTGTCCAAGCCACATTGAAATTGTCCCTGATCCTGGCGGTGGCTTCTCCATTTGTCTTCCCTCTTCCATCCCCACACTGCAAAGCTGGTCCTGCACACATCTGCTCACAGCCATTCCATTTCATGGCTTCTTATTGCCCTAGAATCAAGTCTAGTCTACTTTGGGCAGTGAGGCTCCCCCTCCATGGCCGGTGGCCTGCCTCCCTTCACTGCCTTAAACTGCTCCCACTCTGTGACAGGACTTTTGCATCCACTGTGCTTCAGTCCCTACACCCCACATTCCACCCTAAAGAAAACAACAGAAACAACACAGGCAACAAACTCATTGTGCTCCTCACTTCCTGAACTGCCACCAGCTGTTGGGTGATCAGGACACAGTGTAGTGTGTGGCATGGACACAGTGTCTCCCCAGGACACAGTGTAGTGTGTGGCATGGAGAAGAACAGGAAAGGACTATCAATCTGAATGAGTGAACAAGCCAGTGATAATAATAATCCTGAAACATAGTGTTGATACGATTTTCAACTTGAATAAAGTGAAACGGAAAATGGCAAAAGGTGCCTATAGACATAAGTAAAAAATATATTCCAGCTTTTTCAAGGGAAAGTTTAATGTATTTTTGGCTATTTAATGATAACAAAATATTTTAAAATAATTCAAATGTTTACCTATTTACCAGACTATCACTCCCTCTAAATTTAAGCTCTGAATGGGAGACATCCGGCCTTTGTCTTTCTTGCAGAATTTGATAGAGGCTCTTGCCTTTGGTTGGTGAGCTGGACTCTTTTGTTGACTTAAATAGAAATCTTGGGCTTATTGGGAAACTGCTTAAGTCAATTTCAAGACATTGCTTCTCTTGCTCGGTGGCCACAAAGAACATAACTTATTAAATATTTCTGAGAAAGTAAAGTCCAACTGCTTTCAAAGTAAATACATTCATATTATTTCATAACCCATATATGCTGGATCATCAAAGATATCTTTGTACTTCATCCTAAAACATTTATTAAAGTAACTATGATGTGCTCATTTAGAAAAGGCCAAATGGGCCACTAAGAACTTAAAAGTTTAAAAATGATTTGTTGGGGTTAGCCAATAGGAACTACTTTCTTCTGATATCATGTGAATTGATTTCATGTAGTCTTTCTCTTAAGAAAATTGACCAAGTGTTACTTGTATTTTTAAAATATGTAAATGTAATTACAATTTTTTATGTGAAATGCATTATACATACAAAGGAATACATGTGAGAAGTGTGTATAGTTTGAAGGTTAATGAAATGAATACCACATTCTCACTATCACCTTAGGAAATAGCAGAGGACAACCTCAGAGTGCGTGCCCTGTATCTTGTCCCTTTGCAATGGTTGTTATGGGTTATGGGGGAATCATTAGTCCATAAAAGTTAGAATGATTGAACCGAGTTTTGTGTTGGTTTTATTAAGACTTGTGAAAGGGACATGTGGCACTGCTTGTTGGAAAGCTCTCTTTCCTAACATTTTTTGCTTGTCCTTTAAGTCCAGTTCCTTGTCTCTGCTCCATTTAAAAGGAACCACAAAATCCAAGGAAGCCACAAGCTTCATGGCTGCCTAGCAACAAAAGTACCATTTGAGGGGGGAAACAGGCATAGCTGTATTGCAACTGACCAAATGGAACATGCTGACTGCTTTTGGGCTTCTCTTAGAGCTGTATGTGCCTGAAGTGGGGCACTCAGGGGACCCATAGTCAAGCTGGCCCTGGAGAGAGGTAGGGTCCACAGCAACACTTCATTTATGAGCCAAGAGTGGGGCTAGCTTTGTGGGCGTGTGACTGATGGAGTCAGAAGGGTCCTGTGCTTAAGGTTGCTATCTTGAAATTCTTCCAAGTTTTATCTTTCCATTTGCATTTTGAAAGTGAATTTCCATGGATCCATGGAGCACACTCTGGGGGTTTGGGACTTCGTGTGTTCTTGCCTCCTGCTGTGTCCTCTCCTGTGTGGGAGGGTCCTTGGCTGACTGCTCCCTCACTCCCCGGTGCTCCAGGCTCTGTTTGGGCTCCCCTTCCTTGCTTTTACCCAGCAAGTGCTGCTGTCTTCTGCCCCAAGCAGGACTTTGGGCTCAGGGATGGTCAGGGAAGCAGGACTTTGGGCTCAGGTATATTCTTGCTCTGTGGCATGTCAGGGTTGGGCAGGTAGTGACCAGCCCTGCCTTGAGCCTGCAGTGTCGTGGTGCATTCAGCGGGCAACTCGAAGGGGGCAAACCTCTCACCCACCTGCCATCCAGGTGCAGAGCATGTGGAGTGTGAAAGTTGTTTTCCCTGTCGGCTGTGGGTTGAGGTGGCAAGCTCATGAGAAGAGGAGGGTGACGTAAAGTCAGAACCCTAAAGTTGCTGCTGAGCCTGTGAGTCAACTGGAAAGTTCTGGTTTGGCCCAGTTTGGCCAGTTTCTCCTGGGCTGTCTCATGTGTCTATCATGTGGGTCATCTGGAGGCTTGGCCATCCAGGCTGGCCTCGCGTGACATGTGGCAGTTGGCAGGCTGTGAGCGGGGGTGGCAGGAGCAGCCAGGCCCGAGTCTTTCACCCTCCAGTGGGTAACCCCAACATCTTCAGATAGAGGCAGAGCTCCAAGAGCAGCAAGAGAGGGCAGCCCCAGTCTCTGCCAGGTCACACGTGACACTGTCCATTGGCCAAAGCAAGACACAGGTCACCCAGATTCCAGGAGTAGAGGAAGAATCTACCTCTAGAGGGAATTTGCTGCAAAATCACATTGGGAGGATGTGGATGCAGGGATGGGGGAACCAATGAAGTGCCATAAGCACTTGCGCTTTCCATTAAGTTTACTTTTTTCTTTTTAAGATCAGAATGTTTTCCCACTTCTAAACTATAACCAAAATTAGTTTAAAGAGTAGCCCTAGTATATATTTATAGAACGGTTCTGTGCAAATCTATTTCAGGATTACACAGAAATTTTATTGCCTGGGCTATGGATCGCTGTGGACCTGCTGCCAAAACCTAGATAATCATTAAGCTACCCCAGTAACATGCTAGTTCACTGGACTAAGAAAAAGAAAGAATACATAAATCGAGACGTGACATCAGCCTCCTTTGAGATGTTTGGGTGTTTTTTCAGGATGGTGAGTCTGCCCTTTCTTTTTTTTCTTTAGATGACAGTCTCACTCTGTTGGAGTGCAGTGGCGCAATCTTGGCTCACTGTGACCTCTGCCTCCCTGGTTCAAACAATTCTCCTGCCTGAGCCTCCTGAGTAGCTGGGATTACAGGTGTGTCACCACCACACCCGGCTAATTTTTGTTTGTTTGTTTGTTTTTTGGTGGAGATGGGGTTTCACCATTTTGGCCAGACTGGTCTCAAACTCCTGACCTCAAGTGATCTGCCTGCCTTGACCTCCCAAAGTGCTGGGATCACAGGCATGAGGCATCATGCCTGGCTTGCCCTTTCTTTTTGACTGCACTATCTTTGCTGGAACAGTCAAAAGAACCCCAGAGTGACTTTGCATAGTGTCTCTACAAGGAGTGGAAGGCTCTTTCTATGTCTCCAGAGAATGAGGTCCTGCTTTATTGGTGTGTTTTATCCCAGGCGGAGTGGCACAAAATCCTGGATATTTAGAAGGACACTTACTGTGGATCTGAGACTGGCTGCCCGCTGAACACCCTGCCTCCCACCAGAATCCTGGCCACAGATTTACAGCCCTATCTGTGTGAGCCTGCAACCCAATCTGAAGTCTTCCTGTTGCACCGCTGTCACTGCCCCTAAATTTCCTTAATCGCTGTACTTCTGTAATAGCCCTGTAATGTTATCTTCCCCCATGGCTCCTGGCTTTGTCTTATGTCCTGAAGTGCCTGGCAATGTCCTGGCCACCAAACCTAGAGCCAAGAAAGGACTGCAGGGGACATGCTGCCAGGGGATCAGGGTTGATATGAAAATTGTCAGAGTCAGGAAATTCCAGGTCCCTTAAGTCACTTGGGAAGACATTTGACAGGAAAGGCCAAGGAATGGGATCAGGTTGCCTCCGTGTAAGTAAGAATTGAGATTCCCCGGTGGGGACTGGTCTGGCAGGGAGGTGTCTGAGTTTTTCGCTCTGTAGGGAAAGTTTTGATATATCTGTCTAAATCTGTGTAATAACTGGATTTGAATTAATCACCACTCACTGTCTATTCATATTGTTTTTAGTTCTTCGGAAAGTTTATGACTGTTACTTCTTTATCACTGACAAGATTGAGGAATTCATTTAGTGTACCTATTAATTTGCTTATTAAAATAATAACTAAACATGACCCCATCCCCACATATTTAGGGACTTTTGCTGTTTTCAACATATTGGTCCAGCCAAGAAGCACTGTGTTCTTCCTCCTTGGCTCATGTGATGGTTTAAATATTAATCTCCTGTGTCTCGGGTGTAATGATGGGCTGGGGTTTGTGTGGTGGATGGCTCGGGTGGTGTGTGTTGACTCGTTTGCTGTCTTCACAGCCCCTGTGTTGTTAGGATCCCCTTTGCACACACATGTCCTGTCTCCCAAAGGGCAGCCCCTCTTCCTATAGCCCCGCTGTGAGGACTCCACATGAAGTTCCTGAGAGATAAAGAGATGCAAATTATTTTCTTTTTCAGTTGAGGGACTCACTAGCACAAATGGGATGGGCCTGCCCACCCATTTATTAGGGATCCGGGTTGTGACATCTGGCGTAGGAGGTAATGGCAGCCTCTATCCTGGAGGGGGGACTCGGGCAGTTCCATGGAGGATGCTTAGGTCTCTGCTAACGATAGCAGAAGGGATATAACTGAGGATGAACGTCCACCCATTTTGACAGTTGATTTAGATGGTGTTTTATTCTTTTCTGTGTTTGATTTGTGTGTTATACTTAAACGATCTCTTTGAGGGAAGGAAGTGATTATGTGTTCCTTGGTGCCCTGCCTGTGCCTGACATATAATTTTGTTAAAATTGAACTGTGGAAATGGTAGTAGTTATGCTGTCCAGAATGTGAGAAGAGGAATGGTGAGAACAGGCCATTGTGCTAAGGTTTGGGGATTCTGCTGTCAGAGGCTAGGGAGATTATGGGGCTTCCTGTTACAGTTTGGGGCTGGCACAAAGCGCCTTGAGGCAGATACCTGGCAGGCCAGGGTGAGTGTCCAGAAAAGTGAGATATTTGTCTTGGGCTACTGGGAATAAAATCTGAAGATGCGAGATGGAAATGATATGCAAAATAGCCCAGATGGGGCTACATCTGCTGGCCACTAGTACATTCCCACCTCCTTCCAGTCTAAGAAGAGCACAGGGCTTAGGCAGGGCTGGTGGAGACTGATAAGCCTGGGTAAGGGTCTGTCAGTCTTTTCATCTCTGTTATCCCTGCTTTAGGTACCTCAACTGAATGGCCAAGAGCAGTATGTGCTAGTGCTGGCCTGGGTGACCTGCAAGACTGATTGTCAAATTCTCAGGAATTTCGTGAGCCACTTTTCAAATGTAGCTATTACTAAAAATTAAATTGGCTAGGCACAATGGTTCACATCTGTAATCTTCACATTTTGGGAGGCCGGGGTGGGAGGATTGCTTGATGCCAGGAGTTCAAGACCAGCCTGCGCAACAGTGAGACCCCCCTGCTACAAAAAAATAGTAATAATAGTAAATAAAAATAAAAGAAATTTAAAATAAATAAGAATTATAGAAACTCACAATTGAGCAGATTATATTAAAAACAAAGGTTATAGACATTCACAGTGTGTCACTTCCTAATTATTTTACTCCATTCTGCTACCTCTGCTCTCCAGGTTATTTAGGTCTTACAGATCTGTGTGGTAGAAATGCTGTATACTGGTGAGCTGCTGCACACCTCTTTCTAACCCCATGCTCAGCGACTGTGCATTGGTGGCTTGAAACAGGCTCTGGTGGGAGTATTTATGCCACATTCATGTGTATGCTTGGCTTCTCTCCAGACAGCGCTACTTGCTCTTCGTTCTCTCCCTCTGGCTGAGTGTGGATCACAGGCTCTGAATGACTCAGACCTCCTTGAGGAGAAGTAGAAACTCCTTATCCCAGTGCTTCTCTCTTTAGGCTCATGTGTTTCCAGGGGTTGAGGAAAAGGACATTGTGATGGCTTAAAGAGGTTTTGTCATTCCATCTTTCAGTCTGTTGATTATATGTGGGATTAAAAATAGGCAAAGTGTTGATACTATCAGCTGAACACACTAAATCAGCTTTCTTAGTTAATAACAGCAGTAGAAATTAAAGCAAGAATGAGCTGCCAATGATTACAACCAGACACATGGTCCACTGTACGTGTCAACAGGTCCAATTTCCATTGGAATTTTCCACCTGGAAAGATAAAGTCTGATTTCAGTCCACTGGTGATGGTTGGCTCAGGAGACACCTTCTGCAGGAACTCTTCCTGCCTGCTGCTTCCATAGAGTAGGGGAGGCAGCTCCTGTGTGTTTCCCCAAAACCCTGGGCACACCTTTGACACTACAGTACAGACAGGTTGGCCAGTTTGTAGTAAATGCTTTCTCAAATCAGATGATCCATCTATAGGATGCTGCTCAAGAATGCTGAAATTCACCATCAAGCCTTTAGTAATTATGAGGTATGGTCTGCTATTAGAGAAATAAAACAAGTGAATCAAATAGGATTAACCCCTTCAAATGACTTAACTAGGTATTTCTCACAAGTAATAAAGAAGAAATTCCTTTCATTCTGTTGTGGATAACCAGAAACAAGGAACTGTGGGGTTTCTAACAAGAATTAACAGCCTGTTATAGATGCTGCTTCTAAACAAGATGACAGTTTGCATTTCTCTTGTTGAGGATAATAGCAAAACTTTCCTATCAAAACAAAAACTAATCCCTTATTTGAAATCTCACTTATAGCAGATTATCAAGCATTCATCTAGATGTTTTAAAGTAACCACATATTTGTCTCCACTTTTCCCCTAGCTTTCATTTTGGAATAATAGCCTAACTCAGCAAGAAGATGAATTGAGTCACTCTTACAGCTCAAGAAATCAAGCATGAGGGTATAAGTTTAGATTTCCTCATAATATTAATCTCAATCTTCTTTGGTAAAATT
The DNA here is from genome assembly GCF_000001405.40 of Homo sapiens. NCBI lineage: Eukaryota > Metazoa > Chordata > Mammalia > Primates > Hominidae > Homo > Homo sapiens. Next base: position 36,353,702 of record NC_000018.10, read on the forward strand.
ATTTTTCTCTATTTTAAGAGTAATCATTCTATATGTAATATAATGCTAACTGCTACCTGTAGCAACCACAAAACCTTAATGAGTTAGCACAGCAAAGGCTCGTTTCTTGATGCTGTCACAGTCCAGGATGGGTCAGTGGATCTGGGCAGCAAAGTGCTCTCTTCCATGCAGTGACTCAGGAACCCAAGCTCCTTGCATTTGGGGCTCTGCTTTTTTCTAGGTTTCAAGGTCTCCTCTGGCTCCTCTGCATCTGGCCATAGGCAAGAAAAGAAAAGTGGACAGTTGTGCAGAGGTGTTATGGCCAAGCCTGTTGGGGGCCTTCTTCACTTTCACCCACATTCTGCTGATCAATACTCAGTTATGCAGCCAGAGCCCAACTCTAAGGCAAGACTGTGTGCCTGGGGAGAAAAGGGAATGGTGTTGGCAAACACATTTGCTCAGTCACACCAGAACACTCAGTTGATACAAGCTGCATTTTGCACCGTGACAAAATTTTCAAGTTCTGTGTGTGTCTTGGGCTGTAGAGAGGATGCAGAGTGTAGTGGTTGAGACCATGTCCTCAAATCAAACTGCTGGTATCCAAATTCCAGCTCCACCATTTACTAGACGGTGAATTGGGCAAGTAACATAGCCTCTCTTTGTGCCTCACAGTCCTCATCTGTAAAATGAGGAGGACTCATTTTACAGAGTCCTCATTTTACAGAGGACTCATTTTACAGAGTTTGTGAGAGAATCAACTGACTTCCCATGTACAAATGTTTAGAACAGTGCCCAGAATATAATGAACAACATATAAATGTTTGTTAAACAAAATTTTTGGCTGGGTGTGGTGGCTCACGCCTGTAATTCCAGCACTTTGGGAGGCCGAGGCGGGTGGATCACCTGAGGTCAGGAGTTCGAGACCAGGCTGGCCAAAATGGCAAAACCCCATCTCTACTAAAAATACAAAACAAAATTGGCTAGGCATGGTGGTGGGTGCCTGTAATCCCAGCTACTTGGGAAGCTGAGGCAGAAGAATTGCTTGAACCCGGGAGGCAGAGGTTGCAGTGAGCCGAGATCATGCCACTGCACTCTAGCCTGGGTGACAGAGCGAGACTCTGTCGCCAAAAAAAAAAAAATAAAAATTTTTAAAAATGAGATCAGTGTGCATGCCTATAATCCCAGCTACTCGGGAGGCTGGGGCAGGAGAATCACTTGAACCCGGGAGGTGGAGGTTGCAGTGAGCTGAGATCGAGCAACTGCACTCCAGCCTGGGTGACAGAGCAAGAGAGACTTAATTTCCTGTGTGCTATGTTGTAATTTGGGTATATTGCCATTCAGTTGGAGGATGTTTCAGTTCAATTGTAAAAATACTTTATTGAGCAACATTATTTGTAATGTGCAGAGTATGACCATAGAATCTGAATCAGTAGGCTCCTCACTGAATCAAAGGAAACAGCATATTTTCCCCACCAAATTTGCCTTTTAAGCCCTGTGACTCAATCCATGGTCACAGCAGCATCGTGATCTCGATTTCCACTCTTGAAATGCCAGGTCTCATCTGTGCCCCTGAGAGTGGAAAAAAGCGCTGGCCCAGTGCCCAAAGGGCTCCTTCAGTGGCTTAGGGCCCAGAGGATGCTGTCGATGTCACTCTGTTAAGAGATGCCTCATCCATCCACTTGGTACACAGATTGTTCCCGATCTATTTGCACTAACATACTAGCTCTTCAAGTTATGATCCACATTTCAGAACATTGCTTGATTTTACAAAACACAGGAGGGCAACATGATGTGATTTCTCCATATGTAGTCTCCATCTGAGGAGCAGGTTGGGTATAACAGGCTCTTTCTCTTGCAGCTGGATGACTGTACTCTGCAGCTCTCTCACAATGGCGCCTACCTGGATTTGGAGGCCACCCTGGCAGAGCAGCGGGATGAGTTGGAAGGCTTCCAGGATGACGCCGGGTAAGAGCAACTGTTCACCCTGCTGACTGGTCCCCACCTACCAGGAAATGGGGGTACATTGAGGCCTTAAAGTATTTAGGAGGAACTACCATGGCTTTGACCTTCTCTTAATTCTCAATCACACACGAGGGAGATGCAAGTGACTCATCAGTGGTGACTGCAGACCCGTTTCCATTTTGAGTAACTTTTCTTGATGGGTGCTCGGGAGTAGCCTTTCCTAGGAACATTTGTGGTAATCAAGCACATGGTATTTATATGCTAAGTTATTTTAAAATCATATGTCACAATTAAATCGATATTTTCCAGCCAGCTGTGGTGGCTCACACCTGTAGTCCCAGCTACTCGGGAGGCTGAGGTGGGAGGATCGCTTGAGTCTGGGAGGCCGAGGCTGCAGTAAGTCATGATTGTGCCACTGCACTCCAGCTTGGATAAAAGGGCAAGACCTTGTCTCTAAAAGTGAATAAATAAATGGATATTTTCCAGATTTTAGTGGATTTGCAACTATTTTAGATATTGTATTCAATGATAATTTACTGGATAGTTTCTTAGCAGATGCTATAGTAGATAGTTTTATACGGTATCATCTTTTAAACTCATTACTGTGGAAAAAATAATTATTAATTATGTTAATGTCAACTTACTTTTTGCCTATACCTAGAATTGCTTAATACTTTTGCTGAATAAAGAAATACTGTGAGTCTGAATAAAGTAATATGCACATAAAAAATCAGAGATGTGCACAGAAAGTGAAACCTCTCTAGGAATATACCCATATCAGCAGCCATTCTTATATTTATTAGATTACTGAAATAGCCCCTGATGGGGCCCCACCTTTTTCCTTCTGATTTTTATTTATTTATTTATTTTTTGAGACAGAGTCTCACTCCAGTTGCCCAGGCTGGAGTGCAGTGGCGTGATCTCGGCTCACTGCAGCCTCTCGAGTAGCTGGGACTACAGACATGTGCCACTGTGCCCAGCTAATTTTATATATATATATATGTTATTTTTGAGACGGAATCTCGCTCTGTCACCCAGGCTGGAGTGTAGTGGTGTGATCTCGGCTCACTGCAACCTCTGTCTCCCAGGTTCCAGCAATTCTCCTGCCTCAGACTCCCGAGTAGCTGGGACTACAGGCGTGTGCCACCACGCCCTGCTAATTTTTGTATTTTTTAGTAGAGATGGGGTTTTGTCATGTTGCCCAGGCTGGTCTTGAACTGCTGAACTCAAGCAATTCACCCTCAGCCTCCCTAAGTGCTGGGATTACAGGCGTGAGTCACCATACCCAGCCTACTTCTTATCCATCTCGAACTAAGTATATCTCTGATTTCATCACCCTCCTCTTCAGGAAACTTAAGAGTTTCCCTGATACTTTCCAAATAATGCTCAGCTATCTTAATCTGTTGTCCAGGAGCCCCCAAAAGTTGTTTGAAACCACTTTGCCCGAGTTAAAAATATGGTCCACTGAATACTATCTGGGAATTCTCATTTTTCATGAATAGCTCAATTAATGGAGAAAAATTGGAACCTTCTTAGTTTCATATAGCTATTTGACTTCAGTATGTACTGATGGCTTCCTGGGTTTCCCCTGTTTTAACACCCTTCACAATTTATGATCATTGATTGTGCTGCTAGTTGCACCTCTTCTCTGCGGCTAACACTTTACTAGGTCAGAACCATGCCTGTCTGAATGTCCAGGATTTGGCATTTTCTCAGCATGTTTCAGGCACTTAGCGAATACTAGTGTCCAGGTGAATGGCGCATTGCCAGAATGGATTCCTGAATAGCATGGCCATGCGCACCAAGAAGACCAAGGTCCTTGTTAAGATTCAGCAAGATGCTCTGAGGATACCCTTCTTGTCTCCAGAGTGGTAGTAAGGGCACACCAATAGTATGTGAGAAAGGATCCTGGAAACCACTCTAGGCTGTGCATATGGGAGTGGTATCTTAAGTCACACCAGATTCTACTTATTGCTATTTTTAAAATTAACACTATTAGGCTGATAGACTTGGGGATGTTCCATTGCAATAGTTTTTATCAAGTATTTGACAGTGACATCCTTTCATATAAGTTGTCAGAATGCAGGCTAGATGATAGTCTAATTGGATGACTTCATGGCTCATTGATCAAACAGACCCCGGGAATGTTATGAGTAGATCATTGTCAGCTTGAAAAATGTCTCTAGTGGTGTTGTGCTTGAGGACCTTGTCCTCGTTTTTGTTTTCTTCTTTCTTATCAAAACTTGAATGATTTGGAGATGACAGCTCAGAAAAAAAGTGCTAATATATTGATAAAAGCAATAAGAATAAAGGGTGTGGGAGAAGAATAATATTTTTGGATCAGCTACTGTGCCAGGTACTATATTAGGCTCCCTATTCACAAGATCTTTAATAATTAATTATCATACTAGTCATGTAATTGGATTTTATTGTCTCAATTTTTCATCTGAGACAACCAAGGGTCAGAAGTTAAATTACATGTCTGGGGTGGCAAAGCCAAGTTTGAACACAGATGTGACCAATTCCCAAGACTGTGCTCTTCTGCCATCCCAGGGGCTTCTGGGCAAAGGTACTTTAGGTTCTATGCAGCATGTACATTGGCACCTTTGGTGGCATGAGGTTGGTTCCTGCAAGGACAATTGGTCCTGGTCTAAAACACTGTCTCCAGTTGAAACAGCTTTGCTGCCATCATCCATCACTGACACTACAGTTCACCTGGGCGACACCTGTCTCCAGATGCTGGCACTTCCTCCACAGCTGTTCCCAAAGAGCCAGGGCATCCTGCTATAAACTCCCCAGAGTAGATCCTGGTTCTTGTATTCTCACTTTGTTCCCTTCTGAATCATCACTTGGCCATGAGTCCATCCAATAGGTAGAGGTTGAATCCCATTTCTATACTCTAGTAGCTAGGGTTGCTGGGAAAATGAATTATGGCAAGATGAGAAGGTGGGACTCAAGACTTGGGAAACTACAGAGGAAGGTAGCCCAAAAGATATTGAATAGCTACACATTTAAAATTTTTTTTAGAAAAATTTAAATTTTTAATTATTTTTGATAGGGTCTTTCTTTGTCACCCAGGCTGGAGTGCAGTGGTGCAATCACAGCTCACTATAGCCTCCATCTCTCAGGCTCAAATGATTCTCCTGCTCTGGCTAATTTTTGTATTTTTTTGTAGAGACGGGGTCTCCTTATGTTGCCCAGGCTGGTCTGGAACTCCTGGACTCAAAACAATCCTCCTGTCTTAGCCTCTCAAAGTGTTGGAATTATAGGCATGCATAGCTACACATTTGACAAGTGTGCCCCCAAATCACCCTAGAGTGAGGGTTTGTATCTTTGAAATAGACTTTTTAGGTTCTCTCCTAGATGTGTGGCATTTGACAAAGTCTGTGTGTCTCCCATGAGTGGGAGTTAAAATATAATTGCTTCCCAGTTAAGATTTGCCCTTTGGAGGTATGAAAATGGCAAATACCATTTTTTTCTCTTGATTTCTTTGTGTCAGTTATAGCAAAATGTCTGCTAATATTGTGGCCATCTAATGAAGATGTATGAGTCTGTGTGAAAATTGTGATGTTTTTCATACCATGTGTTCTGAGTTTCCTTGCTGGAGGATTTTGCTTCTTTGTTCTTGTCCATTACCCTGCACTTTTATGCCAAGACTAAAAATTAACTTCTTGTTTAGAATTATCACTCAGGCTCTAGCTAGTCAGAGAAGAGGAGAAAGACCTTCAAAAGTAGAAGGACAAAGCAATTATTATGCTAAGAAAATAGAGCCAGGTCTGTTCATCACCTTCTGAGGCCAGGGAAATTAGCAAGCATGACCTGGTGCAGCAGACAGAGAAGCCTGCAGCCTACAGGTTATTTTTCCTGACGTTGTCATTGTGTGGCCTTGGGCAAGCCACTTTACCTCTGATAGGAGTTCATAAAATGAGGACACTTGTAACATTTATTTACAGAATAAGGAAAATATGGCCCAATCCCATTTATCTTCCTGTATGAAGAGGGGTCCTGATGGGGTCTCTGGCACCTGAGGAGAGCAGTGTAGCATAATGGTTAGGGACACAGGCTTTACCATTAGTCTCATGGCTGTTTGACCCTGGGGATGTAACTTCACCTCTCTGAACCTCAGTTTCCTTATAATTGGGGGCAATATTATCATAATACTGCCTCTTTGGGTTGTTTCGAAGTAAAATATGATAATGTATCTAAAACGTTAACTAGTTCCTGATACATAATACACACTCAAAACTGTTAGCCTCTGTTATAATTACAGTCCAATTCTGGAAAGATGATACATTGAAATGGGAACCACTGGAATTTAGACCCAGAGGATTCTATGCAGGTCAGGTGCCCTGAGATCTCAACTTTTAGTTAAGAGACCTCGATGGAGGTTTGCCCACAGGGCTGAGCTGGGCCAGAACCTCCACTCTTTTGCCTGTTGCTACCCTCAGTGTCTCTGAAAGGAAACCAATGCCAGCCTGGGTCCACAGGGCACTGTCATGGAGAAGGTGGGCTTTTAGGCAAGCCCTGGAGGATATGGTGGCTTTGGGTATTTGGAAGGTGCAGCCAGGTGGGAGTGTGGCTTGAGCCAAGAGTGGACCTGAGAACCATGATGTTTCAGGGACATCATGAGGACCAGTGTGGTGGCTGGACATGGCATACACATTCACAGGTGCTCCTAACTTCAGGTAACTTGGGGCGTTCACCTTTTCCTTGGCATGACTCCCTTCAGGCCTGTGCCACAGGGTTGGCTGTGAAGATAGCTGCTGCTTACTGGCTGTGTCATGCTGTTCACTTTCTCTCATTTGCCAAGGGGGCTGGTAGTCCTCCAACCCTGGGCCCATGTGTCTATGTGAGGCTGGTGGCTTAGAAATCATGGCTGGATGTGCATCTGGGAAAGGTTAAGAAGGGCCATGCAGAGTCCCATCTGCAGGGGTACATGGGTCCTGCCAGCTTTGTGCTGGACCTGTTTAGGGGAACCTGGGGATTTGGGACTGGCTCTGCTGTTATTCTTGGACACCTCACTTCTCAGCCTGCAGATCATGGGCCCTGAGGCCCATGAACCTCTGAGGTTTCTGTACAGTTTGTGGGTTTGTGGGATTTTGGTGGGGAGGTATTTCAAAGCCTTCATTGGATTCTCAAAGAGGTCTTTGCCTCTCAAAATATCAGGTTTGAAGGAATGAAAGCAATTTCTTCTTCTTATGATATAATACAAAAATTAACCTCACCCATTCACACATTTGTCCAGGTTTCCTCTGCATTTTAGACTGGTGGAATGGGAAATCACAGAATAGATTTTGAACATAAGTCTAAAAATCTACTGAACCTAAAAAACCAAACCGAAACAAGAAACCAACGAAACCCCCATGTTAAGAGAGAGATTCTGATGAGGGTGCAGAAGGGAAGAAAGGTAGACGTTCCCTGATTTTTTTTTTCCTCTTAAGGTAGTTATCCTGAGTGGAGGGTGCAGGTGTGTTGGCTGAAGCCTTGTGGCTAATCAGTGACAGGTTCAAGCTCCTGTCTTCATAGTGCTATGCAAGGCTCAAAGTGGAGGCCATCAAGTTCTGCCCCTGCTCTCAGTGGGGGAGAAAACTGGCCCTTTAAAACCAAAGGAGCCATTAGGGGTGAGTTCAGCTGGGTTGAGTGGGTAGCCCAGAGGCCCTGCACACCAGTTCCAGGTGCCAGAACTGCTGATCTCTAGGTTCTGGCTTCAGAAGGTTTGGAGTGAGGTTCAGAATCTTGCTTTTTTAAAAAAAGCTGTCCAGGCTGGGCATGGTGGCTCACGCTTGTAATCCCAGCACTTTGGGAGGCCAAGGTGGGTGGATTACTTGAGGTTAGGAGTTCGCTACCAGCCTGGCCAACATGGGAAACGCTGTCTCTACTAAAAATACAAAAAATTAGCTGGGCGTGGTGGCACGTGCTTGTAGTCCCAGCTACTCGGGAGGCTGAGGCAGGAGAATTGCTTGAACCCAGGAGGTAGAGGTTGCAGTGAGCCTAGATCACGCAACTGTACTCCAGCCTGGCTGACACAGCAAGACTCCGTCTCAAAAAAAAAAAAAAAAGAAAAAAAAAGAAAAATGCTGTCCAGGTGGTTAGATGTTTGTTTGGGAACCTGCAGCGTAGGCTCTCAGTCTTGGAGAATATTGCCACCCCCTGAAGAACTTTAGAACCTTCCCTGCCACGCCCAGCCTCAGGCTCATGAAATCAGAACTCAGGGGTGGGCCCAGGCAGAGGTGATTTTCAAAGCTTCCAGGTGATTTCAGTGTGCAGTCAAAGTTGAGAACCACTGCGTGAGAAAGACGGCATTCCTGAAAAGGCTGCAGTAAGTCAGGCAAGAATGAAGTAACTCCCATGCTGAATGGACACTGGAATCAAAGGTTCTAAATGCCTTTAAATGCAAGGATGTATGAGGGTAAAGATGACATCAGGTAGGTATGTGGGTTGGAGTCAGACAGAAGAAAAATGACCTGCAAAGAGAGCCCCCACAGAACTCCTTAAGTGATGAGGGGGCTATGTGGGGGTGAGTGGGAAGAACTTGGAGTGGGAGGCCTTGATCAGATGTAACCCCCTGGGGGGACAAGCAGGGAGTGGCCTAATGAACCTAAACCTGGTAGCCGAGGAAGGTGAGTGGATTGGGGCCTCACCCAGGGTTGGGGAGGGAGGGGGCTGGGAATCTGGAGCCATGGTGCCAGCTCGTGTAGAGGGACACAAGAGAATGGAATGGACATGTGGCATTAGGGGAATAGTGCACAGAATGGTGGACTAGTTAGGGAAATAGTGAGGTGATACAGTGGAGGCAATTTTGAAAAGGGGAGGAGGGGTTTATACCTGTTAGTCTGAGGTTATGGCAAGCCACACACAAGGTGTGGGGTGGCTAGTGAGAAATGTTGGCTGGGGACCCAGGTGAGAAGGCTGGAATACTGGAGAGGCTAGGGGTGATTCCTTGGAGGGAGCTACAGAGTCTGGAGGTCGTGTCCTGGAGGGCCAGCCATAGGATGCAGGTGAGGAGAGGACCAGTCCCTGGCTGTAGGGAAAATGAAAGTTAGCAGTCACCCAGGTGGCAGCACCCAGATGATCCATTGAAACCATAACCCAGGTGTTGTCCATCAGTAAGAGACTCAGGTTTAGCTGCATGTGGCAAAGAACCCAGATAACAGTGGCTTAAAATTTTTGACTATATTTTTATCATGGAAAAAAAGTGGATATTAAGACAATGAAAAGACAAGCCACAGACTGGGAGAAAATATTTGCAAAACGTATCTGATGGAGTACAAGTATCCAAAATATACAAAGCACTCTTAAAATTTAATAAGAAAACAACCTGATTAAAAAATGGGCAAAAGATCTGAACAGATATGTCACTAAAGAAGACATTCAGATGGTAAATAAGCATATAGAAAGATATCCAACATTACATGTCAATATAATGTAAAATGTACATTTAAAAAAATGAGATACCACTACACACCCCTTAGAATGGCTAAAATAAAAAAACACGGATATCATCAAATGCTGGCAAAGATGTGGAGCAACAGGAACACTCATTCATTGCTGGTGGGAATGCAAAATGACACGGCCACTTTGGAAGACAGTCTGGTAGTTTCTTACAAAGCTAAATGTAGGCTTACCATACAATTTGGCAATCGTGCTTCTGGGTATTTACCCAAATGAGTTGAAAACTTATGTCCATGGAAAAGCCTGCACGTATTTTCACAGCAGCTTTTTTCATAATTGCCAAAATTTGGAAACAAGATGTCCTTCTGTAGTTGAATGGGTAAACAAACCATAGTATTTGTCCATACCATGAAATATTTTTTATTTAGCAATAAAAAGAAATGAGTGATCAAGCTAGAAAAGACATGGGGGAACCTTAAATGCACATTGTGAAGTTAAACCAGTCTGAAAAAGCTACATACTGTGAGTCCAAATTATGACATTCCGAGAAAGGCAAAAAGCTATGGAGACAGTGAAAAGATCTGTTGCCGGAGTGGGAGTTGAGATTGGGAGATGGGTAGGGAGGGATGAACAGGTGGAGCACAGGGGATCTTTAGGGCAGTGTCACTGCTCTGTATTTTATTGTAATGTTGGATCCAGAACGTTATGTATTTGTGAGAACTCATAGAACTGTTCAACACAGTGAATTATAAAGTAAAACTATGGACTTGTTAATAATGTGTCAATATCAGTTAATCTGTTGTAACAGATTAACATCTTGCACACTAATGCAAGATGTTAATAGGAGAAATGGGTGGGTGGGGAGGGGCAGTGTGGATATATGAGAACATGCTCTACTTTCTATGAAATTTTTCTATAAAACAAAAGCCACTCTAAGAAAATCAGTGGATAATTATACAGTTTCAAGTACAATATGTTGATTCCATGATACTCTTAGGAACCTGGGCTTGTTTTATCTTTATGCCCTACCATCCTTAGGATCTGGCTTTTGTCTTTCGTGTTTCATCATAGTTACAATGCAGCTGCCCCACACCCTTGTCATATCAAGACAGGGAGGCATGTATTGGTTAGGATGCAGTCTTCTCTGTTGCAACCAAGAAATCTCCCAATGTGGCAGTTTAAATAAAATAAAAGTTTTTTTCTTGTATAAGATTCCAAATATAGGCAATCCTCTTTGGAACTGTAAAATAGCTATAGCATCCTGACCGCAAGGATTCCATCTCTGGGTCTAGGTGGCTCCTTCCACTCTTACCATCTCATCTGTATCTCAGCCCCTAGAAAGAAGGAAAGGGACGAAGGGAGTGCACGCCCATTTCTGTGTGCACATAGCTTTCACTCATATGATTTTGGCCAGACGCTCGAGGGCACAGTGAATAGTGGGCTGTATCCAGCTAACCTTCTCCTGCTATCACTATGAATATTAGGTGACAGCCAGTGGTCCCTGCCTTAGTTGAGGAGAGTGAAGAGCAGTATTGGTGCTGGCTGGGTGTGCTGCTTTTAAAGAGCTTTCCAGAAGCTCCACCAGTGACTTCCATCTATAGTTCACTGATGAGAACTGTGCCACATTGTAGAGTGCCACATTGTGGAATATACATTGTCACTCCAAACACAATTGGATTCCCATTATAAGGCAGAAAGGGAAATGGGTATTGAGTGGGTAACCAGCAGCATCTGCCTCCGCAAGAAGAGAGGACATTTCAAAGAATGGGCGGTTGAGGACACTGTGCCACAAAGGCAAGTTGTGAGAGGAGCAAGGCAAGGCTGGGAGTGGTGAGCAGGAGATTTAGGGTGTCTGAAGGGGGAGAAAGCAGAAGGGTGGTGGGGGCAGAGGCTGGCAAGGAGAGACTGGGGGCTGTGAAGAGAGCCAGCAGGATTTCCCAGGAGCTGAAATCTGTGAACAGCTTGAACAAGGGCTGTGTCCCATCACAGGGTACGTGAGGGTGGAAGACAAGAGAATGAGCTAATCAAGATGTCAAGGACCTCATACCAGACACAAAGATGAACTGAAAACAGACCATAGTCCTAAGTGTAAGGGCCAAAACAATGAAACTCCCAGAGGAAAACAGGAGCAAGTCTCCATGACTGGGTTAGGCAGTCATGGTTCTTGCCACATGTGCTTTCCATGTCTTAGATATGACAAAAGCATAAGTGACAAGAGAAAAAAATAGTTTGGACTTCATAAAAATTAAAGCCTTTTGCATCCCCAAAAGACATAATTGGTAAAGTGAAAACACAAGCCACAGAATGGGAGAAAATGTTTGTAAATCATATATCTGATATCTGATGACCTGGAAGACAGGCCATGTGAAAGAAGCCAGACACAAAAGGTGAAGTACTGTTTAATTTCATTTGTATGAGATGGCCAGAAAAGACACATCTCTAGAGGGACAGAGTAGATTGGTGGTTGCCTCTTGCTGAGTGTGGGGACACAGAGCGATTGCAGATGGGTATGAAGGTTTGGGGGTGTTTTTGCATTGATGAAAAAGTTAAAAAAGTTAGATTGTAATGACTGTATAACTCTATGAAGATACTAATAATCAGTGGATTATATCCATAAAACAGGTGGGTTTTATGGTACCTAAATTATACCTCATTAAAGCTTACAAAAAACGTGTAAGGGAATGACTATGGAAGAGAGACACTGAGCTGGTGACGGCCGGGCTAGGTGTGGGGAGAAATTCCAGCTTCTGTGATGAGAGGACACTAGCTGAGCGGAAGTTGACTGAGAAAGTTCATTCCGTCTGCCTCATGTCTTGTTGAAGTGAGGGTGAAGGAAACTGGAAGATGAGAGAACCAGACTGGCCTCTCTGAGAAGGTATCTAGAGAGTTGACCTGTTTTGGTAGGTCCCTTTTCCCCAAGTGCACAAACTTCACACTTTGGTTGTAGCACATGTTGCCCAGGGTGCTTCCACCTGGGTCCCCTGTGTGTCTCGGACTCCTCACACCTTCCAGTTAAAGTAGATGACTCATTCCTCAGAGGCTGACGCACTTAGAGTTGCACACACAGGAGGCACAGACATTAGTATAGTCCCTTGAGAAAATTAAAATGCTACATCATGGGAACTTTAATGAAGAACAGGAAAAAGCATCAAATAGTAACAAATGGATTATTATTGTCGATTCTTGAATGGGCAGTGAAGAGAGAACGAGAAAAAGGTATGATGAGGAGAGAGGTGGGAGGAATGAGAAGAGGCAGACAAAAATGAAGCAAGAGACATACAGAAAGTGAGAATATTCAGACATTAAGACAAATGGAACGAGGGAGAGAAAGTGGCTGAAAGAACAGTAATATCAACAAGGGTATTACCTAACATTATTCAGCATTTATCACATGCCAGCCATGTCCACAGCATGTTACTTGCATTGATTGATTGAATTCTCACACCCTCAGGAGAAGGTAGACATTATCTTATTTTACAGACAATAAAGCCAAGGCTCAGAGAGGTTAAGTAACTTGTCCAAGATCACACAGCTGGCTTCAGAGTCGATGTTTTTCTACCTCTACAGTCTGCCAGGGGAGAAGAGAACACACCCGGAGATTAATGTAGTGGCAACTGCCTCTCTTGCTTAAACTTTGAGCTTCTGGGCAAGTTAATCTTAGCTAGCACTGTCCTTTTACTAGCTGATGACTGGTTCAAATCCTCCTCCATCTCTTTATCCCTGAGATGGAGTGCCAGTTGAGCCCCACAGCTCCAGAAGCTTACTAAGAGCTTTTTACTCCTGGGGCAACTGTTGAGGGGGCCCTTGTCCCTACTTTTGCCAGATGGTGAAACATCTGTTTCTATCCTTGACTGAAACTATAGTTTATTTCTTCTAATTTAAGTGGAGGAGTACTTGGGAGCATTGATTTCACTGTTGGTTGCTGGAGAAAGTCATCAAGCTTCTGTCTCTATACCACTCAATTAAATAATGTAAGCACTTGTTCTTATAGTCACAAAGGGCTTTATATGTTACTCTTGTAAAAAGGCTCCCTTGAGACACAGGGTCAGAACTGAAACATGCAGGTTTCTGTGAACCTTAGTTGGTTAAACCAGACTTTTCCCAAGGCCACTGATATTACTGTAACAGAAGTCTGTGTATTCTGAGAAGGCAGGATGTTTCAGAAAGTTCTTTTAGCGGTAGTGCCGTTGTGTCCCTGGTGCGTGTGCCTCCATAGGGGTTTCCTTGAGTTGCTTATCTATTTTAGATAGTCCCCTTGGCACTTGGGTAGCCTTGGCCTTGGCCTTGGTTGTGAGCAGCCCATTGGTTGTGGCTGCCTGCTCCAAAGAGTGGCTGTTCAGAAGCTGGTGATGTGTCCCTGGCAGTGGCTGTGCTGATAGGAAAGGAATCCGAGTCTCCCTGGGGAGATTAAGGTCAAGCTGAGCCGCGTTGCCTTCTGGGTCACTGGATTCTGGGTACTTGGCGCATTCCACTTCATCTTGCTGCAAAAACACAGACTCAAAAGGAGTGGCAGCTGCAAAACTAACCCAGAATGCTGGTATCAGGGAGAAAAGGATGGCTAAGGTGCTTACAGTAAATACATACTGACAGCCTCTCTTTGGTATGTGGAAGCCCTATGAAGGCAGATATCAAATTTTGTATTAGTCAGGGTTCTCCAGAGACACAGAACCAAGAGAATATCTATCTATCTGATATGGATTGGCTCTGTGTCCCCAACCAAACCTTGTCTCAAATTGTGATCGTCAGGTGTGGAGGGAGGGACCTGGTGGGAGGTGATTGAATCATGGGGGCAGTTTCCCCCATGCTGTTCTCATGATAGTGAGTGAATTCTCATGAGATCTTAGGCTTTAAAAGTGTTTGGCAGTCACCCCCCCATCCCTCCCCACCGCTTTCTCCCCAGCCACCTTGTGAAGAAGGTGCTGCTTTCCCTTTACCTTCCACCATGATGGTGAATTTCCTGAGCCTCCCCAGCCATGTGGAACTGTGAGTCAACTGAACCTCTTTCCTTATAAATTAGCCAGTCTCAGGCAGTTCTTTAGAGCAGTGTGAAAACGGACCAGCTCCTATTCTCTCTCTCTCTCTCTCTCATCTATGTAATCTATCTATCTAGAAATATTTATTTTTAAGGAATTGGCTCAGGCAGTTGTGGGGACTGGCAAATCTGAAATCTTCAGGGCAGGCTAGCAGGCTGGAAATGCAGGTAGGATTTCTATATTCCTGTCTTAAAGCTCCATATACTTTGTGCATCTCATAGAGTACATCTCATACGTATGTATGAGTTCAGAAAATAATAGTCTAAAGATGCAAATCTTGAGAGGTTGTCCATGTGAATTCACTGTAAGCAGCTTAGCATCCTTTTCTGCCTGATATTGGCACCAGTAGAATGAGGGAATGAATGAGAGGAGCACACATCTGGGGGGCAGCTCTGTGGAGATGTTAGGGGCACTGACTCTAGGGTCAGACTGCCTGGGTTGAGTCTGAGCTCTGTCGCTTTCTAGCTGTGTGACTTCAGCTCCATTGCTTAACTTTTCTGGGCCTTGATTTCCTTATCTTTAGAATGTCAATAATGTTATCTACCTGTATTTGTCCATTTTCACACTGCTATAAAGACATACCTGAGACTGGGTAATTTATAAAGGAAAGAGGTTTAATTGACTCACAGTTCTGCATGGCTGGGGAGGCCTCAGGAAACTTAGAATCATGGCAGAAGGTGAAGGAGAAGCAAAGGCACATCTTACAGGTGGCAGGTGAGAGTGAGTGAGAAAGCAAAGTGGGAAGAGCCCCTTATAAAACCATCAGATCTTATGAGAACTCACTATCACAAGAACAGCATGGGGGAAACCACCCCCCTGATCCAATCACCCCCCACCAGGTCCCTCCCTCACACCTGGGGATTACAAGTCAAGATGAGATTTGGGTGGGGACACAAAGCCTAACCCTATCACTACGTCATAGAAATTTTCTGAATACTAAATCTGTAAAAAGTACTTAGAACCTCATCTGGCGCATGATAAGCATTCCATAAATGTTAACAACTATTATTATTTCTGAGCCGAAACTGACATAGTGTCCCATAGTGGGGAAGGGAGTATGCCTGTGATTCTTTAATTTTCCTTTGAAAGTTTTAGCCATGAAGGAAGAAAAGGGTGTATTTACTGGAAAGGCAGGGATAAAATGATTGTCTTTAAACAGATATGATTAATTCCCTAAGAGAAGCCAAAGGACTTAGCAAAAAGATTTTTAGAATCAGTGGTAGCAGGGAAATGGCCATATGTAAAAGAAATACATAAAAGTGAAACTTTCTCCAATATGTCAGTTTTAACTAATTAGAAAATATAGTGGTGGAGGGAAGCTACCAAATTTAAAGGGATCTTATGGTGGATGTCCTTTGTTTTATTTTATTTAAACACACACACACACACACACACACACACACACACACACACACACACACACACACACACATATATATAGAGAGAGAGAGAGAGAGAGAGCAAGCAATATGTGAAAATACAATAAGACCAAATAAGGTTTTCCTAAGAAGTCAAGAAGACTTACGTATATGTGTATATATAATATATATGTTATATACATGTAAAACTATTATATTGGACTCTAATTCTTGAACTCTAAGGGATGAGTCTTATATGGTCTTGTATTATTTTTACATATTGCATAATTTGATTTCTCAATATTTTCTTAGATTTTTGCATCTTAGATTTTCAGTGTGTCTTTTTGGTTAGGTTTTAGTACTGAGGTTACACCAGTTCCCTAAAAAACCAGGGACTCTTTTTATCCTTTGTAAGCCCTAGAGGTGGTTATACAGTGAGGCAATTGTGCAGTGAAAGGCAGGGTGGTGCAGGTGACCGTGGAATCAGATTCTGTGCTTTCAACCCTGCTTCTGTTTCCACCAGCCCTGTATGCAAGTTACACCATTTCTACAAGCTTTGTTTTCCTCATCTGCAAAATGGACACAGAAGTAGTACCTACATCAGAGGTGGGTGGAAGCAGGGGTAGGGAAGGGTGAGAGGTCACAGATGCCCTGTTGTGAACCTGGCTGAATCTGGCCACACTCTTCACCCACTTGCCTCTTCCTTAGCTGGTCCCCTCCTTTACTCTGAACCTGGGATCTGGGGCCTCTTCCCCACCTCAGCCTGCTTCCACCATCCTTGTTTCCCAGTTCCATGCAGGTTTCTTCATGTATAGGATTTTGTGTACAGCAGAAGATAAGGTAGGAGCTAGAATATTGAAGCAGAGGAATTGTAAGTGATTAAACTTCTAAAAAAAATAGGACTTTTTTTTTTCTTCTATGCTCTCTTAATTTCCATTAGGGTTTAGCTTAACAAACCAATTGCCTGGTTTCTCGGCATCCGGAAAAGATGACCCCTCCAGGATGGTGGGCTTGCTGGGTCTTGGCAGTCATTGTTTTTATTGAGAGGCCTGGAATCCCAGAGTGACCACCCTACATGCTCACTGTGGGTCTAGAGAATTATGTGGGGAAACACACACTCAAAGTGCAACTTTGCAGTTGTTTGAAGATACAAGAAGGGGCAACCAATGGACTCTTTCTGAAATTCTCCAGAACTTGGGGGCATTCTGAAATGTCTTCCCTGGCCAGCTCATGCTTTTTCTCTCTCTGGGCATCTATAGCATGTTCTTTGTCTGCTATTCATTTGACATTTACCATTGACTTATAACTGCTGGTAATGCGAATTACAGAAAATCCTTGAGATTGGAAGACTAGGATTTACTGTTTCTAATAGTTAGAGCCTGGCCCCTGGCAGGGGTTCACTGATTTTCTGCTCCTAGCTGCTGTCCCCGCTACCCCAGAAAACCTTTCTTGGCAAGTCAAACAAAAAGCTGTCTATAATTCAATTTGGTGCACTTAAATCAAAACTTTCTTCTGGTCTGGTCAGAAGAGTTGAAGGAGTGTTCATGTCAGGATTTTTGAGAGTGAGAGTTTTTTGTGGAGAATATGTTTTTGTGGAAATCTGTGTTCACAGGAATCTTGAACTTCTGTAGACATCGTGTATTGGCTGCAAGCTTCTTGAGACTAATGGCTTCCATATAAAAAATGTAAAACAAATGAACAAAGGAAAATGGAGGGGCTCATTGAATTTTGAGGGGACTCTGAATGCAGACTCTACTTGAAGCAGCTGCTCAGCTGGAGGCTACTGCATGCTTTGCAATTATGCAGCTGGGTTTCCTATTTTCTTTAAAAGAATCCATATTAGTCTGTTCTCATGCTGCTAATAAAGATATACTCGAGACTGGGTAATTTATAAAGAAAAAGAAGTTTAATGGACTCACAGTTCCTCATTGCTGGGGAGGCCTCACAATTATGGTGGAAGGTGAAGGAAGAGCAAAGGCACATCTTACATGGTGGCAGGCAAGAGAGTGTGTGCAGGGGAACTGCCCTTTATCAAACCATCAGATCTCATGAGACTTATTCACTATCACAAGAATGCCCCTGTGATTCAGTTACCTCCCATGACTTTTGGGGATTATGGGAGCTACAATTCAAGATGATATTTGGGTGGAGACACAACCAAATCATATCAGAATCAACAAACCATTGTTTAAACCATACTTCTGTCTCTTACCTGGTCAGATGAATAAAAAATGTAATTGATGTAGTCATTACTGTGAATTCATAATCACAGTATTAGTAGCGTGCCTTGGTGAGATCTCTGTTCCCTTCTCTCCAACACAACCACACACCAGGAGGCAGGAAAGCACTGCCAGATTCTGTTATACATTAAGCCCTGGTGGAGAGAGGTGAGGATGGACAGGGAATCCCGCTTCCAAGAGCCCTGCCACACTACCTGCTGCCATGCTGTTGGCTGGCTCTGCTTTTCCTTTGTCCACTGCCTTCCCCTTTTCTCCAAACCTCAAAGCCTTTGTTCCTGTTGGGTAGCCAGGACTCATGTTTTCTCCCCTTTATCTCCTTCTACCAACTGCTCCGTGCTTTGGTTCCTCTCTGCATAAAGCAGAATGGGCCCTAGTGGGAGTGGAACCTGGGGAGGTCTGCCCTTTTCCTTCCTCATGAGAAATGCAGTGAGAAGGAAGCAGAGGTGAGATGTGGTGTGGTGTAAATTGACGTTTCTGATAATAAGTAGTCTGTAAGCCTTCTTTTGTAGATTCCCATTTTCCTGTAAAAGTACAAGAGAAAAGCCAACACAGTCTTGAATTGATACACAGTAAAGCAGTTCTGATTACCCCATGATGTGTTCCCTTTTCCTATATCTGCCCCCAACCCCACAAAAAGGTAAAAATAGCCATGAGAATGATGAAGCAGATTTGTGTTGTTACATTCCAGGAATTTCACTTCATGGACACAGATTTTAAAATTTTCCCAACATGGTCAAGCATGACTTTGTGCAGACTCTGTGGATGGAATGAATCGATGGAGCTTGGCAGTGAGATGCATGTGCCAAACCAACAAAGTCAGACTTCTTTATTTTATTTTTGTGAAAGTCCTGTGATGTCAACATTATTTCAGGATAGATTCTTATTCAGTGTGGGTCTCTGCTTCTCTGGATCCCCACTTAAGTGGGTATGTCAGAACCTTCACGTGGATTGACAGCATGTGAGGTGTCTCTGCTGACTCCTCTGATGCCCCTGTTTTGTCTCCTGTCTCGTTAGGCGGGGCAAGAAGCACAGCATCATCCTAAGGACGCAGCTGTCTGTGAGGGTCCATGCCTGCATCGGTGAGTGACACCTGCCCTCAGGAACTAAACATATGATGAAAGACGCGACTTATGGGAATAAAATAAAGATTCACTGTTATGCTGTCTGTTTGCACTAGCCCCTATCATGAGTTCTTAGAGTTTTAGTGAAACAATTTCCAGCAATGATTTTTGAAGGCCTGTTTCATTCCAGCTTCCTCTGCTGTTTGGTTAGTGACTGGAGCGTGAGGTAAGACAGCTTGCTGGTGAGGTGCCTTTTGGCAGTGCTGGGGTAGATGAGGTTCTTCTGGGGACTGTGCCATTGTGAGCCTCTAGCACATTGACCTGATCTTCACGTGCCTCCTGGTGGCTCTGTGAGGCATGCCTGTGGGCAAGTGGAGTCTGGGGCTCCAGGTTGTTATCAGGTGACTAAAAGGAAAATCTTGGGTCAGTGCAGGATGAGGGTACGTGTGGATACAGGGCAAGATGCTCTTAAGCAAGCAAACATATTTGTGGTTCAGAATGGCTTGCTGCGGGAAGCCCAGTTTCCTCCTGGTAATGGGCCAAGTTGCGGCAAGAATATAATGTCATAAGAAGGAAAAAAAAGGAACTAAATTTCACTTTATGCCTAGAAGTTTTTAGTATCTGAGTAATTTTGCTTTTGTTTAATGTATGGTGTGGTCTTCATTTAATCCTCTAATCAAAAGAGCGTAGATCATCCTGTTGAGTCCTAGTCTATACCCGAAAACATATTCATGGGTGGAGTGAAGGAAATTATTTCTGGTCCTTCCTTCACTCTGCTTCCCTATTGGAGACCCAGGGATGGGGAGACCCAGGGCTGGAGATGGAGGGAAATCCATGTGATTTCACTTCATTTGGTGTGGAGGGTGGTGAGGTTGCAAGTGTCTTGAGTAACAACCTTTGCCTCACTCTGCAGCTAAAGAATAATTGTTCAGGTGACTCAAACTTCAGGGACTGAAAGGTCAGGGTGTCAGGAGGATTGGTAATCTTGTTGGAAACAAAGTAAGATCTGTAGGACCTCCAGCCAATATTGACTATTCTGCTTCTCAACTGCTTGTAGCACTGAGTAACTGTACAATGTATATGGGCACTTATATTAAATCGTGGCTTTTTTATTACCTGCTTCGTGTTTTCCCAGTGATTTCATATGTATAAATCATGTCTCTCTAAAGGAAAGGTCTGTGACACGACTTTGGATAAACTTCCCCCTTACCCTCATCCCAGATCTAGAACAAATCCAGGCACGTAACATGTACTGAACAGTGTTGAAGTTAAATGTTGAAACACAGTTGATAACTACAAGAAATTTGGGACATGAATATGAATTGTTTTTTCCCAGGAATAGTAAGGTGGCAGAAAGCAGACTTGCATGAAAATGAGCTCAATCCAAATCCAAATGAGCTAACTCCTTTTAAGGAAACTCACTCCTTTGCAGTATGTAGTCAAATATTTCAGGTACAGGATTTTTTAAAAACAACTTCTGTGTTATTGACTTGTCTTATGAACTTCTGTATCCTATCGTCCCATGTGATAGATGTAAGATGTGTGACATCTTATCCTGTGGCATGCTGAGCACCGACAGCCTCTGAAGCCCACACTCAACCAGGACACACATGCTCCCTGCTCTTGGGGTTGACCTGGGGTTTATGGAGTCAGTGTGCTTGCTCACAAACCTCTTTATGCCAATTGCACTGGTTATCAGAATTATGTAATTTAATGAAATAGTACCAAATATTTCATAAACTAATTAAATATGACTACATAAAGGTCACTGCTTCTTTGAAAGTTCACTATTTTGGAAAAGACTCAAAATTAGTCACTACAGAAGCATTTCTGTCAATGTAAATGTGTTATGATAACTATAAAAGGCGAGGGGGAATATTATAAAATCTAAGAGGATTCTACTCTTCATAAGCATCTTCAGCTCCGCTGGACTTCAAAGAAACTAGACTGGAAATCAGACCTTGTTATTGGAGTGAGTTGTAAAAGAAAGTCTACATGGAATTCCAATGGGTAGATCCTTATTCAGAGAACTATTTGTGCCTCATCACAGGTAGACCGGCATGTTTTGCCACAATAGCTGCGAGTTCAAAATGTTGTAAGGTCTTGTTTATGTTTATGTATTTTTTTATGTATTGTTTTCAAAAGGATTTTCTGCTTTAATCAGCTTTTACCATTAATTGCCTTAGGCCTGATTATGTCAGATGAGAGGATTTGGCCGTATAAACTAACAGCAACACCTAAAAAAGGAAAAGTTTTTCCTTTGTATTAAAAGCCTTTTTTAAAATTCCATTTCCTACTATTAGCAAGATCTGGAATAGGTTTATTAGCACTAAATATTATACTTTGGTTATGTATAGAAAATGGAATGTGTGCAATCATGTTGATGAAGTACCTTCCCCTATTGTGACATATTCTTTCCCTTTCCAAATGGCAGTGTTAGATGAGATTTCTTATGGATAAAGAAAACAATACCCGGAACAATTTTGAGTCAAAATGACAATCGGAAATATGACAAGGAGAAAATAAACCTTTTTCACATCTGTTGTTTTAGTCTTTGTTTCTTCTCAAGGTTATTTCCCTCTTTACCACAGAAGAAATAGTTGAAATATTAATGCTACAGGCTTGGGGCACAGTGGCTGCTGTCTCAGCCTCGCACCACATGCAACTCCCCTGAAGACGTTCCTTCCACCCACGATTGGACTGGAAGGATCCAGGACCAGGGTTTGTCTCCTGGGCTTAAAATGCTATCAAGTAAATGTCTCAAAAATAATGCTTTCCTCACCCTACATTCTCTTCTCCTTCATTCCTGTTTTTATTAAGTAGAGGAATGTTTAGAATCCAGGACTGCATGTTAATGAGTTGGAGGTGAGGTGCTTTTGGAATTCTCCAGTGTTAACTTTGGAATCCAGCACCCTTTGGGATGAGAGTGTGGTGGGTGAGCCTTTATGGTTAGCAGCCCAGCAACCCTCACGAAAAATGAAGGCCACAGGGGCTCTGCTTCGATGGTTACAGCTAGCAGCTGAAGCAGGTCTTTTCTGGTAGTGTAGTGGCTCTGAAGCATTTGGCCGGAGGTTGGAATGAGATTTTGGTATAGAGAGAGGCCTCAAACTTTTGTACCTCTGTGCTTTATCTCCACTGTAATTTTTATTTCTTTGTACATTTTTGGTATGACCACTTGATATTGCAGCGAACGCTGCACTTGCCTTCTTAATCTAGCTTCGATCTTTTCAAAGAAATGAAAATTTTGATGGTCATATCGTGGGCATACACTTACAGATAAGAATTAAGACGTATGATAGACATGAGAAGTCTGCATTTTATGAGGTTAGCTAGAGAAAATAAATTTTTTGGTCCCTGAAAAGTGATCCTGTTTCCAGACACCAGAAAAATGTTCAGAGGGCCAACTGGCTCTGATAACTAAATCTCATCATGAAGAGAAAGGAACTAAAGAATTGTGGGGTAAGGAATGGAATCTAGGACTTAAAAAAATAAGGTTTGAAGTCGTTAAGACCCTAAAGTTAATATGTGAGTGTTTTTTACTGGCTGGCTTTGAAGGCATTTTGTTGGGCTAAAAACCCCTGGGCTTCAATTTTCTGAAGCAGATTTTGTCTTCCCATTTAGAAAGTAAAACCCTGGCGATTGATTCTCTGGGTTCCAGGAGGCCTGTCCTTTCAAGTGTCCAATATTGAGTTAAACAAAAGTGTAAAATTTGGGTGAAGATTCCAAAATATCATTTATGCTTGCAGCTGTGAAAGAATCCTGGCACAAAGGGCCTTTAGAGGCATTTCAGAATCCTATGAGATGATGAGGTCTGCTTGTGAGGGACAGAGATGAGTCAGGCAGAGGCTGTCAAGGGGGCTGAAGCAACTGATCTCTGCATAAGATGCATCTAATTACTCAGATGGTCAAGTCACAGGGACAAAGGCAACTTTTAAAGGCAAGAAAATGATATGAGAGAAGGCCACTCCATTAATGCCAGTTTCCAGCAACAGAAACATCAACAGCAAAAGCCATCAATGTATAATTTGCAAGGCATTTTTCTCTTGCAGGCCCTATCATGCAGCCGTGTGCTTTGCACTACATTGTTATAGCAAAGAGATGAATTATAAACAGTGCAACATTTCCTCAAGAAGAACCTCCTAGTGCAAGAGTAACAAAGGGGATTCATCTCACAGCCAGCCGATTTAGGAGCATTGGCTCCCTGGGGCGCTGTGTTGAGCAAGGTCCTGAGGCTGTGTGCAGTCTTAATGGGAAAGGATCCTGCATCGGTACCCTCTTACACTGGTGGTGATGGAGGTGGTGTACATATGTGTGCCATGAGGTGGCAGCTCAGGTGAGGTGCAGGTTTTGTCCAGTGCTTGAGCCTCCTGTAGCTACAGTATAGGGGTCCCTGGGCTTCTGTATTCGAAGGGTGGGGAATGGCACTGTAATTCATGACCCCCAACCACTGTCCCCTCTCCTTTCTTCCCAGACCCTTTCCAGGTTCTGCCCTTCTTCTTCAGCCTGTGAATCTGAGCATGACTTCTCTCCCACTTCACTGTGTTTTCTGACCAGACCGAGTACCACCTTCCTCCACCTCTGGGTGTCTTTCCCTCTAATCAATTTGAGCTGGTTTCTCATGGCTGAGCCCTCCTGGCTTGCAGGGAGGCCCCCCTCTAGCTTCCTTTTCTGACATTTCACTTGCCCCTAGGGTGGCCTTTGGAAAATTAGCTGGATTCCCATGTGGTCCTTACTGCTTCTTGGCTCTGTGTCAGTTTGGAATTTCCATAAAAACTAGAGGTTTCCTATGGGAAGCAGCAAATTGTCTTTTTGACACTCTTGTTCTGACAGCACCTGAGTGCTGTTTCTGTGCTAGCTAGTAAAGATGAGGCCCATGGAGCACTGTGTGCTGAGAGACATGAGGCCTGAATGGTGATGCGTGTGTGCTCGGGCACCTGGCCCCTCTGGGTGCTTGCTGTAGGATCCACACAGATGCAGCTGGCCCTCTGTGGTCTACTCCATGGCAGACTCCCCACACGTCCACTGTATGCTGCAGAAAGGGAGCTGGCTGCTCCCTGACTGGGAGACACCCCCATCCCATCCCCTGGCCATCTGTTCCCCTCTTAGCCCACCTGCCCTGCTTTCATTGACTCCAGGCCCTGGACCTGGGCTTCTGGCTGGCTCTGTCCTGCATTCCACAAGAAGCTGCTTCTGCTCCTGTCCTGCCTCTACCATGCAGCTTAGATTTGGAGCTGCAGGTGGTACACCCTCTTTGCCCTGTCCCTGGACATCATGGTGGCTAAGCTCACAGTGTCCTTGCTGTGCTCCTCCCTGGTGGCATCAGGTGCATTGAGTCATCACACTTCCTATTTTCTGTTCTTTGATGCCAGGATCCTCTGATTCTCCAGAAGCCCTGGAAACCATCTCTCATTCTTCCAAAGATGTTCATCTTGTTGCAAAGGCTCCTGAGTGGCCAACTGCAGCCTCAGCATGAGATGGGTTTGACACTGAGTCTCCCCTTGCAGCAGGAGACTCCCAGTGCTTGGTCCTTTAAAAATAAAAATAAAAAACCTCCTCTCCTTTATACCCCAAGTCTGTGACCTGTTTCTGCCTGTGGTTCTGTTTTCTAGGTAAGAATGAGCTCTGTGGGTTAATCAGATAAGAACCTCACATCATCTGTTTCCCATTAATCTGTCACAGCTCCCAGGAGACAGATCCCAAGGCGTGCATGTGTCTAGAAGGCCCTTAGGTCTCGGCTGAGGGAGATTTCTTAGGCAGGTCAGCCTGTCAGCCTCTGCACTCTGTGTGGGTAGCTGCCTCTAAGGGGCCTTCCATCAGACTGGAATTGACAGGTGTGTCCAACCCCTGTCCCCCCTGGACCCCTCTGCCACAAAAAAAAAAAAAAAAAAAGAGAGATGGGAAGGATGTAAAACATACTTTAAGGTTTATTAACATACATGAGAGTGTAGTTTTTGTTTGTTTGTTTTTGTTTTGAGACAAAGTTTTGCTCTTGTTGCCCATGCTGGAGTGCAGTGGCGTGATCTCAGCTCACTGCAACCTCCGCTTTCCCGGGTTCAAGTGATTCTCCTGCCTCAGCCTCCTGAGTAGCTGGAACTACAGGCATGCACCACCATGCCCAGCTATTTTTTTTGTATTTTTAGTAAAGACAGGGTTTCACCATGTTGGCCAGGCTGGTCTTGAATTCCTGACCTCAGGCGATCTGCCCACCTCGGTCTCCCAAAGTGCTGGGATTACAGGCATGAGCCACCGTGTCTGGCCAAGTCTAGTCCTTAAATGCTGGGAACCATTCAGTTCTGTCACACGTCTTTCCACACGTTATATTCATATGATATATAACTCGGGATTGATTTCTCACCATAATGGAAAGAGCAACTAAAGAATGAATTTAAAGAGTGGCTTTACCATCTACAGACATGCGGATAAACAGAAATACAGAGGATGAATAAAGAGGAGACACACACTTGTGAGAGAGAGGTAGCGTGGAACCTTCTGGATAGGGCTGGAAGCTCAGGTCAGCTCTGGGAATTATGAAGCACCAAGAGAGGGAAAATGGACAGGAACAATGTGAATTGAATCACAGGAAAGAAAGCAGATATCTCAGGGTCTCTTACGACAGCTTCATTTCATATTTGTATTTGGCCTTTTCCCCATTTTACTTTAATTAAATTATTTATTGCTTCTTTAGGACTTGGTTACCTTTCATCTCTAGGGATCTCGAGGTGTTGGATAATGGAATTTGGAGCCATTATCAGTGTGTTTACTCTTCAATGTCCATGTAATTGTTTATATCCTGGTTGGTCACTTAACAAGGAACATGAAAATCTGGCAAACAAAACTGATAATGGAGAATGAAGTCCCATTGATAGGGATGCCTGTAGCATGTGTTACCAGATAAGTTTAAATCACGTGCTGGCAGTTAGACTCCTAAGTTCCTATCCAGCAAAACATCAGTTATATGCAGAAAACAACTTCTGATAGGGAAACCACCCTGGTTTTGACTAGAGTGTCTGCATAAATACTTTCCTTTCACAAGTCTGGCCTGCTTCTGGGGTGTGATGTGAGCTCTAGTGACCAGCTCTGAGTGCCTTTGGCTGTCCCCATGAAGAGACAACTTTATTTTTGGCACTGGACAATCAAAATTTATGTCAGGAAACAAAATGCTTTGTCTTATTTATAGAAATTTTGGTATCCAGAGGGTGTGGGAGTTGAAAAGGAGGATGGATGGTTCAAAAATGTCTTGCTGAAGAAAGTTCTTTGAGGAGTGGGTGCATGTCAATGTATTTTTCACATCTCAACATTTCTGTTGTATTAGAAATACCTAATGGGAAGCATTTTAACTCAGAAAAAAAACATATAGAAAGCATTCATAATTCAGCGAAACTGCTACCAGTTCAAGATTTATTTTAAAGGAGGAAAGAAAGGCATTGGAGAATTGTTACAAGTGCTGTCATCTCAAGCCCATATACTGGAGTAATAGCAACAGAATAAGAAGAAAAGTTAAAAGGTTCTGCTCATTATTTTAGGATAATTGAAAAAAAGGAAACAGATTCTATTAATTGTTCACAGAAGTAACATGACTTATCTGTAATCCCAGTAACTGGATTATGGGCATGTGGGCAGGAAGAGGCACTATCTTGCTAGGATGTAGAGAGATCATTGGGGCAAGGGATAGAGCCACGTTACTGGTCAATACTTCGGTCATCTCCCTTCCTCCCTCCCTCCCTCCCTCACTCCCTTCCTCCCTTCATTCCCCTCCCTCCCTTCCCTCTCTTCCCTCCCTGCCTCCTTTCCTCTCTCCCTTTTTCCCTTTCTCTCTCTTTCTTTTGTTTTCTTTTCTTTTCTTTTCTTTTCTTTTCCTTTCCTTTCCTTTCCTTTCCTTTCCTTTCCTTTCCTTTCCTTTCCTTTCCTTTCCTTTCTCTGTATCTCTTTCTTTCTTTTCAGAGTCAATGGTCAGTTTAATAACACTCTTAAATTTAGATAATGTATTTACGAGTACTTCAAAAGTTGTAAAATGCTACAAAGGTTATTAGTTTGAGATAAACTCTACAAGAAAGCTAAAAAAGAAATCCTGTCTACCTCAGCCATTAAAAAAAGTCACATGAGCCCCATTCACTGACTGACACATTTGCAGCTTGGTTCTTTCCCACCTACAGGTTCAAGAGCCCTTGCCACCCCTCCTGAGCCACAGCAGGGGCTTAGAAAGGGGGTCCACCAATGGCAAGGCATTTCCTCATGGCCACGGGGCTGGGATGCCATGGGACTAGGGCTGGAGTCTTTCGATTCCCTGGCCAGGTTCTTTGCACTGGCCTGATGCTCCTCCTTTTAGGCCATTGAAATCATCTTTAGCCCTTCTCTACAGATACAATTGCCGAGACCGAGGCAGCCCTTCTGGTTTGAGAAGTCTGGGAAGTGCTGCCAAAACATCTAAATAAATGTCTTTAGAAACATTTGCCTAAGTGAAGTTTCAGCAGGCTTCAAAGGATGGTGTTCCGGCTGAGTTCCAGTGTGGTTCACAGATTGTCTTAGAGGAAAGTAAGTCAGCTGAGAAAAATGGACTTCACCCTTAAAGAGCTGACTATGTTTGGGAATGCAGCTGAAATTCCTTCTGAGCCAGGCTGCAGATGCCTAGGAGATGGAGCTGGGGCTTCCACATCCTTTCCATGCTTCCACTCTGATCACTTGGACACTGGTCTCTTGTTCTGGTTTTACGTTGGGAAGTCCCTGGAAATGGGGTCTGTCACCTGATCAGAACTGCACTCTGTCCCTGCTGGCTGTAGTAGCTGCCCGAGAGGAGGATGAGGGTGCCAGGCAGAGGCTGCGAGTCCCTGTTCTGGGTTTGGTTCCTTGGTCCTGGTCTGAGCTCTGTGAGGTCTGGATTCTGTGCAGGATGGCAACTTGCTCTTGAGCACGTGAAGGTGTAGATCCTATTGTGCCAGATGCAGTATACTGTCTCACCCTCAGAAGGAGACCCCAAATTATTTGTTGTTAAAGAAAGAAGCTAAAAGGGTCAAGGTACTGACAGTGTTTCTTAGATTTGATTTGTTTACTTCAGAAATGGATTCCTTTGCCCTGTTCTCAGGAAGAAGAATACAAGGCAGTAGCTCTAAGTACCATGTGCTAACAGATGACGCCATGGTATCACCTCAAAGGAGTGGGAAGAATGTGAGAGTAAATAGAGAGTTAAAAAACTGTGGCAGTGAGTAGACTGTCATTTTCAGGAGCATGTCAAGGAAGGCTCTGGGAGGTGTTATGTGACCCTGGAATCACACTGTGCATGTTCGTGGCCTGTGCACATGCCGGGCAGGGCTCCATGGTGCCAGCCATCGCAGTGGGGCCCAGGTCTCCGGGAGGTTGGAGGTGAGATGGTGGTGGTTTGAGATAGCGACCTGATGCAAGACTGCTCCATGGAACAGCTTTTGTGGCCTTTGCATTGCAGTGTGTGCTTCACATCTTTTGGGGAATGGGGTGGGATGCTGTCGTCCCCAAATGTAACAAGTTGATGGCAGACTTTGATGAGCGAATGAAGAAGAGGTGGGTTCTTCATTAGGGATGGGCTGTGGCTCTTCCTGTCACTGCCCACCAGAGCACTTCTGTTCCCGGAACAAAGCTGGGTCTGGCTGCGTTTTTTCGAGGCCCAATAACGAGAAGCAGACAAAATAGGGAAGAAGGGAATTTATTGCTGTAACCGGATACAGGGAGAAGGCTGGAGATAATTCCACCAGACCAATTCAAAGTGTTACAATTTTCTTAGTCCTTTGTGTAGGTTGGGGTTATGTGCTCATGCTCAGTATAGCATTTGCCTAAGTCTACTGGTAACTAATTTTGTTTCAACTAGAAGGTCAGAGGCAAAAAATGCTTGCTAAGTCTGATTAAAAGGGCTCCAGTACCCTCAAGGCCTGTCTACTGTGGAACTGGAGTGATTGTTTCTATCTTATCTCCTTTACAGCTTGGTCTGGAGAGCTGTCTCAGACTTTCCAATGAATCTATTCAAACAGCTGCCTCTGTTACCTTGACTTGTCTCAGATTCTGTCAACCCGAGACGGGTCCTGTCTAGGAATGTAAGACTGTCTCTATATTTTGACTTGCTCCAGGTTAGGGAGAAGCCTATACAAGGCTCCTACTGACCATATGTTTCATTTCTAGCTTTGATGTTTGGGCACCGATTTCCCTAGGTTTGACTGTTTGCTCAATGTCAAGGCAGTGCTGTGGAAATCTGTCTGTGTAACTGGAGTGCTATGCTGCCCTGTCTGTGTGACTGTCATGCAGGTCTGTCTGTGTGTGTGATTGTCAGGGAGACTTGGTCTGCCACACTTCCACGGGGAGTGCCCTGTCTGATTATTAACAGGGTGGGTGACCTGTGCAGGCGGCTGTTTCCACACTGTTCTGGGATAGCGTTGGCCAGCCCTTCCAGCCCTGCTGTGTTCTGTTCTTGGGCAGGCTTCCTCCTGGGTAGGTGACTTGTGTGGCCTGGGATGTCACCTAGGAATGGATGGATGGAAGGGGCGAGGGAATTTTGGTCTGAGGATTCTGTCTGAAAGCAGAGTTGGTGCTGTCCTGAATCACAGTGCTCTCATAATGTGGACATCTGAGGCTGGAGGAGTTCTCAGGGTGCTGTGCTGCGGCTGAGTTATGTTCAGGCCCCACTGGCTACTGTTATTGAGCACCTGCTATGAGAAAGGTGCTTAACAGAGGTGATTCCATTTATCGTCCTGACACATACATTATCCTTACTTTACAGGAGGAGAAAACTAGATTCAAATAGGGTTGGGAGCTTGCCCAGGGACACAGAGCTAAACAGCAGAGCTCAGATTAACGTCCCCATCTGTCTAATTGTTAAATGGAAAAGTTCTGTTTTATTATGATGGGCAATGTACTTTTAAAAATAGTTTCTTTTTATAAAAGCAGAAAGGGAAATTTCTACTAACCACTTAATGCTTATACTTCCTACCAGGCACTGGGCAAAGCACTCGACAAGTGTATCTCCTTTAATCCAAACAGTAACCTATGAATCAGAATTACTGTTCCCACTTAATAGAGGAGAAAACTGAGGCACGCAGTGGTCTAATCACTTGGCCAAGGTCCCATGAGGAGCATATGACTGAGTTGAGATTTGCACCCATATCTGTTTGCCTGACTGCAGGGTGTTGTGTTCAACCTCTGTGCTCTGGTACCTCCAATAACACTAGCTGCTCTGGAGCACTTACTGTGCTCCAGGTATCTGAACCCTTGATGCTATAGCACAGGTCTGGGCTGATGAGAGAACTCAGGCTCTAGAATCAGACCTGCCCCTGAGAAGCAGTGTGACCTTGGAAAAGTGACCTCACTGCTCTGACTTCAGTGTCCTCATTTATCAAAAGGGGATGATAATATCGCCTTTAAAAATTGTGAGGATTAGGCCGAGTGTGGTGGCTCACACCTGTAACCCCAGCACTTTGGGAGGTCAGGAGATCAAGACCATCCTGGCTAACATGGTGAAAACCCATCTCTACTAAAAATAGAAAAAATTAGCCGGGCGTGGTGGTGGGCGCCTGTAGTCCTAGCTACTTGGGAGGCTGAGGCAGGAGAATGGTGTGAACCCAGGAGGCGGAGATTCCAGTGAGCTGAGATCGCACTACTAAACTCCAGCCTGGGCGACAGAGTGAGACTCTGTCTCAAAAAAACAAAAAAACAAACACAAAAAACACCTCACACAAAATTAGTGGAGCATGGTGGTAGATGCCTATAATCCCAGCTACTTGGGAGGCCAAAGAAAGAGAATCACTTGAACCAGGAGGCAGAGGTTGCAGTGAGTTGATATCATGCCATTGCACTCCAGCCTAGGCAACAAGAGCAAAACTGCATCTCAAAAAAAAAAAAAAAGGATTAAAGAAATATTTCATTGGTGTTAGATCCAATTTTTAAAAATAAAGTCATATATTGAGTATTGATTTGTGTGCTCAAACAATGGGCAGAATAAGCCAATATGTGTTTTAGAATCAGACAAACTGGGTTCAAATCCTAGACCTGCCTCTGTGTGTCCACGAGAAAGTTACTCACCCCTTGGAGACCTGTTTGTTATTTATAACAGTGAGAACGGGGGACCTAGTGCCTCCCTCCTGGTGATGATGCAAATGGTCAAGGAGATAGTGAGTGTGCAGGTCCAGGCTAAGCCCTTGGCAAGTGGTGGAAGATACCACCACCACCACCACCACCACCACCACAAAGTTTTGTGTTTTGTTGCCTTACAAACCATTAGAACACCATCAAAATTTGATTGTCCAGTTCCTCTAAAGGAATGTGACTTTAGAGTGTCTGATCTATTTGTAGAGTCAGAGCTGATCTGGACTGAAATGTATATCTTGCCTCCAATTCTTGAAGGAGCCCATCTTCCATAACCAGAACTGGATCACAGAATTGTATTAACTATTAAACTGGGGAAATACATTGTGGAACTCTTAAATATGAAAACCAAGTAACGCCCAATTAATGTGTTTAAAATGTGTTTTAGCTACTATCCTTTTTTAAGCAGCCGACAGATTTGAAACTAGGTCAATAAATTTCTATTAAAATTTTACTTGTTCTTACAAAATGGAGTTGGCCAACCTAAGACCTGAGGGTGATCCTGATCCCACAATTCCTGCTTAGCTGCTGGCATTGGTGTTGTTTTTATGGTTCTCTTCAATTATCCTGTTTTGTTTTGTTTTTTCTTGAGACAGAGTCTTGCTCTGTTGCCCAGGCTGAAGTGTGGTGGTGAGATCTCGGTTCACTGTAACCTCCACCTCCCAGGTTCAAGTGATTCTCCTGACTCAGCCTTGTGAGTGGCTGGGATTATAGGCGCCCACCACCATGCCTGGCTAATTTTCATATTTTTCGTAGAGACAGGGTTTCACCATATTGACCAGGCTAGACTGGTCTCAAACTCCTGGCCTCAGGTGATCCGCCTGCCTTGCCTCCCAAAGTGCTGGGATTACAGGCGTGAGCCACTGGGCCTGGCCTCCAGTTATCGTGTTTTTGATACATTTTAGAATGTTGCAGTTTTGGCAAGCACTGAACAGTCAGCATGTTTACTGAAAAGCTCTCATCTTCATGGAAATGAAGTAGGTTTTGTGACCATGAAGGCAACTTCCCACCATCTTGGTGTGTTCCTGGATTGTGTTCTCCTGATGGAAGGGGCTGTTGGCATGGAGGAGGAAGCTCCTGAGTGCACATGACCAGGCAGTCAAACGCATGAAAAGGAATTAAAACACCACAACATGACACCAAGTGCTTAGTTATATCTATAATAACTTTAAAGTTGAAACGTTATGCTCTAAGCATTATAAAAAGTAGTCCAAATATTCTGTATGAGTTGATATTCACAAAATGTCCAAATTAATAAGCTATTCAAATTGCACCAAAAATACAATCTGTATGTTTGTCTTTCCAACAAGAAACATGCTAGTGATGGCAAACTTTCACTATACATATGGCAATACATTTCTCAGATGACCCAGTATCTGGACAGCTTTTTATGACTTGTTTGGCCTGGGGTACCTTAGAAGCTGTCCGTCCTCTGCCTCATCTCCCTGCATTGATGGGTGGCTCAGGGCATCCTGGGTACATGGGCATGGGTGCTGGGGTTGGCAAGGGTGATGTGGGTGGCCAGGGGTGGGCTGACCGGGCACTCCTCTTTACCAGGTAGCGGCTCAGGGGCCTCAGAGGCTGCTGGGAAGAAATAAAGTGCCACGTATCACTTAGCAGAAAGCCGTAAAAACAACGAGCAATTTCCGTGCCCGTTAGAGACACTGAAAGGAGCCCCATGGAGCTGTCTTGGCTTGGAATTGCCCAGGCCAGTGTGAGTCACCTGTGTGTGCTGTGGCTTGTCTTGGAAGACAGTGGAATCTTGAAGAGTGGGATCAGTGAGGGTGTGTGCATTGAGATGGTGCACAAATTGCCTGGAACAGCCCATGCCAGGCTCCTGGAGGGCAGCACTGCTGTGGTGGAGATACTCAGAGGGCAGCTGGGCTGCAAGTTCTAGGTGTGGCCCTGCCTCCCCTCGGCTGTCCCCAGGGTTTGAGGTTCAGTCCTTTCTGGGGTCTTACTTGAGGCCTGGCCTTCATCAGGACTCATAGGGCCTCCAGGCTGTGGGGTCTAGCTTGGGGGGATTGGAGAAGGTGGGGTTCTGAGTGCAGCACCCCATTCATGGGCCAGGCAAGAGACGACTGACCTGGGCCTTGTGGGTAGAACTTCTGATGTCACCTCCAAATGATGTTGTGTACCTAGAATCTAAGATTAAATATTCAAAATATAGAAGTTCTTAAGGCAGCCTTCCTTTGGAATATCTATTTTTCTTTCTTAAACAAATGGCTTAGGAGCCAAAAATACCCTCCCCACCCCAAAAAAGGCAAGTGCCCTGGACTGTGTCCTGGGTGAGGTTTTGCTCAGTCAGGGGCCCAGACTGTGGGCAGAAGGTGTTGGTTCCCCCTCAGGGGTGTCCTGCTTGAGGGGAGATGGTGGGTTAGGGAGAAGCAGCATTCTAATTCTGGAGCTAGCATCATCAGGTTGCTAGATTTGGGACATGACACTTTTGTCAAAAATGGGGGACTCTCACACTTCCCTTGTGAGCTGCGGAAAGGACTGATGAGCCATGAGGGTGTCTTAGGTCAAGAACCTGGCATCTGGTAGCCCTGCAGGTTTTCATTAATGTGAGCTTTGTTGTTATTACTGTCAAAATCCAGCAATTTCTTGTGGGTAAGCTTGAAAGCATCACTATCATTTATGTTACTGTAATGTGAGACGTTCCCAGATTTCCTCCTGACTCAAAATAACACATCAATCTTTATTCAGTGTCTGTGGGTGTAACTATTATGTTAAGTGCTGTAAAGGAAATAGACACATAAGTGAATGCAGTACATATATGAAGCAGTTCCATCCACTTTCGTGATTCTAACTAGCAGCTGCATACTTGAAGTTTCCCACTTTCCCTGAGTTCTAGACCTGTTGTTGAAATGTGTGCTAGATACCTGAACTTCATCCCACATCCATCTCCCTGCTGCTCCTCCACCCCGCATTGGCAGGGCTTGGCCCACCCCTCTGGATGTCCCCTGGGCTTCTAGTGCTACCGTGTGCTGTCATTGCCCCTTGCTTTGCCAGTGGTGTGATGTGTCTACTCCTGCTTGCCAGTGAGACTGTGTGACCATTACAGGAAGGGGTAGAGGCTGTTCCTCTCTTGTGGAGAGGTTGGAGGGTAAAGGGGCCTTAAGGAAGGAATTTGGGGTTTCTAGGAGCTAATCATGGAACTGTCCTGAGCCTTAGTTTCCCTAACTGAACTTTGGGGACATAGTTTATTTAAAAATTGGAGAACTCTCTATATAAACTTAAGAAGCACTTTTGTGTGTCTTTGAAAGTGTGTTACTTTAATCTTTGCCTTTTTGCCTTTTTGGTGTGGTTTTTCTCCAAGGTATTTGCTCATAAATTACTAATTATACTCCTCATTCCTCTGCTTCTGATTCTATAGCATATCATATCTTTCTGACATTGTCCTGATTCTTAAATTGAACCAGACACAGGGCCCAAGCTAAACAGGAAAAGCGAAACACCGGGAGCCCCCACTGGTCTCCCCAGGTCTGCTCTTTTTCAGACATAGACAGAAAATGGGTAAAATGTGTTCCTGGGACTGTAACCCAGTCCCATGAGAAGGCCTAGGAGTCAGAGGGCCAGCCCAGTCCCACTGTGACTGTCTGGGCCATAGCTAGCGCCAGTTGTGTTCATGTCCATCTTGCCTTCTTTGCAGCCAAGCAGTTTTGTGTAGCAGGACTTACCTGCATGCCCCAGGGGTCTTTTAGGATTCAGGATTACTTTTCTTTTATAATGGTTTCCTCTCGGCAGAGCCTGGGTTGTGGAGGATCTGTGTGGCATTCCCAATGCAGATCCATCCCCAGGGTCTCCTGGGCAGGGATGGCCGAGTCCCTTCCCCTCCCAAGAGAACCCTGCTCTGTCCTGAGGGCAGAGCCCAGGCACACGTTGCCTCTTCCACAGAAGGAGTTTATACCAAAACCACAAGCAAAAAACAAAACAGACCACCACCACCAACAATGAAGATGGGAGAATAAGGGTTTTCTAAAGTTTCTGTTAAGTTCATATTTTTGTATCATTTTGCCTATAAATGTGGTATTTGCCATGGGAATTTGAAGACAAATGATCTATGTATTTATGGTTTTCTAGGGAAGGTGCCCTGGGGGCTGGGCTCTCTCCAGCTTTGGGAAGCCAGCTCCCTCTGGGGGGCACCGTGAGCAGGATGGGGGGGCCCTGATAGGCGCTTCTTGCCAAATGCAGATGAGCGGTCAGCCTGCCAGTGTTTGCAACGTTCCTGCACGACGGGTTCGTGTTTTCTGAGGATCGTGATGATATAGGACATCTGAATCTTTGTACAAATGTGTAGATGACATCTTGCTGCAGCTTTTATTTGCGAATAAAGATGCATTGATGCTTCAAAAAAAAAGAAGAAGAAGAAGAGGAAGAAGAAGAGGAAGTCAGAGTAGGGCAGGCAGCCTGCAAGTACATTTCCTTTTTTCCTTTCTTCTCCCTTAGGTCAACACTCCCAGACCCCAACACTGAAGAACTCACCTTCATATTCCTCCCACCCCGCCATTGTGGTGCCTTTTATCCTGGGATTCCCATTGCTGGGCCTTTGTCAGTTGACTTGTGGAGAATGCACAGGGTTCTTCTGCAAACAGTGTCACCTGTGATTTTCAGTATTAATGGTCATAAATAATCATAGTCCTAGAATCCATTCTTTTCCACAATCACGCAGCTGTGACTGGGCTTTTGGGCTGGACTCAGTGCCAGTCCCGCATACTCCTCACTTCCATTTCTCAGTGGACGTACATAATTATTGTCCTTTCCTGGAGCATTGTTGTTATTGTTGTTGTTTTTTAAATATGTGCTCTCTCTATGTATAGACCCTAAAATGACGTAATATGGATTTTCATTTTCCTTTGAGGTGGGTGCATCTCAAGGGAGCCCAACACCCTGCTCTTCCTATTCCAGAGAGAGCAGGGAATTCCCCTCAGATCCCCAGGAGGACATGTGTCTTCTATGCACTCCCCTAGACTCCTTTCTGAGGACAGACGGGTGAATCTGGGAGAAGGCAATGAGTAGGGCAGGCTCAGCCCTTCCTTTTTCAATGAGTGTCCTATTCTGAGGACCCTCAAGGTCACCTGCCCCTGTGGTAGGCCAGTGGCCATTCTTAGAACTGCCTGGAGCCCTTCAGGCTGCAGATGCAAGGCCGGTTCTGTCATGAGCTGTCTCAGTGGTAAGGCTTTATCCATCTGCTGTGCCTGTTTTCCCATCTGCTTCTAATCCAGGAGGCAAAAATCAGTGTTATCTGTGGACCCAGGAAGCCCCACAGAGAGATCCTCCCTAGACTGGGCTCCGGCATTGAGGCTTTGGGTATTTTAGCCCCAGTCCTGCTCTGTAGGTATGGAGCTGAATTGTCAAGCAGCCTAGACAGATGAGCTGGGTCCAGAGGTGATAGGGGGACGTGTCCACTGGGCAGGTGACAGGCAGCTGCTCCTGCTTTTCTTCCCTATGCAGTGAGTGATTCTGGCTTG
Organism: Homo sapiens; assembly: GCF_000001405.40. Lineage (NCBI taxonomy): Eukaryota > Metazoa > Chordata > Mammalia > Primates > Hominidae > Homo > Homo sapiens. The sequence goes on from NC_000018.10 coordinate 36,390,297, forward strand.
GAGGAGCATGGCTGTGCTGAGCTAAATTAAAACTGGAGGTGCCCTGAGCTTTGTTCTTTTTAAGGCCATAGTATTCCAGGTTAAAGATAGGAGTGAGTCTAAAATAAAATGTGACTCTGTTTGGGGTGTGCAGCCAGATGCCTCGTTGGTGCCTGCTGTTCTGGAGGAGACAGAGCCTGTTCTGGTGCTGGGTCCTGCTCTGGCATGCACCCTGTCCTTGTGCTGAGCTCTGCTGGTTTTGATTTTCTGCAAGCACATTCTGTACCTGGATTTTTTTCAGAAAACACTTTTTTTGAATAATGTAACAAACGTGAGGCAATTTAAGACCTCACACTCTGACCTCTGTGACTTGGTGTGTCAAGGCATGAACAAGTGATGGTTTTGAGATGTGTATATTTGAAGCAAACTTGCTTTAAGAAAACTTCCTACCTGAGTGACTGATGTAACAGACCCACACTTAACACATGATGATGGTCCTGTTACGCCTGGAGTGATTCTCCACTCCCTTGAAGGGGAAGTAGGAAGTTATTAAACCGTCAGACTCTTGGGGGTGGGGAGAAATAACGAGTGGTCCACATGGATCAATCACCTGTAATCCGTAAATGAATCCAACCTGGAAAGATCAAGTATTTACCTGTATGGACAGGTATGCACTGCCTTAGTTTTCTTTCCTCTTGCCCCAGAAAGATAGTCCATGAATATTCACCAGAAAGTGATCGTTGTCTCCGATGGGTAATTAGGATTGAAGGGGCAGAAAGCCCAGCACTCCAACTGTAGGCACCAGTCAGAATTCTGCTGCTTTTGCTGGAGCATCTCTTCATAAGCATAAGGCCAGGTTTCATCTAATGCTGCCAACACTGTGTGAAGGGCACACTTCACTGTCACCAGGTGCAGACCTGCAGTTTGCTGAAGGGTCAGAGACATTCCATGGAGGGACCATAGGGGCACCTAGTGTCTGGGGGGCAAAGTGTACCCACTTTTAAAGGGGGTGGCTCATGGAACAGGGAGAGGCCATTTTTCTTAGGATTGGTCTGTTCCTGGACAGATGCCAGGATCCCTGTTTCTTCAGGGGTGCTTGCAGGTGCCTGGAGTCCAGACAGGGATCCCTTGGCCTGGCTGGGGTAGCCTTGTTCATGGGAATTTTTTCTCGATGATAGGAGGGTCCTACAGGGGATATACCATAGCCAGTGGTAAGTTCAGGGAATTAGAGCTCAGGAAATTCAAGGCCTACAACTGCAGTGAGTGAGGCACATACTGGATCTTAGCAATGTCCTGGAAGCCTGGGGTTTGTAACCAGACATGCCTGGCTGAGCCCTGGGTTTACCACTCAGCAGCTGTGTGACCTTAAGTAGGACCCTTGTCTCAGGTGACTCTTGTAATCTTCCTAGGCCTCAGGTGACTCTTGTAAAGGGCATGGTTGGTCATCGTGTGCACACCTTACAGGGTGGGTTGGAGGCCTGGATGAGATGATGAGACACCTCCTGCCCCTCCAGCTTTCGTTCTGCTGGTGGCTTTCCAGACAAACCATGTGGCCCCCTGACTGTGTTGGTGCCTCCCCTGTGTCTGCTGACTCCTACTCAATTCTTAGGCTCTGCTCAAATGTCTCCCCATGCCACAGGGAAAATGGCTTGTGGTCTTCTTTGTCCCCCACAGCTGAGATGGGGCATGTAAAGCACTTGTCATAGGCCCTGTGGCATGCTGTGCTCACCGCACACGTAAGCTCTGGCTGTCCTGCCCAGTGGCACTGGACCCTGGTGTAGCGGGGTGGACTTTGGAGCTGGCCCTCCTGGTTCATACCCTGGCACCACCACTTAGAGGCTGCATGACCTTGAGCAGGCGATTTCTCACCAGCTCCATTTTCTTACCTGTAAAATGAGACAGTCATAGGGTTTTGGGGGGTTAAATGAGTGAATTCATGCCAGGTGCCCAGAACCCCCACCCAGCACAGAGTAAGCACTGTGCATGGGGTAGCTATAATTGGCTTCCCTAGCACAATGCATAACACATGATGGGTCTTAATATATCTATATGAATAATAAGGCCAGCAGAGTGTGGGATTATAGTGAGAGCCGAGCTGAAATATCAGACTGTGGAGTCATCTTCCTTTTCTTCCCAAAACCCTCTCAAGTTTCCCTGAAGTGCTGATAACTTATAGTGGCCAAAGCTGAACAGTGTCTGCTAAGAAAGCCCTCCCTGAGTAGTGGCCAAAGCTGAACTGTGTCTGCTAAGAAAGCCCTCCCTGAGTAGGGGACAGAGGAAAGTCTACTTCCTGCCCTCCCAGGCTCTGATCCTCAAGCTGCTGTCACTTAGAGACCTAGAGACATGGCAAGACTGTGTAGAGTGAGGACAGGACTTTCCTGGGGCCAAGCAGGGTATATCTCCTGCTTCCGCTTCGTCTGATCTTGTCTGTGTTTCATGCGCAGGCAGCTAATTTGTACCTCATAGATTCTTTTTCCTTTGGCTACTGTCATGGCAGATGGGAAAGGAGGTTTTAATGAATTAGTGTTTTCTTTTGGAGATTAGGCTTTCATTATAAATATAACTGCTGACACACAGCCTTCTGGTACTTACATATCATTTGCCAATTAGGATAATGGACTGAGAAAGTCTCTTGGAAAGTGACATGGCCAAAGTGAAGCCTGTAACTCAGCTTAGGGTTTTGGTGAGTGAAGTCCTTTGCCAACTGGAAGCAACATATATTAAGTCTGCCCACAATATGCCTGTGCTTAGAGGTCTGAAAATATTCATGACCTTTGAGAAAGAAAGATTAAAATTAGTAGGCAGAAATGCTGCAGCCAGCTCCAGTTAGTTTGTGATGTGGTCATTCCAGAGTGTCTGCCATGCTGGCCACATGCTTCTGGGACGGCTGCAGGGCAGAAGGCTGCCTGCTTAATTTTAGAGTTAAACAAACGTAATGGCGAAAGCATTTATGATGGATCTGAATCTGGTGTGGCATGCTGTGATATTTCCATCACTGCATTTAGGGGTCCAGATCTTCTGGACACTTTCTCTTTCCTTGTATTGTTCTCTCCAAGGTTTCTCCACCTTGACACAATTGACATTTGGGGCCAACACTTCTTTTTTGGTGGGGTTGTCCTGTGAATTGTAGGATTCTTGGTGGCATCCCTGGCTTTTACCCACTAGATGCCAGTTGCAATGCCCCTAATTGTGACAGCAAAAGATACTCCTAGACATTGCCGAATGTCCCTTTGAGGGCAAAAGTGGTTGCAGTTGAGAACTGCTGCTCTAGAGCTGGCCCCAAGACAGTCACAGAGGGACTAAGAAGCTGTCCGTAATCCCCACCAATTCAGGGTATTGGGCTACACAAAGGCAATCAGTCATTCATTTCCCCAGGAAACCATTCTCCTGGAGTCCCAGTTGTGTGCCCAACTAGACCTGGAGAATACAAAGGGGAGTGAAATGAGCCTAATTCTCTAAGCAGCTTAAGGAAATGGGTGTTGTGATTGGGGCCAGAAGGCTTCCTCTTAAATTATACTGATCCTACTGCAGGGTTGATATTAGGGTCCCAAACTTCAGAAAACTCTGGGTTCTGATGGTTTCCTATGTGAGGGCAGGGAGCTAGTTAATCCACTTGGATCCACAAGCCCGGGGACTACAGATATATTAGTCTTAGGAAGGGACTTGGAAAGTGAGTGGCTTGATTAAAACTTAGAAGGGTTTATTTAAATAACAAGAAGGGGCTGAGGGAACCATGGGAGAAAAGACACACAGATGAGCGTGAGCAGAATCAGAGTGAATTTGCTAACAAAGCAAATCCAACCTACTTGGGCAGATCAAGGAAGGAAAGAACACTGGTATGGGAGTAGGGGAGTGAGAAATATCAGGCTGAGTGAGGGAGACCTGGATTTTCTGAGCCGTCTCCTGGGGAGCATGCTATCTGTCTTATGGATTCATTGTTATGGTCAAACAAGATAATATCAATTTAAATATTGGGCTTCCCAGATGAAAGTCATTATTAAGGTCATCGTGTAGACAGTCTTCACAAGCAGACATTGAGATTTTTACTTTACAAAATAGAAAATAAGGAATCATTGACATGAGATTTTGAGCAGGGGAGAATATTCTGGAAATGGCATATAGAATTAATTGGATGGGAAGGAGCCAAGAGGAAAGAGCGGTATAGCTGGCCAACAACCATCCCCACCCCGCAGCACTAGATGGGGACCACCCACCATGCATGTTTTGAAAACCTAGGATTTTTACTGTGAACTTACAGATCTAAGTGTATTTGATGGGTTTCAATCAGTTGCACTTAATGTACTTGAAGTTTGAGTTGTCCCATTTTTGGCCACTGGAACCCAAGGAGGCTTCTGAATCATCACGGGTGTTCTCTTTAGCTTCCTCTCTTAGTGGTAGAGCAAGATGTTTCAGTTCATCTTATGCATCACTTGCCCCAGGCCTGTAATCAACTATGTCTCTAGGAAGCCCAGTTTGTTGTTGTTGTTGTCGTTAATAGAAAACATTTCAAAACTGCAATTTGAGTGCTGCAGATGTTCACTGCTACTGGATTGTCATAGTTTCTGAGCCTCCTCAATGGGAGAAGCTGGGAGATACGTGTTGTATACATGTATATTTATTTACCTAGGATAAAGTAGCTCATGAGAGCATACTAATACTTCAAATTCAAGTTCTGTGCTACAAGGTTTTTACATAGTCTCTTCTATATTACACCCTCATCTTGTTTCTCTACCCCTACATGTCCAGGTTATCAAGAACACAAGAGTGGATAGAATTAGAATATCCCATATTTACCCACTTAAATTTATATCACACTCAGAGAAATATCAGAATAACAGTACTACCACCATCAATATAACTACTGAGAACAGTTTAGGTTTTTTTTTTTCTTTTTTTGTGTGTTTGCTCTTCTCATTTAAAAATATCTGTATCTAGGGAGGCTGAGGCAGGAGAATGGCATGAACCTGGGAGGCGGAGCTTGCAGTGAGCCAAGATCATGCCACTGCACTCCAGTCTGGGTGATAGAGTGAGACTCCGTCTCAAAAAAAAAAAAAATCTATATCTGCATTGTCAGAATGCATAGCCATTGTAAACTATACTCACTTCACTTTAGCTGTCATTTTCTCTTAGTTCTGCAGGTTTCTTCATGTTTAAAGTTCACCATCAATCTTTATGTTGATATCTTTCTAGTCATTTTGTGTGTCTGAAACTCATTCTCGAGTTGGGGAGTCTTTGATGTAAAAAAATGTTTTCATAATAATTCTTTTTTTTCATAATAATTCTAAGATGGTATTTTCCTTTTATTTATTCCCCTCTTTCATTCTCACATGAGTGCATGGAGTTTTCCAGAACCTCTGTGACTTGTGATATCACAACAAATTAAGTGTATAACAGATATGTGAGTCTGGCTGTTACTAAGAGAAATATTAAAAGGATTTACAAAAATAAAAGCAGTGTTACTCTTATGAATTTTTTTGTTTGAGAAAATAGTTATTTTTTCTAAAATATGTTGTATGTACATTAGCACATACTGGGTTTGCTATTTTTGATTAATTCATAAAGAATTAAAAATTTCTGTTTCAACTTCTAAGAGGTAATTTGTCTGTAGATATTACCCACATAAACACAGCTCTTTGGGATCCTAAATAAATTGAAGAGGGTAAGGAGTCAGAAAAAATTTGAGGACCCTCCTTCTAGTAGATTCTTTAGAAAGGTCTCTGAAATTTTGCACGTTAACAGTTTATTGGTATGCTTTATAAGATTTTTGCCATGTATAATATCCTTGGCCAACATTTTATGTCCTTGTTACTGCATTTTTTCGTATATAAAGTATTGCTTTTGAAAAGTCTGATGATAATAAGCTTTTATGTCCCTTGTTATTTTTGCCTAAAAGATTTATTTTTTTCTGTAAAGTCCAGTAATTAGACTGTGTCTTGGTATAGGTCTTTCTGAGTCAGTATCCTCAAATACATGGGGGATCTTTTATGTGGTTTCAAATTATATATAAAATTTTAGGAAAGTTTTCTTATAGTTTTCAATATTCTATTCCTTTGCTTTGGTTCACCTTGTTTCAGGGACCCCTGTTAGGTGTGTGTTAGACCTTCTTTGCCTACCTGCAGTGATTCTGTTTCTCTTGAATCACTTTTGTCATTTCTTTTTGATTTGAAAAAATGTCCCCCTTTAACTTTCTGCATCTCTTGAAGCATTATTATTATTGTGTTTATTTAGTTTTCTGTCCTAGTTTATCATTTCTTTAATGACTTTTCATTTATTTAAATTCAAATGATATTCTTGAGTTCTGTTCATTTCATTTCTGTTTTTCTAATTCTGATTTATGTTCTTAGCTTGTATCTCTTATTTTGAAAAGGTAGGTTATAAATTTGATTTTAGGTATGACTTTAGGTACAATTTAGGTGTGATTTTAGGCACTTTAGCTATGACTTTTTGACATGCTTTAATTGTCTGTACAGATGTTATTAAACTCCTTATTCTCTTCTTCCTTATAATAATTCTGTATGAAATTTGACCTTGATATTTTTATGTTGCTCATTTTTATATAAAATCAGTTTTCTTGAACTTTTAGCAGGAGGCTTGGTTCACATTTTTTTTTTAACTTCACAGACATCTATTGTTTTAGCATAGGGTTTAGAAACATGACTGATTGCATTCTGAGATTTCTTGTCTCTATTCTTGTCTCTCACTTTTATTTTGAGCATTTCTTTCCTTTATATTACTGCTCCACTATTTCTGAGTTTTAATTCCACTCCCAGCAGTTTCTCCTATCCTGGAAGGAATCCCTGGGGGCCAGTTTTAAGAATTCATAGAAGCTAGATTGCTACAGATCTTTTAGTCCAAACCATGGGACCATTGACTTACCTAGCATTAGATTGGTCAATACCCCTCTCAGTTTCAGCTGCTGTTCTCAAATGAGCCTAATATACTCTCCAGTGAATATCTGCTGGTTATTTTGGCTTCTCCTGTTCTCAGGTCTGTCAGATGTCTCATTGTTTCCCTCTACTCTCTGCTGAACAGATAATAATAGCATGCATATCTCAGGCTGTTGGTGGTTTGTCCTTCTACCCTTTTATTTTAGTGTTTGTAGAAATTGTTTTTACCCATTTGTATTTTGACATTTTTCATTTTATAAATATTGCTTATGGTGCTTTTGTTTTGCTTTCTGGTTGCTTTTTTAAAGGATGGGTTTTAGATACTAAAAACTATTTTGAGATTCACACACATTTGTAACAAGTAGTATAGAGACCCCATATGCTCTTCACCCATTATTTGTTATATTTTAATGTAGATTTATATAGAGATTCAAATAGTATGTCTCTGCCTCCATCTTTATAGAATCCTGTCTTTATTGGTGATTTTTAAGATAATTTCCTAAAAATGGTTACTTAGAATTCAGTTTACTTTTATATAATGAACTCCCAAAACAATAGGAAATGCCTTCAAGAGAGAAGTGCCCTTTCCTATCATGTAAAATTAGAAGACTAGGGGTCCGCACTCTAGGGCTAGTATGGTTGTTCCAGGGGGATCAGATTGACTGCTTGAGTTTTAGGCATTACTTCTGCATTCTAGGCAGCAGAAAGGAGGGAGGGTTGATGAAGGACTTGCCCTATGCTCTTAAGAGGCTTTCTGGAAGTTTACTGGAACATTTCTGTTTACATGTTATTGGACAGAATTTAGTCATGTGGATACAGGTAGCTGCTAAGGAGTCATGGAACTGAATGGTTTTATCTGGCTACTAGGCTACCCAAAGAAACACTGGGGTTCTTCTAGTAAGAAGGAGAGAGTGGATATTTTAATAGGCAACCCAGAAATGAATGGGTTTTTCCTGCTGTATTCTTGAACACAAACGTGAATAAATATGCAGGAAGTTAAAAGGATATTTTGAGTATGATTTTAATCTTAACATATTTTTCTCATTACATTTATGCTGTTCTGCAAATGAAAACAATTCAGTGCTATGAATTGAACTATTTGCACCATATCTTGGGATGCTGATGGCATCTCAGTGCAGATCTTTAGTCTCTTGGCAGTAGCAGTAGGTGGAGAGAGATGTTTCTCCTTCCTGCCTTTCTAGCAATACTTCCTAAGATGCTGTCTTTTAAGTGTGGTAATAAGCTGCTTTCAGTTCTTTTGGATATATACCCAAGCATGGAATTGCTGGATCATGTTGTAATTCTATAACCACTGTTTTTTTCAGAAAGAAAATGCCGGCACTCAGTACTGGTTAGGATTCCAGTTGCAGTAGGTGCTCAGAGCCTGAGGGGAGTGGAGCTGTTGTGTAGTCTCAATGATTTGTTCCATTGTGATGGTCAGGGCATATCAGGAACAAGCCAGGGCAGGTGGGTGCCTGCTGTATGGTTGGTGCCCTGTGCATGCCTAGGCAGAGCTTTAAGCGAGTGGTCAGTGTAATCCCACTCATTCACATGTGCTTTGCGTTCCCTTCAACCTTTGTTCCAAGTTCCAATTTACCAAAATAGGTAAAAGTCTGCCTATTTTCCATGATGCAGGTACATTGTATGTCTGTGACCCCCTCTAAAGGGATGTTTTTGGGTACATTTCAGTGTGTTGTGAGGAGGGAGGTATAGGACAGGGATGGGGGGGATCTGAGGAGAAATATGTGTGGCATGTGGGAAGGCTGGGATCCCCTGTCTTTTGGTCTGGCTGGTGTTGAGACTAGCTCTGAACTCATTCTTCTGGGAGACAGTGTGAGATTTTTGTGATCTAGGACTTATTTGTCCAAAGCTGCCTATTTTCCAGGATTGGAGGAGAGTTTGGGTACCTTGTATCTGACATCAAGCAAGCAGAGATCTACGCCACCCTTCCAGGAAGGGGACACTGCTGTTCTGAAAACAGGCCCATCACATTCCTTGGTGTTGATAATGGGGCACTGGAAGGTGTAGCTCAGGTGCTTCTCCTTTCCATGGCCCCAGATTGCTGGCCTGGCCCAATTTCAGTGTCCTGTTCGTTTGTCCCAAGGAGGGCAAGCATCTGGGGCAGGCTATGACTCATTATTTCAGCTCTGAACACGGCCATGCAAGGCCTTGCCCTTCCCAGCTTGCACCTATGGGTCTGTGAGCTGTCTCACTTGAGTACGACTAGACATGTATTTGAGTTTTCTGATGTGGATTAATCCTAAGTGTCCACACACAGATGTTATATGTGTCTTTTGTTTTGCAATTTGAAAGCTCCCTTAGGAGATCCTGTAGCAGTCTGTCTTTGAGGTCCCCATCTTGTCCCAGAGCTCCACTCTTATCTTGGTGGGTGACCCTGAGGAAGTGGCTCCTGGAGGCATTTTCTCCACCCCAGGCTGCCCTTGGGGCTCAGGGCATGCACCTTGCTGGTTTGGCTAGCCTTGTGCTCAGGTGCTCTAGGGCCTTCTAGCCCCCTCCGCTTTTCTTCTTGCTCCACATTTAGTATTGATGACCCTGCTGCAGAAGGCTCATTTGGTTTTAGAACATTATAGAGAGCTATTGCTGGGAATCCAGGATCAACTGTTTATAGCCACCGCCAGGAAGATGCTCTGAGCTCCCATCTTGCTGGGAGGAAGACCAAGTGAGTACACAGTTAGAGGACAGTTTTGAGTTTAGAGGCACGAGATGGCTGCTGGCCCAACAGGCCAGGCCTGAGGGTTCAGGCAGAATTTGACTTTGCTCCTTCTGAATCATAGAGTTCCTTCATTCACTGGGTGAAAATAAAAATGTAAGAATGTTCCCAAAAGCTGGACAGGAAGAGGGTGTGAGGTGTGGATCCTGGCCGCAGACATCTATCACCCCTCAGCTCCCCATGCATCTTTCTGTGAACTGAAATGTATTTCTCCAGCTCTGATTCTCAACAGTAGAGTTTATGGGTAATTTTAATTAGTTTTCAAGGTTTATTTTTGTATGTTTGTAGAGCCATGGAAAAAAATGAACTGGAAATGAAATATGCTGTTGAATAAATGATAATTTTACATTCTAGAAGAGCTCAGTATTTAAGCAAGACCTTAAAAATAGAGTGAAAAAAGTAATTACTCCAATAAATTTTACCAAAAGAAAAATAGAAACGTTGTTCTTTCCTGTTCCTCTTCTAAATGGAGAGGACAATGGTCTTGTAAGTCCAATTGGTTCCTGTCTGCCCCTACCCCCACAGCTCTTTCCTGGAGACCTCTAGGACTTTCCACTCAAAGTGTGGTCCCCAGGCCAGCAGCATTGACATTACCTAGTTAGAAATGCAGAATCCCAGACCCCACCCAGAGGCTGAATTTTCCCTAGATCTCTGGGTGAACCAGGTGAATCATGAGCGGTCTGAGAAGGAGACTGTGGTTGGTTTGAAGGAGTCCTCTATGAGATTGGGGCAGTGGCAGCTGTGGCCTGGGGAAGGGACCAAGAGGGTGGAGTTCTTCTCACTCAGTGCATCCACCAGAGCTGAGAGCAGGCCTTACCCTGGAACAGGGATGGAGGCTGGGAGCAGAGGTCTAACCAAAGGCAACCAGGAAGTGAGTGTCCACAGCCATCTCCTTTGGGATGGCATCCTCTTTTTCTCTCCATGGACAGAGGAGGAGAGGACCCATCCCGGAAGCAGAATAAGTGGTCACAAAAGAAAAAAAGGATCAGGATGGTGAAGACATTTGACATCGAGGAAGGAGAGTTATAGAAGGGAGATGGAGGAAAGTGTCGGTTGCTGGCTTCACTCTCTGTGCCTTTTATGTGAAAGTGCAAGGCTGACCTGTTGCTCTGGAGGGAGGGGTGGATCACTCTTGCATTCCAGGGAGCCACTGGACACTAGTTAGGGAGAAGGAGAGTTTGGCCAGCATTTTGCAGGACGTGATGCATGGCGTGCTGTGGTCTGAATATTGGTGTCCCCCCAGATTCATGTGATGAAATCCAATCACCAAAGCACTGGTATCAAAAGGTAGGGGCTTTGGGAGGTGAAGGTTCCACCCTCATGAATGGAATTGATATCCTCTTATAGAAGAGGCCCAAGGAAGCTTGTTAACCACTTTCCCCTTCCACCCTATGAGGACACATACACAGTGCTACCTATAAGGAACAAGACCTCACCAGACACTGAATCTGCCGTTACCTTGATCTTGGCCTTCCCAGCCTTCAGAACAGTGAGCAATACATTTCTATTGTTTATGAATTACCCAGTCTAAAGTATTTTGTTATAGCAGTCTGAATGAACTAAGACAGCCTGTCATTGGCAAGGATGCCTTTGTCAACTTCCAAGAGCATGAGAAGGAGGGGTGGGCACATGTCTTCAGAGAGCACTAGACCAAGAGGCTGATTCCCAGGATCTTGCTCTGTGTATCAGCTCCAGCCAGTATGTGGCTTTGGTTGGGTTACTGCACCTCTCTGAGCCTCACTTTCCCAATGTGTAAAACAGGTACAACAACATTCTATGCTCTCTGGGCTTTTGGGAGGATTAGATGGAATCAAGGAAGTAAAAGTGTTCTGAGTTATCATCTGTTGAAAACCTGTGAGGGCAGTGCTTAACCTGGCCCCTCATGTTCTATCCCTCACACGGTATGTAGCACAGAGTGGCCGTCATTACTGGCTAAGCAGACCTGAAGGACCATTTTTACCAATTCATTGATTTACAAGTAGAAATATGTAAGTTACACAGAAAGGTTGCTCACATCCTCTGTGTTTTTGCTCTTTGGCTGTTATAAATAATGCTGTAATGAACCCTTGTATACAAGCATTTATGTGGACGTATGTCTTCACTTCTCTTGCATATATTCTTTTTAAAAATTCCATTTTGTTTTTAAGGCAGGAAACTTAAATGTGGTGCTTTTAAAATTGTGATTGTTCAATTATAGCCCTGAGAACAGTATAAGCCAACAAAGAGTGGTGGCCTTTGGGGCGGGCAAGGTGCGAGAGAAGTACTGAGTCGGCTGGGCGTGGTCCTTTTGTTTTTAAAAACAGAAAAAGTGATGAAGCTCCAGGAGTGAGGAAGGCTGATCACTGCTTGTTCTTCTTTTCACATGGCAGCAAAGAGGCCTTCTTGAGCGTAGCTGGCTCATTATAGATTAATACGCTGATGACAGCAAAGAACCTGAGTGCTCATCTTGATCTATATCCCTTATATACACACATAACCCATGCCACTACCTCTCTGGGATATTTTCTCATATATATGTGTGAAATACATATTATATATTTTATCATAGTATGTAATATGCAATATAAAAATTATAATGTATATTTTTAGTGATATATAATGTGATGCAATTATACACACACACACACACACACACACACACACACACACACATATGAAAATACCCCAGAGAGGAAAAGGGACATGTCCAAGGTCACACAGCTAGCAACTGTCGGGCCAGGACTACAGTCCATTTTTCCACGACTTTAGTCCAGTGCTCTTTCCCTGACATCCATTACTGCTTGTTTGATGTGACATTGTGTGATCCGTTTGAGCCTTTCCCTTCCCTTATGTCACAAAAGGCTTTGTGCAGAGTGGAAAGGAATTTTCTATCTTTCTGATTTTTAAGGCTTTAACAAATATGTTCCACTTTTCAGATTATCTGAACTAGAACCACAGTGAGTTTCCATCAGCTGCAGAAAACCAAAGGTTTACACATAGCAGCATCTTTTGTTTCACATCTGCTGAGAGGCGTGTTTGCCTGAGCTGAAGCTGTGGCCAACGGTGACGCAAGTTAGACGCTTAAGCTGGCAAGGCCATAGGAAAGTTCTCCTTGGTTAGACGTTGCTAAGTCATGACAATGAAGTGAAAATCTTCGAGGATAGTTTTGTTGGGAGGGGGCCATGAGGGTGCAGGGTGCAGAATCCAGTGCTTCTCGGAGCTGCTCAGTGAAAATCCTCTAAGACCAGAGCTGCAGCAGGCCCCAGCCCAGCCAGGAAAGCCCCAGAGTAGTTGAGGGAGCTATGTGTGTCTCCTTCCTCTCTCCCCTAGGGGGCTGGCCTAGGGTGTGTTCTGTCCTCTGCAGCTTCCCTCCTCCCTCTACCCACCTTTTGGAATGGTACTGGTAGAATAGAGTAAGACATTGCATAAGGTGAATCTGCATGCTTATTGGGGGTGTCGAATAGAATGAAGAAAACTAGTTAGTTCACAAAGTTCCCTAATTCTGTTCCCACCTTTAAAGAAACGTCTCTGACATTAACTGCAAGATGAGTGGCAAGTCCTCCTTTTGTGCCACCTACTAAGATTGGAACCTGAGAAGGCCTCCTGTGTGCCGGGGTTACTTGACCCATACATGCTCTCAGAATGGAACTTATCACTTACGGATCTTACTGTTGATCTTCCCCAAACAAATATACTCCATGCAGAATTTTAACTCTTAGTCATCATAAAAACACTGGAGATTTTAGTAAAAAAACACAAAAACATAAAATCATAAGAAAAGGTTAGCCAAATAATTACGGATTCCATTAGGAATTGTTCTAGAGTCTGGCCAGCAACTATCAGTCAAAGACATTTCAATTTAAGGTGGGAATATTCGTAACTGTATTGGGATACCTGAGCAATTTCTAAAAAGAACTGGTGCCTGGACCCTGTGGCAGCCCAGTGGGATCTGACTTGCTGAAGGTAGAGTGGGCATTGGTGTCCTTTAAAAGTTTTTCCAGGTGATCCTACCAGGTGACCAGGGCTGAGAACCACTGAGCTAAGGCAAGCCCCAGTGCCCTTGGGGTATCCATAGCTGGGGCCTTGCTCTGTGTGAAGGCTTTCCTTGTGGGATCATATTTCTACCTTATTAGCAGGGAGGTTTTGATATCCCCTGCATACAGAGGCAGAAACTGAACTTCCCTGGTTTAGGTAACTTACGTTCTCCTCTCTTCCCTCCCGCAATCTGCTCCCTGAGGGTTTGGGCAGTGCTGGCCACTGACCCAGGCCTCTCTGACCTCCTGGGCTTTCCTGTCTCTTGGTCCTGCCCTCCTGTAGGGATTCTCTCAGTCTACAAGCTTTTCTGGACTAGCCCCAGGTCAGCCATCTGCTGAGGTGTTGCCTGCTTGGGGTGTTGGTGACATATCCCCTGGGATGTTGGTTCATATCCAGACCTGGCCTCTTACTGCTCTGTGACCTCAGGTGACCTCTCCAGGTGTCTGCTTCCTTATCCATAAATCAGGGATTGTAGTGTTCTCCTTATGGAGTTGATAAAATGAATTAAATGAGGTGAAAGTGTGAAAGACTTGGCCCAGCAGCTGACACCTAAAAGGAGGCAAGTTGTTGCTATTGTAGAATAGTATGCATGCATATGGCCTGACCCCATGCTAGGTTCCAAATGCCTGCAGGGCAGATTTTCAAATGCCAGTGTGCAGATGTATCACTTGGGGACTCAGATTTGGTAGGTCTCGGGCGGGGCCTGAGATCCTGAATTTCTGACAAGCCCCTAGGTGATGTCAAGGCCTGAGTCATCAGTTCGTGCAATTCTCATGCACCCAGTTCAGTGGCTATTGGGGGGCTCAAGGGAAATGCACTGGGTAGCTGAGCAGTTGTGTGCTTGCGGTATTGTTCCTCCATCCTTGGACCTGAGGGCTGCCATGCTTGCTGTTCTTATGGTGTGACTATGAGTGCTTTTAGCTTTCGTCGCTAGAATTTTTTTTCAGTCCTTTTGGTTAGCAATTACTAGAAGTGTAAAATCAGTTACACATTTATACTCTGATATGAAACCAATGATCTAATAGATGATAATACCACTAATGCTCTCTTCATATTCTGACTTTTGTGAGTCATTGGTGTCCTTTAAAAGTTTTTCCAGGTGATCCTACCAGGTGACCAGGGCTGAGAACCACTGAGCTAAGGCAAGCCCCAGTGCCCTTGGGGTATCCATAGCTGGGGCCTTGCTCTGTGTGAAGGCTTTACTTCATTCCTTATTTATAAAACATCAGCCCCCGTGAGGTAGAAAGAGAAATGGACATGTGGCTGAAAGTTCAGGGTTAAATCCCTGTCTCTTCCATTTAGTAGCTATTTTCTTTGATTTCTCCAGCCCTGAATTTGTGCATCTGTAAGATGGGCCTCACAACACTTCACAGCACTGGGTTATTAAATGGAAATGTTGAAGAGGTTCGATTCCACCAATTTGTCTAGTTATATTAACATTTACAATTGCAGAAGGATTTATTTCAAAGATCAAATCATATTTTAAAGCTATGGAGATATTCTTCTTTCCTTTCCACTTTCTTTGGAGGTAGAGGTAAGTGTCAGGCTCGTATGAGCCAAATTGATAGTCATGGAAGGCTTGCAGGATGCAATTTAAATTTTCAGGTTTTTATTTTTTGGCCTACATTATTTTATGGGTGTGTGACATCTCAAGGTAGGATTTCTTGAATATATAAAATACAGGTGGAAATAGGATAACAACAACAACAAAAAACAGAAATGGAATAAAGCTAAGGACCAATGTTTATAGAACTCAGGATGAACAAAGAATTTATGCTTCGTAAGTTTCCCAAAGAGCTAGCTGTGAGGACATGTTTATATGACTGTGAACATACCAAAATATGGAACAGATGTGATTCTTGTCCACATGGAGGAATAAGTCTTGTTTGTGGCTGTAAGGTTCATGTATACTGGGAATTGCATAATAATTATTTTCCTTTTTTTCCCCCTTTGTCGGTTAAATGAAGTGAGGCTCTGTTTCTATTTAAAACATGGCATTTCAAGTTTGCCTGTGGGTTCCAGAAGTTGAATCAGCTGCTCAGTGGTCTGTGCCCAGCAGTGCTAAGCACTTAGTAGGTTTTTGATAATGGTGAGGTGTCAAATTCATTTCAGTAGTGTGGACTTTGATGAGCTTTGATCTGCCCTAAGTTCACATTGTGGCCTTGCCTGTTTTTTGTTTTTGTTTTTGTTTTTTTGTTTTTGTTTTTGTTTTTTTAAAGCAAGGTGGCACCTGCAGATGCTTTTAGAGGCAATGAGAAATGGGACCAGTTTTCATGGAATGCTCATCATGCTGGTGCTGGGTCACCTGTCACACTGATATGGCATTGAATAGGCATTGCTGCTACAAATACAGCTGCTGAAATGTGGCCTGCCACAAAGATACTGATTTGAGCTGAGTCAGACAGCTCACAAATATACTGGTCCTCTTGCCTTGTTTTATTACTCTTACGTTTTTGAGAGCTAGATTTTATACCTTGTAAGAGTTTTCCTCTCAGCGTTTATGGGCCTCAAAACAGCCTTGGCATGTGCGGGAATGAGGATGGCGCATTTGGGTCCGGACCTTCTGGCATAGGATTAGGAGTGGTTGGGGGTGGGGAGAGAGGGATGCAAATGCCTTTTACAGGTGACATTTAAACGGGGTGTGTTTGGGTTAGCAAACTCTTTTTGAAAATCTGCCCCCCGCCCTGAGCCTATCAGTCATATTCACTTTAGAATGAATGAATTTGATCTGAGATGAGCTGCCCTTGGGGACTGGGAGCTCTTATATTTGGAAGGTTATTGCGGAATTTTGGAATTATTGATAGTGCATATTCTGGCGGGCAGCTTGAGTCAGAACAGTCTATAAACCACTTTCATGGACTGGTAAAGAGAAGAGGCTGTTGGCAGGAGCCCATATTAGTGGCAGGCCCCACTAGGGTACTCTCTGTGTGTGATCAGACCATGTGTGTGTTCTCACCTGGCTTACCACGTCACCCATCTGTCCACCTGCTTACCTACGCATCCGCCCTCCAGTAAACGTTGACCAGGTGCACCTGCTTCTGTGCCTGCTGTGGGATGAAGTCATGCCTGAGACCAGTGCTGTGCACAGAGAAGGGCTTCAGGGTCCATTAGTATACAGTGTAATCGCATCATGTGTCTGGACCAACTGATCAGTGGTAAAGATATGCCTGCTGTCCTCTGCTTTCCCTGTCAGTCTTTGCTCACCTCTCAGTTTCCTCCTCCAAGGACTACTCTAGTTCCCCTTTCCCCACCACATAGGAATGTGGTCCAGAGTCACATGTGAAGCTTTTTAAACAGACAAATGTAGAGCTGGCTTGAGAGGGCTTTATAAGGCCACAGAGCTTTTTTGGGTGATTCCAACCTGCAGCCATATTAAAAAGTAGTACTTTACAAATTCTCTTTTTGCTCCAGTCTCTACCAATTCATTGATCCTCCCTCATATACATTTCCCCACCAACATGCTCCCTGCTGTCTGCCGGTGCTTGTGAGCACTAATGATGGTGGTAACAGCCCTGCTGCTTTGGTTGCACATCTGCCAGGGACTCTGCACCTTGTTATGACCCTCACACTCACGATTTCAGTTTAACCCAAGTCTAACAGGCTTGCAAAATAGGTGTCATCACTCCATTTTATAGATAAGAAAACTGAGGTTCAAAAAGGTTCCCAGATATCAAAGACTTGAGCGTAAGCGATGGAGTAAGAATTTGAATTGAAGTTTGTCTGACTCCGAAGACACATTTTCCTATATGTTAGGCTGCTTCTCTAAACTCTACTGTGAGCTTCTGCAGACACCCTACACGAATCCATCCAATGTAGAGTAGGATACAGAGTGTGCATTCCTGAGCTGCCTGGGTTTGAATCCTGGTTCTGTCAGTCAGTGGTTGGGACTTTGAATATCCTACTTAACTTCTGTGCCTCAGTGTCCTCATCTGAAAAATAGTGATACTTATAATAATACTTGTAGGGTTGTGGTGAACTGAGTGAGAGCTAGTAGATGATCAATGATTGTTACATAGTTTTCAAGCTGCACAATCCTTTCTCATATGATATAGGGAGTACAGATGTAAGGTAGATAGATGATATTGGAACTGTTTGACTGAGGCTCAGGAGCGTGTGGCCTTGGCTGCTCAACTTCCTGTGGGCGGAGACCCCTGTGCCCCTGAGACCGCCTTCCAGAGCCCTTGGGGCTACACTGGATGACAGCTTCTCCAGGTGCCACATTAGCATGAATCCTCTGTCCTGTCCATTCACCAGTCTTTCAAACTAATAACAGAATTTACTTGTTAATTATTAAGGTCAGCTGTGGAGGAAAGAAAAGGCTGAAGTGTATGCAAGAATGTGGTGATATTAATGTGGAATCTTCACAATGGTCTTGATCATAAAGAGGGGTGTCCATCAACCTGGTGAGACACAGTCTCAGTTAGTGGGGTGTGTAGGGCAGGTCCTGCATTGGTGGGCAGATCTGCATGCCCCACGGGGAGGAGTGTTTGAGAAGCTAAGGGGTTAATGCCCTGAGGTGGCAGTGGTGTGGGCCAGGCTAATGGGTGTTATAGGGCAGCTGAAGGAGGTGTGAAGGGCATGGGGGGGTACAGGGGAAGGGCTGTCTCATGGCACTGAGTGGGAAGATGCCTTCTAGAGACTTCTTGGCAAACAGAGGTAGCTCCATCACCGAGGAATGAAGCTGAAGACCAATGTAGTGAGTTGGCTCATACCCAGGACATAGTGCCAGTGGTTACTTGGAGCAGGGGTTGGACAGCCAGTGATGGGCACAAGCACAGCCAAGGAGTTGGCAGGAAGGAGCCAGGGGTAGAAGCATTGGGATCTGGCCAGGGCTAAAGAGTATTCCCATCAAGGGAAGCGCAAGGATGTCTAGCGCCCAGGAGCCAAGCCTGGAGCATGTGGTGGATCACCTCCCAGGAGCAGATGGGCCGCATGACTCTACCATGAATGGGTTGATTTATGGCTGTGTGAATAAGTGTGTGAGCAATGACTGAGGCAAGTGGTCACAATGGCGATAGGTTGACCAGGTCATGGAATCACTCATTATTATTGCGAGGAGGGGCTCACTCCCCCTGCTGGGGAGCTGGGTCTGAGAGCATCAGTGACTCCACAGGTAAAAGGCAGGACAAAGACTTGAACTGGGGCCTTTGGACTCTGGACCAGTGCTTCTCACCGGGCTGAGTCTTGCGGCCCGGCAAATTCCTTCCCTTTCCAGGAGGAGACCACCAGAACCACCATCCTCTGCTAACCATGGGAAACCTTCTTGGGGGGGTAATTCTCCTTGAGCAGGGTGAAGGGGCATGCACATCTCCTTCAGCACCTGCCTTGTAAGAATTAAGCTGCTGGTCTGAAGCATGCAGGCGTGATATCCATGTAGAGAAAAGAAACAGCTCTTCTAAGACTGATAGCACAGTCTAGGAGTTCGAGGCAGCGGAAGCTCTTCATCCATGCTGTTGGCTGTCATGTCTGATCACCCTTCCTCACCTTCCTCACCTGGCTAGCTCGTTGCTGTCTTGCACTATTCAACTCAGTGCTCCTTCCCCCAGCAAACCTTTATTTCATCTCCCTGGTCTGGGAGCCCAGGGTTTGTGTTCCCAGGAACCTTCCCGTGTTATTGTTGATTCATTTCCCCCTCTACTGGGCTCAGAGCCCATTGACTTTTTCTCTCATGTCTGTGTTCTCAGTGCCAGGCATTATGCCCATTTCAGGGCCTGGTATACAGTAGGTACTCAATAAATGTTTAGTGAATGAATAAAGAAGACATAGTTTGCAGTGAGTCTTTAGGGCTGACCGTCAGATACAGACTTTGGTATGTGGAAAAGCTAGAGCTTTGGCCCCAGAGCTCTGGGGGTGTGGCCTGGGTGGTTGCTCTGGCAGCACAGTGGCAGCTTGGGGAAGAAGCACTGCCCTGAAGGTGGCTTTGGGGTGGCTTATTCCACTCTTAACCGTCCCTTCTGCCCCTCTGTTGACCTAATATGTTGCTGTTGGAGAAAACAGGGCAATAATGCCCATGAGAGGAGATGATCAGAAGACAGGGCGTTGCCCGGGTGTCCCATGCCTGTCATGATGCTGTGAACCTCCCGGAAGTAGAAGGGCTTTACAAGCTGTAATTCACATACTATACAATTCACTCACCTAAAGTGTCTGATTCAGTGGTATTTAATATTGTCACAGAGTTATGCAACCATCACTACAATTTTAGGACATTTTCATCATCCTCAAAAAAAACACCACACCTATTCACAGTCACACCTAATTTCCCCCCTGCCGTCTCCAATCCCTGGTAACCATGAATCCACTTTCTGTCTCTGTGGATTTGCCTATTCTAGATATTTCATTTTAAATAAAATCATATATAGCCTTTTGTGTCTGGCTTCGTTCACTTAGCATAACTTCTCAAGGTTCATCCATGTTGTAGTATTCATTGGTACTCCATTCCTTTTTGTGGCTAATATTCCATTGTATGGATACACTACATGTTGTTTGTCTATTCACCAGCAGATAGACATTTGAGTTGTTTCTATTATGAATAATGCTGGTATGAACATTTATGTACAAGTTTTTGTGTCAACATGTGTTTTTACATTGCCTAGGCATGTACCTAGAATGGGATGGTTAGATCAGTTAGTAACTCGACATTTAGCGTTTTAAGGAACTGCCACATGATTTTCCAAAGCAGCTGCCCCATTCACATTCCCACTGGTAATGTATGAGATTTCCAGTTTTTCCACATTCTTACCAATGTGGTAAGAATTTGTTTTTGTCTGTCTCGTTGATTATAGCTGTTTTTAGTGAGTTTGAAATTACATCTCAGCATGATTTTGATTTGCATTTCCCATGTGGCTAATGACATTGAGCATCTTCTCATGTGCCTATTGGGCATTTGTATATCACCTTTGGAGAAATGTTCTTCAAATCCTTGGCCACTTAAAAAATAGGGTTATTTGGCTTTTTTTTAATTGTTAAATTTTGTAGGAGTTCTTTATATATTCTGGATACAAGTCCCTTATCAGATATACGCTTTGCAAATATTTTCTCCCATTCTGTGGGTTGCCTTTTTGTGTTCTTGATGATGTTCTTTTAAACAGAAAGTTTTTAATTTTGATGCAATCTAATTTACCCAGTTTTTTCTTCTTTTTGCTTGTAATTTTAGTTTTATATCTAAGAAATAATTGCCTAATCCAAGGCCATGAAGATTTACTTCAATTTTTCTCTAAGACTTTTATCATTTTAGCTCTTACATTTAGGTCTCTGATCCATTTTGTATTTAGTGTGAGGTAGGGGTCCAATTTAATTTTTTTTGCATATGGATACCCAGTTGTTGTAGCACCATTTGTTGAAAAGACCATCCTCATATATTTTTGATGTTAATAAATACATTTTAAATTTCACTTTTAAAACTTTTAAGTGCTTTTGTAAATTTCTTTGGGATCCGTTGTGAAGAAAATTATCAAAATAATGTAATTCCTCAAAGGGTATCATTTGTTACTATGTGATCCTGAATGAGGAATCAATTGATTTCTTATCTGTCTATATTTGAAACTAACATTCATAAAAGGATATTTAACCATTGAATTCTGGCTCTTAAGACAATAAAATCTGGCCTCTAAACACCTTTTTGTTCCTATTTTTTAGTGGCTGCATTTCATCTTATTTTACTTCATTTATTTTTTATGTTAATTGCCTTATTTGCTTTTTATTTTTGTCAGTATAATATAGAGTAACCACATTTACAATGTTTGCAGTACAAAATAGAGCAACTGATCCTGTGGGTTTATCTCCACCACCTGGCCTGAGTGGCCCAGGAGAATGCTGTAGTTATTAATTTTCAAAAAGGGTGAAGAACCAAGATTCTGATTCCTATTTTTAAAATGAAAGCCCCCTAACTTATTCCAGTGCCTTGGCACTCTCCTGCCTCTAGTCCTAAAACAAGGCCACCATGTGGCCATTTGGGAGATTGACCTGCCCACTGGCTTTTTCTCTTTGGGTAGCTGCTGCTCCAAGCAATGGCGCCTCCCTTGGCCTTTCTTCTCTCACCTACAACCAGATGCTCCTAAAATAGACTCTTCCTGGTGGCCCATCTGCAGAGCAACAAACCACTGGAGTGGTGAGTAGGATTTGAGCCCTTTGTGTAAAGTGTGTGTAAAGTGCTTGCCTAATTATAACCAGAACTGTTTCCCACAATCCCCCATCCCACGCAGGCAGGAAGGGGCGGGGCTGGAGGGCAGTTAATATTGCTCAGGGTCATTGCTTTAGGGGATGGGTTGCAGGGGATTGAAAAGCTGCTCAAACTCACTGCTCTTTCTTTAGCAAGAACAAATGTGATGAGGGGATCCGTATGAATGCAAGTCCCTTCTGTATATATGTTCACATCTGCACTTGGAGAACAATTTGAGAAAAAGCTCCTTACCAAGATAATTAAAACTACTTTAGTTCCAGTATTTTAAATTAAACTAAAATTTATAGAAATATAGCTTACTCTAAGGGGAAAAAGTGATACCAATTTTAAAACACAAATAAAAATGTTGCTGCAATGCATATAATTTAAAATCAGGGTGATTGACAAGTGACAAGGACTAAAATCAGATTTATTCTTGAACAGCTGGGAAAGCTATCCATGTGTCTTGGAAAGATATTATGCGATTTTCCCCATGTAAAAGTAAAAATGATTCTGGAGAAGAGTTGCCCAGATGAACCTCTTCTTCCCTTAAAGAGAGACTTAAGGTAAAGAGAATTTGCTCTTAAAGCCATTTTATAAAAGTCATAATACTTTTTGCTACAATCATTTCAGGCTTTTTTTGTTTTAATTAAAGGATGTTTGCTGTTAAATAAAATTAAGGTTAAAAATGTTAGGTATAGAAGTCTAATGTTGAAAATTGTACAAAAAGCCGATATATAATGAAGAATGAATGATAACAAGAATTTTCTCATCTTCCTAGCAGCATGTTGCAGTGGGTTTCTGGGGCAAGGAGTGGTGGGGATGGAAGCTCACAGAGGTCATATTGTTGCTTTGGAACTGGTGTCCTAGACACCTACCTGGAGCCTTCACAGGGCCACTGCCCACTGGTGGGCACATGGTGAAACTTCATTCAACAAAAAGACACAACTGAAGATCTGGCAATGGGCAGGGCCAGAGCAGAGAACTGCACCTTTCCCAGAAACACAGTTGTGTCATTTAGGCACCCTGGTTTTCAGCAAAAGGCATCAGAAATTTGTCAGAAAGGTGGACTGTTCCTTATATTTTCCAACATAAGACCAATGTTGTTGTCAGGTTGTGTTTGGAAAAAGAACCCTTAAGAAAAGATGCCTTGGTGATGGGTGGACAGCGATGTCACAACTCCTCAGGGGAACAAGCTCATTTTCCGGGTGCGCAGCTCAGCCTTGCCTGTGTTCAGCTCCATCTCCAGAACATATACATGGACACCCCCATGAGTCTGTGGCCCCTCCCAGAGGTTTAATATTTCCTCTAGTAAAAAAGTTGAAAGCATGGCACACTGGATTTGGGACCTAGGAACATGGCAGTGGGTTCTTTTTTGGGCTGTGAGCTGAGGTCAGGCCTGCTGAAGGGAGGAAGATGCCCATGCTGCTCAGCAGGCCTGGCATGACCATGTCTGCTTTCCTTGTGGATTGCAAGTTGCTTTTGGAGTTAAGATTAACTGTCCCACACCAGATCTCTATTTATCAAGCACAGCTGCACCCCTCATGTTAGGCAGCCTGGATTTATGTGCTTCATTCATGGCAATGCTAAGGGACACTTAGAGTTACCAAAAGACCTATGTTCCCCTTATTCTCCAGAATTCACAATGCCCTACATATAACTTAAACATTTTCTTAGTGTAGTAAAATATACATAACAGAAGAATTCCATTTTAACCATTTTAAGTGTACATTTCAGTGTCATTACTTACATTCACCATTTTGTGCAACCATCACCAAAAAGTGTCTTCAAAACTTTTTCATCTTCCCTAACAGAAACTGTAACTATTAAGCATTAACTTCCCATTCTACCCTCACCTACAGCCCATGTAACCTCTAATCTACCTTATGTCTCTATGGATTTGCCTATATAATTTTTAAATTTTATTTTTTAAAATTATTTTAAGTTGGGCTTATAGAAGCAAGGTTTACAGAAGAGTTTCAGAGTTTCAAAAGAGGACTTGAGGTTTTATAGTTTTTCAGCTGAGCACATTTAACTCAGCAGGTCCACCTTATTTGGCACACTAGGCAGTTGCTAGCAGAGATGAACAAGATGGAAAGAAAGATGACTGAATTCTTGAGGACCCGTCATGTATCAAGCACAGGAGTAGCTGCATGGATGCGCCGTGACTTTAGCTGCTCCTCATGACAGCCTAAGTGAGCAAGTTATTTCTGTTTTAGGATGAAGAAAGCAAAGCTCATTCACATAAAAGTCCTATTAAAAGTTGAGATTGAAAACCAAATCCTACTGACCTCAGATGTCCATCTCTTCCTATTACTTACTGCTTCGTCCAGAGTGCATAAAGGACACGTAAGGGTGGAGTGTGCATTTCCATCCATTATTACATTTAGCCGAGTGAGTTCCAGAGCCAAAGGTGGCAGCAATACCAAGGAGAGCTGCTGCCCATCATGCCACAGAAGCTCCTGTCTTACCTGAAGGCTCCAGCCACCCAGCCACTTGTCCACCCGCATCAACTCATCCCATCATTCATTGGTGCCAGTTATATGCTGGACCTTGGGGGATGATCCCGTGGCCCCTGGTGGCTGTGATGCCTGTGATGATGATGGCAACAGTGGCGGCAGTAGAAGCCACCATCCCCACTGTTTATTGACCACATTCTGTGGGCTGAGCCTGGGTAGGACGTTTCAGGAGTTTTAACCCTCACAGCCTGCCAGACAGGTGGCAGGGGGTTTCTGGGGGCACAGGGAATGGAAACTCACAAAGGTCAGATTGAAGCTGTCAAGAGATCACTTGGCTTGTGGCAGCAGGAGGGGCTCCTGCAGGGCTGTCTGACTTCTAGCTTACCCTCTGTGGTGGGTGGGCAGAGCCCCTTTTCTCTAGGCCATTTTCTTGGGCAAGACATGGACACCTCAGTAGCCAAGGGACCTGGCTAGCAGGAGGGGGCAGTGAGTTTGGGAACTGGGGAGCAAGGACCACAGCGGGGGATTTTTGGGCACCTCCATTTCTGAGTCCCCTCACCAGGAGGGCCTCACAGTGTTTCAGGGAAAGTGTGAGGCCTCTGTCGAGTGCCCATTTTTCATGGACAGTGCAGGCTGAGGTGGGGCAAGACCCTGATGACTAGGGCCATAAGAGAATAAAGGTGAGTCCACTGCCAGAATTCTGTGGTTAGTGCTAATTCACTTTTCACAAAGGAGAGGCCCATCCTGAATGTTTGTTCAATCATATTTCACATATATATCTGTCAGGTTTATGATCTCATTTTGTTCTTCACAACAAATCAGCAAAATTGACTTAGGAGGGAGCAGTGAGGCTGAGATAGGGTGTAGGGTGAGAATTGATTAGGCTGTCAGAGAGCAAGAGAAAGGGGAGAAAAAGTGGTTCTGAAGAAGAAAATGTGACTTCTTAAAACCTTGTCAGCACGCAAGGATTTATTCATACATCATTAAAATTTAAATTACATGATTTGGTCTGTCACTGAGGACAAATGGTTCCTTTTCAGCTGCATTTTGTTTGAACTGTTTTATTCAGGCAACTTAATTGGTTGATTATTTTAAAATTTGCCAGGCTGCAGTAATCTATATTTAGCAGAAACCCAAGTCATACGGTAAGTCATTTCCAGTAGGATTAAAATTATCAGCATGTTTCTCAAATCTTAAAAGAAATGCCAAACTCTGGACTATGTTCAGTTTTGCATTCTTAATTTCAGGCAGACATTTTCATTCCATTGGCATGTGATTCTTTTTCCAAGACTACATAATAAGGGTGGCATTTTTCCTTTCCATGCCGCAGCAGCCCTGCAAGACAGAGAGAAAGAAATTTGGTCTTTGATTGATGAAGTTTGGTGACCTAACCAGATGACTGTCTTTCTCTTCCAGACTGCTTAACTCTCAAATCAACTGGAAACAAATTTGTTTTTCAGACATATTTCAAGCACATTGAATAGCTGAATATCATATACATAGGTGTCATTTTTTATTTATTTTTTTGAGATGGAGTTTCACTCTGTTGCTAGGCTGGAGTGCAGTGGCATGATCTCGGCTCACTGCAACCTCTGCCTCCCGGGTTCAAGCAATTCTCCTGCCTCAGCCTTGCGAGTAGCTGGGACTATAGGCGTGCACCATCACGCCCAGCTAATTTTTTTGTATTTTTATTAGAGACAGGGTTCCACCATGTTAGCCAGGATAGTCTCGATCTCTTGACCTCGTGATCCGCCTGCCTCGGCCTTCCAAAGTGCTGGGATTACAGGCGTGAGCCACCATGCCCACCCAGGTGTCATTTCTTAACCATCTATGATTACACTGAAATATGAACAGGTGGCTTGAACGTTATTTAGGAAGTGTGATGAGTCCGTAAGGTCTGTCATGTGGGCATCTCGATTCACATCCTGGAGCTGTGGCCTGTGCCTCAGACACAGTTGCCTGAATGAGCCATGATCTGCTCATTAGCACACCCTCCACAGCCATTGGGTCAATAGCACTTACTTTGTTCAGTTTCTACTCTCTGCTTATTAAGGATATGTAATTTTGATTTGTGAGGTTGTGCCCATGAGTCCTTTCTCCATTCCAGTTGCTGTCAGCTTAACCTGGGGCTCTTGGCACCTCTGTGTTGGACTTTTGCATCGCTCTCCCTGTGGATTCTCTCCCAGCTCTCCCTTCCTCCATATGCTTTGCAGGGTGATCTTTCTGAAATGCAGATCTGATTGGGATACTTTGTCGCTTAAAACCTTTGAAAGCCAGCCCCTGCTCCCTTGCCTTCAAGCCACCTCTGTGTCCTTAGAAGAGTGTACAAGCGCTTCCTCCTGCCAGCCCAGTCTCCTTTTTCCAAGCAGTTCAAAGCCAGAGGCATCTATTTCTTCAATTCTACTTCATTCCCACCCACCACTCCCACCCTGGCTCTTGGGTGAGAAGTACTGAAGGAAATCAGAACATATAGATATATATACACATACACACACGTACATACACATGCACAGTTTTTTATATATACACATATTTGTAATTTTTTAAATTTAACTTTTAAGTTCAGGGAGTACGTGTGCAGGTTTGTTATATAGGTAAACTTATGTCATAGGGATTTGTTGTACAGATTATTTCATCACCCAGGTATTAAGCCTAGTATCCATTAGTTATTTTTCTTGATCCTCTCCCTCCTCCCATCATCCATCCTCTGATAGGCCCCAGTGTCTATTGTTCCCCTCTATGTGTCCATGTGTTCTCATCATTTAGCTCCTACTTATTAGTAGGAACAGGTGGTATTTGGTTTTCTGTTCCTGCATTAGTTTGCTGAGGATAATGACTTCCAGCTCCTTCCATGTCCCTGCAAAGGACATGATCTCGTTCTTTATTATGGCTGCATGGTATTCCATGGTGTACATATACCACTTTTTCTTTATCCAGTCTATCATTCATGGGCATTTAGGTTGATTCCATGTCTTTGCTATTGTGAATAGTGCTGCAATGAACGTGTGCATGTGTCTTTATAATAGAATGACTTATATTCCTTTGGGTATATACCCAGTAATGGGATTGCTGGGTTGAATGGTAGGAAATCAGAATATATATATGTGGCTTTATTTCATGAGATCATATACCTTAGAAGCCTCTTTCTATAATCACACACTTTGTTGTTGATATTGCTCTTCCATATATTTCTGTGCTAGTGAGGGATTGTTAAAAAAGGACGATAGCAAATATGAAGCCTTTAGCCAACTTCCCCTCCCCAGATATTTGAAAAACAATTAAGCCACTCAGTAAATGAACTGCCTTAGAGAAGATTATAATGTTGGCCTTAATTTCTTTTACCAACTTTCCATTTCCTTGAAATGCAGCTAATCAACTTATATTAACTGTCCTGGAAAATTTTTTGGTTTACAGAGCTTTTTGTTTTTAAATTGTTACCACTAATTTAAGAAATTTAGACTGAAAATGTTACTTTTAATAAAAAGGAAATGTCTTAGACATATTAATGCATATAATTTTTCATATCACGAGGTGCAATCATAGTGTTTGGTTTTTGCGGCAAAAATGACACTTGTCAGTTCTCACTTTGATTTGCTGACACTCTTGCCCCTTCAGGGTGGGTTGCCATTTGGAATTTGGAAATGCTGTGGCTTCAATCCATTTAGACAAACATATCCATTTCTGATTAGATTCAGAGTGGTTGTGGTGATCTGAGTATAGATGTCCATAACAGCTTCACATTTTCATGTACTCTGAAAAGGAATTTTTTAGAGGTTATTATTTAGAATGTCTAATTCCAAGTGAAGATTTAGGGGTGGAAAGTTTGAATACAATGCTTTATTCTCTCATTGAAATTTTGTAGGAAGCTCATGGGTTGCTTTTGCAAAAGCAATTTGAAGATATTCCACGTTAGTTTGAAAGCTTTGTATTTAAGAATTAGATTGTTTAAGGTTTGGGAGTACTTCTGTGAAATTGAGGTCATGGGAGTTTAGGTTTATGATGATGAAAGTGTGTGTGGAAGGCACATGGCAAAACGTTGACTTTTGCTACTCAGTTTTTCTTATAGGTCACAGGTTGAATTCTTTTTATCAAAATCTGCATGTTCTTGCCAGTTGTGGTGGCTCACACCTACAACCCCAGCACTTTGGGAGGCTGAGAGGCAGGAGCATCTCTTGAGCCCAGGTGTTTGAGACCACCGTGGGCAATATGGTGAAACCTGTCTCTAATAAAAATACAAAAAATTAGCTGGGCATTGTGGTGTGTGCCTGTAGCTCTAACTACTTAGGAGGCTGAGGTGGGAGGATTCTTGAGCCCGGGAGGCAGAGGTTGCAATGAGCCGAGATCGCGCCATTGCACTCCAGCCTGGGCGACAAAGTGAGACCCTGTCTAAAAATAAAATTAATAAAATAAATCTGCATGTTCTTTCTATAAATAGGAATTTTATTTTCATAAATAAGACTAAAATAGTGGTCTGGGGGGAATTAACACAGTGGGAGGGGAAGAGTAAAAAACGTGTATGGTTCTAAAAAGAACTTACAAGGTTAAAATCATGGTCTATTACTTTTATAGTAGGTCTGGCTATAAAGATGTTAAATTTTTACCAAGTATCAAATTCAAGGAAAATGTTGTGAAATAACATTGGATGCATTCAAAGGAATTTTAAAATAATTATAATTTGCCGTCTTCTCCTTGGTCAGAGGGTACTTTGGAATCTTACTTTGAGCTGTGCAGGCAAAAGGAATTATTCCACTTTTCTCTATTTGGCTTTGCTCTGTTGTTGACTATTCCTCTTGAGTTCAAGTGGAGGCCTCCTGGACAGCTGGTGGCCAGGGCAGCTGTAGTGACCCAACTCTAGTGTGCCCCTCCCAAGGATGGAGCTCCCAGTTTAGCTGTTGGGTTTGTACATAAAATGCCACAGCACAGCAGTCTGAGCTCTTGCTTTCTGTTTAAATAAAAAGGCAGATGCTTCACACATGTTTTCATGAATTTATATAAACCATGGAAGGAAAGAATGCTGATATTCAATAGGAACCCTGTAGCAACTTGTTACTTGTAATTTTTAGGTTTACTGTAAGAGCAAATGCAGAAAGCAAACCTGCATCTGTGCTGACACTGGGTTGGGACTAACCCATGCTCTTTTAAGTGCCTAAGTAGTGGGTGAATGGGGCATCTATAAATAGTGAGTTAGTGTGTCTGACAGACCTCAGAGACTGGAGGGATTCCTTGGGCCAGCATTGTCTCATGTGGCCACATGTGGCCAGGGAGGAACACAGCTGAAGGGAAGGAAGTGCGCTCTCTTTTATCCTTCTTTCCATATCAAGAAGAGTAGATCCTTGAGTCAGGGAGCTAGCCTGCTGAGGAGCGCTAGCTCTGGAGCATGGTCTACTGGGCAGACCTAAAGTAGGACTGAGAAAAGCTTTGCCACTTCCTTGAGGAAGATACTGTATTGGCTTCCATGACTTCCGGAGGCATCTGATGCCTCCCAACCGGCTACCCTGCTAAGTTACACTTGATTAACTTTTCTGTCTCCTCTTGGACTCAGTGTTTTATGAAGCTGAGCTTCTCTTGGAATGCGGAGCCTGGAAAGGGAGGAAGTGTGCCCTGGGCATTCCTTACAGTTGTACTGGATTCATACTGATCCGTCCACACTCTCTCGGGCCTCTGTGACAGCGCCAGGCACATGTCACTGTTGAATTAATTGATGGTGTACACTTGTTAGCAGATGAGCTACAGTTGAGGGTATAGTCTGTGGCCATCAGATACAGTCAGATGTCATGTGGGCCAAAACTTACAACCTTGGAGTCATAAACCAGCTGTGAACACCCAGGAAATGAATCATTCCATCTGAGCCAATCTGCAGTCTCCTCTCTCACTTGCCACCTGACACTGTAGCACCCCTTCTGGTGTGATTGAAGAACTTCTAAGTGCCAGCCTGCCCACACCTGGTGATGCACCAGTGTCTGTGTGCTGCCTCGGGAGGTGACTGTGAGATATGAGGATCTTATATAAGCTAGTAGTTTTGCATATGGCTAGCCCTTGTTGGCTCGGGACAGCTGGTTTAACAACCAGCCCTTAGATGACACTGGGTAGAAATTTGATGTTAAGTATTTCTCACTCCCTTATTATAGGATTTTTTAAGAGCAGTGTTTGCCTAAAGTCAGAACCATCTTCTAGGAGAGGGGTCAGGTGGTACTGCTAGTTTTTGGCCAGTTTCTTTTAGCTTATCTGTGATTCACTTAGATGGTTGATACATTCCTTGCCCATTCTGGTGGCTTTCTGACCATGGGGGACTGTCTGGTGGCAGTGCAGGATAATAAGTAGGAAGGCTTATGATCTGAGGAGTGTAAATAGTAAATGGAGACATCTCTTGTTAGTTTTTCATTTCAGCTGTTGACTCCTCAGTAGTGCTGGATTTTTTATGTTTATCACTGTCTCTTTCACCCCCACCCTCTCTTACCCAGAAGACAAATGGTGAGGTTAAATTTGGCCATGACTCAGCCAAAGTCTGGTGGTGGCCATCAGGAAAGAGTGTCAGAGGTCTTAGAATTGGCACTCGGGTGCTTGAACTGTTTTTAGTTTTCACTAAAGTTGAAACTATTCTGGTTGAACTTATTCTGGTAATAAGCTGAAAACAATGTGCTCCTGGGCATGTTTCAAAAACTAAAACATTTTTTAAAATGGAAATATGGATTAGGGTAGCTTGCCACAATGATAGTCACGTGTAGGGAAATACACACAAATTGAACTAAGTCTAACTTTTATGCTTAGATAACAAAAAGATACTTTTGAATTTACCAAATATTCATTCAAGCAGTCACCAATGAGGCATCTGGATAGCTTCTTTTGTAAGACTGTCCTTATTCTTATAAAGTTAGTTGGCTCTGAAAACTTTACTTCAGTTGATCCAAGAGTTTGAGTTGATATTTCAAGGATGTTAAACTTTGCAGCCTAAAACAAAACTGAGATTGCATATGATTGGTTTTTATGGCTTCCATTTTAGAATGAAAAAGACGATAGTGATTGGCTTAACTTTTTTTCTCTCTTTAGAAAACATTTCATAGCGGTAAAGGTGACATATACTGTTGAAAATGTATAAAGGTAGCTCTGGGTCCAGGGGTGTTGCTGGCAGATTTTTTGAAATAATTCTCCAGAATCAGCAGTCAACAAGAAAAGAACAGTGACTTGCAACCTGGAAATCCAGCTGGGACTGCCATGAATGTTTGTGGTAGTTTGGGATCACATGCCGGTTCTAGGGGACAGCAGGTCCATGCTGGTTCCTGGGTGGCAGCCCCTGTGTGGATAGGCAGTCTATAGTGTGGGGGAGTGGGTACCTGAAGAAAGAGACCTGTAAAGGAGTCAGCATAGCACCCCAAAGCCCTCTCTCCTGGACTGGGAGACAGTCATAACTTTTGGAGTGGCAATGATGTTTCAACAATGTATACAAACCTTATTCTAATTTTAAAAAGCTATTTAATTAAACTCCATATTTAATTTTTTTGAAAAGGTGGCACATTCACATGGTTGCAACTTTGAGAAGTACACAGTGATTTATAGTAAAATATCTCATGTTGTTATTCCCTCTCACCTTCGACTTTGCTCTCTGCTTCCTTCCCTCAAACTTCCCACTTGGCCGCCACATGTAATCCTTGTTATTAATTCCCACATGTTTTTGTGGATGAAGACAAATATATGTAATTTACTCCCTTTTAAAAATAAAGGTAACATACCATATATACTTTTTTTTCATTTACTA
Source organism: Homo sapiens (assembly GCF_000001405.40). Classification (NCBI taxonomy): domain Eukaryota; kingdom Metazoa; phylum Chordata; class Mammalia; order Primates; family Hominidae; genus Homo; species Homo sapiens. The sequence goes on from NC_000018.10 coordinate 36,422,278, forward strand.
TTTCTTGGGGCTCTTCCTATACTAGTAAATAAAGAGCTTCCTATTTCTTAACAGCTGAATAATATTCAGTTCCATGTATATAGGAATCCTATGTAACCTATCCCCTGTTGAAGGATAGTTAGTCTGCTGTCTATTCTTGGCCATGGTAAACAATGCTGCAGTGAATAACGTTGCATATATGACATTTTGCACATGTATAAGTTTACCTGGAGGATAAATTCCTGGAGGTGGGATTGCTGGGTCAAATGGTCTGTGTACTTGCAATTTTGATAGATGATATCAAATTGCCTTCCATAGGGCTTGTTCTAATTCCCTTTCCCACCAGCAATTTGCAGCCGATCAATGTGAATGTGGTCTGAGGTCCACCTCACTCTGCAGGCTGACCTAAGGGGCTGCTTTTCTCCAGTGCCCCAGCAGTAGCCCTGGCTGAGAAAGCCTTTTTGAGAAACAAAGGATTTGATTTATTTTTGAAAACGTTAATTAGCGTCCTTAAGTAAACATTTGATAAATTAAATCTGATTAATTTAAGCATTGACTGAAGCCATTTTTATCAAACCTGTAGGAAGGGTGTATCAGGAAGATGAGCAATCAGCTGAAAATTTTAGTATTTTTGAAACTGAGCAGAAAAGTGTTAACATTTTACCATGTCACCATTTTAATGTGAGAAAGGAAACCTCCCAGCAAGAGGTTGAGAAATGACAGACCAGAGTGCTCCTGTTGTCTCCTTCCTAGGTCATTCCCCTTCGTGGCTTCAGTTTCTCTGCCATTCCTGGAGCTCTGCTTCCTGGAGGTACACATGTCCCCCTCACCCTTGATTCCTCCCCGGCCCTCGATTCACACCCCCCCCAAACTTCATGTTCAAATCCTCATTCTGCTATGCTATGCTATTCTGCTATGAATTCAAAATTTTTAAGTAATGAAAACTTCGATAAGAGCAATATACACTTACGATTTTTAAAAAGCTATAATTTTTATGATTTAATGCCATGATTACAATTTTAGGATCTCATTGGAGATCAGATTGGGTTTGACTAGAAAATGAGCAGGTGTGGAAAAGGAGGTTGGAAATGGTCTGAACTGAATTTGGGTGAAGATCTCAAAGTACATAGAACAGCTGATGTCATCTCAGCATATTGTTTCACCACAAAAGCAAGGTCATCTAACAACATTTTGTCATGGTGAATCTGATGAGAATTCCTAAGTACACTCTGAGAATAGAAAGAAGGTGGATGCTGCGGAGGGGGTCTGCATTGGAAAACCTCTGCTGCCATTTCAATGCATCGAGCCACCTTGCCTTATTATAGTGAACAATAGTAGAAGTACCTGGAGGCTCCATAGAGGGGCTGTGTGCAGTGAGCATAGTGTCGAAGCACCATGTGTCAACAGTACACACTTCTGAAGGTGGAAGAAGAATGACATGAGAACAAGAAAGAGAAATGATTGCAGGCTCTTACATAAATGCAACTGATACGTGGGTTTTTTACTAACAGTGGCATAGAATGAATACAGTGGTATAGAATAACATATTTAAAAATAAAACAAGAATCCCTATTCTGTTTCCTTATCCTGCTGCTGTTTTTCACGGCAATCATCACCTTATACACTCAGTTCTGTATAACACTTGTTTGTAAAACCCGTATTTGTTTCAACATGATTGACATATTAGGGGACAATTTGAGCATAACGTGGATTTCACATTTGCTGGTATAATTTTGTTTGCAGAAGCTCTAGGTGAATGCAGAAAACTGCCTTCAGCTGAACCAAGCCACACAGCAATACACAAAACACACACCTACACACACCTAAAGCATCTCCCACCTACCTCAGTTCATGTCTCATTTTTTGAGCCACACCCATCCACATGTGGAGTTCCAATATTCTCATTCCTGATGATCCTCTATCCATCCCACAATTACAAGCCTTTCCGATGCCCACTTCCACAAGCACACTTTGGTTTCTTCACAGTACAGTGCCACATTTTTTGTAGTATTTATGTATTTCTAAGCCACTTAGTGTGTATAAAACTGTGCTGTGCTTTTATTAGGCTCCTCTCTTTTTTCCCCGTATGCCTTCTGGTGTTATTGTGAGATTTTTTTTTTAGCAACGTGTATGTTGTATTATAACAGAACTGCCTGACTGTGATTGACTTGGGTTTATTGTTCATGTTTATTGTCTTGTCCCCTCTCCTCCTCCTTCCCTGGTAGAATGTCAGTACGTGAGGGCAGAGCCTTTTGATGGGTCACTCACTGTGGTGTCCTCAGCACCTAGAATGGTGTCTGGTGCAAAGAAAGGCTCAATAAACATTTGTTGAATGAATGAATCTCAGATCATTTACTGGAAATAGCACTCTAACTATATTCTGTTGTAAATTAATGTTCTATAATAAAGAATTACAGCAGTCTACCCTTGTTTACAATTTGGCTTTCAGTTACCTGTGGTCAACTACAGTCCAAAAATATTAAACGGACAATTCCAGACATAAACAATTCATAAGTTTTCAATTGTCTATTGTTCTGAGTAGCATGATGAAATCTCTTGCCCTTGTCCCTAAGCTGAAATCATCCCTTTGTTCAGCGTTTCTGTGCAGCATACACTACCTGGCCATTAGTCACCCAGTGGCCATCTCAGTTATCACATCGGAGCCATTGTGGTACAGCAGTGCTTGTGTTCATGTAACTCTTATCTGACTTCATAATGGCCCCAAAGCACAAGACTAGTAATGCTGGCAATTCAGATAAGCCAAAGAGAAGCCATAAAGTGCGTCCCCTAGGGAAAAGGTGAAAATTCTTGACTTAATAAGGAAAGAAAAAAATTATATGCTGAGGTTGCTAAGATGTACAGTACATAAGATATTTTGAGAGAGAGACTGCATTCACATAACCGTTATTACAGTATATTGTTACAATTGTTGTCTTTTATTAGTTATTGTTGCTAATCTCTTATTGTGCCCGACTTATAAATTAAACTTTATCATAAGTATGCATGTATACAAAAAATATAGTATACATAGTATCCAAGGATTCAGGCATCTACTGGAGGTCTTGGAATACATTCCCATGGATAAAGAGGGACCGCTATATTATAGTTAAGGGACGTAGAATGGCTAACGTAGCTTATCAATGAAGGGGAGGGATGGAAATGTGGAATGTAGGTCACCCAGCTTTTTAAAATTTGTATTTAAGAAAAGCTTTATGTTCTAACAACCTTTAATTCAAAGCCAATTAAAAGTAAGAACAATCAGAATAATAGCAAAAGTGGCCAGATCCATGAATATAAGGTTATGTTCATTTAGTAAAGATAGTGGGGAAAAAAAGAGACCCCAACAGTGGCGCTTGACTCCAAAATAATTTAATATAGGAAAAATTAAAAAGTGTATAAACATGATGCTTTGATCTGGGTTTGTTTTAATGAAAATTCTTGTTATTGAATTGTTGCTTTAGCACCAGTCATGCATATTTAATATATGTATATGGTTAATGCTCAGTAAATGAGGGCATGTGTTGAGTGTGTACCTATAATTGGTAGTTGGAATAATAGATATATATGTGTACATAGACACATACTTATATGCATGTGACTTTGTGCTGCAACTCTGGGAAGCACTTCACACACTATTTCTTTCTTTCTTTTTTTTTTTTTTCGAGACGAAATCTTGCTCTGTAGCCCAGGCTGGAGTGCAGTGGCGCGATCTTGGCTCACTGCAAGCTCTGCCTCCCGGGTTCATGCCATTCCTCTGCCTCAGCCTCCCTCCCCAGCAGCTGGGACTACAGGCGGCCACCACCATGCCCGGCTAATTTTTTGTATTTTTAGTGGAGACGGGGTTTCACCATGTTAGCCAGAATGATCTTGATCTCCTGACCTTGTGATCCGCCCGCCTCAGCCTCCCAAAGTGCTGGGATTACAGGCATGAGCCACCGCGCCCGGCCTTCACACACTATTTCATTTCATCCTCACAGCAGCTCTACATGGTAGGGGTTGTTATTTTTCTCATCTTTCAAATAAGGAAACTGGGGCACAGATAGGCTAGGTAACTTAATGGGGGTGATACAGCTGGTAATTGGTGAACCTGGGACTGTGGTGCAGAGCCCATGCCTTCATGGGTGCTGACAGCATTTAGCTAGGTCTTGGTGATACCAGTTAAGAAGATTTGTCCCTTGCCTTCCAGGAAGAAGCCATGGAGTTGTCAGTGGAAAATCACCATGAGATTGGTGCACAAGTGAGCAGAGCCTGAGGAATTGTGGGGACTGGGGGAGCAGGTGCCTAAGTGCCTTGTGTGGTGGGCTCCCCCTCCATTAACTAGATGCTTTGAAAGTGCCCACATACATTGAAATGAGCCCAAAATACCCCAAAAGCAGAAAGCATAGACATGTGCATGAAGGAAGGAACTAATGTTCATTCAATTCCTACCTTGTTGTAAGCACTGGGCTAGTCGCTTCTCATACACTGTATTAGTAACTGAAGTTGTCACATATGAGTTTAGTGTAAGTGTTTTTACTTGTTCTGTCTCATTTAGTCTTTACAATCCTTCTGTGACTGGTTCTGTTATTATCTTCATTTTCCATAAAACCCAAAGAGTGTGCCCTAAGTCACATAGTTATAAATGGTTTTGTTTAATCATCACCACCAACCAGTGAGATAGGAATTATTCTTAGAAGTAAGCACACACAACCAGGGAGTGGTACTGTTAAGATTTGAATGCAGGGCTGTCTTCACAGCCTTTGCTTTTTCCATTTTAAATAAGGCACACATTGAGTCGAGGTGTGTTTCTAAGAAAAATATAAGAGAAGATTTGAGACAGTGATTAAGTTCTTCCAAGACTTAACCAAAATATATATGTACTTAGAATAATGGAGATCTTATATTTAAAAGAAAAGCAGTTAGCAAGTTGAATAGCAATTAGTCACAGAAGATAGGAGCCATAGATTTTAAATATGGTAACTATGAGACGAGAAAGATCACACTGCCAGCAGAGGAATTCATCTTAAAACTAGAACTGATCTTGCTTCTCTAAAAAAAAAAAAAAAAAAAAAAAAAAATCCTTCTTGGTTCCCACTGTCTGCAGAATATGAATCTTGGCATGTCCTCTCTTGTGGCCAGTCTCTCATCACCTCTCAGGCCACTCCTACAGGCGGCCCCTCTCCATCCCTGAATGCTGTGTGTTTTCATATAATAACATAGCAGTGTTCATCCCTCTTCCCAAAGGGAGAACTTCTTTCTTTCTGGCAAAATCCAGTTCAAGTTTTATTATGTTGGGGAAGACTTCTCCAGATCCCTCAGGCAAAACTGAGTTGCCTCATTTCTCTTTCCCAGATCTTTATCAGTTTCACTCTTGCGGATTTAATAATGGGTTGCAACCAGTAGCTGCTATGGATCACTCTCCAAATGGCTTAAGGGTTCTTCATGGATCGAGAGACTGTTTTTTTCATGTCTGCACTCCTGGTGCCCATCTTAGAGCCTGGTACACCCAGTCAGTGTTTATGAAATGGGTAGATGGATGGATGAATGGATATGTAAATGATTCCACAAAAATGTGATACATGGGTAATAAGTCATTGTAAATTAGGAACTATTGCAGGCACTGTCACTGGATGTATTTTTTATTCATAATGAACGTAATTGCTAGTTTTAAAAAATCATTTCTGAAAATTCTTAGAAATTAGAATACAAAATAGGTTTTGAACAAGGCATGTTGTAGATATGTATCTTCCTTGGCTTGCAATTAGGAAATGTTAACATTTTATGCATTAGCTTTCCTGACTTTCCACATTCTAGGCATTCTCCTAGGTCCTGAGTGAAGTGTTCTCTGCTCACCTTCTCTGTCCTCTTGGTTAGCCTCTGCCAGGAACATTGATAGCTGTGGTTCTTGGTTATTCTGTAGCTCGCCTCTAAGGCATGTATTATGCCTTAAAATTTTCATTATTTATTGGATTACTCTTGACCTTGACTCCCCAAGCAGATGATAAATTCTTAGAGGGCAGGAATCATATTTATACTCTCCCCGAGTCCTCTAGCATTTCTAAAGTGGTAGGTATGTCTGTGTAGTAAGCGTTAAAGGATTTTTTGTTGATGAGGCCATTACTTTGTTGTTTTGTTTTGACAAATTGCAAAATGCCCCCTTCCTCCATCTTTGGAGGAAGAATGAAGGCTCATGCTCTCTTGTGAGAAACACAGCCCCACTCCGGCCTGTGAAGTGTATGGGAGGTTTACTGCAAGGATGCAGGGGTGTCGTGGAAAAGAGGAGCCAGAAGAGCAACGAGGCTTCTGAGGGTGGGGCTGGGGGCGGGATGTGAAACAGAAGTTCTTGAGAGCCAGGCATCTGTGTCTGTCTGTCTGTCTGCCTGTCTTGTCACATGGTCTCTCATCCCTTCTTTTCCTAGGGCAAGTGCCACACCTCTTGACTTTCTCTGCTGACTGGGCCCTCTAAGAATTTATTGCTCTTTGAACATGACAGCAGAATGATCATTCCAGGGACCATCACTGACTATTTTTTCCAACTTCAGGATATTTCTTCAGAGGAGGAATTTGATTGGTCCCCTTAGGTCAGGTGTTCTTCCTGGTCCGGTTAGCTGTGGCCAGAGAGATGGGGTCACTGGGTGTCAACATTTTCAAGCAGGATTATGGAAACACATCTTCAGATGACAGTGTGGGCTGGCTAGGCACGCCAAGCTTCTGGAGTGAAACTTGAAATATGTTTTAGCAGCAGTCAGTCGGGAATGTTAATTAAGGGGCCACTGTCGTCATTGCTTGGAGTAAAGATAGAGGTACCCTCTACTGCCTCATGAAGCTTTGGTCTAGGGAGTGGCAGCTTGTGAACGGTCTTGAGGTCCAATGAGAAATTGAGGATTGTTTTCCCCAGAAGTCCCTGCCACCAGGAAGTCTGGCAGAGTAGCATGGCAGACTGACTATCCGCTTTGTGGATTACTGTGCTGTGAGAGTGAGACACTGGGCTTCCTTAGAATGTTTGTGTCTGCTGTGTCTGTCTGAGGGGGATGGAGTGATACCTTGTATAATATGATTGCTGCCAGTCTTAAATTCATAAACTTCAGTAGGAAAAGAGAAGTGAAGAACTAAGTAGACTTGTAATTAATGAGATTTAGAGCCCCAGCAATGGGTGTAGAAAACACCCAGTTTCCTATGGAAGGCTCCAGGTACGGGTGGGGGCATGTGGGACTTTAGTTCTTATGGACAGCTAGTATGTCAAGGAGGAGCCTCCATCTGCCTTTTTGAAGCAGTCTTCATTTTTATTTGCCACATGCGAACTTCATTCCTTTGCCATGGGAGAAGAGAACAGCTTTAAAGACTATTTTTAGCTTGTTAGCACAGATAAGGAATTCTTAGGATTGGAGAACTAATCAGGAGATCAAGGTGAAAAGGAAATGAATATGCAGAACGGCAGAAAGGAGACATGGCAGAACTGAGGGCCAGAAGGAGGAGCAGCTCCGCACCCATGAAGCTGTGTGAAGACATGAAGCACTTCTTTGGGGAGAGGCCTCCACTGTTCCTTGCGCCACCCAGAAGATAGCATGAAACTGCTGGCACTAGGGAGGAATCTTGTTGTTTTGCAGCAAGAAAAAGTGAGAAGCAGGCCTGGTGAGAGCAGATCTGCGGGCAGGTCTGTGGGTGGACTTCTGGGGCTTGTTCTCAAGTTGGGGTGGAGTGTTCGACCAGACTCTGCAAGCTCACTGATGGGAATGGGTGCCTGTTACCTCATGTGGGCACCAAACCTCTGCGCTTCTCTCCAGAGATCTTGTGGTTCTGGGTGTGAAGCTGAAGATTCAGAATGATACGTTTTCATCTCTTCTTGCAGTTGAAGGGTCTTCATTTGAAAGAGAACAAAGATATAGGACTATGTCAGCCCCTTGGTGTTAATGATCTAAATTACAGGTTATTTCATTGTGCATGATCTCCATTTGCCACAAGACTAGGGTTGGGCAAATAAGCCAGATTTTGTTTTTTGAGACAGAATTTTGGTCTTGTTGCCCAGTCTGCAGTGCAGTGGCACGATCTTGGCTCACCAGAACCTCCGCCTCCCGAGTTCAAGCGATTCTCCCGCCTCAGCCTCCTGAGTAGCTGGGATTACAGGTGCCCACCACCACGCCCAGCTAATTTTGTATTTTTAGTAGAGATGGGGTTTCTCCATGTTGGTCAGGCTCGTCTGGAACTCCTGACCTCAGGTGATCCGCCTGCCTCGGCCTCCCAAAAGTGCTGGGATTACAGGCGTGAGCCACCGTGCCCAGCCAAACAAATTTTTAAAATTTTAAAAATGTTTAATTCCTGCAAGTCTGACAGTGATCTCTAGTAAAATCTATACAATCTATTACATGGTAGATAATAAGTAATTTTTAAAAGTTGAATCAGAAAAGTCGTGAGCATTTCTAAATGATTGTGGAATTACCAGAAATGAATATGGGTTAGCTAGGAGTGAGTATTACTAAGCCAGCCTCATATTGGGGATAATATTGGGCTGGTAGATTTAGTTTTGTGGAATAGATTTGCAAGAGACTCTTGTAAATATCTGTTTGGACTAGACGTTAGCGTGAGTTAGATGGAGTCACTATTTGTTTAAAAACAATCTGTTGTTATTGTTTTGAGTTATCAAAATGGAATGGGCAGACCAACTGGATGCCAAAAACCTGCCATGTTTTCATTAAAAAAAAATCAGTGTCCTCTGTCTAGAGGGCATACTCAATACAACTTCAAGCGATACAAAGCTGATAGGGATAGCTAACATGTTGTAGGACAAAGGTGGTAGAAATAATTGATATGTTATATATCACAAAGTTGAGATCTTGATAAATTGAAATCAACTAAAAAGGCTAAACGTAATGGAAATGCATGTCCTGCCTCTTGGGCTAAAAATTTTATTATATGAGTATGGAAAGAAAGTTGAACAAACATTTATATGAAAGATCTATGTGTTTTAGTTGACTACATTTATAGAATATAAAGCTTTGTAGGAGAAGATGGCCTAAAAGCTTTATATTCTGTTAAAGGGACATGGAGTGCCCACAGCTGTGATGCTCTGTAAGCCATATCTCAGGAAAGCCCTGACTGTTTGGAAGGTGTCCTGGAAAGGATGCAGGAGGAAAGTATTGGATGGTAAGAGGGACTGGGAAGCCTGGCCTGAAAACCTGACACATGGGTGTGCAAGCCTGTTTCCATCGGTCAAGTCTGTCCTGAGGAAGGAGCAGGCCTATTCTAGGTAGCTCCTGAGGGCAGTACTGCCTTTGTGGGTAGAGGTTGCTGGTGGACAGATTTGACTTGGGTATGAGCAGCCTTGATGGCTGCATTGAAGCTATGGCTTCAGTGGGTGGAGAGCTGAATTTAGTGGCCTCTAAGGTCCCTTCCAAATATCAGATTCTGCAGTACTTGGACAATGTACATTTTGTTGTAATTTTAAAGCCACTAACATATGGTTTAGAGATGGGTTTATCACTATAATTTGGGTTATGTAATACTATAAAAGGAAACTGTGATATGACCATCCTTTAAGTGGGAAGGCCCAAGGAAGTTTCCAGAGAACCAAGAGTAACCACGACTGTTTGCAGAGAGTGAGTTTTGTTGAATGTAATTATGATGAGAAAATACAGTTGTTCCTTGAAAAATATACTGTGACTGAAGAGAGTGCAAAGGAAGCACATCACATGTGGTACCTGTCCCCAATAATGCAGTTTGCATTTAATCCGAAGGTGAATTCCATCACATAGATATAAAGATTTAAAGAAAAAGTCCTGTCTCCCTTTGGTGATTCTTTTTGAGCATTTCTGCTTTTCAGTAATCATAGCTTTGTTTGACCAAGCTAGCGCTGCCTCTCAGGGAACGGAGAGCAGTTATTACAGCTGGCATGGGCAGCCAAGGATCTTCAGGGCCATGCCATCTTGGAGATTTTCTTCAGAAAGAGGCCCTGATTACTCTTTATTTTTGCCCGTGTTGTTTTACTCTGATCTGTAATTTAAAATCTACTATACAAAGAGTCCACAGAATGCCAGCTGGATGCTAGTTTAAAGATTTTTTCTTTTGCTCTTTATTTAAAAAAAAATTTAAATAGGACTGTCAACTTTGGTGTTTGCTGTTAAGAAATTCGTGAGATGCAGCTTTCTGTTTCCTTAATTTCAGTGGACTAAGATATCAGAAACAAAATCACCAGTGTAAGACTCTGTTCAAGGGGTCTTTTTTCCTAGCAAAGTGGGCAGGGATGACTCAGCCAACTTAATCTCACATGGAGGAGGGGAGGACCAGCAGGCTTCTAGAATGGGCCTCTAATGGCAGCCTGGCAGCTGTGACTCAGGGAACCCTTGCATGTATGCTGGGTGTCCAGTTCTGCCCATTCTTCTCAGGCCATGATGGGGTCACACATGGAAGGGAGGAAGCAGGCAAGCAGGACCAAGACTGTGCTTGAGCTCATGGGTCACTGTCAACTGCAGAGGACAGTAAATGGCTCCTTCTTGCTGGTTTTGAAAAGCAGATGCTTAACTCATATATAACAATGGGTGCGTCTTGACTTTTGTTCACTGCTCTTTATCATATGTTTGGACTTCATTTGGGAGCAAGGGACAGCGTAGCTTTTATTTTTGGTTTTATGATTTTCTGCCTTTTAAATGTAAAGCCATATCTTTCTGTTTCCCATTTCCTTCAGTTATTCAAATGTCTTAATGTCTTTAGCCCACACATTGAATCTTGTACATAATCATTTCTATGACCCCGGCTTGGTAGAACATCAGGAGGTGGATGTGCTCAAACTCTGCTCTTGCCCTGGAAGTACAGTTCTTTCAGAGTCTCTCTTAATGGGCTCCCCTGATTAGGTCAGGCTCACCTAGGATAATCTCGCCTTTGATTAATTCAGAGTAAACTGATTTGGAAACTTAATTACATCTGCAAAATTCCCTCATTGTTGTCACATAGTTTAACCTAGTCACAATGATGATATCTCATCACATTCACGAGTCTAACCCAGATTATATAGTGGGTACAGCAGAGAAGGGAGTCTTGGGGGGCATTTTAGGATTCTGTCTACCATACTCCTGTAAACATTTACTCATTTAAGCCTCAAAGAATTACACAGGATTAGTCAGTAACAATTTTCCTTACAGAGCTTAAATTCCTTTCCACCTCAAGTTCACTCACTTAGTACTTTATTATGAATTTCACCAAACTCCCTGTGTGGAAATGAGCTTCAGGACCAGTTTTAGCAGAAGAAAATAGGTTAACAAATTTATTCAATTCAACACGTTAGGATTTTATTCTATCTAGAATATTCTGGGCATGTGGTCTAGTGCAAGGCTACTCAGTGTGATCTATAAATCACTGCTGATTGGAGAACTGTACGTATCACAGCAAGATATGAACAGAAAGTGAGAGTAAGCATTTAGAAACATTTATAGTAATTTAATACTGTCGCAGTATCTAAGCCAGTGATGAATAAGCACATCTTTTTGACCAAAATATAGGACAGGTTGGGTATTGCTGGACTCATGTGATGAGTTACATATGGTGTGTGATCTGTGTGCTGGTCCTGTGTTTTAGAAATAGGTTAGAAGGTAGGATTTTATTTTTAATCAACCTTATTGAGGTATACTTTACATTCAGAAAAATGCACCCACTTTGACAATATGATGAGTTTAGACAAATGTATAGACCCATGTATCTACCACTACCACAATCGAGGTTTAGAACATGCTCATGTTTTCAAAAATTTCCTTGTACCCCTTCTCAATCACTCTAGGCCCTCTCCGCTCCCCACCTGTAGCTTCCAAGCCACTGGCGATTGCTGATAGGCTTCCTGATTAGATTAGATTAGATTTATCTTTTCTAGAGTTTCATATGAATGAACTTATTCACTGTGTACTCTTTTATGTTATATTATGTTTTATGTTTGCCTATCTGAAGATCACAAAGATTTTATCCTCTGTTTTCTGGTAGACATTTAATAGTTTCAGTTTTTCTATTTTGGTCTATAATCCAATTTGACTTAATTTTTATGGATGAGGTAAGATATGGATGTCTATTAATAGTCGTTCAAACACCATTTGTTGGAAATACTATCTTTTCCTGTTGATTTATATTGGCACGTAGGTTGAAAATCAGTTGACGGTGTATGTGTGGTTCTACGAATGGATTCCATATTCTGTTCTATTGCTCTGTGTGTTCATGCTTAGGCCGATGCTATACACTCTTGATTACCATTGTTGTATTGTACATTTTGAGATTAAGTAGTACAAGTCTTCAAATTCTTTGTCAAAATTATTTTGATTGTTCTATGCCCTTTGTATTTCTATATACATTTTAATAATCAGATTGTTGATTTTTTTTATTTAAAAAATCTGGGATTTTTATTGGGATTGCAGTGAAAGTGAATCTGTAGATCAATTTGCGGAGAACTGACATCTTAATAATATTGAGTCTTCTATTTATTCAGGTGTGTATCTTCATTTATTTGAGCTTTCTCAGTTTCTTCCTGCAAAGTTTTATAATTTTCAGGGTACAGGTCTTGCAAATACTTTGTTAAATTTATTCTTAGGTGTGTCATTTTTTGATGCTATTATAAATTTAAATTTCCAAATTTTATTGCTCATATATAGAAATAAAATTGATATTTTTATATTAACCTTATAGCCTGCAATTTTGCTAAACTTATTATTTCTAGTAGCTTTACTAAATAGATTTCCTAGGATTTTCTGTGTATGTAATCACATCATATGTAAATAAAGTCAGTAGCTTAATTTAATGCTTAATATTATTAGTTGAATATTATTTGGTCAATGTATATTAATTTATTTGTAACCTTAATTTACTGATGGTGAAGGGCAAAATAAATTTCACTGGACTTTTTTTTTTTTTTTCTGGTCAAGAAAAGACCCGTTTCCTTGAATAGGCAGTAGTGGGTTGTAAACTAAATGGTGAAAATGGAAGTCATTTCAAGAGCAAAATATTTTATATTAGTTATACCTGGAAGTATTCATATATTCATTTTTATAGCTATAATTAGCTAAATAAACTGCTAAAACCACTGTGTATGTTATTCTGTGAGAATTTAGTGCTAATGAAGGGAGAAGACCATCTGTATGTAAATAGTATTTACATGTAAAACAAATTATTGAAAACAAAAATAATTCTTTGAAAGAAAGAATCCAGTTAAAGAGCTGACTGATGCCAATGTTCACTATTTCATATATCAGCATTAGTACTTTGTGGGTTTCTCACTAAGTAACAGTTTGGTTTGCTAAGAATAAAAAGCCAATATTCAAATGATCAAGCCAGTAATGTAAGACTACATCAAAAATGTTTGTGTGGAAGTGTTGGGTAAATCTATGGCAAAGAAGATACCTCAGACATCGCTTTCCAATGATATATTCAGAAACTGGCTAATGATATAGAATGATATATGAAAAGCAACCCATAGAACAAATGGAGTCAGTAAGGAATTTTCATTACAGGTTAAAGAATGCACAGATTTGCTAAGTGGCAATTCTTCTAGTAAGTGTGTAATTTCATCATGTTGATATGATGGAAGAAGTCTTTTCAGCGTTATTACTGATAAACACAACTAGCTCTGAATGATATAAAACTGAAGAATTACATTTTCAACAAGAGTGGTCTGCAGTTTAAGTTTTGTACAGGATAGTGTGTTCTGACAGCATCATTGCAACGACAGAAAAATATTCTAGAGAAGCCCCATGGATTAAAGAGCTTTTAACAGAATGCAAATCAGTGCACTCCTTCCTTCACTGAGAAAGTCTGGGTATGAAAAAAATGTCATCCAAACTAAACAGTTTGCTTAGTGCTGATATAAGAATTGTAAAATATATACAGGCAAAGGTGTTAAAAATTATCCTTCCTTTTATATGCTAAAATGGAAGCTAATTATAAACTGATATTGCATGCTGAGGTATGACAGTTACCTATGGAAAAGTTCTGTGGAAAATAAACTGTGAAATAAGTTCTTAGCATTTCTTGAAGGCAAGGAACCAGCTTGTTCTCAATTCCTTAAAGATTGTTCTATGCCCTTTGTATTTCTATATACATTTTAATAATCAGATTGTTGATTTTTTTTATTTAAAAAATCTGGGATATTTATTGGGATTGCAGTGAAAGTGAATCTGTAGATCAAATGAATTAGACAACCAGATTTGCTTATTTGTTTGTTATCCGAGGTATTAAAACCCCCATGCACAAAGGAATGCAATACTTCTTTTTAATGGGATAAAAGATCAGTGGGCAGAAAAAAAGTTATCAGTTTCACAAGCACAGAAATTCTACAGATTGCTATGTTACGTCCCATGATTTAACTGCAGCGATTTGTGACGTAATGATCTTAATATTGCACATCTATGAAACATTGTCATCAAATACCTTATGAATTTAATCAAGCATTTTGAATTTTATTTTTTTACCAAAAATGATCTATGTTTAGGAAATGTATGGTAGTAGCTACTGATTTCAACCAAAGATAATTTAAATTTAGCCGTAACTGCACAGGATAAATTGTGGAACTGGCAGCTACTGAAAGATTCAAGGTGTGTTTTGATAATATAGCATTTGCTTTCATTTTGGATAAAAGTTGAAAATTAATGTTCTGAGCTTGCCAAAATTATGCTAAAACCTCTTTCCCTATTTTCATCAACATACCTCTGTGAGACTCCTTTCTGTCCTTAGGAGTGTTGCTAAAATGAAATACAGAAACAACTTAGACATATCTTAGCCCCTGCAAGTAGCTTGGTTTATCCAACCTAAAATAGATAAGTTAACAAGCAAAAGGTAAGCTAAGTTGTCCTATTAAAAACTTTGAATATTGGTATATGATGTTTTTTCTCATTGTATGAGTATTAGCTTTTTTGCTTTTTTGTTTTGTTTTGATTTTTTGAGACAGGGTCTCACTCTGTCACCAGGCTGGAGTGCAGTGGTGCCTTCTTGGCTCGCTGCATCCTTCGCCTCCTGGACTCAAGTGATCCTCCCACCCAAGCCTCCCAAGTAGCTAGGACTAGAGGGGTGGGCCACCACACTTGGCTAACTTTTGTATTTTTGTAGAGATGGGGTTTCACCATGCCTGGCCAAGTATTAGCTTTTTGCTTGTGCTACAACAAAACATGAGAATAATAGTGATCTTCTATATCGATTGGCCTATGCTTGCTTTTGTTATGTTTGTATTGTCTAATTCTTTCCTTTTTCTGCAAGTTATATATTTTCAGATTATATTTACTAAAATTCAATTTTGTGTATTGAGTCTAATGTTAAAATATTTGACATGTACTTATACATCCTTTTTTATTTCCTTTACTGGCAATTTATTTTTACTGTTTTTTACAAAAGCATTGGTCAGCAATGGACTTGAAATGTCCTTCCACACTAGTAGTTGGGAAGCACTGCATTGAGCTTCTGGTTTCTTTCTTTCTTTTTTTTTTTTTTTTTAAGACAGAGTCTTGCTCTGTCGCCAGGCTGGAGTGCAGTGGCACGATGTCGGCTCACTGCAACCTCTGACTCCCTGGTTCAAATGATTCTCCTGCCTCAGCC
This sequence comes from Homo sapiens, assembly GCF_000001405.40. Classification (NCBI taxonomy): domain Eukaryota; kingdom Metazoa; phylum Chordata; class Mammalia; order Primates; family Hominidae; genus Homo; species Homo sapiens. The sequence goes on from NC_000018.10 coordinate 36,437,785, forward strand.
TCCTGAGTAGCTGGGATTACAGACACGTGCCACCACAGCCAGCTAATTTTTATATTTTTAGTAGAGATGGGATTTCACCATGTTGGCCAGGATGGTCTTGATCTCCTGACCTCGTGATCCATCTGCCTCAGCCTCCCAAAGTGCTGGGATTACAGGCATGAGCCACCGCGCCTGGCCGAGTTTTTGGTTTCTTTTTGGGAGTTTTATTTCAGTGGCATCCCCTGCACTGCCCTCCCACACACTCCTCCAGAGGCTGCCTGCAGGGGATGCCTCTGAATCTGTTCCAAGCAGTTTCCACAGCAAGGCTGTTAGGAACCTCCATGAAGACCTCAAATTGCTCCACAGAGAAAACTTGACAATAGAGGGTATTATCCAGAAATATTATTTATCTTAGTCTCAAGCTGGCTAGCATGGTGGTTGTTTTTAGAGACTACTTTTACCTTCACGCTGAGGAGCCAGCAGGCCCCTCAGCTCTCTGCATTTCTCCGCTGACTCTGCCAGCTGTGGAGTGTGCTTGCAGGTTACCTGCAACCTCCTCCTTGCCAAATGCAGGGAGCTTTTTCTTGCTGTGTTCTCCCCTTCTCTTGGGCACTGGAGGGCATTCACCATCAGTCGTTTAAAAACTTCCCTCTCCCACCGGCTCCCCTGCTTTCTCCCTCTCTCTTTCTGGCAGCTTCTCTGGCTGTGGCTTCAGTAGCCCTTCTGCCCAGATCCCTGGCCCTCCCCTCCTGCCTGTACTTCTGTCAGTCCATGGGATGTCAAATCTAGCAGCCCCTCAAACTCAGCATGACCACTGTTATGTGTGTCTGTTGTCAGCAAAACCTGTGGGCAGTCACCCGACCCAGAGGCCTGGCCATCTCCCTTCCCCACATATTGCTCAGGTATGGAGGCCTGTACCTGGTGTCTGCTGCCCCAGTGCTCTCCGTCCATGCCCTGCCTCGGCTCAGGCCCTCTCACTCTCCTCTGCACCACTGTAAGACACTGCTCTTCATCCTGTCTTCAGGCTCACTCCTCTAGCTCATCTTCCACATTGGCACTTGAGTTTTCACTCAGAAAACCAGTTCTGATCCTGGACTGACATCCGTGTGGCCTCAGGGTGAGGCCTAGACACTTTGCAGCCTGTCCTGAACAACTGGGCTCATCTGGGATGACTCTGTCTACCTCGCACCCAAAGTTGTGCTGAACACAGGCAGTTGCAGACACAAGCCATTTAGGAAGGCAACAAAACAAAATTAATCTACTAGCATCTCATGGAAACTCTGGACGAGAAAGAATGTGAAAGCTTCTAGCTAGCAGGAGATGCTAAATGGGAAAAAAAACAGTACAGCATCTTATTACTGAAAGAAGTTATGAAAAAGGCCCTTGATTTTTATTGAATGCTCCTTCATTGTTGTAGTTAATATATAGTTTTCTAAAAAGACTTTCAAAGTTCTATCCCCAACCCTATGGTTTCTTTCCCAAAAAATCTTAAGCTTTTCAGCCATGTATTTTTTCTCCATGGGGCTGTAGAAAGGCAGCTGTATTACTTGCCAACCTGGCTTTCGCTTGCAGAGGACCCTCCAGGTATGTTGTCAGAACTTTGGCTCTGCCCCAGGATTTAGCAGAGGAGTCAATGACTATTTGGGTAATGAATAAATGAATCCTCCCACACTCTAGGACTAAATCAGCACTTGTCAAATCTGAATGTGCATGTGACTGTATTAGTCAGGGCTCTCTGGAGAAACAAAACCAATAGAATGTGTGTGTGTGTGTGTGTGTGTGTGTGTGTGTGTGTGTGTGTGTGTATGTATGTAGTTACATAAGAGGAGACTTTTTATGTGATTATGAAGCCCAAGAAGTCTCATGATCTGCTGTCTGCAAGCTGGAGACTCAGGAAAGCCAGTGGTGTCATTGAGTTTGATGGCCAAGAACCAGGGGAGTGGGCAGTGTAACCTCTCAGTATGAGGCCATAAGCCTGAGAACCTGGGAGGTAGCTGGTGTTAAGTCCTAGAGTCCAAAGGCCTGAGAACCTGAAGCTCTGATATCCTAGTGCAGGAAAAGATGGATGTTCCAGCAGAGAAAGCATTTGCCCTCTTCGATTCTTTTGTTCTATGTGGTCCCTCAATGGATTAGATGATGCCCTCCCCATCCCCACAATGGTGAGGGGGCTCTTCTTTACTCAGTCTACAGATTTAAATGTGAATCGTTTCTAGAAATGCCCTCACAGACACACCCAGAAATAATGTCTTACTAGCTGTCTGGGTATCCCTTAGCCCAGTCAAGTTGACACTTAACCTCCACCATCTTAGTGACTCTTCTAGGGATCCTGTTAAAATGTAGGTGATGTTTTAGTAGGTCTGTACCGGTAGGACCAAGGTTCTTTGTTTCGAATAAGCTCCCAAGTGATGCTGATGCTGCTGGTCCAGGGACCATCCTTTGAATAGCTAAGGAATAAACTACCCAAAAAACAAGGGGAGCACTCAAGCTCGGGCAGCCATCCAATGAGCACCGGCCCAGCTGTCATCTTCTGCAGCAGAAGCAGGCGCAGGGCACTTCAGGAAGCCTTTCCACATCCGCCTGGGGAGAGCCTTCTCTTCCTGACAGAGGATGTGGCTGCTGATCTCCCACTCCCCTTCCTTATTTGAGGAGCTCCTTGAAAGGGCCACACGTCGGGGAGGGAAAGGGCGTGGGGCACTGTCCCAGCTGGACGCGCTGCCCGCCTCCTCTGAGTCTGCGTTGGTCAAATGAAGGGGCTCCTCCGGGCCTCCACGGCCCTCCCACTGCTCATATTCTGCCACCTGTGCCTGCTCCTCTGACCACCAAGCCCCCAAGGGCCACCAGTGCTGCTCCAGGACTCTGAAGATTATCTTGAGGCAGGAGTGGTGGAGGCCAAGCTTTGAAATTTTTCTTAATGAACCTAAGCACCTTTATGGTAGAAAAAACCCAATACATAATAAACTCTATTAATATCTCCCCACATAATCAACATAGTTCACATGCTTGTCATTTTTAAATGGCTCAGTAGTCGCATTCCCTTAGCTTGCCTGGATAGGCCATGTGTAGCCATTCCTCTGAGGCTGGGCACTTGGCCCATCTCTATTTTTTTTCCTCTTGTATTTTAAATGGTGGGGCTGTGACTATCTGCTGAGATTATCTCCACCCGCCACCCTCCTGCCCTGCTATTGCCTTGGATAAGCTTTTGCAATTGGCAGGGCACCCAGTTACATGGTCTTAGAGCATGCTATACTTTTTGCTTTTTTATAATATTTTCCCCAATTGCATGGTTGTGTGTGTAAGGTCATTCTCTCTTATAGATTCCTCAGTTCCAGGAGGATAGTCTCTTCCTTTCTCTCTTTGTCTTTGCAACATTCTTCGCAGCTAGAATATTGCCCAGCAAGCAGGAGCTCAGTAAAAATGGGTGAGGTGAGCAGGTATATGCCCCAGAGCTGGATGTTGAGGTGTGCTTCCCACAGGCTGCACCTGCCCACCAATGCGAGGTGAGGACCTGCATGAGCCAGGCATTGTCAGACCCTGGGCAAATTCAGAAGGGTGGGCATGAACCCTGCTTTCTGAGGAGAAAGGGGTGGTCAGTGGCCAATTCTACTTTAATGTGGTAAGTGCCAGAAAATGTGGAAGCTCAGAGTTGTACGGGAACATAGAGGATGAGGACGAGGCTGAAGCTGGAGTCTACAGGAAGTGTGACTGGAGACAGGGAGGCCAGAATTGGGTCCAGAAGGCTTCAGGAGGTTTTCTAGGAGGCCTGCTGCAGACTGCTGGACGTCTCTGTGGCTGTTGTAGTGGGCAGAGTCCCTGCTGGCAGAATTCTTAGCTTTGTGTCTGCTGGTAGGCTCCTTCTTATTTTTAAGCTTATGATAGAGATGATATGCTGGGAAACCACATGTTACAGGGAAGCTTCGCACAAACAGCTGTGCTGTGTAATTGCCGTGATGCTCCTTAATTATAGACATCACAGCCAAGTGCCATCTCTTCATCACATTTTAGACGCAGTGCCTGCCCCGTGGAACAAAATGTACCTCCTCATGGAATCGTGGACTCACTGAATTTGGTTGGTAGTGCTAGAAGGAACCTTGCTCAAGTTACAGTGACACGTTGCATGATTTTTTTAAAAAGCCCCAAAAACAAAATTAGAAAAGTCAAGTCAAATTATGCTAAGTTAGGATTTCTGACTTTAGTTCATGAAAGTCCGTGAATAAAGCTTTGGAATAGAATAATAAATTACTGATTACAGACTGTTTCCTCTATGAGTCATAGTGAGAGAGTGTTATTATTTTTCACAATTTAGAAGTGTCATTGCCAAAGACTGGAATACTTAGGAACTTCCAGACACTGGACATTCCATGTGTTCTGAGAATGCCCCCTCCCTGCTCCCCTTCTCCCAGATTCCCTTTCCCCATTGCTCTGTTTCATGTAATGTGTTTGCAAGGTTGTGGCTCAAACTTCCTTTAAGTATGTGGCATTCTTTGAGCTGAAAATAGCCTATGGAGGCTAGCAGTTGATTTTTTTTTCCTTTCAAGGTATATTCTTGATAATGTTTATCATACAGAAGATAAGATAATTTCCATATTTAGCTCAAAACTAGTGGATTTTATTCCTTAGCTCTTCATAAATAGGTATTTTCTCTGAGACTTAAAAAAATTATTAAAAATACTGGCCTTTAAGATATTGGCATTTGGACTTCTCAGGATTGACACACACATTTTTCCTATTATCTATGTTTCATTATATTGTTGCACAGAAAAATACAGGCAAATTTTTAAGCAATGAGGATTTAGTGGAATCATTTTATTTTTTAAGTTTATTTTTATATTTTAGCTTTTCATTTGAGGTAATTGCAGAGCTCCCCAAAAAGTTGCAAAAATAATATGTAGATTTCCTTATACCCTTCACTCAGTTTCCCCAAATGTTCACATCTTTTAAACCATAGTACAAGCAGTAAAGTCAAGACATTAACATTGATGCATTTCCATTAACTATTCTAGAGACTTTATTCAAATTTTGTCCACTGTCTCACTAATGCCCTTTTTCCTATTCCAAGGTCCAGTTCAGTATCCAATCCAGGATCACACATTTTGTTTCAGTTGTCACGTCTCCCTAGTCTCTGGTTTGTGGCAGTTCCTCAGTCTTTTTATTTCATGACCTTGACTCATATGAAGAATACCTGCTAATTATTTTGTAGAATGGCCCTCAAGCTTGGTTTGTTTGATGTTTCCTTGTGATTGATTTCAAGTTATACATTTTTGACAAAATGCCACAGAATTGTCATGCCCTTCTCAGTTCATTGTATATGGAGGTACGTGTTGCCAATGTTTCTCATTACCGCTGATGATAACTTTGATTACTTGGGGTAGTGGTTTCTCCACTAAGAAATTACTGTTTTTCCCTTTGTAATCAATAAGATACTCTGAAATTATGTAAACATCCTGCTCATCATGCTTTTACAACCCTTAATAATTCTTGCCTGTGACGATCATTACTGTAGTGTTTGCCAAATGGTAATTTTCTGTTTCTGTGATTCCATCTGTACTTATTAATTAGAATTCTACTGTAAGGAAGAGCTTCTCATCTCTATTTATTTGTATCAGTATGAACTCATGGATATTTGTTTTATTCTATGGATTATAACCCAGTATTATCATCACTTATTTTGTTGCTCAAATTGTTCCAGATTTGACCATTGGTAGATCTTTAAAGTTGATTCTTGTGTCACTTAAACATTCCCTCATCACATTTTTTGAATGTTCATATTTTCTGGCATCTCAAGAAGTTTCATGCTTATTTTGTATTTTCTCTGCCCAATCCTGAAATCAGCCATTTCTCTAAGGAGCCATGTTTCCTTTTAATGGAGAACGGTGTTTAGAAACCAAGATCTTGAAGGCTGGATGTGCTCATTGATACTGGGGTGTTGCTGGTTTTATACCTCCTGAGATCACGGAGCTAGGAAATACAGCTATATACAAATATATGCATATTTACTTTCCTGTCTCTATTAACAACACTGAGTTTGTACTGATGTGACCTATTTTAATCTGACCCCACAGACCTTAGTCTAGTCTTTCCCTTTTATTTGTAGCTCCTCTCTTCATCAATAAGAAACTCAGCTTCCATTAGCCACAATGTTTGTTTATTCAGTCTTCAAATACATATATTTTCAGAATTGTTAACCTATGTGTCTGTAGAAAAAACTCCCAAGGCAGGCAGATCACGAGGTCAGGAGATTGAGACCATGGTGAAACCCCGTCTCTACTAAAAATACAAAAAATTAGCCGGGGGCAGTGGCGGGCGCCTGTAGTCCCAGCTGTTCAGGAGGCTGAGGCAGGAGAATGGCGTGAACCCGGGAGGTGGAGCTTGCAGTGAGCCGAGATCATGCCCCTGCCCTCCAGCATGGGCGACAGAGTGAGACTCCGTCTCAAAAAAAAAAAAAAAAAAAAGAATTGTAAATTTTTTTCAAATCTGAGCCTTCCAGTATCTAGCCAAGATGTTTTTCAGAGTTACTTAAGTTCTCTTTCTTTCCTGCCCCCTTCAGTGTGGTTATATTATTTATTTGTAATACAGTTAGATTCACAAAATGGAGTATGTTACTTCTCATACTCCATTTTGGGTTCTCCTCATATCCTGGTTGATTTTAATTGTTTATTTTTTGAATATGTGAGAAGCATAAGCATGGTTTTAGAAATCAGAATTACACAAAGAGGCAGACCAGAGAAGTGTGAATTACTCCTCACCCCACTATCCTGTTCTCATTCCCCGCTTCTTTCTTTCTCCCCCTCTTCTTTCCTTTCTTGTTTCCACTCATCCTCTATAGATAACTAGTCTCCTTTCTGGTTTATCATTCTGTTATTTCTTATTGCACAAATGAGCAGATATGTGGATATTTTCTCATTGCCTTTTTTAACACAAAGGGTAGCATGCTATAGATTTTTTTTTCATTTTCCTTTTTTAAACTTTAACATCCCGGAAATCACTTCATATAAGTTCAGAGAGATATTTTTTATTCTATTTATGACATCTGCATCATATTCCATCATGCAGATGTATTATAGTTTATTCAACAACTCTCCTATGTAATGACATGTAGGCTTTTAATATTTTGCAATTACAAACAATGCTGCAAAATGAATAGCCTCATGCATGTGTATTTTCACGTTGTTGGAGGTATATTGTCAGGGTAAATTTCTATAACTAAAAGATAAGTCAAAAGATAAAGTACCCATGTAGTTTAGATGTTTCCAAATTTCCTTCCAAAAGATTGTAGTAAGGTAATCTGAAGAAGACAGGCTGTGATCTATGTATGTCCAGGTAGAGGGCATGACAACAGTTAGTGGTTGTAGAGATGGGCATGGGTGGCTCTGTTGGAAGGTGGGGGACTTCACTTACTGCTTTTTCCTCCTGCTGTCTTCTAAAGGCATCAGCACAGTAGAGCAGAAAGAGAATAGGCTTTGAGGCCAGTTCAGGACTTAGATAGTTAATCCATACCTTTCCAGGCTCTCTAGGGGACATATGAGCTGCTGCTTGTGGTGGTAAATTCAGTGATCTCTTCTGTTAGGAAAAGAACATGAGCTGGTGATGAGGTGTGGGCTAAAAACTTCTGGGTTTTAGGCCTGCCTTTGAGTTTTGGCAGTATGATTCTTAAGCAGGCATTTTATTTAACCTCCCTGAAAAATAAGAATAATAAATTCTAATGTATGGAAAGTACTTTTCATGGTGTTTGGCGGGGTCGATGTGGTTGGACTGAGGAGTAAACAAATTGTAAATGGAGTGGTACCCTGTGAAAGTTATTTCCCTTCTCTACTCCCTAATTCTGTTCAATTTATTTGAAGTAGGAAGAGATATTCTAAATCATTCCATTGACCATGAGGCAGTGTTTAAAATTCCTATAAAAATGAGCTTTGCTTTACCTCAATATTTGATGGACTGGCTAAGGGTAGGATTATGAAGGTTTGGGCCTCTGTCTCATCTTGGGTTTTTCTTTCCATTCGAGGTTGCCCCATTGGTGGGTTCCAGAAATCATGGGCATGTCCAGGTAGTTGCAGCGAGGCTCCCTCGCTGCGGTCAGCCACAGCCATCAGGGTTATAGTTTCCTGGATCTTTACCATAAGTAAGGTTGAAGCGGAAGTTGCCATTTTCTTCTAAATAAATTCATTGAGAAACCTTGATCCTACTCCAGGATTCTCCAGGGTTTTTTGTTGCATCCAAATCAGTAGGGCTTCCCTCCAGGTCTCCGTTGATGAATGGATTCCCTGGCCCCTGTCCTGGGTTAGGCTTTGGAGACAGGAACTTGTTGCCAGGACAGCAGATAGAAAAGGATTTAAGGTCACCTGAGAAATAGTCCACAATTAATTGTGCTGTGAATACAGGGCTCTTCCCCAAGGAGCGAGCAAGTGTTTGAAAACCAGACCTCGTGGTAGGCTGTGGTCCTCCACGGCTGGCGCTCAGGGATGCTGAGCACTGGCAATCTGGCCTTCCTCAGTGCATAAGGGCCCTGGGGGCTCTCAGAATGACAGGTCATCATTAGTCGCGGTGAAATCACCAGCAACGTGAGGAGCCAGCCACGGAGTCAGGCTGGCTTTTAACTGCTTTAGATCTATGTATTAATTTCTCCTACTCAGCAGCCCAAGCCTCTGCGGACTTTTTTTTTTTTTTTGCTTTTCCAGTGCGCTGTCTCGTCAGCATTGGAGACTGCTCCCAGAGAGGTCAGGCCTAATTCCTCATTGGCAAGTTTTGCCACACTTTAATCCACATGTCCCAGATTGAACCCTTTTTGAATGGAAAGGCTTTGCAAGTCAGTAAGGGTCTGCAAGTAAGTAGAGAGAATTGCGGGAGGAGCTGCAGCTGGGGAGGTCATGGAATCACATCCTGTCCAAGGTTGGTCCTGGAGGAAATTTGCCTGGTTTGCACTGGCCAGTTCATACGCAAACTTGGCTCGTGTTCTTGTTATCCCTCACCCCCACCTGCCCCCAGTGCTCCCTGAGCCCTTAGTGCAAATCAGTGCTTTAATAGTTGTTAAATGTACGCATCTCTCTCCAGTAGAATGAGTTATTGAAAGGTGGTCTGTCTTACTCATCTATTTATCTAGTGTCTGGCCTTTAATCTCCTTCACTAAAAACTTCTAAAATGAATAAGAGGAGGGCTGACTGGGGTAGCAGTGGGGAGGGGAAAGGCCACCCTGCATGTCCCTTGCTGGGGAGGTTGAGGGTGAGGCCAACAGCCCTTGGATTTTTGCCTAGGACCTGCTGTGATCACTTGAAAGATGCTTGCAAATGGCACCTCGGCAACTCCTTTTCTTCTGGATTTGAGATAGATCTTATATCAAACACCAAGGTGTCTTTAGAATCCAGAGACAAGGGGTGCAGTATTCCTCAAACCACAACCTCCAGGAAGAGTTGAGGGAGGGCCCTAACTGCCTGCCTCTGTATCTGTGATTACTGTAAATGCAGTATCTCATTCTCCAGGCCTTTGTGTAAAAATGATGTTCTGGAGGGACCACATTAACTCTGTAGGTCAACCTCGTGTCACTGCAAATCCCCTGGGATATGAGTATGTGTTTGAGGGACCCAGGCCAGAGGATCTCTCAGGATGACTTTGTGCTTGATTTGGGGACATGACGTGTGATTGGGCCCTGGCATGTGACAGTACTGTCTGGGCATCATCAGCTTGACTTTGCCTAATTGGTTGGGTTTTGTTTTTCCTGCCTGAGCTGGTTTTGTTTTGTTTGTTTGTTTTTTCCCCCAATAGGGTGGCAAGGCTGGTGTTGACTGTACCGAAGAACTTTGTGTGGTGTGGACCATGGGTTTCTCTTCACCTTAAGCACAGCTATCAAAAGGGCTGGGGGAGATTGGAGGCTCCAGCCTCAGGAAGTACCCCAAATCAGACAAGAGCTAGTCAGTGCCCCAAAATGGCAATTGCAACATTATTTCTAATGAAAATCTGAAAGCAACCGTAATGTTTAACTGCAACAGGTTAAGTTTAAGTACATTATCAACTTCATGGAATATCATGTAATTGTTAACATTAATAGTGTAGCGACCTGGAAAAGGGCTGTTAAGGTAAATAAAAGCAGGTTTCAAAATTGCCTTATAAGCACATTAAAATGCATATGAACAGGAAACTGGTTACTTTACTTTTCACTGAGGAGGGCAGTCAGGCAGCTGGAGGGACCAGGAGACAGGAGGACTGGGGAGAGAACATTGTGTAGACTTTTGTGCCTTTGGACTTTTGAACAATGTGAATTGAAGGTATTTCCTTTTCAAAAATAAATAACAAAAAGATGAAACAAATGTATAAAAATTGAAAGGAAATACAACAAAAGGATAATGGTGGTATTAGATGGTGCCATGAAGAATATTTTCATTTCACTCTAAGCTTCTTATAATAGGAAGAAGGAATTGGTAGTATTTTGAATTTAAAAGGCAAGTGTGAGTACACTTGTGATAGGAAGACTCTCCCTGAAATTACTAAAATGTTAAGGAAACTAGACAGAGTCCACTCTGTATTTTCTGTGTAGGTTCATAAAGGGTAGGGTAGAAGCCATCCCAGAGATTGCCCAAAACAATGGATGTGTAACTGTCATTTCTTTGGGACTTTGCATTGTATTTTTAAAATTTGTTTCAGGGTCACACATTTATTTTAACAATCAAGCCCTATTCTGCAGGCCCCCACCAGCCCTGCCCTGCCCTGCTCTTCTCTCTGTGGACCTGCCTCCATGCAGCTGGCCAGGCAGTGGACAGTGGTGGGTTGCATCTCTCCCACATGACTCTCTGGGGCCAGGCTGACTTGGCTTCCCAAGCATTTTATACACAAGGCTCCCCGCCTCCCTCTGTGTGAGGGAGGGTTTTGTTTGGACAGCCTTTTCCCCTGGGGCCCAGAATGGGGGACAGGACCTCAAATTACTCTTCCTCCTTCTGCTTCTTGCTGGGCCAGTGAGGGTCCAGTTGTGTGGGACAACTCAGGATGGGAGCCTGCTGAGATGCTGAAAAGGAGCCTGGGCCTCTGGCTGTCCCTGGGGGGCCACCCACAGCTGGTCTTGCGGTTGAGAAATTTGTCCTTTTGGCCTTTCCTTGCTGTGCCTCTGTGTCTCCTCTGGGGACTTCTCTCCTTGCACTCTCTTGTGACCAAACATGCAGCCTCTGTCCTCCTTTATTCAACCCAGAGCCCCCCAGTTACCCTTTCCTCCCCCTCCCTACTTTCCTTTTCAGGACAGCCATTTCTCGGTGTCCCCTTTATCTGGGGAGTGATAGAAAGGACTCTTTTACCCTGATGCTTCACAATGGTATTTGCATTTGAAAGATGCTTGAAAAATACATGGTTTTAACCAAAGCAGTTAATCCCTAATAGTAGAGCTTCAGGTTGCACAGCAAGGACAGGATGGAGCTATTTGGGGGCACTGTATGCCTGTCAGTGGCTCTCAAATCACACCACCTTAGAAGCTGCCTATACTTTCTGTGTTTAAAGGCAATTCTGGTTTGACTACTAGATAATTGAAATGGTACATATATGTTTTAAATATTTGTTATTCTTATGAAGTAAAACATAGGGAAGGCACAAAATATTAAGTATATGGCTTGAATAATTCTGAGCATCATTCTAATTTTGTTACATTTCCTTGGCATCCATGCTGCATATGCCCTTGTCATCCGTATGTTATTCGTGTGGGGTTGAGACTTCAAGGCTTAAGGGTACCTGCCTAATGTCTGAGAGACAGAAAGCAGAATTGGAACACAGGTCCATCTGACCCCAGAACTTTGGTCCCCATATTAACTGCTTTCCTCACTTTTACTCACTTCTTCCCCAGCTTATTCCACAGAGTTTTACTCTAGGAGATAACTAAATGCCTTCTAAAATAGCAGCAAAATATACAGCCTAAAACAACTTTTAGTGTTTCATGCTTGGCAAGAATTCTTGGAATTTAAAAAATGGCATTCCGTTCCTCTTGTTCTGATATACATAATAATTAGTTTGTTCAGTAAATTTTTCTCGATGTATTAGGGAAAGATGTTTTCCAAGTTCATTTTGATGATTGATTTATTATTAAATGGGCACCCAGGTTGGGTGAATGAACACTAAAAATTATATATGATGGTAATGATGATGAAAATGACCATATTTCTTTTTCGGAATTTGAACCATGTTTTTCATTTAAATTAAAAAAAAAATTCAGTAGGTTTTTGGGGAACAGGTGGTGTTTGGTTACATGAATAAGTTCTTCAGTGGTGATTTCTGAGATTTTAGTGCACTTATCACTGGAGCGGTATACACTGTAGCCAATGTGTAATCTTTTATCCCTCACCCCGCTCCCACCCTTTCCCTGAGTCCCCAAAGTCCATTGTATCATTCTTAGATCTTTGTATCCTCATAGCTTAGCTCCCACCTATGAGTGAGAACATACGATGTTTGGTTTTCTCTTCTGAGTTACTTCACTTAGAATACTGAATTGTATTTTTCTTACAGTTTGATAAAGGAAATAAAATTCTACTTCTGACGAGCAGCCAGTAATAAGGAGCAGAATTAACGTGAGAGGGAAGGCAGCCAGCGGAGCTCCCTGGTGGGAAGGAGAAGACTAGGGCTGCATGCAGGGGCTCTGAGGTCAGGCCATTCCTGGGGTTTTAAAGGGAAGTGGTTAAGATAGGATGAGTGTTAGACCAGTAGCATTTACGACCAGTTTGTTTATTTATTTATTTATTTATTTATTTATTTATTTATTTATTTAATTTTTAAAGAAAACTCCCTGAGGCCAGGCACGGTGGCTCAAGCCTGTAATCCTAGCACTTTGGGAGGCCAAGGTGGGAGGATTTCTTGAGGCCAGGAGTTCGAGACCAGCCTGGGCAACATGGTGAGACCGTGTCTCTAAGTAAAATAAAAATAATTAGCTGGGCATGGTGGTGCACACCTGTAGTCCCAGCTACTTGGGAAACTGAGGTGGGAGGATTCCCTGAGGCCAGGAGTTTGAGGCTGCAGCGAACTATGATTACACCACTGCATTCCAGCCTGGGCAACAGAGCAGGACCCTGTCTTTTAAAACAAAACAAACAAACAAAAAACCAAAAACAAAAAAGCCTGACTGTGTCAGAGACTTTTTCAAAAGCATGCATTTGTTTATTTTAAATTTTTTTTAATTAAGTAAGTGAAGCAACTGCTTACTGAGCAGTGAACCCTGGAAAGCTGCAGCTGGCTTCCAGTCTCTGAGGTCTTACATCAGAATAATTGGTAATCATGTCTGTTCGTTATTTATTCCTACTACAGTAGTCTTTCAATTTCATTTCTTTTTACAAGCCAACCATATCACACATTTACATTGTTAATATTTGCATTGTTAATTTTCTTAGCAAATGACTTTTATTTCTTCTCTTTACTCCCAGAGAAAATAGATAATGGCAAAATCAGTTGAAAAACTAAATACTGATGACCTTGTTATGACTGATCCCAAATCAATCTAATGAACATTTCATGGCTCCATGGTGGTCATCACTAATTGTAATATGACAGATACAGGAAAGACAGAACTACTTGGTACATAATGTTAAAATAGCTGATGTCACAGACTAGAGTTGACCCACTCCTGTGTTGTGTATAGCCTTACGAAGCCAGTACCAGTTAAAGAAAGCATCCAATGGCCAAAAGTCATTTCAAAAGCACTCACACTGGTAATTTGCTTTCTTGGAAGTGGTCATAAATCCCCCTTTCTCTCTATCCGTGTCTATTGGAACTCAAAGCTGCCAGAGGGCAACATCCAAACTGCTTGCCCTTTCTCCCAGCCTCTGCCTGGGTGTGGCCCTCTTTATCTAGATTGACTCAGCCAGTCTGGTGATTCCTCAGCCTTTTGCCTCCCTCCTCTTCCTTCTCCTCCGGTGTCTTGGGTTCTGCATACCCGCAGTATTCAGAAGGGCAACCTGGCAGGAACAGAGCCCTGCTCAAGGGCAAGGCAAGAGAAGTCATGCAGGATGAAATCAGCTTCTCTGAGGTGGGAGGGAGGGAAGCAGGACCTCTCAAGCTTACTGGCTAACAGGGGTGTCCCATCCTGCGTGGAGCTCCTGTTTGTCCGTCATGTCATGGATACAGAATGAATTTGACTGGTTAAGAGTAAGAGGTGGGTTCTGAGGGGGGTAGTGCAGTGGCTCAGCACAGATAGCAGCCGCCCTCTGGACTGGTGTCCTGCTCCCCCAGTTCCTTTTCCTGCATGTGGCTCCTTTTTTTCAAATTTGTCCACTTTTGTACCCCCTTTGCCCTCCACAAGCAGCAACCCCATTTGCTTGCAAGTTCTTTCAAGCTGGGCTCCTGGGGATGAGGATCTCCCGACCCAGTGACCGGCCACGTCATAAGCTGGGATCGCAGCTCATTGTCATCACGAGTTACGAGAATTATGAGGGTGCGTCTTGGCATTTTTTTGGTGCCACAAATGCTGGGTATCTTAAGACTTTTATTTTAAAAGCATCTCGGGAGCCTTTTCCGTACTTGTACCACTTTCCAGGACTGTAGAATCTAACAGTAGTTTTTCTTGGAGAATTAATGATGAGTCTACCCACAAAGCAGGCCTGTCTGGCTTGGAATTATTCATTTGTTGTCAGTGTGAGTCAAGAAAAGAAGCCAAAAAAATTTGAGAAGTCAAAAGAAAAACAGAATGGCTATCCCTTTATCTTAACATTTGCAGACTAGACACTTTTAAAATAATTGTAAGAACATTTAACATAAGATCTATCCTTTTAACAATTGTTTCTGTGTACAGTACAGTGGTGTTAACTATAGGCATAGTACAGCAGATCTTTAGAACCTATTCATCCTGCACACCTGAAACTTTTATGTCAGTTGAGTAGCAACTCCCAGTTTCCCTGCCTTCCAGCCCCTGGCAGCCACCATTCTGCTCTCTGCTTCTCGGAGTCTGGCTACTTTAGATATTTCATAGAGGTGGAGTCAGGCAGTGTTTGTCCTTCTGTGACTGGCTTATTTCACTTGGCATAATGTCCCCTAGGTTCATCCATGTTGTTGCATATAGCAGGATTTTCTTTTTTTAAGGCTGAATAATAATTCATTGTGTGTGTATGTGTATATATATGTGTGTGTATGTATATATATGTATGTATGTATATGTATGTGTATATATATGTGTGTATATATATGCATGCCATATTTTCTCTATCCATTCACCCATTGTTGAGCACTGAAGTTCTTTTGACATCTCGGCTATTGTAAACATCTCTTTGTTTACAATGTCTACAATGTCTACTACATAGACATCTCTTTGAGGTCCAGCTTTGAATTCTGGATAAATACCCAGAAGTTGGATACTAGGGAAAACTGTATGAAGGTTCCTCAAAAAATCAAAAATACAGACTAGATACTAGATATTTGCCAGAGTTCTTTTTGATCAAACTAATTCTAGCTTGGTGTTGCTCTGATCACATACTCATTTTCTATTAGCTTTTTGTGTCTGGTCAGTTGCCATGGAGGCATTAGGGTAAAGGGATTGGCTTAATGCATCTCTGGGTATAAAAATTTCTTGAGTTTGGCAAAGATTTTAATTTACATGACAGTTTTGGTTCCCCAACACTAAAGTGAACCAGGTGAGAATTGAGAAAAGAGGCTTCAAGAGTCAGCTCTGAGGACACACAGCTAGTTAGAAAGTAGGAACTGGATCTTCAAAATCCAGCAGCTGGAGTCCTGCAACTAACTCCAAATGAAATCTGCCTCTCACTGCACATGGCTTTTACAGTGGGCGTATGCCCCTACGTGCTCTGCGCAATGCAGCCTCCAGGAGAGGCTTCAGACCCAGTTTTTGCTTTCATGGAGCAGTTATACCCCTGTGGGGACATGAATGTCACACGCATGTGCCAACTGCCCACAGCCTTGAAGCAGGGGTCCAGAGTCCAAGGCATGATGAAGGGGCTCAGGGATGGCTGGAACAGGGAGCCAGGGGAGGCCAGGCTTTGAATGAGGCCAGAGGCTGGGAGCAAAGAAGCTGGCACAGCACAGGCAGAGGCTGGGAGCAAAGAAGCCGGCACTGCACAGGCAGAGGCTTGGTGTGGGGATGCGGCAGGTGTCCTCAGGGCCAGGGCTGGAGTCCAGGGCTTTTGAGAGAAGAGATGGGATTGGAAATGTAGGCTCAGTTTTGTGACATGACTCTGGAAGTTTTATTCTGAAGACTCACATGCAGGTCCTCTTATACTGGTTTGAGCAATTCTTACTGTCCTGTTCTTGTTCTGTTCTTTAATATTTAAAATAAAAAAATTATTGTGGTTGAATTCCAAGATGGCGCTCTTTCTTTTATTTTATTCTTCCCCACCACATTTTAAAATCCAATGTATTTTGCATATGGATCATGAGAGCTCGGGCAGTGTTGTAATGCTGAGATAAGCAGGCAGCTCTCACCTTTGGCCTTGGGACATTCCAGGTCCTGAGGTCGACCCTCACATTGCTGGGAAGGAAAGGAGATGGAGAGCTGGCACACACACACACACAGGAGGGCACACACATGGGAGGGCATACACAGGGGCACACACACAAGAGGGTACACACAGTACACCCAGGGACACACATGGGACCACACATATGGGGTTGTGCACACATGAGCGCACACAGAAGCACACACATGAGCGCATATAGGAGCACACACACAGGCATACACACAGGCATTCATCACCCTTCCCTTACCCTCTCAATATAGTTACAAATCTAGTGTTCACATTATTAAGATGATGTCAATATTGCTCACAGCCAAGCCTCATATGATTACATTTCCTTTCTTGTAGAACCTGTTTTCTTGGAACTAACAATTACCTTATTTTTCATATGCATTGTGTACCTATTGATGAATTTATCCCTGGACTCTGAGACAGCTAAATATTTTTTTCTCAGTTTGTTTGGATTCACTAGAAATTCTGTCCGTTCCATTTTTTTTTTTCTCATAGACGTTTAACCTGGAGCCCACCCCTGCAACCTCTCTGTCTGGGCTTCATCTCCCCTGACCCCTTTTTAGCCTTATGATTGATCCTGGCTCTTCGGCATGGGGGAGGATATTCCAGCATCTAACTGCGCCTTTTAAAACTTTCAACCAGGTGTTCCATATTCAGCTGCCACCTACACCCAGCTTTCAGAGACACCGGTTTTCATGTTCTTGAGCCCTTTGGAGGTCTGCACCA
Organism: Homo sapiens; assembly: GCF_000001405.40. Classification (NCBI taxonomy): domain Eukaryota; kingdom Metazoa; phylum Chordata; class Mammalia; order Primates; family Hominidae; genus Homo; species Homo sapiens. The sequence goes on from NC_000018.10 coordinate 36,454,911, forward strand.
TAACTGACTTGCTGCTTTTGCTCCCACTTAGATTTCACCTTTCTCTCATCTGCAGAGTCCCAACACATGCCCATGTATCTCTGTTTGCTCTTCAAACCCGCTAATATGAGGTTGACTCTTTACAGAACAAACAAAGGCATAAACCTGCAAGAACAAAGAAAGCTGGAGAGGAAATGACAGCTGGCCAGAGGTGTCAGCAACGTTTCTGAAATTGGAGTGCATGTGTCCAATCTGCCATGTTAAACTCAAAGTCACTTCAGTTTCTCATCAATTTTCCAGCATATACTTACAGTAATTACTCCATACCTTTCCACTCTGCAGATATCCTGCAGCAAACCTTCCTCTGGGCTTCTGGCAAGATGCTGGCTTACCTCCAGCCTTATCAGCCTTGATCCTAGCAACAGTCTGTTGTCCTGGATTGTATGAATTTGATCAATAAAATAGTTAAATGTGTTAGGGACGAGTTCTGGGATGGGATAGGAGCAACAAGAAGTGGGAAACATTTTCATTGTTTCACAGTAGATTTTTCTTTTGCTTTAATCCTATCTATATATTATGGCAATCTATTATGATTCTTTCAAAAGAGAACTTTTTAGCACAATTTTATTAGGAGAGATTTATTTTCCATTTAGACAGATGTCGGCAATGTTCATTAAACCTTTAATTAAAAAAAAAAAAAGCTGTCTAGGGATCACAGGTAAATAAATGTATTTCATATGGGAAAGAGCCAAAAAAATTTTTCAAAAAAAATAGTTAAAAATATAAACCGTGCTATGGGCCCTGCCTTCCTCAGGCTCTGAGGTGAGTTAACCGTCATTGGAGCATACATTTCAGTCTTTACTGCACATGCTTTGATTCTGGCTGCAGCTACCCTAAGTGGAGAATTCATAAACAGGTTGGGCTGTGGCTTTCAGAAGAGTGGCATATTCATCTATTTTTGTTTTCCCCTGAAATTTGGTTCTTCCTTCCCTTCCTGGTCTTTCAGCGGGTGCCATGTTAATGGCTGGAACCACTTGGCAGACATGAATCTCTTGGATGCCGCCCCCTAGTGCAGAAGGTCTGCCTGTAGATACTGTCAAGGCCATGTGCACCCCGAGTTGTGCACCTCAAATGTCCCCTGACATTTACATCTACCATCCCCTAGGGCTTGTACTTTTCCGATGTTTTCCAGACCCCCTGTGAAGTTAATGGGGCTTCTGTTCCTTTGAACTTCTTTTGTCCTGCGCACTGAACAGTGACAGGTAAGCCAGGCTCTCTGGGCCCCTGGTGCAATTATAATTAACCATGGGCCTCAAACAAATCCTTTAGCTATGCATGATTTTCCATCTTTGCATGACCTTTCATGATCTGTGACAAATCAACTTCTGACATTGATTGTAAGGGAGTAGTTTTCCAACAAATGCAAAAGATTGCCTAGAGAGCTGGGGTCCGGGCTGTAGACTTTATCAGCAGCACCATCTTAGGGGTTTGTAGCCTGGATATGCTGATGGTTTTTCTTATCTTCTTGAGAGACAGAGGAAGGAAAGGACAGTTGATTGTAATAGATTAGAAGATTAGTGGAAAAGAAATGGTCATTTCTTATAAAACAGTATGTGTTCCTATGTCATGGGTAAGAATGGAATAGGGGGATGGGGCTGTAGAAATCATCTACCTGTAGTTTTCAAACTGCTCATCAAGGCCCTAGGTGTTCTTGGGGTACTACTGGATGGGGCTGGGGAAGGAGGAGTTCCAGCCTGTGTGTCCCCCACGGGCAACAGTGTCAGTGATGGGGTCAGAGAGGGACCCACTTCTACTGCCTTCCTGGTTGAGCTCTGGGGACTGCACCAAGCTTCTGGAGAGAGCCTTGCTTGTACACACCTCAGCTCTTGCCTGCCCATGTAAAGCAGGACCACACAGCTGAGACTGTCATCCTCCCTCTGTCATGGGGTGACTTGCCACAGTGCCATTTAGTGCTGACTAAGTGTGAGTCTGAGAAGAAAAACATTGATGTCTAAGTATTCACCTTTTAAGGAATCTCCCTTTTAATTAAGGAGGATTCTGTGTTTCCCTGTTTAGCACCTGCATCTTTGGTTTTGTGGGACCATGAAGATGAAGCTTGGGAAGATGTGAGAAAGGCTCTGTGGAGGGTGTAGCTCCAGTCAGGTTCCAGCAGGTGGGAAGGTGAGAAGTGAGAGGAAAAGCCCATAATGTTTTGGGAGGAAAGAGGTTTTAAGGGAGCAGCTGCTGAGATGCATGTGCCTTGGCTGAGAGGGACAGGTGAGGAGAACCTTGAGGATATTTTGCTGTGTGTTGGTGCCCACTCAGAAGACTTCAATATGGATTTAAAAATGCCAGTGAGGAGTGACTTAATGCTGGACTTGCGTTTTTTAATAAATGTAATATGCTGAAGCGCAGCTGGGCACATCACTTACCTGGGTTAGGATCATCCTGTGATGGGCCACCAGGCACCCTGGTGAAAGTGGCAGCCATCAGCATTGGTGGATTGTTCACTGGGAAGAATGCCTTCAGATATGGTACCAAGCTCTGTAGCACACACAAGCTTCCGTACAGAACATCTGACTTTTGCAAAAATTTTGTTTTACATTCAAATACGAAGGGTGTCTGAATCCAACAGTAAAAAGGCAGTCTTCAAAAAGAAAAAAAGGGAAAGGAGCAGCTTTTGTAGTTTGCTTTTATTGGCAGAGCTGAAACTGATTCCATAAGAGTTGACCAATCTTGCCTGATGGTATTAGAGTGAAGGCAACCACAGCAGCAGCTGTAACAGGTGAAGAGTTGTATGTCCACTCCTGAAGTGTTTTTTTCTCTGAGTTGGTACCTGCTCTTTCTTGATTTCTCTGAGAGAGATCCCCAGAGCTTAGTAGAGTTCACTTAGCTCAGGATGTCACAGCCTGGAAATAGTCTAAGGCAGAATTTTGTTTCTGCTGAATCGGATGTTACATAGTAGGCAAAGATCTCAGTAGACTAATTATAGCCTCATTATCTACATGCTATTTATTTCATGAATATTGCAACTATTTTTAACACTCAGATGACATAGAAAGCCCTCTGACCTATACTGAGGGGTAAATTCTGGAGTCCCCAAGAAGGGAGAGAACACTTGAGACTCCATAAAAAGGTGGAGAAAGAGGGAAGCAGAGAGGAGAGGAGTAGGTGGCTTCCTTCACCTCTTCTATTCCTTCTCTTCCCACCCACCTATATCAGAAAGGGTTCTGGATTAAACCAAGTATGGTGTCAGTGATCAATAGAAGTTTCCTCTGGGGGCATTTGGAGGTTCAGAGGAAACTTACAAACTCACCGGAATGACTCTGGTTGGTGAAGGAAGGAAGGAAGGAAGAGGGACGTGGGAACTTATCAGTAATTAGTTTGAGCAGTAGAGGAAAGGAGAGTGGACTTGTGGTTCCCTCTGGCTGCATTTTTGATGTCTCCCTTGCCCCCTTTGTATCCTTATAAGGAGTAACAGAAAAGAGATCCTAACAGTTATTAAAAAACTTTTTTGGCAGCACGTACTTCCAACCACTCACCTACCCTTCCTCACCTCTACAAGTGTGTGCATATCATGGGTTGCCACAGAGATGATTAAAAACCAGAACCAAGGATGGGGAGTGTCTCTGGATTAAAATAGGTGCTTGCCTCAGCTGGGGCCTCTTCTCTGCCCCTCCATTGGCCTGTGGATCTTCTGCTACAATGAGGGGATGTGTGACAGGCTCATGTGTTTTAACAGTACATTCATGGTTTTCTGGTTTGTTTTTTGTTAGGTTTTTTTTTTTTTTTTTTTTTTGGAAAAATTTAAACTTTCCTCCAGTGAAATCTCAAAGTGGCTCTGTTGAACCATCGGGGTGACTTGGCCAAGCTAGCTTTCATGAATCTTTCCCACCTCCCTTTTCTTTTAATTTTCAAATATATTTTAGTACTTTCCAGCCTAGAAGAAAAATCAACCTCTCCATGGAACTTGGCGTATTTTTGAGCTGTGTAATTATTTCTGCACGTATCCTTTCACACATTTTTTCAGACACTGCTGTTACTGAACATTTGACTATGTTGCCTTTTGCCATGACCCCTGCTTTGCCCAGGGGTGGCTTTCAGGGCAGTGTTCCTAATCAGCAGCCTGGAGTTTAGTGAAAGTCTCCTCACTGTTTAAGACTTCTGCCTTGTGAGAAGGCTGTTCTTTAGTTCTTGTCTTTCCCACACTGTGTTTCTTTTTCCTATACTCTCCAGCACTGTCTATTAATGGGCATTTTTATGGCCACACCCCCATCTACTGCCCCTTTGGGGAACAGAAGCCATCATAAGAAAAAAGACATCCTGATTGAGAAAGAGGAGCTTGCAGTCTAGTTGGGCAGATAAGTGATACATACACAACAGAGTAAGGCAACTATGACAAAGGGGATTGTTAGAGAAAGAGAAGGTGGAAAATAAGTACATTGCTGATGTGGCATGAGCAGTGACTGCAAAGAGGAGTGCAGGAGAGAGTGATCAATCAAACCCTGCTCACACCCAGAGCTTAGAGCTGGGCGAACCGCCTCGCTGGCTGGGCTGCCTTAGGTGAGGGGAGTACCTTGGGGTAGTTGTTATTGGGTCCTCCTATGAAACCTTCATTATGCGGTGTGGTGAGGCCTTCACAGACAGCCCTGTCTGACCTGCAGTGTGGGGGAAGACTCTAGCCAACTTCTGTCATCCTCAGGCCTTGGAGAAAGGGAAGCTGTGGTCAAATGGTCGTGGTATTAGATGATCAAGTATAAAAGCAGAGCATTTTGATTTTTTTTTCATTTTGAAAAATATAGCTTTAAAATAGTTTTAGATTTACAGAAAAATTGTAAAGATAGTACAGAGAATTCCTTTATATCCCACACTGTTACCTCTATTATTAACAGCTTACACTAAGCTGGTACTTTTGTCACAATTAATGTTATCTAGAGTGTCATACTTCATTAGATTCCCTTTGTTTTTAGCTGATGCCCTTTTCCTCTTCCAGGATTCTGTCCAGGACCCCACATTACAATGAGTTGTCACGCCTCCTTAGGCTCTTCTTGGCTGTGACAGTTTCTCAGACTTTCCTTGTTTTTGATGACCTTGCTAGTTTTGTCCAGTGCTGGTCAGATATTGAGTAAAGTGTCCCTCGATTGTGATTTGTCTCATGTCTTTCTCATCATTAGAATGGGGTTATATGCTTTCTAATGTGCCATTCTCACCACATCCCATCAAGGACTAGTACTGTCAGCATGACTTACGACTTGATGTTAACCTTAAGCACCTGGCTGAGGTAGCATTTGTCAGACTGTCCCCCACTGTTCTGCTACTCTTTCTCTCCCCTTTCTATGCTGCACTTGTTGGAAGGAAGTCACCATACGCAGCCCAAAATCAAGGGATGGGACTTACCCCTCTGTTATTTGAGGGCAGAATGGAAGATTTGTTTATTCTTCCCATTGTATGTATTTATTGAGTCATCTGTTTATATCAGTAAAGACTTGTGACTATTTTATATTTCAGATTGTAATCTAATGCTATTTCAAGCAGGGGCTTGGTAAGCCACACATCACCATGCAAACGTGAGGCACTAATACAATCATTGTGTGATGTGCTAACCCGGAGGTCCTTTTTCCAGGGAGCATTACTGTAAGCTGCTTCCTGAAGAGGCCCCACAAGCTGTGCAACACACTGCATGGGCAGTGGAATTCAGTAGCTCCTAACCTGTGTGCTCAGTTTATGGGAACATGTGTTTACAGTGCCAGTTGATAGACAAGGCCCTGTCCCACTGCTGCCATGGGGTCACTCAGTTGTAGTGTTGAATCCTGATTCCCCCATTATTTTTATATTAATGACCACATAGCAAGTCACTAAACATCACTTTCTAATAGGTCAAATTTGGACATTAAGACCTGTGTCAGAGGGTTGTTGAGAGAAGTGAATACAGAGGTGCCTGTGAAGTGACTGGCACAGAGGAGATTATTATTAGGTTTCCTACATGCTCCTGCTCCCCCTTCACCTGCTGAAAGTGAGGTCTCCCTGGAACCCAAGGTGCTGATGCTGACCCCTGGGCATAGCAGATGAAAGTTGTTGGCAGTGGTAATTATGGGGGCCAAGACCTTCGGAGCGGTGCACAGGATGCAGGTTGAGAGTGGAGCACAGGATGAGGGTTGAGAGGGAGGGACTGAATAGCTCACGGCAGGGGATCCCTTGCAGAGTAAGGGAGGGCAGGGCTGAGAAGGGGCTTTGCTGCAGGTCCTCAGATACACCTCTGTTTCTGTGCCATGCTCTGGGGCCAGCCTGCTCACTCCTCTTCCATTGCTATCAGCCACTGCTTCTGAGAAAGGCTGCTGTCCTTCCTGTGTCAACACAGCACCTTCTTTCCATTGCTCTTTCCTCACTTGTTCCTGAAGGGAGAAGGAACTCACCAATAATGGTAGGCACACACCTGAAGACTGAAAGGATTTTTTTCATTCCATTCTCACCCTTTTCTATTAGATTGTTACTGGGAATAAAGTTTTTTACTATCTGTGAAGGTTAGGGGAACCCAAATTTGAGCTCAGTCTGTTTTTTTTTGTGTGTGTGTTTTTTTTTTTCTCCAAAGCCTTTGAATTTACCCTCTTTGCCCTCATGGTTGACAGTGACTTGGCTCGTGGAATTGCTGGCATTGGAATCTCAATTAGAGGTATTTGAGGACTTCAAGAATCTCAGAGGGTTCAAAGATTACCCGCTTCTGCTTCTCATAGCTTCTAAATTTGCTTTTGTGGGCTAGCCTGGGAATGCATCCAACATAGGCAACATTGCTTTCATAGGGAAATTTCTTTTCAAGTTCAAGTAACTAACTTACCAATAAATTCTTGGAATGTAGGGCAGGTAGCTTTCCTTGCAGAACTGGGGTTCTGCCTGTCTGTTGGGTAAGAACCAAGCAGGATTCCAGCAAGGAAGGGGGTGATGTAGTGGAAAGAGTATGGCACTAGGAGTTGGAAGACCTATGCCTTAGTCATAGACCTGTCACAATTACTGTGATCCTGAGCCAGTCCCTTCTAAGCTTGAGGTTTTCATTTCTTTTTCAATAAAATTAAGTTGGACAGGAAGATCTTGAAGATAACTTTCAGGTCTAAGAACATAGTATCCACTGTAGAATAATATGCAAAAGTGAAAGTAGTTGTGGTAAATTTGGGATGATTTTATATAAATCTGTTATCATTACAGATGCTTTATGATTTTTTTAAAGTAGAAAGTGCTGAGCTGCCTTGACTTTTCCTATACCATGGCTCATGGTGAGGGTGAGTAGACTTACCCACCAGTGGGGTTGTTCACTCACCAGGAACAGAGGGAGACATCCTTGTGGCTTTGGTGAAGCCAGTTTGAATGCAAGTAGCTTTCCCTCCAGCTACCTTCCTTCAGTTCTCTCGTGTGTGTGTGTGTGTGTGTTTGTTTTGTTTTGCTTTTTGGTTGGTTGGTTGGTTGTTTTTGAGACAGAGTCTCGCTCTGTTGCCCAGGCTGGAGTGCAGTGGTGCTATCTCGGCTCACTGCAAGCTCTGCCTCCTGGGTTCACGCCATTCTTCTGCTTCAGCCTCCTGAGTAGCTGGGACTACAGGATCCTGCCACCACGCCCAGCTAATTTTTTGTGTTTTTAGTAGAGATGGGGTTTCACTGTGTTAGCAAGGATGGTCTCAATCTCCTGAGCTTGTGATCGCCTGCCTCGGCATCCCAAAGTGCTAGGATTACAGGCTGTTTGTTTGTTTTTTAGACAGGGTCTTGCTCTGTCACCCAAGCTAGAGTGCAGTGGTGCAATCATAGCTTTCTGTGTGATCATAGCTTACTGCAACCTTGAACTCCTAAGCACAAGTGAACCTCTTGCCTCAACCACCTGTGTAGCTAGGGCTACTCGTGTGTGCCACTATTTGCAGCTAATTTTTAAATATATTTCATAGAGATGGGATCTACCTATATTGCCCCGATTAATCTTGAACTCCTGGCTCAAGTGATCTGACTGCCTTGACCTCCCAAAATGCTGGGATTATAGATATGAGATGTGAGCTATGTACCCAACCCACTTATCTGATCTTGATGTATTGGATGGCTAAAATAATTTATATGAAATTACTGAATCTAGAAGTTTCTCAGTAGTTTAAAGACAAATAGTAATGTCTAGCAATAAATAGTAATGTCTCCAGTTGTATACCAACCCATTGCAACTCTGATTTCCATGATTTCTCAACTTTTTAAAAGATTGACAACTATGTTAATGGGAATTTTATCACCACATATTAACTAATTTAGATTTAAAATTTTAGTAAAATCCAAATTAGTTAGGTGGTTGTCTTCCATTTCCATTATCTCTGTTCATTTAGAATTGAATAAATAGGAATTATTTTCTGAAAACCTTGTAGGCTGTGACAAGCATTTAACCCAAGTGCCACTAAAATATATATATGTAATATATATTTTTATTTAAAAAAATAATATATATTTTTATTTAAAAAAATAATATATATTTTTATTTAAAAAAATAATATATATTTTTATTTAAAAAAATAATATATATTTTTATTTAAAAAATATATTTTTTATTTAAAAAATATTTTTGTTTATTTAAAAATTTTTTTTGTTTATTTAAAAAATATATATATTTTTTGAGACAGAATCTTGCCATGTCGCCCCAGGCTGGAGTGCAGTGGTGTTATCTCGGCTTACTGCAACCTCTGTCTCCCTGCCTCAAGCAATCATCCCACCTCAGCCTCCTGAGCTGGGACTACAGGTGTGCACCACCATGCCCAGCTAATTTTTGTATTTTCTGTAGAGATAGGGTTTCACCATGTTGCCCAGGCTGTTCTCGAACTCCTGTGCTTAAGCAATCTGCCCGCCTTAGCCTCCCAGTGCTGGGATTACAGGCATGAGCCACCATACCTGGCCCAAGTGCCAATTTATTTGCAGAAAATATAAATGTTCTCAGTGCTTTCTTCGTGTTTTTAAGCTTAGGAGACACTAGAAGTTGGAGAAATTAAAATCTAATTATTTTTCTTTAAAACTTTTTTTTCTTATTTGGGTTGCTGTTAAATAATAAAATACTCAAACATAAGATTGATTCAGAAAATAGCTTCTTAAGCTCAAAAATATTGCTAGAATTGTTCTCAATAATAGAACAAGTAGTTTTTGCAATGAGATTAAATAGGAGAAAGCAACCATCTTTAATTCTATTTAGTCAGAAGAGCCTTATGCTTCCAATAGCTGACATTCAACTTGGACCGTATCTGTGGCCAGGTTGATAATTCTTTTGGGAAACATGCCACTGCACTTGAGTTTTCAGATGATTGTGTCAATATTGACGTGTCGAAGAAATGAACTGCATGCCTCTCTGATAAAAGGTATCTGGTGAAGGGATTAGCAAAGGACAAGTCAGTTAGAGCAATAAACATTCCTTTCATTAGTAACGTTTGAGCAGTTCCTAAGGACATTTTGCTGCCCTTAAAATTATTCCAGAAAATGCTTACTGCTATTTGAGATGTGCAGCGGGGCAGACCTCTGGATACTTCTAAGGCTTGGTATGCTTTGTACTGGGTGATGCTGCCATACAGCTTGGACTCCAGCACCCAGGAGGCTCAGGCCAGGGATGGATTGGCTCCTGTGGAGTGAGTCAAGCCCAGTCAAGGAAACTTGGGTCAAGAAGATAAAAATTCCATCAACTAACACTTAAGAGACATTGCACTTCTTTTCCTTTGGTGACTGCCAATGTGATAACTTACAGAAGGGGAAAGGATCTGTGTGCAAGTGGAGAAAGAGAGGGAGTGCCAGAGACACAGTCAGAGAGGGAGACCAGGCTGGGTCCTTAGGAGGGAAGGAGGCCCAGGAGGAGGCAAAGGGGGAGGGAGGTCCTGGGAGGAGGAGGAGAGGGTTGGTTTCAGAGGAAATAAGAACAAAGACTCATCTTTCAGCACTCTTCTTGCTCCCACCCTCTGTCTCTCCCCCCTCTTTCTTCCTTCTTTCTTGTGTACCATAGGCCCCAAAACACACAGGGATAGCTGCCCTTCAGTGTCCGACTATCTTTTTCTGTGACACACACACACACACGCAGGCAAACTGCCATGGGATGTTTACAACTTTTTAAATAATAGTAAAATAGAAATATAAAAATTGGTATGACAATCTTAGGCAAAAAGTTAGACATGGCTGGGCGCTGTGGCTCACGCCTGTAATCCCAGCACTTTGGGAGGCTGAGGAGGGCGGATCACTTCAGGACAAGAGTTCGAGACCAGCCTGGCCAACATGGTGAAACCCCATCTCTACTAAAAATACAAAAATTAGCTGGGCATGGTGGCGGGCACCTGTAATTCCAGCTACTCAGGAGGCTGAGACAGGAGAATTGCTTGAACTCGGGAGGCGGAAGTTGCAGTGAGCTGAGATCATGCAATTGCACTCCAGCCTGGGTGACAGAGCAAACAAACAAACAAAAAAAACAATTAGACACGGATCTCATACCCTAAGAGGAGCACAAGCAATGATGTTCGTGGCTGCCTCCAGAACCATGGGTCCGAAATGACCTGGGCCTGGACTGGCGAGGGCTGAGGCTGTGGCCTGGGCTGGCTTCTGCAAAGCGCAGGGGTGGGAGCCAGGGGTTGGTACAGGAGGGGCAGTGCTGCCCACCCGCCCTTGTGGAAGGCTTTTCTAGCCCATTGCTCCTCCCTGACACTGCTTCCAGGGGTGTGATGGTGGAAGGCTTGGCTGATGGCTTCCTAATGATTCTAGGTTCATCAGACATTTGTGAGAGATTGATCACCCACACATTGACTTAAACCAAGGATCCTAAGTAGGTTTTCTTTCAAGGACCAAGCCTATTGATTGATACTAGATTTCTGAAATGCTGTGTTTAGGGTGATCTGAGGCTGTGTGTGGGCGTGGTGGGTTCAATTTGTACTGCTTGCCATGAGGGTCATGGCAGAGAGAGGTGGTTTTTCCTTCTCTAATCTAAATCCTTCTAAATTACATTAACCTTAGATTCTCCTCCCTCTTCTTAATGCATAGGGACATTTCGCCTACTCAGACTGAGTCTGAGATTAGATCTGACCTCAATTCTAAAGCATAAAATTGGAGCAAGTCCTTGAAGTAGCTTGACCACAATCCGGCTTTCTCACCTCCTTGTATGCCCTTTTCCCCTCTCTGCCCTCTCACCCACCCCCAATGCATACAAATCTCATGTGATCCTGACATTACTGAATAAATAAATACATGTTACTCTCCTGCAGAGAGCTGCCCATACCCCAGGGTGAATGACTTCAGTCCATGTTATCCCAGAGGGAGGGAGACTCTCAGGCTATCCCGCAGAGACATGACTTGCTGAAAATGGGTGAATTTGCATTCAAGTCCTCAGTGAGCCCTTGTCTGGGTTTCGCTATGAAACCAAATGGGATTCCACTCATCTGGCTCAATAAGACAGGTATCTATACTGAGGTTTGCAGCAGGAGAAGGGGAGATATTTCTCTGCAGGAGACAAGCAAGGAGGACTAGGCAGCTGTTGCTCAAATGCTGACCTCCTCCATGGCTTGAAGGTCAGGGCTTTTAAAGGCAGGGGTATATTTTAGGAAAGCAGAAGTTACAGGCAAAATCATAAATCAATAATACATGGAGGTTACACGTTGGTTTTGGGCTTTTAAATGGGGGGAATATCTTGAGGCAGAGGGCTTATAGATCATTGGTAGATTTAAAGATTTTCTGATTTGCAATTGGTTAAAGAAGGGAAACTTTGTTTAAAAACTTGGGGTCAGCAGAAAAGAATGTTAGCTGCACCTCATGGGTGGGTCTTTCTCCAGGCCCCTCAGGAAGAAATTTAGAATAAGAATGGTGGTGAGAGGTCAGCCTCCTTATCTGAGGTCTGTGTGCTGGCAGGTCCATTTGGTGGGAGTCAGAGTTTCTGAAAAACAACTCAGAGACATACGTTAAGTAAGATGTTATCTTTAGTTTTTAGAGGGGAACCAAACGTTTTGTGATTTTAGCTTTTTTTTTTTTGGCTATTGTTTTAGGCTACTATTACCTTGTTTACCAAGTTGCTTATTAACTTCTCAAGGCTAGGTAGGTACCTGGAATTCCCCTTTAAGGGACCCTAGATTTTAAAAAACTTATGTTTGGGGGGACCTGCAGGCCCCTAAGAGGGGATCCCTGCCCCATCTCAGTTTGGACACCAGCTGTGGGCTGGTTTCTTCAGGCCCTGACTGCTCCTGCTGACCAGCGAGTCTCCAGCTCTTTACAGCAGGTGGACAGGATGGTGCACTCCTTGCGAGAGACCCTGGGAAGGTAAGAGCCGAGCACACCACCCTTCACCTTCGTCTTAGGAGCCTCACATGCCCTCCTTGGTTTTCATTTGTTCTCTTCCAGTCACCTCCTAGTAATTCTGACAGACTGTCAGCCCCTCCATGGCATAATTTTTCTTCTGGAGAAGTTAGAAAGCCATTGTGTGAAGAACATCTTCAACATTTTAAAGCTAGAAGTGTCCTCTCCTTCCAACCCTGTATTCCTGAGGGAGAGCGAACCATCCAGGCATGCCACATAGCCATTAATACCACCTTGTGGTTACCCTAGAAGCTCTCCAGCTTGGGGTCCCCTTCTTCCCTTCCAGGGCAGAGGCAAGAGATTGGTCTAGCCTGCGCCAGCGTCACTCCAGGAGGGTGCTGTGAGGGAGCGAAGGGGGTCAAGGGCAAATCCCTTGACTGCCTGGACTCAAATCCCAGCTCAGGTGAGAGCTGGGTGAAAGGTCACATGAGCTTTCTAACCTCATTTGCTTGTTTATAAAACCAAGAAAACACCCTTCCCTACCCTAGGACCGTTGAAGAGCAAGTGTGAAGTGCTTGGCACACACACGGCATCCTAGCAGTGCTTAGGGCTGGCCTTTGCACTGTGGGGTGGGCGTTGCCCTGCCACAGAGATGGGCTCTGTTTATTTAACATTCAACCCTCGACATGAATGCTCCTGTGCTTTGGGCAGAGGTGGCTCCAGGCGTTCTGCGGGTAAGTGCTGCCTGTGGCACGGGTGCCTGCACTGCAGACCTCGAGAAGTGGGTCCAAATGTTAAGAAACGAAATGCCAAGAAAGCCCAAATGATTTGCACAGTCTGAAGGCAGACGGTAGGTCTGTCCGCACAGCAGGATAGTTGGGTGGCCCCTGGGGTTCCCATGTACTTCCCACTTCCACTCTATTGTGGCCTGAAGTCAGGTGCTCCCATGCGAAGCTTCTGGGAGCCGAGAGGGGAAGAAAGGCAGTGAGAACAAGCAAGGGTCGAATGCTGACCTGGTGGCAGCCAGGTGCATCCCCACAGGGACCCAGGCTGCTGGCTGGTCTCTGATGTGCCTTCCACCTTAATGACTCTGCAGTGCCGAAGCCATAGGGATAAGTGGCTACCTCTCCCCTCGCCTGGGTAATGCTGCCTGGAGGACAAGGCTGTTACGGAAAAATGTGGCACTAAGAATAGCCAGCTAGACGTGGTGATAAGGGCCCAGATGGCCAGGGATGTCAGCTGGGGACAGGGAAGGCGGAGGTGGTGGAGAAAGAAGAGGGTGATAAGATAGGGGCAGCAACACCGGAATGCACAGCTGGGGCTCTGGAGACAGGCCACAGGAGTCTGCCGTGGGCGAGGGAGCTGCCCGGAGCTCCTTCTGGCTGTGCCCTGTGGGTGTGAGCCAGTGGAAGGGAAGGTGAGTGCCAGCCTGAGCAAATCAATCAGGGAATTTCAGGGGCAGTGGGATTTTAGTGATCCTGGCTTTTACCTCCATCCACCCCTAGTACTTTAGAGGGGGAGGAATTTGTGGCTTTGAGATGTGAAGGGGCCACTTGGAGGTTGGTGGCAGAGCTCAGTCCAACCCCAGATCTTCTGCCTTTCCCACAGGTTTCCTTCTGCCACCACCCCAGGCCCTGCTGTGGCTGCCACCTTGTGAGCCTCTGCTCCACACCTGGGAGTGCAAGCCACCTCCAGCTGAGAGCTAGCAAGGGTGCAGGCAATGGTAATCCCACCGACAGACACTGAGAACCTTTGAGGCGGCAGGTCTGGAAAATACAACAGACAAGGCTGAGCCTTCCTGGGGCTCAGGGAAGGAGAGGAGTCGGACAGTTAACAAGTAAACAAGCAAACACTTGTGTCAGTTTCAAATTATGACAAGAGCTAGGAAGGAAACTGAGTAATACAAGTCTTGATTAGGAAGTTTCCCTTGCCATACTTGGGGGTCTTTCCCCTTAGAACTGTGACCACTGTGATGCCTGTTGAGAACAGGGGTGTAATTTTCTGTTTTACATATACCCTCTTCATCCTAAACCCCAGCCCCCATCCTATCACCAGGTATAGAGCTATACACAATAAGCAAATATTGACCCTCTCAGGGCCAGATGATTACTGTTTACTCCTTCTTTATGAAACTTAAGGAGACATATCCCCTATGGTGGATTTGGGTACAAATTAAGGGGCACGTGTAAACCACACTCAGAGATCCTAGGCCAAGTTTGTAGCTTTTATCGCCGAGCTGCCCACTGCAGTGTAGACAGTTGTCCTGCCCGGTGCTCCAACTGGGAGGTGGGGTGGGGGCTGCAGAGCATTTGTTGCTCCCCTGATCCCATGTACAGCAGGCTGGCTGGGCTCTCTTCAAGGTATTCACCATATTATCCTTTGGTAGTGGGAGTTCCAAAGTGGCATGTTTAGGACATGAAAACCCAACTGCTTCATAAGCTCTCAGAAATCAAACCCTTTGACATCAGCTATCACTCGACCAAGAGGCAGCTGATGCTGGCACAAAAATAACTTGGCAGGCATGTCAGGCTCGGCAGGGGGTTGTGAGGCCTCATCACCTTTGGTTGGATCTCAATGTGAAACCAGCTGGTGCTCTGACCAGGATTTAAGGGCGTTCAAAGTTGTTCCGGAGTTGTGGGCGCTAGCAAGCCCTAGGAAAGTTGTTGGAGGGTTAAGGGGGTGGCGGCGGGGTCTGCGGGGGAAGCTCCAGTCCTCTGTGGCTAAGCCAGGATAAGCATTATTATTTCCACAAATCAAGCCACGTTCATGCATAGTTCCCCTTGTGTCCTGATCTATGTAATTATGGAATGCATATGTGTGGGAAGGAGTCTTTGGAAAACCGGTTCCTGTTCTTCATCAAGAGGCTGACCTAGAAGTTTAGGAAATTGGTTCATGGGGAAATTCTGTAGCAGAGAGCTGGCAGGAATTCCAGATGGTAGGAGAGCGGGGTGCCCGAGGCAGGCAGGGGCCATGCCTGGGCTGCCTTGTCCTCTGGAGCAGGTCCTAGGAACGTGGCAGTTAGCATACCCTTGTGAAGTCTGGAGGCCTCCGGGGGGTTTCTCTTCTGTACTGAGCAGACCCCCATCCGGTTTTGCTCACCATTGTCTGCCCAATGCTGAATAGATGCCTATCACACAGAAGATGCTCAATAAATATTAGTGACATGAATGAGTGTCCTATAGTCTCCCTGGCCTCAGTTTCCCCAGATGTAATGTGAAGGAACTGGATTAGCTCAGAGGCAAAGGATTTTACCGTTCACGTCTATGACGGTTGTCTTGTAGTGACAGGAGAGCTTTGTTGAGATGTTTCTGAAGCCAAGATTTGGCATGGAACTGGGGGAGGGAGTGGAATAGGATACACCAGAGTTCTCCCTAATAGGACTTTCTCACGTCCTTGTGCTCACTAAAACCTATATGGTTGTATAATTATACAATATGTGTGTAATTGTATCGTTCTAATAGAGTTTTAGCTGGTATGGAGCTTGATAGTCTTTACAGATACTGGATCCAATCATTGGCTTTGTTTGTTCCCTGGTGAGCAAAATGATAGTAGCCACTCTGCCTCTGGGGGGCAAAAAGCAGACAAATTTAGTTCAGGCTCAGCTCAGATTCCCGCTCCGCGCTGGGATATTGAAGTCCTCACTGGCAATAAGGGATAAAAAGGTTGAGGCAATGGAATTGGAAATGAAATAACAGACAGGGAGCCTGGCAGGTGGCAGCAATGGTGAGTTAATGGTAAGTAACCCGCAGCTTCGCCCCTGGACTGATGGTGCCTTCCGTGGGGTCTTTGCTCCCAGCTGAACTGGGACATGATGGCACCTGTGTGGGTGGCCTGCTTTACTCCTCTAGAGCAGAGACCTCAGGGCTTTCATTCCTGGCTTTGAACGCCCACAATTACTCCCACATGGCTCAGGGATCGCAGTGTCCCAGAGTTAATGATGCAAATGCAGCTGTGCCCTAAAACAAAAGGCAGCGGGTATGCGCTTTGGAGAGGGCGTGCATTTGGGAAGATGAGGATGCTCCTCCTGGTACTCTGCCCAGCCCACAAAGCAGAGGAGCATGAGCCCGTGCCATGTGAATGCTGATAGGAGTGTCCTGAGCTGGTGAACACCATGCTGCCACCTCTCTGAGGTGCAGTCTCTCCCTGAGGCCCCACACCCCAGCTCTGGGTCCTGCCTGACCCGAGCCAGCTTGCATCCTGCTTTACTGTCTGCTTTCTCAAGGTTTCCTGAGGCTACACCTCCTCCCAGAAGGCTTCAAAATTGTTATGCGTGGATATCACCCCTTTGTTTTCCTTGGTCACCCTGTGTCCACAGCAAGTGGTTGTCGATCGACTGCCCTGCCCTGGTGGCCCCTGGACTTCTCCTGAGTACTGGGCTCACTTAGAACAAAGAGAAGTCCAGGCAATTAGGATCAGAACAATGGTCTATTCAGCACTTCTCCAAGCAAAGACTCCTTTTGTCCAGAGTGCTGACTTCGGAAAGTTCTTCTTGAGGTTTTGGTGTAGGAAATTAGAATCACCAGGGCAAAGACAGTAAAAGAGAACTTCCCTGTGGGAAAATGACCCTGTTTAAAGGTAGTTGGTTTTCTGCTACTCACACAAATGCTTGTCTGTCTATCCACAGAATAAGTGATACTTTCTTTGCAGCACGCGGAAAGGTTTTTTGTTTCAGGGAAGCAGCTTCCAGGGCACAATTTTGTTTCTATCCCGGGGACGTTTCACATAAACGAGATGATATGAGTAATGATTTTCATAGTGTTTGTGGGCAATGACAAAATACCTGTGAAAGAATCCAATCCAGATGGAGAACCAATTGTTATTTCCAACCATTTTAGTTCCCAGGGTTAAAGTCAGCAAATACTGGCTGAGAGGATAAAATCCTCAAACTCAGATAATGATGTTGCTTGAAAAAATGGAAGTCTCTAACCAAAACTGAAAAGAATATTAATTGCAAATTCCACTTCTCCATAGTGCATACTTTGCTGTAATCTTAAATATATAAGTTACTTGGCCTACATGATTTCTATTAAGATGCAGCTTTTATAAACTTTCGAGTATGAATTAGCATCTGGTGGTGTTTTCGATGAATACTTCTGAAGGCTTTGTGTGAGGAAGCCTGTTAGGGTAATGGCAACCTCTCTCTCACAATAGTCCCTTGTAGAATACTCCTGTGTCATCCCTGTTTTATGGATGAGAAAAAACCAATTTGTCTAAGATCAAATATTTAACATGTGAAGGAGCTAGAATTTTTAAACAGCTTATTGAGATATAATTTACATACCATAAAATTCTCCCTTTTAAAGTGTGCAATTCAGTGGTTTTTAGTAGATTCACCAAATTTTGCAGCCATTGCCAGTATCTAATTCCAGAACATTTTCATCACCCCAAATAAAAACCTTATACCCACTAGCAGTCACTCCTCATCCCCATCTTTTCCTCCCCAGCCCTAGGTAGCCACTGATCTACTTCTGTCTCTGTGCTTTTGCCTGTGCTGGACAATTCATATATACAGAATCATATAATATGTGGTCTTTTGGGACCGGCTTCTTCCACTTAACATAGTGTTTTTTCAGCTTCATCCATGTTGTAACATGTATCAATACTTCTTTTTTTCTACTGCTGTGTAATTTTCCAGTGCATGTATATGCCACATTGCATCTATCCATTCATCAGTTGATGGACATTTGGGTTGTTTCCACTTTTTGGCTATTATAACACTGCTGTGAACATTGAAGGGGCATAAAGAGCTGGAATTTGAACCACTGTGCTGTCTGCATGTGATTGTTGTGAGCACTTTGCATCCACTCCAAAGAGGTAGAATTTTACAACAGGTAAGATTCTACAACAGCTCCTTTGACATGACCAAAGCCCATCCTTAGCCTCCTTCATTTGAAGGCAAAACACAAGCCCAGTGAAATGAAATGAGATGTTTTAATCTTGGCTACTCCATGTGTGGTCCTTGGGCCAGCACCACCAGCTTCTCCTGGGAGCTTGTTAGAAATGCACCACCTGTCCGTAATCCCAGCACTTTGGGAGGCCGAGGCTGGCAGTCACCTGAGGTCAGGAGTTCGAGACCAGCCTGGCCAACATGGTGAAACCCTGTCTCTACTAAAAATACAAAAATTAGCTGAGTATGGTGGCACACGCCTGTGATCCCAGCTGCTCAGGAGGCTAAGGCAGGAGAATTGCTTGAACCCAGGAGGTGGAGGTTGCAGTGAGCCAAGATTGTGCCACTGCACTCCAGCCTGGGTGACAGAGTGAGACTCCATCTCAAACAAACAAACGAAATGCAGCACCTGAGACCTGCTGAATCAGAACCTACATTTGTCACCCAATTCCTGATCCCTGGGTGATGAGTTAACTCATTGAAGTTTGAGAACTGCTAGTGAGTCACACAGCTAGGGCTAGAGCCCTGATTCCCAATTTCAAGTTGAGGGGAATTTTTATTCCTCAGTATCACTTCTGAACATGTTCAGAATGCATTTTTCTATAAAATATTAATAACTTCCAATAACTTCCTCACTGCATCAAAACATGAGATATGGAGACACCAGCTTTTCCACACTGACTCAGTGTAAGAAAAGAAACTGAAAGGAAGATATTTTCACATCATCTTTCATCATTCTCAGAGTATGTTACTAAGCCTTCAGGTCCCCTGTGCCAGTTGTGCTTAATCTGCAACATTTCCATAGGAATATATCATTGGCTTTGAGAATGCCTTGGCAAAGGAGGCTTTTCACTCCTGAACACACTTTTTGGGAAGCATCCTTGGGTATTAGTAATATACTTGGAACCTGTTTGGGGAAACATATCTGATCCCAGCATTGCTGATCCCACATCCCACCCTTCCTGTAGGATATGCTCATATGGCAGTGACATCCAGGTTCTCTAAGTAGTTGATTCTTTTACTCCTGACTTTCTTCTTCCATTGACCTTGAACAGTTTAAGTTGGAATTTAGAAAACAACATTCCTTCTACTACTTATGCATCATAGAACAGTAAGAAGACCTGGAAGGGACTCAGATCCTTAAAGTATCTTGATTTGGGGTTGATGTTACAAACCAGGGACAAGTAGACTCCAAAAGATTTTCCTGTCCTTTTATTTTACTGACTCCTCCACCACGTGCACAGGAACATGGCTCTCTTCTTTTTGTCCCATAAGTTGGTTCAGTGCCTGCAGGAGGGATATGCGCATGATGGTGGCAGTATGGAATGGAAGGGAGAGAATAAGGATTTGGACATCAATGCTACATCTATAGATTTTGGCAAATACTTTAAAGATGGTTCTTGTCCTATCTGGCTTCTGTTTGGGCCATGCTCTAACAGTTGTGATGTTGAGTTTTTAGAGTTGGAGGCAAACTGCAAACTGAGGGCTAGAGCTGTTTCCCTGCAGCTGGAGGCTTAGAGCCTGGCAGTCCCTGGAATCAAAGGAGGGATCAGGAGGGCCGAAACTGGAAAGGTCCATATTTGAGGAGTGGTGGGATACAGAGTGAGGTAGGGTGGCGGCAAGCCTTGGAAACCCCACGGAAGAAACATGGGTGGCTAGGGTCTGGCTCAGTTGGTTCAACAACCACACCTCTTAGATCACCTTTGCGTTAGACTGATGCAGCCTGAGCTCCTGGGGCAGGAGCGGTTCACAGAGCCAAGAAGCCCCTTGGCCATGGCTGGGAGTAAATTCCTGAGGCCTGGGGCCCTCTGGCTGGAATGAGCCCTCTGGACTTTTGAAAGTTTGGCCGGTTTCCCTTTAAGCTGAAGTCAAAGCTGCCTGGGGTACAGGTGACTTTTCGCTAGTTTTGGGCTCAGCTAGTTTTCAGGGTCTTTTGAAGAGGTTGAAAATACACACATACACACACACACACACACACACACACACACACACACACACACACACACTCTGCAAAATTTAATGCCTTCTACTTGGAGAACAGAAGAGCTTGGACTATTTCTTTCTTGGCTTGTTTTATCTGTAAAGTGTTCTGACTTGCAGGACGAGAGGAAGGTTGTGCATTTCCTGGCAGTGTTACTGCCTACCCCAGAAGCCCACAGGTGGTTCATCTCCCCAGTCAGCCCAGATGTGGCTTTTCCCCTTGTTTTGATGGACTTGGGTGCTCACCTGTCTTTGGAGCTCTTAGCAGCTTGGTGTCACTCTAATGGCTAACCTACATGCAGAGATGGTGTCCTGAAGGACCCTGTAGTTTGGCTGCTGGCATTTTTGGCCATCCTGTGATTCCTTTGGAGATCTCCACCAGGGTTATTGTTTGCTGTGACTGCCATTCCTCACTGGCTGCTGTCTTTTTAAATAGGTAGTTCAAGCAGTCTGAATCTCCTCGTGGAGGGGTTGGGTGCGGGGTGGGAGGTGGGGTGTGGTGGTCAATAAACACAAAAGAAATTGAGAATTCTAATGGGAAGGACTTGCCATCAAAATCAAGACCAATAAAGCAATTTCTGAGAAACATTCCCTAAAATAATTAGGTACAGAAACTGTTACTCATGCTGCTTAGTTTAAATGTATATATGATGTTAATTTATTCATTTAACAAATAGAGCAATGTATACCAAAATCTATAGAGGTGGGATTACAGGAGACTTTTACTTCATATATAGAAACATACACACACACACACACACACACACACACACACACACACACACACGCATACATACATATATAATTGTAATTCTTTTTTTTTGTAAATTGCAGCATTTTTTCACAGTGCGAATGAATTGCTTTTGTAATCAAGAACAGCTACACATATAAACTAATGCTCTAGAAAATGTTATCTAAAACCTATGAGCTGTAAAAAATGTTGACAAAATGTACAATTACTAGGTATTTTAGGAAAAATATGACCCAAAGATTGGTCAAGAAATGTATTTTTAAAAGCATTTCACTAATATAGTGATTATTATTATATTGAATTTATGAAGCTTGTTCATTTGTTTACTCATTCATTCCATCAACCTATTACTCCTCTGCTGAGCCCTGTTTTTTGACAGGCACAGTGCTGAGTGCGTCCCAAGGATGCTGAAGTGCCCTGGTTGTGGTGCCTGGCCTCCCATGGCATATGGTTTTGCTGGCTGCGACAGCTCCTGTTCCGCTGGGTGCTGCTGTAAGGAGCGTCTCACAGGCTGTCAGAGGGCCTGAGAAGCAGGACCATCTTTCCCAGGGGCATGGAAGGTGATGCCAGCAGAAGGCAGGAAGGAATCTCTTTATTCTACCAACTTACATCCCTTGGCTACAGGGTTCAGGACTGTGGGATGGGGCCTGTTAGGCTGCACCAGGCGAGCTCCTCATGCCCACAGAGGGCAGGCAGGGCAGCAGAGTGAAAGAGTGAGCTGGGAGGCGGGGAAGGCATCCCATCACCCTAAGACCTGTGGGTGCAAGTTCTCTGTCTTTTGGCCCCCCATAGTCAGGAAAGGGCCGTAGGATACTCAGTGCTCATTATGTTGAAGTCAGCTCTTAAGCCAGTATGAGTCACTGAATCCTCACGATCAAAGGCAGTAATTTCATGTCGATTAGCTACTTCAAAGCAAGTCATGGGAAAAATTAGGAATCTGGAAGCAAATTGAATTATACATCAAAGGAAAGCAATCTCTTGACCTTTCTTCCTCCCCACATCAACTGTTCTTAAGTGTAAAGATCCAAACTGGGTATAGTCAATTCAGTGTGGGGGCATGAAGGTCAGTTAAGCCAAGGGACTCTTTGAGCACTTTCTTTACCAAGGAATGTTCTTGGAGCTGCTGGAATATGGAAGAAGCATAGGATGAAGATCTTGTCAGAAAAGTACTAACCATGAATTGAGGAAGTAAGACCTGCACACAGTAAGACTGCCATACAGTGTCATAAATAAATGGGGTGATACAACTTGGTGTGCTGTGAGACCTGCAAGAGGAGGAAGACCATGTGGGCAGGAGTTATCTGGTGAGGGTGGATTTCATGGCAGGTCCTTGAAGGTGTGTCCAGTTTGGAGAGATAAGGAGGAGGACAGGGACATCCAGGAGAAGGTGAGGAAGGAGGTGACCTGTGGGGTGTGCACAAGGGTGGTCAGACCTGTCTCCTTAGTTGGGGCAGGAGGGAGATGAGGTTGGGATGGTGCAGTTCCTGAAGCTGGATGGAAGCATTTAGACTGGGGCAGGAAACAGAGTCAATGATGGTTTATAAAGTGGGGATAATCTGATGAAACAAATATTAGGGATTAGCTTGGTATTGAATATTAATCACTTTTCATTGAATCTTAGGCTTAAAGCTCAAGGGAAGATAACTGAGACCCAAGAAGTCAAGTGACTTTTCCTGTGACAGGGAAATAGCCAAAATGTGTGTGTGTATATAAATCCACTCACCCACCCATCCATCCATCCATCCATCCATCCATCCATCCATCCATCCACCCACCCACCCACCCACCTACCTACCTACCTACCTACCTACCTACCTACCTACCTACCTACCTACCTACCTATCTACCTATCTATCTATATCTATTTATCATCTCACCAGTCTCTGGAAAAATACATGGAATAATAAAAGGAATGTACTAGGACTAGGTACTGTACCAGGTGTTAATGGGAGACATAAAAGTACAAGTCTTAAATCCCTGATAGCCCTGAGATGCTACAATCCAATTAAAGGTACAAATGTATGACAAGTGGGCAACACAGAGACAGTGAGCTCACTTGGCAGGGTGTGGTTCTTGGCACAGGAAGTAAGGGAGCAAAGATGGCAGAGTCTCTGGACTGGGATGGTCAGGGAAGACGAAGAACCACGGCATGCAGTGCTGAAAGGACTGCAGAGATGTCCTGGCCCAACATGTGCACTCCATGCCTCTCAACAGGTGGGCAGGATTTTGACAGACTGAAAGAACAGAGCTCTGGAAAGAGAGGCAGGAGGCCCCAGGAGACAAAACATGACAACTTAGATAGCAGGGTCTGTTCAGGTGGCAGCGAATGATGGTAGTGGGGGTGTCATTTGAGCAGAGGGTTCTGAAAGGTGAGCAGTAATTGGTTGTTGTAATGCTTGGGTGTTAATGAGATATTTAAAGGTTTTTAATGCTACTTTTCTGTCACCTGTGATGTTGGCAAAATACCTTAATCCAGGCCATTGTCACATCTTTTTTTGATGAATGTAGCACTTTTAAAATAATTTTTAAGTTTTGTGAGTACACAGTAGGGGTATATATTTATGGGATATACATGCGATATTTTGATACAGGCATAATCACATCATGGTAAATGGGGTATCTATCACCTCAACCATCTATTCTTTGTGTTACAAACAATCCAATCATACTCTTCTAGTTATTTTTAAATATACAATTATTATTGACTATAGTCCCCTTGTTGTGCTATCAAATACTAGCTCTTACTCATTCTTTCTATTTTTTTTGTACCCATTAACCATCCCCACTCCCTCTGCCAATGTAGCCTCTTCTTAAACAGGTCTGCCTCCTTCTGTCCACTTTACAGATATTTATCAAGGACCTTGAATCCCTCCAAATGACCTCCACATTGAATGTAGCCAGAGTGATTGTTCTAAAAGGTACATTGGATTGTATCCCACTTCTCTACTTAAAACTGCTTGGTGGCTTTCGGTTACATTTATCTTCTCTTCTCCTTTTTGTTACCCATTAGTCCCAGCCAAGTTACTCCTGGTAATCTTCCACACTTAACTCTTGCTACCTACCCCAATCCTCCCCACCTCCACCCCCTGACTCCTTCAAACTATTGAAGATACTTTGTTATTCTGATCTTCTAGACTAAGACTTGAGTTCTTATTTTCTTCTCCCCTCACCCAAAGTATAAATATCAAAGAGAGGATTCTAAATATACCTTATACAACGTATAAAAAGACAAGATTTGATGGACTTTTATCAACTTCAGATAGTCAAGTGCAAATAACAAGCATGCCAGGTTCTTTTGCATCTCTTCGCTTCCTGCGTGTCCCTTTCCAGTGGCCATTGCTGTGTGTCTTTGTTTTGTTCAGTTGTTCACATGTATTACAGATAAAGTAGGTAACCTCTGTTTTACAGAGATGGGAATGAGCCACATGCATAAATTAATTCTCAAGAAAATGAAAGATTATGCCTTAAATGTGAAAAAATTTAAAGAAGTTTATCTGATTTGGGTGTAAGTCTGACAGGTACTATACATTGCCTTTTTGTTTGTTAAAGGACACTGAACCTATTCATAATATAACCCTTCCTGTGTCATCATAATAAACCCGGGTCCCGGAGTGAGCTGCAATACAGTGGAGCTGTCATCCTTTTTGCCCAGTGATCACTTGTCCAGATTTCCTTGCTTGCTTAATATTAAGTGTGTAGCCATCTATGTTGGTAGTGTCATAAGTTTACAGCTTTTGAAAATTTCTGCCACATTGTAATTGCCTTGCATCTGTCCTAACAGTAGCATGTAAGGAACATTCAGTTGCTCAGGGCCATTTTAGGAATGTGTACTATAAAGTATATATATATATATATTCCAAATGAATGTATTAATATATGATGAATATGAATAGCCATTATTCTTAGACATATATTAAGAACTCTTTGACTATATAGCGTGAATATATTAGATATATTTCTTTGTTTGGAAAGAGCTTAGGAGGGAATGTCTGTAATCAGTAGATCCATAAATGTGTAAAATGGACTGACGAGTCTCATTCCGCTTTACCCTCCATGCTACTGCCCAGGTAGGCTGGCACTGATGCCCTGCCACGCATTTTCCCTGAGAAAAGGGTCCACTCTTCCTGCAACCTATTCTTCCCACAGTTCTTCCTCAGCTGCAGCTTCAGGGGGCAGAATCAGAAGCAAATTAACCATTTCTAAATACTGGCCACCCAGAACTAGGCAGAACTAGCTGTTAAAACAATTACAGCCAGCCAAATTGTTAAGATTTTGTAAATTGTAAAGAGAAACAAATTAATTCTGCAAACTGGGTTTAAGCAAATGTACTTTCTGTAAACTCGCCTGCTTCTATGCAGTGGCACCTTGATAGCCCCGTATAAGACGGTTTATCCCTTAGCCTCAGCCAGTTCTGAGGTCCGGTGTCCACATACCTTTTCCTCCTCAGTGCTGCTCCAGGGGCCCCTACTGTGCCCATCCCACACCTTGCCTCGTCCACTGCTTTTCATTTGCTGTGTTGGAGCATCTGTTCCCCAGGCACATTAGAATCATGGAAAAATTACATTTAAATCTGTACAGAAATATTTGCACACATACAGGGAGATGGTCATTGTCCAATATCCATCTAAAGTTTCGCTAGCGGGAAATTGGGGTTAGCTGAAATGTCTACCCAGAAGAGGGAAAGTGAACTCAATTTCAGTCCTTCTGACCTAGGAACATGCAGCACGAGGCTCTTGCCTACACCTTCAAGGGCATTATTGACATTGACAAATATTTTAGTTATTCAAAGGCCTTTTCCATTTACAGTTTTTTAAGCTTTGTTCTGGAGGTTTGCAGTTTCTGTAAGGCTCTAGAAACGTAGGAGAGTAACTTTAGTCATATTGCCCACTGTTGTCACTAAGATATTATGTACAAAACTAATTGTAGCAGGTAAATAGCATTTCGTCCTTAATTTGTTCTTTGTAGCAGCCTGGTGCAGTAGAATAGACCAACCTCCATATTAGTAAATGATTTGTATTGCATGTTCATTGGCAGGCTTCAGTAATGATCTCAATTAAGGTTCATCACCACATCATGAGTTGCCTCCACATTCTTCTTGCTTTTGTCTCCAAATGGGGATTCCAGCAGTTTTTCCCTTGCCTTGAGCACTTCCTTCTTCATGGCATTAGGAAAGCATTCATGTTCTCTGGAAACTCAGGCCATTTCCAACCACAGTTTTTTTATGCAGTGCTGTAGGCCAGGCTGGGCATATTGGGAGGTGGTTTTTTTTTTTTTTTTTTTTTTGCGTTTAAAGAGCATAACTCATTTTTTAAAAAGCTTATAAGGCATTCTCCAGCTGGTGTTGGAAATAAACCTTAATTTCCCTCAGCTTTTCTCTTTCACTGAAGGAGAAAAGCAACAGGACTGAAGGAAGGAGGGGAGCGGTGGAGTCATTGTTGCTTTCTGTGTTTGTTCTTTGCATCTCTTTTCTTAGTAAATTGCCTCAGGAATTTCTGCAGGCGGCTATAATCTACTCTTGAAAGGCCTCCTTTTGGACCAAGCTCTTCAAGTGAGCCAAAACTCTCCCTAAGACTGCAGGGTTTGGGAGAAGACAATGAAAAGAAAGGGAGTATTACCATATGGTCCTTCTAGTGGGATTGCAAAATTTCCTTAAGTTGCTGTAAAGTGGGGGCTGGGGAAAAGGCAGACAACTTTTTTTTTTTTTTCAGGATAGCAGTCACCACCCTCCCTTCTTCCCACTTTCTCTTTTCACCCCCTCCCCACCCAAGTTGGTTGCAACAGAGCTTTCTTACATGGTTCTGAAAACGGGGACATTTGGGTTCCGTTGGTACCATGGACAGATACCACGCAGACATTTTTCTCTCTTGGTATTTTGAGATAGTGTCTCACCTTGAAATAAACAAAATACAAATGACAAAAATTTGACTTTTATTACCATGGGAATTAATGTTGGAAGCAGGCTAAACACAATTTTTGTATAAACTGTCAAAGACAAAGGTATTTTTCTCTCATGGCTGACATTTTAAAAGACATTCCTTTGCCTCCTACCCATTTAAAAAAAAAAGTCTTTGCACTATTGAATCAGAGGCAGTCTTTCTGAAACTGTGACTTCTGCTGTTAATCTAGTTGAAAGTGAGAACAAATTAATTCATGTTTCCTCAACTCCGAACAGTGATGTAAAGGGAGCTTGTTATGGGTTAGAGTTTTAAGGAATTAGGCAGAAGGTATGTATGTCTGACACCTTATGTCTTAAAGATCCTGAAAATTATTTCAAGCTCTCAAATTATAAAAAAAAGAAGGTGGTGGAAACAGACTTCAAATACCCTATTCATAAGATAAGAGGAAGAGGGAAGGAGGGGGAGGGTACTGGTTCTTTCATTCACCCTACCTATTATGTGTCAGTCACTGTTTAAGGTCTTGGGGATACAGCAGTGTGTAAAGCAGACACAAATCCCTGTTTTTATGGAGCCTACATTTCAGTGGGGGAGACAGCACATAAGGTAAATCAGTAAAATACATAGTGTGATAATGATAAGTGCTATGAGAGAAAAACAGACACGTGCTTCTGAAAGAAGAGTATATTTGGGTGCACGTCTGAGATTTTAGATAGCCAGGGAAGTCTCACCCAGAAGGATCTGGAGGATCAGGGTTATATGAGGACAAGGGGAGAAGCAGGGTGACCACTGCGTGACCCCCCCGCCCCGCAAGGCATGATTGCTTAGGCCAGAAGTGTACCAGGGCAGTAGTAAGAAAGGGTTGGATGTGGGATTCCTTGCCAGATGAGACTGGGAGTATAGTAGGGAGAGGCAAGAAGGCTGGCGACAGGGTTCTACCCTGAGCAACTGATGCAGACCCCGTGGTTCCTCTGCTGTGGGTCTCCAAAGCAGAGTCACCAGGACTTTTTGGTTTGTCCTGTCTTATACTTTGTGTAATTGCTTTCACACTAGTTTGCAAACTCCCTGAGAGCAAGTCTTTTATCTTTCTTTCACACTTCATGGAGTCCAATAAATGTTTGTTTGACTTGAATGGAATTGAGTCTATTCCGAGATCATCCGGTGAACAAACACACACACACACACACACACACTCACACACACACAGAGAGAGAGAGAGAGAGAGAGAGAGAGAGAGAGAGAACGAGAACATTGTAGACTACCTGCCAGGTTTACAATGCATGACTCAACTGCAGTTAAAAATGATAGCCAAGGGCCATGATGAAATCTTTTCTGAGCCAGCCAGACCCATGCCTGTGTGGGCTCAGAATAGTGGGAAGAGAGATGGAACTTCACTTCAAATGCAGCTCCAAGGCTCCCCATCCTGGCTCTGGAGCAGCCAGGAAGACTGCTTTGTGAGTGGGAGGATTGGAAGAATTTGGGATTTTGGGGAATTTTGCCAGATGGTTTGACCTCTGGTGTTTGAAGGCCAGTCACAAAGATTCTACTTTGTAACTTAATCTGGAAGTGACCCAGGTCTTATGGTATGTCCTGAGCCCAGGACTAAGCCAGCAGAAAAGTGTGGCTGATGGAGAGGCAGGAGCAGTGTTGGTTGGCACTGACAGATGGACGGCAAAGCTCCCAGGCACAGTCGGGCTCAGCCAGATGCTCCACTCAGCACAGCCAACCACTGTCCTGGAACCAAGGAGGGAAAGGAGAAGAAGTGGTACTAAGATCCCACCCACTCTTTACTCTTGCTAGCCCAGTATCTTTTTGTGTATTGCTGTCTATTACTTTATCCATCTACTGAGTATTGAAGAACGTGTATATGTCAGAGGAGTCTGCACTCCACTGGCTCTTTATGTTTTATTCCAAGGTGAACAAAACCATAATTAATGCTAGTAAAACACATTACCAAGTATTTTCACATGAACAGGGTAGGTTTTATATTAACCCATTTTTCATATGAAGAACTGGTACAGAGATTGTCATTAAAGGGTGGATGTATGTGCCTCTGCAACCTTTCTGGCCAATGACATATCTTGAATGTCATACATTTCGCCATCGGAGAAGCATTTTGTCATCTCTGATGCTGGTTAATGAGCCCTCTGGAGCAGATGTCGATAGCAGGATTAGAAGCACATGTAATAGCCACTCCTGGCATGGACTCCTTCACATTCAAACTGGCCACCTCTTCAAGCACTGCAGGTGTTAACTACATGCCCCGAGGTCAGTGGTTCTCTGAGCATCCTCCCAGGACCATTCACCAGCTGTGGGGACACCAACTGTGAGTCTGGTAGAAATGCGGAATCCCAGGCCCTACCCCAGATCTGCTGAAGCTAAATCTGTTCTTGTCAAGTTCCCCAGGTGATTGCTGTGCACATTCAAGTGTGAGACGATTAAAGATATCACATACATCAACTATTGTATTTCTGCTAGACTATTTAAAAATCCTATGTGACAGTCCCAGCTGTGGATAATTCTTAGCTGTGAGGGCTCCTTCATATAGGCAACCTGTGCCACTTGTTGCTTCCCTTTTGTTGACTTCTTGACATCTTTTTCTGTTCAATTGTCTAGTTCTTTTAATATATGTCTCAGAAAATGTGTAGCCTGAACCTCCGATGACCTGCTTTGCAATTGAAGGTAGGATGTGCGTGGACTCCTATGTCTCTCCCATGCCACATACCAGACTGGCCAGGGAGGAGCTGCTCTTGAAATTCCTTTTTGGTTCATGGAGATGCTAAAGGTGCTTCTCTGACTTAGGCTGACTTTGCTTAAATATTCTCTAAATATGGTATTAACTGGTGAAATAATACTAAAAATCTAGTAGCCTTAAGTCTCAATGAGAATATAAAAACAGGCCTCCTCATAATTTTCAGACTAGGAAAAAACAAAACTCTGCTTCCTTGCAAAGCAACAGTTTGGGTGCTTGGTTTAGTCCTAATGGCACCTTTCTCTGCAGTCGATGTTTGAGGGAGCCTCTAAGTATGGTATAATGACGGGTGTGCATGTCTCTTCCTGAGGCCATATGTAGACACAGGAAAAGCTCCAGCCCCCCAGGGGGTGTGGTGAAGGCTGGGGCCCTGCTGTCGGACCACAAAGATTACTGAGGACATTTTCCATGCCTGTGGCTCTGGTGTGTGTGGAGGAAGGGGAAGCCTAAGGGAGAACTCACTGGGGCAGTGAAGGCACTGTCCCGGCTGGCTTCCTGTTCCTGGTCTGTTACTGTGCCCCCCACCCTCAGGGTTCTGCAGCTGAATTGCCACCAAGATTGTGGCCCACACAGAGGGTGTGGTCGAGCCAACTTCATTCCCGGTGATCACGTGCTTCTATCTGCTCTACAATGATCTGGGAAGGAGTTGGGGTGTGGGGGCTGCCACTTGAGCATTTGGGGGTGGATGGGTGGTAGGTCTTCACAGCCAACAAGAACTTCATCTCTTGTGAATGTATCTTAAGTTCCCCTTTCCCCACCCATATGTCCTGGCTCTTATCATGTACCAGTCAGAGGTTGGTTCACATTCTCTGCCTGAAATAGTTCCACCAGCGATGAGCCTGCTGGGATCCATGGTGATCATGGTGTTAGAATGGTATGCTCTTTTCCTTGTCTTCTCCTGTCAGTGGCCTGTGGTTGCGAGTCTTTCTTGCAAAGGCTCCCTTGGCTTAGACCTCAGTGTGAATTGATGAAGCCACTCAGAAAGGGAGGGAGGGAGAGTGAGCATGGTGTGCCAGCAAGCCTGTGAGCATGCGCCCACCCATAGGGCCTGTGGTGGTTTCTCTTAGCAGCTCCCAGTCCCTGCTCCCCACCATTCTGTGAAAGTCCAGGGGCTGCCCCAGCAGTTTTCTCTGTGAACTGACTCAGATGAGACAAGTAGACCCCAATGAAGTACCAGTGGAGCTTGTGAGAAGAGCGCCCTTGGTGTTCTTCCTTTTAGTGACAAGTGGCATTATCATGTCAAGACACCACATGCTAGGTGAACCTGAAACCTAGCACAGAGCATGATACATAATGGACAACATCGTGTTGGTTGAGGAAACATCAGGAAAGCATTGCTCAGCCAACCTACCATGAGGGTGATTATTAACTATTCCAGAAGTCAGCCTGTGTCTCTTGCAGAGGAAAGAAATGGTGCTGCCCATCATAGGACCACAAAGGTTCCCAGCAATGCCAGGCTGTCTCACTCTTTGGTGTCTACTGTATGTGTTCCCTCAGCCTGGAAAACTGCACCTGCCTTTATTCACGTGAATTACTGACTCATTTCCCCAGAGTTTACCCAAATGACTAGGGCCCTCCTCTGTTCCATCACTTCCTGCATTAGGCTGCACATATCTACCTGGGACTCTGTCTTTCCTGTTAGACTCTAAGTTCCTCAACACCACCACATTTTTTGCTCATCTTTGTATACTTAGCAGCTGGTAGTGAACACAACAGAACTTCCTCCATTTTCCCATTGGCCACTAAATGGCTGCCGAGTGCAACACTGGCTCTCTCCTGGATGGTTCTGTCTACATCCACCACTTTGGCCCCAACTGGCTTCTCCTCTCCCAGTCACAACATATGGGGGCTACACTTGGTGTTCAGTTTCTGTGTCACCAGCTCACATTATCTGTACTCTATCTCAATGCATTCATGGTCAGTAATGATTTTTGTGTTGCTTTATATTCATAGGATGTTCTTGTTTTTGTTTCTTGAAACAGGGTCTTGCTCTGTCTCCCAGCCTGGAGTGCAGTAGCACGATTATAGCTTACTGCAGCCTCAATCTCCTGGGCTCAAGCCATTCTCCCAACTCAACCTCCTGAGTAGCTGGGACTAAAGGTGTGTGCCACTGCCCCCAGCCCAAAGGATGTTTTATAGTGATCTAAGTTTATATAACATCTTATGGATGGTATTATCTAGAAAGGAAACAAGTTATTTAAGGTCAATATTTAAGAGTTAGAACTAAAACTGAATTGTAGATCCTCTAGAATCAACCTTCCTTTTCTTTATCAACCTTATTGACGAGTAATTCACATGCAATAAAATGCACACATTTTAAATCCAGTTCACCTTTTGACAACTATATCTCAAACAAGACAAAAAATATTTTCCCATAGTTTCCTTCATGTATTTTCCCTATCAATCTCCGCTATTCCCAATCCAGGCAAGCACTGGTCTGCTTTGTCACTATAGATCAGATTTGTCTTTTCTGAAACTTTATGTGAATGGAATCATACAGTATCTGGTATTTTGTGTCTGGCTTATTTCATTTAGCATAATATTGTTAGAATTCATCTAGGCTGCATGCGTCAGTAGTCTATATTGCTGATTAGTGCACCCTTGTATAATGTACCACAGTTTATCTGTTTGCCAACTGATGGACAGTTGAGTTGTTTCCAGTAGGGTGTTTTTAAAAATCATTCTGAGTAAAGCTTCTATGAACCTTGGTGAAATGTTTTTATGTGTGTAAATTTTCATTTTCCTTGGGGAAAGTCCTAGAAATAGAATTGCTGGGTTGAACAGTAGGTGTATATTTCAGTTGATAAGCAACTATCAAACTGCTTTCTAGAGAGGTTGCAGCATCTCACATCCCACCAGCAGAGCGTCAGGTTCCAGTTGTTCCAGGTTCTCCATAAGCTTATATGACCATTCTTTTTATGGTTAGCCATTCTAACATTGTAACATGCAAAACGTAGCCAAGAGATATTAAAGTTCTTGCCTAAAAGCACACAGGCAGTAAGTGCCTGAGCTGTGGTCACCCTGCTGGGCCCCTGAGCCTGTTGCTGGTTGTCCTCCCACTGCATCCTGCCCACTTCTCTGTATGGACCCTTCTGTAACTGTGTTATTCCATGGGAGATGACAGAGGGAAATGGTCAGTTTCATCAGGAAATATACTCTGATTAGGTATTAGGCTCAGAAATATTTATTTAGCTGAGGTTCTAACCCCAGGTTCTCTTTCTCTTTTCTGCAATTGAAGTCTGGCAGAACTTTGAAGCTATATCCACATTGTTTCTTAGTGAGGTTCTCAAATGTGTTGGACTCACCCAGCTGTCACAACAAAGGGGAAGAGACCTTATGTTTGGTATTTTGCATTTTTTTGTTTTCACTGAGACAACTTGCTGGAACTGCATGGCACTCTTGGCTTAGCCCTCCTTACCAGAGGACACACAGCCTGGAAATAAATACAGAGGAAAGTGTCAGGAGGCCACGGAGGATCCACACACAGCTTGTCCGTTTAATGTGTACAAACCTTAGGCTAGGTGTGAATTTGTTATGAGACAAAACCAGTATTTAAGCTGTACTGAACTTGTAAAAATGCCAGTATATATTATTTTACTGTTGTTCTTCTGTTCCCCATTCATTACTGAATAAACTCCCATCAAAACAGTTGTTTTAAATATCCATTCTTTTTTCTGATGCAATTTTCTTTGCTTTATGTGATACTTGCCATAGATTTGTGGCTGTTTCCATCTTGAAGAATACTTAAAGGAAGAACCCTGGCCCCATGGGTTGGGGCAGGTGAACTGCTGAGTTTTATCATCTCTGCACAGTGACATGATTGATGCTGGGTTGTTCCCTTTTGACCCCAGCTAATGATCCTTAACTTCTCTCCAAGGAGTAGATACTCATTTCTTTTTTCTCAAAGTGTTTAGGGCAGAGAGGGTGAACATCTTCCCTATCAACTGGCATTGACCCCGGGAAGGAAGAGGCAATCTCTTTGGGGGAGTGATTGTGCTTTGGAGAGAGACCCCCAGGGCCCAGCTGGGGCCTGTCTGAGCTCAGGGGACCGTCTCACCACCTGGTTAGGAAGACCTGACAGATGACAGGAGGCATCTTATAGCCCTGAGTGCAGTGCCCAGGAAAGGACTGGACTATTCACTGTATGGAGGACATTAGGTATTTTTTAGAAATGTCATTGAGGCCTTAGGGGCTGGAGAGAGAAAGAAAAGTAGTCTTTACTGAGTATCTAGCTTGTGCCAGGTGTGTTTCCAACATGATCATGTTCATCATCACATGGCTTCAGGATGTTGGAATGTGTATTTTAAATCCTGTTTTACTGATCAGAAAACTTAGGTGCAGAGAGGAATTTCCTCTGAAATGCAAATATGGATTTAGGAGTCTGGATGGTGGTATTGTCCAAGGCCATGGCACAGTGGTGCCTGAAATCAAAGTGCAAAGCAGGCACAGGTACAGTGTCAGGATGAGGACTTTGACAGCTGGTGCCATAGATGAAGTAGAGAAAATGGCCCCCAAGAGCAGGTGGGAGACAGGTTCAGGAGCCGAGGGTGGCAGGTTCTTTGAGCTGAGACTGGAGAATGGGGTGCTTAGCAGAGGCCAACACTAGGTCAGTCCTGGCTGCAGTGGGTGCCTCCATAAGAGGGCTAAGTAGTTTTTGCTGTGTGGGGCTGGCTGGGTGGTATGTGGTTGTGGTTTCCAGCCCTTGAGCTAGGGTGGTTTTTGTCTCCTAAATGTTCTCCCCAGAGAGGTGGACCTCACACCCAACTGGAAGGGATGGTTTCCTGTGGATGCTACCAGGAGCCCTGGATGCTTCCAGAAGAGTGAGAGAGAATGGGTTTGTTTGTTTGTTTAGGAAGCCTCCTTTCTTTTTGTGCCCTGCCAGTAGGGGGGTGAGTAGGGCCAGCTGCAGGGCAGTGACAGCCATTGTGCCATGGCCATCTCAGGAGAGGGATGCCCTGTTCACAAGCAAAACCAACTCGGGTGCGTGTTCTTCGTTGTTTTTAAAAGAGAACCAGGATGGGTGCAGTGGCTCACTCCTGTAATCACAACACAAGCCAAGTGGTTTGAGAGCAGCCTGGCAACGTAACGATATCCTGTCTCTACAAAAAATTTAAAAATTAGCCAGGCATGGTGGTAGACACCTGTGGTCCCAGCTACTTGGGACGCTAAGGTGGGAGGGTCACTTGAGCCTGGGAGGTGGAGGCTGCAGTGAGCCATGTTCATACTCCCACACTCCAGCCTGGGTGACAGAGTGAGACCCTGTCTCAAAAAATAAATAATGTTAAAAATAGAACTAGAAAAAGGAATACGTGAGTCTTGAGAAAATATGTAATTCAAATATTTCAACTTAATTTGGAAATTAAGAAAAAGAATTATGAAAGTCCATCACTAAAGAAAATACCTTAAGGTTCTCCAGATCCCTAATTATGGGAAAAGAGAACGTAGAAAGAAAGAGAGGGAGAAGGGAGGAGGGCGGTTGGCCAAGCTATTTTCAGGGCCCAGAGAGACAGCCCTGAGATAGAGACTGAAGAGAGAGGCCAGAAGTAAGTCCCTGGTCACCTGTTTTTCACACTGCTGGCTGCCTCGGGGCAGTTGTACTGCGTTTGAGATGCCACTCATCTGCTTACCTAGGTCAGCAGCCTTTTTAGAGGAACAGCATCACGGTGCTGCCTCCTCCGGGCACCTGTACACAGATCTTCCATGGCTTGGGTGAGCAGTTCAACCTCTCCGCAGAGGGAGGTCTCTGAGGACCCTTTACTCTCTACCATTCTTTGATTCTGGGAGGGAAAATGGCAGGTTTGAAACAGCATTTTGATCTATTAAGTGGCCTTCATCAGCTGACTTGGGCCATTTTGCTTCCACAAAGGGACAATTTTGGAAATGCAAAGATGGGAGCAAATGGACGTGGACTTTGCTGGGGCCCCAAAGCTGACTCATTCCCTCCAATTCAGAGGGAAAAATAGTGTCCTATGAACTAATTCAGAATAGAGGTATAAATGGCTTTGCTTGGGCTTTCCTCCTCAGTAAAGATGAGGATGGGGCCAGTGGGTCCCAAGGTAACCAGACCAAATGGGTGTGGAACTGGGTGGGGCTCAGCAGATGGTAATGACAGGCAAGCAACCACATACATAATTTTATGACTTAAAGTCTTTTGCAGCCTCTTGGTGAATAGCTCTTTGAAGGCCATTTGCCTCCTGCAATAAGTGGGGAGGGCTCCTTCATTTGACACCTTTCTGGGTTTCAGCTCCTGCAATACTGGGCTGTCCTCTTTGTTGACAAATCATCATCTCCGCCAACTGTAAGCTTCCTGAAAACTAGTGCTCTGCCCCATGCATCATTTTACTCTCCCATTTGGCATAGCCCTTGTTGCAGAATGAATGGTCAGTGATTGTTTGAAAGAAGGAAAGACAGGAGGAGTTAGGATTGCCTGCTGAAGGTAACAAAGAAGCATCTGGAACATCCAGTGTCCTAAAAATTACTTGTACCCTTCCCTTTAGGAACTCAGAGTAGATACAGATGTGTCTGAAGCTCATCTATGGAATCCCGGGTTAACTCACGCCTTAGAACACATACACTTGCCCATCAGCATGAACACCAGGCACCTACCCCAGCCAGACACTGCCAGGGGCTGGAGGGAAACCACTGTGGATGAGAGCTGGCCCTGGTGTGGGGAGATCACAGAAGTGTGCATGGACAGATAAGCGATGATTCATGGCAGAAAATGCCAAATCCCAGGCCTGGGGCTGCATGTGTTTGCGGAAGGGGTTGTAAAGAGTTGTGCCCTCCATGAGCCTGGGGACTCTCCCACTTCCTGTAGGCTTGCCTTTGGATATAATTTTTTAAGCAGACTTCATTTTGGGAAAGAGTAGTTTAAATTTTACAGAAAAAAATATTGGGCAAAAATTTGTTCCCATATACCCCCTCAACCTTCTCCAATTTCCCATTAGTAACATCTTGCATGAATGTGATACATTTGTTATAACTGATAAACCAATATTGGCAGATAGTTATTAAGTGCAGTCCATACTTTACATTAAGGTTCACTCTTTATGGTGTATATTCTATGGGTTTTGACAAATGTATAATGGTACTATCCACCATTACAGTATCATACAGAATAAGAGTTTCACTGCCCGAACAATCCCCTGTGGACCATTTGTTCATCCTTCCCTCCCTCCTCCAAACCCCAGGCAACCACTGATCTTTTTACAGTCTCCACGGTTATGCTACTTACAGAATGTCATGGAGTTCACTATGTATGTGTAGTATGTAGCCTTTTTCAGACTGGCTTCTTTCACTTTTTAGAGGAACAGCATCACGGTGCTGCCTCCTCCGGGCACCTGTACACAGATCTTCCCATATACATTTAAGTTTCTTCTGTGTCTTTTTGTGGCTTGACAGCTCATTTCTTTTTATTGCTGAATAATAAACACTCCATTGTATGGATGTTACTAGTTTGTGTATCCTTACCTTCTATGGGTGGGGGACATCTTGGATGCTTTGAAGTTTTAGCCATTATGAATATGGATATGATTTTCACATCTTCTGTGAAAGTATGGCCAAATAAACATGGTAGAGTAGGGCTATGTATTTGGCCCATTTACAGAAAGCAAGACTCCAGAATGTTCTTGGGTTTAGCTAACCTGTAAAGCTGTGACCAGGCCAGATGTTGAGGGAATTAGGAATCTGGATGATATCTGATCCTCCCGTGTTCTTTCCAGTCCTCCACGTGGTCTTAAAAATTAAATCATTTATTGACATATTAGATGCTGGGGACACTATTTTCTCTTCCTCAGTTTCCCTCTTTGCACAGCATTTCTCACTGTGGTTCATTTTGTTCCATGTCACCTCATCTGAACCTCCACTCTCCATCCCCAGGCTCACAGGTTCTGCCACTCCTTCCTCTGGGAACCCTTAGTGTTACCATCACCTTCTCACATGACATTGCCATGGTTTGGGGACATGTCTGTCTCCCCAAATAGGCGAAATTTTATGGAAAAAAGTATTGGGCAAAAGTTTGTTCCCATATATCCCCTCCAGCTTCCCCAATTTCCCATTAGTAAAATCTTGCATGAATGTGGTACGTTTGTTACAACTGATAAACCAACGGCTGAGACTGTTTTCATTTACAATTATAACCTCATGCTCAGCATAGCACCTACCTAGTAGATAACCAATCATTAAGATTATTGTAGGGTTTATATACTCATAAGTATTTAAAATGTGATTATAATCCAAGGGAATTGGGATTTCAATAAGTTCTTCTTAAGCAGTCTTCTGTCTTACCAGGTCTCATGACCTTGTCATTGTTCACGTGTAGCCTCCTCATCCTCAGGCTAAATCGGGGGTACCTCAAGCCTCCACTACTCACAGTCATCCCCACAGACAAAAGGGATGAGTCAGACTTCTCAAAAGCAAAGCCTTTGCTTTGGCATGTGTGTGTTTTCTCTCTGAATTTACACGGTGGCATAAATGTCATGGCTAGGATGTGAGTGAGTTTCAGTGGCTCAGTTGTTTACCTTATTTTTATTGTACAATCACATCATACGGCCAATTCCATTTCTGTTAGCCATTTTCAGTTACTCTTCTGCATTTCCTTGAGGCTCCAGTCCCAGCTCTGGGGCCAGCATCTATGGTACCTCTCTGCCTACATTTCTTCACCTGTTCAATGAAGATGTTGGATTCGGTCCATGATTTTTACCCTGCAGTTCACAGAATGTCCTGAAAGACCACAGGAAGTTTCTGGGCATCCATATCCCTGAAATTGTATTAACATCTTGTGTATCTGAACTTTTTCTTTTCTTTTTCTTTTTTTTTTTTTTTTTTACAACTTGTATATGGAGGCCATAACTCCAACAAGCTTCAAAATCACAGGAAAATAAGATTTCCAAAGTCCGACCAAGCAATTTTTTTTCACTGTAAAATAAAGTTTTCGTGATGCCACATTTTCTCTTGAAAACATCAGCAGGTAATAATGGAGTGAGGCTGCGGGTTGAAATGAGCCATGCTTCCTGGGGGTTCGTTTGTCACGTGCCGCATTTGAGTTCTTGAGAACAAGGTCTAGAGTCCAATTCTCTTGCCTCACTCAGTGCTGACAGTAACTTGGGTTGCGTGCTTCCTGGCTAGGGAAATGGGCGTCACCCAAGCCTGGCCAGTCATTTTGTAGAGGCTGTCTTGGGTCGTGTTTCAGAGAGTTGTTTTTCACCAACTCTCTCTGACTGGTGTTTGAAGAGCAAATGGC
Source organism: Homo sapiens (assembly GCF_000001405.40). Taxonomy (NCBI): domain Eukaryota; kingdom Metazoa; phylum Chordata; class Mammalia; order Primates; family Hominidae; genus Homo; species Homo sapiens. Next base: position 36,493,647 of record NC_000018.10, read on the forward strand.
ACACAGCTAAATGCCTGGCAGATAAGGAGCTAATTTCTCATGGCTGCACCTGAAAAACCATGATGGTTGTATTGTCAATAACTGCTGCCAACAGACTGTCAGTGTAGACCTGGACATTGCGCCTGTGAATAAATCTCCTCTTGAAACGTGGTATACTTTGCAGCAGCCCAGGGGAAAAAGGAAAGTTATTGTCTTCCCTGAGCAGAGGAGAGGCTCTGGGGACGTGGTCCAGGTTTTCCCACGGGGAGCTTCGTTAATGTATTTGACACTTGATGAGAGAAGCATGTGCTGTAATTATTAGTCTCACAGTTCAGCGATTTTTATAGACCCCAAAGCGTGATACTGTAGATGTATCTTTCACTCCCCTACTTCCGTTCTTGAAGGGGATTTTTGTTCCTCCCCCTACATATTCTTTCACTGATGTAAATTGGTTCTCATTTTTCTCATTGGGCCCTTCTAATTAATGTTCTGGTCTGTCTTTCCCCACACACTGAAGTTTTCTTCATTGTGCTCTTGGCTGAACAGGAAGCATAGCACCCCTTTGGCTGTACTTTTCAGCACTGATCTTTGTGGGCCACAAAGGGGTTTTGAGACAAAGCAGGAATGGTCCCCAGGGGTCTCCAATGCTTTGCCCTCTACTCTTGTTATTACAAGCTAGTTTACAGCATAATACATGATTGCAACTATTAAAGGGACATAGTTCATTTTAAAAGGCAAGAAACATGGCAAGAAAGGATGGAGGGGCAGTTCTAAAGACTTCCACAAATAATGTTCTGATTACACCTTCTTGTGGTTACCAAAGATAAGCTTCTAATTGCATTTACTCAAAGGCTAATGCTACCCAAATGAGTATACCCCAGGCAGATTTAATTTGGAAGCGGTGGGAGAAAAAATGCATATGTTTCTTCATTTATTTATTGGCCAAGTGCAAGCTGTACTTAACCTAAAAGTAAGGGATGTATAATCAGCCTGCCCCCAGCTTCTCCCCAGCTGCTGGAATCAGCAATCAGCAGTACTTCTCCAGGACCTTCTGCAGCCTTAGCTCTCATTGGCTGCTGGCCACCCCTTGGGGCTGTGCTGGGGGGACCTCTTTGCACACCTCCCACCTGGCAGTCCCAGAGCTTCAGGAGAAAGGCAAATCTTAATGACTCCAGTTTGATCTCAGCCCCCATTTCTGCTTTGAGTTTTACTGTTATACTTTTTTTTTGTTTGTTTGAGAAAGAGATAGAATTTCTGCTGGTAGGTAGAAGAGGATCCAGCAGGCATTTCCCTATGTCAGACGTCATGCCCAAACCAGCAACTCTGATGTGACAGCCCTGTCACCTCCGCTCTGTCGCCAAGGCTGGAGTACAGTGGCATGATCATGGCTCACTGCAGCCTTGACCTCCTGGGTTCAAGCAGTCCTCCCACCTCAGCCTCCTGAGTAGCTGGGGCTGTAGGCCACCACCCCTGGCTAATTTTTGTATTTTTTTTTTGTAGAGGCAGGATTTCACCAGGTTGCTCAGTCTAGTCTCAAATTTCTTGGCTCAAGCGATCTGCCGGCCCTGGCCTCCCAAAGTGCTGGGATTACACGTGTGAGCCACTGTGCCCGGCCTTTTTATGCTTTTTTGACATTCACCAGGAAGGGACCCACAGTGTCATGTCTTGGTTGCTCAGCACCTTTTTTTCCTTGATGCTCTGATTTAGAGCTTTCCACCTGAGTCTGGGATGGCAGGAACCATCTGCTCCCCTGCAACCTCCCCTGATTGGAGCTGTACTACCCTCACTAACATGTGTTCATGGCCAAGGTGAGCAAAGAGAAGCAAGGAGAACCTCTGCGAACTCACGAGAAAAGTTTGGGATTCGCATATAGGTGAAGCCTCTGCAGCTGCCCTCTTGCTGGCTTAGGGTAGTCTACAGCCCCCTTCTGCACCACATGTGGAATCTACTTTATTTTGCTTTGCCTGATTTTCAGGCAGTGGGCACACTTGAATTCCTTTCCTTGAGATTCAGGAGCTGTTAGGACAGTCTATACAGTATATTGCATGTAGCTGGAGGGTCAGTGGACCTGCAACTAGGCTGTGCCAACCACAGATTGAAGTCATATGTGCACATGCCTCTGCACACACACACACCCACATATACACGTGGGAGACCCACACAGTGAGCACAGCCTGCAGAGTAGAGAATTGGATTGCAGAACTAGGGAGCACGATGTCTGTCAGTCATCCTACCTCGAGGAATCCTTGCACACACCTGCATAACCCAGACTGAAAATACCTGAATCTACATAGACAGGCTGCTTCTAAAGAAGGGGTGATTGGAGTTCCATAGGAAATGGATCCAAGAGTGATGTAAAGAATGTCTTTGGGAATCTGGCAGGCCAGGTACCGTTCCTGGTTGAGCCCTTCACATTCTAGTCTCAGCTGAAGGAGAGGCCTGCACAGCCTTGGTGAAGTTTCTGTGTGGTGAAACTTGGATGCAACACAAATGGAATGCCTGGTTTCTTGAACTTGGAATGTTACCCAGCAGATAAAGCTCCAGAGGACACCTCACATGGCATTGTTAGTCCTGCAGCAAGGAACCCAGGCCCTGGGCTGTGGGAGGAAGTGCTTCTCCTTTGGTCTGTGTGGGCCTCTCTTGAACCACATCAAAGGGCTGTCACATCAAAGTTGCTGGTTTGGGCATGATGTCTGACATAGTGAAATGCCTGCTGGATCCTCTTCTACCAGCAGAAATTGTACCTCATGTAAAATGACAAATTATATGTCATTTACAAACATCCTTGCATCCTAATCCTTCCTAAGCCTCTAGGTAGACTGAGGTGTCTCTTAAAATGTATGTTACGAATCAACAGAATAAGATAGGTTTAGGCAGAGAGGCTTTTTGGTACCACTGTTTTAAACATAGCAGGTAGCTTTGAGTTTTAATAAAGCACTATGATTTCATTTTAAACCACAGTATTGTTCTTTGTAGAGAGAGAATGTATTATGGAATTGTCTTTCCAAAGACAGTACTCTAGAGTAATATTCCTTTAAATAAATATTTTGTTACTTTTATTTCAACCATGATGATGACGCTAGTATTGCTCTCGTGATATAGGGAATAATGCATAACATTTGTTAAAATATTGAATGCTTATAAATATTAAAGGTTTGCAGTAGTTCAAGAGAAGGTATCTGTCAAAAAATGAAACATCACTGCTAGCCATTTGTATGAAGGATAAAAAAAGTTACAATGTAACAGATGCCACATGGTGGGATTTCTGATCAAGACCTTGTCTGGTGCTTTATACCATAGGGAATTAAAAAGAAAAGCATTTTAAGGGAAATTTCAGCCAAAATAGGTAATATTTTTATATAGATTAGCTGTTCTTTTGAGCTTTGATATTGAAAAACAAAACTTACATTAACATTTGTGAATCTGCAAAGTCTGTAGTGAGAATTCTCTTGCTTAAAACAATAAAAATCATTATTTGGGAACAGTACTACATATTTTCTTACTCAGTTTTGTTTGAAATAGACAATTTAAACAAATGACTATAAAGGTTTTGTTTTGAAAATTAAAGATAGTTGGAATGAAAAGTACTTCTCAATTAGAAATTGTAGTTTATTTTAATTAAATGACATTTGGCAAAAAAGAGGAGAGGTTTTTGGCACCACTGGGAGATATCTTTGGCATTTGTAGAAGGATGCTGTTTATCAAAGAGTTTGAGATGGCGTCAGAACCTGCCTGAGGTCTTTGGTTCTAGTGCCACTGAAGAGTAAGTTGTGATGTCGCAGAGGTTAAAAATACAGTGAATGCATAGCAATTAGAAGACAATGGTCAGATTGCATGTAAGCAAGATGCAACTATATAAGAAATTCTACATAGATAGTTTAAAAATAAAAGGATAGAAAAAGATACACCATTCACTAACCCAAAGTGTCCATATTCATATCAGAAAAGTAGACTTTAAAACAGGGAATATTGACAGGGATGAAGAGAGGTATTACATAGCAATAAAAGTTCAATACACCAAGAAGCCACAACAATCCCAAATGTAAGCACACCTACCAACAGAACTTCAAAGCACCTAAAGCAGGAACTCATAAAGATGAAAGAAGAAATACACAAATCCACTGTAATAGTTGGAGACTTCAACTCTCCTTTCACACTAATCTATAGAACAAGTAAATGGAAAGTCAGTAAGAATATAGAAGATGTGGACACCACTATTACTCAATTTGATATAGTGGATATTTATAGAACAGCCACTCAATAACAGCAGAATACATGTTCTTTTAAAGTGTACATGAGACATTCACCAGGATAAGCCATATTCCGGGCCATAAAATAAGCCTTAATAAGTCTAAAAGATTTGATAAAGTATATGTTCTGACCACAAAGAAATTAAATTAGAAATTAGTAACAGATATCTGGAAAATCTCTAAATATTTGGAAATTAAACAATACACCTTAATAAACCATGGGTCAAAAAAATCACAAGGTTAAGTTATTCCCCTCTGAATTCAATATTAATAAAATTTTCAAATAAATGAAAATGAAAACAATATATCAAAATTTACAGGAAGCAGTTGAAGCAGTACTTAGAGATGAACTTATAGCATTAAATACTTCTATTAGAAACAAGACGGGTCTCAAATCATTTAAATTTCTACCTGAAGAAACTAGAAGAGCAAACTAAACTTAAAGCAAACGAAAGGAAATAATGAAATAGAAATCAGAAAAGCAGTAGGAAAAAACCTCTAATGAAATCAATAGCTGATTCTTGAAAAAGGCTAAAATAAAATTGATAGATTTCTAGTCACTGACCAAGTAAAATAGAAGACACAAATTACCAATACCAGGTATAAAAGGACATTGCTACAGTTAATAAAAGGATGACAGAGAATATGAACAGCTTTATGCCCATACATTTAACAACTTAAATGGACAAATTCCTTGAAAGACACAAATGAACAAACTTCATTGAAGAACAAAGAGATAATCAGAATAGCCCTACATTAATGAAGAAATTGAATAAATAACACAAAGTCTATACAAATCCCTTCTGAAAGCAGAAGGGGAAGGAGTACCCCCAACTCACAAAATTCGCATTGTCTCAATATTAACACCATTGCAAGAAAAGAAACTATAAACCAGTATTTCTTATGATTATAGATGCAGAAATTTTCAACAAAATATTAGCAGTCATTCTCAGCTGATTTTTTTCTAATATTTAATTTGTATTTTAAAAACTGATTATTTTGACTACAGCACCAAGTAGTAAAACCTTAATGATCAGAACACAACTAATGATGATCTTCATTTAGATGAATCAGAAACAATAATATGTCACTAGTAACTAAAGGAGACTTTAACTGTGATATTTTGAGTCTACTTATGGCATATTTCTGCTTATCATCTGCTAACAAGTAAGAAGGTCTAATGCAAGCCTATTGCTATTTTTGTTTTGTTTTGTTTTGTTTTGTTTTGTTTTGTTTTGTTTTGTTTGAGACAGGTTCTTGCCCTATCACCTAGGCTGGAGTGCGGTGACATGATCTCAGCTCACTGCAATCCCCACCTCCCAGGTTCACGAGATTCTTCTGTCTCAGCTTCCCAAGTAGCTGGGATTACAGGCATGTGCCACCATGCCTGGCAAATTTTTGTATTTTTAATAGAGACGGGCTTTCACCATGTTGACCAGACTGGTCTTGAACTCCTGACCTCAAGTGATCCGCCTGCCTCGGCCTCCCAAAGTGCTGGGATTACAGGCCTGAGCCACGGTGCCCAGCAGCCTATTGACTTAAGAGTTACCTGGAATTGGCTCTTTTCTACTGATGTTCTTCCTGGATAGGATAAATCTGGTCCACTTCTTTGGGGGTATACATGGCCCATGCTTTCACTTGATAGTTTTATTCTTATTTATTAGAAGTAGTATTAGCAAAAAACAAAGTCTTTTTCTCTGGGATTTGGGGATTCTCAGATGTTAGCTGTGAAAGCTGGAAGAAGTGTGATCACCCCAGAGACCAGGGTTCTACTCCAGGCGTGATGCAGTAGGAAACCCACTATTTATTACTCATATGTTGAGGCCACACAGACTCTTTAGAGGTCAGCCTGAGAGTCACCAGGGCCTTGTTTCTTCGGGTCAGAGATGAATTAGATGTTCAGATTGGGGATGGTTGATTCCTCTGGAGCTTTCTAGGCTCCTACTTTTTAGAAAGGTGATGCATTTTTCTCTTAATCACAACTCTTCATAATTAGCAAGTGTTTGTGGGCTGCATATTGTATTTAGAGGTGGTAGATTCCATAGTGGTCAAACAACAGGGAATCTTTGGAGTCACATACCACTCCCCAGACCCCCACCCTACAGTATCTTGCCCCTGCCACTTAGCAGCAATATGTATTAAGTTGTGAGTTTGGAGGAGCCTGCACTGCCCCAGGATGTGAGAGAAAACCACAGTGTCTGTAATACAGCAAGGGAGGGGGCTGTGTGACCAAGGGCTTGGCAGACCGTGCAAAGGATTTTGGATTTCATTCTGGCTGCGGTGGGCAGCCACTGAAGGGTTTAAATGGGGAAGTGATGTCATCTAGTGGGAGTTTCCACAGGAGCCCTCTGTTCTTTGCCGGAAGGCAATATGTCTGGTAGGGAGACCTTTGAAGAAATGACTGCCAAGCAAATACTGAGCTTTACCTATCTGTGTCCTGTTAAATCTCTCTCAGTGGGGGCCTATCCATTTCCTGGGCCACTGTGAAAAACCAGCATATCCTTTCTGTCACTAGACTTCTGCAAACTCTTCTGGGGCCATTTGTTCCATGCCACTTGCACAAGGGGGGAATGTGGCTCTGCCCTGTATCCCTTTAGGCTAGAATTGAAGCCCGAGGTGGTTGGCCAATGACGTGACATTGTTTTGAATGCCTTTATTATATCTAAACACTTTAAATGATATTTTGCATTCCACTCCATAGTACACATGCTTAATTTAACACAGAACCCATTTTCCTGTAATACTGTCTGTTCCCATTTTACAGATGGAGAATCCAAGGCTTAGAGATGTAAAGTGTTTTGTTCAAGGTCACATAGCTAGTAAATGGTGATACCAGGTTTGGAATGCAGGCAGTCTGATTACTTAGCCTTTGCTCCTGATAATTCCATTCTTCACTGTGGTATCCTAGTGCCTCGAACTGTACCCAGCAGGTTCTCAGTAAACATGCGTTGGGTGATTCTATTGGAAAAGTCTGGCATCGGGTGCTAGGAATGCAACCCTATGCACACCTGAGCCACCTGGATCAGGACCAAGTGTGGGTGCTGGGAGGCTAAGCGGGATGTGTGCTCCTTGGTGTCCTGCATAACCAGAACAGGACTCCCTCCGGTGTGTCTTCAGCACCTCGCAGCACCATCACTCTGGCCAGCTAGTAATTGTGGCATACTCATCTGTCTCTCTAGCTGCATGGTGATCTCTGGAGGATGGGCCCTGTATTAAGCTCACCTCCTTCTTCCTGAGGCCTGGTCTAACTCATATATTTGAAATGTGACTGCTCAACAGTGGGCTTATGGAAGTCAGCCCAAGTCTTCAGCCAGAGAATTCCAAGAGTGGGATCTTTCATCTGCCTTGCCCATGGCCAGAACCATCCTTGAACATGAGTGAGAAAACAGGCCCAGGCAGAGCTAAGGCTGGCTTCCTGCCCAGAGGCCCTCATGTGACTAGAAGGAGCCAGCTAGTCCGTAGAGCTGCCATGCTGCCCTTGGGTCTCCCATGCTGCCTAGGGAACCCTAGGGCCTGAGGAGCGCTCAAGGCAGCCAGCACACCCCAGGAACAGGAGATGCAGAAAGCATGGGGGTGCAGGGCCTGTAAGGCAAGGGAGGCATGAGGTAGAAGGATGGATTCTGTTCTGGCTGCGTGGGTTTTTCTGGGTATAGTTGGCCATCAAGTGGAAATAGTTTATAAACTGGAAAATAGGGTCTGCAAACAGCTGGAAATAGAGATCTGGAGAGAGGAAGGGTGGGAGATGAGGGTGAAAAATCTAGGTGATAGTTGTCAGTGATAGCCAGAGTGGATTTCTACCTGTTTGAGAGGGAATAGGCAAAAGGGCAGGCCCCAAATCTGTCCCATCTACACATTATTCCATGCCACCTGTCACACACCAGATATGTATATGCAACATTCTTCTTATGGTTGGGGGTAAGGTCTGTATCCTGAATGAAATGAATAGGCTTTCATTACCTTTCCAGGGATAGTTTTGTTATCATTCATATCCTGTCTGTGTTTTCACTGTCAATAGAGTCAGTTTAATTAATTTATATGTTTTATTCTTTATTTCAGAAAAACTATACAACTCCAGCGGACGAGATTTGAGAAGGGCCCTCTTCTCCCTGAAGCAGATATTTCAGGTAAATAGGAAAAAAATAAGTACTTACCTGTTTTTACATTGCTGTGAAATTAGATACAGGCAAGCTTCTACCTGTACTTGTTATGAAAAGGAAGGACAAATTTAGATTACAATATTTATATTTAGATTACAATATACATTAGGTCATAATATCAGTTGAGAATTTTTATCATGTCAAATATTTCAAACATAATAAAAAGTAAAGGTAACTTTATCACATATTTTTCCATATTTACTTCTAGTTTTTTTTTTTTTTAACTATTATTATACTTTAAGTTCTGGGACACATGTGCAAAATGTGCAGGTTTGTTACACAGGCATACATGTGCCATGGTGGTTTGCTGCACCCATCAACCCATCATCTACATTAGGTATTTCTCCTAATGCTATCCCTTCCCTAGCCCCCTACCCACTGACAGGCCCTGGTGTGTGATGTTCCCCTCCCTCTGTCCATGTGTTCTCATTGTTCAACTCTCACTTATGAGTGAGAACATGTGGTGTTTGGTTTTCTGTTGCTGTGTTTTCTGAGAATGATGGTTTCCAGCTTCATCCATGTCCCTGCAAAGGACATGAACTCATTCTTTTTTATGGCTGCATAGTGTTCCATGGGGGTATATGTGCCACATTTTCTTCATCCAGTCTACCATTGATGGGCATTTGGGTTGGTTCCAAGTCTTTGCTATTGTGAATAGTGCTGCAATAAACATACATGTGCAAAGCCTATTAGAGGTATAACTGAAGACCTGTGTTATGCTCCCCCATCCCAAACAACCTCTTTCCACCCTACCCCCACATGCATGTTTCCTAATGGTAAATATTCACCAACAATATGTGATATTCTTTTGTATGAACTGTATACATATGTGATCATGTTGCATATATATCCTACTTCTGCTTACTGAGAATGGGATAGGTGTAGGCATAGCTGGTGTAGCTCTGATTGAAGATTGCATTGGATGAATAAAACACAAGTTGTTTTATTCATTCTTCTATTGGCAGATGGTTAATTTCCAGTGTTTTGCTGTTATAAACCATGCTATTGTGGCTATGCCCCCTTGTGTACCTGTGCAAATCTGTCTTGGATTCCATAGTATCGTTGCCTCCTAAACCTTCCCTCCATTCCTACCCTGAGAAAGTCACCAACATAATGAAGAGGACTAGGACAGGTGTGCAGAGAAGCCCCAAGATGATCAGCCATGTGAGGGCAGGCAGGGTCAGGAGATGGTTTCATAGAGAAGATGGTTTTTGCATTGAGCTTGCGTCTGTCTAGGTTCATTATTTTTCTTCTGTTAGGATTTTTGATTCTAGTTTACATTCTACTTCTTTTCAGTTCCCATCTCATCTACATCCTTAAAAGATTATCTTTGTCAGCGATAGTTGTCAGTGAGAGCCAGAGTAGATTTCTACATGCTTGAGAGGGAATAGGCAAAAGGGAAGGCCCAAAATCTGTCCCATCCACACATTCTTGTCCCATTCTTACTTCACTGTGTTCAATCATACCACGGAGTCCCTTCTCTGTGTTGACATTTCTGCAGACAAGTCCTCTTTCTTTTCTTCCAACAGCCATGGTTTTGAACCTGGTGCACCCTTGCTCCACCACACTGCATACCTCGGAAATGCCTTGGGGTTTAGAGGTCTGCCTTGGTTCATGCCTGGAAAATTGCAGCAGCTATTCATGGCACTGTGTGTGTTTGGTCCTCCCTAACTCAGTCCATTCTTAGCTTCCCACCAGAGGGAGTTACTCTCTTGTTGGTTCCATGTTGCCTTCTGGGTTACGTCTGGATTTCTCAGCATAACATGGAAGTCCTTCTTGATCTGGCCTCTGCTGCCCACCTCTCTGTCCTTGGCTACAACCTGAGTTCCTCCTGAAGTTGTACTCCAAAAGTAAGGCATGCCCTTTCTGTTCTACACCTTTGCCCTGGACCTGCGACTTATTGATTGATTGAGATGGAATCTCACTCTGTCACCCAGGCTGGAGTTAAGTGGTGTGATCTTGGCTCATTGCAACCTCCACTTTCCAGGTTCAAGTGATTCTCCTGCCCCAGCCTCCTAATTGAGATTACAGGCATCCACCACCACGCTTGGCTAATTTTTATATTTTTAGTAGAGATGGAGTTTCACCATATTGGCCAGGCTGGGCTCAAACTCCTGACCTCAGGTGATTCACCCACCCAGGCCTCCCAAAGTGTTGGGATTATAGGTGTGATCTACCACGCCTGGCCTGGACCTACAACTTCTATCCCAGAATGTTTTGCTACCCCACACCCACTCTATATGTATCTCAGTTTTCCTTCTGGTATCTCTTCCTGCTAGGGATGCCCTCTCAGAATGATCACTCACCCTAATTAGGGTCCCTCCGAATACCATTAAAAGTATCCTGTGCTTCATATACACCATGGAATACTATGCAGCCATAAAAAATGATGAGCTCATGTCCTTTGCAGGGACCTGGATGAAACTGGAAATCATCATTCTCAGTAAACTATCGCAAGGACAAAAAACCAAACACTGCATGTTCTCACTCATAGATGGGAATTGAACAATGAGAACACATGGACACAGGAAAGGGAACATCACACTCTGGGGACTGTTGTGGGGTGGGGGCAGGGGGGAGGGGATAGCATTAGGAGATATACCTAATGCTAAATGACGAGTTAATGGGTGCAGCACACCAGCATGGCACATGTATACATATGTAACTAACCTGCACATTGTGCACATGTACCCTAAAACTTATAGTAATAATAATAAAAGTAAATAAATAAATAAATACATAAATAAATAAAAAGTATCCTGTGCTTACCTGTTGTACAAGTTGAGCATCCCTAATTTGAAAATCCATTAGAAATGAATTTGAAAAATTTTGAGTCCTGACATGATGCCACAAGTAGAAAATTCCACACTCGATCTCATGTGATGGTCATAGTCAAAGTGCAGGCTCACAACACACGATTTATTTAGCATTCCCAAGGAAAAAAGAACCTCCTGCCAGTTTTCAGCTGTGATATATATTTTCCACACATGCCCAGATCCCTCCATGCAAGCATGCCCACAAAGGGCAATAAAATGGCATGTGTGCAGGCTGGATGCACCAATGGGAGGTTCCCCACAATGTCCACATGGGCCAAGAGATACATGCATTACTCATTGTGTGTGTTTGCTTATTCTGTGCTCTGTGGTATAAAGGTATTGTTAAAATGTCCAAAAGGAATGCAGATACCTCCTTGGGTAACAGTGATAAAAAAGAGAAGTCATTTATATATACCTATAGCACAGAATGAAGCTGTTGGAGAAACTGGGCAGTGGCGTAAGTGTGAACTGTCTTACAAAAGGGTATGGTGTTAGAATGATCACCATAGATGACCTGAAGAAACAGAAGGATAAACTGTCGAAGTTCTGTGTGGAAAGCAATGAGCAGAAGTTACTGAAAAATAGGAAAACATTGCATGAAGCTAAAAATGAAGATCTCAATTGTGTATAGAGTGGATCCATCAGTGATGCAGTGAACACATGCCACTTAATGGTATGCTGATCATTAAACAAGCAAAGATCTATCATAAACTGAAAATGGAAGGGAGCTGCATATTTTCAACAGGGTGATTGAAGAAATTTAAGAAAAGACACAACATTAAATTTTTAAAGATTTGTGGTGATAAAGCTCTGCTGGCCACAAAGCAGTAGAGAAATTCATTGACAAGTTTGCCAAGGTCACTGCTGATGAAAATTTGATGCCAGAACATGTCTATAATGTGGATGAAAAAACATTACTGTTTGTAGTTACAGCCCCAGAAAGACACTGACTAGAGCTGATGAGACAGCTCCTATGGGAAATACGGGTGCCAAGGACAGAATAACCATGCTGGGCTGTGCTAATGCTGCAGGCACACATAAATGAAATTTTGCTGTGCTAAGCAAATGCATCCTCACTATTTTAAAAGAGTGCATTTCTTACCATTCCATTATTATGCTAACAAAAAGCCATGGATCACCATATCATCTTTTCTGATTAGTTTCATAAACATTTTGTACTGGGGACTTATGCTTACTTCACAGAAGCTGGACTAGATGATGATGGCAAGATTTTGTTTTCCTCGACTGTTCTGCTGATCTTCCAGCTGAAATTCTCATAAAAAATAATGATTATGCCATGTACTTTCCCTCAAATGTGACTTCATTAATTTAGGATATCCTTAGATCAATGAGGAATCAATTCTTAGATCCATTAATAAAGGATATTCTTAGATCAATGAGGAATAAGTGTTAAAAACACTTTTTTGAACAGCATGCTAGCAGCAGTGAAGTTTTCAAAAGCAGTTTAGCATGAAGGATGTTCAGCATGAAGGATATACTACTGCCAACACTGGAAACACAGTGACTAAAGACACAGCTGTGCATGCCTGGCACAACCCCTAACCTCTGAATATGTTTAGTGATGATGGTGAACAAGTGGTGACTTTGAAGGATTCTGTATGTCAAGTGAGAAGAAAATGATGTCTGACCTCCTTGTAAATATAAAAATTGTTTGCATGTTTGTCTTCAGAGTCCATCAATGAGCTGGAAGAAGTGGATATTGAAGTTTTTAACATTGGTGAAGAGGCCCCAGTTGTTCATTCATGAACCAATGGCAAATTGAAATAGCTAAAATGTTTCTGAATCAAGGTGATCTTATATAAGTGATAATGAAGATGATAACACTGTAGAAAAAGTGCCTAGAGATGACATGGCGAAAATATGTGATGGGCTTATTGAAGTGTAGATCAGTGCACATTCAAAACAGAACAAGAAATCATATTAGTTTATAAAAGCAAAGATTTCTAAGACAAAAACGCTTGTTAATGAGGCAGATGATTGTGGAGAAAACATTAAAAGCCCATCCAGAAGAATGCCTCCTCATCCCTAGAGGACTCGCTTCTGGACCCTCAACTACTTTTGATGTTTATTCTCTCCCCCCAAAATAAAATATAGTGTATAGTAGCCTTTTAATCAAAACACAACATTGTAGGGGGAGACTGTAGCAGATGAGACAGATATTCTGGTGATGCCACTGTACTTAGTTACCTGGAACATGTTATGCTTTTTCATTGTATAAATGGCATGTCATGTTTTTTTCCTGTTAAGTACTTATTTGTGAATAGGTGTAGGAAAATGATTGCATATTTGTAGCATATAAATTCAGAGTCAGGAGTGGTGGTGGTGCCAAACTAGCACTGATCACCCACATGGGTGGCTAAGATAGTGACACCTTTGCTTTCTGATGGTTCAGTATTCACACAAACTTTGTTTCTAGCACAAAATTATTTAAACTATTGTATAAAATTACCTTCATGCTATATATAAATTGTGTATACGAAACCTAAATGAATCTCATGTGCAGACTTGGGTTCCATCCTTGAGATATGTCATTATGTATATGTAAATGTTCCAAAATATAAAAACAATCTGAAACACTGCTGGTCCCAGACATTTTGGATAAGGGATACTCAAACTGTATAGAACTTAAGATACTTCAGAGCACTTGTCTTGAGTACGGTAGTCTGTGAGCTCACTGGGGTTCATCGCCAGGCCTTTCGTGCCTAGCATAGTATCTGGTACTACTTAAACTATAAATGAATGGACTGGGTAACTTGAATTGTCTTCTAGAAGATGTCTCTGTCTTCAGTCTTTCCTGTCTCTAATTTGGTAAATATTGTGCTAACTAATTAATTTTCCCAAAGCTCCACTTCAGAGTATCCACGTGTGTCTTCCTGATACTAAGCTGAACACAACAAACTTCTTCACCCTCCATTATGTCCTCTTCTTGGACTCAGATCCCCAACTGCAGTTGGGCTAGACTCTTCTTATGCCAGCAGAAGGCCATGCTCACACCACTCCTCCCCCTTCCTCATTTAGTCTATCAGCCTGCCTATTGTCTCCATTCTTCAGCTTTAACTTCTCTCACACCTGATTGAGAGCTGGTGGCAGAGCTACACAGCTAATAGCTATTCCAAGTGACTTAAAAACACTGTAATTTGTGCAGTGTTAGTAAAATATACCCTAAGAACAAAAAGAACCACCAAAAACTCCACAACCACAACAAAACTGTTTACAATAATCATATTGGTGGTGATAGTGTTGGTATTACTATTCTGAGACTGGTGTGTGTGCGAGAGATTCTAATTGTCATTCTAAGCATTCTTAAAAATTAGGATTCTTAAGTTTAACAACTCTGTGTTCCTGAATTTAATTGGAAATATCAGAATGAACCCATGTATATTATCTTAAGCAAATAAGCTTTTTTTTTTTTAAAAAAAGCTAGAAGCAATAATCAATTCATTAGCAAAAAGCACCACTAGCAACGAGATTGTGGTCTGAAACACCAAAAGGCACCAGAGCTCCTTGGAGAAGTGGCTGATTCCAAGTCTGGAGTAGGAAACGTAATAAAATAAACTAATTAACTTGGAACATCTTATACAGAGAGCAAGAAAGCTATTGAATAGTCTAGGATTATTTCCAAAAGAACTCAGAAGCAAGTTGAAGGGTCTCCCACTGGCTGGCCAAAGATGGAACAGTGAGCATCAGTAAGGGTGATAATTGCACTGGATCAAAACACACAAACTAAGTTTGTATTGATGAATTCATAGTGACACTACAAAATAACAATGGATTGACAAAAAAAAAAAAAAAACAGGTGAAAGATGCTAGCAAACTAGCTTACTATTTTGCAGATGAATTAAGTTTCAGTATCTCACATTTATTTTGCCTTGTCACTTATGAACTTTAGGATGATCAAATAGTTGAAGGGAAGTCTTGTTTGTAGAAATATTCTACCTAATAAGCAAGAGGGAGTAACAGAATGAGAATATTACCATCCATCAGCCTCTAATGAATGATTTAATGGATCTATGTGGTGAGCCCCAAGAGCTGCTGACATGATGAGCATGAGATTCAGCTAGGTATTACATGCCTCCCAGTGGAAATACAAACTACCATCAATGATGCGGTCAAGCCAAAAAAATCACCTCTGGATCTACATGCCTCTATATGCAATAAACTATTTATAAATGATCCAAGACAGAGGTACATGTTAAACTACACCACAGGGGTGTAACCAACAAAATCTGGACTGTGGGCTACTGTACAGGACAAATGACCCGGTTTCTTCAACACACAAATTCCAACAGAAAAGAAAAAAACTCTTTGAATTAAAAGATGTTCAAGAGTCATATCAACTAACTGCCATGTATGAGTCTTATTTGGATCCTAATAAAACTGTGAAAAACAGTATTTATGCAAAAAGAAATTAGCCGGGCATGGTGGCGGGCGCCTGTAGTCCCAGCTACTCGGGAGGCTGAGTCAGGAGAATGGCGTGAACCCGGGAGGCGGAGCTTGCAGTGAGTTGAGATCGCGCCACTGCATTCCAGCCTAGGCAACAGAGCAAGACTCCATCTCAAAAAAAAAAAAAAAGAAAAAAAAAAGAAAACAGTATTTATGAGACAGTTGGAAATTTGGTCACTGACCAGACATTTGATAATGAGAAGTACTAATTTTTTGTGAGTGCATATTTTTAAGAAGAGTTCCTGTAGTTTAGAGATACATATTGGAATGTTTATGAATTAAATGATGTGATGTATGGGACTCGCTTCAGATTAATGTGGCAGGGGAACAGGTAGGATGATCAATGAAATAGGGTTGGTATGTGTTGATTGGCACCTGGGGTTCACTAGATTATTCCGTTGTCTTTTGTATATGTTTAAAGTTCTCTGATTTGAAAACATTAAAAAATAAACATGCTTGGACTCTTGTAGATCACTTCAACCAAGTTCACTCTGTAGTGTTTGTTCTCTGAATTCCCAGGACCGTCATTAAGCAAATATTTTTGAGCAGCCTCGTTGGCACCATGTAGGCAAGGAAGAAGCTGCTTGTTACTAGAAGTTTATAGTCTGTTTGGAAGACCACACACATGTGCGCAAAAACAGCACTCCACCACAGGGCAGCGATGCATGGGGGATTAACTGGATTACACAGGCAGCGGTGCTGTCTGGGCATGGATCACCACCTTCCATACCCGTGGGTCGGCGTCTCCATCATCTCTCATGTTTTCTAGGTGTGGAAGTTCTTTTCCAAACTAAATTGTAAGTGTCTGAAAAACAGAGGCATTGGTCATCTCTTTGGGTTGAATATTCCTTGACCAATAGGCATTTAAAAAATGATCACAGCTTAATATATGGCTATTAGAGAAAATTCTGAAATGCAGCAATAAGCACCTATCAGTGTTAACATTTTGATTTCATTCTATTCTGAAACCAATGTTTTAAAAATCATTTCTTAATGCTCATATATTTTAGGATATATGTGTAAAATCTAGCACATTGCCAATTTGGAAGATTTTTTTCCACATTAATTATCAATAAATTTCTCCTTCCTGAGTGCCTTATCTACATATGTGCATAAATTTCAGTTCTGAATGATTTTTATAAACACTGTCTCGCCTGTCCAGTGTTTTTTCCAAGTGCCTTTGCCAGACAGTCAATTCTCTGGTATATTAATATTAGTGATTAGCTTGAGTGGTTTCTTGAGAGCTTGTTCTCACTTTTTCACCATGAAGTCATGTGTGAATCTAGTTTTAGTTAAAGTAATAAACATTTGTTACATGCTTGGAAAAACTTTCTGACTAGACATGAGCTCATCTAAATGTTCACTTTTCACATATGCTGGTGGAAAAGGATATGGAGGGAGAGAGAATTATTTTTTATTTCCTTTATACATATGAGTGTAAAGTAATTTTCCAAAAACTCATGATATTGTCCCATTTTCTTTCTTCCAAAGCCATGATTATCTTGAAGTCTGAGTTAACACAGCTGTCTTTCATTACGTTCAGGGCGCAGACATCACTCACCCACCCTTCCCCCCAGGTCAGCTCTGACCCTGAAGAGCTCTTTCCTGGTTCAAAGGGAGCCTTTGCTGAGCCTGGCCACATTTACCTGGTCCCCCATCCATATAATTGAAAAATGCCATAAAAATCAAAATAAGGGGCTGATTTCATGTAGGAACAGGAGAATTATGCCAGTTCATCTACATTATTTTTTCTCTTTTGGAGATAAGCCATGGTTGCTGACTTTTCCTATAATAATAACCTTTCATTATTCCATTGAGCTTTCTACCATTTACATCACTGAGGTTTTTTATTTTTGCCCTGTTGTGATCATTTAAGATGAATGTTTCAGCTTTATCCTAGATGCGTTTGAGACAAGGCACTGTCCAATTGAGGAAATCTCCCAATCTCAGTTGAGGAAAACAATGGTGGAAAAATCCCTCTCAGCTTGGTACTATGAAAAAAATGACTGGGTTTGGGTCTGGCTAGTTAAATGATCTTGCCAATGTTTTTTTTTTTCTTTTCTTTTCTTTTTGCCACTCCTGAGTCTTAGTGTCTTTATCTGTAAAGAAAAGCTACCATTAAATCAGTGGTTCTTGAACAGGCAACCCTTGAGGATTTCCTGGGGAATTTAATAGAGCCTGGGCCCCACCCCAGAAATTTGGATTAAATCCATCTGGGTAAGGTCCTGCTTTCTGGTCCTTCTTAAAGCTCTCCAGATGATTCTAATGTGAAGGAGTCTGGGGTGAGAACCGTCTGAGCTCTTCAGAATCACCTGCTTCTGAGCTTGAGAAACAGGGCCTCCCGCTAGAGATTCCTAATCAGGAGGGCCGTAGTGGGGCTAACAAGTTCCTAGGCAATGCCCTTGCTGCCAGTCTCTGTTGGCTGATAGGTCTGGAGACTTCTGTCTGAGAACCACCGGATGAGATGACCCCTGAAGTTTCTTCCATGTCCTGCCTTCTGTGATCAGGTCTGCAAGCCAGCCAAGGCGGTCCTTTCGAGGGATTGCGTGGCTGCTCCAGGTTAATGTCCAACCCTGCACCCTGCTTCCATGCTTGTCCTACAGGCAGCACAACTACTGGAGGTTGGATAAACTGCTTCCTGTGGTTCTCAGCCCTTGCAAGAGCCTTTTCTGTAATCTCTGTCCCAAGGGCTATCTTTGGAACACATTAGTGGCTTTGAGTTCCTCACCTGATAGTCTTTGCTGCAATCAAATGTTTCCTGCAGTAGAAAACCAGCAAGCTTCTCCGTGGCCAGTCCCTTGGGACCGTGGGGGAGTAGAGCCTGGTGTTTCTTGAAGAATGAAAAACAAGGCACTGTAAATATTTCTGGCAGTGAGGAGATTCATTTGCCTTATCTTTATTAGATTGCCCAGAAGGCAGCAATAACTGGTGTTTGGCAAAGGACAATGTTAGGACTGGTTGTAAAATTCTTTTGGCAACAGTTGATATGCTTCATTTGAATACAGCAGAGCAATCTGTAGGGTCCATTCTGGCTTTAAAGGCTTGTACATAGTTTTAGCAGCACAGCTGGGATGGAAGGTGGACAGGGACAGTATTTGAAGTATTTTTGTTTTCTTTCCTGCCAGGATGACAAGGATTTGGTGCATGAATTTGTAGTGGCTGAAGGTCTGACATGTTTGATCAAGGTGGGAGCTGAGGCTGATCAGAACTATCAGAACTACATCTTAAGGGGTAAGTCATGACTGGGCATGCAGCAGCTGCCCCAGCTGCAGGGGGGATCTGGGTTCACCTTCAGGAACTTAACTACTGAGAGCTTTTTAAAAGACTTCGATTTGAGAGTAAGGTGGTAAAGACACCCTTTGGCAAAAAAACATCTGCCATAGGTAAAACAGGTTTTACCAGTTCCTAGTAATTAGCAACTGTGCTAATTTTTACTGACTTTCACCTGGAGTTATTTTACACGCTTACTAGGAAAACTGTACCACTCACTGGGTTCTTTATAATCTGTCTTATTTGTCCAGGAAGGAGACATACTAAATGGGCTTGGGTAAAGCCTGCATCTCAGCAGAAAGCCACCCCAAACCAAAGGGGGCAATTTATTTCTTGGAAAAAAACATTTTCTCCCAATTTGAGTTATCACCTGGGGCTTTTGTCAAAGTGCATATTTTTCACCTTGTCTTCCTGTTTCTGATTCGATAGTTTTGAGCGGGTCCGGGATTTGCCTTTTAAAGAGCGATTCTGATTTCATTTATAAAGCGATGCAAATGTAGAGTTTGAAGCACTGATTCCTGTTCCAGTTTATAGTTAATGGTGTTTTTATAGTCATAGGTTTTTTTGTGCACCTTCATATAAATTTCATTTGATCCTGTAAAAAAAAAAAAAACAAATAACAAACCTGTGCATAGGCAGGGCAGGAATGATTAGGTTGAACCGTATGAAATTGCTGCTATCAACAGTTTTGACCTACAAAAGAAGAAATTTTATATCGTCCAATATTATCTACATTTTCCAGTTGAAGAAAATTGAGACTCAAAGAAGTCATTAAATAATAAAGTCAATTCCCATAGTGTGCCAGGCAGCAGCTGTGCCCAGGCACTGAGGCATGTCAGGCGGGTCAGGGTTCTGCCATCCCCTCTGTATCTATGCCTGTGACCCCACAGACTGCATGTTCAGCGCTTGTAGGAGAAAATAAAACTACCAAAACCTTCCTTTCTTTTCTTCTTGGGTGAAGGAAGAATGAAAATCATACATGAAAAGTATGATTTAATATCAGATGTCTGTGTTTGGAGTTGAATGAGACAAGCAAACTGACACAGTCATCTCAGCTGTTTTGTTTTGCCCCGAGAATGCTTCCTTATGTTCTGTGGCGTTTTCCAGCCAATCAGAGCCTTCATCCCTCTTTCCCCTCTTCTGTAGAGCCACTGCAATTAAAAGCAACAGAGAGAACGTAGGGCTCATTAAAAAAAAATTAAGGTTGTCTTTTCAAGTCAGTGTTGTTTTGTTCATTTTGATAAACGGCAAATGTGTGTGAGAGTTCCTGAGCCTCTCACTTTGCTGACCCATGGTGTGTGCAGCAGTGTTTGTGGGGCTGCGGAGTTGGCTCTTTTTGTCTACTTTCAGTCTTTTTCTGGTCTTGTAATAGATCCTCCATTACAAGTTGTCAGGAGAGATGCTTTATTGCTGAATTTTGCTATTTCTATTCTTTTTTTTTTTTGAGATGGAGTCTTGCTCTGTCACCCAGGCTGGAGTGCAGTGGCGCGATCTCGGCTCACTGCAAGCTCCGCCTCCCGGATTCACGCCATTCTCCTGCCTCAGCCTCCCGAGTAGCTGGGACTACAGGCACCCGCCACCATGCCCAGCTAATTTTTTTGTATTTTTAGTAGAGACGGGGTTTCACCTTGTTAGCCAGGATGGTCTCGTTCTCCTGACCTCATGATCCGCCGGCCTCGGCCTCCCCAAGTGGTGGGATTACAGGTGTGAGCCACTGCACCCGGCCTCTATTCTTAATAATATAAACATTTATATCAAAGCTGTTGTGCCATGTTGCATCTAATCGCAGCCGTCTGTGTGTCTAAAGAGATGAGTGCAGGCCTGGATTCTCACTCTTGTGTGTCTGTTCACTTTGGTCTAACACCTAGACAGGAGGAAGGTGCAGAGATAAGGGTGGGAGAGCTTCCTCTAGTTTATTTTCCGGGTATAATATGGATGCCCATATGTTGAACCACAGGTAATCACCTAATTCTGAATAGTGGGTCCACACTGACAATATATTTTTTGTTCATGTTTAAAGTGTACATCATTTTAACATTACCAAAAAATAAGTTATCCCCAACACACAGAGACACACCTCTAGAGAGCTAATATTATAACCATCTTCTGTTTATCCTCATTCTTCTGACCCTTACCTAGGAGCACATTTGTGTATTTCTATTGCATCAGCGCAATAGTTTACCTCCAAGCCCAGGCGAGGGGCACAACTCTGCCCGCTGTGGTCAGAACTCACCCATTCCCTAGACCTCACGTGGATTAGAACTGGATTACATGACCCCCTGTAGCTGCACGGGAGGCTGGCAGAGTGAGTGCCTTCCTAGACTCCACAGGGGAGGCAACAGAGAGAAAGGCTTGGGCTTGAGGTTATGAGTCCCAGCTGCATAGAGGGAGTTCGGAAAGAAAACTCAGCACAGCTGAGAAAGCCTTTTCTGGTGAGCCACAGTGAGGCCCCTCCCACCAGCGGCCTGCAGGCTTTTGAGGGAATCCTTGTGCATGGGCAGGTTAAACACAGGTCCTGGTGGTGAGGGGTATGAATTGTACTTGCTGGCAATGGGAGATGATGTTGATACAGGGAACTTCATCCACATCCTCTACCTTAGTGAATATTTACCATGAAGCTTACAGCCGTTTATTTTATTTATTTATTTATTTTGAGACAGAGTCTCGCTCTGTCACCCAGGCTGGAGTACAGTGGTGCCATCTGGGCTCACTGCAAGCTCCGCCACCCAGGTTCACGCCATTATCCTGCCTCAGCCTCCCAAGTAGCTGGGACTACAGGCGCCTGCCACCACACCTGCCTAATTTTTTTGTATTTTTAGTAGAGATGGGGTTTCACCATGTTAGCCAGGATGATCTTGATCTCCTGACCTCGTGATCACCCGCCTCTGCCTCCCAAAGTGGTGGGATTACAGGCGTGAGCCACTGCGCCCGGCCACAGCCATTTATTTTGCAGTGTTCTGACCTGAATCAGAAAGGTGCCAGAGGCAATTCCCGAATGTTTAAGTCTCAGAACACTCATGACCAGGGGAGAGCCCGTCAACCACCTGCTGCTTCTGTTTTCTAGCTTTTCTGCCTGCCCTTCTATGACATGCCAAGAAGGTGAGGCCCTAGCTGCAGATAGGTCTTCCAAAATGTGAGGAGACCCTATATTTCCATTGCCACCACCAAAGCCTTGCCTTCATATTTTCCTTTCTAATAGTGTCCCTTTACTGGCGACCAGAAGGCTCCCCATGCATTATCTGAAAGACGAGCACTCCACTCAGGCTACTGCAAGACATCCTTCTTTCCACAGAACAGAGGTGCCTTTGCATGCCTATGTCTCAGAAGACTTGGTCACCAGGGCACTGTGCCCAATTGTCACCACATTTTGATGTAACCAACCAAAGCTCATACCAGGAAAGTAACTTCTGAGGGATGGAAATGACACATTTCTTGGGACGTGACATTTGCGTTTTCCTGCAGGGAAGCTATGATTTTCCTTAGTTCATACATGGAGTCACTCCTTTGTGACTTTGAACAATTTCTCACGTAGGCTTTTTTTTAAGGTTCTGATAACTGCTGGCAGCCACTGGACATTTGCGATCAAGAACAACCTTTGAATTACCTCTTTATTTGTCCACCCATGTTTTAACTGTGCTGTCTTCGGTGGGGACTGGTGAGGGCAGATGCAGATCAAGAGAAGAGGCTGGGAAAAGTTTTGCAGTTATTTTATTCACAGTTCCCTGAGGAGAAGACACAGCACCCATGCAGGGCCACTCAGGAAGCACAGAGGTCGGCCATGAGGTGGGGGGAGAGGCAGACTGTGGGCAAACACCTGCATTGTGGCTTCCAAGGGACAGGCAAGCCAGCTGAGGATTGGCCCCGAAGCTCAGAGTGGCTCTGGAGTGGCGAGGGCCTGTGTATAGTAGCCCAAGGTGTGAGAGCCCCGTGTGGGAGAAGGTTGGGGTGTAGACTTAATGGGCTGCTGGAGAAGACGAACTGGCTGGTCGCTAGCCAGGGCCTCAAAACTGGGTTAAGCTGGACACAGTGGCACATGCCTGTCATCTCCGCTACTTGGAGGCTGAGGCCGGAGGATCACTTGAGCCTAGGAATTTGAGGTTACAGTGAGCTATATTTGCACCACTGCACTCCAGCCTGATTAACAGAGCAAGACCCTGTTTTTAAAAAAGCTGTGTCAAGATAGCATTTTAAAAAATGATATTGCAAACCGTAAGTTGGGTTAATTGTCCTAGTGTCTTGAGAAGTGTGCCCTCATGAAGCCACCTGAGGAGCTCTGCTCTGTGTGGCTACATGGGAGTCCTACAGCCCCAGGGGAAACAAAAGCATGTGGAGAATCCAGGACTTTCCCAGATCTGCTTTTAGAACTCTTTATTTGTCTTTATTTGCATACACAGCCCCCTCTCAGCATTTTTTTTTTTTAAGGCCCAGGAATCCGCTGCTTTCCTTTGAGGATGTGTCTGCTGAGAGGTAGAGATAGGTTTAGTTACAGTGTAGGCAAGTGCTGTCCAAAGCTGTGAGCAGGCTGCTGGGAAGAAGTCTTAACTGTACAACGTGGAGGAATAATATTTATCTGACTTATTATTCCTGGGTGGTTGTAGCTAATGATCTAAAGTTTTTTTGGGATAGCCAGTATTTAATTTAAGTGTACTGTGAAATTTTGTACCTCACAATTATTCTTATAGAAGGAGGACCTAGAGTGGTATATTGCTGGGAACTTAAACTTTCTGCACACATTACTGAGCCTTCTCTATGGGCCATGCACCATGTCAGGCCCTGGGGTTGTGACGATGGAACCAAGATTCACACTGTCTTGAAGCAGGTCCCTGTGGGGTCCCCTGCATGGCATGTTTTATATGCTGAATTGCATGTGTCTTGTATGTTTGGAAATTGCACATATGTACTGTGCTTTGGAGGAGAAAAGAGAGAGAGAGATAAATAGAAACAGTAAGACCAGCTACCCTTTCTGGCTGTAACTCAAGAGAAACTGCCTCTTCGGGCTAGCTTTACATGGAGAAATTTAATTTGGTCATTTCATCTAAACCAAAATACCAATTAATCATAAAACGCCTCAGTCGGTATCAGTTATTTTAAAAGCTGGATAAGATCTTAAAACGCATTTAACTCAACCTTTTCATTTTAGAAGAAAACTGCAGATATATTTTGTTTGCCCTCATATATTGTTAAATGTTTTAATGGTTGTCAGCATTTAAAAATTGGGAGATTTGATATTTTTTTAAAAATGCAGATTTCAGGCTTCTTTGGAAAAACTGTCCCAGAGTTGACTATAGTCCACTATAGGAAAAAATCCTCAAATGCCATTCATATTAGGGGATCCCTTAATGAGAATCAGGATGTATGGTCAGATGGTGTTTGTTGGCATTGATGGTACCAGAAATGGAAATATCATAGATATCATGGAAAGAGATTTTATGATGTTAGAAGGCAGTGGCACAAAATGATCAAGTGGTAATTAAACTAACATCCTCCTTGTCAGAAAAACTGAAGTTTATATTTTGGCACTTTATAAAATGCCAAAAAGAGCAGAGGTTGGGTTTAGACTACAGGGAAGGCACCAAACTAGCCCCAAGGTGAGGAAATGGGAGCAAAGGGGAAGAATTTCTTGCTTCCTGAACTAAGGTTAGGTCTTTGGCTACTGTATTTTCCACGGAACAACCTAGCCTGACTCTCTGCAACCTCATGACACTGGTCCTGTGTCCCATGCAGCTGGCTTGGAGGAAGCTCTTTCCTGCCTCTTGCCAGAAGGGTTTTCTGCTTTGGGTCTGGACTTCAGAGATTATCATGGTAGCTGTACAGCTAGGCTTTGATGTGGATGACCCAGGAGTCTTGGAGGTGTCTTCAGCTCCAGGTGGGTTGAGGCCAGTGTTAAGAATGGAGTCCTTCCTCATTTGATGTCTCTCCTCTTGCTGAGTGGTACAACAGGACTATTTCCAATAAAAAATCACTGCAGCGTAAGCAGACTGGCAGCCTGTGGGGCTGAATGGAACCTGCAGGTGTTTTGTGTGCCCTATCTAACAGGTTTAAAGATTGTGAATTATGAACATTTAAAAACTTGGAGATTTGGCATAAAAATACAGCTTTCTGGCTTTTCTTGAAGTACTGAAAACTTAAGCCGACCCAGGCCCTGTGGGATGTGGACTGGGGAGGGCTGGAGAAAGTGGCCCTTGAAGCAGAAAGATGCAATCACCACGTGGTGTTTGCTTTTTCTTCCTCCTGTAGTTGAAACCTCTGCTTTAGGTGTCTTGGGGCCCTGGCTGGGTCTGACCTCCATCTGGCCTCTCTTTCACGTCTCCTTGGCATGCTGTTAGGGATGTGGCCTCCAGGGTGAACCAGCCACACTGCCCAGGAGTATGGTCAGGGGCAGGGAAGCTGCAGCCTGTAACTCCCTGGGAGGGGAAGGGAGGCCAAATCACCCTGTTGCTGTTGATATGTCATGACACATGCTTCCCTGGAGTGTTCTGCATGTCCCGTCTGTGGCTCCTCTTGCCACCCACTGTCACTGTGCATCAGGCCTGCACCCTCTTAAGAAACTGGGCCAGAGAGTAGCTGAGACCTGCACTTGTGTCCTCCTCTTTCCAGCCTGTACGGGTGCAGAGGACCCCAAATGGACTTAAATTGGACAGTTCATAGCTCTCCCCTGGCCTGCCAGGCCACAGGATACTGTGTCCTTGTCTTGCTTTTCTGCCTGACTTTCTGCAGTGCTGCATTTCTCACAGGAGGGAGCTGGGTGCTGGCCCCACTGTTCCTCCTGGGTTAGCTGCCGTCTCTCTGGTGTTTCTGGATGGATCTGCCAAGGTCAGTGGGGTGTGGTTGGCCTACCCCTAGTCTCAGGGCTCGGGGACTCTCTTGTCCATGTCTCATTGGTCATTTGGGTAGATTTGGAGGAGGGTGGTTTGGAGGCTCCTCGCTGTGCTTCTTCTGCAAGTGCTGAATGATCTGAGTCATCATTGCTGTGGTCTGTGGCCTGATGGCTGTCAGCCCCCAGCACTGTGTGCAGGAGCACCATGGGTCAAGTGGGCAAGGAGCTCCTGCCAGGGGAAGCAAGGCAAGGCCAGGGCCAGATCCTGACCTTTGGTGGGACAAAGTGTCCTTTGTACACCCTCTGTTCTGAGGTAAGAGAGGGAAGCTGGGCTACTCCATGGGTGGGGCAAGCAGCATCCACGACCCTGAGCCCTTTACCTCATTGGGCAGCAAGTGCGATATTTGCCATCAGCTTCTAACTCTACCTAAGCACTTTGGCTCTAAGGTTGATTTTGGTTTTCCCTCTTACTCTCTTCCAAGGTATTTTTTCCTGTGATTAGTGAATGCTTGTCTCTGGGTAACTTTAGTTTATGAAGAGTAAGGCTTTTCTTTCATTTTTTTTTTTTTTTTTTAAAGAGATGTAGTTTTAGTCTATCACCCTGGCTGGAATGCACTGTTGCAATCATAGCTCACTGCAGCCTCAGACTCCTGGGTCATGTGATACTCCTGCCTCAGCCTCTCTAGTAGCTGGAACCATAGGCATGTACCACCATGGCTGGCTAATATTTTTTATTTTTTGTAAAGACGAGGTCTTACTATGTTTCCCAGGCTGGTCTCAAACTCCTGGTCTCAAGAGGTTCTCCTGCCTTGGCTTCCCAAAGTGCTAGGCTTACAAGCATGAGCCACCACGCCCAGCCTCTTTCAAGTTGTAATTTTTCTTAAGTATAAGTTAATTATGAATATTGTTGAATATAGCAAGCATTCAGTTGTAACAGAAATACTTCATGTAGAGCATCTTTCTAAAGAAAGACTAGGTAGCCCTGGCAAACATTATCTCCAGCTGGAGCATCATTAGGCTGAACCATGTGAGGTTGCTGGTATTTGACCACTTTTTACCTACAGAAAGGGCAAAATTGTATGGTTTAACTTAATATTAGTGTCCTAATTTCATCTTAATCTGACTCCTTCTTAGGTTGATTAGATGCTTCTTAAAGTTCATCCTGCATTCAATCTGGAATCACATTTTTCCAGAAATTCAGGCCACTTTGCAAACCAAAAAAAGCCCTGGCAATGTCCTGCAATCATGCCTCCGAGTGCTTCAGCTTAAAGAGCCATTGTTGTCTCAGTCTTGGCCAGAGAGATTTCTCCAGAATTTTAGTTTCTACTGGAAGTCTCTTTCTCCTTCCTTTTATCTGAGATGAGAAGGAAGAAAGAAAAAGTTATTTGGCCATTCCTACACAGAGAGTGTGGAATTTTCCACGACCAAATCTCACTTCTGTGTTCATCAGGAATTTTTCCACTTTATTCATACCAAAGATGTGCCTCCTCACTCTGTCCTTCTCTCCTTGCTCAGTAGACTTTTCCAGAGGAGCTGCTGGCTAGGTGTGCCTTGAAGCACAATCGTTATTTCCTTGGCTCTAATTTTATCTCACACATGGTCTTCTTTTACAAGGTTTCTATTTGTGAATCCAGCTTTATGATAGAAGAAAATGTCAACAGCAAGATTTAAACCTAGCCCCAAGCATGGATTAAAACTTTTTTTGTGGGTGGGGTGGTGGAGCTAAGACTTTCTGAGGAAATATCAGTTGGTGTGTTCATAGATTTCTGCATTTTGGAGGCTTGAGGGCTCTTGGTAGATTGGGCCAGCCTCTTGGCAGGGTACCACGCCTTTTCTAACCCTGTGATTTCCCCTGCCATTAATGTGCCCAAGACCTCCAGCCCTGGCTACTCTCCAATGCCTCAGGCCTGTGGAGCCAGCTGTGCCCTGGTATCTCCATCTCCATTGCACCAGTATCTCCATCTCCATTGCACCATGCCCAAACCCAAAACCCATGTTTTTATACCCCAGTCAGTTCCTCCACAGCTCTGTTCATCATCCCAACAAAGCGTAATCATTCATCACATTCAATTCAGCCACCCTAGGGTCCTCCTAACCCCTTTCTCTCATTCATTCTTTGTAATCATCACCCACCAAATTAGGGCTTCTCTAAACCTTGACTCCCTTTCAAGTCCTTCCATCTCTGTCTATACCCAGTTTTTGAGTTCAGATCATCATTTGTTCCTTCCTAACCTGCTCTACCAGCTGCCTCATGGGTCTCTCTGCTTTTAGTCCTGCCTCCCTTTGGCCCATTTTGCCCTCTGTTGCATGGATGGACCATGCACCATGATCTGTTCTCCTTAGTCCTTGGTTCAGCTTCTTTAGTGGCTCCTCTCATCCTCAGGGTGAAATCCCAGGCCTTCTGTGTGGGTAGAGCCCACTTTGGTCCTGCCCTCGTGTGTCGGTGCAGTCCACTGCAGCCACTCCCTGCCATCCCAGGGAGGGTGATGTTCTGTCCTGCAGACCTTGGCATCTGCCTACAAGGCCTCGCTCACCCATCTTCATCTGGTTCACACATTATCTTTTGCTTCCTGCTCATCCTTAGATTGGAGTTCAGATATTGTAATCTCCAGGAGATCTTCCCTGGTTCCCGAGTATTTTGGCCCTCTATGCATACCCTGGTCTTGACTCACTGATAATAAATATTTGTGAACATACACTATGGACCAGGAACCCAAGGCTAATTCCCTGCACCATATTAGCCTTCGTGCATGTCAGGTTCCATCCTTGTTCTGTGAGATCCTTGAGAGCCAGGCATGTTTTAAGAGCTCAGTGAAAATGAGCTGACAGAAGGAATAGAAGAATGATAGACTATCTGCAGAGAAAGAGAAGTCACTACTTGTGAGAAAGCTGCTGATTTGTACTAGTAATTGGAGAGCCGGAATTTGCTTATTTGAAGCTTTAGTCCACCTGCTCTTGTTTCTGAAGCAGTATAGCACAAGGTGATTTGGTTTTGGTACTTTTCAAAAAATGCCGATGTACTAAACTTTCTTTTTGATAATTTTACTAGTTCAGTAGGTGGATATATATCTACTAGGGTGTATATCTTGATTTTAAATAAGACATGATTTATACAGATAAAATACATGCAAATATGGATTATACTGTACAGCCTGTTTTGTATGTGGAGGAATTATTTACCTGCCTCTGAAATAGATGGACTGTGGATTTCTTGGAGATGGGAGTAGTATCATCACAACCTTTGCAGCTGCACCAGCCTGCTCCTGAGTGCCTCATAAATATTCAACAAATAGTTGAGGAAGACAATTGAATGAATGCCTGGGAGAGGAGTCCCCAGAGCCATGCCATGGCTGTGTTGATCTTGTTGAGTGTTTTATGGGTGATTCCGGGTAAGCACAAAGTTTATACCAAGAAATGTGTGTGCATGATCAGGAGATGTGAAATGAGAAGACAGCAATTATATGACACATGTTCAAGTGTGATGTGGAGGGCTTTTACTTGATTTGATTTTCAGTATCCTCACTATTTCAACCTCATTATCTTGTCGTCTTTGCTTTCTTTACCCTGCCTCTTCTATCCCTAGCTGCTTAAAACTGGACCTTTCCAAAACCACTCACATGGGAGTTTGGCCTGACTTGTTTCTGGAGCCAGTTCCCACAGGCAGCTAGTACTCCCTAGCCCCCCAACCACACTGGAGTCGTGTCTGCCATCAGTGCTGTCTGGGCCCCAGCGTTCCTTGAAACAACTGCTGGGGCTGATGTTCCTAGAATTACAGCCCTCTTTTCTCCTTCCAGGTAACGTTGGCCTTGAGCTGGGCTTGAGTCTGCAAGGCTTAAGTGAGGGAAGAGGTTAAATGTCATTGGATAAATAAGGGGTTGCTTTTAGAGGAGGGGCAAAATTGTTGCCCTTAAAGTCAGATTAAAAGCAACGAGCAGGAGTTAAAAGACAGTGGTTTTTGACTGAAGACAAACTCCAAGAACAGAGTTGGAAAATTAGTTTATTTCTCTTGCCAACATAAATTGATCAGTGGTGCCTTTCTGGAGCAGTCTGCTGAGGATTCTGAGGCCACATCCAGCATCAGCAGGAAAGAGCGCCACAGCTGATTAGGGAAGTCTGTCAGTAGCTTCAGAGCTGAAGAGTTAGGGCAGGAATACTAGACATGATTTGGTTCTTCTGGAAAATACTAGGCACTTTCAGCATGTTTCTTGAGTTGATTTCAAACAGGTGTGTGGCAGTAAGGTTTCCAACAACAGAATATATCACTTTGCACTGGAAATGCTGTAGCAGAGGCCAGATGATCTGTTGGGGCTGCTAGGCTTGGGGTCAGGTGGTACTGGATGACCTCTTAGATCCCTTCCAGCTCTAAGATTCTGTGATTCTAAGTAAAATATAAAAAGCAGAAGGGATGAAAGCAGAGCTGTTTAACTTTCCCTCTTCTGCATGCTCCATATTAATTGCTGTAGGATTCCCAGGCTGTTACCAAGCACATGTTGTCTTCTTTCAGCTTCAAAGAAGGCTATCTGGTTACATGACATAGACCCCAGCCAAGTCATTGAAAACAATGGTGAACTATCTTTAGTCATTAAGAGGCTTGTATTCGGCTGGACATGGTGGCTTACACCTGTAATCCCAGCACTTTGGGAGGCCGATGGCTGGCAGATCACTTGAGGTCAGGAGTTTGAGACCAGCCTGGCCAACATGGTGAAACCCCATTTCTACTAAAAATACAAAAATTAGCAGGGTGAGGTAGTGCATGCCTATAATCCCAGTTTCTCAGGAGGCTGAGGCAGGAGAATCGCTTGAATTCAGGAAGCGGAGGTTGCAGTGAACCGAGACTGTGCCACTGCACTCTAGCCTGGGTGACAGAGTGAGGCTCTACCTCAAAAAAAAAAAAAAAAAGAAAAGAAAAGTTGATGCGGGTGACTAGCATTCATGTGATCTACGGAATTTTGAAGGATTGGCAGGGCTAGTGTTAGTTTATATTCAGGAATTCATATGTACATGGTGAGGCCAGGGGCGTAGGAGACAATGGTGAGCTTACTGCTTCTCCAGAGCCTGAGGACTGGAAGCCAGGAGGGCTCACAGAAACACCAGGGAGTTGGACTCATTGATCAAACCAAAGCAGGGCTGGCAAGGCAGACTGGTACCCGTGAGGAGAGTGCGCACAGGCAGCCCACCCTTGCTTTGCTGATTCACTGGCTTCCCTCATATCTACCCACATTCCCAACATGGTCCACACAGTTTCCATCCATGTGTGCATCCTGCTGGTCCACGCCTGTCTTTCTATCTGTCTTTTCCCAGCTCTTCCAGATCTTAATCTGGAGGATTGAATAAACATCGATCTTTCCCCAAATCTAGATTTCGTTGCTTTTTGTCAGTTTGTAGGCCCTGATTTTTCTATGGTTGGGGGCTTCTAAATAAAGATCAGCTGACTGGTTCATTCAGTCATCACCAAGTGCTACCTCATTGCTTTATGTGAGTCAGTCACTTTGGGGTCTGAGTAAAGGGTAGCAGAGAACAATGCAAACGAAACAATTAGAAATTGTGCCATCAAGCCAAGAATAAAGTGCTAACAGGAGGGAATTTATAATATAGTAGGGGAAGTGACATAAATCCTGTGATAGGCAGAATTCTAAGGTGGCCCAGAAGATTCTTTCCCCCAGTTTAGACCCTGTATAATCCCCTCCCCTTGAGTTTAGGCCAGACCTGTGAGTATAACGGATGTGTAAATATTATGGAACCATGATTAGGTTACATTGCAAAGGTGAAAGGGTTTTGCAGATGTAATTAAGGTCCCAAATCTTTGGATTTTGGAATCAGTCAGAGGGGAGATTATTCTAGGTAGGATGGGCCTAAATAGATGAATCCCTGAAAAGAAAGTCTAGAAGTCAAAGACTTCTGCTGACCTTGAAGAAGCAAGTTGCCATGAGTTCTACAGCTGCAAGGAAATGAATTCTGCCAACAACCACATGAGCTTGGAAGAGGACCCCAAGCCTCAGATCAGACCACAACTGACACCTTGATTGCAGCCTGGTGAGACACCCCCAGCAGAAGACCCAGTCGGGCCATGCCTGGATTTCTGCACCATGGAAACTGTGAGATGATAAATGTATGTTGTTTTAAGCTGCCAAGCAATTTGTTATACAGAGTTAGAAAATGAATATAGTTACATACAAAGAATCACAACACGAAGCCATCTGGACTTGCTAAATTTGGTACAGAATACTCTGACCTCAGAGGTCTTTTGTAGGGGAATCAGGGAAGATATCATGAGGGCAGCAACCTTTTACTGTCTTTCTGGGCTTCTTAGGCAACTACATGCCATCCATTCAAGCTGAATTCCCCTTGATCCCCTGCCTCTTCTTGCATGATCTTCTCACACGGTCTGTGCAGACCTCTCATGTGGGTCTCCCAACTGTTGACAATGTCCAGGACCACTGCAATAAAGGACTCTCTTCCACACACAAAAGAGTGACTAATGGAGAAGGCAATTTATAAGAAAATTTGGTGTTTCCTAATATGCCAGCATCATGAGAGAACATGGTAGCTTTATCAAGATTGGGCTGAGTTTTAGGAAAAGATGATCACTTGGGTGATCTTGGGATGATCTCACCTATGAAGACAAGCATGGGCACTGGGCCACCCTTGCTCTTCTTCAGAGATGCTCTTATCTCAGTGTTCTTTGCATCTCCTGTTTACTCATTGATTAATCCAGGAGATGATTTGCAGATGACTGCAGTGGGAGATCCAAGGGCTCGGCCAAGGCCCCTCGTCGTAAGGAACTTGGCAGTGGCTTAGCATAGGAGCCATCTAAGTAAAAGTGGATAGACACAAAAACACTGTATTTGTTAGGCATGGAATGAAAATCCTGAAATCATTCTTTTTTTCCCCCCTCAATTTTGTTTGCATCAGCATTATGTTTCTAAAGATGGTTGATAAATTTTAAGTAGTTCAATCCTGTATCATTTATTTCAAAGATAGTTATTCTTTGCTTAGTCACTCAAGATGTTTGCTTTTTCATAATTCAGCTTTTTTTTTTCTTTTGAGACTGAATCTTGCTCTGTTGCCCCAACTGGAGTGCAGTGGCACAATCTTTGCTCACTGCAACCTCCGCCTCCTGCGTTCCAGCGATTCTCCTGCCTCAGCCTCACCACCATGTCTGGCTAATTTTTATATTTATTTTATTAGAAATGGAGTTTCACCATGTTGGCCAGGCTGGTCTCAAACTCCTGACCTCAGGTAATCCACCTGCCTCAGCCTCCCGAAGTGCTGAGATTACAGATGTGAGCCACCATGCCTGGCCCATAATTCAGCTTTCTAAAAAATAGAATCAGCTTAATATATAGTGTTTCATGGGAATTTCATAAAACATGAAATGTGATACTTGAATCAAATACTCATTCTTGTGTAAGCAAACAGCAGCACAAAAGTATCTAGGCATTATCAGGCTTGAAAATAAAGGAGATATGTAACGTGGTGACTTTGTTTCTGAAATCATGTGGATTACAGATTCCCTCTATATCAGTCGAAGTCCTCACGTGAAAGGTGCTTGGAACCAAGAATAGCTGAACCTTTTGTAAATTACAGTTGAGATGTTAACCTTCTAGATGTATGAAGAAGAACAGTCAGTTTTCCCACCTTCTTGGACAAGCAGATATTCCCTGGAAGCTGCATCTGGAGGCTGTGGACCGGGGAACACTGGCCGGCTGGCTGTTCTTCTGATTCCTGGTGGAGGGGCCCTGGGAGGCTCATCCATCAGGAGCCCCTCTGACTACCTTCTCTGGAGCTGTGCCTGGTCAACTCGTGGGCAATGCTGTTGTAGTACTGCTCTTTAAAGCCGAGGGAGAGAAGCACATCATCATCTGAATCATCTGGTCTAAATTTGATTTTCTGACTAATCATGCAATGAGAAGAAGCATAATTTCTCTTAAGAAGGGATTTAATTAAAAAGCACCCTAAGTGCTTTGTGAGTGCTCTCCAATCTGCCGTATCATGAGAGATAGTAGCAGTGCATCCTGTCATCTAGCTGAATGGGCTCCTCGAATAACAAAACTGATTCTTCTCTCTTCACTTTTTGTCTTTGCGGTTGTATGACCGGGCAGCAAGACACTGCAGGGAGAAACGGTTTTGTATCGTTTCTTCTCCATGTGGGTGACAGCAGGTGTGGTGGGCACATAGGGCCACTGTTATCTGACAGCTTCTGGGTCTGAGACCCTGGGGTGCAATGGCTTCTCCTGAAAGTTGCCATGCTGAGCACCTTTGAGCTGCAGCATGTAGGCTGGCCATGGGGAGGTTCGTGAACCTGGCACATGGCAATGGAATTGACAAGATATACCACCAGTGTGGTAGAATACCCTCTATTCTGGATCTATATTTGGGTGGATTTATATTTGAGTGACATGGAATATCTATATTTGAGTGACATGGAATTGTCTGAATTTGCCATGCACTTGATCTCTGTGTATGTTGAGCCCTCCACCATCTCAGCTCACTGCAGGACTTTACCCTTTGTCCTACCCTTTCCATGACTCATCTCCTGGGCAGTCCTTCGTAAATACCCTCTCTGCATGTGACCTTCCCTCACAGAGTATCCATAACCATTTGCCCCTTGCCCTTCCCCCTGACTAGGTGGTGTTCTCCCTGAGGACCACACACTTACTTGCACCTGGATCCTCTGTTTCCTGCACAAGCAGGCACCTCTTACAGTGCCTGGTGCATGGCAGGCCCTTCAATAAAGGAATCAGCTGGGGATGGTTGTCCTGAAGGTGTAGGGGGAGAACAAACCTGTAGCACTAGGATAAGACAGAGAAGTCTTAGAATCAAAAGCTAGAAGGAAAGCCCCACAAGATAAGATCTTGAGCATAGCCAGAGGCTGTCTGTGCATGTGTGGATGATTAGATGGAACTTTGACATTCTTAGCTTGTCCCATCAAGGCTGCCATACTGTAAAACGGGACCTGAAATAGTTGGCCTGGCTCTGGGCATTTGGAATAGTTTGCTGGGAGCAGTGCTGATCAGAGAGCCCTGTGTTTCTCAGAAATAAAGCCTGTCTTTCTATGGCTCACCTTCTTTTTCCTATGTAAAGGGCACCATGCTGAGAGATCCGAAGGGCAATTTCATGATGTCCTTGTCCCTCGCTTCAAGGTGACAACCTGGATACATCTGAGCTGGTGTCCTGTGTCTCCTTATGGCTTTCCCTTTTGGCATCAGATAATGTAGTAAGTTCACCCCTGTGGCCCTCTGGATACTGGGCAATTTCATCTGCTTAAGGTTTACACAACGCCAGCGCCACACGCACAGCAAAATGCCACTGGCTTTGTTAATTAATCTTCTTATGGCATTAAAAGAAGAACATGGTTGTTAGATCATGCCTTGAAGATTTTGAGTGCTGAACGACGTTCGTTGTACAGCTCTGCCCTTTTAGAAAACGGGACCACTGCACACCACCTCACCTGTTCTCACACGGGCTTCTGTGCTGATAGTCCGTGCCACATCACTGTCCATCTCATTTCTCGCACACTCACTGCCCTGGGGGTGGGTTGGCATTAGCTGGACAGAATGTCACACAACACAGGTAGCTGCTCATGCTCTTGGGAGAGGATTCTGACCCCAAGCAGATATCACTATCATTTGCTACAAAGAGGGTTTCTGGAGGGCAGATGGCAGCATTTTCCCTTGGAGTTGTATAAATAGATGTAGCTGTTGGTGATGCATGTACTGGTTGTGGATATTGCCTCTGCAGATGTAGCTAAACGCCATCTTGTTTAACTTGAATATGCTTTTGATGGGGCATTCTTGTGGTGGTTCAGGAAATATGGCAGCGTTCAGGGACAGATGGGTGTAATTGCAAATTCCTTATCAGACTGATAGGGTTTGATGGTGATTTTGTCTGATGCTCTTCGTTTAGCTGCTGCTCGTGTTATACAGCAAGGCAGTGGCCAAGTCTCTTTCCAGTTTCTAGGTTAAGATTTGGGAACAGTCTCCTTGAGTAACTTCATATTTCCACAGAAGAGAGGCTTCATTGAATAAGTGCATCTTGCTGTCTGATTTTTTCTTTAATATGAAAACCTAAATGGGCATAGGGTTCTAGGGATTTTTTTTTATATATATGTTTTACAGATGTAAAAAGGTTAAGGTGGGCTGGGCACGGTGGCTCACGCCTGTAATCCTAGCACTTTGGGAGGCTGAGGCGGGTGGATCACTTGAGGTCAGGAGTTTGAGACCAGCCTGGCCAACATGGTGAAACCCTGTCTCTACTAAAAATGGTGGTGAGCGCCTGTAATCCCAGCTACTCGGGAGGCTGAGGCAAGAGAATCGCTTGAACCCAGGAGGCAGAGGTTGCAGTGAGCTGAGATCGCGCCACTGCACTCCAGCCTGGGTGAAAGAGTGAGACTCTGTCTCAAAAAATAAAAATAAAAATTAAAAAGGTTAAGGTGGTCTGAACCTTGAAAAGGCCACTTAATTTGGAGTAGAATCCCATCGTTCAGCATCGAAAGTCAGATCTCTGACAAGGTTCCCTGCCGGGCTTGGTAGCGACAGGCTCTGTGAGGGTTCCAGGAACACTGCTCAATGTTGAAAACCTTGCTTGAGAGGGACCAGCCTTCCAAGGTAGGGGGTTTGGTCATGGGGGGTGGGAACACATGAATCAGGCTTATGAACATGGGATACATTTACATTCGAGGTGGAAGACTATGTATACTCTCATCTGTTAATGACTTCCCTTATCAGTCGTGTTTGTAATGAAAATCATTTTGAAACATATCAGACTTAGAAAACGGTATAAAGAGTAATAAAGTGAATCCTTGTGCACCCACCACTCAGCTTAAAATAAGAAGCATGACCAGTACGTGATTTGGCCTTTCCTGACCACTGCTTAAACAATTAATAGCACCTTCTCCCCACCTGGCTTCTCCTTGCCTGATGCTTCTCTGTAGGGCTCAACATAGTCTGTCAGGCTATGTGTGTTACTTAATGGTGGTTTCTTTTCTCTCTACCCCCACTAGGGCAGGGGCATCATCTATTAAATTGAGTGTCCCTGCTGCCTAGAACAACACCTTGGCACAGAGGACTTGTGTTTGTGAGTGATTGTTGAGAGAATGAGTGAGTGTAATGATGTGAGATCCATCCATGCTGGTATCATGGCTCTCGCCTGTCCATTTTCACTGCTGGGTAGTATTCCGTTGTATGGATGTACTGCAATTATTTATTAGTTCTCTGGTTGGTCCACATTTAGGTAATATCCAGGTTTTTTGAGTTGCAGACAATGCCAGCATGCACATTCTTGTTGTATTTCCTTGTGCATCCATGTGATTTTCTCTAGGATTTACCTAGGGGTAGAATTGCTGGTCAAGGGGTTATTCATAATGTTCTCATAACATACTGTGTATTTTCCAGCCCGGGTTAGAACTGCTACTTCTGAACACAGGAGTCTTGCATTCATCCTGGGTTGCTTCTTAGTAGCTGGGGCTTTTGTTCTTAGTCTTGTTCTCCCTGAGGCCCCTGCGGTGAGTGACTGTGTGACTGAGATGACTGGAGACTTTGGGCTGGGAAAAGACTTTTCCTTGGCCTATTTCCACTGGTCCCCAAGGGTCTTGCCTCTGTGACCATGGTTGAATTAGTTCAGTGTCCAATGGCTGGCCTGGCTGGACACAGGATGTTAGAGCCAGAAGGTGCCTTAGAGGCCTCCTACTCTAACCTCATTTTGCACATAGGGAAATTGAGGTCTAGAGGGCTCTGGTGACTTGCTGGTGGTTTTGTGGCTGGACAGTGATCGAGCTGTAGATGTAACCCAGCCAGAGTGCTTTCTGCATCATGAACAGAAGGAAGACCCATCTGTGAAGGATGCAAGCAGTCACTGTCTCCATCTGTGCATCACTGGGCCTGCCACATGACCATGGCCCAGTGCCTGCAACCCACCCCTGCTCCCTCCCGAGGGATGCTCTTCTTTCCCCTTTGATAACCTTGGCTTTGCAGTTTGTCCCTTTGCTTTTTCTTTCAACTGTGCCCCTTATTTCAGCCCTCACAGTCACAGCCATTCCTGTCCAAAACACTCTAGTGGTTGAGACCCTTCCCCGATCCTGAGCTGCCCCTCCATGTTCTGCCTGCTGGCCCCATCTTGCCTCCCTTCCTAAATCACAGAAAAGCTCAACTGGGCTCATCTGGAGGGACAGAATGCCTCTGGGATGCATTTGCAGTACCTAAGATTACATGGACTCACTGATTTCAAAGGAGTCTGTTTGATACGAACAAACATTGCTTTAATGCCATATGGATACAGCAGAAGTCACAGGAACAGCTTATAGACTGAATAAGTCTGAAAAACTGTCTCCAAAGTGGAACTCTCTGGGACTGGCTCTTCCTCCAGCTCCTGTCCCACGTCTTCCGCTGTCTACAGCCTGCGGTCCTCTCGGAGGCAGGATGCTTGACACCAGAGCAGTTTGCCCACAGGCAGGCTGGCTCCTGCCTGGGCTATTCCTGTGCGTGTCACAGTCTCCCCAACTCTCTCCTGCCCTGCCCAGCCCAGCACCTCTGCATTCCCTTTATCCTTTTGCCGAGTCTTGTACTTTCTTTTGAAATATCTTTCATTTCCATTTCTTTCCCTCTGCTCTCCTGCCTGCCCTCAGCCTCACTGCTGGCCTGCTTCTGTTCTCTGCACAGCTGCCTCTGGAGAAAATCTCCCTGCGGCGTGGCTTTCATGCAGCCATTGGAGGAAAACCCTAAGTTCCTCCCAGGCCTCAAGTTGTACCTCTTAATGTTTATTCTCCATAACCGTAATTTGGAACATCAGCAAGGCTCTGTGATTTCTAGACTTGGAGTACACCAAGAAAGTATGGAGTATCTCTTTCTCAGTGAGTGTTCGGGGAACACAGGGCAGTGATTGCCACAATCCAGTCTTTAGTCTTGGTCTGTGTGTTTAGGAAACTCCAGGACCCATACGCTCCTCTTCCCTGGCCACTTCCCTCAAGTCTCACCCTCCCTGGAAGAGAGAAGGAAGAAAAGGGACATCCATAGTGGCTTCTGTGGCACCTGGGGGACAGGGGACCAGTGGAGGTGTCTTTGGGCTGTCATGCCCATAGGAAGAGCTGCTGTGGCTACTGGTACTTGTGCTCAGCCTGGCAGAGGGAGCTTCTGGTTTCCTTCCCCATCAGAAATATTTCTGAGTCTCCTGTCTACTCTACTCTTGGCAGGAGAATGGAAACCGAAGCTCTTCCAAGAACCCTCATGAGTCATCTCAGATCCTTCCCAACCCTCTTTGTGTGAAGAATCAGTAGTTACCACGTGTTGTTCCACAAATCCTGGGTTCCCTCGGAGACCCACCGGGTCCCACCCACACCTGGAAGCAGAGAAATCACCCTCTAACCTCAACCGCAGAACATCCAGTTTTACCTGTTTGAGATTTTGAGATTGCATGGAGAGTTCTTTTGGAAAAGGTTCCATTAAAACGTTTAAAGGCAAGAAACCATTGTTAGAGGAGATGAAATAGTGTCTCGTTGTGTCATTCAAGGCCCTTCCTAACGTGGTCTCTACCATGTCCATGTTTGATTGACTTGCTGTCCCCAGCGTGATGCCCCATTGGGTGGCCTGCCTGCCTGGGCTTCCCACAGTGGGAGGGGCTTTGTAAGGATCCAGGTGAAGCTGAGCCACTTGGCCCTCTGCACAATATTATGCTTCCTCGAGGCCACAGACATGGTGGGTCTACTGGAGCTTCAACACATGAAGGACCTTAGAACTTGAACTGGGCTGTTTATAGAAGATAGGCAGCCAGATGTTAGTGCTTGGAACTCAAAATTCTCAGAGGCACAGTTTCCTCATCTGCAAACCAGGCATGATGAAAGTATCCTCCTGATAGTTTGGTGTAGTGTTAAATAGATGAGCATGTGCGACGCATTTGGATGCATCGCGGCTTGTAGTGAGGGCTGTGGCAGTGTCTGCCCTACTACTAACACAGCTAGAAGGGACAGGGCTGGGACAGAGAAGGTTGTGCTGGCCAGGTCCTAGAGGCCTTCCTCTGCTATGTCCTGAGCGTGTGCTCTTCAAGGGGCATGCTGCTGAAGCAGCCCTTCTCCAAAAGTGCTTGTCCTCAAAGTGGATGGTGAGTTGTGGTGCTGTAGGTGGCATGGAATGGACTCAGAGGGGCCGGCTGCTGTTATATGCCCAGCTGCTCTTGAAAAGGTCTGAGGGCCTTTTTAATGGTCTCCCGATGAGCTTCGTAAGGATCAATGACTTTGATAACTGGGCAGGTGGGTGGAACTGCGGAATCTGGAGGCCTTCTGGGAAGACGACTTATGTCTTAGTTATTGGGGAAACCATGGCACAGCCTGCCCTGACCTCCAAGACCTGCTGACACATCAGGAGGTAAGAAAACCTGATGAAAGAGGCTCCCCGAGGTATGTTTGTAATTGTTTGAGGACAGGAGTAGGGAAGGAGAAAATGGAATAGTGGAATATGATGTCTAAAATGCCTTTGTGTTTTTGAGAAATATCTTCCCCATTAGAGTTAAGAATCAGAGTGTGCCAGGATTGCAGGGCAGTGTGAAGGCCATCTGGACTAACTTCCCATCCATGGCTCCTTCTCTCCCACACAAGTGGACCTCCTGCCTCCAATGATAAGAAGCTCACCGCCCTTAGAGTGGTGATGACCCATCCTGTTTGTGGACACTTCTGACCCACAAAAGTCCTTCCTTCCCAGAGTCCACATCATCCTAACTTCCTCTTCTTGGCCCTGAATGTGGGACGTGCAGCCAACTCTAATTCCTATTGCAGTGAAAGCCCTTCAGGTGCCTGAAAAAACTGATCACAGCCCTGCTGCTGCTTCTCCTATGTGGTTTAGGGGAGCATAAAACCACAGCTAAGTCAGGGGTGTGGTTTCCTTGCCTGCCTCTGGGTAATGCTGTGCTGTTGTTTCTAAAGAGTGAGAAAAGAAGACAGTGTCTCATGGCCAGCTGTGGTTGGGACAGGGTGAGTCTGAGAGGATGGGCTGATGAGGAGCAAGGGCTGTTCCTGCAGCTGGTCCTGAGAGGAACTGGTCCCCAACAAGGCTGACTGGCAGAGGTGGGACTATTTTCTTTTATTTTATTTATTTATTTTTTATTATTTTATTATTTTATTTTATTTTATTTTATTGTTTGAGATAGGGTCGCACTCTGTCGCCCAGGCTGGAGTGCAGTGTTGCGATCTCAGCTCACTGCAACTTCCACCTCCCGGGCTCAAGCAATCCTCCCAGAAGGTGGGATTTTATAAGGGTAGCTCGTTAAGCCCAGCATCTGCCTATGTAATTGCCTTCAGTTATTATTGTTGATCAGTACATTCAAAAGATGTAGAGGACTGAATCTGTTCTGCTTAGCTTGCCTTTCCCCTGTTTTACAAAGCGCTGCTGAACCAGGTGGCTCTGGAGGCACACTCCAGCAAAAGAGAAGCTTGTTTTCCTGGTGCTAACTTGCAAACTCCAGGTCTGGCTTTTACTCGGCTCTATAAATTTGCTGTGCTTAGAAGGCCATTCAAAACACTCAGGAACATCTGCCTAAGTTTACCCCACCATGGGGGCAGAGGCCCTACTGGGCCAGTCTGGGCCACTTTGATGTCTTTATAATGTTTTTCTTCTTCTTCTGTTTCTTGTTTTACTAACTTGTCCCGTTTGTTCCTTCAAACTCCATGCCACCCCATCCCAGGAAATACACATTTTCAGATTTAAAAATATTGCTGTTATCAACAAAAAAAGTAGCACTACCAAAACAGTGCTCCCTGAAGCATTGGGCTGTGAGCTTATATGCAAGGCTCCATGGCTTGGTCAGTTGCTTAGGTGAAATATATAGTTTTCACTCTCTAAGAGTGAAAATAGCATGCTCTAGACTGACAGTGTCATCCCAGATTGGAAGATCCAGAATGAGTCCTTAGACTGAGGTTCTTCACCCTGTCTGCCCCTGGAGCTGCAAGCCCATGCTGGTATCCCAAGGGCTGGGCAAAGCTTCCATCCCTTTCCCTGGTTCCTAGCGCTTCCCCTAACAGTCACTTCCTAGTTTCTTATGCGAGAAGTAAAGGGTGAAGCTCAGGTCTGAAGACTGGAAGGTCATCAGTAGTAAAAAGCTGGGCCACTGAGGGAAGCATTCAGCAGGAATCCTTTAATCAGGTCCAGTGTTAATTGATTTGCCTGAAGCCAGAAGCACTTTGGAGAGGAAGACCCATCCAACAGCAGAAAATCTGACTTGGAGTATACTTTAAAATAAATGTGTTATAGTTACCATGTAGGCACATTGAGTGCTGGCTTAGTTGTGCTTTAATGAACAATAATTAAATTACTTAAAATATTAAAATTAATATTTTATGTGATTGTTGTAACAGTATTTAATACTACTAAATATTTGTATTTAATAATTCAATAAATTTTTTTGCCAGTTTATTTATATTATTAACTTATGTTGGAGGTTAGCAAACTTTTCCTGTAGAGAGCCAAAAGGTGAATATTTTAGGCATTTTGGTCCAAGAGGCAAAACTGAGATTATTGAGTAGGTACTTCTATGATAAGAGAGAAAGAAAATTTGCAGATTTTTTAATTGACTAAATTCAAACTACAATAGTAATAATTGAGTACAATGTTTTTATAACTCAGATTTACCAATGATATGAATGAAATTTTGGTGGGAGAAAATAACATTTCACTTAATTGGGGTCCAAAGTTAGTGTTTTCTGTCATCAAATTGATTATAAATGTTTATCTGTAAAAACCCATTCTTAGCTCTCTGGCTGTGCAAAAACAAGTTATGAATCAGATTTGGCTTATGGGCTGTGGTTTACCAACCCTTGATTATGTTATACAAATTATACAAATGATTTGTTTAGAAAATTCATCCCTCCTCCCCATGGATGGGGCCAAGGTAACTGTCTGGTCTTATACAAATACAATTTCATCTCAATTTCACAGTCTCTTAGTATTTAGAACTTTGCGACACTTTGATTTTAAACCATTGCTCTGTGTATTTGAGTAATTTTATAAATAAGTCTTGGTGACTTCCTGTCATTAACAAAAATGGATTTAAGAAGTCAGCGCCCGCTGTGCCCATTTAGGAATCCTGTAGTTGGCTGTAGACAGGGGTCACATCGCTGTACTCTTTCTGCTCTGCACACAGCTCCCCTCTGCAGGTTTTCTGCATCTGAGCTCTGTGCTGGCTCTGCACATGTGCACATGCCCTTCCTTGATGCTGCAGCCACCTGCCAGAGAAGCTACCCTGAGCACAGAGGCTCCCCACTGAGGCAGAGTGGGCCTGAACAGCATCTGGTTAGGATCAAAGGAGGGAGGAGAGTAGGGAAGGGCTTGTTCCCACACTCCTGTCTGCTTTTTTTGCTGCATGGAGGCTTCCCATGGGGTGGCAGGCAGTGGCTGCATCATACCCAGCCAGTCGGGACACACTAATTCTGCTAGCATTCCTTGCCCCAATACAAATGCCCAAAGAATATTCCTTTTTTCCCCTTACTTCAG
This sequence comes from Homo sapiens, assembly GCF_000001405.40. Lineage (NCBI taxonomy): Eukaryota > Metazoa > Chordata > Mammalia > Primates > Hominidae > Homo > Homo sapiens. Next base: position 36,536,871 of record NC_000018.10, read on the forward strand.
CTGAAATACTATAATTTTTCAAAAGGAAACTTCTCTAGAAGTGACAAGAAGGAAAGAAAAACAAAGGTAGAGAAAAATAAACTTATAGAATCAGTAGAGCTTGATGCAGATGTCCTAACCTGACTGAAATCTGATGTGATCTTGGTTTCCCTTAAGTCCAAGTTCTCTCATTTTCCTTTTGTTTTAAAGCCAAAGCTTTCACTTGCTTTGCTTGTCTGTTGCATCAGGCTTAGTGTGGATAGCTTCAGGTGTAGCTTCCAGGTAGTCAGTATGGCCTGTCTCCACTCCAAACAGGACACCAACTCCCTGACTCCCTGATAATTGTATTTTTACGCCAGGGTGAGAAGCCTATGAAGTCTTTGCAGACATCCTGTCACTCTGTTGCTGTTCGCCACATACTCCAGTTTTCCAGCTTTCTTAGCATTCCTATTTGTCACCATCATGTCAGACTGTTATTCTGGGATTTTCTACTACCATTTTTAGTCACTCCTTAATGGTTCTCCATGCTGTTCTCAGATGGGGAGCTGGGACTTTCATTCCTGTCTGGTGGTAAGGGCACCCCCCTTGCCCAGGAGCCAGTGGACACCACATGGGGAACCTGGACTTCTACTTCCACCTGGTGGTAATGGTTACCCTTTCTTCTCCTTGCTGGGTGGGTGTCAGAGAAAGCCAAGTAGGCACTGAGGGCCTTCACATCTGCTTGTTTGAAATAAGGCAAAGAAAATTACCAGAAACAGAGAAGGACATTACATAATGATGAAAAGTTCTGGCCACTTAAAAAGTAAAGCAATCCTAATATGCACCAAACAACAGAGCTGCAAAATACATGAAGCAAAAACTGATAGAACTGCAGAGAGAAATAACAAATCCATGGTTATAGCATAAGACTTTAACACTCTAAACAGTTGGTAGAATAATTAGAAAGAAAATCAGTAAGGATATAGTGTAAGTCAGTAACACCATTAACCAGGATCTAATCACCATCTACAGAACACTTCCCTCAGTAGCAGAGTCACACATTCTTTTAAAGGGCCCATGGAATATATACCAAGATAGACCATATACTGGGCTGTAAAAATAAACCTCAACAAATTTAAAATAACTAAACTCATGCAGAATGTGTTCTTCAACCACAAGAGAAACAAACTATAAATCAATACCAGAAAGATAAGAGGAAAGTCTCCAATCATTTGGAAACAAACAAACAAAACACCCTTCTAAATAATCCATGGGTCAAACAGGAAGTCTCCAGAGGGGAAAAAATATAGAATTGAGTGAAAATACAACATATCAAAACTTATGGGATGCAGCAAAAGCAGTGCTGAGGTGACATTTTATAGAACTAAATGTCTATATTAGAAAATAAGTCTCAAATGAAGAAGCTCCCACCACAAGAAACTTGAAAAAGGAGAGCAAAACAAACCTAAAATAAACAGAAAAAGGGAATAATCAAGATAAGAACAGAAATCACTGACATTGAAAACAATGATGATAGAGAAAATCAAATGAAGTTGATTGTTTGAAAAGATTAATAAAATGGATAGACCTGTAGCAAGAATCACAAAGAAAGAAAGACACAAATCATTAATGTCAGGGAATATTTTGGGATAGGGTATATTCCTACAGATTCTGCAGTATCAAATGGTTAATGCAAGGACTCTATACATATAACTTTGACTACTTTAATGGAATGTACCAATTGTCCCTCAGTAGGTTAATGGTTAGACTGCAGTACATCCATACTATGGAATACAACTCAGCAATGAAAAGGAATGAAATTATTGGCACATACAACTTGGATGGATCTCCAAGGCATTATGCTATTTATAGGACATTCTTGGAGCAACAGTATTATAGAGGTGAAAAATAGGAGTTGACAGGGGTTAGTGATGGCAGTGGTGGGAGGTAGGAATGTGTGTGATTATGAAGGAATAGCATGAGAGTGTTCTTTGTGGCGATGGAATAGTTTTTTCATCTTGACTGGGGTGGTAGTTACATGAATCTGCATGTGATAAAATGATATGGAGCTATCCATGCACATTTTACCAAAGTGAAATGCTTGGTCTTGATATAGTACTGTAGCTAAGTAAGATATAATCACTGAGGGAAACTGGTGAAGAGTACCTGGGATCTCACCATACTACCTTTGTAATTTCCTGTATATTTATATTTCAACATAAAAAGTAAAAAATCAGTACGCATCTTATGTTGCTTAGCTTCTATAAGACCACTATCCATACTCAACCCAAGAAAACACCACACAATTAGCATAGGCTGGATTATTACATTTGTTATGTTCAACGAAGTGATATCATAGTCTTTGTGTTTTTTATGATGATCAGACCCACTTTTGAATTCATTCTGTATTCAGTACTACATACTATATTCTATAGACTGAGTTGGCTGAAATCCAGGACATAATAAGTAGGTAGGGGAACTTGGGCAAGATTTGCTAGGCAGGGCATGCTGTGACTTTAACTATTTGAATAATTCACGTGTATAGAAGACATGGAGTTATTCTGGGTGAAGGTGCAGATGCCAAAACCAAGGCCATTGCGTAGAAAGTGTCTAGAGTGAGATGGGGGCCCAGTCACCGTCCAGAGAGGAAAGCAGGCCACAGTTCTTCCATTGCTCAGACGTGCCTGGAGTGGTGAGCAGAGACTGAGTGAACACCTGCTGTGGAGGTGGGCACTGCAGTGGCAAAAATGGGGACTCAGTGGCACCTTTCAATGGCAGACCCAGGCTCTTGGCCAAGTTGTGATGAAAGAAATTCAGCAGCAGGTGGGCGAATCAGAGGTGACAAAACCCTGTTTGGGGCTGTTTATCACCATTTTGAGAAAATTAAAACCAAAGCAATGTTTTCTGAGACTATTTTTGAACCCATTATGAGTATGATTTCTAGAGTAGGAAGTACAGGATTGGAGGATGATGTGCTCATTAAAGTCCCCAAGAATGGACAGCAGTGATGATTCAGAACAGGCAAGTCCTGGAAGAGGCCTGGTTCCGATGTGGCAATAGGGGAGTAGCTTGAGGAAACACACTGCACATCCCTTGAAGCCTTGGACTCAACAAAGAGAGGCCCTGAAGAATTAAGTGGGCTCTCTGCTGCCTCTGGCTTCATGTCGCCTGTATTTAAATCATGATCCCTTTCATCATGTTGTTCCAACAAGCATATTTTCCAGAGATCAAAGCAGATTCCTCGATGACACACATAAGAAATGCAGGCGTGGGGTGGAGGTGACATGAGATATTAGACAGGTTTGTAGGGCCTTTAAGAGGGGAAAATTCTGCATCTCAAGAATGCCCAATTCAGCCAGGTTCCAATTATGGTGGTAATGTCACGTGTCAAAGCAGTGATGTCTAATTATTTACCTTATTTATATTTGTCAGCACACAGAGCAGCCAAATGTAATTCCTTCAACATTTCTTTTTGGAATGACTCTCAGAACTGTGGTGACTGGAAGTTAGTAGAGTAAATGCCTCCATGAACAAAGACGTTGTGTTTCCGTGTCAGACATCCTTGTGTCTAGAAGGTGGGCTTGCTTAAGCTGGAGCTAGGGCTTTCGTAGACAGTTTGGAGGTGCAGTTGGGGAAAAGAATGCTCATGGTGCCAAATGCCACTTAGCACTCCTAGGGGACTTTTGTTTAAATTAATGCATTTGCAGTGATATATGTGACAGTGCTGCTATATCCAGGTCTGCTTCTTCCTGACCAGGTTCTACTTAACTCAATGGCACCCAGTGATTTAAGTGGGAATTGGGAGAGGGTGAGATAGAAGAGTATAGGGGGAGAAGGGAGAGTTGTACAAAGTGTGAAAAGGAAGGGTGATTGACTGGAAAGTGTGATTCAAGGAAGAAGGTGGAAGTCCCTTATACCAATTCCTGGGCCTGTAGTTAATCCATCTGGCATCTCTGCTTCCAGGGCCTATGTTGTGGGGCAGGGCACACCTAATCCCATTCATACTTACATTAGTCTTGACTTCCCCTAATCCTCTTCTCCATATTGGTGTACCCGCAACAACAGTAAATGTGTTTGGTTCTGTTTTGTTTCTTTTCCTGTTAGCATAGCCTCAAAAGGAGATTATTAAAAGAAATGTTGGGCTGGGCGTGGTGGCTCATGCCTGTAATCCCAGCACTTTAGGAGGCCGAGGCAGGCGTATCACCTGAGATCAGGAGTTAGAGACCAGCCTGGCCAACATGGCTAAATCCCATCTCTACTAAATATACAAAAATTAGCCAGGCCTGGTGGCATGTGCCTGTAATCCCAGCTACTCTGGAGGCTGAGGAAGGAGAATCACTTGAACCCGGGAGGTGGAGGTTGCAGTGAGCCAAGATCGCACCACTGCACTCCAGCCTAGCGACAGAGCGAGACTCTGTCTCAAAAAAAAAAAAAAAAAAAAAAAGAAAGAAAAAAGAAAAAAAGTGTTGGCAGGGCGTGGTGCCTCATGCCTGTAATCCCAGCACTTTCAGAGGCCAAGATGGGAGGATTTCTTGGGGCTAAGAGTTTGAGACAAGCTTGGGTAACAAAATGAGACCCTGTCTCTACAAAAAATAAAACAAAATGTGGTCCCAGCTTACTCAGGAGGCTGAGGCACCAGGATCCCTTGAGCACAATCCTGTCACTGCTCCAGCCTGGGCAACCGAGCAAGACCTTATCTCTACAAAAAATGAAAAAGAAATGATGCTATACATTTATTTTTTTGCTTTCAATTTTAGCAATCAAAAATCTAGAACAAGATATAAATGTATGTGTTTACTCCTTCCAAATAAAGTGGAAAGTGAGTAGTCAGTAAAATGCAGAATGAGCCCAGGACGTTAGGATAACAGGGAGGTTGTCATGCAGTTGAGGTTCTGGGTCCATGATTTCCTATAACCTTTTAAAAGTTCAACCTTTTAAAAATTGGCATTTAACATGCTTCTCTATGGGGCAGAATTGGAATGAACCTCAGAATGGAACTGAACTAAATCTCCAGCTTATCCCCCTTGAGAATTCTGAGAAGGTAATGCCCTTTCTTCTAAGTACTCAGATCTTCAGATAACAATGCTTTATGCTTTTAAAGTACTCTTTGCTGGTATACTAGCCCCAGGGAGAGGTAGATTTGTGCCAGCATCTAAGGCTCCCAGGAAATATTCACCCTTGCCAGTCCAGTCTTCACCAGCCCCACATCAAAGCTGTTTTACAAATGGGAATTTGGATCCCGGTTTATAACAATGGAATTAAAAGGCCAACCTACCATGGATATAGCTATGTATAATGTAGATGACTTTAATGTGTTCCTTACAGCTCTTTGGAGAGTGAGTACCATCTTTGTCTTTTTATGAAGGCAGATGTTTTGGGCAAATTAAATGGATCAGAGCTAGATCCCATACAGGAAGCATCACCCATCATGATGTCCACGGTTAATGTGTTTTTCATCTCATGGATGTCAGGGGTGGGGGTAGATGCCTTTATCTCTGTTATGAACTCAAATCCCTTCAATTTATCTTTATTTTTAGGGATTTAAAAAATTACCATTAATTTGAGTAAAATTCTAATAAAAACAGTAGATGGCCTTTTAATACTAATATTTTCTACAAGTCAAAACAAAAAATTAAAGGAAAGGCCACTCAATTTCATTGAGTATTCTGTATTAGGTTTCTTGGCTCCAGCATTTAAATAGCTTTTGCTTGCTAAATATATAGGGTATTCTCTGAATTATCTTTTTATTGTTTCCCAAAATCAACTTGCTGAAAAGGAACTATGTTGGAAAACAGTTACTATCTTAAAACACTTTTCTGTTTTCAAAAGTTTGAAAAAAATGGCATATTTAAACAACAAATTCTTAAACTTGAGATTCATATGATTTCCTTTTAAAGGGGATGAATTTGCAAATTGCCAAAGATGGTTTACAGTGTCTGACTTGCTGGGACACCTGTATTTGCTAAGAGAAATGTTATTTAAAAAACACCTAATATATTTGGAAGCACAAAAAAAAATGACGAAGGGAAAGTGGGGTGCATTAGCTCCCTGTGAGGGTCATTTTTATGTATCAACTCAGCTGGACCAATGTCCCTAAATATGTGGTCAAACATTATTCCAAATATTTCTGTGGGGGTGTTTTTGGATGAGATTACATTTAAGTTAGTAAATGTAAGGAAAGCAGGTTGCCTTCCATTATGTGGGTGAACCACATCCAATCAGTCAGAAGGAATTTTGCAAAAGACGGTGCTAAGACTGCAACAATGGGTCCTTCCTGAGCGTCCAGCCTGACAGTCTTCAACTCCAAATGTGGTATCAGTTCTTTCCTGGATCTTCAGCCTGCCAGCCTACCCTGCAGATCTTAGACTTGCCAGCCTTTATAATTGTGTAAGCCAGTTTCTTAAATCTATATATAGTGTGTATATATACATATTATATGTATGTCAATATACTTTATATAAATATGTAAGTATATATTTTATGTATATATGCATACATTTCCTATGGGTTCTATTTCTCAGGAAAATCTTGACTAATACATTCCCCTTTCAGAGAGATCCACTAGCAGAGAAATTTTTGGTCAAGAAATTTAATTGCATGGTGTTTTCCTTGATGGCCTGGTTGGACCATACGCTGTCATATATGTCCCCTTCTTTTGTCCAGAAAAGACAGTGCTGGACAGTCAGGAGGAACAGCCAAGAAGAAACCCTAATCAGTCCACCTACGATGAACAAAATAGAACATTCTTGAAGTTTCCTGATGCTAAAAAACCTTTTAAACTCAGCTGGCCTGAGGTCCTGCAGACCCAGGATCCCTGTCACCCACTGGGGATGTGAGGTAGAGGAGCAAGCCCCGCGTACTGGCCTCACACTGAGGCCCAGTTGAGCTCCAAAATGGGACAAAGTACTGTTTTCCCTAAAACTTGTTCTCTTTACTCTTCAAATCAGCATTTGGTACTACTGCCAGTGCCAGTGCTGGTGCTGAGTGTTTCAAAAACAGTTCTACTTCTTAAAATAAAAATGTTTATGGAAAAAAGATCATATTTCTAATCTCTTTCAGTTATTTCTGCGGTAGAAGCTAGGAACTTCGTATCTGAACACCCAGATTAATTGTCCTTGGAGTGGGGCAGACAGTAGAGATTGAATGTAGCTGTAGCAAGTTAAATCTCCAAACAAAACATGTAAGATGGTTTTAACATCTTATATAGGCTTCTGGCACAAGGTATGTGTTCGTTAAATATGTCACATGAGTGAGAGCTTCTTGGAGTGCTCCCTGGAGAGGTGGCTGAGTGTATGTGTTTCTCGGCAGTATCATCATTGAATATTAGAGCAGCTGCGGGTTAGAAACGAAGGCAGGGCTTCTGGGCAGACTGCCTGGCAGGAGAGATGCTCTCTGCAGAGTTAGTGCCGGGAGCTGGTGCCACCTCCCCACCCGATCTCCCTGAACATGTGTCTCATGCAGGGCCACACTTGGACCACTCAGAGTGGTCAAGGGTGAAGAGCACATGCTGTTTGCTTGTTCTGTGTTGACTTTCCTTTTTACTTCTTGTTTGTTACCTGTCTAATTGCCTCTGGTCTGTGGGTAAATGCTTTATTAGTTGGGGCCAAAGCCCAGGCATTCTCCGGGCCTACTGAATCAGGCTGCGTCTCCAGGGAGCTCACAGTGTGAGGTGCCTGGGCACGTGAGTCACTGGGCTGGGTGGCTGCAGACTCCCGTCACGGCAGTCGGCTCCCTCACTGCCTCTGGACTTGCCAAAGTTTTGTTGAGGTGGAGAGGTCGCCACAGGCTGAAAGCATTAAGGAGAACCACCCTGGCATGCGGAGCAGTCGGTGTGCTTTGGAGGAAAACATACAAACCAGGTGAGTGTGTGTGGACAAGCTGGGGCTTGGCTGCCAGATGCCGCCCTCCCCTTTCTGGTGGGACTGCTCAGGGACATCTCCTCCTCCTCTCTTAACATCTTCCCAGGTGTTTCTTTGAACAGAGCAATGGGTACTTTTCCAGCAATATAAAAAGCTTTGAACAGAGAAATTTTACAGATGGTATTAACTTTTCAAAAATTAGACAAACAACCTAACTTCAGAAGTTGGTATTTCTTACATTAAAATCCTGGGAAAATTAAATATTTTGCCACTAGTTTTTACATCTCTAAAACTAGGGTAATACTGACTACCTGGTGTTGGCCATGAAGAGTCAATGAGGCAATGCTTGTAGATTAACTTCTTGTAGATTGGTAGTGTAAACTTCAGAATTTAAAATTTATCCATGCTCACCCTCCCTCCCTCTCCTTCTTTATCTCTCCCCCTCTCTCCCTGTCTCCTCACCTTTGATTTAAGTCAACAAAAATTCATTTTGTGCCCCGTGTGCCAGGACTGGGCATACAGTGGTGAACAAGACACACATGGCTCTGCCTCATGGAACTTTCCATTCTGGCCAAGATGATAGACAAGGAACAATAAAGGATATATGTAATAATGACAGCTGGTGATAACTGCTGTGAAGAAAAGTAAAGCAGGTGTGAGGCTTCTAGAGGGTGGCATGTATAAGGTGGGCAGACACTATTTATACAGGGTGGACGAGGAAGACCTCTTTGAAGACGTAATGTTTCACCCAAAGAATGGAGCCAGCTGGAGGTAAATCTGCATCCAAAATGTAAAAAGCAATGGATTAAGGCATTCGAAGCAGTTTCTGAATCGTCAGGAACACTGTTGATAACATGTCAGTGTTATCAGCTGAGGGATGATTATCATGAAACTTTTTAAGTTCTAGAATTTCTAAATATCTGTGTGTGTGTTGTATGCAGGGAAAGTGCATTTTCCTCAGCATGGATTATGCTTTATCTCTGTCTGTGAAAACACTGTTGCGAGAAGCTCAGCTCAATTTAGCAGAACATAAGTGGAAAGTAGACATTTGAACGATACTGATGGTTGATTTCCATTAAGTAGGAATTGAAATGAACTGTTGAATTGTTGCTTTTTGATATGTGGAAATGAGTAAAAACCTTACGTATCTCTTGGTCTTTAAAGAAAATCTACTTTGATATAAAAATTCTTTTTAAAAAGTTGGCTTATACCCCCACAACTATCAGAAATGCAGCTAACAGAGCTAGCAGTTTGTAAGGAGTTACCTTGGAAACTTCTTTCCTAGAGAGAACCCTCCACATGTAATGTACGGCTTGCCGTTTGGAAAACAACCAGTATGAAATCCTTCTCGAATCTGTGGGTGTGCCAAGGCAGGCTTTTCCTCATGGAGAAGTAAGTGCTGGTGCTTTAAGGGAACCCCTTTTTCATAGGTGTATGGGAAGAAGAAATCCCTGTCAGCCTGCATTGGCTCTGGCTGGTGTTACATTCCACCGCAGTTCATCTTGAGATGTTTCTGGCAACCCTCTGTTTTCAGTGCTACTACAAATAGGGACTGTTTACCACCCCTGGTATGTACTAACTGCTAAGGTACTTAATGGCACCTTGGCCTTTTTTATTCCACATCTGTGTTTTGACTCATAGTTCCTTTTTTTTGTCGCAGTTCCTTACATGTGTACTTTAGAGTTTTGATATTTCATTTAAAAGGTTGACCTGGGCCACCTTAAAGTGACTTTATGTATGTTTGCAGTATTTAGTTAGTTTAAGCTTTAGTGTAATCAACAGAAAATGGCTATCTTAGCGGCATATTAATTTTTCAGGTGTTAATCTTTTGTTTTCTTCAGAGACAGTGGTGTTAGTGAGCGACTCTAGGAAGTTCCCCTTGTTCCGTATCCAGCACCAGGAAGGGAGGGTGTCAGGCTGGAATGGTAATTAATGAGAGTTCAGGTTTGTCTGTCGCAAGATGAGGCAAATGTTTTTACTTGCACTCTGGGATCTCAAGTGCACTCAGATGGATGGGTGTTTTGGTTCACGTTCTGGCATTCCCACTGCACATCATGCATTTGGAGTGATGTTACCAGAGCTGTGAGGGGACACAGCGTAGGCAGCGTGTGGAGTTTAGCAGGAATTTCATGGTAACACAGAGCACTCACTTCACGCTTCTTTACGGTCTCCTATGTTGACTCCCTCAAATCATCCATTCTTTTTCCATTTATGGGGTAATCAGCATAGAACCTCGAAGCAAGTAGTGAGATCTAAGGGCTTGAAAGTCAATGTGCCCATGACATTTGGCTTCAGACTAGAGCATCAATTCACACTGCCTCACAGCGCTGACCCCGCTGAGGGTGGAGTTGGCTCCATCTGCCCTAAGCTGCCCCCTGGGAAGGTCCTGCATCCTGGCCCTGTGTCCTGCCGCCTTCAGGGGCAGGTTGGAGCTGGGCTCTGTGCTCCTGAGTGGCATCCTTGTGGGGACGAAGGACATATGAGAGTGTGGGTGAGGAGAGGCCAAGCTCCTGGCAGCACCAGGCCGGCCTGTTCCTAGGTGCGCATTCCCAGGTTCGAGGCACTGACTTGAGTGGAAAGTTTCTCCTTCCCATCTCTCTCCAAGGCCATGGTTGCACATCACCACAGCCGAGACTCACAGGAGAGCCACCAAAGGCAGAAAAGGGTTTTATTTTTCCTCTTTTTTGAAAAGTAAAACCAAAAAAATTCTTGTTTTTCTGTGAGGTAGATTTGTCACAGGTTAAACCATCTCATTTTATATTTTTAGTAGAGAAGGGGTTTCACCATGTTGGCCAGGCTGGTCTTGAACTCCGGACCTCAGGTGATCTGCCTGCCTTGGCCTCCCAAAGCTAAGATTATAGGCATGAGCCACCGTGCCCAGCTGTAACCATCTCATTTTAAAACCAAGGACAAGGAACATAAGCATTTATGTTCCTTCAGAATACAATAAGACAAAAGGGAACAGAACACGGGAGGGAGGAAACCTTAGAGAAATTCGGGAAGGAACGTCGCAGTGTCTGTGGGAGCTGCTCACCCGCAGATCGTTGGAGGCAGCCTGTGTTCTTCACACCCCACAGCCACCTTGTCCGCTGCCACTGTGAGGCGCCTGGGTAGCCAGCTGCTTCGTGAGGTTGGTTGTTTTGAGCTAAGCCTGGAAAGAAAACAGGATTAAAGCAGAGGAGTAAGATTGGGTTTGATTAATGTTTAACACAAAACAATTTTGGGCCTGGCACAGTGGCTCACGCTTGTAATCCTAACACTTTGGGAGGCCAAAGAAGCGGATTACCTGAGGTCAGGAGTTAGAGACCAGCCTGGCCAACATGGTGAAACCCTGTCTCTACTAAAAATACAAAAATTAGTTGGTCGTGATGGTGCATGCCTGTTATCTCAGTTACTTGGGAGGCTGAGGCAGGAGAATCGCTTGAACCCAGGAGGCGGAGGTTGCAGTGAGCCGAGATCGTGCCACTGCACTCCAGCCTGGGTGAGAGAGTGAGACAATGTCTCAAAAACAAAAAAAAAATTCTGTACATTCACTCACTCAGCAAAAATCAGTTGATAATCAACAACTTGCCAGGCACCGTGTTTAGCTCTGGGAGTGCAAAGATAGAGTCAGCAATTTATCAATTTGTTATGGTGATATTTCCTGTTAGTTTTGTAGGGGACTTATTTTTCTCTTTTGTTAGGTTCAGCCGTTGATTTTAAAACAGATGCTTCTGATCTGTGGGTGAATGTGCCTTTGAGGTATAATTGACAATAATAATCTGTACATACTTAAGGCATAAAATCTTGATATGTTTGGACATACGTGTACACAGTTGCCGCCATCATCACAACCAAGATAGTGGCTGCATCCAGTACTCCAGAAAGTCTGCTTCAACGACTTGGGATTCTCTTTTATCCCAATGCCACCCATCCCTTCCCCAGGCAACCACTGATCTACCTTCTGTCACTATGCATTAGATTGTATTTTCTACAATTGTGTATGAATTGGATCATACAGTACATGTCCTTTTATTGTCTGGCTTCTTTCACTCAGCATACTTCTTTCACACGTCGCATGGTCTTCATAGTTCATTCCTTTTCATTGCTGGGTAGCTTTCCATCATCTGGATATACCAGAGTTTCTTTATCCATACATGTTTTGGTGGACATTTGGGTGTTTCCAGTTTTAGACTATTCAAAATAAAGCCTTTGTGAACATCAGCGTACAAGTGTTTGTATGGAGATGTTTTTATTTCTCTGTGGTAAATACCTAAAATGAAATTGTTGAATCATAAGGTAGGTATCTGTTTAGCTTTAAAAAATACTTCCAAACAACTTCCAAAGGAGTTGTACTATTTCATATCCACACTAGTGTTGTATGAGAGTCTAGTTCATCTACATTCTTTCCAACACTTGGTGTGGTTAGTCTGTTTAATTTTAGCCATTCTACTAGGTAAGTAGTGGTACCTCACTGGGGTTTTAATTGGCATTTGCCTAATGACTAATGATGTTGAACATCTTTTTTATGTGCTTATTTGCTATCCATCCATCATCTTTGGGTGAATTGTTTGTTCAACTCTTTTTGCCAATTTTTAATTGGGCTTTCTGTTTCTTATTTGATATTATTGTTTTTTAATATTTCTCTATTACTGAGTTTTGAGTTCTTAAATGTTCTAGATATAAGCCTTTTATCAGATATGTGATTGCAAATATTTCCCCCAGTCTGTAGCTTATTTTTTCATTCTCTTAGCAGGGTTTCATTCTCTTAGTTTCAAAGAGCACACATTCTTAATTTTGAAGAAATTCAGTTTATAATTTTTTTTCTTTTATGGACCATACATTTAGTGTCAGATCTAAGAAATCTTTTTTTTTTTTTTTTTTTTTTTGAGATGGAGTCTCGCTCTGTTACCCAGGCTGGAGTGCAGTGGTGTGATCTCGGCTCACTGCAACCTCTGCCTCCCAGGTTCATGCCATTCTCCTGCCTCAGCCTCCCAAGGAGCTGGGACTACAGGCGCCCTCCACCATGCCTGGCTAATTTTTTTTTTTTTTTTTGTATTTTTAGTAGAGATGGGGTTTCATGGTGTTAGCCAGGATGGTCTCGATCTCCTGACCTCATGATCCGCCTGCCTCAGCCTCTCAAAATGCTGGGATTACAGGCATGAACCATCACGCCTGGCCATGGCCAGATCTAAGAAATCTTTATCTAACTTAAGGTCACAAAGATTTACTCCCATTTTTTTTTCTAGAAGGTTTTAGTTTTAGGTTTTAAATTTATAACTGTGATCTATTTTGAGTTAATCTTTACATGTAGTCTGGATCAAAGTTTTATGTCGTTCATTTTTGTTGGCCTATGTGTAAACAACTGTTCCAGCACCAACTATTGAAAAAATGATCTTTTCTTCTATCTTTTATTAGCGAAAACTTCTTTAGTTTCCTTAGTATCTAGAGAAAACTGCCTTTTCTCAGAGACTGAATTGTCTGTACATCTTTGCTAAAAATCACTTTGTGTGTGTGTTTGTATATATATGTATATATCACTTGTGTATATATATATATATAGGCCAGTGGTAGACCATATATATATATATATATATATATGGGTCTGTTTCTGAACTTTTCATTCCATACCATTGATCTGTTTGCCTGTCGTATTGCCAATACCACACTGTTTTGATTACTGTAGTTTTATAATAACTCCTAAAGTAGGTAGTATAAGTCTTCCCATTCTGTTCTTCTCTTTCAAAGACCTATGTTAGGTCCTTTGCATTTCCATAAGAATTTTGGTTTTTTTTCTGTAAATTTCTAGGGGGAAAAAAAGCTTGCTTAGACTTTGATTGGGAATGTATTAAATCCACAGATCACTTTGGGGAGAATTGATATCTTCAAAATGTTGAGTCTTTTAATCTATGACATGATATATCTCTATTTAGGTCACTAATTTCTCTCAGCAATGTTTTATAATTTTCAGTATACAGACATTACATATCTTTCATGTAATTCATCAATAAGTATTTCATATTTTTATGTATTTTTTAAAATTCCAATTTCAAATTGCTCATTTGTATTTTTTAGACATACAACTTAATTTTATGTATTAATCTAGTATTGTACAACCTTGTTAAACTGACTTATTAGTTCTACTAGCTTTTCTGTAGATTCCATAGGATCTTCTCAGATGATCATGTCGTCTGTGAATAAAGCCAGCTTTACCTTTTCCTTTCCAATCTCAACTGCTCTTTCTTTCTTTCCTTTTATTGCACTGGCTATAATGTGGAATAGTGTTGAATAGAAGTGATAAGAGTAGACATCCTTGTCTTACTCCCCATCCTAAAAGAAAAGCATTCAGTGTTTCTCCATTAAGTATGATGTTATCTGCAGGGGTTTTTGAGATGTCCTTTATCAAGTTGAGGAAGTTTCCTTTTATTTCTTGTTTGCTGAGAACAGGAATGCATGTTAGATTCTGATAAATAATTTTCCTGCATATATTGAAATGATCATTTTTTGTTTGTTGATATAGTGAACCACATTGTTTATTTTAAAACTGTTAAACTGGGGTAAACTGTACCTGGTCACATTGTATTTTCCTTTTAATATATTGTTGGATTTGGTTGGCTAAATATTTTTTATTGCATCTATGTCCCTGACAGATTGGTGTATAGTTTTCTTTTCTCTAATATCTTTGATTTTGTTGTGGCAATGCTGGTCTTATTGGATGAGTTGGGAAATATTTGCCCCTCTTCAATTTTCTGGAAGAGTTTGTGTAGAATTGGTATTATTTCTTTAATTTAATTTGATTAATTTATTTAATTAATTAATTTAATTAATTGATTTAATTAGATCCCATTTGTCAGTTTTGGCTTTTGTTGCCGTTGCTTTTGGTGTTTTAGTCATGAAGTCCTTGCCCATGCCTATGTCCTGAATGGTATTGCCTAGGTTTTCTTCTAGGGTTTTTATGGTTTTAGGTCTAACTAAAGTCTTTAATCCACCTTGAATGAATTTTTGTATAAGGTGTAAGGAAGGGATCCAGTTTCAGCTTTCTGCATATGGCTAGCCAGTTTTCCCAGCACCATTTATTAAATAGGGAATCCTTTCCCCATTTCTTGTTTTTGTCAGGTTTGTCAAAGATCAGATGGTTGTAGATTTGTGGTATTATTTCTGAGGGCTCTGTTCTCTTCCATTGATCTATGTCTCTGTTTTGGTACCAGTACCATGCTGTTTTGGTTACTGTAGCCTTGTAGTATAGTTTGAAGTCAGGTAGCGTGATGCCTCCAGCTTTGTTCTTTTTGCTTAGGATTGACTTGGCAATGCAGGCTCTTTTTTGGTTCCATATGAACTTTAAAGTAGTTTTTCCCAATTCTGTGAAGAAAGTCATTGGTAGCTTGTTGGGGATGGCATTAAATCTGTAAATTACCTTGGGCAGTATGGCCATTTTCACAATATTGATTCTTCCTATCCATGAGCATGGAATGTTCTTCCATTTGTTTGTGTCCTCTTTTATTTCATTGAGCAGTGGTTTGTAGTTCTCTTTGAAGAGGTCCTTCACAGCCCTTTAAGTTGGATTCCTAGGTATTTTATTCTCTTTGAAGCAATTGTGAATGGGAGTTCACTCATGATTTGATGCTCTGTTTGTCTGTTATGGGTGCATAGGAATGCTTGTGATTTCTGCACATTGATTTTGTATCCTGAGACTTTGCTGAAGTTGCTTATGAGCTTAAGGAGATTTTGGGCTGAGACTATCGGGTTTTCTAAATATACAATCATGTCATCTGCAAACAGGGACAATTTGACTTCCTCTTTTCCTAATTGAATACCCTTTATTTCTTTTTCTTTTTCTTTTTTTTTTTTTTGAGACAGAATCTTGCTCTGTTGCCCAGGCTGGAGTGCAGTGGCGCGATCTCGGCTCACTGCAAGCTCCGCCTCCCAGGTTCATGCCATTCTCCTGCCTCAGCCTCCCAAGTAGCTGGGACTACAGGTGCCTGCCACCACAGCTGGCTAATTTTTTGTATTTTTAGTAGAGATGGGGTTTCACTGTGTTAGCCAGGATGGTCTTGATCTCCTAACCTCATGATCCACCCGCCTCGGCCTCCCAAAGTGCTGGGATTACAGGCATGAGCCACTGCGCCCGGCCAATACCCTTTATTTCTTTCTCCTGCCTGATTGCCCTGGCCAGAACTTCCAACACTATGTTGAATAGGAGTGATGAGAGAAGGCATCCCTGTCTTGTGCCAGTTTTCAAAGGGAATGCTTCCAGTTTTTGCCCATTCAGTATGATATTGGCTGTGGGTTTGTCATAAATAGCTCTTATTATTTTGAGATATGTCCCATCAATACCTAGTTTATTGAGAGTTTTTAGCATGAAGGGTTGTTGAATTTTGTCAAAGGCCTTTTCTGCATCTATTGAGATAATCATGTGGTTTTTGTCTTTGGTTCTATTTATATGATGGATTACATTTATTGATTTGCATATGTTGAACCAGCCTTGCATCCCAGGGATGAAGCCCACTTGATCATGGTGGATAAGCTTTTTGATGTGCTGCTGGATTCGATTTGCCAGTATTTTATTGAGGATTTTAGCATTGATGTTCATCAGGGATATTGGTCTAAAATTCTCTTTTTTGGTTGTGTCTCTGCCAGGCTTTGGTATCAGGATGATGCTGGCCTCATAAAATGAGTTAGGGAGGATTCCCTCTTTTTCTGTTGATTGGAATAGTTTCAGAAGGAATGGTACCAGCTCTTCTTTGTACCTGTGGTAGAATTCGGCTGTGAATCCATCTGGTCATGGGCTTTTTTTTGTTGGTAGGCTATTGATTATTGCCTCAATTTCAGAGCCTGCTATTGGTCTATTCAGGGATTCAACTTCTCCTGGTTTAGTCTTGGGAGGGTGTATGTGTCAAGGAATTTATCCATTTGTTCTAGACTTTCTAGTTTATTTGCGTAGAGGTGTTTATAGTATTCTCTGATGGTAGTTTGTATTTCTGTGGGATCGGCTTCTGCATGGCAAAAGAAACTACCATCAGAGTAAACAGGCAACCCACAGAATGGGAGAAAATTTTTACAATCTACCCATCTGACAAAGGGCTAATATCCAGAATCTACAAAGAACTTAAACAAATTTACAAGAAAAAAATCAAACAACCCTATCAAAAAGTGGGCGAAGGATATGAACAGACACTTCTCAAAAGAAGACATTTATGCAGCCAAGAAACATATGAAAAAATGCTTATCATCACTGGCCATCAGATAAATGCAAATCAAAACCACAACAAGATACCATCTCACACCAGTTAGAATGGCGATCATTAAAAAGTCAGGAAACAGTAGGTGCTGGAGAAGATATGGAGAAATAGGAACACTTTTACACTGTTGGTGGGACTGTAAACTAGTTCAACCATTGTGGAAGTCAGTGTGGCAATTCCTCAAGGATCTAGAACTAGAAACACCATTTGACCCAGCCATCCCACTACTGGGTATATACCCAAAGGACTATAAATCATGCTGCTATAAAGACACATGCACATGTATGTTTATTGTGGCACTATTCACAATAGCAAAGACTTGGAACCAACCCAAATGTCCATCAATGATAGACTGGATTAAGAAAATGTGGCACATATACACCATGGAATACTATGTAGCATAAAAAAGGATAAGTTCACGTCCTTTGTAGGGACACGGATGAAGCTAGAAACCATTATTCTGAGCAAACTATCGCAAGGACAAAAAACCAAACACTGCGTATTCTCACTCATAGATGGGAATTGAACAATGAGAACACATGGACACAGGAAGGGGAACATCACACACTGGGGCCTGTCGTGGGGTGGGGGTGGGGGAGGGATAACATTAGGAGATATACCTAATGTTAATGACGAGTTAATGGGTGCAGCACACCACCATGGCACATGTATACCTATGTAACAAACCTGCACGTTGTGCACATGTACCCTAGAACTTGAAGTATAATAATAATAAAAAAAAGAATTGGTATTATTTCATCTTTAAACATTTATTATAATTCACCAATGCAGCCATCTAGTCCTAGCGATCCCTTTCTGGTAAAAATTTAACTGCAAATTCTATTTCTTTAATAGATGTTGGACAATTCAGGTTATCTATTTGTTCTTGAATGAGGCTTTGTTATTTTGTACCTCTCTAAGGAATTTAAGCATTTCATCTAAGTAGTCAAATATTTTGTGTAAAGTTCAGATTTTCTTATTTTATATCTGCAGAATCTGTAGTTGTAATAATCTCATTTCTGGTATATGTAATTTGTTTCTTCTCTTTTTATTAATCTGGCTAGATATATATCAATTTCATCTGTCTTTTCTAAGAACCAAATTGATTTTCTTTGTTTCCTTTTTTAATTTCACTGATTTCTCCTCTGATATTTATTATTACCCGTATTTTGTGTACCATGGGATTAACCAGCTCTTATTTTTCTAATTTCTTAAAGTGGAAGCTGCGTTCATTGATTTGAGACTTTTGTTGTAGACTTGCAATGCTGTAAATTTCCTTCTAGGTACTTCTCTTTAGAAGCATCCCATACATTTTGATATATTGTATTTTCATTTTATTCGTTTCACAATCCTTTTAATTTCTCTTTTGGTTTGTTCTTTAACCCTGGGTTATTTAGAAGTGTGTTACTTACAAAAATATTTTGGGATACACCAGAGTTTTTTTATTTGTTTATAACTTGATTCCTTAATTCCATTGTGGTAAAAAAAAAAACAAAAAACATGCTTTATATGACTTCAATCCTTTAAATATACCGAGAGTGTTTTTGTGGGTCAGAATCTGGTCTGTCCATGAGCACTTGAGTAGAATGTATATTCTGTTGTTCTTGTGTGGAATAGCCTATAAATGTCAATTAGGTGAAGTTGATGGATAGCTTTGTTCCAGTCTTTTATATACTTATTTTCTGTCTCCTTTCAGTAATCTATATAGATTACTGTGAGATTATTGTTGACGTTTCCAACCATAACTGTAGGTTTTACTATTTCTCCTTTAGTTCTATCAATTTCTGCTTCAGGTACTTTGAAGCTTTGTTATTACAAACAGAGCTTAAGGTTTACATTTGTCATATCCTCTTGTCAAATTGACCCCTTTATCATTATGAAATGACATTCTTCATCTCTGGCAATATTCATGTCTCTGAAATCTATTTTGCCTGGTATTAATACAGTCATTCCAACTTTCTTTTGATTAGCAATTAACATGGTATATTCTTTTTTCATCCTTTTAATTTTAGCTGATTTTTTTCTCTTTATATGAAAAGATCATTTCTGTAGGACTCATGTAATCAGGTCTTGCTTTTTTATCCAATCTAATTTTAAATTGATCTGTTTAGATCTTTTATATTTATTGTGACTAATGATATGGTTAGGTTTAAACCTGTCATTTTACTATTTGTTTGCTGTTTGTCTCATCTGTACTTTGTTACATTTTCCTCTTTTTCTGCCTTTTTTTGATTATTTATTTTGTAGGATTTTTAAATAGTGTCTTTTTAGCTGTAATTCCATTATCTTCATGGTTGCTTTAGGGTTTATAGTACAGTTGACCCTTGAACAATATGAGTGAACTGTGAGATGTGTGGTCCACTTATATATGAATTTTTTTTCAGTAAATACAGTTGGCCCTCCATATCAGCAGGTTCCTCATCTCCAACCAAACTTGGATCAAAAATACAATATTTGCTGGATATGAAACCCACATGGAGAGAGGGTCAACATTTTGTTCTGGTGGTTTAGCAGACCCAACTATGGAACTTGAGTATGCACAGGTTTTTGGCATCCATGGGTGATCAGAGAACCAATCCCCCAAGGATACTAGACACAACTGTTTTTATCTTTAACTTATCACAGGCTTTGTTCAGATGACGTTATACCTCTTTGTGTATAGTATAAGAAACTTACAATAACAGTGTCATGTATTCCCTCCCAGTCTTTGTGCCTGTTGTCATACCTCTTATATTTGCAAGTGTTAAAAACCCCACAGAACACTGTTATTTTTCTGTTTAAGTAGCCAGCGACCTTTTAAAGAGTTTTTTTAAATAAGGGGAAAAAACGTGTATTTACCCTTGTAGTTATCTTTTCCAGTGCTTCCAGTGCTCTTTATTCCTTTTTGGAGGTTTGTATTTCTACCTGGCACCATTTTGCATATGCCCAAAGGATTTCCTTGTAGTGCAGGTCTGCTGTTGATGAATTATTTTACCTTTGTGTATCTGAACAGGTCTTTATTTCACCTTTGTTTTTCAAATATTTTTTCACCTGGTATAAAATTCTAGGATGACAGGTTTTTTCTCCAGCGCTGTAAATATGTTGATCCATTTTCCTCTTACTTGTATTGTCTTCAGTAGGAAATTTGCTGCCATTCTTATATCTTTTTGTTTTGTTTCATATGCATCTATTTTCTGTTCTTCTGTATCAATGGTTTTCATCAATTTGATTATGAGCTGAATTGATATGATTTTCTTCATGTTTCTTCTAATTGTGGCTTGTTATTCCTCTTGGATCTGTTGGTTTACAATTTTGAACAAATTTTGAGAATATTCAGCATTATATCTTCAAATATTTTTGTATCACCTCCTTCATCTTCTCTCTGTCAGGAAATCCAGTAACCAATATGTGCTACGTTTACCGATGCTATTTATTTTAAATTTTTTTTTAAATTTTAAATTATTTTTTCTGTGTTTTTATTTTGGTTTGTTTCTATTGCTACATCTTCAATTTTCTGAATCTTTTCTTCCATGTTGAATCTTCCATTAATCGCATCCAGTGTAATTTTCGTCTTGGAAATTGTGGTTTCATCTAAAAGTTCAATTTCGGTGTCTTTACTATCTTTCATGTACTACTTAACTTTTTGAATATACAGAATACTTTATAATCATTATTTCAGTGTTCTTGTCTGATAATTCCCATATGTTTTAATTGATTTTTCTCCAAACTAGTTTCATAATTTCCTACTTCTTTGCATGTGTGGTAATTTTTTATTGAATTTCACACACTGTGACTTGTACTTATTGCATGCTGATATTTTTGTATTCTTTATAAATATTTGTCACATTTGTTCTAAGGCCCAGTTACTTGTAAACATTGAATTTCACACACTGTGACTTGTACTTATTGCATGCTGATATTTTTGTATTCTTTATAAATATTTGTCACATTTGTTCTAAGGCCCAGTTACTTGTAAACAGTTTGATCCTTTAAGGTATTATTTTTAAGATTCGTTAGGTGAAACCAGAGAAGCATTGAATCTAGGGCTAGCTAGCCCCCATGACTAAAACAAGATCCTTCTGATTGTTGTGCCCTATGCCCCAAGAATTATGAGATTTTCTTGTCTGGCTGGTGGGAATAGCTGTGTATGAATGCTGGGTACTTTTCTTTCCAATCCTTTTGGAAAGGTTCTTCCCTGACTGAAGTACATTCCTGCACTGATTAATACTCTGTTGACTACCCAGAAGGAACCCTTGGTAGATTTTCAGGCTCTTTTTTTCTAGGTGGCTCTGTCTTAGTCTGTTTGGAGAGTTCTATCTACCTTGCTTTCTTAGGTCTCCCAACTTGGAGGTTTGGATGAGCTATGCCAGGGTTCCCCTTCCCTGTGTGATGCTATGGGAATCTTCTCAAGGTATCATAGTAAGCTGGGCCACTGGAGGGCTCACCTCCTTTGTTTTCCCTAGAATATAGTCTGTTATTGCTTGCTGTCTAGTGTCTTGAAAAGAGTTATATTTAGTCTAGCTTTTTATATGTTTCAGGCAGAAGGGGAAATTTGATCTCTATTCCTCTTTTGGCCAGAAGCGGAAGTCTTGCAAACATTTATATTTAAAATATGTTGATAGTGTACAATGATTTACAAAATATATAAAACTTTTTGACCTAATAATCCTACTTCTGGGAATATATCTTAAATATTTCCAAAAAGGAAACAGATGTTACATACACAACATTCTGTACAGCATTATTTGTAATGAGAAATTAGAAGGAATCTATGTTTATCAAAAAGGAGAGGGGTTAAGATCAAGGCATATCTATGCAGTGAAATATTAGTGGTTTATTTTAAATGACAGTTTCTAAGATTTTCAACATTTAAAACACTAATACTAAATGTATTAAAAATATGTTAAAATAGTCCATGGTGTGTCATCATTGGAACTTTATAAAAGTATACACATTCTTATGAACTAAAAACTCAAAGAGAACGGGCTGCCTTCATGTCAGTGGTGTCACTGCTGAGTTGCAGTGCTTCCCGCCTGCACTCATACCCACATTCAGACCCCTGTGCTCTGCTCAGTGCTCAGCCCTCAGCCCTGCCTCCTCTGACAAGCTATTCTATTGTCACCAGTGTTTTCACAGGACAGGAAGAATCACCTGGCTACAACCAACTCGGTCATCTTCACCTATTGTAGTATCTTCTCTCTCCTGACGTTCTCCTTAGACCACTGTCAACCATCACTTACTCCTGGTCTTTGACAGTATCCTTGAGTTGGATTCTTTGGGGGCTTATTCAGGTTTTCAGGGCGGGATGATGTTGAAAAGCCCAAAAGATTTCAAAACTGTCCAGCGTTTGATCACCTTGCTATTGAAAGACGACCCACAACTGACTACTCAGTAGTGTTGTTTGTCCTCCCAGAGTCCTCTCTGCGGCTGCTTCTCTTGGCTCAGCAGAAAGAAGAATGAGTTAAAGATGAACTGAGCAGCGGGACCGGTGACATCAGTCCTCCTCCACTCAGAAGGAAGCTGTTAAAATAGGACGAGCTGACTTTGCCCTTTCCTCCTTTCTGAATAATAGGCTTCATTTGCATGTGATTATTGTTTACTAATTACCTACCATTCACCTACAGCCCCCACCAATACTACTTCTTCCATACCCCTCTGCACTACATTTTAGCATCTTGCTTGGGCAGGACACACAAGCCATTTAAACAGCTGCACAGTGATTGTTTTTCCCTCCTTGTGTAAGGTTTGTGCCTCCCTGAGGATATGTCTATTTTGGTTTTCATCATTATCATATCCTGACCTGAGAGAGAGTGATGAAATCAGCTTAGATAGAGCCCGTGGCCTTAAGTGATTGCTGTTAAAATAACTTCCCTGTGCAAGTTGTATAAAAATACAGGGCCATGAGAACACATTGCTAGGGCCCCTCCCAAGGTCTGGGAAGGGGCCTGTTTGAATGAGGGACTCTGAAACATAAGCTTTGTTAGCCCCCCGGTCCCACAGCATGAATTATGTTAACTGCCACTCTTGACCCTTACCTTTCTCTGTGGCAGGTATCCATTGGGAAAGACAGTTGCAGCAAGCTGAGAGAGGCATACTTTTGGAAAGTGAATTCTTTCTAGGATCCCTGAAATCAAACTCCACATGCAGCAGACTTTTTTACATGCTTGCTTGTCCAAATTTTCAGGAACCGTCCTTGGGCACCCAGAGTGAGTGAATGAGTGTGTACCCCTTGTTGGGTAGATGAATTAGCATAAAAAACAGGGTTACACCTTGCCTAAGTTCGTCCTTTGACTTAGAAAGCTGTTCACTGCTGCTCCTTTCTGTCTGAGGGTAGTTAGTCTGGGCCTTGCATCTAACCTGCTGGAGCCCATTCTCAAGCAAGCTTATACTAAAGCCAGAGCTTCCCCAAAACATAGTTGCGAGACCTTGGAATGAGGACTGTTGAGGATGTTGATAAACAGTTTCCACTGGTGAAATTTAAGTACCAGAGGTCAAATCACTTGTACAACATTGCTTGTTTGGCAAGAGGCAGTAGGGATGGCCTCAAACACAAGTTTCTTTGGCTTTAGAGCCTGCACTTGCCACTACTTGCCTGGCCTACCTCCCATGTCTTCCCTTCAAAGCTCTTGTGGAGTAACGGGTCTGATCATTCTCCATTCCTGACCATTGCAGTGCTCTGTCCATTTGGCCAAGGGGATTCCTGCCAGATGGGCCTAGCAGAGTGCCTGGTGCTTAACAAATGCTGCAACTGTTTGCATGAGTGGGTGTGTATGTCAGTCTTTAGAAAAGCTAAGAGAGTTTGGGCCAAAAGGAGGGTAACACCTCTCATAGATCGCCACAGTTTGGGTTGAAAGACTGGAGAGAGGCTGCAGCACAGCCTTGCAGTAGTTTTTCATTAAAACTTTCTTCTATAGCTTTGTGTGTGTGTGTAAAGAGCAGCTGTTTTTTTTTTTTTCTGTTTTTTTTTTTTGTTTCTTTGTTTAAGGAAATATTTAATTATAGTGTATAAAGCAGTGTTTGTCAACCTTCTGTTCAGAATCATCCCCCTAAGGTGCCTTTTCATATATTTTTTTCTGAATCACCCCCATACCCCAACCCTCATGAAATTTAAATTCCGCAGACATTCTGTTTATGTATTCTTCCCCTGTGGAGGGCTGTACACATTTGTGATATCTAAGATGTTTTTGTTCCCAAGAATCAAATTTCATGTTTCTAGCTCCTATTAAGAATTTATGGTCTGAAGTATTTATTCCATTTCAGTAGCTGATAACATGAGAAATGCTTATATAATTACAGAAATGAAAGCAAAATACTAGTCATTGATTGACAGCCAGTAATTACTATAAGGATGGCAAAACAATTCTGTTCTAATGAACACGTAATTACAGCTGCTGGGGAATAGCTATTAAATAAATGGAATCTAATGTGTTGGCCCAGGAGACAGGATGGGTGGCGGTGAGGTCTGGGGACACTCAGCCTTGTCACATGGGTCAGCTCCATAGGGCTGGGCTAGTCTCATACCTGTTTGTGCACAAGGAACCACCTCCCAGGACTGTTAGAGCACACGTCCAAGTCAGGAGGCCTTAGTTGCGTTTATGATTTTCTGCTGTGGCTATTAGGCTGCTAGTTTTTTGAGAAGTACTATTTTTGATATGATTTGATTTTGACTTTTTTATTGTGGATATATCATAAAAACACGTTAACCATTTTTGTACAATTCAATGACATTAAATATCTTCATAATGTTGTGCCACCATCATCACTATTTATTTCTAAAATGTTTTCATCACCCCAAACAGAAATTATATACCCATTAGGAACTAGCTCCTCAATCTTCCTTACCCCCACTCCATCTTTTTTCTTTGTACACTATCAATTTAGAGCTAACAGAGATGACTGAGTGTGGTCACAATAGGAAGATTTCTCGTTCTTTGACCATTATGCTTGTGTTGGTATTGTTGTAGGCCATAAAATACACAAAACCAATATGATTAAAAATATGTTGGGCAGGCTTGTAATACTTCCCAAGAATTTAGGTTTCGCTAAATGGTAGGCAAGTGACTACTACTACACTGTGTATTGTATTGTATTGTATTGTATTGTATTGTATTGTATTGTATTGTATTGTATTGTATTGTATTGTATTTTTTGAGATGGAGTCTCACTCTGTTACCCAGGCTGGAGTGCAATGGCGCAATGTTGGCTCACTGCAACCTCCGCCTCCCGGATTCAAGTGATTCTCCTGCCTCAGCCTCCCAAGTAGCTGGGATTACAGGCACCCACCATCACTCCCGGCTAATTTTTGTACTGTTGGTAGAGACAGGATTTCACCATGTTGGCCAGTCTGGTCTTGAACTCCTGACCTCAGATGATCCACCTGCCTTGGCCTCCCAAAGTGCTGTGATTACAGATGTGAGCCACTGCACCCGGCCATGACAACTACACTGGATCTTCATTTTTAAAAAGTCCCATTATAGAGGTCTATAATAAAGGAATTAAAGTCCTCTGAGAAGAAAGTAAGGGACTGTCTTGTTTAAAAACATTATTTACTATGTTGCATGATATGATTTAAAAATGTTTAAAGAGTTGAAATTTTGAAACCGTGTCTATCAAACATGCAGCTGTGCAGCTTAGCAAATATGGATGACATTCAGATGCCATTTCCAGCCATTTGGAGCCTGCTGGGCTGAAGCGGACCAGTGCCTCCTACTTCGTACCTATCCACAGTTCTCTGCCTCATTGGAGAGCAGGACGTGGAATCTTAGGTTATTCCTGGGTTTGCCTTTGAGCTTGGTTTTGGTGAGAAGCAGGTGTTGATGCTGAGCCTGCTGGGGAGAGCCATAACTCAAGCACAGCCTTTAAAGTAATAGTTTGGTTTAGCATTGAGCAGTGGCTTATATCCCTGGCCATACAGGAGACTCACCTGTGGAGCCCTGACCAACACCAATGCCAGGTCTACTCACATGCCCAGGTCAATCAGGTGCTGGAAGTGAGATCCAAGGCGTGAGGAGGGGCAGTGGTTTAAGGCTTTGCTGTGATGATTCTCCTCTGTGGACAGGCCTAGGAACCCTGAGCCTGTCAGTCAGGGCCTGGGATGCCGGCCATCATGTAATCGCAGGACACAGTTTATGTGGCCTTTGCATGGGCTCAGCAACGAGTCCCCTCAGGTACGTGCTTCTAGACACAGAGTCTTCATGGTTGGTGAAATTTTAGTAAGGAAGTTGAGTAAATTGAGGGTTTTTAAAGTTAAAATTCTAAAAGTGTTGAAATCCTAAATAGAGAGAAGTACAGAATTAATATACTAGCATGTACTCTTAATTGTTTTACATAACATCCAAAAACCTATTTCTGATTTTTACAGAGGACTGATTTTTGAAGGGTTGTATATTAATAAGGCACATTTGTGGAATCATGTCTGAAACCTCAGACTGCAGATAGAAATACCTAGTGAAAGCTTGCTCCCTAGTGCCAGACACTTCATAATACACCCCCGCAGGGGCTTTCGAGTAATGTTACCTTGGAACTGGGAGTTTTGGAGGTCTTTGGGTTAAACCCTTGTGTCTCTCAGATGATACCATTGAAGTCCAGAGAGGTTAATTAGCATAACAGCATCAAGAACAGCCAACCATCAGCCACGTGCTGTGCTAATACATCAGCATATTTCATCCTAACCATACAGGATCCAGGTTGGACTTGTCTTCCATCTTATGACTGCGTAAGCTCCATAGTTTTTGGAAGTAAGAAATGGTGGAGATTACATGCAAACCAGCTTCTCCGTGGGTTTAAGTCCCGTGAGTTTTCTTGATGCGGTACTGTCTTAGAAGCAAAAATCAGGGGAACTATTCTGGTATCTTTTCTTTTCTCATGCCCTGGAAACTCATGTGTCTTCTCCCAGCTACATGTGCCCCATCCTTTAAGGTATGTTTCTTGTCAGCCTCTCCATGAATCCTCCTCTAATTACTCAGGCTCATATCAGCTGCACCCTTCTCTGAATCTGGGTGTTTATGAGCTCCATTCCACTCTGCTTGGGCTTAATTACTCGTCTCTACACCTTGTGTTCATTGTCTCTGTCACCTGGTAAGCAGGGATGTCAGTCAGGGACAGATGCCCTAAGTGTATGTGTCCTGCATGGGCCGTCACTAAGCTAGGAGGAGCTGCTTTTCCCGGGTTCATTGGCCAAGCCCTTGTCACTGACTCGGTGTCACCCCAGGTGACACCCCAGGTGAACACATGAGCGCGAATGAGACAGTCCAGCCACTGCTGACCCTGCTGCAGAGTCCATTTCTGGTTCATTCCACCTGTGGCTGTGACCTGTTTTGGAGAGGCTGTGTGCTTCCACTGGTATTTCATTGGATGTAAGTCTTAGAAGATCATTATAGAATAGATCATTAAAATGACTGTTTTACTTTCCATAGAGAACCTAGAAGTCTGCCAAAAATTTTTAGAGGTTCAAAACTTGCTAATCTGTTATACTTTCCTTCATTCCTTTGGTGTCTCCTTATCTAAAATATGGGGGACTGTAGAACGGGAAAGACTGGGAGAGGGTGAGGAGCATAGGTGTAACTGAGGCTGCTACAGCCCAGCAGTAATGAAGCACCTGTTTCTGTACAGGTGGCTGATGAGGGCTCCTTTTAAATCTTTAGCATGGGAATCTTGGATATAAACTTTGCTGCTGTTGGGAAGATGAATGAATAGGCCAGAAACAAACCAGTCTTCTGTGTGTATTAGATGGGAGAAGATGCAGAGAGCTTAGCTACATAATGTCCTGCTGGGAAGAAAGGTCTATCAGAAAGAAGCACATCAGTGTCAGTGTTTCTGTTTGGAAGGCCTGGGGAGGAGGGAGGGGAGACGGGCCCTCCCTCCTTTGAGAGTTACTAAGAGTTAAGCTTGTAAGTGTTAGGGGAGAATATTAGGTCTGATTTTTTTAACAACTTTTTTGGGGGACCTTTTTTAGAAAATGGTCATTCTAAGGTAGAGAGAGGGTAGTAATTTAAGACTGCTTTAGAAAAATTTGCATTGCAAATGCTGCTAAATGTCAGCAAGGGACTCAAAACTTTGACACCTTGTTGGAGCTCTTTGTGCTGATTAAATTCTTGTCTCCAGCCTAGAATTGGCAGCTTATTCTCCTTAATTTTCATGCTGTAATAGGTATTGAAAGAGTATTTCTTTGACAGTTGCCCTTGGGGAAAACTGGACCGGAGCTTGTTATTTAGGGCAGACAATTAAGTGGAAAAGAATAATAACTAGACTCCAAGGTCTTCATTTAGTTCCAAGAATGTCAACAATATCAACCTCTTTTTAATACTTACTGCGGGCTCTGGTGAATAATGGAAATTAGGGGTAGACAAATCCAGTTCAGAGTTAAGAAGAATGAATTTTAATGGTCTGATTAAAATTAATTGAAATCCCTTCTTTAAGATGAATTAGCCCTTCCCAGAAGATAAGGGGTGAGTGATACTAATAGTTTTGTTTTGTTTTTCTCTCTGGAGATTACTTTGATTTAAAAACTCACTGCACATTTTCAGAGCTCCTGTGTTCTAATTGAAGAAAGCAGTGCCTATCTTGGTGCTTAGTGATGGGCTCATGGAAGAACTGATTGTACCCTACAGTATCCCCATCTTCATTCCCAATGTGCAAATCACAGATCATTCCTCCCAAAACAAAATAAAACCTAGTTACCACTGATACTTGCTTATAGCAGAATGTTGCCCTGTGGTAAGTTTCTTTAATGTTTCATACCATTCATTTATTTTTTTTTCTGTACTTTTGGTAGAAATAAATAGGAATTATTTCCAGTCACATTCTCAAATGGCAAAATATCTTATTGAATGGCAACAGAAAAGTATTTTCTTTATACTGCTTCTGTAAAAGAAAATGAAGTGAAGAGTGGGAAGACAGACAAGCCAAAATACTCACACATCAGTGAGAGGAATCTTGCGTTTCATGGTGGAACTCTGTGGCCTCAAATATGCAAGTGGACACTTGGTTTTTGAAACCAAAGCCTTGTCTCATACATAAAAAGGGCTGGTTTGTGGTAAAAGTTGTGATATATCTATAGTTATAATAATGCTTTAAAAAACTGCATTTAAAATGCTGAGACCTAAACTAGATAACTCCCTTAAACGGGATTATATCTCTGTGCCCATTTACAGAACACATGCAACCTTAATTTCACTGTCATATAGAAAAAGGAAGAATGGATGAGGAATTGATTAAAAGATTACACAGAGCAGCAATATTTAAGAGCTGTTTGTGCAAAAAGTCAGATGATTTTGCCAGGAAGAGATCGTCTTTCAACTTCATCAATGGCGTTTTGGTATCTTTGGCTGGAGGACAGGACATGAACAAGCAGGCAAATAACTAATTTGGTATCGGATCCTTGTATGTATCTCTAATGTATCTCTAAGAAAACATTTTTAAAAATTTTAAACATTTTTAAAAAATCAAGTCTAGCTCTGTTTGTAGAATGAATATTTATTTATTTTATATGTAAGGACTTCTGTTAAATGTAAGGCATGTTTAACTTACAGAAAATTGATAGGTTTCAAGTCAAAGCCTTCAGATGGTAGCAAAAGGTTCAGAGACAAAGGAGCCCAGATGGTCTGGGCAGGAAGCTGAAGGGCCAGAGGGTTGGCTGGAGGTGTAGTGGGGACCCTGGGCCCTGTCCCAAGCAAGACGGAACCAGAAGGTGTTCCAGCTTCAGCTGAAGTATTTCATGCCTTGGAAAAGTCATTGGTAAGAACATCTATTATGGATTTGAAAAGGAGTGGGCATCAAAGGCGGGAGACCAGCCAGGACCCGCAGTTGCTATTGTCCAGGAGAGATCATGGTATCTGAACCTGGGGCAGTAGTAGAGAGGAAGAGAAGACCTGTCTCAGAGGAACAATTAAGGGAATTGGGTGACTCACTGAAGGTGGAGGATGAGGAAAGGGAAGGAGTCTGGAATAGCAGATTCCAAAGTTTTCTGATTGGAGACCTACAGGAAAAAAAAAATTATACTTATATAAAATGAAAATAAGAACAATATTTCCCTTAATAAGTGCAGTGTACTGCGTTTTCTGTTCTATTTCATTTATTGAAAAATATGCATTACTGGTCTTATTAGATGGATTTTTACAACTTTCTAGTGGTATTTGAAAATGCAGGTATACAGTGAGCTCCATTGTCTAGCCTGGGTGACTGGGTGATGTGTCCTGTTAACAGGGTCCCTTAGGACCTACTGAGGTAGGCAGGATGAGGAGTATCTAGTGCTGAGGGGGAAGGGAAGTCAAAATCCTTCAGTCCTGCTTCCAGCAAAGCATCTGGGAGTTAGCTGTTGTCTGTGAGGCTTCCTTTTAACAGTTCATTGCAGTAAAGGGCTACCAGTTTTAAAAAGGAAGGGAAGAAGAAAAGGGAAGTAAAGAAGGGAGGAAGAGATGGAGGAAGGGAAAAAGAAGAGAAAGGATTACAAACCATGGGCTTAGCATGCTGAGACAGAATTGCAAATGGACCCTGGGCCCAGGAGTTGCTCCATCCAGGCCACCTTCCACATCGCTGTTAGATTTCTTATTGTAAAAACAGAGCAAGGAGGAGTTTTGGTTTGGAGTAAGATGGAGTAAGTACACAGGACCCTGTCTTTCCCGATGAATTCAACTATAAAACCTATAAAGACAACTATTCAATTGTCCTTCCCAATAAATTCAAGGATAAAATAGAGCAACTATTTGAAGACTCTGAAGAGTAAATGGTAGGAGGCAGATTGGGGAAGAAGACTAGAACTTAGAATATTGAACTGACAGTGCTTTTAACATTTTTCTTCTGGTATTCTCTGGTCTGGACTCAAATTAGTGCAAAACCCAGAAGTGGACTTGGGTGTGGACAGAGAGAATTCAAGATCTTTCTATTTCTGGCTTGAGTAGGAGGAGTCTCACATGTTTCTCACTCTGTTATCTTGCCCCCTCTCCCCCAGGTAATCCCATGGTGAGAACAGCAGGGGCATATGGGCACCTAAAACTCTGAGGAGTGGGGTGGAAACTCACTCACAGAAGTCTGGTTTTTCCTTCTCTGTTTTTCTGCTTGGCCCCAGTTGTGGCTAGCTATAGTCATGGAAATTAAGTGGCTGAACAAGTTAAGTAATGCTCCAGCTCTCTGGCTGAAGGACTAAGAAGGGGGAGCCTCAGCTGGGTGTGGTGGCTCAAGCCTGTAATCCCAGCACTTTGGGAGGCTGAGGCAGGTGGATAACTTGAGGTCAGCAGTTTGAGACCAGCCTGGCCAACCGGACAAAATCCCATCTCTACTAAAAATACAAAAAAAAAAAAAAATAAATTAGCCAGGCATGGTGGTGCACATCTGTAATTCCAGCTACTCGGGAGGCTGAGGTACCAGAATCACTTGAACCGGGGAGGCAGAGTTTGCAGCGAACTGAGATGGCACCAGCCTGGGCGACAGAGCAGACTCTGTCTCAAAAAAAAAAAAAAAAAAAAAAAAAAAAAAAAAAAAAAAAAGGTGGTGGAGGGAGCCTCAGGGAACCTAAAAGTATCAGGAATATAATGGAGAAGGAGAAGCTCAGGAACGTGAAAGTTTTATGTGAACCCCTGGGCTCCACACACGTGAAAGTTTTATGTGAACCCCTGGGCTCCACACAGACTGCATGCATGAATCTGACCCTAAACAGCATAGCAGTGACTTTGAGAACTGAACAAGATAGATACTGCCCAGGCCCCAGACTGTCGACTTTGTAGTACACATACAGAGCTCAACCAAATGGCACGGCAAGGGCTCTGAAAACTGAACTGATATTAGAGCCACAGAAGACAGGTCAGAACTTGTGACTCAAACTGAACCAGGTTAATTGCCTGCTTAAACAAAAATGTCAACATTTTCTGTAATATTTAAACAAAACCCAGAGTTTCATAACATTATTTTAAAAATATCCAGGAGATAAGCCAAAATTACTTGGCGCGCAATGAACTAGGAAAATCCCAACTTGCATGGGAAAAGATAGATCACCACCCCTGGGCCAAGTTGATACAGATACTTGATTTTTCAGTTTTTAATGCAGCCATTATGAAAATGCTTCAGGAAGTAAGAGTGAACATTCCTGAAATGAATAGAAAGATGGAAAGTCTCATTAAGAAATAGAATATATAGAGAACCCAATGGAAAATTTAGAAACGAAATTTACAATGAAAGATACAATAACCAAAGTAAAAAGCTTACCAGATGGGCTCGGTAGCAGATTGGAAATGATAGACCTTAAATAAGACACATTAGTACTTATATTACATATGACTGGTCTAATCACAGTAATTAAAAGACAGACATTAATGAATAAATGAAACAAGACCCAACTAAATGCTGCTTACAAGAAACCCACTTATAATGCTATAGGTGGTTTAAAAGCAAAAGGATGCAGGAGAAAAAAACATGCAAACACTAATCAAAAGAAGGTGAAGTGACTATATTAATTATTAGAAGAAGTAGGCTTCAGAGCAAAGAAAATAATTAGAGGCAAAGCAGACATTATAATGACAAAAGAATCAGGTCACCCAGAAAACTAGAGCTTCAAAATTCATAAAGCAAAAACAGAACTGAAATAAGAAATAGAAAAAATTCTGTTGTAGTTGGAGACTTCAATACTTCTTTTTTGGTAATCAATAGAATTGACAGACTGAAAATCAGCAAGGCTATGAAGGAACTGAATGGCACCATCAACCAAATAGTTCTAATTGACATCTTTAGAAAACACTACCCAACTACAGAGAATACATATTACTTTCAAATATGCATAAAACATTCACCAATATAAATCATATCATGGGTCACAAAATAAACCATAACCAATTTAAAATAATTGAAATACTGTAATTTCTGACTGGAATAAAATTAAACTGTAAATCAGTAACGGAAGGAGAACATGAATATGTCCAAACTCTTAGAAATTAACACACTTCTAAATAATCCATGTGTTGAGGAATTCTCAATGGAAGTTAGCAAACGTTTTGTACTAAATGAAAATACAACACATCAGATTTGTGGGATGTGGTTGAAGCAATGCATGAGGGAAATTTCTAGCATTACCTGCATATATTAGAAAAGAGGGAAATAATAATGTAAGCACCTACCTTAAGAAACTAGAGTAAGAAAAGTAAAATAAAACCAAATAAGTAGAAGGAAGAAAATAATAAAAGTAGAAATTGATGAAGTTGAAAGCGGAGAAAAAAATAGAGAAAATCAATGAAACAAAAAGCTGATTCTGTGAAAAGAAAAATAAAATTGACCAACAAGAATGACAAATGAAAAAAGAGAAGATATGCATTGCTAACATTAAGAATGAAAGGGGATTAAACTTCACTTCAATGAATTATGACAGAATACTATGAACAACTCTCAGCACATAAAATTGATACATTAGATGAAATGGATCAATTCCTTAAATGGATCATTTCCTTAAAAACCACAAACTACCAAAACCCACCCAAGATGAAATGATAACCTGACTAGCCCCATTACTGTAACTATTAAAGAAATTTAATTTGCAGTTAACCTTCTTAACAAAATATCTCCAGCCCCAAACAGTTGCCTGGTGAATTCCACCAAACATTTAAAGATAAAATAAAACCAATTTTACAAAATCTCTTCCAGAAAACAGAAGAGGAGGAAACACTTCCCAATTCATTTTATGAGGTCAGTATTACCATGGTATGAAAACCAGACATAAAATACACTGAACAATATTTATTATGAACAAAGATGCAAAAAATCCTCAACAAATATTAGTAAATCAAATCCAGCAATATATGAAAAGAGTAATATGCCATGGTCAAAAAGGATGCAAGACTCATTGAGTATTTGAAATTCAGTTAGTATAACCTACTGCATTAACAATCTGAAGAAGAAAAAACACAATCATATCAGTTGATGTAGAAGAAGCATTTGACAAAATTCATTCATTCATGATTTACAAAAAGCTCTTAGCAGACTAGAAATTGGAGAAACTTTCTCATCTTGATAAAAGACAATTTACAAAAACATATGTCTAACATCATAATTAATAGTAAAGGATTATTAATGCTTTCTCCCTAATATTAGGAACAAGGCAAGGGTGTTCACTCTCACCACGCCCATTGAATATTATACTGAAAGTCTTCACTAGTGCAATAGGGATGGGAAGAGGGATATAGATTGGGAAGGAAGAAATAAAATTGTTCTTTTTCACAAACAGCATTATTGTCTATGTACAAAATTCCAGGAAATCTACAAAAACAAAACAAAAAATCAAACACTCCTAGAATTAATGTTTAACAAAGTTATAGGATATAAGGCCAATATACAAATTCAATTTTGTTTCTATATACTAACAATAAACAATTAGGAATGGAAAGGTTTTTAAAACACCGTTTGTAATAGCTCCAAAGAATGTGAACTACTTATAATTTTGGCAAAAAATACCATCCCAAACAAACATATATTGCATCTATAGTTGAAAACTATAGAACACTGATAAAAGCAATCTGCGAAGATGTATAATAAATAGACATAACAGGTTTATAGGTTAGAAGATTCAGCAGAGTAAAGATGTCAGTTCTCCTAGAATTTATAGATTAACATTATTTCCAGAAAGATTTTGTTGTTGTTGTTGATTTAGACAAGCTGCTTCCAGAATTTGTATTAAAAGGCAAAAGAACAAGAATGGCTGAACCAATTTTGAAAAAGAAGAACGAATAGGAAGAATCATACTACCTGATTTTAACATTTACTCTAAAGCTATGGTGATCCAGATTGTGTGGCATTGGCAAAGGGTTGGACAGACCAATGGGACAGAAACAGACCCGTACAAACACAACCAGTTGATTTTTGGCAAATTTGCCAAAGCAATGAAATAGAAAAAGGACAGTCTCTTTAACAAATGGCATTAGTTGGACCTATGAAAAAAAAATGAACCTCAATCTATGCTTCTTTGTACAACAGTTATCTCAAATTGGATCATAGAGCTACATATAAAGAGGAGAAACTACATATTTTTAGAAGAACACATAAGAGAAAATCTTTGTGACTTCTAGTTAGGCAAGGAGTTTTCCCACCACTTCTCATGACCCACAGCTGGGTAAGGTTAGCCTGGAGAGCTTGCTCCCTGTTTTCTGTTTTTGAGAGTTGTTCAGCGTGTGCTTCTGTTCATTGGAGGCACTGTTCTAACTCATTCCTCACCACACCCCTGCAAAATAGATAGTATGGTATAGCCGTGTCATTTTTGAGATGAAGAAACTGAAGCACAGAAAGATGAATAAATATACCTTGAGTGTAATAAGTTCCATGAGTGGCAGAACAGGAAATGCTCTCTTCCTAGACCTGTGGTGCCATCTACCTCTGTGTTCTGATAGACAGTCTCAGCCTCCACATTCTTCTTGAAAACACAAATCATGAATTTTCATGGCTCCTGTGACCCAGACGTGTGTTTTCAGGGCATCTGTTTTGTTCTTCTGTGTGGGTTTTATTCTCAGGCCCACGTTTGAGGTTGGTGGGTTTTTGCTGCTTGTAGTGCAATATTAACCCACATGAATCTATTTAGCGCCATCTCGTGTCTGGAGCGGTTTACAGGCCGGATTGCTTTAGTAGTAGTGGGTAGGTACAAAAAAGATGTAGTGGGAAAGATTTGATTACCAAAATATGAAAAATTAGCGTGATCGGACACTTGAATTCCATTAGACATGAACTTTGTAGTGATGCACCTCTTCCAGTATGATCCAGTTAATAGAATGTTGCGGGGAACAGATCAAGTCAGCTTTTAAACCTTAGTTTGCCTTCTCCCATTGTAATAGTGTCCTGGCTTCTTGGGCACTTGGCCAGTACCAGAGGCCCTGAGCTCTTGGGGGGAGGCCTTCAGTCCCAGCTTCTCAGCCTTGTGGAGAGTCTTCCCCGTGGATATACCTTCCAGAAGGCTAAAGAGTCTACCTTCTCTCTCCCTGTGTGGTTAGCTGATTTAAAGGAAGGTGCCAAAATGTACCTCAGGATTGGCCTTTTCAGCAGCGGGACTCAGAATGGGAAAAGGACAGTGGAGCAAACTCCTCTTCCATGGAGACTTGCCAGTTTGTTTGGGAAGGGAAGGAGGGAAGAAATGGGAAAAAATAGGGCAGAATGTGCCGAATTCTTGGAGCTCTTCCATGAGGTAGGGGCTGCATCTTTCTGCAGGAGGGTGGGGGTGGTGGTGGTAAGAAAGGATGCACTAGTAAAAAAATTCTAAAAACAAAAGCATGTAACACCTCACATTATTCAGTCTTATTTTTGTTCTTTTTTTTTTTTTTAACATATTTTACTTTTCCATTACAGAAGTAATCGATGCTCATGTTAGAAAGCTGGGAAAATAGGAAAAATACATCCAAAGAATATATACTCAATCACAATGGTTAATATTTTATGGATTTCCTTTTCTTCTTTGTATGCATGAAGATTGGAGTGTTATAACTGGGCACGGTGGCTTATGCCTGTAATCCAGGCACTTTGGGATTCCAAGGCTGGTGGATCACTTGAGCCCAGGAGTTTGAAACCAGCCTGGATAGCAGAAGGAGACCCTATCTCTACAGAAAAAAAAAAAAAATAGCTTGGTGTGGTGGCATGTGTCTGTGGTCCCAGCTACTCAGGAGGCTGAGATGGGAGGATCATTTGAGCCTGGGTGGATAAGGCTGCAGTGAGCCATGATGGCACCACTGCTCCAACGTGGGTGACAGCGTGAGACCGTGTCTCAACTAAAAGAAGATTTGAGTGTTTAATAATGTGATGTTGCTTTTTACTTATTTTATTTAATTATGTGATGTTGCTTTTTACTTATACTTGCTTTTTACTTATTTTATGAGAAACATTTTACAAGTTAGGACATAGCTTTGGTAAATGACTGTGTACGCTGAGTTCTAGGACCATGACAGGTATTTGTGTTTTAGTTATTATTTTGGTATATTAAATAATGCTTCAGTGAACACCTTTGCTTCCTTTTTTATTTTGTTTAAACTTAGAGCTATTTCCTTAGAATAGGTTTCCCAAATCATGATGACTGGGAAAGGGCTTGAAGAGGACTTCGAGGCTCTTAGTATAAACACATACGTGCTCACCCACCCTGGCTGGAAGTGGGCTCTGCTACTTAGGCAGTGATGGAGATTTTGGTCACATCCCTTCACTTCTCAGAGCCTCAGTTTTTTCTTCTTCCAAATGGAGGTAAAAATACCCACTGCATATGGCTTTTCTATTAATAATACCTATAAAGTCCCTCTGGAGAACTTGGCACACAGTGAGCGCTAAATACATGGTAACTTTACAAAATAATTATAGTTCTAGATAGCCTTATTACAGGTTTCTACCAGTTTGCCCTACCACCAGCAATGCATGAAGTTATTTAACCTCTCTAGTGTTTGATACATAATCATTTCTTTTTAAAATACCTTTGCCAATTTGAGTGAAAACACTACCTTATTATTATTTTAATTTGCATTTGTTTTATTATAGTGAGAGTGAAAAATTTTGCATGCTATTATAAACAAGTTTGTTGTCTCTCATATAAAATGCCTTTTTTCTATTGGCATTTAATATTGTCTTACTAGTTTGTATTAACTATTTAAAGAAATTATTCT
This sequence comes from Homo sapiens, assembly GCF_000001405.40. Lineage (NCBI taxonomy): Eukaryota > Metazoa > Chordata > Mammalia > Primates > Hominidae > Homo > Homo sapiens. The sequence continues at coordinate 36,574,482 of NC_000018.10, forward strand.
TTAACATATTTGTTGTCATAGATCCACTTATCTAGTATAATTTTATATCAAACTTTCATATGCTGCATTCAAATGCTGCATACAGATTTCTCATTAGGATGAGAAATGTGATTATAATTGTAATCTCTTTGTAATAAATTCTGTGAATTTTTTTATTGTATCTATAATTTTACTTGCAAATTATGACAATATGTATTTCCAACAATTTTGTATCTTATCATTTTTCATATCTTATTAAATTTGCCTGAAATTCTATAGCAGTGTTAAATAATCCATGGGTTTAATGAGCATCATTTAAAAATTATTTCTGATTAGTAGGAATATCTCTAGTGTTTTACCATTAAATAGACTATGAATCTGTTATTTCTCAAAATATACTGCTTATTGTGTCAAGGATATGTCCAAATAATTTTTAAATTTTTTGAGTTATTACATATTTAGGAGCATATTTTTTCTCAGAATAATGTGGTTTTCTTTTTCTTTTTTCTCTTTTTTTTTTTCTTTGTTCAGACAGAGTTTTGCTCTATCACCCAGACTGGAGTGCAGTGGTGCGATCTTGGCTCACTGCCACCTCCGCCTCCTGGGTTCAAGCAATTTTCCTGCCTCAGCTTCCTGAGTATCTGGGATTACAGGTGTGCACCACCACACCCATCTAATTTTTGTGTTTTTAGTAGAGACAAGGTTTTGCCATGTTGGTCAGGCTGGTCTTGAACTCCTCACCTCATGTGATCCACCTGCCTTGGCCTCCCAAAGTGTTGGGATTACAGGCATGAGCCACTGTGCCCAGCCACTAATGTAGTTTTCTTATTTGATCTTCTGTTGGATAGGATGCATTTTCTAATATTACATATATATTTGCATACTTAGAATTTGTGTTTACTGTTTTCTGTTTTGCTCTTTCTAATCAACGTATTTCATGTAGAATGTTTCCTACAACCCACATATAAACTTTGTGTGTGTTTGTAATGCATAAAAAAAGAATGTAAGAAAATACATCAATATTTTAAGAATGGTTATCTTTAATTTATGGGAACATGAATTATTTTCACTTTATTCTTCTGTATTTTTCTAATTTTCTAAAATAAGCTGTTCTACTGTTACCAGCATAAAAAATGTTGTTTAGAAAAATGTCAATGCCCTGACAATTAGTTATGGGTGAAATATGATTAGGAGCTTAGATGTGACTGGTGGAGTCCTCCTTCCTTTAGGGCATGTAACTTCTGTTTGTTCATTATCTATCAGTCAGATTATTTTGATAATAATGGAGTTGAAAAACTGAGTTTAATGTTTACTTAAAAAACATAGCTAGTGTTTTCTGTTTGGAGAATAATGATGGTATATGGTGACTATATATTTTCCTAAACTAAGAATTTAGGATTTGGTATGTGACGAATGTGTGATATCATGTATTTTCATGATACCTGATGTTTTTACTTGAAAATCTTTAAAGGGAATTACTCATAATATTTAACTATGCATTTATTGCTGACCTATTGGAATAAAATTGGATTAACCCAGGATGATCCCACAGAATCTAAGACTTGCTGACCACAGACTGGGGCACTGGACAGGTTGCTTTTGGAAACTTCGTTTGTCCTTGTGGCCCCAGTGGGAGGCCACAACCCAGACACCATCTCATGAATATCTTTGTCCTGTCTGGGACTACACACAGATATAGAAACAGAAAAACATGCATTTATACATCAAGGCACACAGAAACAACAATCACTGGATTGGTGCCTTAATTGCATCTTCCGGGAGCCTGGAATAGCCCTTGTTTCTTCTAGTGTTCGACACTTTCTCTCTGAAATGAGATTTAGTTAATTTCAGAGCTCAGGAATTCTCCTCAGATTTGATTCTTAACATACTGTGTACTTAAAGTATGAAAATCTTGATCAGCATTATGATCACTGAAGATTATATTTCTATATACATCTATAATGTCTCCTTTTTCTCTTGTTTTCTGTAGCTTTGGGCCAGATTATGTTGTATGTGGATGGAATGAATGGAGTAATAAACCGCAATGAAACCATTCAGTGGCTGTACACTCTCATTGGGTCAAAGGTAAGGGGAAGTTATGGTTGACTGTTTTGTTCACTTGTCATATCACTTGCCTTTCTTTTTTCTCTGAGTCAGTTTTGCAGAAAGAAATTTTATTCAGCTTTTTTCAAGCCGTTACAGTATAAATGAGGATTACTACTCTACAAATTTTAAGATACACTTAAATTGCAAATAGCTCATGAAATTTTAATGCATTTCTCTTTTCTCTTCTCTTAAGCTTTAATCAAGTGCCTTTGGAACCTTCGGTTTTTAATATTTAATCAAATGTTATACCATAGGGCCGGGCGTGGTGGCTCACACCGGTAATCCCAGCACTTGGCAAGGCCAAAGCGGGTGGATCACGAGATCGAGACCAGCCTGGCCAACATGGTGAAACCCTGTCTCTACTAAAAATATAAAAATTAGCTGGGCATGGTGGCACGCGCCTGTAGTCCCAGCTGCTCGGGAGGCTGAGGCAGGAGAATCACTTGAACCCGGGAGGCAGAGGTTGCAGTGAGCTGAGATCATGCCACTGCACTCCAGCCTGGGTGATGGAGCAAGACTCTGTCTCAAAAAAAAAAAAAAGTTATACCATAGATGTAAGATCTGTGAACCATCTGTATTTCATGTTCGTGTGTACATATATATTTATATGTTGTACATATGTATATGCATATTCCTATATGGATAAAGAATCCGAGATTACCTTTCAGCTCTAACATCAATTATAAAAGTAATCAATGTTTATTACGGATTTGCCAGGCACCAAACTAGGTATTTTATTTTATTTTATTTATTGAGACAGAGTCTTATACTCTGTTGCCAGGCTGGAGTACAGTAGCATGATCTCAGCTCCCTGCAACCTCCACCTCCTGAGTTCGAGCAAATCCCATGCCTGTCTCCCAAGTAGGTGGGATTAAAGGCATGACCCACCACCCTGGGCTAATTTTTGTATTTTTAATAGAGACAAAGTTTCACCATGTTGGCCAGTCTGGTCTTGAACTCCTGGCCTCAAATGATCCACCTGCCTTGGCCTCTCAAAGTGCTGGGGTTACAGGTGGGAGCCACCACATCCGGCCCATACTAGGTGTTTTATAAGCGTGATCTCATTTAATTCTCATGAGGCCACTGTCAGGTAAGTAATATAATTCCCATTTGGTAGTTGAGGAAATAGTGCTTGATTATGAAAGCCTAGCTGGTTTCCCCATGCATTTTGGCACATCACCACCAGCCACGCCTTGGCTGCCAGGTCCCTGAGGTCTCTGGAGGTCCTGCCAAGGAAGCAGATCTATTCCGTCACTTCAGGTGCGCCGAAAGCTGGGCAAGCCTCTGGCATAGTCTTCTCTGGTTTCTGCCGGGGTGTGGAGGAGCATGTGTTAGGGACCTGACTGCAGGGGGATTTGGGAGAAGTAGTGAAAGGGACCCTGTCCTGAGCAGGTGCACATGCACCAAGGTTAAAGTGCTGTACGGGTGGCACGTTATGGAGATCAGAGTGGCTGTAGTGGGCAACATGGTCAGATGGAGTGGGGGATCTTGAGGGCCTGGATACAGAATTTGAACCTGAATTAAACAGGTCACAGAATCAGCATAGCTTTGTAGGGTCCCTGAAAAGCATATTGGATTAATCTGTTCTCACACCGCTAATAAAGACATACCTGAGACTGGGTAATTTATAAAGGAAAGAGGTTTAATGGACTCACAGTTCCACATGGCTGGGGAGGCCTCAAAATCATGGCGGAAGGCGGAGGAGGAGCAAAGGCACATCTTACATGGTGGCAGGCAAGAGAGTGTGTGCAGGGGAGCCACCCTTTATAAAACCATCAGATCTCAGAAGACTTATTCACTATCATGAGAAAAGCATGGGAAAAACCCACCCTCATGATTCACTTACCTCCCACTGGGTCCCTCCCATGACATGTGGGAATTATTACAATTCAAGGTGAGATTTGGGTGGGGACAGAGAACCAAACCATATCACATGTGGTCTGCCCAGACTGTCCCCCATCCCTGTGTTCACTGCCCACCCCCACTAGAGTGAGCCTTTCCAGGCTGCTGTTCACAGTGCTGTGCTCTGCTGGGGAGTCCATCCCCTGGCCCTACCCCTGGAGTCACCTGCCTCCCAAGGATTCTGCTGTCCTTTGGGAGCACTCAGCCCTGGTTTGATTTGGGGAGGAGTATGGTTCTAGTTTTAGGCTGTATCTCCTTCTCAGGCTTCTCAGAATCCTGGTGATTGTGTCCTTGTGTGGTTGGAAGGGCTTTTTCTCTGTGGCTGGCACTGGCATGCGAATCCCCATGGGGTCCCATATCCGTGGGTGACCCTCACATCTTGCCCTCAGGTTTTCTTTTTCTAGTACTTATTGATGAGAGAATTTTTCCCCATTTCAGATTAGAAACAGCTATGCTTTCCCTCAGAAGATTGAAAATCTTTAAAAAAAAATGTTTGGCTTTGTTTTCTATGGAAAATGGAAGTGACTCTGTTTTGAAACTGATGTAGGTGACCTTGGACACTGAGTGAAATGCTGGGCTTTCTAGGTTGCATCAGCCAGACCGAGGGAAGATTTATATCTCATATCCTGTTTCAGTTTTTTCTCCTTTTTCCTTGCTTGTGCTGGGAAGCCTCCCTAACTTTCATGTTCATTTGGAACCTGCTCCCTCCCCAAGGCACTCTGAATGGTCTCAAGGACATAAAAGCTAGGGAGATGGGAAGAGATTTTGCAAGAAAGATTGACTTTTTGTACATGACACAGCTGAATTAAGATATCTTTATGGTTTTATGATGGCCATGATAAAACACCAACAACTTGCCCTATTTCTAAAAGGAAATAAAACCTAACATGCTTACAATAGAAAAACTGACAGTCTGTTAGCTCATCACCAGACAGAGAATAGAGTGAGGGCAAGGTTAGGGAAGGTGGGATGGGTATGGGGAAGAATCACTGTGAGCAGGGAGAGATTACATAGAGAATGCTGTGGTCTGAATGTGCCTCCCTAAATTTTTGTGGTGTAAACGTGATCCCCAATGCAACAGTGTCAAGAGGTGTTTAGGTCATGAAAGCTCTGCTGTCATGAATGGATTAATGCCATTATAAGAAGGATTTGTGGAAGGAGTGCATTTGCTCTCTTTTGATTCTCTGCCATGTGAGGGCACAACCTTCCTGCCCTCCAGAAGATACAGCAACAGGCACCATCTTGGATGCAGAGAGACTGGGCCCTCACAGTCAGTGCCTTGATCTGGGACTTCCCAGCCTCCAGAACTGTGAGAAATAAATTTCTGTTCTTCATAAATTACCCAGTCTCAGGTATTTCTCTTTATAGCAGCAAAAATAGACTAAGAGAGGAAAGGCACAAAGAAAAGAAGAGGGAGAGATAGAAAAGAGGGAGGAGAAGGACCACGGAGGAGGAAAAGAAGAAGAGCAGCAGAGAAAAAAAAAAACAGAAATAACAGAAATGCATGCCATGGCTCAGAGTCTCTGATGTGGCAACAGCATCATATTGATATTACTTTGGAATCATTCTGTAAGGAAAATAAACAATCAGGAAAGAATAAACACACAGGAAAATCTTTATTGCATTTCTAAATAACATGGAAAAATTATAAAATTAAAAAGTTTCAAAAATACATTTGTAGGAATTGTGCTTTCCCAGCCTCCCCATCCTACACGGTGCACTCGGTGTGTGCTTCCTCAGTGGTGGTTCAGGACTCTGGGCTGCCTCTTCAGGGCCTCTGTCTAAGGTGGCACACTCGCCTCCTCCCTAGCCATTTGGGCCGTCAGCACTGGATCTGTGTGGATTTCTGTCTTCATCTTTTATTTTCCCAAAGGCAGGTCTAGAATAGTCTCTGGCTCCTGTGTTCTGCACTGTGCTGGTCATAATGAGGACAAGAGAGTGGAGCCAAGAGTCAGCCTGTGCCTTGGAGTTCACTGTGTTGTTGGAAAGGAGAATTCTGGGGAACAGTGATGCCACAGCCCATCCCACTAACTGTGATGTCACATGAAGGTCTCCTGCCCCCCTGCAGGGTGTGCTCTGTTCTAGGCGAGTTGCTGAAAGTTAACAAAGGCAGTAGCTGCCAAGTTTATTTCCAGTCTACATAGTTCTAATGAGATCACCTCTTATTTACAAAACCAATAGAGTGTCTGCTGATACTCTTCCCTCACCCCCATCTGAATAATGAGAAATTGAAAAGAACAACAGATACATCAACCCAAGACCCTTAGATTTTGAGAAGGAGGCCTCAGTCTCCTCCTTAAACATACAGTTTGGTCAATACAGCTGCAATGGGTTTTCCCCAATTCAAATTAAGAAATCAGCAAAGCCAGGGGCCCTAGCATTTCCTTTTGACAAAGAGTCAGATTTATCTTAACCTGGAAAGGTTACCTTGACATCCAGTTGCCTTTGCCTTATACAGTCACAGAGTTGATAAAGGAAGTACTGGAGCAGAAACATCTTGTCACTGTGTTTTCATAATTCATCATTTTTCTTCCATGAAAGGCAACAAGATGTGATTTTGCAGCCTGCCAGAGGCTCATTATGCAATGCATATTTGCAGATATTTGAGACTCATAGCCAGGGGAGAAAATAATGCATTCGTAGCCAAATAATGACTTTTTAAAAGAAAGAAAAAAGTGTTTTCAATAAAGTGTTTCTTTCTATTTACAAGAGCCAATCTTTAAACTCTCCAGTCAGAGGTAAGAGGCAGATGCCAGGCCCATGACTTATCACAGGATGTGGATTTTTTTCTCTTCATACATCTGGAATTCTAATTAATTGGAGTAAGATGATTCAGTCTATACAGCATGGCCCTTTGTCACCCAGCACAGAGAGTCTGTCTCTTTATCTCTATGGATCCTCTTTTGGCCCAAGGGGAAGGCCTCAGGGCCCTGAGCCTGGCAAACTCTCACCTCCTTGCTGCCTCTTAGGGGTGCCTCAGGGCGCTGGCATGGAAGCTTCCCTGTCTGCATTGCTCTCCAGGTTAGCTTGCCTTGCTCTGTCTAAGTTCCCATCAGCCCCATTGGATCTCATCCTTCCATCTGTGCCCCATATTGCTGATCACAGGTCTCCAGACTTCCTTTCTACTTGTGTGAGGGTGTGCAGGCCTCCCTACTCCTATGTAGGCCTATCTGGAGGAGCCCTGGCCAAGGCCCTCCTTGCACGCACGTACACACACATACATACATGCTCGTGCTCATGCGCTCTCTCTTTCTCTGTCATATACATTAGAGAACCTATGAGCCCACCCGCCAGCCACCCCACCCCCAACACTGGGGACATTGCTGAAAGTTTGTTTAGGACTGCAAAATGAAGAAAAAATAAGTAACGTGGTGTGTAGAATGGAGTGGTGGAGGAGGGGAAATTGACAGGGATGGGAAAGCTGGGTGGGAAGGGTTAGCTCAGTATCACAGCTGTGAGGTGAGAGTAGCAGTGGAAACAGAATAATGAAAAAATAGAGACATTTTGAGGACTAGCCTTCTAGGAGGAGATTTCTGGATATAGGAAAATAAAAGGAATCAAAGGTTGGGGGTCACAGTTTGACTCTGCAGCTAGAAATATGGCAGTGCCAATGGCAGTAGAAGAGTTGGACATTGGGGTTTGTTGGCAAGAAAACTTTGGACACACTGGTTTGGAGATGAAGGAAATATTCCCAAAGAGAGCTAAGTGCCATGGAGCCTGGTGCTCCATGTGCCCCAGGAGACACTGGCTGATGGGCAAGGAGAGGAGATTCGGTGAGCCCTCTGGTCTTGGAGCCACTGGCATGTCACTGTTGTGTGATCTGCTCAGATGACCCAAATATGGGGGTGAGAGCTGAAGACCTTTGTAAGTTACGTAATGTAAATAATAGAATCCTAGCCTTGAAGAGATGGCAATGTCATGTTAAAGGTGTTCCTGACATCATCAGTCCCATTCCTCATACTTCTAGATGCAGAGGGATCATCAAATCATTTGCCTAGGTTGCCCAGGAATACTGTTGCATGCTGGAATTGGTGGAAAGCCTTCCTTTTTCGGACATGCATTACCTGTCATTAACCAAATGCTTGTGCATTGTTTTGTTGAACAAGACACTCTGACTTGCTGTGGAAGCAAAGTATTTACAGGCAGTTACCATGTGAACCCTGTCCAAGCTAAACTTGATGGCTGCTACAGATAGTACTTGGGGATATAATTTTCAGCTCCTCATCATACTGGTTACCAACTCTTCTGTTCATGTAGTACAAAGAATAGTAATATGGTAGCTGGGATGCGATGTCATTCTTCCACAAATCCCACCTCTGATATATTACATCTTTTAGCAGCAGCCTTGGCTGTTGCCTCCGTTTGAACCGGTAATCCACTAAGCCTTCCGGATTTTTGTCACACATTTTTATCTGCCAGTTTCTTCCATTCTGCGTGTCTGCGATTGATTGATTCACGTTTAAATTCAGGGCCTTGCATTTTTCCCCCATTGATTGTGGGCCAGAGTTCCAGCCTCAAGATAATTAAGAATTCTGTTCTGCTTCTTTCTCTTATTAACTGTTAGTGCTAATTTTATTTAACAAAAAATGAATAAGCAGATCTTCCATGCCATTGATGAAAATGTCTAGTGGGACAGAGACAAGGAATGCATAAACCAGTGCAGCCTGCAGGTTGACACTGATCAGTCAAGGCATTTTAGGGTCATTGTACAATTAGTGGGAAGCCGTTGAACTCTGACCATCCAGCTGTGTTTCTTCATTGGGGTCACAAGGCCTTCCTGGAATCACGATATGCTGCATCTGACAGTCAGTGCCAGAGCTTTGGGGTCACACACGCCTGCACCATCCTTGGGGTGGGTTGCTTTTTCATCTACAAAATGGGAGTGATAATAGTGAAGAAGACGTAAAACACTAAGCAACAGGAGATGCCCAGTATGGTTTCCTGCCCCTGCCCTAGGAGTACAGGGTTTTATTCTTTTCCCTTCTCCTCCCCCACCTTGTTGACCTTCCCTGTGGCTTAAGGCTTTTGTCTCAAAGAGGAGAAGCCTCTGGCTGGGGTTTCCCCTCCTTTTCACAGTGCTGGCTGCTCCCTTCCTCCTTTAGGGTTGTTGCTGTTCTGCCTGCTGTGTGGCTGTGCACCGCTAGGCCTGCACTACTGGGAAAGTTTCTTAGGTCCCAGCCCTGCCCCCAGCTTCTTTGTGAGTGCCATGGAGAGCAGCCTACTGGTGGCTGCCAAATCCCTTTGTGTCTGCAGTTCCAAGGGGTTTATGCTCTCATGGTAGCCCACAGTTGACATTTGACAATTTGCTAAAACTATTATCTGAGGTTTTATTGTTTAATTATTATTATTATTATTATTACTATTATTATTATTTTGAGACGGAGTCTCACTCTGTCACCCAGGCTGGAGTATAGTGACACAGTCTCGGCTCACTGCAGCCTCAACAGCCCAGGCTCAAGCAATCCTCCTACCTCAGCCTCCTGAGTAGCTGGGACCACAGGGAACACACCACCACACCCAGCTAATTTTCTGTGTTTTGAATGGAGATGGGGTTTCACCATGTTGCCCAGTCTGGTCTCAAACTCCTGAGCTTAGGTGATTCTCCCACCTTGGCCTCCCAAAGTGCTAAGAATACAGGCGTGAGCCAGCATGCCCAGCCTGAGTTTTTCCTGCTGCTTTGTATAAATGGCTTCATTTTCCTCCCCTACCCTGCCTCAGATGATAGTCCATTGCTGGCCTCTCACCCTTTCTGGGTGGATAGAACACTCTCCCTCCCTAGATTTCAGGCTACTTGGTTTTCCTGCAACCCCAGGTATATGATGGGCTCAAGAAAAGTTATGGCGTGAAAGATTGTTTGTCTCTCTCTTATTATTAGGTTGGGAGTGACACTCGACATCTTTCCAGCTGGAAGCCAGAAGTCCAATTGTTAATATTATAAAAACACTGTAAATATACTGCAATAGCATGAGATGTACTCAGCCAGCAAATTCTATATGGTCCAGGCAAAGGGAGTTGCTAGAACATTATAGTTAGTTCCTTGAATTGCACTATTGTCTTAAATCCATCCTTGATATTGGATGTTGTGTTTATAATTCCCACATTAATTGAATTGAAATATATTTCATTAATAGAAATTCAATTAAGACTAATTTTTTTATAATTCAGTTAATGATTACAGATTAAAGAAAAAATATGGCAACTGGGCATGGTGGCCTGTAGTCCCAGCTATCGGGAGGCTGAGACAGGAAGATCCCTGGATCCCAGTTCATGATCAGCTTGAATAACACATAGACCCCTTCTCAAAAAACTAAAATAGCTAAAGTTTACTGGTATAATATGGAAATCTTGATAGTAAAAAATAACTTTTTAAAACATTTACTGAATTTTTTTGTGATTACAAAAATAACATACTCTCTTTGTATAAAACTTTAGAAATACAAAAAAAGTAAAATAAAAATTACCTAGAAACACTACCACATAAAGATCATCATTTTTTGGTACCTTTTCTTCTGATTTTTTAAATTTTTCTTACAAAATTAACTCTGAGTATATTATAAGCATTTCCTTTGTTACTACAAAATTTTTAAACTACAATATTTAATGCCTACATAATATACAGTCATATGAATGTACTATTATTCATTCGACTTTTCTCATCTTGTTAATCGAATTGTTTCCAATGCTGTGCTGTGTTTAAAGAGCTTTGTTTCTAATGGCATAAAAATATGTTTAGTGAATGAGGTTGTGTTTGAATTTTTGCATGTTTATCAACATTATATTCGATGAGATTTCTAAAATTCCATGGGTTTTAATGGCATAGTCATGTAATATTTGTGTTGGAGTCATTGTGGGTATAAAGTGCCAGCTTCTTCATTAGGGCTGTTGCTCTTCTACCGGCCACTTGGCTGTGCATACCCAGAACACTCATTCTCACTGATTTGATATGTTAGAGTCCCCCATGTGAGAATAATCTCAGTAGGAAAAAAAAGGGAAAAAGCAAGTTTTACTAGTTATTGTTTTAGGAAGACCTCAGAGTGAGAGAGAAGTGATTCAGGCCAGGCCTCAAAGAGGGCAGCAGGCTGAGGGGGCCCCACTGTCCAGACAGGTCTCCAGACACAGGGCTAAACAGCAGTTTCTTCCATTCACTCTGAGATGATCATCTTCAGGGAGCTGATTGTGGTTCCTCAATTCTTAAGAGGCTTGCTGATAAACCAGAATTTTAACTTACAAAGACATTATTTTTGTGAACGCAAGAAGCAGAAACTAAGGGTGCACCTTTGACTCTTCTGCCCCTGTAGCCCAGGGCAACCAGATGAGTTTTAGCAGTTGGAGGAAGAGTAGAAGTGGGTGGCTCTAATCTGGAAGAACATTTAGGGAAATGCAGAAACACCAAAGTAGGCAGCATGCTGTTCCTTCCAGAGAGATGTTCTGCCCTTTTCTAGGAGAGTTGGATGAGCAAGAGTACCAGAAGCAGCACAGGCTTCTGGGAGCCTGCAGGGTTCTGCCACTCTCTACTCTAGCCCCCATCTGCCAGCCCTTCTCCCCCTACTCCAAAGAGATGTGAGCTGCCTGCCACACTCTTCTAACAGCACATTTGCCAAACCTGGGTTTTAGCTGTTCATTTTCATGTTTCCAGGGCTGGTTATTTACTTAAGAGAGTTCTTTCACCTTTATTGTTACTCAGAAGATAATATTTGTCACATTTTCCCAAGGCTTAAGTTTTTGCACCAGAGTGAAAGATGGGAACCTCCATAGTATAGTGGAAAGAATCAGATTGACCTGGGTTTTTCTTTAACTTCTTCCAGAAATGGGCTATGCGACAAGTTACATAGCCTCCTTAGAATGTGAAGTTTTGTATTTGAAAATGGGAATGCTGCCAACTGGAAAAGTACCCAATCTTGTTGATTTCCCTCAACCACGAATTTCATTCTGCATATACTATCAAGATGCTCCTTCGGGCAATATCTTAGTGCAGGGATTTTGGTATTCCTTAGTAAACAATAAAAGATGTGCATGTTACTTTTTTTTTTTTTTGAGACAGAGTCTCACTCTGTCGCCCAGGCTGGAGTGCAGTGGCACGATCTCGGCTCACTGCAACCTCCTGCCGCCTCCTGGCTTCAAGTGATTCTCCTGCCTCAGCCACCTGAGTAGCTGGGATTACAGGCATGCGCCACCATGCCCAGCTAATTTTTGTGTTTTTAGTAGAGACAGATTCCACCATGTTGGTCAGGCTGAACTCCTGACCTCGTGATCCTCCCACCTCGGCCCCGCAAAGTGCTGGGATTACAGACATGAGCCACCGTGCCTGGCCGCGTGTTACATTTTGTCAATTATTCATAATTACCTTGAATATCTGAAGAGAAAGTTAGCCAAGTGGATGTTTTCTGACTCTTGCCCACTTTTATTAATGGTTCTTTAAAGAAGCTCTTACTGACAAAGCCAGTCCCCAAAAAAGGGGGGTCTTTCCCTGATTGGTGCTGTGAAGCCAATACACAAAACCAAAAGTGAGCACCAAGCAGTACAGGCTTTATTCGATGGCCATGGAATTGAGAAGTGGAAGCGTGGTTCACAAATCAGCTCCTCAGTTCGAGAGAGTGGGGAAGTCACAGATACAGGGCATCTTCAATGAAGGGGTTGGGGCATTAAAAGCAAGGGAAGGAATAGTCATGTCTTTTCTGGAGATGGTGGGGGGAACTTCTCAAAGTAGAATGCCACTTTTCTTTTTGTCCTTTTATGGTTTCTTCTCATTGTTGTCATGGTGATTATCAACTGTCAGGGTGCTGGTGGAAGTGTCCTTTTGCATGAGAGTTAGATGATAATGAAGTTAGAAACTCTTCAGAGGCCAAGTGAGCGGCCACCCTGGATCCCAGCAGTCGGAGCCAGTTTAGTCAGGAGGGGGAGCTTCTGACCTCAGGCATCGTATTTCCCAAAGGTAAGCAGAGTTAAGGTAGGATAGAAATTCACTTGGTCATGTAGGCGATTTCCGGGGTAACACAACCTTCATCTAAGCCCCAGAATTTTATCTCAATAGAGAAAATGCCAGCCAGGCGCGGTGGCTCACGCCTGTAATCCTAGCACTTTGGGAGGTTGAGGAGGGTGGATCATCTGAGGTCGGGAGTTTGAGACCAGCCTGACCAATATGGAGAAACCCCATGTCTACTAAAAATACAAAATTAGCTGGGCTTGGTGGTGCATGCCTGTAATCCTAGCTACTCAGGAGGCTGAGGCAGGAGAATTGCTTGAACCCTCGAGGTGGAGGTTGCTGTGAGCTGAGATCGCGCCATTGCACTCCAGCCTGGTGCTGGAAAAAAAAATAGAAGAAGAAAATGCCAATTTGTAGCACTATTTATTGTTATTTTTAATTATTTTGAGTTGTCTGCTATATTTTACATTCTGTAAGATTTCCTGTTCGCTAGCAAAATCCTAAGGGCTACCCAGCCTTACACTTGGTTACTATACCTTCTGCAAATTGCATTGTGTCATAAGCAGGTTGGCCATCAGGCCCTGAGGCTGGACCACATGGGTTCGGTGCTCATGACTTCCTGTTCTGGTGGATGTGCCAACCATAGTCTCCACACTCTCCCTTGAAGGACACCTGCAAAACAAGACCCAGAGTTCTGTACTTAGTTAATATGTTTGGGCCTATACTTTATTTCTGGTAATATACACCTCATGTTACAGATAACCTGTTAGAGGTCGGGAAGGTTGAGATTTGGAGTCTGGGATGTCTGTTGGATTGTTTGATAACCAGTTACGAAGGCTTTAGGGCACACTCTGAGCTGCTTGCTCAGAAATTCTGAGCTTAAGTATATGGCATTGAGATACAATGTTTAAATAAAGAGTTTGTATCCTAAGTCACTTGAGATCTTTTTTTCTTTATAGTAATACTTGTATATTCTAAAGTGCTGATGAGCTTGTAAACAATGTGGTAAAACTTTATAGATCAAGTTATCTTACCACTTTCGAATTCAGTTTTAATAACCAGCATCCATTTATATAACATATATTTATGATGTTTTAGTGGAAAATGAAACAAATAAAATGAAGCATGGTTTTCCAACCCCCTTTGTAATTTCAATCTTGAGGTTTGGAAATTGTTTTCTTTTTTGGCTGTTGAATTTTTAGAAGAGAAATTAGGAATTTGAAGATTTTTTGGAATTCTTTTATTTTTCCTTAACGAGCAGCATATTTGACCTGCTAAGTATAGTTCTTGTATTTCTGTAAGTGCAATAAAAGATGAAAGGACTTCCAGTTTGTTTTTACGTGTAAAAGTATTAAGAGACTGTCTTTTTATTACCTTCCCACATATTTGGTGATTACATTTTATCTGAAATCTAGATACACAGGTTCTGTACAGGCAACTCCACACTCTTCCTGTGGGTTGACCTAGAAAATAAAACAACAGCAAGAACAAGGCTCTTTGTTGACACCATCCTGCTACCCTTCCCTCCAGCCCAGCCTCCCTGTCGCAGAGCTGACATTGAGCCCTGTGTTATTTATGGAATATGGAGGTTCAATCCCTGGACTGAGGCTTGACTTGACAAATGTTACTTCCTTGGGTCAAGAGGAATCTCTGGTCCTCTGAAGGCTTTTAGCCTTTATTTTGAGAGTGCAAAATGATAGCTGCAATAGAAAGTAAAGCTCAGCTCAGTAACCCCCAAAATGTGCTAAATCATTATGAAATGTGTAACAATTCACAGCCATCTGTATATTCCTGCTTTTGCACCCCCCGTATGCAAGGGGATTATTTCAGATTTCTGTTATATACTGTGATTTAGCTGCATGCTTTAGAACAACATAAACATAGTCTTTATTATAACAGACAACTAAAAATGGAATACTAGTATTTCCTAGATTGTAATTAAAGAAAATGTAGGTAACAGAAAGCCCAAAGGCTGGATCTAGAGCTCCAGTGTGTTTCTCCAGCCCAAAGAAAGTGAGGTTGTTTGTGTGAACAGGACCCCAAAAGCCATCACATGGTTCTTTTGCTCCATGGAAGCTGGAAAGGGCTGGCTGGATCCAGTTCTGAGCCTTGCTCTCATCTACAATGCCGGAGCTGTCCTCTAAGAAAGCTCTCTGTTTGCATCTGTCCTCAGCAACCCGGCACTCAAGACGCTGTTGAAAGTAGAAGCAGAGAATCTTGGATTCGCAGGGACCTTACATGGGGTCAGCCAGTCCACCCTCTGCAGGCTCTGAACTCCTTCTGCAAAGGCCTTAGTAAGTGGCCGTGCAGAGCCTCCAGAGACAGCGAATCTACTCCCTCTCCACCAGCTTGGTTGTCTTGAGACCACTGATGCTGATGCTGCCTGCTTGTTGCCCTGTACTCCTGTGTGACTGCTTTGTGACTGCTGTGTCTTCCATGGCCTTGGATGCTCCATAAGAATGAGAATCAATTCCAATTGATTTCTCTCGGTGCTGGACAAATGGGCAGGTGCTTGAGCCTGTAAGTTGTAGTGAAACCCTTCGTTACCACGTGAAGGCATGCCAGGCAAAGCTGGAAATCAGAAAGTTCAGATTGGAGTGATGCTTTGCTGACATGTCTGGGCCACACTGTGGTGTGTGCTCTGGCATCCTTGCAGCTTGTTCCACTCGCCTCGTTTGTGACACTCTCTCTTGCTGCCACACTGGGCCTGCCTCTCCTTCTCCGTCATTATCCTCCCCGATTTGCCTCTTCTCAGCAGACGTGGGCTGTGAATCTTAATATCCACTCCATTTATTATAAAATGTGTCTAACATAAGCGCAAGGGGCACCAAGGGTGGATTTTTAAGAGCTATGGGATGAGCAGTGTCTTTGGACTTGGAGAGGGTGTGTGGCCTCCACTGTGGCTGTTCCAAGCTTCCAAGGGTTTTGACTGCATTCCAGATACATGAGGGCATCAGAGTAAGTGATTTCTGGATTAATGAGGTTGGCTCATAGAATTCTTTTGATGGAATGTACCTTTTTTACTTTCAAGTTGATGCAGTAATGCTAGTAAGGTACTTCTGAGGAGGATCCTGCAGGACATATTTTGACGATGAGTTAGTATGTCCTTGAAATTAGTACCATGCATTTCTACAAAATTAGTGTTCTAGTGCTCTTTTTTCCTAAAGTGATTTAACTAATATGCTTATTATTAATTTACATAGTAAAGCTTCCAAAGGTACATCCACATAAACTTAAACTCAGTAGAAGCCAAATTCATAGAAACCTAAAATTATGCATCAGAAGATGTTTGGGGATTTTTTTAAAAAAACAAATTACAGTGCCAAAAAAGCTCCAAACAGAGCCTGTATCACAGAGGAGAGAAAGACAGGAATAGGCATGTTGAGACCAATAGAAAAAGGAGGCTTTGCTAGAAAACAGTGGTTTCTTAATTAGAGAGCCACATGTAGGAGAATGGCTTAGGGATTCTGGGTGCCTGAGACCGTATCGGTCAAGGCCCCTTCACCACAGAGATACTCAGAGGGAGCCTCTGTGAGGTGGGCTAAGGGGCCTTGCTGAGACCAGCTAATGGGGGGAGTGGGTTGGGCAGCAGCCAGGTTCTTTCCTGGGGAGGCATTTAGAGGCTTAAACCACATAATAATAGTCCACCCACTGAGGAAGTTGCCAAGCCTGAACTTGCTAGGTCTTTTTATTTACTTGAAGAAATTTCTTCAGCCCTAAACGTACAAAGCACAACTCGTGATGCCATACCTTCTCCTTCAACCTCCAACCGTGTAGTTGAGAAAAATACACTGGAATGTAGTCTATTCCTACAGAATAGAAGCAGAGAAGCAATCGTGGGCCTCAAGTTATGAGGGCAGATACTCTCCGAAGAGTTCCCAGCACTCTAAAGTACTCAGCTCCCTGTGTGGGGAGGAGGTTACCTCCAGAATGGCAGCCCAGGGCATGACTTGCCCTCATCGCAATGGTTGGGGCGGAGGCGGGGCTTGGCTTTGCTGGGGGCTACTACGAGGTGAGAAAGGGAGGCTGGGGGCTGGGAGGGCTCACTCCACACAGCATAGAGGGATGGATTCAGAGGACGGGCTGGCCTACCCTTCACACATATGCTGACTGAACAGCTCATGGGTCAGATAAAGCCTCTTCGCTGCTGTGAAGCTTACATTCTTAGAGGCAACAGAGGCATATAGTAGGTGAACAAGCGTCTGTAGCAATTTCAGGTCATGATAAAGGACGTGGATAGAAAAGGCCGAGTGTAGTGGCTCATGCCTGAAATCCTAGCACTTTGGGAGGCCGAGGTGAGAGGTTTGCTGGATCCCAGGAGTTTAAGACCAGTCTGGGCAACATAGAGAGACACTATCTCTACAAAAAAAAATTTAAAGAAAATTAACCAGATGTGGTGGCATGTACCTATAGTCCAGTTACTCGAGAGGCTGAGGTGGGAGGATGACTTCAGCCCAGGAGTTTGAGGCTGCAGTGAGCTGTGCTTACACCACCACACTCCAGCCTGGGTGACAGAATGAGACCCTGTCTCAAATGAAACAAGGTGGCTGGGCACGATGGCTCATGCCTGTAATCCCAGCACTTTGAGAGGCCGAGGCAGGCAGATCACCTGAAGTCAGGAGTTCAGGACTAGCCTGGCCAACATGGCAAAACACCTTTTCTACTTAAAATACAAAAATCAGCCAGGCATGGTGGTGCGCACCTGTAGTCCCAGCTATTCAGGAGGCTGAGGCAGGAGAATCACTTGAACCTGGGAGGTGGAGGTTGCAGTGAGCTGAGATTGCACCACTTGCCTCCAGCCTGGGCAACAGAACAAGACTCCATCTCAAAAAAAATAAATAAATCAGGGTGATGTGTTAGTGACCAAGGGGCTCCTTTAAGTAAAAGAGTCAGGAAGGCATTTTCTATAATGAGAATTTCTCTGATCTGAAGGATGAGGTCAGTCCTGTGATGACTGGTTCCAGGTGGCTTTCAGGCAGAAGGAATAACCAGTGAGAAGACGCTGAATCATGGATGAACTCTGCTGTGTGAAAAACGCTCACACAACTGTAGAGCTTAGCATGTGAAGTGCACTGGGCCGGAGAGGGGGTGTCAAGAAAGGAGATCAGAGGGCTTGGCGGAGGCCAGCACAGAAAGCCTGCTGGGACAGGCAGCACCCTGAGCATGATGGGGAGTGATTGAGGCTTGAGAGAAGGAGGGTGCAGTGTTCACTCTGGCTGCGGTTTGGAGAATGGACTTCAGAAGGACCAGGCCAGAGCACTTAGGCTCTTCCAGCACTGGTGGGTGGATTTGCTGTGGAGATGGGGTGAGGGAAGTGCAGGCAAACCCTTCCCAGTGCTTAGGGTGGTGGGGCTTTGTCCTAAGGTGGGGGCTTTGGAGGGAGCAGGCTGGGAGTGGTAGGTGGAAGGGGGTAAGCATGAATGAAAATTGAGAGTTCTGTTTTGGCCACAGTGAATCTGTTAGCATCTGAGTGGAGATGTCAGGAGATTATATGATGCCTGCTCAGGAGTTTGGTCAGGCCTGGAGTGCAATATTTAGCATCTGATCTTAGATGGACTTTCAAACCAGGGCACTGGATGAACTCACCTAGAGAGTGTGGAAAGAGAGAGGAGGAGAGTAAAGAGGAGTGAACTCAGAGGTCTTCCCACACTGAGAGACTGAGCACCCAAAAAGAACCAATGAAAAAGGAGCCACTCAGGAGACTTTGGTTGCCCAGAGGCAGAGGAAGTTGTTTTTGGAGAGAGCAGTTAGTTGTCACATGGTGCTGAGAGTTGAGCAAAAATGGGCAGAGAAGTAACCACTGGATTTGATACCATGGAGGCCACTGGACAAGTAATCCCAGTGGTGGTGATGGAAGTCCTATCATATTGGGGTGATGAGTCAGTGGGAAGTTAGGAGGTGGAGCCAGGGGCTGTAGCACCTCTTTGAAGAAGTTTCCTCATATAGGGGAGCTGAGCACCTGGGCACTGGCTGGAGAGAGATGTGGAATTGAGGAAAAGACAAATGGTGTGCTTGGTAGGTATGACAGCAGAGGAGAGGGAAGCAAGGGGGTAAAGGGGTTGCATGAATGTGGATGAATGACTTGGGGTGAGTGGTGTTTTTAAGCTATTCCCTGTGGACTGCACAACACAGTCCCCTCTTTGGGATCCCCCAAATTTACCTATAAATTCTACCCATGTCCCCTAACACTGTGATGTGGGCAGATGTGTCTGAGAGGCACAGAATCTTCCTTGGGCTGCAGAACACAGGAAGTAGCTGGAGCTGATTTGCTACAACCAGTGATACAGGCTCAAGGGGTGGGCGAGAGGTCATGGATTGATTGACCTGGTCACTGACTGATTTATTCAGTCAACAAACACCTTCCAGCTCCCTCTGTGCCAAGTGCCATTCCAGGCCCTGCAGCCACAGTGCAAATAAGCCCCCTCAAAGCGCATTTTGCCCATAGCGGGATGGGGCCACTGACAAGCCAGCAGCTTGGGGTGGAATGTACAGCCCGAGGCAACCTTGCTGTTTCTCGGCTGCACAGTTTGAATCCATTTGCAGGAGGTGTATGAGTTCCTTTAGGAGGAGGCTTTTGGAAGGAAGTGGAGTCAAGGGCAAAATTGTGGGCAAGTCCCTGCAGCAGCACCTAAGGGGCCCCGGAGGCTGACCCAGAGACCCCAAGGCTGCCGCAGCCCCAGGGCTGGTAAAGCTGGGGTTAGAAATCTGTGGCAGCTTCAGTTGGGAGGTTTGGGGTTTTCTGTAGGTGAATAACCTGTGACCTCCCCGAGGGTGCATACTGAGGGAGGGCTTCTGCCTGTGTGAGGGAAGGCCTCTGGGCTTCATGTGGCTCCTGGCAAATGCTGAGCCCTGGATCCAGGGAGTAGGGGTTCTATGGCTCCAGGCGGCCTTCTCTGCTTGGCTTTAAGAATGGGGTACTTGGTTCCGGTTCCCTTCCACCTAAGCTGGCTGTTGTGACTTTGGATGACTTGTTTAACCTGCTGTTTCTGCTTCTTCACGAGAAAAATAAGAATGGTGCTTATGTCTACCTCACAGTGTTATAGCTGGGGTAAAACGAAGACGTAATCGATTCAGCACATACTCGTGTTTGAGAGTTGCCAGGTGTGAGTTCTGGAGCCATGCGTCCTGGGTTCATGTCCTGGTGCTGTTTTTTACTGCGTGACTGCAGGCAGGGAACTTTGTACCTCAGTTTCCTCATCTGCACAATGGGGATGGTACTAACACCTGCCTTCTGAGGTGTCTAATGAGGGATTGTGAGGATCTGTGAAGGAATCTGTGTAATTGCTGAGAGCGTCTCATCTAGGAAGTGCTGGGTGCCCGCTGCGGTTAGGAAGATGCTCTCTGGTGCACAGGGCCTTGTTGGCAGTGATGTGATGGTTTTATCTCTTCTGCCAGTTCCGCCTGGTGGTGAAGACAGCCCTGAAGCTGCTGCTCGTCTTTGTAGAGTACTCGGAGTCCAACGCACCTCTCCTAATTCAGGCTGTCACTGCTGTTGACACGAAAAGAGGTGAGTAGTCCCTGCCCCCTTATGTCATGAAGGTGAAGGTGTCTAATGTAGGGAGGCTTCTGTGTTGTACATGCTTGAGACAGATATAAGAATTAATAGAATTCCCGAGATGTGGACTTCCCACTGCAAGAAACGTTTTTTAGGATAGTAAGCACACAAAGCTTAGGGCCGGAATGGGGTTTGATAATGAAAGAAAAGTGCTCATGAGCTTACCTGGGAGAGGTCAGATCCTGAGCTTGTCTTTGCCTCTACCCAGCTCCTGCCACTGAAACACAGAAGTCTAGCTCCTCCTCCTGTTCTTCCTGTCTTGTTCAGGGTTTCCCTGGCTCCTTCCTCCCCTCCCCTCTACGCTTCATTGCTTATGACCCCCAGATGTTTCTAGAACCTTCTCCCTTCCTCTCCTCCATCCCCTGCCCTGCCTTACTCAGGCCCTCACTAGGTTTAACCTATGCTCCTGGCCACCCTCCCAAACAGTTCGGTCACATCCAAAACCTGCCAGTGGCTTCCCAGTGCTTATAGCATAAAGTCAGTCCCCTGGCTAAGGGGACCCTTCACCCTTCAACTCCTGCCCAGCTGCCACCCCCTTCTCCCACCTCGGCTGTACCCCCACCCCCTTACCTTGGGCATGTGCTTTTAAAGCCCATGTATGCACCTCTTCTCTGCTGTGGTGGTGTTGCCCATCCCTGTCTCTCCAAGTCGGGGTTGCCTGCTCAAGGATGGGGTCTCTGTCTCCCAGAGTGATGTCCCAGCACTCCAGCTGGCCCAGAGCCAGCAGGCATGCTGCAAACACGTGGCGAAGAACGAGCTTCTGCTCTGGTTTACTGTGTAACGTGCTGTGGACCCCGTGATATTGGGAAGCCTGGAATTAAAATGCTTCCCAATTAAAATGATTTTTCTCCTTTTGTCTTTTGTTGTTTGTTTTCTTCCCCAGTAGGACTCAGGTATTATTATCATCATCCCCACAAAGACTCAAGAACAAAAACTTGACAATACTTTTTCTTTTTATGATTATAACTGTAATACTACTGTTACAATCATAAAAACTTGGGAAAAGTTTAAAGAAGACAATAAAAATTCACCTCTAGTTTCAACAAAGATAATCACTGTTAACCTGTTGGTATATTTCCTTATAGTTGTGTGTGTGTGTGCGTGCACACTATGCATAAACCAGCCAGGATGTGTCGGGAAGAAACGAGGGGCCTAAATTGCACTTTTGATTCAAACCATTTGTGTCTGTGATTTTTTTTTGTTTTTGTTTTTTGTCTTTTGTTTTTGAGACGGAGTCTTGCTCCGTCGCCCAGGCTGGAGTGCAGTGGCGCGATCTCGGCTCACTGCAAGCTCCACCTCGTGGGTTCACGCCATTCTCCTGCCTCAGCCTCCCGAGTGGCTGGGACTACAGGTGCCCACCACCATGCCCAGCTAATTTTTTTTTTTTTTTTTTTTTTTTTTTTTTTTTTAGTATTTTTAGTAGAGACAGGGTATCACCGTGTTAGCCAGCACGGTCTCAGTCTCCTGACCTTGTGATCCACCTGCCTCGGCCTCCCAAAGTGCTGGGATTACAGGCGTGAGCCAGCGTGCCCAGCCAGTTGTGTCTGTGATTTAGCATTACTCAGACCCACCTTTGAATGCTGAATCCAAATGTGAAAGAAAGTAGCTTGAGTTATTTTAGAAGTTTAAATGAAAGTTAATGAAAAGCATCCAGGACCTTTAACTGGGGCTCCTATACCCTTGAACATGCAGATAGATGTCGGCACTAGGCATGGCTGATGGCAGGCAAGGAGGCAACTCGAGGTCTCTTTGTTGGGGGTGTGTTAGGGAGGCAAACTCTAGTACATGGACGGGGGCTGTGAGTCTGGAAGGTGTTTCCCAGGCTGAGGCAAGTTTCTTCTGCCACAAAATGTTGCCCTCTGCTGCTAGGTAGAAAGACCCTTATGGCCAAGAGTAGATCATGGGGCCGGCCCAGAATCCTTGATAAGGAATGCCAATTTCACAGAAACCAGGTCTAGCATTTCCAAGGCCAGTCAATTAGGTATAAGGTCAGCAGTGTGTGTTTTGGCAGCTGGTAGGCAGCAGCTTCTCTCCTTCATCCTTGGAGGATTTGTGTTTCATCTCCTAACTCTGGCGGTTGCTTGAGGACAACTAACAAACTCTTCATCTTACTGTCCTAAGCTTCAGGTAACCCCAGGGCCCTTGCTATGGGTGTGGGTTATAGGGGCCAACGTCTCATGACCTGGGTTCTCCTTTGGCTTTGCTGAGCTTCCAGCTCGGAGTTCCCTTCCTTGAACTTCATATCCCATAAAGGGAATGTTGTGATGGATGAGGGCATGATCCTGAAATGAACCCAGGCCTTTGTGTATCATATCCAAGACTCCATCCATAGCCCCAGCCAGAGATTCTCGTCTGTCAGACCAAGTCTCTCCATCAAGATAAAACAATGGCCATCTTTTCCTGATTAGTAAAAATAATAATAATAATAATAAAAACAGCTAATGAATTGTCTTCTTAGCTTTATTGTTTTTGTTTTTGTTTTGTTTTGTTTTGTTTTTGAGATGGAGTCTCACTCTGTTGCCCAGGCTAGAGTGCAGTGTCACGATCTCAGCTCACTGCAAGCTCTGCCTCTCGGGTTCACGCCATTCTCCTGCCTCAGCCTCCCGAGTAGTTGGGACTACAGGTGCCCACCACCATGCCCGGCTAATTTTTTGTATTTTTAGTAGAGATGGGCTTTCACCGTTTTAGCCAGGATAGTCTCAATCTCCTGACCTCGTGATCCACCCGCCTTGGCCTCCCAGAGTGCTGGGATTACAGGCGTGAGCCACTGTGCCTGGACAGCTTTATAGTTTTTGTCTATACAATTTCTTAAACCTTTGGCAACTGCTGTTGTCTGTCTGCTGCTGAGCACTAGCAGCTGAAAAAAAAAAAAAAAGGAATGGCACTAATGAAAAAACTCAGAAATAGCTTATCATGTGTGGCTCAATAGCATGTTTCTTTATGGACATGTGTGGTCTTGGCTGTGATTTTATAATGCATACATATAACGTCATCCTATTCTACTGCTAGTAGAATTGTTCCTGAATCCTATGATGGAATTAAACATATAAATATGCCATGGTATTCTGCAGAGAGCAACATTACTTCCAGGTGTGTTTCCATCTAGTGGGTTTAGAAGCAGCTCTCCGGTTCCCTCTCAACTGGGTGAGAGAGCAGACAGGTGCCAGAGGTGATTTAGGGTAAACTGAGCATATCCATTTGTGCACAAGTTTATAAATCATAAATTTTACTTCTCAAAGTGGCTTTAGACTCATTCCTCAGCAGGGATGAGTGGACATATGAGCAGTTGTCTTTTTGAATAGTTTCTTTCGGATAATGAAAACTGTCAGATTTAAGGAATCAGCAATAAAACCAACAAATAAACTCCCAGTCCTCAAAAATCATTACTACCTAAAGCAAATGAAGTTGTCCAGAACAAATTCCTTTGGTTGCATTATAAATATAAACATCATGCATGCTGCACGTGGGCTAACCAGAAGGCTTCATTCTGCAGTGTGGGCAATTTGGTCTGGGGCCAAGAGTGGGCCAGTTAGCAGGGATAAAAGCCAAAGGGGTTAAAGTCCAGCGTAAGGAGTGATCAGTGTTTATGAAGAAGGAAATTTGTTTTTAAATTTTTTTTTTTTTTAGACGGAGTCTTGCTGTGTCGCCCAGGCTGGAGTGCAGTGGCGCAATCTTGGCTCACTGCAAGCTCCACCTCTGCGTTACGCCATTCTTCTGCCTCAGCCTCCCGAGTAGTTGCACTACAGGCACCCGCCACCTCACCTGGCTAATTTTTTGTATTTTTAGTAGAGACTGGGTTTCACTGTGTTAGCCAGGATGGTCTCCATCTCCTGACCTCATGATCCACCCGCCTCGGCCTCCCAAAGTGCTGGGATTACAGGCGTGAGCCACCGCGCCTGGCCAAAGAAGGAAAATTTAAAATGTTCCATTTGACCCAGGCTATTGCACTTTTGCTCAGGGCCTGAGATAAAAAGGTGGATTCAGGTTCATCTGTGGGGCATGGTATGGTATTAATATCAGACCACTGGATCATCTTCTCTTTGCTTGCACCTTGAAGTCACTTTCTCTTTCTGGTGGCCAGGGCCTGGCAGGAAGAGAGAAAGGCTCATGGGAGCCCTTAGAGAGCCTTGCTTTGTCATTTTGCCATATTGGAGACTCCCTTTCCTTAAGGTCTTCCCTGTGGTGGTTGACAGGAAATTGATTGACACCCCTCTGCTGTCTGGGTATGGGGTCCTTCCTTTTGAGTGAACAGGTTTGCCTCTCCCACAGAGGGTGAGGCAAGTGACCAGAGAGGATAACTCATGTTGAAATTTGTCCTAAATCTCAGGTCCCACTAATCTGGCTCAGCAGAGCTTTTGAAGTAGTTCAATTTTTCATTTGATAATTCTTAAACATAAGAATTCCTGCTATCACGCATGATTAGCAGGAAAAAAATTCAGCCATCCTTTCAAGCGATCCCATCTCTACTTTCTGCTTAAGAGTATATCTATCTGTGAAGATCGTGTAAAGTGTAGTGGAAGCTACAGGTTGACAGAACTCAAACTCTCTTTCCACTGTTATTTATAGCAGAAGCATCCACATTGAGTGTGTTTATGTAGTATGTGAAAAGACATGGAACATGCTGTGAGGAGCTTCTGTTTTCGTGTTAGACCAACCCATGTCTGAGGCACTGAGCTAAATACCTTATTTTCCTTCAGATTTAATGTGGAGATTTAGGAAAGTAAGAGGGGAGAAGTATTGAGCAATTGATTCTGTGTGTATTTATTTATCTGGGTTAAGAGAGGACTGGCCGGGGAGTCAGTGCAGGTGGTCCACCTGGGGGTAAACTGGGTATCTCCACCAACCACCACCATTACAATTACAGCTACTGATATTTGAGTATCTATCATGTAACAGACACAACTGTAAACATTCTTCACATAGGACCCATTTATTCAGCACATATTTGAGTATCAATTGTGTGCTTGCAGTCATCAGGAAAAAAGGCTCTCACAGAACCTGTACTCCAGTGTTTGGGGTGGGGGTGGGGGGCAGTGGAGTTGGAGAGAGACAGATGACAATGATTAAGTATTGTCTTCTAATGTACTCCAGCAGCGCTAAGGAAAAAAGACAAAGTGCTTTATCTCAATGACAATTCTCAGTAATCCTGTAAGGTAGGTACAGTCATCCCAGAGGCCTTAGGAGCTCCAGATGAGCTTCCTGAGCCCCTCCATCCCACTCCTTTGGGATCCAGTTTCTTTCTCTGTTATGTGAAGGGCTAGCATTATATGGTTTATGATTCCAGTACAGGAACCCTCTCCTCTGCAACACACACACACACACACACACACACACACACACACATATGCACACATACACACACACATTGTGGGGAGTTAACAAAGGCAATGAGGAGAGTGAGTGGACCCCATAATTCTGACAGGAGCTCCTAGGAAATGTGCAAGTGCTGGTGTTGAACACAGGCCTAGCCTGAGGCCTGCCAAGGCTATTTTTGTTGAACCAAATGTTTCTTCCCTTTTACCTTCATTGTAAATATTTCCGATTTTCTGCCCCAAAACAATAAAAAGAATGAACATCCATCCTAAGAGTGTACAAATATATGCACATTTCCAGACTTAAAATCCTTAGATGGTAATAAGAGACTCAGATAACACAGCTAAAAACACGTTTTTCAGTTAAATTAAGCCAGTGTTTGAGTGTTCTTATTATAAAGGATTAGATGCACACATGTGCATGTGTCTGTTTAAGGGGAGTACCAATGTAGTCTGGCTACCTTTCCCTCTCTCTCTGGGCTGCCTGCCATTGTTCCTTGGCCTTTGCTCCCTGAGGACCTGTTTCGCATCTTTGGCTCCAGAGTAAGCAACCAAAAGTAGTTCTGGGTCCATTAGCACCACTAGAAAGTCTTAGTTTCGATACTTTCTCCCCTGCACATTCTTCCTTTGAGCCATGCATGGGTAACTCACTACAACATGTGTTCTATGCCAAGGTTTTATACAAAATGTGAATGTTAGAAGCTGCCCCTGTTACAAACACAAATGGCGGCATCCAGATATCTTAAACTGGACAGTGAGACCCAAGGCCTGCTGATCAGATTGATTGACTGTCTTGAGAGCTGAGATGGTTACTTTGCAGTGGTTGGAAGAACAACTACACCGTGGTGTGGACTTCAAAGTAGTTTGATGATCAATATCAGCAAGGAGATAATTCAGTAGTCAGCAGGTGAAAGGAGAAAGAACATGTCTTTGTGCTCAGTTAGCAAGGGTCATAGAAGATTGCCCAGTTCTGACTGGCTGGGCAACTTAGCCAAAGCAAAAGGCTTTCTATTCACTTAGGAAAGCCAGGAGATCTCCATATTGAGCTACATTTGTGCCTTTTACGTCTTGTAGTAAGTAGGTACCTATTCTTTGTTTAATCCTCTTAAACAAATCCCCTTAAATCCTGTCTTCTCTGCTTTTCTTACTGTGTGCATCTGCTTCCTGGTTCTTTTAAAATTGCTTCAGCTTAACCCACTTCCTGCCTTCTCAGAGATCTCCATTCACTATTCAGCAGACATTTTACTGAGCATGTACTATATGCCAGGCACTGTCCTAAGGGCATGGAGATCAACAAGACAGATACTATCATGGTCCTTGGGAAACTTTTGTTCTCAAGGCCAAAATCAGCTCTGACATAGCCCATCCAAGGACCAGCATTTGGAAACTACTGTATTTAGGTTATTTCCAAGTTTACTTTTCTCAAGTAAAAATAAGCAATATCCCTTTGAGATCTTTATAGAGAAAGCACGAAAGAGCTTCATGTCGCAAACCACCAAGCCAAGAGCAAGGCAATTCTTATTTCACTTCACTTCAAATATTCATCTTGGGCCTAGAAAACCATGTCAAGGTGTTATGTGCCTCTTTTTGGTCTTGCCCTTGGCTTAGTGGTCCTGAATGTGAATGCGGAGTATCTCCTGTCCCTCCTAGATCCTGGAAATAACCACCCATAAGCCTTCGCCTGCAGAGCCCAGGCAGCAGTCATCTCTTGTGCCAAGTCCCCTGCAGTCATCCCTGCTGCAAGAGACCTCACTTGCACAGTGACAGGCTTAGCTGCATGCTTGGACACTTCTCAGCCATTGCTCTGTACTGGTGTCTGTTCTTGGGCTTATGCCTAGCTGCTCCATTAGATTATAAACCTATTGAGGGCAGCTGCCCAGTAGACCTTGTACCTAGCTGATACTTAATAGTATTTGTGCCTTGATGGAGTAGATGTAATATACTTCCGTTCTTGAGATATTTGCTAGACAGGCATGTCACTTATTTCTTTGAGTCACTGCTAGAGGGATGTTAAGATCTTCCACATCCCCTTTTCTTCTGTGCTGATGGATATTCTTAGAGTACTTACCAAGAGTTTTCTAATCTGTAGGCCTACAGAGTTGCAATGATTGGATTTTTAAAAATTACATATTTAATATGAAGAAATTTTCAAGCAAGTAAGCATCCAGACACTGAAGCGTACACAATGCTCTTGCCAAAAGGACAAAGATGATGTGAGATAGGGTTCCCTACTAAGAAATATCCTCAATTAGAAGCATGCTCAAATCCATCCTAAGGATAATGTCACACTTTGAAATTTGGTGACTGAAAGACGCTGCCATCACTGGATACGTCCTTGGATAATAAACTGTGATGTGAGTTAGATAAAGAATGTTGATGAATTGCTGTTTCTAATGATTTTTGCTTTACTCATAGGGGTCAAACCTTGGTCAAATATCATGGAAATCCTGGAGGAAAAAGATGGAGTTGATACGGAGCTACTGGTTTATGCAATGACTTTGGTGAACAAGGTTGGTTGACTATGTTATGGGTTGAATTGCGTCACCTAAAAAGATATGTTAAAGCCCTGACCCCTGGTATCTGTGCTTGTGGGCTTATTTGGAAATAGTGTCGTAGCAGATATAATCTGGTTGTGAGGGTGGGCTCTGATGCAGCATGACTGTGTTCTTATAAGAGGAAAAGAGACACAGAGGGAAGACGATGTGAACATGCAAAGAAGACAGCCACAAGAGGACAGGCAGAGGTCAGAATAATGCATCTACAAGCCAGGGAACGCCACAGATTGTTGGCTGCCAATTGAGGATGAGGCAAAGACAGACTTCCTGTAGAGCCTTCAGGGAAAGCATGGCCCTGCTGACACCTTAATATCAGACTTCTAGTCTTTCAAACTGAGACAGAATAAGTTTCTGTTATTTTAAGCCACCTAGTTTGTGGTACTTTCTTATAGTAGCCATAGGGAACTAATACATTGTGAAAATCTAAAATTTTCCCTCTGAATAAGAGCCACACCATGTGTACACCCATCACAGTGGCTGGAACCACAGCTGCAGTGTGCAGTACGGGAGAAAATCCTTTATGCGACACGTGGAGTGGATGCGTGCAGGTGTGTGTGCTTGTGAAGGCCTGTGGGTGCCTGCGTGTGTTCATGCTTTGGTCTTTTCTAGTAAATCCAGGAAAGTGACAGTGAGAATTTTATGACTGCTTTTCCTATCAAGTTGGCCCCTTAAAATAATAATAATAATAATATATTATTATTATTATTTGAGGCAGAGTCTCACTCTGTTGCCCAGGCTGGAGTGCAGTGGCACGATCTCGGCTCACTGCAGCCTCCACCTCCCAGGTTCAAGAGATCCTCCTGCCTTAGCCCCTCTAGTAGCTGGGATTACAGGCACGTGCCACCATGCCTGGCTAATTTTTGTATTTTTAGTAGAGTCGGGGTTTAGCCATATTGGCCAGGCTGGTCTTGAACTCTTGCCCGCATGTGGTCCACCCGTTTTGGCCTCCCAAAGTGCTGGGATTACAGGCGTGAGCCACTGTGCCTGGCCAAAATTATTTTTTAAAATCATTTTTCCTTGAGGGAATATAAATTATGAAGTTTTACTCTAAGAAAATTGTTCACATGTCAGGAAGACACGAGGTGCACGTGTTCCACTGCATATTGAAGTTGGACTCTTGGGCTGAGATAAGGAATCCTGGGGGTAGGTCCCACTTGTCTCACGTGATGGTGACCACACCTCTTGCTGTCATTCCTCCTGTTGCGTCCCTCCCTGATCACCACCTTGTAGGGCAGTCTTGGTCCTTGGTGCTCTTCCTCAGAGGTGCTGCTCTGAAACAAGGGGGCCCATGCTGACCCAGAACAGGCCCAGTCTCAGGTCTGGAGTTTCTCCATTTGGATCGACATGCCTTAGAGCACAGGCACCTCGCCAGCCACCCCATGGGCCTTCCTTGTACTCTCCTTACACGCTCATGCTGGGTGTGAGCCTGCAGGACCATCTGCAGTGATGGTTAGGGCTTCAGAAAGATCCAGAGTCCATTCCTGAAATACAGCTGGAGAAACATTTTCCCTGATGAAGTGGGGATAAGTTTGTAGAAAGCAGTATAATTATGAAGAGCACCTTCTCCTACTAGAGAGTAAAATGTGCAGACTCTGAGGATTACAACAATGTAGTGTGGCCCCTTCCTCAGCAGACAGATGATTGGTGCAGAGGAGCTCTGAAACAGACCTCAGTGTATAGAACAACTCACTGTACAGTTAGTTAACATTGGTGGGGACGGGTTAGGTACTGATTGGAGAGGTGTTGTTAAATGGAAGTAAACAAAAACATACTTTAACCATACACCACAGTAAGCCCCAAGGAGCTTAAAGCATTTAATGGAACATAGCAAACTGTAGGAAGAAAAAAAAGAGAGAGAGAGATGAAGACTAATTAGTCTGTGGTTGGTAACGTTTATTTTAAAAATAAAACCAGTGAAACAGGTTCCAGAGGAAGAGATTTAACTATTTTACTGCATAAAATTTTAAAAGATCTTATTTACAAAATGAAAATCACAAATTATAACTAAATGCAAATGACAAACTAGGAAATTGTTTACAAAAAGAAAGGTAGAAAATGATGTTATCCTAAATATATTATGAATTCAGTAGAAAAATGAAAGACATTAAACCAACTAAGAACAAAAGAAATACATATGAAAACAACAAGACATGTTTCCCAGGTCACATTGGCAATGATTGCCTTTTAATGAAGTATCATTTCTTGATGAACACCCAGGAAACTCCTATAACCCTGGTGGGAAATGGGCACAACTTTTCTGAAACATAATCCTAAGAATTCTGCTTTTATTTTCAAATCTTTTTGTGAGCTCATTTTACCATTTGATTTGAAGCAATTTTCTGTTGGTTTCTAAGGATTAAAGTCATCTATTTCCTGTCCTTTTTAGTCACTGCCATTGTTTTGGAAAACACCGAATTCAGCAAAAATGGAATTTTCACACTGCCACAGTGTTCCCCATTGTAACATTACCTATTTTATTGATAAGGCCATTCCCAGCTATTCTTATGATCATAGCAGTACCCACACAATGTGGTACTTTGTTGCTAATCACTGGCAGAGACCCAGTGCCTGTCACCCTCTGTTTGGCATTCTGTGGCATTTGATGTCCAGGAATCCCTCACTTACTCTTTCTCTTCTGGCAGTTCTTTCTCATCCTTTGTTAGTTCTGGCCAAGGAGACATCCAGAAAGATCCTTGAGGTCATTCATTCAAATGTAATCCTTTCCTTAACTCATTTATGCCTAGTGTTCCGTTATTGGAACGCTAAGCTTGTGTGAGTTATTTATATCCTGCTTCTCAAGGTCATCACCAAGGTATAATTTTTCACACACAAAAAAAAAAATTTGCAACCTCCGGCATAAATGCGTTAAACAAGTCATGCCGGGTTTGTTTTGTTTTGTTGTATTGTAGTAATGCATGTTGCCCAATGAGTAAACTCCTCTGAGATACCAAACAAAATAACAAATTAAAATGTTAATCTGGGTCTGGAAAACATTCAGACTGTGAAATCTGGGAAATTATATTGCAAGTTGGGTGGTTTCTAAGTATTGATATCAACAAAATAAAGGCCCCTAATAACATGGAATTTTTAAAAATGGACATTTCCATGACAAACAAAACAATGACACTAAGTCCTATCCTGGTAACTGTTCTAAAACTGATTGCCTTGTAAAATAGGAGAAAGCACACTGGGGTGGGAGGTACAATGAGTAACAAGAGGGGTTACCGTGAGGCTGGCTTAGGGTGTTCAGGGAAAGCAGGACCCCAGGAAGCCATGGGGAGAGGAGTTGTTCAGTGGGGCTAGGGGATAACTAACCTGGATGGTACATGCTGAGTAGTTGCCTTTGTTTTTACATTTACTTTTATTGTTTTAAAATTATTGTCTTAGTCCATTTTGTGTTGCTGTAACTGAATACCACAGACTGGGTAATTTATAAAGAAATCGATTTCTCACAGTTTTGGAGGCTGGGAGGTTCAATATCAAAGTATCAAGGTACTGGCATCTTGTGAGGACCTTTTTGCCATGCCATCCATGGTAGAGGGCAAGGGGGTTGTAGGGGAAGAGAGGAGAAGGGGGTGAAACTTACGCTCTGTTGGGAACCTATTCCTTCAGTAAGTAACCCACTCCTGAGATAATGGCATTCATCCGATTTACCTCCTTTCAACACTGTTGCTTTGGGGATTATGTTTCTAACGCATGAACTTTGGGGGGCATATTAAAACCATAGCATTCTGCCCCCTGTCCCCAAAATTCATGTCCTCCTCATGTGCAAGATATATCCATTCCATCCCATTAGCCCCAAAGTCTTAATGAATTCCAGTACAGACTCAAAGTCCCAAATCCAGAGTCTCATCTGAATCAGGTATAGGTAAGACTCAAGGCACGATTCATCCTGGGGCAAATTTCCCTTTAGCTGTGAGTCTGAAATCAAACAAGTTACCTACTTCCAAAATACGTTGGAACTGGCATAGATGTTCACATTCCAAAAGGCAGAAATAGGCAAGAAGGAAGGGATAACTAGTTCCAAGTCCAAAGCCCAAGAGAGGAAAAAACAATATTAAATCTTAAGACACCAGAATAATCTATTTTGACTCCATGTCCCACATCCTGGGCACACTGGGGTTGGGGTTGAGCCCACAAGGCCTCAGGCAACCCCATCCCTATGGCTTTGCTGGGCTCAGCCCACGCTTCAGCTCTCCTGGGTTGGAGCTTATGCCTACAGCTTTCGCGGGCTGGATTGCACACTGGTAGCTCTACAGTTCTGGGGTCTTGGGGGCTGCCTCACTCCCGTGGCTCCACTAGGCATTGCCCTAGTAGGGACTTTCTACAGTGGCTTCACCCTGTGACAAATCTCTTCCTGGGACCCTAGGCTGTCCATAACCTTCTTTTAGATCTAGGTTGAGGTCACCATGGCTCCACGGCTCTTGTATTTTCCACACCTGCAGAATTAGTACCATGTATTTTATGGCTTGTACCTTCCAGAGCAGCAAGGCCTGCTTGAGTCACAGCTGGGGTGGCCAAAAAATCCTGCACCAGAATTCTGGGAGCAGGATCCTGAGTGGCCCTGAGCAGTGAATGCTGAGGTACCGCTGGTGCCTGTCCAGAAACCTTGCCCTCAAGGTCCTAGCTTGCTTAGAAGGTCTTTGAAATGCCTTTGGAGTTTTTCTCCCATCGTCTTGGTGAATAACGCTGGCTCCCTTCTATCCATACTATAATCCTTTTAGCAAATGGTCACTTGGTCATGCCTTTGGTTTGCTTTCCAAAAGATGCTTTTTTACTCTTTACATGGCCAAGCTGTGACTTTTTCAAATTTTTCTACTCTACTTTCCTTTTAATAAACTCCATCTTTATATCACTTCTATCCTCTTGCATCTTCCTATAAGCAGTTAAGAGTAACTATACAACTCCTTCAATATTTTTCTTAGAATTTTTTTTCACCAGGTATCCTAGTTCATTGCTCTTAAATTCTGACTTTCATTAGAGCCCTAGGACATTGACATATTTCAGCCAAGTTCTTGCCACTTTAAAACAAAGATGGTTTTTATTCTGGTTTCTAATACCTTGATTCTCGTTTCCATCTGAGACCTCTTCAGAATTGGCTTTACCATTTGTATTTCTACCAACCACTTCAGCAATCTCTAAGAAGGCTCTGACTTTTCGTACAACTATTCTCTTCTTCTGAGCTCCCACCAGAGTCAACCAGATAATGCTCTAGTCAATCTAGGCTTTTTCTAGCTTGCTTCTCCAAATTTTTCCAGCCTCTACCTGTTACCCAATTCCAAAGCTGCTTTCACGTTTTCAGTTATTTGTTATAGCAACAGCCCACTTCTCTGTATCAATTTTATGTCTTTGTTTTGTGTTGCTATAACAGAATACCACAGGCTGGGTAATTTATAAAGGAAATAAATTTATTACTCACAGTTCTTGAGGCTGGGAGTCCAATATCAAGATGCTGGCATCTGGCCAGGCCCTTCTTTTCTGTGCTATCCCGTAGTGGGATACACAGGGTGAGGGAGGTTGTAGGGAAGATAAGATGGTTGAACTCATCCATTTACCAGGAAACTACTCCTACAATAATTAACCCAGTCCTGAGATAACAGAACTAATCCATTCATTACCTAATCACTGCTTAAAGGTTCTCCCTTCCGACACTGCTGCATTGGGGTTTAAGTTTCCAACACATGAACTTTGGGTGGGGGGCACATTCAAACCATAACAATGCACCTTCTAGAATATAGCTATATGAGTTTTAACATGTACATGGAGATGGATCACCTTCACAATTAGAATACAGACTAAGAATAGCATAGTATTCCCCCATGTTATCCTTTTATACTGACACTCTGAGCTCCTATATATAATCCTGAGAAACCACTGATTTATTCTCTGATCACTGTAATTTTGTCTTTTCAAGAATGTCAGATGGAATCATACAGTAAGTAACCCTTTGAGGCTGGCTTCTGTCAGTATAATGCCTTTTGAGATTAATCTTTTATTGCATATATTAATATATGCAATATATTAATTAACCCCTTTCCACTGCTGTGTAGTATTCCTTGTAGAGATGCATATGTGCTTACCCATTCACCTGTTGAAGGAGATTTGTGTGTTTATAGCTTTTGGCTTCCACAGATAGAGCTGCTATGAACATTCATGTACTGGCTTTGCCACAATGGTTTTATCCTACAAGAAAGACTTGGTGCAATCAATGAAAACCCAGGGAGGGGGAAGAATGTCCTTTAGGACGGAATTTCCCCCTCTGAGAGAGATTTGTAAAGATTTACTTGTCACAGGCCTTGTCAAGACAAAGTCTAAGAAAAAAACAGGAGGAGGGATACCAAGTGTCAGGCAGCTATGCTCGGCACCTTTAGTGTCTGAGGGTGAAGGCATCAGGAAACATTTACCTCGCAGACTTTCCTGGGGAAGCTGCCATTTTTGTCAGAGGTGGACAACTTAGCAGCAGAGGCTGCAGGGTGGAACTGGGAGGGGAGGCCCAGGGACAGGTGGAAGTGTGGTAGAATTTGATGAGCCTATTAGAGAATCAGCCAAAAAAAAAAAAAAGATGAATTTTTTAAAAGATGTATAGCACCCTCTTGCACAGCTGGAAAAAGAAGCTGCATTTGTGAGTGGCAGAAGGCCATCATTTCCCCCGCAGCCTGCATAAAAGGTGATAGTACGCAGGCTTGGCTCAAGCCCATATTTTCACTGCGGAAATGACAAATGACCTGCTGATACCCTCAGTTCAGGGCCTATTACTGAGCAAGGGGCAAGAGTTTCCCGAGTCTTTTTAGTTCTTTTTTTTTTTTTTTTTTTTGAGACAGAGTCTTGCTCTGTCGCCCAGGCTGGAGTGCAGTGACATGATCTTGGCTCACTGCAATCTCCGTCTCCCGGGTTCAAGTGATTCTTGTGCCTCAGCCTCCCAAGTAGCTGGGATTACAAGCATGTGCCACCACATCCTGCTAAATTTGTGTATTTTTAGTAGAGACTGGGTTTCGCCATGTTGGCCAGGCTGGTCTTCAGCTCCTAGCCTCAAGTGATCCACCTGCCTCAACCCCCCAAAAGTGTTGGAGTTACAGGTATGAGCCACTGTGCCTGGCCCCTGCTTACTTCTATAGTTCTCATTTTTAAATTATTTACCAGTGATTCCCTCACCCTTTATGGTTGGACTTGCTAAAGCAATGGGGATTAGGTTTAGCAGTTTAACCTCCTGGAAACTTCTGAGTGAAAGAACCTCAGTTGACTCCCAGAAAGGTGAAAGGGGAAGAAGAAGGTGGGGGAACGAGGTGAAGAGACTACCAGCGGCCTCTCTCTGTGCCTGGGGCTGGCCCCCACGCTGCTGTGTAGGAAGTTTTAATTCTGATGCTAGATGTCCCTTCACCTGCATTCCTCAGGCTGTGCATTTTGCAGAGTCAGCTGGCAGTTAGGGCATCTCTAATTGTTCACCCTGCCTGGGCCTGGTATTGTCATTTCCCTCTCATCTTTTAATAAGTTCTAGAGTTTTCACTAAAAGCAAAGGATGATAGGATTCTTTGAATGATGTGCAATTTTTCAATCAATGTTGGAAGCAGAAGGCAGCCCTGATGACCGTTATTGCCTGTCAGTGCGATGTGGTTAGCCTGGTTCCTGTAGACACTGGTGTGTGCTGTCATACGTGGCGTGGCGGCCCAAGTGTGAACACCTATTTATGATGGCTTCAGATTCACAGCTTCCTGCCTTGTGTCCTTATCGGGGCCTTGAATAATTAGGCTATCACATTACAATTAGTTTTCATTAGTTTCTGATCTCAATAGCAGTGACTGGTGTCCTCTTTGCTCAGCTTAAAAAGGAAAACGCCATTATTCGAGTTATGAATAGAGGCCTTCTTTCCAACACTGATAGCCCCAAGATAGAAGTGTTAGAGAAGCTGGTGCTATGAAATGATCTTTACAGAAGTGTTGGTCTTATTCCTTCCTAGGCAAGTTATCATGTTTAGAATAATTTTGGAATGTGTGTCTTGTTCTTAGAAATGCAAAGATAGTGAAGTAAGTAGGGACTAAAGGCTGAGACTGGAATGGCAGCTCTGAGCCCAGGCTTTTATCCCAGTGTCTTCAGTCGCTTCCTGTTGCCTCAGGCGTTTATCCTTCTCTCCCTCCTGTATAAGATAAAGGGCTTGCAGTAAATCTCAGGCTCCTTCCATCTGTGAGCCAGGGCCTTGTCTCAGATACCCTCCTTCTCTTAAGAGAGGTAGAATTCAAAGAGAAGTCAGCTTTTTCTTTCTTGGTTCTCTTTTTGTCTCTTAATTGCTGCCTTGAAATTTCTCAAGTTTTTCTAAATTTCATAGACCACGGGGAGGCCCTATTGAATTTAAATACAGTTTAATAAAATTAAATTGTTACAACTCCAGTTGTTGGTGTATGGATCTTAACAGGAGTTTCTAATTACAAAGTAGGTTAGTTTTCTATTGCCACGTAACAAATTACTGCAAACTTAGCAGCTTCAGACAACATCCATGTATCATCTCACAGCTTCCGTGGGGCAGGGAGTCCAGGCATGGCCTTAGTAGGTCCTCTGCCCAGGGTCTCACAAGGCTGCAGCCGAGGTGTCGCCCAGGACTGAAGTCTCATCTGAGACTTGGGGTCCTCTTCCAGGCCTATGTAGTTGGCAGAA
The DNA here is from genome assembly GCF_000001405.40 of Homo sapiens. Lineage (NCBI taxonomy): Eukaryota > Metazoa > Chordata > Mammalia > Primates > Hominidae > Homo > Homo sapiens. Next base: position 36,611,460 of record NC_000018.10, read on the forward strand.
TTCATTTCCTTGCTTCTGTGAAAGTTGTGGTTGCTCCTGCCTCGAGGCCAGTGGGATAATCTCTTTCCAGTCCAGCTCAGAGAAGAGCTAAGCCTTCTTTTAAAGGGCCTACCTGATTATCACCTAGGAGAGTCACCCCTTCGATTAACTCAAAATCAACTGCTTTTGGACCTTCATTACATCTGCAAAATCCCCTCACCTTTGCCACCTAATGTAACCTAATCATGGGAGTGCCCCCCTCTCATGGGAGTGCCCAGCCCACACTCAAGCCAAGGAGATTATGTAGCACTTGTACACCAGAGGGGAGAATATTGGGGTTCATTCTGCCTGCCACACTGAAGAGGCTTTTGCTCAAATAAATTTGTCATCTGTCTGGATTGATTAGTGGCCATGATTATAACAATATGCCTGGATTAGGCATTGGAAAATGCCCTGAGAGCCTCAAGGCAGTCTTCTGTGGTGTCTCTGTAGCTGGTTCTTCTCTTCTTCCAGACGTTATCAGGACTACCAGACCAAGACACCTTCTACGACGTCGTGGACTGCCTGGAGGAGCTGGGCATTGCTGCTGTGTCCCAGAGGCACTTGAACAAGAAAGGGACTGACCTGGACTTAGTGGAGCAACTCAACATTTATGAGGTACCAGACCATGCCTTTTGTAAGGTATCGTACAGCTTTGGCAATTGTCAAAGGCTGAGATGGCGCCTACTTTAGACCACGCGTAAAGCGTATGAGCACCACCAGCTTATTAGAAACTCAGCATCGTAGGCTTCACCCCAGACCTACTGAATCAGAAACTCTGAGGGCCCAGCAGACCATGTTATGACAAGCCTTCCAGGAGAGTCTGATGCATATTCAAGCTCAAGAACCCTTGATATAGGGGAAATTGGTTAGCTATTTTCCTTTAAAGAACATGCCGTTTGTCAGCGGCACCTTCACTCAAGGAGACGGGGAGAGAAAGAGATAGAGACAGAAATCACATTTCTTATACCTGAGTGGGGTGGAACTTCAGGCAGGGCCAGATACATGATTTGTAGCAACCAATGCAAAACGAAAATGAAGGACCATTTATGGAACACTCAAGCAAAAGTGCTGTTAAAGATACTGAAACAACTCTTCACTTTCTTCTGTGGTTTCTCCCACCTTGTTATGGTGATTTTCTAATTTGGTATGTAATTGTCGTAAGGAAAGAAAAATTAAAAATTAAAATTTAAAATTATTACCATGAATTTTACCATTCATCTTTATATTATGAAGTGTCAGTTTAGAATGCAAATATAAGAGCCTTTAACTTGTAGGCAGAATCAGCCAAATTACCTAAATCATATTTTGTAGCTCCCATATGCACGTGTATTTTGTTCTTACCAAAACAGCAGAAACAGTACGAAACCGACTGCACTGTTTTTACATCACTTCTTGGGGTGTGTGCATTCTACCAACACTCTGCCTTTAACTTACTAAAGAGTAAGAAAGGGCTGAAAGAAAAAGGATCTAGGAGCTGCCCTATCTTTTCCTTTCTTTATGTTGTCATTTCAGCATAAGTTGTTGTCTAACATGGGAAGGTAACAGGGTAAGAAAGGATATGAGAGGCTCCATGGGTTGTCTTCTGTCTGCACTCAAATCCATCTTGAAGGGAAACATGGCCCCCAGGGCTGTCAGTGCCCCTGCCTGCCCAGTTGTAGGTGTAACATACTTACCTTGTACTCACTTCCAGTCCCGCAGAACTCCTGCCTATCACCAGTCTACCAGAATCTGTGCACATGAGCAGCAAGGAATGGCAGACATGCATGTTGTACCTCTCTCCTCTGCTGGTGCAACAGCACAGGTCACTCACCCGTGACGCCGGTTCTGCTTTGGGCTACATATCAGGGCTTCGGACCTTGTTGACTTGAGTTCAGACTGTTCCCTGTGGGTTAATTTTAGGTCAAATGCCCTCACGGTATTGAAAGTACTTAACTATGAGAGTGTTGAAATGACACTCTTTCTTGCTGATCCTCATCATCCCAGTGTCCTGCCATGGCCAGTTAGGGGCAGATCTGAAGATGTGTTTTCTCTTGGGTGGTATGACCTCAACCAGGAAAGTGAATTCCTCTAGGCCCAAACTTAAAGAATACAATGACCCAGGCAATCCCTGAGGACATTCCACCAGTGGCATTCTGTGTGTATGTCATTGCAAGAGCCTTTGGGGCCTGTATAACCTTCCACCTCTGGTTGGTTGGTTGTTGGTTGTTTTTTGAGACAGTCTCTCTCTCTGTTGCCCAGGCTAGAGTGTGGTGGCGCGATCTCGGCTCACTGCAACCTCTGCCTCCTGGGTTCAAATGATTCTCCAGCCTCAGCTTTCCCAGTAGCTGGGATTACAAGTGTCCACCATCATGACCAGCTAATTTTTATATTTTAGTAGAGACAGGGTTTCACCATATGGGCCCGATTAGTCTTGAACTACTGACCTCAAGCAATCCACTTGCCTCAGCCTCCCAAAGTGCTGGGATTACAAGTGTGAGCCACTGTGCCTGACCCTGGTTGTTTTTTCGTTTTGTTTTGCCCTCCACCCATCCTTCACATTCCACAAAATTCACCATTTTAAAGTGTACAATTTAATGGTTTTTAGCATATTCACAAGGTTGTACAATCATCACCACTATCATATTTCAGATTGCTTTTGTCACTCCCAAAAGAAACCCCCACACCCATTAGCAGACACTCTACATTCTTCCCTGTCCCCCATGGCCCCAAACCGGTAATCTACTTTCTCTCTCTATGGATTTACCTGTTTTGGACATTTCAGACAAATGGATCCATACAAAATGTGGTCTTTGTGGCTAGCTTTCACTTAGCGTGTTTTCAAGGTTCACCTACGTTTGCAGAATCACTACTTTGTTCATAGTTGTGCTGACAGTATTCTATTATATGGATACACCATATTTTGTTTATCCATTTATCAGTTAGTGAATACTTGAGTTATTTCTACCTTTTGGCTATTATGAATAATGCTGTTGTGAACATTTGTGTTGAATTGAAGTTTGTGTACATACGTTTTCAGTTCTCTTGGGTTTATACCTAGAAGTGAAATTGCTGGTCATATGGTAACTATCTTTAACTGATTGAGGAATTGCTGGATTGGTTTCTAAAATGGCTGTCCCATTTTATATTCCTACCAGCACTGTATAAGGATTCCAGTTACTCCACACCTTTGTCAACGCTTATTATTGTCCACCATTTTTATTATAGCCAGCTAGTAGGTGTGAAGTGGTATCTTACTGTAGTTTTGACTTGCATTTCCCTGTTGACTAATGATGTTTAGCCTCTTTCTAAGTGCATATTGGCTGTCTGTATAGTTTCTGTGGAGAAATATTTATTCCGATCCTTTGCTCATTTTTTAATTGATTTTTTTTTTTTTTTTTTTTTTTTTTGAGATGGAGCTTTTTCTCTTGTTGCCCAGACTGGAGTGCAATGATGCAATCTCGGCTCACCGCAACCTCCACCTCCCAGGTTCAAGCGATTCCCCTGCCTCAGCCCCCTGAGTAGCTGGGACTACAGGCATGTGCCACCACGCCCAGCTAATTTTGTGTTTTTGGTAGAGATGGGGTTTCTCCATGTTGGTCAGGCTGGTCTCAAACTCCCGACCTCAGGTGATCCACCTGCCTTGGCCTCCCAAAGTGTTGGGATTAAGGGCATGAGCCACCGCGCCCAGCCTTGATTTTTTTATTGTTGAGTTTTAGGAATTATTTCTATATTCTGGATACTAGACCCTTATCAGATATATAATTTGAAAATATTTTCTCTCATTCTATGGGTTGTATTTTTCCACTTCTGATATAACTGATCAGTCTTATTAATAGTAATACATTTAAAAAATATTTCCTATTTCCACTTATAAAGATAATATATACTCATTGATGAAAATTTGGAAAATAACAAAAAGCATTTTTGGTATATGAAAAAGCATAAGAGAAAAAAAAATCACCCATGATTTTATTACTAACCATTTTTAACATTTTGGTCTATTTTTCTGGTCTTTTTTGTATATGTGGGTGTGTGTTCATGATGAGGGACATAGTAGTCTACATATAGTGTTGCATGTTGAATCTTATTAGCAAACATGTTGGAAACATTTTCCCTTGTCATTACATGTTTAAGAATTTAATGTTTTAGTACAATATTCTATCTGTGTGTATACCATAATATATATAACTAGTCCCTATTTTTTCAGATTTAGATTATTTTCAAAGTTTTCACAATTACAAATGCTGTTATGAGGAAGATATTCATTCATAAATTTTTCTGCACCGCTAGATCTCTAGGGAAGATATTTTCCATTTCCTTATGGTCTTCACTGGATAGAAATGGAGAGAGTGATGTATAACTCACTATTTTCTATAAGTTACTGTCATAATAAGTGACAAGTTGAGGAATAGAACAGAATTATCTTTATATGATCTTGGGAGAGAAGAAACTGGGCCCAACATATTTGCTGGCAGCACTTGAAGCTGCCAACAGCCACCAGCTGGCCAGCTCTTTGTGCGCTGCTCTGGGCATCTTCTCTTCCAGCCCTGCCTCACTCCCTCAGTTTTTTATTGTTACTGACCTGTGGCCCTGGGAGGCCAGTAGGTGACAAAGGAGTATGTTCTCATGGCTCCTAAGATACAAGATGGAGAATAAAGTAAGCATACTAAAGATGGAAGAGGAAGAGAGCTCAAGAGAGTTGGTTTAAATAAAGGTAGAAGATGGACTTTTTCCAGCACAGATATTTCCTTCCCTTAGCCCCCTCACCACCACGATCGGAACTCCTTCCATCTCTTAGATTCTGTTCAGCCAGGGGCTCAGATGACCACAGATTTGGATTCCATAGGGTCACTGTATATTCAGAGGCCAGCATGATGCGGATGAATTGCCCATCAGTGAACAAACTGGGAGAGAGTAGTGAAGAATAGCCTTGATACCAACTCCAGGAATCTAAAAACTATCCTCTGCTTCAGGGCACATTTTCTCTCCAGCCTACCTGCCTCTTAAGCCACCTCCTCAACTTCTTTCCCTTCATGCCAGACTTTGAAGAAATTATACTGTGTTCACCATCTTTCTTTTGTCGAATTACATGTGCCTAATATTTGAGCATCAAGTGTATATCATTCACAAATGAAGCATATTTGTGTCATTTAAAGAGCAATAAAACAAATACCATGTACCAGCTTTAAGAACTAAAACATTACAACTCAGAAGTGTCCTGACAGCCGCTTCATTGTCATCCTACTACTCCTATCCCCAGTATTCTCTTGCTTTCTTTAAAAATAATTTAACCTGAAAACCACTTATTCTGTGAGCTAACATAATCATATTACTAAATCAGAATTGGCTAATCAGAGATCTTTCCCAGTTATCTGGCTGTACTAATAATTTCAAGAATATAGCCTATCGAGGTGCAGATGGATCAGAGAGAGGTCTGGGACATCCCTTGTGACTCCCCAGGTCCTTTTTTCATGATTCAGATGTGTGCTTTCTGACCCGGAACAACAGACAAAGTCTGTAAGTGAGGTTCACAAGGTCATCTCACCCAGCAAGGAGCATTTAGTTAGGAAACATCTCTACTTCATGCCCCAGAGAGTCATGGCTCACAAATCCATAATTCTGAGTTTATTTACTATAAGTAGTCCATAGCCAGGGACATCCTGCTAAGGGTATTCCAGAAATAAGAACTCTCAGCAAATATCTTTAATTTATTTGTTAGATAGTCTAGTTAATTCGCATATTTATGGTAGGTGAGGCAGGTCCTCACATGCTTGTGTCCTTTCCCCAGAAACATCTTTCTTGTAAGATGAGTGAAAGGATCATCAGCCAGATGCTTTAGCTCCTTCTTCTCAGTCTGCCCCTAAACAATGTATTATTGAATTTTGTCTGTTTTCAAGCTTTTTATAAATGGAATCGTATCTTTTGACTCTTTGTAGAATATGCCCTTTTGCTCAGCAGTTTTGAGACCTGTTCCATGTTGATATATGGATAACAGCTTGTTCATTTTCACTGCTGACGAATGTATCACAATTTATTTATCTGCTCTGCTCTGAACAGATGTTAGGTGGTTTAAATTTTTGTTGCCTTGACAAACAATGCTACTACGAGAGTTCTTGTACTTCCCTGTGTGTGTGTGTGTGTGTGTGTGTGTGTGTGTGTGCAATAGTTAAGATGTTTAGGTATCAGTTTTATTCATGCTGCATCAAAATATTTAGAAGTTTTTCTTCCTTCTCTAAGCCCTGGAAATGTTTAAGTGTCATTTCATATTCTGGTCTTTGATGGCTTATTAGAATTCTGTTGGAAAATTACATGGGCCTGTGATGTTAAATATATATGTGTGTGGGGTGAGGACAGTGAGGGAAGATTTTTGGTAACTATATTTTTTTCTATGGAAACTGGTCTGTTTAAACTTCCTATTGTTACAGGATCAATTTTGCTAAATTACATTTCCTAGGAAATTAGCCATTTCATCTGTATTTTAAAATTCCTTAGCAAAGGAATTTTTATTAGTCTGTTATGAATATTTTAAATTTCTTCTCTTTTAGTAATCTTCCTTTTGTTATTTCTTACTTTGTGTTTGTGACTTCTCCTTTTCCCTCCAGATTAACTAATGGTTTGTCTATTTTGTTGATTTTTTTTCAAGCAATAATTCTGACTTTTATATGAATTGCACTGCTTTTCTGTTTTGTAACTCAATGTTTTGCTATTATCTTTATAAATCCCTTTTACTTTCTTTCAGTTTACCTTGTTATTTTTCTGGATTTTTGAGTTGAGTAATTGATTTCTTTTCATCTTTTAACCATCATTGCATTCTTGTAATACAATCCATTTGGTAATGATGTTTTTTGGTGGTTTTTTTTTTTTTTTTTTTTTTGAGATGGAGTTTCACTCTTGCCCAGGCTGGAGTGCAAGGTGCGATCTTGGCTCACCACAACCTCCGCCTCCCGGGTTCAAGTGATTCTCCTGCCTCAGCCTCCCGACTAGCTGGGATTACAGGTGTGCGCCACCATGCCTGGCTAATTTTGTATTTTTAGTAGAGACAGGGTTTCTCCATGTTGGTTGGGCTGGTCTGGAACTCCCAACCTCAGGTGATCCACCCTCCTCGGCCTCCCAAAGTACTAGGATTACAGGCGTGAGCCACCGCACCTGGCCAATGATGTGTTCTTTTTAAAAAGGTGCTGTTGGAATTCTGGTTGGTACTAATTTATTGAAAATGTTTGCATTAGTATTCATAAGTAAGATTGGTGTGTAGCAGCTAGCTCCTCCCCACCCCATCCCTGCCACCTCCCCTTCCTCTTCCTTTGTTGTAAGCTGTGTTTGTCAGTTGGAGCATCACTGTTATAGTAGCATCATAAAAGAATTCCTGACCACTCCTGCACATTGCGCCTTGTTGCTTTGTGTCCAGATGTCTCTGGGGTATCTCTCTGATTGTTCCCCCTTAGTGTCCTCCCTGGATCCTCTGTTTCTGACCCCTCCCTTTCAGTGGTGTCCTTATCAGACCTCCTCTCTGTCTGTGTTGTCTGTCTATATTCACCCTAGTGAAGTCAGCAGCCTTGGGGGCTCATCGCTATCTTGACTCCATGCTTTCTTCTGGGACCCAAGGCTGCTTGCCTCTCTACCTTCCTTTTCCTCTGCCTGCTTGCCATCTTGTATTTCATTCATGTACTTGGAGACCACTATATGTGACATATTCTGCTAGGGCTGTAAATACAGAGATAAAATATCTGTACCTGCCCCCAAAGAACCTCCATTCTTTAGTCTAAGGCAAGCAGGTAGCTGATTCCCCTAGCAGAGGATGGTGCAGAGGACTTAGGACATGCCAAGGAAGCTCTGACTGTATCTGACATGACCACCTGAAAGCCACACATGAAATGCAACCAGCCCCCAAATGAACCCTTTATTTTTCTTCCACAACAAAAACAAAAATTCTGAACGGACTCTTCATGTCTCCACCTCTGCAAACAGTGGAGTCTCCCAAGTTACAAGGCTAGAGCTATACTGGACTCTTTTCTCTTTCCTGTGTCCCCTTATTTAGGAATTTGATTGCTGAAAACAGCACTTCTTCTCCATTCCTGTGATCATTTCCTTAGCTCTGGCCCTCATCGTTTCTTGCCTGAAGTATTGCACTATCTTCCTATTCATTTGCTTGTCTATTACTTTGTTCATTCCACAAAACTTCATTGAGCACCTGCTATGTGCCAGGCACTATTCTAGCCCTGGTGACCCAGCACATCAGGCAAGACCACTGCCCTGAGAGGGCACATACTCTAATGAGGTGCAGACAGCAATCAAGAACGTGCGTAAGCAGAGGATCTGAGATCGCAAACATGTCTATGAAGAAAAGAGACGGTATGAGGTGGGGGCCAGAAAGAGGGGCAGCAGCAAGGAAGGAAGGCCTGATGAAAGACAGTGAATGAGGGAGAGCATTGGAGGAGGTCAGGCATGGCAGGTGTCAGGGGTTGAAAGGAGGCTGGGTGGCTACAGGGGTAGGGCCTGGAGAGCAGCATGTTCAGAGCCTGGGGGACATTGAGATCCCATGAGGGCCTTCTCCCCATTCCAAACTCCCACTGGCTGAAAGCAAGGTGATCCTCCTGAAAGTCAAATCTCATTATGCTGTTCTCCTGTTTAAGAAAACGAATGAATGAGCTTTTCATGACCAGTAAGATGAAACCAAAATTCCTTCCATTGGTACAAGGGCCCTCCATACTCCGAGGCCTTCGTGCCTCTGTGGCCTCATCTCCACCATTCCCAAGATGTGTCTGAAGTTTCAACCACACTCAACTTCTCCTGTTTTTGAACATGAAAGGCAGGTTCTTTGGGGAACTTTCCTTTATCCATTCTATTTTCTTTGCCTGGAGTGTTTTTTCTTCCTATTCTCAAGTTATCAAACTCCTACTCCTGCTGCTGCAGTCACTTCAGATGTCATCTCTTTCCCTAAGGCTCCTTGGCAAGATGGAAGGGGCTCCTTCTGTTTGTCCCCCTACTGCCATTCATAGCTGATGAGAGGGTGCTGCCTTGTGTCCACACCTCTGATTTAACACTCCTCAGAATGTGCGACCTGTTTCCCTTTGAGCTACTCTAAGCCATATGTCTCATGCCTCTGTCTAGCCCCAAGGGCCAGCAGCACAGCTGCCCAAAGTAGAAGTTCAGTAGGTGCTTGAATGAAGGTCTCCTTCAAATACCACACATTTCATGATAGTGTCTACCAGGTGCTGAGTTGAATGAAGGAAGGATGCTATTCAGTTGGAAAGCAGTCACCTTAAGGGGCAGATGCCCTGTGTAATAACTCAAGCTGTGACAACTGAATCCTTTAGATAGCTGGCAGAGTTGGGATTTTTCTTTCTTTCTGAAAGTTAATGCATCTCAAAAATATATTCATTGCCAAAAGACAACCAACTTCAATATATGCAAGGGCAGCAACGAAGCCTACAAGCAGAACCAATTTTTTTTTTCACAAAAGACTGAATGTTCTCAAGCAATTGCAGAGAGCTTGGTTAGCCTTCTAGAATTCTTCCTAATAGAGAAGGACATCTGGTGGCCATTATGTCTTGGACTTGCTGGAAACAGGCCCAATTTCCTGTAATTTAACTCCATTTCAGAAGGGTGATTTGATCCATGTTTAATTAAATTCATTTGAATTTTTATGGCTTCATATTATTTTTTTCACATACATAAATTGACAGAAAAGAAAATATTTTGTCAGATTACGTGTTCTAACTTTAGATTCTGAAAATGTGTCCTTGTAAGGGGTCAGGCATCTTAAGGCTGAAGACTGTAGAGGATGAGAAATAACTATTACTGTTAAGAGTAATTAATAGGTCCAATCTCTGAAGATTCTTCCTTGTCATAGGTGATAGGAAGTATGTATCAGTTATCTTTTTCTGCATAACAAAACACCCCAGAACTTAGTGGTGTAAAACAACAATCCCTGTTCCTGATGTTTTGGGTTAGGAATTTGAGCCTTATTCAGCTGGGAAGTTTTCACTCAGCTGCAGTTATCTAGTGGTTTGAGTGAGCTGAGTGGTCTAAGACGGCCTTAGTTTATCTACTTGGCCTGGCATTTGGTACTGGCTGTTGGCTGGGCCATGTGTCTTCAACAGCCTAGCCCACATGTCTTCCCATGATAGCAGTGTTTCAAAAAGGCAAGTCCCAGTGTGTAAACACTTTTCAGGCTTCTGTGTGCATCATGTTTGTTGATGTTCCATTGGCCAAAGCAAGCCACATTGTTGAGCTTTCATGGGTGATGAGCACATCACAGTCTATATTCTTCTCTCTATTTTGTGTGTGTTTGAGAATTTCCACAGTACAAAGTTAAAGAAAAAAACTGTTCAAGCATTAAAAATGAAACCACCATATGATCCAGCAGTCCCACTTCTGGATATTCATCAAAAAGAATTGAAATCAGGATTTTGGAGAAATATTGGTACTCCCATGTTTGTCGCAGCACTAGTCACAATAGCCAAGGTGTGGAACCAACCAAAATGTCCAATGATGGACGAATCAATAAAGAACATATGGTATATACAGGCAATGGAATATTTTCAGTCTTAAGACGGAAATCTTGACATTTCCTACAACTTGGATGAACTTGTAGGACATTTTGCTAAGTGAAATGGCCCAGTCACAGAAGGACAAATACTGCATATTTTCACTTATATGAGGTATCTAAAATAGACTCACAGAAGCAGAGAGTAGGATGGCCATTACCAGGGGCTAAGGAGAGGGGGTGAAGGAGAGTTGCCTATCAGCAAGCATAAAGTTTTAGTAATGCAAGATGAATAAGTTATAGATATGTGCTATACCACATCGTCCCTCTAGTTAACAATAATGTATCGTACACTTAGAATCTGATAAAAGAATAGATCTCATGTTGAATATTTTTACTACAATAAATAAAAAGAAAAAAATTCTTAAGAATGTTCAGATCATTCAGTGGCCTCAAAGACTGGTAGAAGTGGTTACAGATGTCACCTTAAGTTGCCCCTAACTGCTTTCTTGGTTACATGGGGATGTGTAAGCCGTCAGGGCTGGATTCTGGACCCTACTTGCTCCTTGCCCAAGTTTTTAGTTTACAAATAGCGTTCTACATTTAATTAAAAGAGTTAGAAGGTATTTGATGAGAGGTCTAGCAAATGAGTCACTCCATTACTTGGGACAGTGTTAGAGGTCTTGCAGGACTGGCTCTATCTCACTTAGTGCTCCCACGGAGGATACTCATTGCGCTGTATTTGATTAGGTCTGACTCTTACCACATGTCCTAAATAAGCCTTGGGTGAAAAGCCGTACTCTCCAGGTGTTTTCTAGCTCCCAGTGTTCCTGAGTCTAAGCTGTAGTGCTCACTAGAGCCGAAAGCATTTGGAAATGCCACCGTAGCCTAGCATGTGCAAACAAAGCCTCTCTTCCTGTCATCACTGGACACTGATGACTCTAGAATTCTTATTATAAAAACAAAACCATGAGTGAACAGCAGCCTCCAATTTCTTGTTATGTTGTCCCTGACTGCCAAGCATGAGGCTACCCTTGGGTCTACCAAGATTCTGTGGCCCATTTGCTCCCTCCATGCACTCTTCTTGTTTTAAGTAGCTTGATGTTTTGTTAATTATCTGAACTTCAGAAAGCCCTAACTGCATGCCATGTTATGGTGTTGCCTTGATAATTTTTCCAGATTTTTCTTGGCCTTCAAACTTTCTGGTTATCTCTACCTTCCTTGACAAAGGGCAGTTAAAGTGGATTTCACTTCATGCACACTGTGTGCCTCTCTGAAAGGACTTGTGAGTAGAACGTCACTTGATCCTTGGATCTCTGAGGTTAGACAAGGAATTAGAAATATCTTAACTCTACTTTAGCCCCTAATCTTATCATTCCAAATGTGTGCTTAATAAGAAGCAGAATCAACACATCAGGTCAGAATAAGTTCAAATGGTCTAGAATTTTTATTTATAGAAATGAAAAAAACATTGGCTAGAAACACTTAAAAATGCTGTCCTTTGTTAGGTATGTGGTTGTTCTCAAACTTTTCCCCACAGAATGTCATTTAAAGTTTTAAAGTTGAGATGACATATGTGCTTAACTAAATGCTTAATTTCTTTTTAGTTCTTGCAGTTACAATGCAGAAGGATACTCCTAGGAAATAGAATTCCCAATGAGATTTTGTAAAGATAGAGCTTTTATCAATTCTTGCCTCAAACCTCCCAAAATTATGTTTGGTGAATTCTAGGGGAGTAAAACAGTCAAAAGTCTGTTAAATTATCGTCACCTATGGGAGTTTGTTATAAGATGTATCTGGCATGTAGATGGAAGAGATTTTGTGAAAGCTTGAGCTGGTGGAAACAGGGTAGGGCAGATAAGGGTGGATACACTCCTGGTAAACGGTTTGTGTATCTCAGGTGCTGATATGTCCCTGTGAACTGAGATGACAGTGGCTAACCTGGCCTTGCCTCAGCCGAGCTCACATGAGGGCAGCTGATTTTGCAATAGCTAGGTTTTCTGCACATAGGTGATGTTAAAGCCATATACTGTGGTTAGCTATCTGAGTCTTTATATTCTCCATTCTCTCACATGGAAGGACTGGGTTGTGAAATGTGACTAAGAACACCCACAAGGCTGGAGAACTTGCATGTTTGGGGACTTGGAACTGTGTTATTCCATGGTTGCGAAGTCAGAAGTTCTGTGTGATTAAGGAATTTATGGGCATCTTAGGTCACTTCCTGTGAGAGAATGGATAGGGGAAGGCAGTCATATTCATTGAGTACCACAGAGAAGGCCCTACCCTAGATGCTTTACACAAGTTACCTTTACATAAGTGATTCTCATCACAAACCTGCAAGGGCAATTCTATTACCTTCATTTGGTGAGCCAGAGAGGGTACAAGTAATTTATGACAGGGCACACCTGGTTCATTAGTGGCACAGCCAGCATGCACACCAAGGTCTAGTTGACACCAAAACTTGTATTCTTTCTGCTGTCCAGTTTTAGAGAATGTAGGCGTAGGCATAACAATTAGAGGCCAGAGATAGAGTCCCTGGCTACGAAGAGTCATCATGGATAAGGAGCAGAGCTGGGTGCTAGAAGAGAGGTGGAGGAGAGTTACTCAGAAGGACAGTTAGTTTTAATGGGAGGTGAGAAAGCCATGAAGTAAGATCCAGGACAGAGTGAGATTAAGAGATGGAAAAGCTGGTCTTCTGCAGAGGGCGCCACCTAGACACAGGGCTAAAAATATCCCTTGGAGAAAGGCAAAGGGTAAGAAAGAGTATGGGACCAGTTGGCTCACATTTCCCCATGTAAGCCGGAGTGGCAAAGTGCAAGCCAGTTATTTTTCTGCACAAATATGCGTCACTCTTAGGAAACTTTAAAACAAATCTTAATTCTAGGAGTTGTCTTTTTGTGTTGTGTATCTTTGTGACTTGTGTTTGCAAGCTTCTGGTAAAACTACAGGCTCCACTCCAAATCCTGAACCAGGCTGCTGTGATAGCCTGATAGTGCAGCAGCTGTCAGCCAAGATTTTGAAATTAAACAGTACCTGCTGTGGCACTAGTCCTCTTAGAAAGATTTATGGGTGAGGCCAGTTCCCATTCACCTGGATCTTGTGGCTCTGGCCACTTCTGAGCACCCTCTTTGGGAAAGCGAGCTCAAGACTGATAGGGAACCGGCCACCACTAGGCTTCAGGAGAGATTCAGGCTCATGGAGCAGAAAAGAGACACGGGTGGGCAAGGAGATGGTGAAGGCCCGGGAAATGGAAATGCTGGGGTACAGAGTTAGTTAGGTCCTATCCGATTACAAAAATATTTCTCAGACTCACTGGTCATATTGGCTGCCCGCTTCGTGTCTGTTTGATGGGAAGAACCTACAGTGGCAGGCATCTTCCAGTGCCCAGGCTGTGTTTGGCTTGGACACATGTGGTTGTGAAGACCTGGCAGGGAAGCTGAGGCGTGCAGTTTGCGAAGACAGAGTTAAAAATCCCTATTAGGGCAATCCTGAAATGCAGTCACACCTGAGGTCTGTGAAAGGATGCCAAGCCTGACCTTGCACTGGGCGTGCTCTGCTTTTCCAGGTGGCGCTCAGGCACGAGGATGGCGATGAGACCACGGAGCCACCCCCCAGTGGGTGCCGGGACCGGAGGAGGGCCAGCGTGTGTTCCAGTGGCGGAGGCGAGCACCGGGGCCTGGACCGCAGAAGGAGCCGCAGGCACTCGGTGCAGAGCATCAAGAGCACCCTGTCGGCCCCCACCAGTCCCTGCTCCCAGTCAGCTCCCAGCTTCAAGCCCAACCAAGTGCGAGATCTGCGTGAAAAGTAAGCATTAACTTGGCAGTGGAGAGGGGTGCAAGGATGCCATCCAAAAGAGAGCCCACAGGTGCCTGCCACTCTCCCCTCCCTGCTGGCCACTTTGTCCCCCACCCAGCATTGCTCCCTACCTCTTCTTGACCATTAAACCACCAGCCAAACATCTCGGTGGATTTCCCACACAGGGTGGCCCCTGGCGACTTTTACAGACTTCATCTTACTAATCCCAGGAACTGTTTTTCAGCTACCTGTTTTTAAAAAATATTATTTACTATCTCAGTTAATATCTGTTCAGAAAAGCTGTGTTTTATCAAATGGAAAAGACTTCAAAACACAAAACTTTGGCCTAGAAATAACCACTGTAGGAATGTGGGGTTGGAAGAGTCTCGCGATACTCCTGACAATACAGGGATATCTCTGGGTTGGTTTAAGTTAAACAGAAAAAACCCATATGAGTTTCCAAATAGCTGTCTCTATATATTTCAGTACACACTAATTCCATCATTTAGTCTGAAACATTTTTATTGAGTGTCTGTTAGAGGCCAGGACTACTTGAAGCCATGAAGATACATAAATAGAAAGGTATGATCTCTGTCCCTTTGAGCCTCACGTTTGGGCTGGGAGGAAGACCGAGAATGGTAGATAGAAAAAAATGGAATGATTGGCAATCCTATGAGATATTATATGTATTTAAAGTATAAAGTTTGACAAAATCTGCCAAACCCAGAGTGGTTCTATAGTATAGAGGTACAACAAAAGGCTGGCCATGCCTGCTCCAGAGTCTGGGTCCAGTTGTATCTTCCCAAATGGATGCTCTGAGGTCACTGGGATGAGGGACTTTAGGCTCCAGTCTCTGCCACCCAAATCCACAGGGGCTGACTAACACATTCCCATCCTGCTGCTGATAGTCTGGAAGCAGGAAGTGCTCATATCACTTGGCTGGATCATCCTCCCTCATCATAGAGATCCTCCTGGGAGTCAAATTTAGGTCACCAGGCTACATTATGAGGAAGAAAATCACTCAGAATAAGTTGGATGACCTTAAGAAAGAGTGATCAAGATATATCCCTCCTCTCCATCTCTAAGGGAATACCCCACCAGCACCAAGAGGTGCCCCAAACAATCTGATACCCATGGAATCATTTGAGCAGGACCCAGGCCATGCCTTCAGATACCTGTTATCCCAGGAGGAGGAGGGACTGGTTTGAGATAGATGTGCAACCATGGTCTATGTTGACACCCCTCTTCTACCTCATAACCCCAGATGCCCTCTCTCTACAGGCTTTTATGTTTCTGAGAGTCTGTGTAC
This sequence comes from Homo sapiens, assembly GCF_000001405.40. Lineage (NCBI taxonomy): Eukaryota > Metazoa > Chordata > Mammalia > Primates > Hominidae > Homo > Homo sapiens. The sequence goes on from NC_000018.10 coordinate 36,627,050, forward strand.
AGCTCTATTTTAGTGAAAAGAAGACCTAAACTTCTAAACATATTAAGGAAAGAGAACCTTTACCATGAGCATTGCATTTTGTGATCTAGAATCTTAAAGAAACTCAGCCAATTCTCAAAGAAAAAGCCCTCGAAGCTCTCTTCCAGCTGGCTTGAGAAGTTAACATGAAGAGAATTGAGGAAATTGTACACAATCCTCTGAAAAAGGCCTGTATATAAAGCCACCGAAGATGCTGAGGGTAGGAGTTAGGTGGACCTTGTCAGTAGTACTTGGTGTTCTCCTGCTTCATCATGTTTGTTCCTTGTCTGTTTCTTGCTGTTACACTTTTCGAGGATTCCTGTGTTGTGAGTTCAGGTGACAATGCTTTGCAATAGGCTGGTAAGGATGATGATACGGAAGTGGACCATCCTGGGCACGGTTCACAGTCTTGAAGTGCTGGGCTCGGTAGGATCTGAAACAGGAGGCCAGAGATGCCACTCTGAATGCTGTTTGCTTCATTCTTTTTGGAATTTCACTTTACTGGAATTATTACTTCAACATTAATTTAGTAGCATTTGAGCAAAATATACTTTGCAGCTTGTAAAGATAGGTGATGTTTTATCTATCTAGATTGATGATTATGAAGTGACTTCATTTACGAAGCCTGTTGGAGGGATTTTGCCTGTGGCCCCAAAGTGACGGCATGATTTTGATGAGGTGGGAGTGCGATAGTGGGAATGCAGTGGTGAAATGCTGATTGGGAAATGATTTCTTCCTGCATAGCTTAGTCACCTGCTCAACATCTGTGCCTCAAACAGTACCTCAGAGTCAAGTGGCTCATTGTGTTCTGTCCCCTGCAGACCTTGAAAGACACAGAAGCTGCCTCATGTACATATATGCACATTGCTCTTCATCCCTGCAAACGCCCTGGCCGCACCTAACGCTAGCTTATAGCAACATGCCTTCAGATGCCACATATGAAGGATTTGGGGCTAGATTTTATAACTCAGTCACCCAAGTGATGCCAACTTTTGTAAAGAAGGGAGAAATATGTTTTAGAAAGGGGTTCATATTGTTCTAAAAAAATATAGGGCAGTCTCCACTCAGATGGTCCTTTTGCATCATTTGAATTTAACTCTCACGATCATCCTCTGTAAGATTCAGACAGGACAGGTTTTATTAACCTCATTGTACAAGTGAGAAAACAGATGGGGCTAAGTGCCTATTCCAAATCACAGGACTAAGGGCTATGACCAAGGGCTGGGCCCTTGGCTCTTAATATCCAAAGTATACAGACTCCTTCCCAGTCAACCACATCCCAGCCAACCACTCCTAAACATATTCTTCAAGCGAGATGATTAGAGAGACAATTTGATTTACATTCCTTGTAGGTATTTTTTTGTTTGAGGTAAATACAAAAATTCAAAGACTTGGAGAGAAATGCTTAGTCTCCCTGTAGACTTAAGCCAGCTATGTGCTTTAATTCTAATAAAGACTAATAAGAGCTTGAACTCAGATTTGTTTGCTTTGGTTTCTTAGGAAATACAACTCTACACTGAGCATTTGCCCAGTAAGGTACAAGTTTATTGGTCATTGGTCAACTAAAAGCATCTTTATGGGACCATGTGTGTCATAATGAGTTTCATCTTTGCACTTAAAGTTTACAAATTTCATTGGAAGGGGAAAAAATCTTAGTGCTAGAAAGTTCTTAAAATTTAGCCCAAAGCAGGAGCCCTTTCTGTCAAGTTCCCAAGAGATGGGGTACACTTCCAGGCATGGGTGCTCTTTCTCCTGAGGTACCCCATCTGCCCTTGAACTATTCTGTTTATCCTGGTTCTTCCTCTGTTGACAAAAACAGGGCTGCTTCCTGCTCTGTGTGTCAGTCCTTCTGATACCAAACACTGCATGGGACTTAACACGTGAACTTTCAGTTTCATCCTGCTGATTTCCACACAACATTCCAAACTATAGAAGTAATTTTGAACTTCATTTAGTCACTAATGTTAACAGTTGTGCCATGCAGCTTTCAGTCATGTGTATATTTTAATATACGTGGAAGAGTGACCTGGCAGATAGTGGATGTTGACAACTGGTTAGGGAGTGGAGGGTCCAGACTAGTGCCACGTGCCTCAGCAGCAGGGTCTGCAAACTTTCTCTGTCAAGGGCCAAGTAACATGTTAAACTTGGAGTACCAGACGGTCTCTATTGCAACTACTCAACTGAATTCTGCCTTTGTAGCACGTCAACAGCCATCAGCCACTGGTACTGGCATGAGCATGGCTGCATTCCAGTGACATTTTATTTATAGACACTGAGATTTGAATTTTACATGTCATGAAATATTATTCTTTTGATTTTTTTTCAACCATTAAAAATGTGAAAACCACTCTTAGCTCACAGGCCGTATAAAAACAGGTGGTAGGCCAGATGTAGCCCACAGGCTGTAGTTTGCCAACCCCTGTCCCAAGGGTCTGGGTTTCTTGAGGGAGGTTGGGGGAAATTGGCAAAGGAGAGTATGTGGCATATGAGAGAAGAATCCACTGTGTTATGTGTGAGGGCTATGGGGAACAGTATTCTTAGATTTGGTGTTAGAGCAAGGAAGTCAAAGGAATATTCCATGAAGAGATAGAGACTATAGGGGACTTTGCTGATGGCTGATCATGAGTTCCCAGGGCACAGAGGAAGATTGAGGGGTCGGAGAAGGGCAAGAGATAAGCCAGATTGAGGGACACATGGAGAGGGAGGGGACTATGTGATGAGTCCAGGGAAGATTGGACTGTGCAGGCCGGGATTGGTCCCAGTGGTCCCTTCGGGCAGTGGTTCTTGACCGGGGTGATTTTGCCACCTAGGAGACATCTGGACACATTTTTGGTTGTTATAACTGGGACGGGGTGGTGCTGCTGGCATCTAGTGGGTGGAGTCCAGGAATGCTGTTCTACTTAGTGCAGGATAGCCCCCTGCCAAACAAATAATTATCTGTTTTAAAATGTCAGTAGTGTTGAATCTGAGAAATTCTGCCTTAGGGGAAGGCAGATCGTTGGTTATGTAATCCACATGATGCTGAGATAGAGAGTGTTTTGGCTATTGGAAAGGGTAGTTTTCTTAGAAGCATTTGGAACTCTGTGCACCTACCTTAAATATTCATGTGCATGGGTCAAAATTGACTCTTTTTCAGAGAATATAATCAGCTAAAACACAGATCTATAGAATATATTTCTAGTTTAAAAAAATCCATTGGCATTTTACAAACAAATGTCATGGAAACAGATTCCTTAAATGAGATATGAATTGTCTTTCACAGCTGACTGGTTACTCTGGGCTACTACATGGTTTACAGTAGAGTCTTTTTTTTGATTTTAAGTCCGTTTAGCAAAGTTTCACGCTTCAAATTCTCAGGAAATATGCTTGAACACTTTTAGGGGACCAAGCCTTGACTTAATCTCATGCTACTCTCAGTAACTGAAATGCCAACAAATCCAATTCTAATCGGCTTCATACACATCCATCACTCCAAAAAATTGACATAATGGAATGTGACACCAGCATAAAACAAGTTGGCAAGAGAGAACAATGATTATATAAGAGAGGTGTGACAGTCTACATCCAGGCTTCACGAACCTGTTCAGAGGAAGAGGAACCTGGCACAGTCTCACCAGAAATGTTCAAGTGGAGCTGAGGAATCTGCATTGAGAAGCAGCAGTGGGCAACTCTCCTCTTGGCTGCCGATACTTTCAACTGATGGTCAAGAAGGAAAAAAGTTACATATAAGAATTGCTAATTTTTTTCCATGTAAGTTACACTAGGGTTACAGAAAAATTGACTAATGTATGTTTCACAGAAGTCCTCATTCTAATAAATGCAAAGTGATAAGGATATATAAATGGGTCTTGTGGGAGTCAGGAGTTGTAGCCAAGCCTTGAGCTTGTAGTCAGGAGAACAGTAGTCTGACCTACAGACATACTTGACCCTTGAGCAGCAGAGAGAAGATGTGGCCTAGCCTCAGCTGGTTCCAGGAGCAAAAGAGACCATGCTTAGGTGGGCTCCAGGCCAGGAGTACTGATGCGGCAGTGGAGAGCCCACTTGAGCTGCAGGGAGAAGTCTGGCAGGGGTTTGTTGTGGGGCAGGGTGCAGAGACCAGCACTGGAAGCTCAGCCTGCACCTGGCAGAGAACAGACTACCGCTCCTAAGGAGTGGGAAGCACTCAGTCTCCACAAATCCTCACCAGAGGGGTGTTTAGAATCACTGTGGTCTTGGGCATAGGATGTGGAGGTATTGAAGCATGGGAGGGCAAGTTCAGAACCCAGCTCTCCCAAAATAGCTATGTGCCAATTTATATATGGCCATTGGCTCATAGTAGGCACTGAATAAATAGCAACTCTTTATGTTTTTAAATAAAAATGATAGGATTTAAAGATGTGGTGCCAACTGTGTGATGTAAAATGAAGAGAGTTGTACCATATAGTGCAAAGATGAATATAACAGTAACAGCCACAACAACAGCTAGCCTTTACGGAACACTTAATCATCTGCCAGGCAGTATGCTAAGCACTGCAAGTGTACAAACTCCATTTTTGCTATTATGTCACGATATAGGTACTGTAATTAATGCTGTGTGACAGGAGGGGAAGCTGAGGCACAGGGAGTTGAAGCACCTTGCCCAAGGTCCCACAGCTAATATATGGTGGAGCTGGTTCTACAGTTTAGGTGGTCTAGCTCCAGAGTCCATGTCCTCACCATTCTCCTAAATAACCCTTATTTCTGTTATTCTGTGGAAATAAATACATGCTGAGTACTTGGCAATTAGTAAGCCATTAGTAAATGGACACTGCTGTATTTATTATTGGATCTATATTTTTCATATCAATACATTAAAAATTATTGCTTAATGGTACATTAAAAAATTATTGCTAATGTTCCAATATATAGATATACCATAATACCATGATGCTGTCATACATTTTGCTATGGCTTGGTTCCAGTTTTTTTCTCATACCAAACTTGCTGTAATGAACATACACACTGGTGCACATACACGTTTGTGAGCATTAGCACTCTTAGATTCTTAGAAGTAGAATTTGAGACAATGGACATTTACATTTTAAATATTGATATTGCCATATTGCTCTCCACAAAGGCTGTATGGTTTTACTCTCCGTCAGCATATGACTCACCATTTTCCCACATCATCACTGAATGTTAGGAGATTTTCATAATTTTTGTAGTATTGAAAAGTGAAAAATGCCTCAGCATTGTAATTTGCATTTTTTTATTACTACTGAGGCTGTACAACTTTAATTGCTTCATTAGCTATTAACATTTCCTTTTCTTAGTGTTGCCTGTAAATATTCTTTGCTCATTTGTCTCCTGAATGGTTTGCCTATTTTAATTGACCTACAACTAGTCTTTATTTTTAATATGAAAACCTTCAGATTCAAAGTAGAATATAAGTATTCTTTACACATTTTAGATATTAATATTTTGACCATTTTTTCTGTCTTTCAAATGTCTTTTAACTGAATTTCTGACACCTCTCATCACATGCACTAAATATATTTGTTATGGTGTCCAATTCGTGAGTCCCGTCCCGTGTGGCTTTTAGGCATCATGCTTGCTCAGCAATGTGTGTCCTCTTTTTAACTGCAGCCTCTGCGTTGTCCTGGGAAAATGCTATGCTCTTCTTCCTTCCATGTCTAGGAGGTAAGCAATGGAAGAGGTAGGGATGGAGCCAGTGTTAGCAGTGGCGAATCTATACGGGTCTGCATCAACTCAATTCTTGCCTCCTTGAAGGAAAGAATTTGTCTGAGGGGCAAAAGACAGACCAAGACAAGTTTTTGAGCAGGAGTGAGAGTTTATTAAAAAATTTTAGAGCAGGAAAGAAGGAAAGTAAAATACACTTGGAAGAGGGCCAAGCAGATGCCTTAAGAGATCCAGATGCACTCTTTGGCCTTTGACTTGGGGTTTTATACATTGATGTGGTTCCAGGGTTTGTGTCTTTTCTACCCTGATTCTTCCCTTAGGTGGGCTGTCCGCATGCGCAGTGCCCTGCTGGCACTTGGGAGGGGCTGCGTGTGCACTGTGTTTACTGAAGTTGTGTGCATGCTCACTTGAGGCAGTTTCCCCTTATCTTCCAGTGTTCCTAGAGGAAGGTCATATACCAGTTAAACTCTGCCATTTTGCCTCTTAGTGCGTGTGCTTGAGCCCAATCACCCAACTTCTCAGATCTTATTGGGAAGCTGCTGATCACTAGCTTTATGTGTTTTTTCTCTCTTAGGAGACCGCCTTTCACTGGCACCAGCTATGACCAATTATTATTTTAAAAAGACAGTTTAACAACTGCCAGGCCATCACTTGATGGTCACCTGACATTCCTGGAGTTGGGGGATACTCTCCTTCCCTAGTCATATCTGCCTAACTACCTATTCTAACACCAGCATTTATGGAGGATTAACTTTGTACTGGCTATTGGACTAAACAATTTTACATGTATTGTAAATTCCATGAAGAAGGTAGGAGTATCGTCCCCATTTTACAGGTGAGGAAACCGAAACACAGAGAGGTTAAGGAGCTTGTCCCCAGATTACAGAGGCTCTGCTGGGTTGGGACCCAGGCAGTCAGAGTCCATAGCCTGCACTCAGAACCTAACATACCTGAAAGTACTCTCTGAATCTATAGAATGTGTTCAGTAATGAGAATGTTATATCTTTTGAGGATGAATTAGATTTGTTGAGAAAGCAAAAAATCACTCAGAGCAAATGTTTTACTGGAACTTGGTAATCTTAGTGAGCTGTATTGTTTTTTAGTCACTGTTTGATTTTGATCCTGAAATCATACTTACTGATTTGCTTGTTTTTCTCATAAATGGGCACTGAAGACATTTTATAGAGGGGACTTCTGAAAATGTTCAGAGCAATAGCTGCAACACTGGAACAAGGCTTTCCAGTTAGTCATAAGTAACCACTACCTTGGCGATGGAGTAAGGGAAGGTATAGAGAACAGAAACTCATAGTTAAAAGGAAGCCACAGTTAACTATCAATTATCGTGAGGCTGTGGAGGAGCAGAGACCTAAGCCATCCTCAGTTTTTGATGGCTCATAACTGATGCATACCAATTAGTGGCCCAGCAGGTGGTAGGATGCGGGTAGCCAAGCCTTGGGGCTGTGCCTTTGGAGTGGGAGCTGGAGGGAGGCAATTGGAGGGGTGTTGTTTTCTATTTTCCTGCAGGAGTGAAGAAGAGTTTTGGCATCTTTCCACCAGCCACAGGAAGCAGTGGGCAAATCGGGGAGCCTACTTATGGAACTGTGCTGGGGGGTGAGCTCATCTTCCCATGTTTTGACAGGAAGGAGGTGTGTTTACATGCCTAAGTTTTAGGACAGCACAGCTTCCCATGCCTTGTCCACAAAACTTCATTGCCAGGATTAGAGAATTCATCCTGAGTCTGCAGTAGAATAGCAGAATAGTAGAGCAGCCCTATCTCTTTCTTGGAAGCAGTTGGCAATGAGCAATCTATTTGCAAGCAAAAGACATACTGTGAGATGGGGTGTTATATGACGTTAATCTACAAAATCTGCAACTCAGGTGACCTGCTCAGCCCTGGCTCCTGGAGGAAGGCTGGCCGTGTGCAGTGAAGGAGCAGCAGGTGAGGTGGGGGAGGGCATAGGCGTGGTTGTGTGTAAACTCAGGATGATGGTACCTGTACTCCTTAATACGGTGGTGGGAGAGTTAACACAAATATGTGCTTTGCCCAGTGCTGTTATTATCATCAATCCATGCCCTGAAGCATTCACGGATATTACTCTGTTAAGGTAATTGTTAAATGAATATGGACGTGAATTGGAGAAAATATTTTGTGCACCCGCATAAACATGCTAGAGGATTTCACAACAACCAGATTAACAACCATTGGTACTATGAGTGGCAAGTAGCTACTTGGGAAGATTTATCTGATGGTAAGTGACTTGTTATAAATGGGATTCACTGACAAGTGTGGTGACCTCCTGACAAAAGTATGATTGGAATACAGCCAGTGATTCAGCAGTGTCCAAGAGATTCATGCTGAGTGTTGAATAGCAAAGGGTGGCCTGGAGAGAAGAGGTCTGGGAAGGCTGGGAGAGTGGGCTTGGAAATGGGAGGAACTGTATTGAATAAAGGCAGAGGCACTGGGACATGAGGAAGAAGTTACTTTGCAATGCTCCTGGTATCTGGGGCGGGATTGGCTTCTCAAATATTCGTTGTGACCAGATTGCAAATTTGTTGTGGGTTTGAACTTCCCTGAATTGAATCTGAGGATCTTTCTAGGTTCTGAAGAAATTGGCAAAATTTTATCCTTAAGGCCAAGTGGAGCTACTGATGAATTTCAAATGATTAAGTGAAAATCAGTGTAGTGTTTCTGCAGGAGCATTCTGGGCACAGCATGGGGAACTCACTGGGGGAGAGCAGGCTGCACAAAGAGATTGGTGCAGGGCTTTCGCTGGTCCAGGAAGGAGTGGAGGGGGCCTGACTGAAGCAGGGGAAGAGAGAAGGGAAAGTACAGGGAGGTGCTGAGAATGCAGGAGGCTGTGGTTTGTAGGACAATGACTGGATTGCATGGTGACAAAGACAAAGGGGCCTGAGGTGATTCTCTGGCAATCAGTAACCTGGGGCCAGTCAGTAAGCTCCTGGATGTATCTATGGGTCAGGCAGATGGAAATTCCCATAGTCAGTTGGATAGGCACTTCTGGAACTCCAATACCTGTAGGTGATGGTTGAAGCTCTAGTTTAGAGGCCCTAACCCAGGAAAAATAAACTGCATGGGCAGAGAACTGGCTGGGGAAAACCAGCAAGAGAATGTACAGAACTTTCATCTCATGAAATGAAGAAACTGAGAACATCACCCACATTTCAAGTCAATGAACCTTGACATCAGTTATCATCAAGTGTGACTGTTTCTCAGGCTAGAGTGGACTTAGGTGGTATGAGGGCTCTGGAAGAAACAAGCTGTTTACTATGGGAATGGAAGCGAACATACCTCAGATGGAAAGGTTCAAGTTCCTAGTTGAATCTTTTACTTGCTTTGGGAATTTTCTTTCAGGGCCAAGTTTCCCTTTGACCTGTCCAAACCCCACATCTCCTGTAAGATGCACCTTCTCCTCTGTGTTCTGAATGTTCACAGCACTTTCTAAGGCTCGATTTTTGCTGGCAGTCCACGCAGGCATGGGTGTGGGTCATCCAGCTAGAGAATAAGCATTTCTCTCTATAGCCCTCTGCAACTCCCAGGATCCCTTTGGAGATGGAGCAGGGGCTATCTAAGGAGTACTAAGCTGGGTTGATCAAATGCAGCCATGGAAAGAGAAATGAGATTATTTTTTCTTGATAAGAGCCTGTGGAGGCAGCCTGGTGGTAACTCTTCATTGATGAAGGTTGAACAAATAGGGAAGTGAAACTCTGAAGATGTACATTGAAGAGGCCAAAGAAAGCCTGGGCACATTTGGGATGATTCTGTGTAGCCTAAATGCCTTTGATCGTCCCGAGAGAGCATACTTCCCAAAGACATGATAGCTCAGTGAGGAATCCAGAGACTATTATATCACACTTCAGGAGTACTCAATTACCATATCCACATGGCCCCAGATAAATAATTTCATTCCTGAGGTTTTTTTTTTTTTTTCCAGCCATGTGGTTCTGGTTTTATAAACATGAGATTAAAAACTGACTAGAGATGAGCCCTCATAAGGAGGTGGCTGGTCAGGGCCTGTGGGGTGCAGGTATTTGTCTCCCAGGGGTCCTTGGATAGAGCAGGGATGGTGGGGGTGGGCATGTCACGACTGCATGCATGTGGGCAGGCCTTCTGGTATGAAACACATACTGAATTACCAGACTTCAGAAGCTATTTTTTCTTTTCTATATATTTTTTCATTCATAACAAGCTTTGCAAAACTGCCTTCCAAATGGAGGGTCAAATAATTTTGATCATGAGATCAGGAAAAAACAACTATGAAGTACCTTGGACTCTACCTTTGTTTTTGTTTGCATTTATGGACTTGGGTCCACATCCATGATAGCTCATGTCTATAAGTAAATGAGCAAGCCACCAGATCTCTAGAAGAGAAGCCCCCAATACTAGGTGTGTTATTTCAGAGTAGCCTTACATTAAAAGACTTCTTAGTCAATAGTGACATCTTATGACCTTTGATATTACAGTTACTGATTTTGTTGAGACAGGAATACTGTCTTCTGGGACTAAAGGAACAAAATCATATTCATTTGTTCATCTAACTCCTATTTCATTTTTGTTTTTGTTTGTTTTGGGGTTTTTCTGAGACAGAGTCTTGCTCTGTCACCCAGGCTGGAGTGCAGTGACACAATCTCAGCTCACTGCAACCTCCGCCTCCTGAGTTCATGTGAGCACATCCAGCTAATTTTTGTATTTTTAGTAGAGATGGGATTTTACCAAGTTGGCCAGGCTGGTCTTGAACTCTTGACCTCACGTGACCCGCCTGCCTCAGCCTCCCAAAGTGCTGGGATTACAGGTGTGAGGCACCGTACTAGGCCCCAACTCCTATTTCCTTGTGCCTCCCATGTTCTTGGATCTGAGAATACAGTGGTGAACATGAACCTTACAAAACATACAGTTTCATAAGACAGAGTGCAAATATTATAGCAAGTAAATATGAGTAGCTTTAGAAGAGGGCTTTTGAAGCGAGCCAGCAGGGCCATGTGGTAGATAGAGGGTTACAGGGATATGAGAATATATCCTTGAGGAGACCCTCCAGAAGTGCACAAGGATGTGGACAGGGAGAGGCCTTACTGCATCCCTGTGGTACAGCATGGCAAACAATTGGGGACTAGCTAGATCAGTAAAACGTCTACTTTTGGATGATTTATGTTGTGGATGCCACCAGCAGGTAGAAGAAATGCACAATACCAATACCAGAAGTGCTAACGTAGTTGTCAAATCATTTGCTATGTAAAAAGATTGTAGAATAATATGTTTTTTTTAAAATCTAGATGTTTATTCACCAAATGTATAACAGTGGTTATTTCTGGTCAAAGGAGACTTAACTGTTATCAGTAGTAGTATAAGCATACTTCCTTTCTCAAAGGGAGTATGAATTCCTGTAAGTAAATATTCATTAAAAATAGCAAAAACTCTTTAGAAAAGAGAAAAGTGTGATGGGGCTGGTCCAGAAAACCTCCTCAGGCATTTAGGTTGAGTCCCAAAGGATGAGAAGAGTAAGAGAAGAGCTCCCCAGGCCAAGGGCATGCCATGTGCAATGGCAAAGGGAGAAAGGGGCTTGGTATATCTGGGTATCTAATAGGCATCTTGGGAGGTGAGGCTGTAGCGTGTGGCCAGAAACAGGTGGCATAGGGTGGAGATGAGGTTGCACAGTGAGCAGACCAGGTCCTGCAGGGCCTGGGAAACCACAGCACAGAGTCCGGTTATTAGTCAGCATGTGAGGCTCAGTTGTGCACATTTGAAAAGCTGCCTATCTGCCTGCCTGCTTGGTGGGGATCGGATTGGAGGCAAGGGAGAGTGGCAGCAGGGACATAGGTCGTGGCTATTGATGCCAAGCTACTGGGAAACATTGATAACTTAGACCAGGGTAGTCTCAACCCTGCCAAGCATCTAAAATAACCCATGTTCAGGTTCTACCCCAGAACAATTGAATGCAGTTTCTGAAAGGAGGGCCTGAGCATTCACCTTTTAAAATAATATGCCTTAAGGATGCGAATCTCTAGGCTGGAGGTTGCCAGTGGTGTGGAGAGGCAGGAAGCGTTGAGGCATGCATTAGAGACAGTGTCAGTCACCCCCATTGCTGGACCTCCCAAGACCACCCTCAACAGCCTTGAGCTTGTCCTGGTTTAGGAGGGTGGTCTCTTCCCATAAGTGAAAAACACACATGAGATTAGTCATTGTACAACTTCTGGAAGTGACAAAACATGTCTCATGTCCACACAACTGGATTTTTTAGTTATAACAGCCAGAACTGGAGTCTTCCATTCCAGTGTATTTTCCTTCATTTTAAGGGTGAAATAAGACCTGGATCCACCAAGGTCTTGGGACAGATTGAAGAAAGACCCTGAGCAGGGCTGTTTTTTGCCTCTGAAGGCTGCCTTCCTGAAATCTCATGAGGGGACTATGCTTAGTTCCTGCTGTTTCCACAGTTCTTAGGAAAATGCAGCCTATCTTCATCCTAATTTCTCTGTCAACTTCTGCTCTGTCAACTTCTGAGGGACATTTAAAGCAACGAATATTGGCCGGCGTGGTGGCTCACGCCTGTAATCCCAGCACTTTGGGAGGCCGAGGTGGGTGGATCATGAGGTCAGGAGATCGAGACCATCCTGGCTAACAGGTGAAACCCCGTCTCTGCTAAAAATACAAAAAAGGCAGGGTGTGGTGGCTCACCTCTGTAATCCCAGCAATTTGGGAGGCCAAGGCGGGCGGATCACGAGGTCAGGAGATCAAGACCATGGTGAAACCCCGTCTCTACTAAAAAATACAAAAAAAATTAGCCGGGCGTGGTGGCGGGTGCCTGTAGTCCCACCTACTCGGGAGGCTGAGGCAGGAGAATGGCGTGAACCCGGGAGGCAGAGCTTGCAGTGAGCGGAGATCGTGCCACTGCACTCCAGCCTGGGCGACAGAGCGAGACTCCATCTCAAAAAAAAAAAAAAGCTGGGCGTGGTGGTGGGCGCCTGTAGTCCCAGCTACTCGGGAGGCTGAGGCAGGAGAATGGTGTGAACCTGGGAGGCGGAGCTTGCAGTGAGCCGAGATCGTGCCAGCAACGAATATCTGTGGCTTAGAATAAAGTGTTTTTTTTTTTTTTAAACACAAAGTCAAGGTATACACAAAAACTGGTGAGAAGCCTCATAGTCTGTAGTTATCACTAGATCCATTTGTTTTACACCTGAATAAATCTGTAACCCCAGTTACTAATTGTGCTTTTTTTCTGTTGATGTTTGTACTCTGCAGACTTGAATTCCATTATGTTAAATTACTCCATGTTTCAGCAGAAATAATATGCTTGACCCTTTAATATTTATTTGATTCTAAAACAAAATAGCAAAATAATGGCTTATGTATTAAGGTACTAGCCCATAGTCCAGCTTCTTGGGTATATTAGGGATCCATGAGCTATACTTTATACTCCTCCTAAACTTTGCATGCTACAGGGACAATAAATACTTTCCTGTCTAACTTTGGGTTCTCACCATGGAAACATCAGAGCAACAGCTGGGCTCTGTTAGATGTCTTTTCATTCTCTTGGCTGGTAAAATCTTTTGCAGAAACTTTAAAAAACTTGATGGCTAACAAAACTCTACTTTTAAGTGAAATCACTGATTCAAGTTGGCCAGATATTTGTCTTAACTGATTACGATTGCTAATTGGAAGTTTTCAAATGTTACCTTGGGCCCTTGGTGACCTAGAAACAGCCTTAAAGTTAACAGAAAGTGTGAGTCACTGTGAGGCCAAGATCAAACTGCAATTTAAGGATTCAGTAACACAGAAGGCTGCAGACCAAGACTGGAGGGCCATGTTCTTTACCATAAATGTAACAAAATATTTCTATGAATATCTTATATGTCCTATGCATTTTATGGAACTAAATGGGACAGTTTAAATGTCTGCATTTTATCTAAACCTTAAGACGGCTTTTTGACTAGTTGCCACAAATGGGTCATAAGGCACTGCTCCTCCAGGCTTTCAGGACAGCAGGCAAGTCTGGGGTGACTGGGCTCTGGGCTGGTCTTCTGGGAGCTGTACGCAGCCTTGTCCAATACGAGGCATTATTTTTCTCTGTGCTGTGTGAAAGAAGGATTGCCAAGCACGGTTCAGGAACCGTGCTTCGAAGGAACCGTGCAGTGATGAAAACAGTTTAGATTCTGCTTTAAGTTTCATGGGGTAGCCTGGCATGTTATAAAGGAGTCTGGCCTGGATGTTAGGAGATCAGAGTTCTTACTGGCAACCTGTTTGGTCTTGCCCTCTCCAGACCCCATCCTTCTTCTCTGCAACATGGGGAGATCTCTGAGGTCATCTCCAAGTAATTGTCAATCTTGCCCTTGGATCATGCATAGCAAGAGCCTCTGTGCCGAACGCTGTGCTAGGTCCTCAGGGCCATGGAACTGCAGCAGGCAGCAAATACTTATTGGATGTCCCTTGGAGCCAGGGCTCTGGGCAGGGTCTCCTGGAGAAACAGAGCAGGAAAAGTAACTCTAGTCAGGAAAAATGGCTCTTGCAAGGACTCCAAGAATGAAATGCCCTTGATGTTGGGTGGAAGCTTGATATATCAGTAGACTGTGTAAGGCTAGGGTGAGGAGGTTCACGAAGGGAAAGTGGAAGACGAAGTTGGAGAGGTGATAAGAGATTAGAGGTCAGCTAGGCAAACTAGACTTGATCCTAGGTCAGTAGACATGTTGCACAAGGGAATGTCATGTACAAAATTCCATCTTGTCCCTTACTCAGGTCCTCTTTGGCTTTAAACAGCCAAGTTTTGCTTCAACAGCATGGCAGAGTCTTTTTGGGTAGCTTGGGCCCCATGGGTTGAATACTTCCTGCTACAGTGAGTTGTTTAGTGTCTCTTCCCTCACTGGTCTGTAATCCAAGGATGGGGACTTTGTTTAGCCACTGCACCCCAGCATCTTTGCACATAAGTGCTCAATAAAATTTGTTAAGCAGGGCACGGTGGCTCATGTCTATAATGCCAGCACTTTGGGAGGCCGAGATGGGTGGATCACTTGAAGTCAGGAGTTCGAGACCAGCCTGGCCAACATGGTGAAACCCTATCTCTACTAAAATTATAAAAATTAGCTGGGTGTGGTGGTGCATGCCTGTTATCCCAGCTACTGAGGCTGAGGCAGGAGAATCGCTTGAACCCGGGGGTTGGAGGTTGCAGTGAGCCAAGATTGCGCCACTGCACTCCAGACTGAGCAACAGAGCGAAACTCGGTCTCAAAAAAAAAAAAAAATTGTTAAATAGAGGGAGATAAAGCCCTTGCCCCATAATTACACTGCTTTTTTAGTAAACGAATGCAGGAACAGAAAACCAAATACTGCCTCTTCTCACTTATACGTGGGAGCTAAATGATGAGAACACATGGACACATAGAGGGGAACAACAGATACTAGGACCTACCTGAGGGCAAAGGATGGGAGGAACGAGAGGAAGAGAAAAAAATAACTATTAGATATTAGGCTTAGTACCTGGGTGAAGAAATATGTACAACAAACCCTTGTGATGTTGTTTACCTATATAACAGACATGTATATGTGTCCCTGAACCTAAAATAAAAGTTTAAAAAAATTGTTTCGTTACATATTTTAAAAATCCTAATTGTAGGCCAGGCGCAGTGGTTCATGCCTGTAATCCCAGCACTTTGGGAGGCTGAGGCAGGTGGATCACGAGGTCAGGAGATCGAGACCATCCTGGCTAACACGGTGAAACCCCGTCTCTACTAAAAATACAAAAAATTAGCCGGGCGTGGTGGCGGGTGCCTGTAGTTCCAGCTAGGAGGCGGAGCTTACGGTGAGCCGAGAGAGCGCCGCTGCACTCCAGCCTGGGCAAAAGAGCGAGACTCCGTCTCAAAAAAAAAAAAAAAAAAAAAAAAAAATTAAAAAAATCCTAATTGTACAGAGTTGGGTTAATTATAATCCTTTGTTCATGACACATTGTCATCACTGGTCTTTGCATGATTATCTTCTAGTTTATTTTATAAAATATTTACGAATATAATAGAACATCAAGGAGACTATGACCTAACCTAAAAAGCAAGGTGTTACTTCTAACTTCCATCTCTGTGCTTCCCAATCTCCCATCCCTAGGCCTGGGTAACCAATACTTAAATATGTGTTTATCACTGTCTTACGGGGTTTTATTGTGGGGGTTTTTTTCAGTATTTTTTTTTTACTTTTTTTTCTGTACTTCAATGGACGTATTTTTTAAAGTATTACACACATATGACACATTAGTTTATATAATTCTGATTTTCTGCACTTTGTTGTAAAATGTATGTTCTTCTTGGACTTGTTTTGGTCACTCAGCGTTATGTTTCTGGTGGTCGTCCATATTGTCACGTGAAGCTGGCAATATGGATTTTCACTGCCTGGAATTTACCACAATCTTTATCTATTTTTTCCCTTCAGAGGGCATTTGGGTCATTTCCAGCTTTTGACAATTACAGATAGTGCTGCTGAGAACATTATTGGACTCTCATCCTAGTACACTGGTGCTTCAGTATCCCTAGGGAAGGTTTCTCAACCTCAGCACTGTTGACGTTTTGAACTGAATAATTCTTTGTCGTGGGGGCTATTCTGTGCATTGTGGGATGTTTTACAGCATGCTTGTGTCAGCCCACTAGATGCCAATAGCATTCCCTGCCCTCCACCCCTGTTGTGACAACTAAAAATGTCTCCAGATGCTGACAAATGTCCCCTGGGGTTGGGGGCAGAATAACCCTGGTGCAGAATCGCTGCCCTAGGGTATAGCAATACAACTTTTAGGTCATGATATTAATGTTTAATTTTACAAGATAGTGTTAATTATTTTGCCAGTTAAACCTATATATCCTCGTATCAACAATATATGAATTAGTTGACTTGCATTCTTTTCATCACTTGGTATCATTAGACTTCTAATTTTACCAAGTAGATAGAAAATGGTATCTCACTGTGGCCTTAATTCATAGTGCCCTGATTGATAATCAGAATAAAATATCTCTTCATACCAGTTTGTTGGCTGTGTTCATGTATTTTGTTCATTTTATAGTTGTGTTTTTGAAGTTTAAAATATATTTTCATATATTCTTGATTTGAGTTTGTCTGTTAGATATATTGCAAATGTCTGCTCCCAGTGTATTGCTCAACTTTTTCTCATTCTGATTGCTTTGGTCTTAGAACATACTTTAACATTATTTTGAATGTTTGTATCGTGTTTCTGAAAGAGCTCAGCAACATTCATTTTCCTTTTGGTGTTTGGAAGCCCGAGAAACATGACCCATTAGCCTGAGACCCAAATCCGAGGCATTACATTGGCTTTGTTGGAAACTACGCCCCAAAGAACTGGTCAGGCTGCAGGCCTCTGGGTTGCTTTTCCAACTTGAAAACGGTGACCTCAAATCTGGGACTGTTTGCGGTGAAAAGGAAGATACCTAATGGATTTGGAACAGGCCTGGGCCCTGGAGTAACTCCTTATCAATCACAAGCAAAAGACCTGTGGAGGTATTGGAAAGCCAAAGGCCAAACACCCAGAATTCCTTAGCACAATATAAACACAATTAAGTTACGCTTTATAAGAAAATCTAGTTTGAGAAAAAGCAAAGTTGTCAGAATTAATTATTCAGTCTTAAATATTATTAGCATAAAAATCATTTCATTTGACTGATTTTATCATAGACTGGAACTAAATAAAATCAAGCCTCGAAAGTCCTGTGCCCTAGGAGAGGATATTTCCTTCTCCACCCCTTTGCATTATAGGCAAGGCCAGTGATCTGGTCATAGGGCATCCTGGACGTAGGCCCTCCAAGTGGGTCATTGTGCTGTCTGCCCTTGGTTCTGCCCTGCCACTTATGATAGCAAAGCTACAACACATACATCATATGAAGATTTATTGTGGGATCTGAGGATGTTGAGCCCAAAGAGAAGACAGCTTGGGATGTAGGTTCAGATAGCTGTCTTTAAATATCTGTGAGACAGCCATTTGGAAAAGAGTTGGATCAAAAAGACAAAGTGCTTTTACATATTAATGCATTCCTCCTAGGGGATAGGTACTGTTAGTGCCCCATGTAGGGATGAGTAAAGTGGGGTCCAAGGTCACAGGGCTCAAAAGTGGTGACTCTGAAGACCAGACCCAGGCAGTCTGGCTCCAGAACCTCTCCAGCTCTACCTGGGAGAGTAAATGGAATCAAGGAATTTTGGAGGGAGGGGCTCAGTGTTTTGTTTTAAAGAGGAGAGGCCCATCGGTTGGCAAGGTGGAGGGCATTTTGTGTGGACCAGAAGTAATAACACCTGCAAACTCCTGATCAAGCTGAGGGAAGGTGGCCTCATGATGGAGCTTGTAGGTATAGTTTGGCAGCTGTGGGAGCACATGGAGGAAAAGAAGACTGAGGCTGGTAGGGGGTGGTGTGTATGAGGGTATACTATGCCAAGCTCAGAAGGATGGCTGAGTCCGGGCATGGTGGCTTTGGGAGGCTGAGGTGGGTGGATCACTTGAGGTTAGGAGTTCAAGACCAGCCTGGCAAACATGGTAAAAACTCATCTCTACTAAAAATACAAAAATATTCATCCATGGTGGCATATGCCTGTAGTCCCAGCTATTCGGAAGGCTGAGGCACGAGAATCACTTGAACTCAGGAATCAGAGGCTGCAGTGAACCAAGATGGTGAGATTGTGCCACTGCACCTCAGCCTGGGTGACAGAGTGAGACTCTGTCTCAAAAAAAAAGGAAGGATGGCTTAGATGTGCTTGTTTGTGGCTTCTGCCATGACAGGAGGGATGCTATCTCACTGCTCTCCTTGTTTCTGCTAGAGGCACCCCGAGTCCAGATCCATCTCTCCCTTCTTAGTTACATAATTCTCAATCCCTCTACCTACCTCTTTATAAGGCCAGTATAACCTTGATTTCAAAATCTGACAAGCACATTATAGAAAGGGGAATTACAGATCAATCTCTTTCCAAAATAGGTAAAAAATTCTTAATAAATTAAGAAATAGAATCTAGCTGTATATAAAAAGATAATACATTACAACAAAATGTATTATCTTTATTAAGTTTATTCATGGTATGCAAGGTTGGCTTAACATTTTTTTTAAAAAAGCAGTCTTCATAGCTCTTTAACAGAAAAAAGGAAAAATCATATGATTATCTTAAATGCAGGAAAGGCATTTGACAGAACTTTAATACTTGTTTATAATAAAGATTTTTAGCAAACTAGGATTAGAAGGAAATTTTTTAATGAAGGCTATCTACCAAAAAAATCTATGACAAACCTTATACTTTTCCCTGAGATTTGGAACAAGAAAAGGAAGCATCACTGTCTCCATTTCTTCATAATGTTGGAGGTCCTAGCAAGTGGACTAGGGCAAGGAAAAGGAAAGGCAGATGAATTGGAAAGAAGTAGGTAAAGCCATCATTATTTAGTGATGAAACGATTGTCTACAGAGGAAGTCTAAAAGAAGCTCTAGAAACAGTATAATAAATTTAGAAAAATTGCTGGATACAAGCAAAATTTACAAAAAGTTTATTTCTATATACTATCAACAAATAGAAAATAAAATTGAGTTCAATAATATGTACAGTAGCATCCAAATTTATACCTAAAAATAAAGATATCTAAGACCTCTGTGAAAATTTAAACACTATTAAGAGAAATTAAGATAGCAGTAAGATTAGGTCTAAATAAAGGCTATATATATCACAACCATAGATTAAAAAACATAGCAAAGATGTCAGTTCTTCAAATTTGCATATAAATTCAACATAATCCCTATCAATAGTACAGCAAAAAACAAGTTGACTTGTGAGAAAAAGTCCAGAAATCTACAAATATATATCTTAATGTATATTAACCTGATTTGTGAACAAGATACTGAAGTGGAGAGAAGGCCCTTTACTAAATGGTTCTGGGCCAATTGCGTATCGATGTAGGGAAAAAAATGTATCTGACCCCTATCTTACATGATAACAAAAATCAATTAGAGATGGACTCTACAAATGTAAATCTGAAAGTTAGTGAAATGAAGCTTTTAGAAGGACACAGAGACTATCTTTAAGACCTGGTGTAAACAACAACAACAAAAATTAACACACAAAGGCATTAGCCATCAAAGGTAAACAGGACATTATTAAGAACTTCTGCTTATTAAAAGATGACATGAAGTGAATGAAAGACAATAGAGAAGGGAAAGATGTTTACAGAACATATAAATGACAAAGGGCAAATGATATTAAAAACACTTCTTCGGCCGGGTGCGGTGGCTCATGCCTGTAATTCCAGCACTTTGGGAGGCCAAGGCGGGTGGATCACCTGAGGTCGGGAGTTTGAGACCAGCCTGGCCAACATGATGAAACCCCGTCTCTACTAAATAATAATACAAAAAATTAGCTGGGCATGGTGGTGGGTGCCTGTAATCCCAGCTACTTGGGAGGCTGAGGCAGGAGAATCGCTTGACCCGGGAGGCAGAGGTTGCAGTGAGCCAAGATCGTGCCACTGCACTCCAGCCTGGGCAACAAGAGCAAAACTTTGTCTTCAAAAACACACTTCTTCAAATACAAAAAAAAATTCATTTTTTTAATGGGCAAAAAACTACTTGGACACTTCAAAGAAGAGCATATCCAAATGGACATTAAAAGTGTGACAGTGTGCCCAACTTCATTAGTCATCAGAGAAAGCAAACTAAAAGCACAGTGAGACATCACTACACACAGATCAATGGCTAAAATGAAATAGACAAAATTATCAGATCTTGGCAAGAATGTAAAACAATCAGAATGCTCATCTACTACTTATGGGGATGGTAATTCATCCCATCATTTTTTTAAATGGCAGTTATTAATAAAGATGAACCCAAGCATATCTTATGACCCAAAAATTTCATCCCAAGATATAGTACACAGTAATATATACATATGTTCACCAGAAGACATGTACTACACTGTTTATGACAGCACTATTCAAAATAGCCCCAAATTGAAGGGTACCCAAGGGTCATCAGAAGTAGAATGGGTAAACTACTGGAATACAGCAATAAGAAGGAATGATCTTCAAGTATACGTAACTATGTCAATGAATCCCACAGCTGTAATGTTGAACAAAAGCTAGGCAGATTATGATTCCTTTTAGATGGAGAATAAAACCAGGCAAAGCTAACTTACACTATTTGATGTGGGGTGGGAGAGGGAAGCAATTGGAAAGGAGCATTAAGGGGGTGCTGGTTAGATAGGTGTGTTTATTTTGTGAAAATTCAGTGGTTTGTGTACTTTTCTGTATGTATTTTATATGTTGGTTAAAAAGGAAAAAACAGCTGAAGGACAGTGGGATGACAGAGTTAAAGATCCTGGTAGATGATGCCTGGAGTGAGACATGGTGGATCCGTAAGGACTGAAAGCAAGAAGATGCTGGGGGCATTGAGAAAGTAGAGGATGCACATGCATTAGGAGGTGAAGAATTTGGGTGAGAGGAAAGGAATGAGAGATTTGGGTGAATGGGGGCTTGTGGTCAGGGGTGGGAAGGTTGGATGTAAGATTTCCAAGGTGGGCTAGTTATGTACGATGGTGAGGTCTAGAGTGGGAGGGGCTAAAGGTGGAGGTCACTGGAGTTCAGCAAGGCAAGGGATTGAGAAGCCCAGCAGGGCATTGAACAGGTGTTCCATGTGGACCATGACCACATAAGTCGGTTGTTGACAGGACTTAGAGACCAGAGAAAGAGAATGTCCCAGTTTTTAAAGTTTTTAGTCTGTACTTAGCTGCAAGGACAAAACCCAATTGAAACCACCCTAAGCAACAACGAGAATTTATTATTTTCCATTAGTGAAAGGCTAGGGTAGAGCTCCAGAATTGCTGGATACAGGCATTAAAATGGTCGGGGGGACTGCTTTCCTCTCCTTTTCTCCCAGTTTCAACTATGTTTTTCTTGGACTCAGGGTGTCCTTATAGTGAGTCATCCCTGATGGTACCAGGAGAAACCCCAGGTGTGATATGAATTGGCCCCACTTGGACTATGTGCTACCCTTGAAGTGGGAGTGGAACTGCACCCCTGAAACACACTCATTGAAAATCAGGGGTGGCCATTCATTGAGAATAAGGGGTGGCATACCAAAACCATAGGTCCACCGTGGAAGTTAGTCCATGCCAAATTGGCCTGACCCTTGGTGATTTCTAATCAAGAGGGATGCAGTAAAGATGTGAGGACTCTGGTTGCTGCAGCAGCTGGTCATCACCAAAAACCTTTACTGGATGATTCTGTGTGGAGGAGAAAAACCACAGAGGAGGTCTGCCCATGGCCAGAAGCTTCTGTGAATTGCATGTAGGGGGTGCAGGGTAGTGGCATCTAGCCAGCTTGACAAAGAAATTTGGCCTTTTCTGCTTTCTTACATCTCCACCCGACGTTTAAAGTCCCACATTTCAGAACTGTCTCTTGTCTCCTAACAGACTGAGTGTGCTTTTCTTCATTTCAGCCAGCTGGGTGGTTTTTTTTTTTTAATTATTATTATTTCGTTGTTGTTGTTGTTGTTGTTTTTGCTTCATCTTCCTGTTTGTCTGTAATGCTCATCTCACTTTTCCATGTTGTCTGTGTGCATTTCTCTTTTCCTGGCTTTGTCTCAGGGAGGAGGAGGAGGAAGAGGAGCAGCCAATCACGGAGCCCAGTTCCGAAGAAGAGAGAGAGGATGATGCTTCCTGTCAGGGCAAGGACAGGTACCTAGGACTGGAGCCTCCCAAGCTCACACTAAAAGTGGGAGACTCCTTCCTAATGATAGTTCACTGCCTTCTAGTGGCCACCTCCCTTCCTCATTGACTCCCACTTGCAAACTCTTACTTACCCTGTTCACAGAGCCACAGAACCACTGGTTTTGTAGAAATACCTGAGCATGTTTTCATTAGAGAACTGCACTTTTTATTGAAATCCTACCTTCCTAACCACACTTTATGGAAAAAATCACTGGTTTTCTCCTCACCTTTCCCTCCCTCATTGAATGCTTTAGCTCAACCAGATTGATGGTGACTAAAAAGGCTCATCTCCCCTAAGAAGATTCTTGCCCTTTCAGCATTGCAGTAAGAAGAATTCCATATGTTCCTTTCTTCCTGATTTTACCAGCACAATATTAGCTAAAATGTGTGGATAACTACTATATTAATGATTCAGGTTTGTTTTATATCCAAACAGGAAAATTTTCACCCCATGCATCATAGCAAAATTTCCCAGTATTTATTTTCACACCAAGACAACTAACATATAACTCTATAGCCCTTTGGGGAGTTTGCTGTCATCTACTCACCTCCTCTGCATGGTGCTTTCTTTCTATCCTCAGGCAACGCTGACAGACATGGGCACCTTGCAGATATTTTAAAATTCTGTAGATATTTTCCCCAAATCATGTCTGTATAAAACAGTAAAAATTGCTCATGGGTAGTTTCATTTTCCAGTATTCAGAAATAATTCTAAAATTGAATGGTTTTCTTCACTTAATTGATTGCCACTGCAAATGGACATTTTTACTTTTTTTTTTTTCCTACAAATAAGCAAAATCAAATGGATCTTGGATGAATCCAAGTAAAATCTTTGCCAACTTTAGATTTAATGGAGTCTTTGCTACTGATGCCTCATCTGCCAGGCTAGCAGTGCACACAGAAGTTCTCAGATGGGCTCATTTGACACACAGACTCCTGCCATGCCCGGGGGTCATAGAATCTTCTCTGAACTGACAAACTAATGATTGCTTGCCCCTATTTGGAAATGACTGAGAAGAAGCCAGCAGGATGTGGAGAGAAAAGGAATGAGCTGATGATAGAGAATTAGCCACACATTTCAGGAAAGATCAGCATGAAACAGAGACCCTGCCGTGCTTAGAGCTAGTGATTGATTACTTAGAGGTGCTCTGGGAAGGGAGGATGTTTGGTCGCCATCCCACCTTCAGTTGAAAATGAGCTGTAGGAAATTCTGTAGGCTATCACTGAAACAGGGATATGCCTCCCTATCTGCTGAAAGGTGCATGTTCTGCCCACCTGCACAAACCCTTAAACCCTCAGGTATGCACATGCTTCTGCACCTTCAGACCAGATGGAAGAATCTGGCTGGAAAAGGCGGCCTTCAAAGGCATCCCTGTTAATGGTGTGCTGTCTCTACCTAGGATTTTTATTATACAGGTAGATGATTGTTTATCTTATGCCTGGAAGAGTCTCTGACTCCACAAAGTGATGCCAGAGGGCATCCTTTACCAGAGACCATTAGGCTTTTCAGTTTTAGGAAATAAACATGTGTATGTTAAATAACAGAGCTTGATCTTGGTAGTACCTAGGTATTCATTAACCTTCATCTGGATGTTATTTGTTCTCTGGCGTAAACTTCTGAGACCGTAAAGGATTTCCCCTTCCTTCTGTTGGGTTGGTGTCTCTGCTGCCCTGCTTCCTGCTGACTTCTGCTTAGTGTGTGCTCCCCGCCTGAGGCACTGCCCTCAGCTCGCTACAGCATGTCCATCTTCCCATCAATCCAGGGAAACTGTTGGGTGCCTGCCCTTATGTACAAGCAGAGCTCTGAATTTGAGGCGGGAAAGAAGACAGCTCACATTCCATGTTCACACGAACATGGCTGGGAGTCAATTTCTCTGAGAGAGGACTGGAAAAATGCAAAGTTTAACATAGATTCCCAGGTTATAAATGTATGTGTTAAAATATCCAAGGGTCTAAACCCAGCCCCCTGAAGATGGAAAGCTCTTTTTATAGTTTTATAATATTTAATGGACAAATTAAAAATTATATATAATGCCAGGCATGGTGGCTCACGCCTGTAATCCCAGCACTTTGGGAATCCAAGGCAGGTGGATCACTTAAGGTCAGGAGTTCGAGTCCAGCTTGACCAACATGGTGAAACCTCATCTCTACTAAAAATACAAAATTAGCCAGGTGTGGTATCGCATGCCTGTAATCCCAGCTACTTGGGAGGCTGAGGCAGAAGGGTTGCTTGAACCTGGGAGGCAAAGGTTGCCGTGAGCCAAGATCACTGGGGGCAACAAGAGCAAAACTCTGTTCAAAAAACTCTGCTCAAAAAAAAAAAATGTATATATTTAAGGTTTACAAAGTGATGATTTGATATATGTATACATTGCATAATGATGACCACAATCAATGAACATGTCTATCACCTCCCATAGTTACTGTGTGTGGAGGGACTGAGGTCAGGATTTTATACCTGGAGGCAGAATCAGGCCTGTCTGAAGGCGTCTGAATGTCACAGGTGTAGTGGGAGGCCCTGGAGAAAGTATGAAACGGGCAAAATTTGTCTTTTTTGTCCTGGCCCCTCTTTTTAGCTCTTTGCCTTCCTCGCTGGCATTTTTTCTCCTTTTCTCTTAGCCATACCTGCTGTCACAAAAGGTTCTGGAAGCAGTCACTAAAGTGTATGGCTTTGTGGGATACCTCTTCCTCAAGGTTGGGCTTTTTAGCAGGAGGACAGATCTGCTATTTGACCAAGACAGAGATGAAGTTCCAGTCGTGGAAATTCAGATGCCAACACCAGCAGCAGGGAGAAACATGGGAGGTGCCGGGTGCAGAAGAGTCTTTGGGGCTCCAGTAAATTCCCAAAGTCTCTTACACCTAGAGGCCAGGTTTGGCCTGAGAGCCACCTCCTTGCCCTCTATAAGTCTTACCTCCTGGTTTGACAAACTCAGCATGTCAGGATTGCTTGGGCAAACCAAAGCTGCTGGTGACAGGCTTTTATGCTTCAGTTCAAGAAACACAGCTTGACTTTGAAGTGAGTGATAATAGTACAGAAGTGGCTTTTTGCCTGTCTCTCTTTTTCCTAACCTTTGCTCCTTCTCTCCCAAATCTTTTTTTCTTCTTCCTCCTCCTCCCTGCTGGCCCAACAGCAAGGTCGGCGCTGCCTCAGGGCAGAGCCCCACTGGAAGGGATGCTGCTCCCAAGAGCTCTGCCCTCCCTGCTGTCTCGAATGCCAGCTCGCAGGGAAAGCCGCTTCTGGTTGGCACTGCAGGCGGGACCACCTGGCACAGTGGGTCCTCTGGGTCTGAGGCCACCCCATCTGCCCTCCTGTCACCCCCTGCCTCAGCTGCTCGGCCCTCCTCCGCCACACCAGGCTCCCTGAAGGTGTCACCGACCATAGACAAGCTGCCCTACGTGCCCCACAGCCCCTTCCACCTCTTCTCCTATGACTTTGAGGACTCCTCCCTGTCCACCAAGGAGAAGGAAGCAGAGTCCCAGAAGGAAAACAGGTAGATTTGCTCACCTGGAGGCTTGTTTGAGATTAACTCGGGGAGGAGAACACAGTGTGTTAACTGCACCCCTTGGCTTGGCTTCTGCCATGTTTTTTTGTGGATTTCAGCCCAAGCAGGGAGCAGTTGTGGCATAAACTTAAGTTGCTGACCCCTGACTAAATAATGACCAGTGTTTACATAAGATGCAGAGAAAATTGTCATCTGTTTGAATTAAGGGGATCATTTGTTAAAATATGATTACTAGTAATGGGTTTTTAAATGTAAGGTTTACATGTGTATAATGTGTCCAAATTTATACATCTTGTACCAAGCCAGGTGGCATGAAGTCTTTTTGACGCTGAAGAATGTATCAAAGTCCTTTGCTATCTTTCCGTGCCACATTGTGAGCGGGCTTTTCTTCCTTTGACAGTTCCTCTGATTCTTTCTCTTTGAGCACATATTCTGCCTCTGAGCCTTACCACTTCCGATCTTTCTCTTCTAATAGGTGGGTGTCTTTATTTTCTTTCCCTTTTCTGTAGCTTTCTGTTTTATATTCTAATGTATGCATTTTTCTTTTCAAAGAATGCTAATATCTTCCTACAACGTGACACACAATTACAGTTTGAACCACTTCATAGGTATTAATTACGTATTTTACTATGAACACTTAAATCTTATAAAAAATGGAGATGAGGGCAGAGGGAGGTGTGCAAATCAGAACTCCCCCAAGAATGTTCAACAGGTGTCCACCTGTATTAATGCCTTTCCCTGTTGCCTGCGTTATGAGCTCTCTGCTGGAGTGGGGAACTGGGAATAGAGTTGGCATATTTTGAACAATCAGTCGTCCAAAAATCAATAGTTGATCATTCTAATGACCATTTCATCTTAGATTAATTATAATAGCTGACATTTATTGAGCATTGTTTTTGAGCCACATCCTGTATTTTCCATGAAATTAGTACTTTATTACTTTACCCTTGAGAGGTAGGTTCTATTACAAGCATTTACTACACTGAGGAAACTGAGGCACAGAAAGGCTAAGTACCTTGACCAGAGTCACTCAGCTAGTATGTTGCGAGGCGGTTTCAACCCCAGGCAGCCTGTTCCAGAGTCGCTTCCTAACCCGTACGTGGTGCTGCTGTCTGTCATTTAGGCAGTCAGTCACTTTCTCTCCTTACTGCACTCACCACACCCTGCCAAGGCAAGTCCTTGTCAGCAAGATGTTTTGCCAGAGCCTGTGTTTCGGGGACCCCAGTCTGGGTGCCCTACTCAACAGGAAGCTGCACCATGTTTTAAATGAAGGCTTATAGGACCTGAACCTTGAAGGAAGCTCCTTCATACCATGAAAATGACCAGTCTTTATGGGTATCAGACCTTTCACCTAATAAATAGGAGGGCTAATCTAGATCTATGATCGTTAACAATTTTTGCTTACTATATCTGAAGGAATTTTGAAGTTTCCCTCCAAGTTTTGAGAAGCCTGTCTACAGTTTTTTTTACTATAAGTTTAAATTGTTGATATAATTTGTCTATTGTATATATGCTTTATATTTTTTTCAAAACCTTGGGGCTTTAGATTTAACTGATTTAATTCTGGAAAACACCTATGTATACCTACTTGGCAAAGCCAGTCCTTAGTCAAATGAGACTTAACTTCTGTCAGAAGAAGCCTGATTTCATGTTTCAGTTCAAATAAGCGAGCTCATACGCATCCCTGACAACAGTCTCATTTTTGGGGCTGATTCTCAGGTGGGCACGTAGACAGAGATGAGGCATGAGACCTTGCTTCTAGTTTTTCCCTGGATAAATAAAGCTCCGTCTTCTCCCTCCAGCATACTTCTTAAGGAATTCCCTCAGGAGTGATATTTTCCTTTGCTTGGTACCATGGAGATCTTATAGCACAAAGCAGTGCCCCACACTGATTCCACCTGCTCAAGAGTTTTTTTTCTTTCTAAAAATGGAAGGTGATTTTGGAAGGAGAAGCTGGAAAGGACTGGGAGACCCTAGGAGCAGCATGGGAAGATCCATTTTTAAAAAGAGCAGATATGGAACTTCAGGATCTGAAAATTAATTTCCTCTGATTTCCAGAATGGCTTTGTATACCTCCAGGAGTTGTGAACTGAGCTTCTTTTTTTTTCCTTCTTTTTTTTTTTTTTTTTTGTACCCCAATCATACTATCCCAGTGAACCAAATTTGAATTCCTTGAAACTACAAGTTCTCTGCAGGTCTCTTCCAGGTCTACAGTTCCAGGATTGTTGTTATCTTTCACACAGTTTTTGCGGAATGAATCCAACATGACTCTTACACCTTCCAAGAACAATATCTATGTGCAAGTTAGGAGCTGAACATTTGACTGGAACAAAAATATGTTGGTGATCTCATCTTTCCCAGAGAGTGTGTTAGCCCACGGTGGTGATGCTGGTCTTTCTGGTGATGGTCTCGGCCCTAGTTGGGGCTTTCCTGGGCCCCAGACCCTTCCCGTTTGGTCTGCAAGCTTCACCGCTATTTATAGTCGTGGGGGTGGGAGCAATAGAAACACATAAGCTGTCCAGTTGAAGATACACGTAAGTTGTGGGGGAAAAAAAAAGCTGCTTGCTTGTGAATGAAGGTTGACTTTGATTTAACTGAGCAAAGTTTGTAAACTTTTAAAATCACTTCTCCAGCAGGAACTTGGATACTGTACAAGTATTGTTCCTATTGATTTTTCTGATGTTCACTTTTTGTGGTTTTCATGGGTCTGTGTGACCACAGATGGACTACTCAGTGGTTGACTGCGATTGAATGGGTTATAATAAAGACCGACCAGTTAGTCATTAAAAAGAACCCTCACCCTCCACACACACACACACACACACACACACAAAAATGCTGAATAGTGAGTTGTATGATCTAGTTAGTTTGGCTGAAATTGAGAAGCAAAATTAGACTATGAGGCATTTGAATTAATTGCTTAGACATTAGGAAAACCAAAGGAGGGAAAAACACATTCTGCTTGTTTTATTTCCATAGCGTCATTTAAACACAATTTTAGCAAAGTGATCCTGTTAAAACATTCTGCAGGATGTCCACTTGTGGTGGGAAGGGAATTGTTTTAGCTGCTGGAGTAGGATGACAAGCTGAGCATCCAGGCAGCTGCTGACACAGGCATGGAGCCTGTGTGGATCAGGCTGCATCAGGGTCTCGTCACGGAGAGTGCTAGGTGTCGTGCGGGGCAGCCTCCTTCCCCTCCCTCATTGCAGTGCTTGCTGCCTGGTTTCTTTCCCTCTTTGCTCATTGGCTTTCTCTCCCTTCTCTATTTCTGCCTTTGTAGGTTCCTTTCATCCTTTGCTTTTGTGCTTCCTATGTGGCCTGTGGTTTGGGAACCCTGTTGAAAAATTAAACCAACACTCACTTGGAGAAGCAATTAACCTGTTTGACATGTAGAGTGTTGGGTTTTTAAAGAGAAAATGAGTACTCAGAAACCAAGTCCCACAAAGATGATGTGTTCACAGAGGATAATGGAATAGAGTGGTATGCTCTGAGCCTCTCTCTGTCTGGCACTGAGAATATGCCAGCCATGTGACACTAAATAAATAAGGACAGCAACAGCCAAACTGACCAGAATTAGCAGCACAGGATAGATGCGGGTCGTATCAATATTTTATTTTCCATTATAATAATGAAATTTCTTATTGAAAACTGAAATTTCATCTCTCTATTCTTTTTTAAAAAATAGCCCATTTTTATAGTTTTTCCTACACTTAGTTTTTGACTTTTGAGTATATTTTTGCACAGTTGTGATCAAACTGTGTATATTATATCCTGATGTTTTCATTTAGCCTATATTATCATTTTTCGTGTTGTCACTTATAAAATTGGTAATCATTTTTAAGGGTTGCATAATAGTCCATTGACAAATAATATATCATACTTTCGTAGCCATTTCCACATTTCTACCTGGTTAAGTAGTTTTTAGTTTTCTACCATGATCTAAATAATGTTCCACTATTTGCAGGAGCTTTCTGGAAAGAAAAAGAAAAAAGATAAATAATGCTCCAATAAGTATCTTCCTGTATGACATTTTCAGTATATAAATAACTATAAGGTTATTTCCTTATGTTATCTTCCCAAAAGTTGACTTACTCTGTCGAAGGATACACTCATTTTGAAATCAGTTTGCTTTCCAGAAGGGATTCCAATTTCTGTTGATGGGCGTTTGGACTGGATTCTCCATGTGCAAGAAGCTCTTTGTGTCCTTATAGTGACTGTTGGGGTCCCACACATTCTAATACAGTGTCCCTAACCAGTTCGGTGGACGGGGTGGGTCCTGCTCTGTGGCTGGGTAGATTTGCGAGGCAAAGCTCTCTGAGCCTCATTATTTGTAAGTAATCCTGAGTGTCTGAGCCCATGCAAGGGCATCAAATAATGATTTGTTTTCTGGGAGTGCTCTGAGTGATGATACCTAAATATGGTCTGCTAAAGGACGTCTAGTCTGAAAAACAGAAATCTAGAATTTTACAGATCTTGAAATTTAACTTGTCAGACATGTCTGGAAAATCATCAAATCTCATGTAAACCTCATGGCTGTAATTTTGGTTCAGGGGAAATGTTGGATGAAAACATGAATACATGCACCTCTAAGGAGCAGGCCAGTCCAGAAAGCCTGGGGACAGTTTCTCCTCAATCACTGAACATGTGATGGGATTACATTTAATCAGTGAAATTGATATGGAAATACTAAAGTGGAATTTTAAATAAGATGTTTCTTTAGCCAACCATATGGTATTTCTTACAGACCTGTGATGGAATTAACACTAATTGTGCCACCATGTGAGGCAAGAAAAATCTTCATGGTTCAAGTGAAATTGATTTGGATTTTTAATTTATGTTAGCAAATAATTTTAACGTACATTTTAAAAAACAGGAAATGTTAGGGTTTTATTTAAACCCTTTGTCATAAATCTTGCTGCCTAATGGTTTTAGACTTTGGGAAACTCCTCTTATGAGAAATTATCAGAAAAAAACAGGGAACAAACCTCTTTAGGTAGAATTACCACTAACAGTGGTAGCATTTCCAGACCTGTTTCTCTTGCAAAAATTAAAATGGTTTGCTAAGTCTTATTTACTGACTTGTACTTATTTCTCTATCCTTTTCCCCCCAACTTAAACCTCTGCACTTCTTAGATACAGCAATTTTGGCAATAACTCTTATCACTCCTCAAGACCCTCATCTGGATCCAGTGTGCCCACCACCCCCACATCATCCGTCTCACCCCCACAGGAGGCCAGGTTGGAAAGGTGAGTTCGACAAGCACGCTGATAGCTTCACAGTCCTCAAGTGAGGGGAATCAATTTGGTTAAGTGTGGTTAAAGGAAAAATATAAATAAAAGACATAACATGAAGTATTTTCCTTTACAGAACATTGTCCGAAGCCAGGAATATTTTCTCTTTCTTTCACACTATTTACTAAGCAAATATTTTATTAGAGGTGATATTTTAATATTAGCGTCTCATCCCCCTACACACTTTCCATAGAAAGTATAAAAATGTCTTCTAAAATATTTGTGTGAATGTTTTGATTCATTCCTTAAAAACTGTTCTAGATTTTACGTAAGCTCTGCAATTTGTTATATACACATCAGTTTTCACCATTGAATGATTAAATCTGTGTAAATCAGAAAGTAGTGGGCCCATTAAGGTGCTGTATAATTAATCCAGGACCTACCAGAAGAGAAAAGAATTGTATGGGTACATGGAAGGAATTTAACTTGGCAAGAGTATTAGACCACCAGAAATTAACTGATTATGACTCCCAGAAGCAAATGATTGCCCAAGGATGTGTTTACAAGGGAAAGGTAAGACCTGTAATTTTAGAACAGTTAGAAAGTTACCCTCACATGGCAAGAGTGCTGAGTTAGAGAAGACTGGTTAGGATTCCAGCTCACTCACTTGGAAGTTATTTAACCCTGAGGGTAAATGCCAATTACACCAACCCATACCTTAGAGGGTGATTTTGATGAGCAAACAAAAGTCCACTCGGGAGTGCTGTGTGAAGCCCACCATGTGTATCTGGTGGAAGCTGTTAGTGTAGGAGATGATAGCATGTAACTTCCAGCAGCTCCTCATTCATCAGGAATCTAGACATGAGCGACATCAGAGATCACTTACCTCAAATCCCAAATTTAAAGCAACCTGCGTTCCACATTTAGATCCTCTTCTATGTGTATTCTGAAGTATGTTTTGCCGAGTGCTGCTGGTGATTGGAGGTTTGGTTGGGTTGAGAGCAGGCAAGACCTTAAGCCCTGGGAGGAAGGGAGGTCCAGTGGGGTTTGCCTAGTCACATGTCACTGTTAACTTCTAAGATGGCATGTAGATCCTACGGTGTCAAGCTCTCAGATTCCACAGTCCAGTGTGGTCCTGGGCTGAGCACACTTGGGCTAAGTTAGGTCTTGATAATAAGGTAACCATTTGATTACCCCGAAGACACCATTACCTGTCTGTAGTTCTGTCCTTTACCCTAGGGCACCTCCTGTTGGGATTAGCTGAAGTTACCTGTAGTCCTGAAAAGGTCACCATACAGATGACCCTTGTCAAATGGGATGTAAGATTTGGGGCCAAAGTGAGTAATATTGGAGTCAGACTGATACGACGTTGCACATCTTGCACCTGCCAAGCTGCCAGCTCCTCAGGGACTAGAACCAGGCTCTGTTCATTGGTGTGTTCCCTACAGTGCCTGGGGCCTGGCAATAGTAGAGCCACAGTAAACACTGATGGAAGGATGGGGTGACTTAGCTGCTCACTGCTTGGGAACACTTTGGAGGTCTGTGAAGTTATAAAGTTATACAGACAGGGGTCCATGTGGCCCACAAGATTACCAAAGCCCTGGGCTTGGATGTTCTTCCCAGGTTCTGAAAGGGAAGCCCCAACCTCTGCCCGCTTTTCTGCCACTGGAATCCCAGGTCCAGGTTTGGGCTAGAAGATCCAGGATCCTGAAGGACTCCTGTCTGTGTCTCCTTCTCTGCCTGGACTGGCTGAAGTGCCCCTGGGGATAAGGAGGGTGGGCAGTTAAACCAGGAATGGTAGAATTGGATCCCAGAGCCTGGGCGCGGTGGCTCACACCTGTAATCCCAACACTTTGGGAGGCCGAGGTGGGCAGATCACGAGGTCAGGAGTTTGAGACCAGCCCAACCAACATGGTGAACCCCCGTCTCTACTAAAAATACAAAACTTAGCCGAGTGTGGTGGTGCACGCCTGTTATCCCAGCTACTCAGGAGGCTGAGGCAGGAGAATCACTTGAACCTGGGAGGTGGAAGTTGCAGTGAGCCGAGATTGTGCCATTGCACTCCAGCCTGGGTGACCGTGAGACTCTGTCTCAAAAACAAAACAAAAACAAAAAAGACTTGGATCCCAGAGTGCCTTGAACATCCTGGGGAAGAGGCTGGACTTTATCCTGAGACCACTGGAGCTGTTCAAGTTTGGAAACAGGAGACAGGAGGCAGGAGGCAACCAATTCTAATTTGTTAGTAGCATAGAACAAGCCACTGGGGTGAGGCTGCAGGAACAAGGGCTGCCGCGAGGCAGTGTCAGAGTCCAAGAGAGATGACCGTGCCCAACATGGCACTGGCTGTGGGACTTGCCAGGAGCAGCAGGTTTGGCAGAGTTGGCTGCCGCCTGGAGGGTAAGAGGAGACGCAAAATGAGTAGAGGTTCAGGCTTGCACGAGTGTATGGATGTTAGAAACAAGGAACTGGGACGATACTGGAAGAAAAGCAAATTGGGTGGAGACTTCCAGCATGGGGCATGGGTGGTCCAAGGAGCCTGTCTGACATCCAGGGAGATGTTCCAGAGGCCCTGGGGAGGTGTGGACTCAGCAGTCCTTGGCTTGAAGAAGGCTCTGGAGTTAAATCCCTCAGAGAGCCTGGCATTGGGATGGGGTCACTGGGGAACAGCAGTGGTGGGATGACTCTCCTAAGTTCCTTTCCTTCTTACAGTACGCTGTTGCTGTAGGAACTTGGTTTTCTTTACCATCACTCTATCCACGAGCGAGTACGGTAGCTTCTAAGAGTCTATCACCTCCTTTACATTTGCTTGTCTTTTTCACTGTCACCTTGTGTGGCTCTGAAAAAACATATGATGAATCATTTGACATATCAGATGTGCAGTTTTATTAAGACCAGGAAGCCACTGGACCTGGCTGTATTACCACTTTACTTATGTTTTGTAAGTGGGGGAAAAAAAAAAAGAAATAAGAGGATCTTCTAACTCCAAATCATACTTGTGCACCATCGCCCAAGAATATTACATCAGTTGCACTTATGATAATAGACATTTTTATATAGTTTGAATTTTTTCTTTGTCATATTTGACAACTGAATTCTTTGGATATCACCCATAATCTAATTTCACCTATGCAAGTATTTTTTGCCCATTAAGATGTGTGATTATTTTTACTGAGGTATATATACTTTAGTAGAATTTGTAAGATTTATGGTTGGTATGTTTTATATATACATATATTATTAAAACCAAAAAGGAACTATATTATCAATAATGGTTACATTTCTGCAATGAGGATGCGCGTCTTCTGTGATCATACCCCTGACTAATAAACATTGTGCCTGAGCCCTGTACAATACTAGGAAGTTCTAGAACTTCATTCCCTTGATTTGGAAACAAGACTACTTCACTGAAGTCCTGGGATAATCAGGCCAACTAAAACACCCTTCAGGCACCTCGGCCCACTTTGGAAATGCAAGTGGACATTGTCATGAGCTTGGAGTTTTCCATTTCTTCCCCAACAAGTATATTCATGTGTTAGATGTTGATAAAACTTGGAATGATAAATTGACATAGGAAGGAAGTGCTGAAGAAACAATATGGAAAATTAAGTCAAGGATATTAAAATGAATCCATCTCCATATCTCCTATTATAGCTTTGTTAATAGGGCTCTCTTTTAGAAATAGAGTAATATTTTCATGAAGTTTGGAACTTAAGAGAAAACAAAACAAAACGAGAAAACCAGAACTATCTGCAAAGGCCCTCAGGAATACAAGATGCAACTGTTTAATGAAAGCAGACTTTTAAAACACTTCACTTTTTGAAAATGTACTTTTTGAGCAGATAATTTCTAAATGTTTTCTTTGTGAAAGAAAATAAAACTACAGGAATATTTGAACTATTTGTGTTCAAGTATTCAAATGAAACAAACAAGCAAACAACCACACCTCAAGCGCATATGTGGTTGTGAGGCTTTGGGAAAGGCCGGGCCCATCCTCTTCCCTTCCCTGTAGTGACATCTCCATCTTGTGGACTTTCTCATCAATGGCGGCTGGAGGCTTGCCTTGTCAATGTGAGGAAACAGTACGCCCAAGCCCTGGGACTGAAGGTACCCTAAGACAGTCCTTGTTCTGGGACTAGAGAGGCCACCTAGAGTAAGCCTATCCTGCACTGTGAGTGCTCAGTGGGAAGAGGTTGTAGGAACCTCAGGCCCATACTTAGGACGCCAGAGAGGATTTCTCTGTGGACATGCTGTGCTGAAACCCAAAGGATCATATGCACTTTAACCATGCATTCTGTTCTCTTTTCCACTTGTAATAATGCCATTGTTTACTATAAATGACACTGACATGGCTGTTTTTCAGATTAATGTCAAGAGCCCTTAGAAGATCTTGGGAATTGTCTTTCTCATAGTTGTCCCAGCAGAGTTCTTCCTACTTCCTGTAAGATTATAAACCCAGATATAAGTAACAACATCTTGTTAGGGAGTAATAATGGATAATAAGGGATGGATAAAGGACATAACCTTTTGTGTGTGTGTAGTAAGAATACTTAACATGAGATCTACCCTCTTAACAATGTTTAAGTGGTCAATATGTTATTATTAACTATAGGCACTATGTTATGTAGGAGAGCTCTGGAACTTCTATAATTGTAGCTTTATACTCATCAGATAATAACTCCTTATATCCCTCTTTCCTCAATCCCCTGGTAACCATCATTCTA
The DNA here is from genome assembly GCF_000001405.40 of Homo sapiens. Taxonomy (NCBI): domain Eukaryota; kingdom Metazoa; phylum Chordata; class Mammalia; order Primates; family Hominidae; genus Homo; species Homo sapiens. The sequence goes on from NC_000018.10 coordinate 36,662,895, forward strand.
TTGTCTACTTCTATATCTTTGACCATTTTAGATGCCTCATATGAGGGTCATTGAGTTGTTTTTTCTCATTGTATTATTGAAGTTCTTTATAAACTGTGATAAGAGTAGCAATCACTTTTCTCATTGTTCTTTTTTACTTCATTTATTGTGTGTTTACCATGTAGAAACATTCAATTTCATGAGTAAATCTTTTCTATTTTCATGATTTTGTGTTCCTACTGAAGAAAGCCTTTTTTCTCCTGGTTTCTTCTAGTACTTCTGTAGCTACATTTTGTCACATTTAAATGTTTTATCTATCTGGAAATTATTTTGGCAAATAGTATGAGGCAGAGGTCCAACTTCAGCTTTTTCATACATTCAACAACATGTATTGAATAACCCTTTGTTTCCCTACCGTGTGTCAGATACTAACAGGAAGGGAGGTTTGTTTATGCATCGGTGTGTTCAAACTGTTCTTAGGAGCATCTCCCCTCTTCCTGCTGTCAGCCTTCCCTGATCAGCCACGCTGACCTCTCAGGAGCTCTCCTTCCTCCCAGTTTTTGGCTTTACCACTTTCTTCATGGTCACTGGAATACAACTGTGTCATGTGCTGCCATGGAACAGTCCTATTATTGCATCATCTGCTTTTAGGAGGTTGTGTACAGTGACTGACAGTGCTATAGTAAAGAACAGTCATATTTTAGGAAGCTGGGAAAGTGGAAGCCTTCTGTGCTTCTGTGGTGGCTTCTCCCAGCTTAAGCTCTCTCTTATGGGAATCTCACTTGCTGTGATCCCCTTGAACACCTATCTCCACCATGTTTATGGAGACTTCTCCCTCAGAATTCAGGTTTCTGTTTCCATGCATTTCCTGCCTGTTGGCAGTTACTGTAGTTCTTCCAGTGATGGCCTGCCAGGCTTGCCTTTTGACTACCACCCTGTGTGTAACTTGTGGGTACCTGTGCCTTCTTCATCTTTGTTGCCAATTCCAAGTGGACTGTCTATTCCCTATGAATCCACATGCTTGTGTCTTCCCATTCTTGTCTGCTTTGGCTTTTATCATTTCCTTCCCTGACCTCACTAGTCATCTACATGTGCCTTGAAGTTCTACTTGGGTTTTTGAATGACTGTGTTTTGTGGATATGTGATCTGGGTGTTTTGCTGGATCCCAGATGCTTGCTGGCTGTGTTCTATCACTTGGTCAACCCAATACTTAAAAAAAAATTGTCAGTGGAATTGAGAGCCACATTGTGCAATGGGGTTCTAGTTTTTAAAAAAATTAAATTGGTTGATTAAAGTACATTTTTAAAAAACAAACTTCTCTGAGAAAATCCCAAATAGAATGTAAAATAATGGGATAAAGGACATTGTTTTTCTATGTGACACAGTTAATGGCACCCAGTCCACAAATGCCAGTAGGAAACAAGCAGTACAAATGTGGTCTGATTCCCCACCATTCAAAGATGCTGTGTTCTCCTTGGACTGCGCAGAAGCAGTCTTCCCACTTGCCTGCCACTAGTTCCTGACAGCAGTCTTGTTACAAACAATAAGAGTCCCTGTAAGGCTAAATGTGGTCCTTATTAATTGATTGCGTTACATCCAAAGCACGCAAGAGAAGCACTGGTTCTGTTGATGCAGTAAGTTCAGAGTGGGGTCTGGCTCGCTAATGGTAGGTTCACAAAGTGACTGTGGGCCCTAGGGAACCTGGGCTGTGCTGTGCTGTGGGACTGTGGGTCCTCAGCAGGTACTGGAGATTCTTTCTCCCACACATGTTTTAGATCTGACTTGACTTTTTCCCACCATTCCTACTCCCATCTTTGCCATGGTTTCCAGTTGTCACTTGCTACATTAGTTTTGTACCATTATTGTACAAAGATCACAGAGCAAAAAGGGGTGTGTGTGTATGTGAGAGAGAGAGAGAGAGAGAGAGAGAGAGAGAGAGAGATTGAGATTGAGATTTCTCCTTCAGAAAAATGTATTACTGGGCTGGGCGCAGTAGCTCATGCCTATAATCCCAGCACTTTGGGAGGCTGAGGTGGAAGGATTGCTTGAGACCAGCCCAGGCAACAAAGAGACCCCAGGTGTGGTGGCTTATGCCCATGGTTGCAGCTACTCAGGAGGCAGAGGCAGGAGGATCACTTGAGCCCAGGAGTTGGCAGCTGCTGTGAGCTAAGGTCATGCCACTGCATTCCAGCCTGGGTGACAGAGTGAGACCCTGTCTCAAAAAAGAAAATGTATATTGCTAGATCACTGAATGTTTGTTTTCCTATCTCTTTCCCCATTCCTTCCCTCAAAGCCCAGTAATGAGGACTAAATAAGTTTTATTGTTATAATGGAAGGATACTGAGTTTCCAGTTAATTTTGGAAATTATGTATGTAGGATACACAAGTCTTACATACTCATATATTTCATTCAACAAGTACTTATTGAGTGTATCGATTGAATCAGACACAGTCCCTGACTTCACAGGGCTTACACTTCAGTGGCAGAAGCAGAAGATGAGCAAATCATCTGCAAATAAAGAGTTTCCACTGCAGTGAATGCTGCGAAGAAAATGAACCTTCATAGGAGAGCTGAAAAGAGAGAGGCAATCAAACTGGGGGCCTAGCACAGGTGCTCTGTTGTTGTGGGGGATACCCCTGGCAAAAGGTCTGGGAAACTGAGTCACTAATGTAAGGCAAATTGCTATTTGCTCTGAGATTGGCCTGGTGGGGGGGCAGGGAGGTTAAGAGGGGGATAAGAAAATGGAGCGAGTCCATATCTTTCTTCAAAACAGGGTTTTGCAAATCTGGGAAAGATGGGAGACCATTTGGAATCAATTTAGCATTTAGAGAAGAGGCAAGTGTGCAAAAGAAGAGTGAGTTGGCCTGGAGTGAAGAAGCAGAGAGGAGATGGGAAGGAAGAATGTGCCTTGGTCCTGGCCAGCAAGGCCTGGGAGCCACGTAACACAGGAGATGCTGGTGGCAGTCAGCGCTTTGGGAAGCTTCCAGGAGATTGGCAAATTGTGAAGCCAAACAGGTGGACTTGGGGCTGTGACAGGAGAGGACTGACCTCCTTTGGGCCGGAGGACTCACTTGGTCTTAGATGGAGGGTGGAAATTAAGAGGGAATGAGAGAACTGGCAAGAACTGCTGTATGCCAAAGTCAGGGCCTACAAAGGGGCCAGTGGACAGGCTGAAGCATGACAACAGCCAGGGCCTGGAGGAATGGCTTCATGCTCTAGATATGAGCCAGCACAGTAATGTGAGACTCCATGTGGGACCAGTCTCCACAGCACACTGCGTGAGCCCTGCTATTCCTTCCCATGGCCAAGGAGCTCAGATCTGCACTGAAGCAGTGTGTGCAACAGGCTGGAGAATAGAAAGCAAGAGGGAGACTGAAATCCACATCCAGTCTCTGATGATGGCTGTCTTCAGGATTGTAGCAGTGGTGATGAGAAAAGCTGCCTGTTTCTTGGAGATGCCTCTGGGGCTTGCTGGTTTCATCATGAGAGCTAGGATATGACCCTGAAGCTATGAAGGAAGATTCTTAATTTTTCTTTTTTCAGGGCAAGCAAATGCCTTTTACAACTGGGCATAACTTAGAGTTACCTCTTGTCCTGTATCATTAGACAGGGTGATCCTCAATTTCATAGCCAGGTTGTGAGGACGATCTCATTGCTCAGCATCATTTCAATGCCATTTTATTATTATTTTTGACCTCTAAGTCTTCATATCAAATTATCTACTTGTGAATTAAGTGCTAATTTCAAGTATCAGATATTTTATGAACTTAGTTTTTGCTTTTGTTAATATTTTACCAGAGATGATAATTTACTTTTTAAATAGGAAACATCGAAGGTTTGCATCTTTCGCAAATAAGATTTTACTTAACTTGAACTTACCAAGGGATATTTTTTTAAAACAGCTTTTGCAGTAAAATTGACACGCAAGAAACAGCACATAAGTTTTGGCGTATGTGTACAACAGTGAAACCCTGACCACAATGGAGATAATGTGCATATCCATCACCCCAAAAATCTTCTGCTGCCTCTTTGTGATTATTGCTGCCCTTCCCCATCCCTAAGCAACCACTGATCTGCTTCTTCATTGTAGATTCATTTGCATGTGTGTTTTTAGCATTTTATATAAGTGTAATCAGGCAGTATATACTCTTTGAGGGGAGTTGACTTCTTTCAGTTAGTATAATTGTTTTGATATTCCTTCATGTTGTTGTGTGTTTCAATTTCTTTTGATTGAGTAGTATTCCATTGTGTACATAAACCATAATTTATCTGTTTACCTGTTGATAGACACTTGGGTTGTCTTTGTATGTACATGTGCTTTCATTTCTCTTGGGTAAATATAGTCATTCGTCACTTAATGATGGGGCTATGTTCTGAGAAAAGCAGTGTTGGGCAATTTTGCTATACAAAAATAATAAGGGACTATTCTGAACAATTATATTCCAATAACTTTGACAACTTAGATGAAATGGAAGAATTTCTTGAAAGACAAAAACTACCAAAACTCACAGAAGATGAAATAATCTGTATGAATTAATATAAGATAAACAAAGATAGAGACATTGAATTTGTAGTTGTAAACTTTCCCATGAAGAAAGCTCCAGTCCCAGATGTCCTCCTAGGCTATATGGTATAGCCTGTTACTCCTAGACTGCAAACCTTGCAGCGTGTAACTGTACCAAATACTGTAGGCAGTTGTAACACAGTGAGAAGTATTTCCGTATCTAAACATAGAAAAGGTATGGTAAAAATACAGTATTAAAGAGAAAAAAATGGTACATCTATGTGGGGTACTCACCATGAATGGAGCTTACAGAATTGAAAGCATGAACATTACTGTTCATGCCTAGGACATTACTGTACATCACTGTAGACTTTATAAACACTGTGTACTGAGGCTACACTAACGTTATTAAAAAAGAAAAGTAGTTGTGCTACAATGTTATGATGGCTATAACATCACTAGGTGATAGTACATTTTCAGCTTCATTGTAATCTATGGAACCACTATCTTGTAGAACATTGTTGACTGAAATGTTAAGTAGTGCATGGTTGTTACTAAAAGTAGAATTGCCAAGTTTTATGGCAGGTGGATGTTTAGCTTTTAAGAAATTGCCTGTCTTCCACAATGGCTGTACATGAGTAATGCTCATAAAATGAGGGGAAACATACTCCTTCCTCTTTAGCTTTCTAGAAGAGGCTGCGTAGAATTAGTACTAGCTCTTCCTTAAATATTTCATAGAATTCACCATGAGGACATCTAAGACTGGAGCTTTCTTCAAGGGAAAGTTTAAAACCACAAATTCAATGCCTCTAATAGATATTTATCTTATATTCTTATCAGATCATCCATTTCCTCTTGAGTGAGTTTTAGTAGATTTGTCTTTCAAGAAATTCTTCCATTTCATCTAAGTTGTCAAAGTTATTGGAATGTAATTGTTCAGAATAGTCCCTTATTATTTTTTTTAGTATCTGTAAAATCTGCAGTGATCGTATTTCTCATTCTTAATATTGGTAATTTGTGTCTTCTCTCTCTTCTTTCCAATCAGTCTGGCTAGAGATTTATCAATTTTTTTTTGACCACAAAGAACCAGTTTTTGGTTTCATTTAATTTTTATACTGTTTTTCTGTTTGTTTTATTTTCTTGCTTCTGCTCACTTTGTGTAAAATTTGCTCTTTTTTTCAGTTAGGAGATGAGGTCATTGATTTGAGACTTTTTATCTTTTCTAATATAGGCATTCAGTGTTACAAATTTTCCTCTAAGTATTGCTTTTGCTGCATTCCACAAAGTTTAATATGTTGTGTTTTTATCTTCTCTTAATATGCTTCTTAAGTTCTCTGTCAATTTTTAAAAAGTCTTTACCCCATGGGTTATTTTAAAGTATTTATTTAGCTTATAAGTATTTGTGGATATTCCAACTATCTTTCTGTTACTGATTTCTAATTTAATAAAATTGCGGTCAGAGAACATATGTTGTATGACTTGGATACTTTTAAATTTATTGATATTTGTTTTACAGCCCAGAATAGGATCAACTGTGGCAAATATACTGTGTAAACTTGAAAAGAATATGTATCCTGATGTTTTGGGGTAAAATGTTCTGTAGATGTCTATTTGGTTGATGGTATTGTTCTAGTATTCCGTATCCTTAGTGCTTGTCTGTCTTGTTCTGTTACTGAGAGAGTAATAAACTGCATTCTATAATTTTGATTTTTAAAAATATGTTGCTGTTCTATTAGTTTTCCCTCGTATCTTGAAGCTCTTTTATTAGGTGCATAAATATTTACAATTGTTATATCCTACTGATGGCTTGACTCCTTTCATTTGAAATGACCTTTATACCTGGTAACATACTTGATTCTTAGGTCTACTTTATCTGGTATTAATATAGCCTCAGCTTTAAAAAAAATAGTATTAATATGGTATATCTTTTTTATTATTTGAACATAAATTAGGTTTTATGTTTCTTGTAGGCAATATAGTGTTGAATCTTTTTTTTAATCCAGTCTGATAATCTCTACCTTTTAATTGGAGTGTTTAAACCATTTAATGTGATTATTGATTTGTTTGAGTTTATATTTTTTATTTGTTCCACCTTTTTATTCTTTCTTCCTTTTGGGGGGTTGCATATTCTTGATTAGTTCATTTTCTCTCTTTTGTTGCCTTATTAGCAATAAGTGTATTATTTTAGTGATTGCATTGGGGTTTATAGTATACATTTTAATTTATCATAGTCTACCTTTAAGTGATAGTATGTATTTCATGCATAGCATAACAACCCTGCAACAACACACTTTCATTTTTTTTCTTCCAGCCTTTATGCTACGGTGATCATGGATTTTACCTTTAAAATGTTGTAAACTCCACAATACATTGTTATTATGTCTGCTGTAAACAATTGATTATCTTTTAAATATATTTAAATAATAAAATAAGGCTTATATTTACCTGTGTCATTATCTTTTCTAATTCTTTTTTATTTTTGTGTAAATCAAGATGGCCATGTGGTATTATTTATCTTCTGCCAACATTTCTTTTAGTGCAGGTCTAGATAATGAATTATTCCTGTTTTTATATGTCTGGAAAAAATATTTCACCTTAATTTTTGAAAGACAGTTATTGCTAGGTAAAGAATTATAAGTTGATAGCGTTTTTTTTTCTTTCAGTACTCTAAAGATGTTGCACCACTTTGTTCTACTTTACATTGTTTTTGATGATAAATCTTCTGTTTTTATTTTTATACCTCTGCATGTAACATATCATTTTTTTCCTTTGGCTGCTTTTAAGGTTAACTCTGTCATTGGTTTTTAGCAGTTTGATTTTGATATGCCTTGGTGTAGTTTTTTCATGTTTCTTACGCTTGGGACTTGAGATTCTTGAATCTGTGTGTTTACAGTTTTCATCAAATTGCGAAAAATCTTAGTGCTTATTTCTTTAAAAATGTTTGGTACTTTTTACCTCCCCTTTCTTTTGATAACTCTAATAGCATGTATATTGGGTCATTTGAAGTTTCCACAAAGTTCACTGGTGGTCTGTTGATTTTTTTCATTTTGCTTCATTTTGAATGTGTTTCATTTTGAATAATTATGTTGCTGTGTCTTCAAGTTCGCTAATTATTTTTCTTCTGTGGTGACAATCTACTGTTTCAAGTGGTCTCTTTCTTAATACCTTTCATATTTTAACATGTTAAATATTTTCTCTAGCTTCTTGAATATGTGGACTATAGTCATAACTGTTTTATCATTCTCCCCAACTAATTCTATCATCTGTGTCATTTCTGGATTGGTTTCAAATAATTTACTTTTTTTCTTCTGATTATGGCTTGTATTTTTGTACTTCTTTGCATGCTTGGTCATTTCTTATTGGATGTCATATTTTGTAAATTTTATCTTGCTGGGTGCTGGATGTGTTTGTGTTCTTATAAATATTTTTGAGCTTTGTTCTGGGATGGGCTTAACTCAGAAACAGTTTGATCCTTGCAGGTCTTGCATAATTAGCTTTGTTAGGCAGGACCAGAGCTATGTTTAGTCCAATATATTTCCACTACTGAGGCAAGACACTTGTTAAAACTTTAACCAGTTCCCTCTGAATTATGAAGTTTTTCTCTGTAACTGTTGGGAACAGGCAGTACTCTCTGCCTTATATAATTTCCAGACACTGTTTGCTCTAATTCATTTGGATAGTTCTTTCACTGGCCACAGATTACTTTTTACATGCATATGCTGAACAATCCTCACCTAGTTACTTGAGGGAAACCTTCTGCAGATGTACAGAGGTCTCTCTCTCTCTGTATAGACCCTTTCTGGTATGTTACCCTGCCAGTGTTATCCCCATTGGCCTCTCTAGACTCCCAGCTTTGTCTCCTCTACTCAGGGAGACTTCCAGGCTCTGCCTGGGTTTTCCCTTTATGCACCACAGCCTGCAAATGTTCTCCAATCAGTAAGCTAGGGCAATCATGAGGAACACCTCCTTTGCTTTTCATCTCTCAGGAATCACTGGCCTTCACCATCTGATGGCCAGTTTCTTCAGTGCTGCTGTTTCATAGATTTTTTCTGGTTTTTAGTTGTTTCAGGTACAGGTAAATCTGGTTCCTGTTACTCCAAATGGACTGAAAATGGAAGTCCAAGAGCTTTCCTTTTTTCACCACTGAAATAGACTCCAGTTAGATGTAGAAAGTTGGATGAGTTCAGTGTGCCAACTTTTACTTTATGGGAAACTTTTATTAGAAAAGCTAATTTCTGTAAAGAGAGACAAAAGAAAAAAGCAACACGAAAGTGATAGGTTTCATTGTCCATAAATTTGTCCACTTGCTACAACATGTGTTTTTGTGGCATTGCTCATATCACTGAAGTAGACAACAAAATTCAGTCAGTGTGTATTGATGGCACTCAGACACAGTTGCTGTGGGGGAAGGAGGAGAAGCAGGCGACAGGGACTGCTTCTGATGTGTTCCCAAAGGCAACAAGGGAGTAAGCCGTGCCAGAAACAATGTTCATTCACAAAACAGTGAAGGAACGAACCAATCATTTGTGACGATGTGCCGAAAGGACACATCCAGGAGTCTGGAGAAATAAAGAGCAGTGTCCACTGTGGTCATCAAGGGAGGTGTCTTGAAGAACTTGGGTAGAGAGGAAGTGAGATACCACTAGGCAAAGGAACTAGACTTCTTTGGGAAGCAAGATGGTGAGTGGCTTGATTGGCATGGAGGCCATCTTAGGGGACATTTTAGGGGACAGTGGTATATGAGTTTTGCTAATAGGTCATATTGTAAGATAACTTTAATTGCTTCAACATTTCAGATTTTATTGGAGTCCGCCAATGAAGTGCCAACTTCCTCAGACAGAAATAGAGAAAATATTTTCAAAACCCATCCTGTTTCAGTCAGCTTTTAACTACATAAGAAACCACCAAAACATGGTGGTTTAAAACAACAACCATGCATTTACCTCATGATCTTATGGGTTGGTAATTTTGGCCAGGCTCACCTTGAAAAATTACTCTGGTCTGAGCCGGGTTAACTTGTGTTTGCAGTCAGCCGGTCGTTGATCATCTCATTTGATATCTAGCAATTGTCTGGCTATCAGCTGACTTGATGGGGCAGCTTGGCACCATGCCTCACGGCCCAGCCACCTCGCCCAGACTTGTTCAAATGGCAGTGGTGTAGGGTTCCCAAGGGCAACATGGGAGCAAGCCCCGGCGTGCAGATACTTTTCAAGCCTCTGCTTGAATCGAATCATATTTCTGATTGCTACATTGGCCAAAGCCAATCACACGTTCAGCCTAGATTGAAGGGGATGGAGAGAGACTGCTTTTTCTTTAAAGGAGTTGCTGCAATATTCTGTGTCTATTTTTATAAGAAACTGTGCGTCTGCTAAAGATTTATTGTGCAATAAACAAATAGAAGAGTGACCCGCTGACTGTTGAGTTTAAAGTTACTCACTTTGTTCAAAAAGTAATTGCAGGCTATCTGGCAGACTTAAATTATATTTTGAATGGTTCTTAAGTGTTTTAAAAGTGAAACTAGTGTACTTCCTCTTTTTTTAATCCTTTTCTTCTGGGCTTAGTGCAACTGAAAAATCTAGTATATTTTAATCTCTCCTATTTGTCTTAGCCTTATCTTTATAAAGATTTCCTGTTTTATGTTTAGTCTATTTGCAGGTAATTAGATAAACAAAGTGCCAACTCATCATCGAAAAAGAAAGACTGTCATTGACAGAAAATCTCCCCCTCAGCTTTTGATCATCTGTCTGTGTTGTCTTTGCTCAGCCTGGGCAGTGGGTTTGTTCTGTTAAGAGCCAAGAGACATTCCAAACTACCTAAGATGGAGATTGGGCTAGTTGTCTTGTATCGTTCTTCTGGCAAATCACTTTTCTGTTAAAAAGGCAAGAAGTCAGAAAAAGGAGAGGTTACTGTTTATGCATTAAAAAACCCCATTGTGTTATGGAACAAATGAACTGTTTATTTCCGAATCTAAGAAGTTATTCTCATGATCAAGTATGTAATTTTGGTTCTTTCTGAAACCAGCCCTTTTATTATTCAAGTTTGTATAATGGAAATAATGTTGAATTCCTATGAGAAAAAACAATGTAAGCCATTTACTTTACCTCTCCCTCTCAAAAAAAGTGGGAACCTGAGTAAAGTATTCCTAATCACCACTTAGTAGGTTTTCTGGGTCCCTGACAGTAGTGAACACTCCCAGAGAGCAGGCAGAGGGAGAGGCACAAAGAAATGGCTGGAGACTATGGGTGAACTTAGCCTGGGATCTGGACAGGGGTTCCTCGATCTGTCCTCCACACTCAGCGGGAAGGAGGGAACTGCAGGGCATTCCTGAAGCTAACCCAAGGTCAGGTGGGGAGTGAGTAGCCACAGCTGCCTTAGGACCCCTTTCTTCTGTTGCATCCTGCTCCCTTTCCATTCCATTGCTTCACGGACAGAAATCCCTCTCTGAGATACATATGTCAGAGGGATATATATTAAATATTAGTTTAACACATATATGAGGGATATGTATATCCCTCTGATATATATATTTTGGTTCTTTCTGAAACAAATTCTTTTATTATTCAAGTTTGGATAATGGAAATGCTGAATTCCTATGAGAAAAACAATGTAAGTCATTTACTTTACCTCTCCACCTCACATATGTGTTAAACTAATATTTGGATCTAAAATTTCAGTCTGCCATTGATTTCCACTGTGATTTCAGAGTATATTTTCAAAAGGAAGGAAAGTCAAAAATTCTGATACTGGGTTTAGGGAACTTTCTATTGCTTCTGTGCTGAAATCTGAACAATGAGCCCTGAGTTTTGGTGACACTGAAGCCTTGGCTTTCAAGTTCACCTGACTTACGATGCACCTGTGTTTTCTGTCACAGCCTCAGTGCAGTGACAGCCTCATGACTAGAAAACAGTGCTGAGGGTTGAATCCACATTTATATACCAGGGGATGCAGATCCTCTTCCACCCTCAATTTTGTGACAGGCTTGAGGCCCTTCTTTTAAAAATTTATTTTTATTTTTTTGAGAGACAGGGTCTTGCTCTGTCACCCAGGCTGGAATGCAGTGGCGTGATCATAGCTCACTGTGGCCTTGAACTCCTGGCCTTGAGCAGTCTTCTTGTTTCAGCCTCCCATGGCTCTTCCTGTTCACTGGTGAAGCTGCTTGTCAATTTTGATGCATTTATTCAGCAACTAGGTGTCTGGTTGGACTTTAAATTCCCTTTGTGGTTCTTCTTGCATTCTTAAAATGGAGGTCAGTAAAACTTTTTCTAGTTTCAGTGACTTGCTAAGTGAGAGCTGAAGTTCCTGGAACCCCTGTCACTTGGCTAGGAGAATATGAATACAAATAACGCTAACTGAGACAGTGAGGGGAGCATCTTGGGGCAGCTCCGAGACTTCACATGAAGACAAACATGTAAAGCTGTCACATGCAAGCACGTGCCCCTGGGAGTAAGTTCTGGGATAAGATGTCACAAACTCTTATGCAAAGAAGAGGAAGACTTGAGAATACTCTATGATGCACACTGCTCTGGATTTGACTCTTCCAGTAACATTTTTTTCCTCAAAAAATTGAACTTGAAATGTACTGTTACTTCTGGGGATTTTTGAATGCCAATACTACTTTTTGTTGTCCTGTATTTCCTTTCCCTGGAATCTTAGGGCCCTTTGAGCTCAGTGTCTTCCCAGCGATGGGAGGCTAGGGAAGAACTGCCGTGATTGTCAGCACACTGGGTTGTCAGCCATAGGACAGGCCTCCTGCACACCTAGGGAAGGCTGGCTAATCATGTCCCCACCCTCCATGGCCACCTCCGTGCACCAGAAATCAGGGTAAGCTGGGTGTCCCTGGCCATGCAAGTTCTTAGCTGTGTCCTCTGATGCTCTGCCACTCACATGTCTCAGTCCCTTTCCACGTGGTCTCCTCTGTTCCTTTGCTTCCTGCTGCCACCCCCTTTCTCTCTTCATACAGTTGGCATCTTTTTTTTTTTCTCCCTACAACTTTGGCTCCTTCTCTATTTTATCCTCTCACACTTTGGTCTCATACAGGGCCACCAAGGGCCTCCCCACCTCCAGGCCCTTTTGCTTTTGCTTCTCTCAAATGCACAATCTCTCTCCCAGTGCACAGCCCTGAGACATGACTATGATTAACTCAGCCTTCTGTGCCAGGAGCCTCCTATGCCACTGGATAGCCTGCCTTTTGATGGGGTGCCTTTGGGGCAGGCACCCACCCTGCATTCACTCAGCTGTTGCCAGTGGGAAGGGTCTAGTGCAAAAAACTCCTCTGTAGGTCCTTATCATACCTTAGAGAATAGGCTGGGGGTCTGGGAGCACGGAGACTAGCATATACATATTATTCTGACTTCATGCATCCTGTTTATTCAATCATTAGTTGATTCATCAGACAGTGAGGCTCTTCTATGTGCCAGGGTAGAGATGAATGAGAAAATAGGATCTGACCCCAAAACGTAAGCTGCTAAGAAGACATTATTTGGCTCCTAAAATCATTCTCCTGTATAAACTACCCTATTTTTGGTTGTGTTTCTGAATTCTAGAACTGGATCTAACTATTGATGTTCAGTTAGCTTGGGGTTTCAAAGATATTTGATATACAAGTTAATTATCCACCTAAGAAGGACTTTTATTTATTTAAGAGAAATAGAATGGCTTTAAAATATATATTCAGGACTTACAGAAAATTTTAGATAAATCTAGAAAGTTATAGAGCAATAAAGAGTATCAGATATAACATTGAAACCCTTATCCCTTTGATTTCCCTTCTTCCCCAGAGATGATCACTACACTGAATTTGGTGTTTGTTATTCTCAGATATGGTTTTGTTTTTATGAAATGTACATGTATCACTAGCTTGTAGATTTGCCATACATGTATTTAAACTTCATAGAAATGATAGAATATGGTTTCTTTTCTTCAGTCTACTTTTCACTATCTATATATTTTGCTTTGGGGAATTACCTATGTTCATATCATTCTAGTTATTAATTTTCACAGATGTAGAGTATTCCTTTCTAAAAACAAACTATATTTTGTTTATTTGTAGGTATTTGTATAATTCTAATTAACCACTAGCAAGCAATAAAAACACTGCAACATATAGAATTATTTACCATACATGTCTATCTTCTTTATGCATGCAAAAGTTACTTTCTAGATAAACGTAGAAGTGGAATTGCTAGGTTTTAGGATATATACATCTTCAAATGTATTAAGTGTTTTTTTTTCCAAAATGATTATATTAATTTCGACTTCTAGAAGCAGTGTATGAGTTATTCTGTGCCAATGGGTTAGTGTCATCAGACATTAATTTTTGTCAATCCATAATCTGATAGGTGTGAAACAGTATATCACTGTGGGTTTTGCTTGCATTCCTTTTCCCTGATTTCTAGTGAAGATGAGCATCACTCATATCTGTATTGGCCATTTAAAATGCTCATTACCCTTTGCCCATTTTCCTCTGGGTAGTTTGTCTTTTGCTTACTGATTTGAAGGGGTTCTTTTTGTACAATGTATACTAATCCTTTGTAGTTTATATATGTTACAAGTAGTTTCTCCCAGGTTGTTGCTCTTCTTTATTCTTATGTAGTCTTTCAATGTGCACAAATTTTAAATTTTAATATATGCAAATTTATCAAATCTTTCCTTTTTGGTTGCTCTTTGGTCTAAAAAAACTTCCATATCTTGAGATCTCAATGTTGTAAAGTTTTGTCTTTTACATTTTTCACTTAAACTATCTAGAATTTATTTTTATATTTGGTATAAGGTGGGACTAGTTGTATTTTTTTTTTTTTTAGATGGAGTTTTGCTTCTGTTGCCCAGGCTGGAGTGCAGTGGTGCAATCTATGCTCACTGCAACCTCCACCTCCCAGGTTCAAGTGATCCTTCTGCCTCAGCCAGTAGCTGGGATTACAGGCATGCGCCACCATGCCCAGCTAATTTTGTATTTTTAGTAGAGACAGGCTTCTCCACGTTGGTCAGGCTGGTCTCAAACTCCTGACCGCAGGTGATCCCGCCTCAGCCTCCCAAAGTGCTGGGATTACAGACATGAGCCACCATGCCCAGCCTGTATTTTGTTTTATATGGCTAAAAGTTGTCTCAGCACCATTTGTTAAACAGTCCATCACTTCCCCACAGATGTGTAATAACACATTTGACATGAATCAGGATTCTATCTGTGTATGAGTCTGTGTCATGGCTCACTGTCTCACTCCATTCGTCCATGTTTTCATTTGTGCACCAAGACCACTTTGACGGGCAATCATTGTGGTTTCAGAATGGGCTTCATATTGAATGTGGCCAGTGCTCTGCTTTGTTCTTACTCAAAATTGTCTTGGTTATCCTTAAAACCTCAGGTCCTGTGTAAAAATTTTGGACTCAGCTCATAAAATTTCATGAAAAATCCTTTTGGGATATTGATTTGAAATTGTATTAATTGGAAAAAAAGAATTGGCATCCTGACTGCATTGATTTTTTTCAATACATAAATGTGATATAGCTTTCATTTGGGTCTTTTAATAAGGTTTTATAAAGGTCTTTCATATTATTAGTTAAGTAATTTCATAGTTAGCTTATGATTAACTTGGTAAATTGTTGCTAATGTAAAAATGTAATTGCTATTTCTATGTTTTATATATAGAAACTTTGCTAGACTCTTAATAAAATAACATAGGTTTTCTTGGATTATCTTTATAGATGGTCAGATTATCTGTAAATAGTGATGTTGTATTTCTTTCCTTCCCTTATGCTTTTTACTTTTCTTAGTATTCTGGCTTGGACCACCAGAATAATGTCAAATATAAGCAATGATGGAAACATCCTTATATTATTTTTAACAGTAAACTGTTCTTAATATTTCAGCATTAAGAATGATACTGGCCAGGTATAGTGGCTCATGCCTGTAATCCCAGCACTTTGGGAGGCCAAGGCAGGATTGCTTCAGCCCAAGAGTTCGAGACCAGCTTGAGCAACATGGCAAAACCCCAACTCTACAAAAAACACAAAAATTAAATGGGCATGATGGTGCATGCCTGTGGTCCCAGCTATTCAGG
Organism: Homo sapiens; assembly: GCF_000001405.40. Lineage (NCBI taxonomy): Eukaryota > Metazoa > Chordata > Mammalia > Primates > Hominidae > Homo > Homo sapiens. Next base: position 36,678,433 of record NC_000018.10, read on the forward strand.
AGGCTGAGGTGGGAGAATCACTTGAGCTCGGGAGGTCAAGGATTCAGTGAGCCATGATCATTCTGGCCTGAGTGACAATGAGACCCTGTCTCAAAAAAAAAAAAAAAAAAAAAAAAGAAGAAAGAAAGAAAGAAAGAAAAAAAGATACTTACTCTAGTTTTTAAAATTTTCCTTGCCAAATACCCACTGTCAGATTAAGAAAGTTTTCTTCTATTACTAAGCATAGTAAAGGGTTTTTTTTTTTAAACAAATGGTTGTTGAATTTAAAGCTTTTTCTGCATTTGCAGAGGTAGCCATGGTTTTTCTCCAATAAACTATTAACGTGGTAAATTGTATTCATTTATACTGTCATCTTACATTACCCTTACATTTGTTGGGCAAACCCAATGTGATTTTGTTTCAGATTTTTGCGTTGGTGTTCATAATTGCAAATAGTATATAAGTTGCCGTCTTCACACTGTTCTTATCTGGCTTTAGTGTCAGAGTAATATGAATCATGTAAAATGGGTTGTGGGAGATTTTTTCTTCTTTATGTTGTCTGAAACTTTCCATATGTCTAACTTGAACTCTTCCTTGAGTAGTAGAAATCACATTAAAAATCTGACTTTCGTGGATTTTTTTTCATGGGTGTGAATATATTTGTAATTAATTAACTCAATTTCTTTTGTTAACAGGGCTATTCAAAATTTCTATTTCTTTCTCAATCAGATTTGGTCAATTATATGTTTTTAGAAAATCATCCATTTCTTTAATTTTTCAAGTGTATTATAAAAATTTCCCCTTATTTTTGTAATGTTTTTTGGTCACTATATCTATAATTGTATTTACCTGTCATTCCTGAATATGCTCATTTATGGCCCTTTTTCTTGAATAATTTTGATGGAACTTGTCTATTAGGTTTTTCACAATTATAAACCAGCTTTTAGTTTTGTTGATTTTTGTCTATACACCTTCGTTTTCCTATTTTATTAGTCTTTGCTCTTTATTTTTTTCCTTTTGCCTTCTTTGAATTTATTCCACTGTTGCCTTTCCAATTGTTGAGCTGATCACTCATTAATTTTTACTCTTTCTTTTCTTCTAATATAAATACTTAAGACAATAAATTTCCTTCTAAATACTACTTTAGAGGTATTCTACAAAACTTCATATTCAGCTTTTTCATTATGGTACCCTTTAAATGTATTCTAATTGTCCATGTTTTTTTTTCTGACCTAAGTTATTAGACATGTTTTAGTTTTTCCAATTATATGGATTTTTTTCAAATTTATCTCCTTGTTATTGATTTTCAATGCAGTTGCATTATGATCAGTAAGGTAGCTCGTGTGAAACCAGTTTGTGGCATTCATTCTTGAGCTTTGTGACACAATTGATGGTCAATTTTTGAGTAGTCCTTATATATTTGAAAGAATATGTTTTCTCCCATTTGGGCACCAGGTTATATACATGTTAATCTATTAGATAAAACTTATTAATTGGGTTAAACAAATCTATTATATGCATAACAGTTTTATCAATTACTGTGCAAGAGGTATTACAAACCTCTTTACTCTGATTGTTGATTAGGTTTGGCTGGATACAGCAGGGAAGAATTCCCACAAAATAATAATAGCTTACAAAAGTTAGAAGTTTGTCTGAACTTATTTTATGAGGAAGATAAATAAACTCTATCTATGCCTTAGTGTCCAGAGCTGATGGAAATAGTTCCATAGTGAGCCTGGAATATTGAATTTGGTTACTCCCTCCCTGTAGCTGCCAGGGATGGTGGTTTCTTCCCTCCATTTTCCCTGCCACCTATGAGTGATAGCCATAGGTGACTCACCTTTTCTAGGGAGAACATCTGTGGGACTCATGGCAGTCTGTAATATGAAAGTCACATCTTTCTCCTGCACTGAGATCTGTGTTCCCCACCTTGCAGGTATATTTTTCACTGAATCCAGGTAGGATTTTACCCAAGCTATATCCTTGGATAAATAAATTGGCAAAATATATTTCATAAATATTTTTCTCTTTGTTTTGGAGATTTTTTTCCATAAGTGAAGGCCTCAATTGTCCATAACAGATTTTATTCTCCAGAGATCCATCAGACTCCTTTACATAGCTAACCCCTTTCCTTATATGTCATACGGTTACTTGATTTTCTCTTCTCCCACTCATTCTCTGATTTAACATCTCCTGTGATACTCACCCTGTGGTTTCTCTCCAAGGCTTTCACACACATTTTCAGTGAACAGTCCAGACTCTTGTGTGATGTTACTAATACCACTGCCTGTCCTTTGACCATGCTGAGTCCTTGGATGCTTCTTGACATAGAATGTCATAGAATGAAATTTCCTTAATTCTATTCACATTTCAGCCCATTGCAAGTTTTTTTGTCCTCATCTGTCATCTCATTGCCTTGTTCAATTATTCTAAAGAAGTGTATTGTGAGACTGATATATAGTAAAATATTTTTAGTGCATGTATAATAGAAAATAGTTTTATAAAATCACTTTTTTTAAAATTTTAGATTTGGTGGTACATGTGCTGGTTTGTTAATCGGTATCTTTCATGATGCTGAGGTTTAAGCTTCTAATGATCCTGTTACCCAAATAATGAATGTATTACCTGATAGATAGGTAGAAAATAGTTTTAGATTGAAAGCTGATTCTAGCTCATCTACGTCTTAACATAGACCAACTGTAAAATATATATAGAATGTATATACATTCCTGGAATACTTCTATAACTCCCATTCTTGAGGGCTGCTTACATGTCAAGCATGTTGCTTGCTATTTTCTGTCTGTTACCACCTTTTCTCCTGCGAGCACACTCACAGTATGATACTTTTCCCCAATTTACAGACAAAAATCTGAAACAAGAAGACCCGAGGCATTCAGTGATTTTCCCCAAGCATTGCCTAGGTACCGGCAGACCCTCAATTCTAACCAAGGTCTGACTGGTGCTTACTTCAGTACTTTTAATCACAGGCCAAGCAACTGAAACATTAACTCATTGTATCTCCAGGTCATCACCGAGTGGTCTTCTCACATCATCCTTCAGGCAGCACCAAGAGTCACTGGCAGCAGAGAGAGAGAGGCGGCGGCAGGAGAGAGAAGAAAGGTTGCAGAGAATAGAGCGGGAAGAAAGAAACAAATTCAGGTAAGAAGGATCTTAAGATTTTTTTTAAATAGTGAGTTAAAAATTAAAGGCATGTGACTTTACAACTGTATACATTTAATATTGGCATTAAAGGAAGTAATGAAAATTCTGTCTGTATTTTTAAGGAAGAGAAAGACATACCTGAAATAGGCTGGATCTGGTTTGTTATGGCTTTTGTTTCTCTAACCATATGGCAGGAAGCACAGTCAGCCAAATACAATTAGGGACTCATGTATTCTTGGGCCCTCCATTACCTACCTCGTCCTATCCAGGCCCTCCGGATGACAGAGAGTGTAATTATCTTAACTTAATTTGCCATCTCTTCCTAATGGTCCTCATGTTTTATTCATATTCTATCAGATGCCCAAAAAGAAATGCTTTTCCCACTTTCTGGTTTGCTTTTTGATCCCTGTAACAATCTTCAATATTTTTTGTAAACAATAATCTCTTGCTATGTGGGGGGAAAAGTCATTGTGTTGATTACTCTCAGCCCATTTCCCCCGATCTCCTGGTCTCTGTACAGCTTCAAGGATGTGTTCCTGGCTATAGCTCATTCCAGGTTCCATATCTTGGCCTGTCTGTCCCCACTGATCCCAGTGTGCCTCGGCTTCTCCTTCAGCCAGTCCACCTGTTCTCCACATTCTCCAGGTCATCCTCCTTCACACCCATCCCCTGGGCTTCATGCTGTGCTGTGCTTTATGGAATGAAAAACAGTTGCTGTATCTCTCCTTACACATTACTTCCTTCTCCTCTTCCTTATATCCTTTTTCCCTTTTCCCCCTTTCTTCCCCACCTCCTCCTATACTTTCTCTTCCTCCTTAATCCTTTGAAGTCATTTACCCTATAGCTTCTACATTCTTTCTTTTCATTTTTCTCCCCATCTCTACCTCCTGTTTCCTTAGTTCAGTTTCTTTGGCAAACAATATTCCCATCAATTATTCCCCATTATATCTACAAGGAATGTAAGGCATTGTTAATGAGGATTTACAGATTTAATAACGTGTTTTTGTTTTGTTTTGTTTTGTTTTTTGAGACAGAGTCTCACTTTGTTGCCCAGGCTGGAGTACAGTGGCGCAATCTTGGCTCCCAGCAACCTCTGCCTCCTGGGTTCAAGTGATTCTTCAGCTTCAGCCTCCCAAGTAGCTGGAATTACAGGCCACACCACCACGCCTGGCTAATTTTTGTAATTTTAGTAGACATGGGGTTTTACTGTGTTGGCCAGGCTGTTGAACTCCTGACCTCAAGTGATCCACCTGCCTCAGCCTCCCAAAGTGCTGGGATTACAGGCATAAGCCACCATGCCCAGCCAATAACTTGTGCTTTTCTGAAGCCAAGAAGTATATGTGTAATTGTAAAAATGATCAAAATATGAGCACAGTTGTGAAGTTGCTTAACTATAAGTCACTACTTCTTGAAAACAAATGCCAAGTCTTTGAAATGCTAATCCTCATTTTTCTAAGACTGGGTGAATGGGCTGCATGAAGTAAACCAACATCATTTCCCATCAAGATAGTGTAGCATACCCTCAGCTGTCACATTTCTACCAAACGATATTTGGAAATGCCAGCTCTGTATGCACCATTTTTCATGAGGGTAGTTCTGGAAGTTGTCACTTTTAGAAAGGCCAATTTTTTAAATCTCTGGAACAGGTTAAATGCTTCCTGATTTATGGTTTTCTGGGAGATTGGCATATTTTACCACCAAATAGCAGCAGAGAATCTGAGTGAAATACATGGAAAATTCAGAGATTAGCTTACATCCAAAGTGTTTTATTGAAAACCTCTTGAAACAGGGTGCTGGTTCTGGGGAAAATGGAATTCATTCACTCCATCCTGTCTCTCCTTCATTGCTGAATGCAACCATAAGTCATGGAGAGAATGTGTGAAACTCTGAAAACTCTGAAATATAAAAGAGAGCAGGTGAAATTAGGAAGGGAGACTAAAATTCAGTTTTACAAAACCAGTGAGAGTTTACCATTTTTTACCTTCACTATTACTTGGCATGTACTCAAAGGCACCCAAACCTAGAAGTGTATGTCAAATCTGGACCAAAAGAACCCCAGAAGAAGTCCTCTTTTTCCAGACCAAGGCACAGTAAAGGGAATTTCTAAAGATAAAAGTGTAGAGAATTCCTGTTATTTCTTTATCTCCTACCCTAGCCTCCCAAACAATATTGCTACAGAAGCACAGCAATGGCAGCAGTGTCCAGGCAGTTGCCTGAAATGGGAGAGAGGGGAACTCTTCCTCTGACCATAAGAGCTATGACCCCATGATCACTAGGCATATCACTTTGCTCTCCTCCTGCTATATTGTCCTAGATGCAGATGCAGTTACCAAAAGTATGCAGCAGGACAGGGAAAGTAAAGCCCAAGCCTTCTGGCTGGAGGACCATAAAAGGAAACCCAAGGAGCCAGAAAGTGTTAGGAAAGCCACAAAGAGCCAGGATATCAAGAGAGCACTCCTGAATGCATGTCTGATTTGTACACATGTGGCTTCAAACCTACATGGCATGCCATAGGCTTTGAGAACTAAGTACAGAGTGGGAGTGGATCACCACCCAGATCCCAGAAAACTGAATTAATATTGGAACCAATGTCTGAAGGCAGGTTACAACTTGCAGGTTGAACTTAACCCGGTTGATTACCTGCTAATACAAAATAAAACAAAAATCAAGATTCTTTGTAGAATTTAAATAAGACCTCAAATCTCATTACAAAATATGTAAAATGTACAGAATACAATCCAAAATAACTTATCATAAAAATAATTAGGAAAATTTTAACTCAAAGGGAAAAGAGAATTAAAAGATGGCTAACCACAAAGGACATAGATATTATACATTTAAAGACTTTAAAGTAGCTATTATAAACATGCTTTAGGAAGTAAGGGCAAATACTCTTGAAACAAATGAAAAGATGTCTCTGTAAAAAAAAAATAAAAGATATAAAGATCCAAATGGAAATATATATAGAACAGGAAAATTAAAATAGAAAATTTGTCAGATGGGCCAAATAGAATTGCTATGAGAGAAGAAAGTGAACTCATTGCTATGAGTGAACCTGAAGATAGAACAACAGAAATTTTCCTACCTGAAAACTAAACACAACAAACAAAAATTGAAAGAAAAATGAACAAAGCTGTAGGGACCTGCGTAATAACATCAAAATGTCTAGCATTCGTGTCATCGGAGTCCCAGAAGTATAGGAGAATAGGACAAGAGTGCATTGGTTTTTTTTGTTTGTTTGTTTCTTGAGACAGGGTGTCACTCTTTTGCCGAGGCTGGAGTGCAGTGTCACCATCTTGGCTCACTGCAGCCTCGACCTCCCAGGCTCAGGTGATCCTCCTACCTCAGCCTCCCAAATAGCTGGGACTACAGGCATGTACATGGGACTACTGGCTAATTTTTGTATTTTTTTGTAGAGATGAGGTTTCACTGTGTTGCCCAGGCTGGTTTTGAACTCCTGGGCTCAAGTGATCCTTCTGCCTCAACCTCTTAAAGTGCTAGACTTATAGGCATGAGCCATTGCACCTGCCCATGTGTTATAATATACAGGAATTATGTTATTCATATGTATATGTTGGCAGAGTAAGAATTAGGCCTGGAAAGGTTGTCATCAGAGGCCATGCTAATAACTGTTAACCATTTGCTCTTGATTTCAAGTGATTCTAACTTGTCATTTAAGAACACAGAGAGACCTTGGCAAAATGGCCCTCCTCCACTCATCCAAAATGAATGCTAATCAACCGTAGGCAACTACTAATTATGGTGACTGCAGTTCCATATTTCTGAGGATGTGAATGAAAAGAAATTCAAAAAATAAATAGGAAAAGCTTTCTAAAGTAGTTCCTGAGGTTACCCAAATGACTGACCTTTTATCAGCCATTTCATTGATTTAAATTGTTTATGCTCCTCGTGCTTTTTGCAAAGCATCTAAAAGTTGTTCTTTATCTATTGTCATTTTTGTTGAATATGGTCTTAAGCTTTCTGAGTTATAGGAAATTTAGTTCTAGTGTGGAAAGTGATGAGGTTGGATGTTTATAAACGATGACAAATCTGAGTCCTTGTTGCATTTTTCTCCCGGTCCTACACTGCTGTAGTCTAACTTACTGCCCCTTTATATCCAGTTATCAGTACACCAAGAAATAGAATATTTAAACTATATTATGAGGTCCAGTGTTGAAAACCATGATGTTAGGATTCTCCAAGAAAGTAAACAGTCCAGTGAGAGATGACTAACCACATAGTCTTAAACTTAGATTCAATTTGGAACCTAACCAGCAGGAACAGAAAAACAAAACATTAAAATTAAGAAAACAGCAGGAACAGAAAAACAAAACATAAAATTTGGGCATCTGTGGGTACAGACAAAAGAGAAGGAACAAAGCAGGAGCTTCAGTGATCCTAGAATAGAAACTGAGAATGTAATGGATGTGGAGAAGGAATCCTGGGTTGTCACTGTGGATGACAGTGTGGCGATTCCTCAGAGACCTAGAACCAGAAATGCCATTTGACCCAGCAATCCGATTACTGGGTATATACCCAAAGGAATATAAATCATTCTATCTTAAAGACATATGCATACGTATGTTCATTACAGCACTATTCACAATAGTAAAGACATGGAATCAACCCAAATGCCCATCAATTGATAGACTGGATAAAGAAAATATGGTACATATACACCATGGAATACTATGTAGCCATAAAAAGGAATGAGATCACATCCTTCGCAAGGACATGGATGGCACTGGAAGCCATCATTCTCAGCAAACTAATGCAGGAACAGAAAACCAAACACCACATGTTCTTACTCATAAGTGGGAGCTGAACAGTGAGAACACATGGACATAGGGAGGGGACCTGTGTCCATGTGTTCTCACTGTTCTGTGTGAGAACAACACACACTGGGGCCTGTCAGTGGGGGGATTGGGGAGGGAGAGCATCAGGATAAATAGCTAAGGCATGTTGGGCTTAATACTTAGGTGACGGGTTGATAGGTGCAGCAAACCACCCTGGCACACATTTACCTATGTAACAGACCTGCACACCCCTCATGTATCCTGGAAATAAAAAAAAAAAAAAAATCCTGGGTTGTGGAAGGAATATTCAGCTTGTGGAGTGCAACATAGAATGGCCAAGGAACTTAGATTTAATTCTTAAGATGGCTGTTATGAAGCTACCAGAGCTCAACTGGATGCTAATCACCTCCAAAAGCTATTGCTTGCTTGTTATTGCTGTATTTTATTTATGGATTTTTTAAAAACTTCTCTTTCCTCAGATACTTACATTCTTTCCAACAAGTAATTAGTAGTGTTTCTGGGTGAATCCAATAATCCTATGTTTTCTGCAATCCCTGTGATTGTATTGAAGATCGATTGTATTTAATAATTTTGAAGTACAGGCTTTAAACTTTTAAAAATTCAGCTACAACCATTTTACATTTCTGAGGCAGTGCCAGTCTTTCATGATATACTGTTTATAATTTATTGGTAATTTTCTGAGTATCTAATTCTGTTACTTTCTTTTCCTGTTTGTTTGTTCTACATATTTCCATTAGCCGAGATTATTTAGACAAAAGAGAGGAGCAAAGGCAAGCAAGAGAAGAAAGGTTTGTATATTTCTTCTTTCCCATTGTAACAAATGGCATGTGACTTTGCACTGTTAACCTAGCATGCAGAGAGACTGTCGATTAAAATATAACTGCTTCACCTAAAACCTTACATAGCTGGCATTTTGCAGAACAGAGTGTACTAGTTACCTAAATTTTCCAATAAAAGTATGGAGTTGTCATTTGGTGCCATCATGGTTAAGTGTGTCTATTCCTTCAAATGAGCACGTTTATGTTAGCATAATGACATAGGGCATATATTTGAAATACCCTGCACCACCACTGCTGAGCCTGGACTACATGTTCCTAATGCATGCTTTTATGTCACATGGTCAGCACTCCTTCAAGAAATATTTTAGTATCCACACTGTGCCAGGCAGCAGCTGGGGGCACTAGATATATCTGAGACTCTTTCTGGATGTGCCTGGTCACTTACCTGTCTCCCTACTGAACTGTACTCAGCTCCTCGATGGCAGGAACAATGCCTAGATTTCCTTTATTTCCCCAGTACCCACCACAGTGCTTGGCATGTAGTTGGGACTTAGGAATAATATATGGAATCAGTAAATGAGTAAATGAACCAACAGCTTTATTTAAAATATTCAAGCTGTAAACTACTTTATTTCTTTTTTTCATTTTAAAAACTACTTCATTTATGGTACGAATCTTTGTGGTTTGTGATGCTAACTAGAAAATGCATGAATACATTTTTAAATTTCTATCCACAGAATATTTGTATACAATTTTGTAAGAAAAACATATATGAGATACATTACTTTATAAGATTAAGAAGTATGTTATTAAAATGTTGCTGTAATATTCGAACCAGCCTAGGTCATATAACAGAGCAGCTCAAAACTCTGGTGTTGATCAGTAGTATATTTCAATGGCAACATGCTTTGAATCTCAATAAAAGATACAAAGATGTTCAGTGTCTAATAAATGCAGAGAAACAGTGGAAACTGGTTTTACAAGTAGACTGGCAAAAGACAAGTTTTCACCCCCAGCTCTTTATAGCCTGCAGTTGTCCCCTCTACCACCAGGTGGGGTGACTGCATGGAGAGATGGAAAGACTGCTTTTAACACCTTTTATGCTGGAGCCAGCTGGGAACCTAACAATTTCTGGACTGGGCCAATAAGAAGTAGAATTGTGCTAATTTTCTAAACACCAGCTAAATACATCAGGACAGTCTCTGAGGCAGGGAAGAGTGGAGACTGCCTGTCTTCAATTTAAGAATTAGATGCTTAGATCAACCTCTTAAATAAAATGATGGCATTACTTTGATTCCAACATTCTATTTGATTATTGTCATCCTAATAACCAGTTGTGGCTGGCAAATCTAGAGTGAAACATGCTGCTAAAGAAATAGGAAGCTTATATTTCTCACTAGTACCTGTTTTTTACATCAGAGGGCATCACATATACTTTCACTGAAAATGCGGTTGACTTCCTGCCCAGGCATAAGGAACTAAATTTTATTATTTTAGTTCTCCCCCCAGATTCTGTACTTATTTGAGCTTTCAACAACTTGACTGTTAGGTTAAGTCCACACAGACAAGGCTTGGCAGCTCCTGGGGAGGTGGTTTAAGTGCTGTGTCAAGATCTGAACTGGCTCAGCTGACTTCAAAATTTCCCCAAACCACGGAAGTCCAGCTCTTTCTGGATATTATTTACTGCTCTTTTTTGTCCAAACAAGACTTCACTTATGTCTGGCAAACTCGTAAGAGGAGGTTGCTGCTTCTCCTCTCTCCTCTGGTTCTGCCCATAGTCTTTGCTCCCAGGCTGCCCATCAGCCTGGACACAGGAGTGTGCTCCCCAGGCCCACTGTGGGATTCTTCCCTTGAAGCCACCTCTCTGTTTACACGGAGGTCTAGGGAAGCAGGCACGCATTTTCCTTTGGTTTGGCTCAGCCATTTTTCTTGTTAGTTTTCTTCTTGAATAACCTGGTGAAGATGGGAGTTAGGGGAAATATAGACTTTCATCCCTGTTTCAAAAGCTTTTAAGAGTTCCTACTAAGCCAGGAAAAAGTAAGATTTCCAAGTATAATGGAATTTGGAAATGGAAACTAGTAGAGATCAGAGGTGGGAAGTAGTACAGAAATAAGGAAAAGTAACTCTTCCAGATAGAGCAATGTGTGTTTGTCAAGTCCCACATCTCTTACCCTTAATGCAAGACTCAGAAAAAGACAGCCAGAGTCACAGCAGATGGTTTTTGAGGTTTGTATCATGTAACTGTAACAAGATGAATGTCATCTTATTTTGAGGTGTAGTGACCATCTGGATACATGTTATATTATTTCATATCATCTCACTCCATAATTTCAGACAAACTATGTTATTGGCAATGGTGCAGACCAGGAGTAAGTTTCTGTTGAGATGCTACTTCTCATCCTTTTAAGTATTAGAAGAAAGGCTTTATAGGATAATGATTGATTAAAATGACATTCACAAATAATTTAAAGGAGAAAAAAGAAGTGTGTGTAGTAAGGAATGAGCCAGGCTGGGGGTGTGTTGTGGGGTAGCACAGGAGGATACTTCTGTTTGGGTTTGTTAGTCTGAGGGAGACAGCAGGGCATGGAGAAGAAATGCTTTATAGCAAACAGGGGCTATGGGAACAAAGTGCAAAGAAAAGGTTGGAACTGGGCTAGGGTTTTGGAAATTGTGCATGAAAATGATCAATGAAGCAGTAAGAAAGGGTTCTGAGCCTTGCTTAGAAGGACTGAGAACAGGGCAGAAGTTAAAGGGAGCCAGAGTTTACTTTAATGTAAGTGAGAATTTCCAAATAGAAGTGTGGCAGGAAAAGTCATCAGTAAGTAGGTCTAGGTTAATCTAAAGTCAAGCAGAGTTTCTGTAGGGCCCTGTGAAAAGAGACTGAGCCGCAGTACCAGCCCTGCCACTGAGCTCTGGCGGATGTTGGAGTTCATCCCAGTGGTTTATTTGTCTCTCTCTCCCACTGAACTGTGAGCTCTGTGAGGGTGGGATTTTTCCTTGTTTATTATTAAATCGTGAGTGCCCACTACAGTTCTTGGCACATGACAGGCACTTGACAAACATTCAATAAATAAATGAAAAGATGAATGAACAAACAAATGATATAGGCAGAGGATAAACGGGAATGTTTGGATGAAGGCAGCAAAAGTAGGAAGTCTTTTCTTGGGGCTGTGGTTTGTGGATAGAAAGCCCGGTGCTTCCCACAGAGGAGGCTCTGTCGGTCTGTGGATTGAGTGTGGCTTCGCATGGCAGCAGGGATACGTGACAGTCATTGCATGGGCCGGTGGGTCCTCAGATCAAGTACTATTGGGCCCCATAGCACTTAAGTCATTGTCTAGGAAAAGGTCATGACATAGGTCCAGCTTCCTCCCCAAGAACTGCTGGAGGTTCTTCTGGGGCAGGAGGGGTCGCTAAGCTGTAACACCGTAAATGCCTGTGGCATGGCCGTCTCCGCGTACCAGCCCACCGCCTTCACCACTCTGGCCACTGCAGATGAACGCTGCTGCTGCTTTTTCAGAAAGGTTTAGTGCTCTTGACCTCCATGCCTCTCTGCCCCGCCATATAAAAAAAAAACTTTTAATTATGATCAAATGCACATCACATGAAATTGACCATCTTAACCATTTTAAATGTGTATTTCAGTAGCATTAAGTGCATTCACATTGTTGTGTAACCAGTCTCCAGACTCTTCTCATCTTATAAAACTGAACCTCTTTATCCATGAAGCAACAACTCACCATCCCTCTACCTCTGCTTCTACCATTTTTGTCTAACACATAAACATCATGTTTTGGGACAATTCAGATTAAACCTCTAACTCTTCCCATGTCTTACAGATCTTCAGTGATGGCATCTGTGAGGCCAAAGGGTACACAGGAATAGCATTTGAGTCAAATATATACAGGCTCTGGGATGAGTGGCCCCTGGAGTCTCCCAGAAAGTGGGTTAAACCCTTTGGCTCCCCACAAATTCCTGCCCACCTGGCTGCCCACAGAGAGGCATGCAGAAGGCCAGGACCAGGAATGAGCCAGCAAAAATGAATGCAGCAAGTGGGATGTCCTCCTGGCTGGAAGCCTTTCATTGAGGGCTTCATCACCACCACCCACTCCAGACTCATTTGATTTCTTGCAGTGGGATTCTGACCTCCTGAATTCCTGGACCTGTCCAGATTCTCTTATTTGCACTCATTTCTTGCCTGCCCCTTTATCCTGTGGCAGCAGTGTGGGAATGCCTGTGCTCACAACTCCTGGACTTAGGGCATTTCTGGCCTTGAACTTGCCACCATCCCATTTAACACATACCTGCTGGAGGCCCTGCCTCTTACCCTTAAAATTGTTTTCTTTCAAGGTTCTTGTTACTTCCACAGCCAAGTGGCTTTTTCTTGCTGGCCCGAATTAAGGCCACAAACACATTCCTTTTGTTGCCTCTCTTACCCCTCAAGAGGTGGTGCTCTTGGCCAAGCCTGAAGTGTTTGTGTCTACATATACATGCACTACACACCTTTTATCAGAGATTCACCATGAATGCAAGCTCATTCCCCACAAAAATGAAATGGGATGCATTTGCTCCCTCAGCATCCTGGGCTGCAGGTGGACCTCTGCAGGTGGGGTGCCACTCTGCAGGCTTCTCCCTGCATGCTCTGCCTGCTTCCCATCAGCCTGCAAATGCAAGGCACCGAGGGAAAGAACAGAGGATGGTAATCTTCCTGTTCATGAAAATCCTATTATTTGCTTTTTGAAAACAGACATACACATGTGAACAGATGACTAAATATGCCAGGCAGTAAATGTAAAATGCCATCTGAGTTGAAGGGACTACATATCCGACATGAGTTCAGAGGCAAGGCCAAGATCACTTCCAGCTGTGGTGGTCAAGGCAGCCTTCCTGGAGGGAGATGTGCATGCAAGTGTGGTCCGAAGGGTGGACTGCCTTTGGGCTGGCAGGGAAAAGGGGTGAGGATTACAGATCGAGAAACCACACCCACCTTGAGGATGGGATGCAAAAAATGCATGCTTTTTAAATGCATTGTTTTAAAATATTTTAATTATGTGCTCTGCCTTTCTTATCTGGGTAAATGAGGAACACCATGTCTAATGCCCATTGTGAGGAACTGAAGCAGTGAATTGGATAGATGCAAAGTGAGCGTCTTGAGTAAGCTGTTCCAAAGTTTAGTGGTAGGTAAGATAGTAAGAAACCTGTTACAGCTGAATGCATAAATTTATTTCTGAAAAAATAATGGTGAGTAAAATTAGCAGACATCTGGAAGAGGCACACATTTCAAAGTTATTTTGGTCTGATCTATAAAGCGCACTATGAGGAATATGATTGGTAGCTGGTCTTAATAAACAGTTAGTGGGTTCTGCCTGCCTGAAATGCAAAACAGATGTATCTTTGTTCTTTTAAACTGACTTTGATGAATAAACTCTATGTGACGTCAGGTTCAAGCTATTGGATGTCTGATTCCTACTCAGAAATATTTTAGAATATAAAAAAAGTTTCCATGGTCAGCACTGAGAGAACAAAGTGAATTCCAGTTACATTGCTGTTAGTATTGAAGCAGGTTCAGAAATTCAGAGAGGCAGGCCTTCATCCAAGCAACCCCCTTTGGTATATGGGGGGCATTTTTTTTCTCTCTGCCACACCAAGGCACCCACCCATTTCACAGCTGTGAGCTCCGAGGGGGTTTGGTTTTCAGCCATCACTCTTGAGGCTTTTTGGTGGTGGTTATTGCTGTTTTGCTTATTTACAAATGTTCCCTAAAAGAGCAAGATAGGATTCTGCAGCAGTGATCCAGTATCTAGGGACTGTGTGATGCTGCCATTTCCCCCAATTTGCTTGGTTATGAGTGACGTGGGATTTTTAATCATTAGCATCTTGGCTTTGCTGGGTGTTTTTGGCAGGCTGACTCTCCAGCCAGCCCTGCACTGTGCTGTGTGCATCAGGAAACCGGCTCATTCTGCAGGTGTTTCATCCATAAACAAGCATCAGCCACAGGCTCCTCTTTCGTTTGACGGAAACCCTTTGGAATTTAACTTTCAGATACAAATACTTGGAACAGTTGGCAGCTGAGGAGCACGAGAAGGAGCTGAGAAGCCGGAGTGTGAGCCGGGGCAGAGCCGACCTCTCCTTGGACCTGACCTCGCCAGCAGCCCCAGCCTGCCTGGCTCCTCTGAGCCATAGCCCCTCATCTTCAGACTCTCAAGAGGCTCTCACGGTGTCTGCCTCCTCCCCAGGAACCCCTCACCATCCCCAAGGTGAGTACAGGGAGAGTAGAGGGAAAATGAACAGGTTAACATCAGACAGGCTTCCTCAGGGCAGTAGTGATGATTTCAACCTGCAGGCTAATACTGAGACAGCAACTATGGGTACACTTTGTTGGGGGAGGGGGGTTGTGACTGCAACTGCCTGGTCACTAACAAACTAGACGTCTTCAGAGCCACTTATATTAAAGCAAAATGATTCATCAAAGTTGTCAATGTATGGCCATGGAAAAAGGAGAATATGGAAAATAAGCTTTACTTTAACATTTAATCCTAAATACTGGAATATTCATTTAATACTTTATCATTTTGAGATGTGGGTCTGCCCAATCAAGTGACCAACATTCGAATGTTCTTACCCGAGGAACTGTTAGTCTGGTTTAAATTAAACTGAAGGAGAATAAAATTAATTACAGCAAGCAAAGAAAAATGTGGACCTAGTGAAAATAGAAGGTAAATATGGAAGAAGGAAAATAATTCAAATTGTAAAAATTACTGGCACATGGTTGGATGTGGGTGTGTGTGTGTACGTCCTTATGTACAGACAGGCAAGCTCTCCTGGGAGATATTCTGTCTTCTTCACTTTATTTGGAGAGGCGCGATGATATTGTACACTGCAGCCTTGAGCATCAGCTGTTTTCCTGCCTGCTCTGCATACTGTGGGTCCGTTTTCTTTCACATTAACACAGGGATGGTTCTCAGCAGCGTTTACACAGTGTGTGTTGACTAACCCTCCTGCTAGCACTGTTTGCTTTAGTCAAGTGTTATGGCTTACAGCCTGATGTAGACTTAGCCAATTGAAGACAGCAGAGGCATTAAGCTTTTAATTCTAGGAGGGTTGACTAAATATGGCATAAAGTTTAATTTAAACAAGGCCGGACTCCATGACCTTAGCAGAACTGGATATAATGGAACGATATTGTCTGTCCAATTCTTTGCTGGCTCTCCAAACCTTGGCTCATTCTGCTGGAGCGGGCCGGCTCCTCCACAGCTTCCCGTGACATCCCGTTACTCCCGATCCCTGAGCCATGGAAGATTGTCCCAGGCAGATGGCTCAGTCATGGATGAGTAATGTCGGTCTTAAAATATTGAGACTCTGAAAGTCAAGAAAAGAGACTGTTCTATAACAGCCGTGTGCTTTCCAAACCCTGCCTTATATCATTGCTATTATCTACGTTGTGGTATTTCCAGAGGCAATATGAGAGATATCCTCCTGCAGAGTTGTGGTTCAGCACTTTATCCTGGGACGTTTAACTAAAAGTTGTATCTCCCGTCCTTTACAGAATGATTGTCTAAACTGTGAAGTACAGAACAGCTCCGAGCTGAGAGGGAATTGACAGTGTCTGTAAATGTCATTTGTCCTCAAATTTTTAATCTCCTTGATGTTTGTGGCAAAAGACAATTTCTCTCCTTGATGTTTGTGGCAAAAGATAATTTCTTACGTATTTGATTGAATTACAGTTTAACTCGAGACCATTCTAGCCACTGCAAAAGAATATTTCAGCTTCAGTAAGAATACAGAAAATAGTCATTTCATGTATACGTGGGTGTGTGTGTGTGTGTGTGTGCGTGTGTGTGTGTAGTATGCATTTGGGGAAGATATGTCAGTATGCTTTCAAAAGAATATTTGCAGCTGGGCACAGTGGCTCTTGCGTGTAATCCCAGCACTTTGGGAGGCCGAGGTGGGTGGATCACCTGAGGTCGGGAGTTCAAGACCGGCCTGACCAACGTGGAGAAAACCGGTCTCTGCTAAAAAAAAAAAATACAAAAAAATTAGCCGGGCGTGGTGGCGCATGCCTGTAATCTCAGCTACTTAGGAGGCTGAGGGAGGAGAATCGAACCCAGGAGGCGGAGGTTGCAGTGAGCCAAGATTGTGCCATTGCACTCCAGCCTGGGTGACAGAGTGAGACACCGTCTCAAAAATAAAAAAAAAAAAAAAGAATATTTGCAAGTGTTATTTTCTCTTCAGAGAAGGGATTAATAGAGACTGAGAGAATGTTTGACCAAAATTACACAATAAATGATACCTGCTTCTGAAAGAGGAATACTGGGCTTGAATCTGCATATAACCAAGAATTCTAGCATCATTTGATGTTGTTTGCTTTTTTCCTGGAAAAAAGTCAAAAGTACTGGCTCCTGTGAGATCTAGAAGAGCTGTCCATTGTATGTTAAGTAATCAGGATCCAAATCAGCAAGAGCAAACAGTCTTCCTTGTCCTGATATGTAATTGATTTATAAAATTGGACATCGCAAGTGTATGAAAAGATGGTGGTCTCAGAAAGAACCGCAGAGGTTTCCTTCTGCTTTGTAGACATTGGCCTTTATGACAGAAATGCAAAGTTGGTGTCACCAAGTTTTTCTCAGCCTACTTTATTCTTTGAAGCATTCTGTTAGCATCCAATTAATAGTATATTCTTTTTACCAAGTCCCATTTTCAAATGTTCAAAAGTAACCTTTTGCTTATCCCTAGCATTTCCAGTATCCTGACATCTGGAGGAAGAATTAAAAATATAATCACACATCCAGATGTTGGTCCTGCACCAAACACCTGGCATGTCCAAACGTGCCAGGGATTGCCTTGCTTTTTCACTCTTTATCCTTGTGGGAACATGCAATCATAATACGCTTCACATTTTTGTAGTGCTGTGCCCCTTTTTCCCAAACGTATCTGGGTAGGTAGGGGAGATGTTATTATCCATGTTTTACTGAGGCCCAGATAGATGGAAAGCTGTGCTTCAGACCATCTTGGCACAGTGCTGGGAGTGTAATTAGTGTTCTGATGCCCATCTCAGCCATTTGTCATGGAGTCATGGCTCTACCATGTTTGCATTGCTATTCATATTAATGCCACACCATCCCTTTGCTAACCCTCTCACCAACATCTGCAAAAATTGCAGCCTACATTTCAGAATTATATTTACAAGAAAAGGAAAAACTAATATTTGTTATTGAATTTTCTGTGCCTCAGGAGTACAGGTCCCTTTATGGGTTCTTTCTTTTATAACTCCTGTTTCAGATTCTGAAGAACTTTTGAAAGAAGAAGATAGGAAAACATTAAAAACTCCTTTTCCTTTTGTCTTACAAAACGTACTTTTTAAAAGGGAAAGGCTAATGATAAATACTGATAGCATGATATGCCATCTAGTGAGATCTCTCAGCCAAAAGCTTCCCCAGGTTAATCTGCTATAACTTTTGTATGAATGATGCCCCTAATCCCCACCACCAAGTCAATACATGCTTGAATTAATTTTCCATCTGACCCTCTTGTGGGCTTAGCAGATGTATGTCCCCATACTGCCTAGACTTGGTGATGATGGTCTAAGTACTTTCCTTCTTTCTAAAAGTACCAGCCCAAGGGAGGGAAAGAAAGACATACACACGCTCCTGTTTGCACTGTGTTGGAATTAATGGAGTCAGCCAGCCCAAAGTTTGGGCAAACATGGAAAGGCATCTCTTCATTCATTGCTTTGATATCTTTTCCTTATTTTCACTGATCCCTGGGGGTAGACATCAGAATATCTACTTAGTAAGTTTATTTCCTATTATTTTTAGAAACTCATAGATGATTCTGAAAGCACCTAAGTGATTCTCTTTGTCAGAAAAGGTACAGTGTTCTTATTAGGATAGAGTTCTTCAACATAATTCTTGAGAAAGTTTCTCTGAGGATGAAAACTAATAATAATAATCTGTGTACCCATAAGTAAAGTCAAGATAGCCAGATAACCTCTTATCACAATTTATGTCAGATCCAGGTAACCTATTTCATGGAAACAGAATAGAGAGAAACTACTCACCTGAAAACCATATGTTGATGGTGGTCCCTGGAGGGCATCCCGGGGTTAAGCTGCCTTCTCTAGAGAGCTAGAACTATGTTCCCTCCTTGCTCCCTCTTGTAAACGAGTCCCTCCTGAGGCCAGGTGGAGATAAATGGCATTTCCCAGTGGAAGGAAGCAGCTGTCAAGAATTTAGAAGTGGCTTTCACCCACTAACCTAGCCATGAAAGCAAAATTATGTCTACAGTATTTTATTATGAGCTTGATACTCTCCATATTGCACACAGAAATAATACATCACAGATACATTTGAAAATGATGCCACACTATATTATTTTTATTTATGTCAAGGAAAAATACGTTTGACAGTGATTTTTTTCTCTACCTGTAATTGGATTCCAGGGTATTTCCAAATGTCTGATTGTTTGGCCCTGGGGATATATACGGCCTATATGGCCATGGCCTACTCACCAGCAGACATTATTGACAAAGGTTAATGATACTTCCTGTCACAGATGCAGGCATTTAAAGTATGGGTAAATATGGCGATTCCTGTAGCCTCCTGATCCTCAAACCTGGAAATAAAATTTAGACATAGAGTATCATGAAATGTTTAGTTTGTCTAAATGATTTTTCCTGTGGGCATCCATTTGTCCTTTTGGCTGTCATCATTGTTAGCGTTGACTGTCTTTGTCATCTTCGTTGTGGAAGATGTTCTGAGTCTCCTTCAGGTGTAGGGACTCTCTGAGGTTATCTAATCCACACAGCAGAAATCAGAAACATCTGGTATCCTATTTCCAACTGGCACGGTAGCAATGGAATATTGTCCATCATCAGCCTAACACTGCATGCTAGTTCTCTTGCATAAACCTTTTGGATGCCTCCAGTTCAGTGTTTCATGAATTGGCAGGAAACTAGATTCCTTGTGGTTCTATGACTCAGGGCTGCCTCCCTCCCTGCCTCACCTGACTGCTGCTACTTGATACCATTTTGTCAATTGGACAAAATCTTTCAGCAACTCTACCCAAGGCTGAGGTCCTACCTGCTACACCTGCTGTGGGCAGCCTTTGCAAATCATCGAGTTTTTCTGCCTTGCCATTTCTCAGTCTCTAAAAATTTCCCTTTTTCTCCTCATAGAAATGACAGTTGTCTGAAGTGTGTCTTCTTGCATCATATTTGGAAACATTAATTGGGATTGAGTCCTTCTGAAGTAGACAAAGTATATACCTTAAGTAAAGATAGGCATAGAATGGCACTGGAAAAGTTGGTAAAGAAGAGCATTATTTCTAAGGCAAGAGAATAGCTTGAACCCAGGAGTTCAAGGCTGCAGTGAGCTATGGTCTCGCCACAGCACTACAGCCTGGGTAACAGAGCAAGACCCCAACTCCAAAAAAAAGAGAAGGGGAGGTGGACATTACCTGATCAAAATTATTATTTCCTAGGCAGCTATTAGGTGTCAAGAGCTATGAAGGAACTGAAACATTACCCTATTTGTAAGCTAATGTGCTGCCTTGCCACAATTCCGTGGATGCTGGCAGAAGACACAAAATTCCTGGGTCAGAGACAAAGGACTTCATTACTTCTAGTGATAGCAATAGCCAGAATATCAACATTTGTGCCATTTCCCCAAGCCTCAGTTCCCACAGGGTGATGTGAATAGGGCCCAGTAAAACATGCAGGCACATTGTGGGGAACCTGGGGAAAGGAACCCTGAGCCTTGGGGACCTGAACTCTTTTATAATGGGCGGTAAACATGCCTTCCGTTTGTCCCAGAGGGAGACATTGTCTTTATTACAGTGGGCAATAAACCAACCAGATCTTTGCTCTAGGGAGACCCTATCTTCTAAGAGAAGACCCTGTCTTCTAAGGCTCCTTGCTATGCACACATCCTTAGAAAGATAGTGCAGAAAAGACTATCAATGCCTTTGCTTGCAAGACTGAAGAAACGTGGGAGAGCTGTAGATAGTTGTTTCCTAATATTAGATTATAATGGTTTTAAATCAACCTTTACTATGAAATTTGTATCCTAAAGTCTGTTTAGTGTAAACAAAAAATTCAAGTTTTGAACAGCAATTAGCTTGTTCTTATTTAACAAAAAAGAAAGTGCCTCAGGAGCTACAAGACCTCGCCTGGAGCAGGCACTTGGGATGAACAAGTTTGCTGCATCTGGAGACACTCACAGAGAATCTGGCTTGTTGGCTGGGTGAGACATCTGCACCTTTCATCCCAGGTGGGAGCCTTGGGTCAGTGCTTTCAGGTGCAGTCAGGAGGCTCCACATGTCAGGACAATGAGGGTTCTTGAGCCACAGTGGTACTTTGAATTTCCAGACAATGACTGAGACTGGGGAAATTAGCAAAGGAGAATAACTCTGGGGCTCCTTCTAGCATCCTTGTCCATGCTCAAGATCTTAATCACTACTCTGCTATCTCCACCACTCCCCCTTTCCCTTCAGCAGCCCTGCTTTCCCCCATCCATCTTTGGAACACATTTGTTCAAAATGATACAACACCTGCAGTATGGCAAGACACACTCACGTTGACTTTCTGGTACCTGAAATACACTTTTTCAGGAGAACCTCTGGGTTCAGTGACCATGCAGTGTGTTTCATCTGCCTCTGGGCATGATATGCATCTTTGGAGCCTTTTGAATTTGTAACTTCTGTGAGAAGGCTGCCTCTGCCAGATACATCGGGAAGTTCAAGTCGCTTTTTGTTGACTTTCTGGATCCATCCCCCTCTGGATGCCTCTTTGTCCTCTAGATCATCTCCAGGCTAAACAGGATAGTTGCCTTTTGAGTCGCGTGCATTTCTCATTGTTTTCTCAACATTTGTCTTAGTCTTTTCTCATTGTTTGGTTGCAATCCTCTCACTGACTCCTCTTCTGCCTTTTCACTACGTGGTGGGTTTTTCTGAAGTTCCTCTCCAGCTCCTCTCTATCTTCATACACATCCTCTCACTGGGCCCTCGCATTCCACCTGTGATTTTTACCTACCTCCCATATGCCTTGAATCCCTGAGGTCTGTACTGCCAGCCTTGGCCTCCCTGAGCTCAGGGCGTGTGTATTGCACTTCCCCAGCCATCTCCACTAAATGCCCCTCCAACTCTTCAGACCCACCAAGTGCCAGGCTGAGGGCTGTTCAGATGGAAGGTGATGTCTATCTCTCATCCAGAAACCCCCACCCGAAACCTGCTTATATTTTCTAGTCCCCACCTGGTTAAGGCTATCTCTCGTGGCCCAATCATTTAAGCTGGAACATTCATATAATTTTTGATTCCTCCTTCAACACTTACCTTACATCCAATCAATCCCCAAGTGTCTTTTGTGTTGTTTTCTCTCAAATCAGCCCTCTTTCTTTTCTCTTCATTGCCATTGCGTTAGTCCTGGCCTCAACCATCTCTGATCTGGGCCATTTCAATCACTTCTGATAGGTTTCACTTCTTCCAGGCTCTTCTCAGCAACCCAATTTAAAAAAAAGATCTCTGTACCTTTTCTTAAAATTATCGGGTGGCTCTCCAT
The DNA here is from genome assembly GCF_000001405.40 of Homo sapiens. Lineage (NCBI taxonomy): Eukaryota > Metazoa > Chordata > Mammalia > Primates > Hominidae > Homo > Homo sapiens. Next base: position 36,700,719 of record NC_000018.10, read on the forward strand.
TATCTACCACATAAATTCAGATCTTATGTGGCATTCAAGACCCTTTGTACCCAGTACCAACCACCACAGCCACCCCCCAACAAATGTTATGCTCCATCCACACCAAACCACAGTCAGTACCTGAAAATGCCATGCTCTGTGCTTGGAGTGCACTCTTCCATTGGGTGCCCCCTGGACTCTTCATCGAGCTGAGGCATCTTCTCTTCTCTAAAGCCGCCCTTGATCCCTCTCTTGTGTTTCCCTTGCATCTTGTGCACAGTTGGGATGCAGGGCTTACCTCACTGTCCATGTGATAAGTTGCTCCTCCCAAGCATCTACGTGTGCCTCGGGCAGGGCACGTGCCTGTGCCCACCTTTGTTATTCCCAGTGCTTGGAGCAGAACAAGCATTCAGTACATGGGTTATGAGTTGGCGAATGGTCAAGCATGACAAAAGAAAGCAGACTCATGAATCTGCAGAGACAGCTGTTTCCTCTCTACCCAGGAAGAAATTTATTACATGAGCCATGGGTGGAGGACACATCTTTGACTATGCAGGCCACTCCATAAGGACTGAATAAATGATGTTGGTATAATTAATAGAGAGGAAACTTTTACAGAGAGTTGACATATCTGGGCCATTTCTTTCTGAGGATCTGACTCTAATAGAATAGTCACCCTATATGTTATCAATATGAGAATAATTGAACCTGAAATTGCTTCTTTTTTATCCTGTATGATACTACAGTAGCATTATATACATATTTAAGCAAGTGAACTTAATCAGAAGCGTAATCTGAGGGGCAAGAGTGGGAAGTGGAAATTCTAATTTAAATAGCGCTTTTAATCCTGTCTAACATTCATATTAAGTGCATGTCCCTGAGGGAGCATGACCACAAGGAGCATAGATCTTTTCTTCTTTTCCTTGAACCATTCCTGATTCCAACGTGCCCCTTGTCGTATGAACAATTTGCTGCTTCAAATGTGAGTTTAGAGTTTACAGATTTGTATTTGGGGGTAACACAGCCCATGAATGCAATCCCAGCACTTAAGGAGTTCCACTGACGCTAAATTAAAACCGTGATTGTCAAAACCATGGAGAAGTTATGGGATCTATAAGGTAGCACTGTCCAAAGGGACTTTTGAAGGTAATTTTGACTATACATGGTCAAAATTGTTCGGGTCAAGCAGGTTCAGGCCTAAGCCATCTCTGAAGTCATCTTCAGTGGGGCTTAGGTCTGAACCTCTGGAAAATCAAACTCTGAAACTTGAGGACAAAGCATGGCTTAACTTTTAAGGCATAAAAATTAGGCTATTGAATCAGTATTTTGCAAGTGATAAGCTGTCTCTTTTGTGAGGCTTGAGTAGAATTTCTTTTGTGAAGCTGAGTTTGTGCCCATCCTCATGCAACTATTCCTGTAGAGCAGTGATTCTCAACCAGGGGTGAGTTTGCTCTCCTGGGGGACATTTGGCAGTGTCTGGAGACATTTTCAGTTGCCACAATAGCAGAGGAGAAGTGGAAGGTTGGTGCTGAAGCCTCTAGTGAGTAGAAACCAGGGATTCTGCTAAACATCCTGCAGCTCATGAGACAGTCTCCCAGAAGAAGGAATTATTCAACCTAGAATACCCAGGTACCCAGGCTGAGAAACCTTGCTCTAGAGTGAATCCAAGTGAACAACCTAGGAAGAACTGGTCTAACACCAAAGGCAAAGTCTAAAAGATTTTGAAAGTTGTAAGCTTTTTTCTCTTGGGACCTTTTTCAGATTTCTGTGATTAAAACACACGTCTGTAGTCAATCGTGTTAGTTATTAGCTCTGAGCTGGGGAGGTCCCTGGAATCTACACAGTTTGGAGCAACTATTATAGAACTGGCTGGCCCAGCCCTTGGTTTCATAAGACCTGCCAGAAAGCCAAGTCCTGGCAGAGTCATCTAGACACTACCACAGATTGAAATCAACTGAAGCCACCCAGAGATGTATCAAGTTCAGAACTTTCTACCACCAATTTATCACTTCAAAGAAAAATTGCATAACCAGAAATTCTAATTGGACACTCTGAACTCGGCTGTCAGGGACGTGGATGAAAGCAACATTGAAACATTCCTGCCCACTGTGTGTGTGTGCGCGTGTGTGTGTGCACGTGTGCGTACACGCTTAATTCCAGGAATGATTATGTACTTCTTGATTGCTTAAGTCACCCACCACACAGTATAGCCCTGTGATTAACAGCCCGAGCTTTGCAGTCCAGCCAATCCAGGTTCAAATGCAAGCTCTGCTAGCATGAGCTCTGCTTAGCAGTGAGGTCCTGTTGGTCAGAGGGTTGCTGAATATATTCAGTGAAGGGACTGTTTACAGAGGTATAGGGAGGTCATGGGACCATCAAAATGTGGTGATGCTTCACCCAGAGACTAGCGGTCGTGGGACACTGTTCCCACCTTCAGGCCTGAAGAAACTTGGTGAATGACTAGGACTTGGTAAGAGTTGTGGCCAGAGGAGAGAGACCAAGGGACAGAAACAGTGGCCTGACAACCTCTGCCAAACTAAGGCCCTACGTGAAGGAAGCAGGGGTGTTAATATCCCAGTTTCCTTCTTCCTACCTTTGCTAGAACTTCCAGGGGCTGAGCCAGGGAGAGGGAGAGCAAATACAGCTGGTGTTCTGTGCGGGAGTCAGCATCCTCAGGCACAGAGCAGAACAGAGCATGGATCAAACAGTCAGAGAGTAGCCAGCCTACTGTGTAGCTCTGGGCAAGTTGCTTAACCTCTCTGAACATGTTTCCTTATTTCTCACATGGGGACATCAATCTTCACTTTATATTGTAGGTGTGGGAACCAAAGAGGATGATGTAATATGATTCCTGGTACAGCATCTGGGTGTAGAAGGTGCTCAATATGTAGTAAGTTTGATTTTTACTGCACTTAGGCAAGCAGGACCTGATGTCCAGTGAGGTTTTGGGGACCAGATGAGGAGTTGGTGTTGGGATTTGGGAGGGACAAAGAAAACAAGATTGTGTGAGTGATGGTCTGCCCTGGCGGACTTCATACAGGGACCAGCTGGCCGAAGTCCTCAGGCCGGCTCGTTCCTCATTTCTCTCCTCATTTTGCGACCTGCATGAGGAAAGCATGGTCACATTCTCCATCTGACGGGGCAGCCTTTATATTCTTACACCTAAGAAAAGCACTTAGTTTCTCCCCCCTTCCATGGGTTCTCATGTTGATGGGTTCCCATCCTGGTTTCCCAAACCCCACTCACTCCAGTAATGTCTGTTTCTTTGGGGTGAAGAATTCCTTTTAGTGGCTGTGTTCTGGTTATGGGTCCTTCCCCACAGGGTGGTTGGTGACAGCCCAGTACCCTGTTATGTCTCTTTGAGGATACCCTGGACCCCTTCTTTTCTATTACTTCTTCCACCTTGCAGAAAGTATCCATTACCACATCCTTTTATGCAGTTTAGTGTTGATTTTCTTCTTTGGCCCTTCTATTCCCCCTACCCCAACCTTCAAATCTAGCTGCAAGCCCTCGGAGCCAGGTCAGTGCAGGCTCTGGCCAAACACATTTTTCTGGTCTTTGCTAAGTGCATCCTAGCGATGCTGAGACCCCATCGATCTGCGCTCTTGGGCTGTGACCCAGGAAGACAGATCCCAGTTTTGGATGCCTGTAATGTTACCAGGCATTCCTTGCCATGTCTTCCTTTTATTTCCAAATGCACGCCCACTGCTAGGAGAAGGGTTGCCTGGGCACCTGGCCCAAGTCCTTCCTGCAGTTCCCCTCCTCCCTTGCACAGCCCAGGAGATGCAATCAGATCTTTGTGTCCTTCCTCCATCCAGGGTGGTTATGGACAAGCATGGTGAGCCGTGGCATCTCTTGACCTGCTGGGTTTGGGGTATCACAGTCACTCCTGAGCCTCCCTTGAAGATGCTTAGAGGCATTACATGCTGGGGAAGGGACACTCTGCTCCTTCCTGCCTGGCCACCCTGGCACGGGCCTTCACTGTTCTCTCCTGGCCTCAGCTTTCTGAGGGTAATACCAGAGCCCTCCCCATAGAGAGATCGTGAGGGCTTCGGAAGGCAGTTCCTGTGAAGTGCTCAGTAACCATTCCTCAAAGGGAGCCAGCAGCCCTGCGGAACTCCCTGCCCCGCTCCGGTGTGAACACGGTTCCTCCCCCAGCTGATGTCTGGGATGGAAAAACCTCCTGCTGTTCAGAGTCTCAGTCCCTTACCCATGTGTTCTTCCAGTGGTGCTGTGTTTTTATTTTCTTTTTCTCTTGAGCTCCACTGATTGGTGTTCACCTCTTCCTCCTCTGTCTCTCTCTCTAAGGTTTGCTTCGTGGACTCTTGATTCCACACTGACTAGGGGCCTCACTCCACAGCTCGCAGGCACACCCAAGCTGTTCCCAGCAGAAAGCCTTGCTTGCCTGTGATGCAGGTGGAGACAGGGCTCACCTCAGACAAAATGAAACACAGAGCAGACATCACTGTCCTTAGAGTAAAGTCCCAGATCCCTCCATCAACACACAGCGCTGGTTGCCCTGGCCCCTGACAACCACCCAAACCTCCTCTCACTCCTCCTGCCAGGCCACGCAGCTTTCATTCCCTCCGGCACGCAGTGGGCTCTGGGTGCCTGCATGTGCACTTCCCTCTGCCCAGGGCATTCTCAGCATTTCCCCCCTTTTAACTCATTTTTACCCCTTGAGACTCAAACATCATTTTGCCACAGAGACTTACGTTCCAGGCCTTGCCAAAGACCCTTGCCATGCCTTCCCAGGGCACCGTGCATTTTATCTTACACATCCATCACTCTTACAAAAGTATTTTCGTTATTGTGTCTGCTGGCAGTTGAGAGGTGGGGGTTTCCCTGTGCCCACTGGTGGCAGAGCTCACTCACTTTTGCCACACGGATATCACGGCAGGTTGTTCAGGATCCTCTCTAATCTGCTTCTCTCTAGCCTCTGTGACAGAGCTAGGTCAGTCTCATGGGTCGCTGTGTCTGTCTTTCACCACCAACACCACATTTTCAGGCCAGAGAAAGGCTCATTAAATTCTGGGACTGGTAACAGTGAGAAGTTGTAAACATTCCTAGGAGGGAAACAAGCACCTTTTCTCCCTAGTTGTTGCCAAAGGTCATAGCTCCCTTTAGGACTTTTCCTACAGGATTATATGGTTTCTCCCGTTTCCTCGGGACTTGGTGGGTATAAATGAGACGTTTTCCTGCATTTTCCCAGAGGGCAGCAGACCTGGCTTAGAGACACTCAGAAGGAACTGTGTGTGTGTGTGTGTGTGTGTGTGTGTGTGTGTGTGTGTGTGCACGGAGAGAAGTATGAGTGAGGGAAATCCTGCTGAAAGATAATGGGAAAGGGGAGGAGAAATGTTCTGGAGTTCGGTGTGGAGTCTCAGGGCTGTCCTGGGTGCTTCCTGAGTATCAGTAAGAATGCTGTGAGCAGACGCTGGCCCCAGGACCACGCTGGGGCCCTCCAGCAGGAGAGGAAGGCAAGGTCTTGGCCCTCAGACAACTTTCCTGTGTTTGATTAAGACAGCTAGAGAAGGGCTCTGCCGTGGACCCTGGCAGTTTTGCTTGACTTGAATGTGTGTGACAGTTATTTAATTTGTTCATCATTAGGATGGCCTCAGATTTGCAATCAGACCTTGTAGACACTGAGTCATGTATTCTGGGCAGGAGATGACTTTGCCGATTACTACCTCCCCAGCAGTCATGAAAAAAAGATACCACCCCAGTGGTTGAAATCACAAATTGAAATACCTGATTCCAAGAAGTTAGGCCCTAGTGTATTGGGATGAAATTGTACTCCTCCCCCACAAGAGTGTGGCTTTTCCAGAGCTCGCGTGTCTGTTAGCACACCTGCCCAGGCAGCCTAATCAGGGCCAGAGCCGCTGCTTGGGTAGAGTCCTGCATGTTCAGTGGAATGGAACATGGCAGTGCACACCCGCAGGCTGAAGTCAAATAGCCATCAATCACAGAGCCTCCCTACTTTGCCCAGATCCCTGGGGTGGTGAGTAGACACAGGCTTATGGCAGCCAACTGACCCCATGTCCCTGTCTGTAATGAAGCCGCCAGGAGGGGCCCTTGCTGGTTTTCACCATATGCTTACCAATTAAAACTTCAGTCCATGCCACATGCTGGGCTGTTGGAAACACATTTTTGTTTTGATGTGGCTATTTTGAAGTCCATGTGTGCAAAAACATGTGCTTTCTGTCAACCAAATGATGACGCTGCCGCTGCTGAGGCTGTGCTCTTGCCATGCTTGTAAAATTAATGGGGTTTTGTATCTCTCCTAAATACTCTATTATCAGATGAAAAAGAAATTACCATAAAAATTCCTTCAGTACCAAAGGGAATGTTTCTAAAAGGCCTGTTCACTCCATCCCATGACCCAGCACAGTTTTTACTTTTAAGGAAGAGTGTATGATGCTCTCATTCTCAGACACGTGGCCTCACAGCTGTGTGCCCATTGGCTTCCTTCTGTAACTGCCACCCATGAATCTCTGTCTGGAAACTATGCCCTCAGATCTCCAGTTCCTAAAGCCTTCCCCTCTTGGGATGCCCAGGAGGGACAGCCCCTCAGCTGCAGGGGGGTCTTTGCTGCCCCTCCCCATGTCCTCCAGCCTTCCCTGGAAGCAGGTTCCTGCCCCAGGCTGGAGTTCCCAGTAGAAGATGCACAACCTGTAATCAAAGGAGAGGAATTTACTCCTCCACCCCCAAATTCCTACCTGGCACTTGGGGACATTTCCACGGAGGAGTGGGATTTGGAAGTTGCCCAGGAATATCAGGAAAGGTGACATTTCATCTGCTCCACTGCATCTTCCCTGCCCAGCTAACTCCCTGACTCATCCTCAGAGGATGGCAGCCTGAGAGCAGATGAAGGATTGGGGGGTGATGGCCCCGTGGGTCCTGAAGAATGAGTTGCTGGGAAGCTGGGGTTAGCTGGGCCCCCTGCCTAGTGAGGCCTGAATGTCCCTTTCCCTTAGTAATGCCCATGCCCAGCCTGCTGGGGGGCTGGTTCTGTGCACCCCATGGCCAGCCGTGCCCATTACCTGGTGCCGCAGGATGCCTCCACAGAGAGCTGCCCTGATCTGCGTGTTCTCATGGAATCTGGGCAGGTCCCTTCCAGCCCCTGCCATGCGTAGACCCTGCCAGAATTTCTGTGTTGCTTTGAGCAGTGTGTACCTAGGGTTCAAGCACACACCCTTAGAGTGCATTGCCAGGGTTCCAGAAGAGTGGGCTTTGCTCAGCCTGAGGGCAGTTCCCTTAAGAGTGAGCCACCCTCCTCCAGCCTTCATGTGTGGCAGTTGGCTCAGAATTTTGTGTATTCTCGATCATTTTGCTACACATCCACAGCTCATAGCTGAGGGTTTTGCTCAGAAAAAATAAATAAATAAAAATAAAAAAATTTTAAAAAAGCATAAGCCAGATTGTGCCATTTCCCTGTTCCCTAGAGTGTCACACGAGTGAGAACATGATCATCTTACCTCAGTGACAGCATCAAATCTCCAGCGTTGATAGGTTTGCAAATAGACTGTGACCATGAGTGATTCTTCCAAACTGCTTTCAAAATCTCAAACTAACTTCACATTATGAGCAAATATAACCCAAGAAAAGGGTGATGAACCTCACTGGTTCAGCCAACTGATTTCAGGACACATTAGCTGTTTTTCATCAGCTTGATCCACCATGGATTTTGTTTCTCTTTCCCTAAACAGGCAAAAAGGTTATATATTAGTTTCGTATTGCTGTGTAACAAGTTTCCACAGACATAGCGATTGGAAACAACACTCGTTTATTATCTCACAGTTTCCATCTGTCAGAAGTTTAGCACAGCTCAGCTGAGCTCTTGACCTTGCCTGTCCACTGCCACAAGGCTGGAATTAAGGCTGCGGCTGGCTGGGCTCTTATTGGGAGACTCTGGGAAGAGTCCACTTCCAGCCTCATTGAGGGTGATAGCAACATCCAGTTCCTTGTGCCCACAGAACTGAAGTCCCTGTTCCTGGTAGGCTGTTGACCAGTGGTGGTTCTCAGCTTCTAGAGGCCACCTGCATTCCCTGTCAAGCAGCAGTGATGTGGCAGATCCTTCTCCTGCTTCGAATCTCTGACTTCCTTTTCTGCTGCCAATTGGAAAACTCTCTGCCTTTAAAAGCCTTTCCTGATTGGATCCAACTCATCTAGTAAACCTCCATATCGTAAGGTCACTGACTAGGGACTTTCCTGTCATCTGCACAATCCCTTCACAGCATTGCCTCGATGAGTGTTTGAATAACCAGGGCATAGGTCTCTTGGGGGCCATCTTTGGACATCTGTCCACCACAGAGAAATCAACCTCACATTCATTCTCACCTCACTTCACCCTTCCAAGAAATCTGTCGTCAATATAATCTCCATTGTTGTCTCCACCAGCAAGTGCCGGGGATCCTGAACCCGAATCAGAGGCAGAACCGGAAGCAGAGGCAGGGGCGGGGCAGGTTGCTGATGAAGCTGGCCAGGACATAGCCTCTGCCCACGAGGGTGCAGAGACTGAAGTGGAGCAGGCACTAGAGCAAGAGCCGGAAGAAAGAGCCTCCCTCAGTGAAAAAGAGAGGCAGAACGAGGGGGTGAACGAGAGGGACAACTGCTCTGCCTCCAGCGTCTCGTCCTCCAGCAGCACGTTGGAGAGGGAGGAGAAGGAGGACAAGCTCTCCAGGGACAGGACAACTGGTAAATGAAGCCCCTTGTTTCAGTCGGCATGTGCCAGGGAGGCCTGGGGTGCAGGGGCTGGTTCTCTAAGAGCTTGTCCACAGGCTGGCCTCTGAGGTGACCTGGGTCAACCCACTCATGTGGCTGTGTCACCCAGTGTCTGGGGACAAGGAGTGTGGCCACGCTGGCAGCCAGCCAGCAGCCTTCTGCCCTGTAGAAAGACAGCCCCCAAACTGTCTGCCACACCATCACATTCATCACCTCCACACCTGGGGAAAAGGGCCCCGATAAGGAGGGCTTTTCCTGAGGAATAAGCCCCAGAAGAGAAACCTCTCACTTCCCCCTGACTGTTCCATTGTGAATAATAGTAAGGTTGATAATAGTAAGGCTTTTTCCGTTTTTGATATAAGTTTAGAAACTGTCACATTGTCATCTATTCCTTTAAAAATGTGTTTACTGAAGTGTGTTAATCATTTTGACTGGACATTTCAGACTGGGAAAGATTTGTTTAAATGGATTGAATGAGTATTTCCAAAAAATTGTACACAGTTTACTGAGGTCAATTTGATGTACTGGAATATAGATAATTTGTTTTCTATATTACACTCATAACTATTCTTTTCTTTGTATAAAGTATATGCTTTTCCTTATGGAAGTATATCTTTTTGATGTTACACTTAATACTCATTCAGTTCTCCTATGAATGGTAACTTTAGAATTAGGGACCAAATGGAATGTTAGATTATAGGTTTGGTTTAGCCTGAAAGAACCTCACCAAGGACTTGAGAAGGGTGCCACAGAGGGTTATAGGAATCGTGAATAATTCATATGATCTGTGACACCACAGGATTACTTTTCCTACCCATGACTTGTGTGCTATCAAGGTGGTAGAATGCCTCCTTCCTCAACAAACACTCCTAACCAGTGGAGTCATGTCTTATGGGCCAGCCTTTCTTAAGCTACATATGAGTGGCACCCACTCGAGTCGATGTCTTAGGCCCAAAGGGCAATATGACACCTCTACAAAGGCCTGCCAACCAGTGCCATGACCCATGAATGGCTTATTCATTCCTAGATTAAAAATACATTGTCTCAGAAGCATGGATGAACGAATGAATGAAACCAGAATGTCTTCCAATAGACCTGTCAGTCAATGGCGTAGTCTAAAATAGTTACTATTTGGATTTTTTCCCAGTTAGAATATACTACTAGATTTTATGCTTTATATTGCTGGTCACTATGATGCAGTAAAAACAAGAAGATAAAAGACTTTATTAGTTTACATCTTAGGAATTATTGCATTGAAAATCCAGTGTCTTCATTTGGTTGAATATGTATGTGCCAAGAGGTATTATATATACTGATATTTACTTAATTTCTTTCAAAGTCAGATTACAGTTAGTCCCCCAAATTCTTCTTATCATTCATATTAATGTAATTATTGTCATAATACTGGGTGTAGGGTAAGTCTTATTGATCAGATTGGTCTTAAATCATGTTTTATTTATTAGGAATAGCTTTAAGAATTATTAATCATAACTGGGTTTAGCAGGCCTAAAACATATCAAGAAATTGGATTAGTAAAAATATACCAGGCGACAGGGCTTTCTTGGATCAGATTGTCCAATATTCTTCCAAAGAAGGACAATTTTCCAAAAGTGGAAACCGTTCCCAGTGAAGAACCACTGACTTTCTACCAAAGTGGGCAATGTCCAAGTATTTAGAAGCAGAAATTAGGGCTTTGCAATGATTTTTCTGCTTTGCTTCAGTGCTGTTATGAGAGTTGGTCATGTTTATTTACTGTAGCTTATTGGTTCCTAAAAAATCTCACTGCTCACAGGCATCATCAGCCACTGTGGAGTCCGGGCAGCTATGTCATTATAGCTCTTGCTTTTCAGAGTGCTGTCAAATCACAGAGCAACCTTAGAGATAAAAAATTATTCTCAAACGTATTTCTAATGATTATGTCAAAAATGAATTTGTAGGACTTGAAAAAGTCTCATTCCAGTTATGTGGTTTAATTTTTCTTTGTTTAATGTGTTCTACTTTAGGGCATGCATGTGAGAAGCTTTATCATAACATACATTTTACTTTTTTGTAGTTACTTGCATAATTGTCCTTTGTCTCCACTTGAATGTCAGCTTTGTGAGGGTGGGGATGTCTGTCTATTCATCGTGAGTCCTCACTTCCTAGCAGGGTCTCACAAAACAATCGATGAATAAATGAAGAGGCGTCTGGCTAAGATGGGGAAGCTTCATTGCTCCTGGGTCCTCCCTCTTACAACCAACATAGCAGCACCCTGAGAATACCAGAATAATCAGAGGAGGACTGTGAAAAGTGGAAAGAAGAATGCAGACTGCCTAGGAACCTCTGGACTTAAATTATATGACAGTGAAGCTCCAAGTAAAACTTATTCCCCTAGCCAAAGGACTGGGAAAAGGATTGCCTAACAGAATAGAACACAGGCTTTTTACTTATTAATACTTGTACCCTAGACAGGCACTAATGAAAAACCTGACCCAGAGTCAATGGAGACTGATAAGAAGCTGAACCTCCCGCGTCCCTTGGAGGTAATAAGGCAATGTGAGTCAGTGATTTAATTTCCCTGGGAAGATGCCAGTGAGGCCAAGGGAGGGGGCACTGACGTTCTACCCTCCTCATCTGCAATGAGCCAGTGTGAGTCAGCGCTCTTGCTGGGGTGGTGACAGAAAGATCCAGCAAGGAGCTGAACATCTCCCTCCACCAGCACCTGTATGCTATACCTAAAAAGGGTGACTACCAGCTAATAGATTAGATAGGAGCCAAAGTCTAATAAAGCATAAAATGTCCAAGACATAATGGAAAAATCACTCATCATTTCAAGAGCTAAGGCAATCACATCTTGAATGGGAAAATGCAATAAACAGATGCCAACACTGAGATGAGCCAGACATTGGAATTATGTGACGGGGATTTTGAAGCAGCCATAATGATATTGCTTCAGTGAGCAGTTACAAACACTTAGGGAATACGTAAAAAGTAAAATATCTCAGCAAAGAAATAAAAGATATTAAAAAGAACCAAAGGGAAATTGTAGAACTGAAAAACACAGTAACAACAAAAAAAAAAAATACTTACTGGATGGGCTTAATAGTAGATTGGAGACAACAAAAGAAATGATTAGCCAACTCAAAAACAAATCAGTGGAAATTACGAACTCTGAATGACAGAAAAAAAGAGACTGAAAAACATGAACAGAGCCTCAGGGACCTGTGAGACAATAAGACTCGATCTAACGCCAATTCATCGGAATCTGGGGAGGAGAGAGAGTGTAATGCTGAAAAATGCTTTGAAGAAATAATGGACCAAAACTTCTCAAATTTGTCAAAAGGTATAAACTCATAAATTTAGGAAGCTGAGCAAACCCCAAACAAGACAAATTTAAAGACATTCACACCAAGACATGATAATCAAACTTATGAAAACTAAAGACCAAAAAAAAAAAAAAATTTTGTAAGAGGCTAGAAAGAAACATATTACCTATAGGGGAACACCAGTCCAAATGACAGCACATTGCTCATCTGAAACCATGGAGGCTAGCAGGAAGGGGCGCAACATTTTGCAAGTGCTAAAAGAAAAGAACCGTCAACTATAAATTCTATATCCCTCATATGTATCCTTTAAGAATGAAGGGAAAATAAGACATTCTCAGATAAAGAAAAACTAAAAGAGTGGGTCCCTAACAGACCTATCCTCAAAGAATTACTACCGGAGGTTCTCCAAACAGAAATAAAATAATGACAGAAGGTTTGGAACTTCAGGAAGGAAAGGACAACAGAATGGGTGAAAGCAGGGGTAAATAGACTTTCTGCTTATGAGTTACTAAATCGTACTTGATGGTTGAAGCAAAAATTATAACATCATGTGATGTAGTGCTCTGTGTATGCAGAGGAATACTTAGGACAACTATACTTTCAGAGTAGGGAAGCTAACGGTATCAAAATGGAAGTAAGTTTTCCACACTTCAGAGTGGTTAAACAGCAATACTAGTTTACTGTGGTTAGTGTATATATTGTAATGCCTAGAGCAACCACTACAAAAACCAGAAGAAACAATGTACTTGGAACACTATAAATAAATCAAAATGAAATTCTGAAAAATAATCAAAGGGGATGAAGAAAGGTTGACTAATGGGTACAAGTATACAATTTGAAAGAAAAAATAAGATGTAGCGTTCTATAGGATCAGTAGGGAAATTATAGTTTACAATAATGTGTATATTTCAAAGTAGAATAATTTGAATGTTTGTAACAAAAAGAAAAGACAATATTTAAGGTGATGGATATCCCAATTACATTGATTTTATCTTTACAAATTATATGAATGTATTAAATTATCACATGTACCCCAAAAACATCTATTATGTATCAATTTGAAAATTTGTTAAAGTAAAAAAAAGTATTCAAGTAACCCATAGAAGACAAAGGAGAAACAGGAACTAAAACAAATAGAACAAATAAGACAAGTGGCAGACTTAAGCTCTAACATATCAGTAATTCCTTTAAATTAAAAGATAGATGGCAGAGTGGATTAAAAATGACACAATTATATACCATATATAGAAAACTCTTCTCAAACATAATGACACAGGTAGATTGTAACTTAAAAGTTGGGGGAAAAAGTCTGTAGGACTAGGTACGAAAGGAAGAAAAAAAAGTTGAGAAAAGATATATTATGCAAAAATTAAATCAGAGAAAAGCAGGAATGGCTACATCAGTTAAAGTAGATTTCAGAGCAAAGGAAATTACTAAGGACAAAGAGGGTCACTACAGAATGATAAAAGGAGTCATAAATTAATGAAGAGAATAAGCAAGAAAACTGGCATTTTAAAAATATTACCTGATTGCCTGGGCGTGGTGGCTCACACATGTATTCCCAGCACTTTGGGAGGCCGAGGCGGGCAGATCACTTGAATTCAGGGGTTCGAGACCAGCCTGGTCAACATGGTGAAACTCCCATTTCTACTAAAAATACAAAAATTAGCTGGGCATGGTGGCTCGCGCCTGTAGTCACAGCTACTCAGGAGGCTGAGACATGAAACTGTTTGAACTTGGGAGGTAGAGGCTGCATTGAGCCGAGATCACATCACTGCACTCCAGTCTGGGCGACACAGTGAGACTCTGTCTCGAAGAAAAAAAATATTACCTGATTATATTATTTTCCCTGTTCCCAAAATAAGAAAATGCTCACATTTCCCAATAAATGGAGAAAGAGCAAGGCTGTCTCTTAAGAAGGGCTCAGCCACTTTATCTGCTGCAGCCTCCTAGTGGTCTCCCTAGTATCTGACCAGTTGTTGAAACTCTACCTAGCCAGATTTTTTGCTATTATCCTCAGATGGCATCTCATCTCCTTTTGATGGTGATTATTTCCTAAGATATTTTGTTTGTAAAACCTAAAAGAGGGTTCAGTAGCTCCTTGTTCTGGTGTTGAGATGGCCTAAGGTCCCCTGGTCAGGTTAAGCCATTGTTGCACCAAGGACAGAGAACAAAGATACACTGGAAATCCTGGGGGACCTTGTGATCCCCCTGTCAATGCCTCCTCAAGCCAGGGCCCACCCTCCACGTGTTTGAGGGGGATGTTCCTTCGGCTGAATGAAGCTCCCAATGCTGACCTCCCAGGCCTGGGTCTGCTGCCACATCCCAACATTAGGATCCACTGAGGCCCTGGAAAGCTGATGGAACTGAAGCACTCACTACCTGGCTCTGCCAGCCCTGATGAGGTTTGGCTGTGTTCTCACCCAAATCTCATCTTGAATTATAGTTCCCATAATCCCCACAGGTCATGGGAGGGACCAGGTGAAAATAATTGAATCATGGGCGTGGTTTCCCCCATCCTGTTCTCATGATAGTGAATTAGTTCTCACAAGATCTGATAGTTTTTTAAGGCGCTTCCCTCTTTGCTGGGCACTCATTCTTCTCTCTCCTGCCACCACGTAAAGGAGGACATGTTTTCTTCCCCTTCTGCCGTGATTGTAAGTTTCCTGTGGCCTCCCCAGCCATGCTGAACTGTGAGTCAATTAAACCTCTTTCCTTTATAAATTACCCAGTCTCGGGCAGCCCTTTATAGCAGCATGAGAACAGACTAATACAAGCCCCAAAGAGGCAAACCCAGAGGAGTAACATTCCTGATCATTCCTTCATTCATTCATTCAGTTGTCCAGATGTTGCAGAAACAACAGTGAGCAAAACAAACCCAAATCCTGTTCTCACAGAGTTTACATCCATGAAAAAGGCAATTTATTGAGTAATTATAATCATTTCAGTGATAGGGCAGAGGCAGACAATAAAATAAGTAAAACGTGACAGATTTGATAGTCATAAGAGCTGTGATGAAAAATAAAGCAGGAAAGGATGATCAACAGTGTTGGGGGAGGATTGCACAGTTTTCACTAGTGGTCAGGGAAGACTTCACTGAGAAGATATGGTTTGAGTAAAGACAAGAGGTCAAGGATAAAATTGTGTGATTAACTAGGTGTAGTTTATCCCAGGAGGGGCTGACACCCTGAGGCCAGATCATACTTGGTGAGTTCTAGGAATGGGAAGAAGTTGCTGTAGCTAACGAGGTTTATGGGCATGTGTGTCTGGGGGTCAGGGAGTGTTGGTGGTGGTGTGCGATGAATGAAAAGTAAGGAAGGATCATGGAAGGCCTTGTGAACGTCATGTCATTGGCCTTTTCTCACAGTGAACGTTGGTGCTGTTAAAAGACTTTGAGCAGAAAGATATGATCAGACATTTTTATAAACATCATGTGGCTGTTGGGGTAAGAACTGGCTGTCAAGGGACATGACTAGAAGCAGAGAGTCCAGTGGGGACGCCCCTGCAGTACTGCAGGCAGGAACCCACGCTGGCCTGGCCCATGGTTGTGGTAGCAGAGGTGCTGAGAAAAGCAGCTGGATTCTGGATATGACATGAAGGTGTAGCCAACAAGATGCACAGCAACACTGGATGTGGAGGATGAAAGAAAAGAAGGAGTCAGGAATGACTCTGAGGTTTTTGGAATTAGCAGCAAGACGGATTAAGTTGCCGTAGCTGAGACAGCAAAGGATTGCAGGAGAAGCAGTTTAGGTTGGGGAGAGCAGGGTTGGAGAAGGTGGTATTTTATGGATGGCATTTAATGCCTTGAAACTAGATGAGACTGAAAGAGTGCAGATGGAGAGAAGAGGTCCAAGGACATTTAAAGGTTAATGATAAGGAGGAAGCAGCAACGGAGACTGAGAAGGAGTAGCCAGATGTCCTGGGAGCCCTGTGAGGGAGGAGGGAGTGGTTGGCTGTGTCTAGTGCAACACAAAAGTCACTGGTACCTGAAAGCAGCAGCTGAGAAGGGTGGTGGGAGCAATAGCTCCCTTTGACTGGGTCCAAGAGAAAAGAAAAAGAGAAATTGGAGGCAGTGGGCAAAGCAACTCTTATGAGGAAATGAGAAAAGTTAAAGTTAGGTGATAGCTAGAGGGATGAGTGGGGCCAAGGGTGGTTTTGCTTTTTTAAGACGGGGGAAATTATATATGTGTATGTGTGTGTGTGTGTGTGTGTGTGTGTGTGTGTGTGTGTATGTGTTAATGTGCCAGAAGGAAGACTCTAGTGGGAAGGCCATGGGAAATACAGGACAGAGAATTTCTGGAGTGGGTTACTAATGCACAAGTGGGCAGTCGACCCCTGCTAAGAGGTATGTTTATGAGGCAGTTGCAGGAGGGAAGCTGTGTTCTGAGGGTCAATGCAGGTGGGAGAGTAGAGGTGGAAGGGAGGCTCTGGAAGATGCCTTCTGGCTTCATCTGTTAAGTCACTGAACTTGGAGGCAAGGTTATCTCTGAGGATGAGACGGGCTAGGAGGTTAGAGAAGAGAGGGCTATGGAAAGTCACCTTGGAGAGGAGTGGGTGAGATTGCCAGGCAGCATTCAGCCCCCTGGAGACTAGGGACCGTGATAAGGAGTGAACCTAAAGAGTGATCAGTGGCACAGTTTGTGTGTTTTTGAGGCACTTTGAGCTGCACTAGTGCAGATTTAGAGTAGGGGAGAGAAACAGAGGTAATCTTTCAGGCTCTCTAATACCTGCTGGGGCCAGGGAGTGGCTTCTTGCCTCCCTATCTCAAGTTAGGGCAGAGGCTCCTTAGTTACCTGTGGCTGAGTAGGTCCTGACCCGCTGCCTTGGGTGGGCAGGAAAAAGGAGGAAGATTTCTCCCATGAGCCCAGGTAGGAGCCAGGAGCAGCGTCATGCCTGGAAGAGTCTTGGGTCCTGGTGTGGGTCTTTGGGACTATAAAGCAGCATCTCTTCTTGCCCAAGAGCGCCTTGTCAGCCACGGCTTTGACTGCTCATGCAGTGTCTTCTCTGAAGTCACTCCCATGTGTCAGGCTCACTTATTCTCATCGATTCTCTCATGGAAGTGAGGCCCCCTTGCCCCTTTCTCATTTTTCTCTCCCATGTACTTTCAGGTTTGTGGCCCGCAGGTGTCCAGGATGCAGGTGTAAATGGACAGTGTGGCGACATCCTCACCAACAAACGGTTCATGCTTGACATGCTGTATGCCCATAACAGGAAGTCTCCGGATGATGAGGAGAAGGGGGATGGGGAGGCTGGGAGGACCCAGCAGGAGGCAGAGGCGGTAGCCAGCCTTGCTACCAGGATATCCACCCTGCAGGCCAACTCTCAGACCCAGGATGAGAGTGTCAGGAGGGTGGATGTCGGCTGTTTGGACAATCGGGGCAGTGTGAAAGCATTTGCTGAGAAATTCAACAGTGGGGACCTGGGGAGAGGTTCCATCTCCCCTGATGCTGAGCCCAATGACAAGGTCCCAGAAACAGCGCCGGTGCAGCCGAAGACAGAGTCTGATTACATCTGGGACCAGCTCATGGCCAATCCAAGAGAGCTCAGAATCCAAGACATGGATTTCACTGACCTGGGGGAGGAGGATGACATTGATGTCCTAGATGTGGACCTGGGTCACAGGGAGGCCCCTGGGCCACCTCCCCCACCCCCACCCACCTTTCTGGGTTTGCCGCCCCCACCCCCTCCGCCCCTGTTGGACAGCATTCCTCCCCCTCCTGTCCCTGGTAATTTATTGGTTCCTCCTCCTCCAGTGTTCAACGCTCCTCAGGGCTTAGGGTGGTCCCAGGTACCCAGGGGTCAGCCCACATTCACTAAGAAAAAGAAGACCATCCGTTTGTTCTGGAATGAAGTTCGGCCTTTTGACTGGCCATGTAAAAACAACCGACGCTGCAGAGAATTCCTGTGGTCAAAACTGGAACCCATTAAGGTGGACACTTCCAGACTGGAGCACCTGTTTGAGTCTAAATCCAAGGAACTGTCTGTCTCAAAGGTACTGCTAGTCTTCAGCATGCTTCTTGATTGGAAGTTGGGTAGGGCTGAAGAGATTCGTTCTGTATAAAATACTATTTTGCATTGCTTTTGCTATTTGGTAAAAAGTCCATTGGTATGAAAATTTGATCTTTAATATAGTGTTCCTTCTGCCACATGCTAGGTGTAGGCTACATGAGTCAGAGACCCTTATTAGCTAACATGGTCACCAGCTTACTTATATTAGGCAAAGGAGCTTTCAAAGAACCAGATAGCCCTGAGGAAAAGACAAAAATGGTCAACTAAGGAATGTCAGCATAGCCCAATAGCAGATATTGATGTTAACTAGAGAAAGTGGACTTGCTGACTCACCAAACACGGGATATGCTTATTTAATCTTACCTTCATTGACTATGAGTGATAGTAGTAGTTTGAACTTTATCTGTAACCACCCAATAAGCTCAAAGGCAATAATCCAACTGACATTTCTTTGGCTTGGCCCTGATCAAGCCAGCATTCTGCAGCTATCTAGTTTTCCAGCAGCCGTATATTTGGCATCCTGTCAATATTACACATGCCTCTAGATTTAGTATTTTGGATAAATGTTTGAGAGTCCTATAGCCACTGCTGCTGTGATAGTAACAAAGATGTTATACCACTTTTATCAATGGAAACACTGTACATAAAGTTATTGGGCACCAAAGGTTAAGTCATGGTTAATTTACACTGATAAACTGCAAGATATGGGATCACAGATTTTATATCTAATTCCCTACATTAGTAGAGACTTCTTCGCCTATCTTAGCTGACTTTTAAAAACCCATTCTGGATATTTTCCAGTTTTAAAACAGGTTTAAGGTTATCTCCTCTTTTAAGGTATAAGGGGTAGGAGAAAGCACTTTGTAAAGCATAATTTAGAATAAACATGCAAGAGCTTATAATCATGAATTAATTTTAACTCCCTGCGTTGCTGCATGCATTTATCATCTTTTTGGGTGAGTATGAAACTGTCTGAGTCAGGTTTCCAGCAATGCCATTTGGGCACCAATTCTGTATCAAAATTACATGCAGGATCCTCAGAACAAGTGAGCCCTTCAGACGAGGAGCACAGTGACAGAGTTAGTGCCTGTCACTGCTGTGGGATGTTGACAGGCCAGCCAGGGGAGCTGTAGTTGATCAGCTTCCTTTCAAAATGTGCTGGGATTCTTAAGCTGCTTGCTGCCCTTCACTGATTGGTGTTTACCCCAGTGTGTGTTTCTCACTCACTCATGGCATGAGTCTAAATCATTTCCAGCCTCAGGAATCTCCTCAAGTCAAAATTAAAGCTTTCTCATTTACAAATCTACACCGTTAGGATCCAGTGTAAAAAATCATGCCCAATCAGTCCTGTCCTTCAGTTGAAAGTAGACCCAGCTTTTGTCCTCTCCAGAAAATAACACCTAAGAAAGGGTTGCCAGACACCCACTCTTGGTGTGTCTGTGTCCTGACTTTCTAGGACTGGTACCAAGTGGTGCCGAGCCATCCACATGCCCCGTTCCAATTCTTTTTTTTTTTTTTTTTTTGAGGCAGAGTCTTGCTCTGTCGCCCAGGATGGAGTGCAGTGGTGTGATCTTGGCTCACTGCAACCTCCACCTCCCGGGTTCAAGAGATTCTCCTGCCTCCGCCTCCTGAGTAGCTGGGATTACAGGTGCCCACTGCTACACCCAGCTAATTTTTGTATTTTTAGTAGAGATGGGGTTTCACCATGTTGGCCAGGCTGGTCTCAAACTCTCAACCTCAGGTGATCCACCTGCCTCAGCCTCCCCAAGTGCTAGGATTACAGGAGTGAGCCACTGCGCCTGGCCTCCCCCTTCCAATTCTTATAGGCAGCCTGACATTTAGGAGAAGACCAGCCACGATTAAGACAGCAGTCTGTGGTTGCTAGAAGTTACCCATGACCTGACTTGCTGACACCACCTTCCAACCTACTGACCTAATTGGACAGAATATTCCTCCTCCCCCTCCTTCTCCTCCTCCTCCTCCTTCTCTTCCTCCTTCTTCTTCTCCTCCTCCTTCTTCTCCTCCTGCTCCTTCTCCTCCTCCTCCTCTTCCTCCTCCTCTTCCTCCTCCTCTTCCTCCCCTCATTGCCCACTTGGCTGGCTGCACCTCTAGGCTTTTCGTGGTTCCCGATCAGGTTGCTGGGAAGAAGCTGCCCCTT
Source organism: Homo sapiens (assembly GCF_000001405.40). Taxonomy (NCBI): domain Eukaryota; kingdom Metazoa; phylum Chordata; class Mammalia; order Primates; family Hominidae; genus Homo; species Homo sapiens. The sequence continues at coordinate 36,720,891 of NC_000018.10, forward strand.
GACTCAGTATTGGGAGGAATAAAATGGAGTAAAAGTATGGAGGTGAAGGCACTCCTAGCTTCATTTTTACAAGATTAAAAGTTTCCTCGAGAAGGCCCAAAATTAATGCTTCACCTACCTCCCTCCTTCTCTTGGTCCCACTGCAGCCAATTTGGTCCGTGATAATATTCTAGCCTCTTTTGTCTCAGCCCAAAGTTCCATGATTGCCTGAAGCAGGTAGTGACCTCTAGAACAATGTATTGCCTAGCTAATAGACAAATGTTTGCATAGTTTTTATCAAGTAGGAGCATAAGAGGAAAGTGGTATATTGGACGAAAAGTTTACCAAACTGATTCCAGAATGTTCTATAATGAGACCCAAAAACCCCTACCTTTGTCTTTGGGATAGGAAATGTGAACAGGAGCTACTTTACAAAATGTTACAAAAGGTAAGAATGCAAGTTAGGATTAAAACACGTCACTGTGTTTTGGCCATGATGGGTGGCTCATTCTGGTAATTCCAGCACTTTAGGAGGCCAAGGCAGGTAGATGGCTTGAGCTCAGGAGTTTGAGACCAGCCTGGACAACATGGTGAAACCCCATCTCTATAAAATGTACACACACGCACACAGCCAGGGATGGTAGTACATTCCTGTAGTCCCAGCTACTTGGGAGGCTGAGATGGGAAGATATCCTGAGCCTGAGAAGGTCAAGGTTGCATTGAGCTGTGATCATGCCACTGCACTCCAGTCTGGGTGACAGAGCAAGACTCTGTCTCAAAAAAGCAAAAAAACAACAAACCCCACATTACACTGGAGAGCTGAATCCATTTTGCATATGTTACCACTGTAGATATAACCAATTTCATTTCTGTTTCTAATCCTTGACTGTGGTTTTCATAAATCAAAATGTAAACAGCCACTTTGGGTTTCTGGCTCAGAAATTTTTAAATTAAGTACAATAAATAAAATGCAACAAAAGTAGAGTGAAATAGACTTCACAAGACAGCACAAAACAAAGAGAATTGGTTTTAGGTTTCATCAAAAAAAGTAACATTAGACCAGAGTTATTGGGCATGGCTGTGACTAAGCCACCCAAAAACAAAGATTCATGAGCCAGATCTAAGGCTGGGGTGACCACCTAATGAAAAAATGATAAGACTGAAAAGATGCGATTTTTAATTTTCTTTCAAAATAGTTTCTGGAATTGGATCAATTTTTCTCTATCAGCTGGAATTATATGGTATTTTAATAAGATGAATCATATTGTGTTTTATGGTAAAAGGTAGAAATCCTGTGCTAAATTTCATTATGTTCTGACTGCTGGTCTAAGATGTGGTGAGCCCCATAGGAGACAAAGTGACCCTAAGAAAGATGTCAGGGCAGAAAGCCCTGAGACTTCCTTGGGCTTGACATCACCCTGGGGAGCCCCAGGAAAGTGACTTCCCAACCCTTGTACCTAACCAGGGGCAGCAAAATCCCTCCTGTTCTCAAAGGGCAGCTTCTATGCCCCAAGTTACAGCCAGACCAAAACAGACATGGAGTGGAACTCAGTTTCCACTTTGGGGACCTGATGTTGTCTTACTCTCTTGCATTCATTAGGTTTGTCATAGGGAGGGAGCCCAGAATGTATCTGGAGAAGTTTATTTATCTTGAAGTTTCTAAATCTATTTGAACTAGTAACAGCAACTTTTAAATAAAAATTAGGTCAGGGTGAGCCTTGGCCTGGGTTATTTTTCTTATTTTTATTTCTTAGAGATAAGGTGTCACTCTGTCGCCCAGGCTGGAGTGCAGTGGCACAATGATAGCTCACTACGGCCTCAAACTCCTGGGCTCAAACGATCCTCCCACCTCAGCTTCCCAAGTATATTTTTAAAAGCTCCTCAGGGACTCTCAAGTACAACCAAGGTTATGAGCCACTGATTTCAGGTGAAAAATGAGGCGCTGAAGGAGCACTGTGTTCCCCACCACCACTCTCCACATTGACACCCCCTGACCCTTTTGATTTTCCTGAGAGGAGATAGAAATCCTCCTATGCTGTATTCAAGTTCAGGACATAATAAGTTATTTAACATTCCCCTCAGAAACCTGAATTCTACCTAGAAACTCTGAACACAGCTCTGGGACTTCAGCAGGGCTGAAGTGTGCCCAGACACTTCTGGTGTGTGCCTGCTGGTCCTATAGGATGTGGTGAATCGTATAGGAGAATAAAATGACCCCAGAGAAAGATGTCAGGGCCAAAAGCCCCTGGAGGGCATGGAGACTCCCTTCCTCTCTCCTGGGTCTCTGGATTAGGATAACAAATAAACTGAATTCATGCAGGAAGTCTGTTTAACAGTTGGCCTCTGCTCTAGACAACCCAAAGGGCAAATATGAGAAATTAATACTCTTTCCTTTAACAATAAGGCAAACCTTACCTGGCAAGAAATTTTATTTCTGACTAAGGATTCCTCAGCCTTTGCTTGGGCTTAGTTTTTTGTTTTTGTTTTTCATTTTAGGGTGTGTGTGTTGGTGGGTGTGTGGATGGGGGGCGGTTTGCCTTAATACTTTCCTATACATCTCCCCGTCTCCCTTGTTTCAAGACTTTAGGAAAATTCCATAGTTGTCACATCTTTGTGACATCTGTGTCATTGCATCCTTGTAACTGTCACTTTCTCAACGGACAGTTTTGAAAATATCCTGTGGCATCACTCTTTTGGCAGGGAGCGAGGAGGGATGATTTACCATTTCTAGAACTTCTGCCTCTCTGAGCCCGACCCAAGGTCTCCAACAGTGATGCAGAGAAGCATTTGCAAAGGTCTGTCGCCTTTCATGGAAGTGCTCTCAGACTCACCAGCACTCCCCAAACCTCCTGCAGCTCTCTTAATAAATCAAGTCCTCAGCCCAGTGTCTATTATCAATTGCAGCACCTTCTGGGGTGCATCCTCTGATACTAGTAAAATACTCTTTAAAAATGCAAAGGGGCAATATGATGTGGCAACATTTCAGGAAGCCTTAAGCTTAATGACTACTATTAACTATTTAAATTTTTCTTTCCACTTCTTTTCCTAACTGCAACCTGAATCCTCACTCTTCTTTTTCCAAAACGGAATGTCTCTGAGGGGGAAGTTAGGTCTTTTTCTTTCCCAGGATGCCTACTGAAACTAGGTTGTGGTCACTCTTGCATGATGGTCACTCTTTTCCAATAACCATTCCAAATCAAGTTTGAGTCTTTACTTGCAGATTCTTAAATACTTTTACTTGGAGGTTTAATTTGTTCTATCCGAAAGCCTGACTCGGGCATCTCCTCTGCATGGGCATTTTGCCATCTGTGTGCATCAAGGATTGGTGTCTCACCAAGGATCCACCTGGGTAGACTTGTGGCTCTGCAGTGCTTATATCCAGCCGAGCCTAAATATCTGGCTTAGCGGTTCTAGAAAATATTCCTATTACCATGTGTGACTTTCTGCCCCACGGAGTGGCTGAGTTTGCAGGCTCCTGCCTCCTGGGGCTGCTGGTTCTAGAAAGCGGACTCCCAACCCAGGTAGCTGCCCACCAGCTGAATCTGGGGCTGCCGAGAACAGGCACAGCTCTTCCCGAAGCTTTGGCAGTTGACAGTCGCTGCCTCCCCTTCTCAGGAATCCTGTGACTCTTCTAGCCTTGAGTGCTGTCTGTTTGAAGCCTCACCCTAGAGGGGCTCACCTGCATCTTCCTAGAAGCTGGACCCAGTCCCTGAGTTGCCTTAATGACCGCCCTCCTGCTCCCTTTGAGTTTCCTGCTCGCCTAGACAGCCTCTCTTTCCACAAAGGGTAACCTCTGCCTCTCCCTCATCTTGGCTGTGCACACCCCTGCTCCCTCTCCCTGCAGTGTTCTTAGCCAAGTCAAAAACAAAAACAAATAAAAGCCTTACATGGCATTCATCCTGAAGCTTTTCTCCGGAGACTGTCTTTCCTCCAGGGGAGAAGGGCTACTACGGGCATGTTGGAGGCTCCCGGTAGTTGGAGCTCCGAAGGAGGAGCTCTGCCGTGGGCGTTCAGCTTAACTAGGCTTTCTGGAACCAAAACAGAGCCTGGCTGCTTCCCAGGCTTCTCCCTACACCCTTAAAGAAGCAAGGTCCTCTCTTTCCTTGAGCACTTCTGGACATATTTGGGAAAGCAGCATGTTCAGAGATGGCCCTGCCATGGTTTCCCACACACTATCTCATGTCCGCCTTTTTGCTGACCACCCAAAGATAGTTGTTCCTGTTTTCACATCCAGCCAACCCCTAGTCTAGCATCCTGTACCTGGAGCCTGGGCTCAGGCACCTCCTTCCATCATCACTTCCTCCCTGAGAGTTCTTGGAACTTGCTGAGGAAGAGGGCAGAGCTTTGGCTAATTGTTCTTTTATCGACAAATTAAGACAAAAAACCCAATGTCCTGTTGCTCCAGAGCTGACCATGGGTGTTGGGGGCATCCTGGCCCTCCAGAGGTATGCATTTTTTGTTAGTCTGCATGGAAATGTTCCCACTTGAGAACCAGGCACCTAACAGCAGGCACTCAGGAATTACCTGTTTAAGGAAGTGGATTATATATCAAAGAGAGGCGATAAATATAGGGAAGCTTACACAGTCAATCAGAAAGAGACCATCAGGGACTGGGCTTGTTTCTCAGCCTCTTCTGTACCTGTGCAGGGTTCAGCATCATGGACCGTCACTGAGAATGTCTTGAGACTCCAGGCAGCAGGGTGGTATCATACCCAAGTCAGCAAGGGGATCTCCTGGCTGTGGTGTACTTGTGCCGTGCTGACACTTGGCCATTCCCACATCAGCCTGGGTTCCTGCTTTCCCCTGGCCTTTTCCCTTCCTGAGAAGGAACATGTCAGTCAATCCAGCCTGTCATAATGTTCACTCGCCATATCGGTTTGTTTGGCTTAAAGTTAGTTTTTCTGATTCCATATTAAAAATGGATCTTTTTATGTTAGATTCTGGGTCACTAATCTTAGTGTCTTTGTTAGAATGTCCTGGACCATTGTATAGAGCTTTTTCTGTACTATTATTCTATTCTGTTCTATTATTCCAACTATTCTAGGGCCAGTGCTATATAGCTGATAGCTGATTGGGTAGATATTATATCTAACTCTACATTTTAAGAACATGTTTGACACTTTCATACATATATTCTTTCATGTTCACTTTAGACATTTTTTTTTCTAACTCCAAAAACAAATCTTATGGGGATTTTGATAGGATTATGTATATGCAAAATAAAGGTAACATATCTATTGGACAGCCAATATATGTATTACTTTTATATATATTTTATATATGTAAATATACATGTTACATATATAAATATATATAATTAGATAAGAGATAACTACAGCACACTTATGATGTTGAAACTTCTTATCCAGGAACATGAGGTTTCTCATTTATCCAAGTCTTCTTTTATTACTCTCAAGAAAATGTTGTCATTTTCTTCAGGTAGAAGATACAAGAGGTTTTTTGCTTTGTTTCCTTGTTTGGGTATTTTTGGGGGTTGTCTGGTTTCTCATCAATTGCAGAACAACTTTCTGATTTCCTACTTAGAGGCATTGCTTCCTCTCCTGTTACTGATACCTGTCTGACCTCTGCCCCGTCACATCTCACTCCCTCTTTCTGGATGCCATCCCCTTCAAGAAAGGCATTTACATTTTCTAACCTTCACAAGGACCACTCTTTCTTCTCTGACCTCTGCTTTATATCCTCTTCCCATCATTGACCAATTTCCTTATTTTCAAATTTTAAACCATGGAAAACCACTGTGGCTTTCTGACCAAAGGAATGCACTAAGGAAAAGTGCCTCTTTTTTTTCTTTTCTTTTTTTTTGAGATGGAGTCTCACTCTGTCACCCAGGCTGGAGTGCAGTGGCGTAAACTCTGCTCACTGCAACCTCTGCCTCCTGGGTTCAAGTGATTCTCCTGCCTCAGCCTCCCGAGTAGCTGGGACTACAGGCACGTGCCACCATACCCAGCTAATTTTTGTATTTTTAGTAGAGACGGGGTTTCACTATGTTGGCCAGGATGGCCTCGATCTCTTGACCTCGTGATCTGCCCACCTCGGCCTCCCAAAGTGCTGGGATTACAGGCTTGAGCCACTGTGCCTGACCAGAAAAGTTCCTTTTAGCAAGAGTAGGATGGATGGATGGATGGGTTAGGGAGAGAAGAGATCAGAAGCAGGAGGCGAGTGCTGGGCTGCTCTGAGAAGTGGGGTTCTGGGTGGTCAGGCCTAGGGTGGAGAGGTGGGAATGGAGAAGTATGGATGGGGATGAGACGCTTTGGGAAGGAAGAGTGGACCACAGTTGCTCTGTCTTAGGACCATGTGGAGGACTAGTGAAGTTCACTATTGCTGACTTGAGGCTTTGGCTCAGAAGGACAATTCAAATGGATCAGAATAGATGACTGCCAATCCTTAGACATGGATATAGGCACAGAGAGCTCTGCCTTGCTCTTGTAAGTGCTGCTTTAGATTATTGTCAGAGGGAAGGAGAGAGTTGGACAGCCCTACCCAACCCACTCCCTCATCTTGGGCAGTACTAACCAGATGACACTTGAGTGTTTAGTAGCATCTGGTGGAGGTTTATTTTGATTATGAAGAACAGCACTTAAAGCACCTTTTTGCTAAAATCTAGAGCTTGCATAATTCCATTTCAGGTATTCCTTTAATGCTTATTCTTTCCTTCATGATATGGGTGGAAGTGCTCTGCAAATGTGCAGAATCCTCTGTGGGGACAGCTCTCCCATGATCTTGGGGTGCTCAGTGGCGCACCCCTCCCTGACTTAGAGGGGTGTGTGCAGGCATGTGTGTTGCTGTAAGTTGAGCTCTACTGAGAATGGGGCCAAGGGCATGTCAGGCTCGGGGCCACCACGTAGGTCTGTGCAAATTGCTTGCTACATGTGGACACTGGCTGCCAGAGATGAGGCTGGAATCTGAGTAGTGCTTCTCCCCCAAGCTGTTTGCCATGGGGCTGAATCTCAGGGTGATGGCAAGGGGCTTCATTTTGTCATCTGCATAAAGACTCCAGTTGAGCTGGCTGGGCTCCTAGAGTGATGGGGTTTTGTGGATGAGGGGTTAAGGGCTACTGGTTCCCAGGGAATCCCTGCTGCCATCCTGTGCTCACAAGACACCTGCTACTGCACCTCCAGACCCCTATCTCCATTCTAGGCAGGAAGAAGGGGGATGAGCACAAGGCATGGCCCACCAGTTCTATTGCTTTTTAATCAGGAAAACAAAAGCCAGAACCAAGTCATGGGGCCAGCTTCAGTTGCAGAGGGTCCAGGGAGGGAATTGATTTAATGGACACATTGCCAGCCTGAAAAAAATCAGAGTCCTGTTGCTGAGTGGGGAAGAGGGCATGGATTTGGGGTAGGTGCCCAGCAGTGCCCGGAGAAGCAGGCCTCCAGCACCACAGTATTGGCATTGCTAGTTGTAACATCCTTCTTTGTTGCCTGTATTTAACATTCTGTCAAACTTTTCTCATTCCTTTAGCATTCCACACACAACATAAAATTAGATTTAAAAGTTAAATTGAGAATTTCCAGGGACTCCTGATAAGTTTCTTAGGTCAACTACGTAGAACAGAACACTTTCCCTGAAGAGTGGGGAGGCATGTATGCCACGTGTCCCTGGGAGCCCAGTGTTCAAAGCTGACAACTCTACCCACAGGAATTGCCCCTCCTGATCACCAGGATCCAAAACAGCTGGGATGTTTTCAGTTGTTGTTGTTGGGTTTTTTTTTTTTTAAATGAAGAAGTTTGAGTTTATTCCCAACTGCATATTTAAGGATCTAAAATAGAAATTTAGCAACTAAGTCTGGGAGGTTCCAGGAGGACTTAAGCTGGGCTTGAGCCTGTTTCTCCTCGATGCCTCACGGTCCCTGGGGCTACAGCAGAACAGTTTCTCTAGATGGCTTGGCTGCTCCCAGCCCTAGCCAGGGCCCCTGCTTTAGAGAACAAGGTGAGGCCTCAGTGCAGGAGATCAGATGATGAGTGGCAGTCAGTTGCTCAGTGGGAACCTGCCTGCACAGTGTGGTTGAAGCTGCTTGGCTGGGTCAGCAGGTCCTCTGGGATGTGGCCCCATCAAACTTCCAGTCTCATCCCTGACAGTTTTTAACAACCTAGACAAAGCCACTTCTTATCTCCTGAAGGTCTTCTGTCCCCAGACTAGATCCTAGACATTCTTTAGGGCCTAGCCCAAGGGTCAGCCCTTCCAGACCCTGAGCCCCTCCACCACCAGGTGAGTTACAGTTGCTCTGCTGTTGAGCTCCCTCAACAACAGAGGGTGCAGCACACCCCATTACTGTGCTGAATGTGTCTTCAGGAGATCCACAGTGCCTCATTCATCTTTGTTACTCTAGACTTGTTACATGAGTCAAAATAGCCATCCTCCCAAGTGTGTTTGCCTCAAAGGAAACCTGAGCAAGAGCAGGGAGCTTGTGGAGCCAAGTCTTCTCCCACCTGCCCCCAGGTGCCACCTGCACCCAACTTCCTGAGAGCTGAAGAGGAAAGCTGGGGGCCTTGTGGTCACAGCTCTGGCCAGTGACAGGGTTGACTCATCACCCCACAGACACTGTCTTAGTTTGCTAAGGCTGCCATAATAAAATACCACACACAGGTGACCTAAACAGCAGAAATTTATTTCTCACAGTTCTGGAGGCTGGGAACTCCAGATCAAGGTACTGGCCAGTTAGGTTTCTAGTGAGGGCACTTTTCTTGGCTTGTAAGCAGCCACCTTCTTGCTGTGTCTTCAAGCAGCAGAGGGAGAGAACTAGTAGCACTCTGGTCTTTTCTTATAATGACACCAGTCCCGTCATGAGGATCCCACCCTCGTGACCTCATCTAAACCTAAGTATCTCTAAAGGCCCTACCTCCAAATATCATCACTTTGGGGGTTAGGGCTTCAACTTATGAATTTTGAGGGGACATAAACATTCAGCTTATAACACGTGCTTGCCAAGCTCCCATCTTTTGCTAATTCTGGGCTGGCTGCAGAGATAGGTGAAGCCCAGGACCTGCCTCTGAGGACCACACAGGCCACCTGGGAAGCCACACATAAAAGGGCTTTGAGAATGCCAGGACACTTCTTATTCCCTGCTCTCCTTCTAGGCCTCTAAGCTGGTTCGTCCCCTATTCATCCTCACCAGTGCATGCCCTTTCCTTTCTTTTCCTTGGAAGGCTCCTCTTCATTCATCTACCAGGCAGCTGCACAGAGGCCTAAGTGCACAGGAAAGGTGGAGGTGCTCTGGTATAAGGGGCATGGAATGTTTGAATGGCAAGGTGAGGGCTTTGAGACAGTACAGCTGTAGATCTGGAGGGGCTGACAGGCCAATGGTGCTGTATTCTCCTTATTGATCCTCTCTTCTCAGCATGTAAACCAGCTCTCTCTGGGCACGCACCATATGTATGAAGGCCAACCAAGACATTCGGACACCTCAAAGCCCACAAGAAAGGAATTCTGAAAGGTTTTGATTTTGTTTTCACTGCTTCTATGGAAAAAACAGATTTTTTTTTCTTGCAAAATATCACATTTTCCCAATTGAAGGAAAATCCATTTTATTTTTGTATGTGTCTGACTCTTGAAGTTCTGTTGCTGACCCAAGCTTGGCAGCATCTCAGAACTAATCCCTGATACTTTCTGTGCTGAACAGTAGCCAGTCCTTCTCTGAGCTGAACTGGGGCCATTTGTTTTCATCTCTAAATAAGTAGTGAGTGCTTTTAATAATGAAATGCAGAAAGGACCCAAGATGATGCATTAATCTTGGATTCTCCTTTTTTATCACTAAGAAAACTGCTGCAGATGGAAAAAGGCAAGAGATCATTGTTCTGGATTCCAAGAGGAGTAACGCCATCAATATTGGTCTGACGGTGCTGCCCCCTCCAAGGACGATTAAGATCGCCATTTTGAATTTTGATGAGTATGCCTTAAACAAAGAAGGAATCGAGGTGAGGGAAGCTCTATTAAGCATTATTTGTATTTTATCTTATACTGCATGTATAATATGCTGCATGTCCACATTTCAAAAGATCCATGGTGCCTTTCTGTCTCAACTAGACTCTGAATAAGGTTAATAATTCTTACACGTGTTAAACTTTTTGAGGGGAGGGGGAGTCTCACTTTGCCTATGAAGTTCAGCAATCTTCACTCAGGTTCATTTACCAGTCTGCCTCTGACCACATTCTGCCTACCTCAAAATGGAAGAAGACTATGATAACCTCCTTGGGAAGCCACTAGGGTCTTGTTTCATGTCATTTTAAACCACGTATGTTTAAAAAACCATACCTTTCAAAGGTAGGGTTTTCAGTACATGTGCACATCCATGTAAGAACTTTCTCTCTTGGCATTTGTTGGGGTACAGAGAGACATATTTCATTTGATAAGCCAGAGAGCTCAAGCCAGCTGAAGCTTTAGCATTTGTTGATCTGAATGTCACAAAGTAGAGAGACACTGGGTGGCATGGCTGTGACCGCACAGCTGGTAGCTGGAGACAGGGTTCACCTGCAGGGCCTGGGTTCATGTTCTTCCACAGGCCACGTTCTCCCTCCACTGTGGGTTGGTGCCAGTTTAGCAGGTTAAATCTCTTATTATAATAATGAAAAGAGTGAGCAGAGCCGATGTGTCCCACCCACCAATTCCTACAGAAGGGTATTATAGCTTGGGGGCCCACTGGGTCAGAGTGGGGATCTGGGGACACTGCTTTGTGGCATTGGGTGGCACCTAACCCATCCTCCTATTGGCAGGGGGCCCCAGACTCCTTTAAAGCCTCTCTGTGATTGGGGTTCATCTTCTTGTTTGAGACACTTGGGCATGGACAGAACCAATGATGCCTGACTCCAGAGAGGGAGAGCAAGCCTTCTATAGAAAAGTTGAGAGTGAGGAAGGGCCTGGGCCTCTGGCCAGAATCACCCATGGCCCTGGGAATGGGAGGGAGCAGTGGGCACACAGTACGTAGAGGGGTCTGCACCCAACCCACTAGGCATGCCTTCATGCTTTGGAAGGAAGGGACCTTCATAGGAAAAGCCATTACTAGAGGCCTGAACTGCATTGAATAGTGGACCCCCAAATTCATGCCCACCCAGGATGTGACCTTATTTGGAAAAAGGGTCTTGTACATGTAATCAAGTTAAGATGAGGTCATACTGGATTCAGGTGGGCTCTAAATCCAATGACTGGTATCCTTATAAGAAGAGGGAAGTTTGAACACAGAGAGGAGAGTGCTATTTGAAGACAGAGAACACACAGGTATACAGAATGCCATGTGATGACGGAGGTGGAAATTAGAGTGATGTTTTTAAAAGCCAAAGAATACCAAGGATCGTGGACAACCACCAGCACTGGGAAGAAGCAAAGTTCATCCCCTGGGGCCTTCAGAGACAGTATGGTCCTGCTGACACCTTGATTTTGGACTTCCAGATTCTAGAACTGTGGGAGAATGCATTTCTGTTGTTTAAGCCACCCAGTTTGTGGCGTTTTATTATGGCACCCCTAGAAAACCTATATAAGGCTCAAGTAGCTCTACTCTGAGAAACATACACCCCCTGTTCCAGGAACAGGTACAATAAGGGAAATGCACTTCTTTCCTGGCAGAAGAAGTTGTTCCCTGAGCTCTGGAGCCAAGCCAGGCAGCAAAGCCAGTCAGCATATCCAGGTGTGTTCTCTGTCTTCAAACAGCATTCTCCTCTGTGTTCAAACTTCCTTCTTCTTATAAGGATACCAGTCATTGGACTTAGGGCCCACTCGAATCCAGGAATCCAGCCTATCGAAAGAGTGAGGGCACACGGCAGACCGGAGCAGGGGACATGAAGGAGTGAGTGGGCGACAGCTGGGAGATACAGAGAGAGAGACTGAGGCAGTTGCCAGATCGCAGGAAGGGGCAGGCCAGGCCTCAGTGTGATGCATCCCACTCTGGGACCCTCCTAGAGGAACAAAGGATGAGCAGGGCAGTGGCCTGCTGTTGGGTGGACCTGGATGTACCAAGTGCAAAGCGTGTCCCCGCAGACCCTAACCCAGTGACGGATGAGAGACTTACACTGACATAGATATTTTGTCTGTCAGTGCGGCTAAGGGGCTTCTGCTCCTGAATCTGCAGCATCTGCCCCATAAGCCAGTGAAGTTTGCATTTATTTAGTACGGATTAAATGACAAAGGTCTTGAGTAAATACCACTAGAGGGAAATTAACATTGCCGACCTCCCAGTAGAGAGCAATCATGCACCCACAGATAATCAAGGGTTGGTCTTAGGACCACATGAGTAAACAAGCTGTTTAGATAAACTCCCCCACATTCCCTTGTTATTTGCTCTTTTGCTGTCAACTCAAGGTAGAGAGGATTAAGCTGCTTTCAGCCAAATCTTTTACTGGAGCTATGCAACCCCCCTGGCCTTCCAAGAAGGTTTGCTTCTCTTTTCTATAATATCCTCTTACAATTTTTCCCACCACCCTGACTGAACTCCCACATCTCTCCTCTAGGGGAGATAAGGCAGTGGCTCTTGGGCCATCCTATTTACACAACAAGGTCCTTTAGAGAGCACAAAAGCTTCAGATTCATACGGAGAGAGGCTACAAAGATAGCCAGAGCCAGCCTGATTAAAAGAATAGATGGACAACTACCCCTTTAAAAATATTTCTCCTCCTTGTCATGAGAACTTGAAAGTCCCTCAGGAGAAATTTATTCCTTTGGTTTTGCCTTTGTTCTTTCCTGAAATGCAACTCTCCCCAGGTGGGGAAAGTTTCAGATACAATAAGTTACTCAGATTCTAGAATGAACCAAATTATTATTTTTTCTTGTCTGGCTGGTTTCCAGTTGAGCACCCTTTTGATCCAGGAAGGAATAATTACAGCTATGACGCTGACGGATATGGGAGTAGCAGCACAGCACCAAATCTGACTTTCATAGGATTTTTACTGTGGGCCAGACACCAGGTAGGCGCCTGCCACAGATTCTCCTCAAAGCTTATGAGGTACATATGCTCCCCAACGTGAAGAAGAATGGGAGTCCCAGCATTAGTGTGTGCCCAGGCTCCCAAGCCAGTGAGCCAGAGAGCCGGGGAGCGGGGACACAAGCTCTGAAGCTTGAATCCAGAATGCAGGCTGCGGTTTTGTGGGGTGGCTGGCCCTGGAGGGGCCCTCCAGGCCTGGGTTTGTGTGCTGCAGAGAATAAGAGGGAATCTGAAAGGGGAGGGAGAGACATGTATGCAGCAGCGCAGCCCTCTTCACTGTGCTGCCTACATTTGCTACCCAGGAGTAGCTGACTTACAGAGCAATTTGAAGTGAGGAGACACAGCCACAGGAAACACTGGTAGCCCTTACTGAGATTTTATTGCATCGTGAGTCCTCAGTAAATTCATAGTCACAACGACACAGAGTTACATTTTTACTTTCTCTTCTAAAGCAGGTTTCTCAACTTCAATGCTACTGGCATTTTGGGTTAGACAGTGCTTTGTTGTAGGAGGCTGTCCTGTGCATTATAGGATGTTTAGCACATCCCTGGCCTCTACCCATTAGATGCCAGTAACACCTACCCTCCCCCCACAACCAAAACTGTCTCCATACATTGTCACATGCCCCCTAGGAGCAAAATCACCCTGGTTGAGAGCCCCTGATCTAAAGGCTGCCTGTGTGAATCCAGAGACTGTGTAGATCTCTCAGCACTTCCCAGTCACAGCTGTGAAGACTCCAGTCGAAACCCCTCTTGGAGAATGTGGCATCCAGGGCACTCTCAGGCATCACCTACTATCTTGGGCCATTGATCTCAGGGACCTGAGAGGCAGAGATGATCTAGATCCATGTGCCAAACCAATACCCAGAGCTTGTTCTCTAGGCTTGTTCAAGAGTTAAATCAGGACTCAGAAGAGATGCAATTGGGTACATACAGATCTTTGTTAATGAGATTTCCGGCTTGCACCCAGAGGGCCTTTAGCCAAACTGTCTGCTTCTCGGATGCAAGCACTGTAGCCTGGCACCATGGCTTAACGGGGTCGTTTGAAAGCTCTGTGTACCTAAATGTAATTAGAATGTTTTCATCCTGTGGCTTTGCTTAGCAACCCAGTGGTATGTATCCAGGTTTGTCATGAAAACCTGAAAGAGTAGTTAACTTCATTAAGGAAGTCATTTTTCATAAGAGTATTAAACCAGAAAATCATTTTGCAGCCATCTCTAAGTAGCATTAATGATATTTCCCCAAGTAAAATGGCATCAAATTATCATAAATGGAAGTATGACGATTTTTATTTTCTTTTCCTTTCTTCTCTTAATTTTATAGAGTCTGTGTCTACTCAGAGGGTAGCACAATTGAATGGTCCCAAACAGCTTGGCCCAACTTGGCTGCCAGTCCAATCAGCATCCTAGAAACAGAAGTTTTCTTTGGCCACAGATAAAAAATGACAGCATCTTTGAAAGCAGTTTAACCTGTACAGTTCCTGTCCACAGGTGCCCAGCTGCGCAGGTGCTGGATACACACAGAGGAACCTGACCACAGAGAGTCACAGTTGACTTAGCAGTGCCAGGGAACCAGAATATCTTGATGACTGAGTGGCTTAGCTGCACTGTTAATTTGCATTTATGGTTGAATTTATTCACTATTAATTTGAATCCCTATGAACTATGGAGCTAGTGCTAGAAACTAGAGGTAGCCCCTGGGTTCTTCTCTAGCTCCGCCTTGGTGGATCCAGCTTAGCTTCAGGCAAATCATTTTGTCTGTGTTTGATACAATAATTTCTGCCCTAAAGTGCCTCAATGAATAATCATAAGAATGAAAGAAGATACTATCAAGATGCTTTAAAAAGTTTTTTTTTTTAAGTTGCTACAGGAAAGTAACTACCTGGATAGAACACTATTTTCTCATGCAAATATGCATATTGTATGCAAACCAGACATAGCCCTCAGGGCTTCAACTTTCAACTTTGGTCACCAAAATCCTTGTGGCAGATGCTTATACAAAGCTGTAGCCAGTGTTCTGTTTAAAACTCACAGGGCAAAAGGATTACTCATTATAGTTTCATGTGCAGGTAGAAGAAATGGCCAAACCCAATAGTATTGGCGTCTATTTTTAAAAAGGGATTTCTGCATTTTTCTCCAAAATACATGACTTTCAGATACAAAAGCAAATATACTTAGAGCAATGCTGGAGAGACGCTGTCTAGGCAAACGCTAAAAACATGGAAGTTATCACATTGAAACAGGAAATTTTCTGTGACCCCTTCACGGGCCTTGTGATGGGGGTGCCTCACTTACTCAGCTTGCAGCTCTCAACCCCTCTAGGGAGTGGGAGCACACAGGTGAGTGAGTGCAGGAGCTGGGGCAAGTGCTTCTGGGCACCAGCAGGAGCAAAACTCCGTGTGGGCCCTGCAGTGGTGTCTGGCAGGGAGTACCCGCAACCCCTGACACCCCACAGGGCATGTGTACAGTGTGCACTGTTAGCTTTGCCATCATGGATGGCTTAAATGTTAACTCAGTTGGCCCTCTGCCTTTTCATGTGAGGTGGTTGCTCTCCACCAGTGAGGGCAGAGGGTCAGTGTGACAGCCTTTAGCGCCCGCATCTATGGCACCAGAGCTCTTGTTTAGCGTCCAGAAAAAATCAGGTCACATAAACGAATTGAAAGATGGTGAATACAGAGGGTTTCATTGCCAGTGAAAGTGGCTCTCAGCAAGAAGGAGAGCTGGAAAGGGGATGGAATGGGAAAGTAATCTTCCCCCAGAGTCTGGCCATCCCCAGCTGCACTCCTCTTTGAAGCAATGCTGTCAAGCCATCCCTCTGAAGTCAAGCTGCCTCTCTCTGACATCAAACGACAATCTCTGATGTCCTGCTGCTTCTCCTCTTCTCCCCTTCTCTGCTCTCTGCCAGTGGAGCCTGGGGTTTTTATGGGTACAGGATGGGGGTGGGGCAGACCAGGAGTGGTTTTGGAAAAGGCAACACTCGAGTGGGAAAATAGGGATGTAAAGTTCTCACTTTGGGCCACAGTTCCAGGCTTGAGGGTGGGGCCTTTGCCAGGCACCCCACCCTTTTCTGCCTAGAATTTCTCTGCTTCCTATCCCTATCAACATATTGGTCTTGTTTGATGTTTGCTTTCCTGTGAAATCAAATTATGATCGTGCAATTATCAATAAATCTACTGACTTAGAAAAACAAATTAAAAATACTACCTCATAATCATCACAGTATCATCTGCTCACAAAAAACAAGGGCCATCAGCTCATAGGAGGGGCTCATAGGAGGTGGCTTTAACCTGCCCTTCCACTGTCTTACAGCTATTCTTATTGTCAGTGATGTGTAAAAAAATAAAATGGCAGGTGGCAACCTCATAAATCTTCAACATTGAACAAATAGTATAAATTAGAGAAATGAAAAACAAAAAGAAGAGTAACTGCTTTCTCAAAGGAACAAAGCAACAAAATTCATCACAGGAAGATGTCTTCTGAAGGTTGTACAAAGTGTTGACAGTTTTTCATTTTGGAATTTTGGTCATGCCAGAAACAATGGCAGTGCTAAGGAAATTAAAATAGAAATTTTAGAGAAGCATTTATTTTGAAGACTAATTGAGTTTAAATCATGCATGTTTTTAAGGAGGCAACATCTGCTTGAAGTGTCTTGGCTATCTCTTAATGCCATCTGCATGAACAGGTGGGACACGTGCCAGGTTGTGGGCAAGCAAGGAACACTGCCACCACCTATCTCTCCAGATGCTCAAACTCCACCTGAAGCCTCAGTGATTGGAGCCCTGGTGAAGGGAAAGTTGGGAAGGGAGGTGCCTCAGGCTCACCTTCGATAACTTTACACTGACTACAGCCTGAATGCACATCTGCAATGCAGTTTTGCATCACTGGCTTCTGATAAACTAAGGCCGCTCTGCCTGTTAACACCCTCTTCAAGCCCAGGACCTCATCTATCCCAGCCAGATACGTCCTGATGCACACTTGTGTAAATATCTGCATATGTAGAGACTGTGGTGTCAAGAGCCCTGTTTCTCATTTTGTTATTTATTTTTTTAGCTTTTGAACTAATATAGAGTGCAGTCGACTTTTTGGTATATGGTTCTCTTGAGTTTTAAAGCATATAAATTCATGCAATGACCACTGCAGTCAGGATTTAAAACAGTCCCATCTTCCAACAAAACTCTTGTGTTGCCCTTTTGTAGTTGTACCCTCAACCCACCTCTGGCACCTGGTAACCACTTATGTATTCCCCATCACTGTGGTTTTGTCTTTTCAAGAATGTCCTGTAAATAGCATGTAACCTTTTGAGACTGGCTTCTTTCACTCATCATGATGCCTTTGAGATTCATTCAAGTCATTGTACATATCTATAGTTTGTTCCTTTTATTGCCGAGTGCTATTGCATTGCAGGGAATCTACTACAATTTATATATTCACTGCTCAAGAATATTTAGCTTGGTCCAGTTTTTGGCAGTTATGAATAAAGCTACTACAAATATTCATGTACAAGTGTTTGTGTCAAAGTAAGTTTCCATTTTTCTAGGATAAATATCCAAGAATGGAATTGCTGGATCATATGGTAATTCTATGTTTAATCTTTTGAGGAACTACAGCTTGTCCTCTATTCTCTAACAGTGTCTATCACAAAGCAAAAGTTTTTAACTGGATAAAGTTTGGTTTATTATCTTATTCTTTTTTGGTATCATGTCTAAGAATTTTTTGCCTAACGTGGGTTATAAAAGTTTTCTCCTATGTTTTCTTCTAAAAGTTTCATAGTATTCCATTTTACTTTTAGATCTGTGATCCATTTTGAGTTTGTTTACGTATAGTGTAAGGTTTAACTTGAGGTTGCTTTTTTTGCATATAGAGTCTAGTTGTTCTAACACCATTTGTTGAAAATAATATCCTCTCTCTATTGAATTGCCTTGCACCTTTTTCAAAATCAATGGGCCACATTTATGTGTCCTGTTCTGAACTGTCTGCTCTGTCCCATCGATCTAGGTGTCTATCCTTGTACCAATGACACATTGTCTTAATTACTATAGCTTTTTATTTATTAAAGTCAGGTTATACGATTTCTCCAAGGTTACTCTTTTTCAAATTTAGTTGTTCTAGTTCTTCTGCTTTACCGTGTAACTTTTAGAATCAGCTTGTCTCTATGAGGTAGGAGAGCAGCAGGACTTGTTTTCTGGTCCCAACCCTGATGACCAAAACAGGATCTGGTTCAGATGGGATAAAGCAAAAAAACTGACAAAAACCACAGATGGTGACAAAAGCAATCCTTAGCTGCCCTCATTGCTCATAGGTATAAGCTACTCCCACTAAAGCCATGACAATTTATAAATGCCATGGCAACAACCCACAAGTTACCACCCCTTTCCAGGGCAAGACCAAAAACTTACTGCCCCTTTCCTAGAAAGTTCTAAACAACCCACCCCTCAATTTGTGTTGACCTGGCTTTTAATTTGCATATAATTGAAAATAGATTTACATGAGTATAAATACAGTTGCCAAGAACCCATACTTTGCTGACTCTGGGCACACTGCCTAGGAGTTAGCCCAGCTCCAGAAGGAGCAGTACTGTTCAATAAAAAATTTCAGTCTATCACCACCAGCTTGCCCTTGAATTCTTTCCTGGTTAAAGCCAAAAACCATCCCAGGCTAAGTCCCAGTTTTGGGGCTCACCTGTCCTGCATCATATATCTACAAAAAATTATACTGGTATTTTGATTGGAATTGAATTAAATCTATAGATCAATTTTGGAAGAATTAACATCTTGTCTGCGTTGAGTCTTTCAATCCATGAATATAGTATGTCTCTCCATGTGTTTATTATTTGTTTCTATCTTCGATTGCTTTCATCAGCATTTTCTAGTTTCCAGCATAAAGACACTTAACAGGATTTGTTAGAGTTATACCTATGCGTTTCACTGTAAATAGCATTTAAAAAAATTTTAGTTTATTATAAATGTATAGATAACGAACTAATAAGATGGATTTTTGTGTATTGACCCTATATCATACAACATTGTTAAACTCACTTCTTTGTTTTAGAAATTTTTTGTAGATTCCTTATAGTTTTTTATGCAGACAATTATGACATCTGTGTGTATGAGCAGGTTTTTCCTTTCCAGTCTGTATGCCTTTTATTTCTTTTATGTGCCTGGCTAAGATTTCCATATGGTGTTCAATAGGAATAGTAGGAGTAGACATGAGAATTTTTACTTTAAAAAATGTAATCACAAAGGAATTTGAGCGTAGGAGAATCATAAGTATTCTGGTGCCTTTTTGCCTTCTCTGCCTTCCACAATTGATTTTTACCAGAAACAAATAGAAGTAAAAAGGTATACTTTTTTATTAGCTTGTATTTATGGATACCGTCATGATTTTTTCTGCAATCAGACTTAAGTTTAGTATTACTTAAGGTACTATCATTTCTATGTAAGTTTTGAAATACAGTTAAAATGATTATATGTCACATGAACAAAAGTCAATCTGAGTTCTTTGAAAATGATTCATTTTTATAAGCTTTTAAATTAATGCAGGAGAAGTGCTACAAAGCATATCTTTTTTACATGTCTTACTCTACTTCCTAGGGAATAGGGAGCTGTTCTCTAATCTTGTGTTTTGTTTTTCATCTTTCTCTCACCTCTCATCTCCCTTTCTTGCCTAGAATGTCCTATGTGTGTGAGACCCTGAAAATTTGGGTCAAGTTGCTTCAAGTATATTTGGTTTATGACAATATAACACCTGTACATACCTCTACTACCTGGTTGGAAAATTATAATATGAATTTTATAACATTGAAGGGACAGGGGAGGGTCCATCACTAAGAGAAAATATACTATATCATCTCCTATTTCCAGAAAATTCTAACGATGATTCCCACCGATGAGGAGAAGCAGAAAATCCAGGAAGCTCAGCTGGCCAACCCTGAAATCCCCCTGGGCAGTGCAGAGCAGTTCCTCCTCACCCTGTCCTCCATCAGCGAGCTCTCTGCACGACTTCACCTCTGGGCATTCAAAATGGATTATGAAACTACAGAAAAGGTAAGCTCTCTGTAAGAGAGGCCGCTGATCCCACATCCACAGTGTTGAGAAAGGCAGTTTTTCATTGATCAGTACTAAGGCAGTGAAATATCATTCTTGGCATAGGGTACGGAGGGTGAATTGACAATGAGGAGGTCGTGTGTACACCAAGTGATCAGCAGCTGGCCAATGAAGGCTGATTCTAAAGTGTCTGCCTGGTGCCAGCCTCAGACACTAGATTGTGGGCACCAGGTCACTGATTACAAAACAAAACAATTACATTTTTTTTTCAGATCCTATATTCTCATTGTAGAAAATATGGAAAATACAGAAAAGCACAATATAGAAAATTTCCTATAATCCTTCCACGTGATGATAATCACCTAAACTGCCAGTGATTGTGGCAATTAGCAGGTCTTTTTATGTTGCCTATTGCAAGAGTTTGGGAGGGGAACAGAAGGAAATGGGCCTTAATGGAGAAAGCTTGAGGAGGCTCCTCCTGAGTAGAAAGCAGAGGACATGGGCATCCTCTCTGGAATAGGGCAGTGGGAGTTTTTCGCAGGCTGAACAGAAGGAGCCAGTGTAGAAGAAAAGGAGGAGATGGAAAGTGAACTGTGTGGGATCTTAGTTGAGAGGAAGTCTGCAGAAGAGAGATTCTATAGCCCAGGTGAGCCAGGTGCAGTGGCTCACACCTGTAATCCCAGCACTTTGGGAGGCTGAGGCAGGAGGATGGCTTGAAGCCTGGAGTTCAAGACCAACCTGGGCATCATAGTGAGACCCTGTCTCTACAGAAATTTTAAAAACTTAGCCAGGTGTTGTGGCATGTACTTGTAGTCCCAGCTACTCAGGAGGCTGTGGCAGGAGGATCACTTGGGGCCAGGAGTTCAAGGCTGCAGTAGGCTATAATCACCTTACTGTACTCTAGCCTGGGCAACAGAGTGAGACCTCCATCTCTAAAAAAAATAAAGCCAAGTGGGGAGGCTGTGTGGTCTCCATCTTCTGGCAAAGGAAGGAGCAAGGTCCTGTACTGAGGGCCAGATGGTGGTGGGTTTGGGGGACTTTAGAAGGGAACTACAGTATTTGAATTCATCAGGAAGTCAAGCAGAGAGGAAGACACCTAGGGATTGCTGAGGTGACTGCTATGACTGGGTCACAAGACCAGACAGCATGCTCAGGTGACTTTTTTTAGCCAAGGGAGGTAACATCAGGGAGAAAACAGATCACTGGGTCAGCCTGGCAAGACCTGGGCTGGAGAAACTGAAGCTGGATTTCCTGGCTTTGGGATATAGGCTGGGGGAGAGCCTCAGTCAAGACAAAGGAGTGGGGGCCACAGAATAACAGCAGTGAGGGTGGGGGAGATGGAGGCCATGAGGCTACAGAGCAGGCTGGAGGTCTGAGGGAGGGTGATCATGAAAGCAGTGGGGTAGAGGGCAGTAGCCTTCTAGTGAGCAGCCCAGGCTGCCAGGTGGCTAGCCGTGGAGTGCCTTGAGGGGAGGAGGAGGCCTGGGGCAGTTCAGGGACATCGAGCGCACAACTTTCATTGCCAATCTGCCTGGAAGGACAAAAAGCAAAGAAGAAGACTGTGGTCTAGAAGCCGAAGGAAGATGAGAAGGAAGAGTGTCCGAGGAGTCAGCCACAGCCAGAAAGGAGAGTAAGAGGAGGGCATTCCCTAAGGCAGAAATGGGGAGTCCAGAGCCCTTGTCACCCCAGCACAAGGTCCTTTTGGTCTCCACTGCAGGGTCTGGGGAGTAGAGGCTCTCCCTGCCACACGTTTCCATACCTAGGAGCAATGCCCATCGCGGGGGATTGCCTTGTGCTGGGGAGAACACCGTGTGTTATTCCCTTATACAAAAAGTCAGAAGAACAAAGTAAACCCAAATTGTACACTCTTTATTGTCTAATTTTTTTTTAACTGAAAGGAAGTAGCAGAACCACTCCTGGACCTGAAGGAAGGAATAGACCAGTTGGAGAACAATAAAACCTTGGGCTTTATCCTGTCTACTCTCTTAGCCATTGGGAACTTTCTAAATGGAACTAATGTAAGTCATCCCCATCCCTCATCCTGTAGCCCCCCCTTGTCACAAAATCCCTGCCCAGCAATTGCTGATGAAGGTTGTACCTCAGGTTCCCCAAAGCACAGTGGAACAAATGACTTTTGTGTCTTCTTGCTGAAAATCTAGAAGGAATTTGTTCTTAAGATATCAGGGCCTAGGCCGGGCGCGGTGGCTCACACCTGTAATCCCAGGACTTTGTGAGGCTGACGCGGGTGGATCACGAGGTCAGGAGATCGAGCCATCCTGGCTAACACGGTGAAACCCTGTCTCTACTAAAAATACAAAAAATTAGCCAGGCATGGCAGCACGCACCTGTAGTTCCAGCTACTCGGAATGCTGAGGCAGGAGAATCGCTTGAACCCGGGAAGCAGAGGTTGCAGTGAGCTGAGATCTCACCACTGCACTCCAGCCTGGGTGACAGAGCAAGACTCTGTCTCAAAAAAAAAAAAAAAAAAAAAAAAAAAAGATATCAGGGCCGATTTATTTCAATCTGTGTCTTGCTATAAATAAGAAAACAGAAAAACACACACATGATTCTTTATGAAGTGTAACTACTCTCAAACTTGACATTGGAAAACTTCCTTCTGCCCCATTTTTTTTCTGAGCTTATCACTCAAATACTCATGCTTATAAGCATTTTGATGCTTAAAGAAAAACAACTGTTTAAAAATCTTTTTTTTAAGTTCTGGGGTACATTTGCAAGATATACAGGTTTGTTACATTGGTAAACATGTGCCCTGGTAGTTTGCTGCCCCTATCAACCCATCACCTAGGTATTAAGCCCAGCATGCATTAGCTATTAAGAAACGCAACTTTTTAAAATTGGCTCAGCTTTGTCCAGGAAGTAGACAACAACAGGCAAAGGGAGGAAGAAGTAGATAGGCAGATGTCAGAGCCCAGCCCCACAGCACCCTGATTTAGGGGTGAGCCCTGGGACATGGCTCATGGCTGTGGTGGGAAAGGGCTAGAGGCTCCCTCATTCTCAGGGTGGCTGGCCCATGTGTGATCAGCCATGGATCATGGAGCATGTGGCCCCAGGAGCTTCAGCCACAGAGAAACTGAATGTTGGGTGACTGCAGCCAAGAATTGATCCTAACCATCCTGTGCTATTCTCTAAGAGCCTGCTTGAAACATGTCTTTTATTGATGTTTGCAAAACAGGCCAAAGCGTTTGAGTTAAGCTACCTCGAGAAGGTTCCAGAAGTCAAAGACACAGTGCACAAGCAGTCGCTTCTCCACCATGTGTGCACCATGGTGGTAGAAAACTTCCCAGACAGCTCCGATCTGTACTCGGAGATCGGGGCCATCACCAGGTCAGCCAAGGTATGTCTGTGGACGCTGAGGAGTGGGCCTGGTCTCGCTGCAGCCACGGGATCTTTATCGGTCATCCTCGAGGAACACGAGCCCTATTAAGTAAAATGCCCAAGTGCTGCCTGCATTCTCTGCTCTGGAGTTTATGAATATGATTTGTTTTGTGGCATTTCTAATGAACTTTTAAGATCTTTTTCCTATCTCTGGTTCTCAGTCAGATTCTTTCCTACTAAGGTATGCAAGGCAAGCCTGCCATCCCATTCCTAAACCCTGCGTCCACTGTTAGGCAGTGTTACTCACCAGGGTGGATTCTCCAGAACGCTGAAACAGCACAGCTTGTCTTAGGTGGCAACCATGTCAAAAAGATGCAATTTGGCTCTTCCTGAGATGTCCATAGGACCTTGCAGTGAGGTGTGGAGCCAGAAAACAGGGCCCTCCCGGCTCCTGCTCCCCACAGATAGGCAGTCCCTATGATCTTGCCCAGAGGGAACATTTTTATAGAGCTGTAAACAGTATATGGCCTTGGCCCTCAGCTGCAAGCTCTTAAAGCGAGTGCAGAGTTAATATCTTCATGAACTTATGCTTCATTAGAAAAGAGACAGTCACAGTATGTGGACACCTGGCTGCCTCTAGTGCAGGGGGTCACTGAGGCTGACCAACTCCTAGAGGGATCCCAAACACACCAGAACTGGGAGATGTGAAGGTCTTAGGAGCACAGGAAACTCGCTAGGGGAGAGGGCAGGGGTGGAAAATACCCTTAAATAGGGCACAGCAACCAGGCTAGTGTGAAGGAACCTTCTAGAAACACTCCTGGCTGGAGCATGAGAGCTGGAAGTACTGGGGTGTGTTGGAATCCAGCATGAGAGGAAGAGAGAGAGTGGTGGGCAAAGGTGGGGAAGGATGTGGGTTGGCTGCTGAGGCCTGCTTCAAGGGGCCCTCCCTCTCTGTCTGCCTTCTGCCACAGCCCTGGCTTGTGGGGACCTGGTGGCCGAGAGCCTCCTCCACCTACCTCCAGAGCCACAGGCTGGCCTCTGCCAGGTGCACCGAGCAGGGGACCCTGAACTGGCCTATCAGAATTTTTTTCTAAGCCTCATTGTATCATGAGAAAGCGAAGCCTTTCCTATCTGGACTCAGGATTCCTTTGGTTTCAGACAAATCATTTTCCCCAAAGTGCCATGAAACCCTGCATACCTGAATCCCAGGGCTTTGCCTAAACTCGCCTTCTCTTTCTGATGCAATAGCATCAGGAAGCCCAGTACATACGGTGTCTTGCATGCCTCCCTGCCTCACACCAGACACGACACTGCGTGTCTTTATCCTGTTGGTGCCACAGATCCTCACAGAATCCACCTTTGCGAACTCTTTCCCCTTCATTGTCCTTCTAAGGGTGGGCCTGGAGGTCTGAAGTCACTCCAGCAAGTCCCCTGTGGGCTTCAGAAGGCCCTGCTCGTTGCCTCTGTCAGTGGCCCCTAAGTAGCAACGGCTTACCTCCGCGCCCCTGCTCACCTCCACGCATCTCCCGCTCAGCCCCTCCCGACCCCGTACCCTCTGTGCACCTCCCGCTCACCCCCCGCCACACCCTCCATGCACCTGCCACTCATCCCCCCACCTGCACCCTCCGCTCACTTCCTGCTGACCCCCGTGTACCTCCCGCTCATCCCCGCCACACCCTCCACGCACCTCGTGCTCAACCCCGCGCACCTCCTGCTGCTCTGACTTTTGCTTGCTGGACACAGCCTTTCCCATCTTAGCTACTTTCCATCCACCTCAGTCCCCTCCTTTCAGCACACCCACTTACCTATTTCTTCCTCCGCTCCTGTCCTTCACAATTTCTTTCCCCATCCCTTTGTTAAATGTGGCCCTCTGATGTATTTTTTTCATGACTAAAAATCTCTCTGATTTATGTAATTTTTAGTCTGGAAATTCTATAAAATCATCACCTTAGAAAACCTCATCTCAGTCTCCTTCAGGCAATCCAGCCTGTCTGCACGTCCCTGAATACACAGCCAGCACTCTGTTACATCTGTCCCTTGCATGTGTGATGTGCATCTGCTGGCAACCCTCACCCACACACAGGCACACACACGAGCCTGGTGGGGTCTGTGTGTCCTTCAGAGTTTGGGAATCACCTGTGGGTACAGTTAGCCTCCTTGAGAACAGGAAGTTGTCTTATTCAGCATTTGTGTTTATGTTCAATGCCTGGCTTAGAGACTGGTGTATGCTAGTTTCTCCATGAGTGTTGGTGGAATGAGTGAGTGGGCAGGTGAATAAAACAACTTGTCACTCACATTATAAAGGAGATCATCACGAAGAGAAGCTGGCTGCCCATTAGTTGGTCCCCAGCATAGCAGAGCCATCTTCATAGGACTAGGGTGCATTTCTCAACTTTAAGAGAAATATTATCGCTGAAGAATAAGAGTGCTCTGAAAAAAATTTATGAGACATCTTCTTAGTTCATCTTGTACTAGGGTTCCTTGATATCATGTTTTAATTTACAGTTCCCAAAGATTTATTTCTAAATATGGCCAAAAAAGGTAACACATGTATTAAGTTCATTTGGAGAACAGTTTTATCACTAAATAATGTGATGTCAAGATAATGACAGATACACATGTGAATAATTTTTAGGCTGTAAATATGTTTGCATTTCAAAATGTGAATTTCGTTTTGATGTTTGTTTCTCCCCAGAGGCAGTTTTGTCTCTCAGTTCAGGCTGGTGTCCGGCGGTTTCAGTGTTTGCAGTGTTCTCGCTCTGATTTTCAGGTTGACTTTGATCAACTTCAGGATAATTTATGTCAGATGGAGAGAAGATGCAAAGCTTCATGGGATCACCTCAAGGCAATTGCAAAACATGAAATGAAACCAGTTTTAAAACAACGGATGTCAGAGTTCCTGAAAGACTGTGCAGAGCGAATTATAATTTTAAAGATTGTCCATAGAAGGATAATCAACAGGTAAGTGGATTGAGGAACTTATAGAAATATCAGTACAATGGCATATTGAAAAATTTGTACTGGAAATTAAGAGCCGATGGTTAAATTTACAGATTTTTTGTACATTCTTGGTACATAGCAAGTACACTGATGATACAGATGTTTAACAGTTTCATGGATAATTAATTTTTCTTACACAATAATATAATGCCATCAAACCTCAAAGTTGGAAGGAATCTCAGAAATAATTTGATCCAAAAATCCTACCTATCAGGAACTGCGTCTGTAAGATTTCTAACAAATTGAACCCTGCATCTCTGGGTCTGCTGGAAGAATTTCACCTATAGAGAGGACACTCCCTTTCAAGGCAGCTCTCTTTGTTAGAAAAGTTCCTCCTTTACCTGATCTGCAGCTGGCCTTCGGAGGACCTTCCAGTAACAGATCCTCCAACAGCTGCTTAGCTATGCCACAGCCTACCTGAGGGAGGTCCAAGCTCCATCACAGCACTGTCCTCTGGACCAGCCCTCCTCAGAGTCACAGGATCCAAGAGGACCCTGGAGACACAGCAGTGATGTGTCAGACCTTGTTGTGCCCACAAGGAGAATGGGGTCTGGAACAGCCCATGGCTGTCCAGGGCCGTGCCACCAGAAAGCAGTGGTAGCCCGAAGACTAGAACCTGGATCTTCTATCTTCCCAGGCCAGGGCCTTTCCTACCATGTGCTACCACTCTCTTCTCCTTTGCTTTGTCACAGAACACGGTTGAGGGACCCTCACCCATTCTTCCTTCCTCCCTCCCTCCCTGCCTTTCCTTTCTTTCCTCATCTCCTTCTTTCACCTTCCTTAAGCCTATACAGAACTTTTTAAAACCTGATACTTTTATCTGCACATGAACCCTCTCCCAGCTTGTGTCAGTTTCTGCTTTGATATTCATACTCCCTGGGTCTCCATTCAGACCACTGAGAAAATGGCAAGTAGTTTTTAAAGTTGGACGGGACAAAAATAAGAAGCAGAATCTTCCCTCCAGGTTGACAACTATCCGTCAGTCAGTTCTTTTGGAATTTAATTGTTCAACTATAAATCTCCCTGACTATCTATCTAGACCTTCTGGCTGTCCTTCCTTCCTCAAGGGAACTTTTAGGATATTTTGTCAGATTTCTTACTGAAATCAAAGAGGCAGGGAATGTGAGCTGGTTTGGCCCTCCATGCTTTGTATGATGCAAGCAATTCCCCATTTAAAATACACGCACGCGCACACACACACACACACAACACACACACACACACACACACACACACACACACACGGAGAGAGAACCAACTATTATTTGGAACGTCATGAAACTGGAGTAATTTTATGAATGTCTTATAAAGCTGTTGAGCTTGGTTATGTTAACCATTTTATCCCAGACAGATTAAAAACTCAGTTTGGTGGTGTGTCTATTTCTTAAGCTATAAAGTATTTGCTCTGATTATCCCATTCTCCTTGGTAAGCTGGTCACCCAGATGATGGCTGCTCCCGCCTCACCTGTCCACATCCTACTGGGGATGACCAGGAGGAGCCAGAAGTTCACTGTGGTTTTGGTGTGGGTAGTAAAAGGGGCGTGGCTAAAGGGAGGTGGTACCCGGAAGTGGCCAGTCCAAAGTATCTAAACCGTAGAACCCTGTGTTCAAATGAAGTCTTTAGCTGGAGCGCTGTATGTAGAACTGATTAAAGCAGGACTCTCTTGTTGAAATTGAGATGGAGGACTGAGAGCCCCAAGGACTGTGCCTCATTTTTCCTTCCCCCTCCCACCAACAGTCCTCAGGATCATAGCTGAGGATGGCTGTGATTTTTTTTTTTTTAAACTTAACACATTGGGAAACTGAGGCACAGAAAGGACCCTATTCAGGGCCTTACAGCTGGTAACCAGAGGGATCATCTTAGTCATGCAAATGAGCCTGCCTAAATACTTATATTTTGATGTCAGATCAAAAAGTTTCAAAAGGTGTCTCTTTGGGTAAAACCTACTTTTTGAAACTGTTTCCTGGCTAAGAAAATTTTGTTTTGGATGTTCAAACCTGCATTTGTTTTAACTTTTATTTTAGGTTCAGGGATACATGTGAAGGTTTGTTAACATAGGTAAACTCATGTCATGGGGGTTTGTTGTACAGATTATTTCATCACCCAGGTACTAAGCCCAGTATCCGATAGTTATCTTTTCTGCTCCTCTCCCTCCTTCCACCCTCCACCTTCATGTCCAGTGTCTGTTGTTTCCTTCTTTGTGTTCATAAGTTCTCATCATTTAGCTCCCATTTATAAATGAGAACATGTGATATTTGGTTTTCTGTTCCCGTGTTGGTTTGCTAAGGATAATGGCCTCCAGCTCCATCCATGTTCCCACAAAAGACATGATCGTGTTCTTTCTTATGGATGTATAGTGTTTCGTGGTGTATATGTACCACATTTTTTTATCCAATCTGTTATTGATGGGCATTGAGGTTGATTTCATGTCTTTGCTGTTGTGATTAGTGCTACAATGAACATTCGTGTGCATGTGTCTTTCTGGTAGAATGATTTATATTCCTCTTGGTATATATATACCCAGTAATGGGATTGCTGGGTCGAATGGAAGTTCTGCTTTTAGCTCTTTGAAGAATCACCATACTGCTTTCCACAATGGTTGAATTAATTTACACTCCCTCCAACCGAGTATAAGTGTTCCTTTTTTTCCACAACTTCACCAACATCTGTTATTTTTTGACTTTTTAATTATAACCATTTTCACTGATGTGAGATGGTATCTCATTGTGGTTTAGATTTGCATTTCTCTGATGATCAGTGATGTTGAGCCTTTTTTTTTTCCATATTCTTGTTGGTCACATGTATGTCTTCTTTTAAAAAGTGTCTGTTCGGGGCCGGGCATGGTGGCTCACGCCTGTAATCCCAGCATTTTGGGGGGCCAAGGTGGGTGGATCACGAGGTCAGGAGATCAAGATCATCCTGGCTAACACGGTGAAACCCTGTCTCTACTAAAAATACAAAAAATTAGCTGAGCATGGTGGTGGGCACCTGTAGTCCCAGCTACTCAGGAGGCTAAGACAGGAGAATGGCATGACCTGGGAGGTGGAGCTTGCAGTGAGCCGAGACAGTGCCACTACACTCCAGCCTGGGAGACAGAGGAAGACTCCATCTCAAAAAAAGAAGTGTCTGTTCATGTCCTTTGCCCACTTTTAGTGGGGTTGTTCATTTTTCTCTTGTAAATTAAAGTTCCTTAAAGATGCTCGACATTAGACCTTTGTCAGATGCATAGTGTGCAAAAATTTTCGCCCACTCTATAGGTTATCTGTTTACTCTGTTGATAGTTTCTTTTGCTGTGCAGAACTTCTTAAATTTAATTAGATCCCATTTGTCAATTTTTGCTTTCATTGTGATTGCTTTTGGTAAATTTCGCTGTGATTGCTTTGTCAGCCTGTTCCTATGTCCAGGATGGTATTGCCTAGGTTGTCTCCCAGGGTTTTTATAGTTTTGGGTTTTACATTTAAGTCTTTAATCCATCTAGAGATGACTTTTGTATATGGTGTAAGGAAAGTGTCCAATCTTCAACATTTGACTAGCCAGTTATCCCAGCACCATTTATTGAATAGAGAGTCTTTTCCCCATTGCTTGTTTTGTCAGCTTTGTCAAAGATCAGATGGTCATAGGTGTGTGACCTTATTTCTGGGCTTTCTATTCTGTTCCATTGGTCTATGTGCCTGTTTCTGTACTAGTACTATGCTGTCGCAATTACTGTAGCCCTATATTGTAAAGTTGGGTAGTGTGATGCCTCCAGCTTTGTTCTTTTTGCTTAGGATTGCCTTGGTAATCCAGGCTCTTTTTTTGTTCCATATGAATTTTAAAACAATTTTTTTCTAGTTCTGTGAAGAATGTCTTTGGTAGTTTGATAGGAATAGCATTGAATCTGTAAACTGCTTTGGGCAGTATGGCCATTTTAATGACACTAATCCTTCCAATTCATGAGCATGGGATATTTTCCATTTGTTTGTGTCATCTCTGATTTCTTTGAGCAGTGTTTTGTAATTCTCATTGTAGATATCTTTCACCTCCCTGGTTAGCTGTATTCCTAGGTATTTTATTCTTTTCGTGGCAACTGTGAATGAGATTGCCTTTCTGATTTGGCTCTCAGCTTGACTGTTGTTGGTGTGTAGGAAAGCTAGTGATTTTTGTACATTGATTTTGTATCCTGGAACTTTGCTGAAGTTATCAGCTGAAGGAGCTTTTGGGCTGAGATGATGGAGTTTTCTGGATATAGAATCATGTCATTTGCAAACAAAGATAGTTTGACTTTCTCTCATCCTATTTGAATGCGCTTTATTTCTCCTTCCTGATTGCCCTGACCAGAACTTCCAACATTATGTTGCATAGAAGTGGTGAGAGAGGGCATCCGTGTCTCCTGCTGGTTTTCAAGGGGAATGCTTCTAGCTTTTGCCCATTCAGTATGATATTGGCTGTGGATTTGTCATAGATGGCCCTTATTATTATATTTTGAGGTATGTTCCTTCAATACCTAGTTTATCGAGTGTTTTAACATGAAGGGTGTTGAATTTTATTGAAAGCCTTTTCTGTGTCTATTGAGATAATAATGTGGGTTTTGTCTTTAATTCTTAAACGTGCATATTAACCTTTCCTTTTATCCTTTTGTACTCTCTGGATGTACAGACCCACCCACTCACTCCTGTAGATTCATTAGGCTACAGTTGCACTGTGAAAGGCACAGAGAGGGACTGGGGAGAGGAAGAGAAGAAAGCTGTTATTAGTCGATTCTCATGCTGCTAATAAAGACATATCCGAGACTGGGTAATTTATAAAGGAAAGAAGGTTAATTGACTCACAGTTCTGCACCACTGGGGAGGCCTCAGGAAACTTACAATCACAGTGGAAGGGGAACCAAACACGTCCTTCTTCACATAACGGCAGCAAGGAGAAGTGCCAAGCAAAGCGGGAAAGCCCTTATAAAACCATCAGATCTCGTGAGATCTTACTCTCACAAGAACAGGATGGGGGATACCGCCCCCTATGATTCAATTGTTTCCACCTGGTCCCTAAACAATGCATGGGAATTATGGGAACTACAATTTAAGATGAGATTTGGGTGGAGACACAGCCAAACCATATCAAAAGCCTTCCTGGGAGGCCTAGCAAACTACAGCAATGGACTGCCATTCAAGGGGGAGAGACAGGCAGAAGACAAGTAAACACCAAGACTGGTGTGCCATTGCCCAAAGTCCACCCCTCCCATTCTGGGCTAGACAGTGGCAGGCTTGAGTAAGAGTCAGATGATGGAACAAATCAAAGATGTTTGACTTGTGCTTTGGCTTACTGGTTAGGGGGGCCAGCCTGCCCATAACCATACAATCTTCATATCATGTATTCTAAAAGTTACAAACTCAACTGAAAAAAATTCCTTAAAAGTTTTATGGCCTCAAAGTCATATCCTTTTTGTTCTTCTGAAGGAATACCATAGTTTCTCTCTTTTCAAATGTATATCTGGATCTTTTTCAGACCTTTACTTGTTTGTTGTTACTCTCCTTGTTTGTAAAATACATGCTTAAATAACATTTCCAATTTATATGTTAAGTTTGGATTCCCTGTGCATCCAAAAACAATGCTCTAGAAAGTGTAGGATAAAGAATCTTGGGTTGTACTTATGTATAAAATAGGACCCAGAATGTTAATCTATTAGAATGAGGTGAAGTGGTTAGCTAGCTGCAGGCTGATGGATTCTCCCCTCAAATCTTCCTGCATACAGATCTTGAATAGTTGTTATATTATACTGTACTGTCCTATCCTAATATCATATCATATATCTAATATATAATGTCAAGTGGTAATAACAGCCAGGAAGAAAAAATAAGAGTATAAATGGTTAGGTAGTGACCTGACACAGGGTGGTCATGGAAGGCTTCTCGGAGGAGGTGGTATTTTGGGCAGAGACCTGTGGAATGAGTGAGAGCCATCCATGCAGCTGTCAGTAGGGAAAACATTCTACACATGGGGAACAGCTGGTACTGGATACCTTGTCAGGCCTGTGGTCCTACCCTGTGGAGTGGCCTCCTCACCCCTCCCCACAGGCCCTGCAGGCTCTCAGTTCCTTGGCCTCTGTGTCCCTCCAGGGCTCCTGCACACTACACATGGTGTCTGGGGCTCTGAGGTGGGCTTTTTCAGGGAATAACCAGGATTCCAGTGTAACTAGAGTCACAAGAGATGAAGTCAGAGAGGTGATAGGGCTAGTCGTCCAGGGCCTTATTTGGAAATGCTATATTTAGTTTATCCATGCATTATATCCATCCAATGCTATACTTAGTTTATCTTTCCATGGACATTTGGGTTGTTTCCACTTTCAGCTATTGTGAATAATGCTTCTATGAACTTTTGTGTAGAAGGTTTTGTGTGTACACATATTTTCATTTCTTTTTATGCAAATGAGAAAAATTGCTAAGTCATGTAATAAACTCTGTTTATCTTTTTGAAGAACTGCCAGATCATTTTCTATGGCTGCTAAACCATTTTATCTTCCTACCAGCACTGTGGAAAGGGTCCAATTTCTCCACATCCTCACCAACATTTGTTCTAGCCTGTCTCTTTTATTACAGCCATCCTGGTGGGTGTATGTGGTGTCTCCTTGTGGTTCTGATGTGTATTCCTTAGTGATGTTGAGCAGCTTTTTTCATGTATCTCTTGGCCGTGTGCATATCTTTTTAGGAGAAATGTCTATTCAAATCCTTTGTCCATTTTTTATTTGTCTTTTTAGTGTTGCGTTGTAAGATTCCTTTATATATTCTGACACAAGTCCCTTATTAGACACATGACTTGCAAATATTTTCTCCTATCTTTTAGATTGTCTTTTTAGTCTTGATAATATCCTTTGAAACACAAAAGTTTTTAAGTTTAATGAAGTCCAGTTTATCTACTTTGGTCACTTCTGCTTTGGGTATCATATCTAAGCACATTAATCCAAAGTCATGAAGATTTCTACTTTATTTTCTTCTAAGAGTCATGTAGTTTTGGATAGCATTTTTTAGGCCCTTTTACTTTAAATACAAGTTGTATGTTTACTTCATTATTCGTCTCAAAAAGAGTAAGCCAGTGTCCCTTATTTTAAAAAATCCATATTCAAGCTGTGCAAATTAGAGTGATCAAAATTTTTTGTCTATAAATAGTGGTATCATTTGCGTAATGTTGTTTGTTCCACAGAAAGCTTTCCCTCTGTCTCCCACTGTGTTCTTTCTCATTTCCTAATAACTAAAATTTGGGTACTTATCTGCTCATGTAATTTCTTTTACAACATTTTAAAACAAATAATGTTTAATAATTTTTGTTTACAAATTAAGTAGTTAAAATAAATTTATTTTCTGCTTCTTTGGTGTTTCCTAATTAAATTAATATTATATATAATATCACAAGAAATGTTTAAAAATATTTACTCAGAAAACAGCATCTACTTAGAAGCTATGAATTAACATGTTATTCATAATATGTTCATGTCTATTTTAAGTGTTCATTCCAAAGAATTTCTAAGCAACATTTCTTTATTCCTATTGAATTGTCATATAATCTAGAAATGGTGCAATACTTTTCGAAAATACCACTTTAACATTTTTCTTACAAAAGTTTTACATATATCCATTTTAGAAAAATGTTAAAACACAGATACGCAAAGTGAAAAAGTAATCTGTTGAGGTCCTGCCACCTAGATATAATCTCCATCAGTGGGAAAGTGAGTTGAACTTCTGTTTGCATTTTCACTTGAGAAGACTCTTGAAATTCAAAGCCCCAGGAATGAAGGACAGTGTCTTCTTACTGAGAGTGTGGCTTGTTGGTTTCTTTATTATTATTATTATTATTATTATTATTATTATTATTATTTATTTTAAGTTCTCACATTGGTTTCTTACTGAGAGATTTTAGACAAGTAATTTTTATTTCTTAAAACGGAAGTCATTGCTATTACTGTTTTTTCCTTGCAGATTCCACTCCTTTTTACTCTTTATGGGCCATCCACCTTATGCAATTCGGGAAGTGAACATAAACAAATTCTGCAGGATTATTAGTGAATTTGCACTAGAGTATCGCACAACCAGGGAAAGGGTTTTGCAGCAGAAACAGAAACGGGCCAACCACAGAGAGAGAAATAAGACCAGAGGGAAGATGATCACCGATGTAAGTTTCACACAATCCCTCTCCTTATGTCATTCGTTTTCAAAGTAAGATCAGTCAGGAATCCTCCCCACAGTTAAAAGCTGTGCTTTTTTTTTTTTTTTTTTTTTTTTTTTTGACTATAAAAAATTATCTCTTTTAAAAAGTGCTCTTAAAGTACTCCTCCACCATTTCTGTGAAAATCTGCTAAATAACAAGGAGCTAGGAGATGTAAAGTTCAGAACGTGTGGCTAGAAGAGGAACATGGAACCCATTTTGGTGTGTTGCATGTTGCTGATGACATTAAATGTTTGATTCTATTTTTGTCCTCTGTGATGTGGGTAAAGTTGGATGAAGACAAGTAAAATATAAAAGATAATGCCGCTTATCATAGAAAGACAAATGTACTGATTGGGGCATTGATTCAGAATTTTAATCATCATAACGGTGCTGTGTAACCAATCAGTTGACACATGGACCACCCATTGTGGGCATCTGAATAAACTGATGTGATTGCTCCAAGATACAATCTAATGGGCTCTTGCCAGTCCCTTGAATCACAGGACATCAGGGTGGAAAGAGTTCCCAGAGGACAGTGAATCCAGTAGGAGTTTCCCCATAGCACCCTGGGGAGCCCCTGCACACTTACATGTCTCCCCTGCTCCCGGGCTCTTTCCCCATCTCTCCTGTCTCAGCCCCAAGCCTACCTAGGTCTTGGGGGGCAGTGGATATTCAGATGACAGATGCTCAGTAAAGTGGAGGGTAAAGGGATGCATGACGATGCCAGAGACCAACGGAGGTACATAGTGCAGGTTCCTTTTTCTTAATGTGCCTTTACGAAACATAAAAACCAGGCTAGCATCTCACTTACCTCATCCATTACTGTAAGGTCAGTTCCAGGCAAAAGGCTGAAATTTTCTGGGAATCCTCCTTTAGTCACTATTTATTCTTTCTTGAACAGACTCAACGATAATAAAGTCATCTTTTTTGATATTGACAGGTCATATTTGGAACTTGTTGAAGGACTCTAGAGTGTGATTTTTTTTCATGGTTTGGATTGTTGCCCATGGATTTCTCCCATCTGTGCGTGCATTTGAGTAGCACATGGACTTCTGGCAATAGAGGGAATGGAATGAGGAAAGGATTAAGCCACAGGGCGTGCCATCATCTGGGCAGTTACACATTTCAACTGAACCCTAGTTAGGCAGATTTTTGCTGGGGGAGGAAGAAAACCAATTAGGAAGACCTCACTGAAGCCGCCCTATGTGCACAGACATGTGTGTATGTAGTCAGCCAAGCAGAGGGCACTTGGTTACTGCTCTCTAGAAGTCCACATTCCTGAGGGTCTGACTTACATGGAAGGCCAGACACATTAACTTAGCAATTTTGTTATAATTTTAAGAACCACGGGATAATCATTTCTCTTACCATCCACCTTTGTGTAAGCTCCTTGTTTTCTTGGAATTTTCTGGACCTTTAGGAAGTGCTCAGGTCACTTTTGTGCAGAAGGAGCCCTTTCTACAGCTCTACCCTGCACCCAAGCAGTTCTGAATTCCAGTGCCATCAGCCAAGAGTCTTCTGTATCCTTTCCTGAAATCTCAGTTCAGTAGGATCCACAGCCTCTTGGAAGACAGCAACCCAGGAAGCATGTTGGATCCACTTGGGCAAACTGTGGCCCACATTTTATTCATAGTATTATTTTTGAAAGTTTAAAAAAAGAGATTGCTTATTTTGTGGCTATGAGACACATACAAGCCGAATATGCTTATAGTTATGTGGACACATCAAAATTTCTTGCTAAATTCTTGAGATTTTTTACAGATCCCACTAATTTTTAAATTCTTTCTCTTAAAACATTTGGCTTTCCCAATCATAAACAGAGGTGAATGTTTCTAGAGTTTGATTCAAAAATATTTAAATTCCCATTAAAATCTGGACAGGATAGGCTTCGTCAGGATTCATTCTCAGCCTAGTCCATGTTTTTAATGGCCAAAGTGGCATCATTCATGTAGAAGGATTGCCCTCTGCTGGAACATTAGGATATTGTCCCTTAAGGAAAACTACAGCCTTGGGTTTTTCCAACTCAATTATTAAGGGCTCATTGTGCATCCAGCAGTGCCTGGGACACCAAGGAAGATGTGAGTATAAAGAAAAGCTTATATCCCAAGGACATCATAACCTGGTTAAAAATGGCATATACACAACTTAAACCACTGAAAACAAAGCCAGACAGTAGACTTAGAATCACGGACCCCCTGAACGTTGGAGCTAGAAGAGATTTTAGAGAAAACTGTTTGTAGTAAGTCACCTTGAATGTACATGCTGAATAAAATGAGGATGCAAGTGGTAACATTTAGAGATGAGAGGTCTGAGGGTAAAATCTGCAGCCCCCACGCACCAGCTCCTGAGTGCCTATCCCTCTTCTTCTCCCCGTTTCTGGGTATTCAGAAGGCTTCCTTTTCATCATCCAGGGGTCCTCCCAGGCCAGGATCACTGAGCAACTAATTCCTCATCCTGTGTACAAAGTTGGTCCTAGAGCAAATGGTGACATAGACAAGGCAACACGAGGCACCTACAGCCTTTCTGCCGCATTCACACTCGTGAGGTGGGCTGTGAGAACCCAGGCTGGTCAATCCCAGGCCTCCCACGTTGGAGGGCAGTGGTAATCCTGGGTGAGACCCTTAACCCTTCTCAATGCCAGCTTCCTCTTCTATAGAAAGGGAATGATGATTACTTTTAGGGATGTTGAGCGGGCCAATATTTTATATATGTAGCACCTTGAACATGTGTGAATTTCTGGAAAAATGCCAGCCATCCCAGGTTATATAAATAAACTGTAAGAATTTTTTAAAAGAGAGTAATGGAACAGGACTGTTGTCTCTTGTCACAATGCCATTTGGATGAGGCAGCGTGGAATGTTACGGACTGGAAGTGGTTTGTCATTTTAACTTCCAAAAGCATAGTTCATTCTCAAAACACTTCAATCTGATTTGCTGGCCTGGCCCTGTAACCTCACAGACACTCCTAAATTGAAAGTGTGTTTAATTTATGATCAAGAGATTGACATGACTTTTCACTCTCAATTTATGTTAGAAGAGAGATATTTTATTTAAAGTAACTTAAAGCAGTTTAGTGCTAAAGTAATTAAAAGTATGGAGAGTCAGTTCAGGTGGCTCCCATGAGAAACAGGTGAGATGTTAAAAATAAATTAATTTCATGCTCCTGAGGAGAGAGTAATGTGAACACGCTGCTGGAGCAGTTGTCTCACTTGTCCTGGCTGGCCTGCATATGGAAGGACCAGCGGTAGCCCAGAACCAGCAGCCTGGGCAGGGAGGGATCCTGCGCTCGGGATGGGATGGGAGGGCCGGCAGCTGACAGGCAGAGCCAAGCAAATGGAAGCCAGTCCACTTAGAGGGGCCTTGATGACTGTCAGGCCGTGATGGGTTCATAAGGATGTGGCCAGCCAAGCCATATGGTTCACAGAGCAGGACACTCTCAGCACGATGCACAGCTGCGAGTGACGTTGGTGGTGGTCAGGGAATCGAGTTAGCTGACTGTTACCTCAGGGACAGCCCCAGAAGATTGGCCCGGAGCCGTGTGAGTCCCTCTGGTCATGGGTGATCTTGGAGTTCACACAAGGAGTGTCCAGATGAGGACAAGAGGGTGGGGCCTGGCAGCTCCCAACTCAAGAGGATGTATCCTGGTTGTGGTGACCAGTTTATTTACTTGGAATTTTATGTGACATTGCGATGATCTTTTTGCTGACTTCTGTGCCTTCTAAGAATCCCTTCTGTCTTTTCCGTCCTGTCCTGTCCTGTCCTCTCGGGTAGACTGATGAGGAGGAGGAAGTTGAGGTATGACCATTTATGAACATGAAGAATGCCACATTTTACCACCTCATGTATGCTCTGGTCTAACCTAACATAATCAGCATGAAGTGTCAGCACCATTCAGTGCTTTAAACAATGCATGGACATTTTTCTGGTTGGTTTTCGTGTGATCACTAACCACCTGACAGGGGCTCTCATCATGCCACGTTTGCCAGGGACTGAAGGGTTAAATGCATTTTCCGAGCTGTCCCTGAGGCCCAGCTAATCAGTAACCATGTCACAAGTGGCAGGTTTAGCAGGTCTCTCCCTGCTGCTGGAAAAGTGGACAGAGAATTTTCCTTTGGCAACTTAAATATGAGAACTAGATTCTGGAATAACCACATGAAGAGTCCTGAAATCAAAGAGGAAGTGGGGCAGTGGCCAAGGGCCAGGCTAGAGTCTCTGTCCCCAGCCAGTAGGCAGCCTCTGATGTGTGACCATTTCCTCTGCTGGTGTTAATGGCTCCCATGGGCCAACGTCCATGCAGTGGCAGATGGCAGGGGCTCTTCCCTAGACCCTGGATGCAGGTGCGAGAACCAGAGACCAAGGGGGCTAATTGGCCCTGGAAAATAAGGAGAGAGCCGTGTAGATGCTACAAGCCACAGATTGTCCCCAACCCTGTTGCCATGCCTGAGACACTGGGTGACAAAGGAAGCCAGCAGTCTGTGGAGGTGTTCTTTGCAAATGTTAATCTGACTTTTTGTTCTTCATCCAGGTGTTCGGCATTGTGTACGTATGGTATTCCAGCATACCTCTTTTAAAATATATATGTCCTGACCTTTTGTTCAGTTAGAGAAAATCAGCATGAATTTATGTGTCTTGTTCTGTTTTGGGCCCTGATACCAATTCTTTTGGGGTCCCTGGCAAGCCACATATTCTTGAAGGGCCTCAGTTTCCTTTTCCATAAAAGCAAGGTGGGACTAGGTCTAGAAGAATTCTTCCCAACTCTTAACATGCTAGGATTCTGTGATTGAATCCCACTTTTGTAATTCTACCATCGTAAGTG
Source organism: Homo sapiens (assembly GCF_000001405.40). NCBI lineage: Eukaryota > Metazoa > Chordata > Mammalia > Primates > Hominidae > Homo > Homo sapiens. Next base: position 36,760,163 of record NC_000018.10, read on the forward strand.
ATACTTAAGAAAAATTTAACTGCTTTCTGACACTAAGTAAAAAAATAAAGCTCAATATGCTTGGTTAACAAGGCATATTTCATTTCAATTCTTATATCAGGGCTTTGGTGTAAGAAACACATTTGGTTTTAGACCTTCCCAGAGCCAATGCCAGTTGCTCCTGACAGCCACCCTTTGAGGGGATCTGAGTGAGTGACAGAGACGGCTACAATGGATGAATGGGTGGTGGTCCTTCTGGGGCCGGGGGCTTTTCTGTCTCATATTAGATCTTCTTGTAGGCACAGATGTTTTGTCATTAGTTAACTTCAGTGACTGCCGTAATGAATGTGTCTGCAAACAAAACAAGACAGAGGAGAGGAGCTTTTCCTCAACCACGGGTTTTAGAAGCTTGAGTTGTCTTTTTGGGGAGTCTCCCTCACCTGCTAACTTCCCCTTGGTTTTGCAGTCTGGCAAGTTCTCCGGCAGTTCTCCGGCGCCCCCAAGCCAGCCGCAGGGTCTGAGCTATGCGGAGGACGCGGCTGAGCACGAGAACATGAAGGCTGTGCTGAAAACCTCGTCCCCCTCCGTGGAGGACGCCACCCCCGCGCTGGGCGTCCGCACACGCAGCCGAGCAAGCCGAGGTAACTCCTGGCTGCGCGGGGCTCGTCTTGTCTTCTCAGGTTGGCCGCTCTGGGGGGGTCCGGTCTCCATCGCAGGCTGCGGTCCACGGCTGTGACTGGCCCTCGGCTCCAGTGCCAACCTAACCACACACATTCCCTCACTAGCGTCTTCCTGACCCACCTTCAATAGCTTCATCTCCAAAACAAACATTCCCACGAGAGTACCTCACTTTACACAGAGGGAATCCTTACCGGGGATGACCTCCTGAGGGAGAGCTGGGGTGGGCAGACTGCAACCTGCAAGCCAAATCCAGCCTTCCCCCTGCTTTTAGAAATAAAGTTTTGTTGGGACACAGCCATATTTACTCATTTGTGTAGTGTCTGTGGCTACTTTGGCAGAGTTGAGCCACTGTGGCAGACACTGTAGGACCTACAGAGCCTAAAACATCTACTACACAGGACAAGGTTGCCAACCCTGCCCTACAGCACTACCCCTTTGTCCCTTTTTCACATCCTTAGGCAGAGACAAAAACTAAAACTTCAAAATGGCGGCCAGATTCGAGTTTCCAGATTTGTTTTTATCATTAGAAGGGATTAAGATGCATTTGACATCTGTGAATGTTTCCTCGTGTTTCCCTGGTCTGGCCTGATAACCCATTGACCCTCCTGGGTTTCTTCACTGCCTGCAGGGTGAAGCCCACAGTATTCACACTGTTCTTGGAGGCCCCCTGTAGGCAGGTCCTGTCCTATCTCCCAAGCTTGGCATTCCCTCACCCTGCATGGTCACCGCGGCGCTTCTCCGCACGCTGCTCGTCCTAGAGTCCCCGCTCTTCTCATGCTGCTCCCTCAGTTCAGGATGCCCGCTCCTCTGCCTGTCCCGTTCCCATTCACCTCATCCTCTGGGCACTGTCCCTATCACCAGGCCACTCTTTCTCTTCCATGCACTCCAGAGACCCCAGTTAGATCTACTAAAGATGGTCAACTTTAAGGAGAATCAACTGTTGGAGACAGGCTTTCTTCTCTCGGTGTTTGCTTAGCACACACTATGCGTGCAGCTAGAAGAAACCATATAATCTTGTCCAAGCTGGGATGCTTTGGAGTGTGAAAGGGGGTGCTAGTAGTAATTATGCTGGGAGAGCAAGTAAAACAGCATGCCAGGTAAGCTGGTTTGTGGGTTGCCATACACATCACAGAAATGCAGTAGTGAGTGAACAGATGAATATTGCGCCCACCAGACATTTTCGTAGGCTCTAATGAACATGCAGGCAGAAAGGCAGCTAGAATCTGGAGGGCTGCAGTCTGGAGAAACCTGAGGAGGCTCTTCAGTGACTTCTAATAGGCTTTGCTCACTAACTAGTGCTTTTTGGAATCTTGCTGTTGTCAACATTCTTAAATATACAAAAATAACGGTAGTAATGATAAATTCAACATAATGGAAAAAATAAATGCAGCTTTGAGTTTTCTTGAGAAGAAGGTGAGTCATTACCACACCACGCATGTGGCTGATTGTAGTTTCCTATGAACCAAAGAGCCACAAACTGCTGTCCAAGGAGGACCTCAAAGGGACCTGCAGGCTGTGCTCCAGAACCCTAGGGCTTTTGTGGGATTCCCAAGCAGATTGGCACTTCAGTCTTTTTTACTAAATTACTGACTGGTTTTCTCACTTCATGTGACTACAGTGTTACTAACTCTAGTTCTCTTTTCTTCTGTCTTAATGTTGGACTTTGGTGTTTACCTTTTAATATAGGGCATCAGCCGGGCACGGTGGCTCACGCCTGTAATCCCAGCACTTTGGGAGGCCGAGGTCGGTGGATCACTTGAGGTCAGGAGTTCAAGACCAGTCTGGCCAACCGGGTGAAACCCTGTCTCTACTAAAATTACAAAATTAGCTGGGTGTGGTGTCACATGCCTGTAATCCTAGCTACTGGGGAGGCTGAGGCAGGAGAATTGCTTGAACCTTGGAGGTGGAGGTTGCAGTGAGCCAAGATGGCGCCATTGCACTCAAGCCTGGGCGAAGAAGCAAGACTCTGTCTCAAAATATATATATATATGTATTATATATTTTATATATATTATAAATATATAATCATATATATTATATACATAATATATAATATGTTAAATTTTATATAATATGTGTATTATACACGTTATATATGTGTATTATATACATTATATATAATATGTGTATTATATACGTTATATATGCGTATTATATACGTTATATATGCGTATTATATACGTTATATATGCGTATTATACACTTTATATATAATATGCGTATTATACACGTTATATATAATATGCGTATTATACACGTTATATATAATATGCGTATTATACACGTTATATATAATATGTGTATTATACACGTTATATATGTGTATTATACACGTTATATATATGTGTATTATATACGCTATATATGTGTATTATATACGTTATATATGTGTACTATACGTTATATACAATATGCGTATTATACACGTTATATACAATATGCGTATTATACACGTTATATACAATATGCGTATTATACACGTTATATACAATATGCGTATTATACACGTTATATACAATATGCGTATTATACACGTTATATACAATATGCGTATTATACACGTTATATACAATATGCGTATTATACACGTTATATATAATATGCGTATTATACACGTTATATATAATATGCGTATTATACACGTTATATATAATATTGTATTATACACGTTATATATAATATGTGTATTATACACGTTATATATAATATGTGTATTATACACGTTATATATAATATGTGTATTATACACGTTATATATAATATGTGTATTATACACGTTATATATAATATGTGTATTATACACGTTATATATAATATATGTGTATTATACACGTTATATATAATATATATGTATTATATATTTCTGTGTGTATATATATATGTATGGATTCTACTTTGATGCACAGCTGAAAATATGCTTGAAGAAGGGCTTCCTCCCTCCCTGCCCCAGTGTTACACCAACTGAGGCACAGATGACAGGGTGGAAAAATCATATCTTTTACTACAGCCTTGATCCCCAGACACCCTAAGTATTTGCATATGTTATTATTACATCAAAGAATTAAAGATAATTAGTCTCTCTGAGATCGGGTCTTTCCAAACCTCTTTCCAAAACTGTAATTTCCATAGATAGTTTTGGATGTGGAATTGGGAGAAGAAAATAATATTATGCTTTGGCAATGAAAAGGTAGCCTTTTAGTGACCAAGAGCAGACAGACACAGCTGAGGAGAACCAAAACCCTGATTTTATGTGGGATACATTCTGATTGTCTGGTTTGCTATATGGAAGGAAAGGTACCCTCTTCTTGACCAGTGCTGTCTGTAAAAGACCTCCATTCCAGGAAGTGATTGGAGAGAGAGTGTGTGTAAACAAGAAAGAAGAGGAGAGAAGAAGGTGGGGAAGGCCAGAAAGTGAAGAAAACAGTCTCATTAAATGGTGAACAATAGAGACTGTCAGTGTAGAGCCAGCATAAAACAAGGATGAGAAATCGTTTTGCAGTGTTGGGGGACATGGCAAGGGGTATCACTTTTACCTTGTGGCACCCAAAAAGGCCTAAGACATCCCATGTATGAGCTTGTCTTTGCCCAGCAGCTCTTGCAGGCTTTGTATGCTAGGCTAAACATGGCCAACAGGGATGTGAAGGTGAACATTAATGCCTGCACCATGGTGACCCCAGCCATCAGACCAGAGTCTTGAGCCCCTGTGTCTTGGTGGATGCAGGAGGAGTGCAGTTGAAGCCTTCTTAGGGGGTGGATCTCAGTAATAGAACATAAATAGGTTGTACCAATTTTAAAGGAAAAGAAACATCTATTCCTGACCAGAAAGGATAGCGAGAAAAGATGTTGGTGGGTTTGTACAACATGGGGTCATCTTTGCTGGCGTATGAAAGGGATTAGAATGGGAGGCTGTTCAGTTTCTCTGCACATTAATGCCAATCTCAAGGGAGACTTCTGCTTTCATGCAGCATGTGTTATGGAGTGGCAAGCCACCCACCTGCTACAACAACTAGAAGTAAAAATAATAAAGCCTTCTTTGAAAAAACATTAGAGAACTGTAAAAGGAAAGAGGACTAGACAAACTAGAATTGGAGGTGAGCTGACATTGCCTCTCTGTGAGCATTTGCCAAATCTGGGCACAAGCTGAGGATTGGGCTTATGGTAGTGGAGTGACTCTAATGGGAAAGAGAAGCCAGCAGAATTTGTAGTAGCTGTATGAACTGGTACAAGAGATTGAAATTGAGAGGAGGCTAAAATGCAGATGATTTTCTCCATGAGACATTTGCTAAATGGAGCACTGCGGGATGGGGGTTGGAGGGAGGAAGGTCAGCGGGTGATGCTGTGCTAGAAATGTTGAAGGAGATGTCCTGCAGTCTTTAAACTGAGGAGACAAAGATAGGCTAGAGTAAGCACCTTGAACAGATACTTACTGATCTTGGCCTCAAGAAAAAGAGAGGTGGGAAGTGGACTGATTGTTAATTAAAGCTGCTGTCTGGCCTAAACCCAGCTCAATACCTCACTGTATCTGTTAATAGCAGAGAAAAGACTCTCTGGAGGAAAATAATGCTGACTTCAGTCTCTACGTTCTTCTATACACAAAGTCCAGTGTAATAAAAATTACAAGCCACAGGAATAACATGAAAATATGACTGAAAATCAAGAAGAAAAATAGATAATAGCAGCAGACCCATAAGTGATTCAGATGTTGAAATCTACAGTCAAGGACTTGAAATGACCATTATAAATGTTAAAATAAAAACTAAAAGGAAACATAGACAAGTGGGTAAAAAGGTAGATAATTTCAATAGCAAATTAGACTCTATAAATAAGAATCAAATGGATATTCCAGAACTACAAAACAAAATATCTGAAATAAACTCATTGGATGGGCTTAGCAGAGACTGATCACAGCAAAAGAGGATTAGTGAATTCAAAGGCAGGTTAATAGAAAATGTATAAACAGAAGCATAGTGAGAAAAAATGGAAAGAATAGAATAAAATATAAGATCTGAGGGACACAGTTGAATGGTCTAACATGTGTAATTGGAGTACTGGAAAAAGATGGACCAGAAGCAATATTTGAAGAGATTGAAGAGATTTGAAGAGATGGCTGAGAATTTACCAAAACAGATAAATATCAACCAACATATTTAAGAAACTTAGGAAATCCAAGAAGAGTAAGTACAAAGAGAACCATACCATAGACAAAGTGCTAAAATAAATAAATAAATAAATAAAGATAAAATCTTTAAAACAGAGAAGAAAGATACATTGCCTCCTATGGTGCAATGATAATAATGATGGCTCAATTTTCAAAAGGAACTGTAGAAGCCAGAAAAAAAAGGAATGATATCTTTAAACTGCCAGAACAAAAAACTTCAACCACAGAAGTCTATCTTCAGAGAAATCGTCTTTCAGAAATGAAAGCAAACTTTTTACATTAAAACAGTAGAATATCCATTTTGACTTAAGTGTTTTCCTTGTAGACTCTTTCTTTAGGTTAGATTTCTATAAGGGGAAAAACAAATTTCAGTGCTTTCTTTCAAATCTCAGTTTTCATGTTTTAGAAAAATAAAAGTAAAGTGGTATTGTGCTATTATGGTCTAGATTGCTTTATCCTCTCCACCACATCTCAAATGTCTTGCTAACACTTACTACTACATGGTCCCTTGGGTATGTAAAATGTGTGTGCAGTATTACCCTGATGGCTACAGTGTGGGTGCAAGGGTTCCAGGAAGAGGAATGTATACATGACTAGGAAGAATGGAAATAAATGGTAATCAGGCAGTGAGGATATAACCAAGAGGAGCGGACATAAAGTAGAACCAGGAATGAAGTCGTGAGAGAATGAAGTCATCATAAAACTGAGTTGACAATCTTGGACCTAGGGCAAGATGTTTCCTTTAAGCATCTCCTGACACATTACATTGACAGAAGATCCCTGGGATTGTGTAAGATGGAAAAGTATAGGTAATTCTCAGAGGGAAGATTAGATGATGCCTTCATTTCTGGCCCAGTGCTCTGCAAATGTATTATGAGCAAAGACAATTTATTGAGCTTTGCATGTTTTTAGAAGGTATTTCGGCATTTTAAGATAAGACAAAATTATAAATCAATAGATAAAAGGGAAAACAGGAAATTGCGGGGTAAAACACAATTGCATGATTGATTGCTCTACTCTGAGGAGGACCATTGTTCAGAGGATCTGCAGAGGCCCAGTCTAAAAGCTGTGGCATTATAAGGACTTTTATTTCCAATTAAAATACCGTGACCATTCTGAGAATGCAGAGACTTTCAGCAGCAATTTCAACAGTTTATTTTTTAAAAGAGTCTATTTTTTAAAGGATTTATAATGCTGAAAAAAACTGGCCTAATAGCAAGTAGATCAAGTTCCTTTGGGTATAAGCACAAAAAGTACAATCTACTGTTTTTGCATGTGCTCATGCTGTAGGTATGCTATCATTTAAAAAATAAAAGCTAAGCAAAACCAAAAAAAAAAACTGTATCAGTAATAACGGAAATCAGAGTCTCACTTTGTTGCCCAGGCTGGAGCATAGTGGCGTGATCTCAGCTCACTGCAACCTCTGTCTCCCGGGTTCAAGAGATTCTCCTGCCTCAGCCTCCTGAGTAGCTGGGACTATAGATGCACACCACCATGCTTGACTAATTTTTGTATTTTTAGTAGAGATGGGGTTTCACTGTGTTGGCCAGGCTGTTCTCGAACTCCTGACCTCAAGCGATCTGCCCGCCTCAGCCTCCCAAAGTGCTGGGATTACAGACGTGAGCCACTGCACCCAGCCAACAAAAATCTTACCATTGGAAAACATCATTGTTCTATAGCCACAGGTTTTATGTACATGCAGGTGACAGGGCACCTGGTGTCCTGGCTCTCCTTTTGCAAAGTGTGAAATATTTATGTATTTAATTCAGTCATGAATTTTACTATCAGAAATTATGACTACTTTATAGCACAGTGTGTATTTGCAGCAATATGTCAACTACACACACACACACACATATATATGAAAATCACAGTCCATTGAACTGTGATCCACTGTTCCCAACCATTTCCATTGATATCTATTTTTTCTTGGTTCATTCATTACCAGCCAGGTGGTTGTAAGCACCAAAACTTAAAAAAAAAATTAGTGTGGGAGAACTCAAACATTTTAACTATTTATTAACATTTTTTTCCTCCAAGTTGGGAAAGGCTGGCAGTTCCCTTGTGTTGTACTTTAGTCAGGCTGGGGCTACTTGTGTGCCATAGGCAATGATTCTGATAATTCTCACCTACAGGTTTTTGAAGTTGTTGTGCATCTACTATAAAATGAAGTGTAGATGGTAGAAATTAACAATTTTGAGCATATTGTACATCTTTCCTCTTGTAGCAACGTATATTCACTATCGTATAGAAGAGATTTCACAAGAAAGCTGATCAATTACAAAGATGTAGTTCTGGATATATTACATTAGCATTAATTTCTAACTGTTTAACACTGCAGTTGACCTTTGAACAACTTGGATTTGATGGAGCACATCTACCTACATGCAGATTTTTTCCAACAATACAGATCAAAAATAAAGTATTTGCAGGATGCGAAGCCCATGTATATAGAGGGCTGTAAACCCAAGTTCTGCAGAGTTGATTGTGGAACTTGATTATGCACAGATTTGGATATACTTGGGAGTACTGGAACAAATCCCTCTGTATACTGAGGGATGACTGTACTTGGGACCCATGTTTTGGTGATGCTTTCTTCTGACTTGTTTTAATATGTAGTTATTTATAAACTACAGAAAATGTTGAGGGAGCAGATTTATGTACCAGAGAAAAATTTAAGTTACCAACCCCTTTGCTGGTTAAAGAGGGCAATCCTGTTACAATTTTTAAAGGCTAGATAATTCAAAGATAAACTGTGTATTATAAAATCTATTTCTTTCTACTTAGCGAGAAGTTAGGGTCAGCTGACAGACTAGGCACATACAACCACTGATAGAGAGCTGACCCAGTAAGACCCTCAGTGAGTCTCTACATTACTAGATGTGCATCACCGGATATTGATGGCTGTGTAGCAGGGTGTGGCTTGGGTCATCTGCCCTCAGGTGATCACAGGACCTGGCAGGTAAAGACAACACACCTGGGTTGGAGAGTTAAATAATAATGAGAGACAAGATACACAGCTGTGTTACAGGGTGATATGAAATAAGTGCCCCGCGTATGGGTTTGCTCAGAGCCTGCAGGGTAGCAGTCACGAGTTATGGTGGTGCTCCCTGCAGTGGGGACAGGTTAGCCCTCTGGATCTATCACTAGCTCTGGGGCTTTAACTCTGGCCTTCCCTGTGATCTGTTGCTGAAAGAACTCAACTGCTTGGAGGAATACTGCTGCATATATCTTTTGTGTTTTCCTTCTGAGTATGTTGTGCACTCTGGCTGTTTAATTTTTAGGATCCACTAGTTCCTGGACTATGGGAACTGATGACTCGCCCAATGTCACAGATGATGCAGCTGATGAGATCATGGACCGCATCGTCAAGTCAGCCACCCAAGTGCCCAGTCAGCGAGTGGTGCCGAGGGAGAGGAAACGATCCCGGGCCAACCGGAAATCTTGTGAGTGCATTAAAGGAGGGGCGAGCCTTCACCCCTACAGGGATCTGCCCTCCCATTCTACGTGAACTGGGAAAGGTGGAGACACAGCTCCAGTGAATTGTCAGTGGCTCCCAGAGTGCCTACTTGCACTCATCCACAGAAAGTTTCAGGGTTGGCTGTTGACGTTGGCCATTGTGGAGGAGGGGAGCTGCAGCCACACCTGTTCAGTGTATCTGCCATTGGTGGCTAGGCCTCTCTCAATTCATACTTTCTTCCCAGGAAGGTATGAAAAGTCCTTAAGTGTCTGTGGTGTACCAGGGGTGAGCACGATGGGCTAGTGGAGCCCATCGTCAAGTCCAGCCTAAGATGCTCTGCTGGAGGCTGTGTTTCTGCCCTGCACCCAGCACCAGGGGGCGCTTGTGGGGCTGGAGACTGGCCTCTCCTGGGTTCATCGCTGCCCACAAGCATGTTGAAGGCAAAAACTAGGGTAGCAAGGGATTTGATGGTCATTGGGATGCTTGAAATATTTAACGTGGCCTAGGTTGACCATTTTTTCCTTTTCCCACCAAATAGAGGATTCAACTAAATCAAAGTGACTGATTTTCCTTTTTGGTCTGAACCTACTGCCTGCTCCTGCCCACCCAACTCATGGGTGTGGGGTTGCCTCTGTCTGCCCCTCTCAGGGACAGTGCTCCATAGGGAAACAGGTTCCTGTAGATCCTTTGACATCTCCCTGCATGAGCTGTGGCCTTGAGTGTTTCAGAAGAGCACTCAGCCAGCCGCTGGGTCACTCTAGAGGCTGCTTTAGTCTCCACTGGCTTTGCCTCTGAGAATAAGGGTTAGTGACAAGGAAAGAAGCCAGTGGCTTCCTCCTGTTTTCTCCCAAAAGTGAAAGGAGCATGAGTCCAGCTAGGCAGGGAGTTGAGTAAGTACTCAAATTCAGAGAGCCCCAAACTTGTTCCACCCTTGAGATTCACACAGGAGGTGACCAGGGTGTGGCCTGTGTATGTTGGACCCAGTGGTTCTGCTTGACCCATTTACACACGTTTCCAGGATACAGAACACTAACCCACATTCCTGTGGTCCCCTGCTCCTTTCCTATGATCTGCTTTCGTTTCTGATGAGAATTTTTCCCCAGAAAGGAAAATAACACTTGAGGTTGGGGTGGGGGTGCAGATAGGGATGGGATGAGGAGCAGGGAATGGGATTCTCATTCAGTAAGATGGGTGGACTGAGAATCTGTTTCTGACAAGCTCCTAGATGAGGTTAATGCTTCTGGCCCTTGGTACACACTGTGAGTAACAAGGCTCTTGAGCTGTGGTTCTCAACCCTGGATACACATTAGAATGTTCTGCAGAGATGTTTAAATTCCTGATATCTGGGCTGCACCCACACACACTACTTCAGAACCTCAGGGGTGAGGCCTTGAGGTGTGGGTCCCTGCCCCTTGGATTAGTGGCATTAGGTGTGGGCTCTCTCTTTATTGTATGCCTTCCTCTGCTCTCCACTACGTTTATTTCATTTTTTAAATGGAAAACTATCGTTCAGGGAGACTGGCTTGTACATCTTCAAGAATATGTTTGTAGATTCCAACATCAATATCTAAGGCCTTTACATTTCTTTCTTCTGATATTTTCCTATATTCTCACTGCTACTATGAATTCTTTGCTGTCTCCTGGTGCACTTGTGAAAGAACTTGGCTAGGGGCTCGCAACTCAAAGTTGAACCTCAGACAATACGTGTGTCTCCTGGAGGCTTGTTGGAATTGCAGATTTATGGGCCCCCTTTCTAGGGCAACTGATTCAAATCTGCATTTAATGAGATCCCCAGGTGATTCATGTTCATAATAAGATGGACAGCACCGGGGCATGAGACCAGGAGTGGAAACTCTTCTCCGAAGGGGCGAGGCTAATCCACACTCACACTCCAGGCTGCATCTCAGTTGCTCTAGGCCAAGGCAACGCTTCCATTTTTGCCTATCTGCAGGCTGTGAAATAACATTTCCTGTGGTTTTAATTTGCATTTCCCTTCACTCTGAGGAGGCTGAGCCTATTGCCATTTGCATCTCTCCTTTTGTGTATGGTTTGTCTATATCATTGGCTCATTTTTTTGTGATAGGAAATCTGCTTAAATAGCTTTTGAAATGAAACTTCCAAAAGATTTTTTGAGGTCTTAAGTAGTTTATCTTCAGTAGTTGCCCTTTATTGGCTTCCTGTTAGTTCATTCAAGGAGGCCAATAGCTACTTCAAGGTCACCACATGGCAGGAACCTGCGCACCAGTTAACTCCTGGTCTTTCTGGTGTGGGCAACCTCATCGCAGGGCTCACCATGGGGAGGAGCTGGGAAGAGCCATGGAGAGGTGGGCCAAGGGAGAAGGTTGGACCAAGGCTGTGAAGACAGAGACGTCCCATTTGTCAGGTGCATGGCACCCTGACAGAGGGTTGGAAGGTTTGGGTCAGGGACCTCAGACAGGAGACAGCATGGGACATTGGACTGGCTGGTCCTTGGAGGCCCAGAGCATGTTCTTCTCCTCCAAGTCTTCATGGCCCCATCCTCTGGTCTACAGAGATCCAAATTCTTAGACTCATAATGTCACTGGGCACAATAACGCGGTCATAATTAATTTTCCTCTTCAATCTGGCCAGAGAGATGTTTTGCCTGTTTTTGTTGTTGACATAAAATAATTTCCTATGGTATCGTTTTCATTTCAATTTTATGCAAAACAGTCATATATTCTTTTTATTTAGCCAAACACATTTTTCCTGTGACACAGTTACTATAACAAGTACAGCACAGCATGTATGTGTTTATCTGTAATGGGCTTAATTTATTAGTAATGGCACTATCAACAGAAATTTAAGAAGGGAGAAGTTAGACTTTGATTTCTGTTATAAAGGGATGATAAACTCCAGCTTTTCACAGAGGTTAAAGGAACAACAAAAAGCAATTTGCAAAATCAATGTGAAGTTTAGTGGTTTGGGCCTCATGCTGAAACAGTGCTGTATTTGATTTGTTTAATGATGGCAATGAGGCAAGTGGATAATGAATAACCAACATATTTGGGCCATAACTCATTTGGCTAAAGACAATAATAGTTCTGCTCTTGCAGGAAACAAAACAGAATCCATCCCATAACCTTGAAATTTATGGCCTGCAAGGCAAGCCACTCGAGGATCAGAGATAATTAAATGTCTGCTTTCATGTTTGATGCTGGTGACTGAGCCCACACATGCCGAACGTCCCACTGAAGCCTGAACTTTGCAGTCAGCTGGGATAGCCAAGGGCCTCGTAATAGATTCACAGGTTCCCATGGCTCAGGTCGGCTGCTCTCCCAGCTGGTGCCAATCAGGGGCACATTGAGTAAAATGTCTCAAATCGTCCAGGTGATCTCTAGCCTGTGAAATGGCTGATCCAGCTTACTTCGGGTGCCCACCCTGCCCCAGATTCTATCCAAGGATCTCCAGTAGCACCTACTAATTTCTAGAGCTGATTAAAGATGGACTGGCCCCTCCTGTAAAGACAGCGGAGGGTACCTATGCATGAGCACAAGACACAGGACAAGAGGATAAACAGAACAAGTCCAAGAGAGAACTGAGGTCTCTTCCCTAAACCCAGGTGGACAGTCACTGCCTTTTAGAGGGCATCCCTCTCTCCAGAGCAGGGCCAGGCTGGAGGCCAGGACACTGATATGCTAAGTCAGAAAGTCGGGACTCAGGTGGAAGCCTCGGGGTTAGAGAGGCAGATGCAAGAAGCAAGATGCATTACATGGCTCTCTGGTGGTTTCACTTTTAGACAAATCACCCTCCCAAACAGGGGGAACTGACACATTAAAGAGGAGGCTTGTCTGTAAGTCCCCCCCACAGTGTCCGCCTGAGTGCCAGGTTCAAAAGGATGAAGGAGCAGTAAAAAGACGAATCCAAGAACCTGTCTTTCCTACCTCTGAGAGCCTTTTTGAGGGGAGGCATAGGGTTCCCATGGTGGTACTCAGGGAGGTGCCATGCACCTGACCGAAGGATGTTTCCGTCTTTCATCATTTTTGCTGCCAAGTTCAAATGGAATCCATTTCCATGCTCAGGAATGCACACATGCCCACAGCAGGGATGGGGCCTGGGTCTCACGAGTGACTTGGCCCTTACCGTGTATCAGTTATCTTTTGTACGATGAAGGCAGTAGTGCCAGCTTCCTGGGACGGTTGTGGGGTTAAGCGAGGCATCTATGACAGGTTCCCGCCACCTTTCTTCCCTTCCAGGCTGTGTCTCACTGCTGCCCAAGGGACAAGTTGCTGATGGGAATTCGTTGCTGCCTGAAGGTGCTTAGGGTCTGCTGTGCACATCCCGACCCAACTGTCTGCTCTTTTCACCCACCTCACTCCCCACCACACTGTCCACTTCACTCTGGCCTGCTACAATTAGTAGCCCAGACAGATCTTCACCACTCTTTTTTACCCCCAGAATGCTTGCAACTGGCACATAAAGGCTGCATTGTCAGCATAGCACTTGGCTAGCATTGTTGAGATAACCTAGGCAGAGGGCTGACACTCTCGACTTAATCTGGGAAGGGGAAAGGCAGTTTTGTCCTGCCCAGAACTTAAAATATTGTGGAAAACTCAAGTCTGTAGATTCCTGAGCTGCCTTTCCTTTCTATCCTTAGTTTAGGTAGATTGTCCCAGAAAACAATTGGCAGAACTTATTTTTCCTTTCGGGCCAAACTCTCCCTTTGCCCACCTCCAACATGACTCATAGGAGGAGGCAGTTGGTGTTCGCATTTTAACTGACTGCCTTCTGTTCCTTTCCTACCTAGGAACCAAAAAGAGTCTTCAGGAGTACTGGATGCTAATGTAGCCACAGGTATAGTAGGAGGGCATGGGCTGGGCTCTGCAAGGCCAAGGAAGCCACAGCCAGACCAGTGATGGCAGAAAGCGCCTAATGCCATGAGTATTTCTGAGTGCTGTCTCAGCCTCAGTGAACTTCATCTTGGGTTAGATGGAACTAGGAGACTTCAACCTTGTCACCACAGACTGTCACTGTCCTGAAAACCCCGCCTTTTCCTGCATCTCAGATGACAGTGATTTAAGTGAGGGGCCCCAAACCTGGACATCTGATTACCCAGGGAAGGTTCAAATGCAGTGCCTGAGCCTCTCCCCAAGACTCTTGCTCAGTGTGTCTGGGGTGAGTCCAAGAAATTGAATTTCAGTCAACTAGATTTGGGAATGTCTGCTTTTTGTTGTTGTTCTGGGTTTTATCGCTTCAACGTTTTATTCTGAAAAAATATAAGACTTACAGAAAAGTTGCAAAAATAGTAGGACAATTTAGCAAAACCAGGAAATTCAAACTGGTACAGTACTATTAACCGAACTGTAGGCTTTATTCAGATTTCACCAGTTTTGCCACGAAGGTCCTATTTTTGCTCTACGATCCTACCCAGGATTCCAGATTGCATTTAGCCCTCATGTCTGCTTAGTCTCCTCTAATCTGTGAGGACACTTTGTGACCTTGGTATTTTTGAAAATTACCGGCCAGTTATTTTGTAGAACATCCTTCCATTTGGGAAGGCTGTGCATATAATGGACAGGATTTTATGTGGAAAAAAAGGAAGTCCTAGGGAGCACATCTGGCCCTGCCGTTTTACGTCCACTCAGAACAAGGAGGGCGTGAATGGACGGTGTTGAACAGTGGCCAAGCCCGGGACCTCCCAGCCACAAGACATGGACATTTAAGGCATCTTGAAGTTCTGATGTTAGTCAACTAGACTCCTAGACACATTGCTCCCAGTACACCTGGTAGAAAATCTTTGGGATCTTTGGGATTAAAAAACCAAAAAACGATTTTCAAATTACACTTGATAATTATGTGCAAAAAAACCCCGAAATAACATCTCTCAGTGCTGCAAAGGTGAAAGCGCACAGATGGATTTCTGTCACCTGAAAGTAAAGTTGGGTCGATTTCCTGTTGATGTGAAAGATGGTCAGGAACTGTCCTGCCAAGCATCGGCAGGGCACAGCTGTTTCCAGTGTGGACTGTGATCCAAAGTCGGCTCAAACCCTTCTCTACCACTAAGTGTGAGCCCTGGGCCAGTGACCAGGTTCTCTGGTCCGGGTTTGCTCACTTATTGAAGATATAACAAGAGTTCCCATCTCACAGTGTTTCCATAAAGATTAAGTGAAACAACCCATGTAAACACTCAGTAAATGGTGGCTGCCATTGCCATTGTTCTCGGATGCGACTCATCTTAGTAGAGTCACCTGTGAGCCCTTTGTGGGAATTTTTAATGTTTTCATTTCTAGGGAGGAAGAAAAAGAACTTGGGTGTTTTTCCTGAGTCCCCAGACAGTCCTGTGCTGCATGCTGGCAGCAGAGGCACCCCACATCAGATTCTTCCACCATCACTTTGACACCGTGAGAACTGTCACCAGGGCCTGGGGTGCAGTGTGGCTGCTGGTGCCTTCAGAGTGACCCATGCCATCTATGGCAGAGTTGCAAGGCAGACAGGGATAAACATTTCCAGTCTGTTCTCTGTTATGAGCTTTGAGGGGAGGCCGTCCCGTGGGAAAGGCTGGAGAGCAGCTTTGATTCAGCTGGAGCATTTGAGTGGGAAGTGGAAATGAGGAGTCGGGAGAGGCCCAGGTGTCATCCGCAGCCAGCCGACCTTGCCACAGTGCTGGAGAAGCCTCTCTACTGGGTGGCAGAGTTGTTTCTGCTGTGGAAGTTTGCTGTGTACCATTTCATACCCTGCCAGCACCTGTTTGCTGGCCCCCTTGTTTTGTTCTCTTATGTCCCCAGCCTTTTTTTTTTTTTTGCTTTCTGGAAACTTTCTGAGAGCCAGCTCCCTGGCTGGACCCCATCTGCTGCCCTGAGTGTTTCTCCCCACACTGTGTCCCCATCAGGCCCCTGCCTTTCTCCCCAGAGGCTCCCATCGCAGAGGCTCAGGGTGTACATGTACATGATGTTTGATGAATGGCAAAGAAACTGACCAGCAGACAGATGGTTGACCAAACACCCAAAGGGGCTCTTGTCGCGTGTGACTTGAATTGGGTGTAAGACTGATTTTAGCTGATTACTTTCATTTCACGTGGTCTTTCAAGTGGTGAGGTGAATTAACTTTGGCTAACAAAGGGAAGGTTTCAGATTCTCAGGTATTTTTCATTACACCAAGGGGATAACATATATCTAAGAGAATTTTTTTCAAATTGCCATGGAGGTCCACAGAAAGTAGAATTTCATAAATGGGGAAGACTTTTCCATGAATACTCGCTTTTCAGGGATACATCTGGCAAGCTAAGGGAATGAAGCCTATGTTGGCTTTTCCCTCACAGCAGAGGACACATGAGCCCAGACCAGAGGGTGAAGCAGCATCCCAAGGGGTCTGGAATATCCAAACCATGAGTAGACCCACGAGGGAGAGGGCACAGGCTCTGTGCTGTCAGGTAGCAAGACCCATAAAGGTACCTTTAGTTCTGTTCTCTGAGCCTGTCCCAGATAGGCTGGCTCAATGTCCGAAGCTATTAAAAGATTGTTACATGAGCTGTAAGGTGACCGGGCCCTTATTCGAGTATTAATATTTATATCAACTGAACTGAGCAGTTACAGGACTAAAGCAAATGTGCAAACAGAATTGTTAAGCATCTTTAAATACCTTCATGGGTAAAATATCTGTGGGGTCTTCTGTAGTCATTCAGCCACAATATATACCTAAATGGACAAAGATTCATAGACTGATGTCCACACCACCTTCTGTGGCTGGTGAAATTTTAAGATGCCCAGCTAGTGCAGCATGAACTACTTCTTCTTCTTTTTCTTTTTTTTTTTTTTTTTTTTTTGAGATGGGGCCTCGCTCTGTCACCCAGGCTGGAGTGCAGTGGCACCATCTCGGCTCACCGCAACCTCCGCCTCCCAGGTTCAAGCAATTCTCTGCATCAGCTTCCCGAGTAGCTGGGACTACAGATGTGTGCCACCATGTCTGGCTAATTTTTGTATTTTTAGTAGAGATGGAGTTTCACCATGTTGGTCTCAAGCTGCTGACCTCAAGTGATCCACCTGCCTCAGCCTCCCAAAGTGCTGGGATTACAGGTGTGAGCCACTGTGCCCGGCCAGCATGGACTTTTTAAGGAAGTATTTTGTATCTTGGTTAAGAAGTTGCAGCAAGAGGTCTTTCTTGTCAAGAGAGATATTTTATCTTATTTACTGTTGTTAAAATTATCTTTCTTTAACAAACACTCTAAGGAGTCTTTAAAGAACATAAAAGGTTATTACAAACTAGTATTTTTATTGCTGCCCCATAGAACAAATTCTGTTGCTCAGTTGAATGTAATCTGTCTCCAGCTGAGACTTAGGAGCCAAACATTTTGTCTTGTTGAGCCAAACATTCAGTCTGGAGGCCAAGGGATCAGGGGTGGGGGAAAGAGGAGCTAGTGCAAGAACAGCTACAGATAGATTGCTTCAGGGCCCAAAGGTAGGCTTGGAAATACAGTAGTTGCAGTAACACGATTTGAGAGAACCCCTCACCACATATCCCATGTCTCTCTAAAAACCCATACTTGATGTCTGTGTTTTGATTCTTTGAGTTAAATGCTGAGCACACAATGGGTTCTCAATAAATCATTTGTTGGTTGACCAATTGATGGATATTATGTTGACCCCTGTTCCAAGTGCTGATTCCTGGAAGAGAAGGAGCCCTTTATTTTCATAATAGGTATTAGTCCCCATTGATTCTGCCATGGACATAGGTCTTTCAGATCTTTTGTCCACAGGCTGAGTGAGCTTATATTTAGGGGATGATGGGAAGGCATAGACCATGGGGTGTGGCCTGCAGATGCATGAGGTGGGCCCTGGCCTCTGGGGAGTAGATGAGGGGAGTTGGCAAAGGAACTGGGGAGACATTAAGGTGAGCTTACTTTCTCTGAACTTTGATCAACAGCCTGCCCTGGTCATCTCAGGAACTCTGGCTGATTTAGGGATTTAGGGTGAAGGCAGATCCATAACGTTTCTCTTCTGAAAATGAATACCCCAAACTCTGTGCGAACTTTAAAGAAATACACAGTGGGTCAAATACAATTTGTAAATTAAGGAAAATGTAATTAGCCACCCTTTCAAATGAAGACTTGTCTTGGGTGAGGCAGCTACCTCCTCATTCACCCTTATCCAGCCTTTATTTTGATGTTGAAATTGAAATACTAAACAATGGGAATACCATCATGCCAAGCTAAACACAAGCCAATTCTAAGTCAGTTAAATATGAGCATCCCTCCAGTTGCCAACTGCAACCCCCCAGTGAGAGTGGTCATTGGCCATTCTTGAGTCTTGTGTGTTCCATAGAAAACAGCCACCAATTCCAGCCAGAATAAGTTTGGCAGTTTGCTCCTTAGCCTCCATTCCTCGAGGAGCCACTGGTTATTTTAATTATTGTCTCTAGAGGCCTTTTAGTGAGTTGAGGCTAAGACCCACAGTACTCATGGAGAGATTTGTCCTCACTGCTGCCCCTTGCCCTGGCTTCATGCACTTGCTCTGTGGGTCTTGAGCATGTCCCCAGCTATTGTTGGTCGTCTGTTGGATTTGTGAGGTTGTTGGGTCTTGTGGAACCCCTCGCTGTGCACTGGTTGCCTCACCTCATTTGTATTAGTGGAGCTTGCATTTTCCCCTGCTCTGGAATCACCTTCCCAGCTCTGATACACTCCTCATACTGGGTAGATGCTGAGGTCTCTCCTGCCCTCTGCACTTCTGCAGTTCACCCCCTTCTCAGAAGCCTCGTGAGGGTGAGCCTCTCCTCCTTTCTCTCCTCTTTATAAGTGCCCGCATCACTCCTCTCGGCCCTCCAAATCAGCACCTGTGGCATTGTTAGGCCAGCCTGTGTAGCCCCAAACTTTTGTCCTGGCAGACAGACTGCAGGGCACTTCAGCAAGAGCAGGAAGGTACAGAGTGTGAACCCTCTGGCTTCTCTGGAAGTCCCTGGGGAGAAGGGGGGACTGGAGTCTTGACTGCCCTGTGCCTTGCTGCTCATACTTCCTTTTCTTCTCATCCCTTTGGGTGTGACCTGCACCACCACTGCAGTGCGAAGAACCCTGAAGAGCGGCCTGACCCCAGAAGAAGCCAGAGCCCTGGGCTTGGTTGGCACCTCGGAGTTGCAGCTGTGACACTCATAGGTTACTCCCAGGAGTGTGCTGAGCAGAAGGCAAGCTCTTGCTGGATGAAACCCCTCCAGGTGGGGTTGGGGAGACTTGATATTCACATCCAACAGTTTGAAAAGGGAGAGCTCAATTCCCAGCGTCACCCCATGGCTTGTGTTGCCTGCTACGCATTGACTTGGATCTCCAGGAGTCCCCTGCACATACCTTCTCCATCGTGTCAGCTGTGTTTCTCTTGATTCCGTGACACCCGGTTTATTAGTTCAAAAGTGTGACACCTTTTCTGGGCAAGGAACAGCCCCTTTAAGGAGCAAATCACTTCTGTCACAGTTATTATGGTAATATGAGGCAATCTGATTAGCTTCACAGACTGAGTCTCCACAACACCAAAATATCCAGATGTAAACCCCAAACTTGTACACAAAAGAAAGCACAGATTGTTTACCTGTTGTGGATTTTAGATGTAACAAATGTTTATACAAATACATACATGTACACCATGTTTCAAATACTAAATAAATAGAGTTTAATGCCATAATGAGAAACTTTTATTCTTCTGGGAACAGGACCTTAAACAGTTCCACAGGCTCGCCTCTTCAGAATGGCAAAACTCTTCTCAGTGTCCTCAGAAGCACCCTCGCTTGGAACGGCCTTCAGATCCTTTGGGCTGTATTTTGTTAATAGAGTGAGTAACATCAACAGTGTGCTCTTTGAAACTCCTTTTATAATTGGGCCTAAGTCCTTGTTACAGGACGTGTTAGCTGTTGTTAACCTAACATCTATCACCTTACCTGTGTGGTTTGTTTTGCCCCATCCTGATATGGAAGCAAAAATGAGAGCAGCAGTTTACAAATCTGAACTATTCCACAACTCACTCATTGGCCTCTTATGTCAAAATTCATTTTCTCAAAAAATTTACTAAATCACCAAAACAAAATGGAAATGTAAAGCTTTGTGTACAGAGAGCCTCAGAATCGCATGCTTAGTATAGTCATGCATCACGTAATGATGGGGATATGTGCTGAGAAATGTGTTGTTAGGCAGTTTCATCATTGTGCAGATATTATAGACTATACTTACACAAACCTAGATGGTACAGCCTATTATGTACCTAGGCTATATGATACAGTCTGTTGCTCCTAAGCCACAAATCCGTAAGAACATGTCACTGACTGAATACTGTAGGCAGTTGTAACAGCGGTATTTGTGTTTGTAAATATACCTAAACATAGAAAAGGTAGAGTAAAAATACAGTATCAAAGATAAAAGGTGCCCCTCTATAGGGCACTTATTATGAATGGAGCTTGCAGGACTGGAAGCTGCTCTGGGCAGGTGAGTGGTGAGTCAATGTGAAGGCCTGGGACATTACTGTGCACTTTTATACATCTGGCAGCATAAATTGTTTACACCAGCATCACCACAAACACGTGAGTAATGCAGTGCACTATGACATTATGACAGCTACAATGTCACTGGTGATAGGAATTTTTCAGCTCCATTATAATCTTATGGGACCACTGGCATATATGTGGTCTATAGTGAACCAAATCACTGTTCTGTGGCACATTACTATGCATGCTTTTCAAGCGCAGGTCATCAACAGCTGAGATCAGATGGGAAGGCACTGGGAGGGGCTCTCAGCAACTGTAGAGCAATACTGAGGGGTCTGAGACCCAGATGGTGGTCATACCCTCCACGGAAGCCCCTTGGCCTGGGGTCACATGGTTCCCTGTGAGGAACCTCTGTCTCTGAAAACAGGGAAAGGTAAACCATTGCAGCAGGTATTTCGAGGGGTTGAAAAATCATCAGGTCACTAATTCCACCTTTGTCCTACTTTTAAAACCTCTGTAGGCCGGGTGCGGTGGCTGACGCCTGTAATCCCAGCACTTTGGGAGGCCGAGGTGGGCAGATCACGAGGTCAGGAGATCGAGACCATCCTGGCCAACATGGTGAAACCCTGTCTCTACTAAAAATATAAATATTAGCTGGGTGTGGTGGCACATCCCTGTAATCCCAGTCACTCGGGAGGCTGAAGCAGGAGAATTGTTTAAATCAGGGAGTCGGAGGTTGCAGGATCACACCACTGCACTCCAGCTGGTGACAGAGTGAGACTCTGTCTCCAAAAAAATAAAATAGCCTCTGCGACTCTGCATTCCTGAACCTGGGGATATGTGATTTATAGGCAATGTGCAGTAGCATTGCTTAAAAAGCCAAAGACTATATTTTCCCCATAGGCCTCTGTGCCTGTGTTCCCCTCTCTGCTCTAACCCCACTTACGGAGACAGGGAGCTTGTTGAAGCAGACATTTGTCAAATAGTACATGATGGATGTGAACACCCCAGGAGAGCCTGGAACTTGCGAGAGTTGGGTCTGTACATTATAGACGGTTGTGTTTAATCACCTTATTGAAAAGAATACATAGGGTATTAATAGTCATTTTCCATATGCTTCTAAATAACAGGTACAATATTCCACTTATGGTTTAATAGTTTGTGAGAGTGTTCGCCTATTGCTTGGCACTGAATGCAGATTTGGAATGTTTGTATGACATGAGATAATGATGCACAGACAAAAGGAAGCTGTATTTTTGTCACACTGTTTAGTGAACAAATATGTCAATGTCCTCCTGAGGGTCCTTGGTATTCTGCTGAGTTGTTGCTTTAGAATGGAAGGTCATATTTAGAAGGAAGTGATTGAATAAACCTAATCTTAATTTTGTTTTAGGGATCAAAAAGTTCACAGAAGCAGCAAGCAAGGTCAACTAATTTCTTGCTTTCAGCTAAGTAAAAAGGGTCTCTTTTATTGGGCCCAGCATCTTGAATAGTGCCACTGCAGTATGAGAATAAGATAGGGTGGTGATTCCCAGCCCAATCTACACATCGGACTCACCTGGATGCTTTAAGAACTACTGATATTTCTGTCCCTCCACCAGAGATTGTGGTTTAATTGGTGTGAAGTGTGGCCTGGACTTTGGAACATTTAAAAGATCTTCTCATCTCCTTCCCCCCGATTCTAATGTGAAGATAGGTTTGGAAATCACTGGGTATTTTTTTTCTCTCTCTTTTTTTGGTGGGGAGATGGAGTGGGAGTTAGAGACTGAAGATGATGTTTTTGAGAACTTCGCAAAACCAGTAATAATTCCCCAAGGCAGAGCTGGTTTTTAATCACTATCAATTAACTGATCAACTAGGACATGTTTGAGCAAAGCTGCCTTCACACTGTGTGCCCAGACATCTCTGCCGCTTCCTTGCCTGCCCTGAAAGCCAGGAGGCGGCAGCAATTGAGTCCCTCACTAAACATTTGGAAATGAAATGAACGTTTGAAAAATGCCCAGTAACATGGGAGGAACATCGGAAGTGGTATAAAGGGCCAGCTCTTGCCACTTCTCTCTTTTTTCTTCACCCTCGGAAATGCCTGCCAGCTCAGTGGCAGGACAGACATGCTGGGACAGAGGTGAACCCAGAGCCCTGTCCACAAATGTCAAGGAGCAGTCGGGGTGTGCCAGTGAGTCCCGGGAGCTCTAGAACCTTCTGCTCCGGATTCCTGTTCTTCCTCTTGGATTATTTAAATCCACCGGAGGACTAGATCCATCAAAAAGGCCTAAAAGAGCCTATAAGAAAAATCAATTTGCGTTGTTAAACTTAGTGGTTCATTAGTTTTTAGTGAAACTAAAGGATGTTTCCTGTTGCTTGTTTCCCCTCTCTTGATGCCACTCATTCTGACAGCCTCTATGAGCAATTTTTAATTCAGGATGTTAAATTTTTCTAAAAGACCTTCAAGAAGCATGAAAGTGAATAGTACCTTACACTTGTAAGATACTATTCCTCATCTGCCTGGTAATTACCATAGGTGTTCTTGCCCCTGTGTCTTAGCACTTATGTCCTAGTATGTATTGAAATTACAAAACCGCCAGAAAAGAAAGGCAACACTTTTCAAAGGTGTCTGGATTTGGGTTTCTTTGGAATATTAAGGTTTTTTTCTTTCTGTTTAAAAAACAACTTAATGATCTGGGGATGGAGTGGGAGGGTGCACAGGGCCTTGGAGGGCCAGTGACCCAGATTCGTTTTCTTCCAAGTCCATTGTTAACACAGTGCAGGGGGAAGAACAGGGGCCAGGAGTAGGAGACTTAGTTTCCAGGCTCCTGGTCTGTGAGTGGTCTCCACATTGTCCATGGCTCCCAAATCCACTATTTCTGTGTTCATAGATACACCTAAGATGGTGTATCACCAAATACCACTGTAACAGGTTGAATGACAGCCATCTAACAGTAGCAGGTCCTAATCCCTGGAACCTAGAAATGTTACCTTCTAAGGAAGGGTCTTTGCAAATGTGATTAAATTAAGGATCCTGATATATGGGGATTATCCTGGATCATCCGGGTATTCTCTAAACCCAGTCATGAGTGTCCCTTATAAGAGAAAGGCAGAGTGAGATTTGATACACACTAAAGGCAACGTGAAGACAGACGAAATTGGAGTGACATGGCCACAAACCATGAAACACTGGCAGCCACCAAGAGCTGTAAAAGGCAAGGAATAGGTGCTGCCCTGGAGCCTCCAGGAATAGCACAGCCGCTCGACACCTTGATTTTAGCTCAATAAAACTAATGTTGAACTGCTAGCCTCCAGAAATATGATAAAATAAATTTCTGTTGTTATAAACCACCAAGCTTGTGGTGATTCCTCACGGTATCCTCTAAGAAATGATACAACCATCCCAAATGTGCACCGCGCACCCGTTATGGAGGTAACTGTGCGCCAGGCACTTGGGATTCATCTGGGAAAAAGGAGAGTCATGGTCCTTCCCTTAGGGCCCTTTCCTGGGGCCTGGGAAGGAGTCATCTACTGAAATTAAAATTTTAATTCATCTACCACTCTGCAGCCATATCTAGATTTTTAAAATCAGAAATCATTTTATCAGATAAGTACAAATAATACCAAATTGCCTAAGATAGGGGATGAAATGCCTTTGCAAATGCAGTGAAGGTATATGATATTAAAATGCACCATTCAGTTTGTCAAAAAAGGTGGTCTATTTGGTAGAAAAATCAGTTGTGTTTGCTAGACAATTTGTGGAGGGAAAATGGACTTTCTAAGTGATTTCTAAAAATAGCTAAAATATTATTTATTGAAGCCATCTCTGTGTGAGCACTTCATATTTAATAGAATCCTTATAGCCACTCTGCATTTTCATTTTTCATATAAAGAAACTGAGGATGAGACATATTGAATAACTCTCCAATGACAGAAGATAAGACGTGATATATACTGGCTTGTCTCACTAGTTCCTGGTTATTTTCTTGTTCTTTTAGAAACCTTAAGACAGCTGCTAGTTGAATATCAATAGTCAGCTATGCTTTGGGGCACAAAATATGCAGCCCAGTCTGACTGGGCTGACTGACTTGGGAGCCAGCCAGTCCTACCTTGACCAAGTTGAAAACTCCTGGAGGCCTAGTCGTGTACAGGGTTGAAGCACTGTACCTTAAAATTTTCCTGGTCAGGCGTGGTGGCTCATGCCCTGTAATCTCAGCACTTTGGGAGGCCAAGGTGGGCAGATCACCTGAGGTCAGGAGTTGGAGACCAGCCTGAACAATATGATGAAACCCCATCTCTACTAAAAATACAAAAATTAGCTGGGCGTGGTGGCATGCACCTGTAATCCCAGCTACTCAGGAGGCTGAGACAGGAGAATCACTTGAACCAGGGAGGCAGAGGTTGCAGTGAGCCGAGATCGCGCCATTGCACTCCAGCCTGGGTAACGAGTGAAACTCTGTCTCAAAAAAAAATTTCCTGAACGCTGAAAATTTTGTTCAAGGTTGGCAGTCATGTACAAATTTCTCATCAATTATACATAACTGGTCATCCATCCCACATCCACCCATTCATCCGTGTATGTAGGTTCAGCACCAATCGGAAAGGTTCAGAAGTGCAAAATCTTTTTTTGTGCTTTGATGATAGAGTCATTTCCCACTCTGATTGGTGAATGGATATGGTGAGAGGTTATTTGGATTGCTGATACTTTCTCGAGGGAGGGCCAAGCCCATTTTATTCTCCTAATGAGCACTATTGTCTTTAAGAATAATTTTTGTTTAAGATGATCCACTTGAGGAAGTTAAGATTTAGGATTTTGGGGAATTTGTACTTCAAACACAGTTCAGTTGTTGACAGTAGAGACTGTTCCTAATTACTGGATTAGTGACAATGATTCCAGAATGTTTTGTCATTTAAAACTACAGCATTATATGTATAGGAAAATTATATAGGCTGGATAATTAGAAGTGTCAACAAAAAAATCATAGGATCTGTAACTCTGGAGAGGAAACTATTTCTTATAAAGGGTCAACCAAAAGACAGGCACTTTGAGGGACAGGAGGGTAGAACAGGGATTTATGCTGAATGGGTTGGCCAAGTATACATACTCAACAGTTACAGGAGAAGCTATGAATATTTATGAAGGTGGTCCTAACGCATGTGTACTGAAAAAACGTGTTACATATGGCCCATGTTCTCTTAGGGGTGGAGACTTTTAAATGTATTACCATTAAGCCCTATACATCAAAAGGTGAAGCAGAGACAGGAAGGCACTCAAGTATGCAGCCTCTGTGAAACTGACCAGAACCAGTCCATGGTTGGTGGTCTTTTACCAGGAGAAAGTTACAGAAATAAATGTCTTGTCCAATCAAAGCATGGTTATGGCTGATAGAATAAGGGGTCAGTTAGCGTCTGGTGGTGTTCTGTCACCCAGGCTGGAATGCAGTGGCGCAATCTCGGTTCACTGTAACCTCTGCCTCCCAGGTTCACGCCATTCTCCTGCCTCAGCCTCCTAGCTGGGACTACGGGTGCCTGCCACCACGCCCGGCTAATTTTTTTGTATTTTTAGTAGAGACGGGGTTTCACCATGTTAGCCAGGATGGTCTCGATCTTCTGACCTTGTGATCCACCCGCCTCGGCCTCCCAAAGTGCTGCGATTACAGGCCTGAGCCACTGCGCCTGGCCAATTGTTTTATTCTTTAAGTGTAGGGAGGGGTGCATGACTTAACCCTTGGCTGACATGGCTTTAGATCCTGTTTATTATTTGGTATCTTATTGTCACAAAGTTGTTCCGTCAGTCTTATGATCTCTCTTTTAATATCAATGCTGATCAGTTGTTGTGTCTAAAACCACAAAAGGGAGGGGGTATGATGAGGTGTGTCTGACCTCCCATCCTGTTATGGTCAGAAACTCAGTTTCTAAGGTTCTCTGGAGTCCCCTTGGCCAGCAGAGAGTCTGTTCACTTGGTTGGAGAGTTTTATTTGTAGTTCTCAGAAGCAACACCTAACAGTGAAAAATAGCACATTCTTGCCATAACTGAGGAATGATTGCGACACTGTTGTTCCCATGCTGTTGGATTGGCGCCTGCTGCACACGCTACAGCTCCGGGGCTTCATGCTGCTGACTCTTTGCTTGTGGCCAGTCCCCATGCCTGCAGAGACACAGCTCCTCAGCTCCCATTGGAGGGGCTCAACAGCCAGTTTCCAGTGAACACATTTTCTTCTATTCATTTTGATATTATAAGTTATCTGGTGCAGATGGAAATAGGAATACATGGGTCTTGGTTCAGAATTTAAAGATATTCCAGAGGCATGCATAGCATGTTACAGGTAGCACATTAAATGAGCCACAAGGTAATAGGGGGCCTTGTGTTCCTCTGTGTCAGCAGCAGTTTTCCTGAACTATGAGAGGTCACTGCAGTATGTGGACTATTCAGTTGGCCCAGCTAAGCAGAGGGTTTGGCTTTTTCTCTTTCAGAAAACTAACCAAAAATTTTGTTTCCCTTCAGAGAGAGACTTCGCCCCTAATAGTATCTGCCTAAAAATGCTTTTAAGCCCTCACTGCTCTTTGGGGAGAGCGATCCCACTGGGGAACAGCCAGATGCTTTTGGGCAGGGCAATGGGCTAGGAAATAAAGTTGCTTTTCCAAAAAAACACTTGTCATGTACCCAAGGGAATAATTATAGTTTTTTAAATCGCAATTTTCAAATAAGAACTGAATAAAAACGTGGTATTTATACAGGAAGAGCTGGCTGCCTGGGACAGTTCTTGTAGCCATTTTATCCAGTCCCTGAAAAGAGGGATCCTTGATGATACACTTATTTAGACAAGGTGATTTTACTGGAACTCAGCACACAGCAGCAGGTGGTAAACTGGCTACAGAATAGAGCAATTCAGTCAACTTCAGAGGCTTTCTTGGCTTAGATGATTAGGCATGCGATTAGGAATGTTGTGAGAATTAAAGGAGCTCATTCACAGAGATGCAACACATCCTCAGAAATGCCACCTCAATAGAAGGAAGTGAACTCTAATCCAGCTAGCTATCCCTCTGTCAGCAGGTGTTATGAAAAAATAATATTTATGTCTTTGGAAGAAAAAATTGCCTGAAATTCTAAGGGTTGTGGTAATTTAGAACTTTCTAAACCTATCTATCTATCTATTGGTCAATCTATCTGTGTGTGTATACACACACATATAGAAGTTCACTGTTGGGTTAAACTATATGGACTTGTGTTTGTGAACAAATGTAAGACAGATTTTTGAATTTGTCTTGTGCTTGAATTCTGTTTCTGATATTATATTGAAGACGGATTACCATTTTTTAATGGCCTAAAAACATGGTTTGTGAAGATAGTTATTAAGGCCACAGCCATCTATTTTAGAATCTAATTTTCACAGGAAATTTGAGTTTTTTCTGATGAACACTGAGTTGCTCAATAAACATACATTCTAGAGCCCCAACACCATGTCCCAGAACCTGTGTAGCCAGGGTCTAGAACCACGTGTGGTAGCAGATGTGGCCTGGAACCACCAGGCACTTAAACACAAACCCTCAAGTACCATCCATATCACCGTCTCTGTCCCATGAGATGGCCTCGTTTTCAAAATAAAGTTGAAAAGTATAAAGCTGGGCGCTGGGGCCTTGGTAAAGGTAAGCTGTTTTTCCAGAGGTTTAATCTTGTCTTTAGTGTGTTCCATACTTGAAGCTTTTGCTTGAGGGATGGGGTTTCTCCTTTACACTCAACTATGTTCAGGCTGTTTATGCCCCTGCCCTAGGGACATATTCTTTTCTAGTCTTTATGCTGTGGAAGAAAGATTAACCTAGCTGGTCTTCAGAGGAGTACCAGTTACCTCAAAACATGTTTTGTTTTGTTTTGTTTTTAATTTTAAATTTTAAATTTTTGTGGGTACATAGTAGGTGTATATATGAGATTTTTGATACAGGCATGCAATGTGTAATAATCAAATCATGGAAGATGGGGTATCCATCCCCTCAAACATTTATCCTTTGTGTGAGAAATGTTATTTCTTGAACAATTATTTCTGAGGCTAGGAGGACGATCCCAAAGCTAGGCCCCCCTGCTCCCTAGGAGGGCAAAGGAGATGAGCTGCTTTAAGATGCAGAAAATCCTGAAGACCTAGAACCTGCTCCTTCCTTTCCCACAGCTTTCCACACTGGAGACTGTGCAGAGACCTAGAGAGGCTGGGGCTGCCTTGGGGTCTTTGACTATCACATGGGGAAAGCTCAGAACCTGCACAGCCCACTCTGCAGCTAAAATGGGTAGCAGCAGGCTAACTCATCCTTGGCTTTTCCTATGAGCCATGGCTGCAAAAGTAATATGTAAAGTAGAAAAGGATGTTGTGTTTTAGGTTAAAAAAAAGTCTTAAGATTAGGTAAATATCCTTATTCTTTGTTGACTATAGCATAGTATAAAATGGCTTTTCACCAGAATTATTCTGAAAATTATAATATAAAACAAGCCGTGCTTGCTCTAACTAAGGCTGCCTGGTGGAACGTTCTGTGATGATGGAAATGTTCTATATATAACTAATATGGTAGCCACTAGACATATGTGATTACTGAATACTTGAAATGTGGCTGGAGATTGAGGAATGAATTTTAAATTTTTATTTTAGTTTATGGCTATGTATTAGCACAGGTCTGAGAGAATATACCTTTATATGTACTTTGTTGCTGTTTATTCATTTTGTACACAGGAAGTTTTATGTTAAATTTAGTTTTGTATAAAATTGCTTTGGACTGCAGTTTCCTCCATCAAGATGATCAAACAATGTCTAAGAAACTATGTGATATGGTTTGGCTGTGTCCCTACCCAAATCTCATCTTGAATTGTGGCTCCCATAATTCCCGTATGTTGTGGGAGGGACCCAGTGGGAGATAACTGAATCATGGGGATGGTTTCCACCCTACTGTTCTCATGGTAGTTAATAAGTCTCACAAGATCTGCTGATTTTATAAGGGGGTTTCCCCTTTCACCTGGCTCTCATTCTCTCTTTGCCTGCCACCATGTAAGATGTGCCTTTCGCCTTCTGCCGTGATTGTGAGGCCTCTCCAGCCACGTGAAACTGTAAGTCCATTAAACCTTTTTCTTAAAAAAATTACCCAGTCTTGGGTATGTCTTTATCAGCAGCGTGAAAATGGACTAATACACTATGTCTACATTGTGCTCTGAGTCTTGGGAATTCTTGTCCACAAAGGAGAATTCTATGTGAAGTCAATACTGTCAAATATACACTCTTCTCTCTTGACATATCCCACCTAGAAGATACAGTCTCTCCTCAGCAGAGTCCACATCAGACCTGTGAGTATAACCCTGTGATTACAATACATGCCATGGCAGAACACACCTGTTTAACAGCTAAATCCACCTTACAATAATGCTTTAAAAAGCAGCATTTCAGTTCTTGTGGTGGTGGTATATGTTTTCACCATGTCACCCTCTGGCTGGTCTTCACTACTGCTCTTCACCCTTATCACCTGGGAATCCTGTTCACAGAAGATTTTATCCATGTGAGATTATGTAGTTGGTTGGATACTGAAAGCATCCAGAGAGATGGTTTCTTTCATAATGCTCGCTACATTTATCAAGGATGGTATTGGACAAGGCCTGGGTGCTAAGAGCTATAGGAAACATAAGGATGTGAGTTTACAAAGATCCCATTTTCAGAACCACAAAGGTACACTGTCCGATAAGAGTTTTGAGCCACAGCTAGTAAGTGGCAAGAGGCAGTCTGGGAGACAATGTTTGGATGCCAAGACATTGGAACATTGCTAACATCTTGCATTATGGCAGTTTTATGACAGGGATGGTCTGTGGGCTGACCTTAGGTATCCTGCCTTTAAAATAAAGTAGTGACTATCTTTTCATAATTTGCATAAACATTTAAATTAACAGCATTTTTACTTTTTTCTCAATTTTGCTTGTTGTCTGTTCCTACTGGTCTATCCTGAAGTATGAAGCAGTTCTTGATTTAGCACAAGATTATGTATTAACTGATTTTAGGTTTATTAATATTTCATGGGGTTCCATACTAAGTAGCAATGGATTTTCCAGAGTAACATGAAGTCCCCATCTGATGTGGTCTGCATTTGTGTCCCTGCCCAAATCTCATGTCGAATTGTAATCCCCAATGTTGGAGGAGGGGCCTTGTGGGAGGTGATTGATTGAATCATGGGGGTGATTTCCACCTTGCCATTCTTGTGATAGTGAGTTCTCACGAGATCTGGTTGCTTACTAGTGTGTAGCCCTCCCCCTTCACTCTCTTCCTCCTCCTCCAGCCATGTAAGATGTGCCTGCTTCCCCTTCCCCTTCCTCTTCAGCCATGATTGTAAGTTTCCTGAGGCCTCCCCAGCTATGCTTCTTGTACAGCCTGCAGAACTTCAAGTCAGTTAAATCTCTCTTCTTTATAAATTACCCAGCTTTAGGTAGTTCTTTATAGCTATGTGAGAATGGATTAATATACCATCTCCACACTGAAGACACAGAGGACAGAGGCAAGGTGACCAAAAGTTAATTGAGTGGTACTGGCATGAAGCACTTCACCTCAAGGAGGGTTCTCCTTGTGGGCTAGGGCTTCCCAGAACCCTGAGGTGGAGGTGGACTGGAGCTGGACCTTGGGAGGAAACTCTAGGTGTAACAGCACAGGAGGAGACCAAGCTGGAGTTTTGGAGAGAGAGAGTGGTTCAGGAGAGCAGGGCAAGATAGGTAATATAGAAAGTCAATGGCTGGAAACAAAGGGGCAAAAGAGGAGCTAACCTTCCTGAATTCTCAACTATATATTAGCTTTTTTAATGGCCACAATTAACTCCATAATGGAGGCCATGTGTGTTAACAAGAGAATGCATGGCTGGAAAAACAGAATCCAGTCTGGGTTGCTTAAGCCAAAGAAGGATATCTGGCTCGGTGTTGTGGCTCATGCCTCTAATCCCAGCACTTTGGGAGGCTGAGGTGGGAGGATTGCTTGAGCCCAGGAATTCAAGACAAGTCTAGGCAACATAGGGAGACTGCATCTCTATAAATAATGATAAAAATATTAACCAGGTGGCGTGTGCCTCTGGTCCCAGGTACTTGAGAAACAGGTGGGAGTATTGCTTGTGCCCAGGAAGTCAAGGCTGCAGTGAGCCATGATTGCGCCACTGCACTCCAGCCTGGGCAACAGAGTGAGACCCTGTCTCAAAAAAAAAAAAAAAAAAAATAGGGAAATTCATCTCAAGATCCCAAGGGTAAGAGCACAGTCAACTTGAATTGGAAATCCACTTCGTGTCCAATTAACTGTAATGAAGGGGCCAGACTTTACTAGACAAATATAGCTACCAGGGACTCTCTGAATGGCTATTGGACAGAAAAAAGTTATAATCTTTAGAGCAATTGCTAAAACATAAAGCAGTGTAGTGTAAAAACCAATAGATAAATTGAATAGAATTATTTAAACAAAACTGAAGGAGTAAATATGGGTCTACCTACGGCATGCCTGGTCATGAGTTGACAATTGATGAACCTGGATGATGGATACATGGGGATTCATTATGCTCTTCTATCTTTGTAAATGTTAAAAACTCTCCATAATAAAAGGTTTAGAAAAATACACGCATTTATGCTGAAACTAAAAAGGTCCCTTGGTCCTTCTATTCTAGTCATTATATATGCTTTACTGGAATAAAAACAGATTTTGAATTATTCTCCATGCAATAAAAGCAAAACCACCCAGACCCATTAAGTAACAAATTTCAGATTTGGTGAGCATCATTGTCACCACTTCAGTTGATTAAAAATCTTGATGGCTGGAACCTTTCCTGGCAATTTTGATTTAGTATGTCTGGAGGGGGATCTGGGTATCTTACTTTCTACACATGATTCTAGTGGCATTGGTGCATGTCAGCTTTAAGGGCTAGATTCTGTGGATTATCAGGTGCAGGCTGCCCCTTTTCATTCCTATCTTTGGCTTGCTTACTTCCCTGCAAGCAGCATGATGATGTAGCACTTTATGTACAATCTTAGCTACATCGATGCATCATGAGGCATTCTGCCATTTATTCTCATTTTGTGACTCCAGCATAATGTCTTTTTCCTGGGCAGTTGATTTATAATATAGCCCATTTCCATTTTAATTGCTTTAGTTTCAAAACATAAATTTCCTGGGTGTTTTTTCCCAATTTAACCCACTTAACCTCCTGTTGTTGGGTCTTTTGCCAGAAGCGCTCCCCTCCTCCTTTACCAGGGCCAGCTTCATGGGTGGGTGACCTGTGCAGTCACACAGGGCCCATACTCAGAAGGGCCTCACACTTAGTTTAGTGCTCTTCTGGCAGTATTTTATCTTTGAACCTGTGTTCTGTAAGTGAAGTCTGATGGGACAACAGAATATATGCATGAGCGGAGGAGACATGTGCAACATATATCCAGTGTTCCTTACCGCCCCATTCACATGTAGCCTTTGTGATCCCCTGTGAGCAGAGAACTCCATTGGACCCATGATGTGTCAGAGCTCGAAGAGATTCAAAGTGAGTACAAAGTAAGCATCTTATATCTATAACTGAGTAAGTGGGGGATGCTGAGAGCCCCAACAGGCTGCACTTCCCATCTGAACCAGACTGGCTTCAAACACAGAAAGAAGGCAATGGCATTCTAAGAAACATGAATGACCTATGTCATTCATGAAGGAGCCCTATCATATCCTTTTTTACTCATATACATTCCTGTGTTAGCCAACCACTTATGCTGAAAATACTAAGAAGTGAAACAGTAACAGTTGAGTTAGTTTTGTACAGTGTTTCTACTGTTGTGGCAAGAACGAAATACATATGCATACAGTATGTAAACATAAGCTATAAAATACAAATTGTGTAATTTTGGTGATTCTGCATGAGTAAATGCTCATATTTTCTTTTTCTTTTTTTTTTTTCTTTGAGACAGAGTCTTGCTCTGTCGTCCAGGCTGGAATACAGTGGTATGATCTCGGCTCACTGCAAGCTCTGCCTCCCAGGTTCACGCCATTCTCCTGCCTCAGCCTCCCGAGTAGCTGGGACTACAGGCGCCCGCCACCACGCCCGGCTAATTTTTGTTTTGTATTTTTAGTAGAGATGGGGTTTCACTGTGTTAGCCAGGATGGTCTTGATCTCCTGACCTCGTGATCCACCAGCCTCGGCCTTCCAAAGTGCTGGGATCACAGGCGTGAGCCACCGTGCCTGGCCAAGTGCTCATATTTTCATTTAAAACTGGAATTGCACAATATAAAGATGAATAGTAAAATGCATGATAGGAATTTAACATTTAAGTTTTTAGTTAGAACAGCATTAAGTAGCAAATAAAAAACACAGCCATAACAAGTTGAGAAAGACACTATGGAAGAAAGGAAAAACATTACATTTTAGTACCTGTAAAGGTAATGTTTTCCTGCTGTTTGCACAAAAGCCTCACATCTTCATTTTGTACTGGATCCTGCACTGAGTGGAGTCAGTCCTGCTCTTCCCTGCTCACTCCTTCTGAGGCAGGTCTTGAGCCTTTCCTTATCATAACCCCCTTCCTTTGATAGCCTTTTGAGAACTCCCACTTGATTGCCACAGATTTGAGTGACACCGCTGACCTCCTGGTTCCTCCGCTGCTTCACTTGTGGAATCCAGGGCTGATTTAGAAATGCTGTGATTCGGGGGATCTCCAAGTACTAAAAAAGGGGTATCTGCTGCAGTGGAAGATGACATAACTTCTCAACTCCCTTCTAACCTCGCTTGTCTTGGAGAAGCAGCCAAATGCTAGAATCTCCTATCCAGTGCCGTTGGCTCTTCCTTTGATCAATTCTGGCAAGAAAAATACTTCTGGAAGACTAAACTCCAGCTATTGTCCTCAACAACTTGGTCTCTCTATATCCTTTTCTGCCACTCCATGAATTGTTGCACATTTATAAATCCTTGAAGTATAATAACCTAAACAACTAAAAGGGCCAAAATGTCTCCTAGAGAATATGTGACAGTCATGTTATGGTTAAAACACACACACACACACACACACACACACACACACACACACACACACACACGTTTAAATGACCACACTGAATTATAAGTGGTTAGTTTTGGGATTGAAAAGGTAAGAGGTCTCGCTATTTTAAAGCAAATGAAGAAGCTGTTAATACGAAGCTCAGTTTATGCTCCCAAAGACTCTTAAGCGCTGATATTTCAAGACTTTGAACTATTACAAATATGGGGAAGCAGCCAGTTAGAGCTTGCCCTGATCCTTGAAGGCTAACTCTTCACCTTGGTTTTCCTCAGGGGCTATGGAAAGTGGTAGGTGGAGGAGATATCGAAGGCGCTTTCTCATGAATATCTATCACTATTGTCAACAATCAAAATAAACATGTTTCAGAGCAAAAGTGCATGTGGAGAATCCTGTGGACTGCTCTTAGTTCCCCAGTGGGTTTGGAAGAGGGAAACCCTGGGTCGATTAGCAGGTAGACAGTGCAAAGGAAGGAAGTCTGGCCAATCACCGGGGTAGAGAGAAGTCAGGAAAGAGAATGAGCCAGCTGGGACTGAAGTGTGCAGATGGTAGAGGCCCCTGCACCTCATTCCTCAAAACTCCTAATTCTCTAACCTCTGGGACTTCAGTACAAAAACTGCAGCCACCCAAAGAACTTGGGGCTAGGTGGGTGACTCCCCACTTTCCCTGTTGGGAAGCAGGGTGAAGGCCTTGCTTCTGCCCACAGCCAGGACTGTAGAGGGAGGAAATAAATAGGCATTCCTAATTGAAAATCTGAGCAACCTTCTCTGTAAAAATTTCATTAAATGTAGTAGGTATGTCAGATTTATCTTGTGTCAAATATTAAGCATATGTGGGCTAGAGGTTCCCCCATATGTCAATGGGAAAATGATTTCTGAATTACAGGCAACTTGCTTCCAAAGGAACTCTTGGAAGCCCACCCTGTTCTAAGCAGGAGACTGCTTGTCCTAAGGATGGCCAGGGACCAGGCAAAGTGAGGCTGGACAACTCAGAGCTGTGAAGAGGCAGGCAGAGCAGGTGGAAAGCTTCTGTTAACAGTGTCTGGCACCATTAAAACTCTTTCTTTATGAAGAGTTGTGCAAAACAATGTTTGGGAATTTTTTGTTTTTAAATGGTAAGAATAAAGTATAGCAGAAGTACACCTTCTTTAAAAAGTTAATAAGGAAGATAATTGTGGAACGTGTACAAACATCATAACACAAAACTGGAAGCAAGAAACTTCACTGGAAACTGATGAGGAAGACAAACTTTATAGGAAGCTGCAAAAGAAATGAGCAGAGCGAGATATTTGTGGTAAGGGATACAAAGAACATACAATTGTGTACTTGAGAGGTTTCATGGAACATTATGACCCATCCAATGAAGACATCAACATTAACAACAAAAATTAATTGAGGAAGAGCAGTATGAAAATATTCTAATGCAGTGCTGTCCAACAGAACTTTCTGTGGTGATGGAAATGTTCCATATCTTTGTGCTAATACAGAATCTACCAGCCACATGAATACTCAAAATGTGGCTAATGCAATTGAAGAAATGAATTTTTCATACAATTTACTTTAAATTTAAATAGTCATATGTGACTAGTGGCTCCTGAATGAACAATGCAGTTCTAATGCTTCATGGGTCAAAACCAGTGGTTTCTTTGGGGGACCTCTCTAATCAATCAGTGCTAAGGGATTGAGGGTTGAGTGTTGAAGAAGAGGAAAGCACTCAGACTTATTTGGGCACTTACACAAGATTCCAAATTCCCCATTGCTTCCAGAGGCAGGGGACAGCACAACCTGCTCTGGAGGCCTCACTACGAGCCTGGCTAATGTCGGTGGGACTAAAAGCCTTACAATTTTGGTCATTCAACTAGAAAGAGGCCTACGGTCCACACGCAAAACTGGAGGTCACCCCTAGGGCCATCTGTGCATGGAAACCACCACTCTGGAGCTGGTAGGGAGTTGGAGGGAGGGGTGCTCACTTCCGGGTGGGGTTTCCAGAGCCAGAGGAGGATTTAGAAGTGGAGGAAGTGGAGGGACCGGAGGGTCCTGAGGGCCCTTTCTGGCCACCTGCAGGCTGCACAGGCCCTTTCTTTTTTGGGATTACGATCTTGTTCTTGCTCTTAAACACTTTGCTGGGATCTAGCTTATTCACAAAGGAGTCGGTCTCTTCTGTGAGCAGGTTTGTGTTGTAGGTGATAGGTTTATACATGCTGAACCATTGCTGTAAGGCAGAATTGGAAGACAAGGTCACAATTCAAAGGAAAAATGCCATTCTGTGTGCTCTTTTTGTGGGATGCAGGAGAGTTGGGAACAGGAGGCAGAGGTACATTTTCATGAAAAACTGCCTAAAAATCTATTTGCTCTTCCTTTAAGTGGAGGTGATAACAGATCCCATCAACCTCTGGTAAGATAGACACATTGCTTTATGAGGTCTCAGGACCTTTAAGATAAATGCAGTATGAAAACTAAGAATCTGAGCACACCTCCTTCTGATTTAGTGAGTCCTGAGCCTGGGATGCTAGATCCCAAAGCACTAGAGGACAGCGTCTATTGTTCTGCCCTCAAACCAGCTACTCCCCATCAGGTGGATTCTGGCAGCACCATTCCCCCAGGAAAGGCAGGAGACAGAGGCTAGTGTGGGCCTCTGCTGAGGGATGCTGTATCTTGTTGGTGTTCTGTTTCCTACTGTTTTTTTTTTTTGGCAGCTGAGGGCAAAGGGCATCCACATTTATTTACCTTTTAAATCACAGCCGCCTCTCAATGTTGACCAGATAAATGTTATAATTATGTGACATTTGAAGAAAATGAAGCCTACTAGATGAATACATACACAGTAAGGTGAGCTGGAGCTGAGTTCCTAATTTGCTGCTAATTTATAGCTGCAAGAAACCACCACGAAGGAGCCCAGATGAGCTCATTCTAGTCAAAAGTTTTTCCAGCCACACTTGGTGTTTTCAAACCAGGTTGTATACCTGGCATCTGTATGCCTGAAATGGTGACCAGACCTGTAATATAAATGAGGCACACCCACACAATGGAATACTCTGTAGCCACTGAAGAGGACAAGTGCCCTAAATGTACTGAAAGGGAATAAGCCCCAAGATGGAGTGTTATGTGAAAAGAACAAGATGCAGAATCATGTTGACAGTACATTACACTTGAGATTTAGAAAAAAGGAACACCAAAAGTGTGCATGCATGCTTTATGTGCAATGAGTATCTTGGGAAGGGCGTACAGGAAACTCGTAATAGCAGCTGCCACTGGGGATGCACACTTGGAGAACAGGGGAGTGAGAATCTGACTTTTCACTCTTCCTGGGTGCATGTACTGCCAACCCAGAACAAGTCATGGGACATAAACTATCCAACAGAATTTCATTAAAAATAAAACTCCC
This sequence comes from Homo sapiens, assembly GCF_000001405.40. Lineage (NCBI taxonomy): Eukaryota > Metazoa > Chordata > Mammalia > Primates > Hominidae > Homo > Homo sapiens. The sequence goes on from NC_000018.10 coordinate 36,798,224, forward strand.
CAGTTAATTCTGAGAATCAGTCAAGTTTGGGAACCACTTAACTAGATGAGTAAAGTGAGGCTGTCCATTGGAATCATCTGTCTTGCTTATTGAAAATGCAGGTTCCTGGGCCCCACCCTAGATCTCCTGAATCAGATAGGGAAGTTGGGAACCTGCAATGTAACCATTTCCTCAGTAGATTTTGGAATATACCATAGTTTACAATGGCAGGTGTTCCTCCCTTACCTTGGCCTGTGGGCTAATGCCATAGCTGGTGAAGGCATATTGCCACTGGGGCAGGCCCAGGTGGGTGATGAGCAGGCGGTAATAGGCAGTAAAGGTGTCTGTGAGAAAATGCCAGTATAACGCTCTGTCCAGGAACCAGATCTCAGTGTCTTCTGCTAATGCTGAAGTAGAAGACAAAGGAAGTAAAAGATAAAGAATAGCTTAACAGTTTTTTCTTTTTAACTGTAAAAGGTTATACTCATGGCCTTAAAAAAAAATCCCAACAGAGAGAATGGAAAATGTAAAGTAAAAGTTCCCCTTCTGCCCCACTTCTAACCCTCCAGTCTCCTTCTCTAGTGGCCACTTTACTAGTTCCTTTGATACTCTTACAAATTTTTGCTAGATCAGTAGATTGATCTATCTGCTGGTCTCTGACCATCTGGAAGTCCAGTCAGGCTATCTAGGCAGCTACTCCTTTTCTGTGTGTCATAGCATTCCCCTCCCCCGGTAGGGGGGCGGAATACTGTGGTCTCAGCTTTCCTGAGAGAGAAAAACACTGAATGGCTTAGGTTTTTTTGAAGAAGTCTCTATCGGTGCCATGAAAAACAAAAAGTGCCACAAAAAACCACCATGAAGGAGCTTAGCCCAGTTCACTCCTGGGAGTCTTGCCTATACTGTGATGTCCTGCCTCCCAGTTTGTGACTTTCCATTCTTACTACTTCAAGCCTATCTTACTTCCTCTGCTGTCTAGATAGCTATAATATCTCCCTAAGTGCCCTCCATTATCCATCCAGTCTCTTTCTTTGCCAAAACTGCTGGTAGTCATGATCCCTGCCATTTTACTAAACAACCTTCATTAGCTCCCCACTGTCTTCCACATTATGTCCAAACTCCTTTGCTTGCTTTCAAAGCTCTGCATCAGAGACAGCAATTAGCCTTCTAGCTTAATCTCCTCCTCACCCCCTACATGAACCATGTGGCCCACTGAATTGGAATTGTCATTCCCCACAAATCAATTGTACTTTCCCATGGCTTGGCTTTTACCCATTTGTCCCTTTGCTTGGATGCTCCCTTGTCTCTTTTACTCCACCAAATCCTCCTCCCCACCCGGTATCTAATTCCTACCCCACAGTTCAAGATGCAGCTCCATGACTACTTTGCAACAATTCCTCTGGCTGGATGATTTCTCCTTGCCCCAGAGGTAAATCCTGGTGTCTGTATCCTCTCACCCCTACCAGACAGCTAGCTGAAGAGGGCTGCCATTGTCCAGCTCTGTAGTTTCACAGTCCCTAGGCTGGGGTCTGAAGTGCTGTTAGGGGGCTAGGTGGCAGCTGCTGCTTGAGGGCAGAGAGGCTTTTAATTTCCCATCAGGGGTCTTTGGTCTAGTAATTCAGGTTTTTATTGCTGTTAATTGGCCTAGATATAGAAGTATAAAAGATAATGTGTTTTCTGGATGCTTATCTAGTACATGAACTTGCTGTAGGAGTCTATTAACAAAATGCCTATTTCTTTTAGTTTTTACTCCCATATTCTAATCTCATCAACTATTTGGCAATAACTCACAAATGAAGATGGATAAAAGGACTAATAATTAGCCCAAAGGGTGATGCTCAGAGAGAACCAAAGGGGTTTTTGGGTTTGGGACACACAAGGAACCTGGGAGCATCTCAAGAGGCCAAGGAGGTATGTGTCTCCTGAGCCATGGCTGACAAGCAAGGTCAGGCAAGACCCTAGCCAAACTACGGGACCACGCTTGTAAACAATTCTTACCTGGTTTCCCACTTTTGTAGACAAGGCAAACTTTCCCACTGCCATTGCATGAATCCAGCTCAAATATCACACTGCGAGAGTCAAAGTGAGGCTTCTCTGGCTGATCATCACTGGCTGCAAACCCAGAAGTTAATGGTAATGTTCAAACAAACTCAACTCAAACACATACCTATATATCCAACTTTGCTAGGTGGAAAAAACAGAAGGAAAAAGCCTTATCTCAGACATATACTTAAGTAGTATTTACAAATAAATTCTGTATTTGAATTAAAGCCCTAATCTCATTCATGGACTAGGCCTTCTGTCTGGGTTTCTCTATCAGCAACAGACAATGTCAGGGAATCTGGGAAAAGGAGGCATGAGAAAGCAAACTTCTTGGAAGTGGGACCACAGAGCAATCTGAATGGCTTGATGCTGACATAACTTCATTTCCTTTCCTGAGATTGTTTATTCTATAAAAGTGGGATAGCAAACACATTATCTGAATCTTTCTTTCTTTTTTTTTTTTTTGAGATGGAGTCTCACTCTGTTGCCTAGGCTGGAGTGCAATGGCATAATCTCGGCTCACTGCAACCTCCACCTCCCGGGTTGAAGCAATTCTCCTACTTCAGCCTCCCGAGTAGCTGGGACTACCGGCATGTGCCACCACGCCTGGCTAATTTTTGTATTTTTAGTAGGGACGGAGTTTCACCACATTGGCCAGACTGCTCTCGAACTCCTGACCTCAAGTGATCTGCCCATCTTGGCCTCCCAAAATGCTGGGATTACAGGCACGAGCCACCGCGCCCGGTCAGAACCATGTAAAAGCCCTCTAAGTCATGTGGCATAACTCTAATTCATTCTTTTTAAATGACTATTTCATAGTCTGTGGGAGTGACGTACCCTCATTTATTCCACCATTCCTCTATGGATAGGCATTTGCCTACCATTACTTGGTTGTGAATGCTACAATAATCTTCTCTGTACATGCCCTTATATTCTGGTGCTTTCATTATATGCGACAGATTCCCTGCAATAGAATAGATGTTGCCAGATTGCTCTTCAAAAAGGACTTTTTAAGATCCAGGGAGACAGACTGGAAGTCCTTTGTTTTTGAAAGATATTTTAATGGGTATAGAATTCTAGGTTTATTTTATTTTATTTTTTTGAGACAGACAGGGTCTCCACTCTATCACCTGGGCTGGAGTGCAGTGACATGTGAACATGGTTCATTGTAGCCTTGACCTCCTGGGTTCAAGCAATCCTCCTGCCTCAGACTCCCAAGTAGCTGGGGTCCATAGGTGTGGCCACCATACCCAGGTAATTTTTAAATTTTTTGTAGAGATGGAGTTTCGCTATGTTGCCTAGGCTGATCTCAAACTCCTGGGCTCTAGTGATCCTCTGGCCTCAGCCTCCTAAAGTGCTGGGATTACAGGTGTGAATGACTGAACAACCTATTTTTTCCTTTGAGTATTTTATCTCACTTGAATTGCTTTTAAGGAGAAATATGCTGTTATCCTTATCTTTGTTCTCTTGTATGTAATTTGTCTTTTCCCTTTGGCTGCATTTATGATTTTCTCTTTATCTTTGATTTTGAACAATCTGATTATGGTGTTTCTTGTTATCATTTGTGTTTCTTGTTCCTGGCTTATTAAGCTTATTGGATACGTGGATTTATAGTTCCCATGATTGGTAAACTTTTGAGCCGTTATTTCTTCAAATATTTGCTAGCCCCTGACCCCTCTTCTCAGACTCCAATTACACATACATTATACCATATGTTGTCCCTCAGGTCACTGATGCTGTTTTCATTATAAATAATTTTTGTTCTGTGTAACTTTAGATAGCTTCTATTATGTGTTGAAGTTCTCTAGTCTCTTCTTCTGCAATGTCTTAGCCACCAATAATCCAAACCACTGCATTTTTCATATCAGTGCTTGAAAATCACTGTTTTATATATTTTGTCTGTTGTTTGTCATTGTTGCTCCAGGTGGGTAGATAAATCTGGTCTGTTACTCCATCTTGGATGAAATAAAAAGTCCAGTTGATATGTTCCCACCAAGTTTTGGCAGCCCTGCCTGGTGCTGACTGAGGTCTGCCCTCAGTTGAAAAGTTGTAAGAACAGAAAACTCAATGTGGCTCCCTTCTGCCAACTGTAGACACCATTCCAGCTTCTGCCTGCTTTTGACTACTCTCCAGTCCTTTAAGACACGTTTTTAAAATTCTTCCAGAGTACAGAGTATTACCTGCAGAGTCTTGCTCTGGTAAAAGAGATTCTGCCATATTATAAACACAATGTCAATATACGAATTTTTTTTTTTTCAAATCTACAATGTCACCGTTTTCAGTTCCTCCCTGAAATTTTAGTTTGGTTTTACCTCCACAGGGGCATATAAGCATATCGTTTTGTACTCTGTATCTAATAACGTCACTCTTAGCTGTACCAATGGATCTCTTTTGCTACTTTTTTGAGATGGAGTCTTGCTCTGTTGCTGGGCCGGAGTGCAGTGGCATGATCTTGGCTTACTGCAACCTCTGCCTCCTGGGTTCAAGTGACTCTCTTGCCTCAGCCTCCCGAGTAGCTGGAATTACAGGTGCCCGCCACCACGCCTGGCTAATTTTTGTACTTTTAGTAGAGACGGGGTTTCACCATGTTGGCCAGAATGGTCTTGATCTCCTGACCTCATGATTCGCCCCCCTCGGCCTCCCAAAGTGCTGGTATTACAGGTGTGAGCTACCGCACCCGGCCCTCTTTTTTCTTGATTAAAATTTTTTTAAAGTTTTATTTTTTTAATTGACAATTATTTTTAATTGTTTTATTTGACAAATAATAATTGTATATATTTATATATTGATGGAGAACAACACGCTATTTTAAGATGTATATGCATTGTGGAAAGATCAAATCAGGCTAATTAGCATATCTACCACTAGTATTTATCATTTCTTTGCGGTGAGAACATTTAAAATCCTTTCTTTTAGCTATTTTGAAATATACATTATTAGCTATAGTCATTATGCTGTGCAATAGATCACCAGAACTTATTCCTCCTGTCTCACTGAAACTGTGCCTGTTGACCAACGTTTCCCCTTTCCCTGTCCAGCCTCCCCACCCCAAGCCTCTGGTAACCACTGCTGATCTGTTACCTGTTATCTGTGCTGGTTCTCATTCATGGGGTTTTGTGTCCTCATCTGCTGAGTTAATGTCAGTGTGCTTATTATTCCCTCACAAGTAATTTGTTATTTTTGCCTAGAAGCTTGTAATTTTCTCCACATCAGTATATGCATCAGTGTCTGTGTTTTCTCATCTGTTCAACTTGGGTCTAGGTGGGCCCTTTCCATCTGCAGAGAGGTGTCTTTTATTAGTATGTATTTACTGCCTTTCCATCTATTTTCTCTTTTTTGAGCACCCATAATTCCAATGGAAAGTGTCCTGAATCTATTTTCCACTTCTCTTAATTCCTACCTTTTCCCTCATAATTCCCCTCTTTTAAATTTATTCATCTATGCTTTAAGATATTTCTTGCACTTGATTTTTCAGGCTAACTCAGGTCTCAATAAAATACATATACTCCTCTTCAATTCATGTAGTCAATTGTTTGAGAATCTTTGTTTTTATCCATAGAAAGTCTTTATGTTGTCTTAAATCTCCTTAAGTATTCTTGTTCTTAGATTTTTATCTGTGTCCTCTAGCAGTTTTATTTCTCTGGTTGTGTTTTTTTTTTAAATAGTGACGGGATCTCACTATTTTGCCCAGGCTAGAGTGTGGTGGCTATTCACAGGTGTGATCACAGCATGCTACAGCCTCAAACTCGTGGGCTCAGGTGATCAGTGGCGATTTACAGAGGTGATGATAGCACACTACAGCCTCAATCTCCTGGGATCCAGTGATCCTCTTGCCTCAGCCTCACAAGTAGCTAGGAATACAGGCTCATGCCACTGCTCCCGGCTTACTGTGTATTCTATTTTTTGCTGATGATCCTCTCTCTGACTGCTGAGTCCCCTGACAGAAGTCACTGTTTTTCCATTTAGGTTTAATGAGACTTAGGTATACTTGTTGTACTATCCTAAAATGCATGAATCTAGCAGGTGTCGGAAGGCCAAGTGGTTTTTATCCCCATTTGTATGTGGAACAATGTGATCCCATGAAGCCTCTCTGTTACCTACTCTACCTCTTCTCTTCCAGCCTCAAGAGCAGGGAAGACTTAGCCCACCTATTTGACTACTTCACCTTTTAGAGAAGCCCACCCCATACATATAAAGACAGTGAGACCTTTTTCCTACCCCTGGAAATTCCACAAGTCTTTGTGTGACAGGCTCTTTCCAGGGCCCATCACTGTCTAGCCTCTGCCCCCGAACTTCTCTGGTACTATTCTTCAATTGCTCATCCAATCGGAGGAGAAAGCCTTACATCAGTTTTCTCTGCCAGGGCTTAGTGAACCCCAAGGTCTTAGTATTGGAGACATTAGTTGCCTATTCACTATTTGTTCTTCCTTTCTTTCTTAATGAAAGCCCAGTTCTGTTCAAGGAAGCCATACTGCACAACTAAAAGTATTTACCTTCTCAGACCCCTGGCAACCTGGGTTGCCATTTGACTCTTCTAATAGCTATTAGGAGGTGCTGCTGAGAAAACCATTGTTTTCTTGATCAAAAGGGAGAGATTCTGCAAACAGCCAGGTATTTTGCCCTTTGCCGTTTACTCATCTTTTTTCCTGACAGGAAAAGCCCACCTTCCTCAACCATAAGGATGAAAACCATATCCAAAGCCTGGTGCAGCACAATGCCAGAGGGAGACTTTATCATTGACTTTCTCAAGCAGCGACATCAGCCTAGTTCCAGATTTCTTGTTATGAGAAAAATAAATTGCTATTTAAACATTGTAACTACATCTGTTATATGCGACCAAACACAACTCTGACTAAGTCCTCACTTATACCCAGTTGCTCCTAGGTTTTAGCAGCCACTTGACTTATGAGCCATTTCACTCAGAAGTGGCAAAGAGCTTGGAGGTAAAAATGGAGAGGAAAGGAGCTGTATTTAGATTGTCATGTTCCCTGAATCCTCTTGATACTGAAATGTTGAGTGAGGTTTAATCTTTAACATTCATTCATGCACCAAGATTCATTAAGTACCTACTATGCGCCAGGCATGGAGCTGGATGCTGGAAACAAAGATACCAACCTTGGTATCTTCCTACCTTCATGTGTATCGTCCTCCAGGTCTGCCAGAGTGGGTGCATTAGGAAGTGAATACATGGAAGACTGGGTGAGCTGAGTCAGTTTTGAGATGCTGTTAATTGCCATGCTTCCCAGTGGAATGATGTGCTCTAGGGGAACATGCGTTAAGGAGAATTACATGGAGTAACAGCCTAGTTACAATGGTTATCATGAGATTCTGCTTGAATAACCTAAGCCCAGGTATTGTTTCGCCCCATGGCTGACGAATCTGATGGAAGGTGGGAAGAAGAGGATTACTCACTGCATATTCCAAAGTACCAACCTTTCATACAAAAAAAGGAACTGGGGGCCACGGGTGATGAAGAGCCCCCATTGTATGTATTAGGGTAGAGTGGAAGAAAAATTTCAAAGGGAATACCAACAAAGAACTGGGAAATCTGGGCTTTGGGACATTTGAAGGGTAAAGGACATTAAAATGTTTTTGCTCCCTCTTTCCTTTGTTTAGCAAGTATTCTGCATAAACATTTTCTGAAGGAGTAATAGCTTTGATTATATAATGGACCCCTTCTATTCTTCTTGTTATAAGCTTTCATGATTAAAAAAAAAATTCCCCCCTTCTCTTTATCATTTTCCCTTACTCAGTGATGAGAATTTGGCAGTCTTCTTGCTTGGTTCTAGTCTTCTGTGATTAGGGTGTAAATACAGACTAGGAAGCTCCATGTTTTCTTTATTTGCTGAAAAAACTGGAATGGTTTAAAGCAATAAAACAACCTGTGTAAAGACCATGGAATGTCTAAGAATAAAAGACCACTAAAGAGGCAAACATCAGAAGATGCCTCTGCTGCCTTTTCTGTCTCTGACTTAGGCTGTTCAGTATATCATGGGTATGGAAATGGGGATAAGAAGACTGGGCTTGGGGAGATTAAATTAGAGAGGGTATTGCAATAATGAACTGGGACTCATTCATAAAATTTTATTCTCTGAAGCAGGCATATAAAGGGGCTAGCCTGTTGCAAGGATGTGGGCCAGGGAAAGTCTGTCAGTTGGTTTAGTCTCTGTCCCCTCTCTGTTGCTCCAGACACCAAAAGCCACGGCCATGCTATAAAAGAAGGTTCTGATGCTGGTGACAAGGATGGTTTCTAAGCCAAAGGAGGAAATGATTCTAAGATAAAAGCTAATGTTCAATATTCACTAGCAAGCTATAAAAAAGTACCTCTGGCTGGGTGCGGTGCCTCACACCTGTAATCCCAGCACTTTGGGAGGCCAAGGTGGGCGGATCATGAGGTCAGGAGTTCAAGACCAGCCTGACCAACATGGTGAAACCCTGTCTCTACTAAAAATACAAAAATTAGCCGGGTGTGGTGGCACATGCCTGTAATCCCAGCTACTCAGGAGGCTGAGGCAGAAGAATCTCTTGAACCTGGGAGGCGGAGGTTGCAGTGAGCAGAGATCGCGCCACTGTACTCCAGCTTGGGCAACAGAGTGAGACTCCATCTTAAAAAAAAAAAAAAAAAAAAAAAAAAAAAAAGTACCTCTGACCAGCAGTGCAAGATAGACAGGAAGGCTTTGGAAATCACCCAAACAGAACTCAGGTGTGTAGGTAGAAGGCCGAGGCAACAAAGGGGAGAAGTCTGCTCTGTAGATTTGCAGTACAACAGAAGTCACTGCATTTTTAGGGACAGCAGTGGGGAAATGTAGGGTACTTCCCAAGGCCAAAGTAGATCTGGTTGGAGTCAGAGACAATAATGGACTGGAGGGGAGGAACTGGAGGGGAGGGGCTGGGGAATCTGTGCCACGAACGGGCTGGGCTCCTGTGGCTGGACAGGGTTTTCTAGACTATGAAATGTTTTCAAGAGTCTTCACCTAAATGTTCAGCACTGCCTTTTATGCCTACATAGTACCTACAATCTGACATGTACAAACTTGTGAGTTCCCACATCCACACAAAAATGTTTTGTCCTAGACAAAAGATGGCAGCCTGTGAATTGAGGTAGCTGGTGACTTAGGCTGAGGTGATGTGAAGGAGAGAAGCGAAGACTCTGGTTTGAGGATTAGGGCCCTAAGGTCTTTATGATGGTGGGAATAAAGGAAGAGCCTGAAAGAGATAAGTGGCCCCCTCATCAACACTAGAGACTGTCACTGCCGCCTACCCTGAGGGGTTTGCTTGGAGGTAGAGCCCTCTGAGGCTTTAAGTTTGAGGTGGCTAGGGTTTTTTATGTAGTAATTAATGGTTTTCTCTACCCTATTCCTACAGGAATCCTCTAAATTGAACTTCCAGTTCCATACTGCTAGACTGTCGTGGGATTTGTGGTGGGTGAAGCAATGATGGCATCTGTTAGTTTTGGGACATAATCACAGCTTCTGGACATGGCACTTGAGGGGCACCCATGAAAACCATCCAGATTCAAAGACTCAAAAGTCGAAGGGCCCTCAGAGTTGTCCCATTCAATCTCTCAGCCAGGGAAATGTTCTCCTACAAGGAGGCTGACTCACCATCCAGCTTCACACTCCATGTCATGTGGAAGCCATTGGTCATCAGGTAAAAGTTCTTCACATCTTCAGGCATCACACAGTTATTCTTCTAGAATCACAAAGCAGCTAAGTGTTAGGTAAGGGCTGGGAAAGAGGGTACAGGGCTATGGCTTAAGGCACTGGGGACACGTTTAGCATGTTATACGTCCCTGAAATAGGAAGGCTCTGATAGTCACCTACAAAACTCTATTAGAGAGGCACTGGGGTCTTGCAAGCAGAGTTCCAGTTTGCCTTTTTTTTCTTCAGCAGCTAATGCAAACCAGGTACCTGCTCTGCCATGATAATGCCTCAATGGGCAGCCACCTGGCAAAGGAGCTCAAAGGGAACAAGCTGAAGAGGAGACAGGGGAACATGGCAAGAGGGGAAGTCCTAGGTAAAGTCTGACAATGTTCAAGCAAAGCAATCACTGCCGTACATATCAGACCCATGGTCATATATTATTTTCTGAAACAAATTATTGGACAAATGAGAGCATCTTAAAAGTGAAGAGTGCCTGTAATCCCAGCACTTTGGGAGGCCGAGGTGGGCGGGTCACGAGATCAGGAGATGGAGACCATCTTGGCTAACATGGTGAAACCCCATCTCTACTAAAAATACAAAAAATTAGCAGGGTGTGGTGGCGGGCGCCTGTAGTCCCAGCTACTCGGGAGGCTGAGGCAGGAGAATGGCATGAACCTGGGAGGCGGAGCTTGCAGTGAGCCGAGATTGTGCCACTGTACTCCAGCCTGGGTGACAAAGAGAGACTCCATCTCAAAAAAAAAACAAAGTGAAGAGTATATCATTTCCAGAAAACTTATGCAATGTCTAAGTTCTGACAGCTCTTAGAAGGTAACCATATATACTCAAATATTTCACATATCCATGGATATGAAATCATCCAAACCGTTGCTGGAGAGAACAAAGAAGAAACTTAGTATCCCTTCAGGAGATACCAGGAACAAGCCCTACATTCTAAGTAACTCACATCTGTGTGTGTGTATGACCAGTCTTCCCTAGCCAACTCAAATCCCTGGAATGTGCAAAGGATGAGTTCTCCAATTCATTTCCTGGGCCCCCTAGAGTGACTTCTTGATGTAGTTACAGAGGCAAAGAGGCAACATGTTAATAACTATCCAAGCTTGTGGCTTACTGGACCCTTCTGAGATGTGATACCGACAACTGCTTATGTCAGGACTGCATTAGGTCATCCTGTCAGTCAGTTCTAGGTACCCAATGCATGGGAAAGCATCATGTAGAAGGACGATTTGAGTTCACTTCCCAACTCTGCCAGTAGCTGAGTGACGAACACATCACTCTGTGAATCTAGGTTCAAGAATAAACTCTAAGACTTAATATACAGAACACTGGCAGTACGAGGGGGTGTGAGTTTGACAGGAAGAGAGGAGACTAGGAAATTATTATTATTCACAGCCACAGCATCTTCAGGAACTATAGATAAAGAGAAAGCTTCAAGCTTGCCGGAGATTTTAAGCATGTTTTTAGATTATTAAATGGACAACAGCTGTCATTTTAATGAAACAGGTTTTAAATTTCTTTTATTTATGAACTAAAATGTATGTTCTGATCAAGTTTTGTTTTTTCTGTGTCCATTATTTAGTACCCAGTCTCATAAATGTGAAATTTAAGAGACTCAGACTCCTTGGACTAATTTGTTTTCCTATTATTAGGAGTAATGGGCTTGCTCCTAGTGCCTCCTGTGTGGCCACATTATCTGTGCTTTCAGAAGAAAAAATGCACTTGCAGAATGCCTTTCTCCCACTCCTAAAACCCTGGTACAGGAAGCCTACAGTTACCAGTGTTCTGCAAGGTCCTTGCTCCTCTCGTCGCCCCAAAAGGACAGCATTGCTCTGACATTTTGATCACTAGTGCCATCTAGTGGTGAAGACAAGGAAACTACTGTCTATCCGCCTTTCTTAATGGGGATTCCATGAGATCCAGGCTGAGGGCAGGTGGACTATTTGGCATTGTTCATATGTAAGACAGGCTGAATAATTCCAGTAATTAATAGTAATTATAACATTTGTTATGGTATTTATTTCACCCAAGAAATAAGTTTTGGTATTATTTTATACCAATATTTTTTACAATTATTCAAAATTCATACAAATAGAAAAAAATCTGTGAAATCAAATATTTAACACACATTTCAAATACTAATATACATAAAAATATTCAAGTAAACCAAATTCATGAAAAACATCAATCCCTCACTGTCATTCTAATTTAAACGACTAGCGGCCCTGACTCTGCTGCTTTTTGCTGCAGACCCTTCTGCCCCAAGCACCCCTGGGGCAGTTGCTGGGCCTGCAGTTCTCCAGCCTTCCTACTGCATGTAGCTCTTCTGAGTGGGGCAAATCCAGGAAGAAAGGTTCACAACCAAAATTTAAATGACCACATACTTGCTTCAGTCCTTTAAGGTTGGAGAGAAAAGTAAACAACCTCTCCTAATTTTAACGTATCTCACCATTTTTTTTTTCTGGCCAGTGACTCAGTTACTGCCGTTTTAAAATTTCTGTTCTAACCAACCTGAAAAGAGTTTGCTTTTCCACAGGGAGCAATCTGCCCACATCAGAGGGCTTCTTCCCACACAGATCCATGCCCAGGCTATATTTTGGGGGGTGTGATAGGAGGGCAGGGAGGAGGAAGATCGGCAGAAAGTGAATGGAGGAGGGTAATATCAGGATTGGAGAGAGGGTCTGGGGAGAAAGCCAACAAGGGAGAGTAACAACGACTGGTATCTGAACTAACAGCTGATTGCATCAAGATGGTATCTGCAATCTCTAGCCCAGTGGTGATTCTGTCACATAGTTCCTAATTTTTAATCTTTCTTTTCTTCTCCTGAGATAATCTACAATGGTTTATTTAAGCTACTTTAGAAAGAGTCCATCACAAGCTCTGTTACTACTTCATCAGATGAAGGACCTGAGCCACTTTTTTGTTTTGGGAGCTATCAACAAGATTCCAGAAAACCAATAGCACTGGGCCTCAAGGGAAGGGCTAGGGGCTGTCCATTGCCTTCTACTCACCTTTTCTACTCCTGGACAATCCTGCACCCCATTATTCCCCTCACTTTTAGAGGCCACTTCCCAACTAGGGAGCAGATGCAGGATCAGGTCAGCATAGGGCCCAAAGGACAGAAATCAATGTCTCTGTAGGTGCTGGTCCATGCTGAGCTGGCTCTCTGGCTGGTCTGCAACCATGGCCAGGTGAAGAGCTGCCCAGGACGTCCATCAAGGAGCATGAGAACATTGCTGGAAATTGTGGCAATGAGCACAACGGCATCTCCTGAAACTCTTCTCAGGGAGGACATTCCATGAAGTGGAGGAAAACCTGGATGAGCTGTGGAGGGATGGTGTGAGATCCCCAAGAGAATTCCCAAATATATTCTCAAACTCCCACCTTAGGAGAGGTGGAGGGCTTGGTTAACTGAACCCTTTTGTTTTGTTGAGTAGGGTATGAGAGTTTGGGGCCAGAGCTGCATTGCTTAACAGCCAAAGGAAAGGTAGCATACTTTTTCCAAAATCCTTTCTCCACAGAACCATTAGTCTCCCTCTAAAAATACGTGAAGAAAAAAATATATAAATATTGGCCTGTCTAGAGGCACCACAAGTCTTGGTGAAGCTGTGTGTCTGACAGAGCTCATATGAGGCAACCTTCAGAAGAGTAATACCCTCAAGTTTATATAATCATCAAAATTCTACCACTGGGGGAATTAGTGGGGGAAGCCTTTGCATCTACAGCTGCTCTGCTTCAGAGATGGTGGGTGTGGTAGCCTGAGTCTCAGGAATGCAATTAAGGATTGCTTGTGGAAAAGAAGTTAGGCAACCTTGGGAAGGCTCGACACTCTTTCTGACTTTTGCGTTTTATCTAATTCACTTACTCATTTCACATTTATTAAGTATCTATTATGGGATAAATACTGTGTGGGGCACTAGAAACAGAAAGAGAAATGAGGGAAGGGGCAGAGAAGGCTGTGTCAGACACATGGATTGCTTATTCAAATCCACCTTCCTTTTTCTCCTTGGCAGAACCTTCATTTTGTCTGAGATGGCAATGTGTCCTATTAAATACTTGTTTTCAGAACCTCCTGCAATTACTGCTGGACATTAAAATGTAAACACAAGTCCAAAACAGAAGGTTTCTAAGAAAACTTTCACTGTCCTGTTAAAAGGTGACAGATATGCCTGGCCACATCCCTTACCTCTTTTTTGTTTTTTGAGCTTGGAAATGATAGCTCAGACTGTAGCAGTTATTTTGCCACTATGATATTGTGAAATAAATATTTGGTCTCTGTCCCAGATTCCTGGCATACAATTTCTAAAATCCTTGGAATCTCCAAAGTGACATCTTTTTGTGTGCTAAAGAGTTGACAAATGACTGGCATCTCCAAGGTAGCTGCAGGATGGGGGATGATCACCAGAACAACCAAGGCAGGCAGTGGGTTGGAACTTTCAGCCCCACCCCCTGACCTCAGGGAGGGAAGAGGGGCTGAAGGGTAAGTTGATTATCAATGGCCCATGGTTTAATCAATCATGTCTACATAATGAAGCCTCCATAAAAACCCAAAAGACAGAGTTTGAAGAGCTTCCGGACAGCTGAGCACATGGAAGTTCCTGTAGTGTGGCGTGCTCTCGGATGGCAGGGAAGTTCCACGCCCCTCCCACCACACCTTGCTCTGTGCATCTCTTCATCTGTATCCTTTGTAATAAACCTGTAAATGTTAAGTAAGTGTTCCTCTGAGTTCTGTGAGCCACTCTAGCAAATTAATTGAACCTGAGGAGGGGGTCATGGGAACCCCAATTTATAGCTGGTGGGTCAGAAGCACAGGTAAAACAACCTGGGACTTGCAATTGGCATTGGAAGTGAGGGCAGTCTTGTGAGACTGAGCCCTTAACCTATGGGATCTGATGCTATCTCCAGGGAGACAGTGTCGGAACTGAATTGGAGGACACCCAGCTGGTATTCACTGCAGAACTGATAGCTTGTTGATGTGTTTGGGAACTCCCCCTTGCAACACACACACATTTGGTCATGGAAATTTTCTGTGTTGATTGTTGCGGAGTAACAGGAGAGGAAAAACAGTGTGTGTTTTTTCTACTCAGAGGCACCATAAAGAAAAAGGACAAAATAATTACAGAGATAACGGCTTAACATTGTCAGGACTGATGAACCAACTGCAACTGTCTACCTCAGGACTTGATACATGAAAAATATTAATTCCTATTTGCTTAAGCTATTGCTAGTTTATCTTTCCTTAAGCCAAACATATTCCTAATTTAAATAGAGATAAATGTTTAATAGGTAAGTGTTGTGGAGCTGAAGGGGCAAAGAGAACTAGGAGGGAAGAGTCTGCGAGGAAGGAAAAGATCAAGAGAGTTCTGCTTCTGCATCCAAGGGAGGAGAGGCTAGCAGAGAAGGGAGTGGCTAACTGTGGGGCATGCAGGAGCCACACCAAGTGAGATGAAGTAAGTCTTTAGCCATGAAGAGGTCCTAGTGATTTTGACAGAATGGTATCCAAGAATGGTGATGGCTAAAGAGAGGCTGTGGCAGGATGAATAACTGAGAAATGAAGGAAGGATGGTAATTTGTAAACTATGGCCACTGGATCCACCCTGTCACCTGTTTTTGTAAAAATGTTTCATTTGAACACAGTCACACACATGCATTTCAGTACTTTTGATGGCTGCTTTCACAGCTACAATGGCAGAAATGAGTAGTTGTGACAGAGACTGTAACGCCAGAGCATAAACTATCTGGTCCTCTAACGAAAACATTTCCCAACCCCTGGTGTAGACAACTTTTCTACACACTTGGCATGAAAAGCAACAAATAGCTAAATAGCTAGAAGGAGATATACGTTGAAGGTTTTTTGTTTTTAATTTTAAAGAGATGGGAAGCCCCTATGGGGAAGCTGCCAGGAGAAAGAAGTGAAGTGCTAGAGAGAAGGGTTGACTGGTGGAGAACACAGAGAATCTCCCAGGCAGAGTAAGAGCATGAAGTGAGGGGGTCACTAGTCACATGGTGTCGCAGGATGATTTCTTCTACTGGAAATGCTTATCATAAATTCACAGTGGGGCGTGTAACAAACAGATCTTCAAGAAGGTTCAGAACCCACTCTGTAGACTGTAGAAAAACTGAGTCTGAAAAAAAAGGAGATATTCTGCCAAATCATTTGGTTTCTGTGGGCCATGGTTTCACCATCAGTAAACTGAATTTTTATCTGGGGATTGGAGGGTGTAACCAATCAAGAATTGTAAAGCCGTCTGCAACTATGAAATGTCACTGAAATGCTTAATAATAACATAACTCTTCTGGCACCAGGATGTTATGAGAACTAAGAGGCAGATGCTTTCCTGGTGCTTGAAAGATGAAAAGCTCAGTGTAGACACTGGGCCTTACTATGGACCATCATGACAAAAGGCAGGTAGCAGGCACAATGAACATGAATCATACAACTGCACAGAGGCAGACAAACTGAAATTGTGTATTTAAGAAGAAAAAATGGTCAAATATATAAACATGGAAAAAGGTTGTTCATATTTCCCTCCAACCTCAGGGGACTGAAGCAGGTATATGATCATTTAGGTTTCGGTTGTCAATCTTTCTTCCTGGATTTGCAGTATAGAATCACAAAAGACTAGATTACACCTGGACGAGTCCTTCAATAACACTGATTTCAAATTACTTATTTTATACATGATGAACATGAGATCCAGAGAAGTTACATTACTTAGCCAAGGGTCCAGAGCTGGCATAAGACTTCTACTCCAGTGTGTTTTTCCCACATCAAAATGCTTCCATATCCTTACTAGTATAACATATCTCAGTGAGCTTCCCAGAGGAAGCTCTGGAAATAGCTTCCACTTTATTCCGATGTTGCTTTGGAATAAAGTGATTTCTGAGGCATATTCTTCCTTATGTCTTGTACCATACAGTCCTTAGAGCTCTTTAAGGAGAAGACTTTACCCATTTATCCCAGTTTTACTTATACTGTAGTTTCTTCATTTGGAGCTGCCTTCCATAGCTGAGTTTCAGGGATAGAGTCTGCAGGGGATCTCTATTTGGAAGCTATTCCAAAGCTCTGGATATATTTGGGCAAATATAGCCCAAAAGGGCAAAGGGCCCCTTCTTAGGGGCCTTATCTGAATGTATTTATGCAGCTGTGATCACCAGGTACACCAGATGGAGGCTGGGCTCTAAATGAGGTGTCTCCAAGGAGACAGGCCTCTAGGGTCAGTTCTCTAGAGAAGTAGGAATTATCAGCCCCTTGGGATCCTCCTGCTTCTCTGGTACAGGCATTTCTGGAAGCAGGCACACAGCAGGGGTGGCTTATCAAGCCTGCTCCTGTGTCAACATGCTCTTCAGTAACCTCTAGGGTGAGAAAGTGAGACAAGCGAGTTACAGAGCAGTCCAAAACTTCTACCCTCCACTGCTTAGGAGACAAAAGTAGGTAAGAAAATAGCATGTTGAGTATTGCCCCATTTTGAATGAAAAAATTATACAAAAACCTGTTTTAAACTTTTTGGGGTTATGAGTCCCTTTGAGAATCTGAAAAAGCCTTTTCCCCCACCTCCCAAAAAAAACATATCTGACATACACTTCAAGGAGTCCACGGACAACTTCCCATTCATGGACTTGTAAGGGATCCCAATGCCTACCCTCCACCCACACACATAACCAAAAATACACCAGCTGTGGTTATGTCTAGGTAGGAAAATCCTAGGAGACTTTTTTTTTGTATTTTCAATACACCTTTTTGACTGTTTTGTTTAGCATAATCAGAAAAAAAGTGTTACATAAAAATGGAATCTTAAAACAAAAGGTACACACCCCAAAGGCTATCTTATCTTCCAAGCATCCCAGGCCTTTACAAGCCCCGACATGCCAAACTCAGGTGAAAGAAACATTTTTATATTACTGATCCTAATACTGTTAGTATCTTATTTTTAAAATTTTTATTACTTACTTATTTTTTAAGAGACAGGGGTTGAGGAGTTGTCTCATTATGTTGTCCAGGCTGTTCTTGAACTCCTGGCCTCAAGCAATCCTCCCACTTTGGCCTCTCAAGTAGCTGGGACTACTGGTGTGCACGACCACACCTTGTTTGTTTGTATATTAGATTTGGCATATTTGAACTTAGATCTGAGATATTTTAACTAAAGAACTCAAAGGAAAATTCCAAATCTACGTATCTGATTATTTTAGGTACCTTCACAAGTATTCTCCCAAATGAATATGTCTGAAGAAAATGTTCCATTAATTGTCTCAGTTAGTTAAAAATCTCTTTCTCTCATGCTTACCCCTTAATCCTTTTAGACCTCTGATGGCTATTTATCTAGCACTACAACTGCATTTCCCTAAGTGTCAGTCTAAGCTAAAAGGGAACCTAATAAAGTTGCATTGTCCAGGAGGCAGATTAGATCCCAAGAGATCCCCTGCAGACTCTATCCCTGAAACTCAGCTATGGAAGGCAGCTCCAAATGAAGAAACTACAGTATAAGTAAAACTGGGATAAATGGGTAAAGTCTTCTCCTTAAAGAGCTCTAAGGACTGTATGGTACAAGACACAAGGAAGAATATGCCTCAGAAATCACTTTATTCCAAAGCAACATAATAGTGTTCCACCCTAGACAAGGCATTCCTGTCCTCTCACCTTCCAATCCAGGTCCTCAGCAGACAGGAAAACACGAGGATCTGACTCTCACAAAAGAGCCCTGAGGCAGTTCTTTTTTTTGGGGGTGGGGACAGAGTCTTGCTCTGTTGCCCAGGCTGGAGTGCAGTTGTGCGATCTCAGTTCACTACAACCTCCGCCTCCCAGGTTCAAGCGATTCTTCTGCCTCAACCTCCCAAGTAGCTGGGACTACAGGCGTGCACCATCACGCCCGGCTAATTTTTGTATTTTTAGTAGAGACGGGGTTTCACCATATTGGCCAGGCTGGTCTCGAACTCCTGACCTCGTGATCTGCCTGCCTCGGCTTCCTGAAGTGCTGGGATTACAGGCATGAGCCACCACGCCAGCCTGGCAGTTCTACTAATACCTAAAGGGCTGACCTAAGCCCAAAAAGAATCAAGAGAAATGTCCTCCATCATATCTTTTCTGTTACTGTTATTCATAACAAACAAAACAACATCAATGAGGCCAGACTGGCATAGTCACAGAAGTACCAGGAACAGGTGTTGACAGGATCAGCCAATAAGAGTTTCATAGCCACTGTTCTGGAATTTTCTTTTCCTATGATGGGCTATGAGTGGAAATGGAGGTGGGGGCTGAGTGAGAAGAGTTGGGATGCTGCTGAGCTGAGGTCCTGGATCAACTCCCAGTTACTGAGCTGCCAGAAAAGCTGCTGCTGGCTCAGCCCAGGGAGGGGAGTCAGGCTGGCAGGACTGCTTGCCTGCTGAGGGCAAGACTCCCATGGTGTTGTCCTCTGTCAGAGGGGCACGCTGGTAGAGCAGAAAGGACATGTTCTTAGAGGCAGGCAACTGTAAGTTCAAATTGAGGCTCTGCCACTTGGTAGCTATGTGACTCAGAACAAATTTTTCTTTCTTTCTTTTTTTTTTTTTTTTAAATGAAACAAGGTCTTGCCCTGTTGCTCAGGCTAGAGTGCAGCGGTGTGATCATAGCTCACTGCAGCCTCAACCTCCTGGGGTCACAGGATCCTCCCACCCCAGCCTCCCCAATAGCTGGGAGGACAGGTGTGTGCTACCATACCTGGCTAATTAACATTATTGTTTTGTAGAGCTGGAGTATTGCCATGTTGTCCAGGCTTGTCTTGAACTCCTGGCCTCAAGCAATCCTCTGCCCTGGCCTTCCAAAACACTGAGATTACAAGCATGAGCCACTGTGCCGGCCAAATTCTTTAAACTCTTTCAGCCTCTGTTTCTTCATCTATAAAATGGAGATACCAATACCCACCTTGCAGGGTTATTATTCATTTAGTATGGAATGACTTATGGGGTAAGTGTTAGCAGGTATTTATTAAATGGTAGGGCAATTTGTTGCCACTTGCCCCAGTCAAATCCATTTGTTACTCTACAGCCACAGTGGTCCTTTCAAGTATAAATCTAACTTCAAAGTTCCCTACTTAAAACATTTCAATGACTCCCCTTTGCTTCCAGGATAAGGAGTAAACTGCTGAAGACCTATGAAGCCCTAAATGTCCTGGTCCTTGCTGAGCTCTCTCTACCTTGCTCTCCTGTGCTCCTTCTTTGTGATCTCAGAACAATGTAATCCTTCCCATCTTGAAGCTTTCATAGAGGCTGAAAGTCCCATCTTCCTAGATCCCATCTACCTGGTTAACAATTTCTTATTGCTTCTTTGGGAAAACTTTTCTCAACCTCTAGACTAGGGCAGGTCTCCAGACAATGCTCCCTTTACCTCTCTTTCACAGTACTCAGGCCAGTTAGTAATTACATTCATAACAATCTATACTATGTCTTAGGCAGTAAGATCAAGAGGCAAAAACAGTGCCTTTTAAAAAATTACCATTTAATCTGGGAGACAGAGCAAGACTCTGTCTCAAAAAAAAAAAAAAAATATTACCATTTAATCCCCAGGGCTCAACACCAAGCACAATGTCTGGCCCACTGTAGAAGCTTAAAACTTTTATTGAATAAACGAATTGAAGTTCAGAGGAAAGTTGGAAAGCATTAGCTTTTAATCTGCTTAGTAGTTATGTGCAACACTTAATCATGTTCTGGACAGCATGACACTTATTAACACATATCCTTTCTTTTCCTTAATTGATTTTTAGCTTTGTTGTACACAACTTTGAATGTCCACTGCTTCTGTAGGAGAGTGGGGCTCAGGGGAAACACTCCATGCTGGGTAAGTGGCATAGAATGAAAGGAACTGTTAAGTGGGCTGAACAGGAACATAGAAAAGGTAAACTCTACCTTGAAAGCAGCTGTGGTCTGAGTAAATATTCTTCCTCCCCTAATCTTTCCTTCTCAGGGACATTTACACTGACCTCTCTTTGATGGGAGGTAGAGTTCATGTGGCAACACTTACTTGTTCCCAGGAAGAAATCATATGACGTTCAGCAGGAGGCTTTTCTATGATGGTCACCTCAGTCACACCTGGGGAAGATTCTGGAAGAGAAAAAAGAGTCTGTAGAGTTGCAATTGGTCCGCTGTCATACATTTCTACGCTAGTTGTTGACTAACTGTTGATGACTGCTCTTAAGAACATCCAATCCTTCTCATGAACACTTATTACCCCTGTAATGAAAGCAGAGAACTGGTTGGCCTCTGAAAGGCATGGTCCCATAACCTAGGACAATGTAGTCTACCTGATAGAAAGGATATCCACAGACTGTGCTCTATACTGTCATTGCTCAGTCATTAATCTTATTGAACAAAAAACAGAGATTGTAGATTCCTAATGATTTCACACAGAAATTCTCAGTGAGCTAAATCTATATACTCAGGATAAAGTGAAAAGAAATAAAGAATAGCAACCCATTAACTTTTATAAGACATAAAACTTGCTTATTAACTTTTCTTCTAAATAAAACTCATCTTGAACATAACCTTCTACTCTGTGAGGTCTAGGATTTCAAAGCTGGGTTAACATAAAAAATGGATTCCATCCAAAAATATACTAAGAAAAAAGTTAAGTCATATTTCTAAATCCTTGAAGCGGGAAAAGGTCTCCAAATAATCTGGTCTGCTTCTCTTTGTGGAGCTGTGTTCTATCATTCACTCTGAGGGAGAGCAGAAGCCACCTGGGAATACTACAGAGTTCAATACCTCCTCCAACATTCTCCACTTGTCTGTGGCCATGCAGACTCAAGATTCTGAAGTCCTTAATCCAAGACTTAAAATTTGTCATAAAAGCTGTTATGACTTGAATTCTGTCCCCACCCCCACAAAAATAGATATTGAAGTCCTAACCCCCAGTACCTCAGAATATGACCTTATTTGGGAATAGAGTTACTGCAGACATAATTAGTTTAGATGAGGTCATACTGAAGTAGAGTAGATCCCTAGTCCAATGATTGGTGCCCTCCTCATAAAAAGAACAACATGTAGCCAGGTATGGCAGTGCATACATGTTGTCCCCACTACTTGGGAGGCTGACACAGGAGGGTAGCTTCAGTTTTTAAAATCTCTAGGAATATGGCAGAAACTTCTAATCATTTTATGTGGTTCACTGATCCTATAATTAAGCCAGTGTCCTTTTTATGCATTATAAAATTTCCTCCAAGTTGCCAGAAACTCAAATCTTGGGATGCAGCAATAGCCCAATATAGGAACTAAGAATTCTAGACTCTACCTATTCTAGTCTTGCTTTATACATTTACTAGTTGTATGACCTTAGATGGGTCTTCACTTCCCTTTACCTTCAGTAAGTAAAAATAGACCTTGGGTTTGAAAGAGGACACATACAATTATTTACTGTTTATAACAGGCCTCCATGGAAGGGTTATAGGTTCAGACAAAACTACTGTGATGCTACTGCAGATGTGGTCATGTCATACTTAAGCTTGGAATACTCCCATGGCAAGGTAATTGGCCAACATGTTGACTTTAATAACTTTCAGATAGTAAGTTGCTTAGGAAGTATCCATTGTAGAGACTCCTATATCCGACACAGTACTTCAGAATTGGTGAGGAGGTGGTGTTGGGGATATGGAAGAGAAGGGCATGCAATAAATTCCATTTGTATAATTCTCTGTTACAGGAAATGGGCATAAATTATCCTATTTAATCTTTCAACAATCTTGTAAAGCAGGTATCCTTACCCTCGTTTTAAGGATAAGGAAACCGAGGTTCAAAGATGTTAAGTAATTCATAAAATGAAATCTCTGACCAAAGCTGTGGACACCAAACCTAATGCTGTTTTTATCATGTTGTCTTAGTAGCCTATCATTTTGGTGAGATAACTAAAAACATTTTGCGGATGTTTGGAAAGCAATAGAAATTATACATTGTTCTTGGCCTATCAAGATGCCATATATGAGAAGCAATATCTGAATAGGCATAGCCATTCTCCCTGTCCTGCCTTTGTGACCAATGACAAGCATTTGTCAGCCACCTGGCTGGAATAACCTGCATGGCAGAGTAAGAGAGATGAAACTCACATCTTTAGATATGCCGTGGATTAAAACTCTCTGTGGTAGCTTACTCCAAAGGTGGGTGCTGTCAATTCCTTCCTTCCCTGCATGCCCATAGCACTTCTCATTGAGAGGTGAGTCTATTTCTCCAACTTCTTGAGTTTGGAGTTGGCCTGTGAGTGCCTTGCCCTATAAAATATTGTGAAAAAATGGTGTACCAGTTTTGGACTTAAAATTTAAGAGAACTGGCAGTCTCTCTTTGCCTTTCTTTGATTCCTGAGCCATCACATACTAAATCCAAGCTACTCTTTTGGAGAGAGAGGGCATACTGAGAAGTACTGAGGGGGGCAGACATTAGCGTGTAGAAGCCATTTGATGATTCCAGTCCCAGCTGCTATCTAACTGCGACCACTTGAGAGACCCCAAATGAGAACTACCCCAGCTGGTCCAGTCAATCCACAGAACTGGGAGAGACAGTTAATTGTTGTTTCAAGCAAACTATGTTTTGAGATGATTTGTTATCCAGTGATTGATAACTGGAATATATTTTCTAGTGAAAAACAGTCTCTCTGAGGTATTTAATGAGGACCTGCTATGTCCTAAGCTTTGGGAAATTAATGCTAGAGATTAGGAATTTAAGTAGGAGACACTGTTTCAAGAAACTTATTGCTTAGTTAGATATATAAGACAAACATGAAACAAAAGTGAAAACTCAAGATAATATGTAATTATGTGTTAAACTAGGTGACATTGACTGTCAGAGCCACAGGAGTTGAAGGCAGAGGGAGGTTGACAAAGACTGAGTGAGTGATAGAAAACATCAGAAACTGCACACAGCTGATCTGGGCCTTGAAGGATGATGTGGCAGTTACTGCAGACTGGCTCAATTAACACCTCCTCCTGTTCCCCGCTGGCGTGCTTTCCTTTATTTTAGACTGGTTAGCTAAAGACCTCATTTCCTACATTCCAGTGCAGTTAGACTCCCTCTGGTGACTGGGATGCCTGCATGGAAACATACTTTCATAAAGCCTGGAAGAAGGGAATCAGCAGATGAGGAGAGAACAAATGGGGAGACCAGGTCTTCTCGCATAGTTTCACAGGTGTTTTGGTCTCAGAGGGCTGGAAGTTGTAGTGGTGGCGGCAGCAGCAAAAGCAGTAACAATTTTTGATTCCACAGCTATCCTTCTAGGAGGCTGAAATTTTGAGAGCTGTGACTGGTTGTTTTGCCAACGTGACCAGCATTCAATAAACCCCTGGAAGTTGAGGCTTAAATAGGCTTTCCGGGGAAGAAACACTGCAAATATATTGTTGAATTTCACTATTTAAGGAAGAAGTGTATTCTATGTGACCACTGACAAGAGGGAACACTTCAGAAGCCTGTGCATGGATTCCTCTAGATTCTAACTATGTCTTTTCCCCCTGCTAATCAGTGTAATAAATTATACTTGGGACTAAAACTGTTTCTGAGTCCTGTGAGTCCTTGCAGTGGATCTGGTGGATCTAAAAGTGTGGGTGGTTGTGGGATCCCAGAAACATGCATCCATCTTTTTATATTTAACATTTGATTTAGTTTGATTTAGGTATGTTTTTGAAAATAGCAAATAACGGTTTTGTGAGTCAGGTTTAAATCTTTTTCTATTAATAGGTGACATAAACCTATGTGTATATACTTAAGAGACAGGGTCTTGCTGTCACCCAGGCTGGAGTGCAGTGGTGTAATCATAGCTCACTTCAGCCTCGAACTTCTGGGCTCAAGTGATCCTCCCATCTTAGCCTCCCAAGTAGCTGGGACTACAGGTGCACACCACCACACTGGACTAATTAAAAAATTTTTTTTTGTAGAGACAGGGGTCTCACTATGTTGCCCAGGCTTGTCTTGAACTCCTGGCCTCAAGTGATTTTCCCACCATGGCCTCCCAAAGCACTGTGATTACAGGCATGAGCCGCAGTGCCCAGCCATGACCATTTATATTTATGTTATGACAGTTATGTTTGGTCTAAACTCTATAATAATAGTCCATAATTACATGTGCTATATTACACTTGTGTTTCTTTTTGACGTGCATAGCATTTGCTCTTTTCTTTCAAACATTTGGGGGAATGTTTTATATTGCTGAGTAATAAATTACCATGAATTAGCAGCTTTAAACAACACCCTTTTATTAAGTCATGGTTCTGTAGCTCACAAGCCTGGCACGGCATGACTGGCTTCTCTACTTAGGCTGAAATCACTGGTCTTTCCTTACACCAGGTGTGCTGATAGGTATTTTAGCTGTTCTATTTTCATCTGGAGCTTGGGGTCATCTTGGAAACTCATTCCTGTTACTGACAGAATTCAATTCCTTTTGGTTGCAGGACTGAAGCTTCCATTTCCTTGCTTGCTGTCAGCTGGGGCCACTCTCGGCTTGCAGAGGCCACCTACATTCCTTGTTAAAAGGTCCCATGCATCTTCAAGTCAGCAACAGCGTAACAGATTCTTTTCCTACCTCAAATCTCTCTGACTTCCTTGTTAACAGCTTGTTTTTTTTTTTTTTTTTTGAGACGGAGTCTCGCTCTGTCGCCCAGGCTGGAGTGCAGTGGCGCGATCTCGGCTCACTGCAAGCTCCGCCTCCCGGGTTCACGCCATTCTCCTGCCTCAGCCTCCCGAGTAGCTGGGACTACAGGCGCCCGCTACCACGCCCGGCTAATTTTTTGTATTTTTAGTAGAGACGGGGCTTCACCGTGTTAGCCAGGATGGTCTCGATCTCCTGACCTCGTGATCTGCCCGCCTCGGCCTCCCAAAGTGCTGGGATTACAGGCGTGAGCCACCGCGCCCGGCCAACAGCTTGTTTTAAAGGGCTTATGTGATTAGATTGGGCCTACCTGGATAATCTTGCTTTTGCCATTTAATGTAACATAATCAAGGTGTGGTATCTCATCATCTTCACAGTCCTGTGGATTAGAGTAGGAATTCTAATAGTACCGTGTTTAGAATTCCTTTTTAAAAATAGCTTTACTGAGACATAATTCGCATACCATAATTTATAAAGTGATTTTTATATTCAGAGTTATGCATCCTTTCCCCCAAAAGAAACCCATACCTATTATATTAGCAGTCCCCTCTCCTACCAGCCTCTGGCAACCACTAATCTACTTTCAGTTTCTATAGATTGGTCTCTTCTGGACATTTCATATAAATGGAATCATACATGTGGCTTTTGCAACTGGCTTCTCTCACTTTCATTTCAAGATCATCCATGTTGTAGGATCAGTACTTCACTCCTTTTTATGGATGAATTTTTTTGTTATATGGATATATCACATTTTATATATCACGTTCATCAACTGATGGATGTTGGCTTGTTTGCACTTTTGACAATTATGAATAATGCAGCTATGAACATTTGTATGCAAGTGTTTTCATGTAAATATCTTTTCATTTCTCTTGGAGAAATGAAATCCAGAAAGGGAATCCAGAAATGGAATTGCTGGGCCATACAGTAACTCCAATCTTTTGAGGAAGTGCCAGACTAGTTTTCAAAGCTGCCGTACCATTTTACATTTTACATCCCCACCAGCAGTGTATGATATCTTCATATCCTCACCAACAATTGCTGTATCTGTCTTTTTGACTATAGCCATCCTAGTGGGTGTGAAGTGAAATCTCATTATGGTTTTGATTTGTATTTCCCTAATGGCTAATGGTGATAATCATCTTTATGTGTGCTCACTGGCCATTTGTGTATCTCTGGAGAAATGTCTACCCTGATCCTTTAAAATTGAATTATTTGTCTTTTTTTGAGTTGTAAGAGTTCTTTGCAGATCTGTAAGTTCCTTTTCATATATATGATTTACAAATATCCTCTCCTATTTTTTGGATTGTTTTGTCACTTTCTTGACTATATCCTTAAAAGCACAAACATTTTAAATTTTGATTAAACCCAATTTATCTATTTTTCTTTTGTTGCTTATGCTTTTGTGATATGTAAGAATCCAGTGCCTAACTCAATGTCACTTAAAAAAGGAACCTAAGGCCTGTTTTCTTCCAAGAGTCTTATGGTTTTGGCTCTTACATTTAGGTCTAAGATACTTTTGGAGTTAATTTTTGTATATAATTTGAGGTAGAGGTCCAATTTCATTATTTTACATGTGGAAATCCAGAACCATTTGTTGAAAAACTATTTTTTCCCATTGAGAAGTCTTAACATATTTGTCAAAAATCAATGAATCAGGCCGGGCACGGTGGCTCACACCTGTAATCCCAGCACTTTGGGAGGCCGAGGCAGGTGGATCATGAGGTCAGGAGATCGAGACCATCCTGGCTAACATGGTGAAACCCTGTCTCTACTAAAAATACAAAAAATTAGCCAGGCGTGGTGGTGGGCGCCTGGAGTCCCAGCTGCCCGGGAGGATGAGGCAGGAGAATGGCTAGAACCCGGGAGGCGGAGCTTGCAGCGAGTGAAGAGCACACCACTGCACTCCAGCCTGGGCGACAGAGCGAGACTCCGTCTCCAAAAAAAAAAAAAAAAAAAAAATCAATGAATCATAAATATGATGTTTATTTTTGGACTCTCAATCTTATTTCATTGATCTACATTTCTAGTTTTATGCCACTACCACTCTGAAGACAACTGTGGCTTTAAATTTTTTAAATTGTATTAAAATACACATAACATAAAATCATCATTTTAGTCAATTTTAAGTGTACAGTTAAGTGGCATAAAGTACATTCACACTGTTGTACAACCATCACCAGAACTTTTCCATCATCTCAAATATAGTATAGGGAAATGTGAGTAAGAGGAACTTTTTTCCTGTTTTGGAAAGAAAAGTTTATCTTGGCTACTCTGGGTCTCTTGCATTTCTATATTATATTTTAGGATTAAATTAGCTTCCTGATTTCTACAAAAGAGACAGTTGAGATTTTGATGGGAACTGGAGATGTGAGATTTGTAGATCAATTTGGGGAGTAACAGATTTTAACAATATTAACTCTTCCAATCCATAAACATGGTATGTCTTCTCATTTATTTTGGTCTTCTTTAATTTCTTTCCACAGTCTTATGTAATTTTCAGTACATAAGTCATGGACATCTTGTGTTAATTTATTCCTATTTTATTCTTTTATTTTTTTTGAGATAGGGTCTCACTCTTGTTGCCCGGGCTGGAGTGCTGTGGTGTGATCACAGGTCACTGTAGCCTCGAACTCCTGGGCTCAAGCAATCCTCCTATCTCAGCCTCCTGAGTAGCTAGGACTAAGGCATGCACCACCACACATGGCTAATTTTAAAATATTTCATAAAGGCTATGTTGCCCAGGCTGGTCTGCAACTCCTGGTCTCAAGCAATCCTCTCACCTTGGCCTCCCAGTGTTGGGATTACAGGTGTGAGCCACTGTGCCAGCTACATTTTATTCTTTTCAATACTATTGTAAATTGAATTGTTCTTAGTTTTATTTTTGGATTGTTCATTGCTGGTGTATAGGCTGTGTGTGTGTGTGTGTGTGTGTGTGTGTGTGTGTGTGGATTCCTTAGGATTTTTTATATACAAGATCATGTCATCTGCAAACAGATAGCTTACCTTCTTCCTTTTCAATTGGATGTCTTTATTTCATTTTCTTGCCTAATTGCCCTAGCTAGAAACTCCAGTACAATGTTGAAGAGAAGTGATAAAAGTGGAATTCTTGCCATGCAGAAAAGAGTGAACATAGCAGGCCCGAGACAATAATCCTCAGAAAGGTCTGCCAATCGGGCTGCCAAAATCCTTTTGTTGTAATGAATCATAGCCATGAGTAGGACTATCTCCTGAGTCCTGTAATCCTTGCGTCAAATCATTGAATCTGGTGTGATCTTGGGGAACCCTAATACAATTTTTGTTCCTGATTTTAAGGGGAAAGCTGCCAGTCTTTCACCATTACATATGATGTTAGATGTGGGTTTTTCATAGATGTCCTTCATCAGGTTGAGGAAATTCTATCTCTATCCCATCCTATTTCTAGTTTGTTGAGTTTTTTTTAATCAAGAAAGGTTAGATTTTGTCAAATGCTTTTTTTATTAAGATGATTATGCAGTTTTTGTCTTATTCTATTAGTAAGTTGTATTATATTAATTGATTTTTTTTAAGTTTCTTTTTTTTTAGTGACAGGGTCTTGCTATGTTGTCCAGCTGGACTTGAACTGGGCTCTAATAACCCTCCCACCACAGCCTCCCCAGTAGCTGGAACTAAAGACATGGGCCACCATGCCCAGCTATTAATTGATTTTCATATGTTAAAACCACTCATTCCTAAATCACACTTGGTCTTGGACTTCTATTAAAAGAGACACAAATTTTAAAAATCAACCAAACAAATACATAATTTCAAGTAGTGAAAGTGCTATAAGAATAAAAGAAAAAGCAGGGTAAGGAAAGAGAGAGCAAGAAAGACGGCGGTTATTCGAACTATATTCAGGGAAGGTTTCTCTGAAATAATGACATTTGATCAGAGATCTGAATGACCTGAAGAAGCGAGACATTCAGAGAAAGATAATTCCAGGTGCAAGGACTAGCAAACTGCAAAAGCCCTGAAGCAGGAACCCGCTTAGTGTGTTTAAGGTACAGCTAGAAGGCCATGTGGGCAAGAGTGGAAACAAAGTCAGAAAGAGATGAGAGCAGATCTTACAGGGACTTGTGGGTCATGGTACAGACATTTGGATTTTATTATAATTGTGATGGGAAGGCACTGAAGCATGCTTTTCAGCCTTCTTAAAAGACCTTTCTCCTCCTTAGTTTTCTGGCTAACTCCTATATGTCTTTCAAAATCTAGCATCATCTCCTCTGTGACATGTTCTTTAACTTCCCTGGTAAGATCAGTCCCCTCCTCTGTGACATCTCTGAGTAACAGATTACTGACCTCTTTTCACACTCCTAGTGACCTCATTTGTTTATTTTTTTCACAGAACTGTGTCTTTTTCATATTTTTAACCTCACGTCTAACATAGTGGTGAGTACTAAAGAAACGTTTGATAGGCCAGGCGCGGTGGCTCACGCCTGTAATTCCAGCACTTTGGGAGGTCGAGGCGGGTGGATCACCTGAGGTCAGGAGTTCGAGACCAGCCTGGCCAACATGGTGGAACCCTGTCTCTACTAAAAATACAAAAAAATAGCTGGGCGAGGCAGGAGAATTGCTTGAACCCAGGAGGCGCAGGTTGCAGTGAGCCGAGATCGCGCCATTGCACTCCAGCCTGGGCAACAAGAGCAAAACTCTGTCTCAAAATACAAACAAGCAAGCAAACAAAGAAATGTTCGATAAAAGAAAAACTCTGAGTCATTCAGTGGTGCAAGGTTGGATTCCTTTCAGACCCGACGTAGTTGTCGCCCTGGGAGGTCGGGTGCATTACTTCCCCCAGAGAAAGGTCTTGGGTTTCGGGGATAATGCCCTGGCTGAGAATGCCTCCTAGGGGGAGATCCAACTTCCCAACCGTCAGGTGCTTGCTGTGTTCCCTTTGCACGTCTCTGCCCGTCCTTCCTGGGTGGGACCTTGGTTGGCGGTGAGTGGGGGAAACTTCAGGCTTCCCAGCTCTGCCTCCGAACACTCCTGGCAAACACTTTCAAGGCCTAATCACAAACCCAGGTCCCCCACTTTCCTCTGTAACAACGGAAGTCCCAGCAGCGATGTCCACTCCTGTTCTGGGGCCAGCGTCGCACCGCTCACCCCGCACCTCATCCCTCCGCTCCTCCTTCCTTCTCCTCCACACCCTCTCGGCACCGTGCCCCCTTTCCTCACCTAGGATGCGCGTGATGCCCAGGGTCAGCTTCTCCAGGTGCGGCTTGCTGCAGCCCAGCCCCGGGGACGATGCCTCCTCCTCCATGGCTCGCGACCGCGATTCGCGCGCGGCGGGAGCGGGTGGAGGGCCGGACCCCGCCTCAGCGCCGAGGCCAATTTCATGGCATGCCGGGAACGGTAGTTCTCGGCGCCTGAAAGCGCGGCGCAGTGATGATGGGGGCCCGGGGTTGGTCTGACAGCAGCAGCTCCGTGGGGCGCCGGTTCCCGCGGCCCCGCCCGGTGCCCCACACCGCACCTCCGGGACGTAGCTTCCCCTTCGCCCCCACCCTCTCGCCCCGCAGGGGCCGGCCGCGCAGGCGGGGGCGGGCCTCTGCGTGGTGCGGCCAATGGGGACCGAGCCTGCAGGCCGAGGCGTGGCGGCCCAGGCGCGACGCCCCGAGTGGCGGTTGTTTCAAGATGGCGGACGTGGCGGGCCCCTCCCGCCCCAGTGCCGCGGCGTTCTGGAGCCGGGACTGTATCCTTTGCCCGCCTGACAGGGGGCGCCGGCGCCCTCCACGGGACGGCGAGGGGCGAGCCGTCGCGTGGCAGTCCGAGAGCGGAGGAGAAGCTCCGAACTAACCCCGGGGATGGGGACGTGCTGCTCGGCCCCAGTCTAGGTGCTGGGCTCTCCCCTTGCTTGGGTGTTAGGTGGCCGAGAGACTGGTACTGTCTGCAGGTGTGGGGACACGGCTCAGATGCTTCCCAGCGCTCACTACCGGTGAGCTCGAGAAAGATAGCCTTGAGTCCAGGCTCAGTCCAGGGCTGAGATGGCCCTCCGAGGTCCCTCTGCCCACCCTGTCAGAGTGCCCCCAGGCTGACTTGAGTGTGCGGAGCTAGCTCGAAGTTGAGGGAGGAGTCGGTGTTGGCTGGACAGGGAGCCTTTTTGTTTTGATTTAGGATTGTCTTTAGTCTGCATTGCTAGGAGCAAGTCAGGACCTTTCGGACTTAAAAGGCCCTCCAGTGATGATGTATTTTAATACTGGGGTTTTAGGAGAGGTGTGGAGCTTGGTTACTGGGATGTGGTCTGGTGGTGCTGGTTACTGCGTAAGATGGGAATCATTGTGCCTGGAAGTATTGTTGACTTACTTGTGGAGTGCGGGTCACTGGCAGTCATTGAAGTTCTTGGATCGTTGTGAGGTGGAGAAGCAGTGGAACTTTTTAGTCCAGTGGTAGTATTACCAGTTCAGCAGCAGTGATGAGATGTTTGTGTGACAGGAGTGTTTCTTTCCTTGGAGTAGGTAGACTCTTCTCGCTTGAGCTTTGGTCCTGATAATTTACTTCACGTTCCTTAGAGGGGTTACTTGAAAGAGGGACGGCAATCTGTGTTACTGAGTGCTTGCAGAGGCAGCTCTTTTTGTGTTTGCTAGGATTGGTGATGGCATTAATTGAGGCGTTGCTGTTACCTTTGGCAGAATCACTGGGCATTCTTCTTAGCTCCCAGTGAAACTTACAAAACTGTGTTATCAACTCCTTTGTTGAGTTACTAGGATTAGTGTCATGTGTAGAGAGAGGGATATGTTTGTATTCTGTGCTGCTCGTGTTTAGTGTTTGCACTTACTAGACATAATTACCATTTGTCTCTGATAGGTTGGTGAAAAGCAAATGAAATCATGTACATACACTGTGGATGAAAGCATACTAGTGCAGTGTGCAAATTAAATATTTTTTCCTTTACCTTTCAGAAGAGAATATGTGCACTGTGGACAACTGGGCTGAATTAGGAAGTTAGGAAATTGGGATAAGTCTTTTCTCAAGAAACACTGCTTCTGCATTGACATAATTTTGTGATGGAGGAGATACTTGAAGGTTATTAGCTTATAGCATCCTATGGTACTGTTCAAATATAGAATCAATGGTTTGGGGGGGGGACAAGCTATTGCAATGGGACTGAATAAGTGTATTAATAGATATATGGACTGAACCTAAGCTCTTGGTCTTCGCACCCAGTACTTTCACTTACTCATGTAGTTATATCACCCCCTATTTTATGTAGAAGTCATATATACTCCGTTATCTCTTGTATTCTGACTCCCAACATTTAATGTAAAATATTCGTCCTCTCATAGATAGTGAGGAATTGAAATTGTACAGGGGAAAAATGGTGGCGATTATATCCTATAAGATCTAATTCAGATGTATGAAAGGAATTGCAAAGTTGCTAGTGTCACCTTTCCCCTCAGACTATTCCACGTAATGACCAGTTAACATCGAGCCTCAGATATTTTCATTTTAAATCTCCATAGAGAATGTCACTGTAAGCAATGTCAAATGTAAATTTGTTACTGAATATTTGCTGAAAAGCATAATGATAGTTATTAATCATTTGATTTAGTTACATGTCTTTGCATCTTGATTCCTTTGTCATATTGATTATTTCCCAGACCACCCTAGAGCCTTTATAGTAGAATTTTCAATAGAAAAAGACCAAAAAGTAAGTACCTATAATCTGGTATTCTTTTCACACTATTGAAAAAAGATTTTCAATACTTCACCTAAACATTTAGAGAAATGTGATGGAGAGATTTCTTAGTCCTTGATGTTTCCATCATGAGAGGACAGATCATCTGTGACTCAATGGCACCTTTTTTTTTTATTGTTGTTGTTGTGAGTTATACATCTCCTGCACAGTATGATTCAGCAGTGCTGTTTTGCACAAGGAACGTTTTAGTACCTCATCTGTAAACAATGAGTGTGTGGTGTTGTCATGTTATGGGTTAAATCTTCCAGCAAAATATGCTCCTTCAGTTTAAGTTGCCTTTGTCCTTCATTACAGTTCCTAGTAATGTCAGAATGAGTTAGTGTTTCAGCAGTACCTAAATTTGACTGCTTAAATGCACTCAAGTGTATTACCATTAGCAATATCATGGACTTGATATTAAAAAATATGAACTGCAAGTGACCTGGTCAAAACATTGCAGTATAATCTCTGCTGTTGAGTTTTCAAATGGAAACAAAGACTGTATGTTGTGGTAAAAATAATATATTAGCCCAGAAAGTCTCTGTGGTTGATAATAATTACATATACATGTATTGCTGGCAAAACTCAGCAGATTAGAGTAGAATGGGCAGTACTGAACTTATTTCCTTCAAATCCTGGAGGTCTGGGATAGAGGTGCATCTTCCTCTCTACCACTTCTGCCTGGGTTTCTAATTACAGTTAGCCCTCTGTATCTGCTGATTCATTCAAATGTGGATGGAAAATATTTGAGAAAAAAAAGAAATAGCACACAAAAAAATACAAATTAAACTGTACAATTTAACTACTATTTATATAGCATGTACATTGTTTTAGGTATTATAAATAATCTAGAAATGACCCACTAGTAGGCCCACTATACATTTGGTATATAATGTGTCTGTTTGACTTCCCCATAAAATATACATTTGTTGGGAAATTCTAGATTTGAAGGAGGTAAATATTTGGGTTCTTAATATAATGAGATGAAAATACATTACAAATTATTAGAAAGGATAGAGGCAATTTCAAATATTGTTATTAAAAATATTGAAGTAGTTTGTTTAGAGTTTTATATATTTGAAAATAAATTTGTCATGGATGTAGCTGAAAGTAAAAGGTTTTGTTGGCCGCTTGCGGTGGCTCACACCTGTAATCCCAGCATTTTGGGAGGCCAAAGCAGGTGGATCACAAGGTCAGGAGTTCAAAACCAGTCTGGCCAACATGATGAAACGGCCGTCTCTACTAAAACTACAAAAAAAATTAGCCAGGTGTGGCGGCGGGCACCTGTAATCCCAGCTACTCGGGAGGCTGAGGCAGAGAATTGCTTGACCTAGGAGGTGGAGGTTGCAGTGAGCTGAGATCAAACCGCTGCACTCCAGCCTGGGTGGCAGAGCGAGACTCTGTCTCAAAAAAAAAAAAAAAAAAAAGTTTTGTTTGCATATTTAGAATCACAGAAATATAACATATAAGGTTGTTGGACAACACCTCATAAAATTAAATCAATACCAATTTTATTCTTTCATAGATGGAGCCAGACATTCTTTTATGTTTGAGGGTACAACACTGAACAAAATAAAACAAAAATCATTACCCTCTTGGTGCCTACATTTTAGTGAGATGAGATCAGGTCATGAATAAGGAAAATATATGTTCAATGATTTTTTTTTTTTTTTTTGAGTCAGAGTCTCGGTCTGTTGCCCAGGCTGGAGTGCAGTGGTGCCATCTCAGCTCACTGCAAGCTCCGCCTTCTGGGTTCACACCATTCTCCTGCCTCAACCTCTGGAGTAGCTGGGACTACAGGCACCCGCCACCATGCCCGGCTAATTTTTTTTTTTTACATTTTTAGTAGAGACAGGGTTTCACCGTGTTAGCCAGGATGATCTCGATTTTCTGACCTCGTGATATGCCCACCTCGGCCTCCCAAAGTGCTGGGATTACAGACGTGAGCCACTGCACCTGGCCTATGTTCAATGATATTGGTGCTGTGGAGAAAAAATAAAGCAGGAAAGAGGCAGATAGTAGCGGGAGGTAGGTAGGTTGTGGGAAGAGAGAGTTTTGCAATTTCAAGTACCTATATGGTTAGGAAGTGAAAGCTTCAATCAGAAGGTGACATGACATGACATATGACATAAGTCCTAAAGTGAGCCATGAAGATATTTGAGGAAAGAGCTTCCTGGGTAGAAGAAATCATACCTGCAGAAGCTATAAGGTAGGAGCTTGCATAGCTTGTTAACAATTATAAGAAAGCCAGGAATGAGTGAGAGGAATAGTAGCAAGTGAGATCAGAGATGTAACAAGTTACAGGGATCAGATCTTGAGCATTGCAGGCTGTTGTTAATACTTTGGCTTTTAATCTAAATTAGAAATGACATAACTATTAAAATGATCATTCTAACCACTGTGTGAAAAAATAGGCTGTTAAGGGAACATGCACAGAAGTGACAGAGAGCAGTTAGGAGCTTATTGCAATAATCCTGGGAGAGGAAAAGTTGAGTTGGATCAAGGTGACAGTTGAAAACAGTGTGTTATAATCATAGCCTTTCTAAATTTCTCCTTTTGAAATTCAAAATAGTTCTTTTTGTCTTAAATTTCTTCTACTTTTTAAATAGTAGGGCTTCTTGGGATATTTTATGAATACACTGTAGAAGAATAAATAATGTCTTTGTGTTTGCATGATTGACTTGCCCTCAGTGTTTGTTCTTCAAAGCTAAAGTCTATCTTGAAATTATTTACTCTTCAGAATTGTCAGTTCCTCAGTAATGACCAAACTGGAGCACTTAAGTTTTTGTTTACAAAAGGAAAGGAACCTAATAGTAGAGTATATATTGCAGGGTAACCCACTTGAGAGTGGATAAAAGTTTCATGGAACAAGACCTTCCAAGATTTTTATAAGATGTGTAGTTGTGAATATATAAAGGTGAACTTTTAGAGAATATTAATTTTGCTACATTTAATTCAATTACTTTGCTTTCTAACTTTGTTTTTAATTCAATTACTTTGCTTTCTAACTTTGTTTTTAAAAGTTAGTTACAAATTCCCAGGTCAAAAGAAATTATGAATTATAAGAGGTATACAGAACAGAAGCAGCATTTGGATGCCGGATAATATTATTGTATTTTCCTTCATGTTCTCCTGCGTAGTTTCTGATGAAGAACAATCAGTAGTATACGTTCCAGGTATGATTTTCTATGTTAAAATTTGGGAAGCTTACTTTGGTCCTTAAATGTTAGAAGAAAATAAAGCTATTAGAACAATGTTGCGGGTATAAATAACTGAATGCAGAGCAGTACATCAAAACCTAAAATTTGTTTTTTTTGAATATTTGTCATAACCCTATTAAGGTTTGAAATACTGGCTTATCTTTGGGATTGGCTGGCCCAATCAGCTTTTAATGAACTTGTAGAACACTTCATGTGGCAAGGGGCAAAAGATTCTTTTCTTATTTTTTCTTTTACAAATGATAGCCAAATTTAATATTTCAAATAAAAGTGTGACTACTGCTTGATACAGGGTATATGTAAGAGGCACTTCAAGTTTAATGGTTGTAACTAGATGGTAGTAAAGCAACTATTGAAGGCACCCTCATTATATAGGGTGAAAAATATCATTGATTTCCCCTAAGTTAACATATATTTGGCATATCGTAATTTATTGGTTTTAATGTGACTTATGAATATTTACAGTACCCTTTACAAATATTTCAGTTAAGCTGGATGTGGTTGCTTGATCCTGTAGTTCCAGCTACTCCAGAGGCTGAGGTGGGAGGATTGCTTGAGCCCAGGAGTTCAAGTCCAGCCTGGATAGACATAGGAAGACCCTGTCTCTTTAAAAAAATAAATATAAAAACAAATTTCAATTCAATCTTTAGTGTATTTCTTTAAAACATATTCTTTTTATGATTCATATATTAAGAGCTTTAAAATTAAGTTTATAAAGTAAGAGAGTTTCCTCCATCAGGTCCCTTAAAGTAGAGGATTCCAAGGAAGGAGTTGATGGGGGAGGGTTTAAGATAATAAGGTATAATTTTGAAATCTTGTTTAATGGAAATCCTTAGGAATTTCTGCTGAAGGAAATGTCAGATCAAGACACAAGCTGATGAGTCCAAAAGCTGATGTTAAACTTAAGACTTCCAGGGTGACTGATGCTTCAATCTCCATGGAGTCCTTAAAAGGCACAGGAGATTCAGTAGATGAACAGGTTAGTATTTTTTTCGTCTTTTTTTTTCCTTGCTCTCCAGTCTTTATGAGTGCTGACCAAAAAGGGTAGAAGAACCTTTGAAAGTATACTAGGTGATCAACAAACATTCTTAAAAGATACAGAGGATTCCAGGATCCTTTGATGATGCCAGGTTTGAGCCTAAATTATCTGGATTACTCAAGGGTTTTGCTCCAAAACATCTGACTTGCTGTAAGCATTAGCCATGATAATGTATTATCTTGATATGTCTCAAAAGAACTACATTCTGATCTGTGTGGCATTGGTAAATCAAACTGATGAGAATTGCTTTTTAATTAGGCATCCTTTTTGATTTTTATTCTTGTGAATTTATTTGATAGATGAACCCTCGTAAAGATGAGGGACAAATCAATGACTAGGCATAGTAATAGTATCGGTGCATTCCTTTGGCACATGTCCTATCTGACCAGTTTATTTTACTTTAATTTTTGTTATATTTTCCCTCTGCAACCAGAGTTGTTCAATACCACTTCACACTCACTAGGATGTCTACACAAAACTTGTATATGAATGTTCTGGAATCTATAACCTGTGGACCAAATCCTTCTGCCTGTTTTATAAATAAAGGTTTTTTGGAATACAGCTGTGCTCATTGTTTTACATAATTGTCTATGGTTGCTTTTGTGTTACAATAGCAGGGTTGCTACAGAGACTGCATGCCCACAAGCTAAAAACATTTACTATCAGACCTTTTATAGAAAACTTTTTTCAGTCTGTGAATTATGTTCTCAAAGATATTTCCAGTGCCTCATTTATTACTACAGGATTTTACTGTGATTGAATCAAAAGGCCTACTTTACGTTACTTGTACCAGTGTACCCACTTCACACTGGGGTGTGAATAGTTGAATTTGCAAGTTCTTATCAAAAAAAGTTAAAAAATGTTTTTTCACATAATGGTTGATTTGTTTTACATTGAACAATAGCCTTCTTTTAGATTAAGTTCATATTTTTGTCCTATTGGCTATAACTTTTGATTGGATTATTTCAGTGGCTTCTTTAGAGATTATAGTATACATCTTTCATTTATCATAGCCTATTATCAAGTGATATTTTCCCACATTACCTATAGTTTAAGGACCTTTCAACACTGTACTTTATTTCTCACCTCCTGACTTTTTTGATATTGTTGTCATACATTTTACTTATGTGCACAGACCCCAAAATACATATTACATTTGCTTTAGTCAACTCTCTTTTTTTTCAAATTGAGATATAATTTGCATATAAAATTCACCTTTTTAAAGTGTACAGTTTATTATTTTGATTTTGTATGTGTTTATATTCACAGAGTTGTGGATCCATCACCACAATCTAGTTTCGAAACATTTTTATCACTCTAGAAAGAAACCCCATACCAATTAGGCACTTCTCATTCCCCAGTCATCTCAGCCCCTAGCAAACACTAATCTGCTTTCAGTCTCTATAGATTTGCTTGTTATTGATGTTGCATATAAAAGGAAATCACATAATATGTGGCCTTTTGTGACTGGCTTCTTTGATTTAGCATAATGATTTCAAGGTTCATCTATTCTGTATCATTACTTCATTCCTTTTTATGTCTGAATATACATTTTGTTTATCCATTTATCAGTCAATGGACATGTTCAACTTTCTAGCTATTATGAATAATTCTTCCATGATCATTCATATACAAGTTTTTGTGTAGACATATATTTTCAGTTCTCTTGTGTATATACCTATAAGTGAATTGCTGTGTCGTGTAGTTTTATGTTTAACCTTTTGACAAAATTCCAAACTGTTTTTTAAAGTGGTTACACCATGTTACATTCGACTAGCAATGTATGAGGATTCAGATTTCTCCACATTCTTGCCAACATTTATGTCCATCTTTTTTGAGGATGGCCACCCTAGTGGGTGTGAAGTGGTAATTCAATGTGATTTTGATTTGCATTTCCTTAATGACTAAATGATGATGAGCATGTTTTTATGTGCTTCTTGGCTATTTGTGTATCTTCGTCAGACAAATATCTAGTCATATCCTTTTTTAACTGAGTTATTTGTCTTAGTACTGTTAAGTTATGAGTTCTTTCTAAATTCCATTTACAAGTCCCTTATCAGATACATTATTTGCTAATATTTTTTCTCATTCTATGCATTGCCTTTTCACTTTTTTATTGGTGTTCTTTGAAGCACAGAAGTTTAAAATTTTGATGAAGTTCAGTTTATCTAGTGTTTTCTTCTGTCTCCTTTGCTTTGGTGTCATATCTGAGAAATTGTTGCCTAATCCAAGGTCACAAATATTTGTGCCTATTTTTTTTCTAAGAATTTTAAAGGTTTTACTCCTACATTTAGTTCTCATTCCATTTTGAGTTAATTTTTGTATATGGGGTGAGGTGGTAGTTTAACTTTATTCCTTTGCATGTAGATATCCAGTTGTCCCAGCACCATTTGTTAAAAAAACTGTCCTTTCCCCTTTGAATTTCTTGGCACCCTTGTCAAATATCTGTTGACCATAAGTGTAAGGGTTTATTTTTGGACTCTCTGTATTCTGTTCCATTGATTTATATTTTTATTTTTGGAATTAGGAAGTATAAGTCCTCCAACTTCTTCTTTTTCAAGATTGTTTTGGCTATTTTGGGTCCCAGTGTTTCCATAGGCATTATAGAATCAGCAAATGTTTTATACTTTTTGATGTTATTAGAAACACAGTTGTTTCTGAATTTCACTGTTGGATTGTTTATTGCTAGTATATAGAAATTCAGTTGATTTGTGAATTGATCTTGTATCCTGCAACTTTATCAAACTATTTCTAATCTAA
This sequence comes from Homo sapiens, assembly GCF_000001405.40. Classification (NCBI taxonomy): domain Eukaryota; kingdom Metazoa; phylum Chordata; class Mammalia; order Primates; family Hominidae; genus Homo; species Homo sapiens. Next base: position 36,838,197 of record NC_000018.10, read on the forward strand.
TAGTTCTTTTGTGAATTCCTTACCATTTTCTCTATATAAGATGAAGTTGTCTGTGAATAGAGATAGTTCACATATTCTTATTGGATGCCTTTATTCCATTTTGGATGCATTTTATTTTAATTGCCTTTTAAAGAAATTTTACAAATGCAACAGAAGTCTTTTAAATCTACTCATGTAGTTACCATTTCTGGTGTTTTCATTCTTTCACGTGTATCCAGATTTCCTAAAAGACTTCCTTTAACATTAGTTCAGGTATGCTAGGAAAGAATTTTTTCAGCTCACGTATGTCTGAAAAGTCTTTATTTCTCTTTCCTTTTCAAAAGATATTTTTGCTGGTTATAAAATTCTGAGTTGATAGTTTTATTCATTCAGTGCTTTAAAGATGTTGCTGCACTGTTGCCTGGCTTGTATTGTTTTTAAGAAGTTGGCTGTCATTTTTATTCCTCCTTATTTTTCTGTGTGTATGTGTTTAAATATGGCTGCTTTTAAGATTTTCTTCTTATCACTGGTTTTGAGCAATTTGGTTATAGTATACCCTGGAGTAATTTTTTTTTTTGAGGTGCAGAGTTGCTGTGTCGCCCAGGCTAGAGTGCAGTGGCACGATCTTGGTTTACTGCAACCTCCGCTTCCCAGGTTCAAGTGATTCTCCTACCTCAGCCTCCTGAGTAGCTGGGATTACGGGCGTGCACCGCCACACCCGGCTAATTTTTGTATTTTTAGTAGAGATGGGGTTTCACCATGTTGGTCAGGCTGGTCTCGAACTCCTGACCTCATTATCTGCCCGCCTCGGCCTCCCAAAGTGCTGGGATTACAGGTGTGAGCCACCATGCCCATCCTACCTTGGAGTAATTTTTAAAGTATCTCTTTTGTTTGAGGTTTGTTGAGCTTTTTGGGACTGTGGGTTTATAGTTTTCATCAAATTGGGAAATGTTTCAGCCATTGTTTCTCCAGATATTTTTGTTTCCCTCTCTTTCTAGTGACCTTAGTTGCACAAATACTAGGCCTCTTGAAGTTACCCTCTCAGCTCTCTGATCCTCTGTTCATATTTTTTTCATTAAAAAATTTTTTTGTTTATCCTTGGATAGTTTGTATTGCTGTTGCTATGTCTTCAAATTCATTAACCTTCTGCAATGTCTAATCTGCCACTAATCTCATCCAGTGTGTTTTTCATATGAAACAATGTAGTTTTATCTTTAGAAGTTCAGTTTCAGTCTCTTATTTTTGTTTACATCTTCCATGTCGCTACTTGACATGCTTTCTTCTAGGTTCTTGAACATATGGAACATAGTTATAATAACTGTTTCAATATTCTTGACTATGAATTCTATCATCCAAGTCATTTGTGGATAGGTTTCAATTGAGCAATTTTTCTCCTAATTATAGGCTGTATTTTTCTGCTTCTTTGCCTGCTTGGTTGTCTTTTATTGGATGTCACAAGACAGTATGCATTTTGCCTTTTTGGGTTCTGAGACAGTGATAAATTATTTGGAAGCAATTTGATTCTTTCCAAGCTTCATTTTGAGCTTTTAAAGGTGGTGCCAGAGCAGCTTTTAGTATAGGGGTAATTTTGCCCATTGTAGGCCATACTCTTTTGAATACTCTTCCTGATGCCCCTTAAATTACAAGGTTTTCCCCTCTGGCTGGTGGGAACAGACTGTTCTCCTATGCTGTATTAGCTACAGAAATTGTTTCCACTGTTCATTTTGGGCTCTTTCCCCGGGATGAGTAGTTTTCTCACATACATATGCTGGTCAGTGCTCAGTAGTTGACGCGAAGGGATTCTGCAGATCCCTGGAGCTCTCCTATGCAGCTCTATCCTTGGCATTACTTTGCCCTGCAAGGTTTCTAGTGTTTCTGCAAACACTAGAAACCTTGGCTTTCCTGGACTCCCAGCTGTATCTTTTCAACTCAGGGAGATTGCTGGGCTCTGTCTGGATTTACCTACCTTAGCCCTGAAAACTCTCCACAGCAGTTAGCTGGGACAGTTGTAGGGCTCGCCTTGTTTGTTTCTGCAATTCCAGTGATCATTCTGTGTTGCCTGCTATCCAATGAAAACTATTGTTTCCTGTTTTTTTGTCAGGTTTTTGTTTTGTTTTGTTTTCTGAAACTAGGGTAAATCTGGTCCCTGTTACTCCATCTGGGCTAGAAGAGGATGTCCTACATTGTCGGGGGTATATGTGTCTATGTGTGCTTTTTCTTAAAACTAGAAATGGTGGTTTGCTTTTTCTTTTCCTTTTTTCCATTGAAGAGCATGTCTTGTGATTTTTTTTTTTTTTTTTGACAGAGTCTGGCTCTGTAGCCCAGGTACAGTGGCATGGTCTCGGCTCACTGCAACCTCTGCCTCCTGGGTTCTGGTTCAAGAAATTCTCATGCCTCAGCCTCTCAACTAGCTGGGATTACAGGAACGCACTACCATGCCCAGATGATTTTTGTATAAACAGAGATGGGGTTTCACTATGTTGACCAGGCTGGTCTTGAACTCCTGACCTCGTGATCCACCCACCTCGGCCTCCGAAAGTGCTGGGATTATAGGCATGAGCCACTGTGCCCAGCCATCTTGTGATTTTTTTCTCTGTGTAGTCTTTGTTGGTATTGATGTTGAGTATCCTTAATTCATTAAGGATTTCACAGTGGTAATTAGGTCAGTTCAAGTCTTCTGGGAAGCAGACCGCGAGATGGAATTAGAAATGGAAGAGATTTAATGAAGGAAAAGCTTATAAAGCATAAAGAGTAGAATGAGCAGGAATCTTCAGATTTCACTACAGTCTGGCACCTGTGACAGGAGAGGAAAAGAAGGAAGATTGACTAGGAAGAACCTCAGACTTCAGATTGCCATGCAATCTGAGATAAGTGTCCTTTTTGCTAGTGAGGAACCCCAGAGCAAATACTGCCTTTTGAGGATGCCATTTGGATCAGAAATAGCTCAGTTCTAGTGTCTCTACTGTTCCCAGTCATTGGTGTTGGTATGAACAGTGCAGTGGATCCCAAAGGTTTGGCAACTGGAGGCTGTTAGCTGATTATACTCTGCAGCAAGTTCCCTCTCTCTTTTGTGGCCATATTGCTTTATTTTTTACAGTTAAGCCTACTATTCATCAGGAAGTAATATGCACATGTAGTGTAAAGTAAGATTCACTGCAATTCAGAGAGAAAAGAATCCTCTTCCCAATAGATGGTGTTGGGCCCATAGACTGCCAGTATTGGGTCAATAGACTGTCAGTATTGGCCCAACACCATCTACTGGGAAGAGGATTCTTTTCTTCTTTGAATTGCAATGATACCATTGTTGTAAGTCAAGTGACTGTAGATATGTGGCCTTTCCTCATCATGTTTTCTTCTTTGGTAATTCGTATCCTGAACTTTATAATTCTTTTGTTTTTCCATATCGGGGTTCGCCGACTTTTTCTATAAATTGGACAGGTAGTAAATACTTTAACTTTTGCAGGCTGTAACATCTGTCTCAACAACTCAACTCTGCCACAGTAGCATTAAAAGAGCCATAAGCAATATGCAAATGAATGAGCACGTTTTAATAAACCTTTGTTTACAAAAACAGCCAGTGGGCCAGATTCGGCTTGCAGCCATGGTTTACCAAGCCCTGTCCTACAGTGTAAATACATTTTTTTTGAAACAGTATTTCATATATATTTGGAACTTTATATAAATGAGCTCATATCCATTTGTATTGTGTGATTTGCTTTTTATTTCATATTATGTTTATGAGATTTCTTGTTTTTTTTTCCCTCTATGGCTCTTCCAATGTTACGTGAGATTTCTTTATGTTGTATGTAGTTATATTTCATTTCTTTTCACCGTCTCGGGGTTTAGTCAGTTATTTTAACTTAGAATATTTAAAAGAAAAATTATTGAATAGTGCGAGAACCAAAAAGGCAAAAAGGGAACATTAAAGTATCATGAAAGTAGTAACTATAAGAAACAACCACAATCTCTAGAACTGGATGAGAGGGCAGAATAAGTCGGAATTATTGAAACTTAGAAGCTTAGAGGAGGGGCCCCTTAAAGCTGCAACTTGGACCTCTGGTGATGGGACACCAACCCGGCTGGTACTGCCATTTCTGAGGAGGCCTGATAAAGGCTGGTTCTGTAAGGGCTGGAAAAAATTGCAAACTGGAATCAGCAGTACTTGCCAGGGTAAGGAACTCAGGGGTGACACTGTCAGTAACAGGAAGGAAGTAGCCTTCCTTCTTTCTTCCTGGTCTTCATCTAGTTCTTTGTGTTGGCAGAGTTCAACAGAGTGCCAGGTGGCGAAGGAGAAATGGTGTTTCCAGAGTCTTAGACTTAGCATCTCAAAGCAGAGGGTGGAAGGGTAGTTTTGAGGGGGAAAGTTAGTATCATAGCTACCAGTACCTCTAGAATTTCATTGTATCAATATGCCAGCCACAGTTTTACTATTCTGTAGTTAATAGACATTTGCCTTTTCAGATTTTTGCTGTTGTTAACACAATGCCACTAATTATTTATTTTTTTTTTTTTGCCTAGTTACAAAGATTTCTCTTTTGTTCTTTTACTCAGCACATCACTAATGAAATGTCTTTTCATGGGTTATCAGCAACTTCCTCCATTGCCAAATCCATTGCCTTCTTCCCCCAGTCTATTTGTCTTTTTTAATCATTAGCACTGTTGAACCCACACTATTCTTGAAACTTTTTCTTTCTTGTTTTCTCCTACAATGTTATATGCTTCTGATTCTCCACTTGTCCTTTCAAATGCCACTTTAAATTAAACTAAAATCCAATTACTTAAATTGAAATTAAAATCAAATGCCAATTTTCCTGGACTTGTAGATGATTTTTAAAATACTAATATTTTTTCTTAATTTTAAATACATAATTATTAAAGAAAAATTTAAAACATAGAAAAGTATAAAGAATAATAAAAAATCTTAACATTATCCATAATACCATACACTGACTTTTAAATCTTTATGATTTTCTCTAGTTTGAAAGCTAGACCTACCTTTCCAGCTTCCTGCCTAGACGTTTGCACATGAATGGTTTGCTGGCATCTTACATTGAGCATTTCTAAAACCAAAGCTTATTTTATTATCATCTTCTTTTCTCCATTTTTTTCCCTACTCTCTTTCCCACCTTCGGCTATTACTATTTCCAGAATTCACTTTAGGTGTTTTCAGTTATTCTTGGCTACCCGAGGTAATTGGACTAACTTAACTTTGGTGGTTGCGCAAATGCCAAGGATTACAGCTCCTTCCTTTTACATGTTACCTACGATTCCTTCGTGACTCCCTGAGTTTATGTCTTTAAGGACCCCTCCTAATGATGCTGAGGTGCTGGGGAAAAGTTTTTGTAGCACAAAAGATTAGAATAATATGGTGTTTAAAGAGCACAGACTCTGGAACCTGTGTTTAAGTCTTGATTCTGCTATTTAATTGCTATAATCCTGGATATGTACCCTTAAAGTAGAATAGGAATAGTAACTATTAATACTTAATAGCGTTGTTGTGCAAATAAAATGGAATAGTAAGTACAAAGTGCTTACAATATTCCTGGCATGAAGTGAGCACTAGATGTAATTGTTAGCTATTGCTATTATTACTCTTTGGTTTAGTACTCTTTGGGATGAACCTTAGGATATTTTGAATGCTTAGTAACTGGTGCCTCTGCTGCTAATCTTCGTATACCCTTAAGCAGCGTGGGGACTATGGTGTAATAACAGTTCTCAGTATCTTCTGTTGAGTATTTGTTTCTATGACATTCACAAAGGGAAAGTTGTTTTCCTAATAAACCCCAGTATTTAAGCAGGGGATATCTGCTTTTACTTTCTGTTTGCTTCTCTGTGTAAATCTCATGAAGTGTCCTAGTGGACAGTCAGTTCCTTAGCCTGTTTTTAGTTCACAGTAGGTTTAAATTGAAACAGGTAGATAGTGTTGCACCAGAGAAAAGATATCTAAGAAATTTCACCTTGCACCTAGGTTTCTTGAAAAGACTTTAAAAATTGGTTTTAGAAAAAGTGTAACTAAATTTTTTTTTTTTAAGAATTCCTGCAGGGGAGAAATAAAGAGTGCATCATTGAAGGATTTATGTCTTGAAGACAAAAGACGCATTGCAAACTTAATTAAAGAACTGGCCAGGTGAGATAAAACCTTATATGAAATGATTTATTATACAAAAGACAACTCTTATTGAAAACAGAAAATTGCAAATATATTTTGATGACTTAATATCTTTGATCTTATGGTAGCAAAGAGTTTTGGAAAAAAGACATTCTGTGATGTCAGAATCCTCTCAAAAAGCTTAAAAAAGAAGCATCAAAAGCAAACTACTTTCCAATTTACATTTTCTTATTTACTTAACTTTCCCAATTGTTTGATGCAAATATTTGTAGCGGTCATCTATTGAGGGAAGTTTTAGAAACTACTGTTGAAGTAGGTTGATATTGTTGTAATCAGAGGCGTAGCAGTTACCTTTGATTTTTCCTTCAGCATCTGAAGAAAAAATATTTCACTCACAAGAATATCTATTATTGCCTTGCTAATTCCTAATGCTTTTCAATTGATGGATTTTGAATTTTGATACTTAGCTGTTTGGGAGTACTATTCCAGTTTATTAGTGATGTATATGAGGCTCATCTACTTTGTATGTGTAATTTCTTTGTCAAATATACATGCCCAGTTTTGGGGGTCTTAAAAGGTACTTAATAAATGAAAGTATCTATAGAGAAATAGATGAATATAAATTGTAAAAGTTAAATTTACGGAGAGACCATACCTAAAAGTTGATAAAAGTTGATAAAATAGTACTACTTTTTATCACTGAATTGCAAATAAAGATAACAATATTAGGTATGTTTTGAACAAATTTTGTGTTGAAGCCTTAAAGTAAAGTTTGTAGAGGTTTTTAAAAAGACTGAAGTTAAAAAATTACCTTACTCTAAGTCATACAATCATGGGTATCAAAGATGACTATAAAAAAGTGATGTTTTGGGAGCCAGAATACAGGGTGTGAGAATTCAAAGTACACGCCTTAGTCTGAATTTGATATGCTACCTGAGATAAGTAGTAATCTCTTTTATTAGAATTCTTTGGCTGCCCTATTTTCTAAAGTAGAGTTTTCATTAATTTCAGTGTTCTTTTATTGGGAAAACATTTCATTGTTATCCTCAGTATTTGAAGGTGATGTTCTTGTGAGGCTATTACTACATAATAAGTCCTTTGATGAGGAGTTATTAAATATGTTTTGATGGTATTGAAAAGCTATTGCTATTTGTTTGACTCTGTTTGTTAATGGTCCTACGTTGCCATTATTGTCCTGCTGACCCATTTCATTTGAGCTGCCAAGCTTGGAGAATACCTGAAATATTAGAGCATTAAGTTAATTATAAAGGAAGCTGCAGACTGAGAATAAAACGCATATTTGACAACTCATATACAGAATATATAAAGAACTCTAATACCTCAATATTAAGAAGAGAACGTGATGGGTAAAAAAAGGGGAAAAAGTGACATATATGACTTGATATAAAATTAATCAAGTCAGTGCAGTGCTGGCATAAGGATAGACATATACATCAGCGAATGAAACAAAGAGTCTAGAAATAAACCATGCATGTATGTTCAATTGAGTGTGACAAGGAGGCTAAGGTAATTCTGTAGGAAGTCTTTTCTGACATAGAAAAACAATGTCATTTTGGTATTTAATAACCCTCTACTTCCTACAAAATATGCTAGGTTTTCTTTTTTTGTAATTTCTTTATAGAAGGTCAGTGTGTTAGTACAATGTCAGTATTAGTAAAAATCTGCTTATATACTGCTAAAGAACCCCATTATTACTGTATTTACTATTAACGTACAAGTATATGGGAATCATTTGTTCTTCATTTCTTAAAATTTGCTGAGTTTCCTCTACTGGATATTTCAGTCTACTTTGTCTACTTTTGTCTACTCATACTTTGAAACTGTTTTCTTTGCTTTCTTATTTGCAAGACTGTTTGATTGACGTGGGAATGTAGAGAACAGAATCTCATATAAAGCAGTGGCAACAAAACATTCCCAGTTTTTATGTTCTTTTCCCTCTGAATTTTCAATCTGGTTTGAAATAGTTAAGTATACTTACGTCTCTTTTATCTTAAAAATGCTCCTTTCACTATATATTTCCCCCTTGTCACTACCTTCTTTGCATTACAAGACATAACCTTTTTTCTAGAAAGAATAGTCTATATTATTTTCTATTCTGTTGCATTTTATTTTTTTATCAAGCATACTGGCTTGCTTATCAATCTGTTTATTTATAAATATGTCAAAGTGCAATTTGCATGCAATAACATGAACCAGTTTTTAAGTGCAGATTTCAGTGAGGTTTGACAAATATAAGATATACAAGATTTCCTATTCATGATATACAGCATTTATGTTACTCCAAATAGTTTCCTCTAGACCTTTTACAGTCTGTTTCCCCTTTCTCCCCCATCCCAGGCAACCATTAATATAGTTTCCATTATTATAGTTTAGTTTTACATATTCTGGCACAACATATAAATGGCCACACAGTATATACTCTTTTACTGTCTTTTTTCCCTCTACCTAATGGTTTGGATGGGGGGTGGTAAAGTACACCTAACATAAAATTTACCATCATAACCATTTTTAAGTGTACAGTTCAATGGCATTAAGTACATTCATAGTGCTGTGCAACCATCTCTACCATCCATCTCCAGAACTTTTTTTTATCACAAACTGAAATTGTACCCATTCAATAATACCTCCTCATTCTCCTTTCCCTCTTGCCCCTAGTAATCACTTTTCTGTGTGTCTCTATAAATTTGACTAATCTATGTAACTCATATAAGTGAAATCATACAATATTTGACCTCTGTATCTGGCTTATTTTACAGCATAATGTTTTTAGTTGTTTTCAAGTTGTTGTGTATGAGTACTCATTTTTTATTGTTGAATAGTATTTCATCATAGGCCCATACTTCAATTTGTTTATCTCTTCTTCTATTAATGGGCATTTGGGTTCTTCAGGTTTTTGCCTTTTATGAATGAAGCTTCCACAAACATTCATGCACAAGTTTTTGCATGAACATAATTATTTTTCTTCAGTAAATGCTCAATTATATGTTAAGTGTGTCTATAACTTTGTAAGAAACTTCCCAACCGCTTCCCAATGTGATTGTGCCATTTCACATTTCCACTAGCAACTTATGTGAGTTCCATTATTCTGTATACTCACCAACTCTTGGTATTGTCATTTCTTTAAATTTTAGCCCTTCTAATGAGTGTAGTGGTTTCTCCTTGTAGAAATAATTAGTGTTTACCGGTGACTAATGTGATTATTGGTGTGATAATCACATTATAGTAACATGACTAATGTGTCATTCTTCCTTAGTGAAGTGTCTGTCAAATCTTTTTCCCCTTTTTTTACCCATCACATTCTCTTCTTAATATTGAGGTATTAGAGTTCTTTATATATTCTGTATATGAGTTGTCAAATATGCGTTTTATTCTCAGTCTGCAGCTTCCTTTATAATTAACTTAATGCTTTCTTTTGATAAAATTTTGGATCTTGACAAAGTTCAGTTTATCAATTTTTTCCTTTTGTGGTCCAGGCTTTTAGTGCTCTATATATGAAATTCTGCCTATCACAAATTGCAAAGGTTGTTTTTCTATGTTAGAAAAGACTTCCTACAGAATTACCTTAGCCTCCTTGTCACACTCAATTGAACATACATGCATGGTTTATTTCTAGACTCTTTGTTTCATTCGCTGATGTATATGTCTATCCTTATGCCAGCACTGCACTGACTTGATTAATTTTATGTTGTCTTAAAATCAGGTAAATCCTTTAGCTTTGTTCTTATTTTTGAAAATTATTTTGACTCTTTGAGGTCCTTTGCATTTCACTGTAAATTTTAGAATCAGCTTGTCAATTTCTAAAGGAAAATTGTTTCCTGGAATTTTGGATGAAGTTTATTGGACATACAGATCAATTTGAAGAAAACTAACATTATCGAGTCTTTCAATTTACAAAAAGTTATCTATTAAGTATTTAAATTTTCTTTAATTTTTCTAGGCAGTGATATGTCATTTTCAGGTTATAGGTTTTGTTATATGTATCTTGAAGTTTTTTATGGCTTTTATACTATTGTAAGTGGTGTTATTAGAAATTTTATTATACATTCAATATTCAATTTTTTGATTGCTCATTTGAAAAATAGATTTTTTTAACATATATTGGCTTGGTATCCTTCAACCTTTTAAAATTTGCTTGTTACAGTCGTTTTTTGGTAGAATCCTTTGGATTTTGTGCATAAAAGATGTCATCTACAAGTAAAAACAGTTTTGCTTTTTTCCTTTCCAATCTATAGATGCTTTTTTTTTTTTTTTTTTTTTTTTGCCCTTTTGCATTGGGTAGTACTTCCAGTACAATGTTGAATGAAAGTGGTGAATGGACGTCTTTGCCTTTTCTTGTTCTTGATCTTAAATCTTTCACCATTATGTACAATGTAAGCTGTACATTTTTTAATAGATGTTCTTTATCAAATTGAGAAAATTTATTTTTGTTTCTAGTTTATTGAGAGTTTTTATCTTTAGTCATAAATTGGAGTAGAATTTGTCAATTTTTTTTTATCTTTTATTGCTGAACATGTGATTTTTATTCTTTTTTCCGTTAATGAGGTAAACTACATTGATTGATTTTTGAATGTTTAATTTACCTTGTGTTCCTGGCTTAAGCCTCATTTGGTCATGTTTTGTTTTTTGTTTTTATTTTTACTCTGTTGAATTGATTACCTGTTATTTTGTTAAATATATTTGTAGTTTTCATGAAATATCTTAGTATATTTTAATTTAATTTTTAAAATTACAGTAAGATATACATAAAATTTACTATTCTAACCAGTTTTTTAGTGTACAGTTCAGTAGTGGTAAGTACATTCACATTGTCGTGCAACCAGTCTTCAGAACTTCTTTCATCTTCTGTGAAACGCAATGTGCATTAAACAACTCCTCATTACTCCTCTCACCAGCCCCTGGTAACCACTGTTCTACTTTCTATAGCCATGAATTTTACCACATCATTTAAGTGAAAATAATATGTGTGTGTTTTTAATGTGGTAAAATACACATGACATAAATTGATCATTAGTGACATTTAGTATACTCACAGTGTTATACAACCATCACCATTTTCTAGTTCTAGAACATTTTCATAATCCCAAAGGAAACTATCTGTTCACCAGTTACTCCCCATTTTCTTGTTTCCCTGTGGCTCTGACAGCTTCTAATCTGTTTTCTGTCTCTAAGGATTTGCTGACTCTGGTTATTCTATATAACTGGAATTATAGAATATGGGGCCTATTCTGTCCACCTTCTTTCTATTAGAATAATTTCAAGGTTGGCTGAGTAACAGTTCATTGTGTGGATATGCCACATTTTGTTTATCCATTCATACTTTGATGGACATTTGGGTTGTCTCCATCTTTTGGCTATTTAAACTACATGAATATTTGAGTACAAGTTTTGTTTGAGCATGTGTTTCAGTTATTTTGTACATACCCAGGAGCTGAATTGTTTAGTCTTATGGTAATTCCACGTTGAACTTTTTGAGGAAATGCCAAACTATTTTCTACAACAGCCAAACCATCTTACATTCCTGTCAATGTGTAAGGATTCTAGTTTCTCCACATTCTTGTCACCATTTTTTGGATTATAGCCATGCTAGTAGATATGCAGTGGTATCATGTGGTTTAGATTTACATTTCCCCGGTGGCTAATGATACTGAAAAATCTTTTCATGTGCTTTTTGGCCATTTGTATATATCCTCTTTGAAGAAATGTCTATTCACATCTTTTGCCCATTTAAAATAAAATTGGGGTGTTTTTCTTTTTTGTTATTATAACTGGATTTTTAGATATTCTGGATGATAGATCATTATCAGATGTATGCTTTACAGATATGTCTTCCATTCTGTGCGTTGTTTTTTCACTTTCTCAGTGGTATTCTTTGAAGTACAAAAGAAAAGGTAGAGAAATCTAAATTATCTACCTTTTTTATTTTATTCATTTTGATGCTTTTGTAAATGAGATGGTTTTCTTAGTATCCTTTCAGATTGTTCATTGCTAGTGTAGAGGAACACAAATAGCTATTGTGTGTTGATCTTGTACTCTGAAACTTTACTGAATTTGTTAATAAGCTGTAATAGTTTTATTTATTTATTTATTGAGGATTCTCTAGGCTTTTCTATATACAGTAGTCTCCCTTATCAGGGAATATGTTCCAAGACCTTCAGTGGATGCCTGAAACTGCTGATAGTACCAAATCCTATATATATATTTTTTCCTATACTTACATACCTATAATAAAGTTCAATTTATAAGTTAGGCACAGTAGGGGATTAACAACAATAACTAATAATTAAATAGATCAATAAGAACAATATGCCAGCATCACTACTCTTGTGCTGTGGAGCCATTATTTACTAAAATAAGAGTTACTTAACCACAAGCACTGTCATAGCTCAATCTGATAACTGAGAGGGATGCTACATGACTAACGCCTATACAGTGTGGATATGCTGGCCAAAGGATGATTCATGTCCCAGGCAGGACTGAGTTGAACTGCACCAGCATTCATTATTTCTCTTCCTTGCCTTAGTGCTCTGCCTAGAATTTCTAGTACATTGATTAGTGGAGTGGCAGAAGCAGGCATTTGTCTTTTTCCTGATCTAAGTGGGAAAACTCTCAGTTTTTCATCAGTGGAGTAACATGTTAGCTGTGGGTTTTTCATAAGTGCCCTTTACCATGTTAAGGAACTTTCATGCTTTTCTTAGTTTGAGTGTTTTTGTCATGAAAGGGCTTTAGATTTTGTCAAAAGCTTTTCTGCCTCAATTGATATGGTCATGTTTTTGTGGTTTTTTTTCTGCTAATATGCTGTATTACATTGATTAATTTTCTTGTGTTGAATCATCCTTGTATTCCTGAGATAAATACCAATTGGTTATGTTATAAAATCACTTAATATGCTTTTGGATTTGGTTTGCTGGCATTTTGTTGGGGATTTTTGAATCTGTATTCATAAAGGATATTGTCTGTAGTTTTCTTTTCTCATAGTGTCTTTATCTGGCTTTGGCATCAGGTAATGCCGGCCTCATAACATGAATTAGAAAGTATTTCCTTCCCTTATGTTTTTTGGAAGTGTTCGAGATGGATTGCTGTTCATTCTAAGTGTTTGGTAGAATTAATCAGTGAAGCCATCTGGTCCCTGGATTGTCTTTGTTGGGAAGATTTTGATTACTGATTCAATCATTTTACTTGGTATAGGTCCATTCAGATCTTCTGTTTGCTCTTGAGTCAGTTTTGGTAATTTTTTTTGTTTTTTAGGAATTTGTCCATTTTATCTAGGTTATCTAATTTGTTGACATACAATTGTTCATAGTATTCTCTTATAATACTTTTTATTTCTGTAAAGTTAGTAATAATGTCTCCACTTTTATTTCTAATTTTATTTACATTATCTCTTATTTTCTTCATAAGCCTAGCTAAAAATTTGTCAATTTTGTTGATATTTTCAAAGTACCAAGTTTTGTTTTTATATATTGTATTTTTTTTAGTTCTCTGTCTTTATTCTAATATTTATTTTCTTCCTTTTGCTGGCTTTTTACTTAGTTTGCTTTTGGTTTCTAGTTCCTTAAGGTGTAAAGTTAAGTTACTGATTTGAGATCTCTTTTTTAATTTAAGGTAGGAATTTATAGCTATAAATTTTCCTCTGAGCACTGCTTTTGCTGCATCCCACAGTTTTGGTATGTTGTGTTTTTGTTTTCATTCATTTCAAGATACTTTCTAATTTTCTTTGTGATTTCTTCTTTGACTTATTGATTGTTTAAAAGTGTGTTAATTTCCACATATTTGTGCATTTTTTTGGTTTTTCTTTTGTTCTTGATTTAGAATTTTATTCTATTGTGGTGGAAAAGGTACTTTGTATGTTTTCAGTCTTTTAAAATATATTGAGACTTGTTTTATGACCTAACATGTGGTTTATCCTGGAGAATGTTCCATGTGCACTTGGGAATAATATGTATTTAGCTGTTACTTGGTTGAGTGTTCTGTGTATGTCTTTTAGGTTTAGCTGGTTATTGTGTTGTTCAAGTCCTTTCTTGTTACAGGCTGAAAGAATGAGGGTCATGATCAACTCAGTATACCACTGGAGGCTATGTGAGTAAACAGAAAACTGTTTCTTATAAAGGCAGAATGTTAGCAAACTGACAAACTGCGTCTGTCGCCCAGTAGTAATGCTGAGGGCAGTCACGACCTAGGCACAAGTGTTTCTTGTGATTAGGCAAATCTGAAGCCTGTTAGCAATAACATGAACCTGTGTTCAATCAAGCAGCTGACCAATCATTACCTCCTCCTCCCTGCTGTTGCTACCCAATAAATACGAAGGGCTGTGGAAGCTCAGGGGCTACCTTTGCTCACTAGAAGCAGGGAGCTCTTTTCTTCCCCTGGACCCTTCTTTAAAACAGTTTCTTTTGTTTTTTGTTATCATTTCTATGTTCATCCCTATGTTCAGTCTAGTAATGACGGTCTCAAGCAGTAACAGTAGTAACTGCTGTAATGGCAGTCTCAAACAGTAACAGTAGTACCAGCTGTAATGACAGTCTCAAGTAGTAACTGTGGCAGTCTGCCACACTTTCTTATTCTTCTTCTGTCTGGATGTTCTATATGTTATTGAAAGTGTGTTATTTAATTCTCTATTATTCTAGAACTGTTTATTTTATCTTCAGCTATGTTAATATTTTCATATATTTTGAGGTGCTGTTTGGTGTATATTTTTATAATTTTTGTATCTTCTTGAGGAATTGACTCTCTCTGCCTATTGTAGCATTCTTTGTTTTAAAGCCTATTTGTTTGATATTAATATAGCAAACTAAACTGTTTTTTGGTTAATATTTGCATGTTACTTGAATGGAATAAATTTTTCCACCTTTTAACTTTCAACCTTTGTGTCTTTTGATTTAAAGTGATTATCTTCTGGGGAATATAAACCTGTAGATTATGATTTTTAAAGATCCTGTAGTTAGATTATGACTTTTAAAGATTTACCTCCACCCTTTATTTGATGAGTATAACACATTTACATTTAAAGTAATTACTTAGAAGAAATGACTATTTTGCATATGTGTATGAAAAGACATTTCTTTATTTGTTCCTCAGTTACCCCAATAGTACTGTCATTTCTGTTTGATTTTTTTCTAATGTATCATTTTCATTCCCTCTTCATTTCTTTTTCTATATATTCTTAAAGTTATTTTCTTAGTGGTTACCCTGGGGTTTACAGTTAACATAGTAAATTTGTGACACTCTAATTTGAATTTTTACCAACTTAGCTTCAATGGCACATTAAAAACTCTGCCTCTACACAGCTGCATCTTCTATCCTATGTTGTTATTGTCATTAGTTACATTTTTATACACTGTGTGCTTTTTTTTATTTTTTTTATTTTTATTTTTTTGACAGAGTCTTGCTCTGTTGCCCAGGCTGGAGTGCAATGGCACAATCCTGGCTCACTGCAACCTCCGTCTTCTGGGTTCAAGTGATTCTTCTGCGTCAGCCTCCCGCGTAGCTGTTACAGGTGCCCGCCACCAAGCCCAGCTAATTTTTTTGTATTTTTAATAGAGACGAGGTTTCACCAGGTTAGCCAGGCTGGTCTTGAACTCCTGATCTCAGGTGATTCACCCACCTCAGCCTCCCAAAGTGCTGGGATTATAGGCGTGAGCCACTGCACCCGGCCCACTGTGTGCTTTTTATGGGCTGAATTGTGTCCTCCCTAAATTCATATGTTGAAGTGTTAATCCTCAGTATCTCAGAAGGTGATTGTGTTTGGAGACAGGTCCTTAAAAGTGGTTATTAAGGTTAAGTGAGATCATATGGGTGAGCCTTAATCCAACATGACGGTTACCTATATAAGAAGAGTAGATTGGAACACAGACATGCATGCATACGGTGGAAAGACTATGTGAGGACACAGCAAGAAGGCAGGCATCTGGGAGAGACCTCAGAAGAAACTAATCCTGCTGACACCTTGATCTTGGACTTCTAGCCTCCAGAAATAGGAGGAAATAAGTTTCAGTTGTTCAGGCTACTCAGTCTGTGGTACTTTGTTAAGGCAGCCCTAATGAATTAATATGGTGCTCATTAACTTGGATTGATAATTATTGTTTAAGTTGTCTTTTAAATCATATTCAAAGTAAAAGAAGTTCCATATCAAAAATACAATACTACTGACTCTTGTATTTACTTATCTAGTTACCTTTACCAGTTTTCTTTATTTCTTTGGATGGCTGTGAGTTATTGTTTAATATTTGTTCATTTTAGCCTGAAGGACCCTTGTTAGCATTTGTTGTAGGACGGGTCTACTAGTGATGAACTCACTCAGCTTTTGTTCCATTGGGAATATCTTAATTTTCCCATTCTCCCCACCTTTTTTTAAATTTTGAGAGTTAAGTTCACATAATGTTAAATCATCCATTTTAAGTACACAAGGCAGTGGCATTTAGTATATACACAGTGTTGTGCAACCACAATCTTTATCTAGTTTGAGAACATTTTCATCCCTCCAAAAAAATCTTCACACTCATTTAATAAATAAACGGTATTTATTTCTCCTCTCTTCAGCCCCTGGTACCCCAGTTTACCGTTTCTGTTGATTACCTATTCTTGATATTTTATATAAATGGAATTATATAGTGTGATCTTTTGTGTTTGGCTTCTTTCACAATGTTTTCAAGGTGAATCTATGTTGTAATGTGTAGCAATACTTCATTTCTTTTTATGCTAAATCAGATTCTATTGTAAAGTTTTACCACAATTTATTGATTTATTCATCTGTTAATAGCCCTTTTTGTTTGTTTTCACTTTTTGACTATTGTGTATGGTGCTGTTATGAACATTTATGTACAAGGATTTGTTTTGAGTACGTTTTCAAATTCCTTTGGGTATACAACTAGGAATGGGATTGCTGGATTGCATGGTAATTCTATGTTGAAGTTTGTGAAGAGCTGTGAAAATGTTTTCTGCAGCTGCAGAGTGTTTTAATATTTCTACCATCAATGTACAAGGATTCTGGTCTCTTCACATGCTTGCCAACACTTGTTATTTTCCACTTATTATATTATAGCTATCTTAGATTTAAATGATATCTTATTGCAGTTTTGTTTTGTATTTGTTTAATGACTGTTTATGTTGAGGGTCTTTTCATGTGCTTGTTGTCCATTTGTGAATCTCTCTTGTAGAAATATCTGTTCAAGTCCTTTCTCCATTTTTTAATTGGATTGTTTGTTGTTGTTGAGTTATAATGTTTCTTTATATGTTTGGTTACTAGACTTTTATCAGATTATATGACTTACAGATATTTTCTGCCAATTCTTTTGGGTTTTCTTTTCAGTTTCTTGGTGGTGTCCTTTGAAATACAAAAGTTTTGAATTTTGATTAAGTCTAAATTCTTTATT
Source organism: Homo sapiens (assembly GCF_000001405.40). Classification (NCBI taxonomy): domain Eukaryota; kingdom Metazoa; phylum Chordata; class Mammalia; order Primates; family Hominidae; genus Homo; species Homo sapiens. The sequence goes on from NC_000018.10 coordinate 36,855,675, forward strand.
TTTTATTTTGTTGCTTGTGTTTCTAGTGTCAGATATAAGAATCTGTTGCAAAATCCAAGGTCATGAAGATTTACATCCCTGTGTTTTCTTCTGTTTTAACTATTATATTTAAGTATTTATTTAACTATTATATTTTAACTATTATATTGAAGTAGTTAATTCATTTTGAGTTAATTTTTATATATAATGTGATAGAGGCATCCACTATCTTTCTTTTGCATGAAGATATCCAGTTGTCCCAGCTCTCCTTTCATTTTTGAAGGATAGTTTTGCCAGATATTGGATTGTTAGTTAACAGGATTTTTTTTTTCTTTCAGGATTTAAAATATGTCATTCTGCCACTTCCAGCCTTCATGGTTTCTCATTAGGAATTGACTATCTTATTGAAGATTCCTTGTGTATGACGAATCATTTCCCTCTTGTTGTTTTTAAGATTTTCTCTTGTCTGATTTTAGACAGTTTTATTATAATATGCTTTGGTGTGGATTTCTTTTTTTATCCTCCTTGGAGTTTGTTGACATTTTTGGATGTATAGTCATGTCTTTTATCTAATTTGGGAAGTTTTTTGGACATTATTTCTTCAGGTATGCCTTTTTGCCTTTCTTTCTCTCTTCTTCCTTTGTGACTTCCATTATATGCATGTTGATACCCTCGATGTCATTCCACAGGTCCATTAAACTCTCTTCACTTTTTCTTTCTGCTCCTTAGATTGAATAATTTCAATTGTCCCACCTTCAAGTTTGCTGATTGTTTCTTGTGCCTTCTCACATCTGCTGCTGAACTCTTCTGGTCATTTTTAAATTTTGAGTATTATACTTCTCAGGTCCTGAATTTCTAGTTGGTTCCTTTTTACAATTTTGTTCTCTTTATTGATATTCTCTATTTGTTCAGGTGTTGTTTTCCTTAGTTTCTTGACCATAGTTCTTTTAGTTCTTTGAGTGTATTCAGGACAGTTGATTTCAAGTCTTTGCCTGATAAATCCAATATGTAAGCTATCTCAATGTAGCTTTCTATTAACTTCTTGTTCTCCTATTAATGGGTCAAAAATTCTTATTTCTTTCTATGCCTTATAGTTTTTATTGACAACTAACATCTTGAATGTTATAATATGGTAATTGTGGAAATCTAGATTTCCTTCAGCTTCCCAGAGTTTGCTGTTGTTGCTTGTTGAGGTCTGCTGTTGCCTGTTTGCTTAGTGACTTTTCCAGGCTATTTTTACAAAGACTTCCTTGTCATGTAGTCTCTGAAGTCTTTGTTTTGTTATTTCAATGTCAGCCAGTGACTTGACCTTGAACCACTGAAGCCAAAAAGAGAAAAACATACTCTCTCAGTCATTTTAGATTGGCTCTAATCTGATGTATTCCTTCAACGTTCAGCCAGTTAGTCTACAACTCTCCCTTAGCCTCCTTGCACTGCTAAGGCAAGGAGGCTTGCACTGAGCCTAAAGATCAGCCAGAGGTATGTACCTTTTATAAGGTCTTTTCTGAGCATGGCTATGGCTATCAGCATATGCATTACACTCTGGATTCCCTGGTGTATGTGGAAGCCACTCGAAGCCCTTATTTTACCAAATAGGTTCTTTTTTATTCTTCTCTTTCCTAAACTTTTTAGTCCATCTACTTGTCCCACCTGCTGTCTCTTTTGCCAGGTATCTGTGAGTAGTATATGTCATCTTTAAGTGATTTTGACAGACAATGCTTGGAAATCTGCTCTAGCCTGAAGGAGCTGACACAAAAGCAAGCCTCTCTGCCAGTCTATCAGGTCAAAATAAATAACCACAAATATTTGATAACAAGGTCCATATTGTCCCATTAGTACCAGCAAGCCTCACCAAGATTGAGCCATCATCCTGGCGGCCGCCATTGATCTGGGGAATGGGGGATGAATGGTAAGTGGACAAGCGAAAGCACCATACCATCCTTTTACCAAAATTTCCCAGCCTCTTTCCTCATTAAGAACTCCCCTGGTTACTATGAGTTTTGATTAGCTTTCAGAGTTCTGAAAAAGTTGATTTTGTTAGTTTTTGCCAGCTTAACAGTCACTTCAGTGAAGAGAAATTTTTGGAGCCCCCTACTCTGCTATGTTTTGTAATGATACCCCTCCATGGTGGTGTTTTTAAATACTTGGGGATTTTCCAGAAAACTTTTTAAAAAATTGGTTTCTAATTTAATTATTTTATGGTCAGAGACCATATGATTTTGGCCTTTCTATATTTATTGAAACTTGTTTTATGGTGCTAGGCTATGACTTAATTTTGAAAAATGTTTCATGTGCTTTTGAAAATAATGTTTATTCTATCATTGTTTATAGTGGTCTATGGTTGCCAATTAAGTCAAGTTGATTGATAGTTTTATTCAAGTTTTCAATATTTATACTGATTTTCTTTCTCTTTATATATGGTATACATATTACCAAAAAAGGAATGCCATTATCTCCAGCTATACTTGTAGATTTGTCTGTTTCTCCTTTCATTTCTGTCATTTTTGCTTCACTTACATTGAACTTGTGATAATAGATTAATACACTTTTACAGTTATTATATTTTCTTGATAGACTATTTTATCATCACATGCCCCCTTCATCCCTGCTAATATTAGTTGTCCTGTAGTCTGCTTTTTCTGATGTTAATATATCCATGGCAGCTTTCTTTAAAATTAGCATTTGCATGGTATACTTTATTTTTTTCTTTAAGCATTTTATCTTGAAATAATTTTAGACTTACAGATGAGTAACAGATAGTTCAGAGAGTTCCCATTTAGCTTTCATTCAGCTTTCCCTAGCATCTACAGCTTATATAACTATAATATATTTATTAAAACTAAGAAATTAACACTGGTATAGTACTGTTAATTAGCCTATCAACTTTGTTTTGGTTTTCCTGGTTTTTAACCCTTAACCTATTCCCATTCCAGGATCCAATTCAGTATGCCACATTGCATTTAGTTGTCATATCTTCTTAATCTTCCCCAATATATATAGCTTTCCTTGTTTTTCATGACCTTGACACTTTTGAAAAATACTGGTCAGTTTTTTTGTAGACTGCTCCTTAATTTGGGATTTGATATCTTCTAGGACTAGACTGGGTTTTTGGGACGAATTCCACAGAGGTGAAGTGCCCTTTCCATCACACATGATGCATCATCAGCATATGATACCAGCATGACCTACTATGGTTGATTAATGCATGTTTGCTCTTAATACTTTTATGGTTGCCTTTTCTTACACTTAAATCTCTGATCCATTTGTAACTTTTCCTAGTGAATAGATTTAATTTTTTATATGACTTTCCAAAAATTCCAGTACCACTTATTAAGTTTTTCATTTTTTCCCCTTGGATTGAGATGCAGTCTTTTTTTATACATACAACTTCATGGGCAATTAAATTTTCTATGTTTTTATGATATGTTGCATAAGCAATTGAATCTTTTGTGTGTTTATAATTCTATCCATTTGCATGCCAATATTAAACTATTTTAATTATATCTTAATATCTGTGTGTATCTTTATACTCCTTCTCCCCACCTTCATTGTTCATTTTAACAAGTGCAGTTTCCTCTCTATTCTTGTTTCATTATGTCTCCTTTATTTTTTAATTTTCTTTCATCACCTGAAGAGTTTTGATGGCCTTGTTTTGTTTTCTTATTTTATTAAATTTATGTTTGTTGGGTTCTTTTTTCTGTTCTCAATTTTATTATTGGATTTTTTTCAGTTTTCATATATATTGGCATAAAGTTGTTCAGAGTTGATTATTTTTTAATGTCTATATCTAAATGATGTGCCTTAAAAAAAATGATCAGTTCCCTCCCTCACTCCCTGCCTTCCTGCCTTCCTGCCTTCTTTTCTTCCCTCCCTCCCTCCCTCCCTTTTTCCTTCCCTACCTCCCTGTCTCCCTCTCTCCCTCTCTCTCATTCTCTCACTCTCACTCTCTCTTTCTCTGTTTCTCTCTTTCTTTCTTTTTGGGGACAGTGCCTCGCTGTGTTGCCCAGGCTAGTCTTGAACCCCTGGGCTCAAGCTCTCCTCCTGCCTCAGCCTCCCACAGTGTTGGGATTATAGGTGCGAGCCACTGCACTCTGCCTTCTTGTATTTTTTGCTTTGAAAAATTCTGCTTTTTATTATTTTTGTCTTTTTTTTTTAATGTGAGTTGAATTTATTCTATCTTTACTGTCCATTTTTTTTTTTACAGGAGTTGAATTTATTCTTCTATACCTAACTTTTTATAATAGATATGTAACTCATTGATTTTCATTTCCTTTTTTTTTTAATGTGTACTTATAAAACTATTTCTCTCTAAATGTTTTCTTATTCCACATATTTTGATATGTAATATTTTACTGTCATCCATTTAAAAATTTTCTTTAATTTTTGACATGTTTTATTTAAATGCTTAATTCTTAATTTGTAAACAAATTGGGGATCTTCTGTGTATATTTGATAGCTATCTGAATTGAATTGTGAAAAGAATGTATTTTGTGTGATTTTACTAGTTTGAAAAAATCTTGGAACTTGCTTTACTAGCATACCATGTGGTCGTATTTTGAATACGTTCATATATGTTTAAAAGAATACATGTTTTTGCTTGTTGAGGGCGTTGTTCTTTTTATATTCATTAAGTCATCTTGATTATATTCAAATCTTCTATTTACTTAGTGATTTTTTTAACTCATGAATTTCTGAGAAGTTTTAAAGTTTCCCACTGTGATTTGAGACTTCTCTTAGATTTATCAATTTTGCCTTGTGTGTTTGACTCTATATTTATTAGTTTTATACAATTATAGCTGCATTTTTTTTCATTGTTGTTAAATGAACCTCTGGTTACCCTGGAGAATTGTAGTATGCATTCTTGACTAATCACAGTCGTTGAATATTAATTGGCACTTTTAGCTTTTCTAAACAGTGCAAGAACGTTAGAACACATGAGCCACATTTTCCTTTCTTGGTATAAATTATGTTACATGTTACAGTTCTGTGTGTTTACATGTATATTTAAATTTTAACTCAGCATAATGTCACTGCTCTTTGTAATATTTTAAAATAATTTTAAGCTTACAGAAAAATTGTAAAAATATCACAGGGTGAGAGAATAGAAAATGAACTGCTAAGCGTTTTGGCAGAATGAAAATGTTTAAAATTAGATTATGGTGATGGTTACAGAACTCTGTAAAATATACTAAAAGCCATTTAATTGGATATTCTAAATGGGTGAACTTTATGATATGGAAAAAAATCTCAATAAGCTATTTTTTAAAAAATAGTACAGAGGGTTCTCTTCCCTTCCCCTAGCTTTGTCTAATGTTAACATCCTGAATAATCATGGTGAAATTATAAAAAATTAACCTTGGTACAGTACTATTAATTGCTACAGGGTTTATTCAGATTTGACTAGTGTTTTTTTGTAAACAAATATGTTCTTTTCTGTTCTAGTATCCTGTTTTACATTCAGTTTTCATGTTTCTTTAGTCTCCTCCTGTTTGTGGCAATTCCTTAGTTTTATCTTGCCTTCCAAGTCTTGACACTTTTGAAGAGTACTAGTCAGATATTTTGTAGTATTTCCTTTCATTTGTTTTTTTTCTCAAGATTATATTGTTTTCTGATACGTTATATCGGGTGTACATGAGGTTGATGTGTTGATATGTCTTATCACTGGTGGTTTAACTTTTGTCAGTTGGCCAGTGTATAGTGTGCTAGGTTTCTCCCCTGAAAAGTTATTATTTTTCTCTGTGTAATTAATTAATATCCTGGGGGAGATCCATTGAGACTATTCAAATATACTGTTTGTTCTGAAACTTTTACCCACCATTATAAGCATCCATCCAAGAAACTTGCCTGCAACTATTACAGTGATGTTCTAATGGTTACTTTATATTTCCTTTATTTGTTTTGCATTTATTAATTGGAATTCATATTTAAGGATGAGCTCTCCCTTTTGCCCTATTTATTTATTACAGTATTTATTTTGTTATTTATTTTTATCAGTATCAGACTCATGGATATTTATTTTCTTCTTTTTTTCTGTTTAGACAGGATCTAGCTCTGTTGCCCAGGCTGAAGTAGTGATGTGATTATGGCTTAATGCAGCCTCAACCTCCTGGCCTCAAGCATTCCTCCCATCTTAGCTTCCCAAGTAGCTGAGACTACAGGCATGCACCATCACACTCAACTAATTTTTTTTTCTTTTATAGATATAAAAAAATCATCATGTTGCCCAGGCTGGTCTTGAACTCCTGGGCTCACACCATCTACCAGCCTTGGCCCCCAAAAAGTGCTGGGATTGCAGGCGTGAGTCACTGTGTCCAGTCCCATTTATTTTATTCTAATCCAGGACTCACCAAAACAAAAATGAAATAAGATGTTACTTTAAAAAAAGAAACAACTTTTTGTTTTGAGATAATTGTAGATTCACCTGCAGTTGTTAGAAATAATACAGAGAAAGCCCATGTACCTTTTACCCAGTTTTTAACCAATGGTAATATTTTGATTACAGTACAATATCACAGGAAATTGACATTGATAGAATCCATCAATTGTGTACAGATTTCGCCAATTTTACATGTATTTATTTGTGTATGTCTTTAATTCAGTGCAATTTTTTCATGTGTAGATTTGTGTACCATTGCCATAGTCAAGATATGAAACAGTTTCTTTTCTACTCATGCTATCTTTTTATAGACACAAATACTTTCTTTCCTATCTGCCTTCTCTAATTTCTTGGAACCACTAATCAGCTGTCTCTATGATTTTGTCATTTCAAGAAAGCTATGTAAGTGGAATCATACAGTATGTAACATTTTGTGACTGACTTCTTTTTTTTTAAACTCAGCATAATTCTCTTTAGGTCCATTCATGTTGTTGCATGTATCAATAATTTGTTCCTTTTTACTGCTGACTGGTATTCCATGATAGAGATGTACTGCAGTTTGTTTAATCATTCGCCTGTTGAAGGACATTTGTGTTGTCTCCAGTGTTATAAATGAAGCTGCTATGAACATCCATATGTAGGTTTTTGTGTGAACATCACATTTTAATTTCTTTGGGATACTGTAACTAATGTTTAGTTTCATAAGAAGCTACTAAACTATTTTCCAGAATTTTTGCACCATTTTACATTCCCAACAGCAATGTAAGAGGTCTTCTTGCATTCTTGCTAACATTTGTTATAATTAATTTCTATTCTAGTCATTCTGGTAGGTGCTTAGGGATATCCCATCTCTATTTTAATTTGCATTTCTCTAATGGGCAGTGATGTTGGACATTGTTTCATGTGCTTATTATTTCCATCTGTATCTTCTTCAGTGAAATGTCTATTCATTCCTTTAGCCCCATTTCTTATTGCAATTTTTTTGTTGTTGTAACTTGAATTTTGAGAGTTCTTTATATGTTCTAGATAAAAATCCTTTATTGGATATGTACTTTGCAAATACTTTTATCTAGTTTGTAGCTTGCCTTTCATCCCCCTTCACTGAATTTTTCCTAGAATAAAAGTTTTGAATTTAACTAGGTCCAGTTTTTCAGTGTTTTTTCCCTTTTTAAGCCCATGATCCATTTTGAGTTAACTTTTGAATAACATGTGAGGTTGAGGTTCTTTTTTTTTTTCCCCAATTGATGTACAGTTATTCTAGCACCATTTGTTGAAATCTTTTTTGCACTTTTGTCAGAAATTGGCATATTCATATGGGTCTTTGTCTAGGTTCTTTTTTCTGTTCCACTGGCCTATGTGTCTATTTCTCTGTCAACTGCCTTGATTACTGTAGCACTATAGTAAGCCTTAATACTAAGTAGAATGACTTTTCCTACTCTATTCTTTTTCAAAATTATTTTAGCTCTTCTAGTCCTGTGCCTTTCCACAATAATTTTGGAATAAGCTTGTTAATGTCTACATAAAATTCTGCTGTTATATTAATAGGTGTTACATTAAACTATAGATCAAATTTGGGAAGAATCGCTGCCTTTGCTGGGTTGGGTCTTCTCATCTATGAACATGGTATGTTGCTCCAATTATTTAGGTCTTTGATTTCTTACAATAGCTTTTTGTAATTTTCAGGATAAAGATACTATACATATTTTCTTATATCTAAGTATTTAATTTTCTTTGGTGCAATTGTAAAAGGTATTATATTTTTTGATTCTGCTGTTCACATTTTTGTTGATAGTGTATAGAAATATGATTGAATTTTGTCTGTTGATATTGACTCCTGCAACCTTGCTGAACTCACTTATTAATTCTAGGAGTTTTGCTGTTTATTCTTTGGGATTCTTTTATGTAGACTATCATGTCATTTGCAAATAGGGACAGTTTTATGACTTCCTTTCCAATAGGTATCTCTTTTATTTCTATTTCTAAACTTCTGGTCCTAACTAGAATTTCCAGTGCTATGTGAGTAAGAATAATGAGAGAGGACATCCTTGCTATGTTCTTGATTTTAGGTGGAAGGCATTCAGCCTATCACCATTATTCCTAGTTTTATAAGATTTTTATTATGATTGCATGCTGAATTTTGTTAAATGCTTTTTCTCTGTCGATTGATATGATTACATGAGTTTTCTTTAGCCTATTGATATGGTAGATTACATTGATTGATTTTTGAAAGTTGAATCAGCCTTGCGTACCTGTAGTGCCTCACTTGTTATAATTGTTTTTTTTTTTTTTTGAAATGGAGTCTTGCTGTGTCGCACAGGCTGGAGTGCAGTGGCACAATCTCGGCTCACTGCAAGCTCTGCCTCCTGGGTTCACGCCATTCTCCTGCCTCAGCCTCCTGAGTAGCTGGGACTACAGGCGCCTGCCACCACGCCCGGCTAATTTTTTGTATTTTTAGTAGAGACGGGGTTTCACTGTGTTAGCCAGGAGTTATAATTGTTTTTATGTGTTGTAGGATTTGATTTTCTATTAGTTTGTTTGTAATTTTTATATCAAAGTGGTCAGTAGTTTTTTTTTTTTTTTTGTACTGTCTTGGTCTGTTTTTGGTATTATACTAGCCTCAAAATGAGTTAGGAAGTCTTCTTCTATTTTCTGGAATAAACTGTGGAAAGATGTTGCTAATTCTTATTTAAATATTCACTGAAACCATCCAGGCTTAGAGAGTTAATATAACTTTTTAGTTAAAAATTCAGTTTCTTTAATGGCTTTCAGATTATTCAAGTTGTCTATTTCATCTTGGTTGAGCTTTGGGAGCTTGTGGTTTTCAATAATTGTTTCTTTTTTTAAAGCTAATTTTTAAGTTAATGACTTCAGGATCTGTGCTTTCATTTCTGACAGTGATTTGTTTATTTTTTTACCTCTGTTTTGCTAGGTTTAGTTTATTGACTTTTTTTTTTCAAAGAACTAGCTTTTTATTTTGTTGATTTTTCTCTATTTTTTGTTCTCTATTTCATTGATTTTTTTTCACTCTTATCTCTATTATTTCCTTCCTTCTCATTGCTTTGGACTTATTTTCCTCTTCTTTTTTTTATGTCTTATAGTAGGAACTTAGAGATCATTCTTTTTCAATGTAAGCATTTAATGCTATATACCTTCTTCTCAGCACTACTTTTACTGTACCCTACCTATTTTAATTCGTTCTGTTTTCATTTTTATTTCATTCTTCTTTGATTTTATTTTCATTCAATTCTATGTATTTTTTTATTTCCCTTGAGACTTCTTTGATCCACAATTTTTTAAGAACCATGCCATATAATTTCCAATCATACGGAGATTTTTCTCGTCTTTCTATTACTGATTTCTAGCTTAGTTCTATTATGAATAGAGAATAACTTTTAAAATGATTTTGAGCCTTGTTTTATGATGTAGTATATAGTTGATCTTGGTTAATGTTCATAAGTGCTTGAAGAAAACATTTATAATTGTAACTCTCTTGGATGACTTCGAGAGATCTGCTTCCTGTTAGCTTTAATATATTCCCCCCTCGTTTTTTTGTTTAGTAATCCTGTATGTAACTAATCTTTTTATCTGTGTTGCTACTCCCTCTGCTGCACAGAAGTCATCTTTATTTTGCTGAAACTCTGACTCCTGTTTCAGTCCATCACCCTCTGATGGATGCCCTCTTCTCCCTGCTTGTGTTGCAGCACACCAGTTCAGGATACACTCTGTCTAAATGCCCTCCTTATGCCTCTCTGGTTCTGACTCTTCATGTTGGACCATCCTCTCACTTTATACTGTCATATCCCACACCAGGCCACTGCTTTGTGGTCATGTCCTCCTTACCCTTTTTCTGGCTCTGACTCTGCCTGCTGGTCTGCTCCCTTGTGTGGATGTCCTCTTTACCCACCTCAGGCTTTGTCATTCCACATCAGACTGCCCGTTTTTGAGTATAACCCTGCTCTCTGCCTGGGCTCTGATGCTACACATGGGGCTGCCCCGCTGAGTATATGTCCTCATCCTCCTTGAGCTCTAATACCCTGTTTCAAGTTAACTGTTTGTTGGCTAATCTTCACCAGTACCCACTACCAACTCCTGCATAGATCCGCTCCTCCCCATGCTTGGGCTCTGAATCTCTATGCTCAGTCACCCCAGTCCTCCTGCAAGGACACCCACCTCACCTTACTTTGGTTCTGCCAAATCATGCTAGGCTGCTTCTCCACATGGATGTCCTTCTTCTCTTACTTAGGTTCTGACATTGGGCTGGTATTAGACCACCCCGATATGTGGATGCCCTTGTCAGCCAAGGGATGCTTGAGCCCCAACATCCCACCCCAGGAAACTCTTCTGTACAGATGCTCTCTTTATCCCCCTCAGATTCTGACTCTGCTTGTCATTATGGTCTTAGAATTGTTCAGGAGGAAAAGGAAAGTGGAAAATAAATTTAAAAAAAAGGAGTGAAAGTTCAAATTTCAGATGAGAAAAAAGTGATCTCTTTGAGTAAAGACATTAAGTGTATTTCCTTGTTAATGAACAAACACATTATATTTATATACTTTTTTCCCAATTATATCATATAAAATAAGACAAACCCTCTGCTTCTTTTGTCTTCTGCCTATCTTGCCTGATATATTGCATTTTTAATCAGTCAACTTTTGGATAAATAGAGAATCATAAAAAAGTATTAATAGAGAATGACTAGGAGGCTGAAGTTTTAAAAGTTGTTTTGATTTACATCTTTTCAGAAAATAATAGCTGTGAGGCATGAAAGATGTTTAATTTATATTAAAGGTCAAACCAAGTGGGAGAAAAATGTCAGAAGATTTAGAAAAACTTATATATTCCTATGACATATTCAAGTATAGCATACTTAAAGAGTTTCAACTGTTGTGCACATCCACTAACACTATTTTGGAGAAGTCACTCAGAGTGCTTGGTACCCAACACTGTCATATGACAAGCATATTTTCAGAAGGATATAATATTCATCAGCTCTCAACACAACATATAAAACAAATAACATGTGATATAGTTTGGATATTTGTCCCTTCCCAAATCTCATGTTGAAATGTGATCCCCAGCGTTGGAGGTGTGTCCTGGTGGGAGGTGATTGGATCATGGGGGTGGATTTCTTATGAATGGCTTAACACCATCCTCTTTGTGCTATTCTTGTGATAGTGAGTTCACTGTTCTCACTATCATGAGAAATGAATGGTTTAGCTTTTAAACAACAACAGAATCTCATTGTTTAAAAGTATATGGCACCTCCCCCACCATCTTGCTCCTGCTTTCACCATGTGAAGTGCCAGTTTGCCTTCTGCTGTGGGTAAAAGCTTTCTGAGGCCTCCCCAGAAGCAGATGCCAGCACTGTATTTTCTGTACAGCCTGCAGAACCAGGAGCCAATGACACCTCTTTTCTTATACATTACCTAGTCTCAGGTATTTCTTCATAGCAACGCCAGAATGGCCTAATACAGCATGTTTTTCAATTACAGAGTGACATGCAGCATAAAGTCAAAGCAAAAACTATAACTTCTTTTTAATGGTGTGGTTGAAGTTTAAAGCATTCTTACAAGAGCATGGCCAAGAGTGGCTTTCATGTATCTTGGAGGGTTTAATTGAAGTCTTCTCTGTGAGGTCCTCTTTAGTTAGTATTTTTATGGGTACAATGTATGAAAGAACAGTAAAGATGCCTATATAAATGTGAATAAAAGTGAAAATAAAAGTGAATAAAAGATATAAATAAATTTTAGAATTGGTATACTAGACGGAACAATTGATGCATTCAAACAGGGTGAAAGACAGTAGTAACAAGCTCAGCATATTATGTGTCTAAGAATAAAAACAAATTAGAAATTTATGTTAAAGAAAGACTTACTGGTTAGGCCCCATAGACTAAAATAAAGAAATCTCTGGTTCATAATTAAATTTAACTTTAATGTGATTCAGCCATTTGCGCCACTTGACAAGAAAACAGATTAAAGTGCCTGATATGGTTTTCAGTAATCTATGGATGTCTCCTTAATAATCTGTATATGCTCAGGAAACTTTTTTGCTTGTTTTAGCCATGCTAATAAAAGAATAGAATACGAATGTGAGTCTGAATTTATGGGCTAATGAAAGACAGAAGCCACAAAGAGAAATTAGGGGTATAGTGAATTATTTAGCTTGTAGAAGAGAGTGCTAAGGGATGAGTTGATATATGGGTTTAAAGTAAATGAAGGGGTTTCCCTGAGGTGTCCAGAATTGATTTACATTTGCAGAAGGATAAGTGGAATATTGATTGATCTTTCTAGGAGGTATTAGGATAGAAAGAATTCTTTTTGTACAAGATTGCAAAATTAAGTGACCTCAGAAGGTCTTTTTCAATAAAATTAATGAATTGTTTGCATAGCTGGGGAAAGCAGTGTCATTTTTGAAGACTTGAAAAATGAATGGCTTTGCAAAATACTATAGTTTGTGCTGAAAGACGCTGATAATTCTCTATACATGCATTTGCATTTTGTTACTGAGACTTTTTAAGATAGGGAGAGGTACCATAGACTACCGCACAGATTGTACTGTAGACCTGGTCTTTAAAGGAAAAAAGTTTCAAAGTTTTAGAACAATGTTGGCCACAATTGCAATTTTTGATGTATATGAGCTATGTTCTAAGAAGCCTTAAAAAAACCATCCAGTATTTCATGTCCTAAGCCCATACTGTCAAGTATTGCATTGTTCCCCAGTGAATACTTGGGCACTAACTCATTTGAGGACATGGTTCTTTTTTAGACCCAGATACATTGATTTTTCCCAGAGGACAGTTTGCTATTTGTACTTGACATTTCTCAGAAGAAAAATAGAAAGTGTAGCACCATTACTTTCCCGTTGTAAAATGAATAAATCATTATTATTTTATATTTATTCTGGTCTTTATTTTTTTAAACTGATCGTAACTTTTTTGTTGAAATTAAATGTACATTGATTGCGTACAATATGAAAATTAGAGGGCCTAATTTTTCAGTGACTCAGGTTTTTTTCTTTCTTTTTTTTTTTTTTGTCTTCCCACCAGAAGCCTTTATGGATTTTGTTTGGGGTCAAGGGAGTAGTATACAATACTGTTTATAATGGATTACATAGAAAATTTTAAGAAAAGGAACCTTGAATTTGTTTTAGGTAGAAAGGCATTCTCTGAATTTTAGTGGAATTTACACTATAGGCAGTATGCCAAAATCCATTTTCAGGTGGTTGTTCTGAGCTCTGTATCAAAAGAATATCTTTTGAGTAACTAGTGTACACTTAACAATATTTCTTCTGGTTCTAACCAGACCCTACCTCCTAAAAGAAGTTCGTTTTCTATAGCATTTTTTTCTTTTGCGTAGTATGTGGATAATTTCCTGTGACCTTGCTAGATCTACTCAGAATTATGCTTGGGTCAAATTTTGGTTATGAAAAGCTGAAAGGCTGTACATGTGGATAATTTCCTGTGACCTTGCTAGATCTACTCAGAATTATGCTTGAGTCAAATTTTGGTTATGAAAAGCTGAAAGGCTACCACTACAGGTACATGTGATATGCAAGTGTATGCTATAGCTATTCTCAGGCAGTTTTCATGTTCATGTGCATATTTTTCTCTTTCATAGTTTACTTTTTATATGCCTGTTGTAGTGAATTTAGGCTTCTTAGACCTGAAATGAACAGAAGAAAGGAAGTATCACTGAGCTAAGGGAAGGGAGAAGAGGTAACCAGAAATATATATATGGCAATTATTTAGGTTACTGCCTCAAAATTGGAACTGTGGCTTGAATTTAGGACATTTGAGAATTGAGTATTCTCAGGTTAGTACTTTATAATTGAAAGTGTTTATTCTTTTTTTTTTGAGACGGAGTCTCACTCTGTCACCAGGCTGGAGTGCAATGGCGCGATCTGGGCTCACTGCAACCTCTGCCTCCCGGGTTCAAGAGAGTCTCCTCCCTCAGCCTCCCAACTAGCTGGGATTACAGGTGCGCGCCACCACGTCCAGCTGATTTTTGTATTTTTTAGTAGAGACGGGGTTTCACCATGTTGACCAGGATGGTCTCGATCTCTTTACCTCGTGATCTGCCTGCCTCGGCCTCCCAAAGTGCTGGAATTACAGGTGTGAGCCCCTGTGCCCGGCCTGAAAGTGTTATTCTTACCATATAAATTTTCAGGTTTTGATTGAAAAACAATTAGTGATCCTTTGCTCTGTGATCTGATGTTTCAAAGCATTTTGGAAGAGATGATCAGTTTTTGTCAAGTAATACTGAATTTGTTTTGGTAGTTTTTAGAGTAATTGATTAATCTAAGATACTGGTATACCCTTGAGTGATATTTTACGTTAGCTCTTGAAGAGGCCAAAACATTGCATCTTTATTCATTCTGAAATATAACTTTTCTAATTTTAATTTACTTATGGTAATATAAATATTAAAATTATTCCATTAAAAAATAAAGCTAAAATAAAATAGTAGCAGATGAAGTAAAATTCCTCTTTGACAATCCATCCCTTCCTGTCCTCCCATAGATATGCTGCGTATGTTTGGGTGGGATTTATTTCTTTTTAACTTTTTATTTGAAGTAATTTAGAACTTACGGAAAGGTTTGCCCAGCTTTGCATACATTTTGCATTACAGAAGTACAGTGATCAAAACTAAGAAATTAACATTGGTGCAGTATTATTAACTAAACTCATATCTCACCAATGTCATTTCACTAATATCACTTTTTTCATTCAATAGTCAATTCAAGATCTCAAGTTGTATTTAGTTGTCACATCCCCTTAGTCTTCTTCAATTCAGTCTTTCATAACCTTGACACGTATGTGTTTTGTAGAATGTTCTTTAATACAGATTTGTGTGTTTTCTCTTGATTCAATTCAAATGGGTGTTAGAATGCCCAAGGGGCTCCCCACTCTTACCTGCCCACATTTGGCCTCCACCAAGCTGAAATCGTCTTACCCATTTCCAGCTGTGGCTGCCCCAGGTTAGCTGGGGCTCACACCTGTATTTTCCCGTCAACATGAGTCTCCTTAGATTTCTGGTTGGTTGGTTGCCCTTCAACCTTAGCTCTCAATTGGAAATTGAGAAGGAATATCTGGCCCACGTGAAGGGAAGTTATGCCTAGAGGAATTTGAAACCTACAGTGCACTGTGGATAACTTACATCAACATTATACCTCACATCAGCCTAATATCTGTTAGAGTAACTCAACTCCTACACTAAAAATCTAGCCAAAGGAAAAGTCTGCTCGCTATCAAGTATGGAAATTAATTTACTTCCATCTCTACTTCAGATGATGCATTTTTTGGCAAGAAAACAACAGAAGTGATGTGTCTTTTCAATAGGTCATATCAGGGGCTACCTGAAATTGACATGCCTTTTTGCTGATGATGTTAAACTTGATTACCTGATTAAGGGGGTGTCTGCAGGTTTCTCCACTGTGAAATTATTTTTCTTTAATTAATATAGTTCTATTGATTATAATCTAATATTGTTATTTATTTTGTTGCTAAAATTGTTCCAGCCTTGGAAATAAGAAATGTTGGGAACATAAGAGTGAAAACAAATGAATATGTAAGCAAGTAGGTAGGTATGTGTAAATAATTATGTAGGTATGTCTAAGTGACAGTAAAGAACATTGCTGCCAGTATTACAATTTAAAAAGAAGGTGGAAGAGACCGCAAGCCTAGGACATTTCTTGAAACTGACAGAGAGCTAAGGTTGAAGGGCAACCAACCAAGCAGAAATCTAAGGAGACTTATGCTGATAGGGAAAGACAGGTGTGAGTCCCAGCTAAACTGCAGCAGACACAGCTGGAAATGGGTAAGATTTCAGCTTGATGGAGGCCACATGTGGGCAGGTAAGAGTGGAGGGCCCCTTGGGCAGCAAATATGGGAGAGCTTGAACTCTCTTGCAGGCTTTTTCTTCTTAGGCCCCACTTGGTGAGAGCCCTGATCAAGCATCAATCTTGCTCGATGCCTGGGGGAAGGAAACAGTAGTTGCCATGGAAAAGAAACAAAGTTCCTGGGTCCTTCTCCTCTATCTTCCCTGTGTAACAAAAAACATAGTTTCAGGAAGACGAGCAACATAAACTATTATCCTTAGGATACTCGTAAAAATCACTGGGTGGTGCTGGGGCTGGGTCCAGGTGGTGAGGAGGGTCCAGGGGGAGGCAAAAAATAACCTGTGGGGAGGGCAGAGTTATATGCTGGTCCAAGAACTATGGAAGAGGAACAGGAGCACTTCTAAGACCCTAGGCATATGAGTCTGATTAGCACAGGCCTGATTAGAATAACAGAAAATATCACCTCAACCAGGACCCCCACCATCAGACTAACAAGTATCTAGTAAAAGTAGTAGATAAATACTGATGAGAAACTCATTAGATGGACCCTCTAAGAGGAAACTCATAAAGCTGAACATGAAGCAGACATTGAGAAGGAATATCTGGCCCACCTGAAGGGAAGTTATGCCTGAAGGAATTTGAAACCTGTGGTGCACTGTGGGTAACTATGGCAACAATAAACCTCAAACCAGCCTAACATTTGTTAAAGTAACACAACTCCTACACTAAAAACCAAGCCAAAGGAAAAGTCTGCCCATTACCAAGAATAGAAATTATTTACTTCAGTCTCTACTTCCTACCCAAGATGTCCAGATAGCAATAAAAATATGAGACATATGAAAAGTTAGAGAAAACAACATGCATACAAAGAGAACAACAGACACCGGTGCAGTTATGGCATAGATGTTGAAACAATCTGATGAGGAATTTAAAATAACTGATTAATATGCTAAAATCTGTATTAGTTATTTATGGTGGCCTAATACATTATCACAAAATTTAGCAACTTAAAACCCCGGTAAGCTTCCTGGAGGCCCTATTGTTTGATTGAAAGGTTTTGTGAGGCCCAACTTTAATAACTTTAAAGTGCCTTTTGTGTGACTGTATTGAAGCATCAACTTTGATCTTTCTGAGGTCTTAATGAAAGATTCATCCTTGCTTTTATCTCTAGAGCATGTTTTTCCAGGTATTCTTCCAGATTTGGAATTTTCTCAGAAGACATTTCTTAATTTTAGCATGTTTTTCGCTATGGGCAGGCTGAGTATGAAGTCCTGGCTCATTTTGGTTTAATAATCTTTCCTTCAATTTCTCTCTTTCTTCTCCCAGTTTACTATAAGCACCAAAAAGAAACCAGGTGGCATCTTCAGCAGGTACTTGAAAATCTCCTTAAGTAAATCAGTCACCCAGATCATTTGGCATATTTCCTACTCTACACATTATTAAACATGATAGTGTTGGTAAACATTGTGCTACCACATGCAATGATTACCCTTCCTGCAATTTGCAGAAACATGTTTTCAGGGCCTCTCCTTGTGGTGGCTTACAACATGGCAGCTGGCTTCCATCAGAATGAGCAAGAGTAAACAAGACAGTAGTCCCTATCTTTTTGTAAACTAAGCTGAGATGTGACATCTCATCAATTTTGAGAGTCACTAGATCAAGGCTATACTTGAGGATAGGGTATTAAAGAAGGACATGAATACCAGGAAACAGGGATCACTGGTTTGTATTGTAGAGGTTACCTACCACAATAACTGATTTTCCTTAATTTGCTTGTTTTAATATATTTTCTGTAGATTCCCCAATTTTTAAAACTTTTTTTGGTTTTATTTTTTATTATACTTTAAGTTCTGGGATACATGTGCAGAACGTGCAGGTTTGTTACATAGATATACATGTGCCGTGGTGGTTTGCTGCACCCATCAACCCATCATCTACATTAAGTATTTCTCCTTATGCTATCCCTCTCTTGTCTCTCATCTCCCTACAGGCCACAGTGTGTGATGTTCCCCTCCCTGTGCCCATATGTTTTCATGGTTCAACTCCCACTTATGAGTGAGAACATGCAGTGTTTGGTTTTCTGTTCCTGTGTTAGTTTGCTGAGAATGATGGTTTCCAGCTTCATCCATGTCCCTGCAAAGGGCATGAACTCATTCTTTTTCATGGCTGCATAGTATTCCATTGTGTATATGTGCCATATTTTCTTTATCCAGTCTATCATTGATGGGCATTTGGGTTGGTTCCAAGTCATTGCTATTGTGAATAGTGCTGTAATAAGCATATGTGTGCATGTGTCTTTATAGTAGAACAATTTATTATCCTTTGGGTATATACCCAGTAATGGGATTGCTGGGTCAGATAGTATTTCTGGTTCTAGATACTTGAGGAATCGCCACGCTGTCTTCCACAATGGTTGAACTAATTTACACTCCCACCAATGGTGTAAAAGTGTTCCTGTTTCTCCACATCCTCTCCAGCATCTGTTTCCTGACTTTTTTGTGATCGCCATTCTAACTGGTGTGAGATGGTATCTCATTGTGGTTTTGATTTGCATTTCTTTAATGACCAGTGGTGATGAGCTTTTTATCATATGTTTGCTGGCCACATAAATGTCTTCTTTTGAGAAGTGTCTGTTCATATCTTTTGCCCACTTTTTGATGGGGTTGTTTGTTTTTTTCTTGTAAATTTAAGTTCCTTGTGGATTCTGGATATTAGCCCTTTGTCAGATGGATAGATTGCAAAAATTTTCTCCCATTCTGTAGGTTGCCTGTTCACTCTGATGATAGTTTCTTTTGTGGTGCAGAAGCTCTTTAGTTTAATTAGAACCCATTTGTAAATTTTGGCTTTTGTTTGCCATTGCTTTTGGTGTTTTAGTCATGAAGGCTTTGCCCATGCGTATGTCCTGAATGGTATTGCCTAGGTTTTCTTCTAGGGTTTTTATGGTTTTAGGTCTTACGTTTAAGTCTTTAATCCATCTTAATTTTTGTGTAGGATGTAAGGAAGGGGTCCAGTTTCAGTTTTCTGCATATGACTAGCCAGTTTTCCCAACACCATTTATTTAATAGGAAATCCTTTCCCCATTGCTTGTTTCTGTCAGGTTTGTCAGATGGCTGTAAATGTGTGGTATTATTTCTGAGGCCTGTGTTCTCTTTCACTGGTCTATATATCTGTTTTGGTAGCAGTACCATGCTGTTTTGGTTACTGTAGCCTTGTAGTATAGTTTGAAGTCAGGTAGCATGATGCCTTCAGCTTTGTTCTTTTTGCATAGGATTGTCTTGGCTATATGGGCTCTTTTTTGGTTTCATATGAAATTTAAAGTAGTTTTTTCTAATTCTGTGAAGAAAGTCAATGGTAGCTTGATGGGAATAGCAATGAATCTATAAGTTACTTTGGGCAGTATGGCCATTTTCACAATATTGATTCTATCTTTGAGCATGGAATGTTTTTCCATTTGTTTGTGTCCTTTCTTATTTCCTTGAGCAGTGGTGTGTAGTTCTCCTTGAAGAGGTCCTTTGCAACCCTTGTAAGTTGTATTCCTAGGTATTTATTCTCTTTGTAGCAATGGTGAATGGGAGTTCACTCATGATTTGGCTCTCTGTTTGTCTATTATTGGTGTATAGGAATGCTTGTGATTTTTGCACATTGGTTTTGTATCCTGAGACTTTGCTCAAGTTGCTTATCAGCTTAAGGAGTTTTTGGGCTGAGACAATGGGGGTTTAATAAATATGCAATCCTGTCATCTGCAAACAGAGACAATTTGACTTCCTCTTCTTCTCTTCGAATACCATTTATTTCTTTCTCTTGCCTGATTGCCCTGGCCAGAACTTCCAATACTATGTTGAATAGGAGTGGTGAGAGAGGGCATCCTTGTCTTGTGCAGGTTTTCAAAGGGAATGCTTCCAGCTTTTCCCCAATCAGTATGATATTGGCTATGGGTTTGTCATAAATAGCCCTTATTATTTTGAGATACATTCCATCGGTACCTAGTGTATTGAGTGTTTTTAGCATGAAAGGGTGTTGAATTTTATCGAAGGCCTTTTCTGCATCTATTGAGGTAATCGTGGTTTTTGTCATTGTTTCTGTTTGTGTGATGGATTACATTTATTGATTTGTGTATGTTGAACCAGCCTTGCATCCCAGGGATGAAGCTGACTTGATCTTGGTGGATAAGCTTTTTAATGTGCTAGTGGATTCAGTTTGCCAGTATTTTACTGAGGATTTTCCCATCGATGTTCATCAGGGATATTGGCGTGAAATTTTCTTTTTTTGTTGCGTCTCTGCCAGGTTTTGGTATCAGGATGATGCTGGCCTCATAAAACGAGTTAGGCAGGAGTCCCTCTTTTTCTATTGTTTGGAATAGTTTCCAAAGGAATGGTACCAGCTCCTCTTTGTACCTCTGATAGAATTTGGCTGTCAATCAGTCTGGTCCTGGGACCAGACTATTTTTTTGGTTGGTAGGCTATTAATTACTGCCTCAATTTCAGGACTTGCTATTGGTCTGTTCAGGGATTCGACTTCTTTCTAATTTAGTCTTGGGAAGGTGTATGTGTCTAGGAATTTATCCATTTCTTCTAGATTTTCTAGTGTATTTGTGTAGAGGTGTTTATAGTATTCTCTGATGGTAATTTGTATTTCTATGGGATCAGTGGTGATATCCCCTTTATCATATTTTACTGTGTATATTTCATTCTTCTCTCTTTTCTTCTTTATTAGTCTGGCTAGCAGTCTATCTATTTTGTTAATCTTTTCAAAAAACCAGCTCCTGGATTCATTGATTTTTTGGAAGGGTTTTTCATGTCTCTTATCTCCTTCGTTCTGCTCTGATCTTAGTTATTTCTTGTCTTCAGCTAGCTTTTGAATTTGTTTGCTCTTGCTTCTCTAGTTCTTTTAATTGTGATGTTAAGATGTCAATTTTAGATCTTTCCCACTTTCTCATGTAGGCATTTTGTTCTATAAATTTCCTTCTAAGCACCGCTTTAGCTGTGTCTCAGAGATTCTGGTACGTTGTGTCATTATTCTCGTTGGTTTCAAATAACTTATTTATTTCTGCCTTCATTTTGTTATTTACCCAGTAGTCATTCAGAAGCAGGTTGTTTAGTTTCCAAGTAGGTGTGCGGTTTTGAGTGAGTTTCTTAATCCTGAGTTCTAATTTGATTGCACTGTGGTCTGTGAGACTGTTTATTATGATTTCCAATCTTTTGCATTTGCTGGGGAGTGTTTTACTTCCAATTATGTGGTCAATTTTAGAATAAATGCTATGTGGTGCTGAGAAGAATGTATATTCTGTTGATTTGGGGTGGAGAGTTCTGTAGATGTCTATTAGGTCTGCTTGGTCCAGAGCTGAGTTCAAGTCCTGAATATCCTTGTTAGTTTTCTCTCTCGTTGATCTGATTTTGACAGTGGGGTGTTAAAGTCTCCTATTATTATTGTGTGGGAGTCTAAGTCTCTTTGAAGGTCTCTAAGAACTTGCTTTATGAATGTAGGTGCTCCTGTATTGGGTGCATATATATTTAGGATAGTCAGCTCTTGTTGCATTGATCCCTTTACCATTATGTAATGCCGTTCTTCGTCTTTTTTGATCTTTGTTGGTTTAAACTCTGTTTTATCAGAGAATAGGATTGCAACCCCTGGTGGGTTTTTTTTGTTGGTTTTTTTTTTTTTTTTGCTTTCCACTTGCTTGGTAAATATTCCTTCATCCCTTTATTTTGAGCCTATGTGTCTTTGCACATGAGATGGGTGTCCTGAATACAGCACACCGATGGGTCTTGACTCTTTATCCAATTTGCCAGTCTGTGTCTTTTTTTTTTTTTTTTTTTTTGAGATGGAGTCTTGCTCTGTCGCCCAGGCTGGAGTGCAGTGGCGCGATCTCGACTCACTGCAAGCTGTGCCTCCCAGGTTCAGGCCATTCTCCTGCCTCAGCCTCCCGAGTAGCTGGGACTACAGGCGCCCGCCACAATGGCTGGCTAATTTTTTTGTATTTTTATTAGAGACGGGGTTTCACCATGTTAGCCAGGATGGTCTCGATCTCCTGACCTTGCGATCCACCCACCTCGGCCTCCCAAAGTGCTGGGATTACGGGCCTGAGCCACTGCACCCGGCCCAGTCTGTGTCTTTTAATTGGGGCATTTAGCCCACTTACCTTTAAGGTTAACATTGTTATGTGTGAATTTGTTCCTATCATTATGATGTTAGATGGTTATTTTGCCTATTCGTTGATGCAGTTTCTTCATAGTGTTGATGGTCTTCACATTTTGGTATGTTTTTGCATACCAAAGAGTTTTGCAGTGGCTGATACTGGTTTTTCCTTTCCATATTTAGTGCTTCCTTCAGGGGCTCTTGTAAGGCAGGCCTGGTGGTGACAAAATCTCTCAGGGTTTGCTTGTCTGTAAAGGATTTTATTTCTCCTTTGCGTATGAAGCTTAGTTTGGCTGGATATGAAATTCTGGGTTGAAAATTCTTTTAAGAGTGTTGAATATTGGCCTCCTCTGGCTTGTAGGGTTTCTGCAGAAAGATCCGTTGTTAGTCTGATGGGCTTCTCTTTGTGGGTAACCCGACCTTTCTCTCTGGCTGCCCTTAACATTTTTTCCTTCATTTCAACCTTGATGAATCTGGTGATTATGTGTCTTGGGGTTACTCTTCTCGAGGAATATCTTTGTGGTGTTCTGTGTTTTTCCTGAATTTGAATGTTGGCCTGTCTTGCTAGGTTGGGGAAGTTCTCCTGGATAATATCCTAAAGTATGTTTTCCAACTTGGTTCCATTCCCCCCATCACTTTCAGGTACACCAATCAAATGTAGGTTTGGTTTTTTCACATAGTCCCATATTTCTTGGAGGCTTTGTTCGTTTCTTTTCATTCTTTTTTTCTCTAATCTTGTCTTCATGCTTTATTTCATTAAGTTGATCTTCAATTTCTGATAGCCTTTCTTTTGGTTGATCAACTCGGCTATTGATACTTGTGTATGCTTCACGAAGTTCTCATGCTGTGTTTTTCAGCTCCATCAGGTCATTTATGTTCTTCTCTGAGCTGGTTATTCTAGTTAGCAGTTCCTGTAACCTTTTATCAAGGTTCTTAGCTTCCTTGCATTGGGTTAGAACATGCTCCTTTAGCTCAGAGGAGTTTGTTATTACCCACCTTCTGAAGCCTACTTCTGTCAATTCGTCAAACTCATTCTTTGTCCGGTTTTGTTGCCTTGCTGGTGAGGAGTTGTGATCCTTTGGAGGAGAAGAGGCATTCTGGTTTTTGGAATTTTCAGCCTTTTTGTGCTGGTTTTTCCTCATCTTCATGGATTTATCTACCTTTGGTCTTTGATGTTAGTAACCTTTGGATGGGTTTTTTTTTTCATGGGTGTCCTTTTTGTTGATGTTGATGTTATTGCTTTCTGTTTGTTAGTTTTCCTTCTAATAGTCAGTCCCCTCTTCTGCAGGTCTGCTGGAGTTTGCTTGAGGTCCACTCTAGACCCTATTTGTCTGGGTATCACCAGCAGGGGCTGCAGAACAGCAAAGATTGCTACCTGCTCCTTCCTCTGAAAGCTTCCTCACAGAGGGGCACCTGCCAGATGCCAGTCGGAGCTCTCCTATATGAGGTGTCTGTCAACCTCTGCTGGGAGGTGTCTCTCAGTCAGGAGGCATGGGGGTCAGAGACTCACTTGAAGAGGCAGTCTGTGTCTGTCGCTTAGCAGAGCTTGAGCACTATGCTGGGAGATCTGCTCCTCTCTTCAGAGCCAGCAGGCAGGAATCTTTAAGTCTGCTGAAGTTGCGCCCACAGCCACCCCTTCCCCCAGGTGTTCTGACCCAGGGAGATGGGAGTTTTATCTATAAGTCCCTGACGGGCTGCTGCCTTTCTTTCAGAGATGCCCTGCCCAGAGAGGAAGAATCTAGAGAGGCAGTCTGGCTACAGTGGCTTTGCTGCGTTGTGGTGGGTTCCACACCCAGTTCAAACTTCCCACTGGCTTTGTTTACACTCTGAGGAGAAAATTGCCTACTCAAGCCTCAGTAATGGTGGATGCCCCTTCCCTCACCAAGCTGGAGAGTCCCAGGTTGACTTCAGAGTGCTGTGCTGGCAGCGAGAATTTCAAGCCGGTGGATCTTAGCTTGTTGGGCTCTGTATGTGTGGGATCTGCTGAGCAAGGTGACTCAGCTCCCAGGCTTCAGCTCCCTTTCCAGGGGAGTGAATGGTTCTGTCTTGCTGGTGTTCCAGGCACCACTGGGGTATGAAAAAACTCCTGTAGCTAGCTTGGTGTCTGCTCAGATGGCCACCCAGTTTTGTGCTTTATACCCAGGGCCCTGGTGGTGTAGGCACCCGAGGGAATCTCCTGATCTGTGGGTTGTGAAGACCGTTGGATAAGCATAGTACCTGGGTCAGACAGCACCATCCCTCATGGCACAGTCCCTCAGGGCTTCCCTTTGCTAGTGGAGGGAGTTCCCCAATGCCTTGCGCTTCCGGGGTAAGGTAATGCACCATCCTTACCTTCCGTGGGCTGTACCCACTCTCTAACCAGTCCCAGTGAGATGAATCAGGTACCTCAGTTGGAAATGCAGAAATCCCCCACCTTCTGCGTTGGTCTCACTGGAGCTGCAGACCAGAGCTGTTTCTATTTGGCCATCTTGCCTGGAGATTTCTTAATATTTTCTGTATACAATCATGTCACCAGCACATAAAAATTTTACTTTTTCTTGGTCTGTAGGCATTTTATTTTCTTGTGTTATTGCACTGGCTATGACGTCCAGTCAATAATGAACAGAGGGGATATAGTAATAGCTGACATTTTTGCCTTATTCCTGAAGTGCAAAGGTAGGGAGGGACAAATTTTTTTTTTTACCCTCAGACATATGTTAACTGTAGGATTTTTTTTAAAAAAAGATTCTTTTTATTAGATTGAGGTAGTTTCTCCTGTTCCTAGGTTGTTGAGTTTTTATTGTAAATAGATTGAATTTTGACAAATGCCTTTTCTGCTATTATAGATGAGCATATGAGATTTGTCCTTTATTCTGTTAACATAGTGAAATACATAAGTTAATTTTCAACTGTTAATCAAATCTTGCCTTCCTGGAGTAAACCCACGTTAGACATATTATCTTTTTATATATCTGGATTCATCTTGTGAATTGTTTTTTAGAATTTTTTTCAGCTATACTTATCAGATAGATTGGATTATAGTTTTTGTTTTTCATAATACCCTTGTCAAATTTTGGTATCAAGGTATGGCTGCATTATAAAATGAGTATCTATGAACTAAAAGTGATAACCAGTAAGTATTAGAAAGTTAACTTGTTTTTTTTTTTTTTGGTTGCCAGTTTAAGCATGTAAATAATCAAATATCTGATCAGCTTTAAGTACTGTGTATCATACTATCTCTTATCCTTTGTTTCTTGAAAAATGGGTTTTATTCTTCGAGTTTTTAAAACAGTGTGTACTTTTATAAGTTTTCTTTATATCTAATCTTTTTTCTGCATTTACATTCATTTTTGTTATTTCCATTTTTAATATCGAATCTACCCTATTCATTGTATAGAAATTTATGCATTTCACTTTTCATCTAAAAATTCTTATTTCACTTGGAGTTTTTAACTACTTAAACTTTACTTAAAAAGAAAGAAGAAGGTCATTCCTTAGTAGGAATAAAATATATAATTCCATTTTTTAAACAGCGTATTCACAGTTGTGTACCCATCACCCCAATCAGTTTTAGTATGTTTTCATCACACCAAAATGAAGCCCTATATGCATTAGCACTCACTGCCCACTTCCCACCAATCCTTCCTAGCCCCAGACAACCACTGCTCTAATTTCTTTCTCAATGGATTTGCCCATTCTAGATATCTCATAAAAATGGAATCATATATGTGATCTTTTGAAACCAGTTTTTAAAACTCAGCATAGTGATTTCAAGGTTTATTCATATGGTAGGTATCATGTATTACTACCTAATTTCTCTTTATTGCTGAATAACTTTCCATTGTATAGACACATTTTGGTTATCTATTCATCCATTGATAGATGTCAGGTTGTTGTACTTTTATTGTGGATAATACTGCTGTGAACCTACATGTACAAGTTTTTATGTGGACATATGTTTTCATTTCTCTTGAGTATCTATGAGTAGAATTGCTGGGTTGTATGGTAACTCTGTGTTTAACTTTTTGAAGAACTGCCAGACTTGAAGTGATTGTGCCATTTTACATTCCTACTAAGCACTGTACAAGGGTTTTCGTTTTTCTGCAGCTTTGTCAACATTTGTTATTATCTGTCTTTTTTATTAACAGTTTAAAACTTAAGAATTATTTATTTCTGCTACTTGCCATTTAATGTTTTTGGACCACTGTTGACATCAGGTAACAGAAACCATAGAAAGTGAAACTATGGAGAAGTGAGGACTAACTATTGTGCTTTAAAATGAGATACAGAATTAGGTCTTTTTATTTTACTTTGTGGTCTGAGAATACTTAGATGAAAAATATAGACCATGATACCCAATATTTTCTTGTTACATATACTTCATTGGAAATACTGTTGAACGTAAGAAGACAGATTTCATAATGAATATCAAATCTTGAGGTTGCTTTATTGGCAGGTCTTCTGCATTTAAAATCTATATTAATATACTTGCTCATATTAAGTATGCTAATGGACCACAAAGAAGCCATGCATATCTTTAGATAGGCCTATCGAAAAAATGTTGCTCTTTGTTCTTAATACAGTTTGTTAATTTTGTAGCCTTCCAGGGCTTAATAATTGCTAAAGGATAGTCAAATCATAGCAGCATAACAGAAAAGATTAAAAAGAAAAAGCCCTGCTTAATAATGTAGCAACAAATATTTCAAACATACCCCAGAAACTAAATTTAGAAAAGAATCATTTTATCTGGATAGAATACATTTTGGGAAAAGCTCATCACAGACTCTGACATTATGGAATATCTGACCTGGTTGGGCTCTAGAGATAATCTGTGCATTTACATTAATGTTAAGGTAAACCTGTGATCTGCTTTTCTGTTACTGTTTTCTATGACCATGGAGCATTGTTTGTTGAAGAAAAAAATCTTTGGGACATTCTTCATATCTACATATGGCTTTTATGAATGGGATTGAAACTACAGAAAGCCATTTTTTAGATCCCTTTTGGAAACTCTATACTGAATAAAATTATTGTGATTACTTTTTCCTTTAGTAGGTATTCACTAAATACCTTTTAATAAATAAATGAAAATAAATGTTTCCATATCTACTTATAGATTTTCTTCTTTCGTCGTGTCTTCAAGATTTTACCATTCTAAACTGGGAGGGATTTTGTTACATATTTTCTTACCTTGACAGTGTTTATTCTTTCCTCACAATATGGACTGGGTATCCCTAATACAAACATTCGAAATCTGAAATGCTTCAAAATTTAAAATGTTTTGAGCACTGGCGTGATGCTAAAAGTGGAAAATTTCACACCACACCATATGTGACAGGTCACAGTCAGTCAAAACACAGGCATACAGCACACAGTTTATTTAGTGTACCTCCACAAGGGAAAAAAGACCCTCCCAAAACACCTGTAGCTGTGATAGAGCATTTTTGAGCATGCCCAAATTCTCCTATGCCAGCAATCCTACAAAGGCATCTGAGCAGGCTGGGCATGCCAACAGCAGGTCCCTCACAGTGTCCCACATGGGAACAAGACCTCCTTGCATTACTCACTGTTTGCTTATTCCATGCTCTGTAAAGATACTGTTTAAAATGTAAAGAAAAGTCCTGCATCATACCCATAGGGTAATGTCGATATTCCCAAATTGGAAACTGTTTGAAATCTGAAACACTTTTGGTCCCAAGCAGTTTAGATAAGGGCTACTCAACCTATATACAACATCACTCATTTCTTTGTTTTATGCATCATCCTACAGATTCATCACTTTGTTTTGCATTTCTGTAGTCTCATGCCAAATTTCAGGTCTTTATACTTTTTAATATTTCTGTAATCTACTTATTACTCTGTCATCCTATTGGTATGGCTTTTGCCTAAATCATAGTATGGTATGTCTTGTTCCGTGACCAAATGTTTGGTAACTTTCTTCTTCTTTACAAATGCTTTCCATATTTATAAAGTATATATATATATATATACACACACAGTGTCAAATATTTATGATATAGTGAAAGAAATTCTGGAACTTCAGTGGGAAATAATTTTTAAAATTGTCTAGTCTAGCCTTTTTTCTTTCTTAGTAAGATTAATAATGCCCAGAGAGATAAGCAGAGTTTGTCAAAGTTACTTTGAAAGATGTTATTGCAAGTGGGCTTGAGAGTAATAACAGGAAAAGGGAAGGCATTGTAAAGAGATAGGAACAAAGGAAGCAGGATAACCTGATAACAGAGTATAAATTCTCTTCATGTGTATGTATTTGTTTAGTTGTCTGAATTCTCTGTAAATATATCAGTCTTTGAGATTACCCTCTTTGAAAGAAGGGCCTGGGTCCCATTCATGGGCCTAGTGGTATGCTAAACATAAATAATATATAGGCCAGGGAAAATGACTTGAATGCTATGATAAGCGAGAAGAAATCACCCTATTTATTGAGCACTACTATGTGCTATATGCTTTGACACAAATTATTTCAAAGATAAGATACAATCAACTCTTGAACATTCATGATTCTAATTTTCAGTTATCCTGTTGATTTCAATATCTCTAACAGAGGGCAGGCAAGAGGAAAACCTATGGGATTCATGTTACGCAGAAATTGCTCTAGTAGAGTAGCGTTCTGAGCAGAAGTAAATTTAGTAGCTCAAAGAAAAGGTTTAGATTCCCTGTGGGTTTCACTTACACCTATTCCTGTTATCTTATAGGATAAGTGCATTCTATGAGCTTTGGAGAAATAAGTACCAGTAACAGAGAAATTTGGGGTTAATGTCTCTGCACACAGAGTAGAATGAAAATAGGATTGTCCCAATATATACTTCAGTGAATTGTAAATAAAGTGTTGGTGTTGTTCATGTTTGTTTGTTTTTAAATTTTTGTTTTTTCTCTCTGTGCTCTTGTCAGAAGTCATCCCTTTTTGGTATGATTAAGTTGGAATCCTTTTCAGAGTTAAACATTTTCTTGGTCCATGTTTTTAACTTTATAATTTTTTTTTTGGACTAAGAATACATGTACTGCAAACCTTCCTTTATGTTACTGTCATCTTTTTATTTAATCATACTATTTATATGCTACTAAAGAATGCTGGGTATTGGTACCAGGAAAAAGTAAAATTGCCTATGTATATTTAGTAAAATATTTAAAGTACATATTTTGTTTATTTTATTAATAGGATTTAAATAAACTTATACAAAATGTAAATCAAAATCAATTGATTGTACCTGTTTTGGTAACAAAAAAATGAAACCCATGTTTTAAAAATCGGAATATATTTCTGTCCTGGATTATAATTTGGCACCTGCATCCTTTGTAGGACTTTGCATATTTAAGATATCTCTGATGATTGAAAACATTTTTAATGTAAAAATTGCATGGATCTTTTATTACAGAGGTGAAAAAGATTGCCTTATGAGAGATTAAGTTTTTTAAAAAGCAACAACAAAACAGAACAGAGTGTTCCTGAAGAATTCGGCATACCTTTGGAAGAAGTCTGGTTTTGTAAACTGCAGCTGTAGGCACATATTTAATTTTATTCTGATAGATGTTAAAGGTTTTTTTTTTTTTATTTCAGAGTAAGTGAGGAAAAGGAAGTGACAGAGGAAAGACTGAAAGCTGAGCAGGAGTCATTTGAGAAGAAGATCAGGCAGTTGGAAGAACAGAATGAACTGATCATCAAAGAAAGGGAAGATATCCTTTTGAAAGTTCTCTTTTTTAACGTTCAAGAAGTTTGACTATTTCTTTTTTTTTTTGAGACGAAATCTCGCTCTTGTCGCCTAGGCTGCAGTGCAATGGTGCGATTTCAGTTCACCGCAACCTCCACCTCCCGGTTCAAGCGATTCTCCTACCTCAGCCTCCCGAGTAGCTGGGATTACAGGCACCCACCACCAGGCCCAGCTAATTTTCGTATTTTTAGTAGAGACGGGGTTTCACCTTGTTGGCCAGGCTGGTCTTGAACTCCTGACCTCAGG
The DNA here is from genome assembly GCF_000001405.40 of Homo sapiens. Classification (NCBI taxonomy): domain Eukaryota; kingdom Metazoa; phylum Chordata; class Mammalia; order Primates; family Hominidae; genus Homo; species Homo sapiens. The sequence goes on from NC_000018.10 coordinate 36,885,954, forward strand.
TGATCTGCCTGCCTTGGCCTCCCAAAGTGCTAGGATTACAGGTGTGAGCCACCGTGCCTGGCCAGAAGTTTGACTATTTCATGAAGACAATGTAAACTCCAGAGAAATAATTGTTCTAATTTGTAACAGGGAGTAAATCTGCATGTGCTGCCATTTCTAGGCAATCAGAACGTCACTTAACAATATGTGCTATAGCTTCCTTTGTGCCTGATAAGGCCATCCAGCTGTTCTGCTGCTGCTGTTAGGCTGCTAAGCACATACTTGTCAACTAAAAAGGACAAGAAGAAATTTGGGCATTGAAGTGTAGTGTTGGAACTTTATTAAATTCTGTTGCACTGCTGTAATTGAGCTGGAACCTCCTTGTATTTGGTATTCTTTCTAGTTAAAGCTTTGACAGTCCTAGGAATTCTGCTCTGAAATCATAAAAATTAAAAAAAAATTGTTTTTACTGTATAGATGTTGTAATTGGTAAGTGTTTACACGGCAGCATAATGCTGCCAAATCCTTCTTATGGAGCAGAAAACTATTGGGTTTAGACCTAGAGGGGTGTGTGTGTGTGTGTGTGTTTGTGTGTGTGTGTCTATAGCATTATTTGTAAGAAGATAAAGTAAAAACATATTTTAGGGGTGTGTTAAAATAAGCTATTTCTGAATTTTCTTTTGAATAGGTAGAATTACTTATCTTTGGGTATTGTATGCAGCAATATGGATGTAGAAGAGAAGTCCCTAAAGTTAGAGTGATGGATCTGCCAGCTAAACTAGTGTGTGAATGCGTGAAACCACCATTGTTTTTATTGGCGGTATCATCATTAACTTGATTGTTAATAATTGTTTCAAAGATTCTGCAAATGTCGAAAATGGTCTTGTATTGACAGTAACTATGCCTTTGTGAATACCAGAGAAATGGAAGCATAAAGATAAATTACAATAATTAGCTTGAAAAATACAAGACTGTAGCTATAAAAACAGAGTCCTGAACTTTTATTTTCCAAGCAGTGGGAGTTCATGATAGGAAATTAATACAATCAGAATTCTCAGAATTGATTTGCTGAGTATAACATGAATAAGGCTTGTTGGCCTCACAAGTCTAGATGAGTGCTTTTTCAATTATTAATTTTTTCTACATCTCTAGCATTTGGATAATCATCTCCAACTTTCTCTTTTTTTTTTTTTTTTGGCCCACTTTGACTTCATTGCCCTTGGTTGTTGACCCTCAAGATAGTCTTCTGTGTTTTTCTTCCTGCTACTTTTTTCTCTAGATTTAAAGGAATGCTGTTTAGTCAGAATTCATAACAAAGTGCTCAGCCAGTTTTATTTACTCTTCTACTTGAGGAGTAGTACTCCAGGTCCTAGCATTTTTTAGAAATGGTAGGTTAGGAATGCTTTCATTTGCAACAAAAATTCAATTTACAGGCTCCTTTATTTCTCACATAACAAGTACTCTGGAGATTATGGAGATTCAGTGGTTTAACATTTTCAGTGCTGGCAGCTTTACAATTCTCTCAGGTTTTTTTAATGGTTGCTCCAATTCTAGGCATTACATTTCCATTAAGGCAGGCAGAAAAGGGGAAGAGGTCCTGGTAATTATGACTCCCTCTCCCTCTTTTTAAAAACATAAAAACTTTATGAGAGCACTCCCTACTCCCCACCCAGTGGTCTTTTATATGATATTTATAAAAGTCCTGAATTTTATGATGTGGCCATGGTAGGCTGCAAAGGAGGCTAAGAAAGTGAGCATTTAGCTTGTCCAAGTTATGTAGTAGAAGGCAGCACTGGAGAAGAAGACTGGAAATGAATTCAGCCCCCAACTCTGGTAGCAGAGGTAAGGGAAATACAATTCACTCTTTGTATGGAGAGGAGGTGGTGATGCTTTAACCTTCCTGGGACAAAAAAATCTATAGCATACAGTGGAATTGGGATGAGTTGGGGAAAGGTGAGAGAGATTGGTAGTAGACAGTTTAGAAAACCTGGGCACAATTAGAGTGGGCCCTTGTTTGGTAAAATACTTAAGAAAATTTTGTGGTTATCTGGAAAAGTAGAATCTAACTCAAGTAGACTGTTATATTTAGCACTCTCTGGGTCAAGATTAATTCTATTCAGTGCTAAACCAGTCTATACTTAGCATGGCTGTGAATGGTTTCTTTTGTCAGGCTAAATATTATGATACCTAGGTGATTGCAGTGACACTATTTTTCATGTTTTCCTCATGATTTAACTCGGGGGGAGAACACTACTACTGTGGGCCACATCCAGTAGTGTGCCAGCTAATTCCAGCCATACTCATTCCTTTATGTATTGTCCATGGCTGCTTTTGTGCACCAACTGCAGAGTAATTGCAGCAAATACCCTATGCCTTTCCTAACCTAAAATATTTATTATTTGACTCTTCAGTAAAGGTTTGCTGGTTCATGATTTATCTTATAAGCTAAGAAAGGAAAGGAAAAGATATGTGAGTAAAGTCAAAGACTTTTAGTCATGTGGCATAGTCAGACTTATATTACATATAGTAAAAAGGAATTTGGCCTAAGCATTTCTTTATTATTGTGAATAAGGATTGGAGCAAATGGTATATCATTGTCAAAAATTAAAATATTTTGGTTGGTAAAACTGGTTTAAGTTTTTTTTAATCACCAAAATATAGGTAGTATTTATAAAACTTTATTATCATGGAAGAAAGGACATGATTTTTTTAAATGACATTTATGGTTTTTATTCCAAGTAGATTGCTCAGGTGCAAATCTCCTTTACCAGAATAAACCTGTCAAAGGTTAATATAGATGATTTTACAGTACATAAAGCTCTATAAAACTTAGAAACATAAAACAAGGTTATAATTTAAAATAATATAATTTTAACTACAGATACATTTACCTATCATACATGAATGATTCAGACTCTTACATATACATGAAATCAGATAATTTCAGATCATTTTAAAATCTGTTTCTGTGTGAGAAACTATATCCATTAATTCTGATTTTTGGCATTTTAAAGATGTATTATACCAACATTTATGGGGTTTTTGTTTTAAAAGTTTGAGTAACTTGATTTATTGATCAGCTGTACAAACACAGACTAGTGCCTTAGTAAAAAGGAAAAGATATTTTATGTGTTTGCATCAGGATCAGCCTGTTGAAGGGTTTCTTCTTGTAGAAAATTGTGAATTTATTATTAAAACATAAAAAGTCTTAGTAACATTCAGTCTTTAAGCAAAGAAAGTTTATTTCTGGAGAACTTAACCATGTAAATGAATGTGCCATTTACAAAGCCAAGCAGTCTGATGAACTTAGTAGGTTTTTGCTTGGCTGGATGAGTATGAAAAGAAAGATAAATCTGAAACTTAAAGAGAAATATGTACAATAACAATAATTCTGAAACATGTTGGCATGTAATAGTGTAAGACACAGAGGATGTAGCCATTATAAAATTTGATTAATATTTAAGCTAATTGTATTTCTAGAACATATGACTCAGATCAATGGTGAGCGGTGGTAAAAAGCTTATATTAGAAAAGTACTAAAGTCTAATGTTTGCTGACTTCACTGTTTTGACTGGCATAGCAAAGGGAAGTGACAGCAAAGCACAGTGGGATTTAGAGTCATAATCCCATTTTAGCACTGAGTAGCTATCTGATCCCTTGGGAAAGTTACTGAACTTCTCTGAGTCTTTTGTTTATAATATGTAGATAACTAAAATGCCTTCTTTGCAGGCCTATTGGAATTTGATAGATTCTTTACATTATATGTGTAAAGGACCTAGTCTAAGTAGCCACTGAATAAAAAATTGCAATTCTCATTTTTACTATTATTAATATGGATGAGGGATGAGATGACTAACCCAGGTTTCTCATTTCTGTGCCTTTCTTCACTGGGATTTTGTTGATTTTCATTAGATTATGCAAGGGTTAGGCTGCTTAGTAGCCCAGTAGAAGAATGAAATTGGTCTTTCCTCTGCTTTATCTTCTGATCTCTCTGGAAGGAAAAACCTCTCTGTACCACTTGCACCTGTTGAGTGCTCATTGGGAGGAAACCAAGTTTTAGTTTCCTCTCCCAGAAATCAAACTGACAGAGTTGTGGTTTTTTTGTTTGTTTGTTTGTTTTCCACATTCTGGTCTGTTTCTATTATCTCTCTGACTAGGGCTTAGTAAATTGAAGGGGTTTAGAAAGGTGCTTGTAGCTCACATCCTTGAGCCCATTACATGGGTGGTCATTTTAGAAACTTTGCTCTTCAAAGAAAGAATTTTAAAGGAACTAGCTTTTTTTTCTTTCTTCTTCTTTTTTTTTTTTTAAAAAAAAAGCAAAATCACCTTTATTTGCATGTGGTATGAAACTTAACTTGGCATATCCAAATCAATGATATTATCTATGTAAAAGTAATAACCAGTCAGAAGATAAAATGGCAGAAAAAGAAGTTTAAAATGTCAACAAAAAAAATATGTCTGCGCGTCATGGCTCACGCTTATAATCCCAGCACTTTGGGAGGCCAAGGCAGGCGGATCACCTGAGGTTAGGAGTTCGAGACCAGCCTGGCCAACATGGTGAAACCCCGTCTCTACTAAAAATACAAAAATTAGCCGGGCAAGGTGGTGTGTGCCTGTGGTCCCAACTACTCGGGAGGCTGAGGCATGAGAATCGCTTGAACCTGGGAGGCAGAGGTTGCAGAGAGCCGAGATTGTGCCACTGCATTCCAGCATAGGTGACAAAGTGAGGCTCCATCTCAAAAATAAAGTAAACCTAACAGTAATGTACAAAACCTTTATGAGGAACATTTCAAAGACTCCTGAGAGACAAAAGCAGAGTTGAACGAATGGAAAGACAGCCCTTGTTCATGTGGATGACTCAACAAAAAATGATATCAGATATTCTCCTAGTTCATATATGTGTAATGTAATTCTCCAAAAAGATATATATGAATGAGATTTTTTCTGGAGCTAGACAAGTTGGCTATGAAATTCATGTAGAGAAATATGCAAAATTAACTAATCAGCCTCATAAAGAAGAGCCGAGAAGGAAGTGATTAGGTCTCTATCAAAACATGGTAGATGAATAAACAACCAGCCTACTAAAGCAGAATAGAAAGTTTAAAGGTAAATCCAATTACATTCGAAAATTAAGAATATAATTGAGATAGCATTTCACAACTGTGACAACAGGATGGACTTTGTAATAAATAGTATTGTGACAATTGGAGAGTCATTTGGAAAGAGATACAATTGGAGCCCACGCCTCATACCACACACCAGAATAAACCCTAAGTTAATCAGAAGTCCAAAAAGTGAAAATATGAATTATGTACATATATTTAAATACCACTCTATATTCAAGAAATACATATAATTTTAAAAATTGTTTTAATTATTTTATTTCACTAGTTTTTGAGGTACAAGTGGCTTTTGGTTACATGGACAAGTTATTTTAATAACTGATTTCTGAGATTTTGGTACACCTGTCACTGGAGCAGTGTACATTGTACCCAGTATGTAGTCTTTTATCCCTCACCCACTTTCACTCTTCCCCCCTCTGCTGAGTCCCCAAAGTCCGTTATATCATTCTTATGCCTTTGCAGCCTCATAACTTAGCTCTCACTTATGAATGAGAACATAACGATGTTTGGTTTTCCATTCCAGAGTTACTTCATTAAGAATAATGGCCTCCAGCTCCATCCAAGTGGCAGCAAAGGTCATTATTCCATTCTGTTTTCTGGCTTAGTAGTATTCCATTGTGTGTATACCATATTTTCTTTATCCACTCATTGGTTGGTGGCCACTTAGCTTGGGCCCATATTTTTGCTATTGCGAACTGTGCTGCTATAAACATCCATGTGCATGTGTCCTTTTCATATAATGGCTTGTTTTCCTTTGGGTGGATACCCAGTAGTGGGATTGCTGGATCAAATATTCATTTACATTAGTAATATTACATTAGTAAATATTAGTTTACATTAAAGGAACTAGCCTTAATCTTTCTGAGGACTGTATTAAGAATGAGCCAAAGATCCCATAATGTCTGTGCTGAAAATAGGTAAGAGAAAATTCACAAGATTTTTATATGATTATGTGAAAGAAATCATTCGTTGCAAATAACAGTAATACGCTGGAGCTATCCAAAGCTTTGTATTTAACTATATATCTCATCCCTGCATAGGAGCCAGACTACCATGATTTGTCACCATCATCTGTTAGACTTTTAACAAGGATAGGAACCATACTGCAGGAAGCTGTATCATAGATCTCGGTGGAGTGGTATGTCAGGAGAGGTAGAAAAAATTTTCACAAAAAAAGAATGTAAGTTTCAAGAGAAAAGGTCTCTCCTTTTTAATGTATCTTTCTGGCCCTTTAGAAGAGAAGGCAGATGTTCTAGTCTTTGAAATAGTTTTGGGAAAGTAAAAAACCTAAAGTTCTTAAAATGAAGAAGACTGTAAATAGAAGAGAAGGGATATGGAAGAAGAAAGGGTATTTTGGTGTTTGGCAGTGTGGTGTACTAATATAAACACCTTATCAACTTTGATGAATCTTGGCCTTTTTGTTTTGAATAAGTATTGGGTTTTTGTTTTTTTTGTTTACAAATTGAATTATTTAGTGAAAGAATATATTATGTACTTGGATAGGGCCACTTCGTTCCATTTAACAAGCCCTAGAAAATGCTGTTTTACTGATCTGATAATCATCACGAATACTACAGAAGTTGTATTTCTTGAGGCCATTTTATTTACTCTATGTTGCTGTACAAATTTAGCAGATTTTGGAGCATTGTTATTATAAATTGTCCTGGAATGACATTTTATATCAGACTAACAGTTTGAATGATTCTTTCCATTTGTATTACAGAGAGATAGGCATGCTTAAAGAAAGAACTGATTGTTACTTATTTTATTGTTGTCTAAACTATTCTTAAAGATTATTTTTGTTCTCTTAAAAATATTTAGTTATTAATGCTAACCACAGGGAGAAATTGTGACAAAAGTTTTTAGAAAGTAAAGAAATTATATGCTCACTATTGGGTGACTATTACTTACCTAGGTGACCGTACCCCAAACTTCAGCATCATGAATATACCCATGTAACAAACCTGCACATGTACCCCTGAATCTAAAAAAAAGTCAAAATTATTTTTTGAAATTATATAAATGTAACCATATACTAAAATTCATCCCAATAAGAGTCTCTAGGGGTTAAGTTACTCTTTAATAATGAGTTATATTTACACTTTACTTTTTTGGAATTCATCCAGGAATTAAGAATAAAATGAGGCACTCCTCACCCACTCCAGTCCCGTATGTATGAACTTACTTTCTCTCTCTTTTTCTCTCTCTCTTTCTTTCTTATTTATTTATTTATTTGAGATAGAATCTTGCTGTGTCGCCTAGGCTGGAGTGGCATAATCAGGACTCACTGCGGCCTGGATCTCCTGGGCTTAAGTAGTCCTCCCATCTCAGCCACCGTAGTCACTGGAACCACAGGTGTGCTCCACCCCACCTGGCTATTTGTGTGTGTGTGTGTGTGTGTGTGTGTTTTTGTGTGTGTGTGTGTGTGTGTGTGTGTGTGTGTGTATGTGAGACAAGGGTCTCATTATGTTGCCTAGGCTGGGTTCAAACCTCTGGGCTCAAGTGATCCTCCCGTCTTGGCCTCCCAAAGTGCTAAGATTACAGACATGAGCCGCCACACCCAATAGAACTTTTCTTATATGAGAGTTTCTAAAGCTGTCATATGGATAATAATAAACTTACTATTTGGTGTCTAGTTTTAAAGCTCATTGCAGATTAAAAGCAGAAAATTAGAAGTAGAGAATAGAGCTGCTATGAGACTATAGAAGTTGACAGAGGAGTTGATAGAAAAACTATTAAAAAACACAGAAGAACTAAAAATACACAGCAGCCTAGAACTCTGCCCACTTAGATATATCTCAAGGACGTCATATATTAAATACAACATGGTATTCGGAGGCAAGACAGTGTTAAATTGTTTTTATCCTATTAGAAGTATTAGTGCTTTTATTACTAAGACATCTTGCATTTTTATATTGCTTTTCTATTTACAGAGCACTTTCACTTACGCATTTTTAATCTTCATAATAGCCTGGTTAACTTAGGTGAGGCAGATACTCTTCTATCATTTTACAGGTCTGGAAAGGTAATGAAACAGCCCATTGCAGAGCTAAGACTGAAATTTCTTGACACCAAGTGTTCTGCTTTTTTCACTATACCAAATTTTCTCTGTAGCAGTGAACGATACAAATATCAATAAGCCTTACTTTTTAAAGCACAATTTTATAAAAATGTGTAATATATTTTATGGTGCTTTTTATCCAAAGATGGTTAAAAAATTTTTTGGTATTCAAAAGCATATACCTTAAGTTACCAGAAAATCCAGATATGTAGAATGTTTAAGCAATTTTCTTATATTTTGACATCTCCATTCAGTCACCAGGTCTTACTCATTTTCCCTTGAAACCTTATTCCTTGCTATTTTCACTGCTACCTGACTTCATTCCTTGTGTGCCTGCCTCCATTGTTTCCAACTGTCGTTTGAAAGAGTTCATTCCATTACAGTTGCCAGATTAATTTTTCTTAAGGACTACTTTTCTTTTTTTTTTGAGACAGGGTCTTACCAGGTCATCTAGTTGGAGCACAGTGGTGCAGTCATGGCTCACTGCAGCCTTTAACTCCCAGGCCCAAGCAGTCCTCCCACCTCAGCCCTCTCAAGTAGCTAGGACCAGAGGCATGCATCACCACACCTGGCTAATTTTTGTATTTTTGTAGAGACGGGGTCTCCCTATGTTGCTCAGGCTGGTCCCGAACTTCTGGGCTCAAGCGATCCTCTCACCTAGGTGTCCTAAAGTACTGGGATTACAAACGTGAGCCACTGTGTCTGGCTTTAAGTTCTGTTTTTATTACATCACTTGGCTTTTTCATACCATTCCACAGCTTCTTATGGCCTAAAGGACCAAATGCATATTCTTGATTTTGACATTCAAGCCCTCCATTACTAGTGTCAAGTAACATGTGTGACCTTCATTTTTATGGCCCCCACATACCAGCTAAGAAAGACTTATTGGGTTTTCCTACTTATTACATCTAATTTCTGTTTCTTTGTCATTGCTTGTTTTACTAATTTCCTTCTTCAAAAATTTTTAAAGTCATCTTCCCCAGTACATTTTTAAAAATAGTATTTGGCTCCTAGCATTCATACCTGTACCAGCTGCCCTAACTTGCGTATCTTCTTATGGTTCTTTGGGCACTGTTGTGTACTTGAAACAGTCCTGGATTTTTAGTAAGAAAACTTATAAGAGATCTTGGATCAGCTACTTTATACTTTTGTGACTTTGGTAAGTCATTGAATGCAGGAGCATTTCAATGACATTTTAGAAGAATAAGCTGCTTTGCAAAGGCTTTAGGCTAGAGTAGGGGTGAGAAAGTGAAGGCCACGAGGAAAAGGAGATACTGTTGTGCCAAAGGGCGTCTATGTGAAGGGATGTTTTGGGATTTGTTTTAAGGCTGGAAGAGATTTTAAAGATCTGCTTCATATCTTCTAGCACCTTTTCTGATTTTCAGCTTTTCTTCTGTAAGAATGAGACAAATATTTTTTAAAAATTCTAATAAGTTTATCTAACTGCTAAACATGTATTTTTTGGAGTAGTGTGAGAAGAGATGGTGCTTTTCAGCCCCTTTGCCTGCTATTCTGGGCTTAGCAAGGTTCGTTTGCTTATGTATTTATTTGTTACTTAAGAATTTGCGATGGACTGAATTGTGTCCCTTCAAAATTCATATGTTGAAGCTCTAACCCCCAGTGAGAATGTAGCTGAAGATAGGGTTTTTAGGAGGCAATTAAGGTTAAATGAGGTCATACTGGTAGAGCCCTAATCCAATGACTGTTGTCCTAGAAGAAGAGCAGAGAGATCTCTCTGTCACACACCACACCCCCACGTTGTCCTGTGTGAGGCCACAGCAAGAAGGTAGAAGCCTGAAAGCCAAGAGAGCCCTCACCAGAAACCAAACCCGATCAGACCTTATTTTGGACTTCCAGCCTCCAGAACTGTGAGAAAATAAATATCTGTTGTTTAAGCCTCCCAGTCTGTGGTATTTTGTTATGGCAGTCTGAGCAGACTAAGGCAGTACTTAATATGTACTTAGTTCTTTGGTAATTTTTATTCTAATTATCAGCTTAGAAGGCTTTTCAGTGTATTTGTGGAGGGTAGTGTTTCTAATATTAGTGTATTTTCAGATATCGTTCTCTGATCATTTTAGCTTTATTTTCTTGGTTGGGTGTTAATACATTTTTGAACAATAATTTTTAAATATCATTTTGTATTATTTTTTGATGAGATTTGATTTTTGGCAATCTTGTTGCCTTACTAGCTAAGACCCTTTTAATATATATGATGTACTCATTTTATAATTAAAAAAATAGCTTAACTTTCCAAGCTTGATTTTGCTTTGGTTTTGATGTCTTCGATTTACTGAAGGCTCCAGACGTGGAACCTTAACATCCTCAGAGAGCAACTTCTATGTTGCTTTATAGTGAGTGACACTGCAGTTCAAATAAATGTGGATTGGGGCTTCTCACCTGGCTCTAGTGGCTAAGGATTTCATTTCTTTTTGATACCCACATGTAAATAAGCTCAGCAAACTGAAATTCAAAAAACATTTATTTGCTGCATCTTTGTTTAATTATCTTTTTTTCAGTGATGGTTCTGTTCTGGATAAATGGTACTAAACCTGTATAGCATCATTTAAAATTACTTTGGAAAGTTTCAACAGTTCTTGTATGAAGAAATAGACTTTAAATAAATCAATCTCATAATTATCATTCAGGGTATTATTTAGGATTATTGTTTAGCCTTTTACATTACTGATTTTCCTTAAAGGGCTATCTGATGTACTCTTTTCAGCTACATCTGTTTGCCATACCACAGCTTGTAATTGCTTTACATTTGAAGAATATAGTGAGTGACTTTATTATTAATCAGTAGCAAATTTGTCTTAGTATTCTTAACCTTAGGATGGCCTTAACTTATGAATAAATGATTTAGATGGTAATACTCTCACTTAAGTTAGAGACTTATGCAGTAACATTAAAAAAAATTGTACTCAAGATTTTGCATTTCAAAACTAATTTTTCAGAAGTAGTGAATATAATTATGCTCATGAAATAATTAGAAGTCAACAGAATATCTGAATTGTATCTTCCTATGGAAGATGGTAAGGATTATCATCTTCCCCCAGTTTTATTATCTTTTCTTAATACAGAATCCCAGGCTATTGAGCATCTTATTTTCTTGAACCCTCAGGCTTATGAAGAGCAGAGCCAAATGGAGAAAGAATTCTTCCATCAGAACATCCCCAAGCAGTTTTTGAATTTGTAAATAAATGTGGCCTGGAAAATCCAGGCATCTAAAGATAATGCTGGGTTTCAATTAAACCGGTCAGTTTTTCAAATAGTTGTTATAATGTGTGTGTTTATTTTTTTGGTTGTATCTATGAGACTTTGTTTCACACAAAAACTGATAAACACAGGAAAAGTGTCAAGAGGCAAAGGAGAAAAGAAGATGAGAGAGAGAGATAAAACCAACAGAAATGGAGGTTGGATATAGTAATTGCCCTAGTGAGAAATTTGCATGGGAGAAAAGTTGACAATAAGGACAGCCTATGATATGGTGACACAAGAGAATAGTTATTAGTGAGTTCAGAGAAAAGTTTCCAAGTAGCCACCTCTGTCTTACTATAATATTCCCAAGGCATCAGTGAGACAGGCTAAAACCACAAGGACTAGTTCAGCAGTATAGAGGAAAATGGGGTGAGAGGAGGCTTTAATATGATAGTGAGCTTAATCATTTAGAGATGTCACAACATTTAGAAGTATATTCTTTGTATAACGTTATATAGTAGCTTGGCATGGCAGAGAAGTAATTTGATGTATTGCTAAGGCAGCTTTTTCCCCCACTTATTAAATTTAAAAAAATTATATGGAAAGCCCTATTGGTAAATCTTTAGTTAATTACAAATTGATGTCTCAAATATGATTTATCTCAATGAAATAAGAAGCCAATAGTATTTTGGAAACTGAACTATTTATCACACAGGTTTATCAAATGATCCAAAATATGTAACTGTTTTAGAATTATGAAGTTCTATGAAAATATAAAGATGATAAAATATTTTCTTGGCCTGAAAAAATTTACAGCATAAAAAGTGGATGTGAAGACATATTTGATATATATCTTTCAAATGTTATCTTTTATTTCAGATGTTATCTTCTATTTGAAGATTTTTGTTGTTTTGCCTTTAGAGTCCTCATTCAGATTTCTGTTGCCTGAAAAGTAACTAGCTTTCTGGTTTTTGAAAAGATAATATGCTTTTTGAAGCAAAAAGTTTTTTTGATTATTTGAGGAGCATCCCTTTTAATTTTCTGAAGCAGTTGTAAGGATGTTTGTTGCTAAAAATAAGTCAGCTAGGAATTGCTAAAGAGTCTTAGCATCATGTGTTCTGACAAGGCATAGAAGAGATCTCAAGGAAAATAATGCAGAAATCAAGCTGAGAAGGCTCTGATTAGATGGAACCAACTTGAGAATGTTTTATGAAACTATATCAGGATCAATCTTCCTTGCACAGATAACAGGAAAGGCCAAAGTGACAGTATTCAAAAAAAGATATATGTTTATTTCTTATTCATATAAAACTCATCTGCTGCCAGCAATTTTAGGCTGGTATAGTGACGCCGCAGATTATAGGGAGCCACACTTTTTTAAAGTCTTGGCATTTCAAGCTTCACCATGATTTGCAATTCTAGTCAGCAGAACAGAGTCTGTTAATTTTGGAAAGTTTGTTCTAACTTTGATTTTAATTTTGTTTTTCCATTGTTGAACTTAAAAACACAATTAAGTTTTGTATGTTGATTTTATATCTTTTGACCTTGCTAAATTCTCACTTATTAATTCTAATAGTTGCTTTACACATTTCTTAGGATTTTATTTGCAGTCGTGTCATCTGCAAATGAAAATAATTTTAGTTCTTTTAAATCTTTATGCCCTTTATTTGTTTTTCTTGCCTTCTTGCAACACCTCCAATTAGGTATTAACTGGAAGTGATGAGAAGAGAACATCTTCATCTTGTTCTGTATCTCAGGAAGAAATACATATTTCATCTTTAAGTTTGATGTCACCTGTGGGTTTTTGGGTTTTGGTAGATGCCTTTTATATCCCATTGAATAATTTCTCTTTTACTCTTAGTTTGCCAAGAATTTTTGTTCTTGTTTTTTTGCTTTTACTAATCATGAATGGACACTGATTATTTATAGCACTTGACTTTTAGTATATGTTTATTGTCTGTTTCCTTCATAAGGCATTATTTCTGTCTTGTACACTATTGTATACTGAGATTCTAATACACTACCTTATGCTCAGTATGTAGTCAGTAAATAAATACATGTTACGTGAATGAATTATTAAATCAGAGTTGCTTGATCAGAAAAGATCTGACTCAAGAGAAAACTTGCCCGTTAGTGCTGAATCTGCATAATCTGACACTCTACTGCCACCTGGTGATAGTATATCTAAATTGCAATAAAAGCTTCTCAGGAGGTGAATAAGCATGTGAGCTAAAACTGCAAATGATTGGACTGACGTGGCAATTATAATTTAAAAATATACATATACTCATGATATGTATCTGGACTGCATTTGAGATTTAGCACATATATTTCACATTTAAAAGATGCTGAAATGTTTTCTGTTTTCCTGACTGCTAGGAAAGAATGAAGTGGATCAGTTAAATTACATATGTTAAAGAAATAGAATAAATTGGGAAAGTTGGCAGAAGTAGAGTAAGAGCAAAGGCACATTTTCTATATTTGAATTCCTGCTCTGTAAGCATTTTCTTGCTGTAAGGTGCTAGCTAAATTTTAATTTTAAAGAACAAGAATTTTTAACTTCTTAATATCTTGTATTAATATTTAATATATTGCAAGAAAATCCAGCTTGTGGCCAAGAATGAAATTTAATGCTTGTTCTTAAAAATTAAATCCTTTAGTTACACAGAATTCACTGAGATTTAAGTGTAGAATACAATGGGATTTCTGTTATATTAGACAGTTTCTTGGAATGAAATCATCTATCATCTACACTGTTATGATTACCACTATATACTTTCATTTCTTAGCCTCTCTCCGAAAAAACAAACCATGTGCCAAATATATGTTAGTAAAAGTTTTTAGAGATGCAATTCAAATATTAAAATTTTCTTATTGGTGTTAAAATGGTCAATCTTGTAAAATGTTGATAATTTTACATAAAGGTTAGCCCTTCTCATGATCAAAATACCCTGAGATGATAGTGTTGGAAGTACTGTTTTAGTAATAAAGATTATCATGTGGGTAAGTTCCCTACAAGGCCCATGATGGTAATGCCCCTAGATTTTGTCTTCAAAGAAAACTGCTGAGAGGCAATAATTTTTTTTGTATGTGTCCCATTTTCATTAATGCATGGTAATTGATGGAGTTGCAGTGACTTGTAGCAGTAATGAGTTCTAAACATAATAATGCACTCTTTTCTAATAAGTGAGCACTGCTGGTGTTTAAGAGCATACTAAATCAGTTGCTTTAGTATGAATTTATTAGTTTTTTTCAGCATTAGTTTTAATAGTAGTTATTTACATAAGCGTACATCCCATTAACCGCCATCAGGGCTGGAAAACATGCTGAACTGTTCATATTTTCATATAATTATTGAACATAATGGTTTCATTTGCATTTCTAAACAGTGATGTTTCTGTCAGCCTTGGAAATAGTGTCTTTACGCAGTCCCTATTTCACATCCACTTATTTGACATCGTTAAATTTTATGCTAATGTGCTTCCCTAGAATATCATCAGTAGGACAGATGCTTGTGCTTTAATATACAAATCAGGGATGCTTTTCCATCCCCTAAATGGCAAAGGAAATTTTAAAAAATCCACACTTTTAGATACAGAGCCTGTCTCTATATAAATGGGTTTATGAAATAAAACTTCCACGGTTAAATGTTATAATCTGGTTGTCTCTTCAAAATGCTTCATTATGAATAACTATATACCTGACTAGGTTTGGTTTTGTTGTCTTGAATGAAGAGGTGAATCTTGATAAATATCATGTTCCTTATGAATATTTAGAGTTCTGCTTCTGAAATGTTGATCTTGAGATGCGAGTTTTTCAGTGGCTTTGAATATGTCGGGCCACAGTGTTAGTTCTTAAAGTATTCTCTATATTTTTGTTTCTTTAGTCACTTAACCCTGATTGTAATACCTTATGGTGGAAGCTGTTATGTTAATGTTCTTGGGCATCTTAGCTTTTTGTTTACATTTAAAAAATGTGTATTGTAAAATTATGAGTCACTTGGTGGGGGAGGCATGTCAAATGTGACAGCAGAACTAATGTGGAAGGATAGATTTATGGCAAAACTCTCTGCCTTTTGGAGCACTATCAGCTTGTCCATGTGCACTATTAGCTTTTGTTTCTCCAACACTTGTGGATGCTTTTGTGAATGCTGTCAGTCAGATGTCTGGAAAATTTTAAACAAGAACCACCAACTAAAGAATTGTTTTGAGAGTTGATTCAGATCTTTTTGGCAGTGAGACAGTGAACATGAAGTCACTGCCAGTTTTTGGTCTTTGTGGACCTTTTCCTTTCTTATGTCTGACAGCTCAGGGCGGCATTTTACTATTGACTCTTAATGGACCTGCAGTGCTATAGCTGAGTCTGCACAGTTCAAAATGCAAGGTTGGCAGTCTAGAAAGATTGGGTAAAGAAGCAGCTTTGAGAGGAGTTCCTGCCCCAAATTACTTGCTAAAAATATGTTAGAACTGATATAGCATAAAACTGATACAGCATAAAAGGATTATTTGGATAGAAGTGTTATTTGGCTTAACAGGTCAGGAGGCAACATAATTTTTGCAGTGACTTCTGTTTCTTGAGGAGTTGCCAGGCAAGAAATATGATAAGGATTTTGAAGAAACTACTATAGAGGTGGAGTTTCATAGCTGTTTATTTTTATTCCAGATTTTTCATTTTTTTCTCTATAATCTCTTAAAATGGTCTGAGATTAGCACTTTTCACAGTTGTTGAATCTTCTGAACTATCATGTTGGAAACATTGGATGTGCTCTTCTATCTAGGGAAAAATGTAGCCTTCATTTTTGCCACATGTGTTGCCAGACCGGACATCATATGAAAGTTGCAAAAAAAAAAATTCTGAAAATCCAGCCTCACTTAGAAGTGAGGCAATATTTTCATCTCTTTATAAAGCTATTTGTGATTGCGTTCTTCACCAACAATTTTTTTTTGCTGGAGGGGTGGTGGTAGGGGCAGTTTGCCACAAAGCTGAAGAAACGCATTCTGTCACCAAAAAATACCATTTACATTTTTTCTCCCTTTACAGATTTCTTCTTTTTCTGGAAAAAAGTTTAACATTTAAATGAAAATTTCATTTGCCTTTTTAGTATTAACGTGCCGTGATATTTAGTCTAACAACTTGTCCCTGAATATCTCTGTTGCTGTAACACTTTACCACCTTCAAGACAGCAAAGGAGGTGTGTTTTAAGTGCTATGCCACTGGTTTTCAATCCTTGACCTCAGAGGAAAAAATAATTCTACATTATGTTTTATGACAGCTTCTCTGTATGTTTTTTGTAAAGTTAAATATTCTAGACAAAGTCAGGTATTATCCATAAGATATCAAACAATTGGGAGAACTTTACCTGCTTGGTTATATTTATTTCCTCTTTTATAACCAGGGAAACACAATTACCACCTCTTTTTTAGAGATGATGAAAGTGCTTAGAAATAAAGCTCCAGCACCCTTAAATGCCTGAGCTCCACCTATTCTACAAGGCTGTGGGGACTCTTTGGCATCCTCTGTGTTGCATCTTTTCACTGAAACTTTAATTTGAATATTTGATTTTTCACCAAATGTATTTTCTTTATTTTTTCCATTGTTAGGATAATTACCCTTAGAATTCTGTAGCTTCTGGAGATATTTACAAATATATATCTGTTAATCTTTCCTTAACTCTATGCCTAGTGCTAGTATTTAAGGACATGGGAGCTTAGGGGCTACTTAATAATTAATGCCTTATTCAATTAAAAAATTTTAACCTGTGTTTTCCTGACTTTAAAAAAATACATGTTTATCATGGAATATTTTAGAATAATATAGAATATTGCTTCATTCCCAAATCATCAGTGTGTGTGGTATATTCATGTTTTTCATTTAATCATCACTGTAACAGCTAGATGAATAACAGTAGGTCTCGTTTGACATTACAGTGAAAGTTGAAGTTTTCAGATCTCTTGCCTTGAATTTTGTACCAATTTTATTTTATTAAAGGCAGAATATTAAATATCTGTTTAAAATACAATGGAAAAAATCAGCCAAGAGAAGTTTAATGCCATGTATTTAAAATAATTCTTGCCAGTTCAATTGCGAAAGTTCTCTGCTCAGTTTTGTGGTTAAATGATTAGGTCTTTCCAGTGGGGAAGGGCAGAAGGACTGAAAAGAAAGGGAAATGTAAAATTGAGGTGACTTTAGGGGAAATGTTGGGAATAGAAAATTTCCATGGAGTTCATTTAGTGCTTCAAACACCTGTGCTCTGCTAAGGCAGGTAGAGAACTCTGTATTGTGTGCAAATCACTGACCTCGCTAAAATTCCAGTTTCTTCTCTGCAAAATGAGGAGTAAATAATAGTATTCATTCCAGCAGGTTTACTGTGGAGACTAAATGAAAGAATGAGTATTAAATGCTTTGTACCATGACTAAGCACATTAGAATCATTCAAAAAGTGTTATTTATTTTCTGTCATTGACTCTCCAGAGGTGTGCAAAGCTAAAGTGACCCTGGCATCTTTACTCTTTTTCCTCCCATCTTCTAGTTCCTTGCTATTACAAGCATAGTCTATGGGTTTGCAATGTCAGCATCACCAACAATATGGGGAGCTTGTTAGAAATACAGATGCTTAGGCCTCATGCCAGACTTCACTTTTTCAGAATCTGTGTTTTAATAAGATCCCCAGGTGATCTGTACATTGAAGCATTGTTTGTACTCATTTCTTGGAAAAAACAATGTAAAAGACATGGGCAGTAGAGAAATATATCCTTTTGCTTTTGCTTTCTTTTCTAAGATCTCACAAATTTGTAGCTTTGGATGATGATGGGATGTGGAGTCTATTCTATTAACATGTATATTGCTGCTATTATTACCGTTATTATCATAGCATTATATTTGCTGCTATATTAACATAGCATAATATTAATGGAAGTGGATTATCCTGAAATTGTCAGAAGTGTGGTTCAAAGCTTCTATATGCATATTGATTTTCACCTACTTGTTGTATCAGTTATTGAGAAAGGGGTATTAATATCTCTGAGTGTAATATATTTGTGGATTTATCTATTTCTCTTCACAGTTTTGTCTTCTTATATTTTGAAATTCCATTTTTAGATGCACAAAGTTTGAGATTATTATCTTCTCCTAATGAATTCACCCCTTTATCATTATGAAATTACCTTGTTTATTCCTGGTAATATTCTTTGCCCTAAAATCTACATTACCTAAAGTTTATTGACCTACTCTAGCTTCTGATCAGTGTTATTATAGTGTATCTTTTTATATGCTATAACTTTTAAACTAATTGTGCCTTTGTATTTAATGTGCATTTTTTATAGCCAGATCATACATGGTTCTTGCTTTTTATTCCAATCTGACATCTATACTTTTAATTTGGATATTTAGAACACTTACATTTTATTTGATTCTTGATACAGTTAGGTTTGAGTTTGTTTTAGTTTGTTCCATTTGACCTTTGTTCCTCTTTTCCTTTTTTTCTGTGTTCTTTTGGATCAATTGAATATTTAAAATTTTCTATTTTATCTCTTTTGTTGGCTTATTAGCTATGGCTCTGTTCTGTATTTAGTGGTTGCTGTAAGGCGTATCTATACACCTTTAACAAATCAATTAACCTTCCAGTGATGGCTTATACTACTTTAGCTACTTTATGATAGTATAATACTATTTTTCTCTTTCTGATCATTGTGCTATTATCAAGATACATTTTAATTTTATACCCGTATTTTATTTTTATTTTTGTTAAATAATTATCTTGTAAGGAGATATTTATTTATTTATTTATTTATTTATTTATTTATTTATTTATTTATTGAGACGGAGTCTTGCTCTGTTGACCAGGCTGGAGTGCAGTGGCATGATCTTGGCTCACTGCAACCTCCGCCTCCCGGATTCAAGTGATTTTCCTGCTTCAGCCTCCCAAATAGCTGGGACTAGAGGCATACACCACCATGGCATGGCTAAGTTTTATGTTTTTAGTAGAGATGAGTTTCATCGTGTTGGCCAGGCTGGTCTTGAATTCCTGACCTCAAGTGATTTGCCTGCTTCGGTCTCCTGAAGTGCTGGGATTACAGGCGTGACCCACCATGCCTGGCCTTGTAAGGATATTTAAATAAGGAAAATAAATTTACTTCCTGTGCTCTGCATGACTTTGTATAGTCCACATTTTTGTTATTCCTTCTGTCTGGCAGACTTTCATTAATAGTTATTGTAGCTATGAATTCATTGCTTTTGAATTTACAAAAACGTCTTTATTTTGCAAGTTGTACTTTTCTGTTCAATTTTTAAAAAAATGTTGCTCCACTGTCATTATACTGTCATTTCTACCAATGAACTGAGTTACCCTTTGTTCTACTGACCACCTTCCTTTTTGCCTCCAGATACAGCCCATCCACTGTCTTCCATATCTGGAAATTATTGGGCAACATCTCATAGTGCTGACAAGTGCTCACATTATCATGATGGCAGATGGAGATTGATGACCAGAGTGTTAAGTTGGCAGCTAAACATGAGCTCAGATTGATGTCTTCAATGCCAATTAATTTAGACATGGATTATTTTAGCTTTCTTGCCTTTCTTGTCTGTAACTTCTCATTCAGTGAGAACCCTGCCTCCCAACTTCTGCCATCTATTTAATTGCTCAGTGCCAGTATAGGTTTATAGTGATTTTAGAATTATTAACTCATATTTACATGGGAAACAACTTATAAACTACAGTGCTAATGTATACTTCCTTCTACCTTTAGTCTTACTATCACCATTCACTTTTTAAAGTTAACTTAGGTCAACAGCTTTCCTCCCCTCTTTCAATGAGGTTATTACATACATTTGTAATATAGCTAGTAGTTTGTATTCCACCTTAGAATCCTCCAATCTCCTAAATGATTTTTAAAATATTTTCCTACACTAAGATTCACTTTTTTGCAGCAAAATTGTGTTTTAACAAATACAAAGTGTTATGTATTCACCATACAGTATCATACAGAACTAATCTACCACCTTACAATATATTCTATGCTTCACCTATTTAACTCTGCCTTCTCCCCAAGCCTCAGTCAACTTCTGATTTATTTGGAATCTGTATAGTTTTTGCCTTTTGCAGAATGCTATATAAGTGGAATCATGCAGTATTTAGCCTTTTCAGACTGGCTTTTTAAACTTAGCAATATGCATTTAAAATTCGTCTATATTTTTTCATTGCCTAATATTTCATTTGTTTTTAAGAGTGAATAATAGTCCATTATATGGATATACCATAGTTTGCTATTCTACTTTTATTAATTTTTAATTTTTGTGGTACATTAGTAGATATATATATTTATGGGGTACATGAGATATTTTGATATAAGCATGCAGTGTGTAATAATAATGCACTCATTTATTAAAGCACATCTTGGTTGCTTTTGGCTTTTGGTAATTATGAAAGAGCTACTGTAAACATTCATGTGCAAGTTTTTGTGTGGACATAAGTTTTCCAATCAGTTAGGTAAATACCTAGGAGCATGATAGCAGAAGTGTGTGGTAACACTGTGTTTAGCTTTGTAAGATGCTGTAAAATTTTGATTGAGATTGTGTTGAATATATATATCAATTAGGGAGAATTGGATTTAATATTGAACTTTGCAATTCATGAATGTGGTACATCTCTCAAGTTATTTAGATGTAAGAAGTTTCTTCTGTGAGTGTTTTGTAGTTTTCTGCTTGCAGACCGTACGTCTGTTGTCATATTTTATCTACTTTTCTTTGTATTTTTTGAAGATTTCAGACCCCAAATTTTCATTCCTGGTATAAAGGAATAAAGTTGACTTTTCTATGTTGATCTTGTGTCCAATGACTGCTAAAGTCACTTTTTAGTTTTATGAGGTTTTTTTTGTAGATTCTTTGCAGTTTTTATGTGAGCAATTGTGTTATCTGTAAATAAGGACAGTTTCATCTTTTCCTTTCTAATCTGTATGCTTTTTATTTCTTTTTCTTGCCTTGTTGCACTAACTAGAATTTCCAGTACAATGTTGAGTAAAAGCTGTGGTAAAGGGCATCCTCTTCTTGTTCTGGATCTTAGTGGAAAAGCAAATTACTCTCTTACCATTAAGTATGATTTTTAGCTATAAGTTTAACATAGATACCTTTATTTAGATTAAGGAAGTTCTTTTCTATTCCTAGTGTGCTGATACTTTTTGGTTACAAGTGGATGTTGAATTTTCTTGAAAGCTTTTTTTGTGTAAATTGATCTGATCATATAGTTTTGCTGATGATTAATTTTTGAATATTAACCAGCTTTGCATTTCTGGGCTGAAGCCCACTTGATATTGAAATGTTATCCTTTTATGTGTTACTGGATTTTATTAGTTAATATATTGTTAAGAATTTTTGCTTAATGAGAGACAGTCATTAGTTTTCTTGGAATGACTTCATCTAGTTTTGTAGCATCATAGTGCTGGCCTGAAGGAATGAGTTGTGAAGCATTTCCCCCTCTTCAATTTCCTGCAAGAGTTTGTATAGAATGAGTTTAATCTTTTCTCTTAAATTCGTGTTAAAATTTACTAAGAAACTCTCTGAGCCTGGAGTGAGTTTTTTCCCCTTTCTAATGGAAGCATTTTTAACTACAAATTCGATTTCTTACAGGCCTTGTATGGATTTAATCCATATGGAACCACTCAGATTACCCAATTTTTCTTGAGTAAGCTTTGGTAGTTTGTCTTTCAAGGAATTTTTAAAATTTTATCATTGTCTTTATTTATATGTCTCAAGTTGGAGTAATACAGGAATTTAAGAATTAACTGAATTGGCTCGTTAAATTATATCAGTTTTAACTAACTTGCAATAAAAACAGCAAATTTCTTTCTAACTTAAAAAAGGAATGCATAAAACTTAGTTGTTTTCTTCTTATGGAGGAGTTGCTGTTTGTCATTTCTTAAGCTTTGTGTCCTGTAGTTGACTAGAGGGAGACATTGTTCTTAAGACGCTAAAGTAATTTATTTTTATTTATTTTAGCAACTTACAGACAATTCAGCTATCTGGAACATATAAAATTTTTTTTGTTTTCATGACTGGGTCTTGCTTTGTCACCTAGACTGGAGTGCAGTGGCACAATCATAGCTCACTGCAACTCTAGCTCACTCGCTCAAGCAATCCTCTCGCCTCAGCCTCCCAAGTAGATAGGACTACAGTTGCGTGTCACCACACCTGGCTAATTTAAATTTTTGTGTGTGTGGAAAGAAAGGTCTCACTGTGTTGCCCAGGCTGATTGAACTTTTGAGCTCAAGCAGTATCCCCTTCGGCCTCTCAACGTGCTGGGATTATGGGTGTGAGCTACCGCACCTGGCCCATGAAGATTTTTAATAGCTAATTATTACCATGTTATTGCAAACTAACTTGGGAGACTGTGTGACCAGTGTGAATATATTTATCTAGGATTGCAGAGCAGAATTTGCAGCTGTGTGAATCCAGAATATATATTACCTATTATTTGTATACAAACATAAAATTGTGAATTATTTACAATAAATTATGTTAATTGAGCAGTTCTCCCCCTTTTTATAATGTACAGCATTATGAAATGAACATTATTTATAATTTAAGTTCACAGAAGAATCCCTGTTTTCAAAGCCAAATTGGAGTAAGCTTTCTTATCCTAGGCTTACTTAGTAGTGCCAGAATTGAATCAGAGTCTATGTGGTACATTTGGTCCCAGTTCTTTTTCTGCTTCCTATATCAAATTTTCCACATGGCTTTGAAGATTCATATATTTACCCTTCTGTTGACTTTGAGTATAACTTACTCTGACCAAATAGAATAAAGCTGAAGTGATAGCTAATATGCTTTTTTTTATTATTATACTTCAAGTTCTAGGGTATATGTGCACAATGTGCAGGTTTGTTACATATGTATACATGTGCCATGTTGATGTGCTGCACCCATTAACTCGTCATTTACATTAGGTATATCTCCTAATGCTATCCCTCCCGCCTCCCCCCACCCCACGACAGGCCCCGTTGTGTGATGTTCCCCTTCTTGTGTCCACGTGTTCTCATTGTTCAATTCCCACCTATGAATGAGAACATGTGGTGTTTGGTTTTTTTGTCCCTGCGATAGTTTGCTGAGAATGATGGTTTCCAGCTTCATCCATGTCCCTACAAAGGACATGAACTCATCCTTTTTTATGGCTGCATAGTATTCCATGGGTGTGTATGTGCTGCATTTTCTTAATCCAGTCTATCATTGTTGGACATTTGGGTTGGTTCCAAGTCTTTGCTATTGTGAATAGTGCCACAGTAAACATATGTGTGCATGTGTCTTTATAGCAGCATGATTTATAATCCTTTGGGTATATACCCAGTAATGGGTTGGCAGGGTCAAATGATATTTCTAGTTCTAGATCCTTGAGGAATCGCCACACTGTGTTCCACAATGGTTGAACCAGTTTACAGTCCCACCAACAGTGTAAAAGTGTTCCTATTTCTTCACATACTCTCCAGCACCTGTTGTTTCCTGACTTTAATGATCGCCATTCTAACTGGTGTGAGATGGTATCTTGTTGTGGCTTTGATTTGCATTTCTCTGATGGCTAGTGATGATGAGCATTTTTTCATGTGTCTGTTGGCTGCATAAATGTCTTCTTTTGAGAAGTGTCTGTTCATATCCTTCACCCACTTTTTGATGGGGTTGTTTTTTTTGTGTAAATTTGTTTGAGTTCTTTGTAGATTCTGGATATTAGCCCTTCGTCAGATGAGTAGATTGCAGAAATTTTCTGTAGGTTGCCTGTTCACTCTGATGGTAGTTTCTTTTGCTGTGCAGAAGCTCCTTAGTTTAATTAGATCCCATTTGTCAATTTTGGCTTTTGTTGCCGTTGCTTTTGGTGTTTTCGACATGAAGTCCTTGCCCATGCCTATGTCCTGAATGGTATTGCCTAGGTTTTCTTCTAGGGTTTTTATGGTTTTAGGTCTAACATTTAAGTCTTTAATCCATCTTGAATTAATTTTTGTATAAAGTGTAAGGAAGGGATCCAGTTTCAGCTTTCTACATATGGCTAGCCAGTTTTCCCAGCATCATTTATTAAATAGGGAATCCTTTCCCCATTTCTTGTTTTTTTCAGGTTTGTCAAAGATCAGATAGTTGTAGATGTGTGGTATTATTTCTGAGGCCTCTGTTCTGTTCCATTGGTCTATATTTCTGTTTTGGTACCAGTACCATGCTGTTTGGGTTACTGTGGCCTTATAGTATAGTTTGAAGTCAGGTAGCGTGATGCCTCCAGCTTTGTTCTTTTTGCTTAAGATTGTCTTGGCAATGTGGGCTCTTTTTTTGGTTCCATATGAACTTTAAAGTAGTTTTTTCTAATTCTGTGAAGAAAGTAATTGGTAGCTTGTTGGGGATGGCATTAAATCTGTAAATCACCTTGGGCAGTATGGCCATTTTCATGATATTGATTCTTCCTATCCATGAGCATGGAATGTTCTTCTATTTGTTTATGTCCTCTTTTATTTCGTTGAGCAGTGGTTTGTAGTTCTCCTTTTTAAACCTGTGCTTTAACAGGAGGCATTGAGTGTTTCTGCTTGCCCTCTTGCTTTTCTGTCATCGTCATGAGAAATATACTC
Source organism: Homo sapiens (assembly GCF_000001405.40). NCBI lineage: Eukaryota > Metazoa > Chordata > Mammalia > Primates > Hominidae > Homo > Homo sapiens. The sequence goes on from NC_000018.10 coordinate 36,910,907, forward strand.
AGGAAAAGAATGAAGAGTCTGAAACTAATCCACCTCCTAGCTGCCCACTGTAGATATGTGCTATATATTATCAGTACCCCAAAGCTCCCCTTGTACCTCCTTTCAATCACTACTACTCTCCAATGGTGGCTTTCCTGACTGACGACCCACAGATTACATTTTACCCTCTTCCCTTTTGCATCCTCCGTTTGGCAGAAATTCTGAGGGAAAATTAGCCTTATGCTGGAGGCTGCCCAGATCTACCAAAAGCCCTCTTAGTTTTATATACTATCTTATGATGAAAAGATAACTTTATAAGACAGTAAACTAATGCCTAGGTTTAGTTTATAAAAATTACTAGAATCACCTTACAGTGATTCCTAAGGTCTTGGCATTTTTAGCCTGTTATTCTACCTCTTCTATGAGAATACTCTAATTAGGAATTCGAATTGTGACTATGAATTCTTGTTAGCCATCAAAAGGCATGACATTCTTTACTCTAAAATACTTAGCTTTCCGAGGCAGGAGAGAATACTAATGAGTGTTTAAATAAAAACAGACCTTGGTTATATATCAATTAACCAGATTTCTATTTTCTCTTTAGGTTTAACTTTCTACTACCTCAGTGTAACCTTGTACAAAAGCATTCCATGTAGAGTACCTGCTTTTTTAAACTACTTTACTTTCTTACAGAGTAAGCCATCTGCTTTCTAAAGCATTGAGACAAGAAACACAGACTCAGTGAAAAACATACTATGAAGCCATGTAGTATAGTGCTGGAAAAAAGTACAAGACCTACTTAGATTCAACGCAAGTATATATTCCTTTTTAGCTGCATGAACCTGATCAAATTACTTTTTAAAGCCACAATTTATCCCTTTATGGTCTGTGGATATGTAACAGCTTCGACCTTATACAGTTGAGATTATATGCTGTAACAAATGCATGTAAAGGCTTAGCACAGTGCCTGGTGTGGCATAAGCAGTCAGAAAGAGCTCCTTGACATTATCATTATTATAATTATTACTGTTACTGTTAAATATTTTACTGGGAATAGGAAAATCTAAGCAATTTTTGAAGGCTTTACTGAGTGAGAAAAAAATACTTATTCTTTCTCCATAGTTCTATACATTTTAAATTTTAATATTCTTTAGTTGATTATTGCTAAGACCTTGAAACACCCTTTTCCCCTTCAAATCTCTGTTAATCTTCAAGTTAAAATTTTCTGTTTATATGCATTCTTGAAAGTATATGTATTCACTTCCTATTACAGTATCAATTACCACAAATTTAGTGGCCTAACACAAAAGAAATTCTTATCTTACAGTTCTGGAGGTCAGAAATCCAAAATCAATCTCAATGGGTTAAAATCAAGGTGTCAGCAGGACTGTTACCCTTCTGGAGGCTCTAGGGAAGAAGTCTGTTTTGAAAATTCCTTTCTGTCTCTTCTTCAGGCTGCCCATATTCCTTGGCTCCTGGCTCTGTATCACTTCAACATCTAACATCATCACATCTCCTTTTCTGACTCTCTTTTTCTTCTCTATTATAAGGACTCCTGTAATTACATTGGGCTTACCCAGATAATCTTCTCATTCCTAATTTAATCACATCTGCAAAGTCCCTTTTGCCAAGTAATGTAACATATTTGCAGGTTTTGGGGATTAGGATGTGGACATCTGTGGGTGTACCGTTACTCCGCCTGCCTACCACAGTCTGCCTTCTGGCCCCCAGAGATTTATGTCTGTTCTACATGCAAAATATATTCACCCCATCCCAACATTCCCAAAGTCTAATGCTGCATTCCCATTGCAGCATCATTTCAAAGTCCAAAATCTCTTTTAAATCTTATCAGCTCAAAAGTTTCGAACCGTATGAACTCAATCATCTAGATTAGGCATGGGTGAGAGTCTGAGAATGATCTTTCCTAAGGTACAGTTCCTATCTATCTGTGAAATTCTGAAATTCAGACAGGTTATTTGCTCCCAAAATGGTGGGGCAACGATGGGATAGCAATTATAAACATTCCCGTTCAAAAAAGGAGAAAATAGAAGGAGAAATGGAGTTACCTGTTTTAGTCAATTTCATAATCCAGCCTGGGAAAAACATCCTCTGTGATTTGAGGGTCCACACTTGTGGGCTCAGGGCTCTGCCCTTTAGATCATCCTTCCTTTTTCATGAAAGGTGGCACATGTTTGTGGCTGAGCAGTTTCATCAGCCTGTTTCCTGCCTGTGGTATTTTGGGAGTCTGAGAGTCTTTTTTGAAATTTTGTTTAAAATTTTGTCTTCTCTTTCCCCCTTTCAATTTAAACTGGCAGTGTTTCTGTTTATGTAATGTTCTGAAGAACTTTTGGGGCCTAGTACAGTGGCTCATGCCTGTAATCCCAGTGCTTTGAGAAGCCAAGGTGGGAGGATCACTTGAGGCCAGGAGTTTGAGACCAGCTTGAGCAACATAGTAAGACCTTGTCTCTACAAAAAAAAAAAAAAATTTTTTAAGAACCTTGTAGATTTTCTGTGTATGTTGGGGATTCATTTTTTTTTTGATAAGAGGCTCTTCCATAAATCTTTCCTGGATGTACAAAGGCAATTACAACCTTACACACACACACACACACACACACACACACACACACACACACACTTAGAGGAAAGCAACTGCCTACACACACACACACACACACACACACTACTTAGAGGAAAGCAACTGCCTGCCCAACCTTGGACTAATAGTCATCCTTGTTATTGATCCTTGTAGCCAAGGATTATTGTCTCCAAACAATTATGTAATCCTGCTCATTTTCCCTTTAAAAATCTTTTTTCCTTTACCTCTGTGAATATGCACATAGTTTACAATGGCATGTGTATTTCCATTGCAATGCCCTATTCCCAAATAAATATAATTTTCTTTTATTGAGCCTCTTTCTGTTACTTAAGTTGACAAATGGTGTCAGAAGTGGAATCTGAAGAAGGGTCACCATCAGTGTTTTCCTGTGTTTTTACTGAGTTTTTGACCATCAGTTGCTTGTGTGCTTTGTGATTTTATCTTTTGGAATTTTTTGAGGCTTGTGATTAAGGTAGGTTTATCCAAAGTAGATTTGAGTTTTTTTCATGTACTTTGTGGATGCTGTCATGTGGTAATCTCTGTAATCTAGATTGTCATCTTGTACCATCTAAGTGGTATAAATTTTACCTGAAAATATACAAGAAGGAAGGCTCATAATAACAAATTCTTAGGGCGATTTGTGTGGCCACTTTAGTTTTTCATTTTCCTACCATACTATCTGTAAATATAATACAGATGGAGTGAAGAAATGCAAGAAACAAAGCCTGCTCAGCTAAATCTATCTCTTTTTTGTGTGCCATAGCATATAAACATGTGTTCCATAAGGGAAGGCGCTGTGATAAGACAGCAGAAAATCTTGGACCTGGTGGGAGAAGAGGATTAGGTATTAGCTTTAAGTTTTGATTATCTTAATAAAAACCTCAAGGAATTTTATAAAACAAAAATAAGAAAACCTCCCAGAAGTAAGTGAGTTTAATAATATTACAGGATCCAGGGCCGGGCGTGGTGGCTCATGCCTGTAATTCCAGCACTTTGGGAGGCTGAGGTGGGGGGATCACAAGGTCAGGAGTTCAAGACCAGCTTGGCCAACATGGTGAAATCCCATCTCTACTAAAAATACAAACATTAGCCAGGCGCAGTGGCGGGTGCCTGTAATCCCAGCTACTTGGGAGGCTGAGGCAGGAGAATTGCTTGAAACCAGAAGGCAGAGGTTGCAGTGAGCCGAGATCATGCCACTGCACTCCAGCCTGGGCAAAAGAGGGAAACTCTGTCTCATTTAAAAAGTTAGATAAAAAAATATATATATTACAGGATCTAAGAAAAACATACAAATATCTATCACAAGGAAAAATTGGAAACTGAAATTTTAAAAATAGCACCATTTATGATACTTTACCTCAAAATGAAACAGGTATTAAATATACAGAGAATCTGTATGCTGAAAGCTACAAAATACTTATGAAAGAAATGAACAGATTGACTACATTCATGGAGTAGAAGATTCAACATAGTGAAGATGTTAATTATCCTGGATTGGTAAGGAGATCCCAATCAAAATCCTAGCAAGATTCTTTGCAGCTATTCACAAGATGATTCTAAAATCTTTATGGAAAGTTAAAGGAGCTAGAATGCTAAAACACTTTTTTAAAAGATGAAAAAAGTTAGAAAACTCACACTAACCAATTGTAAGGCATACTGTAACACTACAGTAATCCAGTACAGTACTGGTGAAAGGACAGATCCATAGATTAATGGAGCAAAACTGAGATTCCAGAACTGGACCCATGCAAATATGGTCAGTGGTTTTGACAAAGTTGCAGTGGTGACCTGGCTTATGGAATATTTTCTGATATGAAACCAAAAGTATGATACATAAAAGAAAAAACATGATTAATTGGATTTTAGTTTTATCTTTGAAAGATACTGTTAAAGAGAATGGGGAAAAAAACTATTCTCCCGTAGGTTGGGGAAAAAGAATTTTGCAAATTAATATCCAGAGGTATATTCAGAATATCTAAAGAAGTCTGAAAACTCAACAATAAGAAAACAATCTAACAAAAAGGCAAAGGTTTTAAGTGACACTTCACCAAGGACAGCATAGTACGGCAATAAACACATGAAAACATGTCCAACATCTTTACTCATTAGGGAAATGCAAATGAAAACTACAATGAGATAGTATTATCTTACACACCTTCTAGAATAGGTAAAGTAAAAAACAATATTGACAATATTAAATACTGTCAGGGATGCAGGGGAACTGAAATTCTCATATGTTGCTCATGGTATACATATACAAAATGGCATGGCATTTTAATAAAACATTTGGCAGTTTCTTATAAAAGTTAAGCTTATTTTTTGACTCAGCAATCCCACTCCTAGGCATTCATCCTACAGAAATGAAAAGTTATGATCACACAACATACTCTAGAAACATGTATATAGCAGCACTATGCATAATTGCCAACAATGAAAACAACTCAAATGTCTTTCAGTGAGTGGGTGAATACAAACAGGTAGAGCCACTGTTTCTGATAAGTGTGTCCCATTAGAATTTATCACATCATTTTTCACTCATGTGTAATGTGTTGTCTTTTCAATGTATGTTTCTAAATGTAGTTTTGTTTTCTTTGTGAGGTTCACTGAGCTTTTTGAACATAAACATTTATATCTTTCAACTATTTGGGGTAATTTCAGCCATTATTTCTTGCAGTATATTTTCCAACTTTTTATTTTGCTTTTCTCACACTGGGATTCCAATTTATATATATATGTACCTGCTAATATTGTTGCAAAATTCATTGAATCTGTTTATTTTTAAAATCCTTTGTCTTTCTGTTTCTTAGATTAGATGATGCATATTGATCTGTCTTAAAGCTCACTGACTCAATCTTCTGACATCTCCAGTTTTCTTTTTAGAAGCTTTTTCAGTGAAATTTTTCATTTCAGATATTGAATTTTTCGATTTAAAAGTATCCATTTTGTTATTTTTATAGTTTTTCTTTTTCTGTTCAGATTTTCTTCATCTGTTTATTCTTTATGAATATAATTATAGTAGCTACTTTTAATCTCTTTTAGATAACTCCAAAATCTGGGTCATTTTTGTTGTTGTTTTTTATTTTTTAAATGCTGCTACCATTTACTGATCACTTGTACCAGTCATTGTCCTAAGCAATTTATAGAAATAAACCCATTTAATCCTTACATGTGGGTCAGGAGCTATTATCATCTCCATCGTACAGATAAGTAAGGAGGCACAGAGAGGAAAATTCTTTCCTGACAGCAGTTAATGAATGTGGTTTCTTACGTATTTGTTAAAACAGCTGCCATTTTTTATTTGTTTGTTTGTTTAGAGACAGAGTCTCGCTATGTTGCCCTTGCTGGCCTTAAATTCCTGGGCTCAAGTAATCCTCCCACCTCAACCTCTCAAGTAGCTGAGACTATAGGCATCTGCCACTGTACCCAGCTCACTTCATTTTTTTTTTTTTTTAAAGAAAAGTGATGGAGTCAAAAGGTCCACTATTAAAAACAAAACAAAACAAAATTCCCTAGGTTAAAAAAGCAAAAACAAAAAAAATCTTAGCATCAGAGTCCACTGGGTTAAAAATAATGAGAATAAAAAATCCCTGCTCATAACATCCTCCTTCTAGAATGGTTGGAAGGTCAGAGCATTTTTATAACAAAGTCTTTCATTTCCATTGATTTCCTTCATGGGTCATGTTTTCTTGTAATTTGGAATATCTCCTCCATATTATGAATGACATATTGTAGACAGTTTATATTCTGTTGTAGTCCTCTGAAGAGGTTTTTTTTGTTTTGTTTTGTCTTGTTTGTTAAGAGGCAGGGTCTTGCTATGTCACCCTGGCAGCTCAAGCAATCCTCCTTCCCCAGCTTCCCAAGTATCTGGGACTACAGCTGTGTGCCACCACACCCAGCTACTTAAAATTTTTTTTCTTTTTAGAGATGGGGTCTCACTATGTTGCTCAGGTCGGTCTTGAACTTGTGGCCTCAGACAATCCTCCTGCCTCAGTCTCCTGAGTAGCTGTGATTATAGGCTCAAACCACAGTGTCAGGCCTCTGAAGAGTTTTGAACTTTGTTTTGTTTTGCCTGAATTCAAACTCCAAACTCTTGTTTTCTGAAATTGGGCAGTAGCTGAAATTTTTTATTAGTTCATTTAGTCCTAACTGAGCTGCCTGGAGACTTCTCTGTGTATGTATATGCCAGACAGAGATTTAGACAGAATTTAATATATAGGATTTGTGCAGTTCCTTTCTCCTTCCTTCAATATCCCACCTCAGTTTCCATCTGACATTGTCATCCTTAACTCTGTTTTCTGATTTAACAACAGATAAGACTGTTTTTATCTGAGATTTAGCCTTTCTGCTCAGGATTGACTGAGGCCTACACTCAGGCAAAAAGTCATAAGAATGAAAAATTCACCCACTGTCAGTCCCTTCTAGTTGGCACCTCCCCTCCCATTTTTCCTGTTTCTGGCTCATCTCCAGCGATTTTAGACAGTTGTGTGTTTTTTTTTGTTTTTGTTTTTTTTAAGAGTTTTTATGTCTAGAGCTCTAAGTTGTTTTCTATGGGAGGATTGGTTCAAATATTGTGAGACGACTTCATCATTACAGGAAGTTGGACTCCTGTTATTTTTCTTTTGATTTGTGTCATATCTGTAGTAACACATCCTCTTTTTGCCTTATATTGGTAATAAATATTCCCCCCCTTTTTTGTATCCAATCAGTCTCTGATTTTTCCCCTTTTCCATCAGTCTTGCAGAGTATTATCAGTTTTATTTATATTCAAAAAGCCTTCTTTTGACGTTCTTACTTTTCCTTCATGTTTGTTTTTTATTTTCTTGATATCTGCTCTAGTATTTATTTCCTTCCTTCCATTTACTTTGGGCTTAATTTGCTCATCTTTTTCTAGCAACTTAAGATGCAAATGAAGATCATTGTTTTTAAGCCTTTTTTTTTTTTTTTTTGAGACGGAGTCTTGCTGTGTCGGCCAGGCTAGAGTGCAGTGGTGCAATCTTGGCTCACTGCAACCTCCGCCTCTTGGGTTCAAGCAGTTCTCCTGCCTCAGCCTCCCAAGTAGCTGTGATTACAGGTGCGCACCACCATGCCTGGCTAACTGTTTTGTATTTTTAGTAGAGACGGGGTTTCACCATGTGGGCCAGGCTGGTTTTGAACTCCTGACCTCAAGTGATCCTCCTGCCTTGGCCTCCCAAAGTGCTGGGATTACATGCGTGAGCCACTGCGCCCGGCCTTTCTATATTTTTAATAAGCATTTGAAGATATAAATATCCATTTAAGCTTTGCTTTAGCTGTATCTCACAAATTATGAAGTACTATATTTGCATTATCATTCAGTTTAAATTATTTTAACATAATTTATTCCTTCTTTGATATGAGTTATTCTGAAGTATATTGTTACTGATTTTTTACTGTTATTAACATTTCTTTGTGTTTAGATACTCTGTATAATTTTAGCCTTTTAAAATTTAGTGAAACTTGTGTTATGGCCCAGTATGTAGTGTATCTTGATGAATATTCTCTGTGCACTTGAAAATAATGTATATTTTACAGCTGTTGGGGTAGGGCTTTCTAAATTTAATTGTCAGTTGCATTAAGGTACTTGATAGTGTCATTTGAAACAATGTTACTAGGGTTTTATTCCTTTATTATTATTATACATATATGATCTATTTTATCATCATGAAATTTTCCTCCATACTTGTTAATACTTCTCATGAAATCCATTTTGTTTGATAGTAATATGGTCACAAAACTCTCTTATGGTTATTGTTTGTACAGTATGTCTAGTTTCATTCTCTATACTTGCAACTTGTCTGTTTTATTTTCAGTGTATCTCTTATAGACAGCATATAGTTACATCTTGCTGTATGTATGTGTGTGTGTATTTTATGGGGGTTGGTCTTGCTTTTTTATACAGTCTAACAATTCCTGCCTTGTGATCATGAGTTCTTAGTCTGTTATACTTAAGTACCACATTTTCTTTATCCAGTCCACTGTTGATTCCATGTCTTTGCTACTGTGAATAGTGTTGCGAGGAACATAGAGTGTTGCAAGTACATGTCTTTTTGTTAGAACGATTTATTTTCTTTTGGGTATATACCCAGTAATGGGATTGCTGGGTCGAGTGGTAGTTCTTTACTTTAAGTTCTTTGATAAATCTCCAAACTGCTTTCCACAGTGGCTGAACTAATTTACATTCCCACCAGCAGTGTATAAGCATTCCCTTTTCTCCACAACCTCACCAACATCTTTTATTTTTTATTTTTATTGATAGCCATTCTGACTAGAGTGAAATGATACCTCATGGTTTTGATTTGCATTTCTCTAATGATTAGTGATGTTGAACTTTTTAAAATATATTTGTTGGCTGCATCTTTGTTTTCCTTTGAGAAGTGTCTGTTCATGTCCTTTGCCCATTTTTAAAAATGGGGTTATTTGGCTTTTGCTTGTTTAACTTCTTAAGTTCCTTATAGATTCTAGATATTAGACCTTTGTTAGATGCACAGTTTATGAATATCTTCACCCGTTCTGTAGGTTATTTATTTACTCTGTTGATAGTTTCTTTTGCTGGGCAGTGGTCCCACTTGTCAATTTTTGTTTTTGTTGCAGTTGCTTGTAGGAACTCGGTCATAATTTTTATGCCAACGCCAATATCCAGAATGGTATTTCCTAGGTTTTTATCTAGGATTTTTATAGTTTGAGATCTTATAAGTCTTTAATCCATCTTGAGTTAATTTTTGTATATGGTAGAAGGCAGGGGCCTAGGTTCATTCTCCTGCATGTGGCTAGGCAGTTATCCCAACACCATTTATTGAATAGAGAGTCCTTTCCCCATTGCTTATTATTGTCAACATTGTGGAAGATTAGAGGTTGTAAGTGTACAGCTTTATTTCTGTGTTCTCTATCCAGTTCCATTGGTCTATGTGTCTTTTTTTTTGTGCCAGTACTGTGCCATTTTGGTTACTATAGCCTTGTAGTATAGTTTGAAGTCAGGTAGTGTGATGCCTCTGGTTTTGCTCTTTTTGCTTAGGATTGCAAAGTTTAGTCTTTGTTCACACAATCATTTGGAATCAATGTGGGTCTTGCATTAAAGCTTTATTAGAATGTGTCCAGGTCAACCTTTATCCTGGGGCTAATTTAGCCCCATTTCTAAGATATGGCCTCTCTGAGGACCCTATCAAATATCTTGTGTATTACATAGTTTTTGTACTCTGGCTGATGACAGTGCTACCTGGTTTTGACCCTGTGTGAACTCTGGCAGTTGTTCAGCCTTCTGCTTTCCAGTGTTTTTTTTCATTGGCCACAGGTGTTTCATTCCATAAGTATATGGATTAATACTCAGCCAAAGATGAGAGCATCCCTTTGCAGACCCTCAGAGCTCTCTGTGCAGCTTTCCCCTCTCTAGTACTCTGCCCTGTGAAGTCTAGCTAGCATCCTTAGCTTCCATGCATGCCAGTCTCTCTGCGTAACTCAGCAAGACCACCAGGTTCCGTTAGTATTTCCTTTCACTGTGCTGTGGCCTGGCAACTGCCTTTAGGCAACAAGCTGGGATGATCGAGTCACCCAATTTTTTTACCTTTTCTCTGGCAGCATATCCTCCTCTGTCCTTTCTCCAACATCTGGAACTGTTGTTTCATACATTTTTTTTTCATTTTTCTAGTTGTTTATAGCATGAGGACAATTCTTGTCCCAATTTATTCATCTTGGGTGGAAGCAGAAGCTCCTGAAAAGACAGTATTTATGGTCATCATTACCAGAGGGTTATTTTTTTTTTTTTGTAGGTCAGGTTGAATGAAATTCTAGATATATTTTTACTTTAAGCCATCTTTGATTTTAAATTTCATAAATTAACAACAGAAGATGAATTAGAGAAGAAAAATAGCCTATAAAATTAGGAGTTATACTTTTCTTTACTTATTATTTGTTTGTTTGTTTTTGAGATGGAGTCTCGCTTTGTCACCCAGGCTGGAATGCAGTGGCGTCATATCGGCTCACTGTAAGCTCCACCTCCCGGGTTCACGCCATTCCTCTGCCTCAGCCTCCCAAGTAGCTGGGACTACAGGCGCCCACCACCACACCGAGCTAATTTTTTTGTATTTTTAGTAGAGACGGGGTTTCACTGTGTTAGCCAGGATGGTCTCGATCACCTGACCTCGTGATCCACCCACCTCAGCCTCCCAAAGTGCTGGGAATACAGGCGTGAGCCACTGTGCCCGGCCTTTTCTTTACATTTTTAACAGACATCCAACTTACAGATTTACTATGACTTGTGTGGTTCATTCTCTTCACTATCAGAATCTTCCAAGATTCATATCAGTTACTGAATTTTGTCAAGCTCCCTAGTTATGGTTGTGTTTTATTCTAAGAACCCACCCCTAGTACTTGCTTTCCCTTATTCTCATATTTTAAAGTACTTATTTCAGAAGTGGTTTGGGAATTTTTGAAAATATTTTTTTTTTTGAGACAGAGTCTCGCTCTTGTCCCCCAGGCCAGAGTGCAATGGCACGATCGTGGCTCACTGCAACCTCCACCTCCCAGCTTCAAGCAATTCTCCTGCCTCAGCCTCCAGAGAATACTTTTTTTTTTTTTAAACAAAGACAACCTATATGTAGCTAGTCAAGTCATGGCACTCCCTTTTAATTTTCTCTTGAAGATTACCTAGATTTTAGCAGGATAGGAATAGCATTTAATACTATTCTTAGGTTTTTCCAAGTATTAATGCCGTTGTCTTTGTTTGCTGTGTCTAGAATGTAGTTGTCTCCCTCTTGACCACACAATTCTTAAGTAGGTAGGCTCTGCCTTGTCTTCCTTTTATTTTGTGTATGGTTCCGTACTTGAACTTGATTCAAACATGTCTATCCACCTTCCCCAATACCATCTCTCAGTTGGCAACTTGTTCTGGCTCTTTAACTGAAGCATGTAGTTGATATGCTGATTTTTTTCAATAATAGATTTTATATTTGGGTATTCCCACATCATCATGGGAAATTTTTTGAAGAATCCATCATATTAAACATTCTTTCTGGTTCAGTTATTGAAAAGTTTGTTTATATTTTGCCACAGGGGTTTGTGTGGTTTTATTGTAGGATGCTTTTTTTGTTGTTGATTCTGATTTACTTGGCTGGCCTATGAATGCCATTCTGAATTGGTTACTAAAAATGTTTATATTTAGACCTGGACAGATAATTTTTTCTTTCGTTTTATGAGTAGCTTTTTAAAATAAAAAACTTTTTAACTCAACAGAAGTCTAAAGAAGGTGGATCATTTAGTATTTAATGGGGAACACAAGTGTTGAGGTAATGAGTATATGAGATATTCGAGTTTCATTTTTCAAGTTACTTAGGTTAGAATTTTTTTTCGTAGTAGGGATTATTTGGGGGTCATTTTACGTACTGCCTTGAGAAGAGTCTTGGTGCCTTTTGTTATTAAAGTATTGCAATAGGTAATGTTTGCAAGGTATTACAATATATTGATACACTTTAATATTATATATAGTATTCCTCCATGTCAATAAGTATTGAAGATGTTTATGATTGATTTTTTCCTTTAATTTTTTCTTACTTTTCACTTCTTGACTTCATACATCAAAGAAGAAATCCAGAGTGAAATTAGAGAGTATTTTGAACTAAATGAAAATGAAAACACAACACAACCTGCTAAAATTACTTAGATGTATCTAAAGCAGTACTTAAAGGGAAATTTTACCACTGAAATCCTACATTAGAAAAGAAGAAAGGTCCCAAATCAGTAAAATCAGCTTTCACCTTAAACTAGTAAAAGCAAAACAAATGAAACCAGAAGTTTACAGGATTATAATAAGGATCATGGAGGAAATCAATGAAACAAACAACAGAAAAGCAATAGAGACAATGAAGCCAACCTGGCTATTTGAGAAGATAATAACATTGTTAAAATTCTGTCATATTAATCAGTCAAAAGAAGAGAGAAGACAAATTACCAAATTAGGAATGACAGAGGTCTCATCTCTACAGATTCTATAGATCTTAAAAAAAGGGGATTATTATAAGTAACTTTATACATATAAGCTTTACAATTTACATGAAAGGGATAAATAGATAAGTTGATTTGTATATCATTAAAGAAATTGTATTTGTAGTTAAAAACCAGCAAGCGAAGTGTAAAGAAAAGAACATTCTAGACAGACAGACATATCCCAAGATACACAGAAATACCAAGCATAGAGCTACACTGTATAGTATGGTGACCACTAGCTATATGTGACAATTTAAATTTAAATTAATTATAATTCAGTAAAATAAATTTTGTACCTGTTACATTTGCCACATTTTAAGTTATCATTTACCTACATGTGACTGGTATTATGTAGAACATAAAGAACATTCACATCAACAAAGTTCTACTGGACAGAGCCATCATAATGTGTTTAGGAAACTTCAGGAGTTCTGATTTGATGAGAGTGTAGGTTGCAATGGTGAGATGGAAGTTGCAAAGGCAAGTTGGAAGGGAATTATGCTGGAAGGGCAAACTGATTCCAAACCATTGAGTGTCTTCAGTGGCAATGGTGTTTGGATTTACCCTAGGGGACACCAGCTAGGGTAGAGAGGTGATTTTTGGTTTTGGTTAGTGACGGTAGATGCTGGTAGGGTAAGTTGATCTGATTTGTGTTTGTTTGGTTTTGATTAGTGAAGGTAGATGCTGGTGAGTTGATCTGATTTTGAGTATAATATTTTGGAATATTATACTCAATATAATGTTTTGAAATAATATTTTGAAATAATATTTCTGGGGGCAGGATAAAAGGTAGATTTGAGGGGTGAAATCAGTATTCAGGAGCTCACTCTCTAACAGCCAAGTTGTCCAGATGAGAGTGGTGGTAAGGACTAAGCTATAATGAGGCAATGAGCATATAAGGAAGGAGACATTTGAATGCTATTTAGAGGAAAAAAAGATAGGAGGATTTGATGTGGGAGCTAACAGAATCTGAATGACCCTGATTTCTGGATTGAGCATATAGAGACAAGATAGGACTTATGTGGGGAAAAGCAGACTTTGAAAAGAGAAAACGAGTATGACTATACATTTGGCCACATTATCTTTAAAGATAGGCCCAATTTAATTAAGAGTCTGGAGTTGGTAAAACTCAGGATCAGATATGTGCTTTTGGGCATCACCAGAATATAGTTGGCTTTTTGAAGCTTTGAATTTGGATAAGATTGCCCAGAGAGAATATGCAGCATGTACAGATCAAAGCCAAGGACACACCCCAATATTTATTAGGTATAGAAAGATAGGACCTTAGAATAAGAATGAAAATGAGTAACTAGAGAAAAAAAAATAAAGAGTGGTTCCCAAAAGAACCCAAAGAAGATAACATTTCAAGGAGGGTTGCTGGTCCAGAGAAGTCATATAAAAGAACCATAAGCATATATTGGATTTGTTGAACAGGAAGTCATTTGGGACCTTTCAGAAGTGTAGTATCCTGAAACACCAAGCAAATTCAGACCTTCATGCTGAGGTGAATTTGTAAAGGGTCATTGGGCGTACCCTTTGGGAGAACTGATACGGCCTTCAGACCTGTAAGTTATATTTGTTTCATATGTAAAATGATAATACACCATGGTGTTTTTATTATAAAGATTATGTATGGTAATATGAGAGAAAGTATTTTGTAAACTCTGTAAAGTTTTTTGGAAGTTTACAGAATTGTGATTAGTTTTTTTGTGAAATCTCTATATAATTTAAGGTAAGGAAATGGGAGGGAGGATTTTAGGTAAAAACAGAAGATAATAAAGATATATAATGGCAGAATACTACGGATTCTGGAGGACCCACTGGAATTATATGAACAGTGGAGATATGAGCCAAGAAAGAAGAAGGGCTGAGCTGACTGAGGAAAAGAAATAGAATATTGGTGTTTTGTAGACCATGAATTGAATACCTTCTTCCTGGGCAGATCTAGAATACACTAAACAAATTTGGAACCTTTTCTTTTTCTCTTTTTGTACAGTATAAACAGATCATTGTTGAAACTAATTACATTAGTTACATTTTAGCCTTCTTCAAAAAAATTTGGTTCTTTTTTTTTTTTGAGATGGGATCTCACTCTGTTGCCCAGCCTGGAGTGCAGTGGTGCCATCAATGGCTCACTGCAACCTCAACCTCCTGGGCTCAAGCAATCCTCGCACCTCAGCCTGCTAAGTAGCTGGGACTACAGGTGCATGCCACCATGCCTGGCCAATTTTTAATTTTTTTTTTAGAGATGGGGTCTCCGTCTTTTGCCCAGACTGGTCTCAAACTCTTGGCCACAAGTGATCCTTCCACCTCAGCCTCCCGAAGTGCTTGGATTACAGGCGTAAGCCATCGTGCCCAGCCTGGGTCTTCTTATATATTTCTTACAAATGTCTTCTTTGGAGCCCTTAATTTTGCAGGTAGTATTTATTTCATCTAGTTTCTTCTCTTTCTCCTCCTCTCTTCTCCAACCCCCTTTCCACTTTGATTTCTTCTTTTTTTAGGAGTTATCTCAACTTTTTTTTTTCTTAGTATTGTTTTGTTGTTCTCTGAAACCTTCAGATTTTGTAACTTTTGAGTGCAGGTCTTCTGAGAATGGGGCTTTATAGACATTTTCATGTTTAGTTTACTATGACGCAAGCTTCTTGTTCGAAAGGGTTAAGTTTCTTGGGTGCTAATTGATTGGAGGAAGGATAGATTATCTGTGAAATTGGGAATATTTATAGTCTATGCAAGAATAATTTATAATTCTTATTTCTACATACCTGGCTATCATGCCTTCCTCAGCCTCCAGAGATGTAATCTCTAATAGCAGATGGCAGCACCAGGCAACTTTGTGTTATTAATGGGAAAGAGGAAAACTGGTTTCACTCACTTTCTTCCTTTTTCTTTCTCTATCTCTCTCTCTCTATTTATTTATTTATTTATTTATTTATTTATTTATTTTTGGAAAGAACACCACAGAGGTTCAGTACCATTCTCACACATCGTATCAGGGTCACATGATACCCACAAGGTACTGGTGATACTAACTTTGATCACTTGGTTTAAGTAGTATTTTCCAGGTTTCTCCACTGTAGTGTTATTTTTCCCTTTCCATACTCTACCCTTCAGGTGAAGTAACTAAGTCTAAACCACTCTCTGGAGTAGAAGATAGGTATTAAGGTCCACCTCCTAAAGGCAGAGAATGTTCATATATATTTGAAATTCTTCTATACAACATTTATATCTTCTCTTTCATTTTACTAATTTATTTTTAAGCTACTGTGCAATACAGGGTGGGTGTGTGTTAGACCATTCTTGCATTGCTATAAAGGAATACTTGAGGCTAGGTAATTTGCAAAGAAAAGACGTGTAATTGGCGCATGGTTCTGCATGCTTTATAGGAAGCATTGTCCCGGCATCTGCTTCTTCTAAGGGCCTCAGGAAGCTTACAGTCATGGCAGAAGGTGATGGGGAGCCAGGACGGCACCTGGCAAGAGTGGAAGCAACAGCGACAATGGGGAGGTCCCAAACTCTTTTAAACAACAAGATCTCTGCAAACTGAGAGATAACTCATCACCAAAGGGATTGTTGCTAAGCCATTTATGAGGGATCTGCCCCCATGATTCATTTACCTCCCACCAGGCTCCACCTTCAACATTGGGAATCACATTTTAACATGAGATTTGGAGGGGACAAATATCCAACCATATCAGCATAAAAGGGTCAGTAATGTAACAATGTTGGTTTTTCAGGTGTGACAAATATACCATGGTAATGTAAGATACTAATGATAGAGAAAACTGAATAAGGGTATATGGGAACTGTCTGTAGTATCTTTGCAACTTTTTTGTTATGTCTAAAATGATTCTAAAATAAAAAGCTTATTAAAATAATCATAGCACTATGGCATAATTGTTACTTAGAGAATGAGCAGGAACAATTTGGTAATAGTAATAACTTTTTCCTTGATATGATTATTTTCACTGTGCTTTAAGGGAAGAAAGAAGCCAGATGCACTGGCTCACGCCTGTCATTTCAACACTTTGGAAGGCTGCTACAGGCAGATCACTTGAGCTCAGGTGTTCGAGACTAGTCTGGGCAATAGGGCGAAACTTCATCTCTACAAAAAAAAATTTTTTTAAAATTAACTGGGCATGGTGGTGTGTGCCTGTAGTCCCAGCTATTTGGGAGGTTGAGGTGGGAGAATTACCTGAGCCTGAGAGGTTGAGGCTGCCATGAGCTGAGTTGTGATCATGCCACTGCATTCCACCCGGGGTGACAGAGTGAGACCCTGTCTCAAATAAAGAAAGAAAAAAAGAAAGAAATGAGTGGGGTGGAAGGAAGAGAGAGAGAGGAAAGAAAAAGAAAGAAAGGAAAGAAGGAAGGGAGGGAGGAAACAAGGAAAGAAAGAAAGAGAAAAAGAGAAAAGAGAGAGAAAGAGAAAAAGAAAGGGAAGAGAGAAGTTGTCCCGGATGGGAGTGCCCTCGTAAGAACAAGTGGGTGTAATTCAACACAGAAATACATATATATAATACTTAAAGCCCAGATTTTCTATGGCGTAGAAAGCATTTATCTGATTTAGAAAGAAATGTGTAATCTGTGCTAATATTTACTGCCAACCCCAACCCCAGTAGGGATATAGGTAGTTTCTGTTTTTTTTATTTTTTTTATATCAGTGTTGCTTTCTGTTTTAAGAGCATAGACTGGGCAGAATGTGTATGTGAGTATGGTGGTGGTGATAGTGCTGGCAATATATTAATTATTGCTGTCTATGGTGCCTTATTGGGATGAAGATAAAGGTCTTGACCCCTTTGGGTGTGGAAATGGCAGAATGGGCTAGTGATTAAGAGTATGGACTCTGGTGTGACACTGCTGGAATTCAAGTCCTGGTTCTATGGCTTCTAACTCTGTGATCCTGAGTAATTTACTTGACTTTATTGTATCTCAGTTTTTTCATCTGTAAAATGAAAATAATTGTACCTCTGGGTTTTCGTGACACTTAGAACAGTGTCTGGTATATTAGTGATTAGTAAGTACAATATCTGTTGTTGCTTTTATTGTTTGTAGTTTTCAAGTCTCACAAATGTGAAATATTGTTGCCATTGGGGGGGATACACTTTTGTTTTAGTACTTCAAAAATTTTTTGATGTCTTTAACATTTTCTCTTTGGCTTTGGTTTTCAGCAATCTAACTATGGTATGTATAGGGGTGAGAGAGAGAGAGAGAATGTGTGTGAGTGTGTGCGCACGCATGTGCACACATGCATGCATTTATCCTGCTTGAAGTTCTTTGAGCTTCTTTGGTCTGTGTTGTTGTGTTTCACTAATTTTGTAAAGTTAATAACCATTATCTCTTCTGCCCCCTTCTCTCACTGTGTCTTTCTGAAAATCCAACTATATGTTTGATATGTTTCCACAGATCTGTGATAGTCTGTTATTCTTATTTTCTTTGTGTTTCATTTTGGGTAATTTCTGCTGCCTTAATTTCAAGTTCTTATATTCTTTCCCATACTGTATCCAGCTTCTGATAAGGCTGTCAAAGAAATGTTTATTTCTTATGTTGTGTTCTTTCAGGCATTTCCATTTGATTCTTATTAATACAGCTTCCTTTTGCTGAAATTCCCCATCTGTTCATGCATGTGCCCATCTTTTTCACTAAATACTTTAATTATCTTAAAGTTCCCTTTAGCTAATTCCAGTGTCTCAGTCATGTCTTAATCTACTTTTGTTGACTAGTTTCTATCTTGAATATTGATGGAATTTCCACCCTCCCTGTACCCCGGCTTTTGTTTCTTTTCTTTTTCCTTAACATTTACTTTAATGTCTGACATTGTATTAAAGAACTGCAGACACTGAGATAGGTCATATTTATGCTCAGAAATGGGCACCTCTCTTCTATCAGGTAGGCATTTAGTGTGTGGTTTGAGTTATTCTAGTCAATAGTTGAAGTGAATTTCAGTTTTATTGTTAATTGTAGTTGCCTTCAATGTACCTGACTTTGAATTTCTCTAGTGGTGGGCTTCTGCCACCTTGTACTTAGCATGGGCCCTGGAGTACTGACGGGTTTTACTAGTGTTTTTGTCCCTGGTCATAGGTAGGTGTTATGCACTGAATATTAGTGTCCCCCTAAATTTCATATTTTGGAATCTTATCCCCCATTGTTTTATTAGGAGGAAGGCCTTTTGGGAGGTAATTAGGTCTTGAGGATGGAGCACTCATTTAGTGTCCTTATAAAAGAGGCTCCAGGAAGCTCTCTAGCCCTCTTTCTCTGATGTGGAAATATAGGGCCTAGTTAGCAGTCTGCAGCCTGGAAGAGGCTCCTCACCAGAACCCAACCATGCTGGCACCCTGATCCTGGACTTCCAGCTGCCAGAACTGTGAGAAATAAATGTCTGTTGTTTGTAAGCCACCCGGGTCTATGGTAGTTTGTTGTAGCAGTCCAAACTGTGTAAGACAGTTGGGTGGTAGTGTTTTCTGACCTTTTCTTAGTAGTTTCAGCCTTTGCTTTCTACGAGAGAAGGATCTAAGATGTGGGCAGAGTTTTGTACACATGTACTACTGAGAAGGACTCTCAGGCCTGTTGTCCTACCTTCATTATTTCTTGTAAGCCACTGGTAGAGACCTGTGAGAAAGATCTAGTGAGACAGTACATACTTCTCTTGTGTTTGTTGCTCCCAGAAATGTCTAAACTGTCACAGTAGCTCCCACTTAGCCTTCAAGAATTAGTTGAAAATTTCAGCTGTTTTATTCATATCTGCCTTTAATGGCCTTTTCTTCCTCAGGGTTTCAGGTTCTGCATTCTGCATTCTGCATTCTGTCCTGTCTCTCTCTCCTTAGAATGGCATATCATCCTTTGGAATTCAGTTTACCTGATTGCCTTGTAACCACAACTTTCCTATGGGTCCAAAAATGTTACCAGTAATTTAGCAGATTATCTGGCTCTCATTGTTACCGTGGAAGCAACATTCTTTTGAGACTTTCTGTATTCTAAACAGCACAGGCCTCCCTTCTTATGACATATTTTTATAGGTGAGTTAAATAGTTTTAAGAAGAAATACTTCATATTTATACAACTGTCTGTTCTCATTTTGAATTTAGCAATAGTAGTTTTAAAAATAATGGTAGCAATACATGAATGGATAGGAGTATATTCTTTAATGGGCATTTTGATTCTTACAAAGATGGTTATAAAATGTGCTGTTGTAATAAGGTTAGCTGTGCATCATAATGCTTTGATTCTGTAGTCTTAGAACAACTGGTCTCCTACTGTGCTCCAAAGTAGATCCTAGTTACAGGATCTACTTTGTAATTATTTTTCTGTCTTTTGATTAAATTAGATAAAAGTAATGTCCACTCATTTTTGCCCTAATTCTTCTTATATTTAAATATGAAATGAAAAAAGAGCACATCATTCCAACATGAATCTGAATATTATGGGCATTAGTGCTATAATAATTCCATAGCAACTAATAATAATTGTAATTATTAAAGTGAACATTTTTCTTTCTGAGCTTAGGGCTCTACTTTTTGCCTTAGTTTCCAGTTTTTCTTACCTACTGTCTTTATGTTATGTCATTCAGTATATTCCTCCATTGATTGTGCATAGGGCAGTCACTAGGACTGTCACTGTGGATTTCCTCTTGCTTTTACTCAGCATCAATCCAATGAAAAGCAAACAAACAGGCAAAAAACTCCCAAACAATAAAGAAATCTTTTGGCTCCAATTTGGATTTATAAAGAGAATCTAGGTCAGGGGTCCCCAGCCCCTGGGCTGCAGACCAGTACTGGTTAGTGACCTGTTAGGAACCTGGCTGCACAGCAGGAGATGAGAGCTGGTGAGCGAGCATTACTGCATGAGCTTTGCCTCCTGTCAGATCAGTGGCAGCATTAGATTATCATAGGAGTGCAAACCCTATTGTGAACTGTACACGCGAGGGATCTAGGTTGCATGCTCCTTAGGATAATCTAACTAATGCCTGATGATCTGAGGTGGAACAATTTCATCCCCAAACTGTTCCCCCGACCATACCACCCCACAATGTCTGTGGAAAAATTGTTTTCCATGAAACCGGTCCTTGATGCCAAAAAGCTTGGGGACTGCTGATCTAGGTATCTTGACCTTTTTCTCTGCAAGTAGTGAGAGAACTTATATTTCTAGTTAACCTCATTCTTAAGATTGCTTAGCACTATCATATATTTCAATTTTTTATTCATTTTAAATATGTGAAATATTAATTTACTCTCCAACTTTTATTTTAAACTAGATATAAAGTGGCCAGAAATGTACCATTTCACAATATTTTTGTTGTTTTTTGCTTTAGGGAATATATACTGTGATGCAAATTTTTGAAAATTACCAAGCTTAGCTATTTCATTTTTTTAATTTTTAGTTTTATTTGTTTTAACATTGAATAGTTTACTTATGCTTTATATGTTCTCTGTAAGAATGATTTTGCGCATAGAATTCTACCTTGCATAGTATATTTCACAGAAAGTATGATGTATAATTTAACAAAATCAGTTATAAAACAGGTAAACCATATGTACTTACATTTAATGGCCTTTTCCATACTTTCTATCAGTTTATTTTACATCTTCAAGGGAGCATAGAGAAAAAGATATATAATATGAACAAAATCAGTAAGTTTTCATTGAAAGTGAGCTTATAATGCTCCTGTCTTTATGACAAAGATCGTATTAGACACCTCAGTGATCATAAACGTTTCCAGTAGTCCATCTTTCAAATGAAAAAGTTTGAGATTTTATTTTATTTTATTTTTATTGGAATGGGTCTCACTCTGTCACCCAGGATGCAGTGTGGTGGCATGATCACAGCTCATTGCAGCCTCGACCTCCCTGGCTCAAAGAATCCTGCCTCAGCCCCACAAGTTGCTGGGACCAGAAGCCCATGCCACTGCACTCAGCTAATTTTTGTATTCTTTTGTAGAGACTGGGTTTTGTTATGTTGTTGAAAGCTAATCATGAAAACTCCTGGGGTCAAGCAATCCACCCACCTTAGCCTTCCAAAGTGCTGGGATTACAGACGTGAGCCTCTGTGCATGGCCAAGATTTTATTTAAGTATTTCCATAATTGACATTTATTATAATTACCTTGAAAGAGAAATGAAATTGAACAGTAAATGTGGGAAGGTAGCTCCATAGCATATGCAGAGCTACTTTTTGGATTGCTCCATAGCAAATCCTAAAGTCCCATTGTTCAGTCATATAAGAAGTCTCCAAAACTCTCAACTATTCAGGATCAATTTTCCTGCTAATTGATTATTATTTTATAAAGTAGATCTGTCACTGCTTGGTTTAAGCTTGGATTAAAAGACGCAGTGGGGTTTCTATCACTTCTCCATAGGCATCAGTACCTAATCTATTCAGCTGTTTATATATTAGTAAACAATGTTGTCTTCATGGTAGTTGGTAAGAAAAATAATAAAAACACAGATTTCAGGAAAGTTTACAATTAGCGGACACAAATACAAAAGGATGACGTTTTTTGAAAGTTAGTGTTCTTTAAACTTTGGCTTTGGTACCAAGAATTGCTCTGAGAAGAGACTTTCTTTTTTTGCCAAATACCTTGTCAATTCTGTAGCCCTAATCTCACCTTAATGATTTGCATTCAACACACATATATAGGACTAATGAATATTGACCCAATTTCTAAGGAAAACAAATAACAAATACATTGAAGGTCTCTTGTTATAAATATATACATATATTAAAATATAAATATAAATACATTTCTACATTTCTATAAACGTATATGTATCTATTTCTTAACTGTGTGGCTTTTGTATTTCCATGTGTTTGCAGCCCTGCTCTGTGGTGGTGGTGGTGGAGAGAGAGATAACCCCCTCACCAGATCTGCTCCCGGGCCTTGGTGGGGCCCCCTCCAATCAGTGGTGCTATGCTGTGCTGTGCTCAAGTTTCCTTTGTTAGGTGTTCCAGGCCACGGGGCCCTCTTGGGTAGATAACATGGCTAGTAGATGGGTCATATTTCTCAGACCAGCCCTGCACCTGGAGGCACACCCTCCTCCTGTGCCAGCCTACCACCTTGCACATTTCACCCTTCACAGTGTTTTGAAAGTAACTGAGTCCCAGCCACAGATCTCAGCTTGGCACTTCTGAGCTGCACAATGCAGCCCTGGGGTGCCAGGACCAGCCCACAGTTCTGTCCTCCACACCCTCTGGGTTGGGCACCAGCTGTTCTAGGGGATCCAGGGTGCTTCCTGGCCACTGAGAAAGTACTTAGATAGAGCTGCAGATAAAGCATCCAGGCTGGGCAGGGGAGGCTGCATTGTACACACGCTCCTGTGGAGCAGCCAGGCAGGGGCCTTGAGAGGGCTGTCAGTCAGGAGAGCCTACAGAACAGATGAACCCCAATCCAGTGGAAGCCAGCTTTGTTCTCTCTTGGCCTTGCAGTTGACTAGGGCTAGAGCTAACTGGGGAGATGGAGAACTTTGGGGGATAGGCGCCTGTGGCCATTTTACACTGCAGCTGCCCCGTGTGTAAAAGTCCCCGCATTTTGCACAGGTTGTACCTCTGTCTCTTCCTAACTCTCCAGGATGATCCCCCTACCAGTTCAGATATCTATGGGGGGTCATGGGATCTCTTGCAGCTAGGATCCCAGAGGTCTGCAGCAAGAGTGGACTGCCCATCTTTCCCTTCACTCACCGCTTAGGAGCCATTTAGGGCTGGGAACTAGCATCTGACAACCCTGTGCAGGCAGCTTCCTCCCTCCTCACTCTTGGTATCTGTGTCACCTCTCAACTCTTGATGTTTTCCTCTCTGGAAATTGGCTCAGAGTATGTTTGTTTACTCCATATTTTTTTCATATTTATTTTATTTTATTATTATTATATTTTCAGTTTTAGGGTACATGTGCACAATGTGCAGGTTAGTTACATATGTATACATGTGCCATGCTGGTGTGCTGCACCCATTAACTCGTCATTTAGCATTAGTCATATCTCCTAATGCTATCCCTCCCTCCTCCCTCCACCCCACAACAGTCCCCAGAGTGTGATGTTCCCCTTCCTGTGTCCATGTGTTCTCATTGTTCAATTCCCACCTATGAGTGAGAACATGCAGTGTTTGGTTTTTTGTCCTTGCGATAGTTTACTGAGAATGATGATTTCCAATTTCATCCATGTCCATTTGGTCTCCCTCAGTGGGAGCAGTGCTTCCAGGCTCTGTCTCATTGGCCATCGTCTCCCTCTCCTCTAAATTTTTTTTTAGTCTTTCTTTTCATATTACCATTTTTGTGAGACTAACTTTTACCCTTTGAAGGATAATTATTTCTTAATTTAATAAATGTAAGTTTAGAGGTGACAAAGACAAAGCTTGGAGAAAGGAAAAGTATTGTTGCTTCGTCTTTGTTACCTCTACATTTTCATTTGTTATGGCAGTATAAGATTTATAAGAAATATGTGCTTTTATTTACATATTGGTCCAAGTTAGGTCTCAAAGGGCAAATCACTTTAAAAACCAATCACTGTGATCTTAGACACTGTTGTCTTTCCAGAGACCACGTAATTCTTACTCATCATTTCTTCAATCTGTTTCTCTTGGAAACCCTGGGAAAGTTACAGCTATAGTCTTTTTAGTTCTCAGTTAGGCTAGAGCAAGGCTTGCCAAATTATCCAGGCTACTGCCTGATTTTGTAAGTAAAGTTTTCTTGGAATACAGCCACATTTATTTGATAACATACAGTCTCTGGCTACTTTGCACTGCAGTGGTAGACTTGAATGGTTGGTTACAGAAGGTGATGGCCTACTAAATCTTTCTAGACAGAATCTTTTGAGTAGAAATCAGCCACTGGAAATAAGATCTCTAAATCCTCCCTTTTTCCTCTTCTCCTTTTACCCTGATGTGAAGTCACTTAATAAAACAGCATATTTAGACCTCCTTTGGTATAAGCCTTTCAGCTTATGTCTTAAGTAACAAGGGCATTTTCCCCTGTCTGGTTAAAAGCTGCCCAAATTATGCCATTTTTTGCCATTCCAGATATCATATGGCCATTAATGCCTTATGCTATCATAAAACCATATAGTTGATGAGTGGGGATTTTGGCTTTTGTTTGGTTTTGGCTTTATATTAGTCTTTGTTTCACTCTTTTTGATGTTATTGTTGTTTTTATGGGGGTGGGGAGTGATCCTTTCATAGTATTCTTCATCATACAGACGTATTTGTGAGAAACAGATTAGGAAGGAAAAGGATGTATCCCTCAGTACTTTGCACTGCTTGTCCTAATTAAGCAGCCCACCTAGTCTGTGTTAAGTATATACTGTGTGTGTGTGTGCGCATATAAGGAGTTTGGGAGAGGTAACTTGAAAGAACAAAGGTCATTTGATCAAAGAATTCCTAGGTTCTTGGCATTTTAAATTATGTGGCAATTTGCATGTATTAATGAGATATAATAATGGGTGTCAGTAAAACTCTATTATAATTAGTCCTATCACGACAACTGTTATGAAGATGCTGTGATTAAGCCTTTCTTCTATGGATTTTAATTAAATATAGCCAGGATACTCAGCTTGTTGTGTTTATATACAACTAGGGAAGAAAATGTTAACTCTGCAGTTTTAAAAAATGTTTATCTAATTAATCAAATATGCCCTAGGCATGTGGCATAAATTTGTATTGCTAGGGTTTTTTCTTTTGTTTTTTATTGTTTAATTTTTTCCCTTTATTTCTTCTAAAAAAAAAATGGGATTCTTGTCCAGAACGTGAAGGTTTGTTACATAAGTATACGTGTGACATGGTGGTTTGCTGCACCTATCGACCCATCCTCTAAGTTCCCTCCCTTCACCACCCACCCCCAACAGGCCCTGGTGTGTGTTGTTCCCCTCTCTGTGTCCATGTGTTCTCATTGTGCAACTCCCACTTATGAGTGAGAACATGTGGTATTTGGTTTTCTGTTCCTGTGTTAGTTTGCTGAGGATGATGGCTTCCATCTTCATCCATGTCCCTGCAAAGGACATGATCTCATTCCTTTTTATGGCTGCATAGTATTCCATCATGTATATGTGCCACAATGCCTATCATTGACGGGCATTTGGGTTGGTTCCATGTCTTTGCTATTGTAAATAGTGCTGCAGTAAACATATATGTTCATGTGTCTTTATAGTAGAATGATTTATATTCCTTTGGATATATACCCAGTAATGGGATTGTTGGGTCAAATGGTATTTCTGGTTCTAGACCCTTGAGGAATCGCCATACCGTCTTTCACAATGGTTGAACTAATTTACATCCCTACCAACAGCATATAAGCTTTTCTATTTCTCCACAGCCTTGCCAACATCTGTTGTTTCCTGCCTTTGTAATAATCCCCATTCTGACTGGCATGAGATGGTGTCTTATAGTGGTTTTGATTTGCATTTCTCTTTTAAATTTCATATGGAATCAAAGAAGACACTGTATAGCCAAGATAATCCTAAGCAAAAAGAACAAAGCTGGCGGCATGATGCTACCTGACTTCAAACTATATACTACAAGGCTACAGTAACCAAAACAGTGTGATACTGATAGCAAAAACAGGCATATAAACCAATGGAGCAAAACAGAAACCTCAGAAATAACACCACACATCTACAACCATCTGATCTTCAACAAACCTGACAAAAACAATCAATGGGGAAAGGATCTCCTATTCAGTAAATGGTAATGGGAAAACTGGCTAGCCATATGCAGAAAACTGAAACTGGACCCCTTGCTTACACCCTATACAAAAATTAACTCAAGATGGATTAAAGACTTAAATGTAAAACCCCAAACCATAAAAACCCTAGAAGAAAACCTAGGCAATACCATTCAGGACATAGGCACGGGCAAAGACTTCATGACAAAAACGCCAAAAGCAATTGCAACAAAAGCCAAAATTGACAAATGGGATCTAATTAAACTAAAGAGCTTCTGCACAGCAAAGGAACTACCATCAGAGTGAACAAGCAACCTACAGAATGGGAGAAAATTTTTGCAATCTACCCATCCGACAAAGGTCTAATATCCAGAATTTACAAGGAACTTAAACAAATTTACAAGAAAAAAATCAACCCATCAAAAAGTGGGCAAAGGATATGAACAGACACTTCTCAAAAGAAGACATTCATATGTGGCCAACAAACATATGAATTGTTTAATTTTTAATTGACAAATAATAATTAAGAAGTATGTTTACATATACCTATTTTTTAATTGAGGTAATATACTACATTTACCATCCTTTCCATTTTTAAGTGTATAGTTCTGTAGTAATACTTACATTTATATCCTTTTTTTCCCTTCATTCCCACCTCCCCACTACCCCTTCACGGCCTCTGATAACCACTATTCTACTCTTTATCTTCATGAGATGTACTGTTTTAGCTCCCATATGTGAGAATGTGCAATATTGTCTTTCCATTCTTGGCTTATTTCACTTAACATATTGACCTTCAGTTTCATCTATGTTGCTGCAAATGGTAGAATTTCATTCTTTTTTATGGGTGATCAATATTCCATTCTGTATAGTATATATTTCTCATTTTCTTTGGTCACTTAGGTTGATTCTGTGTCTTGACTATTGTAGTAAATAGTGCTTTAATAAACATGGGTGTGCAGGTGTCTCTTCAGCACACTGATTGCAGTTCCTTTGGGTATATACCCAGAAGTGGGATTGCTGGAACACATAGCAATTCTATTTTTAATTTTCTGACGAACTTCCATACTGCTTTCCATAATGGCTCTGTTAATTTACATTCGCAAGAACAGTTCACACAGGATCCCTTTTCTCTATATCCTCACCAGCACTTGTTATCTTTCATCTTTTTGGTAATAGCCATTCTGAGGGGAACGAGGCAATACCTTATTGTTATTTTAATTTGCATTTCCCTGATGATTAGTGATGATGAGCATTTTGTCATTTATCTCTTGGCCATCTGTAGGTCTTCTTTTGAGAAAAGTCTATTTAGGTCCTTTGCCCATATTTTGATTGAGTTGTTTGCTTGCTATTGAGTTGTTTGAGTACCTTCTATTTTCTGGATATTTGCCTCTTATCAGATGTATGGTTTACAACTATTTTCTCCCAGTCTGTGGATAGTCTCATTACTCTGTTGTTTCCTTTCCTGTGCAGAAGCTTTGATGTAATCCCATTTGTCTATCTTTACTTTCGTTGCCTGTTCTTTTGATGTCAAATCCAGGAATTCACTGTCCTGACCAACAGAGAATTTCCTCTATGTTTTCTTCTAGTAGTTCTGTAGTTTTAGGATGTACATTTAAGTCTTTAATCCATTTTAATTTGATCTTTGTATATGGTGAGAGATAGTGGGTCTAGTGTCATTCTTCTGCATGTGGATATCCAGTATTCCCAATACCATTTATCGAAGAGACTCTGTTTTCATCATAGCGTATTCTTGGCACCTTTGCTGAAAATCAGTTGACCATAAATGCGTGGGTTTATTTTTTGGGTTTTCTATCCTATTCCATTGGTTAATGTGTTTGTTTTTGTTTTTATGCCAGTACCGTGCTGTTTTGATTACTCTTGCTTTGTAATAGATTCGAAGTCATACAGTGTTATGCCTCCAGCTTTGTTCTTGTTGCTCAAAACTTACTGTGGTTATTTGGGGTCTTTTGTAGTACAGATTTGGGGTGTTGTTTTTCCTATTTTTCTGTTTTTCGGAAAAATGACTTGGAATTTTGATAAAAATGGCACTGAATGTGTTGATCACTTTGGGTAGTATGAACATTTTAACAATATTAATTCTAATCCATGAACATGGGATACCTTTCCACTTATTTGTGTCATCGGCAATTTCCTCAATGTTTTATAATTTTTGGTATAACAGATATTTCACCTTCTTGGTTAAATTTATTCCTAAGTATTTTATTTTTTATTTTTTATGCTATTGTGAATAAGACTGGTTTCTTATTTTCTTTTTCGGATAGTTTGTTGTCAGTGTAAAGAAGTGTTACTGATTTTTGTGTATTGGTTTTGGGTTCTGCAATTTGACTGAATTCATTTATCAGCTCTAAATTTTTTTTGGTGGAGTTCTAAGGGTTTTCTAAATATAAGGTCATATCATCAGCAAACAAAAAATTTCACTTCTTCCTTTTCTATTTGGATGCCTTTTACTTTTTTTTCTTGTCTAATTGCTCTGGCTATAACTTCCAGCACTACGTTGAATAAAAGTGGTGTAGTGGTAATCTTTTTCTTGTTTCTGATCCTAGAGGAAAAGCATTTAACTTTTCACCATTGAGTATAATGTCAGCTGTGGGCTTTTCATATATGACCTTTATTGTGTTGAGGTACATGTTTTCTGTGCCTAATTTGTTGAGAGTTTTTACTATGAAAGGATGTTGAATATTGTCAAATGCCTTTTCTACATCTATTGAGATGATCACCACGGTTTTTATTGAACAAATGTCTGCTGTTTTACATGTATATATGAAAAAATATCTATTTTATATATTCTTTTATATATGTCTTTTTAGGAATTAACATTTAGACATATTTAGTCAATTTTATCTCAGATATCTTTTGAAAGAGAAATAGTTGAATTTTTTTATCCATTGTGTCCAAAGACACTGTATTCTAACAAGGTGGGAAAGACTGATAAAATGGCACATTTTAAAAAATGAACATTCCAGTTAATTTCTTATAAAAAGATATGACTTTGGAGACAGAAAAGCTGCTTTTCTTGACTTCAGAAGTGCAAGATGGGCAGAAATGGAACCTAGAATTTTGTCATAGTGGTTTAGACAGTGCTTGTTAACCAGTGCTCCTCAGGCTATAAGGTACACGTTAATCACCTGAGCAGCTTGATAAAATGCAGAATCGAATCCACATCTAGAGTGCGGCTCAGGATTTTGCATGTCTTAGAAGTTCCCAGATGATACCAGTGCTGCTGTCCCTGGACCACACTTAGACTTCCTTCCTGACAGTAAGTTTTTCTCTTTTTATGGCAGGTTGATTATATAGAAAGGTTAAACCCAGTGTAGACAACTATTCATGAAGTGTACTTTGATAAGAAAGGTATGCCGTTGACAAAGCTTGCTGTAGTTGTGAAGCATTTGATGTAAGACTATTAACTAAGTGAAAGGCTATGAATTCTTGAAGTTTTATCCTGACTTCCCTTTTATATGAATGTAATGCCTGTATTTTTCAGAAGACTGAAAAGCCTATAATAAGCTGCATTCATCATTGGTAAATAGAGTGCTCATTTTACTTTTTTTTTTTTTTTTTTTTGAGACGGAGTCTCGCTCTGTCACCAGGCTGGAGTGCAGTGGTGCGAACTCGGCTCACTGCAACCTCTGCCTCCCGGGTTCAAGCGATTATCCTGCCTCAGCCTCCTGAGTAGCTGGGATTATAGGCACATGCCACCACGACCAGCTAATTTTTGTATTTTTAGTAGAGATGGGGTTTCACCATGTTAGCCAGGATGGTCTCGATCTCTTGACCTTGTGATCCACCCGCCTCGGCCTCCCAAAGTGCTGGAATTATAGGCATGAGCCACCATGCACAGCCGAGTGCTCATTTTTCTTATGCGACTTTTGACCAATTCAGATTTTGAATGATAAGTGAACGCGAAATAAGGAATCATCCCATTTTTTGAGTCAGTTGGACGTTTACTCACCTCAGGCTTCTGGAAAGATCTTGGTTGTCAAATTAGAGCAGGGACACAAACCGTTTGGTATGATTAATAGTTTGAATAGCAAAAGGGACAGATTTCAATATATATACTTTAACATATTTAAAAATATGTATACCCACACATACATGTATAATTTTTTTCTCCTGAATTCTTATAAAGCTCTGTACCTGAGGAGAGAGAGAGCCTTTCTAGCCTTTTTAAAAGGAGATAGAGGCCAGGTGTGGTGGCTCATGCCTGTAATCCCAGCACTTTAGGAGGTTGAGGTGGACTGCCGACTTGAGATCAGGAGTTCGAGACTAGCGTGGCCAACGTGGTAAAACCCTATCTCAACCTAAAATACAAAAACCAGCCAGGCCTGGTGGTGGATGCCTGCAATCCCAGCTACTCGGGAGGCTGAGGCAGGAGAATCACTTGAACCCAGGAGGCGGAGGTTGCAGTGAGCTGAGACTGCGCCACTGCACTCTAGCCTGGGCGACAGACAGAGCAAGACTCCATCTCAAAATAAATAAACATGTATATAAATATTAATTAATTAAATGAGATAGAAAAAGTCAGTAATACTCTCATGGAAATAGACATATAAAACACATTTTTTAAAATTATAAAATTTTGATATTTATTCATAATTACTCTTACCCTATTCACAAATATAGAAGAGGCATTTACATTTTACTACTGTATGGTCAGTTCTGCTATAAGGAGACATTTGCATTTCTAAAAATCACCATACCATGCAGAATCATTACTAAAGACCCCAGGAAGCTTATGGGAAAAATAGGTTTAGAAGTACAACAATAAAAAGAAATTGTTTAGTGAAACATTAAGAAAAAAAAGAACCTAATAAAAATGATAGAACAGTTGTACATGCATTATGTTATAAAGAAATTCATAAATACTACAATAAATATGGTACTTTGCCTTGAAAAAACTGAAGTATGCTTGTGGAAGTTAATATTGAAAGGGTTGCAGCTTCTGAGTTATTGTAAAATGGTATAGGGAAGGTTGCTGAAGTGGGATATAAAGTTGTAACACCATCTATTAGTAGGTATGGCTTATAACACAAAGGGAACTGAAATAGCTGGAAGATATTTAAGATGTGAGGCCTGTTGGCGCATATTTTAAATATTTCTACTGGGCTTGGTCAGCTAGATGTAGTTTTCTGCCTGCACCTGGTGTTTCTCACAGTGATATTCACGTTATGCTCAAATTGCTTCCAAATACATCAAATGCACAGGAACGAATTTTGGTTTTCTGAACAAGTGGTGTAGCAGAACTGACTGTATATGAAATTTCACGCTTTGTTAGAGACATAGAACAAACCTTTAATTTTACTGCAATTCAGTTCCACAGGCAGTAGGGGGAGTAGTAGGTTCACAAATCGCAGCACCACTGACGAGTGCTTTTCTTAGTTTTGCAGCTATACGTATGGTAAATTATCATTTTATAGTTACAGTTATAAGCAATTTGGTAGAAAAAGACAGCTAAATTGTGCAGTGTTGCTTTTGTTTTCATTTTATAATCTGAATGTATTTTTTAATGAGAAAACAAAATCCAGATTAATTTTTAATAGGAGTAACCCTTTCTGTGGCTTAGTCTTGTGCCACCCACTAGACCTTGCATTTCACTTTTAATTGATCTCTTGTGTATGGTAGAAATTAGCCATCATATAGCTGAGACATTATGTCTGTATACTGGGGAGCGAATGTTTTTAGCTATATTATTGTGACTCTTACTGCTTAATAAAAGGGAGATTTAACAGGTGACTTGATCGACACATATGTTAATTTAAAATTTCTCTACCAATTCATAGAGACAGAACATTCCCAAATTTTATTCCAGGAATCAGCCCTAGAAATGATGCCAAAGCAAATTTAATTCCCTTAGCCTTATTAGAATTTGTTACAGTGTTATGCAGACTGCTCCCTGGGTATAGGAATCAGGGCCCATCAGACATCTTTATGTAAAACACTTGGTGTGCACTGAAGGAGCTAACAATGTACCTGGGCAGAGTGCCTTCCTTGTTTGTTTGGGGCATGTATATTGAAAGGGAATGTCATATATTATAAATAGTACCTAACCCTTGCTATAATGATTGCTGTAATCCAACTTTGTATGCATATTTATTATGAAAGGATAGATTTGCCTTTTATAAAGGAACAAAAATTTTGTTTGTAGTATTTTATTTAAGTGTACAACTACTTTCATTATAGAACCTTTCTTAGCTGATGTGTTGACTTGCTCAGCATTGATACCTGCTGATGCCCAAGTGGTGATCTGTGTGTCTTAAAACACAGTCTGTCATTCTACATGGTTTATATATTTCAGAGCCATTATCTGAACTAGGGGCCAGATAAAGATAAACTGCTTCATCACTGATAATGTTAAGTCCAGTAGTCTTGCAATACCTGTAATCTTTATTTGATTAATATAAATAGATCATATCAGTGTTTTTAACCAGAGTGGGGAGTTATTTAGCATTGTTCATTGCTTTTAAGTTATTTTTGAACAATTTTTGCACAGGTGGTATAGATAGAACTAGAAAACAAGTCATTTGGGTGTTGGAAA
Source organism: Homo sapiens (assembly GCF_000001405.40). Classification (NCBI taxonomy): domain Eukaryota; kingdom Metazoa; phylum Chordata; class Mammalia; order Primates; family Hominidae; genus Homo; species Homo sapiens. The sequence continues at coordinate 36,943,666 of NC_000018.10, forward strand.
ACTGAATAATACTGTGATTTAATTGATGCCAGTTGGAGAAAAAGAAGAAATTTTGTTTTGATGGATAACATAGTCCTTAACTTTATTCAGTGTGGTTTCTCTTTTATTATATATAGGTTATCCTAACTTAATTCATTTGTATTATACCATATGCCATTTTGGATTCACTTCAAAGAGTAATCAAATCAGGAACTAATCATGAGATATTATTCTCTGGTAAAGTAAATTTCATGTTTCCTTAAAATGTAACTGGTATGTATTAGCACTTTCCTGTTAAAAAGTGACATCATTTAACACTATTATCATGATGCTGTAAACAGTAGTAGGACGATAAACTTTCTTGGAGCATTAACTCTTGTTATTTAAGTGTAAAAATTCAACATTATGATTTGAAAATACTGAAAATGATTGGAAGAATTGGATGTTTATCAATTGTCTTACCTACACTTCATAAACTATATAGTACCAAATATGTGTGCATACTCTACTGGATAATAATCATGTTTGTAAAATGGGACTGCTGTAGAACCTCATGTCATACTGTTTTTCTTGAATAGCTAAGAAGTAGAAATTTGGGGATCTCCAGCCTCTGTATTGAATTTGAAGCTGTGGTAGAATATAAGGTCATGGGGGCCAGGCGCGGTGGCTCACACCTGTAATCCCAGCACTTTAGGAGGACAAGGCGGGCGGATCACAAGATCAGGAGATCGAGACCATCCTGGCTAACACGGTGAAACCCCATCTCTACTAAAAACACAAAAATATTAGCCAGGCATGGTGGCGGGCGCCTCTGTTCCCAGCTACTCAGGAGGCTGAGGCAGGAGAATGGCGTGAACCCGGGAGGCGGAGCTTGCAGTGAGCTGGGATCACGCCACTGCATTCCAGCCTAGGCAACAGAGTGAGACTCTGTCTCAAAAAAAAAATACAAGGTCATGGGGAAGTAGCACAAACAGAGTAGGTTCTTGGACATTATCTTAGGGAGTATGTCCATTTAATGATGGGTAAAGAAAAGGATATCAGTGAAAGAGATTTAAGGAGCAATCAGTAAGGAAGAAACAGAATGAACCAGTAACTGCGAAACCAGGAGAGGAGATCTGTTGAAGAAGGAAGTGACCAGCAAAGAGGATAAAACCCCAAATCAGGTTGTTACATTTAACAATTAATAGATTAAAGAATACTTGTCAAGAATCCAGTTTAAATAGAGTGAGTGATGGAAAACATATAGGGCCAAAAAGTAAACTGGAACTGAGGAAACAGAGACTGTGAATATAGATTAATTTTTTGAGAACTTTGGTAATAATGAGGAAGAGGGAGAGATGTTGGCAGCTTAAGAAGAAAGCTTTGTTTGAGAAAGGCTTTTCTTAAGATAAACATGAATGCTTATGGACAGTAGCAAAAAGCTTTTGGCTCAGGGATTGTTCTTTTAAATGTTTATGGGCTAACTTATGTAGTATTCATAGTATTAAAATAGTAAAGTAAAACCTAGCCCCTTGATTTTAGTGATATTGTGAAACTTTTGTCTTTGAGTATTTTTGGGCTATTCCTCTATAACATTTCTTGAATGGAGGGTAAAACAAAAAATCTGGTTCTTTACCAGTGTTTCAGAATCATTCTGCTGAACAGTCCACATAAGCTTAATTATATTAAGAACCATTGAAGTAAAGTTGTTCATAAAATTTTTTTTGCCTTAGTCTTTGTGGCATTTGCTGAGTTTAGACAATAACCGCCCCCCCCACGAAGTTACTTAATTTTTCTCTGAGCAGTAATTTACATGTGTGATCAATAGCCTCAGTCATTTTCAAAGAGACAAGTAATGAAATATTCCTACTACTTTTAAAATTTTAACCTTAAGATGATAACTGTGATTCCATTGTATAAGAACTCTCCTTTTTCACTTCAGTTAATACAGTTTTATTGAATGTGTTTGATTTTCACTTAGAATTATTAATACTGGGTGATATTTTCATACTACATTACAGAGTACTTGCAACTCTGGTGAGAATGCTGTTCCCCAAGGCCATAGCTAATGGTCTAGCAATGTTAAACTGAATTTAGAAATGATACTGTAAACTTATGCTTAAAAGTGTGGGTGGGTGATATAGAAGATGAGTATCTTTTTGGAAATAGAAGAGAGAGGGTGTGGTTGTTTCCTTCTCATGGACTCTTCCCCCAGTATAAATTCTTAAGCACTACAGGTAGTATTTGCTAATTGTTATTACATGTTGAATATCCTGTATCCAAAATTCTTGAGGCCAGAAGTGTTTCAGATTTTGGATTTTTTTAGATCTTGCGGTATTTGCAATATACTTACCAGTTGAACATCCCTAATCCGGAAATCCAAAATGCTGCAATGAGCATTTCTTCTGGACATTATGTTCATGCCCAAAACATTTCAGAGTTTGGAGTATTTCTAATTTTGGATTTCAGATTAGGGATATTCAACCTATACTTCAGTAGTTAGCCAAAATAGAAATGTTACACTGCCCTAAAAATTCAGAATGCTGCTTCCTTTTAAAGAAGAAAGTGGATTATTTTACATCTCTTATTTTACTTTCTATATGCTTCCTTCCAAAACAAAAACAGTTGACCAAAACAGATAAAATAAACACAGAAAGACATACCAAGAATGACTTAAAGGGAGGAAGCAAAGGAGTCCAATAATGTATTACATTTCAACATAAAGGAGAAGGATGGGCCTCCTCTCACTGGTGTGAAAGAGGGTTCTTAGAGATGATTGATACGCATACCGTAAGTATGTTCCCTGGACCAGCAACATCAGCATTACTCAGAAGCTTGTTAGACCCTACCTCAGATCTACTGGATCAGAATTTGCTTTCCAACAAGACCCACAGGTAATTCTTTTGTACATTACATTTTAAGGAATGCTGCTCTAGTGGTTCTAAGACTTTATTCTAAATCTCAGCTCACTGCTAGGTTATCCTTGGATAAGTTATTAACCATTCTGTGCTGCAGATTTATTTGTAAAATGAGATTAATAATAGTACATAATGGGTTTTTTCTTTTAATAAGAATTAAATATAATCTCTTTAAATTAAATATAATGTTAGTCCCTCACCTTCAAGTAGAGGTTATACTGAGCTATTCAAAGATACTGTGGTTCAGGCATCCGTTCCTGGTGATAGGTGCTTAATTGTGAAATAGGTGATGATAGTATCTTATTCTTAAAAGAGAACTCTGATGAAATCTCTGAAGAAGGGAGAGATGACAAGCATAAAAATGATAGCACTGGAAGATGAAATACTGTATATGAGGAACACTTGATGTCACTGGATTGCTTCGTGTGGGAGAAAGAAGATTGAGGGACCACTTAAACTCGGTTTACATTTCCACTAAGAAATGAATTGTTAGGCTCCTGTAATCCCAGCTACTCGGGAGGCTGAAGCAGGAGAATCGCTTGAACTTGGGAGGTGGAGGTTGCAGTGAGCCGAGATCACGCCACTGCACTCCAGCCTGGGCGACAGAGCAAGACTCCGTCTCCTAAAAAAACCAGAAATGAATTGTATTACATGGTAAGATAAAATAGTTCAAGGAGACAAATATAGGAATGTTGATAAAAAGAGTCAAACTCTGTAAAACATTTAAGGAGGCTTATTATGTGCCAAATATGGGTGACCAAGGCCTGTGACACAGCCCCAGGATGTCCTGAGAACCTGTGCCCAATGTGATTGGGTGACAGCTTGATTTTATACATTTTAGGGGGACAAGTTACTGGCAGACATAAATCAATACATGTAAAGTGTACATTGATTCAGTCTGGAAAGGTGGGACAACTCGGGCTTTTAGGTCATAGGTGGATTCACGGATTTTCTGATTGGGAGTTGGTCAAAAGAGTTAAGTTATTATCTAAAGACCAGGAATCAATAGAAAGGAGTGTCTGGGTAAAGATAAGGGGTTGTGGAGACCAAGGTTTTTTGCAGGTTTTTATTATGCCTCATAGGTGGCCACCCTTAGAGGCAATTGATGGCAAGTGTTTTCTGTTCAAATGTTTCAAAGGTGCTAGACTGGCAGCTAATCTCTTCAGGAACAGAAGAACTGGAAAGGGAGGAGGATTCTCAACATAATGTAGATTTTCCCCACAAGAGATAGCTTTGCAGGACCATTTCAAAATATGTCAAAGAAATATATTTTGGGGTAAAACACTTTGATTTTTTTCAGGGCCTGGTATCTATCATATACTTGACTCTATACTAGAGTCAGGTTGGAATTTGATATCTCATTGCTGCAGAGAGACTGCTTTGCCAGTCTTAAGATCTCTGTTTTAATGTTAATGTTGGTCAATTGTGCCTGAATTCCAAAGGGATGAGGGTATAATGAGGCGTGTTTGACCTCCCCTTCCCATCATGGCCTGAACTTGTTTTTCAGGTTTACTTTGGAATGCCCTCGGCCAAGAGCGGCCTTCATTCAGTCAGTTGAGGGGCTTAGAGTTTTATTTTTGCAGGAGTATGAAGAAAGAGAGGTATCATGTGTATTGAAATGGATAGCTCATGAAATGTTTTCATTTAATGGTAAGAACAAATCTCTTCTGTTTGAAGATCGGAAGTAGAATGACATGACTTTTTGTTTGTTTGTCTTTTGTTTTTTTTTTTTTTTTTTTGAGACAGAGTCTTACTCTGTCTCCAGGCTGGAGTGCTGTGGTGCGATCTCGGCTCACTGCAACCTCCAACTTCTTGGTTCAAGTGATTCTCCTGCCTCAGCCTCCTGAGTAGCTGGGATTACAGGCATGCGCCACCACGCCTGGCTAATTTTTGTATTTTTAGTAGAGATGGAGTTTCACCATGTTGTCCAGGATGGTCTCAATCTCCTGACCTCGTGATCCTCCCACCTCGGCCTCCAAAAGTGCTGGGATTACAGGCATTAGCCACCACGCCTTTTTTTTTTTTTTTGAGACAGTCTCACTCTGTTGCCCAGGCTGGAGTAAAATGGCACGATCTCAGCTCACCGCAACCTCTACCTCCTGGGTTCAAGCGATTCTCCTGCCTCAGCCTCTTGAGTAGCTCAGATTACAGGCATGCGCCACCACGCCCAGCTAATTTTGTATTTTTAGTAGAGACGGGGTTTCTCCATGTTGGTCAGGCTGGTCTTGAACTTCCAACCTCTGGTGATCCGCCCGCCTCGGCCTCCCAGAGTGCTGGGATTACAGGCGTAAGCCACTGCGACATGACTTTTTTTAAAGAGCTTTCAGTCTGTTTCTCGTGTTTGGAGCTGGTAGTTTTCAGCCTGATATGTTTCACTATGCTTCACAAAGCATTATTCACACAACTTCACTGATCAGCCTTTTGGGGTCTGGAGAGCTTAGTGTGCAGACCATTTTCCATAGTCTATATTGTCAGGAATTTTCCCTTTTTGAAATTGGAAGTTTTTAAGTGTTAATTATTGTTGTGCAGTTCACTTGATAAGGAAGCTTCTTGGGGGAGAGGTATGATGGCAGCTTTTTTTCTTCTACAGTTCTAAGGTAGTTCTTGTAACCCATGAAAGGCTGAATTGCTTTAAAGCAGCCTTTCCAAAAGGGTAAAATATTTCTCCTTCGGGTCCAGCTGAAACATAGAACTTTTAAACAAAAAATAAATTTTTAAGCAAGTTAGAAGCAAGAGAAAATGCATGGTTTTTAATAGAAATGTTTTCTCAACCTTTAATGTCTACAGTGAATGCTGAAAATTTATATTTTCTTATTTTGTGAAAAGGAAACTATAAAAACATGAAATCAAAGTTCTGGTCCATCTGGCACATTGATAGCCTGCTTTTTAGGGTGTCTGGATTTAAACATTTAAATAAGTGTCCTTACCTTTAAAGTTGGAGAAATAAACCTTGGGTCTCCATTGTGTAGGTAGTTTCTAAAATCCATAGGGTCTAATGACCTGAGAAAAAGACAGAATGTAAAGCACCTCAATTTCAAGTCTGTTTCTACCCAGCTCCCCCCCCCCCACCCCCCGATCTTGATTTGCAATTCTGCAAGAAATAAGGTAGGGACTTAGATAACTCTAAAGGAGCTAGTTAAATACTCTAATTAGCTATCTTTCCGTGGCTCATGTTTTTGTTCAGGTGATCAAACAGAATGAATTACAGTCTAGAAGAGTCTGAGTGGGTCACTTGAGTCTTGTTTCCATCTTTAAGTGTCCAGAGCATTGAGTTTTCCACTGTTTTGTGCTTTATTACCCTCCCCCAATGGATTACTGTCATCAGGAAATTGAAAAATAACATGTTCATACACCGAATTTGCCATAAATTTTTCTTTTAGTTAAATGGAAGATTTCAGACTTGTATCAGTGGCTTGTGCTCTTGCACAGATCACAGCTTCATAAACAGGTGTAAATATTTATGTGAAATTCTTACCTAGCCCTGTGAACCACTTGATCTTGGAATCACTTTTTCTTTTTACAAACAATCCATTTTCAGTTGCATATATTATCAATGAGTCCTAAACTAGATATATAATTTAGACCTCAATTTTTATATCAGAAAATGTGTACTCTTTTTTTCAAAAGGGAGAAAAGAAAATGATTGTAAGGTGAGGAATTTGACGTGGTCAGAAACCATATTTAAGATGAGAAAATCTTGCTAGGTTAGAAAACATTTTAGTTTTTAATGAGTCAATATTTTAAGCATCTTCTTGGCTGGTTTAAAGGCCACATTGTCTATTTATGGTTTGTTTCCATTCCAAACTCAAAACCAACGTGAAAATTCAATAGGAGCTCCTTTACTTTTATTTCTATACTCATTCCTCTAACATTTTTAAAGTGCCTGCTGTGTGCTGAAGAGATACCAAGATTAGTACACTACGATTTCCAGGAAAACACAGTCTGCTTCAGGTGATAGTAATATAGTCAAATAATTTTAACTTTATGGTATTTACTATGATAAAGGTGCTTAACTCTGCCTGGGAGGTCAGTGAAAGCTTGGAGGAAGAGGTGACATAAAAATTAAGTTTTAATGGACAAGTAGGAATCTAGGATTAAGGGCGGGCAAAACATTCTAGGCAGAACGTTATGCCTAGAATGATATGCTATCTTAATATATGGCTTGTAGGCATTCAGAGTAAAGGAAGTACCTGCCATAGTGAAAATATTTGGGTTCAGTATTTCCCCCAAAGTCTGTGAGTAATGGATTGCTTTACAGTTGGAGCCAGATGGCCTTACCTCAGATTCTTACCCGAGGATGATCCTGAATAAAACATCTCTCTTTTGTAAAGCTTCTCTCCCTGACAAGAAAATAGCCTAACTGTTCATCTACCAAAACAGTCGGGGGAGATGATGGACAACCAAGTAATGTCAAACTGATGTTTTGCAAGGGTCACCAATGGCTTCTCAACTCAGTCTTTAACTGGGGTGGCTGCTTTTCAGCACTGGACACAGTCGACTTCATCTTTTTATTTATCTTTGTTATTTATCTTTTTTCTCTGCCTGTCCTTTACTTGTTGTTACATTGGCCTCCTTCTCGTCTCACAGTTGGAACATTCCTTTCTCTAAGAGGCTTTCCCTGGCTCCTTGACTATTTGGGTCCTTTTAGAAAGTGTTCCTACAGCACTACATAATGTTCTTGTCATTACTCTTCATTTGTTTTTCTTTGTGTTTGATTACCTGCCATTCTTTCTCCCTAAAGGAGATAGTGTTAGTCTTGTTCATTATTGTATGTCTGGCATCTCATTCAGTCTCAGATGTTACTGTACTCATTATATTTATTATTCAATAAATATTTATTGAGCACTTATGTAGGCTAAGGAATTCAGTAGTAAACAAAACAAAAATTCCTGCCCTTACAGACTTATTTGTTGAATGAATGAATGAGTGAATTAATGAACAAACAAAACCTGTACACTCCCTGGACAATTTTACCCACTCTCATGTCTTCAGCCACCACATATAAAGTGATTAACTCCCAAATGTCTATTTCTACTCAGACTTCTTTTCTGAATTTCACGCCCAGGGATCCAAGTGTCCCCTCTTCGCTATCTCCACTAAACTCTCCCAAGCATCTTTAACTCTGTGTTCTAAAGCTGCACTCTCCCCAGATCTTTTCTTTATTCTGCATTCTCTGTCTTATAAATGGAATCACACATCTGCTCATACATCTTGTCACCCAGTTCATAAGCTGACATTGCCTTAAATGTCCCTTTTTAACCCCTTATCCCTATTTTCTACCATTATTACTCCGGCTCATGCCCCTCTCATCTCTTGCTTAGACTTCTATAGTGATTTTCTAATTGGTTGCTTTTATTCTAGTCTTAAGCCCTCTCATCCATCCTTTACTCTCCTACCAGAGGTATCTTTATGAAATGCAAATTAGCTGTAAGTCATCAGTGACTTAAATAGAGATAAAATCTAAACAACTTAGGGTAACATTTGAGATCTAGCCCCTGTTGATCTCTGTAGCCTCTTCACTCATTCTGTCCCACTCAGGACCAGTTAACCATCCATGCCATGCTTCTTGCAGTTCTCTTAATGTACATATTGATCATTTTTTTCTTTCCTTTGATCCTGGTGATTTCTCAGCCAGGGGTACTGCACAGCCTACCTACCTGGTACATCTATATACTTCTTTTCCAAAATTTGTTTTCAATGTCACATGTTCTCTGGAGCCTTTCCTAACTTCCCTCCAGTGTGGTCAAAGTGAACTACTCACCCCACCTTTTTAAAATCTCCATTGTACTCTAGTGTATAAATGTTTCTCCTGGAACATGTTATCCTTATTTGTTTAAATCTCTCCCTCTCTCTAAGCCTTGATGTCTTTTTTTTTTAAAAAATGTATTGAATATATACTTTGTGCCCTGCACTATGCTAAGTGTTCTTCATTTATTTATATCATTTACATTTGCAGTTGCCCTGTGAGGTGAGGTAGATATTATCCCCAGATGAAGATGTCAGAGAAGTTAACTGCCCTAAGTTATATCATTACTAAGTACCAGAGTTACGATTTGAGCCAAGAATGTTGGACTGACACCTAAGTCTATGCGTTTACTGAATCCACAGTACTGCCTTTGTACGTCTTATGCCTGTTACATTGTATTCAGAAAACATTTGTTAAATGACTGGAAGAAAGCTTGGCGGGTCTTTTTTGCATGGCCTTTTCGCTGTCTTGTGTGTGCCTCTCCCTGGCTCCAAGGACAGTTCTGGTTAGTATATGATCAGATCATAGTAACAGTTTGTCACCTGACTTACTGACCAAGGACTCGTGATTGTAGAGAACTCTTAGGAGGCTGACCTGATGCTCAAGTTTCTGCTTCTCACATGATAATTTGTGGTAGAGGTAGGAAGACAAGAAGAGACTGAGTAATAGTAGAAAGAGAGAAACACAAAAAAAGCAAACAACAAAAACCAAAACCAAAAAAAAAAAAGTTTTCCTGCAATGTTTTATTATGATAACTTTCAAATATATAGAGAGTTGACAATATGGCATTGAAACACTGTGTACCTTCTACCTAGATTTCAGTGGTTGGCATTGCCTATATCTGCTTTGCCCCCTCTCGTGTGTGTGTATTTTTAATACATATATCATAAATATAAATATTTAATATGCATATATAATTGTATATAAACATAATTATTAAATTATTATATTTATAATATATAGTGTAATATTTAATAATATATGCTATATAAATAAATATATTTATATTTATTATATACAAATATTTATATTATATAAAAATACACACCAGAGGGGGCAAAGCAGATATAGCCAATGCCAACAACTATAGATAGATAGATAGATAGATAGATAGATAGATAGATAGATAGATAGAGATAGATAGATATATAAATGTATATAGATCTGTATAAATATAGAAATATATACATATGTAATAGAAATTTATATAAATTGTAAATTTACTTACAGATATAAAATTTTATAAAAATTTATTTGCTTATTTTTCTGAGTGTCACGGGAAATGCCACTTGTCTCTGATACCTGGGATGGTTGGACTTGTGCTTAGTAATCTTGATCTAATACAGAACTAAATGAAGTGGCAAGTGTCACTCCTAGCTACCTCAGACTTGTCTCATAAGAATGAGAAGATTTTATTTTATAAACCAACTTATGGTAACTGATAAAATTAGTAGTAATTCCATAATATTAATTCTAATTGAGTCCATATTCTAATTTTTCTAGTTGTCCCAATAATGTCTTTTCTATTTTTCTCCCTGAACAAGGATTCAGTTGTGCTTCATGGGTTGCATTTGGTTGTGTCTTTGGTCTCTTAATCTAAAATAGGCCTCCTACCCCAAACCTTTTCCCCTATGACACTGACCTTCTGAAGAGTTCAGGCCAAGTGCTTTGCAAAATCTCCCATATATTGAATTTGTCTGATTGTTTCTTTTTTTTTTTTTTTTTTGAGACGGAGTCTCGCTCTGTCGCCCAGGCCGGACTGCGGACTGCAGTGGCGCAATCTCGGCTCACTGCAAGCTCTGCTTCCCGGGTTCACGCCATTCTCCTGCCTCAGTCTCCCGAGTAGCTGGGACTACAGGCGCCTGCCACCGCGCCCGGCTAATTTTTTGTATTTTTAGTAGAGACGGGGTTTCACCTTGTTAGCCAGGATGGTCTCGATCTCCTGACCTCGTGATCCACCCGCCTCGGCCTCCCAAGTCTGATTGTTTCTTACAGCATCATTTAATTTATTCCTTTATTCCTTCTAAATTCTGTGAAGTGGAAGTTAGATTTACAAATTTGATTAGGTTCAGATTAAAACATAAGCGATGATGCCTATTTCATGCAATTGGACATACATAATTTCTGTTTTTCTATTTATTAGAGATCCTGAATTAATTTACTTTTGAGTATTGACCACCAGATTGTACCATTGAAAGATGCATTTTCTTCTTTGCTGTAAGTAATTATGACACCTTAGGAATATCTAACTCATTAACATTTCACCTAATGGTTTTAGTATCCTTTAATGATCTTTGCCTGAATTAGTTATTACATTGGGCGTTCTAAAATGGTGATTTAAAATTTTGACCATTTGTTCTAAGTAATTAGTTTGCTTTCTTCTGTAAAGAAAGACTTCACTTTTTTTTTTTTTTTTTTCTTTTTGAGACGGAGTTTTGGTCTTGTTGCCCAGGCTGGAGTGCAGTGTTGCGATCTCAACTCACTGCAACTTCCACCTCCTGGGTTCAAGCAATTGTCTTGCGACAGCCTCCTGAGTAGCTGGGATTACAGGCGCCCACCACCATGCCTGGCTAATTTTTTGTATTTTTAGTGGAGATGGCATTTCACCATGCCTGGGCAGGCTGGTCTCAAACTCCTGACCTCAGGTGATCTGTCCGCCTTGGCCTCCCAAAGTGCTGGGATTACAGGTGTGACTTGGCTTTTTTATCCATCCTTTCTTCTCCTTTTGCAGCATTACCATGAAGTTGTGGATTTTTATTTATTCAGTTTTCTATTAATTAGAGTAATTATTTATTTCAGTGCTCAAATTTTCCCAAATGTGGTTAATAGGCATCCCCTTAAGGCTATCTCCTATTTTTTTTTTTTGAGATGGAGTTTCTCATCACCCAGGCTAGAGTGCAATGGCATGATCTCAGCTCGGTGCAACCTCCGCTTCCCGGGTTCAAGTGATTCTCCTGCCTCAGCCTACCAAGTAGCTGGGATTACAGGCACCACCACACCCGGCTAATTTTCCTGGTTTTTCTTTTCTTTTTTTTTTTTTTTTTGATGGAGTCTCACTCTGTTGCCAGGCTGGAGTGCAGTGAGTGATCTCGGCTCACTGCAACCTCCATCTCCTGGGTTCAAGCGATTCTCCTGCCTCAGCCTCCCGAGTAGCTGGGATGACAGGTGCCTGCCACCACAGCCAGCTAATTTTTGTATTTTTAGTAGAGATGGGGTTTCACCATGTTGGCCAGGGTGGTGTCAATCTCTTGACCTGGTGATCTGTCCACCTCGGCCTCCCAAAGTGCTGGGATTATAGGCGTGAGCCACCGCACCTGGCTGCTATCTCCTACTCTTGTGACAAGCCCCGATCTATTTGTCTTTGAACACTTTCTTGCATTTTACAGCACAACAAGATGTTTCAAGTTTACTTTATACTTTCTCTACCCCAAAATGGGGTTCAGCCATTTTTCCAAGGAATCTTGGCTCCAAAAAAGGAGAATCTTTTTTTTTTTTAATTTAATGATTTACCTTTTGTCTTTTCACAGGGGCCTCTCTACATTTAGTTCTGTATTAGGTCAAGATTACTAAGTGCCAGTCCAAGCATCCCAGGTGTCAGAGACAAGGGTGAGGTGAAGTGGTGGGGGTGAACTCTGATAGGCCAGGGGAATTATTTCAGTTAAAATAATCTTTCCTTACTTTGGCAGCCTCTTAGTAGTATATCCTATCTCCGGCCCTTCCACTCTCCACCTGTGATTTGTCTCTCACACAGTTTTTATTCTTTCACTCATCCCCTTATTCATTCTGCTCTTATCTTTACTTTTACTTATCTATCTAATGCATTTTAGTGTTAAGATTTTAAGCTTTACTACATGATTATTTTCCACAACCATTTCAGCTAATTAATGTGATAGTTAGGTTTTGATGTAATCTTGCTTAATACTAATTTATATTTATTTATTTGTGCTACCTCATGAAGACTTATTTCTTTGAAAAGGTTGCAATGACTGCTCTGTCTTCCACTTCTTAAAAGGTGGTTAGGCAGACTACAGTGTCTAAATTTGTGTCATGGTTTGGTGTACACTTTCCCTTAAGTTTGGTTTTCAACATCTATTTCATTCTTTTCTGTCATTCGGCCAGGATTGAGTTAAATATATGTTCTTTTTCATTGTACCCCCCAAATCATTGAGAAGGACGTTTTGTCCGCATTTTCCTAACATAAATCTTTCTCTCCAGATGGAAGATTGAAGTCTCATTGTGCTAAGGAGGAAGGAAGTGGGGGGGGGGTGCATTTAGAAATCTGCTATATCAAGAAAGACATTAAAAATTGATAAAGGTAGGACTACCTGTTTTTATATTCTCCCACATAGCATGTGTTTAAATGAATTTGCCTATAATTTGTTTCAAACGCTGACATTTTACTCCTAAGCTATATAATTGTGCTTGATTTTTCCAGAGTAAAATTCGTATTCTGTGACCAGACTAATATGTTCACCTACTATAAAAATTACTGCCTGTGGTAACAGCGAGAATAAAAATCTCCTTTGTGTACATAATAGCTGGCAGAGACTCCTGGGACCACCACAAATCATTCCCATCTTTTAGAGCTTGCTTTCCATGGAAATGTAAAACCAGCCTAGTCCAATGTACCTTGACTCTGAAAACCTATTTAGACTACCATTTATACTATTGTTGTTATTTAAGATGCCAAGTATTCAACAAGCTCTCCTAATTATTGTATTCTCTAAGCTTAGTAACCTGTCCTTTCCCTGTGAACCAGCTCCTCTTCTATCATCTACCTCTGGCTCCTTTTTTGTTAAAGGTTAATAATGAGAATAATGGAGCAATTGGTTATTTATGCAGTCATGATTGGCAAAAGTTATTAGAGCAAGAATCTGCCCCGAAGCAATGATTAGGTTATGAAAATGTTAAGGAATACTGAAACCAGACACCATTTTGACATTTAAAAACTAATATTTCGACCCTTAATCGTGATGACCTATTGTAAAAGTATGTATACAGAATAAATCCCATTGGATAGTAATTTTTATACCAACAGCATACATAAGTAAGTGTTAAGGGGAGATTTGAAAATGTACTGAAGGGAAAAAGAGCCTGGGGAGGAAATTACCATAATGAGAAATAAGGAACAGAGCTCTCTCTTGGGTAGGACTATTTGTCTCCCAGGCACTGGTCTGCAAAGTTAGCTGACATTTTCCAATTTAGTATTTTCATCTTGAACAACTGGCAATTTTTAGGAGTTGTGAGAGAGGGTACCCCAGGTTAAATTGCCATGTTCTTTGTACCAAATTATAAAATTATAAAACAAGTAGGGAGGTATGTGTTCAGAAAATTTCCTGGTGATGGTTTTATTAATGAAATATTGACTTAACTGAAAAACTTAACAAAAAAACATCAAATTATACTCTCTTTATGTTTAATATAGTTAGGAACTTTCTGTGTAAATTGGCAGTACTCTTACCAGAACAGTGTTATTACTTGTACCCCATACTGATTTTTTAAAATAATAACTTTATTGTGTGTAATTCATGTAAAATAAAATTCACCCTTTTGAACTATATAATTAAATGGTTTTGAGTATATTCCAAAAATGTGCAAACACCACTACTTTGTAATTCCTGAACATGTTTATTACCTTTCCCCCAAAATTCATACCTGTTTGCAGTTACTCTCCATTTCTTCTCCCCTAACCCTTAGCAACCACTAATCTATTTCTGTCTGTATATATTTGCCTGTTCTGAACATTTTATACAAATGAAATCATGCAATATATGGCCTTTTGTGTCTGGCTTCTTTTACTTAGCATAATATTTTCAAGGTTCATCCATGTTGTAGCAGGTAGCAGTACTTCATTGCTTTTGGTGGCTGAATAATATTCCATTTATAAATATTCCACATTTTGTTTCTTTATCAGTGGACATTGACATTGTTTTTACTTTTCTACTATTAGGAATAATGCCATGTTGAATATGTATATACAAGTTTTTGTGTGTACATATGTTTTTTAAAAAGTTTTCTTTGCTTATATATTTAATATTCTTCAGGACATATTTTCACTTCTCTTGAGTATATACCTAGGAGTAGAATTGCTGGGTCATATGTCAAAATAATTCTCTAACATTGTGAAACAGCTAACTTATTTTCCAAAGTGGCAGCACAGTCTTATGTTCCCATTAGTTACGTAGGAGGGTTCCAGTTTCTTCATATCCTTGTCAGTGCTTGTTTGTCTTTTTGGATATGGTCATCTTAGTTGATGCAAAATGTTATCTCAGTGTGTTTTTTATTTACATTTCCCTAATGGCTATGTTGAGTATCTCTTCTTATGCTTCTTGGCCATTTGCATATTTTGTTTTGGGAAATGTATATTCAAAGCCTTTGCCCACTTTTAAATTGTACTAATTATCTTTTTATTGTTTAGTTGTACAAGTTGTATATATTCTGGACACAAATTCTTTACCATGTCATTTCCAAATATTTTCTCTCATTCAGGGGGTTGTTTTTTCAAATTTAAAATAATGCCTTTTGAAACACAATCATTTTACATTTCGAAGTCTAATTTGTCTATTTTTTTTTTTATTTGGTTACTTGTACTTTTAAGTGATCATCGCCTAATCCAAGGTCACAAAGATGTACTTTTATATTTTCTGCTAAGAGTTTTATAGTTTTAACTCTTACGTTTAGATCAATGATGCATTTTCAGCTTGTTTTGTTTTTTTAATATGGTGTGAGGTAGGGGTTCCTTTGCATGTATCTGCATTTGTTTTTATTCAAATTTAAAGAATCGAGGAATAAATTTATTTTCAAATGGGATGTTCATTGTTACTCTCTTTGTGAAGTATTGTTTTATGATTTTCGGGGAGAAATACATGTAACTTTTATCTGAAGACTTTATACTTATGACTCTCGCCAAATATGATTGCATTTCTGGTTCTGTTTTGTTTATTGGAATATGAAAAGCAGCATTGATGGATGCAGTTTGAATCAATTTTTCAGTTTTTTTCCCTTAATTTGCAATCTCACCTCTTCAGCTACAGTATAGAGAATGCCAAGAACTTCTAAGCCTGTATCAGAAATATTTATCAGAACAACAGGAGAAGCTCACCATGTCTCTCTCAGAACTTGGTGCTGCTAGAATGCAGGAACAGCAGGTAAGCATCTTTAATTTTACTTTTCTTGTCTTCAGTGGATCAGCAAGATGTCAGAAGAGCCATTTGTTTTTTATCTTAATTTCCTCCCAGTATATAATATTGTTTTAAAACATGTAGCCACTGCGTGTGATTGAGTTGATGTCTTTCCCTCCCCCTTTCCTTTCTCCTCCTGTTCCTGGACCCAAAGGTAAGGAATGATTACTTGAAGCAGTCTGTGTGGGTCAGTGGGGAAGCTTCTGGTTGTATGAAAGCACAGCCAGAAGGGTAAAGAAAACACTGCTCTGTTACTTAATGAAGATCAGGTGGGCTGTTTGTTACTCATTGTCCTTATGGAAATCACAAATAAGCCTTTCTTAATTCATGTTTATTTTTTAGAATAATGAAAGTTAATTGTGGACTTATAAAAACTTTAATTGGAGAATATTAGGATATTTTGCATATGCTTGCATACATATATTAATCACATAAGTATGTAGGAGAGTATTTATATAAGCGTTTGTACACTTATCACCAAATGGTATGTATTATATACTTAAATGAATGCTCAGAACCCTGCCAGATGTGATGTGAAATAAGCCCTAAAGACCCACTTCTGGTTGGGGGATTTCCGTTTCCTAGCCAAGGGAAGCCATTACAGACTGTATCTGGAAAAACAGGACACTTCCACCCAAATACTGGGCTTTTCCCACAGTCTTAGCAACCAGCAGACCAGGGGATTCTCTCCTGTGTCTGGCTGGGTGGGTGTCATGCCCACGGAGCCTTGCTCACTGCTAACGCAGCAGTCTGAGATCAACCTATGAGGCTGCAGCCCGGCAGGGGGAGGGGCGTCGACCATTGCTGAGGCTTCAGTAGGTAAACAGTGGCCGGGAAGCTCGAACTGGATGGAGCCCACCGCAGCTCAGCAAGGCCTACTGCCTCTACAGATTCCACCTCTGTGGGCAGGGCATTGCTGAACAAAAGGCAGCAGAAACTTCTGCAGGCTTAAACATCCCTGTCTGACAGCTCTGAAGAGAGCAGTGGTTCTCCCAGCATGGCGTTTGAGCTCTGAGAATGGACAGACTGCCTCCTCAAGTGGATCCCTGACCACTGTGTAGCCTGACTGGGAGACACCTCACAGTAGAGGCCAACAGACACCTCATACAGGCAGGTGCCCCTCTGGGACGAAGCTTCCAGAGGAAGGATCAGGCACCAATATTTGCTGTTCTGCAGCCTCTGCTGGTGATACCCAGGCAAACAGGGTCTGGAGTGGACTTCCAGCAAACACCAACAGACCTGCAGCTGAGAGACCTGACTGTTAGAAGGAAAACTAACAAACAGAAAGGAATATCATCAACATCAACAAAAAGGACATCCACACCAAAACCCCATCTGTAGGTCACCAACATCAAAGACCAAAGGTAGATAAAACCACAAAGGTGGGGAGAAACCAAAGCAGAGAAGCTGAAAATTCTAAAAACCAGAGCTCCTCTTCTCCTCCAAAGGATCGCAACTCCTCGCCAGCAATGGAACAAAGCTGGCTGGAGAATGACTTTGATGAGTTGACAGAAGTGGGTTTCAGAAGGTTGATAATAACACACTTCTCTGAGCTAAAGGAGCATGTTCTAACCCATTGCAAGGAAGCTAAAAACCTTGAAAAAAGTTAGATGAATGGCTAACTAGAATAAACACGGTAGAGAAGAACTTAAATGACCTGATGGAGCTGAAAACCATGGCACAAGAACCTTGTGATGTGTGCACAAGCTTCAATAGCTGATTCAATCAAGTGGAAGAAAGGATATCAGTGATTGAAGATCAACTTAATGAAATAAAGTGAGAAGACAAGCTTAGAGAAAAAAAAGTAAAAACAAACGAGCAAAGCCTCCAGCAAATATGGGAATATGTGAAAAGACCAAATCTACATTTGGTTGGTGTACCTGAAAGTGTCAGGGAGAATGGAACCAAGCTGGAAAACACTCTTCAGGATATTATCCAGGAGAACTTCCCCAACCAAGCAAGGCAGGCCAACATTCAAATTCAGGAAATACAGAGAACACCACAAAGATACTCCTCAAGAAGAGCAACCCCAAGACACGTAATTGTCAGATTCGCCAAGGATGAAATGAAGGAAAAAATGTTAAGGGCAGCCAGAGAGAAAGGTCGGGTTACCCACAAAGGGAAGCTCATCAGACTAACAGTGGATCCCTCAGCAGAAACCCTACAAGCCAGAAGAGAGTGGGGGCCAATCTTCAACATTCTTAAAGAAAAGAATTTTCAACCCAGAATTTCATATCCAGCCAAACTAAGCTTCATAAGTGAAGGGAAATAAAATCCTTCACAGACAAGCAAATGCTGAGAGATTTTGTCACCACCAGGCCTGCCTTACAAGAGCTCCTGAAGGGAGCACTAAACATGGAAGGGAACAACTGGTACCAGCCACTATAAAAACATGCCAAATTGTAAAGACCATTGATGCTATGAAGAAACTGCATCAATTATTGGGAAAAATAACCAGTTAACATCATAATGACAGGATCAAATTCCACATAACAATATTAACCTTAAATGTAAATGGGCTAAATGCCCCAGTTAAAAGACACAGACTGGCAAATTGGATAAAGAATCAAGACCTATCAATGTGCTGTATTCAGGAGACCCATCTCATGTGCAGAGACACACATAGGCTCAAAATAAAGGGATGGAGGAAGATCTACCAAGCAAATGGAAAACAACAACAACAAAAACCAGGGGTTGCAATCCTAGTCTCTGATAAAACAGACTTTAAACCAACAAAGATCAAAAGAGACAAGGAAAGCCATTATATAATGGTAAAGAGATCAATTCCACAAGAAAAGCTAACTATCCTAAATATATATGTATCCAATACAGAAGCACCCAGATTCATAAAGCAAGTCCTTAAAGACCTACAAAGGGACTTAGAGTCTGATACAATAATAATGGGAGAATTTAACACCCCACTGTCAATATTAGACAGATCAATGGGACAGAAAGTTAACAAGGATATCCAGCACTTGAACTCAGCTCTGCACCAGGCGGACCTAATAGACATCTACAGAACTCTCTACCCCAAATCAACAGAATATACATTCTTCTCAGCACCACATCATGCTTATTCTAAAATTGACTACGTAATTGGAAGTAAAGCACTCCTCAGCAAATGTAACAGAACAGAAATCACAACAAACTGTCTCAGACAACAGTGCAATCAAATTAGAACTCAGGATTAAAAAACTCACTCAAAACGGCACAACTACATGGAACTGAACAACCTGCTCCTGAATGACTACTGGGTAAATAACGAAATGAAGGCAGAAATAAAGATCTTCTTTTAAAGCAATGATAACAGAGACACAACGTGCCAGAATCTCTGGGACACATTTAAAGCACTGTGTAGAGGGAAATTTATAGCACTAATTGCCTACAAGAGAAAGCAGGAAAGATCTAAAATTGACACCCTAACTTCACAATTAAAAGACCTAGAGAAGCAAGAGCAAACAAATTCAAAAGCTAGCAGAAGGCAAGAAATAACTAAGATCAGAGTAGAACTGAAGGAGATAGAGGCACAAAAAAACCCTTCAAAAAATCAATGAATCCAGGAGCTGGTTTTTTGAAAAGATCAACAAAATTGAAATAGCCAAAGTATAAATGGTTTGTTTGTATTTTGATCTGAAATATTTTCTTCTGTTCTGTTTTCTTAAAACATAGCTGATAAAAAGAGGCAGAGGAAGGTGGCATCTATTTTTTATTGTTTATGTGAAGTTTCCCTGCTACACGGAAAACAAGTCAGGCAGTTTTTAAGGTGGCTCTTGCCTATTGCTTTTCAGGGGGTAAGAGAAAATGGTAGTGTGAAGATCAGATTTCAGACCTTTGGTTTTGCGTTTCTATTTACTGCTCCTGCATGACATAGATGTGTGAAGAGGGCACAAAACGGAAGGCCAATCCATTTGGCAAGGATGTGGGAAGGGAGATGGAGCAATCTTTCATTTACCAGTATTAATAGTCTTATCTTAAGGATACAGAGCTGATAGTGAAGAAATAGTCACCAGGGGATCCTAAAGACATGTGGAAAAGACTCTTTTTCTATTTACTGTTGAAATTGGAGGAAAATAAAACTTTCTCAGGTGTTACTGATTTGTATTTAAGCTAGTGATTTCTTGGGGGTTTTGCCCAATAAGGCTACTTCCTTGCAGTAACGGCATCATTGTGAATACTGTAAACCTCAGTGATGACACTGACCTAATTCTCTTCCCACTTCCCACTTACCTTGTCATGAAGTTACATGTTCTATTTATGTACTTGCAGATAGACTGTGCCCATCTCTGTAATGTCACCTTTTTTGTTATTTTGTAATCGTTGTTATATCATTCATCTATCTCCCTTACCAGCTTTTTTGAAAACAGGCATCTTGTTGCATTGGTTTTTGTACACTCAGAGCCTAACATAGGTCTTGGCTTAAGAAATATTTCTTTTTCATTAATTTGTATTTAACAAACATTTATGTAGTACATACTACATGTTAATACATATTAAATCATTTAATCCTAACTCAATGAAATAAGGTAGGTTATTATCTCTGTTTTATGCCTCTCCCAGAGGCAGAATGAATGAATCAGCCAGGTCATACAGCTAACAGGTTGGCAAAGCCAAGATATGAACCAAGCCAGTCTGGCACTATAGTTTGTTGAAGAAGGAAAGACAAGAAAAATTTGAGATAACTAAAATGGTTAAAATTTGGCTTTAGATATTCTTGTTTCTATAACTAACTCTCCTTGGCTCTTAATCTGACATACAGATTTTTAAACTCTAGAGCACAAATATGCTAGAGATGGTGGGCAAGTATTTTCTTTCCTTGCAAGGAGCCACAATGTCAGATAAAACATAAAATTTTATTCTCAAATTTTTAAAAATTTCACCTGCAGATTTTATGATGACGATGGCAGCAGATTGTTTTTCATGAGGCATTTCTTTGACTTTGAGAGACTTTTTCTGTTTCTTGTTTGTATTCGTTACTCTCTGTGCCTTAAATAGCATATTATGGTTTTGCTTGTAGTTTATTAAATCCACAGTTCTCCAGAAGAATGCCCTAGCTTATGATTTTTGTTTTTGACATCTGTCATTTCCTTGAAAACAAGTTGGCTTTATTTACAAGGTGATTTTTTTTCTTGTTTTCTCCCTATCCTCTTTCTCTCCTTTTCTTAAAGATAAATACATTCTACATTTCTTTTGTAATTTATTCAGCATTATAGGTTCTTCATAGTGGGTTCTAGAGAGGTTCTTCACTTGTTCTATTTAGGTTGTAGTGTTTATTTGATGTGTGTATATTACCCCATTATCTTATCTTAATAAATAGTACTTAGCTATAGTACAATCCTAGTCTTGAACATGGTAGGGTCTAATAACCATAGTTTTGGTCAATGTACATTTTATAGCCTTTTCTTGTTATAGGAGTGTGTTACTTCTTTTTTTTTTTTGGAATCTAAACTTAGTGTCACTTCACTTATGATGCTCATAACTTCCTTTTTTGTCTTATTTGTAGCCCATACCATTTTACAAAAGTTGTCGTATTTCCTCAGTACTGTTTGTAATAAGAGAAAGCCTAGGCAGCATTTTGAATAGCTTCTTCTACTCCAGTTTGAAAATGTTGGTAGGTCAGCCTATTTTACTATTTTTATTAACTCTGCATTATTTTGGCAGGTAGATATAAAGTAGCTTTAGAATTTTCTTAGGATTTCTTTTATTTCCTTAAAATTGGTAAAATAATTACTTTTTAGCCATGGGCAATGGATATTGAATTTCAGTTCCTCTGATCTGGTAAAAGGCTTGTTAGAGAAACTTCTTTATTTTCCCTGTGATTACTTGTTCCATATTTCTTAGTAGGTCTGGGTCACAGACTGGTCAAGAATCTGAAATGTACTAAAGATGGGTCATTGCTTACTACAAATTTAATGTCTGTTGTTGGTTGTTATCACTATTGCCTCTATAGTGTTATTAAAAGGCGATCAGGAGTTCGAAACCAGCCTGGTCAACATGATGAAACCCTGTCTCTACTAAAAATACACACACACACAAAATTAGCCAGGCGTGGTGGCCACCACGCCTGGCTAATTTTTGTATTTTTAGTAGAGACGGGGTTTCACCATGTTGGTCAGGCTGGTCTCAGACTCCTGACCTCAGGTGATCCACCCACCTTGGCCTCCCAAAGTGCTGGGATTATAGTCATAAGCCACTGTGCCTGGCCAAAAAAAAAAGTTTTATAGTACTTAGGGACACACAGTCTTATGACTACTTCCTATTCTGTGACTACTTTCATATATTCTTTTGGTTAAAATTTTATCTAATTTTATTTTGTTCTTTTTAATGTGTACTTAATGTGTAATATATGTCTTAATTCTATCTAATACTAGGCTATCTTCAAGTTATAATACCACTTATAAGCCTAGATTTTATTGACAATCCAGAGGCATCGTCATACTTCTAATTGACAAAAAAAAAAACCAAAAAACTAAAGAAGGTGTGAGGCACATTATACTATTAAACTCCTCACAGACTAAAAGGTCTGTAGGTAAAACAAGAATTGTTCCTTGCTAGGCCTGCCATGGTAAACAAAAGCAAACAAACAAAGAAAGAACAAGAATAGGAATAACAGCAGATTTCTCAACAGAAACAATGCAGGACAAGGCAGTACAACAGCTTATTCAAAGAGCTGAGGGAAAAGGAAACTGTGGCAATCAAGCAAAATCATTCTTCAAAACTGAAGGTAATATAAAGGCATTTCCACATTAAGAAAGACTAAGAGTACTAGTTTACCTGCCTTACAATAAATACTAATAGAAGTCTGTTTAGATGAAAGGAAAATGACATAAGGCAGTAACTCAAATCCACACAAAGAAATAAAAAGCATCAATAAAGATGTGTATTTCCTTTTCCTTAAACAATTTTAGACACCTGAATAAAACAATAATAATCCTGTATTGAGCTTACAAGATATAAAGATCGTGTGTGTGTGTACATTTGTGTATACATTTGCACAAGGGAGATGAGAAGGGAGGGAGCTATATTAGAGTGAATTTTCCATATACTGGAATTAAGTTAGTGGAAAGGAAGTAAAACTGTCTTTATTTATAAATAACATCATCCTGCATATAGAGAATCATAAGAAATCCACAAAAAAAGGTGATGGAACTAATAAATGAGTTCAGCGAGGATACAGGATATAAGATCAATATGTAAAAAATCAATTTTATTTCTGTTGATTACCAATGAACAATTAAAATACGGATATATTTAACAGAAGTGCAAGACGTATACACTGAAGACATTAAAACATGGCTGAGAGAAACTGAAGAACATCTAAATAGATGGAAATGGGTTCCATGGTCATGGATTGGCCGTTTTTCCCAAATTGATCTGTAGATTTGTTGCAATCCTGATCAGAATTCCAGCAGATTTTGATAATTCCTTTTTTGTGGAAACTGGTAAAACAGTCTTAAAATTTATATGGAAGTGCAAAGGAGTGAGAATAGCCAAAACAATTTTGAGAACGATGAGAAGAGTAGAGGGTTACTCTTTTCAGTTTCATAATTTGTTCTAAAGCTATGGTATAGTAGGTAGAATTTTAAGATGGCTCACATGACCTTGGCCCCCTGGCAAAATGGTTTCACTCTTGTGACTATGTTATGTTATATATTTAAAAAGATTATCTTGGTAGGCCCGATCTAATAAATAAGAAAAGCAGAGAGTTTTCTTTAGCTGAGAGTAAAAGATGAAATCAGAGAGATTTGAAACATGAGAAGGATTCAACTTACCATTTCTAGCTTTAAAGATGAATGGGGCTCAAAGCTGAGGATAGTTCATGGCTAACAGCAAGAAAATAAGGATTTAAGTCCTACAACCACAAGGAGCTATATTCTGTCAGCAACCTGAATGAACTTGGAATCAGTTTCCTCCTCAGATATTCCAAATTAGATCACAGCTCAGCTGACAACCTGGATTCAGTCTTGTGAGAAACTAAACATAGAACCTAGTTGAGTTGGTCTGGCCTTTTGACCTACATAACTGTGAGCTAATGAATTTGGGTTATTTTAAGCTGTTGCATTTATGGTAACTTGTTTTGGAAAAATAGAGGAAGAATACACACAGAGGGCTCCAAGATGGCCAACTAGACCCAGGCAGGAGGAACATTTCCCACCAAAGGACTGGGACATCAGGAAAACTGGTACACTCCTAGCAGATCTTCAGAAGGGAGGCATTGAGAGTGGGCAGAAGGAAGAAACAGATGCTGGGCTGAAAGGGGAGGAAGCTGGGAACCCTGCACAGGGCTACTGCACACTGGGACTTGTTCATGGCCTTCAGTGACTCCTGTGGAGTGGGTGAGTTGAACAGGCAAGGAGCAACTCACTCTTATCATGGGCATCTGGAATCCCAGAAATAAGACAGTCACACAACAGTAAAGAAAAAAGAATGAAAGGGAATGAAGAAAATCTTCAAGAAATATAGGATTACGTAAAGAGACCAAATCTATGACTCATTGGCATCTTTGAAATAGATGGGGAGAAACAACTTGGAAAACATATTTGGAAAACATATTTCAGGATATCATTCATGAGAACTTCCCCAACCTAGCTAGACCTGCTACCACCAGACCTGGTACCTGGTACCACCAGACCTGCTTTACAAGAGCTCCTGAAAGAAGCACTAAATATGGAAAGGAAAGACCAGCAACTGCAAAAACACACTTAAGTACACAGACCAGTGACACTATAATGCAACCACACAAATAAATCAGCATAATAAACAGCTAACAACATGATGACAGGATCAAATCCACACATATCAATACTAACCTTGAATGTAAACGAGCTAAATACCCCAGTGAAAAGGCACAGAGTAGCAAACTGAATGAAGAAGCAAGACCCAATGGTATGTTGTGTTCAAGAGACCCATGTCATGTGCAGTGACACCCGTAGGCTAAAAATAAAGGGATGGAGAAAAATCTACCAAGCAAATAAAAAACAGAAAAAAGTAAGGGTTGCAATTCTAATATCAGACAAAACAGACTTTAAACATCTTGCCTAGAATCAGAAAACAAAGATCAAAAAAGACAAAGAAGGCCATTACATAATGGCAAAGGTTTTAATTCAACATGAAAACCTAATTAGCCAAAATGTGTTTGCATCTAACACAAGGCGACCCAGATTCATAAAGCAAGTTCTTAGAGACCTTCAAAGAGACTTAAATTTCCACACAATAATAGTGAGATATTTCAACACCCCCACTGACAGTATTAGACAGATCCTTAAGTCAGAAAATTAACAAAGATATTCAGGACCTGAACACTGGACCAAATGGATCTGATAGACATCTATAAAACTCTCTACCCCAAAACAACACAATATATATTCTTCTCATCTGCACTGAGTACAACATAATCTAAAATTGGTCAAACAATTGGACATAAAACAATCTGCAGCAAATGCAAAAGAACCAAAATCATATATTAGCTACTCTCTCAGACCACAGTACAATAAAAATAGAATTCAAGACCAAGAAGATCTTTGAAAACTATACAGTTTCATGGAAATTAAACAATCTGCTTGTGAATGACTTTTGAGTAAATAATGAAATTAAGGCAGAAAACAAGAAGTTCTTTGAAATGATTGAGAACAAAGGTACAATATACCAGAATCTCTGGAACACAGCTAAGGCAGTGTTAAAAGGGAAATTTATAGCACTAAACAGCCACATAAAAAGTTAGAAAGACCTCAGATTAACAACGTAACATCACAACTAAAAGAACTAGAGAAGCAAGAGCAAACCACCCCAAAGGAAGAGGTGACAGGAAATAGCCAAAATCAGAGCTTAACTGAAGGAGATTGAAACACAAAGAAAACATTTAAAAGATAAACGAAGCCAGGAGCTGGTCTTTTGAAAAAAATTAATAAGCTGGATAAACCACTAGGCAGACTAATAAAGAAGAAAAGAGAGAAGATCCAAGTAAACACAATCAGTAATGAAAAAGGGAATATTATCACTGACCCCACAGAAATGCAAATAACCATCAGAGACTATTATGAACACCTCTATGCACACAAACTAGAAAATCTAGAAGAAATTGATAAATTTCTGGGTACATACACTCTCCCAAGGCTGAACCAGGAAGAAATTGAATCTCTACACATACCAATAATGAGCTCTGAAATTGAATCAGTAATAACCTACCAACCAAAAAAATCTCAAGACCAGATAAATTCACAGCCAAATTCTACCAGATGTACAAAGAAGGGCTGGTAGCATTCCTACTGAAACGATTCTAACAAATTGAAAAGTAAGGACTCCTCCCTAACTCTTTCTATGAGGCCAACATTATCCTGATACCAAAACCTGGCAGAGACATAACAAAAAAAATCCCAGGACTAGACAGATTCACAGCTGAATTCTACCAGAGGACAAACAGGAGCTGGTACCATTCCTTCTCACACTATTCTGAACAACAGAAAAAGAGGGACTCCTCCCTAACTCATTTTGTGAGGCCAGCATCATCCTGATACCAAAACCTGGCAGAGACACAGCAAAAAATGAAAATTTCAGGCCAATATCCCCAATGAACATTGATGTGAAAATCCTCAATAAAATACTGGCACACCAAATCCAATAGCACATTAAAAAGCTTGTCCATCACAATCAAGTTGGCTTCATCCCTGGGATGCAAGGCTGGTTCAACTTATGCAAATCAATAAACATAATCCATCACATAAATGAACCAATGACAAAACCACATGATTATCCCAATAGATGCAGAAAAGACCTTTGATAATAATCAACACCCCTTTATGCTACAGACTCTCAATACATTAGGTATTGGTGGAACATATCTCAAAATAATAAGAGCTATTTATGACAAACCCACAGCCAATATCATACTGATTGGGGAAAAGCTGGAAGCATTCCCTTTGAAAACGGGCACAAGATATGGATGCTCTCTCTCACCACTCTTACTCAACGTAGTATTGGAAGTTCTGGCCAGGGCAATCGGGGAAGAGAAAGAAATAAATGGTATCCATATAGGAAGAGAGGAAGTCAAATTGTCTGTTTGCAGATGATATGAGTGTATATTTAGAAAACCCCATTGTCTGAGCCTAAAATCTCCTTAAGCTGATAAGCAACTTCAGCAAAGTCTCAGGATACAAAATCAGTGTGCAAAATTCACAAGCATTGCTATACACCAATAATAGACAGAGAGCCAAATCATGAGTGAACTCCCATTCACAATTGCTACAAAGATAATAAAATACCTAGGTATCCAACTTACAAGGGATGTGAAGGACCTCTTCAAGGAGAACTACAAACCACTGCTCAAGGAAATAAGAGAGGACACAAAGAAATGGGAAAACATTCCATACTCATGGATGGGAAGAATCAATATCATGAAAATGGCCGCAATGCCCAAAGTAATTTGTTGACTCAATGCTATCCCCATCAAGCTACCATTGACTTTCTTCACAGAATTACAAAAAACTACTTTAAATTTCATATGGAACCAAAAAAGAGCCTGCATAGCCAAGACAATCCTAAGCAAAAAGAGCAAAGCTGGAGGCATCATGCTACCTGACTTCAAACTATACTACAAGGCTACAGTAACCAAAACAGCATGGTACTGGTACCAAAGCAGATATATAGACCAATGGAACAGAACAGAGGCCTCAGAAATAACACCACACATCTACAACCATCTGATCTTTGACAAACCTGACAAAAGCAATGGAGAAAGGATTCCCTATTAAATAAATGGTGTTTGGAAAACTATGTAGCCCTATGCAGAAAACTGAAACTGGACCCCTTCCTTGCACCTTATACAAAAAATAATTCAAGATGAATTAAAGACTTAAACGTAAGACCTAAAACCATAAAAACCCTAGAAGAAAACCTAGGTAATACCATTCACGACATAGGCACTTTGGGAAGCCGAGGTCAGTGGATCACCTGAGGTTGGGAGTTCAAGACCAGCCTGACCAACATGGTGAAACCCTGTCTCTACTAAAAATACAGAATTAGCCAGGTGTGGTGGTGGATGCCTGTAATCCCAGCTACTTGGGAGACTGAGGCAGGAGAATCGCTTGAACCCAGGAGGCAGAGGTTGTGGTGAGCTGAGATTACACCATTGCACTCCACCCTGGACGACAAGAGTAAAACTCCATCTCAAAAATAAAATAAATTTAAAAAATGTGGTACTGTATACCATGAAATACTATGCAGCCATAAAAAAGAACGAGATCATGTTCTTTGCAGAAACATGGATTGAACAAGAGGCCATTATCCTTAGCAAACTAACAGGAACAGAAAACCAAGTTCTCACTTGTAAGTGGGAGCTAAATATAAGAATATATGGACCCAAAGAGAGGAACAACAGACACTGAAGCCTACTAAAAGGTAAAGGGTGGGAGGAAGGAGAGAAGAAGAAAAAGATAACTATGGGTACTGTGCTTGTTACCTGGGTAATGAAATAATCTGTACATCAAAGCCCTGTGACACAAGTTTACCTATATAACAAACCTGCATATGTACAGTGAACCTAAAATAAAAGTTTAAAAAGAAAATACATGCAGTATTCATGACAGTACAGTACTGCCATAAGAATGGATATATTAATCAGTGGAACAAAATTGTAAATCCATATAATAAACCCTAACAATGATGGTCAATTGATTATTGACAAAAGTGCTAAGGCAGTTAAATGGGGAGAAAGAATAATCTTTTCAACTAATGATGATGGGACAATTGAACACATGCGAAAAGAAATACATTTGGACCCTTCACACCATGCACAAAAATTAAGCTAAACATTAATCCATCATTCAGGATACCTTTTGTAAAACCTAGTTTCAGTTAATGATTTTTCTCAGCACCAGTTTTTTTCTTCTTTAGGTGCAGTGTTTTTTATACCTGAACTTCAACAGTGGATCACACTATATAATTTACCCTTATATAATTAATAATAGCCAGAAGTATTGCCTTTTAACACAGAGGAAGAGCAGAATATCATGTATATGGTTACCATGTCGGGGGAGGGGTCTAACCACAGAAGGATCAAAGATCATCACAATGCTAGCCATTGTTAATGTAAGTTCCAAAACTTCGGCCTACTTTTTTTGGTGTCAGAGTAGCCAAGGAAAACACTAAGCAATCAAGCACTGGATGAAACAACAGTTAACTTACATAAAAAAGAAACAGCAAGATCAGCTTCAATGATGGCATTGGTCTTTCATGGATAGGGTGTCCCCTATATCCAGCGGGTTCTCTGGCAGCCAACCTGTCTCTCCTGTCCCGTTCCTGTCCCAGTAAGCAAACTTCTCTTCCTCCCCTCTGGAGTATAAAATACTAAATGCTGGGAATATACCTGAGGGCCATTGGTGCATACACTTAAACAATACAGAGGAACACACATTGAGCCTGAAACAGGAAAAGATATTACCAACAAGGTGATAGTTAAAATTCTGTTTTGTTCAGTTATCTAAAGTTTTGTCTGTTGTGTGAATATATCAATTTTGTGTTGAAGATGCTGCCGTGGTAGCTGACTAATCTGTAGAATGGATTATTTTTATTGGATTTTAAAAATATTTTGCTTTTTAAGACTTGGAACCAACACAAATGTCCATCAGTGATAGACTGGATTAAGAAAATGTGGCACATATACACCATGGAATACTACGCAGCCATAAAAAAGGATGAGTTCATGTCTTTTATGGGGACATGGATGAAGCTGGAAACCATCATTCTGAGCAAACTATCCCAAGGACAGAAAACCAAACTCCGCATGTTCTCACTCATAGGTGGGAATTGAACAATGAGAACACATGGACACAGGGTAGGGAACATCACACACCAGGCCCTGCTGGGGGGTCGGGGGAGGGGCGAGGGATAGCATTAGGAGGTATACCTAATGTAAATGACGAGTTAACGGGTGCAGCACACAAATATGGCACATGTATACATATGTAACAAACCTACACGTTGTGCACATGTACCCTAGAACTCAAAGTAAAATAATAATAATAAAAAATTTTGCTTTTTATGTTTTATGGCCATTTATTTATTCAGATAATGACACAAGTTATTGTAGCCCAGATGCTACTAATGTGAGAGAAGGCATCGTTCTCTATACACTCCATTTAAAATTGTGCGTACCCATTCTGAATCCTCATGTCAGGCTAAATTGAATAATAATAAATAATTACTCAGTGAAATATTACAAGTCTCAGAGTAGTTGAAAACCAAATCGACATTACAGACATATATTTACTATTGTCTTCCAGTTAGTGGTTTCTGATTGATTGATAATTGCTACCAGGGACACAGTTTTATATATAATTGTGTGTACGCACATACACACACACACACACATACACACACACACACACACACATATATATCTTCAAAAATTCTATTTTTCAGTGTAATCTAGACCTTAATACCTGGTTATTGACCTGAAGATATATACTTTCTACCAGCAGGTTACAGATTCAAAATGAAACCTGAAAAGTATTTAAACTGATAATGTGATATTAATAACATTAAAGTTTATGTGTTATCTAAATTAGATATGATTGGGCACAGTGGTCAAAATATACTGCAAAATTTAGGTTTATGGTCACCTTTTTTGGAATCAGGGTTGTTTGCTCTTATATCTGACTGTTTGACATTTGTTCTCAATTCTCCATCTCAGAAGAAGGCTTTTTTCTTTTTTGATTTGTATAAATTTTAGGGGTATGAGTATAGTTTCGTTACATGGCTATATTATGTAGGTAGTGAAGTCTGGGCTTTTAGTGTATCCATCACCGGAATAATGTACATTATATTCATTGAGTAATTTTTTTTTATTATCTGCTCCCCCCTCATAGCCTCCACTCTTCTGAGTCTCCAATGTCTATTATTCCACATTATCTAGCTCTCATTTCTAAGTGAGAACATGTGGTATTTT
Source organism: Homo sapiens (assembly GCF_000001405.40). Taxonomy (NCBI): domain Eukaryota; kingdom Metazoa; phylum Chordata; class Mammalia; order Primates; family Hominidae; genus Homo; species Homo sapiens. The sequence goes on from NC_000018.10 coordinate 36,974,407, forward strand.
TCAGTTTCTGAGTTGTTTCACTGAAGATAAAAGCCTCCAGTTCCATTTATGTTACTGCAGTAGACATAATTGCATTCTTTTTTTGCGGATGAATAGTATTCCATTGTGTATATACCACATTTTCTTTTTCTAATCATCCATTGATAGACATTTATGTTGATTCCTTATCTTTGCTATTGTGAATAGTGTTGCAATAAACATACAAGTACATGTATCTTTTTATGTGATTATTTCTTTTCCTTTGGGTAGATACACAGTAGTGGGATTGCTAGATTGAATTGTTGTTCTATTTTTAGTTATTCGAGAAATCTCCATACTGTTTTCCATACAGGTTGTAATTATTTACACTCGCATCAACAGTATATAAGCATTTCCCTTTCTCTGCATCACAGAAGGATTTTTCTATTGTTCATTTATTTCTAATGGACTCTGGCTCAAAAACTGTGCCATCTGTCATAGGGCATTGTGTGATAAGAAGTATAATCTAGTACTAAACAGATTGTCTCAGACAAAGTATGAGTGAATTTTTGCTCTTGGAACAGCAAGTCTTGATCTGGAACCAGTTCTATCGGTCATGGTATATAAACAGCCAGATTAGTAGTACTGGATTTTGCAAAGTTAGTATCACCATGCTGAGATAAAAAGTCTTGAGTGCAGAAGAGAGAGAGGATTGGGTTATCCTTTGATATTATGTTGATATCAGTCACTGGTATCCATTGAACTCTTTCAAAGCTAAGTTATTGATCCAAGGACCAAAGTACAAGCTACAATTTTTTTTTTTTTTTTTTTTTTTTGAGACGGAGTCTCGCTCTGTCGCCCAGTCTGGAGTGCAGTGGCGGGATCTCGGCTCACTGCAAGCTCTGCCTCCCGGGTTCACGCCATTCTCCTGCCTCAGCCTCCCAAGTAGCTGGGACTACAGGCGCCCGCCACTACGCCTGGCTAATTTTTTGTATTTTTAGTAGAGACGGGGTTTCACCGTTTTAGCTGGGATGGTCTCGATCTCCTGACCTCGTGATCCGCCCGCCTCGGCCTCCCAAAGTGCTGGGATTACAGGCGTGAGCCACCGCGCCCGGCCTACAAGCTACAATTCTAAACACCCTTTTCCCTTTTTTGGATGGGAATACTGACATATATATTGAGCATTGCTGACAAAGCAATTTGCCAGGCACCCTTCAGGTAAACAGATAAAACCTCAGAAAATGTAATATTTGACTGTGCTTCTACTTGTGGAGTTAAGTCTTCTCATAAGTTAACTTCCTTCAACTGCCTGTTAACAAAGTTAAATTTTAATCCCTCTTGCCAACCGATTTTTTAACTTTTATTATTCAGTGAATACTAAATCATTTCTTCCCTTAATTGTTAAAGCTTTTTGTTTCTTTTTCTCTTGTTGGTCTGTCTTTTGTTACAGAGAATCCCAGTTAAGAACTATGAAGGATAGAGATAAAATTATTTTTCCTCCTCTATAGTTCCTTTAAATTTTTTAATTTTGTACCTATGATTTACCTTTATGTCTATCTTAGATATTTACAGTTTGCCATTATAGAAGTCCTCTGGATTAGGCATGTCATGGGATATAAACAAAACAGAGAAAGACATAGAAATCAATTGCAATCAAACTACCCTGAAAGAAGAAATCTCTCAGAGCAGTACTGCTCAACAGAACTTTCTGATGATGTAACTGTCCTGTCTGTGCATTGTCCAATATGATAGCAACTCACCATGTGTGGCTCTTGAGCACTTGATATATGACTGATGAGACTGAGGAGAACTGAATTTTGTTTAATATTAATAGACACCTGTGGCTATAATTTTGGACAGTGTAGTTCTGGAACAGAAATTAATGCCTGGATATAAGAAATGTATGAGTTCCTATAATGAATATGTTGACTAAGGAGATGTAAGCTAGTCGTGACTGGGCTTGTTAGCTCAGGTGAGATCTGTGTTTTTCAGAAAAAATTGGTGATATATTACATATGTTTTTACCTTGCTGAATAATTGTGAAACAAACGTAATATAAATTTCAGTATCAAAATGAAATAAAATTATTGCGTTCCTGCTTTTTACAGGTTACAACAGTAGCCACCGAAATCTCAAAGTAGATCCATGTCTTCTTTTTTAGTGACTTAGCCTGATTAAAGAGATATGATAGATATGTAGAGAGAAGGAGGGAAGAAAGGAAGGATGGATGGATGGATGAGAAAACAGTGTAATATTTATTACGTTGTTTATAGATTATATTATATTACAATTGTTATATATTATAATTAATTAGAATACTATATTCTAAATAACACAGGAGTGGTACATTGTTTATTTTCTCAAATACCTGCGTAGATTTGATGTTATCTAAGATTCCTTCCAGCTCTAACTTTGTGATGCTAAATCTTAAGAATGCTGAGCAGAAGGAAATCTCTGAAAGTGGAGCAGTCAGATTAATTTAGGATTTGGAATTTATTATTTGACTTGTGTTGTTATATGATCTCAATCTCCCAGGTCATATCAATGATTCAATTTTTCTAAGTAAATTTATTTCATTTCATACGGAGTATTGATTAAAAGGAAGCTCTGATAAATACCCCCTACAGTGTGGTATCTTCTTGGTTACTCTAATACCTTTTTTAAGCGTGATAGTCATGCTTTTTAATCATTCAGATAGAAACATACTACTTAAGGAGGCAGCACGTTTAGAGAATAGGCTAGAAATAAGTAGAAACACAAGGTAATTTGTGTGTCTCCCCAATTACAGCACTGTTTAGCACTGATGGGCAAAAGGAACAACTTGAAGGCTTAATCCACTGTTCTTCATTCTTTCACTGTGTATCCTTAAAGGCCTGTCATTGGCATCGTGAGGTAATCCTTTTCTCATTGGCTAGCTAACTGTGTTGGTAGCTTCAGTTCTTCCAGACTGAGTCAGGATATAACTTTTTAAGTTTAATGCTCTGTTGATTTTGTCAATCTATTGCTCTGTTCAGCTTACACCTTTACACAGTGTTCAGAGCTCTCAAAAATGTGTAGCCTTAAGCATTTTGCTCTGCTTTGGGTATGAAATAAATGTTTGATGGATTCTGGCCTGCTTGACAGATTGAGTGACTGCTGTTTCCCGATACTCTTACATGTCTACTCTTACTTGGTGCCGTCTTTCTCAGATAATTTGTCTGAGTACTCAGGGCACTATCTCATAGAGAAGGACACCCAACTGGAACTGTGTGCCACCCTAACGTCATTTTTTTGTTTTTAAAACAAGGGACCACATTAATCAAACCCAGAAACAAGGTGTTTCAGGGTTCTCAAGACAACCCCCAGGTTTAGTGATTGACAAGACTCAGAAGGCTCTGCATATAGTCATACTCACTGTGAAGGTTTTTTATTTTATTTTATTTTATTTTTTATTTTATGAGACAGAGTCTCACTCTGTCCCCCAGGCTGGAGTGCAGTGGTGCAGTCTTGGCTCACTGCAACCTCCGCCTTCCAGGTTCAAGAGATTCTCATGTCTCAGCCTTTCAAGTAGCTGGAATTACAGGTGTGTGCCACCCTCCCTGGCTAATTTTTGTAATTTTAGTAGAGGTTGGGTTTTGCCATGTTGCCCAGGCTGGCTCCAGCTCCTGGCCTCAAGTGATCTGCCTGCCTCAGCCTCTCAAAGTGCTGAGATTACAGGTGAGAGCCACCGCGCCTGGCCAAGATTTATTACTATGAAAGGAATAAAGGGAAAAGGTAAAGTCTGGAAGAAAAGCCCATGCAATCTTATAAGACTCATCTCTAAATGGAATCACACAATATATGCTTTGTTCCTCCAGCAGTGAATTCTGACAACTACTGTGAAATGTTATCTACCAGGGAGACTCACTGGAGACTCAGAACCTAAAGTTTCTGTTGGGGGCTGGTCACATAGGCACCCTCTACTGTATATCAATTTCCAGACTCCCAGAGGGAAAACAGATGTTCAGCATGAACCAAGTTGTTTGTATAAACTGGTTAGGCATAGTAAGATATGAATATCAGTTACGAATTGGTGGAAACAGTTCAGAAATCGGTTTGCATATTGCCAGCGAAGGGCCAACTGTGTAAGCAGGACATTCTAAGGGTAGCAGGTTCAGGCCAGCTATGGTAACTCTTCTGCTCATGAGAAATGTGTCAGTTGGCATTCAGACTTGGAACTTTTAACACATTTTTAACTTTCTTTATATCTAGTCTCTTTACTGTCTTCTTTTGGTGATCATTATTGTCATTAGGAGATTAATAGAAATATAGTATACTGTATGCCTATTCCTTCACCTCATGTGGCCATTTATATTTCTTGTACATGAGAGCACCAGATCTTCTTTCCTATTTCTCCTTGCCACATTTTCTTCTTTTGGCATTTGCTTTGCCCAGTACTTCAAGATTGTAGTCCCATAGTTGCATTTGAGTTTTTAAAGACAGATTTATTTTTTCCTTAAAGCGGCTGACTAGTATTGCCTTAAAAGAACATTATATGAACTGGGCACTGTGGCTCATGTGTATAATCTCAGCACTTTGGAAGGCCAAGGCAGGTGGATCACTTGAAGCCAGTTCAAGACCAGCCTGGGCAACATAGCCAGACCCCATCTCTACAAATATTTGAAAAATAGCTGGGCATGGTGGTACACACCTGTATTCCCAGCTACTCGGGAGGCTGAAGTGGGAGGATCACTTGAGCCCAGGAGTTCAAGGCTACAGTGAGCTATGATTGCACCATTGTACCACTGCAGCCTGGGTAACAGACTGAGACCCTATCTCTAAAAATAATAAAATAAAATTTAAAAATAAAATGAATAAAATAAAAAGAAAGAAGGTTATATGAATACCTATTGGTGTGCCTCTTAAGACTTAGAAACCTTAAAGTTGAACCTCCAGTACCTCAGAGAAGGTTTTATGTTTATTATAGATATAAACTGTGATGATTATATGGGCAGACTAAGAAGTAAATTTAACCATTAAATCTAGTCTAAATCAATGTCAACTCATACTTCTGAGTAATTTAAGAATAAAGAAACTTTTATTCTTCAGGTAGGATCACAGCTAAAAGCATTTGGATGAAGATAATAGGAAACAGATATGGAAGTGATGTAACTGTGGGAGTCCACAGAATAGGAAGTAAATGATGCTGCCATAAAAACAGAATAAAGGCTGGTATAGAAATAAGAGATTATAGTAATAGGAACTGCAATATATAATATTGGTATCAAGCAGGAAGATCCAGCTACCAATCCCAAGTGAGGATTCCCACTACATGGAGTTTGGTAGCAACCATAACAATGCCAATCACCAGAAATGGGAGATCATAGACCTCAGCCCACTGCATCTTCAGTGGGTTCAGAGTTGCAAAGGAAGACTCAACCCACATGTCACAGATTGGAACAATACTTTACTCAAAGAAAGGAGAAGAGACTCAGCAAGATCACTGTCTATAGTGTATACCAGTGCTATGGTCTGATTGTGTTCCCCCACATTCATGTGTTGGAAACTTAATCCCCAGTGCAACATTATTGAGAGGTGGAGCTTAATGGGAGGTATTATATTTAGGTCATGAGGGTCTCACCGTCATGAACAGAGTAATGCTGTTATAAAAAGAACTTGAAGGAGTGGGTTCCCTTATTGTTCTTCTGCCTTCTGCCATGTGATGACACAGCATTCCTCCTCACCAGTGGAGGCAGCATTCAAAGTGCCATCTTAGAAGCAGAGAGCAGCCCTTACTGAAAACTTCCATCTTGATCTTGGATTTCACCATCTCCTGAACTATGAGAAATAAATTTCTCTTTTTTTATAAATTATTCAGCCTGTGGTATTCTCTTATTGCAGCACACATACACTAAGGCAGCTGGTCTCTCATGGCCAATGAGTCCCTCCTTATAGCCAGTGCAGGGCAATAGACTACTACATGCACACTTCTCATGCTGCAGGTGAAGACCTAGTTCCCTTCCCACAAGGGACAGATATACTGGTGGGGCTGGTCAGGGTCCATATGATGTTTCTCTTGATAAGGAAGGAGAATTTGGGGACACGCAACAGCTCAGCTTCCATATAGAGAATGTTCCAGGCCCAGTTTACTGGTTGAGCAATACCAGAGAGCAGTGGCATGTCGTATGGCTGCTTCCACAACAATTGGGCATATGCTAGAAGACTCACTGTTATACATTTAGAATATCTGGTGATTTTTTTACCGGCCTAAGTGAAGTGAAAGGAAGTAATGAGAAGTACAATTATTCTGGAGTTAATTCCAGCTGACATGGTTTGGCTCTGTGTTCCCACCCAAATATTATCTTGTAGCTCCCATAATTCCCATGTGTTATGGGAGGTACCCGGTGGGAGATGAATGAATTATGGGGGCTGGTCTTTCCCATGCTGTTCTCATGATAGTGAATAAATCTCATGAGTTCTGACAGTATTATAAGGGAGAGTTTCCTTGCACAAGCTCTCCTTGCCTGCCACAGGCCATCCCCTTAAGATGGGACTTGCTTCTCCTTACCTTCTGCCATGATTGTGAGACCTCCCCAGCTAAGTGGAACTGTGAGTCCATTTAAACTTCTTACTTTTGTGAATTGCCCAGTCTTCGGTATGTCTTTATCAGCAGCATGAAAACAGACTAATACACCAACTAACAAGGAAAACTTAATTGGTGAGGAACAAATAATGGGCACTTGTAGAGATGGAATTTATTTTAGAATTCTTATTAGTAAAATAATGCCTGGGAATAGTGCTTGTTCCCATCAGCAAGAGAAAAATTCATAATTTATAGGGCATTGGGTAGAATATTCCAGTTAGATTTTTGTCCTAGTCATGGAAAATAAATAGCTCTAGGCTGAGCACCTCTCCACACTGATTCAACAAATCAGAAAAGAAAGATCTAAGTGAATCAAGCTGTTTCCAAGTAACTAAACTGTGACAGAATAAACCGTAACTAAACTGTCACAGAATAAACCTCAAGAATAGAGAAATACATAAATATATAATACCCAAGAAGATAAAATTTACAACACTGGGAATTCAAAGTAGGCATGCAAAGAATCAGTAAAATGCAATCCCCATACAGGAGAATAATCAGTTGAATTGACACAGATAATAAAATTAACAGTCAAGGATTATTAAGCCATTATTATACCTATATTCCATTGGTTTATAAAGACAAATAGTACCATATAGATACCAAAGAGACACAAATTGAACTCTTTCTTTGTTTTTTGAGATGGGATCTTGCTCAGTCACCCAGGCTGAAGTGCAGTAGTGTGAACATGGCTCCGTGCAGCCTCTTTCTCCTAGGCTCAAAGGATTCTTCTGTCTCAGCCTCTCAAGTAACTGGGACTCCTGGTGCACAACACGACACCTGGCTAATTGTTTGATTTTTTTTTTTTTTTGGTAGAGATTGAGTCTCACTTTGTTGCCCAGGCTGGTCCTGAACTCCTGGTCTCAAGTGATCCACCTCAGCCTCCAGAAGTGCTGGGATTATAGGCATGAGCCACCACACCCAGCAGATTGAACTTTTGTGTATGAAAATCATTCTGTCTAATAACAAAAATACACTGGATCGGATTAATGGGAGATTAGACATTGCAGAAGAAAAAATGAGTGAGTTGGAGATATAGCAGTTAGACAGAAAAAAGTGATTTAACTAAAATCATTGAGTTGTTGGACAACTCTAAGTGATCTAATTAATATATATATTTATATTATATTATATATAATATAATTATATAATATATAAATATATTATAAAAATATAAATAAATATATATAATATATATATATAATATATATAACTGGAGTTCCTGAAGGAGAGTTGTGAGCAGAAAACTTTTGAAGAAATAATGGCCAAAAATTTTCCAAAGTGATGAAAACTATAAACCCATGGATTGAAGTACCTCAGTGAACCTCAAACACATGCAGAAGATGCATCTAAACACATGTATACCAAAGCACATCAAAAGTAAATTGCTTGAAATCAGTGATGAACAAAAATATCTTAAAAGTAGCCAGAAAAAAAATACATGTTGCATACAATGGAAAAAATGATAAATATGACAGCAGGTTCTTGCAGGAAACAGTGCAAACAAGAGCACATTAGAGCAACATTTAAAAGTACTTTTAAAAAAATGTCAACATCAAATTCTATACCCAGAAAAAAAAACTTTAAAAGCCAAAATCAAGGTAGAGATTTTCAGACATATAGAAGCAGAAAAACATAATTACCAGGAGTCCACACTAGTAGAAATGTTAAAGGAAGTCTTTCATAAAGAAGGAAAATTATACCAGATGGAAATATACATAAACTAATGGCATGCACCAAAACATAACCTAATGGGTAAATATATAATATTTTTTATTATATAAGTCATTTTAAATGTAAATGCCTCTTTAAAGGAAGTAATGACATTCACTTTAGGGGTTTTAACAAATATATATAAGTAAAATGTATAAGAAATATTGCATTAAGGGAAAAATGAAGGTATTTTGTTGTATGGTTTTTATCCTATATGTGAACTGATGTAATATCAGTTGAAGATAGGCTGTGATAAGCTAAAGCTGTATAATAGTAACCTTAAAGCAACCACTAAAATAACAAGATTGTAACAAATAGATGAACAAAGGGGATGATACTGGTTTTTTTAAAAAAATTAAGAAAAGGTGGAAAAGGAGAGAAAGCGCTTGCAATAGATGGGACAAATAGAAATCAAAATAATAGATTTCAACTTAATATATAAATAATCACATTATTTTTCAGTGGTTTAAGCACCGCAATTAAAAAGCAGAGACTGTCAAATTGTATTTAAGGGGGAAAAAGCAAGACACAAATATAAACTGCCTGTCAGAAACCCACATGAAATTTAAAGAAATAACCTAAAAGTATGTACTCTGCTAATAGTAACCAAAAGAAAGCTGGAGTAACTGTATGAACATAGAACAAAATAGATTGTGGAACACGGAGTATTACTGGGATCAGTATTACTGTTTTTTATCTACTTAAAAAACAGAGTTAAAATACGTGAAGCAAATACTGATGTAACTTCAAAGAGAAGCCAACTAATCCACAATTATACTTGATTTCATTACCACCTTCTCAATGGTTAATAGAACGAGGAAAATCTAAGGATGTAGAACACTTCAAAAATACTATCAACCAATTTGATGTAATTGCCGTTATGAGAATACTTAAGAGAAAAAAAAAGGATAACCTAGTTTTATATCTGTTAAGGAAATTGAATTTGTAGTTAAAAAGCTTTCTCACAAAGAAAACTCAAAGCCCAGAGGCATCACTGGTAAATTCTACCAAACATTTAAGGAAGAAATACTCTATTTTCTACATAAAGTCTTCCAGAAAATTATAGAAGAGGAAATACTTAACAATTCATTGTGTGGTGCCAGTAATACCCTGATATGCAAACCAAAGACAAAAAAATTGATATCCCTCATGAATCTACATGCAAAAATTCTAAACAAAATTTTTAGCAAATCAAATGCAGCAATATTTTAGAAACAATAATATTTCCTTATTTAGTGCCATTTACTACAGGAATACAGGTTTAATTTAGCATTTGGAAACCAATTAACACAATTCAGCATGTTAATAAGCTAAAAAAGAGTGACCATATATTCATCTCAATAGGTCCAAATTTTTTTAGATGAAGTCTAACATATATTAGTGATAAAAACCTTTGGCAAACTGGAAATGTGAGGATACTTTTTCAACCTGATAAAGCTTATATGAAAATTTTACAACTGTTAATAACATCATACTCAATGATGAAAGACTGAATGGTTTCCCCCAGTGGTCAGGAACAACGCAAGGATATTCAGCCTTACCACATCTATTCAACATTGTACTGAAAGTTTCAGACCATGTAATAAATCAAGAAAAAATTAATAAAAGACATCCAAATTGAGAAGCAAATAATAAAATATTCTTTATTTATAAATAGCATGACCATCTACATAGAGATGCAATGAAATCTGCAAAAAAATGTTACAAGAACTAATAAGTGAATTTCACAAAGTTATAGGATACAACATCAGTGTATTAAAATCAGTAGTATTTCTGTGTCCTGGCTATGAACAAGTAGAAATCAAAAATTTAAAACAATACCATTTACAAAACACTTCTATGTATATGGAATAAAAAGAAATAAATGTGGCAATGTCAAAGACCTAGACACTTAAAAACTACAAAATATTGCTGTGTGAAGTTAAGGAACACCTAAATAAAAAGACTGAGAGTGGTGGCTCATTCATGCCTGTAATCCCAGAACTTTGGGAGGCTGAGACAAGCGGATCATGAAGTCAAGAGATCGAGGCCATCCTGGCCAACATGGTGAAACCCCATCTCTACTAAAAATACAAAAATTAGCTGGGTGTGATGGTGCATGCCCGTAGTCCCAACTACTTAGGAGACTGAGTCAGGAGAATCACTTGAACCCAGGAGGCGGAGCTTGCAGGGAGCAGAGATCACACTACTGCATTCCAGCCTGGAGACAGAGCAAGACTCCATCTCAAAAAAAAAAAAAAAAAAAAAAAATTAAGCAATATCCTGTGTTCATGAGGTTAAGGACATACGATACTGTTAAGATGTTATTTCTCTCCAAAGTAATCTAAATGTTCAATGAAGGACTGGGCACACAGTGGCTCACACCTAAAATTCAAGCATTTGGGAGGCCAAGGCAGGAGGATTACTTGAGGGTAGGAGTTCAAGACCAGCTTGAGCAAGACAGCCAGACCCTTTCTCTCCAAAATCCTGTTTAAAAAATTACTGAGACATGGTGGCCTTTGGTCCTAGATACTTGGGAGGCTGAGGCAGGAGGATTGCTTGAGCCCAGGAGCTCAAGTCTACAGTGAGCCAGGATCACACCACTGCACTCCAACCTGTGCAACAGGGATAGACCTTGTCTCAAAAAATAAAGATTCAGTGCAATTCCAGTCGCATTCTCAGCCAGCGTTTTTTGTAGAAATTGACAAATTGATTGTAAAATTTATATGGAAATGTAAAGACCCTAGAAAACCCAAAACAATGTTGAAAAAGAACAAATTCAAAGGGCTCATACTACTTATCAATCTTATTATAAACCTACAATATGGGATGGGTGTAAAGATAGACAAATCAGTAAAACAGAGTAGAGAATACAAAAATGGACCCAAAGAAATATGCCTAACTCATTTTTCGGCAAAGATGCAAATGACATTCAACGGAGGAAGAATATTCTTTTCAACGAGTCCATATCCTTATGGATATGTCACAATTTCATGTGCATATGCAAAAAGAAATTACTGTGGCTCCATATACCCCGGTAAACACAAATTAACTCATAAGGGATCATAGACCTAAGTATAAAACCTAAACTATTAAACCCTCCAAAGAAAACAGGAAAAATCTTTGCAGCCGTGGATTAGTCATAGATTATTAGATACAACACCAGAAGGACAATCCATAAAAGAACCATTGAGAAAAGCACATGAAAAGTTGCTCAACATTAGTTATTAGGAAAATGAATATTAAAACCACAATTATATACTATTACATAGCTATTACAATGACCAAAATTAAAAAGGCTTCCCCTATCAAGCAAGGATCTGGAGGAACTGGAACTCTTATGCACTGCTGAGAGGAAGGTAAAATTGTACAACTACCCTGCAAAATATTTTAACTTTTTAAGAAAGTGCAAAATATACACCTACCATATAATCCAACCATTATGCTAGGTATTTACTCAAGAGAAGTGAAAGCATATAGTTACACACTGGTATTCACAGCAGGTTTTTTTTTTTTATAACCTCAAATTAAAACAACCCAAGTGTTCATCAGGTGAACTGATAAATTGTGGTATATCTATATAATGGAAAACTGCTCAGCAATGAAAAGCAACTACTGATACGTTCAGTAACATGAGTGAATGTCAAAATAATTCAGCTGAATTTAAAAATCAATTCAAGATGGATTAAAGATTTAAACGTTAGACCTAAAACCATAAAAACCCTAGAAGAAAACCTAGGCATTACCATTCAGGACATAGGCGTGGGCAAGGACTTCATGTCCAAAACACCAAAAGCAATGGCAACAAAAGCCAAAATTGACAAATGGGATCTAATTAAAGTAAAGAGCTTCTGCACAGCAAAAGAAACTACCATCAGAGTGAACAGGCAACCTACAACATGGGAGAAAATTTTCGCAACCTACTCATCTGACAAAGGGCTAATATCCAGAATCTACAATGAACTCAAACAAATTTACAAGAAAAAAACAAACAACCCCATCAAAAAGTGGGTGAAGGACATGAACAGACACTTCTCAAAAGAAGACATTTATGCAGCCAAAAAACACATGAAGAAATGCTCATCATCACTGGCCATCAGAGAAATGCAAATCAAAACCACTATGAGATATCATCTCACACCAGTTAGAATGGCAATCATTAAAAAGTCAGGAAACAACAGATGCTGGAGAGGATGTGGAGAAATAGGAACACTTTTACACTGTTGGTGGGACTGTAAACTAGTTCAACCATTGTGGAAGTCAGTGTGGCGATTCCTCAGGGATCTAGAACTAGAAATACCATTTGACCCAGCCATCCCATTACTGGGTATATACCCAAAGGACTATAAATCATGCTGCTATAAAGACACATGCACACGTATGTTTATTGCGGCACTATTCACAATAGCAAAGACTTGGAACCAACCCAAATGTCCAACAATGATAGACTGGATTAAGAAAATGTGGCACATATACACCATGGAATACTATGCAGCCATAAAAAATGATGAGTTCATGTCCTTTGTAGGGACATGGATGAAATTGGAAACCATCATTCTCAGTAAACTATCGCAAGAACAAAAAACCAAACACCGCATATTCTCACTCATAGGTGGGAATTGAACAATGAGATCACATGGACACAGGAAGGGGAATATCACACTCTGGGGACTGTGGTGGGGTCGGGGGATGGGGGAGGGGTAGCATTGGGAGATATACCTAATGCTAGATGACACGTTAGTGGGTGCAGCGCACCAGCATGGCACATGTATACATATGTAACTAACCTGCACATTGTGCACATGTACCCTAAAACTTAGAGTATAATAAAAAAAAATAAATAAATAAATAAAAATAAAAAAATAAAAATTTAGGCTTAGCAGACTATATACTGTATAATTCTATTAATATAAATCTCTAGAAAAAGCAAAGTAATCTTCAATGATAGAAAGTAGATTAGTGCTTGCATAGTTGGACAGATTCAGGAATAGTGGAGTGGGTGGAAGAGATTACAGGGGACACAAGGAGACTTTTAGAGATGGTGGATATGTTCTTGGTCTTGACTGTGGTGATGGTTCCTGGATAGATACATATGGCAAAACTTACCCACTTGTACACTTTACTTATGTGCAGGTGATTGCATGTCAGTCATATCTCAGTAATGCTGTTTTTTTTTGTTTTTGTTTTTTTAAAAAAAAAGAACTGCATATTTTTTCTTTAAGGTTCTAGCTGCCTGGCCTTATTGTGATCAGAGCAATTGTCCAGCCCTAGTTCAGCTCTATCTTTTCTCCTAAAATATATTTTACAGTGCATGATATATTTAATACTCACAACAGAAATTTGTAAGCAGTTAGTATAGCCGTTATCCTAACAAATTGTATATTCCTGACAAAGTGGAAATGTTCCCATTTTAATATATGTTTAATGACACATTACACAGGCTTTAAATGTCACTCTTAGTATTTTGAAACCCGCAGAAACTGGAATGACGTTCACATATATGAGCAATCAATTCTAATGGCATTAGGCTAAATACCAGTTTCTGAAAATAATTTTTATATGAATATTTTCTCCAGATAATTCGACTTTTAAATGTTTTTAGATGAGACATCTTTATATAAGTGTATATAGATTGAAGAAGCCCTGTAAAACCTGAAATTTCCATGTTTCAACTCTTTTTTACATGCCTGTTAACAGGCTACAGGTAGATGTTGTGCAAACTTCATTGATTTACTCTGCAATAAATTATTACCATCCAGATCAATAAACAGACACCTGTCATCGTAACTTGGGAATGTTAGACATTTGGCTGTATTCTAAGATACAGTTCATAGTTATTTACAAACCATTTTGTGTGTGTGAAAGATTTTATAAGTGACCGTTTGGCAAGCTGCATTATTCTACTTTCTTAAGCCATGCTTGGGAATATTGATTTTTAATTATTGTCTTGCTCTAGGGCTTGCTATTTAGTGAACAAGTTGTTTTTCTGCTCATTTCTCAAGGATTCTTTCAGAATGCCAGTTAAGAGCATAGACTTTGGAGCCAATATGCTTGGGTTCCTATCAGTAAGAAAAATAGGTTAATCTTATACATATAATTTTTACAACTTACTGTTACCTATACATGTATCATCCTATACATATAATTTATACTGTTTATATAATTTACAACTTACTGTTACCTTGGGCAGATTAGTTAACACTGCTAAGTCTCAATTTCCTCATCTGCAAATGGGGAAAATGTGATGAATATACCTAATACATTATCAGTTAGAATTGAATGAGTTAATAAATGTAAAAAGAACAGTACCTAGCATGCAGTAAATGCTTTATGACAGTTCACTTCCCTGTTATTATCATGCTATTGCTGTAATTGATTTTACCTAGATTGTGAAGTAGATTCTGGTGAAAACCGAGAATATTGCCTATTTGGTAATGCCTTTATGTTGAGTTATTCATCTTTTATGCCTACGACATTCAGCCTGAATACTTTGTCAATTAAGAGATTATCACACTTGTTTTTCGTTTCTCTCAGTCTTGGGGCAATCTATTCACCAAAATTGGGTGCTTTGAGAATAAAAATGAGGTTGGTGAAAAAAAGATTTTTAAAAATCTTCTAAGAATAAAATTTGTAGCCATCAGTGTTCATTTGCTTTAAAAGCACAAGAGAAAAGACATTTTATAAAGTGGATTACAATGTTATACTCTTATTTGGATTCATCAGAATTCCTGCGTAAACTTAGAGCTGTGGCCTGTCTGGACTAGCATTTGTTCTTGGGTAGGACAGTGTGTTAGAGAACAGAGGTGAATGCAGAGGAAGTAACAGAAGCTCCGATTCTAATTTTTTAAAAAAATTCTTCTGCTTTTATTCCCATCCAACATAGCTTTTTGGTTTCTTTAAATCATTAAGAAGAGACCTTCAGCCCCAGGAAATCCAGAAATAGCTGGGGAAATTTTTAGTCGTGTGCCCATGAGCCAAGGAAGACAAATGATATATTTTTTTAAGATGATCTGTTGTTAGTATACTACTTTTTACTACTTTTTTTTTCTTTTTTTGAGACGGAGTCTAGCTCTGTCGCCCAGGCTGGAGTGCAGTGGCACGATCTCGGCTCACTTCAAGCTCCGCCCCCCGGGTTCATGCCGTTCTCCTGCCTCAGCGTCCCAAGTAGCTGGGCCTACAGGTGCCCGCCACCACGCTCAGCTAATTTTTTGTATTTTTAGTAGAGACGAGGTTTCACCTGTTAGCCAGGATGGTCTCGATCTCCTGACCTTGGGATCCGCCTGCCTCGGCCTCCCAAAGTGCTGGGAGTACAGGTGTGAGCCGCCGCACCCAGCCAGTATACTACTTTTTAAGACAGTTTTTTCCTCATTATTGTTAAACTAAATACATCCTGGTCTTCGGAAGGAATTCAGAAATATATGGTGTCTTAATTCTAAGTGTTCTGTATTCTCCTTCAGCAATAACTACTATTAACATTAATGTTTATTGTTCTGTATGTTTCTATACAGTGTCCAGTTCTTTAAGAAAAATGGTCTAATCTTATACATTTAATTTTTACAACTTTATTTTCTTACTTAATAAAGTATATTATTTACTTTCCCAAGGAGTACATGAATAACATATATTAATGGCATACTCTTTCATGCCCAGTGTTTTAGTGTATGGACATATTATATTTTATTTAATCTTACTAAATTTTATTTAGTCAATTTATATATACATTAATGTATATTTGAGCCAGGCATGGTGGCTCATGCCTGTAATCCCAACACTTTGGGAGGCTGAGGCAGGCGGATCACTTGAGGTCAGGAGCTCAACACCAGCCTGGTCAACATGGTGAAACTCCATCTCTCCTAAAATGCAAAAATTAACTGGGCATGGTGACACACATCTGTAATCCCAGTTCGGGAGGCTGAGGCAGGAGAATTGCTTGAACCCAGGAGGTGGAGGCTGCAGTGAGCTGAGTTCTCACCACTGCACTCCAGCCTGGGCAACAGAGCAAGACTCCGTCTAAATATATATATATATATATATTTGTGTTTTTTTCTAATTTTCTTCTATTACAGAGAATACAGCAGTGAACATCCTTGTACATGTAACTTTGAACATGTTTGTGTTTCTGTTTGTTAAATTCCCTAAAATGGAAATGCACACTCAAAGAGTATAAAAAAATGTTTTAAATGGTAGATTTTGAATTATAGGTGCTACGTTGAGAGAAAAAGTCACTTGTACATTTATAACATATTAGTAATGAGAATGGCAGCCTTTGCCTTGCCCTCAATTGAGATAGCTGTTTGTATAAACAGTTAATTGTGATTTCTAGATCTTCCAAAGAATTAATAGCTCTCCTTGCTCATCATTCTTGTCTGTTCTTCCTATTTATTTATTGGTCCTTAATTTATTTTAAAAAGCAAATATTTTAAATTATAAAAGTAAGTTACATTATAGAAAATTTGAAAAACAAAGGTTAAGGAAAATATCCATAACCCTTATGATTTTTACCTGTATTTGAAAAACATAGTCCTATAGTTGTGTGCTTACAATTTTGAATTCTGTATTTGTCACTTAACCTATTTTGCATTTTCTCTTATGGCTGCATAGTATTCTGTTAGATTTAACATGGTTTAATCATTTCATTATAGTTGGCAGATTAAGATTTAGACTCTGGCTTGTATTACTTGAGTCTTCAAAATTTTTCTTCTTTATTAATCTTTCCATGTGCCAAAAAACTTATTAATAATAAATATTATGAATTCTGTTAACTAACCACAAATGCCTGGTAGTTGTATGCTAACAAAACAACAGCAACAACAACAAAACAAAAACCTTGAGACTTTACTGGGTAGATTTATTTTCCTCAGGATATTTGACAGTTTTTTCATCTTTCAGATTTTTGAAGATGAAAACAATAAAATGAATTCAGTTTCAGTTATCTATTACTGCTTAACCACTGCAAATCTTAGATAACCACCATTCTTGAATTTGAGCTAGGTGCAGTTGTATGGTTCTTCTGCTGATTGTGCCTGTGGTCATACTTATGTGGCTACATGCAGCTGACATGTTAGCTATGGCCCTACCATGGCTGGGCCTCTATGTTGGTTCAGGGCCTCTCTCCTCGTGTAGCGTCTTCACATGATTTATCCAAAAAAGTAGCTAGACTTCTTACCCAGAGTGCAAAAATGGAAGCTGCCAGGTCTTTTTACAGATTGGGCCCAGAGCTGGGAATGTATCTGTGGGTTAAAATGGACAGCTTAGCCAGAAGGGACTACTGGGAGTTGTAGTTGTTCGGGGGCCACCACCATAACAGACTCTCACAAATGGCATCTAATGGTGATTTTAATTTGAATTTCTCAGATTATTAGTGGAGTTGAACATCTTTTCATAGGTATGTTGTCATTTTCCTTTCTGTGAAATGTCTTTTCAAGTTTTTGCCCACTTTTCTTTTTAGTAATTTGTCTTTTCATAGTGATTTGTAAAAGTTCTTCGTATAGTCTAGATGTTAAACCTTTGTTGGTTATGTGTGTTACAGCCATCTTTGACCAGTTTATAGTTTCTTTGCTGTCTTTATGCTGCTTTTGATAAATGGAATTTTTAATTTAATGGTAGTTGAATTTACCTATCTTTTATGGTTTGTGCTTTTTGGGTCCTTTTCTCCTCCAAGGCATAAAATATTCTTGTACATCGTCTTCTAAATGGTTTATAGTTCTATCTTTTACATGTAGGTTTCTAATTCATTTGCAATTAATTCTGGGAATTGATGCGAGGCAAAGGTCCAATTTCTTTTCTTTTCTTTCTTTTTTTTTTTTTTTTTTTTTTTTTGCTATATGTGGCCTTTCTTTATACGATACTTTTGGTTTAGTTTTGCGTATCTTAAATGTTGCATGTTCCTCTTTCCTGGGTCCTTTTTTATTTTGCTGGAGCACAGCCATGCAGCAGTTCTGGAAAGAAGCTACTTAAGAGGAAATCAGTATGTAATTGAGCATTTTTACACATAATGTGATCAAACAGCTCAGATTCTTCTGTGAGGAGATAACGTTTGAGCTGAGACCTCAAATATTAGAAACCAGCCACATAAAGAGCCAGAGGATGAATGTTCCTGGCAGAGGGTGTAGCAGGTATTCCTGACAACTGAAAGAAAGAGGTACTTAAAATTTAATAAAAACAGGCCAGGTGTGATGGCTCATGCCTGTAATCTTAGCACTTTGGGAGGCCAAGGCGAGTGGATCGCTTGAGCCCAGGAACTTGAGACTAGCCTGGGCAGCATGGTGAAACCTCGTCTCTACAAAAAATACCAAAAAAATCAGTTGGGTGGAGTGGTGTGCACCTGTAGTCCCAGCTCCTGGGGAGGCTAAGGTTGAAGGATCGCTTGAGCTTAGGAGGCCAAGGTAGTGTGAGCTGAGATCGTAACACTGCACTTCAACCTGGGTGAGAGAGTGAGATCCTGTCTCAAAAAAACAAACAAACAAACAAAAAAAAGTAGTAAAAATGAAAAGCTGAACAAGGAAGTCATGGTTCAAGATGAAGCAAACTAAAATGAGGCATGATTCTAAGGAGTTGAATGTTAGAAAGGAAATTCCATTGGCCTCTACACTTAGAACATTCTTTCAAGTATCTGTTTTAGTAACCATAGTCTGACATCTTACACTCTATGACTAATCACATATCCTGTTTCTGTAGTGACAAGTATTTATATATTTTATGTTTGTAGACTTTTGTTTTCAGAATAAATCTGTAAACAAAGCATGGAAGATCCAATCTCTGAATATAATACAAATGCTAAAACCTTGATGGTGGGAAATAAATGGTATAGCTATTAAAAGTTGGATAGTGAAGGGAAGGTATACTGATTTTCTCACTGTACAGAAAGAAAATTCAAGAAATATAGTGTAATGTAATGGATCAAGTAGATATTACACTTATCCAAAGTTTGAAAGGTAATGTATTTAAGAACTAAAGATAAAGATATAACTGTAGAGATATAAAAGACATATAAAGACATAACTATAAAAACTTTAAAGGATGTAGTATAAGTGAGGCAAATTTTGTCATTGGGAGGAAATCACTGGATCTTGCTTAATAAATATGTAATTGTAACCGAAGAAAGAAAAGTCTAATCATATTTAAAGTTTTGGGGGTAACACTAAGATGATTAAAGTCAGAAATGGAGAAGAGGGTTTAATTATCTCTATGGAGTAGTATTGGGAGTAACAAACAGAGGTGTTTTATTTTCTATGTTATTTCCTTCCGTAACTGTTTATATTTCTAGTACTGTGTTCATTTGTTACTTTTCAAATACTACAAATAGAAGAGTAAAAAAAAAAAAAAAGAAAAGCTAAAACTACAATTCTATGATGAAAGAATTACAACAATTGTGAGAAACTGAGGAATATCAGTCGGTTGGACATCTAGGATAGACTTAGGAATATTTTCCATTTCAAGAAAATTTATACCCTGTAGTAGTTTAATTAAAATTAACCTAGTTGAGTTAGAAAATTAAACTCATGACAATACCACAGATACTTTCATTCATTCAAGAAACATTGATTAGTGGAATAAATCTCATATTGTTACTCCTCTGTGCCTGTCCCTGGTGTGCTTCAAGCTAGTCTAAAGGAAAGCTCACAATGGTTTCTGTTGAATGAATGCAATTATATCTATTTTTCTTTGATATTTGAAGTATAAAGTATTGAAATTTGAAAGAATTTTTTAGATCATCTTCTTCAGTGGAAGGGGAGCTTTTTCTATAACACATAACCAGGAGTCATAATCTCAGTGGACGGGACTCCAAACATGTATTTCTTTAGAAGATACTCCCTCCCTCGGTGATCCTGATGTGAACCCTAGGTGAGAACCACTCATCTCATCCAACTACTTCATTTAGAAGTGAAAACTTAAGCACTGTAGTTTGCATAGCTAAAGTGGCAGAGCATAGGTTGACTCCTAGCATCACATGTTTTTTAATGCCCTAGTTCTGAAAAACTGTGATCTGTTTAATTCTGCATGTAGTTTTTATAGTCTAGAGTGTTTTCCTGACTCATTCTGCTTATTTTAGCTTATACATATTTTTCTTTTAAAGACCTTTTAATAGCTTACCTCTTTCTAAAGCATACTGTCTCCTTCTTAAATAGACTTCTAATCATCTCACCTCTTTTCAGCCTTGCCTCTACTCTCATTTCTGGTAATATCCAGTGTTTCCAATTCCTGAGCCAATAGCAGTTAGCCTACTTGTGAATTAGGTTTCTGATTTGTTCATGCTAAATCAGTTACCAATTCATTCACCCACTATTTATTTATTTATTTATTTATTTATTTATTATACTTTAAGTTCTGGGGTACATGTGCAGAATGTGCAGTTTTGTTACATAGGTATACACATGCCCTGGAGGCTAGCCGCACCCATCAACCCATCACCTACATTAGGTATTTTTTCCTAATGTTATCTCTCGCCTAGCCTCCCACCCGCTGACAGGCCCCGGTGTGTGATGTTCCCCTCCCTGTGTCCACGTGTTCACATTGTTCAATTCCCACTTATGAGTGAGAACAGGCAGTGTTTGGTTTTCTGATCTTGTGATAGTTTGCTGAGAATGATGGTTTTCAGCTTCATCCATGTCCCTGCAAGGGACATGAACTCATCCCTTTTTATGGCTGCATAGTATTCCATGGAGTATATGTGCCACATTTTCTTAATCCAGTCTATCATTGATGGACATTTGGGTTGGCTCCAAGTCTTTGCTATTGTGAATAGTGCCGCAATAAATATACGTGTGCATCATTCACCCACTTTCTAACATTCAAAGTTTTGTTGGTATCTTTTCCAGTTTCTCGGTCCATCCCTGCATGTCTGTACTTTTTTACATTCCTTTCTGCCATTCCTTTACTGTAAAAATTTGCCAATTTTATCAGAGCTCTGATTTTATTTTTACAAGTTTCAAATGAAAAAATTCAACAGAGAAGAATTACTGACACGGTAGTAAAACAATAAAATGACATGACTGCTCTTAAAATTGCATATACAATGAACTGCTGTGTTGATGTGTTTTTACTCAAACCTCTAGCGGGGCAACTATTTCTTGTACTTTGTCAGATGACTGGATTTGGAAAAACTCTAGATAAATATGCCTTTCTCCTATTCCTCCTTTTCTAGGGTGTAGGAAAGTTCTTTCACTAGTGATTTTTAGTAAAATTAAATTTGCATTTTTCCGGTTTCCCTGTTAGAACTCAAAGTAAAGTGTACAGCTTCCACAAGGGACAGAAGAACTTCCTTATTGTCTGGGGAGAAGTTGGCTGACAGCAATAATAATGATTACTTTTGTTTATTGGTCACTTCTCTATGCTACTTGCTTTACAAACATTATCTTTTATTAGTCCTCAAAATGTTAAAAGTAGGTATTGTTGTCTCCTTTTTACAAATGATGAAATAGCTTTGCTAAGGTTAAGTAACTTGCCCAAGGTTACACAGGTATTATTAGGCACACTCCTCAAACCTGACTCTAAAATTCATTTTTTCCCACTTTCTACCCTGTTAGACTCATAATTATTTTAATAACATCAGTACAACAATAATAGTCAACACTTATATGCACTTATTCTATACCACATACTGTTTTAAGCTCTTTATATATAGACATGTAATTCTCAGTTTAACCTCATGAGGTAGGCACCATTATTATCTCTTTTATGGAGGTCAGAGAGATTAAATAACTTGCTGAAAGTCAGTTACTACAGCTGTAATGAGTAGAGCCACGATTCTAACACTATTGTTTGGCTGTTATTGAAGTACATTAAAATGTTTATGATTGTTTTGATTGATTACTGAGTCTGTTAAAAGGGCTCTAAATTTTAAAAACAGTAAGTAAATATTTGAGTTTTTTTTCTTTTTTCCTTAAAGCTCTGAGAAGATAATGTGAAAAATAAACATCTTACCATCGTTTAAGGCTTCTAGTTAGTATACCAACCCTTGCCAAGAAGAAGTGAATAAATGGGGATGAGGGCAGTAGGAGGAAGGGGGTGTTCTTTGTTTCTATATTAGAGTTCTGGCATTAACACTTGCAGATTGAGAAAAGCTGAAGAATTGTCTCTAAAATACCTTCTTTCTTTTGCTGTACTTTTTCTTTAATGTTTCTAATTTCAAGAGAGAAAACCACATGTATTTCATCCAGTCTTCACTATATTAGGAGGCTGAAGTTAGCATGTATTATCTTGGCAAGTTTTTAGGAGAAAATTTCTTATGTCTAGAAGTAAACGTTTAGATCTGTTAGAACACTGCCTGTCTTTAAGGTGGACGTGCGCATTGGATTTGTTTTTCTGTCTGTGTCTGTGACACCATGAGACATTCAAATAGAAGGAAGCTACTGTGACGTTTCTGATTGATGCTTTGACTTTCTAGTATGAAACTACTTGCCTCTTACTAGGTTTGCCTCTGTCTTTCTCTACTCCTCTCCATCCCCACCTGTGAAAAAAAAAATTACTTTTAAAGGAAGACTAGTAGACAGTCCTTCAGGAAATATTTTCGTCTTTCTGTAACTGGTATGACCCATTAGGAGTCTGGCTTCATTAGTTCAAACACTTAACTATGAATAGTTACTTTTTCATTTTGATGATTTAACACTTGTGATTTAGGAAGGAGTATATTTAATTCTTCCCTTTTTCCCTCTCTTCCTTTCTTATTAAGATTTTGTGGTTTGGTTTGTACAGCTAGCTTCTATGATTTTCGTAAAAGGCAGCTAAGAGTGACTTTCCAACACAGGGAAAGGGTGAGTGAGAGAATTCCAGCAGCCCATAACTCTAGTCTGGAATTGTGCAATCCTGGCTATAGGAGAGCCCCTTGATCCTCCAAACCTCTGAAACTAACACAGGGAGCTGCCAGTAAACCATGGGTTGGGACTGCTTTAGGGAGGCAGCTTGCACTGGGTCCCACACCCTTTCTGAGACCAGAGTGGCTACAGCAAGGCACCATTTTCAAACCTAGCTTTGGCAGACTACATGCTGTCCTAGGGTCCAGCAGTACCAGGACCAAGGTGTTAGGGAAACTCAGGCTGTTGCTACTGAGACTCGGGCAAGAGCTGGTAGGGCTCCTGTAGCCAGGGCTGTAAAATGAGCAATCTGGGGGCCACAGCAGCCAGTGCTGGTAAGTGAGCAGAGCACAAATTTCCATTGGGACTTGGTTGTGAGATACGGTGGGGCCTCTGCAGCTGGTACTGTGGTGTCAGCTGGGCATGGGCTACCACTACCAGAGCTGGGGAGTGAACCCAACCAGGACTGGGGTATGAGAAGGATGTGCCTTCCCCACCCACTGGCTTAGGTTGTGGCAACCAAGGCTGGCCTCATCCTATTCAGTGACAGAAGCTTCAGTGTGGCTCCTACTTCTCCTCACCCATGTGCTCTGACTTGGGGCTGAGGGTCGCCCCACCCTGCCCACCATAGGTATAGCCTGCTGTCATCTTTGGAGAGCCTGAGTATAAGCCCACCCAGCTCAACTTTGCGTCCCCCTCCAAGACAGAGCACATAGCTTAGGATCCTGGGGGTTGCCCAACCCAATCCACCACCTTAGGCAGCCAAGCACTGCTCCTAGAGGCCAGAAATTGGGCCTAAACTTCCAGCGGTTACCACCTCAGGTGGTACCAACCTATAAGCGCCACTTGTGGGCCTGGTGACTGGTGTGCCCAGCCCATTTCAGTCACCACCAACATTGATGCACACCACTCAGGAACCACAGAATTGTCTTGCCACTGCTGCTGCAATCACCCAGGCCTACCTGTCCAGTACACCACTGCTCCTGCTGGGATCCAAACAAACCACATGAAGGACGAAAAATTGGCTTGCTGATAACCACCGATGCAGGTGCCAGGGTACATTGTACTGTGGCACAAAGATAGGCATGCTTAGTCCACCGCTGCCACCACTATGGCCTGAAGGCCAGCTCACTTGGAATCCAAGTCCTCCCTCATCACAACCTTACCACAGCTTCCATAATAACCACCCCCTAGCCCCTAAGGAAATCAGATACCACTAACACCATTTACAGCCAAAGAAATCATACAGAGACTACATTACTACATGCACCCAGAATTAAAGCCAAAGTGCTCTACCCAACCAGCATCATAGATACACCTTTAGGAAAAAGTTCTCCCCTAGAAAAGTAAATTCAAAAATAGGAAGAAGCGACTACTGTGCCACATGTGCAGATATCAAGGTAAGGACAGGAAACATGAAAAAGCAAGGAAATATGATACCTTCAAAGGATTACAATACTTGTGGAGCAGTTGATGTTAATCAAAAAGAAGTTATCAAAATCCCAGATAAAGAATTCAAAATACTGATTTTAAAGAGGCTCAGTAAGTACAAGAGAAACATAAAAATCATGTAAAGAAATCAGAAAAACAATTCAGGATATGAATGAATTATGAAAGCAAAAGATATTTTTAAAAGGAACCAAACAGAAATTCTGGAACTAAAGAATTCATTGAGGGAAATACAAAATACATTTGAAAGCTTCAAAAATAGACTAAATCAGGCAGAAGGAACAAACTCAGAACTTAAAGATGAGTCTTTTGAAATAATCTAGTCAGATAAAAATAAAAGAGAATAAAAAGAAAGAACAAAGCCTTCAGGATATTTGGGACACAAAGACACTGAATATTTGAATTATCAGTATTTTAAAGAGCAAAGCAGAAAAGGATTAGAAAACCTATTTGATGAGACAATAGGTGACAACTTCCCAAGTCTAGCAAGAGATTTAGACATTCAGATGCAAGAGGTTCAGCAATTGCCAGGCAGATACAATGCAAAAAGGACTTCTCCATGGCACATTAAAGTCAGACTGTCTGAAATAAAAAATAGAGCAAATCCTAAAAATAGCAAGTGAAAATCATTTGCTCACCTACAAAGGAAATCCCAACAGACTAACAGTGGATTTCTTAGCAGACACCTTACAAGCTCAAAGAGAATGGGATGATATATTCCAAGGGCTCAAACAAAACAAAATGAAAACCTGTCACCTGGGACTGCTGTATCCAGCAAAATTAGTCCTCATAAAGGAAGGATAAATAAAATATTTCACTGAGGAAATTTGCTAGAACTAGACCAGACCTACAAGAAATGCTCAAGGGAGTCATAAACCTGGAAGTGACAGACGAACATTTATCAAATATTTACCATCATGAAAACACATGAAAGTATAAAACTCACTGGTAAAGCAATCATACAAAAGAGGAAGAAAAAAGAAACAAATGATACCACCACCGAAATCCACCAAACCACAATGAAAAACACTAAGAGAAAAGAAGGGAACAAAGAATATATAAGACAATCAGAAAACCATTAACAATGACAGGAACAAAGCCTATCATATTAATTATAACTTGAACTTATATGGATTAAATTCTCCACTCAGAATATACAGAATATTTAAATGGATAAAAAAAAATGATCCAACCATATGCTGCATACAAGAAACTCACCTAACTTGTAAAGACACAGGTAGCCTGAAAGTAAAGGGACGAAAAAAGATGCTCCATACAAACAGAAACCAAAAGTGAGCAGGAGTGGCTATACTTGTATCAGATAAAACAGACGTTAAGTCAAAAATAGTAATAAAAGACAAAGAAGGTCTTTTTATAATCATAAAAGGATCAATGCAGCAAGAGGATATAACAGTTCTGAATATGTATGTATCCAACATTGGAGCACTCAGATTCATAAAGCAAGTATTACTACTTCTAAAGAAAGAGATAAACTACAATACAGTAAAAGTGGGGGACTTCAACACCCCACTCTCAGCATTAGATCATCAAGACAGAAAATGAACAAATAAACATTGACCTTAAACTGGCCTTTAGATCATGTGGACCTAACACAGAACATTCTATCCAGCTACTGCAGAATATACATTCCTTTCATCAGCACAAGGACCATTCTCCAGGATAGACCATATGTTAGGCCACAAAAAAAACTCAAAAAAATTTTAAGAAATGAAATCATATCAAGTATCTTCTCAGACCACAATGGAATAAGAAATGAAATCATATCAAGTATCTTCTCAGACCACAATGGAATAAAATTAGAAATCAATACCAAGAGGAACTCTGGAAACTATACAAATACGTGGAAATTAAACAATATGCTCCTGAATGACCATCATGAAAATGAATAAATTAAGATGGAAATTTTAAAAAGATTTGAAACAAAAGAAAATGGAAAAGCAACAAATCAAAACTTGTAGGATACAGCAAAAGCAGCACCAAGAGGGAATTTTATAGAAATAAATGCCTACATCAAAAAGTAGAATGATTAAAAATTAAGAATTAACCAATGCTCTTGCAGGAACTAGAAAAGTAGAAATAAACCAAATCCAAAATTAACAGAAAAGATATAATAGACATAAGAACAGACCTAAATGAAATAGAGACTTAAAAAACAAGATGAAAAGTGGATTTTTAAAAAAGATAAACAAAATTGATAAACTGCTAACTACATTAACTAAGAAAAGATGAGAGAAGATCCAAATAAACAAAGCCAGAAATGAAAAATGAGACATTACAATGGATACCACAGAAATACAAAGGATCATCAGGGCCAGTTTTAATAACTATATGCTGAAAAACTGGAAAATCTATAGGAAATGGATAAATTCCTGGAAACATACATCCTACCAAGATTGAATCAGGAAGAAATATAAAACCTAAACAGACTTATAATGTTGAGCAAGATTGAGTCAGTAATAAAAAGTCTCCCAACAAAGAAATGTCCAAGACTGGATAGATTCACAGCCAAATTATACCAACCATATTAAGAAAAACTAATATAAATTCTTCCCAAGCTATTCCAAAAAATGGAAAAGAGGGGATTTCTCCCTAACTCATTCTACAAGGCCAGTGTTACCCTGATACCAAATTTAGACATACACAAAAAGAAAATTACAGGCTAGTATCCCTGACGAACATAGACACAAAAGTCCTCAACAGTATACTAGCAAACCAAATCCAACAGTACATGAAAAACATGATTACATGAGATTACACAAGGGATGCAAAGATGGCTCAACATACATAAATCAGTAAATGTAGAACATCACATCAGTACAATGAAGGACAAAAAGTATATGATCATCTCAATAGATGCAGAAAAAGCATTTGGTAAAATTCAACATCCCTTCATGATAAAAAGCTTTCATCGAACCAGGTTAGAAGTAAAATACTTCAAAATAATGAAGATCATGTATGACAAACCCTAGGCTAAAATCATATTGAATGGAGAAAAGCTGAAAGCCTTTTCTCTAAGAACTGGAACAAAACAAGGATGCCCACTTGCAGCACTTTTATTCAAAGTTGTACTGGAAGTACTAGCCAGAACATTCAGACAAGAGAAAGAAATAAAAGGCATTCAAATTGGAAAAGAGGAAATCAAATTGTTCCTTGGTAGTGCTGATAATATTATCTTATATCTGGAACAACCTGAAGACTCCATCAAAAAAGCTCTTTGAGCTGATAAATGGAGACAGTAAAATTACAAGATACAAAATTGATGTACAGAAACCACTAGCATTTCTTTTTCTTTTTCTTCATTTTTTTTTCTTTTTTTTTTTTTTTTTTTTGAGACAGTATCTCATTCTGTTGTGATCATAGCTCACTGTAGCCTCAAATTCCTGGGCTCAAGTGATCCTCCCACCTCAGCCTCCTGAAGAGCTAAGACCATAGGCATGTGCTACCATGTCTGGATAATTTTTAATTTTTTTATTTTTTATTTGTAGAGATGGAGTCTCACTGTGTTGCTCAGGCTGGTCTCGAACTCCTGGTCTTTAGTGATCCTACCACCTTGCTTCCCAAAGTTTTGGGAATATAGATGTGAGCCACTGCACCTGGCAGGTAGCAGTAATGATCTAGTATACTAGTATACTAGTAATGATCTAGTCCAGAAAGAAATAAGGCAATCTCATTTACAATAGCTCCAAAAAATATATACCTAGGAATAAATTTAGCCTAGGATGTGAAAGTTCTCTACAAGAGAAACTGTAAAATATTGATGGAAGCAATTGAAGACAACACAAGAAACAAAAAACATCCCACGGTCATGGATTGGAAGAATTAATGTCATTAAGTTGACCATATTGCCCAAAGCAATCTATAGATTTAGTGCAATTTCTATCAAAATAACATCATTCTTCAAAGAATTAGAGGAGACAATCCTACAATTCATATGAAAACACAAAAGTGCCCAAATAGCCAAAGCAATCCTGAGCAAAAAGAGCAAAGAGGTGTCACATTACCTGACTTTAAAATATATTGTAAGACCATCGGAACCAAAATAGTATGCCATTGATTTAAAAATAGACATATAGACCAATGGCACAGAATACAGAACCCAGATAATAAGCCACTTATTAGTATCAGCCAAGTATACAACCGATTTTTAACAAAGCCGACAACTTACATTGTGGAAAAAACATTCTCTTCAAAAGTAGTGCTGGGAAAATTGTATTACTGCATGCAGAATAATGAAACTGAACCCCCATCTCTCGATGTACACAAAAATCAACTCAAAATGGATTAAAGGCTTAAATTTAAAACCCAAAATAAAAAAGCTCTAAAAGAGAACCTCAGGTAAACTCTCTTGGACATTTGTCTAGACAAAGAATTTATGAATAAGAACTCAAAAGCACAGGCAACAAAATAAAAAATGGGCGAATAGGACTTAAACTAAAAACCTGCACGGCACTAAAGAAGTAATCAACAGAGTAATCAGACAACCTGTTGAATGACAGAAAATATTTGCTAACTGTTCACCTGGCAGGGGACTCATATCCAGGATGTTCAAGGAATGCAAACATCTCCGCAGGAAAAAAACTTGTATTAGAAAGTGGGCAAAGGTTTTTCCCATTTTGTGGGTTGTTTACTCTGCTAATGGTTCCTTTTGCTGTGCAGAAGCTCTTTAGTTTAATTAAGTCCCATGTATTTATCTTTGTTTTTGTTGCATTTGCTTTTGGGTTGTTGGTCATGAAGTCTTTGCCTAAACCAATGTCTAGAAAGGGTTTTCGATGTTATCTTCTAGAATTTTTATAATTTCAGATCTTATATTTAAGTCCTTGATCTGTCTTGAGTTGATTTTTGTATACGGTGAGAAATGAGGATGCAGTTTCGTTCTCTTAAATGTGGCTTGCCAATTATCCCAGCACCATTAGTTGGATACGGTGTTCTTTCCCCACTTGCTGTTTTTGTTTGCTTTGTTGAAGATTAGTGGGCTGTAAGTATTTGGTTTATTTCTGCGTTCTCCATTCTGTTCCATTGGTCTATGTGCCCATTTTTATACCAGTAGCATGCTCTTTTGGTGACTCTGGCCCTATAGTATAGTTTGA
Organism: Homo sapiens; assembly: GCF_000001405.40. NCBI lineage: Eukaryota > Metazoa > Chordata > Mammalia > Primates > Hominidae > Homo > Homo sapiens. The sequence goes on from NC_000018.10 coordinate 37,004,007, forward strand.
ATTCAGGTAATGTGATGCCTCCAGATTTGTTCTTTTTGCTTAGTCTTGCTTTGTCTATGCGGGCTCTTTTTTGGTTCCATATGAATTTTAGGATTGTTTTTTCTAGTTCTGTGAAGAATGATGGTGGTGTTTTGATGGGAATTGCATTGAATTTGTAGATTGTTTTTGGCACTGTGGTCATTTTCACAATATTGATCGTACCCATCCATGAGCATGGGAGGTGTTTCCATTTGTTTGTGTCATCTATGATTTCTTTCAGCAGTGTTTGTAATTTTCCTTGTAGGGGTCTTTCACCTCCTTGGTTAGGTGTATTCCTAAGTATTTTTTTTCGCTATATAACAATCTATACATCTGACAGAGGACTAATATCCAGAATCTACAGGGAACTCAAACAAATTAGCAAGAAAAATATAAACAATCTCATCATAAAGTGGGCTAAGGACATGAATAGACAATTCTCAAAAGAATATATACAAATGGCTAATAAACATATGAAAAAATGTTCAACATCACTAATGATCAGGGGAACACAAATCAAAACCACAATGAGATACAACCTTACTCCTGCAAGAATGACCGTAATCACAAAATAATGGATGTTGGTGTGGATGCAGTGAAAAGAAAACACTTCTATACTGTTGGTAGGAATGTAAAGTAGTACAACAACTATGGGAAACAGTGTGGCAATTCCTTAACGAACTAAAAGTAGAACTACCATTTGATCCCGCAATCCCCACTGCTAGGTATCTACCCACAGGAAAAGAAGTCATTATACAAAAAAGATACTTGCACATGCACGTTTATAACAGCACAATTCACAATTGCAAAAATATGGAACCAGCCCAGATGCCCATCAGTCAATGAGTGGATAAATAAATTGTGATATATGTATGATGGATTACTACTCAGCCATAAAAAGGAACAAATTAATGACATTTGCAGCCACCTGGATGGAACTGGAGACTATTGTTCTAAGTGAAGTAACTCAGGAATGAAAAACCAAATATTGTATGTTCTTACTTATAAATGGTGGCTAAGCTATGAGGAGGCAAAGGCATAAGAATGATACAATGGACTTTCAGGACCTGAGGGAAAGGGTGGGAGGGGAGTGAGTGATGATGGTTCAGTGTATACTGTTTGGGTGATGAGTGGACCAAAATCTCACAAATCACCACTAAAGCACTTACTCATGTAACCAAATTACCCCTGTTTTCCCCAAAACCTATAGAAACAAAAAATTTTGAAGATGATATGAAATTCAAAAAACAGAGGTGGGCAAAGGACATGAGTATACATTTCTCAAAAGAAGACCAACAAATGGCCAACAGGTATATGAAAAAGTGCTCAGCATTACTAATCATCAGATAAATGTAAATCAAAACCAGAGTGTCATACCATCTTACCTTAGTCAGAATAGCTATTATTTAAAAAAAAAAAAAACAAGTAGCAGATATTGGCAAGGATGCAGAGAAAAGAGAACTCTTATACTGTTGGTGGGAGTGTAAAGTAGTACAGCCACTAAGGAAAATAGTATGGTGATTCCTCATAAAACTAAAAATAGAATTACTAATTGAACCACTAATGCCACCACTGGGTCTGTATTCAAAGGAAAAGAAATCAATATATCAAAGGAATACATGTGTTCCCATGTTAATTATATCACTGTTCACAAAAGCAAAGATATTCGAATCAACTTAAGCTTTCATCAATAGATGAATGGGTAAAGAAAATGTAGTATATCTACAATGGAATACTATTCAGCCATAAAAAGAATGAAATCATGTCATTTCCAGCAACATGGATGGAACTGGAAGTCATTATCTTAAGTGAAATAAGGTAGGCAAAAAAAGAAAAATATCACATCATCTTCTCACTTATGTGTGGGAGCCAAAAAATATGATCACATGGAAGTAGAGAGCAGAAGGATAAGAGACGGAATGGTGAGTGGAGGGGAGGAGGGAGGATGAGGAGAAGTTGGTTAAAGGGTACAATACAGTAAGTTAGAAGGAGTAAATTCAGTGTTTGAGAGCAGAGTAAGGTGACTATAGTTAACAAAAATGTATTGTAATCAGGTGACAGATACCCTAAATACCCTGACTTGAACACTAGGCATTATATATGCATAATAAAATATCACATGTATGCCATAAATTTGTACAAATTAAAAAAAGTAGTTATTTAAAAAAACCTGAAAGTCAAATTTATTTTGCAAAATGTGATTTTAGTGGTGAAGATGTATAATGTGTAAACATATGGGTTTTTTTTTCCCAAAAGTCAAGAGTAAAAGGTCAGAATTAAGAAAAGTAGATTTGTCTGAGTCTCACAAAATACTGATCAAGGAGAAAATTTTACACATAAAACAATAAAACATAGCTAAGTAGTATCAGCTTTCTAAAATGCGTCAGATTATTTTACACCCCCAAAAAGGTTACATTTAAAACAAATTCTTAGTTTGTAGTAAGTTATATAAAACATTCTTCTATTTTTTTTATTTATTTAATAGTTGTATCTCTTCTGTGACTTTTTTTTATTATTATACTTTAAGTTCTAGGGTACATGTGCACAATGTGCAGGTTTGTTACATATGTATACGTGTGCCATGTTGGTGTGCTGCACCCATTAACTCGTCATTTACATTAGGTATAATGCTATCCCTCCCCGCTCCCCCAACCCCATGACAGGCCCCGGTGTGTGATGTTCCCCTTCTATCATTTTTAAAGCTTTAAAAATTTAAGATAATCTGTAAGTGTCTTCTCAGTTCTGTAAATTTGTAACCTTCATTTTAAGAGGCAATCAGGTGAAAATGTCTTTATTCTACAATCAGGCACATCAAAAACATGACAGAGTACCTGTCACAAAGTGAGTTATTTAACAAATGGTAGCTGTTGCTTATGCAGTTTTTGTTATGACTCACAATAAAACTCAAAAGAGCAATGCCTGAGTAATAACAAAAGTGTCAAAGGCATTGGTTTAGGTGATGCAGTTACATATCATTTACTTCATTTATTTGTTAAGATTTCTTGAGACTAGCCTCTGTTGCTAAGACTTTTTAAAAACAGCACCAGCTGTCTTCCTCCACTAGTCTCCTTTTTCAATTCTAAATATTACCTTCCATCTGGCATGCCATTGAATCCTAAGGAAAGGACACTTGTAGTCCAGAACAACAGGACATCAAGCTCCTTTGAGTAAACAAATCCTTTTGTCTTGGCTTCTTGGCACCTCAAACTGTATGTATTCTGGAAAATTGCATTTGAGGTTTAACCAATAAGGCAAAGATAGCTGGCCACACATCAGTTTGTTGAGTGGCTACTCTCAGCAGATACCTCCTTGCTGGCATTATATACATGATTGTGTATTGAGAAGGCATGAGGTGATCTTAATGTTGTCATCACTCATGCTTATTTTAATATCAGTATAGTGCTTGTGAAGGTTCTGATTGTTCAACTGAAAGAACAAGTATTTAAGTGAGCAAATGAATGCAAGAATAAAACAAATGAGAACAGTTGCAAGAAAGCGTGCTGGTAATATATACTCTAAAATTTCAAAGTGCCTGTGGTTTTCCAAGTCATAACTTCTGGAAAATTCTTAGAAATTCGATGATAATATAAATAGAAGAGGAGCCAATCTGATGAGAAATAAAATTAGACAAGTTTCTAAAAAGTAAGAATAGCAATAAAACCTTCTAACTAAATGAAGCCACCAAAAGGCTTTTGGCTGCAAGAAAGATAATTCAAAATAAAGCATGAAGAACTTCCTGCCAACATGGGATAAGCCCACTATAGCCTACCCCTTCTGCTGATTAAAACTAAAAAGTCTGGACAAAATATAAAAGCAACTGTATAAGTAAACAAAAGCAGTCAGATGGTGGTGAGGAGTCAAAACTTAAAGGGGCAACCTGTATGGAAATGAGTTTCCTAGTTTGGAAAGTTTTTCTTTTCTTTTTTTCTTATGGTTTTGCCTTCAGTTGTGAAGGCAACAGTGTGGCACTGGAAACTAAAACTGATAGAAATCTTATTTTCTTGCACCACAGGAACCAAGTAAATGAGCTTAGCATTCCAAAGAGTTTGGGGGCAGTTTCCAAGTTTTTTCTCCCTTTACCAGCTTTAACCTAAGACAGACCCAGTTGCAAAGCTGCATCTGCAGTGCCACAAGAGGAACCAGGAAAAGGGGCCCTTTGGGCCACTGAGTATGGGGGAAGTGTCAGACAAGAAAGCTCTGGAGAAGGGTGTTCCCTCATTTTGTGTATGGGCAACACAAGTACTATGCTATGCATGCACAAAGCAGACCCAAAGCATTGTAGCAACGCTTTGAGAACTGAACTGAACTCAAATTAGAACCACTGCTCAGAGGTGAGAAAGAACTCGTGGTGTAAACCAAACTTACTTGATTTTCTGCTAAAACAACAACAAAATATGCTCTATAGGATTATAACAAGTCATAGGACCCATAGCCTGCGCAACATAACATTTTAAATGTCCAGGATATAATTCAAAATAGTGCTACCTACAAAAAAAACCCAGAAAATTATAACCATCTCTCTAGAGAAAAGATAATTAAGAAATCACAACTCCAGGGTCAACCAGATTTTAGAATAATCAGACAAAGACTTTAAAGCAGCTATTATAGCAGTTATCGATAGCATAAAGGTAAATACACTTGAAATTAATGGATAGAAGTTCTCAGCAGAGAAATAGAGACTATAAAAAAGGACTAAATGGAAATTTTGGAACTGGCAAATACAATACCCATAATGAAAAAATTCAGTGGTGGTTTAATTGGCAGAATGGAGTAACAAAGGAAAGAGTCAGTAAATTTGAAGATAGGTCAATAGAAACTTAAAACTGGATACAGTCTTAAGAAGGGGAAAAAGAGAGGAAAAAAAAGTTACACAAGAGCCTTAAGGACCTTTGGTATAATATCAGAGGTCTAACTTTTATGTCATTGGAGTCCTAGAAGGAGAGGAAAAAGATTACATAAACAGAACTAGGAAAGTATAAACAGTTCTCAAAGGAAAAGGCAACTTCTGCAAAGTGTCCTCTTGAAAAGTTCTTCATAAGACACAAATGAGGACACACCTTCTTTTAAAAATCTTAGGAGCATCTGCAAGTATATAGTCAAGAATGTCAATTTAAAGAGTAGGAGATTGTCTTGAAAATAAGGTACTGAAACACTTTCTGTGACAGAGACTGCCATTTTCTTACCTATTATCCATTTTTTTACTATCTTTCTTTCTTAATGCCACTGTTACTGGGAATAACAGTGTCCCTAGTTAAAACCTACATTGCTCAACCTTCTTTGCAGATGGGGTGGCACTGAGGTACAGTTCTGGCTAGTGAGATGTAAGAAGTTTTTCCATAGAGCTTCTAGGAAATCGCCTTAAGAGGATAGAGGGCCAGGGAGAGGGAGTGGATATAGCAGGCACTACTGTTATTCCTCTTTTTGTCTTTTGTCCATTCTCTTTTTTTCTCCAGCAGCTGTCTCAACTAGGGGTGATTTTGACCCCCAGGAGAAATTTGGCAATATCTGGAGATGTTTTTGGTGGTTAAACTGGGGGTTACTATTGTCACCAAGCAAGTTGAGGCCAGGGATATCACTAAACATCCTACAGTGTGCAAGACCATCCACAGAACAAAGAATTATCTGGTCCAAATATCAACAGGTCAATTTGAAAGCCTCTGTTTTGTGGAATGTTGTTCTAATGTTGGAGATTGAGCAACGATTTTATGGATATAAGATGGATAGTCTGTGTCTGAGCCAAAAGATAAAAGAAACTGAAGTCCCTGATGGCATTGTAAGGCTGCTGAAATAGCCCCAGATTTTGTACTTCCAGAGACTTCATTACAAGGAAAAGAAAATACCTGTACCTAATTTGTTTAAGCCAATGAGTTTCTCTTCCCATACATAGTTCGTAATTATCTGAGAGTATTTATTCAGAAAATGTTAGTCATAAAAATTAGGCAGCTGAAATAGAAATTGTTATGAAAAGGCCTTAGGCATTAGAAACACTAAGGAAAAGCTTACCATGATATAGCTGAGCAAAGCGTATCATGGAAAATATACTTGCTGAGTAGAAGAGCATAACATCTTGCAAAATATCAGAATTGCTGGGCTACAGTAATAAATTTGCCTCTTGCTTAGAGAATAAAGATATCTTAAGGCTGGGCACAATGGCTCACCCCTGTAATCCCAGCACTTTGGGAGGCCGAGGCGGGCGGATCACAAGGTCAGAAGTTCGAGACGATTGTGGCCAATATGGTGAAACCCCATCTCTACTAAAAATGCAAAGATTACCTGGGTATGGTGGCAGGCACCTGTAGTCCCAGCTACTCGGGAGGCTGAGGCAGGAGAATCACTTGAACCCAGGAGGTGGAGATTGCAGTGAGCCGAGATTGTGACACTGCACTCCAGCCTGTGCAACAGAGTGAGACACCATCTAAAAAAAAAAAAAAAAAAAAAAAAAAAAAGATATCCTAAAAGGAATTGATACCATTTTGTGGATCTCTTTAATGAGGCAATTTTCTGTTGCTATTAAATGTATTCATTCTGGTGCCAGAATTTGGTCACTCTGCTTAGCTTGGATCACATAAGGACTTAACAAAGTGCTTTAGTCTTCACTGCAGATCCACTAAAGGGAAGGTGATGGAGATAAGCATTGTCTGTACTGTGGAAGAATAAGAGTTAATGTGTTGGTTGGGCTCTTTGAGATCCTTTCTGATTACTGAGGCAACATCAAAGCTAAACATTATGTCTAACCTTGGAACCTGATTAAAATGATACTGTCATTTGAGATTATACCACACTGTGACTTAGGGAATTAAAGCTGTTTGTCTGATTTAAGAGGATAGAGGTGTATATAGCAATAATTGACAGAAACAAAAAAAATGAAATATTCAACATAGAAAAATTTTCTAACCATGAAATTGCTTCATGCTCTCAAGAAAGTGGTAAAATTTTTTGGTTATATGCATGCAGTACCATATTCACTTAAATTATAGCTATGCTACAAGTAGCCATTTGTGAGATACAAGAAGCTTAGTGCACTTGTAAGTTTACAACTGTGACAGCCTAGCTCTCACTGCAGAAATTTAGGGGCTGAAAAACACCCCTAAATCTTCTAATCTTTTCCCTTGCTATTATAGGAAACCGTATGTTAGTAAAAGATATAGATTCTGCCCTAAAGGGTTTCAGTCTAATTAAGGAAACAGTGCATATGTGATCTGTCCACTAATATCTCAAACTTAGCATAGCTATAATTGAACTCTTGATTTTCCTCCCTAACCTGCCACTACATTACCTATCCACCTCAGTAAATGGCATTCCCATTCTTTTTATTTCTTAAGGAAAAAAAGGCTTTGGAGTCATAATTGACTTCTCTCTATTCTCGCACTCCAGATCCAATCCATCACCAAATCCAGTGCACTCTTCATTGTAAATAAATCCCAAGTCCTACCATTTCTTACCAACTTCACTGCTCTCATCCTAATCCAAGTCTACTTTTCACCTGAATTAACTTGTAGGTATTTACCCAAATGAAATGAAAATGTACCTGCACATGAAAGCTGGTATGTGAGTCTTTATAGTGGCTTTATTGATATTCACTAAAAAAAGGAAATAATTTAAATGATCCTACACAGCAATAAAGGGAAATAACTTGGCACGCACAGTATACATACATGAATCTCAAATGCTAAGTGAAAGAAGCCAAACTCAAAAGGTTATATACTGTATGAATACATTTTTATGACATCCCAGAAAAGGAAAACTACAGAGACATAAATCAATGGGCTGAAGTTGGAGGAGAGGTTGATTACACAGGAGCATGGGTAATTTTTAGTGTGATGGAATTACCTTAATTTTTGTGATGATTACCCAGCTGTATTTATCAAAACTTGAAAAATTATACAGTAAGAAAGATGAATATTACTGTGTATAAATTGTACCTGAATTTAGAAAAAGAAAAAAAAAGGCCGCATTTTTAGTAATATCAAAAGATTGTCAGTCAGGATTCAGGATGGGAAATAGAAACTACCTTTGTAGGTATTTTGACAGGAAGGAATGTAATACTTGAAAATAAGTATATTAAATCTTTGAAAGGAACGAAGAAGCGGGTTCTAGGTTAGACTTCCAGTAGTGACTTCAGAACAATATAGAACTAATATACTAAGACAGTAATTCTCTGAGACCAACACTGGAGCTGTGTTGGAATCAGAAGCAATCTATTTGCCACTTTCACAACTGTTTCTGAACACCCAGGAAACTAGAGAATAGACTCCCATCCATGAAATCTAGGCATTTAGAGGCCAGATCGACCAACAAGTCATTGGTGTTTCTGCTGCTTCCACAACTGCTTCTTCTTACCCAGAAAACTAAAATGTATTCCCTGGGATGTCATTGCTGGGAAGAATTTTTATGTTTTCACCATTGTGCTTGCCAGTGGTAACAAAAAGGAAACCTCCAAAATTATGTGAAATAGGCAGAACCTAATTGACTTCCACAGAGCTCTGGCTGCAAGGGAGTGTGGAATATATGATTTATAGATTCCCAAATTTTATAATTATATGGAGGGAAGTAGAGTGAACCAAGCCTCAGTAGTCAACACAGTATCTAACTTTGCATTAATAAGTGACTGTTTAAACAAATTATGGTATCTTACACAGTAGATGAATGATTTAACCAGGCTGTGGGTGTTCTGTAAGCTAGAGACTAATTGCACTCTGGAGTGTAGTTTAATAAATTCTGGTTATTTTAACATTGGACTCTTAAATGTATCCTATAGCAAAGCTAATAATCTATATTGCAGTTTTTGTAATACTGATTTTAAATTTGGCTAAAAGCATAGCTATTTCTTTCTTTTAATTTCCCTGAAAATTTTATTTTATTGTTTCAGAATTGAAAAGTTTATGTCCCTTTTTGGGACAGCATGGGGGTTTATACTCAGTGGAATATCAAAGGCTCATAACATTATAAGAAATGGGGTAAAAATAATAGGGAGGTAATTCTCTATATTGTTTATTTCTGCTGACGTTAGTAACTCCCTGGGTGGCAATCACATATATTTAGAAATTTCATTAACATCTTAAGGCCATTTTGGTGTTAGTTAATAAATTATAGTTTCATCATATTAAAATAGCACCTGGATGGTCAGTCCTGTGGACTTTCAGAGACAGGATAGGGTAGCAAGGCACTAGTATTTGGAATTAGGAACAAGAGCTCAACTAGGGAGTTAGATCACCTAAGTATAATATTTAGTGCCACAATTTACTACTTATATGACCTTTGAAAAATTAAATAATCTATAGACTTCCTCATATATAAAATGGTAATCAACATAGAACATAGAGCTTTTTGTTTTCAACTTTTATTTTTATGGGGTACATGTGCAAGTTTGTTATCTGGATATATTAAATGATGCTGAGGTTTGGGGTACAAACGATCCTGTCACCCAGATACTAAGAATGGTACTTAACAGTTTTTCATACTTTGCCCATCCCCCTCACTCCCCACAGTACTCCCCAGTGTCTATTGTTGCCATCTTCATATCCATGAGTGCCTTATATTTAGCTCCCACTTATAAATGAGAACATGTAGTATTTGGTTTTCTGTTCCTGCATTAATTCACTTAGGAAAATGGCCTCCAACTGCATTCATGTTTCTGCAAAGGACATGATTCCATTCTTTTTATGGCTGTGAGGTATCCCATGGTATACGTGTACCACATTTTCTTTATCTAATTCACTATTGATAGGCATCTAGGTTGATTCCATGTCTTTGCTATTATGAATAGCTCTGTGATGAACATGCAAGTACATGTGCCTTTTTGGTAGAATGATTTATTTTCTTTTGCATACATACCCAGTAATGGGATTGGTTGGTTGAATGGCAGTTCTGTTTTAAGTTTCTTGAGAAATCTCCAGACTGCTTTCTACAGTGGCTGAGCTAATTTACATTCACAGCAACAGTGTATGAACAGTCCTTTTCTCCGCATCCTCGCCAGCATCTGTTTTTTTGTTTACATTTTTACTAATAGTCATTCTGACTGGTGTAAGATGGTATCTCATTGTGGTTTTGATTTTCATTTCTCTGATGATTAGTGATGATGTGAATTTTTTATGTTTGTTGGCCACTTGTGTGTCTTCTTTTGAGAAGTGTCCATTCATGTCTTTTGCCCATTTTTTATGATGGCATTTGGTTTTTGCTTGTTGAATTAAATTCCTTACAAATTATGGATATTAGACCTCTGTTGGTTGCATTGCATGCAAATATTTTCTTCCATTCTGTAGATTGTCTGCTTTCTTTTGATAATTATTTTTGCTCTGCAGACGTTCTTTAGTTTAATTGGATCCAACTTTTGATTTTTGTTTTTGTTGAAATTGCTTCTGAGAACCTAGTTATAAATGCTTTCCCAAGGCCCATGTCCCAAATGATGTTTCTGAGGTTTTCTTCTAGGATTCTGTATTAGTTTGTTCTCGCATTGCTGTAGAGAAATACCTGAGACTGGGTAATTTATAAAGAAGAGTTTTAGTTGGCTTGCAGTTCCTCAGGCTGTACAGGAAGCATGGCAGGACCTGCTTCTGAGGAGGCCTCAGGAAACTTACAATCATGGCAGAAGATGAATGGGAAGCAGGCACATCTTAAATGGCCAGAGCAGGAGGAAGAGAGGGGTCAAGGGAGGTGCTACACACTTTTAGACAACCAAATCTCATGAGAACTTGGGACAGTACCAAGGGGGAAATCCATCCCCATAATACAGTCACCTCCCACCTCCAACACTGGGAATTACAATTCAATGTGAGATTTGGGTGGAGACACCCAAACCGTATCAAATTCAGATCCAAACCATATCAGATTCTTACAGTTTGAGGTCTTACATTTAAATATCCATCTTGAGTTTATATTTTATTTTATTTTATTTTTTTAGACAGAGTCTAGCTCTGTCGCCAGGCTGGAGTGCAGTGGCACGATCTCGGCTCACTGCAACTTCTGCCTCCCGGGTTCAAGTGATTCTCCTGCCTCAGCCTCCTGAGTAGCAGGGATTACAGGCACGCACTGCCATGCCCAGCTAATTTTAGTATTTTTAGTAGAGTCGGGGTTTCACCATGTTGGCCAGGATGGTGTCAATCTCCTGACCTCGTGATCCACCCACCTCAGCCTCCCAAGAGTTAATTTTTGTATACTGTGAAAGGTAGGGATCTAGTTTTGTTCTTCTCCATATGGCTAGTCACTTATCCCAGCACCATTAATTGAACAAGGAGTCTTTCCCATTGCTTGTTTTTGTCAGTTTGTCAAAGATCAGATGGCTCTTGTTGTGTGGACTTATTTCTGGGTTTTCTATTCTGTTCCATTGGTCTACGTGTCTGTTTTTGTACCAGTACCGTGCTGTTTTGGTTACTATATCCTTGTAGTATAGTTTGAAGTCAGGTAGTGTAATGCATCCAACTTTGTTCTTTTTCTTTAGGATTGCTTTGGCTATTCAAGCTCTTTTTTTGGTTTCATATGATTTTAGAGTAGTTTTTTTTCCAATTATGTGAAAAATGACATGACTAGTTTGGTACAAATACTGTCTATCTGTAGATTGCTTTGGGCAGTATGGCCATTTTAACTATATTGATTCTTCTAATCCATGAGCATGGAATGTTTTTTCATTTGTTTGTGTCACTTGTGATTTCTTTCTGCAGTGTTTTGTAGTTCTCCTTGTAGAAATTTTTCACCTCTTGGCTAGATGTATTCCTAGGTATCTTTTTGTGTGTATGAGGCTATTGTAAATGTGATTGTATTCTTGTTTTAGCACTCAGCTTGAACATTGTTGGTGTATAGAAATGCTACTCATTTTTCTAAACTTATTTTGTATCCTAAAACTTTGCTGAAGTCATTTATCAGTTCCAGGAGCCTTTTGATGGAGTCTTTAGGGTTTCCTGGATATAGAATCATATGGTCCATGAGGAGAGAGAGTTTGACTTCTTTTCCTATTTGATTGCCTTCTATTTCTTTCTCTTGCCTGATTGCTGTGGCTAGCACTTCCAGTACTATGTTGAGTAAGAGTGGTAAGAGTGAGTATCCTTGTTTTGTTTCAGTTATCAAGGGGAATGCTTCCGGTTTTTGCCTGTTTAGCATGGTGATAGTTGTAGCTTTGTCTTAGATAGCTCTTATTATTTTGAGGAATGTTCCTTTAATGCCTAGTTACTTTAGGGTTTTATCATGGAGTGATGTTGGATTTTATTGAAAGCTATTTTGCATCTATCGAGATGATCATATGGTTTTTGTTTTTAATTCTGTTTATGTGGTAAATCATAGTTATTAAATTGTATTTGTTGAACCAACCTTGCATCCCAGGAACAAAGCCTACTTGATCATAGTGAATTAACTTTTGTTATGATTTTGTTCAGGATTTTTATGTCTGTCTTCATCAGAGACATTGGCCCGTAGTTTTTATTTTTCATTGTATCTGTATCAGATTCTGGTATCAGGATGATATTGGCTTTGTAAAGTCCCTCCTCCTTGATTTTTAGTAAAAACAGTTTCAGTAGAATTGGTACCAGCTCTTCTTTATATGTCTGGTAGAAATCAACTGTGAATCCATCTGGTCTGGGGCTTTTTGTTTGTTTGTTTGTAGGCTTTTTATTACTGATTCAATTTCAAAACTCAATATTGTTCTGTTCAGTGTTTCAGTTTCTTCCTGATTCAATTTTGGGAGATTGTGTGTTTCCAGGAATTTCTCCATTTCCTCTAGATTTTCTAGTTTATGTGAGAAGAAGTGTTCACAGTAGTGTCTGAGGATCTTTTGTATTTCTGTGGTATTGGTTGTGATGTCACCTTTGTTGGTTCTGTTTGTACTTACTTGGATCTTCTCTCTTCTTTTCTTTATTAATCTAGCTAACATTCTACCAATCTTGTTTATCCTTTCAAATAACCAATGTTTGGTTTCATCAATTCTTTGTATGGATTTTTGGGCCTCAATTTCATTCAGTTCCACTCTGATTTTAGTTACTTCTTTTCTTCTGCCAGTTAGGGATTAGTTTGCTCTTGTTTCTCTAGTTCCTCTAGGTGTGATGTTAGATCATTAATTTGAGATCTTCCTAACTTTTTGAGGTCATTTACGACTTTAAACTTTTCTCTTAACATGGCTTTTGCTGTATCTCAGATGTTTTGGTATGTCTCCTTTTTCATTTATTTCAAAGAATTTTTTTATTTCTGCCTTGATTTTGTCATTTACCCAAAAGTCCTTCAGGAGCAAGTTGTTTAATTTCTATGTAATTGTGTGGTTTTCAGAGGTCTTCTGATATTATAATAATTTCTATTTTCATTCCACAGTGGTCTGAAAGTATGGTTGATACGATTTCAATTTTTTTAATTTATTGAGACTTGCTTTACTGTTAAGAATGTAGTCAATCTTTTAGTATGTTCTGTATGCAGATGAGAAGAATGTATATTCTGTGGTTGATGGGTCATGTACTCTATAGATTTTTATTACATCCAATTGTTCAGGTGTGAAGTTTAAGTCCAGAATTTCTTTGTTAGTTTTCTGCCTCAGTGATCTGTCTTATGCCGTCACTAGGGTGTTGAAGTCCTCCAATACTATTGTGTGACTGTTTAAGTTTTTTCATAGGTTTAGAAGTACTTGTTTTTGTGAATCTGGGTGCTCCAATGTTGTGTATATCTATACTTAGGATAGTTAAGATTTATCTAATTGAACCCTTTATTGTTATAGAATGCCTTTCTGTCCTTTTTTAGGATTATTAGTTTAAACTCTGTTTTGTCAGGTATTAGAATAGTGACCCCTTCTCTTTTTTTGTTTTCTATTTATGCGGTACATCTTTCTCCAATCCTTTACTTTGATCCTATCAGTATCATTATGTGTGAGATGGATCTCTTGAAGACAGTAGATGTATAGGTCTTGTATTTTTCTCCAACTTTGTCACTCTGTGCCTTTTAAGTGGGTCATTTAGACCATTTATATTCAAGGTTAATATTGATATATGAGGTTTTGATCCTATCTTGAAGTTGTTCAGCTGGTTGCCTTGTACTTTCTATTGTGTTTTTGGTTTATAGTCTCGTGGGTTATGTACTTAGGTGTGTTTTTGTGGTCACAGGTATCATTTTTTGTTTCCATACTTAGAACTCCCGTAAGGCTCTCTTGGAAGGCTGGTCTAGTGGTAATGAATTTCCTTAGTGCTTGCTTGTCTGGAAAAGATTTTATTTCTCCTTTACCGCACAAACTGAAGTTTGGTGGGATGTCATATTCTTCCCTGGAATTTTTTTCTTTCCTTAAGAATGCTGAAAATAGGCTCCCAATCTCTCCTGGCCTGTAAGGTTTCTGCAAAGAAGCCCACTGTTAGCCTGATGAGGTTCCCTTTTTTTGTGATTCATTCTTTTTCTCTAGCTGCCTTTAAGATTTTTTTCATTTAGCATTGACCTTGAACCTTCTGACTATTATATACCTTGGTGATTATTTAGTATAGTATCTTCCAGGTGATCTCTGGATTTCTTGTCTGCATGTCTACCTTTCTGGCATAATTAAAGAAGTTTTTTTGAACTGTTTCCTCAAGTATATTTTCCAGATTGTTTCCTTTTTATCCTATCTCAGGAATGCTAATAATTGGAAGGTTTGGTTTCTTTACATAATCCCAAGGTTCTCACAGACTTTTGCCAGACTGGGTTAGTTAGAAAGATCAGTCCTCAATCTCTGAAACAGTTTCTTCTGCTTAGTCCAGTCTATTGATAAAGCTTTCATTTGTATTTTGAAATTCCTTAAGTGAGTTTTTCAATTCCAGAGGCACTGAATGATTTTTTTTTTAATGATTTTTATGTCTTTTTTCATTTCCTAGATTGCTCTAGAAGTTTCTTTGTTTTCATTTTTAACCTTGTCTTGAATCTCATCGACCTTCCTTGCAAGCCATGCTTTGGATTCTTTATCTGCCATTTCTAAGTTTCTGTTTTGGTTACAGACCATTGCTGGAGAGTTAGTTCAGTACTTTTGTGGTATCATTACATTCAAATTTTTCATAGTGCCAGAATTCATGCTCTGATTCCTTCTCATCTGATGATGCTGGCACTTCTAATTTTTTGTAATTATTTTTGTGCAGGCAGGATATTTTCTTTTTTCCTATGGTGTTATTGTTGTTGTTTTATTTTTTTCTTTACCTTTTCCTGCCCCCTCCTCCCCACCCCCCTCCGAGTGTGACTGTGGAGAATGCTGAGTAGGGTCTTTTGGCTTTTGGCTTTGCTTCAGTAGCCCTGTGCACTTCTTTTGGCAGGTTTTATATTTGGCTGTGCAGTTCATCCTACGAGCCCATAGATGGCACTTATAGGTCAGAGCTTGCTGCAGCCAATATGACTGGGTGTATACTTGATCCTTGTTTACTGGCAGAAGTTCTCTGTTGCCTTAGGCAATGAGCTGGTTCATGGAATGCACAGTGGTGTGAGCTCCCTGATCAACCTCACGGTGCCGGGAGGCAAGAACCAGGAACAACAGATCTGGACCAGGCAGGTACACCTACAGATCCCCTGATGGCAGGCACAAGCACCAGTGCCTACGGGGATGGCCACCATGTGCTCAGAGATGTGCCTAGGCATTGAACTGTGAAACCTCCTTGGCTCCAAGTTCTCTGCATGGGGATGGGCAGCAACTTACACTCTTAATCCAAGTGGGTGTTCCAGATGTCTTGACTATCCACCTGGGCGTGGAACAGAGAAGGCCCCATGCACCAAGATCTCTGCATAGGAGGTGTGGAGTGTCTCAGACTGCTGGAAGAGGCAAGCAGTTTCTTTGAATGCCTGGAGATCTGCCTGGGCATGGAGTGTAGAGGGTTTCGCTATACCATGACCTATGTCCAGGAAAGGTAAGGTGGCTCAGGCTGCTGAAACAGATGAGTGGGTACAACAAATGTCTGATGATTTGCCTGGGCATGAAGGAGAGAGGGTCTTCCTGTACCAGGATGTTCACACAGGAAGGGTGGGGGATGGGGGCCAGTCTACTGGTCCAGGTGAGTGATGCTCCAAATGCGTGGAGATCTGCCTCAGCACGGAGCAGAGGGCCCTTTTGCACGAAGATCTCTGCACAGGTGGGGTGGGGTGATTAAGGCTGCTGGACACAGCTAGCAGGTGAAACATAGGTATTTCTTTTTTTTTTCTTTTTTTGGAGACAGAGTCTCACCCTGTTGCCCAGGCTGGAGTGCAATGGTGCTATCTCGACTCACTGCAATGTCTGCCTCCCGCGTTGAGCGATCCTCCTGCCTTAGCCTCCCAAGTAGCTGAGATTACAGGCACATGCCACCACGCCTGGCTAATTTTTGTATTTTTAGTAGAGACAGGGTTTCACTATGTTGGCCAGGCTGGTCTTGAACTCTTGACCTCAGGTTATCCACCCATGTTGGCCTCCCAAAATGCTGGGATTACAGGCGTGAGCCACCACGCCCAGCCGAAACGTAAGTATTTCTTAAAAATAGTTAAATAACTTCTCTCATGCAAAATTAACTTGAAAGTTTACAGCGCATGTTAGATTTCCTAATATTCAGAATACTGTATATAAATTTAGACGAACAGGAATTTTTCAGAATGGTAAACAGTATGTAAGAGAACTGTACCAGCTTCCTTTGTAAAGGAAATCAGCTACAGATAAATGATCAATTTTATGTAGAATCAGTGGCAAATATGTAATAGAATTTAATCCTGTCTCTTGGCTGTGAAATGCAAACATTGCTTTCCAGAAGGTGTATGGATCACCTTTTAAAGGAATGGCCTGATGGCATCCTTTCAGATATCATCTGCTCGAAATAGTTTGTGTATGTCCATGTTCCTGTTTGCACATACGCACGTAGGAATGACTGAGTTGGCTCATTCAAAACTAAAGCTTCAGGGAAAAGTACTTTAGTCTGTGAACACAAGTCTTGTGTTAATTTCTGCCCTTCTTACCCCCACAGAATAAAAATTCAACTTTTAAAGTATTTTGAAATAAAAAATAAGCTGCCTCATTTTAAAGTGTACCTTTAATGAGATTAGAGTGAATTGCCTGAGAAGCTAAATGACCAGACTTGCCCTAACAGATTTTAATTATTTGTATAGGACTCCCCAAATGAAGACTCACAATAGCCATTTTAACTATACTAGAGCTGCTCTTTCATCTTCATTACAAGCTTCAGACCCTAAACAAAGCATGAAGCTGGGCAGTGCACTGTTTAATTTCAAATTGGATTTTTCATTATGTTTTATGATAACTTTTTATTTTTATCAAGTTGAATCTCAGCCTTCTGTTAGACTCAAGAAGATTTATAGCATATGATCTGTGTACTTATTTGGACAAACAAATGCAATAAATCAGCCTATTCTTTTCAATAAAATGTTATTAATAGAACACATTATTCTGTTCGATATTATGTTATCTTTAAAATTAAGCAGAACATTAGTGGCAATGAAACTAGTTTCAATCAATATGTTCTTATAATGAAACCTATTGTATGAGAAACTTTTCTTTTTAAAGAGGAAAAATGCCCTTAGCACAACAACCAAATTCTGACTCTCAATATGGCATTTCACAGCTTCTATGAATTATTTATTAGGATTTCTTTGCATTTGTTTTGGTATTTACAATAGTTTCTTGAAAGTTACCATGAAGCAGTTAGAACATGAATGTTCCTTAAATGATATTTTTTTAAGTGAGGAATTGGGGTCTCCTCTCTTGGCTTTGGAACCCCCCTCCCTCTGTCTCTGTACAGGGGAGCTTCTTCTTTTTTCTCTTTTCTTTCTTGTCTATTAAACTTTCTGCTCCTTAAAACCAAAAAAAATACCCAGCACTTTGGGAGGCCGGGGCAGATGGATCACGAGGTCAGGAGATCAAGACCATCCTGGCTAACACAGTGGAACCCCGTCTCTACCAAAAAAATACAAAAAATTAGCTGGACATGGTGGCGGGTGACTGTAGTCCCAGCTACTCAGGAGGCTGAGGCAGGAGAATGACGTGAACCCAGGAGACAGAGCTTGCAGTGAGCCGAGATCGTGCCACCGCACTCCTGCCTGTGCAACAGAGTGAGACTCTGTCTCATAAATTAATTAATTAATTAAAATAAAATAAAATAAAATAAAATAAAACAAACAAATTGAGGAATTTACTTTGCACTTGACCTGGCAGGAACCTTAGCATGTGCCTCATTGAAATTAAAGTGGGAGAGGATTTTAAGAAAGGCAGACCGGCTGTTAACGCTCAGGAACATAAGAATTGTCCATTTCTCTTTTAGTCTGATAGAGTGTCTGGTTAAATTTCTTCATGGATGAAAAATGAGTAGTATTCAGATAAGGAAGGTATAGATTTTAATATTTTAAAACTCATATAATAAGAAAACAGGATTAGAACCGTGGTTTAGACCCTAATCACCCACTATACTCCCAGTTTAAATTTTAGAATTATGGCTTTAAAAGGAAAAGTGTCTGAAGTCTCAGTATAGAATTATAGTTTTAGGAGACCTACATGATCCTTTTGGAAAACTGAACAGGCTGGGGCATTGTTCTGTTAACTGGTGTGACAGCAAAGTTCCCTTACAGAAGGCTGATATTTAATAATATGACCTGGAAAGTGAAGACCTTTGGGTGTTAAATTGCATATATCTTCCAATAAAAAACTCTGAAAAATAATTTATAATTCCTTTTGCTTCATACATTGTATTTTACATGGCTGTTTAAGGAATCTAGAGACCTATCATAGTGTCAAATTTACTCCCATAGCTTCTGCAATTTCTTATATTTAATCTGAAAATAAGAACTAGAGACATTCTTCTACTGCGGTTTTGCTCTCATTAAATTGTTAAGAAATTGTTGTATGGACAGATGAGAATCATATTAAGATGAAAAAATATTTATGAAAATTTAAGCCATCACACATTCTGTTGGCTTTAGGATAGAGTTTCCTTAGTCCCTCAGGAAAATAATTTGAGTATATTGCTATACAAGTCTCTTACAGTAAATAAGTAAACTCTACAGTCACTGAATACCACTGCTAACATCTTATAAACAATCACACTCTCCTCATGTGTATTTTTTCTCTTCTTATTTTTTAGAGACAGGGTCTCACTCTGTGGCCCAGGCTAGAGTGCAGTGGCACAATCATGGCTCACTGTAGCTTCAACTTTCTGGGCTCAAGTGATCCTCCTGCCTTGGCCTCCCCAAGTGCTGGGATTACAGGCATGAGCCACCACACTTGGACTTCTTCTGTATTTTATTTTATTTTTATTTATTTATTTGGGACAGGGTCTTGCTCTGTTGCCCAGGCTGGTGTGCTATGGCATGAGCAGGACTCACTACAGCCTTGAATTCCTGGAGTCAAGCGATGCTCCCACCTCAGCCCCCCAAGTAGCTGGGACTGCAGGCATGTGCCACTAAGCCAGACTAATTTTTTTTTTAATTTTAGAAGAGAGAAGATCTCACTATGTTACCCAGGCTCCTTTTCTGTATTGCAAATGTAGAAGATCTTCGTATTTTTTTCATACAGGGAGAGACCGGTTAGAATCTATTTTGGAGTTTTAGTGTCATTTTACTGCATAAGATGGCAGTAAACTTGATTGTAGCTTTTTCCATTCTTAGTTCTACCTCAAAGCTATTAAATATTACATTTCTGAAAGAAGATTCATTTTTGTTTTATTCACATCTGGGAAGACCTGTCAACCATTGGGTTTACTTTCCATACAGCTGACAAGGATTGTATGTGGACACTTTGGCAGCAGAGTGGCAAGAAGCAACTGATTACTTCATTATCTCTGCAGTGTCCCCCCATGACAGTTGAACATCATCTGTATTTATTTATTTATTTATTTGTTTTTCCAACTTACATTTTAGGTTCCAAGGGTACATATACAGTTTTCTTACATGGGTAAATTGTATGTAATGGGGGTTTGGTGTACAGATTATTTTGTCACCCAGGTAATAAGCATAGTATCCAACAGATAGTTTTTCAATCTTCACTCTCCTCCAGTCTTTTACCCTCAAGTAAGTCCTTCTTTCTATTATTCCCTTCTTTTTTGTGTATGTGACAAAGTCTTGGTCTGATGCCAGGCTGGAGTGCAGTTGCATGAACACGGCTTACTGTAGCCTCAACCTCCTGGGTTCAAGCACTCCTCCTGCCTCAGCCTCCACAGTAGCTGGGACAGACACATTCCACCATGCCCTGCTGATTTTTTAAATTTTTTGTGGAGATGGGGTACTGCTATGTTGATCGGGCTGGTCCTGAACGAATGAACTCTTGGGTCAGGCAGTCTTCCTACCTCGGACTCCCAAAATGCTGCAATTACAGGCATGAGCCACCATGCCTGGCCTGTTATTCCTTTCTTTGTGTCCATGTGTTCTCTTTTTTTATGTATATATTTATTATTTATTTATTTACTTTATTTTATATATATATATTTATTATACTTTAAGTTCTAGGGCACACGTGCACAATGTGCAGGTTTGTTAAATATGTATACATGTGCCAGGTTGGTGTGCTGCACCCATTAACTCATCATTTACATTAGGTATATCTCCTAATGCTATCCCTTGCCCCTCCCCCCACCCCACAACCAGCCCCGGTGTGTGATGTTCCCCTTCCTGTGTCCAAGTGTTCTTATTGTTCAATTCCCATCTATGAGTGAGAACATGCGGTGTTTGGTTTTCTGTCCTTGCGATAGTTTGCTGAGAATGATGGTTTCCAGCTTCATCTGTGTACCTACAAAGGACATGAACTCATCATTTTTTATTGCTGCATAGTATTCCATGGTGTATATGTGCCATATTTTCTCAATCCAGTCTATCATTGTTGGACATTTCGGTTGGTTCCAAGTCTTTGCTATTGTGAATAGTGATGCAAAAAACATACATGTGCATGTGTCTTTATAGCAGCATGATTTATAATCCTTTGGGTATATACTCAGTAATGTGATGGCTGGGTCAAATGGTATTCCTAGTTCTAGATCCCTGAGGAATTGCCACACTGTCTTCCACAGTGGTTGAACAAGTTTACAGTCCCAGCAACAGTGTAAAAGTGTTCCTATTTCTCCATATCCTCTCCAGCACCTGTTGTTTCCTGACTTTTTAATGATCACCATTCTAACTGGTATGAGATGGCATCTCATTGTGGTTTTGATTGAATTTCTCTGATGGCCAGTGATGATGAGCATTTTTTCTGAAGGGATCAATTCAACAAGAAGAGCTATCCTAAATATATATGCACCCAATACAGGAGCACCCAGATTCATAAAGCAAGTCCTCAGAGACCTACAAAGAGACTTAGACTCCCACGCAATAATAATGGGAGACTTTAACCCCCCACTGTCAACATTAGACAGATCAACGAGTCAGAAAGCTAACAAGGATATCCAGGACTTGAACTCAGCTCTGCACCAAGTGAACCTAATAGACATATACAGAACTCTCCACCCCAAATCAACAGAATATGCATTCTTCTCAGCATCACATTGCACTTATTCCAAAATTGACCACATAGTTGGAAGTAAAGCACTCCTCAGCAAATGTAAAAGAACAGAAATTATAACAAACTGTCTCTCAGACCACAGTGCAATCAAACTAGAGCTCAGGATTAAGAAACTCACTCAAAACCGCTCAACTACATGGAAACTGAACAACCTGCTCCTGAATGACTACTGGGTACATAACGAAATGAAGGCAGAAATAAAGTTGTTCTTTGAAATTAACGAGAACAAAGACAAAACATACCAGAATCTCTGGGACATATTCAAAGCAGTGTGTAGAGGGAAATTTATAGCACTAAATGCCCACAAGAGAAAGCAGGAAAGATCTAAAATTGACACCCTAACATCGCAATTAAAAGAACTAGAGAAGCAAGAGCAAACACATTCAAAAGCTAGCAGAAGGCAAGAAATAACTAAGATCAGAGCAGAACTGAAGGAAATAGAGACACAAAAAACCCTTCAAAAAATCAATGAATCCAGGAGCTGGTTTTTTGAAACAGTCAACAAAATTCATAGACCGCTAGCAAGACTAACAAAGAAGAAAAGAGAAGAATCCAATAGACGCAATAAAAAATGATAAAAGGGGATATCACCACCAATCCCACAGAAATACAAACTGCCATCAGAGGATACTATAAACAACTGTATGCAAATAAACTAGAAAATCTAGAAGAAATGGATAAATTTCTCGACACATACACCCTCCCAAGACTAAACCAGGAAGAAATTGAATCTCTGAATAGACCAATAACAGGCTCTGAAATTCAGGCAATAATTAATAGCTTACCAACAAAAAAAGTCCAGGACCAGATGGATTCACAGCCAAATTCTACCCAGAGGTACAAGGAGGAGCTGGTACCATTCCTTCTGAAACTATTCCAATCAATAGAAAAAGAAGGAATCCTCCCTAACTCATTTTATGAGGCCAACATCATCCTGATACCAAAGCCTGGCAGAGACACAACAAAAAAAGAGAATTTTAGACCAATATCCCTGATGAACATCGATGCAAAAATCCTCAATAAAATACTGGCAAACCGAATCCAGCAGCATATCAGAAAGCTTATCCACCATGACCAAGTGGTCTTCATCCCTGGGATGCAAGACTGGTTCAACATATGCAAATCAATAAATGTAATCCATTGTATAAATAGAACCAAAGACAAAAACCACATGATTATCTCAATAGATGCAGAAAAGGCCTTTGACAAAATTCAACAGCCCTTCATGCTAAAACCTCTCAATGAACTAGGTATTGATGGGATGTATCTGAAAATCATAAGAGCTTTTTATGACAAACCCACAGCCAATATCATACTGAATGGGTAAAAACTGGAAGCATTCCCTTTGAAAACTGGCACAAGACAGGGATGCCCTCTCTCACCACTCCTATTCAACACAGTGTTGGAAGTTCTGGCCAGGGCAATCAGGTAGAGAAAGAAATAAAGGGTATTCAATTAAGAAAAAAGGCAGTCAAATTGTCCCTGTTTGCAGATGACATGATTGTATATCTAGAAAACCCCATCTTCTCAGCCCAAAATCTCCTTAAGCTGATAAGCAACTTTAGCAAAGTCTCTGGATACAAAATCAATGTGCAAAAATCACAAGCATTCTTTACACCAATAACAAACAGAGAGCCAAATCATGAGTGAACTCCTATTCACAATTGCTTCAAAGAGAATAAAATACCTAGGAATCCAACTTACAAGGGACGTGAAGGACCTCTTCAAGGAGAACTACAAACCACTGGTCAACGAAATAAAAGACGACACAAACAAATGGAAGAACATTCCATGCTCATGGATAGGAAGAATCAATATAGTGAAAATGGCCATATTGCCCAAGGTAATTTATAGATTCAATGCCATCCCCATCAAGCTACCAATGACTTTCTTCACAGAATTGGAAAAAACTACTTTAAAGTTCATATGGAACCAAAAAGAGCCCACATTGCCAAGTCAATCCTAAAACAAAAGAACAAAGCTGGAAGCATCACGCTACCTGACTTCAAACTATGCTACAAGGCTACAGTAACCAAAACAGCATGGTGCTGGTACCAAAACAGAAATATAGACCAATGCAACAGAACAGAACCCTCAGAAATAATACCACATATCTACAGCCATCTGATCTTTGACAAACCTGACAAAAACAAGAAATGGGGAAAGGATTCCCTATTTAACCAATGGTGCTGGGAAAACTGGCTAGCCATATGTAGAAAGCTGAAACTGGATCCCTTCCTTACCCCTTATACAAAAATTAATTCAAGATGGATTAAAGACTTACATGTTAGACCTAAAACCATAAAAACCCTAGAAGAAAACCTAGGCAATACCATTCAGGACATAGGCATGGGCAAGGACTTCATGTCTAAAACACCAAAAGCAATGGCAACAAAAGCCAAAATTGACAAATGGGATCTAATTAAACTAAAGAGCTTCTGCACAGCAAAAGAAACTACCATCAGAGTGAACAGGCAACCTACAGAAAATTTCTGCAATCTACTCATCTGACAAAGGGCTAATATCCAGAATCTACAAAGAACTCAAACAAATTTACAAGAAAAAAACAACCCCATCAAAAAGTGGGTGAAGGATATGAACAGACACTTCTCAAAAGAAGACATTTATGCAGCCAACAGACACATGAAAAAATGCCCATGTGTTCTCAATGTTAGCTCCTACTTGTACGTGAGAACATGTGGTATTTGGTTTTCTGTTCCTCCATTATATTCATTTAGAGTAATGACCTCTAGCTCCATCTGTGTGTTTTATCATTCTTATAGAGATCTTTTACCTTCCTGATTAGCTGTATTCGAAAATATTTTATTTTTTGTGTATGGTTTTTGTGATTGGATTGCATTCTTGATTTGGCCCTCAGCTTGGATGTTGTTGGTGAACAGAAATGCTACTGATTATTCTATATTGAATTTGTATCCTGAAACTTTGTTGAAGTTGTTTATCTAGGAGCTTTAGGGCAGAGACTAGGATTTTCTAGATATAAAAACATATAGTCTGTGAAAAGAGATAGTTTGACTTCCTCTCTTCCTGGTTAGATGCCTTTTTTTTTTTCTTGCCTGATTGCTCTGGCTAGTGCTTCCACTACTGTGTCAAATAGGAGTGGCGAAAATGGATGTCCTTGTCTTGTTCTGGTTTGCAAGGGTAATGTTTCCAGCTTTTTCCCATTAGTATGATGCTGGCTGTGGGTTTATCATAGATGGCTCTTTTTATTTTGAAGTGTGTTCCTTCAATGCCTAGTTGTTGAGGGTTTTTAAGATGAAGGGATAAATTTTATTGAAAATCTTTTCTGTGTCTAATGAGGTGATCATGTGGTTTTTGGTTTTAGTTCTGTTTATGTGATGAATCGTATGTATTAAGTTGCATATGTTGAACCAACCTTGTATTTCAGTAATAAAGCCAGCTTGATTGTGGTGGATTAGCTTTTTGAGGTGCTGCTGGATTTGGTTTGCTAGTGTTTTGTTGAGGATTTTTGCAACTATGTTCATCAGGGATGTTTTCCTGAAGTGTTTTGTTGTTGTGTCTCTGCCAGATTTTGGCGTCAGAATTATATTAGCCTTATAGAATGAGTTAGGGTCAAAGTCCCTCCTACTTGATTTTTTGGAATAGTTTCAGTAGGATTGGTACCAGCTCTTCTTTGTATGTCTGGTAGAATTCACCTGTGGATCCATCTTCCCCAGGGCTTTTTCTGGTTGGTAGGCTTTTTATTAATGATTTAATTTTGAAACTCAATATTTTTTTTTCAGGGTTTCAGTTTCTTCCTGGTTCAATCTTAGGAGGTTGTATATTTTCAGGAATTTATCCATTTCTTCTGGGTTTTCCAGTTTGTGTGCCTAGGGGTGTTTGTAATAGTCTCTGAGAGTTTTATTTGGGATTGGTGGCAATGTCTGCCTCGTCATTTCTGATTGTACTTATTATTATTGAGACAAGGTCTCACTGTGTCGCCCAGGCTGCAGTGCAGTGGCATGATCTCAGTTCACTGCAACTTCCACCTCCCGGGCTCGAGTTATCCTCCCACCTCAGCCTCCTGAGTATCTGGGACCACAGACAAGCACCACCATGAGTGGCTAATTTTTTGTAGAGACAGGGTTTCACCGTGTTGCCAGGTACGTGTCAAGTTTTTTGAGAATTGTTTTATGTCTGAGTGTGTGGTCAGTTTTAGAGTATGTACCAAGTGCAGACATCTATATTTATATGGGATATTAATCTGTAGTTCTGTTTTCTTTTGGTAATTTTGTCTGGTTTGGGATGAGGGTAATTCTGGCTTTGGTAAATCTGCTGGAAACTGTTTTCTCCTTTTTCCGTATTCTCAGTTGATCCATGACCTTTTCTTTTTAGAATGATTGATATTCACCACTGAAGCCATCAGGAATGGACTTTTTTGTGAGAATATTTTTAATTACTATGTCAATTTCTGTAATTTATGTGGGATATTAAGATTTTCTATTTTGTCTTCAGTCAATTTGGTAGTTTCTGTCTTTCAAGGAATTTGTCCATTTCATTTTGGATGTTATATGTAGTATAATTCAGCATGCATAACATTCCTTTATTATCTTAATATCTGTGGCACTTGTATCTATTTGCCACTTTTTCATTTTTGATTTTTATTATGCACATCTATTTTCTGGATCAATTTCATTGATTTTTTTTAACAAAACATCTTTTATTAGATTTTCTCTGTTGTTTCTTTTCTGTTTCATTTGTTTCTGCCCTTATGTTTATTTTTCCTTCATTCATATTTTTTTCAGTTATAATTTGCATTTCTTTCCTAACTTGCTAGGACGAGAATTTAGATTATTGATTTGAAATGTAATTTCTTTTCTAATATAAACATTTAAAGCTATAAATTTCCCTCTAAGAACTCCATTAGCTATATTTTATTGTTTTAATTTTGATTAATTTCAAAATATTTTCTAAGTATTCTTGTTATTTCCTCTTTGAACAGTTTATAGTCATAAGATTCTTAATTTCCAGTTATTGCCCAATCTCTGACAGCTTTCTGTAATGTATTTCTAATTTAATTCCCTTATTGTCAGAAAATGTGTCTTCCACAATTTCAATATCTTGAAATTATTGAGGCTTGAAATTATTCACCATATCATATGATCTGGCCAATTTTGGTAAATCTTTAATCTGCATGAAAAATAATATAATCAGCAATTATTGGATATAGTATTCTGTTTATCAGTAGGGTCAATATTTTTCTTTCTTTTTATTTATTTATTTATTATACTTTAAGTTCTAGGGTACATGTGCACAACGTGCAGGTTTGTTACATATGTATACATGTGCCATGTTGGTGTGCTGCACCCATTAACTCATCATTTACATTAGATATTTCCCCTAATGCTATCCCTCTCCTATGCCCCCACCCCCCGACAGGCCCCAGTGTGTGATGTTCCCCGCCCTGTGTCCAAGTCTTCTCATTGTTCAATTCCCACCTATAAGTGAGAACATGTGGTGTTTGGTTTTCTGTCCTTGGGATAGTTTGCTCAGAATGATGGTTTCCAGCTTCATCCATGTCACTACAAAGGACATGAACTCATCATTTTTTATGGCTGCATAGTATTCCATGGTGTATATGTGCCACATTTTCTTAATCCAGTCTATCATTGATGGACATTTTGGTTGGTTCCAAGTCTTTGCCATTGTGAATAGTGCCGCAATAAACATATGTGTGCATGTGTCTTTATAGTAGCATGATTTATAATCCTTTGGGTATATACCTTTATAGTGTTGTTCAGGTCTTCTGTATGCCTATTGAATTTTAGTATACTTTTTCCATCAGTTACTAAGGGAGATCTTTGGAATTTCCAACCATGATTGTGGGGTTTTTTTTCCTTTCCGTCTTTCCACTATGTATCTTGAATTTAGCTATTAGATTCATTCAAATTTAGGATTATTATATAGTCTTGGTGCATTAACTTTTCTTATCACTTTCAAACATGCCTCTTTATCCCTGTTATTATCACTTCTTTTGAAATATACCTAATATGTTATTAATATAGCCACTTCAGCTTTTTTATAATTAGTATTTGTGGAATATGTCCTTTTCAGTCCTTCTACTTTTACTCCACCTTTGTCTTTAATAATTAAAGTAGGGCTTTCATAGATAGTGCATAGTTTGCTTTTGATTTATAATCTAGCCAGACTGTCTCTGGACTTATATTGGACTCTTTGGATCCTTTACCCTTGATGCAGTTATCAACTTGATGGAGTCTAGTTATATCACCTTTTAATTTATTTTCTATTTTTCACTGATTTTTCAGTTTCATATTTAGGGTTTTTTTAACCTTCTTTTAAATAATTGTTTAGTTTTAGTGTTTGTTATTTCTATTCTATACTCACTGTCTTTGTTTAATTTTTTAGTGGTTTTTCCAGGTTTGCAATATGAACCCTTAGAAGTCTATTTTTATGCTGGGTGTGGTGGCTCACACCTGTATTTGCAGCACTTTGGGAGGCTGAGGCGGGTGGATCGCTTGACTCCAGGAGTTCAAGACCAGCCTGGGCAACATGGTGAAACCCCATCTCTACAAAGAAAGAAACAAAAAAACTAAAATACTAGCCAGGTATGGTAGCATACTCCTGTAGTCCCAGCTACTGAGGAGGCTGAGGCAGGAGAATCTCTGGAGCCCAGGAGGCCAAGGCTACAGTGATCTGTGATTGTGCCACTACACTCCAGCCAGGGCAACAGAGCAAGACCCTGTCTCAAAAACAAAAAGTCTACTTTCAAGTAATATTTACCAGATCATGTGTGATGTCTAATGTATAACTGCATAAAAGAATGCTTCCATTTCCCACTTCCATTTGTTCTGTTATTATTGTCACATAATTTACTTCTACATGTGTTGTATACACCACAATTTTATTATTATTGCATTAAATTAATATTTTAAATAGATATGAAAAATATTGCTTGTATTTACATTTCTAGCAGTTTACATTCATTTTTATAGATCCTAGTTTTCATCTAGTATCATTTTATTTATACCTGGAGATAGATGTTTGTTTATGGTCATGCAGTTCTTCTGGAATAACTTTTTTCATCTTTCGTATCTATTTCACTTCGTTTTTAAAGGAATTTCTTTCTGACTTAGCAATTTGTTTTTTTTTGCTTCTATTCATCACTTTCATAATATTGTATCATTTCTCATTTCTTCTGGCTTTCATGATTTGTTTGTTTGTTTTTGAGATGGAGTTTCACTCTTGTTGCCCAGGCCAGAGTACAATGGCACGATCTTGGCTCACCGCAACCTCCGCCTCCCAGATTCAAGCGATTCTCCTGCCCCAGCCTCCCGAGTAGCTGGGATTACAGGCATGTGCCATCATGCCCAGCTAATTTTGTGTTTTTATTAGAGACAGGGTTTCTCCATGTTGGTCAGGCTGGTCTGGAACTCCTGACCTCAGGCGATCCACCCACCTCGGCCTCCCAAAGTGCCGAGATTACAGGCATGAGCCACCATGCCCAGCTGCATGTTTTTTAAATAAATGATATTCTGCCGTCATTCTTACTCTCTTCCTTTGTATGCAATGTATTTTTAAGCCTGCTTACTCTTATGATCTTTCTTCACTAGTTTTTAGAAATATGATAATGATGTGCTTGATGTTGCATGCGTTTATAATGTCAAATTTTTACTTTTCACCTATTAAATACCATTTGGTTATTTTAAATATCTTTTATTATCATTACATTCATGTTTTCCTTTAAATTCTTAATTATGATGAGCTTATTTATAATAGGACTTTTGAAATCCTCATGTGCTAATTCTATCATTTGTCATCTCCAGGTGTTTTTCTGTTGACTTACTAGTCAGATTTCATCATATATGTTGTAAGTTTTTATTAGATGCTTATCAACATAGATGTTACATTAATGATTATCTTGATTTTATTGTCTTCCTTTACAATGTTTATTCTGACAGGCATTTAAGTTGTTGGTAGATCAGATCTTTTTAAGACTTGTTTTTAAGCTTTGTTAAGGCTAGTCTGTAGGGTAGTCTTTTCTCTAACAACTGCTTAGCTCTTTCTGGTTTCTCAGTAAGATCGAGTGTCCTGGGATCAACCATTCTGACTAGACAAAACTTGAACATCTCCTTGTACTGTGTGACTTCTGGGAAGTGTTTCATTTACAACTCCCTGGTAACAACAATTTTCTAAACAGTTTGAGTTTCACTCTACATATGTGCAGTCTTAGCAAAACTCAAGAAGGCTTCTGTGCTGATTACTCAACTGTTTTTCTGTGTAGCACTCTCTTTTCTAAGGATTCTGTCATGCCATTTCTGGCCACCTCAACCTCCCGGAACTCTGCAGCAAGACTTCTATGCTGTGCTTAGGATTTCTCTCACTGAACGATAGTCTGGACTGTTTATCTAAATAAAAATTTATGTCTATTTTAGGGCTTAGCTCATTTGTTTGCCTTCTTTCAGGGATCATATACATACAGTGCCTGAATAGCTGAACGTATAAAATGTCTGAATATATAAAACAACTGGTTTCAGGCATTGTTCAGACCAGTTGTATATTTTGTCTAATTTTCTAATTTTTTCTCCTGGGTAGATAAGTGTGTTCCTTGTTACTCCAAAATACTCCAAAATAAAAATTCTCATTGAAACCATCTTTTAAATGTGTTGAATTTTAGCATACAAATTTAGTGTTAGTCTTAGGAAAACAAAGGCTTTATGGAGAGGAAAGTGTATCATGGGCATAATAAGTGCATAGTAATAAAACTTATGGGGATTACAGTATTAAATGATTTTTGCTGTTTTAAAGAAGTTGTAATACAAAAAAAGGTATATAACCTCCTGGGCCAAAAAGTACTTAAATGGGAAAATTTAGGGAAAGAGAAACTACACTTTCATCAGATTTGTTGTAACTTGTAATTAAAGAGAGCCCAAACTGATGTATAACAGGAGTCTTGTAAAGTATTTATTTTGAGAGCCTAAAATAATAAAATGGAATAAAGAGTTGAATAAGAACTACAGAAACATTTATTTTCTGAAATATTGGCTCTCAGGCTGGGAATCAAACTTACTGGTTTTACTCTAGGTTAAGTTCCTTTGGGCAAGTCTTTTAGCTTTATTAACATTTCCTTATTTGAATTACAGTTAACTCTTAATACAAATAACCTTGAGTTCACCCAGTAGAAGGTGCTTTCATCAGATATATCTCATTTGCAATGGTACAGTGCTTTGTAAATATCTATTAATACTCTTAAATAATAAAGAAATATGAAATATAGTTACTAACAGGTTAAAAATGCTCTGCATCCCAATGGTTTCTTTGTATTCTTGTCATAAATACATTTGGTCTTGAAATAAAAGCAAATTCAGATGAACTAGGAAGTAAAACATTCAGTCAACATTGTGAAACAAAAAAGCAATATGAGGTAACGTGGTACTGTGCAGGACTAAAGGTACATTGAAAAGTAATGGATATAAAATGTGAATAGAGAGGAAAGCATAAGAATTAGAAAAGACTCCATTTGATTTTCTTTTATTAGTTACCTATAGACCACCATGCAAGACCTTTAAGGAAAAGATAATTTATTGACAGAGGGTATTTACTTTAATGGAAAAGAATTATTTGTTCCAGTATTCTCAAAAGGATAATTGGTGATAGATATGTAGATATAGACCAGTCATAGGGGAGGAGGCCAGAGCAGGAAAGGAAATTGTGTGCACCTCATTGTATCAGGTGAGGGACTGAAAACATCTGAAGTGAATGCTTACCTCCCATAGCCAGGTGGAATCCATCATGATGCTAGAAGGTATTTGCTAGTGCAGTGGTTCTCAAAATGTGTTCCCCAGTCCAGCAGCATCAGCATCACCTGGGCACTTTTGAAAAATGCAAATCCTCAGGCCCTACTCCATACCTACTAAATTAGAAAGTCTGGAGGTGGAGCCCAGATATATGCATTTTAGCAAACCTTCCAGGTGAGTTTCATGAACACAAAAGTTTGAGAACCTCTGTGCTAGTGTAATGGAAATGTCATCTGTTATTCAAATTGCTGGTGAGTCTTTTACATGCAGTTTTATGGATGTGTTTTCCAAAATTATCTCATTGGGGCAGATAGGATTAGAAATATTTTCTATCAAAAGAAATGACCAGTGTGCTTAAATAACACAGCATTAGAAAATAGAGAAGAGTCTCCAAGATAGAAAATAAGCAAAACTCAACTTCACGTCCCCGAATCTCTTCCCGTATTATAGTTTTATCCATTCTTGTATGATGTGATTTTTTTCTGAGATTGATCTGTGTTAAGAAGATTTAAACTAATTTTGGTTTGGTGTAAGATAATCAAATATGCTGTTTTCAGCACACACAATAAAAGAGTCCTTTAAGCTTAAAAGGGTTATAAAACCAGTTTGAAATGTACTAAAGTGAGACATTTTATCAATACAACTTCTTCTGACTTAAGTGTTACTCTTTTTTTCTCTCTCTCCTTTCTTCTACTCCTCTCTGTTCTCTTCCATTCCTTACTACTTCTCCATGCCACCTAAGCTTTCTCTCCTGCCTTTGCCTCAAATCAAAGTATGCCTTCAGAGAAGATAATTCTATGTTTAGAGTCAGATTTAGATTTAAGAATAGTAGAAAGGTATTATCTGAATGGCTACTTCTGTTGTCCCAGTAATGGCCAAAAAAAGGGTCACCTTATTACGTAAGCATTTGATTACAGATCTTGGTGCTGCCTTGCGTCTTTGCTCAGAAAACTGCTCTGTGAAAGAAACCACACTTGGTTTGAGTTGTTTCTGGAGCATTGAAAGGTAACGTTGTTACATCCAAATTTAGAGACTTATAGGAAAGAAGCAGTTTGTCCTGACCTTCTCTCTGTAAGAGAAAGTTTTTGTTCACAAAGTAATTAAAAACAGACTGGACTAAGGTTTCATTTAAACCACTCTATCATTAGGACTTAGCTACTAAGCCTGATATAGACCCTGAATGCTGTCTATCTTTATTGAAGTTGTGCCAGTCTTCCTAGGTGAGACTGATTGGTAGAAGCCTTTTACATACAACTCATTTGGACAGATGGTCTGTATTAAACAGATGATGACTATTTGGCATGTACAGCTATTCCATACAATTTGAGTTGATTAGTTCTTGTTGAGACACGCAGAAACATGAAGACTGTTGCCAGTAAGCCTGGTCCATGCTCACAGCCACCTGCTCTTTTTATTTGGGGTCATTGCCTGGGCTGTCCTCCTAGTTTAAATGCCCAAAGGCCACCCTCTTTCCACATGAAAACTGTCATGCAAGTTCAGCTTTGTGTTGTTTACATGCACACACACACATACACACCTGAAGTCACATTTTAGGACAGTTTTCTGTGAGCAGGGCCTCCCATTTTCTGGTTCAAATTTAGTCTAGATTAAAGAACTAATTTATTTTTTGTGCTTTTCAAGCTGTTGCAAATAACAAAATAGCTTGATCATCCTAATTATGACATCAGCCAAAATATGCTGAAGAGTTATACCTCACAATGATATACAGACCCTAAGAAACCATATATTAAAATTTTCTTGTAGTAATTTTTTGAATTTTCATCATCACTCTTAGCAGTAAAGAAAGCAACATCTGGCCCAGTATTTGAAGTGCTTGTATTTTCTGTTGTCTTTAGTAAATTTTATTTATTTTTACCTGTTTTCTACAAACTGTACTGTTCATTGGTTATATATTGCCGTAACTATTATATAGGGATTTGTATAAAAAAATCTTTCCTCAAATCAAATGACTTTTCAGCTAATCGACTCTAAAAGGCCCATCTGAAATGAGATAAAGTTGGAGGGTGGCTCTCTCACATTAATGACAGGTTACATATCTTAGTAAGTGGGATCTTGTAAGAATGGCAGAAAGAAATCCTAAGGCAAGTACCAGAGGCCATAAGGGTTCATTTAGTTACTGTAATTCACCCCAATTACCCTTCATTATATAGCTTTATTTTTATTGTCTTTATACCACTTACCATTGACCTCATAATTTAGTTTTTTTACTTTTTTGTCTCTTTCCACTAGAATATGGGTTTTTATTAGAGCAGGCTCTTTGTATTCACTGATGATTCCACAATACCTAGAACACACTTTATAGATGGTCAGTATCCAATAAACATTACTAAATATATGAAAGAAGGTTGTCTTTCGCCAGGCATGGTGGCTCACGCCTGTAATCCCAGCACTTTGGGAGGCTGAGGCAGGTGGATCACCTGAGGTCAGGAGATCAAGACCAACCTGGCCAATCTGGTGAAACCCCATCTCCAGCCTCCACCCTAATCTTTTTAATATACAAATGGGTTTTCTACCTGGCCAGACCATGTTGTCTGCTCCTTACTATACATATGGTTGAGAAAAGGGAAGATGGGCCAGGCACTGTGGCTCACACCTGTAATCCCAGCACTTTGGGAGGCCGAGGCAGGCTGATCACGAGGTCAGGAGATTGAGACCATCCTGGCTAGCACGGTGAAGCCTGGTCTCTACTAAAAGTACAAAAAATTAGCTGGGTGTGGTGGCACGCGCCTGTAGTCCCAGCTACTCGGGAGGCTGAGGCAGCAGAATGGCGTGAACCCAGGAGGCAGAGGTTGCAGTGAGGTGAGATCGTGCCACTGCACTCTAGCCTGGGTGGCAGAGTGAGACTCTGTCTCAAAAAAAAAAAGAAAAAAGAAAAGGGAAGATGGCTGCCATGTCAAACACGCCTAGCCCACAGGTAGCCTTTTTCTGTTGGCACAGCTGCTGGCATTTACCTGTGCAAGCTTTTAGCTTGCTTATCTATGCTTGCAGCTTGATTTTTCAGGCTGCTTTTCGTTTGGGAAGAAATAACTTGGGGCTGCTTTTTATAAAAAAGGAAACCTTACCGAGGACTTTCTTACCCTCACTATCTGCCTAAATAATTTCTTTTTAACTCCTATATCAGAAGTCTTATACTTCTTTAGTTAACTTTATTCCTATAAATTTTATTCATTTTGATGCTATTCTGAATGTAATTTTATTAATTTTATTTTCAGATTGTTTATAATTAGTATATTAAAATATAGTGGATGTTTGTGTAAGATTGCTTATAGTTAGTATATAAAAATATAATTGATGTTTGTGTAATTGATCTTGTACTCTGTGACCTTGCTGAACTTATTATTTCAGTAGTTTCATTTTGTTTATAGATTTCTTAGGATTTTCTACATAAAGGATTATGGCACCTGTGAATAAAATGTTTCACTTTCTTTTCATAATGTATGTCTTTTTTTTTCTTGCCTTATTGCACTGAATAGAACTTTTAGTACAGTGTTGATCAGAAGACGTAAGAATACACATATGTGTTTTGTTTCTGATCTTGGAGGAAAAGCATTGTCTTTTACCATTTCACTATTAAGTACATTAAATGAAACATACAGCTGCAGGTTTTTTATAGATTATCTTATAATTGAGAAAGCTGTGTTCTTCCTAGTTTTTTGAGAGTCTTTATCATAAGTAGATGTTAAATTTTGTTGGATGCTTTTTCTGTTTCATGGAGATGATCTTTTGGTTTTGGGGTTTTGCTCTTCATTCTGCTGATACATTACATGAATTAGTTGTTTGACAATAAACCAACCTTACATTTCTGGAATAAACCTCACTTGATCATTGTATATAAGTCCTTTTTTCTTATATGGGATTTCATTTGCTAATATTTTGTTGACAGTTTTTAGGTCTACATTCCTAGGAATATATTGGTCCTTGTTTTTCTGTGAGATCTTTGTATATTTTTGGTATTATGGTAATACTTGTCTCTTATAATATGTTTAACAGTATTTCCTCCTCTATTTTCTGCAAATTTGTGAATGATTATTATTGTTAATTCTTTAAATATTTGATAGAATTAACTAGTAAAGACATCTAGGGCTGAGTTTTTTCTTTTGTGGAAATGTTTTTTTCAATACCAATTCAGTTTTTTCTTTGAGGTTCTGTTAGGTTTTGTTTTTGTTTTTAATTTTTTTTTTTTGAGGCGGAATCTCGCTCTGTTGCCAGGCTGGAGTGCAGTGGCGCAATCTCGGCTCACTGCACCCTCCTCATCCCAGGTTCAAGCAATTCTCCTGCCTTAGCCTCTTGAGTAGCTGGGACTACAAGCGAACGCCACCACGCCCAGCTAATTTTTGTATTTTTAGTAGAGATGGGGTTTCACCATGTTGGCCAGGATGGTCTCAATCTCTTGACCTCGTGATCCGCCCGCCTCGGCCTCCCAGAGTGCTGGGATTACAGGCATCAGCCACCACACCCTGCCTGTTAGTTTTCTATGTGAAACAGATTATAACAAACTTAGCAGCTTTTTCATTATATTATCTATTAATTATCTAGTCCTGTAGGTCAGAAGTCCGGTTGAACTTCACTGGGTTCTCCACTGGGGATACTACAGACGTGAAATGTAGGTGTCTGTTAAACTGGTCTCTTATTTGGACACTCTTGGGAAGAATCTGCCTCCTAGCTCATTCAGGTTTTGGCAAAATTCAGTTCCTTGCAATGTAGGGCTGAGGTCTGCTTTTCCTTGCGGTCTTCCATCTGAGGGCCACTCTCATCTTAATAGAGGCTGCACACATTTCTCTACACCTGGCCCCCACCATCAAGCCAGCAACAGCAGGTCAAATCCTTCTTATGCTTCAAATCTCATTGACTTCCCTTTTGCCACCACTCTTAGAAAACTTTTGTTTTAAGGGCTTGTGTGATTAGACTAGGTCCATCTGAATGATCTTTTTTTGCCATGTGATGCAATGTAATTATGGTTAGTAGCAACAAAGATGAAGATCATGTGGGCCATCTTAAAATTTTGACTATTTGACTACTTACGAGTCTATTCAGATTTTCTATATTTTTTGAGTTAAATTCAGTAACTTACCTTCTATTAGTAATCTGTTTCATCTAAGTTGTCTGATCTGTTGCCATGTATTTTCCATAGTATTTCTTTCAATTTCTATAAGGTCAGCAGTCTGACTTTATGGTCTCCTCTTTAATTCCTGATTTTAGTAATCTGTCTCTTGTTTTATTTTATTAATAAGTGTAACTAAAAGTTTATCAATTGTGTTAATCTTTTCCAAAACTAACTTTGGATTTCATTGATTTTTTTCCAATTTTGTTTTTGTTTTCTCTAATAATTTTTATTTTCTCTCCTGCTTGCTTTGGTTTCACTTTGTTCTTTTTCTAGCTTCTTAATTTAGAAGCTTATGTTATTGACTTAAATCTTTTTTTTTCCTTTTCTGATATAGATGTTTAAAGCTATAAATCTAAATGCTGCTTTGGCTGCACTAAATATTAATTTTGGTATTCATTGTTTTTATTTTTACTCAGTGAAAATATTTTCTTCCTTCCCCTTTGACTTCCTTTTCAATCCATGATTTTAGATGTATATTAATTTTTAAATATTTGGGGATTTTTCCAAAATGTTGTTGTTGATTTCTGATTTAAATCTATAATGATTGGAGAATATATTTTCTGTGATTTCAATTCTTTTAAATTTGTAAATTTTTAACAAATTTTTTAATTTTAAAAAAATTAAAATTTTTAAAGACTATTTTATATGTTATTAAAAATAATGTGTATTCTGCTATTGTTGGGTAGAGCAATCTATAGATAACAGTTCAGTCAAGTTGATTAGTAGTATTGTTCAAATCTTTTATACTTTGCTGATTTTTTGTTTAGTTGTTCCAGCAAGTATTGAAAATGGTATATTGAAGACTGATGCTTGTTATTATAAAGTTGTTTCTTTTTCAATTTTGTCAATTTTTATTTCATGTGCCTTGGGACTCAGTTGTCAGACTTACATATATTTATAATTATTATGTCTTTCTTATTAATTTACCATTTTATCAGTATGAAATGACCTTCTTCATATATAGTAATGTTTCAAGCTTAAAGTTTGATATTAGTATAGCTACTTCATTTCTCTTTTATTTACTATTTGAATGATGTATCTTTTTCCATCCTTTTACTTTCAAGTTATTTATATATGAATCTGAAATGTATTATGGACCACATACATTTGGACCTTCTTATTTTATCTAGTTTGACAATCTTTGTCTTGTGGTTGAATGACTTAATTTATTTGCATTTAATGTAATTGTGATATGGTTGGATTTATGTCCTCTATTTTGCTGTTTTATTTTCTATATGCCCATCGATGTCTTACTCTTGTACTCCTTCCTTACTGCCTTTTTTGTGTTTGTGTGTGTGTGTGTGTGTGTGTGTGTGTGTGTGTGTATACACATTTTGTATAACATTTAAATTCCTTTACTGTTTTTTGGTGCTTCTAAAAATCATTGCTTTAGGGATTGCAATATGCTTCTTAACCTATTACAGTCTTCTTAAGGTGAATACCAACAGTATTCCAATAAAATATAAACTTTGTTTCAATGTAACATTTACTCCTCTATTTGCTGTGCTGTTATTTTCATACAGATAATATTTTTATGTTTTGTTTATTTTATTTTTTGAGACAGGGACTTGCTCTGTCACCCAGCCTGGAGTGCAGTGGTGCAATCACAGCCTCAACTTCCCAGGGTCAGGTGATTCTCCCACCTCAGCATCCAAGTAGCTGGGACTACAGGCATGCACCACCACACCTACCTAATTTTGTTTGTTTGTTTGTTTGTTTGTTTTTTGTAGAGTTAGGTTTTCACCGTGTTGCCCAGGCTGGTCTCGAACTTCTGGGCTCAAGTGATGCACCCACCTTGACCTCCCAAAATTCTGGGATTGCAGGGATGAGCCACTGCACCTAGCCATATATTTATGTTATAATCCCAACAATACTGTTTTATACTTAATTATTTTACGTAATTGTCTTATAAGGTAATTAAGAATACATATATACCTTTACCTACAAGATGATCTTTTCTGGTATTCATTATTTCTGTAGACTCAAGTAACTGGTGTAATTTCTTTCTAACCTAAAAGATTTTCTTCAGCATTTCTTATAAAGGCAGCTCTACCAGCAGCTATTCTTTCAGTCTTTTTGTCATTGGTTTATTTTGTTTTTAAATATGTGGATGTCTATTTTGCCTTCATGCCTTCATTTTTGAAGGTTAGTTTTGCTGGATATAAAATTCTTAGTTGACAGTTTATTTTTTTCAAAACTTTGAATATGTCATCCCACTGCCTTTTGGCTTCATTGTTTCTCATAAGATGTCAGCTGTTAAATGTAATGTTCTCTGTGTGTGAAGAGTCATTTCCCTTGCTCCTTTGGAGAATTTCTCATTGTCTTAGCTTTAGATAGTTTGACCAGGACTTATCTAGGTGTGGATCTCTTTGTGTTTATCCTACTTACAATTTGTTGAGCTTCTTCGATGTGCCGATTAATGTTTTTCTGGTCAAATTAGGATGTTTTTGACTATAACTTTTCCAAATATTTTTCTGACACTTTATCTCTCTCCTCTTCTTCTGGCTCTCCCGTTTCATGTATCTAGATATGCTTTGTCTCCCACAGGTCTCTGAGACTGTTAGTTTTTATCATTCTTTTTTCTTTCTACTCTTTAGGTTAAATAATCTCTATTAATCTGTTTTTAAGTTCACTGATTCTTCTGCTGTTTCCCTTCTGCTGTTGAGACCACCTTCTGAATTTTGCACTTAATTTTTTGTACTTTTCAATGCTAGCATTTCCATTTGGTTCTTTGTTGTAAAAAAAAATTCTCTCTCTTTATTGAGATTGTCTATTTGTTGCCATTGTTGTACTTACCTTTAATTCTTAAAATGTTTTCTTTTAGATCTTTCAACACATTTATTATAGCTGCTTTGAAGTTTTTCTTTACAAGTCCAATATTTGGGCTCCCTCAGAAACAGTTCCACTTTCTATTGATTGGCTTTTTTTCCCCCCAAGTATGGGTCACTCTTTTCTGTTTCTTTGCACTTCTTGTAATTTTTTATTTGAAAACTGGACATTTGATGTGATATATTATAACATCTTAGGCTTCTGATTCTTTCTCTCGAAAGTTGTTATTGCTGTCATTTTGTTGTTTTAGTGACTTGCCTGGATGCATTCTGTAGGGTTTGTCTCCCCTGCAACATATGTCCACTGATGTCACTACTCAACCTTTTTTTTCTCTTAAGCCTAGCTTCATAGAGGATTGCCCTGAGTCAGCATAGCTTAATTTGAAAACAGATGATTATTGTTAATAAATTTTGCTCTAACAACTCAAGTCATTCTGGCTTCAACCCTTTGTCACTGATCCTGTCTGAGAGTTGAGCAATGCCTTTACTTTCTGCTATTCCTTCTCATGTCTTCTCTGTATTTGAGCAAGATATCATGTTCAAACAGAGACACTTAGATAATTAAGGCCCTCTTTTAGTCTGTACTGAATGTGCACACAGACTTGAGCATGTATTCCTCCTTCTATGCCACCCAGTATATAGGAAGCTTATCAAGACTCCCTGTTGCTGTCTCGTTCCCCAGTGTCCTTGTTAAATATCTGACTGCCAGACACCTACCTGCCTCATCCAGTCAGTTCTGCTATAAGGTAACTTAAGTATTTCTAAAAGTAACCATGGTATGCAAAATCATACAATAAAAACACAGGGTTTATGGAGGAAAGTACCATATTTTAAGATATCTCAGATGTCAAACATCGAGTGTAATAGTGTTCACGTTTAATTTAACAAACTATAGACCAAATACTTCAAGTTTTTGCTTCTCAACTTTCCTTAAAGCTCTGTTTAGCATTCACTTTTTGAGGTTGGGGTTGAGGGAATTCCTAGACCATTGTTTGATTATAATGTAATTGTTTTATTATAATTCTAGGGAATTTTAGACTATTGATTCAAAGTGTTCCTTTTCATCTTCATTAAGATTTATAGTGGTAGTTCCTGGAATTATGGGGAATGCAGACATTTTTTTCAAGAACAGTAACTATGGATCCTATCCGTCATCTCCCTTCCTTTATTGGGAGTTGGAGCTGATAGGAACGTGGTAAAGGAAAGGAGTATATTCAGGTCTCCTATAAGATGACATATATATTTCTAAAAATAACCAAGCTATGCAAAACCACATAGTAAAAAACACAAGGCTTGTGTGGGAAATGATATTGGGCCAAAAAACTCAAAATTTTAGGCCAGACATGGTGGCTCATGCCTGTAATCCCAGCACTTTGGGAGGCCAAGGCAGGTGGATCAACAGGTCAGGAGTTCAAGACCAGCCTGGCCAAGATGCTGAAACCTCATCTCTACTAAAAATACAAAAAAAAATTAGCTGGGCATGGTGGCAACACACCTGTAATCCCAGCTGTTTGGGAGGCTGAGGCAGAGAATTTCTTAAACCCAGAGGCAGAGGTTGCAGTGAGCCGAGATCGCGCCACTGCACTCCAGCCTGGGCGACAGAGTAAGACTCCGGCTCAAAAAAAAAAAAAAAAATTCAAAGCAACAGTTTAAAAAAATGAGAACCTTATGAAAATAGCAGCAAAGTTTCACACTTGTTAAAATGTTAAAAATAAATACGATAAATATATATACAATCAGTATGGCAGTCCACCTTGAAACAGACTTGAAGTTTAAGTGGGTATGATAAGAGTTGTATCTTGTAAGTTATTGTCAAGTAGTGGAAGTTGGGTTTTCAGAGAGAAGAAAGAAATTTATATTACCAGATTTGGAAGATTGACCTGGGTTAGGAGTTAGCACTAAAAATCTCAGTAAGAATTCTTTTCTCCTTAATTCCTGAGGGATATTTTTTTGAATTTGAAATAGAGGTCTTTTGAGGTATACCTTTATAATAAATACCTGTTTTAACAAAATGGAAAATTTAATCCAACGTGTAGCCTTCTTCAGTTAACTCCTGTATGGCTGCTAGAAATTTTTGCAACTTCTCAGCTACACTTGTAGCCTTACCAAGCAGCTGCAGTGCTGTTTGAAACCACTAATCCAGGTATTATTAGCATGAAAAGGAGCCACTTCTACAAGATTAATGATTTACATTTAAGGTCTTTCTGTATAAATAGTGCTTCCTTTTTGTGAAATCAATTATTTTGTTCTTTGGTCTTCATTTCAAATGCTTACCAAGCATTCCATTTCTTTTTTTTTTTCTTTAGGCTGTTTTCTTTTTTAAAAATTTTTTGTTCTGCAAGTTTCCGTCATCTCATAGACTGTTTCCTTATTGACTTCATAGTACTTGAAGTTATATCAGTCATAATCTTAAAACAAATTTTTGCTGAGTTGTCTGATAATCCTCAATGCAGATTCCTTAATGTTTATTGCTCAGCAGGTATCAGATTCTCCTGTTTCTTTCAGAATACTTTACTATTTCAGGCTTCTCAATATTTGAAGCCTTCCTTTTACATGTACTGTTTGATGGTTTTGACCAAGATGTTCAGGCATTTGGGAGATGTTAATTGAGTATTTTCTTACATTCCAAAGTTCACAAATATGAAAGAATAGCATGGTATGACTTTGTAGTATAACACATGTGAGGAACCAAGATAAATGTTGGTTGTTTCAGATGTGCAATTTTGTAAATTCCACTGTTGCTCATATCAGGTGGGTGCAAGTCTATGTGTTCACCTAGTGTTTTGCCAAAAAGAATTGTGTTTAAGCAAACATGAAATTTGCATTGTGTTCAGATTTTTCTCGAATATATGAATCATGTTGAAACAGGTCCACCTTTTCAGAACAATGTTTTACACCTGAACTGACTGTATTCTAGATAATTTAGGTCAGTGCATCCCAAACTAAATGGTCTGTGGTGAAGGGCTATGTTTGGGTTTTTTGTTTGTTTATAATCTTCATGGACTGAAACTTTTGTAAAAATTTTTGTTAATAATTTCAACAGCCATAAATTATATTTCAGTTAACAGTCTGGCTGTTATCATTGAGAAAAATGACTAACTCAGTCAGGGACTGAATTAATTTAATGTTTGATGTTAGTTTTGATGAGGGCTTTTCTATTTTTTATTTTATTTTTAGATGGCTTTTCATCTAAGAATAAACGTGAAAGCCTTGGGTTTTTGAACAGGTTCTCTCTTTCTTGGTAAGCCCTGAAATCCAAATGTTGTTTCCAACCCTGTGAGACTACTTAAAGCTCCTCTTGGCTCCTCCACTAGCACTTCTTTTACATTTTAAATTAAATTTCTTTTAAAATGTCTTGAACAGAAAAGCAATGACTAATGTTAAGGTCATCTTTTTTTGCTTACCTTCTATCTGAAATCTTGGCTCTTTCATGTTCTCAACACCTTGGTAACACTTCAGTGCCTTCAAACTAATTTTAAAAAATATTTTTTCCTATCATTCATTCTTGCAGGAAGTATGCAAAAATTGCATTATTATCCGCAATAGATTGTGCCTAAACATTTTGAGAATTTTGCTCTCCTAGACCCTGAAGAAATTTTATAGAGTACTTAATCTACAAATTTTAGAAAGGTTGTTGGTGCCTGATTTTTACATAAAAAGGTAGTTCCAGCTGGGCGCGGTGGCTCACACAGGTAATCCCAGCACTTTGGAAGGCCAAGACGGGTGGATCACCTGAGGTCAGTAGTTCGAGACCGGCATGGCCAACACAGTGAAACCCCATCTCTACTAAAAATACAAAAAATTAGCTGGGTGTGATGGCACATGCCTGTAGTCCCAGCTACTCGGGAGGCTGAGGCAGGAGAAACACTTGAACCGAAATCGCGCCACTGCACTCCAGCCTGGGTGACAGAATGTGTGGTTCCTTTTTGTGCCTTGGCTAGGTATCTACCATCTGCCTAGTCTCCTGAATCTCCAAAGATTGTTCAATATAACTTGCAGATTGGAACATTTTAATTTTAATACAATTATTTCAGTTTAGGCTGTTAGTTTTGTGGTCTATTGTAGGCCTTCCTTTTTGTCTTCTACTATCTCTCCATGTAAACTTCGTGTTTTGATTCCTTTGGGTACTGAGATAATCTGTCCTTTATTATTTCATTTCCTTCCACTGCCTATCACTTGGCTCATTGGCCATCTACTATATTAGATGGGCATAAGGAATTAAAAGTGAAACTTCTTCCATGGCACTGACACCATTTTTATACTGGCTCCTTCCTAAAATTTTGGCTGCATCTATTTGCCATTGCCCTGTTCACTATGCTCTGGACTCCCTAGAGTTCACCCTACATATTTATTTTCATCATCCCTGTCTTCAACTAATATTTTCCACTCTGCCAGAAATGTCCTACACCTCACACCCTCACATATACCTTTATTATTAATTCCAATTTGTCTTCCAAAATTTCGCATAAATGTCAACTCTGCTATGAAACTTTTTCAACTTCCTTGCCCTCACTAAAGGCAAAACTAATTCCCCTGCTGCTGCTCTTTATATATAGCACTCTTGATAGACTTTATCACGTAAAATGGTTTTCCCCTTTTGCCAAAATTTGAGGGCTGTGAGAGTTGGGACTCTGACTTACCAAGCCTGGCACCTAGCACAGTATCCGGCAGATACTTTCAGATCCCCATCCTGCCCGCTCATCTCAAGGTGGCAGCCTATACTTTTGGATAAAATTTTAAAGAGGGAGTATAATGACACCAAATGTGTTTATTCATAATATTTTGGTTATGCATACTACTCCCTTATAATGCTGGCCAAATATACAAGATTTGGCCTTTGGCTACAAAACTTTTGGCTATTCCTATGTACCTTCCATTTAATAACTTGAAAAAAAATCATTCCTT
Organism: Homo sapiens; assembly: GCF_000001405.40. NCBI lineage: Eukaryota > Metazoa > Chordata > Mammalia > Primates > Hominidae > Homo > Homo sapiens. The sequence continues at coordinate 37,048,086 of NC_000018.10, forward strand.
CCAAAATGTCCAGCATCTTAATCCTTTCTTTTCCCATTTGGTACTAGAGCAGCACTCAAATAAGCGAACAGAAGGAAAATATTTATTTTTAAGTATTTTTGAATAAGCTGTAAGACTGTATTTGTTTGGTAGTGTCTTCTCACACATTGGATAACGACATTAACTGAAAAAGGATTTAGGGGAAAATGCAATTAACTTTACATTTTCTAAAGCCCTGCTTGTCCCAGATTTCCATAAATCTCTCTTCTGAATGTAATGCTGTATGTCTCCAAATGTGCTATCCTTCTTTATGATGTGAGAGTCACTTACGTTAAGGCTGATTTTTTTTTTTAACAACTCAACAAAGTAGGAGTCCTGAGGCAGTTGCCTTTTATTCAAGTATTATGTCTTACAACCTGTCTATTTGCCTATCCTTACTCTAGGTTGATACAGCACATATTTTTTAGTCATCCAATACAATCTCTAGTTTTAAACCCTTTTCATGGAACATTGTAGAAGGCAATATAATAATGGTGCTTTACGTTTAAATTCTCATTTCAAAAGCAAAAATTGCCCTAGTAATTTGCTATTTTACTGATCTAAACTAAAAAGCCATAAAGATCCCTATTTTTATGGCCTCTGTTTAAGACAGTTGAAATTTTCCTTGTGTTCATAGAACTTTTTATCAGTCTGTAAACACTTGGACTGAGAAATTATAAACTGTGAGTGGCTGCTGGAATACACTAAATACATTTTAAGATAAGTTACCTGTTAAGTTCCTTAGGATACAAGTTAGTCCATTTAGCTGTTGCTGCTCCTGCTTCCTGCTTGTTGGTTCTTTCAATAAATATTCACTAATTTAAGTGTCTTTTAATTGTAAAGAATGGTGTTATTGAAATATGAGGTTGAAAGTAACATTTTCTTTATCCCCAAGTTCCATACAGTATATTGGAGAGGTGCCAAAATCTATGCAAAAACCATTATTTATTGTGCATTGTGCACTGCTGTCTCTTACTGGGGATAACGCAATGAATAAAACATACATGGTCTGTGCCCTCAAAGAGTTCACAGTTTAAGAGAACTGTAAATAAATACTTAAACATCACAAGGAAAGTTAGAGATGTGAAAACAGCTAACACTTAACTGTCATGGAACAGGATGAAAAAAGTTCAACAATAAAGGAATGAAATGCTCTTGCGGTGCCTGGGAAGGCACAACTAGTCTGAACTGGGGACATAGGAAAACCACAATGGAGGAAAATGATGCCAACTCAGCCTTGAATCATGAGTAGAACTTTGAAGACCAGAAAAAGAAGTTAGGGCATTTGAGCACTAGGAAACTCATTTTATTTTTATTTCTAAATAAAATATCTTCCCTTGTTTTTTTTACAGTAAACCAAACTAGCTAATAAACAATACTCTAAATTTTTAAAAGTCAGGATTTGTCACAATGTTAGTTAAAAGATTAAGATTTCTAAACAATCTTGAGACCCCCAAGGAAAGGCTAACCCTCCAAGGACAGCCATCTTAAATCTCTTCGGTTTGGTAGTTCTCTGTGCCTTCAGAAATGCTTCTCACTCAGTCTCTTTAATATCCCTGGTCTGATCTATAGCCACCTACACAAGGAAGAAATGAACATACAGGCTTAAGAAAGACTCTGATCTTTAGTAATAAGGCTGTGATTCACCTTGGGAAATCTTGGATAACAGTTTGGTCTTCTGTCTGTCTTATTTGTCTACAAATAGAGTGTGGGTTATACTTTTTGGTATTTCTTAAATACTGTTTTTCAGAGAGTTTATTTTCACTTGTTTGTCTCAGAAATACAGTGTACGTACTTTTTCCTTAACCAATAGCATAAATACAATATAAACTCTGATCTCCCCTGCAGGGACAGCTGGGTTTGTGCAGATAGTGTTAATTTTATGTTTTCTAGAAAATGTATTAGAATTTTTTGTTAAAACTCTCTTTCATATGACACAAATTCATCTTTGAATGAATTTAAAAGAACCCATTGAAACATCTGTCTATACCAAGTTCTGGTTTCTATTCCTGAGCCTGATTGTTACTGGAGGACATAAAAGAGGTCAGTGAATGGTCCCTGGGAGTGCTGCTTGGTAGCCTCAGGATACTCTCTACAAACCAAACCAAGAGGGTGGCACCAAAAAAAGAAAAAAAAGGAAAAAGAAAAAAGGTCTATACATCTTATAGATCATTTTTTTATGTTGCGTCCTTAAATGAATCTTAGTATTAGTTGGCTTTATTCTCCTTTATGTTTTGTTTTTATTTTATACCTCTGAAGACTGTTCTCACCACTTCTTCCATGGGGTTCCCTTGTCTTTGCCTGTCTCATTTTCTCTTTAAAATTATTTCACCTTTTTCTGATCTGCATTAAATAATTCAAACTAGCATTATGCTTTTCTTTCTCATATACATTTAGAAAACCATGTATAAGACTGCTTTTTTTCTTTTGGCAACTACATTTATATATGTGAAAATGATTTGAATCAGTACCATTGTTACATATTTCTGTGGTAAATGGCTGTCCCTTTTAAATCCCATCAAAATATTTATCAAAAATAAATATCCTCACAATTAGACGTTTGTCTTCTTCAACTTTCAGTTGTGTCTCTTTCAGGTTGAATGACCAGATATATAAATTGTGATGCTGATTTAAGTTATTCAGCATGTGAATCACATAAGGCAGTAACAGAGTTAGAGGAAATAGAACCAAGACATATTCAGTAATTTGCTCTAAGTCTGTTCATTGATAGCTGAATGTTTACTGATTGGTATGATTTCTCATCTAGCCTTTTTCTTTTCTTTCATTTCCTTGATGTACAGCAACTTAATCCTGGTGTTTTTCAGCTCTTAAACGTAGCATAAACCATAGAGATAATCAAACCCAACCCTCTCTTTTACAAATGACTAAACATGCTTAAGAGAGGTAAAGGGACTTACCTAAAACAACAGAACTCCTAACTAATAGTATTAGAATTATAATCAAGGTCTTTTGACCCTACATTGAGTATTCTGTCAATTGTTCCATGATGTCTCGTCATTTTTATAGCAACTCAAAAAATTTCAACTTTCACGAAATGTAGTAATGGTTAAATAACATAAGGTTTAAAAGAAATAACAGATTAGAGCAGAACTAAATGAAATTGAGAGCAAAAAAAAAAACATATAAAAAGGGTCGGTGAAACAGTTGACTCTGAAAGGATAAACAAAATTGATAGACCACTTGCTAGATTAATAAGGAAAAAAAAGAAGATTCAAATAAGCACACTCAGAAATCACAAAGGTGACGTTACAGCTGATACCACAGAAATACATATGATCCTCAGAGACTACTATGAACATCTCTATACATACAAACTAGAAAGCCTAGAGGAAATGGATAAATTCCTGGAAACCCACACCCTCCCAAGATTGAACCAATAAGAAGTTGAAATCCTAAACAGACCAAATAACGAGTTATGAAATTGAATCAGTAATAAAAAATCTATCAAAGAAAACCCTGTACTAGATGGGTTCACAGCTACATTCTACCAGATGTTCAAAGCAGAGCTGGTACGAATCTTACTGAAACTATTTTTAAAAATCAAGGAGGAGGAATTCCTCCCCAACTCATTCTACAAAACCATTATCTTCCTGATACCAAAATCTGGCAAAGACACAATAAATAAGACTACAGGCCAGGCTGGGTGCAGTGGCTCCCACTGTAATCCCAGCACTTTGGGAGGCCAAGGCAGGCGGATCACTGAAGTCAGGAGTTCAAGACCAGCCTGGCCAACATGGTGAAACCCCATCTCTACTAAAAATACAAAAATTAGCCAGGCGTGGTGCTGGGTGCCTCTAATCCCAGCTATTTGGGAGGCTGAGGCAGGAGAATCACTTGAAACTAGGAGGTGGAGGTTGCAGTGAGCCAAGATCACGCCACTGCACTTTGGCCTAGGTGACACAGCAAGACTACGTCTCAAAAAAAAAAAAACTACAGGCCAGTATCCCTGATTAACATAGGTAGAGATTTTCTTAATAAAATATGAGAAAACCAAACCCAGCAACACATCAAAAGGATAATTTATCACAATCAAGTGGATTTTATTCCTGAGATGCAACAATGGTTCAACATATGCAAATGAATAAATGTGATTCACTCCATAAACAGAATTAAAAACCATATGATCACCTCAATAGATGCAGAAAAAGCTTTCAATAAAATCCAACATCTCTTCATGATAAAAACCCTCAACAAACTAGGTGTTAAAGAATATACCTCAAAATAAAAAGAGGAACTTACGACAAATACACCGCAAACATCTTACCAAATGGAGAAAAGTTAAAAGCATTACCCCTAATAACTGGAACAAGACAAGTATGTTCACCTCACCATTCCTGTTCAACGTAGTACTGGAAGTCTAGCCAGAGCAATCAGACAAGATAAAGAAATAAAAGACATCCAAACAGAAAAAGAGGACGTCAAATTATCTCTGTTCACTGACGACATAATCCTATATCTAAAAAAAAAACCCTAAAGATTTCTCCAAAAGGCTTCTAGAATCAATAAACAAATTCACTAAGGTTTCAGAATACAGAATCGGCATTCAAAAAACCAATAGCATTTCTATACACCAATAACGTTCAAGCAGAGAACCAAATCAAGAACTCAATGCCATTTACAATAGCCACACACACAAAAATGAAATACCTAGGAATACAGCTAACCAAGGAAGTGAGATCTCTACACGAACTAAAAAACAATGCTGAAATGTAACAGAGATGACAAAAACAGGTGGAAAAGCATCCCATGCTCATTAATGGGAAGAATCAATATCATTAAAATGACCATACTGCCCAAATCGATTTATAGATTCAGTGCAAACCCTATCAAGTTACCAACATCATTTTCATAGAATTAGAAAAAGCAGTTCTAAAATTCATATGGAACCAAAAATGAGTGCAAATAGCCAAAGCAGTCCTAAGCAAAAAGAACAAAGCTGGAGGCATCACATTACCTGATATGAAACTATGCTACAAGGAAATAGTAATCAGAATAGCATGATACTAGTACAAAAATAGACACACAGACCAATGGAACAGAATCCAGAAATAAGGTAGCACATCTATAACCAACTTATCTTCATCAAAGTCAACAAAGGTACACAATGGAGAGAGGATACCCTGTTCAATAAATGGTGCTGGGAAAATTGGCTAGCCATATGCAGAGGAAAGAAACTGGACTCTTATCTTTTACCATATATAAAAATACACTCAAGATGGACTAAAGACTTACATGTGATACTTAAAACTATAAAAATTCTAGAAGAAAATATAGGAAAAACACACTTGGATATTGGCCTAAGCAAAGAATTTATGACTAAGACCTCAAAAACAAATGCAACAGAAATAAAAATATATGAATGGGACATAATTAAATGAAAGAGCTTCTGCACAGCAAAAGAAACTATCAACAGAGTAAAAAGACAGCCTTAAGAATAGTATTAGTTCATTTTCACAGTGCTATAAAGAAATACCCAAGACTGGGTAATTTATAAAGGAAAGAGGTTTAATTGACCCACAGTTCCACATGGCTTGGTAGGCCTCCGGAAACTTACAATCATGGTGGGAGGGAAAGCAAACATATCCTTCTTCACGATCTTGTGAGAACTCACTCACTATCACGAGAACAGCATGGGAGTAACCACCCCCATGATCCAGTCACCTCCCACAAGGTTCCTCCCCCAACACGTGAGGATTACAATTCAGATTACAATTCAAGATGAGATTTGGTTGGGTACACAGAGCCAGAACATGTCAAATAGAATACAGAATTTGCAAAGTATGCATCTGACAAAGGTCTGGTATCCAGAACCTATAAGGAACTTAATCAGATCAACAAGAAAAAAAAAAAAACATTAAAAAGTAGGCAAACGACATGAACAGACACTTCACAAAAGAAGATATGTAAGTGGCCAAGAAACATGAAAAAATGCTCAACATCACCAGTCATCAGAGAAATGTAAATCAAAACCACAATGAGATACCATCTTACATCAGTCAAAATGGCTATTATTAAAATGTAAAAAAATGTAAAACCCAGATATAGGTTGGAATGCAGAGGAAAGGGAACAGTTACAACTTGTTGGTGGGGATGTAAATTAGTTCATCCCCTATGGAAAACAGTATGGAGATTTCTTAAAGAAGTAAAACTGGAACCAACATTTTACCTAGCAGTCTCACTACTAGATATCTACCCAAAGGAAAAAAAATCATTTTATCAGGAAAGACACCTGCACTCATATGTTTATTGCAGCACTATTCACAATAGCAAAGGTGTGGAATCAACCTAAGTGTCCATCAATGGTGGATTAGACAAAGAAAAGTTGGTATAGATACACCATGAAATAGTATGCAGCCATAGAAAAGAATGAAATCACATCCTTTGCCGGAAAATGGATGCAGCCAGAGGCCATTATCCTACGCAAATTAACACAGAAACAAAAAGTCAAATACCACACGTTCTCACTTTTAACTGGAAGCCAAACAATGAGTACACATGGATATAACGATGGAAACAGTAGACACTGGGGACTCCAAAATGGGAGTGGAAGAGTGGGGAAAAGGGTTGTAAAAGCTGCCTGTTGGGTAGTACATCCACTATTTGGGTGATGGATTCACTGGAAGCCAAAACCCAGCATTATGCAGTACATCCACATAACAAATTTGCACATGAACCCCCTGAATCTATTTTTTAAAAAGATTATGAGATTTAGCCTTTTCTGAATCTGGTAGTTACTGTTAAAAATGTTGACAGGCCAGAGGTACACATATCCTAGCATCTGTTCTGACATTTGGTAGGTGTTACTAGTGTTCTATTCTGTTATTTACACTTTATTGTGTGCCTTCTGTGTGCCTATATTCTTTTAAATTCCATAATTATTGACTTTAATGTCTCTCAGATTCAGTATTCCTAAATTGTGCTGCAATCCCTATGGGAACTAGAATAAGTTATGAGAGCCTAGAAAATGTTTTTGACTGCTCCATTCTGTTATTTTCTCTTCCATTGATGGCCTACAGCTTCGGCTGCTGAGTGGTGAAGGAGCTTAAACCTCCTGGGCCCATTAGATCTAACTTGTTTACTGCATTGATATCTATATGTTAAATGACAAGAGAGTTCAAGTTATTGAATAATTTAAAATTCAGCTCTAATTGGTGTCATATGACCTGGAAAAGGCCATGGATGATGCCAGGAGCATGCTGTGAATTTCTTATAAATAATTCATGAATTAGATGATTCATTTGCTTGGATGTCTTGCTAAATGCAGAAGTTTGTAAGTTGCAACTGATGATATAACACCTGTAAGTATTTAGTTCATATGCTTAGAAGGTAATCTACCTTGATGATCTTCTAGCAAAATCTGCCAGCAGAGGAGAGTTAATTGCATGGGGGAAAATGAACATTTATTTGGGATGAGACTTTGGCAAACCACACAGTGCAGCTGTTGCATCACATATTTTCTGTCAACTTGACGACTGGTCCATATATGCCTAGTGTTAAAAATGCATCATGTCATTCTGTGCCTTCTTTTACATTAACTCCAGATGCTCTGGGAGATACAACGACCTGGCCCACACAGTAGTTTAGGTTTAGAAATATTTATTTAGGTCTTGAAATACTGACTTCTCAATAGAATAAAGAGCAGAGAGGGAAATTTTGAAGTTACAAAACTGAGATTTATTCATTCTTATAAGGCTGTAAGTGGGAATATGAGGATTGTTATAGGGTGCTTATCAGGATAGGAAATTATTATTTATCATTAGAGAATGAATAGCAATAAGACCTGTTGGTACTATTGAGTAATCCTGTGGTGAACAACTCATAAATGCATTGGAAGTAATCACATCCTAAACATCTAAAGTTAATAACAACCTGTTATAAGAAATTATTACTGCAGTTTAGTTCACCTCTTTATGAGACTGACCAGGCCTATAAAAATGATTTACAGAAACTTATAGAACATCACTGTTTACTTGTTGATGGGATTTCACAAAGTAATACTGCAATTGTTTTTTGACATGTGAGAACGTGAGAAAATCCTGGCTTATCATAAGAATAGTATGTGATTTTTGGTATGTGTTCATATATGTGCTTATGTACATGTGTATGTGTGCATACATGTATACAAGATCATATACATATTTATAAATAGGCATTGTTTTCTATGCAGTCTTTAAAACATTGTATTTTTAAAATTATCTTAAAGATTTAGAAAATATTTTTCTAACTCAGAAATTTATTTATCTTCAATATTAGAAAATCCTTCATTGTATCCAAACCAAGTCTCTCACAGGTTTTTTTTTTAATCCTTGTTCTTTTGTCATTAGTTTCTTTTATCTAGTCATTAGCCTGTGCCTACCCAAGTTATGAAATATTATGCTTCAATTCTGTCGTAAACCAAAGATACCTTCATTTTCTCCTCATCTTTGTTTTATGCTGTGGATTCCATAGCACACCATGTTAGAAGTCGCCCTTGATGGAAGTTATTTTTAGTAGCCAAAAATTGTGGTATCTTTAGTATAAGACAAATCCTTTTCTCTTTTTTTTGAAATGGAGTCTCCCTCTGTCACCCAGGCTGGAGTGCAGTAGTGTGATCTCGGCTCACTGCAACCTCTGCCTCCTGGGTTCAAGCAGTTCTCCTGCTTCAGCCTTCCAAGTAGCTGGGATTGCAGGAGTGCACCACCATGCCTGGCTAATTTTCAGTTAAGATGGGGTTTCACTATGTTGGCCAGGCTGGTCTCAAATTCCTTACCTTAAGTGATCCACCCACCTTGGCCTCCCAAAGTACTGGGATTACAGGCATGAGCCACCACGCCCAGCCTATATAAGACAAATCCTAATATGCTACCACTGTGAACTTAACTTTTTTATCTGTTGTAATCTATAGATTTTTTCCTGTCTAAATACAGTTTGTTTTTGTAGCCTATGTATATCCCCCTACATGCTTTTCTGCTAAATGTCATTTGTTCATTCATGTAGCTCATTTTTATTACATAGAAAAAAATGTAAATATGTAGTACATTTCAAGTCATATTGTTCACTTTTATTACTGGGTTTTGAGCATATTCATAGAATTATTTAATGCCTATTCATAGGATTCTTCAATTGAAAGAATATTTAGTATAATCATCAAGTTCAGTTGGCAAACTACAGCAGGTCATATATAGCCCACTGCATGATTTTGTACAACTCATGAGCTAAGAATGATTTTTACTTCTTAGCCATTTAATGATGGTTCCATTTAAAGAACCATCATTAAATGGTTGGGGGAAAAGGATATTTCATGAAATTGGAAAATTGCATGAATTTTTTTTTTTTTTTTTTGAGACACAGTCTCACTCTGTCGCCCAGGTTGGAGTGCGGTGGCGCGATCTCGGCTCACTGCAAGCTCCGCCTCCCGAGTTCACACCATTCTCCTGCTTCAGCCTCCTGAGTAGCTGGGACTACAGGTGCACACCACCACATCTGGCTAATTTTTTTTTTTTTTGTATTTTTAGTAGAAACGGGGTTTCACCGTGTTAGCCAGGATGGTCTCGATCTCCTGACCTCGTGATCCACCTGCCTCGGCCTCCCAAAGTGCTGGGATTACAGGCATGAGCCACCACGCCTGGCCTGCATGAAATTTAAATTTCACTGCCTATAAATAAGGTTTTACTGTAACACAGATACAACCATTGTCCATGTATTATCTCTCTTGCTTTTGCACTACAAAAGCAGAGCTGTGCAGCTATGACAAGGATCTCATGGCCTGCAAAGCCAAAAATATTTATTGTATGGCCCTTTACAAAAAAAAAGTTTGCCGACCTTGTCGTAGTTGCACTTGGCTGAGGCCAGCATCACAGGCGGTGAACGAATTTACCAAGATAGTCATAGGTAAAGAGAGGCAGATTTATTAGAGAAAGTATGGATATATGTTGCAGGGGTGCAACAGACAACACGACAGAGAAGGGCTGTCTGCAAAGAGTCAGGGACTGTAGGGAAGCTTTCTAGGGTTGTTCTGTAGGGGCTACATGTGGAATGAGGTTGTGCTGCTTGGGTTATGTGCAGAGAGATGTGGTTAACCCAGCAGCTTGTTTGTGATTAGCTGTCTCTCAGAGCAATTGTTTTCCCCCACCTGAGACCCCTTCCTCGTTGTTGCTTACTTATCAGGACTCCACATTCCTCTGCAAGATAGGTATAAAAATCAGTAAATTCTAGCTACATGCAACATCATGGATAAGGTTCACAAATATAATGTTAGATGAAAGAAGCCAGACACAAAAGAATATATATCATATGATTCCATTTATACTTAAAAAATAAACAAGTAGGCTGGGCATGGTGGCTCATGCCTGTAATCCTAGCACTTTGGGAGGCCAAGGCAGGTGGGTTGCCTGTGCTCAGGAGTTTGAGACCAGCCTGGGCAACACGGTGAAACCCTGTCTCTACTAAAATACAAAAATTTAGCCAGGTATGCAGCGTGCCCCTGTAGTCCCAACTACTTGGGAGGCTGAGGCAAGAGAATTGCTTGAACCCAGGAGGCAGAGGTTGCAGTGAGCCGAGATCATGCCACTGCACTCCAGCCTGGGTGACAGAGCAAGACTCTGTCTCTAAAAAAAAATTTTAATAAAATAAATAAATAAATAAACAAGTAAAACTGAACTCTAGTATGGATGTTGAAGCACAAAAGGTTCAAAGCAAAGAAGTTACTCCCCTAAAGGTCAGAATAGTCATTCCCTTTGACTGGAGAGGTAGAGGGTACTAACTGTGTGGGGCCAGGAGGGTCTTTTGTGTGCAAGTTGTGTTTTTTTTTTCTTGGATAGTGGTTACATGGGTATTGCCTTGTGATTATTTACTGAGCTGTTCATATTTGTTTTGTAAACATTTCTCTGTTTATTATATTTCACGTTAAAGAAGTTGGGTTTTTTTTTTAGAAGGAACAGTATAGAGTAACAGAAGTAACAGAGTGAGATATTTCCCATATCTCACATGCAATGTTGATGTGACCTTGGGAAAGTTGTATTGCTTCATCGAACCTCATTTTCCCATCTGTAAAATGGTAATTATAATAACTACCTTACAGAATTAACGTTGAATATGTAAAACATTTGGCATACTACATAGTAAGCTCTGAGTTAAGAATAGCCTAAGTGCAACCTACAGAATGGGAGAAAATTTTTGCAATCTAGCCATCTGACAAAGGGCCAATATCCAGAATCTACAAGGAACTTAAACAAATTTACATGAAAAAAACAACCCCATCAAAAAGTGGGCAAAGGGTATGAACAGACACTTCTAAAAAGAAGACATTTATGTGACCAACAAACATAAGAAAAAAAGCTCATCATTACTGGTCATTAGAGAAATGCAAATCAAAACCACAATGAGATACCATCTCATACCAGTTAGAATGGCGATCATTAAAAAGTGAGGAAACAACAGATGCTGGAGAGGATGTGGAGAAATAGGAATGCTTTTACACTGCTGGTGGAAGTGTAAATTAGTTCAACCATTGTGGAAGACAGTGTGGCGATTCCTCAAGGATCTAGAACCAGAAATACCATTTGACCCAGCAGTCCCATTACTGGGTATATACCTAAAGGATTATAAATCATTCTGCTATAAAGACACATGCATATGTATGTTTATTGTGGCACTATTCACAATAGCAAAGACTTGGAACCAACACAAATGCCCATCAGTGATAGATTGGATAAAGAAAATGTGGCACATATACACCATGGAATACTATACAGCCATAAAAAAGGATGAGTTAATGTCCTTTGCAGGGACATGGATGAAGCTGGAAACCATCATTCTCAGCAAACTAACACAGGAACAGAAAACCAAACACTACATGTTCTCACTCATAACTGGGAGGGGAACATCACACACTGGGGCCTGTTGGGGGATGGGGGGCTAGGGGAGGGATAGCATTAGGAAAAATACCTAATGTAGATGATGGGTTGATGGGTGCAGCAAAACACCATGGCACATGTATACCTATGTAACAAACCTGCACATTCTGCACATGTATCCCAGAACTTAAAGTATAATAATAATAATAATAATAAATAGCCTATGTGATGACAGGCTGTTCTTGGAAAATGTAGGGCATTCAATGGTCAGTGAAGGTGACTGTTTAGAGAAATAATTTGTACAAAGTTGTTCCTTGACCTTCATTTTTTATTTTCCATCTCTTTAACACTTATTTTGAATTATTTAAAGGTCTTGTTTTCACCAAGCACTTCACAAAAGAAGACATTCACATGACCAAAAAGCATAAGAAAAGTTGTTCAACATCATGACATATAAGAGAAATGCAAAATAAGACCACAACGAGATTTCACTGCACACACACCAAAATGGCTAAAAATAAAAACACTTATACTACCAAGTGTTCACGTGAATGCGGAGCAACTGGGACTCTTACACTTCACTTGTGGGATATGAAATCAAATAAACACTTCGGAAAACTTATTGGATTGGCAGTGCCTAATAAAGTTAAACGTATGCCTACACTATGGCCAAGATAAATAAATGCATATATCTAAAAAAAAAGACTTTTATCATTACTTTTAATGGCAAAAACGCAATTACTTTTGCACCAGCCTAATATAAGACTATTCATACATGCTTTATTCATAATAACCCCTAACTAGATACAATTTTATATCCATCAACAAGAGAATGAATAAATTGTGATATATTCATACAGTGAAATACTATGCAGCGGGCTGAGCGCTGTGGCTCACGCCTGTAATCTCAGCACTTTGGGAGGCCGAGGCAGGTGGATCATGAGGTCAGGAGATCGAGACCATCCTGGCCAACATGGTGAAACCGTGTCTCTACTAAAATAGAAAAATTAGCCGGCCATGGTGGTGTGTGCCTGTAGTCCCAGCTACTCAGGAGGCTGAAGCAGGAGAACCTCTTGAACCCAGGAGGCAGAGGTTGCAGTGAGCCAAGATCGTGCCACTGCACTCCAGCCTGGGCGACAGAGCAAGACTCCGTCTCAAAAAAAAAGAGAAAGAAAAATACTACGCAGTGATAAAAAGGATGCACTATTTATTGAAACACACAACATAGAAGAAGCTAAAAAATTATGTTGAGCTAGAAAAACCAGGCACAAAAGAGTGACATACTCTATGATTGCATTTATTTGAGGTTTAGCATAAGCAAAATGAATCTGGTCATAGAGGTCAGAATGATAGTTATCCCTGGGAGTCTGAGGAGGTGCTATCGACTAGAAAGGGCACAAGGGAACTTTCTGGGGTAATGGAAATGTTCTATAACTTGATCTAGGTGATGGTTACACAGATAGATACAAATATAAAAATTCATCAAGCTGTACACTGAAGATCTTTGCGTTTTATTGTAAATTACGCCTCAATGTTTTAAAAAAATTGTGGTTTCTAAGTTACTGTTATATCTCGGAAGACAATCACATTAAACCCGTATGTCAGAGGCAGCCATTTGGGAGTTCGTGTTGGTTTAAGCCTTAGTTAAGAGAAGTTATATTTGCAAGTATAGAAATCCTGGAGCAGCTCCAGAAAGAAAAATACATCTATTTCATTCAGGCCCATTGTTACTTCCTTGTGTCCTAAAGGCAACATCTGTCTTCAACTCTACTAATAAAATAGCTTAATTTTTTATATTCAGATTCTTACAGGGGGTTTTCAATTTCTATTGTCTTCCTCTTCCTTTAGTTACTGTGACCCATACCCCATCTTGAATTTTTCTGTTAAGCTTTTATAGCAGACCATATGCTGTTGAGAATGTCTGTGTACAAGCCCTAGTGCAGTGCATACAGAGTGATAAATATAGCTCTTTCCTTCAAAATTGTTGAGTCAGAATTCAATGAGAAGAATCATACTAATAATAATAATGGGAAACATTCTTTTGAATACTAACTTTATGTTAGATATGGTCCACGCGCTTTATATGTATTACTTCATTTAATCCTTACAAGAACCCTAAAAGGCAGTGCAACATGTTAGTGTAGAGTGATATCTTTTGTATGAAGGAGAAAAATGAATAACTTCTCTGTTAAGCAATTCAATTCTGGCCTGACTTGCAAACTCAACTTTAGCAAAATAAAGGTAAGTTACTGAACTCATTCACTTTAGAAGAAGTTTAGATATAACCTGTTGTAACTGAACATGGCCTTTGGGGATTTCTCCCCCACCTCATCTACACACCACATACAATGTTCTCCTTGAAAGAAATATGAGTGGGTTTTTTTCTTTTTTGTAAATTGGAATTTTATAAATTGGTGCCCTTGATAACTGCCCATCTTTCTCACCACCACATTCAGTTTTGAAATAGATGTGGTTTTTTTTGTTTTGTTTTTTGTTTTTGTTTTTTTTTTTTGAGACAGAGTCTCACTCTAGAGTCGCCCAGGCTGGAGTGCAGTGGCGCAATCTTGTTTCACTGCAAGCTCCGCCTCCTGGGTTCACGCCATTCTCTTGCCTCAGCCTCCGGAGTAGCTGGGACTGCAGGCGCTTGCCACCACGCCCAGCTAATTTTTTATATTTGTAGTAGAGACAGGGTTTCACCGTGTTAACCAGGATGGTCTCGTTCTCCTGACCTCGTGATCTGCCTGCCTCGGCCTCCCAAAGTGCTGGGATTACAGGCGTGAGCCACCGCGCCCGGCCAATAGATGCATTTTTTAATCCCTGTTTTACTGGTGAGGAACCTGAGTAAAACTGGTGTTTTACTGGTGAGCAACCTCAAATTGCTTAGGCAATTTGAGTAATGTGCTGTATTAGTTTTATAGTGCCGTGTAACAGATTACCACTAACCTGGTAATTTAAAGCTATGCAGATTTATTACCTCACAACGGTTTCTGTGGGTCATGAGTATGGGCACAACTTAGTTGGGTCCTCTGCCTAGGTTCTTAACAATGCTGCAATTAAAGTTCAGCTGGGCTGCATTCCTTTTTTTTTTTTTTTTATACTTTAAGTTCTAGGGTACATGTGCACAACGTGCAGGTTTGTTACATATGTATACATGGCTGCATTATTATCTGGAGCTCAAGGTCCTCTTCCAAATTCACATGGTCATTGGCAGAAGTTAGTTTCTTACATCTATGTGATACATGTCCCATTTACTTACTAGCTGTTGGCTGGAGACTGCTTTCTGCTCCAGATGTTTTTGCCACTTGATTGGCCCGCCCACAACATAGCAATTTATTTCTTCATGGCCAGCAGAAGAATCTCCAACCTTATGTGGGGTGGGGGATGAGGGAGCAGGATAAGACCTTCTTTTAAAGGGCTTACCTGATTAGATCAAGCACACCCAGGATAGTCTCCCTTTTTATTAACTCAAAGTCAACTGATTAGGAACCTTAGTTACATATGAAGTCTGTTTTGCCATAAAATGTAATATAATCTCAGGATTTATATCCTGTCATATTCACAGGTCCTCCCTACACTCAAGGAAAGAAGATAATAAAAGTTGCGTACACTAGGGGGTGAGAATCACGGGGAGCATCTTAGAATTCTGCCTATTACACATGCACAGTAACCAAGCAGGTAATTGACAGAGCATTGCTCTCTAGGCAAAGCATTCGTTAAAATCATTAAGCTGTACTACCTCTCAAAAACAGGAAACATTAACTGAAAAAAATTTTTTAATTTATTCCAAATACTTGATTTTGTGGATAATTTCACAGTTAGTACCATTAAAGTAAGTGTAGAATATGTCAGTACCTAAAAATGGACATATGTAAATAATGTTATGAAACAAAAATGAGACTATAAAACCTGGATATGAATATATAATATAAAATATTTAAGTTTCTGGATCTTTTAAAAACTTACCTGTCATTTGAAATATATATATATATCTAGTAATTTCTGACCTTTTAGTAAAAGATAGTTTACCATACTAAGTAGCAGGTGATAAATGTTAAATGTTTGTACTGGCAGTAAGTACTATAGAAGTTCAGAGTAGGAGAGATTAATGTAGACTAGAGATTCCCTTTAGATGTAAAATAAATTAATTTTTTTGTGAAGTAGCTTATTAGAAATTTTGCCTAGCGCTGGTTCATATTCTATTGCTTGTCATCTGTTTGCTGTACAGGATTGCCTGTGTTCTTTGAAGAAGAGCAAGTCTTCTCTTCATTCTCATTTAAATAGAAATCCTTTAGCATTACTACAGTCATTCAATTAAAATCTTAATCACTGTAATACCCTTCATTCTTTTATCATAGGATAAGAAACATGATGTTGCTGTGTATCTCTGTTAGTTGATACTTTTTACCCATCAGTCCATCATTTGCAACTATTGCGAAATAAATTGGTGGGATTTTTCTCCCCTTATACTAGGGATCTCATTTATTCTCATTCATTTGTTTTATGTCTGTGGAGTAGCTAGCTATTTCAATTGTTTTAAATTACTTTTTATTTAAAAATAGGCATGGTAGACTGAAAGTACCCCCCCCCCCAAATATGACCATGTCTTAATTCCCGAATGTCACGTTATGTGTCACAAGGGACTTTGTAATGCAAGAGACTTTGCAGATGTGATTAAGGCTCTCGAGAGGGGGAAATTAACTGTATTACCCAGGTAGGCCCAATCAAATCCAAGCGGTCCTTCTAAGAAGGAGCAGAAGGAGTCAGAGGAGAAGGCAGTGTGTGATGATGATGGAAGCAGGAGTTGGAGTGACACACCGTGAAGATGGAGGAAGGGCTATAAAAGTGAGAAATACAGGTGGCCACTAGAAGCTAAAAAAGGCAAGGAAGCTGATTCTGTCTTCAGAGCCAAAGGAACTAGCCCTCCCAACGTCTTGACTTCAGCCCAGTGAAACAGATTTCTAATTTCTGACTTCCAGAATTGTAAGATAATACATTTGTGTTATTTTAAGCCACAAAGTTTGTGCTAAGTTGTTATAGCCACAGTAGGAAACTAATACAGTAGTTGTAATATATTTGTTTACTGAAAAACTCATATTTCTCTTGCAGCATTGAGCAAATAAGCTTCCCCATAGCATGCAAATAATTGTGTGTGAAAAGTGAGACTATTTCAGAGGATATGGATAGAAGATTAAGAATTTTTGCTTGTTTGGTTAATATAAGTGTTCAATACACAGAAGATTTTTTGGATTTGTTTGAATAGAAATAGAAAATGGCAAGAAAGTACAGTGTTAACATAAGTGGGCCTTGAATGAAAGCCTGAGGGAAGAGGAAGTGTTAGTGGAAGCTGTCAGATATTTCACTTGTTTAGGTCTGCTTAGTTTCTTTCTCTTACCTTCTCTTTAGCTTTCACTAAAGACTGAATCTGTATATCTAGAGTAAATAGGCCTTGGAAAACAAGGCCTCTCCACAAGTGGATTTGTTCCTTTCAGATTTGTGTTAAAGGTTATACTCTGGCTGCTCAAAAGAAATAACAGCTGCTAGGAATAACACATTTTCAAACAACCCATCTTGCTAGTTAAGTAATTGGACTTGGAGGCCCTTTTTTGCTGTGCTCCAGATCTAAATTGAAGGGAAGTTTTTATGTTATAAAGGGCTACCCTTGGAAGAGTCTGATCGTTAGCTGGATTCATTTTCAGAAATGCACCTCCTTCAGTTTAGTTTGATTAAGTTTCTTTCTTACACATTAATATCTTTCATTATTTTGTTAATTACAAGTGTCTACCTTCATGGGCAAGTTGCTCATTTGAAACACATGCAACATTTACATTAAACTATAATATTTCTGTTTGGACAACGTGGAATCTAGATACACCATGTTTCTGAAATACACTGTGAAGAAAAGCTGCTTAGTTATACTAAGTCAGCGATGTTCAGAGATGAGCTAAGTATAACAACTCAACCTTCCCAGGCCAAGCTCAACAGTAAGGCAGATGGAGGTGTTCCATGATATAGACCAATAGTTTTCAAAGTGTGGTCCCAGATCAGCAACATGAGCAAATTCTCTGACTCTGCTTCCGACAGAAAGATTTGGAAACTCTGGGGATGAAGCTATAGTTTCATGTTTGACAAGCACCCTTCAGTTTATTCTGCTACACATTAAAGTTTGAGAATCATTGATACAGATTAAGTTTTGTTCTCGCTGACAGAACAGACTTACAGCTAAAATGTTGGAAAATCTGACTCTATTGACATGTCAGAGATAATTTGCAACTGCTTCCTTTCTGCCCGAGTTCTATCAGACTAATCACTTGAATAGATTGAAAAATCACTTATGTTTGTAGATGAAATTAAGTATTTTTTGTATTTAAATAACGCTTTTGATTAGAATCCTATTTTGTTGAAAGTGGTTGGTTTTATCTGTGTTCTGTAAAGATAGTTATAAAACCTCATCAAGATTCTACCAGTAAATCACATTCTATTCAGTATAAGGTGAAATGTTTTACATCAAGTCTCATGCTGTGTAATGGCCAAAGAGTATTTAAAGTGACTGAATGGATTCCTTGGCTCAGTATTCAAAAGTAAACATTTTACGATGTTCATGTTTAAGGCTTTCACCTCTTCTCAAAATTGACTTTATGTAACTCTCTTTATTTGCAACTCCAGAAATCACCAAAGATCATGCTTAAGCAACATGTAGCAGCAACTTATTTTTCTTATCTTTATATAGATTTACTGAAGGGTAGGTTGTTTGAAAATGGATGTAGCTTTGGGGCACAAGTCTGTTTAGCTGTGTGAATGCTATAATTTAATATTTAAGACAAAACAACAGCTTTGGCTTGGTAAATATATATCACTGATTTCTGAAAAACCAAACGAAAGAACTTGTTTTGTTGTGTTCTTATTTGACAGGTGATCTTGTGGTTCTTTCTAGGTATCCAGTAGAAAAAGCACTCTCCAGTGTTCATCTGTGGAACTGGATGGTTCCTACTTGAGCATAGCCAGACCACAGACCTACTATCAAACCAAGCAAAGACCTAAGTCTGCAGTCCAGGATTCAGCTTCAGAATCCCTTATAGCATTTAGGAATAATTCTTTGAAACCAGTAACCCTTCATCATCCCAAAGATGATCTAGATAAGATACCATCAGAGACCACAACATGTAATTGTGAATCTCCAGGGAGAAAACCTGCAGTCCCAACAGAGAAAATGCCACAAGAAGAATTGCACATGAAGGAATGTCCACATCTTAAGCCTACTCCTAGTCAATGCTGTGGTCATAGACTTGCTGCAGATCGTGTTCATGACAGCCATCCTACAAACATGACCCCTCAACATCCTAAGACACATCCAGAATCATGCAGTTATTGTCGGCTTTCTTGGGCATCTCTGGTGCATGGTGGTGGGGCACTGCAACCCATTGAAACTTTGAAAAAGCAGATCTCAGAAGATAGAAAGCAGCAACTGATGCTTCAGAAAATGGAACTGGAAATTGAAAAGGAGCGCCTTCAGCATCTGCTGGCCCAGCAGGAGACAAAGCTTCTTCTAAAACAGCAGCAGCTTCACCAGTCTCGACTGGATTACAATTGGTGAGTACTGCCTGTTCTTTTTTTTTTTTTTTTGAGACGAAATCTCGCCCTGTTGCCCAGGCTGGAGTGTAGTGGCACAATCTCAGCTCACTGCAGCCTCCGCCTCCCGAGTTCAAGCAGTTCTCTGCCTCAGCCTCCCGAGTAGCTGGGATTACAGGCGCCCGCCACCATGCCCGGCTAATTTTTGTATTTTTAGTAGAGACGGGGTTTCACTGTCTTGGCCAGGCTGGTCTTGAACTCCTGATCTCATGATCCACCCGCCTTGACCTCCCAAAGTGTTGAGATTACAGGCATGAGCTACCGCGCCTGCCCAAGTCCTGCCTGTTCTTTTAGCAATGTCTGTAGTTTGGAGAGCACAGTGTAAAATTGTTGTAATACTATAGCAGATGGGTAGAACCAGAGGTTTTTCTGGATCTTGGCTTACTCGAGATGCATATCAGTTATGTCTACTAAGTAAATTCCCCTTTATTCTTTGGAAGACTTCAAAGATTACCTTGTCTTCCAAATTGATAGCTTAGAATATCTATTTCTGAGCAGTCTGGTGTAATTTTTGCTGGGTTCCAAAGACATTTTAAAATGATCTTGCCATTATGCAGAATCCTTTGCTGTTTGATATCATTGTGGACAATATTAGGCATTAAGTAAAAGCTTGAGATTTCGGGGTGTGGAATTAGATTGTAAAGCAGTGAGATTAGCTGTCATCATTCCGAATTTATGTCTACCCACCATAATATAAAATATAACAAGTGATGGGAGTCTTCTAAATTCAACCCTTTCTGGCCATGAAGCATGACCTGTTGAATGATGAATTCTCATACACCTATCCACATGTAGGCTGTTCTTCCCTTAACAATTCTTCCTAAGAACAGTGCTTCAAAAGATAAATTGCTGTTTTATTATTATATAATGTTTCTTTACTCCACATCCTTGTTGGCATTTGGTATTCTCATTAATTTTTATTTTACCTCTTCTAATACGTGTATAGTGACATTTCATCGCAGTCTTAATTTGCATTTCACTAATGGCTAGTAATGTTGAACATCTTTTTGTGTGTGTGCACGTTTGCCCTCCTATCTTCTTCAGTAAATTCTCTCTTCAGTATTGCCCATATTCTAATTGGATCATTTGGGTGTTTTGCTGTTTGGAGAGTTCTTCATATCTTCTAGATATATGTCTTTTGTCAGATATGTGAATAGCAAATATTTTCTCCCAGTCTGTAACTTGTCTTTTCTTTTTTATCTTTAATTTTTTTTTCTTTTGGTAGAGACAGGCTCTCACTC
Organism: Homo sapiens; assembly: GCF_000001405.40. Classification (NCBI taxonomy): domain Eukaryota; kingdom Metazoa; phylum Chordata; class Mammalia; order Primates; family Hominidae; genus Homo; species Homo sapiens. Next base: position 37,068,826 of record NC_000018.10, read on the forward strand.
TGTTGCCCAGGCTGGTCTTGAACTTAAATAATTATCCCACCTCAGCCTCCCAAAGTGCTGGAATTACAGCCACTGCTGGAATTTGAGCCACTGCTCCTGACTCTGCCTTTTTAGTTGCTTAATGAGATCTTTCATAGAGCAGAAATTTTTAATTTTAATGAAGTCCAATTTATCTTTTTTTTCTGTTACGGATTATATAAAGTTTTATCATAGGTGTTGAATTTTGTCAAATACCTTTTATGAATTTTGTCAAATATCTTTTATGATCATGTGATTTGTCTTATTTGCCCTGTTAATATGGTGAATTACATAGATTTTTAAATATTAAACCAGCCTTGCATCCCTGAAATAAACCCCACTTGGTCATAATGTATGATTTTTTAAAATGTTACTGAATTCCATTTACTAATATTTTGTTGAGGATATTTGCATCAGTTTTTTTTTTTTTTTTTGAGACAGAGTCTTGCTCTGTCACCCAGGCTGGAGTGCAGTGGCATGATCTTAGCCCACTACAACCTCCACCTACTGGGTTCAAGGGATTCTCATGCCTCAGCCTCCCAAGTAGCTGGGATTACAGGCGTGAGCCACTGCATCTGGCCTATTTACATTAGTTTTGATGAGGGATATTGTTCTGTTGTTTTCCTTTTTCTTTTTTCCCCTGTGTCCTTGTCTTGTTTCGGTATCAAGGTAATGCAGGCCTCATAAAATGAGTTGGGAGATGTTCGCTCTGCTTCTGCTTTCTGGAAGAGATTGTGTAGAATTGGTGTTAATTCTTCTTTAAATGTTTAGTAGAATTCTCCAGTGAAGCCATCTGGACCTGGAAATTTATTTTTTGAGACTTTTTAAATTCCAAGTTTAATTTCCTTAATACTTACAAGGCTATTCAAATTATCTATTGGATAATCTGCCTTGCCACAGGTTTGTTCATTTTAATTATCTTTCAAATAACTGGGTTTTTGTTTCATTTAGTTTTTGTTATTGTTTTTCTGTTTTCAATTTCATTGATTTCTGCTCTTTATTATTTTCTTCCTTCTGCTTGCTTTAAATTTACTTTGCTCTTCTTTTTTCCTAATTTGTTAAGGTGGAAGCATATTGGTTTGAGACTTTTTCACTTTTCTACTGGAAGCATTTAGTGCTCTAAATTCCCTTCTCGGCACTGATTCAGCTATGTCCCACAAATTTTGATATGTTGCATTTTCATGTTTATCCAATTCAGTGTGTTTTTGGGGTATCTTTTGAAACTTCCTATTTGACCCATGGGTTATTTAGAAGTGTTATATTTAGTTTCCAAGTTCTTAAAGATTTTCCTGTTTTCTGTTTCTGATTTCTAGTTTGATACCACTGTGCACACATAACACACTGTATGTTTTTCATTCTTTCAGACTTATTGAAGTTTGTTTAAGGACCCTAGGGCATGCTCTATCTTGATATATGTTCCATGATGTTTGAAAAGAATACGTATTCTGCTGTTGGGTGGTGTGTTCTGTAAATTGTATCCTATTATTTGACAGTATTGTTGAGTTCTTCTATATTCTTGCTGATTTTCTACCTACTTCTATCAATTATTGACAGAGGCGTTTTGAAATCTCCAAGTACAATTGTGATATATCTATTTTTCCTATTAGTTCTATTAGTATTTGTTTTAAATATTTATACTTCTGTTCTTTGCTGCTTATGCATTAAGTTTGCTATGTCTTCTTGGTAGATCGACCATCTTTTCACTATGTAATGTCTTTCTCTGTCCCCAGTAATTTTTTTTTTTTTTTTGAGACAGAGTCTCTGTCGCTGAGGTTGGAGTGCAGTGGCACCATGTTGGCTCACTGCAACCTCCGTCTCCTGGGTTCAAGCAATTCTCCTGCCTCAGCCTCCCGAATAGCTGGGATTACAGGTGCCCACCACCATGCCCGGCTAGTTTTTATATATGTATTTTTTAGTAGAGATGGGGTTTTACCATGTTGGCCAGGCTGGTCTCGAACTGCTAACCTCAGGTGATCCACCTACCTCGTAAATTTTTTATCTAAAGTCTCCTTTACCTGATGCTAATATAGCCATTCTTACTTTCATTTTATTAAGGTTTTCAAGATGTGTGTTCTTCCATCCTTTTACTTTCACCCTATATATGTTGTGATTTTGAATTCAGTTTCTTAGACACAGCATTTGAGTCAGCCAGTTTCTTTTAATTGGTATGTTATGTTCAGATATTTCCTTTTTTGTTTTTGATTTTTTTCTTCCTTTTTTTTTTTTTTTTTTTTTTTTTTTGGTTTGACAGGATCTCACTCTGTTGCCCATGCTGGAGTGCAGTGGCACGATCATGGCTCACTGCTGCAGCCTTGACCTCCTGGGCTCAGGTGATCCTCCTGCCTCAGTTTCCTGAGTAGCTGGAACTACAGGCACGTGCTGCCATGCCCAGCTAGTTTTTGCATTGTTTGTAGAGATAGGGTTTTGCCATTTTTCCCAGGCTGGTCTTGAGCTCCTGGGCTCAAGCAATCTGCCTACCTTATCCTTCCAAAGTGCTGGGATTACAGGCATAAGGCACCGCACCCGGCCCAGACACTTACTTTTAATGTAAAGTGTATATGATTTCCCATATGGTTGGCCCTCCATATCCCTGGAGTCAACCAACTGTGGATTGAAAATAGTTGGGGGCAATAAATAATGCAACAATAAAACTATTACAAATAAAAAATATAGTATAGCAAATATTTATATAGCATTGACATTATAGTAGGTATTACCAGTATTATAAGTAATGTAGAGATGATATAAATTATACCAGAGGATGTGCAAAGATTATATATACATACACATCACTTGAGCAAATCCATGGGATTTTGGTATGAGAGAAGGTCTGGGACTAATACCCTGAGGATACCAAGGAACCACTGTAGTGTTTTTGAGTATGTTTCTTTGAATAGATTTGTTTTATTGGTTGCTCTAAGTATTCTGTTAAACACACATAACTTATCAAAGTCTACTGGTGTCATATTTTATCAGTTTAAATTAAATGTAGAAATTTGATCTCCCTTTAAGTTCCCTTACCCTCCCCCATTTATAATTGTCTTAAAGAGTTTCTCATTGAGAATAGAACAAGAGAAATTTTACAATCTGAACAACAGAAATAGACTAAACCAAAAAAAGCCTAAACAGAGTCTCTCATTGAGAAACACATCATAAAATATTGTAAGTTTTGCTTAAATCATCAAATTTAAAATAAGTTACAGAATAATTTAGAAAAGTGAAGAGAGGAAAAATCTATTATATTTATCTGTGTTTCTATTTTTTTCTATTGTTCTTCCTTTCTGATGTTCCAAGATTTCCTCTTTTATCTTTTTGTTGTTTTGTTTTTAGATCTCTGTTTATTCTTTAAGGTAAGCCTGCTGTAGTTTTGCTTCATATGAAAATGTTCTTATTTTCACATCACTTCTAAAGGGTACTACCATTGCTGAATATAGGATTCTGAGTTGACAGGGTTGCTTTTTTTTTTTCTATCAGCACTTGACAAATGTGGCATTTTCTTCTCTCCACTGATGTTTTCCACAGTCATTTGCACTATTTTTCTCTATACATAAAATATAATTTCTCTTTTGCTTTTTAAAGATTTTTTTGTCTTTAGTTTTAAGAAATTTTACTGTGATATGTCTTGACATGGATTTCTTTATCCTATAAGGACTTTGATCAGCTTGATTTATAGTTTTATGTCTTTTGCCAAATTTAGGAAGTTTTCTTCCTAAATTATTTTTTTCTAATACTTTTTGAACCCCATGCCCTCTTCTGGCTAGCTAATGACATAAATTTACAATCTTTTGTTATGGCTCCACATTTTTTTAAATGTTACTTTAAGTTCCGGGATACCTGTGCAGAGCGTACAGGTTTATTACATAGGTATACGGGTACCATGGTGGTTTGCTGCACATACTGACCCATTCCCTAAGTTCCTTCCCCTTGCCCCTGACTCCCCAACAGGCTCTGGTGTGTGTTGTTCCCCTCCCTGTGTCCGTGTGTTCTCATTGTTCAACTCCCACTTATGAGTGAGAACATGCGGTATTTGATTTTCTGTTCCTGTGTTAGTTTGCTGAGGATGATGGCTTCCAGCTTCATCCATGTCCCTGCAAAGGACATGATCTCTGGCTAGCCATATGCAGAAAACTGAAACTGGACCTCTTCCTTACACCTTATACAAAAATTAACTCAAGATGGACTAAAGACTTAATGTAAAACCCAAAACCATAAAAACCCTAGAAGAAAACCTAGGCAATACCATTCAGGATATAGGCATGGGCAAAGACTTCATGATGAAAATGCTGAAAGCAATTGCAACAGAAGCCAAAATTGACAAATGGGATCTAATTAAACTAAAGAGCTTCTGCACAGCAAAAGAAACTGTCATCAGAGTGAACAGGTAACCCACACAATGGGAGAAAATTTTTGCAATCTACCCATCTGAAAAAGGTCTAATATCCAGAATTTACAAGGACTTAAACAAATTTACAAGAGGAAAAACAACCCCATCAAAAAGTGGGCAAAGCATATGAACAGACACTTCTCAAAAGAAGATATTTATGTGGCCAACAAACATATGAAAAAAAGCTCAACATCATATTAGAGAAATGCAAATCAAAACCACAATGCGATACCATCTCACGCCAGTCAGAATGGCAATTATTAAAAGGTTCCACATGTCTCTGACATTCTGTTTAGGCTTTTTTGTGTATATTTAGTCTATTTCTCTTTGTTGTTCAGACTGTACAATTTCTCTTGTTCTATTCTCAAATTTCTGGTTCTTTCATTTGTCCTCTTCATTCTGTTTTTGAGCAAGTCCATTGAGTTTTCAAATTTTACTTATTGTCTTTTTCAGTTGTCTTAAGTATTTTCCAGAGCTAAAATTTCCACTTAGTTCTTCTTTATGTCTTCTCTTTATTTTCAGAGACTTGCTGTTCTTTTCCTTTCAAAGAGCGTATTCATAAGTGCTTTTTGCAGCATTTTTATGATGCATGCTTTACTATTCTTATCTGATAATACCAACGTTTATGTGATCTTGACACTAGTTTCTGCTGATTGTCTTTTCTTATTCAAGTTGAGATTATCTTCATTTGTGGCATGATGAGTGATTTTTATTGCATTCTGGACATTTTCAGTTTATGGTGTGAGATACTGATCTTGGTTCTCTAACACCACCCCAGTGAAGATTTAAGATGTCTCATTGAACCATTGGAAAATGGACGTCTAGCCTCCCACTGGACCTTTGCTGGTGGGAATGGGGAAAATGAGACCACAGTTTTTCCCATGTTTGGCTGTAGTAGGACAGTTATTGTCTAAAAGTTTTTTGTCGATATAGACTGCTCCTTTCCTGATCCTTTAGACAGAGAGAGCAGGCTGTTTTTTCCTCTATGACTTTGGAGTTTCTAGGTTGCCAGCTTCTCCCACATTCAAGGTTTCTAAGGCAAAAACAAAGCCCGGGAAACTCACCACATTGTTGTTTTTCTGCCCCTGTTTCTCACCTTTTACAGTATTCTTATGTTTGTTTCAAGTATAATGTCTAAGATTTTTAGTTGTACAGGGGTAGACAGAAGTGCAGCTATTTCTCCCTGTCACTTTCAGGTACACCAATCAGACGTAGATTTGGTCTTTTCACACAGTCCCATATTTCTTGGAGGCTTTGTTCATTTCCTTTTATTCTTTTTTCTCTTAACTTCCCTTCTCACTTCATTTCATTCATTTCATCTTCCATCACTGATACCCTTTCTTCCAGTTGATCGCATCGGCTCCTGAGGCTTCTGCATTGTTCACGTAGTTCTTGAGTCTTGGCTTTCAGCTCCATCAGCTCCTTTAAGCACGTCTCTGTATTGGTTATTCTAGTTATACATTCATCTAAATTTTTTTCAAAGTTTTCAACTTCTTTGCCTTTGGTTTGAATTTCCTCCTGTAGCTCAGAGTAGTTTGATCATCTGAATCCTTCTCTCAACTCGTCAAAGTCATTCTCTGTCCAGCTTTGTTCCGTTGCTGGTGAGGAGCTGCGTTCCTTTGGAGGAGGAGAGGTGCTCTGCTTTTTAGAGTTTCCAAGAACCAAGTTGGAAAACACTCTGCAGGATATTATCCAGGAGAACTTCCCCAATCTAGCAAGGCAGGCCAACATTCAGATTCAGGAAATACAGAGAACGCCACAAAGATACTCCTCGAGAAGAGCAACTCCAAGACACATAATTGTCAGATTCACCAAAGTTGAAATGAAGGAAAAAATGTTAAGGGCAGCCAGAGAGAAAGGTTGGGTTACCCACAAAGGGAAGCCCATCAGACTAACAGCGGATCTCTTGGCAGAAACTCTACAAGCCAGAAGAGAGTGGGGGCCAATATTCAACATTCTTAAAGAAAAGAATTTTCAACCCAGAATTTCATATCCAGCCAAACTAAGCTTCATAAGTGAAGGAGAAATAAAATCCTTTACAGACAAGCAAATGCTGAGAGATTTTCTCACCACCAGACTTGCCCTAAAAGAGCTCCTGAAGGAAGCACTAAACATGGAAAGGAACAACTGGTACCAGCTGCTGCAAAATCATGCCAAAATGTAAAGACCATCAAGGCTAGGAAGAAACTGCATCAACTAACGAGCAAAATAACCAGCTAACATCATAATGACAGGAACAAATTCACACATAACAATATTAACTTTAAATGTAAATGGACTAAATGCTCCAATTAAAAGACACAGACTGGCAAATTGGATAAAGAGTCAAGACCCATCAGTGTGCTGTTTTCAGGAAACCCATCTCACATGCAGAGACACACATAGGCTCAAAATAAAAGGATGGAGGAAGATCTACCAAGCAAATGGAGAACAAAAAAAGGCAGAGGTTGCAATCCTAGTCTCTGATAAAACAGACTTTAAACCAACAAAGATCAAAAGAGACAAATAAGGCCATTACATAATGGTAAAGGTATCAATTCAACAAGAAGAGCTAACTATCCTAAATATATATGCACCCAATACAGGAGCACCCAGATTCATAAAGCAAGTCCTGAGTGACCTACAAAGAGACTTAGACTCCCACAGAATAATAATGGGAGACTTTAACAACCCACTGTCAACATTAGACAGATCAACGAGACAGAAAGTTAACAAGGATACCCAGGAATTGAACTCAGCTCTGCACCAAGCGGACCTAATAGACATCTACAGAACTCTCCACCCCAAATCAACAGAATATACATTTTTTTCAGCACCACACCACACCTATTCCAAAATTGACCACATAGTTGGAAGTAAAGCTCTCCTCAGCAAATGTAAAAGATCAGAAATTATAACAAACTGTCTCTCAGACCACAGTGCAATCAAACTAGAACTCAGAATTAAGAAACTCACTCAAAACCACTCAACTACATGGAAACTGAACAACCTGCTCCTGAATGACTACTGGGTACATAACGAAATGAAGGCAGAAATAAAGATGTTCTTTGAAACTAATGAGAACAAAGACACAACATACCAGAATCTCTGGGACACATTCAAAGCAGTGTGTAGAGGGAAATTTATAGCACTAAATGCCCACAAGAGAAAACAGGAAAGATCCAAAATTGACACCCTAACATCCCAATTAAAAGAACTAGAAAAGCAAGAGCAAACACATTCAAAAGCTAGCAGAAGACTAGAAATAACTAAAATCAGAGCAGAATTGAAGGAAATAGAGACACAAAAAACCCTTCAAAAAATTAATGAATCCAGGAGCTGGTTTTTTGAAAGGATCAACAAAATTGATAGACCGCTAGCAAGACTAATAAAGAAGAAAAGAGAGAAGAATCAAATAGATGCAATAAAAAATGATCAAGGGGATATCACCACCAATCCCACAGAAATACAAACTACCCTCAGAGACTACTACAAACACCTCTACGCAAATAAACTAGAAAATCTAGAAGAAATGGATAAATTCCTCGACACATACACCCTCCCAAGACTAAACCAGGAAGAAGTTGAATCTCTGAATAGACCAATAACAGGATCTGAAATTGTGGCAATAATCAATAGCTTACCAACCAAAAAGAGTCCAGGACCAGACGGATTCACAGCCGAATTCTACCAGAGATACAAGGAGGAACTGGTACCATTCCTTCTGAAACTATTCCAATCAATAGAAAAAGAAGGAATCCTCCCTAACTCATTTTATGAGGCCAGCATCACCCTGATACCAAAGCCAGGCAGAGACACAACCAAAAAAGAGAATTTTAGACCAATATCCTTGATGAACATTGCTGCAAAAATCCTCAATAAAATACTGGCAAACCGAATCCAGCAGCACATCAAAAAGCTTATCCACCATGATCAAGTGGGCTTCATCCCTGGGATGCAAGGCTGGTTCAATATACGTAAATCAATAAATGTAATCCAGCATGTAAACAGAACCAAAGACAAAAACTGCACGATTATCTCAATAGATGCAGAACAGGCCTTTGACAAAATTCAACAAGGCTTCATGCTAAAAACTCAATAAATTAGGTATTGATGGGACGTATCTCAAAATAATAAGAGCTATCTATGACAAACCCACAGCCAATACCATACTGAATGGGCAAAAACTGGAAGCATTCCCTCTGAAAACTGGCACAAGACAGGGATGCCCTCTCTCACCACTCCTATTCAACATAGTGTTGGAAGTTCTGGCCAGGGCAATTAGGCAGGAGAAGGAAATAAAGGGTATTCAATTTGGAAAAGAGGAAGTCAAATTGTCCCTGTTTGCAGATGAAATGATTGTATATTTAGAAAACTCATCGACTCAGCCCAAAATCTCCTTAAGCTGATAAGCAACTTCAGCAAAGTCTCAGGATACAAAATCAATGTGCAAAAATCACAAGCATTCTTATACACCAGTAACAGACAGAGAGCCAAATCATGAGTGAACTCCCATTCACAATTGCTTCAAAGAGAATAAAATACCTAGGAATCCAACTTACAAGGGATGTGAAGGACCTCTTCAAGGAGAACTACAAACCACTGCTCAATGAAATAAAAGAGGATACAAAGAAATGGAAGAACATTCCATGCTCATGGGTAGGAAGAATCAATATTGTGAAAATGGCCGTACTGCCCAAGGTAATTTATAGATTCAATGCCATTCCCATCAACCTACCAATGACTGTCTTCACAGAATTGGAAAAAACTACTTTAAAGTTCATATGGAACCAAAAAAGAGCCCACATTGCCAAGTCAGTCCTAAGCCAAAAGAACAAAGCTGGAGGCATCATGCTACCTGACTTCAAAGTATACTACAAGGCTGCAGTAACCAAAACAGCATGGTACTGGTACCAAAACAGAGATATAGATCAATGGAACAGAACAGAGCCCTCAGAAATAACGCCACATATCTACAACTATCTGATCTTTGACAAATCTGAGAAAAACAAGCAATGGGGAAAGGATTCCCTATTTAATAAATGGTGCTGGGAAAACTGGCTAGCCATATGTAGAAAGCTGAAGCTGGATCCCTTCCTTACACCTTATACAAAAATTAATTCAAGATGGATTAAAGACTTAAACGTTAGACCTAAAACCATAAAAACCCTAGAAGAAAACCTAGGCAATACCATTCAGGACATAGGCATGGGCAAGGACTTCATGTCGAAAACACCAAAAGCAATGGCAACAAAAGCCAAAATTGACAAATGGGATCTAATTAAACTAAAGAGCTTCTGCACAGCAAAAGAAACTACCATCAGAGTGAACAGGCAACCTACAAAATGGGAGAAAATTTTCACAACCTACTCATCTGACAAAGGGCTAATATCCAGAATCTACAATGAACTCAAACAAATTTACAAGAAAAAAACAAACAACCCCATCAAAAAGTGGGCAAAGGACATGAACAGACACTTCTCAAAAGAAGACATTTATGCAGCCAAAAAACACATGAAAAAATGCTCACCATCACTGGCCATCAGAGAGATGCAAATCAAAACCACAATGAGATACCATCTCACACCAGTTAGAATGGCAATCATTAAAAAGTCAGGAAACAACAGGTGCTGGAGAGGATGTGGAGAAATAGGAACACTTTTACACTGTTGGTGGGACTGTAAACTAGTTCAACCATTGTGGAGGTCAGTGTGGCGATTCCTCAGAGATCTAGAACTAGAAATACCATTTGACCCAGCAATCCCATTACTGGGTATATACCCAAAGGACTATAAATCATTCTGCTATAAAGACACATGCACACGTATGTTTATTGCGGCACTATTCAAAATAGCAAAGACTTGGAACCAACCCAAATGTCCAACAATGATAGACTGGATTAAGAAAATGTGGCACATATACACCATGGAATACTATGCAGCCATAAAAAATGATGAGTTCATGTCCTTTGTAGGGACATGGATGAAGCTGGAAACCATCATTCTCAGCAAACTATCGCAAGGACAGAAAACCAAACACTGCATGTTCTCACTCTTAGGTGGGAATTGAACAATGAGAACACATGGACACAGGAAGGGGAACATCACACAGCGGGGCCTGTTGTGGGGTGGGGGGAGAGGGGAGGGATAGCTTTAGGAGATATACCTAATGCTAAATGACGAGTTAATGGGTGCAGCACACCAGCATGGCACATGTATACATATGTAACTAACCTGCACATTGTGCACATGTACCCTAAAACTTAAAGTATAATAATAATAAAATAAAATAAAAATAAAAATAAAAAAAAGAAGTGCAGCTATTTCATCATGTCTCAGAACTGTAAGTCCCTAGAGATTTTTATTAAATAATGGAAAGCAAATACATATGTAAAAGTTCAGGCCAGGTGTGGTGGCTCATGCCTGTAATTCCAGCACTTTGGGAGGCCGAGGTGGTGGATCACCTGGGATCAGGAGTTTGAGACCAGCCTGGCCAACATGGTGAAACCCTGTCTCTACTAAAATACAAAAATTAGCCAGGCATGGTGGTGGGCGCCTGTAATCCTAGCTACTCAGGATGCTTAGGCACGGGAATCGCTTGAGTGCGGGAGGTGGAGGTTGCAGTGAGCTGAGATTGGGCCACTGCACTCTAGCCTCGGTGACAGAGCAAGGCTGTCTCAAAAAAAAAAAAAAAAACAGTTCAATAAGTCTAATGATTTCTAATTTTCTTCCAATTTCATTTATGCAGTAACTATGTCAATTAAATTTTATCAAGTTATATTTTATTATTTTTATTCAAACGTTAGATTTTTGTGGATTGAACAAAAGTACTTAAGAAAGCAAGATGACCAGGAAGGTTCACAGTATACTCTGGTGGTAGGCAGAGAATGCCTGTTTTCTGTCATTACCTTTGAAATTTGTTACTTTTTTTAACTTCTAAAAATGTATACCATCTGGAAAACTACTCACATAAAATAGTTTGAGATCTTTCCAGAACCCAGATCTCTTTATGCCAATTGTCAGTTTAAGCTGACCATGTTCTCATCTTGTGTGTTGAGTTCCTTTACTTGAAAGTGGTTGGCATTTGACTACAATGCAACCTTTGGGTTAGATGGGAATTATCCTTGGGAAGAGTTATTTGCTTTCTGGCTTTAGGAGCCCTAATGTTTTACTTTATTTACTTTGGGTCATTTTCAGTCTTCTTGGTTAGCCTTTGTGAAGGAAATATATCCAAACCATCAGACAGTACCCAGCTGTAACACTGGCCACCTTTAGAACTAGTCATGCTGGGCCGGGCGCGGTGGCTCACGCCTATAATCCCAGCACTTTGGGAGGCCGAGGCGGGTGGATCACGAGGTCATGAGGTCGACACCATCCTGGCTAACACGGTGATACCCCATCTCTACTAAAAATACAAAAATTAGCCGGGCATGGTGGCAGGCACCTGTAATCCCAGCTACTCGGGAGGCTGAGGCAGGAGAATTGCTTGAACCTGGGAGACGGAGGTTGCAGTGCAGTGAGCCGAGATCGCGCCACTTCACTCCAGCCTGGGTGACAGAGCGAGACTCTGTCTGAAAAAAAAAAAAAGAAAAAAAGAACTAATCATGCTGGTTTCTGGTGCCTTTGTTCATCCCAGTCGTAGTTCTGCCATTTCATGTATCCTTATGTTGCTCTCATCCTAAAACAAAGTTCTTTCCAATCAAGACAGTAAAAAAAAAAAATCCAAATCCAAGTGAGATGCCCGGAGAAACAGAGACTCAAGACATACATTGATTGATTGGTTGATTGATTGATTGACGGAGTTTGGCTCTGTCACCCAAGCTGGAGTGCAGTGGCGTGATCTCGACTCACTGCAACCTCTGGCTCCCAGGTTCAAGCAATTCTCCTGCCTCAGCCTCCCCGAGTAGCTGGGATTGCAGGCACGCACCACCACACCAGGCTAATTTTTGTATTTTTAGTAGAGACAGGGTTTCACCATGTTGGCCAGGCTGGTCTCAAACTCCTGATCTCAAGTGATCCACCCTCCTTGACCTCCCAAAGTGCCGGGATTACAGGCATGAGCCACCGTGCCCCGCCAGGACATTTTTAATTGAACAGCTTTCACCTCTAGTTATCCTGCCTACTGCCACCATGTTTTATCATAGTTAGCTGGTGAAACCCAGAACTAGGACCATAAATCTATCCATTTAATTAATCAGTATCACAATTTATATTTCTAGGCTGAAAGTTGCCCTACTCTTTGGCCTGCTTTTTAGGTTTATGTAATTTTATCACTTTGGGTCATCTGAAACTCAACCTTCTGCACATTAATATCATATAACAAGAATATCTATCTCAAATGAATCCTCCTAAGACATTGCTTTTATTGTGCCACTTCTGAATTTTAAAAACCCATGATAATTTTGTATTAGGTTATGTTTATTCAACCTAGTATTTGAAGCCTTTTATAATTTGGAACCACTTCTCTACCCATTTGTCCCACTTTTCCTAAGAAATAAAGTTTTTTTCCCAAAAGGCAGATTTGTTTCCTTGAGATCTTTTCAGTGCATCCTTCATGTTTCTTTCTCAAGCCATACCTTTTCCTCCGATTTAAATATCTCTGTCCTACTTTTCCATTTATCCACACCCCGACTCTTCATTATAACACGGTCAAAATCCCACTAAAAATTTCTGGGTCTGGTTTCTTTTTCACATAACTAATAATTTGTTATTGAATATGTCCAAAATCAGCACCTTATTGTTTAATGTGTAATGTTGTTCTGTAATTTAGTTTCATTCTCCTTGTCTGAGCACATATTTACTAAGCCCTCTACTCTGCACAAAACTCTATGTGAGGAGTATTAAAATGAGCAAGACTTGATCTTGGCTTGGTATATTACACATAATCTCACGCTTTTTATATATATATACTTTTAACTTTTATATATCTTTACTAAGCTTGTCATTTACCTGCCCCAAGGATTTTTTTTTTTTTTTTTTTTTTGGATACAGCATCTCACTCTGTCACCCAGGCTGAAGTGCAGTGGTGTGATCTTGGCTCACTGCAACCTCTGTCTCCTGGGTTCAAGCGATTCTCCTGCCTCAGCCTCCCAAGTAGCTGGGATTACAGGCACCTGCCACCACGCACAGCTAATTTTTGTATTTTTAGTAGAAATGGGATTTCACCATGTTGGCCAGGCTGGTCTCAAACTCCTTACCTCAGGTGATCTGCCCGCCTCGGTCTCCCAAAGTGCTGGGATTACAGGCGTGAGCCACCCCGCCCGGCCCCAGGGAATTTCACTTCAACTAAATTCATGAATTAATATCTGCTATACACAAGCTGTTGTTTATAGTGCTCAGGATGTTCAGGAAAAATATTGGGAAGGCAATCTAATTGAATACCAAATGAGTAGCACAGAATTGTTATAGTAGTTCAGAATCTTGGGACGAGCTTGTCATTTTAGAATAAATTTGGCATGACATTGGCATTTACTTAAATTGTAATTAATGATTCATTCTGCCACCTTGTTACTACATGATTGCCGATAACAACTTTCGAAAGGGTATTATTTTTGTGAGTCACTTTCCAGACTGATCAGAGAAGATTTATCCAGAATATTATTCATGATTGTGCCAAGAACCACCTTAAATCATTTTTGGAGCAAAGTAGTGTATGTATAATGAATAAAAATCAAGGCTAATGATAAATATTTACCTTTGTCTCCCACTCTAACAATATGCCTTAATACATGTACTCTCTACCTAACTGTAATAAAATTCAGTGTTCACCAGTGAAAAACGTGTCACCTTGAGAGAGTTATGTGCCTGGCCCAGCCCTCACTTTAGTAATTTATAAATAGGTAATGGTAAAAGTAACTACATTATAGAGTGGTTGTGAGGATCAGTACAATAGTATATATAAAATGTACTCCTTGAAGGTAGTTGCTGTCATCAAGATCATCACTACTGCTGTAGAGGCTACTGTGACTGATATTATTGCTGCCATTTTTTCACTTTTCTCATAATTCCCTGATTTGGGCATTTTGCATCTACATTTACCTACCTATGTGTCACCACCAAATATTAGTCTTAAGCTGTAAGCTCCTGAAGGGAATTAATCCATGTACTTTGTACATTAATTCCAACCAGTTAGTTGGAATTATAGGCATGTCTTTTGACAATGATGAAAATGACAATATTGTTTTAATAATGTTTTTACACTTCAGAGTTTGATTTCATAGTTAAAGAATATACTTTTACAGATAACCAGAGAACATTTCTTAAAAGCCGAGAGAATAAGTGTCACATATTTGATACCAGTGATTAACACTCAACTCCCGGTAGAAAACCTTTTGGCTGAGTTTTTCCATGGCTTTCCCTCCTCAGTACATGTCAGTGTAGGGCTAAGTAAGCATTGATGGATACAGTGTCTTCCAGTTCTTTTGGAAGAATTCATCTTTGACTCAGGGAAAATATGTTGGTTAGTGAGCTGTACCCCTAATTCTTTGAAATGTCAGTATGAGAAGTGGGTGCTTCCCATATAAATGTTGGTCAGGGTCAGTGATAATTAGAGTTACTAGAATTCACATTGAGACACTGGTGATCGCAGTACACTTGCTTACAATGAATAGAGGGAAGAATTAACTTTCTGCGGCAGAGATTTAAAGTGCTCCTATTGAAGTATCTATAATTTTGAATTTTTAAATGATATTCTAACCAACTTAATCTTCCCTACCTTTCCTTTAAAGAAAATTTAAGTTACTATGAAATCAATTTGTGTTTGTTTATGTATATTTAAGAATTACTCATTTATTTTTGACTAAGTTTTAATTGGAAAATAATTTCTGGGGATCTAGCTGAAAGAGCATGGTTTTCCAAAATTTATCATTCAGGTTATCAGGCTTCACAAGATTAGAAATTTTTTAAATTAATTTTTACAGGTTAAAAGCTCAGGCTCTGTTTAAGTCGAGAGAACTGGTTGCTGAAAAACAGCTTACTAAACCCCAAGAACTCAAACTGGATATGAATGGCAGTGACTCTGGACCAAGGTAAACCTGAAGTCTCAGTTAAAACAAGAATCTTAAGGGCATAAATATTTAGGATACGTTTGGTATACTTTTATAGCTCTATGTTGATTAATACAGTTTTGTGACCATATGAATACGTACATTCCTGTTATACAATTTTGAAAAATATAGAAAAATATGAAAAACAAAATAAAAATCATTCATAATCCTACAACTTTGAGAGAATCTTTTGAGCCCTTTTCTACTATTTCTTTTTTGTTTTTTGTTTTTTTTTTTTTTTTGGTGCGGTATTATAGTCTATATTGAGTATTAAGGATTATGCTTATACAGAATTTTATGTTACTTTTTTCACTGTATCATATTTTCTGATCTTATTAAATACTCTGTGAAAACATTAATTCATTCAACAAATACGTATTGCTTGGCAGCTGTGCTCAATATTTATCTATTAGTCTGTTATCGGATAATACAGGGTTTTGCTATTATAAATTTTGCCTTGAAGAACATTTCTCTAAATAAATGTTTTAAGTTTATCTCTACCTATTTCCTTGTTACAGATTCCTGTAAGTGGAATTACTAGTACAAAGTATATATGAATCTTTTTACGATCCTTGATTCACATTGCCAAACTGTTTTGTGTGATTGCTGGCCTAGCGGCTAGGTCTGCAACAATCAATCTGGATCCTGGAGCTAAAGGGTAGGCCTTGAACCTGGGTCCTGGATCCTGGGTCTGTGGAGCCAGCCCAGCACTGGATTCTATGCGGTCAGGCCTAGGTCTGCCTCAGGTTGAGACTATAAAGACTGACCTAGCATGGGGCAGGTCTGGTGCCTGAGGTCAGGGATGCCAATCTAGACTGGGGCGGGGGTAAACTCGGGCTTTGTGGACTGACCTGGCTCTGGGCTGGTCTGGAATCTGAGGCAGGCCTGGAATTTGGAATAGCAGGATCTCACCTGGTGCTGAGGCAGGTCTGAATGCTCATTATGTAGTATTGGCCTGGAGTCTGGGACCG
This sequence comes from Homo sapiens, assembly GCF_000001405.40. NCBI lineage: Eukaryota > Metazoa > Chordata > Mammalia > Primates > Hominidae > Homo > Homo sapiens. Next base: position 37,085,222 of record NC_000018.10, read on the forward strand.
GGATGGGCTGCCCAACGCTAGCTTTTACTGAGGTGGGCCTGATGTTAGCGTCTGAGGCAAAGTCTGGTTCTCACTTCCCTCTCTTCCCTGCCCAAACAGAGGGTATCTCTCTCTACTGTGTTGCCAGAGTTTGTGGAAAGGGTGCTGCCAGTAATGTAAGTCTGTTCTTCCTACCCTTTTGAATACATTCCTTCTTATTTTTGTGCTACAGCCTGGTGCTATAATCTCTCACCTGGTTTACATAGCTCTTAAAAAGGTATTTTTTTAGGTGGATAGTTATTCAAATTGATGTTTCTGATGGGGGAGATGGGAGGGGCAGGGACGAGTCCTTGAAAGTCCTATTCTGCCATCTTGCTGACGTCCCTCTTCCTACAAGCAGTTTTGACTGTTTTAGATGTTTCCTCTTTTATCTGTTCCTTCTAGTATTTATATCCATATTTCTGAATAACAGACTTATGTAGTCATTAAGTATTGACTTTCTGCTATGGAAATTGATGATTTAGCTCTCACTGATAACCATCTATTTGCTCCCTCCTTTTCTCCCTTTTATCTTCCTCTCTTTACCTTTCTTTCTCCCTTTTTCCCTCTCCTCCCTCTCTCCATATTTCTCTCTACATATATAACATAGCCCCACACGTGCTGTTTCCTTCCTTCTGTCCTCTCAATATATCTATATCAAAATATTTATAAGATTGTAAATATTTTATGCACAGCTGAACTATCTACTATTCTTAAATTTAATTTTGTATAATTATTTTCTCTGGAGTTTAAAAATGCCTTATTCAGCACAGAAAGACAAATACAGTGTGATCTCTCTTATATGTAGAATCCAAAAAGGTTGAATCAATGGTCACCAGGGCCTGGGGGGTTGGGGGCCTGGTCTTTGCTCAAAGACTGCAAAGTTTCAGTGAGCTTGAATAAGTTCTGGAGGTCTGTTGTATAACATGGTAACTATGGCTATAATAACATGTCATATAGTTGAATATTACTAAGAGGGTAGATGCTAAGTGTTCTCACCACAAAAATATATAAATATGTAAGGTGATGGATTTGTTAACCAGCTTGATTTAATCATTTTGCAATGAATACATACAGTATATCAAAACATCACTTTGTATACAATAAATATATACAGTGTTTACCAATTACAATTTACAAGATATCCCTCCTGGAGACTTCCATAAAATCCTGCTCTAGTATGAACTTTATTATTCTCTAGGCATTTTGTCTAGTGATTTCATCTGAAATTTCCTTACCTATCATCCTGGAAATTTTCTCTTTTTTATCTTATATTCCTTTTTTCCTGGATCACATGCTATCCTCTTTTTGGTTTATACCCTTTCATCTTACTAAAACATGCGCTGCAGTAGCTTACTGTAGGAGTGCAGAGGCAGTAATCTTTTTGTGTCACACCTCTGAAAAATGTCTTTAGTCAATCTTCATGTTTAATTTATAGTTTAGCTTTATATAGCATTCTGACTTAGTAGTTTTCCTCAGAAAGGATTGAAGGTTGTATTCTATTACCTTCTAGTTTCTAGTATTGCCATTAAGAAGTGTGTTGCAGTCTGATTCTTGATCTTTTTATGTGACCTATTCCCCATCACAACTATTAGGACTTATCTTTCTCTAAAATTCTAAAAATGTATGCTGATATGCATAAGTTACACCTTTTTCCATTCATGCAGAATCTTTTAACTGGCAAACTTTCTTCAATTTGGAGAAATTTCCTTTGCTAATGTATTGTCTCTTTTGAGAACTCATCTTACTGAGATGTTGACTCTGTTAGAATAAACTCTGATTTTCTTATTTTTCTCTCCTATATTTCATATCAGGTTTTTTTGTTTGTTTCTTTGTTTGAGACAGGGTTTTACTCTGTTGCCCAGGCTCAAGTTCAGCGGCACAATCACAGCTCATTGCATTCTTGATCTCCTGGGCTCAGTGATCCTCCCCACTCAGCCTCCCAGGTAGCTAGGACTGCAGGTGCATGCCACTATACCCAACCAATTTTTTGTATTTTTTTTAGAGACGGGGTTTTGCCATGTTACCCAGGCTTGTCTCAAACTCCTGGGCTCAAGTAATCTACCCGCCTCAGCTTCCCAAAGAGCTGGGATTATAGGCATGAGCTACTGCACCCAGTGTTAGAATTCTTAATTTCTGAAAACATCTTATTCTTAGAAAGGCCATTTTTTAAAATAAGAACTCATTCTCATTTTACATATGCAATGTTTTTGTCTTATCTCTGAGAATATTCGTAATAATTTTTGAAGTTTTATCTCTTCCTGCTGAATTGTGTCTATTTTCACCAAGTTCAGATTGCCTTTTTCCACAAATGTCTGATGATCCACCTATATTGTGAAGCAAAACAATAAAAATCTGTGAAAAGCTCTCAGTATATTATGAACAGAGCTTGTCAGCTAATGGACTTCACCATGATCAGGTAGGCACGCTGGGGACTCTTACTTGCTACTATCCATAGATTTTCTTCTCTTGGGATGATCAGTTTCCCTAGGGATAAATCTCTTGCAGGTGTGAGAATAAGGGATAGAAGCATTATTTAACTTTCATGCCAATGTGGGGAGCCAGGGGGAGTAAAAAAAAATGGGCTCATCACTTGTTACATAGGCTTTCATTTAATCTCCCTCTTAACTATATGGATTTCTGCCCTCAATGTATTTCAGGCCCCAAGTTCAGGGTCATTCTTTTTCAGCCTCTCCTGGGGGATAAACCTCCAGTCATCTTCATACAATGGGGACAGATAGAGGAGGACACGTTGGCTTTTCACTGCTATAGAGACTTTAAATCAGCTGTGCTTTCACTACCATCTGCATTTCTACCTGCTTCCTCCAGTCTCTGAGCCTTTGAGGAGTTCTCTGACATGTTTCAGCTTACAGCATCTTTTCAACCCCAGCTAGCAGATATTTCAGTTTTGACTTTTCTGCTTGGCTAGTTGAGTTTCAACTGAGACACCTGCTTTCCAGCCTTCTAAAATTCTATAACATCTCTTCTCTGTTGTGCTGTCTTCACTTTGCAGCTTCATAGGTTTTATAACTTTTTTGTTCTTTTAATATTAATTTTCAGTGGTTTTAGAAGAGAATAGAGATACGTATTCAATCAGTCATGTAAATTAGCTCTCCAATACTTATTTGTATATTTAAACCATATTTGGCAATTTAGTAGGCAGAAAGATGGAATCTTGTAATTTGCAGTCACTCTGTATTCAATTAGAATGAGCACTTTTCTATGTTTATTAATGCTTTGTGTTTCTTTGTGGAATTTTCACTTCCTATGTTCATATTTTTTATATAGGGACATTATAGTTCTTCTTTAGTTCATACGTATTTTTTAATTTAATTTTTTTATTTTTAATACTATTCATGTTTATCTGTATCTTTACTGATTCACTTTCTTACTTGCTTATGGTAGAAAGAAATATAAAATTCTGATAATACTAAAGAAGAAAATAAAATATACCTATAATCTCATCATCTGGAGGTAATCTTTGTATGTATTACTATTTCTTATTTATTCATGAGTATGTATTTTTATATTATAAATTTTGTTTCATAAACCACCTTAAAAATTTTTAATGGAACTTTAAAAAATTTTTAATGTCAACATATCTCTTATAAAAAGTAAAACATCAAAGACATATTAAGAAAGTATCAGTCATTTTTCATTTTTTATTCTGTTGTCTGTCCTGACTGTCTTGGTTGAATTAGAGTTAGCACTCTAATATGTATCCTTCTAAACCTTTCTTTATGCTTACAAATATATACAACATGTGTATATATTTGAAATCAAATTGAACACTTTTTTCTCATTTAACAGTACATAATGGTTATTTATCAGAGCTATAGTAAGTAGAGTAATTCTGCCCCAAAGGTATCCATGTTCTATTAATAATTTCCTAGGAGGGTGTGGTGGGGGAGGGGACGTGTATATGTGTGTATGTGTGTGTTTGAGGTAGGGAGGATAGGTCCCTATCTCTAGCCTATCAAAATTCTATACTGTCTTTTGTGACTTATCTCAAATAGTATCTCTTCCAGAAATATTTTCTTTGCATTTCTTTTATAGTCCTTATATTATGTATAGATGATAAATATTTGTACATTTGCGTTATTCTACTATTAGGGTACTTGAAGGTAGTGGCTTTTTTTTTTTTTTTTTTTTTTAGATGAAGTCTCATTCTGTCACCCGGGCTGGAGTGCAGTGTCACAATCTCGGCTCATTGCAACCTCCACCTTCCGGGTTCAAGCAATTCTCCTGTTTTGGCCTCCCGAGTAGCTGGGACTACAGGTGCACGCCGCCATGCCCGGCTAATTTTTGTATTTTTAGTAGAGATAGTGTTTCACCGTGTTGGTCAGGCTGGTCTTGAACTCCTGACCTCAGGTGATGCACCTGCCTTGGCCTCCCAGAGTGCTGGGATTACAGGCGTGAATCACTGAGCCCTGCCTGGTAGTGGCTTTTTATATCATCCAAAGCACTTAGCAAGGTAGTTTTTCTTTTCTTAACAATAAAAATTTTTGTTGAATTGCTCAGTATTATATAAAAGTACAAAAATGGTCACATCTTATTGGAGTATGCAAAATTACAAAACTGTTCATTTTTAAGGGTCATCTTTGTGTAAGCAATAAATTAGCATCAAACAAACTAACTAAAAAAGAAACCGGAGGACTTAGAAACAACTTATGACTTTTGAAATCATTACCATCTTTCATGTGATAATTATCTTCCAATGGTTTGGCTCAGCTGTGCCCTACCATTTGCTCTTATTTGTCATTAAGGCCTCACTTATTATTTATTTTCATTCTTTAGCATTTATGCAGGAAGGCAGCAATGTAAATTCCCTTGCCTGGGATTCTTCCCACAGACAATAGGAAATAAATTGCAATTAGATTTTGGTAATTGTCTATAATTAACTCAAAATGAACTGTTAATTATAAAAAAAGTTTTCACTTTCTCATTATCTCATTTATTTTAGTCCCAAATTCTTAATGCCTCACTTAAGTTTAATATTTTAAAAACAGTATTTTTAATACTAAGATAATTTAAATATCCAAATAAATAAAATTTGCTTGAAATTAAATTTTATTTAGGGAGTTCTAGTGTTAAAGCCAAAGAGCCTGCAAGGTACAAAGTAAATGGATCATTCTCGTAACCATTCTTGATTGTATTTTCTAAAATTAGTGGGCATTTTTGTTTAATAATTCTACAAAGGCTTCTCAAGGCTCTATAGTATTCTCCCCTGACTTATCTCTAACTGTTCCTGGTGTTAGTGGAGACAACATCATTTCCATAGCAAGTGGAATCAAATAGACATTAAATTCATTGTCTTTACTTCTTTCAACCTCACATTAGATGAAATAATTAAGGACTGCTGTGTGAGAATTCTTGGCTTACCAATGACTGTCAGACTTGGAAGCACTTGCCAGAGTTTCTTGAAATCCTTATAATGTATGATTTTGAAAGGTATATGGTCTTCTCAGAGGCATTTAGGACATTTTTTTGGAAGCAAGTGTATAGTCTTATATTTTTGTCATAATTATTTAAATTTAGGTCATACATGCCCAGATGCCCCTAGACCTTAGAGCATGTCCATCTCTTTGACTGGAGCACTAATTTTTTAAATCTCAATCTTTCTCAGTTAAGTATGAAAGGAAGTCATCTCCTAAGAAAGATGGCAATGAGGAGAACATCGGGGAGGAGGATGCTGATAAACTTGAAATAGCCTCAATTGAAGGTATAATAAGAAATCATCAGAAGATGATGAATACGAAGTAATACATCCAGAATATAGACGTTCTCTTGAATCAATAAGATAAACTACCTTAAATAGGCAACTCTCAGAAAGGTAAATCCAAATAATAAGTATATAAAACCTTCTGCAACTAATCAGGGAAAACAAAACACAAAAGAATAGTTCAAAATGAATACCTAGAGTCACCCAGAACTCACTTCCTCTACAAAGAAGGATCAAAACAGTAAATAAATAACTAAGTGTCAAATAGAGCTTCTTGGAGAGAAGCACTGGAATTCAACAGGGAAGTCACAGGGAACCTCTGAGGCACAGAAGGAGAGAGAAGCAAAGCAACCAGTCTGGCCAGGATCAGCTCACACCAGGAAGAACTCCTCATTGGGAAAAAAAGTGAAGTAAATCACCACCATGTTCTTTAAGTTCTGCCTTCATTATAGGGAAAGAGTTAGCAAGTGATTTCTATTGGTCCACATTCCCACCGTGGACTCCTGCAATTCTAGCTATAGGAGAGCTCTTCAGTTCTTATGGGCCTTAAGACTAGTATAGGCAGCTACTTGGAGCCCATGCAACAGCATTGTTCCATCAAGAGAGTTGATACTGGGTCCCATGTACCCACTGAGACTCAAGCAGCTGCACCTCCCTGCCATTTTAGGAGATCAGCCTCCATCAAACTATATTCTGCCTTAGGTCCCAACAACCCCTGCATCTTCACATCTCTGGAGCCCTGCTGACATCCCTCCACATCTTTCTAGAGGGCTAAATTGTCATGATGCTGGCTGGACCCAGTAGTGAAGCCAGATATCCAGCACTGTTGTCCACATATTGTCCTACACCCTAGGGAACAGGCAGTTCAGCACACCAAGGAAGCTGGCCCCAGGACAAAGGGAGCCAAAGCATGCGCTCCCCATAGCCTGAGAGCTGCCTATTGAGGGATGCTGCCACTGATGGCAACCTTGCTTCCTCCAACAGCAGGACCACAGAACAGCACATGCCTTCAGGGAGCCTGGGGACTGGCCAACTCGTATGCCATCTGAAACCTTAGGCTAGGCCCATTCTACCCACTACCAGCAGTGCCCAGGCATGCCATCCGGTAGCCTGGGGGCTGACCCACCCACCTGTCACAGCTGTTGCCAACATGCACCATTGGGAGATCTGAGGACATGCCCACCCAGCCCACTGCTGCTGGCACACGTGCATTCTTTAGGGGCCCGGGGATTAATTCACCCTGCTCCCTGCTGCCTACAGCCAAGTGCACCATAGGAAGGCCTAATGAGAGGTCCACCCTACCTGCTGCCACTGGTGCCTGCACTCACACCCAGGGTCCTAAGAACAGACCCACCCCATCTACCACCGTTGCCAGAGGCACTCTAGCATACCATTTGTCAGCCTGTGTATTGACCCACCCCACTAATTGAAGCCAGTGCCCACATGTACCACTGTGAGTCCTGCAGTCTTATTCTGCTTGCAGCTGATGGCACTTGTGCACACAATCTGGGAGACTTGGAGATAGAGCCACCCCACCTGCCACGACTGATGCCCATGCACACCTTGTGGGCACCTGAGGATAGGGCTCTCTTTGCCTACTGCCACCTGCACACAATCTCCAGGGTTCTGGAGATTGGTCTACTATACCCACCACTACTGTCACTCACAAATGTCATCCAGTGGCATAAGGACAGACCATTCCTGCTCACCACTGGCAAATGTGCACATATCCCAGAATCCCAAGGACTGGCCTGCTCAGCCCATCACTGACACCAGTGGCTATTGGACACAACACTTAGGGGCCTGAGGATTGGCCTACCACTGCCAGTGCCAGACATGCTTCTTAGGGGCCCAAGGACCTGTCTGCCTGCCCAAATAACTGTTGCCACTGTCAGCACTAGAACAAGCCACTTGGATGCTCGAGGTATGGCCTGCTTAGACCTGCCACTCTCAGTGCCTGAATAAATCAATGGGGAGACTGAGACTGGCACACTCATCCAGCCACCACCAACACTAATCCCTTGCCACAGCTTACACAGACAACCACAGCCTAAGCCACTGAGGAGCTATCAGATACTGCTGACACTTACAGCTAAAAATCATGAAGACTACACTACTGCACTCACCCAGAATCAAAGCCAAAGCACCCTACTCAGCCAACACTATAAATATATTTATAGAAAAAACCCTTTTCTTATAAAAGTGAACCCATAAAATTGGAAGAAATGACTGTTACACTGGATGCACAGATATCAATATAAGGACACAAGAAATGTGAAAAAGCAAGGTAACATAACATCTTCAAATGAGCACAGTAATTCTTCTGGAACAGATACCAAGGAAAGGAAATTATGAAATGCCAAAAAGGGAACTCAAAATAATGATACTAAAGGTACTCAATGAGATACAAAATAATACAGACAAACATACAAAGAAATCAGGAAAACAACTGATGATATGAGTGAGAAATTCAACAAAGAGATCAGTATCATAAAAAAGAACCAAGTAGAGTTCCTGGAACTGAAGAATCCAATGAATAACATTAAAAATACAATTGAGAGCTTCAGCAATAAACTAGATTAAGCAGAAGAAAGAATTTCTGAACTTGAAAACTGTCATTGGAATAACCCAGTCAGACAAAAAAGAAAGAATAGAAACAAGTTAAGAAAGCCTATGTGATGTATAGGGCCACATAATGGGACCAAGTATTCTAATTTTAGGAGTTCTAGAAATAGAAGAGATGGGCAAAAGTATAGAAAACTTATTTAATGAAATAGTAGCTGAAAATGTCCCAAGTCTTACAAGAGATTTAGACATCCAGATTTAGGAAGCCCTAAGTTCCCCAAATAGATTCAACCCAAAATGGTTTTTCCCAAGGCATGTTATAAACTATCAAAAGGCAAAGGCAAAGAATTAAAAATCCAGCAAGGAAAAGCATCAAGTCACATATAAAGGAATCCTCATCAGACTAACAGTGAATTTGTCAAGGGAAACAGAGCAGCGGTCTCATGAGGAAATGAGGAAATGGCATGAGGAAATGGTTTCATGGAAGACAGTTTTTCCACAGACCAGGGTGTGGGGAGGATGGTTTTGGGATGAAACTGTTTCACCTTAGATCATCAGGCATTAGACAGGTTCTCATAAGGAGCATGCAACCTACATCCCTTGCATGCACAGTTCACAATAGGGTTTGCGTTCCTATGAGAGTCTAATGCCACTGCTGATCTCACAGGAGGCAGAGCTCAGGCAGTAATGCTCGCTTGCCTACCACTCGCCTCCTGCTGTGTGGCCCAGTGGCTAACAGGCCAGAGATTGGTACCGGTCTGCAGCCTGGGGGTTGGGGACCCCTGCCTTAGAGGCCAGGAGAGAATGGAATGATATATTCAAAGTGCTGATGGGAAAAAAAAAACCTGTCAGTCAAGAGTACTATAGCCAGCAAAGTTATCCTTCAAAAATGAAGGAGAAATAGTCTTTCACAGACAGCCAATAACTGAGGGAATCCTTCATGACTCTCATTCACATGCTTAAGGGAGTTCTACATCTAGAAGTGAAAGGTCAGTGTCTACCATCATGAAAACATACACAGGTATAACAGTCACTAATGAAGCAGATACACAAATGAGGAACAAAAGGTGCCAAATGTTACCACTACAAAAATAAAAAAAGGCACCAAGTTGTAATGATAACAAAAAAGAAAGAGAAGAACAAATGATATACAAAACAACCAGAAAAGAAATAACAAAATTATAGGAGCAATTCCTCACTTTTCATTAACAACTGTTAATGTAATTGGTTTAAATTCCTCAATAAGATATAGACTGGCTGAACAGATTAAAAAACAAAACTCAATTATATGCAGCCTACAAGAAAGTAACTTCACCTGTAAAGACACAGAATAAAGTGAAGGGATGGAAATACATATTTCATTTAAATGCAAACCAAAAGCATACAGAGGCAGTTATAGTTATATTGGACAAAATAGGTTTTATGTCAAAAAAAAAAAACATCAAAAGAGAAAAACAAGGTCATTAGATTAATATAATGGTGTAGGCATCCATTCTACAAGAGGCTATAACAATGGTAAATACATATACATCCTGCACTGTAGCATCAAGACATATAAAGGATCATTATTAGATCCAAAGAGAGAAATAGCCCTAAATACAACAATAGTTGGGAACTTCAACACTCCACTTTCAGCATTGAAAAGATCATCTAGGCAGAAAATCAAGGAAACATCTGATTCAATCTGCACTATAAACCATATGGACATAAAAGACATTTACAGAACATTTTATCCAACAACTACAGAATATGCATTCTTCTCGTCAGCACACAGAACATTCTCCAGGATAGACCATATAGTAGGCCACAAAACAAATCTCAGCATCTAAAAATATCAACATCATATGAAATATTTTATCTCACCACAATGGAGTAAGACTAGAAGTCAATAACAAGAGGAACTATAAAAAAATGTACATATGTACAGAAATTAAACAACATGCTCCCAAATGGCCATTGTGTCAATGAGGAAATTAAGAAGGATATAAATTCTTGAAACAAATGAAAATGGAAACATAACATACCAAAACCTATGGGATACAGAAAAAGCCCTGCTAAGAGGGAACTAGAAAAGCAAGAACTAACCAAACTCAAAATTAGTGGAAGGAAGGTAATAATAAAGATGACAACAGAACTAAATGAAATATGGGCTAAACAAAATACATAGGGCCAATGAAATAAAAAAATTGTATTTTTTGGAAAGATGAAGTTGATAAACCACTAACTAAGACTAACTAAGGAAAAAAGAAGACCCAAATAAATAAAATCAAAATGAAAAAGACATTACAACTGATATCACAGAAACACAAAGAATCATTAGAGACTATTATGAAAAACTGTATTCTAACAAATTGGAAAGGAAGAAATAGATAAATTCCTGGACATACGCAGTGTACCATAATTGAACCGGGAAGAAATTGAAAGCTCGAACAGACCAATAATGAGTTACAAGATTGAACCAGTAATAAAAAGCCTCCCAAACAAAATTAAGGCCCGAACTGGGTGGCTTTACTGCTGTATTCTATCAATCTTATAAAGGAGAACTGACACCAATTCTTTTTTTTTTTCTACTTTAAGTTTTAGCGTACATGTGCACAACGTGCAGGTTTTTACATATGTACACATGTGCCATGTTGGTGTGCTGCACCCATTAACTCGTCACTTAACATTAGGTATATCTCCTAATGCTATCCCTCCCCGCTCCGCCCACCCCACAACAGGCCCCGCTGTGTGATGTTCCCCTTCCTGTGTCCATGTGTTCTCATTGTTCAATTCCCACCTAAGAGTGAGAACATGCAGTGTTTGGTTTTCTGTCCTTGCGATAGTTTGCTGAGAATGATGGTTTCCAGCTTCATCCATGTCCCTACAAAGGACATGAACTCATCATTTTTTATGGCTGCATAGTATTCCATGGTGTATATGTGCCACATTTTCTTAATCCAGTCTATCATTGTTGGACATTTGGATTGGTTCCAAGTCTTTGCTATTGTGAATACTGCCACAATAAACATATGTGTGCATGTGTCTTTATAGCAGCATGATTTATAATCCTTTGGGTATATACCCAGTAATGGGATTGCTGGGTCAAATGGTATTTCTAGTTCGAGATCCCTGGGGAATTGCCTGACTTCCACAATGGCTGAACTAGTTTACAGTCCCACCAACAGTGTAAAAGTGTTCCTATTTTTCCACATCCTCTCCAGCACCTGTTGTTTCCTGACTTTTTAATGATTGCCATTCTAACTGGGGTGAGGTGGTATCTCATTGTGGTTTTGATTTGCATTTCTCTGATGGCCAGTGATGATGAGCATTTTTTCATATGTCTTTTGGCTGCATAAATGTCTTCTTTTGAGAAGTGTCTGTTCATTTCCTTCACCCACTTTTTGTTGGGGCCGTTTGTTTTTTTCTTGTAAATTAGTTTGAGTTCATTGTAGATTCTGGATATTAGCCCTTTCTCAGATGAGTAGATTGCAAAAATTTTCTCCCATTCTGTAGATTGCCTGTTCACTCTGATGGTAGTTTCTTTTGCTGTGCAGAAGCTCTTTAGTTTGATTAGATCCCATTTGTCAATTTTGGCTTTTGTTGCCATTGCTTTTGGTGTTTTAGACATGAAGTCCTTGCCCATGCCTATGTCCTGAATGGTATTGCCTAGGTTTCTTCTAGGGTTCTTCTGGTTTTAGGTCTAACATTTAAGTCTTTAATACATTTTGAATTAATTTTTGTATAAGGTGTGAGGAAGGGATCCAGTTTCAGCTTTCTACATATGGCTAGCCAGTTTTCCCAGCACTTTTTATTAAATAGGGATTCCTTTCTCCATTTCTTGTTTTTGTCAGGTTTGTCAAAGATCAGATAGTTGCAGATATGTGGCATTATTTCTGAGGGCTCTGTTCTGTTCCATTGATCTATATCTCTGTTTTGGTACCAGTACCATGCTATTTTGGTTACTGCAGCCTTGTAGTATAGTTTGAAGTCAGGCAGCACGATGCCTCCAGCTTTGTTCTTTTGGCTTAGGATTGACTTGGTAATGTGGGCTCTTTTTTGGTTCCGTATGAACTTTAAAGTAGTTTTTTCCAATTCTGTGAAGACAGTCATTGGTAGCTTGATGGGAATGGCATTGAATCTATAAATTACCTTGGGCAGTGTGGCCATTTTCACAATATTGATTCTTCCTACCCATGAGCATGGAATGTTCTTCCATTTCTTTGTATCCTCTTTTATTTCATTGAGCAGTGGTTTGTAGTTCTCCTTGAAGAGGTCCTTCACATCCCTTGTAAGTTGGATTCCTAGGTATTTTATTCTCTTTGAAGCAATTGTGAATGGGAGTTCACTCATGATTTGGCTGTCTGTTTGTCTGTTATTAGTGTATAAGGATGCTGTGATTTTTGCACATTGATTTTGTATCCTGAGACTTTGCTGAAGTTGCTTATCAGCTTAAGGAGATTTTGGGCTGAGACAGTGGGGTTTTCTAGATGTACAATCATGTCATCTGCAAACAGGGACAATTTGACTTCCTCTTTTCCTAATTGAATACCCTTCATTTCCTTCTCGTGCCTGATTGCTCTGGCCAGAACTTCCAATACTATGTTGAATAGGAGTGGTGAGAGAGGGCATCCCTGTCTTGTGCCAGTTTTCAAAGGGAATGCTTCCAGTTTTTGCCCATTCAGTATGGTATTGGCTGTGGGTTTGTCATAGATAGCTCTTATTATTTTGAGATATGTCCCATCAATACCTAATTTATTGAGAGTTTTTAGCATGAAGCCTTGTTGAATTTTGTCAAAGGCCTTTTCGGCATCTTTTGAGATAATCATGTGTTTTTTGTCTTTGGTTCTGTTTATATGCTGGATTACATTTATTGATTTGTGTATGTTGAACCAGCCTTGCATCCCAGGGATGAAGCCCACTTGATCATGGTGGATAAGCTTTTTGATGTGCTGCTGGATTCGGTTTGCCAGTATTTTATTGAGGATTTTTGCATTGATGTTCATGAGGTATATTGGTCTAAAATTCTCTTTTTTTGTTGTGTCTCTGCCAGGCTTTGGTACCAGGATGATCCTGGGCTCATAAAATGAGTTAGGTAGGATTCCCTATTTTTCTATTGACTGGAATAGTTTCAGAAGGAATGGTACCAGTTCCTCCTTGTACCTCTGGTAGAATTCGGCTGTGAATCCGTCTGGTCCTGGACTTTTTTTGGTTGGTAAGCTATTAATTATTGCCTTAATTTCAGAGCCTGTTATTTATCTATTAAGAGATTCAACTTCTTCCTGGTTTTGTCTTGGGAGGGTGTATGTGTCGAGGAATTTATCCATTTCTTGTAGATTTTCTAGTTTATTTGTGTAGAAGTTTTTATAGTGTCCTCTGATTGTAGTTTGTATTTCTGTGGGATCGGTGGCAATATCCCCTTGGTCATTTTTTATTGCATCTATTTGATTCTTCTCTCTTTTCTTCTTTATTAGTCTTGCTTGTGGTCTTTCAATTTTCTTGATCTTGTCAAAAAAACGGCTCCTGGATTCATTGATTTTTTTGAAGGGTTTTTTGTGTCTCTATTTCCTTCAATTCTGCTCTGATTAGGTTATTTCTTGCCTTCTGCTAGCTTTTGAATGTGTTTGCTCTTGCTTCTCTAGTTCTTTTAATTGTGATGTTAGGATGTCAATTTTAGATCTTTCCTGCTTTCTCTTGTGGGCATTTAGTGCTATAAATTTCCTTCTACACACTGCTTTGAATGTGTCCCAGAGATTCTGGTACGTTGTGTCTTTGTTCTCATTGGTTTCAAAGAACATCTTTATTTCTGCCTTCATTTTGTTGTGTACCCAGTAGTCATTCAGGAGCAGGTTGTTCAGTTTCCATGTAGTTGAGCGGTTTTGAATGAGTTTCTTGATCCTGAGTTCTAGTTTGATTGCACTGTGGTCTGAGAGACAGTTTGTTTTAATTTCTGATCTTTTACATTTGCTGAGGAGTGCTTTACTTCCAACTATGTGGTCAATTTTGTAATAGGTGTGGTGTGATGCTGAGAAGAATGTATATTCTGTTGATTTGGGGTGGAGAGTTCTGTAGATGTCTATTAGGTCTGCTTGGTGCAGAGCTGAGTTCAATTCCTGGGTATCCTTGTTAACTTTCTGTCTCGTTGATCTGTCTAATGTTGACAGTGGGTTGTTAAAGTCTCCCATTATTATTGTGTGGGAGTCTAAGTCTCTTTGTAGGTCTCTAAGGACTTGCTTTACGAATCTGGGTACTCCTGTATTGGGTGCATATATATTTAGGATGGTTGGCTCTTCTTGTTGAATTGATCCCTTTACCATTATGTAATGGCCTTCTTTGTCTCTTTTGATATTAGTTGGTTTAAAGTCTGTTTTATCAGAGACTAGGATTGCAACCCCTGCCTTTTTTTGTTTTCCATTTGCTTGGTAGATCTCCCTCCATCCCTTTATTTTGAGCCTATGTGTGTCTTTGCACGTGAGATGGGTTTCCTGAATGCAGCACACTGATGGGTCTTGACTCTTTATCCAATTTGCCAGTCTGTGTCTTTTAATTGGAGCATTTAGCCCTCCAGTCTACAGCTCCCAGCATGAGCGATGCAGAAGACGGGTCATTTCTGCATTTCCAACTGAGGTACCAGGTTCATCTCACTGGGGAGTGTTGAACAGTGGGCGCAGGGCTGTGGGTGCAGTGCACCAAGTGTGAGCCGAAGCAGGGCAAGGCATCGCCTCACCCAGGAAGCACAAGGGGTCAGGCAATTCCCTTTCCTAGTCAAAGAAAGGGGTGACAGATGGCACCTGGAAAATCGGGTCACTCCCACCCTAATACTGCACTTTTCCAATGGTCTTAGCAAACGGCACACCAGGAGAATATACCCTGTGCCTGGCTCGGAGGGTCCTATGCCCACAGAGCCTTGCTCATTGCTAGCACAGCAGTCTGTGATCAAACTGCAAGCCAGCAGCAAGGCTGGGGGAGGGGCGCCCACCATTGCTGAGGGTTGAGTAGGTAAACAAAGCGGCCAGGAGGCTCAAACTGGGTGGAGCCCACCGCAGCTCAAGAAGACCCTCTTGCCTCTGTAGACTCCACCTCTGGGGGCAGGGCATAGCCAAACAAAAGGCAGCAGAAACCTCTGCAGATTTAAATGTCCCTGTCTGACAGCTTTGAAGAGAGTAGTGGTTCTCCCAGCACGCAGCTTGAGATCTGAGAACGAACAGACTGCCTCCTCAAGTGGGTCCCTGACCCCCGAGTAGCCTAACTGGGAGGCACCCCCCAGTAGGGGCAGACCGACACCTCACACGGCCAGGTACTCCTCTGAGACAAAACTTCCAGAGGAACGATCAGGCAGCAACATTTGCTGTTCACCAATATCCGCTGTTCTGCAGCCTGTGCTGCTGATACCCAGGCAAACAGGGTCTGGAGTGGACCTCTAGTAAACTCCAACAGACCTGCAGCTGAGGGTCCTGACTGTTAGAAGGAAAACTAACAAACAGAAAGGACATCCACACCAAAACCCCATCTGTACGTCACCATCATCAAATACCAAAGGTAGATAAAACCACAAAGATGGGGAAAAAACAGAGCAGAAAACGAAACTCTAAATATCAGAGCGCCTCTCCTCCTCCAAAGGAATGCAGCTCCTCACCAGCAACAGAACAAAGCTGGATGATGAATGACTTTGATGAGTTGAGAGAAGAAGGCTTCAGACGATCAAACTACTCTGAGCTAAAGGAGGAAGTTCGAAGCCATGGCAAAGAAGTTAAAAACCTTGAAAAAAAATTAGACAAATGGCTAACTAGAATAACCAATGCAGAGAAGTCCTTAAAGGACCTGATGGAGCTGAAAACCATGGCACGAGAACTACATGATGAATGCACAAGCCTCAGTAGCCGATTCGATCAACTGGAAGAAAGGGTATCAGTGATGGAAGATCAAATGAATGAAATGAAGCGAGAAGAGAAGTTTAGAGAAAAAAGAATAAAAGGAAACGAACGAAGCCTCCAAGAAATATGGGACTATGTGAAAAGACCAAATCTACATCTGATTGGTGTACCTGAAAGTGACGGGGAGAATGGAACCAAGTTGTAAAACACTCTGCAGGATATTATCCAGGAGAACTTCCCCAATCTAGCAAGGCAGGCCAACATTCAAATTCAGGAAATACAGAGAATGCTACAAAGATACTCCTCAAGAAGAGCAACTCCAAGACACATAATTGTCAGATTCACCAAAGTTGAAATGAAGGAAAAAATGTTAAGGGCAGCCAGAGAGAAAGGTCGGGTTACCCACAAAGGGAAACCCATCAGACTAACAGCTGATCTCTGGGCAGAAACTCTACAAGCCAGACGAGAGTGGGGGCCAATATTCAACATTCTTAAAGAAAGAATTTTCAACCCAGAATTTCATATCCAGCCAAACTAAGCTTCATAAGTGAAGGAGAAAAAACACCAATTCTTTAAAAAATATTCAAAACAAATTGGAGAGGGGGGATTTCTCCCTAACTCATTCTATGAGGCCAGTATTACTGATACCAAAACCAGATGAAGCTACAACAGAAAAAGAAAATTACAGACCATTAATCTTGATAATATACATGTAAAAATTCTTAAGACAATACTAGCAAAACAAAACCAATAGCACATCATAAAGATAGTGCACCATGATCAAGTGGGGTTTATGCCAGGAATGCAAAGATGCTTCAACATATGCAATTCACTAAATGTGGTACACTGAGAACACATGGACATGTGGGAAAGAACATACTGGGGCCTGTCAGGCGTGATTCAGGGGAGGGACAGCAACAGGAAGAATACATATTGGATGCTGGGCTTAATACCTGGGTAGTGGGATGATCTGTGAAGCAACCACCATGGCACACGTTTGCGTTTGTAACAAACCTGCACATCCTGCACATGCACCCCTGAACTTAAAAGTTGAAGGAAAATGAAATGTGGTATATCACATCAACAAAACAACGGATAAAGACCATATGACATCTCAATAGACAGAGAAAAAAACTCATAAAATTTGATATATCTCATTATAAAAACCCTCAACAAATTAAGCATAGAAGAAACATACCTCAACTTAATAAACGCCATGTATGACAAACCCACAGCTAATACCACACCAAATGGGGAAAAGCTGAAAGTCTTTCCACTAAACCTGGAAGAAAACAAGGATGCTCACTTTCACCTCTCATATTCAACATAGTACTGGAAGTGCTAGCCAGACCAATCAAGCAAGAGAAAGAAAGAAAATGTATCCAAATTAGAAAAGAGGAAGTCAAATATTCCCTCTTGGTAGACAGCATGACTTTATTTATAGAAAAACTTAAAGGCACCACCAAAATAACTCTTAGAACTGATAAACAAATACTGTACTGTACACTTATAATTAACTCATTGAAAAAGAAATCAAGAAAGTGATCCCATTTACAATAGCTACAATAAAGAATAAAATACCCAGATATAAATTTAACCAAGGAGTTTCAAGACCTCAACGAGGAAAGTACCAAGCAAGCTGAAAGAAATTGAGAAGAACACAAATAAATGGGAAGATGTCCATGCTCACGGATTGGAAGAATATTGTTAAAATGACTCCACTATTCAGAGCAATGCAATCCCTGTCAAAATATTAATGACATTCTTCACATATATAAAATATAAATCTTAAAATTCATATGAAATCACAAAAGATCCCAAATAGCAAAAGCAATACCGAGCAAAAGGTTACATCACACTACCTGACTTCAAGGTATATTAGAAAGGTATAGTAACCAAAACAGCATGGTCTTAGTATGAAAATAGACACATAGACCAGTGGAATAGAATGGAGAACCCAGAAATAAATCTACGTATTTATAGCCATCTTACTTTTGACTGGGTGCCAAGAGCATGCATTGGGGAAAGACAGTCTTTTCAATAAACCATTCTGAGAAAACTGGATATCCGTATGCGTATGAATGAAACTAGACCCTTGTCTCTCACCATAGGCAAAAATCAACTCACAATGGATTAAAGAGTTAAACATAAGACCTGAAATTATACAAGTGCTAAAAGAAAACATACAGAAAACATTTTAGGACATTGGTCTTGGTAAAGATTTTATGGCTAAGACTTTAAAATCACAGACAACAAAATAAAAACAGGCAAATGGGTTTGTATTAAACTAAAAGTTTCTGTATAGCAAAGGAAACAATCAACAGAATGAAAAGAAACCCTGTATAGTAGAAGAAAGTATATACAAAGTATTCATCAGACAAGGACTAATATCCTGAATACACAAGGAATAGTTCAATAGCAAATACACACACACACACACACACACACACACACACACACTCCCATCTAAAAGACAAAGAACTGAATAGGTATTTCTCAAAAGAAGACAAACAGATGGCCATCAGATACATGGAAAAATACTCAGCATCACTAATCATCAGGGAAATGCAAATTAAAACCACAGTGAAGTATCATCTCACCCCAGTTAGCAGGGCTATTATCAAAAGACAAGACATAACAAATGTTGGCAAGAATGTAGAGAAAAGGGAACTCCCATACGCTGTTGGTGGGAATGGAAATTAATGCAGTTATTTTGGAAAACAATATGAAGATTTCTCAAAAAAGCAAAAATAGAACTACATTATGATCCAGCCATCTCACTATTGGATATTTATCCAAAGGAAAGGAAATCAGTTATCAAAGAGATACGTACACCCCCGTGTTTATTATAGCACTATTCACAATGACCAAGATATGGAATCAACCTGTGTCCATCATCATATGAATGGATAAAGAAAATGTGCTGTATTTATACACAAATACCATTAAGCTGTAAAAATGAATGAAAATGAGTCATTTGCAGCAACATGGATGGAACTGTAGGTAATTACTTTAAGTGAAATAAGACAGGCACAGAAAGAGAAATACTGCATGATATCACTCATGTGAGAGCTAAAAAAAGTTGAGGTAGAGAGTAGAATGCTAGTTACAGGAGGCTGTGAAAGGTGGTGTGGGAGGAAGGTGAGGAGTGATTGATGAATGGGTACAAACACACAGATGGAAGGAATAAGTTCTAGCATTCGATAGCACAGGAGGCTGGCTATGGTTAACAATAATTTATATTTCAAAATAGCTAGAAGATTTGATATTTTCCCACCATAAAGAAATGATAAATATTTGAGGTGATTGATATCCTAAATACCCTGATTCAGTTATTACACATTGTATGCGTGCATCAAAATATATGTACCCCATAGATATGTATGATTAATATGTAACAATAAAAAATGAAAGAACATTTCTCAATAAATTGGCAAAATTGAAAATTTTAATCATATCAAAAAGTGTGGAGAAACAGTATCATACACTATTGCTAGGAATGCAAATTACTAGAGCCATTTTGGAGATCAGTGTGGCAGTATCATTTAACAATTATTTCTAATTATCAATGATAACTGGCATAGCAACTCTTTTCCGGTTATCTCCCCCTTCTTTCTGACTTCTCTTTAATTCTTTGCAATTTGTAACCCACAACTAACCTTTTCGCCTAAAGAATTGCTCGGGCAAAAAGAGAAAATTCTTTCAATGTCCCTTTGAAAATTCTTCAGCAACATGACTGATTAACATGAGTGGGGTTTGTTGTTGTTTACCCTACACACTCTAGAAACCATCAGTAAAATTGTAAAATTGTGTTCAGAGACATTCAGTAAGAGTACGACTAGGCGTGGTGTGGTTGCTGACGCCTGTTATCCCACTACTTTGAGAGGCCAAGCCATGAGGATTGCTTGAGTCCAGGAATTTGAGACCAGCCTGAGCAACACAGGAAGACCCTATCTCTAAATTTAGCTGGGTGTGGTGGTGCATGCCTGTTGTCCTAGCTAATAAGGAGGCTGAGATGGGAGGTTTGCTTGAGCCCAGGACTTCGAAGTTATAGTAAGCTATGAATGCTGCACTCTACGCTAGCCTGGGCAATGATAG
Organism: Homo sapiens; assembly: GCF_000001405.40. Classification (NCBI taxonomy): domain Eukaryota; kingdom Metazoa; phylum Chordata; class Mammalia; order Primates; family Hominidae; genus Homo; species Homo sapiens. The sequence continues at coordinate 37,105,478 of NC_000018.10, forward strand.
AATGAGACTCTGTCTTTTTGAAGGAAAAAAAAAAAAAAAAAAAAGAGCACTACTGCAGAAAAGTATTTGCTATTAATTGAATGTTACATAACTTCCATAATAGAGGCATTTTCAAGGATTGGAAATGTCCTATTCTCTCTCAGGTTCTTTTGAATTATAGTGTAAAGGCTGTTCACAGTGGCTCATGCCTATTATCCCAGCAATTTTGGAGGCCAAGTTGGGCAGATCACTTGAGGTCAGGAGTTTGAGGCCAACATGGTGAAACCCCATCTCTACTAAAAATACAAAAATTAACTTGGCTTGGTGGCAGGCACCTGTAATCCCAGTTACTTGGGAAGCTGAGGTAGGAGAATCATTTGGACCCAGGAGACAGAGGTTGCAGTGAGAAGAGATTGCTCCACTGCGCTCCAGCCTGGTTGACAGAGCAAGACTCTGTGTCAAAAAAAAAAAAAAAAAAAAAAAAAAAAAGAATTATAGTATAAAAGGTATTTTTTAAATAAATATAAAAATTATCCCTTAAACATGGAATTACCAAGTGACCTAGCAGTCCCACTCCTAGGTAACATACATCCACACAAAAATGTCTATATGAATATTCATAGCAACACTATTTATAATAGCTGAAAAATGGAAACACCCAAAATGTCCAGCAGCTGGTGAATGGATAAATAAAATGTCATTTATCCATGCAATGGAATATTTGTCAATAAAAAGAAAAAAGTACTAATGCATGTTACAACATGGATAAACCTTGAAAACGTGCTATGATTTCATTTGTATGAAATGTCCAGAAAAGGCTAATACAGAGATAAAGGAAGTATATTAGTGATTGCCTAGTGCTGGAAGTGGGAACTAGGAGCAACTGCCAATGGATATGAAGTTTCTTTTAGGGGCATTAGAAATTAGGTTTTAAGGATGATTGCACAACTGTCAACTAAAAATCACTTTTTTTTTTTTTTTTGAGACAGTCTCGCTCTGTCACCCAGGCTGGAGTGCAGTGGCGAGATCTTGGCTCACTGCAACTTCTGCCTCTCAAGTTCAAGCAGTTCTCCTGCCACAGCCTCCCGAATAGCTGGAACTACAGGCGTGCCCCACCACGCCTGGCTCCTTTTTGTATTTTTGATAGAGACTGGGTTTCACCATGTTGGCCAGGCTGGTCTCGAACTCCTGACCTCAAGCCTGGCTTGGCCTCCCAAAGTTCTGGGATTACAGGCATAAGCCACTGCACCTGGCCTAAAAATCACTCTAAATGGGTGAATTTCATGGTATATAAATTATATCTCACTAATGCTTTTTAAAAATTGTTCCCTGTGTTTCGTATTGTTCAAAATCCAAAACGAATTAAGTGTCACTAAGAACAAAATAATGTTACAAAGCTTTGCTTACTTTTAGAGTACATAAGCTTTTCCCCTTTTCTCCTCAAGATTTTCCTGCCACTTACCCCTTACACTAGTTGGGAATCGCTTTTTAAAAACTGAATTCTTGGCCAGGTGCAGTAGCTCATGCTTGTAATTCCAACATTTAGGGAGGCCGATGCGGGCAGATCACTTGAGGCCAGGAGTTCAAGACCATTCTGGCCAACATGGTGAAACCCCATCTCTACTAAAAATACAAAAATACCAGGCATGGTGGTGCACACCTGTAATCCCAGCTACTCAGGAGGCTGAGACAGGAGAATGGCTTGAGCTCAGGCAGAGGCTGAAGTGGGCCGGGGTCATGCCACTGTACTCCAGCCTGGACAACAGAGTGAGACTCTGTCTTAAAAAACAAACAAACAAACAAAACTGAATTATCTAAGATGGCTTATCAGAATCCCTTTCTGTATTCATAATAGATATGATAAAACAAATGAGAATAAATACTATCTAAATCCTCTTTATGAGACCTATGTCCTGGTGACTAGTAATACTATTTTTAAAAATTATATGTAGTTTCATAGAAATAGCACTGAATCTGTAAATTACTTTGGGCAGTATGACAGTTTTTACTATATTGATCCTTCCAGCCCATGAGCATAGAATGTTTTTCCATTTATTTGTGTTGTCTCTGATTTCCTTCACCAGTGTTTTGTAGTTCTTGTAGATATCTTTCACCTCCTTGGTTAGATGTATTCATTCCTAGGTATTTCATTTTTCACTGTGGCTATTGTAAGTGGGATTATGTTCTTGATTTCATTTTTAGCCTGGGCATTGTTGGTATATAGAAATGGCACTAATATTTGCACATGGATTTGTGTATCCTGAAACTTTACTAAAGCTGCTCATCAATTCTAGAAACCTTTTGGCAGAGTCTTTAGGATTTTCTAGTTATAGAATCATCATCAGTGAAGATAGAGTTTGACTTATGAGATGCCATCTCACACCAGTCAGAATGGCTATTATTAAAAGGTTAAAAAAAAAAACAGATGCTGGCAAGCCCGTGGAGAAAATGGAACACATGTACACTGTTAGTGGGAATGTAAACGCAGCCACTGTAGAAAGCAATTTGGAGATTATCAAAGAACTTAAAACAGAACTACCATTTGACCCAGCACTCCTGTTACTGGGTATATACCTAAAAGAAATAAATCATCCTGCCAAAAAGACATATGCACTTGTACGTTCATTACTGCACTATTCACAATAGCAAAGACATAGAATGAACCCAGGTACCTATCAGTGGTAGATTGGATAAAGAAAATATGGTAAATATACACCTGGAAATACTATGCATAAAAAAGAATGAAGTCATGTCCTTTGCAGCAACATGGATGGAACTGGTGGCTATTATCATAAGCAAATTTACACAGGAACAGAAAACCAAATACTGCATGTTCTCATGTATAAGTGGGAGCTAAGCATTGAGCACACATAAACTAAATATGAGAACAGCAGACTCTGTGAACTACTACTGGGGGAGGGGGCGGGTAGTTAAAAAACTACCTGTTGGTTACTATGCTCACTACCAGGGTGATGGGATCTGTACTCCAAACCTTAGCCTTATGCAATATTCCCGTGTAACAAATCTGCACATGTACCTTCTGTATCTAAAATAAAAACTGAAATTAAAAATTATTTGTAATGAACAGTTTAAAATATATAAATTTCTAATAAATATATGTTATTAAATCAACTTACGCATTTTTTCATTGTAAACAATAAGTGAGATGGTTAACACATCACCAGTCTGGTACCTGTTCTCTCCATGCCTTAGCATGGTCTTACATAGCCTTTAGGAGCAAAGCTTTATTCTTACATTCCATACTAGGACACCTCACTTCTTTACCCTTGCCACAGACACTGGTGTTTTTTGTTTTGTTTTGTTTTGTTTTTATTATTATACTTTAAGTTCTAGGGTACATGTGCACAATGTGCAGGTTTGTTACATAGGTATACATGTTACATGTTGGTTTGCTGCACCCAACAACTCATCATTTACATTAGGTATTTCTCCTAATACTATCCCTCCCCCAGCCCCCCACCCCCTGACAGGCCCTGGCGTGTGATGTTCCCCACCCTGTGTCCATGTGTTCTCATTGTTCAACTCCCACCTATGAGTGAGAACATGCAGTGTTTGGTTTTCTGTCCTTGTGATAGTTTGCTTAGAATGATGGTTTCCAGCTTCATCCGTGTCCGTGCAAAGCACATGAACTCATCCTTTTTTATGGCTGCATAGTATTCCATGGTGTATATGTGCCACATTGTCTTAATCCAGTCTATCACTGATGGACATTTGGATTGGTTCCAAGTCTTTGCTATTGTGAATAGTGCTGCAATAAACATATGCAGACACTGGTTTTAAAATGATAGCTAATAGACTGAAATGTAAGGCTACTTAGGGTTCTCCCAAGCTGTTGTATAAACATCATTTGTTAATTGTAGATTGATGACACTTAAAGGGGAAAATAAAACATGTTACCCCTCGTATATGGCATAGCATAGCCTAAGAATTAGCTTTTTTGTATGTAATAACTACATGTTTTTGTCTCTAGATAATTTTTCAATCATATTTGTTATATTAGTACATAATTTGTGGGATATTTTCTCAAATGGCAATTCATAGATTTTTTTCAGGATGTTAGATTATCTGACTGCATTCTTTTTTCCTAGGGCATGACTTATATGTGTATGAAAGTAGGGGTTAGAAAGCATTATCTATAGAAATTAGAGAAATTTCCTGAAAAATGTTGCTGCTACCACTTATTAAATACAAGAAGCTGGTTAATAAATTGTATAAACATTACACTTTATCTGCTGCACGTGAATAGACAGAGTACTGGTGGTTCTCAGCCTTTGTTCTAACATACTTACACAAATCTTTTTGAAAGTAATTTTCTTCCTAGAAGAAATAATATAGGTGGGATTGGAGAGTTGGAAGTTTCATTGCCAGTTGAGTCTGCTTGCTTTGATAACCTCATTCCCAAATTTATTTGGAATGAGAGCAGTTTGATTTCTTTCTACACAGTAACTGCTTATTCTGCTCCAATCTGAAACGGAGCTCTTGTCACACTGTGGACCAGAGGTAGCATCTTAGATAGTGAACATTATTTCCCAGGAGACAGAGAAAAGCAGTGGACTTGAAGATGTCAGCTGGTTAAAAAAAAAAAAAAATCACTTATTTTTCAACATTTTTTTCGAGGCTCCAATAAATGGAGATTAGTCTGCAGCCTACAACTGCATATTTAGTTGTCATATCAGACCTTTGGTAGAATCCAAAAGACTGTTACTGGATATTATGGTCTAATTGATAAAATATATCCAGGCCAAGATTTTGTTAATGAAAAAAAAATCTGTAAATGTATTGCAGTGTTTCACTTATACTACTGAAATATTTGTACATTAGGTATTTTGCAGTATGAGGTGAGAGTTAAGGAATAAGGCAAAATAGATAGAAGCCAAAAGTATTTTATCAAAGCATCACGTTTGCCTATAAGACCTTTATGTGCCTGTAAATAGTGAAGCTAGCAAGGTTAAGAAGTAATTATTAAGTCAATTTATTTATTCTTGTTTTCAGAAATTACAGAAATTCCCTCTGAAAGGATATAAAATTTTTGATGCCATAAAAGGTTTTTATTTTTAGATAACTATAGCTTCCATTTGCTTTTCTAACTGCATTGAAATAGTTTCTTTACATTGATTTTGGGATTCAGCACAACTGGATACACTTAGGATGAACAAACAAACACAAAAATTTAACAAACATTCTTTTATTTGTGGAATTTTCTGGATAGATAGGATGGGCAAAAGTTTATGTGAAGATAGATGAAAAGAAATAATTACTGTTTCTGAGCATACATTTTGTTTATAAAGTGTCTGAGAACATGGTTGCAATCTTATTGGCTTATGGCGGTTTGTTTTAGGTGGTTGCCGTCTCAGAAGAACTTGCAATTACATATGAAAGAGTGCTAATTTTTAATAATCCTACAGAAAAAAGTTTACATTGAACTCAACTATATTTGTTTTTCACATTGCTCCTGTAGTGAAGAGGATTGATTTCTGCATTACTTTTGCAATTTGGCATTGTGTCCTTTGGTACTTGGTGTGTGCAAGCCTTAATCCTTTAACCGTGAACCTGAGCCCTGGGCTATTTGATGGAAAGACTTTCTTTGTTACGTGGTATGGTGGAGTATTGTATTAGTCTGAGTCAACTTGAGAAAAAGAACCAGTAGGAGATATATATTATAAGATATATTGCAAGGAATTTGCTTACACAGCTGTCCATGCTGGCTAGGCATGTCTGAATCCATAGGCAGGCTATCAAGAAGATCAGGCTGGAACTTAGGAACAGGCTGAAGCTGCTATCCACAGGGAGAATTTTTCATTTTTCAGGAAAGCCTCAGGTCTGCCTTTAAGGCTTTTCAAGAAATTAAACAGACCCATCCTGATTACCTAGGATTTTATGGACTTTAATCACATCTACAGAATACCTTCACAGCAACCCTTAGATTAGTGTTTGATTGGGTAACTGGGAACTTTAGTCCAGCCAAGTTGACACATAAAGAAGACCATCATAGCCCATAACTTGTCAACTTGGCACTCATACACATCATCTTAAGCCATACTTAACCTTCAAATAAAAACATTAAAAATGATTATTGGAGGTTCCAAAATGGCCAAATAGGAAAAGCTCCAGTCTACAGCTCCCAGTGTGAGCAACACAGAAGACAGGTGATTTCTGCATTTCCAACTGAGGCGCCTGGTTCATCTCACTGGGGCTTGTCAGACAGTGGGTGTAGCCCTGGGAGTATGAGCCAAAGCAGGGTGGGGCATCGCCTCACCTGGGAAGCACAAGGGGTCGGGGAATTCCCTTTCCTAGCCAAGGGAAGCCATGACAGACAGCACCTGGAAAATTGGGACACTCCCACTCTAACATTGCGCTTTCCCAACCGTCTTAGCAAACAGCACACCAGGAGATTATATCCCGTGCCTGGCTCAGAGGGTCCCATGCCCACAGAGCCTCACTCACTGCTAGCAGACCAGTCTGAGTTCAAACTGCAAGGTGGCAGTGAGGTGGGTGGAGGGACGTCCGCCATTGCTAAGGCTTGAGTAGGTAAACAAAGCAGCCAGGCAGCTTGAACTGGGTGGAACCTACCGCAGCTCAAGGAGGCCTGCCTGCCTCTGTAGACTCCACCTCCGGGGGCAAGGCATAGCTGAACAAAAGGCAGCAGAAACTTCTGCAGACTTAAACGTCTCTGTCTGACAGCTTTGAAGAGAGTAGCAGTTCTCCCAGCACGGAGTTTGAGATCTGAGAATGGACAGACTGCCTCCTGAAGTGGGTCCCTGACCCCCGAGTAGCCTAACTGGGAGACACCTCCCAATAGGAGCCGACTGATACTTCATACAGTCGGGTGCCCCTCTGAAATGAAACTTCCAGAGGAAGATCAAGCAGCAACATTTGCTGTTCTGCAATATTTGCTGTTCTGCAGCCTCCGCTGGTGATACCCAGGCAAACAGCATCTGGAGTGGACCTCCAGCAAACTCCAACAGACCTGTGGCTGAGGGTTCTGACTGTTAGAAGGACATCAACACCAAAACCCCATCTGTACATCACCATCATGAAAGACCAAAGGTAGATAAAACCACAAAGATGGGGAGAAACCAGAGCAGAAAAGCTGAAAATTCTAAAAATCAGAGCGCCTCTTCTCCTCCAAAGGAACGCAGGTCCTCACCTGCAACGGAACAAAGCTGGACAGAGAATGACTTTGACGAGTTGAGAGAAGAAGGCTTCAGAAGATCGGTAATAACAAACCTCTCCAAGTGAAAGGAGGATTTTCGAACCAATCGCAAAGAAGCTGAATACCTTGAAAAAAGATTGGATGAGTGGCTAACTAGAATAAACAGTGTAGAGAAAGCCTTAAGTGACCTGATGGAGCTGAAAACCATGGCACAAACACTACGTGATGCATGCACAAGCTTCAGTAGCTGATTCGATCAAGTGGAAGAAAGGGTGTCAGTGATTGAAGATCAAATGAATGAAATGAAGTGAGAAGAGAAGTTTAGAGAAAAAAGAGTAAAAAGAAATGAAAAAAGCCTCCAAGAAATATGGGACTATGTGAAAAGACCAAATCTACGTTTGACTGGTGTACCTGAAAGGGACGGGGAGAATGGAACCAAGTTGGAAAATACTCTTCAGGATATCAACCAGGAGAACTTCCCCAACCTAGCAAGGCAGGCCAACATTCAAATTCAGGAAATACAGAGAATGCCACAAAGATATCCTCGAGAAGAGCAACTCCAAGACACATAATTGTCAGATTCACCAAAGTTGAAATGAAGAAAAAAGTGTTAAGGGCAGCCACAGAGAAAGGTCAGGTTAATCATAAAGGGAAGCCCATCAGACTACCAGCGGATCTCTGGGCAGAAACTCTACAAGCCAGAAGAGAGTGGGGGCCAATATTCAACAAACTTAAAGAAAATAATTTTCAACCCAGAATTTCATATCCAGCCAAACTAAGCTTCATAAGCAAAGGAGAAATAAAATCCTTTACAGACAAGCAAATGCTGAAAGACTTTGTCACTACCAGACTTGCCTTACAAGAGCTCCTGAAGGAATCACTGAACGTGGAAAGGAACAACTGGTACCAGCCACTGCAAAAACATGCCAAATTGTAAAGACCATTGATGCTAGGAAGAAACTGCATCAACTAACGAGCAAAATAACCAGCTAACATCATAATGACAGGATCGAATTCACACATAACAATATTAACCTTAAATGTAAATGGGCTAAATGCTCCAATTAAAAGACAAAGACTGGCAAATTGGATAAAGATTCAAGACTCATCATTGTGCTGTATTCAGGAGACCCATCTCACGTTCAGAGACACACATAGGCTCAAAATAAAGGGATGGAGGAAGATCTACCAAGCAAATGGAAAACAAAAAAAAGCAGGTGTTGCAATCCTAGTCTCTGATAAAACAGACTTTAAACCAACTAATATCAAAAGAGACAAAGAAGGCCATTACATAATGGTAAAGGGATCAATTCACCAAGAAGAGCCAACCATCCTAAATATATATGCACCCAATACAGGAGTACCCAGATTCATAAAGCAAGTCCTTAGAGACCTACAAAGAGACTTAGACTCCCACACAATAATAATGGGAGACTTTAACAACCCACTGTCAACATTAGACAGATCAACGAGACAGAAAGTTAACGAGGATATCCAGGAATTGAACTCAGCTCTGCATCAAGCAGACCTAATAGACATCTACAGAACTCTCCACGCCAGATCAACAGACTATACATTCTTCTCAGCACCACGTCGCACTTATTCCAAAATTGACCACATAGTTGGAAGTAAAGCACTCCTCAGCAAATGTAAAAGAACAGAAAGTATAACAAACTGTCTCTCAGACCACAGTGCAATCAAACTAGAACTCAGGATTAAGAAACTCATTCAAAACCGCTCAACTACATGGAAACTGAACAACCTGCTCCTGAGTGACTACTGGGTACATAATAAAATGAAGGCAGAAATAAAGCTATTCTTTGAAACCAATGAGAACAAATATACAACATGCCAGAATCTCTGGGACACATTTAAAGCAGTGTGTAGAGGGAAATTTATAGCACTAAATGCCCACAAGAGAAAGCAGGAAAGATCTAAAACTGACAACCTAAGATGACAGTTAAAAGAACTAGAGAAGCAAGAGCAAACACATTCAAAAGCTAGCAGAAGGCAAGAAATAACTAAGATCAGAGCAGAACTGAAGGAGACAGAGACACAAACAACCCTTTAGAAAATCAATGAATCCAGGAGCTGGTTTTTTTGAAAAGATCAACAAAACAAAATTGATAGACCACTAGCAAGACTAATAAAGAAGAAAAGAGAAAGAATCAAATAGATGCAATAAAAGATGATAAAGGGGATATCACCACTGACTCTACAGAAATACAAACTACCATCAGATAATACTATAAACACCTCTACGCAAATAAACTAGAAAATCTAGAAGAAATGGATAAATTGCTCAACACATACAGCCTCCCAGACTAAACAAGGAAGAAGTTGAATCCCTGAATAGACCAGTAACAGGCTCTGAAATTGAGGCAATAATTAATAGCCTACCAACAAAAAAAAGTCCAGGACCAGACGGATTCACAGCCGAATTCTACCAGAGGTACAAAGTGGAGCTGGTACCATTCCTTCTGAAACTATTCCAATTAATAGAAAAAGAGGGAATCCTCCCTAACTGATTTTATGAGGCCAGCATCATCCTGATACTAAAGCCGGGCAGAGGCATGACAAAGAAAGAGATTTTTAGACCAATATCCCTGAAGAACATCGATGCAAAAATCCTCAATAAAATACTGGCAAACCGAATCCAGCAGCACATCAAAAAGCTTATCCACCATGATCAAGTTGGCTTCATCCCTGGGATGCAAGGCTGGTTGAACATACACAAATCAATAAACGTAATCCATCATATAAACAGAACCAAAGACAAAAACCACATGATTATCTCAATAGATGCAGAACAGGCCTTCAACAAAATTCAACAGCCCTTCATGCTAAAAACTCTCAATAAGCTAGGTATTGATGGGACGTATCTTGAAATAATAAGAGCTATTTATGACAAACCCACAGCCAATATCATACTGAATGGGCAAAAACTGGAAGCATTCCCTTTGAAAACTGGCACAAGACAGGGATGCCCTCTCTCACCACTCCTGTTCAACATAGTGTTGGAAGTTCTGGCCTGGGCAATCAGGCTGGAGAAAGAAATAAAAGTATTCAATTAGGAAGAGAGGAAGTCAAATTGTCCCTGTTTGCAGATGACATGATTGTATATCTAGAAAACCCCATCGTCTCAGCCCAAAATCTCCTTAAGCTGATAAGCAATTTCAGCAAAGTCTCAGTATACAAAATGAATGTGCAAAAATCACAAGCATTCCTATACAGCAATAACAGACAAACAGCCAAATCATGAGTGAACTCCCATTCACAATTGCTTCAAAGAGAATAAAATACCTAGGAATCCAACTTACAAGGGATGTGAAGGACCTCTTCAAGGAAAACTACAAACCACTGCTCAATGAAATAAAAGAGGACACAAACAAATGGAAGAACATTCCATGCTCATGGGCAGGAAAAATCAATATCATGAAAATGGCCATACTGCCCAAGGCAATTTATAGATTCAATGCCATCCCCATCAAGCTACCAATAACTTTCTTCACAGAATTGGAAAAAACTACTTTAAAGTTCATATGGAACCAAAAAAGAGCCTGCATTGCCAAGTCAATCCTAAGCCAAAAGAACAAAGCTGGAGGCATCATGCTACCTGACTTCAAACTATACTACAAGGCTACAGTAACCAAAACAGCATGGTACTGGTTCCAAAACAGAGATACAGACCAATGGAACAGAACAGAGCCCTCAGAAATAATACCACACATCTACAACCATCTGACCTTTGACAAACCTGACAAAAACAAGAAATGGGGAAAGGATTCCCTATTTAATAAATGGTGCTGGGAAAACTGGCTAGCCATATGTAGAAAGCTGAAACTGGATCCCTTCCTTACACCTTATACAAAAATTAATTCAAGATGGATTAAAGACTTAAATGTTAGACCTAACACTATAAAAACCCTAGAAGAAAACCTAGGCAATACCATTCAGGACATAGGCATGGGCAAGGACTTTATGACTAAAACACCAAAAGCAACGGCAACAAAAGCCAAAATTGACAAATGGGATCTAATTAAACTAAAGAGCTTCTGCACAGCAAAAGAAACTACCATCAGAGTGAACAGGCAACCTACAGAATGGGAGAAAATTTTTGCAATCTAACCATCTGACAAAGGCCTAATATCTAGAATCTACAAAGAACTTAAACAAATGTACAAGAAAATATCAAACAACTCCATCAAAAGTGGGTGAAGGATATGAACAGACACTTCTCAAAAGAAGACATTTATGCAGCCAACAGACATATGAAAAAATGCTCATCATCACTGGCCATCAGAGAAATGCAAATCAAAACCACAATGAAATACCATCTCACAACAGTTAGAATGGTGATCATTAAAAAGTCAGGAAACAACAGGTGCTGGAGAGGATATGGAGAAATAGGAACACTTTTACACTGCTGGTGGGACTGTAAACTAGTTCAACCATTGTGAAAGACAGTGTGGCGATTCCTCAGGGATCTAGAACTAGAAATACCATTTGACCCGGCCATCCCAAGGGATTATAAATCATGCTGCTATAAAGACACATGCACACGTATGTTTACTGTGGCACTATTCACAATAGCAAAGACTTGGAACCAACCCAAATGTCCATCAGTGATAGACTGGATTAAGAAAATGTGGCACATATACACCATGGAATACTATGCAGCCATAAAAAAGGATGAGTTCATGTCATTTGTGGGACATGGATGAAGCTAGAAACCATCATTCTGAGCAAACTATCGCAAGGACAGGAAACCAAACACCACATGTTCTCACTCATAGGTGGGAATTGAACAATGAGAACACTTGGACACAGCGGTAGCGAACATCCCACACTGGGGCCTGTCATGGGATTGGGGGAGGGAGGAGGGATAGCATTAGGAGATATAACTAATGTAAATGATGAGTTAATGGGTGCAACACACCAACATGGCACATGTATACATATGTAACAAACCTGCACATTGTGCACATGTACCCTAGAACTTAAAGTATTATTTAAAAAAAAATTAAAAACATCATACTTCCACCTAAGATGATACAACTATCCTGTATACTCCTGAAAACATGCTAACCCTTTCCCCAGAAAAGGACGCAAAGTCCTTGGGTGATGCTTACTCTTGTCCTTGATATCCTGTAAGTAAAATGCTCAGATATAAAGTTAACTTTTAATGCATCTCACGTTAGATGATAGAGGGATACAAAAGGGAAGAAAACGGACGTAGTTGGTTTAAAAAAAAAAAATATATATATATATACTAACATATTCATAACAAAGAATAAAGAATTACTTATAGCTCTTATAGTCCCCATCTCTGCAACTGGTCCCATGGCCATAACTGGTATGTATAATTGCTTTCTTTCTTTTTTTTTTTTTGAGACACATTCTCAATTTGGTCGCTCAGGCTGGCACAAACACCGCTTACTGCAGCCTTCACCTCTTGGGCCCTAGCAATCCTCCCACGTCAGCTCCCCAAGTAGCTGGGAATACAGGTGTGCACCACCACACCCATCCAATTTTTGTGTTTTTTGTAGAGATGACGTTTTGCTATGTTGCCTAGGATGGTCTTGAACTCCTGAGCTCAAGTGATCCACCCGCCTCAGCCTCCCAAAGTGCTAGGCTTACAGGTGTGAGCCACTGCACCCAGCCTATAATAACTTTCTTTCACTACCTATTTCATATTCCCTTTGCCATCAGCAAGCACCTCAGCTGGTCATGGTTCTTTGTCTAGTGTAGTGACCCAAACCTTTATTCCTGAAGGGGCTGGGTCGTTCATAGTCCTGCAGGAATTGGGTTGTTGTAGTTTCCCATTGACTTTACTCACAGAACATAGAACTAAGAGATGTCCTAAGGAATCCTCCTGTATTCCAGACATACTCTTCCTTTGTGTAGTAGCAACCTATTTCCCCCTTGATTATCATGATCAGTCACCCTAGCAGTATAGTACCCTCTTCTTTGCCTCTTAATTCAGAGACTTGAATTGATCAAAGTAGCTAGGTAGCAGTGTCAACTTCCAGTTCAATGGAATCATTGTTGTGTCTCCTGTTGGAAGTATTCTTCCCTTTGGAACCTCTAGACCAACAGACCCTAAAGTCATTGAGAAGAGAAGCAAAAATTTTGCTCGCAGGTCAGCTGGGGAAATGGTTAGTTGGAGCCATTTCCATTTCCATCCTTTCTTTCTTGGGCCTGTGAACCTTAACTACGGAGGAAACAGCACCATATATTAGACAATGATTTAGAGCATCCCAGAGGACCTTTCCCTAGTCCCACAAGCCATTGCCACCTAGTTGGCACTGTTGGGTCTTCAGAAAGACATTTCACCATTTTCTCAAGACAGCTGCTTTGTCATGATGGGGGATATGCTAAGATCAGAAGATTTCATGAACATGAGTCAATTACCATATTTCATTTTCTTTGAAGGCAGTTTCTTGATCAGAAACAATGCTATGTGAACTGCCAATATTGTGGATAAAACACTCTGTAAGTCCATGGATGGTGGTTTTGCAAAAGTATTATGTGCATAAAAGGAAAATCCATATATAGAGTAAATGTCTCTTTCAGTGATAGCTACAGCCTATCAGTTTGAAAATAAAATAAAGGAAAGTTATAGATAAACAAGGAGATAAAGCTTGAATGAATGCTGTGGTACTAGTTTAGAGAAAAGACATTATATGTACTCATGTTTATATATTGTCTTAGTCGGCTTGGGTTTCCACAACAAAAATGCCATATATTGGGTGGCTCAAACAACCCGAAATTTATTTTCTCACAGTTAGGCAGGTTGGAAGTACAAGATCAGAGTGACAGCATGGTTGGGTTCTGACTGGGGCTCTCTTCCTGGCTTGTAGATGGCCACCTTCTTGCTGTGTCCACCATGGCTGAGAGAGTAAGCAAGCAAGCTCTCCAGTGTCTCTCTATATAAGAGCACTAATCCTGCCACCACCTCCCCATGAATTCATCTGAACCTAATTACATCTTCAGACCCATCTTCAAATACCATCAAATTGGGGGTTAGGCCTTCAATATATGAATGAGGATGGGGAGCCCACAATTTAGTCCATAGTGTGTGTTTGTGTGTGTGTGTGAATGTATGTATAAAATGACAGTGGTCATTTACAACAATAAGTATAGATTTGTGTTAATATACATGGTATGTATTTCCTACCTTTGTCTGCTGAGAGGGCCTTGAAGCAGTCATACCCAGTTGCAGTGAGTTCGCCTAGCACCCAGATACCAGTTTCTAAATACCATTCTCCAATAAAAGAAGCTCTTAGAGAAATGGTTTATTGTAGGGATGGGGCAAAGAAAAGGAAAGATGAGCCTGTAAAAATGTCATTAGTTTTGACAAATGTAGTACTGTAAGATATTGACTTCAGGGGAAACTGGATGAAGGGTATATGGCAACTCTCCTGATTATCTTTGAAACTTTCCTGGAAATCTAAAACTCTTCCAAAATGAACACTTTATTTTCAAAAACCAAAGGTGTAAAGACAATATAATATGCAAATGAATCAGAGGCAGGGGAAGCATAGATTAAAAAAAAATTCATCTTGATTTTACAACATACCAATTAGTCTGTGATCTAATGGTAGCTACAATACTTTAGCAATAAGAAAAGATAGGATTGCAAATAGAATTTAGTTATGCTGACTCCCAGTGACATTTACTAATGCCCTGCATGAGAACAGTAATGTCAGGTGTTTTGTCATTTATTTGGTTATTTGTTTCCTTGTAAAATGATACACAGAAGTTACTTTGGCTGAGATGGAATGGTGAAAAAAAAATCAACTTGACCTTATAGGAAAGAAAGGGGGATGAGAAGAGATGAGTAATTATTTAGAATTCCTGGTAGTTTGATAAAAAGATTACATAATCTTTGTCACTTTGTTAGTAAAGTTGGTAAAGAAGCGCTGGATGGTGTAAGAAATGATGAATAGTTTTACTTAAGACAAAGAAGGTCTGGTAGTTCATCCAGAGAACCAGCCCAGAAACTCTCAAGGAGAGCCAGAGAGGCTCTAGTTCTGCCTGAAAGTGAAATTCCTAGCTGTGAAGTAGTTTTCTATTCTGATTTCTATTACTACAGAAATTTTGCTGTATTGGTCTTTGAATCATAAGTGGTTTATGTGCAAGCAGGTGTCTTTCAGAGAAAACCAAAAAAATGGATACTTTTTTAAAGCTCCACTTTATTAGAAAGTTTGAAGAGTTTCTAGAGAGAATGAAGAAATTAATATAAAAGGAATCTGGAAAGTATAAGATTCTGAGAAGCATCGAGATTTTAGAAATTTCTAGCTTTCTTAAGTGGGCAAAAGCACTGCCAGGTAAGTGGTAAGTGGAAAATATGACAGCTTAAAGAGAGGAAAGACAAACTCTATTCTATCATACTTACAGAGATTTTGCTTCTTGAAAAATTATAATGAAAAGAATAAAAACCAAAACCATGAAGCTGGATTTTTAAAGTTTTAGAGTTTAAAGAGCCTATAAAGGTATAGTCCAACTGTCTCATTTTATGAATGTGTGAACTAAATAAACATATGTAAAGGAGGAGGAACAGAAAGAGAATAAATCTGGTGAGCATTATGTATATATCCAACCATTTGAAAAACACGAAAACGGCAAAGAAAATTTCTAAGTTATTGTAAAATCAAGGAAATCTATTGTCTTCTATAAGAAGAATTCATCAGGTTAGTTGAAGATTCGATTATATCCATTTGGAGATAATGTAATGTCAACCTGACATAATTCTAAAGAAAGTGTGCCATCATTTTAGGACTTCTATCTATCTATCTATCTATCTATCTATCTATCTATCTATCTATGCATCTATCGATCTATCTATCCATCTATCGTTACAAATAACCAATTGAGACTCTTCAAATTTAATAATTCTCTGGGAATCACGATGTGACTGTATATCACAAACATAGATTTGAGGTATAGGATCATGTCCTCAGACAACTAGAAAAATGATTTTTAGCTGTAGGTGAATTACTTTATATAATGACTGGAAAGAACATCAAAAGCTAGCTTTCCTAGTTAAGACAATGTTAAAGTGAATATAGAAGAGTTAGTAGGATAAAACTCTGAACATATTATTTAGGATAGTAGACATGTTGAAAATAAAATGAAAACACTTTCATTGGACCTTAAGTTTTTTGAAGAGATGCAGGCCTCCTATTTGTTATTTAGGTGAATGCATGAATGAAGGAGGTGTTTGACAGAGAATGTGTATGTGTGTGTGTAAAACATATGAATGGCCATTGAAACCAAGGATACCCAAATAGTCTCCAAGAGAGATTATTACAGAAAACTGAAACTGGTAGCCTCAAGGCTGAATCAGACTTACAGACATAGTATATAGTATTTGGTTGGCATGATGTTTTTAAACATTTAGAATTTGAGTGCATTTAGATGACATGACATGAAGCTAAAATAGAATCCCAAATAATAGCAATATTTCAAGAATTAGCTGTGAAAGAGGAGTCTGCAATGGAGACTAATACAAGCAGTAAGAAAGACTGGTAGAAAACCAAGAGAAAATTGTGTCATAAAAGTCAAAGGGAAAAAGAATTTCAAGAAGAGAGTAATAATTATTGTGTCGTGCTTAAAGGGTTATGTGATAAGGATGAAAACGTGTCCATTGAACTTAGTAACAGAGAGAGTGAGAATGGAAGATAATGGGCTTTGGATTGAGTGGGAGGTGAGGAAGTAGTAATGACAACAGGACTTAACCATGAAGGGGAGAAGAAGCAGGGAGTTGTAGCTGCATGCAGACTTAGAGTCAAAGGTGGGTTTTGTTAAGTCAAGTAAGTCACAAAGATATTTAAATGTAGATGACAAGGAAGCAATATGAAGATGTTAAAAATACAGGAGAGGGTATTATTGATCAAAGGAGATCCCAGTGATATAGGACCTAGAATTTGAATCACAGGTGGAAAAATTATCGTCAGTCAAGAGAAGGAAGATTTTACTACTGTAATAGGAGGGAATGTGGAAAGGACAACTATGTTGCAGTTGATGGGTTTGCCAGCAGGTAGTAAGGGTATTTCCATGTGGTATTCTCAATTTTCTCTGTGAATCAGGAGGTGAGATGGTCTGCTTACTATAGTACGGGAGGTGAGGAACATATAGGGCTGATGGATAGTGAGGTTGAAGGTTTGAAACAACTTCTGTGAAGAGCTTGAGAAGTGAAGGAAAGAGTGATGACCAGGAAGACACAGAAAACACGGTTGATGATTTTGTGTTTCTAGCTGATTTTAAAAATAATGAATTTGTACTGCCTCTTTAGAAAGCAGACCTGTTAGGGTATTGAAGTAGTAATGTATGTTATAAGACAGTGCAGTGCAATGATTTAATAGCTCAAGCTCTGGAATGAGACCTGGGATTACCTCTCAGCTCTGCCAATAGCTAGTTGTAGAACTTGAGCAAATATTTAACCTTGCTAACCCTTGGTTTCCCCAGCCTTTGTAAAGAAAACTTCACAGGATGGCTGTGAGACTGAAGAGAGAAAGCATTCTCACTTGTTAGTATACTAGAGAGCATTTCAGCAAAATCAAAGAGAGAAGAAAAACTGAATGTCTTATTCTACTCTTAAGAATTCTTGACTGCCTGTTGTTAGCATTTCACATTCTAAAAGGAGATGAGGGCAACCAGTAGAGTTGTCATGTTCAGCCTAGTTATGACAAACAAATTAAAAATTGATCATAATTAGATATGTAACCAAAACTTTTTAAAAAGTGAAAAAAAAGAGAAGCTTGATTTTCTGACCTGCAACTCAAAGGGAGAAAAGTCAATAGAGCTGACAAACTATCAAAAATATAATTCTAATCATGCAAATACAATTTATTGAGAAATTAAGAGAAAATTTTTAGATGGTGGTATACAAATAAGATGTGCATAAGGATGGACATAAGAGAGTTTCAAAGAACAGTAAGAATACATTAAATTTAATAAATCCCAAAATAAGTTTAGGGTTTTAAAATATGCCATGGGTGGCTAAAATAGAGTATGTGATTTGGTTTAAAGGATTAATAACAAACTGAGGTTAGGCATCAAAGAGACTGAAACAGTACTCAATTTTTCCTTTTCTTTCAAGAAAATGATCTTTGGTCTAGAAAGAGTGGAACAACCGTTTGTACAAGAAAACTAAAGCAAAGGATAGGTGAGGTGTTTATTTAAAATACACACACACATATGTAAATAAGATATATAAATTCAATTCTTGCAGCTTAGTTTACATACATGTCAGGATAGTAAAGGTTCCTGTTAATAAGCTTGCTAATCCTTTATTAGTAACCTTGAAGATTTGTGGAAAACCATATAGGTGCCAGGAGGCTAGAGATGTATAAATTTAAGAGAGAGATTCTGTATACTATATGCCAGTGCAGTAGACATTAATTCCAAACATGATGGTTAGTTCTAAAATGATTTATGATCTGAGAAGGCATATTGAACACATATGGTTACCAGTTTCTTCTCCAGAATGCCTCGTTGACTAAATACTAAGGTTGCAAAATGCTAAGCTAAGACAAAATGCAGAATACTGGTGGACAAAAATAAAAAATAAAAAGAGATGTTTGGAAAATCCAAACTTATACCTTTCTTCTCACTCATTTCAAATAGATTTGTACCTGGTTGCTCAAGCAAATAATTTTATGAACCACCTTGACTTAATTCCCTCCTTCCCTCACCTCTTACCATACAGTTTATAGTAAGTCCTGTTGACTCTATTTCCAAAATTATCTAGTTTCCGTCATCCCTCCGTTATCATGACTTCCATTCTAATCCAAGCTACCGCCATTCCCACCCAGATTATTGTGGTTTCCTGTTGACCAATTTTCCTGTTTCTACTTGTAACTCCTACAATCCATCCTATACAAAGCAGTCAGAATGGTCATTTTAAAATGTGCATCACGGTCATGTCAATTTCAAGGATTATTTCTGTTTCAGTATGTTTTACATACTTCTCTATTTCACATACTTGAAATAGAAATCTGAACTCTATCCTAGTTTACAAGTCCATACATGTTGTGACTTTTGCATACCTCCCTGACCTCATTTTATTCAACTGCCATTCTGGCTCAGAATGTTCTAACCACAGTGGTCCTTCAGTTCCTCTAATATGCTAAGCTTATTATCATTCCAGTCCCCTCGTGCTTGTAGTTTCCTCTGCCTGGAATGATCTATCCCTACATTCTTACATGACTGGCTTCTTATGCATCAAGGAAAATAGCAGTGAGGTGTCACTTCTCATTCTTCATATTGACAAAAATTAAACAGTGGCAGGAAAAATGGCAAAATGTTTATCTGTTAAAATATATTTTGTAAAGCAAGCTGGCTCCACAGTTAAAATGGAAAACATATGACTTAATGAAGATGAAAACAGAACATATAAAAACTTGTGGGCTGGACGTGGTGGCTCATGCCTGTAATCCCAGCATTATGGGAGGCCGTGGTGAGTGAATTGCATGAGTCCAGGAGTTTGAGACCAGCCTGGGCAACATGGTGAAATGCTGTTTCTACAAAAAATTAGCCAGGCATGGTGGTGCATGCCTGTAGTCCCAGTTGCTCAGGAGGTTGAGGTAGGAGGATCAGCTGAACCTGGGAAGTCAAGGCTGCAGTGAGCCATGATTGCACCATTGCACTCCAGCCTGGGTGACAGAGTAAGACCCCGTCTCAAAAAACAAACAAACAACCTTGTGTGGTGCAGCTAAAACAGTGTTTAGAGGGAATCTTATAGCATTTAATGCTTATATTAGAAAGTTTAAATGTTTTAAATTGGTGATCTGAAATTCTACCTTAAAAAAACCAGAAAACAGCAAATTATACACAAAATGAGCAGAAGTAAATAATAAAGTTAGAAGCAGAAATCAATGAATTAGAAAACAGAATAATAATAGAGAAATCAATGAAACCCAAAGCTAGTTCTTTAAAGGTGTCAATAAAATTGGCAAACCTATACTCAGAACAATCAAGAAAAGAGGGAAATGACAACAGATTACCAATCTCAAGAGCGAAAGCAGAGGCATTTCTACAGATATTACAGAGTTAATAAGGAAATACAGATTGGTCATCCCTAATCTGAAATGCAGAGTGGTCCAAAATTTGAAACTTTGTGAGCTCTGATATGAGATCAAGCAGAGAATTTTACATCTGACCTCATGTGACAGGTTGCAGTCAAAACACAGGCACACACAGCTTGCAGTTGCTATTGTTGAACAGTTGGTACAGATATTCTGATGTTGCTACTGTGCTGCTTAGTTACCCTGAACATATTAATTTTTCCCTGTGTTAATGGTATGTCATATTTTTTTTACTGTTAAGTACTTGTGCGTGAATGTGTGCAAAAAATGATTGCTTATCAGTAGCATATAAATTTCAGAGTCAGAAATGATAGTGATGTTAACCACAGATTGTCTTCATAAGTGGCTGATGCCTTTGTTTTCTGATGGTTCAGTGTGCACAAATTTTGTTTCGTGTGCAAACTTATTAAAATGATTGTATAAAATTACCTTTAGGCTTTGTATATAAGGTATATGTGAACCATAAATGAATTTTATTTGGATCCCATCCCAAAATATCTCATATGTATGCAAATATTCCAAAATCCAAAAGAACTCAAACACTTCTAGTCCTAAACATTTCACATAAGTGATACTCAACCTGTCATATAAACAACTTTATGCCAATAAATTCAATAACTTAGATGAAATAGAAAATTTTCTTGAAAGACAAAAACTACCAAAAGTAGCTAAGGAAAAAATAGATAATGTGAATATCTGATCAGATTATATCTATGAAGTTGAATTCATAGTTTTAAAAAACCTTCCCCCAAAGAAAACTTAGGTCCTAGAAGGCTTAGGTCCCAGATGGCGTTACTGTCGAATTCCACCAAACATTGAAGGAACATATAATAAAAATTCTTGCAAAAAAATGAAGGAAGAAGGAATACTTTCAGACTCATTTTGAGGCCACCATTACTTTGATACCAAAATCAAAGATTATAAGAAAAGAACACTACATACCAATATCTCTCATGAAAATAGACACAAAAATCCTCAACTAAATATTAGTAAGTTGAATCCAGCATTGTATACAAATATTTTATGACCAAGTTGGTTTTATCCAAGAATACAAAGTTAACTTACCATTTGAAAATCATACATATGATTTACTATATCATCAGGCTAGAAGAGAAAAACCACCTGATTTGTTTCAACAAATGCAAAAAGTTGACATCCATTCATGATAAAAAAAATCTCTCAATATACTAGTAATAGAAGGGAACTTCCTCAACTTGGTAAGACTGATCTGTAAAAAACCTGCAGTTAAAATATTTTGTGGTAAAAGACTTCACCGTACCCTACTAAGACTGGAAACAAGGCAAAGATGTTCACTCTATTGACTTCTATTCGGCATTGCACTAAAAGGAAAGGCAAGAAAAAGAAATAAAAGGCTACATTACTGGAAAGGAAGTAGAACTTTGTTCACATATGATGTTATTATCTACTTAGAAAATTCTAAGGAATCTGCAAAAAAGTTACTAGAACTACTAAGTGAGTTTAACCAGGTTCAGCTAAACAAACTTGAATACAAGAATATACAAAAATGAATTTTATCTCTCTGTCCTGGCAAAGGGCAATTAGAAGTTGCAGTTTTTTAAAAAACACACACGTTCATAATACCATTAAAGAATATAAAATACATACAGATAAATCTAATAACATCTGTACAAGAACTGTACACTGAAAATTAAAAATCAGTGCTGAGGTGAAGGAAACCCATGGCCAGGTGCAGTGGTTGACACCTATAATCCCATCACTTTGGGAGATGGAGGCAGGAAGATCCCTTGAGCCCAGGAGTTCAAGACCAACCTGGGCAATGTAGGGGGACCCTATCTCTACAAAAAACAAAAATAATATAAAATAAAAATTTAAAAAGAACCCCTGAATAAATGGAGAGCAATGCCGGGTTCATGAATCAGAAACCCAGTGTCATTAAGATGTCAATTCTCTAACAAATTGATATGTGGATTCAATGCAATCCAAATCAAACTCCTGGCAAGCTTTTTACAGAAATTTAAAGCTTACGGTAAAATTTATGTGGAAATACAAAGGACTTTAGAACACCCAAAATAATTTTTTTATAAAGAACACACTACATGATTTCAAGACTTGCTATAAAGCTGCAGTAATAAAGTTCAGTACTGAAATAACAGTAAACATATAGATCAGTAGAGCAGAATGGGAGTTTCAGAAATAGGCCCACATATATATGTTCAATTGATATTTTTTAAAACAAAAGTGCCACAATAATTCCATGGAGGAAAGAAATGATGCTGAAGCAATTGGATCAGTGGATTGAAAAAAAAAAGTTGAGTCTTACCTGACATTATATACAAAAATTAACTCACAGTTATATATTTAACTCACACTTAAATATGTAAGCTAAAAGCTATAACAATATAGTTGAGGAAAATATTTTTAAAAATCTTTGTGACCTTGGGCTATGCAAAGATTTTTTGTAACACAAAAATCACAACTTAGGCTGGGCATGGTGACTCATGCCTGTAATTCCAGCACTTTGGGAGGCCAAGGTTGGTGGATCACTTGAGGCCAGGAGTTTAAGACCAGCCTGGCTAACATGGAGAAACCCTGATTTTACTAAAAAAATACCAAAAAGATTAGCTGGGTGTGGTGGTGCACACCTGTAATCCCAGGTTCTCGGGAAGCTGAGGCACGAAAACCCTTGAACCTGGGAGGCGTAGGTTGCAATGAGCCGAGATCATGCCACTGCACTCCAGCCTCGGTGACAGAGCAAGATCCTGTCTCAAACAAACAAAAATCACTAATCATACCACACCACATGCTGATGAGGATGTGGAGCAATGGGAACTCTCATATGTTGCTGATGAGAATGCAAAATGATACAGCCACTTTTTAAAATAGTTTGGGAAGTTTTAATCAAATAAAACATACTCACCTACTACCCAACAATCTCTCTCCTAGGTATTTCCCCAAGACAAATGGAAAAACAAGGACACAAAGACCTGTACATGAATATTCATAGCAGTTTTGTTTCTAATAGCCAAAAATTGGAAACAAGCCAAATGTCCATCAACTGGCAAATGTATAATAGACTAATAGACTGGTTCATCCATACAATAGAATACTCCTTGTATCAAAAAGGAACAAACACGTAATACGTGTAACAACATGGGTGAACCTCAGAAGCATTATGCTAAATGGGAAAAAAAAGACAACAAAAAAGACCATATATGGTATGATCCATTTATTGGCAATTCTAGAAAAAGCAAAACTATGCAGACAGAAAACAGATCAGTGCTTGCTAGGAGCTGGGGATGGAGTAAGGGAAATGACTGCAAAGGGACCTAAGGGCACTTTTGAGGTGATGGAAGTATTTTGTACCTTGATTATGATGCTGATAACATAACTGTATACATTTGTCAAACTCATTGAACTTTGTATTTTAAAAGGATAAATTTTATTGATTTATTATACCATACCTCAATATTAAAAAAAACCCTAAAGATGAATCTGCTTATTGACCTCAATTCCATTCCTATAATTTTTTCCTTGGAAGTAAAATTATCAAAACAAAATATGTGGATAAGTATTTTTATGGCAGCATTATTTCCAGTGGAAAAAAAAACCACGTGAAAAGAACCTGAATTTCCATCATTAGGAGAGTGACTGCATAAATTACAGTGTGTCCATTTTATGGAATGCAACCTACTGCAAAACAAACAGCGTAGCAATATACATGATAAGCAAAAAGTCAATAGTTATTTTCATTTTGCTTTTTTAATTAATATTTAGTAAGTCCAATGAAAACAAAATTTAAACAAAAGTGTACAGGTATGAAACAACTTAATTTGTGGCATGATTCTGAGAAATTGAAGGAGTATAGGAATAGAGAGCCTATTTGACCCTAAGGTTGTGATTTCTTTCTTCCGGTGGAAGAGATTGAGAAGATTAGATTACATTTTCTTTTCAGAGTTAGCCACCCTAATTTCTTCAATAGTAAATATTTACATAATCATAATATGGCAAATGATACTTATTGGTTTTTAGTTTCAGAGTTAGTCTATAGACAAACACAGGAAAGAATTGTATGCAGAATGGAGAGGAAATGTGAATACCAACAATGTAGAGTTGATGCTATAGCTGACAGAAGGCCAGAGGTGAAGTCTGTGAAGAAGGGTGGAAGGAAGTGTGGAGAACGAATTTCTTCCTCCTACCTAGTGTGGAATTAAGAGAGAATTTCACCAATTAAAGTTGATGAAATAAGAAATAAAGGGTTCAGTATGTTACTGAAGTATGTCTTGTTAACTAATAGAATTTAAATGATATAATTAGTAAAGCGAGATATGAGGAGAGGAGGGAGAGGTCTGAGCTAAATACTCATCTTTCCTATAAAGAAATGGAAAGCCTCCTAAGCTGATTAATTAAGAAATAGAGGTTTATGGATAATATATGGCATTGTGAGTTTTATGTATAATATATAGCATAACCACAGGAAGAACTCACAAGGAAACAAATGGGAATAAAATTGAGCATAGGGCAGGAAAGTTAATTTCATTTATGCTGTGCTGTAGTGTTAAAAGTTTTTAATCATATACATATATTACTTACTTTTTAAATGATTTACCACCAAAAGAAATGTTAGCCTAGTCTGCCGGGCACGGTGGCTCACGCCTGTAATCCCAGCACTTTGGGAGGCCGAGGCAGGCAGATCACGCGATCAAGAGATCAAGACCATGCTGGCCAACATGGTGAAACCCTGTCTCTACTAAAAATACAAAAATTAGCTGGGCATGGTGGTGCACACCTGTAATCCCAGCTACTCAGGAGACGGAGGCAGGAGAATGGCTTGAACCCAGGAGGCGGAGGTTGCAGTGAGCCAAGATTGCTCCACTGCACTCCAGCCTGGAGACAGAGTGAGACTCCGTCTCAAAAAAAAAAGAAAAAAGAAATGTTAGACTAGTCTTAGTTCATTTTTACAAGGTTTCTGAACTGGGAGATAAGAGAAATATGGTAGAAAAAAATAATCCTGATTTCACAAAGGCATTTGAACAAGAGCTCTTAAAATGCCCCATGGATAAGAAAAAAAGAGTATGTGTCTTTTCATAATACAATTAGAAGATTTCATCTCTGGAGCCCTGTGACTCAAACGAAGCTTACACTGATTTTTTTCTAGATTTCCTTTTAGGGTTTGGGGGATTGGTTTTGGCCATATGTTCCAGGGCTTTGTGCTCCATCCTGTCCTATTTGTCATAACCCCAGTATCATTTTATTGGGTAATTAATAATATGAATTATATAAAATTTTAGTACATTCCTAATTGCATTTACTCATCACGTCAAATCTTTAAAATAATAGATTAAATCACAATAGGGGTAGGGCCTGGGAATGTGTATTTTCAGAAAGCTCCCTGGGTGATTCCGATAATGTTTGGGAACAACTAGACAAGATCCTTTCTATGCTTGAGTTATACTTGTGTGATTTAATTTGTGAGACTTACATGTTCTGTTAACATATGACTATGTTCAGTAACATTTTATTGTAATGTTTTTGTCATTATCTTTAGCAAATAGTTTTGCCTATCTTTAGGGCCACTGGAGATTCAAAGTAGTGTCAAACTTTCCCTCGCTTTCTAGAGCAAGTATGTGCCAATGATGGCTGAGTAGTGCATCTGAAGTCAACCTTGTGGACCATAGTTTGTGATCCTTTGATTCTGTGTTTGTAGCACCTTTCAACACTGTAAGAGAGGTTTGCATCTCCAAATGAATGAACTATATAAACTGCAGTTTATATAGTTTGTTTTTTCATGCCTGAGTGATTATTATATATATTCATATTTAGCAACCCCCTGCGTCTACCCAATAAACAACCCAGCATCACACCTAACAGTGAGCATTTTTGGTGAAATACACTTGCTGCACAGACACAGAAGCCTTTTTGCACAACACAGCTCAACAGATAACAGTTTCAAATTGCAGAATTTTAAAACTATGGTTCATTTGGCAACTATACAGTAGTGCCTGTAGCAACAAACATTATATGAGGAAAAAAAAGACTATCATGTAAATTATATATAACTGTTAACATTAAGGTAGCATGATTGATTTAAACTAGTCACACTCGGGGGTAACTAGAGACTCTCATTTTATCCTTATTCATACTCTGAGGCTTTTCATACTGTTGGAGGGTTCTGGGGTCAAATGAATGCCAGGGCATACATAGCCCATACAAAAGACAAGAAATCCAGGATTTTACAGCTCAAAGCTGGCTGCTCTATTATGTGTCCTTTTAAGTGTTTTCTTAAAATCTCTTTAAAATGCTATTAATTTATTTTTGCCCTGCTTTCTATTATATTCTTATTTACTTTTAGTGGATGATGGTTTTATTAATAGGACCCAATGGCAAAAAAAAAAGGAGAGATTTCAGAATTGCTGTTTATTTACCCAAAGCTGCCTTCTATCTATGTCCAAGGGCCATTTTTGAGGCCCCTGTGATGGAATATGGTGGGTATATACTCATGGTCATATTGTGTATCCGAAAACAAAAGGTCTTGTAGCATGCTTTATTTAGAATTTTTATAGAAATTTCTTTGATTCTACATGTTACTTTATCAGCTTGATTGTTGTTATCGAGTGTAATAACAAAAGCCCTACAGAGAGATTTTTGGTACTGCTTGTTCCAAGGAGACAAGGAATCCTCTTGCTGGTTGCTTTATTTAGTAGTCAAAACATAAAACATTATTCTGTAAATGCCAGAGAATGGGTTATTTTTGTAATGCACATTGGTCAGGTGAGGTTTACGTCCATCTATTGCATGGGCAGAAGAGAAGGGCCAATTGGAATTGGAACTCCTGGTAAATTATCAAGGAGCATATTGGGAGGTAAGTTGACTTTTCTTCAGTAAATGGGGAATATGCATTCCCTTAAGGTAAATTACATAGTCTGATTTAGGGAACTTTGGATGGTATTTTTAAAGTTTATCACAAGACTTTTATTGATAATATAGGAATAGGGCTCCTTTTCAAACTGCTATTATCAGTGGTAAGGGCTGGAAGATTTCTTACTTTACCTTTGACTGAAATGTTAAGAGTTGCCTTTAGTTAACTGAATGCTCATAGCAACTTTATTTGCAGTAGCCACAAGTTGGAAACCATACAAATGTTCTTCAGTGGGTGAAGGTGAAATAAACTATGTAAATTTATGAAATGGAATACTACTCAGCAATGAAAAGGAAGGAAATATTGATACATGCAACAACTTAAATGAATCTTACAGACATTGTGCTGAATAAAATAAGCCGTCTCAAAAATTCTATCCTGTTTGGTTCCATTTCCATGGCATTCCAGAAAAGATAAAACTAGCAATGGTGGCCAGGCGCGATGACTCACGTCTGTAATCCCAGCACTTTGGGAGGCTGAGGCGGGTGGATCATGAGGTCAGGAGTTCGAAACCAGCCTGGCCAACATGGTGAAACACCATCTCTACTACAAATACAAAATTAGGTGGGTGTGATGGCGCATGCCTGTAATCCCAGCTACTTGGGAGGCTGAGGCAGGAGAATCGCTTGAACCCGGGAGGCAGAGGTTGCAGTGAGTGGAGGTCACGCCATTGTACTCCAGCCTGGGCAATAAGAAAAAAAAAAAAAAACTACCAATGGAGAAAATAGTGGCTGTAGGTGTTAGGGTCAGGGAGGGGAAGTTGTGACTGCACTGGAATAGTAGAGTTTTTTAGGGTGATGGAATTATGTTGTATCTTGATTGTGATGGTTAAAAGAATCTATACATGTGTTAAAATTCATAGAACTATATACACCCCCAAAAGTCAACTTTTCTATATAGTAATTTTTTTTTTTTTTTTTTGAGACGGAGTCTCGCTCTGTCGCCCAGGCTGGAGTGCAGTGGCCCGATCTCTGCTCACTGCAAGCTCCGCCTCCCAGGTTCACGCCATTCTCCTGCCTCAGCCTCCTGAGCAGCTGGAACTACAGGTGCCTGCCACAATGCCTGGCTAATTTTTTGTATTTTTAGTAGAGACAGGGTTTCACCGTGTTAGCCAGGATGGTCTCCATCCCTGACCTCGTGATCGGCCCACCTCAGCCTCCCAAAGTGCTGTGATTATAGGTGTGAGCCATTACTCCCGGCCTCTGTATACTAAATTTTAAAATTAAAAACATTCGCATGACAAGTTTTTCTTGCCATTGATCTCTGGCATCTTTCATATTGATGCCATATTGTATTTTCCAAAGAACATATTGATAATTACTTCTATGAACTCATCATTTATCATGCTATAGAGCAGCAATTCTCAAGCATTGTGATCTCAGGACCCCTTTACATTCTTTTTTTTTTTTGAGATGGAGTCTTGCTCCATAGCCCAGGCTGGAGTGCAGTGGCATGATCTCGGCTCTCTGCAATCTCCGCCTCCCAGATACAAGCGATTCTCCTGCCTCAGCCTCCCGAGTAGCTGGGATTACAGGCACGCGCCACCACACCTGGCTAATTTTGTACTTTCAGTAGAGACAAGGTTTCACCATGTTGTCCAGGCTGGTCTCAAACTCCTGACCTCATGATCTGCCATCCTCAGCCTCCTAAAGTGCTGGGATTACAGGCGTGAGCCACTGCGCCTGGCTACATTCTTAACTGTTATTGAGGACCCCAAAGAAGTTTTATATAGGTCGTATCTGTTTAATGTCATATCTATTAATGTTTACTGTAATATGTAAATATTTATTAATTTAAAAGTAATAAACCTATTATAAACAATATATTTTTATGAAAAATTGCAATATTTCCTACAAAAAAAACTTAGAAAAATATCATTGTTTTATATTTTTGCAAATCTTTTTAATCTCTGGCTTAAAAGAAGACAGCTGTATTCTCATTTCTTCTGCATTCACTCTTCTGTGATGTCACATGTTGTGTACCTCCTGGAAAATCTCACTATATTCTCATGAGAGAATGAGAATGAAAAAGGCAAATAACACCTTCATATTATTGTGAAAATATTTTTTAAATTTTTTAAAATAATTTCAACTTTTATTTTAGATTCAGGGGCACATGTGTAGGTTTGTTTCCTGGGTATATCTTGTGATGCTGAGGTTTGGGGTACAAATGACCCTATCACCCAGGTACTGAGAATAGTACCCAATAGTTTTTCAACCCTTGCCCTGTCCCTCACTCCCACCTTCTAGTAGTTCCCAGTGTCTATTACCTTCTTTATGTACAGACTACCCAACGTTTAGTTCCCACTTACAAGTGAGAACATGTGCTATTTGGTTTTCTTTTCCTGCATTAATTTGCTTAGGATAATGGCCTCCAGTGGCATCCATGTTGCTAAAAAGGACATCATTCCATTCTTTTTTATGGCTGTGTAGTATTTCATAGTGTATACTTGCCATATTTCCTTTGTCCAGTATACCACTGATGGGCACCTAGGTCGATTCCATGCCTTCGCTATTGTGAATAGTGTTGCAGTGAGCCTGTGAGTGCATGAGTCTTTCTGGCAGAATGATTTGTTTCTTTGGGATATACACCTAATAGTGGGATTGCTGGGTCGAACGGTAGTGCTGTTTTAAGTTCTTTGAGAAATCTTCAGACTGCTTTCCACAGTGGCTGAACTAATTTACATTCACAATAGCAGTGTATAAGTGTTCCTTTTTCTCTACAGTCTCGCCAGCAACTGTTGTGTTTTGACTTTTAAAATAGTAGCCATTCTGACTAGTGTGAGATGGTATCTCATTACGGTTTTGATTTGCATTTCTCTGATGATTAGTGATACTGAGCATTTTTTCATGTTTTTTGGCTACTGTCTGTCTTCTTTTCAGTTCCTGTCTTTTGCCCACTTTTTAATGGGGTTGTTTTTTGCTTGTTTAACTGTTTTAGCTCTCTATAGATTCTGAATATTAGACCTTTGTCAGATGTATAGTTTGTGAATATATTCTTCTGTTGTGTAGGTTGTCTGTTTACTCTGTTGATAGTTTCCTTTGCTGTGCAGGAGCTCTTTAATTAGTTCCCACTTGTCAATTTTTTGTTCTGTTGCAATTGCTTTTGAGGACTTAATCGTAAATTATTTCCCAAGGCCGATGTCCAGAATGATATTTCCTAGGTTTTCTTCTAAGATTCTTATAGTTTGAGGTCTTACATTTAAATATTTCTTCCATCCGTCTTGAGTTAATTTTTGTATATGGTAAAAGGTAGCCGGTTACCCAATCATCATTATTGAACAGGAACTCCTGTCCCTATTACTCATTTTTGTTGATTTTCTTGAAGATCAGATGACAGTAGGTGTGTGGCTTTATCTTTGGGTTTTCTATTTTTTCCATTGGTCTATGTGTCTGTTTTGTACCAGGACCATGCTGTTTTGGTTACTGTAACCTTATAGTATAGTTTGAAGTTTGGTAAGAAAAAAGTGAAAATACTTTTTGCATCCTTGTACCACACTTTAAGAACCACTGCTTTTGAGATAGACACGTAGGCTGGTCCTTACCTTGTATCTTCAGTAGCACTGGCCGTGTGTGTTGATTCACCAGTGGACCTTGGTTTTCTTAAAGGAGATTTCAGCCACAATCTTTAACTAACCAACATGAGGTCCTATAAATTTATAGGACTTTGGTACCATATATTGGACTACTCTCAGTTCTAAAATTTTGTATTATATTCATGGTTCATTTGCAAGATATTTTTTGGCATACTGTAAATATATCCTCATAGTGTCTTTCTCGTCTTGTGCCAGATTTTTGAAGCTTCATAAGTACATGCTTGAATGAAATTAAAATATGGATTATAAATCTAAGAATGACTGTGGATGGTCCACAATACAAGAAAGAGCTAACAACTAACTCAGAGTTCTATTGTTCTAATCCCATAAATGTCCTCCAAATTATACTTGTTTCATCAGTATATGTATGTTGGGCCTCTTGTCTGTGTACCTCCACATGGAAGGCATTGCCAGGGATTCAGAGTAGAGTAAGGCCTGGTCTCTGCCCTTAGGAAACTAATCATGTAGTGGACAATCTTCGTACTTTGGTTTATACCTGTCTTCCTTAGTTTATATTGAACTGACATTTTTGTCTTCCCATATGTTTACCTTGTCTTACATTAAAAAGTTAAAAGGACTTATTCTACATTGAAATAGACATTAACTGACTTAAAGAGCTATTTTATTTGTTGAAGGTCATACAGAAATTCTCAAGGTCTTTGTAGGATTTGAGCAATAGAACGCTAATTTAGCTGTTTAGTGATCACTACAGTAGAGTGTTTTATTTAGTATAGCTTCATCATCATCCTCTTTTTTCTTAACTTTCCCTCAGTTGCTGCTGCTTCTGGACAGAATTGAAGATATTTTAATTAATGAAATTCCAGCTTTTTCTTTTTTAGTAAAGGAGCAAATTAAAATCTAGTAACACCTTCTAGTATGAAGTGTACCTTCACTCAAAATGAGATCTGCTCTAATCCCTAATTATATACCAGGATCACATCTTTGTGTGAAGCACCTGCCTTTCTCTGGAGTTCATATTTTAATGTGCCCATCAGGGAATACTGCTTAGAGGTCCCCAGAGATCTCAAATCCAAATGTCTCTTGCATCAGTACCTCTTACATCTTCAGACCCTTCCTCTCCACTCTCATTCCTTCTCTTCTGCCTATAAGCTTGCTCAAGGATCCTTCTCCTTAAAACAAAACAAAAAAACCCTCATTTTTGCCTTGCTATTGAGCTACTGCCCCATGTTTTTCTTTTTTCCATATTTCTTGAGAGCATAAGCTGTATTTTCTGTTTCTTTACCTTCCATTTATTCCTGGTCTACTATATCACTCAACTAAAACCATGCTCCGATGGTCACTAGTATCCTGCTAATTCTCAAATCTTTTTACTTTTTAATCCTCATCTTACTTGACTTCTCAATAGTAGGTGACATAGCTAACCTTTCTGATATCTCTCTCGTTCCCATGTTTTCTTGACACTATTCTTTCTTTCTCTGCTTATCTCCCTATTGGAGATTATTTCTCTGTTGGATTTTGCTTCCTTTGCCTCTGCATACTGTTTAAATATTGACAGTTTCATCCTCTTTCTCCTTCTCAATAGACCTCTTTCTCTGTGGGAAACTTAATTCATTCCCATGGCTAGATCATATCTCTATGCCAGTAACTCTACAATCTTTATCTCAGGTCCCAGCTTTTCCCTCCTGAGGTCCAAACCTGTCCTTATAACTGTGTGATAATATAACTAGCCCAAGTGATTTACACATCCCTCAAATTCAACATCTCCAGATCCAATCCAATTATCTCTACCCCGCCCCTGACCTACTTTTTCTCTATAATTCTCAGCAATTATAACATCTATCTCTTCAGCTAGTCTATAATAACTTATTGAACACCTTCTATGTACTAGATATTGCTCTTAAGCCTTTTAAATGTTTTCTCATTTAATAGTAACATAAATAATGATAATAATGGAAGCCAGCATTTAGGTAGTGTATATGTGCTGAGCATTCTTTTATACATCTTATATTAATTCGTTTAATCCTCACAACAACTCTGTGAGTTACATACTATTAATAAGTTGTTTTATAGATGAGGAAATGAGGCCCAGAGAGGTTAAGTAACTTGGTTAAGAAATTACATCTATCAGAACTTAGAAATAGCTATAGAATAGCCAGTTCTGTCTGACACCAAAGCTAATGTTCTTAACCACTCTGCTGCCCTTAGTGCTCCTCGGGGTGAGACTCTTCTCTTTCCTACACCACACATCTAAGTTACATCTTTCTATCTATTGTTGTCCAGAGACCATTATTCTACCCAGTACATCTAAGGGATTTGGCATAAGTAAATTAATCACTATGATGGTCACATTTTTTGAAGCCAGGAACCATGCCAGTGTCTTTGCATAATAAATACTAGTAAATTATTATTCCTTTTTACTGACTTTTCTTACCTCACTCCCTTCATGACCCCGCCCCCATTCTCCTCTTCTTGCAAGCTTCCTGTTTTTGTTACCTGCTTCATGTAGCACTTTGCATACTGCCATCGTAACACCTGCCACATTATGTATTCATTGTTTAGTTGCCTATTTCTTCCTTTTTACCTGTAAATGTCCAAAGGTAGTCATTTACTCCTTTGTGTACCTCCATGCCTGAATACAGAACCGACACATAGTAGGCTGTCAGATAATATTATTGGATATATGGAAATAAAATTTATATTGATAATTTTGGAGTTGGAAGGCAGAAAGATTTGACAGTACATGGAATATTTCATGTA
Organism: Homo sapiens; assembly: GCF_000001405.40. Classification (NCBI taxonomy): domain Eukaryota; kingdom Metazoa; phylum Chordata; class Mammalia; order Primates; family Hominidae; genus Homo; species Homo sapiens. The sequence goes on from NC_000018.10 coordinate 37,138,936, forward strand.
TGAAATTTTGTTCTTTTTTTTTTTTTTTTTTTTTTTTTTGAGACGAAGTCTCGCTGTGTCGCCCAGGCTGGAGTGCAGTGGCACGATCTTGGCTCACTGCAAGCTCCGCCTCCCGGGTTCACGCCATTCTCCTGCCTCAGCCTCCCTGGTAGCTGAAAATACAGGTGCCCGCCACCATGCCTGGCTAACTTTTATTTTTTTGTATTTTTAGTAGAGACGGGGTTTCACCTTGTTAGCCAGGATGGTCTTGATCTCCTGACCTCGTGATCTGCCCGCCTCGGCCTCCCAAAGTGCTGGGATTACAGGCATGAGCCACCGTGCCCGGCCAAAATGTTGTTCTTTAAACACTTCGGTCTCAAAATTTTTGTTCATTCACAGGTCCATTGCAGAGAAATATGAAGATTTAGTTGGGATGTTTAGGAAAATTATCTTTAAGACGAGTTCTAAGCAGTATGGTATGTGACACCTGGCTTGTATTCATTGGCAGCCAAGTATGCCCAGAAATGGTAACTAGAAAGTAGTACAACCTAAGAAATCATGAATTCTTCCTTTCAAATAGCAGGTGGAATTTAAATGCTAGTTTATGGTTATTATTGGACCTGCCTTTGCTACTTGAGTCACTTAGCACATCAGTAGATCTGTAATATTTCATTTACAGACCAAGTAGACGATTTTTGCTAGATTGATTTATTGAGATGAGCGACTAACTAAAACAAGTTAAATCTCATTGTCTCATCCCTGCATTAATTTTAACGTGAATTTAGTTGGGTTAAATGGACATTTGTTTTTATTATGTCAAAGATGAGACTTTTCCTCCAGTAAAGCAGAATAATGTATCTATATGGTGTTCTAACTTGAACAGTACATAAAGATTAGTAAATAAGGCCCCATTAAAAATACTTATAATGTAAGTAACATGAGTCCCAGTAGCATTTCTAATGTCCATTAATGCTTATTCGGAGGATCAGAGCTCATTTTACTGAGCCATTTAGTCAAACTGTGTGATTATTTAGAAAGTTAATTCATGCATACTAAAACCTAGCTTAAGTAATGCAGAGGGTAGGAGGTAAAACTCTATGGAGATGATAGTCCTTTTTGTTATTTAATGATCAGCCATAATTAACTTGCAAATTTGAAATAATTAGAACAAATTAAAGGTATTTAACTTTGCCTCCCTAAAGAAAAATTCAAATTGCACCAAATGCAGCTTTAAATTATTCAAGTCTCAGAGGTCTAGGCTAGATTTTTTTTTTATAATGCCTTTTCTATGATGAGAATACCAATCTGCTCTTTGTCAGAAGGCATCCTATCAAGTAATTGTTCTTTGTGTTAATAAATGACAGCTATTCTTCTTTGTAAAAGTATTTCAGTCTCCCAAGACTACAACAGCATTTCCATGGCATTTTAATTCAATAAAACAAAAGGTTAATGTTTTTCTACTTTTTAAGGAATGCAAATACATATGGTATTCAATTGGTCCTGAATGACATTTAAAATTTGCCATTAAAGCTCAGACAGACTATCGCGATATAAGATTTGGGCAAAATAGCAAGAAAAGTTCAAGGTGCTCTGAATTACCAGAATTTCATTAAACTTCAAGAACTGAGAATGTTTTTTCTTTCCCCACCCTAAATCAGGGCTACTCAAAAATTTTCATTTAGTATTTTATAATATTAAAATATGGAAATAGAGTTCAGTAAAATCTTAGGAACTTAAGGGTGACTTACAGTGTAGCAAGCCTAAATGCTAGGGATTTAACCTGTCTTCTGCTATCTTGATATTGATTATTTTTTCATCACTTTTAACAGCTCCATCAGATGCTAAATAAGAATGACAGAAAACTGTTTCTAATAATTCCATCCATATCAGTGAATGATGTTGTTCTATTAACAAATAATTCATTGTATGCATTTTATCTAGACTGTGTGAACTGATAAGAAACACTGATCATCTGACAATTAGGTTTTGACTTTATGGTGCCTAGCACAATGAATGGTTCAAAGTACCTGGTCAGTGAATGTTTCTTCAGTGTGTTATCTGGGTGCTTTTAGTTTAGGAAATAATTTACATAGTTCTTAATTTTGATACATCTCAGTATATTTAAAAGTTCTTTGGTGAAAGTTTTTCTGCGTTTGTCTTCAACTTTATTGTTAATCAACTTTACTTAAATATAACTTGCATTCAGTGAAAGGCACATATCAAGCTTGATGTGTTTTAACAAAGGAATATACTTGTGTATTTAACACCAAACCCCAATTACAACAGAAAGTATTCATCACCCCACAAAGCACCTTATACCACTTTTTGATGAGTTTCCCTCCAAAGATCCCTAGCCCATGCAACCAATAATCTGTTATATATCACTTGAAATATTATTGTGTGTTCTAAATCTTCATATAAGTAGAATCATACAATATGCGTAAGTCTGATACCTTTTACTCACCATAATGTTTTGGAGATATAGCCAAATTGCTGCGTGTTTCAGTATTCCATTACTTTTTTATAACTTAGAAGTAATTCATTGTATAAGTATATTACAACTTGTTTATCAGTGCATCTGTTGATGGACATATGGATTGTTTTCAAATTTTGGCAAAACAAAAGACAACTGAGCTGCTGTGAACATTTGTGTACATGTCTTTAGTGGACATGTTTTCTTTCTCTTAAGTAAATATCTAGGAGTGAAATTACTGTATCATATTGTAAGTTTATTTTCAACTGTACATGAAACTGCCAAACTGTTTTCCAAAGCTATATAACAATTCTCTCAGCAAAGCAGCAGAATTCCAGTTGCTCCATGTCCTTGCCAAGGCTTGGTATTATGACTTTAATTTTAAACATTTTAATGGATATGAAATAGCATCTCATTGTGGTTTTAGTGTGCAGTTCTCCTGATGATGTTTATTGGCCATTCATATAACTTTTTGTGAAATATTTGTTCAAATCTTTTAACCAGTTTTAATTGGATAAACAACTCAATTATTGAACATAGAGTTCTTTGAATATTTTGGATACAAAGTCTTCATCAGATGTATTGTGAATATTTTCTCCCAGTATGTGACTTAACTTGTTATGTCTTTAATGGTGTTTTTGAAGAGCAGGAATTTTTAATATTGATGAAAGTTAGAAAGATATTCTGTTGTGTTTTGCTATAGAAGTTATATAGTTTTAACTTTTACATTTAAGTCTATGATCTATATTAAGTACATTTTTGTGTGTAGTATGAGGTAGGGCTCAAGGTTCATTCTTTTTCTTTTTTGTTTTTGTTTTTTTGGGGATGGAGTCTCGCTCCGTCACCCAGGCCGGATTGCAGTGGCGTGATCTTGGCTTACTGCATCCTCCGCCTCCTAGGTTCAAGCAATTCTCCTGCCTCAGCCTCTTGAGTAGCTGGGATTACAGGCGCACACCACCACACCTGGCTAATTTTTGTATTTTTAGTAGAGACGGGGTTTCACTAGGTCGGCCAGGCTGTTCTCGAACTCCTGACCTCAGGTGATCGATCCACCCACCTCAGCCTCCCAAAGTGCTGGGATTACAGGCGTGAGCTACCGCACCCAGCCCCATTCTTTTCCATACAGATATTCTGTTTCTCCAGCACTATTTGCTGAAAAAAACTTTTTTCTTCACTGAATTGCCTGATACATTTTCAAAGGTCAGTTGAATGTGTACACACACACACACACACAAACACACACACACACCCCACACACACAGATTTATGGACTTCTGTTTCATTGATCTGTATGTCCATTCTTATATCAATGCCACACACTGGGTTACTTGAGCTTTATAGTAAATCTTGAAATTAGGTATAGTAAACCTTCAAGCCTTACTTTTTTATTAAAAATTATTTTTTCTGTTCTAGGTTCTCTACATTTTAGATCTAGTTTATCAGTTTCTATTAAGGAAATTGAATTATGATTCAATCAATTTGGGGAGAACTGACACCCTAAAAAATATTGAGTTTTCCAGTCCATGAAAATAGTTTATTTCTGGATTTACTTTGGTTTTTTTTTTTTGTTTTTTTTTTGTTTTTTAAGGCAGAGTCTTGCTCTGTCCCCCAGCCTGGAGTGAAGTGGCATGATCTTGGCTTACTGCAACCTCCGCCTCCCAGGCTCAAGCAATTCTCGTGCCTCATCCTCTGCACTAGCTGGGATTACAGGCATGTGCCACCACAGTTGGCCAATTTTTGTATTTTTAGTAGCAATGGGATTTTGCCGTGTTGGTCAGGCTGGTCTCGAACTCCTGGCCTCAAGTAATCTCCCTGCCCTGGCTTCCCAAAGTGCTGGGATTACAGGTGTGAGCCACCATGCCCGGCCTACTTAGATATTTTTAAATTTAACTCAGCAATGCCATATAGTTTCCAGTTTACCAGTCTTACACATTTTTTGTGGAATTTAATGATATAGAAAGACTATTGGTTTTTGAAGACTTAGTTTATATATTGCAATTTGTTAAATGGATGTAGTCTACCAGTGTTTAAGTTTTTGTAGATTCCTTAGGATATTGAAATTCACAATCTCATTGCCTGTGAATAATAACAGCTTTATTGATGCCTTTCCAAGCTTTATGCCTTTTTTTCTTTCTTTTTTTTTTTTTTTTTTTTTTGCTTATTTTATTGTCTAAGACTTTCAAAACAATATGAAAGTGTTAAAGAAGACATCCTTATATTGTTCCCAATCTTAGGGAAAAGGCATTCAGTAATTAACCAGTAAGTAAAATGTTAAATACAAGTTTTTGGTAGCTGTCCTCTATAAAATTGAAATAAGTTTCCTTTTATTCCTAGTTTACTGGGAGTTTTTAATCATAACTTTATCAAATGCTTTTTCGGCATTTATTGATATAATCATGTGGTTTTGCTCCTTTTTTCTTTTAGTGGTACCACTTACCTGAATTTATTTTTGAATGTTAAGCCAATGTTATATTTTGAAAAAATACTAACTTGGCCGTGATATGGTACCATTTTATATTATTTTATAATAACTTAGGTATTACACAGTAACAAAATACGTTGCAAAGTATTTCCTCCTCTTCTATATACTGAAAGTTTATGTAGGATTGGCAGTATTTCTTTCTTATATGTGATAAAATTTACCAGTGAAGCTATCTGGGCAGTTTTCTTTGTGGGAACATCTTTGATTATGAATTCAATTTCTGTAACAGATATGAAGCTACTCATATTTTCTCTTTCTTCTTGAGTTAGTTTTGACAAGTTATATTTTTTAAAAAATGTGTGCATTCATTTCATTAAATATATTGGCATAAAGTTGTTCATGATATAACCTTAATGTCATTTTACTGTCTGTAGGCTCTATAGTGATACCATCTCTGATTCCTAACTTGAGTTTTCTCCTTTTCTTAGTTTGTCTTGGTAGAGGGGTTTACCACTTGTATTAATCTTTTCAAGAGGCCAATTTTATGTTTCTTTTGTGTTTTTATTTGTCTATTTTATGGATTTCTACTCTTTACTGTTTCCTTCCTTCTCCTTACCTTATATCTAGTTTGCTCTTCCTTTTCTTGCTTCATAAGATAGAATATTACATCACTGATTTTAAACTCTTTTCTAATACCAGCACTGAAATTATTTTTCCTCTAAGCACTGCTTCTTTTGTTGTTGTTGAGACAGGGTCTAAGTCTGTCACCCAGAATGGAGTTCAGTGGTACAATCTTGGATCTCTACCTCGCCTGACTCAGGTGGTCCTTCCACCTCAGCCTCCTGAGTAGCTGGGACTACAGGCAAACACCACCACACCCAGCTAATTTTTGTATTTTTTTGTAGAGTTGGGGTTTCGCCATGTTGCCCAGACTGGTCTTGAACCCCTGGTTTGAAGTTATCCTCCTGTCTCCACATCCCAAAGTGTGGGGATTACAGGCGTGATCCACCATACCCAGCCAGTACTGCCTCTTTATCCCTCAAATTTTAATATGTTATATTTTTTATCATTCCTTAAAAAATATTTACTAACTTATCCTGTGATTTTTCTTTACCTATGGGTTATTTAGAAGTGTGTTTAATAGGCCGGTTTTGGTGGCTCATGCCTGTAATCTCAACATTTTCAAAGGCTGAGGTGGGTGGATGGCTTGAGCCCAGGAGTTTGAGACCAGTCTGGGCAACGTGGTGAAAACCCATCTCTACAAAAAATACAAAAAGTAGCCAGGCATGATGGTACATGCCTATAGCCCTAGCTGCTCAGCGGAAGTGGAGGTTGCAGTGAGCCATGATCGCACCACTGCATTCCTACCTGGGCAACAGGGTGAGAATCAGTCTCACAAAAATAAAGAAAGAAAAAAAAAAGTATGTTAAATAATTTCCAAATACTAGAGAGATTTTTCTAGATTTTTTTTATTTTTAGTTTAACTCCAGTGTGGTCAGATAACATATTCTGTAAGTTTTTATTCTTTAGAAATGTATTGAACTTTATTTTATAACACAACGTGTGATCTGTCTTGGTCAGTATTCCATGTGTACTTATAAAAATGTATAGTCTGCTGTTGAGTGTAGTGTTCTGTACATGTCACTTCGATCAAATTGATCAATAGTATTGTTCACTTCTTCTTTAGCCTGCTGAATTCAGGGGGTTTATTTTTTGGTACTATCAACTGATAAAAAAGAAATGTTAAAATATCCAAATATGATTTTAATTTCTCTACTTTTTCCTTCAGATTTATCAGTTTTATGACATGTATTTTGAAGCATTGTTCTAGATGCATATGTGTTTATGATTATTATGTCTACCTGATTATTTGCCCCTTTTATCATGATGAAATATTTCTCTTTATCTCTGGTAACACTCTTGCTTAATATTTAATGTATTTGATATTATATAATCATTCCAGCCTTTCATGTGTACTGTTTTCAGGGCCTATCTCTTTTCATCCTTTTATGTTAACCTATTTATTATTTTATTTTTAAAGTGTTAACTCTTGTGAACAACGTGTGATTTTGTTCTGCATTTTTCTCTAGTCTGACAATCTATTCCATTTGAGTGCTTAATCCATTTAAATTTAACTTAATTATTGATACTGTTGAACTTAGGTCTACCATTTTGCTTCCCCCGCTCCCAATTTATTAGTTTATCTTTTTTTGTTTATTCATTGCTGTTTCTCCTTTTCTGCTCCTTTTTTTGGGGAAATGGGAGGATAATACTTTTTTTTTCGGTTTTTAAACTTGTACATTCAGGGATACATGTGCAGGTTTGTTATATAGAAACTTGTATCATGGGGGTTTGTTTTACAGATTATTTTGTCACCCAGGTACTCAGCCTAGTACCCAATATTTATTTTTTCTTCTCCTCTACCTCCTCCCGTCCTGCACCCTCAAGTAGGCCTCAGTGTCTATTGTTCCCCTCTTTGTGTCCATGTGTTCTCATCATTTAGCTCCCACTTATAAGTGAGAGCATGCAGTATTTGGTTTTCTGTTCCTGCATTAGGTTGCTAAGGATAATGGCCTCCAGCTCCATCCATGTTCCCACAAAAGACATGATCTTCTTCTTTTTATTGCTGCATAGTATTCTGTGGTATATATGTACCACATTTTTTAAATTCATTGATGGGCATTTAGGTTGATTCCATGTGTTTGCTATTTTGCATAGTGCTGCAGTGAACATTGGCATGCATGTGTCTTTATGGTAGAATGATTTATATTCCTCTGGGTGTATACACAATAATGGGGTTGCTGGGTCAAATGGTAGTTCTGTTTTTAGCTCCTTCAGGATAATTCCTCTATTATCTTATTAGCTATGTGGCGTTGCATTTTCTTTGGTGATTTCTGTAGAGATTACAATATGTGTCCCTAACTTACTACAGTCTACATAGTGTTAACGCTGTGCAACTTTACGTAGAATGTAAGGCCTTTTTTATTGCTAACCTATATTTACTTCCCCATTCTTTGTGACATTATTGTCATATACATTAGATCTTAATACTCCAAATCTCATGTTGAAATCTGATCCCCAGTTTTGGAGATGGGACCTAATGGAAGGTGTTTGTGTCATGGGATTAGAACCTTAATGAGTAGATTAACTCCCTCAGGAGTGAGTGAGTTCTTACTCTGTTAGCTCCCATGAAAGCTGGTTGTTCAGAAGAGCTGACATCTCACCCCTCTCCTTCCCACCTCTCACCATGTACTATCTGCACAGTACAGCTCCCCTTTGCCTTCTGCCATTAATGGAAACAGACTGAGGCACTCACCAGGTGCACATATCCAATCTTAAACTGTCCAGCCATCAGAATTGTGGGCCAAATAAACCTTTTTACTTTAAGAATTAATGAGTCTCAGGCATTCCTTTATAGCAACACAAAACAGACAAAGACAGTGGCCAGCAACATATTTATAATCGTGAATTTAAATAAAGTTCTTACCTGCCAAGTTCAACATGTGGGCCATCTTTTGGTTGATTTTAATTGATTGATTTTTTTTTCCCTTGACTGTGGTTAACATTTTGTTTCTTTTCACGTCTGGTAATTTTTTATTTTGTCCTGAATATTATGTATGAAACATTATAGATAGGGATTTTATTATCATTTTCTGAAGAGTGTTGGTTTTTGCCCACATCTGCAATGTAGCTACCAGTTAGTCACCTTTGAACTTGGATAGGTTTGGTTTTATGCTTTGTGAGGGCAGATCTCTGGAAAGCCTGGGGTGTTTTCCAAGCCCCTCTAAATTGGTAGGACTCACTCTCCAAACTCCTTCTTTGTACATTTCACTGAAGCTTGATTTTGGTCTTTGTTAGAGAAGTTTATGATAAGCCTTCTTCTCGTATGTGGGCTTTCTAGTATTCTTAGCGGAAGTCTAGGACATTAAGATATCCCTCCATTCTATGTCAGAACTTAAAATTTCTCGTAGTATTGCCCAATTTGTAGCATTTCTATATAGTTATGTGTCAGTTAGTGATAGGTATATGTTCTAAGAAATGTCTTAATAATTATTGTGCAGACATCATAGAGTATACATACACAAACCTAGCCTATTATAGACCTAGGCTATATAGTGTAGCCTATTGCTCCTAGGCTACAAACTTGTAGGGCATTTTTTTCTTTATATTTTTATTTTTATTTTTAAGTTCTAGGGTAGATGTGCAAGTTTGTCACATAGGTAAATGTGTGCCATGGTGGTTTGCTGCACCTATCAACCCATCGCATAGACATTAAGCCCAGCATGTATTAGCTATTTTTCCTAATGCTCTCCCTCCCCCCACCACACCTCCCAACAGGCCCCACGGTGTGTTGTTTCCCTCCCTGTGTCCATGTGTTCTCATTGTTCAGCTCCCACTTATAAGTGAGAACATGCGGTATTTGGCTTTCTGTTCCTGCATTATTTTGCTGAGGATAATGGCTTCCAGCTCCATCTGTGTCCCTGAAAGGACATGATCTTGTTCCTTTTTATGACTGCATAGTATTCCATGGTGTATATGTACCACATTTTCTTTATCCAGTCTATCATTGATGGGCATTTGGGTTGATTCCATGTCTTTGCTATTGCGAATAGTGCCTCAGTGAACATATGCATACATGTTATCTTTGTAATTCAATGATTTGTATTCCTTTGGGTATATACCCAGTAATGGGTTTGCTGGATCAAATGGTTCTAGATCCTTGAGGAATCGCCACACTGTCTTCCACAATGGTTGAACTAATTTACATTCTCACCAATAATGTAAAAGCGTTCCTATTTCTCTGCAACCTTGCCAGCATCTGCTGTTTCTTGACTTTTTAGTAATAACCATTCTGACTGGCATGAGATGGTATCTCTTTGTGGTTTTGATTTGCATTTATCTAATGATCAGTGATGTTGAGTTTGTTTTCATGTTTGTTGGCTGCGTGAATGTCTTCTTTTGAGAAGTGTGTATTCATGTCCTTTGCCCACTTTTTAATGGGGTTGTTTGTTTCTTTCTTGTAAATTTGTTTAAGTTCCTTGTAAATTGTGGATATTAGACCTTTGTCAGATGGATAGATTGCAAAAATTTTACCCCACTATGTAGGTTGCCTGTTCACTCTGATGATAGTTTCCTTTGCTGTGCAGAAGCTCTGATAGAAAGAATCAATATTGTGAAAATGGTCATACTACCCAAAGTAATTTATAGATTCAGTGCTATTCCATTAAACCGCATTGACATTCTTCACAGAATTAGAAGAAACTATTTTAAAATTCATATGGAACCAAAAAGAGCTTATATAGCCAAGACAGTCCTAAGCAAAAAGAACAAAGCTGGAGGTATCACGCTACTGTACTTCAAGGCTACAGTAACTAAAACAGCATGGTACTGGTACAAAGACAAACACATGGACCAATGGAACAGAATAGAAGACACAGAAATAAGACCACACATCTACAACCACCTGATCTTCGACAACCTGACAAAAACAAGCATTGGGAAAAGGATTACCTATTTAATAAGTGGTGCTGGGAGAACTGGCTAGCCTTATGTAGAAAACTGAAACTTGACCCCTTCCATATACAAAAATTAACTCAAGATGGATAAAGTCTTAAATGTAAAACCCAAAACTATAAAAACCCTAGAAGAAAATCTAGGTGGTACCATTCAGGACATAGGCACAGGCAAAGATTTCATAACGAAATCCCCAAGAGCAATTACAACAAAAACAAAAATTGACAAATGGGATCTAATTAGAGCATATTACTGTACTGAATACTCTAGGCAGTTGTAACACTATGGTAAGTATTTGTGTACCTGAATATAGAAAAGGTATAGTAAAAAATTGATATTATAATCTTGTGGGACCACTGTCATATATTTGGTCAATTGTTGACTGAAACCTCATGATAGAGTCTGTGACTGTATTTCTATTCTGCTTTCAACCTTGTAGCAGCTACTCTTTGGTAAGTCATGCAGTGAAAAAGAAAACCAAACAGGAAATCAACAACACTAAAAGTTGATTCTTTGAAACTGTAAATAAAATTAATAATCCTTTTCAAGATGATCAACCTACTATGAAAAGAAAAAAATTACCAATATCAGGACTGAAAAAGGATATATCACTATATGTTTTAATTATATTTTTAAGTAATGAAGGAATGTTGTGAACAATTTTTTGCAAGCACTTTTGACAATTTAAACAATATAAATTCCTTTAAGTCAATAATATACCAAGATTGGTACAAAAAAGTAGAAAATTTGAATAACCCTATATCTGTTAAAGAAATTTAATTTCTAGTTAAGAACTTTCCCATAAGTAAAACTACACACCCATCAAAACTTCACTTGCAAATTCTACCTAGTATCTATAGAAGAAATAATATCAATCTTACACAAATTATTTCAGAGACTAGAACAGGGTGTCTCAGCCTTGGTACTATTGATGTTTCAATGAGATAATTATTTGTTGTGAGAGGCTGTCCTGTGCATTGTAGGATGTTAAGCAGCATCCCTGGCCTCTACCCACTAGATGCCAATAGCATCCCCGAGTTGTGACAATCAAAAACCTCTGCAGACATTGCCATATGCCTTCTGTGTGGCAACATTCTGTCCTCCTACCACACTTGAGAACCACTGGACTATAGGAAGAAGGAACTATTCTCAACTTCTTTTGTGAGGTCTGAACCTGGTAAAGGCATTAGAAGAAAAGAAAATGACAGGCCGGTCTTCCTCATGGACATAAATTCATGGACACAAATGCAGAAAAAAAAAAACCCCACAAAAAAATCCTTAACAAAATATCAGCAATTTAAGTTCAGGAATATGTAAAAAGCATAATACAGCTTGACTAAATAGGCTTAACATTTGAAAATCAGTCAATGTAATTTGTGATATTAACATAATAAAAAATATTTTAATCCTTTTTAAAGATTAAAGAAAACTTCATCTCAAACAGATGCAGGAAAAGCATTTGACATAACTCATCCAGTGCTTATTCATTATAGGAAGAAAAAAAAGACCTCTCATCAAGCTGGAAAAATGATAGTGTCAACAGAGATACATCTCTTTAATAACAAACACTTTTAGGAACAGGGTAAAGATGTCCACTCTTACCACTTTTATTCAGCATTGTCTGGGAGGTTCTGGTGTGATCAGGCATGAAAGATATTGGGAAGAAGTAAGTGAAACTGTCTTTATTCTCAGATAACATGATTGTATACATGGAAAAATACTAAGGAAGCTACAGAGACAAGTACTAGAATTAAGTGAATTTAACACAATCACAGAATGCAAATTCAATGTATAAAAATAAAATTTATTTCTATATAATAACAGTAATTAGCATAGAAAATAAAAGCATTTATAGTACCATCAAAACCATCAAATAATGAAGAATAAATTTAGCAAAAGAAGCAAAATATCTCTACATGATAACCACAAAATACTGCTGAGACAAATTTAAGAAAACTAAATGGAAAGAAAGATATGCTCTTGAATTTGACCAGTCGGTATTGTTATAAATATCAAAATTTTTTTCCAAACTGAGTCTTAGATTCAATGCAATTTCAGTCAAAATACCAACATACTGTTTTATAGAAGTTGGCAAACTTATTCTGAAATTTATATGGAAATGTGAAAGGACTAGAATAGCAGTGACAGTCTTTGTTATTCTAGAAGACTAAATTGAAGGACTTATGCTACCTAATTTTAGGTATGTAAATTAAAGTTATGTAATCAATACAGGTTGGTATTCACCTTAAGATGCATAAATAGATCGATGGAAAAGAATGGAGTCCAGAAACAGACCCACACACTCATATGCTCAACTGTTTTTTGACGGTGGTGCCAAGCAATTCAGTAGAAAAAGGAAAGCTTTTTAAACAAGTAATGCTAGAAATATTGGATACAAATATGGGGAAGAAATGAACCTTGATCCCTACCTCACATCCTAGCCAAAAAATAATTTGATCTTGAGGCATTAAAGTGCGAGTGGTATGAGAAGGGCATCCATAGAAGAGGGCAGCTAGGCATAGAATATCAGAACTTTTGCACGGTGAGGAGGGCTTCCATATGGGAACTGCACTGGTGTTGTGTGTTGGAGCTTGAGCAGAATGAGAAGGAGGTATCTATGTGGAGTTTGGCCTTGCAGGGGGTCTTGTTACCCAGAGGGATGAAGAGAGCTTCCTTAGGAGTAGCCCAGTCATGGCTAGGTGGGAATGGGTTGTAGGGGAAGAATAATTTTTTCTTCAGTCCTCATAGGTTCTTAGTTGGAATGGACCTATGTAAAAAAAAAAAAAAAAAAAAACAGATTAGCAAGAGAAAAACAAACATACATTAACACGTGTGTTTCATATGTACATGGAAGAAACTCAGAAAATTAGTAGTTCTCAAAGAGGTAGTTTTCATTCCAGCTTTTATAGCATCTTCAACAAAGAACAGTAGAATTTTAGAAAAGTAACGAGACAAAGGTAAAGGACTTTAAGTTCCTAAAGGTAGCAAATTGAGTCAAGGAAACTAAATGACAGATAAAGGCTAGTTGGTAAAGCCTGTTAATATAGATTCCCCTGGTATCGTCTCCAGATGATAAGGGTCTAAAGTTGCCTTCAGTGTTTAACCTTTGTTCTCCCTAGTAGAAGGCGAGCAGGGTACCTTTTGTCTCTGTAAGTTTGTGTTCAGCTTTTAGGCAGATAAAAGGGAGGGCAGAGAGCTTTCCTGTGTTTGCTTTTTCTTAATTGTCCTGAGCCCAACAATCCTTCGTTTTGTTGGGTAGCACATTTTGTCTCCTGCAGTGTCCAGAGTGTCCATACAGTGGCGCGTTGGCAGAAGCAGCCCAGAAGCATGTGGTGTGAGAGGAGTAGGCTGGTAAAGGATGAATAGCTGTGGTGACAGAATATTATTTTAATACAAAAGTATTAAGTAAGTAATTATGGTACAGGGCTAAAAAGAAATTATTTAAGCAGTTAGAGAGGGTAAGAGAGTCCTCAGTAAGGCTTCCCTTTTAACAAAAAGCAGCCCCCAAATCATTTGTTTTCCAACAAAGAGCAGCCTGAAAAATCGAGTTGCAGACATAGATAACCAAGCTGGAAGCTTGCACAGGTAAATGCTGGCAGCTGTGCCAATAGGAAAAGGTTACCTGGAGGCCAGGCATGTTCAACATGGAGGCTCCATCTTTACTTTTCTTTGTCAACCACATGTACAGTAAAGGAACAGGCAACATGGTGCTGGCAAGGTAGAGAGCCCATCTGCAAAATAAAAAATTAGGGTGGGGCAGCCACCTTCTTCATGCACTGTGAAAATGGCACACTTGGTCCGACCAATCTTTTGGGCCTTATGTAAGTCAGACACTGCCTCCTCAAGCTTGTCTACAAAACCCCATGCATTTAACCACGGAACCAGAATACCCACTCAGGAGCCCCTCTCTGCAGGAGAGAGAGCTTTTCTCTTTCTCTCACCTATTAAACCCCCACTCTTAAACTCACTCCTTGTGTGTCTGCGTCATTGATTTCCTTGGCTTAGGGCAACAAACCTTGGGTATTACCCCAGATGAATGATGCCACTTCAGTTATATTACAGAAAATGGCAGCCAGTTTTTTTCATTGTTGGAGAAAGGATATATCTATGGAAAGAGAAGAAGCTAAAATGAACCCTGTTGGTTTAGAGTTGGAATTTTGAAGATATTAGTATAAACTCTGTATAAACGCATGTTTTTCCCTCTATATATACCTATATATAGAAATGACTATATAGGTACATACATGTATTCTCTTTCCGTGTTCACAGCAAGGACTTGGGAGCTGTGGCAATCCAATAGCTTTTTTTTTTTTTTTTTTTTTTTTTCCCAATACAAGGTACCAGACCTTTTCAAAGAAATGGCTGATTCCAGGACTGGTTCAGAAACTGGACAATATAGCAATTGTTTAGGTATGATATGGCCAGCACCTGAATCAGGCCACTGGAAGTGAACGGAGGAATTAAGAGGTATCTATCTGTTTCTCCAGCCTAGATTTTATGGTCTTCTAAATCAAGGACTTGTTCTTTTTCTTTTAAAAAAAAAAAAAAAAAAAGACTCATGCCAAAATTTGAGTATTTCATGTGCTGTTTTTTCTCTTATACTCTATTCGCTTAAATGTCTACCTTTCTTCCCCTGGTTTTCCTCACATCACTGACACCCCTTTCCCTCCTGCTGTCCCCCGAGGATTTCCTACAGGTGCCTTAGAGAATCCGTGTTTCCTAGGAAATGCACTCTTTTCATCTGCCTTTTTCTAAAAGACTGTTTTCTCCCACTCTTCACAATAACTCAGTAATTTTCAATCCTATCTGAACATTAGAATCACCTATAGAACTTTTTTAAAAGGAGAGGAGAGTGAGAGAGGGAAGCAAATAATATCCAGGTCCCACCCTAGACTGATTAATTCAGTTTCGACAAGTGGGTGAGACTCAGTCCATCGCTCTTATTAAAAATTCCCCAGATTATTTAAATGTATTGCCAAGCTGTGAATCACTGCCTAAAATCAGCATCTTTTCTGAGAGCACCACTTCTATTAGAGGCCATTCTTTCTGTCACATTTGATAAACAACAGAGAGAGGAGTGCCAGCATTTTTCTTGCATATCTCTTTATTTATGTGAATCTAAATATATGTCTAGTTTTACTGCAGCAGTCCATCCTTTTCCATCCTTTGTTTTCCATCATTATCTCACTAGGACCTTGACGTCCCACTTAAAGTCACTTTCTCCCCCATAACTCCTACCATCATTCTGTGAGATCCCAATATCCATATGGTTGATGTATCCATTGCCATAGCTAAAGAATTTCTGCGTTCCTCAATTCACTCCAGCATCATCCATGGTGACACCCAGAGCTTGCTATCACCCACCATGGTTTCATCAGAAAAATCAT
Organism: Homo sapiens; assembly: GCF_000001405.40. NCBI lineage: Eukaryota > Metazoa > Chordata > Mammalia > Primates > Hominidae > Homo > Homo sapiens. The sequence continues at coordinate 37,154,711 of NC_000018.10, forward strand.
TGACTCTGCCATCCCAGCCTCTTTCTTTACAGCTTATATTCTCATGTTTATCACATACACCATACCAAGGGTTTTTATATTTCTGGTGTTGTTGCTGTTTTATTTTCGCTTTACCTTAAAGGGATATCTAAATTATTTATTTCCCCTCATTTTTCTGCCAGTCTTTTCAGTCCCTGTTGCCTCACTTTCTTCCTGGACCGAATGGTTGACCTATACTACATTAATATATTTATTTCCCTTGACCCCCAGTCTGCTGCATTGTCCCAGTAAAAATCCTAACCCTAGATTGAGCTCTCACACTGCTTTCTCTGCTTTTTAATCTCTGCACTTGAGCCCTGCTACAAATGGATGATTTCTATTTCTGTTAGGGCCTCAACATTTCAGGAAAATCTTTTTCTTTTCATTTCTATTTCGAATTCCCTCAATACATACTCCAAACCTTCACCTCTCTTCTCAATACCTGCTTTACTCACTCACAAGAATGACTGTATCTCCTCCTACACCAAGGAAATTGAAATTGAAGCATATTCTTTCTCAACTCTGCCTCCCTCAACTCTACCACCTCTAAACTCACTTAGCCAATAGCAAAAAGCCATGGAGTTACTGATCAAATTACTTTCTTGAAATATCTTCTCAGATGTTCCATAAGCATCTCAAGCTGCAGTTAATTTTTCCCACCCTTCCCCAATCCTCCTCTGTATTGCTTATCAACCCAAAATTCTGGCAGTCATTCTTGACTTTTCTCTCCCTCTCTCTTACATCAAGTTCTACCCTTTTTAAATCCTAAATATTTCTTAAACTATGTCTTTCCGTTCCTACTACCGCTTCTCTATTGCAAACCTTCATCTCTCACCAGAGCTGTTTCAGCAGCCTTCCAACTCATCCAGTTTCTTGAAGCCCATTCTCTAAATGGTGCCAGAGTAATTTTTCATAAATTCTGGTTGGATCATATCATTTTTCTCCTGAGAGCCTTTCAGTGACTCCACCTTGGCCACAAGATAGAGTTCAAGCCCCTCAGCATGGAAAACGCAACCTTTCATGATCTGACCTGCCCTGTCTTACCTGCTTCATCTCCGTTCCTCCCTACCACACACCCAAAGTTTAATGCTGTAACAATACCTAGCTATTTAACTTTCCCAAAATATGAACTGAAGTTTCATTTGTTGGTATATTTGCTAATACTTTTTTATTTTACCTAGAACATTCTTACATTTTTCCTTATCTTTCAAGGTTAAGTTTGAGTATTTCAGGAATCTCTCTTCTGTTATGCAAATAAAGTTAGGTGCCTTGCCCTTGCACTCTCATAACATCCAGTATATTCCTGAATTACTGCATTTGGCATATGGTATTAAAAATTCTGTTTCCACGTCTGTCTCCCCCACTAAAATCTCTTTAAGAATAGGAACCAGGGCTGGGCCGGGCTCGGTGGCTCACACCTGTAATCCCAGGACTTTGGGAGGCCAAGGCGGGCAGATCACCTGAGGTCGGGAGTTCGAGACCAGCCTCACCAACATGGAGAAACCCCATCTCTACTAAAAAATACAAAGTTAGCCGGGCATGTAACAAAATTACAGGCATGGGATTGCATGCCTGTAATCCCAGCTACTCGGGAGGCTGAGGCAGGAGAACCGCTTGAACCCGGGAGGCAGAGGTTGTGGTGAGCCGAGATTGTGCCATTGCACTCCAGCCTAGGTGACAAGAGAGAAACTCCGCCTCAAAAAAAAAAAAAAAAAAAAAAAAAAGAATGGGAACGAGGGCTTTCTCATGTTTGTATACCCAGCACCTAGCATAAAATAAGTCCTCTGTAAATGTTTGTTTTCCATTTTGCCCAGCCCAGTCTCACAGTACATATCAGGCCCATAAAGTGTGTTCTTCAGTCAATATCTGATGAATATATAAGTGAATGATTGATTAGGAAATTTATTAAAAAGGAATAAGGAGAGCAGAAGTTGAGACAACTGAGATTTCTTATGAGTGACTGGGAGGATGGTGATATCATTAAGTGAGAATGGAAACAGAAGGAGGAAGTAGTTTCAAGATAAAGATACTGGATTGCTTTAGCAAGAGTTGGTTTGGGAGGCAGGAATAGACATCGCTTTACAGCTTTTCATCAGATACTTGATCAGGTCAGCAGTTTTGGCAAGCACTGTGAACTAGAAGAATCTGTTTAGAAATCGTACTTGCAGATATAGAGGTGTGGCAAGGATCACCAAGAAAGTACTAAGAGGGAAGAGGACAGGGACAGACTTTTGCAATGTCTGCATCTAAGGGGAAGGAAGAAGTCTCCTAAAACCAGAAAACCAGTCAGGATAATGTGTTATGAAGACCAAGGGAGAAAACATTTCAAGAAAAAATGTTTTCTTGAATTTCTTGAATTTCTGTAGGGTGATCTAGTAACAAGCAAGACTGTTCAAAGAAGAAAGGCCTTTTGATTTGTTCTTTAAAAACAAGTTCTAGTCGGTATGTCTGTTAGAATAAATTATTGTTTTCTAGACGTTCAGCAGACAAGGAGAGAGGAGATGGTAATGGAAGGGACATGGTGAGAGTTTTTTGTTTGTTTTTAAATTATAAAATGCATGCCTATTGGAAGAAATTAAAACATTCAGAGTTATATAAATTAAAATATAAAACTCTTCCCTCTATTTCTTCTACTCCCTTCTAGTTTGACATTTATCCATCCAGAACTTTAAAAATATTTTTGTATATTTTTATTTTTATAAAAATGAGATCACATTATATACTCTATAATTGCAAATTGCTTTTATTTTAATAGCATGTCATGAAGTTTCTTCTCATCAGTGTAAAGAATTACCTCATCCTAGCCAAGTGTGGTGGCTCACACCTGTAATCCCAGCACTTTGGGAGGCCGAGTGGGCAGATCACGAGGTCAGGAGTTCAAGACCAGCCTGGCCAACATAGTGAAACCCCATCTCTACTAAAAATACAAAAATTAGCCGGACATGGTGGTGTGTGCCTGTAGTCCCAGCACTCGGGAGGCTGAGGCAGGAGAATCACTTGACCTGGAAGGTGGAGGTTGTGGTGAGCAAAGACTGCGCCACTGCACTCCAGCCCGGGCAACAGAGTGAGACTCCTCTCCAAAAAAAAAAAAAAAAAAAAAAAGAATTACCTCATTCTTTTTAATGGCTGAATAGTGTTCTTTATAATTAATATGTACCATAATTTATTCATTCTCTTATAGAATGATATTTGCTTTCAGTTTTTCACTATTACAAATAATTCTCCAGTGATTATCCTTAAACAAATATTCTCATGCTGTTGTTCATGTAATTCTGCAGGAGAAATTCCTTTTTTTTTCTTTCTTTCTTTCTTTCTTTTTTTTTGGAAACAGAGTCTCACTGTCTCCCAGGCTGGAGTGCAGTGGCATGGTCATATCTCACTATAAGCCCAAACTCCTGGGCTCAAGCTATCCTGCTGCCTCAGCTTCCCAAGTAGCTGGAACTATAGGCACATGCCACCATGCCTGGCTAATTTAAAACAATTTTTTTTCTTTAGTGATGGGGTCTTGCTGTGATGCCCAGTCCGATCTCAAATTTCTGGCCTCAGGTGTGGGATAAAAGTAGAACTGTTGAAAGAGGGATGCATTTTCATTTTGTGTTGACAAGTCACTCACAAAAAGGTGATACCCATTTGTGGTTCCTGCAATAGGTATTAAAGTGCTCTTGTCCCCACACGCTCACTGACACTGGGTATTAATGGAGGATCTGCTCTTGTTTGTAGCCCTAGGAAAAAATCCAGTTTAGAGGAGGAGTTTGTGAGTTATAAGAAAAAGAGATGATTGACAGGCCATAGTCACAGAGGGGATGGGTCAAGATGGTATCAAGAGTGCAAATAAAAGGTAAAATTTTTTGAGACATGAAGAGAGGAATAGTAGATGGGTGAATATGGAAATAAATACAAATGAAGGAAGAAATTTTTCATATAGTCATCTTTATTTTAGGGAAATTAGAAGCCAAGTTTCCAGTTGTGATGGAGGATTACCAAGGTGGAATTTTGAATAAAGGTACAGAAAAGCTTCTGTGAAAATGCTGTAAAGAAGCAGAAGGCAGTCAGTATTGGGAGTCTGGCTGAGCTGAGAATGAATCAAATTTGGGGAAGCCAATGGTTGGGGTCACATTCATTTTTCTACAGAACAAGCAGAGATGTAGTCACTGGATTTGCCTGGGTTTGGGGCCTCTGGGTTGACGTAAATTTATATAACATTCACAATAAGGTACTTTTATTTTCCGTATTTCCCTGTTCCGTGAGTGCAATTTGTATAACCCTAAGTTATACATCTTCTGGTGGGTCTGAGAGGAAAATGGTCTCTGTGTTCTGATTTAAAAAAAAAAGAAGAGTATCACTTTTATACATTTTCTTGTGCCTACTTTATAAAGCCATATAACTAATGATTTTATTTTCTTTATATAATTCTGAACATAAAGCCATTTACTTTCTTGGTTTTTGTTAATAAATTATGATATGAGCAAACACTGCTAAAAATTCTGATCGATATAAACCAGAGACATTTATAGAAGATTATGTGATTTGAATCCTGGTCAAAGGCCACCTGGAGTAAGTGATAGACCTGGCAACACTCCATTCAGCTTGTTCTTGTCTAGAGATTCCCTTTGCTTCTGGGGAGTTTAAACGTTTTAATTTTAGAATCTTGTTTTTTGAGTAGCTGCCTCTATGCATTTCCATGTCTTTTTCTTTAATTTTCACATTGTTTATGGGCATGGGGAAGACAAAACCAAAGTGTCATGAGTTTGTTGTGAACAAACACGAAGAGGGAAGAGTGGAATAGTGAGAGATAACACATCATTAGAATATTTTTCCCTAAAATAAGAAAATATTATAAGAGGAAATATGCTAATGGTGGGAACACGGTTTATTAGAGAAGAAAATATGTACATGTGTTCATTTTCATTAAAATGCCTTTTATTCTATATTTGTCTTGTTGACCTTTTAATGAAACTATGTAAGTATGGAGTCTAGTTCTTCTACGTGCACTGTTACACTACTCCTTACGTACTCTGGGTACATAATAAATACTAATAACAATTGAAAATTAGAAACACAAACGCGTTTGTGTGAGGCACATTGGTGATATTTTAATCCCTAGTGTTCATTTTTAGTACTTGGAAAACATCTTAGATATGCAAGTCCTGTTTTAGCATACTTTTTATTTCTATAGATAGCCTGGTTCTTAGTCATATTCTGTGACTTTATTAGCTGTTTCATCAGTTTGAATCTTATTTCCCCAACTCCCAGTGTAAGCTTTTTGAGAATAAAGGCCATTTCTTTTCCAAAATTGTTGTGACAGGACACAAAATAGACGTTGAGTAAATTATTTAAATTATACCTCAATAAAAGGTAAGATAAAGAGAGTTCTTAATGAATTGCATTTCAACCCATACTGAATTTAAATATCTATGTGCTCTGTGTTCCCTTCTGTGCCTTCAACAGTTCATTCATCGTTGTTCTTTCAGTTTATTGAAGTCAAACTGTGATGGCTGGCTGCTTGGAACATCATCATCTATTAAAAAGCACCAAGACCCCCCAAACAGTGGAGAGAATAGGAAGGAGAGGAAGACAGTTGGGTTTCATTCGCATATGAAAGATGATGCCCAGTGGTCATGTCAAAAGAAAGATACATGTAGACCCCAAAGAGGTAAGTTTAACAACTGTAGTGGCAAAATGAGAAACTGGTAGGGGAAGGTAGTTGCTAGCCAATGAATTTCAGATGATTTCCTACAATGCTGAGCAAAAGTTAAATGTTTACACACTGAAGTGTGCCTGCAAGGCCACAGGTAACACATTTACTAGATTAGTGAATTGTGTCTGTGTTTTTCTTAGAATACTGGAATGAAAAACTGTATCCAACTTGTCCCTCTTTTTGCAAGCAATAACTGTTAAGAATTAGTCAGCAGTAAGTATGGTCATAGACTAAAATAATGTTCCAAGTGAGTAAAGAGGGCAAGATATTGAACATAAATCTCTCCTGGAAAAATAAACCCTAACAACTACAGTTAATCCTCAATTGACTGGAAACATGGGGAGGGTGGAGGAGAGGTCATGGACAATTCCCCATATTGTGACTAAAGCAAAACCTCACAAGTCTAAAGCATTTTTTGCCTAACAGTCTTTTAAGTGTCAATAATACTTCCTGTTATATGTGGTAGACTTTAAAGAAATCAATTATAAGTAACTATGTTAAATGTTGAGTGAAGCAAATTTATTTGTTTCCCAGTTGTTCCTGGAGAGGCTTTTGGCTTAATCTTTCCTGGCATCCTTAAAGGAACGACTTTGGAAAAGAATGGAGCAAGTCTGAGCTTTATTGTACAGAAAAGATGTACAGGAAACAAAAGACCAAAAAGACCTCTGAGCCCTCTCCTGCTCACACCTCTTTCCTAGTGTCTTTTTTCCCTTCTCAAAACCATTAACCCAGATTTCCTTCTTATTTACCTGTTTTCCTACTGGGCCAGCACCTTTCTACCTCTGGTGTCATGCAACCTACTTTTCATAATCTCTGTAGCCACTCTCACATTTATTTATTTGAAAATTGGGCAGTGCTTTGTGAGATCTTGCAGGTGTATATCTCCCTGCCTCTCTTCATCTGCTACTAGCTCTGTCATGCTTTTTGGGTTTGATTGTGATTAATCTAGAAATTGTTTAATCCTCTTCCACATAATTGAGAAATGATAATTAGTTCAAATTTTGGGAGGGAGGACTATCCACAATTTGAAATAAAAGCAAAAGTACATTTTGTTAGACATAAGGCAAAGAAAGGTTTTGTAGACTTCCATTGTTTTAGAACAACTTAGAAGCTTCTTTTTAGACATTGCTTCCAAAAATAAAAATTAAATTGAAGAAACTTTATGAGGTAGAATCTTTACTTTCTCTGTTAGCAGTCCTTCAGAAATGGAAAACTCTTACCTCAGCTTCCTCTGTTCTTAGTCATTGCACTTTGGAGAGTGAAGAACTAGTCACAACTGGTGTGGTGGTTACACTGCAAGGCTTAACATAGTCTTCAGTTAACTTGTTTTCAAATTTGTGTTGCGTGGCAGCACTAAGATAAAATGGCAAAATGAGAAAAATATAGTGGAATAGCAAAAGAACAAATAACTTGTGTTATTGGTTAAAACCACAGCAACAGTAGAAAGCAGCAATTGAAAAGGCACTTTGAGAAAGATATCATCAGGCCAGCCCTTGCTGTGGTGGAGGTTAATCTCTCCTGGGCCTAGCTACAGAAGCCAGAAGCCTGAAAAGGTCTTGTGTCCAAAAAAAATCAATTTCTAATTTGAAACAAAATCATTTTTGACTAACAGGGGTTCAGAACCCATTACTTTTTGCTGTATAGTCTGCTGACATTTCAGCACTTTCTGTTGTGCACAATGAATCCTAATAGTCATTTTATAATGTTGCTATACCAATCAATTTAACCAAGAGAAAGCTGTTACAATTCTGCAAAGTTTTCAGGAATAGTTTTCACTCATGGTTTTATTTTTTCTTCCATTAGGTTTTTTTTCCCCTTTTTTTGTGGGGGTGGGGGAAGGTTGTAGTGTTGCAATAAAAAAAAAAAAGAAACTTTTTCATCTTTTTAAGAGTTTTTATTTTAAGGCATTCACAGGAACTACTGACTTTCTTTTCTACTCATGAAAAAGACCGCCTTGTATTTTCCTTTTCTTTTATTCTAATATGGAGCTGTTAGCAAAATTATTATCTATATGACCATTAAAGAGGCTAAAGTTGCCCCTTTGAGCCATTCTGCCCATTGCACAGCTAGTGTATGCAGATTATAGTACAGGGCAAAGTTATTGCATTGGCATTTGCTGTGGCACCCAACCAAATGGGAGATATAAACTTTCCATGGATGCACAGTAGACTTGGAAACCCTGTTTATCATAAGGCTGATGACCTAGCACTAATCACCTAAGTTACACTGCTTGGTTCATCACCTTCTTAATTGCTTTACCCTCTTTAGTGTGTCTGAATTTTTTAATATACTTTTCTTCTGTCTTACATCTTTTGTTTCTTTTGCTGTTATCCTTTACTCATTAAGTACTACACAGGACATTTACTACAGGACCATTAATCTTTATTACCAGTATCTTACTCCCTTACCTCTCCTATCCTCCTCACCATTCTGCCAGCTTTATGATGCTAAACATGTTAAAAAAAAAAAAAAGACCAGACTATTGTCTCAAGAAACAACCTTACGATAGCAAAGATATGTACAGTATTGTCAAAATTACACTTAAGATATATAGACTTGTTCATCAGTTTTAGTTACTTTTATTGAGCAATGTCAAACAGGGAGATAATACTTGGGAAAATCTAAACTTGAGTAAGAACTTTTAAAAGGCATAAATCTGGAAACACCTGATTTTCATTCCTCTTTTTTCCTCCCTTGTAGCCTCAAAACGTTTTCCACCAGCTTGCCTAGAACCCCCCTTTCCTGAGCAATCATCGATATTCCCTTTTATGAGAGCCCTCAAAACTGAGGGCATTTTTTTCTTGTTATGTTGATGGGCTAGCAGAGGCTGTGAAGCCACTGAGTGCGCAGTTTTCAGAACTGAAATGTTAAACCTCTGACCTTGGCACTGCCCATTCCTAAGTCAGGCTGTAAAACCTGACTTTGGCCGCTCCCTTCCTCCTTTTTGTTCCTCCTTCTTGAATCTCTAAATTCCCTTAAAATGTTGGCAGAGGCTGAACCTAGGGTAATTTTGATTTACCTGATGGTAGAGATTGTGCCCTTCATTTTGTCTTTGGGGTTTTCTTAGGTTATATGATTTTATATAGCAGCTGCCACTGGTTGAGGTCCCCTAGTAACTCCCAAACACATATTTTTTTTTACTGGAAGATGATTATTCTAGACTCAAGTAAAGAATAATCTCAGAAGCTCCTAGTTGTTCCTCTAAGTGAGCCTGTGCTTAAAATGATGTGAGTACTCTTCATAACTCCAGATGGATTAAAGTAGGTGACATGCTTAAAGAAATGAACAATTGGAGTGTCCAAAGTACAGAAATCATTTCTATCTTGCCTCTAAGGAGCATTTCTCATGTTTCTTTTATTATTACCATCAAGAGCATTATTATTTGTTCATCCATAAGGGTACCTTAAGATACTACTTCTGATTCCCAGAAATCTCAGCTGAAGATATGCTAAAAGTTGATGTCTTTATCAACAGCACATAGTATGCAAGCATAGTAGAGGGCTATGAATAAACCCAGATATGTAGAATAAATTCTCCTGGCTAGTCCACTAAAAAAAGGAATTCAAATATAACAGACTAGTGTTAAGAGTTAATGTTAATATATATGAAATATTGTCACCTAAACCAGAGGGTCTACATTTCCCATTCTCTAAAATGGAAAGAAATTTCTCAAAACACTATATAGTTTACTTTTTTATTATATATGTTTTGTATCTTCTCCGTCAGAATATAAGTTCCATATGTTCACTGTTGTATCCCCATCTCCTACAACATTGCTTAACATGTGGTGTGGTAGGTACTCATTAAACATTTGTTGAATGAATTAACATAACATTGTATATATTGATTTTTCTTTCGATGCCCTTATCCTGTTTCCCCAAAATAAGGACCTACTCAGGTAGACTTTTTCACCTCAGTACCTGCTGTGATTTAGTGATTTTAAGCAAAATATATGTTTGTCTCTTCAGAGTTCTTATGGTGATCAATTGGTAATGTCAAAGAGAAATCAGTAGAGTGGGCTCTTAAAAATAGCACTGGCTGGGTGTGGTGGCTCACGCCTGTAAGCTCAGCACTTTGTGAGGCTGAGGCAGGCGGATCACCTGATGTCAGGAATTCGAGACCAGCCTGGCCAACATGGTGAAATCCTGTCTCTACTAAAAATAGAAAGAGTTAGCTGGGTGTGGTGGCACATACCTGTAGTCCCAGCTACTTGGGAGGCTGACGCAGAAGAATTGCTTGAGCCTGGGAGGCAGAGGTTTCAGTGAGCCGAGATCACTCCACTGCACTCCAGCCTGGGTGACAGAGCAAGATTCTGTCTTAAAAATCAAAATCAAAATAAAAAAGTGCTGCCTTAGGAGTCAAGAAAATATGGACGGGGAGGGTTCTATTGTCTTGTATTCTAATTGAGGTTTAATGTATATACACTAAATTGTAGAGGCCTTAAATGTATAGTGTGATAAATTTTGAAAATTATGTACACCCGTGTAACCACTACCCCAATTAAGATATAGTACATTTCCATTTTCAATAAATCCTCATACTCTTTTCTAGTCAATCCTCCTGAAGCCTTTCCTCTTGGGTTGCTGATGGCTGCCTTCTCACTGCATCCTCACATGGCCTCTTCTGTGCGTGCATCCCAGGGAACGCTTCCTCTTCTTATAAGGACACCAGTCACTCTCAGGCCCACCCCTATGACCTCATCCAACTTAACTACCTCTTTAAAGGTCTTGTCTCCAAATATCGTCATATTCTGAGGTGTCCTGGTCTTTAGGACTTCAGATTAATTAGGGAAGGCACAACTAAGTCCATAACAACCACTTTCTTTCTAATTTTTGTGCCTTAGACCATCTAGGGGTTTTATTACAATATAGAATACAATGAGAAAAGTAGACTTCCATGCCTTGTTCCCAACCTTATAAGGAAAAGATAGTCTTTCACCGTTAAGTATGATTTTAGCTGAAGGGTTTTTTTTATTTTTATTTATTTATTTATTTATTTACTTATTTTTTTGAGAAGCAGTCTTGCCCTTGTTGCCCAGACTGGAGTGCAATGGTGCTATATCGGTTCACTGCAGCCTCCACCTCCTAGGTTCAAGCAGTTCTCCCGCCTCAGCCTCCTGAGTAGCTGGGATTACAGGTGTGTGCCACCACACCCGGCTAATTTTTTTTTTTTTTTTTTTTTTAGACAGAGTTTTTGATCTTGTTTCCCAGGGTGGAGTGCAATGGCATGATCTCGGCTCACCACAACCTCTGCCTCCCAGGTTCAAGTGATTATCCTGCCTCAGGGTCCCGAGTAGCTGGGACTACAGGCGCTCACCACCACGCCCGGCTAATTTTTTGTATTTTTAGTAGCAACAGGGTTTCACCATGTTGGCCAGGCTGGTCTCAAACTCCTGACCTCAGGTAGGCACCGCGCCAGGGCAGATGGAGGCTTTTTGAAAATGCTCTTTATCGGGCTGAGAAAGTTTCCTCCTAGTTTGCTGAAAGTCTTTGTCATAAAGGGGTGTTGAATTTCATCAAATCTTTTTTTCTGTACTTACAATCATGTTATGTTTTTTCTTCTCAGAAGGTAGTTTAATGATTACACTGATTGGGAGATATTGGGGTGGTAATTTTTTTTTTTTTTTTTGGTAATGACCTTGTCAGCTTTGGGTATCAGAGTTATGCTAGTGTCATAAATGCATCAGGAAACATCAGTGGAAATGGTGTGGTAGGTACCTTCAGGGCCTCATCTCTCCCAAGAAACACTGAAAAATCTTGCAAAAACTGTCAGAAGCTACCTTATCAGAACTCTGGAGGATAGTGAAAGATTTACAGAAACAAAACCAATTCTTAGCCAGGAGAAAGGCTACTGAAGCATTGTAGGAGGACTTTAGTGTTAACTTAGTCTTGCCCTACCCCAAGCTTTTCCCAACCCGCAGCCCGTGGGCCATATGTGGCCCAGGACAGCTTTGAATGTGGCCCAACACAAATTTGTAAACTTTCTTAAAACATTATGAGATTTTTTTGTTGTGATTTTTTTTAAGCTCATCAGCTATCATTAATGTATTTTATGTGTAGTCCAAGACAGTTCTCCCAAGGTGTCCTAGGGAAGCCAAAAGATTGGGTGCCCCTGCCCTCCCCTCTTCCCAGCGTGTCAGCAGTCTAAAAGATGGCAGCCTGAGTTCCATGTTTTAGTATCTGCCCTCTGAGGAAGCAGAGCAGACCCTGTTCTCAAGGGATTGTTTCTCTGTTTTAACCTGTCTGTGGATTCCCTAAAGGGCTGACACATGGAGCCTGCCTTTGTTTTGTCTGACTAAACTTTCTCTGGGCAGAGAGTGGCTACATATAGGACATTCCTTGAAAACACTGAAAATCAGATGAACACACCACTGGCACCTGGGGTTTAAAAAAATAAATAACAATGAGGCAAACAATAGACACATCAAAAAGTCAGATGATCTAGAATAAATAGAAGATCTAAATAGACCTATATAACAAGTAAAAAGATTGAATCAGTAATCAAAACCTCCCAACAAAACAAGCCCAGGACCAGATGGCTTCACTGATGAATTTTACCAAACATTTAAGGAATTAACACAAATTCTTCTCAGACTCTTCCAAAAAATGTAAGAGGAAAGAATATATCCTAATGAAATGGGAAAAGTTCCCCTATCTCCCTCGCAGGTTGTGTAATGGGGGAGTGGCTCGCTTCTTCAGTGCCCTGCTGCTCAAACCTCTAGGGGGAGCATGCAGATGGGCAGGTTGTGGGGCTCTGACCACATGGCAGTGTCTAGGGGTAGATGTTTACAGCTCCTGAAGCCCCAGTGGGCATTTGCTGCCGTGTGCCCTTTTAGTTTTGCCGTCTATAGGTGGCTCGTGTTAACCAGCTCAATTAGACCCTCTACCTGTTGCAAGGACAGAGGGCTTTCTGTATCCCGGGTTCTTGCCTTAGTGTACTGGAAAAACTGGATCACACGTGGGCTTGGAGAATGAATGCAAGGTTTTATTTAATAGTGGCAGTAGCTCTCAGCAGTTGGATGGGGTGTCAGAAGGGGGATGGAGTGGGAAGGTAGTTTTACCCTGGAGTTGGGCTGCTTAGTGGCTGGACTCTCTTCCAACCGCTTTGGCCAAATTCCCCTCGCTGTCTGCATCGTTCCACCGGTCAATGGCCTGCCAGTGTCTGCTGGTGCCTGTTGGTATGTTCTTCCGCTCCTCTCGATGTCCAGCTGCTTGTGTGCTCTTCTGCCGGTGTGTTCCTCTTGATATCCAGCAGCTTCTGTCCCTTCCTGCTAGGGTCTCGGGGTTTTTATGGGCACAGGATGTGGGGGTGGCAGGCCAGGGTGGTCTTGGAAAATGCAACATTTGGGTGCCAAGCAGGAGTGCTTGTCCTCACCTTGGTCTGTGGGCACAGGCCCAATGGTGGAACCCTCACCAGGGACCCTGCCCTTTTCATCCCTGCACTTCCCTGCCCCCCTCCCTGATATCAAAGCCAGAGACAGATGTCACAAGAAAAGCAAACTATAGACCAGTATTCTTTATGAGTATGGATGAAAATATACTTAACAAAATACTAGCAAGCCGAATACAGCATATTGAAAGGATTATACATCATAACTAAGTGAGATTTAGCCCAGGAATACAAAGGCAGTTCAACATACAAAAATCAATCAACGTAATACACATTAATAGAATGAAGGAATAACCACATGATCATCTCAGTTTACACAGAAAAAGCATTTGACAAAATCCAACATTCTTTCATGCTATCTGCCCAACTTTATAGGAAATTGTTTGTTGACTCTGCCATAGTAGGTCACCAAGGACAAGGAGAGGTATTGGAAGAATACACATGAAAAGTTGTTATAGGACAGAACAGAAGTGGCACATATAATGTCCACTGGCTTTCCACCTTACCACACGTAATTACAAGGAGGATTAGGGAATATAATCTAGCTGTGTACCTAGGAAGAAGGAAGGAGTACATTTTGGTGGATAACTGACAGCATCTGCCACAGCAGCATTCTTCATAATAGCTCCAAACCAGAAATACTCCGAATGTCCCTCAATAGCAGAAGGGATAAAAAGTCATAAATGCATACAATGGAATACTACTTAGCAAAGAAAACAAAGAAACTGCAGTACATAAAAATTATCAGCATAGGTAAATTTTGCAGACAATTTAAGCAAAGGAAGTCTCAAAAATAATATACATATTTCTAAAGTTCAAAAGCAACAAAACTAAATGACATGTTTAACCAAACACATAAATGGTAGAACTATAAAGAATAGAAGGAAATAATTATTAGAATAGTTGGGGCCCCTGGAGGCAAGAAGGAATTGTGACTGGGGATGGATATTGGTATTGTATCTGGGTGGTAGTGCTGCCAGGGCTTGCTTTCTTGAGCTGGGAATGGGTTACACTGGTTTTGTCTTTATAATTTATTCTTTAAACTGAATAGATAATATGGCTCAGCCGTTTAAAAAATATAAAATAAAACAAAGGGCCCAGAAACAGAGTTTTCTTAAACATTGAACTCTAAGAAAAAAAAATTGCCGTGAAATATACCCAGTTATATCTAAATAGGACATGATCCATTATAATCAATTCCATCTGTGCATGTGAAAATATATGTGCGTGTTTATGTAAATGCATTCACATATATTACATGTATATAAACATACACATTTATGTATGAAATCAATTAGCCTAGTAATATTCTTAACAGCATTTTATTTATTTATTTATTTATTTATTTATTTATATTTTTTTTTTTTTGAGACAGAGTCTGGCACTGTCGCCCGGGCTGGAGTGCAGTGGCACGATCTCGGCTCACTGCAACCTCTGCCTCCTGGGTTCAAGCAATTCTTCAGCCTCAGACTCCTGAGTAACTGGGATTACAGGTGTCTGCCACCAGGCCCAGCTAATTTTTTGTATTTTTAGTAGATATGGGGTTTCACTATGTTGGCCAGGCTGGTCTAGAACACTTCACCTCATTGTTCACCTGCCTCGGCCTCCCAAAGTGCTGGGATTACAGGCCTGAGCCATGGCACTCTGCCAGCATTTTTATTTATTTTTAAGCATATGTTGTTATTGTGTGTGTGTGTCTGTGTTTGTGTGTGTGTGTGTGTGTGTTTAAATATACAGGAATATAGAGTTCCATGAATATGCATAACTGTAATTGTTGGTATACTTAATATTAAATAAAATTTATAAATGGAACAAATACAATTAAAAGCTGATGTATAGCTTTCTGGAAACGCAATAAGGAATAGAACTTAGAGAATTAATAAAAAAGAACAGTTAAACTTGGTCTGTGCTTTACAGCAATCATTCTTATCCTTTTCAGGGTCCCATACCCTTTCAGAATTTGGTAAAAGATATGGTTTCTTTCTTCAGAAAAATAAATGAGCACACATATATACATTGTTGTGCCTTACAATTATGAGGTATCTGTACATTCCTGAAGTACATTCTTCAATTATAAAAATCCCTGGACCATCTGTTAAAATTCCTTCTTTAAATTGTCCCCAGGTATTCTGTGATAGTGACCAAAAATATATTTATATTCTGTCACTACCAAGCATTTCTTCTTCCCTTTCACCTCACTCACAAATCCCTTTCAGTTGTTTCTACTCCTATTTGTCTGTCTTAATTTCCTCTTACATCACCCAGGATTCTACCCAGACAATTGTATTAGTAGTGAACTGCTTTGCCTGACTTTGTTCTATCTGTTCCACTCTATTCTAAATTCTGCCTCAAAATTAATCTCTCCAAAGACCAGTTTGGTATTTTTTTAATCATTGTTGTTACTGTTTTATTTTTGAGTCCCTCTAAAATAATGCTTACAAGTTTGCCATACAGAGCCAAACAGACCTTGATTGCATTCAAAATCCAGCTTTGCTCTTACCAGCTGGGTGATATTGGACATGCTGCTTGATCTTTTTACAATTTCCACTTCCTTATCTATAAAATAAGTACACTAATATAATTTAAAGACTGTTGTAAGGATTAATAATGAGATGATACATTTAAAGTGATTAGCAGGGTACAAGGACATAGTGATGTTCAATAAATATTTCCTGACTAAATGAAATATTTAGCCTTGAGGTTTTCAGTTTAATGCTTTTGCTAATGTAACTCTCTGTCTCCCATTTCATGCTCGTCATTGTTTCCTATCAAAGAATCCTACCTCCTGCATCAAATGTTCCCCAAATCCTATAGCCAAATGTGAACTCTCCCATTTCTTAATTCCTCAGACTTTTCATAGTACTTATTACAGCAGCATAGCATAATGGCCAAAGCTCTCAGGTCATCTCGGACATAGATACTAGCTCCATCACTTATAGCTCGGTGACCTTGGGCAGATCACATAGGCTCTTTATGGCTTATTTTCCTTATCTGCAAATTTGTTATAAAAATATTATTTCAAAGAGTTTTTATGAAAATAAAAAATAATTTCTAAAAAAGGTAAAACAATAGAGATAGAGAGGGGGCTAGGACCAGACTAAGGCCGGGAGCAGTTATTACCTACAAATGGGCAAGAGGGAACCTTCTGGAACAAGGAAATATTCTAAAACTGGATTTTAAAAAGAAATATCTAAGTACCATGCAAATTTAAAATAAAAACTGGCTTGTAGCCATGCTTTCATAGCTATATAAAGTTACTATTTATCAAACTCTACAGTTAAAATGAGTAAATTTTATGATACTCAAATTATACCTCAATAAAATTTATATATACACTAAGCATATAGTATGTGTTAGCAGTTACTACCTTATACTGCCTTGTGTTATCTGTGGTTTTGGTTTTGTTTTTTTCTTGAGACAGATTCTTGCTCTGTTGCCCAGGCTAGAGTGCAGTAGTATGACCATAGCTCACTGCAGCCTCAACCTCCTGGGCTCAAGGGATCCTCCTGCCTCAACCTCCTGAGTAGCTGGGACTAGGACTGCAGGCACATGCCACCACACCTGGCTAATTTTATTTTTTATAGAAACAGGATCTTGCTATGTTGCCCAGGCTGGTCTTCAACTCCTGGCCTGATCCTCCTGCCTTGGCCTCCCAACGTGCTCAGATTACAGGTGTGAGCCACTGAGCCCATCCTCTATGTCTCTTTATGTGATAGTCAAGAGTGTCTTGTGTCCTTACTCTCATACCTTCCTTTCCCTCCCCATAAACTAAGCCTGAGCTTAATCCTGGCACTGGCCAGTATTAATATGTACTTGTTTGGGTTGAGGGTACCACAGATTTCTATATATAAAGAAGAATGAATTGTGCATTTAGAGGCTGGTCTTTTACATCTACGCATAATAGATCAGTGGGACCCTGTCTCTACAAAAATAAAAATAAAGAATTAGCCTGGCATAGTGGCACACATTTGTAGTCTCAAATACTCAAGAGGCTGAGGCAAGAGGATCACTTGGGCCCAGGAGGTCGAGGTTGCAGTGAGCTGGGATTGCACCACTACACTCCAGCCTAGTGATAGAGTGAGACCCTGTCTCAATAAACAAACGAACAAACAGAGTAGAGAATAGTTGACATAAAGAGTATAGTTTTTGAAGCCAAGGATAATGGTGATCATTTTGACGCTAATCGCTATAGCTGTAAGACTCTAGCCTTCTCTATGCCTGATGATTTCAGGTTGCACGCAACCTGTTGCCATTCCCAAAGTTAGCATACTGCACTCCTGGCATTTTAGGGTCTGGTATTCCCAGCACTCCAAAGCTTTTTGTTATTTGAATACTCTCCTTTTTGTCAAAGAGTGGATCTTCCCAAATAACTTCATGCATCCCGGATAACAGTTTTCAGAGAACCAGAAGAAAAACTGCATGTGATTCTTACAGTCTTCCAAGATAAATATAGCTATATTTTATGTTGTTTAGAAACTAATAATAACTGAAAAATAAAATAAAAACAATATTTCTGTCCATACCATCTTTTTATTTAGCACTCCAGAAGAGAAAAGTAATTACAAACTAAACATTGCTTGTTGGAAAGGAATTGAGGCCAAGTCAGGCAGTTCCTGGGAGGATAAACTATTGCTTAGGAACTTTCCCATGGCACTCGAATGAATATTAGTTGAGCATCTCTTCCAATTAAGACATGTGTTTTAGCCAATGTTGAGTTCTCTAAAAGAAACTTTCAAGACTTATATATATCTTGAAAGTGTTTTAAAGAGGATCAATTTAATTTGGAGGGTTTAGAGTTACAAAGTGCTGGAATCTTTCTTATGAAAGTTAAAGGGAGCAAAATAAAACATCCCACCTCCTTGGGCATTTTCACAGTAAACCAAGATCAGCAGGGCTTTGCTAGGCAATCAGGTTTAAAAACAAAATCTCTAGTTACTCTGTCACTGCAAAAATGTATTTTCTTAAAGCGCATTATAGATTTCCCATGTTTACAAAACTGAAGTGAGTTTTTCATATGCCATTGTTACATTTCAGGGAAACAAGTGGCTTACCTTTGAAGCTTGGACATTCCTATAATGTCTTATAAATTTACTAAGAGTGAACTTTTCCATTTTCTTTTACTGAATGCCCAAATTATTTTCTTTATTTTTCATATAGGGACAGTGACAGGAGTTAGAAAAGATGCGTCTACATCTCCTATGCCAACAGGAAGCCTAAAGGATTTTGTCACCACAGCCTCACCATCATTACAGCACACCACCTCCCGGTAAGCTTCAGAGATTCTTTAGTTTTTAATATTCTCCCTATGAGAGCATTTTTTTGAAGTTTATTTAATAAGGAAGGGAAAAATCTTGACAACTCTTAGTAATTCTTTCTCAAGAGAGGTCCTTCTTTTGAAGCATCTAGATTTGGCCAGTTTGAACCACATGGAGTCCTTTTCTTTATACATGCACTTTCTTAGTTGATCATGGTAATGTAAGGGCTTCCATAGAAACCTAAAGCTAAACCTATCCTTCACCAGAAAGTCTGTTTAGCAGCAGGGCTTTCCTAATTTATCACAGAAAAGTTATACATTTAGACTATAAGTTTAACTAGCTGAAATCATTGCTATTGAACATTATAGTGGCTTTTGTACTAGTTAAAGGAATACCAACATTAACTTAAGACCAGACACATTTGAAGGGTTAAGCATTTGATCAGCCTTTTCTGGAGTCAGGGAAAGAAATATCTTATTTTAAATTTCCCATGTCTAATGAACCAACTCCCACATTATGCAATTAAGGCTGAATATGTAAACGTCAGTACCAAAAGGGCTTGGTTTATGTTTCTTCAGGGATATGATTGGTTTTGAGCACTTAAATTCATAGCAGCTTATCCGATGAATTGAATATAAATGTTAAGACTTAATTTGTAGTTAATTTGAAGTCCATTGGCTTTGCAAAGTAGAAATGCCCAAATTACAAGTCTCAAGTCTGATGATTTTAAAGATGTGCTCTAAAATTTATTATTTTGGTTTGAGGTAATTTCAAAGGGAAGAGAAAGATTATTTCTTCCTCCTCTAAAAAGTTGTATTCCAGTCCAGTGCCTATAGATATGCTGTTCCACAGAAGCCAAACCTAGGAAACAGTGTGTTCATCGTATTTTGGCTCTTTTTGTCATTCCTTTAATTCTGGAGCTAGAAAGGTAAGCATCTTAAAGAACTTTTGAGAAATGACTCCAACACAAAAGATAATAACAATAGCTACCATCTATTAAGTATCTGCCATGTCCCTAGCACCTTGCCAAGCCCTTTATATGCATTGTCTAATTTAATCTTCACAACCTTATGAGGTGGCACTATTATCCCCATTTTTAAAATTAGGAAACTAAAGTTCAGAGATATTGAAGAACAGTCTAAGATCACATAGCTAACAACAGGCAAAGCCAGCATTTCAGACTCCAAACCTCGTAATCTTAAATATTGTAACAGTTGACAATGACAACCTCTCTATTTTGGAGGCCACACACAATCAAAAAGAGAATTTAACTAGTTTGCCGCATCCTTTCACTGTTGCTGCTTTCTTCCTTTTTTTTTTTTTTTTTTTTTGAGATGGAGTCTCACTCTGTCGCCAGGCTGGAGTACAGTGGTGCGATCTCAGCTCACTGCAACCTCCACCTCCCGGGTTCAAGCAATTCTTCTGCCTCAGCCTCCCAAGTAGCTGGGACTACAGGCGCCCACCACCACACCCGGCTAATTTTTTTTTGGATTTTTATTTTTATTTTTATTTTTATTTTATTTTATTTTATTTTATTTTTTGAGACAGAGTCTCGCTCTGTCACCCAGGCTGAAGTGCAGTGGCGCAATCTTGGCTCACTACAAGCTCCACCTCCCAGGTTCACGCCATTCTCCTGCCTCAGCCTCCTGAGTAGCTGGGACTGCAGGTGCACACCACCACGCTTGGCTAATTTTTTGTATTTTTAGTAGAGACGGGGTTTCACTGTGTTAGCCAGGATGGTCTTGATCTCCTGACCTTGTGATCTGTTTTTTTGGTATTTTTAATAGGGACAGGCTTTTACCATGTTTGCCAGGATGGTCTCGATCTCTTGCCCTCATGATCCGCCCGCCTTGGCCTCCCAAAGTGCTGGGATTACAGGTGTGAGCCACCATGCCCAGCCGCTTTCTTTTATTTTTAATGCTACTGTTGTTGGCATTCTTCCAAAGATCCACAATAAGTTGTGTTTCTGAAATGTTGATGGAGCTTCCTCTTTGGATCACTTAACGTTGTGGCTGAAAGCTTGTGCTCAGAGGGTTTCCATCCTAGCTCACCTTGAGGGATTCATTTGGAGGAATTAGAGGTAAAGAAGGAAGATTATCTGGATTTTCAATCTTAGTGAATTTTCCTATTGTTAAAGATTAAAATGAGATCTTTAACACCACTTTAATATATTGTTTTTGATGGTTGCATTTCAGTTTAGAGGGAAGTATGAAAAAATGGAATAAAATGTTGCCCCAGTAAGAGTTTTATAAAACATCCTCAGCACACATTTTTGGAATGGATCATATCAACATTGTAGAGTTTTACAAGCCCAGGTTAAAACTGCTGTGAAGAGTCATATTTACAGACTTTAAAAAAGGATTATCTATTTGTCCTTAATACTGCAGATCAGCTAAATATAGATTCTCAGAAGCTTCCTATGTAACGAGCATTTGGCTTAATAAAACAACATGTAGCACACCATATTTTATCTTTAGAAATGCATGATGACATCATACAGGTCTCTTACACGAATTGCAGAGTTAAAAAAAAAAAATCAGAGTACTATGAAAATCAGTTACCAAGAAGGCATAGTGGTGGCTTTCCAGATTTCAGAATCAGGATTATTTGTACTGTTTTTATTTCAAAGTGTAGAAAAGACATTTTTTTAAATAGACTACATATCAGTCACATGCAAACTCTTAATGTAAGAGAAGAGCCTATTGTTCTTTATCTCAACAAACCTTTGAAAGTACCAAAGGGAACAAGAGTAAAAGCTCTTCCCCTGTCCACCTTAAATTCCAAGAATTTTCAAGACCTGCAAACAAGGATGGGGGTGAGACAGATGCCAGTGGGAGACAGGTTTTCCTTTGTTCTCTGAAAATACCTAGAAGAGTTCCATTTCATTCCATGTGCAGGTGAAAAAAACAGGTGTGGCAGAGTCATCTTTCTCATTCACAGTGTTGGTTGTTAATTGTTCTCACTGCTGGCTGTCAATATTATGTAAAATTTTCATTCCCCATTCAAGATGGAAAAAGTTGTGGCTGAAAATGTTAACATTTGCATTTTTATTTGTTGATTTATTTAAAGGACAACCTCTCCTACAGCAATCCATCACTTGGTGACACCCCAAATATGAATAATGTATTGTAGACTTGCAGTTACAATGTGTAATAAGTGCTAGAGACAGTAAAGGAATGTTAACTATGTTGCAAATATAATATTTATTAACTCATAAAGTTTATTGCTTTTAAGGTTCAATAATACTGACCATAAGACATCAATATCACTTATCCTGATTTTAGCTGGGCACCTTTGTATGTAGAAATATTCATCTATCTCATGCTAACAAAATAAATATGTAATTTACAGCATAAGCAAAGGGGGCATTATAGTTTTCTGTGCTGAAAGCTGCAGTGTTTCTTTCTCTCCATTTCACTTCTGGCTCTCCACACTGATCACACACCCCTAAGCTGCGTAAGAGAATAAGCACAGTGGTCATCTTGGCACAAGAGGGTGGTGAAGCTGAATTAAATGTACCATTCATTTCTGCTTGAATGGAACAAGCAATGCCCCACAGACCACTCCACCTGGAAAGAGGAGTTGAGGGGCTTTCTCCCTGTCATTCTGAACACCTCAGGGTAGGTGAGCCTTGGCTCTAAAAGAAACTTAAATAAATACCTTTCCTACCAAATGAATGAGTCAGAGTTTACCAAGTCTACTTGATCCTTTAGTCTCCAGTGTGAAGCCAGAGCTGGGCAAGTTACCATTTGCTTCTCAAATGAATGTGTTATGAGCACAGATATAACTGATAATTAACCATTTTGTGCCTTCTAGAATTAGGTGTGTCCATTGTCAACAATAAAGATCATACAGGAAATATATAACACTCAAAGCAAAAGAAGTAATGATAATTAGCAACCATCAGCTGTAATTGTCATCTACATTAAGATGCAGAATTATGTATTTCTTCGTTATAAATAGCCTTTCTAATTGTACTTGATGTATGCCAATTTAATCAAAAAGTATACTTGCAACAGGCAGAATTTGCATTAATGTAGCCTTGGATCTTCAGGTCTTTTATTTCAAATTTGACTGGGAAAGAAGGCCTATTACAGCTGTATATCCTTGATATGTTGGTGTCTTTTTCTATTCAGATGTGTAGATCTGATACATTTTATATTAAAATGAAGATAGTATCTTCTGAGATTGCTCAATGCAACAGAAATCTTGTCACCTTTAAAAATATTGGTGGAGTTTGTATTTTTCAGTCATATGGTGACACAGTGATTGTTGGACCCTGATAAGCAGAGGCACACCAGGCCTACAGTAGCAGGATTAGATTCTCAGTCCCTGAAGTAAAAGGTTACTAAGGTCACTTCTTTCTGTTCTTCTATGACTTCTACAAACAGTTACAGCTGGTGCTCTCCCTGTGCCTTTGTGTGTCTGTGTGTAAGATGTGAAGAAAGAAAGGGAGATTTCACCAAATCACGCCCAACTAGTGAATTTTCAGAACTGGAACTGGAATTAGCCTGTTTCTAGGATGTACTGTTCACTTTTTTAGCTTTTTTTTTTAAAGAAAGATGAGTTTTTAATGACAACACAAAAGCGTTAAAGGTTTTTGTTTTGTTTTATTTTGTTTTGTTTCTTTTTGAGTTACTGGTGGGGAGAGGTGTTGATTTTGTGAAGCTTCTTTTTTCTTGACAGGATTTGGGAAATACTTGAGTACATACTTTGAGGGACTTGATAAATTATTTGGGGGCTTTTAAAAAATAGTTTATTTTTATTAATTGACACATCATAATTACACATATTTATGAGGTACATTGTGGTGTTCCAATACATGTATATATTGTGTAATGATCAAATCAGAGAATCTAGCACATCCATCGCCTCATACATTTATCATTTCTTTATGGTGAGAACATTCAAAATCCTCTCTTCTAGTTATTTTGAAATACATTAGGTTAGTGCAAAAGTAATTGTGGTTTTTTTTCTATTAAAAATAATGGCAAAAACTGCAATTACTTTTGCACCAACCTAATAAAATGCAATATTGTTAGCCATAGTCACCCTACTGCACAATAGAACATCAGAACTTATTCCTCCTATCTAACTGTAACTTTGTACCCAATGACCCCTCTCTCCCCATGTCCCCACCTCCCACTCTTCCTAGCCTCTAGTATCACTATCATACTCACTGCTTCTATGAGATCAACGTTTCTAGATCCCACATACAAGTGAGATTGCTTGTTGGAAAGCAATTGAGGCCAAGTCAACCAGTTCAGTATTTGTTTTTTGTGCCCGGCTTATTTCACTTGACATAATATGCTTCAGGTTCATCTATGTTGCCACAAATGACAGGATTTCATTCTTATTTATGGCTGAATAGTATTCACTGTGTATATATACCACATTTTCATTATCCATTCATCCATTTATGGACACTTAGGTTGATTCCATATCTTGGCTATTATGAGTGCTTCAGTAAACATGAAGTGTAGATATCTCTTTGACATACCGGTTTCATTTCCTTTGGATACATACCCAGCAGTGGGATTGTTGGATCATATGGTAGTTCTTTTTGTAATTTTTTGAGGAGCATCCATACTATTTTTCATAATGGCTGTACTAATTTACATTCCGACCCAATAGTATATGAGAGTTTTCTTTCTCCAATCATTGCCAACACTTGTCTTGTCCGTTTGGTAACAGCCATTCTGACAGGAGCAAAGTGATATTTCATTGTGGTTTTGATTTGTATTTTCCTGATGATTATTGATTTTGAGAATTTTTTCATGTACCCGTTAGCCATTTTAATGTTTTCCTTTGAGAAATGTCTATTCAGGTCTTTAACCTATTTTTTTAGTCACTTTATTTTCTTGCTATTGAGTTGTTTGAGTTCCTTATATATTTTGCATAGTAACTTCTTATCAGATGGATAGTTTGCAAGTGTTTTCTCCCATTCTGCAGGTTGTCTCATCACTCTGTTAATTGTGTCCTTTGCTGTGCAGAAGCTTTGATGTAATCCCATTTGTCTATTTTTGCTTTTGTTGCCTGTGCTTTTGAGGCTATATCCAGGAAAGCATTTTCCTGACCAATGTCATGGAGCTTTTCCTCTTTGTTTGCTTCCAGTAGTTCCATAGTTTCAGGACTTACATTTAAGCCTTTAATCCATTTTGATTTGATTTTTGTATCTGATGAGAGATAGGGAGTCTAGTTTCACTCTCTGCATGTCTGCATGTGGATATCCAGTTTTCCCAGCATTGAAAAGACTGTCCTTTTTCCATTGTATGTTCTTCACACCTTTGTCAAATATCAGTTGGCTGTAAGTACATAGATTTATTTCCATGTTATTGTGTTAATAGTTTAGTTTGAGTTTTTTTAAAACCTTGCTTTGCTGTCAACCATATGTTTAATGTGTTCTGAAAATTTTGCTGTAAGCTCATGCCTTGCTGAGCTTTCTATAGTACAGTTGCCTGTGCACAGCCATGCTCACAAGGCAGCTGTTTAAACACAGCTGACTAGAAGGTGGCTTGTGTGATCTTTGGCCCACTGAGACTGAGAGCCAGGAACTAGGCTCAGAAGTATCTGAAACCTGGGACCATACTCTACCAATCCCAGTCTGGAAGGAATCTTCTCTCTGTTGTGAATACATTATTTATTTATCTTTATTGTTATCTTAAGTAACTTAACATGAAAATCCAATTGCTTCCAGCTCCAGATATGATGGCACAGCCTTTAAAGTACCAGAACAACTGATGGTGTTTTTTTCCTTTGCTGGGCCACAAAGAGGATGTTACTCTTGATTCTCTGTGGGTTATAAACCAAGGCTTTAGCCCATTGAGCAGGTCAGACACTATTTCGTTTCCCATATCACACTGCCAGTAACCATTCAAATTGAAGAGAAGGGAAAGTCACATAAATATGATCTGCTTGATTGTAACAGTGATCTATTTTATCTCAGCTACAGAATTCTGGATTGACAGCTGCCATGGGATTCAAAAGCCACACACACACACACACACACACACACACACACACACACACACACACATTTTTATACTGGGAACAAAAATATAATACTGAAATTTATAATTGCCTGTTCACAATTCTTAGCATAGTACTTTAGCATTGGCAGAATGATTTTAGGTACGTTATTTCATTTAAATTGCATCACAATCCTGTGAGGTAAGGTGAGGTAAGTAGTAGTATTATCCGATTTGACAATGAGGAAATAAGAACTAAAGGAGACTGAGTAACTGACCAAGGTCACATAGTAGGAAGCAGAAAAGAAGACATGAATCGAGCTTTTCTAATCGCAACTTTCAAAGTTTTTTCATTCTTCCATTCTGGCTGAAACTTGGATTTGATTCTGACGTGTAAGCACTGAGCTGATAAAATTCTGGTTTTGGGTAGGAATCAGACAAACTTACTTTAACATTGGAATTTGTTTTGTTTTTATAACTTGATAGAAAGAAACTTAGTTACACAGAGAAGTGGAGGTGTTGTAGTTCAATTATGCATAGCAGTCAGATTGCAATATTTGCTTGCATTTGTGTCCAGAATCCTAACAGTAACAAAACCGTTTTTTTTTTAATGAGACTATCTTCTCACATATACATTTACCTAAATATTTTAAACACTCAACCAGGTTTTCTGATGTTCCTAGCAGAGGAAATGATCATGTATTATCCTCCTAGCAGGAGAGAGGAATAAGATAAACTAAGATCACAAACCTCTGCTGGGGTTTTCATAGTAGGTTTGAATAGCAAACCTTGCTGCGTGTATATAATAGAGCATATGAGTGATGACCCTATGTGATGATGGTGGCTATTATTCGTTAAATGCCAGTTATGTATCAGGTATTACATTGGGCATATACAGATATATCCATTTATAATATATGTTCATACAAATTACATATTATTGTCAAGATTTTTAATGACTGTTAAAGCTCAGCTTCAAAATATCAGATAGAATTTATTCCCATTTTTCCAAAATCACTTTTTAAAGTATGAGCTGTAAGGCTGAGAACTGTAATTTTAGCTTTCCTTGCCCTCAGAGTAACAGTTTATTCACTATACACAAAGTAACATTAACCATAACTTTTCCATTTTGAGTATCTTGTAAATAATAAAATTAAAACCAAATGAAATGATGCACATAAATTGATTATAGTAAAACGGACTAATCTGGAAACTTCAGAAAATAATGTATTGAGCATGTAAAAGAAAATATGAAGCTATAAACATGCCTGTCTCCCATGTTTAACCAAGAGGGTAAAAAGCCCAGCCATTCAAAAGGATTTTCATTTAGTTGGGTTGATAACTTGGAATTCCAGGCCACTGCAGTACCACCAAGAACAATAGAATGCATGGAAATTCTTAGGTGTTTGATGAAAAGATACTGCTTTTAGTTAAGTCATGATGTTGGGCTAATACTGTAATTCCCACTGTTAAAAGCCATTAATATAAGAATCCATTCCTCTTATACACACTGGTTTATAGTGTGTAAGTTAGGAAAATAAAGACAAATAGGCTAGGCAGAAATAATAACGATGTAGCAAATTCCAAGAAGTGAATTCAGCTTGAAGAAGCTTGTCAAGACATTCTTACTATAGAAAGAATATATTGTACTTGGGAAAATGTACATTACAACAGCTTATATTTACTACTCACTGAGATAGAATTCTACTCCTTGGCTTCAGGAAATCTTTCTAAAGACCTAAGTTCTGGGTGAGGAGGTTGTAAGAGCTGTTTTACTTTTCACATGATTTTTCAAATGTTCTACAACAATGTTATATTCCATAATTTTAGAAACAATGTTTAAAAAGAAGACAAAGGGAACACATTTATAGGGGACAAACCCATTTCAAAATTTTACACTCAGTAGTTCCAAGTAGTTGCAAAAACCCTAAAGTTACTCTTGGCCCATATGACATAAATATCTTATTTCCTTTGTCAACCCAGCAATAGATGAGGATTATCCTTCCTTGTTGTGTCTTCTCCAGGGTACTGAACTCTGAAAACTGCTATGAATGGTGACATCTGTTCAGTATTGCCAGTTCCTGCTGTCATTTCACAGCTTTTAGCCTCATGAACTGCCATTTTAGAGTTGTTCATTTGGTCCAAGGTTATCAAATTCCCTTAACTTCAACTTTAAGAAATATTTTTAATGTCTCTTCCTTAGGCACTTTAATGCTTTTATAAAAATTACTTTATATGTTACCTAATGTAATCCTTACAACCATAAGAAAGTAAAGCTCCAAGAGACAATTACAGAACAATTAAGAGCCCAGGTGTAATAATTATAACTCTGTGGTTTATAGGCCTAGGTTTGAATGCTAGCTATGTGGCTTTGAACAAATCATTTAATTTAATCTATAAAATGGGAGTAATAATATCTCCCTCATAGGTATGTCATGATGATTAAGTAGGATAGTTTATGTAAAGTACGTAGCACAGGCCTGGTGCATGGCTAAGTGCTCCATAAATAGTAGTTGTCATTATAGAACTTCCCAGGGTCACTCAAGCAATCAGGAACAAGCTAGGATTTGGACCTTGCTCTTGTGATTCCAAACTATAAGTGTATCCCCTAACAAAGAGTTAGGAATAGGGTTAGGTTCATCTCAGAGGTGGGCAGTTTGATTATATTTTTTATATTGACCTTGCAAATATGCCTGTTACTTTACCTCCATTTGCCCAATTCCTTATGTGAAAATATGAATATTAATAGCTATTTTATAAATTTGCTCATAGGATTAAATTCAACTATGTATGCAAAGCCTTTAACTTGATGCTTGTCCATGTTGGGCACTCAGTGTTAGCTTTCTTCTGTGCTCTGGGAAACAAGACTTCTTTGGGCATCTAAAACAATACATGTGATATGATACTGGCCCCTCTGCCAAATGCCCTGAGTGACAGTGCCTCTGCCAAAATGTGGCTTAGAAGCAAGCCACATGTTTATGAATGACCCTGCATTCAAAGGATTTTCCTTATGCAATGTTGGCAAATTTTCCAATGTTTTGAGACTTCCCCTCCATTTGTTTTTCTTCTAAATAGAGGAGGTTAGGAAGTAAGATTCTTGTCTAGATGATAGGGTTAAGATATTGTGTGTGTTTTTTTTGGGATATCTGTTTCTAGGGTCACTCAAGGACTGACCAAAGTTACTGATAATTGATTTTGTCCTCATAATTAGCCATTTCATAAGATTCTGAAAGGATTTAATTCCCTTCAGAGCAGTGGTTCTAAAATCTGCTTGCATATTGGAATCACTTAGGAATCTTTAAAAAATACTTATTTCTAGGCTTCATCCTAGATTCATTGAATCACAATTGCCCATGATGGGCCCCAGTGATGTGTATTTTTGATTTTTCAAAAAGACTCTGATGCACTTTGTCTAAAGACACATATTTGGAAGCCCCTGCTCTGGAGCTGCACATCTCCTTACTTCTTAACCCCAGCACACCAACATTCTGCCTTTCTTTTTTCTGTCCCCTACCCAAGCCCAGGGCCTCTTCTTTCCATTAGCAATTTTTATTAGTCATCATTATCCTCCTCCCAAGGGATTATCAAAGTATATCAATAAGCCTGCAGTGAAAAAACTAAGAAGCCCTTAAAGAACTTGACTTATCAATTTAAACTGTTGAAATTGGGGATTAATTACTAAGACATATTGTTGGTGTCAGTCTTCTCTATGAAAAGCTTGTATGGACCCATCTTCTGTGAGGGAACTCTCAGCAAGTTTTAAGAGAAAATTTCCTAAGGAAACATTCCTGATACTTTCTACCTCTCTTTCTCATCTGTGCTTCATCTTTCCCCATAGTACTTAATCACCTTCTAATATGCCATGTAATTTACTAGTGTGTTTTATTTATTGTTTGTCTCTCCCCCTTCCTCTCCTGCCCCACAAAGGATGTGGACGTTATGAGCATGAGTACTTTTTCTATTATTTTCTGTTCTTTTCATTCCTGCACTAGAGCAGAGCCTGGCTCATAATAGACATTAAATAAATATTTGTTGGGTGAATGAATTAGTGAATGGTCATAAACAAAGTGAATATTTCTTTTTAACTTACCAGTTCATGACATTCCAGTAGACATCTATTTTGCTTTATGTCTTCACCACATCTCCAAAAAATCCATTGCTTCTGCCCAGCTTATACATCTAGTTGTACTTCTTTTATATCCCAGAACTTCCTTGTATTTTCTCCTATTTTAAGGTTTTTCCATTTTGTAAGGATTAGAAAACATCTTGGCTTTCAGGGTATTTCCAGACAAGATAATAGCAGATTCCCGAGTGTGAGCAGTGTCAACATGTTGTTTGCACTGGGAGTTAATTGCATAGACAATGTCGGTATCAATGAGGATATCAGATATGCTTTGCTTAGCCATTCCATTATCTTATGTTCAGCCCTATCACAGACCTTTTCCTAAACCTCTGCTTTGGTCTGCAGCTAGTTTATTGTTTGGGTTTTCTCAAGTTAAAATCATTGCATGTTGACAGTGAGCAGAGCTTAGAGGAAAGGGCATTAGAGTTAAAGGCCGAAGATCTGGATTTATCCTGCCTCCACAGCTCGCTAGCAGCAAAACTTTGAAAAAGTCCCTTCACATGGAACCTAAGTTTTCCAGGCTTCTGTCCTATCTGTCTGAACCTTACCCTTTGTTTAGAGGTAAAAATCAACACAAAAACTGGTACATCTGTCTCTTGATTTCAGAGTAATTTACACATTTGGAGAATAAAGTATGAAGAAATGAACATTTCTAAAAATAATTAAATGATTGATTTCAGAATAACATGGTTTAAACTTCCCATTAAAAATGTTTGGGTTGGCCAGGCGTGGTGGCTCATGCCTGTAATCCCAGCACTTTGGGAGGCTGAGACGGGCGGATCACGAGGTCAGGAGATCAAGACCATCCTGGCTAACACGGTGAAACCTCATCTCTACTAAAAATACAAAAAAAAATTAGCTGGGCGTGGTGGCGGGTACCTGTAGTCTCAGCTACTTGGGAGGCTGAGGCAGGAGAATGGCGTGAACCTGGGAGGCAGAGCTTGCAGTGAGCTGAGATCGCGCCACTGCACTCCAGCCTGGGCGACAGAGTGAGACTCCATCTCAAAAAAAAAAAAAAGAAGTTTGGGTTTTGTGCTGGTCAGTAGTTTAGAGACACCATGTCATTCACAGCATGGCACAGAGCAATTCCGTAGGAAGCACCACCCCGTTGACAAGGGACCCGGTACAGTTTACAGGTCTTGAGATTATGCTCTGTGAACATACTGAAGGTTTACTTTTTAAATTTTAAACAAAATCATGTCTGGAAAACATCAAATCTTACTATATTATAGGGAGGACACCAACCAAAAGACATAGAAAAAAAGATAATACCCTTGAAGTTCAAATTGAGGTTTCAGTCACATAGAAAAACATGACTGTGTATTAATGTAGGCTACATGCTTTGCCTTGGGGAAAGAATATTCAGAACTGTGCCTAATAGTATCCAAGAATGCCACTGTGTAAATCAAAGACTATCAGCAAGACTACTTATAATGGAGAAGACATAGAATAAAGTAGTTAATGGTAATTGGCTAATGTATCTTCAGCTCAGCTGGACATTTTTGTATACACTGTTGATATATTTAAATATATATATACGTATATACCTACTGATATATACACACACACACACACACACGTACACACACACACATACCACTTTTAATATATTTAACATTTTCATCTTAATGGGGTATGCCCTCCCCCCCAAAAAAAAAGACTGTCTGTTTTTCTCCTTCAGCTTACTTTTTCTTTATTTCTTGTGCGGAAATTCATTTTAGCATTTTATATTGTCTGTAACCGTTTATGAGTTTAACCATAAAAATTATCGTTAAACAGTTATATTTGAAAGTTATTTGTTTAGTGGCATTCTTGATACTATTAGGCACAATTCTGAACATTCTTTCCCCAAGGCAAAGCATGTAGCTGACATTGATATACAGTTACATTTTTCAGTGTGACTGATGACCTCAATTTGGGCTTCAAGGATGTCTTTTTTTTTTTTTTTTTTTTTTTGTGAGGCAGGTACTCCCTGTGTCCCCCAGGCTGGAGTGCAGTGGCATAATCTCACTGAAACCTCCACCTCCCAGGTACAAGGGATTCTCCTGCCTCAGCCTCCCGAGTAGCTGGGATTACAGACTTGCGCCACTATGCCCAGCTAATTTTTGTCTTTGTAAGCATAAAAGGAGGCTGAGTGCAGTGGCTCACGCTCCCAACACTTTGGGAGGCCAAGGAGGGTGGATCACTTGAGCTCAGGAGTTTGAGACCAGCCTGGGCAACATAGTGAGACCTTGTTGCTACTAAAAATTTAAAAAATTAGCCAGGCATGGTAGTGTGCGCCTGTAGCCCCAGCTACTCGGGAGGCTGAGGTGGGAAGATCACTTGAGCCCAGGAGTTAGAGGCTGCAGTGAGCCATGATCACACCACTGCACTCCAGCCTGGGTGACAGAGTGAAACCCTATCAAAAAAAAAAAAAAAAAAAAAAACCATGAAGGGAAATGCATGAACATTGTTATTTTCATTAGGCTTAAGATTTCTGGATCTATGTTCTCACCAAATCATCTTTACTATGCCTTTTTAGAGGATATAAATTAACTTTTTGGTGTACAAATCCTAACGAAAGAAAGAATGACTTACCATGAAAGAAAGATTCCAAGTTGGTTTTGAAGCTCAACAGCAATTGGCCAACACATTTCCTATTTGCTTATTAAGGCTTTCATTGATTTTCTTGTTGTCATGGGTGCATACTGAAAAAAGTATGACTATTACTGAGATTAAAAGCCTATCATTGGCCAGGCATGGTGGCTGACACCTGTAATCCCAGCACTTTGGGAGGCCAAGGTTGGCGGATCACCTGAGGCCAGGAATTTGAGACCACTCTGGCCAACATGGCAAAACCCCATCTCTACTAAATTAGCCGGGTATGGTGGTGGGCACCTGTAGTTTTAGCTACTCAGGAGGCTGAGGCAGGAGAATCGCTTGAGCCTGGGAAGCAGAGGTTACAGTGAGCTGAGATCATACCACTATACTCCAGCCTGGGTGACAGAGTGAGACTCCATCTCAAAAAAAAAAAAAGTTTATTATCGTGTTGCTTGGAACCCACCCCCAAATCCTAATAAATGATCAACTTGGCTGGAACATAAGCCTCTTAGCAGACAAGGGAAGAGTGATTAATGTTGTACGTGAGAGGCTGTTTCTTCCGATGGGAAAGCTGGGAGATTCTGAGGTGCGTTGGGATTTGTATTAGAATAGGGACCCTGCATCAAGCTCTTCTCACCACATGGGCTACTTGAAACCCAGAGCCAATAATTAGAGTGAAAAAGAAAATTTCAAGCCAAATATCTGCATAGCAAGATAGAAAGCAGACAAAATTGTATACAGTTGCATGTCTTGTACAAGCCTTGTGTACAGTTGTGTTTCTTAACATACATGAATAACCCATCCTTTCTACATTTTGACAGTTGAAAGATATCCTGGATTAATGCTCATATTAAATAGTAATATATAATAAAGAAGATAAGATAAAAGCCTTCCTTAGCTAGGAGGATTTTTTTTAATGTTTTACTTTGAATAAATAAAAGGATACTAGGAATTGTACCTCAGGGTTTTTTCCCCCCACTTGGGCTCTGAGCAACCCTGATGAAGCATTTTTAAGAGCCAAGATGGAAGCCAATCCCTGCCTAGGAAAGGGATGTTCAACTTGTTTCTTACCGAGGGCTGTCTCTTTCCAATGTCCTGGAAGATGTCTACCTTACAGAAGTCACCACAGTCATGTACTTAGTGCCTGGTGTAACCTAATGAAGTCTGGAAACATCTGCCTGGGACACATGACCTACCAGATACTGAATGGACTCACCACAAATGGTGTTTATAGAATATAAATGAGCTCCTTGGTATACAAATCCTAATGAAAGTAAGATAGATTACCCATGAAAGAAAGATGCCCAGTTGGTTTTGAAGCTCAAGAGCAATTGGCGTTGAGCTTCAAATGAAAGTATGGACTTTCACTCGAATGCATTTAAGTGTTCTCCATTAATGAAGTGATGCTGTCTTGGCACAGATAGGCATAAGTGCTATGCCAGATAGCTCAGAGGGGAGTCCTTAGTCAGCATCCCTTCATTCCATCCAGCCTGTGCCTGCTGTCTTCACAGTCTGGCTCATGACTGAGAAATGTGCTGCCTCTAAAATAAAACTTCTCTCTAGACCAGTTGATAATACCCCACAGCCAGCTCCTGTCTTCTGGGTGAAATAGAATAGTGGGGGAAGAACCAGATTCTAGTAAAAGCTGAAGTGATGCATCATCTCAGGAGTGGATCATAATGGTAATACAAACCACCGATATACAAATGAACAAGATAATTAGTGGCAGAACAAAGACTGGAACTGGCCTGAAACCACTAGAACAGTGGAACCTCTGTGGCCAATGGGAGAGTTAGGAGTTGCTGGGAATTGCTGTGATGCTCCTAGAGGGGCCTCCTCAGCCAGGATTACAGTTTCCCTTTGTTCCTGCTTCAGCGCTGCTAGAGCTTCATTGCTTTTCCAGAACTGTCTCCTTCAGTAAGTTTATGCCTCACCACAGTCCTCACCACAGGTTTCCCTAATTCTTTTGTCTTTTTCCTTTGGATAGAAATATTTTTGTGAACAGCAAAATGTTTCTACTGCTGTATCAATGTTAGGTCACATGGCATTGACTTTTATTCAAACTGGAAGATTTCATAGCAGGATTATAACATTATATCATTACTTCAGCAGTATCTTTTGTATCAATGTGAAAATTTTAATTTCACGCCTTGCAGACTTCACATTCTTTTATGCTCTCTCTGCTCCTGTTGTTGCATGAAGAGTAAATCCCTGTATCACATTCATTTCAGATTGAAAGAAAGTAAATTTGATCCATTGAGATCTCTAGAGTTGAGTAAAAATCTGTTGGCAAAAGCTGCTATTAAAGGAGGAAAAAAAACGAATTCTTTTCAGCTAATATGGCTTTCCATATGGGTGAGGATAGTCCGAAGGCTCAAAAGAAGAAAACATTTCTCTGTTAACCCTGGTTACTAGGACTGTTTCATTAGCACAGATTATCATAGATTTCTTGATTGTAACACAAGATATCCTCAAGTATTTAGGTATAAAAAGCAATCTCTCCTTCACACAACTATTTATTTGAAAGAGAGAAGCAAATGTAGTAGGGAAAGCTATCAGTATAAGGACAAGTCTAGAAAAGGTTAATAGCAAACATGGTGGGAAAAAAAGTCAGACCTTATTATTTACATTGGATATTTGGTTAAAATAAATTATTTTAAAAATGAAATCAAATGCCTGTATTCAGAATTTTTCATATCAGAGGTTTAAGATGAAGATAGTATAGAATTCAAATTATAACTTAATACCATAAGCTATTTAACATTAATTTCTAAGAAATATATTCATGTAGCCTTTGCAAAAATTATGAAATACTGTATGGCCTATTACAAACTATTTCAAGTTTACTTTATTGCCACCAACTTCAGCCCATGGTCCCCAAGTCAGGTTTAAAGTGCTGAATAAGATTAATTAGCTAAGGCATGGGCACCCAGCATTCACCTCATAAAACCAACTATAATCTCTCTTTAGAGGGCTATTTATATGGGTTAGGGAGGGTTTATTCAAGAATCTGTTTGCTAATGAGTTTTTAAGGAAACTGATACCAGTGATTTGTTAGCAATCACTTAAGCACTTATATTTCTTTGGGACAATTGCAGTGGTACTATAGATTTTTTTAAAGTAACATTTAAGTTACCTATAATCCTACTCTACCCACTGTATATACTGTATCCACTGTATATACCACTGTTAATAATTTAGTATTTAGTATATTTCCTTCCAGTTATTTTTTCTTTCACTTTTTATGCACTTCTCTTTCTTTAGATAAAGTTTTCCTAAGTTGTGAAATATCTGGAAACTAAAAAAGCAAAAACTCTTCCTTATGTTCGCCATTCTATGAATAAATAAGAAAGAGGTAGGTGGGAAATCAGTATGCTAAATAAAATTGCCTGGATTGGCCTTTTAGCTGGATCTGTCTGGGTCTTTTTACTGCCAGAGCACTTGGGAGAAACCGTAGTTGGTCCCCCAGGGTTGAATTGTTGGAATGAGAATGTACATGTTTCTCTCATAACTTACTCTAGGAATGCTACAAAATATGAATATATTTCCAATTGGATCTATACAGAAATTTAGTCTATATTAAAAATCACTGCTATAAAATATGTGCTATATTCTAAAAATGACTCCTACCTGTATTTTCGAGGTGAGAAAAATATATATTAAAGTTAAATCAAGCAATTAGAATGAATTTCTTTGTAGAGGAAGAAATGGTTAAATGGAATCTTTCTGGTTAGGAGTAATGCAGAACAAAGGCATTTCCTGGAGGATGCTGCGCGAGTTTTCTGGTTGTCGTTCTACTTTGTCAGTTTCCAGAAGCACGGACAGCTTTGGCAAACCACATTTCTTCACCCTTCTGGGATCCAGAGTTTGAGCTAAGAAAGAGAGAAAGTTATTATTCTTTCTCTGAGCCTCTTGTGAGACACCAAAATAATGTTGGATTTTTATCTCAGCATACCCCATTTATTCATTCTTTATCTCTTTCCTTCAATTTATCATTGATTTTGACCCAAACAAGGGATGTGAGGTTTAATTACTATGCTGGCCCAGTGTCAACTATAATGAACCAGGAGACCCTGGCCTCCCCATCGATCTTCATCAAATTCACTCCTTCCTAGTGACACCTCTTGTGTTTCAATAACAAATTCATTGGGCTTTTCCTTGTTATGAAAGTTTCTAAATTCTTTCAAAGTGGGATAGATAGTGAGTCTGTCTGGGTCTTTTTACTGCTAGAGCACTTGGGAGAAACCCTAGTTGGTCCCCAATCTTGGTAATGGTCCATTAAAACTCTGGTTTCTTTCCCATCCATTCCTGCTTTATTCATTTCTTGTTTAACAACAATCAATATATCTCTACCTATGTGGCTACACTTGGTTTCTCTGTTGACTCCCATTCCCTTCCTCCCTGTCTGCGGAATCATTCTAATTTTCTTAGCATCAGTAAAGCCTATGAAAGGAAATAGGGACAATAAATCAGGTCTAGTTTCTTGCACTATTTCTTCTTTTTTTAAATTTAACTTCTTTTATACATGTGCATTTAAAGACTTCATTACATACGTTACATTGTGTTTACCATATCCATTCACTGAAATACTACTGTTCTCAAAGTGGCAAGCAAGTAGCACTTTAGAGTCTTCTTTTACATGTGCCTGCACTAATTCTTATTCTCTCCTAGCCTTAAAGTATCCTGGGAGTAACTTTAGGTACAGTCTAGTCACATCTTCTATCATATTTGAGTCAGAGGTATATTCCTTGGGAGAACATCCTGGTTACTGTAAAGCCAATCCATCATGGCTTGCATTCATAGTATATCAGCTGCTTCACTCACAGTCTTCCATTTTTCATTGAACAGGGAAGTTGGGTGTCTGCCTTTTCCAGGAAACACACTGTATATGATTGACCCATATATGGTTGATCTTATCTATCCCAAAAGGCTGCATGTTCCCCCATCTCTAATTTTCATCTGATGTACTAAGTGGAATCATTAACTGTATTAACCCAAACGTACAGGTGTATCAAGAATTAGGGAAACAGTTCTTGAGTTCACAATCCTGACCATCTATTTAAATAATGGCTCTTCTGGGAGCCATCTATACTTATCAACAAGGGGAGTGAGGTCTTTGTGTATTCACTATTGTCTCTTTCATGATTTTGCCCTTTGGCACCCTCTGTCAGCTTCCTTGTGACCAGAGGGCAGAGTGGTATAATCTGCTGTGTTAAACTGGACGAATCTCAGGTCTCTTCCAAAGAACTCTGGTTTCAGCTTGCTCACAAATCAGTTCTAGTCTCCCAGCTTCAACTGTAGCACTAAGTCCGAGCAAAACACCTTAACCTCCAGCTCATCCTGTCCCCACTGAAACAGCCCTGAACATCTAGTTTTACTTACATCTAAAGATAAGTCAAGAAATTGTGTGTGTGTGTGTGTGTGTGTGTGTGTGTATGTGTGTATGTGTGTTGCGTGTGTGGAGGGGCAAGGGTGTTTCTTGTCTGCTGGGTTGTTCTCTGTGATAGGTTTGTATTAAAGGTTATAAAGTCCATCTATCCATATTGTCTTTCTCTTTGAAAGTGTAAAAAATTGTAAAATAGAACACTACCATTCTATTTTGTAATCTTAAACTTCAAACTGCACTGATGAATTATTTATGTTATGGAATGTGCTTTCAATAATGTGTAGCATAAAATGGAATGGATGTATATCCATATGCACCCTGAACTCTCTAAAGTGCACACTGATGAACAGAGTAACTAGCATCATTTTGACCTCATAGAATTTACAAAGCAGGCACTTCTTTCTCATGATTTTGGTTTCTACACTATATTCTCCAGCAGTCAGCTTACGGCTTTTCCTGCTGGAGCCTAGCAAGTAATATTCTCTGACTCCAAGCTGTCCAACAGTGCTTGTCTCTCAGTACAATCAAGGTTAGGATCTGTAAGTTTCACTTATCATACTGCCTTCCAGCCATACTAATTAGGCTTTAATTAACAATTAGTAGGAAGTTACAATTCCATAGAACATCTTATATTAAATGGCCATTATCTAACATCATAATTTCACAAAGTGATTAAGATGCTACAAAATGATTAAGATATCTTAAGTTTCCCAGTATTTGGAAGTACAGGCATGGGGATCAAAGGAGGTAATTTTTAAAAATATATCTGTAGCTTTGTCTGCACACAGGAAGAAAAGAAATAAAGGAAGAAAAGAAATTCTTCTTAAATAATTTTATTTTTATACTTGCACAAATTATCAAATTTGCCCAAATTTGCTTTTCATATCAAAATCTCTGAGATCAAGTTCATTGTTGCACAGTGATAGTCTTTCACCAAACCTCCCAAAGAACAACAAAAAAGCCAAGAGCAAGCATGCCATGAACCTTGATTGGTGGGCATTGTTGAAGAAGAGGATAGAGTAACTTTTGGAAAGTTATTTATATTAATGATAATATGTATGAAGACTTAACTTGGGACTAACAGCCGGGGTGAAAAACGATACAGGCCTACAGTCCCTCATCCAAAACTCTTGGAGCCAATCAGTTCTAGTCTCTAGTCTAATTTTGAAATATATTTCAGAATTCAATTTTTAAAAGGTAGCATATACATAAACCATATGGGTTACAGCATAATGTGTGATTATTCATATTAAATGGAATAAACAAAGAGTATAGTCTCATCAGTTTGGGTCAGATTTTGTTACCATGTAAATTAGAGTTAGGTCAAATGTTGCTACCAAAAAGGTTAAGAAAAAACTTTGAGACTCAGGAAAAACTTTTACAGTTTCAGAATTTCAGATGAATATTAACAACCTATTTAATCCTTGAACCACTCATGGACATTTTAATTTATTTATTCCTAGCCCAGGAATCTCCACAAAGATCTGCTTCCTTTCAAATCATTTCTTCATATTGTTCTCCTAGACAAAATGCTAGGCTACACGGATTATGGAAGGAACCTATTAAGGTATTTCATGTCCAGCTGGGTTAAATACTCACTTGTGAGAAACAGAAAACTGAATTGTTTTGAAAATTTTTGCCTTATTTTAAAAGAACAAATTCATAGGGTATATTTTCTGAAAAGTGGGTTTCCTCACATCTCAGTCTCTCAACCAAGTACCCTTCTACCCTTCTTGGATATAGGTACTCCTAGTTTCCCGCATGTCCTTTCAGGGATAATTATGCATATACAGTCTTAGCTGTATAGATGAATGCATGTACCTCATTCTTTTAAGTTGCCGCACAGTGTTCCATTATATGCACGTACCACAATGCAGTTAACCAGTCGACTAGAATGGATATTTGAGTTATTTTCACTCTTTTGTGATTGCAAACACTGCTGCAATGAATATTCCTATATATATCATTTATACATGTGTGAGGATATCTGTAGGATAAATTCCTAGAAATGGAATTGTGGGTCATAGATAAGTACATTTTAAATTTTGATAGATGTTACCAGTTTGTTTTAATAGAGGCCGTACAACTCATGTATCATCTACAATATTTGAAAGTGTCTATTTTCTGACACCTTTTACAATGTAATCAAAAAGTTTGGTACTTTGCCAGTCTGAAAAGTGAAAATAGTATCTTGTAGTTACAATTGCAAAGAATAAACTTTTATGTTTCAGTCATTTATATTTTCTGCAAAGTATTCTATTTTTTTGTCCACTTTCCACTGTTATTAGTCTTTTTCTTTTTTATTTATAGGTGCTTGTTACATATGAAGAAAGTAATCCTTTTTGTAATATGTCAAAATGTTTTTCCAAGCTTGTTTTTAGTCTTTTAACATAGGTTGTGTAGCATTTTTTCCAGGCAGAAAATTCTCCCATACAAATGATTTTTTTGGTCTTTCAACTGGTTATAGATTTATCTTTAATTATTTCACTCTGCATCTATTCCTATAATAGTTTGTTATGGTTGCTTTGTTTTGTTTTGTTTTTGTTTTGTTTTTTGAGACAAAGTCTCTGTCGCCCAGGCTGGAGTGCAGTGGCGGGATCTCGGCTCACTGCAACCTCCACCTCCCGGGTTCAAGCGATTTTCCTGCCTCAGCCTCCTGAGTAGCTGAGATGACAGGTGTGCACCACCACGCCCAGCTAATTTTTGTATTTTTAGTAGAGATGGGATTTCACCCTGTTGGTCAGGCTGGTCTCAAACTCCTGACCTCATGATCCACACACCTTGGCCTCCCAAAGTGCTGGGATTATAGCATGAGCCACTGCGCCCAGCCTATGGTTGCTTTTTTATTGATATATCATAGTTGTACATATTTGGGTGGTACATGTGGTATTTTGGTACATATATACAATGTATAAGGATCAAATCAGCGTCACTGGGATATCCATTACCTCAAACATTTATCTCTTCTTTGTGGTGGGAAAGAATTCCCAATTCTTTTCTTCTAGCTAGTTTGAACTATATTACTGTTAACTATAACTTCCCTACTGTGCTATTGAATACTAGAACTTATTCCTCTATCTAACTGCAATTTTGTATCAATTAATAAACTTCTCTTCATCCTACTCCACCCTCTTCCCTTCCTAGCCTTCACTTTGTTGTTTCCTTTGCTGTGCAGAAGCTCTTTAGTGTTATATAATTACATTTGTCTATTTTTGCTTTTATTGCTTTATGCTTTTGAGGTTTTGCCCAAAAAATTTTTACCCAAACCCATGTCCTGTAGCATCTCCTTAATGTTTTCTTCTAATAGTTTCAAGTCTCAGGTCTTACAGTTAAGTATTTAATCTATTTTGAGTTGATGTTTGTATATGGTGAAAGATGGAGATCCCATGAATATCCAGTTTTCCCAACACCATTTATTAAAGAGACTGTCCTTTCCCCAGTATGTATTCTTGATGCCCTTGTCTAAAATGAGTGGCTGTAAGTGTGTGGATTTATTTCTGGTTTGCTATTCTGTTCCATTAGTCTATGTGTCTGTTTTTATGCCAGTACCATGCTGTTTTGGTAACTATAGCTTTTTAGTACGATTCAAAGTTAGATACTGGCTAGTTGTGATCCCTCCAGCTTTTTGTTTTGCTCAGGCTTTCTTTAGCTATTTGGGATCTTCTGTGGTTCCATATGAATTTTGGGATTTTTAAAAATTTCTGTGAGGAACATCATTGATACTTTGATAGGGATGGCATTGAATCTGTAAATCACATTTAGTAGTGTAGACATTTTAACAATATTAATTCTTTCAATCCATGAGCATGGGATATCTTTCCATTTATTAATGTTCTCTTCAATTTCTTTCATCAGTATTTTATAGTTTTCCTTATAGAGATCTTTCTTTTTTTGGTTAAATTTATTCCTATTTTTTTGTAGCTATTGTAAATGGGATTTCTTTCTTAGTTTCTTTTTCAGATTGATTGCTATTATAGTATGGAAACACTACTGATTTTTGAATGTTGAATTTGTATCCTGCAACTTGACTAAATTTGTTTGTCAATTCTAAGAGTTTTTGGTGACGTCTCTGGGTTTTTCTAAATATAAGAACATGTCATCAGTGAACTAGGCGAATTTAATTTCTTCCTTTTCAATTTGGATGCCCTTTATTTCTCTTGTCTAATTGCTCTGGCTAAGACTTCCAATACTATGTTGAATAAAACTGGTGAAAGTGAGCATTCTTGTCTTGTTCCAGATCTTAGTGGAAAAGCTTTCAGTTTTTCCCATTCAGTATATTAGTGATATTAGCTGTGGGCTTGTCATATATGCCCTTTATTAGTTTGAGGTATGTTTGACACCTAATATGTTGAGGGTTTTTACCATGAAGAAATGTTGAATTTTATTGAATGCCTTTTCAGCATCTATTGAAATAATCATACAGTTCTTATCCTTGATTCTGTTGACGTGATATATCACATTTATTGAATCAAGTATGTTGAACCATCCTTGCACCCCTGGGATGAATTTCACTTGATCATGGTGAATGATATTTTTAATGAATTCTGTTTGCTAGTATTTGTTAAGGAGTTTTGCTTCTATGTTTATCAGGGATATTGGCCTGTAGTCTTCTTTTTTTGTTGTGTCTTTGTCTGGTTTTGGTATCAGAGTAATGCTGGTCTTGCAGAATTACTGTAAATATTTTCTCATCTTCAATGTTTTGAAATAGTTTGAGTAGAATTGATATTAGTTCTTCTTTAAATGTTTGGTAGAATTCAGCAGTGAATACATCAGATTCTTGGCTTTTCTTTGATGGGAGACTTACAAAAAGCCATATAAATATGGCTTCAATCTCATTAATTATTATTGATCTGTTCAGGTTTTCTATAAATGGTTTAATCTTGGCATGTTGTATGTGTCCAGGAACCTCTCTATTTCTTCTAGGTTTTCTAGTTTATTGGCCTATAGTCATTCATAATTGTTTGTAATGGTCTTTTATATTTCTGTGGTGTCAGTTGTCTGTTTGGTTTTTTCCCCCAGAGCCCTGCTGGGATGCAAAATGTTTCTTTTTTCATCTCTGCTTTTATTTATTTAGGTCTTTTCTCTTTTTTTCTTAATCTAGCTAAAAGTTTGTTGATTTTGTTTATCTTTTTTAAAAACCTACTTTTTGTTTTGTTGATCTTTAAAAATTTTTTGTCTCAATTTCATTTATTTCTGCTCGGACCTTATTATTTATTTCCTTCTACTTAGGAGCAACATGAACAATGGAAAGTGTGGGGTAGAAGCAAAAATGGTATGAAGTGGAAATTTAAAGCAAGAATAAAAAAATCCAATCCTGTTGCCACTATGGCCATTTTCCATTCCATATATGGGATATTAGTCCCAGGCAGAATATTAATTTTCTGGAGAAACAGAGAAGAAAAGACTCAGGAATGTTGTGTACTTTGGAAGATGAGAGGGCTGAAAATGAGATTAATTCAAAGTCTATAAATTGAAAGGTTAGCTTCCTTCCCTGTTGCAGAACTAGACCACATCTTCCTCTCTGCAGAATACTGAAGGATTCTTTTCTAAAGAAGCTTAATGGCCCCAAGAAAAACATTTCCACATACTGATATTTATAGGTCCCTCATACACTACTGATGAGAATGTAAAGTGGTACTGCCACTTTGGAAAACACTCTGGAAGCTCCTTAAAAGGCTAAACATACAGTTACAATGTAGCCCAGCAATCCCACCCCAAGATGTCTACCCAAGAGAAATGAAAATAGATGTCCATGCTGAAACTTATATGTGAATGTTCATAACAGCACAATTCATAGTAGAAAAAAGGTGGACACAACTTAATGTCCATCATGTGATGAATGGATAATAAAATGTGGTGTGTTCATACTGTGGGGTATTATTTGGCAACAAAAAGGAATGAAGTAATGATACATACTACAACATGGATAAACCTTGAGTGAAAGAAGCCAGTCACAAAAGGCCATATAGTATATGATTTTATTTATATGAAATGTCCAGGCCAATCTGTGGAGACAGTTAGTAGTTTAGTAACTGTCTAGGGCTGAGAGGGGCTTGAGAGTAAGGAGTGACTGTTGATGGGTACAACGTGTCTTTTTGGGGGCAATGAAAATGTTCTAAAATTAGATTATGGTGATAGTTGCACAACTCTAAATAAA
Source organism: Homo sapiens (assembly GCF_000001405.40). Taxonomy (NCBI): domain Eukaryota; kingdom Metazoa; phylum Chordata; class Mammalia; order Primates; family Hominidae; genus Homo; species Homo sapiens. The sequence continues at coordinate 37,198,285 of NC_000018.10, forward strand.
CTAAAAATCACCAAGCTGCATACTTTAAATAGATATACTTTTCTCTATGTTTTACTTCAACAAAACAGTTTAAAGTTCATAAGATAAAGAAGTGATGCAGCCACATTGTATGCTGCAGTGTCATTATGTAAGATAAGGACTATAAAAAATCTATTGGATTTAGCAGCAGGGAGGTCATTGGTGAGTTTGATCATTTCAGTTTTATTGGAGTGGTAGAAGGTAGAAGCCAGATTGGAATCAACTGAGAAATGGTTTGGTTATGGAAAGGAGAGTACTTCTTAAGTGCTCTTGGTTATCCAGTAAGCAATAAAATATTGAAAGTTCTAGAGCAGATATGCATTACTAAAAGGTTCCTAAGAAGCACAAAGAAAGTGGTTGCCCTTATCTAAGAGAAGGATCATGTCCTTCAATGTAAAAGGAAGAAATGATGAGTGCCAAAATGAAAGACTTGTAAATTTGATAGTGTAACGGCAATTTCTGTTTGATGACCTCTGCTTTCTCTGAAGTGGGAAGCAAGGCCATCTGTTTAGGGTAAATAGTGAAATGGGGAAATGAGGAGAGCAAAACAGCTGATTCAAGAAATTTAGTCACTTTGTCTGAAACTGTTTAATACACACACATAAGATTGGTGACTTTGTGTCTATATTGGACCTGATTTTGTTTGCTTGTTTTGTTTTTGTTTTCATTTTATCTGCACTAACTTACACAACTATAATTCACAGAAAAGAAAGATATTTGGATTTCTCCAGTGTTGTGTCTTTGCCATATTTGGGGAGAGAGATCAAGAAGACAGAGGACATGTTTTTTGTTTTTTAACTTTTAAGTTCAAGGGTACATATGCAGGATGTACAGGTTTGTTACACAGGTAAACGTGTGTCATGGGGGTTTATTGTACAGAATATTTTATCCCCTCGGTATGAAGCCTAGTATCCATTAGCTATTTTTCCTAATCCTCTCCCTCCTCCCACCTTCTGCCATCTGGTAGGCCCTAGTGTGTGTTGTTCCCCTCTATGTGTCCATGTGTTACCGTTTAGCTCCCACTTACAAGTGAGAACATGAAGAATTTAGTTTTCTGTTCGTGCATTAGTTTGCCAAGGATAATGGCCTCCAGCTTCATCCATGTTCCTGCAAAGGACATTATCTCATTCCTTTTTATGGTTGCATAGTATTCCATGGTGTTTATGTACCACATTTTCTTTTTCCAATCTGTCATTGAGGAGCATTTGGTTGATTCCGTGTCTTTGCTATTGTGAATAGTGCTGCAATGAACAACATGTGCATGTGTTTTTATAATAGACTGATTTATATTCTTTTGGGTATATACCCAGTAATGGCATTGCTGGGTCAAATGATATTTCTGTTTCTAGGTCTTTGAGGAATTGCCTCACTGTCTTCCACAATAGTTGAACTAATTTACACTTCCACCAACAGGGTAAAAGCATTCCTTTTTCTCCACAACCTCACCAGCATCTATTATTTTTTGACTTTTTAATAATTGCCATTCTGACTGGTATGAGATGGCATCTCATTGTGGTTTTGATTTTGCATTTCTTTAATGATCAATGATGTTGAGCATTTTTTCATATGATTGTTGGCCACAGGTATGTCTTCTTTTGAGAAGTGTCTTTTCATGGAGGACATGTTTTTAAGAACATTTTTAAAAAGAATGACTGGAATGCTGAACCGTGAAATTTAAGTTAGATAAGGTATAAGTTGGATGAAGCGTTGAGAAGAAAGTATGTCCCAGTGGGAGAGATTTTGGCTATCCTGTTCACCAGTTTATTCCCAGTTTTTAGAACAATCTCTGTTTGAATTAATGCTGCCAACCTAAAAGGAAGAGCCTGAGGCACAACATACAATTTGAAGAGTTTACTTGAGCCAAGTGAGGACAGCTGCCCAGGACACACCTCCAAGTTGCCTTGGGGAGTGCTCCATTACTAGTTGTTACCAGAAGGTTTTTAAAGGCAAAAGAAACAATGAGCGGGCTGATACAAAGTTGTTTGACAGGAATTCTCATTGGTTTACATTCTCATTGATAACATCGAATAGTGATTGACTATACATTGTTGAACTGTAGAGTGTTAGTTATGGTATCCAGTGTATAGCATTTTATGGCTTCTTGGTGTCTGTTAATTTAGAGTCCACCTAGCAAGTGGCTTTAAGAGATGATTATTTAGCCCAAGGGTCACATGACTTCTCTTTCATTCCAGTGCCTCTCTGGGCCCGATAATTAAAAGGAGCTGTCGGCCGGGCGCGGTGGCTCACGCCTGTAATCCCAGCACTTTGGGAGGCCGAGGCGGGTGGATCATGAGGTCAGGAGATCGAGACCATCCTGGCTAACAAGGTGAAACCCCGTCTCTACTAAAAATACAAAAAATTAGCCGGGCGCGGTGGCGGGCGCCTGTAGTCCCAGCTACTCGGGAGGCTGAGGCAGGAGAATGGCGTGAACCCGGGAAGCGGAGCTTGCAGTGAGCTGAGATTGCGCCACTGCAGTCCGCAGTCCGGCCTGGGCGACAGAGCGAGACTCCGTCTCAAAAAAAAAAAAAAAAAAAGGAGCTGTCATTTCTCAGATAAAAATTTCTTGTCTTCTTTCCCTCTCCCTCCCCCAACCCACAGTTCCCCCTTTTGATCAAAAATCTTTCTTCTTGAAAGCATTGATTGTCAAAATATTAGTATCAAGGTGTCTCTTATAGCCAGGAGGGTTCATTTCTGATTAGTCCCATCCCAAGTCAAGGGGGAAGGGGAGATGTCTCAGTGAGGAATTTTTAGGAGCACCCAAAATCTAAATTGGGATGACATCACAGTGTGGCAAAAAGATCTTAGTGAAATCTTTGATCTATATCACTGCTCTTGCTTGTTGAAACATCTTTAGTCTTTATAATTCCATGATTATAATTTTCTCAAAAGTAAAACAATGAGAGATACATAACATTAGTAATTTGAATGGTAGAAGTACATTGCACACAAGGTTACAATCAAAAAGAAAATCTGTATGCTAAAATGGAAAAATAATCTATTCTACTAGGGTGCCAATGAAAAAACATCATAAAGAAAATTTAAATCAGGTTCTTTTTTTTCTAGAGACTTGTAGCCAGGAAATAATTCAGGATTCAGTCTAAATTGTAGAAAAATAATAAAAGCAGGGCTGGAATCTATAACAGGTATGTTATAGTTTTCTTCTGAAATATAATTTTTCTCTCTCCAGTTCCCCTTTTTTACCAAAGAGAAGTCATAGTAAGGCCAGCTTATTTGCAAAATAAGTTTTAGTCTTACTATACCTGGTATGATTGTTTGCATAAAGGGCAGTAAGAATAGTGGTTGGCCGTATAGTATTCTTTTAAGTTGGCTTTACTGGAACTTTTTAATAAGGAATTTTAGATTAGACTTTTAAAAACCTCTCAAGGCTAAGAAGCAAAGCCAAGGATTCACCATCAGACTGTGCCTGTAATACATGTACAAAATAGGTGAACTCTTCTTGAGGTCCCCAGAATATCTTGAGATTCCTGGCCTATCAGAAAGTGGCATTATTTACTTATCTCAAGGTCAGGAACCTTGTAGGGATTCTGTATTGTATCAGGGAACTGTATTGACAAGGTACTGGACCAGTCTTTTACCAAGTCTGTTGGCTTTCTAAAAGCAACCTCATTTCCTCAAAACAGTCTGGTCACATTTAAAAATATGATATTCGTCAACGCCTTGGTGAAATAACCAGCATTTCCAATTGTGACCTGTTACAATAGAGAACACATTCTTACTGAACTTATGTGAACAACTATATTGCCATAAAATAAGAATACTCATGAATAATTTCCAAATTCTGGAGAAATCAGGCCTAGAGAAAGGTAAATGCTTCCATTTTTTTTTAACAAAAGCATACTTTACCCAGTTGCTTTAAGCTATGAATGGCTCAAAAGAAAATTTTCTTGATTCCAAAAAAACAAATATAAAAAGAATCAGAAGTGTTTCAAATGAAAGGTTATAACAAAATTATTTCAGTCCTCTATCAGTTCAGTCCTATGTAATTAATTCCTGCTCTGCTTTATATTGGGTTGGTAATCTTTGTAAACCCATCAGTTTGTTGTAGTTATTGTTTGTTTGTTTTATTTAGAGTTCTGAAGGGTTTTACCTGGTCCAATGGTATGATCTCCAAAGTTATCACAAACTTGTATTCAAGAGTACTTGTCAGTGTCTTTTCCATGAATTTCCTTGAAGAAAAAGCAAATTTTGGACTGTAGCTAACTGTAAACCACTTTTTGGGAAGAATCATAGTAAAACAATAATTGTCACTGGATGATGAAAGACTTAGAGTAGCCGTGGTTAAAGACACAATTAACAAGGAAATTTGGTGATTTCTGTGGCAAACAACAGTTTAATATAATCATCACCAATATGATTGATGACATATACCAAGACATATCAGAATTTAAGAATATCATACAATTTTGGAATGCATATTAATAACATATTTATATAAATATGACTCAAGGTTAAACACCATTATTATTTGACAATGTGTCTTGCATGATTTTAACGTAAATTTGATTTGGGGAAGTATGTCAAATAGCAAAGGTTTAAAACATTTGATATCAAAAGTAAGATCACAGGTCATTATAAATTAATGATTATTCATTTAGCCAAAGCAATAATTCAAAGATTTCAAAAAGCAAAAACCTTTACTCTTGGACAGAGAAGAGACTCAGTTTTCCCAACAATCAAAGAGACCTAATAAATACAGCATGACACAAACAGAATCTATTTCTCCCCCTTTTCCTTTTTTTTTTTTTAAAGTTTACTCAAAAGGTAAACCAAAATCTTTTATTATATCTTATTAATGCTGTATGAAAATCATATTCAAAAGAGAAAACTAAATTCTACCTTCATATCAATGTATTGTTAATATTAAAACTAATTTTAACAAAACCTTATAAACAGATCCACCCAATCTCAGTCAGCTCTGACCACACAAGATAAGATTTTCATAAACCTTTTATAGTTTTTTCCATTTCATAAACATTTTATAAACTTTTATAGTTTTTCCCATTCTCTTTCCCCAACTTTCTATATCCATTTGGTTTTATCTATCATTCCTTTTTTATTGCTTCAACTTAAAGTAACCTTTAAATAACTTATAAATTACAAAAAAAATCCTCGTCTTTCTTATAACCTTTCTTACCAAAAACACATCTGACTTTTCTTATATATTCTGTATATAGAATGTTTCTATTTTTTAGTAGTTTTAATTACATATATTAATTACAAGGTTAACTCCTAGTAACCCTAATTTTCAGTGAAAAGCCTAGGAAGTATGCAATTTTAATGTTAAGTACCAGGTACAGAGCCCAAGACAAAAGATAGGTCTGTGAGGATAACATCTGGTATATCTGACCCTTCCCAGCATGGCCAGGAGGCACAGCCAGGCCAGGGAGGGCATACTGGTTTGGCTTTGCCCTGCAGCTGTTGGCCTAGGTGCTGTGGTCATACATATGCCCTCAGGCCTTTCCATGGCTACCTACCTAGAACCCAGATTCTTTTTTTTTTTTTTTGAGACGGAGTCTCGCTCTGTCGCCCAGGCTGGAGTGCAGTGGCGCCATCTCAGCTCACTGCAAGCTCCGCCTCCCGGGTTCATGCCATTCTCCTGCCTCAGCCTCCCCAGCAGCTGGGACTACAGGCGCCCGCCACCACACGCAGCTAATTTTTTTGTATGTTTAGTAGAGATGGGGTTTCACCATGTTAGCCAGGATAGTCTCGATCTCCTGACCTTGTGATCTGCCCGCCTCGGCCTCCCAAAGTGCTGGGATTACAGGCGTGAGCCACCACGCCTGGCCGGTGAACCTAGATTCTAAGAGAGCTTTAAGACATAAGCTCACAGACAAGGACGTATCTAAAAATACCAGAGAAGCAAGAGTTTTATGACCTTAAAACATCTAGCAGAGACAACCTAAACCTGTCAAACCAGTAGACTCAGGCAAAATGTTTGAATTATATTTAATACTGACAATTCAGAAAACATGCCTATTTTATTCTAACAATTTTTAAACTAGTTTTATTTACCAAAGATTACTAAGTCACGTGAACTTGAAAAGTATTTGGGCTTATTTATGAATGCTCATTTATTTATAAGTCAATTTGGTATCATAGACAATATACAAACAGACATGTACACAGGTATACATAAAAATACAAAGACTTTATAGCTTTGATTTTAAGTTTTTAGTCATAAAACCATTAAAACTCCCCAGTTTAAAAGGATAGTTGGATTCAAACTGTGCATTTGTAAATGGAACAGGCTAAAGTCTCACATGGCCAAAGCCCTTACTGAGTTTTAGAGCATAAGGTAGTAAATTTATATTTCAAAGCACAGAGAAAGAGTTTAAGCTTTCCAAAAGGCCAGTGAAGTTTTATATTTTTTTCACTAAAATCATATCAATATGAAAGGAAGCAGAGAGACCAAACACATAATTAAAAAGGAGTTTCAGTCAAAAAAAAAAAAAAAAAACACCTCTCAAGAAACAGGATCCAAAAGAGAAAATGCAGAAAGGCCTTTAAAAAAAAGTATACCCTGAATATCAGCTTTTAATTAAGCTGACTTCTGAGCATAGAGCTTTTTTTAAAATTCTTTTAAAATCTCTTTATCAGAATTCAGCCAGGACAAACAACCACTATTTATGGCTTTTGACCTTGTTGTTGTTGTTGTTGTTGTTTTAAACCAAAGGCACCTTCTCAAGAGACTCAACAAAACCAATAAGCCTTAACCAAGGTTATGCCTTTACCAAGGACGCACAAGTCATCTCCAAAGAGGTGCAGTGCAGTCCTCAATAGATCCAGAAACAGTCCCAAAGACAGCTGAAAGAAAGCAAAGTCTCACTAGCCAAAAATGGGGTACAACCCACATTTCTGTCCAACCATATCATCTGGGATCTCAGCTCCTCAGCTGACTGACTGACTACACATTAAGGCCAGAAGGAGGACTGAAAGAGGCAGTAAAACAGGAGAACAAAAGCTGCCGTGGGGATAGTGCCAAAGGTGGGAAAATGTGAGAAGGTAAGTTTATGGGAAGAGTAAAGTCTGCTCCTAGATTCTCTGGGGCTGTCTCTAAGCTAATAAGCAAGCCTTATAAAGGGGTCTCTCTTTAGGTGGGAAAAGACAGGCAACAAAACCCATTTCTTTCTAAATTTCTGTCCTGCCATCAGACAAACAAGGGAGGGGACAGAATGTTCCCATGCATTTTCAACATTTTTAGCTCAATAATCCCCCATATTTTAGAGAGGAACAGTTCGGTTTTCTTCAGTAGAAAGGACACAAATAGGTACTCCAAAAGGTCAAAAGTCATGCAAATAATTTAAAACAAATAATGCAAGTTAATTCTTATAAATGTTTCCCTCTTGAACTAAAGATATCCACTGAGAGAAGGAATGTTGTGGTGGCCTAAATAATTTTAATTCGGTTTTCCATCTGATTTCAGCTGGAATGCTGCTTAACTAATTCCCCAAATGTTAATGTTTCAAGCACATGCTAAGATTTACATCTATAGGGGACCATGAGGTCCAGCAGGGCATTAAAAGGGTATTGTCTAATATTGGGTAAAGGTTTACTCAGGTTTACTTCTACTTTAATGGGGGTGGTTGAATATATGTTACCAATTTCAGTGGAATATTGAGACCATAAATGGTCTGGCAAAGCTTGCAGTAAATCATTGGTATCATTCCTTAGTCCTTGCTTAGAAGAATATTTGTTGGATCTGTATTTCTCAGTAACTTCATTCTCATTCTGTAGTTGTTCTGTTTGCTCCTTCTATTCCTAATTTAAATATATTCCCCCTTTTGAGAGAAGGAAATGTATACATTGTAAAATTCCAAAACAAATCTCTAAGAGACATCTGGGAGCCAAGGGAACAAGCAGAAAGGAAAGAAGACCACTGAGTGAGCCTACCTGGAATTCTAAGGTTTGGGATTTGTATGCACTCATACATTGAGTAGATACCCCTGCCATTTGTATAATTTCATTACTCTGAGGAAGAGGACGGTTTAAGGTGGTAGGGTTGAGGACAGAAAGAGTAGCCCTATGGTAGTAGCCCTATGGTAGTATCTATGAGGAACATATCTGTTCTCTATTTATAACAATTTCTGTTTCTCCTAGGTATTAGTCAGAAATGCAAAAAGCCCCCTTTGGATCCTCAGAGAGCAACCCTATTCATCTTGTGGGGGTCCTGTCTTTTTGTTCCTGCTGTCATTTAAGTTTTCTACAATCTTGTCTGAAATGGCCAGGCATTTTGTAATAGAAGCGAGCACCTCTTTGATCATTAGAAAGAGGCACCTATCTTTTCTTAAAAGGCCTCGTTTGACTAGGTAGTTGTTGTAGTTGCAAATTCATGATCTCTGGGGCCTTAGTGTTTTCTTCTTTCTGAATAGTTTTAGAAAGTTGATCTGCCAAGCTTAAAAACTCATGGGTATTTATATATTCACCCAATAAAGCTGGTGTCTTTTAACTAAGATAACCAAGTCCTCATTTAAGCCATTGAGGAAAATAGAATTTATAAAGAAATCATTCTGGTGATCTTGGAGGCTAGCACCAGCCATCTAGAATATTGCTTAAAGGTTTTTTCAAACCTTTGAAAATAATAAAGTACAGATTCATCTGACCTTTGAGTACAATGCTGAATTCTTTTCCAAGCTACATTTTTAGAAAAGACCTGGAGAGTTTCCTTAGGCAGTGGTGATAAGTGGAAAGGCAAATCAGAACAGGGGAGTTCAGATAAGAGAGAATATGATGGCAAAAAGGTAGAAAAAGAAAGAGTAGTTGGAGGTAAAAAGGAGAAAGCCTCTGAAGTCTGTTTTAATTCAGAAATAGTTTCAGGTATCCTTTGTTTACCTTGAGTCAATTTTCTCAAAACTTCTTTGAGAAGTTTCTAGATGACATTGGAAGTACGTCCCCCATCAATTTGTCTGGTTCTAAAACTAGCCTTTTTTCCAATTGTGCATGCAAATAAATTGTTTTAGCCATTTCAAAAGATCCCCATTTTGGCTATTGCAGCTTATGACCACCCCTGGTTAGGTCGTTCCTGACTTTCCTAGATATTTACAACATGACATCCCATAAGTGTTATATATAAACCCAGCTAGCATTTCTAAAAAGAGTGCTCAGATTTTGAAGCTTGATTTCCCATAATTTAGGAACTTTTCAAAAGTGACCAAGGTCATGTATATGTTTTAGGTCAAAGTGTCCTGCTTAGGAGTATCACTCCTCTAGGTGTCACCCAATAGTTGTAAATCGCCCTCTTATGTGTCTTGGGTTTTCTTTAACTGCCAGGTGGCAGCAGAATGCTCAGAGGTATGAGGGTCCAGAGTCCCTAAAGGGAGGAGTCCCTAAAAATGTTCTTTTGGTGAGGAATGCCCTGTGAGGCCACTTCACATCTTAGGCTACAGCCCAAACATCTCTGCAAACTCTCCAGTCACCTGGAGCACGTGAATGGGTCAGAGGGAGCAATTGCCTGTGGTGCAAGAGAACTCATCATTCATTCATTCATTCATAAATTCATTTATTTATTGAGATGGAGTTTCGCTCATTGCCCAGGCTGGAGTGCAATGGCGTGATCTCACCTCACCACAACCTCCGCCTCCTGGGTTCAAGCGATTCTCCTGCCTCAGTCTCCCGAGTAGCTGGGATTACAGGCATGTGCCACCATGCCTGGCTAATTCTGTATTTGCAGTAGAGATAGGGTTTCACCATGTTGGCCAGGCTGGTCTCGAACTGCCGACCTTAGGTGATTTTCCTGCCTCAGCCTCCCAAAGTGCTAGGATTACAGATGTGAGCCACTGCACCTGGCCAGAATTCACCTTTTTAAAATTTAAATTTAAAGGAGCTCACATTCCTCAGATAAAACTTTCTTTTCTTTTTACCACCTTCCCTCCTCCCCCTACATTGGTCTGGTGAGACCAGCAGGCAGAGATAGTAGGAATGGCTGAAAAACCAAGCTTGAAGGATAATCTATGGGCATCAGAAAGTACTTGGGATATTTGAGTTGCTGAATTCAGAAGAGATGTAGTTTTAATTTATGACAAGTTCTAGGATAGGACTATGGGAAAGGCTTGCCACTAAAGTCTTTTGAATTGAGAGAAGGTCAAAAAACTAAGATGTCAGAATATTGACTGAGTGTCATTCTTGTGATGCTGACATTAGCAGGGATGATGGTCAGGGTTAAATTGGAGGCGAATATTGTGAATCAGGTGTTAACATCTTCAGTAATTGGGAGAAAGTGTGTTCACAGATGAAGAGAAGTTGAGGATGACAGAGCAGACGACAGGATCCTCAAGGAAAATAGTAGTATAATGACAGACTGGCCAAAAGAAATGATTCCAGTCCTACCTCTTGACCCTGAAATATATAGCACATGTTTAATATAAATGATTTCCACTCAGACGGATGTAAAGGAAGCATTGACCTGAAGAAAGAGCCAGGTTTCAATTAAAGCTAGGAGATAGAAGGTATAATCTAAAAAGAGTGCACAATATAGCAGTGTATATTGTGAAGCAAAAGCTCCAGAAGCAATGGGAGTGAGGAGGAAGGCTGGGAATAAAGGGAGAGATATTACAGAACATCATGGGACTAGCAGTAGCTTGCTAACCTATGATGGACTGGAATGGGAAGTACCTTCTGGGAATTGGCTGAAGGAACAAGAGACAGTTGATTTAGTCTTGAAGGACTTGTGGACCTAACCTAAGTACTCTTTAACAGGGTATTGGTTGTATTAATGTAAATCAGAGCACATCCAGGAGGTGAAGTAATCTGAAGTCATTAAAGATAATGTAAAAATATCATATGGAAAAATGGTCCCAATATATTAAGTAAAAAAAGTAATTTGCACACATCATATGTGTAAGCATCCTTTTTTTGTAAAAGAAGAATTGATGGATGGGTAACACTTTTCAGAATCTTTGAAATAAATTGATGAGCTGTCTAAAGATTTTTAAAAAGTTGCCCACGGAAGGTGCTGAGCCTTAAGCCGTAAGACCTGTGTTTTTTGTTTGTTTGTTTGTTTGTTTTTGTTTTTCAACAAATACTGAGCACCTACCTTGTGCCAGATACCATGTTTTGCATGGAGATAACAGCAATAAATAAATAACGACCCTACCCTTATGGAGCCCATACCGTTGGGGCAATAGGCTATATATATATATAATGTGTGTATGTGTGTGTGTGTGTGTATTGAGTGATACAAAGAAAATAAAAACCATAAAGCAATAAGGTGACTGTGGATTGATGGCTATTTTGGATGGAGTGGCTAAAGAAGGCCTCTTTGAGGAGGTGACATTTAAACAAAGACGTTGTTGAATGGAGAGAGCAAGCAAAGATCTGAAAGAAGGCATCCTACACAGAGGGTGAAACACATGCAAAGGCCTAGAGGTAAGAATTGAGAATAACAGCAGGTTTTTGGCCTGAGCCACTGGGTTGATTGAGAGGAGTGGGATTCAGAGAAAAAAAAAAAAGAGTTCTGTTTTGGATAGTTTGAGATGCCCATTACACTTCCAAGTAAAGATATCAGGTAGCAGTTGGGAATGTGAGTGTGGAACTCAGGGGCAAGGTTGATATTGGAGCTATTCATTTAGCCATCATTAACATATAGATGTTATTAAATCCCATGAGAATGGATAGCATCACCTAAGATAGGAGAGCAAAGGACTGAGCCCTGGGGCATTCTTTCATTTAAAAGGCAAGAGAGGAAGAGGATGTTGGTGGTATGGAAGGAAAATCAGGAGATGTCTACTGAAATCACAAAAAATCAAAAAAGGAAATGGGAGGGGAAAGGTCCAGTAACATCGTTAGTTTCTCATCAGCTGCAGTCCATGGATGGACCCTGAAATCAGTTTGTTTCTAGGCCATGTGCTAATGTTCTTGGACACCATGTCAAACTGGCCTTTCTTGAATTGGTAACGTGGAGTCAAGTCAAATCAGCAGAGGCTACGTCCTCCTCTGGATTTTGTCTTGTTATCTTGCTAGTTCAGAGGTAAACGAAACTAGAAAGAGAGCTCTAGGAAGACAGAATTAATGCCACTCCAGCTTGGTCCAAATTACCTCCAGGATGGGACTGGCATAGCAGATCAGATAAGCCTTTTGTTTATCACTTCTCCTTAATGAGGCTATTACATTCAGCCTGTGTGCCTAGGTAACTCATGCGTACTGGCTCTGTGAAGTACAGAGGTAAGACAGGCCAATATAGTTAATACCTATGGCTAAAACATCATCTGGGTTTTTCAAGGGATGGTACTTTATGGGTCTGGATAAGTTGTGTGTCCCTTTAAATTATTTGACTACCACACAGCCCCAGCAGGATCAGGCCAAGCTAATCAACTTTATAGTCTCCTATCACATGTCTCCTTAGCAGAGTAAAACACACTGCTCACAGAAGACACCTGATAAATGCACTGCTCTTTTCTGACATTTAGTGTAAAATCCCATAGGAATTCATTTTTTATTTTTCTTTATTGCATATATAATTCTTGTATTAAATTGGGTCATTTCTCAAGCTTTGCTTTTTGGAATAATCTTGGGTATTCTGTTGCTTCTTAATTGCCAAATCCTTTAGTCTTTCCTGATAACAAAAGTACTGTCAATAAACTTATTGAACAAAATTAGCAATGAGGTACAACTGAAATCTGAGCCCTGCTTACCACACACTTTCTGATTCTTCTGCCACAGTCTAATCTATGATTGAATGTGGCTCCTAGAGAGAGAAGTGGAATTTTTAAGATAACAGCATAATCATAAAGATAAACATTTGTACTTGAGTAGATTAATTTGTTGGAGGAAAAGATAGCTCAGTTACAACTAGTTACGCTATACTTTTAAAATAAAATGTAGTTGGTAACAGTAACCTTCTTTTGCTTTTGCTTTAGTGTCACCTCTTACTTTTCTTGATGGAAAGATTGAAGACATTCTAGTCTGGGAAGTCAAGGGGCCTGGGTTAAAAACCACTTGGCTCTGCCACTCACTTGCTCTGTGACTCCATTTAGTTCACTTATACCTCTCTGGACCTCAGTTTCCTCATCAATAAAATAAGAAAATTATTCCAAATTATGTCTAAGACTCATTCCTCCATGGGCAGGCATTAGTAGTGTTTGCCAATATCCAGTTCTCCTTTCCTTCTGGAGAGACGTAACTGGGTTCTGGCCAGTCAGATATAAGGAATATTTTGTCACTTGCATGCTATGGAAAGCCTGTGCACAGTTCTTCAGTCTCTTTTCCTGCCAAGACAATTGAGAAGCCCACATTCTAGGCGATGGAACCACTGTCTGCCTGGACCTAGTTTAAGTGTACAGGATGAGCATGAAAAATAATTGAACTGTATTAAGCCATTGGAATTCTGAAGGTAATTTGCTATTGTATAACTTATCCTAATATGTCAGATCTAATTTTCTATAGTTTGGTGGGTCATTATTTCCATGTTATAAATTTTTTTACTATATTTCATAGTAATGAGTACTCAGAAAGAATTTGAAGCCCACAGTTCTCTTTCAAATGATTGAATATGTTGGTGCCTATTGTATCAGTCTTTAAACTAAACACAAATTCTTATTGTTGCTCTGGATTTCAGTTTGCACCTCTAAAAGGTTTATTTCTGATATATTTACTGTTTCCCAATTATTTTGGCTCTATTTTTTAATAGAGAAAGCAGCAGATTATTTTCTCACTCAGAGTATCCCCCCCTAGCTATTTTAAGCATGAAATTGGATAGAAAAGTGTAGATTTTCCATTGTTTGATTTTAAAAAACATTTAATGATCTATATATTAAGAGATGGATATACCACAAGATTTTCATATGTGTCAAAGGAAAGTTCAAACAAAGCTCATTCCTTGAGCATGAAGTAGGTCTGTCCTGCTTATAAGCAAAATTTCCTAGAAGCAGTACTCCAGTCATTGGTTTACACCTTAAACAAAGAATGTGTTGATTGAACATAGAAACCATTGTTTTGAATGACAGATAACTGTATTGAAATATTGCCTTCATTCTGTGACAATAAAAGCTGCAAAAGAAAAATCTGCCAGAAAGGATTTGAATTTACAGATTTTCATACCATAGAAAATGTCATGACATTTCCATGCCTGAGAAAGTAGTCGAATCTTGCCTAGGACTTGAGGGCAGGGCCAATAACATAACTTGCCAGACCAGTGTAAAATGAAAATGTGGGGCCCCTTGTTCAGAAAGAAGAAGGAAAAAGTGCAATTAAAGGTGCTAGAATATAAAGCTTTTTCCTTTAAAAGGACACCGATAAAGCATGAAGGGTAATAGTAATATATGGATGGTTAAAAACTACAGATAGCAAAAAATTGTATTTTGGGTATCATAATTTTATGTGATAAAATAATAATACTTTATTAATGTGATAACTTGATTAACCTTAAGTTTTTCTGGCTCACTTTCCTTCAAATTTATTTATTTTATTTATTTATTATTTTCTGAGATGGAGTTTCACTCTGTCGCCCAGGCTGGAGTGCACTGGCACAATCTTGGCTCACTGCAACCTCCACCTCCTGGGTTCAAACGATTCTGCTGCCTCAGCCTCCCGAGTAGCTGGGACTACAGGCACGAGCCCCCACACCCAGCTAATTGTATTTTTGTAGAGATGGGGTTTTTCACCATGTTGGCCAGGATGGTCTCAAACTCCTGACATCAAGTGATCCACCTGCCTCAGCCTCCCAAAGTGCTGGGATTACAGGCGTGCGCCACTGCACACACTGCATGAGCCACTGTGCCCAGCCCAAACTCATTTATTAGGTCATCAGAATTTACACTTTTAACAACTTTAGGTGATATAATTAAAAGCAACATCAGTCACTCTTAGCAAATGAGATTACAAAAATTTTTTGTAATTTTTTTTATTTTTATACTTTAAGTTCTAGGGTACATGTGCACAACGTGCAAGTTTGTGACATATGTATACATGTGCTGTGTTTGTTTGCTGCACCCATTAACTCGTCATTTACATTAGGTATTTCTCCTAATGCTATCCCTCCCCGCTCTCCCCACCCCACAACAGGCCCGAGTGTGTGATGTTCCCCGCTCTGTGTCCAAGTGTTCTCATTGTTCAGTTCCCACCTATGAGTGAGAATATGCGGTGTTTGGTTTTCTGCATTTGTGATAGTTTGCTCAGAATGATGGTTTCCAGCTTCATCCATGTCCCTACAAAGGAGATGAACTCATCCTTTTTTATGGCTGCATAGTATTCCATGGTGTATATGTGCCACATTTCCTTAATCATGTCTATCATTGATGGACATTTGGGTTGGTTCTAAGTCTTTGCTATTGTGAATAGTGCTGCAATAAACATGCATGTGCATGTGTCTTTATAGTAACATGATTTATACTCCTTTGGGTATATACCCAGTAATGGGATCACTGGGTCAAATGGTATTTCTAGTTCTAGATCCTTGAGGAATCGCCACACTGTCTTCCACAATGGTTGAACTAGTTTACACTCCCACCAACAGTGTAAAAGTGTTCCTATTTCTCCACATCCTTTCCAGCACCTGTTATTTCCTGACTTTTTAATGATCACCATTCTAAGTGGTGTGAGATGGTATCTCATTGTGATTTTGATTTGCATTTATCTGATAACCAGTGATGATGAGCATTTTTTCATGTGTCTGTTGGCTGCATAAATGTCTTCTTTAGAGAAGTGTCTGTTCATATCCTTTGCCCACTTTTTGATAGGGTTGTTTGATTTTTTCTTGTAAATTTGTTTAAGTTCTTTGTAGATTCTGGATATTAGCCCTTTGTCAGATGGGTAGATTGCAAAAATTTTCTCCCATTCTGTAGGTTGCCTGTTCACTCTGATGGTAGTTTCTTTTGCTGTGCAGAAGCTCTTCAGTTTAATTAGATCCCATTTGTCTATTTTGGCTTTTGTTGCCATTGCTTTTGGTGTTTTAGTCATGAAGTCCTTGCGAATGCCTATGTCCTGTATGGTATTGCCTAGGTTTTCTTCTAGGGTTTTTATGGTTTTAGGTCTAACATTTAAGTCTTTAATCCTTTTTGAATTAATTTTTGTGTAAGGTGTAAAGAAGGGATCCAGTTTCAGCTTTCTACATATGGCTAGCCAGTTTTCCCAGCACCATTTATTAAATAGGGAATCCTTTCCCCATTTCTTGTTTTTGTCAGGTTTGTCAAAGATCAGATGGTTGTAGATGTGTGGCATTATTTCTGAGGCCTCTGTTCTGTTCCATTGTTCTATATCTCTGTTTTGGTACCAGTACCATGCTGTTTTGGTTATTGTAGCCTTGTAGTATAGTTTGAAGTCAGGTATCGTGATGCCTCCAGCTTTGTTCTTTTTGCTTAGGATTGTCTTGGCAATACGGGCTCTTTTTTGGTTCTATATGAACTTTAAAGTAGTTTATTCCAGTTCTGTGAAGAAAGTCATTGGTAGCTTGATGGGGATGGCATTGAATCTATAAATTACCTTGGGCAGTATGGCCATTTTCACAATATTGATTCTTCCTATCCATGAGCATGGAATGGTTCTTCCATTTGTTTGTGTCCTTTTTTATTTCATTGAGCAGTGGTTTGTAGTTCTCCTTGAAGAGGTCCTTCACATCCCTTGTAAGTTGTATTCTTAGGTATTTTATTCTCTTTGTAGCAATTGTGAATGGGAGTTCACTCATGATTTGGCTCTCTGTTTGTCTGTTATTGCTGTATAGGAATGCTTGTGATTTTTGCACATTGATTTTGTATCCTGAGATTTGCTGAAGTTGCTTATCAGCTTAAGGAGATTTGGGGCTGAGATGATGGGGTTTTCTAAATATACCATCATGTCATCTGCAAACCTGGACAATTTGACTTCCTCTTTTCCTAATTGAATACCCTTTATTTCTTTCTCTACCTGATTGCCCTGGCCAGAACTTCCAACACTATGTTGAATAGGAGTGGTGAGAGAGGGCATCCCTGTCTTGTGCCAGTTTTCAAAGGGAATGCTTCCAGTTTTTGCCCATTCAGTATGATATTGGCTGTGGGTTTGTCATAAATAGCTCTTATTATTTCAGGATACATTCCATCAGTACCTAGTTTATTGAGAGTTTTTAGTATGAAGGCTGTTGAATTTTGTTGAAGGCATTGTCTGCATCTATTGAGATAATCATGTGGTTTTTGTCTTTAGTTCTGTTTTGTGATGGATTACATTTATTGATTTGCGTATGTCGAACCAGCCTTGCATCCCAGGGATGAAGCCAACTTGATCGTGGTGGATAAGCTTTTTGATGCGCTGCTGGATTTGGTTTGCCAGTATTTTATTGCAGATTTTTGCATCGATGTTCATCAGGGATATTGGTCTAAAATTCTCTTTTTTTGTTGTGTCTCTGCCAGGCTTTGGTATCAGGATGATGCTGGCATCATAAAATGAGTTAGGGAGGATTCCCTCTTTTTCTATTGATTGGAATAGTTTCAGAAGGAATGGTACCAGCTCCTCTTTGTACCTCTGATAGAATTCGGCTGTGAATCCTTCTGGTCCTGGACTTTTTTTGGTTGGTAGGCTATTAATTATTGCCTCAATTTCTGAGCCTGTTATTGGTCTATTCAGGGATTCAACTTCTTCCTGGTTTAGTCTTGGGAGGGTGTATGTGTCGAGGAATTTATCCATTTCTTGTAGATTTTCTAGTGTATTTGCTTAGAAGTGTTTATAGTATTCTCTGATGGTAGTTTGTACTTCTGTGGAATCGGTGGTGATATCCCCTTTATCATTTTTTATCGCATCTCTTTGACTCTTCTCCCTTTTCTTCCTTATTAATCTTGCTATTGGTCTATCAATTTTGTTTCTTTTCAAAAAACCAGCTCCTGGATTCATTGATTTTTTGAAGGTTTTTTGTGTCTCTATCTCCTTCAGTTGTCCTCTGATCTTAGTTGTTTCTTGCTTTCTGCTAGGTTTTGAATTTGTTTGCTCTTGCTTTTCTAGTTCTTTTAATTGTGATGTTAGGGTGTTGATTTTAGATCTTTCCTGCTTTCTCTTGTGGGCAGTTAGTGCTATAAATTTCCCTCTACACACTGCTTTAAATATGTCCCAGATATTCTGGTACGTCATGTCTTTGTTCTCGTTGGTTTCAAAGAACATCTTTCTTTCTGCCTTCATTTTGTTATTTACTCAGTAGTCATTCAGGAGCAGGTTGTTCAGTTTCCATGTAGCTGTGCAGTTTTGAGTGAGTTTCTTAACCCTGAGTTTGAATTTGATTGCACCGTGGTTGTGATTTCTGCTCTTTTACATTTGCTGAGGAGTGCTTTACTTCTAACTATGTGGTCAGTTTTGGAATAAATGTGATGCGGTGCTGAGAAGAGTGTATATTCTGTTGATTTGGGGTGGAGAGTTATGTAGACATCTGTTAGGTCCGCTTGGTGCATAGCTGAGTTAAAGTCCTGGATATCCTTGTTAACCTGCTGTCTCGTTGATCTATCTAATATTGACAGTGGGGTGTTAAAATCTCCCATTATTATTTTGTGGGAGTCTATGTCTCCTTGTACTCTCTGAGGACTTGCTTTATGAATCTGGGTGCTCCTGTATTGGGTGCATATATATTTAGGATAGTTAGCTCTTCCTGTTGAATTGATCCCTTTACCATTCTTTGATTGCCTTCTTTGTCTCTTTTTTTTTTTTTTTTTGTCTTTGTTGGTTTAAAGTCTGTTTTATCAGAGACTAGGATTGCAACCCCTGCTTTTTTTTTGTTTTTTTTTTGTTTGTTTTTTTTTTGCTTTCCATTTGCTTGGTAGATCTTCCTCCATCCCTTTATTTTGAGCCTGTGTGTGTCTCTGCACGTGAGATGAGTCTCCTGAATACAGCACACTGATGGGTCTTGATTCTTTATCCAATTTGCCAGTCTGTGTCTTTTAATTGGGGCATTTAGCCCATTTACATTTAAGGTTAATATTGTTATGTGTGAATTCAATCCTGTCATTATGATGTTAGCTGGTTATTTTGCTCGTAGTTGATGCAGTTTCCTCCTAGCATCGATGGTCTTTACAATTTGGCATGTTTTTGCGGTGGCTGGTACCGGTTGTTCCTTTCCATGTTTAGTGCTTCCTTCAGGAGCTCTTGTAAGGCAGGCCTGGTGGTGACAAAATCTCTCAGCATTTGCTTATCTATAAAGGATTTTATTTTGCCTTTACTAATGAAGCTTAGTTTGGCTGGATATGAAATTCTGGGTTGAAAATTCTTTTCTTTAAGAATGTTGAATATTGGCCCCCACTCTCTTCTGGCTTGTAGAGTTTCTGCCGAGAGATCAGCTGTTAGTCCAATGGGCTTCCCTTTGTGGGTAACCTGACCTTTCTCTCTGGCTGCCCTTAACATTTTTTGCTTCATTTCAACCTTGGTGAATCTGACAATTATGTGTCTTGGGGTTGCTCTTCTCAAGGAGTATCTTTGTGGTGTTCTCTGTATTTCCTGAATTTGAATGTTGGCCTGCCTTGCTAGATTGGGGAAATTCACCTGCATAATATCCTGAAGAGTGTTTTCCAGCTTGGTTCCATTCTCCCTGTCACTTTCAGGTACACCAATCAAACGTAGATTTGGTCTTTTCACATAGTCTCATATTTCTTGGAGGCTTTGTTCGTTTCTTTTTACTCTTTTTTCTCTAAACTTCTTGCTTCATTTCATTTGTTATAGCCACAGGAGTTAGAGAAAATGCCACACTTTGAGACAAATTAAGAGTCCTTTATTTAAGCCGGCGGCCAAAGAGATGGCTAATGCTCAAAATTCTCTTGGCCCCGATGAAGGGGCTTAACTTTTATACCTAGGTTTAGGAAGGGGAGGGGGACTTAAATGCAATAACTCTACAGAAGTAAAAACATGCAAGAATCAAAAGAAGCAAATGGTTACAGAGAAATGAACAATTTAAAAGACAAATGGTTACAAAAAGAGCAAGGGTACCAGGTGCAAGGCTCTAAATCCTTCATTATAGTTAGATATAAATGCTATGCCAGACAGGAACTCAAGGCTTTGTGTTGTTATCTCTTTGAGCAAAACCCTGGGAACTTCATACATTGTTTGCTCCAGTATCTTACCAGTTAATTGGGCTCCTTTGAAATGCTGAGGATCTGCTTACACAGGTTAACTCCTTAAGGAAGGGGGTTGGGTAAGGAGCCCTTAATGTCTTGTAAATCAAGAGGTCAAATGGAGTTTGTCCGGCTTTCCCAGCCAGGGAGAGTGTATTCATATGGGAAACATGGCTGGCAATTAAGGAGACAAAAAAAGGAAAATTTAAAGTAGTGAGCTAGAGTAAAAAACAAGGTTAGGCGTTACACATTCATTTGATCTTCAGTCACTGATACCCTTTCTTCCACTCGATGGAATCAGCTTCTGAAGCTTATGCATGCGTCACGTAGTTCTCCTGCCATGGTTTTCAGCTCCATCAGGTCATTTAAGGTCTTCTCTACACTGTTTATTCTAGTTAGCCATTCGTCTAATCTTTTTTCAAGGTTTTTAGCTTCCTTGAGATGGGTTCATACATCCTCCTTTAGCTTGGAGAATTTTGTTATTTCCAACCTTCTGAAGCCTACTTCTGTCAACTTGTCAAAGTTATTCTCTGTCCAGCTTTGTTCCATTGCTGGCGAGGAGCTGTGATCCTTTGGAGAAGAGGCACTCTGGTTTTTAGAATTGTCAGCTTTTCTGCTCTGGTTTCTCCCCATCTTTGTGGTTTTATCTACCTTTGATCTCTGATGATGGTGACCTACAGATGGGGTTTTGGTGTTGATGTCCTTTTTGTTGATGTTGATGCTATTCCTTTCTGTTTGTTAGTTTTCCTTCTAACAGTCAGGTGTCTCAGCTGCAGGTCTGTTAGAGTTTGCTGGAGGTCCACTCCAGACCCTGTTTGCCTGGGTGTCACCAGCAGATGGCTGCAGAACCGCAAATATTGCAGAACTGCAATATTGCTGCCTGATCCTTCCTCTGGAAGCTTCATCTCAAGGGGCACCCAGCTGTATGAGGTGTCAGTCGGCCCCTACTGGGAGGTGTCTCCCAGTTAGGCTACACAGGGGTCAGGGACCCACTTGAGGCAGTCTGTCCGTTCTCAGAGGTCAAACACCATGCTGGGAAAACCACTGCTCTCTTCAGAGCTGTCAGGGATGTTTAAGTCTGCAGAAGTTCCTGCTGCCTTCTGTTCAGCTCTGCCCTTCCCCCAGAGGTGGAGTCTACAGAGGCAGGCAGGCCTCGTTGACCTGCGGTGGGCTCCACCCAGTTTGAGCCTCCTGGCTGCTTTGTTTACCTACTGAAGCCTCAGCAATGGCAGATGCCCCTACCCCTGCCAGGCTGCTGTCTCGCGGGTCGATCTCAGACTGCTGCACTAACAGTGAGCAAGCCTCCGTGGGCATGGGACCTACTGAGCCAGGTGTGGTTTATAATCTTCTGGTGTGCCATTTGCTAAGACTGTTGGAAAAGCGCAGTGTTTGGGTGGCAGTGTCCCTATTTTCCAGGTACTGCCTGTCATGGCTTCCCTTGGCTAGGAAAGGGAAGTCCCCCGACCCCTTGCGCTTCCTGGGTGAGGTGATGCCCCACCTTGCTTCGGCTTGCCCTCTGTGGGCTGCACCCACTGTCCATCCAGTCCCAATGAGATGAACCAGGTACCTCAGCTGGAAATGCAGAAATCACCCATCTTCTTTGTCGATCACACTGGGAGCTGCAGACTGGTGCTGTTCCTATTCAGCCATCTTGGAACTGTATCCCCCAATTTTTTCTAATTTTTAATTTTGAGGAGGATCTTTCTGTTGATGCAACTGACAGTGGAGCTGCTAAGAGTATTTTGTAGGCTGTGCCAACATTTGCATAGATTTCTAATAAAGTATTTCCAAATATGAATTTTAGTTTATATAGAGGTGATTATTCTTGGGGATCAGATTTTCTAAAAAGATTTAACTCTTCATACACATTAGTTTCATACATGTTGGAATTTAATTTTAAATACAAATCTCTATGATGTCATTTTAATGTTTTCTCTAGCATGTTCTGTAACATATAAAGATCATATAAGAAACCAAAAATCACTTAATGATTTGTCTATAATTCACAGTGCTTGTTTATGCTTTCTATAGCAGCATCTTCAGTTACAAAGAAAAATTAAATTTAAAAATTGTATTCCTCATTAATAATTGGTTCATTAGAAATTGCATATGAGAATAGTGGGTTTTTTCCTATCAAATGCAACAATCTTTAATTTTTATTTCCAAACCTGTGGATGTTCGCTTTCCAGTGTTGTAGCAGTTTTTAAAACCAGAGATTCTAAACTCTTTGAAGGCTTCTAATATATCTCTGATATGCTTCATTGTAATGTCCACGTGTATGTTTTTATTTTCTAATAATTTACTGGCATTTATACTTAATGCTAGCAGTTCCTATCCCAGTTCTCAGGCCAGAAAGATGACATTTTTGCCACAGGGATGGGCTTGGGAAACAGACAACCCAGCCTCTCACCACTGCTGCTTCTGCCATTGTCACCACCATTAATTTGGAGCTAGGTTCTGGCCCCAGCTATCCCCTTAGGGCCCTATGTGGTACTCCAAACTGTTTTTGTTTGTTTGGTTGGTTGGTTGGTTGGTTTTTTGTTTGTTTGTTTGCTCTATTGCCCAGGCTGGAGTGCAGTGGCACGATCTCAGCTCACTGCAGCCTCCACTTTCCAGGTTCAAGCGATTCTCCTGCCTCAGCCTCCTGAGTAGCTGGGGCTACAGGCACATGCCACCATGCCCGCCTAATTTTTGTATTTTTAGTAGAGACAGAGTTTCACCATGTTGTCCAGGCTGGTCTTGAACTCCTGACCTCAAGTGATCCACCCACCTCGGCCTCCCAAAGTGCTGGGATTACAGGCATGAACCACCTCACCCGGCCCCCAGAATGTTTTTTTACCTCTAAGCTGCTCTGCACTTACCCTTTCTGAAAAGAATGCTGGACACAAGGCAGTCTTTCTTTGGAGGGATGTCTTTATAGATTTAGAATCTTTTCCCAAACTTCTAGAAAAAGTGGAAGGGGGTTAACAGGAAGGAACTAACATTTATTCAGTGCCTATTATGTATTCATTTATATCAATGAATTCATTTAATCCTAACTGGAGTTTTGCTAGCCTCTTACACATGAAAAGACTGAACTGAGACACTGAATAACTTCCCCAATATTACACAGCTTGCAAATGGTAGAACAGAGATTTGAACCAAGCGTGTCTGTCTGTGAAGATTTCGACAGACAGCTTTAGTGTCCTGGATGAGAGTGCTGGAGACAAACCACCTGGGTTCAATTCTAGACTCTGCTGTGTAATTGCTTTCTGTTAGATGAGTTACTTCCCTGAGCTTTAATTTCCGCATGTTTATAATGGAGATGAGAGTAGTATAGTACCTACTTCCTAGGGTTCATTAGAGGATTATAGGAAGGTTAAATATTTGTAGTGTTAGGAACAGTGCCTGACAGTAAGCCTGCAGTAAATGTCACTGTTAATATCATTACTGTTATCATGATTACTCTTCCCACTCTACAATCTCTCTTCATAAGTTATAAAGGAATGTTAGGGGTCAGCAAAAGAGAAGAGCTTATGTACAGGCAGCAGGGCCTAGGTTCTTCAAGTCCTTCTGGTGTTTACCTTCACAAAAATTCCCTTAAGCATCATCTTATGCATGATGTGATCTGTAATCTAATTCTTGCCCTGGACAGCCCATTTCTGCTGGGCTTCTTGAATTCTCATTTTCTAATAATCTGATCCTTTCCTGTCTGGGTTATATGTCTTACAGGTATGAGACATCTTTGTTGGATTTGGTTCAGTCTCTGAGCCCAAACTCTGCGCCCAAACCTCAGCGCTATCCCTCCAGAGAAGCTGGGGCCTGGAATCATGGTACTTTCCGACTCAGTCCTCTAAAATCAACCCGGAAGAAGATGGGGATGCACAGAACCCCTGAAGAGTTGGAGGAGAATCAGATTCTGGAAGATATATTTTTCATTTGACATATTGCAAAATTTTCTTAGGAAATTTGTGGGTTTCCTCACATACTGATCTAGGATTTTAAATTATTTCATTGCAAAGTAATTGTGTCTCTCCTTTCACGGGGACTTGTCTCACTAGCATCCTGTTACGTATTGAATATAGAAATCATTCTAACAACCCAGGTTATTTTCAATCAGACCAGGCATTCGATAACACACTAAGGGGGTAGGAATGGAAGATGGTATCTTTTATATGCTAAACAGATTAGAAAATTAACATAGGATACTTTCTGCGTGGTGGAAACCATTGCATATTCAGCCTCATTTCAAGAGTGTTTCCTTCTCAAACTTCTGCTAGAAAATGCTGACTCACTTTTATATACAAGAAAAACCTTTCCACTGAAAAATCCCTCTGATTTAAAAGTAACCCCTTTGAAACATAAGCAGTTTCAGAAAGGCAGACTCTCTCATCTTTCTCATCCTGTTCTCTCACTACTACATTTCTGTAAGTGGTCCTTTAATTCTGAAGTTGGAGTTGGTGCCCCTGCCATCACAAACAACACGAGAGCCAATTGTGAGTCAGTCTCAGTAGCCATCAGCCTGGCAGCTGCCCATCCCATAACCAAAGAGCTCAATGGGCTGGAGGGTGAGACCCAGCCAATCCTTGGGAGCAAGCAGCACTAAATCACATCAGGGAGTGATTAGTCCTGGGGAAATTCAGTGGAGGCACAAGCCTGAAGCACTCTTCTACCAATGTTTGGGTGACCACCCCTCCAATATCCCAGAATGAATAAGAACAATCCCTAGGTATTTTTATTTACCCAAGTGTTCAGCTTATTCACCCCACCCCCCCACCCCCCATCACACGTGCTCCTGTGAACTTTCCATGGTTATGTCTACGGAAAATGCCACTAGAGAGAGAGTGATGCAAGCTGCTGCAAAGCTGATGGGCTTCCTCTGGCCCTCCCTTTTCCTCCACGAGGATTAAAGGATACAAGCTGACCAGGCCTCACAGGTGCTCTGCTCGTGGCCCCAAAGAACCATCTCTACTTGCCAGAGTATGTTCCACCACCCAAGCAGGGTCTCCCTACTTTTTCTCACTGGCCTCGTTTTGACCCAGAGAAAGCCTATGGAAGTTATGCAGTGCAGACCTCATCCTGTCTGCTGTCTTTTCTCCCACAGAGCTCTTGAGATGGGTCCTTCAGCTTGCAGTGGTCCCTAGTAGCCTCTCAAGCTAATGGGGATGATGATCCTGGTTTAGCCAGAGTTCAAAACTCTCCAGTCATTGAAAGCAAGGGGAGGGTGTGTTCCCAGATGTGTATTACTTGGGAATTTTATTTGATCTGGAGGGTGTGGCTTTTTTTCTCTCCTTTTTACCAACCCCAACTAAACTGGGAGTAAGACTTAGTCAGTGTTGGTAGACAAAGTCATACCACCCAGGGCAGCCTGCATGCAGCGAGTCTGCGTGGCTTCCCTGAATTACTCTTTTAATTAAAACTAGATTATTTCAATCTAGAAAAGCCTTGTTGAGCAGCCTCCTTATCCAGATAGATCCAAAGCTCATGTCTCTTCAGGCTGAGACTGGCGCTGTCACCTCCACCCAGCCTTCTTTCACTTGGGGTTTTTTATTCTTTGGAGTAGAAAAGAATGGAGCCCACTAATATTATATTTTTCTTCTGAAATAAATATAAAGTCAAGACTAACTAGTTATAATCATTCCCTTAAAAAGTTGGAAAATCATTACAGATTAAAATTTCTTTATAAAGTTCACCTCTGAGAGTAACCAAATCGGTTTCATCCCATATCAAAAAGCCTTTGGAGTGTGGAGCTTTCTGTGGTATGGCAGAAATGGGTGGATGGCAAACTAAGAGCCCTCAGCCATTTTTTCAGTTAAAGTTAGGTTGCCAGAACTTTCTTTTCCTTGCCCCCTGTGTCATGACTAGCTTAAGTGTACTTGACTCCCATAGACTACTCCCATGCCCACAGTCACCCATTCCAGACTCCAGTGTCCTTAAAACTCTGGAGTGAGAGGATGCCAGAGGATCAAGAAAAGGATCACAGTTTCTTGAAGAAGCTTGTTTGCCTTTAGAAGAATCGTAAACAGAGTCTAAACTAAAGGCTTTTTGGGGGTCACAGCCACAGAGTGGAGTTTTATTGCTTCTTTGCCTCTCCATGAATGGCCAATTTGGAAAAGCAGAGATGGGCTTTCAGCAGAATATCAACCAATACATTTTTCACATGCAAAACTCATCACCAGTTGCCTTTTTCTAACTTAATGGACATTTTGTTGGTGTTGGTGCAAGGGCAATAGGATGTAAATTTGTATATAATCTAATGTCTTCATTATTAATTGAATAGTACATGTTAACATTTTAATCTATTTAAATTTACTTTGAAATATATACATACATATGAATGAAAGGTTGTTACAGAGCCTCAAAGCTGTTGCAGACTATCCCAAGAGAAAGGATCTGGCACAAAGGAATCTGCCTTTCCTCCGTCTCAAGTCTCCCACCCTTGACTGGTTGGGATTTGCTCGTCCAGCCTCTAGACACTTCCCAAAGCAAGACTGGACACATGCCGAGGGCGTTGCGGATAGTGCCTCACCATTGCCCACCCTGCTGCCCAACTCCTGTGAGAGAAAAACCAATCAATGTTTACAAAATGGAAAAGGACACAGCATGTCCTTTGAACTCCCTAAGTAAGGCCCACAGTTCTTGATGCAGAGAACCAAAGTGAATCATAGAAAAGCTTTTGCTAACAGTCCGCTTTCCAGGAGGCAAACTTGTGTTTATCCAAACCTGATCCCCATGATGGGGACTTTTCTAGAGCACCCCAAATGTCATGGGGAGAGAGGGACTCTTTCTGCTCCCTCAGAGCTACTCTTCACTTGTCCCTGCTTCCGGCACCAAGTTCATAATAGAGATCTTCTGGCCAGAGAATCAGGGGAGAGGAGAGGCCTGATGGGGCAGAGCTGGACGAAGTCTGCTAAGAGAGATGGAGGCTGTGGCGGACTCCTTCCAACTCACGATTTATCCTCAGCTCAGAGTGTATTTTGAATATGAGCAAATGTTTATGTACGTATGAGATTTCAAGTTAATAAATCATCTCTATGGCTATTTTCCCCATGTGGGTTTGATATTGAATTGTCCCTTGAACATCCCTCATCAGATCAGTGAGGCATAGCTTGAAAGCAAGTGCAGACCTGCAGGTTATCAAAATGTTATTTTCCTCAGTACTTGTTAAAACAGCAGGAGCCTGTCGTTGACTGAGAGAAAGGAAATGGTTTGTCACATCCCAGTAGGTTTTTCTGCTGTGGCTCCTGCTCACTCACATCACGTGAACACCAAGCCGCCTCTAGATTTTGTGCTTGTTGGAACAGAACATTCAGTCTCTCTGCACCTGTAAGTCCCTTCTCTGTGCCTACCCCCATAGCTGCTCAGCAAGGAAGAAGTATCACAGCACTTTAAGACAAGAAAAATGGCCCTGCCTAGTTGCCTTTAGTTGCTGGAAGAATGTATGTGAGGGCTTCAGTGTCTAAAGTGCTCAATTCTGAGATCACACCTGTGGATTCAACTCAGACAGAGACCCTGTCCTGCCCCCTGTTCCCCAACCCAGGCTGGCACCTGCACCTGAATACGGAGACTTCGCACCTGCCCCTCAGAGGCACAGGTAGCAGGAACAGAATCATTACTCAAACAGCTCCCAAACTGAAAATGAAAATTGCTCATGGACTACTGGTAACACCATTTGGGTGTTTAGGAATCTGGAGACCCAGTCTGGGAATCAAGGGACTTCAGTCAAGTGTAAGATCCCCCCTAATTTGAAAAAAATACCCTGTGAATAGCCCAGACTTTCAGCTAACTTTATCATCCCTTCTTTCCACCACTGTGGTTCTCTCTTTCCTTTTGCAGCAAGACTTCTAAAGGGAGCAGTCTTGGATTCATTGCCCCTTAACACCTCACAAACTGGCTTTCACCCAAGCCCAGTTTAAAGAGAGACGAGTCAAAGTCAAGTTTTCACTCTTGACTTTTCAGCACTCCTTGCCAATCAGCAACGAAAGCCCTTTTTAAATTTTTTTTTTTTTGGTAATAGCTTTATGAGATATTACTCAAATACTGTACAGTCTACCTATTTAAAGTGTACAGTTCAGTAGTCTTTAGTATATTCACAGAGTTGCCTCCATCACCACAATCAATTTTAGAACATTTTCATCACTCCGAAGAGAAACCCATACCCTTTAGCAGTCACCCTCCATACTGCCAGCCCTAGCCTACCATTAATTGACTTGCTGTCTCTATACAATTGCATATCTGGACATGTCATATTAATGAAATCATATTCTATGTGGTCTTCTGTAACTGGCTTTCACAGCATAACGTTTTCAAGGTTCATTTATGCTGTCACATATACATGGTTCCTTTTGATTGCCAAATAATACTGTATCATATGAATATATGACATTTTTGTTTATCCATTCATCAGTTGATGGACATTTGGGTTGTTCCCTTTTTTTTTTTTTTTTTTGTTATTATGAAGAATGCTGCCATGAAGATCCATGCAAAACATTTTTTTTTTTTGACAGAGTTTCGTTCTTGTTGCCTAGGCTGGAGTGCAATGGCGCAATCTCAGCTCACTGCAACCTCCGCCTCCCGGGTTCAAGCAATTCTTCTGCCTCAGCCTCCCCAGTAGCTGGTATTACAGGCATTCGCCACCACGCCCAACTAATTTTGTATTTTTAGTAGAGACGGGGTTTCCCCATGTTGGTCAGGCTGGTCTTGAACTCCCGACCTCAGGTGATCCGCCTGCCTCGGCCTCTCAAAGTGCTGGGATTACGGGTGTGAGCCACCGCGCCCAGGCCCATGCAAAACTTTTTGTATGGACACTCCCTTAAACCAAAGCCTAATCCAGAGCAAAGCCCTGGCTCTTTTCAATTCTATGAAGGCTGAGAGAGATGAAGTTATAGATGAAAAGCTTGCAGCTAGCAGAGGTTTAAGGAAAGAGACCATCTCCATAATGTAAAAGTATAATGTGAAACAGCAAGTGCTGATATAGAAGCTACGGCAAGTTATTTATCTGGAAGATCTACCTAGGATCATTGATGAAGGTAGCTACACTAAACAATGGATTTTCAATGTAAATTAAACAGCCTTCTATTGGAAGAAGATGCCATTGAGGACTTCCGTAACTAGAGAGGAGAAGTCAATGCCTGGCTTCAAAGCTTCAGAGGACAGGCTGACTGTCTTTTTAGGGGCTAATGTAGTTAGTGACTTTAAGTTAAAGCCAATGCCCATTTACAATTCCGAAAATCCAAAGGCTATTCAGAATGATGCTAAATCTACTCTGCCCATGCTCTATAAAAGGAACAACAAAGCTTGCATAGCAGCACATCTGTTTACAGCATGGTTTACTGAATATTTTAAGCACACTGTTGAGGCCTACTGCTCAGAGAAAAAGATTTCTTTCAAAATATAACTGTTACAATATACTTGGTCACCCAAGACCTTTGATTAATATTTACAAGAAGAATGTTGTTTTCATGCCTCCTAACACAGCAACCATTCTGCAGCCCATGGATCAAGGAGTAATTTCAACTTTCCACATCTTATTGTTTGAGAAATACATAAATACATTTTTGAGGCTATTGCTACCATAGATAATGATTTATTTGATGGATTTGTGCCAAGTAAATTGAAAACCTTCTGGAAAGGATTCACCATCCTAGATGCCATTAAGAACATTTGTGATTCATGGGAGAAGGTCAAAATATCAAGATTAACAGGAGTTTGGAAGAAGTTGATTCTAACCCTCATGGATGACTTTGAGGGATTCAAGACTTTAATGAAGGAAGTCACTGCAGATGTGGTGGAAATAGCAAGAGAACTAGAATTAGAAGTGAAGCTAAAGATGTGACTGAATTGCTGCAATCTCATGATAAAACTTGAACAGATGAGGAGCTGGTTCTTCTGGATGAGCAAAGAAAGTGGTTTCTTGAGATGGAATCTACTTCTGATGAAGATGCTATGAACATAATTGAAATGACAACAAAAGACTTAGAATATTGTATAAATTTAATAAAGCAGCGTCGGGGTTTGAAGGAATTGACTCCAATTTTGAAAGATGTTCTACAGTGGGTAAAATGCTATCCAATAGCATCACATGCTACAGAGAAATTTTCATGAGAGGAAGGGTCAATTATGTGCCAAACTTCATTGTTGTCTTATTTTAAGAAATTGCTACAGCCACACTGATCAGCAACCCACACTGATCAGTCAGTAGCCATCAACATCAAGGCAAGACCCTCAGTGAGCAAAAAAAGATTACAACCCCCAGCCCGGCATGGTGGCTCACGCCTGTAATCCCACACTTTGTGAGTCTGAGGCGGGTGGATCACCTGAGGTCAGGAGTTCAAGACCAGCCTGACCAACATGGCGAAACCCCGTCTCTACTAAAAAATATAAAAATCAGCTGGGCATGGTGGCAGGCACCTGTAATCCCAGCTACTCAGGAGGCTGAGGCAGGAAAATCTCTTGAACCTGGGAGGCGGAGGTGGCAGTGAGCTGAGATTGCGCCACTGCACTCCAGCCTGGGAGACAGAGCAAGATTCCATCTCAGAAAAAAAAAAGAAAAAAAAAAGATTACAACCCACTGAAGGCTCAGATGATCCTTAGCAATAAAGGATTTTAAGTTAATATGTGTTGATTGTTTTTAGTCATGATACAGTTGCACACTTAGTGGACTACAGCACACTACAGTGGACTACAGTTGTGTGAACATAACTTTTATATGCACTGGGAAACAAAAAATTTGTGTGACTCCCTTTGTTGTGATATATGCTTTATAGTGGCGATCTGGAACTAGCCCCACAATATCTCTGAGGTATGCCTGTATGTCTTTGTGGGGTAATGACCTGGAAGTGATAGAGTTAGGAAAGAAGGATGAAAACCCAGACCGTGTGGGAGGAGGAGAGGAATCCAGAATGTTGGGCATGTAGAGTGGAGGCCGGTGGGTGCCAGGCAAGCATCGAAAACTCCTGAAGCACTTAACTGTGTGCCACACCCTTGGCTGGGCCCTGTGCACCATCTTATTCAATCCTTATGAGATGAGGCCTTTTTTCATAGTTTTCAAAATCATCCCATTATATGGGTTATTCTTGTAAGCTACATCATATCCTTTATGTAATGAGGCCAGGTATACATCTATGCACACCTAAAACTTGAGGGTGATTTTTTGCACCAATAATGAAAATGAAGTTTAGCAAAACTTGCCAAGGTCATCAACTAGTCAGAAATAGAATTCAGACTCAGAAACTGGGGTGGGAGGGTCATTTTTTACTTCTTCCCTTCTCTTTCCTATTTCTAGTCAATCTTCAAGAAGTATCAAGTCCATCCAGGCGCGGTGGCTTACACCTGTAATCCCAGGCTTTGGGAGGCCGAGGCAGCCGGATCATGAGGTCAGGAGATCGAGACCATCCTGGCTAACACGGTGAAACCCCATCTCTGTATTTTGTATTTGTAAAAATACAAAAAATTACCTGAGCGTGGTGGCACGCACCTGTAGTCCCGGCTACTCAGGAGGCTGAGGCAGGAGAATCACTTGAACCCGGGAGGCGGAGGTTGCAGTGAGCCAAGATCATGCCGCTGCACTCCAGCCTGGGTGACAGAGCAAGACTCCATCTCAAAAAAAAAAAAAAAAAAAGTATCAAGTCCACTTCCTATTTTCAAACTTACCCACTTCTCTCTCTCTTTGCTGATGCTTCTCTAGTACGACAGTTTCTTTATTGGTCTTCCTGCCCTATGGCCTGGATTCATGCTAGAACATGTAACTCTCTCTGCCTCACTCATCTTTAAATGGGGATCATTGCAGAACCTACCTCATGAAGTTATTGTGAAGGTTAAATGAGCTAACACAGGTAGAGTGTTCAGCATAGAATATA
This sequence comes from Homo sapiens, assembly GCF_000001405.40. NCBI lineage: Eukaryota > Metazoa > Chordata > Mammalia > Primates > Hominidae > Homo > Homo sapiens. Next base: position 37,230,143 of record NC_000018.10, read on the forward strand.
ATAAGCACTCAGCAAGGGTAACCTATTATTCTCCATAAAGCCACCAGGTCATTATATCATGTCACAACCTGGATTAAAGCATTAGTTAGTTTCCCACTGCCCTCTGTGTTTGTACTTCTGCACATACTGCACAAGGCTCTTGGTGATATGGCCCACTGCAGCCTTTAGACCTCCAGCCCCTTCTTTTCCCACTCTATTCCTCTTGACTTCCGTGCTTCAGCCACACTGAGCTTCCAGTAGTTTCTAAAGGCACTGTAATACCCTTTTCCTGACCTTAGGAGCTTTCTCAGCCCTCTGTACATCTTTTATCACAATACTTACTGTGCTGGAATGGCCTGTTTACTTTTCTGATTTCTCCTTTAGTCCGTAAGCCCAGGATGGCCAGAAAAAGATATCAGTCTTATTCATCACTAATTCCTCAGAATTCAGCATGGTTCCTGGCACGTTATAGGCTCCCAAACATTATTTATCAAATAGGTGGATGGGTAGGCACATAGGAGGGAGGAAGAAAATTTAACAATTCTGTGGCCCCAAAGTCCAGTACCCTTTGGACTACTCCAGCCTTCTTGCAGCTCTCTAAAGCAAGTAGAAAGTAAGTGCCATACTCAGAGGACTGGGGAGGGTGGGGCTAGAAGACACCTCCTTTCCTCCCGCTTCAGTCCTATCTTCCACATTCACTAGCATTTTCTTTCTTACAAATCTAAGATTTGTAACTTCAGTGCTTAAAATACACAAGTTCCCCACTGCTTACAGGAAAGGAGTGCACCCCTTAGAGTGGCACACCGGAACTGTCAGCATCTTGCCCCTCCCTTCTCCCCTCTGCAGCTCACAACTCTTGGCCGTCTCCCAAGGACATGCTGCTGTTTCCTGCCTATGTGACTTTTCCAGGTCCCTCTATCTTGGATGAATCTTTCCAGACCTTGCTCAGTTATCATCACTTCCATGGAGGTTTCCTAATCTCTCAGGCATCATTATATACTCTTGGCTCCCATAGTACTCTGTAGAGCCTTTGTTATAGCCCACCTCAATCTGTCCCATATTGCTCTGTGCACTGTCTGCCCTATTAGAATGTAAAGTGTTCAAAGAAAACATATATTCACTTTGGAGAACCCAGCCTTACCACTTGTGAGCTGTGTAGATTTAGGCAAGTTGCCTATATTCTCTAAGCCTCGAATATAATAATGCATAAAAATATTTATTAAGATGAGAAGTGACCATTTCTGCCTTACAGGTTTGGTGCCTGGAATGCTGACCTAGATCTGGAAACTAGCCCAGATGAAAGCAAGAATGATGAGGCCACAGTGTCCATGAAAGTAGGGTGAGGAGGGTGTCCAGTGGAGCCAGAGGGAGTGCCAAGAGGGAGGTCCTTGGAACACGGAGGATCCAGAAGGCCCAGGAGTAGAAAGCAGCGTTGGCATTTGTAAGAAAGTAGAAGAGGTGGTTGGCCAGAGGACAGGCCCTGTTCAAGATCTGACCAGGACATCAGAGCTGGCCTCTCCCTCCCTTCTTCCTTGCAGGCCACAGCTGAGCAGCCTTAACTGACACCTCCTTGGCACCAGCACACAAACAATGGCCCATGGCCTGACGTCTTCCAGGATGCCCTAGGCCCGTGCCCTTCACCTGTTCTGCAGCTGTAAGACTGTGGTGTTTGCCCTCCTTGATTCTTCCAGGTACTGCCCCACCCTGTTCTTCTCCCCATTCTTTGAGTGCTGAGATTGGCCAGTCCCATGCTGAGATGAGGGAGCTGGAGGAGGGGAGACTGGCTCTCACTCCTCATTGCTGCCCATTGGGATGGGATGAACTTCACAGCTCTGGTTTCCTCTGTTCTTCTCTCAGCTGCAGGTGATTTAAGCTTGTTGGATTTATATAACATTGGGAAATGGTAAACTGTGTAAATTTGCTATGTTTTCCAGGGACAGTTATTTATGGAAGGGCATTTTTAACTCGAGTGCTAGAAGTGTTAAATCATTATAATAAATTCATGCTATTCAGACTTTCTTACATTGTAATAAATTTTTTCTAAGCATGAATGAGAAGATCCATGATTCTTCTAATATACCATTATGTATTTCTTCTCAAAATGACACAGCTTACTACAAGTTGGAGAATAATAGAAGGAGATTTACTGTGTTGGAGGGGAAAAAAAGCAGTTGAGCAGGGATGAGTCTGAGAAAGGACTTTGGAGCAGTGATCACAAGCAGAACTTCTCCCTGCCTCTCCGCTTGCTTAGCCAGATGGAAGGAACAGGCATTGAGGGGTTGCATCCCCTCAATCTCCCACCTGAGCTTAGGGACAGCCTTTGTGCACAGAAATGGGGCACCCTAGTTGCCCTCTGCGCTGTCCTGTCCAGGGGCAGGTGTGGGAGTGAGGCTGTGTTAGAAAGAGAAGCGGTCTTTCCTCATGATATCAAAGCCCTGCCAGGAACATCAGTCTGGGCAGAGAGCTGCCCTGCATATAGCACCCTCTCCTCACCTCACTCTTCACCTGAGAGCTCACCTGGATCAGAAGATTCATACCTTCCACCAGATTCTCAAAGGGATCTGTGACCCAAAAAAATTCAGGAATCACTGGTCTTGGGTGAATTCTGAAGCATTTTCTGATTGTCCACTATGTGCTAACCAAAGTTCAGCAACATAGCTCCAGACTTCCAGCAGAGGACAGGGCAGTGAGGCAGAAGGTCAAGTTGAGCTGCAATTAAGAGTTCCTTGAGGTCAGTGCAGTCACAGAGCCCTGAACAGTAACCTCTGGGTCAGGGTCTTCAATCAGAATTTTCCCAGGCAGAGAAGCACTGTGTTCAAAGGCATGGAGAAAAGAACCCCAAGGTAGTGAGCTCATGGACAGCCTTGAATGCTAGGCTTGGCATTTAAACTTGGAGGAGCAGCAAGGCTCATGCTTGCATAGGCCCATGAGACCTGCATAGACTGCAGTCCTTGGCAACAGTTTACTTAGTGTTCCATCAGAGGCTTGGGTTTAAGTTCTTGCTCTGTAGCTGTGTGACATTGCACAAGTCCCTTCACCACTCAGTGCCTGTCTGCAAAACATAGATAGCACATGTATGCATGCCTGCCTTGCCTGGCACAGTATCTGTAGGGATCTGATGGAAGGATGCTCATGCACCTGCTGAGTAAACAACTGCAAACCTCTTTATACATATCAGGTGTCTATAATTTATCTGGAGGCTGGCAAGGGGCAGTGGGCCCCTCTGAAGCATGGAGAGTGGGGGATTCCATGATAGCCAGACAGAGCTGGGAAGCTGGGCCTGCCAGCTCCCAACCATCGCTGCCTCCCGCGCATGTCACCACCTCAGGCAGTGCCTCCAGCAGGGCACCCCACTGCCACACTTGCCCTGGTTTGAGAATGTCATTTACCTCTGTTTCTCCCATCAGCCTAGAACTTCGTCCCTCATACAAGGTCCTGGCTTCTTAAGACACCTCTGCCTCAATGGCCCTGGCTCTCCAGATCTCAGCCTTGAGGAGTGTCAGCATCAGGCAGAGCTGAGAGCCGTTCCAGGGTTGGGACCTCAGTTGTGGTCCACATGGCCATCTGCCTCCATGAGGGGTGCCTATGGGTAACTCCTGCCCTTCTTTCTCGTACTCCCCACCCCAGCCTCCATCCTCCACGTCTAGTATTTCCAAATCTGTCCCTTTCTTCAGAACTGAACAATTAGTGATATTATTTTCTTGTTTTGCCAGTCAGGCTGCCCCTGGGGATGGGGTGGGAAGGGCATCCCCAATTGTTTCTGAGCCATGGCTAGTGTGTTTTTAATGGGCTGGAGGAGAAACCATGGTGGCCTGATCATGCTGCTGTGACTGCCGAGGTTGCAAGCTTTCCATGTCTATGTTTGGGGGTCTCTCCTTTGATGTTACCCAGCGCATTGTCTGAGGAAGGAAGCAGGTGGGGATTGGTCTCTGCAATGCCCGGTCCACGTGACTGACCGCTCTCCCCAAGCTAACCCAGCTAATGTTCAAACAAGCCATTTTTTTCATACATTTTATTTTGAAGTCAGACATACAGAGAAGTTTTAGAAATAACACAAGGAATACTTTTATACCCTTTACTCATATTCCCCAAGTGTTAACATTTAACTTGTTTGCTTTATCATACTCTCTCACACACATATAAACACTGTATTATTACTTTTTTCTGGAAACATTTGAGAGTAAATTGCTGACCTAATATCCTTATTTCCCCAAAAAGTTCAGTATATATTTCCTAAACAAGGACAGCCTCTTATATAACCACAGTACAGGTATCAAAATTAAGAAATCAATGCTGACACAGTACCTGATCTTATTTAAGTGTTGCCAGTTGTTGAACTAATATCCTTTGTAACCAAAAAACAAAAACAAAAAAAAGAAAGAAATTCTGGCCAAGGATCACAAGTTACATTTAGTTGTCTTGTCTCTTTAAATGAGCACAAGCCATTTACTTCATAGAACATTTTGGGTTTGTCTTGTTTCCTTATGATTAGATTCTGGTTATGCATTCTCAGCAAGAATAAGTGACACTGTCTCCTTTTGAACACATCTGACCAGGAGGCCCATGATAGCATTTGTTACATATTACATTCCAGATGATACTTACTTTGATCACCTGGTTAAGGTGGTATCTGCCAGGTTTCTCCTTGTATAATAAAATTACTAACTTTCCCTTTGTAATGTATAAGTATTTTGTGGGGGTATACTTTGAGGCTATGTAAATATTGTTTCTCATACCTTTTTTTTTACCCACTTGTTTTATCATCCATTGATGTTTCAGCACATTGCGTTTAAATCCTTAGTCTTCTACTTTGCCCCTGCCTACTCTCTTTGACCAGTCCACTCCTAGGAGACAGATTGGAAACAGAGACCATTTACTTCTGATCCTCAGGGCCATTAGGTAGGCCAAGAACTACATACAAAGCAACACACAACAGCATGGGAACAAGAGCCCAGTGAAGTGGTTCCCACTCAGGGCACTAGAAAGTCAGAAAACAGGTGCTCTGTTTCCAGTAGACCCCCTGGAGTAGGTGGACCCTGGACTAGGACTTAAGGACAGGGAGAATTTGGATGGCCAGAAATCTGGAATGGCATGAGAATCTGTGTCCATATGCCATATTTGAGGGCCCCAGTGAGACCCTGCCCCGAATGCCTGTCATCCCAGGAGCTCCCAGAGTACTGGGAAGACCTGAACCACCAGGCTTTCTTTTGATCCCTGTTCAGAGTTAGGGCAACATGGGGCAGAGGGGCCCTGCAAAGAGTGGGCCAGGCCCAGGGTGCTTCAGAAGAGGCCTGTGGAAGGCATCCCCGCTTCCACTCCCCACCTCTTCTCATGCATTCAGCAAACACTGGTGAGCACCTACTCCATGCCAGATATTGAAGTCAATGCTGAAGACACATAATACTCTCAAAGGGGATGCTTTGAGCCCAGAGATTCTTAAGGTCACTCAGCACTGAGGGCAAGGCAGGAGCTGGATCCTGCCCAGAATCAAGAGCAAAATACAGTGGAGGATAAAACCCTTTGCCAAGCTCCCTCATTCCAGGGTGACTGTCATACCCAGAGCAAGGATGAGGGTACTCACAGTCATGCATCTCCTCTGACCTCTCTTCTCCAGTGCCCTTTCCCGGCACTTGGCAGAGAGCTTCAGGGACACTGACGCTGGGCCAAATCCCTGAGACCCAGGCTGCCTGCTCACTTTGCAGAGGAGGGATCTGAGGCCAGAGAGATCTGAGCCTTTCCAGGACTGGCCTGACTTCACTTTTCTGCCCTGTGGATAGGCTGTGTGTCTCTGTTTGAGGCTTGGAAGCACAGTCAGCAAGGAGGCTTTTGAGGCAGGAGCCATTATGCCTTGAATATGTGCCTTGAATAGGTAGCTTTTTCCAATGTAATATGAAGATTACATACACGGCGTCTGCCATAGGGCAGACCTGGGTTCAAATCCCAGTTCTGGGGTTCACGTGACTTTCATACAGCATATAAGCTCATCTGTAAAATAGGGCCCAGGATTGCTGCGAAGGTTAACTGGAATGGTGTCCCTGAAGTAGCCAGGACAGTGTCCAGATGACAAGTAGGTAGATTGTTTTGAAACAAGGCCTGTGTCTTCCCCCAGCATATTCCCAGCCTACCTAAAATATCTTGCAGTTCTTCAGACGGTCTGGGGTCCTTTGTTCCTTCATGACCCCTCCCATGGAGTCCGTGTAACACCCGCTCACCCTACAAAACCTGACCCAGGTGTCTCCACTTTCCCAGACAGGGCCACTTGCCTTCCCTCCTCTGGGCTGTCCTGGGCCCCCAACACAGTTCCCACAGGCTAGTGTGCAGTTGTCTTTTGCTTGTCAAGGAACCTCATGGGGGAATTAGTGCAGCTGATTTCGAATCCTGGCTCCATTACTTTCTTACAGTGTGGTTTGGGGCAAGTTACCTACCTTATCCAAGCCTGTTTGTTCATCTGTAAGGTAGGGTGATAGCACCTTGCAGAATTACAGGATTAGAGATAATACCCATAACATACCTCACATTGGGCCTGGAAAGTACCCAGTGTGTGCTATCTTCATCTCTTCACCTCTAATCCTTAGTGCAGTGCTGTGCTCAGTAGGTACACTATAAATACTGGTTCAGCAGGTTAGGGAACAAATTACTCCCCATGCCCAGGTAGTTTTCATTTTAAAAGCAGAACTAATGAGGCCCAGGTCTAACCCAAAGAAAAAGGCCTAACAATGGGATCTGAGACCCTGTGTAGGACGGGAGTACAGTGAGAAGCTTGGGGCATGTGTGTTGGATCTCCTTAGTAGAAGCCCACATCCTGCCCATGCAGGGTGAAAATGACCCACAGTTGTCCTGATCCTGAAGCCCCTCCTTGGTTCCCATGAGGAGAGCAGGAAATGGAAGGGAAACAAGGTTGACAGCTCCTGGGCCCTCTGGACTTCCTGCCATCCCAATGCCCATGGCTCCCTGAGCTGGGCCCCAGGAATAGGTAAGGACAGAGAGGCAACAGCAACAATGAATCATGTTGGAGACCCTGAAGACAAGAGGCATCTTTGTGCCTCAATTAGTGAAGTATGGGGCCTTCACAAATGGCTGAATTTTCCCCTTTATTTTAAAAAGCTTATTTTTTTTTATTTTTTATTTATTTATTTTTTTTGAGAAGGAGTCTCACTCTGTCGCCAGGCTGGAGTGCAGTGGCGCAATCTCGGCTCACTGCAAGCTCCGCCTCCCAGGTTCAATCGATTCTCCTGCCTCAGCCTCCCGAGTAGCTGGGATTACTGGCATGCGCCACCACGACCGGCTAATTTTTTGTATTTTAGTAGAGACGGGGTTTCACCACGTTGGCCAGGATGGTCTCGATCTCCTGACCTCGTGATCCTCCCACCTCGGCCTCCCAAAGTGCTGGGATTACAGGCATGAGCCACCACCTCCAGCAATAAGCTTAATTTTTTTATAAGCAAATTCTTAAAATCAATGCAAACCCAGTTGAGCACCTCCAGTTTGCACTGATCTTAAGAATTTGCTTATCATTTTCTCCAGTGTTAAGTGTACTGGGGGAAATGGCTGACACAGCTCAAAAGGCTTTTGAACTTCAGGTAGCTCCATAAAATGTTAATAAATATTATATTTATTACAATTTAATTTTCTCTCCTTGTTAATAATAAAAGCTCCTGTCTGTCCCTACAACCAGCAAGTGCTACCAAGGAGGGGGACTTATGCACCCATTAGCAACACGTTTACTAACTTGTTACTCACTCACCTTTAAGAACTCCAGCTCTATCAAGGAGAGAAGATAATCAAGGAGAGAAGGGAAGAAAAGGATTGGTACCTAGATCAATATAGATGCTGTCATTTCTTAAAGGTGAAATTGGGGTTGTTGAGAAAAAAAATCAGAAGAAAGAAGGGAGTAGGAGACATGAGAGAAGGGCTGGAGGGGAGTAACTGTGCAGAGAGTTTATAACTGAGGGAGATGTGATGTAGAGATCAAGGGCACAGCCATGCAGCTAGACCTGGACTTGAATGCTGATTCTGGGTAATTTAGGTGAGGGACTTAACCTCTCTGAGCCTCAGTTTTTGCATCTGTAAAGTAGGGTAATATCATCTGCATCATAGAATTATTGTGAGAATTCGATGAGATTATAACTAAGCAGTTCTTAATGCAGTGGCTAGTACAGAGCAGCACCCCATAAATGACAGCTACACCCGTGCCTCAATGAATGATGCCCAAATGATAAGAGTGGAACTGGATGGCCCTGATGCCTCTGCTCAGTCAGTGGGTCCCGAGCATCCCAAGGCCTGGGCTCACCTCTTGGGAGTCACATGGGGCAGCTACAGGAGCCTAGGCACATCACTGCCTGGCTCTGGGTCTCCTCACTGAAAATGAGGATGACAGCTGAGTTCCTTCCACCTACACACTCCATGCCCACACACTTAAAGAGCAGGGTAAACAAGAACTGGCAACACAGGCTGCTGCTAGGGAGAGAAATGGATGACTGGATTCAGGGGTGGGAAGAACTTCATTGTTTCCTTTTTCCTGTGTTTTGAATTTTGAAATATATGAATACATTATTCAAAAAAATAGATAAAAAATTTTAAAATGCAAAGACCAAATTAGTATGCAGCCTGAGGCCATGTGAGCCCAGAGGAGGAAGGTTGCAGACAGCAGCAGTCACAGTTGCATTGGGAATGCTCTTGCGAAAGGAAAGGGCAAAGAGAGCAGCAGGGGCGCAGGAGTGTCAGCTAATTGGGGTCCCTGGAAAGAGCAGTGAGAGGCAGAGGTGTGTGCACCTCGGCATGACAGGAATTCTCTGGGAGTGGCATATGCTGACTGGACTTCACAAAAAAATGACCTAAAATGGTCTTGTGTCAAGTTCAAGTTTGCTTCTGTTGGGAGGTGGATTGTCAATAGAATGGAATTAAGAAAAGGGAAGGAGGATGAGATCGCAGCCTGAGCCATTCATTCTGAGTATCTATGCTGTAAGAAATTTGCCACTCTGATAATCCTTGGGGTGGAATGTAGCTGAGTGTGGCTGTCTCTTGTTCACTTCTCAACACTCTCGGGGATGATATTATCCCCATTTTAGAGATAAGGAAATTGAGGCTCAGAGAGGTTAAGTAATGTTTCCAAAGTGACACAGAAGGTATTAGAGAGAACTGTGATTTTAATCCTGGTCTGAAGTCAAAGTCCATGCCTTTTTCACTCTGATACCCTAATCCTTCCATCTCCTCTGCTAGTCTGGGAAAGTCCTGGTTAGAGCTCCACAAAGGGCAGAAGCAGAGATGGAGATGCTCAGAGTTTCCTGAAGAGGCAAACAGTTAGGCTGGCAGGAAGAGGGAGAAAGGGTGATACAGAGGGCCCTGGGGAGCTGATGCTGGCTCTCCAGGCTTCCACTCTGTCACTAGCAAGTCCCGGGGCACCTGGGAGTGTTGGGGACCAGAGACTGGGGGGTAACCAAGGGGAGAACTTGAGGAGAGAAGGGAGGGCAGCTTAGAGAAATGGAGGGAGGGTCAGTAGGGGGAGGAAACTAGAAAGTTAAAATAAAAATCTTATACTTGCAAGCATTTATCTGGGGATGGGAGGGTGTGTTGACTATACACTTATTCCACGTGCTGTCACTACTTAAAGAGTATTTCCAGAACAGCTGCCTCTTTGGGACATGCCTTCAGTTGTCCGTAATTTGTCCATTCCTTCCTTCCTTATTCACTCATTAATGCAGGAATGAATCAATATTGACTGAATATCCAACTTCCAGAACTCACTAGTCTGTTGAAGGTAGTACATCAATGGTAGCTAATAATTTTTATTTGGGGGTGGGTTCCATTTGGGTAAATAGTCAAATGGCATTCACAGCCAAGTCTGATGCTGTCACTTTGGGCTGGGCTTCCTAAGCTCACTGCCATATGTCCCTTATCCACTTTACCAAGTGGGCAAGCAAGGTGGGGAATGTTTATCTGTGTTTTATCCACTGTAATTCAAACACTAGCCCTGCAGACCCTGTGCTATGGGGATCTGCAGCTTTGCCCAGATGACTAGCAGCAGTCCTGGAGGATGGAGGCCTTGGCAGTGCTTGCATGAGTGGGGAAGCTCTAGTATGTCTTGTGTTTCTCTCTACCAGTGCTTAGCATGAGGGACGGAGGTGTAATCCTGCTCAGAACAGGAAAAAGGTCAGATCTTTAGAAAAACACAGAGGGAGATGGGAGCATTAAATGAAAAGTCTCATATAAACATAACTTTTTCATACTAGCATCACAGAGATAGGAGGATAAAAGGAGAAGAAAGAGAAAAGAGAAGCTGTGACTACAAAGCTTTGGAGGAAGAGCTGGAAGGACTTTGAAAGTGCTGCTGGGAACAGGTGCAGTTGCCCTGGGGAGGTGCTGGAGAGAAGCCTGGGGCTCCCACCAGGAGCCAGTTCCACCCCAGGATAAGGCTGTGGTGAGGCTATGAAGGCCAAGTTCCCCAGCGGCTGCCACAGCAAGGTTACAGATGCCCAACAGGCCAGAGCCAGCTGGCAGACATCAATGCAGCATGGAAAACATTAAGGGGAAGTGGAGGCATTTAGCAATGAAATGACTTGATACCTGGGATTTTTGTCAAACTACTGTTGGAGTTGAGGTATGCTGAAGCTAGGTAGTGAGTACTTGCCTAAGGGATTCCTTAGGCAAGTGTCTCTACTCTTGTTTCTTGTGCTTGAAATAAAAAGTTTCTAATAATAAGCAAAAGGTCTTTTACAAATAGGGGTGCTATGAAGAAGCCACACACTGCATATAGGATAATAGCAAAGGAATAAAAGCCATAGAATAGAAGCAGAAATCAACAAGAATTTTGTCTTGGGTTCTCTTAACTAACATTGCAAATCAGGAGTTCTTAACCAGGGAGTGATGGATGAGTTGCAGGGATCCCTGAGCTCTCTCTCCATAATCATGTGCAAAGTGATCCAGTAGTTTCCAGCAAGTTTTCAAGGAATCTCTTTTCCCCAGAGGTTAATAAATTGTATTCTCTCTTAAGTGTGCTATGCATGTATCAGTCACCTGGTGCGTGGTTTTTACATTGAAGGTTTCTTTTATAGAACTGGAATGTTCATATCTGGCTCCAGTGTTGTCAGCTCCCCTCTCAGTCAGCCATACCCGGAAGAGGGCGAAATTGCCTGGCTGGCTTCACAGCCCATCTCTCTGGTGACAGCTCCCAGGGTGCCTAAGCCCTTAGCTACAACACTTTAAGTGGAGGTAGGGGAGGGCTATGTCCCAGAGACAAGGGTACACAGTGGGGAGGTGGACACAAACAGGAGAGGTCTGGGGAGGTCACTTGGGGATCTCTGGGAGGCTTCCTGGGGTCTGAAAGAGTAAGAGGGGGTGCTGGGGGTTGAGGCTGTCCTCTTTCAGCTGCAGGTATGCAACAGAAATCACCGTGTTGACTAGTCGGAGGCTCAAAACCTAAAGACACCTCCCCACTCCCCAGAGAATTTCTTAGAAAACACCTTCCATTCTTCTCAGGGCAGAATAATACCCAGTCTGACATCCAGCCCCTTGAAGCTAATTCTTCCAAGAAGTGCAGCTCCCTAGAATGGACACAGCAGGCTGTCACTTGGACTTGCAGCCCTGTTGAACAGCAAAAGGGGGTTAGTTTAGGGGACATTCAGGGTCTCCTCAGTCCCTCTCTCGGAACCATGTCCACATTTAGGTCAAGGCTGGAAGGCCTTCCCTTATTTGCTGATACACGAAGATCTTTCTCTCCAGCCTAATGCATCACAGGCCAACATCAGAAGCACAGATTTGGCCCCTGGCCCTGAAAAGAGAGATGGGAGGAGAGGATGGAGCATGGGATCCAGGCACTGCTCTGTAGCTGGGGCTCTGAGCTCTACTCTCCATACCCTCCTTCAGAGGAGACAGGTGGGGACCGAAGCCATTTCCCCATCTCCCACAGGGGGACACAGACTGACAGGCAGTCAATGACCCTTGTTTCTGGGGCCTTGTCTTCTCTCCTCCAGGCATCTGAACCTTGCAGCTTCCCTGCCCCTCACTTGGCAGCCCTCCTGTCTCAGCAGTGGAGAGAGGTGGGGGCCCTGGGAAAGAGTTGCCCGTTCCTAGACCAGACTGCAGAGCTGAGGGCAGGGGAAGGGAAGGAGGTGGGATAGTGAAGATTGAGAAGGTCTGTCCCAGGCCAGGACTGGGTGAAGGCATGCAGCTGGTGTGCAGCTGTCTGGGCTCTCCTCTCCAGAGGCCTGCCGCCCCTCTCCAAGTCCTGCGTGGTGTTCTTCCTCCTTCGGAATGCTTTTCCCTCCCACCCTGGCATTCAGGGTCTGGACACCTCTCTCCAGCTCGTATCTAAGTGTAGGACAGGCAGCATGCCAGGAAACGCCCCAGGGGAGGGCCCCTACTCTTCTTTCTACATCCTTGCCCCCACCAGGACCCTGACTGAGGGCCCAGAATCCTGTTTTCTCCATCCCTGCAAACTGCCAAAGCAGCGGGAGGTGTGGGGCCAAGAGCAAGATGCTTGCTGGTAAATTTGGAGTTGCATCCTCATCCTTCTTCCTTTATTGTGGCCTCTTCCCTCCACTGCCTCCTTCCCTAAGGTGTCACATAACTTCCCCCCCCAACCCAACACTTGCTCGGCCTTCAGGTCGGGTGGCCTAGGTAGCCTCCTTTCTGTTCTGCTTGGACACTGTGGCCACCTCTGCCAGGAACCCAGAAGAATGAATTTGCAGTGGGGACTTTCAGAGACACACACCAGTCCAGAGAGATTCTTCCTAGAGTGGAACAGGACCTCCTTTTATTGTTCCCATCACCTCCCAGAAGAGCCTCACATGCTGAGGCTCAGAACGAGGGCCTGTGTGGCAGATTCCATAAAGAGGACCAAAGCTACTTCCAGTGGGCAAGCCTTGGGGCTGTGAGGCACAGCTGGCCAGAGTCCGAGAGGCACAGACCAATGAAGAAATATTTTTTTAAACTGTGCTTTATTTAGGGCTAAGCTGGAGAAAGCGTCATCCAATAGTTACAGAAGGTTACAAGGAGTTTTAGGGAGTTGAGTGTGAAAAGAGCAGTTGTACTGAACTGCAGCTGTTTTCTTTTTTTTTTCTTTTTTTCTTTTTTTTTTTTTTTTTTTTACATCTGGACATCCTAAAAGGAGGAGTCAAGAGAAAAAAAGAAAATGAAAAACAACAACAACAACAAAATTGACAGAAAGAAAGGAAAGGCAGGAGGCCCTAGAGGAACTGGAAATTTGTTCTTCTAAAGGGAAACTGGTAGGTCTGAGAACCCCCGGCCTCCAGATGACCTGGACATCAATGAGAAGGAATCAAGGCAGAATGCCAAAGCAATCTTCCCAAGGGTGCAAATAAATTATAATAAATATGTTATACTTTAAAATATATGTGTTCTTAAATAATTCAGTGTTTTTTCTGATTCTGAGTTTTTTAAGCAATGTCTTTAACTGCTCTAAAGTCATTTACCAAAGATAAATATCGTGCTTTCATTAAATAGTTTTCCTTGTTTTTTTCTCTATCATTACAATTAAAAGTCCTACAAAATATGCAAATTTATTTACAGAAAAACAGAGCCGGCATCATTTAAACATCCCTGTTTTTCAAAATTCCTTGTAAACAGTTTCAGAAATTCTTCAAAGATTGTTTATTTTTCTCTCTCTTTTTTAAGGTTTTGTGTGTGTGTGTGTTGTCTAGTTGTTTTAAGATGAAAGTTCCCAGTTCTCCCTTGCCCGGAAAGTCTCTGGAGCAAGCGTGGAAGGCGAGTGAAGCGGAAGGTGAGTGAAGCGCGCGCAGCTCCCAGAGGGAAGCGAGAGGCGAGGATGACGGCGGCGGCGGCGGCGGCGACCCGGGCGACGCGACCGTTCCCGACCGACGGCGTGGCCTCCACCGGCGTCGGCAGCCAGGCGCCCGCAGGTGTGGGGCGAGTTCGGCCTGGCCCTTGGGGACAACGGCATCCGACTGCACTCGCGGGGAGAAGGGATTGATGCTCTGTCTAAACTCTACAAAAGTACAGTCCTACAACATCTGGGATTTTAGCAGTAATGCTAACTTCTATAGGTTTTTTTTTTCCTTTTTTATTTTTTTTTTTTATTTTTTGCTTTCCTCTAATTTTTCTTCTATTATATAGGTATTTTAAACTTTTCCTTTTTAAAATTCTGTACAACTATTATGATTTTAAGAGGGGGAAGAGTTAGAAGCATTTACAGACTTTTCACAACAATGACCTTGCTTGGTAAGTCCCATTTGTTCCCCTCCTTGTTTTCTCACACTTCACGGGTGAGTTTTAAGATTTGTGTTGCTTTCCCCAAATATCCACCAATTTGTTCATCTTTTAACAGCTCCATCCAGACATAGAATACAGAAAACCATAGGAAAGTGTCATAGACTTGGATGAGGGTCATCAAAGCGCCTCTCAAAGTATCAAAGAACTATTATCTTGCTGTTTTAAAAGCATTGAAGCGTTATTTTTCCTTTTTTTGTTGTTTTTTTTGTTTTTTGTTTTTTTTTTAATTTTTTATTACATTTTTTCATAGAATCGCTCTAAGCTGTTTCAAGAACAGCCATGAGGCAGGAAGGAGGGGGTCCTCCATTCCCCCTCTATTTGACATAGAGCTACACATCTGCAATAAAAAGTTTGGTCCTTTGGTCCCTAAATAGCTAAAGGAATGACAGATAGAGATGCTCAGTGGCGGCCTCTCAGCCGCCCCTTGGGGACCAGGCCCCACGCACCACTTGCCCCAGCCTGCGTCAGGCGCCCGTGGGCTGGAAAAGCCCCGGGATCGGTAAGCAGCGTCTCCTCCCAGCTCCCAGCCCTTCAGCCTCCCCGTCTGCTCGTGATATTTTGTTTTAAAGTTGCCTTTTGTGTGTTTTTTTCTCATTTTTCTTCATCTTCTTCTTCATGTCATATATATTTTCCCCCAAACACGTGCCCTCTGAACTCCATAGACGCTATACTTTCCTTGAAGAAATGTTACAGTCACACAGACAGTGTCTGGAGTCTTCAGCTTGATTGATATTGGCTGATATGTCAAAGGTGTCATCCAACAGTTCTCATTTATAAATATATATAGAGAGAGGTTTGTTTTTTAATGTAGCCCGTTCAGCATCCTGCCCTAAAATGAAGAAAATCAGGGCTGATTAAGCCAAGAGGGAAAACACAAACAGCATCCAAACACCAATAGGAACCTGCCTCAGGGGCTAGGATGGGAGCTCTAGGGGATGGTGGGAGGGAAGGAAGAGAGACCAGTATGAGAATTAGTCATGATCATGATACATTAAAAAGAAATATACTCTTCTATTCAGAGTAGAAACCACTGGGAGGTCTAGTGGTGATGGTTGTAGCTGAGGTTTCGTTGTTGGGAGAAGGTTCTTGATTTGGGTTACTTTAGCATTCTGGATTGGGGGTAGCTACATCTAAGGGGAGAATTTGGGACTGCGGGATATGAATTCATAATTAAACTTGTCTCTGAGGGATCTAGCCCAGATACAATATGTATACAGAAGCCTAGCAAACAAGATAGGAAAAATCTAGCAGCCCAGCCCACTCCTCCCAGCTCAAGGGAAAGAAGGAAGACACATCCGTGACTCAAATTTTGTAGAATCCTTGCCCAGCTTCCAGCCAACCACTTCTTTCCCGGGGTCAGTAACTATTTGCGAGGCTGTGTATATATATGTATATCTGGATATATGTGTAGAATATATTCACCTGCACATATGTGGATATACATGGATATGTGTGTATGTATATGCATATATACACACATACACACACATAATACTTTTCTCATACATGCCAGGGAATTTAGAGGAATTCAGAACTTCAAGGGAGTGGATGGGAAAACCTAAAAAAGGTCAGAAGAGATTTAATTATCAAACTTAAATAAATTAACTCAGACAGTGCTTGATTTTGTTTTGAATGGTGGCTTTTTGGTGTTTTGTTTTGCTTTAAAAAAATCATGATCTGACTAGAATCAGAAGGCGAATGCTTAATCATTGTGAATTAACAAATGAGACTCATCTCCATTCTAGCAAGCAGCTTCCACTTATACATGGGGGTGACTGGTTACATCAAGAAAGTTAGAACTGCAAAGCCCCCACTTGAGGGGACAACGTCATGCGTATATCAATCCATGCTGGCAGGTTTTTCACACTGTTGATTCAACAAACAGCAAACCGTACACAGCAGTCTAAACAATTACAACACCAAATAAAATAATAATAAAATTAAAAAACACTTGTCAAGGACCCTTTTTCAGTTGTAAACAAAAAGGTGCATTTTGCTTTTGTTAGTACTGTTTCTTCCAAACCAACCAAAAAAAACCCTCCCGAGCCCCCAGTCCCCAGCCTCCCCTCCCCACATTTAATTTAGCAGAAGTGGTTACAATACAAACCTTACAATTGTTACCGGGCTCTCTTGCAGAGGCCTCTGGCTTTGTACTCTAGTTTTTTGGTTTAGAATTTTTTTATCATTCTGTTACTGTAGATATTTTGTTTTTGTTTTTTTGTTTTTGTTTTTTTTCCCTTTGAAGTGAGATTGAAAATAGCCTAACTGGAAAAAGACCAGACCTAGGAAAGTGTCAATTGAAAAAGGCCCCCAAATTTCTAGAAAAAAATAAAATCACAATATTTTCAAGTGCAAGTAAATCAACCACGCATAGATATTTTTAAGATGTTTTCCTTATTTTTAAGAAAAAAATAATGGTTTGCACAGGTAAATGATCCCATGTTTGATAATTCAGGAATTCATCTTTATTTTGACTATTTTTTGTTCTTTTGTTTTGTTTTTTTCTCTATGTGACATCTAGAGAAGCATAAAAAAACGCTGAACAAGAAAAACCAAACAACAGAAAGTAAAACCACTGCAAGCACCAAGAACGAAACGAAAATGAGCACAGCAAAAAAGATTGTGGCAGCACAAAAGTCAAGAAAATGCACGTGTGATCATGACTGGCCAATCATCAACTGATACAACATCCAAGAAAAACGCTCCAATCACAGCACCTCCACGAAACTTGACGGCAATTGTCATGCAACCGATTCTTAGCCTTGTTACATGACGCCATCATGTCACACTGTGAACTTTGAGTTGATTTGAACTTACGGATGGGGGACTTTTCTCCACTCTCATGTGATTACGTGAACTTTATTCCTAGCTCAGCGCGAGACTGTGGTGGATTTGACTGGCCCTGGTTGGGTTGTTGGAATTTGATTGAATGACAAAAGAAGAAAAGATTTATATATATATTTATATATGTAGAGAGAGAGAGAGAGAGGACAAGAGAGTGTGGGTGGGGGAAGGAAGAGGTGGGGCAGGGCAGGTGGGGTTGGGGAGTGTGGGAGGGCAGGGAGGGCTGGGATTTGGGTGAAGGAGGGCAAGGAAGAAGTTAAAACAAAATTAAAAAGAAAATATATTTATACAGCACCAGACCACAGCATCAATCTAGAAGCTCTGATGAGAGAACAGCAGTCAAATCATAAGAGAACTGAAAAGAACTCAAAGGATGGAGGAAGCCAGCAGACAAACATGGGCACATCAACACACACACACGCACACACACACGCACGCACACACATACACACATACACACACACGGTTGTTTATGCAGACACATGATACACTGTGAACAGAAGCAGAACCTCACACAGGGCCACTAAGGGCATCCATCATGCGTTGGGGAGGGGGGCATGGGCGGTTTGGCAAGGGGGCCAGAAAAAAAATAAAACAGCCCCTCAAACCACCTTGGCCAGCAAGCAATCTCAGGGAGCAGGCGCTCTGCTTTTCATCACCCTTGATTCTTTCTCTCCCCCAGGGGTGGCGCTCCCTCCCTCCTCAGCTTTCTGTGACTACAGCCTGTGGGCCAGCAGGGGATGTCTGTCAAGGTGGCCCTGGTCAGCTGGGTAGGTCAGAGGCTTGCTATGGTAACTGCTGTGTCCACGGGGTCCATCTACAAAATGCTTTGCTGCCATAGTACCACCCAGGCTGGCAGCAGCTCGGCCCTCCCACCCTGTGGACCCACCCTGGCCACCATCCTAGAGAAGGCTGCAAGGGCACCCACTGTGGAGGTTATGGCCCTCCCCCGTTTCTGCTCCACCTCAAATTACTTTCCTCAGAACCTGAGCAGGGTTCATTTTGAGATTTAGGGTAAAATTCATCAATGTTCTTGGAATTCTAGAAACATGCCTTGGCACTACTGAGTTCATCTTGCATTTGCCTTACCCTCTTTCTTTGCTCACACTCTTTGCCTTGCTCCCAAGTGGCCTGTGTAACCAAACTGAGGCTGCATCTAGGCACATGAAGCCCTTCGAAGGTTCTGCAGCCCTGACCCATAAAAGCGCCACATGGAAGGCTGGAGGGTGCCCTGCAGGGGGCCATGTGCAAGGCTGGAGGGTCCCCTGCAGGGGGCACAGAGGCGAGCGCCTCCAGCCTTTGCTGCTCCCACTCTTGCTCTGCTGACTTCCCCTCCTCCCTACCCCATCCTCTTTTCCCACCCTCTCACCCCATACCCCTCCAGGAACAGCTTTCCAGCCTGGCCCACCGCAAGGCCCCAACCTTCAGCTTTCTTTCCTGGTGGAGCCCTAAGTAGTTGAGAATGAGTTCTCTTCGCTATCAGGAATCATCAGGTGATTCAACTTTCGGCTGACTTCTCCACCCCTCACCACTTCATAGTCCTCTGCTGCACCTGGGCCCCTTTGGGGTCCTTAGCTCCACCCCTCCCCATAGTTATCTTGAGCTTGCACTGGATTCCCTGCTCCCCTGTGGCACTCAGGCCTGGGCCAAGGCCTGTGTGCCAGGTTGATCTGCAGGCTTTCCAGTCCACAGGCTTCTACATACAGCAGACTTTCACTCTCAGCTTTATGCTTTCCTGCAGGGAGGGAGGGAGGGAGGAAGGGAGGCCTGGGATCTTAAAATATCACTGTGGATGAGGGGCAAAGAAGCTGAGCCCAAGCCCGGCCTCCAGCTCAACCTTCACAGAAGCACCCTAGACTCCTCCTCTGCAGACCCCAGCCTGCCTGCCCACCAGGGCTGGGTTCTTTGCTCTTCCAACACTGGATCTCCTTCCCCCAGATCAGGGACCGTCCCATGCCCACCAAGTCCTGAAATGCCACTTCCAACTCCTCCCAGAAGCCCTTAGACCCACCCAGGATGGCCAACGGGCAGCTCCCGTTGGCACGGGAGAAGAGGCCTAAGGAACTAAGGAGGGTATTGCCATCAGATGGGGGCTGTGGCAACTGCAACTCAGGGACTCCCTGGGACTCTCCTCTTTCTCCCTCCATTCCAGCCCTGAGCCCTTCATGGGCGTTTACTCCTTCCCACTCTGCCTGCTCCTCTCCCAGCTTTAGAGTGCAACCGCTTGTCAGGGCCAGGCACTGTCCTGTGTACTGCAGCACAAACCTGAATAGCACACAGCCCCTGTCCCTAAAGCTCAATCTAGGGAACTTCCTCACACATACCCTCATCTCTCACACATGTGTGGCCCTAGACACATAACACACCCTCACACTCAGTCCCTGAGGAGCCCCCAAGACTCCACGGGCTCAGCTGGCTACTGTCTTCATTAGGCAGCAGCTCCTCTTCTGCCTGCAGGGTGACCCCTTCCCGACCACTCTCGGGGTGGAGGCTCACAGAGCACAGCCCTAGGTGTGGCAGTGGGATCACTGACCGGCATGGTGAAGTCCAACTCACCGAGCTGGGTGAGGAAATTATGGCCAAGCTGAACCAATTCAGATCTCAGGTCCTAAAATCAGCTGGTCTCAAGCAAAGGAGGGCCAGGCCGAAAGCTACAGCCTGGCCCTGTATAGGTCAGACCCAAAGCACCTGTGCCTGCAAAGCCTGGACCCGACACTCTCCAAAAGCATACTCAGAGCCAGAGTCACAGGACTCACTGGGGTCAGGACAAGATGCTTGGTGCACTCTCCAGCCATAGAACTGGAGTGCTAGAAGTCTGAGAACCTGGCCTGCTGCTGGGGCCCAGTGTGTCTGGTAAGCAGTGGCGGAACAAGGGGCTCAGAGGCCAATCTCTGAGCTGGGCGGGGCCAGGCTGGGTGTGTTCTGCCCGCTGGCTATGGACCTGGCCACATGCATGTTTTTGCCTACTCTTCCTGCCTTTGCTTCCTTCCTTATTTATTTCCTGGCAAAGATTGCTTAGAGAAACTCCAGTCTTAGCACAAGACAACAAACCCAAGCCACCAGAGGGGTAGGGCAGTGGGGAAGCAGAAAACCCGCCAGGAAGGAGAGTCACTGACTCCAACCCTAATCCCACCCCACTCAGGACCTTGCTTCATGGAACCAAAGCCCAACTGTACTCCCCACAGCTGCCCTGCCTAGGCCCTTCTCCCTCCCCTAGGTCTGTCCCCACTCCCTTCTGACTTGGCCTTAGAAAGCCTGCACCACCATGGGGCAGCTGCCCTAGCCCTGAGGTCCCCCTTCCACCTCCCACTTTGCTCCCAGCTATGGCTGGTCCCTCGGCCCCTGCTCAGGCTTCCTGCCCTTCTGAGCACCTGGGGCTGCAGCTCAGGCCTCAGCACAAATGAATACCCTTTACTGGCCTGTGATACCAGGCAGTATTTTAGCTGATTTTTTGTGCCTTTTCCTCCCTCGCTGGCAGTCCGAGGGCAGCCACTTCTCATTGAGCCACTGCCTCAAGGCAGTCCCCAAGGCTGCCTTGAGAAGCTCTCTATCTCTTCTTAGCAACCGCCTTCTATTAGAGCTTCCAACAGTCTTGGGCTGGGAAGCCTGACAGCACCATTCGTTAAAATACTGTCTAAATGAAAATTAAATGTCAACCTTACTGTAGGAGTTATGTGACATAGTAGTTTTTTAAAGGACTGCTTAGTAGAAAGGAGGTGGTTAGATGGCTGACCCCAGAAAAGTGAGGTGTCATATGTACTCCCTCAGGACATTCAGGGTACTCTGGGGTAATAGGTTGGGGTGAGGGTAGGGTGGGGCTTCTCATTCTCCTCACTTGAAGGGGAGAAGGCTCCCTGGCTTCAAAGCTTGGCTCTGTGACTCACTAGCTGATGGGCAAGCTACTTAATCTCTCTGTGCCCCATCTGTGAAATGGAAATACTAACACTACCTACCTTATAGGTAGTTGTAGCTATGTAGTTAACATCTCCTAGTTGTTACTTCTCGGAGCAGTGCCTGGTGCATGGTAAGCACTGTGTGAAGGTCTAGGGTTCTAATCTTTCTGCCCTTTGCATGCCCTGGTGGAAGAACCGACTCTGTGTTTTAAACCACTCCTCCCAAGCCCCCACCCCAACTCTGAATGCCAGCTGGTTCAACCCTGTGGGCACTTCTGACCTTATATCCCAAACAATAAACCTGCCTTCTCACTCCTTCATCTGGGAATTCTTCTAACCTAGAGGTTTTATCCTGGCTTGAGCCAAGGAGGCTAAGACAAGCTACTTTCAGGGGTGCCCCTTGGAATCTCGGGACATGACCCTGCCTGATTCATATCCCCCTAACCCCCAAATCCTCTAGTTGACTCTAACACCTTAGTCTCATTAATGAGAAAAAAGAAGCCCAAAGAGGACAAGCACCCTAACCCAGGTCACACCTTAATGGCAGAGCTATGCTGATTTAAGAAAAAGTGTCCTATATACAGAAAAAGCTGCTTTCACGAAACCGTCCCTCCATTCCTATGGAAATGCCCCCATCTGCAAGCTGCCTCCTGGTGTCTGTGTGTGCACAGAGCCAGAAGCTCCTCGAGGGCAGGGATGGTGACTCATTCATCCTTGCATCCCCCACACTGGGCCCAGTGCCTGGCACAAGAAGGTGCCCAAACTCTGAATAACATGTGTGTTTGCATCTGGACACAAGCCAGAAATGGGCAAGGATGGGAAACAAGCCAGAAATGGGCAAGGATGGGAAACCAGGAGGCAGGAAAGACTGGTTTTGCTTTTCCAGGATTGCAGAGAGTGGAGGCACAAGCACTCCCCCAGAGAGAAGGCCCCTGCTCTCTGAGGGTGAGAGTTGCTACTTCTGGGTGGAGGAAGGGTGTTCTGCTGGTATCTGTACCCCAGCACTGGGTGGAAGATTTGAGGGGAGACTGGGAAGCTGGAGACCTCCCTCCCAAACTCTGGACTGTGAAACTCAAATGTGTATTTTTCACATGCCTGATCTTTCTCCCAATCCCTCTGTTCTTCCAGTGACTTGGGCCAAAAGCCTGGGACTCATCCTTGGCTCCTCTTTCAAAATACACCTAGAAATTAATTCCTTCACATCTCATCAACTGCTGTGACACTGGACTGAGTGGTCAGTGCAGTAGACCTATGCTTTGGCCCCCTACAAGCTATTGTCAACACAGAAGCCAGGGTGACCCCACTGAAATGCAAGTTACCCATCACTCTCCTATTCAGAACTCTCCAATGCTCTCTCCATCTCCCATTTCAGAGAAGAGACCAAAGTCCACGCAGTGGCCTTCAAGGCCCCACACCAGGTGGCCCTCCTCACTCTCCCAGCAACCCAGTCTCTTGCTGTTCCTACTCCACTCTGCAGCCCCACCTTGCAGCCTCCATACTGACTGTTCCCTCAGAGGCGGGGGCATGGCTGCTTCCCTCACCTTCTATGCTCCAATTCACTTCCTCAGTGAGATCTACACTGACCATGTGGTTTAACTGTAGCCAACAATCTCGACATACTAGATCATATTCTTTGATCACACGTCATTGTTTATTGTCTGTCTCCACCTTCTCAATCTTGCTCACTGCTGAACCCCAAGTACCTAACACAGTAGCTGGCACACAATACTGCTGAATAAATGGAGGAACATGGGCAGGGAGGGGCGGTCAGAGGGCAGCAGGGTGCTGAGCTGGAAAGGCCCGAAAGGAGCCTTCACCTCTGCTCTGTGAAGAAGCCGAGGCTGCAAGAGCCACAGCACTGGGGGAAACCATTCTGAAGGTTGACTTTTGATGTCCTGGGGAATCTCCCCCCATTCTTTCTGCAGGAAGAACTTTGCTCAGGGGAACACGTGGGCTGGAAGAGGCGTGGCTGACTGTGTCTTCAGCTCCTAGGCAGGACCCAGCCCAGCAGAAAAGGTAACAACGACCACTCATCATGACCCGTGTGGGGCAGGCAGGGCCCGGGATCTCAGTGCTGTACCATCACCCTCCTCAGCTTTCATCCCATCCTGCTTTGTTTCTTAGTAAAGTTCCCTTTGAAAGATCCTGTCCTTCCTCTCTTCACTGAGCTATGGGGAAAGACAGGGGTGCAGGGGTCAAGTGTCTAAAGGCTACCAGCCCTCCTGGAAGAACTGGGGAGGAGAGAGCCGGGGGTCTGGGAGCAGGCCCCGCGGGCGGCTGCAGCTCTTCTGGGTAGAGCCTGTTCTGCCCCCAACCTCCCTCAGCCTGAGCTTGCCACCTGTTCACCCCAGGGTTCTCTGGCCAACAGGACTGCCAATGTAGACCCGGAGGCGCAGGCCCAGGGCTCGCCTCACCCGCCCGGAGTGGCTCCCTCACTCCTGCCCCTGGTGGCCCTGCCACAGGGAAATGGCCAGGCCCATTTCTGCCGGGGTGACGGCAGCTCTGCGCCTGGCCCGAGGAGCAGGGCGAGGAGCAGGTTGAGCCGGGCGCAGCGGGTCCAAGGCACCAGTGAGGGTCCGGCCCACGGAGGCCGGAGGAGGCGGCGGGTCCGTCTGGTTCCCTCCCAACCCCCGTCCCCGCGCCCCGGCCGCCCCCGGTTACCTGTGCGAGTCCTGGTCTCCCCCGGGGGACGCTCCCGCCGGCGCTCAGTACGGGCGATTGGCGTCTTTGGGCCGCTTCAGCTGCACCTTGAGCCTCTTCATGCCGATCTGGAAGCCGTTCATGGCCTGGATGGCGGTCTGCGCGCTGGCCGGGTTGTCGAAGCTCACGAAGCCTGGCGAGACACGAGGGACGAGGGCCTGGGTTTCCACGGGGCCGCCCGGGGCGCTGCCGGCGGGGAGGGGTCGGGGGACAGGGGGGCGGGGCGGGCCTGAGGCTCTCCCCCTCGGGCCCCGCCCCCGGCCCCGCCCCGGTGCCCGCCCCTCTCCAGCCCGCGCGCGCGTGCTAGGCCCCTCCGGGGGCAGGCGCTGGCGGGGACCCGGCTCGCTGACCTGCGCCTAGTCTCTGGCCGCGTCACTCGCCCGGCGCCCGCTCCCCAAGTGGGGCCCGCGGCCGGGCGGCGCTGGGAGAGGCGCCCGCCCCCCACCCCCGCCGGCCCCGGCACCTCAGCCCTCGCCTCGGCGGGAGAGGGCGGACACACCTGCGGGTGGAGGAGTTTATTGGACACTGTCCTCCCTGACAGGAGGGGGCCTGGCAGCGCGCGGGCACAGGGTGCCGGCCTGGGGAGAGAGACGAGTGCGAGGGGCCGGGAGGGAGGCGCCGCCGAGAAACTTCTCCACCGCCGGCCCGGCCGCCCCCCTCGCCACCGCAGGTGCCCGGCTGTCGGAGGAGGCCCAGAGGCTGAGCCCTCGCGGGCCCTCCGCCCCCACTCCCGGCCTCTGCCCGCCCCGCCAGGCTCCGGGTGGGCCCTGGGCGTCACCTCGCCCCGGGCGCCGTCGGCACCTCTCTTCTCCACGCCCTGCGCCGTGGACTAAGCACGCACCAGCTGATATGTCCATAACAAGTCACAAGACCATCAGTGCAAATCAGGCCACAGCCCTCCGTGCAGAAGCGCTTCCCACGCGTTCACTCCTGTGCCCAGATGGCATGCAGAACCTTGCGGCTCCCAGGCCCAACCGCGCAGGTCCCAGATGGGCACAGGTCATGTTCCCAAAATGAGGTCAGAAGTCACCTTTGGGGAACTCTGAATGCATCTCTTCATACAGACAACATTTTACATCAGCATTTCCCAAACTGGCCCTAATAGGTGCTCCTCGAGAAAGGGCTTGTGTGGTCAGGAGGTTTAGAGCCAGGCCCACTGGGCCAGTGCAGCATATCAACAAATAACGTCCCCTCCCTCACCGAGTTGTAGTAAATGAACCTTTATAGCTTTGTTTAATCTAGTATTTCCTTGAATTCATTCGACTTTAGAGGCCTTTTCTCCTGTAAAAAGGACTTAGATCCTGCAAAATATATGAAAGCTTGGCGAGATACTGAGGCGTTCCCATGAACGTGCCCGTTGCGTAATGGTCCCCAAATGGCCATTAGGTATAAGACAGAGATGCACAGCCACCCGGGAGTGAAGTAGAAGCCGTCTTCTCAGTTTATTGTCTGTGGTACCTCGGGCCTGCCTTGGGACTTCTCTCCAAGAAAGAGAGCCCTTCCTCACTTTCCCTACCTGCTGGTTCTTTTTCCCTCTTTCCCTCTGCCCCAGATGCTGCCTCCATCGTCTCTTTCTTTCTCTCCTCTCCTTCCTGCCTTGCTCAAGTTTGCTCCTACAGCCGAACAAGCGCAACAATTGGTCAGAGCTGGGCCCAGAGCAACAAAACTAACCTCTGTATAAATATAGATACCAGAATAAATAGGGAGAATTTCAGCTGATCCATACGAGATTCGCCTCCAGCCATATTTCCACCAGCTCCCCTCAGCCCCTCCTGGCCCGTCCCCACCTCCGCTGACCTGTATGTCTAATCACTAAAGTCAAGTTACGTCAAGTAAAAGTCAAGTACTTAGTAAACCAGAGCAGTTTTCAAATATGTGAATTGTGTGTTGATACTGCTTTCCCCAGAATAAGGAAGGTGGCTGGACAAAAGCCTGTCCCTGCCAGGACAAGGTAGCCTGACTATGGGGGACATGCTGCCCCTCATTCTTCTCATCATCCACCTGAGCTCAAAGAAGGGAGGGGAAAGAAGATAAAAAGGGCTGGAGGAGCTGTCTAGGGCACAGGCGTAGCGGCAGGCAGAACCACTGTGTGGGGAGGGCAGAGAGGAAGTTCTGGAGGAGGGCAGAAGCCCAGCCTTCCTGGAAGAGTTTAGAGGTCCTCGGAAGCCCGAGAGTTGAGAAGCAGTCCAGGGTCAAGGGAATTTTTCTTCCCTTGAACTGTTAGTAACTGGCTAGCAGTCTGAGCAGGGTCCCTCCCCTGCAGACTGGAGGCCCCTGTGGCAGGGCTCTGGGCACTGTCTCCCAAGTTCATGGTTCCAGGACCGTCTTCCTTCTTCCAGAGCTACCTCTCCTTCCCTCCTCCTATCCTCAGAAGGTTTCTGCTCCCAGGCCCTGTGGGAAGGCCCGCAGATAGAATCCCCCTATGGTATTCCCCCAGCCCTCCTTCCAACATAGGAACATTTGTGCTAGACATGCCCTCATGAAGGTATCTGGAAGATTCTGCTCATAAATTTACACATGTGCTTATAAAGAGTGAATGTGGCCTTTGAGGAGTTCACTTTAACATAGGGCCACTTTTATAGCAAAAATAGCACTTTAAGAACAAAGGGGACCTAGCACTTCCTGAGGGTCTGCCCTGGGTAAGCTCCCTCACAGCATCCCTGGGGCGATGATTAAAATCCCCTTTTCACAAAGGAAGAGATTGAGGCTCACAGGGTTAAATGACTTGTCCATGAGGGAATGCTGAAGTTAGGTATCACTTTATTTTATTTTTATTTATTTATTTTGTTATTTATTTTTGAGACGGAGTATTGCTATGTCACCAGGCTAGAGTGCAGTGGTGTGATCTCGGCTAACAGCAACCTCCCTTCCTGGGTTCAAGCAGTTCTCCTGCCTCTACCTCCTGAGTAGGTGGGATTACAGGCGCACACCACCACATCCAGCTAATTTTTGTATTTTTAGTAGAGATGGAGGTTCACCATGTTGGCCAGGCTGGTCTCGAACTCCTGACCTCAAGTGATCTGCCCGCCTCAGCCTCCCAAAGTGCTGGGATTATAGGCATGAGCCACTGCACCCAGCCTAGGTTTCACTTTAAAGGCCTCTGGGATATTGGCAGAAAGCTCAGCTGCCTGGTGAGAGAGAGAACCCAAGTGGCTTAACCAGGAACAGCTGGGCTGGACCAGCATCTCAGGAGTCTGTCCTTTTTTCAGGGCTGGTATGCTCGACATCAGAAATTTGTTCAAGAGAGGAGAGCTAGATTAGAGGTATACTAATTAGAGAGAAAAAAAAACTGTAGTCCTGGCTAATTTAAGTGGGCTAACAGCTTAAAGAGGGTAGTGCTTAGAGCAGACTGCAAGGAAATGCCTTTGGAAAGCCGGACTGCACCCACACCCGGGATGGTGCAAATATGCCAAGCCCAGCTATGGCTGGAGACTAAACCTGTTCCAGCAGAGGCGCCCAGAGCTTCCTGGGCTCTCAGCAGCGCTCTTCTCATTTATGTAACATTTGGGACTTCCTTAAAGAGCAGATGCAACTGATTTCCAGCTTGTTGTTTTTACATACATAACTGTAATTCATAAGGAGAAATACCAAAGAGTGGAGGACTGCAACCCTGTCTTTTGCTTCTGCTTTGTTTTTCCACACCCAGAGAGAAATGAGCTGCTGGGGCAACTCCATGCCATTGAAAGACCACAAGTTTCCTGTGGCAGCTCCAGAGGGGAAGGGACAATGGTGCAAAGATCTTGACTACTTTGGGGAACATGCTCCGAATCCTCAAGCCCTTCATGATTCCAGAAGGTTGGACTCCAGACTGGAAACTCCTTAACATGCGCTTCCTGATGCTGCACTCCTGTCTCCTCTCCCCTCCACCACCCCCAAGCTGTGACCTGGGTTCCTTGCAACTCAACCTCCTACTCTCTCCTCCCAGCCCCAGAATCTGGGGGTCAGCCTGGAGATACTGAGTGTCTGGCAGACTCAGCTCTGGTTCCATATGTGGCTCTCTGGGGACTGGACTCTTCAGTCCTCATGACTTACGAAAGGGTCTGGCCCAGAAGGAACGGATGAAGGAGAAGGATGAGGAGGTCGGAGGGCAACAAGGAGGAGTGGAGGAGAAAGGGTGATATGAAATTCCAGGAGGAGGTCTGACGCTTGCTGGATAGGGTTGCCAGACTTAGCAAATAAAAACACGGGATGCCAGTTACATTTAAGCTTCACATCAACAATAAATACTTTTTACTGTAAGTACATACTTATACTAAAAATGTATCCTTTGTCTATCTGAAATTCAAATTTAACTGGCCATCTATATTTTATCTGACAGCCATACTTCTGGATGCTTTCGAGTTTTCCCTCTCCCATCTAACACCATGCCCTGAGCACATTTCCTGCAAACTGTATTTTTATTACTCTCAGCTCAAGGACCTCCCACCATTTCCACTGCCTACCACACCCCGTGAAACACCCCCCTCTGCATAGTGGAAACCCCCCAGCACAGACACCACACCCCCGCGCCTGGTCTCCCTCTCACTGTCCTCTGGCTCGTCTCACCCCAGCCCCATGCCTTCCTCATCCAATTCTCCCCACGTGGAGTTCCCTCCCTTCCTTTTTGTGTATTTATATCCATCTGCCTTCCTTGTCGTTTCATTATTAGGTGCCTCGCAGATTTCACTGCTATAAACATAATTTTCATCTAAGCTCAGCGCTTAGGCTTCCTGAGGGCAGGGACCAGTCTCCTCTTCCTGACTCCTCAACAATGCCCAGCTCTGGTGGCCTGAGGCAGGTGAGTGGGGAGGGCAGGAGGGGAGCAAAAAGCAGGGTAGACAGAGAAGGAGTTGGGGCAGGACAGAGAGCTGGAGAGAGGAGGCGAAGGGGTGGGCAGGAGAGGGGCCTGGCTAGGTGACTGCCCTGCCCAGGTGTCACGCTCTGATTTAGCCTCGGGCTCAGGCCAGGCCACTCTCACCATGAGAGGAGAGGGGCTACTGGGGGAATGGGTGTGGCTGGGCTCTGCCTGCTGCCCCTCCTACCCCTGTCAAGGTGGCCCCTTTCCCTTCTCAGTAGGTTGGAATTTGTCTGGAAGAGGAAACCCATTTCTTGGACCGGGAGTGGGAGATGGGGAGCCAGGTTGTGTGGGTAGGGAAAGCCAAGAAGCAAAAGGAGTAGTGGGAGAGAGAAGGGTGAGATGAGGCTGGTGAGGGCCATGGAGCAGCTGGGGCGGGGGCAATGTGAAGGAGCAGGTTAAAAGCAGTCGGACACCGGTAGGTTGGTGCGAGCACCGCCCTGTCCTAGGTGAAGCTAATTGGTTTGTTATCTTTACCCACCAAAGCATTTACTTTGGTTAGTCGCCCGATCCACAAACACTTTCGAGGAGATGACATTACCGAAAGGGAGGAACATCTGCATCAGCTCAGCGTCCCCAAACTCCTGGGGCAGATGGTAGATGAACAGGTTACAGCCCTCGGGCCCTGCGGTGAGGGGAGGGGGTGGGCGGGGGAGGAGGGATGGCAGGGTGGGGGAAGAGAGAGACAGAGGAGAGGTGAGCGAGTTAGGCAGCGCAGCAGGGAGGGGTGGGGGCAAGGTTAGGAGGGGGAGTCTCATTCCAGATCCAAGGGCGCCCCAGAAGAGGCAGGGATGCTGAGCCCCGGGTCTGAGCTCCGGTCTCTGCTCTGCCCTTGGGCAAGTCACTGAACCTCTCTGTGCCTCAGTTGCCTTTTCTATAAAATGGATCTGTAGCAGAGGCTTAGAAACCCTAGGGCTCCAGAGGCGGAGTCGACCTACTGCTGTGTCTCTGGAAACCAGGTGCTGAAGATAGGGAAGGCCCAGGAGATCCGGGAGGCCTCCCTCCTGCCCTGCCCCTGCTCTGGGGGGACCAGGGCATCCCCTGGGGCAGCCAAGTCCTGTGCTGGGGAGACCCCCCACTTTCCCTTCTCGCAGGCCAGTCTCAGACTCTGGGATTGGGGTGCCCATCCTCCCCCTGGCCTGCAGCCTCTCTTTCTCATCTGCCCCTGATGGCCCAACTGTCCTGCCCAGTTCCACACACCCAGGAAACCAAGATTTATCCTGCCTCCTCCTGTGTAGGTGCGTAGGAAGCGCTGCAACTGAGGCTCTATGATTAGCCAGGGAACCCTCCAGCCTCATGACATGAAGGTTCTTCATTTCGTTACCACAGTAACAGCCCTGCGACTTCAGCAGCACAAACTATGTGTCAGGCTGTTCTGAGCACTTTACATGTCTCTAACTCACTTAATCCTTACAGCAACCCTGTGACATTATTATCATCATTGCCACTTCACAGATGAGGAAGTGAGGCCCAGAGAGGTTAAGTCACCTGCCAAAACACGCACAGCTGGGAGGGGCCTGGAGCCAGGACATGAGCCTAGCCTGTCTCCATAGAGTGAATTCTTTCCCTCTTGCTACCAAAAATCTCAATATCCCAGATCCCCTGAACACTATGCAGGGCTTTAGCTTTCTAAAATTCCCAATAACTAACCATTTACCTGTTTCTTTTGAAATAGTCAAAATGCTCAATTTTAACTCTTTAAAATGGAAATCGTTCCAAGATGCGTCTTAGATAGCATATGCCACATATAATTTCATCTTTTAAAGTGACTTGTGGTCATTTCAATGATGGTGTCCAAGCTGTGGTGGGAATGGGAAGGAACCAACTGCACCTAGTGTTGTGTAAGAAGCAAGGTTCTGACCAGAGGCTGCTGGAAACCTAGGCATGAGCTCAACAGTGAAGGCTGTAAGGCACCAACATGGGCCGCTGCATGGCTTTCACGCCAGAGCCAACCGTCCTTGTTCTCTGGGAGCCATGAGGCTGCCAGACAACCCAGTTCTGGAGTAAAGGTTCGATTTAGAGACTCTGCACCTTCTCTTCTGCTCCTCTACCTTCCACTCTCCTCCTTTTCTCCATCTATCTCTATTCCCTCAAGGTCCACAGCCTAGAACAAAAATTTCCCCAACCCCTAAAGCTGCCCAAGGAGCCACTGGCTTCCTCCCTCCTTGGTGCTCGCCCTGTGCCCTCTGCCCACCCCAGCCCTTCGGCCTCCCCTCCCTGGACTGCTGGCTCCCAGGCATCCTGCTGGGGGACGGCGCATTCAGAACCGGGCACAAACATGCTCCCTCACCCCCTTCCAGGGGTTCCTGGTGCTGGATACCCCCGAGCTCTGGTGGCCCTCCCCTCACCCTGTCCCCTCCAACCATGCTGTCTTCCCACTGGTTCATGCCCTGTGAATGTGCCCTTGGTGGCCCCCAGCTCCCCATACCCTCCCTCTCTGAAAGAACCTCCAGCCTCTCCCTGCTCATGCCCGAATCCACACTTCATCCTCTGGGGTGGGGCTCTTTCTCTTTTATGTCTAGAGGTTTTTCTCTCCAACCAGACTGGCTGCTCCCAGGGGCATGCTCCTTCTTGTGTCCTCCTGCCCAGCCCCCTCCAGCCCCCCCCACACCTCCCTTCCTCCTCCCATCCTCACTCTTCCAGGCCCTGACTGCTCCAGCCCATGCTGACACCTGCCTTGACTTGGGGCCCTGGCTCTGAGTTCAAGTTCTGCAAGCTGCTTTATGTGGAAGCTACATCTGTTCTCCTTAGAGATAAGGAGCCTTCACAGACAGGGCCCGCAGGCTCAATCCCACATGCGCGGTGTGTGGCGGAGCCCCAGGGATGACTCTCTAGCCCAGGCCTGACGAAGAAGCCAGGGCAGCAGCTCTAGTCCCTTCCCCTGGACAGTGAGCCCACACGCTGTCTAACTCCAGCTACCGCCAAGCCCTTCTGCACTCCCTCATTCACAGATTACAGAACATGCAGATGGCAGAGCTGGCAGGACTTTAGAGACCAATGTGGTCCAGCCCAGCCTTCTGAGAAATGGTGAAGCGGAGCTGCAGAGACAGAAAGCGGCTACCCCTGACCACCTTGCAGCCCTGGCAGAGCCGCTGCGGCAGCCATCCCTGAGGGCAACCTCATCCCATCTGTGGGGCAGATGGCCTCTGGGGAATTCAGGCATCTGTCTGTTTTCAGGCTCAGCTCAAAGATGAGGAGGTGGCAGAAGGGTCCTCCCCTGCCACCAGAATATCCTGGTATTTCCATGACATTCCACATGGGGAGGGGACCATGACATAAAGAAGCCAACTCTTGGCAGGGTTGGAGGAACACAGCCTTCTTTCTTGTTCATGACTCGGACAACTCTGTGGGACACGGCTTTGGCCAGGCTCCAGCCCACCTTGCGCCTGTCTCTCCCTGGCCCCATGCTCACCTTGGACTCTGCAGCAGCTGCACTTTTAATCCCGCTGTTCCCCCTGCCTGGACCTCCTGCCTCCCCAGCTCTATGTGCTGCCAACCTCTGCTCATCCTTCCAGACCCACAGAAGCCTTCCTGACAAACCACTCCCAGTGCCGCGCTCTCACCCGCCCATGCTGTGCGGCTCTGTTGGTATCGTGCATTACTCTTCCCCATCCCCTGCATCCCTGGGGTGGCTCAACCCATGGACCATGGCCTGGGAGAATGGGGACAATAGCAGCAGATCCTGCCACCCCAAGGAGAGGCTGGAGCCAGGACTGGCCACAGAGGGCCTAGACTAGGGAGCAAGGTGTGTGTGTGGGGTGGGGGAGGGGGGGGCAGGAATTGCAGCTGCTCAGAGATGGAGAGAAGGAATGAGGAGGAGTTCAGAGCTACACATATGGGATGGTGGAGTGTAGGGTGGGAGAGGGGCAGGAGGGCCCATGGGGGCCTCAGTTTAAGGCCTGCAGTAGGGGCTGTCATGTGTGTTGGGCAGGGTGCCATTGACCTACGGCTGTGTGAAGGGTGGGGCAGGATTTAGAGACCCCTGAGCCAATAGGCCAGAGTGATTCAGGGAGCTGACAATGGCACCAGTGGGAGAAAAGATATCAGGGCCTGTAGGCACAGCTCTCTGTTCTGGACCTGGAGCGGGCAACATGGGGACTCCTGGACCCCACCCCTTGTGGCCCTGGTCTTACTGATGAAGGCTTGGACTGTGGGGAAGGCAAGGGCAAGGCAGGCCCAGGGCTGCAGCCTGATGAGGGGACCACCCCCACCCCCACTTCACCAGTGGTAGCCCAGTGTCCCTCAGCTGCAGCAGCGTGAGGCAGGGTATGGGCTGGGCCTTCCTGTGCACCCCTCTGGGTTCCTGTAACTTGGCTTTCCTGGGCATGGGAAGCCCTGATGCCCCTGATCTCAGAAGTTGCCTGCTGGGTGTGAGCTGGGGTGGTATGCCTCATGCACAGCCTTGGAAGGGGTGGTAGCTTGGTAAAGGAAGGGCAGTGTGCACTGAGAATGGAGTTTGGGGGCAGACTCAGCCGGCTTGGTCCTCACACCCCTCCAGAGAACGCTCCCCACTCTCCTCACTTTGCTGTGAGGACACTGAGGCTGAGGGGATAGAGTGATTTGTTCAGATTCACAGGGAAGGAGGTGCCAGAGTCCCACCCAAAAGGGTTTTCTCTGAAGGCCAGGCTCTCAGCCAGGCAGGCTGTGGCACCTCTTTGGGGTCTGAGGGACTTGTCTGGCACTGGGGCCTGTCAAATGATGTTGGACCAGCAGACTCTTGAGGCTCTTTCCAGGACTAACCTACATCGGAGGGCTCCAGGACACTATGCTGCAGGGGCTATGAGTCAGGATTTTGGAGGCCATCGGAAGGCTCTGACCACATGGGCTGCAGGGGCAGATTTGGTGCCTCACTACCCAGTGACCATTTCCATAGGGGTAGAGAGGATGGGACCTTGTTAGTGTCCTGCCCCCTCAAGCTGAGCTCTCTGTGGCAGGCCCACAGAGTCCCAGACGGTGCGCCTGTTCATCCAGCCTCCTGTCTTCCTGCTTATGTGGGTACCTAGGCACTGGGATGGGAAGACACTGACTGGCATTCCGAGATCCCTGGCATCTGACCCAAAGATCTTGCTGTCCTGCCCTGTTCACACCAGGGCCTTGGGACACAGCTTTCCAGGATCACCCCCTTCTTCCACTAGGCCTGTACTGGGGCATTCTCATCTCTTCTCACCCTGCCCACGCAGTCCTGCCCTGGGAGCTCCACCTGCCTCTCCTGGTCACCCAGAGGGCACAGCTCCTGTGGGTGATAAACTCATCTCCCTCTCTCATTCCCCTCAGCCATGAGCACTCCTACTTCTCCCCACCCTCCCCACTGGCCAAATCCTGCCCACCAGAGGAGGGGGATTCTTGGACCCCACCTCCTCTGGGGCTTCCCTTCCTGACCCTCTCAGCCTGGTTACCATCTTTTCCTCAATGCACACAGCTATCAGAGCTGGTTCTGCAAACCACCATGTTGTTGGAGTCTCATCTCCCAGCTATTCTCCCTGGGAACACAGTGGTAGGCCCTCCAGTGAAGACCCCAAGGATGGGCCTCTGTCTCCTCTGGAAGACCAGAAACTCCCTGGGTCAAGGACAAGGCCTGCACTGGTACACACAGGCCTAACCTCTGCTAGGTTCTGCTTAAGGGATGGTTCAAGGGCTTGCCAAGGAAGAAACACAAACCCAACCATTCAGAAGGGGTTCTCATAGACCAAGGTTTTGATATGTGAGCTCTGTGTCAGGCCAGCAGCAATGATTGAGGGGAGTAGGAAAGGTGCCTCGTGTGGGACCTGCCAGCCCTCAGGGCATTCTGTCCAGGCCCCTGCCCCTGGGCCAGACACCACTCTGGTGTACAGAGCTGTCCACAAGAAGCGGACCTCTACCCTTAAGTTGGAGAGCGCCACTCCTCACAGCACTGCTGTCTTCCCTTGCCCACCTCAACACAGCACACAAACGTGGTCACCTTTCCAACGCACACCCCAGCCCAAGGCCCAGGTGAGCAGCCTCTTTGGGGACAACAGGGGGAGGGAGGGGCCCAGGAGCTGGCCTGCAGACTCACCTTCTCTCTGCTGCTGGGGGATCATTGGAGGCGGCTGAGGAAAGGCCTGGCTTATCTGACCATAGGCAGCAGGGTAGGCAGCTGCTGGAGGCCCAAGACAAGAAGCAAGAGCCGGCGACAAGGCAGAGAGTGGAAGCAGGAAGAAAGAGAGAGATTTCAGTGCAGGCAGTAAAAGCAGATCAGCCAAAAAGCGCCCTGCCACTCAGCCACTTAGGACAAAGCCAGCTTTCAGTTCCCAGACTAACAGAGGAGTTGCAAGGTGAAGAGTGGAAATGGGTGTGTGGGTGTGTGTACGTGTGTGTGTGCGTGTGTGTACATTACATGCATACATGCATGTACGTGTGGGGATGTGTGTGTACGTGTGTGTGTACATTACATGTGTACATGCAAGTGTGGGTGTACGTGTGTGTACAGTACATGCATACATGCAAGTGTGTGGGTGTGTGTGTACATTACATGCATACATGCATGTGTGTGGGTGTATGTGTGTGCGTGCGTGTACATTACATGTGTACATGCACGTGTGTGGGTGTGTACGTGTGTGTACGTGTGTGCGCGCACGTGCACTTGTGTACATGGTGTTAGTGCATGTGTGCATACATTACATGCACACATGCACGTGTGTGTGTGTATGTTTTGGGGGAGGCAAGTTGAATTTCAAATAGTGGATGAACCACATGTGTGCATAACACAGAATCATGGATAATTAAAAACACCAAAATGGCCTGGACAAGATCACCCCACACCACCTGGAATCCACAGGAAGGATTTCCCACTTCTCTGAGCCACAGCTGACTCCAGCTGGCAGGCCCTCACTCCCACTCAAACGGCACCTGTGTGGGAGGTGGGGGCCACCTGAGGTGTGGACTTGGCCTCTGGGAAGGCTGCCAGGGGGTAGTCCCCAGGGGCAGAGGACTGAGTTGGATAAACCTGATTGTCCAACTGGAAAGGGCCTGAGGTAGGACAGGAGTGGCCGGCTCCCTCCTCTGCCTGGCCTGGCTCCCATAGCAACAGAGCCTGAAGTCAGAGCTCAGGGGACCCAAGAGGTGACAGCACCTCCTCTGGGCTCCAGATGTGCCAGGCCAGCTTCACCTCAGTCCCCTCACCCCTTGC
The DNA here is from genome assembly GCF_000001405.40 of Homo sapiens. Taxonomy (NCBI): domain Eukaryota; kingdom Metazoa; phylum Chordata; class Mammalia; order Primates; family Hominidae; genus Homo; species Homo sapiens. The sequence continues at coordinate 37,265,787 of NC_000018.10, forward strand.
CAGGTAGCCCCACTGCACTCATGGGAGACAGCACTGGCTCTTCTAAGCACAGGGAAGAGAGACCCTGATCAGGTCAGGCAGTAGGACACAGGCTAGGCAGGGATGATGATGGGGTGCTGTGTAGTCCAGGGGTGACAGAAAGAGAGAAGCCTGGCTGACAGCTCGGCTTAGGCTCAGTGACCCCAGGCCCTCTGCTCACTCAGGGCTGTCCCTTCCCACCTCTCCTCCTCTGCTCCCTGTCACACCTGCTGGGGCCCCATCCTGCTGCCAGTGTGTGAGGAAGGGAATGGGGAAACGGCATCTCTTCTAGAGGCCCTCCTTCTCTCAAACCAGGCATCTGTGCTTCCTGGGCCAGTGACTGTGGCCCATGGTGGGCAGCATCCAGGTCCAGCCTCGCCTGTGGTGCTGGTGTCAGACCTGGTGCTCCTGGGCAAAGTGGCCCTGGAAGCTCCATGGGGAAGGGAAATCTGGCCTCAAAGACAGGTAACTGCCCAGCAAGGGTGAAACTTCCACCTGGCCTGCCCACTTGCCTGAAGTTCTGCCCAACCCCACTGCAGGGGCACTCTCGGTGGCCCGCTGACAAGAAGGCAGCCTGGAGGGTCTCTGCCAGCACAGCCCTCCCTCTTTCCACTCTCTCTCCCCACCCCATGCAGTGCTGGCCCCAGGCCTGAGGGGGCACTGGTGTCACAGGCGTGGAGAGATAAACGGAGTTGGGGAAGGAGCCGTGGGGACGCGTGGATACTAACGACCTGCATACTGCTGCACTCCGGCGTAGGCCTGCTGCAGGGGGTCCGCGGCGGTGGGGCTCTGTGCTGTAGGGAGCCAAGGGGACAGAGGTCAGCAGTGCCCACCACACTGGCCCTTCCCCTCATGCCCATGGGGACAATGATGTAGCTGTACTGCCTTTTCTGGCTACTGCAGGCTGTGCCCTGGGGCAGGGCATCCGAGACAGAAACCCTGAGTGCCTGGACCCTCTGGGGGTCACCTTCCCTAGCCCAGGGCTCTTGGCAGGGTAGACAGTTGCCCACCCTGGCTGGGGGATGCAAGCTGCAGTTGGCCTAGGGCTGGGGTAAGATGGGGGCTCATGCAGAGCACTGTGGAGGGTTGGGGAGGAGATGCCAAGGAAGCCTCAACACTGAGATGCTGGTGGTGGGGGGGGACACACAAGGGGCCCAGCCCTGCAGAAGGGCTGTGGGGAAAGGGGAGGGGGCTGGCAGCCCCCAGTGGGTGAAAGAAAGGGCAAGAAGGCCTCACACTACCACTTTGTCCTCCTGGGCCACTGTGCCTGCTCACACAGAGGGATGCGCCCTCACTGTCAGGGAAGCTGCACCAGGCATGGAGGTCTTCCACCCCCAGCCCATGGCTAAGTTCCTTTCAGCAGGGACCAGCTACGCAAATAGGGTCTTCCCAGCAAACTGGGAGAGGGGTGCTGCCCGCAGAACCGAGGAACCAGGAGACCAAGGACCTTCCTCCTGTCTTCTGACACTGTGACCCTGGGATGTCTCCTGCCCAGTGGGAAGAGAGGTCCCCTGTACAGATACTTTGGCAAGAAACTCAGGGAAGTTGGGCTGAGAGAAAGGCTTGGTTCCCTTCTGTTGTCTTTGCTGTCTCTGCTGAAGCTGTGGGCAAAAGCCTGAAGCATGGGCCAGCAGTAGGCACTGGTTTTGGCGACCAAGGCTGGTGGTGACTAATGTGGGAGTGGGCTGGCTTTGGAAGCCCAGAGAGGTGGTAGAGGCAGGGACTGCCCAGAGGGAGGATGGAGCCCTAGGATGCTTGAGGGAAAACTGGATAACACGATGTGGCAGGAAGAAACTATCTGGGCTTATCCGCCTGTCAACTCAGGCCAGCTAAGCTAAGTGGCCATGCCAGGCTTTGGGACCTTTAGTCTAGGGAGAGTGCCTCAACTTCCCTCCTGAGCACGTTTCCCTGAGTATCTCACTAAACCTCCACTAGAAAAAGGGCACCTGGGCTGGGCACGGTGGCTCATGCCTGCAATCCCAACACTTTGGGAGGCCGAGGTGGGTGGATCATCTGAGGTCAGGAGCTTGAGACCAGCCTGGCCAACATGGTGAAAACCCGTCTCTACTAAAAATACAAAAAAATTAGTGGGCATGGTGGTGGGCACCTGTAATCCCAGCTACTCAGGAGGCTGAGGCAGGAGAATCACTTGAACCCGGGAGGCGGAGGTTGCAGTGAACTGAGATCATGCCATTGCACTCCAGCCTGGGCAACAATTGTGAAACTCTGTCTCAAAAGAAAAGAAAAAGAGCACCTGGGCCTGAGGGGTGCCCAGGGAAAAGCCTGGGGCAGAGGTCCCTAGAGACAGTGGGACAGTAGGTTCTATAGCCCCCAGGAGCAGGATGCGGCAGGGGAGTCAGACCCACGGGGGCTCTGCTCAGATGGGGGGAGCTGAAGATGAGCCACAATGCAGGCTCCTTCCTGCCTGGGGCTGTCCCAGTCCCACACCCTGTCCCTCTATTTCCCCCATGGTAGAGACTGGCGCTGAGGGCTCCTCAGTGTGATGTGCTTGGGAGGGTGGTCTCCTCTCTGCCTTCCCTCTGCCCCTATCCTCTGCCAGCCTCTAAGCTCTATAGAAGGAGAACCACGTCCGGATTGTGCTCTTGGTCTTTCCAGCTATTCATCCATGCAGTGGCTTTATGCAAATTAGAAAAGGGTGCCCCTTCCTTTGGGCATACAGTTTGGTGCCCTCATGCAAAATATAACCTGCACGATTTGCATGGCAGCTGCCAGCACAGTGCCAGGAACATCATAAGCATCTGGCAGAGTATGATGAAAAGAATGAATGAACAATCTTTAATGTTTGCAAGAGCCACCCCTTCAAGGGTGTTTATGTGACAGTAAAGGCCACACTGTGTGTATCCAGCAAGAACCCAAGAGGGGAGATCAGAAAAGCTACCTGGGGCAGGGAAACAGAAAAAAGCATTTATGAGACCCTTCTCTACTTCTCTGCCTAACGACCTCATTAGTAACTGCCAAAGAGTGAACATTTTGAAGGATCTCGCTCATTACAGCGGGTCCAAACTCCGCATTTAAAGATGGTAAATTAATTTTTTTAATGTACTACTTTTTTCCTTTCCTTCCCTCCATCCCTCCCTCCCTCTTGCTCTGGCAAGGAATTGTTTATGAGATGTGGCAGATTGTTACAAATAGGGGAAGAAACATTTCCAAATTCCATGAGGGAAATAGCTCACAGATGCCAGAGGGGGTTGGGAAGGAGCAGGTTTATCAGGATCCAGAGATCCAGATGGGCTTGTGGGCAGGAAGGGGTGGGAAATGAAGCCACCCAGATGTGCTGGGGATGCCATCTCCCAGCCCATGAGCCTTAGACTGGTGGGATCTCTTCCACCCCCAGCTTGCACAGCCCCACCCTGCCACCCTACCAGCTTGGGGTCATCATCCTTAAACAACACTCCAGATCATTAGAGCCTCATCACTTCACTCTCTAGACTCCTCTGGCCTCTTCTTGGTGGATTGAGGGATATATTATGGGGCAAGCTCTGGAATGGGGAATGGGATTAAGGAAAACTCCAAGTTCAAAGTCAGGAAATTCTCCTCTATTTCCCTCTAGTACAGTGACCTTGCACTCTGCTGCTAGTGGGACTTTTATATACTACAAATGCCTGGTCTGCACTCTAGACAGGGAAATGAGAATGTCTGGGCTTATGTGGTTGTATAAAGCCCCACAGTGGATTCTGATGGGCACCCAGAGTGGGGAACAGGACCCAGCCCCTGCTGCCAATTCACCTTGGGCTGGCCTGCCTGCCGTGTGTGCCAATCTCCTTACCACCTCCACTCTTGCCAGGCAGGTCCCTCCAAAGGAGGGTGTTCCCTGTTCATCTTCACCTCTCCAATTCCTGCCCATCTGTTAATGCTCGATGGTAGTTTCCTCCTTGGGAAGGCTTTTTGGGGCTTCTTTAGCCTACAGAACTGTCCATTCATTGGGATCTTTAGCATTTCAAGTCTGAGAACACTCACTCATGATCAAACTTAATTCTGCCATATTGTCTCATCATTCTGCAGACTTAGATTGTGTTCCCAATGGACTCTGACCTCCCAGGCGATAGGTCCATGTCCTGCTCTACTTCTTGGGCCCCCCTTTCACAGCACAAACTGAGTACTTACTGATACTTACGGGGACTCTAACCTCATCCTCTGCCTCCAGGAAGCGGGGCGGCACTCCACATCGGGAGCACATTTCCCTTGTAGTTTACTAGAGGGCTTTGGGCCCAGCTTCCCTGCCCTGATAGCAGCCCATTCTCCAGACCAGGGAGAAGAGCTGCTTCAGGCCAACTGGACACTCTCACCCTGTGAGGACGGCTAAGTTTGAGGAAAAAAGGTAATCAGGAGCAGGCCTCTTGGATCTTTCCGTGTGCCAGACTATTTGAAAAAATAGTCTAGGAGCTGTCCAAGGTGCTGGGCTGTCTGTGGTGCTGACCTGTCCATGGTGCTGATCACGCTTTGCGTGCACCATGATCGCGCTTTTGTGTGCACCAAGGGATGGACTGGTCTGTACTAGACAGACTGCCAATCGTTATACCTCCCTCCACTCCTTCCCAAAGAGTCTTTTCCTACTTAACACTAACCCTGATTGTTCTTCTAGTTTCTATCCCCTTACTTCTTGTAGGTTAAATTCACACTCAATTATTTTGCACTTACTGGCCTCTCTACATGGTTGTACAACTGCACCCAGTCTCCTTTCTTCCCTAAGGGAGCACCTGGAATGGGGATCTGTCTCCCAGATCAGAATGACATATCCCCAAGGGCAGGATTTTGGTCTCATTTTTTCCATCACGGGCTCCCTGAAGGAAGATGGGAGGCTGGCCCTCTCTGATCACACTTGGGGTTTCATCAAGGAATGGACAGAGGGCAGGAGCCACATCTTGTTATAACAGCAAGGGCAGGGACAGCATGGATAAAGAATGTGCTGCATACGGAAATAAGTGCTGACAGATGTGCTTACCTGGGTAGGGGTGGATGCCATTGGCGAACACAGCTTCCGCAGCAGGTTGCCCATTGGCCTGTGGGGGGAGGCCGGTGAAGCCATTCACCCCAATGGGGGATGGGATGCTAGGCACGGCTGGTGCAGTGATGCCCGGAGGGGTGCTGCCACCTGGTTCCAGGCATACAGAAGGGTGGAGGAGGAGGGGAGGCAAGCAGAACAAAGGTGAGGAAGGCCCACCCATAAAGCTTCACTCAACTGTTTCCAAGGACCTGCGGATAGACTTGGACCTCACATACCAGTTCAATCTTATCTATGACCCATGCCTTGGCTTATCTCCCTATATGAAGTGACTTCACCTATCCCAATTGTATCTATCCTTCAAGGCAGACTCCAAATTCCACCTGCCCAAATAAGATTTCTCTGACCCTGATGGCTTGTCCTTAGACAGCACATAGACTACTCTCAGTGCCCTTGACTGTAACCACACTTGGTCTTCCTTCAGTCCTTTTTTTTTTTTTTTTTTTTTTTGTCTTGCTCTGTTGCCCAGGTTGCTGGAGTACAGTGGTGCAATCTCAGCTCACTGCAACCTCCACCTCCTGGGTTCAAACAATTCTCCTTCCTCAGCCTCCCAAGTAGCTGGGACTACCAGCATGCACCACCAGGCCCAGCTAATTTTTGTATTTTTTAGTAGGGTTGGGGTTTCGCCATGTTGGCCAAGCTGGTCTTGAACTCCTGACCTCAAGTGATCCACCCGCCTCGGCCTCCCAAAATGCTGGGATTACAGGCATGAGCCACCGTACCTGGCCTTCCTTAAGTCTTTTTCAGTGCTCTTACTCTCTTCAGCTAAGGCTGGATGAGCTGGTCTTTACTTGGTCATTGGGGGGCTGATATGCCTCTCCAGGAGGAAGTTTTTCTGCTCAGATGGAGTAGGTCTTAATTCTGGCCTTCTCTCGTACTGAGGCAGAGAGGTTATTACAGAGCCCAGACTCAGCTTTAGCTCATACACAAAGTAGACACCTTGGCCTCCTCCACTTGAAGCAATAGTAGTGGTCATGATGGTGAGAATAAAGTTGGGGTCAAATGACAATACCCTGTGTCCTCCCTATGCCAAGTGGGTGGAACCTGAGATGTGGATATTATGGTGATTGTACTGAAAGCCCAGAGGCTGGAAAGGGCCTTCCTCTCATGTAGGAAGCAGGGTCCCTCTGAGAATGTGGACCTGAGGTTGGCCACTGCCTGGGCTCATGTGTATCCCTTGAAGTTGGGGATCAGAGGTGAAGAGTAGTGTTCAAGTTGAGCCCAGAGATGGCACAGTCTTTTTGGCTTTCACCTGGGAAAGGAACAGCTCTTGGATGTTAGGAAAGTTGCTGCTGTGGCCTGGGCACAGAGAGCCAAGGAAGCTCAGTGAATAAGAGCCTGGGGTGCAGGACCAGCCCTTAGGACTAGACTAGCGTTTCTCAACTTTGACACTATTACCATCTGGGGCCAGATAGTTCCTTGTGGTGGCTGTCCTGTGCACTGTAGGATCATACAGCAATATCCCTGGCCTCTACCCACTAGATTTCAGTAGCAATCCCCACTCCCAGTTGTGACAATCAAAAATGTCTCCAGACATTGCCAGATGTCCTGGGGATTCGGGGGCATAACTGCAACAGCTGAGACTCACTGGACTGGACAATAGCCAAGATTCAATCAAAAACATGATTTGTGAGCTGGGTTCTTTCCAAACTCCTGTCCCTTGATAACTCTTGTGGTTCTCTCTAGCTTGTTGCATAGTTGTCTTAGAAAAAGCCAGTGAGTCTAGATTGGGTTAAAGGGAAATGAAAAAAAAAAAAAAAAAAAAAAGACGACACCCAAATGGGTTCCTTCTGTGCTTGGGCCAGGGGCTGAACAAGGCCACAGAATGGCCAAGGCTCTTCTCATCATAGACACCACAGGGAGATGTCTTCATGTCAATTTCTTTCCAGGTCTCTTGTTGGTAAACATCAAGATACATTGTTTCCTGATAAGGTTAAACAGCTTGAGAGAAATCCACCCCACCCTGAAATCACACGGTAGACTGCATGGGTCCCATATCTCATCTTCCCTTGGATCCCCATGGATTAGAACATTTTTGAGACAAACTGCCAGAAGGCAAGTCCTCTCGGGCCCAGACACTATGTGCTTTTGCCACAGAATGGTCCGCTGGTAGCTGAAATTAGGTCCCAGCCTGGGGCCAGCTGTTCTCCCACCGGGCCAGACCGCGTGTTGGCACCTGCCAGCTCACCTGAGGTTGGGGTCATAGGTGCGGCCGCCAGGCCATTCATGTTGAGGGCCGCCATCTGCTGCATCTGGGCGGCAGCGAAGGCAGCCATGGGGTTCAGGTAGCCGCCCTGCGCGACTGATGCCATCAGGGCCGCTTGCTGCTGCATCAGCTGGGGCAGAGGGAGTGGAAAAAATATCACGTGCTTCCAGGGGGCATCCCTCCCCGACAGGGGCCTCAGCTCCTGGAGACCAATCTCCCAGGCTCTGAGCCCCAGAAGCTCCCAACTACCACTCCAGAAAGCCCTGATGCCTCTCCCATTCTTGCCCTGTACCTCAACAGCTATTAGAGTCCACCACCCTGAGAGATGACTGTATTTAAAAGTAATGCTAGGGTCTTTGGAACTCCAAAGTTGTTGCTAGGGGCAGAGGAGGAGACTGGCTCTGTGGGTGCTAGTCAGCCCTGTGTACAGCCTGTCATTCGTGGGGAAGTGACATCCAAAGCACTAGAGACATGCTGGATGAGCCTCTGCAGAACTCACTTAGCACAGGTTTCTGTCCAGAATGGTTTTAATTTGGAGTCTGTTGGTAGAAGTGACAGGAGAATTATGAATAGAACCCCAGGCACCCCTAGTGTTGTCACAAAGGTGAGTGCGGACAGGGGAGGCTGCGGAATGTGGCCAAGGCGGACAGTACTGCAGAAGTGAGGTAAGCTTGCATTTTCAGACCCAGAACCGTGGCCTGCCTCAGTGCCACCCACATGGGAGCTGTGGTTACCAGTCTGCAGGCAGCTCCGGGAGAGGCTGACAGAGTGGGCCCCCATGTGGAAGAAAGAAGTAGGTGGGCCAGAGGCCTGAGGGGATATCAGAAGTGTGGGTGTGTAGGGCTTTAGGGCACCTCACAGGAGCCCTGCCAGGAGAGACCAGAAGGCCTGAAGTCACCGTTCCATGGAGTAGGGGTGGTTTGCAACCAATGACCTGAACCTCACCCTCTCATCTGTGCTTCCTGGGGTTCAACGTTGATCTGGCTGAGAGGAAAAGGCTCAGGGTAACCCACTTTTCTGTGGGGCCTCTCTCAGCTCTGCCCCTTAGAACTAAGACAGCAGCCCACCTCCTCCTGGCAGCCACCCCAACTGGGCCAGCCTTCTTTCAAACCCTTCTGAAGTTAAACCCCCCAGGTTCATGGGTTCATTCCCGGCCCCTCCTCACTCTGGAGGGAGAGGGCAAGGGATAGAGTAGTATTTTCGGTTTCATGTCCCGCTCTCTGAGGCTCCCAGGGGAGTGAGCTTGAGAACCGCTGCCCGTGCGCGCTGCCACTTACTGCCTGAGCGTAGGCGCCGTAGGCCCCGAAAGGGATGGCCATGGGGTTGAACATGCCCATCTGGCCAGCCATCTGCTGCATTCGCCGCATCGTGCGCTCCTTGTCGGTGTCGGCGAACTTGACCACCAGACTGGACGAGGCTCCCTGCGGCCGGGGCGGCGCGTGAGACCCACCTGCTCCAGAGCCTCCGCCCGCAGCTGTCGGTGCCTCTGGCCTGCGCCCACCCCGCCCGCTCCTCGGGGCGCTTTGGAGGAGGCGGCATCGGCGCTCGCCCAGGGGAATGAGGTGTGAACCCCACCGCGGGCATTTTCCACCTGGGTAACCTCAGGCCAGTTCCTTAACATCCCTGGGCTTCCGCGTCCTTGTCTGAGGCCCGGAATAAGGGTCATGCTTTCCTGTCTCTTGGGGAGACTGGACAGCCGGCGGGGCGTGGCGGGTGCTGGGGTCTCGGCCCGCCGCTGCCCTCGCCCCCGCCCCAAGGGGCCAGCACTCACCGGCATGGTCTGGCTGCCGTGTAGCGCGTTGATGGCGGCCTGCGCCTCGGCGTGGGAGGAGTACTTCACAAAGGCGCACCCTGCGAGGACGCGAGAGGCCGAGCTGGGACCCAGAAGCAGGGCCAGGGAGGGGCCGGGAGGAGAGGGCGCATCCCAGGTGAACGCAGACGGGTGAGGCAGAGATTGAGAAAGAGACACCAAGAAGCCCAGAGACAGACGGCGATGGCCCCGGAGACTCAGAGGAGCCCTCTGGTCTCCCTCCGCCTCGCCCCTCCCTCCGGGGCATCCCTCCCGGCCCCGCCCCGCGCACCCTTGCTGTTGCCGTCGGGCCCGCGCAGGATGGTGCACTCCTCGATGTTCCCAAAGGCCTCGAAAAGGCGGCGCACGTCGTCCTCGGACTGTTGCTTGTTGAGCATGCCCACGAAGAGTTTTCTATCTTCTAGAACAAAATTAGGAGATGCTTACCCGGGCCAGGGACCGGGCTGCGCGGGAGCAGGGCAAGGCCGGAGGGGGAGAGCGGCAGGGAAAGGGAGGAGCCGGGGAGGCGGGGCGGGGGCTCGGAGCCGGCGGGGGAGAGGTGCGGGGGAGGGGGACGGGGGCGGGGCTTAGTCGGAGCGGGAGGGGCGAGGGAGAGAAGTAGGTGGGGTAGGAGCGCACAGTCGCGGGACAGGTGCGGAGAGAGCTGTGGCAGGCAGGAGCTGGATCGCAGCGACTCGGCCTCCTCCCGCCTGCAGGGCAGGCTGCACCCTGAGGAGCAGAGACCCTGGGCTGACCCCTCACTAGAGCACACGGGCAGCCTGCGTTCCCCTCCTCCTTCGTCTCACATGCTATCCTCTACAGGCTCCAAAATGAATCACAACTGGCGGGTCTGACTTCGGGCCTTTGCAGATGCTGTTCCCCTGCCTGGAGCGCACTTATCACAAGGTCCAGTCCTCTTCTTCTAGGTCTCAGTTTGAGTATTGCCTCCTCACCCATGCCCCTTCTTATCCCTCCCTTACTCTGTCTCAGGCCCCCATCCCTGTGGCCGGAATGTCAAAGGACAATGACTACTTTGTGGGTTTCCGTATAGCTCTCCTTTCCCACCCATTCCCTGGGATGCTCACTGGGGAAAGAGACCAGGCCTCTCTGCTGAAGCAGCAGTGCCTGGAGCACAGGAGGCCCTCCATTTAGTGATGAGGTGAATAAAGAATGAATGACTGCCTGTCCTGTGCCATCCCAGGGCACACCTCCTTGGTATGTCACATATTTTTTCTTCCATCTGGATGCGCCCTCCTCGGTCTGGCTCTTCCTATTTCTTCACGCTGCAAAATTCGACCCTGGACACTTTGGGGGCGTCTGTTCCTGAAGATGCCTCAGCAGCCCCCACACACCTGGGATGAGTATCAGGTGCTTTGTTGATCCCATGCTGTGTGCTCAGGGAGACAAAGCATGCACGCATGGGGCTGTATCCACCTGCAGCAGCTGGTGAATGACTGCAGAAGGCAGCCCCAGCCCACATACTGCTACTTCAGTGTGACTGCCACTCCTCTCACTGAGAGTCCGGGGGCGTATTCCTTCCCCTTGACTGCTCTAACAAATAAAGAATGGCAGAAGTGATGCCAGGTGACTTCTGAGGTTGGGTCATAAAAGAGATCAGCTTCCACTTGCCTCTGTTTTGTGGGGTGGGGGGTTGTTAGCTCTGTGGAAGCCAGCCACCATGCTGTGAACCCCCAATTAGCCCATGCAGAAGAGTCCCCATGGAAAGGAACTGAGGCCCCAGCTGACAGCCAACATCGACCACCAGACACGTGAATGAATGAGTCCTCGGATAATTCCAGCTCCCAGCCTTTGAATTTTCCAGCTGAGGCCCAGACATCCTGGAGCAGAGACAGGCCTTCCATGCTGTGCCCTGTGAATTCCTGACCCATGGAATCCATGAGCAAAATAAATGGTTGTTTTACACCACTCAGTTTCGGGCTAAATTGGTATGCAGCCATAGGAACTGGAACAGAGTCCCAGGGGTGGCTGCACTCAGCAGGCACTCGCTAGATGTTTGTGGATGATTACATGATTGACACACAGCCAAAGCTGCAGAAATGCAGACCCCAAAACTGCAAATGGCCATGTGTTCATGGTTTCCTCTGAGCACATGGGCACTCAGGGACCCTGTGTCCTTCTGTATTCAAGGTGGTTGGTACCTTCTTTCCCAGAGAACCCCCACCTTGCCCAAATTGTCAGGAGAGTTCACTTAGAGCTGAGGGTCTGTCCCAGGTTCTGAAGCAAAGCAGAGGAGGCTTTCAGGCCCCTGCCCTCCACAAGCCACCTGCAGAGTCCTCCTGCCCTCTGCCCTGCTGGTACTCCTCAGTCCAGACGCACTCAGCACTGGGCCAGTTCTCAATGATGATGTGGTACCAGGTCCCAGCTCCTCGCATAACCTGTAGGGCACAGTTACTGGTCCCTGTTACCAGCTGTTCGTCAAAAAACACCAGCTGGCCCTCCAACAGGGTGGGCCTCAGCTAAAGCTCTGGACCCCAGAGCCCAGGCCCCACTACCTGCCTCAAGCTGCTCTTCTGGCTCCTTTGGCTTGGCAAGACTTTGGGGCACACCCCCACCCCATCTCCAGGGTTCTGCGTGCAGCCCTCCCCCACTTACTCCAGGCTCTGGGGCACAAGGAGAAGGAAGAGAGAGAGGGAGGGTGGAAGAGAAAAGCTGAAGTGGGATGGGAGGAGATAGAGTTCAGCGCAGAAAGGGAGTGGGGGAGAGAAAATGGCAGGAAACACAGACAAGAGAATCAGAGGCAAAGAGCTGGGAGAAGAGGGCTGGGGGGAAAGATGGCAGAGACAGAGGAAAGACTAGGGAGCCATTATGTTTGACTCCTGGAAGCAGCAACAGCAATTTACTGGAAGTGAAATGGGAGCTTTTCCTTCTTTTGTGGAGTAATTAAAACTCTTCTTTCCAGGCACAGCCCCCAGTGTTCTCCCTACCTCCCCCTCAACCTTTAGTGCCTTTTAAAGGCTCAATCGAATTGGGTTTCCAGAAAGACTTAGAAATGGAACCCCGCCCCTGCTAATCCCTGGCCCTCTTGCTAAAAATTCCACTTCCTCACTTGGACAGAAAAAGGAAAGGAAGGGAACGCACCTCCTCTGCCCAAGCTTGATTTACATGCGGAGACTGCAGCTCCTCGCCTTCGCCTCTCCTGACGTCTGAATGCATTCCTTTATTATTGCTATGACAGCTTTCTGATTGCATTAAAATTCATCCACATGTGCCTTTCTATCCAGCCACTTCCTTTTTTGCCGGTTTTGGGTTTTTTTTGTTTTTTCCTAATTCCTCGTTCCCCTCCCCTGAAATTTTCCTTTACTGTGCAGTTCTCAGTTAAGCGCCTCCTTCTAGAGGCCTTTCTAAACATATAAGCTGCCAGGCTCCCCCTCTTCCTCCCCATCTGGATTTCCCCAGGGAAACTATAGCCACCCTTACCTTTCTGGAGGGCTGCAAGATACCAAAGACACCCAGCTTCAGACTCACTTCCTCCAGGTAGTCATGGATTGACCACAACCAACTCAAATGTCTGCTTCTAGGATCCTCAAATGTGTTCAGTTTGCACCGTCCTCCAGTTGGGTATTGTGGCTTGTGCGAGTGATTCTAAGGCTTGTCTCTCAGACCAGGGGCTGGAGGGACTTTGAGTTTGCGAGTGGACTTCCTTGTGGGCCAGGCCCACTGACTCCCCCTCCCGCTCCCCTGCTCCACAACTGAGTTTTGGGATCTATGAAATGGGTATGATTAGATGCTCTTGTCATGGTGGTGGCTAGGGTCCCAGCGCCTGCCAAGAGGTAATTACCATGGCGATGGCCCCTACTTGGGTTTCTCCGTGCAGGAGGAAGAGGAAATGCAGTGCTGTTTTCCCTTCATTCGCCCTGCCTTGGTTTGGCCTGGAAGGTCACCCCTGCTGTGAGAGGGCAGAGGTCAAAGAGGGTGAGAGGAGAAGTCAGAGGAGCCACATCTTATGATGGGGAACACACTTGAAGCAACAGGTTGGACTAGATCCTGAGGCTGTGGCTGGCCAGCTGAGATGGACAACATCTCCCTGTCTCCCACCCACTCTGCCCACCTCCTTTCTGTCCGCTTTCCTGAGGCACTGTCTCAAGCTGCATCACATAACCAACGGTACCATTTGGCTGGTGTCTTGGGTCTGATGCCAGTTTCGCAAGAGTCTTGGAGAATGACTCTGTTTCCCCAGCCCGTGCCCACCCTCCTCCTCCATCCACACAGCCCCTGACTCCTGGTACAGGCAGAGAAGGCCCTGGCCACTGCCCAGCTGCCTAAGCTGGGACCCCTGGTAATGGAGAGGCTCTGGTGGTCCCCATGTTCTGGTGAGCCCTCAGCCCTGAGCCTGTTGCTTCCCATAGTCGGGGTATTGGGGAGCTGCCCCTCTGAAGACACATTCAGGCAGGTGCTGCTGGGCTGGGCCAAGGTGTTGAGGCAAGGAGTGGCCTCAGAGTTAGTGAGGGGATGGGCTGAAGAGTGAGTGAGAGGTTGCTGAGACCCCCTGGGGGCCCAGAGATGTGGTGAGCAACTGGAGGCTGGCATTAGGAGCCCAGAATTCTCTTGACAGAGCCCAGCTCAGGTCAGGGGCTCAGCCCTGGGAGTTGGAAAGTGAGCACAACAAAATCCGCTGACCTGAGCTGCGGGGACTGAGGCCTCACGGGTTCCTCCTGGTCAAGGGGCAGAGCAAGGGGAGCAAGCATGTTCTACAGTCTCTCAACAGCTGTTCACTGAGTACCTTCTCTGTGCCGGACTCTGTTCCAAGCATTGCTTCTACAGTGGTAAACAAGAGAGACGAAGCTGCTCGTTGGAACTGGCATCTGGGTGGAGAGACAGGCCATCCACAATACACAAGTCCCCAAACAAGACAAAGGCCAGCAGGGCTGGCACACTGTGGCCCCAAGAACTGCTGTCCCTGCACCTGGAAGAACAAGGCCACAGAGTGGCAGAGCTGGGCAGGACCCCGGATAACACCAAGGGTTTCATGCTTTTCCAGATAAGGAAGCTGGGGCAGAGAAGGAACCCCAGGATGCACAGGAGGTTGCCCATAGCTGGAGCCTAGACTCAACCCAGCCTCATGGGGTCCCTTGATTTCATGATCACAAAGCCCTTGCTGCTGCCATCTGCTCTTTTAAATCGTGTCTGTGCCTGCAGGTGTGAGGGAGCATCTGGGGTTCTGTGGAACAGGAGTGTGACTCCCCAGAGGGCTGGGCAACAGGACGTAGGTGCTCATCCCAGCCCCGCTTGGACCCAGAGAGGGCATCTTGGCTCTTTGTCCCCAGATGTCTAACCACCATAGGGGAGTAGGCAGAGTCTGTACTCACCACCCCACCTGCGCAGGAGCTGGGGCTGGGGGAAGATGATAAAACTGTGGACAGGAGAAGCTTCCAGTTCTGTGTCAGGTGAAGATGCTTACAGCCACCTCAGGAGGGGCTGGACAAAACCCCTGACTTTGCATCTCCCCTCTGGCTGCCCCTTCAGCAAACATTGATTGAGCACTCACTGTGTGCCTGGGAATTGTTAGAACAGAGGATCTGAGATGAGTTTTGGGAGCACTTCTGGGTTTTCTCTTTTAAGGGGTTGGGAAGAAAGAGTTGTGCATGGCTCTGAGATCCCTGGAGAGTCCAGAGTCTTTGGTCTATGGGCCCAGAGCCTCTTCATTGGAGCCCCTGATGAGAGAACAAAGGCCTGATAGATACATTCAGTAACTCTGGGATGAAGGCCAGAAGAGGCTAGAAGTGGGAGGAGAAACTAGCTACACCCTGATGGCTTCCAGGAGGAGGTGGGCTGGAGTTATGAAGTGCATGGGACATATGCAGGGACAACAAGCCCACACCAGAATTTGAGCAAAGGTGGAGAGGTGGAGGGACGCCTTCGGCTGCCCTTTTCACCTGCTCCAAGTGGTCCCTGCCTGTGGCAGCTTTGCAAGAAGGGGACGCTGAGGAAGCTTGACTTTGCTTCTTCACCTGCCTCCTGACTGCTTTCCTTTCCACCAACGCATACATCACCCATTCCTCTGACTTCAGGACTCTTTTTAATTTTCCTTAAACCCCAGTCTAACTCTGAGCTTTGGTTCACAACCTATAAAAAGCATTGGGTGACACCCGGGGAAGTGACAGGTGCTAACGGAAATACAATGGAATCTGGCTGCCAGAACCTCCTGCATCCTCCCATGGGTCCCTCCATGAGGGAGACAAAAACTCCTGAGCTCACTGTATTCAGGGTATCAGGGAAGGATGGGGCTCGGGCTGAAAGGATTTGTATTTTAAAAGGAAAGCCCAGGGCACCCTCAGTGGAACCTCAGGATTAGCACAAACCCCTAACGGGGATGTTTCAGGGCTGTGCCTTCTCTGCTGCCCCACCCTAGCCACGTGGGAAGCATCTTGCTGGCCGGGCAGGGTGAGTGGGCCTCTGAGTGGTGAGGAGGGAGGTAACAGCACTACCACTTGACTCGCCAAATGCCAGCATCCTGGCACTAATGCTCAAATTCCAGTTTAATTTTCACAATTTGATTCACTCATTACCATCAGCATTAAACAATATTTCTTGCTTAAGGATAGACGGTTGCAGGGGCACTGTGGGCGAGTGTTCAGATGGTTAATGCCTTTTATTACCGCAGTAGATTTTTACTATTCTCTTCCCTCCAGCTGCTGAAGGAAGGTTGGGGGCTACTGAGCTGGGGAGAATGCTGGGGTCAGGGACCAGGGTGGGGAGTACATGGCTTTGAGGTCTAGTGGCTGGTGGGGTGGGCAGAGAGGCTGCTAGGAGACCTGGAGGCTCAAAGGCAGCAGTTTGGGGGTGCAGAGAAAATGCCAGATATTCATGATGACAGAGCTGGAGGCCTCTTTCCTGCTTTGGAGTCTTTGGTCTTGGGGAGTGACAGGGACTGGGCAAGAGCCCAGAGACCAGAGCACCCCATGAATCTGCTCCTCAGCTGCCAGGCAGAGTCTGGAGCCCAGGGTCATCCCATGCAGTGGCCCCCCCAGGGTGCCTCCTGGATCCCAGGGTCTTCTACTCTCTCTGGGCCCGCAGGCAGTGACTCTGAGGGTGAAGGACATGCCCCCCTCTCTAACTTTACCTGTGGATCAGGGAGGACCTTCAGTAGCAAGGGACAGGGAGACACACCTGACTCAACAGGAGGGCCAGGCCAATGGTGTCCTCCAGATACTAACTGAGGCTGTTTGTCAAATCCTAGTTCCACCACATTTTGGCTGTGCAGGCTCAGGCAAGGCATATAACTCCCCAGGCAGGTCTGGAATTAAATGAGGTTTTTAGCACGTGCGTGGCACAGAGAAAAGGCTCAATAAGTGCCAGTTATTGTGAATGTTGTAACCATTACTACTGCTCACCCATGGGAACCCCAGCTGGCAGGAGGGTGATGCCCACTCCCACCCCTGGGAGTGTAGAGAGGACCACCAGGGACATCAAACTGAGCAAAGTTGTGCCAGCCCAGGTCAGTCAGAGAAGCCAACAGCATTTTGAGAACCACTGAGATGCTCTCCAGCCTCCACCAGGAGGTCTACATGGGTTGTGCAAAAACAGACATTTCCCCTAAAGGTACTGAGCATCCCTACATGGCATTTCCATGAATTCTCCCAATCCAGATCTGTCAAGCACCCATGGTTCCTAAGGGACAAGCAACTCATCTGAATCTACATCTGTGCAGTTTTCAAGGTTGCCTGACCACTCCACCCCAAAACCCAGAGGCTTCCTTTTCTTCCCCTTTGCCAGCCCTTGTAGAGCCACCTCACTGCCCCAGGGGGCAGCATACAGCAGCAGAACTGCCTTCTAAGTAGGGATGCAGTGGATAGGGACAGGGGTCTGCACTCCCATCCTTGGAGGCTGAGAACCCAGCAATTACCCCTGATCAGGTCGGCGCAGACAGTTTCCAGCACCACTGTCCACACTGGAGTCAAGAACCTGCAGCTATGTGACCAGGCTGGCCATCCTCCCAAGAGCCAGTTCCTTCACCTGAGACACAGGGTCACCACGGGCCAGGTCTCAGGATGGCTCTGAGCCTGAGCCAGTGGAGAGCTACACACTCCCCTTCCCTCCACTGCACTGTGCTAGAGCCAGCTGGGCTGGGAGCCGCCTCTGAGGATAAAAGCCTTCCTGCTTGGGAAGAAGGCTGGAGGAGACATCAAACCAGATCAAAGGCTGCTGGGATCAGGACGTGTTTGGGGGCCTGCAATGGGATGCAAATGAAGACCCTCACCTGCTCTTCCCCGCCCCCAAGGAGGCAGTGCTGGCCTTGATCTGCTTGGCTTCCTCCGGTCCTGGTGCTGTTTGATGTTGGGGTGGAAGAGGCAGGAGACTGGAGTCCCCGTCACTTGCACTCCTTCGCCAGCGCTGCCTTCCAGATACTTCAGGGTCTGCCATCCCTCCTCCTTCTACCCTGAGGTTGGAGCCACCCAGGCATGACGGTCACCTTCTCGGTGCTGACACCCACCAAGCCCCTGCTGTCTGCTCTCCACAAAACAGCAGAGGGGGGCATTAAAATCCAGGGCAGACCCTGTCTCTCCCCTGCTGAAACCCTGTGGTGGCTCCCCCTCACTCTGAGAACAAGCCAAGTCTGGTAATATCATGTAAGGGGCTACACAGGCACACACACTCCATGCCCTCTGACCTCTCTCCTCCATGAATGAGATGTCCATGTTCATTCATTCATGCAGCAAGGTCCAATTCCTAAATCGCCGGGCATGTAGTAGATGCTCAATAAATACATGTTGCCATGAATAAATGAATCCATTTGCTCAATGAGCATTGGGGGTGGGGCTGCTATAAAACTGGCATGGTGATGGGTGCAAGGGACAAGGAGCTGACCTTCAGGAATCCTCAGAAGGTAGGAAATGAGTGTTCCCTGGAGATGAGTAGGCACTGGACATACTGCGGGAACAGAGCATGGAGTGATGAGCCCTGTAGGTATGAGGGGCTGAGAAAGACCTAAAAGGCCTGCGCTGGACCCTGAATGATCCATGGGCAGGGTTTGCATTGTGGGAGAGGCAAGGGGTGGGCACTGCGGGCCAGGGAACAGCACGTGCAAAAGCAGGGAGTGTGAAAGGGTGTGTGGTAGGAGGAAGTGGCAACATACACACACACACACACCAATACATGCACCACGCATATACCCCTACATACATAGACACACACCCATCTCACATCCCAACACACAAACCCAACCACTCAACATGCACACACACCCAACACACACACACCAACACACAAAGACACATACCCCAACACATACATAGACATACACACTAACATACACACACCAATATGCACACCAGCACCCACCCCTCAACACAGATACACATACACACACAGATACACACACCCATACACTCCAACACATACACAAATACATATGTGCAGATACACACCAACATACACACACAGATGCACATACACATACACACAGATACACCAACACACACCTCAACATACAGACATAACACACACAGACACACACCCCAATGCACATACACACACACACACCCCTTCCTCCTCTCCCACCCACCCTGATCTAAGCACCTCCCCAAGGCAAAAGGCCTGGCCCCTCTCCTCTGACCTCTGGGAGCCTGGCCTGGGCCTCCAACCCTGGGCCCATTCTTCTCGCCTGCGCCTGGCCTCACAGTGCACCATGCCCTCCCTTGGCTCCCTCTGGTTCCTCATCCACGGCACCCATGGCTGCTCCTGTGGCCCAACACAACGTCACCCAGGCCCTACATGACAAGAGCCTGAAGGACCCAACTCCCACATCACAGAACCCCTGCCGCCCCAGCCAGCACTGCTCAGCCCAGTCAACGCCACCTCCCTCCCCCGAGCTTGAGATGCCCTGCCCATGGCTGCGGCTCTGACTCAGTCCTCCAGGTGGTGGTTGTAAGATCAACAAGAAGAATCACAATGGTTCTCATTTCGCCCCCAGTTACTATGATCCAGACACTGAGAGCAGCACTTTACAGGTATGGCAGGTATTTGATTATTTCCACTGTTCAGATGAAGAAACTGAGGCACAGAGAAGTTAAATATCTTTCCCAAGAAATCACACCCAGTCACTGGTGAAGGCAGGACTCAGCCCCAGGTGGTCTGGACCGAGCTGAGCTTTGAGGGTCTTCCTTTTCCCCCCAGGCAGAGGAGGGTACCGCCTGGAGTTCTCACTCCCTCTCTTCCCTCTCCACCCCTCCATCTCTGCACAGACCACTGGCAAAATGCCCAATAACCACATTGCTTTTTGAGAGCTAGGGCTTTGGTTGAGAGCCCCAAGGGGTGAGTGGGTGGGGCACCCATAGCCTGCTGCTAGCTGCAAGGGAGTGGGCTCATGGGATTCCCATTGCCTGGGGTCCCAGTTAGGCCTCACAGTCCCTCCCCAGTCCTGCCCATCCCTCTGATCACAGCCTGCCTGTCTTGAAGTCTCCTAGGTGCTCGAGGAGGTAAAGTTTTTCCTTTTGAGTCCTCTGGCCTTCCCCTCCCTTGAATGTGGGCTGAAAATGTCCTCTCTCGTCGTCACGCAGGAAGTCTGCCCTGCTGGCAGAATCTCCTCTAACTGCACTACCCCCTCCATGCCTGAAGCCCGTCCTTGGCCCCTGGGGCCTGTTCTGGGCAGAGGTGTGGCACCTGAGAAAGGGGTTTGTAGGGGTGCCTTTGAGGGGCTTGCAGTATGTTTGCAGAACCAGAGCCAGAACTTGGGTCTGTTCATTCCACCCTCTGGGGGGCCAGGAATGGCTCCTTCACTCTCATCTCTTGCGCTCTGAGAGGAGATGAGCTGGCCTAGGGACCCTGAATCAGGAGAAGCTGAGCCTTGGGATTCAGTACAGGTGAGGGGTCTGGGGACTGTCCCCACCTGCCCCCTTGCTGCCTCCCTCTCTGGCCTTCGGACCCTTGCCCTGTGAGTTTGAGTCAGGCCTTTCTGCAGGAGCCTGGGACACCACAGTGGCTCTATGTAGAAGTCACCTTTTGCTGGGGTGGTGGCGCGCAGCCATCTCTCCAGGTAACTGATTATACATTTGATCTGCTACATTATCCTTACCAGGCGCACGGCACACGATAGACGGCCCTGGAGTTCTGTGGGGACTTTTCGCAGCCGAACTCTGTTGTCTAATGGGGTTTCCGCTGGCGTCTGGCACACTCTCCTGCATTTCACCCATCGCAGGATAATTTATAACATAATGGGGCTTTTTTTTCCTTTACATCATGCGGGAGCATAAATTATGGCCAGTTTGTCCTCGGCTTTCAAGGAGACAGACAAAGCAGGGCTATTCCAGCATGGGCGGGGGGAGGTTTCTGCAGGGGAGGAGGAGGACAGGGTGGTCTACAGGGCAGGAGGGGCAAGAAGAGGAGAGACCAAGGAATGGTGTTAAAAGCTTCTCATTGACAGGGCAAAGAATCTACTCCAGGTGGCCACAAATGCTAGGGAAGAAATAAAAGACTCACTTAGAGCTGTTTGTCTCTATTAACCATGGAGCGGGGGCTCGTTAGCTGGGCGCAGAGCTGCACAGTGATAAGGCTGTGTGTGGGGCAGTGGTCGCTGCCTGCAGACCACCTGGCCACAGACTTTCCAACATTAGCCACAGGCTGACCCTTATGGGGCCTCAAAT
Source organism: Homo sapiens (assembly GCF_000001405.40). Lineage (NCBI taxonomy): Eukaryota > Metazoa > Chordata > Mammalia > Primates > Hominidae > Homo > Homo sapiens. The sequence goes on from NC_000018.10 coordinate 37,286,423, forward strand.
CCTCCCAGCTGTGACCCAAATTTCCACAGTCGCACAGAGAGGGTGAGTGGGCATGGGCCTCCTCGGTGCCTCCCGCCATCGCCAGAGACACAGTGAAAAACTCAGTGCTGGGGGCGGCCGTGCAAACCCCCTGCCCCTCTGACCCACAGCCCGTTTTTAATATTGACAGTGGGGCTTGGCTTTCTGTGGATGAACAGCAATAGAGAAGCTGCCTACCAGCCCACTGGCCATCTTCCCGGGGAGGTGCAAGGCCTCAGCATCCTCCTTACTTGTCTAACCCGGGAGGAGTCACACTGGAATGAAGAGAGACTGATCTGGCGGCTGCAGCCACCACGCCCATTCCCCACACCTGAACACTGTGCCGAGAACCTCTAGCGACCCTGGGTTGGGAGTGGGTCTTCAGAGGCCACCTGGCCCAGCCTCCTCCATTACCACCCAGTTGCAGGAATGATGCTTCCTGATCACCTGCAGAAGGCCTGCTGGCCTCCCCGCGAGACCCAGGAGGGAGCCCAGAAGAACGTTGTCTTATGTGCCTCCAGAGCCCAAGTCCTGCCCTGTAGCACCAGCGGCTGCCCCTGCGCCCTCAGGACAGCCCTTCAGGGATGAACAACAGGTGTCTTAGATCTCATGGGACAGAGGTCCTTAGCCCTGGCTGCCATGGAAATCACCTGGAGGCTTCGACAAGCCAGGTGACTCGGGCTGGCCCCCGAGATACGGATTTGAGGGATTGGTTGGGAGCCCAGATGTCAGTATTTCTGGTTTTGGTTATTTAAAGCTTCTCAGGTGATACCAACATGCAGGCAGGGCAGGGAAGGGATGCAATGGGATTGGTCTTCTCCAGGCTGCTCGTCTCTCCTCAGGCACTGCGTCCCTGGCCCTCCACCTGCCTGCTGGGATAGAGCCCTTCAGACTGCAAAATTCTGGGCCCTGTTGGTGCAGGGATGGCAGCACCCACCTTCTATGCCCTGACACATGCCTGAGCCTGGCCATCCTTCCCATTGCTCAGGAGTCACCCTGTAAAGCTGTTGAACTAATTTCGGGAGGCGGGGTGAGGGGACCTCTCTAGGTCAGCACGCGGCTTAGCCCCTGAGGGCTTTGCAAGCCCCCTCTTCTTCCTCCTCTCTCTTCCCCTGTGCCCCTTCCCCCTCCATCCACCAGCCAGCCCTGCTCTGAGTGGGGAATCCCAGGCCCCTGTTTCTCAGGCCTCTGGGTTCCTTTCTATTCCACTTTGTTCCAGCCACCATGGCCCTCCTGGATTCCCTGCTGCCCACCCCAAGGAACTCAGAGGGCCCATGCTTAAGTACACGGTGTATTAACTCATGACTGATAATGGACTGCAGATAGACATAGAGATGGATGGATGGTAGACATGATTAATAGATGCTAGATATCCAGATTAAATGTTAGATGATAGATAGATACACAGATGAAAGAAAAATGATTGCAGAAAGCAGATAGATTTATGATGGATGACACATAAATAGCAATAGGTAAATGTGGATGGATGGGTGGCCAGGATGCTTCTGAGGACTTCAGGTAATGAGGTCTAAATGCAAAGGTCAGAAAATCAGTCACAACCACCCACACCTGCTGGGGTGCTGACTCTCAAAATAACAAGGAATGCTCTTCTGTTCAAGACCTATCTTGAACCAGCTTCTCTTTCAACACAGGTCCCTGCATCTCTACATTTGCCAATGGGTTTGCAGTTAACATAGGTTTCAATAGGGCTGGTTTACTGTGGACACCTGAAGATTCTCTTTGACGTTTTCCTGAACCTACTGGCAGGCTGAAATGACCTCTCAAGCCTCCACTGCACCTAATGAGGTCCTCCCTTCCTGCGCGGAGGGATGTCTCCCTTATAGGTGCCTGCTCCTAAGGGAGCACTGCTCCTAAGCCCTGTGGTGAGACGGCAGGTGTTGGCCCACATGGTTTATGCAGAGCTCCATGCATTCATTCTCTTGGTCAAAGACCATGCCCTCAGAGAGGATGATGGCAGCACACACCATGGGCCAAGCACAGCTCAGACCACTTTAACCTTATGAAGTGGGCACCACTGTTCCCCATTCTACAGATGAGGAAACGAAGGCACAGAAAGGCTTGGCAACCAACTTGCTGGGGATCCCCAAGCTAATTCACAGCAGAGCCAGACTTTGAACCAGGTGGCCCAGCTCTCCAGCTCTCATCTAACACGCAGAAGGCATCCCCCTGCCCTGCTCACCAGAGGATGGTCATGAGGCCCTGCTGAGCTCAGGAGGGCAGGCGGCTCTGGGCACCTGGAAGGGCTGCACCATCTGCAAGCCTTGATTCTTTCTAATGACTAATGAGATTGTGAGGGGGAGAGTTTGCTTTCCTGAGAGAACCAACCATTTTGAAGGGTGGCAACATATTATCTGTTGGTATGTGACTGGCATTGCTAACAACAGAGGAGCCTGTTCTCTGTTGTTAGAGAATAGAGAACAGAAATATTGCCTCTTAAGGGTGGCAATATTTGGTTACCGTGAAATTCCTTTAACAGAGTGGCACAAGAGAATTTTCTGTCTCAGAAACCTGCACGCCAGCTCTGGGGCTGCCCTGGACCTCTCCTGCTATTCACCACTCAGTCCGGCAGTCAGTATTCAACAAACTATGCACAAGGGACTGTGTCAGGAGATGCAGGAAGTAGACTTGATCCTTCAAGAAAAGTGCTTCCAAATTAGGGCCTGAGCGGCCCAGCTGTGGAGGGCAGACCATGATGGGGGATCGTGGGGTGAGAAGGGATGGGGGCTGGCAGAGGGGGCAGTACACGGTGGAGCAGCAGGAAGAGTTTGCCATGCTGCAGTGTCCTCATGGATGAGGCCACAGGATACTGAGGTCAGGCTGCACTGCCTCTCTAGGGAAGGGTGGGGAGAAGGATGGAAACTTGGGGATGGGAGCTCAGAGGACAGAATGCAAAGAGCTTCGTTACTCAGCTCAAGTGCTCCAGAATTGTATTTTGAAAATCAAGACATAGTCCTCCCACCCACAAGTCTCCAGGGGATTCTGGGGATGACAAGCACTGTGGGGCTGCTCTGCCAGGAGCAGGTGGTCTGGGAGTGAAGGAAGCAGGTGAAGGCCCCCGCTTGCTAGCTAGTACGCCCCAGCTCGTCCCCCCACCTCCCTTCCCCCACAGCCAGACTCTGCTATCAGGGACACTGTCAGCTGCCCTTTGGATGTCCTGACAGTGGGCTCTGTGCCAGCTGGCCATCTCCACACATCCTGTCCACTTCTCACCACCATGTTCCAGTAGAATATGATGAGAGTACTGTTTGATAGATGAGTTAACTGAGGCTCAGACAAGCTAAGAAACTGGTGGAAGCTCCCCCAGGCAGTAAGTGGCGCAGGTGAGGCTGGACCGGGTATCTCTGGTGGCTGCACCGCCTTCTCTGTTGTGTGACATGGAGTATTACACAGCCCTGGAGTTTCATCTTTTGGGTTCTAAGCCTGCAGACTGGGCATTGCCCTCTTCAGGGAAGTTTTTGAAATGTGGTGGCTCTGGTCACCTCCACATGACTGATTTTGCCAGAAAGTGTCCTTTGTGATCACAAGGATCTGATAAGCTTTTAGGCCTCGAGTGCCTGAGAATGGAAGAGAAGTGGAGGAGGCAGCATGGAGGGGCATGGCTGGGAGAGGGCTTGATGCTGGGGAATTAAGGGCAGCCTGGTGTCTGGGAGGTGAGTGATGATGGTGCTGAGCTGGGGAGGCCAAAGAAGGTGGCTGGGCTGGAGGGAATGTTCCCTGCCAGCCCCAACTCTCCTTCCCTGTCCATGCACAGCAGCTGGATGGCCCAGGGCAGTGGAGCCCCCTGAACATGGGTCCCAGGCACCTCAAGCTTTGTCTGCTGGCTGCATCAGAAAGCTTCATCCACAGGTATATGTGACTATTTTTCAAATGCATCTAGATGATGTTGTGATTTTAAAAATACAAATCCATTTAAAAGCGTTGCTGAATTCAAGGTGGAGTTTTGTCATTTTGCATTCTCTCAAACAATGGATACTCAAAGTAAAACATCTGTCAAGGGGGGCACTGATGAATTTTTGATGTTAAAAATGGCTCCTTAACCTTGAGAAGTCTGGAAATGCTGATCCAAGAAGGGCAGCGGGAGCTTGAGCAGGAGAAAGTGCCGCAGCTGAATTCCAGGCCTAGCGCATCTCACCCACAAGAGCGCACATTACCTATCTAGAGGGAAGGATTGTGGTGGGAGGGAAGCAGGGACCACCCCAGACTTATAGTTAGTAAACTCACCTCAAACTACAACCTGAGCCCAGTTTCTGCCCTCCTCTGGGCCTAATCTTCAAATTTATCCTTTGATTCGACTAAGATAGTAATAACCAAGGGAGTGAAAATGATTGCCTGGAGGCCTAGACTGAGAGCTGTGTCTTCCCCTCTTCTCCTCCTCCTGTCTGTCTTTCTCCATCAGCCTTTTCAGCCTCCTCTACAACATGATCCATGACAATTTTCAGTTTTATTTTTATTTTTATTTTTTGAGATGGAGTTTTGCTTGCTCTTGTTGTCCAGGCTGAATACAATGGCATGATCTTGGCTCACCGCAACCTCCGCCTCCCGGGTTCAAGCAATTCTCCTGCCTCAGCCTCTTGAGTAGCTGGGATTACAGGCATGTGCCACGATGCCTGGCTAATTTTGTATTTTTAGTAGAGATGGGGTTTCTCCATGTTGGTCAGGCTGGTTTCGAACTCCTGACCTCAGGTGATCCGCCTGCCTCGGCCTCCCAAAGTGCTGGGATTACAGGCATGAGCCACCGTGCCTGGCAATTTTCAGTTATGAACATGAGTCGGCATTTCTGGTGATGTGAGGCTGGGAGCTGTGCATCTTCCCACTGCTGGGAGGCCCTAGTGTGATCCCTGCCTCACAACACAAGCTCAGGAAGCACTGTGAGAATGAATAGTGACTGTAACCCATGTACTCAAGAGGAGGGTTCATGTCAGAAAGCTCAAGGTTGGGCAGGAAGCCTGGACCTGCATATGCATCTCTTTCTACCCCGCACCCTGGTGTGGTCAGGGTCTGCCTTCAGCGAAGATAAAATGTGAAACTCACCTTGGATTTAACGGCTGGAGGCTTGCATTTGGTTTCCCACCAGCCCTGTGATTGGGGCAGGGGTTCAGCCTAGTCTCTCTCCTCAGCTACAGAATGGGATGATCAGGACTGCCGCAGGGCTGACCTGAGGGCCTGGGCATGAGGCCACGGGTTTTTAGAATCCTTTTGATTTGTAGAATCCTTTCAGCAGCTGCTCACAGGGTGGTTCCCTCTACTCATCAACCTCCTCTGTCCCACCACATTGGGGACATCCCTCTTAAGTCTCCAGGGTCCACAGCTGTCCCTTAGAACATCTGAGTTTGGCCAACTCTACTATACCCATAATCAGATTCAGCCTCTTTCTAACCCTCGTGGAACTGACCAGTTCCTTGTCCCAACACAGCAAGGCCTGTGTTCCCTGCTGTGGTCTGGATGTGTGTGCCCTCCCAAAATTCACACGCTGAAATTCTAAACCCCAAGGTGATGGTATTAAGAGGAGGAGCTTTTGTGGGGGTGATTGGATCATCAGGACAGAGCCCTGGTGAATGAGATTAGCACCCTTATAAAAAAAAAAAAGAGGCCTGAGGGAGTTTGTTCACCTCTTTTCCACCACGTGCAATTACAGCAAGATGTTCTCACCAGATATGGAATCTGCTGGCATCTTAATCTTGGACATTCTGGCCTCCAGAACTGTGAGAAATCGATTTATTGTTGATAAGCTACCTGGTTTATGGTATTTTTGTTATAGCAGCCCAAATGGACTACGACACTCCCACTGAACACCTTGTCAGTTCCAGGCACTAATGGTGGATACTGCATCAATTAGTTTTTCATTCCAGTACAGGTACATTTTAACAAGACTGTCCAAAGCCTTAATCCAAAGAAGTGGAGGATTGTGGTGACATTTGGGGGCAAGTGGGGGCAGATGTGAGATGGCTCAGGGCAAGGAGACCTTCCTGGGGCCCTTAAATCGCCCCACAGAAGTGCCCACTCATTCAGCCTTGGGAAGACTGTGGGTGGAGGGGGTGTCCCAGGAGAACTTCCTCCTGCCTGGCTTTTCTCCCTGACACCGGAAGTGACGCGGGCAGGCCAGGTACTTAGCACAGTCCCTGGAATGGAGGAAACTTGCTGCGGTTATTAGTGGTGCCTAATGATATTTGCATAGATTAACAGACTTTAATGCAATCAGAATGCCACAATCCCGAGAAAATAATGAAGAAATCCATTACAAAGTCATAAAGTAACTAAGTCAATACAGTAATAACTTGATCCTGTGTTAGTAATAATTTCATCTCCCGCTGCAAGGTGATTTTGCAATGTGCACCGTTTCTGGACACTTTTATAAATTTCACCTTTGTTTGATATAATTAATTAACAAAATAAAAAATACACTGCTGGTATTTTATACAGTAAATTAGTCATTAGTCTAAACTGGCAGGCTGTAATAAAACTTATTATGATGGATGTGCTGGGATTTTTAACTTCTCTTCAAGTGGCCTGTAACCCTCTCATAGGCAAAACTCAGGGCTGTCTGATGGCAGTGGTTCAGGTGGATAGAAGGACCAGCAGGACCCCACAAAAGGGGGTTGGGGTGAGAGAGGGGTGGAAGCCTAGATGTGGGCCCACTGGGCTTGTGGAAACCCCTTGGGGACCTGCATCCTCAGCCCAGGCTCCTTCGGGCACAGTCTTAGTTTCCCAGGGCTGCCATACCAAAATGCCACAAACTGGGTGGCTTAGAGCAACACGGATCTATTCTCTCACGGTTCTGGAGGCTGAAAGTCAGAAATCAAGGTTTGGACAGGGCCACATTATCTCTAAAGTCTCCAGTGGGGTTCTTTCCTTGCCCCTTCCTAGCTTCTGGTGTTTCCCAGCAATTCTTGGCTTTCTTTAGTTGTAGCTGCGTCACTCCAGTCTCTGATTCTATCCCTACGTGGTGCTCTCTCTGTATGTTCTGTGTCTGTGTCTAAATTTCTTTCCTCTTCTAAGGATGCCAATCATATTGGATTTAGGGCCAGTATGAATCCAGTATGACCTCATTTTAACTTGATTACATTTGCAAATACCCTATTTCCAAATAAGGCCATGTTCACAGGTTCTGGGTGGATGCAAATTTGGGGAGAAGACTACTTAACCCACTCCAGACACTGTAGGCTGTGAGATCACTGTCCTTATTCCTGCAGGAAGGAAGGGACAGGCCAAGTCATGCTGAGGTGCAATGACTTCCAGGTGAGTCGCCTAGCAGGGACTGGCTATTAGAAATCTATGGTATCCTAAGAGGTTATCTGATGGGCTAGAGGGGACTGTGAAGTCTTCGAAATGGTCAGCACCAATTCATGTCTATGGCTATTTCTCCTGGAGAATAGATTCAGAGCTTCCATCAGATTCTCAAAAGAGCCTGGCACCCCAAAGTGTGCTTATCTCTTTACCACATCAAACATATGGGGGTCAGGGAGGAAGGGATCACTAAAACCAACCAACTAGCAAACCAAATAGCCAACCACCTGACCCACCAACCACCTGACTGACAACTTCCAGATAAACAATTTCACAAAGTTTCCAGAAATCTTCCAATACCCCCCATCCCAAAAGGAGTGCAGATTCTGGGGCTTTAGAAGGGAAGCTGTTGAATATCTGTACTTCCACTGTGGCACGGGTGAGGGTGGGGGCAGGCTGGGGGACTCCCACGGTTCTGTGTCTAGAATGAGAACTTTGCTGGGGAGATGTCTTTGGATTTTGAATGTATTACCCTTCATCTCATCCTCCGGACCAGTTTCAGGTCATCAGCACATTTTAAAATCAGCTTCTATGTCTCCCACCTTTGAGAAGTTCTTGATAAAAATGTTCAACAGGAGGGTACCAGAGACAAGGGCCATGGCCATAGATGTCACCAGGAACCTCCCTTTCTGTCCAGCCAGCTCTGAGTTACTCTGGGCAACTTTGCCATCTGCCCCGAGTAGGTGACAAGATGCCAGCTTAGGCCCTGCTCCTATGCATGGGTCACCCACTTACCAACACAGACACCCAGCTTCCTTGCTCTGGCTCACCCTGGTGAACCACTGTGGTTCCTAAGTCACCATCATTTTCCCCCAAATGCTCTCAAGCCATCAGTTTGATGAATTTATTCTAGAACTTAGCCAAAATTGTCTTCAAGATCGCCAGCCTGCTAATTTTTAGAATCCAGCCTCTTCACCTTTTAAAAACTTGGACCTTTGTCCATTTCTTGTCTCCACAGTGTCTCAAGTGACCTGCAGCAGCTCTGTCAGTGGAATACCCGTTTCATTTGTCCACCTGAGGCCATGGCTCAATTTGCTCTGTCCTAGAAATACAACCTAATTTATGGGGCCAGATTTGATCTCCTTGACTTGTTTGGATATTAATTCTCTTTTTATGACATTTATCAACATTTCCCATCCTGAAGACCAGCCTCTTTGCTAGAGAAGATGGAAGAAATGCAGAAGGTAAACTTCTCTGTTTTCCGCTAGTTTATAGTCTGCTTTTCAAGTAGATAGAATTGATGGGTCTCGGGCAGGAAGACATGCAATGTGTTGTTTGTCTTTCTGGACCATGTAGGTGAACTGCAATTCTCTTTCTGTCTCTGGGGCTCTGACTTGAAAGCAGGGAGGAGGCATTTCCCCAAGCTGTGCCTCACCTTCCTCCAGGAGGGGGCGCCCTGAAAGCACCAGTCCCTGGGCCTCTCCTGGATGCTGGCTTGGCTTGTCCCAGATCCCTGCCCCTGCCCGAATGAATGAGGAGGGCTGCAAACGTCCCCTTTTCCTCTTATTGTTTTCCTCAAAGATGTCATCCAGTGGTCACTGGTGCCAAAGGCCTGGCTGATGCCTGAGAAGCCCAGGTTTGGCAGATCTTGAATCCAGATTGGGATGGTGTGGCTAACAAGCTGAAAGGATTATGGGTGGCAGGTAGATAAGGGGTTTGTTTTTGAAATGAGACATAAATTATCCTTGAATTCAGCAGCAGTAGATCTGTGTCAAGTGGTGATGAGTCTAAACATACTGGCCCAGGTCAGAGACCACTCCATGCCAAGAGGGCTCAGAGCATGCTGGAGGCAGGGAGGCATCTGGGAAGAAGACAACTTCTATTTTTGGAACTCTTGCAATGCACCAGTCATCAGAAATAATATTATTGTTATTGCTACTTTACAGAGGAGGAAATGGAGGCACATAAAGAGGTTAAGAAGTTCACCTACAATCAAACAGTTAGTAATGGGTAGAATATGATCTGTACTTCACATCCCCATTCGAAATCCTGGTGTGGGCATGGGGAGTCTCCAACATACAGCATCCGAAGGGAGGCACCCAGGTGAAACCTAGAGTTGATCTTTCCAGCATTGGCGGCGAGAGGAAGAGGAACTGCACTGGGGGTCAGGGCCTGGGTTCATCAGCAGGCTGTGTGACCTGTGCCCAATGGTGTCACTTGTGTGGGTCTTCGCTTTCTCTTGCAGATGTGGTAGTGTGAGATTGGTGCATCCCACTCAGCTGGAGAGGAGCTCTGTGAGGAGCTCTGAAGTCCTCGGCATGTGCAGAGACCCTCAGCCCTGTCCCCTTCCTCTCTGCTATCTCCTTCCTTTCTCCTTGTCCCCCACAAAAATCCTCATTCCAGTGACTTGGCACACCCATAGGCATCCCTGCCTCTTGGCTTGGCCATTCAACTATCTTTTTGGCTTGTTTGTTTCATATTTTATTTTGAGACAGGGTCTGGCCCTGTCACCCAGGCTGGAGTGCAGTGGCACTTTCATGGCTTACTGCAGCCTCTGCCTTCCAGGCTCAAGCCATCCTCCCACCTCAGCTTCCTAAGACTACAGGTGTTACAGAAAGACTATAGCCTCCTGAGACCACAGCTGGCATTACAGGTGCATGCCACCATGCCTGCCTAATTTTTGTACTTGTTGTAGAAACAGGGTTTTGCCATGTTGCCCCGGCTGACCTTGACCTCTTGGGCTCAAGCAATCCACCTGGCTTGGCCTACCAAAGCACTGGGATTACAGGTGTGAGCCACTGCGCCTGGCCGGTTTGTTTTTAATGTGTTGGGTGACCATATAATTTATTGCCCAAACCAGGACCCTCAGGACCCTCATTGGTTTGAAAGGGAACACTATTAATAATTAGTCCAGGACAACATGCAACTCCGGCCTTGTCCTGGCACCTTGGGACTTGTGGGCATCCTGGTTTGGCTCTGTTGCCCTTCCCCTGCTGATGGCAGTCCTCCCCAATCTTGAAACGCTAACAGCCCTGCCTGTTGCTCCAGCCCACACCAGTGCCCTAACTGTGGGCCCCATTGACGGTCCAGCATCATTCTATGTCCTCCTGTTTCCTAAAGGAAGCTGTTGAACTGTCAGTCTCGGCTAGGTGGCAGTTCTGGGGCTGGTAAGTTAGCAGTGAACAGGAGGACGCCCCTTCACCCCCAAGGGCCAAACCAGGGAGCAGAATCTCCACTCCAGCCTTTTCCCACCCAGAGGCCTTAACTGGGCCAGGTGAGGAACACACCAGACTGAGGCCAGACTGGGCAAGCAGCTCAGGCCTACAACCAGAAATCAACTAGGGAGATGTTGACAGCGAGCAGGGAGAGAAGAGGGGAGCAGGGGAGATTGAAGGCCAGGCTAGGCATCAGGGGGTGCAGTGAACTGGGAGGCCAGTGGAAAGGCCACTGGAAGGGGTGGAATGGGTATAAGGTTTCTTTCCCTCCCTTTCCTCTCCCTGGCCCATCACAGTTATAAGCAGATCACCTGCTATCAGTGAAATGTAGCAGGTGGCGAGGGCACCGGGAGGCCACTACCTGCCATCTGCCAAGGGGCCTTGAATCCCACCATTAGAGCCTCATCTCTTTGGGGTAAGCATTGCTGTCTTCAGAATTCTCTTTTAAAATGCAAGATCACTTTATCCAAGCAGTCAGCCTCTCACGCTTTCACATGCATTCCTCATCAGAGCACGGTCCTCCCGCAGCAGCTGGCTCAGAGCCCTTGACAAGGTGCGGGACCACTGTCCCCAGGAGGAAAGGTCCTCCTAGGCAGCAAACTCTCCTAGCGTTATCTGGGATATGTCATCCTTTCTAGGTCTATTTTTTGTTTAAGATAAAATTTACAAACAGTGACATGCGTACATCCTAAGGATATAATGTAATAAGTTTTGACAAATGTGGACACCCACACCCCTGTGAAGATATAGAGCATTTCCGTTTCCCCAGAAGTTCCCTCATGACCCTTTCCAGGCAGGGTCCCCAAAGGCAGGTTCCTCAAAGGCACCCAGTGCTCTGAACGTCTTTCACCACTTTTTGGTTCTGCCTGTTCTAAAACTTCGTACATTAATCTAGTTGTCTGTGCCTGGCTTCTTTCGCTCGTTGTAATCTCTGTGAGATTCATCGGTGGGGCCTGGGCCATGCAAAGGCCCAGATGCCAGACCCTGTGCCCTCTGGCCGTCAAGTTAGCAGGCTGCCTTCTCCAGGCATTCAGCAGAGACTGTTGGGTGTTTGGGAAGCAGGAGTCCCTTGGCCAGAGGCGCAGCCACCAATGGTGCACAGTTCTACTATTAACTGTCCTCCTTCTGTGGTCTGCACTGGGCTCAAGGGATCTGCTGGCCTCAGCTCCACGAATGGGCTAAGGATTAAAGGTGTCTGCTAGAGTTAGGGTGAGAGGCCCAGGAGGCTGGGGTCTCAACCCAGGGCTGCAGGAAGGAGTGATGGCTGAGCCTTGGGGCCCAGGAATATCTTGAGAGTGTGTATAAAATGGCCCAAGGATCTGCAGATGCTGGTTCTTCCAAGGAGAAGGATCATAGCTTTTCTCACCATGACAGCCACCACTCTGGTCCCAGCCATGTCCACCTCTCCTGTGTGACTGCAGTGACCTCCTGACTGTCCTCTGTGTCCACACAGCAGTCAGAATGAGACAGTGCATGTCACTGCTCTACTCAAGGCCCCTGGTGGATCCCTGTTCCACTCTGAATAAAATCCAGTTTTGGCTGGGTGCGGTGGCTCACACCTGTAATCCCAGCACTTTGGGAGGCCGAGGTGGGTGGATCACTTGGGGTCAGGAGTTTGAGACCAGCCTGGGCAACATGGCGAAACATGGCAAAACCCCATCTCTACTAAAAATACAAAAATTAGCTGAGTGTGGTGGCACACACCTCCCAGCTACTCCGGAGGCTGAGGCAGGAGAATCGCTTAAACCTGGGAGGCAGATGTTGCCGTGAACTGAGATTGCGCCATTGCACTCCAGCCTGGGCGACGGAGTGAGACTCTATCTCAAAAAAAAAAAAAAAAAATCCAGTCTTAACAACAGTCTACAAGATCTGATAGGATCCTCCCCTTCTCTCCTGCTACTCTCCCCTCACTCCCAGTTCCGCTCCAGCCAAGCGGGGCCCGGTCCTGACCAGGAACACTGCTAACATGCTGTAGTCATGGCTTTCCTTTGGGGTTCTAGCATACTTTCTGCTCTCTTCCCTAGCTTGTAAGTCCCAGTAGGGCAGCGGTCACCTAGCACTTAGCATAGGGCCTGGCAGGTGGCTGTGCTTGCTAACCTTCTGTGGAACAATTCAATGGAAGAATGAAATGCTGCTTCAGTTCCCCAAAGGGATCTGTGGCCCAGAAAGGCTAAGAGCAAGTAGGCAGGATCCGAGCAGGCAATGCTGGGCCAGGCAGAGAGGGCTCCTGGGGTGAACTCCCTCCCAGGCCCCCACTCAGTCACCGCACCATGGGGGAGGGCACTAAACAGAGGCAGACCAGAAGAGGCACTGCAGCAGGGGCCAGCCTCAGACCATGAGCTAGGCTGGGGGCTCCAGAAGGCAAGACATTTGTGTCTCTTAAGCCTACTTGTTGCAAATATTTTCTTGATTTATATGTTGTTTATATGTTGTTTCACTGGCCCATCCCTTAGAAGTGAGGGGAGGAAAAAGGGATGGCCAGGGCCCAGTCACCTCTGGGCAGGGATGCTCCTGGGAGTGAGGGTCCCAGGGGCCTGGTATGGGGGCCGGGCAGAACTGGGACAGGATGGGAGCCTTGGGCCACGTGGAACCCTCCCACTCAGAATGTCGGGCTCACAGGGACAAGGGATCCAGGCCAGAGGCCCCAGGAGGAAGGTGTGAGAACCAGGAGAGGCTGGCACTGCGGGCTCGGCTGTCTCCTGCGGCGTGAGCACTGCTGCCTCTCTCTTCCCTGTGTGTCACTTAATGTTTGCAGTTAAGTATTTACAGATATGTTCCCATGGCAACCAAAGCCTCAAAGTTACTCTCACAATTCTGTTTTCTCAAATGTGTTTCTCTGGCTGATTGCACAGGGTTTTCTGGAAGCCAGCCAGGCTGAGTGAGTCACATTCCCTGCCCTGTGCTCCCATGCTTTTTCCCTTCCCCCTCCAGGGTCCAGCCAGCCAGCATGGTCCCCACCCCCATCTCTCCCACGCTGAACAGAGCTCCCGGGCCCATACTCCCCAGCTTGGTCAGGTTGTCCCAGGGCCTGGAGTGCAGAGCCACAACCCCCACCATCTAGACCCTCCAGCTCTCTGGATCATTGCAAGCTTCCCCTTCCAGGAATCCTTCTCCAGCTTCCCTGGCCCATGAGGCAGACCTGAAACTGCCCCCACCCCATGCTTCTTGAGGTTCCTTAAAGGTGGGGTCTTCCGCCTTCACTTCTGACCCTGGACACCTGGCCTGGGGGCCCCATTCACATAATCCCTGCTGTTGTAGGTGTTCACTGAACACACCACACTCCCTTGTGCCTGCTTGTTGCATGTGATCTGATCCCATGCTCCAGCACTTTTTTTTTTTTTTGATACGGAGTCTTGCTCTGTTGGCCAGGCTGGAGTGCAGTGGCATGGTCTCAGCTCACTGCAACCTCCACCTCCCAGGCTCAAGCGATTCTCCTGCCTCAGCCTCCTGAGTAGCTGGGATTACAGGCACCTGCCACCGCACTTGGCTAATTTTTGTATTTTTATTAGACACAGGGTTTCACCACATTGGCCAGGCTGGTCTCGAACTTCTGACCTCAGGTGATCCTCCCGCCTCGGCCTCCCAAAGTGCTGGGATTACAGGTGTGAGCCACTGCTCCTGGCCTCCAGCACTTTCTTATGGCACTGCCCTGTGGGTCCCTGTCCTGCGCATTCAGCCATTCATTTCCTGAGCTCCTGCTCTGGGCAGGGCACTGTGCAAATTGCCAAGATACAGAGAGGAACAAAGAGTCCCTGTCTGCACGGAGCTCATCTCTAAGTGACAAGGGATGGATAATGAATAAGAAACAATCAGGGTAGTGATATATGCCATGAATAAAATAAAACAAGGAAGCAGATGGAGGAGCTGGGGCTGCATTAGGTTGGAAGTCAGGACAGGTCGTGGGTAGAGGGACACAGAAGCTGAGACAGGGTGAGCAGCAGTGGCATCTGGGGGTGCCTGGCAGAGGGAGCAGCTAGTGCAAAGGCCCAGAGCAGGTAAGTTTGAGGAACAGCCATGAGGCCAGGCGCCTGGAGCAAGAGATTCAGGCAGGCACTAAGGCAGCAGGGCTGGGAGTGGTAAAAGGCTTGGACTTCCATGTAAGTGAGGATGACCAAAGCATCTGATTGGGCCACTGTGTAGAGAATGCAGTGGTGGGGCAGGAGACACAGGAGGAGGCAGGCAGATAGAAAGGAAGGGGGCAGTTGTCCAGGAGACAGAGGATACTCCAAGTGGGCAGGGATGGAGGAGAGTTCAGATGAGCAAAACTGTGGCACCAAAGCAGCCAAGCTTGGTGGAGTGTATGTGGGAGGTGAGGGCTGGAGAGGATGTCAGTGTGACTGCCTGGGGTCCCAGTGGGTCCTATTGCCTCAGCTAGACTGAGAGGCCACTGCAGGTGCTGCCACAGCCCCCTGTCCCTGCCTGATTCCTTGTTTCTATCCTCCGCCAGACTGGACACTAAAAGACGGCAGAGATGGGGGCATGGGTCCCTGTGATGGCTCAGTGTCCAGCCCAGCATACCCGGCAAAGATGGCTGCCTCCCCGCAGCCCCAGAAGTAGCCCTCCCCCAGCAGGACAGCTACCACAAAGTCCCAGGGACAGGTGTCTCCCTCCATCTGATTGCACTGGGGGCTGCCTCGTGCCAGGCATGGGGCTGGACCATGTGTTTCCTCCCAGCTCAGCCCTGCTCCAGGTTGGGGGTTCTCCTCCTCTGGGCTGCCCTTCCTCAGGTTCCATGAGCCTGGAGATGCAGAGGTGCTCAGAGCTGGAGCCCAGGCTGAACCACCGCTCTCTGTTGGACCCTGCTGGGAGCGTGAAGGCTCTGAAGGTACCTCCTTTAAAGAGCCGGAAGGCCTCACTCGGCTAATGGCTCATTGAGTGGCTGTTTTGCTACCATAAGTGATTTCAGTCACTAGCCCTTAATTGATCTTATCCACACAATACATATGACACAGTGTGGGAAAGTTCCTGTCCACGGAGCAGGTAGGTCTCTGGCATGGCATGCCATGCCACCCACCTTTCCCCTTCCCCCTGCTCTACTGGCCTCACCACCACTGTCCAGACCTCCCGCCTGCTCTGGGCAGGTGTCATTCAAAACTGGGGAACATCGAAAAACTCAGGCCATCCAAAGGGTTGAACAGCATGCAAACCACTTTGGTTGGCTTTGGAATATATGTTGACTTTCACAGCGAACAAGTTGGATGCTTATGGGAATTTGGGCCGTATTAATAAAACTCCCAAGAATACACTGGAAGAACTGTCCAGAATGCCCACCGGCCACCCCTTCCTGGCACAGGTGGATGGAGTTACCTGTCCAATGCCCCACCTCATCAGAGCCCCTCCCCTCCCCTTCTCCTATCCTCTCCTGCTGCTGGAGTTGGCTAAGCCCCAGTGTGTGGGGAGAATAGAATTCCTGTCTGTATCCACACAACTTGAGCCCCTAAAGTGCTTCCTTTAAGTGGCCAGAAGGCCTCACACTGCCTCTGTCCCCTGATCATTGGGGCAGGCACCCCTCTTATTGGATGGGAATTATCGCCCCCAACATCAGCCAGCAACATGGCCCCTGGGAGCCCCTTCTGATGAGGGCACAAGCTGCACAAAGGGAAGACAGACATGAGGACACCTATGAGGGAGGATGCACATCAGTGACCACATCTGAAGACGCTGGGATGACACTGGAAAACACAGCTTTCCTGGAGGTGGGGAGGTGGAGGGAGGGAAATGGATGGGTGAGGATTGACGCCTCCCCAGGCTTCCAGGTGGGAGGCACAGCAGAGTTTCCTGGGTGCTGCAGGGGATGGAGAATGTGAGCCTGAAGCTTTATTAGGGTGTGTGGTGTGTTCTGAAAGTCAGACTTTCTCCCAGACCAGCAGGGTGAGCTTTCAGGAGGCAGAGGGTGGTGCGGGGAGCAGGCAGGCTGGCTGGTTGCAACAGCTCCCTCCAACAGCATTGCTTCCTAGTCCACTTTTTCCTTCAGAGTGGTCAGGAGCAGCCAGGAGCACAGGCTGTCTGAGGGACAGGGTGCACAGCTAGGCCAGGCACAGAGGAGGGGTGGGAGAGGAGAGTGGGAAGGGGGCTCCATCTCCTGCAGAAACTGGGGGCCCCTGGAGGGTGCTTAGCAAGCAGGGAACTGAACACTGTAGGAGGGGAGAAAGAATGAAGCAAAGATGGTGGAAGAGAGGAGAAGGAACAGGCATGAAAGTACCATTGTTCTCAGCACTTCCTTTGGCTCATTTGAACCCCCTGGGTGAAGGCTTGCTCTGGCTAGAGGCATGACAGAAGTGCAGCAGAGCCGTGGCCCCTGGGAGGCCCAGAGCCCACAGGCATTGAGGGCTAAGGGGATTTGGCTCTGTTCCCTCCTCCCACCTACCCAGGCCCCCTGCAAAGCTTGCTCTGCAACAGGGAGAGATTAATATTTGAAATCCTGGCAGAGGTCTCCTTCCTCCACTCCCCACCCTTCACTTCCCCACAAAAAGGAAAACAGTCGTTGAAATTGAAAAATGGTGCTCAGTGAAGGGTTTAAAGACATTTTGAATTTAAAGTATATTTTAAAGGTCATTTTCAGCAGTAATTATGTTATAATGGTGGGGCTCTTAGCAAAAGGCAGTCCCCACAGTAATATCAGACCAAATGAGAATCGGGGAGAGCTTGGATCTGCAGTCCTCAGAACTAGGCTGGGCAGAGGTGAGGCGGGTGGGGAGAAAAAAAGGGAGGCAACACGTCCTCCTTTTTAGAGCCACGTCTTGGTCACTGCTGGCTCTCCAGGTCCCCAGGAACAGGGAACTACACAGTTAAATTTGGCCCTGGCATGGAAGCGTCCTCCAAAATCCCTCCCAGGCTAGCCTTGTGGGCTTTGGGGGATTCACAGGACCCTCTGATGAGGCAGGTCTGGCCTCCTGTCTGACGGGACATTCTACCTCCTCCCCACCCCACCCCATGTCCTTTCCTTCTGTTTCCAGACACTGTCATTCTGTGGCCCTCCTGGCCGTAGGCATCCCAACCCCTCCTGGAGACAAGTCCCTGGGGGTAGCATCATAGGAGAAGGCTTCCCTGGGCCCCAGCCCCATGGTAAGTGCCAGACACCTGCCTAGGCCTGTACCCACTACTGCCTGACCCAGGGCCAATGTTGCAAGGAGCCTTCATTTGGCATTTCTTGCCCATCAGTTGTGCTCTGAATTTTTTTGAACAGACTGGGACATGAATACACTGGCTATTTGTCTGAACCTCACCATTTTCTACCCTATATCCCCAACTTACAAACCCACGCAACCTGGGCTCACATTCTCCCTCAGTGAAGGCATCCATTCTTTGCCGGAAGCATCGCCCACACAGATGCTTCACACAGGCTTGTGGAAGCAATGCACGGAAAACACATGCATGAGCACCTGCTATTAATCAGAATCAAAATATTCTAGAAGGGCTGGCTATGGGTGAGACACTGACCAGGCCCCAGGGGGTTCCATGAGACAGCAGGCTTCCAGACTATGGGGAGAAGACACTGCAGAGGGCAGTGAGGAAGGGATATAGCTGGGATTGTAGGAACAGCCAAAAGGCCCATGGTGGGGCAGTGGGTGGAGGTAACCTGGGAGGGCTTCATGCAGGAGGTGTGTGGGGCATAAATTCAAGGACAAACCGACCAAAGAATGAAGAACAAAGAGCCAAGAATAAAGAAATGAGCTTCAGCTTCTTTCAAGCCTTGGCCACTGCCAGTCCACCTGGGGAGAGGCAGGTTCATTTTTAGGCTTCTGCTGGGTCCCCCAGCTCAGCAGAGCTCTGGAGGTGGGGTGAGGAGAACAGAACCAGGCCTGGGGACAGCACTGTGTGGTGTCTCCCTGCCCTCAGCCGCCCTGCCACTATGGGCTTCCTTTCGGGGGAAGTAGAAGCGGAGCACCCAACTAAGCAGTGCTGCCCCTTCCATCAGCCCTGGGGTGGCTCTCCGCAAAAGGGAGGCTGTCCACAAAGAAAATTGAGGGTCCAGAAGGGAGGGGGAGCAGGTGGGGGCTGGAAGTCCCAAACAGGAGCCAGCAGTGGTCCCAATTGGCCTCCACAGGAATAGGGTTCCCAGGTGGGGGAGCATGGCTCAGGGATGGTGGTGGCAAAGGGACTGGTGGGGATGTGGACCAGAGCCTTGGAGGTGGCCACAGCGTGGAGGGGAACAGGAGGAGGAGAAGGGGTGAAATATAAAAATATCTGGGAGAAGTGCAACACTGGGCTACAGTGTTATTAAACTAAAGCATCTTATAAAACTCGAGCCATTAATAACAGGCTGCCGCCACGTTGGGGTAATTTATTCAAATTGCGGGTCCGGGATGGAGGAGCAGATGTTTCAGAGCTGCTGGTGTCACTGAATGAGTTTCAGAGGAGGAGGGGTGGTGCCAGCATTCGCGGGGGCTTGGGGCGCCGCGCACCCTCCTTTGTCCCTCTTAGCAAATGTCTCCGCTCCACATTCCACAACACGGTGGAGACTCACCCAGTCTGCTGGAAGGGAGGAGGAAGGATCAGACTGTGGACAGCTAATTTAGGTCAGCAAGTGCCGGGATAGAAAACTAGGGTGTAGGACAGGCAGGCAGGTTCCTCTGTCTAGAGTGTAACAGCTCCCATCCCGGCCTCTGCTGGCCTCTGTACTCTGCTATCCCCTCCAGTTGAAATGCTGACTCCTACACAAAGTCACCCATGGTTTTCCCAGACCCACAGTGGGGTGGTGCTGGGAGTCAGATGGCCTGAGAATCAGATGGGCCTGGGCTCCTTCCTAAGTGCACCACCCACCAGCTGGTAACCCCAGCAAGTGAGCTCATGGGCCTCAGTGTCCTCATCTATACAATGGAGCAGTGATACCTAAGTCATGGTCTGGGGGAAAAAGAAACACATTGACCCACAGGAAGGCCTTGGCCCACTCCAGGGGGCTACTAAGGTAGGTTGGTGTCTGGTATTGAACCTGATGGCCCTCACTGATGGTCAACTTAGTGCTTTGATTCTACATCTGTCCCTCTCTTCTAATTGTTTCCTTGGTTTTACCCTCAGCTCCAACCAACTGTAAACACCCTGAGGCCGAGAATCACGTTGGCCTGGGAATTGGAGGGGGTATGGGGCACCCACTCTGCTTACAGCTGAGTTGGCGCACTGGACAGAAGGACAGGACCCAGTGGGCTTCTGCCCTGATGGGGAAGAGGCATCAAAGCTCGCACAGGCCTTCCCTTAGACTCAGCGCAGCCCCCTGGGTTTTGAGCAAACCTGGGTCCTGGTGGGGGGCCAGGGCCTCAGGGTTGGGATGTGGCCACAGTTTCTAGGACAGAGACTGTCAGGCAGTCCCTGAGGACTGACTGTCAAGCCCTGGGGCAGAGGGACTTCTGTAGATGGAAGCCCTCCTGCCAGATCTGCCTTCCGGCAAAGCAGAGGCGCCCTGTGAAGTCGTCTTGGACTCTGTCACTCCCCTCCTGGCGTGTCTAATGCTAGGGCCGGGGGCACTGCTCTGCTGATGTCTTCATGCCTGTGAGTGACTCCACCTGGCTCGTGGGTGACTTGCTGTGGATGTGTTGATTTTTACTTCTTACCTCTGCCCCAGGACAGGGGACACAGAATGGGCCCAACAAATTCAGAGTGCTTTGACTCCCAACTTCAAATGTGTGAAAGGAGATTTTCTCCTCCTTTGTCTGCTTGGCAGAGCCGGGTGGCTGCTCACTGAGTGGCTTTGGGTGTGGCCTAGCCCAGTCAAGAGGTGCTCTGTGCTGCCCCTGCCTGGGGGTCCCAGCCTTGTGCTTGGACTCTGGCCAATCACTGACAAGAGCCCTTCAGTGGCCCCGATGGCATGCCGTGGTGAGCGGTGAGCGGATAAAAGGAAATGTCCCAGTTGGAGGCCGACACATTTCTTCCCATGGGGCCCAGCGCTGATGGTGCCACCAAAACGTAAGGAGAGGAGAATGGGGAGGGCCCTCTGTCCCCAACACGGCTCTGACCTGAAATGACACCGCTACAGTGATACTCCGTCAGGGCGAGATTGCCGAAGCAAATTCTGCACTTGACAGGACAGCATCGCTTCATTTCTCAAATGCTGGGGCCCAGGGAGAGGGGAGAGGAGCCACGTTTGCCACCTCTGTGGTCTGGCCACTTTAGGCATGGGGGCAGGTGGGAGTGCTGCTTGTCAGAAGGCTTGGGTGAGACAGAGGGGGCCACCAAGTCTTCCCCAGGAGCGGTGAGGGAAGGTAGGTGGCTGTGATGGCAGAAGGGGGCTTGTACTCCACTCCCAGCCTGGTTGTCCCCCAGGGTGCTCCCCGCCCACCTGGCTGTGAGGGTCAGTGGCAGCCACCTGCCCTGTGCCTCTGCTCTGGGCAAATTGGACCTTCTCATAGCTCAAGGTTCATTTCAAATGAAGGAGAAATCACAGCCCCACAGTCGTGGGGCAATCAGCACGCTCTGTGATGAATGGAGCCTGTGTCACTCAGCGAAAATGAATATTTCTTTGTGATAATGGCCAGATGGTAGCAACTCTCCGATCCAAATTAAAACATGCATGATAAATGCCAGGAAAACAGAGGAAGACAAAACCCCAACCTGGAGTGAATTCTCTCTATAAATCTTCCCCCCGTCCCCCGCTCCCCCACCACCACAGCGGCCCTGCTAATAGCCATTAAATTATTAAGATGTGCCACAAGGAGAATGCCAATGTCAGTGGCATCGGCCCCACTGCCCACCCCATGCCTGTGGGCTGGGGGGTGGGGAGACGACAGAGGGGGCTGCTTTTAGACCAGCAGAGAGCCTGAAGGTAGGGAGGACGTCTGCGTAGAGATGGGCCTCATGGTACAAGCACAAGGAGGCTGTGGGGCCTGGTGGCCAGCCAGGTTCTGTGGAAGGCCAGACCTGGCTGCCCTCAAGGAGGGCACAGTCTCTGTGAGAGACAGGAGTTAACTGACATAAAGGCTCAGACAGAGGGCAGGGAAAGGGTTTGGAGCTGGGAAGGCCAGTAGGGACCCGCTGGACAAAGCATTGCAGTGGGGTGTACCGTGACGAAAGCTCTGACCAACAACATGGAGCTGGGCAGGTGGGAAGGGTCAGAGATGACTTTCTGAGGATAGACATGCGCCTGAAAGTATGCATGTTCCTGGAGGTCTGGAGGCAGCAGGTCCTGGGCAGGGCAGGGATGGCTTTGGGGCATACATTTCATAGCAATGACGGGCTCCTGAACCTACAGTCTAATTCTCCTGCCCCCTGCCCAACCCCTCATGACTGGAGGCTGCATTGGTCTCTGGATGGTCCCTCTAATTCCCTTTCCAGTGATCCCTGCAGGTGACCTGTCTTCCTAAGTCCAGCTTCTGTCAATCACCAACTCCCTCTCTGGTATCGAAGACTCCCCATCATCTTCTGGAACTGCCTCCCCACCCCAAACTCCTTTGCCTGGCGTTCCCTGAAACCTCTTCTCTGGCCAACTGGTTTCCTCCTTTTGCCCTGGGCAGGCTTTAAGCCATGGCTTCTGCATTCCTGGTCTCAGCAGCTTTTCAGCCTGGAACCCCCTGCAGCAGACACTGTCCTCCAGAGACCCTTCCCTGACTGCTCCAGCGGGCACAGGCCACCCCTCTGCCATGCAGGATGTGCTGTCTCCTCTACTCATTGGATGCTCAGCATGCTGCCGGCTGATCTCCCTGCCCCCAGACTGTAAGCTTCTCTAGGGCCCAGAGCACAGAGGAGGCTTGAAGACATCTCCTCCATGTATCTGTCTGTCATCGCCCATCAGCTCTCCAGGAGCAAGGACTGTCCCTCGAAGTTTAAAGTTATTTGCAACTGGCCATTTATGTGCAGGCCTCAAGCCTCCTAAGACATCTAGGCCAGTCACCCAGTGCCAGGATTTGGTGTCTAGGACGTTGGGATCATGGATTTTCCCCGATAAGGGTCCCGGCTGACCTCTAGATTTCTGCAAAGCCTTCGTCATTGCCAGGCCCTAGACAGACAAGGCCATGCCTGGTCAGGTTGGTTCTCAACCTGGGCATACATGGAGTTTCTCTACCTGCTCCTCCCAGCTGACCCTCCACACTCAGATAGCACAGACAGGCTCATCCTGCTGCTGGCTGGGCTTGCACCTGGGCAGGTTCAGCTTCAGACCCTCTTTGAGGACACCTGGCTGGGCTTTGACCTGGGCAGGTCCAGCCTCAGACCCTCTCTGAGGACCCCTACTACCCACCCATGCCAAAGGGTATGTGGGGTGGGGGCATGAGAAGCTAAAGAACCCAGCCTGAAGACTGAGGCAGGACCCATCCTCATCCTTAATGGATCTGATGGTTGGTATTGATGCTGGAAGAACTTCCTCTAGGTGTCAGCACCCCAGCACAGATCCGAGGGAGGACAGCAAGGCTTGGAAGACTGCCCAGAAAGACAGAGGTGCAAAGGCTGATTACTAGCCATGTGTTGTTGAGGAAGTCACCTCTCTTCTCCAAGCTCTCATTTTCCCCTCCATAAAATGGGAGTGATCCTCACCCAATTGTGCAGGGCTGCTGTAAGGCTCAAGGCACTCTTATTGGAGGCTCTGGGGTGACTTAATGAGAGGATTGAGGCCCCACTGGCTCTATTTACCTTCCTTCCAGAGCCCTAGCAGCTGCTGCTACAGGCAGTAATTGGTCCCCATGTGCCTTGTCCTGGGCTGGGTAGGGAAAAAGCAGATCCCGCTAACAGAGGCAGGGCATGACCAGGAAGACTGGATGGGAGAACGAACTAGAGAAACAAGACTCCAGGATGGGCCTGGTAAGCTTGGGCTAGAGGATGAGAAGAGACGACGTCCCCCAAATGCAGATACTATGCGCGTGTGCACGAGCAGAGGTATGCGCGCCCTGGGATGTCAGCAGCAATGAGATTCATGGTTTACCAAATCTGGGTCTTTCTATTCCAGAAAGTGGACCCTGCTCTTCAGCCAAACCATTTCTTCATTACTTTGAAATATCTAGGATGCCACATTTTTGCCTTGCTTGTCTCTGTTTTCATGCCTTTGCCTGTGACACAGTCCAGATTTGTCCTCTCAGTAGACTTGTCATTCCCATAATCACCACCCCCAGGAAGCCTTCCTTATCCCATTCCATTCTGGCAATTCACATGCTCAATATAGCTGTGGCCCCAGGCAGTATGATTTCTATTTGCACTTGTCAATCAAACCTTGCCAGAGGTCATCACCCCTGCCACCTCCTCTCTTTTCCCATGGACTGGACTATAAAAATAAAATGACAACTTCAACAGCTGTCATCAAGGAAGATTCCATAGTTCACCAACTATGTTTCTCCCGTGGCAGCTCCGAAGGGGTGTCACCATCCACTTTGCAATAGGATGATGCAGCTCTCGGGGCAAGACAGCACTGTGAGAAGGGGATGGAACTGGGACCAGAGGGCTTGGCGGGCAGTGAAGCCCAGCCAGGTCCCTGCTCCCCGCCTGCTCTCGCTCCCTCCCTCTATCCAGTTCAGCAGGCCTAGACGACTGCTTCCAAAACTCCATTTCTATCACATAACTCCCCTGCCCAAAAGCTTTAGATGGCTTCCCTTTACCTAAATGTATCCATTTAAAGCAGCTTCTGGAAATCATTGCTCCCCTGCAAAGTAGGCCCCCCATTCTGGCCTCTTGGGGTCTTCCAAGCCTGCCTTAGTTCAGATTATTTTCCCACTCGGGAAGCTCTGCTCTTTGAGCTCTTCCGTGCTCAGATCCTCCTCCCCTCTGAAGGCCAGGCAGGTGCTACCACTTCTGATCTCTCTGGTTCATGCCGTCTCATCCCTCTTCCTGTCCCTCCCCCCAATCACCTGTCCCTGCACACCCTGCCATTCCCGTGTTTTATCAGGCTGTTCCCAGTGCGGTGTGCCGGGGCCAGGGGGACGCTGGATACATCACGTTCAGGGCTCACTCAGTGCTCACTTGGTACACCAGGGCTCACTCTGTGCTGTGTGGAGGACACCACCTAGCCCTGGGAGGATTGCCTGGGAACTTTCTCTCCTCTCGCCCATCTCCCAAGGAAGTGGGGGTCTCTCTCCTCCACGCTCACATAGTGGCCGGGCCAGACGGTAGTGACATGGGAGTGGCGATGGGATGGGACACGAGAAGGCCGTGGTGCCTTCTCTCTGTCATTCCTATTCCTGGGCACACAGGCATGAGGCAGCTTTTAAATATCATCCAGAAGCCCATTTGCTATGATTAATATCCCATTTCCCCTGAAACAATCCTTTGCTAAATTAGCCGGGGCCACAGGGAATTTGTCGAGGAGCTGCGAGTCTCAACTTAACTTTCCAAATGGATTAAAAAAACTTCAAAAACAAAATGCAGATCAATCAACACCCCCTCCCACAGCTGAAAATCTAAAGTCCATTTAAATTCAGCAGGTTTGCAGTTAATTATATTTTCGCACCTATGGCAGGAGTTACAGACGTATTTATAATGTGTGCCTGCTCCGCTGGTGCCTCTGCAGGGCCCTCTCTGGGAACTCTTCCCCACCAGCCACTTCCTTCCCCAACCACGAAGACCAATTCTTCACGCAGCTGCTGTTTGGGTCCAGTTGTGTAAATAGAAGAGGCTTCCTAGCTTTTTAAAACTTATTTTTACAAAGGGGCTTAAGAAAGAAAGGAGATAAAGATTCTCTTAAATTTTAAGTCAGAAGGGCTGGCCTGGTGGCTCACACCTGTAATCCCAGCACTTTGGGAGGCTGAGGCGGGTGGATCACGAGGTCACGAGTTCGAGATCAGCCTGGCCAAGATGGTAAAACCCCGTCTCTACTAAAAATACAAAAAATTAGCTGGGCATGGTGGCACGCGCCTATAATCCCAGCTACTCAGAAGGCTGAGGCAGGAGAATTGCTTGAACCCGGGAGGCGGAGGTTGCAGTGAGCCAGGATCATGCCACTGCACTCCAGCCTGGGCGACAGAACCAGACTCCGTCTCAAAAAAAAAAAAAAAAAATTAAGTCAGAAGGAACAGGGATCGTCCGGGCGCGGTGGCTTATGCCTATAATCCCAGCACTTTGGGAGGCCGAGGCAGGAGGATCATGAGGTCAGGAGATCGAGACCATCCTGGCTAACATGGTGAAACCCCATCTCTACTAAAAATACAAAAAATTAGCCAGGCATGGTGGCGGGCGCCTGTAGTCCCAGCTACTCGGGAGGCTGAGGCAGGAGAATGGCATGAACCTGGGAGGTGGAACTTGCAGTGAGCCCATATCACGCCACTGCACTCCAGCCTGGGCTACAGAGCGAGATTCCGTCTCAAAAAAAAAAAAAAAAAAAAGAAAAAAAAAAAAAGAAGGAACAGGGATCATTGAGAATAAAACCCCAGGGCAGAGAAATGCTGCACTGTGATCTAGGGAACCTAATGGCTGGAAATGCTAAAGCAAAAATGGCAGGGAATGTGGTCAGATAGGTGACAGAACTTCCTGACCATCAAGGAAGTCATACCCTGGGCGAGCAGCTGGGCCTGGCCAGTTGCTAATCTGGCCAGTTGCTAATCCTTCAGCCCTTCCTAAACTTTCAAACCACCTGCACAGCGCCTGTCTGAGCACCACGGACTGCCCGGCCATGCTGTCTTATGTCTCACACAAACCTCTTGTGTTGTAATGTCATTTCTTAAACATCAGCCCCCAATAAACCTGGGATTCAAGTATACAAAAGATCTGTCAGGACATACGCTTGGCACTGGTTGGTGTTCAAGGGAAAACATGCCCACCTATAGCTTGAGAAATTCAGGTAGGGGATAGGGCAGGACAGGCAGGCAAAGCAGGAGCCCAAGGCATGGAGAGGAGACTGAAAGAGGCTGTGGAGTTGTTTTACTTCTTAAAAATGTTTTAAAATGGAAGCTGGGTGAGAGACAGACTCATAGGGTAGGGGTAGGGTAGACACAAGGGCTCCTGCCCACCCCCCAGGCCTAGGAGGTGCTGTGTCCTGGCCAACTGGGCAGATAACTATTCCCCAATCCAAACTCCCCTTGGTTTCCTGTGATGCCTCCCCAGGACCCTTGGCCAAGGACATGGCTGTGGAAGGGCTATGGTGATGAGCTGTGGACGTCCAGGTCTGGAGCAGGGTCTGGAACAAGGATATGTAGCCCCCAAAACACATATACAGGGGCCACAAGTGGAGCCCACACACAGCCCACCTTTCGGAGGCCTCTGTGGGACAGAAAAGTGTGGAAGCAGGTGGGCAGGTGAGGGTGGGGGTCTCCGGCTCTGAGGGGCAGACTCCTTCTCCTTCAGTCACTGGACGCCTTCTCTCTCAGACTGCACCCTCCATGCTGGGGTGGGGTTAGCTCTGCTCATCCCAGGGTCTCCCAGGCAGAGTCCAAACCAACACCAAATCAATGGGTAAGGACATGCTGGACCTGGGAGGAGGCTCTTAGTTTCTTATGGACTCAGCGTAATTTCAGATTAATTTTCAACGTGCTGTGGTCCCAGCCCTCTGGATGTTTCTCTGCAGCCCCTCCTGCCTGGGCCGAGGGCTTCCTCAGCAGAGCTCTGAGAAGTTTCTGTGCACCCAGATGCTTTTGTCCAGTGAGTCACTCGCTGACTCCTAAGATTGGAAAATTGACACTTCTGTATATTGAATTTTTGTAAAGCGGGGCCAGCTTGCACATCCAGTTCATCTGCACACTCGCTAAACTGCCTTCCTAGTGTGGGAGAGAATAGCTAGAAGATTCTGGAAGGGAGAAACCCAGTACCAAAAGTCAGCAGTTGTGGCTAGGGGTCTCCCCAGCCATGCCCCAGAGCCTGTCCCACCGCAGCCACTGGACGCTGCCCCCACCCAGGCCCGCACTCCACAGCTGGTGGGGCCCTTGAAGCCCTTGCAGACAACACATTGTCTGTGTCTGTTTAGAAATAAAATAATGCTCGGAGGAGTAATGAGGAATTTAATAGGATTTTAAAAGCCGCAGGAACCGATAGGGCTACAGATGGTGGAGGGGCCAGGAGGATGCAATCGGCCACGGGTTTATGGTGGGGAACGTGGCCTCAGGGAGGGCCTGGGAGCCCAGTCACTCACATTGTATCCAACCTCATTAGCTGGCCCAGCGGGACTCCGCTGCCACATCAGTGCTGGCATGGTGAGGGGGGATGCCCTGAAGACCCTGTGAAGTATGCTGGGAGCACCTAAAGGCTGCAGGAACGCTGGACACTTGGCCAGCAGCTGTCTCAGGGATGCCTCCCAGGCTGTCACACCTGACCCCAACCCTCTCATGCCTTCCTCACCCTGCCCAGGTACCACCAGAGACAGGCTGAGAGACAGGGACACAGAGACACAAGATGCAGGAGTGCAGGGAGGGAAGAAACACTGGCTTCCGGCCACACGGTGGCTCACGCCTATAATCCCAGCACTTTGGGAATCTGAGGCAGGTGGATCATTTGAGGTTAGGAGTTCAAGACCAGCCTGGCCAACATGGTGAAACTCTGTATCTACTAAAAATACACACACACAAAAATTTGCTGGGCATGGTGGCGGGCACCTGTAATCCCAGCTACTCTGGGGGCTGCGGCAGGAGGATCGCTTAAACCTGGGAGGTGGAGGTTGCAGTGAGCCTAGATAGCACCACTGCGCTCCAGCCTGGGTGACAGAGTGAGACTGTCTCAAAAGAAAGAAAGACAGACAGAAAAAGAAAGAAAGAAAAGGAAAGAAAGATACACGGGCATGGGCTCCCAGGTCCAGATACAGAGGCCAAGGGAGGAAGATGAGCAATTCTGCAGGACTTGGGGAGGGTAGGGGAACATAAAAGATGTTCATTCACCCTCTGAAACGTCCCAGGGGTTCTGCAGATAGCTTACTGCCACCACCCTGCCAGGGCCCCCTTCCTGGCTGGTGCCCCAGGCTGCTCCCCTTTCCGTCCTCCAGCCTCCCCTGCAGCTTGTGGGGGGAACAACAGGACATTCTCACGGCCAGCTCAGCCCTGCCTGCCTTCACCTGCCTACCTTGCTTCTCCTGGGTTCAGTTCTCAGCTGCCTGCTTTGCTGATCTGCCCTGGGCCTGATAGAAGCCCCTGAAGGAAAATAGGCTCCCATTGACCAGGGAGAGACTCGGGAGCCTCTCAGTGGTGGGACCTCCAGCCCGGGCCTCACTTGCCACAGCCAGAAGTGTGTTGTCGGCCGGTGGTTTCATCTGGCAGCTTCTCTATGCAATCGGGCCCGATTCTGCTGTGCAGGTGGCCACCTGTGTGTGTCTGTGTGTCGTGTGCTTTTCAGTTCTGGGTTCCTGGAGAGGGTGGCAGACCCTGGAAGGTGGTTTTCTTTCTTGCTGTGTTCCCTCTGGATGGACTCCCCAGTGCTAGACCCGCTCCCTCCCAAGCCTGTGCCTTGGGAGACAAGAGTTGGGCCTGTTATCCCCAAGGCCCTGCTGAACAGAGCTTCCACTTGGTTCTCATGTGGCCACTGGGTAGAAAGAGACAAAGGGAGCCCACAGGACAGACAGAGACAGAGGCAGACACAGGCCCAGAAACACAGACAAGATGAGCACGGGCAGGTGGCAGCCCCTAGGGAGTCCTCAAGTCCCCTCTTTCCCAGGACTCTCCTCCCAACTCTTCATGGTTTCTAACTTCTCCCCAGCCAGCCACCTTGCTGGCTTTTCTGTCATTTCGTGTTGATGAGATAAAACCTGGTGGTCCCAGTCTGTGCCCCACCCCAGCCAGCATCATCAAAGACCGTCCCCACCTCCTAGCAGTAACCATCACACTGGGGTTTAGCCAAAGTGGGCCTTGTCTGCTCTGTGTCTGGAGGACCCCAGGGTGCTGTCACACAGTTTTCCCATGGAGCACCCCCCAGTGTGCCATGCACTCATGGTCACTGACAGAGGCACTGCAGACACACGCCCAGTTCCGCACATGCACCCAGGGAGGCGGGAAAGAAACGTCCTCCCCAGGGACACAGGGGAGATAGCACGCATCTGCAGTCTGCTATACCTGACCCAGGTATCAGCCACTCGTCCCCTCCTTCAGGGCCCCTGTCTGGCTGCTGATCCTCTTCGGCCCACTAAGCGGGGTGGGCACACACATCCGTTCAGCCCAGGAGCTTTCCAAGCAAGCTGGCTGCCTGAGGCCATGGTAGTCAGAGCCTCTACCCCCTCATCTCTGACTCCCTGAAAGGAGGCCCTACAACCTGGCTGCAGGAGGTACCTTGGTGGGGGAACTGTCCTGTCACCTGGACTGAGACCTGGGAGGAGAGGAAGTGGTCAGGGCTGCAGGGCAGCTTCCTAGGGACACCCATGGAGACTCCATTTAGAAGCTGAGCATGAGCCAGCATGAGCAAGACCCCAGCATGGGGTCTTGGGGTGGGGTGTGTCTGCCTGCCAGGAGGCATAGGACACTGCAGCGCATGCCCTAGGGAGGTATCATCACCTCTGAGGGGGCCAGCTGCCATGTTCAGGGCAGGCAGGGAGGGGCCTGCTCTCCACCTGGCTCTGTCCCCAGCCAGCATCACTGGTTAATGAATTGGTTTGCTTATATTGGGGATAAATCTGAGTTTAAATACAACTTGCTCCAGTGTGCTTTTGGGGATAACTGGATCCCCCATGCAGACAGATGACTCCTGGGGAGGCTCTTCTTTGGCCTTCCTTCCCTACTTAATTGGAACCCCAGATCCTGGTGGTGGTAGCAGGGGCCCTCTCTCTTCTCTTCCTGCCCAGGGACATTCCAGCCCTCTCTCTGTCTGTGATCTCTTGCCCAGGATCAGTGCTCCTGCTTCCAATGGTGACAAGCCCAACCCCTTGGCCTTGTGTTCGAGGCCCCATTTTAACTTTGTGTCCTCACTGTATCCCAGCTCTCCACCTCTTGATCTAATTCCTAATTCCCACCTCCTCCAGGAAGCCCTTCCTGCTTGCTCCAGGCCACAGTGAATTCTCTCTTCTCTGACCCACTCCTACCCTGGTCTTTCATGTCTCATGAGTAGGTCTGGGAGCTCCTTGTCCAGCCTAGCCCTGCCTCCCTCACCTGGAACCCTGCTCCTCTCACTTCAGCCACCTTGAGAATGGGCCTAAAGGTGAGACAAATGTCTGTGGTGTCTTCCCACTGCCTCTAGGCCACCCAGAGTCCGAGAAGCCCTCCTGGGAGTGAGAGGAATATAGGTAATCTGGGTTCTGGTGGCTGACAGGTAGGAGTTGGAATTTTGGTTCTGCCACTTTCTGTCTGTGTGCCCTGGAACAAGTTATCTAGCCTCTCTGTGCCTTGGTTTGTGCCTTTAAGTGGGGCCAAGAACATCCATACCTTGAGGTTGCTGTATAAATTAAACATATTTCCGGCCGGGCGCGGTGGCTTATGCCTATAATCCCAGCACTTTGGGAGGCCAAGGCAGAAGGATCACCTGAGGTCAGGAGTTCAAGACCAGCCTGGCCAACATGGTAAAACCCCATCTCTACTAATAATACAAAAATTAGCTAGGCGTGGTGGCGCACACTTGTAATCCCAGCTACTCCGGAGGCTGAGGCAGGAGAATCACTTGAACCCGGGAGGCGGAGGTTGCAGTGAGCCAAGATCGTGCTATCGCACTCCAGCCTGGGCAACAAAAGCAAAGTTTCATTTCATCTCAAAAACAAAACAAAACCATATTTCCATAAAATCCCTAACACTCAGTCAGTGTTCTGTAAATAACAGCTTTGTGGATAATGACTCCTGAGACCCCCAGGTAAGGAGATGGAGGCCCAGAGAAGGTGGTGTGCCTCAGCTGGAGCTCATTCCGGATAAGAACCTTCCACAAAAACAAGAACTGCATCCTATACTCTTCCTGGACTCTTCCTGGTGCTTGCTCCAGCCAAGCACTCAGCCAGCTCCACTTCCCTCTGTACTTGTATCTCCACTCCAACCCCTCCAGAGGCAAGGCTGGCACTGCCCTCACACCAAAGAAAAAAGAGCTCCCTGAACTGCTCCTGATAGGACAGTGGCCTGTCAGCCTCAGCCAGCAATCCATGTGTGTCAGAGACAGGAGCCCTGAAAGTTACAAAGCCTCTCCTGTGCACACAGACCTGCCAACTCTCCGCCATGCCCATCCCTAGACACCCCCACACCTCATGTGTGTGGGTGGATGTGACCGGGAATGTGTCTAGAGGCCTGAGATGGGGGATGAGAAGGTGGAACCACGATATGGCCATGCAGTGGGCTGCAGCCTGCTCTGTGCTGGGCGAGGTGGAGAGAAGCCTTCCTCCTGCCCCCTGGCCAAAGGCCCCGCATGTTCCCCAAATCCTAAGCAGATAAGACATCTTTCTGTGCTGCTTATGAGCATTCAAGTGTGCCTGGAGGGCAGCTGTGGATGGGTGTCCTGTGTCCTCTGGGTTTCGGGGACTCGTAACCTGGTTCACTGCTGAGCCAGGGCTGGGGCTGACCCTCCCCCTCCTTCTGCGGCCACTGCTGGCTTCTGCTCCCCTCGCACCACTGTGCCCCAGTCTTCCCTCACCCACTGTCTTCAAGGCCTCGCTCCCCCTCCTCCTCCTGCCGCTTATCCCCTCACCTCTCTACTTTTCTCACCTCCTTCCCTTCTCTCCTCTCCTCCTGCCCGCTGCCGTCATGCCACCTCCTCCACCCCTCTCCCATTCCTTCTCTCCATTCCCCTCTCCTGTTGCCTATTTCTTTAATCTTCTAAAATGTTCACTTCTCCCCCCTTCCCCTTCTCCCCAGAAGTATTTAATGGCTATTAAATTATTTTAAACTAACTTTCTTTTAAAAAAAAAACCACACAGCTTGGTGATAGTGCTGACTCAGGGCCATCTCACTGTTTAATATTGAATATGCAATTAATAGAAAGATGTTTAGGTTTGGCTTTCCCTACACCTCCCCCCCCCCCCACTTTCTACTGCAAGAAGAATAAAAGAGCTGAGTAATCTGGTTTGGGGCGAGTGTTAGCCACAGGAGATATATGGGAGAAAGCCGATGAGGTTAGCATCTTGGAGTCAGAGAGCTATTGCCTCTGAGGCAAGTTCAGGGAGAGAAAGGTTTGAGTTAGAGCCCAGCACGGCCTTGCTGGGCAGAGGGGATTCCAGACATCCCTCTCCAGTGCTGGAGAAAATGGCCTGGACTCTGACCTGCCTGCTCCACACCAGATGGCACCTCCTTATGGCCCTCAGAGGCCTGGGTCGGTGGCCCTTGTTCATGCCATCCCCCCTTCTCAAGCTGTGGGATCTCCCACCTTCAAGACCAGAAGGGCCACCTCCCCTGAGGCCTCTGGCTGCCCCCGCCTGGGGGATCTCCTCTCCGGAACTGCTGCTGGCACCTACTATCCCAGCTTTCCTGCCCATCCATGACAGCTTCCGTGTGTCACTGCCTCCTGGCCGGGCCGTGTGAACTGGGGGCTGCAGGTGAGTCACTGTGTGCCTGGGTGACGGTCTCCAGGAGACACCCCTCGCACTGCTGTGGGCCTCATGTGCCCTGGACGAGGCTGAGTGAGGATGGCACTCCTCTCACTGCCAAGGAAGGGACAGGAGCAGGCAGCACAAACCACATGGGCTTCGCTCACGTGGGCCCCTCACGCCTGAAGCATCTCTAACCCTCAACCAACTGGACCTTGACTACCGGGGTCCTTAGGACCAGAGCACTCCATTGGTGTGAGGAGGTGCGTCTATGCCCTGGGGCATGGGATCCCTTCAGGCAGCCCCAAGACACCAGCCCAAGCCCTAGTGGGTAGGATCTGAGGTCCGGGTTGGGAGGGGGCCTGAGTCCTAGAGGCCTTGTGCCTAAGTCAGTGCCCTGCTGGGGCTGGAGGGCAGAGGCCTGACTGAGGGGATGAAGGAGTGTTCTGAGCAGGCACAGGCCCCAAGGATGAACAGATCACCAGCGGCCACACCACAGCACCCTCCAGGACAACTGGCTCTCCAAATTTGCAAGTAGCTTTCACCTGCTCGACATTTTGCCCTTGATTTCCCGGTAAACTTTCTGAGAAATGAGGGGGAGAGAAATTCCTCGGTTCCTGGCTGATCTAAAGAGCAGGGAGAAACCCAGAGCACTGGGCCTGGGCCTGGGCCTGGGCCAGGGGAGGGTGGTGAACAGGGACACTTGGGCCAGAGCCCAGGGTGTGGCAGGGTTGGCAGAAGCCAAGAGCTCCTGGCTGGGAGGTGGAGGGCAGCTGCGACTGGCTGTCCCATCTTACTACCTGGGCCCTCATGCTGGACACCCCAGCCCTGGCGGGGGGAAGGGTAGGCTGGGGCCACCTTGGAGGCTGTACCTAATGTCACCTTCTCAGGGCAACAAAAGGCCCCAACTCCAGCTGGGCGCGGTGGCTCACGCCTGTAATCCCAGCACTTTGGGAGGCCGAGGCGGGCAGATCACAAGGTCCGGAGATTGAGACCATCCTGGCTAACACAGTGAAACCCCATCTCTACTAAAAATACAAAAATTAGCTGGGTGTGGCGGCATGCGCCTGTAGTCCCAGCTGCTGAGGAGGCTGAGGCAGGAGAATGGCGTGAACCCGGGAGGCGGAGCTTGCAGTGAGCCGAGATCACACCACTGCACTCCAGCCTGGGCGACAGAGTGAGACTCCATCTCAAAAAAAAAAAAAAAAAAAAAGGCCCCAACTCCTTACGCTCCCCTTGGTGGCCTCATGGGTGTTCTCAATTTTTCTAAACCCTTTCCGGGCTGCTCCTGTCTCTGGCGGAAGAGCAGCCAAGGTCTCTCCCATAGTGGGAGGAGGCTGGAGGTAGGAAGCCACCGCCCGTCTGTCCTCTGGGAGTGTCTCACTTCTGTATGGCTGTTTGGCTCACTGCCTGGCTGTGCCTCTGTGGGAACTTGGGCTGGGGGCCCTAGATGGTGGAGAGGACAGAGTCTCTACTCGGGGGTCCTTCACCTGCTCGGAGCCTCCGTTTGGCCCCCTTCTCCGGGGAAGTGGCTGAGAGCTCAGTTCAGAGCAACGTCTGGGCAGGGCCCAGAGGGGATGAGGCTCAGTGTGAGTGCCGGGGACTAGTGATCAAGAAGGACAATGCCCTTCTCCCAAGGAGGTGGGCCAGGAAGAGGGCACCTGGCAGGGGCCTGCACATTCTTCTACCCTATGGGGCTGGGGAGTCTGTTTCTCTCCCACAGGTGAGGTGTGATGGGCTCTGTATCACTGGGGCAGTTTGTTGCAGGAGGAGCTGGTGCCCGGGTAGGGGAGGCCTGATCTTGGATGCTGGATGTATTTTCTTTGCCATGTCCTTGCCTTTCATTTTCTTTTAATGTCAGAGTATGTTTGAATCTCATCTAGGGGAGCCTAGGGCCAGGGCTGTGCCTAGGGTGGGCCCTGGTTAACCCTGTGGCTGGGATGGGGGGGGCAGTACAGACACACAGGCACTGTGCCAAGAGGATGCTGTCACTTGGTGACGGAGCTGCCCCTGGCTGGCCGTCTGCCTAACCCTTCCAGCGGTGAGCCTCAAGGTGCTGCATTCCCTTACTCAGGCTCTCCACGGCCAGTCTCCAGTGGGCTCCACATTCTAGGACAAGCGTCTGTGGAGTGAGGCTGTGTCCTTCCCCTCTGTCCCTTTCCAGACACCTGTCTGACTGCCTGCCTCTATCTCCAGGATCTCTGCCTCAGTGCTGGCCTTGAGTGCCCACACTCCCATGGACCACTCAGATTTGCCTCCTTGGCCTGAATCCTCCTACAGCACAGCTGTGACCACTTCTTGTCTCCCTTCTAACTGCACAAGCCCCATCACGGTGGGGTTTTCCTTGTCCACATCGAGGTGGGCACACCCTTTTGGGTGTTTTAATGGAGGGGAGAAGAATATCCTGGGACATGGCACTTGTTTACTCAGAGACGCATAAACCGCACCGTCTGGAAGACCCCAAACACCCCCCTTCCCTCCTGTCTCTCTCCACACCAGTCACCCAGAGCTCCAAAGCTCTGTCCCCAACCCTCAGCCACGAGATCCCCAGAGGGGCAAGAGGAGGAGGCGGGGAGTCGCTGCATCGCCTTGCTGCGTCGGGAAAAGGAGGGAGGAGTGAGAGGGGGAGGGGGAGGGGCAGAGACAAGTGGGCCCTCACGTGAAGGGGGCTGGCGCAGGCAGCTACTACCTCCTCGGCTCTCGCTGTCCGCAGGCTTCACCTGGATCGGCCGGTTCATCTGCAACAGAGCAGAGGGGGACAGCATTATAGCAGGCCTGCGGGTGAGGGGACAGACACCCAGCACTCAGGTGCACAGGTGAATGCGAGTATACAGACTGCACCCACAGACACGCGCTCCCACAACATGCTGCTGCAAGCACACACACCTTCACCAAAGTGCTGCCCGTCTCCCCTCGACGGCACGGCCCCATGGCCCCATTCTTTCAGGGGGGTGTCTCTGGACAGGAGACTTTGAGATGCCTCCTCCTCCTACTCCGAGCAGCAGCTCCTACTAGCCTTTGATATCAGAATCTGAGGTTGACAGAAATGCTGGCCTGTCCCTCTGTGTCACACAGGCCTTTGTGTCACCAAAGCACACCCTTGGCTCAGCCCTGGTTCACTCAAACATCTGCCTTTATGGAAATGAGCTGGTCACTGGCTGCAGATGGACCCCACCCAGGCCAGGGCATCCAGCTTGATCCCAGCCCGTACCAGCTCGCAGAAGTGGCCTATGGGTCAGGCGTGGCCAAGGCTCTGGGCCGTCCAGCTCCATGGTTAAAGCAGAGCTCAGGGCTGGGGCTCCATATTGCAGCCAGGGCTGTTCTCTCAGGGAGTGCGTGGAGTGGGCACAGCTACTTGTCCCCTGTGGTGTCTGGGTGCCAGGAGGACAGGAGAGCAATGCCTGACTCCCCTAGCCGCCGGCCTCTCTCTTCCCTCTCGGGGATCTGTGTCAATGGCCCATTCAGGGCACTAGGGGTCTCTGGACTCCAAGCATCCCGGGCTTGGCTGCCTGGCTTCAGGGCTCACCGGGAGGCACCAGGGTGGGCTCTACAGCCCGGAGGTCTCAGAGTGGTTTAAGCAACAAACGTGAGGAGGATCACGCCAGCGGATTCTGACCTGATGTCTTCACCAGTGCTTCTGCCCTTACGCACCTCCCTGAGCCCTTCTTGCATCTGCATTTCTCTCACAAACTCAGACTCAGAGAGGTAGTGGGGCAGGTACAAACACCCCCATTTTAGAGATGGAGAGGCTGAGGCCAAGAGGCATTCAGGTGCTTCCCAAGGCCACCACGTGGCAGGACATGGCTGGGAAGTGGGGCCTGTGGGGTGATTTCTGCATGTCTGTCCTGCGCTTTGAGACCTTCCGTTGCCAATTCCCTCCCGTACAGCGGCTGGACCAGCCAGTCACAAGCTTCCTCCTACCTTCTGCTCTAGGACTCGAAGTGAGTTTTGGCTGCGTCAGGACAACTGGGTGGGGGAGTATGGGTGCCTGTGACTCAGCAAGGTGAGCACAAGGCCAGTGGAAGGGCAGAGCCGTGGCCGGGAAGGACAGAGATGGGAGGCAGGACGCAGCCGACAAGGAAGGAGGCACAGGTAGCCAGAGGCAGCAGGGGAGGATGCCAGGGCCAGCCCACCGAGAGGGGCGAGGGTGTCATTGTTCACCACCAGGTCCCCACTTGACATCCCTTATGGAGTTGAGGGGAAGCAAGATACTTTGTTCCCAAGCCCTGGCAGCAGAGAACTCTGCCATGTTACAGCAAATTCCAATCACAGGGAGAAGAAGGAGGAACGTAATGAAGTTCCTGGGTTCCCTGTGAACGAGCTCCTTTCCAGTCTTTGAGGGAAAGATCCAGAAGGCCGCCCAGGCATCTGGCTATGGGAGAGGGGCTCCAGGAGGGAGCCAGGTTGCTCCTGGTTCCCTGTCCAGTACTGTTTGGGACTCAGCATCTCACCCTTTCCTAGGCTGCCATGTCCTCCTGGAATGCCCCGCCCTCCTAGCCTTCCCTTCCCTGAAACCTGTAGCATTCTTCTCCCCCAAACAGGTCTTAAGGACTGACCTGGACCCAGTTCCAGCCCTGATGCTCTCTTGGACAGATTTCTACAGCTTTTCTGCTTATGTAATTTTACAATTCTCTGAGGTAGGGATTATTATATCCATCTTTTCAATGAGAAGAACAAAGCTCTGAGGAGCGGCAGAGCTGGGATTCAGCCAGGATGAGTAGGCACATGAGTGCTACCAACACAACGGCCTTTAGCTTTGTCATATTTTATCTCAGTTGACCTCAGCTGCTCCAGGAGGAGAGGACCAAGGAGGAAGTAAGTGGGAAAAGTACCCATTCCATAAAGGGAGATTGAGGCCAGGTTCTTTGGGCCAGCAAATCAAGCATCTTTTCTGCCTGACCCCCACCCCACAAAATCTGGCCCCACCACCTCTTGTACCACTCCCACCACACATCCTGGCACCTTCCTCCCCCAAGTCCATTCCCTGGGCCTTC
Organism: Homo sapiens; assembly: GCF_000001405.40. NCBI lineage: Eukaryota > Metazoa > Chordata > Mammalia > Primates > Hominidae > Homo > Homo sapiens. The sequence goes on from NC_000018.10 coordinate 37,324,138, forward strand.
AAGCTCCCTGCTGTCCCTCCCAGCCTCCTCCTCTTGACAGTCTATTCATTCTTTGAGCCTAGTCCACTTAGCTTCTGTATGGACTGAAGTGTGTCCCGCCAAAATTCATACAGTGAAGCCCTAACCCCCATTGTGACTGTATTTGGAAATGGTACCTTTAAGGAGGTACTTAAGGTTGAATGGAGTTATAAGAGTAGGGCCCTCATCCCATATGATTGATGTCCTCACAAGAAGAGGAAGAGACACCAGGGATGTGCACACAGAGAGAAAACCATAGGAGGACACAGCGAGAAGGCCGCCATCTTCAAGCCAGGAAGAGAGCCCTCACCAGAAACCAATCCTGCCCACACCTTGATCTTGGGCTTCCAGCCTCCGGAGCTGTGAGAAATACATTTCCGTTGTTTAAGCCACCTGGTCTGTGGTACTTTGCTATGACAGCTCTAGCCAACGAATAAGCCCCCTAGTTCATGAAGCCTGGTTGGTACCCCATTGGGAAGGGTACTACAAGGAGCTCCCTGTTTTCCATTAAAAAGGTACACTCAAGGCTGGAAATTGACTTGCAAGTGGAGGTGGTGCTTAAGTGACCCAGGCCTCCCCAAGGATCCATAACACCCCTGAGAACAGGAACAGCTGCTATACTGATCGCATTGCTAGATCATCACAACTTCTCCTGTGATGTATGCAAATAGATTATCTCTAACTTCAGTCAAGGAAATGGAGTCTCAGATAGGTTAAGAAGTTAGCCTGAGGTCACAAAGGTTGTAAATGGTGATATCAAGATGAACCCAGGACTCCTGACATCTGCCTACTCATTTAAGAGATGCTGGGAACAGGTGGAATGGGCTTGGGATGGTCCAGGAAAGTTCCAAGCAGAGGCCAGGAGTGTGGGGGAAAGAGAGGAGAGCAGGGAGCCAGATGGGGAATTCAGGCTTCCCCTGCAAGGCTGGGAGGAAGGCCTGGCTGAGAAGGGGCAGGCACAGGGGTGTGAACCAGAATCTGTTGGGCTTTGTCGCTCTGTCCCAACGGGGGAGTGAGGCCATTCCTGAGGCAGGAGACTCCATTCCTAGGGCCAGAGCATGCTAGGCAGACCCCACATCCCTAGGGGCCTCATCCTGTGTGGGAGGAAGGCTGGGACCACTGGAGGAGACTCCTTTCCTGGCACCTTGTTTCTGTGTTTTACAGCCAGTCTTCTCTAGTCGGGCCTGAGAGCAGCTGGGGTGAGTCCTGCGGATTCGCCTGGCCAGGATAGAGCTATTTCTGAAATGACGGGTCCCATTTTCCATGGTAAATTAAACTGGGCAAATGAAATCTCCCTGTGTCTGGAGGCTTCCACCCTAGATGCCACCCCAGTTGCAGGCAGCCAGCCCACTGTCCTTGGCATCTGGGCACCTGTGATGCTTTGGCCTAACATCCCTGCTGCAGGAGCCCTCCCAACCAGACGGGCCCTGGATGGTGCAGGCAGACCTCCTCCATGGCGTGCTGTTGGGCTCACCCCTCACACACAGGCCCCTCTGCTTCCCTCCAGTTTTACTGTGGGCTTTCTGACAGCAGGGACATGGAGTCTCATCCAGCCTCCCAGCTGCCTTCAGCCATGGGCTAGGCACCTATGGGGTGCTCTAAACAGATTGGTAAAGGAGAACGGAATTGGTTCCCATGCAGCCATGGCTCCTGGGGTCATTTTCCATGTGCCATTATAATCTGATGGTGGTCAGCATCCAGACAGCCTTTGAGGGGCTTGTCAGAGAGGTGCCGGGCTAGATGGTGAGATAATATACGGCCCTGTGCTTTCTTAATTCTCAGCAGAAATAAAGTGTCAGTCTTGGTCGGGAAGATTTCTCAGCTGGAGCAGGCTCTGTACAGGTGGCCCTGGCCTGAAGAGAAACCTTCCTCCCTCCCCTGGTCCTTGGCCAGCCTCACTCAGCCCTGACTCTGCCCTGAAGAGGGAGGAGGATGGAGCACATCTGTCCTGGGAGAGGAGGCCGGGCCAGGCTGCAGAGATCGGGAGAGAACAAGGCAGAGCATGACGACAGAGCGAGGGGAGAGGTGAAGAGAATGCCGGAGAGGGCGAGGGCAAGGGAGAGCAGAGGGGTCAGGGGAAGAGCCAGGAGAGGAGGGAAGAGCCAGGAGTGAGATCAGGAGGAAGACCAGAAGGCCAGTTGCCATCTCCTTGCCCTTCTTGTAACTTTGCCCCCTGGGACCCTGGCCATGGCCTCAGGACCCCTTTGGTGCTTTTCCTGCCCCCGTCTCTGCTCCTCTGTCAGCTACTCCTCTCCACCAGTGCGCTGTCCTCCCCGGAGGGCCCTGTGGCTTGTGGCTGCTGGGAATCTGGGCTGGGGTGCAGGAGCCTTCCTTGCTGATTCTCTTTCAGAGATGTCCTCAGTGTCCCCATGGAGGCCCTGTGGCCTTCAGTTGGTGTCTTCCTCCAGGTGCCTGAAGGGGATTTGGTGAGCCAGGCCTGCCTTCCCTGGGTCAGGAACAGCTACCTGCAGCTTCCCTGGAGGCTCCTGGGGTCAGTCCTCCGGGGACATCACAAACCCTTGTGGACTGTGTTTCTACTTCCAGCCGGGCGCCCCTCTTAGGGAGCGAGTGGGCCTGGCCCAGATCTGGAGCTGTCTCTGCTCCCACCTGCGGCAGGGGGTGGGCAGGTGGATGGCCCCTTTCCTCTTCCGCTCAGGCTCTGCCTCCCTTCCCCCTCCCCATCCCTCTGCCACTTTTTGCATCAACACATATCCATGCATTAAACAAGACATTCCATTAATTTCTTCATCATCATAACTTAAGCTGGGACATACCCTTTAAATATTCATTCAGCTATGAAAACTGGGCATTAAAATTTTAATAATGTCAAGCTCATTTGAACCAGCCTCCTTGGGGACGATTATGATACAATTAGAATAAATACGATGATTGAGCTGGTCGAAAGGCTTCACCTGTCCAGTGTGGCTCCCTCTGGAAGGGGAGGCCTGTGGCTTGTGGGCAGACAGACAGAAAGACAGGCCAAGCTGCTCTTTCCTGACTCCCTCCCAACCTCGCCGCTTCCCCTGCCTCCTCTTGCATCTGGTTCTGGTTCTGTGCTGCCAAGTCTACTCCCACCAGCCTCTGCAGGTCTCTGCTGCCTCCTTTCCCGAGGACCAGGGTGCAAGGGGCCCCTCCCTGTCTGAGAAGGTGGCTCTGATTCACCCCACCAGTTCCTACTACTCCTTTCCTGGTCCTGGTATGACCTGGGCTAGCTCACTGGGCTGGTGAGCGACATTTTCCTGCCTATACACGTCTCTTCTCCCCTACCTTACTAGGACTCCCCGAGGCTGGAATGAGCACCCTGCCAGAGCAGGGCCAGCCTGTGTGTGGGGTGTGGAGCCCAACTGCATTCTGCCACCAAAGGAGGGGAATGTCTTCACCTGGCTTCCCCTTCAGCAGCAACCACTGTCCTAAGGGTTGGCCTGGAGGTTTGGGATGGGGCTGAGCCTCCCTTGTCCTTCACTGCCTGATGCCTGCTTAAAGCCAAAGCTGAAAAAGCCAGGGGGGAGCGGGGAGGCAAGGGGGGGTCCACTCCTGCACTCATCCTGCCTCACTCTCCCTCGGGACAGCTGTCACTGCCCATGGGATCATGGGCCCTCCTCAGAGCTGGCCTCTTGTCCACCTCTGTGCCCTCTGCTTCACGCTGGGCCCCAGCAGGGCCCCCTCACCCAGTGCTGTCTCTGAAATAATGGAGTTGACTTTCTCCCCACCTGGAAAGCTTCCCTGTCACTCCTCATTGCACCCAAACCCTCCTATTCCCCCAAAGTCTAGGTTTGAAGCTCACCTCCTACAGGGAGGCTTCCTGATTGTCACACATGAACCTGCACTACTCCTTTCTCTCTCTCATGCGTGTGTGCATGTGTGTGACAGAGAGAAAGAGAGAGGGAGGGAGAGAGAGAAAAGAAGATGGAGATGGAGAGAGACTTACTTCACAAACAAGAGTGGAGATCAGGGCCCCTACTCATGGATCCCCAGAGGCAGCCTCAGGACTGTGCTTCTTCCCTGGAGTACGTGTGTGCAACTGATTAGTGCTATGTGACATCACAGACATCCTAAAAGAATTCACTGTGGCAGAAGCAGGGGGATTCGCATTGAACGAGATCATGAAAGAAATCTGCAAGAGCAGGTTCTCAGCAAAGGTCAGCCTGCACTGGAAGGTGGGGACTGATGCCCCGCAGGGAGCTGGGGAGAGGGAGGATAGGCGCTGGCAGCCGAGGTGACTGGCCCATGGGATGGCCAGAATGCTCTCCAGAGTGACTATTCAAACCTCAGAGCTGAGGGTCCTTCTGGTTCCTTTTGGGACGTGTTGGAGCCTGAAGATACCTGGCTCCCTGCTCAGCAGAAGGGCTCACCTCGCCAAGCTTTGGAGGAATACCCCTGGAGACACAGATTCATATCTTCCCCAAACAGACATAATTTGCAGCCTTCACCAGGAAGGCAGCTCTTACCTCCCCATTCCTGTGTGGTTTCTGAGGAGGGGCAGTCCTTGCCCACCTACTTGTGGACGCGCTTGTGTGGACTTGGCCCTGCTCGTCATCTATCCTGGTGCTTTAGGACAACACCAGTTCCTATCCACCCAGATAACTCAGGTTTTATGCTCTGCCCTCCAACCCCACCCCAGCACACACGATGGTCATGGAAACAGTGAATCAGCAGACCCGCACGCTAGAGCTCACTGTGCCCTAATCCCACCAGCATCACTGCTCTGAGAAAACAGACATAATTTGCAGGACCCCTTGTTCCAAGCGCCAAAATAAAAAGTGTCATTAAAGTACTAAAATATAAAGCCTTTCCTTCTTGGTCTTGCTCACTCTCTCAATTTGTCGTGGTATTTTTTTTATTTGCTATTTGATGTCATTTCAAGTAAAGAAAACTATAAATTTTAAATTATTAGCACAGACTTTACAGTTCATCTTTATTTTGTGCAATGCCAGTTTTAAATGCAAATATCAGGGCATTTACCTCCTATGCAGAGTCATCAAAATTTCACAGTTTGTATTTTGTGGCTTATGCCTGGAGGGTGCCTTCAGCTGGAAACGCAAGCCAAACTCAGGAAGCCTACAAGAGAGGTCCCCCAGGCAGGAGAAGTTTCCAAGGGATTTCTGCCTCAGACACAGGGGCCCTCACAGGCCCCTGGAGTCCCACCTGCAACCTTGGGCCTGAGGACTGCCGGGGTCCCTTCTCATTGGCCATGGACTGATGTGTCAAGCCCCAGCTGAGGGTAGGCTCTGAGAAGTCGAGCCAGACATCACCTCTTCCCATGGGCTCTCAGTCCTAACCCACAGTGGACAGGAAACTTTCAAGGGTATTGTAAACTCTGTGCCTGGGACGTGCTAGGTATCTATGCAATAGACTCATCTTTGCTGAGTCATGGCCTCTTTTGGCTGGCCAGATGTGGCACAGCACGGCCAGCCTGGGCTACCACAGGGTGAACGTGACCAACCCTGATCCCCTTAACCTGTGTCTAGGCCACTGCTGGCTGGTACAGCAATGATTGCAGGTGGGACTCTGGACATGGGTGGACCTGGCAGGTAGAGAGAGGCTGAACTATGCATGAGCAGAGACTCCAAGCCCCATGGACTTCATTTGCAAAGCACACATTCAAAGATAAAGTGTTAAGAATTTCAAGATGGAGACTGCAGAGCACGAAACCCAAGAGTAGGACTCTTCTGAGTGTGGGGCCCTGTGTGGCCACATGGGGTGGCCTGCCCATGACGCTGACCTGGGGGTGCCTTTCTGGGTCCCCATCTTCATCTGCCCCACCAGACATCAGGCGTTTTGTGGATCATCAGGTGTTTTAAGCATTGCCCAGGTCTGTGCATTAGTGCTATCTCCAGAAAGATCATCAGTCCATTTTTTAAAGATAAGCTTTGTGCAATTTTGAGGGGATAGACCAAGAATTTTCAGCCATAGGGATAAAAGCCTGGTGATGCAACCAACTCGATAAGGACAGAGAACTCACCAGTGAGCTTGTGGGGATCAAAGGTGGGTTTACTCTCCAGAGACCCCGCCCTCCACCAGAAATTTGTCTTCCCGGCGCTTAGCAAATTGTAATTAACAAATTAATTAATGATGAAATTATTTGTTTAAAGCCCCAGGAGGACAGGGTCTGAATCACAGGCCCTGTTGAATTCCAGGGGCTGTGCTTAGTAGTCTTGGAGTCGCTGTGGGAGGAAAGAATGAACCCTTGCCTGAGGGCTTCTGCAGTGCCCTAGTGAGACTGGATCCCAGGGGAACCGCAGAAGCGGCACACATTATTTCTAGCTTGTTGTAAATATATTAATGCTTTAATTACCTCCTTAATAAATCGCATATGGTGCGTTCCATAGAGAGGGGTTAGAGATTCAAGAAATCTCATCTGTTGTCAGCATAAAATTCTGACTCCAGGACACCCTCAGCAGTGATTTCAGAGACACCTGACAGATATATGGATTTGTTTGTCTGTTTGTCTCCACCCTGAGGAGTTCCCGATGCCCACGCAGGGCCCAGCATGGCCCCAATGCACAGTAGGTGGTCAGGAGGTACTGACCAAATGATGACTGAATCCTCCATCACACCCTGTCATGACCCTCGTTCCCTCCTGCCTCATCTGTGCCCTTGCAGCAAGAGTGCCCAGAGGCCAGAATTGGGTCACCACCGGACAGTCTTGTTTCCAGCCCAGAGAGAAAGGCCCTTTAATCCTCCCTCCTCCAGCAAAGTGGCGCGTTGCACCTTTGGATTAGGAAGGGTTTATTGAAGTGGTGGCGATCATCATTTAGAGAGACAGCCAGTGAGCACCGACCAGACAGAAGAACCGGAGGTTATTGTTAAAATATGCAAATCCAGAGCCTATTAAAATGCAAACCCTCCAGATAAGATTTTTTAATAAATTTGGTCTCTGCTCCCACTCCCCACTCTGAGGAGGCCATCTGATGCTTGTTGGGTCAGGACACATACCGGCACGTAGGCCCTGTCAGCTCTTCACCCCTCTCCATTCAGACTTCCAGCGCTGCGCTGCCTGGGCGGGGCTGGCTGTCCCTTCTTCCCCCAACGCCCTGTCCCTTGAACAAAGCACTTGAGGTTGTGTCAGGGTAATCTGCAGACATGTCTCACCATCTCCCCATACTGGCTGCATTCCATTTTTCACCTCTCCTCTCATAGCTGTGTCTGCAATTGAAGTCACAAGCCTTTGCCTCCTCCTCCAGCAAGCCTTCTGTGATTGGGTCCACCCAGTTACACTCACCGCCTTTCCAGTCATCGCCTCTGGACTCACTTTCTGTCAAAAGTAGCCCTCAAGGGGATGAGGGGAAGGTCGCTGAGAAGCTGCACAGGCTCCGAGTATGATAATGATATGGCGGGGATTCAGGCTGGACTTGGACATGCTGGCTTTGAGTCAGGGTGGAAGGAACCAGGCGTGTGGGTTGGTGCTGTGTGCCTGGCTGGGGGTGTGCACTCGGGTCTCAGAGGCATGAGCGAACTGCAGTGAGAGAGGGTTTTCAAGTCCTTCCCATGCTCCAGACCTTCTGTTGACCTCATGACAGGGCTCACATCCTTCAGTCCTTCCTGAAACCTGATGAATCAGGTGAGCAAATTCATGGGGTGGGCAGGGTGTGGATGGGGTGGGGGTGGGAATAACCACCAAAGACCTGGAGGAGAGTGGAGGGAAGGGCCAGTGGGGTGTGAAAGGGTGTGCGGCAAGTCGCCGAGGGTGGGAGGACAGGCAGGCAGGTGGAGGTGGGGAGGATCTGGTGTGGCCGCAGAGGATCTGGTGTGGCCATGGAGGGCCTGAGCTTGTAGAGTGGGCAGCGGGAGCCCCTGTTAGTTTGCAGACAGCATTGCACACTAGGACTGCATTTGGAAAGAGCAAGGAGGCAGCTGCACGTGCAGGAGGTGCAGGAAGTCAGAGGTGACTGGACAGAGGTGCCCAAGACACCAAGCAAACGTTTGTTCAGTTCCAGAATGACCAGCAGAACCTTGGCACCAGGTGCCTTCCCCACCTGTGGGAAGACAGGAGCCTAAAGCTTGTACATAGGAGGTGCTTGATGAATTGGCCCAAATTTCCCCAGGTTGCCTTTTATTCTTGGTTGTAGAATGACCCCTCACTCCAGTCCAAGCCTAGCCTTGTCCACCGTCCACTTGCAAAGAGTCTGCAGGATGTGGGGTGGGACGCAGTGGTCTCGGTCCAGGTGGCACCCTTTGCAGCCCACGTAGCCTCACTGGTCCAGCCCCCTACAAATATGCCCGGGCAGTTGCTATGCAACAGGCAGCTCTGCTCAGCAGTGTCCAGAAAGAAGCAGTGAGCGGCCCTGACATAGCCTGCTGGTGGGCTGGCGGGGGCTGCCTGCTCCTCCTTCTCTCTGCTCTCCCCACTCTCTCCCATCCCTCTCCGAGCCTCCACCCTCTCCTATCTCTCTACAAAATGCCTTCCCCTCACCTAAGGGGCAGGGCTGGGTTGGCACAAACAAAAGAGGTGCCCCTCACAGTGGTCAAAGATCCCTCCAGAGGCCCAGCCTCAAGCACACTGCTGGTTTCCCAGGGGGAAGGAGGGAGCCCCTCCCTGCTAGGGGTTTGGAGCCATATTTATGGGTAGAAGCTTCCAGCGCGTGGCAGGTAAGGTGGAAGGACACGATGAAAATCACCAAGATGGAACTGGTGGACCCGTGACCATGCTGCTGCTGGGCTGACGTGCCCCCACCTCTCAGCCAGAGCTCCCTGAGGCCCTCACTGCCAAGGGCAGAGGGCTCTTTGTCTCCAAGCCCCACGTCCATCTTGCTGCTCCTGTGAACACGCCAGGGCTGCACTGGCAAGGGTGGGAGGATCCTTGTGGTCTTAATTAAGATCTGCTGCCGTGGCAACCAAGCTAATTAGCCGGCATGGTCGGCTGGGTCGCTAACCCTCTTCAGGGTGGGGGAGTGAGGGTGTGCAATTTTTTAAATAACAGTAGTGGATAGATAATTCTGATGAAACAGGCCCTGATTTAGTTGTGAGGCCTGGATTTCGGTCTTAGCTCTGCCATATACTTGCTCATACAAGGCGGGGCTGTTAACTTAACCTCTGAGAGGCATATCCACGTATCCCCTCATGGGGTGTGGAGGGGATTAAACATGATCGCTCAGGCCAAGCTCTGAACATCGTGCCTGGCACCTAGTAAGAGCCCAGGAAACAAGCGACAGCTACCCTCTCCCTCCTCCCCCTCCACTCCCTCCTCTCCCCCCTCTCCCTCTTCCCCCTCCTCTCCCTTCTTCCCCTCTTTCCCCTCTTCCTATTTCTCCTCCTCCTCTCACATCTTCCCTGCCTTTCTTAGTATTTCCATCACTTTTGAGGAATACCTAACATTTGACTTTTCCCTTTCCACTCCGGAATACCCAGGCTCTTTTGGACTCTGCTGAACTGAAGATGTTGGACTCTGTGGGGAAGAGCTGAGAATGGGGTAGGGAGGCCACGCCTCATGGAGAGGCAAGATGCACCCTGAACTCAGGTTCTCATGGCTCCATTCTGCCCGTGCTGCCTCTCCTCCACCCTGCCCCAGCTCTGCCCTCTCTGCTTGGTCTACCAGCACTGAAGCTGTTGTTGTGATGGGCCACAAACTCCATCCATCCATCCATCCATCCATCCATCCATCCGTGCATCCATCCATCCCTCCATCCATGCATCCATCCATCCATCCATCCATCCATGCATCCATCCATCCATCCAGTGTTTACTGAGCACCTCTGTGTGCCAGGCCCTGTTCTATAGAATTGGATGGCACAGCAACATGAGTGTCTCTTCCCTGAGGGAGCCACCACCCAGTCTCCAGAAGGGCCTTGCTGGGAGGGCACCGGGTCCATCCTTCCTGGGAGCTGGCTGTGCACTGTTGCTTGATTCCCTGAATGCCCAGCCATGCAGTCCTGCACTTGGCCTCCCACTCTCCTGAAAGTGCGTTCTTTACCTCTGATGTGTGGCTCTTGGGTATTTGCTCACATACGTATAGTGTTGGAGTTAGGCTCCCTCCTGCATGGGGCGTCGTAATCCAGGATGGCCAGTTCTAGTGATTAGAAAGGAGGCATTTCTAGCCCCAACTCATCTCCCATGCATTTTCCCTCATCCACTCTGCCTGGTACCAGCGCCCCACTGGGCAACTCAAGCCCATCTTCCAGAGGCTGCCCCCAGTGCTGGGCCACTATGTAGCCCTGAGGTTTCAGTGTCTTTCTTCTAAACTCCCAGGCCTCCCTTCACCACTGGGTTTCTGGGCCTGTCACCCTGACAGCTCACAACCATCTAGGAGCCCTCGGATGTGGGGTCCTGGGCCTGGCGAGGGGATCTCTCCAGCTGTGACTGGCCCTTCCCAGCCCACAGTGGGACCACTGCCTTAGGAGATTTAGAGCACACTGGCTGGGTGGGAGTGAGAAGGGGGTGGCATTGTGGCCACCGGCGGCTGGACGGAGACCCTTGTCTGTGTTATCCAGGGCCCAGTCTCCCTTCCCCCTCCAAGCCCTCCCCTGTGTAACTGTTCCCTCCACTCCCCCCGGACTGTGGACTCTGTTTCTAAGCTGAGCCTCTCCACGGCCAGGAGAGGTGTCCTGGTTCCACCCTCACCCTGCCCTGACCCGGGGGGGACAGCTCCTTTCTCTCTCCTGTGGCTCCCGGGCCTCAATCTTAGGCCTGGAGAGAGCAGGAAAGAGTCCCCAGGCATGTTAAAAGAAAAAACAAAGCCCACACCAAGTAAATGACAAATCGAGAGGAAATTGCTCTTAATCCCTACGCCACAGCCTGATGATGCCGGCCAAGCACAAACCTGAGTCATCCTAGAAATGGCACCGACATTTGCTTTTTAGAATTTGTTTTGTCTCTGGGCTTTAGATTTAATCACTCCCTCGCTCCCTCCCTCCCTCCCTCCCTCTGCTCCCCCCTCTCTCCCTCTGCCCCTTGCTCTCCCGTTTTCTAACATGAGCCTGCACCGCCAGCTCGTCCAAGTCTCTTTTCCTGGCCTTAATTAACACAGCTCTCCAGCTTCCAACAGGCTAATGACGAATCGGGTTAAATTCCAGACAACAGCCGCGCACCGCCATCAATTAGCCATCTCCAGGGCAGCTTCATTAATAAGCATCGATCACGGCCCTCCTCCTGAAACACGCCAGGGTCTCCAGGTCACGGGCACTGCCTGCAAGGGTGTCAGGCTCAGGTGTGGGTGTGAATGTGTGTGCGTGAGGGCTGGAGTGTATGGTGAGGGGTCTGCACGTGAGTATGTGTGCAAGGATGTGGGTGGGCCATGTAAATGGGTGACTAGGAGTGTGGGAGGTGTGTGTTGCATGTGCAAATGCATGTGTGTGCATGTCCATGTGTGAGTATGCATGTCAGTGCATGCAGTGTGTGTGTGTGTGTGTGTGTGTGTGTGTGGAGGTGTGGGGGTGAATGGGTGTAGGTATGGTGTGTGATGTGCGTGCTGTGTAAGTGTGGGAGTGTGGTCAGGCGTGGCCCCCTGCTGGCCTCCACTGTACCCTCTCTAGCTCTCCTCTGAATTCCCTGTCCTCCCTGGCCTGTGTCTGGGCAGGTGGCTCAGGTCCTCCTCGACCCCTGAACATCAGGGTTTTCACAGGTGCACTGCCCCTAAACCTGCCCCACTCTCCTACCCCTTAGAGACTCTGCCTGTGGCTCTCTTCAACCTTCACTCCCTTGGAGGTAATTCCAAAATCTCCACCGCCATCCTCTCCCTTTTCCTCAATACATGCTGAATGACTGGTCATTCTCCCTGGCATGGCCTCCAGCCCAAGGCCTGACACCCGCAGCCTGCTGTGGCAGGAACATCACCGCCACTGCCCAGGGGCCCAACTCCCTCCCTCCAATACCTTCTGCTCCCCTAGCTTGGACTCCAACTCTATTCCAGCCATTCATACTCTCAGTCTTGATGGTCCTGCATTCAGCCTCCTGTGACATTCTTCGCAGCGCACTTCTGAGCCCTGAGGAGCAGCCCCCACCTCCCCAGATCATAGCTCATCTCCTCAGTCTGCTGGCCACATGCCCCACAGCCAGCCCCAGGAGCCTCGCTCAGGGAGGGCTCACAGCCAGAATGCGCCCCTCACGGCTGTGGTGGCTGCCAGTCTCCTCCTCTCTCCTTTTCTCTATCCTGTGTAGGGCCTCACTCTGTCACGCAGGCTGGAGTGCAGTGGGCTCAGGCTCCTGCCTCAGCCTCCCAAGTAGCTGGGGCTATAGGCATGTACCTCCACGCCCAGCTAATTTTTAAAATAATTATTTGTAGAGAAGGGGTCTCTGTTGCCCAGGCTGGTCTTGAACTCCTGGGCTCAAGCAATCCTCCCACCTTGGCCTCCCAAAGCTGAGATCACATGCATGAGCCACCCCATGTGGCCTATCCTGTGTAGTTCTTAGCATGGCCTCCCCTCCACAAGCCCAGGCCCCCAGGACACCTCAGTGGGAATTTGTCCACCTGCCATTTCCAAAAGCCTGCTATGAGGGAGTGGCTGGGGTCACCCTCAGACTCATATGTGTGACAGTGTGCCCAGAGAGCCCACAGGCCCTGGCACACGTGCATGCCAGCAGGGATGGGATGTGGCCTCCTGAGGCGGCCACCAGCAGATCATCTCCTTAAAGGTTAATTAAGAACCTGAAGCTGGCCAGCGTGCGTGGCCGATGACGGTGGATGCGGCGTCTCTCCAGGCCATTAAACACTAATTAGGTTTAGAAAGTCTATCGAGCTCCTGAGGTCTCGTCAAGGCAGGCGCTGGCCCTGGGGTGCCCTTTGAAATGCCAGTGCTGTCACCCCAACCCCCGGCGGGGCTGCCGGGCTGGCCCCATGACCCGGACCCGAGGCTTCGGCTGCGTCCCACTTCATTTCTTTCCATTTCATTGTCCCTCCTGGGCCCTGGCCGCCTCCGGCTGTGCTCCACTCACCATGCCTGGCGCTCACAGGCCTGGTGGTCTGCCTGTCGACCCTTCCATGCTACATCCTTTCTGCTCGGGCAGCATCTCCTGTCTCTGCTTCCTCCTCAGTGGCTCAGAGACACTGGTCAGAAACAGGCCTGCGGTGGCCCTGGGGTCTGGTGAGCAGGACAGGAAGCTAACGGTGTGGGCCCAACTGGCCTGGGCTCCAGTGTCCCACAAGCGGAGGGAGAGGAGGATGTGGTGGGGAGACTGGCGAGACCCACTGCCTCCCATGGTGAGCCTCACACCCTCCCCTTGAGATTCTCCCCATCTTCAGAGCCACCTGAGGGCCTTTCCTGAGATGGCCTGGCCTCAATACTGCCCACCTTTAGCACAGCTCCTGTGTCCCCAGAGACCCGGCTCTCTAGCTAGGACCCTCCTTCCCAGGGTCTAATTTCTTTCCCGGCTGCTGAGTTCAGCAGGTGCCACCAGGAGGCAGCTGTTCCTGATGGCATTCATTCATTCCCTCCCTCATTTGTTCACCCACCCATCTGACTGCAGCCCTGGCATGTTCCGGAGGGCCTGCGGAGGAAATGCCCCTGCAAGGAGGCCCCCTCAGTGACTGAGGCTTCATCTCCAGATGGCAGCGTCCTCTGCCTCGGAAGTCATGTTCCCATCACCCCGGCCCCTTTATCTTCAGCACAAATGGTTTGTCACATGGTGCGAGATTTGCCACTCAGTGACAGAAGCATGCTCATGCTCAAGTTTACCAGAAGGAAAAGTCACTCTACCTACTTCCACCTCTATGCTCTCCCAGGCCACTGTGCCAGGGACAGGATTCTTGGTTTAGTTCTTCTAGAAAAGTTGTGAAGCAGAAACAAGTTTATCTCCAGTTCTCCCTGAAATGCCTGTCTGTGTTTAACCTGACCCCCGCCCCATGTTTGCAACAAACATCTGGAAAATCACCACTGTCACCACCACCATGTCACTGTCACCATTGTCATCACTACTGTCACTGCCACCACCACCACTGTCGCTGCCACCATCTGTTACCTTAACCTTGTCACTATGACTGTCACTGACACCATTGTCACCACTATCATTGTCACCACTACTGTCACTGCCACCACCACCACTGTCGCTGCCACCATCTGTTACCTTAACCTTGTCACTATGACTGTCACTGACACCATTGTCACCACTATCATTGTCACCACTACTGTCACTGCCACCACCACCACTGTCACTGCCACCATCTGTTACCTTAACCTTGTCACTATGACTGTCACTGACACCATTGTCACCACTATCATTGTCACCACTACTGTCACTGCCACCACCACCACTGTCGCTGCCACCATCTGTTACCTTAACCTTGTCACTATGACTGTCACTGACACCATTGTCACCACTATCATTGTCACCATTATCAGCACCTCTGTCACTGTCACCACTGTCACTACCACCATCATATAACCAGTAAAAAATATTGCTTAGCTCAAAGAGATACTGCTAGTGATGGGATTCTGGGTGCTGGGGTGGCGGGGGGGCTGTTCTGGGTGGAGTGGAGCCTTCTAGGGGCCCCTCACACCCCATGTCATGGCAGGCCCCTACAATCTTTGGGCTCCACTGGGCACCAGGCCACGTGATGTCATGGGAACAGCATGACTAGCTCGGCCATGACTACCGGTGACCTGAACTCAAAATAAAAGATTTTAAGCTCTCTGTGCTCTTGCTTCATTTAATGGACTTGAAAATGCAGGAGCCGTGTGTGTGTGTGTGTGTGTGTGTGTGTGTGTGTGGTGTGTGTGATCTACCTTCACAGGGTGGCTTTGAGAGCAGAACAAGCCACATGGGCAACCATGCCCAGCGCTGTGCCCCAGGGCCAGCTTGACGTCCTTTTTCTTCCCTCCACCTTTCTCTCTGGACAATGCCCTGAACCCCCACTGCCCCAAGGAAGACCAGGCAAGAGGATGGGCAATGGCCATCGTTTGGGTCTCTGCATCCATCCTGGTCCCAGAGCCCAGGGTTCCTAGCCTCCTTTGACAGGCAGAGCTGATGCGGGCTGTGTGGGCACAGGAGGCGCAGCCCAATTTTATAAGCACAAAGTATTATGATTGCATTGATTTCCATCATAAATCATATTTCCTATCTCCTGCCTCTCTCTCCTGCACACCCCAAGTTAAGCCTTGGTATTTTCTTTAGCTGCTGCCACTGCCAAGCCTGGAGATGATATTAGGATAATGATGATAAATTTTACCCTGCTGGCAAGCCACTGCTTCTGTATGGGGGAGGGAGAGTGTTTGTCCCCCAAATGGATCCCTTGACCAGAAAGTGGGGGCTTGGCTTGCGCCTGGAGGAAGGAGGATGCTCACCAGAGCTCGGCTATGTGGGTCCATGCAGATGGATAGGTGGATGCATTTGTGTGAGCATGAGTGTGCTCATACATGTAGTCATGTGTGTGCAAAGCCTGAAAGGTGGCCAGGCACAGTGGCTCATGTCTGCAATCCCAGCACTTTGGGAGGCTGAGGCAGGTGGATGATTTGTGGTCAGTAGTTTGAGACCAGCCTAGCCAACATAGTGAAACCCCATCTCTACTAAAAATACAAAACATAACCAGGTGTGATAGCACACATCTGTAATCCCAGGTACATGGGAGGCTGAGGCAAGTGAATCGCTTGAACCTGGGAGGTGGAGTTTGCAGTGAGCCGAGATCGCACTACTGTACTCCAGCCTGGGTGACAGACTGAGACTCTGTCTCAAAAAAAAAAAAAAAAAGGCCTGGGAGGCATCTTGCTGGGTTTCTCGTGTGTAGACGCATGGTCATGCCCCTGCCAATGAATGAACACATAGCAGAGGGGGGCAGGGGGCAAAGGCAAGGGGAGAGGGTAGGCGCTGAACTTCCCAAGGTGCAGCCACTCCCAGCCTTGGGATTGCCAGTGACTTGGGGTTCTGTGTGTCCGGCTGTTTCCCCCATAGAGTGCACCCCACCTGCCATCAGCGCATTAATCCTTATTAGCACGGCTGCGTTAAGCCCTTTCCTCCTTAACAGCCTCAGCAGCTTCCATTGTCATGTGATTGAAATGGGGTCTCCCCCTTTCCTGACTCCCACCACAATGCCCAGCCTGGGGGGCACTGATAGGAAAATGTCCGCACACATTTTCCTACCAACCCCAGCCTCAGGAAATCTTGCCGAAGTGCAGCCAACAACCAGGCTGGGGCACCCATCCTGACCTCAGAAATGCCACGTTAAGTGAGAGTGAGAAGCTGGTTAGTGGCTCTCCGAGCTCTCAGCCTTGTGCCTTTGCCAGCTGGGCTGGGCTCAGCCCTGACTGAGTTGGGGCTCCTCCAGCAGGTGATAATGTCACTGGGGTACCCAGACCAACATGACAGTGCTCCTCACAAGGTCCTGGGCTGGGTCTTAATACAGTGGGGGAGTCCAAGGGGAGCCTGTAGGTTCTCTGAATTGGGGATGAGCCTGGGACAGGAAGAAGCTTCAGTGGGGACATGGTCTTGTGGCTGATCATTCATTAATTCTCTTGTTCATTCATTCACTCAACAACCATTCCTGGGCTGAGTTCCCTCTCGTCTCCCAGTCCCACAGGCCTGAGGGTGGACCCCAGTGGTCAGTGGGCTTTCTGTCTTCTACACCAGGGGCGGCCAGCCTGAGATCCCTGAGCAGAGGTGTGTTGGGTTTTCTCAGATAGTCACAACTAAAGAAGTCTTATTTTTGAAGAACGTGTCCATGCTGATGTAGTTGACAATGACAGTGAATCACAGACACAGAGAAGATGCAAGGGCTCTAATCCTACCAGGCACAAGCTACTGGCAGCATCTCACAGGCAACCCTGGTTTGAATGCCTCTGCTGACTGGAGGCTCACTCCACGCATGAGTCAGCTGTTTTCATCTATTCGACATTGTTTCAGTGATATCAAGCTAACGTCTGAGCCACTTGTAGCTTCCACTGTTCAGTCCCCAGCCATTCATACAGGAAATGCCTAACTTCTCTTCTTTAGAATAATTGCTTAAAGTAGGGATGGTGAAAAGAACCACCTTGGTGAGCAGGGAAGGGCACCAACCACTCAGACTCCCCAGTGAGGATTCAGTAGGGCACTTAGATAGGAAGTGAGGTTTCAGGGCAGGATTTGGCTACCATGTGCAGGAAATGGATTCATCATGGTTTGAATAACCAGGCTCCATGGGTGTGGCTGTGTGTCCTCCCAGGGGGCCTTGGAGGGGACAGCAGGTTGGGCTCTGGTCTGTGTAATCAGCAGCCCTGGGATCCCAGAGGGGCAGACTGGGAGGAAAGTGCCCACACTGGGCAGCTAGCTCAGCATGCGATGTGCTGCTGACAGTGGGAGTGGTCTGGGCCACAGCCCACATGGGGATGTGGCATTTAGGTCAAAATATGCAGCGTGTTCAGACACAGGAGAAGTATGTTCACCTTACATGAGGAGGGTTAAAGGAGACTGGGGCCACTCAGCCTGAGCAGGTGCAGGGGCATCCCACTGGAAGGCAGTGAGTGGAGGGCATAAGGGCTTTCCACCTGGCTCTGGGGTCAGGACGTTGCAGACAGTTCACGCAGGAACTCCTGGTCCAACATGGGCACAGGCTGCCTGGAAGCTCAGAGTGTCCTCTGCCCCATGACTGTGCTCTATCCAGCAGAACCTATGGGCTGCTGTCCAGCATGCTCCAGAGGGGACCCTGCCTGGGGTGGAGTTGGGCCAGTGACCACTTAGGTTCCTTTTGACTCTAGGAGTGTATGATGACAAAAGGAAGTGCTCCTAGGAGCTAGGATGGTGAAGGTTTCAATCCAACAATGCTTGCCTCACAGCAGGCACTTATCGTTCTAATGGATCCCTGATGCCATTAGGCTGAAGATCTTCCTCCTCCAGGAAGTCTCTCCTGATTAATCCCACAACTCTCTGACTCATCTGGGTCTCCTTGCTAAGACTCGCTTACTCTCCTTGTTTGTGATCTATCTGTAAATGGATGTCTGCAGGTTGCATGTCTGTGGTGCTTGGTGTTGTGTGTGTGCGTGTGTGTGTGTCCCAATCTCCTCTCAGGTGGAGGACAGGAGAACAGTGGAGCTCATCCTTGGTGCCACACACAACCTTTTCTTCTCCACCAGCCCCTTAACTTGGTCTCTTAGAGCCATCCCTGGCAATTGTGTCCTGGTAGGGCTGTGGCCATTTTGTATCCACATAGGAATTCAGATTGGGGAAAGATAACAGCACATGCACACACACACACACACACACACACACACACACGCTGGGCACATGGCAGCCTCTCCACCTCCTCCCCAGTTTTCTGTTCCTGCCAGCAGTCCCTAGGGCCCCATAAAGATAGCAACCTTCTCTGAGCAGGTTAGGCCTGGAGAGTGCAAGGGTGGAACAGTCTGAGAGCCGGGCTCAGAAAAAGTGACCCCATGTTCTGTTTCCTGATGCTGCAGCCTGGTGGGGAAGGGGGCCTGCCTCGGAGGGTGAGAGGCCTCTGAGAGGCAGTGGAGGGCAGGAGTGAGGAGTGGGCACCACCCTCCCCTGTGCTCTGCAGCTGTGCCCCTTCCTCATCCCAGACTGGAAACAGCTCCACTGGGCCTCAGGTCTCCCCAGGGAGTGCAGGCCAGGGTCCAAGCAGAGTGGGGGAGCCTGGGTTCCTGCAGGCATCTCTTAGCTGTGTGACCCTAGGCCAGTTAACCTCCCTGAACCTCCATGCCTCCATGTGGGAAAGAATGGGGGAAATAATAATCCATATTGAGCTAATGTAGATAAAGATGTGTTGTGAGCTACATGGGACAAAAACTAATGCAAAAAAAGTTGAATCTCACCACTCCCATTAGTGCAAGGAAGCCCCCTGGGTTGCAGCGTGAAGGATTCTGTGGGTGGTGTCCCCCCCAACCCCTATGTCATGTCCCTGGCGGTCCCCATGGCATGTGGGTGTCTGTGGGAACATGACCCCCACTGGGAGTTGCCCACTGAGCCATTCCCGTCCTTACACTGAAGGAGGAGATCCTGGAAATGAAACGTGTGGGCGGCAGGTAGATGTGGGAGCTGGAAGGGTGTGCACCGTGTGACCACAGGTGAGAATCGCTGGTGTGCTAAGAACAGACCAAGGCCTCTGGAAACACAGGGAAGCTTGCTGTGCTTATGCCTGTGCTGGGCTAGCAGCAGTGTCTTCTACCCTTACTTTCTGAATTTTAGTTGGTGAGAAGAGGTAGAAAAGAAGTGTGCATGGGAATGACTGCGTCTGTGTCCCTGTGTTTGCAGCAGTTTTGTTGTGAGGCCCTGTGTGCATTTGGGTGTGGGCCATTGTGTTGAGAATGGGTGTTGATTCTGTGTGTGTGTGTGTGTGTGTGTGTGTGTGTGTGTGTGTGTGTGTGTAGACACGGGGTGGGGAGGGGGATGCCACTTCTGGGTGTGACATCCCAAAGGCTCCAAAATCCTGAAATCTTAGAGGGCGCAGAGCTGCATACAGCCACCAGATGGCAGCCGGGTGCAGTCTAAGGGTTGCCGGCCAGGCTCGGCTTTGTGTTCAGCCTCCCCACCTCCCATCCCACCCCTGGTATATGTGGTGCATATGTGTGTATATGTGGGGTTGCGTGTGTATATGTGGGGGTGCGTGTGTATATGTAGGAGTGCAGGAAGGGACTGCCTGACTGCAAGCTGGGCACCTGTGCGTGTATTCAGAGTGGCCAGTCTGGGCATGCTGCATCCTCCTCCTTGCCATGACAGCTGGATGCTGCTCGTGTTCCGTGCCCTGCGAACCTTGGCTCTCTAAGAATACGTGTGCAGACAAGTGTGCACATGTGCTGCAGCAGACCCCATCCAGACTCCCCACTCCCAAACCCTCACCTTTCACTCCTATCAGGCTGTCCACTTCCAACTCTCTGGTACCCCTCACCACGGCTGGTTCTTCCCTCCCTCCTTCACCCTGGCTGTTCCCTTTGCCAGGAATGGTCTCTCTGCAACCAAACTCCTCCCCATTTTTCAGAGACTTCTGTCTAAGAAGCCCCTTCTCCAGGAAGCCCATTAGATCTCTTAGCATCAACCTTTTACCCCCATTTTGCTCCTTTTCTGATCACCCATTGCCTAGGACTGTCAGCTCCACACTGTTCATCCACTGCTGGCTTGATGTGGCTCATTCAGGAGCCTTCCTCGAGAGGTTGAGTTCTGCAGGGTAGGATGGGGCTGGGCATCCACAGTAACACCAGGTAAAAACCAGATCATTGAGGAGCACATTTCCCCACTGACCTGCCCCATGGGGTCCAGAGAGCAAGTGCTGAGGACAGACGTGGCTTACACATGGCAAGCAACCCGTGAAACACAGAACAACCCGTGAAACAGAGAACAAGTGACTCCCTGGAAATTTGGCAGGCATTGCCACAGCACTGGGGTGCCACGGGGCAGAGACAGGGGGTCAGGGGAGAAAGAAGTAACAGTGAGTACAGTGGCTCCCTGGGTTTTAAAATCCAAAGTTAAGCCATTTGCTTTCTAGGAAGTATTGAAAGGTAGCATTATACCTTGGCTATAGCAAGAGAAACTACAGGTAGACTCTGGAAGAACTGGTCTTTGCCGAGGTGAGGAAAGGCTCTGGTGTGAGCCATGAAAGCTTGTTCCCTTGGAGTTAAAAGGAGCCAGAGTCACCATGCATATGTGCACAGCTTTCTGTATTTTTCATCATGTCTTGCTATCCATGCACTAACCCCATGTTACATGTTGGCAGAGGGTTTTCAGAGGCATGCAGACGCTCGTGAACCTGAAGACAGAAGCTGTCACCATTCCTGTTTGACAGATGACGGGAACGGCTGCAAGGGGAGGGGACACGCCCTGGCAGCCCAGCTTGCTGGTGGCCTTGCAGCATCCTGGATTTCATCCCCCTAGAGATGCACATGAAAATCCTTGCCCTTTTTGCAGACTCTAAGAGGGGAGTGTGCCCTCCCTGATCCCATCAATGCCTGTAGCCCCCAGTTCTGCTCCACCTGCCAGAACCCACTTCCTGTTTGTCCAGAGATGACCCAAGTCCATGTTTGCAGGATGTAGAATGTGCTGGGGTGGAGAATTGGAGAATGGCTGTGGAGGCGGACAGAAAAGTTTGGGTGCCTCGGGAGGCTCTGTCTCTGGAGGGGCTGGAGTCCCCAGGACTGGTGTACAGAGCTCCTATAAGGATGGGTTTAATTAAAGGATCGTTAGGTTAGGCCAGGTGTCATCTCAGCAGGGGCTACCCACACCAGCCCATTCCCCAAAGAAGAACTGCAAGAAAGCAAGAAGGTTCCCTTCACTCATTTTAATTGTTCCGCAAAAGACCCTAAATGCAAGACAGCATCATAAGGTGGAGGAGTGGGAGAGAGACGAAGTGGAGAGAGGGGCAGGGAGAGGGCAGAACAGAGGGTAAGACCAGCAGCCAAGAGCTGGGCCCTGGGCACAGCCAGCCTCTCTGTGAGCTTTGGGTGTCGGGGGTGGGGTGGGGGACACAGGCTCCCCTAAGGGATGGCTGCATGGCCTTAGAGACCTCGGTTGCAGCAACCAGCACATGGTAGATGCTCAGTAGACATTAAAATGAACTGAGTGCTTTGGGGTGGGGTGGGGCAGACTTTCCTATGGGTGGAGTGGCAGCCTGGGGAATTCAGTGGAGGACTCCTTTGGAGTGGCTGAAGGCCTGGGAGGCTCTGGGGGAGGAAGCTGCTGGTTGGGAACCCCACCTCAAGAACCTTTTGAGCAGGTGTCCTGCTGCTCTAGGCTGAAGGGAGAATGGAAACAGGCCCCAGGGAGGCTGGGGACCCCTGATATAGAAAGGCACAGCCTACCCTGAGGCTGAGGTCTCTCCAGTCTCCTGGGTCTCTCCTGCATACCTTAGCACTCCCAAAACCACCCACCTACCCACCCTCTTCAGTGCTGAGGTGGCTGAATGGGCTCTGAGGCTCCCAGTGCATGCCTGGCCCCCGGAGCCCCCAGGAGTTCTGTCCCATTTCCTGGAGTGGCAGCTGGGCAGGTTACATATACTTAATTACTAGTAATTAAAAAACTGATTACTCCAAATGGCGCCCTCCTGGGGAGAACCGTGCTGTGCCTGTCCTGCTGGTCCGCCACAGAGGCCATTTCTGTAGTGTGGAGCAGGGACCAGCCTGCAGCCTCCTTCTATGTCTGCTGGAGGATGAGGGCTCCCTATGTCAAGAACAGTGCCTGCCCCCACCTCCTCCAACTGGCCTGCCCCAATGTCTAGTGCAGCTGCATTCCGGCATCACTTTAGTGGATGAGTCACTGGTCCCCTCCAATGTGCATATCCCTTGGGAGGGGACATACCCAGAATGCTATAGGTCACAGGGAAGGAGCCTCTGTAGGGAGCCCAGGGGGAAAAAAGAGCTCTAGGCTCCAGGGGAGAAGTGGGGAATGAATGCAGAGTGTGACAGAGGCAGGGCAGGTTTGCCAGTTGCAGAGCTGGTATCCTAGAATTGACTTGTTTTAGTCATTCTGCGACTGGGGTTCAGCAAGCACCTAGTACATACCAGATATGGATGGACCACCTAGTCGGGTTCTTTGTGTGGATGAAGACACGCCAGGAGGTGGGGGGCAGGTACATGAGCCATGTTCAGTTAGGAAAGTGCTGCTGGAACCAGGGCAGAGAAGAAAGGGGTGCCCAGTTAAATGGGCAGTTGGAGGAAGCATCGCAGAGGAGTGGTTATTGAGGGCGAGGCTCGGGATTGGAGTCAGTTTGGGGAGGAGTAGGTGGAAGGGGTTTGGGCAATGGCAGCTGCTTGTGCAGAAGCCCTGGGGGATTGGCAGAGCCTGGCAGGAGGGAGGAAGCCTGGGGCAGCCATGGGGGCAGCATGTCTCATGCTACCGCTGGGATGAGGAAGTCAGCGGCCCCATGATCCCATCCCAGGGTGTCTGTCTTCCAGCAGCATTGGGGAGTGGTGGACGGGGTATCTTTGGTGGATCTGGAGAAGGGACTGGCTGACCTGAGCCTCTGAGAACAGGGAGGAGGGGAAGAAGGGGAGTGGGAGAGTGAGGGCTCATATGCCAAGGCTGAAGGGGGAGGGACAGTGGGTGGGTCTGGGAGGTGCCTTGGAGAGGGAGCCTCCTGGACCTGCTGATGGAGGGTGTTGGAGGAGAAAGGCCCAAGCTCACAAGAGCGAAGTCTGAACAGACAATGGCCAATACCTCAGATGACCCTGAGGGTGGGAAGTCTGTCTGTAAACTTGACCAGGAAGAGAATGGGGAGCCCCAGAGCGTGGAGGAGGGGTGCACAGGGAGTCTCCAAGGTCTCCCTGCCACCCCCCACGCCACGCCCAAGTTGGTTGGTGACAGTGGCCACGAAGGGAAGATTCATCCGAGGCCCTTGTGTGGGAGATGCTGACATGAAGCCGTGTCCCTCAATCAGGGGAACCCTGGGCCAATTATTCATTTATTACTAAGGGGTTTGCAGGCCCATCCCCCACCCCTACACTTGGCTCTCTGTGCCTGAGTCTGCTTTTATTCTGGAAAGTGTCCCAGAGAGGCCCTGCCTCACAGCCACTCAGGTCCCTTCCTACCTCTCTAGTTCGGGGCAGGTCGTCACCTGCATGAAGGACCCAGGGCGGCCGCACACCCTCTGCTGGAGGTTCCTTCACAGCTCTGCCCCTCACTTCCCTTTCTCCTGAGCACATGTCTGCGGGCATCAAGCCAGCCCCAAACCTGCCCCTGGGCACCCTGGCAGGAGGAGCCAAGTAGAGGGGTGCCAAATCCAGGGTACCCAAGGACTTGGGTACACAGGGGGCAAGTCCCACACCACACAGGGGGTTGCAGCAGGTGAGAGGCCAGAAGCCCCCTGCAGGGAGGAAGAGGACGGGCTTGGTTTGGCCCTGCTGACCTGGCTGCTGTGGCCTGTGTCCTTGGATTAAGGCTCAATCCAAGATGGGCCTCCCAGAGGGCTCCCCTTTATTTTCTTCTTCGAGAGAGATACCTCCCACGTTCCCAGCTCAGAAGGGGCCAACCAGGTGGCTCAATTCCCACCCTGAGAAACACAAGCAGGTGGTTATGGGTGGGCCTGGTGCCTGAGGTCAGCAACTGACCCTCCTCCAGGCCGGGCCTCTGGTCTCCTGCCCGCCTGGCCCTGTGCCCTGCATCCCCAGTTCCGTCTCTGCCTTTGTCTACCTCTGCATTTTGCTCTTCTCTCTTGCGCCTCCTTCTCTAAACAGCCTTTTGGAAAGAGCACAGAGATCAGTTACTATTTGACCCCTCTTAGCCACAATTTCCCCACCTGCTAAGCAGGGTCAAATGCCCTTCACGTGGTGAGGTGAGGCTCAGGAGCTACACGCACACACTAGGCCCCTGAAAAGCCTCCTGGGCCAGAGCACTCCCAGCTTACCCAGAAAGAAGGGCTTCTTTGGTCCCTTCCTTTTTTGCCCACTGAAGCCTTCCTCCCTCCGGCCAGGGATGTGAATGCACCCCCGGTCCTGTCCATCCCACATCACATCAGGCGCTTCCGGGCACGGACCATCTGCTCCACAACCCTGCTTCTCTATGACACAGCCTCTGGGGCCAGGGGCTCAAGTGGGATCTTCCATTTTCTATCTGCCTGGATTTGGAGAGCAAGGGACAGGACCATGGCCTTGAAAGTCTTGGAGCAGTGAGGTGGGGTGGGACGGTGGGGGGATGGGAGCAAAATTCCCTCCTCCTGGTCTTGGCTTTTGCGGTTTCTATCCTCCAAAACAACAACAACAACAACAACAAAACCCATCGGGGGTCATTCCTGGTCTCCTCACTCCTCCATTACTTTCTCACACCTCCTTTCCTCCTTTTCTTCCAGGAGCTTTTATTATCACACACTCCCCAAGGCAAGGCCCAGCCCATCCTCTGCTTCTAGGAGAGGGGAGAGGAAGAAGCAGTCACTCAAGGCCACCCTGGGGCTGCTTAGAGACTCCCCCAGGGGAGCTGCACTGGGGGGTCTCTCTCCCCTCTCTCATGCCTCCAGGGGGTTTGGGAGAGGCTGCAGGCTGATCAAACTGGCCCCTGACCTTGCCTGCTTTGCTGATGAATGCAACTCTCCAAAGGTGGAATGAGCTGGAGATCGCAGGGTGCAACGGCAGCACATCCATGGGGCCTGGAGAGAGCCCTGGGAAAAGTCAGGGATGAAGCAGGGGGAGGTGCTGGACACAGTTTGAAGGTAACTCACACTTCATGGAAACAGTGTTCGGAAACTCAGAGATAGCGCAGGCGGTTTCGGCAGTTCCCAGTTTTCTGAGGTGGGCCCTGCCCTCCCAACCTGAACTCGCATCAAGGATAGCCACCAGGATGTCCCTCCTATCTGTGGGTATCTGTTTAGGCTCTCAAAGAAGAGGGACACGTTGGGGGGAGAAACTGGAAACTTCCTTGTCCAAGTCAGAGGCCCTGGAGGGGCCTATCAGCCTGGAGATGCGATGCCTTCCCTACCGTGGCTGGATTCTTTCTGTAGCGGGTTTAGGGAGGAAGGAGGGAACCAGGAGATGACACAATAGGCTTAAATTAAAGCAGGACAGATTATGGCAGGCCTAAAGAATCATTTCTTTTTTTATTCAGAAGGCAATGGAAAAGACACACTCATTTACTCCAAAGCACTTATTGTGCATGAAGGACAGGCAGCCCCTGTGCCAAGCGCTAGGGTGTATCTGAATAAGACACAGGTTCTACCTGTAAACCAATAATGCAGGTGAGCTAAGACCCAGACAGCAGCGTGGGCCAGCCCATCGGAACCACAGAGCTGTGAGTGACCAAGGATGTGCTCTAGGGTGGCTGGTGCAGTTGATTCCTGAAGGACAAACAGGAGTTTTCCAGCAGCACGAGGCTGAGAAGGGCATTCGGGCAGCAGGACAGCAGGTGCAAAGGCTCAGAGACAGAGGACCTGTGGTAAGTGGAGTGAAAGGTGAGGGGCTGCACTGAAAAGGGGAGCCGGCCAGAGTTCACAGGGCAAGGGATGGGTGAGGGGAGAGGCAAGCGGTGGCCCCTCGATCACATGCGACGTGACTGGGTTTGCTTTTTAGTAAACACTGGCAGCCTCCAGGAGGAGGAGAGATAAGCAGGCAGGGAGGACCCGAAGCAGGCTGTGGCAGTGCAATTTGGGAGAGGGACATGCCTGGGACAGATAGAGGAGCAAGAATCCATAGAATTTTATGTCCAGTGAGGTGGATGAGGGGCCTTCAGCAACCAGGGACAGGCACACGATGGGAACAGAGCCCCATTCTCCTCTGACAAATGCAGACACTTTAGCAAACTGCCTGCAGCACACAGCTTAACATATGACGACCAAGACTTTCTACGTGAACATGACTTGACTATCCAGAACATTCTCATCCAGGAAGCAAAAGATGCAAATAACTTTGTTCCAAGAACTTCCTGAAAATCCAAATTTCTGAGTAATAGACCACGCGCGCTCCTCTTCTCAGGACAACAGCTCACTCACCCGGACAAATCTGCTGGCCTGTGAATGGCTGTTTACTCATCCTCACCTGCTCAACCCTGGCCTTGCTCTGTCTACCAGTTTCTAAAGGATTATGTCACAGAGCCTGTCCGATCCCAATCAATACTGCACATTGCAGGACCCACCTTCAAACAGACCCCTAACCTCCCCTTTCTGAAATTTCCCGAGGCCACCAAGGTGGGGTTGCTCTGTTTTACTGAGCTAGGCAATCTGAACTTGGCTTTACTGATCAGTGGATTATTCTGCTGGTCTCTTTGGGAAATGAGTCTAAAATCAGATGACCTCGCAAGGGTCCCTTTATCTCTCCGAGTCTAGCAGGCTCCAAATGTCTGATGGTGGGACTACAGGCTTATCTCACTTAAGACCCCAGGATTCTGGGATCCCCAGTTCCAGGGCTCATGGTGCATCTGGCCTGAAGTCCTGAGGGTCACCAAGAGGAGAGGGCATGGTCAGGATTCCACAACAGCTGGGGAGCAGGCCTGGAGCTCTGGCCTGGGCCAGTCTTGGGTCTCTGGGGAGCCCCCACTCAGAGAGCTTCTCATACTGCCTTCAAGGTTACCCAAGTCTCCCTGTCGGTCACATCCCTACCCACCTCCCCCCTTCTTTCAGGGTTTTATTTTTGGCCAGGTAATTAGTATAGCTCTTCTCATTAATATTACATTTAAAAACGCAAAGGTGCTGGTGGGGGAGAGGGGGGCTGGAAGGGAGGGGCTTGCACATGCCAGTAATTGTCTTGACAGCCGGAGATCCTGGTGCAATGACAGTCTAGTTTAAGTGGCCCAATTAGCAAAAGAAACGACTCGCCAAAAGTTCTGAAGGCATCGTGTTGATTAATGCAATTTATCTTGCATACCAGCAGCAGACAGCTGAATCGCTGCTAATGATTATTATATACATTCATACACATTATGTACATGTGGCCTCCTCTCCAAGAAACGATGCCTCTCCCCTCTCCTCCTGCGTGCCTGTTCAGGCCCACGGGCCCAACGTATACCAGAATGACTCTACCTGCCCTGAACCTACTGCCCAGGTTTCCCACTGGTCATCTGTGTCCTCAACTCTAATTGCCAGGTTGCCTTTGATATGAAAGGGCTGGTTTTACTTTGATATTATATTCAATTTTGAGCCAGTGTCCAGAAACACAGTTTTCAGCTTTCTTTTTTCTTTTCTTTTTCTTCTTCTTCTTTTTTTTTTTTTTTTTGAGACAGGGTCTCACTCTATCGCCCAGGCTGGAGTGCAGTGGTGCGATCTTGGCTCACTGCAGCCTCCACCTCCCAGGTTCAAGCAATTCTCCTGCCTCAGCCTCTTGAGTAGCTGGGACCACAGGTGCACGCCACCACGCCCTGCTAATGTTTTTTGTATTTTTAGTAGAGACAGGATTTTGCCATCTTAGCGAGGCTGGTCTCATACTCCTGGGGCCTCAAGTGATCTGCCCACCACAGTCTCCCAAAGTGCTGGGATTACAGGCGTGAGCCACCACCGAACCTGGCCCAGAAACACAGCTTTCAAGAATATTTTTCACTACTCAGGGGAAGCAGCTCTAGGCAGCCAAGGGAGTGGCCAGCAGATGAAGTTAGCATAGTGAAGTCTGTCTGAGTACATGGGTCTCTAAATGTTTGGTCCACAATCACAGTTTAAACGAGGGATGCATGCAATGTGGTGCTGCCAACATCCTCCTCCCTTCCATCTTAAACATCTTGTTATTCTGAAAACTGGGAATTTTTATCCTGGGTGTGCAAGGGCAGAAGCCCAGACCACACCTTTGCAGGTGTCCCTCCTTCTGGGCAAGGCCAGGAGGAGAACATCAGTGCAAGCCACCAAGCAAGGGGACTATGATGGCTGTCAGTTCATGCTGGCACAGCCGTGAGAGCTTACACACACTACATTTGTCCTCAATGTTACCTCCTCCCCAGCCTGCAGAAGGGAAATGTATTGCTGCATGTTGTGGCTGATGCCTGTAATCTCGACACTTTGGGAGGGTGAGGCGGGAGGATCACTTGAGCCCGGGAATTCAAGACCAGCCTGGGCAATATAGTGAGACCCAGTCTCTATAAAAAATAATTAGCCAGGCTGGAGGATCCCTTGAGGCCAGGAGTTCGAGACTGCAGTGAGCTATGATTGCACCATGGCACTCCAACCTGAACCACAGAATGAGACCCTGCCTCTAAAAAAAAAAATTAAAAATAAAAAAAAGAATTTTAAGTATCTGCTTTGGATTCCAGGCAGCCTGGCCCTAGAGCTGGTGTTCCCTTCATCACTATTCTCAGCCACCAGATTAGGTCAGAATCTGGAGGTCAGCATTGGAAGCGGGGGATGAAAGCTGCCACTTGGAGGTGGATGGGGAATTTAGGCAGGAAAGTCTCCCAGGTAGAGATGCCAGGACTCAGCTGAGAGGAGGCAGCTGTGAATCTGGGGAGACAGACACCAAGGTGCAGAGTGGGACGGGGTGGAACAGCGCCTTGCCATTGGTGCCCGAATGCACCAGAGGCTGGGAGAACAAGAACCCTTTCTTGGCCGGGCGCGGTAGCTCACGCCTGTAATCCCAGCACTTTGGGAGGCCAAGGTGGGCAGATCAGGAAGTCAGGAGATCGAGACCATCCTGGCTAACACGGTGAAACCCTGTCTCTACTAAAAATACAAAAAATTAGCCGGGTGTGATGGCACGTGCCTGCAGTCCCAGCTACTTGGGAGGCTGAGGCAGGAGAATTGCTTGAACCCGGGAGGCGGAAGTTGCAGTGAGCCGAGATTGCGCCACTGCACTCCAGCCTGGGCAACAGAGTGAGACTCCGTCTCAAAAAAAAAAAAAATATATATATATATATACATAAAAGACCCTTTCTTGGGGGGCTTAGGGACCAGGGGTAAGCTCAACTGGGCATATGGTTTTATAGTTAAACTTTCCAGTGAGGCCAGATTCAGCAATCCCAGGGGTCAGCAATGGAGTGACGGGGCTGGCCCCTGTGGAAGGGTCTGAGGTGATGGCTTGGGTGCTGAGGAGAGCAGTGGATGTGGGGGAAGGGGAGGTTGGTGTGGAGCTGGGAGAACCAATTGGAACATCCTGCAAAGGGCTTGGAGGCAGCTGGCAGCAATAGGGCATGGGGGAAGAACTGTGGGGACTTGGGTCAGCAAGCAGGAGAGACCAGGAGCCGTTCAAGGGGACTTGAAGATTCCATGACAGTGATGCTTTTGACAGTAATAAGGATGTTAGGTGGGGCTGGGGGAAAGGTGGGGGACTGGGGATGAGGGGGAATGATGAGTTTACCTTTAACCCTGCCCAGACTTCAGGTAGAAATGCCAAAGAGACCAGTGGGCTGGTGGGGGCGGGGGGGGCAGTTCTTTCTTTTTTTTTTTTTTTTTGAGATGGAGTCACCCAGGCTAGAGTGCAGTGGCGTGATCTCGGCTCACTGCCAGCTCCACCTCCTGGGTTCCCGCCATCCTCCTGCCTCAGCCTCCCAAGTAGCT
Organism: Homo sapiens; assembly: GCF_000001405.40. Lineage (NCBI taxonomy): Eukaryota > Metazoa > Chordata > Mammalia > Primates > Hominidae > Homo > Homo sapiens. The sequence goes on from NC_000018.10 coordinate 37,353,890, forward strand.
GGGACTACAGGCACTCACCACACGCCCAGCTAATTTTTTGTATTTTTAGTAGAGACGGTGTTTCACCGTGTTAGCCAGGATGGTCTCTATCTCCTGACTTCGTGATCTGCCCGCCTCGGCCTCCCAAAGTGCTGGGATTACAGGTGTGAGCCACTGCGCCTGGCCTGTGGGGGGACCAGTTCTTAGGACAAAGGTCAGAGCCGGAGATGTGAGTTTTTACTTTTTTCCCTTAGGACTTGGGCCCTTAGGGGAGGAAGTGAACTATGCTGAGCACCTGCTGTGTTCTAGGGAGTGTGCCAGGAGCTCACTTCCCTTCCCAACAGCTGCATGAGGAAGCACCGTTATCCCCATTTTACAGATGGCCAAACTAAGTCTAGGTGAGTGACCTTCCAGGGCCATGCAGAGTAAGGGAAAACAAGCTCAGCCTTGCTCCAGTGCTGTCAGACCTCCAAGTTCATTGCTGGGGGAAATGAAGCCCATGCTTCTGATTGTGGGGACTGGTGGGGGGCGCAGAGGGCCTGGGCTTTTCTGTCCCAATCTGGGGTGCCTGGGAGAACTGAGAGCCACCTCTGTGAGTACAAGGCCAAGGAATTTCTTCCACAGACCCATGCTCGGCTGCATACAAATGTGAACTTGAAAACATTCTGGTTCCCGTAGGTAGGTAAAAATGTATTCTCTCAGCAAACGCTTTTGAATTTGGGACCAGGCTCTAAAATTGGAGCCCTTTGGGGTTGGGGTGGTGCCACGTTGGCTTCTGCTCCCCTGACTCCTTACACTGTGGCTTGCAGGAGAGGTGGGTGCACTCTGGGGTGAGCAGAGGCCCAGGATGGGGGACTTCAGGAGGAAAAGGGCCCTCTAGGCCTTCCCACCATGCCTTCTCTCCAGCCTTCCTGCCCCGCAAGGAGCCATTGATGAACCTGTTTGCAAAAGTTCTAAATGCTCACCCTGCTGTTCAGATCATTTTGGTAATTCTGGTTTGTGGTGGGAGCCAGGGAAGTAGCACTTAGGCCTCAGTGAGGCCTCTGCCTATGGAGAGAGATATTTCCATAAGGAAGAAGCCTTTGGTTTTCAGCAGCTCTTTCTCCAGACATTGAGAGCAGGGCTCTGAGGGTATGAAGTTGATCACGTGTGTGCCTACTGTGCATATGTGCATGTGTGTATATGTGTACACGCATGTGCATTTGTGTTCCTGTGCCTGCAAATGCTTGATTTTGTGTCTAGACACGATGGAATCTGTATGTGACTCTGGGAGAGAGACAGTGTGAGCCTGCTTGGGGATGTAAGGTGTGCACATACAGGACATAGAGTTGTGTCTGTGAATGTGCTCCTTGTTACTGATGTCTGTACATCTGTGAGTGTGTGCACATGTGAATATGTTTGAGAAGATGAGATTGCCTGATTATGTCCAGGAATGCATGTGGTATTGAGTGTATATCTCTGTGTGTGCAGGTACATGTGGTGTAACATGGAAAGCTATAAACTTTAAACTGAAAACAGACCTGGCCTGGTGCAGTGGCTAACGTCTGTAATCCCAGAACTTTGGGAGGCTGAGGCAGGTGGATCACTTGAGGTCAGGAGTTTGAGACCAGCCTGGCCAACATGGAGAAGCCCTGTCTCTACTAAAAACACAAAAATTAGCTGGGCGCAGGGGTGCATACCTGTAATCCCAGCTACACGGGAGGCTGAGGCAGGAGAATCGCTTGAACCCGGGAAGCAGAGGTTGCAGTGAGCCGAGATCACACCACTGTACTCCAGCCTGGGCGACAGAGTGAGACTCCATCCCCACCCACCCCACCTCTCCAAAAAACAAAAGAAAGAAAACACAGACCTGAAGAGAGAGAGTGCCATGATGAAGAGTGGGTGACCAGGCCAGGCAGTCTCCCTGGAGGAGGTGGTTTCTGAGACCTTTACTCAGCCATACCTCCAAAACTGGCTTCCCTGGGCTCTGTGCCACTGCCCTTTGGAGTCAAACCAGCCAGGAGCCAAGACTCAGCAGGCCTCTGCTAGGGAGCTGCAGTGGGGATACCTACATGAGATGGGGCCTCGGAATGCCCTGGAGGCATCTGTTCTGAGCCATCACTGCAGTCTGTCTTCGTCAGCCACAGGCACTCAGCCCAGCACAGCCCAGCCCAGCCCAGCCCTGGCCTGGCCCCAGGGTCTCTCTGGAAATGGTAGTATGGGTGCACTGAGGCCGTTTATTTTCTGATTCAGGTGACAGTCCAGTGGCCAAGGAGAATACCCACACCTTTCCATTTTCTATTAGGAACCACTGACCAATGGACAGAACCACCATGGGGCCATCAAAGCCACTTAGTTGAGTTTTTGCTTTTTAATAAGAAAAAATAGTATGTGGCACTCATCCGCTTTTAAAATGAAAAACAGTGAACATAAAACTTGATTTAATAAAGACACCAAATAAAATATTCTTCTATTCTGTGTTACAGTAATTGAAGGGAGAGTGACAAAAGGGTGGGGGGCAGAAAAGAAAGAGAGAACGGTTGGGTGTGGAATGGCAGCCCAGAAAGAGACAAGGACATGAAAGAGGTGCTGGAAAGGCCAGAGGTGCTGGGAAGGTCAAAGGTGCTGGGAAGGTCAGAGGTGCTGGGAAGGCCATTGGTGCTGGGAAGGCCAGAGGTGCTGGGGAGGTTAGAGGTGCTGGGGAGGTCAGAGGTGCAGAGAGTAAAGAGGGAGAAGTGGATTCAGGTCCCTGGGCACTAGGAGGACCCCAGTGTTTGCAGGGACCAACATCAACGAAGGGGCCCTCCTGGGCTGGCAGTGGCTATGCTTGACATCTGCTTTTGGCCACATCCTCTCAATAATCCCAAAAGCTATTAAAGGAAAGGCACATGGCATGCAGCGAGCTTCAGTAACTTGCCTGAGTCCTCAGCTAGGCTGCCTTCTGACCTTGGTCTCTCTGACCCTGACCCAGATCTCTCTACCGGCAGCCTGGGTTTATGCCAGGCACTCGGCACCTTGCTTAGCCTCAGGTGTCCATGCCCCACACTTCTCTGCAGCCTCCCCTGGGACTTTTTCCTACACTCTTCCTCTCCCAGAGGCCTGTACTCTGCCCCTTTTGCAGGATCCCAGGCCCAAGCTGCCTCCAGCCCCTCTCCTACCCATTCATCCACCTGCCCCAGGTTCCACCACTCGCTTCACTGGGTCACACCCATGCCTTTTAGCCTGAAATGCCCATGGGGACTACATAGGTTTGTACAAAGCCCAGTGGGAGACTTGGAAGAGGGTCTAGCAGCATCAGAGAAAGTTCCCAGAGGAGCTGAGGTTTGAGCTTGGAGCCCGCAGGCCTGTGAAGGTCTGAGAACATTCCAGGTAGAGGGAACAGCAAGCGAAAAGGCAAGGAGGATGATATGGTTTGGCTGTGTCCCCACCCTGCATCCTAGCTGCTCCAGCTGGGGCTGAAAGGGGCCAGCGTAGAGCTCGGGCTGTGGCTTCAGAGGGTGCAAACCTCAAGCCTTGGAGCTTCCACGTGGTGCTGAGCCTGTGAGTACACAGAAGTCAAGAATTGAGGTTTGGAAACCTCTGCCTAGATTTCAGAAGATGTATGGAAACGCGTGGATGCCCAGGCGGAAGTTTGCTGTAGGGATGGGGTCCTCATGGAGAACCTCTGCTAGGGCAGTGCAGAAGGGAAATGTGGAGTCGGAGCCTCCACAGAGAATCCCTACTGGGGCACTGCCTAGTGAAGCTGTGAGAAGAAGGCCACTATCTTCCAGACCCCAGAAAGGTAGATCCACCAACAGCTTGCATAGTGTGCCTGGAAAAGCCACAGACACTCAACACCAGCCTGTGAAAGCAGCTGGAAGGGAGGCTGTACCCTGCAAAGCCACAGGGGTGGAGCTGCCCAAGACCATGGAAACCTACCTCTTGCATCAGCATGACCTGGATGTGAGACATGGAGTCAAAGGCGATCATTTTGGAGCTCTAAGATTTGACTGTCCCACTGGATTTCGGACTTGTGTGGGGCCTTTAGCACTTTTGTTTTGGCCAATTTCTCCCATTTGGAATGGCTGTATCTACCCAGCGCCTGTACCCCCACTGTATTTAGGAAGTAGCTAGCTTGCCTTTGATTTTACAGGCTCACAGGCGAAAGGGACTTGCCTTGTCTCAGGTGAGACTCTGGACTGTGGGCTTTTGAGTTAATGCTGAAATGAGTTAAGACTTTGGGGGACTGTTGGGAAGACATGATCGGTTTTGAAATGTGAGGACCTAAGATTTGGGAGGGGCCGGGGTGGAATGATATGGTTTGGCTGTGTCCCCACCCAAATCTCACCTTGAATTCCCACATGTTGTGGGAGGGACCCGGTGGGAGGTAATTGAATCATGCGGGCAAGTCATTCCTGTGCTGTTCTCATGATAGTGAGTAAGTCTCACAAGATCTGGCAGTTTTAAAAACGGGAGTTTTTCTGCACAGCTCTCTCTTTGCCTGCTGCCATCCGCAAAAGATGTGACTTGCTTCGCCTTGCCTTCCGCCATGATTGTGAGGCTTCCCCAGCCACGTGGAACTGTGAGTGCTCCATTATACTTTCCTTTGTAAATTGCCCAGGCTCAGATGTCTCTTTATCAGCAGCGTGAAAACGGACTAATACAGAGGATAAGACATTGTGTGCAATATGGCTACAGCAGGACATGGATAGGTAGGGGGCTGGGGAAGGCTGGCAGGGAGGCAGGTACCCCCAAGACAAGGCCACCCTGACCTGTTTGTGTTCTCCTGAATTAGTCCAGGTGCTTTACACCTCGCTGTGAATCTTTGCTCAAGGTTGGCACAGGAGCAGGATGCAGGCGCATGCATGAAAGCGCGTAGGCTGTAGTCCCTCCCTCAGGTTGCAGGACTGCAGGCTCCAAGAGGGCACACAGTGTGCCGAACTTGTTCCCTGTGGCCTGACACAGAGTAGGAGTTCAGCAAAGACCTGTCAAGAGGCTGGGCATGGGTGGTTCATGCCTGTAATCCTAGCACTTCGGGAAGCTGAGGTAGGTGGATCATGAGGTCAGGAGTTCGAGACCAGCCTGGCCAACATGGTGAAACCCCATCTCTACTAAAAATACAAAAATTAGCTGGCATGGTAGCATGTACCTGTAATCCCAGCTACTTGGGAGGCTGAGGCAGAATTGCTTGAACTCAGGAGGTGGAGGTTGTAGTGAGCCAAGATCGCCCCACTGTACTCCAGCCTGGGCGACACAGCAAGACTGTCTCCAAAAAAAACAAAACAAAACAAAACAAAACACAAACCTGTCAAGTAAGTGAAAGGGTGATGTCATGTGAAGGGCGACAAGGGAGCCTGGCAAAGGAATAAGCAAAAGGCAGGTCAGGCACCCTGAAGACTCAGCCCATGTGAGAGGATCTCAGAGGTGCCAAAGAAGGGCTGGTCAGTGGTCACCTCTGGGTGTGGAGCTGAGCAGTGCTGGGCCATCTGGATTCCAGCAGAGCCATCATTTGTTGCCTTTTTAGTTATTTATTTTTTAAGGGTCTCACTCTGTCACCCAGGCTGGAGTGCAGTGGCGGGATTATAGCTCACTGTAGTCTCAAACTCCTAGACTCAAATGATCCTCCCTCCACAGCCTCCCAAATAGCTGGGCTGCGCACCACCAGGCCTGGCTAATTTTTAATATTTTGTAGAGACAGGGTCTCGCTATGTTGCCTAGGCTGGTCTTACACTCCTAGACTCCTGGCCTCAAACGATCCTCATGCCTTGGCCTCCCAGAGTGCTGGAATTATAAGCATGAGCCCTCTGTGCTCGGGAAGTTGTTGCCATTCTCCTGTCTCAGCCTCCTAAGTAGCTGGGACTACAGGCACGTGCCAACATGCCCAGCTAATTTTTGTATTTTTAGTAGAGAAAGGGTTTCACCCTGTTAGCCAGGATGGTCTCAATCTCCTGACCTCGTGGTCCGCCCACCTCAGCCTCCTAAAGTGCTGGGATTACAGGCATGAGTCACCATGCCTGGGCTTTCTTTTTTTTTTCTGGAGATGGAATCTTGCTTGCTCTGTTGCCCAGGCTGGAGTGCAGTGGAGCAATCTCGGCTCACTGCAACCTCCACTTCCCCAGTTCAAGCAATTCCCCTGCTTCAGCCTCCCAAGTAGCTGGGATTACAGGCATACACTACCATGCCCAGCTAAATTTTTTTGTATTTTTAGTAGAGACAGGGTTTCACCATGTTGGCCAGACTGGTCTCGAACTCCTGACCTCAGGCAATCCACCCGCCTCGGCCTCCCAAAGTGCTGGGATTGCAGGCATGAGCCACCATGCCGGGCATTTGTTGCCTTTTAACCTGCAGCTGCCTGTTTCTGGTTGCTCAGCTTTGCCTGCTGAAGTCCTCTTTGCAATCTCTGGCCACCACCACCATGGACACTAAACATCTGATCCAGGGATGGAGTCTCAGAGGGCCCCAGAGACCTGAGGGCTCTGGGCAAGCACCACTTTATCACTGCTGGGCCAGGGACCTCCCCTGACACTGGCACCCACCGGCTGCACAGGAACCAGCCTGCTGAGCACAACCTGTGAGCAAGGCCTTCTGCAGAGCCCTTCAAGTGGACCCCTGAGTGGGGGGATCCCCAGTTAATAACACGAGTGAGCACTTACTGTGTGCCAAGCTCCCTTCTCGCCCTTCACATGACAAGCAGGGCAGTACTACTGAAATCATCCCCAAAATGAGGACAGATGAGGAAACAGAGGCCCAGATAGGTGAAATCACTTGTCCGAAGCTATGCACTGGTCTGCTCAGAGCCTGTCTGGAGGCAGGCAGTCTCGTTGCAGGGCTATACTCTTCATGCCTGCAGGCTTCTTCTGGGCAGGGAAGGCTCCTCTGCTGGCTTGATATTTGGGTTCTGTACAGGCATCTGCAGATGTGTGGGTGAGTTCAGGAGGACCACCAGTGGGACAGAGGGGGAACTGCTTGGGATTTGTAGCCAGACACGCCCATTACTGAATCTCAGTTCTAATGCGTGGAGCTATGTGATTGCGACAAAATCCCTCACCCTTGCTGGGTCTCCAAAGTGGGGTTTATTTACATATGAGCCTGTTATCTTTGTCTTTGTGGGGTTGTCAGGATCAAGGAAGGCACATGTTATAAAACAAGACCTAGCACAGGTATGGCCCACAGTAGGTGTTCATTAAACTCTAGTTACTTTTAGCAGCCATGCCCCTCCCCACTCATGTTGGGGCCCCCAGCAATGCTGGACATACATTAAGCCTTGACAATTCTGCTTGTGAAGGCCATTCATACAGGAAAGCCAGTTGTCATTTGTACAGGTACTTTAGGGTTTCCACAAGGGTGTTGATCTTTGCAAGTGTTGCATTTTCTGCCCTGGATCTGGCTCAGCAAACATATCAACCCAAAGGGCAGAGTTAAACCAAGAGCTAAACTTGGGTGTGGAGAGTTAAAGACGCACCAGGATTAAAGTCGCTAAATGGGGTTTTTGGTTGTGCCTGTGGCTCACCAGCTAACCGTAGCTCTCGTCCAATGCATCCAGCTGCCTGACGGGTTCCTGTTCCTCCAGGGAAGCTGGGGTGGGGTTTGGCAGGCTGGCCAGGCTGGCAAGCCTGGGGTAACCGCATGCAGCTGCCCCATTAGCGAAGTTATTTAGACTTTTGTGTTAACGACTTCCAAAGGCAGCACTCCTCCTGAATATGCAAATCGAGAGTCTTGGCTGTTAACAAAATTAGCTGCCTCGTTTACAGTTGCACCCCTACTCAGCTCCAGGGTGTGGCCTGGAGCAGTGCCTGGGCCCCACCCAAGTGTGGAGGTGGGGAAGCGGACTAGCCCTGCAGCTCCCTTCAGCTTTATTCCCGCCTCTTTCCCTCCTAAGGGGTCACTCCTGCTCATCAAGGATGTTTTAAGTGGCTTTTAAAGCCTTTGCTCCAGCCTCATTGGGAAGACTACCCTCGGAGATGCCCAGCCGGGGGAGCAACCTGGCCCATTAGAGCCATTCTAGTGGCAGCCCCTGCTGGGGAGGCATTAGGGAGGGGGGCGGGGGATTCCTTCCCAGCGCTTGAGAGCACCGGGAAGAGAAAGGCAGGAGGGAAGACCAAAAGAAGCTTCAGAGGGTACCCAGGGGCACTGAGGCCAGGCCAAGAGGCTGCTGGAGTGGGAAGCGGACGGTCAGAGGAGCCCTGTGGTCCCCTTCACCTGGGTCCTGGGGTCCGGCCCGTGCTGATGGAGGCTGTCCCTCAGTCTTGGTGAAATGAGCAAAGGGCCCAGGGCAGATGAGGGGAGGAGGCCTGGCCACATCCCCAGCCCTGCAGTCACCCTGACCCCCAGGGACAAGTACAGATCTTCAACTTGGCGTCTGAGGTGCAGGCTCCTCAGCCCAGGTGCCCTAACCAGTAATTAGCTCCAGCTCCAGCTCCAGCTCTAGCTCTGAGGTTTGTTTGTTCCAGCCCCGCTCCTCCTCCTCCTCTTACCAAATGGCATTTAAATGTTAATCAAGTCAGGGTTGCGGACGCATCACTCCCCGGCGGCAGCCGAAGGTCAAGGCCAAGCCTGGGAGGCAGCCCCATCTCTTCTGGGATTGGCGATTCTGCAGCCCTGTTAGCTCCAGGCATGGGGCTGGCCGGCTGTGGGGCTCCTAGGACAAAGCGGGACGAGGACAGGGTTGGGGGGCTGGGGCACGGGCTGGGTGTGGTCAGAGAGCACAGTGCAGACTCTGCCGGGCTGGGCACCCTTCTGCCAGGACACAGGGAGGGTCACGGGGCTGCTGCAGCCTGGGGAGCAGGCTTGCTCTGGACTTCTCCATGGGTACCCTAGCTCGAACAGGCCACTGGGGCACCCGCTGGCTGCCCTGCCCTGCCCGCGCTGAACTCTGAACCTTCCTCCCCATCCTGTGTCAACTGTGGCCTTTCTCTCCCTCTCTTGCCAGTCACCTGCTCTCACCTCGGCTCTCCCTGCTGATCTGCTGCCTTCCAGGGCCTCCCTCACATCTCATTCTGACAAATCTGCTCTACACGTTTGCACACCTCAGTTCAGGGGTCAGGTGGTCAGGTGTTGGTTCGGGCAGCTTCTAGGTCTGGACCAGAGAGATGCTATTCCCTCTCAGGCCCCTCAGGAGATAACAGGAAGGACCCTGGCACACAGTAGGGTCTCTCTAGATTCTTCTGGTTTCTTCCTTGCTTTTCTTCTCTGATTCTCCCTGAAACTCATTTCTCCCACTCTCTCTTCTCCCTCTCTGTCTTGGGCACACCCCTGAAGAGAATTCACCCCAGGAGCCTGGCTGAGCAGCCACCAGAGCAAAGACCCTCCTGGTGCACTACAGGGTCTGCTGGGAGGGTCTTGGGGGCTGTGTGGGGAGGGGACGAGGGTGGGGGAGGTTAGGAGGTGCTGAGTAGGCTTTCATGCTCAAAAAAATCCCATTAGTAGCCTCCCGACAAAGGAAGAGAACTTCCCATCAAGGCAATATTTTCATGTACAGAAATTTATCACCTACCAGGACACAAACAACAAATAGGAAAGGAGGAAACATTTTTCCAGGTATCCAAAATGAACATGATGAAAATAAGTACAAACATTCTTCACGTGAGAGACTTCTCAGGCCTTCTCTTAGAGCCTTACAACTCTTACTTTAGGCAGAATTCTAACTCTATTGATGCTGTGTGGTCCTAGCACACAAAATCGGGACACAATGAGGGGTGGCAGGTGGCAGACGTTACCAGAGAGTTATGCTAGTAGAAGTAGAACTTGTTGGCTGCCAGCCACCTTACTTACAGGAGGATGATAGAAAGAATGGTAAGATTTTGGTGTCATAGGGTATGGGTTTTCAGTGACCTGAATGATCCTTGGTTAATCAAGGCATGTTATTTAGCATGGCTTCTTCATAACTGGGATGCAGGCTCTGAGCTTGCTATCCTGCAGTGGGCTGAATCTTTGTGCACGCCCCCTGGACAGTGCCTGGTCCCCTTTATGCACGTGCCCCTCCCTCCCACATCTGTGCCTTTCTCTGCCCCACTCCAGCCCCTGTCTTATGCTCAGGACCCTGGGTACTCTCTGGCCTCCTCTGCCTGGTCCTTGATGCACCCATCTGTCTGCAGTGAGGCGGCTAGTGGTGTGGACTGACAGGTGGGGACCACATCTGTCACTGTGTCTCCAGGAACCTATTGCTTCTAAGACCCAGGGGCCCTCTGAGGAGAGGCCTGAAAAAGGGATAGGGGCACAGCCTCTTTGCCTGGTGGAGGTCTTTGTTCTATGCAATACCTTGTCCTCAGATTCCTTTAAATGGGAATGTTTCCAGGGGATTTCCAATGAGGCACGATGGGAGCTTCTGTTTGCACTTAGGCTTGGGGAGCAGTCAGTGGGTGCATGTGCCCCTTCCCTTGCTGGCCTCCTTCCCTCCTTCCTGCACCCGTCTCTCCTCTCCCCTTACCACCAGCTTCTTTACAGACATAATGTTCTTGGTTTTTGCTGTTTCTCAACCCAAGGTCCTTTCCCCGGGGCAGGAGAAATGACAAGTGTCCTTTCACTTCTCCCTGGCAGCCACTTCAGGAATTGGCCCCATTCCCAGCCTGGGCTCTAGAACACATGCTGGAATGTCAGGCACTCAGGCCAGGGCTGAGGAAGACAGCATGGAACACAAGGATCCCAAGACAGTAATTTGAGGATCCAGCACTGGGGCTCCAGGCTCCAGGCTGTGGTCTAGAGGCATGGCTGTGGTCTGCAATCATGAGCCTGGATGGGGTTTCTCTTGGGGCTCCATCTCCCTGGGGACCCCGAACTCAGCAGTGCATACTATCCACCAGGCCCAGGTGTCTGCTCAGTCCATGGAGAGGATTTGCCCAGTCTTTTCTGGTTAGTCCTAAAGAACTGAGAATTAGGAAGAGAAACAGACTGCTTATAAGTAGAACCATACTCAAATGCTCTCATCATAAGGTATTCCAAAGCTAAATATGAATGATTTCTATGCAGTTCAGTGATGGGGTATGGGAAAATAGAAAGAACAGAAGACAGAACCTCTGCCCTCTGTAGACTGGAAGGAGGGTCAGGGAAGGCTGTAGCAGTGACTATGGAGCTCAAGACGGGCAGACAACGGGTGCTAGAGGAGGTAGGAGAGACGGAAGGTCAGCAGGGACCAGGGCAGTTACAAGAAGTCTCCTGGGGTGGTGAGAATCTGGCTGGGTCTTAAAGGAGGAGGAAGATTTGGGAAGATAGCAATGATGGGAGAGGTTGCTGGGAGAATGATTTATAGGATAGGATGGGCAACAGCAGAGAATGATTTTACTGAAGTAAGGGGTGGATGCTGAGCAAAAGGGACTTTAAAGGGAGAGGAAGAGTAAGGCTAGAATACCAAGGGCTTTGAAGGCTCAACACAAAGACAACAGGCAGCAGCTGCAGATTCTTGAGCAGGAGAGTAGCCCACAGAAGATAGCAGTGTGGGTCTCAAGCACCCTCAAAGTTGGGCAATGGAGAGTTGATTGAGCCCTTTCTGAATACCCTTCTACCAAGCCCGATGGAGTGAACATAATGAAACCTCATTCGAAGGGAGAAGCATGTCGCCCACCCCCTGTGAATTGAGGCTAGGAGCCAAGGGCTGGGGTGGGACCTGGATGAGGCAGAGGAGAGAATTTCTTCACAGATCCCTGAAGGCGGATGGGGCAATTTTTTTTTTTTTTTTTTTTTTGAGATGGAGTCTTGTTCTGTCACCCAGGCTGGAGTGCAATCATGCTATCTCGGCTCACTGCAACTTCTGCCTCCTGGGTTCAAGCGATTCTCCTGCCTCAACCTCCTGAGTGGTTGGGATTACAGGCATCCACCGCCACACTCGGCTAATTTTTGTATTTTTAGTAGAGACCAGGTTTCACCATGTTGGTCAGACTGGTCTCGAACTCCTGACCTCAGGTGATCCGCCCGCCTTGGCCTCCCAAAGTGCTGGGATTACAGGTGTGAACCACCGCACCCGGCCTGGGATGGGGCAAATTTAAAACTAAGGCAACAGCCGGACACCAGATCAACTCTTGAAAGATGATGGACATAGTACAATATGGACATAGTGTTCATACTTTACAATAGTAAAATCCTGCCTATGGGCCCAAATAATCAATTGAGTGATCAGGAACAAGGGCCCCCTATTGACCCTTTGTGTGAACATGACCTGGAAGTTTCAGTAGGAATTTAGAGGGAGGCAGGCTTTAGGTCAGCCTAAGGAAGAACTTTCTAGCTTTTAAGACTGACCATGGAATACAGCATCTTGAAAAGGCCATGATCTCTGTCACTGGAGATGTTCACAAAGGAGAAGCGGTATCTACCACCATGTTCTTCTCTGTGTACACCATGCTGAGGAGGATGGTCTCTGCTTCCCCAAACCAGATCTCGAGGCACTCAACAGGGTAGGGCTGGGGCTGGAAAAGCTATAGCGCAGACCCAGAAAGCTGCTATAGCACAGAGCAGCAGTGTGGCCAGGTCTTCACTGTCACTGTAGTTATGTGTAACATCCACAAAGACACTCAAGTCACACCCAGATGTCAGCTCTCCTGTGTCCAGGCCCTCACTTCTCATCTCCACTTGCCAACTCCGAACCTCACACAAGTCCCACTAGATGGCTCCTATTCCATTTTTGCAAGCAAAGCACTGAGGCTGAGAGGTGGGTGGCTCATCCGGTCAGGGGAGGTGCAGGGGCTGCAGTGTGCCCGACTCAGACCCCATTCTTCCCCACACTCCGGTTTGGGGCCCTTGTCTGGTCCTCTCCCTGCTCAGTAGGACCTGAGGCTTGGTTCCCATGGAGATGGAGCCTGGGAGAAGGTGGAGTTTCTCATCTGTATGAGAAGCCCCTGATCTCCATTAGGCAAGGAGGGTCAGGGAGGGAGGCATCGCCACTATCATTGGAAGACAAGAAGACTGGGCTTGGAGAGGGTAAGTAGCATCCTTGGGGTCACAGAACACCTGGATTTGAATCCCAGACCTGTCTAAATTCCACGCTTCTATTTTTCCCACTACATCCAGAGCCTCCCTGTCTGGGTGGAGCCCTCCACTCCCATCCCACCCTCTTCACTTCTCTCTGCTTCCACCCATCTACCCGTGCCCCATGGAGCTCCTCTTCTGGGTGGCCCCTTCTTGGTTTCTCATTTAAGAGGTATTTACAGAAAACACCATTGAAAAAGCCAAGCTCTGTGGGATCATCTTGAAAAGGAGTGGGAGACTGGGGAGGCTGGCATCCCAGAAGCCTTAACCTGGCTTCAGAGGTGAGATCTGGGAGAAGAAACTTGGCAAGCTATGCGGCCAGCATGCACCTGAGGAGGGGGCATTGCAGGGTTAATGTGCTAAGGTGTTTGCAGGAGGAAGAGGAGGAGCTAGGGCTCAGGTTGTGGTGGTGGTGGTGATGGTGGTGGTGGCTACCTGGAGGAGGTGTGACGAGAGAGTTGGAGAGCATGGAGCAGGTGGACAGAAAGGAAACAGTGTTAGTCAAAGAGAGGGGGTGGGAAGGATGGAGCAGCCAGACTGGAGGCAGACACGGGGGAGTGGGGAGATGTCACTGGAGACAGTTCGTTTGGGGCCAGGAGCTGTGGGCTCCTGAGTCTCTGCTTGATTCTCCCAGCCCTGGGAGGCAGCAGTGGGTTCCTGAGCTGGGGCAGGGGTGGGGATGGGGAGGACAGAGGGAAAGGATGCTCTGGGAAGGCCTTTCTTGTCCTGCATAAGATGCTTGGGACAAAAAGGACAGGAAGGCCACGGCTGAATTTCCTAATGAGATCTGGTGTTGGGTGCCCGGAAGGTGCAATGTGCAGGATGGTCTCTACCTTCCCAGGTGTAGGAACAGAGGAACAGAGGAAGGAAAAATGCAAATCAGGTCGGGGAGACTGTGTTTTTTTCTTTTCTTTCTTTTTTTTTTTTCTTAAAAGAGAGAAAGAGAACGAAAGCACAAGTGACATTTGGAACCATAATACCTTAAAGTCAATATCATTACTTCTGATATTTACTGTCAGCTCCGTGGCGCCGGTGAAGTGGGAAAGTTCATCCATCTCTCCTAACGCTGCTGCGTTGCCAAGAGTGTCCCTCTCCCCACCTTTCCTTTGTGCGATTCCAGTTAATTGTTTGGCTGTGTTAACACCCCCCACACCCAGCCCATCTTCCAGCAGAGTCAGGGGGAGGGTGGGCTTGCTGAGAGGAGGCGGCATGGTGCGGTGCAGCCCAGGGAGGTGGGAGGGGAACCAGCCCTGGGTATAAAGAGCCAGGTTCCAGCACCGACCTGAACACAGCCTGTGGGTCATTTGGGTCTCAGTGACTCCATCTGTGGAGGAGACCTGGGCATGGTGACACTATATATGTCCCAGGATACAGGCATTCATTCAAGTATTCATCAATCCTTCGGGCGAGAACTCAGCCTTCCCCTGCCCCCCAGCCCAACTTTGTGAGGCTTTGGTTTCCTCTGAGCACAATGTGGAGGAATCTGCCATCTGACCCCATCTCCCTCTTCAGCCCCATCCTTCCCTCCTCCCTGCCCGTCTCCCTACTCTAGACCACAACTCAGGGGGAATTCTCTTCAGCCCTTGTTGCCTGTCAGCCCTCCGCCTTGATCCTCCCCACAATGATGTACACAGCAGGGGCCTGATGGCTCCCCAGGGAGGGGTAGGGAGGGCACTGTCTCCCTCCCGCTTGGTTCCTGGCTGGCCTCCCCTCCCACTGCCCATGCCAAGGTCCTGTCCCGTCTTGTCTGCTGCTGTCTCTGACTGAACCTCTTCCCAGGGGCCTGGTCTGATTTCAAATCCAATTTTCTGCCATAAACTTCCTCCTTCTCTGTGTTGGCAGTGAGCCTCTGTCACTTTCAGCCAGCAAAGTCATTTTTCCTGCCTGACCCCAGGGTTTGGGGTCACCTCAGCGTGCAAGGAGCAGGCAGCTACAGCATCCTCCTCCCCTTCCACACGAGTGAATGAGCCCAGGTCTGTCTAGCCTGTGTCCCTATGGAACAGCCCCGTGTGCACACCAGTGAGCTGCCCATGCACACCTGTACAGTCTGTGCCTGTGGCGGTGCAGGTGGGCATGCACCATTTGTGTGCAAACATGAAGACCTGGGTGAACACCTGGGCATCCCTGTTTGGGGGAGATGTGTGGTCCTGGTGCATACAAGCCTGCACACATGACCACATGCGCACTGCAAACCTCCGGGGGATCGGCCTCCTGGGGGCTGAGTGCTTGCTTGGGCAGCTCTAAGGTGGATTCCAGAATGGGGAGGGGAGGAAGGAACAAGCCTGAATAAGGTTCATTTTGAGATGCTTCCCCAGGGAGATGGAAACCTCCTGCCCCCAGGCCCTCCCATTAGCCAAAAGGCCAAAACTCTTTTTCCTTTCCGTATCTGCAGCCTCCACCATGGGGCTCCCAACACCCGAACATGTAAACCTATAACTATCTCTCCCAGAACACTGCAGTGTATGGTGGGGGGGTGGGCAGCGGGAGGCTGGGCTCTCTCTCAGGGTCTACTGGGACCCAAACCCTCTCCCAGTCATTGCCTCCAGGTGCCTCCTTGCCCCCAATTCACTGTGGCTACAGTATCTTCTAGAGGATTGGCTCTCTGGGTCTTTGGAGGAACCTATGAGTGGCTCTGGGGACCAAATGTCACCTTTGCCCAGGTGGGTGAGGGATGTAAGGATTGCTCCTGGGTTTTCTGAAACCTCAACAGCATCCTGTCCACACCCTCTCCTCGTATACTTAAGGGCCAGGCACATTGAAATAATTTTACAATTCTTTAGACACTCTGGGATTGCTCCTTCCTCTCTAGTTTCACCATCTCTGCCCTCGTTGCTTATAGGGCTACACCTACACTTGACTCCACCACTCAACAGCTCAAAGACATGCTATGGCTTCCCAGTGCCAAAGAATTAACTTTAAATCCTATGGACTGGAATTCACAGTTGATCCCAGTGACTCTCGTAGAATCACTGCTGTCTCTAACACCATTCACTTTCTGTTCCAGCCAGGCCAGGCCATACGCTCATCTCTGTGTTCATACTCTCTGTGCCCAGCCAGCACAACAGATCCCAAGAGATATTGCCCAGGAAATGTGCCCATGCACTGTGCCTTCTGCATGAGAGCTGTGCCTGTCTCCTCCTGGCTCTGGGGCCTTGGGCTGTGCAAACTGCAGAAAGCCGAAACGCCCCTCTTCACCTCTGCTGAGCTGACACTGCAAAAGCCTTTGCTCCCTCTCCTCAGAGCCCAGCCTAGTCCTCTGGCTTGCCTCAGCCTAGTATTCCTCTGAAGCAGAGGTACCTACAGCCTGAAACCACAGGGACAGGGACAGAGAAATCCAGCAAGCAAGAGACCCTCAGACTGTTCCCAGCTTCCAATCCAATAGGTCCTATCCCAGAAAGGTTCTCTGGCCTTAGTGTCCTTTTATGCCTCCTGAGGGACTAGTTGTCCTGCTTTCCCGAGCCCGAGGGGAAGGAGGAGAGGATGGCTGCCTGGTTGGGGGCCATTTCCCCAGGCTTACGTTACTCATAGATCCATTCTACTGCTCGGAAATGGAGGGCTCCACTCTTCCCACCTTGGTCTTGGGTGTTACTGGAATCATTACACTTAGAAGGGGTATGGCAGGCTGGAGGTGCCCTGCATTTCTCCAGACCCAGTAGGAATCACAGAACCCAGATGTCTCTACAAGGGAACTTTGAGGCCATCCAGCCTCCCTACATCCTGACAACAGTCCCACTTAGTGACCCCTGCTTTGAGGCATCCAGTTTATCTGCCTATGATGATCTAACCCCACGAGAGTGGCCACATACTCCTTGCACAGCAATGAAAAGTAGCATGCTTTTAATGTTTGCCTAAAATCTGACTGCTTGTACTTTCCGCAGGTGGCCCTCCTGTTGTCTTTTCGAGCCCCAGAAACAAGCCTTTTCCTTAGGACCACCCTGGAGTGACCCTTTTCGCAGTTGGCCCTGCTCAGCTTCACAATGCTGGCTCTGTGACCAAATGTCACGTGTCAATCATGTAAAATCCTTCAGCGTGCTAACCACTCTCCTCTGAACTTAGTTTTTGTGTAATTTTTACCCAGTTCTTCAATTATTCCCAGAACTGGTTGAAACAGCAAAGAGCAGACTGTGACTGACACCTCCTCCTGGATGTCACACGTGTCTTCAAGCAGTCTCAAGTGCAATTCCATCCGGGGCAGCCAAATGCTGCTGGAGCCTCCTATTGAGCTGTCAGGAGAAGCACTTGCCCGTGGGCACAGCAGCTGTGTTCTTCGCCTGTCCCTGCCTCTGTACTTAGATCCTCAGCCCCGAGCCTTAGAAAGACCCCATATTTCTCCCTATTGAACTACGTCTTGTTGGATTCTACCCATCACGTCCATCTGCTAAGATCTCGTTGCACTGTTTTTCTGCCATCTAAGGGATGCACCATTTTTCTCAGCTTTAAGTCATCTGAAGATTCAGTCAATCTAACCAACATTATCTTTAGCCAAGTCATTGATAATGTGGATTATGGCAGGACCAAGCTGAAAAATTCATAGTGCCAGCCCTGGAGCAGTTCACAGGTGGCCAAGGCCCCAGGGTGCTCTGTGGGTCCTTAGGACCAATAACTGGCCAGAAGCCCAGGGATCCTGGCCTCAGGGGATGTGCAAGGACTCTCGAGGAGAAATGAGCCCTTTGTGGCCATCTTGCCCAGCGCCTTCTCTGCAGGAATGTAGCAGCTCCTCTCCTGATAGAAAGATCCCTCCTTTCCAGAGATGTCCTCAGACTGAAGAGTGGGGCTTCTCATGATCTGCTTCTAGAGAAGCCCTTTGAGCAATGCCAGGCTCCTAGTGTAGGCTTTCTTGATTCGTTGTTGAGAAAGGGAGAGAAGAGGCATGGTCTTGCCACCAGGAGCTGGGAGGGGGCAATCAAGGCCCTTGGCTACCCCTGTGAATGTGACCACAGGGCTGGCCCAGGATGGAATAAAAACAGCCAGAGAGGGCTTGGGGCAGTCATTAAGCAGTGCCCAGGCCCTGGGGATGGTATCAAGGGTGACTGAGGCTTATGCCTGACTCAGGGGCCCAGGAAGAACAAGGTTCTTGGGCCAGAAAGGCCACATGACAAGCCTGGGAATGCATGCAGTTCAGCAGCTCTGAGTACACTCTTCTTAATGTGTGCATGGTTTCTTTTCAATGTGCAGTTGGAGCTTGTAAGAACAATAACATAGACAACCGAGCCTTAGAAAGAGAATGATGTTCTACTTTTACATTGTTGGTGGGAGTGTAAACTAGTTCAACCATTGTGGAAGACAGTGTGGAGATTCCTCAAGGATCTAGAACTAGAAATACCATTTGACCCAGCCATCCCACTACTGGGTATATACCCAAAGGATTATAAATCATGCTCCTATAAAGACACGTGCACACGTATGTTTATTGCGGCACTATTCACAATAGCAAAGACTTGGAACCAACCCAAATGTCCACCAATGATAGACTGGATTAAGAAAATGTGGCACATATACACCATGGAATACTATGCAGCCATAACAAAGGCTGAGTTCATGTCCTTTGTAGGGACATGGATGAAGCTGGAAACCATCATTCTGAGCAAACTATCGCAAGGACAGAAAACCAAACACCGTATGTTCTCACTCATAGGTAGGAATTGAACAATGAGAACACTTGGACACAGGGCAGGGAACATCACACACCGGGGCCTGTCGTGGGATGGGGTGGAGGCGGGAAGGATAGCATTAAGAGAAATACCTAATGTAAACGACAAGTTAATGGGTACTGCACACCAAAATGGCACATGTATACATATGTAACAAACCTGCATGTTGTGCACATGTACCCTAGAACTTAAAGTATAATAATAAAAAAACAAGAAATCACAATGAAAAAAATAACCATATATTTTCAATGGAAACAACCATTTATAAACAAACACAGCATAGATTTAAATGACTTGCTATTACTTATGAGACTCAACTGGGTATATGTTTAATAATTACCCAGTCTCCAGATAAGATACTGATTATTTTTAATGAAATAAAATAATTTTTACTTATTAACCTGAAAAAAAAAAAGAGAAGGATGTTCTCTGGGTGGGGCAGGGTCCTGCCTTAGCATGTGAATTAGTGTGACCTGTTGAGGGCTGGGGTGAGGAATATGCCAGGGGAGGGACAAGAGCCCCAATCATTAAAGATTTCAGCCAAGAAGACTCCATTCAACAACCGACACCCTTACACTCCCTTTACCTGGTAACTCCACTTACATCTCACAACAAGCCAGGAAGACATGCAGGGAAAAGGTGATTCCCATGTTACAGATGAGACACCAAGGCAAGCCAGAGAGACTGAGGCTGGAGTGGACGCCGCCCTGGTGAGTGGTGGCAGAGCTGGGGCCACTGACTCTACTCTCTGTTGCATGCCACTGCCAGCTCCAATGTGAGCCAGGTGAAGACTGGCCCTTTCTCACTGCTGGTTCCCATCAATCAGGGCATCAGCAAGCTGGTCTCGACTGAGGGTGTCTCACAGGCGCAGCCATGTGCCCAGAGCCCTGCCCTTCTGATTTCAGATGTGGAGGGGACGACCAGGCTCTTATACAACCTACCTGACTTGACCACAAACAGCCCATCCTGGCCCATCACTACCTGAGACCCTGGACGGTGGGGCACTGGGCATGGTCAGGACAGAGCCTCTGCTCCCTGGGGAACTTTGTTGGAACAAAGAACATGCTAATGGCAATGGTGATGGTTAGCATCAGTGATGACCAGCGGGTGTGTGTATTTCCACTTGATCTTCACCCCAGTCATGTGAGAGGAGCATTTAGGACCTGCATTTTACAGATTAAGAAACTGGCACAGGGAGGGTCGGTAATGTGCCCAGAGCGAGCCAGGTCTAGAGTGGGCTCTGTCCCAAAACCTCCCTGCCAGGTTTCAGACTCTAACAGTGGGAGGGGCTGGAAAGCAGCCTGGGGAGGGTCCAGGGAGGCTGTCCAGGCAGGGCATCATGCCAGCAATGTGCAGAGGATGGGGGTCCCTCGTGGGAGTGCTCCCACTAGGCACGTGAGAGGCCCAGGTGGGCAGGTACAGGACCCATTCCCAATACCACAGCCTCTGTCAAGCTGCCTGCGGACTCCCAGCAGCCAGATGATCTACAGTTGCTGGCTCAAAGATGTGCTTTAATCGAATAATGATATTGGGGAGTGAGGAGTCACCATACATCAGCTCTCACCAAATGAAAAATCCGAAGGATAATGTAGGAGGTGAGAGATGCACTGGAGTGGGCATTTTACCGAAATCCACAGCAATTCACATGCCAGAAAGGTGGCTACCCCACCGCCCAGCCACTGAGATCACAGGTGGCTACTGTGTCCCAGACCCAGCTTGGGCAGAGAAGTTCCCCGCAGGTCCCCACCTCTTCACTCTCCACCTCACCATGCACCCTTCCTTAGTTCAGCCCTTTGAAGCCTCAATGTGACTAATTTGTAGAATCAGGAGGTGAGGCTTTGAGCCCTGCACCCAGCGAGTTTGGGGTCTGTGCTGCCCTTTGCCAGTGCACAGGGCGGTCCTCACTGCCTGGTGCAGGGGCTCATGCAGCTCATCTCCACTCTGACATCCGGCTCCGAACTTCCACAGCTGGGGCTGGAACATCCATATTCCCTACCCTTCTGGAAGCCTCCTGAGGAGCCCACTCCTCTCTGATCCGTAACTTCACTGGCAACTGAGAGGCTCACTGCCTGTTGTGGGTGGCCAGGTCTGCATATTGACAATGACAATATGCAGACTGACAATGACATGCCAGTGTGCAGAAGCAGGGGCTCCCCTGGTCTGGCCACCATGTGTACAGAGGGTGAGCACTCCCAGGCACTCTGGAAGACGTGGGGGCATTGTTCTGAGTCAGTCTCTGATGGAAAAGCCTTAGGAAGACCATCGTGTCCCTTCTTGCCCGGTTCCTTCTCCCATGGAAGGGAGGCACAGAGTGGATAAGCATTGTCCTTACCCAGCACTGAGTTCAAATCTCCCCTCTGCTTCTTACCGGCTTCCTACTCCCAGCCAGTGGCCCTGCCTCTTTGAGCTGCAGCCCCATCCTCCAATCCTCTAAATGGTGGGAGGAGGTTATGAGGTCATGTAGTTCAGGGCCAATACTGGGACAGGGCCCAGGTGAGCAGGCACTCTTGCAGTTGGAGCATGGTGTGTGCATGAGTGTGTTTCTGTCTGTGTCGTGCGGTCTGCCTGTGGTGTGTCGGCCTGTCTGGCCTGTGATGTGTGTCCTCAGGTTGGGTGTGTGTATAGGGTGAGAATCACTTTTCCATTGGCTGCAGCTGGCCTAGGCAGGGGAAGCTGTGTCTAGGTTGGGGTGGGGGCATGAGAGCCCGTGGGTGCATGTGTGTGTGCTCATGCGTCCTCCAAAACCTCCTTGCCGCAGAGTATAAATATTTATACAGATACCTGCCATAAATCTGCCTGCCTGGCAAACAAATGAATTGCAAAGGTAACTTTGTGTGTTGGGAGGGGGGCATTTACAAAAGTGCTCAGTGATGGGGTTGAAGAACACCAAAGGAAGTAAGCGATGACGCCGGCTGGACGGCTCTCGGGGCCAGTACCAGGGCAGCAGCTAGGTCACCACAGGGCCTTCAGGGCTGGTTCCTTCAGCAAGGGGGCAGGGACACATCCTAGGGAGCCCCCCACTGGCATGGGATAAATGCCTGAACCACCCCACCAAAGTCAGCTTTTCCTGACCTCCGATGCTGATGCTGTCCAAAGAGCTTGGTCCCTATAGCTTACTTAACCCTCCCCACCCCTGTGAGATGGAAACTTAATATTTCCAGACTGCAGAGAGGGAAACTGAGGCCCAGAGAAGGAAGAGGCTTCCCTAGATGGCAGAGGCAGGATGTGAAACTGAGTCTGAGCTAGAGCCCTGGCTCCTACCAGTATCCTGTACCACTGCCCACCTGGCCTCTGGGAGCTCGAGGCCTGAGTGTGTGGGATGCAGCCGGCCTACAGCCAACTCCTTTAGGGCTACAGCCAACTCCTCTACTCTTCCACCCCCAAGCATCTACTTCTAATGACTGCCCTCTCCGTCCTCCCCGGTCCCAGACCCTGGCCTGGGGAGCCTTCCCCATTCCAGCCCCTCCCCATGGGCTGGAGGAGGCCTTTTTAATTGGGTCCACAAGAACTTTATTACTGGGTAACTAGTTCCTTTGCTTTTCCTGTAACAAATTATCCTAACGATGTGACCCGGGACCAGATGTTAATTGCAATGGAAAGTAATCAATTTCTTTTACTGAGCACAGGCTCCTGGGCAGGTTTGTCAGGAGCAGAGCCAGGCTTCTTAATGAGGAGGGCACTGGAAGTATCCATCCCAGGCTGCCTTCACCTTCTTTCTTCCTGACCAGCCCTCACCCTTTCTCAATAAGGGCAGTGCCTGGCCAGCCCTTTCCCAAATGGCAGCCTCCCACCTCTTCAGGCCATGTCCCTTTTGGGCCATCTACCTTTCAAGAGGCCAACTACCTTCCTCTGGCTTCCTATCCCCCAGGAGATCAAGCTTAGTCCTCCCTCCTGGCACATGAGGCTTCTGTAATCCGCTCCAAGCCCCTGCCTGGCTTGGTGTTCTTCTCTCCCTAGCCGGGACACTGCAGCCCAGCCAGGCCACTTCTCTGCCCCTGCAAACCCTGCATCCATTCCCACCTCTTGCTTTCTTCTGCAATTCTGCTCTCTCCTGGGTGTGCTCCCCTACTCTTCTGGTCCTAGCTCAGTCTTCCTCTGGCCTTCAAGGCTTCCGTGTCTGCAGTGCTGGGGGCTTGAGAGAACCCCAGGAAGGCCCCCCTCCATTTCTGTTCTGCCATAATCCATCATCCTCAGGAGTGTGGGGCTCTGGGTGAACGCAGGAATCTTGGGGTCTGGCCTCACCTTGGTGGAAAATAGGCAAGGCCCTGGGGCCCCCACAATGCAGCCTGCAGTGCTTGCCAGGCTCACCTTTCAGGGTGCAAGGGAGGGTAGGTCCTGTTTTCCTCTGGCCTGGCAAGGGTTGGGATCGTAAACTGGAGTTCAGTTCATGCTAGTGGATGAATTCTGCAATGTGCTCTGTTAGAGAAGCTCTGCTCAATTTGAAAGCAGAGCAGAGGAGAGCCCCTCCCTACCTCTGGGTACACCTGGGTTAATAATGAGTCTGCTTTCAGCAGGGGGCACAGCAGGGAGCATCCAGGGATGGGGGAGTGGGCACAGGGGAGGGTGGAGGGGAGAGGGTAAGGGGAGGTGGAGGAGGGAGGACAGAGGAAGATAACTAAAGCAAGGAGGAGAAATAAAAAAGGAAGAGAAAAGGCAAGACAAAAGTGGAAAGAAATGGAGAAGGAGAGAGAGAAAAAGGAGATGTGAGGAGAAAAAAGGGAGAAGGGAGCGGCCAGGGAAACAAAGGCATCCTGAGATGCAGGAAGGCAGTGGTTGGGCTGGTGGAGCAGGGCTGGCAGGTGCAGGGGCTGTCCACTGCCTGGTAAGACTGCCTGAGGACGGCCTCCTGCTTCTGCAGGACCCTGAGGTCTACATGTCCCAAAAAACTGCCTCAGTGGAGTCCAACCCTGGCTGCATTTTAGAACCTCCTGGGAGCATCAAGGAAAAACAAGAAAAAAGAAACAGAAGGAAGAAAATCCCCCTTCCCAGACAAATCCAACCAGACCAGTCTGTGGGACCCAGGCATGGGATGCTTCTCACGAGCTCCCTGGGTGACTGTAATGCTCTGGCCCCAGATGCAGGGCAGGCTGGGCTAGTGCCAGCTGAGGGGTCGTTCCTGAGGCTTAGAAATGAGAGGGAAGCTGGGAACACGGTGATGAGAGAACATGGAGAACATGAAATGAATGCGCACAGATCTGGCTTCTGACCAGGAGCTTGCGACTGGGCTTTCAGGAAGACGGGTGTGTTCCTGGGGACATGTCTTGAGTTACTCAAGTCGAACTCTGCCTTTGGGGTTGGGGTCAGAGGCAGGACCCTTCTCTAGAGTGTGCTTGGTTCCCCTTGGACCCTGCTGGGAAGGATGCATTCGTTCTGGGGCAGGGCTGATGCCACTGGAGGAAAGTGGGTTTCTGGGATATGGAAGGGCAAGGGCGGAAAGGGAAGATAGGCAGTGCTCTCAGAAGGAGATGGGGGACTAGGGGGAACAGGAGAGCCACAGAGGAGGCAACAGGAGAGAACCTCTAAGGCAGTGGAAAGCAGAGGTCCTGAGTCCAGCGGGGACCTTCTCCTCCTCCCTGCGCCCCTACGTCAGAGCTGGCTGGGCTTCCAGGAGCCTCGTGCTGGGTAGGGGAAGATAGTCACACCCCTGGTCCTCACTGTAAGACACGAAAGAGAGCAGCTCCCACTCACCTTGCCCACAGGTTGACCCTCTCCCCAGTTCTTTCCCCATGGTGGACCCCTCCTCTGGAGAGCAGCACTCCCTGGACAGAGGCTACGAGAGGACTGCTCGCCCCACGCCCACCCCAGGAGCGGAAGGTGCTTTCTCTGCCACCCCTTGCTTGTTGCTTGGGTCGCAGGAGGTGGGGTATGGCCCGACAGTGGCTCCGCAGGGCTGGGCCACCCCCACAGAAGGGAGGCCAGGGAGCCCAGGGAGGGGGCAGGCACAGAGAGGGCCATAGGGGTGGCCAAGGACAAATTCCCCCGACTTTACAATTTCCCTGTGAGTCTACAATTCTATTAAATAGGATAATGGATTTTAAAATGCCCCGAAAAGCAGAGAGTGCTGTAAGATGGGCGGCATTATTGTTATTAACAACCGCATCCTTCTTAGAGCGTCGAGAGGAAATAAATCAGACAACACTAGCGACAGGCAAGTCCCGTGGAAGCATTCATTGCCATGAAATAAACACATATATATTAGAAACCCCAAATTAAAGGGAAAGAGCACTTGGGGGTAAGCCATGCTTTTATTTTTTAGGGTCTTATTAAAACCCACAAATGCTGGGAAAGCCGGTCTGAGCTGATTGGCTCATGTGCAACCAGAGTGGGGCTTGCCCAGGCTCACAGAGGAAGGAGTAGCTGTGGGGGTGCACTGCCCCACGAGTCAAAAGCAGGCCCTGGGGACAGCATGGATGGGGCAGCATGGGAGGGGGCAGGAAGGCCGGGCTGGGCTCCAGCCAGCCAGCATCCCTGAGCATCTAATTTCATGGTATCAACCAGCCTTTTGTTCTCTGCAAGGCTGATACATCCCCTTCACCAGAAGGTCTCCCAGGAGCTCCCACCCTCCCTGGTCTTCCTGTCTGTGTCTGACCATGCTGCTGGCTCTTCCTCACCTGGGGGCTTGCACTGCTTGTCCTGCTTAGGCTAGGAGATGAGCCTCCCTGCAGACCTTAGCAAGGTGTCTGGGGCCTCATCCAGTTGTTCACCTGCCTCCCCCGGGGCCTGGCCTAGGCAGGCACCTAGTGGGTGCTGTGAAACACTTAGTTGAATGGAGGATTGGATGAGAGCAGGGATAAACAGTAAACTCCCTAAGGCAGAGGCTGTCTTCACTCTGTTTTTCCCCTTTGGCCCTGGCGTGGGTATGCTATTGAGGTGCTAGTGTGGAAGCTCAGGTGGGCTGCCATCCTAAAAGGGATTGGGAGTATTATTTTTTTCTCTCTTACCTCATTAAGCTTAGCTTCCAATTACGTGTTAATGATGCTGGCTGCCTTTTGTAGGCTGGAGTTTACTGCAGTGTCTTTAAATTTAATCACCTTCATAATGGCCAGCTCTGGCATCACAAATAAGAGGCCATAAGCAAAAAAAAAAAAAAAAAAAAAAAAAGGTACTATCCTTTGCTCCTGTATATGCCAGCAAGATCTGGGGTCCCATGGAAGCCAGAGAAATCCTTTGATATCTCCCTAGCCTAGAAAAATTCTAAGAAATTCTGAGAACTGTCTTTTGGGACCTCAAACTGGGCTCCCTCTGCTTCCTTGCTCACAAATGCACCAAGAGGAATAAAGGTCAGACTCAGGGCAGGACTTACTGCTTGTGCTGAAACATGAGCAGAGCTGGAGAGGTTCTCCTGAGAGTGCTTGAGAGATCTGGTGACACACTCCTGCTCTCCCTCCAGCTCCCCATTTTGTGTGCATGGAGCATGGTGTTGGAGAGAGGCAGAGGGGTGGATTAAACATCTGATATTCAGGGAACCTCAGTGAGGGAGGCCAAGATGCTTTCCTGCTCCGGGGTTCCTCACCCTTAGACCCACCCTTCCACTCAGAGGGTGGATGGGTTTCAGGGACTCATGTGTTCAGGACCAGACCTTCTGTCCATGTTCTTCACTGAACCAGAGCCAGGCCCTTTCAGCTTGTGGCTGGTGCCTCCACTCTCCCGTCCAGTTGTCCTGTATTTGATTTGAACCCAAGGTTGAATTACTGGTGCCAGGCTGGCACTCCCAATGCTGTTGTGATTTCTCAGATGCAGAGAGAAGTTCACCTGCTCTCACCTCCCTCTTGGACCAGCTGCCATCCCTCCCACTTCTTGACAAGCACCACTCCCCCAACTCCCCACTTTATCTGTCACTGTCCCTCTGGGGAAACTTCCCCAGTGCTTATGTGGTGCTGAGTCTTCTCTCCTATGCCTCAGGTTGAAGGTCTATGTTCAAGCTCTCTCTCCCAACTACTCCTCCCAAACCCATTCTCATGTCTTTGCCCAATTGCCCACTCACGTCCTTCTCTGTACTCTGGCCTCTGGTACTCCTGCCACCCATCTACAAGTAAACCATCAGTCATTCTTCCACCTAGCATCCATTATTAATCCAGCATCCATCCACCATTCATCATCCATCCATTCTCCATCCATCTATCCATTCTTCCATCCATTTATTTATCCATCTATCCATCCATCCATTCATCCACCATTCATCCATCTATTCATTTCTTCATCCATTTATCCATCCATCCATCTATCCATCCATCCCCTGATTTAGTCATCCATCCATCCATCCATCATCTAGTCTTCTATCCATTCCTCTATCCATTTATCCATCCAGTCATCCATCCATCCATCCATTCAACATCTCTCCTTCTATCCATTTCTCCATGAATCCATCCATCCATCCATCCATCCATCCATCATCTATCCTTCTATCCTTTCCTCCATCCATTTATCCATCCATCCATCTATCAATCAATCCAGTATCCATCATTCATCCATCCATCCACCTATTCCTCCATTCATCCATGAATTCCTCTATCCATGCATCCATCATCTACCCACCATATATCCTTATGTATCCATTCATCAACCATCCACCATCCATCCATCTATCCATTCCTCTATCATCCATCATCTACCATCCATCCATCCATTCCTCTATGCATACATCCATCATCCCTCCATCTACCATCAGCCATCCACCATCATCCATCCATCCATCCATCCATCCATCCATCCATCCATCCATCCACCTACCATTCATCCACTCAACAATAAGTATCAAGGGCATGCTTGATGCCAGGCCGTACACTAGTACTGGAATAAGGTCTAGTCGTAGACTGCAGGAGGCCAGGTAGGAGTAAAGAATGTAAGCAATCTATTAGGCAATTATGTCACAAAATCAGACAAGGCTTCCTGTAGGAGGTACTCTCTAAGTTGGGCTCTAAAGGGCAATGGAGGAGGCCCTCATGTTCTGTTTCTGCTTGACTTAGGCCCCCTGGCTCTGAGTTCTGAACTCCCAGAATGCTGATGCTTGTATCACATTATATGGGGGCTCTGGAAGGCAGGAAGCTCCTTGAGGTGGGAGCCTTGCAGGCACCCTAGGGTAGGGACTGAACACTCCTTCACATGAACATTCCTTTAGAATGGGAGATAGAGGAGGCAAAACCCCCATTTGAATGGGGTCTCTCTGATGGCAGGGATGGTTTTCTCTATTTGTCCTCATCTTTCCCACTACCCAGGCCAGGACTCGGATGCTGGAGTTTTTAGACTGTGATTGAAGGATGTCTTTAGCTGCTTTGCTGACTAAGGAGACCTCCATGCCTCACTGCTGCCCTCTGGGTCAAGGCTCAGATTCCTGTCAGCCCCAGCTCTCCCTCTGGCTTGGCCCACTACCTGCATCTATGAGAATTCCTAGCAAGTTCCTGTGCGGTCCCAGTCTCACCCTGAGTGCTTTACCACTGGCAAGTCTTACTGAATATTTACTGATGGGCCCAGTGGAGCCAAGCAGGGAAGAAGACACAACCCAGGGATTGTAAAGGGGGCCTTCATGTGCTCTAGGCCTGGGAGGAGGAGCCTTGGACTGGGAAGGTGGCCTGAAAGTTGTAACTAGAGTTAAAGGCTCACTCTTTATGTTAAACCTGGTGGTCCTTAAATTGACCTGGTAGGGAAGTTAAAGCAAAAGTAAAAACAGCAAACATTTACTTAGAGCTTATCATGTGCTGGCACTGACTGTTCTAAGTGCTTGACTTCTGTTGACAGAATTCCACTTCACTATGAGGCAGGGAATGTTACCATCCCATTTTACAGATGGAAAAGCTGAGGCACAGAGAGGATAGGCAGCTAGCCCAGGCCCACAGAGCTGGCATCAGCAGTCAGCATGTGCAGTTTGGCTCTTGAGCATGTTCTAACCACTCTCCTTCTCTGCCTCTCTTAGCAGGAGCTCTTTCAGAGAATGGGAAACACAGGTCCAGAGAGGTTCAGACCTGCCCTCCTGACACACACACAGCAGGTCCATAACCAAACCAGGCTCTGTCTTAGGTACGATGATCCCAGACCAGGGGCTCCTCCCTCTTCACCATGTATCCTGGGCACTGGAGAATGCAGACCTGCTGGCCCACTGCTTCCAGAGCCCCTGTTTACCCCTTTCACCAGGCAAAGGTGGTGAATTCACACATGGGTGCATGTGTACACACATGCCTGAGTCATGCCTTTTCTATCCAGAACAAAACTAGCAAGCAGGCTGCCTTTTTCTCTAGAACACAAATGAACACAGAACTGAGAAGTAGGTCATGAAGGCCCTTAGGGTTTATTAATCCCTTCATTGATTCAACAAACGTAAAATATTTACAGTCCGTGTATTAAAACTCTTGTGCACTTTGCTCATAGAAAGCCCACTCTAGGGCTATTAACTGCCAGTTTACAAACAATGTTGACAAGCTGCTCACCTGCCCCCCTCCACAGAAATGTAAGCGCCCTGACCCTGACCCTGGATAGAGTGTGGCCCACTCCTACTCCTGGGTGGCCTGGTCATTCCAGTTCCCATCGTTAGAGCTGATTTGCCAGCTCTAACAATTTTATTATATACATAACAATATTATGTATGTAATAGTACATACATGTATGTATGTATGTATGTATGTATGTATGTATGTATTATTTTTTGTAGAGATAGGATCTCACTATGTTGTCCAGGCTAGTCTTCAACTCCTGGGCTCAAGCCATCCTCTGGCCTTGCAAAGTGCTGGAATTACTTATAGGCATGAGCCACTGTACCCAGCCACTGATTTAATCATACAGGCCAGGAGGCGCTGAGAAAGGCTGAGGCCTGGCAGACCAGGCAGAGCAGCGGCCACTGGGTGAAGCAGGAGGCTCAGGAAGGTAGCAGGGAGACGTGGGTGGTGCTGCAGCAGGAAATGGCCCTGTCCCTGTCCTGGGCATCCTGACAGCGCCACCCTGCATGGAGACAAACTGGGGGCAGGAGGAAAACTTGGTTTTATACTGAATAAGGAAACCGAGAGCTTGGGGTGCATTTTAGAAGGATGTTTCCTTCAAGCAGTTAAAATGAAAGTTTAAAAGTTTTGATGCTTGAAGGAGGCAATCCTCAGCCAGCTGAAAACTCTGTTATACATAATACTTAATTTCCAGATGGTTCATGTATAATACAGAAGTCTGTAATATGCAGCCCCAGGAATTTTTCCTCCCATGCCAAATGCCATGTGGCATCTGTAAACCACTCCTTTCTTTTCCAAGCACGTCCACATCTCGTTTGATTCCCATGATAGTCTTGTGAGGCAGGGAAGTCGGGTATTAACCCTATTTTACAGAAGAGGAAATAGAGACCCAAAGGGGTGCTGTGTCTTGTACAAGTTACAACTGGGACCAGCCACAGGGCCAGGGCTCTGGTGGGCTAGTCCAGGGACCCTGCCAACTCCTGAGCTCCTCTCCTTGCTGGCTAGGAAGGCGGCAGACCCTCAGCGATTGGAAAAGCAGGAATTCTCCCTAAATCCACCATGTCTGCCCTGTGGGTTGTGGCGGTGAGGGGGTGGGGGGCGGTGCGTGGAGGCTGGTTCTTCCTCCTCCTTCCAGACACCCTGCTGCACTGACGGCTCCTCCACTGCTCCCCACGGTGCTGAGCTTGTCCTGCCTCCTGCATGGCTAATTGGGAGACTGGGCAGAGACGCTCAATGCGGGGGTGACAGAGAGATAGATACATGGATTGATTGATTGACGAGAGGAAGTCGTACAGGTTGGCTAGTGGGAGGGGGACAAATTTGGCTTCCCCAGGCTTGTTATCTCATTTATGGGGCTGGGGGAGGGGAGACACTCTGTCCTTCCTGAGCTGCTAAATGCTGTCACAAAAACATTTATTAATATGCAAATTCTAAGTGGCAATCTGGACCCAGTCGGGTTGTGCTAATTTGCACATTAATATCTGTCTTCAGGCCGGCCTCCGCTCTAGGGAGGGAGGCAGAGGGACTGGGGATGAGGACAGGGGAGGGAGGACACATAGGTGGGGCAGGGTGTAGAGGGGCCCTGTTGGGGGCCTGTGGCTTGTCCAGACAGGGGCGGGCAGGGACTGAAGCCAGCCTGCAGCGGAGGAACTGGAAAGCACCGAGACTCAGCAGGTTCAGAATGTAATGTAGACACAGGCCTGGGACACTGGCCTGGAGGTCCCCTGGGCCATGTTGGGAGCCTTGCCAGGAAAGGGACTCTGCAGAAGCCTTAGCCTATGGAGGGTGGTGGTGTCAGGAAGCAGAGCAAAGTGAAGGTGGTAGGAGAAATAAATGGGGAACATCACGGGTCACTTCAGCTGGCCAGAGTGGCTACTGTCATCCCACTTGCCATCATGAGCTCCTTTACTCATGAGCAGAATGGCTAAGGAGCCCCTCCTGCTTTATCTGCTCCTTCTTGGACCAGGACCCATTCTTCACACAGGTCACCCAGTGAGGTGGCCAGTCCTGCCTGTCCCAGAGCCACCTGCCCTCCTCAGTGGACTCATATCCCTCATTAAACTTACTAATGAGTACGGAACCATACGTCTCTGATTTGCTGG
Source organism: Homo sapiens (assembly GCF_000001405.40). Classification (NCBI taxonomy): domain Eukaryota; kingdom Metazoa; phylum Chordata; class Mammalia; order Primates; family Hominidae; genus Homo; species Homo sapiens. The sequence continues at coordinate 37,384,961 of NC_000018.10, forward strand.
GTCAGTCCTCATTCCAAGCCTTTTCTCCCTTTGTCCTCATAAATACACACTTATATTTGTCAGGCTGTGTGTCTGATTTTTTTGTTAAGGAAATGTGATCACTAGGCTGGGCGTGGTGGCTCACGCCTGTAATCCCAGCACTTTGGGAGGCTGAGGCGGGTGGATCACTTGAGGTCAGGAGTTCGAGACCAGCCTGGCCAACATGGTGAAACCCTATCTCTACCAAAAATATAAAAAATTAGCCGGGTGTGGTGGCATGTGCCTGTAATCCCAGCTACTCCGGAGGCTGAAGCAGGAGAATCTCGAATCGCTTGAACTCGGGAGGCGGAGGTTGCAGTGAGTGGAGATCAAACTGCTGCACTATAGCCTGGGCAACAGTGCAAGACTCCATCTCAAAAAAAAAAAAAAAAAAGAAAGAAAGAAAAGAAAGAAAATGTGATCACCTCTAACTAGATTAATGCCGTGGTGGTGGCAATGATAGGCATGTCAAGGGAAGTAGGGGTTGCTACTGGCTGTAGTTTCTCCCCATCTTAGCTTGTCCATGCCACCTGGTTAATCAATTAGTCAGTAGTCAATTAGGCCAGTAGTTAACTGAGCCAATGTCTCCCCTCCCCTCCACCTCCCCCAGCCCACAATACCCTCTTGCCTACTGGCTTTATTCTAACCTGATTCATTCTGCAAACCCTGCCTTGGGCATGGAGCCAGCCCTCCCTGACCTCCTGTCCAGAATGCTTTTTCTATGATATTGTGCCACACACCTACAGTTTTGTTTCTCTAGTGGTTTCAAGTGCGAATCCTGTTTTCCCATCTACATGGGAGCTCTCTGCTCCACAGTACCTGGCAGAGACCCCACATGTGGACTATTTTCAATATGTATTTATTGATTTTCCAAAGTACTTTCATCAGTTAACACATTTTACCTTCATATAAGTCTGTGAAATGACAAGGCTGTTATTTTCAGATACTACACTCATAGTGCTCAAGTGTGACATTTATTGAAACTTCAAAAGTTTAGATTTAAGAATTAATTTAATCCAAATAAACTAAACTTGCAATTCTAAATATGGCCACCAGGTGGTGGAATCTACCTTGGTATATTCTTTTTGCTTTGGGCATATTACCTGGAGATGATGAATGAATGTATTGATTTTTCTCACTCTTCTGCCACCTTAATTTGCCTACTCTTATATTCCAGGCACATACCCCGCTGTCCCCCTAAAGAATGTCTGCTCTGTGGACCTGCAGATGTACAAAGAGGATGACAATTATTATGTGATGTGTTGAAATAAACAGTGTTCTGGAAGCTTAGAGAAAGGAATAATTAACTCAATGAAGAGGAAGCCTTTACAGAGGTGGCAACATCAGAATGAGGTAAGTAAGGAGGAAATAAGGTGAGAGTGGTGGCTTACAGTGGTAGGAGGCTGAGCGAGGATACCTTGCGGTCGTGGGGAGAGACGGGAAGGCAGTGCTGTGTGGAGAGGCCAGCTTGAGGGAGAACCAGCTTGAGGGAGAACCAGCTGATGGGAATGAGGAGAGTGAGGCGGAGAGCCGTACTGACTCAAAGACTGTCTAGATGATGGTGCCATTAACTGAGAGTGAGAACACACGCTTCCCCACTAATTATCCTTAGAAAAAGTCAAAATAGAACTTTTGATTGAATTAAATTAACTTGAACATGGTGCCATTAAACGAGATTGGAAAGTCTTCTAAAACAAGCCTATAAAGAAAAAACACCTAGGTACAATTCAGTCCCTTTCTCAATAATCTTTAACTGTTATGGTCCTAAATAGTCTCTCTTTTCCTAAATAGTTTCCTCTCTAGGGTTTCAAAGAAGAAGCCCTTGACTGCATGTTCACCTCTTCACTTTGTTCTCATACCTCAGGGTATGTACAGAGTGGGGCTCTGTGAATTCTCTTAGCATTAAAAAGGTGTTATTGTCTTCTGTAGGACAAGTTTGTACTCTCTCTCAGTGACCTGAAGAAGAAGCCACTGGCAGGCAGAAATGATGGACTGTGCCTCTCACTGGTCCTGGGGCTCTCTTGGCGATAGAGAGACGGCACGCACGGGGCTGAGCCTGCTGCGCTGTGGAGGCGGCTCCCCAGCCCCGGCTGGCCTCAGTGGAGGATGTGGGGCTTTTGCTTTGATCCTTGCCCATGGTACAGATTCTAGCAGTAAGAAGAGACAGATGGCCCCCAAGTTCCCCTGGTTCCTTGTCCTGGGCATTACTTTGTGCTGCCCCTTCCTCCCTGCCTTTTCCCGGCAACCAGGGCCATCCCGAGTGGGGGGCTGGGCCAACTGAACCCCATGGTGAAGCTGAACCCATGCCTCTGGGCCAGGCCTTGCTCCCTCCCCAAACCAGCAGAGCAGCAAGGGGCCCTCACAACCTGCCCTGGGACCCTGGCTGGCTTCTGCCTTGGTGGGATGAGGCCTGGATACCCAGAACCACACGCAGCCAACTGCTTCCTTGACCTCCAGCGCCCCTCTTCTCACGGGAGGCTGTTGTTCAATCCTGGAGATTCAGGATCCAGGGCCCACCTCGTGCTGGGCCCAGCTGAGTCCGGCTTGCCAGTCTCCACCCCGAGAGGACTGAATTCAGTTGCTTCTTCCAACTCCTTTGGACAAACCCAGAGTCTCGATGTAAAGTTGAGGACTCTGGTCTGGGGCTTTTTCTGGCCTCAGGAGGCTGGTGGAAGAGTCCAGGGCTGGCTGAAGCTGCAGGTTTTTCCTTGTACCCTAGCAGCCCTTCTGCGGGTGGGACTTTGTTTTGCAGCATCCTGAGCAGATCTTCATGTCCTGCTTTCCAGTCTGACCCTTTGCTCCTTCCAGCTGTAATCCCAGTAGATCTTGGTGCTGGCCCACAGCATCCCCAATCCTGGCGAAGGAGCCAAGGGCAGGGAGCCCCCTGCACTCTCTCATCAGAACAGAGGAAAGTAGGGCCTCATCTCACCTGGCCTGGGGCTGGGGGAAGCCAGCTTTCTCCCTAGTATTCATCCAGACCCTCCTCCTTCCCACCAGCTGATGAGGTTCTGTGGCCCTCTGTGGCCTTTATTGTCATTGTCCCTGCTTTAATGCCACACTCGGTGGAAGGCAGGAGTTGGGGGAGGGGGGAGGGTACTGTACAGCGCAGTGTGATTTGGGTAAATCCTTTGGGGCAGGTTTCATTGAGGGGAGAGAGGAGGGATCACCTGAGGTGTGAGAGGGGCTTCTCTAAAGGGAAAAAGAAAGGTGAGGCTGAGGTCTTCAATGCCAAGCTCAGCACATCTGTCAGGCTTGGTCCTAATGGTGCCAGAAGTCATGCACCATTGCGTGAAGAGATGGGGTAGGGAATACTGTCCCTTCTCCCCAAACAGGCCACCTGTGGCCTCTGACTGCACTCTGACGCTTCCTCCTTTCCCAGCTCCTCCTCTGTCTCCCTCTGCCCTTTGCTTCTCCTCTTCCCTCCCTTCCCTCCTCCTTCTCCTCCTTTCCCCCCTCCTTCTCTCTCCTTCTTCTCTGTCTTCCTCCTCCAGTCTCTCCCATCCTCCTCCTCTTCCTCCTCTCCCTCCCCAAGGCCAGTGGTGCCCTGGCCCTGGTTAAACCTGGTGTCATGCCCTCTCTAGCTTTCCTGTTGCATTTCTCGGTTACTAATGAGCTCAAGACAGCAGCAAACACCCTTCTAGGTCTGCTGCTGTCATTCATTAGCATAATGGGCCATACGAGAAGTAGTTATTGCAATAAGTGCGGTGGGGAGGGAGAAGCCAAAAAGTCCAACTTACATGGGAGTAGGGGGCCTCCCAGAGCCTCCACAGAACATGCTGAGGATGCCTCCCGAGCATGCCCTTCCAGTCTAAGCCCCGACACCCTCTGCTTCTGCCTGGAGCACCTCAGCCCTTGTCACCCTGGACCCTCTTGTCCAGGAGACCTTTTGCAGTGCCCTGAAGGGTGACCTGGGCCATGTCATCCATCGGTTAGTTACCAGGGACTTCCTGGGTGCTCCTGTGCACCTCTTGATGGCTCTTTCTGAGGCTTCCAGTGAAGGCTCTCGGAGGCACCACCCAGCACCTCATGAACAGACTGGGGTCCTGCCCTGGTGAAACAGGGTGGGAGTTAGCCCCCACCCCAAGTTCCTGATGGTTGGCTTAAAGTGAGAAGAAACACAGAGGAAATGAGGGGTCACTATGGTTGAGAGTTGGAGATGCACCTGAAACATGGAGCAGGCACCAGAGGCTGCTCTCAGGCTGTCGCTGTCTTGCTCAGATGTGACGAGATGGGGACCAGGTGGGGCACGGTGAGACATTCAAATTACTGATACCAATCTCCTTCAAGCAGCCCAGCCCTTCCCTGGGCCTCCCTAGATCAGATCAGAGTCCACACCCACAGGGCAGCCAGTCGGGCTGCCAAGCACTGCAGGCCACCGGAATGTAGGGCTCCTAAAATTTATGGCTAGACTTTATGACAATGGAAATATTTTTTTAATTGAGCCTTGCACCACCATTACACTGCTAATTTAATTATTCCCTATATTTCATCCATCACCATCTGATCTTCAGGAAGCAAATAGCTTGTCTTCTTGACAAGAAAGCACCAAATTGATTAAAATGTGTGTGGGAGGGGTGCTGGGCTGTGGTCTGCTCACCATGGCTGGACCTCTGGGTATGCTTGGGGGAGGTGGGAAGCATAGAAAACAGGACAGATGTCCACTCCCCCGTGCACCCACACACACCCCTGAGGATGGTCACCGCATCCTGCCCTCCCTGCAGCCTCACTGTCACACTGAGCGTCACACGTACAGGAGTGTGAGCGTGCACACAGTCAGAAATTTATAGACACAGCCTCCAGTATACCGCAAAATGCTGCCCCCACCCACACTGAATCTGGCACATAAAGCCATGCACAGTGAATCCACCCTGGTCACAAACACACACAGGCACAGAGTCATGCACGACTGTCTCACTCAGGGACACTGTCAGGAAGCAGTCTGGACTCCTCACGCTCACTCACGCTGCACAGATCCTTCAGGGATGGGCCCATGGAATATTCTGGGGCTCCAGGCTTGCTTCTGTGCAGGGTTTGGGGCCTCAGCCTGTTCTGTCTCACCCAGGAGTGAAGGCACAGCAGCTCTCTGCCAGCCAGCCCTGTTGGGATGGCCCCTCTGCCCCTGCTAGCTCCAGGATGGCTTCTAGGACACCTTGTCCACGCCCCCTCCCCACATGCTGTAGGTGGCATATGTCCATGAGCGTGCGCCACATGGGAGCCTGCAGCGTGGGTTATGGAGGCGCCTGAAGGAGTGTGGCTGCGTGTCGTGTCAGTTTCTCCACTTGATTCTTCCTCTCGGTTCCAGGACGCCCCCGACAGCTCCCAGAGCCCTGGGGATGAGAGAACTGGGAGCCACGTGTGGCAGCCCCCAGCCTGTCACTTCGGCCATCTCTTGGCCATGCCCTGGCTGGGATTTCCTAGTAGTTTTGTGCATGTGGGTCTCCTCACTCCGGCTGGAGGGTAGCTCTTTCAGGGCAGTTACTGGATTTTCTCCTCTTTTTCCCTCTGCTGGGCATGCAGGGCTGGCTAAGGCATGGCCTGTTGACTGCGGCACTCCTACTGTCCAGGTGATGGTGAGAGCACCTGTCATGTGCTAGGGTGGAGGGGGCTTGGCAACAGTGCTGGTGAGCAGAATTAAGCTGGGGGCAGGGGGCTGGGCAGAAATCTCTGGGGAGTAATCAGTAAATACTTACTGACTGGCTGACTGAGTGAATGGGTGGATGATTAAAGCAGCAGCCAGAACAAGAGCCAAGCATGGGTGGCACCTGAAGGTGGACTACCTGCTGAAGAGCTGGGTGGACGGGAAGGCTGGTGGTGGTGATGGGGCGGGGAGGGGGGGCAGTGCTGCTGGCCGGCACAGCAGTGGCAGCACTGCTATTAGTCATCGTGAAAGCTCCAGGTGCCCGGTGCAGGCCCAGCAGACCCCTGACCCAGCCTGATCAATCCTAATGGAATGGAGCAGAGGGGCAGCCGCTGCAGGGAGCGGGCCACCCGTCCTCCCTCCTGTCCCCGTCCTTGTAACTTTGTCAGCTGTCACAGCAGCCCTGAATGTGGAGGCTGCCTGCCTCAGTCATGTCTGGTCTCGTTTGGCCGGCCTGAGGTGCCACCAGACAGGAGACGTAGGGAGGAGAGGACAGGGATGGACCCCCTGGGGAGGGGTCCCTAAATCACAACCTGCAGGTGGCAAGCATAAGAAGCAGGCAGGGAGAGAAGCCTCTTGGTGAAAGGCCCCTGCCTTTAGTTCATATTTGTCTCCTGAGGGGGCAGAGGGTCAGGGACCCCAAACCTTTTCTTAACCATCTAGGACACATGGACACATGCCCCGGCAAAGCTGCCCCTCTCTAAGGAGCAGCACCCTTGCCCGTGCCTGCAGGAATGGACCCTGGCATCCCTTGCCTAAGCAGCTGTCTGCTCTCTGAAGCTCTGCAGCAGTGGCAGCCTGCTCTGCTGGGTCTGAATGCAGGCTGGGCCCTCCTGGCTCAAGGTAGCACTTGCCAAGGTCCCATGTGGTCGAACAGTCTTTGTGCTGGAGTGGTCCTGTCTTCCGGGCTGGGCACCCTCCACCCCATGTCTCTGTCATTGCCATGATCTGTTCATGTGTCTATCTCCCCCATCAGACCATGCCTTCCCTTGGTTGTCTTGATGTCCTGACCCATGGCATGGCGACCAGGTCAGGGTCCATGCTCAATAAATGCTGGCTGGTCCACGTAGTGAATTCTCGCCTGAATCCCCTCAGGGCCTTGCATAGAGCTTGTTTTCTGATTGTCAGAGAGGATGCCACCAAGGGCAGATGGCAGGACACTGAGTGTCTGGGGGGAGATTCAGGACACAAGAGAGGCACAGCTAGGATAAGGCTCCGAGCAGCTCAGAGGCTGCAGTGAGTGTGCTCTGCGCAGACAGGAGCAGGCAGTCGGCACCAGGCGTTTTCAGCTGCGGAGTTTCGCCTGTCTTACCCCACCCTGAAAGCCTGGATCCAAGGCACAATTGGTCCCAGGGTGGCTTTTAGTGTGCAAGGCTGAGAACCAGAGGGGTAAACCATAATGCCTGCAACTGGGTCACCAGAACCGAATTCAGGGAGACCCTGGGGGCTGAGAGCCTCTGCTCCCTTCCACTTCTGTGACGATGACTCAGCTTCACACACCCATATCTGCTCATCACTGTGGTGGGGGAAGTGGGAGAAAGAAAGGTTTTCCCCCAAGAACAAGCTAGTTCTGGGGAAGAGCTGTGAGCTGGTGAGCTGGGGCTAGGACAGGCTCCGTCACGGAGAGAAGACCTAGTTGCACCCCAGGGTACCTCCATGAAAGCCACCCACAGCCATCCCCATTTTTAGCTTGCGTTGCTCTGTGCTTGCACTGGGCCATCTGTTTTGCATAAGGGGCAACCCCCGAAAGCACTGTTGAACCCTCCATGTTTAGGTGCACAGCTTGTGAAAGAAGATGTGGTGAAGCCTCTTGCTTAGTGCTCCTCACACTGGATCTGACCGCTGACCACTCGGATGAACTAGAAACCCAGAGCTGAGAGGAGCGGGGAAGAGGCAGCGCTCACTGCAAGGCCATGCTCTGCCTTCCCTCCAACAACAGGCTGTTTCCTTCACCTCCAAAGTTCCTTTGTGCCCACAAGCAAAGTAGAGATGCTACCTAGTGCAGTATGGCAGCACTCCCTAGCAGACCATTTAATTCCTGGTCCCCAAAGCATTGGACCCAAATGCTTAAAAAAGCATTCTGCAATTCACAAACTCAGATGGATTTTGTTTGTTGTAGAAAGAAACTAGCCTGTTGTGCTACTGAGCATGCTTCAGTGGTCCCTCAGGTCTCAGCTCAAAGTCACCTCAGTAGGGGCTTCCCTGACACCACATCTCAAACAGCCCCTTCCCTTTCCCCCGTCATCTGCTTCATCCTCTTCAAAGCTCTTATCAGCGCCTACATTGATATTGTTTATCGGTAGATTATCTCCCTTCTCCCATGTCATTCCATTCCAAGGGGGCAGATTTTATTTTTGTCTGTTCCCTGTGGTGCCCCATGCCCAGCATGGGGCCTGACACCAGCATATGCCTAGGCATAGTGTGTTGCACAGACACAGGGACTGCGGTGTGTTAGAGAGACACAGGGACTGCGGTGTGTTAGAGAGACACAGGGACTGCGGTGTGTTGGACACACACATGGATTGCAGGGACAGGGTACAGGCTTGAGGAGATGGCTTGGTTCCTCTCGGGGATACCCTGATGCCCTCCTGCTACCTCCTGGTCAAGGGGTGCCCAGCTTGGCCTGGCACCCAGTGGGGAAGACCCACCCCAGATACAGACCTCCTGATGGGATGTACCTGGCACTTGCTCAAAGCCACTCAGAGCCATGGAAACAGGGCATGGGGTAAATTTACACAAAGGGGTCATTCATTCGTTGTTCTCCAGGGCACTGGCTGGGGCCCAACTTTCACCCTCAGGAGGGGCTGCTCAGGAACTTGTGGACGGGGTGGCTCAGGTTTTCAAGAAGCAGCCCTTTGGACACTTGGGCCCAGGTCTGGGTGGGCAAAGCTGGGTTTGGGCTGCCTGGAGTCCTGCAGGGAACTCATTGCTCACAGAGGGAGGGCTCTGCCAGCAGCCTGCAGCCCCACATCCCCCGAGGGGACCAAGTCCCACAGAGGCATGTGGTGGGGAGAGGAGGTGTGGGCTACACTGGGTGGGGCTGGCTTTTGGAGTTGGGACTTGGTGCTCCAGCCCCGGTACCTGAGTCTCTCTTGGTGACAGGTGCCCATCTAGGCAGATTCCTTCACCTTTTAACTAACAACCCATCCCCAATCTGAGCAATCTCTGAAGGTGCGGAGCACACTTGACAGCGACAAATGCTACACTCAAATGAAATTAAGTGATATTCCTTTACGCGGCTTTTTTTTTTTTTTTTAATTTTAAGCAACACCAATAATTCCAACTGCAAAGGCTAAGGGAAAAAAAAAAAGGCAAAAACACCCCACCTCCTCCGAGCGGAGCGCCAGAGGTCGGCTCTGGGATTTGCATGACAAAAGCACTCTACAAACAACAACAAATTGCCAGCTTGTCGGGGGCCGCAGGGCGCGCGCGACAACTGGCGCGTTCCTCTGGGCGGCGCTGGGCTCCGAGACCCGCGGGAGGGGCCCGCGGCAGATGCTCGGGGACCGGCCCGACGGGGGCGGGGCAGCGGGGTTCCGGCCTCCATAGCAACCGAGCTGTGACCATGGCCAGAGAGATGGCTCGGCAGCCGCCACCTCCCACTCTGGACAGGCGCGAGGGGCGGGGCGGAGGGCGCGGGCAGCGCAGAGCAGGGAGAGGGACGCGGGGCGGGAGGCAGGAAGCTGGGGGACGGAATTGGGCGGCTTCTCCCCTCCTGCTCGCGTGCAGCCGCCGTGACCTTAGACCTGGCCGGCGTCCACGGGCATACCATGCGGGCACCAGGCAGGCCGTGAGCTGCCCTTGGTCCAGCAGCCGGGCCTCCTTCTGGCCGCGCGTGCTTCCTGGCTGGGCTGGGAGGTGGAGCGTGTGATGAGGCAGCGGCCGGCTCCCCCAAAGTGAGGCCCAGGCAGATGGCTGGCCAGAGCTAAATTGATTCCTAATGATTTGTGTCTCTCCCCTGCCCGGCAACGGGTAACTTTTCATTAGAGACACAGATGTCTTCATAAGGCGATGCCAGGGCCCTCCCACGACAGCCCCAGCACCCCTCCACTCCACTGCAGACATGGGGGGTGTCACACGGGTGAGAAGGTGGGAGGACTGAAGGGTCCAGAAGGAGGCCTGCCACACCCAGCAGTCTGCTGTCTCCAGGATGCAAGTGTCAGCCACCCACTCCCCCCAGACCAGGGCAGCTCCTGACCTGCTCTTGCAGTGGCCACTGGGGCCACCTCCTAGGCCCTAGGCTGTGTGGGTGCTCCAGCATCACTCCCTCCCTGGCAGGCCTGTCTGGTGGCCATCACTCCACAGCCTTCCTGCCATGCCCAAGACCCGCCCCCCACCCCCCACCCGGCCTCCACTCACTGTCCCCAGAGTAAGTCTGCCACCCACCCCTGCAGATCCAAGTCTCACCTGTCCACTGCCAACCTTCAAATTCTGTCCAAGGCCCGTGGCCATGGGTTTCCCATATCTTCCTGGGCTTCGACCACTATTTCTGTCTACATATCCCCTCACCATGTCACCTCGTCTATGCCATGTTCACTGTCTCCCTGGCAGAGCCTTAGTGGACAGGGAGGCAGAGGCTCACTTTCTCCTGCAGTCATGTTGCACTTCTCCTGTGGCACTTACAACCCACGGTCCTGGTGAGAATGCTTTTTTTGTGTGCTTCCCCCACCATTTCCTCCTGCACTACTTCATTTGGTGGGTGATGACTGCTCCCACGGCGGGCTGGGCTGTGTGTTAAAGGCCAGACACGTTCCCTCCTCTCCCTTCCAGGCTCTTGCAAGCTGCAGTCTGAGCTGACCCCTCTGTATCCTCCCCGTTCCTGCGCCGCACACTTCATGCATAGCAGGTGCTCACTGGAGATTTAGGGGAAGGGAACCACAGTATCTTGGTGTCCACTATAGCAGTTTGTCATTTTGAGATCAGTAGTTCTCTCTGGGATCCTCTTGTAAAACACTAAGCCCCTGAGGGGTCAGGTGAGTGAGGGGTGGATGCTAGGGTCCCCATCTCACAGAGAGAATCTGTCATCTTGTTTCTTGCCTGGGGGCACGACTCTGTCAAGTGGTAGAGGCGCTGAAGTCCAATCCAATTGACCTCTTGGTTGTTGGGGGCCAGCCTGGCTTGCCAGGTGCTGAGAACTCCAAATAGCACACACAATTACCAGACCCAGTCCTGAGGCCCCCACATGGCAGCCAGAGGAGAAAGGAGGCTGGCTTTGGGGCACTCAGCTCCCCATGGTGTGAACTCCCCAGCCTGGGATCCAAGGCCCTCCCAGCCCCATCCAGCTAGACTGATCCATCTAACTCCCGTGCTCTAAGCCACACCTGCTCTCTTCTTGCTCGGCTCCCTTCATGGACCCTGGCAATTTTGTCTCACTCACTCCTCCTTGGCATCTTTGGTCTTCATAGGTCCCCCCTTCTGATACTCTCCCCATTCTTGCCTGTCTAGGTAAATCCAACCCATGGTCCCCGACCAGATTAAGGATTCTGTCTAGTCTGTGGGTTCTTTCTCTCTGTCCATAAGTACAAGACTGCAAGAAGACTCTGACTTGTCACATTTCTCTCAGGACTCAGCAAAGATGCATTTGGATGTGCTAGTGGATGTGAGGTTGCAAGTACCTCTGCCTGCCTTGCCAACAGCCACACGCCACTGTGGCCCCTGGCCTCAGTGCTCTTGTGCAGCCTGTGACCACACAGCACATGCTACAGAGCTTGAACAATGTGTTGCTGCAAGATGGGAGATCCAAATTCTTGTCCTAGCTGTGCTGCCCTTTTTCCATCTGTAAATTTTTGGCTATTGAAAACATGTCTCAAGATGGTAGATGGGAATAGGTTTTCAGAAGGATTAAAAACAGACAAACAGAAACAAATAAAAGACCACGGTGAGTGAGTCAGGGATAAAAGCTGATGAGGTGAGCCGCTGTGAGAGCAAGGTGTTTCCATTGCTCACAGCTGTGTCCTCTGCACTAAGCTTGGTACATAGTAGGTGCTCAGTAAGCCCTGGTTGAGTGAATGCAGCTGCACGGTCTTGCCAGTGTCCTTATAAGAGACAGCATGGATGAGGCGGGTGACTGGAGAAAACTAGGATCACTCTGAGTCTATGATTGGGGTCAGTCTGGGATAGGAGATTTGGATTCTTTCCCCCACACCTTGTAGGGTGTGAACCCATGACCTCAGTCTCAGTGACCGCACAGCCAAGCCACCACGTGTGTTCCTCCCAGACAGCCCTCCTAGAGGAAGCCAAGAACCTATCCTTTGTACCTCCCCAGCATGTTTGAGGCAAACTCACCCTGCTCATATCTTTTGTTTTTCTTAATTAAAGGAGCAAGAGCCAGGATTCCGTCTCTGAGGGTGCAGGCTTGTGTCTGGATGTCTTCATTTTGGCCAAGCTATTGGTGTGCCTGCCTGTGTGGCAGCTGGACACTGGGCCTCCAGAGCCCAGGGGGGAGGTGAGCGGATGGCGGCTCAGCCCATGTCACTGCCTTTGTCACCCCCAGCTCCCCACAAACCCTCATGCCTCCCAGACATTATAAGGACTGCTGCTGTCCTCTCTGCAGACACAAAGCAGCTGTTCAGTGCTTGGTTCTGCCTCTCGACTCCCTGAACTCCTTGCGGTGCTTGCACAACCAGCCCCTCACCCTCCATTTAAAGAGATGCTTTCATGCACAGGGCATCTTGGCAGACCTCATTTATTCAGGGAGATTTGCCAGGCCCTGTGGTAGGCCTGGGGCTTGGGGCCAGGCTAGACAAAGCCATGATCCCTGCCCCCCAGGAGTTTCCATTCTAAACTGCAGCTGGGCTGGGCAAGGGCAGGACCATCTGGGTTGCCCTGGGTACCCAGGACCATCTGGGTAGCTCCAGGCTTTGGTTTTCTCATCTGCAGATTGAAGGGATTGGTTGGGATCCCTAAACTGCATGGAGGAGTCCTGGGGAGTCCATGGGTGGGGAGGGATGGAGGCTGGGCAGGCTGGGCTCTGAGCTACTCCTGGCCACTTCCTCTACAGCTGCACAAGTCATGCTGCCCAGAAACCAGGCCCAGGGTGGGCAAACCATGCCTGACGGATGACCAGCTCCTGGCTTATGGCACACTGTATATTTGTAAGTAGCACTGGCTGTACATGAAGCTTGTGAGGTGGGTATGTTGGCTTTTTATCAGAGAAGTCCAGTCTCAGCTGGGGTAGAGTGGAGCTGGGGCTCGAACCCAAATCTCTGAATCTGAGCTCTGTACCTCCCAGGAATTCCATCCCCAGACCCTGGGTGGAGTGGGCGGGGGCAAGGGGGTGCGGATCCTTGGATGTGCTTTGTTCCAACACAAGGTCATCTCTGCTCTTTCCAGCAGGGGCTCCTCTCACCCTCTATCCTGACGATAGGGCTGCCTCCTCCCTCTGGTCTCTCCCCACTCAGGCCCGGGTCAGTGGCAACAGCTGTGGCAGTGGGGCTGTAAAGGGGCCCTGAGCCCATCCGGAATGTGAAGGGCAGGTCCTTCAGGGAGGACAGGTGTGTCAAGTGAGCTGCCGGCCCTTGCTGTTGGGAGAGAGTGAAGGAGGCAGAAGAGCTTTTATAGCCTGTGACCCCTTCCCCCATTCCCTTTCAATAATAGTCCAGGCCAAATTACTTCCTTCTCTAAAGTTCTGGAGTTTGGAGTCAGAAGGGAGAGGGGGCTGGAAAAGTGGGCAAACGAGGGCCAGGATGACAGTGAAAGTCCTGTCCTGGGAGGGTAGGTTTCGGGAGCAGAACTGTTCTATTGTGGACAATGACCTTTAGAGAGAAGGAATCTCCCTTCGTGGACTGTGCCTCACAGACATAGCTGCTCCATGATGTGGTTCTGGCACGTGAGGGACCTTGAGGAGCAGACATCCTGCTGATCTTGAGGAAGATCCTAGCCTCGGGGCAGTGGGAGGAGGCTTCCTGCTGTGGCCCAGGAGTGAGGCCACTGGCCCGTCAAAGGGGCCTTCTGCTGAGACATAAGGCTGCAGCCCATCCCTCCATCTCACCCTCCTCCCTGGCCCACAGAGGTCCTCCCAAGGAGGCCTGTTGGTGAAAGGGCCAGGGACACGTACCAGCCACTGACACTGCTTGAGGCCTCTGGCCTTTGTTTCTCTCCAAGGCGTGGGGGTTCCGGAGAGTGGTGGAGCTTAGCAGGCAGGGCACTGTGTTGCGATCACTCGAGATCGCACCATGGACCCAGCCACCTTGGACAAATCCCTTCTCCTGCCAAGTCCTAGGTTCTTCAACTGTAAGATGGAGGTGGCTACATCCCCTCGAGTGGCTGAGAGGATTTACAGAGATCCCGGGGGTGCATATAGATTTCAAACTGCCCATGCTTCACACGTGACTGCTTTGTCCTGCCAATTGTCTTCCCACCTGTGGGTGAGGCCTGCCCACTGCTTCTCAGTCTAGGAAACCCCTTTCAGGTCAGCATTTCTATTGTAGTAGGCACTGTGCCAAATGATAGGGCGCCCAAGGTGAATAACGCACAGGAGATGCTCACAGTCGTTTTTTGTTCAGAAATACTTGTTGATCACTGCTGTGGTTTGAATGTTTGTCCCCTTCAAAACTCATACTGAAAATTTAATTGCCATTGTGATATTAAGGGATGGGACATTTAAGAGGTGATTAGGTCATGAGGGGTCTGTCATGGTGAATGGATTGATGCCGTTATCATTAGAATGTTCCCGTGAGAGTGGGTTCCTGATAAAAAGAATGAGTTTGCCCCCCTTTTTTCTCTCTGCCTCATGCACTTGTGTCCCCTTCTGTTTTTCCTCCTTGGGTGCAGTAAGAAAGCCCTCAACAGATGCTGGCTCCATGCCCTTGGACTTCTCAGCCTCTCCACTGTAAGCCAAATAAGGCTCTATTATTTATAAATTACCCACTCTCAGGTATTCTGTTATAGCAGCAAAAAATGGACTACGACAATCACCAACACAATGCCTGGTATCCTGTGGGGGCTTTTACTAACAGGCTGAACAACAGTCGCTCTAGAAGGGTCCAAATAACAGAAACACAAAGTGCCTGAGATACACCCACCAGTTGTCCACTAACCAGGGTTGGTTTGTAACAGCTGCACACCTGTAGTACAGGACCTTGCCTAGACTTGGAGGCAGGCAGGCAAAAATGGTTGGTTCACGTGGCAGGTGAGCCTACTGTGGTCCTGATTCAGTAAGACGCTTGCCCATCTAACTAGCTATGTGACCTTGGGCAAATCAATTCAGTTATTTTGGCTCCAATTTCCCTAAGCACATCCTTTCCAGGGTCTGCTCTGGCTCAATCATTCCTTGATGTTTCGCTTCTCACCCAGGCAGATGAGCCTCACTGATTTAGGTCCACTGGGAGAATAGATGCTGAGGGAAAGGCAAATCCCGGAGGCAAACTGATGAGATTGTTGGTTTTATGTATTACCTTGGCTAGGCTGTAGCATGCATCTTATTTAATCAAACACAAATCTAGGTGTACAGTCTACATCTACCAGTATTTGCCTTGAAGTAAAAGGAGGGTATACAGGTGGACCTCATCCAATCAGTTGAAAGGCCTTAAAAGCAAAACTGAGGTTTCTTTGAGGAAGAAGAAATTCTGCCTCAAGACTGCAGCTTCAACTCATGCCTGAGAGTTTCTAGCTTGCTGCTCTGCCCTATAGATTTCAGACTTGCCAGTGCCCCCACAATCACATGTGCCAATTCCTTCTAATAAACCTTTATATATGTGTGTATATATGTATATGTGTGTGTATGTATATATATGTATGCATGTACACACACACATATACATACACATGTGCACACACACGTGTATATAGCTTCTATTTCTCTGGAGAAGCCTGACTGACACACCTGGGCTCAAGAATATCTCCAAAGAAATGTGTTTGTTGCATTCATGTTCTTTCAGCAAATACTACTTAGAAACAGATCAGAGGGCCAATTCCAGTAAACGGAGAAGAATCATTGGTAGTTAGGTCCATCCGTTGGTCTTCAAACCATATATTGGAGCACTTAAAATACATTCTCTTCTTCTTCATTGAACCAACTGCCCAGTCCAGCTTCCCACACCAGGCTTTGTGTTCTCAACCCAGCCTGCCCACAGTATTCACAAAGGCAAGCTGGATTCTGTCATCCCAGACCCAGAATGAATGCCGTTCATGGGAATCTCTAGTTTTTGAGAAATTTGACTGGTGTCTATTTTACTCTTATGAGCAGATGATGTTCTTTGTTTATGAGAGAAATTAGGCCAAATCCGAGTTTTCCACAGATGGAGACGCCTGAATTATTGATTAGAGGCTCATGAATTGGGTTCTGGCAAATGACAGGGCTGAGGGCGGCTGATTTGTGTGTCACTATGGGAACAGCTTGATCCCAGCGGGGCCTGGGCCCTTCTGATGCAGTGTTGGGCCTGGCAGGGGCCCTGGGGGCTGGCTCTGAGAATAGAGTAGGTGTGGGGGTCCTTCCTTGGCTGCTTCTGCTGGGCTCTACTGGTTCCCAGAGAGCTGTGAGGCAGGGCCTAGATGGGGGCCTGGACTGGCAGCTGGGATGAATGCTCAGGCTCCAGTGACTCCTCTGCTGGACCCCCAGATGGTTGTAGGTAGGTCTTCTTCACTCAGAAAAGAAAGCGACGGACATGGAGATGTTCATTGCAACTTCCCTTCTCCCACCAGGTCATCCTCTCCTTTAAAATTGAACTGCAAGGCCAGCTGATGAAACCTTTCATGTGGTTGGCTGTGTCTGGCAGCTCAGCAAGCACCTACTGTGTGGAGGCCCTGTCCTGGGCTCCTGATGAGCAACACTGCTTCATGGAAGAGGCAGTGAGCTCTGCATTTGTGGGGCAAGGACTCAGGAAAGTGCCTTTCAGAGTGTGATCCGGCCATCTTACAGACCAATACTAACTGAAGGTCACTGAGCACAGGTCAAGGGCTGTCCATGCATTAAATCATTTGGTCCTCAGAACAGCCTTATGAGCCAGTTCTCTTGAGAGTGCAACCAAGACACAGAAACATCCAGGAGCTTGCCTAAGACTTCCCAGCCTGTGAGCCACAGAGCCCAGCTCAGGCAATGTTCTACCACTCCATGACATGGATCTGAGACTTCCCTGACACCAGCCATGAGCCAGAAATCCTTCAGCCTTTAGCTAATAGTTGAATGGGGAGATAGACAAGGACACCATCCAGCGTTCTTCCCACCAAAGCATACTTACACAGGGCTGGCCTCTCACTTCCCTAGGGGCTGCAAGGTTACTCGGCTCAAGAAAGGGATATTGCATTTCAAGCCCTGAGTTGGCTTGACCTGGGGCCTGGCATGATCCATAAGGAGGCCTGGGCCAGACCCCAGGTCTTCCTGCCTATTCAGGTGCATCACTCTCTGGTTATAGCCCACTGTCTCCTTGGGGCTGTCTGCCTTTAAAACCTAACGTTGAGTATGCCATCAGTTTGCTGGGGAGTTGGGACAA
Organism: Homo sapiens; assembly: GCF_000001405.40. Classification (NCBI taxonomy): domain Eukaryota; kingdom Metazoa; phylum Chordata; class Mammalia; order Primates; family Hominidae; genus Homo; species Homo sapiens. Next base: position 37,402,046 of record NC_000018.10, read on the forward strand.
ATCACTGCAGCTCTCTGGGCCTCCAACTCCCTCACTTGAAACCCAGGCATCTGGACTCTACCTCTGGGCTTCCTTCCTTTTTTATTTCTGAGGCCACCTGGAGGGGATGTGCCCCTTCTCATGCTGAGGCGGTGAATACATGATCCGCTGGGGATGAGCAGGGAGGCTGCTGAGGTGAATCCATAAGTGTTTGGTCTGAACCACTTTAATTTGCATTCCAGTTTAATTACCATCCGTCTTTCAGGTTGCCCACATGGGAGAAGAGGCATTGGGGCCCCAAGGATGCTCGCTCTTGCTCCTAAACGCTCCTATTGCACCTGCCTGGAACATATACCACTGCTCACCTCCATGGACCTATCTGTTTCCAGGGTTCCAGGGTCAGGGGGACCCCAGGGAGCTGCCCCTTCTCTAACCCCTTTGAGCCTGGGTGGACCCCCCTCTTCTTGTCCTTGTGTTCTGAGTGGGAGCCCCTTCTCAATCCTTCTAGCTTGGAGGTGGCAGGTGGAAAGTAGGTGTGGGGTAGGGTGAGGGTAGAAGCTCTTTGTCATTCTTTATTCCAGCAAAGAGCCAGAGTCTGAATGTGGAAAAGGTGAAAGAGAAAGACAAAAAGTAAGCCAAAGAGTAAGTAAAAGTTCAAGCCAAAAGGAACTTTTGAAATTCAAAAAGATCTTTCTCCCCCCATAACAGAGCTTCCCACCTTGTCCACACCTAGCTTACTCTGCCCTGGGGACTGGCCAGGGCTGTTCCTTCTCTTCTGGGCAGCCCTGTGCCCTTCCACAGCCTAACAAGTTCAAGGTTCCTGCAGGCCTAGCTCAAGGACCCCTCTTCTGAGGAGCCTTCCCTGGGCCCTTCTCCCCCAGCCTTCCTCTGCCCTCCCCACCCTCCATGCATGGCCTGAACAGGCCCCAGTCCTGGCATGCACAGGGCCCCATGTGGCTTCTTGTGGCTCCGTGGGGGTGGCATCTTTTCCCTCACTGGGCAGGCTCTCCAGCCCCAGGAAGGAGGGCTGGGAGGAAGGGAAGGAGGAGGTGGCAAAGATGCCTAATCTGAGACAGTGAGAGTGAGGGGAGAGATGGGGCGAGGAGGGGAGACAGGCAGAGAGAGAAGGAAGAGGGCTGGGGTTGGGGGAGGGCGGGCCAGCCAGCAGTCCTCATTGGACTAAACACAGTCCCGGGACAGCACATAATTCGGGCCTGAGTCAGCAAGTTTCGCCTATAATTTCTTAAGCATCTGTCAGGCCACTGTCTCCCTGCCCCCCTCCATAAGAGGAGCAGCCGCTTCAAAGGGAGCCTGGGAGCGAAAGCCTCATTTAGCAAATGAGGGGAATGTTTAAAAATAACACAAGGAGTCACCCTCCATGGAGGCGAGGCCACCCCTCCCCTGTGGCTCTCTGTGCTCCTCCTCCAGTCACACAAGGCCCACAGGGAGGGCTGGGGACAAATGGCTGGAGTGGAGGGACAGGGCCATGTGACTCCATGTTTGCATGTGACTCCGTGTGACAGCATGTGGCGAGGGGGTGGTGGGTGTGTGTGCTGGCAGGGGCCCGGGTTGCTGTGCGGCCTGGCCCAGCTGTGCCTGACGGTGTGCAGTCCTCTAGAGGTGGGGCTGAGAGGGCGTGGGACAGGCAGGACAGCGCAGGTGTGTGTTCCCCTTTGCAGAAGGGCGGCCCTAGGCAGAAGCGTGAGTGATACGTGTCGGAGTTTACATAGCGCACATGAAATGATGTGTGCAGGCTCATGCAGATGCTGTGGCTGGGACAGAGCCACTGGGCCTCCTGGGCTAGTGCTGCTCATACCCTCTTCTGAGATGGTCTCAGCTACACAGACTCCCCTGGATTTAGCCCTAATTCTCATTCCTATTCTCAGAGGTCCACTTCCTTACCTCAGGGCTCTCAGTGCCCATGGCTGGCTTTGGCATGGCTTTGCCCCCCGCTGTGAGGCCATCTGTCCAGGAGGCACTCAGGGTGCTTTACAGTCAGCATCTTCCACCTGAAGTGGGATCTTTGACCACCATTCCCGGATTCCCCTCTGGGGCCCGGCCAGGCCTTCACATGCCTTGTCACAGTTACTCCTCAAACAGCCCCATGGGCAGGCCTGAGCCAGCAAGTTCATTAACCCTACATTATAGACAAGACAGCTACAACTTGGAGAGGTTGAGGCACGTGACCTCGAGCACATCCCCCAACCCCTGAAGCTCCTGCTCAGCTCATGCCCGGTTCTTGAACCCAAAGGGAAGCAGAAGGTCTCAGTCACATAGTGGAGGAGTTCTCTGGTCTCCAGACTACACCCCACAGAAGAGGAGGCCCCCCATTTCCAAATCCTGGAGTGCCTTCATGCAGGGCACCTCTGGAGTTAAGTGTTTGTTTTCAGCTTATTAACTCACTGGCAAAGTGGTGGAGTAGGATCTGGGGCATAGACACAGGGCAGGGAACTTGGAAAACAGGAGTCCAGGCCCTGCCTGATGGGGCAAGTGCACAGTTGGATGCCCAGGGCCCTCCCGAAGCCATGGGAATCTCACATGGGGGCTGTGCCTGGGCCTGGACATCACTCCAGCCAGGCCCACCTGGCTCGACCTGCTCCAGCACTCTCACCCCATACACTTTGGTTCTTGGGGAGCTCGGCTCACAGAGGATTCAGAGGCACCCCAAGAAAGCAGAGAGCCAGGATGGAGAGTGTACACCTTGTGACCAAGACCAGTGTGGAGGTGTGGCTGCCCTAACAGTGAGGTCCAAGGCACTCAGAAAGCCCCTCCTTCTAGCATCTTCCTTGTTAATCTGCTCTGGAGGCTGGCATGCCACCATTAGCACTCATTTTGGGGTTAAGCACTGCCCATCCCTTGTCGCATGCTTTTCCTTGCCTCAGCATTCTTATTAGTTCTGTCCCACCCTCTAAAATGTCTTTGCTATTTGTCCCACCAAACAAACATTCCTTGTAAAAAAACAAAACAAAACAAAAAAAAGTCCATCATACACCTGCACCCAGCCGTTCACCCACGGGGCCACTCTCTGCTCTGAGCTGGCTGGGCTTGGGCCTGAAAGCAGGCCCCAACCCCCCCCGTGTCCTTTCCTTCAGATTCCTGGTTCCTCCAGCTATTCCTCATAGGACATGTTTTCCAGACACTTCTTCCACGTTGTCATCCTGTCATTTTCACTAACAGCTGAATGTCTAGTCATTTGGCAGTGTTGTCCACAGGTCCCATGGAATTGGGCCTCCCTGTGTGGGAGGAATTTCCTCAGGCAGGGGCATGATCCACAGGGATGATCACATCTCCCCCACCCTCCTGCCCTTGCCCCTTCCTCTGCTAGTTCAGATCTCTGCACCCAAGGTGTGCTCTGCTCAGTCTCAGGACTGGGTAACCATCCCGCCACCTCTGCCCAGTTCTTTCTCTGTGGTGTACACGCCACTTCCTGCCTCTACCCTTCCTTCGAAGAGGGGCTCTGCCCCGGGATGCAGGAGACTGAGAAGATTTAGAGAACTAGCAGAGAGATGTGTACACCTTACCAACAAGGCCAGCAAGGCCCATCTTTGTGTTCCAAAATGCAGGGGAAGCCTTCTCTCTATAACCATCATTTAATTCATTTATAAAATAGGCCTTTAGCTCAACACCAGAGGGTCCCTAAGATTGCTTTCAGTTTTAAGAACCTGTGGCTATGTTCTTCCCGCTAAAAGCAGGAGTCCCCTCTCTACCTGTTGAGGGAAGAGGGCGGTGGGCTTTGGCTGTGGAGGGAGAGTGCCTGTGAGATATTAGTGGGGGAGGTCCCATTGTCTCTGTCTGTCCCCTTCACACATCATTTCCATCACTTCAGGCCAGGCATGGGGTGGTGGTGGGGGGCTGGGCTGGCCCCCCTCCAGCCGGGAGTGGAAAAATCCATCACGAACCTAACATATATTTTAAAATAACTTACATGCATAACACCCCCACGCTCCCATTTCTGAGCCTCAGATCTGATTATCTGCAGCTCTCTTTCTCTCTCTCTTTTTTAATAAAAAATTGCTATAAATCTTTTTGTCACAGAAGATAGAAGACGCAGGTTCGCTGGAGAAACTGCCTCGCTGAGTTGTTTCATAGGGTGTTTGGTGCCCTGCTCCATTTTTATTTTTTTTTAAACTCCCCTGCAGCCCAAACTGAATTTCAAAAATATGAGGAGTAAAGGAAAGCTGTCCCTGGTTGGCTTTAAAGGAGGCAAAGCAGTCAGTAGAGATGGGATGACACACCCATCCCATCTCTATCCTCGGAGCCCCACACATGCACCCCAGTTCAGTTTGGTCAGTGGGACTGCAGAAGAGGGAGGAGAGATTCCCCAGCATAAGCCCACAGGATAGCTCACTAAAAACATGCCTTCTACGGGAAAGGTCTCTCTGCCTCCCACATACGTCCCTATCCATCTGGTTTAGGCTGACGGTCCTGCGCTATGGGCTTGCTGGAATGGAAAAGAGGGTGAATGTGCTGCTGGACCTTGGGGGAACCTGAGCAGTGCGGCCAGTGAGGACCTGCATGATAAATCATCTACAGATAGACAACTTGGAGGGTGGCCTTTTGCTGAGCAACTGTTGTCCCAATATACCTGACCCATTTGTTACCCAAGCACAAAGCACATTGAAAGAAGAAAATATTTTCCTGGTTGCTCCATTGTGGGCCAGGGTTGAAGAAAAGGAAAACCCCTAATGTTGCCTGTTATATGCAGCCTTTGAGTGCAGGGCCCTGTACTCATCAGATGCTCAGCAGCTAGACCTCAGGGAATAGAAGTTGGGTAGGGCAGGTAGAGGAATTGGACCTTTGGAAGAAAGCCAGGAAAGGTATTATGGGGTTGTGGGGAAGTGGGGGAATGGGGAAAGCCAGGAATTCAAGGTGGGCCTGTCTAGGAGCGGGTGAAGGAGACCAGTCTGAACAAAATGGAACGTCTGGGAGAGCTGCTGATGTGTCTATCATCCATCCAAGCAAAGGTGGAAGGTCAGACCTCACTTTGTTAGACCTCAGGAAAGACAGCATGGTTTATTGAAAAAAGAAAACAAACCTTAGGATCTAATAGACCTACTGCTTACTCTTCTTTGGACCTGGGCCAGTTTCCTTACATCTTTGTGCCTCACTTTCCTCCCTTACAAGACAGAGAGGATGATATTATCTGCAGAACTGCTATGGGGGTTAAAGGCACCAGTGTACATAAAGTTGGGCACACGGGAAACTCTCCGAAAACATTGTCCCTACCCAACAACATCACTCCAGGGAGAGGGCTGCTGGATATTTACTCCAGTTCCTGCCAAGCTCTTTTTAGAATGAGGCAGGTTTTGCCAGCCCAGCATGAGTGAGCAGACATGGCACCTGCCTGGCCATTCCTGGGTCCCATCACTTCATGGGCTGTTGCTGGATGAGACAAATTTTATCTGTGTTTAATAAAGTCCAGTAGTGTGGCAGCTTATGAATCACAGTGTAACACAAGAGAATGGATACCAGATAAATATGTGTGTGTGCATGTGTACAGGTGTGTACATGTGTGTATATATGTATGTATATGTGTATATATATGTGTGTGTATGTGTGTGGGTATATGTGTATATATATACACACATATACCCACACACATACATACAAACGCACACGTTAGGATGTTCAGGCATTAATAACAATAAATATTGTTATTAACCTGGTTCACAGCCTGCAGTCTGGTTTAATATACGAAGTGAAATGGCAGGTCTGCATCTGTCCTTCCCTCCCCTGCTCCTTGCCTTCTGTCTGCTCTCCAGGACAACACTGCACATGCCATATTGGATTCCATTCTGGTCCTATTCGGATAAGCAGGAGATTAAATAATGAATGAGATTTCCATTAGCTCAATTTTTGGGGGGCATATTTCAGGCAACCTTTTCCTTTTTTAATCAAATCTGCTCTGTACCACAGAATATTTTTACATTGATTTTGGGAAAAAAAAGGATTTTTAAAAGGACTGGTTAAACCGCAACACTGTGTGTACCGAAATTTGGCTGGCACAGAATACTAGTGAGGAGAAGCGGCTGGGATGCAGCTGGAAGGCAGAAAGTGGAATTTGGAATAGCTCTGAATCACTGGATGCTAGCTCTGTCTACCTTTCCTCTTTCCCACCTCACCGCCCTCCTCTCTCCCATGCCAGGGTCTCCTGCTCTTAGACTGATGGGCTGGGGAAGACAAGTGGCTCCTTTGTTCTTATTAGTAAGCAGGATTATTTATTAAAATTCTATATCCATGATAGGAATTATGAGCAAGGTACCCATCCTTCAGGAAGCCTCCTTCTTTGAGTTGAGGCTACTGTCTTTCTCTTAGGAAGACCCTGAACCATATCTTTCAAAGGACTGCAAGGGACCAAGCACCCAACTTTCCAGGAACGTAAGAATCTGCTGTTTCTCAGCTACCCTGACTACACACATGGAAAAATCAAGAAGGTTTTTTTTTTTTTTTCCCCCTTTGGTTGGTGCCGGGGGGGGGCGCGGTGCAGGAGGATGTGAGAGGAGGAAGCCTGGAGATTCCATACAAGTCTGGCAAATCTGAAGGCCTCATCACACTTCACTTTATGATTCTTCCCGTTTCCTAGAATTGGAGGCAGAGTTGGGAAGACCCAGTTCTCGGCTCCTTTCCCCTTGGCTCTTCTCAGAATTTCACAGCTGCCCTTTGTTGAGTCCCAGCCACAGCTCCTAAGTCTGAGAGTCTGGATTCAGGCTGGGGACACCCGGCGCACCCTCCCCCGAACACGGGCTTCTCTTTTTGGTCCTGTCCCACCACCCAGCTCTTCAGGGTACAGGTATCGCCGCCTGCTCCGTGGTGTGTGGGGGTGTTTGTCTCCCTCTCCACCTGCCCACCTCTCTCCTAGCTCTGGTCTTAGGAAGCACAGATGCCATGTCCTAGTCCTGCATGGGTCCCTTTCCAGACAGCAGGCAGAAAGGTCTGTCAATTCATCATGGGATCCCCCGCACCGGGTGCTTAGAACGTATGGGTTGACTGAATGACTCCAAATGAAGGCTCAGGGTGTGGGGGCAGGGGCCAGGACTGCTGACTGTCCTCAGATACCCAAAGGGTGGCCATGCGGAAGAAACCCTGAGCCTGACCTACATACTCATGTGCTGGGAAATGTGGCTCTCCCTGGCGATTTGATTTCCCACATGAATAAACACTTTCCCACCAGCTTTCTGGGAGGACTGACCAAAACCTGGAATGGGTTTGGTGCCTCTTGCCCTTTTGATGACTGGCCTGAGAACTAGGAGCCAGGGGGCAGCCAATGGGGAGGGCCCCCTCAGGATGTGATGCACTGCTTCCTACTGAGGGGCAAACTCACCATGTTTGAGCTAGGAGGAATCTTGGGGGTATTGCAGTCCCCCAAGGATGCCTCATTGTGGGGGAGGGTTGGGCAGACAGTTACTGCAGAGGAGGTTGCTGTGTTTTGGGACACCCCTTGCTGTAAGCACGCTCTTCACTGAGCTGAAATCTGTCTGCTCATCCCTTGTGTATCTGGTTTACTCTACGCTATTCTGAAAAGTGGGTAGGCAGACCCTAGCCTGCACCCTGTTGTCGAGGTCCAGAAAGCCAAGTGTGGGGGGCTGCATCAGGGAAGGGAGTGTCCAGAGTGAGGGAGACCCTGGCGGGGGGTGAAGAGAATGGGTGACAGAACCTGGCAGGTGACAAAGACAGGAGGGGGAGCTGAGGGACATGGTAGGGAGGGGACAGAAGTGTCAGGACTCTGGGTCTATACTTGAGACCTAGCAAGGGGACAGGGCTCTGTTTACAGATGGGTTTCTTGCTTTAGGTTTCATGCTTTACCTGCCCAGGCCCAACCACCTGCCATTCTGCCATTCTGGGCTCCCTGGGGCACTGCAGACAGAGTTTGCTTTACAAAGTGACCCTTCACATGCAGCGCCTCAGGGCCAGGCACACCCACTGGGCCCAGCCTGAAAGCTCTTCTCTCTCAGGAATTTTGGTTGGCTGCTAATATTGGGATGAGAAAGGCCAATGAGAATGATGGAGGCGGAGACGGCCTCAGGGCCACTTTCAGGTGTTGACTGGACTGAGCGGCTGCCACTCCCCGTGCCGATGTGTGTGAGGTTCTCGGGAGAGCATGACAGGAAAAGGACAGAAAGAGGAGAAGAGCAAAGCTGGACTCTCCCTACCCCCGCCCCTGCCTCCCTGGCAGCCTAGGCTTACACAATCCCTGGCTCCTGTTCCAGGCCCAATTAATCTACTCTCTCCCCTGTCTCCTTCCTTCTCTGCTCCTGAAGACAAGGAAAGGAGAGTGTGCCCTTTTGGCTGATGCCTCTGCTGAATTATTTGAGAGATGAGACTTTAAATGGATGTTTAAAGGGCCAGAGGCCTGGGCCTCCACTCCTGGGCACATGAAGGTCCAGGGCTGCAGGCCAGTGTGGGCACGCTGTCCCCCGGCCCACCCACTCCACACCTGGGCTACCAGAACCTCGGGCTGGCAAACCCGACGATAGGGCTTGACATCATGCCTGTGTGTTCGTGTGTGCGTGTGGGCATCCCTGCACACGCTGTGCCAGCCACCTTCAGTGTGCATGCTGGTGAGAGCTGTCTCTGCACATAGGCCATCTACGCTTTTGGCGTGTGTGTTGGGGTAGACGGATGTGGCATGTGAAGGTGAGAGTGTGCCCAGCAATCGCATATTGTATGCCTGTGTGCATGTATGACCAAGTGACTTAGGGTGCGTGAGTCAGCCTGCACACCCCCGTCACCGCAGATGCAAGGAGGGCACACAAGCAGCCTGAGGTGGACATGTGCCTGTAAAATCCCCTGCCAGGGCTGGGCTGCTGTTGGCCTCAAGGCCTGAAGTGGAAATGAATGGTCCAGCTGCCCTGCAGGGGCACTGCTCCCTTGATCCTGGAGTTCTGCATCCGTGAGATCCAGAGATGGGGAGAGGCACTACTTCCCAAAGGCAGAAACCAAGAGTTTTTTTGAGACGAGGTCTCACTCTGTCACCCAGGCTGGAGTGAAGTGGCACTATCATAGCTCACTGTAGCCTCAAACTCCTGGGCTCACGAGATCCTCCCACCTCAGCCTCCTGAGTAGCTGGGACTACAGGTGTGTGCCACCATGCCCGGGTAATTTTTGTATTTTTTTGTAGAGACGGGTCTCACTATGTGCCCAAGCTGGCCTCAAACTCCTGAGCTCAAGTGATCCTCCCACCTTGGCCTCCCAAAGTGTTGGGATTACAGATATAAGCCACTATACCCAGCCCAAATAGCCTGATTTTTAAGGGAAGAGTTTTGAAATTTATTCAGAGTTCAGAAGTCTCGAAGAGAGGGAAAGCCCATCCCAATGTGTGGGAGACGTGTGTGTTTATGTGGGCATGTGGCTGCATTGTTGAGGCTGTGTGAGGGTGAGGGAACATGGTCCCACATTAGCCAGTGGCACCTGGTCCCATGGGTATCTGTGTATGTGTGTGTGCATGGCAAGAAAAATAGGGTCTGGCTTTGACCAAACCATCTCCAGGAGGTGAGGCCATGGGGTGACTTATTCATGAGGGGCACTGCTGCTACTTGCTTCTCACTTTCTGATGGGTGAAGAACGTTAGGTATTAACTGGCATTTAAAACACACAAGATACCTAAAATCCTACAGAATCCACCAAGTCCAGCCTAATCAAAGTTCCCTGAAACCCAGAGAGCAGCCAGCACCAGGCAGGGCTCTCCCCAGGCTTCAGAGATGGGCAGCTCAGCAGCTTATCGAGAAGGGCAGTGGCAGGCAGGAGATGAGGCGGGCTGCATGGGGAAGTGGTGCAGCTCCCTGCTAGCCTAGATAGGCCCTCTCAAGGCCTAGTTCAGCTGTGCCAACTGTGCCTCCCTCCCAGCCAGGACCCGTGTCCAGGGGCTCCTAGCCACTGTTTCTCCTGCAGGAGGGTAACTGTGCCCTCCAGCCGCCTGGCATACCAAAAGCAAGGTCATCTCCCTATCCACCTCTTCCATGGAGCAGATCCTGACCACTCAGCACCCTTTTCTTTGCTGTGGTGTTTTCTTTATTTTCTTCCCTCCTTCATGCTGGGGGATGAGGAAGAATACAACCACATAAGACCTCTGAGTCAGCCGTCCAGATTTGAATTTAACCCATTCAAGTTTGCCAAAGATTCACAGAGTACCTACTGTGGCTTAGGAGCCGAATGTCCATTGCTGGACAAAACAGATATGATACCTTCTGTTGCAGAACTTCCAGCCCAGAGACGGAGACTGCTTATGGCATGTTATAAACCAGAGTGTCTGGTGCTGTCTGAGGATACAGAGGGTACAGCTGGGGTTCAATGAGAAACACATCTTATCCCAATAAGAGTGGAGATTCCAGGGGGCAGAGACAGCATGTTTCTTCTTGCCCTCACCTCCACAGTCCTTAGTCCAGGCCTGAATTTTCACAGAATATAGATGGATGGATGGATGCATGCATGCATGGGTGGATGGGTGAGCAGATGGATGCATGCATGGGTGGATAGATGGATGGATGGATGGATGCATGCATGCATGTGTGTATGGATGGGTGGGTGCATGGGTGCATGTGTGTATGAATGGGTGAATGGTTGAGTGGACGGGTACGTGTGTGTGGATGGGTGGGTGGGTGGATGGATGGGTGCATGTGTGTATGAATGGGTGAATGGATGGATAGATGAGTGCATGTGTGTATGGACGGGTGAATGAATGGATGTTACTTCTGCATCACACTCTGCTCTCTTAGCTTTGGAAATTTTGGTTGGCTGCTAATATTGGGATGAGAAAGGCCAATGAGAATGATGGAGGCAGAGATGGCCTCAGGGCCACTTTCAGGTGTTGACTGGACTGAGCGGCTGCCACTCCCCGCGCCAATGTGTGTGAGGTTCTCAGTTGTTCTCGGTGTGAGGTTGGTTGGTGAATTGGGTCAGAACTCAGTGCTGAGTAGTAGTAATGATACTCACTGCCTGCTCATGGCTTATAGAAGGCTGCGGGGGCTGGGCAGAGGGGCTCCCCTCCCCGCCCAGGCTGTGCACACACATTATTGGCTCGCTCTTCAATCATGCCTTTCCAGCTAGCTGCTCCTGTCACAGCACATCTTGTTAGCCCTGGAGGCTCAATGAAATGGAAATTCATGTTTAAATTTAAAAACAACATATTGACCCTGGGAGCCAGCGATGTCTACATTTTTAATAACTTACTCAGAATGAAGGCTTGGATGAGTATGCCTGTTTCTTCATGTCTGTGTGTCTGCGTGTGTTCACGTGTGGGTGGACATGTGTGTTTTAAGGGGTGCATTTCTGCGTTTGTTCATGTGGGTTCCTGTAGGTGTGTTCACCTATGTCGGTGAGCATCTGTGTGTGTAGGGGGTGGTGGAATGTCAGCATTTGCTCTGGAGCTCCGTGGTTAAGGCTGTGTAAGGGTATGTTGTGGGGCATGTTGGAAAGGTTTTGATTTGATTGGGGTGTGTTTGTACAGAGGGCCTGAAAACAGGCCACACAGGAAATGAGACAATTTTTGTTCCCACTCCTCCATGCCCTCCACTCCTGTGACATGTATTTTGGGCATCGCCTGTTCTACAGTTCCTCTTTAGTCTGGTCTCCTAATCCAGATGACCCCATGGACCAGTTATGGAAAAAATCTCAGTCAACTGAAGCTGGTTGAGTCCTGAGAGGGCACCTCATCCTCTTTCATTTCTTGGCAGAATCAGAATTAACCACTTGACAGTGCTTTTTACTTGGTCAAGTCCCACATCCTTCCAGAGCCCCATTCCTCCTCTCCAAGGAGCCTATCATCCTCCCTTATGTGCAGTGCCCTCTGGTGTGAAGGAAGAACTGCAATATGGTGGTCTGGAGACCCAGGATCTTGCCCTTCCAACCTGCTGTATAGTTGAGCAAAATGTCTATACTCTCTGTACCATAAGTCTCCTTTGTAGGGTGAGGGGCCACATTAAGGCCTCCAAAAGGCCCATCTTAAGGGTCTGTCAACTGTGATGTCATGATCTCCACTCTCCAACCCAGTCTGATCACCATCATCCTGTTCTAAGCACTCTCAGTGTCAAGTCATTGACACTTCCTTTCTGCTTTCCAACCTGACATAGCAGAGATAACCATGAAGGCAGGGCAGGGATTCGGCAAACACTTGCTCATTGACTGAAAACAGTATAATGCCAGTTTCAAGTTTCTTATTTTTCCATTCATTCATCTATCTATCTATCTATCTATCTATCTATCTATCTATCTATCTATCTATCTATCCATCCATTCATACTTGCATACATGCCTCCATCTACCCATTTACTCTTCCACTCACCCATCTACCCACCTACCCATTCATTCTTTCATCCATCCATCTATCTACCCATCCACCTATCCATCTACGCATGTATACTCTTTCACCCACCCATTCACTCACACCCACTTACCCATCCATTCATCCACCTATCCAACTATCTACTCACCCATTCTTCTATCTATCCATCTACCCATCTACTCATTTTTTTTCTTTTCTTTTCTTTTTTTTTTTTTTTTGAGACGGAGTCTTGCTCTGTCACCCAGGCTGGAGTGCAGTGGCGCGATCTCGGCTGCAAGCTCTGCCTCCCAGGTTCATGCCATTCTCCTGCCTCAGCCTCCCGAGTAGCTGGGACTACAGGCAGCCACCACCGTGCCCGGCTAATTTTTTGCATTTTTAGTAGAGATGGGGTTTCACCGTGTTAGCCAGGATGGTCTCAATCTCCTGACCTCGTGATCCACCCACCTCGGCCTCCCAAAGTGCTGGGATTACAGGTGTGAGCCACAAAGCCCGGCCCTAATTCATCCATCCATCCAGCATTCATCCACTCATCCATCTACCCATCCACTCATCCATCTACCCATCCACTCATCCACCACCGATCCACCCACCTACTCATCTATCTATCCATCTCCCCACTCATCCACCAGTGGACTCATTCTACAAATATTTCTCCTTTCTTATTGTACTCAAAGATGTAGAAGACAACTTCCATTCTTGAGATGCTTGCAGTCTACTAGGGAAGATGGTATGTGGAAAGCAGTGTAAGAGGTATGTGTAAGAGTGGGCCAGGGTGCTCTGGGGAGATGTGGAGTAGGAGAAAATATGTCTGTCAGGCAGGATCAGGAAAGGTTTCATGAAGCAAGTGGTGGCTGAACTGAGCCCAGAGTGCTGGTTGGGTCAGATGGAGAAGGGAAGAGACATGGAGGGTGAACAGGAGGGCAGGGGCCCTCTCTGTGGTGGCCACATGGAAGGCATGTTTAGAGAATAGTGAACCTGCTGACCTGGCTGGTGTAGGGTGTGATAGTGGAGAAAATCCAGCCTAGCTATCTATTAGTGGCCTAGAACACTTTCTTTCCCATCACCTCACAATTACATCATGACACCCAGGAGAAAAGCAGGGAGGCACCCCTTGTTTAGAGATTGGAGACTTAGCCCAGGATGGTTGAGTACTGGCTCAAAGTCACGCAGCAACTTTGTGGTAAAGTGGGGATCATACCCAAGTTTCTGAATACCTTGAACTCAGGTTTTTTTCCCCCCAATGATGGGAGAAAGTGCCCATCTAGAAAGGTTTTTGGAAGTCTTCTTTTTTTAACTTTAAGAGAAGTGGAAAATGGTCTTCAAGCACTTTGTTTTTATTACCTATTGAAATTTGACATAATGCCTTGGCAGTTCCCCCTTAATATTCTGCTGTATATGGAGCCTGACGATTTCTACCATCGAATGTGGCAGGTTGGGAAGATTAAAAAGAGGAGCTAAACTAGCAGTAGTTGGAGATGAGGAAAAGTAGCACATTTATGAATAATTTCAGCTGAATCCTCACAACATGACACTCCCTGGACAGAACACATTCATTATCTTATTCACCACGACTACTGCAATATTAGTGATTTGTTACTGAATCAATTATTAATTCATACAGGAGAACGAGGCTCTGTCACTTAACTCTTCTCTGAATGTTGGGCCCAGGGTGGGGCAGGGAGGAGGAAGGGTCAGATTTAACCTTCATTCTCTTTGGTATCTTTCAGAAGGTGGCAAAACAGCAAAGGGTGGTGGAAAGTGGAAGAGCGAGAGGTTTGGGGAGCATCTCGTGCCACTTAGAGCCCTGGCCTGAAACCATAGACACCAAATACACAGGGCAAGGCAGAGCCCAGTGGTCCCTTGGGGCCATTTGAGGTCATCCATCCATCCATCCGTCCATCCATCCATCCACCCATCCATCCATTCATCTATCCATCCATCCATCCATCCAATATATTGCCTGCCATTTGAAGTATCTGACTCAAATAATTTGCTCTTGCCTGTAATCCTCCCTTCTTTGACAACCCATGCAGATCCTCCCCCTGTCAGAACCCAGCTCCTGGGTTTCACCTCCAGGAGCCCCAGCTTTTCTAAGCCTCTAGCTTCCATCCTGGAAATCTCTAGTCCTTAGCTTGACTGCATATGGTTTTCACATGGGTGTCTTGTCTTTTTAGCCCAAGATTCCCCAAAGCATCTTGGTACCTGCTTCATATCATCTGGTCTGCACTTTAACAAGGAAGATGCTGGAGCCCCACCACAGACATATGGAATCAGTATCCTGGGACCATGGCCTTGGAATCAGCCTTTAAAAACAGGACCCAGGGGATCCTTGGGCACACTGCTCAGCCAGCCTGGGGGGCCTCTCTGTCTTCTCATGCATCAAGCCCAGGGCTGGGTCTTCAGGAAGCTAGGGGATGGGAGACTCCAGTGTGTCCTGGCCCTGTGAACAGGCTGTGGTCTTCCTCTCCCTCTTTGGGCTGCACGCTCCCTGTTGCATCTGTCCTGTGTTGAGAAGGCGGGAATGCACTTCTGCAATCAGGTAGGCTCAGAAGCAAGACAGGTGGAAATGCTAGAGGTGGTAGCATCTCTCTGGGGAACAGAGAAGGGAAGAGGAAGTGAGGGCAAGGGAAGTAGACAAAGGAGGAGGAAAGGAAGGAGGACAAGAAGAAATGCAAAAGGGAGAATAGAAGAGAGAGGAAAGGAAAGGAGAAAGCAGGAAGGAAGAAGGAATGAAAGGAAATCATTAAAGAGAGGAAGGAAGAAAAGAAAACAGAAAAAAAGGGAAAAGAAAATAAAGAATGAAGTCTTCCTGTGATGGGAAACTGCCCAGGCATCCTGACAGGCCTGCACAATTGCACCTCTGTATAGTTTACGGACAGGGAGAACTTGCTGACTGGGCTCCAAGTGCAGGAGATAGGGCTGCTTGGGAGCTGGGTCTGGGGGGTAAACATGCCCATCCATAGGGATGGTTCAGCAATGAGCAGTCACTGGGGAGCAGGTAGCTGCCTCTAACCCCTTCCTTCTTCCAGCCACAGATCCTTTCCAGCCAATGGCCCAGAGACAGAGCACTGGGCTTCCCCTGCCTTTCCACTTCTCCTGCCTACCAATTTCTCCGACTTAACCTGTGGGCAAGTCTCCCTTTCCCTATGTTCAAGATCCTTCCCCACATCTTCTCAGGACTCTGCCCAGCAGAATACAGCAGACTCAATGAAGCCCCTCTGTTGGCCAAGTGGTGCTATCTCCCTTTGGAAGCCCGTAGGGCAGGTCCTGCAGTGATCCAGTGAGGTGCTTCTTGCAGCACTGGCCAGTAGCTGGAACCACCAGCTCTCCCAGGAAAAGTGCTGCTCCAGGGCCCATCAGGTCAAATAGGAGAGAGACGGGGTCAGTAGGACAGTATCCTGCAGATGCCATCCTCACCAGGACTGTGAAGGCCAGTCTGATTCTAATCTTGGCCAGATCCTGACCATGTCAACCCCATCCAGATGTCCTGTAGCTGCTGTTAGACCCTCTGGATATCCTAGACTCCCTGCAAAGACCATTCAGAGCCAAGACCCACAAAGGGGTGGGGTAAGAAACATCACCTGCTCATAATGAGTCATGTGATTGATAGCTTATGGGTCTGAAGGATGTTTGGGGTCAACTGAGCTTCAAGTTCCTGAACACTTGCTTTTAACCCTCAGTTTAAAGACTGGAACCTGCCTACTTTCCTGGTATGCTTGCTTTCCTGGAAGCACTACCAGTGAGGGGCATCATGAAAATCCACCTATCTTTCAAGGCAAAAGTGATCTGATGAAAGGCCCCAATTGTCTTTCCTCCCCAGTTCTCTTTCTGTCCTCTCCCCACCAAGTTGGAAATCCACATGGTTGGGGAAGGTGAGCAGTCCCACTACTGAGCTTTGCTGGTGGCAATTGCTTTTGAATACACAAACCAGAGGTGGGCAGTGGGGGACATTGGTAAAATATCTAATGACTGTAGCATGGAGGTTTCAAACTTGGTCAAGCACGGGCAGGTCTGATTTCTGTACCCTTGTAAACCACAAGCAGTCAGCATATCCCCATTGCTCACTCTTGGTGTTTGTCTCCCCAGTGGCTCTGCTCTCTCTTCTCAGGACCACCTGCCCCCCACTGAGCCTCTGTCTGTAGTTTTGGGGCCTTCCTAGACTTGGCTTCATACACACCCTGCTGCCTCAACCTTTCAATGTCATAGCATTTTCACAGTGAATGACACTTTGGAAATCACCTAGCCCAACCCTGGAAAAAGCAGTGAAGAAGGACCCAGAATGTTTGGGTTCTGGCTGTGTTCCTCCCACAGTGTGACCTAGGTCAAGTCACTTGGCCTCGCTTACATTTTCCTCATTTCCAAAATAATAACACATACTCTGCCTGTCTCGTAGAATTGCTGAGGCTAATCAAAAAATACTGTAAAGCACATGTCAGACAGGAGGAAGATCATTGATCAGTTTTCTAAGAGGAGAAACTAATGCTCAGAGAGATTCAGGAACTTGCCAAAGGCTCATAGCTTCTCAAATCACTGAATGGGTGCCTGCTCTCAGGGATGTGTGCATTCTCTGAGAGCCAGGCTTTCTGTCTGAGCAAAGGTTAGGTGTGCTTGATAATTTCTTCTGGAATACTGAGCTGACATTTCATGCTGTGCCTGTGTCTAGTCTAGCATAGGTGCACATGGTAGGTGTACTTCTGGGGATGAAGAGTGGGAGACCTGCTGGTGTCCTCTGGTATGGCTGGAGCTGGGGTGTCCAACAGTGAACTCATAGATACAGGATCCCATCTTCCTCAAGAGTGGGGCACTGCTCTGTTCCTCTCTATTTCCTCAGCACCTAGTGCAGAGCCAAGCACCCAGAAGGGGCTAAGTCAATGTTACAGACTGATTGTTATTCAATATCGGTTTTACTCTTTTGTTTGATTACATGGATTTTACAAATGAATTGGACTTTTAAGTGGTGAAACTGCATTTCTTTAAAATAATTCCAGAAGTATCTTCAGGGTCACAACTCAAGAAAGATGCACTGAGGAGGAGGTTAGTCCTTCTGGAATGTTCTACTTGGAGAACCACTGGCACTCTGTGAGTCAGGAAAAGACGCAGGAGAGATGGGGCCAGAGTTGAGGTATGCGACTGCAGGGAAACCTCACCCCCTGAGCACCTGCTTTAGGAATGTTGGGAGATGGAATGTTGTCAGGCCTGGGAACTGGCATCGGACCAGGAAGGATGGTGGCATTCCTGGAAGATGGATGGGGAGAGGAGCTGCCTCAGGGTGTGGTCAGGGGGAAGGGAGGGAGGCGGCCATGTGGACACACGTTCTCCTATGCTGGTCAGGTGGTCAGCCTGGCCTTCCTCTCCTGAGAGGGTGGAGAGAGCTTAGGCAAGACTGTAAAACCCTCAGGGACGCCCTCCGGTACCCAAAGTAGAGGACCCAGGGGATGATGAGGGTTTGCTCCACACTTGGAGGGTCCCTACAGGATTTTTTTAAGGACAAAGAGAGAACCAGTCCTGTCTGGGTTAACAGCCCATCTGCTCCTCAGGAGACCCTCAGCTTCAGGCCAGCCTGGCTGACAGCGAGGATCTTGGGGAAGAATCTAGCCCTGTGGTGGCCCGAGGTCGGCGGGAAGGGTGTCCTCTGTGAAGGACTCACAAAACGGCCACTCCGGGGTTCTGGCAGCTACATCTAGTCATCATGTGAGCCATCTGCTCTTGGTATCCAGCAACACATTGATCCACATGCTTTTGACACCCTGCTGGGAGGCTTGGGGGTGGGAAGGGTGGACCGAGGCCATCCAAGCCCTGGCCTAAAAGTGGCCTGCTATGTGGTGGGGGAACCTTGACCCTCAAAATAGAAGGAGCTGCAGGGGCTAATTCAGGTCCAGTGTCTGATAGCAGGCAGCAGCTGGGAGAGGCAGTGTGGCCTCATGGTTAGGGTGCAGACCCTGCAGCCAGAACCTGGGGGTTGCAAAACCTGGCTCTACCGCTCACTAGCCATGGAACACTGGGCAGCCACTGAATGTCTCAGCACCTTGGTTTCCTTATCTGGTAAGAGGATGACAGCACTTAGCTCACAGTTCCGATGAGGAGTGAATGAAATAGTGTGGCGTGCTGAGAATGGCTGTGAACGGGAATCCTCAGGAAAGGCTTTGTGTAGGAGGTGGGACTTGAACTGGGTGGCGAGAGAGGGAAATGCATGGAACTGTGTGAGCCAACGTGTGGGGGTGGGACCCGTGCTGGGAGCACTGGGTGGAGGGGCACTCTGTCTACCTCCTGGCTGTGGGGATGTCTGCCTGGCAGGCTGTGGCAGGGAGAGGGTGCAGGTGCTTGCAGGATAGCCCAGCCTCTGCTAGAGAACAGGTGACTCGTTCTCCAAGCATGGGGCCTGGAACCTGGCTAGTGGAATCATTGCTTCACCACAAAGGTGGAGCCACAGGCTTCCTGCATCCCACAGAGAGAGCTTTCTGAGCACAAACTGCAAGCCAGGCACAAGCCACCAATCTCTCCAGTGCCCTGCCTTCCCATGGATCAGAGACTCCCAGCTTCTTGGAAGCCCTGCCTCATGGTCTACCTGGCAGCCTTGAGGGACCAAATGACCTTGCTTTTCCCATTAAGAGCCTCATGCCATGTTTTGTAGTCCTGTTCCCATCCAATTCAGGTAAGAACTTGGCTTGAACCTAGGACATTCCTAGTCTCTGTAGCCAAGGTTCTTCCCTCCTCCTCTTCTTTCCTTTCCAACTCCTTGACTCAAGTGTAGGAGCTGCTGAGTCTTTGGTCCTGATCTTTCTGCCTCTTCCCCATCCCCTCCCCAACATCCCTCTCCGGGCATAGGCCCATTCACATACTGCCAAGTGTCTCACAGTTCCCTATCCGGGTCATGGGGCAGGGCTAACCCCACTCTCTCAGTCTGTTGAGATGGAAACTAAGGTTCAGAGAGATTGAACACGAAGCATGTTATGAGTAGGGCTGGGATTAGAACACAGGGCTCCCAGCTCCCTGGCCAAAGCATTTCCTACTCAGCTGCCTTCTCTCCCTCCTTGCGCACTGGCTGGCCTGGCCACAGGGGCTGTGGGGCTGTGCAGCCTCCTTAAACACAGGGCGGTTTTATCACTAACACCCTGGGCTCCGCACAGCTTTCTTCTTTAGCTGTGGTAGGCCAGCTGAATGCATCTCTGCCTACAATGAAGAAGGCAGCCTAGGAGTCCAACCCCAGCCTCCTGCCCTGATTAACGGCCACCCCTGTCCTTGATTGTGTCATGCGTGTGAGTCATGTCTCCCAGCCAGACAGTGACCTGCTGCCTGCTGCCATGGGCACGTGCCCCTCTTCTTTGGGGTACCTGTGGCCTGAGCACACAGTGGGGGCTCATGGGAGCCCACCAAGTGATAAACAGATCGGAGGCTCAGGCTTGAGGGTGACTGAGTTCGGTCATTGCTCTCTCTTTTGAGAGTGGGCTTGTGGAGCAAAAGAATGGCCAAGCCAATTCCAGGACAGTCACGCGCAGCCTGTGAAATGTGAGCTGTAAAACACCGGATGTGAATTCAAGCCTTCCTCAGTCAGCATGGATTAGCATGGCCTGATTCTCTCCTCGGAAGGCAATCCTCACACCTCCCTCTGGTCACCCACGCGGTGTCTTTTTAGAAAGCAGCAGAATGTGAGCAAACACGGAGAAAAGATATTCCTGGAGCCTTGCCCTTAAGAACTCTCATTTTCAAAAGCTGGTCCTTCCTGTCTAACTGAAATCCCTCTTGCTGGAAGACACGGCGCTCAGTTGTGTGCTGGGGCAACAAATTATAACACTGGCTAGACAAGTGAGGAAACTGAATGTGGTGGGGAGGCGACTTCTCCCAGGAGATCACAGAAGAGGCCAGGGCCTGAGTGGGGCCTGTGTAAGGACCAGATTCCAGACCCCAGGCAGCTCTTGCAGGCTCCTCTCCTCCCACTGAGATGGGAGCAGGGAGAATGGCAGCTGCCTCCCAACTATGATGGCCAGTCAGGGGCCACCCTTGTGGCTGAATAAGAAACACAGCTGCATTTCCCTGTTTCGGCCATGTGGTCAGTGAAACAAACAAGACATTTATCAGGGAGGAAGGAGGAGCTGATTGGCTCCCAGCTCCCCTCCCCCAGCACACTTGTAGCTTTGACCCCAAGCCCCTGCACTTCTTAATGCAACACTCAAAAAGCAAAGTCAGCCCTGCAAGTGTCAGGAATAAGTGGGGGAACCAGGAGAGGAGCCTGGGAGCCTGGAGGAGGGAGCAGCTGTACCTGAAGAAGAACTGAGAGATGGATGTGTGTGTTAAGCATGTGGGAGTGAATGTGTGCCCGAGAAAGAGCAGGCCAGAGTGTGCGCACATGTGTGCATGCATGCATGTGCCAGCACATGCATGAAAGTGAGAGAGAGCCCTGGGTTTAGGGCATGCTGCCTTTGTACAGTTGCCCTGTTACATTCGTGGCCATAGGGAAGCCATGCCTTGTTATTTTATGCCAGGGAAGCTGGCCAGAGACTACCCCCACTCCTGATTTCTCAATGAAAAGGCTCTGAAGTCATCCCTCGTCCTATTTCCCCAGCAGAAATGACCCATGAATGCTTCTCGCTTCTGCCATGAGCACAACGCAAAATTTCCCTGTTTTCTTCAGTACAGTGCCCATCCCTCCACCTCATTTCCAAAGCCACTTTCTCTGCTTCTTCATGGGGCTGGGTAGGATATGGGAGCAGCTAGCGGTGCCTAAACATTGTGCAGGTTCTACACATAGACACATGCGCGCGCGCGCACACACACACACACACAGAGACAGAGAGAGAGAGAGAGACAGACAGACAGACAGACAGAGAGAGTCAGAGAGACAGAGAGACTGGCTCATGAGCTCCAGGCAAGTCAATGAAATGCCTAATGCAGTGCTGAGTGTTCCAGGAAGATGGGTTGAGGACAAGGGGCACAGATGCAGGTGTGCCCTGTCCTTGGCTCATCCACGTCCAGGTAGGCTGCCAGGGTCTTTCTCATGAAATAAACAGCACTGGGAGCTTGACCAGGCTCCTCAGGTCTTATGTGGTGCTGACTCCTCGGGGGACTGGCTTTCACATGGAAAGGAGTCCTTGTGGGGCCAGAGTGGGATGGGAAGACTGCCTGGAGGAGGCGGGGTCAAAGGTGGGCTTAGGAGGAGCTCAGAGACATTGTTGGTAAAAGGAGGGGCCTGAGTGAGGCACCCTTGAAGTCATTCTTGGTGGAGAGCAGGGGTGACTGTCCTCTCACTCCTCCCAGGTCCCTGGCCTGGTGTTCTTCTTCCAGGCCCCAGGGCAACCCAGCAATGGCAGGTGGGCGAAGCTATTCTAGTGAGAAGCAAAAACAGTGGAGTTACCAAAATCCTGGTGACAGCCATGGCCTTGGTCTCCTGAGGCCATCACCTCACTCATCCCTAAGCCCTCTAGGAAAGGGGAGGAAGCCTCCCTAGGCTCCCTCTCCTCCTTGCCTCCACTTGAAACCTTCAGGAGAATGGCTTTGGGAGGCTTCAGGGAGATGCACCATAGCTGAGAGGCTCACAGATCTTTGACTGGGGGTTCATCATGCTTTTCCCACCTTCTCGCTCCATAAGGAACAGATTTTTGGCCAGACTGGCTGTACACCATGCCATCTCTTCCTCATCTCTGAGTTTCTTCCTTATCCACCCTTCTAAGTCCTGGGGAGAGGTCTCCGCCACCGAGAAGCCTTCTAGGACTCATGCTGTCTGGCCTTTTGAGACAACTTCCTGCTCCATGCACTTGGAATGATCTATCAGGTTGGTGCAAAAGAAATTGTGTTTTTTGCCGTTGAAAATCATGGCAATTACTTTTGCACGAACCTAATAGCTCCCTTCTCTAATATGTGGTTCCTGCAAGGGCCTGATTTGCTGTTAGCTCCCTTGGCCTAGGAACGAGAGGCTCTTGACTTTATCCCAAGAGGGCTTATCTAACATGCTGGTAGACTTTACCCTGAATGACAAGATCTCTATGCAGGCGTATGGAGCCAAGGAGAGGTGGGCTGTCACGGGAGGCTGGGGGCAGAGGGCAGTCTAGAAGGGATGAAATGGTAGTGGTTTGCCAAGGAGAAAGGGGTGCTAAGGGATTCAGAACAGGTACAGGGCTTGGTGGCAATACCCAGAGAGCAGAAGGAGGAGAAGGAGCTCTGGCCTTCCACCCCGTGTGGCCTTACAGCCTGCCTTGGAGGGTCGTGGCCTAGCTCCAGGACCAAGCACCTCTTCCCTCAGGCACTCTGAGCACCCGATAGCATTTACAAGCAATATTTTGCATGCTGGTAACTGGGTTTGTGCAGTTATGCTGTGGCCTGGGGTAAGACTTCCCAGTTGCTAGCAGCAATGCCTGTGGTCACACAGGATCAGAGGCCGAGGGAGCACCACTGCCCTTCCCTGCAGGTTCCCCAGCTACGTGGTTACCAGTGTTAAGCTCAGCCCAGCTTTGGCTGCCTCCTCCCCCTACCCTTCTCACTCATCCTGTGTTGTGGCTAGATGAGTAGTCCAACCTCCCCATCTAAGCTCCGAAGTCCAGGGGATTGGGCTCCACACACTCCTGACCCTGCCACACTCTTGCTACCTGCCTGCTATTCCTTCCTGTGCTCTTTTAGTCCTAAGCACATCCTCTCTCCTGAATCTGACCCTCAACCTGCACCTGTTCCACTCTCGCCCCACCCGCACAGTGCTCTCTGGCCACTGTGGTCCCCAAGGCAGGTTCTTAGCTCTCTGCCCCTCTCTGGGCATTTGGTCACATCCTATATTGCTGTGGGACCCAATTGTCATTTGTGAATGTGTGACTCCTAGCAGGACTTTGGGATTCTGGAGGACAGAAAAAATCTATTACAACTCTCTGGGTTTCCTGTTCTGCCAGGCCCAGGACTGGGCAACCTGAAGGTGCTCGGCCATGACTGGACAAACGGATCATCTGACCATGATGCTACCGGCCTCGTGTGTGGGCTGATGACAGGATTGTAGTCCTGCAGGTTGAAATAGGGATGCTGTGTACGTGTCCATTAATGTATCTGCTTTGGAACAAAGAAGACAAGGCCCCTCCGGGGCTCTAACCCTTCCCTGTTGAGTCAACCACAGACAGGAAGCCAGCTGCAGGGAGGGTGCCTGAGGGGTCTCTGAGAGGCAGCTGCTGCAGGAAGCCCTCCTGGCTCCCAGATTGCCTCCTAACTGTGGGTTTATTAATGCATGCCAGAATACCTGAGACCCAAAGAATTCATAATCAAATGATTTCTTTAAAAAACATAAAAGAACGAAGGAAAAGGAGAGTGCACTGCCTTTCTATTAAGTCATTCGTAATTACCTCATTAGAGCAGACACTGTGCACTCGTCCACCAGGGAGAAAGCTCATAGAGATTCAAGAAAGAAAAAAGCAGGTTCCTTTGGAGACTTCTAGGGCCAGGAGCCAGCTCCCCTGGCACAGACTTGACCTTTGACATCTGCAGAAACTACAGCTGCTTGGCGAAAGCCCTTGGGCCATGGTCCTTGCCATCTGAAGACACCTTGGAAGATGGACATGTTACCATCAAGGCCTGCCTGATTAGGGGACCTTTGGTCCCCAAGAGAGTTGGTTCTCTGTTAGGTGCTGGGGGTAGCACCTCCATTCCCCAGAGAGGACATCAGCCAGGGAGGGAGAGGCTTCTCTGCCAAGTCTGCCAGGGACAGTGCCTGGAGGGGAAACAGGCTCATTGGTGGTGAGGGACAGTGGCCACTGGGATCAGACCAGGATATAGCCCCAGCCCCAGCCCTTGCCCTGGAATCAATGTAGTCCCAACTCTGGCTATGGGCCTTTCCCCCCAGTAGCACTGGACAGGTTCCACAGGTTCCAGCTGGACCTGCCCCCAAGCACAGGTCCTGGCCATGGGGAGGATGATACGGGGGAAGGGTAAAGTGGACAAAGAACTGGGCAGGGGGAAGAATATCGGGACACTGGTCTTCTGTCTGCCACGGACACTCTAGGTGACTGAGGGTAAGTCATGTCTCCTCTATCAGCCTCAGTTTCCCCTTATGTAAAAAGAGAGCATTGACCTGGGTGCCTGCCTTGCCAGACCCCAGCTTTGGTCCTAGGAGTTGGTGGCTAGGCCACTCTTCCAGTGGCTGGGGAGGGGACACAGACTGTCCTGTGACAGAGCCTTACAGAGAGGCCCAGGGTCACACAGGACCTTGTCAATGACCACCCAGGGGCTGAGCTGTGGGAGAGCCACTGGAGGAAGCCACAAATGGCCCACAAAGCCAATAATAAACCTGCAGAAATTGAGTGGAATGATTGCATTTCCTAAGTGGGGTGGGCGCAGGCGGGGCTGATCGCTTCTGCACCAGCCTCCTTCTTCCTTCCAGGAGTGGGACTGCAGAGGGTGCGGTGCGGGAGGGCTGGGGGCGGGGCAGCCTGCCCAGGCGGCCCTGTTCCCTTAAAAGTCTCATTAGAACACGTGGAAAACAATTTGCCAGGCCATGTTGCGTCGCCGCTGCCATGTGCGGTTTGCTGCACATTAAATTCATTATTTTAACAGGTCAATGCCTCTGACAGATATGCATTTGTGAGAGATGAGCACGGCTGCTTCTTTAATCCCCATGGATTACTTGGCTCTCCCGAAAAGCGATACCAATGACTTGCAGAGACTTTAATCCCAATCACTCCAGACTGTTTACAAGGAGTAAAAAAAAAAAAAAAAAAGATGGTCAAGGGGGCTGAGGCTCAGACTTGGCGGGTGCTGGCAGCAGCAGGGACACGGGGGGGGGGGAAGCTGGGCACCCTGGGTGAAGCCCACCATGGCAGCAGCATAGAGCGCAGTCTGGCGGGAGCCTGAGGAAGAAGGCCCTTGTTCAAATGAAGGCTTCTCCTCTCATCAGCTGGACGTGGGGCTTGCCTCCTCCAACCCAAAGCAGATGTGCAGGATTGCTGGCCTGGGGTAGGAGGTGGAGGGGTTCTGGGGTGGCCTCCTGAACACATTCTTGTTCTTCTGTAAAGTTTTCAATAGCCCAGGCAGGAAATAGCACAGGTGGCTATGGTGGTGAACAACAGGGGCCCCCTCCCAATGGACTCCCATAGGCAAAAACACCCAACTCGCCAAACCCAGCTCTCCCCAGGGCTGCATGGGGGATTTGCTCTGTGGACTGTTCTAGACCTTTTCTGGATCTGTTGATGTCCACAGTTGGGTCCTTTCGGGGAACTGTGGGGGAAGCCAACTTGGGCCTGACTCGAGTGTCCTTTCCGTGGCCTCTGGGGACCCTTACAGCCCTGGCCTGTCCCTCTCTGCAGGCTCCCCAGCCCTGACCCCCAACCTGACCTCATCTCCTCTTGCATGGTTCCCTGCAGGTTCCCCAGCTACATGTGGAGACATCACTCTCTTTGTTTGGCTTTCAAGGGCTTCCCTTCCTGCTCAAGGCCCTGGGTTACTAGCTCCAGCTGCCATCTTTGGGACCTTCCTCGGCCTTGATCACCTCCTCTCAGTGCTGCTGTTCTCTGCACTGAAGGAAGAACAAAGAGGCCTCCAGTCCTGCAGAGTTCTCCACATGGTTGATAGATAGACAGGGGATGGCCTGGCACTGAAGACCTGGGTCTCCCATACAATGTTTTGCTGTCCTCCTGGTCCCCAAATATATGCACAACTGGATTTTACTAGGCCAGACTTCTACTGGAGAAAGTGTCTACGGTGTGTGTATGTGTGCGTGCATGTGCACACCCCGGCATACATGCTTGTGTGCACCTGTTCTATGTGTAGTTTCACCTACCTGCAAGTATGTCTGTCCATGTTCTGGGAGCAGCAGCTACCTGTCCACTGAATGAGTAATTAATTGGTGGGTGGTAAAGCAATTAGCCCTAGAGCTTTCAAAAATAATGAATAAGGGTCCTGTAGATGTCAATATTTGAAAATACTAATTTAAGGCCTATTAGCTGAAGCAAATTTTAATTAAACAGGGAATAATCAGGGTGATGAGAGGAAAGTAAAAGATTTGGCCAGTGGCTGAGTCCTCAGGAATGCATGGAGAGGTGAAGGAGGGGGCGGTGTGGAACTGGAGCTTGAACCTGACCGGCTGACATTTGGGTCATGATCCAGGGCAGGCAGGGGATGAGGGAGGAAGGTGAAGTCACATTCCTGCTCTGGGTCTCTGTAAGGAAGGAGGTGCTAAGCAGAGAGGTTTTTCTATGGGAGTGCATCTTTTGGGGTGTGGCTGTGTTTCCAAGGGCGTCTACAAGGAGTCACTCCACAGTAGCTGCATCAGAACTCACACATCCAAAGGGGCTGCACCTACTCCAGTACAGCTAATGGGACACAAAAGCCTTTGACAGGACTTATGATTTCAGTTTTCCCAAACAGGATCATCGAATTCCCTTTTAGGGAATCTCAGTTATGTACCAACTTTAAATCAGCACTCAGAGGAAGATTTACTGTCAGTAGGGTTGTATGAGGCAGGAAGACCTGAAGGAGACTACTGAAGTAGGGCCCCCATGTGTTCTGAGCAGCAGCCGCCCTGCAGGAGGAAGTGTGCCTGATCCCTCCAGCCCACACCCCGCACTCCCTAGTGGCTGAGAACAGGCCTTCTTTATTTCTGTATCTCTTCCACAAACATCATTTTGACATCCAGAGGGCACACAGCAAGTGCTTGCTGAACCCAGTGACCCTTCGAGGGCATGGACTGTGTCTTATTCACCTGGGCACCCAGGATCTAGAGTGGTGGTTCCCAATAATGTTTGCAGGGGCCTGAGCAATTGCATCGTAGAGGAGGCATGGATGCCCCTTGTCTCTGCTGCCGTATCTTGGTGAGGGAGTCGTGCTTCCTGCCATGGTAAGGAATATCGGAACACTGGGTGCTTGCTTACTTTATAACAGGGGCTGGGGCCATCGCTGGCTACGTGGGAGGTGTTCCTCTGAGTACTTGTTCTGAAATGTAGTTCTCTACCTTGACTCCTGACAACCTACCTTCTCTGGTTACAAGGACCCTCTATGGGTGTGGCCAGGAGAGAAGAGCCTGAAAGCTGGGAAGGTGCATGTGTAAGTCTGTGTGTGTGTGTGTTGGGGAGCATGTGTATGTGCCTCTGTGTGTGCTCTGTATGTCTGTGTGCATTTTATCTGCCTCTTTGTGTTTGCTGGTGTGTCTGTGTCTGTGTGTGTCTATAGTCTCATTGTGTGTGCATGTCTGTGAGTGTGTATGTGTGCCTATGTGTGCCAGCGTCTTTGAATACCTGTGTGTTTGCATACATTCTGTGTATGTTTGGGTGTGTCTGTTTCATGCAGCATCTGCTGCATGTCTATGTCAGAGGTCTTGGAGTTTCCAAGTGGGTAGTGCTACCTCATGCAGGGACTGCTTCTTCCCTGGGCCTCAGCTCTAGCAGACACAGGCAAGAACTTCAGCACACACCACTGCCTCTTTGTTTGGTTATTTATTTATAACCCACTCCATTTAAAAAATGAATTGAGTGGAGATCTTGATGAGGCTAGGGCTTCCGTTTGGCCTTGCGCAGGGGCTCTCCTCTACAGCCTATTGAGGAAAATAGAACAACCTCATCATCTCTTCTTAGGACTGATCCCTACGGAAGACCCCACACTTGGGCCTCATCCTGCCCTGCCTGACTCCTGTGTCAGGCACACACCTGCACTTCCTGCCTCCCACTTAGCTGCTCCAATCCCTGCTCAGCTCCAATCTGTCTCCTGACTCTGAAGCAGGAAGTCCAGGCCAGCTAGTTCCTCCTACTGGCCACGCCCTTTGTCTCAGGCACCTCCTCCTTCAGCATCTTTCCCTAGGAACAGTGCGGCTCTCACTGCCCACTTCTCTCTTGGCCACCCCTCTTGGGGGAGGTAGACCTTGGCTCTGTACCCTGCCATCCGCCACCCCACCTCAGCCTGAGCTGACTTTGTGGGCAGGAACCACACAGCCTCCTGCCCAGTCCCATGCCTCCCACCTTTGCAGCTGAGCACGGACTGGGGACCCCATCCACTCAGTCAATGCTGGTGGAATTGCAAGTTGCATAATAACCTGGGGCCCCTTGGAAACTTTTCATCTCAACACGAAGACTGATTAAATAGCAACAAAAATAAATTATGTATACACAGAGTTGTAAAAGCACCCAGAGACTGGAGACTTGGGGTCTGTGCCTCATATAAATGCAAATACTGTAATAGCATTGCAGTGGGCCCTCCACCCCCACTCCACACAAACCTCGGGGCAGGGAGGGTGAAGCCAGCAAGGATGGTGTGTAGCGCAGTAACAGGCTAGAGCCTGCTGGGGCTTTAAACAAAACCTAAAGCCAGGCACAAGCCCAACCCAGCACAGAAACGACCAGATAACTGAGGTTTAGGGCCTGGTTTTTGCAAATGACAGGCTGCAGAAGCAGTGTGTGCATCTAGCTTCCTCTGAGCAGAATGGGGGGAGCACTGAGCAGGGCACCCCTAAGTTGCTGTCAGATGCCTCCTCCTGGCTCGGGCCCCCTGGTAGCTAAGGAAGTGGCCTGTCAGGCCCCCTCTAGTTGTGTCTCCCAGGGCTGAGCAAAGTGCACTCCCACCCCAGGGGAAGTGCTTGCTCCTTCTCCTTACCCCATGGGGATCTGGCACATTAGCAGGTCTCACTTGGTCTGGAGGTGGCGCTGGTGCTTTTTATAGCTGTAGGTGTCTCTGGGTAAGGCCGCCTCCCCCACACTCCCATCCATTGCCTGCTTCTTCCCTCCCACAACCCTGGTCTGGGGAACTTGGCCTTAGGCCTGGCTGCTGGGTTAGGCTTGGGTCCTGGGGCAAGTATAGGGAGGAAAGGACTCTAGGTGCTGCTGTGGTTGGGTGTTGTGGGTGAGCCAGAGGTGAGGATGGGCCGCTGAGCCCTCCTTGCTCTCCTCTGTCTGGGGACAGCTCTGTTGCTTGACTGTGCCATCTAGTTCACTCCCTGGCGTACAGTAGGTGCCTAATTAAAACTGACCAACTGACTGATTAAAAAGTCATTATGCCGAAAACAATTGCTTCTTTTCCTGGAGGTCTTATCATCTCATCTTCTTTTCCTGGTGGGCTTATCATCTCCTCATTTTTGTGTTCTTTTGCTATTACACAGCCACTTTCTCCTTTCTTTCCTTTTTTTTTTTTTTTTTTTTTTTGAGATGGAGTCTTGTTCTGTCGCCCAGGCTGGAGCGCAGTGGTGCAATCTCAGCTCACTGCAAGCTCCGCCTCCCAGGTTCATGCCATTCTCCTGCCTCAGCCTCCTGAGTAGCTGGGACTACAGGCGCCCGCCACCACGCCCAGCTAATTATTTTTATATTTTTAGTAGAGACGGGGTTTCACCATGTTAGCCGGGATGGTCTTGATCTCCTGACCTCGTGATCTGCCCGCCTCGGCCTCCCAAAGTGCTGGGATTACAGGCGTGAGCCACTGCACCTGGCCCTTTCTCTCCTTCTAAGTTATGTGAAAACTCAATAAGCCACAGTCACCATATTAAAATTAAATTGTTAAACTTCCCTGGCAGTTGAGCACAGGACTTTAGGTTTTTCAAAATGTCACTGTATTAACTCTCATCTCATCCTCCAAATGCATCTGCAAGGCCGTCTGGGCAGGTACCAGCATGCCCAATCTACAGATAAGGAAACTGAGGTCCCAGGAGGCAGCTTGTCTATGCCCACATAATTAAGCCCCTGAGTCCTTGGCTTTCGTTCTGTGGAAAAGCTGTAAAAGCGTGAAATAGGTCCCCCCACCTTGAACACTTAATTTTCCACTGATTGCAAGGAGTGTGAGGCATGAAAGATGCCTGTCTATTGCTGTCTCTGGGCCTGAGCTGGGAGGCTGTGAGGCTGGGAGCCCTGGCAGCCTAGCTTTGGGTCCCACCTGGTCCTCTCTTTGGATTCACTCCTGCTGGGTCCTTAGCCTCCAGATCAAACACACTGGCTGAGAAGCAGCCAGCACTGATGGCCTCTGCCCCTCAGGTGGATCCCACCTTCTCTTCTGTGCAGCAGAAGGGGTGCTGTTGTGAGGGCCACCCGCCAATGTGGGGGCACAGGCTCCAGAGGCCCGGAGACTGGTTTCCATCTGAGGAGGCCCCCAACTCCCAGCACATCCCACCTGGGCCCAGAGGGGGAGCTTGGAGGTGGGATGGGAAAGAGGACATTTGTTCTACTGATTTATTTGAAAAGACCAAATTAGAGAAATAAGAGAACAACAGATAGGAGAAATCATGGTAGGCACACTATCCTTCAACTTTATAAACAACAAAGACAATGAACGCTGCACCCGGACCAAGCAAAGCAAATCCTGGGGGCAGAGAGATTGGGGAGAGCTGTAAGATGCCAAGCAAAGATGTTTGAAATGAAAGATGCGCAGGAGAATACAACATATTCTCACTCATGTGGTTTGGCAAAAATGTCTGCAAGGACCTCATCATGTGACCATCTCATAGCTGAGAACAGAGAAGCTGCTTCCTGTTTCAGGGCTAGTGGCATTATTCAAGGCAGGGACCTGGAGAGGCCAGCACTGCTGCCCTGGAGACCTGGCCAGTGCCTCACATTTACTGTTTTCTACCCTCCTCAACATTCTCCTCTTTCAGGAAGCCTTCTTGGATTGAGCTCCTACCTTGAATAACTTTCTTACTATGCTCTCTCAGCTCCTTCATCCTCTTTCTATTTCATGCTCTTTTGATTTGCTCCTGGTCAGAAGTGAGCTTGCAGTACCAGCAGGCTTCTAATGCCTGTCTCCTGTCCCAATCCACGGTATGCGCAACACAGGAATCTTATTGCCACACACACCTATCTCCAACATGATACAAAACCAATGAGTGGATTGAACGCCTGTGGGAGGTGAGCAGTGAGGGAAAGTGTGGCTAGGATGTGCCCATGAGTGGGGTGCTGCCCCGTTCACCTCTCTTAAGTTCAGTGCCTCCTACAATGGCCCCCTCTTCCCCAAGAAGTGACTGTGTCCCTAGGAACGTGAGAGCCAGAAAGCACTTATGGGATCATTTGGGCCCACCCCTTTTTTTGCACAGATAAAGTGACTATGGGCCTGCCTAGGGAAGGAGCTGTTTCAGACCTCTCCATGGTTAAAGGTGGCCTGGGGACACTGCAGCCTGATGTCCCATGCCCTGCTCTTGCCAATACAATGCAGCAGTTGATGTCTTCTCTGTGGGGTCATCATTCTTTTATTGTACATTTTTCTGGCCCCCAACTACACTGAATGTTGCTTGAGGACAAGGATTTTATCTCTGCCTCTCTGTGCCCCTACGGTGTTCAGCACAGCACAGAGCACACGGTAGGCAAATGATGGTGCTATTAACATGAGAACCATTTTCGTTTGAGCTTTTGTTTTTGGGAGTTATCTCAAAGTGCCAGGTCGGGGCCACGATTGTCCTTGTCTTGGAGCATCTTGTCACTGGCCAAGCATGGAATGGGGTCACCTGGCAAGTGAGGAGCTCCCTGTGGGGAGGAGTATGTAAGCAGACGGGGAGAAGGTTCTGAGAGTGAGTCTGAGGATGGACCACCTCTTAGGTGGTCTCTAAGTCTTCACGATTCTGTCACTTGGAGAATGAAAGGAGACGCAGGGAGGTAGACTGGGTGGCAGTGTCTGGAGCCTGGGAAGATGGCTTGCCTTGTGGCAACCAGTCTTTGAGACTGGCTAGCTCCCTAGACCTCAAAATCCCTACAAGAGGCAGAGTTTGGAAGTGTTTATTTTTATTTATTTAGTTATTCTTCCCACACCCAGGCCTGTGTGGCAGAAGTTTTTAAACAGAGAAATCTTAGTTGAGTGCTCCCTACACCTAAGGCCCTACAGGCATCTGGGTGCCAAGGGCCGGACTAACAGGGCTTGGTATCTGACGCTGGTGAGCTGATCGCTTTGTTGGGGAGACGGGAAGCTGCACATAAACTCTGAAACAGAAACCATAAAAAGTAAATTAATACTCCAAGAGTTAACTAATAGTTCAGAATAAAAAGAGAAGCAATGTTTCAAGGCCCTACACGATTAGCTGCCCAATGAGGAGTACAGACAATGAGGGTTTGGGTTACTCTGAGGAGAAAGCACCCACCTCAGGCTGCTGGGCTCATGGAAAGCCCCGGAGGCTGGTTTCTGGCATTTTTGGTCTATTAACTGCTGTTGTGACCACTGAAATTTGACTTCCAAGGACCGGAAGCCCAGAGCTAATTCTGCGGCTTGTTGGTCAGGGGCTGGTACCAGTCACCTTCATGGGGCAAAAGCGCTTCAGTGGCCCCTGTCTAAAACAGGGGGCTGTGCCATCATTTCCCCTGCCCAACCTCCTCTGGGAGTGAGGTGCAGCCACCTTATTACACCAGCGAAGAGCAGCGAGGAGATGGAAGAGAGCCGGGGGTTTGCTGTGCCACCCCTCCCTGGTGGGGTGAATGAGCAGCTGCACCAGGAACCAGGGCCTTTCGGGTTGCATGGGGATTGGCCTTACAGCAGCCACTCTGTTGATGTCAGGAGGCCACAGATGCGATCAGTAAATACCTAGGGCAGCCTGCCTGTCCCACGGCCCTTTCAGTGTAGGGAGTAGGGAGGAGAATCTGGTCTCCTCGCCAACTCCCCAAGTCCTCCCAGTGTTTGATTTGCGATGTTGCTCCTAAGTACACCCTCAAACACCTTCCTCCTGCACCCCCTCCTTTTCCCAGTTGAAGCCCTGAGCAGGGAAAATGGGCATCTTGTCTTCCCTATTGCAGGGGGAAATTCAGATCTTTTGACTACCCCCTCCAAAACTCTTGGGGGAGAAAAATGGCAAGTCCACAGGAGGGGGGGATCCAGGGGATGTAGGGAGGTCACCTGCCCACTCTAGTAACTGTTCTCTTCCAGCCCCTGTCTGGGCTTCCCTGGGTTCCCCTTTGGGGGTAGAGAACCCAGGGAAAGGTGATCCTTGCCACATCCCACTTCCTAGGACTCACTACTCTGACCTGACTGTGAACAAACCCCGTTTTTTAGCTCAGCTGAGACAGGTGGAATTTTTCCAGTTCTACTTTCTCTGTGAGCATCTAGAAGCCACAAAGATTACATATCTTGCAGGAGGCCCAGGGCTTGTTTGGCTGACCTGTGACCAGCCTGCAGCCCATTCCCCAGCCTGTCTGGTGTCCATGTGCACATGTGTGTGTGTGCACGTGTGTCTTGGGTGTGTCTGACATGTTGCTGCCCTGCTGTCAATGGTTCTAGTCTGGGTCTGGGGTGGGGCTGCCCCTTTTGGCTCCTAGCACCTCTCTTCAGGCTTCAGCTCTCTTGACCACTGAGTTTCTCTCTCTTGCTTAGGGTCTCTGATCCCCAGTTTTCTTTGCAGAGCAGACTGAGACAACTGCCAGGTTTTGAACTTAACAAATGATCAAGCTCTTCTCAGCTCAGGATCTCAGCAACACCCACTTCCCTGGATTCTCTGCAATGATTCATCACTCAGGTGCCTTCTTCCTGCCCCCACCTCATCACGTCCCAACAAGGCACTGGCTCCCAGGCGACTCTCAGCAGGGGAGGCTGCACCCTGTCAGTTCAGCCTCAGTTGACACCCCAGTCCTCAGCACTGTAGCCCACCCTAGCGTGTCTTCCAGAGAGGGTCAGAGCCCTGTAGGATGCCACATCCCCAGGCAGAGCCTGGCAAGACCCCAGACCTTGAGAGAGCCTATAGGGAGGAGAAGAGGTGAACTAGTGGATATGAGGAATAAACCCAGGACAGAGTGGTGTCTCCCTAGGGTTACAGATTGGAGCAGGTGGTGGGCACTCCAGGACCCCCGCTGCAGGGCCCGCACCTCTCTGCTCACCTCTCTAGGGAGGGGTGAGCTGGAGGCAGCAGGAATGACTTCACATTTTTGTTGCTGTAGCTGCTGGGCTGAAAATAGTCCTTTCTCGGGCAGGCTGGCTCAGGGTGTGAAAAGCTCCGTTCCCAGGGAGCGGCAGGAACCAGCCAGGGAGAAAAATTAACCACAGGCCTGGCGCTGGCTCGCTTAAGAGAAGAGCGTGGCTCAACTCTCCAGCACTGTATACCGATACGTTTGTTTAAGACGGTAACCACGAACTCGGGAGCAGTTCGAGATGCCCTCAAATGCTCCCTCATTCAGACAGCATCTGCAGGCACACCGGTTACCATTTCCTGAGGGCTTCCTGCCCGGGGTGCTGTGCTAAAAGCTCCTCGCCTTGCAGTGTCTTATCCTCTAGAGACCCTGGACAGAGCTGGTATCATATTCATTACACAGATGTGGAAACTGAGGCTGGGGTAAATCAAGCAGGCTGCCTAGGGTCACACAGCAAGAAGCTGCAGAGGGGGGATCAAGAGCCAGGGCTGACCTCTGCCCTCTGGGGGAGTTTCTGTTATTCCTGTTTGCTTAGGGGGACAGGTGGCCCCAGCACTTCCCTGGCAAGCAGCTCAGGCTATACAGAGGCTTTGGTTCTTCACTTCCTAGGCTGCCTGCTCAGGAGAACACACAATTCAGAAACTGTTCCTGCAGCCCTTTGAAGGGATGGTCAGAAATAGAGGCGCCTTCTCCCCATGTTGGAGGGAATGGCTGGGGCTAGAGGGAAGTCGGGGCACTTCTGTACCTCTGCCCAGGAGCCCCAGAATCTAAACTCCCACATCAGTGTGATCACAGGGAGCTTGTCTATTCCCAGCACAATTCCCAACCTTCATTTCCACCCAAAAGTACACCAGATAATTAAGTCTCTCTCAGGCCTCCTCAATATAATGCAGATTAATTTATTATTTAAATCTGAGTAGAATATTAGCTCATTGTCTTAATAGTTCTGATAATGGGGGGAGCACAGGATAGAAATCCTCTCACTCACCCCCTCCCCAGCCAGAATGGAAAGACCCCAGGGGCTTGTCAGGCAGCTGGCAGAGTGGCTGCATGCAGCATAGCTGGGGGCCAGGCTCCCCAGTGGGTGGCAGGTGGCTACAAGTGTGTACCTCCAAATTGACTCTCAATGCAGGCCCCACCTTGAGCTCTGCCTGCCCCACCCCATGCCCAAGAAAGAAAGAAGAATGAGAAGGCAGGAGAAGCAGGAACCAGAAGCAATTTCCCAAGCTGGAGGCTGCTGGGAGACCCCTCCTCCTGGTTGATGGGGACTGGGTGAGGATGGGCAAGCACACTGGTGCCAAGGTCCTAGTGTCAGGGGCCCTGCACTCTGAGAGCCGGGAAGCCTTTCAGCATTGCAGTCTTCCCTTCTCAGAAATGGTTCTGGGGATATAGATATCTTCACCAAACGATCCAGAGAGCACTTTTGGTGGGGTTGGTTGTGGGGGAGATACTATGGAAACTGGGGGAATGGGGGCATAAATGGTCTTGGCTTGGCCAGCACTCTGCTTCCCCACTCCCACCCATCTTGTGTCCTGGAGGACCAAGGTAAGGCATTAGAGTGGCTGCCGTCTCTTCCTGTGATGCACACTTCTTCCCCATAAAGGATCTCTGGCGAGGACACATCCAGGCAGGTGGGCAGAGGAGTTGTCCTGGCTGCCTCTATTTCCCAGTAGAGTTGTCTTCTCAGCCTCCTGATCTCCACAGCCAGAGACAGAGATAATGAGAACTTTAACAGTCAGAATACACATCAGCACTGGGAGCTGTGGACCTTCCAGCTAAGTGCCTCTGTTAAGGACTTGACGTTTGTGTCCCCCTGCCACCCAAATTCTTATGTTGAAACCTGTATTGGGAGGTGGGGCCTTTGGGAGATTAATTAGGTGTAGATGAGGTCAGGAAGGTGAGGCCCTCATGATGAGATTAGTTAGTGTCCTTAACAGAATAGAAAGAGACCAGAGCTCAGTCTCCCTCCAACATGAAAGGACATAGCAAGAAGGCGGCTGTCTGCAAGCCCAGAAAAGAGCCCTCACCAGACACTGAATCTGCTAGCACCTTGATTTTGGACTTCCCAGCCCCCAGAACTGTGAGAAATAATTGTCTTGTTTGTATGCCCCTCAGTCTGTGGTTTTTGGTATGGCAGCCCAAGTTGCCTAAGACAACCTCACTATGCTGATGTGGAGACTGAAGCCTGAAAGGTCAAGTGATTGACTGTCAGTGAAGAGTGGGTTGGTTCCAGACTAAATGATGTGACTGGTGTTCCAGATGTCAGTGTTACCCCTTGAAATGGACCGAGTATCCATGGTGGGGCAAGGGGCTTGGCAAGGCAGGATGAAGGTATGTAGAAGACTGGGATGTGATCCTGTGCCCAGGATGCTGACAGAGTAGATAGAGTAGATACAGTTTAAGCAGCTGTCCTGACAGATGAGGACACTGAGACCCAGGGTTGGTAGCAGGAGGGGCTGGCACCCTACCTCTCAATGTCGTGCACCCTACCATGTTTGAAGCTTCCCTGGCTGCATCCTAACTTTGGAATAGTGGTTCAGGGTCATGTTTACCCTGGTGCCTTCCAGGTCTGGAGTGGTGCAGGAGCCGTTGGCACAGAAGGTACTGAATCCAGCCAGAAAAAATATACGGGACACATCGTGTGGCTGTGGTTTCTTCACACCATCCAGTCATACAGCTGGCAATTAATTTCCCCTATAAATGAAACACCTTTCATATCACTTTATCTAGAGAGCTTGAATTGACAGCCGCGGGTGTAATTTATACATACTTTTTACCCATCTGTTAGCATTCAGGCTTCAGGCTGCTTGCATTTTTTTTTCTTCAATTCTCTCCCCAAATTGAAAGGATTAGGTTAGGATTAGGTAAGTGTTTTAACCAGATATTCAGAAAGATGGATGGCAATATTTCCAGATGGCTAATGCCCAGGGGAGGCCTCACACAATGGTGGCCAGGTGGGGCTCAGTGATCTGGGAAATTGCCTCCACCTGAGAGCCCAGCAGCCTCCTCAGTCCTGATGCTGGAACTGCAGAGGGCCCCAGGGACTCTCCAGGCCCGCCCCTTCATTTTACAGATGAGAAAACTGAGGCCCAGAGAAGCAAAGGGACTCTCACTAGGTTTTGCAGCTGGCCAGAGGCAGGCCTGGCTGCAGTTAGTACTGGAGTGAGGGTAGCTCTGCTTTACCCTGAGAGGGGCAGGCGGTGGGTTTGGGAGGCATGGATACAATCTGGAAGTACTTGGATGGCCATGGGACAGTTTCTCTTGTCCCTCAGTGTCCATGAAAGTGGGGTTTACATAAATTGAAAGTACAACCAAATTAGGTCAATTTCTGGAGGGCTTTTTTCTGATCATGTGTGTGCATGTATGCATGCATGCATGTGTGTGTGTGCATGTGTGCGTCTGAAATACTGAGGAGCTCATGAGGGTTGTGCCACACCCCTGGACATCCACAGCCCTGCTATCAGTGTCCAAATGACCTTATTTCCTCTGACACTGTGTGCCTTCTTCTCCTAAGAAGTCTTGTCTTCCTGACCACTCCAAGGACCTTGGGGGCTAGGACCATGTTGGAGCCCTTGGGGACCTCCACAACTTGGCCTAGTCACTCTTCTCTGGGAAGCTCTCCCCCACCAGCTCTCCTGTCCCCCCATATCCCTGGAGCTCCCAGGTAGGAACCAATTGAGTCCCCTCAGGCCGGTGTGGGAGGCAGGGCTCAGTTTGTGTGGCTGGACAGCATCATATCATCTCTGGCTTAGGGTGGGCAGGGGCTAGTGTATGCCTGTCTTGCATTTCTTTGGGGAAACATTTGTCCCCAAGACATTTATATGTGTATTAAATGATGACTGATGTGTAGTACAGCCCTGCCTTAGGCTCCTAGGAGGTAGACATGAACACTACAGGGTCCTGTCCTCAGAGGTCACACAATGACTTCTGGTCCTGGGGATGGCCCACCTCTGCCACTCAAGGCCACAGCAAGGTGCTGATGGCTCCTGCTTCCTTCATCACCTCCCTCTTGCCCAGGCTCAGCCTTGGAGCCATTAGCCATGTGACTCTGTCTGGTTAGAATGAGTAAAGCAGTTTTGTATTAATGCAGGGACCTGGGGAGATTTGGCCATTAAATGTTACATTAGACCCAAGGTGTCCTGTACACGCTCCCGGTGGAGTTTTTCAGGCAGCCTTGGCTGGGGGGCCTCGGTGAGGGGGAACGTGCTGGAACTAACAACCAGGTGGGGAGGAGGGGAGGCTGGGCTGCGCTCTCCTCCTGGAGCTCCGAGGACATCCTAGAGAACTGAGGAGGAAGGGCAGGCACGTCCTTGCTCCCATTCAGCCCCACCAGGCCTTGCTGGCCATGGCTGGGTGCCCAGTTTGTCTCAGGCCCAGTGTGAAGCATCCAGGCTCAGCCCGCTGTCCCAGGGCAGCCCTGATTTCACTTCTTCTACCATCTGAGGAGCATTTCCTCCATGTCAGACCAGATGTCCTCAGCTTCAGCTCCAAAAATACAGCCACAGGAGGGAAGGGAGGCACAGAGGAGAAGTGGTGTCTCCTTCCTTGGAGGAGGTGGGGCCCACAGGGAATAATTAATAAATGGCACCGGTTCAATTTAAAATACAACTAACTGTATCCTGTGGGGCAGGTGATTATTGCAATGAGTGGCCTGGAGGGGAGAGCGAGGATATTGGCTGCAGTCATCTAGTCTTTCTGTCAACCTATTTACCCCTTGCAATCACCTACTCATCCACCTATCTACCTACCTAACTACCCATCTGTCTAACTAGCCATTCCCCTGCTTATCCTCCAAGGACCTTGGACAAACTACAGACCCTCTGGGCCTTGGTTTCCCTGTTGCAAATGGAGATAACAATTCTCCCCTGATCTCCTGAGCTTGTTTAAAGGATTGGATGGACTTAAAGATGATCCGTAAAGTGGTGCAAGGAATGTGAATATTAGATAGTGGATGCATTATTTTTGTTGTCAACGTTACTACCACCACAACCGTATCTGCCGCTGCTGATACCTAGACCGTTCTTGCCTTGAGATCATTTTCAGACTGTCTCTCCCCGCTGGACCAGTGACTCTGGACATCCACTGAAGGAAGGCTTGGGATTTGTTTTTAAAGATCTCCCAGCCACGGAGGGTGGGGCAGATCCTGAAGGAAGCTCCAGCCAGCCAGCTCCCTGTCTGCTTTCCAGATGCCAGGGAGCTGGCTCCTCCCTACCTCCCAGAACTCAACAATGCTGTGTGTGTGTGTGTGTGTGTGTGTGTGTGTGTGTGTACACACACGGGGGAGATGGGAACTGGGGAGCAGGCCTGTGGGGGCTGTAAGTGCATTAGTGGCTGGGATGGTTGCTGGGAGACGGCAGACAGATGCCGGATATGTTTGTATTTTCCAATGTTAAGGCCTCAGAACCAGAAAAAACAAACCAGGAGTTTCAAAATGAGGAGGCTAATTGTTCGGATGGGAAGATATTATTTACAGTAATGGGGCAATTAGGTAGGAGGGGTAGAAAGAGTCAGGGTGGTTTGGCTGCGGCAGCCTAGTCCAGCCCCCATGGGGACGAGGTGGCAGCCAGGGACTATTATCTTGAGTCAGACCATCTGCTTTGTGGTCACCCTCTATCTTGCAAGATCACCCTCTTTTGGGGAAGGTGCATATTAAACAGAAGGGGACACCTATCCACCCAGGGTTTCAGGAGTGGCAGCCAGCTTGCCTCCCCACTCACCACTAGGCTTGTGGCCTGGGGAGCATTCTATTCTTGAAGGCCCAGTGCAGTCCTCCTCCCTCAGGAAGTCCTCCTGACGACTGCAACTCACACCCATTCCCCCTCCTCAGAACTCCCCTGAATCTCCACACCTGAACTGCAAAGACCCTAGATGACACGGTGCGTCACCGAAACCGCAAAGACCCTAGATGACACCGTGCGTCACCCAAACCGCAAAGAACCTAGATGACACAGTGCGTCACCCAAACCGCAAAGACCCTAGATGACACGGTGTGTCACCCTTTACCTGGGGCATTTCCTTTATTGGGTGCCCCACTGGCTCCTGCTGGCACAAAGCTGGGCCTGGCCAGACTTGTGGACAAAGGATGAATTACCCAGGGGCTTTGGGAGGGTGAATGGAGGAGGAGAAGAAAGGGATAAAAATCAGCAGCAGCAGCTCAATGGAAGGAACAAATTAAAAAAATGACGAACATGGCTTCTGTAGGGACCCATGCCTCCAGGCCCACATTCATCCACCTGCTTGCCAAGTCGTGACATAAAGAAATAAAGATGGAAGTTGAGAATCCACACTCAATACGCACCAAACTCTTAGATCTCAGATTGATTCTCACTAGTCATTTGAGAATACTTAAAAACTAGATCTCAGAAAAAAAATTTTTTTCCCTTTGAAGCAGAAATGGCCCATTTGCAAATTAATGGCTGGGTGGGCCAAGATACCCTCTAGAAAGGGAGAAGGGATGGCTGTCAATAGCTGAGGAAGGGAAGGTGGCTGGGGTGAGGGTCATCACAGTGCATGCTACTGCTGAAGGGGGCTTGGCCCAAACAGCACAGCGAGCCCATGGGAAGTCCACATGGCGACTCCCGGGAAGGTTGCTTTCAGTCCACCGGGCACATTTCCAATACAAGGAAACAGATTGTGCTGTGCCTCGTCTCTGGACAGTTGCTAAGAAGAGGCTCGGCCGCTGGTAGCACAGTCTGCAAGAAGGGCTGTGGAACCCTGAGCCACCTGTATGGGAATGAACAAGACGTCTTACGGAGGCGCCTTGCAATTGTAGAATTCTCTAAGGAACATCTGGGCAGGGCTCCATAATCTCCCCCTCTCCGTCCTGTTAAGCTCTCCTTCCTTTTCTTACACAGTACCTGCTACCAACCACACTGCCTTCTGGGTTAGTTTGCACCTATCTTCCTAGTCTTGTCTGCACCCTTACTTCCCACTACCTTTTGCTTTCAAAATTCTACCCATCCCTAAGCCTCCCCTGACTTCTGCACGTGTGGCCAAACAAGGGGCAACTTGTTTCCAGTGCGTAGCTTTTGTCTTCCCAAATGGGAGCTCCTGGAGGGTGAGAACCTGACGGGAGTGGGGATGGGATTGGGAAGGGGACGTGTCTTCTGTGGATTAGAGCTAAACCCTAGAGCCTCACAGGGGGCAACGCCCTAGCCTGTCTCTGTCCCTCCGCCTCCTGAGACTTATTTCTTCTCCTTCCTTTGCTTATAAAAGTGGAAAAGTAGAAAAGACCTGGACCATCATTCTGCTTGTTAAAAATAAACACAAGAGGCAGGCTCTGGGTTAGATAAACAGGGGAGTGGGGGGAGGGTCTCCCAACTGCACCATCTGCCCTGTGCTACCCCATACTGATTCTAGCACACTCCCTCTGCATAAAGGCCCTGGGCTGGCAGGAGAGGAGGCCCATGGCCTGCTGCAAGGTTTGAGAGAGCTCCCCACCACCGAAGTGTGTGCATGTGCCGAAGTGTTTTGGCAGAGGGGCTTCAGCCAGCGTTTCTCAAAGCAGGACAATGACATCATCAGTGTGGGTGGAGGCTTTCATCCCTGAATGGCTGGAGAGTGGCTCCAAGGCTCCCCTGGAAGGCCTCAGGAAGAGGGTCCAGGCTTCCCTGCCCACATCTTCATTGGTATGAAAGGGTGGGGAGCAGACCCTGATTCCTCGGCTCCCTCTCCCTCTCCCTCTCTGTGTCGGGGCTGGGGGTGGTCACTGACATGGAATCCTGAGCCTCCTTCTGTGTTCACAAGCTCAATCCCTTTTGCGCATAATTCATCCGCCCTCCATTCGCCAGATATTTACTGCTCACTCTGCCCAGCGAGATGTCAATTCAACAAATATTCAGTGTGCATATTCTGAGTGTCAAGCTCTAAAATAGATGCTAAAAATTTAGAGGTTTCTGCAACTGAATATGGGCCTGACGTGTATCTGTGAGATTCTCCTCACGCTCTATAATCCTTGGCCTTGAATCTCAGCACTGCTACGTACTGGCTGTGTGACCTGGGGCCAGTTACTAACTTCTCCCTGCCTCAATGTTCTCATCTGTAATTGGGGTTGCTGTGCTGATTAAATGAGTTAACATATGCAAAATGCTCGATCAGAACCTACTATACTGATGTCCCAAGTTCCTACTATGTGTGAGACCCTGACCCTGAGCCCATTCTCTTGACCCCAGGGTGCTTACCCTGCATTTGGTATCCAGGCACCTGTATAGACCCCCTGTGTGGGTAGGGGTGGATCCCCCCTAGCATCCCCGTCCTGGACTGCAGCTCAGGAGTCCAGAGCCCGAGATAGGTCTGGAGACACTGTAGGCAGCCGGGCAGGAGCTGTGTCTGGACGCTTTGACGAACTCCCTGAGAGAGGCAACCGTGGGAGGAGGCAGCGGGCATCATCTGTGAGTCCTTCGGGGGTGCTGGACTCCATTTATGGTGAGGTCACTTATGAATATTAAATTCTTTGCTCCAGGCTCCAAAGATTCCCACTGCCCTGCTCTACCCAAAAGCCAAGGTTACAGCCGTAATAAACAAAGCTGCCCTTCTCCAAGAGAAACATGCTCTCTCTCTCTCTCTCTAGCATGCATACACACACACACACACACACACACACACACACACACGCGAACGATGCAGTTTCAGAGGAGGAAGGAGGGAGGTGGGGAGGTGCAGGGGTGGGCTAGTTCCTGGGTATGGGGTGTTTCTCTGCACTGTCCATGGCCCCGACAGGCTCAGGAGGGGCCCTCCAGACGAGGCTCCCCATTCCCTTCTGCCTCCCCGTACCTCCCTCCCGGAGTAAGATTCTGAGAGACACTAGGTATGGTCACCAAAAGAACTTGAGTTGACTCTCAGAAAATAAAGGGAGTTTCCAGGAGAGGGTGCTGTTGGAACATCCTGTGTGCGTGACGCGGGCTCCTGGGCTTGCGGCCTGCAGAAGGGCACACACAGCCTGCCAGCTTCAGGTGCAGACAGAGGCTGGGTGGGGCTGCTCGGAAAGGAGGAGGGGGCATGTAACTGTAACTTTGGTGCACTTTTTAAAGACATAGCCTGAGGGCAGGACCCAGGAACCTACCTTTTAACCAGCACCTCTAGTTCTGGCTGATTTAGGTGGCCTGGTGCTGAGGACAGGCTGAGAAAGGCTGGCGAGAGACTAGGATCCTACATCCTCCCCTCCCCACCACACTTCAGAGACCCTGGGCTGCAGAAGCGGGAGCAGAGGGGCCAGTCTGAGCCCTTTGCTGGACATCCTGCCCCAGAGAGCGCGGCCAGGGTCTTGTTTCTCTATTCTCCCCCAGGGGAGCAGAAATGGAGCCTGGAAGGGTTTCTCGGTGTTTCGGTAGGCTGAGTCCCTGAGTTGGGTTTGGGGTCTGCTGCTGAGTCCCTGAGGGGTGTCTGGGGCCTGCAGCTGGGGTCTGGGGTCGGTAGTCACAGTGCTGGCATCCAAATGTGTGTGTGACTCAGAGTTGTCACCTCGTGGGGTAGTGCTGCCGCCAGACAGCCTGGGGCTGAGTTACAAGGACACAATGATTAAGATGATTAAGCAGAGGAGGGGGGAGCAGGGAGAGAGAGGCAGGCATGAAGACAATGCCCGCAAGGATGGGGTGGCAGATGCAGGGAGGCAGAGGCCCAGGGAGGGGCAGAGGGACGGGACAGTTGGAAAGAAGGCAACTCTTTCCAAAAGAGAAAGGGAGGCATAAGTCCGATGCATTCCGTGTCTCCCATAGAGCTTCCCCTGAGAAGCTGAAGAGGAGAAGAGGCAGAGAAGGCAGACAGGGAAATGGCCACGGGAGGCCTGGAAGCCTCATGTCGCCTGTGTGCCCGCAGGTCTCTTTCTCTGTCTCCCACCACCACCATCCTCCTCCTCCTTATCATCTACCCTTTGAGTATCTACGCTATGCCAGGCCCCACGTGGACCCAGCTTTTATCCTCTTCACAACCCTTCAAGGCAGGTATTAATATCTCCACCTTACAGAGAATGAGAAGGAGGCTCAGAGTGGCGAGAGCCCGGACTTTGACCCAGGCTTTGTTAGCGCCATCCTCCCCTCATGCTTGCGGTTGCTGCTCCAGAGAAGGTCACAGACATGGATGCTTTGCCTTAGCAGGAGCGGACTAACGTGGGTGGTGGGGCTGTGTCCAGGTGGATTGTGCATGTGATGAGGAGGGTCTGCAGACTGCATAAATGCTACAGCCATGCCACACTTTTGAACCCTCATTACCCATGTGCAAGAGACGGATGGATTTGGAGATCAAGGACCTTGTATTGTAGGCCAGGGGCTCTCCAGGCCAGTGACACAGCCCCAGCCTGGAGGGGTCGAGCCAGGCCTGGGTGACCAATGCAGCCCCCCAGGGTCCTCAACTGGGGGTGCTGTTGGGCTCCCTGTGTGAGGGAGGGCAGGAAAGGCTTGGACTGTAGTTTCCACAGGTTCATATTTGAGTCCTGGCTCTACCACTCATGAGCTGTATACCCTTGATTAAAGTCCCTGGTCTCTTTGTGACAGCTTCACCACCTGGAAGATGGTCCCAGCCCCCAGTGTGTAGGGTTAAATGAGAGTCCATGTAATGCACTGGACACAGTTTCTGGCACACAGCAAGCATGCAGTAAATATTAGCTAATATTTCTTTAATCATTCAAATAATCATTTATTCTTTGGTTCCCACCCTTCCTCCTCTCTCTACCTCTCCCTTCTCCTGAGCTCCCTCTCTCCTCTCCCCTCATCCCTCACTGTCAAGCCTGTTTTCAGAGAGTCTATCAGGTGTCAGGAGCCACTCACGAGAAGACCATGGTGTTGCTGGGCAGCACAATTAAGTCAGTACCACATTACTGGTCATTTTCTGTGTGCAAAGCCCTGTA
Organism: Homo sapiens; assembly: GCF_000001405.40. Lineage (NCBI taxonomy): Eukaryota > Metazoa > Chordata > Mammalia > Primates > Hominidae > Homo > Homo sapiens. The sequence continues at coordinate 37,446,882 of NC_000018.10, forward strand.
ATTTGCACAAGACACACTGGCCTTTCTTTTTCCCTCAAGGAGCTTCTGCCAAATAGGAGATCCTTGGCAAGTATAGGAGTGATTTCACTCATTCACTCACTCATTCATTCACCATTAAAATATCCTTCCTTGACTATCCAGCAGTGTGTGATCAGTTGCAGAAATGAGGAGATGCAATAAAATCCTGCCATAGTCGCTAAAAGTGGAATAAGAAAAGAAAAAAAAAATAATCCGATAAAGGGCAGGGTCTCATTATTGTGAGGCCAATGAAATGCCACAGTGGGTGCCTGTGCAGCCAACGGGCCAAGGGCTCTGGAGCCCAGAAGCCAATCACCAAACACTTGGCATCCAAATTCATGTGATCCAGAGCACGTCACAGAGAGGCTCCCTCTTGATTACAAGACTCACCCTCACATGCTGGTTTGTGAAGCGGCTTGAGTGCATTATCTTGTTGCATCCTCCCCATAGCCCTGGGAAGGGCTTCAGGTGTCACTACAGACACTGCACAGGGAAGGATGGTGACTTCCCACAGTTCCCCAGTGCTCACTGTCAGAGTCGGGGCCTCACTTGCACCCCGTGCTCCTTTACCACCCCTTCCAATCCCCATTGACCCGAACTGGGCCTTCCTCTCCTGCAGCTGGAGGGAGCGACCCGTTTTTCTTTCTCTGTGCAGGCTCGCTCCCCAGCCTCCAGGAGCTCCCCAGGGGCCCTGGCCCACCCAGCACATCCTTGGCTGCTGGAGGGCTCAGAGCCCTCTTTGCAGGTCAGCTGTGATGCCACATGGGCCCTGGGTTGAGGGGTGGGTGTCTGCACCCTCTACCCATCTGGGGCATGACTTTATTTTCTGATTCTTACCTGCCCTGGTGTTCGGGTTTGGGCCAATGTTCCTGAGTTTTTATTGACTGCCTGTCTTTTTGTGGGAGATTCATTCACTTATTCAGTGCCTCTTCCCATCTTTGTTCATTCATTCCACATGAGCCAGTGGAGAACCCTAACAGCCAGATGGCCAGCACCACTGGGTGACCATCCCCCAAGCACCTCCACCTCTCCTCCGGGGCCATCCAGGGCTCCCTGCAGCTCCCTTGCTTCCATCCTGCTGACACAAATGAGACGTATCTCTCCTCAGAGCCACATTGGTATAAGCCTAGGTCTGAGTACACGGTGGCATTCAGTGATTCCCAAATTAAAATGATCTAGAGCCATGAGGCAGTCGAATGGCCAGTTGTGCAGAGCATCGCATAGTCATTACAGGTAACTTTTGGATGCTCAGTGGTGCTGACATCAGCAGGAATTTGCTTCCCGGTTCAAACTGGAGGGAGTGGGTCTCTTGTCACTGAGGCCTTGAGGCTTGTGCATGATGACTGGAGCCTGAAGCCCGGGCAGTTCTCCAGGAATGAGTTCTCTGAGGAGGACGGGGCCAGGGCCCTGGGTGCTGGCAGAGGACAGAGGAAGTCCTTCCCTTCCCTACCAGTCACCAGTCCTCTGAGGTGTGCCTCCAGCCCACGGCTGCACAGAAGCCTCCCTGACTGCAGCCCCACTGACAGCTGAGCCCCCTGGCGAGGCCTTGCCTTCACACGGTATGGCCCTATGCTGTCCCCTCCCGGCTGTGACCTCAGTGCCACGGCAGGGCATGTCCAGCTCTGACGCATTTGCTGACTGGCTGGGGATGGGGAGTGGCAGCCATCCCCACCCTTTCCGTCTTGCGCAGGTGCTGGCCCCTGACAGCGTCCTGGCATCTGGGAGGCTGGCGGGAACTGCCGTGAGCTGCTCTGACCGCCTTCAAGGGCACTGCCAGGAATAGATGTGGCCACCCCACTGCCTGCATGGGTCTGGCAGCCTCGAGTGCCCCATCTCCAGACTCTGCGCTTCCCAAGAAGTGCTCAGCCCACTGCCTGGTTCCTTGGAGATGAAAGTTCCGTTTGGTACTGGGACCTTGCTCTTCAGAATGTGTCTACTCACCCTCCCATGGCATGGCCCAGCAGATGCTATCCTGCCCACCCTCTGGGCCCACACGCCACAGCCACTGGCCAGGCGCAGACACAGAGCCAGCTGACTGTTTGATGCCAGCATGGCCCAAGCCTCATGAGCTCCCCCAATGGGTTTGTCCAAGCAGGAAACCCTTAGTGACAGCATCACGCTCCTTTGCCTTTTTGGCCAAGAAACAATGCCAGGGAGATGAAATGACTTGCTGAGTCACAGCTTGCCAGTAGCAAAACCGGACCACCAACCCACAGCTGGTTGCCCCAGCTCAGTAGCCTAGGTGTTCATAGGAAAGAGATGGCTTCAGGATTGGAGATCAGGGAGGGCTGCAAGGAGGAGGAGGCATCTGAATGCTTTAGAACGATTTGGGTCCTGAGGCAAGAGGAAGGATGTCATCCTAAGGGATGGGGAAGCATGGGTTGCCTTTGACTGAGAGTTACTGGGCCAGTGTGACTGGGACAGCGGGATCATGGGGGACAGGGAAAGGAAGAAGCGTGCAGCCCAGGGAAAGGGGCATGACAGTGCTGGGAGCTTGATCTCAACTCTGCTTCCAGGCTGGCTATGGGATTCTAGGGAGGTGGGAGAAGTTCTACCACCCACTCATTTAAGCTTGCAGGGTTCTTTGAGAAGCCCTATGCCACTGAGTGACAGGCCCTGTTCCAGATCCGGGGATACAGCGGTAAACAAATTCCCTGCTCCTGAAGCACACGGTCTAGTGGAGGGGGACCAACAATGAACATGCAAGTCAGGGCGTAACTGGTTGGACGGTCACAGAAACAGTAAAGCAGAGTAAGGGGAAGGAAGAGCTACTTTAGATAAAATGGCCAGGGAAGGCCTCTCTGATAAGGTGACATTTGAAAAGAAACTGGAAGGAAGTGAGAGAGTGAGCCAAGTGAGCATCTGAGAGCAGAGCTTTCCAGGCATAGGCAGAGCACATGCAAAGGCCCTGGGGCATGTGGGAACCAGACAAGAATTTGTAACCTCAAGGTGTGTCCCTTATTTAGCTGGAGGCCCTTGGCTCTGGCTACCACCCCCTGCCCACCTTTCACTCTTCCACACCCAGGACGCCATGAGCCCAGGACAGGCAGTGAGAGCAGTGGGTGCTGAAGTCCCTGCACTAACAAGGAGAAAACCCAACTTCAGGAGTTGAGGGACACAGGGTTTTCCCAGAGCCCAGAAGTGCAAGCCTATGCTATGGAGGGGCCAGGGTGGGGGAAGAAAATTCCAGGCGTGGGGAGGGGAAGGGAGCAGGGAAGGCTCAGAGGCTAGAGGGTGTGTGTGTGTATTTATATGTGTGTGTGGGAGGGTACAAGTTTGTATGGGAGTACATGTGGGTATATTTTCGTATGTGTGTTATGTATGTGTGTTATGTATGTGTGTATGCGTGTGAGTGTTGGGAGGAAGAAGCAGGCTGAGCGGTCCCATTGTGGCTGGAAAAAAACGCGTTCTCTCTCGCCCTCTCTTTGTGCTATACGTCTCTCTCTGTCGATCTCTGCACCTGTGTCTCTGTCTCCCTGTCCAGGTCTCTCTCGGTGTCTCTCTCCTCCCTCCCTCCCTCTCCCCTGCACCCCCTTCTTTCTCTCAGAACAGGAAGAGGCCTGCAAAGGACTGCCATTTCCCTCTGTCTCCCCGCCCCCTTTCCCTCCCCAGGTTTTTTCCCTTGCTCCTTATTCAAGGCAGATAAAGTGCGCACAGCTGCTCCCAGCTGAAACAGGCCTTAATTGCACCCCCGTTGCCATGGCGATCCCTGATGATCTCCATGGCTGGAATGTTGCCCTCCCTATCTTCCCGCTGGGGCCTCCGGGCAGCACAGCCTCGCTGACCCTACGGGGCACCCGCCTCACCTCATGGGCTCCCCAGATGCCTTCCCCTCCCCCATGGTGCACAGCCCATCTCTTTGCCTGCAGGGCCTCGGTGGTACCTGTCACTCCTTGGGACGTTCCTGGGTCCAGCATAACAATGCACAGGCTCCTAGCAAGGGACAACACATTCCTCTGTCACTAGCCTTGGCCTGGTTTTTCAGGAGTGGGAAGGAGGGGACCTGGCTCAGAAGGCTGTGCTCTGGGCCTCATCACTTCACTTGTGGACCTGCCAAAGCCCCACCCACTGCCCTGAGTGTGGCTGTGGGCGCCTTTGTCAATGCAAAGCAGCCCACATGTTGCAGTTTCTATCTGAAGGAGCCCCAGGGACATGGAGATGGTGGTGGCCCTGGTAGAGGGAAGGGCTGCAGAGACCAGGCTCTGCAATGGGACAACCAGCAGGATCAGCTGCCCCCCGTCCCACTGCAGAGGACATGGGCAGAGTAGGGGACAGAGTGGTGGCTCCCTTGGGAGGAGGAGGGGGACACTGAGGAAATCCCAATGGGGACAGGCCCATTGTGGGCCAGGAATGTGAGCCTGATAAGGGAGGTGGACAGTGTGGTGTGGGCTGTGTGTGTCTGTGAGTACGAACGTAGTGTGTCTGTGTATACGTGTGTGCTTCTGTGTGTCTGTGTGTATCTGTGCGTGTGTGTATGCTGTATGTGTGCATGTGTCTCTGTGCATGTGGTTGTGTATGCATGTGTCTTTTGTGTGTGTGCATGTGCATGTGCAGTATGTATGTGTATGCAGGTATGTACCCATGTGCATGTGTGTCACTGCATGTTTGTGCACGCATGTGTGCACATGCACATGTGTGTATGTATGTGTGTGTGTGTCTGTGGTTTGGTCCACATCCCTGCCTTGCACTTCCCTCCACAGGACCCTCTGCTGGCATCCGAGCTGGGCCACACAGTAGCTAGCGCGTGTTCACAGCTCAGTGGCTCCTGACAGGGGTCTCCGGGAGGGCAGTCGTACTTAGCACCCAGTCAGCACACCCTGAAGAGCCATCAGACATGACGTGGGACAGCGCTGAGCGGCCCAAGAAGCCCCGCTGCTGGTGCTGTTCCCTCACATCACCCACTCCATCCTCTGAGCAGCCCAACCCCAGCCATCCATCCAGTGGGGCCTGGAATGGAGTGGGCTTCTCATATCCTGGATCTGATGGGCCTGCTTAATTCCCTCCTCCACCAGCAAACCTAGAGATGAGCCCAGGGCGGGGGATCCCAGCACTTTCTGCCCACCCCTCCATTCTTGGGATCTGAGCCCTCCTCTGCCCAGCACCTGGGCAAGGCTCCCTGCCTCCACGGGCCCCTTCTCTGGGCTGGCATGTGCTGCCTACCCATCAGCCAGGAGGCAGGGACAGTGGGATGTGGGGCAAGATTTTCCAGAATGGAGCATCTCTGGTACTCATCTCTGCCAGCAATGGTGTCGGCTGAATGCACGCCACCCTGAGCCACGCTTGGTAATGTAATAATGGCAATAATAGCAGCAGGAGTAATAACAGCTACTGCTTATTAAGTGGCTGCCACATGCCAGGTGCTGTGAGTAGAACTGCAGAACTCTAACACACCGTGGTGTCTTCTCACAACCCTTGAGGCCAGGACTGTCATTTCTGCACAGATGGGGAAACAGGCGGTGCCTGCCCAGCCAGGCAACTCAGCTCTTGGTGGTCAAGCTCAAGGAACCCCAAGGTGGACCCAGAGGCCTGTGGCTGTCCTACCCCAGGCCCTGGCAAGCAGTTTCTCTTTCCCTGGGCTGTCAGACGCCAGCACCTCCTGCCTGGGGTAGGGACATAGGCTTGAGGGGCTAAAATGTCACCTCATGCATTGTTTTGGAAGCAGAACTCTCTGGGAAAGGATTTCTGCTTGAGAGTCTGTGTCACGGTGTCTCTGCATCAGAGCACCACCCCACCATGTCCCCAGGTCTGCTGGACACTGCTCAAGGAATCATCCTCTTTCTCTTACAGACCCTGGTTAGTAGGCTTTCCATACATATTTGTAAATAAGTAAAGGTGTGAAATATGAGTGCTTCTTATCTTAATTCATCACTCTGACTTCTCCCTTTTCTCAACCCCCAAATGGTTCCAGAATTCATCTCCTTCGCCTCTGCATAGCCACATCTCTGGCTGAGATCCCAGCATAGCCTGAGCCAAGTACCCACTGCCCCCACCCCTTCTTAACCCTCACACCCCAAGGGAGTTGAAACTCAGGGCTGGTACCTCACTGCTCCATGCAAAAGTCTCCTCCAGCCCGCAGAAAAATGTTGCCTGGCTTTGCCAGCCATTCCAGACCCTCCAGATGAGGCACCACCCCCAGCTGCCCCTCACACACCTGCCTCAACTTCCTGAATATGCTTCTACATCTGGCCTCTGCCTTGCTTCCGGGTTCCCTCTACCTGGAATGGCCCCCTCCTTTTCTCTGCCTGTAGCAATACCATTCCTTTTATGGTCCAACATATTTGCTCATACTTCTGGGAAACCTCTTCCTGGCCTGCAAAGGCACCGCCCTCTTTTTACAAAACTGACCACATTATGTGTGTGTTCTTGCCATTTGCTGAATGGATGAATGAATATGATAAGGCAGTTCAGGAAAAACAGCTTGTGTTTGTGGGGTACTCCCTAACCTTTAGCCCAATGCTAATTTTCTTGAACATTCTCTAACCAGCCCCAGTAACTCTCAGGGTCACATTTCTTCAAAGCTCCCAAGGAGGGGATTATGAGTACTGACCGTGTGACACTCTTGGGGGAACTGGTCCCTGCCACAAACCTTCACTGGGGCTGGAGGCTGCTGTCCTGACTTTAAGGGCTATGGGATTTAAGAGAAAGGGGTTACAGAAAAAGCCGACCCTTGAACTGGGAAAGATTTCCATGGAGAGAGGTCATTTCAGGTGGAGGGAACCTCAGGAGCAATGGCAAGGAGGTGGGACTCGGCACAGAGCATCGGGGGTCAATGGTGAGGAGGCTGGCCTGCCTGGGGTGGAATTCAGGCTGAGGGCAGGGTGCAGATGACCCATCAGGGCCTCAAATGCAGACTGCAGTCACTGGATGGCCAGCAGCCTGGGAACAGGGGTAGTCTGAAGAGAAAATGCCGATATGAGCCTCTGTACCACCCTGGCACCTAATAATACATAAGGTAAAATAAAGAAGCTTATTTTTCCAGCAGGACTCATGAACTCCCCACAGGCAGCAGCTGGTTTTCTTCTTCCTTCTCCCCGCTCCCTCCACCCCCGTCCTGTTTGATCTAACCCAAGTCTTGTTCTTCAGGCTGACCTTGGGTTTTGCCTGGATTTGGACTGAGCTGCCTTCTCCAATGAGCCAGCATTCCTCTCCACTCATCTGTCTTTCTAGCAAAAAACCCCTATTGCCTTGCCTCCAGACAGACCTATCATATTTGGAAAAAGGAAGTTATAATTCAGGTTAAAAAATAACTAAAAACAGCTTTGCAAAGATTTGTGCACTGGGAAGCAGAAAAGCAAATCATATCCCTTTGCATCCCAACAGGTGGGCAGTAGTTTCTCGTTGCCTGAAAGGGGCTGGGAGGTACGAGAGGATGCATCTCAACTCTGAGCATCTCCTGTTTTCCATGCCAGGAGGCAGGTGGGCTCTGTTCTATGAAGGAGGCCTGGGAGCCCAGTGAAGTTTGCCGCATTCAAATGACCCAAGTCAGACCTTTAGGCTCCTCCAGTGACCCTCTCTTGCTTGGGTGGGGGACAGCCAACCCTTTGCTGACCTCCTTTACAGGTAGCCCCCACATGGTTCTTGTCATGCATCTTGTGACCTTATCTGTTGTGAGCACCTTGAAGGCAGGAATGTAGCTTAATTTTCCCTGTGTTCACCCACAGCTTTGTTCACACCCCCGCAATAAGCAAGGTATTCAGGACAACCATGCTGATATGTGATGGCTGTATTATGACCACCCATCAATATGGAAATGTCCATCCGGCATCAGGAAAAAGAGTCCGCCTGCAAAGCATATTTTACTCCCAACATCACACTTTGTTTAATTAACTATCTCCACTGGCGGTTGTTAACACAATAAAATATATTTTTTAAAAATAACATGATTAACCTTGGGAATTAAAGAGTCAACTAAACACATTGTTTTCACTGTACCAGGCACAGGAACCAGCCCTGGATGTGCTACGGCCCCTAATGAGGAGAGCAGCCATCAGTTAACTTACAGCCCTTTCCTCTCTGTGACGTGTCTCCAGCACGAGGACATGGGTCCCTATCCCTAGAGTCAGCTCTGCCGTGGCCAAAGTCCCATCCCATCTCCCTAGTGAGAGCCTTCTCCCTCAGGGATGCCCAGTCTGTGCATTGCTAAGTGGCACTTTAGGGGAAAAAAAATCCACATTCAAATGTATTTCTCTCCCTCTCCACTCAAAACCTCTGGGCTTTTGGATACGAGAGCCTTTTATTTCCTTAAAACAGCAGCGCCTTCATTTTGTTTTAAGGATTTAATGCATTGAGAGGTGGGAGGAGCGGATGGGAAGTAGAGAATTTCTCAGGCCTATCTGCTCACACCTTCTAAAGGATGAACCATACCAAGTGCAGAGCATCCAATATTTGGGCCAAAGTTAATTCTTTCTTCCTTTGTCTTCAGGCTTAATTTGCTCAGAGGGTTCTTGTGAGTGAGACCTCCTCTGCTTTTTATTATTCTACCTCTTCTCCCTTCTCTCCTCTTCTTCCAACTCATGTCCACTTCCCACCAAGGGTGTCACTGTACCCTTGTGGGATAGCACAGCCAAGGCCTGGGCTGTAGGGGGCAGGAAGGAATGTGGTTTGGGGCTCCCCAATGAGAAGCCCCTCTCTTTCCAGGCCCATAATTGGGGAGCCAGGGCTGACAGGGCTGAGCCCAGAGTGCCTCTGCCCCAGCCCTGTGACATCAGGGCTGTGGACACAGAATGTGAGCATGGGCAGTCAGGGAAGGATGATGGAGGTGGATGGCAGATCCCTGCAGCAGATCTGCAGGACACACGCTTTTAGGTCATAGACAAGGTCTACAAGCTGGGTCACTGCAGGAAATCTTGCCACAGAGAATGACTGATCATATACCCGCAGCTGGGACAGGCCGAGGTTTGGGCCCCCGGGCTCTCCCAGGGCTCTGTAGAGAGGTCTCCTCACCCTGATGCCACTGAGGGCCAGAGGAGCCTCCATCCTAGAATCTCGCAACCTCCTTCCTTTGGAGCCTGTCTGCACCCCCAGACGGGAAGGTCCCTGAGGGCTGGGCTCACTCTTCATTCACTCTCCCATCTCTAGCAGCATGAAATGCACTGAGTGACTTCTTGTTGCTGAATCTGGGCCCCGTGGCTTCTGTTCTCCTCCTGAGGCCTCTGGAGTGTCATACCTACCCTTGGTCACCTGTGGCAGAGGGAACCCCAGAGCCTCGGTCCTGCTTCAGTGCTGGCACCTTCCTCTTTGGCTGCACAGCTGCCCCTGGTTTCTCCCCATCAAGTTATCCCTGGGCCTTTTCCTCCTTCTCCAGGGCAGACACCCTGGTCTGGCCTTTTGCTTCTGAGGCCTTGTTTCCACCTCTGTGCCTTAAAAGAACCCTCCATTGTGGGGCTTGGTAAGGACTCTGGAAGTGGCCTCGGTGGGGTGGCCCGTAGTGCTGGCTTGTTGAGACCCTGAAAGGACAAGCCTGCTTCTGCAGGCCCAGGACTCTGCCTGCCCTATATGGATTGAGGAGTGAGGCTTTGCTTCTCTGTGTGCAGGACCTGGGTTAACAACCTGCCTTGTCCTGCTCCGTCCAGCCCTGCACGTCTGACAGCGTGTAGTCCCAAAGGGGACTCTGTCAAAGGGCTCAGGGCCACTCAGATCCATGATGAACATGACTCCCTTATCTGCAGGGCCACATCTTTCCCAAAAGGCTTCTGCTGCCATCTTCTGACTGAATTCCTTTGGGTCGAAATTAGGATGGGTCTTCTTAGCCCCCATTTATAGCTGGGGAAACTGAGGCCCAGGTGATCAGGTGATACACAGCCATGAATAACAGAGCCAGGCCTGTACCCTCCTGCGGATGCTCAATCTGGGGCCTATTCCTGATGCACTGTAGCCATGCCCAGGTGAGAGGCAAAGATCCACATGCCATTCTCTGGGCTGCCAGTCTAGTGATCATCTTTACCAGGCCAGAGGCATTTCCTGAGACCACACCTCGGGAACTCCTCCAGCCCCAGGCCTGCATGTTTAGAGATTCAGCCTTCATTCCACTTCTCCACTCCCTTCCTCATCTTTGGATGGGACAGCCTGATCTTCCTCTCCCAGGCTTTCTGTCACTGGGCCTCCCAGAAGCTCCCTCCCTGGTGATGTCTTTCCTGAGGAGGCTTCTGAGACCTGCCCCCATCTGGAAGGTTCAGTGGAAGTAGGAGGTGGCTGCTTCTATCACTGGGTGCTTGCAGAAGCCGGGGTGCCTCCTAAAGAGCAGGAGGGCCTCTGAGTGTCTCTGGTTCTCCTCTTGGGACAAGGCCCTGGCTCCCTGTGGCCTTTGTTGCCTCCAGAGCCTGACTGGAGCTGTCTTCAGGAGACACCAGCGGCTGATCGTGGCCCCTCGCTGCCAGCTAGGCCATGGCTGAATCTAGCAGGGCTTCCTCCTCCTCAGAGTGGTCTCCCTGAAAATATCCCAGTCCTCCTGAAAGCCCCCTCCAGACACAGAGTCAGCTCTTTCTGGGACCCTTACACCCCAAGATCCAGGGCTAAGAGTGCCGCTGGGCATCTGGGAGTGTGCAGAACTTGGAGAGAGGAGGGGAAAGGAGTCTTCCACCAACCCACTTCCCAGGCAGCTGCTGAACAAATCCAGGGACTTAATAGGAGCCACACAAAGCCCTTGAGTTGCTCCAGAGATCAAGGGTCAGCCTGAATACCTCATTAATTAACTGAGCAAGGCTTCCTGCTATTGACAGGGTCTGGGAGCTCAGCCTGGGAGAAGACCTTACATCCCGCAGCCCGAAGACCATCTCCACTTCCTCCTCCTTTCCTTTCTCCCACTCACTGGTGCCCACTGGCCTGTTCCATCCTCTGAGCCCAGCTTTCCCAGGAGGCTGTGGCCTGGCAGGACTGTGAAATGTGACCCTTCCATTTTCAAGCCTGACCCCCAAGTTGTTTCCCTGTCCTCTATCCCTGCCCACTCCTCCTCCAGTCCTTTCTAGCATAATATCCGATGCTCCAAGGATCCAGCACAATCTGGCTCCCACACACCTTCAAATGCTGCTCCTGGATGTCTATCACCAGGGAGAGGATGTGACGAGCTGATTCACACCGAGGTGTCAGGCTGAGGGTGTTGGCAGAGTGGGTGGGTGGGTGGTGATTTCGTTCCAATAAGGGTCATGCGTGAACTCTAACAGTATAAGTTTTAATGATGGGACTTCGAGCATCAAAGACAGGCCAGACAGCAGGATATTTTGAGCAAGGAGCCCTTTCCCGGGACGGCTAAGGTCATGAAGTGGGGGTGGCAGCATTCTGTGCTGGTGGCTGAGGCTGTCCTGTCTCTGGAGCTCTTTTTCCCATTAGGGCTCTGCTTTTTCTCTGCAGATGTGAGTATCTGCTTTGGCCACTTCCACTGCCATCCCTAGCACCACCCCTGAGTTTTCCAGGTGCACACTAGAACTCTTGCCTCTGGGAGTTTTCTTTGCCCTAGTAAGGATGTACCACTAGTGGAGATTTCCCCATGGTGGGGACTGGCCTTCCATTCAAATGTTGCTGAAGAGAGGGCTCCATTATCACCTTTGGGCTTATGTGGAAGGAGTACTGCATGGCCAGGTATTTCACCTCCTGGCATGGAATGAGGTTCTTCAACCTGCTATTTTTGGGGACCAACACATAGGAGACCTTGTTACAGTTTGCAGTATCTCTGTTATAACTTGTAGAGCTCATCCCTGCCGGCTGACATTTGTAGAGCCTATTGCTGTTTGCAGAGCCAGCTGTTTCTTGAAGGGCTCGTCACTGGCTTTAGAGCCTGTGCTGTTTGTAGAGTCTGTTGTTTGCAGAACCGGGCATCACATGCAGAGCTCATCACTATCTGCAAAGCTTGCTGCCACTTATAAAGTTTCTCGGGGTTTGCAGAGCCTGATACTGCTTACAAAGCTCATTAAGGTTTGCAGAACCCATAGCAGTTTGTGGAGCCTGTTGTTTGCAGAGTTACTCCTTGCTTGCAGAGTTCTTCGCTGGTTTTAGAACCAGTTACTCTTTGTAGAATCTATTGTCTTTTGTAGACGCTAAGCTTGCAGGCTGAGCTCATCAGTATCCACAAAGCTTGTTGCTATCTGGAGAGCTTGGCTCTGCTTGCAGAGCCTTCATTTCTTGCAAAGCTTGCCTTGGTCAGAGAACTTGCTGCTACTTGTGAGTCTGACATTGCTTTCCGGGCTCATCGCTGATGACAGAGCCCTGGGACACTTTCTGATTCTACCTCCTATGCCTGGACTACCTGCCTTGTGGTGAATTTTCAAGGATGTGGGGCCATACCACAGGGTTTTAAAGTGTTTTCTTGCGCTCATAGGTTTTTGGATTGAGCTGCTGAGTTCATGCTCCACATCATTCTCTTTGGTCCCAGTTTGTCCCCATGACACTGGCTCCATGCTTAGACTCAGTCATCTCTCTAAAGCCAAAATGCTCTGTGTTCTCTCTCTCCCAGAGTTAATGGTCTGTGTAGGTAACTCTCTCATCTCTTTTGCTCAGAGCTCTTGAACTTCCAGTCAGTTACCTGAATTCTCTTCACCTCTGTCTCAGTAGGATCTTATGTCCTTCCATCTACTCACTCTCTTCTTAGCATGGAGTCCTCACATTTTCATAACCACAGTCATCCACAGGATTCATGGATGTGATGTGCTGGAAGTGGGAGGAATGAGGACTGGACAGCAGTTTGGGTCACACATGAGCTCAACTCCATGAAGCTCACGTGTGACCCAAACTCCTGTCACACATGAGCCTGTGGGCCATGTGACCTTGGCCTCAGAGTCTGGAGGGATGCATGCCGATCTTCAGCAGCTCTGTCTTGCAGCTTTTGCCTTGGGTTGGCTGTGCTCACACTCAGTGGGGAGCGGGTGGAGGTCTTGGCATTTGTTGTGCAAGGTTGTCGTTGGCCATTACTGGAACACCCCAATCTATCCTCATAGACTTTGGACACTCAGCCCCTAACAACACACCAACTTGTTTTTTGTGTGTGTGTGAAGATGCTTTCTTCTAAATACATACGTCCTTGGAAGGCAGAGTTTGAATGGCATGATGTGCAGTTTATCATATTGAAAGACTTTTCAGAAAACCAAAAGGAAAATCAAATAGCAATTCCCAGGTACTTGTTACAAAAACCTAGCAGTTCAAATTCTGAATGGATGGGCAGTATTGGCCAAGGGGGAGGAAGTCGAAGGAATAGACCCAATATCACTGGTGCTTCTTTGGGAAGTTTCCTAAGAATCACCATGGCCCCAGGGCTCGCCATGTCTGAACATGAGTGGGTCTGTGTAGAGATCTTAACCCTAAAAGTTTCTGTACTTAGGAAGTCTGTGATATGAAAACTCAAGTCCAGAGATGATCACCCACTTTATATAAGGAGTTATTCAAATAACTCCCTGGACACATTTAAAATGGAACACGGTCCTCTCTGTAGTCCAACCAGGAACACAGCTCTTATGCTGAGCGAGGGGTTCCTGAATTACCCTTGTTTCTTTTCCAGGAGGTTGCAGCTGAGGACATCGTGCAGCCCAACTACTAACAGTGATGAGGTCTGGATTTTCCTGACTTTCTCTGCTTCTGTGCTATGGAATGGCCAGAAGTTCAGCTTGTGGAACACAGAATGGTCTGCAAGCAAACTCTTTCCTCTCCTTGAAATCTTGCTATTCCTGTCCTTTGTTCTTAGAAGAAACTGAGCTCTAGATATGTCTCACTGTTGGCTTTGTCCACAGGGCCCCAAGGTAAGCACTGCTGCTCAGGAGATAATTCAGAGTGCTAATGGCATACAGATGCATGCGAATTCATGTGCACACACACAAATTAGGCTGCAATTATCACAGGAACTATTTGCTAATGCTGGTTACCATTTGAACCATTACTCAACACTGGTTCCCACAGAAGTCTGGTCACTGTGGCTCAGCATGAGGCCTGCCTCTCTGGCAGTCTTGGAAACTTGGCATCAACACCAAGTAACAGCTGTGGGTTGATTGGATGTGGGAGGTGGGTCTCTTAAGGTTTGCTATGGGAAAGGAAAAAACCTGCTGGAAAATGACACTGAGATTCCATCAAGGGAAGGAAAAACCAGCATCAAAGACAAGGAATGCCATACAATACATCACATGCTAGTGTGGGTGGCCAAGAGTGTTATTCACACAGTGTGTCCATTTCACTCAACAGCTCTTCCCTGCTGTCTATTGCATGCCTGCGGTATGAGAGGCTTGGGAGAAGGTATCTAAGACAGGAGCCACCCCACAGAAGCAACTAGTTCACCACAGGTGTGGAGGCTGATTCCCCATTGAGTCCTATGGGAGTTATCAAGCCCCAGGGTGGAGGCAGGGCTTGAGATTTGCTGTCAAGAGTGCCGTGTTAATCTGTGCTCATGCTGCTAATAAAGACATACCTAAGACTGGGTAATTTATAAAGGAAAGAGGTTTAATTGACTGGCAGTTCAGCATGGCTGGGGAGGCCTCAGGAAACTTATAATCATGGTGGAAGGGGAAGCAAACTCGTTCTTCAAATGTCAGCAGCAAGAAGTGCTGAGCAGAAGAGGGAAAAGCCCCTTATAAAACCATCAGATCTTGTGAGAACTCATTCACTATCACAAGAACAGCATGAGGGGAACCGCCCCCATGATTAAATTACCTCCCACCAGGTCCCTCCCACAACGGGTGGGGATAATGGGAACTACAATTCGAGATGAGATTTGGGTGGGGACACAAAGCCTAACCATATCAGATGGAGTGGATTTTAGTGCTGGTGAAAGGAGGCAAGGCATCTCAGGCAGCCAGAGCTGTCCTGCTAAGCAATGTGGCTGTACGCCAGAATGGTCAGTGGTCACCGAGTCCCAGCAGTAGCTTCTGCTCAGTGAGTGGCTGCCATTTCCCCCTCGTCTTGGCAGCCCTGCAAAGGACCGTATTGTCATGCTCATTTTGCAGATATGGAGGTAGAGGCCAGTGCAGGTAGGAGACTAGCTACAAGGCCACATGGGTGCTCTGGTTGGATTGGAATTAGAAGCTGCGTATGTCTGACTGTTGGTGAGGATGCTGAGAAGGACAAGGCATGATTGGGGGAAAATGGGAGGGTCATAGTGGTACTGTTGAAAGAGCTCCTGGGAGGACCAAGTTTATCTTACCCATGAGGGAAATGTGGCACAGAGACAGTAATTGATACTTGGTCTACAGCAAATGGGTGGCAGAGCAGAGGAGAGTAGGTGATAAGCTTCACCCCACCGTGAGCCCTGCTGACTCCCTGGAGCACCCTGAGAGCTCAGCAGAGGTAGGAGGATGATCTGGGGGTTGCCCCTGTATCCATTTGCCCACCCCTGACCCAGAAAGGCCTCTCTGGCATTGCCTGGAGGTCTCGAGCAGGGAAAAGGAGAAGCTAGCATCACGGTCTCCTGGGGGTATTCAGTAGCCTCCAGAGAGCAGTTTGTCCAGCTTCCCTTTAGGCAGCAAGCTGGGCTTCCCATTGGTGACTCCTGGTGCCACATCTCCTCTCCTCACCCTTGTGTCTGCTCCTCCGGAGGCCTTTCTGTCTGGCTGTCTGTCCACAGGCCCTGCAGGCATTGTCCGATTTTTCTCCCAATCCTTCCCTGGTGGATGCACCCTGAGATCTCTGAGCTGCCAGCTAGGCAGGCTCCTAGCCACCAGAGATTGGAGTCAACAGTGGGGTTGTCAGCATCCATGAGTCGCTGTTGCAGTAGGTGCTGACATCTACTCTTCTATGTTGAAGTGAGAGCTGGGGCCCTCATGTTTGCTGGGAGAGGGGAGTAGGGTTGTTGGAAGATGCTTGCTAGGGCCATGAAGGGAAGTAAAAGGGCAGTGTGCATGATAGATAGACAAGATTTGACTTATTCAAACTTGTCCAACCCCTGGCCCAGCACAAATTTGCAAACTTTCTTAAAACATTATGAGGTTTTTTTTTTTTGCGATTTTTTTCTTTTGGCTCATCAGCTATCATTAGTGTTAGTGTATTTTAGGTGTGGCCCAAGACAATTATTCTTCTTCCAATGTGGCCCAGGGAAGCCAAAAGATTGGGCACCCTTGTTTTAGATAATGCAAGGTGTACCATGTGTAAGAGCCATTTGAAATGCCTGAGTTCTCTGTTGAGCACTCTGTGGACCTGCACTCTGGGGGAACACAGGAGAAGACACAGCTCTTGTCCTCAGGGAGCTCCTTTTCCAGAAGACACAATGAATGCACAGAAGTCCCTAGAGAACCTTCTCCATGAGGACAGGGTCTGATGTGATTTGTAGATGCAAATTGGAAATGTGGCGGCCCTAGTTCAAAAATGATTAAGAATTTCAAGATGATGACTGCAGAGCATTAACCCAAGTGAGGGGCCCTCCTGAGAGTTCAGAGCTTTGTGTGACTGAGCCTCACATGTCCATGGCAGCGGGCATGGCTGCACCAGGCCTGGCTGCAGCAGGTCAGAGAACCAAGAGCCCAGGCAACTCCCCAGAGCCCTTGCTGGGCCCTCAGAGGCACCCGACATATTTGTGGACTGTGTCAGGTAATTCACAAAAAACTCTTTAAGATCTCTCATTTCATGGGGTCCCTACCAAACCCCGTGATCAACTTTGAAATGATTCTTCCCAATTTCCAGAAGTGTATCTCAAGGCCTAGAGAGATTAAACTGTCTTCCTAGGGTCACAAAGGAAGCTATAATTGGAAGTGGAAACAGAAGTCTTTGGACCTGGGCCAAAGGGTCCTGCCTGCCCCTGTTCCCTCCTGGACCCTACGATGCCAGCCCTCCAGGACTGCAGTGCCTTCACCCAGTTGGGCCTGAGATCTTTCTTTGGAGGGAGTTTTCCAGGGCAATGACCACTCTTATTGTCACTGCTCCTCTCCAGCCCCAACCTTGCTCAGTGGGTCCCAGCTCCTGGCCTGCGGCGTCCAGGCCCTCTAAACACTCCTGTCAACCTGGAGGTTTTTTTTCTTACCTTTGTGGGTGTTTTCTAATCTGTCCCCACCCAACTGAGTGTGACATTTTACAGTCATATTCCTACCTCCTGGCAGGGCCATCCAGGGCTGCTAATGAGGCCTTCCTTGGTTTATGGTAATGGCGCCCTCCTGTCCCCTCTCCCTCATGAAGTATACCACACCTGCCACCCGCAGACTCCCAGGCCCCTCCTCCTGACCCCGAACTCAGGCTGCCCTCCCTGAAAGGCCCCCAGCCTTGTGGCGTATTTACAGAAATGCCACACAGCAGAACACCCCAAATCAAATGAACGGTAACGGGAAAGCTGCTAGCTTCTAAATTAGCGGTGCATAATTAGTTTCATGCATAAACCTCTGGAAAGCACGGGGCTCGGGCTGGTGAGAGAGACAATTAGTTTTTGCAAGGATGAAGAAGAAGAGCAGAAAAGGAGTGAAGGAAGGCAGGAAGGTTGGCTGGAGAGGGGTCTGGGCTGAGTGAAATGTAGATCGCATCTGTACAGCCAAGCTCCACACACTGCCTTTCTATCTGGGAGGCCTTTCTGATGCCTCCAGCTCAGGGCTCTTAAAGACTCCCATCGATGCCTAGCCTCTCCCCTCCCACTGTTCTGGCTGCAGAATGACTCAGGCAGCCCTTTCTAGGCCCCTGGCTGGGGCTGCATGGTGGGACACTTGGACCATATGTGAGCCCTCAGGGGAGACATCAGAGCTTTGTCCATTTCTGTCCCATGACTCAGGACTCTGCCTGGGGTGGGCTTGGGTGCCCTGGCTGGCCTGCTGTTTTGGGTGTGGAGGTGTGTTTCTCAGACAGGCTGGCTGAGAATCACAGCCTTTGAATCTCGGAGCCCCTGGCACTCTGTGGGTCATGGAGCAGCCCTGCCAGGGGAGGCATCTCACAGATGGGGAGTGGAGAAGCCCAAATTTTAGCCTGCCCTGGCTGGTTCACAGGGAGCAAGGGCCACAGTGCTATCTTCAGACTTCTAAACTCAGCCAGTTTGGCCCACCCACACTGGCAATGCTGCCCGAAAGGAGACAGAGGAAGAAAGTCCACGCTGATGTTCTCAGATGTTCTCCCGGGATAACTACTTCCTTGTGTGCAATCTCAGCAAATGGACAGGTCTGTGAGGAGTCTCCTTGGGTCTCCTGACTCCTCAGGATGCTGCCATGTGCTGGATCACCATTATCCTGCTTCCGGGAAAGTCTCTTAACCTCCACAGGCCTTACTTAGTTTCCTCACCTATCAATTAAAGAGGGCAATTCCTGTCAACCTTCCTCCAGGCTCTGGGACGGCCAGTGTCTTCAGGTTGGGGAGATGCCTTAGGAAAGCTCTTTGCATGGAGGCCTGCAATCTTTATTGCTTATTATATATTATTTATTTAGTCTTAATTTACAATTGCTTGATTTCCAGAGGATCTTAGTGCCATGGGGACAGAAATGTGCTGCCCAGTCCTCAATAAAGAATGCTTTTCCTGCCATAAATAAACAGAATATCCAATCAACCACCCATCAGATTGCCTGGCCCTGGCACAAACAGAATGTCACTAATGAGACACAACACGCATTAGCTTAATGCTCTTCCAGGGGAAGAAAGCTGGCCCTGAGTGCCAGCCGGGTTATGGTGGAAGATGGGAATGGGCAGCCTCCATGTGGACACTGGGGGAGGGCTCTGTGTACCAGCACCTCAAAGGCCACTGGGCAACCCTCAGAGAGCTGAGGTTTGTCTCAGTGGGGTCACTGCTGCAGGTCTGCTTTGCTTGAAGACAGTGGGGGTTGACTGTGGGCCCACTGTGTGCCCAGAGCTGGGATGGCTCTGTGGGTACCATCAGAGGAGTCTGTGTAGGTTCAGGGAGATAAAATTCATAATATAAAACAGAGTGCAATGTGGATTGGAGCACTGAGCAAAAATAATGTGGTTATGCAGTAAGTGTAATGGAAGGGAATTGGTATGCATGGGGTAGTCAAGAAAGGCTGCATGGAGGAGGAAGACATGAACACCTCCTTCAAGGACAAGCAAGAATTGGGGCAGGGGATGCATTCAGATGAGAGCCACAACATGGGCACAGGAAGGAAAAGAGAGCTCAGTATGCTGGCAGCAGAATCATGGGAGCCCAGAAGCTGGGGTTAGGAATCTGGGCTTTGTTTGATAGCACCAGGGAGCCATGGAGGGTCCTGGAGTGCTGGCAGAGTCAAAGGCCACTGTGGACCACATTTAACCGGGTTCCTTCTTCAGCTCGCCTCTGCCATCCCCCTTTCTAGGCCAGCTGGGATGAGGCTCCACAAGGGGCCAGCTAAGTCGCGCCTGCTCTTTCTGTCTGCTCTTGATCACTGTCAGCTGCCTAAAGCCAAGCGCGAGACAGCAGCCCTCCCCAGCGGAGCTGAGCTCCCTGAAGATAAGATGAATGTCTGCAGGCCACAGAGCTGAGATGTTCCGAAGGAAGTGGAAGAGGAGGAAGAAGGAATAAACACCCATCACATTAATAAGAGTTTGGGAGAAGTGAGGGGCTGAGGCCAGGAGTCTCCAGATGGTGTTTAGTGAAGTGACAGTTTGATGCCTAAAAGGAAAAATGGAACTGTGGTATGCTGGGAGCTTCGATCTTCATGGGGTGGGGGTGGGGATGTGGGCGCATGAAACCTGGTGTGAGGTCTGTACTTATACAAGCCTGACCAGAGCCCATTCTAGGTCCCAGCAGAAAGGGCAGACAACTTCCAGGATGTCTGCTTAGGGACTCCCACAAAGTGGGTCTGGTCCCAAGGGTTCATGTACCCATGCAGCCACCCACAGCATTTCAATAGCCTCACAGCTACTGAGAACTTAGGAGGTCAGCCTTGTGCCAATGCTGGGTCCACATGAATAAGTAGGACCCAGTCCCTGCCCTCAAAGAGAGCACAGTCTAGGGTGGAGCAGTCATGTTAAACTCTGGTAAACTGAGGTAGGCATAGGAAATTCTAGGCATGCAGGAGAGGGCATCTTATCCAGCCTTATCCAGATTGGGGAAGGCTCCCTGGAGAAGGTGGCATGTGAGCTGAGTTTGGAATGCTGGCCAAGGACTGACCTGCTGGAAGGAGCTTGGGGCGGACATAGGAGGATGCCAGGCAAAGGAAACTAGTGGAGCCACTCAGCGGGTGTGGAGCCACATGCTCACGGGTGGGGGAGTCAGAAGCCAGTGTCGTCCCAGATCCTGAGGTCAGAGTGGGAGGCGGTGGGGATTGGGGAGGAGCTAATGATCACAAGATGAGTGACTGAGTCAGTGAAGGGTATTCAGGAGTGTGAGTCTCAGACCCCCACCTGATCCCATCCCTTGTCACTATACGGGTCATTATGGGGTATCAGAAAGCTACTCTGGTTAAAACATTCTCCCTGCCCTGCCTAGTACACTGCCTGACATTCCACATCAGAGTGCCCTCCTTTTAGGTTAAATAGAGTACTTCTACCATCTGTCCTTGTTACAGGACAGGTAACTTGTTAGCAGGCACTTTCTCTGCTCTCACCTGGGGAGAACAGAGATCCCAGAGGGCAAGAGGCCATTTCTGGGATGCAGGCCATGTCTGGAACTCGGCCTTGACCATCCTGCACATGGGCTGGGGCAACTCCACAGCAGGGAGTTTTGGACACCGCCAGAAGAAGGGCGGTGGCTTTACTTGTTAGCAATGGGAGCCACGCACTTGGGAAAGTCGGGCAGAGTCAATGGCCACGTGGACCAGGCTGAGGATGAGGTGGCACAGAGGATGGTATTGGGTGGAGCCCACAGGGGAGCAGGCAGAGGAGGGCAGTGGAGAGAAAAAGGAGAGAGCAAGGGAAGGAGAGTCAAAGAGGAGTCCCAGCCTTCAGAATCCATTCTGTTTCCATTTCCCCCAAGTCACACAGCTGCCAGAGTTCAGACAGATGCTGTGATTAGCATTTTAATGCATTTCAGAGGACCTTGTCCAAACTGCTCTGGAAATCAGAAATCAAGAGTTTATCTTCAGCTGTCCCTAAAGAGCTACATTCTCTTTCAATTCCAAAGGAGTCTGAGAAAGTGTGTGTACCTGTGTGTTCGTGTGCCCACATGTGGACATGTGTAGGATGTCATGTGCCTCTCCCATGTGTGTTATATGTTCACATCACCTGTTATGTACACATACTTTTGTGTGCACCTATATGGCATGTACTCTGTTGTGTGTATGTGCGTGCATGTGTGTGTGTTTGAGTGATGAGTGTGCAGCTGCATCTGTATGTGCGCAAGTACATCTTGCACGTGTGTGCATATTCTACATGGGCCTTTGCAAGTACAATTTTATCCAGGATCGTTCATGTGGAAGAGGGAGAGCTCCATGCTAGTTGAAAACAGGTCAGTACTAAGTGACTCGGGCTGTCAGGGGGCCTGGGCCTTAGAAAATGGGAAATGCATTTCAAATGCGTCTTTGGTTGCTTGGCCTGATCCTGAAGCTGTGTTTCAAACAATGCAGCTCAACGGTATTTCAAGCAAAGTGCATTTCTGGAGTAATAATTCCACTCCCATTGAACAGTGCTGGCCTCAGAGGCCTAGCCTCTGTGAGGGTTTCTGGAGCTCCAGAAGAAGGTTGGGGCAGCTACTAGTGGGTCAGGGCCATGGCAGGGCAGGGGTTGGGAAGCCAGGAGGCTCTCAGGACATCTGTGTGGGGTGAGTCCCCTCTACCTGCCTCCCAAGATTCTCCTCCTGCCACCTCAAGCTGGCCACACCTATATCTGCCAAGGCTGTTTTCTGGAAGATGGATGACATCAGTCATTCAACTAGCTTCAGGAGGAAGGATTTCCTTCTCCTGTTGTGTTAGTCCATTCTCACACTGCTATAAAGACATACCTGAGACTGGGTAATTTATCAAGAAAAGAGGTTTAATTGACTTACAGTTCTGCATGGCTGGGGAGGCCTCAGGAAACTTACAATCATGGTGGCAGGCAAGCAGAGGCAAAGGTACATCTTACATGGCAGCAGGGGAGAGAGAGCGAATGAGCAAAGGAGGAAGAGCCCCTTGTAAAACCATCAGATCTTGTGAGAACTCACTCACTATCACGAGAACAGCATGGGGGAAACCACATCCATGATCCAATCATCTCCTACTAGGTCCCACTCTTGACACGTGGGGATTATGGGTATTATAATTTGAGATGAGATTTGGGTGGGGACACAGAGCCAAACCATATCACCTGTCCTGGCCACCTTCTCTGGACATACTTCTCTAAAAGTGTAGCACTCAGTTCCAGACTCAGATTTCCTGGGGCCATCTTCCCAGCCTAGGGAAAGTGGGATCATCACTTTCCTTCTTTAGAGGGAGGTACCTGTTAACTGCAAGACTGTGTCAACTTTTAGGGAGCAGGGCAACACCATTGGCTCCTTTGGAGTCTGGGGCCAACTAAAATCTAATCTTTAACCCTTGCCTGACTTGCTTACCCCTTCGTGTCATGACGGCAGGGGCATCTACTTGTAGCTGCATGGGGCTCCTCAGAGTCATTCTCTGCTCCTCCTGTATGGCACAGACAGTGATGTGGAGTTGGGGGATGCATCTGCTGGGAGGGGGCCGGGGAAGCAGCAGACAGTTCCATGTGAATTTGTTTAATGTAAATACATCCTCTATTTATCTTTGGCTGTTAATAAATTCATGCATTATTAGAAAATCCCTCATACCAGCAGACC
Source organism: Homo sapiens (assembly GCF_000001405.40). NCBI lineage: Eukaryota > Metazoa > Chordata > Mammalia > Primates > Hominidae > Homo > Homo sapiens. The sequence continues at coordinate 37,469,467 of NC_000018.10, forward strand.
CGCTGAGTTAGATCAGTTCGTTTTAAGAGATTTCCTGTTGGCAGGATTCAAAGCCCACACCTGCAGCCGGCCCAGGCACAAGGATTTAACTAAACGCCACAGATAATTAGATCAGTTAACCTTGCAAATTAAAACAAGCACATCGCATTAGCTCAGTTTATCCTAAAAGAAAATATTAAGTTCCCCCAGATAAATCGTTTAATAAGAATAGAAGAAGATGGCACATACTGTCTTCTCAGAACCTCTGGGCAGGAGTGAGGGAGGGCTCAAACAGTGGCCAGATAGCGGGTTTTCTTCCATTGATTTATCTATCAGTGATGGATCAGGTTCTTGCCCACTGACTTAACAGGAGTTAGAAGAGTTTGAGGAACATCCAGGCACGGTGCAGGCTGGAGCACGCAAACCAACAGCAAAGCTCCATGGGGTCTGAGAGTACTAAGGGGCATCAGTGGGAGGTAGCCCACCTCGCCACTTCATAACGCAGGACAGCCCCCAGTGAATCCCTGGGGGATGGCCAGAGAATGAGGGTTCAAGCCCATCAGGAAAGGCTTTCTGCAAGAACTATGACCCTCTGTGCCTTGGCCACCAGAAGTTCATTGCATCTGTTAGATACTGAATACTTAAGGAGTTCGCTGAAGTCTTTGTAGATTTCAATGCTACCGAGTCAGAATAGAGGGTAATTTGGACTTTAGGTGTAAAGTTGGCCTTTGAAAAATCTATCAAAAATTTTGATTGGCAAATAAGCAGTGTAGACGAAGTTCTATGTGCAGGAATATGTTGTCAACCTAAGACCAGTGTTTGCAAGTGGCTTACGAATCCTCTGTGTCACTTCATCACTGTGCTAGTTACACAGGCTTTGCATCTGTTCATTAAAGCAGTGTTGGACATTAACTTGGAAGCACTGTTGGGTTGTCTACTCAAAAGTAATAAAACTTCACTGAGCACACCCCATAATATGGATGCTAATGGAAATGGGTGTCCTCCCCAGGTCTTCTGAATTAGGGTAGGTTTACTTGGTCATCAATCATGGAGCCTTTTCAAGATAAAGGCCATGTTGCAAATGAGAACAGACCCAAATGTGGCATCCCAGCAGCGCTGTGTCCAACTGTCTAGGCAAGTGATGCTTATGTCCCTTCCCACTCCACTTTTCTGAGGTTCTCTGACCCTCAGGAGGGAAACATAATTGCAGAGTGGGGCCCTCCTCATGGATCAAACTCTTCTAGCCCAAGAGGAGGAATCAGTATTTTCTGACAATGCTGGACAAAGAATAGAGGAGCACACAGGGTTTCTGAAGCTGGAGGAGCAGTGAAATCACCCAGGGAGCATTTGCAACACATGGATCCCAGGCAGATCCTGACTCTTCATGACTCTGTGTGTGTGTGTGTGTGTGTGTGTGTGTGTGTGTGTGTGTGTGTGTGTGTGACAGAGAGAGAGAGAGAGAGAGAGAGAGAGAGGTGGAGCCTCTTTCTTTACATTTATTATAAATCTGAATGTCAAAGAAATCCCTACGTGTGGTAGTGAGATGAGGTGGTTTGGAAACCTCTCCAGCACTGCGTAGCCTGCCCTGAATGGAGACTTTCTCATTCAGGTGCAACAAGTGTTCAAGTGGTCAGGGCAATGCCCTCACCAGCTTCAGGGCAGAGAGGGAGCCAAGTTTCCCTTCAGCCCTCCACCAGCAGGACTTGCCCGAAACCAAGTGAGTAGCTCCTGCCAGCCTGTGCCCATTGAGGCTGCTCCTGGAAAGGGGGACTGAGGCAGGCTCTCCACTGGCCTCAGCTCCTGTTCCTGATGTCACTTCCTCACCTCAGTCCTCTCATCAGGACTGGCACAGGCCTTCACCATCCAGACCATGCTATGTACCATGTGGAGGTGGACACTCTCCTACTCAGGAAGCTTCATGAGCTCCCAAGAACCCAAAGGAAAGGGAACAAGCTCCTCAGTGGGATGTGAAAGGCCTTCCCAACTCATGCTAAGTCCCGTCCCCAAGCCCTTCCTGAACTCCAGCCAGCGCCCCCTGTCCTCTCCCTCCTCCTTGCCTTTGCCCCTGCTGTCACCTCACTGGAGTGACATCTGGAGCCCCCTCCATCCACCTAGATCCTGCCGATCTTGCCCAGGCAGTGTGACACTCAGTGAGCAGTCCTGCCTGGAAGCGCTCCCAAACCACTCCCAGCTCTAAATTGCAGTCTGGAGTCTCGATCCATTGTCCTCTAATTGCTTGGCATGTACATCTTCTCTCCTCCGCAGGAGGGAAGCCCCAGGGGCAGCAGGGTTCTTGCCCTCTACTCACTTCCACCTGCCAAGCAGCACCTAGCGCGGGGCTATGCTCCTGGTGGGTGCTCAGGAAACACTTACTGAATTGAATTACAAACCTTCTCCCAGGCTCTGAGCCGTTCCAGCTGCTGGATGCCAGCTGTCAGGGCTGCTGGGAGAGGCTGAATGCATATTCATTTCAGACCCTCTGTCTCTCGGCCTTGAAGGGCCTCCTGGACCATCTTAATCCATGAGGGTGTCCAGGGCATGACTCTGCTCCTGCTCTCCCTGGTTAGGGTTTTCAATCTTCTGGGTTGTGCTCACCCAGATTCCAGGGGTGCTGCTGTGTTTTGGAGTGAAGAATGGTGAACAGGGAGTGGAGAAGGAGGTATGATGTAGGCCTCATGTGGGGGATTGTGCAAACCATGAAGACAAACTTAACAAACACCTCTTGTGGGGGCATGAAGGTGGTGATCTTGAGCCCTCCTCTTCCAGCACAGCCAGGCCTTGGCAGGGCCAGCTCCAGCGTCCTTATGGACCTGCCTGCCACTCTCACAGTGGTTTCCATTCAGCGTGGTAGGGTTTGTTGGCCCCTCCCTGCGGCCAGCCCTGCACTAGGCTATAAAGCTGGGAGGTTTGCTGCTACGCATCCTGCGTTGGCTGCCCTCCAGACCTGGGCAGCCAGGGGCCGGGGATGGATCAGAAGGGGCCAGGTAGGAAGATTCACTCCTTTCTTGGAGACAGAATCACTGAAGCAAGAGTGGCAGCTGTAGAGAAACTGTCATTGTGCACATTTCCTGTGTGCAAGAGCAGCAGGGTGTTTGGAGCTTTGCATGCTTCATGCTATCCATAAACTGCTCCTGGATGAAAGAACTACTGGCACCCCAGGGCTGAGATGAGAAAACTGAGGCACAGAGAAGTTAAGTGATTAGCCCAAGGTCACACAGCTCAGAGTGGTGGAGCTGGGATTGGAGGCTAGGTTGTTAAATTTAAGGCATGAGCCTGCCCAGCGGCATGGAGGGTTTCGCCTCTAAGGCCTGAAGGTCTTCAGAGAAGGGAGAAATTGGGAGGCCTGAAGGAGAAATGAGGATTACTCCAGGCTAGAGGCTAGGGAATTTGGGACCTAGCCAAACTGGCTGGGGCTGAGGACTGGGACTGGTTCTATGCGGGCATTTATGATGGTTAAGCTAGTAAAACTTAAGATAAAATCATGGGATCTTAACTCGCCCCCCAGAACTGATTTGGTCCAATGTTGGAATTACCTGCATCAACCCCCGAACCCTGCGACTCAGCCTGCTTGAACATGTCTGTGACCAGAGGCTCACTACCTTGTGGGACAGCCCAGGCCACTGGCAGAGGCTATGAGGGAGGGCCTCAGGAGTAGAGGGCAGCACAGGCCAGCCCGTGCTATCCCTGGTCCCCTCCTTCCTGGCTCTCAGCCATGCTGAAGTTTACCAGGAAGGTCAATCCGAGCAGGCTTTGCACAGAGCACCCCTACCTCACCCCACACCCCTTTACAAAAGAGGTCCTGCTTCAGTCTCTGAAAATAAAGTTGGTGCCATTGCTGCTGGCCCTGAAAGCCGGCCGACCCACTTTCAGAGGGTGTGAGACCACTGGTGCAACTGTCAAAAAAGTGGGAGTGAGGAATTGCCTGTGGAATGCCTGTGATGTGGCACAGCTGTCTGCTGGCGTGGCAGCCTTTGATTCTTCAATATTTAAGCCACACACAAAGGCACAGAAGGGCACAAACTCGAGAAAGACACAGAGGACGCAAATATGCTACCTAAGGGTAGCTGAAATTTTATTCCCTTCCCCCTTATGAATCTCACAGAATTGGAAACCATGTCAGTAGCTGGAATAAACATGCAGAGTTAGCAGTGCTGCATGAAGAAGCTCCTCTTGTCCACACCCTAAGACTGCTTTCTTGACTCAGCATCCTCATGGAAGCATCAGGGTGTGATCTAAGCTGAAGGCAAATGCGGCACGTGTGTGGGGGGTGGCTGCTGCTCCAGCCAGCTTGCTCTTCTGTAACCCCTGACCATCTCCACCAGGCTGTGTGAGGGTAGACTCTTCCAGGTCCCACCAATATTATCCGGCCCTTCTCCTTCACTGAAGAAGCACAGATTTGTTCATGGAAGACATGTGCATAGTCTTTGGCAAGATATCCTCTTTCCCAGACTTCCTTGCAGCTAGGGTGGCCCTGTGACATAGCTCTGGCCAATGAGACATACTTAGATGTCTCCTGGAGAGGGGACCTCTTGGAAACCTTTTGCATTCCCGATAGAAGGGACAGAGGCAGCTGGACCTGCTCTGCTTGATGACAGATGCAATGCCCTCCGACAGCAGTGAGAAGGACTCTGTTACGTTGTTGCTGTTGCATGGTTATGTTGCTGAAGCAACACGAGGCCCCAGACTCTGTGATGTGCAAAAAACCCAAAGTGTTATTTGTTGAGGCCACTGCAGCCAAATGAATTTCTAAGTGGAAGGGTGGCCACTTAGAAATTACAATTCAGAGAGGTTAAATGGCTTCCCAAGGGCACACAGTAAGGCTCCAGGCAGAGCTGGGGATGGAATCAGACTCTGCCTTCCATTCAGAACAGGACTTCTCCAATGCAGAGGTAGGCCAGGTGTGTGGTGACACCTCGAGGGCCACTGCCCTGCCCCACAGGGCCCCCTGGGTGTCTAGCAATCATGCCAGAGTCTCCTGCCAGAAGAACCTGGTGTGTGGCCTTGGGGTGACGGGGACGGTTCCTGCCCTCATGCAGCTCTGGCTTTCCACAGGGTTAGTGCCCTAGGATGAGGAGGAAGGAGCATGGGCTCTGGCGCCAGATCTCTCCATGGTTTTCTGGTCTGAGCAAGCCCCTTTGCCTCAGTTTCCTCTTCCATACAATAGCACTAATAAGGCCTGGTTAAGACCTGGGTGATGCTGTCTTAAATAAATGAGATAATATTTGTGAAGTGTCTGGCTGTAGCGAGTACACAGTGATTGGTAGCTGTCATCGGAGTTAGAGAGACAAGATTCTTTGATCTGCTCTCTTATTTGGGATGATGCCACAAGGCTCAATCTGCAGTAGATGTAGGTGGTGTCCTGCCCATGACCCCTTCTCTTCCCCACCTCAGTGACAGTGGGTTGACTTCCAACTGCCAGCACCAGCACTTCCAGCTCGAGGGCTTCCTTTGACTGTGGAGCCCACTTTGCCCACGCATGCAGCAAGCCAGAAAAGCTAGAAAGCGGAAGACCCCTGGGCACAACCTCGGCCACAGCCTGGTGGAAATTGGTGCATGAATACCCCAGTTCTCTGGCCCCTTGGGTGGGATGACTCCAAGGAGTATGATTGACATTGGCTCTAGAGTCCCAGTGGGGTTCAGCAACACCCGCAGTGGAAGCTGGTCTGCCTGATAAGACACCCCTTATTGATTTCCTCTCTTCCTTGTCTCCACTATTGACCCAAGTTCCTGGGGTCAACCCCACAAAGAAGCTATTTGCACTCAAATGCTTGTCTACAGTCTGCTTCTGGGGGCGCTCCAACTAAGACAATATCCTTTAAAGCCTAACATTAGGCCAGTGGTGGTTGAACTTCTTGTGCCCACGAATCTCCTAGGGATCTTGTTAAAGGGTGGTGGCTGCTGTTTGAGTGACATGGCTCAGATGATCTAGAGTAAGCTCAAGACTCTGCATTTCTAACAGACCCCAGTGATGCTGATCTGATGTCCACATTTTAGCCAGGGCTTAGACTTCCGGTGCTGTTGACCTGCAGAGGCTCAGGCAAGGGCGAGATCAGTGTTGGTTAGAGCAACCTAGAGGAGCATCACAGAGGAAGGGAGCTTGGGGCTAGGTCCTGATGCCCTGGGAGGATTCTGGTGGGTAGGCTGGGAGGAGGCAGGTCCTTTCTAGGGAGCGGGGAAGCTGGAGACTTGCTGGGGCCTGAAGCCATGCCCAGCACCTGCAGGATTTCAGAGCAACTGATCTGCATGGAGTTGATTGGAGCCTACAGGCTGTAAGGGGCTAGAGGCTCTGAAGCACAGCAGTGTGAGAAAAGCCTCCTCCATCTCCAGACACATTTTCCCTGTTCTCACTCCCAATTCCAGGAGGAAAATTCACACTGACCTGGCTCCCCAAGCCTTCCTCCTCTTACTCATTTCTCGAGTTCCTCTCCCTTTACATACACAACCAACTTCTGTCCTCCCCACTCCATGGAGTCCTTTCGGGGCATCCCAGCTCTCTTCTGAAATATAATGGGACATATGGTCCAAACTGCATACTTGAGCCATTCTATATTTTTATTATCCTCTTAATTATTTCATCTGTGAATTAGGAGTCACAGGACTTTATTGTGGCAAAGGACTCCGAAGGTCATCCCCACTCGCATCATTGTTTTGTCATTAATAATACAACTTGGATGATTTCTAGCAATCCACAGCATATAAAGGGCGCACACATGTGATTTTCATGATAGAAATTAGGGAACTCAGACCTGGAAAGGTTGGGTGGATGCCCCAAGTTGGTTGGTGTCCTCTGCACAGGCTGACAGTGTTCTGAAGGGTGGAGCCGAGTGTTCGGCATCATTTTGCCTCTTCTGTGCTGGGCACAGGGTTGGGCACACCAGGCTCACCATTAAACACACTGTGCTCCTTCAGCCACCAGAAGGGGATGCCACCCACATGGCGCCCCCTGGTGGGCTCATGGGAACATACCACAAATGCCTTTGATTAAAAAAAAGGGTGCTTGAACCACAGTAAACTACGGCGCCCTAGAGAGACCTTATCTCCCCTGCACTCCAGCCCTTTCCTCTTTACAACAGCCGTTTTCATGAGGAATTAAAGAATAAAGAACAATGCCATTTTTTTCTATTATCACCCAGGCTTGCCCATTTTTGATGGCATGTGGCAGCCCACAGTTCCGGATCCCTGCAGGTCAACAACAAAGACGTGTCCTTCTGCTCGCCCACACACATGCGCCCAGCAGAAACCCTCCAATCCTAAAACACATCCATCCCGGAGCAGGAGCTCACACAGACATTCTGTTTCTCAGCCTCGTTTTCTGGCGAAAGGTCAACAAACCCTTTGCAGCCTCACACGGATTCATGCAGGCACAGCCCTTGTGGCAGCCTCACATTCTCGCTCCGGTGGACACACACCTCGCTCCACACATGCCCACATTCACACCTGCACCGGCGGCGAATGCCTGGGCCAAAGCACCTTCCACACAGCACTTCCTTTCTACATCCATGACCAGAGAGCGAAGCTTTCTCCTCTTTCCAAATGCACCCCCGCAGGGTGAGCTAGGCTGAAGACTTTCTGGAGGGGCATAGAGGTGATATGGCTGGAATAGGAGATGCCAGAATGATCTGTTGGTGCCTCTGGAAATGCCAAGGCCAGCAAGGTCGCTCAGCAGATGGGGAGCTGCCTCCCTCCCGCCCATCCTTGCTCTGGGTCAGTTCCAGGCACAGGCGCAGAAAGAGGAAAGCAGGTACAGGCTGGGAATCCAAGATGGGAACTCTGGAGTTAATGGAGCAGCCTGGGCCCCAAGGGCAGTGCTGGGTGCTTGGATGGGGACGGATTGGAAAGCTCCCCGAGCGGGGCAGAGAATTTGTTCAGAGGAAGTGATGTTGACTTTGGGCCTCCAAGGATGAATGGAAACTCTCCAGGCAGAGGGAATGACATGGAAAAAGAGGAGCTTGCAGGAAGGCTACGTGCATCTGGAGGGTTTGTGGCCAGGATGGTGTCTGCCCTGGCTGAATCTTGTGGGTGACAGAAGCCTGGGTGGTTTGCAGGTGGTGGGACCTTTATTTTACAATGACACCCTTGGCCAGCCTCTGAAGAATGCATCAGAGGGGTGAGGGCCTGGAAGCAGAAGGCCACTGTGGTGGTGTGGGCTCCTGCAGGGCATGTTGGCTTATCCTGCCATCTCTCTCATCTGAACTCCTGGGCACTTCCCTTCACTACCATTTTTGGGGCCCCTAAAGATATTTTCTGGATCATGAGCTGTCTTCACACTTGCCTCCCAAACCAGATTATAAACTCCTTCTGCAACAGGCCGTGTCTTACTTATTTTTGTCCGATGCCAGACACCCTCCCTCCCACAACCAAACTTCGCAGGGGGCAGGCTATCTGTAAACGCTGCTGCCGCTGACTTGGGTGATGGCAGCCGTGATCCAAGCCACATTGGGGCAGTGTGAAAATTGCAAAATGCCTGTCTGGTGTCCTTAGAATGAGACCTGAGCAGAGGGCAGGGGTGGGGGTACCATCAGGAATCCAGCCCCAGCCCTGGGGAGCAGGCAGTCTGGCTGCTCTGCGTCAGGGAGAGACATATCTGACCCACGCTTTATTATACTTGTCACCAATGGCGTCGGGTAGTGGAGAGCAGGAGACACTGTCGTCCTTGCTCTCCCCCTCTCCTCTCCTCTCCCTGTTGTCTTAAGTAATGTGAGTAATGCTGAGCTCATTATTCTTAGAAATATAAAGAAAGCTGGAAGGGTCTTGAGAGGCGATCTGGCCCACCGCCTCCTTCACAGTCTAGATGGTGTGTCCAGGGAGGGTCCGGGCTCATTGCTCTGCCCAGACCACGTGGCTTGTTGGTGGCAGGCTGGACCTGGCCCAGGTTCCCTCTGCTTATTATCTCATGTGCCCTCTTGTTTGTTTATTTCCTTCAAGTCATGTATGATGACTGCAGGCACAGAGGTTCTCTGGTTCTTTCAGATCAACTTGTTAGGGAGCCTTTCTGGGCACAGCCCATGGCAGGCCTGGACTATGTCGTGGGGGCCACTGAGAAGATGAGGCCCCTATGAGAGTCAAGAGTCACTTGCTTGAAAAATGTGGAACCCTCAGGACAGTGGTTGGGGCAGGGAAGGAGAAAGTGGGCCGTCTAGGAGGGAAGACTGTGGGCACAGCCCCAGGGAGAAGGAGGACTTTGAGATGTCTCTGTGGGGAGGAGATTGAAAAGATTTTGCATGAACACAGTGGGACAGGGGGCTGGGCTAAGGGATAACGTGGAAGAGCAGAGGCAAGTTTCGAAGGCATCACAGATGTAGCCCCTATACCCATCTGTCCCTCAGTACCTGGATTTAAAGTGCTTTGGGCTTCTCTCTTGGAACCTTGGTGTTCCCTTCTGTATAATGAGCCCAGGCTGGTGTTCTGTGGTGAAGGTCCTGTTTGGCTGGAAAGCCTGGCTAGGGCACATGCCTGCCAAGCAGGTTTGCTGTTGGGATGGGGGCTCTTCTGAAGGTATGGGCTGGAGAAATGCCCCACATGAGTGGGTCTCAAGGCCTGGGTTCTGGTCCCAGCTCTGTTATAGCAAAGTCTCCATTCACCTAACCCAGGAGAGAGTTGAGCTGGAGTCGGTGCTGAAACTGCTAAGCCCTTGGGTCAAGTCTGCCCTGCAGACGTGGGTGCATGTGAACGGCAGGCGACAAATGATCCTTAATGCCCGGAGGTGGACTCTGCCCTCTGCTCCTGCCCGTACTCCCCACCTACCCGGTGCTCACACCATTGGAGCTTTTGCCTCTTCACAAGTCATCCCTCTTGTAACACTCTAAGGACCTTTGGGCTTGTTCCCTGAATGAATGAGAACCAGCAAGTAAGGGAGGAACGCTCTGCCCCAGGGCCTCACTGTCCCACCTTCTACCCACCCTAGGCCCGGGATGGGGTTTCTCTACCTTGGCATTGTTGACACTTGGGGCCAGATGATGTTTTGCTGTGGGACTGTCCTGTACATTGTAGGATATTTAGCGGCAGCCCTGGCCTCTACCCATTAGATGCCAGTAGCATCTCCAATGTCAAATGTCCCCCGCAGGGCAAAATTGAGAGCCACTGCCCTAAAAGGACAGATGAGTACTTCTTTTCAGGGAATATGAGAAAGAAGAAAGATATATCATCCATTCTCCCAAAGAGAAAGAAAAAAGCATGAATCCAGGTGAGATACAGAGGAAAGGCTGGGCGACCCCCATGACTCAGACACTATTGTAGGCCTTTATCCTCCCTACTGTGGAAGAGCCACAGGGCAGCCCCTTTCTCAGTGTTATGAGTTGAATTGTGTTCCCCTCACAAGATGCTGAAGTCCTAACCCCAGGACCCATGAAAGTGACCTTCTTTGAAATAGGGTCTTTGCAGATGATCAAGTTAAGACGAGGTCATTAGGGCAGGCCCTAACGCGATATGACTGCTGTCTTCATAAAAAGGAGAAGTCTGGACACAGACAATGTACATTGGAAAGATGATGCAAAGACACAGAGGGAACGCCATCTACAACTGAGGAATGTCTGAGGCTCCCAGAAGCGAGGAGAGAGGCCTGGAACTGATTCTCCCTCACAGCCCTCAGAAAGAACCAACTCTGCCAACACCTTGATTTGGGACTGCCAGCCTCCAGAACTGCGAGACAATACATTTCCGTTGTTTAAGCCACCCAATTTGTGGTGCTTTGTTGCAGCAGTCCCATGCTAATACACTCAGCAAGAGGAAGAACAGGACCGGGGAACTGGAAGAGTGTGTGGATCTGGCTGAGATGATCTCTGCAGAGAAACAGAAGGTGGCAGGGGCTGGGAGGGAAGATGCAGGTGCTGATGGGACCCAGACTCACTGTTCAGAGACAAAAACCAACACTGTGCCTACAGGACAAACAAGTGGAAATACATCCCATTTCTAAAATGAAAAGCTTTGATTGCACCGATCACTAGAAATTGTAAAACTACCCCGAAGAATTAACAGCCTCCATACATGCTAACTACATCCATCATAAATTCGTCTTTAGTTTCTGTTATCATATCACTGTCTCTGGGGACCCCTGTCTTGTCATCATTTGCCCTTTATAATTTATTCATCTTGTTCTTGCCTTCATCCTTTCTACTTATCATTCATCTTTACAGTTGTACATAAAATTAGATGGATCCCTCAATGGCAGGACTGTCAGGGAGGGAGATGGGCCTTGCCAGGGAAGCCCCCGTATGGTGATGGGGGCCCCACCAGAGCCTCCTGTGGATGTCAGGGTTGAGGTGGGGTGGGCCAAAGTTGAAAGAGGGAGGGAGGAGAGGGAAAGGAGAGACAAGTCTGAAGGATAAAAGAAGAAAGTGTTGGTGAGAGAGATAGAGGAAAATGGGCAGAGGGAGAGAAGAGAGGAGAAAATGGGGGCACAAAGAGAAGAAAGAAAAAGAAAAAGAAAGAAAGGAGGAGGAAATGGGATTAAGAAAGAGAAAAGTGAGAAGAAGGGATAGAAAGGAGAGACAGTCTGAGATAGCGGTGCTAGAAATCCATTTGAGCTCTCTGAAAAGAATTTTCCCACTTTAACATCTTTCCTGGTAAACTCAAAGAAGGTCACATTGAATTTCCATGGAAGTGACCCATCCTGAGTCGCGGTGACCTGAGTCAGGAGGCGTGATGGCGGGACTCTGCATGTCTGCCAGGCTGACGCGAGGGGAGGGGAAGGGGGAGACAGCAGGGAGGAGTGTGTTAGTTTGCTTTGTATTCTAGGATTGTTGGAATGAGGACACAAAAGCCAATCTTTGACTAGTGAGTTGGAACTTTAATGTTTACCAAGGAGATACAGCTCCCACTTCCCCCACCCCCATCCCTGACCAGCTCTAATTCCCACTGCTTCCTTGCCTCCTACTGGCTGGACCCAGCTCTTCCCCTGCCAGCCCTGGTGAGAAGCCCTTTCTGCTACCAAAGGAGCAAAAGTGCTGGCCACAGCTTGTCATAGCACCTGGTTTTCTCTCATCTGAGCATCTCCCTTGAGACCCTGTATTCCCAACCTTGGAAACAGAAGGGCTCTTCCTGGAAGACGATTCCCCACAAAGTCCCAATGGCTGGAGGAGCTGCGACAAAGCTTCAGGGGTAGATTTTAAGGAACAGACTTCTTTCAAGAGGCTTCCTGTGCACACTCAGGCCCCAGGTGGTTCTCAGAGTGGGCCTCTCCTGCCCTGTGTGAGTCACCTGGCTCCTGGCCTGTTGTGTGTGCCTCGACTCTGGGCCGTTTCTCGGACCAGTGCTCCCATCTGACTCATTTTACTCCCACCCTACCCATATCCTGAATGAAAACTTTGAGTCACTCCTGCACTCCATGGTCATCCTGGTTCTCTCTAAATTCCTAAAGCAACCGGTGGCACTGGCAGAGGCAGGTATCCTGAGCTTTGGTAGCAGACTCAGTGCTGGTCCTGGCTCGGCCACTTATCAATTTTGTGACCTTGGGCAAACCTCGATCTCCTCCTCTGTGAGGGATAATCATGACATCTTCTTCATAGCGTAGTTTTGAAGATAAAATGAGGCAATGTAGGTAAAGTGCTTGGCATCATGCCTGTCATATAGTAAGCACTTAAAAATACTGTGATTATTGAACAATTGTCCACACTACCCATTTTATAGTAACATGTGCTGTCTTGTATTGTTGACTATGTAGATATTTGTGTGTGTGTGTGGCTTCCATCCCCAACTTGGTGGTCAACTCCAAGCGGGGAGGTGGATGTGTTTTTCTTATCTCTGTATTTTACAGAACGTCTGGCACACAGGAAATACTTGTTGATGGATTGAGAAACTGCCCCATGTTGACTGTCCCCTGTGAATAGTGAAACAAATTTTGTGAATAGAGGAGCATGGGCAGGAAAAGAACAGGAAGTCAGGAAAGAGTGAGATCAAGAGTATGAGGGCGAGAGAGGCAGAGAGATTAGAAAAAGGGAGTCACTCTGCCTGGATTCTGGCAGAAGGCAGTGCTCAAAAAGACCCAGATGAAGCTTCATAGTTTAATAATCTAATTCTACTAAAACATGCCAAACTCAAAAATAATAATCCATTTGTGCCACTGGTCCAGGGATGACTCCATCAGCCATCAGAGGGCCCTGCTCAGGCTGGTTCCCAGGGATACTGGGAATCACGTATCACTGATTTGTAAGAACAGCCACTGTGGTCTGGTTTCTGAGCTTCCACTGATCCCAAGAGAAATGTCAGCTTCCCTTTTCAGGCCTCCAATGAAGACATGTGCTAGGGGTGCCTCTAGTTCTGTCTCTGTCATTTTGTTATTGTTGCTCATAGTGACGGTGGTGGTGTGTGTGTATGACAGCAATGGGATTATTTTTCTTGCTGGCAACAGGATGCGAGCTCCATAACTCACTAGAAACAGCATAGACTGCCTGTACTATCTTTTCTCCTCTTTCTCTCCTCAGCGAGAAAGTGGAGGGCTGATTTTAATGGATTGATTTTAATGGATTTTGAAGTCTGGAAAAGTGCCTAAATTGCTGAGGTTACCAGTTTTCCAGGTTCTTTTTTTTCAATTTCATTCTCTTTAGTCAGACATAGAGTGTGCTTGCTGGGGCACCTAGTGTGGTCACCCCAGACAAGAAGAAGTCCCCCTCTGTCTCTCACCGAAACAGGCAGCCATGAACACAGCCACAGCTGGCAGGATCGCCTATTATTTGGTTGGGTGAGAGCATTTGGCTTGGTCCCGTCCCTGCATTTGCTAGTGGCACACTTTCTCTGATCTCAAAGGAGAGAACCAACCAACAGCAATAACACCAGGTCTGCTTTCTGGAATCAAAACAACTCTACTTTAAAGAATAATTTTACTTGGTCATTTTGTGTTTCATTTGTCTGCATGCAGGTTTGTGTGGAGACAATGTGCCCTCGGAACTTCGAGCTGCAATCCGGTCTTTTATTCCTGCCCCTCCCTCTGGTGGGCGTGCCTGCCCCGAGAATTGTTTGATGAGGTTTTTGAGGCCATGAGTTTCCCTGTGAAGCCTTTGAAGAAGGGATGGTGTTCGAGGGGACTCTAGGCTATGTTTCAGCTCTGCTGTTGGCCTCTATCTATCTTCCCCCCTCCCCGTCCCAACATACACTCACGTTTCTTTTTGCCCTTTCCCTCAGACTTACTCAACTTGTCTTTGTGATTTCAGAAAAATGCCACTGGATCTCCCAGTATGAAGGATTAGCACAGATTATGGGGAACAGTGTTAATTATGGGTGGAAAGGGGGCTGGCGCGTCGCTCCAATGTGCTCCTGATTTCCCCTGGGCCTTTCTGCCTGGTAATAAGCCTTCTTTAATCTGGCAGGCCCCTTGGTGAAATCAGCACCACGGACAGTGATATTGATTGCTTCTGAGAAACCATCACAGCTGCTCAACCAAATTACCTTTGATATGTGACCTTTAATGTAATTACTGCAACATCAAAGTATTTCTATAAATTATTAAAGAACTAATACACTCCATCATTTAGCTATTCTATTATATGTAAAATAAACAACCACAAGTTAATGTTAGATCCTCAACAATCCACACTTGCTACTGAAATACTCCCAATTCCCAGCCTCTCCCCTTTCAAAATCCTAAACCTCCCCCTCTCACCTTCTCTCTTTCTGTTTCCCCTTCTGATTCCGGCTTTTAGCCACCATGAAACTCCCTAGCAATCTCTCTCAAGCTGATGAAGGGCCTCCCATAACAATGTGGTATTTTCTATTCCATTTGGGTGGCTCTAAAATATCTGTCACAGTCTCCCCCAAAACAAAGTACCATAAACACTTTATTAATCAGCACAAACCTTTCTCAGAAGCCTTTGATTATCCTACAATATGGCTTTATGCTTCACACATAACATGGGGCGATGTGAGGCATATTTCTGCCGTCTTACAGAGGGCACCCAGAAAGTAATTACTATAATATATGTGCATGTAGCCGCGCAACTGAAAAAACAACTGGGGAATGGCCACCCTGCCAGAGCTGGGCTTCACACAAAATCTGTGCGGTGCTCGATTTCCATATATTTGCATCTGTGGGTATGTTATTAAGATGACTCAGCCCCGTGCTTTGCAATCACAAATACCAAAATACAATACAAAGGCTGTCTTAATGGAAGGAAGGCCCTGTGTAATTCAGCTCTCCCCACCCCTAAACGAGTAAAGAAAGATCTTCGATGCAAAGGAAGGCTGCCCCCGCCCGGGGTTGCATTTTCTCTCCGTCTACCTGGTTAACCTTTCCCGCTGTGGGGTAGAAATGGAAACGTGTGTTTACATACGGTTGGCTTGGTAAGAATGTAAACATGCATGTGTAAGCATGGGTGTGCATACTTATAGAACACATGTGCTTCCCTGCAGTGTCCATTGTATAAGCGTCAACACTATATTTAGAAAATCTTTAAATTATGCCCACAAACACACATCTTTCCATTTATCCTTAGATACTCAGCAGCCGTATATCTCTCCCCCCTCACCACCGCCCCATCTCTCTGAACCCACAGGAGAGACCGCGCAGACCCTTGACCCGAAGAATACTTCTTATTTTATGGTGATGAACTAGCCTCGATAATAGCCATGGCTGATATCACACCCAGTTAGGGGGGCCATAAATAATTCTCTTCTCCCCCGCACAGAAGCTATAAACCAGGGCCGAGGCGCGATAGTTTATCAAAGACGAGGGCTGGCTCCTTAAATAAACCGCGGTGATCTCACTTGCGGCGCCCCCTCCCACGCCGGCCCCCTCCTCCCCCACTAGAGCGGCCCGCGTCGACTCGATGGGCGGACTCGATCGCGCACGCGGCCCGCGGGCCCGGCGGAGGCAGCTCCCGCTCCGGGGACCCGGGACGCGCCGCTCCCCCGCCCCAGGCTGCCCGCGCAGGAACTTCACGGCCACGGCCAAGTGGGGCCCCTGTCCCGGATCCCGTTGGGCCCGGACGGCCGAGAGCCCAGGGATTTGGGGGGGCGCGCGGGCTCCCGAGCTCAGGCGGGGCGGCGGGCGCCCTGCCGTCCTCTCCCCGCGCGCCGCGCCGCCGCCCGGCCTCCCGAAGTCGCCCCCTGTCGGCGCGTCGGCCGCTTGCGCCACGGCGGGCGCCACTTACCCCGGGCAGAGTCTTCTGCTCGTGCAGCGCGCTCTGGGCCTTCAGCGCTGACTCACGCTCGCAGTAGGTGAGGAAGGCGCAGCCTGGGGAGGAAAGCAAGCGCCAAGAAGGGTCAGTGGGGCGCCCCCGGGCCCGCCGACGCGCCCTGCCGCCCGCCCTCCAGGCTCCCGCCCCTCCCTGCCGCTCGGTCCCTGTCCCCACCTCTCTTTCTCTCCCGTGCACTGTTCTCGGAGCTTCTCTGCCTCTCGGTGTTCCCGGCTGTCTGCCTCTCGTACCTCCCTTTGCTTTTCTATTTTGCTCCCTCCGCGGAGTCTCCCCACCCTGCATCTTCCCCCCACCAC
The DNA here is from genome assembly GCF_000001405.40 of Homo sapiens. Lineage (NCBI taxonomy): Eukaryota > Metazoa > Chordata > Mammalia > Primates > Hominidae > Homo > Homo sapiens. The sequence goes on from NC_000018.10 coordinate 37,485,866, forward strand.
ACCCCCCTCTCCTTACGGTTCTCTCCTTACCCCGTACCCTGGTGCCTCAGACCTCTCTGCCCTGTTTCAGCGCCAGCCCCTACGCTTCCTAGAAGGGGCAGCTTCCACCCCTCACCCCCAGCACCTCTAGCCACACTTGACCATGGGCTGTCTTTCTGGCCGGTAGGAGTGCTGGGCGCTGCTCCCTCAGGGATGGTGGAGGGCTCCTCTAAGCCTTACAAATAAAGGCTCAGTCTGTAAGGAGGACCCCAAGCCAGGCCCTCCTAATAAAATAAACGTACCCTGTGTCCCCTGTCCCAACCCCTGTTGTTTGATTTGCAGTGACAGATGGTCTTCACACCCCTCCAAGTCAGAGGGCTTCTAGGGCATATCCAGGCCACCGACTTACAGCACTAGACCACCCTTGCTCTGCCTTTAATTCCCTAGGTGACCTTAACAAATCACATCCTCTTTCTGGCCTCAGTCTCCCCACCTGCGAACTGAGAAGGCTCAGTCTAGCTCTCCCACTGATTAATTCTAACTGGGCCACACCCCACCTCCTCGCCAGGGAATCCGGATTTGACAGAAGAATATACTCAAGGGGTGACTTTTCAGTGCTGTCCTTTAGGTGTGGTGACAAGGCCAAGAGAGTGGGGATGGGGGAGTCTTTCTGGGAGTTCCCATAAGCTGTCCAGCATGCCCAGTGTCAGGCCTTCTTTCTCTGCCTGCAGATGTGGCTGAAGGTGGCTTGGGAGGCCTGCAAGGCTCAAAACCATGGGGAAAGCCCAAAAGCTCACTATGGCGGAAGCAGGCTTGAATGTTCTGGTGAACAGTCACCTCAGACCTTTTCAAGCCACCCATGGCCCCAGAGAAGGCACCCTGTGGAATGGCTGCCTCTCTTGTTCCTCTCTCTCTCACGTGATCTTATCCAAGGCCACATCCCCAACAACCTGTGTTCCCTTCTGCCCCCGCATTCCTCTGCTCTCACCACCTCCTCACCTGGTATACCCCTCTTCCCCATGTTCACTTCTCCGAAACCCATTGATCTTTCAAGAATCTGATCAAGTTCTACCTACTCCAGGCAGCCCTCCTTGGCTGGTCTAGTCCATCCCCAGCCAGTCTCCACAGCCAGCCATTTGGTCATTGCCATGGCCATTTATTTCCTGAGTGCTCGCTCTGTGCCAGGCTCTGTGCCAGACCTCGTGGCCCAAGCCCTCCTCTCATGAGGCCCACAGGCTGCTGGTGCCAGTATGGTACCTATGTCAGCCCTTGTCACCAGGCTTGCTTTAGACTCTGGTTGCCGGCCACAGAATGCTCCCGGTGTCCTCTGCAGCTCCTGACTCTTCCACCAACCAGCCTGTACCCAGTGAAAACCCCTTTCCTCCCCTTCCAATGTAGAAATTCCTGCCTCCCTTCCCTTTCTGGCTTCAGAGAGGAGGTGGAAAGGGAATGTATTTGTGAAAGGAACGGAGATGAAAGAAGGAAACAGGGAGAAAAGCCTGGGAGACAGAAACTCTCAGCTCCCAGTGCCCCCTCTGCCTTCCCCACCTCCAACTCCTGCCTCAGGCTTGGAGAAGCTTCGGAGAAATCTCTCTCCCTCTCTGTCTCATGTCTCCCTTCCTCCAGACCCCAGATCACTCCTCCTCCCTCTCCCGTCCTCCTCCCTCCTGGTCACTGGCAGACTGTTATTGATGGAGACACCCGGGGACTGAAATGAATAGCGGTCAGAGGCCCCCGTGACGTCGTCCCTCGTGCTGCCGCCTGCTTCTCCCGGGGGCGTCTTTCCTCCCGTCCCCTTGTTGGCCTTGTCCTCTGCCTGCAACCAGGAGGTGGCCACTGCCTCTGCTGTACGCAGGCAAGCCAGCTTGGGACAAGGTCAGGGGCAGGTTTGAGGGGAGGAGGATGAGGGGAGGGAGGAAGAGGAGGAGGAGTAGGAGGAGGAAATGACCATATTGTTTCCATGGCCCAAGATAACAAGAAAAGGATTCCAGAGGAAAAAGAATCTGTTGCTTTTGTCCAGCTTCCAGGAATTTCTGCCACAGTTTTTGAGAGAGCTCACAACTTTATTGTGAACCAAAATCTTTCAGGATCCTCCAGACCTTGGGTGACCTCCCCCTGCCGTCTCCACCCCCTGAATTTATCTCCTTCCAGTCTTCCCCTGGCCCCACTCACTGGTCCCCTCACTACTTCTTAGCCCCCCAGGTGCACTCTGTCTTAGGGTCTTTGCACTGGTCTTTCCTCTTCCCAGAACGGCACCCCCACCCCACCTCTGCTATCAGCATGGTGTGCTCCTTCCCTTCACTCTGGTTTCTGCTCAAATGAGACCTCCTCAGAGACACTTCCCTTGACCACCCCATTTAGCATAGCCCTGCACCCACACAGACCCTGACCCCTTTTCCTGTTTCCCTTTCTGTTTGGCACCCATCACTCCCTGACAGAGTCACATATATTTGCTCTTTGAGGGGCAGGCTCCCCATGCTCAGATGAGGTTAGGAGCCTGGTTTTGTTCTGTTTCTGCTTGGTTCTCAGTGTCCAGCATATAAGTGGAGGCTAATACGTATTCCTTGAAAGGACTGAATGCCAGAACACCTCAGCTAATTTGGTGGGGCCAATAGGCACAGAAATGGTGCTCAGAGGCTATTGAGAGCTGTTCAAGATCTGTGGGCACTGAGGCACACTGGACTTCTATAGTGGTGGCAGGGCCAGAGGTTGCCTGAGAGTTGATAAGTGGGTTCCTGATGGGAGGGTTTTTGCCCCAAGAGCTCCCAGGAGCCTGTTGAACCTGACAGTGCACTCTCACCATGCTTCCCCCTTCACCCCCAAGTTGATCCCAGAAAAGACTGATAAACAACTGCAGCTCCTGACTCCTCCACCATCCAGCCTGCACCCAGTGAAAACCCCTTTCCTCCCCTTCCAATGTAGAAATTCCTCCTGCCTCCCTTCCCTTTTCGGGTTCAGAGAGGAGGTGGAAAGGGAATGTATTTGTGAAAGGAATGGAGATGAAAGAAGGAAGCAGTGAGAGAAGCCCAGGAGAGCCCCTTCCCAGGCAGGGCCCACCCCAGCGTCCTCATCTGTAAAATGGGAAGAGTAATGGCCCTCAGAAGCTTGTGGGGAGACCTACTTGCCAGTGAGTATGAACAGCCTCTACAGACTTCACTAAGTGCAGACTGCAGTGTCAATATCAGTTCACTGTTGTGAAGCAGGGGCTAGAGAGGTGTTGAAGCCCCTTCCTTCTCTCCCTCTGCACCTCTGTGAGGCGGGAGCGGCTGGATATAGAGGCTAACTGGGGCAGTCCCACCCCGGGCCCTTCCCAGTCCATCTCCAGCCCATCCGATGCAGCGGCTGACACGCCAGCATGGCAGATTAGTTGGCTATCTTAAGGCTCTTTGAGAAAGGCAAATGCGGATAAGCAGTTATTAACGCTGACTCCGGGGTTCAAAAGAAGGGACCAGTCTGCTCCCTGGCTGAGGGCAGAGCCCTGGGGGCATGGTGACTGTGGGGAGGGGGCTGCAGGAGGAGAATTTGCCATCACAGGGTGCTGTGGATGGTGAGAGGCCTGTGGTGGAGAATGGGGGGCCGGGGAAGAAAGGGTGCCCAAGCCTCAGCCATTGGACACTCACTGCTCTCTCCTAGGGAGGGAATGGGGGTGGGACACATAGAACCCCCAGCTAGAACAGCTGGCCTTGACTTCCTGTGGCTCATTTCCACATCTCACAGGGGTTGAGGAGGGGGCTGTGGGCTGTGAGGGTGTCCAGCTGAAAGGGGGGAAGGTGGGGAGCATCAGCCTCAGCCCAGCAGCCACTAATCTGCCAAACTCACTCTCCTATGTTGTACTGAGTTGTCCCCAGAGACATCCCTGGCGGGGCCCTTTGGGAACTCACAGTTGAGGTGGGAAACGGGATTCTCTCAAGGAGCAGCTGCCTAACAACACAAGACAGTGTGGGAGAGAGGCTAGAACCGGGCTCTGAACGCTGAGGCTTGAGAAGGTCTGTGGAGGGTGCCTCATCCTTCCTGGGGATGTGGCCAGTGGCACAGAAATCTCTCCCCATCTTCAGACCCAGAAATCCCTCCCAAGTCCTGATCCTATGATCCACATACACTCGTGCTCACAGTGGAGTCGGCAAGGATCCAGTGTGGCTGCTTGGAATAGCAAAAAAAAATTAAAAACCACCTAAATGTCCCTTAGGACAGGAATGCTTTCATTTTTAAACTGTGAATACTCAAAAGCAGTTAAAAAGATGAAAAGACCCTCAATGTACCAGCATGGAAAGCCACATTGTCAGATGGGAAAAGCAAGTTGTGAAATAATAGACGCCATGTATATACAATGGAGACACAATCAACTCGCCCATTATATACTCAGACCTGTATTTACATGTGAAAGACAAAGTCTGGAAGTCACACCAAACTGAAAACAGGGAGTACGGGGTGGGGAGTAGGGGGGTATGTTTCCTATGACTTTCACTTTTTTTGTTTTGTTTGACACATTTAGACCCAGAATGTATTCATGTATCACTTGCATAATTAACTTGAAAGGAAAAAAAAAATCTTTACTAAAAGAGTAGGATGAAATGAAAAGGAGGTGGGTGAGAATAGGTGAGCCCGACAGGATGCAGGGCCCATGGCCTGTATTGAGGAGACAAAGATCATTGCACATCTGCCGCCTGGCAAATATACTTCATGAGGGAAATTATCCTTGGTGGGGTGGCTGTGGCCCTGCCTCAAAGCTTCCTCTGAGCCGGGGCTGGCTGCTGCGGTGCTGGGAGTTGACACAGGTGCTCTCAACTCAGCAAGCTGGAAATGTAAATGATTCTGGTTCTTTGGCCCTGAGTTCTGGGGGTTGGTGTTTGGGGGATGGAAACCATGATGGTGCAAACACCTCCCCGTCTTTGCCCTCCCATTTTTGGAGGGCCCTCCCAGCTGTGCGACTCTGACGGGACATGAGGTAGAGCCACCCAAGTGATCCAGGGGCTCTCTGGGTGGTCTAGGACCTCACCCTGAGCTGCCCCCTTTCCTGCCCCACTGTCTGGGATGGTTCTCCCGGCACCAGCTCATAATGGAGTCTACCACCCGTTAGGGGTCAGCGCTTTCTGTCCCACCTCTTCCTGAGTTACGGGATCAAGCAGGATAGAAGCGCAGCCTGTTCTGGAGCAGAGACAGCTTTGGAAATCATCCAAGGTGGGGTGGGGGCAGAGAGGTGACAGAACTGCAGGGTGAGAAGTCACACCACAGTGCTGCCCTCAGCAGCTGACACCTGGGCTCCCTATGGCACCCTCTTCTCACCCGAGAGGGGCCCCATGCCCACCTCCTCTCCTCACCCGAGAGGGATGCCGTGCCCACCTCCTCTCCTCACCTGAGAGGGACGCCGTGCCCACCTCCTCTCCTCACCCGAGAGGACGCCGTGCCCACCTCCTCTCCTCACCTGAGAGGGACGCCGTGCCCACCTCCTCTGGCCAGCAGAGACCTGCCTGTCCTCTAATACTTGAGATTCTATCACATACGCTGAACACTTTGGCCGGCACACATGTTTCCTTATTCAGCCATGTCACCTTCTCCCACTTACCATTATTATTTACTTAATCCCTTCCATTTACCAGCTTGATGCCTCGTCTCTGAATAGACTTTCAATTCAGTGAGGGTGGAGACGGGCTCTTCTATGTCTATACGGCTAAGTGGAGGGCCCAGCTCCTCATTCAGGGGTCTGCAAGCTGGAGACCAAGAGGGACTATGGGGGTGGGGGAAAGAGATCCAAGATTGGGGCACTGAAGGGAGATTGGGAAAAGTTGGCAGAGTGAGGAGGGAAGGGAGAAGGAGTGTGTGGCAGGAGAGGTGAGCACTGGGCCAGGGAGAGGCAGGCAGCGTGGGCAGCGGGAGGGTGCTGTCGGGCTAGGGTGCACGCAGGGGTGGCGGATGCCCCTCTCCGACATGGGCAGCGTGCAGACCATGGTGCAAGGGGTACTGCTGTGGCCAAGAAGGTGGGCGGTGCCCTCTCCCATGTGGGGGGAAAACACAGTGCAGCAGAATTAATTGCACGGAGATGGCAGTAATTTACAAAGCCCCCATGTGCCGGGATAAAAGGCCCTTGTCATTGTGAAGTGAAGGAAGTACAATTTCCTGCCCAACTCTGAACAGGGCCGAAGCCTGGGGTGTAATCATCACGGAAGGGAAGGTTCCCGATGTGATGCTCTCCCTCCTCCCACCCCAGCTGGGTCTTGCCTTGCTACTAATTGAATTACAGAATTAGCCAGAGGAAGGTGGCCCTAGAATAGGAAGGTCTGGATTTTAATAAAACATCAGATCCTTTAGGCCTTGGACTTGGCCGGCCTGGAGGAAGTGGGAGAAAGCTGGGCGGTGGGGAATGGGAAGGTAGCAGGAGGCCCACTAGCCAGACCTAGGGGCCGAGGAAGGGGCTCCCTGAAGGCCCCTCTGCCCCAAATCTCCACTCATCCACCTGCCATGGTGCCTGAAATCACAGCCTGGGAGCATCACTCCTTAGTGGTCCTCACCCCCGGCTGCACCTGAGAATCACCTGGAAGATTTAAAAAACATGCAGGCCACTGCAGAGAAGTTATAGTAGCATCTCTGGGAGTGGATCGCAAGAGGGAGGGAGGGAAAGTCCACCAGCTTCCCTGGGAAGAGGGTTACTGATGTTCTGAGGTCACATCTGTTCCCCCATCCAGGCTCTGTCTTTCGTGCTCTGGGTGGGCAAAGACAGTCTTCCTGGTACCTTTTGAAGCAGATGTTCTGCTGCCACGTGAGAGAGAGGCAGCTACAGAGCAGCTCATCATGTACATGTTCTTCCTCTGCAAATGTCCTCCCACTTCGAGTACCCGGCTGGAGTCTACACAGCCTTTAAGACTCACTTCTTAGGTCTTACTCCAAGCTGAAGCCCTGAGCATCTACCTCAGCCACTTTGGTCTCACCTTCTATGGATTCGCATGTGGCCTCTGCCCATGGCCTGCCTCAAGGATGAGCCTCATTTTCTTACCTCAACCATGAACAACTTGAGGCTGGGCCCTTGGGGCTCAGCAGGACTGAGTAACAGGCGGGAAAAAGACCCCATGGGTCTGTGCCTCTCTCTCTGCTCTTCTCTGTGTGTCCAGCCAAGGTTGACCCTCCTGCCATCTTCCCAGGACCTTTTCTGGCCATTCTTGTTTCCCTAGTTATTTCCACCTGGATCTTCTTCCCTCTCTCTTCCCACTCCTCCAAGTACTCCCTGCTGGTATTCCAACAATTCCTGCAGTTGTCTTCTCTCCATGTGACACAGTGATTCCCCACCCACATAATAAATTTCTGACTTCCTCTTGCTTCTCCACCCCCATGGGGTAAACCCAAGCCTAAGAACATCATCCTTTCCTCTGCTGCCTTCCCCCATGCCTCACCCCTTTAGAGCCCACGTAACTTTCTAGGAGTGTCTAAGTTTTCCTTCCTCCAGGAAGCCTTCCCTGACTACTTCAACCCCAACCTCTCTCATAGCCCTTGGCAATGGTCTGTCTCATTTTGCAGTTAGAATCATACACGTCTTTGCCTTGCATTTGTGTGTGTTCACCCAGAATGTAAATACTCTATTATAGGAGTAGCTCACCCCAGGGCCCCCTTTCCCCCAGTGGCAGACAGCGTAGAATGCAGAGATTGCTGAGCTCCATTCTGCCTCTGGCTGGGTGAGAGTGAGCGGAGTGGCAGCAGGAAGTGGCTGCTGCAGGGATGCGGGTGTGGGGGAGGTGGGCCATGGGGTCTGGGGAAGTGAACACATTGCTCAGGCCCCTGGTAGCAGGAGCCATACGTCTTCCTCAGAGGAGGCAGCCTGCAGGGTGGGGGTGATGGGGACTGCAGAGGTGGGGGAGGGGGAAGATGGATGGTCCCCTAAGCCAATGCATCAGAGGCTGCAGCCTGCTCTCCTCTTTAGGGGCTCTCCAAGTGCTGGAATCTCCCCCTTGGCCATGCATTCTTCTTTCAGGCTCCGTACTGCCCTCCAGAGTCTCCTCTCTTTAAATCAGAAACTCCAGAGAAGAACATGGCCCATTCTAGAGTGCGAATGAGTTTTGTTGAGTTAAACTCCTCTGTGTGGTATGGGAAAATAAATGGCTCACTGTGACTCTTTCTGCCCTTTGTACCCACAAGACAGAGATGTGCACAGAGCTGGGGTGGTCCAGATTTTCCTCAAGCTAGATTTGAATCTCCCAGGAAAGGGACCAACCTTCTCTTTCTCTTCTTGCTGAGCTCAGGGCAGCGTGTTCAGACCGAGGGACCTAAGTGGCTCTGGACAAGGAGGTGCAGACCTCAGAGGGTTAAAGAACCAGCCAGTGGGTCCTTTGCCAAGTGTCCATCCTTTCCAGTTGCCCTTGTTTATGCCCTAAAAGCTTGAGAATTACATGTCTGGTGTCGGCTGCTCCATCTTTATAGCACTGTGAAAAAAGACAAAGTGGACGTGACATATTGATGGCCTGTCCCCCTTTTCAGCAAAGAGCTCCTCCATCTATGGTCAGGGCTGATGGGCCCATGAGGTTCAGGAAAGTAGGGACTGGCCCAGGGTGGGTGTCAGCCTTTCCAACCTGGGCTTGCAGAAGTGAAGCCTGCTCAGCTGACCACATTTGTTGGGCTTTGTTCCTGCAGCCAGGGGCTTGCTTCTGTACCTCTTCTCTGGCCAGCAGCTCCTACTGGTCCCCAGGAGAGCATGAGGGTGCTCCCTTATGTGTGTTTTTTTGGCAGAGGGCCTTGATTTGCCAGAGTGCTGTCATGTGCATGATCTCACCATTCTTACACCTCAGCATAGGCTCGGGATGGGGTGCGTATCGTCGGCATCTGACAGCTCAGAAGCTTGAGACTGGGAGAGGCCCTGAGATGTGGCCACAGTGGGAGAGCAGAGACTCTGGTATCCTGATGGCTATTTTTGGGCTCAGTTCCTGCTTTCCCCTCCAGGAGCCCTAGGCAGTGTCTGAGGACAGTGTGAGGACGGGCCATGCTCAGGGAGACACGAGGGTCCTTGGAAGGGAGAGGTCCTCCCTCCCCACCCCCAATCCTGTGGCCTTCTCTTGGGATAAGGGGCTCAAGGGTGACCTCATCTTCTTCCCGCAGACACCCAAGTAGAGTCAGCTGAGGTGGTGCCTGTCCTTCCTCTATCACAGGTGCCCTTTCAAATGTCAAAGGCAGGCATGCCATGGGCTCCTCTGCAGAGGTCTCTAGCTGAGCATCAAGGGTGGATTTCAAATGCATTTGGGGCATTTGCTATTCACATGAGTGCCAGGATAAATTCTTTGCTAGAACCTAGAAACTGAACTATGTTCCTTTCTGATGAACCTGGTAGGGGAGTTTAGATCTTCCTGTTTGAATTCTCTTAGACCAGGGTGAGAAGCCAGGCTCAAGTCAGTGGGGACGGCCCACAGTGGAAGGGGCTCTCAGAGGCCTCCTTGGCAAGACCAAAACCATCGCTAAATTACGTGATATGGGCGACAGACAGGGTCCCCGATGAAGCTAGGCATCTTCACTTGTTTGGGAGGGAAACCACCTCCCTCCTCTCCAACAGCTTCTGAGCCTCTGCCTCACTCCTTCCACCCTTGCCTGGATTCCTTCTCCCTCTTGGCCTGTTTTTTCAGAACTTCAGAGCCTCACTAGCTGACCTCAGCCACATGGCTCAGCCCTGGCCTGACACCCTGACCTCCTCAGCACATAAGAATCACACCATGCCCCATCTGAGGCTCCAGTGGCTAGTGTCATTTGCTTGGTTGTGTGTGTGTCTTATACCTGCACAGCGAGCTCAGCAAATACTTGCCGAGTGAGTGGCAGAGAATTCCCCTTGCTGGAGCTCTTCATGGCCATGGGACTGGTGAAGTGGAGGTGGGGGTCATTTTTCACAGAGGGAGTGCCTTCCCCATGCAGAAGGAAGCTCAGAGGACTCTGTCCTTAGGCTGCCTCTGAAGTCCCCATCCCTATCCCCAGGCCTGAAGCACTCCCTGATATATCCACAGGGACAGCTCTCTGCCCTCATGATTTGTGTGCATGTGTGCTTGTGTGTGTGTGTGTTTTGGGGGGTGCGATGGGCTTCTCTGACTCTTATCTCCCATGAAAGGAGAATAGATCATAACAGCAAGGCAGTGGACCTATGAGTCCCTTTGTGGCTTCTTAGGACAGACCCTCCCTTTGGGTCACACAGCCAAGCCATGCCTCCCTCCCCCAGCAGTGTGTGACCATATCACTGTGGGCCTTTTCTTATTCCCTCCTCATGTCTGGAGTGCCTTCCCCACTCTTGGGCCCTCCATCAGATCCTCCAACCCTTTGAACCGTGTTCAAGCTGCAGCTCCTCAGTGTAACCCTCCCAGCTTCTCAGCCCTTGCTGGGTCTCCTTCGAAAATGTCTGATGCCCTCAAACGAGTGCTTGGTTGAGCAGCTTTCTGCTGTTCTCATCTGTGAGAATCCTGTCCCTCAACTAGACCACAGCGCCCAGGGCTGGACCTCTTCTCTGGAACCCCCTTACCAAGCCCCAGGATGGGGTTTCATAAGAGTAGCTGGGTTGAGCTGAACAAAATTCAGGAGGGGAAGGTGTGTCCACCCCTCTTTGATTGCAGGGTCTGGTCACATGGTGGCACTCAGGACCTGCCTGGTGAGGTGAAATAATCTCGCCTCTGTCCTCTGGCTTCTTCCTAACAGGCTCTAATTCACTTAAAGAACAACAACACAACAACAACAATAAATTTTTTTTAAAAAAGAAGCACACCAACCAAGAAATTCCAACCTCAGCATCCAAGACAGGCTATTTTGAAAAGACCAATAGCCAGGAGTCCCATATTACAGGATCAATGTTTGGAAAATGTGACTTTCTTTTTAAAAGAAGAAAAACAATCTCACACTGTCCTGGTAGGCCACAGTCCAGCTGTCGATAGAGGGTGTCTTTCTCTCATGATCTTGGCCATTTAAGCCACTGTTCTGGCCGGGCTTTGGGCTGCACCCAACATCAATACGGTAAGTTCAATCACAGGCATTTAGCAATATTTAACCTGAGGGCTGCGGCGAAGAAGGAGTTAGCAACTGTGACTGGGACGCCAGCCTCAATGAGTCAATCCCTCAAATCCAGAGGGGCCCTAAGGAAGCAGCATTCTCATTTTTCAGAGGGGTAGGGGCTCTGGGTTTTGCTCTAGAGGCAGCTGGCCCCGGTCCTGGGAAGGGCTAGAGCTATTCCAAGTCATCCTGCAATCATTGCTGACTCTCAAGGAGTGCCCAAGGTGGGTGAGAGGAGTTGGTAAATGGGGAGCCTGGCCTATGGGGTAAGACAGAGCCTAGCATTTGGCTCTAAAGTTTCTTTTCCCAGAGAACCACCCACATGCCCACAGAGCCCACCAAGAGAGAAATGAAGCCAACTTATCAGCTGACTGGTACACAAGACCCAACAAACCATGTGACTGGGGTTGGAGGTGCTGTCTTCTGTGGATGGAGTGAAAATATGCTTCATTCATTCATTCATTTCGCAACCATTTATTGATGGTCCACAATTTGCCATGAAAGACATACCCCCTGCTTTAAAAGAGACAATTGGTGCTGGGTGTAGTGGCTCAGGCCTGTAATCCCAGCACTTTGGGAGGCCAAGGCGGGCAGATCACGAGGTCAGGAGTTCAAGACCAGCCTGACCAATATGGTGAAACCCCATCTCTACTAAAAATACAAAAATTAGTTGGGCATGGTGGCATGTGCCTGTAATCCCAGCTATTCAGGAGGCTGAGACAGGAGAGGCGCTTGAACCCGGGAGGCAGAGGTTGCAGTGAGCTGAGATCACACCACTGTGCTCCAGCCTCGATGACAGAACGAGACTCTGTCTCAAAAAAAAAAAAAAAGAAAAAAGAAAGACAATTGGTAAGCATGCTTGGAAGGCCAGGTGATGAGTGTGCAACCAACATACCTATCAAGCCAAAGTTTGTGCAGGGCCTATTGGTGGCACAAATGATAGCAGCAAACACTCACTGATTTTTGGTTGTATTTTGGGCATTGTTCTAAGGGCTTTATATGTTTCGACTCATTTAATGTAAGTCTATAAAATAGACTTATCATCCCCATTTCACAGGTGAGGAAATGGAGTCACTCAAAGATTAAAGACTTGCCCGAGATCTTGTGACCAGGTCCCTGATAGAGCCAGTGTGTGAGATGGGTAGGCTGCCTGCAGAGCCCATGTCCTGAACTCTGGACTCTGCAGCCTTGAGAAGGAGGTTACTCAACTCTGCCTGGGGGAGAACTCAGTGCAGGGACACCTGAGTGAATCACCAACCCAGAGTGGCCTTAAGGGAAGGGTGTGCTAGGGCAAAGCTCTGCATATGCAAAGACTGAACAGAGTGGGTTTGGGGGCCCTGGAGTGGTTTAGAAGGGCTGGAGCCTGTAAGAGCACCATCTCCTCAAAGCTCCCCCAGGTGCCTTCCTAAACATCTTTCTTTGGCTTTCTCACTTTCTGTTCTTCCTCTCCTCTCTTCCCCTTCCCTTCCCTCCTTTCCCCTCCCCTCTCCTTCCCTCTTCTTCCCTTCCCTTCCCTCCCCTCCCTTTCCTTTCCTTTCCCTCCTTTCCATCATCTCCCCTTCTCTTCCCTCCTCTTCCCTCTTCTCCCCTCCCCTCCCTTCCCCTTTCTTCCCCTCCCCTCCTCTTCCCTTCCTTTTCTCTTTCTTCTTTATGTCCTTTCCATTGCCTGACTCCTCCCTCTTCCCTTACCTTCTCCCTCCCTCCCTTCCTGTCATTCTGTTTTGTCTCATGACTAGCACCTATATTATCTCTTGTCCACCTATTTAATTTTCCCCCGACCATCCCAGGCTGCAGCATTTTTCCCATCCCTACACAGTGGTAACATGGGACCTTGAGGTTCCTGTCACCAGCCAGCTGGTGACTCTGAGAAAGCCATCCAACCCCTGTGGCCTGATTGCTGCCATCCGCAGGGTGTCTGGAGTTCCGGGAGAGGGTTGCACCTGGCCTGGGAGGGAGGTGGGTCTGGCTATGACAGTAGCCTCTGCTTTCTTCTGGGAGCCCTGGGGTAGTTTACAGAGTCTCTTCCAGAATCTGTGAAATGGGGATAATGACACTCACCTGCTGGGGTCCTGAGTGCCCAGCAGAGCACCTGGGATATAATTAATGGGGAGTGTTACTCTTGTTGTTGTTGTCCGTAGTAATAGTTGTGATGTGATGCTTAAATTCCCTACAGTGTGAAAAATGGCTTTGGCCTTTGTACTGTCTATTGTCTGCTTCCTTTTGTAGGACCTGTGTGTGTTCTTTGGTTATAACCACACTCATACACACTCATAGGGGACAGGGACCTCATTGCACTTCCTGTACAGCACAGGCCAGCATGTGTCGGGGCTCAGAACGACAGATGGTTTGCTTAGAGAGTCTAGGATGCTGGTGTGTTTTGTTTCCCTTGTGTGTGTGTGTCTAAGATGCTAATGACAGGAGGCGGTAATGAGCTGGCAGGGGCCTAGGTGACAAAGAGCTGGCTTCATGCATCCCCAAAGAGGCACCTCAGTGCCAATTGTTTCTTTTGTGAGAGGAATTGTCAAGACCTGGGAATGTGGGCTGGGGAGGGCTGGAGAGAGGAAAGTTGGGGCGTTGCAGACAAGGTTTACAGGAGGCAGATCTCCACACAGGAGCAGAACAGGGTCCTGGCAGCACTGAGAGGGGACAGCCTGGGAGGGACGGGGAGCCCCAAGAGGGTGGCAGGTCCCTCATGGGAAGGGAAGGAGTGTGGATTGAGCACTCTCAACCGTGTTACCTGTTGACTTCTCAAGCGGACCCTGTGAGCTCTGCAATGGCAGGGCTGGCCCCTCTGCATGCCTCTTGTCTGCCCTACTCCTGGCACAGGGCCTGGCATGGGGACTGGAAGCATGGGGTGAGGGATGGTCAATGGTTTGCATGACAGTGCTGACTGGAGGGCTCCAGCAGGTCAATAGGTCTCTCTGGGCTTCAGTTTCCTTTTTTGTAAAGTGGGTTTGATGATCCCTACCCATGAGTCTGTGTCCTCAGCATCCAGCACAGTCCTGGCACCAAGTGGGTCCTTGGCACAGACTCATCAATGAATGAATGAGTGGAGGAGTGGGGCATGGGAAGTACACGTCCCTCTTTTACACACCAGGGAAAGGAGCACGAGTCAATCATCCCGAGAACACACATCTGGTCAGTACGGTAGCTAGAGCTCAGGTGCACCACCCTTCTCCTGGGTTGAGTAAGGCTGGGGAGCCCAGTGCCGCCCTGGCAAAGGGAGAGCAAGCCAGACAAACTGTGTAGGAAGCTGACTGTAAGTCAACAGATGGAGGTGTGTCTCCAAGGCTGTGCACCAAATGGAAGGGAATCGGGAGAACAGATTCATGCGAGGAGGTGTAGGCCTAGTGCAGCCAGTGCCCCTGCCCCTGCCTGGGTGGACGGCAGGCGGCAGCCATGGCTGGGGAGAGAGGGAGGCACAGGTGCAATGCTCACAAGTTCGACAGCTGCATAGGGCTGTATTCTCTGTCTTCACTTCACCTTGAGAGGATCCAGGGATGGGAAGGAGTAGGGCCGAGGAGGGGTGTTGTGGAGACCCAGACCCAGGCTTAGTGAGCTGTGCCAGGCAGAGCCAGCCTGCAGCCTGACCTTAGCACCTCTTCCGACTCCTGCAGCTGAGTACATCTTGTCTTTGTGCCCTCAGTTTACCCCTTCTCTTTGCCTTCTAGCTCATTTTCTTTTCTTTTCTTTTCTTTTTCTTTTTTTTTTTTTTGAGACAGAGTCTCACTTTGTCGCCCAGGCTGGAGTGCAGTGGTGCTATCTGGGCTCACTGCAAGCTCCGCCTCCTGGGTTCATGCCATTCTCCTGCCTCAGCCTCCCGAGTAGTTGGGACTACAGGCACCTGCCACCATGCCTGGCTAATTTTTTTGTATTTTTAGTAGAGACGGGGTTTCACTGTGTTAGCCAGGATGGTCTTGATCTGCTGACCTCGTGATCCACCCGCCTCGGTCTCCCAAAGTGCTGGGATTACAGGTGTGAGCCACCACACCTGGTCATTTTCTTTAGAACCTTTCTGTGTCTCAGCTAAGCTGAATGTACCCCAGCCCCACTGGGGAGGCTGAAGCACGTAGGGTGAGGTGGATAGAAGGTCCAGCTGAGGCCTCTCCTGCCTGGAATCTGAGGCTGAGCAGAGGCTCACCCCCAGCTCTACCCTTCCTGTGAGGTGTGGGGCTGATCAGAGGCCTTAGTTGTGCCAGAGACGTGGGCCATGGCCAAGGATTCAGGCCAGCTGAGAGCAGAGGTCTGGGACTGGAGTGAGAGAAGGTGGGGGTGGCCGGGATGCAGAACCATAGGGAGACCCTGGGCACAAAGGCCCCCACAGCATGGCATTGTGACAAGACACTGGTTTGGAAGCTGCACGTTAGCTCAGACGCCAGGATAGGGTCCTTCTGTCAGGTCCCTGGCCTAGCCACCTTATCTATAAAATCTCTGCTTAAGTGCAGGTTGATGTGGGAAAGTTCCAGAGAATGAAAGTGGGAAGGATGAGTCAGAGCTATGGCTTTTAATCTTGCTTCTACTTGTTCTTCCTTCAGCTGAGGGCTCAGGTGGGACAACGTGGAGCCCCAGACCCTGGCAGCCCTCTGGGGCCTGCGGGTCTCCATTCCATCATTAAGTGTCTGGGGTATCTGTTAATTGCTCAGCCCTGGCCTGGGAAGAGAAGGCAGGGAAATAGAAGAAGAAAGACCACCTGACCTCAGGGGCATCCTGCCTGGGGATGGGCCTGGGACAGAGGGATATGGAGGAAGCCAGGTAAGCTGGTGTGTGGCCCAGTAACCAAGCTTCAGACTGTAGAGGCCTGAGGAAGCCATAGACAGAAACAGGGCATCTGGGGAACCTTCCTGGAGGCTGGGCAGGCTGCCTGGGCCTCAGTGGAGGTAGGTAGGAAGAAGGAGGAGGGGAGGGCCTTGCAGTGGTTGGAGTGAACAAGTTATGTGTGGGACTCGGAGGAGCAGTGGGCATTTGCAGTCAGCCAGTGTGCTCTGTAGAAATGCACTCCAACGTTGACCAGCACGGGCTGCCTCCCGCTTTCCTCTCTCCTTCCATTCCTCTCTTTCTCTCTCCATTTTCCCCCTTCTCTCACCAAGGTTCTCTTCTGGGGAAGCTGGGGCATGAAGAGGGAGGACACACATGGGGCTAAGGGAGAACCAGTAGCCCTCGGCTGAATCATGTTTGTGCATCACTCGTGGTCTCAGCAGCATGGGCTGCCTCTGCCTCCCATGACCAGGCCCCCCGTGAACCTCGAGCCACTGAGCTGCCCGCTTCGTCTGTGGGTCTAAATATAGCGGTTGAGATGCGCACTCTGGAATTGGATTTGATGTAGCCCTCTGGACTCGAGCTAACTTTTGGGGAGTAGTTTTCTTGGGAGCCTGCCAGTCCAATTCCTCCCTCATGAACACTAATTACCGCACAGACCTTCTCCATGAAATCGGTGCTGAAGCCATTTCCATCCAGGCGGCTCTCCAAGACGAAATTTTTCTACTGGGAACCGACAGCCGCAAATAAACCTACCATCTACTTAGCAACAGAGAGCAAGAGCGGGAGGGAGGAAGGAAGGGGGGGCAGGGAGAGTGGGAGGGAGAAAGGAGAGGGAGGGCTCTGCTTCTTTTCTTCCTCCTGTTCTTTATTTTTCAAAAAGGATGTAATCATCTCTCACCGGGAAGGTGGTACAGGGCATCTCATGAGACAGGACAGTGGCCCAGGAGAAAGGCTCAGGCCTCCAGCAAGGCTAGTATCTGCTTTTGGTGGCCTGAGTGTGGCCCGGGCCCCACTGCACTGCTGGGCACCATTGGGGAGCAAAGGCAGCCCCTTGCCAGCTGCAGGGTTTCTTCCCTTCTTTCCCTCCCTGATCTCCCTCAAGCCTCTGCAAGCCTGGCCTGTGCCCAGCTCCCTGTCTCACCTCACTAAGGATGGGCCCCATCCCTCTCTCTGCCTGGTGAATTCCCACCAATCAGCCAAGGCCTCGGTAACATCTCACCTCGTCCAGGCAGCCCTCCCAAGCCCTCTAGGTAGCGCTGATTCCCTCCATTCTCAACTCTAGAGGCCTGTCCCAGGCACCCAGTGCTGGGGTCGGATCTGCTTTCCTTGCTTCCTAATTGAGCCTTTGCATTAGCTGCCCAAAGAAGGATGGGCACTAGAGGGACAGAGCCTCACAGTACCAGGTCGGGTGGGTGCATCATCACACATCTGTGAGCAGATGACATTTCCACCACGGTGCAGAGGATACCCATGAGGCACAGAGGGGTCGGATGGAATGCTCATGGTCACTCACTATCTAGGGGGAGGCAGGGCTTGGACTTAAATGCATGTGTGTGTGTCTAAAGGCCAGATACTGCGCTTTCTCTCCCCTGGCCTCCCCTGGGATGGTTCTGGGGCAGTGCCTGATTCTTTCCCACCTGTCTGCCTCAAAGGTCAGCCCAGGGCTCTGCGCTCAGCCCCTGTTCCAGGAGCACTTGCAGCCAGAGAATAGGAGAATATATTTTCCCATGAGGTTTACCAAGGTTGAGGGCAGGCTCGGCGAGCTCTTATGACTCCTGGCCCGTGGCTGGCACTCCAGCCAACAAAGCCCAAGTGGTGCCCAGAGCCTGCTGTCGAGTCACGAGTGCTGTCCCAACCTTGCCCAGTCAGCAGAAGAGCTACTTCCTCCCTCAGAAGAGCCCCTTCCACATCCTGTGCTTAGCTGTGTGCCCAGGGACACTCCAAGCCAAGGTCCCAGCTCACAAGTCACCTCCCCAGAATGCTTAGCATCTGTTTTCTGAGACTCATGCGTGGAGGACAAGACATTCTCAGAAAAGTCACTAAAAGGGGTGCTAGCACCACTTCTGCCACCAAGGTTTGATAAATCTCTTCACTTCTCTGGGTCTCAGTTTTCCCTTCCATCAAATGGGCATGCTGAGTCCTGCCCTAGTTGTCTTACATGGGTGGGTGGTGCTGGCTTCAAATGAGATGGCAGCAGGGAGTACTGAGAGCCGCTTGAATGTCAGGCAGTCTCCTTCAAGGTCCCTGTTCCATTTACTCTGCTTCATGCTCTCCCAAGACTCTCCTTTTCCTTCCCTGACCCCATCTGGAGTGGGTAAGTAAGGCCGGGGCTCAGTTGTCCTCTCCAGTAAGAAGCAACCAGATTCAGGGCCAAGAGAGTGGCTTCCAGAGAGCCCCTCCTGGGGCCAGGAGAGGATGGGAGTTCCTGGAAGAGCTTTCTCTTAGAAGAGACCTGGGCTAGAAATCATGAACGTGGGTTTTATGCTCACAGCTAAGCCACTTTTCTTCTTTGGATGCCTGTGGCCTTATGTATAGGGAGGAATGGAGTTGGATGAGCTGATCTGTGCAGCCTGGCCCCTTCCATTCAGATGGTATGGTTAAGAATGGGGCTTACGGCCGGGCACAGTGGCTCACGCCTGTAATCCCAGCACCTTGGGAGGCCAAGGCAGGTGGATCTTCTGAGGTCAGGAGTTCAAGATCAGCCTGGCCAACATGGTGAAACCCCGTCTCTACTAAAAATACAAAATTAGCTGGGCATGGTGGTACGTGCCTGTAATCCGAGCTACTCTGGAGAGGTTGCAGTGAGCCGAGATCACGCCACTTCACTCCAGCATGGGTGACAGAGTGAGACTCCATCTCAAAAAAAAAAAAAAAAAAAAGGATGGGGCTTGCACATTGCTTGGCTCAATTTCCTTTTAGCATGTGATTTGGGGCAGGTTTCTTAGCTGCTTTCCTCGTCTGTAAAATAGGAGTCTAGCAGCACTTACTTACCTCCCTGGCTTGCTGAGGGTTAAGTGAGAACACACATGCCTGGTGTACAGGCAGGGCTGGCTCTCAGTAATCAGAGAGTACCAGTCACCACCAGCACAATGAAGCACTGCCTCGGGCGAGGGGCGGTGCTTAGCACTAAGCACACATTTTCTCACTTAGTCCACTGGCTCTATTTTCATTTTTTGGCGTGTCTGTGAGAAATATGGAGATCCTCGAGAGGTGAGGTCAGAGCGCTACCTGGAATTATGGATCTAATTTGGCATCTACAGAGTAAGTCTCAGCATCTGGCTGGGGCAAGAGGCTTCTTTACAAAAGAAAAGGGCCTGAGCCACAAACAATTTGAGGGCCAGTGAGGATGGTGACCACCAGGCCTGGGCCAGAGCACGGGAAGGCCAAGAGGAGTCCTAGGGCTGGCCAGAGCCCATCCTCCTCCAGCCACTGCAGGACACCAAGGCTGAGACTGAGAAAGGCAGGAGAAGTGCCTTGGGGTTCTCTGGTTAGGAGAAGCAGGGGCAGGGGGCAACTGTCCTATTAGGAGAAGCAGGGGCAGGGGGCAACTGTCCCAGAGGGAAGTGAGGTCCTCATATGACTGGTGTCTCGCATGGCTGAGGCCAGATTGATGACCAACTTACATCTGCTTGACCCATGGGCCTGGTGACTGGGGCCAGCCAGGCCAACCTGTAGCTTCCAAGAAGCAGTCTCGTCTCCACACTCCCTTTCTTTCAGCAACTTTTCTATTTTCTAGTTTTGCATCTCCGCTTAGATTCCTGGTTAATCTTCTTTGGAAAAGCTCCAAACCCTTCAGCAGAGCTAAGCTGAAAGGGTCACATCCACCATGGGGTCTGCCTAGAGGGGAACATGGGAATGGGCATAACTATCCTGGCTGGAGTTCAGGCACAGTGGGCTTTTGGGAGCCGAAACGTCGGTGGGTCAGGGCCAGGTGGGGTGATTGTGGGGACCAAGTCCTTCCTGCCTAAGGTGAGTGCCCTTCTCCCAGGGGAATCCTCCCCAGCCTTTTTGTGAACAGAGGACCTCAGTGGCTGGCAGGGGAGCAGGGTGGTTAGAGACATGGGCTTTGGCATCAGACAGACCTGGAATCCCATCTGGGCTCTACCACTTCCTGGCTATGTGATGTTGGAGGAGTTCCTTAACCTCTCTAGCCCCACTGCCCAGACTCTACAGGGGGATCGATAGTGTGAACTGTGCCCCAGGCCTGTTGTGACACATGTGAAGCTCCCAGTACACTGCCAGGCCCCACATGTGTTCCTGTTGTGATGCCATTAAGCAGAAGTGTCCTCTGGATTGCCCAGTCCTCCCAGAACCACACTGGAGCAAGTCTTTTCCATGAGGCACGTCTTTTCCATGGGACAGGAGGGTGGTGGCCTTGATCTGCGGGCAAGTTGCCCCTCCCAGGCCCAGGGAGAGTAGTGGGTAGGAGCTGCCATTCAAAGCCTCAGCCCTGGTTTGTTTCTCCCCCCTCCCCTCCCACCCCCAACGCCGCCCCCCTGTTCTTTTGGCATTCTCTGTTCCTTCTCTTAGGCGGGTGGCTGAGCAGAAAAACAAATCAAAGTTGCCTTCGTGTCTTGAAGCCCGCGATGCTCCTGCAAAGCCATCCCTTGCGTCCCATTACCCACCCCAATAACTCTTGTACATGGAGTGTGAAATAATTAGCAGTGGCAAAAATAATTTAGGAAACAAGAAGAAACTAATTGTATAGGCTTGTTTGGGGAAAACACAGCCGACCAAAAAATCCCGCAGTGTAGGGAGATGTGGAGATGTGGACAGACCAGCCAGCTCCCTGTAGGTCAAGCCCATGGGCTATCACAGGACCTGCTAACTCTACATCTGCCCCTCCAAGAGGGGGCTGGCTTGTGCTGTTGCCAGGACAAGTGACCTCATGGGCACAGAGGTGACTTCTCAAGACACATTTACAGCCCATCTATGCCATCCCAGGAAGGCAGATGGAGAGGGAGGTTGGGCAAACTGGAAGGGTCTCCTGCGGTCACATGGGCCTGGTGTCCTCTCTGAACTTGAGCTGCAGTCGCCCACAAGGCCCCCACATCCAGCAGGCCTGGAATGCTCCTGCCTGCCTGCCTTTGCCATTCAACTCTCCAGCCCCAAAAGACTCCCACTGCACATCAGCCCAACGGCAGCAGCGCCATTAAACGCAATGTGGCGCTTCCCTGGGAAATGGGGGGAAGCATCGCGCCTTGCATTTTATGGCTTTTCTAACTTTGAAAAGTTTGTTTCCTCCTTGGGCACTTTTCTGCTTCCTAAGCTCCCTTCCATCCTCCGTCTCATCTGCTCCTCACTTTCCGGGAGCTGGAAGGGGGTCAGGCACCCTCGTTTCCTTGGGCCAGATGAAAAGGAGTGAGGAAACCTGTACATTCTTGAATGGATGGTTTCAGGTGAGGGAAACTAGAGCCAGAGAGATGGAATTGTTGGCCTAAAGTCACAGTTGCCAGGAGGGTGTCTCAGGGTGTGACCCAGGGCTCTCTCTCTGTCCCCTGCTGCTTCTTGCCTTCCCTACCCTGCTGGAGAACTGTCTTGCCCACTCAAGGCGTTCACCATGATCCCAGCTGAGCACGATGGTCTCATATGCTCCCCTCAGTCACTGCTCAAGGCCCAGAGACCCTGACAGTCATCTGAGTGAGTGCTAGGAACAGGGTGGGGAGGAGGCCCCTCCCCTTCTCTTCTGCCCCTCACCTTAGATGGGTGCATTTGTATTTGTCTAGAACTGATTTACTAGGTTGTTATTCGGGACAGAAATCTCACCTCTCTCTGTGCATGTTCTTGTCTGCTATCTCCTCACTCATCTTCTCTGGTCTGATAACCTCCTAATTCATCCCCTGGCCTCCAGCGTCTCTGTTTCAGGCCAGCACAGTGATTGTCCTAAGGCCAGGTTCTGGTCTGTCACTTCCTTGCTTTGAAATCCTCCATGACTTCCCATTTCCTCTAAAATCAGTGCACACTTCTCAGGCTTGCCTGCTATGTGATATTGCTCTCTGCCATCCTCCTTAGTCAAATCTCAGTGTTCAAGGCATCACTTTAAATCGGGCTCCTCCTAGAGAAGGCAGCTGTGAGAGAGCAGACCTGGGTTTATACTGGGCTGCTTGTCCCCTACTTCACTGTTTTCACAGGAATCACAGCGGCTCCCACTGTGGCATGGCTAGTTCTCATCTCTCAGACACACAGCCACCTGCTGAACACAATGCCTGAGGGCCCAGGGCCCCTCACATTTAACTTGTGCAAAGAGGCCCCTGTTATGTGCCCACATCTGCCCATCCTCCTGGGTTCTGCCACGCTGGTGATCAGCACCCCCGAGCCAGAAACCCAGCAGTTCTACATTCCTCCCCCTTCATCCTCACTTACCCCACAGCCATCTCCAAAGTGGATTCCTCCTCTCCACCAGCCCCTGCCCCAGCCCAGGTCCAGACCTCGCCATCACTCGCCAAGTTTGTGTTTCCTGCAGTTCCTGGGAGCTGTTACCTCCTCTCCGCTTTTCCCTGCCAGGCACCTCTGGGCCTCTCCTTTCTCCCATTTCTTTTCCCTGGCTTGGCTGAAGTCTGATACTGAGTTGCTATGGCATATGAGACAGGCTGGGCTTGATCACCGCATCTCTAAGGCCAGACTAAGACATTGGAAGCTGTGGGTGCCAGTGGAGATTGGGGTTGGTAAGTGCTAGCAAGGCAGTGGCATGTCTGTGTCATCATCAGTCTGGAATCAGGACATGGGATGAGCCAGGGGAGAGCGTGCAGAGGCAGGAGGGTGACTCTCCAGAGGCAGGCCCCTCTGGGCCCATTTGCTGTGCTAATTGCCTGACAGAATTACAGGGCAGGTGTCCAGGTCTTGGGCTGTGGTCTCATCACACACTCAGCAGCTGAGGTCTTTTGCGGAGTGGGGGTTAGGTGGAGAGCTACTGAAATAAGCATGGAGAGGCACCCCCCTCACCTCCTGCTGGGTTGATGGATGGCACTAGGCATGCATAGGTAGGGCATGCCTGTTCTCCACGCTGACAAATGCCACAGGTGCAGCTGCAGGGGACATGAGACAGCTGCTCCCATCACATCTCTGTGTGTGCTGCTCAAGGTCATGCTGTGAGCTCAAGTGGTCTGGTGGACTGGGGGCCTGAAGCCCCCCTTGCGGCCATTGGTTGGTCTCCTTAGCTAACCATTCCTTTCTAGCTGGGGAAGCAGGAGGGGTGGTGGAAGCAGGAGGGAGGCCTCTTCCCTCTGAGCCAAGCCAGTTTAACTGTGCACGTGCTGACACAAACCCTGAGATCTAGCATCTGTATGCTTGGAGAGAGAAGGGTGATCTCTGCTGTGGCAGCTCAGCTGTCACTAGTGTCACCTCTCTTCTGCCTCAACCTGTTCTTCTGCCTCCTGGGACGTCTGCATACACCACTCCTGCCCTAATGTGGTCTTCCCAGCTCAAAGCCCCATCTCGATTGTTCTGGGATGTCATCAGTCTCCCTCCCACAGACAGGGCTCAAGGGTTCAGCCATCAAAATGGACTTCAGCTTTTCTTTCCCCAAATCACTTGTACAAAAATTAATTTAATGGAAGAATGTTATCACTTTATATCCCCCCCTCCTCTAATGAAAAGAAAACAAAG
Organism: Homo sapiens; assembly: GCF_000001405.40. Taxonomy (NCBI): domain Eukaryota; kingdom Metazoa; phylum Chordata; class Mammalia; order Primates; family Hominidae; genus Homo; species Homo sapiens. The sequence goes on from NC_000018.10 coordinate 37,509,200, forward strand.
ATTAGCACCTGCAACCACTTATCTATAGTAGACTCTAGAGAATACCATTTTCACATGGAATTGATCTAAATTTATAATATGTAGGTATTTTGAGTTCTGCAGAAAAGCACCACGAAGCTAGGACATCCAGGCACTGGGTGCCCTACCCATGTGGGAAAGCCATGTGTGTGTGGTGAAAAAATCCAGGAATTGGCATCTGAGTTTCTGGCATCTTTCATTTGGTTGACCCAAGACTTGATCTATCTGAACCTCAGCTTTGTCATCGGTAATGAGAATAAAACTGATCAGATAGGGTTGCCCCTAGGATTAGAGAGAGCAGGCATTGCATGACACAGCAGACACTCAATGAGTATTGAGTTCATCTGAATCAAGGTGGGGACCTTGAGACAGACAAGTCAGTTTGGACATTGACAAACAATAAGAAGGCATAAGCCGTATGATCTAGCAATTCTACTCCTAGGTATATGCCCCAAAGAATTAAAGATGGGTATTGAAACATATACTTGTACATGCATGTTCTCAGCAACAGTATTCACAAAACCTAAAGTAGGAATAGCCTACATTTTCATCAGCTTATGAATGGATAAACAAAATATGGTATATCCATTCAATGGAATATTATTCAGCCATCAAAAGGAAGATAATTCTGACATACACTACAGTGTGGATGAACCTTGAAAATATGCTCAGTGAAAGAAGCCAGACACAAGAGGTCACATATTATTGATTCCATTTATAGGAAACATCCAGAATAAGTAAATCCATGGAGATAGAAAGAAGATTAGTGGTTACCAGGGATTGGGAGGAGGTAGGAATGGGGTATAACTGCCTAATGCACACGAAGGTTTCCTTCTAGGATGATGAATATGTCTCAGAACTTGAGCATGATAGTTGCACAACACAGAGATGGTACTAAATGCCACTGAATTGTACACTGTAATGTGGTTAATGTTTAAGAGAAAAGAAGAGTAAAGAAAAGAAAGCATGGGGGAAATGAATACACTAAAGCACAACAACTTTACCCTCCTCCTGCCCCACGAGTTGCAATATTCCAGCCCAGAATCCTCAGTGCACAGTTCCTCAGTGCATGCCAGGCTTCTCCTTGCTCAACCTGGCCGAATGTTACTTGGACCCAGCTGGCCAATCTGCTGCAGGGACCCCTGCCTTCTTCCCCAGAAGCTGGCATTGATCCACTGTGCAGATTTGTCTCTTTGGCACTTGGGTGCCTCAGCTCTCCTGCTCCTCTAGGCTTCCTTAGTGACCCCAGCAGGCTTCCATCAGCCACAGAGGTTTCCCTCACTTCTAGAGGCAACCCTGTGCAATCCGTCTCTGCTCTCTACCTCACCAGGATGGTCTGAAGCCCCATCATGAGCTCTCCACTTACAGAATGAAACTCGACTTGCCCTTGGCCCTTGCCCCGCCTTTCTACATGCCTGGTGGTCTGAGGGGGTGGACTTCATGGTGCCAGAGTTTCTCCCTGTAGGATGGTCCAGCAGTAACTTCTCTGCCCTGGGCTTCTGTTTTCTCCTTGGCTCCTGGGCTTCCTTTGGAAACATCTTCCCTTCCTTCTCCAGGTGCTTCCACTTAGCCGTGCACATGCTCCCCCTTTCACCACATAACAGAAACATCCAAGAAGATGTGTCAACAGTCAGTGCTGACCCAGGGGCTGTGCCTGAGAGTGACATTGGAGGTGGCCTTCTGGAGGCAGCTCTGCCTTCCTGGGTGGTCTGTTTTCTGTTCCATAGAGTAACTTGTGCAGCCTCTAGGCCATTACCCAGGGGCACTATTTGTCACCCATCACCCCACCTCCTGGTCATCACCATCCCCACCAGAAGGTGCCTTCCTGTGTCCCCCATCCCCCAGCGGTGCTCTGTAATGATTTGTTAAAAGATTGAATGATGAATAAATAAAGGGGAGGATGGTCTCTTTCAGGACCTTTCACCAACCTCTCCCTTCCTTAAAATCCTTGCGTGTTGGAAGCCGAAACCTTGCATGTCCTTAGTTACTCACTCACCCATCCTGCCACAGGTATGCATCAGCTGCCCTCCACAGGCAGGCTCTTTGTTCGGTCAGGTGCCCACTGTGTGCTGCCCTCATGAGCATGTGAGCCTTGATGCTTCCAGCAAGCCAAGCTTCCTGGGGCACGGTTGGGTCTCCCCGCGTCCGGGTCCCCTGCACAAGGCTCTAGCCCATCAAGGTCAGCCCCAAAGTCCTTGGCATTCCCCAGGCTCTCCTCTCAGGCCCAGCTCAGCCTGGGCCTCCCTCAGGACTTGAATCCTAGTCTCGCTCACCCACATTTCACTCTCCCTTCCCCAAACTCAGCCTGTGACACTCTTGGTCTAACATACCCATTCGACACACTCCTCACACTGCCATTGACTACCCAGATGTGAATCTCCTCCTGCTGTGAGCGCCAAACAGTGGGAGCATGGGCTTCTTCATCTGTGCATCCATGGCAGCACTTAGCGCTCAGTCAACATCTCCCAGTGGTAAGGCAGGAGGTAGGTGGGATAAGTTGCTGGTTATCCTTTCCCTCACACTCTCTGCTCTTTTTCTTTCATTCTTTCTTCTTTTTTGTAAAGCTGGAGGGAATACAACTTCAGCATCTCCACCCACTTTATAAATACTTTGACAAATGGTTTCTCTCCTACCATGCTTACCCCAAGCAGGGGCATCTGTCATTTCTGAAAGCAACTGTTACAGCCCCTCCGACCTTTAATGCAGAGTCAGCGGCTGGGGCTGGGGGTGGGGATAGAGGAGGGGGCAGCCACGACTGCAGTTCATCAGGCCCAGAATTTAAAAAAAGAAAGAAAGAAAGACAGAAAAAACCGTACACAACTCACAGAGTAATTGCTGTTTCCTTGGCAACAAAGCAGCAGTCTGGGGCCCAGTGCTCTGCTGTCCTTCGCTGGGCTGGGAGGGCCAGGGACAGTTGGGGGGCAGGGGGCGAGAGTGTTTCCCTCCTCCTGTGGCCCTTGGAAGAGAATCTGTCTTCAAGTCACTCTTCAGCCACCTTTCTTGTTTTCTGTTGGTCTCTTGGCTGCAGTTCATAATATCCAGGCCAATGTCCATGTGCTGAGCGTGATGGGGCCGTGTCGGCCACCCACCCTCCAAGATGAGTTCCGTGGAGCTGCGGCCTCTCTGAAAGCCCAGGCACCATTTAAGGCATTGTCTTCTTTCCTCCTCCTCTTTCTCTTCCTCCGGTTCCCTTCTTTTCTCTTTCCTTTCTCCCTCCTCCCCCTTTTTCCTTCTTTTCCTTTCTCTTCCCTTTCTCCTCATGCTTCATTTTCCTCCTCTTCTTCCTCTTTCTCTTTCTTCTCTTCCTTTTCTTCCTACTCCATCTCCTGTCCTTTCTTCTTCCACCCTTTATCTTGACACCTTTCTCGTCTTCCTCCTTCTCTTCTTTCTCCTCCTTCTCCTCCTCCTCTTTGTCCTCTTCTTCCTCCTCCTTCTCCATCTCTTTCTTCTCCTCCTCTTCTTTCTTCTGTTCTTTATCTTTGACTCCTTTCTGTTTTTCTTCCTCCTCCTCCCCTTTCTCCTTCTTCCCTCCTGCTTTCTCTTTTTCTTCTTCCCTTTAGTCCTTCTATACTTTCTCCTCTACTTTCCTTTCTCCTCTTGTTCTTCTTCCTCCTCTTCCTGTTCCTCTTCTTTCTTCTCTCTCCTCCTCCTCCTTCTCCTCTCTGCCCTTGTCTTTGTAAAAACACCCTTCTCCCGGGAGTTCTGCAGGTGTCATTGGCCTTCAGGGCCCATGGATGACAGCAGAGAGCTGGAGAATGGGAATTTTGAGGAGTGTGGGGTCTCAGAGGCTGGGAGATGCATGGTGGATCTCAGGGGCACAGGAGACCCAGGCGAAAGTGAGAAAAGTGCCTTCTCTAGAGGTTTGGGAGAAGAGTTGAAACCCATGACCTTCCCTAGCATCCACCAACCACCTGGTCCAGTCATGTGTGGTGCTGCTGCGGGAACTGAGAATGGAACAACAGCCCTTTGTTCCCTGCCTCAATATGGGTCGCTTTGTCTTCCAAGGAAAACTCTGTGGTATCCCCCATTCTAGAAAGTGTCTCCCAGTTCTGCCAACTCTAATGGTCCATCCCTACTCTGCCACATGCAGGACCTTCTCTTTCAATCCATATCTGTCATCTGGGAGGTGGGATGGACTCCCAGGCACAGTGTGAGCAAACTGAGAGTTGGAGAAAGCCTCATTCTTACAGGCTCCTCTGTGTCCAGCAGGTGTTCAGCAAATGTGTGTCCATGGATTGGCAGCAATATGGGTTTCCTCTGGTCTGAGCTTTACTTTCCAAAGAGAAAGGCATGGAGAGCTACTGGGCAGGGGCGTGGACCATTCTTATGGAATGGATTTGATGTCTCCATTCTTTCACTCACTCCAGGGCCTCTTTAGTCTGCACCAACCTTCTCTTTCCAGCTCTACCTACTAAGCTTCTGTCAAGAACATCTTCTTACTGTTCCTGAGACACACCTGCTCATTCCTACCAGATTGTCCATGCTCATCCTGGTTCCAGCTCCTGGAATACCCTCCCTAGCACTTTCTGCTTATCTTTATCCAACCTGTACTTTCAGGCCAATCCGCAGTGCTCCCTCCTCTATGGAGCCTCCCTGAAGGGTTCATGAACTTCTGCATGCCTTGTCTTGCTCCAGCAGTTACAGTCCTAACTACCTCTCTTGTGTTGTCCTCTGATGGGTCCATGAGGCCCTAATTTTGTCCCTCTTCCCTTCTGTGTGGTGCCGTGTGTGTGTGTGTGTGTGTGTGTGTGTGTGTGTGTGTGTGTATACCTTCTGACAGAGGTGTGGGATGGTGACTTCTGAGGTGATGGCTCTACCAAGTCCAGCAAACGCAGATGCTCAGGGCAAGTCCCTAGAAATGTGGAGACACAGATCTCTCTGGTCTACTGGTCAGCAGAGCACTGGGTCCCTGGTACCTCTTTCTGCATTTCCTGTACCCTGACCCATCTCAAACAACTAGAGGCTCTGATCCTCTCTGGCCCTGGTGTTCAAGGTAATCTGCTCCACTTCTCCCATCATCTGAGGGGTCCTTGACTAACAGCTGAAAGTACGGCCCTCTTCCCCTCTCTCTCCTAGGACGAGGGCATTACAATGGGAACCAAAGCTTCCTGCAAAAGGAACACTGTTTTCTGGCCCAGGGCTTTCATGGAAATCATGGGTTAGGACTTCTTCATAGTATGGCACATCACCAGCAAACACTTATTGAACACTTATTGCATGCATGGCTCTGTGCTGGATGCTGATGAGAAGGAAAAGAGTTTCTTCCGAGAGCCTGGTATCTGACCTCAGGGAGCTCAGAGCCCCCTTGAAGAGCAAAGCAGACACATGAACAGACAATCACACGAGGAATTGGAGGAGACTGAAACCAACCAATTGAGCTCCCGGTCCCAAGCCCAAGGAGGCCTGGGCGGTAAACAAACAACTTCAGAAAAGCAAAGGGAATTAGAATTTTAAAAACCTTCCGGTGATAATAAAATCTGGGGTATAAAATGGGTTAGGAAATTTATTTTTTCAATATATGATTTTTCCCCCTCTCCTTTGAAAATCCACATATCTATTCTGCTTCAGGTTGGGGCTCCTTTAAATGGGTTTATTAAAAAAATCATTTACTGTGGGCTTTTCAGTTCAACTTTAACTGGACCGGGTGGAAATTAAAAAAAGGATATTTTAAAAATAAATTATATAAATTACAGCCCTAATTATAAAGGAACTTTTAAAAATGTATCCAAGCATTAAAAGAAAATCTTTTTTTAAAAAAATGCCCCATTTCCCTGTTCCATTGCGGGAACATAATTTAGATACTTTTAACAAATCCTCATCCTTTGGAAGAAGCGGGCTCTCCAGGCCCATTTGCCTGTGTCTCTTTCTGAGTGCTATTATTATTTGATAACTCTGGGCTTAAATCTGCATGAGAGCCAATTATCTCTCTTTGTCATCAAGCAGGCTTGCTGTTCGGCAGTGGTTTTTATAGTACAGTAAAAGCCTTAAGGAGCCTGGAGGAGGGGGATTTGCAGTTCAGATTACACTGCATCTTGCCTCCCTAAATGCCTTTCCTTATTCCCTTTTCTGTTTTTGCTTTTCATCCCTCCCTGGTGCAACAAGTTCTCCCCTCCTGGCTGCTCTGCAGTGTTGTCTGACCCCGAGCTTCTCCCCAGCCTGGCTACCCTCTGCCAGTGCTTTCCTTGAGGATCCCATCCTATCAAGGGTCTTTCTCCCTTCTATCTTTGGCAGGCCTAGGCTTCCTGAACACAAGTGGTAGGAACTGGCATTTCTTGGCCCATCCTCCAGTAGAGGCCTAAAGCAATGGTCACACTCTGCTTTCTTAACTAGCGGAGGTTGCATCAAGACCGTAACGCTGGAGGGAGACAGGCCTCCCTACTCGTGGAGCTCACAGCTTGACTGGGACACTGAACAGACCCACCCGAGGGATGGTATCAAGGGTGGCGGTGGATCCAGTGCCTTAGCAGTGAACTGAAGGGTGCTGCCCTCCAGCTGGGGCATGGGGAGCTCTGGGGGTGTGGGCATGGTGTCCTGCTTCTTTTATTTCTCCACCAAGAAGAGCCAGTAAGTGCTGACTGGGAAGGACAGATGGAGCTTCGCAGAGGGGCTGGAGGACATTGGCCAGATCCTGAAAGGCTGGAGTGGGTGGAGGGCAAAGGCAGGAGACCAGGCTGGATGAGAGTACTTCATCCCGGTGAAAGCAGGACTTGCCTTCTTCATTGTAGCATCCCAGCATTTAGACTGGGCTGGGTGCATGGAGGCACTTGATGCACTTTGGTGGAGTGAGTGAGTGAGTGAATGAATGAATGAATGTGGATGATGAGGGTCTGGTGAAGGTGTGGAGAGGCTGTAGATGGATTCAGAGGGTTTAGGGTATTAGACCTTTTCAGTCTCAGATAGCAAACTGCTTTTTTCTGGCAAAAAATATTATTTACTGGCTTCTCATCATCCTAATCATAGAGCCCAACATCCCTTCCTGCCCCCTGGTAGACCAGGCCTCCTCCCTGCTCCCTTCTTGGCCCTGGGGTAGGCATGTGCACACACCGTTTCCTCTGCTGGGAGGCTCCTCCTCCCGTCCACCTGGACCACCCATCCCACCACTGTTAAGCATCGCTTCCTCCTGGAATTCCTTCTTGACTCCAAAATTCAAGTCAGGGGCCCTGCTAGCTCTAGTCCTCACTAACTCTGCTGTCCCCATGCCAACACTAGCCTGGCTCCTGGCCAGCAAAGGGAGCTTGGGGAAGACAGAGCCCTCGCCCCGGCCACAGACTGACCGTTATCTCCATTGGGGTCTTTCACACAAAATATAAATTATGCCTAATAGTAGCTAGAATTAACTACCAGGACCAGGAATTAACTACTGTGGACCAGGCACTGTGGTCAGCATTTTATATAATTTATGGCATTATTCCTCAAGCTGAGATGTGGAGACCATGAATGACTTATTCAAGGCTGAACACATATGTGTGGCAGAAAGCCAATTCAGAACCCAGGCAGGTCTGGCTCCAAGGCTTTAGCTATTTCCCTTGTGTAGCTGGCTCTGAGGGCCTTGGGCTTGGAGAGGGTGGCTCACCCCCACAGCTGGCATGGGGCGCTGGCTCCCAACAACTGCGCTCCTTAGCTGTGTAGCTCAGCTCTGGGGGCACGTGGCTGGGATCTCCTCCCCATTTTAATACTTGACACAATTTCCCTCCCCAAAAAGCTGCATTAGGACAATAACATGGCCTGTGTTCTCTCTCTCTGCAGACTGGGAAGCCCTGAGAGGCTGCGGGACCGTGCCTTCAACTCTGGGTATCACACAGCCCTCACATATGTGCACATGCACATGCATGCCCCATCCAAGCACAGGGATGGGTGAGGCAACTGGCTCTGCAGGCTTCTGCCTTCTACTTAGCACTGAGAGAGCCAGGAATGCTGTGGGGTCAGTTGCTCCCTCCCCATGCCCTGCTTGGAAGACAGGGCTGGCTGAGTGTCCCGTCCCCTCTCCCCACTCAGAGAATGTCCAGAGCTAAGTCTGAGCAAAGGGCCAGCTTTTGCTTTTGGGGCTGGGGTACAGGCAGATTCCTGTTGGAGAGCATTTATTTTACTTTTCAAGTGTGGGCTTTCTGGAAGGTAATGGGAAACTGCAAGGTGTCTTGCAAGCAGGTGTTTGGCATATGGTGATGTGGTTCCCAGGGTGGCTTTTGGGCAGGGGCAGGGCGGGGTCCTCCAGGAGCTGTCTGTCGGTGCTGAGCTCAGTCTGCTTCCCTACCACTCAGCCCACTGCTTGGATGGTTCCCTCTGTCACTCTCCTCTTACACTGTCCAGGTTTTAGCACTGAAAGTCATATGTGTGGGAAGCCTCTCAGTCCCAGGCCAACCAGAACAGTTGGTCGCCCCGTGTCTAACATACCTGTCTAACTGTCTCCAGGGCATGGCTCATCAGCGTGGCTGTGGCACCCTCTCCCTGCCTTCTCTTGTCTCCTTCACTGTCAAGTCTGGGAAAGGGCTCCTGGTGGGTGTCCGATGAGGCACAGCTGGGTGACAAAGATGGCTCCAGCTCTGGTTGGGGCGTGCACCTCATGGTGACACCTCCCTCTGTGGGACCTCCGAGGGTCAAGGAAGGAGGCACCTTCCATCCTAGGTTTAGGATTCATTGCACTTACACAGGATTCCCCGTGGCAGATCACCTGTGTTCCAGAGGCTGTGTAGTTCAGGGTGTGTGTGAGGCAGTTGCATGGTAGGGGGGCACCTATAACTGGGGGTAAGTCTGTAATGGTGCAATAGATGATGTTAGAACAGTGGGGGTCCCCCTCCCTCTCAGGCCTCAAAAGCACAACCACCAGAGCTGGTGGGTGGCACTGGGCCATGGGGAGACCTGACCAGCAAGGCTCCCTCTTTCCTCTGTCCAGGCCACCCAGCCTGAGATACAGTGCTGGTCACTCTAGGGAATGCTGTGGCCCCCAGGGGACACCCCTTGGGTGGCTCCTCCCTGGCTTCTCACTGCTGGCTGGCAGGCAGGCTGGTGGGCGGGCAAGCGTAATATTACCCCTAAGATAAATGAAGAAGAGTTTCAGCCCTTATTGGATTATAGTTTTTATTGAACTTTATAAATTCCAATTAGCAGACCCCTGGGCAATAAGCGACACACAGCCCGTGGCTCGCTTTATAGCGTGATTATGACCCTGTTTATCCTCCCCTGAACGAGAAGTATTAATGGAGGAAACAAAGGAAAGGGACTCAAAAATACATAAAAACAGATATTGGTGACACAGAGATAAACAGACAGGAGTCAGGGAGAGAAAACAATCTCCGGGCAGGCAAGGGGGAACAGAGAATCAGAGATTCTAAGAACCCATGTGCTCAGAGCCACCGTGAGCTTGGATGTCCTTCTGGCCTCCCTCCCAGGGTACAAAGCCCCCTAGGCTCCTGAAGGCTGCTGGGGCCTGAAGAGCACCCTCCCATCCCCAAGCCCTACCTCAGGCAATCTTGCTGGGGTTGGAGTGTGATTTACTAAGTGCAGAGTCCAGCGTGCCCCACACTGGGCAGTCTGCTACCTCCTGAGGCCCTCAGCTCTACAGCTGAGCAGCTCCAGGGATGGCCCAGTGTGGTTCCTTACAGTTTTAGGTGTCTTCTTTGCCCTTTAAGAATCTGATGGACATTAACATGCATTGATTCTAGAAAAATGTCTCCATACATGCACATGCATTATGTACACATGCACGCACAAGTAATTTTGCCTATAGGTACAGGGGGTTGTCCAAGCTCTGAAAACTGATCATGCATTCTGCCCCCTCCTCCAGGGGACTGAAAGCATAAGATTAAGAATCCTTGAGTTTGAATTGAACCAAGTAAGATCTGTCTCCCAGGAGCTTCCACCTGGAGGTCCTGAGAGCCCACAGACAGATGGGCAGCCTCCAAGGGCCTGGCCACAGCTGGGAATGCCCCTCCAACCCCACCTGCTTTTCATTTCTTCCTGGATACTCTGGTTTGCGTTCATCAGCTTTAAATTTCTAACAGCCATGACCCAGAACAGCAGCTGGGAAGAAGCTGTCCCTAGAGAGGTGTGGGGGTGAGCTGGGGGGTCCTGAGCCAGCCAGGTGGGTGGTGGTACTGCTCTTCTGGACTGAAACCCTTGCCCGACTTGCTGCATCTCCCAGGAGAAAGAAGTGTGCTCAAGGATGGCGTGCCCTCCTCACTTTGTCTGGCTTTGTTTGCGCCTTCCTCCCCCTTCTGCAGGTCATCTTTCTTGGAGGCTTCAGTGGAAGATTAAAAAAGAAAAAAAAATTCCTCCTATCAGCATTTTGCCGTTGTTTGGAAGCACTAACACAGAAGTACCCGAGGAGGCTTTTGTAGTTTGAACAGGATGAAAAATGCTTCAGGTGTTCGTCAGTCTGCAGCAGTATGTAAATAAGATGCCGAGATCTGTGGGCAGCGAGGAGTATGTCTGGCTGGCTGGGCCCATTAGGAGAGTCACTGAGGAGCCCCTGCCACAAGCGTCCCCCCTCAGTGGCCTGGGCCTTGGCTCGCATATGCTCTGCACCTCTGTGATTTATGGAGCTTGCTGGGCACTGTCTTACTTCAGATAAGCAGTGTGGATGTACATAAACTCCAGTGGTCATGAACTGCTCCAGCCAGGACTTTCCTGATTCCTGTCCTCTGGGAGGCAGTGAGGCAGGGGGCCTGAGCCAGGAAAAGGGACTGGAATGACAGAGGCAGATTCCTGAACTGGCAGACTGGTGGGAGACAAGGGGTTCCTTGTTAAGACCTGGGAAAACGGGAGGGAGAAGGTAGCTGTTGTCACTTAGGCACCAGGACGTCACCACCCTCTCCTTGGGGGAGACTGGGGCTTCCTGAGAGCTTGCATTACCCAAGCAAGGCGGGGAGGCCTAGAGATGAGGGAGGCCATCCCATGCTACCAGGGCTGCATTCTCTCACCCCAAGCTCGGGGCCCCTAAATTGGCTGAGCCTGACTCCTGAAGAATAGGCTGCTCCTTCCCCTGGCCCCAGCTCTGGGGAACAGTGTCTCCTCTCTGTTCATGTGCTGGGCCCTGGGCCTGGCCAGGGGAGCAGGGGTCCAGGCCAGAGGCATAGAAACCAGGCCAGAGTGCTGTGTGCACTTGGCACTTTCCAGAGAGCGGTCCCAGGAAGGCGTGAGTTAAATAGGGCATGTCTTCTCCTCCCCATTTCATGAATGTAGAAATGAAGGCCCAGAGAGGCACTGTTTGACCAAGCTTTGCACTATAGCTGCTCCATTCAAAGAGCAGGTTTTGGAGTTGTATCTCTGGGTTACTGCTTGACTCAGCTGGCAGAGGGTAACAGGCTTCGGGTTGCTCTCTGGAAAAAAGGTGTTTTTCCTGATTGTGGGAGGGTGGGTAGGGGGATAACAGGGCCTGAGAGCAGAGCCGGGAGCCTAGAAGCCACTGGTGCTGTCTGTCTAGCTGGCTGGTTCCCGTAATCAAAAAGCCCACTTTGAAAGCCCCTGAGGCCTATGAAGGCTTGGGCAGAGCACTCAGATCCCAAGACATTTAGGGGATTATCCCTTCTTACCCAGAGGGGACAGTCTTATGATGTCATATATTTCTGGGCTGTCCTTCTGTTCCTAGCACACTGCTATGCTCACAGTAGGTGTTCAGTCCATGATTTCAGTAGAGTGTCAATGCCAGGGCTTCAGGCTTTGGAATGCAGATTGATGGACAGTGGGGACTTTGGGGTTTTCCTGGCACTTCTGCAATCATCAGGAAAGCCCCTCTTCACATTGCCATGACCCTCCAGACCCCTTGGCATGGGGAGGGGTCCCTCAGGATCCTTTCAAACAGATGAAGAAGCAATCTGCCCAGACAGCCTAGGGGATGGGATGTGGGAGAGGGGAGGGTATCGGGGGTTGGGGGACAGACATATATCAGGGGGCTCTGGAGCCTCCTTCAACCACACCTGCCACCAACTAGCCAAGTGACTGTGGCCCTATCACTCTCTCTCTGGGCCTTCGTTTCCTCACAGCAAAGTGGAAGAGTTGGCACTGCTGATCTCTGAGGTCCGTGCCAAGTCTAAGATCGGCAGATTCCCTTCTCTGATGTTTCAGGCACGAACACAAATTAGCACGTATGGAGAACTGTGGCAAGTAATAATGGTCCCCCAGCCCTCCACCCCAAGTCCCCACACTCTCTATTCTCTCCTCATGCCCCCTGCAATAGATCATACAGGATGGATTACATTAATTTTCTATAAACTATATCAACTTGAGTGACATGTCCTTAAGGGTTGGCTGATTGATATCTACAATGCGGTCTTATAATCTAAAATCATATTAATATTAATATTAAAGATTTTCTGTCCTCTACGTGCACCATTAAATCTGGAGTATAAGGTGAAATTGACAACATACATTTTGACAGCTTATCTATAATAAATATGCAAATCTTGATGCCCACATGTCATCACAGATGCACCACGGCCCTCTGAAGATCAGAGCGTGCCTGTCTCCCGCGTGACATTTTCAGCAGAGGATCAGAGCAACCGTCTGGGCTGCAGGAGCAGCACTAGGCGAGCCTTTTGCAGCGGTGACCCTGGCCTCTCCCGTCTGCCTGTGAAAGCCTGTCCTTCATCCTGCCATGCAGGCAGGAAGGCTTGAGGAGTGACAGTCACAGAGAGCAGGGGACACCATCTCATGCAACTTCTGAGTAGGCACAGAAAAATCCAGCTTCCGTCTTTATTTCTCTTAAGTCTCAAAGGAACTTTTGCTGTCTGCTCCACCTCCACCGTGCCGGGTTATAGCGGGTTACCGTCACTCAGCACCCGGTGAGTTTAAGAGTGGAGAATGCCTGCTAACCTCTGCTCATAACCTTCCATAGCCTCAGTTTCTGCATCTGTCTAAGAGGAGAGGAGAAATGGTGCCTTTCTTCTGGTGGACATGCGAAGGTTGAATGAGATAACAGAAGCCAGATGCCCAGCACACACAGTAATGCCTCAGTAAAGGACAGCTCTTAAATTATTTTCTAAATGAGTCCCACCTCCTCCTGACTGGTGCAACACGCAATGCTCCTTCCTGTCCCTCTCTCCCTATCTTATCATACAGAATCTAAGAGTTAGCATAGTGACCATGGTGAATTCTTCTCTGCCTCTGACCAGTGCCAGATGTGAGCTCCAGATGACAGGGACCATGCATCTCCCTGCGGCCCGGCCCCCAGCCCAGGACCCAGCTGGAGCTGAGATGGAAGAGGGACTGAAATTAGGACTAAGGAACTGTCTCTAAGGGGAAAATGTTGTCAACTCTCCATTGAGACCCTGCCAGGTCTGACTGGATAGCTCTGTGTGTGTGAGCGCGCACACACACACACACACGTGTGCATGTCAGATGGGGGCAATGAACTGAGCCTGTGAAATGCAATATCCTTGTCACATTAATAGACACGTTGAGAGGAGAGCTGAGGAAACAATGAGGGGAATTTTCCATGGGTGCAGGGTTGTTTGTTTGAGACGAGCTTCAGTGGTCCCATCACCCCTTCACACCTCCTAACAGGGCAGCAGAGCCCGCTGGAGGCCCTGGGCCACAGCTCTTCTCCCTGGCTTCCTTCTCTCTTCTCTGAGCCCACCCTGTGGGGCAGCACCAAATCTCCCAGGCTTCCGCATCTGTTTGGCCTGCCTCAAGAGAGTTGGGCATTGCATTGTCTCCTTCCCTACCCATCCACCCTCTCCCATGAAACCATCCCTCATTAGTCCCCTGACTCGGAGTGCTTCTGTCTCTGAACTCTGCAGCATTTCCAGTGTGGAGAGCCACGGGGCCATATTCTTTGTCATGCCTCCTTGCATTGTTCTGTGATCATTTCGCAGTGGAGACGTTCGTTGCCCACAACCAGATTCACAAGGGGGGCGGGTAGGCATGGCTATGCTCCCCCTTTCTGTTTCCCTGAGGGGCTTACCACCTGGCTGGGCACCCGGCTGGGCACACATTCACGTGGGCTTGGTTGGGACCCTCCAATAGTCTATATCTGATGAGGAACAGACAGCGGGACCACATGGATCCAGAAGTCTTCAGAGGCTCGTTTGTTGGGCATTTCTTGCAAAGTGACAGTTGACATGGATCCATTCTCATGCTCCCCCAGGTCTCTCTTGGGGCCAGGAGGCCCCAGATGTTCTTTTGGGATATCAGGAAATTCCTTCACATCTCTTACCACCCCTCCAGGGGTAGACATGCCCAAGGAAGAAGTTCCATCTTTCAGCACCTGGTACCTGCCATGTGTCCCTAACCCTGGGACCCTGAGCCACATGCCTGTAATCCTGACCAAGGGTAAGGAGTTTGGTGACCCCGGCTGGGGAGACAGGCTTGCTGGGGGAGTATCACTGCTGGGAGAACAGGCGGCAAAACTCGGGCCCATGCTTGCCTCTGGGAAATTCAGGCCCATCATAGGATGCCCATCAGCAAATCCTGCAGCTCAGGCTGCGAGTGGAATGGGTCTTGGGGAGGGCTTGAGACCTCATGGCCTGCTAAGAGGAGCCCCACTTACGGAGATTTCTAGGCTTCCCAGCCCTTTATCTCACAAATTCTCATGCCACCAGTCCCTTCTGGTCCTTCCTTTCCGTGAAACTTGAGTCTCTACACTGTCTTTAATAAACAGCTGCTGATCTATCAGTTTACAGTTAATCAGTCAACAGAGGTGAAGGTGGGAGGAGGGTGGTGGAGAAATGAGCGTGTGGCTTCTTGCAACTCAGGCTCACTGAGCCCCCAAAACGCCTGCCCTTTGCATGTCACTACCACTCATTTGTCCATGCTTTCTGCCTCCCAGCAGATGGTTCTGTGTATGAGCCTCATGGGGTGCCTGGGTGCCGTGGATATCCCAGAGAGACACTGTGCTCCGCACCCATGGAGCCTCCAAGGAGGTTAGATGAGATAATATTTGACTGTCACCAGGCACAGTGCCTGGCATACAGCGAGACCTCCATAAATGTTAGTTCTTCTCCCCGCCTTGAATGAGTCATATCTGGTTGGAGAGAAAAGGCCACTTAAATAAAATAGGACCAGATATCCACCTCGGGGAGGGAAGGCAGGGAAGCCAGTCAGGCTGTAAAGAGGCCTGTGATGTTGGTGCTGGCGGGTGGGTGGTAGGATGAGGGTGACAAGGTGGAAGAAGGAAAATGGCCGATTTCAGATGGCTTCGAATGCCAACCCGAGGAATAAGGAGTCCAGGGTCTTTTAAAATCCCTGTCTCTGTTTGCCTCCTCCTCTCTCCCACAATTAACTCCAGGCTGTCTTGATGGCCCCGCGGTGACGAATGTTCTCCCCTGTTCCCACCTCCCCGCTTTTTTTATTTGTGTTGACTTGACGCGCCCTAATCCCTGACTCAGCTCCCACTTCTTGTTAAACCAAAGGTAAATTTTCGGCCGGCGGGGCAGCCCCGGAGCGGGAAGATCCACACCGCGGAGCAGCCGTAGGAAATATTGATATTAGCCGACCTCTGGCGCCGTCCGCCCGCGGTGAAAATAAGACGCGGGGCCAATCAATTACCGAGCCATTAAGGGCGGGAACGCGGAGGGAGCGGCCCACAGCCCCTGCTCCCCAGCCGAACATCCCCCGAGCCGCAGGCCGCTGGGGTGCGCAGCTGCGCTCTACGCCCTCCGCGCCCCGGCCGCGGCTCCCGGCAGCGACCGCAGCGCCCAGCAGGAGAATGGGGCGCAGCCGGGCTGGGCTGGGGCGCGGGGGTCGCGGCGGCTGCGCCCCAGTCCCGAGCTCGGTTTCCCGCTTCGCTCTTTGAGCCCCGCTTCCTCTCCCTGAAGCGTCTCGCCCTCGGCCCTCCCTTTCTTCTCTCTCCGCCTGCCCTCCTCCCTTCTCCTTTGTTAACCACCTCTCTTTCCTAGGGGCCTCTTGCTTGGCCAGCCGACCACCCTTCTGGTATCCCTTTTTGTGCCTCCCCCTTTCTTCCCTTCCTCTTAAGCTGGCCACAGGGTGGCTCCGGTTCCCTATCCCCTGGACGCCCTCTGAGGATGGCACTGCGCTGGCCCGGCTGGAGGGACGGTGGCCTGTCGCTCTCTTCAGAGGCCCTGCCCTTTCACACCTGTCTTCACCAGCAGGAACCAACAAGAGGCCCTTCTTATTTGGGGTTAATGACTTCTGGGAATCCTTTCCATCTTTAATGTGTTGCCTTCTAACTCCAGACAATAGCCCCGTGTTAGAAGAGGCATGGCCACGCCTAGACTGGGAGCCAGCGGTGCTCCTGGCGCCCTTCGGGGTGGCCTTCTGGGTTGTGGGGAGGGGAGTGGAAGCTGCCCGGCATGTCTGCATAGGTTTGGGTTCTGTGTCTGTGGCTAGGTTTGCGCTGTAGGGTGTAGGGCAAGCAGGTTGTGAACTTGAGCAAATATTTTCACATTTCTCGGGGACAATCTTCTGCTTTCTAGAGCTGACCTTTCTTAGGGGAGGGAGGGGTGGGGAGGGGCGGGAAGGAAAAGACTGTTAGGGTTCCTTGGTGACTGGCTGATGGGTCTACAGTATTTCCTCAAACTTCCATGACAAGAGAATGGGATTCATGAACATTTACATTGATCAGACATTATGCTGAAGGGAGGAAATGGTACTTTCTCCCTTTAAAGAAGGATCCTGCATTTTACAAAATCGAAAATAATTATTAAAAACCCCTTTCACAAGATCCCTTGTTCACAGTCTCATAGAGGAATGATTCTCAAAAGTGTGGCCGCGACCTGTAGGAGGACTCTGTGGGCATCACCTAGGCATCTATTAGAAATGCAAATTCTTAAACATTCCTTACCTCCCTTCGGAATCAGAAACTCTGGGGTGGGGTTCAGCCAACTGTGTTTAACGAGAACTTCAGGGCATTCTGAGGCACACTGAAGTTTGAGCACCACTGACCTCAATTATCCCTGCAGTTCAGGAAGGTAGGTGGGGTGGAAATTATTGTATCTTTTTACCTCTGGAGGAACAGCAGCAAAGAAATGTCACATGGCCAGATGGTAGCAGGGCCAAGGCTGGGACGATTTCCTGGTCTCAGTGTGAGGCATCCCATAAGGGTGTTAGAGGATGCATTTTCTTTCAACCCACAAGCAACCCTTAAAGGAGACAAAAATTGTGTTTGGAGAGGTGACCTGCATTTGCGTGGCTGTGAGTAAGCATGTCAATGCAAACTGCTATGAACTTATTTAGTACTTCTTTTGCTGCATCCCATAAGGTTTGGTATGTTGTGTTTTCATTTTCATTTGTCTCAAGGTATTTTCTGATTTCCCTAGTGACTTCCTCTTCTTCCCCTTCTTTCCTAGTGACTTCCTATTTCTGTCCTATAGGGGCCAGAAAGGTATTAGATTTTCAAGTTTCCCCTAGTGAGTACTACTCAGCGCTTGGGAGGTGGGTGACCTGGGGTAGAGCCACCTGTGTCAAAGTAGGATAATGCTATAAGAATGATGTTTTAATGGAACCGTTGAAGGCAGCTTGCTGCAGAGAAGCTCCTGTCATACCACAACCTGCCTCAGGATCATGTTAGGTTTAAAATGCAAACTCTGGACGTCCTTCTTGACAAAGGTATTCCAAAGGGCAGGAAGAAAGGGGTCCCTGCACTTTCTGGGAACTTCTGGGAACTTCTTGGGAGAAGCTTTGGTGTCAACTGGGCCTAGTTTGAATCCCAACTCTGCCCTTCGTGGGCTGTGGGACCTTGGGTAAGTCACGTAACCTGTCCATTATGAAAACTCGATTTGCAAGGTATGGTCACCACACCGATTCTCTGAGAGCTCTGAAACAAGCCACCCGACATGTCCGGGCCTCAGTTGCCTTATCTATAAAATGGGCAGTAGACCAGGAGCCTCTGCAGCTGTAACAAACCGTGGCTAATGCCATTTATTTACGTAAGCCCCAAATAACATAACATCAATTTAGCAGAACCCTCAACCTATGCAATGGTTTTCCCATTGCCCCCATCCCCTTTGCAAGAATATAAGCTAAATCGCCTGCAAATGAGCACAATGATCAAGAAGAAAACAGCAAGCCCTGTGCTTTGTAGAGCCCACCAGAAGCCAAAAATACCAGCCGCACTCCCTGATATCAACTTAGCCACCATAGAACTGACCTGAGAAGTGCTGGCCGTGAGTTTGGATCCAGCACTAGAGAAGGGTCACCAGCCCAGACGGACCCAAGCAGGAGAGGAGCTCGAGCCTCTAAAGTTATTCTTGGAATAAACTGAACCCCCAAACCCTTTGTGCCCTCTATTACTCAGAAAACTAAATTAATTAGAACCCTCCATTTTCCAAGAAGTTGGGGTAATCAAGGTTTACGTGTAGTAAACTCCCCACCCCCTCCAGAATAGTAAACTGAACTGATGTTTCCACAAAGAACTCTACTTAGTGAAGCTGCTGGGACAAGAGCTGATCCTCATTGAACCGGAACATCAAACCATGCTCTGAGACAAACCTGATGTTTCACTTGGTTTCAGTCAGTGGTGAGAAAACAAGCAGTCTGTGGGGTGATTTGGGGAGAGAATGCAGGCTGGCTTTCCAGGCTCTGGCTGCGGGGTGGGATAAAGATGTTTCCTCTTTTCATTTCCAGTCAACCCCCTCTGTGCATTTTCCTCCTTTTTCCACACATGCTTTACCTCCTCCAATGACAGCCCTGGCCACTGGGCCTTTGATCACTTTCCCCTGACCTTCTATAGGCCCACAGACTAAGCTGCACTGCATTTGATTTCAGGCTGTCCCAAGTTGCTCCTTACATTTTCTCTGGGTATGTTCTAGCTCTCCAACCAGATTTTAAGTTCTTTTAGGCTAGGAGAACTCATGGTTCCTAGCACAGTTTTAACACCTGCAGACACTTGGTAGATACTTAAAATCACAGACAGTAGAGCTAAAAAGGTTCCTGACCTTCAGTTTGCAGGTGAGGAAACTGAGGCCCTGAGAGCAAAGTGACTTGTTCAAGGCCTTACAGCTAGCTAATATCAGGGGAAAATTGGAAACTCACATCCTGGCAAATATTAAGCATTTTCTGATAATACATAATGTGAGTAAGGAGTTTGAGGAAACAGAAAATCCAACAAAGAAAATTTAATGGGAGCTTAAATTGGTGCAGTCTCTCTGGAGCCAAATATCAATCAAAATGTAGAATGCTTACATCTGTTGAAGTAATTTTCCTTACAAGAGTGTATTCTATAGGTAGAATTATACATGTATGCAGTGGATGCTCACGGAGATATTGACTGTGTGTGGTTTGTAATAAAAGAAGACACAAAACCAGGAGCAACCTAAATGTCTTATCGGTGGGGGGTCTGGCTATGGCAATTAGTGAATTTCTCGACAATGCAATACTATGCAGCTACTAAATGGAATGAAGTAGATTTATGTACATGCTGATTTGGAAAGATCCAAGATATGTTGCAAAGCCAGGAATCAAGGTGCATGGCAGTGCGGGGAGCACATTCCAGTTTCCACAACAGAAAGTGTGTGTGGGTGTGTTTGTGTGTGTCTGTACGTGAGATATTTCTAGAAGAATACACAGGAAACTGCACCTTCTGGAGACTGGGATGGGGTCTCGAGTGGGAGGGAGAATCACACTTCACTGTATACCCCTTTGCACGTGTTACTGACTGCATGTATTATTTTTGTAGTAACAATACTAATAATTGAAAAACCTCAACACCACAGTCTCCTAGTTCAGCAGCATTTTCCTCCACTGTACCAGGTGGAGGTACCAGCAGTATCCTTTTTTGCTGTTATTCTTCTGTAAATTGGTAACTTGGAGGCTAATTGTCATAATTTCAAGTAGGTAATAGACAGCAAACAAACCATCTACTCTTAGCTCATTCCTTTATTATTATTTTTTTACCCCAAATTGCTACTTTCCCAGAGGATGGAGGCTCTAGGGTAGGATGACCCAGGTGGAGGTGGGTACTAAAGGATTAAGAACCAGGGTCTCAAATTGGGGATTTACTGGGCAAGTCGCTCAGGTGCTCTGTGCCTCGGTGTCCTCATCTGTAAAATGAGGATGATGATAGTACCAGCCTCCTTGCATCTGTGGGAGAAATAGATGAGATCATACATGTATCTGGTCCTCAGGAAGTGCTTGGATGGGTAACCTGGACTTCTTCCTCTGATCCAATGGGCCTCTGCTCAGGGCCTGAGAGGTGAGAGGTGAGCCTGGTGAGCAGCACACAAAGGCACACTATCTGTCCAGTGCTCTGACCCAGACTGCATGGGTCGAGGTGCTTACGACACTGTCTCTGACCTCAAGGAGCTCAGGTCTGGCGCGACGTAGCATACCACACCCACTGCATGAGGGAGCTCACGGAGGAGCAGGCAAACCAGGGCACATCCAATAGCTCAGCACCAGCTCCCAAATGGAGGAAACTGGTGGGTGGAACAGAGGCTGGGGGACTGGCAGTAGGAAAGGAAGCTCCAATAGGGGAGAGAGTCTGCTGCCTGGCCTTCCTACAGCCAAGGGGAGCTGACAGTTTTGGATTTGCTTTGCAAGCAACTGGCAGACTTCTAGACAAGCCAGGGAGGAATTTTTTGAGGGAAAGTGTGATGTGGTGCTGGTAGGGGGGCAGGAACCTGAGTTCTATTCCCAGGGGGTATCAGCAACCAGCTACCACTCAACAGCCACTGGAGCTTGGACTGGAATGTGACTTTCCTTGGCCTCCGTATATCTCCCTGAAAAATGTACGTGCCTGGACTTCACCCACAGACATTCTGATTCTATGCAGAGCAATACCCAGAAGGGCTGAGACCTGCAAGTTTGGTCCTGAGGGGCTACTGTGAATGGTCCTTGGATTGTTTTGCACACAAAACCACCTCCACTCACAGAATGGACAATGGCCACTGCACAGAACCAGACACTTTGGTTACATCAGCGTTGGAGCACTGCTGAACTTTTGTATTGTCCCTAGAGACTGCACTACCCACGCCATCCTGCAGAGATGACAGCCAGTCAGACTCTCTTCCGGCCACAGTCCAGCCTTCCTGCACTTCGGGTGAAAGTATAATAAAAAGTATTTATTCATAATAAGACTGACATGTACACAGGTTCTTCATACAGGTGATTTCATTTAATTCTCACCACAACTCTATCAGGCTTTTGCAATGATTGTGTCCATTTTACGGGGGAGGAAACTGAGGCAGAGAGAGGCTAAGGAACTTGTGTAAGGTCTCTGGTGGGTCATCTGGCTTCAGCAGTCAGAGTAGGCTGCTCCACATTGTATAGGACCATGCCATCACCCCGTGCTTTTCTTGACTGTGGGTGACTCCAAGCAAGAGCCAAAGTCTCTGTGGCCCTAGGGGAGAAGCAAATCCACCAGCTGCTGCCTGCCCAGCAAGACACTTTAAGAATGGGGGTGGGTTATAATCATCATTGTATTTCCCCACTCCCCCTACCCCCTGCCACCCCAGCTTCCATCTCCCAAATCAGGAGGTGTGCACAAAGCTGGGACTGGATAGCTCCCCTCAGTCCGATGGGGTAGGGGTCACATTTGCTTTCTGGGGTGGCCACTTTTTGTTTCACTTTCTCTTCCTTTCCTTTGTTCCCCTTCCTCCTCCTGGTGGTGACCTGGTCACCTTCCTAGGAGATAACGCCCGTGCGGCTCTGTCCTGACAAGCCCTTTCGGCCCTATCTCTAATCTTCTCTGGGTTTAGGATTAATAGACTTTTTCCTCGTTTGGGATCAATAAGTACAGAGAGAGAGAGAGAGAAAGACGGAGAGAGAAAGGAAGGAAAAAGTCAGCAGGATTAGAAAAAAAAAAAAAGGACTGATAAGAATCTGGTCCAGGTCGTGGAACCCTGATGCTGCCAGTAGTATCTTTAAGCTAGGGAGTAGCACAGGTGAGGGAGGGGTGGGGTAAGCAGGTGTCTTATCTGCTGAGGCAGGAGCTGGGGTGGGGGTCACCCGTGGAAGAGCAAGATGGGGTGAGGTCACAGGCTTGTCGGTGGCTCTGGGGATCCTCAGCCTCAGGCCAGGACAAGGTTCAGCTTGAATCGTTGCCCAGAGCAGCCCTCTGAGGCCAGGGCTGCCTGTCCTGACAACCTCCACAGGTACTGGGAGACCCTTCTATCCCAGGTTCCAGCCTCAGCTGGGGCCCCCCTCCAGCTACTCCTCACTGAGCAGGAAACTGGTCCTCATACTGCTTCTTTGCAGCCCCCCAAGGTCCCTTGAGGGTGTGGACAGTTTAGCTGAGCTTGCCGCCCTGGAGTCCCAGAGTCCCAGCTCTTTCTCGATGCTTCACATAGCCTAATGGAAATTGCACATGTCCCCTTGATGAGGCTGCACGGGGAAAACAAAAATAGCACCTCGCTGCTTTTAGCAAGAATTATATCCACTCCGTGTGGCTAACACTGGTTGCCGCATGCCGATCTGCAGCTCTGATTAGCCTTTGATTAATAAAAAATGGGGAAGGAAATCAATTATTTATTTAATAACAGCAGTTTGTTTTAACGGCAAAACCTTTAAGAAAGTAAAGGACTTGAGAGTGGGGTGGGGTGGGTGGAACCAATAGTGTCTTTGGAGGTGAGAAGTTTGGGAATGGAGGATTTCCATCATGGAAGTGGCACCGTCCTGTGCTAGGATAGAGGGGCCGTTCCATCATGGTTTTCAGGATGTAGGATGCAGCTGAGCATGAGGGGACCAGACCTCTAGCACCCTGAGATCCGGGTGCAGTTAGGGTCCTTGGGTGCAGGGCAGTGAGAGGGCAGGGCACTGGTCTGCTTTGGTCACTGTGGCCCTTCCCTGCCCCTCCAACAGGATCTACCTGTTAACTCTGGTCTCAATCTCTGGTCTGTTAATGCTGAGAAATCTTCTCAAGGAAGGGCATGAGTGTGTGTCCCTGTCCATCGCCTATGGCGCACATTACTTGGCCTTGGGTCCAGACACTTGATGATTCATGCTAGCTCCCCTTCCACCATGTCCACTGGGGGTCCTCCACTGGCCTACCTGGTCCTGCACTGTTTCCCTAGCACCTCTCTGCTGTTACTCAAATTGCTTTCTCCTTGCAGAGGGCACTTCTGCTGATCTTTGCATTTCACAATCATATCCATTCATCAAGGCCAAGATCGAAGGACACCCCGTGCAGCAGCTCCCCAAGTCAGCCCCTCAGGAGACAGCCTTTCTTCTTCTGAACATCCCGGCACTTTGAATGCGTGTTCCTGTGGCAGTTTGGGGAAATACGGCTTTGTACTTTATTTCTTTGTAGGCATTTGGAGGGCAGGGACTGCATCTCAGTCACCTTTGTAACCCTCACCCAGGGTTTGTGGAATAACAGATGGAGGGATGGATGCTATCTTTTGGGGAGGCTGTACCCCATTAACATCTGAAACAGCATTCAGATGAAAGACCAGACATTTAAGAGAAATGATGATAGCCTCTTTGAGGGAAACAGGAAATATATGCTTTCAGGCACCTGAGAGAAACAGATTAGAACACTTGGGTGAGGGATTTGACTTTTTATGTTCTGGAAGACAAAGTAGAAAATTAAAAAAAAAAAAGGTCAGGTGACATGGTGTTAATTTTCTGACAAAAATAAACCTAGCATGTTGTCTATAGAAGTAACAGCCCCGTATTCAACATATATGGAAACTCAGTTTTCTCATCTGCCAAGTGGGATAATAATTCCTGCACTTATAAGGCAGTTGCAAATTTTACACAAAAGAAAAGAGAAGAGAGAACCTCTCCAAGGAGAAAGTGCTCTTTACATGAGGCATGGATTATCTATTTAGGTAACTGTCAGTGACCTAAAGTTCTTGTCTAAGTGGCTGCCCTGGAAAGAGGGGTGCTGGACAATTATTCAGGCACCAAAGTCTTTCTTCCCATCTCCATTATCTGGATATCTCTCATGGAAGCTAAATTTCCCAGAATTATCTGGGTTGTTGCCATTACTGTCTTCTGAGCTTACTGGCGTGGGCGGCCACTTCCAGAACGCAGCCTTCCAGCAAGCTGGCCCAGCCACTCCAGATACCATGCCCTTGAGTTTCAGCCAGGCACGTGGCTGCGGGTACACGGCTGCTTACGCACGAATGTCTCCTTCCATTGCTGGAGAGCTTTGAGTTTTCCTGTCTTGGTTCACAGACATTATCCCACGAGCTTGTCCTCATTTCCCTGAGTGTGAGTAGGGAACCCCAGAGAGGAGACTGGATTTGCTGAGCCACACAGAACCTATTAGACTCTCTTTTGCCTCCACTACGGCAGGTGAGAAATTTGGGAATCCGGAGTTTCTAACATGGAGTCAATGTCTTGGCCCCTCAACCTCCCCAGCAATTGGCCCATACAGCAGGGGGGTGATTTGAGTGGGGGCCCTTCTGATTCAGAGAATAAATCACCTGGTAATTCAGGGGCTGGCTTAAGAACATGGCCATGTGGAGCCCCCAAGCTCATAAAGCAGATGAATTAAAGGGCAACTATTCACATGGCAGAAGGATTCTTTTATTTCTAAAAGGATCCCTTATAAGGCTCTTCTGGTGAGCAAACACAGCACATTTCAAATAAGATTCATTGTAAAATGACAAAAAAGAAGATAATAACAATTTGCATTCACTATTTCGGGAGCAGCTACTGTGAGAATGGAGGCCCACCTGTATATCATCAGAGCTCCTGCATGTCCCTCTCCTGGAGAAAGTGGGGAGCTGCAGAGATGGGGAGAAATTCGGGGGATGGGGAGAAAGGCATTGCCGTGACCAAATCTGTCCTTCTCTGACTTGGAAGGAAACCTTGTCATCTCCACGTCAGGGGAAAGCAGTGGGGTGGTCCTGGAGTCGGGGGCTTGGTTCGGCGGATTATTGGATCCTGGCTCCTTGTGGTGTATGGTGGAGTTATTCCAGAGCCTTGAAGCGCAAATGCTGTGAAGACAGATCTGCTGACCCAGCCAGGACTGTGGACCTGGCCGCTGGGCCCCGATGGATTCCCCGTCTCTCATTCCTTACTGACAGGCTCCTGGGTATTGGCAATATTTGCCTTATGGCATCAGAGCGGCGTTTCCCGTATTCACATAGTTAAATTAGTTAGCTGGATAGAAACCTCAGAGATGATGTATCTAGTTGTCAGTTGTGACTTGGTGCTAATGGCACTACAATTTGGTTACAGTCCTCGCCGTCATTAATCATCGGCCCCTAGCTGGCTGCATACTGGGTGCTGGGGAGGGGGAAGGGCAGGGCTGGCTTGGGCAGAAGGTGTCCAGCACCCAGGCTGGGGCTCTCCCTCTTCCTCTGGGTGGGGCATGGGCTCTGTCACTGGGCAGGCCGCTGTCCCTCGGTCCCCACCGGCACCACTGCACTAGCCCTGCACACCTCTATTTATTAGCATCATGCTACTTATGCTAATAGCAGACCGTACACTATTTCTGAGCATTAACATCTGCTCCAAGCAGCCGACTTTCACTTACAGAAACTGATTTCAGCTCAGTCAAGCAGATAAACAGAGAAATCAAAGCAGGTGGCTAAAAGTGAAGGAGGAATTCTCAATTCCTGCATTCAACCGACGAACTTCACTAAAGCCATAATTAATATTCAGATAACTATATTCCGACACATAGAATAAACAAGATCATTTAAAGGATGCAAAATACATCCCCAGGGCCAGAGGGGAAGAGAGGGAGGGGAAGAGAAGGGAGGGAAGGCAGAGGACTGGGTATGAATGCAGACACTTCCTGCTCTGGCCTATTGTCTGGTCGGTTTCAGCCTTAGAGAAGAGGTGACATGCCTCACAGAGCCGGGTGTTTACAGAACCCCTTCTGAAAGCGAGCAGGGGCTGGGGCTGCACAGCACTGTTCCAGGTCGTGGAACCCTGATGCTGCCAGTAGAAGCAAGAGAAACTGAGGTGCCATGTCCCAAAGGCTTGCGATGTCTACATGGCAGGCTGACGGAAAGCTGTCCTCTGTACTCATTTCCTCACCCTTGAAGCTGTCTGAAGGCATGGCTAGTCCTAGGCACCTGGCTGCCGTGTGGCCTCGGATGGGAGGTGGGCCTCCCTGCACCCAGGTCTTCTCCAACAATAGAACACCATGCTGGAAATCCTCCCTGACTATGGAGGATTAGCTAATTGGTGATTCTGGAATTAAAAATAATGCCTCTGTATGATTTGGACCAGGTGGAATCTGACTCTTTAGATTAAAATCTACATGACAGTACATACCTTATTGGCGTTATTTATTGTCTTTTTGTTGTTTTTCCTAGTCAGTCTTTTCAAAATGTTAAAATAAGACTGAATTCATTGTACGGAACAAATTCTGAAGACAATTGCTCCTGTTTCAAAGAGCAGTGGCCCAGGGATCCGAAGTTGCAGACTTTCCGAGCAGCTCCCAGTCCCCACACAACTCTGAGATCTATATGGCAAAATTCAGGAGCCACCTTTATCATATTAGTCTACAGTGATCATGAGAGTAGCAGGAAGAGTTCACGTAACCCATCACTTGACATGGTACACGCTCCCCTGTGTGCACATGTGGGCCGTTAGGTAATACACGTGTATTACTTAAGAGCGTTTATATGTACTGTGAGCTCCGAAGGGATAGTAAGCAGCCACGTTCTGAACACGGGATTCAAGCCAGCCCTGAGCACCCCTGGGGAAAGGGGCGGCCACCAGGAGGCCAGGCCACAGAGGAGCATGCTCAGGTGAGCCCTGCCATCACAGTGTGGAGATCCCTACTTGGATCCACACTGGCCACGCAGCGAGAGAGAACACGATTCACTTCCTGGTAAAAAGGACCTTGCTAACCTTTCCTGGTCTCTTTTTGGGTTCCTCTAGTCTCGAGGGCCTTGTGGCTGAACAACAAATGTTATTGAAAACTTTAATTCCTGTTTTTGGGGAACATCCATCTCCCTCCCCACGCCCCTGCACATATGTCCTGTTTATGTCTCTTCCTCTGAGGATGGTGCTGACAGTGCTGGGAGCCCAAGTTGCATCCTGGGTGTCATCAATGCTCCTCTGGAACCACTTGCATTGTGGTTGAAATTTCCCCTGACGCCTGGACATTTTTTTGTTGTTGTTGGTTTCCCTGGAAATGACGCTCTCTGAATCACAGCTGTTTGGAGCAATGAGGGGAGGTGGGAGGATACTCCCTGGAGGGGTGATGGGAGGGGTGGGGTGGCAAACAGGCTTTTCCAGGGAAAGCTGAGAACTGCACAGGCCAGAATGGTTGTGGGGTAAGGCTTGTGGTCTTCAGAGTCCCAAGGGACAGGTGTTAGGGCGAATGGTGCATTGGAACCTGAAGGACTGGAAACTCTTTCTTCTCTAGAGTCTGACTCTCTTCTTTGTACTTTCCTGTCTCCCCCACTCCCTCCTAAAAGGGAACTTCCTGAGCAACAGCCATCTTCTCAGCCCTCGGCAAGGGGTCCCCAGCTACAGGTCTATGCAGGGCACCTGTGTGCTGCTCGCTAGCGCCTTTTCTCCACGTTTTTGCCTAATCTGAGCATCACAACATCTGTGTGGGATGGGTGAGGCAGAGATTGCTATTTGCATTTTACAGATGCAGATAGGGAGTGGGGGAGGTGGTGGCCCACCTGAGATGGCACTGTGAGACAGGAGGAGCCCTGGCCCCAGTCCCCAGGCAGCAAGTCCCCGCACATCTTGCACTTGCTCCCTCCCACACTCCGCCATCACCATCACCCCCATCTCCCAAAGCCACAGGCTCGTGTGCAGGCGGCCCAGGCTTTCACACGCTCACATAAAGCTCCCAGGCCTGGAGGGAGGCTTGGAGGACACCTCCCAGTGATGTGAGCTGTGCTCTGCGAAGGGAGAGAGGAGATGCCCCACCTTGCCAGGGGGTGCTGGCTGACTCACTTCACAAGATTCCTACACATAAAGCCAAGGACAGATGTGATCTGATGTAGCACATTCCCTGGGACTGTCCCACAGCACGACTGGCGGGTGTCATAGGTCACCCATCCTCAGCCTGGCTTTCCCGACCCTTCTGGCCACTCAGCCCTTACCTGGGCTTTCTTCTGTGCCCTCGCCTCTTTGTCCCTGGCATTTGCCTCCTCCTCTTGTATTTGTCTTCTCCCCTTACATTTTCTGCTGTGCACTCAGTTATCACCACCTTGATCATGACTTTCATTTGAATCTCCAAACTGTCACTGCCCAAACCAAACATAGGCTGGTTCTCAGAGCAGGAAGAAGAAAAATCGAATTTGGACCCAATTCCTTTGGAGTTTGGGAAATCGCACCCAGGCTGGACTGAAGGGGCCCTGTGTACACGCTGAGAGCCTGGCATTCTCGGAGGAGAATGGTGCTCTCTATCCAAGAGAAAGAGTTCCCAGCAAGTCCTTGGGGGTGTCTTTCTGCAAAAGGGCAACCTGAGTGCTAACTTCAAATGGCCTTTATGATTAAGGCAGGGAGGCCAGTTCCCGGTCGGGTCTCTGTAAAAGGACATGGTTCCTCTGTCATGCCTCTGCAAAAGGACATGAAAATTACAGGTCTTCGGGGACCATTTCAGGCTGCTGTCTCCACCCCAACTCCACATGTGAGCCTGACAGGGGCTGTTTATTTTATTTCCTTGCTTCGCTGTAGGGGTTCAGGGATGAGCCCCGGAGGTGGTGACAGATGGAGACACCCCTCCCTTTGCTTTCTCTGAAAGTAAACTAAAGAAAATACACTCATTTTATGTCCGCCAGACACAAGCTCCTCCTGGGAGAAAACTTTTTTATTCAACCTGAGGTGCCCACCTGATCTGGGAGGGTCTTGGGATTTCTCTCGTCCAACCAGGCCTGCCTCCTTGGAGCCCTACCCTCCACATGGAAGCCGCGGACGTGACTCCCCGACCTGGTGTCCCATCATGGGCTCACCCCACGGGGCTGTGTGATTGGGGCACAGACATTTGTGCCCTGTGCCCCGGAGAGTCCCAGGCGCTGAATCCAGCTCTGGAGGCGGCCGGCTCCTTGGTCCGGGTTGTGCAGTAGTCCTGGTGCCCTCTGCTGGCCACGTCTGAAAACACAGGCGGCCTCTCGCCGCATCGGGCGGACCTTCCGGGAGGCCAGAGGGATGGCGGGGTGGGAGGGCGGCCTCCTCATCCCAGGGGATGGCCCTGGTCTCTCCTGTGTGCACCTCTGAGGCCCTGCTCTCTGTACTGTGTGCCTAGGGATGCATTCCTTTTTCCTTGTCTCTCCATGGAAGAAAGACCTCACACCTGGCTCGATTCTTCACTGGCTGTGTAGCCCTGGGCAAGCTGTCCAACCTCTCTGGACCTTGTTTTGCTCTCTGAAAGGTATCACCCATCTTCAAAGTCCATTACAAATGCCAGTTCCTGTGTGTAATCCTCTCCCGAGCCGTCTTACCTTTGGCTGCTGAGGCCTGGAGCCTCTCTCTCTGGCTCTCGACTCCTTCAGGGCAGAGGCTCCTTCCTCCCTTTTTGCTTTTCTGAATCCCCCAAGCACCCACAACGCTGTCTTTACCCAGAGCAGGCACTCACTCAGCAAATACCTGTTGAATTGATTTGTGTTAAAATGGCTGCCTGGGACTAGTGATTCCCTCAGGTGCCTCCTCTGCTCTGATTCTTTTTCATTCCAATTGTCGCTTGTGGGTTGGTCTCATTCCCAGGTGAGACTTTAGATCCTAGAGGGCAGTGTGAGGGAATAGCTGGCCTGGTGCTTTAGCGAATATAGAAAGCAATTCTGACATTGTGGAGCAGTTACTTACGGGGTTCTCTCTCCCTCACTCAGCAGCACATTTCCCAGAGCCCGACTGGAAGATCCAGGCTGTAAACAACATGCTAAGGCGGGACTCCTGCTCCGTTCCTCCCGTCACCTCCCGTGTGCCTCCCCTCCTGGCACCTCCTCACCCCAGCACCCCTCTCTGCGGAGTCTCCTTCCCTGGCCGGTGGGGACCCCTGCTGCTCCCAGCAGCTCCCTCCCTGCCCCACCCTGCTGCTCTCAGGAAGCAGTGGCAGGCTTGAGAATGAAGCAATCCTCGGTCTCATCAGGGTTCTCAACGCCCTCCCCGACATGACAGACTCTTCTCCAAGGCTGCTCCTGCGCAGCAAACACACTGCCTCTTGGAAACGACAGTAACAGCTAATGTTTATTAATAGCTCACAGTGTGCTGGGAGCCTCTCCGAGAGCTTTGCACATATTATCTCATGTAATGCTTCTAATAACCCTCAACAATGGCTCTGTTATTATCTTTATTTTATAAAGAGAAAGCTGAAGCACAGAGAAGTTAAGCCACTTGCCTAAGGTCACCCAGTTAGAGAGTGGGAGAGCCCACATTCCAAGCCAGACAGTTTGATTCCAGAGCTCTTGTTCCTGACATTCCTTCAGGCAACAGGATGCCTGGGGTGGTGGACAAGGGCTGGGCACCTCTAAGACACACACACACACACACACACAAACACACACACACACACACACGCGTGCACGTGCACACACAGACACACAGCCTAAACACATGCACAGCTGTGTCCCTTGTGCTGTGCGTGTGTGAACATTCCAGTGACAGTCACACATGCCCATGTGTGTGTCTTCACTCATGCACTCTTGTTAGTCAGTGCACACGCAATGCTCTCCGCACTGTTTGATAGAACTTTCTGGCATGCAGAAAATGTGCTATGTAGACAGCACAGACTGCCTACCACTGTAGCCCCTCTTTACTTGTGGCTGTTGAACCCTGGGCATGTGGCTAGTAAAACTGAAAAACGGATTTTTAAATTACATTGGAATAAAGTTAATTTAAATGTAAATGTAAATAGCCACACACCGCTGTTAGCTACCAAATTGGTCATGCTGTCATGGGCTTGCTGTGAGGATGGAGAGAGGTGATGATCAGGTCTCATGTGCAGCGCAGGCCTGGCACATTAGAGAGCTGGACAATAGACATAGCTTTATTAATAACTACCCAATTATAACAGTGCATATGCATTGATGTGTGCGTAGCTCTCCCTGTCTCCACCTAGCCTTGCAGCCAGACACCCCATTATTCTTTACCAGGGCAGTTGAATACCACCCTCCTGACTGTGGGCTCAGACCCCAGAGTATCTCTCAAGGTGACAAGGAAGGAGGGCTTGGCTCTGGAGTGCCTGTGAGAGAAGTTTGGGGTGGGGACCCAAGTGCCTGTCTCACTTGCTGGTACCCAGGAGGATGTGGAGAGGTTGCCTGTGGCCCTAGGGTCCTCCCGTCCACTGGCTCCCTGGCCCCAGCCCAGAGCCTCCCAGGTACCTGGGTGAATGATTACATCTCTCATTTGTAAGTAAAACAGCAGCGTCTCTCTTTGTGTGTTGCTTTTATTGTTTTTTTACTTTAAAACAGGGAAAACGGGCCAGCGGTCTGCCTCAGGCATTTGGTCATGGCTCTGGGGGCCAAAGAGAAGTTCCCAAGGAGCTCTTCCCTTCTAGGGGTTCAGAGAAACGAGCCAGCACGGTCAGGCTGGTGGGGGTGGCTGGGTCGGGATATGTGGGCCACAAGGACACAGATCGTGGGGCAAGCTGGGTGGGAAGGCTCCAGACGCAGCAGTGGGGCAGGGAGGAGGGAGCTCTGCGACCTACATCACCACTGTGAATCTGGCTGACTCACCCCTGGACAGCAGTTCCCGCTCTCCCTGCTGCGTGGAATGCAACCTTGGCATCCTGGGAAAGATGCTCCAAGAAAGGGCAGCAGCAGTGGCCCTGGCAAGGGCTGGAGGGAATGAAGCTACAGCATGAGGGATTTAGGTGGGAGCATGGGAGGGACAGAGCTGGGCTAAGTTCTGTGAGATGGTGCAGGACAATTTGAGGCAGGAGGAACAGTTTCCTTTATCTCATTCATTAATGACAAAGTGAGGGCTGGCAGTGTCAGTGTGGGTGAGCACCTGCCTGGAGGTGGAGTGGGGGCATGGGGAAGGAGGACTCCCAGCATCCTCTGTTCTAGGCTTCACGCATGCATGACCTCATAGTGTGCATCACACAGTCTGTGACCTAATTGATGCTCAGTCCACACTGAGGAGGAACAATAATCACATCTAGGAAGTCTTGTTTAATTTGTTCTATTATAAATGACTTTAAATACCATGACATATTGATGCCTCTCAAATTTATACCTCCAGCCCAGATCACCACTCTGAGCTCCAGGATCATATTCCACCTGCCTTCCTAATGCCTCTCCTTGGACATCTAACAGGCCTCCCGCTCTCAGCAAGGCCAAATCAGAATTTTGATCATCCATCCCTAAAACATGTTCCTTCCCAGTAAACGGCCCCACTCAGCACTGAGTGCCTCTATTCGTCCTGGGCGCCTCTCTTTCTCCCCACATCACACCCAATCCACCAACAAGTCCTGGGACCCCTATCTCCCAAACACATCCTGACCCCGTCTGTTTCTCGCACCTTCACTGCCCTTCTTAATCCATGCCCCACCATTGCTCCTCTGGCTGCCCCCCTCCGTGTCTGCTCTCCTATAGCAGCTGGCTCCACACAGCAGCCGAAAGATCTCTGTGAAACATACATCGGAACATGGCTCTTCCAACACTTCTTGCTAACCTTAGAAAACAATTCAGACACCCCTGCCAGGCCTGATACAACCTGCCCCCACCAGCCCCTCCCACCTAATTCTCCCCATTACCCCAGGACACGCCTGTCACACTGCTCTTCCTCCTGTCTCTTGAACACACAAAGCCCATTCCTGCCTCCGGGCCTTTGCACCTGCTGTTCTCTCTGCTGGAAGTGCTTTCTCCCGCCATGTCTGCTTGTTGTTTGGATCTTGGCTTCACTGTCAGTTCCTCAGAGGAGCCCTCCCCACTGACACGTATACAGCGGCCCCAGTCATGCCTCATCCATATGTTTTAATTCTCAGCACAACACTTATGATCAGGTTTTTAATTTTAATTTTTAATGTATCATCTGACTTCCTCATGAAAATGTGAGCTCCAGGAGATCCAGAGGTTTCTGTGCCATGGTCATCGTTGTGACTCCAGCAGTGGCACAGAGTGGGTGATCAGTAACTGTTTGTGAATGAGTGAATTATTCAATCCTGATGGTGTTTGTGGGAGAAGGCCTTCTGCCTAGGGTAGAAGTGGGAGCTCATAAATGTGTTTCCTGGACTGGCTCTTGTGTACGAATTGCAAGACTAATTAAACTCATACATATTTGTGGAAATGCAAATATAATTTTATTTACCAATGACTGTAATAAAGGTAAATGCTCCTTACTTAAACAAACAATTCACTTTGGGAATAGAGCTGTAAACAGAAGCAATAAATAAACACTCGTTATTGAGTGCTCGCTGTGCACCCACTGAACTTCACGAGCTGGCTGCTCTGATCTTCCATGGTGGCATCTACACTTAGGAAGGCTGAAGCCCAGTCATGAAGACCTCTACTCCCTGGATGTGGGTACTTAACCACAATAGGCACAGGCGCTCTTCCCCAAGCGTACGACTCATGGGAGCATGGCTGGGCATCTTGGCTGTGCCACTTACTTGCTCCGTGCCCTGGGAAGTTAGGGCAGTTAAACTCTGTGCCTCTGTTTCTTTGTCTGTAAAACAGAAATTGAAATGTTCTCCTAGGAAAACTGGGAACATTAAATGAGATAGCACATTAGAGCACTTGGCATCATGCTGGGGATACGGTAAATGATAAATACATGTTAACAATTCCTCTCTTATTATTATGATTATGATTATTATCATTATATGAGACTATTCTAGATGTTTCTACATTTTCTCACTTAATTGCCATAATAACTCATGAAGCCAGTGTTGTTATTCTTGACTTACAGGTTAGGAGACGCTCCAAGCTCCAGGAATGAAATGCCTTGCCCCTGACCATTGCCTGGCTCTCAGACATGAAAACCCAAGTCTCTGGGCTCTAGATCCAGTGCTCTTTCTACGACATCACTCCTGCCTCCCTTGAACTTGGTTAGAGCCCAATACTGATGAGGACTCCCCATCACACCCACCTCCATTTTAACTCTTCAATCTCTGCATGGACTCAGCACCTCTGACTGTGGTCTCTGAGCAACCCCTCAAATCTTCCCATGCCTTCCCATCCCCAGCCTCCAAGAGCTCCCCAAGGGTTGCACCACCCTGGAATCTGAACTCTAAATCCAGCATGAACTTTACATCATAGGGTTAGAGGCTGTGAAACAGGAAGCGTTCTTCGAGGTGACCCATTTCATTCCCATCCCGAGAGGAAGAAATGGAGCTCCACAGGTGCCCAGTGACTTACTCAAAGGAGTTCCTGGACTAGAATGAAAGGCTTCCTCCCTCCTCCAAACCCAGGCCGTACCCTGACCTACCTCCCCCAAGCTGGGCATCTTCCCGGCCATCTCCCCAAGCAGGTGAGGGACACAGGGCCTCTCAAGTCAGGTTGTTGGTGGTGGGTGGCAGGGGCTGAATTTACTTTTGCTTGGGCATGGCTTTTTTTGTGTGTTACCTCCCCATGAGTGTGTGAGCCTCCTGGGCAGGGGCTGTGGCTCTGCCTCCTGCTCCTCACATGATGTGCAGCCCAGCACTGGGCACAGTGTGGGTGAGCAAGAACGCAGCCTAGGTTGCATGAGGCACCTGGCTGGAACCAGCAGCCGGACCTAAGCACAATGACCAAAACCTTCACAGTCATTATCTCTGGGGAGTGGGAATATGGGTGTCCTCTTCTTGCTACATTGTCATCTTGTTTATTTTTTCTGTGACAAATACTATTGGCAATGAAAATATTTACAATACACTTAGTATTGAAAAAACAACTGGTCTTTTCTGGGGACCAATTGATGGCCCCTCCATTCCCTCTAGATGAATGAGAGAGGCCGCTACGTGGTCTGTGCCGCTGGGCAGGGAGGCTGAAGCTCCAGGGAGGCTGAAGCTTGGGGGACTCTGAGAGACTGATGGGGCTGCAGCAGTTAGAGGCTTCCTGGAGGAGGCTCGGTGCGGTCTGTCCAGAGAAGCAGGCCTTGGCTTGGGGGAAGCAGGAGTGAAGAGGGTACCCCAGGTGGGGGAATAGCCTGAGCAGAGGTGCAGAGATGCAACTTACCTCCCAGGAAGGGAGGGCTGAGGTAAGGGCAAGGGCGGCAAGGCCAGGGATGTCCTAGGTTGTGAACTCTTTTACTTCCTTTTTTTTTTTTTTTTTCATTTGTTCAACAGCTACAATTATCTCAGGCTCACTATGTTTCAGGCTCTGTCAGATGCTCCACCGAAATCACTGCGTTCCACGTTCACAAGCAGCTCATCTAGGCAGGGTGTAAATTCCCGTTTGCTAGACAGGGAGATTGAGGCCGACCAGTAGGTAAAGGGATTTGTCCAACTCACACAGCTTGTCAGCGGAGCTGCGGGGCTGGACCTCAGTGCTATGCATTGCATGGCCCTTGTGCTGCTTTCAAAGCCTCCACTCCCCACTGAATGGACTCTGGGAGGGGCTGGGAAGCTGTGTGAGGTGCTGAGCAGGGGAATGACTTCACAGCTGGGCACAGAATAGCTTCACCATTGAAAACAAAGAACTTGCACGTAATATGTCACCAGAGGAGTTGGCTGGCCTGTATGTGGGTACGTGTGTGTGCTTGTACGTATGTATGTGTGTAAGTGTATCTGTGCATGTGTAGCTACGTGAGGATGAGAATTTAAGAGTGTGAGATTGGGATCCACTTCCTGCAAGTGGGGAAGACATGTCTGTTATGACAGTTATAACAACAGCCTAAGGAATCGGTTTTATGGCATAAGCAGATGGTTCCAAAAATGTAGGCTGTCATTCCCCCGAGGAAGAAAGCTGAGCCCCAGGGGCCATGAGGCAAGCCACAGAAAGTTAGGGGATACTCAGGAGGGTGTCTGGTTGAGGCCTGAGGAAGCCGCAGCATTGTTGACAACTTGGACAGGGAGCTGATCCTGGGGCTCCAGGGACAGGCAACGTGACATGCATGGAGACCCCTAAAGCTGCTTTCCAACTTGCAGATTCCTTTGCCTCATCCTCAGGGAATTCAAAAGTGTGGGGTTGAGGTCAGGAGCTTCGTTTCCCACCAGAATCCCAGGAGATTCTGATACATGTGTTCTGGGAGAGGCTGGGAAGGGTCAGGGTCTGGCCTCAGCTGCAGGAAGACCGGGCATAATAAGGGCACCAGTGCCCAACAGCAGCTTGCTGCAGATGCATTGGGCAAAGCACACAGCCTGGGTGTGAGGAGCGGGTAGTGTCCTCAGGGGCAAGAGTGGTGGGGCCTCCAGATGAGCGAATGGGTAACCACCAGATCTGTGCCTGAGATCCCAGGACTCCTGGGCAGGTAGGACTGGCCTTCCTCCTGCTGCCTAGTAGCAAAATGACTCACGCTGGAGCCAGAGGTGGGCTGGGGCCAGGCTTGGGGATGGCCTGGCTTTTGTGCCTGCACCCCAAGTAGCTGAATTCAGCCTCCAGGGGGCCCAGAGATGAGGCAAAGAGAATAAAAACATCTGTAGCTGGACACATGGGCTAGGCTCAGGAGATCGGTGTTTCTGGACAGAAGGACAGGCCCAGGAGAGCAGAGATGCATTTAGCCAGACAGCATCTCCCTGGGCCCCACTCTGGCCCTTTCCTCAGGACACGTTGCTTCCAAGTGCTGCCTCTGGCCTCGCTGGTCGAGTCTGAGCACCATCTGCTCAAGCCTGGATGGAGGCAGTGGGGCAGGGGCCTCTCTTTTCCTGTGGCTGCCCCGTCTCTCTCTCTCACTCTCATATGCGTGTGTGTGGGCATACACACACACACACACACACACGGCCCTGCACTTGTGGCTGTCTCCAAGAAGAGACCTCAGGGCTACCTTCTGGGGAGCTGACCCCCTCTTCTTCCGGTCTCCCAGGGAATCTGTGGGCAGAATGTGAGAAGATGCCACAGATGGCCCAGCCATGCATCCAAGAAAGTGGCGAGGTCTCTGGAGGACACTGTCTGACTTAGCGTCCCACCCAACTAGGTTGCCCACAACCACACGTGTGTGGAGCCCTTTCTCCCCACATACTTTTCCCACACTCCTCCCCTACAACTGGCCAGAGGCCCCTCAAAAAGACACCCACGCTCACACACATTTGCAGAGAACTGCAGGCGTGCCCACCCAGGGAGTTGGACTCATCTCTTCTGTTTTTTACATGCACTTGGTAGAAACTGTAGTCATAGACGTACACACAATCTGTCACTAAAAATTGGCCCACCCGAGCCCGTCGCAGCCCACACACACTTGCATACACTCAGCATGTATGAGCATACACGTCCGCACATCTCCTCATCTCCTCGCCCAGGTCTCACAGGCCGGGATTGGAGTGTACTCACTTGGAAGTGGTGTGTGGGCAGGTGCACACATGCTCACTACATACTTGCACCCACGCACATGTATGCGCACACACACACACACACAGTTCTCACTGCAGCTGCAGAGTAAAAGGCTACCAATTCCAGAATCCTGGTCAGACTCAGAGCACTTCATTCAGGCTGTGGACAGACGTGGTCCTGGTGTGAGATACCTCTGGACCCTGAGCTGGGAGGGAAAGGGTCGGGCTCTGCCAGATAGCAAGTCCCAGGATAAGGGAGCTTTGCAGCCTGGGAGGAATGAAGACAGCCCTCTGGGCATCCTCCCCTCTCTTTCCAGAACAGCGTAGAAAACACAGCTCTCCCACACATGACACACACTGACCCACACAGCACCAACACACACGTGCATGCTCCAGCAGAACCACAGGATGCAGTGTAAATACAAAACCCATGTCTACAACATGAATCTACATGGCACACCTCTAGCAGACACACCACAGCCTGCTCTGTGCCATAGTCCCCAGAGGTGTCCACCAAGCCTCACCCCTTGCAGCCAGCTGGCACAGTTTGTCTACGCAGGACAGGGCAACACATGCAGTACCTCCAGTGACAACCCCTCATCTCTCCTGTCCAGCACATGTAGCTCAAGTCAGTACTGCGAAAGAAGGCTGCCCCATCATCCCGGGACAGACTCAACTTCCAAATGGTCAGCTTATCCAGCAGATGGAGGAAACAGAGAAGTCATTCCTGGATCCTCAGGATTTTATTTTAAAGAAAAGAAAACCATAGGTTTCCTGTTCCCTGGCGAACTCCTTACAACAATTAACCCTTTGCTTAGTGTATGTGTGTGTGTGTGTGGTGTGTGTGTGTGTGTGTGTGTGTGTGTGTATTCTCTTAATACAGCTGAGCAGGGCCATCTTCTCTTCCAAATGTGTTCCCATGAGCCAACAGGAGCCCCCCCAGGCTGGAGCAGCCTTGGGTGGACGGCTGAGGGCTGGGTGTACAAAAACCTTCTTTCTCACTCAGCCACAGCCAGAGGTAGCCTGAATGCTGGTCACCAGGAGAGGCTGCAGCTGTAGACCTACCCTGCTCCTCTCCTTCCTTCCCAGTTGCCACCCCCTGGAGGCTGCCTCTTCTGCTCACAGGCCTCCCCTTACCTACATGAGAGCTGTCTATAGCCAGTGCCTGGGGCTGGGTGGCTCTTGGAAGGCCTGCCCAAAATTTCTCCAGGTCCTGCCTTTAGTCTTGGTTAGACGAACAGAAATTTGGCCAAGATTCTGTGGGTTGACGCAGAAGGGAGATTGCAGGGGGAGTGCTCTCAGCAAATGCCTTCTGTTTATTTGCTGACTTCTAATGAGGATTTGGCCACAGACTTTATGGGGCCCCTGTGTTCCCGTCTCCCTTCCAAGCTGGGCCCCTGTCATCTCTCTCTCCAAACCAGCTGCTTTTACTTCTTCTTGCTAAAAAGTTAGGTGGATAAATTGTGTCTCTGGCCTTGTGGTTAATTAAGCTTTGTCTTTAAGGAGTGGTATGTGAGTATGTGTGTCTGTGTGAGGGTATGTATCTGGGTCCGTGTGTGTATCTCTATGTGCACTTCTTTATGGGTGCCAGAATGTTTCTATATGTGTGTGTCTATGAATGTGTTTGTGAATGTGTCTGCATTTTTGAGTGTGTGTGTGTGCTTGCATATATGAGTATCTATATGAATGCCTATTTCTGAGTGTGTTCCTATGGGTGTCTGTGTGTACTGATTTTTGAATCTCTATGTATGTGCGTATCTGTATGAGGGTGTGTCTGTGTGAGTTATCTCTTTGTTTCCATAAATGTGTACACATCTCTGTGTGTGTGTGTGTGTTTTTTCAGATCCTCCATACAAGACAGTGTGTGATAATTTAAGAAAACATTAGCCAGTAATGTCCCAGGGCTTCAGTTTTCCCATCTGCAAAATGAGGGAGATGTAAGAGATGATCTTTTTATTTACTTCCATAAAGGGAGCATGCAGTCAAGGAAGCGTGGCCGGCTTGAGCATATGACCAATCTGGGTGTATCTAACCTCAGTCGAGTTACTGCTCTCCGAGTTTCCATTTCTTTGGCATTCAAAGGGGCACAGTGACATCTCTATCGAAGCTTTGTCACGAGGATGTAATGAGATAAAACAAGTGAGAGGCTGTGTGTGTGTCACTGTCACGTAGTAGGTGCATTGCCAATATCCCTTCCTACCCATCCTCAGGCCTTTGTGCCGCCCCTTATGTGCTGTTTCCGATAGTGAGCCGGACCCTCAGAGCTGATAGGGGTGCTGATAGGGGTGCTGGCCCTTAATGCATGACAGTGACCCTGGACATTTTAACTTTTGCACCGTGTTTTCCCTTCTCATATGATCCTCACAATGACCCTAAGCAATGGGTTGAGCAGGTGTTGCTGCAGTGATGTGAGAGCAGAAGGCCCAGGCTCTGAGCAAGGAGGTGAGGACACTGGTCCGTGCGGGAGCCAGAGCCAGCATGGGGCAAGGACCCAGGCATGTGGCTCCTACGTGGAGTACATCCTTGGCGTGCCAGCTACCTCTGCAGCAGGCAGTGTCCAAGGCACGAAACACTGCCCACCCCCAGGAGCCCTGCAACATCCAGGCCACCCCTGAATGATCAGGGCCAAGCTGGAGGGGCCTGTGCATGAGCCCCAGTCACATGCGGACCGTCCACCGAACAGATGCGTGGAAACAGCCCTCCCCTCAGGAATCAGAGGGGTGACTGGTGAAGCGGGGCCAGTCGCTCCCAGAGCTGGTCCTGATTATCAGCAGGAAGCAGACTACCCTTCTCCCAAACAGTCTACGCTGTTGTGGGTGCCCAAAGCCAGATTTATTAGCCTCATCACTCACTTTATTTAAAGGATTTGACTGTAAGTAGCATTTGCTATTTTTCTGAAATCCAAACCATCCTAGAGCAGTATGACCAGGACCCTGGAGAACAGAGGAGAAGGCAGCCTCCTGTTACTGTATGGGACTAGTCTCATAGCAAGAGGGCTTGGAAGGGGTGCACTCACTTGTACATTTAACTTTGGGCAGGTTTGAGACAGGGAAAAAAACTCCTACTCCTTGAACGAAAGGTTGCCCTTTGGCCAGGGGCTGCCCCGCAGGCCAGGCCTTACGAATCTGCCTGCCTGGTCAGCAGGTACACCTTTGCCCCTGATCCCTGATTCACTGGTGACCCCTTCCCTGCCTTGCTGGCACACATCCTGAGCCAAGCCATTCTGCCGTATCCTGGCAGGATTTGACTAGGTTGTAATTTTCCTTCATGATCCCTTTTTCATTTTTCTTTATAAAAAAGGTATCAACTGTACCTGGTTGCAATAGGGATAAAAAGAGGTACTATATAAGAAAGTATTTTACAGATTAAAATGCTATATAAATAGAAGGCATGCTATAATATAAATAAAATACATAATTTAACTTCTATGATACAGTGCACAAGATGCATGGTTCAACTTTAAATGACCAAAACACTTTTATATATAGGTTATATATATGCAGTATAACCTATCACTTAATCTGGTATATAATGTGGTTGATAGTATGTCCTGTGATCCATACAATTATATAATATCTTATGACATATCATATCCCCAGCTCAGAGAAAAGTAGAATCAAAATCAGTCGACATTAGGCTATTTTGGCATTCGAAACACAAGCCCCAGATTTGTGATTTTAACAGCTGAAGCTGGGAGGAAGAAAACTAAAAATACTAATGGGGAAGATATCTCCATCAACTGGCAATGTGGTCCAATGGGTGGGGGGGGGGGATCCGTGGGAAGAAAGAAACCCCAAGAATAGGTCTGGGGAGGGGGCTCAGCAGGGAAAGGGGCCTCTCAGGAGGAGCTGGAAGAGTTGGGCTTGGCAGTGATTGTTCCTACTATTTATGAAGCCAGATGAGGAGCTATAGGGCTTGCAGTGGCCCCTGTGTCTGCTGATTAGCTGGAGATTATATTGATGATGTAATAAAAATTCACTTTGTCTATTAAGTTTCATCAGGACAATCAGGGAGAGATTAGATAAAAATCAGGGGAAATGAATAATAGAATGGAGGAGGAAAGCCACACATCCCACCCATGCTGTGGTCTCTGCCTGCCTCTCCTTTTTCCTGCCCCCAAGGGAGCATGAACCAAGAAGCCCCTGCCCTGTACCCAGACCAAGCTAAGCTGAAACTTTCCCAGAGTTGGTGCTCTTAAGGAGGGACGTGGTGTTCCAGATATGACGTT
Organism: Homo sapiens; assembly: GCF_000001405.40. Classification (NCBI taxonomy): domain Eukaryota; kingdom Metazoa; phylum Chordata; class Mammalia; order Primates; family Hominidae; genus Homo; species Homo sapiens. The sequence goes on from NC_000018.10 coordinate 37,550,551, forward strand.
GGTTTAAGTTTACGGACCATGTTTAATATTTGATTAAACCTTTGGCATGGCAGCCTCTGTGATCCGCAGGCCCCACTGGGAGCCCAGCAAAGAGATCAGCCCGTCCGCTGGCTGCCTGGGTCCCTCTCTGCTGCAGCAGGGGAGGTGGAGTTCTGCCTGGGCAACAGAGCTGGAGGCCGGGCAGACCTCTGCTGCCTCCCAGTAGACAGAGGTGTCCCTGCCTCACGCTGGCTCCCTCTGGCCTGGCCTGTGCCAGAAAATTCCCCCCGATTAGAGACGTTTCTTTGGGTTAAGGACTGGGCTCTAAAAGGTCCCTGTTAAAAGGCACGTGGCAACAGAGATGGTAACGCATTAATGTCCATTAGCCACCAGGGACACATCGGCCCAGTTTGATTTGTCAGACCAACAAGGGGCAAGGCATTGAAATGATAGGAAAAGGAGGTCACTTTTGGTTGGGTACCGTTGCTTGAGAGCCCTCAGTCCTGGTTTGGTGGCCTGGGGGTTGGGGTTTGGGACTTGGGGTGGGGAGTGTAGAGGCTGGATGACTGGGAACTCGGAGGGTACTGGAAGACCAACACTAGTGACGTCCATATCCCTGCAGGGAACTGAGTTTTTCAGTCACTCCAGCTCTATGACTGAGCCCAGTTCTGTTCTCCCCTGAGAAATCCCTGGGGTCAGGAGGATGCCAGGATTGTGGTCTGTGGAAGGTCCATAAGAGAGGAATCTCCCTCCCCTAAAGAGCCAGCCCCAAAGGCCACCTCAGCCATGACTGCCCCCCTGGGCTGAGTTTCTCTTCCAGAGATGGGAGAAGTACGCCCATTCCACTGCTCTCCTGCAGTAAAAAATGTCTGCTCAGGACGTTGCCCAGGTGTGCTGTTGACAATGGGGGCAGTTCTTCCTGGGACCTGGCAATATTTTTCCAGCTGCAAGACCAGTGTCACCCCAGGAAACTGTCCTCAGCTTCATCCCCATGGCCTGGCTGCCATCCAGCCACTCCTGTGCTGGGGGCAGGAGCAGAGTAAGGGTGAGGGTGCAGGAAGATTCCAGCCCCTGGAATCCTATAGTGTATTGCTCGGGATGTTCAGCTGAGTGAGTCTGTGGGGACAATCTGAATGCCTGCCTTGGTGACAGCAAACATGGCCACGGGTTTAAATATTCCATGAGTAATTTCTCAGCCCAAGTGGGCTGCAATTGGGACAGCTGAAGGACACTGCAGACCCAAAGCAGGTGAGGATAGCCCTGGCAGTTTCAGTGTGTATCACTGACTTCTTCGGAGTAACAGCAACACACCCACCCACCCATGACTGATTCTCCCTCAGCCAGGCTGGCGGCAGGTCCAAATTTATTCAAAATGAGAAATTCCTTTGTCCACCATTCTAAGAATGAGACTTCATTGCAGAGGGACAAAAACAAAACACAATGGAAAGAAACAAAACACAACTCCCCGACTTGTCAGCTCTCCAGCCTTCCTGCTCTGTCCCGTTCCCATCTGCCAGGCTGGGCTTATGCCGTCTTTCTCTATGTGGGAATCTGGCTTAGAGCCAGTGCCCCTACCTGACTACTTATCTTTCGGGGGTTCCCACATCCCCCCTCAACAGCGTATTTACACGGGACAGTTTTATGTTTGTGGGGTTGCTGTCTTCTATCACATCTCAAGTTATCTTGTGGCAGTGAAAGCGGGTCCCCCACCTTGTCGGAACAGAGCCTGACACTCAGGGCACCTGAATTGGACATGAATCTGCACCTCCATGAGGGAGGCCTATGTCTCCCCTGTCAGACCCTGGGGCTTTCCTGCAGGGGGCCATGGTATGTCCCGCCACAGCCTATAATTTCCTACCCACTCCCTGCTCTGCAGAAACCTGCCTCTGCGTGATGAGGGTGAGTGTCGAGAGGGGTGGTGGCATCCCAGAAGTCAACGGCAGTTGGTTCAGTGACTCCCCAACTCCCGCCCCAGCAGGCTCCTCCTCCAGCCTTGGCTGGTCTGCAGGGATGCTCTCCTCCTGGCTGTGTGGCCTCTGCTGCAGACTAGCCCTCTTAATCACTGGCTCAGCCAAGACAAGGTCAGAACATTCCAAGTTAATGTTTTGCTGAGAAACTTGAGAAACTAAGGGAGAAATAAACCAAAGCCCTGGTGATGGCATAAGGGGCAGATGGGGGTCTTGAACTTGAACACAAAGGGTACAGGAGCCTGGCTTTCTGCTGGCTCCAGCTGGATGGTTCAGCCTGCATGTTTGGCCCTTCCTGCCTGGCTTCCCACGTATCTCAGCTGGGGTCTCCTGGAGGAAGCATGTCCTCTGCAGCTGGTGTGTGGCTGGTCAGCCCTTCAGGAGTGTGATCTCTTGCTCTAAGGCCTGAGCTGCTGTTGTGACGTGGTCTGCCCAGTAGTCATTCACCACAGCTCAACAACGTGCTTTTCTCGCACTGAGACATCACCCTTTAACTTGCTGTTCCTCTCTTTTCCCTGGGGACCCAACTCAGCTGCCGGGTCCCAGGCTTCGCCGTTTGTTCCTCATTCCAGATTTCCAAACTTGCCCAACAGAATGGCAACAGAATTTACTCTAAAATAAATGTAATCATTTGCTTATTGAAATAGTCAAGATGACAGTACAGATGAAGGTCCTGTTTTTCAATAAAAAGATTTTTTTTTTAAAATTGGATAAGAAAATGAGCCTGAAAATAAGCCAGTCATACTCTGTGTCTTTGTCACTCTGATGATAAACTGGGCTTAAGTTGCTCTACTGGGGCCTCAGCTGGACCGGGGTGGTGAGTGTACCAATTGATCACTAATCTGTGGGTTCTCCACCCAGGCCCATCCATTTCATCACACGTAGCATATGAGTGTGCCACGTGTGTGCGTCTTGTGGGGGCATTTGGAGATTCCTTTGCAGAAGTTCCGGGACACAGCAGTTTGGAGTTGGACCCATGTCAGGCCCTAAGTATGCAAAAGATTCTGGTGCTTTGCTAACAAGTCCCCAACATATGGAATTAAGAATAAAAATCACACTAAATCGTAGACTGTAATTATTAATTTTTGAAATGAAACAAAACTCACATGGATACAGAAATGACAATACTTTTTGGGTTTTCTGATCCTCCTCTCTGGCTTTGCGGTCCCTGTTTTGCTGGTGTCCCAGGCTCAGGCCCGGCTTGTCAAGTGAGGGAAATGACGTGGAGAGTCCCCCACCCGCGCAGGGAGCTGCTGTGCAGAAGGAGCAGCCAACACTGGCCAGGGTAAGGGGTAGGGTGCGGGAGAGGTTTGAGTTGGAGCTCCTGGGGTGAGGCAGGGCCTGGGCTGCTGCAGGAGCTGGGCACTTCAGACTGGGGCCCGCAGTGTGTGTGTAAGAAGTTCTTCGTCTCACCGTCAGAGGGCAGGCGACAGCTGGAGGAAAGAGGAACCCTCCCCTCACACGCAATTTAGGGGCTTCCTCCCCAGGTATGAAAAAGGTGTAAAGAAGTGGTCTAGCTTCTGGGCTCTCTGCTGTTCTCCCTAGAGCTACCTAGAGCCAGGCCTTGTGGCTGAGGAGGGGAGAGGGCACTTTGGGCGGATGACTGAATGCTGGTGCCAGAACCCACACTCCCCATATACCCTCTGAGGCTGTGCCCAGCCTGGGCAGGGATGGGAGCCAGTCCGGGGGCCTGGGAACTGTCTGGGGCAGCCTCGGGGGCTGGGGCTCTGCAAGGAAGGCTGGGTTGTGTGCACTGGGGAGGGAACGGCAGTGACCCGCAGGGCTCTTTGTCCCGCAGGCTGGATGTGAGCACCTGGGTGGGACCCTGACTGTGCAGAGGCCAGCGGACCTTCTTGCCTCTTGATGACCCTGGGTGAGTGGGAGAGCAAATCAAAGGAAGGTAGGATGTGGCTGGTCAACTGGGGCCTGAGCTGTTTCTTATGAGAAGGGGAGCACTCTACCTCAAGCAGCCCCATCTCCCATTCCAGCGACAGGCCCCATTTACTTGCCCTCCTTTACAATCAAAGGCATCACCCGCCCCTCATCTTAGCAGCCCCTTTCTTATTCATCATCATGCCCAGCATGGGGCCTGGACTCTAAGGCAGGCTCCCTTTCAGTTGCCTTGACGACTCTGGAAACAGAGAATGATCAAAAAGCCAGTTGGGCCTTTGGCTGTCACCAGAGACACTTCCTGACTGCCCTCTTTCCATTCTGAGGAGCGCCCAGACACGGGGGTTCTCTCCTTTTCACTTCTTCCCCAGGACATCCTTCCAGGTGTTATCTATGGCTGCCAAGAAGGGCCAGGGACGTCCTGAGACAGGGTTCTTATAAGAAAGAGAGTGAGGGGTCCAGGACTGCCCCAAGAGAATTCCAAGCCTTCCCTTGGAAGGATGCAAAGGCTTTCCTTCTCAGTCACTGGGGCTGAAAGTAAGCCTCAGTGAGAAATGGCTTTCTGAAGTCCAAGATATTCCCACCCTACCAGCAATGCTGACAGGGCAGCACCCTGAGTCCCTGGCTCTGCTGATCCCAAGAATTTAATCACAGTGATTGATATGATTGGGGGCCTTTCCTTTCCTCCTGGGATACCCAGGCTGCAGAGTGCACACTGGCATCTCCTGGAGCCAGTATATCCCACCCCAGGAATGGGATGTGGCTTCAGGCTCATGCCACCCCTTTGGAGAGAGACCTCTTCACACAGCGGGGGCAAGCATGCTTTCCGTGCCTCATCCGGTGAGACCAAGCCAAGCCAAGTATTGATTTGACAGAAAGATATGGATATACTGGATGCATAATGGTTAGGGGATCCTATTTCCTTCTTTTCCTGTTCAGAGTACACCTCTCCTCCACCCCACCCTGTTGAAAAGCAAAGGCCGGATGAGGGAGAGTGTTCTCACCGGTCACTCAGGGACGCCTCTGTTTCCCCGGTCTCCTTGCAGGAGTTCAAAACCATAAAGCCTCTGGGAACAAGGACCCCCTCTCCCACCATGAAAAGCTCTCCCAAGATCTTCGCCTAGCTGTATATTCTTAGAACCAGTCAATATGATTAATTTTACATGGGCATAATTTCCGGCTATTGCTGTGGAGTCCTCCCAGCCTCACCCATCAACAGCGACATGATACAGTTTCTGGTTATATTGGTCAACCAAGATATTGATATTATTAATAATGGATATCTATACGCTGACCTTTGTCCACACAACTGAATCACTCTGGGCTGGCTGTCACATTGCTTTAAGAGGTATTGATAAGCCCATTACTGGAAGGGCACATACAATCTTAGGTATATACTTTTCACTCACCTTCAAGCATCTCCTGTGAAAATTGACCTTTGTTGCATGAACTGGTGTGGGTACCATGGCATGTGGTATGCAAAAGAATGTGTGCGCATATGCTTGTGTGGTGAATGTATGTGTGTGTATGTATGCGAGCGTGTTCACGTGTATGTAAGTGTGCGTGTGACTGTGTGTATGAGTGTGTGTGTGTGAGTCTGTTTTGAACACTGTTCCTTTTAGAGCTGATCAAATAGTCAGTTACAGCATTATAGGGAGGTAGCAGAATCACAGAGTTCCTACAAATACACTGTGATGTAGCGTTTGATCTTTAGATGCCTCTTGTCTCCGAGGACTTGCGCAAGGAGGCTTGGCTTTATAAGGATATTATTAGGTTGATGCCTCATTCTCTCAATTTACCTGCCAGGCAAGAGACAGCACTCACTGGGAGCAGTCTGGCCAGAACTAGCCACTGGGAGGTGCACTGAAGACCATGCTGCAGGCTTGACTTTGGGCATACGCTACTCTGAGCCTCAGTCTCTTTATCTATGCAGTGGCAACAGTTAATTCAGCTCTACTTTCTAAAGACCAGAGAGGGGAAGTTTACTGAGCTCAGGGTCTCAACCTTCTGCACCAAAACTTCCAATCATATGAAAGCCTGGCATGCCAGCAGGCCTGATTTATTACATGGTGAGATGTGGCCCTTTAACTTTTAGAGGGAATGGGTTTGTGTAGGTTTGTAGTAGAAGGCATGCTTTTTGTGCTTGTGTGTGTTTGTGCATGGTCACACAGACCTCATTGCTGTGCATCTCTGTGGCTGCTGTTGTGCCTACCTGCATGGAAGGTGGTGTCAGGGTCAGTAGCCTCTATCAGCTTGGTCTACAGTGAGTGATCCCATCCTGTTTGAACTCAGACAGCCTCACTTGTCATGGATGCCCCCTTGCTTGTCCCTGTAAAGGGAAACTGGCTAGCTGGAGAGATCTTTTGGATCCTCAGACATAGTGTATGAATAAACCAGACATGGATTAATTAGGTGTGACTGCATCATTAAATTAGAATAATGAACAAACAGCCACGTATGGCATTCAAATCTGCCTAGAATGACTCCAAGGGTTGCTTTCAAGTAAGTCACCTGTCAGTTTGTAGGTTTTGGGGACTCTAGAGAGTGAGGCTCCTGTCACATCTTAAGAAGTGGCTTCTTTAGGTACTACATACCCCAGGTGAGGACCATCCTTCAGTGGGCACCAAGACTCCACAACTGAATCCAAACAATGACTTGGTTCAATACAGCATCATCTATGCATGCTTCAGCTGCAAGCATTTCTCAGTGTGAAATACGACAGTAGCACAGGTGCTCAAGAGATGGGAGGGAGAAGTTAAGAGGTGTGGGCAGCGGATGTGAAATGTATTGATCCCACAATATTTATGTGGATGTGCACATAGTCGCTTGTGCACGTGCATATGTGCATGCACACACACCCCCCTTTTGTGTTTCTATAAACTCCTTTTTCTTCTGCTGATACTCCCTATTTCAGTCAGATTGATTCAAGGGTGAACCAAGTTGTGTAATTTTAGGAACAGCTGCTGAACTGCAGCACCCTGCCCTCGGTGCACAACAGTTCTCACAATCCCGGTCCTTGAACACAGTGGCTGTGCAGAAAGGATTTTTTGTCTTTAACAAAGAGGAGGAAGCCAACAGCTAAGAGGGAAGAAAATGGGAAGCTAGCTTGCCTTGCTGGCCAGCTGTGGAATAGTCTAATACATCGGGGCTTTGTTCAAAAGATGTGTTAAGTATCTAGAAACCTTTGATCTGTAGCCACTCTTAACAAAGGTGATAATTAATTAAAGCAGAGTGCATTGCAATAAAGTAACATCGCGGTCAGTTTATGCGTTGTCCAGAGCCGGCCTTCGGAAGTCTCTGTCAATTAAGCTCTTGTAGGAAGCCAGTTCATTATCAATTTTTTTCCTGAGTTTGATCAATATTTTTGGCTGTTCTGTCCCCACAGAAGCAGGACTATGTCTCTCTCCATGAGGGCACCCATTTATTTCCATCTTGCAGAAGGCCACATAGGATTTGTTCCTGAGCTGAGCTGCGGGGAATCACCCTGTTTGAAATCCTCGATCAGCTCATGCTAGAGAAGAGATACAAGGAAGGATAAGAGAAACCAAATGTGGAACAAGTAGAAGGGGAGAAACCCTGTAAATGGATGGTCCTGAAAACATCCCTTTTACTTTTTTTTTTTTTTTTTTTTTTGAGACTGGGTCTCACTCTGTTGCTCAGGCTGGAGTGCAGTGGTGCAATCTCCACTCATTGCAACCTCCACCACCCAGGCTCAAGCGATACTCCTGCCTCAGCCTCCTGAGTAGCTGGGACTACAGGCTTGCACCACCATGCCCCACTAATTCCCCTTCTACTTTTGAGGACTCAAAAATCAAGGCAATCACCTTGGGCTTCCCACCTGGCTTCCTTCTTTGTTCCTGTGGGTAGGGCTGTGGCTTGGGCTTTATACCCACCTAGGGCTATGCGGAACTTGATGGGTGGAGATGGAGGAAGCTCTTAGGGCAAATACATCAACACTGGAAATTCCTCTGCAGCTTTTACTACCCCTGTAACAGTTTTTTTTTTTTTTTTTTTTCCCTGTCCTGGTACCTTTAACTTCTCTTATGTTGCCGAATGGAACACTTATCTCCTTCTTCAGGCCCCACTTTGGGGTTTAGGTGGATATCTTAAATGTCAGAGAAGACAGAAAAGGAGAGGAAGGATGATGAAAGGGCTTCAGTGAAATTGTGGGGGGCGGGTGGGGGGGGCTCTGTTCTACTCCCCTAGGCTGTTTGGGTAGGACTGGATGCTTTCTGCAATTCTTGGAGAGGCTGCGTATCTAAAGGCCTGCAGGAAAAGAAGAGGTGAAAGGAGTGGATTTTCTGCTCTTGTTATAGAGAGCCCAAAAGGAGGGCAACCGGCTCCCTGCCACGCCCTGCTTGGATTTAGGTAAAATGCAGTATTCTGCTTGGAGGGCCTGACTTGACTGAGCTGTCAGGTCGTGTGTGTGTGTGTGTGTGTGTGTGTGTACACTATAAAAGGAAAGTCGCCTGGAATACCAAGAGGCAGTGAGTAAGGTGGGAAATGCAGTGGGTGAAGGGAATTAGCTGCGGCTGGCCACTCGGCCACTCAGATTCCAGATGGAAGGTCATTGCTAAAATGAGTCAGTGGGTGAGCAGAAGCAGGCCAGCCTTAAAAGGGTGATGGGTGGGGAATGAGGATGGAACCCTCCTCCAAACCAGGACTTCTGGATGGGGATATCAGGCAGATAAAACAAAAAGCACACCTTCACACCAGGACTTGGATCACTGACAAATCCAAGCCAGGAGTTCTGAGGTGGATCATGTATGTAATGATGAGGACAGCATCATTCTTTCCAGATTTTCTCCTTTTCTCCTTCACCCTTCTCCCTGATCCTGCATATAGCCTTGCAAGATTAAACTGTCCCTAACATCATCTCCATGCCACTTGCATCTGTCATCTCTTCCCTGTGTGTGTGTATGCACACACACATGCTCACTCCAACACCCACACAGGCTGCAGCATCTTCCCTCCTCCTACCCACAGACACATAGGTTTTCACACCCTTTAGCTCTTCTCTCTGCATGTCACATGGGATTTCCCTTCCAAGTTCAAGAACTGCTGTGGTTTCAGCCACTGTAAACGGGCACTCCCAGCTTCTAGCTGGCATTTTGACCCTACAACTTTCACTTTTTTTTTTCTCTACCTGCCACCTTGAGCCTTATTCTCTGTTACATTTCTGCCCTCTAGAGCCTACTTATTCCAGATTCTCTTTAGGTGAGATCCCTTCTGGGTCAATTTGGAAACTGACTCTCTCCTGATGACATGGAAGGTGTGAGCCCTGGACAGAGGCAAAGTTGAGACAAGCTCTTTTCTCAAGCAAAAAGGTGGTGTCTTGGATATATTCCAAGGCCTCACTCAGAAGCCCCTCTTCCCTCCTGATATAGATGCTGTAATAATGAGGAGGAAGATGCTACTATTAGTGATGATAATGGCCATGATCAAGTTGCTGGAGTGTGGCAAGATCACTGGGCAGTGGGAATGCCCTGGGACACGAGCTCCCTGATAGAACTCAGAACTTCACTACATGAGTGTGTAGGGGGCATAGTGATGGCAGGCAGTTTTGTCATTTTTTTCCTTTGCGTTGTTTTATGGCTATGATTTCATTCAAGAAAAGATTTCATTTTGTTGTGTTTGAGAGGCCACAAACATCCAGCCAATTGGAGCAGGTGATGAAGGGAGTGAAAGTATACCAAGGGGGTTATTTCAACCCAATCTAGAATTCCCATTAAAACTGTGTGTGCTTGGGGATGGGAGGGACGTTGTTAACATCTCCCTGTTGAATTGCACTGAAATCTAGGCCAGCCCTGGTTTCCATATGTGTGGGATGTGCTTAGTCATGCTTGCACATGAAAACATATACGTGCATATGTGCATGTTAATTTATCTCTGTGTTTGTTGATTCCAAGAAAGTCTGTTTAAAAGACAAATGAAATTATGCATAAGCAGCAAATAACCATCAGTCTCTTAAATAAGCAAATCATTTCCCAATATTTTTTCTTTGCTCTTAAGTAGGACACTTATCAACATCTGGAATTTGGAGTTTGTTTTAATGGTGATTGTTGCTTTGATATGCTTTAGGTTTGTAATGATTGCTATTGATCATTTTCTTTGGTGAAACCTGTTTTTTTAAAAAATGCTTTTCTTGTTTTCTGATTATGGCTATTCAGTCTTCCCTGTCTCTGACAAGGCAAATCTTTCTTTTAAAAGCTATAGGTGTGTACCTAGCCATTCTGCCAGTCTTTCCCCCTGGACAGAACTGAATTTTTATTTTTCAAAGTAATTAAAAAAAAGTTCATCTTAATTGAGCTCATGCCCATGCTAATACTTCAGCTGCACTGTCTCTTAGACTCATTTGAAAATGGAAATCACATAGAGCCTCACAGTTTAAATCACCTGTCTACAGCAGGAAAAAAACACCCAAAACCCCACAAAACAACGAACCATCTTGGGTAAAGTCAAGCGGTGGAAATTCAGTGTTCTGAGAATTATTATATCTTAAACACAAATACAAGACATAATTTTATGAAGATGGTCACAAATCAGCAAAACATATTCATATCCCCGTCCTTCCTCTTTCACACAGCTAAACCCCAAATCAAGGGGCTTTAGGCATTTCCTATTCAGGTATAGTTGAAATAGAAGATTGTGCATGTGGTGGTGAGTATATTTTAAAATGATACACTCTCTGGAGCTAAATCCACAGAAGATTCTATTGCTCTGTCCCCACACTTCTGGATGTAGTGTGGAAGTATGAGGGGCTGAAATCCCTGCAGCTGTGGCTCCTGGGCTGAGAGTCCCCCAGGCTGCCGGTAAAGTAGATTTTCCTCCATGTAGCTGAGAAAATCTCAAAGCAGAGTGGTTACCCAGGCACAGATCTGTTCTGACTGGATAACAAGAGGGACTATGATGTGGACTTGGCCGTTTAGATTAAAATGCATCGTAGGCTCTGGGAACAAGCACACATCAGTAGTAAAGGCTGTTTAAACCTTTGGGGACAGCCTTATGTTTAGATTACGTTAATTCATAAATATTATACTAAATACCACTTAAATTGGACTTAAATGACTTCAAAGATAATGCATTATAATATGGCTATCCAGAGAGCACTAGTCTTTATATCTCCCAGTAACTCAGTCTTTGCTGCCTCCCATCCAGCTAGACAGGACCAAAGTTATGAATGGATTGCTGATTTCTTCATGTGTGATCCACTGTTTATGTGAGTGTTAACAAGCATGGGTATGTGTACATATATGTGTCTTCAGACACTGCCTCTTTTTGTTCTACAGGAAATGAAAAGAAGAAAAGAGAAACAAATTAAAAATGAGAGAAAGGAAGAATTGGACTACTGGGTGACCTGTTCCCTTCTCCAGGGTAGAAAAATTCTACAAAAAGGGGTAAAATTGGCCCTCAGCTCATTTCTGCTGCTACCCGAGGAATTCATCTCTTTTCTCTTTAATCAATAGTACAATGTCTTTCTCTTTGGAGCCTGGAAAAACAATCTTTCCCAAAGTGCTCTAATAGGGGAGAAAAGAAGACTCTGAGTTGGTCAGGAGAGTTTGCACTAAACTCGGTTTTCTTCCTTGGGTGTTGTTTCTTTGAATTTTAATTCTGGGCTTTTTTCTTCCTTTCTCTCTCTGCCTAGCACCCAGATACCCCTCTCCCCAATTGCTTTCTGGCCTCCAGGGGGTAAATTTACCTTTACAGTAATCACCCCAGTCCACAACTGCTCTTTGCTGCCTCCCCAGCCCAACAGCCTTTCTCTGATATGGCTGGGTTTGCTCCACAACACCCACCCACTCCCTCCTCCACAGACTCCCAATTTGACTGGAGTAATTGCCTTTTAAGGTGCACTCTACGCATGGCAGGTATTCCATTAACCCTTAGAACTCCTTCCTTCTTTAGATATCTGAAATGGCAGGTGGCCAACAAATGGAGACCCACCTGAAACCTCCTGTGTTTAATTTAGTTTTTACTTCTTTTCCTTTTCCTTTTTTTTTTTTTGCCACTAACATAAACATGACATCCAAACTGGAGGCCAGTGTCCTGTGTCTCTCAATTTGATCCTGTATGATTCATTAGAAGTTAGAAATTAAGGAAGGGGAGAGCAAGAGGCACAAATATGCCCTGAAACCAGGCTTAACAAAGGCATGATTCTATCCCTAACCTTATGTTGTCAATTTAGAGATGGGGAAATCTAGAAACCAAATGCAACACTCATTCCTCAAGCCTCATCATGCTTTCTGACTTAACAGTAATTAATCACCAATGGCAAGCGAGTAATTTTTTAAGGTGGCCGGAGGCTTATTTTATCAGGATTAGCTAATAAATCAGGCTCCATCACCGAAGAAGGAGTTTAAACTCTTCTAGGACTGAATAAACCAGACCTCGGAAACGGTCTCATTTATTCAGCTCTCTGAGAGCTTGCAAGCACTGTTAGGGACATTGTGGTCCAACCTCGATTATAAAAATCAGAAGGATGGAGAGGTAGGAAGTTTCACTGGGAAAAATATATGCTCAGGCTCTGAAGGGTGAGCTGCGACAACGAGGAACCCAGTATGCCGGAGCTAGTGGGCCTGCTTGCCACTGACTGAGACAGTTTAGGGGAGAAATTATTTAGAAAATGAAGTTTTGTTTGTCCTAGGAATTCTGGCCAGATTTTATATATCGATATCTATATCTATATATAAAATATATGTAATATATGTATTACGTATATATTATATATATAATCATAACCTTCTCTACCTCCCTAATGCAAATGATGAAAATTCTACTTCTTTGCTATTATATGAGAGAGTCCAAATTACATCAGCAACAAAGTGATGATATCAGGGATTGTAGAAAAGAAACCAAGGAATATTGTTAAAGTTTATCTTCATTTGAAATGAAGAAGCAAATAAAGTGCTTTAATCCAGATGCCATATGAAGCCCAGCTCCTCATAACTGTCTTTTGCCTCTAGTGAGTTCTGATTTTTTTAACTTTAAAATCTTAAATCACCATAAAAACTGATCATTAAGATGAGCAGAAGACTTCCCTACCTATGCTTTCAAAATTTTTATTATTACTATTTTTTACAATGAGGACATTCAGAATAACAAAGGTTTGATACAAACCTTGATTAGCTTCTAGGAAGCTTGATTGGAAGGGGAAAAACTACAAAGATATGGTTGACTTGAGAGGGAGGGGGGGAAAAAGAAAGTGTTTTCTTTTTTTCTTCGAATATTATTTTGAAGGCTGCCTCCCCGTTCCACCTTTCCAATCTCTCTTTTGAACAGACAGACATTTTCTCCATATTGGATAAAGGTTGCCTTCTCTCTCCATTACAGCCCCCACCCTCACCCCACCCCAACAAACCCAGTATATTTCCATTCTGCTGTGTTTTTGTGTTACTCAACATGCCATTAACTTTAAGATTTACTCCTCAGCAGGCAAGCTGGAAGATACTAAAGCCAATAAAAACTGCTCTCTGGGACTCCAACTATGAAGAGTTTGGAGCTCTGTTTAGTATTCGAACGAAGGGAGGGCTGGAGAAAGAGGGTGGTTGTGATAGTGAAAATCGCTGCTGCTTAGAGAGCCAGACAGCTCTGCGCTCTGCACCTAATGTGCTGGAGGATCAGCTGTGTCCATAGCCCATTTGTGGCCAAGGATGAGGCTGCTCTCTATGTGGGGGTGGGTGTGCGTGTGTTTTCATCTTTAAAACCACCAGCTGTAACAGCATCTTCGGCGGCTCTCCACACTACTGTTTATTAAAAACGGAACATCCATACACATCCCCTACAACTTCCTTAGCCCCGTGCTCCTTCCCTGCCTGGCGATCAATCTCTCTCAGAAAGCATTTAACTTGCCCACATAGATCCAGCACCGATTCATTCCCGCTGCACATCCTATATATTACTGTTAGGAAGCGGAGCACTGGGCTAATTTCGTCACCCACCAGCCACCCACACACATTCTACAACTGAACACGTTTGGGGCTCTGCTTTAAAGATAATAAAACAAGGAGAAAACAGGCAGGCTGCGGACAATTCCCATGACCACTTTCCTAAAAAGTTGCTGTGTTTTAATTCTTTGATTATTCTGTCTCCCCCTCCCCCAAGCACTCACTGGCAATGATCGCTTCAAGGGAGAAATAATGTACTATAAAGCTCTCTGCATGGTGAGTTTGGGATAAATTAGGGTACACCTTTCAAAATGCAAATCTCGCACACACATATTTTTTTCCCAAAGCCCCGCTTTCCTGGGAAGGGGACTATCCAGGCTTGCCAGACCCCCCACTCCACCCAGGGGATGGCTGGTTCCTTGCTAATTCTTGCCTTAGGTTTTATCACTGGTTCCTTCAAACATCCAACCCCCCCACCCCCAACACACACCACCATTCACACCACAATCAGATTATTGAGGCACACAGCTCGACAGGGAGAGTTTACTGTTACATTTAAATAAAAATTTCTCTTTGAATTTGTCACCTCTCTCCCTTTTAGACGGCTGCGCTCCTGCTACTCTAGCCCGGAGCAAAGGATGAGGAGACCACCTCCTTTAGTATTTTCAGCACCACGGCGATGGACAGCACCCTCGGTCCTCGGCCGGCCAGGAGCCCGCGAGTCCGTCCGCTCAGCGTCCTGGGCTCGACCGGTGCAGCCTTCCCCATCCCCATCTTTCAGGTCGCTGTACCCAAAAATCCAAGCCCCGTCTCCTCGATCCCCTCTCTCTTTCTCTTCATCGGCGCCCGCTGCTCTCTCCATGGCATCGTTCCTATCAGCACCTCGCCCAAAACCCAGTCTTGCCCCAGCGAACAGCTCCCCACGCACCCCAGCTCTGGTCTCCGCTGCCCGAGCGCCTCCCTCCACCGCGCCCGCCCGAGGCTTCCTCTCGCTTAGTCCGCCGCTCGTCAGTCGCCGGCCGGCCGGTCGGCCCGCCAGCCCGCTCCTGCTCCCCGGCAAAGTTGGGAGGGAAAGGTGTACTCACCTTTGTGCATGCCTGTGAACCTGTCCTTCAGAACCGTAAGCTCGTAGATTTTGCCAAACTCCTCGAAGAGGGGCTTGAGGTCCTTCTCATCCAGGTTGCGGGGGATCTGCCCAATGAACAGCTTGATGGCATCGTGGTCCTTCATGGGAATGGTCGACGGGTTCCCCGGGCTGTGGCTTAATCCGTTCATGTGCCCGGCACTGCCCGGGCTGCTGCCGAGCCCGTTGGTACTGAGGCTTGCGTTGTCAGCCTGTCCGTTTGCTAACGTGGCCATCTTTATATACATAGAGAAAATCTTCTTTCCTTTTATTCTTTCTCGCTCACACTCTCTCGCTCCTCTCTCTCGCTCGCTCGCGCTCACACACGCACACGCATACACACACTCGGGTTCTCTCCCCCTCGGTTTCTCTACACCTCGCTCTCCGCTCGCTCTCTGCTCTCTCTCTTTCTCCTCTTCTCTCGCTCGCTCGCGCTCGCGCTCTCTCTCTGCTCTCCCCCCTCTCTCTCTCCCTCCCTCCCTCTCCTCTCTCTCTCCCTCTCTCTCTCCCTCTCTCTCTCCCTCTCTCCTCTCTCTCTCGGTCTGATCTGATTTTTTTTTTCTTTTTTTCTTTTTTTTTTTTTTTTTTTTTTTTTTACATTGAACAGACAGGATCTCTGTCCTTTCCGTTTAAACAGGCTGGACCGGTTCAAGTTCCCAGCCAGACCAGGGGTGGGGGTGGCGAGTGTGCGCGCGCGGAGGAGGGCGCGGGGGGCCGGGAATGGGCGCGCTGTGGGGGCCCGCGCCACGGCGGGCGGCGGCCGGGGGCAGGGCGGCGTGGGGCGGCGGCCACCGCGCCTCCCCCGTCGGCGGCCCCGCGCCGTGGCGATGGTACAGTCCGAGACGGCCCCCGGCTATAAATAGCGCCAGGCGCATGGCTCTTCGGGAGGCGCTGAGATTCCGGGCCCGGCGGCCGCGGGGAGCGGGTGTCCGTGAGGAGCCGGGCAGCCGGCCTCCTCTCTTTGCCTTTTGGGGGTTCTTTTTGTAATAGCAGCAGGTGCAACTTTTTGTATTTTAAAAATAGTGATTTTTATTTTCGTGTGGGTATGTAGGGGGGCTTTATCCACCAAGCTATGCTCTATTAGGGCGCCAGGCGGGCGAAGCAAAGGCAGGGATGGCGGGCGGGGCGGCGGCGGAGGTGGAATGGGCGCTTTTTTCTTCCATCTGGCTTTATTTATTTATTTAGACTAGAAAAGCGAGCCGGCTTGGAGGGAGTCCGCCCGGGGATCCGAGCGCGCATTCATCAGTGTCGAGAGAAAAAAAGCTACATAAATATATATTATGTGGATAAATCTATAGACAAGAGCTCTCTCGCGCGCGCTCTCTCCCTGTCTCTCTGTGTGTGTCTTTCTCTGTTTTTTTTTCCTCCTCGCACCCCCAACCTGCCAGAGCAGCCCCACATCTTCCTCCCGCCCGGCATCTACCGCCACCCAAGCCACCTGCCAGGATGGGGCTGGGAGCTGTCGGGCCGCGCCGGGGGGCAGAGGGACGGGGAGTAGAGACTCGGGGTCCGACCCCCGCCCCAACCCGCTTCCGAAGGCGGAAGGTGGGGGTCCCCGTCCCGGGCGGCCTCCCCCGCCCCGGAGAGCGCGGCTGGTCCCCCGGTGGCTGGCGGGAGGAAGGTAGGAGTCGGGCGCCCCTGCCCGCTCGCCCGCCGGAGGGGGAGGAAGGCGCTGGGCGCGGTGGCCGGTGAGCCAGCGCGGGGGATGGCTTGATTTGCCCTCGTCTGCTTTACGGGTTCAAATAGAATATATTTTTTTAATCACCATCAAAAGAATAAAGCCCCTGAATCGCTATCTGGGTTGCCGCCGGACCGAGACTCGCGCGGCGTGCGCTGCCCCCGCGGGTTTCGTTTTCGGCACCTACAGCTCCCGAGGTGCGAGGCTGAGTCGTTCCTGCCGTGGGGACCGGGGGTCGAGCCGCCCGGTCCGGACCCCGCCGGACTCCCCGCCAGGCCCACTGGGGCTGGCATCTCGGCTGCGCGGGAAAGGGAGTGGCAGGCGCGGAGCCGGGAGCAGGGTCCGAGCGGCCCCGCCTGTAGGGGTGAATACTGGTGGTGAACTTGGCTGGGGTAGCAGATTTTCACGTTAATGATATTTACCTGCACCCCGTCCTCTCTCATGTTTGCTTTTTCAGGGCAGCCTCTTCGCTTCAGAAGCCTGGCAAATTGAAATAACGCGCCCGCTCCCCCGCGGGCTGCGGGGCTGGGGAGCTGGGGCGGCGGGGCTGAGCGGCTGGCCTAACCCCCGCCGGCCCTCGGCTAGCCACTTTCGGGTTTCAGGGTTTCTCTTTTCTTGCCCTCGGATTACATTACGTTACTAGAGGATATGTCTGCAATTTTAATTAAAGAAATGAGACCCCAGCTGCCTGCAAACCCAGGCCAACCCCATTTGGTACAAGCACAATACGGAGCTCTCCAGCGCCGGAGGAGGCCCGGAGGCCCGAGGTTCGCAGCCCCAGGCCCCGAGTCCGCTCAGGACGCCTCTCTCTGAGGATCCCGGGCCCAAACCAAAGAGCAAGTATGATTTTTAGAACTGTGGAACTTCATCCTTTCATTTTAGCTTCTCCTGCCTTTGCTTGCCGGAATCGGGTGTAAGTATGGTTAATTCGTCACTTGGTTTACCGGGTTTACGTTATCCGGTGTTGTATGCTGGTCTAAGAATCGACCAAGTAGATGACTCGAACAGAAACTCACATATAGAGCCTTTGCCATGTGGTGGTTGTGTATTTGGTGTGCCTTTGAAGTGCCCTGATAAGGGGGGCAAGTCCCTGCTAAGCACTTGGAGAGTTTGTGTGTGTGGTTTGGCCGTGTGTGCCTGCTTGTGTGGATGCAGCGTGGGTCTCTGCACGGACCCTGCGTGTATCCACACTGCATATATGTGTGTGTCCATACCAGGTTGAGACCTCCTCCTTCTGGTCCCCTAGGACACATCAGCAGTGGCTATTAACTCTGTCCAAGATATCTCTTCCAACATCATCCTGTGGTGCTGGTGCATGGCACCCAGGATCCTACAGCTGAGTGGCATGTATTTTCTGCTATCACAGGGGAGTTTAGGAGAGTAAATTCCTGCTCGAGGTCTGTTTTTCTCTCCTTGCCTCTCAACCCCTGAAAGCAAAGCCCGGACATCGGAAAGGGAAAGGGGCCAGCTAAGGGCAGCTGGAAAAGAAGGGAACTGCTCAGGGGAGAGTCACTGAAGTTCACCCTCCTCTTCCTGCCACCACCCAAGGCACCCCTAGGTCCAAGTAAATTATTCACAGGGGGTTAATTACTCATGTTATTATTAATAATAGTCAATACATAAATAATAGCAATCGTTGGGCAGGAGTGAGCCAGGGAGTGGGCTTGTTAATGAAAGGGGGCACTGGCTATTTCAGATGCCATGAAGACTCCTCCATTCTGTGCAGTGCCAGTTCCCTCCAGGACTGCTCCCCTGCCCTGTGCACCACGGCCCCTCCTGGTGTCTCTTCATCCGTGGACTCAAAGCTGTGGAGAGCTGCTCCTTCCTTAGAGATCCCCACCCTCCCCCTTCTCCCACCTGATGATGGCTTATTTTGGATTTGGGTTATCTCACCTTAGCAGGTGGCACAACCCTTACCTCTCATCTTTCTGACAGATATATGGCGAAATGTCCTCCCTCCCAGCTCCTGCCCCAGGACACTAAGTCCTGTCTAACTGAGCTACCCAGTGTAAACAGCAGCAGAAGCAGCTTCTGTTTAGGCATCAGTCTCTTAAAGGTGCAGATCTGGATCTCTTAGGCTCCTACCTCTCCTCCATAGCAGAGTGTTGGGGATAAAATAACACAGACAGGTGTCTCAGACTAATGCAATAAAAGAGCAGGACCCTTGAGAAAATAGTATGAAACATGATTAGGTTGGCTCTTTGGTATCCTCACCCTTGATATTCTAGGAAGACTTGAGTTAAAATTTTTTTTAACCTTAGATCATCAAAGAGAAATGTAATTAGAGAAAGATGGGCAAAGTATTACTCACTGTGACATTTAAGCAGATTTAACTTTCCCTCCAAGTGCCACTTCATGGCCACAATTATTTCACCCACTGAGAGAGAGGGAGAAGGCTAGCAAATGGAAGTGGGGCTGGGAACAATTGCTTCTCATTTTCTCTCTGGGCTTGGTGTTTATATGTTGTTGCTGATTCATCTTTGGGGGTGTTAGAAAGTCCTGTGGGGGATTAGGTTCAGGTGGGCTAGCTACTCAGGCCTTGCCAATACCTCCTGTTCCTTCGCTTCCCTTTGCTTCTCTCGTTCCTCAAGGAGGGGAGGGAGCCCTCACTGGGCTCAGCTTCCCTCCAGCTGAGCCACTTGTCACTGGTCACCCTCTTCTCTCTGACACCCACTGAACTAGCAGCCCTGGCCATGGCCGCACAACCTCAGGCCTGCTTTGGCTCTCCTGCCTGTAAATCTTCTCTTTCCCCCTCAATTGTGAACTCATGGAGGGCAAGGACCCAGTAATCTGGTCTCTCCTCCTCCTCTGCAACCCCTTCTGGTAGCACAGTAGGTGCTTAAGATATAGTTTGTAGATACCGGTGGCTAATCTGACTTGGGGAGTGGTGTCAACACTATATTCATATGGGCTCTAAGGAAGGGGAGCTGCAGGGCCCCAGGCGGACACTTTTGAACAGGTAATTTAGAAGACCCGCAGCAGTTCAGCATCCTGGGTCTGCACTGCTTTACTTGGAAGCATCACCACTCAGTCATTCTTGCATTCATCCAGTCTTTCTGACCTCCCTCTGGAAGCAGCCAAGAAAGGACAAGGCTGCAAAGATCTCACCGTCTAGTTAGACCAAAGTCATACCCAGTGAAAAGCCCCAGAACAGCAAATGGCAACAGATGGTTAAATGTCTTCCAGGCCTGAGGAGTTCCACATAGGAGAAAATAGAAAACAATCCAAGTTGCCTGTGATGATCTGTGATGGGGGTAGTAGCCTTAAGGAAAGAGGCAGTGAAGAAGGCAGGATGCAGAGGGGGCCAGATTGGTGGTACGCTGGGTGATGCTGGGGATTTAAAACTGGAAGGGAGAAAAGCAGGGATTACTCCAAGGTTATGTTGAGACCATGCTGAAAACAGAGCTGAGATATACACTGGGCTCCCTAACAGACCAGACCTCAAATTAAACATCTCTATGGAGCGACTGCTCTGCCCAGACCTGCAGAGGGCAGTGAGGGCAGGCTGGAGGAACGGAGACTCCCCTGTACTCTGTATAGGGCTCATGTGCTGTTTGGGCAAAGAAACGGACTCAAAGAGCCAAATGGCCACAAAGGGTATGATCCAACTGAAGGGCAAAGTGAAAGGAGCAGGCTGTGTGGGCTACGGACCCCCAGAGAAGGTGGAGCTTGTGTGGGCAGTGGCACTCAGGGAAGGCCTTCTGGAGGAGCAGGCCCTGCTGGCCCTGTAGGAAGGGGTGTTTCAGCTCAGGAAGAGGGGAGAGAGGTGGCCTTCAGGTTGAAGTGGTGTTTGGAGTTGCAAGGCCTGGAGTGAGGAGTGGGCTCTGAGTTCTTGCATGACACACAGAAGGAGGAGGCTCCCATGTGGTTATCAGTTTGGTAGGCAAGATGGGGCTTTGCAGGCAGCCTCAGCAGTATGGTCTTCTCCACAAACCCAGTGTGTCTCTGACCTGGAATACTTCAGGAAAGTTCAGTGATATAAAGAACAATAATTGGGGCAAGAAAGGAAGAGAAAAACAATCCCTACTGCCTTTTAGCTAATATTGGCAGCCTCCTGCTACTCAAGTAGACAATTGAAGGACCTCCTGTCCTGTTGTGAGCCCACAGCAGGTCTGGGCATGAAGGAAACCCACTGGAGGGAGAACGCTGTGTGTTTGGGAAACCCAGGGGCTCCCTAGAAGGACTGAGCTGTCTCCAGGTCTCAGACAGGTGCCAGGGCTGGCAGAAGAGGGGTCTCAGAGCTGTTTTTTCTTGCTGGCTGAGCCTCAGGGCCATACTGCCTCGGTCTTGTGAGGGGAGCCCTGGCTCTGGCAGGGAATGGTTTTGGGAGTCCGTGGTCAGCTCCTGTTCCAGGCTTTCATGCTAACCCTGGGGGTTCGCCTCACTTGTGCTGAGGACAGGTAGGAAATGTAGAGGCAGTGTGAGAGGCGGAATGAAGGGACCCCAGAGTCCCAGACAGGGGCATCCTGTGTGATGTGGCCAGGAGAGCCAGAACTCAGCAGTGGGGACCTGACTCATCACTCTCCTGGGCGTCAGCTTTCTCTTCTATCAAGTGGAGACTGGGGTCCCTTTCTTCCACCTTCCTTTCCTTCCTCATATCACATCCAAAAAAGATGAGACAGTGGCACGTCTGTGAGGCTGACTAATCAGTTTTCATGTAAAAATTATTAAGGTGACAAGAGTGGGGATTGAGGGTCTAAATGGGCTATAAAAGAATGTAGATAAATTTGATGAACTTAATTGCACTGAGGGGTTAGGAGTTTACTCCTTATCTTCCCCAAAGAATTGACTTTTTTTTTTTTTAAAGGGCAGTGCTCCATCCAGCACAAGCATGTGGTTTTAGCTGCATTTAGGTGAAGCTGGCAGAGCCTGTGCTCTGGAGCCAGACTCCTTGGCTTCAAGTCCTGCCTCTTCCACTTTTTAGCTCTGTGACCTTGGGCAGGTTGTTTAATTTGTTTGTGGCTCAGTTTCCTCATTTGTAAAATAAAAAGAGAAATAAAACCTACCTCATAGAGGTGTTGTGAAGATTAAATGAGTAAATGCAGGTAAAGTGCTTAGATCAATGTCTGGCCAGCCAATATTATCAGTGTCACTAACAGGCCACTGGGGGCTGGGGTCCTGCTGAAGCCCCCTCCCACCTCCTACAAAGGAGGAGGGGCATCCACCTCTGGCTGGGGCTGGACTTGGTGTCCAGACTTGAGATGGACATGCTGTGGGTGTCCTTACAAGCTGCTCAACTGTTCTCAAGGTGCCCCTTGGGGAAGGAGGCCTTCTGGGATAGTAAGTCCTGCATCACAGCCTCTTCTTAGGACCTGCTCTGCGTAGTAGCTGCCAGCACTCTGGTGGTCCCTTCTTCTTACCTGAGAGGTGTTGCCTCAGCAAGTCCTTTTAATTGTGATGTTTTACTAATTAGTTTTTAATTATGTTAATTTATTGTACATGAGCCCTGAGGTTTTCAGGCACTGGGCTCACTTTGGAAACTGGAATAGGAAGTTGTATTTATTACACACACAATGCTATGGGTAAATGTCACTTCAGCAGGGCCACGATTTCTCTGATAATGCCATTAGATCAACAGTTTCTACCTGGGCTCTCTCTAATCCTAACATTCCCCACTGCCTCCAGGCTCCTACACAATCCTTCAGATAATGCAATGCCTCCAGGCTGTGCATGTGACATGAAGGAGTGAGGTGGCTGGGTGGGGCCAGGGGGACACCAATTGGACACAGTCTCAGGAAGGTGAGACTATAGGACCTTTGCACCATGCTACATCTTTAAAGGGTGGTTGTCTGGAGACCTCGGACTCCCCCAGCTGGGTGGACCCTCCTGGTCACTCACTCGGGAGCTGGGTGCTTGACTTCATGGCCTGGGGAGAGGGAGGGAGAGGCTGAGGATGGAGGGGGCACAGGCACAGTCAAGTAGGGGGCTGCAGCTATGGAAGGATATAGGCTTGTGTTCCAAGGGTGGCAGGTGGCCGTGGGTTGGGGGTTTGCAGAAGGGCCAGCTCTTAGGAAAGGCTCAGGGTGGGGACTCAATGACCATATGCTGACTGGCTGATAGTAACACAGAAGAGGGTAATCAACAGTACAAGACCAGGACAAAGAAGATGCCTGGGTATTTCGGAAGGATACAAAGGGAGAAATCACTCCTCTGACCCCCAACACACATATGCTGAGGGGGAGGGTCACCATATTGGGCCCATTTTCCATAAATCATTTCTGCTCTCAAAGGATGAGAATTTGCTGCCATTAGGAATGTTTAAGAGATGTCAGAGGTTTTCAAGAAAGTTGCCATATCCCCCACAATAATTTCTAGATGGCATTCTTCTTTTAGTAAGTTTAAAGTCTTCCAAAGTGTACATGGAATTGTATATATACATTTTGGTGTCTTATTAAACAGATACATTAATATAAATTTTGTTCAAAGAGTACAGTTTAAAGAAATACAGTCTGTAAATACAGTTGGATATTTATTGCTTAAAAATGTATATATCAGACTTAAGTTACTGTACTTTTTATATACATATGTGCATAGGTGCATGCATTGTTTTTAGAAAGAGTTTGGACTTTGAAACCAGACAGATCTTTAACTTACCAGCCATGTAAGCCATGCTCTCAGAGCCTCAATTTCCTCATCAGAAACATGGGTATAACAGTGCATATGATTGTCATGATGACTAAAAGAGGTAATACGTACATAGAGCCTGCTACATGGTGGGTGCCCAATAAATGTTAGCTATGATTATGAGTGTATTTGTTAAATGAACAAACTCATTTCCAGGTATAAGCCATTGCAGAAAATAACTTTGGAATATGTATAATAGCACATGGAGATGTTCTAAGAAAGACGATATTTGGGGTTTCTCCTCAGTGGCCCTCCAAGTGGTGTTAGGGAAATGAAAGACATCCATAATGGGAAACTAGTTTGGCCCCTTCCACATTACAGCAAGTGGATGACATCTCCAGTTGGGGGCAAAGTTGTGTGAGGGTGTGAGGGAGAGAAGCCCATGTCAGGTAGGAGCCCCCACGAGTTTCTTTCAATGCCGCAGCTTCCTGATGCACACCTGCCTTCAGGCTCAGAGAGGCGCTCACCCTGTGGTAAACACCTAGTACCCCCTGCCTCCATTGTCAGGGGAGCCTGCACCCACACACCTGCACATCCTGACACAGGGAGGCTCCCACACAGGCCTTCATCCCCCCACCTCCCCGCCAGGGAGGGTGGGCACGCTGCTGTGACTCACTCCCTGGCCCTGTTCCCTCTCGCTGAGTCACAGTGTAATTGATCCCTCCCTGCGCCAGGTTTCTACTCTCATGTGACCCAAAGCAGGGTCATTGGGCCAGGCTGAATCTAGGCTGGGGTTCTGAGACTGCTGGGTGGGAGAGTTGATCCCAGGAGGGAGGGACAGGCTGTTAGAACCTGCGATGGCTCTGAGCCTTTTACATGACACTCCTGGATGTCTGCTGAGGTGTTGTGTTTGGAGGAGTCAGGGTTGTCCACCACCCACCCATGATATATATCCCCTCCACTGATGTTCCCATCACTGTAGGGCTATCTCCACAGAAGCTGCCTTGGTTAAATAATGAACGGGATGGTTTGGTCTTCGGGAATCTCCTTGAAGACGCCCATGGTCTTTGTGTGTCTGGGACTAGGGTGCCTCATCCTTGTTTCCAAAATGAGGTGTGGGCTTAAAAGATCTGAGGGTGTGAGAGTAGGAAGTTAGGTATGTGTGATCCACACATCATTAAAGGGCAGCTTTACCCCGTGGGGGTCAATCCAGGCCATCCTTACTCCCAAAAAAGAGCCACCTCTCCTCCTGAAGAAATGGGAAACCCCGGCTAACAAGGATAAAACCACAAATCCTCCCAGGCTGGTGGCAAAGGGCAGGGTAAAGGTCACCTCTGCTAAGGGCTTCTCTTAATAGGCAGATCTGGGGTGGGGTGTGCAGGTCCCTAGACCAGCAAGAACTACAACATCACCGCCTTGCCATGGACAAGCCATGCCATTGTTCTTTGTTTCCGTATCCTCATCTATAAAATGGGCAGAAAATTCTCCTTAGAGAAGCATCTAATGAATAGATAAAGCTCTGAGAAGTAACCCTATTATCATAACCCTGCCTCTCCTCCGATTTTTAGTCTTCTCCCATCATCTTGTCTGCTGGGCAGGCAGCAATGTGATGGGATCTGTGCCCACTTTGGGTCTTGATCTCTGCTTCCAGTCCCTGCTCAACATCAAGGCTGCCCCACTGAGGCATTTCCTGCCTCGGGAGAGTGGATTCTGTATTTGGTCATCAAACAACAAAAGGAGCTCCATCTGGGTTCTGGAGGGACTCAGCCAAGACTTGCCCTGTATCCTGGGTCACTGCTTCCCTTTTCTGGACCTCATTCCCTGATTCGTGAGATGGGGACCATATCCTTGCTCTGCATACCTTGTGGGGAGGAATGAGGGTGGACTTGCTACTCAGAGTGCAAGGTGCTTATGCTGTGAATAAGCTCCTCTCCCCACCCACCCTGTCCCTGTCTCTGCACAGCCCCCAGCCTCAGAACAGGCCTGGAACAGAGAAAGCGGCCTGGCTCTCCCATCCATCCTCTTCCTCCGGATTATTTCTCCCAATCACACTTAATAGCTGCCTGGCTTTTGGCTGCAGCCCGGTATATAATAACCTGCAATTATTGTCCACTTAAGCTGTCCCCAGAGCCTTGTCTGTTGCGCTGCCCAGGCCCGCATCGCCGGCCTGCTGATTTCCCTGTCAGAGTCATGGCCAATGGGAAGAAAGCCCTTGACAGGGCTAGACTGACAATGCTTTGGCAGGGCCACCACCTCCCAGGCTGCGACTTCCTAGGAGAGACGGGGCCTCAGAGGCAGCCCCCTCCAGCCACAGCCGCATGCAGCCTGGGAGCCTGCCTTGCTGGGGCCTGGCCCTCTGGGCTGTTCCTGTATGCCCTGCCTCTATATACACGCTACTCTCATTTCAGCCTCTGCCTTTATTTACCCTTTACCTTGTGTGTCCACTTTACTGATTGCTACAGGCCAGTCCCTTTCCCAGCTAAGTTGTTCTTCTCTGCATCCTTATAAGGGAGGCATTGGCTTTTTACATACCAGGCTACTAAAGATCAGAGAGGTTAGGTTTCTTTCTTAGAGTCACATAGCCAGGAAGTGACAGTAAAAATTCAAAATCCAATGGGCTGTTTCCATGGCTCACATATTTAATGCTTATGCTATGCTGTTTCCTGTCTTCCTATCAAGTCCTACCCACCTTGGTGGCTCTGTTGGGTGCCACCTTTCTTGGAAAGCCAGCTTCAGCACTGCAGCAACCCTGGCCTGTCTGGCTCTGAACCCATACAGCCCTTGAGCATGCCCGAGATTCCCTTGGTCCTGTGTGGGCAGTGGATGAGTTCCCCTGCTTAGCTCTCCTCTGTCATTTAGTTCCTAAACTATCACTGTGCAAATTGGATAAAGCTGAGCCTTTGCAGTTGTCCACGTTCTCCCCTTCTTAGCTTCGACTCGCATTCTCATGAACATCTCTCCTAGAGCCTGGTCCTCACTGCTCCTGACAAGGGACCTCGCCCATCTGTTTGGTAAACATTTAAATTATCTCTGTGGTACCACCTGGCCCTGATGGTGGTGAGGGTGATGATGATGGTGATGATAAAAGTAGCTTTCTAGGCTGTGAAAACACATGCAGGTTCTGTGCTATCATTGGGAGATGGCAAAATCTGAGGGTGGGAGTATTTTCATGTCACTCTGAATCTAATAATTAAATGATCACGGACAAAAGAGGGTGTCCAGACCCTAACTGAGGCTGGTTGTCTTCGTCAGTGAGTGTGTGTGTGCACATGGTCCAGAGTGCAGTGGCTAGGATGGACCCTGGGGCCTGGGGACTGCCAGGACCTGTGATAAATGGAGCCCCAAGTCTGCTGGACTGACAGGCCAGAACAACCAGGGGGCTGTGGGCTGAGGGAGGCTCTGAAGGACACTGTATCTGGAAGGTCCTCCATTGGCTGTCACATTGGGCTCTGGGCTATCAGCAGAGAGGGAGTGGAGCCAAGATCCAGAGTCTGGTGGGTCCACCCTCTTGTCTGGGCCCCAGGCCAGTCCTTCCCCAGCCCTGCTCACAGGACACACCCTTTCCCTTCTGGGCTCACTCATCCTTTGCCTGAATGTTCCTCACTGCTGCTTGCATTTTTCTTCCTTTGTCTTGCAAACAGATTCTCAGCAAGGAACCTTTGTTGGAAATCAGTGTTGGGGCAGCCTGGGGCCTTCTCTGGCCCTTCAGGTCTTACAGGTTAAGTCTGAGGCTGGCCTGAAGATAAACTGCCATGGGGCTGTCTGGGGCCTCCTTCCTTCTTCTGTGCCATCCGGGGAGGCTTGGGAGCCCTCCCTGACTTGGCGCTGAGGGAGGCAGAGGGCCTGTGTCTCCTGCTCCACACCCTCGCTGTTCCCCCAGCGGGCGGGGATGCTTTAGCAGCTCTGCCTGCTCTACGCTGTTTCTTGGACTGGAAATGCCCCTGTCGGTCAGATCCCTGGCCTTTAGCCCTGGGGTGGGGCCTCTCAGGAAGAGCCTGGGCAGGGATCCTCAGCTGGGGGCAGTGCAGATGAGGAAAGGGGCCAGAACCCACCACACCAGCTGCCCCCTGCGGCAGCATCCGGTTCCAGGGCTTTACACTGTGAAGGGCCAAACTATGCAGTGGCCTTCACTTTCTCTAACTGCCATTTACTCCCCTGGCCCCTGTCACACCCATGCCAAGGGTAGAGGAAGACTTCAGACCTGCTAGTTAAAGGTAACACACCCTCTTTTCAGTGTAAACTAGTCTTGTATGGGCAAATCTCCCATCTTTAGAGGTTTTCCTCCTCTCCCCTCTAGCTGAGATGGCATTTGAGGTAGGGGAAACATACACATCCTGTGTGGGAGAGGGGGCCTTGGATTGTCCTCAAACTGTGTCCTCTGGGGCCTTGGTGGGCCTTATGGGGTGTGGTTGCCACTGTCTGGGTCGTGGGAGCCCCAGAGCCCAGCCCACCAAGCCCCGGTTGGCCACTGTGCTTGCAGGTATCCTCTGGGTCCCCCTATACCTTCCTACATCCCCTTCAGGGAGGGGGCCTGGGGCACACCCTGGCTTCCAGCTTTCTTCCTGTGCATCCCACGTAGATCACTTCTGGAACTCTCCTGCACCACAGGCAGCTAGGATGGACAGGGAGAGGAGGGGGATGATCTATTTAAACTTACCTTTCTGCCTAGACCCACTCTCCTTTTACTCCTCTAGGTAGTGGCCACAGGTGGTCCAGAGCCACCCAAACAGGAGGTGGAGCCCAGTCTTCACAGCTTTCAGCTTTGTTTGAAATGGGCCTGTTTTCTCCTCCCTCCCCCTTCACTACTTAAGTTTCAGCTCTGAGATGGGAGGAGTGGCTGGCTGGGGTGCCGCGGGAGGCTTGCTCTGCCCTCATCCTCCCCTGATCAAGGCAGCCTCTGGACTCTGTTCCTCACTATGTCCCTTCCTGCAGGTGCATAGACACTGAGGACGGTCCTATAGCTCATTCACTCTGTGAGCCAGCCCAGCACCATGCTTGGCACCGTGGCTAAAAGAGCAGAAAACAACCAGTGCCACCGAGTGCTGAATTTGCTTAAGACATTTGTAATACAAAAAACCCCAAAACTCCAAACCCCCAAACCGAAACCCAAATTAAATATTTCCTTCTGGGGTGGCTTTTTAAACTAGTTTTGATCATGTGAAGTGTAAATTCTTAGCTACCTAGAGAGCCTGACAATCCAAAAGGATTCATTTGTCAAATATTTAGGTTGGTCAAGATTAAGCATTTACTAGTGTGTAGAAGAGATGTGATTGTAAACTGATCAGACAAGTTTTATATGCAGATGTTCTAACCACTGTCATCACGTATAGGCACGTCCTTCAACACAGCACCCTCCTTCCTGTGTGTGTGTGTGTACGCGCGTGCAGCGTGCACGTGTTTGTCAGGGACACACGTGTGAGAGCACGTCTTCTTCATTGGGTTTATTTTCTTTGTGCTGCTAATGCTTTTGGCCTCTGGGGGTGCTATATATATACAGATACGGAATTTGAGAAACACAGGATTTTCAACCTGAAAGGAACCGTAGGTATTTTCTAATCTACTTTTCTCATTTTACGCCTTTGGCAATGTCCAGAGAGTTGAGGTGACTTGTTCAGGGTTAGATAGAGAATGTAGATCTGTCTCTGTCTTTCTCACGTGCACACATGCACATCCACACTCACTGTCTGGTAATGGTAATGGATGGCTGTTTCCTCTCTTTTTCTCCCCCTCTCCATGTGCCTCCTTTCCTCCATCAGTCTGTCTCTCTTTCCTCCTCTCCTTCTGTTCTGTGGTCCTGGCTGGCAGCTGAGGATGGCACAGGGCGTGCAGAGGCTAGCTCCCAGGGAGGCTGCCCCAGCAGCTGGCTGTGCCCCAACTCCCCCCTCCTCCCTGAGTTGGGAAATGGAGGCACAGTGTGTTCCCTGGCTTCCCTATTAGTCAGGAACCTAAGGGAGCACTACCTCAGTCCTGGGGAAGAGCAAAGAGGAAGGACAGATGACTCTGTTTGCAACCGGATCCCCCTTCCCTGGCTGTCTCCAAGTGGAGCTGACTTTCTCCTAGGGGAGGAAATGGGGTTTCCTCCTTGACACTGCTCCTTCCTGAATCCTTTTCTCTAGCCCAAGCCACATAGCCTCCAGTTCAACTACCCCTTTAGGGAAGATGCAATGCTATTTGCTTCATATCCAAAAAGCCCAGGGAAATGCTGCCTGCTCTAACCCCCTCTAATCCTGGTATTCTGGTGCTGAAGTGTGGCTCTCAATCCTAAACCAGCTCTGTGGAAATGACATTTTGGACAGATCTTGTTTTCCATTCTCAGATTTGGAATGGCCCTTTGAAGGCCTCTCTGTTACTCCTATGGTCATTGGAGGAAGCCATCTTCCAGCATTCCTGTTTCTCCAGTCTGCTTAAGCACTGCCATCAAAGGAGAGCTCACTCCTTCACACAACAGCCAATACCTTTACAAACTCCGGCTCTCATGTGTTTCTCCCCAAAACACCCATTCTTGAAACCGATAGCTACCCTTGCTTTTTCCTCTTTGTTTCTCGTTGTTCTGTAACACTCAAAGCTGGCCTTTGCCCCCCGCACTTTACCAGAATTATTTTTACAAAAATCCTCAGTAGCTTCCTATTGGCCAAATCCAGTAGCTATTTTTAAAGTCTTCATTTTAATGCTGTTAATCACTTTATCTTGGAAATCTCTTTCTTTTCTCTCAGGACACACATTGTTCTTTCTTTGTTAACTTACTGCTTTCTGTCAGTCCCCTCGACTGGGTCCTCTTTCTCTGTGCAGTCCTTAAATGCTGGGTTACCTTTGTCCCATCTTTGAACTTTTCTTCTTTGCAGTTTTCACAATCTCTTAGGGCCACCACCTGCTTGCATAGGGTAGCAGTTCTCCATACAAGGCAACATGTCTAGTCTAATCTTTCTTACTGAGCTTCAGCTCCTCATTCCCAGCCTCTAGAGGGCTCCAAGAGAAGAATGCTAGATTTGGGGTGACTCTCTTCTCATGAGAAAAAGAATCTCCCCCACTTGAAGTCCCTACCTTGGCTAGTGACCCCGTCTTTTACCCAGTCATCTCAGCCTGGACACGCATCACCCTTGACCATATCCTCTCCCTCATCCTGGAGATGCCCTTGGTCAGCAAATCCCACTGGTTCTCCTACATTTTCACCTTTCTCATTCTCCTTACACTGTTGCCAAAGTCAGCCAACTGGTTTCTTTGTATTGACCCTGCCTTTTCTGACCCAAATACAGTTCAGTCTGTGCACAGAATGACCTTTCTAAAACACAGATCTGGTCTTGCCAGTTTCCTCCTTAAAAGCCTTCTGTGTCTCCCCATTACCTCCAAGATAGAGCCCAGCTCATTGACTTGGTCTTCCCGGATCCTCACCACTCACCCTGTCCCATCTGCCACCCCTTCTGGACCCTTCTCCTGTGACCTCTTTCCTCCCCTTGTCCTGGGTTCCCGAACCCGGCTCCTACCACTCTCATCCTCACCCCCTCTGCTTCTATCCAGTTTGACAGCCATCCACAATATTTCTCACCCTGTTTTTCTTCCTGGAACCCTCTTCCTCTTTCTTTTGCTCACTAATCCCTGGTCAGTTTTCACTTTTCTGCTTGAACATCACTGCTTCAGGGAGGCCTTACTTGCCTGACTGCCCAGACTAAGAAGGATAACGCATTGTGCACTCTTAAGGTATGTGGTGCTTTTTATAGTCATCTGCCTAATAGCAATTGTTTAATTAATTACTTGCTCACCTCCTCCCACCCCAGTAGATTGTAAGGCTCATGAGGGCACAACTATGGCTTTCTTGTTCAGTTCTGTATCTTCAGGCTTGGCTCCCTGTGTGTACAAGAAATACTCATTGTCTGTCTGGGTGGCTGGAGAGCCTCAAATGTCAGCCTGAGTAGGATCTTGATCCTGTGAGCAATAGAGTGCTGAAGGTTGTCCCCAATATGATGATGACTTGATCAAATTTTGGGTTTAGGAAGATTGGCTGGGGAGCTTCATGTAGGTTTGGATGGAGGCAGGTGGTATTGGGAACTGGGGTGCTGGCAACAGTACAGGTGTGAGATACCTTTTCCATTCCTATCCCATCTGCTTCCAGTGGAGAGTCTAGATGATGCAGTCAATGTGTGCATAAATGAAAATGAAATGAGTCCAGGAATGGGCTTATAATAAACTCAGCCCATAGCTGTGAAATGACCTTACCTTATTGTGAGAAGCATATTTTTCTCTCCCCATTTTCTGTTTTTTTTTCTCCCCATTTTCTGTTTTTTCTAAATCTGTTCTTATTTCATTTCTTGGTCCTCATCTTCTCCTTCAAGGGCTATATCCAGAAAAGGATGCTTTCTAATGTTCCTATCTAATTGCCTGCTAATTTGTTAGTATTATTGCTAGTCTCTACAATACAGATGCAACTTTCAGATATCTTATCTGGAGGTTTCAACCCCAGGGAAGAATAAAATTGCAGTAGGAAGAGTCCAAAAAGTGGCTGTGGTTCTGAGGCTCAGACTGGCAAAATTGGTAGCTTTTCCCAGCTCTAATTTCTGTGACAGGAACAAAAAGCACCCTCTTATGGCTCTGTCTCCCCTGACCCATGCTCTCCAGCACAGTGACAAGTGGGAGTGTGTTTTTTTTGCTCTTTGTTATACTGGGTTCTGCCCCATCTTTCTAAAGCAATCTTATAAATCATTGATGAGAATATTTCTATTTTTGTCTTAAATATCCTAGCCAAGAAAGCCTTATGAATACTTTCCAAATCAAGTGCTGGCATTGCACGATGCTTCCTCATTGATGGCAGGCCCATTTCATTGTTTTTTCACTTCTTGGCTCTGCTTTCCATGGCAGCAGTGCCAAGTCTCAGCTTGAGGGTGGGGGAGAGGGTTGACCCTGATGCAGAACCCTGTGTGCCTCCCTTTCTTGGACAAGAGCTCCTTCCTTTCTTCTTGCCCATGACTGTCATACACGATTCCCACTACACCACCCTCATCTTAGACTTTTCAACCTTGGAATGCTGTAAATGATGACTGGTATTTTTTCTCAGTAAGGTTTCCTCCTGCCCTTCATCCTGCTTCTGCACCATTTTCCCTCCATCCCCATCATCATCCATTCTGTGTCTAGTCATTCAAGTCACTTGAATATCAACCTTCCTTGAATGTAAAAGAGACCCTCTCATGTAGTAGATTCTAGACCCTGCTAGTTCATAAGGACCATGTCACTCTCACTTACCACTGTGTTTGGGCACTTACACAGGGGCCTGGCACATGGTAAGCACTCAATAAATATTTGATGAATTGGGGAATACATGAGGAAATGAAAGACCTAAAGGATTGGGTGCCCTAATGCTGAATCTCCTCCCTCCCTGAGAACCACCTGGACCTGACACTCTAAGACGGCTAATGCAGGACTTTTCTGAAGCTTGAAAAGTATTCTCTACAGAGAAAGAAATGTTGTTCAAATGCATCTTTTCTGATGATCCGCAACTTGTTTGGATTTTTCTTTTACTTTTATGTTTTTTCAACATTCATGTCAATAATTTACATTACCCGTCTCTTGCTTAGGTATTGCTTAGCTTTGCTCTTTCATGTGAGTAAGTCTTGTATTCCTGAAGAGAGTAGAAATACTGGGAGGGAGAAACTGAGTCCATTTACTTTATAGCCCAACTACAAGACTTCATGCAGCCAGAATTTAAGAAACACTTCCAACTTGCTGACTGAGTGAATGGGTCTTAAGCCTGACATCCACTTTTATTTTTAACATTATAGGTTAGAATTTAAACCCAGGAGGGAATGAATCCTCTTTCTTATGACTTATATCATCCTTGTCTGACAGCACAAAGTGTTATGGATTTATATGGTTTATCTAATTGTGTAGGTATGCAGTATGAAAATGTTAGGTAAATCAAAATTATTTAGGAGACTGGGTGATTTAGTTTTTGCAATAATTAGATGCTTCAGAGAATTCATTCCTTAGTATTTTGATAATTGTTTTGATAACACACTTTCTTTGTTGTGGTTTACCTGTCAGCAGGAAATGATAATCCAGGAACTCCATAACTGTCCATCAGTCTAGTACAGACTTGATTGGAGCTCACTATGATCAATGATGGGCTACCAGCCATCTATGCCATCCTCCCTGCCCCAAGGAGCTGCCAGTGCTGGGCAAGGCAGATGCATGCCTGTGATTTAAGGCCAAACATGGAAATACATATTTGGGCACATAGAGAAGGATGAAGTTTCTTCTCATCAGGAGATCGATGAAGACCTCCTGCAGGAGTCCACATCTGGATAAAGTGTTGAAGGAGAAGTTTGATCTTACAAGCCAGGACTGTGCCTAATTCCTAGGAGGTGTCCGTGCCTAATTCTAATTAGGAATTAGGAATTCCTAATTCCACAAATGTTTGCTGGCAGTCTGAAAGAGGACAGTGGCATTCTGGGCAGAGAGAAAGAGCAAGAAACAGGAGAGCAGAGAGGGCAACGCTCATTTAGGGTTGAGTGAGTCGTGTTTTCAACCTGAAGCTGAAGCCTGAGGTGTCTGAGCCAATAGTTGGGGACAAATCTGGTTGGTTGGTTGGAGGCTGAGTGTGAAAGTCCTTGAATTAAGCTGAGGATTTTAGATTTCAATCAGAAGCCAAAGGAACTCCCTGAACGCGTGGGAGCAGGGACAGGACATGCTCTGAGCTGTGCTTCAGGAAGGCCAGGCTGACATTGGTAAGAAGGCCATATTGGCATGGAAGGGCTGGGGTAGAGGGAATCTTTGGGAGGGAATCACAGGTAATTGGGTGGGTGGGAGGGCAGGTTGCAGGGTCATGAACCTCAACAGTAATGGCGGGTGGCAGAGGGGCTATGTGAAGAGAGAGTCTCAGATCATGCAAGACTGGGAGATGCCTTCACAGGTGGTTTGTCCTGAGAGCCTCTCCTTCTCCTCTCCCTCTCCCATCACCTTCTCTTACATAATGTCAACAATTTGGGGAGTCTGGCTTCTGCATCTCCCACCACCCAGGGAGACTCTAGCTCAGGGGGAGGATTGACTTTAGGCAGGTGTGAGTGGATATGAATTTATTAAGATCCTTATTTATTTATCAGTTGCTATTTAATGCCTTCCTGTGGTCTAAAGGATTTGAGGGAGATAGTGTGAATGTATGTAAATGTGTTTTTCCACCAAATGGGGCCCACACTTTCAGCCTGATCTCTTAGTCCACAGCACCAGAGTTGAGAGGAAGGGGTTTGAATCCTAGCTCTTCCACCTGCCAGCTACATGACCTTCAGCAAGTTACCTGTCTGCTCTGAGCCTCCGGGTTCATACTTGTGGAGCTGGGATGAGCATAATCGACCTCCGGCTTTGTTTATGGATTAACTGAGATCATACATGCCACATGTTTAGTGTAGCATCTGAGGCACAGGAAGCACCCAGGTGGACAGTCAATATCAGATAGACTCTTAACTCTTATTATTCTTATTACTTCTTCAGGTGTGTGAGGGCAGGGTGGGAGGGATTCTTAATGTGGGTATCCTACCTTACCTTTCCTAAGCCCTTGCTACTGCATCCTGTGCCTGGCCACCTGCCTCGCTAATGTGATAAAGAAGCACATATATTCTCCCAAAGCATGCATTCCTGTCCTGTTCCTGATGTTCTCTGGCATCAAATCCTGCCCATTTTGACAACTGCCACAGAGGGAATACCCGTAGGTGAAGGTGCTCACATTTCTATTAGGACTAATTCATTAGATGCACTCTATAAAGACCTAGGAGGCAAAATAAAACATGGCCTCTGTCCTCGGAGAATTCCTATGAAGGGAGGGGAAGTACAGGCATTTACATAGATAATCACAGAACAATGAGACAGGCCATCAGAGGGCTGGGTGCCCTGCTGTGGGAGCAGACTAGCTTTGAGCGTGCTAGGTTTGAGATGAGTTGGGAAGGAGCAAGAGCACCTGGCACATGAGGGAAGGAGGTGTTCTGACCAAAGGGGCGACTGGCACACAGTGTGTTGGGGAAACTGCAAGTGGCTCAGTAAAACCAGACTGTGGAGTTTCTAATGGGGCATTTGTGTATCAGCAAGGAGTCTAATAGTGGAAAAAGTAGGAAAAAGGCACTGGAGCGGGTGGACTGGGGACATGTTTTAATGGGCCATCCATGTGTTCCTCAAATCACTCCCAGATCATCACCACTTTCTTCTATGATTGGTCTTTACCCACAAGCTCTGCATTGTATTTCCTGGTGTGACACTAAGATGAAAAATGAATAACTTCTTTTATTTTACTAGATTTCTAATCAATATCTTAATCTTCTTGAATCTTTTTTTTTTTTTTGGAGAGGGGTATTCAGTGTCAAAGAGTGTCTGGCTTCATCAGTTCAGGGTATCACCTGTGCCCCATCTCCTACCCTTGGCAGAGGGCGGCAGGACAGCTGTTAAACAGCTGCCCGAGGAGACCTGAACAGTCCATTCCCACATCCTCCACCTACCTGAGGCTCTTGAGAGGCCAGTGCTTCTGACTGGTGCCCCCAGCACTGGCGCTACTCCAGTGTGATGGTAGGAGCTGGCTTCAGCATGGCCGTCTGAGAAGGGCTTGAAGAAATGAATGTGGAGGCACCTTTCAGGCATCAGAGCCCTGCCAGCTTCCAGAACTGCGCTAGTGACTTAGGGCAGACTACACCTGCCCTGGGACCATTTGCAAGGGCTTTTGGTCCAACACAGGACTTTAGCTGCCGTCTGGGACTAAGGATAGGTCTTTGTTTTTCACTTTTTTGTTTCATTCTCCATCTGGCTTATGTTCCTTTTCATTTGCACTTAATACCAAAGGACTATGGGGGAAATCACTGATGTTATATTTACTGCTGAGGACTGAACAGGCCAGCTTCTTCCTCATGGCACTCAAGGGCCCACGTGATGTGACCCTCCAGGGGCAGTTCTCTCTTTCCTATTTCAAACCCTTTGCCCTGGTAGGGCCATCTCTTCTGTCTCATTTCCAACAGGACTCCTTTGAGCCTGCAGCTCTTGGTTGCCTCTGCCTGTGATGCCCAACTGCCCCCACGCGCCCCATCCTGCACCCCAGCCTGGCCTGCTCATTCTTGGAGGCCCAGGCCTGGGATCAAACCCTTGGTGATGGCCTTTCTTGCTGTCTGTGGCCTCACATATTGCAGAGATCAGAACTGGGAGCCCCAAGAGCATCTAAGGGTCTGAGAACACATATGAGTCACTGTTAATTCATGTCCACGAGCACAGTGACTTCCCGCACTGCCCTATCAGCTTCCAAAAGGCAGGGACTTCTCACTTCCTGTCTTCCCTGAGATGCCCCGCACGGGACAGGACACAGGAATGGTTGCCAGCTAGAATAGCTTATCCGTAGAGTGTCCTTTTGTTCTGCTGACTTTATTTTCTTCACAATAACATTCTTTTTGGTAGAGGATCAAGTGTGAAATGCCAGCATTTGAGTTTAAGGGGCCCTAGATAGGCATTTGCTACATTCCAACCTGCAGGCAGGGGTGTGTCCAGCCCTCTGGGCAGACCCTCACCCGCCCCTTCCTCTGTGGGCTGCCCCTCTCTGGACTGTATTTGGCAGACTGGAGAAACTCTCTTAGGTTTTATCCCTGAGGGCCTAGTGTGCAGCCTGCTCCGTCCTAGGTTCTATGGGTAGATGGGAGAAGCAGAAGTCTCGGCCTTTGCCTTTGGAAGCTTGGGATACTGTCTCAAGGGCAGTGCTGGGTCTCAGGGGATGGGGAGGTTTGGACGACAGGGAGGCCTGGGAAAGCCATTCTAGGTGGGGGAGAGGTGCCCCGGGTAAGTCAGGCCTGTTTTGGGTCTTGCCTCTGGTACAACTCCTGTGTGACCTCTCCTCTCTGGACCTCTATTTTCTCCTCTGTGAAATGGGTATAATCAACTGCTTACTGGCCCACCGGGTTGCGGGACAATGACCTGGGGTAACATGAGGGGAAATGGGGAAATGCTTTTCTGAGGATGAGGGCAGTGTCTGAATGAGGGGTGATGCCAGGACTGCCTCAGTAAACGTAAACTTCACCATCTCGTTTCATAGGTCATTTGGGGGGTGGGTTGTATTCTTTAAAGTTTTTTTTTTTTTTTTTTTTTTTTTTTTTTTTTACCATGGAGTAATGGTACGGTTAATGTATTGTTATAACATGCAGCAGTACCAATTTATCATAGCAGGACCCCTTCCTTGAGAGAGAGAGTGAGAGAGTGTGTGTGTTTGTGTGTGTGTTGGAGAATCGCACCACGGGGACTTCTGGCTGAAAAAGAAACCTGGAAATGGTTGAGGTTCATCAATCTCATCAATCAGTAGGTTCGTAGCTCCCTATCCGATCACTTTTAAAAGCAGTTTAAGGCAGAACTTAAAGGGAGGTACCCTAGAGGACCCGGAAATTTAACCCAGGACAAGGTTTAATTGGGGAAGTAGGTATGTGTTCTCAGACACTCATTGTGCTCAGGTCTGGCCTCTTTCCCCAGCTGTAGAACAAAAGGCTGTCTGCAGGCTTCAGCCTAGAGCTGGAGGTGAGGAAGGAACCTTACTAATGGGTGCGCGTTTGGAATTGAGTTCCTTTGGAATCAGAACAAAAATGTCTTAGGATAATGGGATCTGAGGCTCATTCTTACTCTTTCCTGTTTCACTGGAATTCTAAAGATCAGAGTATACACTTTGGAATCTAGACTTTTTGTTTTCCTGGTTTGATTGATTGATTGATTAATTAATTGAGTGCTCTGGCCTGCAGACTGAAGTAATTTGAATTAGTTGCCAACATTAAAAAGTGAGAACCTTCAGAAGGTCTGGACAAGTTGGGCCCCGATTCCTGGGGCTGAGCAGAGAGGGCGCCCTGTACTCTCTCAAGACACAAGCTGTCCAGCTGCCTTTGCAGCTCAGGTCACCTGTTTGGGTCTGGAAGCACTTGAGTTTGCAGCCCTGGAGTGGTCAGCTGCACTGGTGGGTGTCTGTGAGTACTCTTACATTGATAGGCTAGAGCACCTCATGTACCTCAGACTATTGTCCTTGCCAATCACAACCAGTTTTCTGAAACCAAAGCAGTCATTTCTCACCTGTTTTGAGCTCCATAGCTTCTCCTCTGTATTTCCAAGTATGGATGTGATCTGAAGCCAATGAACTTGGGTAGGGCTGTACTTGGCTGGGATCAGAGAAGCTTTAAGCAGGGGTGGGGGCAGTCAACTTTAAAAGGTGTTTCAGAGGGTAGAGTTTTTGGTGGTCAGAGTCATGCAGATGACTTTGCTCTTCTGATATAGATTCTCCAGAAATTTTGCCCCTGTAGGAAAGAAAATTTTTTTTTTCCCAAAGGCATAAGAAACTTGGGAGAAGTGGAAATACATGCAATCTATTTTTAACACATTTTAATATATTGTCACTTAAAAATTTATGAATGTAAATACTTATTAATTATAAATTTTTGATAATATATATGTTGATAATGCATAGAAATGTGAAAATATAGAACAAAGTCATATGCTTTCAGTGGTAAATGAAGATATCTTTATTTTAAAAGCCAGATCTTTTTTAGAACATAACACATTCATTTTAGATACTCAGGGAACTAGACTAGGGGACCTCCTAAAGGCCCTGAAGCTCAGAGGCCGTATGGAAATGCGTCTCCTTATTTTCCATCTAGTCAAATGGTGAAACAATTCTATAAAACTCCGTCTGTTGATCGGTTATGCTGTCTCTATCTGTGCTCTAACTAACATTGTACTAAGAAACGCATTTTTCTCTCTCCTGACTTAGATTTAAATCTTGCAATCACCACTGGGAAGTGAGCTGTATCATCTTGAGAAATCAGACCACAGAGACGAGCCTGCAGCTGGCAGGCTGGGTCATCCTTAATCGCTTAACCCTTCATATCAAAGGATAGGTTGTAGCAGCAGATTCCTTCTTTAGAATTTGCTATGGCAGGATTTGTCAAGGAAAAGCTGGAAGTTAAAATGAAACAGTGTGTATAGCAAAAACCTTGCCTTGTAAATTGACTTTTGTGCCTATACATGCGACTGGTTTTATGTAACTCTGTCCTTGTGGGTATGTGTTTGTGTGAGTACAAGTGTGACTGATGTGTGTGTACATGTGCTTTTGTGTGAGGATATGTAGTAAGTATGTGCATATATGGATGTGAGTGTGTGAATGTTTGTGGGTACATGTCGTATGTCTTAGGAAAATTCTTCCCTGTATCATAAAATAAGATCCAGGTTATTCAAGCCTAGCATAGATTGTTTGAAAAAAAAAGAAAGGCTGCAATAATCCCCTTCCTTGTATTTATACTCTTGTATTAGTGCCCTCCTAAACTGACTCTTGGCTTTGCTTTTTTTTTTTTTTTTTTTTTTTTGATACAGACTCTCACTCTGTCACCAGGCTG
Organism: Homo sapiens; assembly: GCF_000001405.40. Classification (NCBI taxonomy): domain Eukaryota; kingdom Metazoa; phylum Chordata; class Mammalia; order Primates; family Hominidae; genus Homo; species Homo sapiens. Next base: position 37,590,000 of record NC_000018.10, read on the forward strand.
GAGTGCAGTGGCGCAATCTCGGCTCACTGCAACCTCCCAGATTCAAGTGATTCTCCTGCCTCAGTCTCCAGAGTAGCTGGGACTACAGGCATGTGCCACCACGCCCAGCTAATAATTTTTGTATTTTTAGTAAAGCTGGGGTTTCACCATGTTGGCCAGGACGGTCTCAATCTCTTGACCTCGCGATCTGCCCACCTCGGCCTCCCAAAGTGCTGGGATCACAGGCTTGAACCACCATGCCTGGCCAACTCTGGGCTTTTCTTTAGTTAGTGACACATTACCAAGTGGGAGGTGATGACTTGAGGTAACATGAGACATCTGAAAAAGAATTGCATATTGAAGTCATCCTCCTCTGCTGTTCTTGGGAACCCTCAACCACTACAATGTTGATGATCCTGGGCTAGCCTGCTGGGAGTATATGGCCCATTCACACCTGTTGCTCCAGCTAACTGCCATGACAAACTGCCAGACATGTGAATGAGGTCATTCTAGACCTAGCAGCCTCCATCTCACCTGTGAGTTCTATGCAACCACAGGCGTGAGCCCCAGGGAGCCCAGCAGAAGAACCACTCTGCTGAGCTTAGCCCAGCTTGCTAACCTGTATAATCATGAGTTAATAATAATTAATTGTTGTTCCAAATCACTAAATTTTGGAGTGGTTTGTCACACAAACAGAGCTAATTAACTCCTCTAGGTGGTATAGGAGGAAAAATCTCTCCATTGGAGAAAGTGGTGTGTGGTGGGCATAAATTGTAAGAAGACATGTAATTCCATGTTTAAACATGCTTTATAATCCTGGACTCACCTTATAAGTTTAAAGACATAAAAATTAGTATTTATTGGAGGACCTATCATTAATTTTCACACAGAAATGCTAATTAGCAAGGTAAGTAAGAACCCAGGACGAAAGTGCTGGCATGCTCCAACAATACTGAGGACCTGGGAGAAAAGTCATAAAGCAGCAAACCCAGGGAGGATGTTATATTACATAATCTGCTGTAGAAGCTATGGCTTGGCCTCTGAAAGTGATAGTATTCATCTCATCTCAGCTCCTAGCCTGTCTCCATGGGGAGGGCAACTCTTCAGCCTCTCTTGCCTAGGAGCTCACCTCAGGCATCTTGACTCCTTGAAGAACAGCTCCTATAAAATGAGACTCTGAGAGAAATAAGATTCTCTTCCCTGCCTGAGGCCTGCCTTTCGGGAAACTGCCACCTCTTTGGATAATTGACTCTAGGGATGATTGTCCCTCTCAAGGGAGACTGCAAGTACTTCCAGGGCCAAGACCTTTACCCTACAGACCACAACAGGATATTAGGATGTAATGATTAGCCTATTCTAGATTGCCCCACTTATTAGTATACAGAAGCAGAGGGTGTGTGAAGAAATTCTCTCTGTCTGTGTATGTGTAAATGCAAGAATATTGGCTCAGAAGTGAGGGTATATGACTTTTGCAGCTCCAGCTCCTGTCCTACTTTACAAGAAATTCCTACTTGGTGTGATTGAGGGGGTTTAGGACAGAATTAATCTGCTGTTAATATGTACTTTGGATCTGAAAGACATTTTATTTCTGAGTCTTTCTTAAAACACGGGAATACTAGTGAACACCTTTGTTAACAGTTAACATCTAAATAGGAAATAACAGAGTTAAGGCAAAGGGTAAATGCTTTAGAACTGTTAGGGGATTCTAATGGATGTGTGGGTACCAAGTACTTATTATATTTCATACTTTTGAGTTTATCCAGGTCTGGACTTGCCCAGTCTTCTTAGAAATAAATGCATCTCACACACTGCTCAAAAGAATGTGCTACATCAATTAGGTCAAAGGCTTAATATGACTTAGGTCATATTTTGGGTAGACTTAAGGACATTATGTGTGAGAGAGGAAAAAGATAGGAGTGAATGGGATTAATATTATTAATACAAAAGAAACAAGCTTTTATTAAGTACTAGCTATTGTCAAGCCCTCTGTGAAGCTGCCACCCACAGATGTGTATTATTACTCCTCCAATTTTCCAGATAAGGAAACTGAGATTCTTAATTGCAAAATTCAGGTGTGTTGCCCATGGCTGCTGGTAAGCATCAGAACTAAAACGTGAGCACAGCAGGCCTGGGTGATGTGAAAGCACAGCTTTTATTTTTATTTAAATTTATTATGCAACATTTCAACCACACAGAAAACTTCAGAGAACAACATCTAGCATCCATGTACCCATCTTCCAATTTACTAGATCTTAATATTCTGCTACACCTGCTTTATATTCCATGGTCTCCCCCTTTTTTTTAAGTTGGGATATCTGTCTTCTAAAAATGTATGTATAGAATTTCTTGGGTGGAGTCTGAATATAAATTCTGTGGATTGCACTGTCTTCACTTTACTTATGGTGGTATTTGACAAGCAGAAATTTTCATTTATTTAAATTTAACAATTTACAAACAAATGTTTGTTGTGGAGCTTTTTAGGAATTTTTTTGTAGTGAGCTATTTGAGTGTTTTTTAGTTTTTAATTCATTATTGCATTTAGTCATTTGAATCATTCTCTAATTTGACAAATATTTATTACATGCAAGTTGTTTTAAAATTTTAAAAAATATACATTTATGGTATACAACATGATGTTTTGAAATACGTATACATTGCGGAATGGCTAAATCAAGCTAATCAACATGTGCATTACCTCACTTAGTTATCTTTTTGTGTGTGTGGTTATAACACTTAAAATCTACTTAAGGCAATTTTCAAGTATACAATACATTGTTGTTAACTATAATCACCATATTGTACAATCAATCTGTTGAATTTATTCCTCCTGTTTAATTAAAATTTTGTTTCCTTTGACTAACATTTCCCCAGTCCCCTCACTGCCATACCTCACCCTGGTAACCACCCTGCTATCTACTTTTATGAGTTCAACTATTTTAGATTCCACATATGAGTGAGAGCATACAGTATTTGTCTTTCTGTAGCTGGCTTAGTTCATTTGGCATAATGTCTTCCAGAGTCATCCATGTTGTCAAAAATGACAGGATTTCCTTCTGTGTAAAGGCTGAATGGTATTCTATCATATATACATACAGTCTCCAACTTAAAACAGTTTGACTTACAATTTTGGACTTTTTGATAGGTTTATTGGGAGGCATCCTCTTTGTATGTCAAGGAGCTCCTTACAACTTGTGATGGAGTTACAGTTTCTACTGAATGAATATCACTTTCACACTATCATAAAGTTGAAAAATCTTAAGTTGAATGATTTTTAGTTAGGGACCATATGCTGTGTTGCCAGTATTAAATGCATTTTTGATTTATGATTGGTTCATCAGGACCTAACCCCATCAGAAGTTGAGAAGCATCAGTATATACCACATTTTCTTTATGCATTCATTGATGGACACTAGGTTGATCCATATCTTGGCTATTGTGAATAATCCTGCTGTGAACATGGGAATCCAGATACCTCTTTGTCATACTAACTTCATTTCCTTTGTCTATATACCTGATAGCGGGCTTGCTAGATCATATTTATAATTTTTTGGGGAAACCGCATACTGTTTTTCCTAATGTCTATACTAATTTGTCCTATTTTTGAAATATTTTCCTTTGTTATAATCAAGATATTCTCTTTTTATTTCAATTTCTAGAGAGTTTGCTCCCAGTTAGCTTTCACGTATGTCTGGATTTTACTGTTTGTGTATGGAAAAAGGTAGAGATCTATTTTCATTTTTCCCAAATGGAAAATGACTTATCCCAGCACACTTCACTCGTTAGTCCAATCTCCACCCTTGTTTAGAATCCATTCTTGTGCCATGTGAAATCTGCTCTTCCTGAGCTCTGTGTTCTGTCCCGTTGTTCTGTTGTTGATTGTCATGCCAGCACCATGCTGTCTCTTTAGTATAAAATTTGATACAGGCAGGTCACATCTCTTCACGTTGTTCTTCAATTTTGTCCTTAGGTAATTTTGGCCTCTTACTCTTCTTTCACACGCATTTTTAGGATCATCTTGTGTAACTCCATAAAAAACCCTGTCAAAATTTGGATTGTAATTGCAATGCATTTGTATATTAATTTGGGAGTGGAATTACACTTTTATATAGTCGAGTCTTCCCAACCATGAAAATGGTATATCTTTTTATATATTTATTTTATGATTCTCGGTAACACTGAAAATTTTCTCTGTAAAGTTTTTAATCTAGATTTTTAAAGTTGTATTCTTAGAAACCTCATAGTTTTTCTTGCTATTGTAAATAGAATCCTTTTTTAATATTATTTCTTCAAATTGGCACATAGGCACATTATTAGTTTTTAAAAGATTATCTTTTGTACATAAGGCTTGCTTAACTTTTTAATTTATTCTAATAGTTGATAGATGCTTTTAGATTTTCTACATATACAAATATATTACTGCAGATAAGGCTATTTCGAGTCTTCATTTCCAATTCTTTTAATCTTGATAATATTACTTGGCTAGAACATCTAGTACAGGTGCTTTTTGTGTACCTATTGAAAAAGTCATGTAGTATTTCTCTATTATTTTTATATTTGAGCATCTTTCTTTATATTTGTTGGATAAAACTACCTGGTCACACTTCAAAAAATATATTCCTGAAGTTTATTTGCTTGTATTTTATTTAGGATTTTTATATCTGTATTCACAAGAATGGTTTATAATTTTATTACTTGTACTGTCTTTGTCATATTTTGGTATCAATAAAACGAGATGGGTAACTTTCCATTATTTTCTTTTCTCTCAAATATTTTATAAAGTAGGAATTATCAATTTCTTATAGATTCACTAAGTTATCTTTAAAACTGCCAGCATCTGGTGCTTTTTGGGGAGAAGATTTTGATAACCGATTCCATTTCTTCAGCAGTTACCAGCTTATGCAGGCTTTCTATTTTTCTGAGTCAACTTTGGTAATTCATAGTTTTCTAGAAAACTTTACATTTTATATAAATTTTATGGTTGCCTCTAGCTGGATGTGTGTTTCGGGGCTCTTGTTTTGGGGTGATATTGGGGTATCTCATATCTGGTCAGAGAACATGTGATTGCCTGGTTTCACTTCCTAGCCTTTTTTCCCCTCTCTCCAATTTCACTATCCAAAGTCTTCACAGGGCTGTTGCCCCTTGCAGCAGGCCTCCCTTTCCCAAACGGGAGCCGCACTCCAACCCTGGCTTCACTCAGTGATCCTACGTGGTCTTCTGCTAACTTGGGGTTCCCAAGGTCTCTGTTGATGTACAGAAGCCAAACTCCAGGACTACAACTCATGCTTCCAGCTCTGGAGCCCAAGAGACCCATGAATCCACTTAATCCCTTGGTATTCTGTTCTTTTTCTGGTCCACAGCAATCGCTACCTTGTTTTTGAGCTTAGATATGGTTTTTTGTTTGTTTGTTTGTTTGTTTGTTTTCTCCTTAAAAATTTTAAGTGCTTGTAGCAGTTATTAGAGCTGCTAACAACTCTTGGGTTGTTAGACCCAACTACTAACAATTGCTAACAATTCTTGGGTTGTTAGAGAAAGAATTAATTGAGTCATCATGCTTGGAAATTCCCCAGCACCCTGCTTTTAACCACTAGACTACACTACCTCTTTAATTAATCATGCCTTGAGGCGCTATCTAATCATCTAGCCAGAGGACTGATGGCCTGTTCTCTTCTCCCTGGGTTGAAGACAATGTAGTCTCTTTTGCTGAGATTCCCCTCCTTCCTACCTACAACATGAATAAAACAGGAGGTTCTGAAATCAGTCTGTGAGGGTCTTTTTTTTTTTTTTTTTTTTTTTTTTTTTTTTGAGACGGAGTCTCGCTCTGTCGCCCAGGCTGGAGTGCAGTGGCGGGATCTCGGCTCACTGCAAGCTCCGCCTCCCGGGTTCACGCCATTCTCCTGCCTCAGCCTCCCAAGTAGCTGGGACTACAGGCGCCCGCCACTACGCCCGGCTAATTTTTTGTATTTTTAGTATAGACGGGGTTTCACCGTTTTAGCTGGGATGGTCTCGATCTCCTGACCTCGTGATCCGCCCGCCTCGGCCTCCCAAAGTGCTGGGATTACAGGCGTGAGCCACCGCGCCCGGCCTGTGAGGGTCTTTAGTGCCCCCTCCTTGTCCCTGACTGCCCACTTTAGAGACGAGGAAATGGAGGTTCAGGGAGATAAAATTATTGGACCAAATTTTCTCGAGCTAATGGTGGACATAGGTTCAGAACACCTAGGTATGATTTCAAATCTAATCCTTTTCCCAGAAGATAGTGGTTCTCAGCTTTGGTAACACCTGGAGATGTTGAAACTTACTGATACTCAGGCCTGAATCAGATGAATGAATTTAGAATTTCAGACGGTGGAGTCCAGATGTCTATATTTTTTCAAAGCTCAGGTGTTTTCTGAGGCCTGATAGGAATTGAGGACCACCACACTGGATGATGTCCCCTGTCTTGTTCAAGCCTCCCTTTACCCTCTGTGGCTTTTTTTTCCAAGGGGAGACTTACCCCGCAAGTAAATTCCCTGAGTTGGGTCTTTATCGCTTTCTCTGTTCTTGTCCTATTCCTCTAGTCTCCACTCCTCATCTTTTGCATGATTAGCATTTTCAGCACAGAATATGTTTTATTGCTTCTTTTAAAAATTTTCTATTAATTTTTTTTTGTAGAAATGGGGTCTTGCTATGTTGCCCAGGCTGGTCTTGAACTCCTGGGCTCAAGTGATCCTTCCACCTCCGCCTCAAAGTGGTGGGATTACAGATGTGACTCACTGCACCCTGTTTTATTGCTTCTTGATCATTTTAGGAAGAATAGATTACTTTTAAATTCCGATTTAAAAACAACTAACATTTTTCTCAGTGAGTACGTGGATGAAATATATGTACATACACACATACACACATACATATACACTAAAGGTGCCTGAACACCAGATAATCACCTAGGATTTTCAGTGCTTAGAAATGAGTTACTCTTTGGTCCCTCACTGTCTGTGTCATACTCCCCTCACTGTCTGTGTATATCCCCCTTTTACCTTGTGTGTGTACTTATGATGTCATAAGCACTCAAGAGCTCACATCTGCCACAGGAAACTAGACAGTGGCACAATTTGCATACTCCTCCATCAGCTTTTCTAGCCCATCTCTGGCTTCCCTGATGACAGCTAGTCACTTTCCTGAATCTTGCACTCATCTTCTGCTTTATAACAGTTTTACTATATATGTTCATTCCTAAGATTATATTGCTTGGTTGGTTATTTTTAATTTTTTAGAAAAAGAAATCATGTTGCCTATAGTCTCCTGGAGCCAACTATTTTCAACAATAATGTATTGCCAAAAGTCAGCCATATTGTTGTGTGTAGCTGCAGTTCGTTAGTGTTGAGTACCTCACAATCTTTTCATTGTGGAGTACACCAGAATTTACTTATTCATTTGGGATATCTCCAGATTTTTGCTCCCAAGAATAGTGCTGCTATGAATACTTTTGTACATCCTTCCTGGTGCACACATGTAGGAGTTTTTCTGAGTATATACCCAGAACTAGAATCTGGGGATTGTAGAGTTTAGGACTATTTATAAGATAATGCCAAATTCTTTTCCAATGAGGTTTCACCAGTTTCCTCTTTCCCTGGAGATCCTCTGTCTCCATATCATCTCTGATATTTTATGATGTATTCTTTCTTAATTTTGTCAATCAAGTTGTTATCAAAGACATCATTGTGCATTTCTCTGTTATTTCCTCAAATGTTTATTGGCCATATGTGTTTTCTCTTCTGTGAGATTGTTGTTCATGTCTTCTACTCCTTTTTTTCTATCATTTTGTTTGCTCCTTTTTTATGGACTTATAGTAGTTCTTTGTATATTTTCAAGAGTCATCTGTTTTTGGTGGTATGTGCTGCAAATATATTTTTCCAATTTTTAAGTTATCCTTTCCTATATTGAGTGGTCTAAGATCACATTTGACACTTCTTACCCCTCTTTTGGCACCCCTTCCATTTAACACCATCAACTGTTCCCAAAACAAAACTGACTCTTGATAGTCTTGTGTTAAATTCCTTAATGAATCTGCATTTTGGTTTCCATGATTTCAAGTAGTTATCTATTAAAGGCATGTTAGGGTCCCAGAGGTAGATAAATATCCCCACAGTATTTATTTGCACTTTGATCGGGAGGTTCTGAGGCCTTGGACTGTGACTTGTCAGTAGAAGAATATTTCTGGGCAGAGGAGCCGCCATCCCTCCACTCATACTTGTCTACACTCACCACTCCATGGGCCATGAAACATGTTCAGGATTCACATCCTAGAGAACTCTTCTAAAATACAGTTCCCCAGGAAGCTTTCATTTTTCTCCAAGTAGTAAAACTCCCACTTCCTGATAGTTACAAAGATAGGTTTTGTTGTCATAATGCTTTCTCTGTGTGCTGCTTTGCAATCAGAGTTTTCACCACTTAATGGATCCATCATTGAGCAGCACATTATAGCAAACACATATCAGTTTGCCGCTATTATTGTCATAATCAAAAGGCGGGACTACAGTGAAATATTTGCTTCGTGCATGCATATCTGTTATCCGAAGGGCCCTTTAACCTAAATGGTGTGCTTTCTGTAATGTCTTTGGTTAATGAATGGGTCTGTGAGGGCCTCAGAGCAGTGCAATGTGGGAAGAATGCTATAATTTGTTTTTAACATGCAGGAATTCTGAATACGAGAAAATGCATGCCAAATTTTATTGCTTCTAAATCTGAATAATTGTATTTCTGGGCTGTGCATCTGGGTAGATAATAAAGCCACAAAACAATTTAATGAAACATATAAAAAATAAAATGACATTACTAAATATTATAATATGAAGAAACTATTTTTTGCATATTGTCACCTAATCTTTCAACCATATAGCAACAAATAATGCAACCATAATTGAAAGTTTTATTATCCATCTGAGTAAATTGAGCTCAAATTTACCTTGTTCTCGTTAGTTGGTGGGCAAGCCTATTGGGGTTAGTGGCAGGATTTCATTTTCGTGGTGGATTATTTTTTTCTCCTTTCCTATGGAATCTAAAGTGGTCAATAAATAGCCCTGCTGCTTAATCGATTCTGAACCCAGCTCTTCAGAAAGCCACTCCTCGGCCTGTGACCCATGCTGGCAGCCAGCCCTGTGTCTGCTGTTTCAGTTTCAGAAACTAGCTCTGCACACATGAGCCTTCCTGGTCCTAAAGCCCTGTGATCGCACCAAGGATCTCAGTATCTTTGCTCTTTGGCACGTGTCTCGTGTTTCCCTCTTCCACTCCTGCAGCTCCAGATGGGGAATACTTTATTTGCTGTAAGAGGAATTCGACTAGATTTCTGGAGTGGAAGTTGGGAATATGTTGAAGCATGTTGCCCTGCGCTGAAAAGATTTCTCATTGGTAAAAAGTCCACAAACTGCTTCTGTGGCCTGGGGCCAGGTGGAGGCTGCACCACAGGGAGAAGTCCACTGGTATGCTGATCTCAAGACCCACGTGCTAGACCTCCCTGCTGCAACCAAGGCCCACCTGTTACCAGCAGAGGCCCTGAGGCTGAGGGATGCCAGGCCTCGTGAGAAGATGGCACGTCTATCTGAGGTATCTGAAGGGTTGTAGGAAAAGCCCGACTGACTTCGATAGCAATGTTCAGTTATGCTTATTTTTAAAGTGTGCAGCCTTTCCTTGGAGCCCTGGCTGGGGCGGGGAGTCAGGTGTTAGGTGTTTCCCTAAGTCCACTGCGGTGTGCCTCTTGAGTTTACCCAAGCTGTGAGCTGCCCAGATGATGTGTGAGAGAGGGTGCCTCTTCATCAGGAAGACCCCAGCGCCTCACAGAAACCCCAGCTCCAGCCATCACAGCCTGTCCATCTCACTGCGGAGAAGTTTTCGTCCCACAGGCCTGCATAGGGAGAATGAGTCGGCAGGAGGGCCTATCATCAGGAAGAGACCCTCCGCAACCACTCTGGAACCCAGGCTCTCTCCTGATGGAGCCCTTTGTTTGTTTGTTTGTTTGTTTGTTTTCCAAGGACTTTGTTCTCCTTTTCTGCCATTTGGCCTAGGTATGGCCTGCTCTAGTCCATCTAGTGTGTTCTAGTGTGTTTCAGTAACTTCAGGCTTCAAACAGGAGTTGGGGTTTTCCATCTCTTTCCTCCCAAGGCCCTGATGTGCTGATACAAATGTACTCAGACCCTCATCCTCACCCTCCAGCTCCAAATACAAAAGAGAGGGGAATTGCGGTGGCAGGGCGGGGGTGGTAAGGAGACCCAGCTCTAACGGGCTCACTGCTGAAGAAGGCCACCATTCAGGCAAAAGATTCCTTCACACACTTCCCCCCACCCACCCAGAGCAAAGCACTGAGACTTCCGTCATGCACAAGTCCTTCAGCCTATTGGAGTCCTTCAACTTAAGTCCTTTCTTAACAGATATCCCATCAGGATTAAGAAAACCTCACCACCAGCAAACCCCATACCCCATCAACAGTGATGTCAGCATGAGGATTAATACTTTGGGGGAGAAATTTTTTTTCAAATAAGACTTCTAGGAAATGTGCTGCTTGCCATGTGCCAAGGTTTTGGGCTCATTCCCAGATCCTATGGAGAAAGGTGAGAATATTGGGGCAGTAATGAGGAAGCCCCTTTACTTTCTCTTACTCTTTAGGTAATTCAAAATAAAACTTTCAAAACATCAGGTTAGACCAATCCCTAATTTGCCTAGTAGTTCTTTGGGGAGAACACATGCTCCTCCCTCTCCAAGTGGAGGGATGTCTGTATCCCTGGTTTCTCCCCAGTCTCTCTTTCCCAGGTTAGGGGATGGAGATGAGGCTCTGGGGGGCGGGGACAGAAGATGCTGAGCTTAGCCTCTTGCTCTCCCTCTGATCAGAATCTGTCTGCAGGATTCTGACCCCTGTCTGGACTCCACCATGGCATACAGAGCAGGAGAAGGGAAGCTTCAGGGCCTTGAATTTAGGGGGAAGGACTGGCTAGTCCACTTGGCCACAGGGCTGAAGCTCTGCTTTCCAATCAGTTCTTAGCTGCCTTGGAGCTGATATTTTGTTCTTTTATTGGATTCTCATGTCTATCTCTCAACTGTCTTTGAGAGGACTAGAGGGGAAGGTCTGTTGCTGACATGCCTAACATCATACTAGAGAAGAAAATGATCCAAAATTGAAATTTGGGAGCAAAGCTGAACAGCAGGATAATTCTTTTAGAAAGTTTTTCTTCTCAATTGCATTATTCTTTTTAAATTGTGGTAAAATACACATAACATAAAATTTACCATCTTAATCATTTTTAAGTATACAGTTTGGTAGTATTAAGTACATTTCCATTGCTATGCAACCCATCTTCAGAACTCTTTTAATCTCGCAAGAATGAAATTCTTTTTTTCTTTTCTTTTTTTTTTTATTATACTTTAAGTTCTAGGGTACATGTGCACAACGTGCGGGTTTGTTACATATGTATACATGGGCCATATTGGTGTGCTGCACTCATTAACTCATCATTTACATTAGGTATTTCTCCTAATGATATCCCTCCCCCCTCCCCCCACCCCACGACAGGCCATGATGTTCCCCACCCTGTGTCCCAGTGTTCTCATTGTTCAATTCCCACCTATGAGTGAGAACATGCGGTGTTTGGTTTTCTGTCCTTGTGATAGTTTGCTCAGAATGATGGTTTCCAGCTTCATCCATGTCCCTACAAAGGACATGAACTCATCCTTTTTTATGGCTGCATAGTATTCCATGGTGTATATGTGCCATATTTTCTTTATCCAGTCTATCACTGATGGACATTTCGGTTGGTTCCAAGTCTTTGCTATTGTGAATAGTGCTGCAATAAACATACATGTGCATGTGTCTTTATAGCAGCAGCAATAATGAAATTCTATACCCATTAAACTACAACTGTCTATTCCCTCCACACTTAAGCTCTAGCAACCCCATTCTACCTTGTGTCTCTATATATTTGACTACTCTAGGTCCCTCATATAAGTGGAATCATATAATATCTGTGTTTTTATGACTGGCTTATTTCACTTGGCATAATGTCCTTAAGGTTCAGCCATGTTACAACATGTGTCACACTTCTGTTCTTAAACATTTCAGAATTTTTAAGGCTGAATAATATTTCATTTTAAATCCACCTGTTTATTCATTTATGCATCAGTAGATACTTGTGTTGCTTCCATCTTTTTGCTATTATAGTGCTGCTGTGAACATGAATACCCCTGCTATGAACATCAGTTCATAATGGATAATGCTACTATGAACATGAGTGTATGAATATTTCTTTGAGACCCTGTTTTAAATCTTATGGGTATGTACCCCTAAGTGAAATTGCTGGATCATATGGATAATATCCTATTTTAATTTTTTGAGGAACTACAAAATTCCTTTCCATAGCAGCTGCACGATTTTGCATTCCCAGCAACAGTGCATAAGGGCTCCAATTTCTCCGCATCCTTGCTAATGCTTGTTATTTTCTGTTGTTTTTGAATATGATTATCCTAATAGGTATGAGGTAATATCTCATTTGTGGTTTTGATTTGCATTTCCTTAATGTTTAGTAATGTGAGCATCTTTTCATGTGCTTGTTGACTATATATCATCTTTGAAAAAAATGTCTATTCAAGTCCTTTGTCCATTCTAATCAAGTATTTGTTTGTTTGTTGTGTTTTTTAGTTGTAGGAATTCTTTATATATTCTGGTTATTAACTTCTTATCAGATATATAATTTGCAAGAGACAGGAGACCGATTCTGTGCTGCCATGTCTTCTTAAGGAGGGAACTTGCTGGGGAGATCGGACAGCCCTTTTCATCAGCCCAAATATTTCAGCCCTTCAGACATCAGATGGAGTTAGTACCAGAGTCTTAGGAAGGGAAAGGATGTGGTACTGTGGTTTATTTAGCTGCTCTTAATGGTCGGGCATGGTACTGGCCCTTTGGATGCCTGTCTGATTTCTTCCTCTCAATAAGACCAGAAGTCACCAGCCCACTCAACAGTTGAATAACTTAAGAGTTAGAGGTTGTAGACTTGATCCTCTTCACAGTGATGGGTAACTCTGGGAAGAGTTATATTGACTATGTAAAACTTTATAAAGATAGTCATGAACTTAGTAACCAGGTTAAGGCTGAAGACAACTTTCTAAAAAATTTTTTTGAAACTAGAGAAAATGGTTACAATTATTTCAAAGTCTTGTATTTTCTTATTAAAAATTTAAAAATCAGATAAAAAGTACCTTCTGCTCCCCAGCAGTGTACACCATACTCTGTTCAGCCCTTAGAAAGCCATGAGAGAAAGTGGGGGTTTTGCTGTGGCTTAGCTCTACAGATCTGGTAGTAGATATATTTTTCCACAAGATTTTAAACTCTGAGATTGCTGGGGTTTTTGACTGTTTTGTTCACAACTGTATTCCTAGAGCCAAAAAGAGTGCCCACTACATAGCAAATACTCAATAAATATTTGTTGAATGAGTCCACTAATAAATGTAAGTTTAATCAGAAGAGACAGTTAAACTTGTGCAAAATAACAAAATGTAGCTCCAGGATATTTTGCCTAGAACGTCAGATCCAAGGGCCATTCAGAAAGAAAATGACAGGTACTGGATGCTGTTATTGGAGAATATAATGGGCTTCTATTTGCTTTTTGCTATGGTCTGCATGCTAGTGTGGCCTGAAAATTTATTTATCAAAATCCTAACTCTCAAAGTAAAGGCATTAAAAGGTAGGACCTTTTGTGAGGTCATTAGGTCTTGAGGGTGGAGCCCTCATGAATGGGATTAGTGGCCTCATACAATAGGCTTGAGTGAGTTTGCCTCTTCCACTATGTGAGGACACAGCAAGGTACTATCTATGAACCGAGAAATGGGCCCTCACCAGACACCAAATCTACTGGCACCTTGATCTTGGACTTCTGAGCTTCCAGAACTGCGAGAAATAAATTTTTGTTGTTTATAAGCTACACAGTCTATAGCACTTGGTTATAGCAGCATGAATGGACTAAGACACTCTTCCTAGAGATGGACCTGGAGTTGGACATTAATGGATGGATAGGTGGCTAGGAGTAGAAAGGATAATTTTGGATGCGAGAGAGGCCTGAGCAAAGCACAGGGTGTGAGTGCGGGAGGATGCTGAGTAGAGGTGAGCCAGCTGAGGCTTCAAGAGGCCACGGGACTTGCCCAGGATGTGCCACTTGGGAGTAAGTGCATCTAAACCCAGGAAATCTGGCTCCAGGCTCAGTCTGTGTTTCTTTGATAAATGCAGATGATGGGCAGGAGGAGATAGGCTGTGAGAAGCTGTTTCCATGGCAGAGAGGAACCTCGTGGGATGGTGAACACCCTTCCTCCTGATGTCCTCTGAGTCACACACATTTCCTATCTATGGAGGTCTTCTTGCTGCTTCCTTTTCACCACTCAGGAAGTGGGAGCAATATTAACCCAGCCACTTCTAAGTAGATGAGCATTAATCAGAGAACCACTTGGGAATTTCTAGGTGAAAAGTTGTGCATAAAAACAGAGCATTTCTATACCAGCAAGTGGTGAAAAATAAAGGACATTCAAAGAATATTATCATATAACATGATTTTTGCATAGAGAATTCAGACAGACTGCTTTTGCAGACTTAAGTAATCCCAGGATGAAAGGTACTATATATATGCAAAGTATTATTATTATTATCCAGTGGTAGAAAAGAAGGGCATTTCAAAGAATGTTTCAGTACAATACAATTTTACTTTGCACAGAGAGTTCAAGGGAAAAGGCTTTATTTTATAGACTTAAATAATATCGTTATGGAGCTACAGTAAAATAAATAATACAGATATGGTGTTAAAATAAATAATACAGTTAGGAGGCTTAAATAAATAATGGTGGAAAGAGAAGAGAAATTAAGAGTCCTGGGAAAAGGCAGGGGGAGACGCAATTTTGAATTATAAGTGGTAGACGATTGAGGTCCAAAGAGTCCTAAAATATTCAGGATGTATCTGCACTGACCAAAAAAAAAAAAAAAAAAAAAGAAAAAAAAAGAAAAAAAGGCACAGGACGATTTGCTTTGCAATTAAGGGATTTATCTTTTATTTTTTAGTGATAGTTTTCCCATTGTTTCAATGACACCGAAGGCATATCAAAACTTTTAGCTGAAAAGTTAAAAATAATTAAATTCACCATGTTATGGGATTTACACTAAATAACATCCTGGGGTGGGCACTGCTCAAATTTTGTGGTCCCCATGTTTTTTTAGAGGTCTGGAATCTCATCTTTCTACAGAGACATGATTAAAACACTCCAGGCAGAACAACCAAACCCTTTCTTCAGCTATAAACTTAAGCTGGGTGACTTTCTAGACCTGATATTCTGAGAATAAAAATGAGCTGGGTGCTTTTCGGAGGGAGCAAGTAAAGGGACTGCCATTTATTTCTCCATGGTTCTGAGCTTGGCAGTGGACCACAGGAATCAGGCTCCTGAGGGAGTGTTGGAGATGGAAGGAAAGGGATTAAGAAGCCAGAAAGCTGAAGCTGAGGTGAGCTTCATCCACCCCCAGGACAAAGGCTGGCAGATTGGGTCCTCTTCGTGGTTGAAGGAATTTTTTTTTTTTTTTTTTTTGTGATGGAGTCTCGCTCTGTCCCCCAGGCTGGAGTGCAGTGGTGTGATCTCAGCTCACTGCAAGCTCCGCCTCCTGGGTTCACGCCATTCTCCTGCCTCAGCACCTGTAGCTGGGACTACAGGTGCCCACCACCACGCCCAGCTAATTTTTTTGTATTTTTAATAGAGACGGGGTTTCACTGTGTTAGCCAGGATGGTCTCGATCTCCTGACCTCGTGATACACCCACCTCAGCCTCCCAAAATGCTGGGATTACAGGCATGAGCCACCGCGCCTGGCCATTTGAAGGAATTTTTAAGGTCTTGGGACAATGAAGAGAAACTTCTTGATGAGGAGTATCAATTCCGTGCTGGAGACTCACTAGAGCATTCCTGATATGGTTTGGCTGTGTCCCCACCCAAATCTCATCTTGAATTCACATGTGTTGCAGGAGGGACCAGGTGGGACATAACTGATTCCTGGGGGCAAGTCTTTCCCATGCTGTTCTCTTGATAGTGAATAAGTCTCATGAGATCTGATGCTGCTATAAGGGGGAGTTCCCCTGTACAAGCTCTCTTTGTCTACCGCCATCCACGTAAGATGTGACTTGCTCCTCCTTGCCTTCCACCATGATTGTGGGCCTCCCCAGCCACGTGGAACTGTGAGTCCAGTTAAACCTCTTTCTTTTGTAAATTGCCCAGTTTCAGGTATGTCTTTATCAGCAGCGTGAAAACGAATTAATACAATTCCCTTCTCATCCAGATGTGCCTTTAAATGCCAAGGTGCCATTGTGTTTGCAAAGAACAGCCTAAAGGAAACCTCATTTTTCCAAAGATGGAATAAAGGTCCTAATGGCTCTGTCCTCTACCTGTCCATGGAAGCCTAGCTGTGGGTCACAGCCTTCTTTAGCCTGACCTTGGTCCCTTCCAGCCCAGCTCCTTTAGCATGTTCAGGTTAGTCTGCTCATTTTGTCACTTGTCATATATTTTCTTTTCTGTTGAGTAGGCTGTCTCACTGTGTGGGACTTAGGAACTAGACCATGAACTCCCATCTTCTCCTGCCTCTTCCAGATCATCTAGCTCTGGCCTAGGCATATAGTGACTGTTCAGTGGATAATTCTTTTTTTTTTTTTTCTTTTTGAGATGGAGTCTTACTCCATCACTCAGGCTGACATGCAGTGGCATGATCTCTGCTGACTGCAACCTCTGCCTCTTGGGTTCAAGCTATTCTCCTGCCTCAGCTTCCCAAGTAGCTGGGATTACAGGTGTGCAACACCATGCCTGGCTAATTTTTTTGTATTTTTTTTTTAGCAGAGACAGGGTTTTGCCATGTTGGCCAGGCTGGTCTCAAACTCCTGACCTCAAGTGATCCACCCACTTCAGCCTCCCAAAGTGCTGGGATTACAGGCATGAGCCACCACGCCCAGCCTTCAGTGGAGAATTCTGTATTACTCCTCACTAGGCAGAATGCTGTGGTCAGGGGAGAAATTGGGGAAGAATGCTACTGGGGACTAAGGGAGCCCCAGTCACAGGCCTCCTGTCTAAACAATGCTGTGATGCCTATTTTGAGGTTCCTCTATGGTACTTGAAGTTAGATGTCTTCTTGGACAACTCCACATACAGCGTGTCAAGAAAAGCCTCAGGGGGCATTGTTTCCTTAGGAGCAATGAGATGATGAGCTCCTTGCGATGTTATGTAACTTTGAGGGGAAAGAAAAAATAAAACAAATAGAAAGGCAGAGAAAATATAAATAAAAAAGAGTGCAAAGTTTTATTGTCAACTGCTGCTGTCACCTCCTGGAACTACAGTCGTATCTAAGAAATATGTGACATACTAATAGGAAGTAATTTACCCAAGGATGTTTTTGTGCCTTGAATTGCCTTTCCAGCCCGGCTGCGGGAACTTCGCAAGCGTATATGCATGAGAGCCGGCGCGGTGCTTCAGAAACTTCCCAATTTGTGCACAATGTGACTTTTATAAGGCCATTAAACTCATCTTGGGGAAAAGTGCTCTGGAAAACAGTGATACATGGGGTCTCAAGGAGCCTGCGAAGGCAGACAGAAATGGCAAAGTGGTGACCGATGCTCTTGGCTAAAGTGACTCTGAGGGGCTGCTGCTTCTCCAGGCTCCCACCTGTTCGTCTGGTTTATTCTCTTTTCCCTACCCTTAGCAGTGCTTGGAGTTGGAGGGGGTGACTTTCCCTGGCACTATCTTGGATCCAGAAAGCACTGTCTTTTTTAATTTTTGCTGCAATTGGGTGGGCACTCTGAGACCTGAGGTTGGAACCTGGGCACATGGGATGGTCCTGGGGTTTCACTCTCAGCCTAGAAACAACCACAGAACAGCTGTGACTCCAGGGCCCTGGGGATGAAGCTCCACTGTGGCTCTAAGGAGGCCCTCAAAGGCCACACCCATGGCTAGGAGAATCTAGGTATTTACCAGCCTGTGGACCTCAAGTCCTTGGGAGAGGAAGGGCCCAAAGAGAAGAAAGTCAGGCAGAAAGAGTATAGAGCAAGTACCAAGGAAAGAGGGAGACGGGAGAGAAGCAGGAAGGGTGGTGAAGATGGTAAGAGAGTCCAGAGTGAGAGAGAAGGAGCAAATCAGAGCCAGAGGACGGTGGAGGGACAGGGAGGAGGATGGGGAGGAAGAAGAACAGGAGAAGGATCAGGAGACAGCCTGCTTACTTTTTTTTTTTTTTTTCTCAAGTGTCTTCATATGCTTGTTCTGTAAACACAGGCAGAGCCAGGATCAGAATATAGAAACAGTGAAATTGTTGAGAGCACCAGAGACAAGAGAGCTGGCTGACAGGGCTGGTGTTGCCCACGGAGAGAGCAGGTAGCCATTTCGAGCGCCCCTGCAAGTTCTGTTGCTGCAGTAAACACCTCCCTCCTACTTTTATCACAGTGCCTGAAATCCCACTACGATCCCAAGCTCGTTCTTTAAAATACAGCTCCGCCTCAGATGGGGACTGTGCAGTCTTCAGAGGCTGAGGGAGCTGGGAGGGTGTTCTCTTTGCTGAGCAGGGCAGTGCAAGGGATGTGCACTGCTTTTGGTGTGGTTGGGGGTCTGGCTGTGATAAAAAGCCGTGATTCAGGGCTGGGTGGTGAAGGTGGCTGGGCGGGGGTGAGGGCGAGCCTCTCTTGCTTCATCATTTGACTAGGGAGCAGGGCTCTGTGTGCAAAGACACCAGGAAAGGGACCTGAGGGTGCTCACTGGTTGCAGGTGACTTCACAGGGACAGGGGAAGGGAAAGGAGTAGAGAGTCTTTAATTTGTACTCTGGCTGGTGTATCTCTCCGTGTGTCCTAGCTTGGGAAAAAAGAAATGAGCCCTTTATCAATTTTTAATAAATTGAAATGACAAATAATCCATTTAATAAATTATTAACTGAGAAAATTACTGAAAACTGAAATATCAAACAATCGTGAGCAAATGCTCGAAGCAGCGTGTTTATTAATAACGAGTCCTGCTGCAGGAGAGTGCTGATGCTGTGGGTCCTATAGCCTCTGCCCCAACCCCACCAAGGCCTGGAGTGTCGGGGACCTCAGGCTGGGCATGCGCAGGGGTACGCTTGGGTGCAAGTGTGGGGTCCAAGGCAAATGGAAGTTACTTTTGCCCTTGGTCCCTATAGCTGGCCGGTTCACAGACAGCTCTTGGGTAGGGAATACGGACCTGGCACTTTGATGGTCACCAGGATGAAGTCCCCACATTCCTCCCTGATGGTACCGGAAGGGGGCTAGAAGTAATCCTACCCCTGGGGGGTTAGTTCTTTAAATTAAGAGCTGTATCCTCAGGATAAATTATATATATATATGTGTTTATGAAGTCTTGTGTCTATAGAAAGGTTGATGCCAACCTGTGATCTGCCTCTAGTGATGACCAGCTGAGCCTGCTGCCCTGTCGCAGGCCTCACAGGCTGCAGCTGGAGGCCTGGGGCACTTCCTGATGGGAGAAGCCTGAGTGTGAAGGCACTGGCTAGGGAGAGGTCTCCTTTGACATGCCTGAATGGCCTTCAGGCTCCAGATCCTGAGTGGCATCTCTAAGAAGCTTCCCTCTCACCTCTCTTGGAACTTCTGCTTTTACAGGCAGTCACACAAATTTGTCCAGCATGACTGGGGTGCAGGCAGGAGTGGCTGAGGGGGCCTCTCACCACATTTCTGGCATGGTCATCTCTGCATTGGGTCTGTGGTGAGGGACAACTGGCATCATCCTCCCTGAAGTGCCTGCTTTCTTTAGAAGCATAGCCCAGCCAGACTGCTGGCCTCTGCTCTTCCGAGGCTGCCGTGGCCTGGAAACACTTCTCCACTATAGCCCTACTGTGGGGCTTGGGGCTGGTAGGGTCAGCTGACCTCCCTATGTCCTAGTTCCTTTATCTGTAAAATGGGGATAATAATAAACAGGGTTATTTGATGACTGGGATGGAAACAGTCCCATTATATAAATACAATACAGCAGTTTGGGATGACAGGCTGTAGGCTCGAAGATGGTGCTGCAATGGGTATTTTTAGGAAGGAGGGAAGGGGGGAGGGATGAGTGGTTTATAAATGTTTGTTGCATTAAAAAATGTGCTAGTTTGAATTGTGCAGAACAGAGTATCATTTGTTTCTAGAAAAATTCACTGCTGTGGAAATGAATTAGTTTACATTGAATATGTGATGGTTCAGAGAAAGGAATATTAACCCAATTTGCATTTCTTTGAACTGAAATAAATTATTGCCATGTTTGCATTAGTTGGGTCAACTGGATGTGATTGGGCAGACTTGCCGTGGGGAAGGCTGGTCTTGGGCTTGGAGGTGTGCGATATGGTTGATGTGTACAGATCAGCAAGCACCTTCCAAATCTGGGCTTATTAACCTTTTGGGGGACTGCAGACCCCTATGGGGGTTTGATGAAAGCAGTGTGCACAGCCGCCCTGTACAATTGCTTATGAATCTCAGCAGACTCTCTGAGTCTTTTACCCTCTCATGATCCAGAGGTAAAGGTCCCTACCCATTGTCTTGGTGTCCCATGGTCAGATCATAGCACAGATTGGTCAGAGCCCTATTTCTGAGGTCTCTCCCATCTGTGGAAATAAAACAGAACTTTGGTTCCAAAGAGGAAATCAGCCAAAGGCCAGTTCACATATGTGCTGTGACCTGGGGGTTTTGGACATTTTGAACCTACGTAAGACACATTCCCAGCTGTGAGAAGGTGCTGGCTGTGTCACCTGCAGCCCTGTCAATCATCAGAATTGACATGGTGGGACTGGCCAGCAAGCCATGGCCTCTTCCTCCCTCTCTTCTGTATGTTGATGCCTGCTGAAATTGCATTCTGAACTAAATAAAGAATGCTCCCTGAAGACAAGCGGGTGCCAGTGTCTGGGTTTTTCCAAGCCTGGCCCTGGTCCTAGCCCCAGTAGTTCCCCACTGGGGCGGTGGGTGGGGAGACATCAGCACAGCCAGTCAGCAGGTCAGTGTGATACAAACTCTTCAATGCCTGACAAATGGGGTATTGGTCATTGGTGGCAATGTGTGAATTCTGACAGCATCATGTGGACAGCAGGTGACTCGTGTAGATGGACATCAAAATGTAAAGAGACATCGAGTAGAAACAGAAGCTACAAGAGCCTCACACCCAGACTTGCCCTGTGAGCCTGTTGGACCAAATCGGCCTCAGCACCCCTAAGCCCACCATGGTTGGGGAGAGAGTGAGCACGGGAGGCAGAGGAAGAATCATCTCACCTCTCATCAAATAGAGGGCAGTAAAACTTTAGCTAATTAGCAACCAGTTGCCAGAGAGTATTATTTAATTAATTCCCCCATCTGAATTCACTTTTATTGGAAAGAGGCAACCACAAGAAAACAAGATGAGAAGCAGAGACTTAATGTAAAAAATAACTTTGGGGGAAAGTCGCCTTCATGTCACTTCTCTGCTTAAAACCCGTCAATGGTGTCTTAGCAATTTCAGGATAAAGCTCAAATCTCATAACTTAGTATATAACTCATCACACCCTACTTGACCAGTAGTACTGAGATTTTTGCACTTTCCAGATATGTTATGCTCTCTTGCTCTCTTACCTCCACTTGGGGCCCCTTCTGCCCCTCCTCATCCCAAGTCATATCCTCTGGACAGTTTCCCAGGCCCTAGACTGTGTTTGAGCCTCTGCGATAACACTTATTATATTATGCATTAATAGCAAGAGAGGCTGGTATGACCAGCCAGCCCATGGGCTCCTCAGGCCTGATTCACTGTAGCATCCATGAGGTCAGCCACATGGGAGGAGGTTGGTGAACGCATCTTGAACTCATGCATTCATAACGTGATGACTCAGTGAAGGAAATGGGGTCAGTTTCATTGTCCCGCAGCCCACCCAATCCAATGATTACCTCTACAACATAAAATACGACTTGCATTTACCAAGCTTCTCTCACTTGTAAAGTGGAGATCATACAGTCCACCTGATGCTCCTTATGAGGGGAAATGAGCTAATACACATAAAAAGCAGTGCCTGGCACTCCAAGAGTGCTTAATGAATGTTAGCTATTATTCTGCACAAATAAGTTGATAGTGGCCCATCCCAGTACTGTTCTGGAAACAAGTAAGTGAAAGTGATTTCCTCTGTTGTTAGAATCACCATTAGCAACTAGTTAGTGAAAATGCTTCCAGAACACAATGTCTGGGAGAGGGGTGGGCTGGGTAGGCCAGGAGAATATCTCAGTCAGACCTGGGATCAGGAATCAGACTTTTAGGGTTCACCAGGACTCTCTACTCAGGCTGTTGGTGTTGCCAGATGTCAAGGTTGGATTGGGGAAATGGTAGTCAGGCAGGGATGGAGGAAACTCCTAGAAGAGCCCGTGCCGATCTCTAGCTAGGCTTTATTTAAGTTATGGGAAGGAATCCATGCTGGGTAAATGAGGTAATGAATGTGCAAGTGCTTTGCAAACTGCAAAGTGCTATACAAATGTGAAGCATTATTACACTCATCTATTTCTCTTCTTTGTGTTCCCAGGGTTTCCTAATAAGAGCTCTTTTTGAAAGTCCTAGCCTGACTTTGGGTAACTAAAAGGAAAGGGTGTGTGCAGTGTGGTAAATTGGGGGTTTTATGTACCCTGAGTATAGCAGAGGTCCTGGCAGGGAGAGCAGAGACTTGCTGGCAACAGGAATTGGGGAGTGAAGATGCTGAACGTCACACAGTGATTAATCCCTTCCGATCTGGGATGTTTTCCAGTTCCAGGGGCCATCCTGGAGCTGCTCAAACCATTCTAGAGAGACAGGATGGCCTGAGCTGAGAAGGGTGGGAGCAAACCCAGGGTCCTCGTGGCTGAGAGTAAGTGCAGGCTGTCATGGGAAAAGTTCTCATCCCTGAGTCTGCATTTGTAACTCAGTCACCCAGCCTGGCTCAGCACAATGCAAACCATTTCCAGCTGCTTTGTGTAAGGAATAAGGACTGGCTTGAGAAGAAGGGAAGAGATCTGCCCCTAATATCCCTGATTATCTCAGCAGCATGGATTCACCAGCCTGATTTGCTGCTTCTTCCTGCATCCAGCCTGCTCCTGGGTCTCCTTCCCCACCTCACAGCCATGGCAACCAAATGCACGGGCTTGTGAAGACCAGCAGCCCAACTTCAGCAAGGTCTCGCTGGCCTGGACAGAAGAGCCAAGGTACCAGATCCATTTCCAAGGCAAAAGTCCCCAAGTTTACAGTTAAACTCAACTTGCTTATTTGTGGATTTTGCTGGGGCACAGTAGCCCCACCTAAAGGGAGTCACATGAAATCTTAGCCTTTTACTTGTCACAGAGTATAAGAATAAAACCTTTGATGATTGAACGGATTATCCTCAGGATAACATCTGTGATTCTTCATGAGAGTTATGTCTTCTTAAACCCTTGGAAGCTGTCAACACTACAGATTTCCCAAAGCACCAAGCTGCAAACAGCAGATTGCTCTCAAGCAATGATGCTGAAGCATGAAGCAAGAATCATGTTCCCATATCAGTGTTTTCACTGCTCTGAACCCAGCACCTAGCACAGCTCCTGATAGAGCTGTGTCAAACATGACAGAACTCCTGATAGAGCTGAGAGTCAACATGTCCGTTCAATGAGTGAATAGGAGTGGGCTATCCCAATGCAAATTTCAAAGCTCTCAGCAAGACAAGGTGGAGGTAAGTTCTTTGCCCAATTGTTAGCTGATTTTTACATGATTAGCCATATCTCATCATTTCCCCAAATAAGTGGGTGTGATTTGGATAGGTTGTGGAGGAAGGAAAGGACAATGGTGGTCGTTGAAGAATTCTACAAACCAAAGATAGGAGTGGGAAATGAGCGTGGCATGCTCACCGGACAATGAAAACTCTACCTTAATTTTTATTAAACTAGAAGACCAGATATTAAACTTTCTCTAATTGAGTCACTTGTTTTATCTGAGACTGGATTGAGTTTTAAGAAAACCATATGAATATTCACTCCTCCTCTTTCTCCTCCCTCAAATATTCATTGGTTTCAATGAATATTCATTCCTCCTTTTTCTTTCCCTCAAAGAAAATTCAATCAGTCTTGGATAAAACTACACTTACAATGGAAGCAGGAAAGAAGGGACCTAAGCCATTGTCCGGTCCTGCTGTTGTCAATCTTTAGAGCATATCAAAATCATCTGTGAAACTTTAGAAACTTTAGGAATGATAGGTGTCCAGGCCCCAGCGCAAGCCTACTCAACCAGGACTTCCAAGAGCAGAGCCAGGGTGGAAAGGTGACAAAGCTCCGTAGGTGATATTCATGTTCTGAGAATGATCCTGATGCATAGTCCTGCATGTCACCCAATCCACTGGAACTTCTACAACATAAAGAGAGTTACTTATTTATATGGCACTTGCTAGTTTCTGTGGCTTCTTAAAGTGTGTCCCCAAATCAACTTCCACATCTCATGTGTCCTCAGATTGGGGTCGAGGGCAGAGGGACCCTTTGTTGTCCACAAAGGGCAGCATGCCCACTGGTCCTTGCTTTTAGGTTGGTTATATTGCTGAGAGCATGGCATCCGATGGGGAGTTTAGATGGAGGTGGGGGAGAGGGAGAGCACAGGACGTTAGCCAGAGGGGCTGTCAGTGTAGCACCTCTGTGGCAGCTCTCTACAAAAACTGGAGCTGGTGCATTCCTGGCCTGATTTGGTCATTCACTCATTTATTTTTCATTCCTTTGTCAATTATTTGGTGAGTACCTAGTACGTGCTAAGGACTGCAGACACCACAGTGTACAAGATAGCCATGTCCCTGCCTCATGGATCTGAGAGTCTGAGATGGGGAGATACAGATAATAAATAAGTCAACAAATAAATAACTTTTATACAGATTTTAGTGTGGTGAGAGAAATGAACGGCGTACAGCTGTAACTGATAATGACAGTCCTCAGAAATAGCTCTAAGCTCCTTTTCAAACTCTTTTACCACTACCCAAACCCACATTGAATCAGACAAAGTGGTCTTCTGTGTGCGTGTTACACTGGCTAATTATGCCTATTTCCTGCCCAGGAAACCCTTCCCGTGATCTCTCCATCCTCTTCCACCTGTCTCACTTTCTCTGTATGATTTACACCTTAGCATTTGGTAATGCCAAATATTTCACAGATGAAGCAGCTGAGATCTGGACAGCTGAACTGTCCTGTTCCAGAGCCAACAGCCAGCAAGTGGGGGTCTTCAAATCCACCCTTGTCCTTCTCCCACAATGTTCCACCCACCTTGGCCTCTCTGCAGCCCCCAGAGTAGTTGTTGCAATTCCTTGTCTTTTAAAACATTTTACTTTATTATAATCAAGACTTTCAATTAACTTTTCTTTGTAGAAACGACTGTATTAGGCAAAAGTTTGTGTGGGATCCAATAAAACATCAGATGATATTGAGCATACGTCAGGCAAAGCCTGCAGCCCAATAAGTTATTATGTGTAAATGTTACAACTTTATTTTGAGGAGAATACATGTGTACTATCAAGCTGTTTTATGGATACGCAGTGTGATTGATTACAGCATGCAGATCTGTCGCAACAAGATAAACTCAGATAGAATAATCTGTGGATATTTAGGCCTCTGCAATTTGTTATCCAGAGATGACTCTAGAAATGATAATTTCTTCCATTTCAGCAATTTCTCTCTTTCCGTCCCCAGTAAAAACCCCTTTCCAGAGTGCTGATGTCTGATGCCAGGGTCCTCTTCTTGCTTCCGTCTTTTTCCAGTTGCTCAACAGGAAGCAATGGAAAGTTGTATGTGCCATCAATGCTGCTGCAGGAGCAGCTGGGACTTGGCCCAGAGTGGGCAGGTGCTGAGGGTTGAGAGCTAGGGCTGCTGCCTGAGAAACAGCCTCTGCTTTTAAGCTAACAAAAAAGCAACCACAAAAATAATCACCATGATTTGTTTAACACAGAAAACAGTTTCGGTAAAATGGATTACATCAGGTAGCCAACTATTTTGCAGATCAGCCCCAAGCAACTTGTTGCTAAAAAATGACTGGATTGAATTCATCGGCAACTTTTCAAAGAACAATTTGTCTGGGGAACGAAGAGTTGCTTGAATGAATTAAATCAAGCCCCAGCCCCCACTTCTTCCTTGAAGCCATTGCCCATTACCTTGGGATACAGTGACTTCCTCTGAGCTCCTCTAAGAGTCCGGGACCCCTCTTTTGATAATGAGTCACCAATGTCCATTCCCTTGGATTCCTGTCCTGAGTTATGACTTCTCTTTGATTGTTAGATGAATTACCATGTGCATGGAGAGAAGCCATGGCCCAAGGATGGGAATTGCAGATCTGGAGGCTGAAGCCCCACATTGGCATCCTGGCTCTACTCCCACTGGTTCTGTCACCCTGGGCAAGGCACTTCTCCCAAGCTGCAGTTCTGCCAACTGAGAAGCAGAGACAATGACACTTGTTCCGCTCACCTTGCAGGGTTGTTGTGAGAAGGAAATAAAGTATTTGGAAGCACTTTATAAACTGTGTAATTCTATTCAAGAAATACTTATGAGGCCACTAAGACCACTTCACCTGCTTTGGGTGTAAATATGACCATTTTGACTTTATTTTCCTGATCAATCACTTAAGACCTCAACTGCTTTTATCGTCAGGAAGTCCAGCTTCTCATTTTGTTTCCCCCATTTGCATTCCCCCAAAAGCAGAGGGAGAAGAAACTGAAAGCCCCCTCTGTTTATGACACTGCTACTTGGTGGTGGGGGAGGGGTGTCTTTGCTGCATTCTGGTCCACAGGGCCTGTGATGTCTGTGGGCTCCTGCCTGGCACCCTGATCATGCTCTTGTGGGTGCAAGTCCCTGTACCAGCAGCTACTCCTGTGTTTCCCATGCTTGGGTCCTCACTCACACACTCTCATGTGCTAGGCCACTGTTTCCCTAAAGCTTCTCCAGAGTGACTGGGTCCTGAAGCATTTCCCATTTCTACCATGTCCTGTGTCAGAATCGCTTTGTCCCTATAAAATCTCATGGCCCCCAGGCCTAGTCACAAGTTCACATCCCCTTTTCACTCTTTGGAGGTCCCCTTTGGGGCCCCAGTTATCGTTACTCGGCCGATTAGCATTCTGAGTAGGAGAAATGACTCTAGAGTTGGCCTGTCTCCGTTCAAATTCCAGCTTCACCACTTCCTAGAGAGAATTACTTAGGATCTCTGTGCCTCAGCTTTCTCAGCTGGAAAGTGGAAATAAAAATGGTCTCATCTCATGGGGTGTTGTAAAATTACATGAGATAATAGATATAAAGATTCCTCTTAGAAGAGTGTCTGGCACAGATTAAGCACTAAAGGTGCTATTAGCTGTTTTCTACTCTGACTGAATGACTGATCATGGTCCCTGTGGTTCACATGCGTGCTTTTACTACGGGGATTAGGACATGGGTTTTCCCCCACTCCAAAGGCAGCTGTCTTCATTACATTACATTAGGGCTCCAGGAGCCTTCTGCCCTTTGCTTCCGGTGCCACTTAGCAAGAGTTGGATCTTCTAAGTTAAACAAAAAGGGGAAGAGGGAAGGTTGTATCAGTTAGCGTTTGCTGTATAACAAATGGCCACAAAATGTTGTGGCTTAAAACAACAACCATTTATCTAGTTCGGTGGTTTCAACAGGCAGCTTATCTCTTCTGGACTGGTTCAGGAGGTCACTTACAGGGCTTTTGAAAGTGTGTCTGGGAAGCTGGTGAGTTGGCTGGTGGTTTGATGATCTAGTGTGGCCTCACTTATGTGTCTGGAAGTTGACAGGCTCTTGGGCAGGAATTGGCTGACTGTCAGCTGGGGTGCCTTTGTTCTTCTCCACAGGGGCTCTCAATTTCTAGCAGGCCAGCTTGGGCTTATCCACACGGTTGTCTCAGGGTTTTAAAGGTGGCAAAACAGGAAGTTACAAGGTCTTTGAGGTCTAGGCTTGGAACTTGTGCATTCTATTGATCATATGCACTGCCTGACGGAAGATGCTTTGCTGCTAAGATTTTGTGGTTATTTGCAGTTTATACAGCAGTTAAAACTTTTCCTTATGGCAGTGGGCACTTTCTTAGTTTCCATTTGCATTCTTAGAGGGCTGATGATTTCTCCTTTACTAAGAATTCTCTCTCTTTTAAAAAAATTTAATTTATTACATACCCACTCTGTGCCAGGCACACAAAAAGATATAATGGTCACAGAGTATTCAGGGAGAATATGGAAAAGAGGGTAGAAGTGCTGTGTCTATCTGGCAGGGGCTTTAAAGAAAATAGGAAGACCTCCCCGAGAAAGCAAAGTTAAGGTTAAGTCTTGAAGGAAGTGCAGAAATTACCCATGTTTGGGAGTTGAGGGGAATGAGTGCAAGGATAAAATGGAACGTATAGAAAAAGATCACCCAGTACTGCTCCCTTAATTACAGTGAAGCCTGGAGACCCTCCCAATTGTACCGACATTGAACAGAAGAGCAGGAACCTAGGCCTTCTGACCATCTGGTCTTGATTTGCACCAGGAATTAGGTGATCAAATAGATACATCTAAGTTAAGGCTACCTTGGAAAGTCTACTCACAGATCTAATCATGTTTTATCTTGAGTTTTCTGATTCTACCTTCCTTATGAGAAGCTCCACATTCCCTTCCATCCTCGACTTCTATATATCTGTACAAGTGAAGATTTGCTCTAGGATTGAACTGGTGAATAACCCAAACAGATGTCTCCACTCGTAGCTCAGTGTGTTCCCTGTATACTCCTTTGGCCAATGAGGTACCTCTATGCAACCAGACATACTGTAGGTTGACCAACCCACATCATCCATGCTACATGCAACATGTCGGAAAAAATAACCTGAAGGACATTATACCAAGTGAAATAAACCAAATACACAAAGACAAACACTATATGATCTCACTTATGTGTGGTAACTATGTGAGGTGATGGATATGTTACTTCGCTTGATGGTGGCAATCATCTCACAATGTATCAAATCAACACATTGTACACCTGAAATATATATAGAAAGATAAAAAATGTATATCTAGAGAGATGAATAAAAATTATATATAGAGAGACAAAATTGTATACATACAGTGTATATATATGTAATTTGTATATATACACTGTGTATATATGTAATTTGTATATATATACACAGTGTATATATGTAATTTGTATATATACAGTGTATATATATGTAATTTGTATATATATACATGTGCTATATATATACACACACAGATATATTAATATATATATATACAACTTTATATGTCAATTATACCTCAGCAAATCTAGAAAAAGGATACAACCATGCAGAAAATTTTATCAGATATTGTGTGGCTGCAGAAATGTATAAAAGGCCATAAATTTGATGGTAATGCTTCTAAATACTTGGCCTTTGGATTCTGCCTGAACTAGAAACGTGCTTCATTGCAGCATGCTGGTGCTCCTTCTGGCCATAATTCCCAGCTGTGGACCTGGGCCATCCCCACAAGCCAGAAGTCAACCATGATCTCCACCATTGGCCATTGCCAGCACTTTGCTGTATATAGACCTTAAAGCATTCTCACATTCATCATCTCATGGAATTCTCATAAAACTCCACCAGACAACTAGATAGAAAAGTCTTCATGTAGTGGATAAAGAAACAGAATCATGGGAATTAAGAAACTTGCTCAAAGTGTCAATTAATGAGGGATTGATTTAGGACAGAAGGCCAGATCGTGAGCCTGCAGGAGCTGAAATTTCATGGAGAAATGCAGAACAAACATGATGTCTGGCATGACATCAGCGTGCACCCTCAGGGTCTCCTGAATTCTGGTGAAAGTCTTATCAAAGCCAACCAGGCAGGTGTTGGTATCTTCTTGGGCCCTTCTCTCTGATTTGACTTCCTTGCCCAAAGCTTGATGCCTACAACACCCACGTGATGCTTCCAGCCCTACATGCTCTTGTAGGTTCCAGAGTGCTTAGTCAGTGAGAAGCAGAGAAAACAAGGTTATTACTGCATATCACACACACCGTAAAACTTCTACCCTATGAAAGGCCATTTGCTGGTGGGGGAGCAGAGCCTTGAAGCCATGTCTTATTTAACCAAATCAATGCACACATATTGCCCAGCTGTTAGAAACGGAGAAAGGGCCACAGAAACTCCAAGGGAGAGGAAGCCTGGCTTAGAATATTTGACAAGAGGCGAGTGATTAGACTCTCTTTGTGTTGCTAAGGGCAGAACTAGGGCAAACTGCTGAGAGCATCAGGAAGCCCATTTTAGTCTACCTCAAAGAACTTTTCTAAGCCTTTTGACCTGTCCAGAAGGAGAAGATTTTGTCTTAAGTAATTGTTTATGTGTCATTCATGGGAGTTGTCGGTCCCATAGCTGAAGAGCAAGAACTGACAAAAGAGGCTTTTTCAGTCAAACTAAAGCCCATCAATTTTTCTTTATTAGGCCCAGCCATTGGTCCTAATTTTAGATTCTGGAGCAGAATCAAATAAAGCTAATCACTGTTGCACATTTTACAAGAGGGGCTTGTAAATGAATTTCTAATTGGTGGAGTTTCAGGCATGGTTATGAAGTGAAATGAATTTCAGGCCAGGGAGATATTTTGGGGGCAGTGTGGGTTTTTTTCAGAGCCCTTAAATCATGCTACAGCGCTGACCAGCTACCATTCTGGATTGGATGGATGGGTGAGAAATTCACTTTAACTTTCGATTGCTGAAGATTTTTTTTGGTGGGGATGAAGTGGCATCAGTCAGGCATTAGAAGCTCTCTCTGAGTCTTTGGTAATGTCCTTTCCTCTTCAGACTCAGATGATCAAGTCTTCTCCTCCCCCTACCCTCCAATTTAGGAAATGGGTGTGCTGGATGGGGCAGGGGATGGAAGGGGCATTGCGCACATGATCCTCTACATCTTGTCATCCACTTGCTTGGGGATCTTTGTGGAAATATTCAAATTACTAGCATAAGCAATGTTGATAGCACCCACAGGATGGGCCTGAGAAGAGCTCCACCAGCTCAGACAGCCCCTAGTACTACATGTGGCTGTCATTACTGGAGATGCCCTGGCTTCTTCCTTCATGGGCACTTTTAGCTGAGAGCAATATCTGGCAGCACCCAAGAGGCATTTGATCTTTCTGCTGAAAGTCACAAGTAGAGACAGGTGGCATTGCCATCAAGGCATGTCATTAGGGCCCCCTGCCTCCCATTTCCATGACACTTCCTTCCTTCCTGCCCTCTTTTTGTGTCATGCACATTGTTTTGGGCCACCTTGGGGCCCAAGTATGTTGGAAGCAATAATGTAGTTGGTAGCAATAGTGAGGTGCCAGTGGTTCACTGAGGCTTCAGTGAGGCAGCGAACCATTCAACTCAGTGAACTAGTGGTTCACTGAAGCTTCAATGAGGTAGTGAACCACAAGCACTATATAGGCCTATGTATGCCTGGCCGAGGGAGGATGGTACAATCAATTTCCTGGATATTTCCAGCTCTCTCAGTCTTCTTTGTTCATTTAATCAACAAGTATTTTTCTTTTTTGGGTGGTAACAAGGAAACAGCCTGATCCTCCATTCTCCGTCTATGTATCCATCCTTTCATCCACCCAGATATGCACCCATGCATGTATCCATGCATGTATTCATTTGACAAGCACTTACTGGGTATTGACATAGAATCAGATACTGTCTTCATTACTAGGGACACACTCAGGGTAAAATGAAGTCCTTGAATTTTAGGAACTTATGAGCTAGCTGAGAGTCCTGCAAATAAACATGTCCTGCAAATACAATGATGCAATTGCTGCATTGGTTGTTTGCACAAAGGGCAGTAGGACCCAGGAAAGGCCTGATTGCCTGGGAGAGTAAGGAGGATGTGAAAGGAGACTTAATAGATGAGTTAGCATATTCCAGGCAGACAAGTAGTCAGCTAAAGGTATGTGCAGGATGCAGAGATAAGAGATGGCATCCCATGTGTAGAGAGAAGTTCCCAGAAGGCAGGGGCTGTATCTCTTTTGCTCCTCATTAAACATCTGCTCATCGTGGACTCTTGCCCTTTCTATAATATATAGCTATACATATATTTTATAGTTTGTATACCTGAATTAAACTTTTACTTGTCAAACTAGCATATGTACATAATTACAAAATTCAAATTTTTGACAAGACTTAGGAAAAAAAAACCTAGCAGTTTTCTGGCTCATCCTTCCTTACTCCTGGGTCTTACTCCTTAGAAACACCATTTTCAAATTTTGAACAATTCTTGCTGGCATTTAACTTCGTACTTCTAAATAATATGATATTATTATATCTATAGGCTATATTTTTTACCTTCTATCCACAGGAATTTAGGCTTTCTCTTTTTTAGCTATCATACCATTCCTTTTCTTTCCTTCATCCTCCTAACACAGTTATATTCCTATTTTCTGCTTAGTGAATTTTTAGGATTTTCATATTTATATCTATAAAAATATTCACAAAGGAATACAACTATGATTTTCCTTTTTAAACAATTGTTGGTTTTTCCGTGAGCTAATAATTGTCCAATTTAACAATTTGCCTAGTTTTCTATGTACCTATCACTGATTCTTTCCCAAAATCTCTGGCAGAGGTACCAAGATCTCCTAATAGAGTCAAACCCACTGGGTGACTGAACAGTGTTTTTTTGTTTGTTTGTTTGTTTTCTTGGAACCGCTTTTCCTTGGGCCCCAACCTCCTGCCTATTTGATTTGGACTGGCTGTCTCTGGGCCTGCTGCCTTGGTCTCCCCAAGCTCCTCGGATCACCTCATTCCTGGATGTCATATCCTCTTTGCTTTGCTCTCTTGCTTTGGTAAAGAGCCTTTTCCAGTTCTCATAAAAACATGCATGAGGGTAAAATTTTAAAACCCTTGCGTATCTGAATATGTCTTTATTTGCTCTTCACATTTCATTTACCATTTGGCTAGATATAGAATTTGAAGATGAAGGTGCTTTTTCCACAGGATTCTAAAGGCATTGTTCCATTGTGTTCTAGCTTCCAGTGTTCCTACTCAGAAGTCTCATGCCTCCTTGACTTCTACTCTTGTTACATGATCTCTTTTGCACCTTTCTCTGAAAGTATTTATTTCTACTCTTTATCCCTGGTGTGTTGAAATTTCACAGTGGTATATCTAGGTTTGTCTCTTTTATTCATTCATTATGTTTGATCTTTTGATGGACTCTTTAAATCTGGAATTTCATGCCCTTCAGTTCTGGAAATCTTTTTGGAATTTTTTCTTTGTAATTGCCTCCCTTGTTTTCTCTCAGATCTCTCATTAAAATTTCTTTTAAGAGACTATTGAACCTACTTGATAGATGCTTTAATTTTTCTTTCCTGCATTCCATCATGTTATCCTTTGTCTAGTTCCAATAATATTTATTGATTATATTATCTTCTAGAGATTGCTTATATTTATCATCTGGAATCTATTTATTTTTGTATTATGGGTATTCCATATTTAATTCCCACATATTCTTTTTTAAATTTTTCTAATTATTTTATAATAACTTTCTGTTCTTATTGCATGGATACCTATCTTTTTTTTTTCTGAAGATATTTACAGTTTTTTTTTTTTAAAGAATTTCTTTTCTGCTTGCTTTACTTTTGTTTCTTACAAGGCCCTATTTCCAATTTTTGTTCTTTTTTTTTTTTTTTTGTTAGAGCTCTTCTTAAGTGTCAGCTGGTGCTTGGCTATCTGTTTGTATTTCAGAATGAAGAACCACGTTGCTGACTGGAATTCTATCGTTACTGTTAGACTTTGTTGACTGATGGGCTTCAGTGTGGAGTGATTGGGTCCTGGAATTTTGTTAGCCAACTCTAAAGTCACAAGATTAGAAAGTTTGACTCTCTAGATAGCAACCGTCCAGGTTTCTGTCTTGCTGTCAGCTTTCTGGGAGCCCTGTGGGTAAAGGAAAGGGGGTGTCTCACTATTTAGAGGACTTCACTTTATGTAGGGTGCTAGTTCTGAAGGAGACAGGCCTGAGGCCTGACCCTTAGGCCACCCATACTTAGGAATGAAGAAGAAGGTAGAGTTAATGATGGGGACACAGGAGTAGTCATAATGGCAAGAGGAGAGCCATGGAAGGGGAGATGATTAGCAGCATTGACTGTATCCCAATTGTCAAATCAGTTGACTTTGGGCAATCATTGAAGATCTTCAATATTATAGTGGAGGTGGAATCTAACTTGTAGGATGAAGGAAGACAGAGGAAGGGAAGCTAGATGGTCCTGCAGAGACTGAACTCTCTGCCTCACTATACCTTTTCCTTCCGTGGGCATTGCTGGCTCCAGTTCACCTGACTTCCAGAGGCACTGAGTAAATTCTAGAGAAACAAACAGCGTATGCACACAAGCCATCAGAACTGATGGGCAGGAGACAAGAGAGATTCTTAAATGTATGAAAGTAAAACAAATACTTTATTTAAGGAAAAGGCAACTTGGAAAAAAGAAAAGCCTAATAAATAACTCAGTACAGCTGGCTTAAGCACTTTAAAGCCAGTGTCTGTGATAAGCAATGAAAACATTAATATAAAATGCTTCACCATAAATGAGTACAATTCAGGCTGATGTATTGCAGCTGAGCCGGCTGTCGGATGGCATGCTTTTAAAGTGATGTTTACAATCAGTATTTTTTTCTTTGGTAACTAGAAGGCAGAAGTGGTTGGAAGACTTTCCAGGGTGCAGCTATGAGCCTTGGGAGGGTGACAGCCCTGCCAAGTGGTTCATCCCCTTTTCTGCCCTGTTCCCAATCAGTTGGAGACAAGGCAGTTAGGAAGTCTCAGAGCAGGGTGGTTCTGAGCCTAAGCAGAGAGTTGGGAGCTGGATTCAAGTCAGTGGCCAGCTCTGAGGTCTGGAGACAGTGGATCAGTCTTTCTGGCCTCTTGGTTTCCCCAGCTAGTCCTGGAGGTCACAGAGGGTGTCTCCCAGAAGCTCTGAGCCCATTGCCTTCATACCCTGCTGAGTCTCCTTCTCTGGCCTGGAGTCTCTTGTTGACCATTGAGTTCCTCATCCTGTTTATTCAAAACGAGAATGTGTCTCACTTTGACATTTCTACATTTATAAAGTGGTGGGGGAAAATACCACCAGTCTTACCATGTCAACGTGGTTATGGAATAGTTAGGTAAACTAATGAGTATGAAGGAATGCAATGTAATGCATTCTTTTTAACGAATGGGTAATCTGACATTCCTTCTTATTATGTGATAATAATAAGAGCAGCTCATGTTTGCTGAGTGCCAACTCCATGCTAAGCCAAGTAGTCCTCCCTGGAAGCACAGCCACTGCTTCCTCATGTGGGTCCTGGCTCTGTGTGGATGACCTTCTCATGGCCTCTGAAGCCTTTCTGTCTGCCTGTCTGCCTCAGGGATCCATGAGGATTTTGCTTCTCCCTGTTGCCAACACCTGTTTCTCCAACCTAGGTTTCTGGCAGTCCTGGCTGACTGGGAAATGGGAAGTGTTCTTTTTTTATTTTGTTCTGTTTTTTTCCTTTTCTGTTCATGAAACAATTTACAAGGCCTTTTCCTTGAAGGGTTCAGCTGTCAATCACTATGGGGAAAATAAACAAAACAGCAAAGACTGTGAAGAGGTCAAAGAAGCAGAGCTCTCTTCGTGGCTGTCACTGGCTGGTGGTTCCTGTATTCTTTTTTAAATGATGACTTCAAAAGTTCCCAAGAAGGGGACTGAGAGCTTGTCTAGCCATGTCTGGGGTCTCACTGACAGCCCTTGACCACTTAGAAGTGAAACAAGTCTGCTCAGACTCTCACCCTGTGACCCTGGCTGCCAAGTCCTGTAGGGGCTGGATGTATTCTCAACTCCCCCCAGCCTGCATCAGGTGAGGAATTAGGCCGCTTCTCTGGGCCCCACAAAATTTCCCCCTGGACTTAGACAATCCTACACTGTTTCCTGTTAGTTTCTAGTTTCTTTCCTTTTTTTGAGATGGAGTTGCCCAGGCTGTAGTGCAGTGGTGCGATCTCAGCTCACTGCAACCTCCGCCTCCCTGGTTCATGTGATTCTGCTGTCCTCAGTCTCCTGAGTAGCTGGGATCACAGGCACCCACGACCAAGCCCAACTAATTTTTGTATTTTAAGACGGGGTTTCACCACATTGGCCAGGCTGGTCTTGAACTCCTGACCTCAAATGATCTACCTGCTTCGGTCTCCCAAAGTGCTGGGATTACAGGCGTGAGCCACCATGCCTGGCCTCCTGTTAGTTTCTTGTGGCTGCTGTCATAAATGACTGCAAGCCCAGTGGCATAAAACATAAAATTTTTTTATCTTACAATTCTGGAGGTCAGAAATGTGACCTAGGTCTCGCTGGGCTACAATCGGGGTGTTGGCAGGGTGGCCTTCTTTCCAGATGGTCTTGGGGTAAATTCTTCTCTTTTGCCTCCCTCAGCTCCTGGAGGCAGCCCACATTTCTTGGATCATAGCCCCCTTTGTCTTTAAAGTTATCCAAGTTTCGTGGAGTCTTTCGCAGACCACATGTCCTTGACACACACACTCATCTATCTTCTAAAGACCTGTGTGAGTATGCTGGGCCCACCCGAATAATCCAGGACACTCTATTTTAAGGTCAGTCGATTAGCAACATTATTTCCATCAACAAACTTAATCCCCCCTTACCATGTAGGGAACATATTCACAGGTTTGGGGGATTAGGACATGGACATCTTTTAGGGGAGGCAGTTTTCTTTCTTTCATAACTGGTTACAATTGACTTCTGCTCCTTGAAATTTGTCCCTTTCCTCCTAATATAAGAAATATGAGCTGGAAAGACAGCTTCCAACTTCAGGTAAAGCTGGCCTTCTCGCCTGTCACCTGAAGTTCCTACACGGACAGACACTGGCCTAAGTTTCTCATAAAGAACCAGCAGATGCCAGCTTTCCAGGAAGCTCCCTCCCCCAGTAACCAGAAGCCTCTTCAAGGACCCTCTGTCCTTTGAAGACCTCACTCTTAGATCATATTTCTGGTCTGAGGGAGCCTCTGTTCATGGCGCAGTGCTGTGGCCAAGAGGCTGATATGCCTAGACACCACAAAGAATCCTGCTGCTGGGTGCGCTCTGCACCCACCCCACAAGGATTTTATGACACCCTCCAGGATTCCACTCTTGGGAATGGCCTCTAGAGTAAGAATTTGCCATCTAAAATAGTTTGAACAATGGAAACAAGAATCCATATGTGTGTGTGTATGTGCGTGTGTGTGTATGTGTATGTCTCTGTGTGTGTGTGTAATTTGTAAGACGGAAGGAGGAAAAGTTTGCCAACCACCTATCACAAGGTGATAGGCACTGCTCTGCGTGCCATGCCACCAATCCCATGCTCTGCACAGCAGGCTGCTATAGGGCTGCATTCTGGATCCACCCCTGTGCCACTTTGGCCAAGCTACGGCAGCTCCTTGAGCTTCAGTTTTGTTGTTCCCCAAATGGGAAAGGCTAATTTGAAGAGTGAGGAAAAGCTGGCAGGTGTGTAGCTCCCTACTCCTCCCTGCACCACTTGCCTCTCCCCTCCCTTCTAACTCAGTTTTCCACACTTCTCTCTCATTCTCATTCTGCTTCATTTCTTTCCAAAGAGCCTAGAAATAACATGTTGCTATTTTCAGCACCCCTTTCCCCCATCCTGACACATATACGTATACATATACACATACACACAAACACACATGCACACACACTGGATAGAGATGTGGAGATGGTGTGGCGATGCCTTGTCCTCCCCAAGTCAAGCCTGGTTTGTGCATGGAGAGGAGCTAAACCCACAAGAAGAAGAAACTGAGCACACAGCAGGAAGGCTTGAGCATTATGGCTGTAGGAGGGGAAGTATTTGGGATCATTTGAATTAACCATCCACACAGCTTTCTGATTTGAGAGCCCCATTCCATCACCCTGGCCCAGTACTGCTCTGCTGTGTCCTAAGCTCTTTCTCTTCTACCATAGGGATGCTGAGCAGGTGAGCAGCACCACAGAGTGGGGAGTAGAGTGGGGGGATTGGTCAGCTGCTGAATCCACCAGCAATGATTTCTGGACCAGAATCAGCCCAAACAACATCCTTCCCTACTGGAAGAACCTACACACAAAGTGCCAGACAAACACGGCTCTTCAGCACTCCCTGATGGGTGCTGTGCTTCTTTCTAGACCCCATTTATAAATTTGAACTGAACAGATGTATTACATGGAATACTTTAAAACATTATTAGGAACAGCTTTTGCATTAGTGGTAATAAATCCATACCGGCAGTTACTTCTTATTTTTGCCTGTTTGATAACTTGAAAAACAAATTCTTTTCCAGAATAAATTTGGGTAAATGGATTGGTGCCCTCTTTCCTTCACTACTCCTCTTCCCTCCTTACCAACCTACTGGTGCCCATGCCACCAGCCCTGCCCCACAGCACTGCTCAAGATGGAGGGAGGAAGGAGGACAGTGGAGATCTGCTTGGCTCTGACCCCAAATCCACTGTGTGATCTTGAAGGATTTGGGTATGCTCAGTGCCCCTGTGTTTGGTTGCTTTGCACACAGCTCACAGCTTCCAGTGGTCCCTGCCTCCCAGTGTTCATGCCCTGTATGGGCTGGACCTAGCGATATGCTTCTAGTGAATGGAATACCACAAAGGTGGTGGGTTGTCACTTCTGAGGTTAGGTTATCATGATGGGTAATATTATCAACTTGATTGAAGGCTGCAAAGTATTGTTCCTGGGTGTGTGCCTTTCCACGTTCTTCTGCCTGCTTTTATTCTGGCCGTGCTGACAGCTGATTAGATTGTGTACACCCAGACTGAGGGTGGGTCTGGTTTCCCAGTTCACTGACTCAACTGTTAATCTCCTTTTGCAACACCCTCACAGACACATCCAGGAACAATACTTTGCATCCTTCAATCCAATCAAGTTGACACTCAGTATTAACCATCACAGTTATAAATGATTCTGATGTTCATCATGCAGCACTCTTTCTCTTGCCTTCTTGGCTTGGGGGCTTTAATGAATCAAGCTGTCATGGTGGAGAGATCTACATGGCAAGAAACTGAGGGTAACCTCTAGCTGATAGCCAGTGGGGAACTGAGGCCCTCAGTCCAACAGCCCAGTGAAGAACCAAATCCTGCCAACAACTACTGTGTGAGCTTGGAAGCAGACCCTCCCTCATTTGAACCATGAGATGACTGGCTCCTGTGGCTACCTGGATACAGCCAGTGAGAGACCCTGGAGGAGAAGACCCAGCTAAGCTGTGTCCAGATTCCCAACCCACAGAAACTTGGAAATAATAATAAATCATAAATGTGTGTTGCTTTAAGATGATATTTTTTGGGGCAATTTGATACGTAGCAATAAACTAACATACCCTTTATGGCTCCAATCTGTAAAATGGAATTATTCCCACCAGTCTTCCTAAGTATAGCAGGAAACATGGGGATGTTAAGATGTATTTGAATACTGAAACCTTATTGTGGTGGCATCAGTAATGGTCAGTCACTGATTTATTTCATAAATACTTACTGAGCACCAGTTATGGTCAGATGCTGTATTACCAACGTGAGCAACAAAGATAAATCTTTTGATGAGGCCATGGTCTTTATGAGGAGAGTCACATATTGTTTGGAAACAGTGAAATACAATGTGTTAAATGTTTTGAAATGTCCTCAAAATGTTTTGGGAGCCCAGATACCAAACGCAGCCACATACAATAAAATTTCTCACCAGAGTAGCAAAAATTCCTGGAAACTTTTAGGGACTCCTCATTTCCCCTATCGCAGTGAGAGCTTCAACAAGAAAGAATGAGTTGAAGAAGGACAGAAGGCTTAGAACTTGAAGAAGTCTTTGAGTACAATCTCAGGTATGCATGGGATGCACTTTGGCACTTTGAACATGCTTTTAATAGGGGCCCCCCAGTAAACCCCGCTTTTCCAGACACTGGGCCTTGGTCCCTTAATGTGCTCCATCTGCAGCAGTCTCTGTCCTTATAGATGATTCCTAATGCTTCTAAAGATTCCCATAATTTCTCCCTCACATCTGACGCCAGACAGCCCATGGAACAGGAACTACATATTTCAGTGCCAGATTCTCTTTTGTTTCAAGTATAGTGTTCATTTATCCATTCATTACTCTCTTCAACAGCAAAGAAATGGGGGTCCCAGGCATCCTGAAACTGAGAGCAAGGGAGTGGGCAAAAAAGAGGATTTGTTGAAAGTCTGCTTGAGTTGTTAGTTCTTCAGAACCCCTCCAGTACCCAGCTCCACACTGTGATAGGAAGAGGGAAGTTTAGTCTCTGGATAAATTGAACTACAGAGGTTCAAATTCTGCATCATTGGCCATAATGGGGGTGTTGGGGCTGGGTGGTGCCTTAGTGCAAATAGTGATTAAACTCATGGCTCATGTTGCTCCCACGTGGATGAGATCTGAATCGGTCATCTACATCACTGAATGCTCACTGATCCAGCATTACCTGAGTGCAGAATATCCCCACTGGGAAATTCCAGCATTATAGCACTCACAATCATGCAATCCCACGCAAGTCCCATCAGCATCATTTTGCTCTCCAGACCTCCAGGCAGAAAGTCCCTCAGGGCCTTTGCACTGGCTCTTCCCTCCTGCAGGAATGCTCTCCCCATATATTGGTATGGCTGACTCACTCCTTCACTTCAAGTTGTTGCTCAGACTTCATCTTCATAATAGGTTCTCTTCTGGTCATGCTATTAAAATTGCAACCCTCCTCCAAACAAATGGCATGAGCAATGTTTGGCACATAGTTTCCTTTGATACATTATGCTTTTGGAATGAGGTGAAATGTTTGAGCAGAGGCTGGAAGCCCCTATATTTTTCAAATTGTGGTAAAATATATATAACGTACAATTTGCCATTTTAACCATTTTTAAGTGCAAAGTTCAGTGGCATTAAGTACATTCATATTGTTGTACAACCATCACGACTGTCCATTTCTAGGGCTTTCTCATCATTCCAGACCAAAACTCTCAACCCATTAAACAATAACCCTTCATCCCCCCTTTTCCCCAGCTCCTGGCAATCACTGGTCTACATTCTATGTCTATGAATATGACTACTCCAGGTACTTCGTGTAAGTAGAGTCATCCACTATTTGTCCTTTGTGTCTGGCTTATTTCCCTTAGCATAATGTTTTCAAGGTTCATCCATGTTACAGTATGGGCCAGAATTTCCACTGTATGTAATACCACATTATATTATCCATTCATTTGTTGATGGTGGAAGGCCATGTTGATGGTGGAAGGCTCAAAGCATTAGTGTATTGGATGGCAGGTGGACTCAACCACCTGTCACGACCCTCCTGATGGATAAGAGCCACCAAGTTTTCTCTCCCACAGATTTGTGGTGACCACTTGCTAAGGCAGAGAAAACTCTGGACAATTAGAGGAAGTCCAAAAACTTTGGGTATGAAATTATTTTTCCTTCTCCAAGTACTACAGTGGAAGTTAGAAGTAGAAATAATTTAGTGAAAGCTATGAGGATGAGTTAGTTATCTACTTTATGCTTCATAAATAATGAAAAATGGACGCTATGTCTCCAAACATTATTTATATCAATTCTTCATTGGATAGGTGACTTCAGGCTAAATGCTAAAACCAAAAAACAAAACCTGAAATTAAAAAACTGTGGTCAGGAGCAATTGCAAAATCACTTCTCTAGAGAGCTCAAGGGGATTTCGACTCGATTTCTGGTACAAGGGTGCCCGAACTGCCAGTGGGCTCAGGACCCCTGAGGTTCACTCAGATGGGGCACCTTCTCCTTCCACTTTTCTTATCCTGTCTTGTTTTTTTTTGTTGTGTTTTTCACCTAATAATATACCTAGGGATAATGTTCATTTAAAGGGGACTTATATAAGGTCTTTTTGTTTTCTGTTTTGAATTTGAAACTCTCTATATAGTTTCTTCCTTCTTGGATGTGTTTGACACAGTTCTTGGCACTAAGGGTGCTCTGTAAGACAATGAAGTCATCTTCAGCACTCTCCTGGTGGCCTTCCTGGGGCCTCTCTCTGCCTCTCTGTCAGCCACCAAGGGCCTGCAGAGCATGCGAAGGTTGACCCTGCTTGCCTCTCAGGGAAGGCTTTCCCCAGGGCTCTCCCTCCCTGAAGGCAGGACAACCTGGGTGCGAGTCTGTCTGCTTCCCTGCTTTGCACCGATGTGTTGTGGAGAAGAGCATAATTTGACTGTTAACAGAAAAGCTGTGGAAAAAAAGGGAAAAACTGATGAATTATAGAGGGCGTGTTTGGAACTTGAGATGCAGGGTCCATTTCTCTGAGAACGTGGTGAGACCATGTGACCACTCCCACAACCAGCAAGGGTAGGATTTGAAGAGGAGGAAGAGTCCTGGGTTAGAGCTCCATATGTGCTCTCCCACAGAAACATGTTGGGGTCTAGGGTTCTATTAGTACCGTATTGCACTCCAGTTTCATGGGCTTCAACAGGCTTCTGTGGGCTGCCTGGGGGACCTAACTACCACGCACAACATGGTTTCTATGGGAAAATGCAT
Source organism: Homo sapiens (assembly GCF_000001405.40). Taxonomy (NCBI): domain Eukaryota; kingdom Metazoa; phylum Chordata; class Mammalia; order Primates; family Hominidae; genus Homo; species Homo sapiens. The sequence goes on from NC_000018.10 coordinate 37,632,439, forward strand.
TTTGAGTACTAGAAAACTGACATACACTCAAACTTTTGGAACAGAGCCTGCTCTTAAGTTGGAGACTGCTTGAATACCACATTCACAGCTAAATTATATACATAGGCCTATTTTTAAGACATATGCCTATTTCCAAGATATTCAGCTTACGTAACAATGGGAATTGGAAGAAAGAATTGATAGAAGTAGAATCATGTGCTCGATGGGGAAGAGGGGGAAGATGTGAACATTTGCTGTACAGAATACATTCATTTTTATTTGGAAGGAGAGTAGAGGACACAGAGAGAATGCCTAAAATATTCTCTAGGTTTGTGTGGTCCACCCCATGGGACCTTTCTTTAAGCCACTTCATATGCATATAGTTCTTAATTTTGAGACAAATAGTTGAATACTACAGTAACAGACAAGATTGCATTAAATTAAGAGGTCAGAGTATGACCAAGGCCTGCATTTTATAGGATCTGCCCAAGCCATGTAGCACCTCCGGTCCCTGTATCCCCTCAATCTGTGGGCTTCCAGCATGATACATGAACTCCCTGCTGCCAGATCTGGATTTCCTTGCCCCAAATGGACTTACCTTGCAGGACCCACCAGTGGTTTTGCTCTGGGCCATGTCTTGAAGACAGTTTTCTAGAATTCTCAGTTACTTAAGGCCAACACCCATATCCATTGGCCGGCAACTCAGTAATGAGTACTGAGACTAAAAATGAACCAACCTAGATTTACTTCATTTTGCTTTACTTCAAATAACTCATTTCAACTCAGTAATTTATGGAATTACATTAATTAATTTTTATTTAACTACTTTAAATCAACCTGACAACAAGTCAGCTCAGGTGAGAATTGAATTCAAAACCCCAAACACTGATTAAGCAACCCTAGTTGGCTGTTACTATGTTCTTAATTACGAAAAGTAATGAAGATGGTTCAACTGGCCTTTGGGTTGGCAGAGAGCTGTGGGATGAATATTCTCCTCCTCTCCAACTGTGTGTATTTTATTCATAGACTACCCTGGTATTCTAGATAAAAATAACTAATGTAAATGCTGTTGTTTTTCAATTGTGAATTTAGGAAACAGAATTTTAGTTCTGATTCATGCCTCATGTTTGGAATAGAGTAGCTGGTGTCTCAAGATACTAGGAAAGATATGGAGGAAAAGAGGACAGGACCAGTACCTGAATTCCTGAAGAAAGCTGACCCTTCCTCATGGTGGGCTCACCATGGAATCTGGCCTCCATTCTCCATGCTGCAGTGAGCAGGTGTCTTCCACATCCAGGAAGAAGAGACTCATGCAGAGTGTGTAGCTTCTCTATGCCTTACATTTTCATTAGCACATGCGTATTTCCCATGGAGATAACTACCCAACTCTAGAGGGATAGATCTGTCTGCTGATAGTACGGGTAGTGAGGCTAGGAGGGTGTTAGATAAGGATGTTTCATGGGGATGAAGGAGCCCCAGTAGAATGGCAAGAACTCTGGTCTGAGTTAGGAGACCTCAATTCTGTTTCCAGCTCTGTCACAAACCATCTGGGTGACCTTGTGCAGATCACTTGCTTTGTGATCTGGCAAGTGGGCTAGTTGATTGCAAACATATCTTTTAACCCTACAGTCTGAGCCTGTGGTGGTATATATTGGGGCAGGGATAAGCTGACTGTGTCCTTGCGTCCAGCTCCTGCCAGCCCCAGCAATGGACACCTGAAGCTGGTGTGCCTTCAGCCCACAGCGCTTCAGTTTCTGCATCAACCCTGACCCAGCAGGTGAGCCTTTAGGTACCTCAGCCCCATGAACCAGTGGAGACTAAAATAGATAGTATGGTTGTGACCCTAAATGCCACTATTATAATTTTTCCTTCAACACCAGCAGCCCTATCTCTGCCATCAGTACCAACATAATAGTGTATATGCCAGGCTCTGTGCTTTTCATTCACTATCTCATTTAGTCTTCCTAACAGTTCCATAGGAAGGTCTCTCCCATATTTTTCAAATGAGGAACAGACTGGATGTACAAGCCATATTGACCTGATTCCAAAACTCATTCCCTTAATCCCTTAAGTCCAATTGATGCAATCATTATGACTGGTTTTCTGTTGTTCTTTTCTACCTTGCCATCCAGTTCTTTGGAAGGGACAGAATGCTGGCTTGAAGTCCAGGCCCCTGGGTTTGGCCTTGACTCTTTGGCAAGTTTCTGTGTAGACTCTCTGAGCCTGGATTCTGTTCCTTGCCTCCCAAACTTGTGGTTTGTGTCTGGCTCTTAATGAACCAAACACCCACATCATGATGCCGTCCCCCAACCGAATTTGACAACACTTCCCATCTGGCTCACCCTGCTGTCACTTCTCATCCTCCAAGCTGTAGTTCTAGGGATCTAAGGGCTTGCTGGAGCCAGGGCTGACTTCATCACCACCCTTTAGGGCCCTTGGTCATGGACTTGAGGTTGTCCCTATAGTTCTCACAATTTCCCTAGCCCTCCTTTGGGCTTCTGTCCTCCTCCACCTCCCCTAATCCTGTGCATTCAGCATGATTTCCACCTGAGTTCAGCTGACTTGCCACATCTGGGGCCTGTGGGAAAGAATGGAGTGGGACATGGAGATCCAGCCTGGACTGGAAGGTGACCCCAGGGGTCCAACCAGCAGGAGGTGCTGTAGGGGTTACCCAGCAGTGCTCCATAAATATACCTTTTGTTTTATTCATGTGTTCCTTTCCACCATCCCTTATTTCTTTGCTTGTGGAGAGCTCTTGAGCACAGAGCCACAGGGGAGAGAGGCCTTTTCACTGAGTTGGCCCAGTCTTGTTCTGTCTCTGCTCTTTGCAGAATTTGGTTGTTTTCCATCTTAATTATGCTCCTTGCATCAGTGGCTGGCAGGCACACAACCTTTAGAGGAGTTTATCTTAAAAACCCACTCTCTCCTGAGAGAAGCAGTTCTATGGGGAACTGTGAGACTTCCAGGGATGGTTGTATATATTTGTGTGTAGGCAGTAGGGAGGTTGGTGACAGTTGCTTTCTCACTTACCATTTACCTTAGGGAGGTCGGAGCTTGCTAACACGGGCTGGGGCTACTTATGTGACCCCTAGTTTTGAGCCTCATTTAACACACAGAGCCACCACTATGGACTCAACTGGGGACAGTGATTATATTGTGAAGGGGAGCCAGGGATTGACAGTGGGTTAAATGAGTGACAGCACCATGAGTTCAGGTCACAACTATCTAACTTAATGACTAACTGTAACATATTTCTTTGGGTTAAAACTCTGGATTTCTGACTAAACGCAAATATTTTCTGGCAGAAATGACTGTTTTTAATTATCAGTCATTTATATTTTAGTATAAGTTACCTTTTAGAAGACTCAGTTACCAAGTGCATAGGTCTCCCCATATCTGGAAGAACTATTTAATTGGCCCAAATAGATAGTTTTCTTATTGAGCCTTTAATGTACTCATTTGGAATGTTTTTTGTACAACTACATACTCTGTTCTGTATAGGAAGCCCAAGAGAAGAAGAAGAACTCGTTCCTTGAGGACCTACGCTTCTCCATAGGAAACAATACAGCATGCCAGAGATAAATTATAGTTGGGAGCTAGACCGTGTGCTACAGAAGTAGCTGCACAATGATGTTGAATGAAGCAGGTACAGATGGGGCTAAGGTTAGCTCTGTGGAGGACCCAATATCTGCCCTGGATTTTCACTCTTGAAATTGCCCAGATGAGGTTGATATGATTAAATATCAGAATGAATAGTACAGAATAAATATTGCAAAAGGAGAAAATGGGTGCACTGCAGGAACTGGAGAAAACAAAAGGCTTGTGTGAAATAGAAGGAAACTGGTGGATTCTGTGATAGTGATGCAAAGAGAAAGTCCTCACTTTTCTTCCCCTACCTAGCTGTCTGACTTTATTCTTTATTAGCAATGTCCATCGCTCATTTGAATATTCTAGCTCCTGCCCAATTTCCCCACTAACTTTTCGGGAAGGTATAATGCTCTGCCTACACATAGCTTAATATATGTATTGAATAAATTAACAAATGAATCATAAATAGTATTGAACACATCTGCTAGGTTGAGCTACTTAAGGAGCTTGACTTTGATTTTCCTGGACTAAAGTTGCTTTATCCCAAATCTGAAGCTGGAAAGGAAAGGATATCCTAATAGCAAATGCTACATTTTGATCACTGGTCAATCTTCCCATTCTCTGTCTGTCTCTTGTGAGCGTTCACATGGCCTCATTCAAACTCAGTCAGCTGCAGCAATGATTCTTCCATTTACATGGCTAGATGCTGTGAGACAACCAAGCCAAAAAGATGCCACCCTTGCCCTCTAAGAACATAAAATTAGTAGTTAATTTTATATTATGAAAAGTGAGGAATTTCCTCAGGAAAAGAGGAATTTAGATCTAGCCTATAATAAAATTAGTCACCCAACAGGCATTCAACTCTGATTTCTTTATACGTGTCAATGCCGGGGCTCCTCGTTAGATTATATTCTCTTGGGGGGTGAATCAGCTGAGAAAGAGGACTAGATATTTCTAACCTGCTCTTAATACCCTCTGTGGCCATGGGCTCCTCCATCTGGCAGAGAATGTGCTCTTCACTATAACGCAGATACCACGATCTCTGTGTTAGGGATGCAATGGGCCCAACCTTACTATCTCCCAAAGCCCTGGCAGGTGACTGAATGTGCAGTCCACAGCTTATAAAAGGCCGGATCAGTGGGTCCATAGGCTCTAGAGATCAGTTTCTCATTCTGGAGATCCCCTTGGTGTCCATCCATATCCTGGATCAGGAGTCCTGTTTCACAGCTCAGTTCCCAGACATGTAAGAGGATTCTGGGACTGGGACCAACACTATGATGCTTTTCTAATCTGTTCTTCTCTCCACTGTCTTTCCTGTCTCCACCCAACCAGGAAAGCAGAATATTTAAACTTCTGCCAAACTCCCAAGAAGCTGACTTTGCAATGTGCAGTGTCATTCCTCAGGTTGTTTCCCGCCCATCAAATGCCAGTGGCCTGGATTGACCGTTGCCACTGTGCCTGGAGAGCCCAGGAAATACACTATGGTGATGAAAACGACTGTGGCAATCCAGCAGTCTGCTCTAACTGGATGATTGTAAGAGGGTAAAGAAGATAGTGCTGAACTTTGTGATGGTTTTATATTCCAGTAAACACCCAGTAAGACAACATTGGAGGCAGCAGGGCCCATATGGGTATTGGAGAAGCAACGGACAAAGTCAGACCCAGCCCAGTGGATGAGGGCAGGGTCTCACTAGTGTTGGTCTCACCAGTGTTGAGTAGAAGATGCCCGGAGTGAGTGAGACAACTTCCAGGACTAGAACTGTGCGTGGAGTCCAAACCAGGAGAGTTGGAGGAAAGAGGGCAGCTGAACATCATCTTTGTGGATGGAATCTTGCCAGGTGAGCCTTTCCCAGTCATGCTATGGTGCTGATAAAATGTGGGAACAACACAGATTTGGTCTCAAGTTCCATTTGTTGGGGTACAGTAGCTCTCTTTTGAGCTAGATTCCAGCTTTCTCTTATCGCAGGGTTAGCACCTAAGGTTTGGGGCCAGGGCTGGTTCTGCTCGACCACAACTCTTCCCTTGTGTACACCATACCAGACTGCTTCCTGTCCAGGGTCAGGCCCCAGCACAGCTCTGTGCATTCACTGTCCACCCAGCTGCCCCATTTGTCTCTTACAGTGAGCCCCAGCCACCTGCTGCAGCCCTGCCTCATTGCCTCTGTGTGATTCTCCCTGAAGCCCCCACAATGCAGGACAGCATCACAGGGAGCTTAGATTAGTTGCTGATTGTTCTGTGGGTGACTCTGATTTCCTCATTTTGCTGGTATTTGGCTCCTTTTGTATTTTTTCACATTGAGATCACAGGGCTGGGCCATGGTAGGTCCTCTGTCCTTTCCTTCCCATCATACTCATCCCTCGCCTCCCCGAAATTTCTCATGACAGTTGAGGGTGAGGAGGGAAATGGGGATAATGTACTTTTTCTGTCTTGCAGTAGAGCTAAGAAGCACCCCATCCTAGGAGGGACTGAGCTGACTTTATTTCTCTTTATCTTCCTCTTTCCTTCATCAAGTAACTAATGAATGCTTCAGTAGCTCTACTGGATCTTGGGACAATCTGGTAAACAGACAAGATACTTTCTTGGAGCTTGGAAGGGAATATATTAAAACTGATAAACAAATACATAAAATGATCACAAACTGCTAAAAGAACTATGAAGGAAACAAAGAGTGCTAACAAAGAACTAGGAAGCGTTGGAGAACACAGTTGAGAATGAATGGTTAAGAAAGCCAAGACTCGAAGAATGAGATGGAGCCAGCCAGGTTCAGAACATAGCAGAGCAATGCGTAACAGAGAGCAATGCACAGCATGTGCGAAGGTCCTGAGTCAGAAAAGTGTTGGCTTATTGAAGGAAATAAAGGCATCTGTATGGTTGGAGAATGGGCAAGGTGGAAACAAGTTACAGAAGAGGGGCTTATTGTGGGAACTGTATTAGTTAGCTTTTGCTACAAAACAAACAACCCCAAAACTTAGTGCTTAAAACAATAGTGATTTATTATATCTCATGATTCTGTGGGTTTCTTCTCATCTGGTCTTGCTTGGATAGGGCTGGATGATCTATAATGATCTCACTTACATGTCTAGGGCCTCAGCTAAAATGGCAAGCATGGTGGGAATGGCTGGGCCTCTCTTGGGGTCTCTTGTCATTCTATAGAAAGCTCAGGCTTGTTTAGATGATGGTTGGAGGATTCCCAGCAGCAAGAGAAGGCAAACTCCATTGAGTAAGAGTGTTTCAAGCCTGTTTGTGTTACATTGGCTAATGTTCCATTGGCCAAAGCAAGTCACATGGCCAAGTCCTGAAGTGAAGTCCAGAAAAATCTACCTCGTGATGGCAGCATCTAATAATATTAATGCCCCATTTTTCAGTATAATCTCAGGAATGAAAACAGAAGCTCTGTTTATTAATTGGGTACTCGCTCCAAGCTGGGGGTTCATTCAGTTTCCTTCCTTCCCTTTCCTTCCTTCCTTCTTCCTCTTCTTCCTTCTCCTCCTCCTCCTTCTAAAAATTATCTATTATGTGTCAGGCATTGTCTCAGACCTGCTGCTGAGAAACACTCAGACCTTGCTCTCAGACAGTTCACATTATAGTGAGGGAGATACAAACAGAGCCATTTGCAGTTCTGGGTGGCCAACAGCCAACGAGTGTGCAAGATGTAATGATGGAGACAGAAGAGGGTGACTGACTCAACAAGGAAGTCAGAGAAAAAATGTCCCGGAGGAAGTGATGCTTGAACTGAATCCTGAAGAATAAGATGGTGAGGAAGGGGCAGCAGAAGGTGAGCAAGAGAGCCACCTGAGGCCAGCAACAATTGGATATCAGGCTCAAAAATGTGAGATTGGAGCTTTGTCAACCTCTCTTGCTCTGAGCCAGTTGTGGGGTCAGGGCTGGGCTTGAACACATAGTGGCAGTGACAATCAGAATCCAGGGACCCCAGCAATAGGGATGAGGAGAGATGGGACTGGGTCTAGCAGTGGCTGCAGACAGTCCCAATGTCTGTGTCGCACCCTACACCCAGGCTCTCTGCAGCTTGTGCCATGACTCTCCCTTCAGACTGGGAATTCCTGAGTCATACAGTCAATGCTGGCCAATGGCCTTAGCAAAGCCCCGGGATCTCTTTACTGGAAATGGTTTCACAATTTTCCCATACAGATGGTGTCCTGAAGGGACAACTGAGTGTGAGTGTATCATTCGCTGCATTTTTCATATGTAGGGGATAGGGGAGGGGAGAGAGAGAGAAAATATCAGGAAATGTGTATATTTATCCTAGCCTGGCCTTAAGAAAACACAGCTACCAATCCATCAAAAATGAATTTGAGTTTGGATAACATTAGTGTTTAAGGTGATGCTCTTCTCTTGTATTGATTCTCTGTGGGTTGAAATGGAAACAATTTTAGAAATGTAGTCTTAGGTTTCCTTAATCTGCATGGCTCAGGGAGGAAAAGCCTGTTGTCACTCGTGCTAATAACCACAAGAAACACAGTTCTAAAGTGCTTAGCTGGAAAATGAATTCCAGAAGCCATCCCTGGTCCTGATTCCAGGGAATTTGTTTCCTAAAAATTCAGCCCTTTTCTTTCCTTCAAGAGAGTTTCCTTATAAGGTATGGCCATTTGTGAAGGAGAAACTAACATGCAGAGTTGAGGATTCCCAGAAAGGGAAGAGTCAGCATGAGGTAGGGTCTTAATTGCTCAGTGATGGGGTGACAGCAGGGGGTTGCTTGTGCAACTGACTTTGGGAGCCCAAGGGAGACCTCAGCCTCCCACCATTCAAAATAAGTATCTGCTTGAAGTTTTATTATGATATACTTTTATTTTAGGTCAAGATATTGGGGTTACCTCTTCAAATGTGTATGAAGTTTGGCTGTCTTAGCAAGAACTAGGCATCATTAGCATTAATTGCTTCTCAGGGTCCTGAGGTGGAGGATCAGTTGGGTAGACAGCAGGGGAGGCAGAAAAACTCGTAGCATGGGGCACTGCAAGTGGAAGAGAGACAAGGGTGGAGCCAGTGAGAGACAGAGAGAACTCATGGGGTGTCTGGGTTTGGTGTCTAAAAGGCAGAGGTGAGGATGGCTACCCCCAAAAGGGAGCACTGGTCCTGCTAAAGAAAGGCATGTCTGTTTGTAATTTGGGCTGAGCTTCCTAAGGACCCAGCATTTGAGGCCTTGTGCCTCAACCCTTTTCGTCAAAGAGGGAAAGGTAGTGAGGTCACAATCGCTTTTGCCTTTAGAGAACTTGAGCAATGAGGTGGTACCTGATTGAGAACGGAAGCCAACCACCTTCTTTCTCAGCCTGCTATGTGGTCTTTTTGCCTCTGGCAATTAATAAAGCCCTTGTGGGTTTTTGCATAAATATGGGCTGTATTTGCATAAAATGTAGGCACAGTTTGCAGTGTCCCCTGGGGGAGCAATACATCCTGTGGCCTATTCCCTGTTTGTCACCTGAGGTTTGTCACTTTGTATGTCTTTTCCCTCACATCCACCCACTTGTCCTGACCTAGATCTGGGAGACCGGAGCATGAAAGGAGGTTGAAGGGTGAGGATGAGTGGCCCTGTCTTCTGGGCTACCAAGATGGGTCCGCATCCTGCCTTCCTCAGAGAGGCCTTCCTCTTCCTCTTTCCAGGCTCTATCAGTCCTTGCATATAGCCATGTATTCCTAAGTAACACCTTCCTTTTCATCCTAAGTAATTTGCCTCTGACATCTCCTTCAGCAACCTGCATTGGGCACAGCCTGTGTGCATGACTCAGCTCTACAGGATGTATCAAAGAGACGTATACCTAGGAACATGCAGAGGCCTGGCCTCCTTGAACCTTTGCCAGGAGGCCAGAGCTGTAAGGAATGGGCCTCTCCTGTACATTGTTCAGACTCTTTAAGGTGAAATTGCAGATGCTCAGTTGACATCAAGAGTTTGAGTTTATACCAAGTGAGGCCACAACAGGCACAGGCAGGACCTCCTAGAAACAGGAAATCAGGAGGACAGGGCCATGCCAGGGCTGTGATGGAGTTGGGGCCTGAGAGGCTTTCAGAATCCAGCCCAACTCTAGTGCCCAGGATATCTTGGAGCCCTCTTAGAAGCAGAAGCTCACAGTCTCCTATTCTTTCCATTAAAGACAAGCTGCCTCCTACTATTCTTACCTGACTTAAAAATTTCTGTTTACTTGTAGCTTCTGCTCATTTGGGCAAATCTAAGTCTAAAAGCCTTTGCAGATTGCTACTTTTGGCATGATTTCTGTGGTTCCACTATCAACTGGTTTACTTTCTCCCCATTAAAAAATTTCCAACAAAGAAAATAAAATGTTTCCAGCTGGGCACCATTGTCTCTATTTGGTCACAATGAAAATGCCTATTTCTTCAAAGTCTGGTTGCTAAGATAGAGGCTGGTTTCCTTAAATGCCACTTTGGATCTGATGTAATCAGCTGTGGCAGAGGGTGGGGGGACCTATGTGGGAAGATCCCTTGGAAGCGGTGGTGGGCACGGGAGGCATCCCAAACCTTAGCCTGATCCATATGCCTGGTTGGCTAAAGTGACAGCAACTTCTGTAGTAGTCAGAGTCAGTGATCATTTACTTACTGTGCTGAGGAGACTTAGATGGTTCCCTGTATCTAACACTGCAGTCTTCTTCTGGCTTGTCCATCTGTCGTACTGGCTGAGGGCTTCTGATATCTAGAGCAATGCTCAGTACATCCTCAATATCCAATAATGATTTGTGGAATAAGTAAGTGTATGCTGCCTAGATTAGCATGGAAACATCTCCTTTTCACTCACCTAGATTATAAGCAAATTTAGAGTAGGAACCCTATGTGAAAAAATCTGCAATACTTAAGGACCAGGCACACAGTTGGAGGTTATTAAATGCTTACTGATTTACTGCTTGGTAAATAAACAGAAAAGCATAAAAAAGATATTAGAGGGTATGGCCTACCAGCCATTCCAACTGGGGACTTTTGGAGGACTTTGGGCCAGCTTGTCTGGTATTAATGGTATATATTTATAATTAGGCCGTTGAGTGAGGAAACTGGGCATATGTGATAAGAAACTGAATAAAGTGTTATTCTAGGAGCTTCGTGAGCAGAGCACAGACTCACTTCACTATAAGGAAAAAAGAATGATCTTCTTAAACCTCATTAACTCAAACTCTACTAATTTAGAATTAGCAATCACTCAGACCCACAGAGCTGAATTTTACTGTTGCACTTTGAAAAGTGTATCTGTAAAGTCAGTGAGCAGTGTCAGAAGGGAAACAGGGGTGAGGGATTCAGCTGGTTATTGATCACCAATCATAGGTCCAGTACAAGTGCTCAGGAAACCCTCCCTGATCTGCTTGTTATCCTTGTTGAGACCCAGGGTGCCTTTTGTGCATGTGGCCCTCCATCATAACCCTTAGCACAATGCATCGTAAATAATCCTACAACAGATGGGAACTCCTTGAAGATGATGCCCCCAGTTCCTTTTCTCTGCATCCCCAGCTCAAAGCCTGCATAAATAAATGTTTGTCCACAGAAACGGTCTTTACATAAAAATGATTACTATGTTTATTACAAACACATATTATCCTAGGTTGAAGGTTTTATAGATTTTAGCCAAGTCCTGAACAAATTGTTCTCCCAGACCTAGTATTACCACTGTAGAGTAAAGGCTGAAAAGGCAACTTCATAAGAAGATTAAAGACAATTGATTTTGATAGTTAATTTATTGGTAATTAGGCATTTATTCACTCATTCATTCATTTATTTACTCACTTCCTCACTCTGGGATCACAGGTTGTAAAGAACAAAATGAATGAGTAAATAAATGAATGAATGATTGAATGAATGCTGTACGGCTTATCTCACTGTGATTCAGGTTCTTCTCCTCATATTGTGACCAGGTTGCCTCCTGGTGGGACCGGGTGTAGAGATGGAAGCTGTGATAGGATTTGGTGGGCTGCACAGGCCTGGCTACAGCTGGAACCCAGCTAGGTGGAAGGACAGCTCTGAATGAGCAAACCTAAGGTCGGGGGAGGGGAAATCTCAGCTTTGCAGGAGAAACTTTTATGGTGAGTGCTGAGGAGCACTCACTGATGGTGCCCTGGCAAGTGGTCATCCTCAGAAAAGTCCTAGAAGGGGCATAGAGTGTCTCAAAAAGAGGAGGATATCAAGTGTTGGCAACTTGGATCTGGCCAGTAAGTGGCATCCCAGGAACATTGTTAGATCCTGTGTTCCTTGCCTTATACACACAGAGATGCTGCAGTTAAAGGGTAGGTGAAAAGGAGCAATATGGAGCCCCAGTCCTAGAGGGTTTAGAAAACAGAACATGTCTTTAGGAACACAGAAAAGGATGGATGAGTTTCTAAGAATTGAAGTGAGTATTATTTGGTCACAGGAATGAGACAGTAGCCCAGTTACTAGTGCTGAGACATGAAGCCACAGCCAGATGGGGGCAGAGGCAACTTGAAAGTGGATCCTCTGGGTATCAATCTATGTCTTTCAATTCCCTTTGCTAGTAATATGTCTTTAGAGAAAGGGTAGTTGTGGGTGTGAGTGTGGGCAGAGGTCTCTCTGGAGTCAGAGGATAGTATAGGATTCCTGGGTGTCAGATGTGGGACACTACCAAAATAGGTGGACTAGATAATTTGAGACCAACTCTTCTGCTGAGGATTAGAAAAGATAAAAACAACAACAATAACAAAAACAAGTTGCCTGAAGGCATTGGAAATCTAACAAAGTAGTAAAGCATTTCTCAGGAGATCAAAATATAGAGGTGTAAATACTAGCAAATCACCCTTAACTTGGATTGGGACTCTAAAATGCTATACCCTAGTAATACAGGTGAATCAGAAGTAAACACACCCTCTCAAGACTCTATCCTAGCTCGAATCACTAGGTGGGGCAGAAATTTCCAATATCTGAAAGTGAATTAAGGTAATCCAAGGTTGTTATTGTCCTCAGAAGTATGACAAAAGTAAGTGGAAATAGCTTCTGGCAGAAGATAATTCCATTCTATGTCTCAAATCAGTTCTATAATTTTTTTTTCAAATGTATTGTTTGGCATGCAATCAAAGATAACCAGACATATAAGGAAAAAAACCCAAATGAACAAGAACTTGCCTAAAGAAAGACCCACAGAGTCTCCAGGTATTGGAAATGTTACCCATTTTAAAATAACAATATATACTATAGATTCTAAAATAATATATACTATTTTCAAGCAATTAAAAACAAGATGGAAGTTTTGGCAGAGATCAAGAAACCATAAATTTGATATATCAGATTTCAAAAACTAGTTCCATAAAAAGCATATGAATAAAAACACATGGAATGGTTTATTTAAAGAATAGACATAGCTGAAAAGGGAGTTAGTTAACTGGAATATAGGTCAGAAGAAAATATCTCAAATGAAGCCAAATCATATGAAAGGTGGGAAAAAAAATGGCAAAGAGGGTAAAAAACAGAGAAAACAGTGATAAGTTCTATCATAAGTTTAATTCAAGTCCCAGAAAAGGAAGAGAGAGAATGGAGCAGAAGAACTATTGAAGAAATAATATCTGAGACATTTCTAACAATGTTAAAATATTAAGCCAAGACTTAAAACTGCTATGACACATAAGCAAAAATTAAAACCCCACCTAGTCCACCATTTTAAAATTGCATAAAATCAAAGACAAAAGAAATCTGTAAAAGCAGTCATGATTGAAAAATAGGTTGCTTTTAAAGTGCAACAATTAGACTGATGAGTAACCCTTTTCAGTAGAAAAAAAATGCTGAAAGACAATACAATGATATTTTTAATGTGTTGAAAAAATAACTGCCCATTTAGAATTTTATCTCCTGAAAAAATATCATTTAGAAATGAGGGTAAAATAAAGATACTTTTGGACAAACAAAAGGAAATCTGTCATCAGTGATCTTATACTAAATAAAAAGCTAAGGGCATTCTTCAAGCAGAAGAAAAATGAGCTCACATGAGAAAAATGAGGTGTAGGAAGGATTAAAAAATAAAAAATAAGAAATATACAATTAAACCTAAATGACCATTGATTTTTTTGAAAATTTTCTATGGCCTACATTTATTTTTACCTGGACACCAAATAGGATGGGTCTTTTCCAGTTGTTCTATTTAATTGAGCAATTAGAATTAAAGATCAGCATTTTCCTTGATGAGTTTTCATGTAACTACATTAACCCTACTCTTTAAATTGGTGTTCAATGGACCTATTCTCACTGATGGCAGCAAAGTCACAAGTAAAGTCATTGTTACATTCCCTTCTTAGAGAGCTAGATACGGCTACTTTAAAGTTTGTTTTACATTGCTAACGAGTTTTTTTTTTAAATTATACTTTAAGTTCTAGGGTACATGCATACAACGTGCAGGTTTGTTACATATGTATACATGTGCCATGTTGGTGTGCTGCACCCATTAACTCGTCATTCACATTAGGTATATCTCCTAATGCTATCCCTCCCCCCTCCCCCCACCCCACAATAGGCCCTGATGTGTGATGTTCCCCTTCCTGTGTCCAAGTGTTCTCATTGTTCAATTCCCACTTATGAATGAGAACATGTGGTGTTTGGTTTTTTGTCCTTGCGGTAGTTTGCTGAGAATGATGGTTTCCAGCTTCATCCATGTCCCTACAAAGGACATGAACTCATCCTTTTTTATGGCTGCATAGTATTCCATGGTGTATATGTGCCACATTTTCTTAATCCAGTATATCATTGATGGACATTTGGGTTGGTTCCAAGTCTTTGATATTGTGAATAGTGCCGCAATAAACATATGTGTGCATGTGTCTTTATAGCAGCATGATTTGTAATCCTTTGGGTATATACCCAGTAATGGGATGGCTGTGTCAAATGATATTTCTAGTTTTAGATCTTTGAGGAATTGCTACACTGTTTTCCACAGTGGTTGAACTAGTTTACAGTCCCACCAACAGTGTAAGAGTCTTCCTATTTCTCCATATCCTCTCCAGCACCTGGTTTCATGACTTTTTAATGATCACCATTCTAACTGGTGTGAGATGGTATCTCATTGTGGTTTGCTTTGCATTTCTCTGATGGCCAGTGATGATGAGCATTTTTTCATGTGTCTGTTGGCTGCATAAATGTCTTCTTTTGAGAAGTGTCTGTTCATATCCTTTGCCCACTTTTTGATGGGGTTGTTTGTTTTTTTTCTTGTAAATTTGTTTAAGTTCTTTGTAGATTCTGGATATTAGCCCTATGTCAGATGAGTAGATTGAAAAAATTTTCTACCATTCTTTAGTTTGCCTGTTCACTCTGATGTTAGTTTCTTTTGCTGTACAGAAGCTCTTTAGTTTAATTAGATCCCATTTGTCAATTTTGTCTTTTGTTGCCATTGCTTTTGGTGTTTTAGACATGAAGTCCTTGCCCATGCCTATGTCCTGAATGGTAAAGCCTAGGTTTTCTTCTAGGGTTTTTATGGTTTTAGGTCTAACATTTAAGTCTTTAATCCACCTTGAATGAATTTTTGTATAAGGTATAAGGAAGGGATCCAGTTTCAGCTTTCTACATATGGCTAGCCAGTTTTCCCAGCACCATTTATTAAATAGGGAATCCTTTCTCCATTTCTTGTTTTTGTCAGGTTTGTCAAAGATTAGATGGTTGTAGATGTGTGGTATTATTTCTGAGTGCTCTGTTCTGTTCCATTGGTCTATATCTCTGTTTTGGTACCAGTACCATGCTGTTTTGGTTACTGTAGCCTTGTAGCATAGTTTGAAGTCAGGTAGTGTGAAGCCTCCAGCTTTGTTCTTTTGGCTTAGGATTGTCTTGGCAATATGGGCTCTTTTTTGGTTCCATATGAACTTGAAAGTAGTTTTTTCCAATTCTGTGAAGAAAGTCATTGGTAGCTTGATGGGGATGGCATTAAATCTATAAATTACCTTGGGCAATATGACCATTTTCATGATATTGATTCTTCCTACCCATGAGCATGGAATGTTCTTCCATTTGTTTGTATCCTCTTTTATTTCATTGAGCAGTGGTTTGTAGTTCTCCTTGAAGAGGTCCTTCACATCCCTTATAATTTGGATCCCTAGGTATTTTACTCCTAGCAATTGTGAGTGGGAGTTCACTCACGATTTGGCTCTCTGTTTGTCTGTTATTGGTGTATAAGGATGCTTGTGATTTTTGCACGTTGATTTTGTGTCCCGAGACTTTGCTGAAGTTGCTTATCAGCTTAAGGAGATTTTGGGCTGAGATGATGGGGTTTTCTAAATATACAATCATGTCATCTGCAAACGGGGACAATTTGACTTCCTCTTTTCCTAATTGAATACGCTGTATTTCTTTCTCCTGCCTGATTGTCCTGGCCAGAACTTCCAACACTATGTTGAACAGGAGTGGTAAAAGAGGGCATCTTTGTCTTGTGCCAGTTTTCAAAGGGAATGCTTCCAGTTTTTGCCCATTCAGTATGATATTGGCTGTGGGTTTGTCATAAATAACTCTTATTATTTTGAGATATGCCCCTCAATACCTAATTTATTGAGAGATTTTAGCATGAAGCGTTGTTGAATTTTGTCAAAGGCCTTTTTTGCATCTATTGAGATAATCATGTGGTTTTTGTCTTTGGTTCTGTTTATATGCTGGATTACGTTTATTGATTTGTGTATGTTGAACCAGCCTTGGGCATTGATGTTCATCTGGGATATTGGTCTAAAATTCTTTGTTTTTTTGTGTGTCTCTGCCAGGCTTTGGTATCAGGATGATGCTGGCCTCATAAAATGAGTTAGGGAGGATTCCCCCTTTTTCTATTGATTGGAATAGTTTCAGAAGGAATGGTACCAGCTCCTCCTTGTACCTCTGGTAGAATTCAGCTGTGAATCTGTCTGGTCCTGGACTTTTTTTGGTTGGTAGGCTATTAATTATTTCCTCAATTTCAGAGCCTTTTATTGGTCTATTCAGGGATTCAACTTCTTCCTGGTTTAGTCTTGGGAGAGTGTATGTGTCCAGGAATTTATCCATTCCTTCTAGATTTTTTAGTTTATTTGCATAGTATTCTCTAATGGTAGTTTGTATTTCTGTGGGATTGGTGGTGATATCCCCTTTATCATTTTTTTATTGCATCTATTTGATTCTTCTCTCTTTTCTTCTTTATTAGTCTCGCTAGTGGTCTATCAATTTTGTTGATCTTTTCAAAAAACCAGCTCCTGGATTCATTGATTTTTTGAAGGGTTTTTTTGTATGACTATTGATTTTATAAAGCAATAATAATATTGCCTTCTGGGGTTTAAAATTAAAATAGAAGCAAAATAAATAAAAACTGGTATATATATTAAGAGAGGAATAAATACAATTATAATTCTCTAACGTCTTTTTCTTTTCCCGAACAAGCTTCCAATTAACATTAGACTTTGATAAGCTAAAGATGTAAATTCAGCTTTTAGTTTAACCACTAAGAGAATAGAAAAATAAATGTCTAATCAGCCAATGAATACATAACCATCCCCTAAAAAGAAAGTTAAAAAAGTCAAACCATGAGAGAAATGAAAGAGAGAAAAATGAAACATAGAATAAGAGAGACAAAGTATAAACACATAGTAAAGTGGTGGATTTAAACATACATATATCAATAATTGCATTAAATGTAAATGGACTAAATATTCCAAATGAAAGACAAAGATTGTCAGACAGGGTTAAAAAACTCAATTATATTTGTTTTTTGAGATGTACAACTAAAACATAATGATATCAAAAAGTTAAAAGGAAGGAAATATGTGTTATATTAAGATTAGAAAAAGTAGGCTTAAAGGCAAAAATGTTATTAGAGACAGTAAGAATTTCTTAGTGATAAAAGATTCAACTTACTGGGAAAAAATAACAATTCTGCCTTTAAATACAGCTAAAATATGACCTTAAACTAGAGTAAAAATGGACAAATCTAAAAGGAGAAATGAGCAAATCTATTCTCATAATATGTATTTTAGCTTACCTCGCTCATTAACTGAGAAAACAAACAGAAAAGAAAATGAGTGGGATATTAAAGGTTTTTTAAAATATTAATGTTTACATAAAAATACATAAATGTGTGTGTGTGTATATGTGTATGGCACACTGCAGTTAACTATAGAATGTACATTCTTTTCAAGCACACAAAAGCATTGATAGAGTTTGACTACGTTCTGAGTCATCAAACAAATCCCAACATTTCAGAGCATTGAAATCATATAGACTATGTTCTCTGATAAAAACACAAATAATCCAGACAAATAAAATGATAACTAGAAAAATCTTCATTTGATTAGACATTAAGAAATGTGCTTTCAAACCAAATACCACATGTTCTCACTTATTAGTGGGAGCTAAATAATGAGAACACATGGACATATAGAGGGGAACAACACACACTGGGGCCTATTGCAGGGTGGGGGGTTAGAGGAGGGAGAGGATCAGGAAAAATAACTAGTGAGTAAGTACTAGGCTTAATACCTGGGTGATGAAATAATCTGTACAACAAACCCCCATGACACAAGTCTACCTATGTAACAAACCTGCAATTGTGTCTCTGAACTTAAAGGTTAAAAAAAGAAAGAAAGAAATGTACTTCTAGATAACCCACTGTTCAAGGAAGAAGTCACAAAGCACAATAGCAAATACTTGAAACTGGAGTATAATAAATATAAAATACATCAAGAGTTGTAGAGTATGGCAAAAGAAGTACTTACTGGGGAAATCTTATGCCCGTAAATGTGTATATTAGAAAAAAAAGAAAGGCTGAAAATAATATAAGCATCCATTTTAAAAGTTAGAAACACAATTTCAAAATGAACACAAAGAATGTAAAAGGAATAAAATAATAAAGATAAAACAGAAAACATAAAACTAAAAATAATCACACAAAATAGGGGATCATTGGAAATAAAAAAATCAGCCTTTGAAAAGGATATAATAACTGATAAACTCCTGATGGGATTAATCATGAAAAAAGAGAAAGGTCACAAATAACAAAAAAGGGACTCTTATCATGGATCTAATTAACATAAAAAAGAAAAAAGTAGTATATTATAAATTTGAAAATTTATTTGAAATGACAAATATTTAGAAAAAGCCATCTACTAAACATAAAAAGAAATTGAAAATTCAAATTGCTAATGAATACATTAGTTAATAAATTAATTTGTAATTTCCCCAAAAGGAAAACTTCTCAAACATTATTTCTCTAGCAAATTTTCCCAAATATGTATAATAAGAAAGAAATAGTAGTGATTTTAACCAAACTCTTCTTAGAGGGACAAAATAAGAGAAACATTTTCTAACTTGTTTATGAGGCCATCATAAATGTGACACTAAAACCTGTAAAAAATAAAAGAAAGAAATATTACAAGTCAGTGCCTCTCCTGAACATTTGGACAAAAATTATAAATAAGATAATAGCAAACCAAAATCCAACAATATGTAGAAAAAATAATTTGTCATCTCTCATGTGAATTTATTCTGTGAATACAGAATTGATTCAATTTCTGAAAATAAATTAATAGATTTCACCACATTAGTAGAATACACTAGAAAAAAATTATTTTTATAGGTACAGGAAAAATGTCTGATAAAAGTTATGATAAAAAGTCTTTATCAAACTAGGAATAAGTATAAACTTCCTTGTAATGAAGGGTAATCTTTCTGATAAAGAGTATGTACAAGAACCACATCTTTAATAATTCTTTCATAGAAATGTTGACAGATTTTGTTTTTGAGATTATGACTAAGACCAAGGTACTCACTATTATCATTTCTATTGAACATTATATTGCATGTCCTAGGCAATGCATCAAGAAAAGTTGAAAAATAAATATTATTTGAATTGGAAAGCAAGAGATAAAATTGTAAGTATTTATATATTGGTTATATTATTTTGTATGTAAAAATATCTCAACAAATTTACAGATAAGTTACTAGCATTTACAAGTGAGTTTAGCACTTTTTTAAATAAACGGTATTCAAAAACCAATTGATTTTTAAATACCAGGTATAAATAATTACAAAATAAAATTTAAAATATAGCACTTATTATAGCATCAAAATATAACATAAAATACTAAGAATAAATCTAAAAAAAGTAAGATGTAAATTATGCTAAGAATAGACAATACACTCTTGAAGAAGATTTATTCTGTTGAATATTAAGATTTATTTTAAGGTTATAAAAATTAAGATAGTATAGTATTATAGTAATAATAGGTTAATAGATGCAGACCCATGCAAGTATTATTTGATTTATGACAAATACAGCACCTGTTGCAGTGGGCAAAGGATGGTGTTTTGAATAAATGCTTTGGGAACAAAATAGATCTCCATATAATTAAAAAAATTTTCACCCCTACTTAACACTATTCCAAAAAAACCATATAGATTGTGTATATAATTGTAAATTTTAAATTTACAACTTATAAATTGTAAAAATTGTGTATACAATTAATATATTAAATATTAATAGTATATAATTGTAAAAGGCAAAACAGTAAATCTTATGAAAGACAAGATAGAGAGTATCTTCATAATTGCAGAAGAGGGGAAGATTTTTAAACAGGAAACAAACAACACCAATCATAAAGAAAAAGGTTGTCAATTTATCTATATTCAACTGTAGAATTTTTATCATCAAAATAAATCCTCCAGAGAGTGAAGATGCAACCCTGGGAGGGACAGATATATATAATACATATAAGTAACAAAAAATATTGTTTCTAGAATAAAGTACTCTACAGATCAATAAAAGAAGATAGTGCAATAGAAAAATGGGCAAGAGACTTAAACAGGGATCCCACACAAAAACAATGTGTTCACATGGCAATGTGTCCACCTTCATTAATAATCAGAAATAATGAGAAATATGAACATTAAAACCACAATGAGATAACACTACATAACAATAGGATAGGAATTTTAAAAGCCTGTTAATGACAAGTTTTCATGAGACTGCAGAGCAATCAGAGCTTTTGTACACCACTGGTGAGAGTATAAACTGACACAACAATGTTGGAAAATTACACTTCCCAAAGCTGAAGATATACAAGCCCTATGACTTACCAATTTTATTCCTAAGTGTACAGTCAGCACAAATTCATGCACACATATGCCAAGAGATGATTTGCAATAGCTTAAGCTGGTAACAACTCAAATATCCATTATTGATAGAATGGATATATAAAATGTGGTCTCTTCAGATACAGGCATACTATACAACAATGAAAATGGGCAAATAACTGCAACATGCAAAACATAGATGAATTTTACAAACTAAACATTAAGCCAATGAATCCAAACACAGAAGAATACATGTGTGATTCCTTGTATATAAGGAACAGGCAAAATTAAACTATAGTGTTCAGGAATACAAATTTGTTGATAAGATTATAAGGAAAACCAAATCAAACAGGAATGCTTAGACAGGTTTTTACGTTGACCTGGGTAGTAGTTACACGAGTGCTCATTTTGTACTTACTTACTAAAGTAGACATTTATATTTTAGGTTCTTTTCTGTACATGTGATATAATTTTGCAGTACAAAAGAGGTGGGTCAGAGTTGAGAGATAAACAACACTTGTCTTCTATCTCCTTTTTCTCTTCTTCCCTCTTGTCCCCATCTCCTCTTCCTTTTTTTTTTTCCTGACAATCTAGGTCTACACATTTTAGAACTCTTTTATGTAAAGGCAAAATAAATATTTTCCCCCCAATTTTTTTCCTGTTTTTACTATTTTGTTCTGCAAAGCAAAGCATTTTGGAAGACGTGTTAAAAAGAAAGAACAGACTGAAATCATTAGTCACCTCAGGGTTTGTCTGCAGTTATGTTACCCATTCCATTAGTCTCTGCAACTGCGGGGGCAGGAGGAGCAATACTCTAGGGATTTGGAGCTCTGATGGCAGTACATAAACTCTGGCTGAGATTTTTTAAGTGCCCCTTATTCACAGTGATATAAATAATTTGAATTCTTCTTGGATTAAGGAATATTACCTACCTGCTTGTAGACATAGACAGGTCTGGTGGATGTTGCCTGGCACCTCTGCAAGGATAAATTCATTGGCAGTCTCTTCCCTGTCTGCTCTCTGAGCCCAGGGAGAGGTGAAGTAGAGAATTTCCTCTGTGACAGGAAAAAGAGAAGAAACCAGGGAAGGTGGAGAATTGTCAGAACTGGTTTGTTGCATGTCTGACTTAGTGGAGAGAAGAAGATAGGCGGAAATGTCCTGGATTAATCTGAGGAAGGTTCTACAAAGCTGCAGGGTGTCAATGAGCCAAAGTCCATCAACAAGAGAGTCCTTTGTTTCCCAGGAGCAGGTCTTCCTTAGAATCCCGGCAACATTTAGTCACTGTGAGGAGCAGCCTTGGGGAGCTGTCAATTCAGTGTGAATGCTGAGATGAATTTCAAGTCTTAGGAGTTGGGGGCACTTGTTCTTCAAGTCGCCTGCTTGGGTTCCTTCCAAGTGTACTTTGCTTTTTTTCCTGTTTTAAAGCCTTTTAAAATAAACTTCCACTCCTGCTCTGAAACATGCCTTGGTGTCTGTTTTCTGCCTTATGTCCCTCAGGAAAATAAATAAATAAATAAATAAAATAAAATAAATAAATAAAACGTTAGGAGTTGGAGCTCTCAGTCATTTATGCTGCCTGTGAGTCTCTTATCTTGGTATGGAAGGGTTTTTTTTGTTTTTTTTTTTTTTTGTTTTTTGTTTTTGTTTCTGTTTTTCCTTCCTTCCTTCCTTCCTTCCTTCCTTCCTTCCTTCCTTCCTTCCTTCCTTCCTTCCTTCCTTCTTTCCTTCCTTCTTCCTTCCTTCCTTCTTTCCTTCCTTCATTTCTTCCTTCTTTCTTTTCTTTTCTTTCTCTCTTTCTCTTTTTTTTTTTTTCAGGGTCTCACGCTGTCTCCCCGGCTGAAGTGTTGTGGCATGATCTCAGGTCACTGAAATCTCTGCCTCCAGGATTCAAGTGATTCCCATGACTCAGCCTGCCTAGTAGCTGGGTTTACAGGCGCCTGCCACCACGCCTGGCTAATTTTTGTATTTTTAGTGGAGACAGGGTTTCACCATGTTGGCCAGGCTGGTCTCAAACTCCTGCCCTTAAGTGATCTACCTGCCTTGGCATCCAAAGTGCTGGGATTACAGGTTTGAGACACTGCTCCCAGCCTGGAAGTATTTTTTCATGGCTGTGGTAGCAAGGAAAGAAAGGAGAAGTGGGATTCTCAGGACAGTTCCTAATGCCTCCTCCAGGTGGGAACTTGGAATGTTGACTGACTTCTTCCTGTGCCTTTGAAAAATCATTTAGGGGCAATAATAATAACCCATCACTAAAGTTGAAACCCAGTGATCTCAGCTGCCCCTATCCTTCCAGCCTCCAGGAGGCTGACCTGAGGTTCCTGATTTTGGGGCACCCCAAGCCAAGCTGGGAGTCAAGCTCTGGGGGAAGGAGAAGAGGCTTTCAAAGGCATTGTGTGGGGGACCTGCCCTGAGTACTATTTCTTTCTGACATGTGCCTGCACATGCACCATGGCAAGGTGAGAATAACCCCAGAATCCTGCCATGGGGATTCTGACTACACCAGGCTCTGTTCTGGAAGAGGAGGAAGAGCAAGTTGAGGTTCTGAATGTTAATTCTGGTATCTTTTTCTTAGCTTCCTAAATAGCCCCAGTGGACATGACTGATTCTCCATTTGGATTTCAAGTACTTCCCTATACCGGTTTCCCTTTGTCTTCAACTGGACAATTTCTGATGCCTGAGAGTAGGGACCTGCATTTATCTTCTTATTTCTCCCCACAGGGCTGCCCCCAGAGGCTTCCCCTTCTCCTTCTCTCAACTCAGTCCTCCCTGCCTCCAGGGATTACTCAAATACTTTCCCAGGAAGCATCTGTGGGCTAATTCAACACAAGCTCATCTTCCCTGCTTCTGAAGTATGGCATTGGCAGTGTGAACTGATCACACAAAAGCCTGCATTGTTGTCTAATTTGTTCCCTGTGTTTCTTGTCCTTTCTTTGCTTGGGAGCTCTCCTAGGAATTTGCTCTTCCTTTGATCTCTGCCAGATCATCCAGCACAAGGTAGGGCACCTTTTATTTATAAGAAACTTCAATGAACAATCAACAGTACCCTAGGGCATCAAGATCAAAACTGATGATCACCTTTGGAGCCTGACTGGGAGAATTATATTGCTTCTGGCAGCAAGAGAAACCTCTGGATGAGAAGCTAGTTTTAGAGGAAGATGGTAACATTTTCAACACAAGGAGCTTGAGAAGTATGTAGAACATGCAGATGCAGAGTTCTACAACAAGATGGGAGCGGGGCCTGCCGATGCAGGACTCAGCATAGGGTGGAGATCTTCACTCCTATCAACACATATTCACTAAGCATAGCATTGGACCACTCTCAAAACAGTTGGGACCATGTATCAGGCATAAAAACTCTCCTCAGAGAGCAGCTAATCTCTGCAGAAGATGAGACATAGATGTGCTAAATAATAACCTAAGATACTTTAAGTAAAAGTACAAGAAAACAGAAGTGATGTGACTCCCAGTACATAATTAGTTGACATGTGAGAGATACAGTCGTTAAGTCCTATTTATTCCAAAGAAGGAGAAAACATTTTAGGCTGGGGAAATCCAAGTACAAGCTTGTGCTGAATCTTTAGGAATAGGAGAAAGGACGAGAAAATTCCAGATGGGTGTAATTCATTAGCAAAATGGAGAGGTGGGGGTGCGCAAGTCAACTTTGGATATATTCAGAAATCTCACAGATTCCAATCATCTGCAGTATAAGGCCATAGTTATCTATCTATCAAATTTTAACAAACTGTTTCGAAAACTGGTGTGGCGTTAAGGCACAGGTGCCTGGGTTATAAGCCTTTAGTCTGTCTCTACACCTGCTCCACCACTTACTAATGACCTTGAATAAGACACTTAATATTTCCAAGTCTCTATTTCCCATCTGTATGACCAATACCCTGTCTGTGTTAAAGGGCTTTTGTGGAGGTCCAGAGAAAACATCTGTGAAAGTCCCCAAAACGCAGCAGTTAGTGGATGTTGGTTATTATGATTTCCAACTTTCTTTGATACACACAGTGCCTTCTCTATTCTCTGAAGGCCTAAAGCCCCTATTCTTGTATCATACCTTCTTACCTACCTGTACCATCTGTTATTACCTCTTAATTCCTTCATGAGTTTGTAGGAGCTTCTTAATTATGTCATAAACCCACTGTGGACAAGGGCCTTGTCTTAGACAGTCACTGTGGGTACATGCTAGGTGCTCAAAAACTTGTTTCAATGATTGATTTCTATATTCATGAGGATCAAAATAATCCCAAAGGAAACAGATCTTGGGGTTGACATTGACAGATGGGTAAGTAATGACAGGTAATGTTCAAAGGACAGAATGCCTGGTGAGGGCAATGATGTGAGATTGTGGCAGATTTTTATTTTTACTTTTTACTTTTCTGAATGCCTAATTCCCCCAGAACATTCTACCAGGTTTTGAAGTTGTTTATCGCCCTGATACTTTGTGAGAAAATCAAATGAAACAAAAACCAAAGGAGAAAATATCCATCCAACAGCTGGACAGCTCAGTTATTTTTAGGGACGGGAAGAGAAGTCAGTGTTTGGGACTCAGCAAAACATCCCACTCTGTTTGGAGTTGACCAGCCCTTGGAAATGCATGGCTCTAAGCATTTTCTCAGCTGCAACTCTCCAGCACATGTGTATTTGAAGGGAAACTTAATCCATCTTTTTCTGGTTCACTTATACTGAAGTCATCAAAAAAGCTGTTGACATGTCCTTTGCATGGCCCTGTTCTCTGTGAGTTTTCAGGAAATACCAACATAATCTTGAGGTCTTTTTGGTATCCCAGGGTTCTTGGGTTTTGTCTTCACTGGGAACACAGGGAGAGTGGAGAATGCTTTGAACTAAAGTCATTCCAAATTTGCAAAGCTCTGCTCTTCCCTCCAGGAGTCTCAGTGGCTCCCAGAGTCTGAAAATCTTGGAAAAAGAACAAAGTTAGAAGCATCTTCGAGATCTTAGATCTCCTGTCCTTGTTCCTAGCAGAGACTGAGGGATGGCCCAGGAGAGGGAGAAAGTGTTTCAGAGGCAATTTGGCCAGGAGACTAAGTTCAGGACAAAGAGAGTTTTGATTCCAGACAGTGTGACCTTGAGCAAAAGCAGTTCTTTTTTTTAATTCTTCAATTCCCCCAAATGTGGTAGGAGAGCGATATTGCAATTCTTGATCTCCTAGATATGGCTTGTGTGGTTAATGTGTGGTTTGTGACTTTAAGAAACAAAAATATCACAGTAAGAAATTATTGTTTTCCAGATACACAGATGGAAGTCCTGATCCTTTTGGTGATGTGTCTTCTGGGTATCCCATCTCTAGCACTGGGTGTGGACAATACTGAATTGAGCTTACTTTTTAGGCTTAGTGAGAGGTCCAGCTTGGGTGTGTAGCCCAAGCCCTGAGTGATATTAACTGATCCATAAAGGGAATGAGTGTTTCATAGCTGAGTCCCCTAGCCTCTCAGCTCAGGATGCACATTTGGGCAGGCATGGAAGGAGATTTGTGTCCCGTCCTGCATAGACATAGCTAATACCTCAATAGAGGAGAAAAATGTGTACACTCTCCCTAAAATTAAAAGCTGAGAAGGAACTTGGGAACTCACCACCTCATTTTTATTTTAAATATGGGGAAAATTAGACTGCAAGAGGTAAGATAATGTGCTTATCACTTACTGAATATTGATTTTGTGCCAGCCCTATGCCTAAGTGTGATCATATTTAGCAGCACTGGATGGATGATATTATTACCCTCATTTTGCAGATGAAGCAACTGGGGTGCAAAAGAGGGTGATAGCTGGTTCAAAGTCACTCAATGAGCATGTTGTGAACTAGAATTTGAATTCAGCTCTGCCATACTTCAAAGATCAACTGACATACAGAGCTAGCTAGTGAGGGACCAGAACACACAGAGTCCTGGATGTCTCAGCCAGGGAGTATTTCAAGATGTAGACATTGGGTTGTACCTGCAGCACGTATACTCTTTTATCTACAGCACCTGCCACTGTCTGGTCCACCATCAAGTTAGCTGCCTGGGGAAGAAACCTCCACTGCAGAGGTAGAGAGGGTGATGAGAGGCTTTGAGAGGTGGAGGTGGAGCTGAATCTCCCATCTTAGGGAAATGTGCAGGGGTAGCCCCTGTGGGTAGTCTTCCAAGACTCCAACATGCCCATCATGGGAGAGCAAGTAAGCTGAGGTTTAGAAGCCAGCAGACAGTAATGGTAAGTGAATTCAAGGAAGAACCACCCCAGTACCATATCTGTAAAAGATATTTGTCACTTTCCATCTTGGTATCTACCCTTTTTTGTCATAACATACTAAAGAGTGGGGGAGTAGGAGGTATCCTAAGAGTAACAGAGCTCCCTCTCTCATCTCTTTGTCCTTTGAGCCATGGCCTGGCCAATGCTGGGGAGGGGAGGAAATGACACTTATATTGGATATACCATGGAGTTCTAAGTAAGCCTCCATTCATTTGTACTTTTTAGTATTTGGAAGTGATTAGACAGCAATGAGATGTGCGTAGGTCATCATTAAGGATGGAAAAGGGAATTTAACAGGACCTGTTTGAAAACAGGGATTGGAGAAAAAGCAAATCATTTCATGTCTGTGCCCTGTGAGTTCTGGATGCTTAATGGACAGATTATCTTTCTGTTTTTCAATCCATCTGTCATATGGAGGGAATATAAAAATGGAACGTGTCCTTAGATAAGATTCTTCTCTTCCTCCTCTCCTCTTGAGCACATTTTGCTTGTGTCTGCACTCTCTGGTTTTGGCCAGAAGAAAAAGCCCAAGACACTAAGACATTGCCACATTGGCTATTATTTCCAGATGAACTACTCAGTACCAGAATGGCTAGACATGGAGGAAGTGGAAGAGAGAGAGAGGAAGAGAGGGAGGGAGACTGTCCTCACAAATGTCAGGGAGAGAAAGGGACAAGACAGAGTATGAGGGACAGAGGGAGTGGGAAGTGCTGCAAAGGGAAGAGAAGGTGGGGGTGGGGGGAAAGAGCCTGGAGAGAGGAAGGCAGTGGGGGAGGGAGGGAGGAGGGCAGAGTGAAAAGAGTGAAAGGGTGAGAAGGGGGTTTTGGGGTCAGAGCCAGAGCAGCTTCCTGCCAGGCCTGCTGCCCAGCAAGCTGCTGGAACATCTGCATCCTGGTGGGGGTGTTTCCAAATGGAGCTGCCTCTTCCTCTGACTTCTTCCATATGCATCTGTGTGCCTGCCCAGTTAGGCCTTTCCCAAAGTGCTTGCTTTCCCCTTACTAATCAGCCACTTGTGCCCAAACAGCTAACTCAGCTCTGGACATGGTCAATCCTGGGTTCAGCCAGGAGAAGAAGCGTTGCTATTGGGCATCACAACTCCAGGCTCAGGAGGAGCAGACAGCTGTACTAATGCTCCCCTGACCTCTTCTTGAGTAACTCTGGGGTTATTAAATGAACACAGAAATAGGAGTCAGGGTCAGGGGGACAGAGTCCTGTGTGGTCTTGGCAAGTTGTGAAACTTCTCTGAGAGTCAATCCCATCATCTGTAGGATAAGACACTGAAGACCCTTCTTAATGATTTTGGGAGAGATTGTAGGTCATGCAATCTTATTGTAGTATTCTTGATTATCTGACTTCTGAGCTTGGATAGAGAGAGTTTAGATGGAAGTTGGAAGCTGTTATTCCCTCCTCACCAACTTTCCTCTTTCTGCAGCATCTCAGATTTGTGGTAGGGTCTGACTGGAGGAGTCTCTGAAATTATGTCTATCCTGGAGAGGGGCTACCAGATGGTTTCAGGTGTCAGAGCCTAACTCCAGCCCTGAACAAGAGGGAAAACATGTCCTCTAGACTTCCCTAGCCACTGTGGTGCCCTCTTAGTTTCTTCTGGGGTCCCATCCCCGGGTGTCACCCTCAGGCAACTGCACCACTGCCTCTCAGCTGACAGATAATTAATCACCGTGAAGCTGTCCCATGACCTAGAAGTTTCTAACTGCTATTAGATGAAAAGAGGTTCTTGTGCAGAAAAGAGATCTTGTGCAAATCTCACTTGGAAGTTCACTGTCCTTTTCCCAGATGGCCCATCTCCTGGTTCTTCCTTTCCTACCCTTAGCACCTTCTTTTCCCTGACTCCCACGGTGCCTGAGGACGATAGCCTTGGGGACAGAATCCTGGGCAGCCGGGTGGGGCTGGGCCACCTTTCATGGCCTTACTTCTGTGGGCATGGAGGGGGGTTGCAGGGGATCCACTCAACCGCTTGCTGAGAACAGGAGGCAGAAATGAAGGCTTGGCTGGTGGGAGATGCCTGGGAGGACACAGACAGTCCTCAGCTCCTGTTGTTGGATGTGGCCAGGGCAGCTCCTGTCATTCATCTTCTGGGGCTATCCACAGTGCTAGTGAAGCTGTCCTCTTGTAGAAGCAACCCCTCCCACCTAGGCTCTCCACTCCCACCCACTCTGCTAAGATTCTCCCCAAGGGGCCAGTGATTGGATAGGAACACTGTGCTCCTCCCTTGCAGCCTTGCAGGTTTATGGGGATCTAAACTAAGGAGACGAAGGTCCCTTTCTGGAATTTTGGGCCTCCATCTGCAGTGGCACCAGGCTTAAGTTCATATGGCCTCTTGAAATCAACCATTTTTAGGCCCTGACTTGGCCTCCTAAAAGCTCCCCGCTGACTCATGGAGTTAATGTGTCCGCAGGTGAGCACAGGAGACCTGGGAAGGTATGTCTAGCACTGAGGAAGCTCTAGCAGGAGATCCTGGAGTGGGGGTCATTGTGTGAGATTTGCTACCCCCAGGGGCAGCACAGGTTGAAATGTAACTAGATGCCACGGATATACTTATGAGTCCATGGACTATAAATCCCAACCACCAAAGTGGACCTTCAAGGCAGGAATGAGATTACCATTTGTTGAACACCTACTATATGCCATTTGATATTCATCTACCCCTCACAACAATCATAATAGGTAAGCATCATTGCTCCTCCTTAAAGATGACACAGGGGCTCAGAAAGATTGTGAAATTAGCCTAAGATCACATGTAGCACAACCGGCAGAGCTGAGACTTGAACCTGGTTAAGGGGGAACAGGCATGCTTGGCTCTTGACTGCTCTGGGGAGTGGGATGAGGGAGACACCCGGGCACTGACCATCCTCTGCTCCCCGTGGGCTCCCCACTACCTCCCAAGTCCAGTTCTTAGGACTCTTCAAAGCTAGCGCCAGGCTCAGTCTTCTGGGAAAGTCACACATACCTCCTTCTTGCACCCTCTCTTCTCCACTGGTCATCTGGAGTTACTACAGGCAGGAAGAATTGAGTAAGTTAATTCTTCACATGGGACTCTTTCCTCTGCCTGGACTGAGGCTCCTGGCTGGCCTAGATGGGGCCTTTTCTGCTCTCCCTCCCTGACACTCTTGCCATGGTCCTTGCAGAGAGAGTAACTGAGTAACTAGTGTAGCTAAGCCACAGGGACTTTTTCTAGGCTCCCATTTGCCTGGCTCTGAGATAAACCAGCTTTGTCTAGCTGGATCCTTACTGAGCACAACAGAGCGCCTCACCCAGAGGAATGGCCGTTCACCCACATGGTCCTCACGTGCCACAGACAGGTGCAAGTTGCTGCTCTTAGCGCAAGAACTCTGTCTCCCACCTGGGCCCCAGGGAACTTGTCAGCCGTTCCTTCCTTTACCCGGATCTATATATACTGAGGACATGGTGCGGGTGGGTAAACGGAGTCACATTCACTATGACCACTTGCTGATGCACACAAACAACCTCTGCTAAGACACTTAGCTTCTCAGGTGGTGTTTCGTAGGCACTTTCCTGTAAGCAGTGATAAGTTAAGGGTGTCAGAGAATGCTTCACTACCCTGTGTGTGACATGCTCTTGGTGAGGTCACAAGTAGGACTGTCAGGCAGTGTTTTTGGTGAAGTGGCTTTTTCTTGATTTTCCTTATAGCCCTCTTTCCCCCTTCGACCTGAGACATGGCCGGAATGAGAGGCATGTATGAGGGACAAGTGTCATGCTGGCCTCAAAATGACCTTCCTTCACTGACCACTCTTGCTCTGTCCTGGATTAAGCTTGGTTTCCTGACTTCTGCTTATTTTAAGAGGATTATCTTAAATAGGCACCTAGTGGAATTACCCTATCTTGTTGCCAGACCTGTCTCGATCCCAGCAAGCTAAGATGGAAAGCCTGCTTCTCTAAGCCCATTGCCTCTTTATCAAGCCCTCTGATGAGATCAGGTGCATTCAGGGTGATACCGCTGTGGACTATTAAGTCCTCTGTGTTCCTTCTGCCTCTGGGCCTTCATTGTGTCTTCTCTCTTGCCCGAAGCAGGTAGAAATGCATGCCTGAGTTGTGATGTCTGGGGGCACTTTTCCTCCACTCGAACCACCTAAATTCTACTTCTTCAAGACCTAGCAGAATCCTCACTGCCTCAAGAAGCTTCCCTTGATTATTCAGTTCTGCACTGTAGTTTCCTTGTTCAACTCACACTGCCCTTAGTCCAAACCACCCTTACCATCATGTGACCACTTTATCCTCACATTATTCTTTCTTCGTCCACAGTGGATGCCCTTGAGTATGTAATTCACTTCTCTTGCTTCTCTCAAAGAACTCACTGCTTGGCCAGTGCTCAGTGAATGTTTGAGGCCTGATTAAAAGCCAGGATTTGGCTGATGTGGGGCTGGGAGGTCCAGGTGGCCCAGCTCCCACCAATGATTAGCTCCTTTCTTTGTGCTGCCCTAAAATCCTGGCTTGGTTCATTAAGATGCAATAAGAAGTCTGGGACACTGGCATCTTCTGTTTACAAGCCACACTTCATTCGGTCCTGCCCTTGTTCCCTCAGCCCTGCAAGCACAAGTGTCTGTCCATCCCTTCCCGGTGTTGCCCTCCACCTTTAAGAGGGAAAATTTAGATGTATGGATTTTGGCAAAGGCTTAAAACTGGCAAGAAATAAAAAATTCAGCATACCCTTCTGCATATTTTATAACTCAGTCTAATGAAGAAATAATCCAAGATGGCACCTGCTAAGAAAACTTAGTTTATTGAAATATGACTGTAATATAGGAAAGATGGCTAATGCACTAGGCTGTGCGATATTAATGCCCTATACTTCAGCTGGTGTGTTTAAAAGAAGTCTCTCATGTATTTTATTTTATTTTATTTTATTGGGAGCCATATCATTAGCTTTTAAAGACATTGTGAGTGAGAGAAGAAAAGAGATTTGGACTATTAAAAAAAAAAACAACAACAAAAAAACCCTGAGCAACTCAACCTGCCTTTCTCTACAAATGAAACAAACCAAAAAAATATATATATTTTTTTCATAAACATTTTTTTTTCCGGCTGGGATATTAGGACAGTATATTAAATTCCCCCAAAAGGAGGCCCTAGAACTATTTACATAATAATGTCTCCACTGTGGTTGTGACAGATGGGCTTCACTGATGCAGACATACTGTTAGGGGCTTAGCAATAGATTAAAAAAACCACCACAATACTGTATAACATAATAAAAGTGTATTGTAATGTACATCATAACTTGTGGCCAAGGTTAAATTTGCAGTCGGAGTATGAAAGTCGTATTCCATTATACAAAATAGATGTTACACAGAAAAGCATTAAAGATGAGTTGACTCAACCATTTATTTTTAGTTTATATTTTATTCTATTTTCCTTGGCCTTATTTATGCAATATATTTTTAATCATATGAAATGGCATCGTTATGTGTCCCTTACCCCCACCTTGGACTGAGGGGCAGCCCGAGATCTTCAGACTCTCCTGGCTTTGTGGCTTCACATTCCAGGGGGCTTCAGGCTTTCCTCTGTTGGAAAATGGCTGATCATGTGTTTCTGTTTTTGCTTCATTCGGAGCTGCTTGGCACAGCTAAGGCCAGCAGTGGCCTCTGAGGGTGGCCTCTTTTGGTTTATGTGGAATCTTTGGAAACAAACTGTAGTTCTAGGGGCTTTCCCCATCCCATCAAGGGGTGACAAGGACATGAGATGTAAGTAGTCCCATTGAAGGTGGTCTATGAATAAAAGGTGACTGGGTTTTTCTTGTCCAGGACTTGACCACTGATTTCAGCTCAATGGTTCTGGTCCCCTGAACTGACCCTGAGTCTAGCAGCATGCTCTCCAAAGGGGAAGTAGCGTTCACTTTAGGCCAGCATGCTGATAATATTGTCAGATCCTTAAAGTGAAGAAAAAGTTTGGAGGCATACTTAAGACCCTAGGCAGAAGTTGCCTTTTATAAATAGATTCTCTTTCCAGTGCCAGCTTAAGAAGTTTGGATTATGCTGTTTAAGGGAGGTGGCTTTTCCCTGCAAGGACTCAATCAATGCAGGCCCCAGATTCCACTCCAATTAAATGATATTAACCTTGATTTAAACAGCCTTTAATTCTGATATCTTTTGTTTTGGTCAAAGTCAGCAATCTCTCAGAAGATTCCATAGAGAGCATAGCCTCTCAGTGTTCCATGGCAGATTTGGGAGTTTTAGGCATGCCTTTAACTAGAGGCCCTCCCTTGGGAGCCAGGAAGACAGAAGCATTAGAGAGACTCCCAGCCCAGGTGGGGAGCCCGGCTCAGGGAATTCAGTCTGGGCTCAGCTGGGGATGCCGGGTGTTTCTGTGGTGGGCAGACCATCAACCCTGGGGGGCCCAAGAAGCTGACAGCTGGTGACTCCTTTTGGGAGTAATCAAGCACCATCTTCTAGAAGAATTCTGTCCTGAATTCTTATTGCTGCAGATAATGGAACCTCAAGCATAATCTGAGCATACCTTCAAATAACCTGCATGTGGAGTTATTTGAAGTACTAGAAAAGCCCTATTGTCCATACTGAGACTCCAATAGAAATGTAATGTGAGCCACATACATAATTTAAATGTATTAATATCCACATTAAAAAAGTAAAAAGCAGCAGGTGAAATTAATTTTATTAATATACTTTTAATATATGTAAAATCTCCAAATTTTAACAAAATGTTATAAAAATTATTGAGATATTTTACATCTTTTTCTTCATGCTAAATCTTTGAAATCCCATGTTTATTTATACTTAAAGCATATTGTAATTGGGATGAGCTTTGTTTCAAATGCTCAGTGGTTGCACGTGGCTAGGGGCCACCATACCAAACAACACAGGTCCAACGGACCATTCTCCTCAGATGTCTGCTATTGTGGTGGACAAGGAGTAGATTAAGGGATTGTTACCCATTCTAAGTCAACTTTTAAGTGCTTCTGTTTTAATCCCTCATCAAACTTTAGCAACAGTGATTGAATTTCCAAACCTCTTTCCAATCTGGCTGGGGTAGATACGAGCCAAGGATTTAGCATTGCGGATGGGGTTTCAGATACTCAGGACAGTTAGGAGGCAGCTGGAAAGACGCATTACCTAGACGGCCCTGAGCTATGAGGAGAACAAATAGTTGAGATGAGGAGGTAAGTGGTATCTAGGAAAGGCCTGGCTGTCTCACTACTGCTATAGTGAGAAGAGTAGCATTGGGATTGGCTGGCTGGATTTGCTAGCCAGGCTACATGACTTTAGAATAAATCACTAATCTCTCTGAAACTCACCTTTCTTATCTGTAACATGGGGACAATAAGCTCTTTCTTGCTTTCCTCAAAAGAGTATTGTGAAGCTTGAATTATGTAATTCATGGGAAGTGGCTTCTTGTAAACACTACAGCACTGCTACAGAGTTAATTCAAGGGAAGCAGGTTTTATTAAAAGCTCGGCCCAAGTCAGGGAGTGTAGCGGGGGAGGAGGTGCCTCAATTGGAAAGGCAAAACTCAGATGGAAAACAATTAGAGACAGAATAGAATTCTGGAGGAGTGGTTCACACAGACAGTCCAGGAGCAGAAGTGGAGAGAGTGTGCAGTGTGAGCCTAGCAGGATGCAGAGGTTTGGACAGACAGAGAAGGACAGAGGAGAACATTCCTGGTGGAGGGCATAGCACAGACAAAGGCCAAGAATGGACATGAAAAGCCATACACTGGGGGTATTAAGAAACTTCCTGAGTAGGACAGAAATAAAGGGCAGGGAGGGATGGCCCACAGGGTTCCTCCCCTTGGCAGCATCTTTCCTTAGGAATTAACCATCAGAGAGCCAACTTCTGATGCCCTTGTTTTCTGCCTTGCCCTGAAAGTAGGTCACCCATGGATAGATGAGACCATCCCACTTGAGGTAAATATGGAATCTAACCACAGCCATGGTGTGGGTAGCTCTGATAATCACCAGGACGACTCTGGGCAGCTCAGAAAAGCTCTTATCTCAGACCATCTCTCTGCTTAAAGACTTGTCTCAGGAATACAGTTGGACAGAAGCACCAAAAGAAACAAAACTGTTGGACATTTCTAAAGGTCCCAGAAACTTCTGGCTTTCAAGCCAGTTCTTGTTTTAATATCAGGGTGTTTTCCATCATGAATCCACACAATATTACACATCCACACAATTCAGACTCTACCTGCCTGCACTGTAGATGTCCCTTCATTCCCTTAACAAGCACACAGATGTCCACCCCAACACATCATGCATGCAGGCACACATGAACACTCAAAAATCACACATGCCTTGGCAACATAGAGGACAGAACTGCTCTAACTTGAGACCAGTGAATAAATGAAGACTCAAGGCCAAGATGCTGTATGACACTGTTCATCAAACACCCACACAGGTAGTTGTAGAAATGACACTGGGGCATTCGTGTTCCCTCTTCTTTCCTCTCCTGTTAATTCTCCACCAGCTCTAATTATACTTCAAGCTTTGGGGGTCCTTGCTTGCCTGTACCTTTTCTTTCTATTCTTAGGTATGCTTGTTTTCCAGGGTTCAGCTGGGTCCAGAAATGTGGAAGTTAGAAAAGATCATATTACCTTTTGCAAACTGTTTTCACCAGTTTGGGTAAGGAAGAGGAGCTTCAAAAAGTTCCCTCTGCCTCAGGAGACCTCTGTCTTGACCAGGCCATCTCCATTTCCTCTGCACTATTCCTGCCCTGACAAAAGGAATTGTTCTGTTTGAATTTGAATAATGTGCTATTCTCCAGTGTTCTCTTATTGGGCAGAAAACTCAGGCTGTTTCTGGCTGCATCCTCTCTTCCATGTGATCTCTCCATTTAGTGCAGTGCTAGGCCCAACTCAGTAAGTACAGGATAGATGGTTGGATAAACACAACGTTGTTAGTTTGTACATTAATTCCATTTGCCAGTGAAATTTTAAGCCCTGGTTTTGTCCAGAGGCCTGACCCCCAACCTGGAAAATGGCAAACCCAATTCCAGACAAATTCTTAACCCCAGCCCTGACTCCTGCAGCCATGATGACAGCGAGATGCACCAGAAGCACCACCATAGGTTCACCGAAAGGACCCATCAAAGGCAACCGATGCAAGAATAGTCCCAGTGGTGCTGGAAAAATAAAGACAATGGAACAACTGATTAATTCAGGAGAGAACATTGTGCCACTGCCTATTCTCTGACTCTCCTGGCAGCTGGGGTTCAGCCTTGCCCACAGAGTGTTCCTTAAGAGCAAGGACTGAAGTCACTTTTGGGTTCCAAGACTAAATTTCACCTCCAAAATTTAGATTCTGGTTAATTTGCACCAAAGTGGGAGGGCTACACAGACCCCAGGGGTCCCAATGACTATGACATTATGACTCCACTCTTCAGTAGGGGAAACTAGCATGTACTGTGTGCCATCTACGTGTCAAATATTGTGCCAGATATTCTCAATTGCAGGATTTTGCTTAATGGGTTTCACAACAATCCATGACTTGGGATTATTTTGGACAGAACTGAGAGGCTCCCTAAAGTAAGCAGCTCACTGAGTGCCACACAGGTGGCTGCCAAACACCCAAGTCTGACATCTTTGCCCTGCACCAGTGGACAGACTTAGAATGGAGAAGAATGAAACGGACCAAATTGCTATAGAATAGAGTAAAACACACAGGATGGATTAGAATGGGATTAGAAGCATTTCCCATTTCCTCTTCTCTCCTCCCCAAAGGGTCTGATAAGCTCTTCCCACACCGAAATGGGACAACCCTCTCCAGATGATTTGCATTTTAAAGGGAGGTAAGCAGTTTGACAGGAAGTATCCCCAGTGGAGACTGGCAGGCACCTAATAGAGGGTGAGAAGCCAGCAAGAGGCTGGGGTGGAGAGGTCCTAAGGACTTGTGAAGCTGCCCTGTGCTTTGAGCCTGTGCTTAAGGCTGTTTGTTCCTGATTAATTCCTTCCTCTGCCAGGCCCACTTCCCTCTGCCCTTTCTGTCTGGCTCCTCTATTTTCTTGCTTTCTTTTCAGGATTCCGAGTTGCTAGGCAACTCCAGTCTGGAGCTGAGGTTCTCACTGTGTCAAGCAGCTACCACGCAGGGACAGGAAGTCTGATGGAGCCCTTGATTACAGGTGACTGTGCAGAAAAGAAGACAACGGCAGCAACCTTTCCTCATCCCCTTGTTGCCTCCCAGAGACAGAGGGAGTGAACGATCTGGGAGCAGAGCGTTGCTTAGGCCATTTGCCATTTCCCCTTCCTGTTCTGCTCTCTCCTCGCACCAGCAGAACCTCCTTCCATGCAGCTCCCAGAATCCTTGCTCTGGCCTTCTACTGCCCTCACGCACACCCACACAGGCCCTTAACCCCTCACGTGCAGCTGCCCTCAGCTATTCTCCGGTTTAGGGGCATCACACCTCCACGGCTTAACCTCAGCAAAGCGTCAGCAGGCCTTTGCAGGGGTAGGGAATGCAGGACCCCGCAGTACCTACAGACGGAGAGGCAGGCGCTACTCCTGGCACGTTTCCCGTGTGCGCAGGTGGCCCAGGGGAAGGGGTGACTGCTCGCCGTTGCTCCGAGCTTGTCTCTGGGCCCCGGAGGGCAGTGGGAATGCCACCCTGAGCAGACGTGAGACTCACAGGGCATCCCCAGGCGCACTCTAGGCTTCAGTCGTGCACACGTACACATTTACTGAGCCTGTACCGTGTGCCAAGTGCTGGGGATTCCGCAAGCAAGAAAACATTCGGAGTCTCTGACTTCACAGAGCTAAAATTCACACGGGAGGAGGCGGTCGGCACATAACAGACAACTAGAGAATGACGCGAGTTGAGATGGCGTTTTTGACAGCTCCCTTCCAGAGGAAACAGTATTGTTCAGCGTTGGAGGGCCTGGGTTCCCTCCAGCAGTCCCCACCCTTCCATGAGGGCCAAGGCCCTGGAGCACCTGAGAGAGTGGCTGGCCTCCCGCGACCCCCACTGTGCGGCAGCTTCGGAGGTAGGAGTGTGATTGGCTCTGATCTGACGAAACCAGCCTCCTTATTGAAAGTTGTGGTTGTCAGTCTAATGGCGCTCTAGAAAGCTCGTGATCTAGACCTGGCCAATCAGAGCACAAGGATTAGTTAAAGCAGGGCACATGATCTTAGGATGGCCA
Organism: Homo sapiens; assembly: GCF_000001405.40. NCBI lineage: Eukaryota > Metazoa > Chordata > Mammalia > Primates > Hominidae > Homo > Homo sapiens. Next base: position 37,670,381 of record NC_000018.10, read on the forward strand.
GTCAGAGGCCAGCCTTGCACTTCGGAAAGAAGGAGCTCTCCTTAGGCTGGGAGGGGCCAAGCCGCTGGCCCGTGAGCCTGGGGCAGCTCTGGACTGTGCTTGCTGTCCTTGAGGAGAATGCAGCCAGCCCAGGGCAAATCAGAGCCAGGCAGGTAAGAGAAACGGCTGGGCCTGAGGCCAGAGCGCCTTCCGACCTTTGGGTTTCACAAGCCAATACATTCTTTAAAAATTTTAAAAATGTAATACTAAGCTAGCTTGCATCGGTTTTCACTACTTGGTGCAGTATGTTTCTCTATCCATATATCTTCATCACTTTTCCCTTCCTCTGGGTCCCAGGTTTCCAAGGCTAGCCTCCAGAGTGAGGAGTCAGAGCTTAGACTAAGCATTCCTTAGTCAGAGCCCTGTTTCAGGCCAGGTACCACCTTCTTCCCTTTTCTTTTTGTTAAAACACACCTGTTCTGTGTTCCGTCTCTTTAGCGTCCTCCCCTCTGCCAGTGATCATTTGATTAAGTTACTCAGGGTATTGATGGCTACGAATTGCTCCCGATATCAGTGATCCTGTGTGGTCTTTTTACATTTGGACCATAGTCCTTCATGCCATAATCCATGGAACTGGATACCTAATAGTGGAAGTGATGCAGGTGGGGGGCAGGGAAGTGCTGGGTAGAGATGGGCGGGGTCCCTGGCGAGGGTGCCACCCTCGAGCTCGTGCCCATGGACCTAAGTGAGGATAGGAACTCCTGAGTTTTTTTCACCCAAATGTTGCATTTTCCAAGACCACTCTGGCCTGCCATGCACCCCATCCTGTGGCTGTAAAAACCCCGAGACCCTAGCGGGCACGCACACAAGTAGCTGAACGTCGAGAGGAACACACCAGCAAAAGAACATACCAGGAGACATTGGCAGGCCATGGACTGCGGAACGATGCGGATGCCAAGGGGAACTCGGTAGGAGGAGAGACCGGCCGCTGGGCGGCCCGACTCGGAGGGAAGACCACCTTCCCACTCCATCCCCCTTCTGGCCTCCCCATCCACCTCTCTGAGAGCTACCTCCACTCTGTAAAACCTTGCATCCATCCTCCAAGCCCATGTGTGATCTGATTTTTCCAGTACACTAAGACAAGAACCTGGAATACAGAAAGCCCTCTATCCTCACGATAAGGCAGAGGGTCTAACTGAGCTGATTAACACAAATAGCCTGCAGATGGCAAAACTGAAGAAGCGCACTGTAACACACCCACTGGGGCTTCAGGAGCTGTAAACCCTCAACCCGAGATGCTGCCATGGGGTCAGAGCCCAAAAACGCTCCCCACGACCTGCCCTCTGCCTGCTCCCCCTAGGGGTTTGAGCAATGGGGCACTGAAGAAGTGAGCCACACCCCTGTCTCATGTCCTGTGGGGGATAAGGGAACTCCTGTTTCAGAAGTTCATGCACTGAGGCAGGCTGCTGAAGGGATGGTTTTATAGATGCTCCTCCTCCTAGTCCCTCTGAAGTTCGTTGGCTGGGTGTTCAGTTACTCTGCCTGTGTCCATAGCTGTGGGCCAACTCTCCTGGCTCACAGTGAAATGCCTGGGCCTCTACCAGAGGTCATGTCCTTCTCATAGAAGGCAGACGAAGTCTCTGAAAGGAGAGTTTTGGAAACGGGCATCCAATAAGTCTGAGTCCTGGAGTGGCCTTGACTAGTCAGTGATCTTGCAGGGCCTCACTCTTCTCATTTATAAAATGGAGGTGTTTGATGAGCTGACTCCTCAGTCCTCTTCCAGCACAGATGTCCTGGGTGGGGTATCTGTGTCTCTGAGTAACCTGTGGGCCTTGTGTGTTTTAGGGTGAAAGTGTCCTCATGGGAGAGTGTGAGGCACATTTGAATGGCTACTTTTTATAGTCCACTCACATTTCACAATCTATTCATAATATTCATGCTCCCTTTGACTGGTTTCAGGCTTGTTTGGTGACTTACATTTATTATACACAGGCCAGTAGGTGGGAAGTGTGAGGAGCTGAGCTCCGACAGTTAGAACATCTGGTTTCTAGCCCCAAAGTGGCCATTTTGCAGATAGCTAAGACCTTGAAAGAGATGCTATATACTACTCTGGATCTGTTTTCTCACCTGTAAAATGGGAATGAAATCACTTTTCTTTGCTCACAAATTTGGTTGTGACTTAGAAAACACACTAAATGAAAATGCAATGAAGAGATAGACTGTTTAAAAATGCGACGAGAGCTTTCTGCTTTTGGCTTGGAGGATGCCAAGGTGTAACTTTTTTCAGTCGTCCTGTATCCAGGTTCATGTGACGCTGGCCACATCCACCATTCTGCCCACATTTGACCTCAACAAGATTATAGGCCTGTACCTGAGGTGCACCAGTGGGGAAGTTGGTGCCACGTCTGACCTTGACCTCCTGGATCTATCTGTTTTCAAAAACGGTTGGTGATAATATCACCCAAAGCAACCAGTGACTAGAATGGTCTTAGTATTACAGTGGAACTGACCATTCAGAACAGACAGGCCAAATTGAGGTGGTACTTTTTGTCTCTGTCCTGATGATCAAAGTCCCCAAGGAACCAGTCAGAGACAGAAAGAAGCAGAAAAACATTAAGCACAGTGACAGTATCACTTTTGATGACATTGTCAAGATTGCCCAACAGATGCAGCACCAGTCTTTAATTAGAGAACTCTGGAACCATAAAATAGCTTTGGAGTACTGCACAGTTTGTGGGCTGTAATGTTGATGGCCACCACCTTCATGATATCATAGATGACATCAACAGTGATGCAGTGGAATGCCCAGCTAGTTTAGACCTATGAAGGAAAATATTTCCATAAAGGATCATTTGACAACCAGGAAATAAAAATACCAGGAGAAAGTGTCTAATTTTGCAAATACACTTGGGAAAATAGTATTAGTCTTCTGCCACTCCCAAGGAAGCAGATGGTGCCAAACTCTTTCTCTGACAATGGGAGGTGAGATGGGGACTCAGAGAGGAGAGGATATCAGCTTAGCCTCACACAGTAATTCTCAGGACTGAGGTGCCGTCTGCTGGCAGAGCAGGAGGCTTTCCCCTTGGAGCCATGTTGGCTTGCCCTCCCCCTCATTTCCAGGTTGGAGATTTGAGTCAGAGATGAGGCAAATGCTTAGGCAAGGAAAAATGTTTTACCAGCTTGCTCCGCAGGGAAAGAGTCCGTGTTATGATATGAAGCTGAAAATAGAGTGCCTCAGGAAAGAAACTACCAACCAAAGACTATCTCCTGGTGGAGCTGTGGGGGCTTCCTCCAGGAAAATTGGGGTTGAAATGAGAACGCAACGGTATTGCCTTGTCATTGATACTCTAAATGCAGATGCTCTGGGCTGGGATTTGGAATCCCTGTCACGAGAAAGGGGTCCCGCTGGAAATGCTTGTTTAGCAATGCTTTCCTGCTGGGGTCTGTGGAACATCCTGACACAGTCCAGGGCTTGAACAAGGGCCAAGGATTTATCCAGAAACAGCAAGCCTTGTACAAAAGATGATCCTGGATTTAGAACAGATGAAAGGTACTTTGAGGGAGTTCAAAGAACGGGCACATGCTCCCCGATGGCTGCTTGCTGGATATTTTGAGAGGCGACTTGGGCACACTTTACCTCCCTACCTCTCCCAGGGGTCTTTTCCAACACGGTTTCTCTCCATTAGTATATTCCAGAGCTCTCGAGCTTGAAGAGCTTGAAAGTCTTAATATGTAGATTTCTGTAGCTGTGGGAACAGGCCTTTCCCAGTTGGGGTTTGTGAAGGCCATTCTGATGATGTTCGTGGTGATGATTAATTGGCAGTAATCATGGAGATAGTGAAAGTAATGAGGCCCACCTGTTTAGGTGTTGGGAAAGATGAAGTAGGTGGGCACATGGTCAGGGTGGGGATAGTGATGGTGATGGGAGTAGCAGGTAGCTCAATCTTAGAAATTTGTTGAGAAACCCAGGGAACTAATCTTAACATAAACTTCACTTTTTTGTCTGGCAAAATAAATTCTTGGCAGAAAAAATATCTACCTCTGGGAAAGGGGAAAGCAAAAATACCTTTTGCTTGTGGTCAGTCCTGTCAAAGCAGATAAAGTATATCAAGCATCATATCACTGGCTTTCTAGGGGGACATCTAGTGATCCTAGAGAAGTTACATGGAGATACAAACTCAAGCTGATATGAGTGGCCACAAAACAAATTAGCAACCTCTAAAATGTCAGATTAATACAAAAAGGTGCCAATGTTGCTCATTTCCATGCTTTGAACAGTGTCTGGAGAGGAGGAATGAGAAAGTCAATCATCAAACTCTTTTTCAGGATCTGACACAATCCCGCGTCTTTGAAGAGTGTTCATGTAAGGCTGTGCTTGGAATAGGTCCTTCTACTTCCCTATTTCCTCCCGTGAGTCATGACATCCTTGCCTTTCTGAGTCACTGGGTCCAACTGGTGAGATGACAGCAATAAGGAAAAGGAACTTTGATGTCTAGATGACTCTTGTGCATGACATTAATGGCACCCCAACGGCCCAGGATAAGTTGAGGGTCTCTGAGGCCTCATAAATGAGGGGAGCAACACTAGTTCCTGGTAATCCCAATTTTGCTAATTACCAAAGTCAGTAAAACATAAAAAATAAAAGATGAACCAAATTTAATCAGTTCCCATCAAGTAAAATTTTGGTGCAATTGTAAAACATGGAAGCTTGTAAAACATAAGAAACTTGATTTTGGAATTTCTACATTTCCCTTCTTTTAATTTTCTCTTTTCTGTGGGCATCCTCACCCACGAGCCCCTGCCTCGGTTGTGCCCAATTACCGCCTGCAGTCCAGGGACAAAATCCCATGAACACATTCATGCAATGCTGACATCAGGCAAAATAACAAAGAGTGCTGCTGCTGATTCTGTTGCACCGTTAATGTGTGCTCCCTCCCCAGGGGAATTTCTTAACAAAAAAGCCTGGAGAGGAAAATGCTTAACCCATGACTGGATCTGGCATGGTGGGTTAGTATAGAAAAGACCCTTTGCTCTCCAAACCACACCACATAGTTGGCACCATGCATTAGGGCTATAGTAATAATGCCTTACTGAGAGGCCTATTTGCTCTTTGGGGCTGCAGTTCTGTAGTTGGCATCCCTATTTACCAAGGGTAGGAAGGTATCAGTATCCTATTACCATATTGGTTACCAAAGCAGGCCCACCTTTTCCTAGGGAGTGGCTTCTTCCTGAGAAGAGGACAAACCAGAGAAGTCAGTTTCTTCACTTGTCCTTTTGTTGTATGCAGTCTTCTTTTTTCAGTAAGTAAAATTTTTCTGCATGCTGAGTAGTTAGGGGTATAATTGAAAGGAATTACACAGAAGGAAATATAAAGTTCATAGATGTATAAAAATTATTTTCTGGTTCTCTTAGGTGAGGAAGTTACTAAGAAGACTTTTTGACATGTACAAGTTTGGATCTAAGGAATAAAGTGAAGGTTAGAACTCTCATTCATTCGTTCATTTGTATAATAAATATACATGGATTAGTTTTTGTAAAGCTAAGGGATTGAGGACTGAAAGTGGTCCAGAGAGGGGATCTTTGAGGCAGCAGAGATAAAAAGGTGGTGTGAATAAGTTCCAGTTATTAATTGCCATGTAACAAATCACCCCAAAACTTATTGACTTAAGATACAGCAATTCTTTTATTGTTATTATCTGTCAAAAGTCAGGCACTTGACTAAGCTCAGCTAGGCAGTTCTTAAACAGGGTCTATTATGTGTGCAGGCAGATGGTGGGTTTGGAGTCAGCTTAACACCTTTCTCACTTGCATATTGGTGTTTTTTGCTGGCTGTTTATTGGGACTTCAGCTGGGGTCTTAGCCAGACCACCTACAAGTGGACTCTCCATGTGGTCTGGGTTTCCTCACAATGTGGCAGCTGGGTTCCAAAAAAGAGCACCTCCAAGAGAACTGAGTGGAAGCACTATCCTTTTTTTACATCCTGGCCTCAGAATTTACATAGCATCACTTTTGCCATAGGCACTGGCCCACTCAGATGCAAGGATAGGGACCATAAGCCCTGCCTGTTCATAGGAGGAGTGTCCATGTCAGCAGTAAGAAGAGTATGTGGGATGAGAGAACTTGTTGCAGCCGTCTTGGAAAATACAACCTGCCATGGGTGAGGTAGATCCAGATATTAGTGGGAGGAATTAATACTTTCAAACCCAGAATAATTAGACAGCAGTACAAAGAGGCATCTGATCAAATGGGTGATTGTATAACATGGATAATAATGGCTAAGAGAGTGTGAAGGATGAGTAGTTCAGTGAGGTCTGTGGTAGCCAGGGCAGACTTGACGAAGGAAGTCTGATTTTGAAGCCTGGTAAAGTCCATTTGGTTATGTGTAATTTACGTTCATCTCTTCTGAGAAAATAAGTGACAATAAACAAAATTATAATTTTTGATAATTCTTTCATACTGAGACAGCTACTTAACATTGTCATGCATATCCTACCCGAGTTTTTCCCTTCTGGAAATATATAGAGAATTGCCAATTTTGAATACTACCTAACATTTTATTTATAATATTTTGCAAATAGTTCCCTTAACTCCTATATATTATTCTAAAATATAATATTGAATGGTTGCACAGCATTCTCTCATGTGAATATACCATTAATATTTACATTTCAATATCTTACTACTGGAAATTTAAGATGTTCCTTTTTATTCTATTGCAAAGAACACTGTGATGAAAGTCTTTATGCAGAAATCTTGGTGCTTATTGATGAATAGTCTCTTAAGATTAATTTTTAAAGTTAGAATTACTGGTAAAAAGCTATACACATTTTAGAAACCTTGTATGTATCTTGTCATTGTGGCTTGTAGGGGCAGGTTGTGCTCACTGCTCTCCCTGCCAGGGTGAATCCATGTTTATTTGCAGATTTGACAATACCAATTGTTACTTGGCCACAAAAGAAGCTTTTCTATTTGAGAGACCAAAATGAGACTTTGGTCTTTACTGTAATTTTGTCTAATTATTAGAAGGGTAGCATTTTCCTGTATATTTCTTTATCATCTAGGCTTCTTTTTCTGTGATTTGCTAGTTTAAGTCCAATGCGTATTTTTCCTATTGGTTATTTTTCTCCTATTGATTAATAACAATGCTTTATAAATTATTAATCTTTTATTTAGCATATATAGCTCAAATATTTGTCCCCTTGATTTGGTCTTTTATTTTTCAGCTTTGTTTATAGTGTGTTTTCAAATGCAGAGACTTTTTTTAGCATTTGTGTGGTCAAATCTAGTAATCTTTTTTATTTGTATATTTTTCTTTTGCTCGTATACATGAAAGGTCTTAGCCATAATAATAAGATAATTTTACTTTGTTTTTCCTTTGTGTTTATGTGCATGCATCTGTGCGCACACACACACAAACACACACATACACATACACCATGCAATTCTTGAATCAATCTGGACTGTATCTTAAAATGTGTTCTGAGTAGGGTCTCCTAAAGGCTATTTTCCAAGTATCTACCCAGATAGGATTTAGGTTGGTAGGGGGAGAGGTGAGCATCCTGTAACCTGCACACACATTCAGTGTGAGGCGAACCTGGCTGAAGTAAAGGGTCACTTATTGGGGCTGGAAGTGTCAGGGCTGCAGGACAACTGCATTCGAATTCTGGAGGGCCTGGCTTGCCAGGCAGAGCAAGGTGCCTCATTGGCACTGAGGACCATTTTAGGACTGAGAGTAGGAAAATGATTTTTCCTTCTCCTTGATATCTCTGTAGGGCTTGCCAGGAGCCAGGTACTCTGTAAATATACATAATATTTCATTTAATTCTCACCCGTGCCTACAAAGCAGCTGCTATTATCCTCATTTTATAGCTGAGATGATTGAGGCTTAGTACGCAGTATGGCTGGAACTGAGTCCAGATCTGGCCATGTTCAAAGCTCTGCATTCAACCACTATGCATATTCGTTTCTCAATATGATCAAACAAGAGTTTGAGAAAGTTAATCCAGAAACATTGTACAGGTTAGAAGAAGGAGGGAAGTGTCTGGGGTCAGGGAGTTTCTTAAATGCTGGAGTTTCTTAAATGCTGGTGAGGGTTGAACTAAGGTGATGGTCGGGAGTGAACAATGATGAGGAGAAAGGACTAGGAGAGGCAAGGAGCAGGCAATGGCTGGGAAGGTGAGGGGTGCTTACCTGGCTCAGTGTTCCTTCATTATTGTCTCTCATTCTAAATATTTGATGTCCCTCTCAGGTCTTGCCTGTGGTTTTCATCAGCTGATCTTAGCAGCTGATCTTTGGATAAACAGGATTTTCCAAGAGCCAGACTTTCTTGTGTGTGAATTGAGAACAATACAGTTTTTCCCTCATCTATCCAGATCCTTGAAGGAAGACACTGTGATTAAGGCAATTTTTTGTCAGGGGATGGAGCTGTATCTTCATTTATCAGTAAACATTGTATGGTGTATGGTGGGCATATGTGTTGCACCATGGGCTATGAAGGACCCAAAGACACATCAAAACAGAGCCCTTCCCACACAGAGATGAAAGTTGAGCAAGGAAATCACCTGCAGATGCATAAATATTATAAAAAATGGAAAATGTCAAATCCCTCCAAAGAGGCATAGTTAATAGGTTAGGGGAGGTCAGAGAAGAGAGAACTGTTCTTGTTGGGAGGGCCAGGCACAGACGGAATCATGAACTAATAACTAGTTTCTAAGTCAGGATCGTGCTGGGCTTGCTGTAAGGAACAGATAAGAATCCTGTGTAATGAGAACTTTCATTCTTTGTTTGCAAGCCCTGCGACCTGCCCTCCTACAGGCACGGGTGACTCCCTTGGCATTTGTCCCTCCTTTCCCCACCCCCTGAGGTGGTTTTCTCTTCAGTCACAACCGTGTCTTGCTGTAATTACAGTAATAGAGCAAGCTTGGTTGTTTTCTTTCTTTATGCATCTAAGATGTTCTAAGAAAGAGGACAAAAGCAGACGAATAAGAAATAAACTGCAGCTCAGTGCACAGAACATGCATCTTTATCAAAAGAATTACGGAATGGATGGTGCTTTTATTCTTCACCCAGGCACGAACTGAAGTCCTAACTCTATTTCACAGTCTTCCCTAATAACTCAAGTTGCACAGATCATCCACAGCCCTCATGTTTATGACCCCAATTTGGCCTTGTGGTTTGTGGTAGCTGAACAGTTATAAATAGGCTTTCGCCTGCAAAAGCACCCTACAAAATGTCTTTGAGACCCTTTTGCCCCACCAGACAGGCCCATTAAGAGGGATAGCAGGGCCCTGGATGCTTAGGAGCTCCTGGGTTTGAGTCGCAACCCTGTGAGTTCCTACTTGTCAATTCCAAGCTGTGTGACTTTTGGAGAAGTTACTGAATTTTTCTAAGTGCCAGTTCATTAATCTGTGAAAAGGGGATAAAAAATAGCACTCACTTACCAGGGATGCTGTGAGGATTACATGGGGTTGTGGAGCAAGCATTTAATATATAAGTGGGATTAATGCAGAATGAGGACAAGGGACGGATAAGAATCCTATGTAATGAGACAGGTTCATAAGCCCTGGTTGGATGCGACCAGTGAATTTCATTGAGCTTTACCAGTGCAGGACCATTTCCCTTTGGGTTAGAAGTCACCATTCCACGGTTGTTTCATCAGAATGTTAGGAATGGTCTTTCCCATCTTGTTACAGGATGAGTAGATCCTGATGAATACATCCTTTGCATTACCATTTGATATCTCCTTTGAGGTTTTGAAAAGTGCCTCAGGTTTGGGAACAGTAAGTCTGAAACTGTGCAGACTGGTGAACATTCCCCTTTTACCTGTATGTAGATCAGTAAAGCACATGGCTCACTGCATTGTATCTGCCAGTTTTACTTGTCTGTATCCCTTACTAGACTGTGAGCTCCATGAGAAGGAAATGGGTCCATTTTATGTACCACTGCATTTCCAGGACATAGCATAGAACCTGGCCATGGTAGACATTGGCTGAATATTTGTTGAATGGATGGTATGATGATTGATCTCTGCCCATGGATTAATGCCAAACACCTTCTTGGGCTCTCTCTCTCTTTTTTTAACATACCTAAACATCACCGCAACCTGATGAATTAGGTCTTCTCATTTCCAATTTATTAATATAGAACAGAGATCTAGAAAGTTTAACCAACTTATCCAAGGTGAATGAATTACCTGCTCTTTTTCTCCACTCATTGTGTCCTTTCATCCTTAAATACTCCAACTCTCATTTGGTTTATGGCACTTTTTAACCATGTGACACCAGACAAGCTACAAACTCTTATGAAGAATCACGTTTGCATTGCATTATGAAGAATCACGTTACATTGAGAACTGTCTCACTGTCTTGGGAATGTTTTAATATTTTCTGGATATTCACAATCCTGAAAAATAAGTGACTCATCATGATACTGTTTTGATGAAGGCTGAAAATGGCTTGTCTATTTTTAACATTGAGTGGCAGTAACTAATAATATTAGGTTCTCTTGTCCTACTCTGAGGGCAGAGAGGAGTAAAAGGTCATAAGGGTTAAGGAGTATCTGTAAGGAAAAAAGGGAGGGCGGCACTCTGACAGCAACCAGGATAGAAATTGTCCAGTCATCCCAAGCACCTTGCCCAAAGCTGGATGCCCCAAGCCACATCAGGGTCTACTTTCTTGGAGCCTTGATGACAGTTGTCACCAGCACTTTCTTTGTGATTGTTCTCAGCTTCCTTCAGGCACGCCTCTCCAGCTACACTCCGTGTTTTCTCCTTTTCTGCTACATTTCTGTTTACATAGTTCAGATCTTATCTCAGCATTTCCAGCAACTATCAAGTTACAGGCACAATGGGGTACTCAACTTTTTAGTTTTAATTTTTTGAAAATATGAATGAATAAATAAGTGTATCTGGAGAGGAATTCAGAAGATGTCTAAGCAATGTGTGCTACAGAAGAGCAAAGAAGGCAGAAAGGGTGTTGGTGGTGTTACCTAATGGTTAGTGCTCAGGCTCTGGGGTCAGGCCCGAGCTACACCCTGATTTCACTGCTTGTCAGATGTGATATCCTGGGTAGATTACTTCCCTTTGAGAAGCCTCATTTTCCTTTCCTTTAAAACTGGAGATAGGGGAATATCTCTATTACTTAACTATTGCTGTGCAACAAACCACACCAAAGCTCAATGGCTTAAAACAACCACTATTTTTACTGCTTTTGTGGCTGGGGATTGGTGAGGGCATCTGATCTGGGCTGGGTTTTGCTGGGGTGGCTTTGCTTCATGGGTCGTTCATCTTTCTCCAACAGCAGCAGCGCGGTTAGGGTTTGTTCTTCTCAAGGGAGTGGCAGAAGTGCAAGAAAGCAGAAGGAAACATGCAAAGCCTCTTAGGTACTGGATTTGGAACTGGAAGCTATCATTTCCACTCATTTATCATTGGCCACAACAAGTCACATGGCCACACTCAAAGTCAAGGGGAGAGGAAGTCTACCCTGCTCACCATAAGCACACTTCAAGGGTATGGATGCTGCAGGTGGGATAGGGGTAAAATATTGGATTGATTAATGCATTTTACCACATTGCCTTACTGAACTATTAGAAAAAATAAGAGACGTAGTTCTTGTTGAAAGTTTAGCGTGGCATCTAGTATATCGTGAGCACTTTCATCTGGTTGGTAGATTGTACACCTTGTAAGCAATCCATAAATTATAGCTACCGTAGCTGTTGTTATAACTACTATTGTCAGAAATGTTGACACTTGTTATCCCAAAGAGCAGGACTCACAGAGTTGTTAGCTGGGAGGAGTGGGTGAAATGGGCTATGTTTGGGTATAGTGTGTATTGAGCACCCATGTGCCAAGCACCACCCTAGGTATTTGGCATGTATTTGAGAATAAAACAAAGATTCTTGTTTGTTTGGAGCCTATATTTCAGCAAGGGAAGATACACATGAAAAAACACAGGGCTGGGCATGGTGGCTCACGCCTGTAATGCCAACACTTTGGGAGCCCGAGGTGGGCAAATCACGAGGTCAGGAGATTGAGACCATTCTGGCTAACACGGTGAAACCTGTCTCTACTAAAAGTACAAAAAATTAGCTGAGTGTGGTGGCACGTACCTGTAGTCCCAACTACTTGGGAGGCTGAGGCAGGAGAATTGCTTGAACCTGGGAGGCAGAAGTTACAGTGAGCCGAGATCATGCCACTGCACTCCAGCCTGGGTGACAGAGCAAGACTCTGTCTCAAAACAAAAACAAACCCATGGAAATAAGTAAATGATAGAGTATGCCAATGTATGCTAGGAAAGAAATGCAGAGGAAAGTAAGGGGATTGGGCATACTGGCTGTGGGGCAGGCGCAGGATTACATTGAATTGTCAGGTGGGCCTCCTTAGAAAGTGAGAGCAGAGGCATGAAAGGAAGTGATGAGGTGAGCCAAGAAGGCACTGGGAGAAAGAACATTCTAACCAGGAGAAGTCCAGAACAAAGGCCCTAAGGTAGGGGTGCAGAATGTGTTTGAGGCACAGAAGGGAGGATAGTGTTACTGAAGGTGATGAGTGAGGGGGAGAGTAATAGGAGTTGAGGTAAAAGAGGTCACGGGGAGGGAGGGTCTTATAAGCTGTTGTGAGGGCTTCAGTTTGCTCTGGGTGGAAGGGGAGCCACTGGAAGGTTTTAAACTGACACATGACATGATTCTTAAATCAAAGGACAAGAAACTTACATTTCAAAACATCCCTGTGGCGTCTGCATTAAGAACACCTCCAAGGAGGGAAGGGAGACTGAGTAATCCAGGAAGGACGTAAGTGTTGACTAGACTTGCGGGGGTGATAGCAAAGGTGGTAAGTGTCACGGATTTTGGTGTTTTGAAGATAGAGCCAATAGAATCTACTGGCAGATTAGCTATGGAGTATGACAGAAAAAGAGGAGTCATGGATGACTCAAGGTTTTTGGCTGAGTGGCTGAGATGAGAAAGGTTATGAGTGGAGTAGCATTGGGGTGGGGAAAAATGAGGGGCTCAATTTTGGACATGTGGAGTTTGAGAGGGCTCTTAGACACTCAAGTGGAGAACATCATGTAGGCACTTGGACATACACATCTCTGATTCATGGGCAAAGTCCAGGCCGGAGAGATGAATTCAGCATTCATGATCCTGCAACACCATTCAAAGTGTATGATACTAGTCATATCAGCAAGGAGGTGTGTTGATAGAAAATAGGACCAAGGAACTGTCCAGAGCACTGGACATTCAGAGAGTGTGGAGCCCTGGGAGTTGGCCAGTGTTGTCAAATGCTGCTGGTAGGTTGAGTGCCATGAGGATTGGGAAATGGCAGGTGGATACAATAATGTGGAGGTCACTAGGGATTATGGTAAGAACAGCTCTGGTTGAGAGGTGTGGGTGAAAGTGGATGGGAGTGGGTTTAAGAGAGAAAAGGAGGAGAGGAATTTGAGAGGTGAGAAATACCCTGCTTAGAAGCACGTTAGGTGCAGTGGCACAGGGAGGAGTGGGGGTCTCCAGTGTCTGTGGCTTCCCACTCAAGGATCTTTTTAAAAAATCTTTACTGAACTGGCATCCAAATCCCTTCCTATGGCCTTCCCCTGCTCTCTATGTTCTGAATGCTGAATGCATTTTCTGCATCTCCCCCATGTGGGTTGTGACATTTCTGAGGCCAAGGACTGGGCTTCTCCTATGCTTTAGTGCACTAAGCACTTATCTAGAGCAGGGCAGCAGGTGGGTTAACACTTGGCAGTACACAGATGGGGGATGATGGGGTCAGCTAGGAGCAAAGCCTACAAACAGAAAGACATTTTAGCCCCATCTTTAAGTCAGCTGGAACAAGGCCAAAGTGGGTCTGATGGGGAGATTTAATCCCAACCTTCTGTATCAAACAGGTAGTATGGAGGCTGGAATCCAATCACCCTAGTCTACTGATGCATTTAGATTTATAAAAAGTGAGTTTCGGCCAGTCTTCTCTCCTCTGCCTACTCAGTCCATGCCTGGAGCTGGGTGCTGTACCTCCCCGGGAGGTGTTGAGCTCCCCCTTGCTGCAGACAATCTACTAGAGGCTGGTAGTTACCAGTCAGGGATGCTGCGGATGGGCCTCCTACATTACTGTCAGTTTTCTCTGAGGACCATGTTGGTTTTCTGTGGTGCAGCAGCCCTGCCTGGATGAGAGAGTGACGACTTCCTACGCTTACACAACCCCACCTCCTCATCCCTTAATCCCACCTACACTCTTAGCCTGTTACCCTGCTGCTTACCTATCCCAAGTCTGCAGCTGACTCCTGAATTCCAGGCTACATTCACCCATTGCCTCAGTTCAGGCCCGTGACACAGGTGAGGGTTACAGGGAATAGCATCGGTCACAAAACAAACTGAGGCTATTTTTGGCCACTTCCATGCAGAGGAAGTTATCTGTTCTAATGATCCTAGGTGCCACATGAATGAGATGCCACCAGGGGGTGCTTGTTTCTGGGTCCCTGAGATGAGTCGCCTGTTCTCTCTGTCTCTCCCAGCATCATCCTTAAATGCTGATTGGTGCCCACATTCCCACCATCATAAGAACATAAGACTTTGATCATCCTTAAAATGTACATACCCAAGAAAGAAATTGAGATTTCTGTTTTATTATTAGATATCCCTCCTGAGCGAGACTAAATATAAGTCAGTATCCTGAGGGTGGTACTATGGAGGGGAGGGATCCTGAAATGTGTATGGTCCCACTATATGAGAGAAGAAACAAGAGAAAAATAAGAAGCCAGAAAGTAGTGATTGGGGTACCCTGTAAAGAAATGTTTTCATCTCTACCATCCTGTGGAGGGTGAGTTCTGTGCACCTGTTGCTCTACTACTCTTCAACCCTCGTCGCACAGAGACTCCAAAAAGGCCTTCAGACTCCAAATGACACCCTCATCAATAAGCTTGCATTGCAAATCCACATTTTGACAACACATTTCCCAAATTTAGTCCCCTAATCCACTCCCAGAATATATTATGCTTTGCACCCAACAGATGGATTAAAAGCTTAAATCTTCTGCTTGTTAGGAAACCAACCAGAAACCAAAAATACAAACACATACACCCCTGCAGGTGTGAGTGCAATGGTGGGGGTGAGGAGAGAAGCGTGGGTGTATGTAAGGACCCAAGAGTGTTCACTTTGGGGAGGAGAGAACCACAGTAGAGAATGTGGAGAGGCCAGGGCATCCTCTGGGCTTTGAATGGGGTGAGGGGCAACCAGCTGCTTCCTTAATTCTTCTCAGATCCCTTGATTTAGGCCTTTATGTATCAAGTGTGTGTGTAGGTCTGAAGCACAGGAGAATATCTCCGTGAATATCATGCCACAACATGCCATGTCATGAGCAACATCCAGGTGAATATCACGTGAACTCCCACACAGCAGCTGTGGGTGCGAGTTCTCATGATATTCACCTGGATGTTGCTTATGACATTCTGGCCATGTATTAGGCATGTGTGTAGGTGTGAAGCACAGAATCCCTAGTGTAGGGGCTGCCAGGGTACTCAGTCAAGCTCTCTCCTACATAGAGTGGGCTTGCCTCTTGAGGAGACAGAGGCCTGAGCTGGGGAAGTGAACCTGGAGCCCTCCCTAGCACCAGATTTGGAACCAGATATCTGCCTCCAGTCCGGGGCTCACTCCTCTCTTTTGGAGCCTTGGGGGCTTTGAGGATTTCCTGCTCTTCATTTCTTGGGGTTCCAAGCTTTCATCATGTCAGTGACCACATCTCATTTCCCCTCTGTGCATAAAATTTGTTGAAATCTCTATAATTGGAGGTTGTTATTTTGAAGGTGGTGGGGGTGGGGGCAAATGGGAAGAGGGGGTGCCAAGGGCACTTCTGGAGAATACAAGGGAACCCCCCAGGAGCTGGGCTCATCAGGGGAAGTAGAGAAGATCTCTGGGTGTCTCTGGGAAATTTTACAATCTCTTCCCCATTGTCTTGCTTTCTCATCATTGAAAAATTGCTCAGAATGCAATAAAAACAAGGTGTTCTAATTAAACAGATTTGTTTACATGTTGTGGCATGAAAAACTAATTCAATCTGATATACTGTACATTCCTGCTGTACTTTTTTCCTTCCTTTATATAAAACTGCCCATTTTTAAACAGTATTGTACTTAAGCATCTTAAAGAGTATCCTTGATTAACAGAAAGGAAGCAATTTTCTACTCCCTACAGCTTTCAAAGGATTGTGTCAATAAGGAGAGAAAGAGAGCAGTTGTGGGTGGGAGTTCTTGTGATATTCACCTGGACATTTCTTATGATGGTTCTGGCCATTTAATGTGTGCTGTACCACCAGACTGGACCCTTAGGTGGACTTTGTGCCATGACTGAAACACAGAGGCCCAGAGTGCTGGGAGAATCTAAGGCTGGAGCAGACGTGGGGTCTTGTTCTGAGAAAGAGTAGAGGCTGTCATCACAGATCCTCCCAGGAGGGTGGCGGTCCCAGCATCCTTGTGGAGTCCTGGGAGAGAATCCACAGAGAGGAATGGGTGTGGAGAGATTGACAGGCATGATCATAATCATGATGGTTTTCATCACAAAAACGTTGTGTGGGAATGATTTCAGTTGTTGTATAATAGAAATTCTTTTTTTTTTTTTTTTTTTTTTGAGACAGAGTTTTGCTCTTGTCACCTAGGCTGGAGTGCAATGGCATGATCTTGGTTCACTGCAGCCTCCACCTCCTGGGTTCAAGCGATTCTCCTGCCTCAGCCTCCCGAGTAGCTGGGATTACAAGCATGTGCCACCAAGCCCAGCTAATTTTTGTATTTTTAGTAGAGACAGAGTTTGACCACATTGGCCAGGCTGGTCTCGAACTCCTGACCTCAGGTGATCCACCTGCCTTGGTCTCCCAAAATGCTGGGATTACAGGCCTGAGCCATTGCGTCTGGCCAGAAATTCTATCAATTAAAATTGTCCAAGAGTGGATGAAGATGACTTTATCTGGGGATGTTGGAGTAGAAGCTAGCCTACCATAATTCCAGAATTCTCTGGAAGGAATCTTTGTGTGGGGTAAGAAGTCTGGCTAGTTTATCATCACTTTTAGATTTTCAGAGCTGGAAGTAACCCTACAGCTTCTGGAGAGCAGGGACTCTCCCTAATCTCCAGATCCCCTGTGCCTTGTGCAGTACTGGGGCAGGAGGTGTTGATATTTGTGATGTGAATTGGGAGAGTTAGCAATGCTGTCTCCTCAATGTTCTGGACACCAGCCTTGCTTATTCTGACGTCCTGTCTTCATTCACGCTGTTGCCTTCACTTGGGAACCTTTCTCCATCCACTCATCTTGTTGAAACATAGCCTACCCTTTGAGCCCCTCAGATTCACCACTCCCCTGACCTCTGCTCTCTGTGCATTCATTCTCCACTTATGACCAGTTCTGTGTTGTTTAGCCTGCCCTTTGATGATTCTCCTTGGTGATTGCCTTTTGACACAGTCCTGTCCCTCAGCTGGAGTATGTCCTCTTCTCGGGTCTTTCAGCAGTACCCTGTATTGTTCTGGGGAGACACATGTGGTCAGTAAGGACATCCCCGCTGATGAGTAGGTATTTGAGAATTCTTTCTTCCCCGCTTCCACCTCTCCTTTCCTATTTTTTTTTTCCAATTCATTCTTCATTCCATGAGTGTTTAATGGTCTCAGCCTAAAGTCCCGTGGAGACCAACATGTTCATGCTGTTACATTGCTAGTAGAGAGCACCAGCCCTGAGTGTTAATGTGGGGTTTGGGGAGAGGAAGCATTTGGATCTGGGATATGGCAGCAGCCCATCAGCTTGGCGAGCCTCTGCTAGGGTTTGGAGACCTTGCTTTTTTACTTAGCTCTTCCCTTGCTCTTTTCTGCCCTGCTGCACTCTCCACATCCAGAGGCCCTCCCCCTAAGTAATCCCAATAGAAATGTCTTGGACTGGTGCTTGAGATAAGGGCAGGGAGAAAAGCCTGGAATTAGACTCTCTTTGAAGGAAATATGTATCTCCTGGACCTCACTGGGCTATAACTGAAGAATGGGACAGAGATTTCAAAACTAAAGGCCAGGAAGAAGAAAATGTATGAAAGACACCAAACATATTCTCCCAGTTCACCTACAACACTCCTCTCTGCATGTAGATCTAGAGAGGCTTTCCTTTTTGGCATCCCTGATTCTCATGCCCATGTATTTAATGGTGGGATTGATGTATTTCTTTAAAAATCATTCATTGATATTCTACTAAGTGCTGAAAATTTAACCTGTAATTCAAGAAATGAATGTTTGGCCCAACTTCAAATCCCACTCTTCTCCTACCAAGCCCATTCAGTCTACCTCAGCCAGGTTTCTCACCAACCACCATCTTCCATTGGTCTCACTCACACCTTTATCCTGCCTTCAAACACTGGCTCCTGATGTGATGGTTTTCATCCCTGTCTACTCAGATCCATCTATAATTCAGAGTCCCCCATGCCTCATATCTCCCATGGCTCTCCAGATCCACTCCCCATCTGTCCTCTGCCCTCTAACCTGCAGGATATCCTGTATGAATTATGTCAATGGGCATGTGAGCCCCTTGGCTTCTGGCTTCTTGGGCCAATAAGGAGGGACTTCAGTGGGGATAAAGTATTTCCCCGCTTCATTCCCTGCTGTGGGATCACCTCCATCTGCCACTGTAAGGTCCCTGCCTTCTCTGTGGTCTGCCCTACATGAGGACCTCTCCCTTTCTGAGTCAGTAGCTTCTCCCTCTCCTTCTCCCTTCAGCCTGAAGCTGGCCACAACTCCACTGCTACTGTCCCTGTGTTCCTGCACTAGCTCTTCTGCTTCCTCTTCACCCTGCCTGCCCCATGGTAATAAACTCTCTGTAAAGAAGCTCTCCTAATTTGAATGTTTTATTCTTTCCTGGAGAGTCCCTGACATATGGCTCCCCATATCTATCCCCCATTTTGTTTTGGAACTTATGTAAATCTTATCTTTGGCACACAATCTGGTAATGTTTTCTGAATTAATTTAAAAAATAATTTTAATGCTTATAGATCCCCTGCCTCTCCTGCTAGATTATGACCTCTTCAGCAGAAGGCCTGGGTAATTTTTTTCTTCCTATCTTGTATCTCTTCTAGAACTTGATAGCAAGTAGGTGCTCAAACAAGTACCTGTTTATGGACAGATGAACCATTACATTAGCAAGGTCAGGGCGGAGGGGCATGGGCTTAGAGTTCAAGTTCAAATGATAGGGTTCAAACGTGGCCTTCTTTTTCAGGGGACTGTGCCACCTTAACAAAATCATTGTTCTTTCTAAATCTCAAATTCTTTCTCTCAAAATTGGCATAATATAAGCTACTGCATGGCTCCATATTTCATTTTAATTTTGTAAAATGTGTGGTTGTGATAGTGGTTTTCTGAGGCCTTAATAAAATCTGATTTAAGAAAGCTTACTCTATTTTATATATATTGAATCTGAAGATATAATTTGAGGTCCAATATTGAAAATTTATAAGTCAATTAAAAATCTAAAAATGAGTACAATTTTGTGACTTATAAGATGTTTCAGTCAATGATGGACCGCATATGTGATGGTGGTCCTATAAGAGTATAATGGAGCTGAAAATTTCATTTAAAAATAATTTTAATACTTACATTTCTCTTGCTTCTCCTGCTAGGTCATGACCTCTTGAAAAGGTTTGGATGATTAATATTTTTTTTTTATCTTGTCACAGGGCCATGAAGCATTACTCATGTATTTGTGGTGATGCTGGTGTAAAGAAACCCACTGTGCTGCCAATTGTGTAAAAGTCTAGCACAGTTTTGTACAGAATGTAATACTTGATAACAATAAGTGACTATATTACTGGTTTATATATTCACTACACTATGCTTTTTATTGTTTTCTTAGAGTGTGCTCCTTCTACTTATTAAAAAAAGTTAACTGTAAAACTGTCTCAGGCAGGTCCTTCAGGAGGTATTTGAGAAGAAGGCATTGTTGTCATAGGAGATGACAGCTCCATGTGTGTTACTGCCCCTGAAGACCTCCCAGTAGGACAAGATGTGGAGGGGGAAGACGGTGATATTGATGATTCTGACCCTGTGTAGGCCTAGGTGAATGTATGTGTTTGTGTCTTAGTTTTTAACAAAGAAGTTTAAGAAGTAAAAGAAAAAAATTTTATAATAGAAAAGAGCTTATGGAATAGGGATATAAAGAAAGAAAATATTTTTTACAGGTGTATAATGAGCTTGTGTTTTGAGCTAAGTGTTATTATAAGAGTAAAAAGTTAAAAGTTCATCAAGAAAAAAGTCATAGTAAGCTATGGTTAATATATTATTGAAGAAAATTAAAAAAAAAATTTAGTGTAGCCTAAGTGTGCTGAATATATAAAATCTACCAGTAGAGTCCAGTAATGACCTAGGCCCTCACATTAATTCACCACTCACTCACTGACTCACCCAGGGCAACTTCCAGTCCTCCGAGCTTCATTCATGCTAAGTGCCCTATACATATGTACCTTTTAAAAATCTTTTATACTATATTTTTAATGCACAGTTCCCATGTTTAGATGCACAAATACTCAACATTGTGCTACAGTTGCCTACAGTATTCAGTATAGTAACATGCTGCATAGGTCTGTAGCCTAGGAGCAATGGGCTACCCCATATAGCCTAGGAGTGTAGTAGACTGTACCATCTAGGTTTGTGTAAATATACCCTATGGTGCTTGCACAATGACAAAATCATCTAAGGAGACATTTCTCAGAACATATTCCTGTCATTGACACACCACTTTATATCCTACTAGTGCTAATAGATGTCATTTACTGAGTATTATGTATAAAAGTTTTGAAAGTGTTTTCTCATTTAATTTTACAAGAGACACCAATAACCCTCTTTTACGGAGGAAGAAATTAGTCTTAAAGGTTAAGGAAATTGCTGGAATTCACAGAGTCCAGAAGTGACACTCAGGGTGTGGGCTCTAGATTGGTGCTCCTGCCCCTGGCCATGTGATTTCCTCAGTGGGGCACAGTCAGAGCCAGGATGTCTCCAGGAAGACACCTCCCCTGGGTTATGCATACTTGCTTATCCTGTGTTATCTCTGGGAGAGAGGTTTCCCAACTGGGATTTTCTTTCAGAGCTCTCAAGGCTAAGAGGTGTGAACAGCTGAGAGGAAGAGGGAGAAATATATTTTTCCTTTGTTACAGCCTCATTCCTCCAACTGAAATTTTGGTGTTGTTTCAAGCCATGAAAAAAACTTCAGTAAAATCTTGGTGGTGGAGACAGCGAGGGGAAGATCAAGCCAGTGATATACATACATGGTGGAAGTGACCATCCAACCTGGTAGAAGGTTAGGGATTTTGAAAAGAGGCTCATCAAAGTACTTAGCCCACACGGTAAGGATGTCAGAAATTTTATAATAAGAGTTTCATTTATTAGTAACAGATTTTGACTCTGACAAAATGCATTTGTTGGGGGCAGGCTACAACAGCCTAATGTTTTGGGCTGTTGTCATCACTTGTCCACCTTAATGGTCATGGGTCCCAGCATCTTTGGTTGGCACTATTGAGGCCAGGAAATCCCAAAGCCAGAACAGACCACAAGGCAAAACTTTATTTAGGCATGAATTTGTTGTTGGTAGGATGGCCGGTGTAGATCAAAGGTCCAGGGATTGGTCAGACTCTGGACAAATTTATCTGAGCTCAGAGTGACACCTTTCTAGGTCCCAAGCAAAATCAGGCACGAGCAGAGCTCAATCGCCAACCTCCATGGATTCAGAGGGGAAGCAGGGAGAGGTAAGTATGAGCTTAAAAGTGGAGACCAGGGTCCAGGACTCAAACCAGAGAGATGGAAGTCTAAATAGGGTACTCAGGACAGAGACTCACAACAATATGGCAAACTCTCTTCAGGACAGGCACCGTCTACACTACCCTGCCCTCTCCCCAGTATTTTAGACCTGTCTCATGGATGCTGATCCACAGGAGCTGGGCAGGGTCACAGCTACTCTGAGACATGCTCACAAACCCCATTCTCACAGGCCAGAAAATCAGAATGAAGGAGCAAACCTGTTTGGGGTTCTCCAAGAGGGAAGAAGAAAGGATAAGGTGGGCAAACTCATGAACATCACACAGTGGTCCACACTTTCCAACTGCTGGTGTGGCACAGTGACCAAGCTTTTAATTCTGTCATTAGAACATCACATTAAAATCTTACCAGTTAGTTCTGGTTGTCTGTTGCACAGAACCATGAGAAATGATGGTTCTGTAGATCAGCTAGGCTTAGCCGGGTGGTTCCTGAGTGGGGTCTTTCCTTCAGTTATAGTGACTATAATTGACTGATGTTGGAGTCAACTGAAAGCTCTACTGGGCTTGTGTCCAGTATGGAGTCTTTACTCACATGTCTGATATCTCAGTGAGGATGACTAGAATAGCTAGGACTGTTCAGGCATCTTTCTTTTCCCACACAGCCTCTGCACGGGGCTAGCTTGGGCTTCCTCATAGAATGTCAGTCTCACCATAGCTTGGCTTCTTACATAGTAGCTGGATTCCCACAGAACAAGTAGTCACATATCTATATCTATATCTATATCTATATCTATATCTATATCTATATCTATATCTGTATCTATATCTATATCTATCTATATGTATATATATATCTTTTTTTATTATACTTTAAGTTCTAGGGTACATGTGCACAATGTGCAGGTTTGTTACATAGGTAACATGTGCCATGTTGGTTTGCTGCACCCATTAACTCATCATTTACATTATGTATTTCTCCTAATGCTATCCCTCCCCCTGCCCCCTACCCCATGACAGGCTCCGGTGTGTGATGTTCCCCATCCTGTGTCCAAGTGTCTCATTGTTCAATTCCCACCTATGAGTGAGAATTTGCGGTGTTTGGTTTTCTGTCCTTGTGATAGTTTGCTCAGAATGATGGTTTCCAGCTTCATCCATGTCCCTACAAAGGACATGAACTCATCCTTTTTTATGGCTGCATAGTATTCCATGGTGTGTATGTGCCACATTTTCTTAATCCAGTCTATCATTGATGGACATTTGGTTTGGTTCCAAGTCTTTGCTATTGTAAATAGTGCCGCAATAAACATACGTGTGCATGTGTCTTTATAGCAGCATGATTTATAATCCTTTGGGTATATACCCAGTAATGGGATTGCTGGGTCAAATGGTATTTCTAGTTCTAGATCCTTGAGGAATCACCACACTGTCTTCCACAATGGTTGAACTAGTTTACACTCCCACCAACAGTGTAAAAGCGTTCCTATTTCTCCACAACCTCTCCAGCATCTGTTGTTTCCTGATTTTTTAATGATCACCATTCTAAACTGGTGTGAGATGGTATCTCATTTTGGTTTTGATTTGCATTTCTTTGATGACCAGTGATGATGAGCATTTTTTCATGTGTCTATTGGCTGCATAAATGTCTTCTTTTGAGTAGTGTCTGTTCATATCCTTTGCCCACTTTTTGATGGGGTTGTTTGTTTTTTTTCTTGTAAATTTGTTTAAGTTCTTTGTAGATTCTGGATATTAGCCCTTTGTCATATGGGTAGATTGCAAAAATTTTCTCCCATTCTGTAGGTTGCCGGCCCTCAGAACAAGTATTCTAAGAGGTGTAGGTGCAACTGTAAGGCTTCTTAGGATCTAGCCACAAAAGTCACAGCACCGCTTCTGCAGTACACTCTCTCTCTCTCTTTCTTTTTTTTTTTTTTTTGAGACAAAGTCTCATTCTGTCGCCCAGAAGGCTGGAGTGCAGTGGCACAATCTCAGCTCACTGCAACCTCTGCTTCCTGGGTTCAAGCGATTCTCTGGCCTCAGCCTCCTAAGTAGCTGGGACTACAGGCACGCACCACTATGCCCAGCCAATTTTTGTATTTTTAGTAAAGACAGAATTTCACCATGTTGTCCAGGCTGGTCTCAAATTCCTGACCTCAAGTGATCCACCTGCCTTGGCCTCCCGAAGTGCTGGTATTACAGGTGTGAGCCACCGTGCCTGGTCCCCTTCTGCAGTACTCTTATTGGTTAAAAGCAAGCCATAGGATCAGCCCAGATTTAAGAGGAGATTTAAGAGGCAATGTCCACATAGTGGTGTAAATACCAGGAGGTATGTATGGTTCATTGTGAGGCTACCTCACATTGTGTCAGCTGTGTGAATGTAGACAAGGCCTAGAACACTCAGTGCCTCCATTTTTTCGTGTGCAGAATGGGAAAGGAAGTTACAAGGGCTGTTTCTGAGTGTTGTTTACTTATTAACATATACATGTCAAGGATTTCCCACAAGGACTGGCACAGCTAGGGGTCCGTGTTAGTCCATTCTCATGCTGCTATGGAGAAGTACCCAATACTGGGTAATTTATAAAGAAAAGAGGTTTAATTGACTCACAGTTCTGCATGGCTGGGGAGGCCTCAGGAAATGTACAATCATTGTTGAAGGGGAAGTAAACACGTCATTCTTCACATGGCAGAAGGAGAGAGAAGTGCAGAGTGAAGGGGGGAAAAGCCCCTTATAAAACCATCAGCTCTTGTGAGACGTTACTCACTACCATGAAAACAGGATAGTGGAGCTGCCCTCGTGATCTAATCACCCCCCATGAGGTCCCTCTCCCAACATGTGGGGATTACAATTTGGATTACAATTTAAGATGAGATTTTGGGTGGGAACATAGCCAAACCATAGAAGGGTTCAACCACAGTTGGCACTTGTTAGTTATACATTACCTTCATCCCACACTTGGATTTCTCCTAGTATTTAATGTGTACATATCTTATCTTCCCTGCCATGCTGAAAGCTCCTTGAGGTCAATAATTATCCTATACTTCTCTCTTTAAATTTATTTCAGTTGTCCAAAAGAAATGCCTGCTGAAAGAAACAGAAGGAAAAAGAGAAGAGGGAGCTGGGGACCATGCAAACAAGCCTGGACACCTTTATAATTTTCTTTGGGCTCAGCATGGCACCCAAGCTCCTTAGATCTGACCTTTGCCTTTTCTGGAAAAAACTAATAAGTTATCCTAGATTGTATGGTGGGCATTATTAATCTAGTTAATAGATTGCACTGTTTTTATGAGGGCTTTAGCCCATTAATTGTTTCCATGCAAATGGATGCCGTTAATTACAAATTAATCTTATCTTTTCGTTAAGGCAGGGCCATCAGGACCTCCACTTGGCAATGCTTGCTGGCACTTGATATGAATCAATGCGTACACTTGAAAGTAATAAAACTGTATTTCTTTAAAGATAGTTAATAAATCAGATCTTCATTAATGCAGATAGGCCAGACCCCCTACTTGTCTAATTTAATGAGGTTCTAATTCATTACTGTGATTCATGTGTCCCCCTGGGGATGATGGCCAGCAGGGCAGGGCACATAGTAGGCAGTTAATAAATCCTGTGTTTTCTGAGTTTTCCGGCAGTGGGGAGGTGCTCCACTAGTCTTTCTCCCCATCATAAATGTCATTTAGATCTTCAGCAGCCTTAATGCCATTTCCCAGGTAGTCATACAGGACCCCAAAGAGGAAACACAACTTTCCAGCAAAGGCTGTTGCTTTTATGCCCTATCTATGTTAGAAATTCAAGGGTTCCCAATTGAGAAAAGAAGGAGGGTGGCATCAGGAACACTGTTTGAGCCAGAGTGTTGGCTTGGTTAGCTGGTCATTGGACTCAGTGGCTGAGGCAGTCAGATGGGAACTGTCTGCCTGCCCTTGTCCATCCACCTGAGCATAATGAATGAACCAGTGAGCAATGGAATCCCAGTTTCTTCTTGGGACACATTAACGATTCATGTCTCAGTGAGACTACTAAATTGTTCCATAGTCTCTTTTCTCAGATTTCTTTTACACGAAAGCTAGTTCCTCCTCATTATATTTATTTCCAGTCTAGGACTGGGCCTCAACTCACATACTTCTAGCTACTGGGGTCTCAGGAGCTAAACCCCGGCTTTCTGTTTACAGAACAAGCGTGGGCCTTCAGACGCAGTGGACTTGCCTGTCCCTTTCCATTCTGCCCATGTGACTGGTGCACCAGGACTGAGTCCAGAGGCACCACCACAACATGGGGAGAGGTGTATGAGTGCAGTGGGAGTGGAGGGGAAAGAAAACATGGCTTACGTTTTAGACTTGGGGAGCTGGCAGTGTGATGAAACACTTCCCTCCGTGCTGCCGAATTCATTTCTCTAAAGTTCCACTGTGCACAGAACCATTTGTTTCCACATTGTTTTTATTAAACAAGAAAGGCGAGCTTTATTACTGCGCAAATGAAAGCGGCCGGCAAAGACAGATACTTCCCAGATTCTTATTAATCTCCAAGAGTTATGGGGCCTCTGAAGTCCCAAAGAAATTAACATACTCCACAGAATTTTCTCAGCAAATCACCCAGGTGCCGCACCCCTCCTTATGGGTAGCTATAACTGCCCTGCCCCGGGCAGCTTCAGGGGGCTCTCTTTACCTGTCGGTGGCCTTCTCCCTCTCACCCTGTCATCTGACCCCACCCTCTCTTAGGTTGCACGTGGGCCAACATCATGCTTCAGTGCCCCATCATGGATTTATTTGTACACCGATTCTGGGCATTGTCTGGAAATGTGGATTTAGGTGTCGTTCAATTTACTTCCATATACAATTAAATATGTATGGATTATTTGCTACTGTAATGTGGGAGAGTCTTGACATCTGTGAGATTATATCCTGAGGCCTCTGTGAATCTCAAACGCATGAAAAATACAGTCATGTGTAGTTCCCTCTCTCTATAAATGCAGAACAATGATCACTCACTCATTCTACAAATATTTACTCAATGCCCTCTGTGTCCTCGACACAGTAGTCTCTGCCCTCAGAGGGTCCTGGGTGTGATGGGAAGGCTGGGAAGACATGGGAGAGTTTGAATGAAGGAACAACAGGATGTGTCTTATGATTTTCAAGGATCATATTAGTTGCTGTGTTCAAAGCAGTCCATCAGGGACAAAGCAGACATAAGCTGATGAGTTATAAGGATGCTGTAACAGCCCAAGGAAAATGAGATAGTCCAGGGTGGGCATAAGTGGCAACTGGAGGTATTCTAGATATGTTATGAAGGTATAGAGGCACAAATAAGAACTGACGCGGCACCTTCAGATCTCTAGCGAGAGGTGCAGTGCCTGTCCAAAGGGGAGAACCGCTACACTGGGGGATCGATGAGTGTGGGGCAGTCAGCCAGGCTTGCTCTCTAGGCTCCTGCCTCAGCCTACTATATCAGCCCCTAAATGGAAATCAGACTCCAGCAAAAGGGTAACCTACTGTTATGTCGTATGATTTGGGGTTTCATGAAAACAGTCAAAGATGGCGTAAGAGAATCTGTGAATGCCAGGGTCTGCAGTATATACAATTTGAGTAGCATATATTAGTTTAAGGTATTTTTAAGCTGGTTTTCCATTAAAGAAGTAAGGTGGCCCAAATGTCTAGTTAGCCCCGTTTTACAGGTGAGCAAGCAAAGGCTCAGAGGATTTTAGTGAATTTCCCAAAGTCACAAGATAATTAGACAGGTCCAAGGCTAAAGCCTGGATCTCATGTACACAAGTGCAGCTTTTCCCATGGTTCCCATGCAACTTCCTTACTGGGTATCCAACCCTGTGCTGGGGTTGAGAATGGTGGCGAGGAGGAAAAGCAATGCCGAAGGAGATCTGGTCCTTGTCCTAGAAGAGCTAAAGTTTCTTTGCAGGTAAGACTTAAATATACACACAACTCTTAAGGCAGAGTATGTCCTGGAATGGCACTCTTCAAAGTAGTGTTTGGTTAGGTGTTGGGGTTCTCCTGACTATAAGTGCCTCCAGCCATTAAGTTCGTCCCTATGGAATATCACATGATGGGGTGAGGGCTCCAAGACGGAGCACATAGGACCAGATAATGTCCATATCATTGAGGATCAGTGTGTTTAGAAAATTCTTATTCTCTGATCTCATGTTTCCACCTTCCCACCCAAACCGTTTGGTTTAAGCAAGGCCGGTGGCCCTAGGTCCTTCTCACAATAAAGTCATTTCTGCCATTAATGGCTTTACTTACCTTGGTTCCTTGTTCCCTTTGGAGGGAAGGCCCTTTTTCTCTTCCCACCAGGGTAAACCTCATTCCATTTTCCAGAGAGGCCCCAGTGCCACTGTCCTAAATATGTTTCCTGCTGCTGTGTACCAGCTCCCGCAGAGTACAGAGGTAAAAAGTCCAGAAAAGCTTGGAGGGGAAGTTTAGGGGTAAGGAGAAAATGTGGAAAAGCTTGAGTTGAGAATGGGGCAGGAGTGTGAGAGGAAGAATGTTGTTTAAACACCTAGACGGGGTATTTCTGGATGCTGAGAGAGGTTCAGGGTGAAACCACAAATCAATTTGCATCACAGAGGAATGACTGCATGGTACTGTTTTCCTAAGGTGGGAAGTAGAAACCAATTCAAAGGGTTTTAATGACTCCCAGAGGGGCTCTGAAGGATCTCACCTGTAAGAACTGGCGAGGGTGAAAGAGAACAGGTTAGTCAGCAAGGGCAAGCCTAGCTCTCTCCAGACGTGGGGCCTCTCAGGAGCCAGGGTCAGGAGTCCAGGAGTAGAAGGAGGTGTGGGTGAGCAAGGCCTCCTGGGACTCTTATTTGCTAGCAGATGGCCCTACTGCCTGCTAACTCTGGAGATCACATCAGGCCCTAAGCTTCCTGAAGTGCAAATTGGAGTGGGAACTGGGGAGTCCAGGACCCCTCTGTCCCTGTCCATAGCACTGCCATTGAAGGTTGAGTCAAGGATAGAGCTTCTAATACTTCTCTACTTCCCTGTGCTGGGACACTGGGGGAAAATAAGGGGTGTGCCCTCCAAGACTGCTTTGCCTGCAGTCTTATTCCTTGGCTTAAGGCATGGGCATACATATGTTACCCAGGACAAAGCATTGGAAGCTCCTTTCTTGGAAGTCACTCATATTGGGATGAGATGATCAAAGTCTTTCCAGGTGGAGCATCTTGGAGGAGACTAGGGTCTGATATGAAGAGAAGTTTTTGGCACAGGATCTTGGTGAGTGCAAGTCTAGATGGGATCTGTGATTGTGTGTGTGTGTGTGTGTGTGTGTGTGTGTATGTGTATGTGTGGTGGGGTGGGACACCTGCACCTGCATCCAGGATTCCTATGGGGTCCCCAAACCAAAGAAGATTCCAGAAATCACTTGAAAAGGGGTGATCTTAGAGACCAGGTTGTATCTTTCTTCACATTCTCAAGTCTCTTGGGCTAAGATGTGATCAATTGCTGGTCCAGTTGGATGGCCAGGAATGACTATCTGATAGTGACATTTACATATGCAGCATGACATTTTCCTCCTTGGCGATTCAATTCTTTTTCTATTTACTTTTGTTTATCATTATAGCCCCCTAAGTGCATTTAGCTCCATCAATATAAGCAATCCAGCCAGCCATACTGGCATTTTTTTTTCTCTTAAGGCTGGTTATTTCCCCAGGCCCCTTTTCTCTTGTTCTTTTTCTTATTCCCACACTGGGATATTATGTCCCTGGTGCGGCATGATTGAGCAGATGAGTCTCTTGAGAAGGACTCCCCTCTGCCTCAGGTACACTCGACTCCCCAGTGGTAAGAGAACATACAAATGGGAGCTCCAGCCCTGCAGCAGGCTGGAGATGGCACACATGGACAGGCTAGCACTCTAACCACTGGGACTCATTCCTTATAAGAGAGACTTGCAAGGAGATATGAGCTCATCTGGCACAAAGGAGCCTTATTCTAGGAGCCTGACTTACCTGCAAAACCTTTGTCCAAGCACAGGACTGCTAAGAGGTGGGGAGGAGAAAGAGAGAAACAAATGGGAGGGACAGAAGGAAAAAAGAGGAGAGGAGTGGAGGGGAGAGGGGAGAAGGAAAGGAGAGAGGGCATCTGGAAAAATGCACTGAACCTAGAATTAGAACTTGTGGGTTGACATCCAAGTTCCGTACTTGCTGATTTTAAGAACTAGACAAGTTGCTTCTCTCTCTGAGCTTCAATTTCCTCCCTGTGACATGAAGAATCATATCACACCTTGCCAATCCAACAGAGCAACTGTGAAAATCAAATGAGGTAACATAAGCTGATGTATTGTGTAGTGTGAAATGTCCTCTAATATAAATAAATACATCTGTGTATATTTATGCCCCTGCACACTCATTTGCCTGTTGTCATAATTGTATCACCATCCTGTGCAAGTGCACATCAATTTCTGTTGCACCTTTGTCTTTGCCAATTCCCACGTCTGGCACACTTTGACCGTTTCTGACCAAGCCTTACGTATTGTTATGAACCATTGCTCAAGCATCTGCTAAAGTCCTTTGGCCTTCGAGAAGCATTTCTTGACTGCCCAGCTACCACTAATACTGCCGTTCTTTGAATTGTGAGCCCTAGCAATGGGGGAGAATGACTCAGGAAAGCTCCCTCCCCAGCCCTACCTGCTGCTACAGTCTAGCTATTGGCTGGAATTGTGAATTGTTTTAAATGTGAACACAGATGGGATGCTGTTATTGAACCATTTAGGAACTATTGTATTTTTATACAATGCCCCACAGTGTCCTGGGGTAGGAGAGTGTGTAGGGAAAGAGGACAGAGACTAAAGGTTTCACGGTGGGCTAAGATGAAGAGGGCAGTGCGTGGGTTTCTCATAAAGGATGCCAGACAGAATGGCAGGTGGCACTTCCCCCTTCTATCCTGAGCATAGCTGAGGACCCATTGTGCTGCTTGTTGTCCTTCCTCTAGACATGAGCGGTGGCAGATTGGAAGCCCAAAGCTGCTGTAACAAGTCAAGCCATTTTGAGAGGTGTTTCTTGACTGTTTAAGAAATAGTAGCTCGGAGAACAGAGGAGAGCACCTGTCAACCCCTGTTTTCTACATTGCAGGAACCACAGGTCACAGTGGGAAGCCTCAGTCTTTGAGTCAAAAGAGTGGGAGAGGGAAATGCACAATAGTTATCTTATAGTCCATATCCTAGCATGTGGCAAAGGCTCTCCCATCTGCCTATTAAATTGAAATGCACACAGAACAACAACAACAATAACAACAGATGACACAGGCATAGGTCAGGCACTGTTCAAAGTGTTTCATACATATCACTCCATGTAATTCCCAGAAGGGCCGTAGGAGGTAAATACCGTCATTAACCCCATTTTATAGATGAGGACACCAAGGTAAAGGGAGACTGAGTAAGTTGGTGTTACGGTCACATATCTAAAGAGTGATAAAGCTCAGGTTTGAGCCAGGCAGTCTGGCTCCACCATCCAAGCTCTCTTTCTCTCTCTTTTTTCAGAGACAGGGTCTTGCACTCTGGATGGAGTACAATGGTGTGATCATAGCTTACCGTAACCTCAAACTCCTGGGCTCAAGTGATCCTCCTGTCTTGGTCTCCCAGCACTGGGATTACAGGCATGAATACCACACCCATCCCTATCCAAGCTCTTAACCACTGCACTATGTTTCCACACACACTCTCTCTCTCTTCGTGTGTGTATGTGTGTGTATACAGATTTGACGTAGTGAGAGACTGACCTGGAAGGGCAGAGAGTCCACATTAGTATAGGAGAAGAAGTTAGGAATGATTGGAAGGATAGGAGCTCTGAAAGGGAGAAATCCTGGTGGGCTTTGAGGAAAGCCTCTTTTTCAAAGAGCACATCCTCTAACAACTTATAGCAATTCCCACAAATAGGAATATTCCTGAAATAGACCATTCCTTCATATGCTAAGTTTGTATCAAGCTCATCCTTGTCTCATTTTTAGAACTTTAGGTAATCTTGACTTTCTATCAGTTGTCTGTGCTTTGAATTCTCTCAGGAAGTTCTTCCTGAGGTTGTTCCTCTTTTTGGCTCACAAAACGTGCTTGGGCAAGCAGGCTGTGAGGCTGGTGGCAGACAGGAAGGGAGCCTGAACGCCATGGCTGCTGTTACACCCTGTTAGCCTCCTTTCCTCGAGAACTGATTATGTGTACTCAAATAGAGCTGGGAGGGGTGTGGGCCAGATCCTGGTCTGCTCTCCTACCCCTATAACTCTTAGCACAGAGTTTTGTACATGGTTCAAATTTGAATACCTTGTATTTATTAATTAGAGATCCACAACTGACAAGAAGTGGCCTTTCCTGGAGCCTTTTCCAAGCCTGGTTTGGTTCATGGGCAAGTCCTAGGCTTGCTCAGGGGTCAGTCTTGGCGGACTTCAAAGTGAACTTCTCAGCTTAAGCTACAAATTTTGTGGAATTTTCCACATTGAGGAATGCCATTTTCAGAACACAAATGTTCGTTTGGCCTATTGCATTTGTTATCAGACAACCTATCACTTGAGACACGAGAGAAGATGTGTTTTCTCAGCTTTAGTGATGTTGTCTTATGGGAGAAGTTCCACACAACAGAAGCTCGGGGAACCTGGTGATATGATTTAGAAGCAATTCACCAGGTCAGAGACACTGTTAAATCAGAAATGTGGCAAGGGGACAAGAGAGAAATCTGGAACAGTTATTTTGTCTACAAATCAAGGGCATGGTAAAGTTTCTTACTTTTAACTTCTATTGAAACAATGACCATAAACAATGTGCAATGCTAAAAACTAATTAAATAGCCACCCTAAATCAACAAAAAAGAGTAAATCGAATTTTAAGTAACATTTGCTCCTGTGAAATGTCCTTCTCCTTGTTTGGGGCCTGTCCCAATGCTGATGCTTCTGTAAGTCAGGCCTCACTGATGGGTGAATTGAGCAGCCTGTCCCTACAGTCTCAGCTGGCTTCAATTCTGACTGAGCATTTCCCTCAATAGCTCCTCCTCCTCCACCTCCTCATGATCATCATCATTATGCTTTCCTTGAAGCCATTTGTTTAAACTGCAATGTTCCCTTTTTTTCTGCATATCTAAATCCTGCTCATTCTTATAACACCCTCGGTTTTTACATCCAGTCTACCCAACAGTTCTTTAACATTCCTGCCTTTTAATGAATACCTCAATGATTATATCTCTTACTAGCCACCTTTTACATCCAGCTTCATGAAAGCTGTTCATTCAGTTCTCATCATTCTTATCAGTTTCATAGTGCCCCTGCTCCCTGCTGCCACCTCTCCCCATTCCTTGCCACCCCTGGCCTCTGTACTCACCAGGATAGGCTGCTTTATGAAGGAAAAAAAGATTCCCAAATGTCAGTGGCCCAACACCACAAAGCTTTATACTCTGTACACATGAAGTCAGTTGCAGGTCTAGATAATTTTCCAAGCAATTGACTTACATGTGGTGACTCAAGGATCTAAGCCAAATAGTCTTTTCCATCAAGGAACTGTACCTTGGAGCACAGGGCCTCTTTGATCACCATCACTGGACAGATTGTGCGTTTCACTCACCCATCCTGGATGTGACACTTACCATTCCTGCTCACGTTTCATTGTCCAATTAATCACACAACCCTACCCACTTACCAGCAGTTGAAAAATTTCCAGGTATCTGGAAAGAGGAAAGAACCAGATATTAGGGAACACATCCCTAATTAGATAATAACGTTTTGAAAGAAGCTTGGGTTTCTTATATTTCTTAGTGTCTCCCATGATATTTTGGGTAAAATAGGCTCTCAACAGTGTCTGTTGAATAAATAACATCATTAGCCCTTAAGAAGCATTAATCTGTGACAAGATTTATGCTGAGCATATTGCAAGAATAAAGATCTGCAATGAAAAGCCTGGTATGCACTGGATCATTCATTCATTCATTTGTTTATTCATTCAACAAATACCTATTGAGTGCCTTATGATCCTAGGCACTGTGCTGAGCACTTGTGAGTGATGCGTGAGTGAGTCATTGTCCTTGTGGAGCTTACATTCTAGAGAAGGAGACAGATAACAAACAACAGATATAACAAAGAAACTAAATAGTGTGATAGAATGTTGTGCATTGTGAACATAAAAATAGAGCAGGGTAAAATATATAGTGACTGTGAGGATTGGGGTGCAAGAATTTTAAAGTGGGTGGTCAAGGCAGACTTCATTGAAGTGACATTGAAAAAGAAGTAGAGGAGACAGTTAACCATGCAGGTATTTGTAGGAAGAGCATCCAGGAAGTGGGAATAACTTCTGCTAAATCCTAAGGTGTGGCATGTTTGAAGACTAACAAGGAGTCCATTATGGCTGGAGTGAGATAGAGTGAGCCAGGGATGATGAATTCAGAGGGGTGATGGGGGCCACATCAGGAGGGCTTGTAGGCCATTGGAGGACTTTGGTTGTTCCTGTGAGTAAAATGGGAAGCCATTTAAGGGTGATGGACATGTGTGAGACATGACCTGTGTTTGAAATTGATTATAGGAAGCAAAGGTGTAAGCTGGAAAATCAGGAGTGAGAATAATAGTTCATGAGAGAGATAATAGTGCTTAGAACAGGGTGCCAATAGGGGAGGTGTTTTTAGCTACATACATGTATATAAATACTTTTGTGGTGATATATATGTGTAATACATACCTATGTGTGTTATGAATACATATAATCTAAAGAGGAAACTTTAGGTTTACATCTCATTTGCATACATAGATACATTTCTTGGCCCTTATTTTTGCCTTTTCAGAGAACTTTTTCATGTATTATGACGCAAAACAACTAAAAAGAGAGAAGGGGCTGGTACCATTATTATCCTCCTCCTATGTGTCACCTTTATGGAGAACTTTATGGGGACAGGGCCTAAGTGGAAACAGTGCTTAGAGTCCCTGTGGCCCTGCCACCACAGGGATGGGGTTTTTAGGGCCTGGCTTCCCAAGCACTCACATCACAAAGTCTTAGAGAAAGAAACTTAATCAACAGAGTCGAATGGGTGGTAAGATAAGTTCCACATAATCCCCAGTCTCATCGAATCTGAGCATCTCTTAATAAAACTCACAGTTGTTGTGGGGAAGGGATATGGGGCTACAGCCTCTTCAGCCCGCTGAGCTACCACCTGCTCCCGGCAGGGGCTGCACCGTTAATCCCCTGAGCATCATAGCTTATTTCCCAGACTGCTTTCTCTTCCAAAAAGAAAATAACCGCTGGTCTGTGAGCTACATCAGAAAGTCTCTCCAAATGCCATCAGAGCCTCTGGCTGCTGCCTGTGTCGTGCTTCCAGTGACCCCAGGGTGGACCACCTACACCAACATTCCTTTTAACTAATACCTGCTTGCTCATGTTTCATTGTCTCAGGCCTGCCACATTGAGGGCTGCTTCTCTTCTCTGCGCCAGGCCTCAGTTTACTTCTGTTTATTTTATTGCCATGTGATGGTGATTGCTGGATATGAGACCAAGACTGGCTAAGAGCGTTTCACAATCTTCCCTTAATTTGTTGTTAGATGCTGGGTCAAGAAATCCCCACATCTTGGTGGCACTGATCTGAATCTGCCTGAATGGGCTGTGTTTGGTTTTCCTAGTGTGTCCCCAACAACTACTGAGCAAATACTTAATGATACCAACTACCTCCTGCCAATTAAGTGTCCAGCCCTTTCTGAGCATATTCTCTCTTTGACGAGCATGTTGCAAACACCACTGCAGTTGGCAGTTTTGTCTTTGCTAATTGTGCTGATGACACTACATCTGCTGCTCCACCACTGTCCTATTCTGCTCTTTACTATCCTGCTCTCTGCCTTAGGATGCTGACCCTTGCATCCTACATCCCCCCAGGCTCCCTTGCAGTCCTCTGTCTAACTCCCTGTTGGCTTCAACCACAGTGAGACACCAGCAGGATGCTGGAGCTGCAGGAAGGAGAGCGAGGTCAAGGTGTTTCTTCCCTGCTCTCCCGCTTTGGACAGCAGTTCTGGTATGACCATTACTCTATACCTGCAGCTACTAACAGCTGGGCCCTCTTCTAGGGTTCTGGCTCTCACTGGGTTCTGGTAACATCTTTCCTCCCACCCTTGCCCTTTCAGGCTAAGTAAGGGTGGCAACAGCCCCTGCTATACAAATATTTGGGTGCCTTGACATCTCTTGTTGGCTTCCTTAAATTTGCATTTAATCCCATCATTAAATTCTTTTCAAAACCCCAGCTTGGTTGCCTTGCATTTCCTGCTGGAGCCTCATCAATGAGAAGTTCTCTCTGAAGGTAGGGGTGAGATTTGGCCATAGGTATGGGGGACTCTTCCTATTATGTCACCCAAGGTTTCTGTCCTTACCCTTTTCTGGTGTACGGTTTGATTAGGGGACTTTACCACATCACTTCCAGGGATGGGAATGAAGGTCATCTGCCAATGAGGGCACACTGGTGTGGGCTTGAGGCAATGGGGGTGGGGGCTGAAATGAGAATGTGTGAACAGTGCCTTGGGGAACCCACAGACTGGCTGGGGATATAAGACATCACATACCATCAAAACAATATAACTAATGATCGTGAAAAAATGATATCCTTATTTATTGAGCACATAATATGTGTTAGGCACAGTGGCATATAGTAGACTGTATGTAAATTGTTCCTAATTCTCACAATACCTTGCAATGTTAGTATTATGAGCTCTACTTTACAAACAAAGAAGCCTGATACCGAGGGTACCAAGTGACTTGCCAGATACTACTGGAGCTGGATTTAAAACCAAGCTTTTTGGCCTCTAAACCATGATTATTCTTGCAGCTGTATCATATCTACTCATGACATAGAAAATAATACAGGTTAATGTATGTGAAGCAGGGTGCCAGTGGGATGCAGCTCAAACTCTGTGTGCAATAGAAGGTCATACCCAGGAAGAGCAATGTGCAACATGAGAGATTTCATTAGACAGCAAGATTTGATCTGCTCCTTGAAGGAAAGAAATGAGGACATGTGGAGAAAGAGAAGAGCGATGAGGGCACAAATGCCAGTGCTCTGTCCAGAAGTAATGACTCTCTGACTTAAGGAACTGAGGAAGTGGCTTCCCAGGCCTTGTGACTCTCCCTATCTTTCTTTACGTTGCCTTTAGTGCTGAGAATTATCACCCCTCTCATCACTTCCTATTCACCTAAGTCCTTGCAGCCTTCCCTTACCAATTCTTGGAAATACAGGTGAATTCTCCATGGCTTCCAGGTAGAAGTCATAGGACTTTTTCAGTTCTTATCTTGCTTTCTGCAATAAATGAGCATAAACCTCCTCCTATAGGATCTTAGTAAACATCTTTCCTCTTGTGATCTCTAGGACACCACTTTCTCTGTAGTCTCCTTCTTTCTCTGTGCCCATTCACCACATCCTTCTTTCTGTCTCTGTTCTTCTCCTTTCCTGTCTCAACTCCTAATCCCAGTCTGGCTATCATTCCCCATCATGGAGCAAGCTCTGCCATCAACATGATGCAGTGGTTAGAAGTGTGAGCTCTAGACCTTGTTGACCTGGGTTTGAGCTTTTGAATCTTCCATTTGCCACTTCTTAATTGGGCAACTTATCATACCTTGCTGTGCCTCCACATTGGGACAGAACCTAGCACACAGCTAGCACTTGATAAACATCAACTGTTATCCATTCAATTGTCCAAGCAAGAAACCTAGATGTCACCCCGGACTGCTCCTTCCTCCTCATCCCACCTCTAATCCAGCACCAAGGATCCTAATCTTCTGATTGCCTCTCAGAGCTGCCTAGTTTTGGTTTTCTTCAGATCTGCCCATCTCAGAGCCTCATGTGGGGTTTGAGTCTTAACTGTTCTATTTGTTTTCAGCTTTCCTTGCCTTGATCCAATTTTTACTTTGAAGCCAAAGTAATCTTTCTAAGAAACAAGTATGACCTCACCCATGCTTAAAATCCTACTGGGATTGCTACTGCCTTCAGGATGGAGTCCAAATGCCTTGGAATGTAATGGAGGGCCCATATGCTTCCTTCTCCCTTCCAGTCATACTTCCCATCTCCTGCAAGCTTCCCAACATCCATTCCATGACCTAGCCATACAATTTCCTAAAGCTGATCATTAAACATGGATCCATTCCTGCCGGATGAGACTCACTGGCACTGAGTGCCCCAGGAACCTGCATGTCTAACAAGTGCTGTACAAAGTCAGCCAGTTTTCACTATGCTGATAGTCCTTGGTTCTCTCTCTCCTCTTCTCCCTGCTTCCTTTTGGCCTCACACACTGAGCAGGGCCAGGTTTTATTCTAGTAAACTTGGGTAACAATAGATATGATTGTCAGCCTCCCTGGGGCTGGCCAGGTTTTTATGAAATTAGACATATTTGTCTTGATGTTTAGGAGCAAGCATGAAATTCAAATCTGTGTGTTGGCATTCCGCGGGCTGGGCCTTTAATATTCAATGACATAACTTCATTGCGGGTTTGACAACACTATATAGAAGTTGTGCTTACCACTGAAAATTAAAGCTACTGAAAGCGTTGACAGCAGCAAAATTGTGAATGCTTCCCAGCTCCCGAAGTGATTGCTATTCCAGTTTGTCTAGAAGTGCTTATTGTGTTTGTAATACCGTCAGTTCCACTTAAAGACGACTTGAAGTCGATGCCATACAGGTAAGTACCAAAGAAATCTCTTCCTTCCTCTCTCCACTTCTCTATCGCCTCCCACACGATTTTTCTACTCAGGGTCTATTTGCCTTTAGTTATAGAGCCCCTGATTCCCTCAAATTCTGAGCCAATTGATTATATTCCTCTTTCAAGTTGCCAGGTTAGCTAGACTTTCATTTTTTCTCCTGTTCATTTTCCTTTTCTTTTTTTCCCCCCTTTTCTCCCACATGATTTTCAAGGAAATTGAGTTATAGTGACTTACTCCACAAATCCCTTGGGTGTGTGAATGACATTTTCTTGTGTGTAAAGGAAATGTTGTGTGGGGTGGTGAGGAGGATTTGGCATCTGAGGAAGGATTATTTGAAATTAATGCTAAGAATAAGGAGAGACAACTGTATTAACTGACTTCATGTCAAAAAGGGTAAAAAGAAAACTTAAAAATAATTATTTAATAATGGCCTGCTTTGCTATTGGTGGTAGCATTAAAGCAGACATTTTGACAGACAATGCTGGCAAGCCAGCCTCCTTCTTAGGTTGGTTTCTTGGTTTGGTCTTTGAAGATTTCCTTCCCCTTTTGCAAATTGAGGCAGAATGGTTTTTATCAGAGAAAAAAGAAAAAAATATATATATGTATATATATACAGAGAGAGAGAGAGAGAGAGAGAGAAAGAAAGAAAATATATATAAAATATATATTTTCTTTCTTTCATATATATGTATATATCTGTGTGTGTGTGTGTGTGTGTGTGTGTGTGTGTGTGTGTGTGTGTGTATTTTTTTTTTTTTTTTGAGAAGGAGTTTTCTCTTGTCTCCCCGGCTGAAGTGCATGATTGTGCATGCATGATCTCGGCTCACTGCAACCTCCGCCTCCCCGATTCAAGCAATTCTTCTGCCTTAGCCTCCCTAGTAGCTGGGATTATAGGCAACTGCCACCAAGCCTGGCTAATTTTTGTATTTTTAGTAGAGATGGGGTTTCACCATGTTGGCCAGGCTGGTCTCAAACTCCTGACCTCAGGTGATCTGCCTGCCTCGGCTTCCCAATGTGCTGGGATTACAGGCTTGAGCCACCTTACCTGGCCCAGAAAATATTCTTTATGCAAGCCTTTTAGATAAACTTAAGCAAGCTGAGATCCTTGGAATGGTAAACTGAGATGCAAATAGGAGAGCTGAGAGGACTGCCTGGGGCTTTGAAAGCAGTGATCCTGGAGAGACCCTGTGGCTGGAGGGGCAGTGTTTCCAAGAACAGTCTAGCATGAGGGAGCAGCTGTGTGGCACTCACCGCAGTAGGCTTGGGGAGCCAGCGTTTGGGCAACTCCCAGGCTCTAACTTCCTGCTTCCATCAACATGCTTCTCATTGTAATTCACTTTTTCACTTTTCCAGAGCCTGCTGGACAAGAAGTTTCCCACTATAGACCATGAGCATTCTTTTCTGTTGCCATCCACCCTCAGGGTTTGAAAATTATGAACCCCGTTGCTGGGGCAGAGCAACTTTGGAGTGATTTGAATGGTGATCAGCAGGTACAAATATCTGAACACCATATTCTTCCTGGACACTTTATAATTCTTATTAGTTTGGCATAATCTTTCCTGACTTTTCAGAAGGACCATGTTATTCAGTGGAGCCTTGCATTCAGATAACCTTCCAAGGAGACTCTGGTACTTAGAGATACCATGTTTGTAACTCTTAAGCGGCCTGTTAAAGCCTTTAATGAGTTGCTGGCACCAAAAGGATTCAGTTGGATTAAGGAACATGGAGAGATTTTACATTTTTTATGTATTTAAAGTAGAGGATTTTTTGTTTGTGTATTTGTTTGTTTGTCTTTTGTAAACTTTCCTAGTCAACACACATCTTGGCTTGTTTGTTCATCTCTTTAAATGATACAGCAAATTTTGGTCTCTGTCCGTGCCACTCCTCTCTGACTGCACATGAGATGGGTGTTGTGGTCTCTTGGGTGGATTGGAGGCTTGGAATGGGCCTTGGTGACCATTTCCTGAGTTTTCCCTATTAAATTTGTTCTTTGGTGCCTAATTTCTCCTACTATTAGGACTATGATTTTTATTTTTTTAAAAATCTGGACTTTTGTCCAGAACTTTGAAACATGGCATTGTTCCATGGAACTATGAATGTGAGTGATTTAGACATCATC
The DNA here is from genome assembly GCF_000001405.40 of Homo sapiens. NCBI lineage: Eukaryota > Metazoa > Chordata > Mammalia > Primates > Hominidae > Homo > Homo sapiens. Next base: position 37,710,846 of record NC_000018.10, read on the forward strand.
AAAATGCAACTTTATTTTTGTTTCCTGACATTTGTTTAAACTTGTTTAGTGGGAATAATTTTCCCTATGCTCAACAAGAAACTTGGCAGGTCTCCAGGCTTTTCAGCTCATTTGTAGACACTAGAGAGACCTATGGCCATTATCATAGCCCACAAACACAGGCTAGAGCTAATAAATAGTATATCTAGTCTCATGTGATGATCAAAACTCTGAATTGGAATTAACATTACATTTTCTTTCCTGCCCTGACTTGGACTGCTTCGGGCTGGAAGTCTGGGGTGGGAGATGGGGGATGGTTCTTTGGCGCTCTCCTGTTTCCTGATTCTTGGCTCACCTTCTCCTCGACTTGGTCACCAGCTGCTGTAGTGAATCTCACAAGGGTGGAGGCATGGGAAGGAGGAGAAGTGAGCAGATGAGATAGTATCTGCTTTGCTAAGGGCATCATGGTCTCTGGTAGTGGCCAAGGGATAGAGTTGATTTCATTCTCTTGAAAGCACTTTCATGGGATCTTAAGAGGTTTCCTGCTGGATCTTGTGACCTAAGGTTTTTGTGACCAGTGAGTGATTCCCTAATCCACCTAATTCAGGTAGACACTTGTGACATCTTCCTTTGCCATGGGCATCTGATGGTATAACTCCAGCTTCTTTCTGCTGATGTCCTGCCTTCCTCCAGGCAGCTCAATTAGTTAGGACCCAAGAAGGCCCCAGGCAGCTTCTCCCAATCTGATCCACATCCAGTTCATGAGAAACATTCATGCATTTCTTCCTCTATTCTAGAAGTGAAAGCCAATCCTGGTGAAGCAGCCCTCACCAGTGGGGCAGTTGGTCAATTCCCCCTTCACCCTGTAGATTTTCAGGAAGGGGTCAGATCAGGTTCCAGTCTCCTTGACCTTCACAGATGTGTCAGGGGGCGTTCCTCTGTGTCTTTGAAGTATAGAAATACATTTCCAATTTCTGCAAGTGGTCCCATTGGATAATCCCTCCTTAGGCCTGGGGAAATCTATATGCTGTATTTCTACTCTCCCTAAATACCTGACTGAGCTGAGGAGGTCCAAAAATTGAGAAACTATGTTCATTTGTTTTCCTTTGTAAATTCTGCATAAAGAAGTGATGTTGAAATGAAGCAGGATGTGTCTCATTCTGTCTTGCTGCACATGTTTCTCTTTTACAAGGGCCTTACAGTCTACAGGAGGGGCTTAAAAAAACAGGAAAAGATTTAAAATCTATAAAGAAGATGTTACAAGTCAAGTAGCCCCAAGTCCCAGTTATACAGACAATGAGTTCTGTGGTTCAGGTTAGGGTTTGGGCGGGTGGTAGGAAGGGGGAAATGAGATGGAGTCAGAAGTGTGTGTTCAAAGCTTTCAGTTTTAGTCTTGTTGCAGTCTACTGCTTTCCTACTTGAAATTCAAGATTCAAACACTCTGAGATGATGAGCCAAGCTTCAAGGATTCTTCTGGCTGGAAATGACTGGCTGAGAAAATGCATCCAGGGTCCAGGCAACTCCTAGAGTGAGGAGCTGAAGATGATGAAATACAGCACTTATATTAAGCACCACGTGCATGTGAACCTTGTCTTATCGGCCTACGTGCATTTTTGGCCAATTCCAGAAGCCTCCTTAGATACTCAGTACATGGGAGAAGAGGTAAACTGAGATCAACAATATTCATTTTGCAGAAGCACTTGGATGTCCCATTGATCATTGTTCATTCAATATATACATATATTCTCTCTCCCCCCTCCCCTCCCTCACACACACGTCATGCACCACTTTGCTCAAGACTCTATTCCAGGCATTGTGAGAGACAGTTAAAGTCTCCCAGGTAGCTCAAGAGATGAGAGACACACAGCAAATAGCTATACTCACTGCTGAGGACAGTATATCTGAATGTGAGAACAGAGAGTACCTGGTTCAACTCAGCAAAAGAAGAGATGCCTTCTTCCTGTCATTATCCAGGAAAATTTTTCAAGAGGATTGCAACCAACTGTGTCTCACCTGGACTTCACCACTTCTCCAAGTGCTGGTTTCTCTTCTAGGCTCAGTCATGGCCTCTGGGCTCTCACAATGCACAGGTACTGATTGTATTGAGTGCTGGCAAGTCTGACAGGGCCTCTGAGTCACCATCCCCTACATTGGAGGAGTCCAGCACTCTGAGAATTTTTATGCTATGCTTGGTAAGTATCTAGCACACTTCCTGGAACAAAGTAAGTCTTCCCTAGGGATTTGTGGGTTGATTGAATGGGAACTTGAGAAGGAACTTCTGGGGTCATGCTGATGCAAGGTACCTCTGGCTTTGACTCTGACAAAGATGGGGTCCAGGAGGCTTTGTTGGGGAAGAAAAGGCCAAGACTGTGAGGGTGCTCCTAACAAGACAGAGATGCCCCTTGAGGACCTTTGTTTTCTGGGCTTTTCTCCCCACCTTCCTATCCATTTTGCACATATTGGCTTGATGTCTCCCTTGGGGAATTTGTTTTACAGCCTCTCTCCCTCTGGAGGCAAATTGCTATCTCTGTTTTAAAACTCTCACCAAGCCTCCACGAGGGGCATTTTGCATTCAGGTGGCTTTGGGGATAGTGACTGAGCAGTACCTTGCCAGAAGGTTCTTCTTTATATGCATACTAAGTTTCTTTTGTTGGAACTGAGGGTCAATTTCTCCATTCCTGGTTTTGTGGAACAACTTCCTGTGACCTCTTTTCTGGCATGGCTCACCTTCCCTGGGGTGCATTCAGGGATGAACCCAGAAGTTCTTCCCCAGCATTCTGCCTTCTGCTTCCCCTCACTGTGACCTTCCTTACAATGGTGCTGGTGGTCTCCCTCCCCTTAGAATCAGCCAGTGAAATTCCAGGGTGCATGGAGGATACTTTGCATGGGGCATCTGATTCACCATTGTCTGAATAAGGAAATCACTTCTTATGTCAAGGTTGGGAGCCCCTGTGAGCAGCTGGAGGGGCTCTCCCTTGGAGTGGAGGATCCCCAAGTCCCTGAACTCACACTGACAGTAGGGTGACTTCCCAGGGAGCTCAGAACCTCCACACTAGACTTAGCTGCCTCTCCTGCCACCAGTCTGAGAGGCTTCTGATGTTACAGACTGAATCTACTGTTTAATTTCTAACCTCCCATGGCTCCCAATTTAGGGCTCACCTATGGGGTCCAACCACTCAATTAGGGCAGGCATTAATGACAGTGGCTGCTTCTACAGTGTATTGCAGGAGGCGGCAGCACATCCCCAGTCCAGGAGCTGTTCATTCCTCCACAATGGCCGCCTTCAGGATTTCTTTATCAGGTAGCACCTTGGTAGTCATTAATACCATGGTAAACATCAGACAACATTGACCTGAGGATAGTGGGCTAGGCCTTGAAAAAATGGGGCAGGTAGGGGAGCAGGGCACCAAGATGGAGGAAAGGGCAGCTAATGGTTGAACTGAAGGCAACAAAGAACATTTTCCCCAGTTTTGATATTTTGCCAAAGGTGACCCCTGCAGCCCATCACATCCCCTCTGCAGGGCTTCAACCACCTATTCTAATTTTCTAATAATATGAATAGCTACTCTTTATGGAGCACCAACTCTTGAGATGGAGTATCTTTTTATTCCTACTTCACAAATGAACGAATGGAGGCTCAGGCAGGTTAATGATCTTCTCAAGGTGGCACAGCCAATGGGTGGTGGAGCTGGTATCCAATCCAAGCATGATCTCAAAACTGTTGTTCTCCACCACAGTCATTTTTTCCTACTGAACTCTCTCTCTTGTGCACTCTGTCTCTTGCACTTTCTGTCTCCTTTTCTGTTCTGAACCTGGTACCGACATGAATTTTAAGCTAGGTCAAGATTACTGATTTGTCTGGACCATTCATTTGCTTCCATTAAGAGTCAGGCAGGGAGAGTGGCAGGAATAACCTGGTATACATTTTACGAAAACCCCACAAGCTTTGAACACTCTGATTCTGTTCAATCTTTTCTCTCCCTCCTGTTCTTGGCAACTGTCCCTTAAGCCCGTCTGTTCTCTGCCTCTAATATATTATGCAGATATTTTATTACCAAACAATTAGATCCACTAACTTGAAAAGGAAACGAGCAGGAAATTGCAATTATAAGAGTAAAAGCAATGCTCTTTTATTTCTCCCCTTTATGCATATGAAATATGGTTTGTCATTGCTGCAAAACAGACTTTTCTCCTCTTCCATGGCTCTTCACTGCCTTGTCTTTAATAATTGAGCAGAAAGCAGAGTAATAATTAGATTCCTGGTAACAGGGGAGATATCCATAGATTTGCAGCATGTGGAGGCTCAGCTTGGAGCCATGGGGCCCACGACCATGCCTCCATGGGAGAAAGCATACTTCAGGCTGTTTCACTTGAGTACCTTCCAAAGCCTTCTGTACATCCATGGTCTTCTATGTAGATTAAATATTTGCTCACAATTATTGTTTCCTTTCTGCCTTTGCCATGCTTTCCCATCCCATTGACTCTGGGCTTGGCCAAGACTTCTTTTGGTCAATGGAATATGAGTAGATGTGATGTACAGCTCATTGTACTACACAGAAGCTTTCAATGTGCCTGTAATATTTGGCCCTACTTCTCTTGAGCAACACTCAGGATGGAGGCTGCTCCATCTAGGTCCCTGAGTGATTGTGCTGCACAGAAACACCCTGCTGACTCCTGATAGATACGTAGTGAGAGCAAGAAATAAATGTTTGCTGTTTTGAGCCACTGAGATTTGGAGCTGTTTTTAAATCACAGCGTAGCCCAGCCCAACCTGACTGATATGTCTGTGATCTCATTTGACTCTCATTATGTCCCTGGGATAGAGAAAAGGCTGATCACACTGGGTGGTGTCGGGGAAAGAGCGTGTGATGTGGAATCAAAGGGACCTGGGTAAGAAGGCTTTTCCCATCATTGCTGGCTGTGCAGGCTTATCCAAACAACCCAATCTCTCTGAAATCCTGTTTCTTTATCTGTAACATGAGAATAATAAAACTTACCTTGAAGATCCCTGTGGATCAGAGTCAATGTATGCCAAAGGTCCTGGTGTAGAACCCATCACAGAATAAGCAACTAATACAAGATAGTTGTTTTTTTAAAATTAGTATTTTATTTATTATTTTTATTTTATTTTAATTATCACTCTGTCACTCAGGCTGGAGTGCAGTGGCGCCATCTCGGCTCACTGCAACCTCTGCCTCCTAGGTTCAAGCAATTTCCTGGCCTCAGCCTCCTGAGTAGCTGGGACTACAGGCATGTGCCATCACGCCTGGCTAATTTTTGTAACTTTTGTATTTTTAGTAGAAACGGGGTTTCACCATGTTGGCCAGGCTGGTCTCTAACTCTTGACCTCCAGTGATTCACCCACCTTGGCCTCCCAAAGTAATCCATGCTAGTAATGGGATTACTAGCATGAGCCACCACATCCAGCCAAAAATTAGTATTTTAAAATCTCTTTTTGACATTGTTTCCATTGAACATATGGGAATGCTGAGCCTAAATCTGTTGCAGAGACCTGCCTAGGCAAATTAAATAACAGAGCCGGAATACAAGTTTTGATTTTCAGACTTTGTGTTCAGAGCTTTCTCCCCGGACTAATAAGTATTGCCTGAGTTCCACACCTGGAACTGTGCTAAGGAGGCTGGAGGGTCGGGGAGGCAAGTGTTAAGAATGAAAACATTGCTTCTCCAAGGAGTGCAAAGTCTACATGGTGAGATAAGCTAAATAACAGAGTTAGTTCCAAAGAAGCAGCTGTTTTTTTTAAGGCACACAATATTCTGATTTTCTAAACTTTGAATGCATAAAAGTGACCTGTGTAGCTTATTCAAATGCAGACTCCTTGGTCCCGCCCTAGAGTTTCCACTTTAATACTATCCTGTATGATTAGAGGAAGTAGAGCAGAGTGGGCTTTGGCACAAGGCTCCCTGGGTTCAAATCCCTCCTCTGGCACCTACAAATTAATTACATGATCTTGGGGAAGTTATCTAACCTCCCTGTGCCTCGGTTTCTTCATCTGTGAGATGGGGGTAACATTACCGGTTGTCTTATATTACAGTGAAGATTAAGTTAGGTAATATGGCTAAAAGACATGGCACTTAGCAGACACTTAGTAAGTGCTACCCATTAGTATTCTGATGCAGGATTTCTAAAAACCATGAGTCTGGGAACTTCCTAAAGGAATGGCCCAGGACAACCCTTTTCTCTGGTGTCCCAAGTGAGTACCCTTTTATGGGACTTCTTGAGACAATGTCCTCAACCCTTGTGGTGCCTACGGGGGAATTCCAATCATGGAAACTTTGATTGTGGAGGCATAGTTGAGACCAGCAGTACATCATGATGACTCTTAAATCATATGTATGCTGCAGGCTTCTGCTCACCCATGCAAAGGTTTGTCCCTGGTAGAAGACCTCCATGAGCAAACTTCATTTGGGAGCCATCTCTGGCTGTCAGATGGGCAGCAATCCAGAGAGGTGCCTGGTTCTTGGTGCCCTGAGGCTGAGTCAGGCAGGATCTGTCTCAGTGGAAACGTTTCACTTATTGCTCTTGCCCTGTGCCAAATGCCTCATTTTGCCCCTTGTTAATCATCAGATATTAGCGTCCATAAGAGTCATATTTACCAGGAGAGAGGTTTTCTTCTTCTTCTTTTTAAATGTCTTTGAATAATTCATGTCCAATTTAGAAGGATTAAATATGGTGTGTTCTCCCACTCCAGCAAGAGCTGGAGGTGAAAATCTGGTTTCTCAGACTGCAGAGGCCAGGCTGCTGGGAACCCTCCCGGATTCAGCCTCTCTTCACTGCTGAGAACTGTTCGACTCAAGGCCTGCTGGCCTATTTTTCCCTGTTGTCTCACTTGCCTGTACTGGCTCTCCAGTTTTTCTAACTCTTCAAGACCCACTCCTGCCACCTTCTACAGAACCCTTAGCAAGCCATCCTCCCACACCTGCAGAGACAGGGAGCCTAGGCCATGGGAAGGCAGACTGGATCTTCTTTGGGAAGTGCAGGGTCTGGAGCTGGGAGGGCTGCCCATTCCCTGGGCGAGGAGACTGCTGCCACATATGTTCTGCTGTGGGCCCAGAAGGAGCTAAGGGACAATGCAGAGCAGGCTCCTCTGACCAGTCTGCCTACCTGTGCTCAAATTCTGGCTCTACAGCTCCTTGCAGGTGGTGACCTTAGCCAATAACTTCATTTCTCTATTGCTTCAGCATCCCGATCCATACAGGAGGATTGATAACAAGCCCTTCTCATAGTGCTGTCCTGAGGATAAAGGTGAAAACACAGGAAATATAGAAACATAGCAACGTTGAAAACATAAATAGAAACCACTTAGAACAGGGTCTGTCTGACATTTGATAATCTCTCAATTAACATTAGTGGTTATTATTATGCATCCCTTAGATCAGAATTTGAAGTTTATAATGAGGTATAGGTTTTATTGTATTTTATTTGTTCAATTAAAAATTAATTTTAATTACAAAGGAATTCATGAATACATTCTCCTTGTAAAAAATTAAAACATTACAGTGGAAACTAAATATCATTTGACTACCTGCATTGCCAAGCTCCCTAGCAGTTATTCATTTTCAGTTTGGTATGCCGCTTTCTACAATTTTTAAAAAGGCATATATATGTATATATATATGTACTTGTAAAAATCATACAATATATAAGTGTCTATTATAAATGATATCACACATGTATGCATTTTTTACTCAACATTGTGTCTTAGAGATTATTTTATTTTAGAACATAGAGATATGCTGTATTCATTTTAACAGCTTTATGCTATTCCGCATTATAAGGATACCACGTTTAATTTAGCCATTGTTTAAAATTTCACCAATACTGCCATAAATATCCTTGTAGGTGTCTTAATATATGAATATATCTTAAAGGTTTCTCAAGGATTTTCATTTTGCTCATTTTTTAAAGTGGTTGTACAACACAGCTTCCCCATCCATTTACACTACCAAATTTAATTTTGCCAATCTAAGCAGTGTCAAAGAATATGCAATTTTATTGATGTTTTAATTTGAATTTTCCTTATTCCTTAATCCTAATAAAGTTAAGCCTCTATATATTTATTGCCTACTGGTATTTTTTCTTTTGCGAATGACCTGTTTGGTTTGCTGCCTGTTGTTTTATTGAGTTAACTTTCTTTTTCTCACTTATTTTTTGAAGTTTTAAAAATATATAATTTGGACAGTAATCTGTGTTATATTTGGTGACATTAATTTCTTCCATCCATTGTTTGTTTTTTGTCCTATACATGTGCTTAATTTTGATTTAGCCCATTTATATTACCCTGTTCCTTGATGACTTTTGCTTTTATATCCTATTTATAAGAAGACTCTCCTTATCTTCAACATCATAAAAACATTTTTCAATATTCTCTTCTATTTTTAAAAAGTATTAAGTCTTTCATCCATCTGGGCCTTATTTTAGTAAATGATGTAAAGTAAGATCTAATTTTATGCACTAGTCATTGAGCTAAGAGCTTTATGTGCATGATCTCAGTCACTCACACTATCCGAAAAGTTTGGCACACTCACATCCATCTTCCGGATGAGGAAACATACTGAGAGAGATGCAGTCATTTGCCTCAAGGTCCCAAAGGTCAACATAGAGTGGTCATCTGAAATGACATCCACCGCTGAGATGACCCAGGTTTGTGTGTGCCCAAATGCCTCTTCTGGAGTTCCCTGCAGGTTGAACATGGACTGATCACAATAAGAAGAGGAATTTGGACCAAGTAGGGAAGATCCTCTCTCATGTAGGAACGGAAATTACTGAGCATCACTGAAGACCAGGGAGACAAGCTCTAAAGCAGGCAGCTGACCTCTGAAAAGGACAAAGAATCCCACAGTCTCAGCACCACGACTCACATGTATCAGCTTTGGGCACCGCAACTCTAGGCTATGAAAGCTTCTTTGGGGGCATCCAACCCAGACAGGTCCTGCACCTCACTGAGTAGAACACTGGTCCAGGCTTGGCTCTTCTTTCTTTACAGCAGCAGGGGGCCATGAGGCTGTGAGCACAAGCTCTCCTTCATTACCCATTTCTGCTGGGCCCCTGACTGGGGAGGCTAAGTATGGGGTGGGGGTGTTCCAAGGGTCAACAAAAGGAGGAGGATGAAGGGAAAAGCCAGCCAGCTGAGGGGAAAAGCTCTTTCTGCTATTACCCTGCCCATCGCACAGCCCCCCACCCACTCACCTGTATGGACTAGAAGCCTGGCCCAATTGTTCCATCTTTCCCCAAAGGGCCATGAAACACACACTTAGCAATGCAGAGTGGTGGCTCCAGGCACCCTCAGCATTTACTGTAAATCACGGAGACAGGAGAGATATGAGTCCCCACCTGCAGAATCACTGAAGCAGCTACTCTGGGGATATCTTACCTGAAAATGGTTTTCCTGCTTCCTCCACAGCCCATTGGGGTTTGGGGGCCAAACACGGAGAAGCTATTCCCTGGGGCAGCATTCTCGAGTCCTGGAAAAGTGTTTTTGATATGATCCTGACATCAAGACCCTCTTAAATGCTGGCATTTTCTGACCTTCCTTAGAACTATTTTCCCCTGAAACCGTGCACTCCATGCCCGCCCTCATGTCCTGTGGTTTTTTTATGTTCAGCCCTGATTATATGTGTTTATTATCTTCTTCCCACTAATAGACATTAAGCTCCTTAAGGGAAGGACTGGCCTTCTTTGTGGGAGATCAGTACATTCTATTTAATTTCTTTTTAAAAAGGTACAAGGAAAAAATTCAATCTTCTTTTTCCTAATAGACCTTTTCTCTAAATCAGCTGCTTTCTTTCCTCTGCTCAGAACAGAATGCAGTCATTCCCCTATCTAAGCCTTTATTCAGGCCATTCTCCGCTTTCTTCTCAGTCTGAGCTGATGTTTAGACTCTCAGATGTGTTGCTCAAGCTGCTCTTGATATGTTCATTTTAACAGCATGTCGTATTCTATATAATGGGAGGAAAAAGAAGAAGTGGCTTTTTCTGCGGGGCTTCCCCTGAGTCTCCCCCTTGGCCCTAGAGCTGACCTTGTGTGTCCCAGCCATGGAAGAGGCTGTGCACAGCAGCTCAGCAGGCTTGTGCTCCAGACCAGCCAGTCCTGCCCTCTGCTCTTCATACCCAATCCCATCATCATCAGGTGGGTGATGCCCTCCAGACGCCCCCACTCAAGCACAGATGCTGCTTGGAAGGCATGGGGAGGCTCACTGGGCCCAGGCTGTCAGCATATCAACCCACATCAGTTAATCAGACTAACTTTTGTATTCTGTTGGCTCTGTCACCTCGTGGTGGGCAGTTTCCTACCCAGAGCCCCCAGCTTTCCTTTCTTGAGCCCAAATTCACATGGTAGAGCTTGTCCCCATGCAATTTGGATTTAGCAGACATCTCTATTGGTGGATTAGTGGGAGAAAGGCAACATTCCCTTTACCAAAAAGTACTGAATTTAAAAAGATTAAAACATGATTTCCCTCCCTCCACCTGCCTTCAGTGAAGATGTCTTCCCCTTAGATAAATGTCGGGCTTATTGATTATTGGATTATACATGTTGGTTTCTTGAGGTCATTAGGCAAGGACACACGTGGATGCCCTTTGTAGGGTGCCATAATTTCCAGTGTTGACTGCAGAGAAGTGGATTCTCTGCGGGAAAGGGGAACCTTGAGTGGGCTGGGCCTCTCTTGCCTTGCTCCCTTGGCTGTGGAGCTTGTGAGGGTCCCAGTGAACTTGAATTAGGCCCCATGTGGTGGGCTCTGTTGCCTCACACCAACATCCTGTTTTGTCAGGCTATCCCGGTGGTGCCCAACCTCTTAGCTTATTTTGCTTATTTTACCCCTGAGTCTGGTTATGTTTCAGTTTGGGCAGAATGCAGGTAAGACGTGTGTGTGCCCAGCCTGGCTGTGAATGTGGTAGTGAGTGAGAGTCTCCTCAGGACAGCCTGGCTCAGTGGCAGGTGCAGGTGGCCAAGGGCCAGCTTCTCCCTGTCCCTTGTGGGCAGAGTCTTCAGCATTGCCAACCCTGAGCGATGTGGGTTTATGTCAGAGGGAGAGGTGGTTTCCTTGTCAATTCCCTACAGGATTGCTTTAGGCAGAGGTCTTCATTGCTGCAGTTAGAGTCCATTTATTTTCCGCACCTACACGAATGATCGTATGGGAAAATGTGGCATAGGGTGTAGTTTTACAACAGGGCAGATAGAGACAAACTCTGCTGGTAGAATGGAGGGAGATTTCAGGGGTTTGGGAGGTTTGAGAGTGAGTCAGAACTTGCCGAGGACAGAACAGGAAGAGCATGTGATCTTTGAGGGCATGTTTTGTCCCCAGAAGAGAGCTGAGCCAGTAAAAGGGTGGGGGCATCTGGGAAACAGATGGGAGGTGGGGGTGGGGGGAGTGAAAGGCCATCAGGCTTTAGTGACACACAAAACCTTGAGTGTGACCAGGAATTTGGATTTCTGTCTATAATAGGGAGCACCCTTCTGAAGGCAGTATAGGTTGGTTTGATTTAGAAAACTCACTTAGGAGGCTGGAGTGATTCATCACTCCAGCTGGATTGCATTTTTCCAGGAAGAAGGCCTCCTTGAGAAGAAGATGGGTGAGTGAAGGCAACAAGCAATTGACATGGATCGAACATCTACACCGGGTAGCTTTGTGTGCGGCTCTCTCGGGGCTTGTGGCTGTCTATAGAGAAGCCCAGCAAGTGAAGGGTTTTCTAAATCAAACCAACTTATACTGCCTTCAGAAGGGCGCTCCCTTTTATAGACAGAAATCCAGACAGAATTCTGGCATAAAGAGGAGTTTGGCTGCACAGCAATGACTTCTTCAGTAGCCTTTTGTTCCTTGTTGAGGGAGGGTCTGTGGTCACTGAGGGCCAAGGGCCATAGCGCTCAGGTTTTGGAAATGGCCCCTTGAAGAAGCCTGTGGGAAGTGAATTGCAGCTGTGATTCAAGTCAGGTCAACCAGAAGTTTCAGAGTTCATGGTGAGCCCAGGACACCCTCTTTCCTGGGGGTCAGCTGAGGCAGTAGAGACTGCACATCTGCACTGGGGGACCCGTCCTCTGTGCAGGGGAAACAGCCCAAATACCAAGGACTTTTAATAGGATGGCAGTGTTGCTTAGACTCCCAGGCAGTGCTGTCTAGGTGGGGAATGGGCTAGGACAGGGATAGGTGAGATTTGAAGAGGTAGAGAGCACAAAATGCAGGCATCCCTCAAAAGAAACACATCCAAATGGTTTTGCAAGTACCATTAGCTAACGTGGTTGAGTGTCTTTATGTGTAGAATTACGTAAGGAGTATGGAAGGCAGGTCAAGACCAAAGTGAAATGGTGCGCCTGCTTTCTTGGGGTCCACTTGCCATGGAAGACACGTTCACTCATTCGTTCATCCCACAAATACTGAAATCTCACCATGAGCTGGCTCTGCACTAGATGTGGGGACATGACCCTAAAAGGGAGGGAGGCATAGCAAACTAGTATAGTGAAAGGGATAATCTGTATTGGTTTGAAAGGGATAAACTCTCTAAATAATGCCTGTGAGGTCTTAGGAGGCTGGAGTGATGAAACTGGATTGCATTTTTCCAGGAAGAAGACCTCCTTGAGAAGAAAACGGGTGAGTGAAGGCAACAAGCAATTGACATGGATCGAGCATCTACACTGGGTAGCTTTGTGTGCGGCTCCCTGGGGGCATGTGGCTGTCTGTAGGGGACCCCAGCAAGCGAAGGGATACTTGTCATACACCATGATGAGAGTGACAGTCACACTTAAAATAGTGCTGGGAAGAAGGGAGGAGGGAAGGAGGGAGAGTAAAAGGAAGGAAGGACTCGTTAAGAGACCATCGGTTCTGTGTGTGTGTGTGTGTGTGTGTGTGTGTGTGTGTGTGTGTGTTATAGGGAGGGGCAGCCTCAGGAGACCCGGAGGGACCCTGTGCTTCTGTTAGTCTCCGTGATGTTGACGCTGAAGCCATGAACACACAAAGATCACAGACGGAAGGAAGAAGAGCTCCGGCTCTAGTTCCTGTGAGGTACTGTGTGTCTCAGAAAAAGTATTAGAGAAGTAGGGAAATGGCTTTTTGATGCTGCTGCTGCATAAACAGGCTTCCCAGGTACAGGCGTATTTTAACGTGGTGTTAAAAGACAAAGAAGGAAGAGTCGAAGTGCTGTCTTTCACGCCTCTGTGTTGCCTCCTGAAAACCCATCTCATGGAAGTAGACCTAGGAAAGGAACCCACCTGGCAGCAACTCCTGGGGGCTGAGGGGCAGGTTGGAGGGGGGGAAGGCAGGAAGGACACGCTGACCACTTAGGTCTCTGGCATCACACAGGGAACTCTTGGCTAATCCTCCAGGGAAATCCCTAGAGGCTGAGGCCTGGGAAACCAGCTTCCTAAAGGGTACCCTGTACCTCAGGTTCTGATTTTTCATTCAGTTTACATAGCCTGTTTGCAGAGCCATCTTAAATATCCTTGCAGTGCATCTGGTGTCAAAGCTTAGGGCTGCCAGCAAGGTCTCCCTGCTCCGTGCCTCTGCCCATCATTCTGTCTTGGCTCGGTGAAAGGCTGCCCGAGGTATTTTTCTTGCTTGGCTTAAACATTATATCATTTGGGTTAAACATCACCCTCTTTGGCACCCTCCTTAAGTCTAATTTATGCATTGTTTTTTTCTGGGAAGGCTTCTAGAACTACCGTACCTTCTGCCTTGGGGCTCCCAGGGCTCTATGGGAAACATGATTACTGCACTAAACAGGCAGTCCTATAGGGGTGTGCTACTGAAATGCTGCAGCCTGAGCCCCTCATCCCTCCACGTATATTATAGTTTCTCTGCCAAGGCAACCAGTGCATGTGCCCACCCTGCCTGTGGGCTGTGAAGGCTGGCATGGGCCCTGCTCCTCACCAGGACCCTGAGCCATCCTCAGTTGGTGCTGGCTGAAGGCCCCAGCACAGGAAACACGTTCCGATTTGTCTCCACAGAGTAACTATGCTCACTGCAACACCTTTCATTCCTAATAGGGAGGATGAAAACAAGAGTGAATGCATATAAACATATTGGATTCCTAAGAGTTGGAGTGATAGAGACAGTGAGGGAATGAATTAGAGAAGGGGCGGGGATCATCAACCTGACTGGCTTTCTAATTTTATAACCCTATTGTGCCTCCCAGGTTAGCCACAGTAAACACAATCCCCTGGTGGTGGCAAGGGCTTTATATCTAAGAACTGGAAAACTACCAAAGGGACTCTTCCCCAGAATCTCTTCCCTGGAGATCCATTCACCCCACAATCCAGAGAATGTCAGTCTTCATGGGATGCTGAGATAGCTGACTCAGTTCCCACCCCTGCCCCACACCCATCCAACCCAGAGAATTCAGTCCTGAAAAACAAAAGGATCAAGCTTTCGGGGAAATCTAACTGTACACACTGGTCACATGTCAGGGGGATGCAAAGATTCTTTTTCCTATTAATTTCCACTGTGATTTTAGAGACATTCTATAAATGCATTAGACCCCCAGCTCCTTAAGAAGGTAAGAGAATATAAGTTATTAATTGCATACCCTACATCCAGTATAGTGCTTGGCACATAGTACGTGCTCAATAAATGATTTTCGGCTGAGATGTTGTGTGTTCTTTGCTGTTTAATTTATAGTATCTTAGTGGGCTCTGGAATTAGATGAGCCCATATGTGTGCAGCAGATACTGTGGGGAGCACACTCCAGTAGATGAAAAATGTGGTGTTCAGAGGGTGTGGCTGTTCAAGCAAGCAGCCCAAGGGGGAACCACTGTGAGGAAGCTCACAATCCCCATGTGTTTGTGTGTCTTGCACTGTTCTTAGCACTCTGCATGTGTCAGCACCTTTTCTCCTCTCTGCCCACCTGGGAGGCAGGTGGTACTCATCTTTCTTTTACAGATGAGAAAGCCAAGGCAGAGTAAAGAAATGACATTCCCAGGTAACACAGCTGGTAAATGGTACAGGACCTCACCCCAGGCTAGCTGATTGGAGGGTTCATGCCCTTAACAACTTCCTTCTACTGCTTCTCTGCAGAACATGGCCCTAACAGTGGGCAGCATGAAACTGAGGAACACAGCAGGAAGCTGATTTAGGCAAACTCAGCAGGTAAGCATGGGGTTAGTCAACACAAGGGCCATCTCCGTGGCTGGCCACTGGGGTCTGGAGCAGGGAGGGTCTGGATACTAGATCGATGATCAAGACAGGGATTCATGCATGAGAGCAAGGCAAGAAGGCAATGGCCAGAATCAAGCAAGACTGCTCCCAGGGCTCAACGTCTGGTTCATAGTAAAGCTCACAGTGCTGAGTCCCAGGGTCTTATAATACACTTCTGAAATACTCCTTCTCTAAGCTCTGTGTTGGCTAAATTCTAGGGCAAGGCCGAACATCAGTCTCAGAATGTTTTCTTAAATAAGGGAATGGAAAAAAGCAGAAACCATCCAGCCTTGTCCCAATGCACAGACTTGCTCTGTTCCCTTACGGTGAATGCATTCTCTTTAGGCCCACCCTGTTTTTTCACGCCATCCAACTGGAGCCAGTGTTTATTTCCAAGGTTGTGTTATATGATGGGGAAAAGTTCTCTGGAGGAAAATTCTGGGGCTCATTAAACAGTGGGTAGAAGAGGAGGAAAGAATGAGGGAGGGAAGTAAAGAGAAAATTATACCAGGATGATGTTTTCTTTTCCTGTAGGAAAGAATCTAAAATAATTGCATCTCTTGTTTAGAGCATTTTTATTTTTCACACTTCATTCCTGTTGATGCAAAGGAATGAGTTACGAGATTGCATTCTTAGGGGGAAACTCTCCCCAGGAAATACATTGCTGTGTCCACAGGACTTTTTAGGTCATTGAGGGAATGGGTTGGAAACCACTATTTATTTACAGTGGAAGATGATTGACTAGAAGTTCCTTCCATTCCCCTTTGCTTTTAAAACACTTTGTGTTTATATATTTATTTGGACAAATTGATTGGCCTCCTTTTGAGTGTAACTGAGAAACCTAGGAATGCTTGTTTAAGATTGCTCAGTGCAAACGCAGGCTGGGGAATACTCCCTGATTATTTGCTGGGGGACTTATGGTGAAATAAGAAAGGGAATAGTGGCCAATACTGTTAAGCAGGCAGCTTTTGCAGGCAACAGGCCTTCTACAAGTCCAGCTTTTTCTTTGAAGTGACTAATGCCTTAATTCTCTCTTAACAACCATTAATCAAACTAACCCATAGGACACAACTTCAATAGCAAATTGAGCCTAAAGTATAAACAGCATATAATGGCTTTGTTTTCCCATCTCTTTGGCATTGGCATTTTAGCAGAGTCCTTGACTAATACAAGTATGTCCTGGATGGTTGAATTTCAGGAACTGGCCAGAGGCTGGTAGGAGGATTATTATGGGCAGGCTGGCTTTCCTCAACTCTTAATAACACCACCACTCCACACAGAAAAGAACTTCTCTTATGACTGCCCTCTTTTCCTCATAAATCCCTCAATGAGTTTTCTGAGAATGGGCCCAATGGGCTGGCTGTTCTGGAAGGACTTTAATCAGCTTTCTTCATGATGGACTGGAGGGAAAGGTGAGAGAATGCCAGGGGAACAGTTCTGCAGTTGCTTTCACTGATTTTTCACAGGGGTGAAAGTTTCCTGAGCTCTATCCTGTGATATCAGCATTTGAGCTGGGAGACTTTGAGAGTGTTATGAACTTTGGTTTCTGGGAGAAGTGAAAGAATAAACTGGGGAGAGAAATTGAGAGAAAGAAGAGGGGTTTGGAGTTGAGGACTCTGTTAGTTTGCTAGGGCTGCCGTAACAAATACCACAGAATGGGTGGTTTAAACAAAATAAATGTATTTTTTCACCATTCTGGAGTCTGGAAGTTGGAGATCAAGGAGTTGGCAGGTTGATTTCTTCTGAGGCCTCTCTCCTTGGCTTGTAGATGGCCATCTTCTGTCTGTGTCTGCACATGGTCATCCTTCTCTACATAACTATGTCCTCTTCTTATAAGGACACCCATCACATTGGATTAGGGCCCACCCTAACGACCTCATTTTTACTTAATTAAAAGTTCCATCTCCAAATACAGACACATTTCAAGGTACTTGAATGGGGTAAGGACTTCAACATACAAAATTTGTGAGGATACAATTGAGACATAACAAGGAGTGAATTTGGGGAAGCTTCTGCAACCAGAAGTTACGTACGTCCTTCTATTCGTAGAGGAGCCAGCTCTTGGCTACAGAGCATAGACACTAGAAATCCAGTACCATAGACATTATAAATCACCTAGGAGAGGTTCTAAGGCCCATATATTTTCCATTGGTTTTCCAACTTGGCTGCTTATTAAAATTACGAGGAAGTTTTTAAAAACACTGATGCCTAGACACTCACCCTTTGAGACCCTGATTCAATTGGTGTGAGGTGGGGACCAGAGTTAGTAATTTTTAAAAACTTTTCAGGAGATTTTAATGTGCCACCAGCATAAAAGAAACTAGAGGCTAGAGAGGCTTGATGACTTGTCCAACATCAGAAAACATGTGTAGACTAGTGCACAGGGCTCCTGGCTTGGGTTCTGTGGCTCTTCTGCTAGTACATTTCTTTCCATTTCTGAAATACTGTTATTCCATCAAGTTTCCTGTGATGGATGTCCTGGTGCCCCAGACCCCCTGTCCAGCACTGAAGCACTCCTTCCCCCTACTGCTGGGGGCGTTGGTACACTGGTCCACTATGTAGAGACTGCTGGATGAAGAAGTATGAAGACAGGATAATTCTGAATGGCCCTTTCACCTCCAGAGCTTCCTATAGTCACTGCATTGCAATTCAACTGCTCCATTTGCCCAATCCTCCTTCTCCCACTCCTGTCAAGGGAACTTGTAGATTCCAAAAAACACCTTCCAACAAATCCCTGCTGCCAGTTTTAATCTCAGAGTCTGCTTTCTGGGGAACCTGATCCATAAAATTTCTTCCTGGTTCATAATTCTTTTGTGAGTATTTAAGAGTGCTTGCCATGTTGGGTTCTGTGCCAGGTGCTTGGAATATGAAGAGAAATAAAACCCAGTTTCTACTTAAGTGGTTTGCCATCTACCAGAGGTGCTGGTCAACAGCCACCTCCAGTGCCCTGTCTGAGCTGCTGTAATAGCAATGTAAAAGTGGTATGGGAGCACTGAAGAGGGAGATGCTGATGTCCTGGCCAAAGAGGTCAGCCAAGGCCATTGTGGTCTATACATTCTAACTGTTCTTAGCTGTCTGTTTAGGAGGCTGAACCCCTTCTTGAAACAACAGTTGCTCTTGCTTGCCCCTACAAACTTGTATGTACCAGATAGTCTTTATTTCACTTTAGGTGGGCTGTAGGAGAGAAAGTGGTGAGTAGAGGAGAGACAATAAAGAAAAGAAAAAAGTGCAAGAACCAAGGTATATAGGACATCATGATGGTTAATTTTAGATGTCAACTTGACTGGGTTAAGGCATACTCAGATAGATGGCAAAACATTATTTATCAGGATGCTTGTGAGGTTGTTTCTGGAACAACCTTGCATTTTAATCAGTGGATTGAGTAAAGAAAATTTGCCCTCATCAATGTGAGCAGGCATTATCTATTTCACTGAGGGCCCGAGAGAACAAAAAGGCAGAGGAAAGGTGGATTTGCTGTCGCTGTTTGAGCTGGGACATCCATCTTCTTCTGTCCTTGGACATTAGAACTCCATGTTCTTGGGCCTTTGGGATTTGGGAATTATACTGGTGGCCCCCAGTTTCTCAGGCCTTTGGCTTCACATGAATTATACCACCGGGTTTCCTGGTTTTCCAGCTTGCCAACAGCATATCATGGGACTTCTCTGACTCAACAATCACATGAGCCAATTCTCATAATAAATACACTCTATCTATCTATCTATCTATCTATCTATCTATCTATCCATCCATCTATCGATCTGTCTATTATCTATCTATCTATCTATCTATCTATCTATCTATCTATCTATCTATCTATCTATCTATCGTCTATACCATCTATCTATCTATCCATCTACCCACTCATCCTTTCATCCATTCCATTGGTTATGTTTCTCTGGCAAACCTTGAGTAATACAGATACAGTTCGAGAGTTCAGTTTGGGCCTCTCATCTGTGACTCACCCTTCCTTCCCTGGAGGCTTTTCACCATCGCTGTCACCAAGACCAGGCACCCAGAGATCTCACATTCAGCCCCTCCCACGAAGAAGCTCCAGGATGAGAGCTGACCTGTTAGGGAGATAATATCAAAGTCCATGTGACACCCTCCAAGGGAGACTTTCCCTCTGTGTCTTAAGTGGTAGAAGAGAAAACAGTCTTCAACCAGAAGGTGGGTGAGATTTAGGAGCCTCCAGTGGGTCCTCCTGATGCTTCTGACACTGGACCTATGTGGGCCGATGTGCACAGATGAGGTTATGCAGTCCTGCACCTCCAGACCTGGTGATGGAGAACAAGTAGGTATGGGTCTTTGTGACAACTGCCCCGCTGTGTGCACTGGCTGAAAAGAGGATGGCCAGTACACCAGTACTTAGGAGGAAGGAGGCCCATAACTCCACTAATCTCAAATAGTCCCATGACGCCTGCAGAGCATCCCCTGTGGGCCAAGCCCTGGTGTGGGCCAGACAGAGGGTGCCAGTGAAATAGAAGTGAAGGCCTCAGCCTTCGAGCAGCCTCCAGCTCAAGTGGGTTGACAGGCACATCATCACCAGGTGTCTGAAGTCTGGTGGAAGACAAACAATCTGCACCCTGGGGAGCCTCAGGCCTCCTGGCCTAATTTGAGAAATGTGGTTTCTGCCACAGGCCAGTATTTAGGACAAACATACATGTTTAAAAGACCCATGAAGAGACACAAATAAGACATTAACATGTGCAAATGGTTACAGCTGGGTAGCTAGTGTCAGTAGACAGGACAGAGAGACAGAACTGAGAGCAGGATGTCCCAAACACATGGAGTCAGCCCATCACCCCTCAGCAAAATCAGGTGATGATGAGGGCGGGGGTGCGGGGGGAGCTCCAGGCAGCAGGAGGTACATTGTAGATAAAGCATTAGTTATTAGAAAACCCAGTGTCCTCCCTAATTGTAGGTAGTGAATGCTGTACAATACTGAAAGTGAATACTGTGCAACTGTATGCATATATATGTGAAAGTATGAAAATTACCAAGGGGACATATTTGAGGGACCTCTAACAGCATCACTCAGGTGTTTTGTATGCATGAGTTTATGATATGTGAGCATAATTGTGTGTAGAATGTGTGCATGTTTGTGTGTGTGTGCTTACACTTGTGGGGGCTTCCTTTCTGTTGGGGGAGGCTGAATATGCCCATGCACTAATCATCTAATCTGCTCTCTTTCTTATTCCAGGAAGTGTTCCCTGTGAACCCATGAGACTTCATCCCTGCGTTGGTCTGGCTGGCTTTCCCTGTGAGATACAGGTTCCTCCTGAAGAGCTGAAGCTCCATTCCAGCTCTAGACTTCTCCTTGCTTTCAGACTTCAAGATGAGAAGCATTTTTCCAGTCCACAAGTGTTAGAGGACACTGCCGATGATGTGTGTTTTGCCCAGGCTGGACTCAGCTTCTTTGTCTCGGTAAAGGTTAAGTTTTCTTCAATATAAGAGGAATCTAGAGAAACTGAGACCATTAAGCAAATTTTTAGAAGTAGATGAGAAGGAAAGTTGGAAAACAAAGTACCCTTGCTTACAGAGAAACTAGGAGATCACCTTAATTAAGAAAGCACCTTAATTTGGGGCAGAGAGGGGTTTATAGAAAGTTGGTTGGAGAGAGTGGAGCTTGACGTAGAGCTAATTTCCTGAATTCTTGGGTTAAAGACTCCCCATGGCATCCCTCCCAAAAGCAGACAGCAGTAAAAGGAGCAGGTTTGAGCCAGGGAAGCTGATGGTCTGGCTGCATAGTGGGCAAAGTACCCTGGGGCCTGGACAGCCTGCTGCATGGCCCTTTGCTGATGGGCCTGGAGGAGGGAGAAAGCAACAGCCCTAGGTGCCCAGGCCCGACTCCCAGGGCATTTAAGGTATCTGAAGCGCAGGCAGGACAAGGGGTGTAGAAGATGCAGTCAGCTTTGGTTTCCTCCTGCCTTCACACAGCCCTGGCTTTGTCTGTCACTTGGGGCACCCAACACAAGGGCAGTGATCCTAGTAACTATCACCTGCCTCTTCCTCTTCCTGTCCGCAGATCCTCACTGCCTGGGCCCCACTCCAAGGCCTTGCTCACACCTTTACATCCACCCAGAATGCACTTCACTGCTCTACACTGATCTAAACACCACCCAGTCTCCAAGGCTTGGTTTGAATACCACTTACTCCAGGAAGCCTTTCATGATTTCTTTAGTTCCCCAGTTCTCTTGGATTCTGGACTCTTCTAATTTTTCTCCTGCTTTACTGCCCTTGTCTCACTCACTCTTCCTCCCACCCACCCGAATGTTGGAATACCTAGAGCATCGTGCTCGGCTCTCTTTTTTCCTTTACAAACACTTTCTGTTTTCAGGGAAATTTCTTCACCTTGTGGTTTTAATTACTAACCTTATATCAATAACTCCAAAATTATTCAAGTGTGTACACCTGGCCTGTTCCATGATCTTGAGACTCAGGTACCCAATTGTTTTCTCTTCACCTCTACTTTTTCATCTAATAGGAATCCCAACCCTCAAACATCCCCAAAGGAGGCTCTGCTTCCTTCTGTAACTTCTCTTTTACAAGTCTCAGTCAATGGCACCACCACCACCATATACCTAGTTGCTCAAGCCAAGCAGAAGCCTAATTCTAATCTATCTCACTCTTCTATTCCCTGGATATCTTTCATTGACAAATCCTACTGACTTTGCTTAAAAACATATTCTTCATTCTTCTAAATTGTTCTCTCTCAACCCAGGGCAGGCCACAATCTTCACAATCAGGAATATTGCAAAATCTTCTTTTCACTCATCCCCTTGCCTTCACCTGTTACCTAAATCTACTCTTCACAAAGTCAAATGGTATTTTTAGGACATAAATGAAACCATGCACTCCTCTGCTCAAAACCCGCCAGGGTCTTTCTATCATGCTGAGGATAAGATGCAAATTTCTTACCCTAGCCCACATAGTTGAGTTTCCTGGGGTCTGGCCCTTGCCAGATTCTCTGATGTCATCTCTTGTTCTGCTTCTCTGTTTGCTCATCCCACTCCACCTACTGTTTCTCAGAGGCCCTGAGGTTGTCCCCACCTCGGTTCCTGGGCACTGGCTGTTTCCTTTGCCTGGGATGCTCTTGCTCTACAACTTGCTCTTGCTGGCTGCTTCCTGTCAGGCAGGTCTCAGATCAAATGTCGCTTCGACTACGAGGCCTTTTTTGACCAGGTTAAAGAAGCCCCTCACTCGCCCTCTCTCCTACACCACCCCGCTTTATTTTCTTCATAGCACTGATGACACCCTGGCACTGTGTTGCCTGTTTGTTGGGTTTATTTTTTATTGTCCATCTCCCCACACCAGCATGGAAACTCTATGAGGGCAGAAAGCCTCCCTGACTCACTCCCCAACTCTATCCCAGCCTTTAAAGTAATGCCTGGCCCAGAACAGGCACACAGCAAGTCTTTACTTAATGACTAAATAAATAAATCGGCCCCAAAGAGATGCTGTTTGATTTGGAAAGCTTTGATTTCCTTTTTGGGAAACAAGTTCTAGCTGACTACAATTTTTACTCAAAAGGATACAGTCTGTGTATTTTACCCAAGTAACATGCATTGCAGTTTCTGTCCTTTCCCTAATATTTTGATACAACTATTACTAGGTATTATTTATTTGTTATGGAAGAGATGGACTATATCAGGTCTCCATGTTTTTGTTGATAAACTCTCAAGCATTGGGAGATTTATGTCCAATGTGTCTTTCTCTCAGCAGCCTGGCGAAGAGGCAGTGCTGTGCCAGGAAATAGCACCCAGGCAGGACTCCAGGGTGGGGACCGCTAATCTGGCTTTGCCACAAGTGAGTTAAAACCCATTTGAGAAAGTCATGTATCCCAACCTGGTTTTCTAGGTTGCAAGTTGAGCTTAATAATTGTAGCCCTTCTGCTCTGATGAGGCAATTGGAAAGATGAAGGAGATAGCAAGCATGTATATTTAAAGGGAAGGTGGTTGTCACTCTTTATTTCTTCACTCATTCATCCATCAAATATTTCACAGCAATGCACTGGGCTAGCTAATGCATGGATGAAAGGATGATGGGATGGGCACTGTATACCCTTCCCACCCTCACGTGTCTGGTAGGCTTGATGCACATCAATGATGATGGCTGAGAGGTGCAAGGTTACATAAGAGAGATGCAGCACTGGGCTGTGGGGTTCAGAAGCGGGATGGTCTCAGTTGGGAGGCTCCTGAGATAAGGGAAGATGTTGCCTTGAGGAAGCCAGACCTAACCAAAACCAGTGCCTCAGGGGTCTGCAAAGTACCCAGCCGAGGGGCCAGCACAGCTCCAGCAGGCTGCGGACAGTAAGGTAACATCTCCCAGCCAAGGCCATCCTTCATGACCCTTCAGCGTTGAAGCTTGAATTGACCTGACTGGCAGATCCTGAGGATGTGGAGCAAATATTTCTCCTTTTAGAATAAGCTTTAACATTCACACAGAGACAGAAGAAAAAAAAATACAGGCATTTATTATCTTATATGTGCTGTTAATTGATTCATTTTGAGCCTTTTTTGCCTTGCCTCAATGGGGGTTCAGTCTTGTCTTCCCTGGAGGAGCCAGGCTGCAGGCAGGCCCGAAGAGTTTCACTGGGTTCTTTGGATCTCATCTCGCTTACAGCTACTATTTCCAGTAGGCAAAATCTTTTGCTCCAATTAACACCATCTCCGTTGCAGCCCAGTTCCCTCTGTTCTTCTTTCCCTGAGCAAAGCTTCCCAGGCTTGGGGCAGACAAGAGCCCTGAGATCAGGGCTCTTCTGGGAGTTGCTGGAAAAGACCAGAGAGGCAGCTGAGGGTATTTCTGCCAGCGAATCTCCAATTCTATCTTTATACAATGCACACAGAAAGGGAAGGCATCCCTGAATTCCTTCCATTACAGATTGGAATAGCCTTTGACAAAGAGTTAAGGTGTCAGCATAAAATGTAGGATCAAGTCTCTGGAAAAAGAAAAAAGAAAGAAATGTGACAAAGTTTTATTTTTATTTTTTATAAAGGAAAATGCAAGTTCTATTTATTTGGCAAATGGAACGAATGCCGTCTGGAATAACATGACTGCTTTCCTTCTTTTTTGCATAAACAAACTTTCACAACACAGGTGGGAGGCAATCAGGGTGAATTTGTCCCCCCTAACATTGCCAAATTTAGCAAATAAAACTACAGAATGTGTAGTTAAATTTGAATTTCAGATAAAGAATAATTTTTAGTATAAGTATATCCCATGCAATATTTGATATTGAAACTAAAAAAAAATTTGCTCTTTATCTGGAATTCAGATTTAGCTGGGTGCCCTGTATTTTATCTGGCAACCCTACCTTCCATAGGCCTCAAGTTACCACTGAGCCCAGTCAGGAGCTCTGGTTCTGGGGTTGTCCCCTGCCCAGTCCTCCAAGGATCTGCTCTGCTGCTGCCTTCTTTCCAGATTCTTTTTCCAGGGCAACACATCCAGGGTTTCTGTGGGAGATTCTCCTCCTCACAGTACTTACCCCAAAGTCTCTGGCTCCTGGGATTGACAAGAAACAATCATGTAGTGAGGTTTAATAATACATGCAGGTGTGGTCTTCCTTCCAGTGGTCCAGAGCACAGGACTGTCTGTGTTGGTTGCACAGTGGAAATACAGGGGAGCTTTAAAAAAAATGCTGAGGCCTGGGTCTCATCCCCAGAGATTCTGAATTAATTGGTCTGGGATGTGGGCCACCTACTGTGATTTTTTTTTTTTTTTTTTTTTTTTTTTGAGACGGAGTCTCGCTCTGTCGCCCAGGCTGGAGTGCAGGGGCGCAATCTCGGCTCACTGCAAGCTCCGCCTCCCGGGTTCACGCCATTCTCCTGCCTCAGCCTCCCAAGTAGCTGGGACTACAGGCGCCCGCCACTACGCCCGGCTAATTTTTTGTATTTTTAGTAGAGACGGGGTTTCACCGTTTTAGCCGGGATGGTCTCGATCTCCTGACCTCGTGATCCGCCCGCCTCGGCCTCCCAAAGTGCTGGGATTACAGGCGTGAGCCACCGCGCCCAGCCCCTACTGTGATTTTTAAAAGTCTCCCCAGGTTATTCTAGTGAGCACCAAACACTGAAGACCAACTTTAAAGCCACCAGTGCAGAAAAGTGCAGGTCTGGCCTGAAGTCTCATTGACAGGGACTTAGAGAGGGCCTGAGTGTACTCAGGGTTACAAGAGAGAAGAAAGGCAAGTAAATGTCTTGGATGCACTGGTATCTACGAATCATTTTTATGGTTCTGGTCCTCAGACATGTGTGAGGGATTCAAGGAAATGAGCTCTGAGACCTCTGCTGTCCAGAGTCTCACAGCACACATGAGGAGAGATGCTTCCTCTTCTCCACACCCCATCAGTGCTGAAACACTACCTCACATAGAGCCATGGACTGGGGACATCAGAGTCCAGTGTGTGTGTGTGACAGAGTGGGGGCTGGAAAGAGAGGTCAGGATGTGCTGCAAGCCAAGGAAGGCTGGGCAGGAGCAAGACCAGGGCAGCCTCGATGGCCTAGATTCTCATTGCGCTGGCGAGTTGTGAGAAGCTTCAATCCGTCCTGAAATGGGGAAATGACGGCAGGAGAAAGTGACTTGGTATGTGAGGGGGGAAAGGAAGGCAGGCTAATGTGTGAGCTCACCATCAGAGCTGACACTTAAATGTATGCCTTAGAAAGGCAGAGAGTATGAGTGTAATGACAGTAATGAGAGCTGTTATTCCAGTACTATTGAATCTTATCGTAATGTTATTATTACATATAATATATTCTTATTTTTGTTAAAAAGTATAATGATATTAACGATAATTCTGGTTTACAGTTTCTTGTCCAAATCCGTGGGACCATACTTGTTTCAAAATCGAATTTTTCAAACTTCCCAAAGGTAAAGCGATAAATAATGCGTATAAAGCAAAACCCCAGTAGCAACTGGGGCAGTATTCTAACCAAACATACTCACACTTCTGCAGCAAAAGTTATGAACATTGATCCTAAGTGGGGTGAGTAAGCATTATAAAAAGCCTCATGTCTCTCCAGGTCAGGTTTTGAAAAACCTTTTGGTTTTTTAATCTTTTTGGATTCTGTGATTGTGGGCTTGTTATACCTGCCTGCATCATTTATGGAACATTAACTATTTGGTAAGCAGTGCGCCAGACACTTCAAATACATGATCCCATTTAAAACTCATAGCAGCCCTGTGAGGAAAACACCAAACAAACATTATTATAGATAGAAACTGCTATTTCCCCTATTTTATAGATAAAGAAAAGGAAGCCAGCAAGGTTGAACAACCTGCCCAAGCTCTAGGCTCATGGCTATAGAGTAGAAAAGTTAGAACAGGAATTCAAATTCTCTTCTGACTCCAGAGCTGAACTACCCTGCCAGGGGGAGCTGCAAGTGGGGAAGCTTTGGAGAGGGGTACACATAGTACCTGGGTAGACACAGAGACATGCACAGTCATGGTAGTCTCTGCAGAGGTGTGTGTCTATATGCAGAACATGTGTGATTGCTCTTGTGTGAAGCTGTGCGGATGAGTGTGTGTGTACCATAATTTGTGTGCTTGGGTGTCTTTCTGTGCTCCCGCATATCTGTGTGTTGTGGGGGTGTCTTCTTGGTGTAGGGAGTGTATGGGCATGACACCCTGTGTCTTTGTGTTTGTGCCGTCTCTTCTTGACTCTGCATGAGCAGTTCTGGAACAAGGAGAGTTACTCTTGTGATATGTCTGCTTTCACAATGTGTACAGCCCAGGGAGGAGGGTGATTGAGTGGATTTCAGTCATTATCAGGAGAGATGGAGTGTTCCAAGGGAGACCTGGTGATGAAGACTGAGTGCAGGCCCCAAGTGGATGAGTTAGTCAAGGTCAGTGCACAATCACCCATGGGCCCAGGGAGCTCTGGCAAGCACCTCAGTGCGGTCAGTGAACTTCGACTTGGTTCAGTTATTTTTGAGGGGACTGTCCTCTGGATAAATGAAAGAAATCCAGATGTTCTCAAAGGTTCTTAGGAGAAGGAAGAGATAAAGATGAAAGCCTTTGTGGAGACCTTGGTTTTGCATTGTTGGTCTGCATATTGGGAAGTCAGCAGGGCTGCATGCAGTAGGTGGGAAGGAAGGCTGCTGCACAATTGTTTTCTGTTTTCCTGGACCATGCTCTAGAGAGTG
The DNA here is from genome assembly GCF_000001405.40 of Homo sapiens. Classification (NCBI taxonomy): domain Eukaryota; kingdom Metazoa; phylum Chordata; class Mammalia; order Primates; family Hominidae; genus Homo; species Homo sapiens. The sequence goes on from NC_000018.10 coordinate 37,738,101, forward strand.
AACCTGGGGAGGAGCTGAGACACCCTACTCCCTGGCAAGCAAGTTCAAGTAAGCAATGACCCTGATAATCGGAATTCACAGCTCAGGCCTTGGGCACTGTGGATATTGGATGGCAAACCTCAACACACCAACTCAGGGACAAACAAACAAACAAACAAAAAAAACAAAACCACAAACAAAAAAACCAGCTATATTGCTTAGGGTTCATTGCCAGTCTATATTCTCTATGAACCCCTGACTTGTACTACAAGGAGAGAAAAAAAGGGAAGAAGCTAACACATATTGTCTAATGTGCCAGGTGCCTTGTTAGTCATTTTTCATGCTTTATTTTGTTTCTTCCTGAGAGCTGCTTCTAAGGTAGGTATTACTATTTTATTTGCATTTTAAAGAAGCTCATGAGGGTTAGGTAGCTTATCTCCAGTCATCCTGCTAGCTGGGATTTGAACCCATGACTCTCTAACTACAATCCCTTTATACCACATTGCCTCTGAGTCTCCCCCCTTCTCAGAACACTGTTGCCAGTAGACCCTGAACCATAAACTGCAAACACATTAGTTTTCATTGTTGTAAGTATTTCTTGTGTTTCCTTTAATACAATTATAAAAATTTCAAGTACAGAAGAGATCTGATACTATAGTTGAAAGTTCCCTAAACTGGGACTCAGGAAAACTGAGTTCTAGACTTAGGCCTTTATCGCTTCAGATTCCCTCATCTGGAAAACAAAGTGGTTGGCAAAGATGCTGGTATAAACCCTTTTTAGTTAAAGGTGGGTTAGGTTCTGACCCTGAGAGGGACTTTGTCTTACTTCTGAGTTCCCTGAGAGTCTGTAGCACAGAGCCAGGCATAAGGTGACATTGGCATATGCACTAAATCCTTCATTATATCAAGTGTTGTTAATTCACGGTGATTTTTAAAACCAACAAATGACAAAACACTAACACCGAAAACACAAATTGACAAATAGTTGCTAATGTTCCCTGAGCTCTTATTAGGTGTCAGGTACTCTTTTCTAGGAATGGGGCGGACAGGGACCTTATAACTATTGTGCACTGTGACTTGCTTATTTAAACTCTGCGGTAAAAAGGAAGCTAATGGACCTTCCAACCCTGCTGAAAGCCACCCACAAACACATTGTAGTCAATATCAATTTTCCAATGTATTACTGATTCTAACAGGCATTAATTTCCAAACAAACAATGGTTTCCTTTGGTGATTTCCATACTGCAGATACAACTACCATTTTTGCTGACCTGCTTCTTGTCAGATATTTTTTGACTGTCTATAGAAAGAGAGAACTTATTTTTGGGTGTATTTATTGAACTGAACTGGGAGAAGGGGGATAGGGGATTATAAGAGAGAGAATTGTCAATAACTGTCTCCACCCCTGCTCTGCCCAAAGTTGATGTAAAACTCCCATATCCATGGTCCCTGATTCCTCTCCAATATGTGCTTTAAATTGCTTTCTTCATTTTGCCAGCACCCATACACATCAATTGCATTCACCTTTGGCCTCTATTTCATTTTTGTTTGGCATTGCAAAAGCGCATAAATGCTGGTATGACTAAGGACTTATCTGTGAAGCATTCATTCATTCATTCATCAAATATGTGCAAGGAGCTTAGGTCTGAATGTAAAAAGTGGAGCTCAAGGTCAGAAGGGTCATTGAGGAAGGAGACTGGCCCTGGCATTAGCCGCACCTCCTTCTGAGTGGGATGGGCCCCAGAGGCATTGTGGGTCCATGGAAGTTGAGTTTCCAGGAAGTCCATACTTCCTATGTGCCCTGGGATGGAAATTTGTAGCCCACCCCAGGGGCCTACTCCTGCTCCTTCTTCAGTCCCCCTCTTTTTATTTTGCCATTTCTCTGGCAATTGCATCCCCTCATAGGCTGTAGTTATTATTGCTGTACTGAGTACTCCTGAACATATACTCCATCTCAGGTGTCCAATCTGAGTGCATACTGGGTGTCCTGACTTGCAGGCATCTCAAACTCAACTTCTCCAAACCAACTCCCCGCAACAAAAGACCCTCTACTGTGTCCTTTTTGTCCTCTGTACACCTAACCCACTGATGCCTAAAGGAAACATACGGGTTATCCTACAGTCTTGTTTCCTCTCATTTCTACATCTAATCAGTTAATGACAAAAAAATCCCCCTTTAATTAAAATTAATTAAAGTAATTAATTAAATAGTAATTAAACTATTTTTTAGTTAGTAAACTTTTGTTAAAGTATAATATCCATGCAAAAAGCTTCCATAAGTGCACAATGTGATGGGATTTTTCCCAAGTAGAATATATATCTCTATAACCACAATTCAGATAAAAAAATCAGACCTTTCCTAGCGGAAGTACCCTCCATCACCTCTCAATCACTGCCCCACAAAGGTGATTATTCTCCTGACTTCAAACATCAATGATAAGCCTTGTTTGATTTCAAACTTTCTATAAATGGACTCATAGTACACGTCTTTTTGCCTGGCTTCTTTCACTCAACATTATGCTTGTGAGGTGCATCCATGCTGTTACTCATGATCAGTTGTTTATTTCTCAGTGCTGTGTGGTATTCTTGTTGCATAGCAAGGGAGTATTATTATAAAGTGTGTATCTTCATGAGGCTCTTTGAAGACATACTGGATAGAGTCAAATCATGAGAAGTTTCATTTCATAGAGTACATCTTTAAAAGAAAGGCACACCATTTTGTGATATTTAGTTTTTTAATTTTTATTTTACAATGTTTATTATTATAATGTTTTTTGAGACAGAGTCTCACTCTGTAGCCCAGCCTGGAGTGCAGTGATGCAATTATAGCTCACTGCGATTCCTGGGCTCAAGCAATCCTTCTGCCTTAGCCTCCCAATTAGTTAGGACTACAGGCAGGTGCCACAAAGCCTAGCTAATTTTCTAATTTTGTTTAAAGGTTTTTTTAGCAATGATGCCTGGCTATATTGCCTAGGCTGGTTTTGAACTCTTGGCTTCAAACAATCCTCTCTCCTCGGCCTCCGAAAGTGTTGGGATTATAGGCATGAGCCATTGAGCCCTGGCTATGATGTTTAAAGCTTACCAATAAGGAAGTTGAGGCACTCTGTAGAGAACCAGACAGCTAAGAAGCCAGAAAAAGTAAAAGTGAAACTTCTTCTATTTTCTGGAGTTTGTGCTCTTCGTTGCAGTTTTGAAAGAAGAGTCATGCTTCAATTAATAACAGACAACGGAGTCAATATGAAGGGAGCAGAGACAATGATGTGATCAAATGCCAAGAAATGACTGACAGCAGAAAAAATATCATGTGAGCCAAAGCAATTTCACTTGACTTCTAACTTTATTCATCCAACGAATAACATTTCATCACAGTTTTATCAATGGAATGCAATTCCACCCAGATCATTCTGTCAACGACAAGAAACAGCATCAAATCATTCTGTCCACACAAATAAATCAATTGTTGATTATTATTTTCTTCTATTTGGGATACAAGGAGGACCAAATATTTCGAGTAAAACAAAGGAAAGGAAAGCAGAAAAACTTTTTGTTGTTGTTGACAAATCCAGCTGGGTAAATGCAATTTATGTCTTTTGAAAAAATGCATCCTGATGTGAGGAGGGATAAACTGTTTTTAAACTCGAACCAGGGACAAACTGTAATAATAAACACACTGGAAGAAAATGCAACCATTTATTGGTTCTTGCAGATAAAATAGCATTTCCAGTTTTTTTTTTTTTGTTTTTTTTTTTTGCTGTTGCTTATGTAGTTCTCCTTACTGGAATTCCTCTCCCTTTCTTTGAATGTATAATCACATTTTGAGAAAACACGAAATCTCAGGGTCTTACAAAATCCAACAGGGGAACGTGTCATCTTTAAATGACAAGCTGTGTGGGGAGTACTCTGGTTATGAATTAGGCTGTTTTTCCTAGTACTGCAATTTCTTCTTGCTGCCATTTCGATGGTGTTGAAAGCCCTTTCTCCAGACTTGTAAGTTGGTGGTCCACTACTGAATGGAAAGAAATCTGGTTTTCCATATGTTCTCACTCATAGGTGGGAATTGAACAATGAGAACACTTGGACACAGGAAGGGGAACAGCACACACCGGGGCCTGTCGTGGGGTGGGGGGAGGGGGGAGGGATAGCATTAGGAGATATACCTAATGTAAATGATAAGTTAATGGGTGCAGCACACCAACATGGAACGTGTATACATATGTAACAAACCTGCACATTGTGCACATGTACCCTAGAACTTAAAGTATAATAAAAATATATAAGTATATAAAAATAAAAAAAATCTGGTTTACACAAATTTAATTTCATATTCATGCTACATATGACAAAATTTTGCATCAAGCTTTTTCACTTAGTGTGTTATGCCGTGAGCATCTTCATCAAATTTGCCCTGGGAGGGAGGAATCTTCCAGCAGCATCTGTGTGGAGAATTGTTTTCTCCCTGGGGCCATCAGGAAAAGCTTGCCCTTTGCTGTGATTCCCTGGGCTGCAATGCTTTTACTTAACTGGCTCAGTCCCATTCATAGCTGTCCCCTAAGGCCCCAGCTGTGGTATCAGCAGGGGGTCTAGTGTCTCTCATACTGTTTTTTTTTCCTCCCCAGGACCACTGTGGGAGGAGGTACTTTCTCTTTGTCAGAAGAACAGAAGCAAATGGTCTGCTTATAGCCTTTTATGTGACGATGTGCCCTTTCTGCCACTGCAAGGGAAAGAGTCATCTTTGCTCCTCCATTTTGGTTTATCCTAAGAAAGACCAACACTATGTCTAGCCCAGAGAGAGAAACACATAAAATAAATACAAGTTAAATCTTCAATGGGACATCAAGTTCCATGTACAAGGCTAACCTAGACTATAAAGTCCTTGAAGTAAGTGAATTTATTATATATCTCTATCACTGGACACACTGTTTGCATGAAATGAAGAGAAGCTTAATAAAAGTGTCTTCATAATGACAAAGACAGGGATGATTATTTGTAGATACAACATTTAAAGTATAAATACAGTTCAAGAAGATTTGATTCTAATCGAAACACTTCCACCTAAATAAGAATCCTGATGCAAATAATGACTAGTTTTAAAATGACACCTTTTTTCAGACATTACAAGCAATGCTTAGTCGTTAAATTAAAAAATAAATACCCCGTACGATTTAAGAAGAAAATAGAACACATCTCTATTCCCACCACTTAGCTAACATTTGGTGTGCTTATTCTCTCTGTCTCTGTCTGTCTCTGCCTGTCTCTCTCTTTCATTCTCATTCACTCCTGCCCTCACCTCTCTCTCTCTGTCTTATCTACCTTTGTTTTGATTTTACAAATTTAAGTCCATATTCATGCTGTACATGATTAAGGTTACACACTTAGTATGTACACACTTTTTCACTTATATCATGAACATCTTTGTCAAACTTTTAGAAACATTTTACCAGAGCCCTGTTTTGAAGACATGAAAGTTGTTCTCTATTCATTTTTAAATTAGGGATATATCATATGTGGGTATATTTACACACATATTTTGGAGCACATTTTAAATTGTTTCCTTAGGAAATATTGCTAAAAGTAGATTTAAAAAAATATTAAAGTGTTTGATAAACATTACTATAATATCCTCCAGAAAGTCTGAACTAATTTAAACTCCCATTAACAACATTTGTACATATTTCCATTGCAACCTTGTTAAGAAAGTACTATTTTGATAAACAGACAAAAAGGAAATCACACAGTTGTTTAATTTGCATAAAATACTAAATACTTTCTTCTTATCATTGTTTATTTTTTGTTTCCCTTTTGTGAATTGCCTGCTTATATTCTTGTCCATTTCCTAATGATCTGTAAATGCTTTTTAAAATTTCTTTGGAGAACTCTGATAAATGCTGTGAATATTTTTCCCAGATATTGCTTTTGTTTAAAAATTAAATAATAATTTCTCCTTATAAACAGACATGTCTGATATTAAAATGTAGGTATTCCTCAATAATTTGTTTCCTTTGTTTTTAGATTTCAATCCGATTTTAAAATAACATACATTTTCTTCTGTTTTATTCTTTCTCCTTCCCTTCCTCTTTCTCTCCCTCCCTTCTTTCCTTTTTTTCATTTTACAACTAATTGGTCAGTACTTCTGGGATATGCTATAGAGCAGAAATCTAACATTTTCTTTTCCAAAAATGTAATCAGTTGTCTAAGAGCCATTACATTCTCTTCTCTCTCCCTTGATTTTAAATGTGATCTTGGTCAAATGCTGAACTTTAATTAGCATTAGAGTCTATTTCTGAAGCTGCCTTCCTGTACCACTGGTTCATTTAATAATTTTTGCTTGAGCACCATATGGCTTTAATTACTGAGCTTGACAATATGGTAAGCATCGTTTCAGGTAGTACTAGTCCCCTTTCATTACTCTCTCTTTGAGGGGCTTCTGTGTTTATCCTTCTAGATGAATTTTTATGTTCATTTTGAAGAAAATTTTGCCATTTTGATTAAAATTTATGGAAACATGAATTCTTTTTGGAGAAAATGATATACTTACAGTATTAAGTCCTTTTGAAAAATTATTTCTTCCTACTCAGGAATTCTATTAGTTTCTCCATTTATTTAAAACTCCTTTATGCTCATCAGTAAAGTGTAACAATTTTCTTCATCAAGTGCTACCTACTTCTTACATTTATTGCTAGATATTTTATACATTTGCTGATATTGTTGGTGGAAAGTTGTTGTGGATTGTGGAGTGTGCTGTGTGTTATGTGGATTTTGTATTTGGCCCTAATATTTTGGTTTCTTCTCTGAAGTTTTCCTTTTGCTTATTAAAATATATATTACTCATGTATTTTTTTTTGTTTTGTTGCATTGGTTAGAACTTTCAAAGTATTACGTAAAAACAGGGACACTGCCTGTATTATTTGTATTGCTGCTCATTCTAAGGTAGATGGAGGAATCGTAAAGCTGGACCTTTGGTTTCACCATTTAACCAAGTGTCCAGTTTTAAGAGAGGTTTTTTTAAGGAAGAAAGCTCTATTCTTAGTGTATATATATATATCTTATATATACACATTTACATTTATATATATACAATATATGTAAATTTACATAGAAATGATTTTAACCAGAAATATTATTTTTTATTTAAATATAATTTTTTCTTTAATCTTTAAATTTCTGAAGTTACATTTACTTGATCATGTGTATTGATCTCTATCTTCAGTAACCTTATGATTTTGGTTTGTGTTGATATTTTATTTTGGATTTTTGCACTTGTATTGCCAGTAAGTGGGGTTTAGAGATGTGTGCATGTGGTGGTGGTGTGTGTGTGTGTGAGTGTGTGTATTTAGGAGTGTGCTTTCTCCATCAAGTTTGGGTATTAGGGTTATGGAAAATAACCTAGAAATCTTCTGTTAAGAATATATTCTGGAATATTTTATATCACATGGAGTTTCAAATAACCCACATATTTTTCTGTGCCATTTAGGAGGTAATACGTATTTGCCTTTTGAGATTTTTCTCTGTATTTTTGATCAGTTCAGGTAGTTTTTCTCTTTATGATTAAGTTTTGATTCACTTATGTTTTCCTAGAAAATTGCCCATTTCATCATTGTTATAAAATTTTTAAAAAAATATATGAATATATTTGTTTCCTCATTTTTAATTTTTTGTTTTTGTATCTTCTGTATCATTTACTTGCATATACTTGCTAGATATTTAGCTATTTGGCTTCTCCTTCCAAAGATCTATTCCTAGGATTTATCAATTTTCTCATTTTTAACTCATATTTTTAAATGGTTTTATAAATTTCTGCTTTTTTTGAGTTTATCTTATTTTTCTTCTGATAACTAAGTTGGCATTTTGTTCATTTATTTTCATATTTCATTTTAAATTTTGTAGGCTTTTAAGGCCTCAGATTTCACACTGAAAACATATTGGTTGCCACACAAAAGTTTTATATATAATTTTCCATTTGTTATAATTTTCTCAACAGTCATAAAAACATTTAATTCCAGTGTGATTTAGGAATACCTTTAAATTTTCCAAGTGGTTGTATTTTATTGTTACTTCTCTTTGTTATTCATTTGCAAAATTTCTTCTCTTTGCAATTTATTCAGATTTTTATTATGGCTTAATATAGAATGCATTTTTTTTTTTAGTGCTTCATGTGTATTTGAAAAGATAACAGTGTTCTCTGTTGGTAGTATCTGTAGTTAGATATATTTCTTTAATGGGATACTCAAGATGAAATTTAATTCTAAGAATTTCAAAAACACAATAGAAAGTAAAAGTTGTTGGATAGCACTGATGAGACCAGTGGGCTAGAGCACACACAGCCATTAGAGACATGAGTGATTCCATCTGAAGCTGACAGACCTTCCCACAGTCAAAGCAAAAATTATGAAATGAACCAGTGGTACAGGGAAGCAGCTTCAGAAATAGACTCTAATACTAATTAGAATAGACTCTAATACTAATACTGACAGTCAGTCAGTCAAGGCTGGGGAGGCCAATCTTAGCCTGGAAAGTACAGTAGAGCGCAGCTGGACGGAAAGGTCCAGCTCTCAGGAACAGAGTGAGGCAGGGCAGGGAGGGTTGCTGGAGGAACCCTGAGGGCAGGCCCTGGTTGAGGCCTCCAGAAGTGGGTACATCCGCTGGCAGGGATAGTTGGTCCTCTCTTTCCTTCTTTATGAACTCTCAGTAAATCCTTGCTAAAGGCTGTTATCTGCTCTGGTATCTTCTAGACCTGTGCAGAGAAGGAAGGGGAAATGAGACCTCTGCCAAGGTAAGGGCAGCCTTGGCCCAGTGGCAGGGTACCAAAGATGGTGGCCAAGCAGCTGGAGGTGGTGGGGGTACATGGATGAACAGGAGGGCTCAGTCCTCGGGACTGATGAAGCAGACCTGGGATGAGGAGCCCTGAGGGGCTGTAAGAAACATCAGAGTGCACCTTGAGATCATTATTGCCTTCTAGGGTATAATCATCACTGGAGCCATCAATTGAATTTTATTTTAGACCAGGCTAGCCAGGTTAGAAGACATTTAGATTAGAAATGTTTTAGATAAGCATTATTTGTCATATTATTTGTAATTCTCCACCATTTTCTGACAATGTAATCAGCCATAACCTGAGAGAAATGTGTCCAACTTTTCTGAGGTTACTGTATGACACTTGGTTTTCTCTCATTTGTCAGAGATTTTGCTTTTGTTCTATTATGCTATAACAATGTGAAATGAGGTTGTGCATTTTTTTGTATCTTAATTGTGGATTACACCCATAATCAATCTAAAATGCCCCTCTTGGCCTGTTTAATGCTTTGTTTGCAATTTCTATCCCTGTTTCCTTTTTGTGTGCATACATCTTGGCTAAGTGCTTAGCCTTTATTTCTGACCTTGTTTGAGTTGTAGCTTAAGTATTTTGTATTTTGACCAAACAAAAAAAGCCTTTGTCTATTAATGAGGGAGTTAATTACACTGACAGTGATTTTCAAAACTGATATGGGTAGTGAACATTGCTATTCCCTGCCCAGAATCTTTTCCTTCCTGCCTCGTCTCAAGTGAGCCCAGATATTTATAGGAATTCAGCCCTTGCATCCCAGGAGAACCTGACTCCACTCTAGCTCCCAGGGTGAGCCAGTTGGTCCAAGAGTAATCCCAACTTGTGTCAGTGATTGGCTTAGGAATGGGCAGGTAACTCAATTCTGGATAAGAAATTCTTATCCAATTCTTAAGAAAGCCACAGGAAAAGGTGGTCTTTCTGCTGAGCTGGATCACACTGAAATGGTACTCCTGGAAATGTGATAGATAGCAGCAGTCTTGCTGCCTGCCTTGGGGGAAGTCCTCACAAGGATGACAGAGGGAAGAATTGGGACTCTTGAAAGTATCCCTGAGCTTCTAAATCAATGGTCTCGTGGTTGTCCTACATTTTGTGCTCCTGTTACATAAAATTAGGCAATTTTTTATTTGTTGTTTAAGCCAATTTATTTTATTTTATTTCTTTGAGATGAGGTCTCACTTTGTTGCCCAGGCTGGAATACAGTGGCACGATCATGGCTTACTGCAACCTCCACCTCCCAGGCTCAAGTGATCCTCCCACCTCAGCCTCCTGGGTAACTGGGACCACAGGGGTGCACCACCACGCTTGGCTAACTTTTTTTAGTTTTGGTAGAGACGAGGTTTCACGATGTCACCCAGGCTGGTCTCAAACTCCTGGGCTTACGTAATCCACCTGCCTCAGCTTCCCAAAGTGCTGGGATTACAGGCGAGAGCCACTGCGCCTGGCCATAAGCCAATTTAAATCAGGGTTTCAGCTGCTTATAGAAAGAGCACCGAACCCACACAATATGTTCATTTTAAATATTTTTACCTTTATTTCTTGCTTTTTATGTATTATTTCTCTTTAGTTTTTGGTTTTCTGTTATATGTATGTAGATGACATTTTATTTGCATTTGTTTTCTCCTGTGAATTGCTAAGGATGCATCTTTTTTAATTCTACTAAAAATCAAGTAGCCTAATATATACTCGAGCCTGTATTTTTAGAAGTATAAAAGTCAATATAATAATGATAATTATAATTATCAGTTAGTGTTGTTTGAGCTCTTAATGTAGGTCATGCTATTGTGCTAAGCAATGTATGTATATTTATTAGATTGGTCTTCACAGCAGGATTTGGAGACACAGAAAGTTAAGTGACTTGCCCAAGTAAAGCAGAAACTGTCAGTTGCCTACTCTGTGGATGAAGACATTAATACAGTTTTACTTTATGCCATGCTTTTAACTCTCTATTCATTTCCTGCTTTTGTTGTTATTGGGGAATTTCAGAACTGGAATTTTAATAATTAATTATTTTTGCATTATTTATATTCTTTAAACTAAAATGTTTTCTTTTTTTTTGAGTCCACATTTTCTATAATCATTCAGACTCAATTCTACATTTAAGTGCTTTTGATACTCGCACCATTCCTCTTGAACTGTAGTCTTTTATTCTAAGTTATTTAACACAGTTCCTTTTTGGATTAACTGACACGTTTTTATTCAGAAGATATGTTGTTGTCATAGTTATCACAGAATAACCACTGGGTTGGTTATAGAATTTTCCCCCAAATTCTATGTATTTCTCTCAAGTCTTCTCATACTTAGTGCTGCACAGGAGAAGTTTGAGCCTGTTCTTTTTTCTTTTTTTTTTTTTATCTTGTAGTCTATCTGATTCATTTCTACCCAGATGCTGGTAGTGTTTTTTGTTTTTTTACACAATTAATTTCCATTGCACAAGTAAGTTCTGAAAGCATTGTTCTTCCAAATATTAAAACTGTACAGATATATAAAAAACTCTATTTGATCTCCCTTTTCTGAACTCAAACCCTTTCCCCAGAGGTAACTACTGTGAACATTTTATATGAATCTTTCCATTAAGTTTTCTATGTATTTACACCTACATATCTGTAAATGTGGAAAAGTGTATACTGATATATCTGTAAATGTGGACACAGTATTATTCCAGGGAAAGTGTAACCTGAGAATATATGTCAAATGCATCAGTGAGGAATTTTGAGGGCTGGGGGATGGGTAGGGGCCCAAACAACTCCTGATTACCTGAGAAAGAAGGCCCCACTGCAATAGCAGGTGAATGGGCCAGTGTCAGATGAGGTAGACCTGGACTTCTGATTCACGACTTAATTTACTCCATAGGAAAAGATGAGACCATCTTTTCAAGCTGTGGCTTTGTTCTCCTTGTCAGGCGCAAGTACCCAATCAATAACCGCCTCAGCTCCAGAGCTCATGGAACCAGTAGAGCTTCTCCCCAGATTCTGACCAAGGTGTATTTGTTAGTTAGCACTGTTAGTCTCCTCTTTTCTCATGTTTTTTTCCTATGGGGCTTTAGAAAAAGTGAAGTCCTATACTTAGGTAGGAAGAGGCCATCTTGAGGAAAAAATAGGACAAATTGCTCTTAGTGGCAGTACACCTGGAGTCCCAGGAGAGAATGGCTTAAACAACAAGCCCTACCCCAGTGCACCTCTAATCTTTTGATTAGAAAAGAGGGAGGCCTCTTTTCATGAGAAATCGGATAGTCCCATGAGGATGGTGCTCTCACACTGATGGAGAGCAATTCAGGGAATGAGCTTGGGCCCTACCTGCTCCAAGCTCTACAGAAACGATGCCCGAACTGTTTCCCACCAAGTAGGCCTACTGTGTCCAGCTTCTGATGGATCTCATAAGATTTTGTTTCCCAAGAGAACCAGTTTAGTAAAAATATGTTTTCCCATTTTAACTGCTCCCTTAACTTCCAAAGAGCATGTGATATTCCAGATTATCACACTAAACTGCTGTCATTCCTGGCAACAGCAAAGAAGGCTCTGTTGCATGAGCCAGAGGAGCTTACTGTGGGTAGACAACTCGAGCCAGGCTTTTAGAAGCTTTGAAGATAGAGCAATTTACTGCCTTTAATGACATTCATTTTGGTGTCTTTCATATTTATAAAAAAGGAACAACCAAATAGACCAGGGGAGTGCTGACTTGTACATCTGTTGGGTCTGGCACCTCCTGGTCTTGCTCTAGGTAGGGGGTGCCTTCTGGAACCACCAGTCTAGTGGTCTTCTCCCCACCCACATCCCTCTCCATTTTGCCATCTGCTTTATTCACAACATAATATGTACGGTCTATACTTATCTGATATATGCACTTCTTGCTTGTCCTCCCCCTCCAGAATGTACACTTGATAAGAGTAGGGGTCTTGCCTGCCTTATCCACTGCATAGCTCCAGTCAAGAGAAGTCATTGCCACGGAAAAGGCACCCAACAAACATGCCTTTAACTTGTTGAATGAACCCATCAAATTCCTGATAGTGGAAGTTTGGACACTGGAGTCGCAGGTGGGGAAAGAAACCATGATGCAATAGGACCCCAATTACACGTGGGTTCTGCTTATGTTAGAAAAGCTTCCTGACTTTGTGTGCAGTCAAGTCCTGTGGCTTGTGGCCAAGGGAGGATCTTTTCTTTTTTACCCATGGAAGATGACATTGGTATGTTGGAGTAATGATCCAGAAGATAAACATGAATACAGACAAATTCTGAATTTGGATTCAAATAACAAGTTGCACAAAAACAAGGTAGGAGAGATGTTTCTTGACAATAATTTGTAGAAAAACGTTACGTTTTGGCCGACTCATTGTGAATTAATGGCATGAATAGCTGTTAAAATTTTATACTAGTAATGGAATATCATGTCTAATAATACAAAAAAATCAACATTCTATGTGGCCACGATTTATGCTGCACTAACCATGTACCAAGTACTGTGCTTAATGCTTTTTTATACGTGACTACAACTCCTGAAAACCACATTATTATGTTCATTTTATGAATGGAGAAACTTAGGTTCAAAGAGTTTAACTTGGCCAGGACACAGAGCTAGGACATGATGAAACCAAGTATATCTGACTGAAAAAGCTGTTGTTCTTCACCACTGATTTTCTTGGTGCTCTATGTGGGCCTGAACATATCTAGGACATTTGGACTCAGTTGTAGAAGATACATTTTAAGACAGACAATAACCAAACAGCGGCTTCATAGGGAGGCTATTAGCATATTAAAGAATATGGAAACCACAGCATGTGGGGAATGTTCAAAGAGAAGGGGGATGTTTTGTGCAGAGGAGAGACAATGGGAGGTGGAGGTCAAGAATGAAAGGGTATCAAATGGAAGAGAGCAGACATGTCCTGTGTGGCTCCAAATGGCAGAACTGGAATAGCAGATGGAAGTTACAGTGAAGCAGATTTCAGCTTGACACAAGAACTAACTTTCTAAAGAACAGAGATGTGGGATGAAGCTCTTGAACTCATCCCCCTCCTCCCTCCAAGCCTGAACAGCCATCTGTCAAAGATGTTGGATTTCAGGAAGGAGAACCTTCCACCTCTAAGAGTCTGAGATTTTCTAGACGAGTTTAAAGTTTATTTAAAAGAAAGGTAAAGACCATTTGAGCTGATTTAACATGAATCTTGTCTGGGGGCTGGGGGACTATATTAGAGTCTGAGTTCCTTTCAGCCTTTTGAGCAGGTAACTCTTCTATTGGGGCCATAACTGAGGCATATTTTAAATCAGAAAGGGAGAATATCGTTTTTATTCTGAATCTGAATACTCCTTAAAAATAATAATTGTTGGATGGTATTTTTGTATTTAATTCATTTCAGTCTTTCCTGTGTGTTTATTTTGTGTTCAGCCCTGCATAGGTGATAAATTTGTAACCATACCCCCTCTCTAGCCCATCCCTCTTTAATACCACCCTAGGACAAGACCATGAATAGTCCTGCCTTTCATGGCGCCTCCAATTCCTCCTTTCCCTGAGGTACATACAGGCATTGTGCATACAGAAGTTACCTGTGTTTGTAATTCACAAACCCCAAAGAGCAGTGAAGAAAAAAGGAATGAATCCTACATGATTACAAAGAAGGAGGGGACAAAGCTGGCTCCAGGTGCATTTCTACACAGTGTGGGTTGAATTTTCTCTAGAGAAAGTGTGCTTATTATTGGTTTCTCACCAACCTTGTGGTGCAGAGGGCATCTACAAAGTGCTAGATGAAATAGGATCATGTGCAATTTCATAAGGTGTTCAAAGGGGATATAGAACCTTGGTATAAGATTTGAAGAGCCCCATTCCCCGAAATCGTCCTTCTGTGGACCTGAAATCTTACAATTTTATCACTGTTCTTCTGAGTTAAGCATTTCCCTACCTATTCTTCTAAAGGCAATTCACCCGGGAGATAAATTACCTTAGCTCTTGATGTCAGTATCAGAAAGGGAGTCTTCCTCCAGGAGGCAGTAGTAGTTTATTGATTACTTGCTTCATGATAGGTGCTGTCCTAAGCTCGTATCATTTTAGTCTTAGTTAATATTCACAACAGCACTATAATTATATACTATTACTATCTGCATTTTACAGAGGAGGAGACTGAGCCTTAGAAAGGTTAAGTACTTTGTCTAAGTTCACACAGCTAGTAAATGGTGGAGTCTGGATTTGCCTTCAAAACCTATATTCTTAACCAGTATGTAACACTGTTGCTAGTGGTCTCTAGATATAATAATTATCTGACTCTCAGACACAGGAGAGAGTTCAGCTTAAGAATGCTATGTGTGTGTGTTGGGGGAGGCGGGTAGGAGACACAGGGAGGTTTTATTGTGAATTAACCCTAAATCCTAACCCTAGGTCAACTATTAATCTAAAATTTATCTGAGATGGTTAATGTAATGCTGACTTCTGACATAGTAAGGTCATCATTAGCATTTTACTATTTGCCTCAAAGTCAACTGAAGTACATATCAGGAAGTAATTACTTATGGACTAACCCAGCTACATTCTCTCTCCCTTCCTCCCTCCTTTCCTTCCTTCTTGCCTTCCTCCCTCTTGTTTCCTCCCTTCTCAGGTACTCAGTTATTTCTGAGTATTGCTCTGTGCGTGGCACTGTGCTGTACATTGAGGATATGAAGATGAGTAAGTCTCAGTCTATATCTTTAGAGACCTCACAGCCTGGAAAGAGAGTTAAAAAATAATTACTATTCAACATGGCAATGGTTATAAAGGAGCAGATTTTCCAAACTGGTGTTTCAAGGAACATTCTTTGGCAGGATGTTAAGTAAGTGTACCACGAAAAAGAAGTATTTTGAGTTAAAATAACTTTAGGAAATGCTGGGTAAAATAAAATTAAGTAAGTTTTTTCTTCCTGGGGAATTTTCATACCCTTTAAAATGCTAATGTGCACTGTGAATCTCCAAGAAGGGAAGAGCACACATATTCCAAACTCATTTGACCTCCTAACCTTCTTTTTACATGACATACTTAATGAAATATTTGTTCATTCTTCTATCCATCCATGCATCCATCCGTCCATCCATCTATCCATAATCCATCCATCATCCCTCCACCCATCATCCATCCATCCATCTATCCATCTACTTATCCATCCATCCATCTAAGCATCTATCCTCATCCCTCCAGCACTTCTTGGTTACCCATTATGTTCCAGACACTACTACATCCTGGGGATCCAGCATGGAGTTTATTGGGAAGATAAACACTAAGAAAGTAAACAAATATATACAATTGTCAGAGTGTAGTAAGATTCATGTAGGAAATAACTAGGGTTCTATCATGAGAAAAAAACAGGGTGATCCACTTAAGCACATGGTCAAGAAAGCCCTCTGTGAGCAAAAGACATTTCAGGCAAGTACCTGGAAGAAGAAAATGAGTCAGCTTTGCAAAGAGCAAGAAGAGCCATCCAGGAAGAAGAATCAGCAAGTGCCAAGTCCCTGGAATGCAGAAAGCCTTGGCAAACAGGAATTTGAGCTTCCTCCAAGAGTGCAGGTCTGCTTAAAGGCAGAAGGCTGGACCTGATATTAAAAAAATTAGAATCTCATCCTCATATTATCACAGTTGGAGGAGACCCTGGCAGCATCAATTCCAAGTTCTTATTCAAGAAGTTCCCATCTTGTAACATATAGGGCTGTCTGCCACATTTGGCTGTTTGTAGGATTTTCCTCTTTAGATGGGAGGTTAACTTCAGCCCCCTAATGTAGCTGGTGAGAATGTTGCTTGTGACATTTCTCTTTCATATGAAATGAGGACCAATGAGGATTGAACATGTTGCTATGTTTTAAAGGAGAAACTTCTCTCAGAGGTGCGAATCCCAATACAAATGATCATAACTGGTAACCTTCGTTCTCTCTTAGAAACAGGAAACAGCAAGCCTGAAAAAGGAAATTGACGAAGAAACAATTTGGTTATTCTTGACTCAGTGGCCAAGGAGGGAACACAGGTAACCCTGATTCTTGAAGCCTGAGTGCCCTGTTCCCCAGGCTTTTATCTTCCAGTTCTCCCTGCAAGATTAAACATCCCCAAACACCATTTTTGTGGTCTCTGCCCTGGTTCAAGGAGTTACAGTGGATCTTCTTTATTGTCAAATCAACAGAAAACCTCTCAGTTAGACATTCAGGACTATCTATTATTATCATCATTTTCTTCTGGGTGACGCTCTTCCTTCTCATTCACTTTCCCCAACACATAGGTGCCCTCTCTTTTTCTCTTTCTCTGACCATGTTTCAGCATGGAATTAAGGCCACACGCACACACAAAAGAAAAAAATTCGGGCTTTGGTGTTGCAGCTGTAGCTTTGATCTTCTTTTTTAAATTTTTTATTTATTTAAAACATTTTTAAAGTTTTTCTTTATTCTAAAAAATGGGATACATGTGCAGAACATGCAAGCTGGAGCTTTGCTCTTTCTTATGCTGTTTGCCGTTTGCCTCACTGTGCATCTTGCAGACCTTTAGCTTCTTCATCTGCATTCATAGGTACTAATAATAATATTTATCAAGTAATAATAATAATGGTTACACAGGATTGTTGTTATTTGAACTCAGCTGTCACAATATCTTCTCACTATGGGCTAGGACAGACTCCTCCCTCTGGAACCTAATTCTTCCATCTTGCTTGCCCTCTGCTGAGGTCCTTTCTCTTTGGAGACAAGAGAATCTTTCTGATTCTCCCTTCTTCATTTGGACTTCGTGGCCCTTACTTAGCTATTTAGAGTTGGCCTTTAAAATGGCAGACTTTATTTCCCATTTGCTCTACTTTTTGCTATCAGAGGCCACCCAGCTTTCCTCCATTCCCAGTTCTTGTGTCCAACCTAACACAGCCTGTGTGAGAGCCTTTGGCTCTTGCTTCTTTTGGAGGGAGAATTGGAAAGTTATTCTCTGAGGTCCAACCTTGGTAAGCAGAGACAATGAAGATCTATTCCCATCCCCTTGGCCAGTTTTTACTCAGTCAAGACCTCCTCTTTGTTGACTGCACAAGGAACTCCGGCATTGGTGTCTGGTCTACCTCTGTAGCCTCATGGTCTAGTGACTCTCACATATCACTGGACACACTCTGAAGCTAGCCATGACTTCTAGATCCTTGACTTACTATGACCTCAGCTAATTCAACAGGAAGATGGAAGGGTTTCATTCAGAACCTAGAATCCAGCATGTCCTAGCTCTTGCCATAGCCCTCGCCACATCCATTGACATTCTTAAATAAGCTTCTGCAGGTCGTCTGTACACCCTTCCTCTTTTCTACTGTAGACGTCACAAGTTCACAGGTAAGGTGAGGTATGGGTCACTTATGTCCTTTTCCTGCTGTTGCTGTGGTTGAGGAAGCACTAGGGAAAGAGGTGCTTCTTCTGATGCTCAGGGCGTCTGTCAAGACTGCTTGGATGGCAATGTGCGATGGCAATTTGCAATGGTTCGGGCTAGCATGGTGGGGTCATAGCACCATCCAAGGCTCTAGCATAGACCTAGTAGTGGCTCTGTTAGGGTCTGAATATCCAAAATTCATAGGTTGAAATCCTAAACCCCAATGTGATGGTATTAAGAGGTGGGCGGTGATTAGATTATGAAGGCAGAGCCCTTATAGATGGGATGAGTGCCCTTATAAAAGAGGCCCAAGAAAGCTCGTTCGTCACTTCCACTATGTAAGGACAGAGTGAGAAGATTCAAGCCAGGAGAAAACAGGCTATCACCAAACACTAAATCTGCAACTGTTTGATATTGGACTTCTCAGTCTCCAGAACTGTGTAAATAACTTTTATAAGTAACTCAGTTTATGGTATTTTGTTATTAGCAGTGTGAATAGACTAAGACACTCCTACCTAGAAAATGCCTCTTTCCTTGTCACTAGCTGGAGAAGAATGATTCAGAAGAGTGCATCCAATTCTGGAACAGACTCAAGGATGTTATTGTGTATCAACTGGTGATTTCAATGCTCTTTTCCTTGCTGCAAGAAAAAAAATGCGTTGGAACTTGGGAAGTATGTGTGTAAAGGAGGAAGGAGTGCTTTATGTATTTCTCCAGTAGAATTTTGCTAATATATCATTAGTTACATTGTTACATGATCACCTCTAATAGCAATGAAGGCCAGGAAATGGTCTTTGAAACTGAATGCATTGCCTCCCTGAATTAAATTGGATTTCTATTTGTAGGAAGGAAAAGTGATAGCATTTTGTAGGCAACTACAGTGTTTATCATCTCCAGTGACACCAGTCAACTTACCTTACCTTCCATTTCTCTGAGCTCCTTCTCTTGGAACATTTCATCCCATAGCTACCTTTTCTCTGTGCTTTTTCTCGATGTTGCCAGAACCCAGGTCAGGATTTCGATAGCACGCAGGCCACCTTAAAGGAGGTCAAATGTGCCTCCTGGTGGTCTCAGGATTGGTATAAAAAGCATTCTGACCAGTTCTTGGTCCCAGAAGCTGTCTAAGAGGGAAAAAATGATTAACTATTCTTCTCAATGAGATGCTGGAAGACCATTTGGAGCCTTGGAATAGTGATGAATAGTTTAGCACCATCCCCTTGGTGATAAGTGAGCTTTGCTCAGTTAGTTCATGGGAGATCCCGTTGTTTGAAAGAGTCTGGGACCTGCCCCTTCTCTCTCTCTTGCTCCTGCTCCTGCCATGTGATGCACTTACTCCCCCTTTGCCTTCATCCATGACTATAAGCTTCCAAAGGCCTCACCAGAAGCAGACGCTGGCACCAGACTTCCTGTACAGCCTACAGAACTGTGAGCCAACAGGGACCATCAACCTAGTGGTGTTGCAACCTAGTCCACTCACATCATTTCTCAGGTCTTTCCTGTTCAGCTGACTCTGAGCCCCTGCTGTCCTAGGTTACAAGCTTCTTATGAACAGAGCTATGACTTAGACACCCTCATGGGTACAAAAAATAGGCGTACATTAAGCATGTCATAGACTAATTAAATGGAATCCATAGCAACGTTTTGGGTTGCAGAATTTTACCTCTTCAAGAAAGCATTTACTAATTAAGGAAAAGTTAGGAGACACATCTTTCCTCTCTTCCTTTGCTATGGTTTGGATGTTGTTTGCCCCACCAAAACTCACGTTAAAATTTGATCCCCAGTGTGGCAGTGTAGGGAGGCAGGACTCCGTGGGAGGTGTTTGGGTCATGGGGGTAGATTACTTATGAATAGAAATGTACTCCCTTGTGGGTGAGTGAGTTTTAGTTCTCATGGGAATGAATTAATTCCTGTGTTAGTCCATTTTTGCATTGCTGTAAAGGAATACCTGAGGCTGGGTAATTTATAAAGAAAAGAGATTTAATTGGCTCATGGTTCTGCAGGCTGTACAGGAAGCATCTGCTTCTGGTGAGGCCTTAAGAAGCTTACGATCATGGCTGAAGGCAAAGGGGGAGCAGGGGCATCATATGGTGGGTGCAGGAGCAAGAGAGACAGAAGAGAGAAGAGGGAGTTCTCAGACATTTTTAAACAACCGGATCTCCTGTGAGCTAACTGAGCAAGAACTCACTTATCACTAAGGGGATGGCGCTAAACTACTCATGAGGTATCTGGCCCCACGTTGCTATCACCTCCACCAGGCCCCACCTTCAACTTTGGAAATCTTATTTCCAAATGAGATTTTGAGGGGACAAACATCCAAACTGTATCAGTTCCCATAAGAGCAGGTTATTAAAAGGAGTCTCACTTCCTTGATTTTTCTCTGTTGCTTTTTCTCTTCCCATGCAATCTCTTTGCACATGCTGGCTCCTCTTCCACTTTCCACCGTGAATTCAAGCAGCAGGAGACTCTCACCAGATGCAGTTACTTAATCTTGTAATTTTCAGCCATCAGAATCATGAGCAAAATAAACTTATTTTCTTTATAAATTATCCTGCCTCATGCATTCTGTTAGGGCAACACTAAACGGACTAAGAGACCCTCCTTCTATCATTTAAATTTATAATACTCATGACTTTCTTTCCATTCAGCCCCATTGCTTATCATATATTTTACTCTATATAGGGTTGTTGGTAAGGTCTTGCTAGGTGAGTTAGCTAAGTGGGCTGGCGCAGGAATCAACTGAGGCCATGATTTGAGGTTCGGTTTCCTAATGGACCATTTATCCATGATCTTGAATGGTGATAGGCTCTAGACCTTGGTCTTCTCAGTGGAGAAACCTGTTCTTGCTTCAGGTAAAAAGACTCCAATATGTGCTACATAGGTAGGTCAGAAGCATTGTTTTAAATCAAGGAACCACATTATTTATGTGTGCTTCTTGGGTGGTCTGAATCAGGGACCCCAGGATTAGCACAGTGCTAAAAAAAAAAGTAGACTGGCTGCATCATTCTGGAGGCCCACATATTTCTCTATTATGTAGCCACTGCCTAACTCCTTACACTTGAAACTCTAGTCACAGAACACCTTTTAACTTCAGATGTAAAGGATATCTTAGTCTGGTCACTCTGTGACACTCTAACTTAGGGCTTCTCATCAAAGTCTTGGCCCTGACCTCAGAGTTCCAGGATCAATGGCCTTAGGTAGGGCCTAGTTATTGACATTTTTACTTACCCTCCTTCCTCGGGTAATACCAATTGTGCATCCTAGAGTGTAAAACCACCTCAAAACCCCAGTGAGAAACTGAACTGTAGACTCCCTTAACCCCAGTCACAAATAAGCTCCCTGAAATCATTCATAGTTAATCCTGACTTCAACACACTGGCTTCTAAATCTTATCAATCACTGATATGATGTCATACCAGACCCAACATGCCATCTACCCCACATCACCACAGAGAAAATCTAAAACTTCCTCTCCCTTTGGTCACATGTTTGAATTTTAGCTCTGGAAATACATAATTCTGTAATTGATGGCATAGACCATCTTTAATTCCAGAAAGAATGACCTCCTACTTTGGCTACAGTTTCTTCTTAATTCCAGCTTTGTACCAATCTCTAAAGCTGGCCACAGACTGATCTCAAGACCAGACCCAAGTTACCCCATAATCATGATCATCCACTTTATATTTTGTCTGACCACTCCTGGATTCTTTCTTTGGTCGTAGATTGCTCCATACTTGATAAATTATAAATTTATAACCCTAGCCACAAATGGAACCAGAGCTCCAGCCTCAGTTCAACCTCAAACTCTAGCCATAAATTAGCAACCCAGAAGGTCTTCACTCTTTGGCTAGCTAAAAATCAGAATTATCATCAATTTTTAAATGAAAAATTTAAATATATATAGATGTCAAGAAACTAGTATATTGAGCCCTATGTGTGTATTTCACAGCTCCAACAATTACCAGTACATTCTTTTTTCATTCATAACCTTACTGACTCCTTTTTCCTCCCTCTCCTTGATTATTCTGAAGGAAATGCAGACATCATTATATCCTAACATCTGTATGTGTTTTGGTTTGTATCTCTAAAATGTAAGGGCTTTGCTGAAAAAGATTGACAGGTTAAAACCATGACATAATTGTTATACCTAAAACTTAAAAATTCCTTATGCACAAGTATCTAGCAAGTGATTTTATTTATCCAATTGTTTTATATGTAGAAATTTTCAGTTTGTTTGATCCAAATAAGTTATTTGTTATTTGTTAAATAAGTACATTGTTTTTGGTTGATATGCCTGTGTCTTTTAATTTATAGGTTTCCTCTTTATTACTATTGTTATTGCATTTTTTGTTGCTGTTGTAGGAACTATTAACTGCCAACTATTAAGCTGTAAATATGGGGCCACATTGACGCTTAGCTCTGGTCACTGATGCACCAGCACAAACTGTCCCAGAGAAGGAAGGCTCTGATCCCAAGGGGTGCAAGCCAGGGAGTGAGTGGCATATCCCTCAGTACAGCCACTAACCATGAAACTCCATAAAGCTTCTGCCCTCCAACTAGTGAGGAACATCTGGCTGTCGTATCAAACGATGGCCAAATCTTGCATTTATCATGGTCATTCTGTTCTCTCACTGCTATTTCCTGACACAGAATCATGGCAGCAAAGATGAAGCTAAACAGCCTGTGTATACATATGGAAAATTTAAATTCACATGCACAGGACAGGCTCATGCTGTCCTTGCCCATGCTTAGTCTGCCTATGGCAATAAAACTCTGATTGACAATCCAGAGCTACAGTTGCTAAGATAAGCCACTAAGGTGGACCATTAAGGTGGCAGTGTCAACATTTGCAGGGGTTTAGAGAAGGGAAAGAAATTGAGGCATCACCCAGTGGGAGAGAGAAGTGTACAGATAGCTTTCATCATGGAGAAAAATAACCCTAATATCAAAATGACCAGGTTTTTGTGATGAGGACTTGACTGTTTCTACAAGCAGCTAGTTTGTATTTGAGTGTTGAGATTTTTGAAGCATTTGGCATGATTAGCATTGAGTGAAGTAGCAAAAAACAGCATCTTCAGCAACTTTATATGGCCTTCAGAGAATGATGCTCAAACTTCTTGGCTGATATTCAAGTTTCTGCCCATCATATCCTTGCCTATTTTGACAGCCACATCTCCTTCTCTTCTACTGGACTCTTCCCCAGCCAGACTGAGCTCCTCTCTGCTTCCCAAACAGGACATGTACTTTTCTCTATCTTTGCATCATCTGCTCATATTGTTCCCTACTCTTGGAATGCCCTTCCCAAGCCCTCTATGTGCATGCGCCATCCAGGAACTGGGATGATAACTCTTGGACGAAATAGGAACTGTTGAGAAGCAGCAGGAAGTGGGTCACCTTAAACACAGAAGAAACCAAAGGAAAGATTTGTTTAAAATGAACTGGAACTTGAGGCTAGGAAGTTCCTGGATACCTAGACAGCTGGAAGAGGAGCATGAACCAGGAGGCCAGAAGAGACTTCACTCCAATCTGGTGCCCTCACTATGGCACAACTCATCCAAAGAGAAAAGCTCCATGAAAACATGTTGAGCAAAATTATTCGTTCTCATTTCTTAACGTAGCTTTCTGATTTAATAGTAAAAAAATGCTTGTTTTGGTTTAAATTTCTCTAGTTTTTAGATACCATTTTCTCTCCCAAACTAGGTCATTTGAATTATCTGCTGATAGTTCAAATCTGTAGATAATTTGCTTTTACTCACATTCCTAAGAACTAATTACCTGTACATATAAAATGATGAAATCTCATTATATTTTCTTTTAAAACTCTGACATGCATTTAATTACATTAGTCAATTATTACTGTACATGCTGAGGATTTGCTATTGACCAGCTCGTGCTGGAATATTTACTGCACAGATGTGTTACTTTAATTAAACAAATGTGATTACACACATATCAATTTTTATTTGGTTTCAAAGCCCAGAATCTAAAAGTGACGCAGTTGGCAGAGCTGTGTGGTGCGGTGCTGGTTCCCAGGAACACAGCAAGAGGCACTTTACTGAGGGAACGCTGCGTGCCTGCAACTCTGCGTGGGAGACTTCAGCCACAAGTGGGTTTTTGTCTGTGTGTAAGTGCCATTGAGTGAACCCAAGAAGGGAACAAACAAACCAGCCCTGAATCTTTCTAGCACATGTTCAGCTTTGCTCTCTTATATATAGGAAATGAGGGACAGTGCTTGGAGAACCTGCAGGAAAACTAATCTAAAAGCCAGTCCATTTGAGAGTGGGAGTTGCTTGGAACTGGTGCTTGGTTAAATAGGCCAGCTGGTATTTCTCTTTAAAATCAGGGATGAAGTTGGATGACATTAGAACATTGAACTTGGTCTCTTGGGCTTTTCCTGCCATATCCTACAGCAACTCCCTAAGCCATGAGGTTGGCATCAAGAAAGGAGACCATCTCTCAGTGCCTTGTCTGAAGCAAGCAGTCCTGAGGAACAATATGAAGACTGAGATGGAAAATCTAAATGTGCTTTACAAACTAGAGAAATGTAAAATTCTCTATAACTCTTGATAAAATGATTCCACATACCAGGCACAGAGTAAATAGTCTTGGTTATTAATAAAGGCAGTAAGTCAACTCATTAATCAACAAACACTGAGCACTGTATGAACTGATTTCTGGTGGGCACAAACAGAAAGACAAGAGTTTGTGCACATGAATGCAGACTAGTTGTTTTCCTTGGCCTTGGACACAAAGGATTGCTGTGTTGGTTGTCAAGGGCGTCTCTGTCTGGGATGCATGGCTATGGCACCTGAAGAACCAATCCAATTGGTCAAGTCAACCAAAAGTTCTGCTTAAATCATCTCCAGTTATTTTGGATATAGGTAGTGTCTCTGAGGATGAGATTGGGAGCCAATGAGATGGGACACACTTGTGCTCCCAAATTCACCATGAGCATCAAGAGTTCACTGAAATGGTGAAGACCATGTCATCCACTCCAGGCTCAGAAGGAGGTAAAGGAGAGGCAGCAAGTTGTTGCAAAAAGTGAAGAAAGTGCAGGCTCTAGGTAAGACAGAGAAGCACATGAAGAGCAGGTGAAACACCCAGCTCTATGGCTTCAACCTCTTATCGTGACAGTGCCATATCTAACAGTGATGATGAAACCCATCTCATAGTGTTGTTACAGGGATTATGAACCATATATGTGTGATGCCCAGAACTTAGTACATTCTCAGGAAATTGCTGTTGGAGATGATGAGGATAATAGGGTTGGTGTGGAGCAGCTTGGAATGATTAATTTTTGGAAAAAAAGGTTGTTTTCATTCACTTTGCCTATGCCATTCTTCCTTTCAGCATTTGGCACAGCACTGACCCATTCCCATTCTCACCTCAAGATAAAAGCCTACATAGGTACCTTTGCAGAGTTTTAAGAGAAGGAAAGTTATCTGGTCCAGCTCCCTTGAAATGAATTGATGAATTGCATAACTCTTTCAGCTATGTAGTGGCAGAATTAGGAAACAAACCCGAGTCTCTTACTTTGAGTTAAATGCTCCTTACATTGCATTTCTTTATGGGATGAATATTATACATCACCTACAGAGATATGCATTTAAAAAGAGAAATATGCAGAGGGCAATAATTAACCCAAACTAGTAGTGGGATTTCAGACATTTTTGTTTTATCAAGTGAGACACTGTTGGGATATTGCTGGCATATACACCTTCCTGGTAGCTCTTGGAAGGGGCCAGCATTTTCCTATGAATTAGACTTGAGGTTTCCAACACATATGGGTTGAAATACTGATCCCCTCAACCAAGTGGAGTTTGGGACAGCCTTCTTCAGGTTCCATATTCTCTCTTCTTCACCCTGAGTACCCTATACAAATATGATCATTTTCTATGAGTGTCGTGAAGCTATAAAGTTTGGGAAGTATCAGCTTGGCTGGACTAGCTGGTCCATAAGACCAGACTTTGCCTGTGAAGAGCTAAACCATCAGCATATAAAATTTTTTGAGCTTCAGTTTCCCTATCAATGAAATTGATATAATTCTTATCTGGCAGTTTTGCTGTAAAGATTCATTGAGACAGTCCAGTATAGTGTCTAAAATATCATAGATGCCTAAACTCACTGTGAGTTGAAGGTACCACTATCTTTTTTGGTTTGTAATTTTATTTGTTAAAATAGAGAACACAAAGAACTTCTGGCTTTCCACTACCGTCACAGCTTGGTAGGTGGAATTGGAGATAGCTTGGCTGTTTGAGCTTTGAGCTTTGGCTGTGACCTGTTTCTGCCTTACTTCGAGTTCCATTCAATCCACCAGCAAAGATCTGGTCTGATGTGGTCACTATGGCTTAAGGTAGCAAAACTGGAGCTAGGCTCTGCTGTCCTCACTTCCTCAAAAGCACCCAGGGCTCAGCTCAGGCCTATCTCTGCACCCCAACCCCACCCCACTCCCCAGCTGCTGATCTCATTCTTTTGCCAGGGCCAATTATAATTAAAACCAGATTTGTAGGGAGAAACATGCGTGCACACACAGCCAAAGCCTGGAATTGCTTACCCGAAAACAAGTTCCCTCCTCCTTCTGCTCCAGTTCTTCAGCCTTACCAAGAGTAGGGGAGGGAAGTGGAGAGAAGAAATAGGATTTGCATTGGGCGTGCTGAGGCAAGGTGATCCTGGGCAAGTGACAGGCAAGCAGTCATCCTCCACCTCGCTAGTTTTTGGACTAGCTCAGGGCAGCAGCCTCAGGTTGCCCAGTGGAGTCCAGCCCAACAGCAGCACTTGGCCTTCCCTCCCTTGGGGTGGGTCACTGTGGGTTGAGCCCAGCACCGTGGGGGCCAGGGCTGGGCTGCTTGCCCACTGTACCTCATTATGTATTCCTTCATTATTTCCTATGCAAATTAAGTTAATGAGAATTAGGAACATAATGGAGCCCATTCACCGTTCTAGTCGCTGGAAAATGGGTTTGACTACCAATTTTCCATTACAGCTGTTTTGTAATTACCGTGGAATACTCTGAATTCTAATGGAGACACTGAGCTGCCTGACAGCCTCTTGACTACTTTTTTTTTTTTCCTGGAAGGTTGAAAAAAGGAAACTCAAACCCTATAACATAAAAGCCTTTCTATCAGAGTGCCTCGGTTTGCTTCTCCTATGGAGATGTCCTCCACTCTTGCAGGAAAAGTCTGCTTCCATCACTGGGGTCCTGACCTTTGCTGTGATTAGACTAGTTAACCTTTTTGCCAGAGTTATCCCTTGCCTTGCAAGCAAGCAAAATGGAATTTGGGGCTACACTCAGCCAGGAGTGGCCTTCTGAAGCAGGCCAGGGCAGTCCAGGGTCCAGGTGTACCACTGCTCCTGGATCACCTGCTACCCAGCCTGCCTCTCCCACCTAGGACTCCAACCAAACACCTCCTCACTCACCTGTTGCTGTTTGGGACACTTAAGAGTATAGGGGTTATCTTAGTCCATTTGGGCTTCAGTGTACTGTAGACTGAGTAGCTTATAAACAACAGGAATTTATTTCTCAAAGTTCTGGAGGCTGGGAAGTCCAAGATCAAGGTGCCTGCAGACTCAGTGTTCTGTGAGGGCCCGCTTCCTGGTTCATAGCTAGCTGTCCTCTTACTGTAACCTCACATGGCTGAAGGGGTGAGAGATCCCTCTGGGCCTTCTTTTATAAGGGCACTAATCCCATTTCTAAGTCACTTAATCACCTCCCAAAGGCCTCACCTCCAAATGCCATCACATTGGGAATAGAGTTTCAACACATACATTGGGAGAGATGCAAATATTTAGTTATAGCATTTCACTCTGGCCCCTCAAAATTAATGTACTTCTCACATGTTGTCAATTCAAAAGCCCAAAGTCTAAACTATCTTCTAAATATCATCTAATTCAGATGTGGGTGAGACTCAAGATATGAGTCATCCTGAGGCAAATTCCTCTCTAGCTGTGAATTTGTGAAATCAAACATGTCCTGTGCTTCCAAGATACAATGGAGGGACAGACATAGGATAGACAATCCTCTTCCAAAAGGGAGAAATAGGAAAGAAGAAAGTAGGAAGAGGTCCTGAGCAAGTCTAAAACCCAACAGGCAAATTACATTATGCCTTAAGTCTCCTTGGCTTGATGCTTTGCTCTCTAGGCATACGGTGGTGGGGGTTCTGTCTTCTAGACCGACTGAGACAGCAGTTCTGCCTCTGCAGCTTTGTTGGACATGGGTTGAGCCCCCAAGGCTCTGGGTAGCCCTGTTGTCTCAGCTTGGGGCACAGCCTCTGCCACAGCTCTCATGGGATGGAGTTGTGTGCCTGATGCTCTTCCAGGCTGCGATTGTATGCTGGAGGCTCTACAGGTGTAGGGTCTCTAGGGGGACTCACCCCCACAGTTCTGCTGGGCATTGCCCTAATGGGGTATATTTGTGGTGGTCCCAAACTTCTCAGTGGCCCTCTGCCTGGGTTCCATGCCAGCAGCTCCAGTCAGCTCATCCTCTGGAATCTAGGTGGAGGTAACCACATCC
Organism: Homo sapiens; assembly: GCF_000001405.40. Classification (NCBI taxonomy): domain Eukaryota; kingdom Metazoa; phylum Chordata; class Mammalia; order Primates; family Hominidae; genus Homo; species Homo sapiens. Next base: position 37,766,728 of record NC_000018.10, read on the forward strand.
CCAAAGCTTTGCTGGATACAGGGTAACCCCGACTAGGGCCCACTGAAGCCACAATTTGGGGTGGCTGAATTGCTTGGAGTTGCAGTGTGGGGAGTGAAGCCAGTGATGTGAGGCAGTGTTGGGCAATGCAGGTGGATACTCCTCTGCATTTTTTTTTTGTAGCTTCTTTTGAGATGACTGACTAATCTCTATTGGACAGTTATTTGGCCACACCCTTAGTATTCTTTCCTGAGTAGTCTTTCTCATTATTTTCAATGCAGATATTCTGAAAATGTTCCAATTCTTTAGGTTCAGTTTCCATATTGATTAATAATTCTGTTTGTAAGTCATTTCTTTCTTTTCACATTTTACTCTAAGCAGTCAAAAGGAACTAGGCCACTCCTTCAATACTTTTAAAGATATTTCCTCCGCCAAATTTCCAGTTCTGTTGCTTGCATGTTCTATCTTCCACCAAACACTAAGACATGAACACAATCCAGCCAAGTTCTGTGCCACTTTATAATAAGGATGGTCTTTCCTTTATTGTCCAATAAGTTCCTCATTTCTGATGAGGTCTGAGACCTTATCAGAATGGCCTTTACCAGCCATATTTCTACCATCATTCAGTTCAGAATTACTTAGATATTCTCTAAGAAGATTGAGGCTTTCTCTACAGATCTCTTTTCTTTCTGAGCTCTCACTAGAATTGCCCTTAAAGATCTGTTACAACAATGTTGGCTTTTTCTGGCATGTGTCCCAGAACTCTCCAGCCTCTGCCCATTGCCCAGTTCCAAAGCTGCTTCCATATTTTTAGGTATTTGGTATAGCAGTACCTCACTTCTGAGTATCAATTTTCTGTCTTAGATCATTCAGGCTGCTATAGCAAAGTACCATAGATTGGATGGTTTATAAGCATCAGAAATGTGTTTCTCACAGTTCTGGAGGCTGAAAGACAATGACTGAGGTGTCAACAGATTTTGTGTCTCATGAGGGCCTGCTTCCTGGTTCATAGATGGCCACCTCTTCTGTCATGTCCTCACATGGTGGAAGGAGTAAGGGATCTCTCTGGGGCCTTTTATATAAGGGTACTAGTCCTATTCATGAGGTCCTCTGCCTTCATGACCTAATCACTGCCCAAAGCCCCTACCTTCAAATACTCTCACATTTGAGATTAGATTTCCACATACAAATTTAGTCTTTGCTATAATAATCCCCTCTTTTGTTTTATTTTACCACTGACAAAGACTCTCTCCTTGATCAGACTTTGATAAGGCTCCCCTGAGACCTCTTCTCAACTGGCCTAGACTTTGGCTCCAATTTTTACTGAACTTTCATAGATCAGTTTTATCAAGAATCCTACTAAGTGGCTAGGTGCAGTGGCTCACGCCTGTAATCCCAGCACTTTGGGAGCCTGAGGCGGGCGGATCACGAGGTCAAGAGATTGAGACCATCCTGGCCAACATGGTGAAACCCCATCTCTACTAAGAATATAAAAATTACCTGGGTGTGGTGGTGCATGCCTGTAATCCCAGCTACTTGGGAGGCTGAGGCAGGAGTATCGCTTGAACCTGGGAGGTGGAGTTTGCAGTGAGCCGAGATTGGGTCACTGCACTCCAGCCTGGGTAACAGAGCAAGACTCCGTCTCAGAAAAAAAAAAAAAAAAAAAGAATCCTACTAAGTAAGTTTGGGAAGGGCTTCTCCAGCTCCACATCTGACCACCTTTGATATCTGATTAAATTCTTCATCTTCCATCCTTGATATCTGATCACCCAGACTTGCCTTCAGCAAAGATCTCGTTAGATTAGTTTAGAAAGAATTCCCCTACCCTTGATGTCTCTTCTTAGTAATTTTCCAACCACCTACCTTTCACACCCACCCTGCTCCTTGGCTATAAATCCCCACTTGTCCTTGCTATATTCAAAATTGAGCCCAGTTCTATATTGAGGTCTCTTTTCCCCTATCACTGTAGTTCCTGAATGAAATCTGTTTTCACTGCTTTAACTACTGTCTGGCTCTAGTTTTGTTTAATAGCACCAAAGACTGTAGGAGGAAGGACACGTTAAGAGTTTATACAGTTCAAAATTTTCCAAGAGTCCGATGTGGCTGGATTGTAGGATGCAAGAGAGTGAGGGTGGGGTTGACAGCAGGGAGCACTGAAGGAAGGGCATAAAGAGCCAAGATTTTATTCTTAAGGCTTCTTAATCAGGGGAGAAACATGATGAGAGTTTTAGTTTAGAAAGACATTCTGGCTACAGTGTGGAGAAGGGATTTGGCCATAGGTACAGAGGGGTGGGGTTGTTTTGGTTATGGTTCACATAAAACCCAGGTAGGGGGCCATGACAGTTATACACTGATCCTTATTGATGGGGAAACCATGAAGGCTTGAACTAAAGAGGTAACAGCTGGGATGGAGAAATATGAATGGATTAGGAAGATGTTTAGGAGGTAGAACCAATGAGTTTGATGATCAATTGGATACGTGTGGATTGCAGGGCAGTAGGGGATTTCAAGGGTTATTCCTTGGATTATTGAGTGATGTAATTCATCATATAGTAACAATATTGACAGCTAAAATTTATGGAGAGTATAATATGTGCCAGGCACTTCTGTTTTACATATAGAGCTCATTTTATCTTTACAATAACCTAATGAGGTAAGAACTATTAACCTCAATCACATGTGAAGAAGTTGCAACATAGGGAGGTGAAAACAGATACTTGTTCAAGGTTTCAAAGTCAGGAAATGTTAGAGTCAGGGCTCAAATCCAGGTGGTCTGGTCTCATAGACCAGGTGTGTTGGAAAAGGTATTTTCTCTGGGATATGTGTGTGTGTTTGTGTGTGTGTGAGAAAGAGAGAGAGAAAGAGAGAGAGAATGAATGAGTTCTGATGTGAGTTGCTACCTTTGCAACACCATAGTGTAGATTTCCAGGGGGAGGTTGGGTAGATAAGCTGTAGTTTAGGGGGAAGGGCTGGGATTGAAATACAGTGAGTAATGTGTCCATGTCAAGACATAGGATTATACAAAATTTCCTGGAAGAGGTGAGTGAGGAGCCCTGGCCAATACCAGTGTTTTTGTGATACACTTAAGGAAAAGACTATAGAAGGCACTGAGTGAGAATATCACAAGAGTAGGGTGAAGGTTAGGTCAGTGAAAAATGTCTCTACCTTCCTTGGGCCCTACCTCAGGCCCTCTGGCTCTTGGGCTAGGTGTGTGTTTTCAGCTGCACAATGGTGCAGCCAGCTTCTGCAGAATAGTCTTATTATCAAGGTCAGAGGCCTGGAATTTGAGGAAGTATGTGGTTGAGCTTCAAGTCCCTGAAATTTAGAAAAACAAGTAAGGATGCGTTTTAGATTGGTTACTCATAAATTAGAACCAGAAACAAATAGTTTATTATGAGGTGATTCAGGAAGCTCCAGGAAGGGAGTGGTCTCATCTATATTCCATGTTTTCCTGACTGCTCAGAAGTCATTTCTTAGTTTCAGCATTTTTTGCCACCTGGAGAGGCTGAGAAGTTTTAAAACCATCAAGTCCTGCTTTCTTTTTATTTAACAGTTCTTCCCTCAATTTACCTCTTTTCTCTCACATTTCACTATTAGCAGCAAGATGCTGCTGGCAGTGCCTTCAACACTTTGTTTGGAAATCACTTTAGCTGGATAACCAGGTTTACCCCTTACAAGCTTTGCTTTCCCCTTAAAGTAGATGACAATTTTGCTGATATTTCTGCCACTATGTAATAAAGACCCCTCTTTGTTCCAGGTTCTAGTAATATGTTCCTTCCTTGCTTATGAGCTCTTACTGACAGGCTTCTTGTTTCTATATTTCTGCTAACAGCCTATTCAGGGCAATTTAAGCTTTCTCTATTATGCTCCTCAAATTCTTCTAATCTCTACCCACTGCCTGGGTAGAGTGCTGGTCTGAAGGCCACTGCCACATTTTTAGGTGTTTGTTGAAGTAGCATCCCACTTCTGATACCAAATTCTTTATTAGTCAGAGTTCAGCTACAGAAGAAAAACCAGTAAGAGATATATTCATGTGTATATATATATATGTGTGTGTGTGTATTTATATATATATATGTATATATGTAAGGATTTGTTACTGGGCTACACAATTGTGGGAACTGGTTAAGCAGTCTCTGTAAGGCTGTCAACTCATCTAATGCCAGAGACTGAGGTCCAAAAGCAGGTAGTTGGGGAAGAAAAGTCATGAGCAGGCTGCAACCCATAAGCACAAGCTGAGACTTCGTGAGCACAGGCTGTTGTGTTCATACTTGTTGCCTCTGACCTTTGTAACAACAAGCATCTTGAGCCCTCCATCATGGAGCTAAACAAACACAGCTAGAGGAGCCAGTGGAACTAAGGAGTACCAAGGGAAGGGAGAGAACTTGCTCCATGCCATTGAAGTAAATAAACAGTTAAGCAATAATATGTGTGAGCTACAAAATGGCTACTGCTTCATTTCTGCCTCCCTATTCTCCAAATTCTCCGAAGAATTTCATTTGTGGCCCCACAATTAGAAACATACAATAAAGAAACACACAATAAAGAACATTATGAAAAATGTAGTTCATCCTACCAAATCAAAACATAACGAAGCCATCAGACATATGCTCCAGTTACACCAACTGCACTTTCCTTATCATACTTTGTATAACTGCACTTTCTTTATCATACTTTGTATAGCCGTACTCTTTTCCTGGACTACCTCCCTTCTGCCTCCTATCTCTGCCCCAATCTGTGCCCGAGCACTAATAGCCAGTCTTCTGTGAGCTAGTCCCAATATGTCTCCATAATAACTGATACTTTCATTACAGCAACAGTCACAAGATATGATTTTTGTTTATGTGTCTATCTTCCTCACTGAAGTCTATGCTCCTTAAAGTAATAGCCCGTATTTTCTCTTACATCCCCTGAAGTTAATGCCTAGCAGATAGTAGGTGCTTAATAAGTTTGGATGAATGAAGTAAGTCACAATGTCTCTAATCCTTAGTGTGTTTTGCATGAAATGGCCTTGTAACTCACGAGGCCATTGTAACCATGAACTGTGATGGCACACGTGCAAGTGCCCAGTTCTTGGTAGGTTATTACAGAAACTCCAGAACTTCCTGCTTGAGCCTGGCCCTATGTTGTGGCAGATGGCCCCTGGAGGCCCCTCCACCTTCAATACTGTGCCCTGACAATGTCTTCATTCTGGAACCACCTAGGTTACAGAGATGGCAAAATCTTTAAGAGTGCTATATATTTTTCAAATTCAAGAAAGAGATACACTGGTGAAATTCTCTCTTTGAGGAAAGAGATACATTCCTTGCACACACGGATTCCCCAGTCCGCTGGAGATAAAATGATCCTGACCTTGGAGGAACCACGGTCATAGGGATATGCTGTCTGTGTGCCTGAAGAGTTTGTGTGTCACTTAATCTAGATCACGCTCAGGGTAGTCAGCAGGTCAGGCTCAGATCCAGATAAGCAGGATGTTGTCTGGCTTTCTGTCGTTTGTTTATTCAACACATTTATTGTGGACCCACAGTTTTCCTAGTGCTGTATTAATTGTTGAGAATACAGAGGAGTTAATACATGTAAAATGTTTAGAGTAGTGCTTGCTGCTTATAAACCCAGTAAATATTTACTATCCTTCTTATTAGGTAATACATACAGTTCTCAGTTTCTGCTTTATCTTTGTAGATATGCAGGTGTTATCTCTTCTCTCTCTTTCTGTCTCTGAGCACTTGGTTGGTTTCCATGAAGTATCATTTGAACTGATCATCCAGCAGATGCCTGAGAAATTGTTATAATTTATTTTGTACTTACGTGCCAGGAACTGTGCTACATAAATTTTACAAGAGTCAAGATTTGTTTCAGCTGCATTTAACAGAAAAACACATTTGGTTTCTTTCAGTCTTCTAAAGGATGCCTAGAGGTAGTAGCCAGGGCTAGTATGGTGGTTCTACTATGCCATAGTTTCATTACATACAATGCCAAGACTTTTTCTGTTTTTTTGTTTCACTAGATGCAAGGAAGACTGGGAAATGCAGTATACAGCTGGAGACATCATTGCCCTAAATAAAAATAGGACTCTTACCAAGAAGGGAGAGGAGAATGGATATTGGGTGGCATCACAGTCTCTCACACCTGAGCATCTGATTCTGTCAGAAGTTAAATGATGACCTCTCCTGTGGATCCCTGGGTTCTTATGAAGCATGAGTATAATACAAGATGTCAACAGGTATTGCAAAGGTAAAATCCTTGCTAAAAAATGGCTTAGTGGAGAGGATGGGTCATTCTCAGACCAGTTATAGGGTGGCTTGCACGTTGGTGTGCTGATTCAGGAATGGATTTAGATGATTGACTCGTAGAAATTTCAGGTGTCCAGAGACAAAATATTAGCCAGACCTAATATTTCAGTTTACCTCTGCTCCAGCCATTGAGGGAGAAAATTTCTGCTCTGCTTCAAAAGGGAGACAGATGTCAGTTTGCAAAGGGAAGAAACAGAGGGCCAGTAGGCACCTCTTGCTAGGACCTAATTCGCACTCAGGGAACATTTGATCCACTGGGCTCTGAGGGAAGTTTAATTGAAACGCAAAAACCAAAGGTCAAAACCATGTAAAATTTAAAGGCCATTTTTACTATTTGACAAGGAACAAATTGTAACTTTATATTGCTTTTAGATGCAATTTTGTTCAGTGAAATTAGATTATACTCAACTAAAGCACCTTCTTTAGAGCTTTTAGATTAAATATTAGAACTTATTAGCAGGACCTTGATTTCGTCAGTAAATACCAAAGAAAATATTTGGTGGGAAATGCAGCTGCCTAATCTGCATTAATACAAATGAGAACTATTAAGCTTAGCTGATTAGCATATTCATATGTACTGTAGTCCCCATGTATTTAAAATAGATTCTGCTAGATTCTGATTACAAACTCAGTGTATGTATAACGCTGTGAACCAGAGCCATGGCAATAGCGTGCTACTGACGAAGGGTGAGGAGCCCCAGCAGGAGGTAATTTTTGAGCAGAAAAATCTCAGGGTTGTTTCTATAACCAGCCTTGTCTCAAAGTCTCTGAGAAGCAGATGAACTGACAGACGGTAACCCAAGACAGAGCCTAGGTTCCTGGGGAACAAGACAGATAGGTCAGAACAAATATGTGTGTGTGTGTGTGTGTTTAATTCATTTATGTTTTCACTTCTTCATTTGCACAGCACATGTTTATTATTTACACATAATAATAAATGTATATTATGTATATTGTTTATATGTATATTCTATAATAATACATGTATATTATAGTAATACATATATAGTACAGAAATATATTTTTATGTTTATCTTGAGCCCATGATATTGCAGGCACTGGGGTGGTGCTGGTGACTGGTGAGAATAAGGGCCACCCTGAGAACAGGGTTCATCTCCTCAAGGAGCTGGAGGAAGGGAATCCTGGCTTGCCAAATCTAGGGCTGATTTTTCAAATTCCCGCCTGATTCCCTGACCTAGTCCTTTCATGGCTGGGAGTGTTGCTCCCATGGAAGGTTCTTCTCAATGTGGAGAGCCAGGGGCAGGGAGTGGGGGGCAGGGAAGAGCTGCCTGGCTGCTCCTGCCCTCATGGAGCCCACAGATGACCATAGGAAGGGCACTTTGTGTTCCCTGCTCCCCACAAGTGCATTTCTTCTGAGTTTTCTGTTTCCAGTGACACAGCTTGAGGTGACTGTAGTTGATCAGTGAGGGGCTAATGTGCTTGGATGGGATGATGCAGATTGCTTACAGATAATGTAGCTGTGCCTTTATATTTGAAGGTCAGTGTCCTCTGGGACGACAGCACTCTAAAGAACGTGTTTACTTCCTTGTACATGTGTCTGTCCAGGTCCCAGAGCATCCAGAGCAGGCCTGTGTTGAGGAAGTACCTTTTGGGATGGTGGGTGACGCTGGGGGTCTGCGGGATGGCAGGAAGGCAGTAAAGTATTCATTCTTCTGGCGACCCAGTTTATTTTCTCTGCTCTCTTGTGCTGTTGTCTTTCTGGTGCCTAACATGTGGAATTCCAGAATTCTGGTGCTGGAAACAATTGTAGACATTATTCTATTCTAAAGACTAAGAAACTGAGGTTCAGGGGAGTCCTGAGACAGGCGGAAGTGATGCAGTCCAAACCAAATGCCATGTTTTCTGAACCTCAGACCAGCAGGTGAACTCCTGACAATGATTCCTAACATTTATTTAGTTTCCATTGATCCAAGCTGCCCTCTGCGTGCATTGTAACTAGATGTAACAGGTTTTTAAGCTTTCAGAACTCCATATTTTGTGACTTTTCTTGAACCTGGCCATTCATTCATTCTTTCAACAGATACTTATGGAGCACCCCCATGTTTGAGGAGCTGTGCGAGGCCTTGGAGTTGAAGCCGTGAGTAGAAAGACAAAGGCTCGGGCTCAGGAGCTTATATTCTAGTGAGAAGAGTGACAATGAAGATGCAGCTGCCAGGTAGGGATACCTGCTCTGAGAAGGGGTGTGGCAGGGTCAGGAGATGGAGAGTGACCAGGCTGTTTTTCCTGAGAGTGGGTGTGGGGTAGCTTTATTTATTGAGCAGATAGGGTGACATTTGAGCAGCTGAAGGAAATAAGTAATGAGACATAGACTGTCTGGGGAGAGCGTGTCCCATATAGAGGCACGGAACCCAGCCTGTTGGGGAGGAAGGTGTTTACAATGTGGTACAAGGGAGGAGACAGCAGTAGAGAGCGTGGAGAGGAATGAGGATCAGATTGGACATGTGCATGTTGTGGGGGACAGCATGCAGTTTATTATCCAGTCGGGGCCCTAGATAGTGAAAGGAGGTGCTGTTAGTAATTGCACTAGGATAGACGTGAGTGCCAGGGTCTGAGGCAGGCCAGGGTGTGTAGCCACCTGACATGAAGGCCAGTATGAGGCGTTGGCTCTCACTCCAGGTGGGTGAGGAGCCTTGGAGGCTGTCAGCAGAGGGCAGGAGTGGTTGGATGTTAGTTCCATATTGACTGGGAAGCTATAAGGTTTACTGGCAGATTGGATGGGGGCTGCGAGAGAAAAGGAGGGTTAAACATGACTCCACAGTCTGAGCAACCGGAAGACGGAGTTGCCTCTATGGAAGTGCCAGGAGACTGCTGGAAAATAATATTTGAGTAGAAATGAAAGAGTTTGGTTGTTCGTTACCTTTGATGCATGTTACCTTTGATGCGTGTTACTTTTGATGTTCTTATTTGACATTTGAGTGAAGGTGTCATATTTAGTTAGAAGCAGGAGTCTTCAGGAGATATCCATCTATCTATCTATTTTACTATCTATCAATCTATCTATCTGGTATTAGAAGCCCTCAGAGCAGGGTGAGATCTCTGAGAGAGTGAGTACAGAGAAGAGAGCAAGGACTGAGCGCTGGGCCCTGCAAAGTTTACAGATTAGAAGGACCAGCCCCAGAAAATAAGGCTGAGAAGAAACAGGCAGAGAGGTGGGAAGGAGGCAAGTGGCATGATGTCCTAAGCCAAGTGAGAAAAATATTTCCAGGATCTACCACAACCTGTACAGGATGTTTTGGGACAGCGACTTGGAGCAGCATTTGGTGGGAGAGGACGGAAGCTGTGAGACGTCAGCTCTGAGCCCTGAGTCCAGGGCTGGTCCTGTGGAGACAGGGGTTGCTATGTCATGAGCAGTGTGTGTGTGAGTATGAGGTGTGGGAGGAAAGGTAGTAAGAAGCTGAGAAAATGCCTCAAGCTGACCTCTCCCAAGGGAGTTGGAGCCATGAGTACCTGGGCACCCTGAGGTGAACACTCCTTGCTCTGTGGGTCTCTAGTATCTAACAATAAGACCCCACCTGCACCTATTGATACACCTCAGGGTGAGAGGCAAAGAAACATCACTGGGAAACTACAGACACGCAATCAGGACTTTTCTCTAATGTAAAGAGAACTTAGGGTCAGGATTCAGGGATCAAATCTAGCTTCCTTGTTTGGCCTCTCTGAGTCTTTGTCCCTTTGCCTCTAAAACTGAGTATTTCCTTGCCTTATCTGAGCTTATGTAAGGGCTAAATGGGACATGCTATACCAAAAACAATTTATGGAGACCCAGTTCACTATAAGAGTACAATGCATTCATCTTCTTCATCTTTGTAACTTTCGCTACTCCTTTCTGTTTAAATTGAAACAGATCTGGAGGCTTGTTTTCTAGAGGAACAACAATGAAAAAAACAAGCAACAGGGAAAGTAGTCTTTGGTTAGTGAGTATTCAGGAAATTTCGGGGCAAAACAAGGAAGGTGATTGGAACCCTAATAAGATCGCTTCCAGCATAAGGATGACAGTGATGGCAGAGAGGAGACTTCATACTTGGACATAGCTTTGTGAGCTCCTAAAGAAGCCCAGCTCATAGTCTGCCCTTCCAGATAGCCTGCTGAAGGAACAGTGAAGTTTGGAGCTGAAACAGCTTCCTGAGCAGAAATCTAGTTCATTTCCCCATGCTCAGGAGAGTGGCTTAGAAGCCACCATCTCTGCCTTTTTTTCCTGTTGCTGTCTGTGGCTGACTGTGGCAGGTGGGAAGCTCTGGGAGCTCCAGCTCTGTCCTCTGTCCTTGCAGACACCCAGGGTGGGTGACCACAGCCTATGAAGTAAGCCAGTCCTTAATCCATGGAGCACATGCCCAGATACAGGGACATGGTGCCATAATGGACACTCCAAAATGCCTACTCCCCATGGTTGGACCATGTCCAGATGACGTTTTTTTTTTTTGTTGTTGTTTGTTTGTTTGTTTGTTTTTGAGACAGAGTTTCACTTTTGTCACCCAGGATGGAGTGCAATGGCACGATCTCGGCTCACTGCAACCTCCATCTCCCGGGTACAAGCGATTCTCCTGCCTCAGCCTCCCGGGTAGCTGGGATTACAGGCACGTGCCACCACGCTGGCTAATTTTTGTATTTTTAGTAGAGATGGGGTTTCACCATGTTGGCCAGGCTGGTGTCGAACTCCTGACTTCAGGTGATCTGCCTGCCTCAGCCTCCCAAAGTGCTGGGATTACAGGCATTGAATCACCGCGCACGGCCGAGGTGACTTGTTTTTGATTAAAGGATGCTGCCCGGTCCTCTGCGATGAGCCCACCCTCCAATCCTCATAGTCTCCACTTGACATCAGCAGGGTCACGAAGGACTCAGATGACCAAGAGGGGGCTCTTCCTTGAGAAGATGCAAGTAGAGGTATCACCTGCCTAAAGGTCCTGCCCAGGGATAGATGCTTGCAGGGTCAGGGGACAGGGCAGGGGCGTTTCATTGTGGGAAGAGGGGAAGAGGGTGTGGTGGGGGGCATGGCCTCTGGAGTTGGGGCAGCCTACCACCTGAATGGTCCGAAGGTCAGGCTTGTAGCAACGGGGTTCCTGGGGTGGGAGGAGGGTGGGGGCTGAGTTTGGTTTTTACTGACGTCCACTTTAGCCTGTGCCAGTCTTGCCCATGGCAGAGCCCCTGTTCATGCCCTAAGTTTAGACATTTTCCAGAGCCAGCCTCAGGGCAGTGTTTCCCATGAGCACAGAGTTCTGGTTGAGCCTTCAGCTCCTTCAAGCTGAAGGACTGCTGAGAGCCTGCAGTGAGCTCCCTCAGGGCTAGCATTTTAACCACTTTTAGTGCTTAATTCTGCACAGCCTCTTATATTATCGCATGGGTCAAACTCCTCTCTTCAAGCTGCAGAAGCAACAGGTGTGTCTCCCACCCCCTCCCCCAGCCCTTCCCTTTCCCCTACTGCCCTGCTCCAAGAAGAGCCTGGCCCAGGGGTCAGGAAGCACCAAAGGTGTTTCAGTGGTGATGCTCCACAGTGACAGTTCGGGCACCAGCAACCAAGTGACGGTGGTGGGGAGGTGCATTCCAGGCCCCGTAGCCTCAAAAGTCAGCTCGCGTGGCCACCTCCCTTCTGCACCTGAGGCCTTGCGGCTGGCGCTGTGTCTGCTCAGGGGCCTAAATAAAGCCGAAAAAGGAAGGAGATGCTGTTCGCCTTCCCAGATGGGACCACCAGGGGGCAGTGGAGCACACTCGCAGGCTGCAGGCTGCCGGCCGCCTCAGGACTAGGAAAAGGCGTCGGGAGCTGCTGTGGCAGGGGAAACAGGCGACCCTAGGGTCAGAAATCATCTTCAGAGCACCGGGTCTCCTCTCAGAGAATGGCAGGACTGTGCATTGGCTTCAAACCAGCCAGCTTTTATCGTCACTCAGAAGCTGCCCAACCCTAACAACCCCATCATCATTTTGTTCCGAATCATCACCCTTATTTTACTGGCATGAAGAGCCCAGAGAGGTTGAGTAACTGCACTGAAGCCACACAGCCATGAAAGTGGTCGAGCACTGGATTTTCACAGTGGGATTTTTTAACGCCAAGGATCTTCCTCATTGCTTTACAACGGTTAGTCCAGTTCTCACCTGGGAAGAAGATGCCCTGGCCCCCTTCACACCATTATCAGAATCTCTTGGAGGAGGGAAGGGTCTTTCCTGAATCTCAGGTTTTAACAAGCTTCCCAGGTGATTCTGGCACGCATGTGGAATGGGAATCCTGCACTTGTAGCAACACCTGACCTGAACTCTATTGTAAAGGAAGCGTATTTTTCCCTTAGTCTCCTTCCCACCCACTCCCCACTCATGCTGAGCTTCCAGTCCCCCACACCCAGTCCCCAGCCCCAGCCCCAGCCCCAGCCCATGATGTCAACCGTGCACCTCTGAAATCTCCCTCCCGCCAAGGACTTGTCTGCATCCCACCTGGCTTCCCGTCCTCGCCCTCTGACAGACACTGACACTGAGCTGCCCTTTACCGCCATACCTTCCAAAGTGACAACAAGTTAATCTGATTAAAAAAATCAATTCTGGTGGGATTAAGATAGAAAGTTGCCCCAACAACCAGCCAATCCCAGGTATCATGGGAATTTAAAACCGGACTTTCTGGACATAAAATCACAGTCTGAGCTTTTAATCCAGAAATGCTACAACGAGGGTGGGAATTTCAGGAAGAAGGGGGAGAAGCATTTGGAAAGATGGAGATCCTTGACTTTGGGGTCAGGGATTGAGGGGTGTTTTATCTATACTGTGAAGGTGACAAATGCCAGCTTCAGGTTTTTGTTTTATTGAAAGGAACATGTATTGGTTTTTCCATTATAGAGACAATAGATATGCATGCAAAATATCCAAGCAATATAGAAAATTGTAAAGGGAAATGAAAAGCGCAATGATTCCTACCACCTAGCTGAGTTAAGATGTCAGATAACATCTGTTCTGACACCACTCTATAAGTATGATGAACAATTGCTAAACTTTATTGAGCACCTACTATGTGTCAGACATAGTGCCGTGTGCTTCTCATAAACTCTGCCCTCTAATTCTCACATGTCCCATAGGAAGGAGGAGATGGAGATTTTATAAATAAGGAAACTAGAACTAGAGAAGTTGAATAGCTTGTCCAGAGTGAAATACTATGTGATAGAGCAGGAATCCAATTCAGGTTCCTCTCACTCAGAACCGAAGTTCTTACTCAGCTTCTGATACTGGCTATGTATGCAGACACAAACACAACTTGAAGACATACACACAGAATGCATGCACATACACCACCCCACAAAGCTCTCACATGCACCCTCAGACACACAGAACTCGCATACATACACCACCCCGCAGAGTTCACACATGCACCCACAGACGCACACACAGAACTCACACACACCACCCCGCAGAGTTCACACATGCACCCCGCAGACACATAGAACTCACACACACCACTCCGCAGAGTTCACACATGCACCCCACAGACACACAGAACTCACACACATACGCCACCCCACAGAGTTCATACATGCACCCCACAGACACACACACAGAACTCACAAACATACACCACCCCACAGAGTTCACACATGCACCCCCAGACACACACAACTCACACACATACACCACCCCACAGAGTTCACACACGCACCCCACAGACACACACACAGAACTCACACAGACATACACTGCCCCACAGAGCTCACACACTCACCCCACAGACACACACACAGAGCTCACACACACACACCACCCCACAGAACTCACACATTCATATGCTGCCCCATAGAGCTCACACATGCACCAAACAGACATACACAGAGCTCACACACACATACACCACCCCACAGGGATCACATACTCCACCACACAGAACTCACACATATACCCCACAGACACACACACACAACACAGAGCTCACACATGCACCCCACAGACACACACACACACACCACCCCACAGGGCTCACACATGTACCCCACAGACACACACACACATACACCACCCACAGAGCTCACACACATACCCCACAACCACACACAGAACTCACACATACACTACCCACAGAGCTCACACATGCACCCCACAGACACACGCAGAACTCACACACACACCACCCCACAGAGCTCACACATGCACTCCACAGACACACACAGCTCACACACACATACACTGCTCTGCAGAGCTCATATATGCACCCCACAGACACACACACAGAACTCACATGTAAATACATCCCTCCACAGAACTCACAATGCACCCTATAGACACACATACACACACACACAGAACTCCCACATAAATACACCACTACACAGAACTCACACACAAATATACCACACATGCACATAGAACTCACATGAAAATACATTCCCCCAGACAGAACTCGCAGTGCACCCTGTAGAGACACACACACATATACACATACACATACACAGAACTCCCATATAAATATACCACACATGCAGAACTTATAAATATACCACACATGCACCTAGAACACACATGCAAATATACCACACATACACAGAACTCATATGCATACATTGCAGACAGACAACCCACAGACACTCACAGAATGCACACACATACAGTACACACATGTACTTCACACACATTACCACTGACACACAGATCTCTTGCACACACATTGACGGTATACACACAAAGCACACACATACAGTACACACATGTACTTCACACACATTACCACTGACACACAGATCTCTTGCACACACATTGACGGTATACACACAAAGCTCACACATATGCACACACTGCCGACAAAGACAGAGAACCCACATGGACACACAAACCTCATAGATTTACACACAGGACTCACATTACATATGTACACACTAGACAGCGCGCACCCACAACCATACAGACACATACACACATAAAGGCTGTCTTAGTTCATTTTCTGTTGCTACACAGAAATTTATGAAGAGGAGAAGTTTATTAAACTCATGGTTCTGGAGAATGGGAAATCTAACAGCATGGCATCGGCGTCTGTGGAGGGCCTTTGTGCTGTATTATAACATGGTGGAAGGTATGACATAGCAAGAATGAGGGAGCGTGCATGCATGCGTGTCCACTGAGGCCTCTTTCTCTTCTTATAAAACCCCCAGTTCCATCATGGGGTCTCCACTCTGATGATTTGTCTAATCTTAATTACTTCCCAAAGGCCCCACCTCCAATCAACATGTTAATTTTGGGATTAAGTTCCCAACACGTGAAATTAAGGAGACATATTCAAAGCATAGCAGAAAAATAGACCCACACATACATGCATGGGCTCTCTTGAATCTGATTTTTTCTTTTGATTCAATATGTACATAGAAGTTTTATTTTTTAAAAGCTTGCATAGGCCTGTGCAGTGGTTCACACCTGTAATCCCAGTGCTTTGGGTTGAGGAGAGAGAATTGCTTGAATGCAGGAGTCTGAGACAAGCCTGGGAAACAGAAATACTCTGTCTCTACAAAAAAATGAAAAAATAAAATTAGCCAGGCATGGTGGTGCATGCCTGTACTCTCAGTTACTCAGGGGGCAGACGTGGGAGGATTGCTTGAGCCCAGAAGTTTGAGGCTGCAGTGAGCCGTGATTGCACCACTGCACTCCAGCCTGGTGACAGAGCGAGACCCTGTCTTTAAAAAAAAAAAAAAAAGAAATAGAAAGCTTGTGTAGTATTCAATTGTGTAGATCAATCACATTGTAGCTAATCAAATCCTACTGGTGGTAATATGAGTTTATTTAAAATATTTGAATTAAAATAACAAAAAAGGAAAGCTATTGGTTTTTCATGATGTACCAGGCTACATGTATTACGTAACTTAATCTTTACATCAACTCTGCAAGCAGAAACCGAAGTTCAGAGAATTTTAGAGCTTCTAAGTGCCAGAGCCAGGAACCAGAACTAGGAAATCTGTCTCCAGACTTACCCTCAATATGGGTTGGCTTTCAATGAACATCCCTATAGATATATGTTGCTGTGGGAAAAGCTCCTTCAAGAGGAATTCCAAGTTCAGGCGTATATACATTCTCTACTTTATACTCATTGCTGACCTGGCCTTTAGAGAAATGGACCAATGAGTGCATTTCTTATTTTCCTTCATTTTTGCCAGGACTGGGT
Source organism: Homo sapiens (assembly GCF_000001405.40). NCBI lineage: Eukaryota > Metazoa > Chordata > Mammalia > Primates > Hominidae > Homo > Homo sapiens. Next base: position 37,783,126 of record NC_000018.10, read on the forward strand.
ATTTTTATCTTTGCTATTTGTTAGGTAAAAAAGTCATATCTAAGTATTAGACAATGCCCTTTAGGAAATCAAGTTTTGACTGGCTTGTTTAGAGAAGGCTTTGTGGTGGAAGAAAACATTAACTTTGAAGGATAATTAGCTTTCCAGTAGCAGAGGATATCTTTCTTGAAGATAGGAACAGTGGCATTAGCCAATGTCCTGGGATTCTTAGTGGTCTTGGGGCTTCAAACCTACTGAATTGCATGGGGAAGTCTCTCAAAACTTGTTTGTCACAATGACACTCGGTCCTGAGGCTCAGCGTTTGGAAGATTTGCCTCCTGTAGACATAGACACAGTTTAGTTTTAGGAGGTGGAGGAGAGAGTGTGCATGGTGCTGAGGAGTCCACCTTCAACTGTGACACTGTGCTAGGACTAGCTTTTGGAAATGGGACACCTTAGAAACACAATGGTGGCAGATTTGGGACTCTGTGTGTGGATTATTTACCCTTGGTGGCTTCTCAGGCTTCCCATGCAAAGCAGGCATTATCAGAGCAGCTCTGTGGTGTCAACTGCTTATACCCTCCAGCCTGAGCTGGTCACTGCTAGAGGATTCAGTCTTGCTGTGTGTTTTAGGCCTAGATCTCGCACAGGTAGCTGCTTGCTGCCTTACAAACCATGGCTCTTCCAGGTCCATGTTTTATTGGATCATGACAGAATGATGCAGGCATCTCTGGAGGTAAAACTGGGTCTGTGCCATATCCCCAGCCTTCTCCTTGCCTCCTCATCAGAGCTGCCTACAGCAGTCCTGCCCTGTCTCCATCACCACCTGCCAACCTCTTGCTCAGCTCAGAGCCCGTAGAGCCAGGCAGTACCAGGCAGCTCCCGGAGTTCACTCAGCCGTTGCAGATTTGACACATGATCAAAACTGCAGCTATTCCTTTCTCAAATTCCACCTTCCTGAGTTATTTTAAAATCCAGCTTTTTCTTGCCTGAGAGATTGGATTTCCAGCTTGTGTTGTAAATTTGCTTATAAGTGGGCTCCTTTCGCACGGTGGAAAGGAGAACAAGAAAGAAAAAACAAACAAACAAACAAACAAAAACCACCACAGGGGAACTGCTCCTTCCAGAGCCAATGTGGCCTGAAGACTTTTGTTTCTACAGAGAAGTTTTTGTCCCAAGAGCTGGGGCTGAATAGAATAGGATAGAATAGAAGCTGAGTTATAGCCAGGAGAGAAAGGTGGATGGGCTCTTTCTCCAAGTCTGAAAAATCTGTCAGGGCCTAAAGAAAAGCAGGCAGCAGGAATACATAAAAGTAGTTGGCTTTATTTTCTCCTTGCACCTGGTTTATAGGTGCCTCTGTGTCTGTTTACTCCTGGACCTTATTCGGGGGTTTCCCCTTGCCTAGCCTGTGCGCAAGGACCACCCTGTGGGCCGGAAGCCTGTCTGACTTCTCTTCTGGTCCAGTGCACTTCCGGCCACCCTGGTAGTTCCATACAGATCGGGAGACCAGAAAGGATGGAGTTAATTATGTTTGCCAAATACAACAGACACTGCTTATTTGCATGAATATTGTTCCCAATTTCTCTTTTATATTTTCTGTATTATTTTTATCACACATTTAACTTTTACACATATGTCGTAAACACAATACATTGCTGCTATTTTTGCATTAGTTCTCTTTTAGTGCTGTTAAAAATAAGAATGAAAGAAATTTTATTTTTCCTTCATTAATTCTGTTTTCATCCCTCTTAATTTTATTTTGTGCAGATCTTAGTCTCTGATTGATCTTGTTCTTTCTGCCTTTCAAACTTTAATATTTCGTATAATGTAGGTCTTCCGACAATGAGTTTTCACATTTTTTTTTTCTTTTTTTGCTTGAAAAGTATTTATTTCTCCTTTGTTTCTTAAAGGCATTCCTTTTTCTTTCTGAGTATGGAGTTCTGAATATACATTTTTTTCCGCCATTTCATTTTCTTCATTTGTATGGTTTCTGATGAGAAACTTACTATAATTCTTATCTTTATTTTTCCATAAGTAAGGTATCATTTTTCTCGGGCTTCTCAAGATTTTTCTTTGTCTTTGGTTTCAAGTTGTTTGAATATGACATGCTTAGTTTGTTTCATTTTTTTCCCTGTTTCGTGTCATAACAATCATTAATTTTGAAAAATTCTCAGCCCTTATTTTTCCAACTATTTCTTCAGACCTATAGTCTCTCTTTTCACTTTTTGAGAGTCCTATACATATGCTATACTTTTTGACAGTGTCCCATAGCTCTTGTGTGTTTGGTTCTTTTACTACTACTGCTATTACTACTACCACTATTTTCTTTTCTTTCTGTTTCGGTTTGGATCATTTGTCTTAATCTATTTTCAGGTTCATTACTTCTTTCCACAGCTGTGTCATGTCTACTGTTGAGTCCATAAAAGGCTTTCTCCATGTCTGTTACTGTTTTCATTTATAGCATTTCCATTTGATTCTTTTATAGTTTCCATTTCTCTGCGGAAATTACCCATCTGATATTGCATGGTATCCATCCTTTCATTAGTGCCTTTAACATGTTAATTACAGTTATTTTAAATTCCTTGTCTGATAGTTCCAACATCTGTGTCATAAATGTATCTGGTTCTGTTGATGGCATTGTCTCTTGACAGTGTTTTTTTTTTTTTTTTTGTAAGTTTTTGTGGAAAGACACACAGCTTGTGTAGGACTTCTGAAGCTGAGGTAAATAGTTAATATGCTTGAAGATAGGCATGGCTTTCCTTCTGATGAAACTTTGGGAATTTGCATGAATTTACTTAGGAATTAAGCTGAATTTAAGATTAATTGTTGCCATGGTTACTAGCAATGCATCAGCTGCTTCAAATTGCTCAAACACTACCTTGTCTTTAAGCTGTCGTTTCTTTTGCCATGTAGTTTTTCTCCATGTCTAGTTCACTCTCAGCTTTAGGTGTTCCATTTATACTATGATTTAGAGAGATTTTCTTTGTCTTTATTTTTATTATTTTTCATATTTTAAATTTCTATTTTTTGTGTGTTTATTGTACTTCAATTTCAATGTAAGAGATTTTTGAGGGCGTTTTGATTTAGAATATCATCTCTATAATAAGTTATTTCTCTACTGTAAAGATAGAAAGGGAGAAATGTTTCCCCTCAACTGTAATGGACAGTTTGGAGGAGCAAACACGTAAAAGTGTCCCTATCCTTTTCCTTTTTTTTGATTTTCAATGTTTAAGTTCAGGGGTACACGTTCAGGATGTGTAGGTTTGTTACATAGGTAAACGTGTGCCATGGTGGTTTGCTGCACAGATCATCCCATCACCTAGGTATTAAGCTTAGCATCCATTAGATATTCTTCCTGATGCTCTCCCTCCTCTCACCTGCCACCCTCCAACAGGCCCCACTGTGTGTTGTTCCCCTCCATGTGACCATGTGTTCTCATCATTCAGCTCCCGCTTATAAGTGAGAATATGCAGTATTTGGTTTTCTGTTCCTGTGCTAGTTTGCTAAGGATAATGGATTTCAGTTCCATCCTTGTCGCTGCAAAGGACATGATCTCATTAATTTTTATGGCTGCATAGTATTCCATGGTGTATATGTACCACATTTTCTTTATCCAGTCTATCACTGATAGTCATTTAGGTTGATTCCATGTATTTGAAATTGTGGATAGTACTGCAATGAACATATATGTACATGTATCATTATAATAGAATAATGTATATTCCTTTGTTACATACCCTATAATGAGATTGCTGGGTCAAATGGTATTTCTGCCTCTAGATCTTTGAGGATTCCCCACACTGTCTTCCACTATGGTGAACTACGTTACACTCCCACAAACAGTGTAAAAGCATTCCTTTTTCTCCACACCCTCACCAGTATCTGTTGTTGTTGTTGTTGTTGTTGACTTTTTAGTAATAGCCATTCTGACTGGTGTGAGATGGTATCTTATTGTGGTTTTAACTTGCGTTTCTCTAATGATCAGTGATGTTGAGCTTTTGTTCATGTTTGTTGGCTGCATATATGTCTTCTTTTATGTCCTTTGCCCAATTTTTTAAATGAGGTCGTTTGTTTTTTTTCTTATAAATTTGTTTAAGTTTCTTGTAGATGCTGGATATTAGACCTTTGTCAGATGGATAGATTGCAAAATTTTTCTCCCATTCTATAGGTTGTCTGTTCACTCTGATGATAGTTTCTTTGGCTATGCAGAAGTAGACAAGGTTTTTTTTTTTTTCATGCACTTGTCCCTGTCTTAGCAGAATTCCATTATTACTTGTTACTCAATGTTTTTTAGCCTTGTGGTGAGGAGCAGGTGTATTCTCTATTCTTCTAATTAAGCATCAGCCTTATATAGGCACTGTGCCTGGGCTTCAGGACTGTGGTCTTCTCAGTGTTCCTGTGCTTCTGCTGGGCATAATTCTGAGCCCAATTATATATTCCTGCACCTTCCCTAGAGCAGATTTTTTTTTTCTCTTCTCTTACCCTAGATGCAGTAGGCTTTCACTATTGCCTTGAATATGACAGTGCTTGTTGGCTTTCCTCCAGCAGTTTTGGCCTTATTATGAAGAGGAAAAAGGCAAGGAGAATCTGGGTGGGGTTTTATGCCTTTCCTGACACAGCCACTGTTCTTTTCCTTCAGGCTTGCATTGCAAGGGGATACTCTTCAGGACTCTCATCAATCTGTTTTGTGATCACTGGTGAGTTGCATGTAGAAAAGCCTGTGAATGGGTGCAAATTTTTCTTATATCTGCACCCTCAGGAGTACTTTGTTCTCCTGAGATCCATTGCTTGGCCTTAACAGTTCAATAACAATTTTAGCTAAATTCTTACCAGCATCTGGCAGCATCTGTCCTGGGTAATTGAGTGCTCATGTTCTATCTCTCCTTGTAGACACTTGCAAATACTTAGATTTCAGATTAGCTGGTTTTTTTTTTTTTCTGTAAACTCAGATCTCTGATGGGTTCGAGTAAAATTATAAATTTGTGGATTGTTTGGCATTTTTGTTGCAAGAGTTGAAGTGATGCTTTTTCTAGTTTTCTACATCTTAAGCAATAGCCAGAAGTAGCACTATTCTTAATACCCCAAACTGGAAACTGCCATAATGTCTATTAACAGTCAAATGGTTAAATATATTGTGGTATATTTATCCAAAGGACTACTATATAGCCATGAGAATGAGGGCACTTTAACTACATAAAACAATATGGATATAACTCATAAATATAATGCTGAGCTAAGGAAGCCAGTCACGAATGAGTACGTGCTAGATAATTCCATTTACATAAAATGCAAAACTAATTTATGCTTTTGAAAATTAAGGAAGCAATGATCATTGGAAAGCCAGAGACTGGAATGGAGAACAAGAGGGGCTTCTGAGATCCCAGCCATGTTCTGTTTCTTGATATGTTTGTTATTTCTATAACTTTGTATTTCTGAAAACAGAAATACATGTATAATTTCCACTTTTCTGTGTGTATATTATGATTCATCAAAAATATTTTTAAAATATCTATTAATAAAAGCATGGATTCATAACTTTTCAAATAGCTAACTAAATGCAGCTAAAACATAATCCAGCAAAAGAGAAAATTAAGAGAATGGCAAGAAAGCTGAGAAAATAAAGTGCTAAAGCCTAAGGACATCAATTATGGCAATAAATATAAATGCTTAACATTTTTCCCCATTAAAAGATAATAAAATACAATAAAACTCATGTATGTTTTTAATGATGTACAAATGCAAAAGGACTATAGGTGAGCCCTTTCTCCAGTAATTTCCTTTTTTTCTTCTTGAATTATATTTGTGCTATTACAATTATATCCTTGAAACAGTGTACCTAATCTATCCAATGGTATTTGGGGCAAGAATATTTTGAAGACAGGTAGCAAAAGACAGGTCAGGGAGGGTAATAATTTGAGACATACAAAGGAAAAATATATTTCCTGCAGATTAAAGTGGTTTTGAGCTGGACTATTCTCAGATAACTAAGGAAAACTGTTTATATTAATTTAGTATTAATCTCCAAACCTTAACCTCAGCTCAGTTCTTCATACACCCAGAACATTACCTGCATGACTTCAGAAAATTCTAGCTTCATGCATGAGGCTGGGCATCAGAGGACAATGCCACCCTCTCCTAGACCCTGGAAAGGAAGCACTTCATAGTGTGGCCACTATGTAAGAGAAGAGATGGAGAAATCAGGCCTGGGGGATTTGGCTGAAGGAGAATGGAGGCTTTGTATGGGAATTAAATAGAAGAGCTTTAAAATATTTTGTTTTGAAAGCTTTGAGACATAAATATTTGATATTTTAAGATCTGGTATTTTAAGAATTGCACATATTTAATATATGCATTTTGATGGATTTGGATATATGTATATACCATATTTAAGACAGTAAACATATCCATTACCTCTGAAAATTTCCTCATATTCTTTTGTGGGTTTTTTTGTGTTCACATAGCTGAAAGGAGTCTATGGAAGTAGAAATAACAACTATTTCCATCAGGAATTTTTCCTTGAAGACAGTGTGGGTTTGGGATATGTTGTCTTACAGGAATTCAGATAAATCTGAGAAAATGGAGACCTGTGGGTGAGGCTTAGATTAATAAATGGATCTTAAAATTTAACTACTCCTGGCTGGGCGTGGTGGCTCACATCTGTAATCCCAGCACTTTGGGAGGGCAAGGCAGGCGAATCACTTGAGGTCAGAAGTTTGAGACCAGCCTGGCCAACACAGTGAAACCCCGTCTCTACTAAAAGTACAAAAATTAGCTGAGTGCATCTGTAATCCCAGCTACTCAAGAGGCTGAGGCAGGAGAACTGCTTGAACCCAGGAGGCGGAGGTTGCAGCCAAGATGGTGCCACTGCACTCCAACATGGGTGACAGAGCAAGATTCCATCTCAATGACTCCATTTTGAAAATAAGAAAGAAATAATTTGGAGAAAAACTTTCAAGACTTTAAAAAGATCTTACCTCACTATAGCTCATTATAACTTTCTAGAAAACTTCACATTTTTTATCTAATTGAAATTACATGAATTCTCTGTTTAAAGATGCTCAAATTGATGTGCATCTACGATTTTATCTAGATTAAATTATCATATTATTATTCAATACATACATTTGAGACCCCAACTATGTGTTATATGCTATGTAAAGCCCAGAATAACAAGGTTCAATTTCTATTGTCACAAAGTTCAACATCTAATGACAGAGATAGACAGTTATAAGGTTAACAGGAACTCAGTGTTATAAAAACTATGATCACAGAATGTTCAGTGTGTTGGCAGATACCTCTCTATGGGTCTCAAGTTTCTGCACATCTAAGTGATGCACTAATTATCCCTTGTTTTAGACTGTCTGTTCAAAGATGTTATGTAACAGAAAATCTTGAAAGACAAAGATAATCTATTTTTCAGGAGCAAAAGGCAGGTGTGTTTACTACCCATTACAAAAGATTTGGCTTCCGTAAGCTCAGAATTCCTCTCCTATAACATGGTTCACAGTGTTTGTAGATGTCTTTTAGGCCCCTTCAAGTTATCCTATAGGAATTGGGAACTGGAACAAATGCTGATGCTCTGGCTCCTGCAATGCTATGAGGAATAAATTGTCTGTCTTCTCTGATTCAGGAGTCTTATGTCTTCTACAAGCATCCATGAAACTATGGCAGGCTAGTCTCAGACCCTTCAAAGTTCTTGAAACTTGGGAATATGAAGAACGCATGCTTATATAAGCAAATAGAATAGCAATGGTATTGTGAGGTATGAAGAATCTAGGAAAATTGGGTCTGTGAGGATGTGGGGTGAGAAAAGACAGAAGTAAATGAGGAAAAAAATGAAGACACAGGTAGAGGGGATAGCATGAGCAAGGATGGGGTTGTGGAGATAGAGATGGTGAAGAATGTTTTAATATCACCCAAGAACATTAATGCTTTTATTAAGGCAATGCAATTGAGGGCTACTAAGTAGAGGATGATATAATCAGATATAAGTTTTAGACATGTCACTTTGGTAGTAGTGGAAAATGACTTGGAATACAAGGATGGGAGGCAGGGAGCTCCAAAGACCAGCTAGGAACCATGGGAGCAATCCAGATGATGCATGATAAAAGTCTAAAATAGAGAAAGAAGATAGAGAAGCAAGACTTCACAACGTATTATGAAAGAAGGATCAAGTGGTTGTATTGAAAAAACAGATTCTGGGGCTTCTATAGGCTGAATCCCAGTTTTTCTGTCTTTGATACCTGAGTAAATAAAGGTAACATCTACCATTATAGATGGTGGAGAAATAAGGAACCATAGCATATGTAGGGGTGCTTGGACTTCACATATGTATGTAGGTATTTGGTTTAGAAAGAATGATCACTCTAGGTGGGCAGGATGTGTATTACTCTTGTTTGACAATTAATCCTAAGGATTAAGTGTATTGCTGAGGGTAATATGGTTAGTGAGTTAATAGTGGAACTTGAATCAAATGACTGGTCCAGTGGCCTTTTTATTCTGCTTACTAGAGCCAATTTTCAGCACCAGTCGTAGATCTCTTATCCACTCTCAAAAGATCTTGGTATCACCTGGGAGATGAAGGAAGCAGAAGGGAGAGGAAAGTAGGGAGCTATATATGCTTTTTTTGTTTGAAAAATATACTATACCTGTTAGTTCACTACTAAAAGAAAAGGAACTGAAGATTTATGTTTGGGTCTTCCTTGTTAATAAAATAGCTCAAAAATGTATATTCTTAGAGGCGCTGATCTTAGATGACTCAAGAAGAAATATGTTCTGCCGTAAGGTGGATGCTCATCTTTGAATCTCCAATCATTAGTCTAAACTTGTTCACAATAGCACAAGGCTAGAGCACTGACTTTGTGTCTATATAATCCTAAAACATCCCATCAGCCAGTTCAGTGAAAACCATGAAAAGCCATGTAAGTCAGTCTTCTTGTTTGATTTTTGCTGTTATAGACAGAGGTTTTATCATTGGTTCCCAAATCAAGTTTTGGTATGGTCTCAGAAACTGTCAGTTTTCTGTCTGGGCCTCAGTTTGGTGTCTGCAACACAGTATGCTCTCACATAATGTCCATGGAATCATAAGATCTTTTACCATCCTAATGATCTAAGAGTGTTTGAGAGTTTCAGGAAAGAGTGTGAAAAGAATAGAGTGGACAAGTAAGGTCAGAATATTAAAGAAATCTACATTTAGGGACTAAGAAAAAAAGGGCTAAAAAAAAAAAAAAAAAAAGAACTAGGGAAACAGCCAGGGAAGAAATATTTTAAAAATGTATTTCTGTCTGTCTTTTTCTAAAGGAAATCTGTATCTTAGGAATTAGTGAACTTTATGAGTTAGTTGGTGATGAGTTAGTTAGTTCTATGCCTGTACAGGGCCCTGTGAGGGAAAATTAAGGCATGAGAAATCTGAGTTGGGTATAAAAAATTTAAATTTCTGTTTAATATAAGGAGAATGGGAAGTCTTACTGTAAATTATCTCCAATATCTGTTGTAATATTAGATACCTTTGAAATCCTTCAGTCCTGGTTGTGCCCATTACTCATTATCTATGTGTTCATTACCATGTGTCTTGTCTCTTCAATGGATATGTCAGTTTCTTAGGAGCAGAGTGTCAGCACACATTGGATGAGCAATACATGTATTTTAATTTATTAGTTTAGAATAGTGTCAGTCTTCAGAGACTGACAGAGTCAAACTCGGAGTTGAAGACTCAAGAAGAGGGGAAATGTTTAGAGTTCTCTTGGCTAAAGGTGAGGTGCTTTCCAGGTCCTTCAGGCTCTGAGAGCATCTGAAATGTCTTAAGTGGACCTGAGAATCCAGAGTCTCAGCTTGTGCCCAAACTGCCCATCACCCTCTTGTCCTCTTTGCACCCATAATTCTGAGAAAGGCAGTTTGCTTTTTCATCTTGTAGGAAACACAGTCTCAGAAAACAGCTGCGTTCAACGTTGGATCCTAATGGTAAATATCACACTTGGTCTTTGGCAGGGGATGCCCTTGGCTCCCAAAATAACCTTAACCACGGTTAAGATTTCCCACAATTGAAGAGTACTGAGAGAATCAAATGCAAAAGAATTGATAGACATTTAATCCCATTGTGCTCAACAATTTGGCTTTCCCTTGTAGTCACATTAGTGATGGCTACCAAAGCTTAACCTCTTAGGATCCAGGGTGATGAGGGGTCACGTAGAGACCTGCAAATTTGTGAGACATCTTGGCAAGTGAGGGAGAGTGGTCACATGCAGGATCACTGAGCCCAGTCTTTTAATTTGATTCATAAAATACAGCTATAGATAGTGCTGTCCTGTACTTGGTCTGTTGCAACTCATCAACCCACAGGGGTAACTGGAGCAAGACTTAGAATCAGTGAATATCTTTAAAGTTTTTGGTTTGCTGCTCTTAGATTACTTTCTCACACATTCCTCTATCTCTTCCTGGGTATTTGGTGACTTACACTGTTTTTCCCTATAGTAAGCCTAAAGCGTCAGTCATTGCCCTAAGTGCTTCTGAACCCATTACCAACAAATCTGTGTGGGTTTAAAATCTTATTTATAAATTTTTAAATCTATGTGGATTTATCCTATTTCTTATCATTAGAAATATTCATTGTCTGTACTGTACCTATTTGCATTTCTTTATTTTCTATGCAGTGGTCATGCATTGTGGTGATGATTAAGTGGATGCACAAATTTGTCAAAACTCACTGACTTGTACACCAAAAATGTTTGTAGTATATTATAGGTAAATTATACCTTAATAAAAAGTTGCTTTAAGGAGTGGAGGTAATCCTTTCTTCAGATGAAGCTGACCTGTTAAGGACCAGGAGACTTTCCTTTTGACAATCAGCCCACCTATCACCGAGGTGGGGGCCATGCACATCCTGATTTGGCAATGAGGTACAGAATTTTACAAAATAGACCTCCACCTGAGAAACCTTAGCATCAACCTGGATGTGAAAAAACCTTCAGGTCAAACATTTGCAATGTGCAATTGTTAACAAAATCATGTACTTGTTTATGATAATAGAATTATTTTAGTTTATAATGTGAATTCTATATGGTATGTAATAATTATAGTTCAACCACTTTATTTCATTTAAGCAAAGCAATTAAATATAAATCATGTGTTTTACTGAGTATAATTATCAAAATAATTTATTATTATAATATATGAATCCCCACATTCTCACCATTGTATGTACCAACATTTGAATTCAAATTATATTTCTACATACAAAGTCTTAGTCCAGAAGAATCCTAACTGTTAGAACTCTGATTGATATCTCTGTTCCCTGGTCTGTGCCATTCTCACCGGGGTCGGCCATCCCAGAGGCTGCCCAGGGCCAGTCTGGAGCCACAGCATCTGTGAGGTGCCTCTGCTGCCTGTGCTGCCCTCCTCAGGGAGTGCCTGCCACCCACCAGTTGACTTGCTGGATGCAATGAGTCTGCTATTGTCCACCTCCAGGCTTCTCAAAGACTTCTTGTCCAAATTCTGTGTGGTTGCTCCCTTCTACACAGTAAGCCCCAACTGCCTGCCTATTGTGGTTTATCTTTCCCATTTTCCTAATTTTCCTTCCCAGCTTGTTCCCAAACTTTCAATACCCTGACTGATCCCTTACTTAAAATAATGCATCATCTTCCTAATTCTGTTGACTACAGATGTTTTCTTGTAAAAAAACAATGCCAGTACTGTTGTCTGTCATCCATGTGGATGTGAGTGAATTACCTAACCTCACTGGTGATTATATTAGCTCTTTATCTAAAGTTCTTGTGAGGATGAAATGGGTTGATCTTTGTAAAGCAGTCAGAATGGTGCCTGGCACCTAGGAAGTGGTAGATAAGTGTGTGCTGCTATTATCAGTATTAGAAAGCAAAGGCAAAACATACAGCTCCCTGCTGGGATGATGAATGAAAAATGGGTTGCATTAGGTAACCTTTTGATGCCTATCTGAGGTGGGCCACATGAAGGTTTTGAGAGTCCTTCAGAGACACAAGGGAGGAGGTGAATTTGAAGGGTAGAGCCCTAGAGAAGGGATGTAGGAAGGGGGTGATGCCACAGGAGAGGGAGGGGGCATGAAAGTTTTGTGATTTTGTTTAGGGTCTTCAGTTATTTCTTATGTGTCACCAAGACTAATTTGTTCTTGTCACCTTCTGCCTTTGGGATAAATAGTTCTGATGCCTCCTCTGCTTTTATTAAAATTTCTTCTCACCAAATTCTGTCCTTGGCCCTGTAGGGCAGGTCCCCAAGTTGGGCCTGATTCATGACCACAACAGCAAGAAGATGTTATAGGAAGGAAATAAAGGAATCAGCCTTTGGTTGGCATGAGCAGAGTCATGTATGATATATTAAAATGCAAATGGAGCCCTCAATGAAAAACCACAGCACAAGATGTCCTGGGGAAGAGGAGGCCAGTGCTGTGAGCAACCTGCTGGGCCATGTTTATTGCATCTTTAGAGGAGGATGCATGTATTTGTGTCTCACTCAGCTAGCGAGTTGTGGGGTGTGACTCATGAATCTTCTCAGCTACCAGCAGTCCCTGCAGGAAAGAAAAGTAAAGGCAACTTTCTGCAGGCAAAGATACTTGGATACAGTTCAATGAACTGGTATTTAATAATGACCATCTGGGTGGAGCTTGGGCTTTGGCACTGAAGAGAAGGAGAAAGCAAGGTTTCTGCCCCTTTGGAGCCATCATTCTGTTGGGGATTCAAGATTTCCACATGTAAGCAAGTGTAGAATGACAGAACCTAGTGGGCATTTGGTGATTAGGAATCCACAGGTCCCAGGGAGAGAAATAAAGTTCAAGGCATAGTCATATACTGCATAATGATGTTTCCATCAATGATAGACCACATATATGATGGTGGTCCCATAAGATTATAATATCATATTTTTATGGTACCTTTTCTATACTTAGGTGTATTTAGATGTACCATTACCACTGTGTTACATTTGCCTACAGTAGTCAATACAGTAACATACTGACTGTACAGGTTTGTAGCCTAGGAGCAATAGGCTATACCATACAGCCTAGGAGTAGGCTATACCATCTAGGTTTGTTCAGTATACTCTATAATGTTCACAACAAAATTGTCTAACAATATGTATTCCAACATTAAGTGATGCAAGACTGTAGCTTAAGTGTAGAAGCTTAATTTATTGGCTACATAACTGAGAAAAACAGGAGTGCTTGTCCTTGGGGACTCCTGAGGTACATACAGCTCTCTGCCTCCTCATGTGTTGTCTTCATTCTATTCTGATTACATGAGCTGCTTCCATGCAGTGGGAGTGGCCACTACTGCAGTTTCAGATTTGTATTTTGCCACCTTCATGTCATCGGAGGAAAGAGAAAGCTTCTCTTTCCAGAGAATGACCTAGATTGGAGGAGCTTGGGTCATGTGCTCATCCCTGGCCAATAACTGTAGTCAGAGGGCTGAGCTACTATGATGAGCAGGCTGGGGTATGTGACCACTCTTATGAACTAGGAAGGGGGGTTCTACCTCACTACAGCCACATGGAGTGGGACGAAGACAATTCCCTGCAATTGGACTCTGGCCAGAGGAAGGGTCAAAGAGATCTGGGACATCTTGAAACAGCAGGTGTTCCATCTGTAGGCCAGGGCTGCTTGGTGAGGCCCAGAATGGAAAGATGTAAAGGCTCAGCAAAGGAGCTGCACTGTGGGCTAGCCAGAGAAGGATGGCTCCCTGGGAAAAGCGGGACCTGAATGAAAGGTGTTTTGGAGAGGAAACTGCATCCTTCCTCTGTCCATGGAAAACAGAGGAAGAGCAGGAAACTGGGCCATGCTTGCTTCTGCAGGGTCCTCGCTGTCAACGAGTGGTGGTTATCTAATAGGGGTCCCTGCCGAAGCCACTTAGCAGCACTCATGCTAAGGGGTGGTGATCTCCAACCCCAGAACTGGGGCGCTCTGGCAAAGGCAGCCTGTAACCACCCAGAGTGTAATTTGTCAGAGACACGAAGGTTAACATTTTTCTTCACAAAAACTGTCTTTAATGGCCATCAGCAGTCAGGACCTCTGATTTCTGTCTCATTTGAAAGCTTTTAATGCTTTCAGAGGGATAGATGGGGTGACCTAATAGGTCTTTTCCATCTCTGATTTTCTATGATTAATGAAGTTCAATTGTGCAGAATAAAATGGTGAGTTTCTCGGTGTCACTTCAGCTGTATTCCTTTTCCCTCCCTCTTTCTTTCCTCATTTTTTTTTTTTTTTTAGACAGATGATAATCATGCACATTTTCTCTTAATGCTTCAGGGAAAAAAGGGACTTTTTCTTCTGAGCCAGGCTTTGAAAATGTCAAGGTGGGTGTATTTATCTGTAGTGTAAATTGTTGCCAAATGTCGCTCCTCACTCCCCACCCCCAGGATAGACTGGGTGTCTACATTAAAGGCAATATGAACATTGAAAATGTGGAGACACTCTCTGTTTATAGAGCTTATTAGACTTTTTTCCAAGTACCTTTATAAGAGACATGTGTTTAATCATGTCCTGACTTACTGTCTTCTGGGGTAGACATGAGGACTGTCTAACCCTCTTTTGTCTGAAGGGCAACTGAGGCCCAGAGAAGTTATGGGACATGTTCTGGGCTCCCTAACCAGGTGAGGGGAAAGCCACCTGCAGGGCTTGTTGGATCCACTCTGCTCCATCTGGGATTACAGTGCAATTTTTAAGGTATCTCATGGGAAAATTGTAGAGGAATTCAGTTTCTCCCCTTGTCAGCCTGAAGTTTTTCCTAGGCTAAAAGTTCTGGGAATTACGAAGAAGCCAGGCCTCTAGAGAAGCATCTTAGGAGCAGGAGGTTTTTCACTCTTATGCACTCTTTGCATTTGGAAGAAAGGCTGCAAGGATAGGATTTCCATGGGTTTGTGTGTTTAGCCTCTTTTTTGGTTAAAGGACATAGATTATGCTTCTCTGAATTTCTGGATATATCGCTCAGCATGGAAGACAGTCAAAAGGGGGTCAGACAAAATTCCTTTCAGGAGGAGCAAAGACTGTCAGTTTGACAATTCTGCTGCCTTAGAGTCCTGGGACAGTTCTTCAAAGAGACTACATGTTGATCCGTAAAAAATCTAATCAATCCATCGAAATCCCCAAGTGACTGAATTTAGACTGCTTCCGTATTTCCAAGATCCTGGAAATTCACAAGAGAAAAAATAACTTCCAACATTGTCATCGGTAAAGGTCCTCTGGCCTGGATTATTGCAGATTCAAATACATAGAGCACATACCCTGACTTTTAATTGACGCTCTTAAATAATCCACGTGTGCTAGATACGTGCTAATAAGGGGCAATGGGGGCTGGCCCTGCAGCTGGCTTATGGCCTGGCAATTTCACCTATCTCTCTAGATGAGGGTAAAAAGCCTCTTCTGGGACCATATCATGGAAGTAGTCATTTTCTCTGCTCCCATATCTCAGTCTTATGTTTTGTGATTTTGGAGTCACCCCTGTGTGAGCTATGCACTAGTGAAAGCTCCTCTCCATGGCTCCGCCCTTTCGTGGATTGGATTACAAAGGAAGCAGGTGTTGCTCCTTGAAGTTGAGCAATAGGGTGGGTCTCATTTTAAGTTAGAAACAGACTCAATGGTGCTTGAGTGGGATGGGTGAGGTCTAGTGAACGGAGCCCAGGATCCATGTAAATCCTCAGTGAACACTTTCTTACAGGAGATTAGGCAGCTGGTAAAACATGAAGGCCTGGTCGAGGGAAACAGGTAAGTTGGGAGATTTTCTTATCCATATTCTAAGGCCTAGTTCAAGGGGTAGTTCAAATCTGCTACTTCTGTGAACCCTGCCTACAGTCTACACTTGCCTCTCCTCTCTGATCTATATTAGTAAGAATAGAGTTTCTCTGAATGAGTTCCTAGGACCATAGGCATTGCTGTGGTTTGAATGTGTCCCCTTCAAAATTCAGGTGTTGCCAATGTGGTAGTATTAAGTAGTGGGGCCTTTAAGAGGTAGTTAGGCCATGAGGGTTCCTTTCTCGTGAATTGGATTGGTGCCCTCACAAAAGTATTTGATGGTGGGAGTTTATCCCTTTTCGCCCTTTTGCCTTGCATTATGTGAGGACATAGCATTCCTCCTGTCCATAGGACACAGACTTCAAGATGTCAACTTGGAAGCAGAGACTGGACCTTCACCAGACACAAAACCTACTGGTGCCTTGATCTTAAACTTCCTTCCCAGCCTCCAGAACTATGATAAAATAAGTTTCTGTTTTTCATAAATTACCCAGTCTCAGGTATTCTGTTATAGGTGTGCAAAACAGACTAAGATGGGCGTTTTAATCAACTTGAGCTTCCTGAGACTCAGGATAGAGTGGCAGAGCTAGAATCCCTGGAGGTGAAACTCCAGGATCTGCATTTAGTCTGCCCACCTCTCCAAGGAACATTGCGCACCCAGGTTTGGGAATAATGGCCAGGACTTTTTTTATTTTACTTTATTTTTTTTTAACTCTAAGTTCTGGGATACATGTGCAGAACGTGCAGTTTTGTTACATAGGTATACGTGTGCCATGGTGGTTTGCTGTCCCTTACCAACCTGTCATTTAGATTTTAAGCCCTGCATACATTAGCTATTTGTCCTGACACTCTCCCTCCCCTCACCCCCCACCTCCTGACAGGCCCTGGGATGTGTTTTTCCCCTCCCTATGTCCATGTGTTCTCACTGTTCAGCTCCCACTTATGGGTGAGAACATGCGGTGTTTGGTTTTGGTTTTCTGTTCCTGCGTTAGTTTGCTGAGGATGATGGCTTCCAGCTTCACGTATGTCCCTGCAAAGGACATGATCTCATTCCTTTTTATGGCTGCATAGTATTCCATGATGTATATGTATCACATTTTCGTTTGTTGTTGTTGTTGTTGTTTTGTTTTTCCGAGATGGAGTCTTGCTCTGTCACCCAGGCTGGAGTGCAGTGGTGCGATCTCAGCTCACTGCAACCTCCGCCTCCTGGGTTCAAGCGATTCTCCTGCCTCAGCCTCCTGAGTAGCGGGGATTACAAGTGCCCGCCACCATACCTGGTGAATTTTTGTATTTTTGGTAGAGATAGGGTTTCACCACGTTGGCCAGGCTGGTCTCAAACTCCTGACCTCAAGTAATCCACCCTCCTCAACCTCCCAAAGTGCTGGGATTACAGGCATGAGCCACTGCGCCTGCCCTCACATTTTCTTTATCCAGTCTATTACTGATGGGCATTTGAGTTGGTTCCATGTCTTTGCTACTGTAAACAGTGCTTCAATAAACATATGTGTGCATGTGTCTTTATAGTAGAATGATTATATTCCTTTAGGTATATACCCAGTAACAGGATTGCCAGGTCAAATGGTATTTTTGGTTCTAGATCCTTGGGGAATTGCCACACTGTCTTCCACAATGGTTGAACTAATTTGCATTCCCACAACAGTGTAAAAGCATTCCTATTTCTCCACAGCCTCACCAACATCTATTGTTTCTTGACTTTTTAATAATTGCCATTCTGACTGGTGTGAGATGGTATCTTATTGTGGTTTTGATTTGCATTTCTCTAATGATCAGTGATATTGAGCTTTTTTTTCATATGTTTGCTGGCCACATAAATGTCTTCTTTTAAGAAGTGTCTGTTCATATCCTTTGCCCACTTTTTGATGGGGTGGTTTTTTTCTTATAAATTTGTTTAAGTTCCTTGTAGATTCTGAATATTAGACCTTTGTCAGATGGGTAGATTGCAAAAATTTTCTCCCATTCTGTAGATTGCCCATTCACTCTGATGATAATTTCTTTTGCTGTGCAGAAGCTCTTTAGTTTAATTAGATCCCATTTGTCAATTTTAGCTTTTGTTGCAATTGCTTTTGGCTTTTTCATCATGAAATCTTTGCCCATGCCTATATCCTGAATGGGATTGCCTAGGTTTTCTTCTAGGTTTTTTATGATTTTGGGCTTTACATTCAAGTCTTTAATCCATCATGAGTTAATTTTTGTATAAGTTGTAAGGAAGGGGTCCAGTTTAGTTTTCTGCACATTGCTAGCCAGTTTTCCTATCACCATTTATTAAATAGGGAATCCTTTCCCCATTACTGGTTTTTGTCAGGTTTGTTGAAGATCAGATGGTTGTAAATGTATGGTGTTATTTATGAGGTCTCTGTTCTGTTCTGTTGGTCTATATGTCTGTTTTTGTACCAGTACCATGCTGTTTTGGTTACTGTAGCCTTGTAGTATAGCATGAAGTCAGGTAGCATGATGCATCCAGCTTTATTCTTTTTGCTTAGAATTGTCTTGGCTATACAGGCTATTTTTTGGTTATATATGAAATTTAAAGTAGTTTTTTTCTAATTTTGTGAAGAATGTCAATGGTAGTTTGATGGGAATCTATAAATTACTTTGGGCAGTATGGCCATTTTCACAATATTGATTCTTCCTATCCATGAGGGTGGCATGTTTTTCCATTTGTTTGTGTCTTCTCTTATTTTCTTGAGCAGTGGTTTGTAGCTCTCCTTGAAGAGGTCCTTCAATTCCCTTGTTAGCTGTATTTCTAGATTATTTTATTCTGTTTGTAGCAATTGTGAATGGAGTAATGGAGTTCATTCATGACTCGGCTCTCTGCATGTCTGTTTTTGGTGTATAGGAAAGCTCATGATTTTTGCACATTGATTTTGTATCCTGAGACTTTGCTGAAGTTTCTCATCAGCTTAAGGAGTTTTGGGCTGAGACAATGGGGTTTTCTAAATGTAGAATTATGTTGTTTTCAAACACAGACAATTTGACTTCCTCCCTTCCTATTTGAATACCCTTTATTCCTTTCTCTTGCCTGATTGCCCTGGCCAGAACTTCCAATATTATGTTGAATAGGAGTGGTGAGAGAGGGAATCCTTGTCTTGTGCTGGTTTTCAAAAGGAATGCTTCCAGCTTTTGCCCAGTCAGTATGATATTGGCTGTGGGTTTGTCATAAACTGCTCTTATTATTTTGGGATGTGTTCCATCAATACCCAGTTTATTGAGAGTTTTTAACATTACTTTTATTGAAGGAATGTTGAATTTTATCGAAGGCCTTTTCTGCATCTATGGAGATAACCATGTGGTTCTTGTTATTGGTTCTGTTTATGTGATGGATTATGTTTATTGATTTGATTTATATATGTTGAATCAGCCTTGCATCCCAGGTATGAAGCTGACTTGATCATGGTGGATAAACTTTTTGATGTGCTGCTGGATTCAGTTTGCCAGTATTTTATTGAGGATTTTCACATTGACATTCATCAGGGATACTGGCCTGAAGTTTTATTTTTGTTGTGTCTCTGACAAGTTTTGGTATCAGGATGATGCTGGCCTCATAAAATGAGTTAGGGAGGAGTCCTTCCTTTTCAATTGTTTGGAATAGTTTCAGAAGGAATGGTACCAGCTCCTCTTTGTACCTCTGGTAGAATTTGGCTATGAATCCATCTGGTCCTGGGCTTTTTTTGGTTGGTAGGCTATTAATTACTGTCTCAACTTCAGAACTCGTTATTGGTCTATTCAGGGATTGACTTCTTCCTGGTTTAGTCTTTGGAGGGTGTATGTGTCCAGGAATTTACCCATTTCTTCTAGATTTTCTAGTTTATTTGCGTAGAAGTGTTTATAGTATTCTCTGATGGTAGTTTGTATTTCTGTGGGGTCAGTGGTGATATCCCCTTTATCATTTTTTATTGTGTCTATTAGATTCTTCTCTCTTTATTAGTCTAGCTAATAAATAGATAAAATAGATAGCAGTGTATCTATTTGTTAATTTTGTCAAAAAATCAGCTCCTGCAATCATTGATGTTTTTGAAGGGTTTTTGTGTCTCTATCTCCTTCAGTTCTGCTCTTAGCTATTTCTTGTCTTCTGCTGGCTTTTGGATTTGTTTACTCTTGCTTCTCTAGCTCTTTTAATTGTGATATTAGGGTGTTGATTTGAGATCTTTCTAGCTTTCTGATGTGGGCATTTAGTGCTATAAATTTCCCTCTTAACACTGCTTTAGCTGTGTCCCAGAGATTCTGGTACGTTGTCTCTTTGTTCTCATTGGTTTCAAAGAAGTTCTTAATTTCAGCCTTAGTTTCACTATTTACCCAGGAGTCATTCAGGAGCAGGTTGTTCGATTTCCATGTAGCTGTGTGGTTTTGAGTGGGTTTCTTGATCCTGAGTTCTAGTTTGATTGCACTGTGGTCTGAGAGACTGTTATGATTTCAGCTCTTTTGCATTTGCTGAGGAATGCTTTACTTCCAATTATGTGATCAATTTTAGAACAAGTGCCATGTGGCACTGAGAAGAATGTATATTCTGTTGATTTGGGGTGGAGAGTTCTGTAGATGTGTACTAGATCCACTGACCCAGAGCCGAGTTCACATCCTGAATATCCTTGTTAATTTTCTGTCTTGATGATCTGTCTAATATTGACAGTGAGGTGTTAAAGTCTCCCATTATTATTGTGTAGAAGTCTACGTCTCTTTGTAGGTCTCTAAGAACTTGTTTTATGAATCTGGGTGCTCCTCTATTTGGCACATATATATTTAGGTTAGTTAGCTCTTCTTGTTGAATTGATCCCTTTACCATTATGTAATGCCCTTCTTTGTTTTTTTTTTTTTTATCTTTGTTGGTTTAAAGTCTGTTTTCTCAGAGACTAGTATTGGAACCCCTGCTTATTTATTTATATATTTTTTGCTTTCCATTTTCTTGGTAAATTTTTCTCCATCCCTTTATTTTGAGCCTGTTTGTGTCTTTGCATGTAAGACGGGTCTCCTGAATACAGTACACCGATAGGTCTTGACTCCTTATCCAATTTGCCAGTTTGTGTCTTTGAATTGGGGCATTTAGCCCATTTACATTTAAGGTTAATATTGTTATGTGTGAATTTGATCCTGTTATCTTGATACTATCTGGTTATTTTGCATACTAGTTCATGCAATTTCTTCATAGTGTCATTGGTCTTTATATTTTGGTGTGTTTTGTAGTGGCTGGTACTGGTTTTTTCTTTCCATATTTAGTGCTTCCTTCAGGAGCTCTCTTGTAAGGCAGGCCTGGTGGTGACGAAATCCCTCAGCATTTGCTTGTCTGAAAGGATTTTATTTCTCCTTCACTTATAAAGCATAGTTTGGCTGGATATGAAATTCTGGGTTGAAAATTTTTTTCTTTAAGAATGTTGAGGCCAGGCATGGTGGCCCATGCCTGTAATCCCAGTACTTTGGGAGGCCAGGGTGGGTGGATCACCTGAAGTCAGGAGTTCAAGACCAGCCTGGCCAACATGGCGAAACGAGTCTCTACTAAAAATACAAAAATTAGCTGGGCATGGTGGTGCATGCTTGTAATCCCAGCTACTTGGGAGGCTGAGGCAGGAGAATCATCACTAGAACCTAGGAGGCAGAGGCTGCAGTGACCCGAGATCGCACCATTGCACTCCAGCCTGGGCAACAGAGTGAGACTCTGTCTCAAAAAAGAAAAAAAAAAATGTTGAATATTGGCCCGCAGTCTCTTCTGGCTTGTAGGGTTCCTGCCGAGAGACCTGCTATTAGTCTGATGGGCTTCCCTTTGTAGGTGACCTGGCCTTTCTCTCTGGCTGCCCTTAACATTTTTTCCTTCATTTTGACCTTGGAGAATCTGATGATTATGTGTCTTGCAGTTGATCTTCTCATGGAATATCTTTGTGGTGTTCTCTGTATTTCCTGAATTTGAATGTTGACCTGTTTTGCTAGGTTGGGGAAGTTCTCTTGGATAACATCCCAAAGTGTATTTTCCAAGTTGGTTCCATTCTCCCTGTCTCTTTCAGGTTCTCCAATCAATCATAGGTTCGGTCTTTTTACGTAGTCCCATGTTTTTTGGAGGTTTTTTTGTTCCTTTTCATTTTTCTTTAATCTTGTCTGCCTGCCTTATTTCAGCAAAATGGTCTTCAAACTCTGATATCCTTTCTTCTGCTTGATTGATTTGGCTATTGATACTTGTGTATGCTTCACGAAGTTCTTGTGCTGTTTTCAGCTCCACCAGGTCATTTATGACCTCTAAACTGGCTATTCTAGTTAGCAACTCCTGTAACCTTTTATAAAGGTTCTTAGCTTATTTGCATTGGATTAGAACATGCTCCTTTAGCTCAACGGAGTTTGTTATTATCCACCTTCTGAAGTCTACTTCTGTTAATTTGTCCACCTCATCCTCCATCCAGTTCTGCACCCTTGCTGGAGAGGCATTGTGATCATTTGGAGGAGGAGAGGCACTCTGGCCTTTTGGGTTTTCAGTGTTTTTTCACTGATTCTTTCTCATCTTCATGAGTTTGTCTAGTTTTGATCTTTGAGGCTGCTGACCCTTGGATGAGGTTTTTATGGGGACTTTTTTGTTGATGTTGTTGTTGCTTTCTGTTTGTTTGTTTTTTTTTTCAATGGTCAGGTCCCTCTTCTGTAGGACTGCTGCAGTTTTTTTTCGGGTTAACTTCAGGCCCTATTCATCTGGTTCACTCCCATGCTTGGAGATGTCACTCGAGGAGGCTGGAGAACAGCAAAAATGGGTGCCTGCTCCTTCCTCTGGGATCTCTGACCTCAAGGGACACTGACCTGATGCCAGTAGAAATGTTCCTATATAGGGTGTCTGACAACCCCTGTTGGAGGATCTCACCCAGTTGGGTGGCATGGGGAGCAGGACTCATTTAACACATCACTTTGGCTGTCCCTTGGTGGCAGGGGTTTGCTATGCTGCGGGGAAACCCACTCATCTGGGTTGCCAGGATCCTTGTGGGTTACCAGGATCCCTCAGAACTAGCAGGAGGAAAGACTAAGTGTGCTTGTCCATGGAGACCATGGCCACCCCTCCCCCTAGGGCTCAGGCCCAGGGAGATCAGAGTTCTGTCCATGAGCCCCTGGCTGGAGTTGTTGGAGTTCCTGCGGTGAGGCCCCACCCAGTGAGGAGGTATGGGTCAGGGTCAGGCCTGAAGAGGCGCTCTCGCTGCAGTATGCCACAGCTGGTGTGTTAGGCTGTGGGGAATACCTCCTGGGACCAAGCCGTCTATCCTCCATGGCTCCAGCAGGAGAAAAGTGGGGCCTGGAGCTATAGAGATGGCTGCTACTTTTCCCTGCCCCTGGGAGCTTGGTGTGTTAGGCAGCTAGCAGTCACAGTGTTGTCTGCCACCTCTCTCCCAAGGAGCTCAAACGGCTTAGACAGCAGACAGATGCAGCTGTGGTGCTGGCTGCCCCTCCCACTGGAAACTTGGCAGTCTTAAGAAGATTCTAGCTGAGTGGCTGTTGAGAATCGGCATAGTTCGGTGGTTGGGACCTTAGGCCCTGGTGGCTTGGGCTCATGAGTGGGATCTTCCAATCCATGGAATGCATAGTTCCATGGAAAAAGCACAGTTTCCCAGGCTGGGTAGCACACTCACTCACTGCTTCCCTCGGCTGGGGAGTGGGGACTCCCCTGCCCCCTGTGCCTCTCAGGTGGGCTGCTGCACTACACTGCTCTTCCTTCCTCTCCGTGGGTCACACCAGCCGCCTAGTCAGTCCTGACGACAGGACCTGGATACCTCAGTTGCTGGTGCAGGATTCATACACTGTTATGGTTCTTTTCCGTGGGAGCCTCTGATTGCTGCTGCTTCTAGTTGGCCATCTTTGACCTGCCTCTGATTGTTTTTTTAATTGTATTTTTTATTGTGGCAAAATATACATATTATAAAATTAACTATTTTAACTATTTTTAAGTGTATACTTCAGTGGCATGAAGTATATTCGTATTGTTCTACCACTTTCACCATTGTCATATATTTCCAGAACTTTTTCATTTTCCTAAACTGAAACTCTGTACACATTAATACTAACTCTATTTTCTTCCTCCCCTCAGTCCCTGGAACCCACCAATCTCCTGTCTCTATAAATTTGATCACTGTAGGAACCTCACATAAGTAGAATCATACAATATTTATCCTTTGGTGACTAGCTGATTTCACTTAATGTCTCCAAGACTCATCTATGCTGTAGCATGTGTCAGACATATTTTTTAAGGCTGAGAAATATTTCATGGTAGGTATATACTACATTTCAATTATCCATTCATCCATCCATAGACACTTGGGTTGATCCCACCTTTTGGCTCTTATGAATAATGCTACCATGAACATAGGTGTACAAATATCCATTTGAGTCCCTGCCTTTAATTCTTTTGGGTATATACCAGAAGTGGGATTGCTGGATTATATGATAATTCTGTTTAATGTTTTGAAGAACCGCCATACTGTTTTCTACAGTAGCTGTACCATTTAATAATACCACCAGCAATGCACAGTGTTCTAATTTCTTCATATCCTCATGAATACGTGTATTTTCTGCTATTTTGATAATAGCTATCATAACAGTGTAAAGTTGTGTCTCATTACAGTTTTGATTTGCATTTTTCTAATGATTAGTGATGTTTAACATCTTTTCATATCCTTATTGGGATGGCAGGGAGTTTTGACCACACACTCTAGCTCAACGGTTCTCAAAATTGTTTGCATGTTAGAATCTCTCTTGGAACTTTTAAAAAATGATGATGCATGGGACCCAGTAACTAATTTGGAATCTTGGGAATTGAGGTCCAGGCATTTTTCCACAAGTGGAATTGGGGTGCTCCGGTTCTTAAAATCTCAGGACTTAGATGGAGTCCTGATGTATTACTTGGCATTGTCCTGGTTTGGATGAACATACTTTTTACCCTCTGTGATAATAAGAAATATATATTTGGGCTTTGTGTCTGACACAGAGTTTATAAAACCCTTAGAATTTCCTGAGTGGTAGAGGTGATGGGAACATTTTTGTTATGCATAAGAGGCCTGATATGGTTTGGCTTTTTCCCCACCCAAATCTCATGTTGAATTATAATCTCCAATGTTGGAGGAGGGACCTGGTGGGAGGTGATTGGATCATGGGGATGAATTTCCCCCCTGCCGTTCTCATGATAGTGAGTGAGTTCTCATGAGACCTGGTTGTTTGAAAGTGTGTAGCACTTCCCACTTCACTCCCTCTCTCTCCTGCTCTGCCATGGTAAGATGTGCTTGCTTCCCCTTTACCTTCCGCCATGATTGTAAGTTTTCTGAGGCCTCCCAGCCATACTTCCTTTATAGCCTGCAGAACTGTGAGTCAATTAAACCTCTTTTATTCATAAATTACCCCATTTCAGGTAGTTCTTTATAGCAGTGTGAGAATGAACTAATACAAGGCCCCATTAAACCATACGTGAGTTTGTGCCAATGAGGTAACTATTGAAGGGCCCCTAGATAACAGTTAGGACGGAGCTGGTTGCCAGAGGAATCAACCATGTGATTAGAGGGTTGAAACTTTTAGCCCCATTCCTTAACCTGGGAAGTGAGAAGGAAAGAGAGGCTGTAGGTTGAGTTCAGTCACCAGTGGTCAATATTTTAATCAATCATGCTAATGTAATAGAACTTTTATAAAATCCCTAAATCATGAGCGTCTGAGTTGGTGAACACAGTGAGGTTCTGGGAGGGTGGCATGTCCAGAAAGGGCATAGAAGCTCCACAGTATTTCCCCCATACCTTGCCCCATACATCTCTTCCATTTGGCTGTTTCTGAGTTGTATCCTTTATAATAAACTAATAATAAAAAGTAAAAACACTATTTTTTGTTCTGTGAGCTGTTCTTGTAAATTATCAACCATAAGAAAGGGGTTGTAGGAACCTCCAATTTATAACCAATTTGTCAGAATTACAGGTGAAAACCTGGGACTTGTACCTGGTGCTAAGTGAGTCAGTCTTGTGAGACTTAGCCCTTAACCTGTGGGGTCTGCACAAACTCAGAGTAGTTAGCATCAGAATTGAGTTGAATTGTAGGACACCTAGTTGGTGTCTAGAGATTTGGAAAATTGTTTGGTGTGGGGAAAAAAAAATCCACACATTTGGCCAGAAATGGTGTGAATAAAAACAGCTCATATCTTTTTTATCATAAAATTGGAATAATAATATCTACCTGGCAGCATGCTTTTGAGGTTTGAATGAAATAATGTGACATAATAAAGAACGTTACTCTTAGCAGGTGCCTATCATGGAAGAAAAGGGAAGAGGCATCTGGGCTGTTCTCTGTGATTTGATAATAAACATGAGAGACATGCTCACTCTGAAACAGAGGGCAAGGCATGATGAAAAAGACCAGGAGCAGTGGCTGTCAGCCCTGGCTACTCATTAAAGTCATCTGAGATTTTAAACTCACCTGGGGAGTTGCCCATCTACCTACTTCCCACAAAAGGTTCATGGTACAGGGCTCTGGGATCGGCTGGTCTTCACCTCCCAGGCCTGATGAGGGAGAATTCATATTCTCTGCTATCATAGGAGGTAGGTCATTGTAGAGTCACAGGAGGCAAAGGTTGCTTCAACCTTCACAGACCTCAACTCTAATCATAGCCTGGAAATAATAGGAAGGAAAAACAGTGCTGGGTGCCCTCTAAATCTCGTGGGCTTTAATGTGTGTTAGTAATAAAGCAGGTAAGTCATTGATTTAAACATATGATTTCTCACTTGATACAATGTTCCTTTAATTTCTAATTCCTACCCTGCAATGCTGGCTCATACGATTGGGATAATACCATCATTGTGTTCTTTCATCGTTTAGTATAACAAAGAACCAAATGCATGATTTTAATAAAAAATATTAAGTTAAGGTTCTTTTCTCTGTTGCGTGCATCCAGGAAGAAATTCCTTTGATATAATAAGGCAATTATTGGGTTTTAATTAAGTGACGGGTGATCATGAGAGCCATGATTTTTGGAAGGTTTTTTTTTTTAACTTCAGTTTCATAAAGCTTAAAAAATCTACAATGCTTTTTGGCAAGCACTATAATTTATATTCAACCAATAGAGAAACTCTTTCAAATATATTTTTTGGAATGCTAATCAGCATTAATCAAGCAGAAGCATGTTTTGAACTATCTTCTTCTGTAGCCCTATTTTTCTCCTTTCTGTGTTCAGTTTCTTTTGATTAAAAAAAAAAAAGTCTGTGCACATGGACTTGGATCAGACAGATCCTGGGGATGGAAGCTGTGCCCAGGAACAACTCTTGGCAAAATTGGAAAATGGGCTCTGTTGGCCTTCATCAAATACAACTGAACTCAACCTCCCGCACACTCCCTCATTCCTTACCCACTCCCTGCAGGCCCGTAAAGCCCTAATCAGTGGTTTTCATGTAGAACATTGCTTTTTAAAGCTCCAGTTTATAGTATTTACCTTTTTCCATGGTTAAATACTTGCACAGTGGCTGATTGCAAGCTACCAACCTGAAGTCTCATTGAAGCAGGGAAGGAATATACAAATTGAACTCCTGCAATCTGATCCAGTAGAAGCTGGCTCCTGCACATCACTTCCCCAATGCTGTCAGCTTCTCCTGCCATCTGTGTCAAAACTCACCATCTGAACAGGATTGTATATCAGTCCCTTACACCTTTGTGAATTCCAGCCCCTGAGCTTCCTGCCTCAGAGAATGTGTCTTTCCATTTTGGAAAAGAAAACAGGCCTTTTCATGTCAATGAGCAGGGAGAGAAGATACTCCAGGGAAGAAGAGAAGACTGACTTCCAAAAGCACATATTCGTGTCATGAGAAGAACATGGGAGAAGAAGGCATGAGGGCTGGGTTTTTGTCCTGAGCCTCTCACCTGTGTGACCTTGGACAAGGCATACATACCTCTTCTCTGGTCCTTGGATTTTGCATGACAGGGTGAGCCACCTGGCCTCCCCAAGCTCTCTCAGCCCTGATATGTTACCATTCCATGTGGCATCTGATGCCAACCATGCTTAATCAGAAAACTAGGAGCAGGGATGAAGTGTGGCAATGAGGACCAACAAAATTGTTTTATCATGTTTGTCCAACCAATTGATATTAAAAAAGTGAAGAAGAATATGAAGGAGTTAATGAACCTCCTTAAGTGACAGAGACTTCACAAACTTTGGAATAGTTTTAGCCTTTCGCCAGCATTTGTTAAAGTTCAGAGCATCTATTCCTTGTAATAAAGTGGTATGTATTTATCATACAATCGTTACCTTATTAAGCTATAATAAATGTCCAGTGAAGTGCATATAGGCCATTTCTGTTGCAATTTAATTACCAGCACAGTTAATTAGGCAATATACTCCATCACCATTTTTATTTAAATGGTGTCTTGACTTTATTAAACAGTTTTGAGGAGGGATGGGTGGACCCAAAGCCCTTGATTAGGATAGAGAGTGAAAACCATTAAGCACTACCGCCATTTATTGCGTGCCTACTATGTGCTAGTACTTTACAGAAACCATCTCTGTATCCTCACGATGACTCATTTAAGGACCTCAGATATGGAAAATACTGACTAGAGTACTCATGGCCAGAGGGCCAGTGACACTTGCATCTTTCCAGTCCCTGGCAGCAGGTATGCTTGGGAACCACAGGGACAAGAGTTAGGCGCTGTGCACCTAATAGGTATCAGTGCCTCAGAGCTGCAGCCAGAAAGCCCTCACAAAGCTTTTTAGGAGTTCATTCCAGTGCCAAATTTACTTGAGGGGTGATTTTAGGAACCACTGGGAAAGCTCAAATTCATGAACATTTCTCATGTGGCTAGAGAAAAAACAGATAAAATTCCATCATTAAAATTTCTGGCCCTAGCCTAAAATTCTGAAAGATGTTCAATACACCTTCTCATAGGAAGCTTTGAATTTTCAGCGGTTCTTGATCCCTTGTACTTCAGGCAGAATGGAAGACCTCAGGGAATAGATATTGGTTGATAGGGGAAAGGAATGAGGGTGGTGGGAGATTGGGTGTGGTGGGCAGAGAAAAATTTCCAGACTTGGGACTTGTGACTGTTCTGATAGAGCTTGGCAGACTAGCTCTGAGCAGAAAGAACATGTGAGGACTAGAAAATTTGTGGCAGTGGTTTTTCAGGAGACTAATAGAAGATATAAGATTTGGAATGTGATTATCATCTATTTGAATCTTCACTTGATTGCTAAAAGTGAAGGGATTATCTTCTGATACTTTGTTACCTCATTGTGAAATGAGGCTAGGAATGCCTTCTTCTTATGTCAGCAGCGAGGGGTAAATGAATCAATGTATACTTGGTGTACAGTATCTAAATTCTCCCTCCTAGCCCCAAGACAGTTGCTCAGTAAACACAGGATAGATGTTAGTAGCATGTTCTCTGATTTGTTATTTTATAATGCATGTGACTTGGTGCTGTGTAGTTGGTTGCAAGGCCAGCAAGCAAAGGGGTGGCACCTTAACATTTTAAAATATTAGGTCCTTTAGAAGAGGACCCTACACACATATGAGCCATTTATTAAATATACTGTTTGATATGGTTTGGCTGTGTCCCCACCCAAATCTCATCTTGAATTGCAGCTCCCATACTTCTCACTTGTCATGGGTGGGATCTGGTGGGAGGTAATTGAATCATGGGGGCAGGTCTTTCCCATGCTGTTCTCGTGATAGTGAGTAAGTCTCATGAGAGCTGATGGTTTTATAAAGGGGAGTACCCCTGCACATGCTTTCTTGTCTGCCGCCATGTAAGACCTGACTTTGCTCTTCCTACGCCTTCCACCATAATTGTGAGTCCTCCCCACGCATGTAGAACTGTGAGTTGATTAAACCTCTTGCCTTTATAAATTACTCAGTCTCAGGTATGTCTCTTAGCATCATGAGAACAGATTAATATACTGTACTTGAATTTGCTGATGGAGTCATAGGAGCCATCTTGATCACTTCATAATATGATCCATTATGTGCCATTTATAAACATTTTATTTTCTTTTTTTACTCAACAGCAATTTATTTCTGAACCATATTTATTTTACTTGTTAATTTTTGGGGGGAAGGAGGTGTCTGTCTACTCACTGGGCATTGGAGTAGGAATCTTGTATAACTTGCTGGACATTGTCTTAAGCATCTCAATGCAATATCTGACACACAGCAGACATTCAATGAATATTTGTTAAATAAATGTACCTTTTTTTTCCTGGACTGACAAGTATGTAAACATCATGGGGTTTGTAGCTAATGGGAGAAAGAATGTACATATTTAAACATCTAACTTGAAGCCAAACTGACGAGATGGAGCATGCAAAGGGATTAGGTGCTGCCAATGTCCGCCATGTACCAGGTGTGCTCTCTGCCCTGGGGACAGAGCAGTGAATGAGCAAAAATGAAAAGCAAAAATCCCTGAGATGACAATACGTGGTAAATATGTAGAGAAGAAATAATGAGGTGTGATGGTTAATTTTAGGTGTCAACTTGACCTATGGTAAGGGATATCCAGATAGCTTGTAAAGCATTATTCCTGAGTATATTTGTGAGAATGTTTCTGGAAGAGATTAGGATTGGAATCAGTCGACTAAGTAAGGAAGATCCACCCTCATTCAATGTGAGCAGGCACCATCCAATCAGCTGAAGGCCCAGATAGAAGAAAAAGACAGATAAAAAACAATTCACCCTCTCTTCTGGGACTCCCTTCTTCTCCTGGCCTTAGACATCAGAACTCCAGGTTTTCTGGCCTTTGGACTCCGGGACTTGGGACTTGCACCAGCACTTTCTGCCTCCTCAGGTTCTCAGGCTTTCAGCCTTGAACTGAGAGTTACATTATCAGCTTCCTTGGGCCTCAAGTCTTCAGACTCGGACTGGGCTAAGGCACTGGGCTCCCTGATTCTCCAGCTTGACAATGGCATACTGTGAGACTTCTCAGCCTCCATAATTGCATAAAGAAATTCCCATAATAAATCCCTCTTTATCTATCTATCTATCTATCTATCCATCCATCCATCTATCCATGCATCCTACTGGTTCTGTTTCTCTGGAGAATCCTAACACAGGAGGGGAAAAAAATAAAGAGGGATGAGAATGTGTGGGAGTGGGGATTACAATTATAGATAGGGTATCCAGGAAAGACCTCACTGAGAAGGGGACTTTTGAACAAATACCTGAAGGAAGTAAGAAAGTGAGCCATGAGGATATCTGGGAAAAGAGCACTTCTAATAGAATGAAGAGCAAGTGGAAAGACCCAGGGATAGAAACATGCCAGGCACATTGAGGAAACAGTGAGACAGCCAATGAACATGAAACGGAAGGAGTAAGGGGAAGAGTCATAAGAGATCGGGGTCACAGAGATAACAGGAAACCAAGTCACATGGGGCCTCATAAGTCATTGTAGGGACTTTGGGTTTTACCTTGAGTAAGATGGGGAAACAACTGGATTCTGAGGAGATGAATGATATACCTGACTTCCAGTTTAACAGGATCACTTGGACATAAGAATTGAGAACAGACAGGAGGGTAGATGGGTTTGGAAATTACAACTGCAGTGAGAGATGATAATTCTAAGGTGGTAGCAGTGAAGATGCTGAGAAGTGGTGTTAGGCTGGATATTCTTCGTCTTTTTTTTTTTTTTGAGACGGAGTTTCACTCTTGTTTCCTAAGCTGGAGTGCAATGGCGTGATCTCGGTTCACCGCAACCTCCGCCTCCCGGGTTCAAGTGATTATCCTGCCTCAGTCTCCCAAGTAGCTGGGATTACAGGGATGTGCCGCCACCCCAGCTAATTTTGTATTTTTAGTAGAGACGGGTTTTCTCCATGTTGGTCAGGCTGGTCTTGAACTCCTGACCTCAGGTGATCCACCTGCCTCGGCCTCCCAAAGTGCTGGGATTACAGGCATGAGCCACCGTGCCCGGCGGCTAGATATTCTTTGAAGGCAGAGTAAATAGGATTCTCTGATTATGTGGTGTGTGAGTGAAAGAGAGGGGAAAAATGATCCTAAGATTTCTGACTTGAACAATAAGAAGGATGAAGTTGCCATTTACTGAGATGGGGAAAATTGTAGAAGTACGCACATTTTGGATGATTGGGGAATTAGGAGTTCGGTTTTTATCTTAAATTTAAAATGCCATTTTAGTATCAAAGTGAAGATGTCAAGCAGTTAGTTGAGTGTATGAAACTGGAATCCGGTGAAGAGCTCTGGACTGGAGATATAAATTAGGAATTGAACCATGAAGAAAGGTGAAGTCACCAAGGGTATTATTATAAACAGGCAAGGGAAGTAATCCAACAACTGAACCCTGGGACCTATGAAAGCTGAGGAGAAATCAGGAAAAAGGACTGCGAAAGAAAATCAAGTATTGTAGGAGGAAATCTATAAGAAATCCATTCAAAGAAAATACTTCAGGAGGTAGGAGGGATCAACTGTGTCCAGTGCTGCTGATGGGTCGAGTAAGATGAGGACTGAGAATTAATCATTATATTCACTGTATTTAGCAAAGTAGATATCATTGGTATCCTTGTTAAGAGTGTTTTTGCAGAAACAGTGTGAAGAAAATCTTGATTGGTGTATGCTTAAAAAATGGGAAAGAAGATTTAAGAACAGAAAATTTTCAAGATATATTGCTGTAAGGGAGAGCAGAGAAATCAGGCTATCATGTAGATGGATGTGGTGTTAATGGCATTTTTTTAAAGATGAGAGAAATAATAGCATGTTTGTGTCCTAATAAACATGATCCGATAAAAATAAAGGAAATGAGTCAGGGGAGAGAGGGGAGAGTTAATGGAGAAGAATTATAGAGGAGAAGCGAAGGGATGGGTCCAGTGGACAAGCACATATAGAAGTGAAATATCTGACAACAAATGCACAGAGGACAGAAGGATGATAATTGGAAATATACTTTCTTATGTTTTTTCATAAAGTAGGATAATGTTTTATAAACTGTGATCAGTAAGAGATGAATAATAAATCTCCAGAACAACCGCTAAAACACACAAGTATACCCAAAGAGCCTAACTAAAATATCAATACAGGAAGTAAAACGGAATTCTAAAATATATTAAATTAACCCAAAAGAAAATAATAAAGGAACTGATGAACAAAGATCAAGTGGCACAAATAGAAAATATGTGCTCTTTGGGAGGCCGAGGCAGGTGGATCACAAGGTCAGGGGTTCGAGACCAGCCTGGCCAACATGGTGAAACCCTGTCTCTACTAAAGATACAAAAAATTAGCCAGGTGTGGTGGTGCATGCCTGTAATCCCAGCTACTTGGGAGGCTGAGGCAGGAGAATCACTTGAATCTGGGAGGCAGAGATCACAGTAAGCCCAGATTGCATCAATGGACTCCAGCCTGGATGACAGGGCGAGACTCTCTCTCAAAAAAAAAAAAAAAAAAGAAAACAAGTGCTGAGAAGGTAGAATTGAACCCAAATATAATATTACACTAAGCCCACATATAAAAATTACAATAATTATATTAATAAATTACATTTACTAAATGTAAATGGGCTAATCACCCTTAGTGAAAGTGCAGAGATTGCCATACTAGATTACTAAAAATGATCTAGCTACATGCTGTTTATAATAAGCACACTTTAAACATCCAGCCACAAATGGGTTAAAAGTAAAAGCATGAAAGAATACATACCATAAAAACAGCTGGCTTGGCCATCTTAGTATCAGATAAATTGTAGACACACTCTTAACCCAGATTTTATTCACAAATAGACTTTCAGATGAAGAGTATTATACCAGAAATAAAGAAGGACATTTCATAATTATAAATAGATCAATTCATCAGGGAGACATAACCATCTCACATGTGTATCCATTTAACAACAAAACTATATAACACATGAAGCAAAAATGGACAGAACAAAGCTGATAAATAGACAAATCCACAATCAGGATAATTGATACAACAAATAAAAAGAAATCACTAAGGATATAATTTGAATAAAATTGTCAAACACTTGGCCAGATTTACATTGTATAGAACCCTAAACCCAACAATAATAGATTAAACATTCTTCTCAATCACACATGAATCATATACCAAAACAGACCATATGCTTTGTAATTAAATAAGTCTCAATAAATTTCAAAGAAGCGAAATCACGTAGAATATATTTCCTAAAGACACATTAAATTATAAATCAATAACACAAAGATAGCTAGGTATACAAATGTTTGGTAATTAAAAAACACACTTCTAAATAATTCATGGGCTAAAAAATAAACCTCAAAAATTTTAAAAATATTTTGAACTTAATGGAGATCCAATATATCAAAATGTGTGCACTATGGCTAAAACAGTACTAAGGAAAACTTATAGCTTCAAATGCTTATATTATAGACAAAGAAAGTTATAAAAAGCAGTGATTTCTCCTTCCATATTAAGAAACTAAAAAAAGAAGAGCAAATCACTACCAGTCATTAGAAGAAAGGAAATAAAGATCACTGAATATTAACATAGTACAAAATGAACAAAAAATAGAGAAAATGAACAAACTTAGTTTCATAAAAGGATTAATAAACTTTATAATCCTCTAGCAAGATTATTCAAGGACAATGGAAAATAGAAATTATCAATATTAGGAATAAGTGAGAATTACTAAAAGTCTCACAGATATTAAAAGGATATTTTAAAAAGGCACAGTTTAAACTATATTATGTCAAAATAGTTGACAGTTTAGATATATTCAATGAAAAACCATAACTTTCAAAACTGATACAACAAGAACTTGGAAATCTATTTTCATTAGAGATGTTTAATTTATAAATAAAAACCTTCTCACATCAAGAGAATGAGAAGGCAATCACAGACTGGGAGAAAATATTTGCAAAAGGCATTTCTGATAAAAGGCTATTATCCAACATAATAAATACATCTTAAAACTCAACATTAAGAAAACAAACAGCCTGATTAAAAGATGGGCCAATGGTCTTGACAGATACTCACCAAAGAAGTTATACAAATGAGAAACATATAAAAAATGCTCCAACATCATATGTTGCTAGAGAAATGCAAATTAAAACAATACAAAGTACTACTACACATCTATTAGAATGTCCAAAATTCAGAACACTGACATCACCAAATGTTGGTGAGGATGTGAAGCAACAGCAACTCTCATTCATTGTTGATGGGAATGCGAAATGGTACAACCACTTTGGACAACAGATTGGCAGTGTCTTACAAAACTAAACATATTCTTACCATGTGATCCAACAATTATGCTCCTTGGTATTTACCCAAAAGAGTTGAAAACTTATGTCCACACAGAAACCTGTGCACAGATGTTTATAGCAACTTAATTCATAATTGACAAAACTTAGAAGCAATCAAGATGTCCTTCAGTAAGTTAATGGATAAACTGTGGCACATCGAGACAATAGAATATTAAAATTTAGCACTAAAAGGAAATCAGCTTTCAAGCCATAAAAAGACATGGAGGAAGCCAAAGTGTATATTACTGAGTGAAAGAATCCAATCAGAAAAGGCTACATGCTATATGATTCCAACTATATGACATTCTCTAAATGAAATAACCATGGAGAGAGTAAACTGATGAGGGATTGCTAGGGGATAGGCAGAAGGGAAGGATGAATAGGCAGCACAGAGGGTTTTTAGGGCAGTGAAACTACTCTGTATAATAATACTATAATGACAGATACATGCCATTATACACTCATTCAAACCCATAAAATGTAAAAACACCAAGAATGAACGCTAATGTAAACTATGAAATTTTGGTGATGATGATATTTTAATGCAGGTTCACCAATTGTAACAAAGGTACCAATTGTTGGGGCCACTGGTAATGGGAGAGGCTATGCATGTGTTGGCACAGGAAATATGAGAAATTATTGTACCTTCCTCCCATAAAACATAAAGCATAAAATTGTCCTTAAAGCCTATGTAAAAAAGAACAAACAAAGTGAACAAAAAAACCTTCCTTCAAATAAAATTCAGGGTTTAGATGTCTTGTTTAGATGAACTGTATCATACTTTGAAAGTATTTTACAAACTCTTTCAGAAGATAGAGAAGGGGACACGTCCTAATTCATTTCATGAGGTCAGTGTAACTCTGCTAACAAAACCAGTCAAGGACATTATGAAAAATGAAAATTACAATATTCTTAATGAATATAGACACAAAAATTGTTGACCAAATATTAGCAAATAGAATACAATAAAATATGTAAAGAATAATCTTTTATGACCAAGTGAGGTTATCCCAGGAATGAAAGTTTGTTTAACATAAAAGCATCAACCAAAATAATTACATATATTAGCATTTCAAGGAGAGAAATCACATGATCTTTTAAATAATTGCAGATAAAGCATTTGATGCAAATTAATACCAATTTATTATTGAAAAAACCTCTCAGTAGAATATAGCAGAAGGTAGCAAGAAAGTGAAAAGAAACTTCCCACCAAAAGGCTGCCACAAAAAAAGACAAAAATATGAATGATACAACTGAACTCAAACTTACCAGTAATTACATAAACACGGGTTTAAATAATCAATTATAAGACGGAAACAAGCAGGGAGTGTACTGATCTGTGTAATGTGTCCTGAAATACACCAAATAGTAAGATGCACAGATAGTTATACAGAGGAATGAACCAAATAGATATATGATAAAATAAGTATGTTTAAATATTAAAAGTAGAGTATAGATGGTGATTATAAGGGCTTTCAATGCAAAATTCTTTCAGATTTGCTGTTTGAACATTGTCATGATAAAATGTTGGAGGGAAAGGGAAAAATAAAATGTACATTTATATAGCTGTTAATCATTAAAAAGTAATAGCAACAACTGGATTTAATAGAAAGAAACAAAATTCTGAGAATACCTGCCTCTAAGTAACAAAAAAGTAGATTTTGTTTAAATATAAATAAAACAAAGAGAGGGAGGAGCCAAGATGGCCGAATAGGAACAGCTCCGGTCTACAGCTCCCAGCGTGAGCGACGCAGAAGACAGGTGATTTCTGCATTTCCATCTGAGGTACCGGGTTCATCTCACTAGGGAGTGCCAGACAGTGGGCGCAGGCCAGTGTGTGTGCGCACCGTGCGCGAGCCGAAGCAGGGCGAGGCATTGCCTCACCTGGGAAGCGCAAGGGGTCAGGGAGTTCCCTTTCCGAGTCAAAGAAAGGGGTGACGGACGCACCTGGAAAATCGGGTCACTCCCACCCGAATATTGCGCTTTTCAGACCGGCTTAAGAAACGGCGCACCACGAGACTATATCCCACACCTGGCTCAGAGGGTCCTACGCCCACGGAATCTCGCTGATTGCTAGCACAGCAGTCTGAGATCAAACTGCAAGGCGGCAACGAGGCTGGGGGAGGGGCGCCCGCCATTGCCCAGGCTTGCTTAGGTAAACAAAGTAGCCGGGAAGCTCGAACTGGGTGGAGCCCACCACAGCTCAAGGAGGCCTGCCTGCCTCTGTAGGCTCCACCTCTGGGGGCAGGGCACAGACAAACAAAAAGACAGCAGTAACCTCTGCAGACTTAAGTGTCCCTGTCTGACAGCTTTGAAGAGAGCAGTGGTTCTCCCAGCACGCAGCTGGAGATCTGAGAACGGGCAGACTGCCTCCTCAAGTGGGTCCCTGACCCCTGACCCCCGAGCAGCCTAACTGGGAGGCACCCCCCAGCAGGGGCACACTGACACCTCACACGGCAGGGTATTCCAACAGACCTGCAGCTGAGGGTCCTGTCTGTTAGAAGGAAAACTAACAACCAGAAAGGACATCTACACCAAAAACCCATCTGTACATCACCATCATCAAAGACCAAAAGTAGATAAAACCACAAAGATGGGGAAAAAACAGAACAGAAAAACTGGAAACTCTAAAACGCAGAGCGCCTCTCCTCCTCCAAAGGAACGCAGTTCCTCACCAGCAACAGAACAAAGCTGGATGGAGAATGATTTTGACGAGCTGAGAGAAGAAGGCTTCAGACGATCAAATTACTCTGAGCTACGGGAGGACATTCAAACCAAAGGCAAAGAAGTTGAAAACTTTGAAAAAAATTTAGAAGAATGTATAACTAGAATAACCAATACAGAGAAGTGCTTAAAGGAGCTGATGGAGCTGAAAACCAAGGCTCGAGAACTACGTGAAGAATGCAGAAGCCTCAGGAGCCGATGCAATCAACTGGAAGAAAGGGTATCAGCAATGGAAGATGAAATGAATGAAATGAAGCGAGAAGGGAAGTTTAGAGAAAAAAGAATAAAAAGAAATGAGCAAAGCCTCCAAGAAATATGGGACTATGTGAAAAGACCAAATCTACGTCTGATTGGTGTACCTGAAAGTGATGTGGAGAATGGAACCAAGTTGGAAAACACTCTGCAGGATATTATCCAGGAGAACTTCCCCAATCTAGCAAGGCAGGCCAACGTTCAGATTCAGGAAATACAGAGAACTCCACAAAGATACTCCTCGAGAAGAGCAACTCCAAGACACATAATTGTCAGATTCACCAAAGTTGAAATGAAGGAAAAAATGTTAAGGGCAGCCAGAGAGAAAGGTCGGGTTACCCTCAAAGGAAAGCCCATCAGACTAACAGCGGATCTCTCGGCAGAAACCCTACAAGCCAGAAGAGAGTGGGGGCCAATATTCAACATTCTTAAAGAAAAGAATTTTCAACCCAGAATTTCATATCCAGCCAAACTAAGCTTCATAAGTGAAGGAGAAATAAAATACTTTATAGACAAGCAAATGCTGAGAGATTTTGTCACCACCAGGCCTGCCCTAAAAGAGCTCCTGAAGGAAGCCCTAAACATGGAAAGGAACAACCGGTACCAGCCGCTGCAAAATCATGCCAAAATGTAAAGACCATCGAGACTAGGAAGAAACTGCATCAACTAATGAGCAAAATCACCAGCTAACATCATAATGACAGGATCAAATTCACACATAACAATATTAACTTTAAATATAAATGGACTAAATTCTGCAATTAAAAGACACAGACTGGCAAGTTGGATAAAGAGTCAAGACTCATCAGTGTGCTGTATTCAGGAAACCCATCTCACGTGCAGAGACACACATAGGCTCAAAATAAAAGGATGGAGGAAGATCTACCAAGCCAATGGAAAACAAAAAAAGGCAGGGGTTGCAATCCTAGTCTCTGATAAAACAGACTTTAAACCAACAAAGATCAAAAGAGACAAAGAAGGCCATTACATAATGGTAAAGGGATCAATTCAACAAGAGGAGCTAACTATCCTAAATATTTATGCACCCAATACAGGAGCACTCAGATTCATAAAGCAAGTCCTGAGTGACCTACAAAGAGACTTAGACTCCCACACATTAATAATGGGAGACTTTAACACCCCACTGTCAACATTAGACAGATCAACGAGACAGAAAGTCAACAAGGATACCCAGGAATTGAACTCAGCTCTGCACCAAGCAGACCTAATAGACATCTACAGAACTCTCCACCCCAAATCAACAGAATATACATTTTTTTCAGCACCACACCACACCTATTCCAAAATTGACCACATAGTTGGAAGTAAAGCTCTCCTCAGCAAATGTAAAAGAACAGAAATTATAACAAACTATCTCTCAGACCACAGTGCAGTCAAACTAGAACTCAGGATTAAGAATCTCACTCAAAGCCGCTCAACTACATGGAAACTGAACAACCTGCTCCTGAATGACTACTGGGTACATAACGAAATGAAGGCAGAAATAAAGATGTTCTTTGAAACCAACGAGAACAAAGACACCACATACCAGAATCTCTGGGACGCATTCAAAGCAGTGTGTAGAGGGAAATTTATAGCACTAAATGCCTACAAGAGAAAGCAGGAAAGATCCAAAATTGACACCCTAACATCACAATTAAAAGAACTAGAAAAGCAAGAGCAAACACATTCAAAAGCTAGCAGAAGGCAAGAAATAACTAAAATCAGAGCAGAACTGAAGGAAATAGAGACACAAAAAACCCTTCAAAAAATCAATGAATCCAGGAGCTGGTTTTTTGAAAGGATCAACAAAATTGATAGACCGCTAGCAAGACTAATGAAGAAAAAAAGAGAGAAGAATCAAATAGACACAATAAAAAATGATAAAGGGGATATCACCACCGATCCCACAGAAATACAAACTACCATCAGAGAATACTACAAACACCTCTACGCAAATAAACTAGAAAATCTAGAAGAAATAGATACATTCCTCGACACATACACTCTCCCAAGACTAAACCAGGAAGAAGTTGAATCTCTGAATAGACCAATAACAGGCTCTGAAATTGTGGCAATAATCAATAGTTTACCAACCAAAAAGAGTCCAGGACCAGATGGATTCACAGCCGAATTCTACCAGAGGTACAAGGAGGAACTGGTACCATTCCTTCTGAAACTATTCCAATCAATAGAAAAAGAGGGAATCCTCCCTAA
This sequence comes from Homo sapiens, assembly GCF_000001405.40. Classification (NCBI taxonomy): domain Eukaryota; kingdom Metazoa; phylum Chordata; class Mammalia; order Primates; family Hominidae; genus Homo; species Homo sapiens. The sequence continues at coordinate 37,823,244 of NC_000018.10, forward strand.
CTCATTTTATGAGGCCAGCGTCATTCTGATACCAAAGCCGGGCAGAGACACAACCAAAAAAGAGAATTTTAGACCAATATCCTTGATGAACATTGATGCAAAAATCCTCAATAAAATACTGGCAAACGGAATCCAGCAGCACATCAAAAAGCTTATCCACCATGATCAAGTGGGCTTCATCCCTGGGATGCAAGGCTGGTTCAATATACGCAAATCAATAAATGTAATCCAGCATATAAACAGAGCCAAAGACAAAAACCACATGATTATCTCAATAGATGCAGAAAAAGCCTTTGACAAAATTCAACAACCCTTCATGCTAAAAACTCTCAATAAATTAGGTATTGATGGGACGTATTTCAAAATAATAAGAGCTATCTATGACAAACCCACAGCCAATATCATTCTGAATGGGCAAAAACTGGAAGCATTCCCTTTGAAAACTGGCACAAGACAGGGATGCCCTCTCTCACCGCTCCTATTCAACATAGTGTTGGAAGTTCTGGCCAGGGCAATCAGGCAGGAGAAGGAAATAAAGGGTATTCAATTAGGAAAAGAGGAAGTCAAATTGTCCCTGTTTGCAGACGACATGATTGTTTATCTAGAAAACCCCATCGTCTCAGCCCAAAATCTCCTTAAGCTGATAAGCAACTTCAGCAAAGTCTCAGGATACAAAATCAATGTACAAAAATCACAAGCATTCTTATACACCAACAACAGACAAACAGAGTGCCAAATCATGAGTGAACTCCCATTCACAATTGCTTCAAAGAGAATAAAATACCTAGGAATCCAACTTACAAGGGATGTGAAGGACCTCTTCAAGGAGAACTACAAACCACTGCTCAAGGAAATAAAAGAGGACACAAACAAATGGAAGAACATTCCATGCTCATGGGTAGGAAGAATCAATATCGTGAAAATGGCCATACTGCCCAAGGTAATTTACAGATTCAATGCCATCCCCATCAAGCTACCAATGACTTTCTTCACAGAATTGGAAAAAACTACTTTAAAGTTCATATGGAACCAAAAAAGAGCCCGCATCGCCAAGTCAATCCTAAGCCAAAAGAACAAAGCTGGAGGCATCACACTACCTGACTTCAAACTATACTACATGGCTACAGTAACCAAAACAGCATGGTACTGGTACCAAAACAGAGATATAGATCAATGGAACAGAACAGAGCTCTCAGAAATAATGCCACATATCTACAACTATCTGATCTTTGACAAACCTGAGAAAAACAAGCAATGGGGAAAGGATTCCCTATTTAATAAATGGTGCTGGGAAAACTGGCTAGCCATATGTAGAAAGCTGAAACTTGATCCCTTCCTTACACCTTATACAAAAATCAATTCAAGATGGATTAAAGATTTAAACGTTAGACCTAAAACCATAAAAACCCTAGAAGAAAACCTAGGCATTACCATTCAGGACATAGGCGTGGGCAAGGACTTCATGTCCAAAACACCAAAAGCAATGGCAACAAAAGCCAAAATTGACAAATGGGATCTAATTAAACTAAAGAGCTTCTGCACAGCAAAAGAAACTACCATCAGAGTGAACAGGCAACCTACAACATGGGAGAAAATTTTCGCAACCTACTCATCTGACAAAGGGCTAATATCCAGAATCTACAATGAACTCAAACAAATTTACAAGAAAAAAACAAACAACCCCATCAAAAAGTGGGCGAAGGACATGAACAGACACTTCTCAAAAGAAGACATTTATGCAGCCAAAAAACACATGAAAAAATGCTCATCATCACTGGCCATCAGAGAAATGCAAATCAAAACCACTATGAGATATCATCTCACACCAGTTAGAATGGCAATCATTAAAAAGTCAGGAAACAACAGGTGCTGGAGAGGATGTGGAGAAATAGGAACACTTTTACACTGTTGGTGGGACTGTAAACTAGTTCAACCATTGTGGAAGTCAGTGTGGCGATTCCTCAGGGATCTAGAACTAGGAATACCATTTGACCCAGCCATCCCATTACTGGGTATATACCCAAAGGACTATAAATCATGCTGCTATAAAGACACATGCACACGTATGTTTATTGCGGCACTATTCACAATAGCAAAGACTTGGAACCAACCCAAATGTCCAACAATGATAGACTGGATTAAGAAAATGTGGCACATATACACCATGGAATACTATGCAGCCATAAAAAATGATGAGTTCATGTCCTTTGTAGGGACATGGATGAAATTGGAAACCATCACTCTCAGTAAACTATCGCAAGAACAAAAAACCAAACACCACATATTCTCACTCATAGGTGGGAATTGAACAATGAGATCACTTGGACACAGGAAGGGGAATATCACACTCTGGGGACTGTGGTGGGGTCGGGGGAGGGGGGAGGGATAGCATTGGGAGATATACCTAATGCTAGATGACACGTTAGTGGGTGCAGCGCACCAGCATGGCACATGTATACATATGTAACTAACCTGCACAATGTGCACATGTACCCTAAAACTTAGAGTATAATAAAAAAAAAAAATTAAAAAAAAAAAAAAAATAAAACAAAGAATTTTAAAATTAAGCAATGCAAAAGGACATTTTAAGCAAATACTAAGCAATTCTAATTCTTAAGCAAATACTAAGCAATTCTAATTCTTAAGCAAATACTAAGCAATTCTAATTCTTAAGCAAATTAAATGTATACTAATTTTAGACCTTTATAGAGACAGTTAGAGATTTTATCTAAAGAAAATAGAAGGCCCAAATGAATGCAGAGTTATACTATGTTCTTAGGGGGAAGAGTCTGTTTCATAAGGGTGTCAATATACTCTTCAATACTCTGTAATTAAATCCATTTCAATTGCAGTCTTGACAATGTTTTTCATGGAACTTGACAAGGTGCTCTTAAAATTCACATGGAAATAATCAAGGATATTTTAAGAATAATAAGTGAATCTTGCCCTTCAGCTATTAGGAATTAGTAGGAAGTTACAGTAATTAAAATAATGTGGTTTTGGCACAGAGATAAAAAAAATACATCAAATGATAACCACGGCCTAGAAACAGACCCAAGCGTCTATCGAAACTCTGTATATGGTATTATAAAGCAACTGGGAAAGGGTGGACTATTTAATAAATTGCACTACCAGGAATGATTTTCCATGTGGAAATAAATTGGATCCCAATTTCATACCAAAAAGAAGCAAAAATTCATGTGGATTACAGACATAATAGGAAAAGCAAATTTTATTGCTTATAGAAGAGAATATAGAAGCATATCTTTATAATACAGATGTTGGCAAAGATTCTTTAAACAAGACATACAAAGTAGAAATCAAAAAGAAAATATTCTATATTTTCCTCACATTGACTCTTTTTTTTTATACTTTAAGTTTTAGGGTACATGTGCACAACGTGCAGGTTAGTTACATATGTATACATGTGCCATGTTGGTGTGCTGCACCCATTAATTCATCATTTAACATGAGGTATATCTCCTAATGCTATCCCTCCCCCCTCCCCCCACCCCACAACAGGCCCTGGTGTGTGATGTTCCCCTTCCTGTGTCCATGTGTTCTCATTGTTCAATTCCCACCTATGAGTGAGAACATGTGGTGTTTGGTTTTTTGTCCTTGCGATAGTTTGCTGAGAATGATGGTTTCCAGCTTCATCCATATCCCTACAAAGGACATGAACTCATCATTTTTTATGGCTGCATAGTGTTCCATGGTGTATATGTGCCACATTTTCTTAATCCAGTCTATCGTTGTTGGACATTTGGGTTGGTTCCAAGTCTTTGCTATTGTGAATAGTGCCACAATAAACATACGTGTGCATGTGTCTTTATAGCAGCATGATTTATAATCCTTTGGGTATATACCCAGTAGTGGGATGGCTGGGTCAAATGATATTTCTAGTTCTAGATCCCTGAGGAATCGCCGCACTGACTTCCACAATGGTTGAACTAGTTTACAGTCCCACCAACAGTGTAAAAGTGTTCCTGTTTCTCCACATCCTCTCCAGCACCTGTTGTTTCCTGACTTTCTAATGATCTCCACTCTAACTGGTGTGAGATAGTATCTCACTGTGGTTTTGATTTGCATTTCTCTGATGGCCAGTGATGATGAGCATTTTTTCATGTGTGTTTTGGCTGCATAAATATCTTCTTTTGAGAAGTGTCTGTTCATGTCCTTTGCCCACTTTTTGATGGTGTTGTTTGTTTTTTTCTTGTAAATTTGTTTGAGTTCATTGTAGATTCTGGATATTAGCCCTTTGTCAGATGAGTAGATTGCAAAAATTTTCTCCCATTCTGTAGGTTGCCTGTTCACTCTGATGGTAGTTTCTTTTGCTGTGCAGAAGTTCTTTAGTTTAATTAGATCCCATTTGTCAATTTTGTCTTTTGTTTGCCATCGCTTTTGGTGTTTTAGACATGAAGTCCTTGCCCATGCCTATGTCCTGAATGGTATTGCCTAGGTTTTCTTCTAGGGTTTTTATGGTTTTAGATCTAACATTTAAGTCTTTAATCCATCTTGAATTAATTTTTGTATAAGGTGTAAGGAAGGGATCCAGTTTCAGCTTTCTACATATGGCTAGCCAGTTTTCCCAGCACCATTTATTAAATAGGGAATCCTTTCCCCATTGCTTGTTTTTCTCAGGTTTGTCAAAGATCAGATGGTTGCAGATACGTGGCATTATTTCTGAGGGCTCTGTTCTATTCCATTGGTCTGTATCTCTGTTTTGGTACCAGTACCATGCTGTTTTGGTTACTGTAGCCTTGTAGTATAGTTTGAAGTCAGGTAGCGTGATGCCCTCCAGCTTTGTTTTCTTGGCTTAGGATTGACTTGGCAATGCGGGCTCTTTTTTGGTTCCATATGAACTTTAGAGTAGTTTTTTCCAATTCTGTGAAGAAAGTCATTGGTAACACCCATTAACTTGTCATTTAGCATTAGGTATATCTCCTAATGGGTGCAGCACACCAACATGGCACAGGTATACATATGTAATAAACCTGCACGTTGTGCACATGTACCCTAAAACTTAAAGTATAATAATAATAAAATTTAAAAAAAAAGAAAGTCATTGGTAGCTTAATGGGGATGGCATTGAATCTATAAATTACCTCAGGCAGTATGGCTATTTTCACGATATTGATTCTTCCTATCCATGAGCATGGAATGTTCTTCCATTTGTTTGTATCCTCTTTTATTTCATTGAGCAGTGGTTTGTAGTTCTCGTTGAAGAGGTCCTTCACATCCCTTGTAAGTTGGATTCCTAGGTATTTTATTCTCTTTGAAGCAATTGTGAATGGGAGTTCACTCATGATTTGGCTCTCTGTTTGTCTGTTGTTGGTGTATAGGAATGCTTGTGATTTTTGCACATTGATTTTGTATCCTGAGACTTTGCTGAAGTTGCTTATCAGCTTAAGGAGGTTTTGGGCTGAGATGATGGGGTTTTCTAGATATACAGTCATGTCATCTGCAAACAGGAACAATTTGACTTCCTCTTTTCCTAATTGAATACCCTTTATTTCCTTCTCCTGCCTGATTGCCCTGGCCAGAACTTCCAACACAGTGTTGAATAGGAGTGGTGAGAGAGGGCATCCTTGTCTTGTGCCAGTTTTCAAAGGGAATGCTTCCAGTTTTTGCCCATTCAGTATGATATTGGCTGTGGGTTTGTCATAGATAGCTCTTATTATTTTGAGATACGTCCCATCAATACCTAATTTATTGAGAGTTTTTAGCATGAAGCATTGTTGAATTTTGTCAAAGGCCTTTTCTGCATCTATTGAGATAATCATGTGGTTTTTGTCGTTGGTTCTGTTTATATGCTGGATTACGTTTATTGATTTGCGTATGTTGAACCAGCCTTGCATCCCAGGGATGAAGCCCACTTGATCATGGTGGAGAAGCTTTTTATGCGCTGCTGGATTTGGTTTGCCAGTATTTTATTGAGGATTTTTGCATCGATGTTCATCAGGGATATTGGTCTAAAATTCTCTTTTTTTGTTGTGTCTCTGCCAGGCTTTGGTATCAGGTTGATGCTGTCCTCATAAAATGAGTTACGGAGAATTCCCTCTTTTTCTATTGATTGGAATAGTTTCAGAAGGAATGGTACCAGCTCCTCTTTGTACCTATGGTAGAATTTGGCTGTGAATCCATCTGGTCCTGGACTTTTTTTGGTTGGTAAGCTATTAATTATTGCCTCAATTTCAGAGCCTGTTCTTGGTCTATTCAGAGATTCAACTTCTTCCTGGTTTAGTCTTGGGAGGGTGTATGTGTCGAGGAATTTATCCATTTCTTCTAGATTTTCTAGTTTATTTGCTTAGAGATGTTTATAGTGTTCTCTGATGGTAGTTTGTATTTCTGTGGGATCGGTGGTGATATCCCCTTTATCATTTTTTATTGCATCTATTTGATTCTTTTCTCTTTTCTTCTTTATTAGTCTTGCTAGCGGTCTATCAATTTTGTTGATCTTTTCAAAAAACCAGCTCCTGGATTCATTGATTTTTTGAAGGGTTTTTTGTGTCTCTATTTCCTTCAATTCTGCTCTGATCTTAGTTATTTCTTGCCTTCTGCTAGCTTTTGAGTGTGTTTGCTCTTGTTTCTCTAGTTCTTTTAATTGTGATGTTAGGGTGTCAATTTTAGATCTTTCCTGCTTCTCTTGTGGGCATTTAGTGCTATAAATTTCCCTCTACACACTGCTTTGAATGTGTCCCAGAGATTCTGGTATGTTGTGTCTTTGTTCTCATTGGTTTCAAAGAACATCTTCATTTCTGCCTTCATTTCGTTATGTACCCAGTAGTCATTCAGGAGCAGGTTGTTCAGTTTCCATGTAGTTGAGCGGTTTTGAGTGAGTTTCTTAATCCTGAGTTCCAGTTTGATTGCACTGTGGTCTGAGAGACAGTTTGTTATAATTTCTGTTCTTTTACATTTGCTGAGGAATGCTTCCAACTATGTGGTCAGTTTTGGAATAGGTGTGGTGTGGTGCTGAAAAGAATGTATATTCTGTTGATTTGGGGTGGGAGAGAGTTCTGTAGATGTCTATTAGGTCCACTTGGTACAGAGCTGAGTTCAATTCCTGGATATCTTTGTTAACTTTCTGTCTCGTTGATCTGTCTAATGTTGACAGTGGGGTGTTAAAGTCTCCCATTATTATTGTGTGGGAGTCTAAGTCTCTTTGTAGGTCTCTAAGGACTTCCTTTATGAATCTGGGTGCTCCTGTATTGGGTGCATATATATTTAGGAGAGTTAGCTCTTCTTGTTGAATTGATCCCTTTACCATTATGTAATGGCCTTCTTTGTCTCTTTTGATCTTTGTTGGTTTAAAGTCTGTTTTATCCAAGACTAGGATTGCAACCCCTGCCTTTTTTTGTTTTCCATTTGCTTGGTAGATCTCCCTCCATCCCATTATTTTGAGCCTATATGTGTCTCTGCACGTGAGATGGGTTTCCTGAATATGGCATAGTGATGGGTCTTGACTCTTTATCCAATTTGCCAGTCTGTGTCTTTTAATTGGAGCATTTAGCCCATTTACATTTAAGGTTAATATTGTTATGTGTGAATTCGATCCTATCATTATGATGTTAGCTGGTTAGTTTTCCCATTAGTTGATGCAGTTTCTTCCTAGCATCAATGGTCTTTACAGTTTGGCATGTTTTTGCAGTGGCTGGTACTGATTGTTCCTTTCCATATTTAGTGCTTCCTTCAGGAGCTCTTTTAGGGCAGGCCTGGTGGTGACAAAATCACTCAGCATTTGCTTGTCTGTAAAGGATTTTATTTCTCTTTCACTTTGAAGCATAGTTTGGCTGGATATGAAATTCTGAGTTGAAAATTCTTTTCTTTAAGAATGTTGAATATTGGCCCCCACTCTCTTCTGGCTTGTAGAGTTTCTGCCGAGATATCCGCTGTTAGTCTGATGGGCTTCCCTTTGTGGGTAACCCGACCTTTCTCTCTGGCTGCCCTTAACATTTTTTCCTTCATTTCAACTTTGGTGAATCTGACAATTATGTGTCTTGGAGTTGTTCTTCTCAAGGAGTATCTTTGTGGCATTCTCTGTATTTCCTGAATTTTAATGTTGGCCTGCTTTGCTAGATTGGGGAAGTTCTCCTTGATAATATCCTGCAGAGTGTTTTCCAACTTGGTTCCATTCTCCCCGTCACTTTCAGGTACACCAATCAGATGTAGATTTGGTCTTTTCACATAGTCCCATATTTCTTGGGGGCTTTGTTCATTTCTTCTTATTCTTTTTTCTCTAAACTTCTCTTCTCACTTCGTTTCATTCATTTGATCTTCCATCACTGATACCTTTTCTTCCAGTTGATTGAATGGTCTACTGAGGCTTGTGGATTCGTCACGTAGTTCTCATGCCTTGGTTTTCAGCTCCATCAGGTCCTTTAAGGACTTCTCTGCATTGGTTTTTCTAGTTAGCCATTTGTCTAATTTTTTTTCAAGGTTTTTAGCTTCTTTGCCATGGGTTCAAACTTCCTCCTTTAGCTCAGAGTAGTTTGATCATCTAAAGCCTTCTTCTCTCAACTCGTCAAAGTCATTCTCCATCCAGCTTTGTTCTGTTGCTAGTGAGGAGCTGCGTTCCTTTGGAGGAGGAGAGGTGCTCTGATTTTTAGAGTTTCCAGTTTTTCTGCTCTGTTTTTTCCTCATCTTTGTGGTTTTATCTACTTTTGGTCTTTGATGATGGTGATGTACAGATGGGGTTTTGGTGTGGATGTCCTTTCTGTTTGTTAGTTTTCCTTCTAACAGTCAGGACCCTTAGCTGCAGGTCTGTTGGAGTAAGCTGGAGGTCCACTCCAGACCCTGTTTGCCTGGGTATCAGCAGCGGAGGCTGCAGAATAGCGGATATTGGTGAACAGCAAATGTTGCTGCCTGATCATTCCTCTGTAAGTTTTGTCTCAGAGGAGTACCCGGCTGTGTGAGGTGTCAGTCTGCCCCTACTGGGGGGTGACTCCCAGTTAGGCTACTTGGGGAGGCAGTCTGTCTGTTTTCAGATCTCCAGCTGCTGCTTGGGGAGGCAGTCTGTCTGTTCTCAGATCTCCAGCTGCATGCTGGGAGAACCACTACTCTCTTCAAAGCTGTCAGACAGCGACATTTAAGTCTGCAGAGGATTCTGCTGCCTTTTGTTTGGCTATGCCCTGCCCCCAGAGGTGGAGTCTACAGAGGCAGGCAGGCCTCCTTGAGCTGTGGTGGGCTCCACCCAGTTCGAGCTTCCCGGCTGCTTTGTTTACCTACTCAAGCCTCGGCAATGGCGGGCGCCCCTCCCCCAGCCTCACTGCTGACTTGCAGTTTGATCTCAGACTGCTGTGCTAGCAATGAGCGAGGCTCCGTGGGTGTAAGACCCTCTGAGCCAGGCACGGGATATAATCTCCTTGTGTGCCGTTTGCTAAGACCGTTGGAAAAGCGCAGTATTAGGGTGGGAGTGACCCAATTTTCCAGGTGCTGTCTGTCACCCCTTTCTTTGACTAGGAAAGGGAATTCACTGACCCCTTTTGCTTCCTGGGTGAGGCGATGCCTCGCTCTGCTTCGGCTCACGCTCGGTGCGCTGCACCCACTGTCCTGTACCCACTTTCTGACACTCCCCAGTGAGATGAACCCGGTACCACAGTTGGAAATGCAGAAATCCGTCTTCTGCATCGCTCACACTGAGAGCTGTAGACTGGAGCTGTTCCTATTCTGCCATCTTGGTTCCACCCTCTGAATCTTAAATCTTTTGTATGACTGAAGACACCATACACAAAATTCAAAGACAAGCCACACAGCCACACATACGGAGATGTTTCCAGTACCTTTAGTCAGCAAAGGAATGGTAACCAGAATATGTATGTAAATAAGTCTTACAAACCCAAAAGAAAAGCTAAAGAACATAATGGGAACCAGAGCTAAGGAAAATAACCTGTCAATTCATTGAGAAGAAAACTCAGCCAGTAAACATTTGAATAGGAGCACAAATGCATCAGTGATTAATAAGAAGCATTTGAAAACAAATTCCTTTTTACACACCAGGTAAAAAGTTTAATAATTCCAAGTCTTGGTGAAGCTTCAGAGAGACAGGGATTTTTATACACTGTTGACACACAAATAAGTAGGTAACAATGATTTTGGGGAGCAATTTAGCATTGTGCACTAAAGTGAAAGATGCTAATGCTTTATGACCTTAGAATTCTACTATTTGGTGTATATATACTAAAGATACTCAGACCCAGGTGCTGAAGTGAGATTCCCACAAGGAAGTCTTTTTCAGCATGGTTTGTTGTAGCAAATTGAAAACAATATACATGTCTATCAATATGAGAGTGGATAAATAAATTGTATATTATAAATTGTATGTTCACCTAATACACCTGCACAGCTATTACAATGAATGAACTAGGAGTCCTGCACACATGTGGAGCATTTGAAAACCTTAATCTCATGTAAAGTGTGCAGTGCATACAGCTGAAAAGCTTGCAAACAATGTCTATGTTTTTATGGCTATGCACATGTAGTAAAAGTAAAGTCACAAGGAGTGAGGTGGTTACACCTGGGGATAGATGCAGGTGAATGGGATTTGAAGGATTTATAAAGGGAACTTCAGCTGTTTCCATCTGCAACCATCTATTTTCTCAGAAAAAGTGTGATTTGAAGAAAACATGTCAAAATATTAATGTCTATTAGATCTAGATGGTGGGGAATACAAATGATTTTTTCCCCCTCAGGATATATCACAATTTGGATAAAGATGTGGTGAGTGAATAAGTTATAGGAATTTTAAAAAGAAAAAAATAGTGAAGAGTAGTAAGGGGCGTTTAACAGCCAGACACCTCAGCCCTTATTCGTTCTTTCTCACAAATGAATGAATTTGCTGTCCCTGTGGGCTGCCGGGCAACTAAAATCCCTTTATCACAGATCCCAAAGCAGGGATTCTTGCTTTGGGTGAGCTTCTTTTAGACAACTTAGAACTTTAATTTTTTTACAGATTTAATGTGCTAGTGAATCTTTGACCAAAAATATTTGTCAGCATTCCAGGTGTGAATATGATAGAGGCCTTCAGAATGATTGTCTAGGTCGGCTGACCCCAACCTTTTTGGCAGCAGGGACCACTTTCATGGAAGACAATTTTTCCAACAGGGTTTTGAGCTCCTATGGAAATCTAATGCCACCATTGATCTGACAGGAGGCAGAGCTCAGGCAGTAATGCTCTCTTGCCCGCTGCTCACTTCTTGCTGTGTCGCCTGGTTCCTAGCAGGCCACAGACCAGCAGCACTCTGTGACCTGGGGTTTGGGGACCCCGCTCTAGGGTGTTTTGAGTGTAGCAGTTGGCCTGGAGCAGGCATATGTGGAGTGCTGTCAGAATGAATGGGGCAATTTAGAAGAAAAAGCTTTGCTCTGGTCCTCTCCTTTCTCCTTGCTGGTCAGAGCCACTGCCTATTGTGGTTCCTGCCTCAGTAAGTTCTGCTGACTGCCATCCTCCCTGGGCACTCTGCATTGTCCAGTCTGCTATTTTCAGGTGCCTGGTGTATAGACCTTCAGATTATTCTCCTTCAGGACTGTGTATCATTGTGTGAGGGGACTAAAGGCAGCTAAGTTAGAGACTGGAAACTCTGAGTTACTGAATTCATCAGGACTCTTTTGTTGTAAATGACAGAAAACCAACTTAAACAAGCTTAAGTCAACAATAACATATGTGTATGGCAGGGGAGAGTTCTGTCTCTTTTGGCTTACATCATGAAATCCCAAGGAAAAGCAGGCCTGGAATAGAGCCTGCCTCGGGGTTGTGGGGTCAGACTTCACTGGGGCTCCCCATCTCTTCTCTAATTTTGGGGTGACAGCCCAACTAACCTTTTCTTAAGGCAAGAACTATGGCTGCAGGCAAATCCTGGATTACATCCTTCCAAACTCACTACCAGAGAAAAAGGAGGACAGTGCAAATGGTCCCAAATGGCACTGCACTGGGCAGTGCAACCTTCACAAATTTACTTTCCCTGATTAAGTCTGGAAAAATCCCAAGAAATTATTTTGATCAGCCTGGCTTAGGGTACATCTGCACTCTAGCTGTGGGACCTTGACTTAATTTACCTAATTTCTCTTTGTTTTAATTTCCTTTACAAAGGAATAAGAATAATTCTAAGAATAGAATATCCCTCATAAGGTTGTAGGGATGATCCATGCAAAGCATTTAGTACTGTGCTGGGCTCAGGGTAAACAATAAACATGGTACCAAACAAGCCTTAGGCTGATGTCACCAGGCTGGTGAAGAGCTATGAATGCCTGAGCCTGGCTGAAGATGCCTCACCTAGTGCCAGGGGCTATGACCTGTTTGACAAGGATGCTAGGCAGAGCCAAAGGATGGGCACCCTGGTACTTACTCCAGGTTTTCCACTTCTGCTGCTGCAGATGCCCGCTTGGTTCTTGAAGAATGTTCAGGGCTCCAATGCCTCTCTTTCCTCTGATATCTGTGTGCTTAGCATTAGTTTTATTTTCTTTGTTTGTTTTTTGGCAGGCCTTCAGGGGGTCTGATGCACTATTGTCCTGAACTCTACTGCTTTGAATGCATGGCTTGGTGGGTTATAGCTCCTTATCTGCTCCTTGAAGTGAGTGATAGCTACAAATGGTCCCTGGATTCAGGCATCCCTGGCCCATACATCTCTCCACCTAACCCTTAACCTCAGCTCCTAAGGCTTGACTGCTGAATGAATGTTCTGTCAACTGGATACCTCTGGTAAGATAAAACAAGGGGTGGAAGGGCATTCCTTTTGTCAAGGCACCCTGGGTAGACAAGTGTTTACTCACTTAACTAGAGAAGTACAGGCATTTATACATATCTGTGCTGGAAAAGATTGCAGAAAGTTAAAGGTGTCAATTAAAAGTAAAATTTTAAGCCTCTCAATTACTGAACAGACCATCTCTTGGCCAAAGGGATGGCAGAGTAACCTTGAAAACTGAATTCTTTGCCATGGGGGATGGGGGATCAGACATGCCTCATTATACCCCCTCCCTTGCTAACCATCATGAGGCTTTCTTCCCTAAGGGTTAAACAGAAACCAGCCCTTTCAAAAGACTCCACCACTGGTATCAATCAACTGCCTGATTCTGCCCCTCCTTTTTTGCCTGATAAGAGACTACTGGCCAGAGAGTGGTTTAGGCCAGTCTAAGGAGAATGCAAAGTAAGGCTTTTTGTGACCCATGCCTCACCTATTGATGTCAGAGGGCCAAAAACTCTACCCTCAGATCATGAAAATGCTGCCATTTTTTGAACATGGGTCCTGTGGAGGGGCATGAAGCTGAATTGCACATGCACACATTTCTCCTTTTGTAAATATTAATGACTCCTCCTATAGCTTATTGAATATGTATTTTTGGCCACTGCTCTCAGCATAAATTCCTGTTCCCTTTGCCTCTTCCTTGAAGTGTCTGCTTTCGGCTTCTGGCCAGAGGCTATGCTTCCCAGCCTGTCAGAATGGCCAGCCTGCAGCCTGAAACCCTTTATGAGAAATAAAGCTCTCATTTCCAAATTTATGAGCCTAATTCTCCAGTTGACAAAGGAAACATCTGAAGCAGGAACAAAGAAACCTTTAGTGATTGTTTTTACTGCACTCCCACATCATCTTATTTAACTTTACAAAGAGCCTACAATGACAGTATGTATATTCTCATTTGTTGATGGAGAAATTAAGGCTCAGAGAAGATAACTTGCTCAAGGTTGCACACACTTTGCAGAAGAAAGGAAAGAAAAAGAATGAGGATGAGGAAGTGTGGTTGTGGCAGCATGGTATACTTGACTTCAATTACTTTTTCAATTATTTTCACTTACCTTTCAATTATTTATGTACTGTTCTCTGTGTGCTAACTATATGCTCAGCCATGTGCCAGGTCATATGGAATAAGCAAACATTTTTCTGGTTCAGAAAACTGAAAGTCTATTGTGAAGACAGTTTGCAAAATCAAAAGAGAGGCCAGGCATGGTGGCTCACGCCTCTAATCCCAACACTTTGGGAGGCCGAGGTGGGTGGATCACGAGGTCAGGAGATCGAGACCATCCTGGCCAACATGGTGAAACCCTGTCTCTACTAAAAATACAAAAATTAGCTGGGCATGATGGCACGTGCCTGTAATCCCAGCTATTCCAGAGGCTGAGGCAGGAGAACCCCTTGAACCAGGGAGTCAGAGGTTGCAGTGAGCCGAGATTGTGCCACTACACTCCAGCCTGGTGACAGAGTGAGACTCCATTTCAAAACAAAACATAACAGAAAACAAAATCAAGAGAGATGAGGGTAAGTTTAAAGTAATAGATAAAATGGGATCTACTATAGACAGGATGTTAGAACACCAGGCATTGGTCTCATGAGCTGGACAACAGCCAGGTGAGGCCTGGAGGGAGAAGGCTAGACTCTGGGTCACACACGTTGACGTAAGTGGAAAATAAAAAAAAAAAAAAAAAAAGGAGGCAGTCTCTATACAAACAGTTTATTGGGACCAAGTTTGAGAATTGTAACTCAGGAGCATAAATTCAAGTTGTCCTGAATATAGCTGTAGTTACAAGTGGGTTTCTAAAGGAAAAGAAGAAGCAGTTTCTAAATTGCTTGCCAACAATTTACATAAAAATAACATAAGCTATTGATTGGCTATACATTGTTCTTTGTATCATAAATTCCAGGAACGTGAAGATAAGCTAGTCAGGAACAAAATGCCTTTAAACAATTGTCCCCAGGAATGAGTGGGGAAGTGTGACTGAAGTCCCATACTCAGGTCTCCCTGGGCCTAATAAATTTTGCATACCTCACAGAGCTCAGACTGCCGTGAGCTATTTTTATTTTCTCACAGAAAACATACAGGTGGATATCCACTCTATTGAACCATTTGGTTTTGCAGAGGAAACCTCTCCTCTGCTTCTCTTAAATGTCCCTCTGGATGCAGCCCCCAGGCTGTAAGCCTATCTAGTATTATGAATCCCAGGAAAGAGAGAGGAGATGGTATAGACATTCCATTTTTCATTGAGCTTCAAACTTCTGTTTTGCAAAAACGAAGGGCAACTTCCATGGACCAAAAACTATTATTTTGCTGAGAAAGCGGTTTTTGAGACTAAAAATGCTGACTTTCCATGGGAAAAAGAAAAAAAAGCCAAATTCATGCCTGCAAGTAAATTTGCAGAAAATACGTGTTTGTGTTGCCAAAGCAGAATTTTTTTTCATCTCACCTTCCACCTTTTTTTTCCCCCCATTTTCACCATAACATAACATATTCTTTGGAGGGAAAATGATGTAACTAATCCCAGATCCAATAAGTAAAAGATTGAAAGTGACTCATCATTTTGAGTTGGCAATATGTTTCTCTGATTCTCTTAATGTACCCATGTAATCATGCATAGCACATGACCACTGTGGGGGTTAGGAGAATAGATTCCATGTATATTGCTGATTAGCTGTCAATTTGTGTGGGTCGCTTTTATTTTCTGGGCCCTTTGCCTCACTGTGTCCCAATATGCGAAGTGGCTCTCCAGTTTTCAAACTCGGCTCTGCAGAGCCTTCTTAGGGGTCCCCCTGAGAGACACAGGCAAGATGCAGGGGGTTAAGTACATGAGCCTCTAGACTCCTTCACTTCTAATCACTGCTTCAGACTAGATGCACTTTTATTCGTTTGAAAAATTTATACCTTCTGGTAAAATTTCAATGAAGAAAGACTTTTGCTGATTGGTTTCATTCTAACACCCATGGCTTTAGGTCTTCAAACTGAGTGTCTCTAACACATTGGGACTTGCTGCTGCTCTGAAACAGATGCTGTTTTTTCTTCAACTGAATTCATCACCAAAGGCTAGGTTGGGTCTACCTATTTGGGCTTCAGAAAAGGGATGGAGCCTCAATATTTGGTGCAGTCCTAGCCTTATGGGAGAGGTAGAGATGTAACTGTAGGAGGTAATTTGTTAACACAAGTTATATTCCTGCCATGGCAAGCTTAATCACAAGTGTAGCCTGGGTGGTGCTATGTGATGGATTTCAGGAAGTCCACACTGCCTCAGGAAGTTATCACCCTGCCCACCTGCCTGATGAATGGTATTCTACCAGCAACATCCACCTTCAATGTCAATGGAAGTTGAGCTTTTAGATTTAGGCTTTAACCCCCTTGGTCGAGTTGACAGCCTTGGGAGTGAGTCCCTAGACAGTGAAGCAGACACAGGCTCTTTTTTACCTATTCAATAACTGAGAACATAGTTTTTCAGGGGTGCTTGAGCCAGTAAGATATCATGGGATTTGGAGGACAACTGAAAGAAAAAAATGCCAAAAATAGATCTTTCCCCAGTTTTCTGGTTTCCGCTATATAGCCAAACTGCAGCTGTCAGAAAGTCATGGAATGTCCAACAGAAAGACTTCTGGAGGCATGGACTTCAAACTCTGACCAGCACAGAAGTTTTTTCTACACTATCCAGACACATAGTGACCCTGATTTTGCATACCCTCTTGATGGAAGTTGTTGAAAGACACAATTTCGACAAATTTAGTTTAAAGATCTCCTTGGCCTTTATTAGCATTTTATGAATGGGAGCAGCATCTTATTCTATAAAATAGAATAGGTGCTCCCACAAGCTAAGCAAAGGAAGTGGACTTTATGGCAGAAAAGGGCTGAAGAAAGCAGAAATTGGTAACAAAAGGAGGACTGATTGTTTCAGAGTTACTTTCAATATAGGGTTATAACAGAGGGGAATTCCTTATCAAGAGGATTCCTGTAAACTGGGCTTCTTCTGATTGGCTGCAGTGAGTCTCTCTCTCTTTTTTTTTTTTTTTTTAACTGGGCCATTTCAAGTTCAATTTGATTGGTGGCACATAGCATGAGTGACGATATTCTGGTTTGGTCTAGTATGTTGGGGCCTAGTACTGGAGCTTAGGTCAAAACAATAGCTTCCCATACATTTTTGTTTAACAAAGAGAACTCTTTGTTTCACAATCAAGACTAGTCCAGGTATGGTGCATCCTGGCTAAGAGGAAAGTTTTTCCTTATAATAATTTAAAACTCTGAGCATCTCAGTAATTTCCAGCCTTTATCCTGGGAGTTCTGTAGGATTAATCTGTTACTTCTCTGAAAAAAGTCTCTCCAGGGGTTTAAATGGTAATATCTCTCATGTCCCCTGCTGATTACTCACCTATCACCATGTGGCTTTTCTCCTCTGGTTAAACATTTCACTTTTCTTCTTTCTTCTCTCATGACCGGGCTTCTAAGCCTCTCACCTCTCTGGCCTCACATCTGGATGCATCATGGTGACCTGTCCAGGTCCCTTTTAAGGTTCCAAGCCCAGAACATAACACAATCACAATGAGCACAGGAACATGGGACTGCTCCTCCACTGGCATGGACAGAGGGTTATACTTGCTATGTTAGGACTATCTCAGCTTTTCTAGTGTCTGCATCCAACTGTTGATACATTTGTACTTAAGAAACATTTCTCAGTCCTTCTTCATGTGAATGGCTCTTGAATCCCTTTTCTCCAATCCTGTTCCCAAGGAGTTGATTTTATTTTATTTTATTTTATTTATTTATTTATTTTTTTTTTTAGACAGAGTCTCACTCTGTCACCCAGGCTGCAGTGCAGCAGCGTGATCTTGGCTCACTGCAACCTCTGCCTCCCAGGTTCAAGCAATTCTCTGCCTCAGCCTCCCGAGTAGCTGGGATTACAGGCACCTGCCACCAGCCTAGCTAATTTTTGTATTTTTAGTAGAGATACAGTTTCATCATGTTGGCCAGGATGGTCTTGAACTCCTGACCTCGGGATCCACCCGCCTCAGCCTCCCAAAGTGCTAGGATTACAGGCATGAGCCACCATGCCCGGCCCCCAAGGAGTTGATTTTTAAAACTTAGATGGAAGCCTGTACATTCTTCCTTGGTAAACTCAGTATTGTTAATCATTGGTCGATGTCTTCAGTTTAGGACTTGTTGCTTATCCTGTTTGCCACCTCTTTGGGACCATTTCAGGAAGACACCTGAGGAGATCACTTGCTGGAATTCACTCTGTTTGCTGGACCCTGGGTCCTGAGGCCCCAGGAGTAGTGCTTGGGCAGGGCAAGCCCTAAGCAAGTAATTGAATGAATGAATGAATGAATGACTAAGGTGAAGTAGAGCCTTTGTGGCCCACCCCAACATTATGTGGGGGTGGTCAACACATTTAGGCATAAATCTGCTTTCTGCATCCTTGGACTGTATGTCATCCCATAGTTCTCTATCTCATCTTCATACCATGAGCTATTTTGTCAAATCTCTTATAAAAATTAAGATACATTTGGCTGGGTCAAATGGTATTTCTAGTTCTAGATCCCTGAGGAATCGCCACAGTGACTTCCACAATGGTTGAACTAGTTTACAGTCCCACCAACAGTGTAAAAGTGTTCCTATTTCTCCACATCCTCTCCAATACCTGTTGTTTCCTGACTTTTTAATGATTGCCATTCTAACTGGTGTGAGATGGTATCTCATTGCGGTTTTGATTTGCATTTCTCTGATGGCCAGTGATGGTGAGCATTTTTTCATGTGTTTTTTGGCTGCATAAATGTCTTCTTTTGAGAAGTGTCTGTTCATGTCCTTTGCCCACTTTTTGATGGGGTTGTTTTTTTTCTTGTAAATTTGTTTGAGTTCATTGTAGATTCTGGATATTAGCCCTTTGTCAGATGAGTAGGTTGCGAAAATTTTCTCCCATTTTGTAGGTTGCCTGTTCACTCTGATGGTAGTTTCTTTTGCTGTGCAGAAGCTCTTTAGTTTAATTAGATCCCATTTGTCAATTTTGGCTTTGGTTGCCATTGCTTTTGGTGTTTTAGACATGAAGTCTTTGCCTATGCCTATGTCCTGAATGGTAATGCCTAGGTTTTCTTCTAGGGTTTTTATGGTTTTAGGTCTAACGTTTAAGTCTTTAATCCATCTTGAATTAATTTTTTATAAGGTGTAAAGGATCCAGTTTCAGCTTTCTACATATGGCTAGCCAGTTTTCCCAGCACCATTTATTAAATAGGGAATCCTTTCCCCATTGCTTGTTTTTGTCAGGTTTGTCAAAGATCAGATAGTTGTAGATATGCGGCATTATTTCTGAGGGCTCTGTTCTGTTCCATTGATCTATATCTCTGGTATATACCCAAAGGACTATAAATCATGCTGCTATAAAGACACATGCACATGTATGTTTATTGCGGCACTATTCACAATAGCAAAGACTTGGAACCAACCCAAATGTCCAACAATGATAGACTGGATTAAGAAAATGTGGCACATATACACCATGGAATACTATGCAGCCATAAAAAATGATGAGTTCATGTCCTTTGTAGGGACATGGATGAAATTGGAAATCATCATTCTCAGTAAACTATCGCAAGAACAAAAAACCAAACACCGCATATTCTCACTCATAGGTGGGAATTGAACAATGAGAACACATGGACACAGGAAGGGGAACATCACACTCTGGGGACTGTTGTGGGGTGGGGGGAGGGGGGAGGGATAGCTTTAGGAGATATACCTAATGCCAAATGATGAGTTAATGGGTGCAGCACACCAGCATGGCACATGTATACATATGTAACTAACCTGCACATTGTGCACATGTACCCTAAAACTTAAAGTAAAATAAAAATAAAATAAAATAAAATAAAAAAAGAAAAAATATATAAAAATTAAGATACGTTTTATCTAAGAAGAAAATGAGACTATTTTTCCTTTTTGTGGCTAACTCACATGTGATTTCTGTGACTGCTTTCTGATGTAAGAGATTCCAATCACTTTCTCCTCCCTGGGGTAGAGTTTTAGTTGGAGCCGAAAGACTCGAACTAATTTAAAGGGACTACATATTAAAATTCTAATTAAATACACACACATACACAGGCACACACAGACTAATGGAGTGTTAGAGAAAATATGAGTAGTATTTAATAATGTTCAGCACTGAACATTATGGTTTGTGGATGTTTGTAGAGGTTTATTTTTTTCTTCTCTCTGCCTTTCACTTTTTTTCCAATTGGTTTACCATGTGTATGAATTACCCATTTTATAATCAGACCTAGAGATTTTTAAAAAGTGGATATGTGTTTTGCCACCATCCTTTCAATTATATTGGGCTTTAATTTCATCTTAGCCATGTTATTCTGCTGTTCCAGTTAAAGTTCATTAACACTATCAGAGGAAACAGAGCAAAATAGGAAGGGAGGAACTAAGATTTCACACTGTTATCTCTTAACCTGATATTATCTTCAAAGACCAATAGGCTTATCCCTCCCCTAATGTCTTTACAATCACAGTTGTACTTTTTGTAAAAGTGTTTAATGCCTTCAATCTCTTCCACGCTGTAGCCTCCCTGATACCATTTATATAAGTTCATGGGATGTATGAGGTATGTATGTGTTATATGTGCATATATATATATATAAAATATATGTGTGTGTATACATATATAGGTGGAATGTGTATGTATGCGTGTATATATGTATATTTATATACACACATATATATGTATATATACACATACATATATGTATATATACACACATATATACATATAAAAACAAAACTGATCGGGGTAAATAGTTATGGAGCATATGATCTGCTAAGCTTCAGGCTTATAGATGATTTAGGAAAAGAAAAGCTGTGGTCTCTGACCTCAGGAAGCATCCATTTTAATTAAGTGGTAGGACTTTCATATAGGGAGCTAGCATAGGCCATCCAACAGTGTGAGATTATATAAAGGAAGCTATAAATTTTCTCCAAAAACCATGATAAAGGGCACAGAAGGAAATATTAAATCCCAAGGCTAACATGAGCAAATTTTGGAGAGGGTTATGAATCTTTTCCTAACATCCTGATGTGAAAGAAGGCATAGCTTTGATTATTGTGATTCATTATATGAAGAAACTGAGACACAGAGAAAATACCTTAGTTCATTAGTAATTATACACTGGCACATGTGGAACTAGAATTCAAGATTTTCAGCATAGGCTATTGCTGCCTCTCCCCTCTCTCTGTCTCTGAAGCACACACACATTCACAGTCTCTACCCCACACCCAATTTTGCTGCTTCTCCTTCAAGTTCTGTGTCCTCTTGCCAGATGTTGTCACCTGTCTTTTCTCAGAAGGCCTTGGTAAAGTTACACAGCTGAGCCCAGCAGGCGCCTGCCCCAGGCCAAACAAACAAACAGAAGAGAAATCTTTCAGGCTGGGCACCAGGGAAAAGTGATCTTGATGCCGTCCGTGGCATGAGCCGAGGCAATTGATGACTTGGCATTCTGTCCCCGAGTCATCAATCATACAGAATCAATCTCGGCTCCCTCAGGAGCTAGCCCCCGGCTCACATAATTCTCTCCCTGCCACCAACCTGAGCAGTCTGATCCCAGTGGTGGGAACTGTTTTGTTCTGCATTCAGCATTGATTCACTTGGCCTTCAGTAGTATTTTCTATATTCCCTAGAAATGTCACTTAATTTATCCTCTCAGAGGTGGCTAAGTTGCCTGGGCCTCACTGCATCAAAAGGAACAGACAAGCAAAGAAACATGCTTCGCTTCTCACATCAAAGGAATGGGACTGAGGGCCCCTAGACCTGAAAATCAGAGTCTTAGGTTCCTCTGCTCAACACTGAGGATGGGGCAGGTGTTTAGCACAGAGGTCCAGGGCAAGGACTGTCAGTCAGAAGGCCCTGCTTCGTTTCCATGACTTGGCTACTTCCTGGCTGTGTGATCTTGAATACGGTACCTAGTCACTGTCACTTAGTGCCTCAGCTTCCTCATCAGGTAAGTAGTGATAATAGTAGCACTTGCCTCTTGGAGTTGTAGGATTATATTAAATGAAGATATGAACCAAAAATAAAATCCCTAGCCCCCCGGCCAACTGAATGGACCCCTTCTGGGCCAAGAAAACCTGAAAAATGAAATTTTCAGTCATGTCAAGAAGGGAGGTCAGACACGCCTCGTTATATCCCCTTCCTTTTGGAGTTGAGGCACAGCTGACCAGCATTAACAATAACATGAAGATTGTAACACTCACAACAGACTCTTTGTGACAATAGATACCAAATTCCAACGGGACTCTGGGATAGCATCGCATGACAGATACAGGCCCTGAAGGCCATAAAAATATTTTACCCTCAAATATATTTCTTTGACATATTTTGAAATGGTCTTTCCAAGCTGTCTTGTGGGGGAAATTTATATCTGTTGAGAAACCCCTTCCCTTTCTAGATCTTTTTCAGATCCAGAATATATTTAATTTTTTTTTTTTTTTGAGACAGGGTCTCCTTTTGTCACCCAGGCTGGAGTGCAGTGTCAAGATCATAGCTCACTGCAGTCTCAGCCTCCTTGGCTCAAGCGATCATCCTGCCTCAGCCTCCGGAGTAGCTGGGACCATAGGTGTATGCCACCAGGAGAGATTTAACCAAGAGTCTGACACATTTTAAGGTCTGAAAAGAGAAATTAACCATCTATTCTCTCTGAAGCCTGCTACTAGGAGAGGCCTCTTTTACATAACAAGAACCTTGGCTTCCACAACCCCCCTTAACTCAAAACCTCTTTCTACTGACTTCAAGTCTTTATACAAAGCTTAACTCTTTTAACCAATTGCCAACTGGAAAATCTTTGAATCCACCTATGACCAGTAAGCCCCACACTTTAAGACATCCTGCCTTTCTGATCAAAACCAAAGTATACCTTCCATATACTGACTTATGTCTTTGGCTGTAACTTCTGTCCCTCTAAAAATGTATGAAGCTAAGTTGTAACCTGACAATCTGACCACTGCAGGCACACTTTTTCAGGACCTCTTTTTTTTTTGAGGCAGGATCTCACTCTGTCACCCGGACCAGAGTGCAGTGGTGCGATCATGGCTCACTGCAACCTCTGCCTCCCAGGCTCAAGCCATTCTCCTGCCTCAGCCTCCTGAGTAGCTGGAATTACAGGCACACCACTACCGCCCAGCTAATTTTTGTATTTTTAGTAGAGATGGGGTTTCACCATGTTGGCCATGCTGGCCTCGAACTCCTGATTTCAAATGATCCGCTCGCCTTGGTCTCCCAAAGTGCTGGGATTACAGGTGTGAGCCACTGCGCTTGGACTCAGGACCTCTTGAGACTATACCTTAGGCCATGGCCACTCATACTGGCTCAGAATAAACCTCTTGAAATATTTTACAGAGTTTTTTTTTTTTAATCAACAAGAGACATAAATGCTTCACACAGTTGTATGGGGACAGACATGTTCAATAAGTGTGTTATTAATATTGCTATTGTTAGAACACACTTAGGATTTGTAGGGTTGACTATACATGTAATACAGTTGGCAGCCATGAGAGAAAAGGTTTTCAGAAATTGGCCTATCCAGAAAGAACTATTCTTTTTTTTTTTTTTTTTCTTTTTTTTTGAGACAGTCTCACTCTGTCGCCCAGGCTGGAGTGCAGTGGCACAATCTTGGCTCACTGTAACCTCTGCCTCCCGGGTTCAAGCAGTTCTCTGCCTCGGCCCCCGAGTAGCTGGAATTACAGGTGCCCGCCACCACGCCCCACTAATTTTTTGTATTTTTAGTAGAGATGGGGCTTCACCATCTTGGCCAGGCTGGTCTTGAACTCCTGACCTCATGATCCACCCACCTCGGCAGAACTATTCTTCTAACTTGTCTCAGAATCCAATAACTGACCAGCACTTAATCACTTCCATATCTGAAAACATAAGCCTTTCCTTCCCATACAATAGGGAGTGGGCCCCAGAGAAACTGGCTCTGCAGAGAGTGGTATGTGGGGGATGGAAGAGAAGGAGGAGATGGAGGAGGTTAAGATGCAACGTTGTGAACTCAATCAGTTTTCTGAAGGCCAGCTCAGAGGGATGTGCACAGATGAAGGGAGAGTCCTCATACCTTCCATGCAAAGACCTTCTCTTTATTCCATTTTGTAAAAGGAGCCTTTCTGATAAGTGATACGGACTTGCTGGGACCAAGCAGGGAAAAGAGGAAAGGAAGGACAAAGGGCTCAGGAGTGAGTCAGGCTGCAATCTCTGGGAGGAAGCACTGCCCAGAGGGGTGTGGGATCTTGACAGGGGGCAGCCATGGAATTCACGGAACTTCCCTCCCAATCTAGATGGTGAGTGTCTCCACATCTGTCTGTCCCTCTCTCCTAGCAACTGGAATTGTCTTTTCCAAGAGATTTGGAGGGCTGCTTTATTTGTTAGGAGACAAGAAGGCACTAATAAATTCCTCTGTGTGAGGTATTTAATTACATAATAATGTGTACACTAATCAGGGTAAATGTGTTTGTGAAAACACCTTGATATGGGAACAGTTAATCACCCAAGGCATTGCTTCTTAACACACCTTGGAAGTTAACTTAATTAATTAGAACAATGAAAAAATTGAACCGTTTATTGGTCCACAATGGCCTGAAGAAATGCTCCCCTCAAATGCAGGAACATCTCCCACACTGCAAACTACTTTTCCCCAAACCCTCAGACCTTATGGTTATGGTCACACCCCAGGAGCTTGCAGACGGCAAAGACTTCCCCTGTGCCTTACCCTGGAGTCATTTCCTGTTGGAGACATAAGACAATCAGTCTATGTACCTGCCTGCATGCGTGCACACACACACACTCACATACATGCCCCTTTTGTGCACTTTACCAGAAGCTCAGGGAAATTGAATAAGTTTTTACCCAGGATTCCACAAGTGTGCAGTTTGTAGTGAACCACTGTGAGGGCCAGCTTGTGTATTCAAAAGGGAGGAGGGGAAGAATGATTTTTGAGGGATTTTTATAATTACCATCATTGTCATTACCACATCATTATTGTCTGTTAATAATGATTATGTTAGTAATCTGAATTTGCCTATTGTTTTAAAAAAAAATCCCACTATTTCTTAACCCCACTTCCCTCTCCACTTGGGCCTTGTATAAAGTGATAGAAAAGGCAAGATGTCTGCCCCTGGGGGGTCTACAGACTGTGTTATCCAGCCCTGACAAGAACAAACGTAAAAGGCATGCTGACAACTGAACATTGAACAGTGTGCACCTTAAATCAATCATTGTCTTAGTCTGATGCTATAACAGAATACCACAGACTAGGTAATTTATAAAGCAAAGAGATTTATTTGGCTTATGCTTCTGAAGGCTGGAAAGTCCAAGATCAAGACATTGCATCTGGTTAGGGCCTTCTTTTTGCATCATAACATGGTGGAGGGCATCCCATGTTGAGAAAGGGTGCTTTTGAGACAGAGCAGAAAATGGGCCTCATCCTTTTATCAGAAATCCACTCCCTTGCTAAGTAACCCACTCCAACCATAATGACATTAATCCATTTATAAGGGCAGGACCCTCATGACATAATCACCTGTTAAAGGTACTGCCTCTCAACACTCTTACAATGGTAATTAAATTTCAACATAAGTTTCAGAGGGGACTTTCAAATCATAGCAATCATTGAAGAGTGAGCTTCTTGCACAGTGTAGAATCTGAGGATCCCGTGGGGAGAGAGTCTTTTTGGGAGAGGAGTGCTCTGGGTAATGAGGGTAATAGGACCCTAGAGATTGTCCCTCTGAGAGGATTCATTTTATTCATGAATTCTTTTTTTGTGATGGAGTCTTGCTCTGTCGCCAGGCTGGAGTGCAGTGGTGCCATCTCAGCTCACTGCACCCTCCACCTCCCGGGTTCAAGAGATTCTCCTGACTCAGCCTCCTGAGTAGCTGGAACTACAGGCATGTGCCACCACACCCGGCTGATTTTTGTATTTTTAGTAGAGACGGGATTTCACCATGTTGGCCAGGATGGTCTCGATTTCCTGACCTTGTGATCTGCCCCCGTCAGCCTCCCAAAATGCTGGGATTACAGGTGTTATTAATGAATTCTTATTGCATTATGCCCCTCAAGAACCCCAAAAGGCCAAAAAAAAAAAAAAAAAAAGAAAAATATCAAAAATATCTTCCATTCTTTCATGCAGTTGGATAACTTCCATGGTAGAGTTCATACATAAAACCGCGAATAGCATGTGGGGCAGGGAGATACATGCCCAGAGGGAGCCACAGGCCAGTGCAGGAGGGGCTGACTCCTGGGACCCTAGATGGTTTATGTGGCAGTCACACACCTTTGCACGCCTGCTATGATGACACAAACTGTTGGAGAACTCGGATGTGTCTATGCAATTCTATGGGTCCAATCGGGCCAAAGCAGATCTAAAAGTCTGGGTGGAAGTTCCCATCTATTTAGGTGCATTTGGCTCATGTCTGTTCACTTGTCCATCTTGCAATTCAGTTCTGTCCATTTCATTTGATCTTATTAAATTCAAATGTATATTGAAGTCTGAGATCTGACCTTAAGAATCTTCATGTTGTTTTGCCCAATAGTTTCAGTGCCCCCAAGAAATAAAGCAGAAGGGCAGCTTGCTGCCACACAACCTGGTGCTTTCCTCTAATTCTGGGCAGATCTTGAGTCCTGAGTTCCTGCCTTTATTCCTAAGCTAGAAAAGTAGCTGAACAAACAGAGGAGAACTAGGATCCCTTTTACTTGGCCTTTCTATGGAAAGGCTGCACCTGAGACAGGTCCAGAATTCATTCATCCATTTTGGAAGTTCACTAATTGATTAGTCATTGCCTCATGGATCCAGGCAGTTTACTTTTATTGGTGGCAGTCACTGTGCTAAGTGCTAAGGGTATCACATGAATGTGAGAAGGTTGTAACTTATAGAATTGGGGAAAATCCATGGATTTCTCTCTTTTCAACCAACTCTCCCTCTCCACCTGCCAAGGGACTTGCTGATCAGCCCCAACTTTTCAGCTCCTCCAGCTCACCTGGTTTTTAACTTTCTTTTTGCTACCTGAAGTTGCATGCCATGCTCAGGGGTGTGGAATATGCCCTTAAGTGGAGGGGCAGGTCATAGTTTTTCCTCCCCCTAACTGAAGATACAGAGTTTTCTATCTTTAAGTCTTAGTTGATTGACAGCCACATACAGCATCTTTTCCCTTTCGGAGTTGGCTCCTTCTACCCTCTCCCTCTTTGTATGCCCTCTATTCTTCCAAGATTGCACTGCATGGAAGTCCAGGGAGTTAGTGATGCTCTCTTTGGGCTCACATTTACTTTTTACTGAGTATGTCTTACACCAAGAGCCATGGGGGTAGAAGGCTTGAGGATTAATAAGATCTAGAGTCTACCTCCAAGTAGCTTATAATTTAGGTGGAGGAAACACCTATACCCCAAGTAATTTAAAACAAAAAAGGAAATTGGTAACATAAAGAGTATACTTGACATTCTTTTTTAGTTTAGGATAAGTAGTGAGGCTTTTAAGGAATTTAGAGAGCTAGAATTTGCTCAGACCTTG
This sequence comes from Homo sapiens, assembly GCF_000001405.40. NCBI lineage: Eukaryota > Metazoa > Chordata > Mammalia > Primates > Hominidae > Homo > Homo sapiens. The sequence continues at coordinate 37,850,513 of NC_000018.10, forward strand.
AAGGATGCTTACCATCTAAGGAGAGAACACCTCCATCTTTCCATTCTTCTTCCTGTCAGGCGTGCCTGCCTCCACTCATCTCTTCTTAGCTTCCTCTCTACCCCAAAAAGGAAGAAGGATTAGCCCAATTGCGTTACTTGAGTCTGGCATACTTGATTGGGTTGGGTTTACTGGTGGGTGGGGTCTCAGAGTTAAAAGGCATAGATCCTCATGCAGCTGTTGATCTTTTTCTCAATACAAGGCTGGGTGGACTTGCTAGGCAAGTCAGGCCCTGGCCACTGCCTGGCTTGCCTTTCCTATCTCAATGGTGAATGGAGCCAGGATTAGCTGTGTCTCCACTCACCCTGCAGACATAAACTTCATTCTTCCACTCCTTCTTCAAGTGACTTCCACTACATTTCCATCCAGGGAGTGACAAGATCCACATCATATTACACTGGCATTACTTGGTGGGGGATGGGGGCAGTGGTTAACAGGCCCAGTAGGTCTCCAGGCCAGAGCTATTTGCTTCATTGTGGGTTCATAGGCACTTTACATTGGGGCATGCATATGTTATATACTGCCTGGTTTTGTAGACATTTGTGAAAAATCCTACTTTACCCTCACCCCTGCAATGTGATTAGGATAATGTTTCATATTTTGTTTTGTTTACTTGTGTTTTTTTTTTTTTTTTTTGTAGCAAATGAATGGAGCATTCAAGTATTGATCTATGGCCCCTGTTCCTCAGCATACGTGTGGATGCCCTCTGTACATGCACTCTTTGGGACCTCAGTAAATGGAAGTATATTTGTATCAGTTCACCATGCTCCCAGTTCTCCAGGCTTGCTCTTGCTAGGTCACAGCAAACTACCTTCTTCTCTCACACTCCATATAGGGTTGATCTCTAAGTTTGCCTAGTCTCTCTCCTCTTCCCATCTTGGTATGTCTGAATGTTGCAAAATCCCTTATTCAAGCTGTCTACCTTAAGGCCTCCACTCCAAGCAGACATGTCCAGCCCATGGCCTCCAGGTTAAATCCTCTTAATGCAACATGTTCACATTTGTACTCTTGGACTCCTAATTTTCGATAGTATTCTCCTAGTTTCTCCAGAATATGAATTTATTATTCTTATCGAAGTTTACCTTTCATTTTCCTCAGTATAAATGGCCAATTCTGTTCAACCTGGTCACAAACATTCTGCTAAAATCAATGTATCTGTTGCTGTGAAAAATCTTCAAAAGTTTTCATACAAAACATGATTCTATCACAAAGACTTGATACTCTCTTATATTAGGTTGGTGCAAAAGTAATTGCCATCATCACATGGAAAAGAAGAGAGACTGGGTATTTTAAAATATTATTTAATTTTTTTTTCTTGCAGATTAAAAAAAATTCAGAACACTTGAGGGATGTTCTAAAGGGCTGTGGGAGTACTTGTATGAATCCTAGCTGTCTGAAAACAGCTTGGGCTATTGTTCAAAGATCATGTTGCCTGACATGGATTGCAGAAGCTGAAGTTTTATGATGTCTTGCGGGGCTTTGGAAGGGGCACTAGAGTACTAGAGGGGAGACTGGAATTCCAGAGTTTTAAGTCCTTCCTCAACTCCTGAGTTCACCATTATCAGCATTGTTAATGTGTCTTTCACTTTCATGGTTGTGCCCAATACTGAAAGAAGCATATAATAATAGTTTAAAACTATTGACTGATACTAGGTACTCAATACAATTTCAGTTGAATGAATGGCTATTACTCTGTATAAAATAAAAGAAAATCACAAAATAAGTAATCTTTCAGTAAAATCATGCAGTTCAGGCCAGATCTCAGAATAAATGACCTTTGATTTATTCACTATTATTGGAAGTGCCAGAATATACCTTTACTGTGCATGCTGTTTATCAAGAGGGTTGGTATGTACTGAAGCACTTCTGTGTGATTTTGTATGAGTTGATATTTTGCTGGTTTGTGAAATTGTCTGAACCCTGATCATGATGTTGTGCTGCCACACATGGCGAGGTTTGTGTTTCAGCTGAGATAATGCATTGGGCCCAAATGCCCCATAATTATATGTGCTGTGTAAAAAAGTTTTAAAAAACACATTGAAAGAAACAGAGTGGGGAGATGGTGATGTCATCGATGCAGGGCCCTTGGGTGCTGACCTTTGCAGGGCTTTCAGCTGCGAGCTAGGAGAGGTGTACCCAGAGACCTTGTAACTGTCAGCTATCTCTCCTATGCAGGTAGACAGAACAACTGCCTCAGAAAGATCCAGTGTCTATTTCATCCATGAGGGAACGTTTGGCTGTGACAACATTGATGGCATGTGGTTGGGCACAATGAGAGAGAACAAGAGGCAAAAAGACACAAGGCTACCTTGTGAAGGGGCCTCATGTCTAGTTCACTCTCAGCAGGTGAGATAATGAATCTCTGTCTCAGCCTGAGCCTAAAGCCATAGCCATATTTATAATATCTCTGCAAAATGTGCTGAAGAATAAGGAAATTGCTCTTTTGTTGGTCCCTGATGTGCTCAGGTTGGCCCTTGGCAAAATCCATCACACTCACCTCCTCCCTGCTTCCTCTTTCAGGCCTCCTCTGCCCCAGATTAAATGTGAGGACCTCATGGGCATGCCTCTGATTGCCCGGGTGGCACATCATTAGTCCTCTGCCACCCCTAGAGCACCAGAGCATTTTGCTTGCATCTTTCTTATGGAGTTCACACAAATTCCTCTCTGTGGGGGCCAGTCCTCCTCCTGGAGCTTTCTGGCCTCATGACTAATGAGAATTGCCTCCTCCCCAGGCCACTGGTTACCTAAGGAGAACATGTTACCTCTTTCCTGGTATTTGCCTTCGAAGGAAAGTTCTCTGGGGAACTAAGGAGCCTTGTAGACCTTTTAGAATAAACTTCTAATGATAGAATTAACAGGAGGAAATTTTTTTAAAAAAAAAAAAAACAAGGGTAAAAACTTCAATACATAGCTTTTAAAGGATTTCCTCCCCTTGTCCCCAAACCAAAAAGCCTAGTTGGCTACTTGACCCTGACCCTTTCCATATTCCTCTGATTTACAAACCCTTTGAGTGGCACCACATTCCCCCAGTGACTCTGCTTCCCATCTTGGAATCAGCATTAACTGCTTTCCCAATTAACCAGTCATCGAAAAGTACTTTCAGTTTTACTTCTTCGGTAACTGTACTTTCCTTCCCGACCTGGGTGGTATCCCTGCCTTCAGCCCACCACTGCAGGCTTACTCTTTTTTCCCGATCTGATCTCTCCTTCCTCTGAAGTGCCACACAAGCTAATGCTATCCTCCTCTTCTGCAAGGCTGACATGCTTGTGCCCTTCCCTGCCTAATAAGTTGCTCCAATCTCCCCAAATACTGCAGAATGAACCCTTATGTTTGTGAGTCATGTCCATGTGGGGGTTTCCCTAGTCTAAAGCAGAGAAATGGGAAGTGAAGTTGAAATGTCCAATTTCCCATTTTTCTACTTTATACGTACAAACACATACACATTATACAAACACATGTGTGCACATAACCATATACAGTCACACTCACACACACGTACTCACATGCATCCAGACATACATATACTACAGACATAAATTCACTCCCTTCTAACTAGTCTTTAAACTGCACTCTTTGTACACACTGTCTTCTCAGCTTTTCTCAGTTCATTCCTTCCTCCTGAAGCACCTCTTATCCCCATTTTTTCTGGATCCCTGACTGTGGAAGTTCAGTTTATGTTCCTACTTCGTGAAGTCCCCACTGATTCTCTTCCAAAATGGTGCAACCCCATTTCCCAAACTCTAAGGGAGGGTCAGAGATGGATTGGTTACTATTTATTGGATATTTGCTTGAAAACATACTTTGTATGTTTTATATACATTTAAAAATTTATTTTGACAATAATTTAAGAAGGTACTACTGTCTTCTTGCAGATGAGCAAGAAGACTCCAAGCAGTTAGACCAACTTTTTTTGTTTTTAAACATCACTGAGCCTGTAAACGGCAGAAACAAACTTAGAATCTTATCTTTTCTGAACCCGAGCCCCTGTTATTTCCCCTTTTTCATGACATCTTGCTAAAGCCGTTCTGAAAGATTTGTAACAATGTGTCTTTCTTATGAAATATGCATCTTTTCCTTTGTCTTACCTCCCTTCAATCTCCTGGTGTGTAAAGATCAGTGACTTGCCCACAGTGTAGAGTCATGCATCCATGCTCTTGAGAAGCAACTCAAGTTCACACAGCATTTCATTTTGGTTCCACATTTTCAAAATGGAGTTAAAATATAGATATTTCTGGCCTACACTAAGGATTGTTGTGAGGAATACCTAAAATTTCCTGAGATGATGAACACAGAGCGTTTTATTTTTATTTTTTGTTTTTTGTGGGTATTGTAGGTATATGTATTTATGGAGTTCATGAGATGTTTTGATACAGGCATGCAGTGCATAATAATCACATCATGGAGAATGAAGTATCCATCCCCTCAAGCATGTATCCTTTGTGTTATAAACAGTCCAATTACTCTTTTAGTTATTTTTAAATGTACAATTAAATTATTATGACTATAGTTACCCTGTTGTGCTATCAAATACTAGGCCTTACTTTTTCTAACTACTTTTTGTACTCGTTAAACATCCCTACCTTTCCCCAACCCGCCTCCTACCTATCCCAGCCTCTGGTAACCATCCGTCTACTCTCTATGTCCATGAGTTCAATTGTTTTGATTTTTAAACTCTGCAAATAAGTGAAAACATACAATGTTTGTCTTTCTGTGTTGGGCTTAATTCACTTAACATAATGATCTCCAGTTCCATCCATGATGTTGCAAATGACTGGATCTCATTCTTTTTTATAGCTGAATAGTACTCCACTGTGTATATGTACCACATTTCTTCATACATTCATCTGTTAATGGACACTTAGATTGCTTCCAAATTATGGCTATTGTGAATAGTGCTGCAGCAAACATAGGAGTGCAGACATGTCTTCAATATACTAATTTCCTTTCTTCAGGGTATATATCCAGCAGTGGGATTTCTGGATCATATGGTAGTTCTATTTTTAGTTTTTTGAGGAATCTCCAAACTGATTGCCATAGTGGTCATACTAATTTACATTTCCACCAATAGTGTACAAGGGTCCTTTTTTCTCTATATCCTCACCAGCGTTTGTTATTGCCTGCCTTTTGGATATAAGCTATTTTCACGGGGGTGAGATAATACCTTATTGTAGGTTTGATTTGCACTTCTATGATGATCAGTGATGTTGAGTACCTTTTCATTTGCCTGTTTGCCATTTGCATGCCTTAATTTTGAGAAATGTCTATTCAAATTTTTTGCCCACTGTTTGATCAAATTATTAGATTGTTTTCTATAGAGTTGTTTGGGCACCTTACATATTCTGGTTATTAATCCCTTGTCAGATGCGTAGTTTGAAAATATTTTCTTCCAATTTGTTGTCTCTTCAATTTGTTGATTGTTTCATTTGCTGTGCAGAAGCATTTAAACTTCATGTGATTCCATTTGTCTAGTTTTGTTTTGGTTGCCTGTGATTATGGGGTATTGCTCAAGAAATTTTTGCTCAAACCAAAGTTCTCAAGATTTTCCCCAACGTTTTCTTGTAGAAGATTCATAGGTTCAGGTCTTAGATTTAAGTCTTTAATCAATTTTGAACTGATTTTTGTATGTGGCGAGAGATAGGGGTCTAGTTTCACTCTTCTGCATATGGATATCCAGTTTTCCTGGCATCTTTTATTGAAAAGACTCTCTTTTCCCCAGTGTATGTTCTTGACACCTTTATCAACAATGAGTTCAGTGTAGGTGTATGGGTTTGTTTCTGGATTTTCTATTCTGTTCCATTGGTCTATGTTTCTGTTTTTAAGACAGTACCATCCTGTTTTGGTTACTATAGCTCTGTAGTACAATTTGAAGTAAGGTAATGTGATTGCTCCAATTTTGTTCTTTTTGCTAAAAATAGCTTTGGCTATTCTTGGTGTTTTGTAGTTACATACAAAGTTTACAATTGTCTTTTCTATTTCTCTCAAGAATGCCATTGATATTTTGATAGAGATGGCATTGAATCTATAGATTGCTTTGAGTAGTGTGGACATTTTAACAATATTGTTTCTTCCAATTCCTGAACATGGAATATCTTTTCATTTATTGGTGTTCTCTTCAATTTCTTTCATCAGTGTTTTATAGTTTTCATTATAGAGATCTTTCACTTTTTTGGTTAATTCCTAGGCATTTCATTTTATTTGTGGCTATTGTAAGTGGGATTCTTTTTAAATTTCTTTTTCAGATTGTTTACTGTTGACATATAGAAATGTTACTAATTTTTTAATGTTAATTTTGTATCCTGCAAATTCACTGAATTTGTTTATCAATTCTAATAGTTTTTTGGTAGCCTCTTTAGGTTTTTCCAAATATAAAATCATGTCATCTGCAAATAAAGATAATTTGACTTCTTTCATTCCAATTTGGATGTCCTCTATTTCTTTTTCTTGTGTGATTGCTGTAGCTAGGACTTCCAGTACTATCTTGAACAACAGTGGTGAAAGTGAGCACCCTTGTTGTGTGAGAGGAAAGGCTTTCAGTTTTTCCTCATTCAGTACGATACCAGCTCTAAGTCTGTTATATATCGCTTTTATTATTTTGAGATATGTTTCTTCTATATTCAGTTCTCCAGGGTTTTTATCATGAAGGGATGTGGAATTTTATCAAATGCTTTTACCACATTGATTGAAATGATCATATGGTTTTTAACCTTCATTCTGTTGATATGATATATCACGCTGATTGATTTGCATATGTTGAATGATCCTTGCATCTCAGGGATAAATCCTACGTGGTTGCGATGAATAATCTTTCTAATGTATTGTTGAATTCAGTTTGCTATTATTTTGTTCACGATTTTCATATCAATAATTCCTCAGAGACATTGGCCTGTAGCTAGCTAGCTTGCTTGCTTGCTTTTCTTTCTCTTTCTTTCTTTCTTTCTTTCTTTCTTTCCTTTCTTTCTTTCTTTCTTTCTTTCTTTCTTTCTTTCTTTCTTTCTTTCTTTCTTTCTTTCTTTCTTTCTTTCTTTCTTCCCTTCTTTCTTTCTTTCTTTCTTCCCTTCTTTCCTTTTCTTTCTTTCTTTTTTTCCCCCTCCCTCCCTCTCTTCCTTCCTTCCTTCCTTCCTTCCTCCCTCCCTTCCTTCCTTCCTTCTTTCTCTCTCTCTTTCTCTCTTTCTCTCTTTTGTGTCTTTGTCCAGTTCTGGTATCAGGGTAATACTGGCCTCATAGAATGATTTTGGAAGTATTCCCTCCTCTTTTGTTTTTTTGGAAAAGTTTGAGTAAGATTGGTATTAAATTCTAAAACTGGCGTTAAATACTTAAAACTTCTTTAAATGTTTGGTAGAATTCTGCAGTGAAGCCACTGGGTCCTGGGCTTTTCTTTCCTGGGAGACTTTTTATCATGGCTTCAATCTTGTTACTTGTTATTGGTCTATTCAGGTTTTGGATTTCTTCCCGGTTCAATCTTGTTAGGTTGTATTTGTCTAGGAATTTGTCCATTTCTTCTAGATTTTTCAGTTTATTGGCATATAGTTGTTCCTAGTAGACACTAATGATGCTTTGAATTTCTGTGGTATCAGCTATAATGTCTCCTTTTTCATTTCTGATTTTATTTATTTAAATAGTCTCTTTTTTTTCTTAGCTTGGCTAAAGGTTTGACAATTTTGTTTAACTTTTCACAAAACCAACTTTTTGTTTCATTGATCTTTTCTATTGTTTTCTTCATTTTAATTGTATTTATTTATGCTCTGATCTTTTTATTTCTTTTCTTCTACTAATTTTGGGTTGACTTGCTCTTGCTTTTCCAGTTTTTTAAGATACATAATTAATTGAAGTTTTCCCTCTGTTTTGATGTAGGCAGTTATAGCTACACACGTTCGTCTTAGTACTGCTTTTGGGTGTATCCCATAGGTTTTCCTCTTAGTACTGCTTTTGGGTGTATCCCATAGGTTTGTTATGTTGTGTTTCCATTAGTATTTGTTTCAAAAAATGTTTTAATTTCCTTCCTAATTTTTTCATTGACCCACTGGTCATTCAGAAGCATATTGTTCAATTTATATGTATTTGTATAGTTTCCAAAATTACTCTTGTTATTGATTTCTAGTTTTATTCCATTCTGGTTAGAGAAAATGCTTGATATTATTTAATTTTTTTTGAATATTTTAAGACTTGTTTTGTGACCTAACATATGGTTTATCCTTGAGAATAATCCATGTGCTGAGAAAAAGAATGTGGATCCTGCAGCCATTGAATGAAATGTTCTGCAAATATCTATTAGATCTATTGGGTCTATGGTGCAGATTAAGTCTAATGTTTCTTTGTTGATTTTCTGTCTGGAAGATCTGTCCAATGCTGCAAGTGGGGTGTTGAAGTATTGGAACCTATCTCCCTCTTTAGCTTTAAATATTTACTTTATATATCTGGGTGCTCCAGTGTTGGGTGAATATATATTTAAAATTGTTATAACCCCTTGCTGAATTAACTCCTTTATCCTTATATAGTGACATTTTTGTCTCTTCTTATAGTTTTTGTCTTGAAATCTATTTTGTCTGATATAAATATAGCTACTCCTGCTTTTTCTTAGTTTCTGTTAGCCTGAAATATCTTTTTCCACCCTTTTATTTTAGTCTATGTGTTTATAAGTGAAGTGTGTTTTTTTGTAGGCAACAGATTGGTGGATATTGTTTTTTCATCCATTTGGCCACTCTAGATCTTTTGATGGAGGACGTCAGCCCATTTACATTCAATGTTATTATTGATAAGTAAAAGCTTATGCCTGCCTTTTTTTAAATTTGTTTTCTGGTTGTTTTATGGTCTCTATTTCTTGTTTTTTTCCTGTCTTCCTTTAGTCAAGGTGATTTTCTCTGTTGATATGATTTACTTTCTTGCTTTTTATTTCTTATGTGTCATTGTGTATTTTTTTGTTTGAGGTTACCATGAGGCTTACAAATACTATCTTATAACCTATTATTTTGAGCTAATAACAATACTATTTGCATGAACAAATAAGCAAAAAAACTAACAGAAGCTCTACATCTTAACTTTTTCCCCTTGCTTTTTAAACTTTTTATCATTTCTATTTTATCTTATTGTACTGTTTACATCTTGAAAATTTGTTGTAGTTATTATTTTTTGTTGGTTCATTTCATCATTTAGTCTTTCTATTTAGGGTAAGGATAGTTTATACACCGCAGTTACGCAGAGCTCTGGAACACAGGGCATCTTATAAACTACAAGGCAACATACATTTGGTTCAACACACATTTATTAGACTTCTAATATTATCAGAGTTATGAAAAGGAGATGTGATCCCTACTGTTAATGGGATCGTTTTCCAGGAAGAGTCTGATATTCAAAAAGAAAATAATCTCAATGTAATAGCAAGCATATGGTCATTACAGAATGACCAACCAAGATAGGTGAATGGAGTCAGCAGGAGATCCTACCACAGGGGTCAGGGAAAGTATGTCTGCTGCTGGAAGACAGGTTGGACTGAAGACAAAACATTGTAGGATAAGATGGAAGACAGATACTCCAGGCAATGGGTCAGTACAGAGATGATTCTTATTTATTAAATGAATAAATGAATTAATGCCTGAAAGGGCTCTGTCCTATATAAGGCAGTCCCTAAAGTAACCACACAGGCCCTTTGATGATTTTCAAGGTTCAATTATGAACCATCTTTTAAAATTCTTCGTTGACTTTGTTCACCTACATCCTACTTCACTAGAATTTATGTAGAACTTTTGGCATTCACTATACAACTTTGTTTTTTCTTTTAAAAAGTTAAATGTTATAAATACTTATCATTTATCATATTTTATTTCAACAACCTTACAAAGTGGATATTACCATTCTTATTTTAGAGACCAAAACAGCTGAGGTTCAGAATGGTTAAATAACTGTATCAAAGTAAAATGGCCTATGGGTGCTACCACAGGGATTTGAACTCCTGGACCTGCTCACATAAGAATGAATTTTTTCAGCCTGTATGTTCAAGTGTGTCACTAGTAGGAATTCCAGGGTCAATGGGAGTGGTGGCTCAGTCAGCCCTTGTCTTAAGATAACCTGTGTTATCATTGGAAAGGTCAGACAGTTTTCCAAAGGGAAAGCATCACTTCTTTCATTTTCAGGTAATGGTTTCTGATGTCAGAAAGGGGTGTTTATGCCTCGTCAACTTTTTGAATGCTCCCTGCAAGTTTCATCATTCCCCACCCTCACTTCCTACCCTGCAGTCACAGTGCAGCTTTCAAAAGAGTGAAGCTTGACTTTCGGCTTAACAATAAGTCAAAGGCATGGATTCATGTCTGATTTCTTTTAGATTCCTATTGGCCTTAGCATAGTGTTGTGACGTACTAGAGGGTCAATTAAAATTTGATAAATGGATAGATGAGTAAATGAGTGAACTTTAGGTCTCAGCAGCACAGTTGATTTGCTAGGAATGCACCCTTGCTGTAGCTGCAGCCACATGTACCACAGCGTAGCAAAGATCCAGTATAACCAAGAGTTTCACCTCCCAGACCACTGCCTCTGATAAGGCTTTCCTGGTCAGCCTCAGACTCTCTCTTATCTTTCCAGTCTTATTTCTTACCATTCCTTCCTTGGAGCCTTTCCCTCCTCATCATCCTCCTTCGGTTCCCTTTGAACACCTTGTCTGAGTCCTATTGAACTACTATAAGCTTTCTATGAGCTCTTTGGGGTTCTCCTTTCTTGGACTGAATACTCTGCTCACTTCCTCTCCTTTGGTCCATGTCTCTGTTTCTCTCTCTCTTCCCTTTTCACCAGGTAAGTTCTACTTTTCCTTCAAGTTTTAATCTAAAATCCTTCCCTGACTTATCTTCTTGTCCCCATCTGCAATAGATGTTCCTTTCCCAAACATCTAGGATTCAAGGACTTCCGTGACCCTAATTGCCTATTTGCTTTATTCATTTTTCCCATTAAACTGTCAGTACCTTCAGAGCAGGAAACTTAATTTATCCATGGTTAGAGTCCTAGTAACTAGGGCAATGCCTGTTTCATCCTCAGAGCTCAAAATCTACCTTTTGAAGTAATGAATGAATAAATAAACGGATTAATGCAACCAAACTGTGTATGTGTGTGAGTGGGTAATACCTTGTCACAGAAATGCTGCTCTCAAAACGTGAAAGTGACTGAGTAAGAAGTTGTGAAAGATGCTTATGAGGCTTCTATGTAATTTTAATAGGCCTTTTAGGTATCCTACTTCATTAATAAAGGAAGAATGGAGTGCTCCAGTGTCTTTTTATCTCCCATCTGTATTCAAATACAACAGAATACCTCTAAATAAAATTTCAGGGTAAATTAATGATTTTCATTTTCTCAGAAAACCCATTTTTCCCTGAAAGGATAGACTGCTGACCCAATGCATATGTGTGATTTCCTGCTTAATAAGGGGACTGGCTGATACAGTGCACTGTAAAATGACTGCTGGTCTTGTCATGAACCTGTGAGCTTTGGGGAAAGTGGGGTCATTCTATAAGGGCAGATGTGGGGCAAGGATGCAGGTGCTCCTGGTCTGGGGTTACCCCTCTCATCTCTCAGTCAGTTCTTGAGAACTGGCTTTGACATTTCTCAGTCAGCACGTGTGGCTGTAGGCTCGGCTTGAGCTGTTGGATGACTGTCTTCTCTGCTGTCTCTCAGCTGTGGGTGGCTCAGTCTTGACACAGAGGAAGCCTTGGGGGCTTTACTGTGTAGGTTTTTATAACAGTTTAAATATCCTTCATAGCTGTTGTGGAATGAATGTTTGTATGACTCTAAAATGCATATATTGAAATCCTAACCCTAATCTTAACCCCCAGTGTGATGATATTAAGAGGTGGGGCCTTTGAAAAATGATTAGATTGGCCGAGCGCAGTGGCTCACACCTGTAATCCCAACACTTTGGGAGGCCGAGGCTGGTGGATCACAAGGTCAGGAGATCAAGACCATCCTGGCTAACATGGTGAAACCCCATCTCTACTAAAAATACAAAAAAATTAGCTGGGTGTGGTGGCAAGTGCCTGTAGTCCCAGCTACTCGGGAGGCTGAGGCAGGAGAATAGCTTGAACCCGGGAGGCAGAGGTTGCAGTGAGCCCAGATCGAGCCACTGCACTCCAGCCTGGGTGACAGAGCGAGACTCCATCTCAAAAAAATAAAAAAATAAAGAGAAGAAACGAAAAGTGATTAGATCATGAGGGTGGATCCTATCTGGCCCTCTTGTTTGCCAAGAGAGGATAGAGCAGGATGTCAGCAGTCTAAAACTGAGGAGAGGGCCCTCACCAGAGCCCAAACATGCTGACACCCTGATCTCAGACTTCCAGCCTCCAGAACTGTGAGAAAAAATTTCTCTTATTTATAAGCCACTCAGTCTATGATATTTTGTTATAGCAGACTGAAATAACCAAAATAGCAACCATTGAGTTTAATGAATGTGCTTCTGGAAGACACAGAGAGAAAGGAAAAGTGGATGGAGGGCAGGACTGAGCACACACACCTATGAGAGAAGGGAGGGAAAGTGCTGCCAAGTGAGTGCTGGATTCTCTGGAGACCAGATCAGGAAGTACTTTCCCCATATAGATATAGGAGATGTGGATTTGTGAGTGCCCCACAGGGAAATACAACAAAACTCAGGGTTCCTGGAGGTAGTCTTTGGCTGCAAGTGGAGCCTTAGCAGGGGCTGTGGAACAGAACAGGAGCCTCTCTAAATGCTGCACTGGGTCCTGCCTCCTTCTACCTTGACTTCACAACTGCATTCAATGAAGTAGAGGAATAGGGACCTATGGCCAAGAAGGGTCTACAAACCAAACCATCCTGTGGCCAGTAATTCCACTGTTGTTAATACTCATCAGTTAACAAATGTTTCTATGGGCCAGTTTTACACAAGTTCCATCTGGAATAAATGAAACTAATTATAGGGTCTACTTACAGAAGCATGGGCAGGATGTAGGAAAACAAAACAAGGTAGTGCAATATTTCACGGTGTAGTAATAGTTAGGGAGTTACCTTCTTTGACCTGAAGAAGCACGACTTGGGGGCAATCACTGAAACTTGGAAGGAGATAGCTGTGTGGAAGGTACATTTTGACAGTTGTTGTGACTTTTGGTATGTAGCTAGCCTGAAGTCATTCTGGAGGGAGAGGGCTAGGGCAGTAATACCCCTTAGATCTCTGCCCCACTTTTCCCATTGGCTAGACCCAATTAGAAGCCACAGGGCAAGGGTCCCAAATAATATAGTTGAGGCAAGTCAGTCTCTTGGGGTGTAAACCAAGAAAAGCAGAAATGGATGCAGGGCAGATCTCAAGGGGAAATGAGAAATCGCTCACATGCATGCACTATGTCATCTGATTTTCACAGAACCCTCATCGGGAGAGTATTATACTCACTTTACAGATGAGGAAACCATGGCATAGAGAAATTAAATAACTTACACTAATATACACAGTAAATGGTGGACCAGGCTTTGAACACAGGCAGAGCTCTTCTGGGATTTGACCATTTAGCCAGTACCCTAAGACAAGAAATCAACCCATTGAAAATATTCCTTTTGGAGTGATACAATATGTGTTGCTATGTCAGAATACCTGAGATTGGGTAATTTGTAAGGAAAAGAGGTCTATTTGGCTTACGATTCTGGTGGATGGGAAGTTTGAGATTGGGCAGCTGCATCTTCTGAAAGCTTCATATTGCTTCAATTTGTAGCAGAAAGTGGAAGGGAAGTGAGCATGTGCAGAGATCACATGGTGAGAGAGGAAGCAAGAGTGAAACTGATGAAGCAGACTCTTTTTAACAACCACTCTCTCTCTCACAGGGAGAGTAAATTAATCCCCATGAGAGTAAGAACTCAGCTCCATTAGCAGGATATTAATCTATTCTTGAGGGATCTTCCCTCATTACCCAAACACATCCCATGATTCACCACCTCCCTGCACTGCCACATTGGGGGTCAAATTTCAACAAGAGTTTTGGCAGGGAGAAACCACATCTAAACCATAGCACAATGTTTTATTTTCTCTTCAATTCTCTGTAACATTGCTTTTGAACATGCCAGCCATGTATTGAAGGAGTTTGAGTTTGCCTTTTTCTGGGCCTGGCTCTGCAGAGCTTGAAGGTGGACAAGTATGAGTGTGGGTGGACAGGTATGAGTGTAGGGACTGCCCTCTTGGCTTAGAATCCTGGTGAGAACTTGGGCTGTATATTACTCCTATTGATGCACATGATTAGAATAGATATCACAGGTGAGAATCAAGTGGAGTGAAGAGAACTTGCAATTATGCCCTAGGGTTTCTCTAACTCTGAAGCTCATAGATTGACAGTAGCTGGTTATAATGGATTCTATGGTGTACTAATATTACCCCTTCAGGTTTGTGGGACACAAGGGCCTCAATCCTACAACTATGATGATCTGAATTCTTCCAACCATCTGAGTGAGCTTGGAAGCAAAGCCTTCCTGGAGCTTTCAGATAAGAATGTAGTCCAACAGATGCCTTAATTTCAGCCTTATGATTCTAAGCAGAGAACCCAGCAGCCAATCCCAACCAGAATTCTGAATTATGAACTGTGACCTCGCAAGTATACACTCTCTAAGCATCTAAATTTGTGCTCCACTAACTTTTTATGCATCAATAGAAAACTAATACAGTGTCCAAGTTGCTCATTCCCCCAACTGCCTGGAGTGCTCAGAACCATGTCTCATTCCAAAAATCATCCTGGACTGAAGGAAGCTGCCTTGGCCAAGTTATGTGCCCTTGCTTAATGGCAGCCTACATCTAATGACAGATTGATACAGGAATACAAAGTATTGATCCCCTTCCCCCAAGTTATGACAACTCTGAAGGGTCATCCCAGCATTTGTGCTGCTTGTAAGATGGTCCAAAGCCTCTGCTACATCACAGTTTAAACTTCTATCTCTGTTTCTTCCTATTTCCCTAACTCCTTCACAGGGGAGGGATCATGCTCTTGAGAGCATGTCCCAGTGAAGTTTCTGCATGGAAATCTTCACTGCAGAATATTAGCCCACGGAACCAGATGGAAGACAATATGCTTGATGGAGGTGGAGTGTTGATGGAGAAGCAAGATGAATCTTATCCCATGGGACCCCAGCCAGGAAGAGCAGACTCTTACAAGGAACAGTACAATAATAAGACTAGGCACCACACAACAAAGGGCCAACTTTATAGCTCAGACTTTGCGTGACCATATATCAGAGTTGTCCCAGGACAGGCTCTGTTACAGCTGTTGTCCTGATGGTTATGATTAAGTATTCCAGTTTGTATATCAAATTGCATGGTCAGCTTTCCCAGATTCTATGGGTTATAAGGATGTAGATGACAGGCCAATGTGGGCTGCAGCAGGATGAGTAGAGAAGACTATGTAGGGTGGCCTCTGACTGGACTTTGAGAGATGTGCAGGAATTGTGTTACATGTCAGTGTCTAGGTATCACTGTGGGTAGAAGTGAAAAAGCGTGGACAGAGCATGAAAGGTAGAAATATGTATGTGTGGGGGAGGGGGGAAGCATTAGCATCAGGAGGAGGAGAAGGAGAAAGAGAAAAGGGAGGAGGAGGAGGAGGAGGAGGAGACTCATTATTGGAATGGCGTAAGGAGTTTGTTAATGGGTGTCCTTTTGTGAATATATAAAGCAAGAAAATCAACACACTGGTCATAGAGGAGACAAGTGCCCACAGAAAGAATCATGCGACACATCCTTATATGTCTTGGGAAAAATAAAATGGAGAAAGGGAACAGATGGCTCGCCTCCCACTGTCTGAGGCCAGACCATTTTGCTTCTCTGGGCAACACTATCCTTTCATCTCTAACTCAGTTTGCTTATTTATCCTGTAAAGGCGCCTTTGTGGATTGATGATGAAAATCACGATACTGACGCAGATGACCACTCCTTACATTCGCAGCCCTTGATGCTTTCCAGAGTTGTTTCACACTCATAAAATACAAGATTCTCTTTTGACTTTATTACCATTCTATGTAAAAGGCAAGGTAGGTTGTGTTTTTTTAACCAAAGAGATAAAGTTATTGGTTAAAAGAATTCTTAAGGAGAATAGCTTTGGAGCCCAGACTAGAACCTGGGTATGTAACATTGGTCTGTAACATTCATCTTCTCATCATATTGCAAGAAGGTAATGGCGGATCTTTGTCTACCAGTGGCCTAATAATCCTGTCACTGCATTGCTCCTTCCTTTGGTTTTCCTTCCTGGATTTTGGATGCCCATCAGATCCTTCACTCAATGGTGCCACCTACCCTCACAGATGCACGCAAGAGAGTTTACTGAGTTGTACACTGAACAACTTTGTGCAGCTGCATGGAGACTCTCTTTGGAGTAAATAATATTATTTCATTCCAGCTGGCATAGGAGTATTAAAGTGGGAAGAGTTTTACCAAGTGCCTGCTATATACTTTAGCTCCTATTTTTACAAATCTACAAAGGAACGAGTGAGGCTTGCATAAAGAAATTGGATTTAGAGTGATGGAATCCCTTGCCTGGGGCCACGGATGATAATGGTTAAGCCAGGGTTTGAACCCAATTCTGCTTGTCTCTATATTTAACACCTTTTCTACTGAGCCACTTTGGCATTCTGGAGTCTAGTGGTCTCAGTGGGAGTCAAGGTAAGGATCTCTAGAGCAGTGACTCTTTTTGCAGACCCAGAGCTCTTTGAGGATGTGATATTTCAGCCATAGACCTTCTCCCTGGAAAAATGCACATTTACCCAATATTTTGCATGAAATTTCAAGGGCTAGTGGACTGCAGAAGCTGCTCTGTAGTCTCCAGGTCAGGAACTCCTGCCCTAGGGGAGGGTAAAATTCAGGAAAATAGGGGCAGAGAAGTTTCAGTAGCTCACCGTGGCCACCTGGAAGGTCTCATTTTTAAAGCTCATCTCTGCTGGGGCTTAAAGGGTATGGGGGTTTGTCTTAACAAAAAAGGTTACTACCTAAAAGGCTGTTAAAACAGCAGGAGAGATGGCTGAGCCAGCTGCTGGGCAGAGTGGCAATCTGCTGTTCTCTCCAGCAAATCCAGGCTCTGAAGAAGTACCAATCAGGGACACTAAAGTTTTGTTATTTCAGAGTATAAAATTTTTGGCAATAATGAGTCTTGGAGGTTTTATATGACTCATGCACCTTCTCCTATCCCCCATTTTAGATTGGGTGTCTGAAAGTAGTCACCTTAATGTCCAGTTTTTCCTGTATGAGGCTAATGTCCCAAGGCTGTGTCAAGATGATGAAATACATCAAGTCGAAAAAAAAAAAAAAAAAAACTGTGGAGAGAGCTTTTTAGGACATCTTCACATCTGACTTGGATCAATTTTTAAGATGGCCGAGAAAAAAATATAAAGAGTCTACTGAGTCTAGACACAATTTCAGGAACAGATTTTAAATATGAATAAATTAGGCATTTCTATAGGGACTTCCAGTTACCTCTTTCTATAGTAGTATGTGGTTGCATCTTATTCATCCCAGCTTTCCCACTCTACTGTATCTCCCACTGCTGTTGGGCAAGCAGCCTCAGTTTTATTCAGGTCCATTTTTCTACTCTGTCTCTGAAAAGGCCATCCCCCAATAAGCCAGCACTCCCTTGCCCTTCTGCCAATCAACCCACATCCATCCAGCATTGGAGGCAGGACAGGGCAGGAGCAACCTGTAGATTTGCTGTGTTTTCTCCTGTCTACCTCCCTGAGCTTTATTTACAATAGGAGATGATACTTCTTACCATGTAGAGTTATTAGAATTAAAGGAGATAATATATGTAAAGCAACTAGCATTAATGGCTGCTCTCAGCTTTTTCCTCAAGGCCAGAGCCAGTACTGCCTCCTTCAGAAGATCTTCCTCGAAGCTTAGCCCATAATTCTGGTTCTCCTTCTGCCTTAATCTGTTTGGACTACCATAACAAAATACCATACACTCGGTGGGTTAAGTAACAGAAATTCATTAAAAAATTTTTTTTGGAGGCTAGAAGTACCAGATTAAAATTCAGCATGGTTGGTTCCTGGTGAAGGCTCTCTTACTAGTTTGCAGGCAGCTGCCTTCTTGCTGTGTCCTCACAAGGCTTTTCCTGAGTTCCTGCGCACAGAAAGAAAGTGCCAGCCCTCTGCAGTCTCTTCTTATAAAGACACTAATCCTATCAGTTCAGGGTCACACCTTTATGACCTAATTTGATCTTAATTACTTCCTTACTCCAAATACAGCCATACTGGGGGTTAGGGCTTCGATATAGAAATTTTTTGGGACGGGGTACATACATTCAGTCTATGACACTCTCCAATGTATGAATTCCTTGGCACTTATAGCAAACACCCTCTCACATTTTTATATTGAAATATCTCCCTATGTCTCCCTGCATGAAAAATATATTTCCAGCTAAGACAGTAAGCCCCTGAGGACAGAGATCTGTTTTTCTTTTATATGCCTGATGAGCATGAGACAGGGCACTTTTTCAGCTTAGTAAATACTAGTTAATAAACTGGCTGGTTGCCTTACTGATATGAAGCCAATCAATTTGACCTTTGTTTTATGAAATTGTGGCGATGTCATGAGGGGATGTATTATTCAGGATTGGCCAGAATATACATCAGTAACAAATAATTCCCAAATCTCAGTAATTTAACAGAACACAGTGTTATTTCTCCTCATGCTACCTAGTCATCCTAGGTCATTGGAGGGAGGAGGGGTTATTCCTTGTAGTCATTCAGGCACCCAGGAAGCCACCATCTGTTGGTTGCTGTGCTGGAGAGAAAACAGAGCACCATAAGCCTGACATCAGTAATTGAATGTTCACTGGCCACAATTTATTGGCCAGAACTAGCTCCACAATCCCGTCTAACTATTAGGGAGGAACAGGAAGGGCAATCCTACCATGTTTCCAGAAGGCAGAGAGCTGTAAATATTTGGTGACTATCAATGATGACCACCACAGTTGAGAAAGAGATGATTAGTTTTTCAGGAAGTGGATAAGTTGACAATCATTTCATAATAATTATCTTTTCTACCACCAGCAGACTGGCTTCAAACTCTTTCTATCCCTTTTCCATGCAGAATCATCCAAGGTAGCAGTCCCCAAACTTTTGGGCACCAGAGAGCAGCTTCATGGAAGAAAATTTTTCCATGGACTGGGGGCAGGGAGGATGCTTTCAGGATGATTCAAGTGAATTACATTTTTGTGCACTTTATTTCTATTATTATTACATTGTAATATATAATGAAATAATTATACAACTCACCATAATGTAAAATCAATGGGAGCCCTGAGCTTGTTTTTTTTTTTTTTTTGCAATTAGATAGTCCCACCTGGGGGTGATGGGAGACAGTTGCAGATCATTAGGCATTAGATTTTTGTAAGGAGGGCACAACAAAGATCCTTTGCATGTGCAGTTCACAGTAGGGTTCACGCTACTACAAGAATCTAATGCTGGCACTGATCTGACAGGAGGCAGAGCGAAAGCGCTAATACGAGTGATGGGTAATGTCTGTACATACAGACGAAACTTTGCTCACTCACCCACCACTCACCTCCTGCTGTGCGGCCCAGTTCCTAATAGGCCACAGACAAGTACTGGTCCATGGTCCAGGGATTGGAACTAATCCAATTTATTGAAGTCAAATAAAATATAAAGATGAATCTCTAAATTTAAAATGTTTATCTTATTCTCCAGAATGTATGTGAGTGTGTGGTTGAAATGCTTACTAAATTTGGAGATGTATATAATAATGGCTGACAGTTTTATTGTTCCCTATATGGTAGGTACTATATTTCGGTTGATCCTTACAAACATTCTGTAAGAGAAATCTTATTATTATTTATTTTGAGGTGGAGTCTTGCTCTGTCACCCAGGCTGGAGTGCAGTGGCACAACCTCCACTCACTGCAACCTCCACCTTCCAGGTTCAAGTGATTCTCCTGCCTTGGCAGGCGCCCACCACAACACCCGGCTAATTTTTTGTATTTTTAGTAGAGACAGCGTTTCACCATGTTGGCCAGGCTGGTCTCAAACTCTTGACCTGAAGTGATCCGCTCTTCTCGGCCTCCCAAAGTGCTGGGATTGCAGGCGTGAGCCACCGTGCCCAGGCTTATTTTTTATTAAATGTGAGAAAACTGAAACTCAGCTGGGTTAACTGGGCTACTCAAGATTATACAACAAGTAAGTGGTAAGGCTAAGGGTAGACCCCTACTTGACTAGACCCCAAGTACCATGGCTTTTACCAGTAGTCCAGAGTGCTTTTTATGGAAGGTAGTAGTTCTCCCTGAAATCAGACACTGAGGAAGAAAGTAGAAGGATCCAAGAAGTTTCACATCATCTGTGAAGTCTATGTTGGTAAGCCAGAGTTACAGCTTGTTGGGTTTGGAGGGGACCTTACTTTCTATCTGATCCAGGGACTTGTACAGTGACCCTGAGACTATCCTAGGACAGGTTCCCTAGGGATAACTCCAGGGAGGGCTATAGGAAGGGCTTTGGTCAGAGTGGACAAGGACCTGGATCCCCCCTTTGTTTCCTCTCTCTCTGACTTATGTGTAGGGCTTCTTTGCAATATTTATTTTAGAAAACTTACATTATGCTACAGTAAGATTTGAAAATCCTCAATGTGTCTAACCATATAGACAGGCCATTGATGACTCTACAACATTGTTTCCAAAACCCAAAGCCAGGCTTTATGGCTGAATTGATACCTGCCTGTGGATGGTGTGGTCCAGCCTCTTCCTTTCCACTTGAGGACTCTCCCCATGGCTCTTGATAGCTGCTGTGATAGCTGGATTTAGGACGCTATCCCTGCCTGTGGGGCTGTTTGAACCATCTTGTGGGCAGCCTGCTTTCTGATCCAGCTGTGAAGCTACCCAGTTGCATCAAGAACAGAAGTGCCCCTTCTCTGCTTGTGAGTCCAATCCTTGGCTTGTTTGAATCAATATATTATCCAAAGTAAATGAGGAGAAATTGGAATATTTTGATCTACTGTGTCTTCAAAGAGGAATTAGAATAATTTGTCTACTGTGTCTCCAAAATCATAGAGTCCATAAATGCTTAGGGTCCTTTTCAAGTTGTTTTCCTTTTGTTCCTTTAAAAACAAAATCCTCTTTCTGTGCAGACTGAGGACTGATGAGCTGTCCCCAAACTGCAGCACTTACTCCATGCAAATGTAGGACAATGACAAAGACCTTGATTACAGCTTCATTTGCTTTATGCAAGACTCCAGCAGCCAGTTAAAGCCACAGTAAACGTGAATAATAGACTCCAGCAAGTGGTGGTGGGGCCAGTGGGGCTGGAGGAGGCTGGCTGTGTGATCTCACTCCTCCTTCCATTGAGCATCACTGGCTCCAGGCTGGGAAAGCAGCCCTCAGTGGCTCCATGGATGTTCTGTTCCCACACAGAACCTCTTTCCTTCCTGCTGCTTGGGGTCTGAATCACTAAGGTTGGTGTTTCATCCCTTAGGTTTTATTTATTTTTTAATTTATTTTTTCAAATTGACAGATAAAATTGCATGTATTTACTGTGTACAACATAATGTTCTGAAGTATATACACACTCATCTCTTAGGTTTTGAGTTCAGACCTTGTTGAAATGCCTGTCTCACCAGGAGGGCTCCAGGGTCAAGCTATCGTCATGTGTCATCTCCTCTGTGAGAGAGACGGTGTGAAAGCAGGTGTCCCCATGTAAGGAGCAGGAAGAGGGAGCGAGGAAACTAAGGGGTCAGGGCACGGGATAGGGATGAGGGCATGGAATGGGTGGGCTATGCAGGGTTAACTCCAAAAGTAGAAACTGATGAAAACTCTTTATTTGGGATCATCAGGTCCCACTCTTTCTTTCTTGCAGTGGGAGAACAGCAAGTAAGTCCCAACTCTTTTGTCACAATCTATTTGTGCTAAAAATAGGAACCTTCCTGAGTGAAGCCTGAGGGGGTAAAGAACAAGAAGGGCATATGCTCCTGAAATCCTCACCACCGAAGACATTAATTCATTAATTTAATTAAACACATGACCAAACAGCAGCCATACCACATATATCTTTCCTAATGAAAGTATCCAAAACCCACTGCAAATTCTCCTGATTTATTAAATCAAATTATGCAATTCAATTGGTAGAGGCAAAAGCCCCCGAACAGGGAGGAGGGGCACTTCAGCTTTAAGACTAGACCAGTCCAGCTAGGAAAATGTAAAAACTGGTTCATTAAGCTTAAAGTCAGAAAGACAGGGAGCTAGGCAAGAGCCTAGGGCTGAGGGCTGTACCAGCTTGCTGGTTACAGCTCCAGCCTGTTGACATAGCTGGCACAATACAGAAACTGGGAATGTTTTGTGTGTGTGTGTGTGTGTGTGTGGTGTGTAAAGTACATACATTAATATGCACAAGTGAGTGGTGATAATGACAGTGGGGTGGCATGGTGTCAAAGGCTCCCTGACCCCCAAACACTGCCTCGTTTGTTTGTTTTTTTTTTGCCACAGGCTTTACCAGTAAGCTTTCTAAGTTTGCCAGAAATAGAATTTAAGAAAAGGGTTGAGATTTATTTGCTATTCTGCTATCCAGATAGCAGGGCCTAGTGACTACAAGAAACTCTGTTGGGTACATAGGAGGTTCTTGACAAATGTTTCCAAGATGAGTGGTTTACCTAGTATCATCAATTAACACATCGCAGGTATTTCTTTGTCAATAGCTTGTCACTGATAAAAGCAAATTTATGGACTTGGAGTCTAGGTGAGGTGTTTTGAGAAAGAATAGGAGAGGGAGAACCTAAGCCACTTGCAAAAGAAATTATGTAAGGAGTGTGAGGCCAGGTGGCATAAGGAGAGAGCTGTGGCCTCAGAAAAGAGGGCCTGGAGACCTCATAAGCCTCCTTCCTTCAGTGCCTCTCACAGCTTCTGCAGCTTGGAATTCAGGAGTGGGCAAACAGGCCATCTGGTTTTTCCCTGGTTCCCTCTCCCTCCGGACCATGGGGAACATCTGTATTTTTGTATTAAATTTCAACAAGAAGCTGGCCTCTCTAACATGTCATGAATGCCTGCAGCCCTGAGTGCTGTGGGGTTTATAGAACTTTCTGAGCCATGGGATAACTGGGTGGCTGTGTCACAGGGCCCTGAAGCAGCTTCCTTGGCCTCTTCCAGCCCATACCTGATGTGGATTAACAATGCAATTCACAAGCCACAGTCAGATCCCCCACTGGGTCCAGAGCAAATACTTCAGTTACAGCTCCAACTTACAAATGTTCAAGTTAGCTCAAAATAATTATAAAATAATTATTTCTACAGCCTTATTATTATTATTATTATTATTGGAGACAGGGTCTCACTCTGTCTCCCAGGCTGGAGTGCAGTGGCACAATCTTGGCTCACTGCAGCCTCTGCCTCCCAGGTTCAAGTGATTCTCTCACCTCAGCCTCTTGAGTAGCTGGGACTATAGGCATGCACCACCAGGCTCACGCCACCAGGCCCAGCTAATTTTTGTATTTTTTGGTAGAGACAGTGTTTCACCATGTTGGCTAAGCTGGTCTCAAACTCCTGACCTCAAGTGATCCACCTGCCTTGGCCTCCCAAAATGCTGGGATTACGGGAGTGAGCCCCGTGCCTGGCTGCCTTTTTATTATTTCACTGTTGAGGCTCTGAATATTTCTGGAGTCCTGCTTACTGAGTACGTCCATCTATGAAAACTTTCTTAAACACACCCTAGCTCTTTACTCCTAAACTTGTATTTCTGAGATCCATGTTTCTGAAAGAAGCATTTACTGGGGGAGGGGGTATGTTCTGGCAACTCTATATGGTACAATTGATTATGCTTTTATGCTCACATCTTCTCAAGACCATGATTAGCCTTTTCTTCCTGACTTATCTTTCTCCTCAGATACCCTTCATATTCTGAACATGATAAGAATTGAGAAACATCTGTTTCCCACACTTCCAAATCAGTCACAACACTAAGATTGGGCTTAGAGACCTAGAGCTTTCCATTATCTCTGTAAACTCTACATAAGGTTACTGCCAATTCAAATAAATTTTAAGTGAACACAGTTTTCTTGTGAGGCAATTGGAACTTCAAAATAGGACCCTCTAGTTTTTACTTCTAACTGGATTGCAACCCCCAACCCTTACTGTGGTTTCTGTTACCCTTTATTACGTTTCTTTATGGGTTTTGATGATATGCAAGATTATTCCTTCAAAAGATTATGACTATGTCCTTCAAAAGATGTGAGCATTTTCACTTGGATGAGGCTTTCTGTTTGATATTTCTGGTACATAAACAGGGATTGATTTTCTTTATAAATATTAGCAGGCATGCAACATAGAGCAGGCTCTGGGGGAGCAGACTCGGGACATGCATAGATGATGGGATGGGAGAGGGAGAAGGGAAAGGTGCTGAAGCAAGATGAGGTCATTTATAGCAGGAGTTTGCAAGAGGCTTGAGGGAAGGTTTAGCAGGGGATTCTGAGTGTCCACAGCAGGATCAACAGAAGGCCAAGGCTAGCTCACTCTGGTGTCAGGGACTGAGCTTCATTAAGGGGTCTGCTGGGTTCTGCTGAGGATTCCCAGATGAGCAAGATGAGGTAAAACACAACCAGGAAGTTTCAGAGATGATAGACATCTTAGAGTTCACTTAGTCCTGAATCACACCACAACAACCAATGTCTAGTGATGGTCCAGGCTTTTCTCCAGTACTTCCCGGCATGTGGAAGGCTTTTCAGGGATAATTCACCAATTCCATTTTTTAACAATTTAGCATGGTAGAATCACCATCCCTGTATTTTTCCAGAAGAAACAGCTTCCCTATCCGCAGTAGTGGCAACATCCCCTCCCCAACCCATGCTGCCATCAGCCTTTCTAACTTTGTCTGAGGAGATAAACCCTGCATTGCCTGAGGCAACAGTGATGGCCTCCCATGAGGCAGTTGCCATGATGTGACTCCATGTGACTTCCATCCAGAGGCTCTTGTTCTGCTTTTGGAACTGTACCCAGTAAGCCTGTGACCCTTCCCACAGGCAATGTCTTCAAATATTTTAATAAAAGCTCTTATTTCTCCAGGAAAATGGCCTGGATCTTCTTGCCAGCCTGAGTTCTGCCTGCACACCCTCCAGTCTCTCCCTGTCCCTCAGAATGGTTGCGAATTTTAATCAGCAGTTTTGTGGGGGGTAAAATGGGATCTCTTCTTATTTTAGCATATTTATGTCCTAGCAGTTTAAACCAAATGAAGTCATATATTTCTCATATTCTACTGGTGTAGAGCAATGTCTCTCTTAGATCCCATCTTTTTCTTATTGTTGAAATATCAAGAACTTCCTTTAGAAATGTGTTACACTACTCATTCATTCATTCATTTAACAAATACTCTTTGAGCAACAATTAGGTGTCAGGCACTTTTATAAGCACTGAGTATTTGGCAGTGAATGCAAACTTTCCCTCTTGAAGCTTACATTCAAGTTACAGGAGAGAGATACTTGATGAGTAAGCAAGCAATGCATGGATGACATAAAACATGATAGAGCTGGGTGAGACAGATTTTCTTACAAAGTATGTTGTTACTTCATATACTGTGTATCTCAGCCTCCATATTTTCTCCACACTTTGTGTCATCCACAACCATGGGGAAACAATTTTGTTTGATGGTGATAGCAACTATGACCAACGCCAGGACTGCCACTGCTCCCGCCACCAGCACCATGCACTGATGTCACCAACCACACAAGACAGAGGTTCTGGAAAGATGATGGGATCCATGTGGCCAGCTCAATTGGGTCTAAAAGCACTTCTTAGCTGTGTAACTTGACCACAGTTTCTTGACGTTGAGCCTCAGTTACTTGTAAAACAGGGACAAAAATAACACTTCTTAAAGTTGTAGTGAGGATAAGATGGCAAGTGCATGTAAGGCAAGATCTAGCTCATAGTAAATAGGAGGTATTCAGCAAATGTTAGCTCCCTTTTTTATGTCTCCAGCCCTTATGCTGATAAAAATATCTAATTGAAAAAGGCCGAGAATCAAACCACCAGAAATCTCTCTCATAGAGATGTTACTCAATAATTTAGGGTCTTTGGACACTGCAGGCAGGCTTGAAGTTCATTCAAGTATAATACCAATCTCTCCATGTTTACATGTCTTTTTTCATAAGCACGCCAGCTCAGGAAGGTCACTGAGATGATTATTGTGTATGGGATAGGTTTGTTTGGTAAGGATATATAGGTTTTAGATTGAATTAGATTTCAAAATATGGGATAATATAGAACAAAATAGTTGTAATCTGAATAGAATATAAATTGTAAGCTGTAAGATGAGTTGGAATGGAATAGAGTGGGTGTGATGGTTAATACTGAGTGTCACCTTGATTGCATTGAAGGATGCAAAGTATTGATCCCAGGTGTGTCTGTGAGGGTGTTGCCAAAGGAGATTAACATTTGAGTCAGTGGGCTGGGAAAGGCAGACCCACCCTTAATATGGGTGGGCACCGTCTCTTCAGCTACCAGCATGACTAGAATATAAAACAGGCAGAAAAATGTGAAAAGACTAGACTGGCCTATCTTCCCAGCCTACCTCCTTTTCCCGTGCTGGATACTTACTGCCCTCGAACGTCTGACTCCAAGTTCTTCAGTTTTGGAACTCCGACTGGCTTTCCTTGCTCCTTAGCTGCTTGCAGATGGCCTATTGTGGGACTTTGTGATAGTGTGAGTTAATACTTTATGTCTATCTATCTATCTATATATCTATCTATCTCCTATTAGTTCTGTCCCTCTAGAGAACCCTGACTAATACAGATTTTCATACCAGAAGTGGCTCCAGAGTAAAAGAATATTAAGGATGGAGTTATTTCATTGGTTTTAGGGGTTCTGGAGTTGCTGCTTAATATGATTAGACCCCAAAATGCTAAGGACTCCACTTCTAATAGTATGGAGAACACTGATAGCCCTTGGCATGAACTGTTTAGAGGTTTATGCAAAATAAATGCATTTGACAGTCCTGATTTACCCCTTGTGAGAGGCAAGGAGTTTAGTGACTCTGTACGTAATACCTTTGACCATATATGGAGAACCAAGGAACATAATGAAGCTCCTAAGTTCAGTGGACAAAGTGATGAAAGAAAATGATGAACTCAAGGATTCTATTTATCTCCTGGCTTCAGAAGCAGATATTGAGTCTCAAATGTGCTAAGATTGCCCTGAGTGAGAGTCTTATCTCCTGTAGAGAAAGAAATTGTGAAATTGTGGGAAAACATACACAAGCTCTTATCATGTGAGTGGCTGACCTGCAATGAAAGGTACATGCACAGCCTTGCCAGATGTCTACTGTTAAAGTGAGGGCATTGATTGAAAAAGAATGGGACCCTGGAACTTAGAACGGGGTCATGTGGGAAAACCCTGATGAAGCTGGGGACACTGAGTTTGTAAACTCTGATGAATCTATTTTGCCAGAAGAAACAGCTTCCCCATCCACAGTAGTGGCAACATCCCCTCCCCAACCCATGCTGCCATCAGCCTTTCTACCTTTGTCTGAGGAGATAAATCCTGCGTTGCCTGAGGCAACAGTGATGGCCTCCCCTGAGGCAGTTGCCAGGCAAGATAATGTTGATTCTCCTCAGGAGCCACCCCCAAGACCCCTGTTTGCTTCTAAACCTATAACTAAACTAAAGTCCCAGCAGACCCCTAGAGGTGAGGTTGAGAGTGTGACCCATGAGGAGGTGCTCTACACTAGAAAAAACTTGAGTTTTCTAATTTATATAAGCAGAAATCTGGAGAACAGGCATGGTAATGGATATTAAGGGTGTGGGATAATGGTGGAGGGAACATAGAGTTGGATCAGGCTGAATTTTTTGATTTGGGCCCACTAAGTAAGGACTCTGCATTTAATGTTGCAGCTTTGGGAGTTAAAAAAGGTTCTAATAGTTTACTTGCTTGGTTAGCTGAAACATGGATTAAAAGATGGCCCACTCTGAGCGAGCTGGAAATGCATGATCTTCCTTGCTTTAATGTAGAGGAAGAGGTCCAAAGGCTTAGGGAGGTTGGGATGGTGGAATGGATTAGTCACTTTCAACCTACTCATCCCAGCTGGGAGGGTCCAGAAGACATACCCTTGACCAATGCCATGTGAAATAGATTTGGGAAGGCAGCACCTGTATCTTTGAAGGGCCCTATAATTGCTCTTCTGTGTACATCAGATCTAATGGTGGGAACTGCAGTCACTCAACTACAAAATTTAAATATAATGGGAATAATTGGATCCCTAGGTGGCAGAGGCCAAGTGGCAGCACTCAACCATCAAAGGCAAGGTGGGCATAGCTACCGTAATGGACAGCAGAGGCAAAGTGGCAATCAGAATAGTCTGACTCGTGTAGAGCTCTGGAATTGGCTAATGAATCATTGTGTTCCTAGATGTAAAATTGAAGGAAGCCTACTGAATTTCTACTTAATTTTTATAAGCAGAAAACTTCTAGATCAAATAGACAAAAGACTAATTTGAATTATAAAAACAGAGAATCAGCCCCTCAATCAATTTCCAGACTTGAGCCCGTTCACAGACCCAGAACCCCTTGAATGAAGGGGAGGCTGCGTCCCCTTGAGGAAGGACCCTACTACACTACCGACAATTTGTACTGTTAATCTTTCTCCTATCCTTCCTCAAGGAGACCTCTGGCCTTTTACTAGGGTAACTGTGCACTGGGGAAAGGGAAATGATCAGACATTTCAGAGAAAACTAGACACTGGCTCTGAGCTGACGTTGATTCCAGGGGACCCAAAACATTATTGTGGTCCTCCAGTTAAAGTAGAGGCTTATGGAGGTCAGGTAATTAATGGAGTTTTAGCTCAGGTCCGACTTACAGTGGGTCTAGTGGGTCCCTGGACTCATCCTGTGGTCATTTCTCCAGTGCCAGAATGCATAGTTGGCATAGACATACTTAGCAGCTGGCAGAACCCCCACATTGGCTCCCTGACTGATAGGGTAAGGGCTACTATGGTGGGAAAGGCCAAATGGAAGCCACTAGAGCTGCCTCTACCTAGAAAAATAGTAAATCAAAAACAATATCACATCCCTGGAGGGATTACAGAGATTTGTGTCCCCATCAAGGACTTGAAGGATGCAGGGGTGGTGATCCCCACCACATCCCTGTTCAACTCTTCTACATGGCCTGTGCAGAAGACAGATGGATCTTGGAGAATGACGGTGCAGTATTATAAGTTTAACCAAGTGGTGACTCCAATTGCAGCTACTGTACCAGATGTGGTTTCATTGCTTGAGCAAATTAGCACATCTCCTGTTACCTGGTATGAAGCCATTGACTTGGCAAATGCCTTTTTCTCCACTCCTGTCCATAATGCCCACCAGAGGCAATTTGCCTTCATCTGGCAAGGCCAGCAATATACCTTTACTGTCCTACCTCAGGGGTATATGAACTCTCTAGTTTTGTGTCATAATCTTATTTGGAGGGAACTTGATCACCTTTTGCTTCCTCAAAATATCATACTGGCCCATTACATTGATGACAATATGCTGACTTGTCCTCACTGGAATAGACATTTACTCTGGATATGGTTTTGCCTAATCTGCATGCAATGCTTCTGCCAAGACTACCATCCATGGACTCATGGAATACCTTATCCGCTGTCATGGTATTCCACACAGCATTGCCTCTGACCAAGGCACTCACTTTATGGCTGAAGAAGTGTGGGAATGGGCTCATGCTTATGGAATTCACTGGTCTTACCATGTTCCCCATCATCCTGAAGCAGCTGGATTGATAGAATGGTCGAATGGCCCTTTGAAGTCACAATTACAATGCCAACTAGGTGACAATACTTTTCAGGGCTGAGGCAAAGTTCTCCAGAAGGCTGTGTATGCTCTGAATCAGAGTCCAATATATGGTACTCTTTCTTCCATAACCAGGATTCACAGGTCCCTGAATCAAGGGGTGGAAGTAGAAGTGGCCCCACTTGCCATCACCCCTAGTGATCCACTAGCAAAATGTTTGCTTCCTGTTTCTGCAACATTATTTTCTGCTGGCCTGGAGGTCTTAGTGTCAGAGGGAGAAATACTGCCTCCAACCTTAATTGGAAGTTAAGATTGCCACCTGGACACTTTGGGCTCCTCCTACCTTTTTTTTTTTTTTTTTTTTTTTTTTTTTTTTTTTTTTTTTTTTTTTGAGACGGAGTCTCGCTCTTTCGCCCAGGCTGGACTGCAGTGGCGCTATCTTGGCTCACTGCAAGCTCCGCCTCCCAGGTCATACCATTCTCCTGCCTCAGCCTCCTGAGTAGCGGGGACTACTGGCGCCTGCCACCGCACCCAGCTAATTTTTTGTATTTTTAGTAGAGATGGGGTTTCACCGTGTTAGCCAGGATAGTCTCGATCTCCTGACCTCACGATCCGCCCGCCTCGGCCTCCCAAAGTGCTGGGATTACAGACGTGAGCCACCGCACCCGGCCTGCTCCTCCTACCTTTAAGTAAAAAGGCTTAGAAGGGAGTTACAGTGTTGGCTGGGGTGACTGACCTGGACTATCAAGATGAAATCAGTCTACTACTACACAATGGAGGTAAGGAAGAGTATGCATGGAATACAGGAGATCCATTAGGGCATCTCTTAGTAGTACCATGCCCTATGATTGAGGTCAATGGGAAACTACAACAGCCCAATCCAGGCAGGACTACAAATTGCCCAGACCTTTCAGGAATGAAGGTTTGTGTTATTCCACCAGGAACAAAAAACAGGACCTGCTGAGGTGCTTACTGAAGGCAGAGGGAATACAGAATGGGTAGTAGAAGAAGGTAGTCATCAATACCACCTACGGCCACGTGACCAGCTGCAGAAATGAGAACTGTAATTGTCATGAGTATTTTCTTCTTCTGTTAAAAACATGTTTGTGCATGTATACACTTGTACTAAGAAAATATCTTCATTTTATTTCCTTTTTCATTTGTCATTTGACATAAGATTTATTGACTTCCTATCAGCATTTAAGTATTGTTAAATTTATGTTATAGTATTTGGGTTGGGGATTGGTGTGTTTCCAGTTGTACAAAGGATAGTTGTATTATGTTAGGTATAATTATGACATTATTATTGTCTTTATTTGAAGATTATGTATGATCCCAGGAGATGTGTATGGGTTCAAGTTGACAAGGGATGGACTTGTGATGGTTAATACTGAGTGTCAACTTGATGGATTGAAGGATGCAAAGTACTGATCCTGGGTGTGTCTATGAGGGTTTTGCCAGAGGAGATTAACATTTGAGTCAGTGGGCTGGGAAAGGCAGACTCATCCTTAATCTGGTTGGGTGCCATCTAATCAGCTGCCAGTGGAGCTAGAATGTGAAGCAGGCAGAAAAACATGAAAAGACTAGATTGGCCTAGCCTCTCAGACTACATTCTTCTCCCGTGCTGTATGCTTCCTGCCCTCAAACACTGGACTCCAGTTCTTCAGTTTTGGGTCTCCTACTGATTTTCCTTGCTCCTCACCTTGCAGATGGCCTATTGTGGAACCTTGTGATCATGTGAGTTAATACTTAATAAACTATCCTTCATATATACAAATATATATATGCTATTAGTTCTGTCTCTCTAGAGAACCCTGACTAATTCAGTGGGAGAGGGTGAGATGGGGTGGGATGATTAGAATAAAACAGGATCAAGGGAACTTGGGAGCAGAATGGTATAGAAGATAATTGCATGGAAACCAGGTGGACATGTACAACAATCAAAGAACAGAGACATTTCTTAGTTTCTTTACTCTTCTGTGTCTTTTTTTTTTTTTTTTTTCTGCAGAGAATCTGAACATAACTGCAGTGAGCATCTTGGATCTCCATGTGTTTTGTGCAACTCGATGCCAGTGTTGACACAGACTTAATGCTGCCACTGAGGGATTTGTGCTGCTGCTTTAATGTAACTCTTCTGCAGTGGCTTTATGGCCCTGCTGTCCAACTTAATAACCACAGCTCGTTGTTTGGCGCATGGGTCTCTCTTTGCCCTAAATGCACAAGGAATGGGAAGGACGTTGGGACCATCTGTGTAAGACAACTGTGTCTGTTTCTGGGGAGTGTCTGGTTAGGGCCTAAAGGCCATGTCACCCTTAGATTTTTAACAACTTCCTGACCCAATAGGGTAGTTTTCTCAAGGGAATGCTCTGTGCAGTGTCTATACAAGCTAAAAGAACTGTGATGTCTTGAGTGTACAACTTCTCTTGTAGATGTTCTGACTCTCTGAAAGTTGATATATTCAGACCTACTGCTCCTGTACCCCCATCTAGCTCCAGCAGGGTTTACATCATGGCCAAGTTTCTCTTGACATGTGAGTGTTATGTGGCACCTCCAGGAGTAGTTCTGGCTGACAGTTATTTGGTCATCGTTATTCTCCTGCTCTACCTTAACTGAGCATCATCTGGGCTTGTGGTTAGAATGCAGTTGGGAGTAAAGATTCCTAGGCCTGGGTTTGCCTGGGAATCCTTTCTCCCCTTGGGATCCTAAGGGGAACATTGCGAATGCTGAAATGTTGGCCTTACAGAATGTGAGTGTGGTGTAAGAGAAAGAATATGGGTTTTGAAGGCAGACAGCCTTGTGAGCAGGGCCAGGCCTTGGGTGAGGCAAGGTATTCACTTTCACATTTGTTTAGATGCAGAGTCAGCCCCAGAGAGTCAGGACCTCCTGCAACTTTGTACCTTAGGCACTTCACTTGCCTCACCTAATCCTGGCTGTTTTTGCATGGTTCAAATCTGTGTTCAGCTACTTCCTAGCTGGGGCTTTATGCTAGCTATTTCACCTCACTGACCCTTATTTTCCTCACCTGTAAAACAGGCAGCCTAATGCTTACCTCTCAGGATTCCAGCAGGGATGAGGTGGGGTATCACAAATAGGACATGAAGTAGAGGAGATGCTTAGAGAACATCTCTCTACCTCTAGCATACACTTCCTCCCTGAAACTTATAAATAAACAACAAAAGAAAACAATTAGATGACAACAAAGACCTTAATGCAGTGGCTAAGGGCTATAGTTAGTTTTCTCATGGAGACTGAATATAAGTCCCAAGAGATCTCTCAGATTGGAGCAGATCTGTCACATGTAGTAGGAGCCAAAGGGCCAAACTTAAACATAGGATCAAATCTCACGGTTTTAATGCCTTGCTATAGCTTCAGGGAAAATCCTTACCTCTCTTACCATAATGGGCAAACAAGGGCACAATCATAGGAAGCAGATTGCATCTGTGATGCTGATAGTTTCACCTCTAAGTTGTCGTAGCTAAAGGCATGATTGCTGATGAGCTCCAAAAGGTATCTAAAACCATCACCTACACAGGTCTATGTCTGATAAAAATTATTCACAGTAGGGTAAAGGGGAGCCTTCTTATGACTCTTACCCTACCTGCCATGCCCCTCCATCCCACTCCTTCCAAATCCTACCTTCTCCTTGAAGTCCATCTTATGCCCCATCATCTTTGAAGTTATTCTAGCTACTCCAGCTCACTTTTGTTTCTTTTCCCACTCTGCTTTGGAGATAGTAATTTCAAGTCCTTCTGGGGTTGAGGTTAGAATAAAGTTGGGAGCCAAGATGGTGGTACCAACTGTGTGTCAGGCACCGTACTAGGCTCTGATCTCTGCTTCCCTTGATATCACTGAGGGTGTTCTGAACTTCTCCTGAAGCTGGGGATCACCTAATGGAAGCAAAGGGCATCAGAACCAGGGCAAATCTTTGGAAGCAAGTGATACCCAAGGTCACACACACGTGGCTTAATGACAAAATCTAGGCTGGATTCCAGCCCTTTTAAACCAAGTCTTCTTGCCACAATAACTCCATAATTTTCACTTAATTATGTGCTGCTGCCCTGTAAATACCCACTGCATGGCCAGGTAACTAAAGACCTTCAACTAGCCAGATAGTGATGTACTGAAAGGAGGAAATGAAACTTGATCAATGTTGTATCCCTATGATGCCCAGCACAACATCTAGTACACAGGAGAAGATCTTAAAAAGATTGCAAACAAAACCCCAAGTCCACAAATACCTTGCTGACTTGGTTTCACCTGTACTAGAGGCATTCACGTTCCAAAAACAATTTCTTCATGGGCAGGAGTGGTGTTACCAAATGAGATTGATTTCCAGTGTTAGCCACTACAGGAGTCCAACTGGGCATAAACTTTTGGGGCTATAAAAAATATGCCTTTCATATCCCATATCATAAACAGCTACCCAGCCCCCAGTGTTGGAGTCTGATGGAATTAAGGTGACTGAGAAAAATATAATTAATATGGTCTTAATTATGGCAGTAATAATACCTACCTCCATCATGAAAATGTAGGATATTAAGTTAATGATACTAAATTTCTCAAGGGTAATAAGACCCTTTAAGATGAGTTAATTTGAAAGTTACTAATATGATTAGAGAATAGAAATAGACATATTTAAAAGATTCCCAAGGGGCAAGCAAACATCAATATATAAGTAAATTGTGTAGTCAATCAGTCAACAACCTAAAAAAAAATGTTAGGTGCTGGCTGTAGAAAAGTAGAAGGTGGTACCCTTGTTTTTGTACCATATATAATGAGATACAACAAGCAAAATATAAGTCTCTTTGCCCCCAATTTACATTACAAGTACATTAGTACAGAGATCTCTCCTTCTTTCCACTTCTTACCATTCATCCTGCATTACTTGTTTCAACCTTGCATTGTTCTGCTCCTCAGTCAGACTTGTAGACCTTTGAAGTTAAGAGCTTATCTCGTGTCTCTTTGTGTTTTCAACTCCTAGCATAGTATTGGCATCTAATTGGTACCCAGTAAGCATTTCTTACAGCTGGAGATTAATTACCAAAAGAGTCATAACTGTGAGCCTCGTTACATTGGAAGGCTTTCACAAAGAAAGTGGGACTTGACAAAGGATAGTGCTTGTAGGAGAGAAATAAAAGCTAAGGATAAGTAAGTAGAATTGGCTTCTTGAGGGTATTCACCAATAGGCTCAGGAGTTTAGAGTTTATTGTTCAGCAATGGGGAAGCATTGTTGATAATGAATGCATTGGTAGTGGGAGTTCTGTGTTCTAGGAACGTTGCTCTGAATATAGTACTAAAATACATAATAGGTTTTCTCTAGGTGGTTCTGTGTCAGCTACCAGCTGGGTCCACACATTTTCCCTACTACTAGATCAGCTCAGCTCAGTTTTCCAGGAAATTACAGACTAAGGCATGCAATATATTTGTAGTTTCCCTGAGGTGTCTTTCTAGTGTGCTTTAGAATTAGCTTATCCATCTAGACCTGGAATTGTGTTATGATATATGTTGTTACCAGAACATCTTTTGTTATTAGTAACATTCTGTATTTACTGCATCAATGATAACCCCATATTCCAGCGCTGTCCCCACGTTGCAAACTATTCCTAATTTTATCTTCTTCTAGATCCTTCTTCCTCCAGTCTTAACCTGAACATTTCTTTTGCTTCCATGTTGTAATGTGAGGTCTGAAATTAACATGCAATATTAAATGCTGGCATCACATCTTTGAGCTCCAAAGGCCTAACCACGAATTCCCCTGCTCTCATCAGATATGACCCCCGCTTAGTAGGAAAACCTTTCTACTCAGTTCCCTAATTAGCAGGACCAGCTGTACACCAACAGGTCAACCCATGAAATCATTCAAACAAGCTAATTACATCCACTTGTGGAAATTGGGGGTCACTTCATCCTTTTGTTACTACAAAAATTGTCTCCAGGAGCTTGTTCCCTCTATTCTTGAGTGCAATGCCTGTGTGGTCCTTCATGGTGTGTGGTGTCCTGCTCCCCGAGGCTGTGAGTAAACATGAGTAATGAACTGCTGTCCGGCTCGTCTGTCTCCTGTAGGTGTTGTGTTGCCACCTCATATTACTGAGTACAAGAGATTCCCCTCCCACCAATAGAGTGAATAGGTGGTGATCAGGACATATGCCTTTTTCCATCCAGTTACTTTACACATCAATTGCTGACCCTCCTGATTTTTCTTCATTCAGTGGCTGAAGAAAAGATGGTGGGACTTCTCTTTGGTCCTGTTATCCTTCCCCAGCTGGTAGGGCTCTTGTGTAGATGATTACTGCTGAGTGTTAGTCTTCTGAGAACTGAGCAGTGTCTAAATTTCTTGATGCTGGGGTTTAGTGTCTAGATGGAGATAGATAGTTTACCCTGTACATTTATGTCATTCATTCAATTACTGGCCTTTACTGAGCATTTATGAAGACTGCATCCTGAACATACAAAGAAGTGTAAAGTAGCATGGCCTCAAGACACCCACATTCTGGTTGGGAGACAGACAATAATATCAGTAATTTTGACATAGACAGATATATGCTCTAATAATGAAATATCTGTAGTATCATGAAAATCCAGAGGGAGAGAAAATAGAAGAACCTCTGAATTTAGCCAAGGATAAGAGGTTTGAGAAGATTTCCAAGAGAGTAGAATGTTTTTGAAGGTCGGGTGATTATGCCACCTGGATGGTTTGGGAAGAACATTCCAGGCCAGGGGGACATTATGTGCTAACATTCATAACACTTCTTACCACCTTTGTTGCTATAATTCTTGTTTTGCCTACCATCATCTCTTGCCCAGGTCACAGCACTACTTTCCTGGCTCCCTGTTCCTGTCATTGCCTGCATATAGTCTATTTCATTCCAGTGGCCAGAGTGTTTTTTTTTTTTTTAATGTAAATTACATCAGGTCACTCCCTATAAGGGCTCCATATTTCACTGAGGGTAAGCCAAAGTCCTCACAATATCCAAGACCTTACAGTACCTGGCCCCCTTAACCTTTCTAGCCTCCTCTGTTATTACCCTCCCCCTTTACTGACTCTGCTTCAGTAACAGCTGGCCTTCTTTGAGGCTCTTTGGCGTCCATTCCCTACTGCAGGGCCTTTGCACAATCTGTTCCTTTCACCTAGGACACTCTTCTCCCAGATGGCAGCATGGCTCCCTTCCTCAACTCCTTCATGTCTTTGCTCAAGTCTTCCCTTCTTAATGAGCCTCACTCTGAGCCTGCCATTTAATTGTAAACCATAAAATTTCTCACGACTCCCCTTTATCCTGCTTTCCTTTTCTGTTTGTTTCATCCTCTTCTTTTATGATTTACTGTTAGTTTTCATTTCTTGTCTGCCTTTCTATCTTTGGTAGGTTGAAAGGTCAAAGGTAATGAGAGTTTTTGCTGGTTTTTTTTTTTTTTTTTTCCCATGGATATAGCCCAAGGTACCCAGAACAGAGCCAGGTACATAGTAGGCACTCAATAGATAATTACTTGTCATCAAATGAATGACTGGATGAACCATAGACTGTGATGTACTGGGGTTTTGCAATCTGACTGCAACATCTGAATGCTTTCAACAGGCGCCACTGAAGACCAGTGTACCGGTAGACAACAGCCAGGTCACAGAGGACTTTATATGCCCTGGAGGAAAATTTCCAACTTTATCATGAGGGAACTAGGGAGCCCCTCAGGAATTTTGAACAAGGGAATGGAAAAGCATGGTTACATATCTATTCTATTAATTAAGATAGGAAATCCAGGGGGATAGCACTTTAGTGAAATCTTGGTATTTTAACTTTGAGGTATGAGACATAATCTGAGAAAGTCAGAAATCTGCTGGTGAAATTTGGCAGACACATCAGAGATGCAGTGGTACCTGGGCAGCGGTGGGAGATGGACTTGGAGTCAGTAGACCTTGCTGAAATCCTGGCTCTGGACTGCTTAGCAGGATGATTGTGCAGAGAGAAATTAGATGTCCTGAGCTTCAAACTTCTCATTTCTTTTATTTATTTATTTCTTTTTTGAGAACTTCTATCACCCAGGCTGGGGTGCAGTGGTGTAATCGTGGCTCACTGCAACCTCTGTCTCCTGGATTCAAGCAAACCTTCTACCTCAGCCTCCAAAGTAGCTGGGACTATAGGTGTACAACACCACTCCTGGCTAATTTTTTTGTTTTGAGTAGAGAGAGGGTTTCACCATGTTGTCCAGGCTGGTTTCAAATCCCTGGGCTCAAGTAATCCATCTGCCTCAGCCTCCCAAAGTGCTAGGATTATAGGCATGAGCCACCACGTCAGGCCGACTCATGTCTATTATTTGAAGAGCAGGTGAAGATTCAACAGGATGATATGTATGAAGTGTCTGATGTATACTTAATTTGTTTATTGTTCTGACTTTCTCACGAGTGTGACATTATGCATGTCTGTGGCATCTAGGAGGTACCTATACAAAAGTTGGGAGTTACCTAGTAAGAAGTCAGAGGACAAGAGGGCAAAGGGTGTAGCTTAGGGACTGCCATTTGGGTGTGGGGGTTAGGCATATACCCCACGTGCTGAGAGGTGCCTGTGGGGGGTCTGCACTTCCCCTGCAGTATTCCTATAATGGAGGGAGCAAGATATTAAATAGTACATACAAATATTTGGAAAAATGAAAAAGGTCTTTCCTCTGCTGTTTGAGCAAGGAGACCTGCATTTTCATTTTTCTACCAGGCCCCCCAAATTCTGTAGCCTGCCCCAGGAAGGAGCATCTCCTGGAGAAGCAAGGGGGCTGCAGGGCAACCTGCAAGGGTCAGCTGGATTTGAGCTTACACATTCTTGGTGGGCCCAGCAGCCCAGAAGGAATGTAGGAAGTAGGGGGCAATTAACTGAGGGCTGGGCATGACCAGGTGAGAATAGTGGAACTTTGCAGGGGCAAAGAAACTACTGGTGTTAGCAAAAGAAAAATTCAAATGATCACAGCTTAGACTGGAGAGAGAAAGAATTCAAATCAAAAGGAAAAACGTGAAAACGCAGGATGAGAAATAGATTTAGAAGGAGCAAGGCACAGAGGAATGTAATATCATGGAAGATCTGACCAGAAAAAGGAATTTGAGGGTTCGGTTCATTATTTTTTTCCAAAGTAGAATATTTCCAAAGGAAGTTTCCTTACATCTCATTAGTAAAGTTTTTAATTTGCCTTTTTTTTTACCCTGTATTTGCAAACAAAACATTGCTCTCAGATTCAAGATTTAGACTTCTGAATCATAGTACAACTCATTTTTTTTGTATAAGTAACATATGTTTGGTGTCTTTAAACACAATTACTTTTGTATAATAAAAGTGTTGATTTGATGATGCGACATTTTCTGCAAGTGTGTTTAAGAGAGTTTATGTTTTCATAAGTTGCAATGAAACTCAATTATGTATGTGTAATAAGGCTTCTGATTGTTACACTTAGACTTTTCTGTATAATGAAGCCAGCAATTAGAATTTGCTTGCTCTATGGCTTACGAAAACACGCTTGTTTTGGAGACAAAAGCCTCTTAATGAGCCCCCTTTTTTGTTAATTTTTTTTGTTGTTAAAAACTAGTCTATAACTCAAACATATAATTAGATTTCTTAAAGGTTTGAATTTTTGTTGTTGTTATCTTTTTCTCTCTAAACACAAAACAAAGCAAAAAGCGATAACTTTAAGGCATACATCGTTTCAAAGCTGTGAATGCTGCTAAGATCTGCAGTTTCACCTTAGAGGAACCCCCAGTGTATACTGAGGTCGTGTTTCACTAAGGAGGTAGAGACCAGGGCATAACGCTAACTTAAGAAAGAAATGTTCTTTCTAAGCATTGCATAGGAGTTGGCCTGGACACTGCAGAGTTGGGCACTGGTGTTCTCTATGATCTCAGCCTCAGGGGTAACCTGGAGCCTTGGCTCAGAAACAGAATCCCACCTCTGCTCCCTAGTGGCTACTGCTTGCGTCAGAGGCCTGCTAGAGCTACAATGGATGAGCCATTCTTGGACCAATCCAGTGAGTGAGGACAGAGTTTTCTCAGTGGGCTGTAGAACCTTCCTTGCCTTCTCCCTTTC
The DNA here is from genome assembly GCF_000001405.40 of Homo sapiens. Taxonomy (NCBI): domain Eukaryota; kingdom Metazoa; phylum Chordata; class Mammalia; order Primates; family Hominidae; genus Homo; species Homo sapiens. The sequence continues at coordinate 37,890,297 of NC_000018.10, forward strand.
CATCTTATAACCTGCAGCCCCTGTGGCAGCTGCTCATGGTGCCCTGTTCGATGTTGGCCGTTCATTTTATGGCTGGCCATTCACGTCGTTTTTGCAGATGGCTATTTCTGTCCTGCTTGATCAATATGTGAGGAAGAACCTGTGGGCCTAAACATCCCTCATCATGTGTCAGTTTGAAGGAAACCCTTCTACCTTCAGAACTGTTTTCCTTTAAGCCTATGATTAAAAAGGACTTACTCTTAGAAGTGCTAAACTTTTTATTATTAATCATTAATAGCATAAAAAGTTTATTTCTGTAATACTATACTAATTGAGAGAAGGTTTTCAGTGGTATATCAGTTAGTGTCCAGTGACAAAAACACAGGAAGCTCTAGGTATTTCAAGCAGATGAGGATTTAATACAGGCACTTGGGTTGCACATGTGTTGGAATGGCTGAAGAGAACAATGACAATGTGGCTTTGCCCAGCACTCAGGAAGCAGCACTTGCTGGCTGGAGCTACACAGCAGGTAGATATTGCTGCCATTGAAATCATCGTCCTTTGCTGCCAGAAGAAAACCACAAACTTAAGCCCTGATGCTGAAATCCCCAGTGATATTGCCAGAGTCTTCCATTGCCTGCAATTCCCTGTGGTTGTTGACAGAGTTAGGAGAAGAGTGACATCCCCTTACCTTCTGCCTTCCAATCTCCAGTGAGTGCCTCTCCACAGCAGTCTACTCTGGCCAAGGATTCTGGGTGGCAGTTTCCAGGCTTTCAGCCTCAGGAATAGAGGGAAGCAAGCAGGGTAGAATTGGGTCTGAATATCAGTACACACTATCTGGCACACTGAGTGCATGTGATGTGGTTGGGAGATGGATCTCCTCCTGAAATCCTAAATCTCATTATCTTGCCTGTAGGTCTGGGTTGGGCAGTCTGGATCCCATGGAAGTAATCGCTGCTGACAACTCCCAGAAAACCCCAACCACAGCTGTGGATTTCATGTTCAATCAACTCTCTGAGCAGTGGAGGAGGGAAAACATAGGGCATTCTGTTGGGAGTTATCAATATGATGAAAGACAGGCCAAGTCTGACCGCTGGAATTAACAATCTCCAAACTCAAGAAGTGTCCTATTCAGTCTCTTCTCAGAGGCAGACTTTTAAATCTTAAACAAAGGATCCAATTAAATTTGATCCAATTTAAATCCATTCAGCTTAGAAACCTTTATTAAATATCTACGATGGATTGTGCCCTGGGCTAGAGAATGCAGGTTTCCACATTTGTGGCTGGCAGGTCGACACTGTGCTGGCACTTGTAGATTCAAGTTGGAATAGACTCCTGGTCCCCTGAACCCTTGGTTTTGGTTTCTTTGTTATTTAATTGCATAGACTGCATATCCTTTTGGGAGAGGCACCGTAACCCCCATTTCACATAAAAGATGATTTATGTTGAGAATTTCCTCTGTGGTAGGCACTGAGCTGTGCACTAGAAAAGCCCATCTCATTAAATTTTGCCACAACCCTGGAATTAGGCTTATCCTTAAACATTTTTTTTGTTTTGTTTTTCCCAGTAGATGAAGAAATACAAGCTCTGATAAGCTGAAGTGAACAAGGTGGCCACCAGGCTGTTGTCAGAAACACATAGTCTTTAAGACCTATGGTTGCAACACTAAGATGTACTGCTTCTGGCATAAGACTGAGAATCAGCAAGCTAGTCCAAGGTGTTGTGGCACTGTCCAGCTTAAAGGCTTCTTCCACTTGCTTGCACAGACCTGGAACTTAGGGGATCTCGTTTTTATCCCAGCTTTGCCATTCCCAAGCCACATTCCCATCCTTGGCCTCCATTATCTCATATGAAGAATCAAAGATGGAATAAGAGATGGCCTCCATAGAAGCTAGGCTTGCATAGGGTTGTTCTGTAGCTTGGATTTTCCCTGTCTTATTCCAAGTCTAATTTTCCCACCCATCAAATCTGTCTTCTTATCACCTATTTCACAAGTCATTCTTGTTTTATAATCTCATCAATTGATTGCATTATTGCCCTGCCTGTGATATTTCCTCTTTCCTTTCTCTTTGCCCAGATTAAACTTATCCTCCAAACCTTGCTTCCCCCAGGTCACCTCCAGCCTAACCACCAGAATGCCCAGTGCTCTCATCCTCCTTGGATCTCCTTTAGCACATATTTTTGTTTTTATTTTTATTTTGGGGAGACAGGGCCTTACTTTGTCACCCAGGCTGGAGAGGAGTGGTGTGATCATGGCTCACTGAAGCCCCCACCTCCCTGGCTTAAACATCCTCCCACCTCAGCCTCTCGAGTAGCTGGGACTACAGGCATGTGCCACCACATCTGGCTAATTTATTTATTTATTTTGTTATTCTGTAGAGATGGGATCTTGCAATGTTGCATAGGCTGTCTTGAACTCCTGTGCTCAAGCAGTCCTCCTGCCTTGGCCTCCCAAAGGGCTGGGATTACAGATGTGAGCCATTTTGCTTTGCCTAGCACATATTTTTGTCTGAACTTCCCACCTGACACATTTAAGTGACAGGGCATTCTATTAGCTTTTCATGTGAGCAATCCTTGTTTCACCAGTATTTGACCTTTCAATCCATGGGCTATATATGTGCCATACTTTAAAAATATCCCCACAGTACCTACTATGTAAGTCAGCACATGGTAGGTATTACTAATTGCCAATTAGTGAAGGACCTGGGGAATGACCTATATATGTGTTACTAGTTCAAGGAGGGAGAGGCCAATGTGACCTATAATAGTTAGGAAGGGTTCTCCTAAGGAGGTGGACCTTTAGAGTAGAGCTTTGAAGTTTGGAGAAAATTGAGAAGACAGAGTGATTCAGGAGGGAGAGTGTAAATGGCACAGCACAAATAAAGAGCATGCAGGAAAAACAACATGATGTTGGGGGATGCTGCAGGGAGAACTGGCTAGCTGAAACATATCAGCAGATTAGGCTGTGAGGAGGTGGGTTCAGGATGTGGAGCCCATGAGAATAGACTGGCATAAGAGGGTGGTTAATTTAAATCAGAGAGGTCCTCAGCATGTCCTATGTACTGGGGAGATAAAGTTAAGGAAGATATGACCTCTCTTGGTTATACAAGAGTTTATAGTCAAAGCAGGGGATGAAGACAAGACCACAAAGAGCTTTCACACTCAGAAGAATATAATCCATGTCAGCAGGAGAGAGATGCTTCTGGGGCTTAGGGGTAGGCTTAATGAACCCTGGAGTGTGGGGCTTCCAGGCCTGGATCCTGGAGACAGAGGCCTGGGTTTAAATCTCAGCTGTAGCACTTACTATCTGCCTTGTTGTGTGCAAATCCCTTGTTTCTCTGGCCTGTGTTTCATCATCCATAAAATTGGATTAATAGTAGTGCCTAATCATAGGGCTATTGTGAGGATTAACTGAGACTGTGGATATGAAGTAAAGCATAGTCTAGGGCCCTTGTATGTACCCCATAGATGTTAGTGATTATCAAATATTGAAAAGAGGAGAAGATGACTCATGATTGAGAGGAGCCATTATGGACCTCATGAAGGTGCCATCTGGGGTGGACTTTAAGCAAAGGGTGACACTTAGCAGGTGGTGACTCGAAGCCAGGGACAGCAGACAGCCTGGGAAACTGTGAAATTGAGGATGTGGCTGACCCTTATGGGGATGAATACATAGCCCTGTTTTCTGGAAGTGAAGGATGAGTTACAAGGAGAAGATGTGATAATTTGGAAAGACAGGTGAGGGCTATGCAGGTCCTTACATGACAGTTTGATATGTTTATGCAAGTGATTAAGTGACTACAGGAATATGAGCCTGGTATTACTACAGACAGAACCAGGTGACACTAAGCATGGGCCCAGGATGGAACCCAGAGTAGGACAAAGGCCAGAGGGGCTCTATCCCCCAGGCCTGCAGTGGTTAACCTGTTGAGGCAAATTCATTTTTTTTCAAAGTCAGTTTCACAGAGAGAAAAGCACATGAATCCAAATTCCCAAAGACAGCAATCCCCAGCGGCGCCAAAGGTAATGAAACATTGGTATCTGCTGCTCCTATCTGTTATTGCTGATATTCAGATAATGATGCCAATACCCAGCTTGGGAGGGAGGAAGAAATGCTGCTGGGGCAGCTTGTTCAGCTCATCTCCTGGAGGGTTGAAAGGAGGGGGGATGAGACAGGCAAAGAAGAAGGTGACCCTAGAAAACCAAACCCTCTTCCTCAATCTGGCAAAATAAGTCACTCACTATTTCAAGGAGCCATCTGAGAATGCCTGAAGACTCCCACCCCTCCAGCTGGCTGCGGTACCTGGACTAATAGCAGTTCCTTGTCATATGTGGATAGTCTTTTATCATTTCAAAGTGCTTTTGCATCTAATATCTCATTCAGTGTTCATCAGGAGAAAACCTGCACTCAGGAGGTAATAGGACTCATGCAGGGGACTTGGCCTAGCCTCATTTTGTCATCTTTAGCTCACATAGCAGCTCTTGAAGGGATTAGGTCAAAGTGGGGAAGACGGAAGATGAGGATGCTCTTCTGGAGCTGTCTGGTGGATTCAGGATCAGAGCTGGAGGAGGAGGGGCTGAGTGGCAAGCCTGTCTCTCCTGTCCCATCCACACCTATGCAGGCCTTGACAATGGATCGTACAGGCTTTTCTCTGAGCCTAGACACAGCCTCAGGGTCTCTTAAAACAATGCTGAGAGTCCACTACTAATTGATCAGAGCTGGCACTTGGGACAAAATCTATTTGCTCTCCCCGCATTAAGGTATTGTCCAGAGTTTCTCTTTGTTAAAATGTCAATACTTGTGGAATGTTAATGTATTAAGCCATTATCAGCCCCTGGCACCTTCATGTGAATTCATTTGTCAGATTGCTTTGTGCAAGCTCTCAGAGGAACTGAGCTGGGATAGAAGAGCTCGTTTCCTAAGGAATGCCAGGCCTGATGGGAGCGTGGAATGATTAGCAGTGGTTCCTCTATCAGATATTCAGATTGCTTAGCAATCTCTTAAGAAGATGTATTGTCTGTACTCAAGAGATACAGCATGGAACCTTGGGCAAATCACTTAACCCCGTTAGGTTCCATTTCTTAATCTGAAAAATGAAAATAATGACATCTACTCCACCCACTTACAGAAGAACTTTGAGAATGAAAGTCCTCTGAGATGTGTTTTGTATTTTACAAAGTATTATACAAATGCAAAGTCTGAACATTTAGCTACGTTAGGAAGAGACAAGCTCTCATTCCTCAAGTCGAAAGCACATGAAGGGTAAAAGAAAGAGAGGGAGAAAAAATTAATATTTATGAGGTTCCTGATTGCCATTAATCTTAAATATATTATCCCATTTAATTTCCACATCCACCCCATGAGGTTGATGGTATTGAGCCTATAGTCTTACAGATTACATAGCCAGTGTTTTTTAGAGATAAGGTCTGAACCCAGATGTCTCTAAGCACTCTTTGGTACATCAAAATCCAAGGCCTAACCTGGGCACACTCTTGCTTTCTTCTTTCCTAAATTCTTCCCCATGAAATGAGTTAGGGTTCATGGGTCAGAAAGACACAAGTCAGGATCAAGCAGGTGCCCTGGGACTAGAACGCCTGCAGATGGCAAGGCTGCATAGGGATTTGGAGACATACAGGAAATGATTACGAAGTCACAGTGGAAAATCAGAAACCTGTTCATCAGGTGCATGTGCAGGATAAGAGGTACAGACAGCCAGCCTGGGGCCGAAGCCTCAAGGAGATATTTGCACTAGTACACTATCCTCAGGGGAGAAAGACCAAGTCATGGAGGGGCAAGGCTGGATTTCAGGTGCAAGTAGCATATGTTGTTGTCAGTGGTCCGAATATAAATTCTGAGTTCAAATTCTCCAGATATTCTGAAAACATTGTGGATATCTTATCATCTATTCAAGTTATTGGCTGTCATTGTATTAAAAGAATTATGCAGTATGAGTACATATGACCCAAATGATGTACATTCATTTAAACACTGAGCAGTGCAGTGGTACAAATACATGCTGATTATCTCGTGTCCTTTTAGTTGGCTTTCCTGTGTCTGAAAAGTTGCCTGGAGTTTGGAGCACCATGATAAAGCAATCACACACATTCTCTGTGCACCTTGGGTATGGCTATGTGAGTTTGATAGTTTGGGAATAAGTGACCCAAGCCAATAACTCCTTCATCCTTTCAATGTCCCTCAAGGAAACTGTGGCACAGAAGACAATTTCATTGTTAACAACTGATATTTTTTCATGCTCTTGTACCTAATACCTCAAATTAAATATATTTGGCCTACTGGACCAAAAAACATGGAACACTTTTTAAGTACATATATATGCTAGTTAAGCACAGTTTCTACCAAATGCCAAAGCTGGCATTAAAGGAATAAAATGGAATGCTATAACCAGTGGCATAGAGCTAGCCCACGTCCACTGCCCTGTGGTTTTGCTTCGTGTGGAAGAGAAAGCCAAGAGTAGTTATGTGAAGAGAAGAGGCAATGGGTCCACTTGTCCATTTGCAGCAAGAAGAAGGAATCTGCAGAAAGATGGTCTGTTCTGGCTCTTTTATTGATGTGCAAATCTGTAGAGTTGTGCTTCTGGAAAGCTGAAGTAAAGAAACTTTAAGGATGCAGGAGGAACAAAGGAAAAACAGCAGTAGAAACAAGAAAAGCCTATAGGAGCAGGCCCAGTTTGTAGACTGTAACTCAGCTTCCAGGTCCAGAAGATGTTATATGTACATGGATGTAGACTTTAAATAATAGCTGTGGCTTCTCCAGTAGTTCAGTAGAGTTCCAAAATGACATTCAAAGCTAGCCCAAAGCCCTGGTCCTGGCAGAATCAGGCCAAGGCTACACTGGGAAGACATTCTGGCTCTTTTATGGATGAAACGACAAATCATAAAAAAAGGGTTTAATTTGGTTTGTGAAGTCCTAAGGAATAGAAGCAGAACCCAGCAATGGTCATTGAGAGATGCATTTTGGCTCATTATATGATAACATCAAAGCAGAGTGACCCAAAGATGGAGTATTTTGCCTTAGGCTCTTATGTCCCTGTGCCTGGGCTGAGTTTACTTAGGGTGTTAAAATAACTGTTTCCCAAACCAGACTGAATGTTAGGCTTACCTGGGGAGTTTCTTGAAAAATACAGATTCCTAGCCTCCATCACTGGAGATTAGCTTCAGCAGGTGATGGGGTGAGAACTAGGAACTTAACGTTTTGAACAAGATTCCTGAGTAACTCTTGTTCATGGAGCATCTGGGAAATGGTTTTATAGAGAGTATTAAACCGTTGTTTGGGTTGTTGTATTCAATGTTCTACAAACCCATTCCCTACCTGAACCCTAAACCAATTCGAATCCCAGCCTCAAATCCACCCCGATTCTCCTCTAGCTCTTCCATCCTGAGCAAGTCAGGTTCTTCTGTGGCTCTCTGATTGTATTCAGTGCTCCTCTTGGAGGTTCTGCCTTCTGCTAGACTTGATCCCATGGCTCTCACCCCTCCCCAGATCTCTGTCTATCACTTTTCCTTCAAGAGAAAGAACTTGATCACAGCAACAGTAGTTCCCAGTCTAGATGAACCACATGAGATTATTCAGGATTTTATGTAAACAATGCTAATAGTTTATCAGGAAGCACTCATGTAGAAAGTAATTAATAACTTTATTATTTTTATTAGTATTGATAATTATTATTTCTCAAGAGTTTAATGAAGTTTTTTTAAATGAAAGTACTGGGGGTCTTTATCAGGTTTCTATCAGTCACCCCCTCCATCACCCATATGTCATTTTACCTTGTGTGTATTTGATGAGAGGAGGGTCAACTGAATCTTTTTGTTATCTTATGCATTTGGATACAAAATAAATAGCAGGAAAAGGAAATGGTCACCTCACAATCCAGTCATGTTAGAAATTTCTCTCCTCCCTTGGTCTGTAGGAGTGACTCTTCGCCATGTGACTCTGACACTTGCATGGGAAAATATACAGGTTTGGGCAGCACCTCCCACCCCTGGAAGGCCTCTGTGTGCCCCAGGCAGCCAAGGCCATTCTTAGTATCAGGGCTTATTTAAGGTCCCTTGGCCACACCATTTAGGGATCAGGCATGTGAAGCCATAACCTGTGGATGGGGGTATTGCCTGATATAAGTCAACAACAGAGAGGACAAAAAGAGCCCATCAGGGAGAAGGACATCTGTCAGGGTGGTGTGGAACAGCAGTCTGGTGGTGGGAAGCTGCACTTGAACCTATCCTGACCCAGTGCTTCTGAAGGATTGATGCTCACTCGGAAGGAGACAGCACCAGACTGCTGTCGGGAACCTTCCTCAAGGTCTGGCCGTGAGAAAAATGGAGAGAGAGAGTTCCAGAGTTGGGCTCCAAAGCTTAGTGCCTCACCACTGGAAGCAGCAGCAGTGATGACCACCAAGGATCTGGATGCTGAAGGCAAATGGAAAGCCACCCATGAACTGCAGGGAGCCCCACAGCTGGAAGTAGGAGGCTACACAAATGCAAAAAGCAACAAACAGAGGATTTGGCGACAGCCATACACAATGTGAGAAATGCTCCCTTCCCACATTTGGGGACACAGGGAGGGAGAGCAGAGCCAAGATCTCTCAAAAGGTGAATATGTTGATTCTGTGACTTTAAGGACAAGTTGCAGTACAATGACCCATCTAGGGACCAGTGAGTGAGCAGCCATAGGGGACATTCAAGGTACACTTATGATTTACTCACATTATTGCAGGTGGAATTGGGAAGTCATCATGACAGGGAGAGAGATATGGTTTGATCTGAGAAATGAAATGGAGTTAGAAGAAAAAACAGATTACACCACAGTCAAATCATAATATCCTCTGTCCCTCCCTTCCTTATTGGGAACTCTATAGATTCAAGATCAAATCTGTTGTACTTATTGATGCAGACACCTTTAAGTAAAATGGAAAATTTAAAAAAGCTAAGGATCCGGGTATTGTAAACTGATTAAATTAAGCCTCATATTTTTAAGTCCCAGTGCCGATCTGTTCTCACACCCTCTCCCTTTTCTGGATCTCATTCTTGTTATTGCACTTATCACTTTCTGGTTTGTATCATAAATGATATTTACTGAGGATGCCTTGAGGGAAAGTGGGGTATTTGATTTATTTTTTACACCTCCCCTAGCTATGCCCATGCTCTGCATACTACCTTTCTCGTTTTGGACAATGTGTAACTTTTTTCATATATGCCTTATGCTGAGCACTGCATCAGGCACTGGCACTACTTTGAGGAACAAGACAGAGTCACTGCTCTATTATCTCGTTAATAAATGAGCAGTACATTTTCCAGACTGGCTAATATCACTAGTATTAATAGCAGCAAGATACTATTAACTCTGTTTTGACATGATGTGCAAGTAACTTAGGGGTTAGTTGGAGAAACAAAACTTAAATATGTTAGACAAGAAAATGTTTAAGCAGGACGTCAGAGAAGGTGGAGTTTAGAGACTTCATGATGGAGGCAAGGAATGAGCTGGCTTTGGAAGGGTCAACTGGATTTGTATAAACAAGCCAGCAGGTATGTGGCTGGGAGGAATCCCAGCCTTGACTTGGGCTCTAGGGGTTCAATATGTGAGTTCTAACTCAGTCATATGTGGCTGGAATTTTGGCTCCATTACTATTCAGGAGCATTGGTGTTTTTCAATGAAGTAGTGTGACCTGGGGCAAGTGAGTTAATCCTCTAATTCTCAGTTTTCTCATCTGTAAATGGGGATAATATTATTTAACTGACCTTATTGAAAAAATTCAGCTAGGTAATATATACCTAGCACAGAAGCAGGTATTTGGGAAGCACACAACAAGGCCACCCCGACTTAATAGGAGCAGTGTCATATTACTAGTGTTGTTTTTTCATTTGCATGGGTTGAACATTTAATCTCCTAGAGGTCACTACGATGCCTCTTTTTCTTGTGAACTTCCTTGCAACCAACACTTAGGTCTAGTAATTTCCTGTTGAATTGCCTCTCTTGGTTTTTCTTACACATTGTAGTGTATTACCTTGACTCTTGCTATGCGGTTCTGATACAGATCCTTACATACTCCCCCATGTTTTGTGGGAATAAATTGTAGCAACAAATCTAGTCATAGCATTAATTACACATGGTTCATGCAGCGACTGAAGTGAGTGAGTGAGGAAGGAGAATTTGATTACTCCAGGGCTTCAAGGTCTTTCAACCAATAATAATTTACTGTCTCTACTAAGTACCTCTGGATGCTGTCTGTGGAGGGGACACAGTATTTTACACACAAGCAACATAATCCATTCCTATGAGATCATGTGGTCAGGGAGTCAAATGTCTGCCACACCGAGTGGAGGGAGGGCAGGGTTTTCTTTTCCCAGTAAGGTCACAGTTTTATTTTTCCTCTTCCTGAGTGTGAGGCAGGGCACAAGGGAGGCAGTGTTACTTGATGAGGTCACAAGGACAGGGTGCGTATTGAAGCCGGAGACTATTGGCTACAGGTGTAGAGCCTGGAGACCCAAGCTAACTTTCGGAGGTTCAGAATGTCAGAGAAAGACTGTGCAGGCAGATGTGCATGTGCATGTGTGCATGCTTGTAGGTGTGAGTGCATGTGCTTACCTGCTGCTTGTACGTGCCTCTATGTGAGCCTGCATGCATAAGTGTGCATTCATGTGTGTGCATGACTAAGCATGTGTTTGCATGTGAGAGTCCTGGGTTCATATCCTCTGTTGCCTAGTCCTCTGTCCCTTTCTCTTCTGCTGGGTCATTGTTAGTCTTTCTTTATCTATCTACCTATTTATTATCTATTTTTATTTAACAGCCAAACTTTATTGAAAATACTATACGGCAAAACACCTAGTTAAATGTTTCTACACAACAATCCTCTGAGGTTGCCTTTATAACCCCAGGTTACTTTGAAGAACCAAGATTTAGGAAACTAAATAATTTGCCCGAGATCAGCCCACTTGTGAGTGGTCCAGCAGGGGATCAAATTCAAGCAGGCACAGCTCTCTACATACAGTCTGCTTTTAAAGATTCTGCCTTAGGGCCAGTGTGTGTTCGCTCTAATGTTTTTCAGTATCCCATTTAAAGCATTGCATCTACAACCCCAGCCATGATGCTCCTGGAAAAGTCTGTCCAGCAAGTGTCCAGGCCTACAGTCAGACCACCTTCCTTCTTCCAATGCAGTGCAGACAACATTTTTAGTACCTACTTCTAAGCAGTGAGCTTCTATTTTGCTGCCCTAGTACAGAGTTCACTGCTTTTCCAATCTGGGCCCTTGGGCATTTCCAAAACTAGCTTACAAAACTGAAGATCAGTCCTGGGTCACAGAAGGTGGCCAGAGGGAAGTGCTAACCATCTGTTAAACAGAGGAAAGGGGTAAACAAGTTTATGTGACACTGGGCATCCTGAGTGCTTCAGGATCATCTTGAGGTTAAAAACAGGCCTAGCCCGCCTAGGAAGATCCTCTGATCACACAGAGAGCAGTCCAGCCCCTCCAAAACCACAGGTGGAGAAGAACCTGTGGTAGGACTTTTGGAGTTGAGAGGATTTCAGTAGATAATGGGAATTTCATTTGCAGGATTCTACCCACTGGGTCTGGTGTGAATGTCAGATTCCCACTCTAAAATAAAATGCTATTTAAAGGGACTTACACAACAAATAATGACTAGCTATTTGCACCTTAGGATGGAGTACCTTACCAGACTAGCCTTTGAAGGAAGCAGTGACATGAGAGGCTAAAACTGAAGACTGGCAAGACTCTACAGTTGAGCTGTCCAATATGGTATAGTAGCCATTAGCCATATGCACTATTGAGCATTTGAAATGTCTGAGTTGATATGTAAGTGTAAAATGCATAGTGGATTTTGAAAACTTAGTATGACAAAATGAATGCCATGTATCATTGATAATTGCTTTATATTGATTACATGTTGAAATGATAATATTTTGGATATATTCCATTGAAGTATATTAAAATTAATTTTAACTGTTTCTTCTTTTTAAAAATGTGGCCAACAGAAAGTTTAAAATTACATGTGTAGCTTGCATTTGTAGCTTTCCTTGTTTCTATTGAAGTATTGCCGATAGACATACCATCCAGTAACGGTCTTTGAACTGCAGAGAGGGCTTTGGAATCATGGGATTGCTACATGCAGAGTTAATTGTTGGTGCTGGAAGTACCCATGTTCTGGACTCTCTTGGGCAGAACCTGCCTGAATTAGCTTCTGAGAGGGATCTCTGCTGGTTAAACAAATATGTATCATATAGATGCATGACTTGGCACTTTCTTTCCCAATTGACCAAATCAGTTATTTGGCTTCTAAATCTAAAGCATCTCTCTAGGGCATCCATATTCTGTATCAAACTTGTATTTCTAACCAAGTCTGCTTCAACAAGGCTGATCTTCTTCCTGTTGCCCCCATTGCATGTTTATACTAGTATCCCACTCTCTTTCTCTCGCTCTCCTCTTTCTAAAAACTCCTATTTTCTCACTTGTTTCTAGTCACTCAGAACTATTCAAGGCTTATGAAACTTTCCCTTTCTATGTGGATTTTCAGTAATCCCCCTTCCTGGGTTCTTAGTTCCTGAACTATAGCTTTGATCACACACTGCCTATTGTCTTCCTCTTATGTCACATGTGGAAAGTCTTGTCTTCTAGGTTATATTTTATGCCCCACTGGGCCAAGCAGAGTAGATGCTTTAATAAATACTTGATTGCTTGCATCATTGCTTCCCTCTGTCTTGCCAGGGCCTCTCATTAAATGTGTGCCTTTTGTGGAGAAGGGCAGTGATGATGGCAAGCAGCTTGAGACCAGGTGCCATGCTTTTTTTTTTCTTGATACGGAGTCTCACTCTGTCACCAGGCTGGAGTGCAGTGGTGCAATCCCGGCTCACTGCAACCTCCGCCTCCCAGGTTCAAGCAATTCTCCTGCCTCAGCCTCCCGAGCAGCTGGGACTACAGGTGCGCATCACCACACCCAGCTAATTTGTGTATTTTTAGTAGAGACAGGGTTTCACCATCTTGGCCAGGATGGTCTGGATCTCTTGACCTCGTGATCCGCCCGCCTCAGCCTCCCAAAGTGCTGGGATTACAGGCAGGCATGAGCCACCGTGTCCAGCCGTGGGGGCTTGTTTTTAAGCTTGACATCATTCACCCAAAGTGGTCTGCGTGTTACAAGAAGAAGGAGTCAATTGCTTCTGACCTACTATGACTTGTAGGAGTTTGTCTGAGCTAACTGCCATAGCTCTGTTCCATGAAGACCTGACATGGTGCCTGCAGTTTCTTCAGTAGAGATATGTTTCTCATTATGCCTTTGTCTTCTTTGGACATGTGAAATCCCCATGAAAAGGAGAACTTACTCCCAGACCCCAGGAAAAAGTGAGGATGGAGAAGATGCTAGGCAGGAGAGATGTGAGCTTTGAGAGAGATAAAACATTCAGGAAATGAGGGACGAGGGTGGCTAAAATTACACTTGGCTACCTTCCAAATTTCCTAAGGGGTGGCCCTTTCCTGGGTCTAGAAAGAGTTCATATCTTTGTTTTTGCTTTCATCCTTGCAGAGCCAAGGCTGGAGGAATAGACCTTGCTTCAGTAAATCAACAGAGCTGAGAGATCAGTCAGTCAGCCAATCTTAAGAGCATTCTTGGATTTGTGGATGGCTTGAGAAGGATGCTTAGAGAAACTGAGGATAGGGTAGTTATTAAAAGAGATTAAAGGGTATTAGCTAGTGCCTCAGCAAGTTATAATTTAAAAAAAGGAATGAAAAGGCAACAGGAGACTAATTTTTCCAGTCGCTGAAATTTCAAGGAGGAGTGAGCTGGCTTGTGAACCATTGCTGCTTTATATTAATTCTCCTGTATGGTTAAATCTAACCCAAATACATGTCTTTCTCAATTGGAAATGCCCTAGTCAATTTTACTGTCTAATACAGAGAGGAGGCAGCTGAGAGACCAGGAAACCACGTTAAACTCAGATGGCATTATTCTCCAAAGAATCTCAAACCCTGCCCTGAAGGTAAATGACTTGTTTCTAGGACATACTCTTGACATGAAAAAGGGAAATTATCATGGTATCCATCTGGGGAAGTTGAGACTAAGAGAAGGAAAAGAATAGATCCCCCGGAACACCTGACAGTCATGTGTTTAAAGCAGCAACAGTGTGGCATGCATTACAATGATTTAGTCACTTTGCTAGTAGTTAGGACTGCACAAGGAAGGCAGGAGGCCAACTACCTATTGAGATTTAACAGGGTCCTTCTAGTTCTTTGCCCTCAAAAATCTCACCCACTTCAAAGGTCTAAGATTCCCCAGCAGAACTTTTGTTTGCCAACTTAAGATGTCTCTATTAAGATGCACACCATCTGAGTAGTGCCATATTTAATTGATGACATTCGTCAATTAGATGAATTAGATAGAATTAGAGTTCTGAGGGCCATTTTTGGAGAAAGAAGACTAAATCGTTAGGTTGCTGGGTAACTAATGCAAAAAAGGGATGTATCAACTTAGCCACCCTCACAGTTTTGCAAAAGCTTAGCTTTGATTGTTAGTGTGTGCAATTCTATTATTCTAACATATTGGGTGTCAATGGGTCTAAAGCTCTTGGTGTTACCCTACAGAAAATATTTTTAAAAAATTAGCCACATGTGAAGATTTACATAAGAAAACATTTATAGAGGTGTCCGGATTGACTTTTTCATCTTTATTCCCTATTTTCAGGGTTACATGAATTTAGTGTGTTCTCACAATGGCTTCCTAGTCTTTAGCAGATTAGTATCCACGCAGGCAGAAATGGCAGTATCAGAAAGTGGAAGCTGATAGTCCAACAGAGGGAGGGAGAAAGGAAAATTTAAAAATCAGACATAAGATTTTCAAAAGGCACAGCAGTCTGAAATCAACCAAGATAGGAATTAACAGTGCTTTCGGTGTCAAGACCCCCTCAGATATCATTATATGCCAGCGAAACAACCACTGATTTTCATTAGGGGTGACCACAAGACATAAGAAAACGCTGGAATTAAATTCAGTCTCCTTCCCTGAGCTGAGGGTAGGTGCAGAATAGAAAAATTTAATATATTGAGCCACCAGCTGCGGTAGGCAATTTACATATATCATCTCAGTGTTGAATTCCTCAACATTTCTATGCAGTAGGCATTATTGTCCCCATTCTAAAGAAGAGAAAACTGAAGTTTGAAGAATAAATGAAGATGAAGTTCATTAGTATAGGTACTGCATGAGTGCCTTCTTTTTCTTCCCACTTCATTTTCTCTATTCCCCCAGCGATACCTCAGTGCTGCTTTCCCCTCTACTGCAACAATTTCCTTCCTCATCTCTTGTTATTCAGCTGTTTCCTTAGCTCAGAGTGCCTACCTCTTTCTGTCTACATTACCAAATTCTTTCTCTACTGCAGGGTCTAGCTCAAGACCCAGGTCCTCACAGAAAACTTCTAACCCTGCATCACATGGCTGTCCTCTCTGTGCTATTTCCATAGCACTTGAGGCAGCCCTGCTAATTTCTCAGGGACTGTTTTCTATCATTCTGTGGTATTTATCATGCCTTATTCTATAAAGCGTTGTGGTTGGCTTTGCCTCCTTGTCTAAAAGGCTTGCTGCCTTGGGTTACAGACACTATCTTTTCTTTCTTCTATTTCCTAATTCCACCTGAGACACATTTACTCCTGGTAGAGTCTTGAGTGTTTAGAATTCCCAAAGACAAATACAAGCAGTCTCTTCTGCATTTGGGCTTTTTCGACTAGCTGATGGCCATGTGTGTCCAAGGATATGAAATGGAAACCTCCAAAAGCCTACTTTGGGGATGCCTGAAATAGTTTTAAGAATTCTTTCTCCCTTCCTCACTGTGGGATGCCTGGCAACCTTATTGCCTAACCTCTACCCAAGCAAAGGGAAATCTTCCAAATTTGAAGTCCTCAGGGATAGACCATTTGTTGAACACTGCCTTAGTTAATTGTTGCAGTCCTAAAAATTAGGCAGCTCTAAAGCAAATTTCTCCCCCATACTCTAGCCTCACTGATCTTTATCATATCTATGCCACCATATCTTTGGCCAGTGTAGTTCATCCATAGTTTCTTGAACCCACTTGCCTCCCTCTCTTCTCCTCTCCCAGTCCTTCTACCTGCATGTTCCTCCATCCCCAGGAGCCACTGTCCTTTGCTAGCACAGACCCTTTACTCCCTTCCATTCTCTGCCAGTAAGATCACTTCATCAAACTAAAGCTCATTAAAGGAAAAGGCTGAGAAGCGATTTAGCATCCTGACCCCAGATATTGTAGCTGAAAAAGCCCTTTGCCTTTTATATTTCAACCTGAATAGGTGTATGACTCAGTAGTGGAAGGATTTGTAGCTGACACTCAATAGAAACTGCTCTCGAATTTTGACAAATCCCATCTTGAGCCAAGAAGAGAAACAGATATTGATCCTAAGTGTACCTAATTCATCTCTGCACTTGTAATCCCAAAAGAAAATGCCTTCTATGACCAGAAGGCAGTCAATATTTTTTCCATCTTGTAAAATAAATAGCAGTTATTTTTGGTGTGTCTTCATGCGTCTGGGGCACCAGAAGTAAACAAAGAGTTGATTTTTCCTCTTTCTAAAGTCAAGTTATAGTAACTACTAGGTTCCTTGTATGGACTAATTAAAACCATATCAAATAATTTGGATTGATGAGTGACTAGGGGTGACCATATCATAGCCTGCCCACATTAACAAGGAGGCCTCATTCTCCAGGCTGGGGAGTGGTATATCTGCTGACACTTAGCTGGAGACATACAATAAATTGCAAGAATTAATTTCAGGGGACTCTCTTTGACTCTAGCAGTATTACAGTTTTAGCCACACAGGGGAGGTGTTCATACCAGCCAGAAGTCTACTTACAAACATGGTTTTATTTATTGTCCTTCCTCTCCTTTACCTATGAGACTAGAGTTAGTTATGGGAGAACTTCCAGAGGGTCACTAGGTCAGGCCAGATAGAGAACTGTTCTGTTTCCACAATCGTTCTGTATATTCTCAACCCAGATGGAGGGTCACAAGTTGTTGGAAATACTAAAAAACTGATTTGTGTCTGTATTGATCCAAGCCCCACATCATTTCCCAACCACCCCAGGTCATTTCCAGCAAACAAGCATAGAATCTCTTTGAAATGATGCACAGAATTTCTTTGAAACACTGTGTCTACATGTGGGCAAACCATCTGCTCAATTCCAGTTTTTTTTCCTACCCATTAATAGTCATTTTCTTTATTTTACCTGAATAATTCAGTCTGACAAACCAGGCTTCTAGCTTCTTGAAGATTAAGAACAGTATCGGAAATTAAATTTTGATTATTTGAGGCATTGGAGGGATATACATTTTAAATTGCAAATTATTTGATTTTGGAAATCTAAGAAAACCATCTAGATTTTCCACAGTTTTCTTTCAGTGTACTCTCAGAATGGAATATGAGCCTTATCCAGAGAGACAATGCTGATTTTCTCATAATCTGCCAGACCCATTGGATGCTAGGCAAATAAGTCATCATAACACAATGATCAAATGTTTGGGAATTGTATGCATAGTTTTCGCTCTCTGGCAAAACCAGACTGCTGCTTCTTTCTGCCATGGGCCGCAGATGCTCCCACTTAGGCTGCTGTCTTCTCCTAGAATGTCCTCTCTGCCATCCATTCATGTTAAAATGGTGTCCTAGCTGGTTTTCCCAAGTCCTTAATGAGTAGGCCTACAGATTCTATACCCTACCTCTGAGAAGTTTTATCTGAAGATGCAGAAAGTTCAGGTCCAAGGTTCATCTGCCCATCAATATGGAGACTGACAAAAGCCTCAAAGCAAATGAAATAGCTAGGAATACAGCTAATCAAGGAGATGAAAGATCTCTACAAAGAGAGATTCAAAACACTACTGAAAGATATCAGAGATGACCCAAATAAATGGAAAAACATTCCATACTCATGGATTGGAAGAATCAATATCATTAAAATGCCCATATTGCCCAAAGCAATTTATAAATTCAGTGCTATTCTGATCAAACTACTAATGTCATTCTTCACAGAATTAGGAAAAAAAAACTCTTCTAAAATTCACATGACACCAAAAATGAGCCCAAATAGCCAATGCAATCCTAAGGAAAAAGAATAAAGCTGGAGGTATCGTACTATCCAACTTCAAACTATACTATAAAGCTACAGTAACCAAAACAGGACATTTCTGGTACAAAAACAGACATATACACCAATGGAACAGAATATAAAACTCAGAAATAAAGTCACACACCTACAACCATCTGATCTCCTACAATGCCAACAAAAACAAGCAATGGGTAAAGAACTCCCTATTCAATACATTGGTCAGGGATAACTCGCTAGCCATATGCTAGCTGGACCACAGCTAGAACCACAATGAGATACCATCTCACACCAGTCAGAATGGCTATTATTAAAAAGTAAAAGAAAAACAACAAAACAGCTGCTGGAGAGGCTGTGGAGAAAAGGGAATGCTTATACACAATTGGTGGAAATATCAATTAGTTTAGCCACTGTGGAAAGCAGTTTAAAGATTTCTCAAATAACTTAAAACAGAGCTACTATTCAATCCAGCAATCCCATTACTGGGTATATATCCAAAGGCAAAATAAGTCATTCTTCCAGAAAGACAGCAGTATTACATTTTTAGCTACATGGGGGAGGTGTTCATACCAGCCAGGGGTCTACTTACAAACATGGTTTTATTTATTGTCCATTGTCCATTTATTGTCCTTTACCTGTGAGACTAGAGTTAGTTATGGGAGAACTTCCAGAGGGTCCCTAGGTCAGGCCAGATAGAGAAATGTTCTGCTTCCACAATCATTCTGTTCTCAATTCCACAATCTATTCTCAACCCAGATGGAAGGTCACTCTTGTATGTTCATTACAGCACTATTCACAAGAACAAAGACATGGAAGCAACCTAGGTGCCTATCAATGATGAATTGGATCAAAAAACATGGTACTTATACACTAGAGAATACTTCATAAAAAAGAATGAAATTATGTTCTTTGCAGCAACACAGATGCAGCTGGAGCCATAATCCTAAGTGAATTAATGCAGGAACAGAAAACCAAGTATTGCATGTTCTAAATGATAAGTGGGAGCTAAATATTAAGCACACATGAACATAAACTTAGGAACAATAGACACTGCAGACTATTGTGGGGAGAGAAGGAGGAAGGTGGGGTTGAAAAACTACCTACTGGGTACTATGCTTACTACCTGGGTGATGGGATCCCTACCCCAAAACTCAGCATGATGCAATATATTCATATAACAAACCTGAACATGTACCCTTTGAATCTAAAATAAAACTTGAGATTAAAAACAAAACATGCTGGGCAAAACTAAACAAGAATATTTCTAAAAGTTTAAAATTTCTATTCAATGTGAACTTATGACTTAATATTGATAACCCTAGTAGAATTATAAAAGCCAAAAACCTGGCTTTTATAATGAGAATGGGCAAGGGGCACATTTAAATAAAATAATATAATTTGATGAGGAGTTAGAAGCCATGATAACTATTCTCAGCCTTGGCCCAAAAAATCTCTGTGTCCTTGGTTAAGTCACTTAATATTTCAGAGTTTCAGTGTCCTCATTGTCAAATGAGGGGGTTGGGATTAGATGGCCTCAAAGCCCCCCTGCCGCTTTAATAGTCTATGAGTCTATATCTCAAAGGTATGTAAATAAGCCATTTGGGAAGATTTACATTGTTTTCCTTATAACTATAATGCAGAAACAGAGATATTGAGCTTATCTCAGCATGGTTAAAACTCAAGAAATATCAAGATTATGTTGTGAATCTCCTTAGTGGATCAAAGCACTTGCCAAAGTTCTTCTTCAACACTTTCATCTTCGAGGGTCCCAGAGATGAAAAATGTGAGGCACATGGGCAAAACTAATACTCTTACAATGCAAACTGTCTGTGGCATTACATTTCATAACATGGCTAATACATTGATATGCTTTTATATTCTGTGCACATATTCATAATCCTGGCTTCTTATATTAAAAAAAAAAACCCAACAACCTCAGTGGTGGTCTCATCTGGTGTCTGCTTTTACAGATGACACTACAAAGCCCCAGAGACAAGAAGTTGCCTAAAGCCACCTAAGTATTTAAACATTTTTGAGACCTGAATGGCTTAGGTGCCACTCATTTAATTCTTTGTTTTGTTTCTTCCTGCAATTCCATGGGATATATACATTGTAAGCATGTAAACATTTATTAAGCTAACATACAAATATTTCATTAGTTTTATTTGTATACCTATAAGGTACACCCATCAATAAAAAATGCATTCTTAAGACCCAGGCAGAATTATTAAAGATCATCCACAGAACTTAAACCTCCTCTTCAATCTCTCTAGGAACCTGGCATAACCAGTTACCCCTGGCTTGTAACTCATCCAGAGTCACATAGTAAACTTAGGCCAAACCTAGACTTCTCTCCTAACAGATTATTTTCAGAGTTGGGCCTAGAGCATGGAGCTTTCAGCTCTCAGGCTATGTTACTTCTCTCATATCAAGCTGACATTTATTTAACTTTCATTGCTTTTCCAACATCTCAACCAGGCTCTGCTTGCAAACATCCAATAAATGGAGTCCACCATTGATGGAAATAACATATTCTGCCATAGGAATATTGTTTCTGATTTTAATCTTAAATTAGATTCTGTTTGACTCCCACTCCTCTGACCTAGTTTGTCCCCTGCCCGTTGTGTTGTGCCACCCTACCATGACATCCCTTATACATATTAAGACAACCACATGTTCCTGCCACGCCACCGTCCAATCTTCCATTACCAGGCTCAGCTTTCCTATTCTATTCTCCCTTTCATTCTTCACATTGTGTCTCCCCTCTTTTGGGTATTTCTCATTGTCTCTGGGAAAACATTGTGCCCCATATAGAACACGATTTCCTAGATGTTCTCTGATCAGTGTAGAGTATAAGGGAGCTGTTATTCACCGTGAACAGGATACTAGCTTTCCATCAAGCACAAAGACTCATCAGTTTTTACTTATTGCTTTGTTAAGAGGTGATGAATTTGCTCAATTCTTCCCTTGGTTTCTCAGCAGAAGGCAGGCAGAGGAGCAATGGGCTTGATTTCAAGAATCTCTTTCCTGCTAGAACACTGAAGAGCTTGTCAATATCTTTTCTAGGTGCGGTTTGTCAAACCAGTATTCCAATAGACAGCCATTAGCACCTCACCCTATGCTTCAGAATCACATTTGGGGGAATTTACTTTGACTGATCACAGCTTGCAAGGATCATTTGGTTCTGTGAATCCAATGTTATGTTTTAAAAGCTGTTTCCTATCAGTGAAAATTTGTGTACCCCTTGCCTATACTAATTTGCAAAGAGCAGGGTAGAAAAAAAAAAAGTCATTTGGTTTTCTATGAGTCTTGTCTGAAGGAAAGAACAATCTCTCTCCCCACTTCTCCCCACCTCTGTAAAAGCCAGCAACTGAAGATAAAAGATATCACACCTCCTAAGAAATCTGATGAAAGTAAATTGTCATTCTGTTGACATTTTGAGGTGGCAAATTTCCCAGGCCCCGGCAATATGGATAGTTTTCTTTCTAGGAATGTATCTGATTTGGGAAGTTTACTGTTCTATAGATTGGAATGTGGTGATCAGTCAGATAAAACCATCAATGTCAGTGTAACTCTGATTCCTATAATAAGCTGTGAATGTATTTTCATCAGAGCACCAAAGACAGATAAAATTCCTTAGCAAAGGAGATTCAACGATATATTTCTCTTCTATGGAAATAAGTAACATATGGGCGAAACATAGTTAATTGGCCAAAGGAAAAAAAAAATCCAATTGGTGACACTAACAATAGATTTTACAGGAAAATATGTGATAGGAAAGAAACATGCATTGTTTGGGACACCTGTAGTTAATTATTGCAGGTAAAGACATTAAAATCAGTTTCTTTGCTCATATATCTTCATAGACTGTTTGGCAATATTAAATGACAAAGGCTTAATAATCAAAAGTACTGAGTTAGCAAATGTTTTCTAATTTTAATAACTTCTTGTTGTAATTACCAAGTCTTAGAGTGAAATGATTTAATTAGAAAGTAATCAGGAAGTGTCTACTGTTAATTGAAGGAATTATAAAAGATCTACATTTTTAATATATTTCTGAGGTAATAAAATTAGTTTACCATAATTATTTTTAAAGCACCCTGATGAGGAATATTTGATGTGGGAGCAAAGGAATTGATACTTTTAAGAGTGGCACCCATCATTGAGAACATGGTGGGATTACAAGATCTCATCCTTCTTGTCTGGGAAATACTAGTAATAACAATGATAACAGCTAATATTTATTAAGAACTTACCATCTGTCAAGAGAAAGTAATGCATATCAGAAACCACACTGTTTTATTCATCCATGTGTCTTCTGTGCACACAATAGGCCTCCAATGAATAATTTGAAATCATGTTGAATGAACACATTGAAGAATCAAAAATAAGAAGCTGTGGCAGGGCCACTCATATGGTTTGGCTCTGTGTCCCCAACCAAATCTCATCCCGAATTGTAATCCCCATGTGTCCAGGGAGGGACCTGTAATCCCCACATGTCAGGGAAGGGAGGTGGTTGGATCACAGGGGTGGTTTCCCCCATGCTATTCTTGTGATAGTGAGTTCTCATGAGATCTGATGGTTTCATAAGGGGCTCTTCCCCCTTCACTCTTTTCTCCTGCTGCCTTGTGAAGAAGGTCCTTGCTTTCCCTTCACCTTCCACCATGACTGTAAGTTTCCTGATATCTTCCCAGCCATGTGGAACTGTGAGTCAATTAAACCTCTTTCCTTTATAAATTACCCAGTCTCAGGTATTTCTTTATAGCAATGTGAAAATTGACTAATACAGTCACCAATCTCAGTTTTGGTAGTGTTGGTCTGCTTACTCACTCTTATCGTTAGAACCCTCTTGTTGGCACATGCTCTTTTGGGGTGAGTAGACTTATTTCTACTTTCCCTGAGCTCCAGAGTATAATACACATTTAGAGTATGACACACATCTAGTTCAGTTCAAGTGGCAAAGATCTTGCCACAGACTGTAGGATACAAATGTTCACTTTTTGTCTGCTGCTGTTTGTTTATCCTCATAGCATCCAACTACTTGGTATTAATGGGTATTTGCAGGATGGAAGTAAATGAAATAGACCTTTAAAGGCAAGGTAGGGAAGGAGGAGAAATAAAGAGACATTAACTTCAACTCCATGAAAGCAGGAATGGTTTTACTGAATACTACAAAGATAAAATCATTCAGCTTCATACTGTTGATGTGAAGTCAAATTGAGATATGCCTTTAAGTATTTAACTGTACAACACAATCATTTTTATGGGCACTGGGAAATTCACCTTTTCACTAAACACACCTGTCTCCTCCTTCCCTCCCAGGCCCATCACTGTGGTATGCCTGCCTCACCATCCACCTCCTTCAGCCACAGTGAATTACCAGAGACTTAATAGTTAACTGGGGCTTAATGACTCTTTGTGCATCTTGGACCATCAGCTCCTCCTGGATTTTCATTAATCCCAGGGGCAATGGCTTAGACCACAATCATTATTGCTTTAACAAACACTTCCAGGATACAATGAGAGTGACTTTCCATTTATCTTCTATGGAAATTCATTCTGCAGGAGTGACACCGTCAGCTTAAGACACACAAGCTATTGTCTTGCAGCTAAAAAAAAAAAAAAGATATTACTGCTTTCTGTACTTATTATATGGAAAGATAAAAGCTAATTAATTGTTATAGTTCCTGTTTTCCTGGAGACAGAGAAATGTATCTAACGTTCTTTTAAAAAAGTTTTGTTAATATTGTGAGGAGATATTTGGCCTTTATATGAGTAAAAGCTTGTGGAAGGATGAGAGGGATATGGGAGGTAGACAGTGAGGAACTGATACCTGAAGAGTTTGTATTGCAAAGAATGCAAAATTTAACTGACTAAACCAACAAACAAATAAATTAAATAACTAATATTAATTCATTTACAAATTCCTGTATTTCTCATTTATTTTTAACCTTAGGTTTGTAGACTCAACCTACAAACGCTATCGATTCAGTCACTACAAAACAAAAACCAAATGAAAAGCTAAGCTTACAATTTATGTATAGTGGCACTAGGTAGCAGAATTTGCTTCAGTAATATACACTTGACGTTATTCATCAATTATCCAGATTACAATAAGAAACTTTATGGTATATTATTATTAAAGAATATATTGAAGCAGATTAACATAAATAAAATGGAGAGTACATTCAAATATGCTCTTTGAGAGTAGCATTTAAGCATTGTACCTTACATCCAAGGTATAATGCATACTTTTACACCAACTTCTAGTATTTACTTCTTAGACAGAAAATTCTGGCTCTCTTATTTAATTTCAGAATCCCAACATTTGGTTCTATGCAAATGTTACTTTATTTGGAACCAAAAAATGTGTACAGTCTATCACAGTTATGTGTAAAGTTTATCTGCAATATATATTCTCTCATTTAACAGTGACCTAATTACTGGCTATAAGGAATACACTTTTCTCTGTTTCCCTCCTCCTTCTTTTCCAAATACCATTTTTCTCAAAATTGCAGAAGCAGAATGGAGAGAATCTTATGGAACACCTCTGTGCCCAGTTTTCTACTGCCACTGCCCTCACATTATCTAATGTGCAGTAGGGCAAACCATGTAACGTCTGTGGATGTCCCTGTCTTTAGGAAGTCTTGAAGCATACAGAGGAGGATATATTCTAGAATTGCTAAGGTCCTTGTGGTTTAAGGGTGTATGATTCAAGAAAAGAAAGTATGTTTTCCCTTTTACCTTTGTGGAAGAGAACAATTTCCCCTATCCATTTTCTAACACGTTAGATGGATGTCACCATGATTTCTCCTTATGATGAAATAGTGCTTCAAAAACAGTAACTCACGCATACAGTTAGTCCTTGATATTGAATTTTCAGAAATTCTTTTCAGAAATGGTTTGTACATGCGTATTCCACATTAGTATAATGATCTATTTATGGGTCTGTTTTCTCTAATATTCCTCAAAACACATTAGATCAAGGAACACAGTGTTTTGTATTTTGATTCCATGATGGTGCTTATAAGCAGCAGTGAATAAGGTTTCAGGGAGAACAGCATGTTTTTATAACAAGTTTAGAGAGGCATGCAGAACCTGGAGTAAGTATATGCTTCATTGTTGACCTAACCTTTAAGAACGTTCTCCTTACGGGTTTTTCCATGAGGTCTGTGTAAAATGTTACTTAACAATAGTAATGTATTTATTAAGTAACTGTATGTTTTCCATATTAATTCATCACAGACCTACCTGACTACCATCAGAATTTGGATTCAGAATAAAATATAAATTTACTACTTAGTGCTCCTATAATTCCAACTGAAGGAACAAAATATTAGGCCAAATGATATGATCAAGAAAGTTCCTATTCTTGATGTAGGTTTTTGAGATACTGAAAATAGCTTTTCAGTTTCATTTCAACTGAAAGTCCCCTGAAGGCCTATGTACCCAAGGTGGAGGCCTATCTTTTACCAGAGTAGGAAACTAAAGTTGGTAATTTACCAAAGGTAACAAGAGTAACCAGTGGTAGTATTACATGTCTCCTCCTGTATTGCCTATCTTTGGTCCTAGAAAATTGGGAAGTCATCATAAACTCCTTGTGATCTCAACTGTTCCTGAGAACTGTTGGATTGTCCTCATATATGTCACCTGTCCTCAGTAAACAAGGCTACTGTATTATTAGTTCAGTATTTCTTCATTTTGTTCCCCCAGACTAGTGTGCTTTTAATTGGTCTTCCTGACCATTAGTCTTCAACACACTCTTCCAAAATCACCTCTGATCTCCCCTTGAAATTATGCAGCTTACCACCGTGTTCCCACAGCACATTCTTTCATGATACCAATGTTGACCCCATGTTAGTATAATGATTTATTTATGGGCTCATTTCCTCTAATACTCCTCAAACCGCATTAGATCAACGAACACAGTGTTTTGTATTTTGATTCTGTTATGGTGCTTGTAATCAGCGATGAATAAATATATGTGGGTTATGTGTCCATAAAAAAATTAAGATTAGTAGGACTATTTAAACATTTTGCAGTTGGGAGAAGCATGGACTTTCTCACCACTTTTCCAAATATGATCCTATAGAAGTATTCTTTGCATCTGGGTGAAGATAAGTTGAACAACAACAACAAGTCCTGCTTTCAAATACTTGGATATAAATTGATGGAAGCCGTTTTTCAAAGAGGAAAGTTTTCTTAAATGATATAGCCATATTGGATTATTGAAGAAAAAACAGGGATTTGAGAGGAGGAGTAAATTCTTGGTTTAAAGAGATAATTTTGCAGAGCATGGTGGTTCACACCTGTAATCCCAGCACTCTGGAGGCTGAGGCAGAAGGATCACTGGAGCCCAGGAATTTGAGACCAGCCTTGGCAACAAAGTGAGACCCTGTCTCTACAAAAAATACAAAACATTTTAGCTGGGCATGGTGGCATGCACCTGTAGTCCCAGCTACTCAGGAGGCTAAGGTGGGAGGATTGCTTGAGCCCAGGAGGTCGAAGCTACAGTGAGCCATGATTGTACCACTGCACTCCAGCCTGGGTGACAGAGTGAGACCCTGTCACACACACACAAAAAGAAAGATAATTTCAAGAATTGTAACTTCCATGCACATCCTGTGAGACCATACTTCAGGGGTGTAATTTATGTTAGAATCCTGGATTGGAAGGACTGCTGGAGCACTGGAGGTGGTCTCTCTCAGGTGGCTCCCCATCATGTGTGTGTTAACACACTGGATGTGAGAAAACAAAGGTGTTCCTCCAAGTTTCCTCCAGTTGCACCCTTTTTCAGTTAATGTGCCTTTTTATTCCCTCTATGTCAAATGTGCTTCTGACTTCTATGCCCAACATATAAGAATGTATGCTTATGCTTCCTTGTTTCCTAGAGATTTTTCTAATATTTGAAGTCCCTATTGCCTGGTAGAATTAGGTAAATTCTTTGTCAAACATCTTCAAGTTTATCAAGGAAAGCTGTTGTGAAAAAACCATAATTTTAAACCTTTCTCAAAGAAATTGCTGAAATTATTCCCCTTTCGTCCAAGTCCAAAGTGAAATGATTGGTGTTTTAAAAGCAACACATATTCAGCTGTCACTAAAGTGATGTGATGTAATCTTCCTGCTTTCAGAAAAGTGTACAATATAAGACTCATCTTAAATACACTATGGCCATAATGGAGAAAATTTCTCCACATCTGAATTTTCCATGGAAAAAGCATTTTGAACAAATTTGGGAAAATCCAACAGTTTTTCTTTAAGGGGAGTAGACTCAAGAAATGATATATCAATAATGTAAATGGATTTAAAAATGACCACATACAGGCATATACATTTACCTAATATAGCTCAAAAATGTGAAGGAAACAGAGAGGATGACACAGTAACATTTCTCAAACCCCAGACTGCAAAACCAAGAGTCCTCAATTTTGCAAACTGAAAGAGAATGCATCCGGTCAGTTGCAAAGGTATTGAGCTTCTTACTCCAGCTTGATGTCTGTTTGAGATGGATTAGTCAGCCTTTTGATAGCCACGTTCCTGCCTGCTGCTAAGACAGTGACATTGGCCAAACTAAAGGGGTCATTTTCCATATGAACATGGTGACTAATGTCATGAGAATCAGAATGACCAGATGCACCATGGCATAAACCTCATTTACTAAATATGGGTAAGTCCTTAGAAGCTACTTCAGCTCTAGGTTGCCCAGAGGACAGACAAATAAGCCGCATGAATACAGTTAAAGTTATAAAGCATAGTGTGTCTTTTCCACTCTCTTGCCTCAAACATTATTCCTTCTATCTCACATCACCAATGCCCATTCTGCTCATGTAACCCCAATCAGTTAACATGGCCATTTACAACTGAGAAATTAAAATGTCTGGAGGAGCCTGGGTAGATGACTATCACACTGAAGTTTTACAGATTCAGGAGTCCTGTGCATTTTGGGCAATGTGCACCCTCGTGGTGCCAATTGCCTCTTGAATTGCTGAGTGAGCGGTTGTCCTGTGCCTATATCTACTTTAGGCCCAGGACAATCGGTAGTTTTTCAAGGGCATAAGTTTAATTAAAGTTTCAAGAAAGACTTTGAAGGAAAATGGAATTATGCTTTTTCCTGTTGGAGAGTGTAAGTGAGGCAGATTCATTAGGAAATGAGTCTTCAGGACTTACTGAGTTTTCTTCAGTAGAGTGGAGCTTTGTTGTGGTCCTATATGACATTCAGTGAAAGGATGGAGGAGCCATGTTGTATTTTCCTCAATGGGATAATCTGAGAATGAGAATTTCCCAGAATTCTCTGTTTCTTTCTTTCTTACATATTTGTTTTCAGAGATTTGATCCATTGATATGTGAAGCTTGGCTTTATTCAAGAGATTATAACCTCAATTATGTAATGATAATAATGTCTTACATTTATCTAGATCAGGATTTTAAAACTCAGCACTATTGACATTTTGGACCAGATAACTTTGTATGAAGGAGGGCTTTCCTGAGCATTGTAGGATGTTTAGCAGCATCCTTCACATCTACTCGCTAGATCTAGTGATGCCACCTCACTGTGATGACAATCAAAAATATGTCTCCAGATATTACCAAATGTTCCTTGGCAGGCAGGGGTAGAGGGAGTAGGGGAAAAATGGACTCCCATTGAGAACTAGTGATGTAGATCTTTTAACTTTTCAAAGTACTTTCATGTCACGTTGGATTCTTACAACAAGACTGTGAGGACAAGTATTGTCATCCCCACTGGACAGGGAAAGGAGAAATGTAGATCCCCAGAGCTTTAGGCCCAGGGCTTCATAAAACTATGGTGTTGTTAGTACTTGGAGCATAATATTTTATCTATATATATGTACTGAATGGAATGTTGAGTTAATATACTTAGTGACAGCATTCAAATGTGAGCCTGGAAAGGCAGAAAGAAAAACAGGGATGTGAATATACCCATATTGAAATAATTTTTTCTTCTGCTCAAGACTTGACGGTATTCTACTTGTGTCACCAGATGTTCCACAGAAAAGAGAAATGTTATGTACTAATTCTTGATCATGTATCACATGCCTCCAGGAAAGTAACTTGCATAATTGCTTTTATTATTTTTGAGAAGTTAAACACATTAAAAAAACAGTAATAATATGACAGTGTCCCTGCTACTCTGAATACTGAATATTAACAATTTATACTTTTGTTTTATAATTTTTAAATTAAAAACATACAAAGAAATGAATGCATAGGGTAGAAGTCTTTTTGCTCCCCTCCCAGATCTGTTCTCTCTTCCAAATGTCATCTACTATTATGAATTTAATGTGTATCCCTCAGGTCCAGGTTTTATTTTACTATAGAAACATATATTCCTTTACCACATAAATATATCTATATATAAATATGTATCCATAAACAATACATACTATAGTAGTTATGTGTGCATTATTTTAAATTTTTAAACATGCAATCTATATTATACTGATTTTATAACATTTTTAACTTATGATTTTGAAATTGTCTACCTACCTACCTACCTATGTATCTATCAATCATGTATCTACTTGATTCATTTCATTTCATAACATTCAATTGCAGGACTATCCCACAATTCATGGATTTACTTATTAATGGTCATTTCTCATGATACAAATTTTTTTTTTTTTTTTTTTTGAGGCGGAGTTTCACCCTTGTTGCCCAGGCTGGAGTGCAATGGCGTAATCTCGGCTCACCACAACCTCTGCCTCCCAGGTTCAAGCGATTCTCCTGCCTCAGCCTCCCAAATTAATTTTTGTATTTTTAGTAGAGATGGGGTTTCTCCATGTTGGTCAGGCTGGTCTCGAACTCCCAACCTCAGGTGATCCACCCTCCTCAGCCTCCCAAAGTGCTGGGATTACAGGCGTGAGCCACTGCGCCCGGCCTAATTTTTTAGTACTTTAAGCAATGCTGCAATGTGCATCTCTGGGCATACTTCTTGGGGTATGTGTATAGAATTTTCCCAAGGACATATTTAAAATTATACTTGGTATATGACCTGATGACTTGATGTAAAAAATAACTGGGGCAGAAACATGTGACAGTGAGGAAAGAAAAGTCATACATCTTAGGGAGAAATCTTGGGATACAGAGAAATGTAAGAGGGACAGGGTTACAAAATGTCCAAGGAGGGAAGAATAACACTGCAAAGTCTTTGAAAATTGAACTGACATTAGAACCACAATTCATAGAAGGAAGATTAGAACTTCTCACCTAACCAGGTTGGCTGATTACTGAAACAAGAAATAAAATATCATTGTAACTAACTAGGTTTTGTAGTACAAATGCAAAGGTTGGTTCAATATTTAAAAATTAATCAATGTAGTTTGCATTTTAGCAGCCTAAAGAAAAAAACACATTATTGATATGATTGATGCGGAACAAGCATATCCATTTTGATAAAAATTCTGAGCACACAAGAATTAGAACTTTCTCACCCTGATAAAGTGACTTTAAAAAAATTCTACAGATAACATTATCCTTAATGATGACTGAATTATTTTAAGATTGGGAACAAGCAAGCACGTCTATTTTCACTAGTCATAATCAACAGTGTACTGAAATTTCTAACCAGTGCAAAGGAAAAAAAAGAGAGGGAGGGAGAAAGAGAGGGAGAGAGCAGGAGAGAGAGAGCAAAAGAGAGAGAGAGACATGATTTGCAAAGGAGGAAATGAAACTGCCCTTATTTACACATGACATCATTGCTCCTGTAGAAAATTCCCCCAAAAAAGTTTCCAAAAAGCTTTGAAAAGTTAGAGGTAAGTTTTTATTTATTTTATTTTATTTATTTATTTATTTATTTATTTTTGAGACAGAGTCTCGCTCTGCCACTAGGCTGGAGTGCAATGGTGCGATCTCGGCTCACTGCAACCTCTGCCTCCCGGTTTCAAGCGATTCTCCTGCCTCAGCCTCCCAAGTAGCTGGGGTTACAGGTGCCTGCCACCATGCCCGGCTAATTGTTGTGTTTTTAGTAGAGACGGGGTTTCACCATGTTGGCCAGGCTGCTCTCGAATGCCTAACTTTGTGATCCATCCGCCTCGGCCTCCCAAAGTGCTGGGATTACAGGCATGAACCACTGTCCCCGGCCCAAAGGTAAGTTTATGAAGTTTACACAATATAGGGTCAAAACACAAAAGTACATTATATTTCTTTATACTAGGAATGTATGACTGAATATTTAAATTTTTAAAATACCATTTGAAGTCATTCAATAAAGAAAATTCTTAGACTAAACCTAATAAAATTTGTACAGGCTCTATATGCTGACAACTGGAAAATGCTGATAAAATGTACCAAAAAAAGCCCTAATTGAATGGAGAAGTATGTCTTGCTCATGGGCTAGAAGACTCAAAATTGTTAAGGTATTAATTATGCTTAATTCCAATCAAAATCTTATGATTTTAAAAATAGATATTGACAGTGCAATTCTAAAATGTATAGGGAAAAGAAATGGAACTAAAATAGCTAAAACAATTTGAAAGAGAATAGTACTTGTAAATAGAACTTGTGAAAGAGAATAGGATTTAAATTATACCAACTTATTTTAAGACTTAATGTAAAGGTCTAGTAATTAAAACACTGTGGTACTGGTGACAGAATAAACATGTAGATCAATATTAAAGACTAGAAAATTTAAAATTAGACACATAAAAATATAACTGATCTTTGACAAAGGTGCAAAATAAATTCAGTAGAGAAATTATGGTCTTTTCAATAAGTGGTATTGGAATATTGGACATCCATATTCAAAAATATGTGCATTGATTTAAATCTCACACCTTATATAAAAGTTGACTCAAAATGAATTATAGAGGTAATTGTAAATGTATAAAGCTATCAGAAAATTATAGGAGAAAAACATTAAAATGAGTAAATTGTTGATACATGCCACAACTTGGCTGCATCTCAAACACAGCATGCTCAATGAAGGAAGTGAATCACAGTAGTGAGATTCCATTTATATGATATTCTAAAAAACAAAATATATGGTGTAAAACAGAACAATTGTTGTCAGGAGTTAGGTATTAAGAGAAGGTTTGACTAATAAAGGACAGCATTAGGGAGATATTGGGGCTGTTATAAACATTTAGTATGATGACTGTTTTGTTTACACAAATATATACACATTTTACAATTCACAGAACTATATACCAAAAGAAAAAGAAAGTCAATAAAAAATTTACACTATGGAAATTACAGGCATAGTTTGGAGATATTACAAGTTGAATTCCAGACCACTGCCATAAAGTGAATATCACAATGAAGCAAGTCACCTGAATTTTGTGGTTTCCCAATGCAAATAAGTTACGTTTATGCTATACTGTAGTCTATTAAGCGTACCATAGTATTATGTCTAAATGCACATAAAATTCAGCTTTGAATGCTTTATTTGGGGGCTATGTGTCTATACTTAGGAGAGTTAGTCTACAGTATGATTATTTCTAAGTATCCTTGTTAAACTTTTGTGTCAAAGTTATGCCAGTATAATATTTTTAAAAATTGGGTGTTTTTATCCCCTTCTTTGAGATAATCGTGTAATAAATAGATTATCTCTTTCTTAGCATCTACATATTATTTTTAGTAGAGTACTTTTCTATATTTTATAGTCTCTTTTTCATTGTTATAAAGTTTAAGTATTATTTTTCATAGTTAAAAATCGTATTTGCATTTTAATTTATGTACCATTTATTGTTCCAAATGTTTTTATCAGATTGGTTTATTGCTTTTTATCTTATATATCTGTTCATGGAGTCCCTTATTAATTACTAATGTTTGTTTTTGCCTTTTCTATCTTTATTTTTTACACATTGAAGTTAGAAGTTTATTTTTCTTATTAATTTTTTCAAAACAACACCACTTTTTATTTTGTTGATTCTCTGTATTGCTTCTTTGTGATTTCTCTTTTTAATTATAAACATTATAAAGTACAACTAGTTGATTAATTAATTTCTGATTTTATCATTGTTATTTCCTTCTACTTTTTAGGTTTATTATTTTCCTTATCAGGGAAACATAATTCATCTATTTTTAATCATTATAATTTTAAATTAATACTTTTACAGCTAAATGTAACTTTTTAAAACATAATTTCCATTGTGATTTCTTTCTTAACTCACAAGTTATTTAGCAACCATTAAAACAATTCAAACTTTTTTTTGATTGCCTTCTTCCTGATAATTTTTAATTAAGGGCAGTTTGGTCAGTGATTATGGCTTTCATAAGGTTGAGTGTTTGAAATTGTTTGATAATTGCTTTCTGATTTCATTTATATATAGTGAATTAAAAATATTTCATGTGTACATTAAAATAATATATAATCTTTATTTTCAAAGCAGAATTCGACAAAAGCCCATCAGATAGATATATTTAATTTGTTGTTCAAAACTTCCATATTGGTAGAGATTTATTGTCATTTTAATGTATCAGTCCCTGACAGATCTGTTTTAAAATTTCCTCTATAATTATATATTAGTCATTTGTTCTGAAAATTCTGTCAGTTTTAGCATGACATATTCTTCATTGAACAACCCTTCCTTCTAACTTATTAATTTAAAATTATTTTTAGTTTTTAAATTAAATGTTAAATTTATTTATATTTCATAGCTAATTAAATTTACTCATTTGTAAAATCCATTTCGGTGCTCATCATCGTGAGTCTTACCTCTAAGCACACATACTTCCTGCTGAAGTGAATACCTTAATAATTTCTGTGATGAAAGTCTATGGGTAATAAACTCATTTAGTATTTATATAACCAAAACAGACTTTCCAAGAAAATAGAAGACAGTTGTCTATATCAATCTGTTCACTTCTTCTCCTCTCCAAATCTCTTGATTTCCCCCAACTAGTCAGACTTTTGTTTTATCATTTTCCCAAATTGTCTCTTGTTAAGGACAGTAATCACTTCTGCTGTCAAATCCAAGTGGTATGTTTTTGTCTTATGTACATGTCTGTGTGTGTACAGATATGCATATATACATGCATTGCTCCATATTCTAACTTTCTTTTAACATTTTCTTTTAAATCTGAGGACTAATGGTTTTATTACAATTTGAATAATTCTTAGATAGCACCTCCTCAAGTTTCTCTACCCTTCCCATGTTTTTTTCCCTGAAATTTCTCATCCTATTTTCTAGGCCCTCAACTACTTTTTCCACATTAAAAAAAAAAACGTGTTTCTTGGAGTTATCTTCAAATTTATGAATTCCAACTCACTAATATCCAGGGTGGAGCAAAAACTAAATTTTTGTTTTCAAGATTTTTGATATTTTTTTTAAATCTCTGTGCTTTGGCTTCACTCATGCATAATTTTGTTTCATAATTTCTTGTTTTTTTTTAGGAGGTGTTATACCTTTGTGTGTCTTTTAGGCATCATAAACATTTAGTTCAAAGCCTTTGTAAGACATTTTATAAAACAAGATTCACCTGTTATGTTACTTCACCTGAATCTATGTTACAATTACTTAAAATTACAAATATTGGCCAGGTGTGGTGGCTCATGCCTGTAATCCCAGTACTTTGGGAGGCCGAGGCGGGTCGATTACCTGAGGTCAGGAGTTCGAGACCAACCTAATATGGTGAAACCCTGTCTCTACTAAAAATACAAAAATTAGCCGGGCACAGTGGCGGTTGCCTGTAGGCCCAGCTACTCAGGAGGCTGAGGTAGGACAATCGCTTGAACCTGGGAGGTGAAGGTTGCAGTGAGCCAAGATCGCGCCATTGCCCTCCAGGCTGGATGACAGAGCGAGACTCCGTCTCAAAAAAAAAAAAAAATTACAAATGTTTTTTATTAGGAACTTTGGAGGAGTCTAGGGTACTGCTGAGAATCCTAGAGTTAGAGCAGAACTTCCAACACAACATTTGTTAAAGGTTGCAGCCTACCTGACCAAGTTTAAGGGATAACCTCCTCTTTAAATATTGGCTTCTGTGTTGATGGCATGTAGAGAACTCTTTGAGCCATAGCTAAGGTTTGGAACAGGGAGGCCTAAAACAGTGATGCTGTCCTAATAAGACATCAGGTTTAGGTAGGGATCTCTGCCAGATATGAGAAAATCAGGGAAAAGGCAGCACTTTCACTTTCTTTCCCCAAAACTACAGAAAGGGATAAAAACGTGTATTGGTTCACAGGTAGTATTATGGGTTGAACTGCATCTCCACAAAAGGTATGCTGAAGTCCTAATCTCCAGTACCTTAATTAAATATAACCTTATCTGGAAACAGGGTCTTTGCGGATGTAATCAATTTAAGATGATATCCCACTGGACTATCACCCATCCTAATGCAAAGATTGGTATCCAAGGATGCCAATGACGAGTATCTTTATAAGAGAAAGGAGAGGGAGATTTAGACACACAGAAGACAGACAGGGAAGAAGGCTACATGAGGATGGAATCAGAGATTGAAGTGATACCACATCAAAAAATACCAGACATTACTGGCAACCAACAGAAACTAGGAACAGGCAAGGAAAGATTTTTCCTTGGATTCTTTAGAGGGAGCACAACCATGCCTGCACTTTGATCAGCACTTCTGGCCTCCACAACTGTGAAAGAATACACTTTTTCTGCTTTAAGCCACCAGTTTGTGGCAATTTGTCATGGCAGCCCTAGGAAAATAATACAGGTGGTCTTCCTCTCCCTCCTAGAGCCTAATTTTATCATTAAGGTCTATCTTTGCTCAGCTGTAAAGCAACCTCTGTTGGGGAGGTCCCTGGAATCAATTGCCCACTCTTTAGTCTGGAGAGACATGTATGCTTGGGAGTATCTCTGAATTCTTCACATAATCAGGCCTCAGCGAGTTCCTCCAAGAAAGGTGGGGAAGGTAAAAGATTAAAGAAGGGAGAGAGTTGGCAGACATGTGTCTACACCTTGGTATACCATGTTACAATTCTTATACATTTATAATGTGTTTTTGCAAATACTGTCTCTTTGATATATAATATATGCATACAATTATAAATATATATATGTATAGCAATATGTTTATATATATATATATTCTCTCTCTATTTCTCTGGGTTGTCCTCACCCAATTGTCAAGGTCTTTCATGATTGGTAGTTCCTACCCTTGTCTCCATAGTTTTTTTGAGGTTCTTGCTGATTCAGTTGGCCAGCCAGTGGATATCTTGTTTCTGTTACTGATTGAAAGGCTGTTCCTGTTTCTGTACTTATTTTGGCTTGAAGATTGCTTTAGCCATGATCAAAGACAGCAATTGTAAACTATTTTTTTTGCCTGAGTTCTCAAGCAAGCATGTTCCACCACAGCTTTAGAAAAGCAGGCTAAAGTGTCAGGCCCCTGTTTTGAGTGGGGCAACACTGCTCCCCTTTTGTCTAGTGGCTTTGAAACCCATATAACCTCTCTCTGCCTGATGGGAAAGCACAAACCTTTGGTTTTAGCTTACTCATAACTACTTGTACTCTGTTCCATTTCTTGCCCCAAGAGATGTTTTTATTGCATTTGTGCCCAGCTAAATCTTGAGCGCACAGATGATCAAAATACTGCTCCATCTTGACCACGAGCCTCTGATACCTTCTCTCAACTCATTATATTTTTCAGGATCACACTTTTTAGTTTTTTAAAATTTTGTTTTATATTTCATACCTAAATCAAATTAAATCTGCATGACAGTAAATATTTTGAAAAATTTTTAGGCTTACCTTGTAGTCTTTTATATGGCCAATTTTTATAAACTTACAATGTACCCTTGCAAATAATTAATATTATTATTTTGTTGAAATTGGAGTTATCTAATAAAGTTTGTTATTCTGTTATACAAATTGCCTTTAATCTTAGTGATTTTTTGGTCTGTTTGAAATTTTAGTTTCTAAAAAAGTTGTAGTAAAATTTCCTACACTGATTTTAGAGTGATTTATTTCTTTCTAATTTTATCAGATTTGCTTTATATATTTCAAGAAAATGTAGCTAGGTGCAGATAAGTTCATGATAGTATCTTGTGTGTAATTTATTCTACATTTAAATACTTTTTGGGTCTTTCAATGCTCTTTGCCCTAATTGTACTTAGTCTGATATTAGTATCACTAGAATTGTGTTCATATTGAACTGTATGCACATTAGTTATGTCTCTATCCTTTTATATTCAACTTTTTATACCATTTTATAAAAGATTGTCTTATAAAGACAGCATGTAGATGGATTATGTATCTCTTAAAAATGTAGTTTAAAGGTCTTTTATGGTTACATTTAATCCATTTACATTTAATATCACCATTAAATATTTGAACTTATTTTTGCCATCTTATTTTGTATTTTCAGTTTACTATGTTTCTTTCAGTATTTTTTAATCTGCCATTCTGATTTATATTAGATTGGACATGATTTCTTTCTATCTCCCCTTTTCTCAACTGAAATAGGAAAGTGTACGTTACATTTCTATTGTTTTAATAGCTTTATGTAATTTGTCTAGTTGTTTAAAAATAATTGAGTTAATCAATACCTTTACCCTTACACAGAAAAGTGAAAGGATCTTAGAATCTTTGAAATTCATATCTTTTCCACTTTTCATTGTCCTATATTTCCTGCCTTATTTTTAAAACTTCAATTTAGTTTTTAAATTATTTTCCATCAATACTTTTATTGCATGAACATGTTTAGTTTATTAAGTGCTTACTATTTTTCTTGCGTGCCACTCCTATCAAGATGTAGAGGATATATTATGTTCAAAACATTCACTGTCTTTCCTGTTATAGAATTATGCTTCCCTCCCTCCTGGATGCCAGCCTTGGTTTGGCCAGTGAAATGTGAGCAAATCTAAGTGGGCCACTGCTGAGCTGAAGGTTTAGGAGATGTTGCTATGAGGGCAATGGGATTGCTAAGGGAAGAGGATTTGGAGTGGGGCTCCAGCGACCGCTGGCCAACACAGGATGTGATCCACTGATAGCTGTTTGGTAGTTTGTTGATTTTGGGTAACATAACCTCTCCTGAGCCTCTTCCTCCTATTGATATGTGATTGTCTGTCTTTTAGGAGCTCTCTCACTGAGAGTTTGCTTATAATACAATCCTGTAGTCTTTGGCAGAAAAAAAAATTTGCTCCCACTTTTCTTAAAGATTTGAAGTTCAATAGTCAATCAAGTTGAAACTTGATTGCTGAGCAATCCCACTGATGCTGGTATTGGCTGGTTTAAAGGTAGGTTTTTATGTTCAGGGCACAGCATGATATAGGGGCCAGGCTGTGGCCTCCACGGCTCACAAAATGTGTAGGTCCTTTCATTTTGTTTTCTCTCTTTTTAAAGAAACTTCAAGAAACTTCACTGACAGTCAAAAGAATATTTTTCTTTTCTTTTTTTATTCTCTTTTTACTTTATTTTGTTATAGATTCAGGGAGTACATGTGCAGCATTGTTACATGGGTATATGAATAATGCTAGGGCTTGGGCTTCAAGTGAACTCATACCCAGATAGTGAATACCCAACAGGTAGTTTTTCAACCTTCACTTCCCTCCCACCCTCCACTCTTTTAGAGTCCCCAGTGTCTATTATTTCCACCTTTATGTCCGTGTGTAGTCATCGTTTAGGTCCCACTGATAGGTGAGAACATGTGGTATTTTATTTTCTGTTTCTGAGCTATTTAACTTATGATAATGGCCTCCAGCTCCATTCTTGTTGCTACAAAAGGCATGATTTCATTCTTTACTATGGCTCTGTAGTATTCCATGGTATATATATATATACACCAGATTTTCTTTATCCAATTCACCATTGATGGACACAGGTTGATTCCATGACATTGCTATATTAGTCCATTCTCACTCTGCTATAAAGATACTACTACCTGAGACTGGATAATTTATAAAGGAAAGAGGTTTAATTGACCCACAGTCTGCGTGGCTGGAGAGGTCTCAGGAAACTTACAATCATGGCGGAAGGCAAAGGGGAAAAACCTTTACAAGGCAGCAGGAGAGAGAAAGAGAAGAGGGAAGTGGCAGACACTTATCAAACAACTAGATCTCATAAGAACTTACTCACTATCAGGAGAACAGCCTGGGGGAAATCGCCCCCATGATCTAGTCACCTCCCACCAGGTCCCTCCCTGGGCATGGTAGCAGGGGAGGGGAGGGGATTACACTTTGAATTACAATTTGAGATGAGATTTTGGTGTGCAGTGGTGTGATCTCAGCTCACTGCAACTTCTGCCTCCTGGGTTCAAGCGAGTCTCCCACCTCAGCCTTCCAAGTAGCTGGGATTACAGGTGTGCACCATCATGCCTGGCTGATTTTTGTATTTTTAGTAGAGATGGGGTTTCACCATGTTGGCCAGGCAGGTCTCAAACTCCTGACTTCAAGTGATCCACCTGCCTCGGCCTCCCAAAGTGCTGGGATTACAGGCATGAGCCCCCATGCCCAGCCATGGATTTATAAAGCCATTTTAATATACTTATTTTAAAGTCTCCTTAAGAGTTTTAAACATTCTTTTCTTTTTTTTTGGTTATGTTGTTGTTATTGTGTTCATTTTCTTTCATGGAGATTTCCTGAAATAGCTTGTAGTTTATTATTATTATTATTATCTACAGTTGGTAGAATCTGTTTTCTGTAGGAACTCATCAGTTTCTGGACTGTTATAAAGCTCTTTATGACAGATGATTATTTCGCCACTCTGGGGCATCACTATTTACGAATCAATATTATGTTTAGTCCCGATTCGGGGTCTCTATGCTATATATACAAATTTGGAATTCATACCTGTATTTGGAGCAGGTTTGACAACTCCTTGTTAGAGCAGGCTCTAACAACTTTTTAGTGACCACATCCATAGCCTCAATAAATAGCTAAAATCTGATTCTTTGCTGTTATTCCAGGCTGATGGGTGGACTATTTAATCTTTATTTCATAAATAGAAAAGTACTTGACAACTCCCAGATTTTATAACTCAGTTCCAGTTCCCACACAGCAGAGGCCTGTGACTATACTGCTCCAATATGGAAGGGACAGGCAATTCTCAATCAGTTTAATTTCCACTTTTGATCCCCAATCCTTGCTATGTGTTTAATTCTGTTTCCAAAACATCAAGTTTTTAGGGCTATACCTAGTAACATCTCTGAAAAATGTATTTTGATAAACACTGGACAAGACTATGAAATAAGGATCTTAGTCGTTGTATTCCTAACCCCAGCACATTACCTAGCCCATAGTTTATTGATTGCATAAATAAATTAAGATTCAATTTTAGTTCCAATGCAGATTGAAGTGTGAGGAAGATAGAGTTGGAATGTATTTTCTTGAAGACTGTCTTTAGAATGATTCTATTCTTGTTTCTGTAAGTTATGACCATTTGACAAGCATCCACGAGAAAGAGAATATGATAACCCTTTTGTCAATACAATGGATATGTCAATAATGAAAAAACTCTTATTTGCCCGTCCTGGGAACAACAAAGCAGACAATACCCATTATCCATGTGTCATTTCCTTGTTGAGGACATAAAAGCAGATCAAGGCAAAACCCAGTGCGTCTTTAAATTAGAGGCACAGATCAATGCCCATATTTCTCAGTGTCATGTTTCATTATGTTGAACTATTTATGTCATCGTAACCCAAGGAATCTTAATGCAACCTGACATCCAGGTTATGTTGCATTAAAAAAATAAGAAGCCATTGCATTTTGTTAGTGAGTTGGAAAGCATTCCACCTTTCTTTTTCTGCTTGGTAAAGGATTATCAATGTGTGTATGGGGAGTGAGGGGTGGCAAGAGGGGGGTACAGTTCTGTATTAAAGGTTGAAAAGATTGGAGACCTTAATTTTAAGTCTGTCAGAAATATTCCCTTAGGTTGGCTG
Organism: Homo sapiens; assembly: GCF_000001405.40. Classification (NCBI taxonomy): domain Eukaryota; kingdom Metazoa; phylum Chordata; class Mammalia; order Primates; family Hominidae; genus Homo; species Homo sapiens. The sequence continues at coordinate 37,931,186 of NC_000018.10, forward strand.
AGAGCCCTTATTTTCCATCTCTGATAGAGGTCTTAAGATTAGCTTTGGAATAGTGAAATTATTCTTTATGATAGAATTTAGAAATGTTCAACTCCCCTCCAACTCTCCAAATGAAAATGTCACTTATATTTTAAGATTCTACTTAAATGAAATGCCTTTCAATAAGCTTTTCTTTCTTACTATGTAGATTTCTTCTTTATTTTCTGAACTTTCATGGCAAATCATCTCTACTGATATGGAATATTTTTGTATCCTAATGATATTATATATTTTTGAGTACATATCCTAATGTATTAAATATTCTAAACTTCTTCAGGCTAGAGATGAGTTTTATTGCTACAGCCTAGTGATTATCTAAATTTAAGTGCCAGTAAAGATAGTTTTGGGAGTATTTAGACATTTGGAACTTTCTTACACTGTGACTCTGATACAATGGATTTGAGATAGGAATCAGTAATTCATACTTGTAACAAAAGGCTGCCAGATGGTAAATACAAAGAATACCATATTTAGGGATATCATAATCAAACTGATGAAAACCAAAGATAAAGAGATATAGAGAATATATTAAAAGCTGCTGGGAGAAAAACAACACATTACACACAGTGGAACAATATGAAAGATGGTTGATTTTTCATCGAAACAATGAAGGCCAGAAGACAATGGAATGGCCATTTAAAGTGTTGAAGGAAAAGACAAAAAAACCTACTAACTGAGAATCTATATGCAATGAAAGTATTTTTTAAAATTGCGTTTTATAAATAAAAGCTGAGAAAATGTGTTGCTGGCAGACCTAAACTATAAGAAATACTCAAAAAAAGTTATCACAGTGAAGGAAAATGATATCAAGTGAAAATCTAATTCTACAAGAAGAGATGAAAAGCACTAAAAATGGTAAATAGTAATTTAATATAAAAACTTACGGGCCAGATGTAGTGGCTCACACCTGTAATCCCAGCACTTTGGAAGGCTGAGGCGGGTAGATCACCTGAGGTCAGGAGATTGAGACCAGCCTGACCAACATGGAGAAACCCCATCTCTACTAAAAATACAAAATTAGCCAGGCTTGGTGGCGCATGACTGTAATTCCAGCTACTAGGGAGGCTGAGGCAGGAGAATTGCTTGTACCTGGGAGGTGGAGGTTGCAGTGAGCTGAGGTCGCACCATCACACTCTAGCCCGGGCCATGAGAGCAGAACTCCATCTCAAAAAAAAAAAAAAAAAAAAGAAACCCCAAAACAAACAAACAAACAAACAAACAAACAAACACACTTACTTTTAGTTTTTCTTCTTTTACTTTCTTTATATAATGTCATTTTGCTTTGTTAAAGCAAAAATGACATTAGAAGATTTGGTTAAAACCTATGTAACAGATAAAATATAAGACAATAATTCTATAAAAGTTGGTGCCACCAACATGGCACATGTATACATATGTAACAAACCTGCACATTGTGCACATGTACCCTAAAACATAAAGTATAATAATAATAAAAAAAAAGTTGATGGAGCTCATTAGTATTAACTGATTTGAGATTTTTACATTTATGAAGTTGGCAGTGTAAAGTGTGAACTGAGAAAATATTAATTGTAAGGATACTCAAATAAATTAAGAATACATATTATAATTTCTAGAATAACAAAGAAAAAAAATAAAAGCAGCATAGTTAAAAATCCAATAGAGAAAAGAAAATATAATACCAAAACTATTCAATTAACCCAAAAAATAAATATCCAAAAAATGCCCAGATAAATAAGTAGAAAATATAGTAAAGTGATATATTTAGCCCAAACCATATAAATAATTACTTTAAATATAAATGAACTAAACATTCAAATTACAAGGCTGAGATTGTCAGACTGGCTATAAAAGTAAAATATATACTGTGTGCAAGAGACAATGTAATGTAAACAGAATGGATATAAAAGGATGGAAATCTATCTATCATCTATCTATAACACAATTATAGATGCAATGTTAATAAATCCTCTCAGTAGGATATATTTACTCTAATCCTTTATGATAGGATATTAACTATTCTCTTAACACTGAAATGTATTAGATACTGAGAGGTATTAATTACCTCTCATTAGTTAATAAAACAAATAAGTCAAATAATCATTTAGAATGTATAGAATCTAAACACCACTATCCAAGAACTTGACATAATTGACATTAACAGAACATCACACCCAACTGTAGAATACAAATTATTTTTAAGTGCATATGGGACATTCCACAAGAAAAATCACGAATTGTTCACTAAAATACATCTCATAAATTTCAAGAAATTAAAATCTTATAAAATATGTTTTTCTGACCACAATGGAATTAAATTAAAATCATTAAGAATAAGATATATTGAAAAATAGCCAAATATTTGGAAATTAAAAAAACATATTTCTAAATAACCCATGGGTCAAAGAAGAGATTTTAAAAGAAATTAGAAAAATATTTTCAATGAACTAGAATGAAAATATTGAAAATTTTTGTACCTCATGGACACAAAAGCTCTAACCATAAAAAAAAGTTGGTCATGAGTGGGTGAATTAAAAAGCCTGACAATATCAAGTGAGGATGTGGAGCAACTGAAACTTTCATACATTGCTAATGGGACAATAGAATGGCACAATCACTTGAGAAAACTGGTCATTTATTTTAAAGCTAAAACATACACCTATGCTATTACCCAGTGATTTCACTCTGAATTATTTATCCCAGACAAAAACTGTTTGTCTATAAAATAACTTATATAATTATGTTTGTCACAAGAATGAAAAACTGGAAACCACCCAAATGTGTTTTAACAAGACTATGAAAGAACAAATCATGGCATATTCATAAAATGACATACTACTCAGCAACAAAAATGAACAAATTGCTGATGCCCACAACAGTGGTGACTCTCATAGACTTTATGTTGAGAAATCAGGCACAAAAAAAGTATACTCTGTGTGATTTTGGTTATAGAAAGCTCTAGAACAGACAAAACTCATCTTGAGAGATTGAAAATCAGATCAACAGTTTCCTGGAGCAGTGGGGGACTGATGGCAAAGGGGCTGTTTTAGTCCACTTGTGTTGCTATAAAGGAATACTTGAGGCTGAGTCATTTATAAAGAGAGGAGTTTATTTCACCCATGGTTCCGTAGGCCGTGCAAGAAGCATGATGCCAGCATCTGCATCTGGTGAGGACCTCAGACTGCTTCCACCCAGGCAAAAGGGAATGTACCACATGGTGACAGCAGGAAGAGAGAGAGAGAGAGAGAGAGAGAGAGAGAGAGAGAGACAGAGAGAGAGAGAGAGAGAGAGAGAAGAGAAAGGTGCCAGACTCTTTTAAACAATCAGCAACCAGTTCTTGGGGGATCTCTCATGAGAACTAATAGAGCAAGAACTCAATACTGCAAGGACTGCACCAAGCTATTCATGAGGGATTTGCCCTATGATTCAAATACCTCCCAGTAGGCCCCACCTACAAAACTGGGGATTAAATTTCAACATGAGGTTTGGAGGGCCAAATATCAAAAGTATAGAAGGGGTACAAAAAACTTTCTGGGATGATAGGAGTGTTCTGTATCTTAGTTGGGATAAAGGTTACAGGGGTGTACATATTTGTGAAAATTTATCATGATAAATACTTAAAATCTGTGCATTTTAATGTATGAAAACTATACTGCGATAACATTTTTAACAATAATTTGAGAAGCATTTGTACATGCAAATTCCTGGGTTCATTAATAGAAATTCTGACTCTGGGTCTGTGGTGAGAATCACTTTTCTGCATCTTTAACAAGAGTCCTGGGTTGATCCTTGTATATGTGGTGAAAGTATTGATCTGCCATAATATTGTATGTCCAGAAATGCTGATCATATTTTGCAACAATGAATGAATTAACCATTAGCTACAAAAATCTGCTGTCTCTGAAGTCTTCTCTATTGTAAGGAAAATATATTAACTTATTTTTGCAAAATATGAAGGTTTATATGTTTTTTTTCAGACTAGAAGATGCAAGCTTCTCTCTTCATTGTCTATTGTTCATGCTACAACAATTCCAGTGTTTGCTTCTGCTAATGCACTTTTCCCCACCAAAAACCTTTGTCCTAGCCTTTCTGTCTGCCTTGTTTTCTCTCCATTTGAAAGTGCAATGACACAAAGCCCTTTCTAGCTATGCTTGTTGCTAGTGTCTAACTAATAATGATTTTCCCTTCTCTAAGTCCTGTAGTTCTTATTGACCGATCTATTTAATCTGGCACTTACACACATACTATACCGTATGGTTATCTCTTTCCCATGTGGCTCTTTTCTCTTCAATAATATTGTAAACACTTACTGAAAACATTGCTGCTTTTCAGTCTCTTATAGCCTGTCTTCCACTCCCTCTATGCTAGACAAAACTGAAATATACAATACAGTTTTTTAAAATTAAGGACACAGGTTGCAGGGTTAGATTTAAGTTAGAAAATCAATATTGCCACCCATAAACTATGTAATATTGGAAAATTTATTTGTCTTCATCTATAAAAATGATAATATTCTTTCATTAACAAATTATTGTGAGGATTCAATAAGTTAAATTACATAAACCACTCAGCACACTGGTGCCTCTTAAGCATTTAGCAAATAGTTGTTGACAAAGTTGTTGTTGGTGATATGCCATTATGGTATAGTTGTGATATTGTTATTAATATTGTTAAAGACCATATAATATGAGACTGGATTGGAATTTAGAAATTATATAATCTAAGCTGCTTGTTCCTGTGATTAGAAAACTGAGGCCAGAGAGGAACAATATTAGTCCATTCTCACATTGCTATAAAGAAATACCTGAAACTGGATGATTTGTGACGAAAAGAGGTTTAATTGGCTCACAGTTCCACAGGCTATAAGGAAGCATGATGCTGGCATCTGCTCAGGTTTTGGGAGGCATCAGGAAACTTACAATCATGGTGCAAGGCGAAGGGGGAATATGAACATCACATAGCCAGAGTAGGAGCAAGGGGACAAGGGGGAGGTGCTACACACTTTTAAATGATCAGATCTCATGAGAACTCACTCACTATTATTATTGCGAGGACAGTACCAAGTAGGATGCTGCTAAACCATTCATGTGAAACTGCCCCCATGATTTAGTCACCTCACACCAGGCTCCACCTCTACCATTGGGGATTACAATCCAACATGAGATTTGGGCAGGGACACAGATCCAAACCATATCAGGAACAGACTGTCCATTGATTATTTTGTCTTAAAAGAACAGTGTTCAAGCTTCAAAGCATATGTTCATAGTTACATGCATTATGTTGCAATTTAATACTGTATTTGCTACACATAGAGCAGATTTTCCCAGTGGAAGGAATAAAATGCTATTCTCTATTTAGCATGAAAGGTGACCCTTCTGAATTTCAGAGTTTCTTTTCCCCTCTATCTGGGTATGAACTTTTTCTTTAAAATATAGACCCTAAAAGGTGTCAGAGAGCAAGCCTCTTCCTACTCTGCTCTGACTGCATGCACGTTGCACAACGCATGTATTCTCACACAGTCACAAATGTGTAGATCAACCTTACTTAGAGAATGAAACATTTGACTTGATTACTAACTGTTCACCCTGGACTATGATCTCATCACTCCAATAGGTCAAAAGTTAAGTATATCTGACCTATTTTGATAATGTACTCATAGTTAATTCTCAACCAGTAGGTTAAATGTCTTACCCAGAAAATGCCAGCCTCCTGATCTGGAGGCCACTATAGCACACTAGTAAGCCCATCCCTTCTCTGTCATCAATTGTGGCACAAAACACTGTGCTGAGAGGAAGTTTCTATGGACGTTTGCAGATAGTAAGATAAAGAGAGATGAGATCTGGAATATGAAGAATAGAAGTTTTAAATGTTGAGGCTTTAAGAGGGAGAATTAGGGCCAGTGAAAGTGGATCTCCGTAGCCTTTGTTGCTTCAGCATACACAGATCCGTAATTGTGTTATATTTGCTATAGTATTCATCCTGTTTTCCACTGATGCACTTGGGTAGATTTTTAAGGTCAATGAGCTCTTGGATGTTGCTGCAATCACCACCCCTTCTCCCCCATCATTTCTTATTCCTTGACTTGGGGCTCCCTGGGTGTCTGCGGTTAAGTGCCTTAAGAGCTGCTGATTATTGTGATTTCCTTTAACCAGCTCGACAGATTCTCTGCTTTTCCATTTTTGATGTCAGCCCTAATGTGTTGGGCCAAACACGTTGGAACTTGTTAAGATTCTTCAAATAGCTTCTTTGTGCAGGAGAAATCACAACAGTGACAGGCCCTCTGCTCTATCTCCCCGGAGCTTTTATGCATGTGCTATGCCCCCTACAGTCCCCATCACTCTGTCTCACAGGCGAACTGACATTCAGAGCCAGAACCCAACACCAACAACACTTATTATTTTTTAAAACTTCATTTCTCTCTATATTTCCCCTTATTCCGATTCAAATGCTGAGCATAATAAAGTTGCCAAAACTCTCCCTCCATTGGAGTGAAAACCATTCATTTGTTGTCTCAATTTAAGATTCCTGACTCCAAATAGAAGGATATTCTCTGTGGACATAATGGGACATTTAGCAATTCATTCATTTTCTTCACATGCTACTTATTTAGGCACTCAGCGGTTGGCAGCTTTGATGTGGAGTGGTGAAATTATAAAGACATTACGTATCATAAAAATATAAATGAAAGAAAACACAGACCCTCTTTTATATCAGGCTAAATTGACTGCTGTCATATTAAGGGTATTTTGTTTTATAAATTATACCCGTTTCAAGGTATTCCCTTGCGTGAATTACTACTTTGTCTTTTATTTCTTTTTTCTTTTTTCAACAAAACAGGCTTCCTTTTTTACAATACATTGAGGTAAAGAACTATAGGAGCTCAAATTTTAAAATTAATGTATTTGGTACCAAACTTGATCTGGAATTCACAATATGGGGCCAGCAAGTCAGTCAAGTCCTGCATGATTTGCCAAATCATGTGTTGGACATAACAAAATGACTTTGGAATCAAATTAGATTTAGGGATTCCATTTTTCAACACTTGTTTTCTTGAAAAGGTTTCACAGGTATAGTGACTTCTTTAATATTTGCTCTACGAAGCTAAGAGTATTCTCCTAAACACATTAATAACCCTTCAATAATCCATTTTATGTCTGTCCACCATAAAAGTATTTAATCCTGTTCCCGGGCTTGCTCTCTGGACTTGCTGGGTAGGCATGGCCTTAGAGCAGATGGCAGCTCTAACGCAAAAGACAGAGTGGAGCTGCCTGCACCAGAATATCTCAGGAACCAGAGGTGGGGTTGGCCTGTTTGTTGCAACGGGTGAGGGGTTGATATAGTTTGGCTGTGTCTCAACCCAAATCTCATCTTGAATTGTAATTCCCACAATTCCCATGTGTCGTGGGAGGAACTCGGTGGTGAGAGATGATTGAATTATGGGAGCGGGTGTTTCCTGTGCTGTTTTGGTGATAGTGAATGGGTCTCATGAGATCTGATGGTTTTAAAAATGGGAGTTGCCCTGAACAAGCTCTCTTTGCCTGCTGCCAACCATGTAAGATGTGACTTGCTTCTCTTTGCCTTCTGCCAAGATTGTGAGGCCTCCCCAGCCACGTGGAACTGTAAGTCAAATTAAACCTCTTTCTTTTGTAAATTGCCCAGTCTCAAGTCTGTCTTTATTAGCAGTGTGAAAACGAACTGATACAGGAGTCTTGTTTATTATTGCTGGAAGGATATGAGCCATGTAGCCCCAGGAAGAGCTAGGCTGAAGGAGGGGCTAGATGAGGTTGTGAGGTCATGAAAGTCAAAGAAAAGAAGAGAAAAATCAAAGCAAGAGATATACTTGAGAGAGCCCATGTCAGAAGAAACAATAGGAACTGGAGTCAGGCCAGGGCCAGCAGAAGTTAAAAGTAGAGACAGTGAGATTAGTTGGGAATGACCTGAGATAAAATAAGGTATAGGATTTTCCCATGGTCTATTATTTTTAAATGTTAGAAACTCCCCTTCCTTATGATTAGACATTTCTGTCTAGAGTTGGCTGTTTTTATTAGCCAAGAATAGATATTTAGAAAGAAGACTTACTGGGTCAAATGATTTGACTTAACACTATTTTGTTTGGTCTCCAAGAAAAGCTTGTTCTTACTAGGGACACAATATTCAGTAAAAGATACATGTTGCCCCACTGCATCATTTACTTGCTCCCTTTCTTCTTGTTTTTTTCTCTCTTTTTTTTAAAAATTATACTTTAAGTTCTGGGATACATGTGCAGAATGTGCAGGTTTGTTACATAGGTATACATGTGCCATTGTGGTTTGCTGCAACCATCAACCTGTCATCTACATTAGGTATTTCTCCTAATGCTATCCTTCCCCTTGTCCCCCATCCCCCAACAGACCCCAGTGTGTGATGTTCCCCCCACTATGCCCATATGTTCTCATTGTTCAACTCCCACTTATGAATGAGAACATGCAGTGTCTGGATTTCTGTTCCTGTATTAGTTTGCTGAGAATGATGGTTTCCAGTTTCATCCATGTCCCTGCAAAGGACATGAACTCATTCTTTTTTATGGCTGCATAGTATTCCATGTGTATATGTGCCACGCTTTCTTCATGCAGGCTAACATTGATGGGCATTTGGGTTGTTTCCAAGTCTTTGCTATTGTGAATAGTGCTGCAATAAATGTACATGTGAATGTGTCTTTATAGTAGAATGATTTATAATCCTTTGGGTATATATCCAGTAATGGGATTGCTGGGTCAAATGGTATTTCTAGTTCTAGATCCTTGAGAAATTGCCACACTGTCTTCCACAATGGTTGAACTAATTTATACTCCCACCAACAGTGTAAAAGTGTTCCTGTTTCTCCACATCCTCTCCAGCATCTGTTGTTTCCTGACTTTTTAATGATCACCATTCTAACTGGTGTGAGACAGTATCTCACTGTGGTTTTGATTTGCATTTCTCTAATGACCAGTGATGATAAGCTTTTCTTCATATGTTTGTTGGCTGCATAAATGTCTTCTTTTGAAAAGTGTCTGTTGTAAGTGAATGGGAGTTCACTCATGATTTGGCTCTCTGTTTGTCTGTTATTGGTGTATAAGAATGCTTATGACTTTTGTACATTGATTTTGTATCCTGAGACTTTGAGAACTACAAACCATTGCCCAATGAAATAAAAGAGGATACAAACAAATGGAAGAACATTCCATGCTCATGGATAGGAAGAATCAATATCATGAAAATGGCCATACTGCCCAAGGTAATTTATAGATTCAATGCCATCCTCATCAAGCTACCAATGACTTTCTTCACAGAATTGGAAAAAAATATTTTAAAGTTCATACGGAACCAAAAAAGAGCCCACATGGCCAAGTCAATCCTAAGCCAAAAGAACAAAGCTGGAGGCATCATGCTACCTGACTTCAAACTATCCTACAAGGCTACAGTAACCAAAACAGCATGGTACTGGTACCAAAACAGAGATATAGATCAATGGAACAGAACAGAGCCCTCAGAAGTAACGCCACATATCTATAACTATCTGATCTTTGACAAACCTGACAAAAACAAGCAATGGGGAAAGGATTCCCTATTTAATAAATGATGTTGGGAAAACTGGCTAGCCATATGTAGAAAGCTGAAACTGGATCCCTTCCTTACACCTTATACAAAAATTAATTCAAGATGGATTAAAGACTTAAATGTTAGACCTAAAACCATAAAAACCCTAGAAGAAAACCTAGGCATTACCATTCAGGACATAGGCATGGGCAAGGACTTCATGTCTAAAACACCAAAAGCAATGGCAACAAAAGCCAAAATTGACAAATGGGATCTAATTAAACTAAAGAGCTTCTGCACAGCAAAAGAAACTACCATCAGAGTGAACAGGCAACCTACAAAATGGGAGAAAATTTTCGCAACCTACTCATCTGACAAAGGGCTAATATCCAGAATCTACAATGAACTCAAACAAATTTACAAGAAAAAAACAAACAACCCCATCAAAAAGTGGGCGAAGGATATGAACAGACACTTCTCAAAAGAAGACATTTATGCAGCCAAAAAACACATGAAAAAATGCTCATCATCACTGGCCATCAGAGAAATGCAACTCAAAACCACAATGAGATACCATCTCACACCAGTTAGAATGGCAATCATTAAAAAGTCAGGAAACAACAGGTGCTGGAGAGGATGTGGAGAAACAGGAACACTTTTACACTGTTGGTGGGACTGTAAACTAGTTCAACCATTGTGGAAGTCAGTGTGGCAATTCCTCAGGGATCTAGAACTAGAAATACCATTTGACCCAGCCATCCCATTACTGGGTATATACCCAAAGGACTATAAATCATGCTGCTATAAAGACACATGCACATGTATGTTTATTGCGGCATTATTCACAATAGCAAAGACTTGGAACCAACCCAAATGTCCAACAATGATAGACTGGATTAAGAAAATGTGGCACATATACACCATGGAATACTATGCAGCCATAAAAAATGATGAGTTCATGTCCTTTGTAGGGACATGGATGAAATTGGAAATCATCATTCTCAGTAAACTATTGCAAGAACAAAAAACCAAACACCGCATATTCTCACTCATAGGTGGGAATTGAACAATGAGATCACATGGACATAGGAAGGGGAACATCACACTCTGGGGACTGTTGTGGGGTGGGGGGAGAGGGGAGGGATAGCACTGGGAGATATACCTAATGCTAGATGACAAGTTAGTGGGTGCAGCGCACCAGCATGGCACATGTATACATATGTAACTAACCTGCACATTGTGTACATGTACCCTAAAACTTAAAGTATAATAATAATAAAATTAAATTAAATTAAAAAAAAAGAAAAGTGTCTGTTCATATTCTTCACCCACTTTTTAATGGGGTTGTGTTTTTCCTGTAAATTTAAGTTCCTTGTAGATTCTGGATATTAGCCCTTTGTCAGATGGATATATCGCAAAAATTTTCTCCCATTCTGTAGGTTGCCTGTTCACTCTGATGATAGTTTCTTTTGCTGTGCAGAAACTCTTTAGTTTAATTAGATCCCAGTTGTCAATTTTGGCCTTTGTTTGCCATTGCTTTTGGTGTTTTAGTCATGAAGTCTTTTCCCATGCCTATGTCCTGAATGGTATTGTCTAGGTTTTCTAGGGTTTTTATGCTTTTAGGTCTTACGTTTAAGTCTTTAATCCATCTTGAGCTAATTTTTATATAAGGTGTAAGGAAGGGGTCCAGTTTCAGTTTTCTGCATATGGCTAGCCAGTTTTCTGCATATGGCTAGCCAGTTTTCCCAACACCATTTATTAAATACGGAATCCTTTCCCCATTGCTTGTTTTTGTCAGGTTTGCCAAAGATCAAATGGTTGTAGATGTGTGGTGTTATTTCTGAGGACTCTGTTCTGTTCCATTGGTCTATATCTCTGTTTTGGTACCAGTACCATGCTGTTTTGGTTACTGTAGCCTTGTAACATAGTGTGAAGTCAGGTGGCATGATGCCTCCAGCTTTGTTCTTTTTGCTTAGGATTGTCTTGGCTATATGGGCTCTTTTTTGGTTCCATATGAAAATTAAAGTAGTTTTTTCTAATTCTGTGAAGAAAATCAATGGTAACTTGATGGGAATAACATTAAATCTATAAATTATTTTGGACAGTATGGCCATTTTCACAACGTTTATTCTTCCTATCCATGAGCATGGAATGTTTTTCCATTTGTTTGTGTCCTCTCTTATTTCCTTGAGCAGTGGTTTATAGTTCTCCTTGAAGAGGTCCTTCACATCTCTTGTAAGTTGTATTCCTAGGTATTTTATTCTCTTTGTAGCAATTGTGAGAGGGAGTTTGCTCATGTTTGTCTCTCTGTTTGTCTATTATTGGTGTATAGGAATGCTTGTGATTTTTGCACATTGATTTTGTATCCTGAGACTTTGCTGAAGTTGCTTATCAGCCTAAGGAGTTTTGGGGATGAAACGATGGAGTTTTCTAAATATACAATCATGTCATCTGCAAACAGAGATAATTTGACTTCCTTTTTTACTAAAATTGACACCCTAACATCACAACTAAAAAAACTAGAGAAGCAAGAGCAAACAAATCCAAAAGTTAGCAGAATACAAGAAATAACTAAGATCAGAGCAGACCTGAAGGAGATAGAGACACGAAAAACCCTTCAAAAAAATCAATAAATCCAGGAGCTGGTTCTTTGAGAAGATTAACAAAATAGATAGACTGCTAGCCAGACTAACAAAGAAGAAAAGAGAGAAGAATCAAATAGACACAATAAAAAATGATAAAGGGGAGATCGCCACTGATCCCATAGAAATACAAACTACCATCAGAGAATACTATAAACACCTCTATGCAAATAAACTAGGAAATCTAGAAGAAATGGATAAATTCCTGGATGTATTCACCCTCTCAAGACTAATCCAGGAAGAAGTCAAATCCTCGAATAGACCAATAACAAGTTCTGCATTTGAGGCAGTAATTCATAGTCTACCAACCAAAAAAAGCCCAGGACCAGATGGATTCATAGCCAAATTCTACCAGAGGTACAAAGAGGAGCTGGTACCATTCCTTCTGAAACTATTCCAAACAATAGAAAAACAGGGACTCCTCCCTAATTCATTTTATGAGGCCAGCATCACCCTGATACCAAAACCTGGTAGAGACACAACAAAAAAAGAAAATTACAGGCCAATATCCCTGATGAACATCCATGTGAAAATCCTCAATAAAATACTGGCACACTGAATCCAGCAGCACATCAAAAAGCTTATCCACCACGATCAAGTCAGTTTCATCCCTGGGATGCAAGGCAGGTTCAACATATGCAAATCAATAAACATAATCCATCACATAAACAGAACCAATGACAAAAACCACAAGATTATTTTTATATACTTTATAGATCCCGACAAGGCCTTTGATAAAATTCAACACCCCTTCAGGCTAAATCACTCAATAAACTAGGTATTGGTGGAATGCATCTCAAAATAATAAGAGCTATTTATGACAAAGCCACAGCTAATATACTGAACGGCAAAAGCTGGAAGCATTTCCTTTGAAAACCGGCACAAGACAAGGATGACCTCTCTCACCAGTCCTATTCAACATAGTATTGGAAATTCTGGCCAGGGCTATTAGGCAAGAGATAGAAATAAAGGATACTCCCTCCCTTTCTAATGGATCACTGCATTTGTTCCAAGCTCAGAGGAAAACCTCCCTGGCCCCTTGGTGATTTGAGCTGAGATTCTCTTGGTGTTCTTTAACATGTGCCTTGGGGTTTAGGGATGGATTATGATGAGGGAGCTTCTACCAGTTAGTGACAGACTCTCAGCCAGTACCCTGACTACCATCTCTCAGCCTGAGTTCTCTCCCCTGTACCATACTGCCTTTGGCTTAGAGGGAGGATGATGGTGCCTTAGCCACCCTTGCTCCTCTCAAGTTGCTCCCTCCTGCCTTGTTAGAACTTATCTAGTAACTGTGACAATGATTTGCAAATTATAGTGTAATAAATTCTTAATCCAGTTTTATTTTAACATCTTCATTAATTATGTGGAAGAGGGAGACAACCACCTGCTAATTAAATTTTCAGATGTTGCTAAATTGGGAGGAGTAGCAAACCCAGCAGAGAGCCAAAATGCAATATAAAGGAATCTGGAGAAGTTATGAGGATATGCGTGTAGGAAGAGGGTGTGGCTAAGATTGGAAATGATGACATCAGGGCCATCTAGAAAGGTGAAATAGCAGCTCTAAAATCTTAGGGGCTGGGAGCAGCCGGAGGGAATGGGTCAGTCATGGACTATGATAGAGTGATAACAGGAGGTTCTGGGTGGGCAGAGTGACAGATTTCCATTTTTTCTACCTGGAATGGAGCCCTGCCCTTTCTCTGGTATCTGTGCCTGATGGTTTAGTCACAAAGATCGGTGAAAGCCAAGGGAGAGACAGCACTAGCCACTCAGTGGTGTGCAAAGCCTTGCTTATTGCATCCCCCACAGTACCTAGACCCTGGCTGGGCACACAGCAGATGATAAAGATTGAATTAACTAATGTGTGTGAAAATAGTTTAGAAAGAAAAAGCACTATGAGAAGAGAAAGAAGTTTTTTATACTAATGATAATTATTATCAATCTTTGTTATGATAAATTTAATTGAAGTTGATTGGCAGGAACATGGCATATGTGGGCAAAGGTAATAGAGGAGAAACAACAGGCAAAGTGATTAACATGGGTTTTGCCTCCTAAATGTACTTGCTCCATTTCTTGGGAATTAACTTGTTGCTTGGATGCCGTGGTCCTTCAGTGACTGATCTGTGTCCTAGAAGTGAAACACCTTTGATGGCTTTATCAACTCTCTCAGGACAGGTTATATGGGAAATTCAGTGAGGAGACATGGCTACAGTGGCCAGGGTAGTGCATTTGAGCACTGTAAACATCACCACCAGGAAAATGGAGTAAACTTTCTTCTAGAATTACTAACTGACTCCCTTACCCTTCATGGTCTTCTTCCAGCTTCTGTCACATTGACCTTTGGTCAACTTCCCATTGTGGGTACATCATCTCACCACACCTAACTGTGTGGTTCAAGCCAGATGGTTGTGTATTCCTGCTCTCAGCCCTAAGTATCACCACACATGCTGCTGTAAACCCTGCTTAGTTTCCTTTCAACTATATCCCATTGGCCACAAAGGATGCCAAATGAAAGACTCCAGAAAGATAAGTATCCAGTGCACACCCATCCCCAGAGCTGGATAAAAACCCCAAAGGTGATACTTGACCTGCTAAAAAGGAAGAGGCAATTTCATCACACATGAAAACCAGCAGCATCATTAAGACTTTCTCTTTCTACAGCAGAGTTTTATCTATTTACTCCTCTCCACTAGATTTTGAGAGGCCATAGAATATGACTTTTCTTTTCTTGTCTCTTCTACAATGCCTAGCAAGGGGTGAACACAAAGCAGGCACCCAGCAACTGATGGATAACATTTGAGAGAATTGCCACTTCTCTCCACATCCCTTCTTCCTCCCACTTAGAAAAACAGGTGCACATGGGTTGTCTTTCTCAACTCTGTAAAAGAAAAAGAAGGCTGTGGGTCAGGTCGATATGATGCACTTTTTAGTCCAGTAAAAGTCAGGTAGCTTTTCCACCAAAAATTATCAGATGGCTCTGAAGAGAAAGCATTGGCTTCTGTCACCTCCTGGCTGCTACCTGGTGAGTCAGGGAGTAGAAGGAGTAAAAATAGCCAGCCAGTAAGTTTCAGATTATATGGGAAGAGGCTAATTGGTCTTTCACCTTATTTTCCTTGTCATTCCTTCAGGGATCAGGTTAAGCCTCTGTCTATATTTCACTGGGAAGTCATCGGGATTAAGCTGTGCCTTTCTGTCTGTCATACTGACAGCACCTGCAACGTGGACTCGATTTTGATAAGCCCCTCCACTCGTCATGCAACTCCTTTTAGTCAAAACAGGTATATAATTTATGGTGCCCAAAGCACTTGTTAGTATAGAAGAATTAACTAGGAGGGAGGCATGTGCACCAAGACAGCCACTCAATTGTTAAGTGCTTATTCCTTCCTGCTGTGAGGATTTTTTTTTCCCTTTGAAATAACTAAGCAAGGGGATAGACACATTTGTCATTCAGATATTGTGTCTTTTCTTTTGGAAAGGAAAAACTAAAAAAAAAAAAAAATTGCGACAAAAAACCCAGAAAACAAAAACAAAAACAACCTCAAATGAGCTCCTTAAATTCAATGTCTGGGTCTCTTTGGTAGAATAAACCCTGGAGAGGACCAGGATTTGGCAGTGAAGCAGGGGGGTCAGCCCTTAGGGGATGCTTGTGGAGTGAGTGGGGGACAAGGGTGAGTGACTGAGTGATGAGGGTGGTACTGGATTTTGAGGCAGCAGATGGGGGAGGCCCAGCAGGGGTCCAGGATGGTAAGGGCTGTCAGGACAAGTAATGGGACTCTTTCTCTGGAAGTTTCAGGCCAAGATGGAATGAAGAGTCTGAAGCAGCCTCTGTGAGACATCAGGATAGGCATCGATGGGGTTTGCTATTTCCATGGATGCTCAGACTCTAAGGTTCTACAGGTTGAAATTGCATGTCCTAACTGACTCAGGTGTCATGGCTTGAATTGTGTTCCCCAAAGATGATGTGTTGAAGTCCTGACTCCCTGTTTCTCAGAATGTGAGCTTGTTTGGAGAGAGGGTCTTTACAGAGGTAATCAAATTAAGGTGAAGTCCTTAGGGTGGGCTCTAAACCAATATGACTGGTGTCCTTATAAATAAGGAAACATCAACCACAAAGACATGCACATGGGGAGAATGCCATGTGAGATAAAGGCAGAGATCAGGATAATGAATCTATAAACCAAGGAGTGCCAAAGACGGCCAGCAAGCTGCCAGAAGTTAGGGGAGAGGCCCGAAACAGATTATTTCTCACAGTCCTCAGGAGGAAACACCCCTCCAACACCTTGATCTCAGCCTTCTGGCCTCCAGACTGTGAGACAATAGCTTCTGTGGTTTCAGCTACTTAGTTTGTATCCCTTTGTTAGTGCAAGCCTAGAGAGCTAATACCCCAGGAGGCTCCTCTAGTCAAGCAATGATAAACCTCTTCTCTCCTGGAGTCCTAGTTCCCAACTAGGAATATGGATTTCTTCACCTAAACACACATCTCTAGTGTTTATCTGAGAGGAGAATCAGTGGGATTCAGATATGTTCTTTAAGGTTCAGGAGAGGTTAGATAATTTAGTCAAAATCCAATAGTAAATAAATGGTGATGGTATGGCTAGCATTCAGACCTCCTCTTTGAGTTTTCTGTGCAAAGCACATTGTTCAGTGGCAAGGTCAGGACAGGTAGTAGGCTGTTAGGGAAGTTTCTCTAGGGCTCAAAATTTATCCTTCCAACCCTTCGTCCTGAGATGCCTTTCACAGTAAGTTTGGTCTTCTCTCTGCAAGCCCTGTACTCATCTGCTTTCTCTTTGATCTCAAGGCAAGGGTAATTCCTCTGTATGACAACAAATCATTTGTCTAACTTCCTCAGGGATGAAGCTGCCTACATAAGCCAATGTTCCAGATTCCTGATACTTATTCTTAAATTTGCTATTCTAATATTCAAATTTTAACAAATTCAAATGGATTATGTCTAAAATATATCATACAGGCTTAGGCAGGGTATTCCTATTTCCTTAAGCAGCATTTAAGCCATCACAATGGCTTAAGATCATTGTTATTAATATCAGTACACTCTGCTGTAACACACAGTTTCTCACTGTTTTTCCTGCCGCAAGCAAGATCTAAATTGCTATGCTCCATGAGGTTTTAGTTCAGAGCAAGGGACAGTGTTTTGATTATCCATTGTGACATAATGAACTACCCCCAAACTTAGTGGCTTAAAGACAGTTTGTTATTTCTCCCAATTTTGTAAGTCAGGAGTTCAGGCAGAGTTCAACTGGGGAGATCGTTAGCACCATGTGGCGCCAGCTGGGCTCATTCATGCAGTTGCTTTCAGCTGAGAGCTTGACTGTGGTTGGGGTGTCTGGGATGGCCTATCACCTTCCAGGGCCTCTCTTTCTACAATTTCTTATAGAGTGCTGGCTAGGCTTTAAGAGTGAGGGAGCAGAGGCTGGCCATCCTCAGAAGTCCTCTGGGCTCAAGAATGCTAGCATAACATTTCTGTCACGTTCTATTGGTCAAAGCAATTCCCAAGGTCACTACAAATTTAAGGAGAAGGAGAGTAGTCCCCACTTTTTGATATGAGAAGTGGCATGCTTTACAGGGAACGAAGGATTTCTGGCAGCCATATTTGGACACTGCCATGGTAGTGATTTAATGGCATTGAGGGCATAAGAACCAGAAATCTGTCTTAGCAAATCACCTCTATGTACCCTTCTTCCTCCACTGTGGTGACTAAAATTACTAAATGTGAAGACAAAGAACAGTGGCTCTCAGAGTTCTAGGTTTTAACAGCTCTACGGACAACTCTGACAGAGGTCTTTGGGGCCTGAAACTCAGGCTTGTGGCCTAAGTCAGATCTTCTACCTTTCTCTTTGGCCTGCATTTATTAGGATGGTGCAAAAGTAATTGCAGGTTTTTGCACCAACCTAATAAAGCTTCATAGAGGAAGTAAGTTGAAATAAGAGACAGATGCTTATTACCCACCCAAATGACAAGAACTAGAAAGTAGAAAATAAAAAATAATAAAAAAAATAACCAAAATAACCAAAAACGAACTTCAAAGTCTCCCTTGTTGGCAGGACAAGAAAAGAGCTGGAAGAGGCCTGGGGAGGACACAAGTGTCTCCTTAACACTCTTATTTTCCCTTCGCATCCCTTTTGTAGGGAGTCATCATTGTCACTTCTTTGTGTGATTGGCATGTCTGTTCTTAGTTAAATCTTGCACATGCTTTTCATTTATGGTAAATTTATTATGGAAAATTGGGAAATGACTTTTTATAATGTACCTAAAGTATGGTAAACTCTAAGTAAGAAAAGACACAAATTTCCATGAGAAGGCATGTAATAACTGAACATTTAGATATTTGTTTTGGGTAATGAGGCTATTTTAGTGTCTTCCTAGGCTCTCAGGCATGTTCTAGATCAGTGTTTCTCACCTTACCTTCATCCTTGGAATCACTAGGAGAGCTTTTGGAAAACGTATACTCCCAGGTATGCATTATCCCACATTAGATTTCAGGGTATTTGGTGGGGGGACAGGGCTAGCATTTGGAGAAAGAGAGAAACTGAGAAAAGAAAGGAAAGAGAGAGAAAGCAAGCAAGTAAAAGGAAAGTGAGGAAGTAGAGAAGGATGAACAGAAGAGGAATGGAAAGAAAAAAGAGTGATTTTATTATAAGGAGGGGAGGAAGGAAGGAAGAAGGAGAGAGAGAGAGTGATTTTATCCTGACAACACCGAGGAAACAATATCTTAGGCTACATTTCAGAAAATGGAGAATGAAATAGCTAAAGTTTTGATCGAGCAACGTTTTCAAGGAAGGATCAGATTTAAGTTTTTAGCAGTGAGAGAAGTGTATAAGGAGGCAGTCTATACCTAATTTTTCACATTATTCTTAAGGAAAGGTACTGAATTGAGAGTGAGGCATATGTAGGCAGAACTGTGATATGATTGGCTTGTAAGTAGCCACAAGCACCTACCCAAGAGGAAAGGAAGAAAAGGTCTGGCCAAAAGAATGGGATAATTACGGAGGCCTGCTGCCTATCAAAACAATGTGTTGAAGCTGTGTTGGGAGGCAGGCGGTTCCTCCGAACAGGCTCTTGTGCTCCATGAACAACTGAGGTTGGCAATTTTGGTGCCAATTCCCTTTTGGCAATAACAAAACCAATCTCACTCTCCTCCTGATGGTCGTTACAGCTGAAGTTGTTGGCATGGTGGTTCACAGGAGCAGTTTTACTCTTTTTTTTATTTTTATATTTTTTGGAGCATTTCTTAATGGCTAGGCTTCATATGAGCAGCTGGGTCATGGTGAGGACATAGATTTCCAAGCCTAAATTCTGTAGCTGATGGAATGTTGGAAATCAATTTCTTGGCTAGTAATATTCAGCTGTCAGAGTAGAAGGCTGTGTTTGTGAGAGAAGTTTAGAAGAAGGGAGGAGTATAGAGAGGGGAGCTTTGGACTTGTTATCAGTTGATGATTGCCATGACCCATGAATGCAGAGAATGTTAGAGAGAAGGTACCTCAGAAATTACAGATGAAGAAACTGAGGACAAGACAGTAGTAATTTTTTTTCCCAAGGATCTCAGAGAGACTTCACAATGAATTAGAATTAGACCTCAATACCACTATCCGTTAGCCCAGAACTTTTTTCTCTGCACTAGTTTCTGTGAGCTTAAGCACTATTACATGTATAAGAGGTTGAAATTTATCACTTTGGGCAGGGAAGATACAGGGAGTGTTTAGATTCTTATTTCACTAACCTGGATAGTTTAATAAAGAGTCATCTTTGGACTTACATAAAATTGTGAAGTTGACCCAGTTCCTTTTTCACATGCTTTCATAGATTTTAATCACCATTAGATGGTAGCATGAGAAAAGCAGGAGCACCCATCTTCCAAATGTCTAAAAGGATTCAGGAAAAGTGGAAAATAAAAATCATAGCTGGCATATTGAAACTGTCTACTCTCTTGGTTGAAAAAGAGCCCAAAATATGGATGAATGTATTTGGGATACAGAATATTACAGGCAAAGAGTTATATATGAAATTGCATATATTTTGTGGGAGGGTTTGAATATACTTAAAATTATGCATTGAGCTTCTAAGCCTAATTTTTAACTTTTGAATTTCCAAACTATCACTAAAGTATGTGGTGCTGATGGTAAGCTACATGCACCATCAGTGTTGGCAGGAGCTACCTAGGAGGGTTTTCTTAAGGAAGTGAGACTTGAGAATGAAAGATATAAAAGGAGTCACAGGTGTCCTGGGAGCTATGGAAATAATGATAGAGTTTTGTCTCTTGAGGTAGAGAGAGGATATGTTTGTTTTGTCTCTTGAACTAATCAGAAGATACATGTTCATTTTATTGTTATTGTTTATAACTGAGAGACATTTCATGTCTATTCTTTCCTATCTACTCAATATTTTATCACCCTCTCAAAACAAAGCAAAATAAAAAAGCAGAGAGAAGAGATTTTCAGTGAGAACAGGGGATCTGGTGCACAGGGGTCTGTGAGCCAGCTATTTGAATGCAAGGTAAGAACCCTGACGTGGGAAAAAATGGGGAGGAAGAGACAAGTGAACGACAAGACAGAGATGAGCACTAACAGGTGAGGAGCCACACTGGATGTCAAGCACAAAGCTTCTGGAAATGCCTTCTATGTTTTGAGCTTTGAACTGAGATGGTGAAATTGAATTGCAAGATAATGTATTGTCAGGAGTCAGCCAACTTTTTCTGTAAAGAGCCAGATAATAAATATTTTAGGCTTTGCAGGCCATACAGTTTCTGTTGCAAGTATTCAACTCTTCCTTTGTAGGGCAAAAGCAGCCATACACAATATGTAAACAAATAGGTATGGCTGTGTTTCAATAAAATTGTATTTATAAACACTAAAATTTGGTAATTTCCATTTATCATAAAATATTATTCTTCTTTTAATTTTTTCCCCAAATAGTTAAGACTACTCACAGCTCATGAATGAACAAAAACAGACAGTGGTTCAGACCTGACCCAAAGACCATACTTTTTTACCCCTGTGTTAAGTGACCATGAGAGGATAGAAGAATGGGTAAAGTGAGTAAAACTGAGAATACATTTTGAAATGTTAACTTGGTGTAGACTAACTTCTTTTCTCTTTCTGTTTTCTAAATGCTCCTTCAAGATTCAGCTGAATTTTTACTTTAATATGCTGTTATGTTACTTTTCTTTCCTATGAACATATAACTCCCTAAATGTATATTAATCATGTTTTTATTCTTTTCATTCAATTATTGCCTTGTAACATCTCTTTTAATGAAGACCTAGAAAAATGCTATCCTTCCTTATTTCCCTCACAGTGCCTAGTGCAGTGCAGAATGCATGGTCTATGGTCTACAAATAGTAAATGTAATTCATGAAAGAATAAATTCAAATTGAAGTTTATTCTGGAACAACCAAAATAATTTTTTTTTTAAATTGTGTGTAATTTGTCTTGAAATTATATTAAACTTATACGTTACTCAATATGAATTACAGGAGTTCATCCTTAAACAATACAAATGAACAGCATTTTGAATGTAGGTGAGCCTATTTACCGTGACACTAGCAAACAAAATAGATCTGCATATAGATTACATTCAAATCAATCAAGTCCTATGTTTCATTCAATGCCCTGTCAGGAAAAACAGAAACTATTCCAGGTATTTCATAAAGGAAAGGAAAACAAAGTTGGAAATATAATTTGCAGAGCCTCTGTCATGAAAATAGAGAAGAGAAATATGAGAGCAAATGTGCAGATAGGAGCAAGAGATACTCACTGGCACAGTCCACCCCTTTGATTTCTCAGCATCCACACCCATCCTCTTCTGCTTATAGTTAAGTTTTCATATAATGATATTAAGACCATCTTTCTTCCACCTAGGAGACAGCAAATGAATCTCACACTAATGAAGATTGGCCTGCCCTTTCCTAAAAAGTAGAGATATGAAGTCCTATCAATCACTTATCTATCTTTGGGTAATATTAAGCTTTCAGTTACAATTCCATCTGGATATAACCTGAAGACTAAATTGCAGGACTAACCATCACCCACCCTCCTGATACAAAAACATAGGGGAAAGAGGGAGTAGGAAACTAATTAACATGTACAAATATGTGCATAAGAAACAGAAAAGAAATTCTGTTCTCAATTCCAAAAGTAATCATGAATCTGTAGTTGATATTTACAACTTCCTTATTTTACTACCTATTCATTACATATTTTCTTTGCCCTCAGCCAGGATCTCAGTTTACTGGGGTTCTTTTCCTGTTGGCTAACCCACGTTACAGTTCTGTAAGTCTGAGTCTTCAGTAGTCCTGATTTTATCGGGTTGCTGTAGTTTTCGTTTTCTGCTAGTTAGATATAGTAAAAGCTGCCTCTGCATAACTCCTAAGGCCTGGGGTTTTGTTATCAATTCTAGAATTCCTGGATTCTCGAGCCCCCTCTTCATCCCCACTTGGCAGAGGGCAAGGAACTCTCTGCTCCAGGGTCCCTCTCCCTCAGCTTGCCCCTCCCATCCCAACATGTGATAGGTTACTTTTCTTCCCTAATTAAACATTTGGAGCTGCGAGTCATTTGTAATGATTTATGGCAGCTGTGCTTTTGCCAATCTTACACAGTCTTTTTCTTATTACTTAATTGTTTTAGCAGTGCTTCAGCCATTAGTTTCTGAGTTCTGAAAACAGGAAACAGAAGTCTTCTATTATAGACGCCTGCCTAATTAGCTCAGAGGCTGTCTAATGGGGCTATTAAAAATGCAAATGAGGTGTGATCAAACAGTGAAAAGTTTGGTCTTGACAGAATATACTAATGGGTTTCCCCCCCTGCAAAATCTACCACAATGCTGAGTGTAGATTCCTCCCTTTCTTCTTTACCATGTGAAATCACTTTTTCTTGGTGACAGAATTCCTTTCTCATCTGAACTAGACTGCAGTTTAAGAAGAGTTCTTAGGGAAGCCATCCTTATTTCCCACCCCTTAGTGTAAGGCAGTGGTTCTCTCACTTTGACTGGTATCTAGAAGCACCTGGAAGGCTTGTTAAACCACAGTATTCCTAGGCTCACTCTCAGAGCTTCCAATTCAATACATCTGAGTGGCCCAAATAACTTGCATTTCAAAGTTTGCAGAAGATGTTGATGTTTCTGATCTGAAGACCCTACTCCTCACCTTTAAAAACCACTGGTCTTGGACCTCATTGTTTTTTGCCTCTTCTCTGAGTTCAAAAGATTCCTTTTACTCTTCCTTCCATTATCTTTTGAGCTTTTTCTTAATTAATGATCTAGCCTTGCTTAATTAAGCCAGGTGATGACTCATTGTAACAGCTTCTTTGACCCTTTCTCAGCCTAAATCGAGTTACATGCACATTCTTTGTGTGACATTGTTATCACGTAACTCAGCAATAATGGATGGATCTAGATTTTGTAGAGTCTGAAGCTTATGTAATTGGAGGACCCTCTTTAAAATAAAAAACAATTATAAATGAATATAAAATTGAGGGAGGGGCCCTTAAGTTTCCTAGTTAGTTTGCTCCTGTACAACATTATACTGGATTATACGATTCTTTCCATACCTCCTTTACTGGATAGTGAGTTCCTCGTGGATGAGGATCAAATCTTATTTGTCTCCATGGTCCCACACCCTGTGTAGTATCTAGCAAATGGTAGATGGTAAATGGATGCTGTTGACTTAATAATCTGTTTATATCACTGACATAAGAAACCGCGTGCTTATTTTTCTCTGCCCTTGGGCTCTTCCCCTTTACACTTAGATGTGGCTTCTTACCTTCCAATGACACCAGTGCCACTCCTTTGCCAACCCCCCTTCCATCCCCACCATTCCATGCTGGAGCCCCATCAAACTTTTCCTTTTGCACAATCACTTAGGGCTTTTTCATGGCTCCTTGCATTTGTATGTTTCCACTTCATGACCTGGAGAATTTCTACTCCCTCAAATTTCACCGCCTTTTGGAAATGCTCCCTGAGTCATTCAGGCAGAAAGATCCCTGCAGTTCTCTGTTCAGACATTCCCTACAGCATGCATCAGGACTTTCTGCCGGATACCTCCCTGCTGAACTAGTATGGAAGGCTGTGTAGGTTGCAAACAAACTGGGTAACCATTCTTGGTTGCTTACCCCCACTTATTCACATCTATAACCCCAATGTGCACCACTGTAAATTTGTGATGATATGAATAAAGGGTGAATGTAGTCTTCCTAATCACGTCTGAAATAGGGAGCTTGGCTGTACATAGAGCAAGAAGACATATGGAGAAGGGAAATTCTTCCTGAGTCCAAGGTCATTCTGTGGTTCCCCATGTTTGAGTGACAGTCCGAGTCCAACCAGGGGGCCTCACTTCTATCCCCATCTTATTCCTGGCAGTGACCTAGGAGCTCCAGTGTGTTTTCCCTTCTTCTTCCCCTCTACCTACTCACAGCTCAGAGCCTCATTATATTTGCTCTCCTGAAAGAAAAGGATTTGAATTGGCTCTTAGATCCTGGGTCTCCTGCCTTGGCTGTCCTTCTCCTACCTCCTGTGAGCCAAGAGAGGGTATAGGATGAGGAGAGAGAGGCTATGCTGGTGTCATTCTGTCTGATTAAAGTGCAGCAGCTGGGATCTAGCCTCAGATGCTGAAGGATGATATCAGCAAGTAGAGTCTTCTGCAAATTGGACCTCACAGAACAGTATTCTCCAGATTCAACAAGCTGTAGCCAAGTGTTTTCTTTTCATGCACTCAGTGCATGAATGAAAGGGAAGCATACTACTGATGGCAGTGCTCATTGCTGCTGCTTGAGCCTTCCCAGTGGGTTTGGGTATTCTGAGCAGGGATCCAGCTCTCGGATGCCCTGGCTGGGGGCCACCTCTCTCCAGGTCTTCTCACCTCCAGCCACTCCTTTGTGGCAGGAATACAAAATGAGGCAGAGACAGTGCAGGCCAGAGTCTGCAGGTAGTCAGGAAACCTCCTGATCTAGGTTGAACACCTCGACCTTGCTTCCATAAGAAATCTCTTTCTGACCTTCTCTATTTCAGAGTCTGGGCTCCTCAAAGGCCAAGGCTCTGCCTCCTTCATTCGTTGCCTCATGCTAAGAATCCTGTTTCCCCAATCACACTAGTAGCTGGCTCAGTGTAAGTTTTGTCTTCTCTTCTTCTTAGAAGTCATATCTCACAGAAAGCCTGAGTTGTGCTTCCACAGTCCAAGCAGGGCCTTCTGATTTCATATACCCTTAACTGTTCTGGCAAGTGAGCTACAAAGCCTGTGACAGGGGGAACTGGAGCATCACAGATATTGAGGACATGTCTGCTGCCACCCAAGTCATAGTGCTTATTCCAGAATAAAGCCCTCATGTGCCCTTGTTCCTGAACCACTGCTGTCCCCACCGGCTGTGTGGTCCCTTGCTGCTTACTGCCCATCTCCCTGTCTCCTCAATCTCAATGGCTCTGACACAACGTGGTCCTTACTTTCACAATTAGCACATCTCTACTGAACAGAATTTGTCCATGTTATCCTGGGGAAAGACGTTGCACATCATGTGAAAGGAAGGATTTCTTTCTCACTCAGCAATTTCATGTGTGAGAAGTACAAGAAGTGGTTTGTCGGTGGTGGAGAGGTCAGCAGCTCCCATAACCACTCTTCCCCAGCAGCAGTTGAGAGTCAGGCCTGAACCGTTTGCAAACATACAGTGGCTCTTTCAGTCCCTTAAGTAGGGACAGGTTGGACTTCCCCTTGATGAGCCTGTACTTCTGCTTTTCTTTTCCACTGTTCTCCAGCCACTGTTGTTTACCATGAGCTTCTTGTTTGGTCCGCAGGCCAACCTCTGCTTTGCCAGACTACCCCTGCCTTCCTCTCCTTCCCATTCCCTTCTCCTTGGGCAAATACTGCCAGACTGACAGCCCCAAAGGTGTCAGGATATGTTCTAGGCAAGGCATAATTATAGAGTGGAGACCCCCTGCTTCCATGGCTTGAGGATGCTGACAATTACAGATCCTTGAGCCCCAAAGAAATCATCTTTCCCAAATGCTTCCAGGGTGAAAAAGACTAGTTTGGCTCCTCTCTCTGGGGCTTTAAGAGTTATTTTTGTCCTTGAAGTCTAATAGTGGGTTATTGGTAATTATAGGAAAAAGTGGAGGGGTTTTAAATTATTTTCCTGGTTCCAGTATTATATTTTGAATTTCCTATTCAGTTAGACACAACTCCTGAGATCATGACCTCTATGATTATAGGAAAAAAGGCCCCCATGGTACATGAGTCTATGATTTCCACTTTGTTTCTATCTCCCTAACTGGCATAATTTCCCTGGAGACTGCAGAGAAGGGATGTTGCCACATGCTTGTTTTGCAGGGTGCCATTTCCATGCATCAAGTGCACTTGAGGTCAGAGTACACAGGGGCCCAGGAGATTGCCCTTTATTGGTGCTTTATCCAGCACACTCAGAACATTTTCTGTCAGGAGCTCTCAGTGGCTCCCTACTGCCAGTAAACTGAGAGCCTCAGCTGGGCCTGCCATTTCCCTTTGCAGTTAGTTTGCAAGTGCTCTCTCAGCATCCATCTGTCTTATTCATTCATTCATTTCACTCTTTGTGCCATAAACATGGATTCACTGCCTCTTCCACTACACCTGTCTTAGTTCTGGGCGTGCAAACAAGAAAAACACAGGCTTCTGTTCTCAAAGGTCTAATATTCCATAGGAAAAATACAAAGATGTAAACCACTGTAATGCTGTCATGGAGGTCTGCTTAGGGCAGAGGAAGGGTACAAGAAGGAGCAGCTCCATTTTGCTCAGGAATGGGGTGGGAAAATGGACTAGATAGGTTTTGTGGAAGAGATGGCTCCACGGTGTTACCATGTAACTGTGGAGGAGTCCCTCTGGCTGGAAGCAGTGTCACAAATAAGAACAAGAGGGGTAATGACTGCAGTGGAAACAGGAACTGCAAGCCAGAGCCCATGTGGGCCAGAAAAAGACCTACAGAAAGGCAGAGGCCAAAGTGTGCAGAGCAACATGGAGGCAATGGGAACTACCAGATGCCAAGTGTGTGTGTGTGTGTGTGTGTGTGTGTGTGTGTGTGTGTGTGTGCAGGTTTAAAGCCTGTAATTTTATAACAAATAGTGCTTTGAATATTTTAAGACGTGGCATAGCTATAAATATTATTTTAAACATGAAAAAGATAAATAACTTAGAAAAATACAGACAATTTAGTCAAGAAATTTGCAGTCCAGAACTTGCTGTTGATCCCCTTCTGTGTATATAGTAGAACCTCAGACTGCCGTGCAAAGGTCACTGATTATTTCTGAGAGTCCCAGGAGAGTAACTCACGGGCAAGCAGAGCTGTTGCTCACCTCAGGATCACCTCATGGCTCCTGCCCCCTTTGGCTGCTCTGCTCTGATGTCCATTGGTATGTCCACACCTACTGCCTCACCCATTGTGGGGACACAGAGTCAGGCAACAGTGTCTGGAAATCCTTGTGCTTTAGGCTTCAGAGACACAGACCTGAAAAGGGCCACACTCAGAGGAAGGAAGGTTTCTTCCCAGTTCAGGGCCACACTGGTTTCAAAGCAGCAGAGATTGACGCAGAGCCTCAAAAACATCTTCTTGAGAAGCTACATTTATCTCTGTTCCTTCAGTTCTGCAGAGGTGACCAGGATCTGCCCTGCAATCAGATTGTGGGCAGAAGCTATTTCTCTACCACCACCACACCTAACTGTAGTCCATGCCCTCTCAAAATGCTTTCTGTCTTCCCGAGTAAACCACAAATTCTTCCAGTTTGCTGCTTATTCTGATGTAAGTAAACATGTCCTGTTTTAGACACGAAAGAACCTGCCATCCACACAATAGGAGCAGGGGACATTGGGAACTGAGGAGCAAACGGAAATAAGGAAATATTAGAAATGAGAATGCACAGGAGCTCAAGTTGCAAAAGCCAGGAAATAATTCTTGAAAAAAGAAGGGGAACGAATGTGAGAGTAGTGAGAATCAGCTCAAAATATATTGATTTGATATCAACTTTGATAATTAGAGAGAAATTTAAATGTACATTTAGTGAACTATTAGAAAAAACCATGATTTTCATTTACAAATAACTACAGAAACAATAAGCAGATAGATTGTATCAATAGAGTTAAAGATAGAAAACAAAAGTTATAGCAAGAATGTTGAAAAAATAGACAGCTTACAGGATGAAATAAATAGGGCAAGATATATGTTCCTCCCATAATTATACATGCTGTAATATTCAATATTAAAAGTGATAACTTTCCTATTGCAGTAGTAATAAATATAAGAGAAAGAATCACCTATACAAGATGACCAAGAAAGAAAAGTTAGAAATGAAAAAGTTGGATAAAGATAAAACAGAAAAACACAAAGAAAGGAAATCAGTTCTGTAAATATTAATATCGGTCTATGCATAATTAAAGCAAAAAGCATTAAGTAATGGTCAAAGAGGGTTTATTCGATGTGAAAACATTACTTTCAAAGGAATTAACAGTGTGAGGAAGTATAGACCACTGTCCTAGTGGAATCTTCTGTGGAGATCAGCTGGATATGAAGGGAAGGAGAGAAAAGATACAGTAAATAGCAGAGATGTTTGTCAAGGGTAAGTTAAAAATATGTACTTTATTGTATTTTTTCTTTAAAACCAACACTGGTTCCAGATAGAACATTTGGAAAATAAAGAAAAGTGATGTAGAATAAATCAAAAGCTTCCCACAATCCCACAGGCCTGGGATAGGTGCTCCTTTAACAGTATATTTTCCTCTAGGGTGTTCTGCAGTCTTGGAGATGACCGGACCCTGTATCAGGCCTGTGAGAGTGGAGGCAGTAGAAAGCGACCCAGGAATATACAACAGGGAGAAGAACCAACCGAGAAGTGAGCATAGTGACTAGGTCATTATGTATCCCCTTTCCCTTACCTCAGCCATAATGTCTGGAAACAGGGATTTTGTTCTCAGCTTCTGTCCATTCCCCTCCAGTACCCAGAGTAACTGAGCAGGGTGCAATAATTCAATTAGGAAAAGGGAAAAGAAGAAGAATGATGCACAGGCTTCTTATTTTATTTTTAAAATAGCAATCACATTAGATTACAAAAATCAGAGGACCTACAAAACCATCAGAGAAAGTAAATCCAAGGAAGTAGCAAAGATAAAGGGGGAGACAAGAGAAGGAAAAAAAGCCAGAACCTCATTTGTGACTTTCTGTGCCAGCCTTCAGAAAAGTAGGAGAAAGAAGAGAAAGTTGCAGGATGGGGAGGGGGTAAAGGGATTTGAGATGGGTGCATTAGGCTGTTTTCACATTGTTATAAATAAATATGTGAGACTGGGTAATTGATAAAGAAAAGAGGTTTAATTGGCTCATGGTTCTGCAGGCTGTGCAGGAAGCATAATGCCGGCATCTGCTCAGCTTCTGGGGAGGCCTCAGGAAACTTACAATCATGGTGAAAGGGGAAGGGGGAACAGGCAGTCACATGGCAGGAGCAGGAGCAAGACAGCAAGGGGGCGGGGTGCTACACACTTTTAAATGACCACATCTTGGGAGAACTCACTCACTTATCAGCAAGGACAGTACCAAGGGGGATGGTGATAAACTATTCCTGAGAAACCAGCCTCATGATCCAATCACCTCCCATGAGGCCTTTTCTCCAATATTGGGGATTACATTCCAATATGAGATTTGGGTGGTGACAGGTATCCAAACTATGTTTGTGGGTGAAAAGGTTGGGAGAAGAAGTAAACAGAGAAGGAACTCCAGACAAGGAACTCAACTGGAGAAGGAGGCTTGAGACCAATTCCTAGAAGGAGCCAACAATTAGCTAACTAGTGCACTTTAGCCAGGGTGGGCATGTGGCCCCCTAAGGGAGTCTAAAAGTAAGTTTGCTTAATTTTGGTGGCTTTTCCATTTGGTTAGCTCAGGTTAATTTCCCAAACAAGTGTGCTTTACTGAGAGGGGCTGGGGGTTACTAAGAGCTCCCCAAAGGGGAGTAAGTCCTCAGGGAAGGAAGGGATGAGATTTACTAAGGCTCTGTACCTGGGAAGGCATACATGTTCTATGAAAAATAAGGCAAATAAGACTTTTCACATCCATGCAAGCTTTTTCAGCCTAGAGGTAGTTCAACAAATATAGGGGGAAAAAAGGCCTTTTTAATTTGTGGATTTTATGCCAGTAATAGCCTTACGGTAACAAAGCAGCAGTGCTCCCTGATCAATCTCTGGGATTCAGAACAGAAAGCACCGAAGTAGGAAATGTGGTAGGTGGGAAATATGGCTGAAATTTGCTTTTGACGGTATCTGCCAGATAATTATATTGGAGTCTGTTTCTCCCTGACCATCCTGTTATACTCAGGATCAAATTATGATGTTGATGGTGATTATTGATAATTATCCCTTTCATTTACATGGCATTTTCTACCTTCTAAAATACTTACACATATATCCCTTCACCTTAAGCCTAGAAGGCAGAAGGGTAGACGCTGCTCAACCCATCTTGGAGATGAGGAGTGAAGGTAAAATGTGCAGTTCCTTCATCCTGGGTCATAGCTCATTAAGGAACCCTGGCATCTATTGGTCAGTAGATCTGTCCCTCAATTACATATTTAGTTCATCAGAAGGACTGGTATTTCTTTCTACATTCACA
This sequence comes from Homo sapiens, assembly GCF_000001405.40. Taxonomy (NCBI): domain Eukaryota; kingdom Metazoa; phylum Chordata; class Mammalia; order Primates; family Hominidae; genus Homo; species Homo sapiens. The sequence continues at coordinate 37,962,012 of NC_000018.10, forward strand.
GGTATAATATATTCCATACATCAAAAGTTGTGTTATTGTATTTTAAATATACAGTGCTATCAAATTTGGAGTGTATTTTATCTTCCCTTTTTTCGTCTCTCTCTGTTCTTCTCTGTCTCTCTCTGTTTGTGTCTGTCTCTCTCTCACATACACAGATACACATAGAAACATAGACACAGACATACTCAGTCATTCATTTATAGGTTTCAAAGCATTTTCCAAATAACAAGACAACATCTCCTTTGTCAGGTGTGATAGCCTGAACTTTTGGCAGGCTTGTCTCAGCTTTCTGTTTCTTTTATGTATTATGGAGGAGAATTTAGGGATAAAACTGGGTATCAGCGTAACATTTAGGAAACTGGATCTGAAAGTGTGTGCACACGAGGTACCACCTGCATTGCACCTTGGCGGACTGCTGATTATTCTCCAGGATCTGGAGCTGATCCCAAGGATTAAGTGAGCATCTGCTCCCAGTGTTGACAGCCCGGATGGGGCCAGGCCATACACAGAGGGGGTGGATCAGGCTCAGACAAAGAAGCCAGTGTGAAGAGGGCTGAGCTTTCTTGAGAGCCCTGGAAATCTGACCCTAGCTGCTCTTGTCCCTGCCCTCCTACACGGTGCTCCACCCGGACTCTCAGCCTGGATACTGGGCAGCATGCTGATAAGGAGCCAAGGTCCAACCACTCGAGTTTGTGCCCTGTTTTACTGTGTCTATATGCACTGTGACCTTGGGCAGATTGCTGTAGGCACAGGGCCTCAGCTTTCTTATCTGTAAAATGGGGATCATATAGCAATAGCACACCCTTGAGAGTCCCCATGATGATGAGATGAGATATTGCCCTCAGTAAGCCTGAGCACAGTAGCGGCCACAGACCATCCTGCTGCTCCTCTCTCCTTTCTTCCCGGCTCATTTTACCTGAAATACCACAGCCTGGTATTAGAGTACATACTGATTCTCCTTGTCCTCTGCCACACGTTACCTGGACAACTGTTTTTGGTAGCCATCTTGTTAGAGTCATAGATCTGAGTCTGTGAGCTCCTCCTTGGGAGGGTTTGTTTTATAGATAACACACACACACACACACACACACACACACACACACAAACACACACACACACACACACACACAGGAATAAAGAAAGGAAAGGATAGGGGATAAAATAAATAAAGACACTGACTTTGTTTTAATCATTCCCAATGTTTGTTTGTTTCTTATACACCCTCTTCTGTAGAAGTAGCCGTCTTCTGGAGCTAACACCTAAAATGAAAAACTTAGTAGGAAGTCATCAGGGAGTGTTCTCAGCAGGACAATGTTTGGGAGTAGAAAAAGACCTTAATTTTATGATGTGACTGTATTAGTTCATTCTTGCACTGCTATAAAGAGTTACCTGATACTGGGTAAATTATGAAGAAAAGAAGTTTAATTGACTCACAGTTCTGCAGGCTTAATAGGAAGCATGACTGAGAGGCCTCAGAAAACCTACAATCATGGCAGAAGGTGAAGGGGAAGCAAGCACATTTTCATGTGGCAGTAGGAGAGAGAGCAAGCGAAGTGGGAAGTGCTACATACTTTTAAACAACCAGATCTCTTGAGAATGCCATTGCAAGACAGCACTAGAGGGATTGTGTTAAACCATTGGAAACCACCTCCATGATCCAATCACCTCCCACCAGGCCCCTCTTTCAACATGTGGAGACTACAATTCGACATGAGATTTGGGTGGGGACACATAGCCAAACCATATCAGTCTCCAAAGTAGTGGTGGCAAAGCGGAAGTCCCTAACTCCTTGGCAGGCAGGACTTCCATCTCCTTTTTTTCTGGTGCAGAGGATGTAAGACTGACCGTAGAGTACTTTCCTGAGGTAGAGTCACTTGTGGCCCCCTAGACACTTCTGGAGGTGGGAAACAAATGTATTGGAATGCCTGAGCTTGTCAAAGTGACAAGAGTTTCTGGTGACACAGGAGCTGAGGGTCCCTACCAACTGAGTCCAGGGTAACAGCAGGAACACTGGCCTGGCACCCAGACATTGGCCTGGCTCTGGAGCCATAGACCTACTCGGACTGCCTTGGGCAAGGCACTCCACCTGTGTGGCCTTGGCACCTCATCTGGAAAATGAAGGGGCCACACTTTGTGGGCAGGGTCTCCTCAGTCCTGACATCAGGTGGCTTATCTCAGCCCCTACCAACGAGCCTGTCTCAATGCACAAGACAGCAATTGGTATTAAAAATAATAATGGTGACTCATGGAGAAGAGATGACAAAAGAAAGTTGTTCTGCTTTACTCACTGCATGGCTTCACATTTAGGGATCCTGAGGGATGAGGGATTCTGCGGAGCTAAATCTTCTAAATAACTGAATTCTACTTACAAATCCCCAAACTGAATTTTGTTCTAAAGTTTGAAATATTAAACATATTGTCTTGGAATTTTTTCATCATATTTAATATTTTGTTCTCAATATTTTTCTTTCTTCAGTAAGAGAGGATGGAGAGGATAACTTGCCCTTCTCTGCATGTCCCAGACCCATTGCTCTGTGCAAGAATACTGTAGTGCAGGGATGCCCTCCTGAGCTCCAGAGCTCCATCATAGATTTGAAGTTTTCCCCAGATTTCCTCTGAGAATTTTTTTCACTCTTTTCAGCCTCTGATGGTGTCACTGGGCAGAAACTAGAAGAGACATTGCCTTCATATAAGGAGTCCTGAGTCCGAATTCCCGAGGGTCACAGGAATGTTTTCAAAATCAAAGAGTTGCTCAGTGGCAGAACTGGTAGAATACCAGCTCTTCATCCTGTGAGCGACAGTCACAGAGGAGTCCTGATGCCAGCTTGCCTACATGCACTCCCTTATGTTCCTTTTTAGAGGGTCTCTAAGTCACCCAATCCAAGTTTCAAGGTCATCTCCTCATAGAGTTGATTGCTGAAGAAGACTATCCCATCTTAGAACCCACCATACATCATATTCTAAAATACTTCAGTCTGGAGAGATTCTTTGGTGAGTGCTAATAAATTAAGAAACTTACTGTAGAGCAACCTGAGATCCTAGTCCTGTTTGGGTAACTAGAAGAAATCTGGGCAGGATCATATATAAGTCATTTTCTTTTTTTTCTCTCTTTTTTTTCTCTCTCTTTCTCTCTTTTTTCTCTCCCTTCCTCTCTCCCTCCCTTCTTTCCTTACTTCCTCCCTCCCTCCCTCCCCTTTCCCCTTTCCATCCCTTTTCTCTCTCTCTCTCTCTTTGTCTCTCTTGAAGAGATTCTAGTAGCATGCAACCTATCCTTGGTATAAATTAAAATGTGCTGCAGTGCAGATCCAGAACTCTAGGGACTAGCACTTTGCTGGCAAAATCAGCATATACTCTCCTAGATGGTTGTTGGGAACTTGGTTGCCACCATGTGGTCCAAACAATCGTGCTTCAGCCCAAAGTGTGACAGGCAGGTTTCCCAGACAATAATGGAGACAAAATTTCCATTACAAAATGATGGTGACATCCTTAGAATGAATCTGCTTCACACCATGCATCCCTATTTGCCCAACTCACGTGAGAAGAAAACACACACCCAGAATATCTATAAGCCACAGTGGCTTTATAATGTGCCAATTTAGTTAGGCTGAACTCCATTTCCTATGTTTCTGGTTTGGCTGGGCCACAAAAGAGATTCTTATAGGAGGTTTGAAGGGCTAAAGGGAAGAAACAGTCATTTAGTATCTTAAACACATTATCACTCTCTGCTGACTCACCTTGTTGTGAAACAATAGTTGGGCCTGCAACTGCCCTTCCTTCCCTGGAATCCTAGGCCAGGTGTGTATGTTTAGCTCTGTGATACAGGGCTCTGGCCTCTGCAGGATGCCCTCAAAGTCATAGGCAAGAACTCACATGAGTTTCAGTCTATCTTCATGGCCTCCAGCTCATGCTTGTACAATCGAACTTGTTCTTGCTGTCTATCCCTGTGTCATAATCTAGCCCACAGAGACCTTGACTTTCACTTTCACAGGACACCATGTTGGTTCATCAAATGGATAGTATTATGCTTATTGAGCCCTGCAATCAGGAAGTAACCACTACTCTATACACATTAGTAAGACACTTGCATGCTACAGAGTATAAAATAAATCCTATAAAAATTCAAGGGCCTACTTCCATGGTAAAATTTCTAAATGTCCAGTGGTCTGGAGCAGGTCAAAATATCTCTTTCAAGGTGAAGGATAAGTTGCTGCATCTTATCTCTTCTACTGCTAAGAAAGAGGCGCAATGCCTACAGAGCCTCTTTGTTTTTTTGAGGCAATATATACCTCATATGGGTGTGCTTTTCTGACCCATTTACTGAATGATACAAAAAACTGCTAATTTGGAATGGGGTTCAGGATAAGAGAAGGTTCTGCAACAGGTCTAGGCTGCCATGAAAACTACTCTGCCACTTGGGCCATCTGACCTAGCAGATTCAATAGTACTTGAAGTGTCTCTGGCAGATAGAGATGCTGTTTGGAGTCTTTGGCAAGCCCTTGTAGGTGAATCACTAAACAGACCCTCAGCATTTTGGAATAAAACCATATTATCTCTTCATGTAGCAACTCTTCTGTTGAGATACACATTTGTCACTTTCTACTGGGTCTTAGTAGAGACTGAATGCTTGACCCTGGGCCACAAAGTTACCATGCAACTGAGCTTCCCATCATAAACTGATACTGCCTTATCACCCAAGCCATAAAATTGGGCATGCACAGAAGTTCTTCATTACCAAATAGAAGTGATATATATGAGATTGGGGTCAAGCAGGGCCCGAAAGCACAAGTAAGTTGCATGAGGAAGTGGCCCAGATGCCTATGACCCCTATTCCTACTACACTGTCTTCTCTCAACCTGTGGCCTCACAAGGAGCTCTCTATGACCAGCTCACTGAAGAAAATCTTGGTCTTGTATTTTACTGATAATTCTGCGTTATATTCAGGCACCATCAAAAATTATATGGCTGCTACACTGTAGCCCTATTCCAGATGGCCCTGAAAAAAATAATGAAGGGAAATCTTCCCAGTGGCAAAACGTTGGGCAGTGCCCAGAAGGAGAGACAGCAAGAGTTATGTGTTCATACCAATTCATGGACTATGAATGGTTTAGCTGGTTGGTCAGGGACTTAGAAATAACATGAATGGAAAATTTGTTATAACAACCTCTGGGGAAGAGGCATGTGGGTAGACTTATCTGAATGTGCACCCAGTATGGAATATTTGTGACCCATGTTAATGCTTACCAAAGGGTGATCCCAGAAGAGTAGGATTTTAATAGTCATGCAGATAGAATGACCTGTTCTGTGTGTAACAGTCAGCTCCCTTCCCTACTCATTGCTGTCATTGTCTAATATGTTCATCAACAAAGTGGCCATGGTGGCAGGGATGGAGGGTATACATAGGCTCAGCAACATGCACTCCCACTCACCAAGGATGACCTGGCTAGGACCACTGCTGAGTGCTCAATCTGCCAGTAGCAAGGACCAACACTGACATGGCATCATTCCCCAGGGTGACCAGCCAGCTACCTGGAGGCAGGTTGATTACATTGGCTTAATTCCATCATGGAAGGTGTAGCACATTGTTCTTACTGGAAAAGACATTCACCCTCTATATGAATTTGCCACGGGTGATAGATAAGTTAAAAAAATTCTAAACATCAACAAAAGTCATAAATTTAGTGCATTTTGATGCCTTTTACCTGTAGATAAGAGCCCACTGAAAAGTTACAATTTTATGTACAATTAAAAAACAAAACACAAGGTTGGTTATTGTATGTCTATGTTCATATCATGTCAGAATGTTCAAATTAGGAAGCAGGAAAGTAAGACTCCCAGGGTAGTTTGGATTAAATTGTACTAACAAACAGTCTCAAACTCCTGATTGCCTAACACAACATTTCTTTCTCTTTGCTGTCATTGTAAGTTGTCTGGGGGCTCTGATTCAGGGCCCTGGTTGACAAATCACCCACCTCTGATTGATCACAAATATCCCATACTGGGTGCACATTCAGATAAGTATATCCACATGCTGCCAGTTATGACAGCAGAGAGAAAAACTGATGGGGTGGTCTTATATTCAGATAAAAATGACAGGTCCAGGCAACATGCCTTCAACCCCAAGGGAGCCAGAAAAGTCAACGCTATCAAAGCCAAAAAATTTTTGGTGGTCAGAACTAATGAGTACTCCAGAGGTGAGAGAATGTGGTAGCTGTTAGGGTCCCTCACAGCACTGAAGAATGACAATTACTTGTGAAGGAAGAAACAAAGAAGAGGCTAGAAGTCAAGGTGTAAGACTGGGACCATATAGTTTAGGGACAGATGGTTAGACACACAGACTTGAGTTACTCATTGCTTTCCAGCACAGTGTAGAAAAGGATGCTCAGATAAGCTTGTAGTCATCAAGGAAAGGTAACATTGTGTTGTGTACATTCTTTAAGAAGGTTTGGGCATTTATGTGACATTAGAATTATTTCCATACCAAATCCCTAAAATGTTGATATTCTATATGTAAAGGGACACTATGTTCAGGTCTTTATTCTGCAAAGATTCCTTATAGTGAAGACACAATGGAATTATTACTGGTTTTGTCATTATCATAGTCACTGTACCCCCACTGCACCTTGTCTCTAAGTGAATTAAGACACAAGAAGCAAAGGGAAAAGCCACAGATTTCTTGGAGAATATACGCTCATTTAAGTCTGTCAGTTGGCTATTTTCAGCTGTATCAGAAGAGAATGTGTTGGGATGACATGCATCCCTGGATAAGATTGTTTTGAACAATATGAGAAATCAGTGGCATTCAGGCCAAATTAAATCTAATTTACTCTACAAATTGCCAAACTATCAGTCCTATTAAATCTGTTTATTAAAAGGCAGGAGAGTCGGCCTGGGTCGCAAGCTGTGGCTGAGATAATAAGACAAAGATGAAGCCCACTAATGTAGATAAATCATGTTTGATTTCCAGGCCAGAGGTAGCCAATGAGAGGGCTTTCACCTCACCTCCCCTGTCATCCAGAGGTGTCTGTGAGCCAGTCGGCCTGTCCCCAGAGTCAGGCCATACTGACTGATTTCCATGGCACTAGAAGGCCCATGTCATTGCCCCCAATCTGGGGTCATTCATAAAACCAACTTTATTTCTCTCGAGTTATTCATTCTACAAAGTACAATTTAAGCAGGTCTTTATGATTTACGGCTGAGTGGGATAAGTAGGGTAGAGTGGTAGATAATGATGGTGGCAGTGGCAGGGCTGGGAGGTTGGGATTGAATACTTCTAAGTACTGAAGTGTAAATAGGGCAGGTAATAGTAGACCTTTATTCCCAAATTACTTGGAGTGATCCACAAAATCTAGTAAGGTTTAGGGTTGTATTTCATATCTTAATAATGTGGGCATATACATAAAATGAGGGAAAAAGGCCAAGGCTAATTAAGGTCTTATTCTTTAACAAAATTAAGCTTTGTTTATAATGCTCACCTGCTTGAAATGCCCTATCTCAGGGTCTGCAGGTGCTAAATTCTAATCCTCCTTGGAGGTCTGGCCTAAATCTCCTCTCCTTTTAAGAAGCCCTCCTTTAATATTCCAGTCCTTAGCTTTTCTTCTATAGAACTTCTGCCCCAGTGAATATTAATAACACTTGGCTTGACAATTATCACATTGTACTTTGATGAGTCTCTTTTACAAAATGTTTCCCTGAAATTTCAAAATAAATATGTGGAGAGATCCAGTAACTTGCCCAAGATCTCACAATTAGTAATTAATGCTTGTTCCTAAACTCTATTTCAATGTTTTATTCCATGGGGTAATTTGATCTTGAAGGGAAAGGAACTTCATTAAGGATGTGAGTTTGAGTGGGCTAGAGACTGGCTTGGGAATACAATGTGAACTGTGCTGTATTCCTGTTTCTGGGGCTAGGAAAAGCTCATGGGCCCTCCGGTAAGTCTCTAGCAATGATCCTATGGCAAGTCTCCAGCAATGGCCCTCCAGCCAGTGCAGGCAGACAGGCTGTGTTGAAGCTGAATATCTCGGTTCACCAATACAGCAGAGTGTTCCCGGCCGGGTGCAGTGGCTCACGCCTGTAATCCCAGCACTTTGGGAGGCCAAGGCGGGCGGATCACGGATCAGGAGATCGAGACCATCCTGGCTAACACGGTGAAGCTCCGTCTCTACTAAAAACATAATAAATTAGCTGGGCGTGGTAGCTGGCGCCTGTAGTCCCAGCTACTCGGAAGGCTGAGGCAGGAGAATGGCGTTAACCTGGGAGGCAGAGCTTGCAGTGAGCCGAGATCGCACCATTGCACTCCAGCCTGGGCAACAGTGCCAGACTCCCTCTCAAAAAAAAAAAAAAAAAAAAAAAAAAGAGTGTTCCCTTTCGTGGAAATTTGACCTGCAAGCACCTTCCACAGATCCATTTCTGTGCCTTCCACTTTGTTCCAGGAAGCCTTCAGCTCAGACAGGCTGTATAATGGATACTTTTCTTAAACTAAGAGTAGGGAGAATGAATGAGGGTAAAGGCAACCCTTGAGCATTAAGTCTCAAACTCCAGATCTTAATTCTGTGGATGAACTTGTATGGTTTGGTTACAATTTTATGCAATCCGGGGCTTGGTCCAGAAAACCTCTGGAGCAAAGTTGAGGTGGGAGAAGAGAGGGAAGAAAATTGCTCACAGTAATCCAAAGGCTTTATTAGTCTGTAATTAGGAGTGAAGACATGAAGCCAAGTGAGGGAAAATTTAAGCTGAATTGCAAGAAAAAACTAGTCCCTAACAATGAAGAGTATTCAACTGTGGAGGAAAATGACAGAGACAGAGCAGCGGTAGTCACTCATAATTTCTTTATTGGTAATTTGCTCTCTATATTTTGGATGAAATACATATCTGGGAAGAATGCCAAGCCATGCAAAGGGTGCCCTTTAACCGGCATTCAGGGTGATAGCATTAATGGCTCTGGGAGAAGAAAATGAGATAATCTTGAGAACTAGCTGAGAATGAGAAGTCCAAAGAGCAAGATGTTCTCTTAGTTTCAGGCTCCGGTGCTGCACATCATTTGAGCTACTCAGAGTTGGGGACTTGCATCACTGGAGCAGAAACCAGTGATCTCTCGTCTTGCTCCCAATATCTCCAGGGGGCATCTCTTACTGCCTCCAACCTTAGAAAAACCTGAATTTTCAGAGTATCAGTAGTCTAGGCAATGAGAATTTAAAATGTTACTCTATTTTATGTAATACATTTATTTTAGGAGAAAAAAAGCTTGAGGTGAGCTTTTTGAAATGAATTAAACATACACAAACTGCTTTGCATCACCCTCTGGTAAGACTTTTTAATGAAAACAAAACTTTGTTGCTCCCTATGTAGTGTATGAAGCAGCAGCTCATTCTTCCTGTAGTCTCTCACCCAGGTGGATCTTGGTAGGCTGCTATTTTCATGTCACCTCTTTGTTCATATTCTTTCCAAGGACTTCTACAATCTGTTCTCAACTTACCTTTGTAGCCATATTTGCACTACTTGTATCTTCTATTTCAGTTTTCTGGTGTGTTTAATGTTTACTCAACATACACATGTGCACATACATGCGCAAGAACAAACACACTCACATATGTATGAACTCAAGAGCATGCACACACTCAATGGAAAGAACCTTTTTTTCTTCCATTTAACATCTTGGGAGTCTGGTGTTTCTGGGAATATAATCTGAGAAAATGCTTCGTTTGTTTTTAAACTTAATCTACTCGTTCTTCAAACCCATTTTCCCCCTTCTGCTAAAATGACCCATGTGCATTTTGTCACCCCTCTTTTTCTACCTGGAACCCATCTTCACTCACTTCAGTGTATGAGAAATCTAATTGCCTTTCAAGACTCAAGTCCAGCACCACTACTACAAAATGCCCTTTCTAACCTTCTCAGCAGAAAGGAATCTTACCTTTCTATCAAATTGCGCTGCCCCTTGAATAACACAAGAATGCTCAACCGATCTGCCTCCTACTGCAGGTCTTTGAATTCATGCTTTATCTCCTTTACTAGGATGTACTTTCTCAAAGTTGAGGATCATCTCTTACATTGCTTCACACTTCCCCCTGTACCTAGCAGGGTCTTTCTTACTGAGCAGGTGCCCAGAAAGTACTCTTTTTGGCCAGGCACGGTGGCTCACGCCTGTAATCCCAGCACTTTGGGAGGCCGAGGTGGGCAGATCATGAGGTCAGGAGTTCAAGAACAGCCTGGACAATATCTTTTAGTAGAGACAGGGGTCTCTACTAAAAATACAAAAATTAGCTGGGCGTGGTGGCGCACGCCTATAGTCCCAGCTACTGGGGAGACTGAGGCAGAAGAATCACTTGAACCCGGGAGGCAGAGATTGCAGTGAGCCAAGGTTGTGCCACTGCACTCCAGCCTGGGCAATGGAGTGAGACTGTGTCAAAAAAAAAAAAAAAAAAAAGAAAGTACCCTTTTTAGAGAAGAAATTAATTAATAATCGGAAAATTGATTTTTTTGAATAAATCATTTCTCCACCTAGGAGATGCTCTGCTTGATCCTTCTTCCAAGTCTCATTAGACCCTGTGATTCCCTTAAAACAAAATATAAGGTCAATTCATTAGGTCACCACTGGTCGTCAACATGTTCCTGCTCCTACTGAGTTCCTTCTTTCTACTGCACCACTATTCAAGTTGAATCTTCCTTCTAAAGTGGTTGTCTCTTGACTGGCTCTTTAGCACTGGCCAAGCCCTGCCTTTTCCAGGAATCCTCTTCTGGCCATCCCAGTTTTGATAGACACTCGGGTTCCCTGAATTATTATTGTAATTGCAATTAAGCTTCACAGTGCATCATTTAACTATTTTCTGTTTTAAGAATGTTGTTTTTGTTTCTGCGACTACCATAAATTAATTGAGAGATATATAGAATAGTGACAAAAGGCTTGAACACTGGAGTCAGCTGCTGCTTGGCACCTGATTCTGATACTTATTAGCTGTGGGATCTTGGGCAAGTACTGAAACCCTATAACCCTCACTTTCCTCATCCACAGAATTAAGATCTGGAGTTTGAGACTTAATGCTCAAGGGTTGCCTTTACCCTCATTCATTCTCCCTACTCTTAGTTTAAGAAAAGTATCCATTATACAGCCTGTCTGAGCTGAAGGCTTCCTGGAACAAAGTGGAAGGCACAGAAATGGATCTGTGGAAGGTGCTTGCAGGTCAAATTTCCACGAAGGGGAACACTCTTTTTTTTTTTTTTTTTTTTTTTTTTTGAGAGGGAGTCTGGCACTGTTGCCCAGGCTGGAGTGCAATGGTGCGATCTCGGCTCACTGCAAGCTCTGCCTCCCAGGTTAACGCCATTCTCCTGCCTCAGCCTTCCGAGTAGCTGGGACTACAGGCGCCAGCTACCACGCCCAGCTAATTTATTATGTTTTTAGTAGAGACGGAGCTTCACCGTGTTAGCCAGGATGGTCTCGATCTCCTGATCCGTGATCCGCCCGCCTTGGCCTCCCAAAGTGCTGGGATTACAGGCGTGAGCCACTGCACCCGGCCGGGAACACTCTGCTGTATTGGTGAACCGAGATATTCAGCTTCAACACAGCCTGTCTGCCTGCACTGGCTGGAGGGCCATTGCTGGAGACTTGCCATAGGATCATTGCTAGAGACTTACCGGAGGGCCCATGAGCTTTTCCTAGCCCCAGAAACAGGAATACAGCACAGTTCACATTGTATTCCCAAGCCAGTCTCTAGCCCACTCAAACTCACATCCTTAATGAAGTTCCTTTCCCTTCATACCAGCGTAAGTGGAGATTAAATGAGTATGTGTAAAGCACTTAGATCAATGCCAGTTATATATAAGCACTGTATATGTATATACTATTATTATTTTTATCAGAGTATAGGCTGATTGTTGCTGTTTCTCCATCTTCTCTTTCAAGTACACAGTGAAGTGCCAGACACATATGTAACTAATATGTTTCATGCACTTTATTTATGCAACAAATATTTATTAATCACCTTCTAGGTGTCAGGTTAATTCTAAGGGCTCAAGATACAGAAGAAAACCAAAGAGACAATGCCCTGCTTTCAAATAATTTATATTTTATTGGTGGAAGATAAGTAATAATTGTGTAATGTTTAACATATTACATGTAATTGTAACTGTGTGTATAACTGTGTATTTAATATGTTATATAGTACATATAGTCATATAGACCATTGCAATAGCACATTTTTAAAAGTATATATGTATATAGAGTATGTAATAATATATAGTATATGATGTAGTATGTAATGATGCAAGTGACTACATAAGCTATGAAGGAAAATATAGCAATGTAAAAGGGAATGAAGTGAAGGGGCCTATTTTATACAGGGTAGTGAGGGAAGACCTGTCTGATAAGGTGACGCTTGATAGGAAACCCAAAAGAGATAGCCATATGATAACTGGTGGAAGAGTGTTCCAGGTAGAGAGAACTGGAGTTCACACAGCCTCTAAAGTTGGAAAGTGTTTTGTCTTGTTTGAGTAATGGCAGAGAAGCCAGTGTGGATTGAGCAGGCAAGGCAAAGGGGAAGAGTAGTGAGAAGTAAGATTAGGACCTAGGAGGAGTTTAGAGCATACAGGGCTCCTAGATCATGGCAAGAATTATAAATTTGACTGAATGGGATAGGAAACTATTAACTTGCTGTGTCAGTTATCTGTTGCTGCAAAACAAACCACCCCAAATATAGTGGTCTAAAACAGTGACCATTTTATTATTGCCCACAAGTTTGCAAACTAGGTGAGACATTCTAAAGTCATATGCCAAGTCAGCTGGGTGTGGATGATCCTGGATGGCCTCACTTACACATCTTACAGTTGGTGGACTTGTTGGTCTAGGCAGGCTTCATCTGTGATCACACATCTCTGTTCCAGGTAGCCTCTCATCTTCCAATAAATAAGACTGGGCTCTTCACCTGGCAGCCATAGTATTCTGATCAGTTGGGTCACTGAAAAAAATTAAAATCTCTGATTTGTAGCATTTGCTAATGTTTTTTGTGTAAATATTCCAACCATGGTTGACTTCAAGCAACCAATGGTTTAACGATCAATGTATTAAATTCCTGAATATCTAACTAATCTATTGTAATTATGAAACTAAACCAGGCACATGGTGTTAGCCTTCTTTTGTTTGGGGCCAGAGATACTTCTCAATTAGGGAACAATTCTGCTTCTGTTGGTAGTTTCTTTGTCTATTTTTTTTTTAACTGCAGGTGTAGCTCATCCCTCTGGGCTCTATTGTGAACTGTCTCTGGTAAACTTAGTACAAGCTAATCAAATTCCTTTAAAAAACTTGTGGGTTTCTTAAGTATAAGATTAATTTCTTGTCATTATATGTGAGAAAAGCCACATTCACACTTATTTTTGAGATAAACCTCTCTCTATTTGGGGCATGTTAGGCTGGTGAGGGGCCCAACCTTTAAATTCATGGAAGACATGTGTTCTACCAGAGAGGATCTGTTAGGTGCCACTTCTACCTTTCTGAAGTTTTAATGAATGCTGTTACAGCTACACTCTTGAATTGGTATTTACACAGAGACTGTTTCTTTCTTTAAGAATCTTTGTCTGGCTAGAGAAACTGAGGATAAAAGATAGTTTCATTTTCCAGTCTGCCATATGCTGCCTTCCATATGCCTGTCAAATTTGCTGACAAACAGAACGGTCTTTCTTTAGCTTATTCTTTCTTGCAACACATTATCATACACAGCTAGAAAGATCCAACTGATATTTTTAACATTCTAGCTTGATATTGCTTTAGTCAGAATCACAAATTCATTAAGTACATTTTCTATGTTCCAAGTCCTTGCCAACAATATTTTTGTCAATTGTTCTGCCACTATATGTCATAAGTTTCTCTATTTTTTTTTCCAGATTCTATCTGTTTCCCAGTTCCCTAGCCAGTGACATGTGTTTTAGTATTTAATATGACAGTATCTCACTTCTGGTATTAACCTCTCTTTCAGTTATTTAATGTATATAAAACCAGTGCAAATCATAGTAGCTTAAAATAACAATAATTTTATTTACTTTTGATTCTGTGGTCCAGGAATTTTGGACGGAATCAAGTGGATATTTCTTATACTAGTTTTTCTTGGGGTCTCTGTTATGGCTATAGTAATATGACAAGTTACATCAGGCTGAATGATCTTAGATGGTTTCACATATCTGGTAGATGGCTAGAGACGTCACCTGGGCCACATGTTTCCAATACAAGAGTCAGATGCTTCATATGATAGCAACAACATTTTAAGAGCACCATCTTCAATGGACAAGCACTTTCAAACTGCTGCATCATGTTTGTTGATATCCCATTGGTCAAAGAAGTCAAATAACCAACTCCAGAGTTTATGTGTGAAGGGACAATATAAGGTTGTGATGGATATCAGGGATATGGGGAACATTACTAGTTTACTGAAGTACCTACAAGCAAGGTGTATTGCAACAAAAATGCTAAACATGTGGCATTGGCTTTGGGATTGGACAGCAAGAGAGGTCTAGACACGTGGGAATAAATCTTCTGATGAAATCTGAAGAAAAGTGAATGAAAGAGTTAAGGCTGAAAAAATGTTGAGAAAGTGATTTTAGATGCTTAAAAACTTGTGGTCTATGAAGTTATAAAATATTGGCCAAAATATCACCTGTGGTAACTTGGAAGATTGAAAAGGTACCTGATGACCTTGTGGATTTGGCTAAGTATAATTACAAACAGAATTTTAACAGTGTCAACTTGCTTCTTTTAACTATGTATAAGATATAGGAAGAAAGAGATGAGCTGAAATCATGACTATTTAATTTTTAAGTAAAATTTTGATGAAATGTAGAGGAGTTAGGACTTGTTAGGCTGGAAAACAAAGCTGTGTCACATCTCCAGTTTCTCAGCTGACCAATGATTCTCAAAGTGAAAAGTGCCTCAGTAAAGCTCAAAGAGTTTGTAAAATTCTATAATGACCTCAAAAATATTTAAGGCAGTGTTTTCTATAACTTTACTAAGAAAAAGCATACATACTTCAAGTGAGCTATCTCACAGTAGTCTGACACACCCAAGTTTTGGAAATGTTTGTTTTAAAAAGAATTCTAAATGTGGCTTTGGGGCATTGGTTGAAGATCAATAAGATTTCTAAGAAACCCCAAAGGTTTTTCAAAGGATTGCATTATTAAAATTAGTGAAGCACTGCCAGTTTGGACTCAGAGAGGTTGAGATAATTCAAAATAAAAAGACAGCTCTGAACCCCAAACTTCAAAGGGTGGGAAGCAGAACCATATCCTAGTTACAGTCCAGCAGAGCTGGGTCCCAGTTAAGAAACATTTCTAATCCTCAAAGAAGTAGTTGTGCCCAGATGGGTTTCAGAATTATCTCAGTCCCTTTTAGTCCAAGAGTCTCTCTCCTATCCCACATCAATCCTAACTACTGCAATTGCATTATTACTGTCTTTTTGCTTTTGCCCTATTTCTCTGTGTTATAGTCTCCATACAGTAGCCCAAGAAATTCTTTTATAACTTAAGTTAGATTATACCACAATTTTGCTTAAAATATGTGTTAGTTATCCATTGTTGCAAAACAAACCATTCCTGAACCTAGGGGCTTAAAGCATCAACCATTCTATTTGTGGGTCGGAAATCTGTGTTGAGCTCAGCTGGATGATTCTTCTGCTGGTCTCACTTGGTCTCACTGTGGCTGTACTCATCTGACGGCTAATTGGGGCTTGATTGTTTTGGGTAGCTTCTCACATCTGTTTTTTTGTTTTTGCTGTCAGCTGGGCCATATATCTTCAAACAAATGATTCTGGACCTTTTAATATGATGGTGGCTGGATTACAAGAAAGTAAGCTCCATTTTGCAAGTTTTTCAAGCTTTGTATCATGTTTATTGATGTCATGTTGGCCAAAGAAAATTACATGTCAAAGCGAAAAATTAATATGGAAGGACACTAGAAAGGAGCAAGAAAACCAGGATGCATGATTCACAACAATCTATTTTAGTTGTCTTAGTCTGTTTCATGTTGCTATAACAGAACACCTGAGACTGTAAATTTATAAAAAAAAAAAAAAGAAATTTTTTTCACTCACAATTCTGGAGGTTAAGTCCAAGATAGGACAACCCATGTGGTGAGGGCCTTTTGCTGTTCCAACTCATGGCAGAAAGGGAAGTTGGTGCATGCAAAAAGACTCACAGGAGAGGCTGGATTCACTTACAACAATCCACTCTCTCAATAACTAATTCATTCCTGTGAAAGTGAAAATTAACTCACTCCTTAGAGACAGCATTAATCTATTCAAGAGGGAAGTGATCTTATGATCCAAACACTTCCCACTAGGCCCCATATCCCAACACCACCACATTGGGAATCAAATTCAACATGAGTTTTGGCAGGGGCAAACCACATTTAAACCATTGCAACAGTCTATCCTCTGGCCCCAGTAATTCATGGCTCTCCCATACAAAAATAAACTCACTCTTTCTAATATCTTAAAAGTTTCATTTAATCACAGAACATGGCTGGGAGTCCATAATATTATGATCTGCCTTAAGTACAAATGTCTATGGGAGTCCTTACTTATATTATCTCAGCTGTATTCTCGATTCAGAGAAATGTGAACTAAAAAGACTAAAAATTTGCATATGGTCTCAGAATACAGGCAATAGAGTGGAAGCAGAAACACACACATTAAACAAACAAACCACAGACCTTGGTTAAAAGTGAAGGGAAAGGGACTAGCTAAGAAGGGCTCAAGGGAAAGAACAAAGGGAGGGACAAGACCTCGGTATGTTGGAGTGTCCAAGAAGTCTTGAGTTGATCCTTGAGGAATTTTATCAAGGAGGGGAGCACTGTGTGTAATGATTCTGAACCTATCCATGATGTGTGCACAGGACTCAGAAGCAGAGGAACTTGTCATGATGGGGAATACCTTGGTCTAGTTGTGGGCTTATGTTAGTGGTAAAATAAAATTTATTTTTTTAGCACATTGGAGGCAGTTTCCCTTAAGTGCATTGGCCATATTTTTCCAGCTGGTGTTCTTTGTACTTGGTTTTATGGTGGCACAGGACATAGGACATAGTGACTATCTTAGAAAACAGTCATGTGATACCATGCTCACAGGCATGCTAAGGGCAAGGCAAAAGCTAGAAAGATCATTTTTAAGGCTGAGAAGAGGTTGGATGTGTGTTCTGCACAGGCAAAAATTATGGCTTAGTCACAGGGTAGGCAAAGAGGCTTCTGAGAATGCTATTAACCTCCTGAAGAGGCTACGTTCCTTCAGTGGTTAATCAAAGAAGCCAGGGAACCATTCAGAATGAGGAAGGTTGCATATGCATTGGGGTGGGTCATTAACCTTCTTTCTTCTAATACTATAATATTAAATAGCAATTAGAGCATCATATCTTTATTTTCTGCCCCACTCTTTGGGCCCCTTGAAATCATCCTGTATTTTAGCCTTTATGGGACTTGATAATACAGCCAAGAATTGCAAACCCACTAGATTGTGAAGTTGGGGAACTTTTGGGGGGAAATCGCATGAAGGGCACATTTTTTACTGCAGTAACACAATTATCTTCAAAGAGATTTCAAAAACTGCCTCATAAATGTAACAACCCAATCACATCCTGATTGTTTAATGGGGAGATATGAAAATTCAGTTGACAGAGCTGACACTTCCAGGAGGGTATTTCCATATGAAATAGGCACTAAAGCCATCTCTAGGAGAAAAGGCCCATGTGAGCACATTGTGTGCTGGACTCCATGAGGCTCATCCTGACCCACTGACCCTCTCACTGGCCCTACACACACCTAGATCACACCGCAGCTGCTGAGCTGCCTGCCTCAAACCTTTTTCAAGTGCGAGTCCCTGTCAGACTAGCAGACTAGCTCTGTGAGTCTCTCAAAATTCAGATTAATTTTTTCCTCCTTCAGAAAAACCCCCCTTGGTTCTCCAGCCCATTCGCATCCCTTCTTTTGCTAATTCCTATGGCATTTAAAACTTAAGCCTTGTAATTAAACTCTGAATTATAGCCCATTCTGTTAGTATTAATAATATGATTTTAACATGACATGTGTTAGGCATTATTGCCTCAAGTACACAAAGCTCATATCCCAAGCAGCAAGGCATAATGAAAAGAGCTTGTTAAGAATAACTTTGATGGTAGACATTTCTGACATTATATTGGGTCTTTAGGGGTTATATTTGGGCTAGGGTTCCCTTAGATGGCATTTCTATCTCAAGAACAGCTTGCATCTGTACATTAGTTTGTGTATATGCCTGTAAGCACTTGTTTGTATTAACCAATCATTACTCTAGGGAAGTGCTTTGGATTAAATTTAAGTCTAACATATATGTTGTTAAATTGTGTGTTTTGTGGAGAGGTGGTCAGGGAGTGAAGGAAGAAATTACACAAATGAATCTGAAATCACATTTGAGATTCTGACTTCTCTGTGTGTACTTCTTGTGAATTCCTAACAAACAGACACTCCCTTGTGGGCACAGGGTCTGTGAGTGTACAGACCTGTTTCTAATGCGAGCGTCCACATGGTATGGGTGTGGCACTTTGGTCAAATCACACAGTCCTTTGCCTTTAGATGCCATACACTCAAAACAGTGCAAAATAATTGCTTCTAGAATGATGCTCATAATCAGAGGATGAATAAGATGATCCACTGAGGTGTGGAAAGAGAACATCAGAAACTTGTATTAGTGAAAGGATGAAATGAGTAACATTCAATTTTTTAGTTTGTCATAAGAGCCCTTTCTTTTGGTGCTTAAGCCAGACAGTTCATGACTCACAGTGAGTTGAGGTGTCTGGAGGGGAGGGTGAAGGTTCCATAATGCAGAGTTTGGTGGGGCATGACCACTCTTTCTTTTGCTCTCTTGTGGTTCATATGCATCCAGGTAAAGTGAATTTGTAAATTATATAATCTTCTTTTAATTAAAACAAACTTCAAACAATAGCCAAGTGGCTTCTGATATTCCTGTAAGAAACTGTAGACCGAAGATAACTCTCACAATGCCAGCCCACGAGAATTGTCTCATTAGGAAATGGTGGAGCCAACACTTCTCCTCTTTCTTTTCCTCAGCCCCATTGCCAGATAGAAGCAAGGGCTACCTACTTAGATCTGGAGAGGGGTCAGCCAGTGAGCAGGAAATAACTCCATTTGAAAGTGCATGGTTAGAAAGGAGGTTTCCAATCTGAGTGATATTATTGCCAAAAGTAATGATGAAAGCTCTCCTATAAGCACATTGAAAATATCAGAAAAAACATTTTCTAACCTTCCTGATTTAATAAGCTAGAAATTGACTAGCAAAACGCCAACAAATAATTTTGTTCTATGGATATATCGGATTGGAAAGTAAGCCCATGACTAGTCAGCATAGGCAATTCTGACTTTATTCGTGGTCATCATGAGTCTTCATGGGGTCCCTTTTACAGTTAGAGCAGCCGTGAAAACCAAGGACCAAAATAAACTGCAGTTGGTGCCGGACCTCACAATTGTTCCATCATGAGGCACTAAAGCAAGACTTTCTGAAATGTGAAGAATATTCAGTCTCATTGCATTCATTGAAAATATTATTATGAATAATGATTTCAATTTCAGCAAAAATGTTAACATTATATTACAATTACATAATAAAATTAAAATGTAAATATTGGTTATTTCATTTCTTATATGTTTTACAAGTTATATTTTAATTATATCTTATAATGAATGTAGCATATTCATTCATTTTATATATATATATATATATATGTGTGTGTGTGTGTGTGTGTGTGTATAAATTTTTTTCCTGATAGGTATGTATGACCAAAAAATGTTGGCAGCCGCTAGACTTGAGGTTCAAGGTTTATAAGGAATTATAGGACAGATGTAAAACTTCTTTTGAAAATATTTTCTGCAAACATAATAATAATGATAGAAAATAGTGGAGAGGCAAAGTACAAGGCTACTGGCCAACATGATCAGTTAGGGCAATTAACCGCAAGCCAGTGCCAACAATAGATTTGATTAGAATGAGGATAGTTCAATTTTTTAAAAAGAATAACTATCGCAAGGACAAAAAACCAAACACCGCATGTTCTCACTCATAGGTGAGAAATGAACAATGAGAACAAGTGGACACAGGAAGGGGAACATCACACTCTGGGGACTGTTGTGGGGTCGGGGGAGGGGGGAGGGATAGCATTAGGAGATATACCTAATGCCAAATGACGAGTTAATGGGTGCAGCACACCAGCATGGCACATGTATACATATGTAACTAACCTGCACATTGTGCACATGTACCCTAAAACTTAAAGTATAATAATAATAAAATAAAATAAAATAAAAAAGAGACAAAAAAAAAAGAATGCCATCAAAGTTCTTCTCTGTCCTCTTCAATGCCTTACTGAATAAACCCTTCAACTTTACTACTCATTGTCTGTTTGTCTGAATCTTCCTCTCCAACCTGACTGAACACCTCTTTGCCTCCCAAACTGAGCTGGTACTTGCTCAATTCCCTCAAATGTTTCTTTCCTACTCTCCATCTGAAACATCTGAAATGCCCAACCGTGTCCCACTGACCTTGCTGTACCCAATTCCTACGCATCCTTCATGACCAAAGTCAGCTCCCTTCCTTCTCCTACAGTCTTCAGACCACTTTAGCCCATAATTTTCTCTTTCCTTTCTAAACTAATAGCAGTTTCTATCTCTGCCACTCATTTGACAATCAACTATATAATGCATTGTGACAGCTCTGATATTACATTGTACCCTATCGTTATTCCTCTCTTCTGTTTTCAAGTTTCTTTTTTTTCTATTTTTCTTCACCTTTTGCTTTGTATCTGTAACTTCATCCAAAAATCCTTCATGATGGGGTGATATTTCCCCCTTCTGTTATAGTCTTCCTTAGTCTGTGCTCAGCATGTAATTAGATTCAAAGAGGTGTGTAACAAATATTAGTGGTTATAATAAAGGACAAACCCTGCCGTTTGATGTTGCATTTCCTTACTTAAAATTAGAATAACAAAATATTATCATTGAGCTGATATAAGGATTAAACAAACAATGTATGTAAAGTTAAAGGCAGAGTGCACACCACTTGGTAAATCTCCATACGTTTTATATTCTCCAGGATTAACTCACTAGTGACTTTTATGTCACAAAGCTACCTGGTTGTTGCGAAGCAGCAGCTGGAAGGAATGAATGATTTAAGGCATACGTCATTCCTTTATTCACTTATATTAGGCACTAAAGAGCAGGTTATAAATTTTCATTTTAGCGTGCCTTCCCCTCTTCTTAATATATTAATGATTATCCTCTGAAGTTTTCTTCCTATGGTCAAGAGAAGGGATTATAATTTTCTTGACTCATTGATAATTGATGTTAATAGAACGATGGTTTCTCTGACAATTCAATATACTGTCCACCATGAAAAAAAAAGAAAAGACACAGACAGATACACCTGCAGTGGCCTTAATCAGACCTGAAACATCCTGCTGACAGATATTTAACTCATTTGTTCTGTTTGGCTGTCGGTCTGACACCATCACCATAATACAATATGAAGTGCTAATTATCATGAAATCCAATGATACAATTTACTGGGAAAGAAAAACCTTTACTTCCCTTTTTATTGGAAGCTGCTTGCTCCCTCTCTTAAATTTGATCAGCGTTTACTATGATAGAAGAGGAGACCACTGCATCGCACTAGCCTTGAGCCCTAACTAAAGCAAAGGACTGTTCATTCTCAATTTATGTTATTTTTCAGATAATTCAGCACATCACTGGGTGCTTAAGAGTTTCTGTTGATAATAAAAGAAGACAAAACAAATTTGAGATCCTGCATCCCTTCAAATGAGGAGTCCAGCTGACTCGAATGATGAGCAGGCAGAGGCCAGCACCTTCTTCCTCCTGTGAGCTCTGAATCCATTTGTGTGTCCAAGTACTAAAGAGCTGGCCGTCCATTCCATCCTATTTCCTAAATTAAATGGGCTGGTCAGTTTCAATATTCTACCCAAGTCCAGATTTCTGAAAAAGCAAAGCCACCATTACTAGCAACTTCCCTGAGAAAGTGTGTGTGAATCCTGAAGTCTGGGCATGACCAATTGTGACCTGGTCTGGACTGCAGTTCCTAAGCCTACACCTAAGAATTACTGCTTCTCTTCAGAAATTGCCTCACTGTGGAGTCTTCTACTAGTCACTCAGTCCTGCTATTGACCTAATCAAGGTCTAGTGACCCTGGAAAGCCATTTCCTTTTCCTTGTAGTTAACAATTGAGCAGCAACTTTTATACCTTGAGGCATCGTTTCAACTTTTCTTTGCCATATCTCCTAAACACTGAGCCTTCTTTCTGTTTCTCTTCACCCATTTCACCTGGACATCCATGTGGTCTAAAACCCTTAGACTGTGGGTGGTGGGTAGGGAGTCAGAGGCACAGAATTGGTGTGTGAGAAGGGGGTGGGGAGGCGGTTGAGGAGAAGGGTGAGAAAAGAACAGAGCTCCCATGCTGCTTCTGGAATGAGCTTTCTGTCTTCCAGGCCATCAATTTTACCTCTTGCAATACTTAATCCCATATTCCTGGAGCTCACGAACACAGCAATGGGAGAAGAAAGGCAGGGAAATTTTTTTTCAGGGCACAAACCTCTTTAAAAAGTTCACTAACAATGTACAATGAATGAAATACTGAACGTCCTGTATATTATTTTAAAAAGGGATATCAAACAACAGTGCAGGACTGTCTGGTTATATTACAGTGTCTATCTTCTCATGTGTCAGCAACAAGTAATGCTGAAGGAGGCCTAATTATCATATTCACAGTGGTACAGGTAGTAAAACAGTTATGCTTTGCATTGCTCAGGATGTTCAGAGCTGAAATAGATAAACTATGTGGGAGACTAGTAATAGGTAATTATTCTCTACTTACATATTCAGCCTCATAATTCTAAATTAAGGTAAGTGGAAAAAGCTCATAAAATATTCAAAGCTCTTTTATCTTTCCTCCTCCCTCTTATTAGAAACTGTGCATGAATTTGCATAGAATAAACTGAGCTCATAAATCAAAGAAGAAACTGCAAGAATGCTCTTTGTAAGTTATAATTTAAGGTTAACTGTAGCACATTTTGCTTACTGTATTATTAATGACTTTCGTTCACTCATGACAAGATTACATATTAAAAATTGTTGGTAGACAAAACTCAGTTCATAATCAATTTGCTTCTTAATGTGAGCAATCTGCGTGCATCCCTATGGCAGAGGCAGGTTTAGCGAGGGTAATGGAAGGAGTGCCTTGGGAAGAATGGTTCTAACACCGTTGGGCTCCCTCAGGGGTGTGATTGACAGGCAACTTCAAAGGGGAATTAAGTGACTGGTGAAGGGCAAACCCTAGATGGCTCAGTCAGGGCTCAGGGCTGCTCCCTGGGGTTCTGGTATCAGACTCCACCCTAAATGAGCCTGCTTTTTTTCAGTTTCTGCAGTTCTACCTACGGTGCTTTATACTTTCCAACTACTTGCCCATGCTTGAAATGCTTTTATCCTTGTAGCCTCATTTTTAAAATTTTTATCACATCTATTTACCAAAAAATGTATTTCTTTTTACTGTGAAACAAGCCCAATTTCCAAATGCTTTCTCAAATCAGGTTTTCAGATTCTCTGTTCCTTCTCATTGTCTCTTGTTTGCCTTCCTTTTTTTCATCCTGTGTTTAGATTTTCAGCCAGTTCCTCTCTTTGCTCCTTGCTTCTGTGTCTTGGCATTTCTGTTCCCTTTAGAAACGCTCTTTCTGCTTAACTCCAACAAAGCAATGCCAATTTATCTCTGCAGTTACAGCTTCCTGACACCCCCTCTCTACCTCCTTGGCCCACCCAAGGGGAAAGTTTTTCATTATAGTACATTTAGATACCAGCTGCTTTCTGATGCATGTGAAACAGAAAGACTTACACTCTCTCTTGGCTGGAGAAACAGAGACATGGGCAGGATGTTCACAAGTTATTTTACTGGAAATTAGCATGGGTGGGTTTGATACTGTGCTTGGATCTTGTGTTGTGGTCCTGGTTCTGCCTCGGGTACCTCTTTTGAGGGAGAATAATCCCTGATCTATGTACATTCCTGGGTGTCTTCTGAATATATGACATTTAAAAATGTTATATTGAAATGTGACATCATTTTGTTTATTTTACTACTTTATGTATTTTAGTATTTATTTTATTAATGTATTTTTATTCCTACTGGTATAGACTGAGATGAATTGCATTCATTTATATAGAGAATGTGTTGAAATTATGTCTAAAACGTTAAGCACCCTGGAAACATTTGAGGTTTTAGCTGCTTGGGGTAAGAAACTGTTGATTGTAGACATAATGGTACCTAAACAATTGAGCAAGCATTGACTATAGGATCTAAAATATCACCATGGAGGATTGATGAGAATTTTTATTTGATGCTTATTGCTAAGGCCTTGGGCCCACTTCCCATCTTATCCTCCCCAGCCTCATAGGTCTCCAACCCTGATGCCCTCCATAGGCAAGTGCTCCTAGAAAACATGCAGAGGAGCCTCCTGCCATGCCAGAGGGGGTACAAAGAAAAATAATGTGTCAAGACAGGGCCTCTGGGCAGGAATGAAAAGAATCAAGACTGAGAAATGCAGGAGGTAGCATGGGGACTTGAAAGGAGAGGTGATTCATCTCCGATGTAAAAAAACCCAGGCCATTAATTAAACTAAAATTAAATACGGGTGATGAAATGAAAAGTCAAAAGAGACTCTGTTTTCCTCTGCCCAACCATTAAAATTGAGCCTTCTTAAGGAATGGATCCTCAGTTTTTTCTTACTTGAATCACCTGTTGGGTGACCTCATTACTCACTGGGCGTCAGCCCCGTCTCTTAACTGATGACTGGCATCTCTAAGCATACTCTCCAGAGCTCAGGGCTGTGTTCCCAAGCTTCTCCCCTCCCTGCCATGCCACAGTTTCCGCCTCCTTGCAATTCCCACACAGTGCCTTGAAATTACAGTGTCTCAAACAGAACTCACCTTCTTCTCCATCCAAACAACTCTGTGGACTTTCTGTCTCTGTGCATGGCACTGTCATTCATCCAGCCCTCTAAACACCATCTTGTGAGTGTTTCTACTTCATCTGCCACCTCTGGGCTCCAGACCCTCACAGTGCTATCCAGCATCTCCCAGGTAGTTTCTCACTTGCAATGTCTGGGACTTGCCATGGTGCAGGCTCTCACTCCTGGGTCATTTCAGTGGGCTCTTTGCTGCCTCTGGGCTCCAGACCCTCACAGTGCTATCCAGCATCTCCCAGATAGTTTCTCACTTGCAATGTCTGGGACTTGCCATGGTGCAGGCTCTCACTCCTGGGTCAGTGCAGTGGGTTCTTTGCTGGTTCTTTTGCTGAAGGTATTTGCTCCTAGTCTACCATCTATACTGCCATAGAGTGAGCTTTCTAAAACCAACCTTCGGTCATGTCATTTTCCTTACTTAAAATTCTTCACTGGCTCCTGGTATGATAAATTCATATTTTTCAGCATGGTATATATAAAACTCCATGTCTTCTCTTTTGCTAGCTTTCTATTATCTTCTACTTTTCAACTATACATTTCCTGAATTCAAATCAAACATCCCTCTCTCAATCCCCCTCTCTCTATTTTTCTCTACTATAGCACCTAAATTTTAGGCAGTAACTCCTTTTTTACGTTCAGCCAGAGGCAGATATTTTATTTCTGTGATGTTGCTAAAAATGTTAATTTAATTCATTAAAAATGTATTGTGCATCTTTTATGAAATTCTAGGAGTTGGGGAAGTTGGGGATTGAAGGCACAGTTGAGTAAAAGCAGAGAGGATGGGAAAACAGAGAAGACCCAGAGGACTCCGAGAGTCTTTAAGCAACCCCCCTGTCTTTCCAAGAGCACAGCAATCAGAAGCCCTGGGGAATAGTTCTGTTGAGCAGAGGCCACTCTGCCCTGAGACCAGTTGCAATCCTAGATGGCCTGACCTTCCTTTGAATGGAGACTGAGTAATGGATGCAAATGGATTGACTGGCACTTAAGAGCTATTTTCCAAGCTTTTTAGCACAGAGGCACAATACCCAGAATCAACACTTGAAATGGGACTCTTGTTATTGCAGTGTTTATTTTTCATACGGTTATATAACTCTAGCTGAGCTCACCTATGAGATTGTAGGCTCTCTCATTTGCGGAGGTCGGTTTGCCGCAGGCAGGTATTTACTCTATTGCCATGAAGTCCATCAGAGATAAAGGCCTTTATGTTAATTAAAGTACCACATTGCCTTTGGACTTTGGGGGGAACTGTGACACAGTACGCTGGGACAGAGAAGGCTCCATGCTGTCTACCTAGCTGAGTATTCTGTGTTCTTGTTTTGAGCAGAGCCTCTCCAGAATGGGGGAGGAGAGAGAGGGAAATTAAGAAAAAAGGGAATGAAGAAAAAGAAAGACAGAAAACAGGCTTCTGTAATTCTGCCACTTGCTGGAAAGTCAGATAACAAAACTGTAAACATTACAATATAGCAATTGCTTCATAGCTCATTTGAAAGTTATCCTCTCCAAAGTCACAAAATCATTCATAATTAATTATCAATTGATTGACACAGACATATGCCATAGGAGTTCTGAGGGGATGAGATCAATGTGGACTGAGGCAGCACAAAGGGCCCTGAGAGAAGAATAGTGCTGAAATGTGGAATGGGAGGAACAGCGCTGCAAAGGTGAAAGGCAGTCGTGTCTTCTGGGTGATGTGAAGTTGCAGTTCCTTGATAATCCCAATCATGCAGACAGCTGGCTGAAGCATATACATCCCACATTTGTATGTGTGCACATCGCACATGCAGAAATCTTTTTCGTGAGATTTGGACTGAAGTGCCCTAGATTGAGTCTTCTATTTTGTGTTGAAGTCTGTATTTTGTATGGAAGCACATAGAGTACCTCTTCATTTTTCCTCCTACTTAATTCCTTTCTGCTCGAGGGTGCTAAAAACTATGGATAATTTGTTGTGTATCCCTCCTGCCCTTTTCTATGCAGATATAGATAGATAGATAGATAGAGATACATATTCATGTGTGTACATATATTCATATGAATTTTAAACCTAAATGGGATCATCTATATACATGTGATTCTAATGAGTTGTTTAATGTATTGCTTAAACATGGACCTTGATGAGATCCTTCCCTGTCAGTTGCCTTCGTTGTTTTTAGCTTGATGGTGTCCTATAATAAGGAAGCCTCAGAATTTATTGAAGCAATATGTTACTGGTGGATGTTCAGATGTTTCCAGTTTTTCCTTATGGGCATTAAAAAGTATATTAATACTTACAATTTTGGTTTAAGTATACATTTGTCTACAGGATAGTTTCACCAAAGCAGGATTACTAATTTTTAAAAAGCCAGTGGTTTAAGTCCCATAAAGATTCTATCTATTTATATTCCACCAAAGCATATACTGTGTGTTAGTAACCATTCTCCCACATCAGTGTTTGCAAAATTAATGTGTGAAAATTTTTATTTCATTACTGTTTTAAAATATATTTTCTTGGTTACTAGTGAGTTTAACATCTTTTTATGTGATTGTTCATTTTAAAGTCTATTTTTATTGTCCCAAAGAAGCCATTTGTCTCATCTCTATTCCTCATTAATTAGAATTAAATCCTTTTGATTTCCACTGAATTTTTTTAACCATCAGATATCTAAGCCAAGTCATGTGAAAGTGTTAAGTGAGTTAAATAATCAATTGATCAATATGTATTCACTAGGCAATTAATGCCTCTAGTCTGTGCTGGCTATTGTTGGGTATACAGCTCTGGCTTTTAAGGAGCTTATATGATCTTTTAGGGTGATAAGACTCAAACTGTAATCAATGACAGTACTACAGTTTACTAGACCCCAAGGGCTGTGGACAACCAGGGAAGAGAGAGGCTCTGCAGGTTAGAATAGCTAGGAAAATCTTACTGAAGGAATTACCGTTCTGCTTGACCTTGAGAGATGGATGCTGGAGGAATGGAGTGCGTTTTAGACCAGGGAGGTCAGCCGAGGTACTAAGTGGATTTCAGAGGGCAGCTAGGAGTGCAGCCATCCTGCAGCAGAGATTATGGAGACCCATGGGAGTCTATGCATTGTTGAGCTGCTGTGAGCATGGACCCAGCCCCATTATATACACAGAAATTACTGTTTCCCTCCCTACTATGAGGGTCTGCCTCTGCCCATGCCCATCTTGACCTGCCTTCAGGAGGCTATGTCAGGGAGTTTGGCTTTCAGGCTCAGGGTTCAGGAGGACAGATAAGGATAGGGCATGGCTCTGCCCTTCCAAGTTCTCCTGGATCCCCCAGGAAGCCACTGGATCTGGAACCTGCCTAATTGCAGCCCCTAGAGCCTCATCATTTTGTCCAGAGGTGCCATTGCTGCAATTACTCTCTAAACCCAGAGTCAATTACTCACTGTGTGAATCACCCCCAAAAGATTGCTTTTTCCTTTTCCATTAGTATCACACATAATTGCACTCTGTGTGGTTCCTAAGCTCTTATTCCTGACTTCAATGTCCATGAGAATCTGGGTTGATTAGAAAGTCCCTTCATCTCCTATCACTGACCTCATCAACACTTTCCATAAGGTTTTTCACTATTTTCTTCATTAACAAAACACCCACCTCCTACCATTAATTATTCAGCTCCTTGTGAGGAAAGAATTGCTGTGTTTTCCCTGCTGATTTTTCCATATGTTTATCCTTTCTTCTTTCTTCTTTGTCTTCTTATTAACAGGAAATGTTAACACATATCCTAGAGTTGTAGGGATGGTTGATTTTGATACCACTGTACTTTGTCTTTTATAGCCACTATCCCTTGAGGACCCTATACTACCCCACCTCTTGGCTCTCAAGATCGCCGTGGGCTAACCAAGATCTCAAGCTTAGCTTTCTGTCTGATGCAATTTCAAGCTGCAGCTGACCCCTGTCTTCACTCTCCTCCTGCTGTTCAATGTAGCTGTCCCATGTATTGCCTGCCCTTGGGGCTTATCAAAGGGGATCAACCAATTCATCATCAATAATTTAACAGTGGCATACTACCATAGCATGAGTTAACAAAGGTAAGAGTCATGCTGTGCCCTCACAAGCAGCGACAGATAGGGAGAAGGAGAAGAAGATAGAATAGGGTGGATCATAATGTGGGATATCAACCTAGCTAGATGAGAGAAGGGAGCAGGCAGTCCTCCATCTGGAATCCAAAAAGCAATAGTGACCTCATTTCACATTTAGGCCAGAACGCATATGCAAAAGGCTCAGTCTGGTGTAAAAAGACTCATTAGTAGGGAAATTTGGGTAGTGCTGTTATTTCAAGAAAGTCAAAATGTATTGACCCTTGGAGACATTGCACATGAAACACATATAGCAGCAAAGGAGTATATGGTGGGATGAGGTGTTGGAAGGGCAGGAAGAGCAGGAACATAAAACAACACAGTATGTAAAAATTCAAGACAAGGTGGTTGAGGTTATAGGCCCAGGCACTAGGAAGTACTGGAAACCCAAGTTAAGGTGTCATCACTGAGAGTGAGCAAGCACAGCAGGGGCTTATAAGGAGGCATATAGGGGGCATATAGGTATTTGGGAAATACTACATGGTAGGTAGCACAACCAAGTCTAGAGTCACTTACTGGTGGATGTGAACCCACAAATTTGATGCTAGCCTTGTCCAGTGTTGGAATGAATACAACTTCATTCTTACCTCAAAGCAGCAGGATTTGCCTAGGTTGACAGGCCCATGTTGCTGCCTATTAGAAAATAGATCCAAAGCCTAAACTCCAGCTATGCTTCAAAAATAGGAAGTCAAGAGGACTCAATAATTTCCACATACAGTGAAAGCTGTGTTCAGCTTTAGTTGGAGTATTAGTTGGAGTTTTCCAGAGAAACAAAGCCAACAGAAGATCATGTATATACATATATATAATGTCTGTTTTCAAAACAATACAAGATGTCATACAATTTGTAAATGAGAGGTATAGATAGCACTTCCAGAGTCACAAGAAATAACTGTGGGCTGAGCTAGCCAATCATAGAGAGGTTGAGCTTCCTGAGGTCAATATCATTTCCAGACTTTACTCTCAGGACCTTGCACATAATAGATATGTAATCCACGCCTTTCCACACAGGGGAATGACGGGCAGAGCAGTGTCTTGATGCTATTGCGATGGGTGCTCTTGCTAAAGGAGAAATTTTATTAGGAAGAGAAGAGAGGAGTGAATACAGACCATGTGGAATTGCCATGATGAAGATGGATGGAGGGAAGAGAAAAGCATCAAAGAACAGCGTTCATGATATTAGTGATGATGATGATAACTTATTGAGCACTTTCTACAAAAATCATAGCTGACACTATTGAACACTTAGTGTCAGATATTATGTAATAAACTTTACATACTAATGAGGTTAAACATCTTTTTATGTGATTGGTTGTTTTATGTTTCAACTCCTCATAACAGTACTGTAAGTAAAATATTATTGTTTCCTCTATTTATGTAAGGTAACTGAAGCTTGGAGAGGGTAAGTAATTTGCCTAGGAATGCACAGATAATAAGCAGCTGAGCTGGATTTAATGTCACATTTGTCTAATGTGAGCTATGAGCACTTACCTCTACTAGAAGCCCTCTTATGTAATGTAAAGGGAACTGGTCATTGTAGATTAATCAAAATACTTAAATGCTCTTTCCAGGAGTAAAAAATCTTTGTCTGGATTCTAACATCTCTCTCTCTCTCCACTAGCATTTTATTTTCAGGGAAGAAGCACTCTGCTCTTTTTCTCTGCATAAACCATAACCATGATGCCTCATCTACTATTTCCCATTTTGATTTCTTTAAAGTAATGCCAAATGTCATGAACGATGACACTTAAGAGTTTTGTGATGTTTTTCTCCCTACAACTAACATCTCACTCTAATTCAACAGGGTTTGTTGTGCTGTTTTCCTCAAATTGCCCTCATCAAATGTTTACAATTGAGTTTTCATGAAAGAAATAATTCTGTTTCTTGCATTCATATTGGCTTACATTATTATTTATGGCCTACGTATTATTTAAAATCTGTCATTATAATAGAAAGCCCAAATGGCAAAAATATGTTTGGTCATAAACATGACTGACCCTCAGTGTGTATGAACCTCATAAATGGGAATAGGAATATGTAGCAAAACTGAGGACTGACTCCTAGTGCTTTCAGTATGCCTTGCACGTAAGAGAGAACATCAGTTAATCCAAAGTGTGGTGCTTCAGTGTCAACTACCATCCCTCACCAGACTGTCTCTCAGCTGGAAGAGGAAGAATGCAAGATCATGAAGGATGAGAGTTCAAGGAGTGAGTGCTACTGAAAGATTAAGGATAGTAAAAATTGCTTAAAATCATATATTTTTATATACCTATGTGTGTTTGTGTGTGTACAGGTGGGGCTTTTTGGCAAAAAATAAGTTATATCTATTTTTTTTTTTTTTGAAACACAGTGTCGCTCTTGTTGCTCAGGCTGGAGTGTAGTGGCATGATCTTGGCTTACTGCAACCTCCACCTCCTGGTTCAAGTGATTCTCCTGCCTCAGCCCCACCAAGTAGCTGGGATTACAGTTGCCTGCTGCCATGCCTGGATAATTTTTGTGTTCTTAGTAGAGACGGGGTTTCACCATGTTGGCTAGGCTGGTCTCGAACTCCTGACCTCAGGTTATCCACCCGCCTCAGCCTCCCAAAGTCCTAGAATTACAGGTGTGAGCCACCATGCCTGGCCAGTTTTATCTGTTTTTGAAGGCAATTACAAAAACAGTGGTGAAGTTAGAGATCAGATTGTAAAGAATCAAGGAGTGTCTGAATGATGCGGCACTTGATAGCAGGTGCAAACTATTCTTTTAAGAAATTAGGTACACAGGTAAAAGAGAATGATAGGGAAGTTAATGGAGGAGCAAGAAGAGATTGACAAGATTTTAGCATACAGAAGACAAGATCGTGTTTCTGGTGTGAGAGCAGTATTCTGATGGAGAGAGACATTGGAAGATGAAGAGGAAATAGGATGTAGAGAGGTGATGGAGAGGAGGTGCTACAAAAACAAAGGCAGATTGTACAAACATCAGCCCCCTAGAAGAGCAGAAAAAGGTCTGACACAAAGGTAGGGATCTGTAAAAACACTAAGACAAGATTCTGCAACTTCTTCAAGAAGAGACTCTATAGATCTATAGAAAAGCACAACATTTTTAGTGCAGTGAGGTTAATGGAGGTAAAATACATATAGTGATGATATAAATGAGGAAATAAACAACTATTTAGGAATAGCAAGAAAAGCTTACTGGAAAAGGATACAATTGAAATGTGTCCTAAAATATGAAAAGGAATTTTCCAGGCAAACTAATGGAGAGGAAATTCTAGGCAGAATAACAGGTGCAATCTCAGGGAGGTGGAAAAAGGAGAGTTCTGACTAGTGGTTTTATGTGGCTTCTGAACAGAGCAGACAGGGTGGGGTGGCTGAGGTTAAAGGAGGACAAATTGGCAGGGATGAGTTTTTGTTTGTTTGTTTGTTTTTTTGCTTTTATTTATAATAAGGTGATTGGATTTTACCCTATAGTTTGAGTGCTTTTTTCTAATATTGGCTTTTGACAATCTGATTCATGTCTATCACAAAGTTACAGACAGGATGGCACAAGAGACACTTGATAACTGGAACATTCTTCTGAGGGTATCAGTTTCATAACTCCCCTGTTTCAGGAGGTATTTCTGCAGAAAATCTTAAAGAAATATATAGGATTTGAAGCATAAAATAAAGTGTCCCTGTTCCATAATTTAGGCCTAATGAGAATTCTCAAAAGGTATTTTTCTGACCTAGAAAATAAGGTGAAAGACATGTAAAGGTTAAAATGTGCAGGTTAACTTTCTGAAAATTAAAAATGATTTGGTAAACATAAAGAAGAAAGAAAGGGAAGAATAACAAGGAGACTTCTGTCTGAGGTCCCAAGGCAGAGGTAAAAGACTGGAAGAGAAGATAAATATGAGCTCTCATCAGAGAAGAAGAATTGCTCTCAACCCAGGCAGGGAGAATTGGTCTAAAGGAAGGAAGGGTTTAGTAAGACTTTCTGAGGCTTCTAAATCTTCCATGAGTTTTCTTTCCTTTTTTTTTTTTTTTTTTAAAAAAAAAAAAAAAAAAAAACATCGACCAGAAAGCTTTGTTGTCTAGGAAAGGGTAAAAGGATGTCTGGCTGAATTGGAATTGACAAAACTAGGCAACTCAGACAGGGCAGTCTCAGGAGCAGCCTTTAACCACAAAAGAGATATTGAAGGCGATGCAATCAATAGAGCTAGAGCGGACAGGGGAGGAAGATGATGAAACCCATCAAATTCAATCACTGGGCAGAAGTGGTCAGCGTCAGCTTCCTCAGGAAGGGTCACTCGATGCCAGCCCCCCTTCAGGGACTTTGACCTTCCCTGCTGATTACCTTAGGATCACAAAATTTTAGTGTCGGGAGAGAATAATGCATGCTACACTGGGATCCCTTTCGCTGTGGCCTAGATGAGTGAGTTTCCTGGACTCATGGGTTACAGAGATGCCAACTCACCTGCCTAATGTATTTGATTACTGTGACCTTTCTTCCTGAAGATATATTCATTTATTCATTAATTTGTTCACTCGTAAGTTACTCCCATCCATAGTAGGTTTCAGGAAATCTGTCTACAGATTCTTCACGACTTCTCCCATCAAGAAATGGAGTCTGTTTCACCCTGATTTGGCTCCTGACCTGGCCTAACAGAACAGGGAAGATGAGAGAGAGACACGTGGAGAGACATGTGGCGAGAGTCCCTAACTGTCCTAGTCATCTTGGCAGTGTCTGAACCCAGGCATGTGTTCGAGCACAGCCGACATCATGTGAAGAGGAAGAGATGAGCTCAGCTGAGCCCAGCCCAAAATGCTGACCCACGGAGTCCTTCACGAACAAAAGGACTCATAATAGACATTTTAAGACAATAAGTTTTGGGTAGTTTATTATGTAACCCAAGCTAATTGATATACCTTTTAAAGATAAATTTAAGAAGACTCAAAATAGAAAGGATACAGAAATATTTTTTGCAGAATCTCTCAGGGCTACTGGAGGACCACTAACAAAGTTTAACAGAAAAGATGAACTATCTTAAAACTGTCCTAATAAATGGTCCATGAGCATCAAGAATACAGTCAGGCAAAACTCCAAGTACATTTTGATTGCACTTAGAAAACATCCCTCCAAATGACTGCATTGTAACAAGAAAACAATGGTATGCATGGTTTTTATAGAGGGGGCTCTCAGAAGCAAAAGAAAGAGAGGCACTCTCTGTCACTGGGAGGGTGAGGTGCAGAGTATGTCAGGGCATCTCTTAAGTGGTGGGTATGTGCCTACAGCAGAGTGGGATGCATCTGGCTATGAGCTTGATCACGTGCTCAAATTTACCCACTTTCTCTCCTTGCTCTGTTCCCTTTTCATCAAACAACGCTTGGATTATGATTTGGCTTCCTGGATATATTTGTCTACAGGGAAGAACATGTTATCCACCACCACCATCTCGTCTATTTAATAGTTGTATTTCTTATTGTATATTAATGAATTGAGCTTCTGTGCTTTATCGATTGTTTCTGTAAGCTTGATTAACGCATTTGTTGTGCTACTCGTTTGATTTTGAGCCTGGAGTGAAAAGAATGGTGAATTCACCAAACACACATCCTCTTTAAGGGCCAGTCAGGCTCTTTGACTGGTAATACTTGACCTCATTTGTACCTTGTCTTCAAACTGCAGCAGAGTTCAGATCCCTGATGCACAAAGCAATGCTCTTTTCACTTCTCCTTGTTGTTAATTATAATACTAGCTAATGTTTCTTGAAGGCTCACTAGGTACCAGACATTGCTTTAAAGGCTTTCCATGGATAACCTTATTGAAAATTCACAATGACCCTAAGAGTAAGGCTATTCTAATTTTACAAATGAGGACACTGAAAGCCAGAAAAATTTGTAACTTTCCCAAGGTCACAGAGACAGAAGAGGGCTGGGATTCAGACCTAAGAGCTGAGATTCAGAAAGCTTTGCCTATGACCACCAAGCTACATTGCTTGGCCTGCTAGGCATCGTGCTTTTTCTCTCATTCCTTCTCTTTAAGAAGAAATCCAGAACACCTCCAAATACCTATGAAATTAAACCAAAGTCCTCTATGTGGCTTTCAAGGCCCTCTGTAATCTGATCTCAACATATTGATAGAACTTCAACTCCCATGTCTCATTTAACTTTAACAATCAATTACTTGAAATGTTTTACATGCCAGACATCAGGTTCTGTGCTGACAGCGAAACAAAGATGAGTAAAAGACTTTGTAAACTAAATAGCAGGTGAAACCCAAATCTGTGAAATATGACCAGAAAAACTAGGCAGAAAGTAAATGACACTGTAAACATTTATAGCAGAAGAAATTCACTTCTGACATGAAGAGGAGACAGGTTATAAGACACCTGAATAAGGATTCTGCTGGACCAAGAGGAAAAAGAAAACAATTCATTACAGATAAGAAGAACACTATAAGCCTAGACAAGATCTTAAAAGCACCATGGCCATTATAGGAACAGTAAATGGACAAGTATGATAAAAGCAAGGGGTATGATTGCAATGAATGTGAAAAATAATCCTGAAGTTGCGGACAGGTAAGAGTTTAGATATGAAGTGATAGGTCTGGTCTGAGAAGAGAAATTGCATATTGTGATTTTAGTACATTCACAGTGAGCTGATTGTTGGAATCTTGAGAATTGTGAGGATATGAATGTAGACTAGCAAAAGTAACTAGAGTTAGAAAGAACTAATCCTTCAGTTCCCTTTTATTACCTGGCTCCCTGGCATCCTGGCAAACCTGATGAAGAATAGTGAGATGCCGCAGGCAATAACTCATGTTTCCTGAGGTGCATTCCAGGGTTCAGTATTCACTTGAAATTCTCCTCAGTTGATGCTTTCCAGGGTCATAATGTTGATGATAGTACTAGTATATACTCTTCTTATATATTTGCAAAGCCAAACAAGATATTAAAGACTCCAAAAAGTTCTGCAGCACAAAAATGTGTTTAGCTCTATTTAGCTTATTTTCCCAAACTAGTTGTTATTCAATTTACCTTGATTCCTGCAAACACTGTTATTATCTCATGGGTTAGTGTTCCCTTGTGTTGAAGCTTTGGGAATCTTCTATCTAAGTGATGTCTTTGATGAAATAAATGCTGCAATGCATCTTCTCCTCCAATTTGGGAACAGTGGACAGAACACAGAACTCACACCGGGGCAGCTTAGCTCTGGCCCTCAGGACTGACCAACAGTGTGATTTGGGATGAATAATGGAGCTGAATCAATATTTTCCCATAGGCTGAGTGGGGCTGATGACTCCCGTCTTCTCTCCTACAAGCATCACAGGAATGGAGTGAGCTCACAGGTTGATAGTGTTTCATATATACAGGGAGGGCTGCTGGTTTTATGCACTGAGGTTTTAGTCTGAATACTGAACCAGGTCAGGAGTGTGTTAATATTATAACCAGATAATTTATTTGTACCATTGTCTCTAAACTCAAGTGATCTGAAATAATATGGTTTCAGTATTGGCCCCTAATCTTGAGTAATCTCATAAAAGCAGAATTAATTTTAAGAATAAGGAGACATAGTCTGGCTGCCAATTGCCCTAAAAATGATCTGTGTGAAGGGGCTCAGGATATGCCCCTCAAAATATGTCACTTTGGTATATTGATTGTTTGAGCTGAAAGCGATACGGAAGCAGCAGATGCAAGACGAGCTTTCTGCCTAAAAGCAGGGCATAAATTTTCCTTTGTAAAGGGGCCTCCTCATCCCCTACCAGGAAGTGCTGAACAACTGTCATCACTAGAGATAGCCTAGGTCTTCATAACGAACCTTACCAAACAACTCTTATCTACTACACATTTCCTAGTCACCTTCTCATAGTTTACCATCTGTAGGAACCCAAACTACCTTTATCTCCACTTAGGCACTTAGCCAGTTTATTACCATTGGTTAACATAGCATATAAGCCCTCAGAACCAGCTGTCTCTTTGAGCTTTTACATATCTTCTGTGAAGCCCCTATGTGTGTAAAAATATTAACATCAATACAGAAACATATGCCTTTTCTTCTGTTAATCTATATTTCATCTGTTTAATTTGCTGGCCCCCCGGCTGCAGAACCTGAGAGGGCAGGGGGAAATGTTTTATTCTTCTAAATGTGCAAAGGTCCTACATTGGAAACTTGAGAAACAGGATTCTAATGCAGAAACAGGCATTTATTCTGATTTGACTGGGGCAAGCCAGTTATCTTTCGTTGCTGCTACTTCATGATATTTGGAAGGAGGATTTTTGACTAGGCTAAGGTCAAATTCCTCTCTGGATCTAGCACCGATGTTTATATTAGTGCACAAAAGCACTCCTCCACTTTTGTGATCATGAAGAAGGGACACGTTAAAGAGTGATGGAGGATTTCAAATCCTCTCTTATTCTGAAGAGACGTTGAGGATTTCTGATCTCATTTTCTCACAAGTGTAGACTTTTCTTAAAGGAAGGAATCCAGATTCAGTATGTAAATGCACTATTGGAAAGTTGGAGTTTTTATGTTTAATTTCCTGGTAAGTTTCTAAAGCCCAGTGAGTACCTGTTGGACTCCTTTGGTACAACTATCTACTCTACCTTTAGCATCTATTCTGATACCTGGTTATCAGCTTAGAATTCACCTCCTAACTACAGAGGATCTGCCATATTAATTCCTGAGCTCCAGAGATTAGGGACTATCATGCTTTGGCTGATCTAAATTTCCAAGAAGGTAAGCCCCCTTCCCAGAGCCCCAGTAAAGAAAAGTAAGATGGGAGGCCAAGGTGGGAGAATCACTTGAGCCCAAAAGTTTGAGACCAGCCTGGGCAACATGGTGAAACCCCATCTCTACAAAAAATACAAAAAATTAGCTGGGCCTGGTTGTGCATGCTTGTAGTCCCAGGTACTCAAGAAGCTGAGGTGGGAGGGTCGCCTGAGCCCAGGAGGGCAAGGTTGTAGTGAGCTGTGATCACACCACTGCACTCCAGCCTCAGCGACAGAGTAAAATCCTGTCTCAAAAAAAAAAAAAAAAAAAAAGGAAAGAAGAAGAAAAGAAAAGAAAGGTAAGAGCTAGTTTCAGCAGCTCGACTGTAGGGATCACAACTTCTCTTTTTGTTGTTTTATTATTTTTTGCTTTTTGGTGGTTCTCCTGGATACATTACTAATAGGCTAATGGTTGGGGATGTTGGAGGGAGAATCAGAGAGGGAGCATTGGGCATTGTAACAAGCAAAAGGAGTGGATCCATAGATAAAAGTATTTAGGGAAGGATCTGGTTAGAAGAAACAAATGTGTCAGGCTTAGGATGCAAAGCAAATATTTTATTCTTTGTTGTTTCTTCACTTGGACTGAGAAATCTGCTCATGGAGTTGGCAGTGAGATAGTCTACCAACCCCAGAAATGCCAATATGTCAAAAGGAAACCTTTTCCCTTCAGCAAATAAAATATTAAGTGGGCTCAAGGAAAGCCAGTGGGAAGTGGCCTGCAGAAAGAGATGAAAAATTAATTTTAATGCATGGGAGACTAAGTAATTCACTTATTTCACAACCTCAATCAATTTTAATATTTTAGTATTTAATGCGAATGTGGTGCCTCTCATAATATTTTAAAAGTTGTTTCTCACT
Organism: Homo sapiens; assembly: GCF_000001405.40. Taxonomy (NCBI): domain Eukaryota; kingdom Metazoa; phylum Chordata; class Mammalia; order Primates; family Hominidae; genus Homo; species Homo sapiens. Next base: position 38,000,703 of record NC_000018.10, read on the forward strand.
TTTTGGCTTTTGTCCTACAAGTTCTTTCTGTTTTCTTAGCCATTTTTCTGAGTATGCTGATAGGGAGGTTTCCATGGATTTAATATTACTCCAGGAAAGAATCTATCCTCTTCTACTCTCACTAGTTTAAAAAGTTATAAGTTTATTAAATAGGGAGCAAAGAAAGGAGAGAAGATCCCAAGCCAGCTTTTAGGCAGGCTGATTTTTGGAGAGGGCCCTGAACCCTGAGAGCCTCTCAAGTCTTCCAGGACAGGCCATTGTGTGGAGAGCAAAATGGAGTCATTTAGTCATTAGTTCGTCAGATAGCAGCCCAAGAGGGGAAGCTGTCTGCCTCTCCCCACAATTTACACATTTGTCTTACGAATTCACCAAGCTCGGTGATTTCTGAACAACGCCAGCTGTTAGGGAGCCATTTCCCTGGCATTTTCCCCATAATTTGATTTGAAAGGAAAAGATTAAACTCAGTCGGACCCAGAACTGTCAGCCCAATGCCCTCAAAGAGTTGACAGGAAAAGAAAAAAAAATCCGCAGACTCTTTCAGTTGAAGAAATCACCTTTACCTGTGCATTAAGGAGAGACAATAAGGCATAGGCCAGAGGGTGAATGTGGATATAACCAACCATGGAGATTTCTCCTCCTAGAAAGATGGACTAAAATGAAGACTACAACTTTTGGGTAATACTAATTTTAGGAATAAAAGTTCAGTAGTACTTACATGGGCATCAGCTGGTATGACAATATTAGCATTCTCAAGATACTAATAACAACTAAGTTTTCCAAGATGTGGTGATACCTCTTCTAATTCAATCATAAACTTGTCTTTTTATTTTTTCTATATCTGGGTAAATATGAATATCAGAATGTTTACATTTTATTAAATGCTTTTTTAACTTAATCCTCCCCCACAAGGATGATTTACATGATAATGTTACCTTTGTTTCTTTGTCCGGGTCATTCATTTCTAGAGGTTAACTTGCTCTAAGTGAAACAGCTAATAAATGCAAGAGCTGGGTTTTGGTTCAGGGCCTTTTCTCATCTTCACATCCTGGAGCCTTAGTCACAATGCTTTGTATCTTCTCTGAAAAATGCAATGTAGAAGTGTGTTATAAAAATTCTAACTACTGGAATAGCATGATTTTTCACTAATACCATCACTCATATTCTTGCAGAATATAAGCGCTTTAAAAATAGTCCTCTTGAGCTTGTTCTCATTGCCCTTCTGCTCCGGGCTCTATTTCAGCTTATTGAGGGACACTTTCAGAGGACCACGATTTCCTCTGTTGACACTATCCTCTTAATTTAGTGGCAACTCCAAAATATTTCTAATTTCATTTGATCAGTAAGTCAGTGTTTAATATAAAGAAATGTATTATATATTCATAACATAAAATATGATTTCAGTTTATAAATAATCCAGTTCTCTTTTTTTTCATAGATGAACAAAGAGCCAGGCATAGGCACTCACTTTCCCAGAGACACACAACTTTCTGGGTGCCAAGCCAGACCTGGTCCCAGTATCCTGTTTCCTAATCTAGTGCTTGTTCTAATGTTTCATTTCAAACACATTTATACTTTCTTTACACCACTTCTTAGAATAATGAGACCTATATATATATTGTCTGTAATATGTATATATGTAAAATTTACTGTGTACATTAGCACTTTTATTTTTCTCCCTTCACCCTTTTAATGTAATATTTCATATGGCTTCCCTGTTTTCAACAATTATGCCTTAAAGTTCCCCCATTTTTTCATTCACAACAGTGCCTAGGACAGTTCTGAGAAAACATTAAGTCCTCATTAATTATTTAATGATTGATTAATCATCTTTGAGACGAATTTGCATGCATTTATGATTTTAAATTCCTCAGTATGTCATTTTTATTATTTCCTATTTATTTTTTATTGGTAGACTTCTATTAAACTCAGAGGTCATCTTGTGGTGCTGAGACTCTGAAACCTATATTCCAAGAGCAACTAGGATACCATAGAATTTGGTTCTGTTAATAGCTCCTTTGACATTGCTGAAAGTTACTAAATCTAAATTTCCATTCCCATATGCCAAGATGCCTCCCAGTGATAAAAAGTAATGAAACTGCATTAAATAACAGAAATGCTTGCCTTAAGACCCTTAGGGGGTCCCTTTGTCTTCATTCTGAGTCCTTTGAACTTGGCATGATGGAGTGGAGATTTCATAGGAAAGGAGAAACACAGGTGGGCAACCAGGAAAGTATTTGAGAGAGATGATTTGAAAGAGAAGGATATTAAAGAGGGACCCCAGACTTCAATAGGGGTTTACCTTTACTTGGGTTCCTAAGTAATTTTTGTATTAAGCAATGTAAAAAGATAGAATTTTGCTTTAAGGAATCCCAGAGATTGAAAGGCAGGTTAACCAACTTATAACTACACAGTGCAAATCATTTCACCTAAGGGGAAATACACACACACATACGTGTCTGTGTCTCTGTGTGTATCACATAAATAATATTCCTTGTTGATTCAGTTAACTGCTTTGTACTTGAAAGGACATAGGATGGCTTATAGAGATTTATCAACTATAACTGTATAAGACATTAAGAGAAGGTAAGAAAGAAAAATTAACAACAAAAGAGATTTAAAATGAAGCCAAGAATGAAGCATATATAAAATACATAGCATATAAAAAGGGTACATTTTATCTACATAGGTCAATAAAACTCTAGGGTCAAAGGGTTCTGATATTCATGAGCCATGTTACTTTGGACAAGTTTGTTCATTAATTTGGATAAGATTTGGTAAGTGCTGTTGACACAGACAGGAGACAGGGAAATACTGGGTAGAAGAGGGAGGTTCCCTGGCAAAGACCCCACGCTCAAGTCTGGAGAGCTGTGGCCCTAAATGGGGACAGGCATTGCTGTTTTCACACCCAAAAAGTTACCTTTTGGCCTGCCATGCCTCCAGATGAGCAGGTAAGGAGATGAGGAGACAAGCAGACAGACGGCAGAACGACACAGCAGAGAAAGAGAAGAGGAGGAACTCCTGAGTGCCAAGAGTTCGGCTGGGGGCAGTTGGAGAGGAGTTTGACCACTGGACTGGACTTCCAGGAGAAAATCATCTTCCCATTCCATACTCCCTTCCAGCTCCCCATCCATCCTGCTGAGAGCCACCTCCACACTCAATAAAACCTGCATTCATCCTTCAGGCCCATGTGTGACCTGATTCTTCTGGGATGTTGGGCAAGAGCTTGGGATACAGAAAGCTGTCACACTGGCCCTCTGCCCTTGAGAAAAGGCAGAGGGTTCATTGAGCTGTTAACACACTCAAGCTGTCCAAGGATGGCAGGGCTAAAAGGGCACACTGTAACACACACACACCTGGGCTCCTGCACCTGTCTGTCTATGTGCTCCCCCTCCCCTCAGGGGTTTGAGTGGTGGCAACAGCCCAACAGGCGAGCCACACCCATGTCACATGTCCTGCAAGGGGGATAAATGAATGCTCCCATTTCACTGTGTTTTCATATACTTACAGAACATTTCTCCTGCCCTGTGGAAACTGGCAGTCTAAGTAGGAAAATAAGAGTTACTCGATGGAAACAATTAAAATGGACTTTTGTAATTACATATACATGCTCCATCTCTCTTAAGCCTTGATCTCATCCTCTTTGCTTCTGTTTCAGCCATGCTGCTGCCAATGCTCCCTGCCCACTTGCCCTGTGGACAGTCACCTCTGGTAACAAGTGTGTTCTGTCTTGTCACTTCTAACCCAAGGCATTCCTTTTGGACAGAAGCTTCAGGGAAATCCCTTCCACTGTCAGCAACTGGAGTGTCTTCAACATTTTTTCTTGAGTCACCATCTTTTGCTATATTATTTTTTCTTTTACTATTTTTCTTTTAACCAAAGTCTTATCCTATCCCAATTTTTATTTATTTTATTTTATTTTATTATTTTATTTTTTTTGAGACGAAGTCACTCTGTCGCCCAGGTGACAGAGCAGTGACAGAGCAGAGTGCAGTGGGGTGATCTCGGCTCACTGCAAGCTCCACCTCCCAGGTTCACACCATTTTCCTGCCTCAGCCTCCTGAGTAGCTGGGATTACAGGCACCCACCACCACGCCCGGCTAATTTTTTGTATTTTTAGTAGAGACAGGGTTTCACCACGTTAGCCAGGATGGTCTTGATCTCCTGACTTCATGATCCGCCCACCTCGGCCTCCCAAAGTGCTGGGATTACAGGTGTGAGCCACCATGCCTGGCCTGTATCCTATCCCAATTTTTAAAATCTAATTTATTTTTCCTCCAGGATCCTCCATACATCTACATCACCCAGTGCCCTCAGGAGCACATCCAGTCCCTATATCACAGCCTTTGTCATTTCTATCACTCTCAACGGCTGCATTTGCTCTTGCCCCCTGGGGTTTTACTCTCATTTAACTTTGACACATGTCTTCATTACCTCCTTGAGAGGAACTCCAGGGGCCTAGAAAGAACTGCTGAAAGTGGCTCATACAGTTTCTCAGAGGCAGTAAGAATTGGATGATGCAAATTTTAGAGGAGAGAGTTGTTATATCTTGAAGGAACACAGCTGTGAGACACTTTTGCTACTCACTGATGAGAAGGAAGCCAGTGCTGGGATAGACCAGTCTGAAAGAAGTTGAGTTGACCCTGAAGTCCTAAGGCCCAGCATTCAAAGGTGGGGAATAATTCTACCTGATGCAAACTGAAGTTTGAATCCAAGAGGACAAAGCTGTAAAAATTTCCTGAAAGTAGTTGGATTCCAGGTATCACACAAGATATTAGTATGCAGTAATGTATGCAACACACGTCAGGTTGCATGGAGCTTTCAGAACATCATGATCAGCCTCCATCTAAATACCCACAAGAATCCTGGTTTTGGAAACCTTATGGAAATGAATCCACATAAGAAAAGCTATATTCTATTGCTAGAGAAGTTCCCGTCTTAATAGTTTAATGAGTATGTTTGTAAAACGTATGAATGTTTTAAATTTTTAAGAGGAGATATTGAGCATAATTAAAATTTGTATGTAGCTTTTCAAGGTCATCATAACAAATATATATTATTTTATATTTTTAATTTTGTGGCATTATTGGGGGCTTTTATGATAAAAAAGGCTATCTGCCTTTACTATTAATGACTTCAAATTATAGTGATGCTTGGCTTTCTACAACAACTTTTCATTGTTTTACTGCAGTATTTATATAATACATATACATATATATCTCATATATATACACATATATCCCACAATAATACCATATGTGTTTATGCATGTGTATGACTATATACAATATATAGTGACCTCCATAAGCTTTTTAAACTACCTCTTTCAGTTTATTAAAAATAGATATGTCCCTAATTATGAGAGTCTTTAAATTTTCTGAGATCAATACTTTCAACTTAATGTTATAATTTTTAGTATGTTATAATTTCCAGTCAAAATAAATGTTGGGGTAGCTTAGTGGCCAAAGTTCAGACCATTCAATTGCATAGAGGTTGTGGGTTGTCCACAGAGAAACTGGTATCACCCACCTTTTCGTTGTCAACAGGCAAATCCAGGTACAGATTCTGTTCCAAGTCTTTGGAAAAAATAGATACAGTTGGGGAAAAATATTGCTTTTTAAAAATCTGAACACAAGACTGATTATACATTTAATCAATGTACCAGGTATCCCATTCCATGACTTGGTAATAGAGCTTTTCCTGAGGCCATGGAATTAATGTATCCTTGGAAAATCCCATGTAACAACTCCTTGAGCACCGATTAACCTTGAAATATGGGGTAAAAATCATGCTTTAGTGTCTCAATTTTCTGTTTTTCTTGGGATCAAACATCAAGAGTTAGAGACCTCCTGAGAGACAAATCATTTGACTGAGAAGAATGTTTGCTGTTGTTCTGCTTGTACTTGAACTGAGATGGGAATTGGATGTCTGGGATCAGCAGTGGAGTGGGAACAGAAAAACATACACAATATGAGTGGCAAGAGTGGAACTAAAGACTGATGCCAAGAATGAAAACTGGCTGTCTAAAAAGAGGATGCCAAGAGCCAGGTGGAAAAGTACCAAGATTTGTATCAGGAAATATGAGGCTAAATCAGGAAGTTGGAGGGAACCTGAGACTGAAAAAGTTAAGAGGAAGCTACGGTGTGGTATTTCCTTAGCGTCTGACATTGGGCAACTGTTCCTAAATGTGTCCCTTCTGCACTTGTACCACAGGCAGTTTCCTGGAGCCTGGCACTTTTGATTTTATTGTGGGATTTCTCAAACATTGGTTAATAGTAGACTTTCCAGGAAGCCTTGTTAAAGACATAAATGTCCTTGTCCAAAACCTAATATACTGGTTTAGGGCAAGAATTGGTAAATTTTTTGTATAAAGTACCAATAGTAAATGTATTTGGCATTGTGAGCCACATGATCTCTATTGCAACTTATCATCTCTGTTCATCTAGCACAAGAACAGCTATACATAATATGTAAATAAGTGAACATGGCTGTGTCCAACTAACAAATCTTTATAAAAAAGGCAGTATGCCAGAACTGGCCCAAAGACTGTTTTGCTGACTTGTGGTTTAGAACAGTATTATTCCTTTCCCCAACATAGTAATCTAATACATCTTGAAAAGAAATTAGCAAAACATGGTGGCTTCAAAATAGAAAGCCAACTGTTTCTCTTAATGATCTATATAGTTTTGCAGATAATGTTATTATTGGTGCTCAATATCTCTGTGTTCAAACGTTGTCAAGAGATGGATTTACAAAAATGTGGTGGCAAATATAGTTTGTTTTGGAAGCTACTGGAAGAGGATCGTTGTTCTCCAAGTAACTCACTCACTTACCTGCTGTCATGTTAGAAGTTCCACCTTTAGCAGGTCAATTCCATTCATAGCAAAAATACGATTCCTGAAACAGTATGCAAATGAAAGAAGAGAATATTTATTCCTACCTTCATGGAGGAAGAAGAGCAAATTTCTCTCTGACAGTTTAAAGACTTCTGAGAATGTAAGCAATATTTATTTATTGAGAAGAAAAATGATTTGAAGACAAAACTATGGAGATTATTCTAGGCTAGCATCCAGGATTAACAGCTAAGTGAGATTGTTTATAAAGTCCTTTTCAGTGAGACAAGGGTTTATTGGGATGTGGGACAGAGGGAAGAGGAATGTAGATTTAATGTTTAGTTTAGGCAGGCTTTCTCTGTGTGTGTATGTGTGTTGTGTAGGACATGGTTGTGAAGGCAATGATAGCATGCGTTAAAGAAACGAGCAGCATTTAAATGAAATGTTCCCAAAGACATTCTAGTCAAACCCAGCTCCTCCATTAAGGAATCAGCTCATCTTTTGCCTCTGGGTGGGGTGTAATCAGTTTCCTGATTAGCATTTGCTGTCACAAGGATTTGAAGTTGCTTCTACATGACTCAGAGAGTCACTATGAGCTCAGGGAGAGCCGGCTCCCTGTAACTGCTGGCGAGTCTCAGTGGGCGCATGACTCCTGTGCACATGCCACAGTCAAATGTAGACAAGTGGCAAACCTGATGTTTGTTTTGGGGCGCTTTTAAGTCTAGCTCTGTGACTGCCCCTCTGTCTCTTTTGAGCTTCCCTTATTTTGTTGTTTTGACACATTGGTCCTAAGTCTTTATAGAAGTACAGGACTTTCTTGGGCTCCCTTTTTAAACAAAACAAGACTGAAGCCCAGTTTATCTTCCAAAGGAGAATACTGTGCCCTAAGAAGGGACTTGACTTCTGGGAAGAACGAGTTTAATAAACCAATCGAAGATAATACCTTTACTAGTTATTTGATTTTTTTTTTCAATTATTTGCCTCTTACTGGGGGTTCTATACTCTTTCCTCACAAGGATTCACTAATTGGAAATTTCATTAGGAGATAGTTTCAACCACCTCTGCAAGCTGTCACATTTGGAATGGTTTTGGATCAGAATTCTACAGTTAATTAAATGACAGGAGACCTGGGTTTTTGTCCTGTCTCAAATTACTAAATTAGCTATAAAATTGTTTTCCCATTATCGATCTCAGTTTTCTCATTCTATAAAATTAAGGTTTGGAATTACATCATTACTGCTTGAAATGCAGAATAAGCTAATTTATACTAAAGTATTAATGACTGACAGTGGCTTAATTTGTTAGTTATCCAGGAACAGTGAAATTTGAAAGCCCTTAGACCCTAGAGGTTCTGCAGCAGTCTCACTTTAGTCACCATTGTCAATGCAGAGAGCTTCCCAATTTCCTTCAAATCATCATTTAGAATGCAGTTGCAATTGAGGCAGACGGAAAAATGGTCAGAAAACAGAAAATGTTTTTGTTAAGGATAGATGTTTTCTATAATTGCTGTGAGAATTTTGAGTAGGGAAGAACCTTAAGCAGGCACGGGTAATCAGACATGCTTTACATGCTGAGATTTGGTGGAGGGGTTGGTGCTTTTATGTGCAAACCATCCCAAAAGATTTTGAGACAGAGAAACCTGTGCCTACTTGGTTTTGGCACATAGTTGTCACCACTCTGCATATGTACTCTGAACATTAATCCACATTCTCCTCCCCCCTGCTCCACAACCCCATAGACTCCTATCTCATTCAAAACGTTTTTTTAAAAAATAAATCATCTTGCTTAGCTATAATGCTTGATGCAAGCTTAGAACAATAGCCACAGTTCTATCTTCAGCTCATTTCTCTCCTCTGCCTGAATTGCTTACCCCATGGGGGTAGGAATGATTTTTCTCTTCTTTCATTTTGCATACAGTGTTAGACTATAAATCTTCCATATCTGATTGGACTCTGCCCAAATGACTATTCCCTCTTAGATGAGAGATATATTTCTTAATGTGTTATTCAGGCCGCTCAATTTATCTCTTCATTCAATAGATAATGACATGGTGTTGCAGGCACTCTGTAGATGTCAGAGTTTGTGAACACAGCAGACAACATCCCTGTCCTCATGGAGTCTGCATTCTGGCAAGGACAGGCTGACAATTAACAACAAAAAAACCCCACATATATCAGCTTGTAAAAGTGTACTCTGGAGAACAATAAAGCAAGGGGAAAAGCAAGAGTGCAAATGACCAGAGGTGGATGCTTTTTAAATGGGGAGGCCAGAGAAGGTCCGTCTGAATAGGGAATATTCGATCAGATCTGAAGGAACTGAGCAGGTATGTTACATGAGATCTAAGTCAGGCTGGTTCCTGGCCAATATGAATTTTTCTCATACACTGTTCCCAACTATTAGTTATCTTCTTCCTTATGCAAATGTGGCTTTTTCTGCCCAGAATCTCCCCTCTCATCACTCATTTTGAGTCATCCCCTCCTTTGTTCAAGAACCCTCTTTGGTATTTACAGTTGATGTTCATTATTTGCAGATTCCATTTTTGCAAATTTCCGTACTTACTAACATTATTTGTAATGCCCAAATCAATACTCACGGTGTTTCCATGGTCATTTGAGAACATGGGCATGCAGAATGGAGAAAAATTTGAGTCACCCTATGTGTACTTTCCAGCAGAGGTTGAACAAAGAGATACTCTGCTTTCTTGCTTCAGCTCTCCTATGGTAAACAAGGGTCCTAGTTGTCATCTATTTGGTGTGACATTTTTCACATTTTTGTGCTTTTTAATGCTTTTTGGTGGTAATTTAGCTGTTTAAAATGGCTCTCAAACACAGTGCTAAATTGCTGTCTGATGTTCTGCAGCAAGTCAAGCAAGAAACCTGGGATGTACCTTCTGGTGAAAATAAGTGCATTAGGTAAGCTTCATTCAGGCATGAGTTATAATGCTGTTGGTTGTGAATTCAATGTTAATGAATCAATGAAATATATTAAATGAGGTATCTTAAACAGAAACATACATGAAAAAATGTTATATATTGATTAGTTGACAAAAATGTTGTGGCTAGGGGCTCACAGGAACCTAATCCTGTTTTTAGCCTAGGAGCAAAATGATTCTGTGTTTTTGTTAATTCAGTGCCAGTGCAGCGTTCCTGGTGACTTTATACAATTTTATACACCTGTGAGTAATGAGAATCAATGATATCTTCTAGGTCTTGTCTCTAAAATAATTTATTTTGAGGTACGTTACATTTTAGTACTTGATTATGCTCTAATTAATTATCTGCTACATTTGCTTCTGACCTCTTCTCTAATTGTTTTATACAGTGTTTTGGTCCATCATCACTTTGATCAGCTGTCAATTATTGAGCATCTACTATATTCCCAAAACGGGTTAGGGATTTTCATTGTCAGGACCCTGAAAAGTAGATATTTGGAAGCCATTTTACAAATTCAAACTCTGTCGCCCTGAGAGGTTAAGCGATTTGCCCAAGGTCACTGTGCAAATCATGCTAAGGAACCTGCATTTGCTCCCAGGTTTGCTTGACTCTGAAGCTTTTATGTTTTTGCACAGTTCTGGGTGCCTGAAATTCAGTGAGCTAAACTGAGCACTACACAAAGAAGACAGAAGGAGGGAGGGAAAGTCAAGGACAATTCATGCTTTGTGTTGGTTGGTAGCAAAGCTATTTTTCTCTCTGGAAGAAAGAGATGAAACTTCTGATATTCAAATGCTCACCCACCAGGCACCCTTCAGAACTCCCATCGATCAGCTGGCAAATGGACACATTTTAACGAGCACAATCACAACCAAGCAAGTTCTGGCAACAAAATATGCCTCCACTAATGATATTCAATTGTTCTAAGAAGACAAAATGGTCTGAAGTGTAATGAGATGCCAAACACACAAATGCACAAAACAGGCTGCTCATATTTAAGTCCTTATGTTTCTTGAAGTGAAAACTCATTTTAAGAAGATTATGGTGCATATATTATAAAATGGGATGATATTCTACATTCATGCCCCACTGGGGCCTTGACTGTATTAAAAAAATGAAAACAAAACCAACAACAACATTTTGTTCCCACACAAGTACTTTGCTAATAGGACATGTGATGTGTTAGTCATTTGTTTGGGTTATTTTTATTGCAGGCTTTCTAGATGCATTTACCCTTTGATATGCAGTGTATTCATGGAGTTTTTTTCAGCTGAGTTTCTGAGGGTTAGAATATTCTAGAAACAAGGGCAGAAGGTCAGGGCCATGGAAGAAAATTATAATTGATGAGGTGGGATAAGAGGGAGGAAAGGGAGGAAACAGGCTGGGATGATGTCTTCCCCACTCCTTCTGGTTAGAGTAAAGCAACGTCCACTGAGGCCATAGCCATAATTTTATCCTTGACCAAGTTCTATTTAACATGTGTATCAGTGGCAAAGATCCATGATTTCAAACACTTATTATAAGCAAAATCCTTTGTTCTAATGAAATCTTTCTAAGAAATGTAAACAAATAAAACATATAGGAATGGAAATAATATGGTTAAAGTGAGCATGATGTTTTCCAAACAATTTAGATCTCCTTTCTCCTCCTTCTCTTTTTTTTATTTAAATCAGTAACCCTGTGGGGGGCTTCTGAAAACCCCTAAGACCCCAGGAAACTGTGTGAAAATCACTGATTCAGATGAAGAAGTGAGATAGTTAAAGGTCCCAGAGAAAAGGACAGAATGGGAAAAGGAAGGGTATGTAAGGCAGGGAATGGAAAACATTGTATCTGTTTCATAAAGAGAAAGTAAATGGGGTTGGGGTGGTAACTCAGGAATTAATGAATGTAGGAAACATCCACCACTCCTAGAGCTGGTGGAAGGAAAGGGAGGAAGTGGTGTTATCAGAGTCCAAAAATACTGAGCAAAGGCCACATGGACGGTGCTGGAACCATGAAGAGGCTCCTGGCTGAAACCAGGGCTGCAGACACTTCTGCAGATGCCACAAGAGATTAAGGGAGAAGCAAAGAAGACGCGCTGCTTCTTCCCTACTCCTGTCTGTCATCCCACCAATACCTCCTCATGGTTACACCTACCAGGAAGCCTGATAAAAAGACTCCCAGCCTTGCCATTACTGAATAGAATTAAGAAGGGAAAGCATGAGGCTCAGAGGCAGTAACTGGCCCAGTCATCTTTTCTGCTTAATATTTCAGAACTTACTCTTCTTGGAATATCCTATGATAATCAATAACATAGAACAAATATATGCTCTTTGCTATGCCCATCCTGAAAGGGTCAACTCATGATTTTCCCCCTGAACTTCTTAGAATTCATCTTTGAATCTTTGTTACTTCATAAATACCTGACTCTCAAGTCAAATAGTTATCTGTTGCTTGCGAATTAGTATAGACGTACAATTCTGGCCCTATTTCCTTTTATGCAAAGTTGGGCTGGCTATGGTGTTTCATGCCTGTAATCCTAGCAACTAAAGAGGCTGAGGCAGGAGGATCACTTGAGACAGGAAATTTGAAGCTGCAGTGGGCTATGATTGTATGAGCCTAGATGCCAGAGCTAGACCCTGTCTCTCTCTCAAAAAAAAAAAAAAAAGTAAAGAAAGAAAATAAAAAGACAACAATGTAGATTTTCTCCTTATGCTGTCTTTCTGCGATATTTCTGATTGGGGTTGACAAATGACACTTATGGCTAGTGACAGAATATTATATAGAACTTTTTGCAAACTAGGTCTGAGTTACTTTTTGCTTTGTATACTACAAAATACTGATTGTGGGGATCACTCCATAAGGCCATAGGAGTCATTTAAAGAAGTGGTAAGAGAAAGTGCATCTGTGGAGGTGCCAGGAAGTTCTCAGCCTCCTCTTCTGCAATTCACTTGTGCCATTAGACCCTTCCAAAATCTCTCCTAGTAGATAACACTTCCACTTGATGGGAGAGTGCTGCTCTACATCCCTATATTTGTGATTTAGTGAATAAGAAAACACCTAGTTCAAGATAGAGTTCAAGTTGCTAGGTCAGTTGTCCTGTGACCAGATAGTAAACCAGGGCCCAGTATTAACTTTTTATTCTAGAAGCTAACAGTATCCTCAGAAGGGGGCATTATTTTGCTCCAAAATCTTGGGGAACTGCACTGTGATCTCTCTATTGGTGAATTCCATAGACTTCTTCCAGCATTGTTGTTCACCATAGTTATTCTGTGTTCCTTTGGAGAGGCTGGATACTAAAGTTACTGTGTCAGAACAGCATCCATTATAACCTGGATCAGCTTCAGAATTCACTCACAACTGAAAGCCTTTCAGCAAGTCAGTAAATACATTGGAACAGTACCTTCAAATAAAGTATATGTTGCCTCCAAAATCCAAAGAAGCCAAACATGCATTGTGCTTATTTCTTAGTGGTAGGCTGTATAAGGGGAAACTCCACTGGACTCTCAGAAATGTTACCAAGGTGTCAAGTCCATATATTTTTATGGGGTTTATCTCCTAACTTCTGGCACTCTTGAATGCTACTAAGGCAACTAAGGTAGTTGCCACTTTCTACTCATCAAGTCCCATCAGCATGATACCATCAAGGTAGTGGACCAGCATGATGTTCTTGGGGTAACAAGATGCTCAAGGTCCCTGCAAACAAGGTTATGACAGAGGTCAGGAAGGTTATGTGGCTCTGGAACAAGTCAGTTGAGGAGTATTGCTACCCTGTGAGGCAAAAGCTTCCTGCTTCACATCATCTTTGGAAATTGTTATATAGGAGGAAAAATATGATATATAAATAGCTGCATGCCAGGTGCCAGGGGATTTTGCTTTGTTCGAGGAAAGATACTAACACAGGAATGGCAGCTACAGTCTAAGGTACCACCTGATTTATTTCCTAGAACTCCACAGTCATTTCCCAGACCTAGTCATCTTCTGCATAGTAAACAAGACTAGTTAAATGGCAGTATGACAGAACTTACAACTTCTGCAAATATCAAGTTTCTTCTTGGTACCAAACACTATATCAATCAAAGTCCAATGAAGATAATTGAAGAGGCATATACACTTCCAAAAATCCTGCCAGCAGCAGAGAGAAATCAAGTAAGAATAATTTCTTCTCTCCCCTTCTCTTCTGATCTCTAACTAATGCCTCCTTTGGGAAAAACTAATAGAAAACTGGTTGGCAAAGGAAACTGGAAATTTAATTAAAGACACCCAGCCTCGGCATTCCAGAGAAGACAGAACTATCAATGTGGGACTGGGAGGCACTAGGTAAGTAACTGACACAATTACTCCTTGCATAATAAATTGATATTTGGAACAGAATTTTATTAGTTTTGTGACTTATACTTGTCTCCGCTTTTTCTGATGACATACCACACACAGAGAAAGAGGATAGTGCCCCAGAAGACTATGCTGCAATGGGAAGTCTGTAATGTAAGTTCTGGGAACTTTTTAGTTTTCCTCAAACCCAAGAGGTTAGAACCATACCAAACTGACGTAAGTTGGCATTAATAACATTTCGTGACATGAAGTTGTCAGGATGAGAAACCTAATGATATAAATGTGGGACTCATAGGATGAGGCTGTGGCGGTATGAGAAGTCATGGATTGGCATCACTAGTTCATTTAAAAGACCTGCTGTTCTTAGGTAAATGCCTACCCTAAAATAGAAAGCCATCAGGAGGTTTGACTTAACATAGAACTCATTCAGATAAAGACTATATTTATGAAGCAGAACTTCTATATTGCAGTAAGACAAATCAGATCTGTCACATCTTACCCACTAGTGAGACTTCCACTTTAAGAGCAAGATTTACAAGTACAGTTCAGAGATAGTCATGATAATGGTGAAAAGTCTAGAAATTATCTAAGGGGACAAAGTGGGGTTCATTTGTATTTATACATATATTTACCCTTTCTTTATACTTTTCTTTTTTGAGTCCATCTTTAATACTTTTCTTCTCCAGTACTCTCTTTTCTGTTTTTTTTTTTTGTTGGTCTTTTATGTTTAAAAAAAAATTTAAGTTCTGGGGTACATGTGCAGGATGTGCAGGTTTGTTACATAGGTAAATGTGTGCCATGATGGTTTGCTGCACCCATCAATCCATCACCTAGGTATTAAGCCCAGCACGCATTAGCTATTTTTCCTAATGCTCTCTCTCCCTCCACCTTACCCCCAGACAGGCCCCAGTGTGTGTTGTTCCTCTCCCTGTGTCCATGTGTTTTCATTGTTCAGCTCCCACTTATAAGTGAGAACATGCAGGTGTTTGGTTTTCTGTTCTTGCATTAGTTTGCTGAGGATAATGGCTTCCAGCTCCATCCCTGCCCCTGCAGAGGACGTGATCTCTTTCCTTTTCATGGCTGCATAGTATTCCATGGTATATGTGTACCACATTTTCTTTATCCCATCTATCATTGATGGTCATTTGGGTTGATTCCATGTCTTTGCTATTGTGAATAGTGCTGCAATGAACATACGCATGCATGTATCTTTGTAATAGAATGATTTAAATTTTGGGGGGTATATACCCAGTAATGGGAATATTGGTCAAATGGTATTTCTGCTTCTAGATCTTTGAGGAGTCACCCCACCATCTTCCACAATGGTTGAAGTAATTCACATTCTCGCCAACAGTGTAGAAGTGTTCCTATTTCTTCATAACTTTGCCAGCTTCTGTTGTTTCTTGACTTTTTAATAATCGCCATTCTGACTGGGGTGAGATGGTATCTTATTGTGGTTTTGATTTGCAATTCTGTAATAATCAGTGATGCTGAGGTTTTTCTTCGTGTTCTTTGGCCGCATGAATATATTCTTTTGAGAAGTGTCTGTTCCTGTCCTTTGCTCACTTTTTAATGTTTTTCTTTTTCCTCATAAATTTGTTTGAGTTCCTTGTAGATTCTGGATATTAGGCCTTTGTCAGATGGATAGATTGCAAAAATTTTCTCCCACTCTGTAGGTTGCTTGTTCACTCTGATGATAGTTTTTTTTTTTTTGTTTTTTTTTGTTTGTTTTTTTGTTTTTTTTTAAACTGTGCAGAAGCTCTTTAGTTTAATTAGATCCCATTTGTCAATTTTTGCTTTTGTTGAATTGCTTTTGGTGATTTCATCACGAGATCTTTGCCTGTGCTTATGTCCTGAATGGTATTGCCTAGATTTTCTTTTACGGTTTTTGTAGTTTTGGGCTTTACCTTTAAGTCTTGAATCCATCTTGAGTTAATGTTTGTATAAGGTGTAAGGAAGGGATCCAGTTTCAATTTTCTGCATATGGCTAGCCAGTTTTCCCAGTACCATTTATTAAATAGGGAATCCTTTCCCCATTGCTTGTTTTGTCAGGTTTGTCGAAGATCAGATAGTTGTAGACGTGCAGTCTTATTTCTGAGTTCTCTATTCTGTTCCATTGGTCTATGTGTCTGTTTTTGTACCAGTACCATGCTGTGTTGGTTACTGAAGGCTTGTAGTATAGTTTGAAGTCCAATAGCGTGATGACTCCAGCTTTGTTCTTTTTGCTTAGGATTGTCCTGGTTACATGAGCTTTTTTTTGGTTCCATATGAATTTTAAAATAGTTTCTTCTAATTCTGTGAAGAATGTCAATAGTAGTTTAATGGGAATAGCATTGAATCTATAAATTACTTTGGGCAGTATGGCTATTTTCATGATATTGATTCTTCCTATCCATGAGCATGGAATGGGTAGTGGTTTGTAGTTTTCCTTGAAGAGGTCCTTCACTTCCCTTGTTAGCTGTATTCCTAGGTATTTCATTCTCTTTGTAGCAATTGTGAATGGGAGTTCATTCATGGTTTGGCTTTCTGCTTGCCTGTTGTTGGTGTATAGGAATGCTTATGACTTTTGCACATTGATTTTGTATCCTGAGATTTTACTGAAGTTATTTATCAGTATAAGAAGCTTTTGGGCTGAGGCGATGCGGTTTTCTAGGTATAGGATAATGTCATCTGCAAACGAAGACAATTTGACTTCCTCTTTTCCTATTTGAATACCCTTTCATTCTTTGTCTTGCCTGTTGCTCTGGCCAGAACTTCCAATACTATGTTGAATAGGAGTGATGAGAGAGGGCATCCTTGTCTTGTGCAGGTTTTCAAGGGGAATGCGTCCAGCTTTTGCCCATTGAATATGATATTAGCTGTCGTTCTGTCATAGATGGCTCTTATTATTTTGAGGTATGTTCCTTCAATACTTAGTTTATTGAGAGTTTTTACCATGGAGGGATGTTGAATTTTATTGAAGGCCTTTTCTGCATCCAATACTCTCTTTAATATATCCTTTTGCACAGGTGTTCATTAACAATTCTCTCAGCTTTTGTTTGATTAGACATCTCACTTTTTTACTTTCAGTTTTAAAGGACATTTACATTCAGTTTAGAATTTTACATTGGCAGGTGTTTTCTTTGGCACTTCAAGGAGATCATTATGGATATCATTATCTGGCTTCTATATGTTCTGAGGAGAAGTCAGTGTTCACTCATTATTTTTCATTCAAAGGTAATGTCCTTTTTCCTCTGACTACTTTTTAGGATTTTGTTTTTGGGCTTTGGTTTTCAAAACTTTTACTATGACATATGTTAGGTGTATTATTTTTATAACTGTGTTGCTTAGGTTTTTGTTGAGCTTTTGAATCTGTGTCTTCAAGGTTTTATAATTCTTGGAAAACTCTTGGAAATTATTCCTTTGTATTTCTGTTATCTCATTCTCTCCTATTCGCTTTCTGGGTTATAATTACTCATATATTACATCTTTTTATCATGACACATTTCTCTCTCTCTAATATTTTCGATTCTCTATTTGATTCCATTATTTTCTACTAATCCATCTTTCATTTTATTTTATTCTTAGCAGTGGTGATTCAATGGCTGTTTACATCATCCATTGAGTTCTTAATTTCAGATACTACAATTGTCAATTCTAGAATGTTCATTTAACTCTTTTTTATAGTTTCCAGTTCTATGGTGAAATAGTCCATCCTGTCATCTATTTTTTTCTGAATATATCACAGTTATTTTAATGTCCACATCTGATAGATAACTCTAATATACGAAATAACTATATGACTATTATTATTGTCTGTTGGTCCAAATTCTTGAAATGCATGGTAATTTTTGATTAAGTGATGAACTTTTTTATTAAAAAAACTTGCCAAAAATAAATAAATAAATAAATAAATACATAAATACATCAATAAATACACAAAATAAAGGCCAGGTGTGGTGGCTCATGCCTGTAATCCCAGCACTTTGGGAGGCTGAGGCGGGCAGATCACCTGAGGTCAGGAGTTTGAGACCAGCTTGGGTGGTGGTGCAGCCTGTAGTCCCAGCTACTTGGGAGGCTGAGGCAGGAGAATCTCTTGAACATGGGAGGCCAAGGTTGCAGTGAGATGAGCATGCCACTGCACTCCAGCCTGGGCAACAGAGTGAGAGTCTGTCTCTAAAAAAAAAAAAAAGAAAAGAAAAAAAGAAAAAAAATTGCAGAAGCTCTCGATAATATTATATTCCTCCAAAGAGAATAAAACTTATTTTTGGCAGGCATAAGAGTGAGAGCATGTTACCTCTATTCAATCATCAATGTAGCTGACTGAAAGCTGGATTTCAGACTTTGTAAGTTTTGCTATGTCTCTCAGTTGCCCCCTACTCTTAGTTGTAGTTCTCCAGGATTTACCACTGAGATCCTGGGGTGATCAGCAGGGAACCTCTTCCTGGAAAGTGTATGAATTCTAGTTTTCCTCCACAGAACCTTGTGGCTATGGGGTGTTCTGTTGAACTCTTTAGCTACTTTCTCCTCATCCATTGGCAAGCAGAGGATGTCAGTCTCACTTTCTGTCCTTACTTTTCACAAGGATTCTAAACCCCTACGCCCAGCTGCCTTGATAGCCCATGTTCAATGTTGGCATTTGTAGCTCTGTGAGGTTGCTGAAAGTCCAACTGCCTTCTGTTTCTTACAGACAAATGGTTAGATCTTCAGGCTCTTACTCCTCACTACTTAAAATTCCACAAATTCCCGGAGCTCCCCTTCTAAGACCTTGGCCTCACATGTCTTGGCTTCCTCAGAAGCTCTCCAGTGCATTTGCATAGATATTATTTGTCAGTGCAATTATTTGGCAGCATTTTATCCAGCTTTTTTGGTTGCTCTCAGGAAAAAAAAAAGTGTTGTTCTACTTCAAGTTGCCCTGTCATAGCCAACTGTAGAAACTCATACCAGGCTATTTTAGACAGATGCATAGGGAGAGTGGTGGTTTTGGCATAAGCCTGTTGGTTACCAGGTATGTCTACAGGACATAAAAAGATGAGAGAAACAGTTGGAGTCTCTTTGTGTTTTTCTATCTTCCTATACTATATTGAGAACAAGGGTGTCTTTACCCTTACTTTTGATGACTCAGAACTCTGATCTACAGTCGTAAAGAGGAAAATATGAGTATACAAAACCATGTGCTTATGGGAATTATATTTGTTCCTTGAAATTTATTAAAGCTTTCTGACGGCTTGGCACATTATTAAATTTTTGTAAATGTTCTATTACTGCTTGAGAGAAATGTGTACTTTGTAATTGTTGTTTGTGAAACTCCATAAATGGCCGTTAGTTCGAGGTTATTTATTATATTGTTTTTATCTTTCAAATTATTTTAGTTATCTACCTGTTCGATCAGTAATTGAAAAGTCTGTGTTCAAATGTACTGTCTTGTGCCACTCATGTGTGTATTATTTTAATAATTTCCTTAAAGTGATATCTGTATCTTCTAATGGGTAACAAATACTTTAGTATGTTTTCACATCTCTTGGTCTCTCTGCTCCAACTTCTGTCATATTGAACTTAACAAGGCTTTTAATTCTAGGCTGTTATGAATATATTTGCTTTCTTTTGCTTTGCTCTAGTTACTTTTAAGAGCAACAACTGCCAGTATCAAAATATGAGAAATATATAACATTGTACACATCATGTTATATACATATATCCTATATAATATCTATATTTTTCATGTATGACATTTTTCATATATGGCATTGTGTGTGTGATATTATCACTTGAATTAGTCCTCCCTGTTATTTAAATTCTTCATCTCTAACTATTTTCTATATGGTACTTTGTGTAGCAAAGCTTCTTAAGCCTTATTTACCCAGCAATATTTTTATAGCTCTTATATTTGAATAATAGCTTGGGTGGATAAAAATTTTAAGTTTAGAAATTTTTTCTTACTGGTTCTTCTAACTTTTATGGCAGGAAGAGGTTGGCATACACAAACGTTAATGTGGAATGATTAAAAACCAAATTAAAAGGTAAAATTTATTAATGAAAACAGAAAATTCTTGCTAACTTAGAGAAAGCAGAGATTCATTAATTCATAAAAATCACAAAACTTGAAAAAAATAATTTGATAAAACAGATTCTGTCTATCTATCTATCTATCTATCTATCTATCTATCTATCTATCTATCGTCTATTTGTTTCTATCACCAATTGATTAAAATTCTGCTTTTTTAAAGACACATTTAAGTATATGAAGAAGCAAGCTTCAGGCTAAGAAACTCACAATTCTTATGTCTGAAAAAAGTACTTGTATCCAGAGTATATAAAGATCCTAAATAATCCAAGAAGACAAATAACCTAGTTAAAAATGTGCAGAGAATTTGAAAAGACATTTCAGAAAGAGGATAGGAATGACCAATAAGCATATAAAATGATGCTTAACATCCTTGGTCAACAGGAAAATAAAAATTTACACCACGATAAGATAGCGTTACAGTTAATTAGAATGGCTAATATGAACAAAATGTCTTGTAATGCCAAGTTTTGGTGAAGATGAGGAGTGACTTGAACTCTCACACACTGTTGGTGAAAAATGCATGATAATACAACCATTCTAGAAAATAATGGAGCAGTTTCTTATAAAGTTATATATATACTATATGGCTTTATAATTTTATTCCTTGATATTGTCCCAAGAGAAATGAAAACATACCTATTCAGAGATTTGTACATGAATGTTCATAACAGCTTTACTCATAAGAGCTCATTAAATAAGTAAACGGATAAACAGATTGTGGTATATTCATTCAATGAGCTTCTACCATGTAGTGAAAAGAATAGACTCAAAATAAATGCAAAAACATATATACATCTCAAAAATATTTTGCTGAGCAAAGGAAGCCAGTCACAAGAAAGTATGTACTGTATGCTTCCACTTAATTATAAAACTTAAGAAACATAAATCTAAATTTTAGTGGTAGAAAGAGGATCAGCTGTTGCCTGGGGCCAGGGATAGGGAATGAGAATTGACTATGAATTGGCCCCCAAATCTTTAAGGTTATAGAATTGTTCTGTATCTTAATTGTCATGGTGGTTACATGGACAGATACATTTGTCAAAACTCAGTGTAGTATATATATTTATAACTTGTGCATTTTGTATTATTTAATTTTACCTGAATAAAGTTGATTGAAATGAAAAGTTCTTTTACATACTAATCCTGTTTTTATATTTTTTCCTGAAGAAAGTAATTAGATAAGTACATAATGATATATATAAAACTTTATCCCATTATATGAGAGATCAACCTGAAGACAATATACATTATTAATAATAATGGATTATCTCAGTAAGATTGGTATATACATAAAATGCAGTCATTAAAATGATGATGTAGATATATAATAATTGATACATAAACATACTGGGAGCAGTTTTACATTCATTATTTAATTTCTGTTGCACAATAATAGCATGCATTTTCAAGTAAGGTTTGGGACAGTCAAGAGAACTATAACTTTGAGTGACAAAGTGATTTGTTCAAGAACATAAGGATTGTAACTGGATGGAGAGAGTTCGTTAGATGAGGCATATATGCTTCCTTCTGTACCATGCTCTCTCTCCCGTTTTACCCATCAGCTGCATTTGTCATGTGCTAATCTGATCTGTTTCCTTGAAGCGACAGAGTGCTGACAGAGAGCAGTGCAGATCTCATTCATGGTGGGTGAAAGCGCTAGATTCTGTTTCTCACTGTGGAGACACAGTCTGCAATAGAAACCAGATAAGACATGGGGAGACCAAAGCCAATCACATGTTTGAATGGCACCATAATTGATATATATTAAGTCATGATTCTGATTGAGACAAAATGTGCCTTCCCTTTCCAATCTGACACCATTGCTCTTTAGAAAATTTAAGAGCCAATGACCATTCTTTGGAGGACTAAATTAGATCTGACCTGTGGCAATGTTTATCAGGTCAGCCTTTACCCTGCCTCATCCTCCCTCCCTCCACTGCCTCTCTTTTTATCTTCATCTTTCCTTCACTCTTCATTATCAAATCCACTAATTCAGTGCCCTTGTGCTTCTTTAGAATTTGTCAAAGTGTGTGTGTGTGTGTGTGTGTGTGTGTGTGTGTGTGTGTATGTGTGACTAGACAAAGCTGTCAGAGACTGAATACACACACCATAACCCAGTTACTCATCAGTGTAGGTTAGGGAAGCTCTACTGTGGCCTTTAAGGCTACCGAATTTCCATAATGTGATATGGACCCACAATCTTTTATCTGAAAATCTTGGGGCCAGAAAGGTTTCTGAATTGTTGGATTTTACAAAGATAGTGTAATATATACAGCGGAATCTTAAGAATAAACCTATAAACACACAGTTGTATTCTGGAGTGAAACCTCTTAATGTTCATATTATGTAAGTAGTCTAATGTTAGTTCAGGTCTGGTTTGGCTGTCAAGTGAGTTCAAATCAGTTTCCAGTAGTTTTTGCGTACTGGAATTGAACATAAGTACTGAAGGCCACATCTAGCTCTCCAGGAGAGAACTCTAGGCACACTTTTAGCCTGTAGCTGTAGTCTCTTCTATTCTTTTTTAACCTGGCTCTTAATGCCTTTTTATTCATTCCCTGGTTTCAGATATGTGCTGTAGAACTTTCTCTTGAATTTGGACTTGTGTCTGGGAGTGGGTGTGCACAGACTTGTACACACCAATACAACTTTAATGAAGTATATTTAAAATATCTGAAAAATTCACTTCTTTTAAGTTTAAATTTTAATGGTTTTTAGTATGTGTGTACAGTCATAAAATCACTATAATTTTCAAGGTTTAGAGCACTTCTGTCACCCCAACATCTCCCTCCTGTATCAATGCAGTCAGTCCCCACTCCCACCACAGCCTCAGGCCAGGCAACCATCCATGCAGTCTTTTGTGTCTGTGTCTTTTACTTAGCCCAGTATTTTGAGATGTATCCATGCCCTTGTGTGTATTAGCACTTTGTTCTCTTTTATTGCTGAGTGGTATTTCCATATGTGCATTAACTAGTGAATAGATCAAGTATATGTAGCTCATCTTTACAATGAAATACTATTTAGCAATAGAAAGGTCTTGTGTTTTTAACCTGTTGTCCAGCTTACCAACCTCTGAATCCCCGGTTGACACTGGATGCTTCCTCAGGTTATGTGTCCCATCTCTTTCATTATGAGACTTAGGCCAAAAAGTCTCTCTCTAGCCCCTAAACCTACAGTTATTTCTTAGGCAACTGGGCTTAGGTAGTGCAGTGAGCTGGAAAGTCTTGGAAACGTAATTGCCCCTCTCCTGGATGAGTGGATCACAGCTATGACTCTTCACACTGCATATTCAGCTATAGAGTCAGGCAAGAAGGACTTTCTGGTGATTATCATGTTGGCCACTCCAAGTATGGACACCAGTACTTTTTCTATTGCACCTAATAGGATCTTTGCCTACTGCATGGAATGCAGGGATTGAGAGATGTGCCCACTTTCTGAGAATGGAGGAACTGTAGCTGGATTGGGAATCTAGAGGAAATTTCTCCTCTATCTGGCTAAACTGAAACCTTTATTCTATTGTAGTTGAGCCAAATCAACAAACTATCTCCAGGAAAAGAGGCTTGAAAGAGATTCCCTTTAGTATTCCCTTCACACTTAAGATTTTTGCTTGGGCACTGACACTCCTAAGAGAGCCAGAGAAACAGCGAAGGAAAACCTGGATGGAAGTCAGTAGTTTGTAGGAGGGGTAGATAAATTTACCTGCCTTTGGATCCAACTGCACCACATTGCTGGCAGTGATGAGTGCCATTCCCTTTCAGAACCAGCCTAGATTAAGTGACAGGATGTCCTGTTCATGAAAAGGGCCATTCATCACCCAGTGGAAAATGTCATATGGCAAGGCAGTACCTTAACAAGTTGCTCTCAGACTTCTACAGAGGCTCCAAGAGGGTAGACACTGTTATTATTTGCATTTCATGTCTAGAGGCAGAGCTAGGGTGAGGCAGGGAACAGGAACGATGGAAGATAGGGATACTACTGTTCTGTAACTGTGGCAATTTTTTGTTCTGTCTTATTTGCACTTGACATTTAGTTGCTACTTTATTTTCTGCTTTGGAAAAGTATTTAACTTTCCTGCTTCTAATTTTACTAAGCAGCAAAATGAAAATAATAATAATACATGAGTTAACACAGGTAATACCATTAGGATGGTAATCCTGGAGCCTAGTAATGCTTCAATAAAATGTAGCCACTGTTACTTGATATTATTTTTCAGTGGCAGGAATATTTTTCTGAACCTGTAGATTGTGTGCAACTTACAAGGAGGAGATAATCGGTTCAGCTGCATCATATAAATCTGTGCCATTATGGACATTATGGACAAAGGTCCACAGATTATTATGCAGACGGGGACATGAATGTGAGACTGACAATGAGAAGAACCACTTCTTCCTTCCCAGTGCTGAGCTTTGAGGTGTTAGACAAGGGTCCATACTTTTAACAGGGGGACAACGTCCAAGAAATATCCATTGAAGGGTTGGCTGTATAGAAGATACAGTCTCTCCAACCTAGGAATTCTCACATTTTATAATCAGTGTCAAGAATTTTTCTATTGTAAATCTCTTCTATTATCTGAAAAACTTTAATAAAAAGATTTAAACTCTCATAACCTGTTCTGAGGCATGGTTTAGAGGAGGCTCCATTCCTGCATCTAGTGATGTAGTCAAAGTCGGCCGTGGCCACCTGCAGGACTCAGTTATGGTTTGAAGAGGTGATGTCAGGGGAGCAAGCAGTGTCGTCCTTAGAAGCAGCTGCTTGCCTGGAGTGACAGAGGGTGGGATAAACTGTAAGCATTTCTTGGAAATTCCTGGAATTCCTTGGTGATGAATACTCTGTAGAATGTTTGACTTCTTGTGAACTCAAGCATAATGGGGACTCAACTTCTAACTGTATATTAAAAGGACTTAATATGTTATGAAGGACTGCATAAACCTGGACAACATTAGGGGTTGGGGACAGGGAAAACCCTGACACCCAGATGAGAGCACTCAGAGGAAGTACTTATGCCGCCCTCACTGTGTCCTCAGGCAAAGCTTCTCCCACATTCCAGCTTCTCCTGCCTCAGGAGAGAGGCAGCTGAGGTACCTGTGTTACAGGAGCTAAAAAGAAATTATTCAGACAGTTAGTGAGGGTAAGAGAGTCCTCAGAAAGGTTTCCCTTTGAATAAAAAAGCAGCCCCTAAATCATTTATTTTCTAACAAAGAGCAGCCTGGAAAATCAAGCTGCAGACAGAAAAGCAAGCTAGAAGCTTGCACAGGTAAATGCTGGCAGCAGTGCCAGAAGAAAAGGGATACCTAGGAGCCAGGCATATTCAACATGGAGGTTCCATCTTCCCTTTTCTTTGTCACCGCGTGTTTAGTCAGGGAACAGGCAACATGGCACCAGCCAGGTAGAGAACCTATCTGCATAATAAAAGATTAGGGTGGGTAGCCAGCTTCTTCACTTGCTATGTAAATGGCATACCTGGTCCAACCAATCCTTTGCGCCCTGTGTAAATCAGACACCGCCTCCTCAAGCTCATCTATAAAATCTCCTGCACTTCTTCACAGAGTGGAAGACCCACTCAGGAGCCCTCTCTGCAAGAGAGAGAGCTTTTCTTTTTTTTTTTTTTGAGATGGAGTTTCGCTCTTGTTGCCCAGGCTGGAGTGCAATGGCACAATCTCAGCTCACTGCAACCTCAGCCTCCTTGGTCCAAACAATTCTCCTGCCTCAGCCTCCTGAGTAGCTGGGATTACAGGCACCATACCTGGCTAATTTTGTATTTTTAGTAGAGATGGGGTTTCTCCATGTTGGTCAGGCTGGTCTCAAACTCCTGACCTTAGGTGATCCACTCACCTTGGCCTTCCAAAATGCTGGGATTACAGGCATGAGCCACTGAACCTAGTCGAAAGAGAGCTTTTCTCATTACCCCAGACATACAACACAACTTCACCTACAGATCATCTAGTCCCTGAAGAGATGATATCTTCTCTTGCTCTGCAGAGCTACCACCTCACTAGAAAGCATAGGTGGTCACAGCACTGATTTCTCATCGGTGGGTTGGAATCCAGTAGCAGCATGATCTACCGCATCAACCACAAGACCAGCTACACTGTGTCACTGTGGGCTATCCAGAGCTCTACCTGCCACTCTGACAGTATTGCCTTAAAAATTCAGAGGATGGCGGGGCCAATGCCGCCGGATTCCACCACTTTGAATGGTACTTAGAACGAATCATTCTGAAATGGGAAAAGTTCCTTTGCCCCGTTCAAGGGCTCGTGATGGGGGTGTGGCTTGCTTCTTCAGTGCCCCCTGCTGCTGGGCTCAAACCTCTAGGGGAGCATACACATGGGCAGGCTGTGGGGCTCCAACCCCACAGCAGTGTCTAGGGGTGAATGTTTACAGCTCCTGAAGCCTCAGTGGGCATGTGTTACAGGGTGCTCTTTTAGTTTGCCATCTATAGGTGGCTTGTGTTAGTCAGCTCAGTTAGACCCTCTACCTTGTCACAAGGACAGAGGGCTTTCTGTATCTCGGGGTTTCTTGCCTTGGTGTACTGGAAGAAGCCTGATCACATGTGGGCTTGGAGAACGAGTGCAAGGTTTTATTGAGTGGAAGTAGCTCTCAGCAGATGGGGGAGCCAGAAGGGAGATGGTTTTCCCCTGGAGGCAGGGCGCTTGGTGGCCCGGGTTCTCCTCCGACTGCCCCAGCCAAACTCTGCCTCATCCTGCCAGTGGATGGCCTGCTGGTGAGCCGGTGTTCTGTTCCGCCTGTGCATGCCCTCCACATCCTCTCATTGTGCAGCTGCTTATGTCTTCTTCCACTGAGGTGCTCCTCTCGATGTCTGGCTGCCTGTGTGTCTGCCTGCTAGGGTCTTGGGGGTTTTTATAGGCCCAGAATGGGGACGTGGCAGGCCAGAGTGGTCTTGGAAAATGCAACATTTGGACGTGAAGGCAGGAGTGCCTGTCCTCACCTAGGTCTGTGGTAGTGGAGCCCTAGCCAGGGACGCGCCTTTCTCTACCCAGCACTTCCCTTCCCCACTTCGGTATCATTTAAAGGGACCACACTCTTCCCCTCCCAGCACTCGTTTATCAATTCCAGCAAAACTTTAAGATTAACTGCCAAATGTATCCAAATTCTCTGGCCCTCGGGACTTGAAGGGTGAGTCTGTATGAATGTGAATATGAACTTGTACATTCAATTTTCCCTCAAGCTGCCATTGAATATATATATTTTTTCCATTTCCCAACACACAGATCGGCATCGAGAGCAGGGAGAGAGTAACTACGTCTTTACCCGCAGCCCTTTGGTACCTTAAGTGTGGTGCTGCCGCCAGTTAGGATGGGTTTACTTGTTGAGGCCAGATAGGCCAATTTTTATACAGGTCCCTAAAAAAAAAAAACAACAGCCAGAGGCAAACTGGCTGCAAATTTTCTAGTCAGGAGAAAAACCAAGCTCTCAGTTTCTTAAAATTTAAAGAAATCAGGTATCTGATCCCAAGACCCAGGCATGGTGATTTGAAAACAGCAGAAAGCCAAGAGACAGCATTCAAATCTGAAAGCTGGCCACCCTTCTCTCTGTCTGCCGTCATGTAATGAAGGCACACACATAGGGGGACTGGGCATTACTATGACTCACAATATCATGGACATCAAGATGGACAGAGAGATAGGAGACCACATCGAGACTTTCCCAGTGAGTGCCTGTATTTCCTCTCGGGCCTTTCCATCCTCTAGCAGGAAACCCCTACCTCCACCTTACCTAGGAGTTCCACTACAGTAATTGCCTGGACCTTACCTGTCCTCTTGTCTTTCTCTGTCCTAGAACTCCAAACAAGCATTCTGCCTCCTGGAACGGGTTTCTCAGACCAGGAGTGTGGGAACTTCTCCGGCATTGTGAGCGAGACTGCTCTGACACCATGGAACTCAGCACCTGTGTTCCTCCCCACCAGGCAGGGTGTGGGAGCACCGTGTCTGAGACAGGAAGGCTTCCTTTAGCTATGCATCCTCATATTTTGTCTTCCCCCATCCTGGAGGGTTCCCCAGTCACCGCCAGCCTTTCTTGTCTGATTCCAGGGGACTTTGTGCCTGATCTGGCCTTCGTGATGCCATTTTAGGTACTCAGCCGGGCTCTCCTTTGCAATCCATCTCCTTATACGTGGAGACAGGCAGGAGAATTCTGTTCTTCGGGTGTGTGGTGCTAAGATTGTTGAGCGCTCCCACAGAGGTCTCTGAGGGAGCCACCCATTATCTGTCAAAATCGAGGGAATGGGAACAGGGAAGAAGATGGGATGATGCTGCAGAGGCTGGCTAGAGTGCTCATGTTTGCATGGGGAAAGAAGTCACCTTATGCTCTGCCATCAGGAGTCCTGGCAATGCGCCCCTCACTAATGCCTGAGATGGCATTGTCACAGTTTCATACTCTTGTCTTTCGATTTCTAACCTTGCTCTTTTTCAAATATGCATTACTTCAAACATCAACTTATTAAAGTACTTTTCTAATAATGGTCTGTACTCAGTGCAAAAATATAAAAAGAAATAAGGACGAATTTTGAACAGGAGGAGCTCAAAGTCTAGTGAGAAATAAGCCTTTTATATTTATAAATAAAAATTACAATAGTACCTAATATGGGCTTTCTCATCAGTTGCTTAAAGTGGCAATTCTGCTTGAGGAAATCAGGAGAGGCTTCAGAGGAATCAGCCCTTGAGTGGAGATTTAGGTGAACACGGACAGTGAAGGGATGCAGAGGGAAGGCATTTACGGCAGAGGAGTAAATGACATGCACCAAGATTATTACAAGGTACTGGTTCGCACAATCATGGAAGCTAAGAAGACAAGACAGCAGACAACCTGCTGAATCAGTAAAACTGTGTGTAGTCCGTGGTTGTGTTTGATAACCAGTATCACAGCTACCAAAGGAGACTGTGATGGTTAATTTTATGTGTCAATTTGACAGGATCACAGTCTGCCCAGATATTTGGTAAAATATTATTCTGGGTGTGTCTGTGAGGGAGTCTCTGGATGAGATGACATTTGAATCAGTGACTGAGGAAAGCAGATCTCCCTGCCCCGTGTGGGTGGGCCTCATCTGCTGAAGGCTTTAACAGAAGAAAAGGCTGAATAGGGAAGAATTTGCTCTTTCTATCTGACTGTCTTTCACTGAGACATCACTCTTCTCCTGACTTTGAACTAATGCTCAGACTGGAACTACACCAGGCTCTCCCAGTTCTCTCCCAATTTCAGATACTGGAACATCTTAGCCTCCATAATCATGTGAACCACTACCTTCTAATCATCTACCCACCTCCTTACCTATCGATCATCTATCTTTTTCTGTTTCCTGATGAGCTCTGACTAAAACAGGGACCCTAGTGTCTTAGTCTGCTGGGGGTACTATAAATAATACAACAGATTGGTTGGCTTAATAAACAGACATTTATTTTCTCATAGTTCTGGAATCTGGGACGTCTATGACTGAGTGCCTGCAAATTCTGTTTATGGTAAGTGTTTTCTTCATGGCTTGTGGCCCCCTTCTTGCTATGTCCCCCTATGGCTTTTCCTTGGTGCACGTGCACAGGGGCAGGGGTGGTGGTGAGTGGGGTTGAAGAGAGAGAGAGAGAGAGACAGAGACACAGAGAGAGGGAGAGTACACAAACTCTCTGGTGTCCCTTCTGATAAGAACATTAATCCTATTAGATCAGGACCTCACCTTTAAGACTCCATTTAACCTTAATTACCTCCGTAGAGGACACATCTCCAAATACAGTCACACTGGGAGGTTAGGCTTTGACACAGGAATTTTGAAGGACACAATTCAGTCCATAATACTGGGAGAGGGTGATGGAAGAGAAGTCTGGACAGGTGGCCAAGATGAGAACGTGAAACACTTTGTGTCTCATACTAAGGGATTTTAAGGTTTATCCTGCCATTGATGGGGAGATATTGAAGGATTTTAACTGTGAAAAAGAGAAGAGATGACAACATTTATATTAGAAAATTTATTCTGATTTCTGGTTAAATGAGCATTGATTAGCAGTCTCTGGAATAGTCTGCACACATTAGCCAATGGAAATTTTGTCGCAAATTTAAAAAATGATTACTCATAACCTCTGGAGAAACTAAGGCAGACAGCCAGTGCCAGATTCTTGGAGATATTTTAACACTTATATGGTTCATTTAGTTGTATTGAGAAAAATCATTTGTGGCCTTTCATGCAGCCCCACATTAGTGAGCACCCCAAAGATGCTCATTTACCCTGTCTGGGGTCTTCTCTTTAGGCTCAATACCTATTACCTTTGGTGTCTATGCTGGTCATAACACTGGGAGATCACCCAAATTCACTGCATTGATGTAGCATTTTGCAGCAGAGTTTGTTTCTCTTTTATCTTTAGATAACAGGGAAAGAAGAGGGTGGGATGGGGTGCAAACAAGGAATGGCTTTGGCGTTTGGCATTTTGATTGATAAATCCCATACATACAGTGTTCTTGGGAGTGACAAAAATAAGAACATCCTTAACAACAGTTCACACTAGTTTGATTTTAATTAGTTTTAATTTTAATTTAGTTTTAATTTATTATTTAATATTACTTAAGTATTTGTTTATTATAGATAGCATCAGTTCTAGGAATCAGGCAATAGAATAAGATATTAAGAATCTATATCCAGCAAAGCAGCCTTGGTCTAGTTGGATTATTTATCAAATTGCTATCCAGCTGAAGATTTGAGAAGGTTTTGCTATTGTTTTTGTTTGCTTTTTGACAAATGCTAGGTGACTAGTAAGATCAAAGCATTTTTTTTTTTTTTTTTGAGACGGAGTCTCGCTCTTTCGCCCAGGCTGGAGTGCAGTGGCGTGATCTCGGCTCACTGCAAGCTCCGCCTCCCAGGTTCATGCCATTCTCCTGCCTCAGCCTCCCAAGTAGCAGCTGGGACTACAGGTGCCTGCCACCACGCCTGGCTAATTTTTTGTATTTTTAGTGGAGACTGGGTTTCACCGTGTTAGCCAGGATGGTCTCAATCTCCTGATCTCATGATCTGCCCACCTCGGCCTCCCAAAGCGCTGGCATTACAGGTGTCAGCCACCGCACCCGGCCCGATCAAAGCATGTTTACACATCATATCTCTCAAAAAAGGTTGGATTGAAATATATCACGACTTCTTGAAATATGGAATCACTAAAAGGAGTACTAAATGCCTATATTGAACTGATATGTGTAAATCTCATTATTTAAGGATGCAGGAACATAGGAAAACTAGACCAGAACCTAGGACAAAAATATTGAAGACAAAAGAATATGAAATATTATCCTAAACATTAATAGAAAGTTAAGACTTGAAAATAATTTACTAAAATAACCAGAAAAAATTTCAGAAAACTGCATGCCATGTTTAGTAAGATATAAGGCATAGTCTACATGCAATAAGGAAAGAAATCCATAAGTATTGAAAAGGCTAAAATCAAACTACAAATGTGATGAAATGAATAACAACATAGGTGGGAAGATAATCTGCATAAGAAAATAAAGCATGATAAAATAGAAATTGCAGCACCAAAACCAAAGTCCTCATTTTTGGCAATGTGATGCAACATTGGAACTTTATTGATCAGTGATGCGAAGGATGAGCTTGAAAAACTTTTCCAAAATGGAGATTGCCTTGCTCTGACTTCTATCTTGAAAGCTGATTTAAAAACACACACCCACTGGATGGTGTGGATAAATATATTTGTTAATTATTTCTGAAAACAAAAGAGCCATTTGTCAAATTCTCTTTCATACTGACAAGATCATTTGGATATATTATTTAGGACAGTGATTCTAAAATATGATCACTGGGCTAGCAGCAGAAGCAGCATCTGAGATCTTGTTAGAAATATAAGTTCTCAAGCAACACCTCAACCTATTGAGTCAGGAACTCTGGGAGTGGGGCCAAGTAGTTGGTGCTTTAACCAGCCCTATGGGTGATTCTGATGCTGCTCAAGTTTGAGAACCACTGGATTAGGAGAATAGCTTGCTTGCTATAATGAGAATGTTCCCAGGTAGCTTCCCTGGCCACCTCAGGTATCCCTCATCTACCACTGATCCAGACATACAAAATCCAGACAAGTTTGCAGATGTGAAGGCTCTGCTAGTTGGGGAGCATGTGTGCCTCAGATTCCCCACACCCAAATGAGAGGAAAGGGTCATCAATAACTGATTTTCCCAAACAAGAGTATTAAAGGTATTCCAAATGCAACATATGAATATAAATTAAGTAGAAGAAACATTTCCTAAAGTTAGGGAAGAGCTGTGCATGCGCATTGAAAAGGCTTTCTGTAATATGGGCAAAGTCAACAAGAAGACTCACAGCTAATTAATTCTGGGGGAAAATAAAGGGTACCTTAAGAAGAACAGACATCTCATAAACAAGGAAGGAGGGAAGGAAGGAAGGGAAAAAGTC
Source organism: Homo sapiens (assembly GCF_000001405.40). Lineage (NCBI taxonomy): Eukaryota > Metazoa > Chordata > Mammalia > Primates > Hominidae > Homo > Homo sapiens. The sequence continues at coordinate 38,033,226 of NC_000018.10, forward strand.
TGCCTCTAAGACTAAAAATCTTTGTGTAGGCATCAGATCTAGAGACAAAGTAACACATTAGGTTTATGTAGGAAGACGGATACCTCTTCCTCCAAGGCTATCAGTAAGGATGCAATATTATGTACAAAATGTTGGAAACAAGTAAGATTGAAAACTTGTAAATCATATGATAGATTTCCTGAAATACGGTTTGTGCTCACTTAGTGCTAGCAGTTACTCATTATTACAGCACCATGAGCACAGGAATGGGGAGAACCTGACTCATTTCCTGGAAGGTGCCATACTCTAGGCCCTAGAGTCTAGGCCATTTACACATGCTTCCCTAGAAAGAAGGCAAGATCTGAGAACAGGTCCAAATAAAATGGTAAATGCAGAGGAGTGTTAAGAGCATAATTATTCTGGGATATTTTGTGTGACCGAATATGTGCTTGGGGATGGTGGCTGAGGACCTCAGAGAATAGTGGCAAGAAATGTTAAACAGCCTGGGCGTGGTGGCTGATGTCTGTAATCCCAGCCTTTTGGGAGGCCGAGGAGGGTGGATCACCTGAGGTCAAGAGTTAGAGACGAGCCTGGCCAACACAGTGAAACCCCATCTCTACCAAAATACAAAAATTAGCCGGGTGTGTTGGCGGACACCTGTAATCCCAGCTACTCAGGAGGCTGAGGCAAGAGAATCGCTGGAACCCAGGAGGCGAAGGTTGCAATGAGCCGAGATCGTGCCATTGCACTCCAGCCTGGGCAACAAGAGCGAAAGTCCGTCTCAAAAAGAAAAAAAGAAAAGAAAGAATGTTAAACAAAAGGAAAGGGTTACTCCAGGAAATTTTCAAGTACTCCACTGTATTTCATGTGCAGGTCCTATGTAGAAAAGCTCTCCAGCACATGTCACATAGGACAATGGGCACACATTCCTCCCCTCTACTTGCTTTCTTGGTAACAGGAAAGCTAGCCTGGACTCTCAGGTCCTCCAAGGCTGGGATGCAACTGATGAGAGCTCACATCAGTGAGGTAGCATCGCTGCCATAGCCCAATGAGAACTTGCTTTCTTTCTCCCAATATTGTCAGTTTACGAACAATAGTCTTGTATTCAACAATAATCTTGTATATTAAACTCTACTCTCAAGGATTATGAAATCTAGTCAGGGAGACAAGCCACACATCTGAGAAATTAATAACCATTCAAAATCTAAAAACAATACAGAAAATGTCAAGAGTGTTTATGTGTTAAGTGAAATGTGAGTGATGGAAATATCTAGCTACATAATGAGCTACCATTGTTGGTGAAGATGCCAGAGAAAGCTTTACAGAGAAGGGAAGCAAACTAGCAGAATGTAGCAGTAACTCCACTGCAGGCTGAGAGAATAACATGAGGCTCAAAAACAGGGAACTGTGAGATGAAATAAGTGGATACTTTCGAGAGAACAGGGATTAACTTTAGGAAGGAGTATGAAGTTGAAATGGTAATATTTTGGTGTTTGGAATTTATCTTATGGGTGATATAGACCCATGGAAATTTAAAGATGTTCTTCTTAATGTGAATTTCCAAAGATGGAATAGCAATTGAACTAGGTTTTCTATCAAATGGTAGGTTCTCTCATAGCATCCTATATTTGAATATCATACAATCAGTGAGACATGATTATATTCTTGCTGTTTCTGAAAGTTATGCAATTACCTTGATATTTTTGCACCATTAAATGTGAAAAAATATCCTTATTTTCTCTCCTCTTTTTTGGGCTGCTTTTAGCAGTCTGAAAATCAGCTTTCATTTTGACTGCCGCTTAACAGAATTTGATTAAAAAAAGTAAACTAATTACAACGGAAATGCAGCCCTGTGAAGCTTTAAGAAAAACACATTATTTTGTTTTAGGGTTCAGTTACTATACATTCATTTATCATCTTTATAAGCGATGTGCAGGCGATGATGAATAGGCCCTGGCTTTGAATCAGGAAATGTAAATTATCCTCTTTCTTTCTTTTCTTTCCTTCTTCTTTTTTTTTTAAAACAAATAATGAATACTAGTAAATTTGAAGCTAACCAATGTGCCAAGAACTCAATGATGATGTAATGCCATGAAAGCAATGCAAGGGCTACCCACGTGCTAGTCTAAAGCCAAAAGAATTCCTGGTCCAGGGGATGCATAACCCGAGCTGGAGAGGGTTGTCTCATGGTTGGACTGGCTGGTTTGGAGGACCATCTGTAGGGTGTAGTCTGTAGTCGGCTCTGCTATTGCTCTGCATTTGAGCTACCCTCATTCAAGTGGCCTTTGCTCTCAGAAAAGTAGCAAGTGTGTTCCTTTAACCCTCACTCATCTAGGTCTTATCTTTTAGAACATAGGGCTTTGCCCTCTCCTCTTGCCCATCCAAACAGTCTTTGTTCTTCAAGGGCTGTTCAGGTTTACATTTCCTTTCAAAGCCTTTCCTGGTTGCTTCAGACCACAATGAAATTTCCGTAGAATACTAAAAACCTTTAATATCATGTGAGAAATAGGGTGCACTTATAAGCAAGAAGCTCAGTTTTTCATGATGGACATTATATGTTGTAATGTTTGAGTAGTATTAGGATAGAGAAAGAAAGTACATTCCCAGTGAGATGAGACAAGGATGCTCAACTGCAGACCATGGGTGAAGAGAGACCAATTCTGATTGGGTGGTCATTATTGCATATATGCAGCAGGGAGGATTTTAAGAAAGATAAAAGTCAGAATGCTCACCTCAGGATAAATCTCACAATCACATTACACTCATTTGGTGAAGAAAAACAAACCTCAGTTGAAAGGAAATAGTAATGTAAATGTTAGCTTTATTGGTGCAGAAAGTTAAGCATACTCATTTCTATTTTCAGGAGTTTTACAATATTTGCATTAACTTGTACGTAGAATTTTTAAGTTATTTGCATGCATTCTGCAAATTAATTTAAAATTCGCAATTTACTTACATTTGGGTGGCATTTATGGATGAAGACATTACCCATAGACACTCTTCAAAGATAAAGTTATGTTTACATCATTAATTTCCATATTCTTTATAAATTATGCCAATTTGATATTTATGCTGTGATTTTACACATATCCTGTTTTCCTTTTTAGAAACAAAATTCAAGTATATCTACTCACTGTAGCACACAGAATGTATTTGTATACTTTCTTTTTATTAATTTTTGTTTCTTCCCACCATCTTTCCTCTTTCCTCTTTTAGTTGCTTTTATTATACCTTCTCTCAGACTGCTGAGGCAATGATTAGGCACATTGACCTTGGAAAAATAAATAAAGTGAAGGAAAATATGATGATCTGTCACTTTAAAATGTAGTCCATTTCCACCAACATATTAAAAGTCTAAATATTTTATTGTTTGGGCACAATCTCATTTTTATTGCCCCAATCACAGCTCATTGATTAGGATATGCTGGGCAGAAGAGTGAGCTGGTCAGCTAATGGCCTCCCTGCTGCTAAAATTAACTAATTGTTAAAGTAATAACCATGGACCCTCATGGCCTATTTTAATAGTCAGTGGCAATCTGGGAAATTATTTTGCTGCTTTCATTTCAGTAAGTCCTTCTATTGGCCATTTGCACCCCTCTCCATCCTCTTAAATGTTCTCTTGATGAGAAATATTTCAATGAGAATCTGCAGGGAGCTCTGACCAGTCCCTCCAAGTTACAATTGAGCCTGTTGTTTCTACTGTGAATAGAAGAACATCCTGTAGATCTGTGTATTGTGGTGCATGGGGGTGGCCATCTATCTACTGCACCAAACTTTCTTTCTAAGCTGTCCTTGCCTCCTCTGTCACATGTGCCTCTCACGTTAGATTGTTTAGTATCTTGCTTTGTCCTGCCCAAATGCTGGTCATGACCTTAATCTCCTTTTGGTGGAAAACCCTACATCTATCTCTAGATGATCACCTCTCTCTACAATGCACACCTAGCTCAGCATTTACCCACTAAATTTCTCAGGACAACACTGTTTTCAACATTGACCTCTCCTTCCCTAATGTTCCCGTCTATACTATTGCTACATTTTACTATGTTTTTGAATTTAATATTCTCCATTACCTGGTTATTTGTTGTTTCATGTATACACATTCTTTATTCTATGGTAAGCTGTAAATTTACCCAGGAAAATGTCCTGCACTTTCTCTCACATCCCTCAGAACAAAAAAAATTGCATTGAATACACTATAGATGTTTAGCAAACATGCTGAATTAAATAAAATTAGATTTGGGGATTTCAAAGCTAAATTGCTATACCAATGTCCTGTGAGACTGTCTTAAATTTCTCATACCCACAGAGGAAAAGGGAAGTTCTATCACTGAGACTAAATTGTAAATTAATATGGATACCATAAATTGGAAATTCCTTATGATAGAATTATGAACAGCCCCAGGAAAAGACATTGCAAAACGTTGTGCTCAAGGAACTTAATTTTAAAAGAAGGTGGGGATGAAGCAGAGTTATGGTGCAAACATGTTTTTATTTTGTTGTTTGTTTGTTTGTTTTGAGACAGAGTTTCACTTTGTTGCCCAGGCTGGAGTGCAGTGGCACGGCGGTCTCGGCTCACTGCAACCTCTGCCTCCGCGGTTCAAGCAATTTGTGTGCCTCAGCCTCCCACGTAGCTGGGATTACAGATGCCCGCCACCATACCTGGCTGATTTTTTAAATTTTTAATTCTAGTAGAAACAGGGTTTCATCATGTTGCCCTCTTGAACTCCTGAGCTCAGGCAATCCACCCATCTTGGCCTCCCAAAGTGCTAGGATTACAGGCATGAGCCACCGTGCCCGGCCACAAACATGTTTGAAAGTGGAGATGGAGGGCTAGACAGCCTAGTTAAGAGGTGAACTTGTAAGACCTGCATTAACTACATGTTTGCTGTTTATTCACTAGAAAAATATATGGAGTCGTTGCTAGACAGCTGTGAGTTTGAATAGCTACAAAGTATTTTTTTAAATAAAGCTTTATATCTATTTGACATAGCCACTAATTCAGACTTTGTAAAACTTCACACAACTTTTCTTACTTTTATTATTGTGATGGTATTTCATTTTATCCCTATTTATATGATGATTGAAGGTTTTTATGTATATTCATAGGAGTACTATGTTGATACTTTTTAGCACTTGAACTAGAAAAAGTCAAGACAAAGAAACTGAAACTAGTCTGTTGATTTAGGATTCCATGCTAGTCATGGCATGATCTGTTAAGGCATGAAAAGCTGCTTGAGATTATATATTTTTATACTTTGGGCTTGTTATAACTCACCCATGGAATAATCACATTCTAGAGTAATGACAGATTCTAGCCTAGGTTGGTACAACCACATCAAAAAGTCCAGAATCCTTTAATTGCCATGTTTCTCACATTTTACAAAGACTTAGAGCTCAACTATTAAATTAGGGTTTTGATTAAAAGAATCTCTTTGTGGTTCTAGCACCCCATGACTTATGATCCCCTTTGTATGAGGACCTCTAGATTCCTGAAGATTAAATTAACATTTAGATTTGACTTCAGAGAATGTTTTTGAAAAACCCTCTCAAAATCATGGTGAGGACTCAGACAAGCTGAGATTTGCATCCTGACCCCTCCATCTGCCAGCATCATTTCCTTGGGAATGTAACCATATATCCACCAACTTCATTTTTGTTATAAGTTAAAATGGGAGTGGTTGCTCTGTCTGATCTGCTTTTGTAAGTGATAGGAACAAAACATAATAATTATTTGTTAAAGAATATTCAGTAGTCACTGAGTGATTCTCTTATGAGTCAAAAGTAAGTTCACCAGTAAGTGGAAATTTTGATATCTGTTTTGGTGGTTCACATGTCTTTCTTCTTAACTTTCAAGATTTCATCTGGGTTAAAAACAGTTGAGATGGAAGAACAGCCATTCTGTGTATATGCTGTATTGTTGTCTCCTTTGTGTTCATATAAAGAGATGGGGAATAAGAGTAGAAAGCTTGGAGTCAGCCAGAGCTTCCTTTAACCACGGCACCATCAATTACTAGTTGTATAAGCTTGAAATTCTTAGCAACCCCTCTAAGCCTGAGGTTATTCATGTTAAACATGGGAATAATGGATATACCTACTTCAGAGGGCTGTCAGGGGGATTCTATAAAGTAATGCTACAATGCATTTAGCATAGCGAGTTACACACAGTAACAATAGGTGTTTAATTAATGCTAGGTATTATTTCCATATTATTACTGAGAACTACTCAAACAATGACACTTTGTCAGAAAGGCACTCAAAAATGTGCACAGTGAGGGAGTGCCACCCTGAAAAACTTGATCAGGGATCTACAGTGCCCTGGGTGTCAGTGGAAGGAGACAAGCCATGTGGAATGGCAGTTCTCTGCCAGTGGCTCTGACAATCAGCAAGTACTGTCCAGGAAAAATCAGTACGTGCCCTCCTCCAGGAGCCCCAGTGCCTTGTGGGAGCCCTGGGGGATTGGCTCAGGCATTTAGAGCCTCACTAGAAAAAAAAAAATCCACACTGAAGAAAACCAAGTTCTTTATGTCCTGGAATAAGGTCTTGTGCTGTGGTCTTGTGCTCTTGTATTTTTGTAACCAGAAATACAGAGCCTGTCCTGAGATGTCCCGAGATGTGAACCAAATAAACCCCAAACCAAATTCCTCTCCAGCTTCTAGAACCTTGAGGGCAGTCAAGTAGAATTCAAAGAGCAGTGATCAGTGATTCTAGGTCAGATGGGACTTTTAGATTAGGGAAAAAACATAGGTGTCTGTTTGTGGGCATGCGTGTAGATATATGACATTCATTCTTCAAGACCTTGCTGAAACCTTTCTTCCACTATGAGTTCCCAGTAGATTATTCTTATCCCTGACCCACAAATTCCTGTCACACTGATTATCTTTCGGCATCTGACCCACCTCTAGTACAGCTGAGCAGAGGTTGTTATTTTTAAGTCCACTTTTTTTTTTCTCACCCCTGTGGTAAGTTCCCTGAGAACAGAGCCTGATATCTTTTCCTCATGTGTCCACTAACTACTGCTCACCCCGACTACCCAGCACGTAGCAGGGTGACAGATCCTTATTATATGCTCATTTTAGCACACAGAGAAGGATTGCTTAAAACAAGTAAACAAACCAAAAAAGGAAATCTTGTGAAGTATGTGCTAAACCATTGATGGTGTTTTCTTCTCCTTGAAGGTAAAGCTAACTTTAGGAGTTGCGGGGGAAGGTGGCCCATCTGGTCCTGACATTTTTCTGGAAATATCGTCAAAATGGAAGTGAGAAATGTGCTACAAACTGAACAATCATGATCCCCTCTCACATCTGAAAGGAAGATTGTGAGAGTAATGAACATAAATCAAGGCTAGGCTTGTCCTGCCCGAATTGAGGCAAAACAGGTTTTTCTTTTAAAAAACATCTGTCATCAGGGGATTTAAATCGGGTACTCCTGTTTTTAGAAAAATCTCTATTTCCTTACAGGATGTCGGCTTTGATCACTAATCCCTGGAAAATGTCTTAGGAGCTACTCCAGTTGGCAGAAGTGCCAGAGAGTGGGTGTGGGCAGGTGTAGGGAAAGAAGTAAGGTAGAGGGAAATGCTTTTCTAAGTCGATGCATTATTTTAAAATAAAAATACAACTCCCAGAGTCTCTGGAATCTAATGGTTCCCTCTGTGAATTTTCCAGCAGTGCAGCCCAGGGACACCTTTAGAAAATGTTCCTTCTGCAGGTCAGCATTTTCCTGTCCTCCCCTCTCCCTGGCCAATGCCATTAATGTGCGTTTGTCAATACTGAATTTCATTTGCCGCATAGCAGCTTAGAGAGGGAAGCACATCGTGTTGCATTTTCCTTGCCTCTCAAACTGGAGTTCCTGCTTCTCCCCAGCTTTGTGTTGTCAGCAAAACATAACGTGTTTACAATCGGTCTCTTGATCTAAGGTAATTACCTCCAGGAGAAATAGCGAGGGTAAGGACCTAACAAGAGAAGCCTTGTGTCGTCTCATGGTGGGCTGCTGTCCTGAAAGTGTATCAGACTTGTCAAATTGGTTCAAATTAAATTGACATGGTGCTCTTTCAGGCATCACCACATTATTATACATCTTGGAGCCCTTTTGGGCAGTAAATGCCTTCAGAGTTAAAAAGGAATGTGCAAAGGAATGGACTCGAAGGAGTCAGCAACAAGGACAGCGAGGGTCTCCAGGAGGACGCGTTAAAACCGGCTATGAGAATGCAGAAGGTTATGTTATTACTGGGGCTCAGTTTTGGTCTTCTCTCAGCAATTTCTAGTTGCTGCCACTGTGACAGAGGTGTCCCTAGGCCTTAGCAATGATTTTTTTTTTCCTGCCTCTGGCTTTATTTATTTATTTATTGTAACATTTATGAGCACTGTCCAGGGAAGCTGCTGGGTCCAGCAGTATCAGCCCCAGCCCAAAGGGAGACAGGGGAATTCTAATCCTAGCCTTTCCCTGATGGGCCTGGTGACCTTGGCCAAGTCATTTAACCTCAACACGCTGGGGCCATCATTTATAACCGAGCAGGGGAGTGAATGAGGCCTGGATCACCTCGCCAGGGTGTCAGGAGGAATAACTAATTAATGATTGTAAAGCACTTTGCAAACAGAAAGTGCTGTACAAAATGCTTAATATTAATAATAAAATGCATTCACTGCAAGCCTCTAGGCGTATGTACAGAAATAACGACAGCAATTAAAGTAACACGCTAACAAAACTCATTAACCCCCAAACCTCCTTCTGACTGTACTTGGCTGTTGTAGCTTCATTGCTTTCTTAAAACTGCCAGGTGGTACAAGAAAGAATGCTGTAGTGGAGGGCATTGCATCGGCTCTCTCCCTTCCCTTCTGAGCCATGAGCACTCCAGTCCTCCTAAAGCCCCCATTTCTATCTAGCCCTTCCTGCCATTCTCCCATGAGGACCCGTTCCTTTTCTCCTTGCCCAAGCACCCGCTGCCTATACCATAATTTACTCTAAATGGCTCTTTACTTTGTATTCTTTATTTCTTTCCGTGTGCATGTGCCTTTTCTCTGCCCAGACTCTCAGCTCCTGGAGGGCAGAGTTCCCTTTGTATTATTATAGAATCTCTCGTTCCTGAAAGAGGGCAGTACAGTGCTGTGCACCCATGTGGTCCATGGACCAAGAAGCTGGCACAGACACTATGCCTTCCCCAGCTGACTGGTTAGACTAACGGGCAGGGTATTATTGGAAATAGGCCACACAGGGTATCACCTTACCCCCAGCAAGCCGACAACTCAGGCCAAGAAGGCCCTGAGGCCTGGCAGGCCTGACAGAAGAGACCCTTGTCACTCTGGAGGAAGGGTGGAAGAGGAAAGGCAGGGCTCAGTTGTTCAGAAAACCTACACCTTTGAAACTGGGGGAAAATGAAAACAGATACTGAGAAAGCAACTTCAGGGGAAGAGGGAAGGGATTCATATGAAATGCATGGGGTAAGCAGAAGACAGAGCAAGGCATGCTTTGTGCATGTGTGCGTCACAGCTAATAAGGGCCCCCGGAGTGGGAAAGGCAGGCACAGCTGGAGTCCTCTGCATGGTGGAGAGGACGCTAGGGACTTTGTGAAGACTGGGTGGGCACTTTGGAAAAGATAATTTGTCTATTTTCTTTTTTTTGTAATAATGAACAGCTAATTTGGAAAAAAAATAGCCTCTCTCCTTACCTCCTTTTTCTTCCTCTTTAATAAGACACCACTTTGTTTTTTGTTTCTCTTTAACTTTTAAATTTTATATTTTACCTTGCCCAGAGTGCTGGATACTGTCAGAATTCTTATGCTGCAATAGCATGTTTTATGGGAAATAAAAGCGGTATGCAAACCACATTCCTGAGGCATCGTGAGTCCAAATGTAATCTGATTTTGTCTTGAGTACAATATTGTAACACAGGGTTGTGATATGGGCCTTTAGATTGGTAACGTAAATAGTTTTTATAGAAAAAAGACCACGCATACCACAAGGAATGTACTCCAAATTATATATCAGAATATTATAGTATTTACCAAATGTTATACAAAGTAATTAAGCAAAACAGCAAAGTCAGGTATTGTACTCTATTTGATGGTTTAAAAGAGATTCTCTAGAAAGGAGCTTTTTAGGCAGCATGGAAGGGCCTTGAGTCTTAGAAGAAATAGTCAAACAACTTCTGTAGGGGGTCACTGTAAGGTCCAGGGCTGGGGAGAAGGAATTTGCTGCGAAAAGACTGGAGCCAGATAGGGTACAGTGCCTTTAAATACAAATGTCTGCTCAAAGGGGAGAGGGAGGGAGGAAAAAGAAAGAAGAGGGGAGTGGAAGAAGCTAACAGCACACAAATCCAGTGCTGAGTGACGCCTGAGTGTTCAGAGAAAGATGCAGCAAGAATCCACAGGAGAGCGGGACGGTGGGCCTAGAGGTCCGCCCTGGCGGAGGCATGTTGTGAAGAATATTCTTGAGTTTTGGCAGCCACTCTGCAGATGATTCCCTCCTGTGGAGAGCAGAGAGTGATTGTGGACAAGCAGCTCGGGAGATTGCAGGTCTGGAGACAACTTTGGAGAAAAAAATCCAAATAGTTACCCACCCACCCCCCCCCAAAAAAATACAAATAGTCACAAAATTACAAGAAAGAAAGCCAAGAAATGATATTGAGGGAGAACAAGCCTCTATTTCACAGCCAAATCAAACACCCCTGACAGGGAAATTGATATTCTGCCTCAGAGTCTCTTTGATGAAGGCTGGGCAGGGCTTGGAAGGGACAGAGCAGGAGAGGAAAGGAGATCAGTGTACATTCTAGGATCCAAGCCTGCCACCAACTCCTGGTGTGACCTTGAGCGAGTCACTTCACCTCGTCAGCCTATTTCCCATCTGTAAAGCAAGGCATTTGAGTCCAACAGTCTCTAAGGCCCTTTCAAACCCGATACCCATGAACTTCACAATGTTAAGTGTCCAAATGATGGTTACGCTCCTGGAGGGCTGAGTTCCCTTTCAGTAAGTACTCAGTGGCTAAGAAGCTGACTTAGGTGGCATTGCCACTTCACGGAAGCTGTTATGAATTGACCACAGTGTGCAACTGTAGGGTTTCATCCCAGTGGCTTAGAGTGATTATCAGTCAAAATTCACTCAGCAACTTTCATATGTCCAGCCTTTGGGTAGGTGCTGAAAGGATGATTCTGTCCCTGCTCTTAAGAAACTTACAGTCAGCCGGGCGCGGTGGCTCATGCCTGTAATCCCAGCACTTTGGGAGGCCGAGGTGGGCAGATCACGAGGTCAGGAGATCGAGACCATCCTGGCTAACACGGTGAAATCCCGTCTGTACTGAAAAAATACAAAAAGTTAGCTGGGCATGGTGGCGGGCACCTGTAGTCCTAGCTACTCAGGAGGCTGAGGCAGGAGAATGGCATGAACCCAGGAGGTGGAGCTTGCAGTGAGCCGAGATCACGCCACTGCACTCCAGGCTGGGCGACAGAGCGAGACTCCGTCTCAAAAACAAAAACAAAAAAAAAAAAAAAAAGAAGAAGAAAGAAAAAAAGAATCACTAGCAAACAAAAAATGTTAAATGTCAGGAAACTGAAGCTCAGAACATTGTTTGGAAGAAGGCAGCTACAGAGAAGGACAGTTTGTGCACACACACATGCCTTTTTCAACCTAAAATCTAAAATTGGGTGATTGTAAGGTATGGTCTTTGTGAGCATATATGTATGTGTGTGCGCATGTAAAAGTATGAATCTCTGTCTGTTCTTAAGAAAATGTCATTCTTAGATTACAGAAAGAAAGAGGGAGGAAAGCACTGGAGAGGAGGGGTAAGGAGGAAAGCTGGGGATGCATAGGTAATTTAAAATTATAACCCAACAAATGCAAAACAGGAAGGGAACAGCATTTTAAAGAGGCCAGTAGATAGCATCAGCTCATTAGTGGTTCCATTACAGTGTACATCGGTTTGCTTTCTCTCCCAGCGCACACACAAAAAAGTGATATATGTGCATGTGGGTATGGAGGAAGTAAATTAAATAAGCACAGCTTAAGTTATTTTAGGGTATTCTGAGCATTCACTCTCATTCTTAAAGATTGGTGAGAAGTTTGAAATGTTTTGGTCTTTGAAATTAGCCATTGCCCTTCAAATACGATTGGATTCTCAAAGAAGCCCTTCAATAGGTGAGGAGTGGGGAGAGGTCAGAAGGAAAGGAGCGGAGCTCTTTCCACCAGTTGGATGGGAGGATGGAATCTATGATGCTGGCACAGCATGGCTGTCAATGATTGGAGAACTTTGTTTCCATTTGGAAATGATTAAGGTCTTATTGCTCCTGTCTTAGATATGAAAGACCTGAAATGCATCTGTTTGATGTAACTAAGGTTGAGTGACAACTCTATGCATGTTGTTAGCAAAGTTCCTTGAGAAGAAGGGAAGAGTGCTTAATTTCAGGAAAGTTGAACTATAAGAATTGAGTACCTTGATTGAATTTGATAGTTCTTAATGGGAAACTGTATTGAACTAGCAGAAAAAAAAATTGCAATGAGATTTGGTGAAAAGGATCAAACTCAAATTTAGTTTTTTTTTTTAAACCCTCAGAATTAATCTTGCCAATTTTATGCAGTTAATAGTAGGAATTATTTCACATGAAGAAAGACAATGTCAGAAATAAGGGTAGAATTTTAGAGCTGGAATTAGAAGAGGGACCAGGGGAAAGCTAATTTGCTTTTCTGCTCCAAAATATTCCTAGAATTCATGTCTTAGAGTCTATTTGATTTTGTTTTTTAAAATTAATGATGGAGAAGGATTTCCTGGGGAGGGTTTCTGGGTGGGGCTTGGGTTATAACCACTGAACTGACTAATCAGGAAGGCAAATGAGCCGTGCTGTCTCCAAGTCCATGTGCATAGGCTAGAAGGGGAAAGAAAACATCCTGGGCCCTGCCCAGAGAGATCAGCTGGAGTCCTAGGCCCTCAAAAGATTGCAGGTCAGCCAAGAAAAGAGGGAACCATCGTATGAGGAATTTGGGAGTACACTTCAGTACTGGTCACCTTATAGGAGTGCCAGGGCTTATCCTTGAGGGCACTGGGGCACAGAGGACCAGATCCCTCGGAGGAATTATGACCTTTGACCTACACTTTGACTGCTGCCACATACAGCACATGCAATGGCAGCCAACGAGTAGCTCCTAGGCCCTTTGGCCTAGTGTCTGTTCCCTACTTCCCAACAGGTTTAGTTTCCTTTATAAACATAATATCTATAAATGAGGCATCCATTCTCCAGTCACAGCAGCTCCCATCATCCACTATTGTCTGATATCGGCCATGCTTGCTCAGTTTACATTAACTGTCCAATTCCAATTCTGAACTCCTATTCTTAGGCTATGTGCAGTAAGGCCTCACTGCTTGTGTGTTTGGGATGCCCTGCAGAAATCTTCCTTCCACTTCATCCATGACGATTTTTTGAGAAGCAAGAAGGGCAAAGGCCCAGAGTGATTCAGTGAAGGTGCATATGGTATTCATTCTGCAGAGAACAAATATGGAACAGGAGAAAAAGTGACAGTCACACCATTTGCATTTGGTATGTAAATTCAAGATACATATTGATTTACATGTATAATTTAGCAACCAAAAAAAAAAAAAAAGGAAAAAGAAACCCACATAGCTAAGTAAACATGAATACCCACCCCAAGCTAAAGGCTGGGCTCGTGGTGGTGTTTGTAAATGGCACTGTGTGGTAGCACATCTTGGCATGCAAATGTGTACAAACTTAAAACTGTTGCTAGGTTAAACAACACCTTTCCCAGGAAGCACAACTGATTTAGCAGCTTGTGCTTTATGCGTTGGACTCCAGGGCAGAAGGCCCCTTTCCTCACCTCATAGCAAGGGCAGAAAGGGGGATTCATCCGTGTTCTTTCCTTGCTGAAGTCTACCTTCATGCTGATACAGCCCAGCCTTTTTAAACACCTTTTCCTTTTTGTTGTTTTCATGCATGAAGAACTTGAACAAATTTTTCCATAATGGAAAAAATAAATGCTTTCACCAGCTCCCTCTTTATTTAAACTTATTTTCTATTCTCACCAAGCTTCTCTCCACTTACCTTCCAGCCCCTGAAACAGTCCTTCCAGAGACAATGCCTCACCATCATTTGGACACACGAATATTACCACCACCGCACTTTTACTAATCATAGTACTATTCAAAAGAATGCTTTTCCTTCATCCACTGAAATCCTATTCACCTCTCAAGCTTAACTTACACTTGATAGCCTCCTCCAAGCCTTCACAAAATCTATAGCTATGCCAATTTCTTCTTTCCAGGACCAGCTGGGGCACTTGTGATCTCAAGCTGTGTTCTCAATCTTGGTCACATACAGTTGTATGAGACTTCCTAATAATTTCCTAGGTGTGGCTCTTGGTTCTTCAACCAGAGAGAATGATCCCTGAGGGAAGAGATTTTGTTCCTTCTCTACAACACAGTCCATTTGGCACAAAAATGAACATATTGATGATGCTAGCACATCGTGCTGGACTGAATTGAGAAAATGGTTTCTCAATGTTCACTCCTTATATCCTGATTTAAAGCCTACAGTAGAAAACCCTAATCAGTGACCAGAGTTGAAAAATGGGTTAGCAGAGGAATAGAAAGAATACGAGAGGTGCATTAGAAGATAGATTCAGGATTTTCTTTTTGTTCCCACTCTGCCATGATGTTCTTCATGAGACTCTCTTGTTCATAATGAACAGCAACAAGTCCATATAATCCAGGGTTTCCGAACCTTGATGCAACTGACACTTTGGGCGGAGTAAGTCTTCATTATGTGGGAGCTATCCTGTATATTATAGGATGCTTAGAAGCATCCCTGGTCTTTGCCCACTAGATGACAGTAGCTCCCCCTTCCTCCACACCTCTACTCCACAGTTGTGACGGTAGAAAATATAAATCTGCATAATTCCCCCAATCCATCCATGTTGAGATACACTACTATAATTAATTCTCTAGAATTCTTAAAATATTTACATCTTTTAGTGGATTAAACAAAACTCTATGACACACCTTAATATTTAGGGAAATTCTGCTTTCTCTTACTGTCCTTAACTCTTACTGTTTTAAGTGATTTACAAATATGAATTCCTTTCTTTTTGTTTTTTTTTTTTGAGATAGAGTCTCACTCTGTTGCCCAGCCTGGAGTGCAGTGGCGTGATCTTGGCTCATTGCAAGCTCTGCCCCCCGGGTTCACTCCATTCTCCTGCCTCAGCCTCCCAAGTAGCTGAGACTACAGGTGCCTGCCACTATGCCTGGCTAATTTTTTTGTATTTTTAGTAGAGATGGGGTTTCACCATGTTAGCCAGGATGGTCTTGATCTCCTGACCTCGTGATCCACCTGTCTCGACCTCCCAAAGTGCTGGGATTACAGGGGTGAGCCACTGAACCCGGCCCCCAATTCCTTTAATTCTTATAACATAGCCATAAGTTATACCCATAAGTTGGTTGCTCATTTTATAAGTGGGGAACCAAGGCCCAGAGAGGTTAACAAGTTTATCCAAGGTCACACAGCAAGTAAGTTGCAGATCTGGGATTCAAACCCCGATGTTCTGACTCTGAAGTCTGTGCTTTTAACCACTGTTCCTTTCACAAGGGAAAAGATTGGTATCTCTGGATCAATTGTCTTCAATTCTGAACAGGGGTATTTTTGTAAACATTCACTGGTTTAGGAGTGCCTAAATTGGGAATTAACAGTCACTCCTATCAATTATTTTAAATATTCACAGCTTTTTCTTCAACAACTTGCTCTTGAATAAACCCTGTCTTATGATGGGGCTTGCACACCCATAAACTTGCATTGATTGTGGAGGGCTGTGCATTAGAAATGCTGGGTATTCTTTGGAAGCCATGGGAAATATGCAGCCTGTCATACCTGAATTAATCCCTCAGTTCTCTATACCCATGGGAAAAGCCCCAAACTGATTGCTGTTTTGTATTTCCAGCTGTCTGATATTGTCATGCTATTCCCAACTCAAAATCTCTAGTGGGTCTTCACTTCCAGCTGCACTGAATCTAAACTTTGACAAGATGTCAAGACCTTTCATTATCCCACTATTCCCCACACAGTCCGTCCGCTTGGTATGGGCCAGCATCCTCACTTCCCATTCTATCCTCCATACAGCCAGGTATTCCACCTGTGCTTGTAAGGCACAGCACAAGTTCAATTCCTCTGTGAATTTTCCCCTTCATTGAAATCTTCAGGTTACTTTTTCCGAACTCCTTCAGCATGTGTTTTTTGCCATTGAAGTCCACTCATGAGGACAGAATTTTATATTTTGTATTTTTAAAATATGTTTTATACTCATCATCTCAACTAGATTGGGTAAGTCTTGAAGAAGAGGACTGTGTCTTTTATTGCAATTTGAGCCTCCACATTAGGCACAGGACAGGCACTCAATCAAGACGTTGACCCTTTGGTTATTCATTTATCATCCACCTTCACCCTCTTTTCACCATGAAGGGGGCCATGCCTTTGTGCCCTCACTTCAGTGGATGCTGCACTATAGCACAAAGTCCTCCAGTTACTGACTTGTAGCTCTATTGGTGGTCACCTGCAGGCCACCGATTAACAGTCTCCCAAGAAAATATAGTTTCTGAAAAACGTGAAACAGGGTGTCATATCCAGTCAGCACGATGCCGTTGCTTATTTTGGAGAGAGGATAAAAACTACAAATATTCATGCTGCTCTTGTGAAAAACACCAGTAACAAGCACCAATAGCTTGGTCTTGGTGTGGGTCGTATTGGTGATCGTGTCAGTGATATATGGTCATGTGTCTTTAGGGTAAGGTAGGTTTAGGTGTCTGCTAGGTTTCTAGTGCAGAAGTAACAAGTGTGAGAGTGATTTTCTTTTTTTAAAAAGCTAGTTTTGCATTGCAGTGCTTACCTTCCTTGATGATGATGATGGTATAATTTTCAGTGTTCATAGGGTTTGACCTTTTTCAGGCTTTCACATATAGTGTCTCTCTTAATGACAATATACATGTAATATACACAGAACAGGCAGAATTAACACAGATCCACACAACTATTGGAGTCCCAAGCAGTTAAAGAGGTTTGCTTAAGTAAATACAAAGCCCTAATTAAGTTAGTTTAAGACTTCCTACTTGCCCTTTAAATCATTTTGATTTTAAACGTCACATGATTCAGTGGGAGAAAACCCTGAATGCCACAATACACCAGAGTTTATAACATAAGAATAAAATATTCTTAAAAAATTTAATATGAAACTGGACTTTGGTTGACCTCAACAGAAACTGTTCAATTAGAAAACATTAAAAATTATTGAATGTCTTATGTGCTAGGCATGTTAAGGAACATAGTATAAGGGTTTTAGTAACACTTATTTCATTTTAAAAATCAACAAATGAAAAATTTAAGGGATAATTATAAAAGAAAAAACTGGCCAGGTGCGGTGGCTCACGCCTGTAATCCCAGCACTTTGGGAGGCCGAGGTGGGTGGATCACGAGGTCAGGAGATCGAGACCATCCTGGCTAACACGGTGAAACCCCGTCTCTACTAAAAATACAAAAAATTAGCCGGGCGTGGTGGCGGGCGCCTGTAGTCCCAGCTACTTGGGAGGCTGAGGCAGGAGAATGGCGTGAACCCAGGAGGCGGAGCTTGCAGTGAACCGAGATCGCGCCACTGCACTCCACCCTGGGCGACAGAGCAAGACTCTGTCTCAAAAAAAAAAAAGAAAACAAAAAACAAAAAGAAAAAACTACAAAGCAAAATGGGCATTATTTTTGCATTATTGTTTTTATAAGCTTCTTGGTAAATTATGAGTGTATAACCCGGTATTGCCCACTTTTATCCTGCATTTCTTTTATGGGTGGTAGAGATCATGTATATTCTGGATAACCTGGTCTATTAGCTATTCTAACTCCATATTGGCATCTTTCAGAAAAATTTCAGTTTTGCTATGGCTGGCAGCCATCTCTGACTCTGTTTAGTTACAACTGACCTGTCATACCCACACCCCACAGTAACATTCTTGCTGATAAACAGTCCTTGTTAATGAATTTTGACCTATTATTAGTATCAACAGATACATCGTTTACTTCACTAGTTATTAATGTCATGTTTAATTAATTCTAACCTCTGAAGATTTCCTGAATTCTAAATACTTTGCTTTCGGACAAATCCAGTGAGGTGAGTTAGGCCTCTTTTTCTCTCCCTGAGGGACCATCAGTGGGTCTCTCAACTATCCTCCTGGGAAGCTGATTTTCCCATAAATCTGTGAGAGAGTATTTGTGCTAACAACTAGAACTGGGAAGACATTACCTTCTTTATTTTCAGAAAGTAGTTCATGTTATTAGAGCTGATGCTGACAATAGCCAAGGCAACCTGCCACACTTCGATTAGGTGAACTTGGAAAATTTTCTCTAAGTAAAGTCTTTATGCAAGACAAAATAGTTTTTAAAATGAAGCAAGTAAGCATGCTTTGTGTTTTATTCCTGCTGGACTGACATTTCCCCAAGAAGGTCTCAGCATGCATTTGGCCATCACCATCACCACACATTTGGCAGCCATGACCACCATCACTTTGAAGCAGTGAGATAATAGATCAGCTTGCATGGTGAGATGCTTCTGCTTGACTTCTGGTTGCCATCCAGGTTCCTACTGCATCATCAAGATCCCATATCTTGAGTTGTAGAGAATAAGATTACCAAAATATTCGTTCATTGTTCTAAAAATTCATCAGAACTTATGTGCCAAAGGCATCTATGGGAAATAGTCCAATTTTTGAACTTCTTGAAGCTCCTAAAGAGCTTTCTAACTAATAGACCAAGTTAAATGCTAGGAATAGTAAGTTTCTACAAGGTAAATTTCAAATGTTCAGATTCAGGGTTTTAGGGACAGGTCTCAATCAGGGTTGATTGTTAAACAGGACAATCAAGGTTCGGAGAGGATAAGAAAATGACAACGCATGGCTTGCTTAAATTGTACCATGCTAATGATGTGATATTTATATTTCTATGTTTTTGTGTATTTACATTATATGTATATTCATAAGAACAGATAGAAGGAAGAGGTTAACATTGTTACCATGGGACCATGACATATAATGGTTAATTTTCATTATATGTGTGTGTCCTCTGTCTTTTCTCTCTCCCTCCCTCTCATAGACACTGCTTTTGCAGTCTGGGAAAAATATTGTTTTTTAAAAAAGTCATCTTGAAGAAAGAGCAATTGATACCTAGGACTATACATATTGAGAAAGACATAGCTGATGCATTTTAGGATATTAAAGGTCTGAGAGACTTTGTAGTGTGGCTGGGCCACATATATCCCTACAAGATCAGTTTCCTCTTGTTCATTTCAGCCCACTTCTATGTGCTCAGCTCTGCTATGGAGCTATGCTGGGCGTGGTGGCTCACGCCTGTAATCCCAACATTTTGGGAGGCTGAGGTGGGCAGATCACTTGAGGTCAGGAGTTCGAGACCAGCCTGGCTAAAATAGTGAAACCCCATCTCTACTAAAAATACAAAAAAAAAAAAAAAAATAGCCATTTGTTGTGGCACATGCCTGTAATCCCAGCTACTTGGGAGGATGAAGCATGAGAATTGCTTGAACCTGGGAGGTGTAAGTTGCAGTGGGCCAAGATTATGCCACTACACTCCAGCCTGGGTGACACAGCGAGACTCCATTTCAACATAAATACATACATACATACATACATATATAAAAAGAACTGTAGGGCTAACTGAAAACAAAAAAAGATGACGTTCCCTCATTCATGGCAAACTTCTAGAGAGGAGACAGACACACTGTGAAGATGGTGGTGCATTGAGCAATATGAGCAAATATCAACATTGTGGAGAAGCCAGGAGCAGGACAAACTGGCTGTGTTGTGGTTGATAATTGTGTTCCAGCATAATCTTGCCACTGTTTGCCAAACTTGCACTTTGTTATCCTTTGATTCATTCATGTATTACATAAATACTCATTGCGGTTTTATGGCACAATCCCCAAAACAAAGGCATCAAACATGAACATATTAAAAGAGTTTTCCCTGAGATGCCATCAGCTCATGGCTCCCACTGCATTTTTACTGGCCAGGGTAGACTGGAATTCTTCAGTCTGGAAGATGATACTCCAGAGAAACTCCTGATAGCAGTCAACCTGGTAGCTTTCCCCCTCAGAACTAAGAACAATTTCTCTTTGGTACATTTTTCAACATTGGGCATTTGCGGATGCCTTAGAGAATGTATGAAAAACAAGACAGAACATGCCATGTTAGGAGGTTCAAAAAACCTTGGAAATTCCTGGACATTTACTGAAGTGCTCCAGCCAGAAGGGCCTTCTCAACATCCTCAGCATATATTGTATGCATTTGCTTTTCTAAGAAAGAAAGAAACTCTCTTTGCTAGAGGTAGGGAACCAGTAATAGTAATAGGACCAAGGACTAATCTTACAGAACACAGTCCTTCAAAGAAAGAAGAAACATTTGTTATTGGAATTATATTCCACTGGATTTGACAGAGACTTTCTAACCACTTCTATCTTCAGTGGGTAGGCAGAAGACCTAAATATGAATGAAATTAGCCCTCTTTTAAATAACTTTTAGGGACATCGGATACAAACAATCTTAAATTTCATGAAGGCAAGGAATATCACCTAAAAGACAGTTTGGCACATAGTGTGTTCCATAAACATTTTTGGATCAAATAAGGCAGAATATTTTAAGTGTTAGAAGCATGGTCTGAACAAACATCTCTGGTTATTCAGAGAAAATAGACATCCTGCTTCATTGGAAGGGGCAGTGAGAGTTTCACCAAGGAGGACCCTTCTGTGGTTCATGGTAAAGAATAGATGGAATGGAGGAAAGTAGAGATGAGAGGGAAGGGTGTTTTATAAGAAGGGATGACATGAGCAATGGAGAGCAGCCTGGAGCTTGTCAAACACAAGAGGAGGTATAGGCTACAGAGACAGGTCAGGCCATACTGTGGAGTGTCTGCAGTGCCAGACGGAGAAGATGCCTAGATGAACGTGAAGATGGCAGGTGATTCTAGGCCTTTCCTCTTGCCTTTCTTCATTATTACTGGTAAAGCTAGAGAAGATCATACGAGACATGGTTTTAATGGATCTCTTGGTATTAGTACAAGGACCTTCCTTCTTGACTTCTAGAGAAGCCACTATACATTTTTGTCAGTCTCTCTCATATCCCAACATCTATTCTTTATCTCATATGATTATATTGCCCCCTCTGTGTTTCTCTCTCTGACTGTCTCCCTGTCCCCAAGTTTTAGTGTGATGGAAAATAAAATAGCAAGGTGACATGGTCTGGGAAGGAGGGTACATATCTGTGCTGCATAATACTTAAAAGAAATGTTAAGGAGTTTCGATACATTGATGGTCAGGTTTTCTCAATATGTTTTTCAGAAAAAATACAGAACATTAGGCAAGTGCTGCTTTAGTAAATAAAAATGTCCAACCCTCATTCTGCATTTCTTGGGAGGCAATCCTGTCCTTTTATACCACAGGAGAAATATCAATGTCTTAAATCTTTAACATGGATTTTCAGCAGTTCTTAAGGGCTGGAAGAAGGCAAACAAAAGGAAAGACTTGTCAGCTGTGGTGGCCACATCTGGGGTAGACAGTGTAGCCCAGATACACGTGAAATCCCTAAAATTTCTCTTAAACTTTCAGGCATCCCGTTGTCACTGAGCCCTCCCACATCAGTTATTGGGATGCAGTAATAAGCCATGCTCTATCATTGTTTTTAATGTCCCATCTTTCTTAGTCTGTATTTCTTCTGATCTGATTCCTTCTCCATCTGTTTCAGGTTTCCAGAACCAAAGACTTTCACCTTCCTAATTCTGTTTCTCTTTAACAAGACCTGCTGTTACATTCTTTAGTCACTTCAAAGTAAACACAGTCAATATCAGTTTACAGTGATATATCCCAGGAATACATGGCTTTTAACCCAAACCAAAGCCTTAAAGAAAAATCTCCCTGATGAATTTAACACTCTGCTTTCTGGGGTCCTTCCTAGTGTCCAGAGGATTGAGCAGCTTTATCTCTGAGCTGCACATTGGCAAAAAGCTCTTGGAAGGGTTCAAACTTTACAAGAATGATTCTATTATCAGTTTTTTAAAACCACCAGCCAATCCTGTTCAGTCAAGATTTTGTGTTTTCATCTTCCTGAGCCATTTGAGTTTTTTCCCCTGATTCACACCTTTAGAATAACTCCCACTTGCCTGCTTCCAGCCATCATTAGTAATACTCATCAATGATAGGCTAAAAAGTCACCAAGTTCTTTTGCTTTTGACTGAGATAATTTTCTTTCTTTTATTGTTATTGTATTTCTTAAAAGTTCTGAGTCAAAATATCTGTTTTTATGTTAATGAAAATGACAAATTCAATGAGTTGAATTTAACAAAGTTACTTGCTTTTGTTCCTTAGTTTTGTCTTTCACCAACTGCTAACACAAAGAAAGAACACAAAAGCTCACATTTTAGCTTTAGAATATCTATAGCAGAATAGGCAAGACTGGTTGGTGGACAACATACCAGATGACAAATAATTTGACCCAACACTTTGGTATTTGTATTAGTCAGGGTTCTCTAGAGGGGCAGAACTAATAGGATATATATATATATATATATATATATATATATATATATATATACACATATACATACACAGATACATGGGAGTTTATTAAGTAGTATTAACTGACATGATCACAAGGTCCCACAATAGGCTGTCTGCAAGCTGAGGAGCAAGGAGAGCCAGTCTGAGTTTCAAAACTGAAGATCTTGGTGTCCGATGTTTGAGGGCAGGAAACATCCTGCACAAGAGAAAGATGTAGGCTGGGAGACTAGGCCAGTCTCTCTTTTCACATTTTTCTGCCTGCTTATATTCTAGCAGCACTCACAGTTGAATAGTTTTTGCCTACCCAGGTTAAAGGTGGGTCTGCCTTTCCCAGCCCACTGACTCAAATGTTAATCTCCTTTGGCAACACCCTCACAGACACACCCAAGATCAATATCTGTATCTTTCAATCCAATCAAGTTGAAACTCAGTATTAACCATTACAGTATTTACTCTTTTTCCTAAAAGCCATTCTTGGATCTACAGGAAGCACAGCCGTGAGTTGACATCCAGATGGGCTCTACTTCAAGAGATAACGAGAGGGAGGCCCAAATACCCCAAAGCAATGAAATTACACCTTGTTTTGAACAGATGGCACAGCCAGAGACCTGGAATTTCCTAAAATGCAACCAAAAAATTTGCCTTAGTGCAAATGTGTTAAATATTAATATTATTATAGATATTAGTCATCAAAAACTAACTTCAACATTGACAAGATGTGGAACAATTAGAGCCCTTTTGATTGCCTGATGCTTAAGTGAAAGTATGCAAAGTGGTCCTTTGAGGGGATAGCACTGAGCCTAGGAAAGTAAATTCCTTTAGCAACATGTTGGTCTCGTGTTGTCCCCACTTCCCTCTAATGTACGGTCACTCATGAAGGGAGCAGTGGGAATTCAGAAAAGGTAAGGTCCAGATAGAGTCAGGCAGCTGTCTCATTGGATTGGTTTGTACAAAGGTAACTTAGGTCTGACTCTCAGGCAACCACTGATATGCTATTTATTAATCTGCAAGGAAATGTTCACATACCTGCCTCTACACCTTTTCTCATGCTAATCCTCTGCCCTTTTGCCATTTTTCCGTCACATCCATTGAATCAAACCCTTTCCAGCCTTTAGATATCCTCAAGAGACCTTTCCAAAATATCTGAAAATTTCATGCTCTAATGTTAACTTTTGTTTCACTTACTATCCATCATATTACCTGGGAATTTTATTGGGCTCCATTATTTGGTATATTTCACATGTATATTTTTATCTACACAAATTTATTCTGGGCTCAAGAATTCAAATAAACTCACACATTTTTCTTTGTCTTGGATCCTTCCTTTCATCACATGGCATATAACTTAGCGTATGTATGTATGTGTGCATATTTACACAAATTACAGAATATATACATATATTACCTATATCTGTATCTACATAGATATAGATGCATAATATATTTTCTTCAATAACCTGTAGGGGTGCATTACAGGGAAGTAG
Organism: Homo sapiens; assembly: GCF_000001405.40. Taxonomy (NCBI): domain Eukaryota; kingdom Metazoa; phylum Chordata; class Mammalia; order Primates; family Hominidae; genus Homo; species Homo sapiens. The sequence continues at coordinate 38,057,269 of NC_000018.10, forward strand.
GCTAACACTCAGTATGAAACTAGCAATTACAATGGTTCAATAATGAAAAATGGTTTTCCTTTTTAGGTTTTGGTACATTGCATTCATCCATCCACCATTAGGCTGAGTTTCCTCAGAGGTGACATGATGTGATTGCCTGAAGAAAATGCATATTCTCTTTTCCTGCATAGAGCTTTTTCTTCTTGCCAAGGTGAGGTATGCTGGAAACCTAGAGGGTAACCTCATAATTCCCTTTACTGCTCTATGAAATCTGCTGCCTGGAACAGTAAGGTAAGTAGACTGTTCCTTGTTTCATTTTCTCTGATTTTCCTTACTGCCCTTTGATAACTTTTAATCCTTTAGATCCCAAGCAAAAGGTACCATGTCCCATCTTTCTTAGTCTGTATTCAGCTTTGTACCTGGGCCTCCAAGTCCAACTGTATCCAGTGCCATTCCATGTAGAAAAGAAAAGCTAATAAAATATTCTCTAAATATTCATCATTAGTTCTTATAAGTATTTTTTTCTCACAGAAAATTCCACTTCCCTCCTTAGTTCTTGAATGTCCACACACAGAGAAGGATGGAAGAGGTCTGTTTTGTGCCAACTCTTATCTAAGTTGTTAAGGATTTTAGTAGCTATAAAGACTCTTATTATTCTCCTCACTGACCATCTGTTAGTGTTGCCAGGGAATCACTAAGGTGAAGATTTTGGAGAGGAGTAAAGATGATTTGGACCTAAGGGAATGAACACATTTATGACATATTATTATACATTTCACTAGAAGTGTTCAAGTACATGTTTGTATTTTTTTTTATTTTGATAGAGGAGAGGGACTGATATATTGATGGGAAGGTTAGAAGGAATGCAAATTTCTAGTCTCTGAAGAAATCATGTATATGGTCACTATTGATCTTGATTCACATTTATTTGAAATTTACATCAATATGAAGGAACTTCCAAAAGTTCATGGAAAATGCATATTAGGAAAAAATTATGCATGGATTTCAAAATGTTTTTGCACAAAAATCAACTCATATTAACTTGTTATAATATTCCTGAACAGGATCTAGTTTGAGGGACTAAGAAAGATAAGACATCAGTTTTAAAAAGCTCCTATCAGGGCAACATTATTCTGCTAAATTAAAACAAGATCAAACATCAAATTTATGGTAAAGTTTGAGTGGGAGAATGGTGAATCATTGATGCTTTATGAAAAGTTTATGGGGACAATGCCTCAGAAAAATCAGCAATTTGCCAATGTATAACTCATTTTAAGAAGGGATGAGATGCTGTTGAAGATGAAGCCCACAGCAGTAGATCATACATGTCAATTTGCAAGGAAAAATTAATCCTGTTTGTACCCTATTAAAGAGGACCAATGATTAACAACACAAACAATAGCCAACAACATAGATATCTTAATTAGTTGAGTCTACACAATTCTTACTGAAAAAGTACAGTTTAAAAAACTTTCCATTTGATAGGTGCCAAGAGGATCAATGATTAACAACACAAACAATAGCTAGCACCATAGACATCTCAATTAGTTAAGCTTACACAATTCTGACTGAAAAATTAAAGTTTAGCAAACTTTTCATTTGATGGGTGCCAAAACTATTGTGCCCAGATCAGCTTCAGACAAGAGCAGAGCTTTCAAAGGACTTTGTAAACAAGTAGGTTCAAGATCCTGCAGCATTTCTTAAAGAATTTAAAAGGAGAAGAAACATGGCATTACCAATATGACCCTGAAGACAAAGCACAATCAAAGCAATGGCTACCAAGTGGTAGGAAATGGTACGGTCAACACAAAAGTGGACCAGTCAGAGCAATCAGACAGAGCTTCACCAGGGAGTTCTTTTCCACAAAGACCACTGTCCTGCTCATTCTTCTTATCAAATAAGGGCAATTCTGTGATAGTTTTGATGATAAATTATTAGGCATTCACCCTATAGTCCCGATTTGGCTTCTTCCAAATTCTTTTTATTTTTATTTTTTTAATTTTTCTTTTTTTTCTTTTTCTTTTATTATTATACTTTAAGTTTTAGGGTACATGTGCACATTGTGCAGGTTAGTTACATATGTATACATGTGCCATGCTGGTGCGCTGCACCCACTAACTCGTCATCGAGCATTAGATATATCTTCCAATGCTATCCCTCCCCACTCCCCCCACCCCACAACAGTCCCCAGAGTGTGATGTTCCCCTTCCTGTGTCCATGCAATCTTATTGTTCAATTCTCACCTATGAGTGAGAATATGCGGTGTTTGGTTTTTTGTTCTTGCGATAGTTTACTGAGAATGATGATTTCCAATTTCATCCATGTCCCTACAAAGGACATGAACTCATCATTTTTTATGGCTGCATAGTATTCCATGGTGGATATATGCCACATTTTCTTAATCCAGTCTATCATTGTTGGACATTTGGGTTGGTTCCAAGTCTTTGCTATTGTGAATAATGCCACAATAAACATACGTGTACATGTGTCTTTATAGCAGCATGATTAATAGTCCTTTGGGTATATACCCAGTAATGGGATGGCTGGGTCAAATGGTATTTCTAGTTCTAGATCCCTGAGGAATCACCACACTGACTTCCACAATGGTTGAACTAGTTTACAGTCCCACCAACAGTGTAAAAGTGTTCCTACTTCTCCACATCCTCTCCAGCACCTGTTGTTTCCTGACTTTTTAATGATTGCCATTCTAACTGGTGTGAGATGGTATCTCATTGTGGTTTTGAGTTGCATTTCTCTGATGGCCAGTGATGATGAGCATTTTTTCATGTGTTTTTTGGCTGCATGAATGTTTTCTTTTGAGAAGTGTCTGTTCATGTCCTTCGCCCACTTTTTGATGGGGTTGTTTGTTTTTTTTCTTGTAAATTTGCTTGAGTTCATTGTAGATTCTGGATATTAGCCCTTTGTCAGATGAGTAGGTTGCGAAAATTTTCTCCCATTTTGTAGGTCCAAATTCTTTTTGTTTACTAAAGAATCTGTTAAGGGCACCCCATTTTTCTTCAGTTATTAATGTAAAAAAGACTGCTTTGACATAGTTAAATTCTCAAGACCCTCAGTTCTTTAGAGATAGCTTATATGGCTGGTATCATCAGTCATTTTACCTGGATGGAGCTTATGTTGAGAAATAAAGTTTATATTTAATCCTTTAAATTATCTTTTAATTTCACTTTTTTCATGAACTTTTTGAAGCCTCCTCAGATCACATACACCTATATGTCTTATTTGACAGTGAGTGTGACTTAAATGCATGCTTTGTAAGTCACTTATACTTAAATGTGATGGCATAATCACGTAAAAGCTTTCTAGTGGTCCTGATTCCATGTATTTAACTGGGCATTTGGATATTTCAATGGATTCATTGTTACTTATAGGCTATGTTTTTTTTTTCTCTCTCTTGTATCAACCACTGTGGCTAATTAGGCAGAAGATTCAAATCGTCATGAATTTTTCAGGCTGATAGGTATTCCTTTCCAGGGATAATTTGTTGCTATCAGAGGAATGACCATGGTCGTACTTTGTTGGTAGTGTCTGACCTTATTTCCTTGTTCAGACTGAAATTAGTTGGGCGCCTGTGCCAAGAAGGTCATTTAGTAAATCATCTCTCTGAAAACAAGTCTGTTTTAGGGACTGTCCTTTTCTTGTTCCCCTTCATTGCCTACTCTCGCCTCTACTGCTGCAGACTCCATCAAGAAGGAATAAGACTCAAAGAAACTTTTACCCAGGATTTCAGAAACTTAAAAAATTCAGTGAAGAACCTAGTTATAAAACTTGCATAGAAGACTAGAATAATTCCATTCGATGAGCTTTCTGTGTTAACAATGAGGAAGATTTGGCATACACCAGTTAGGGACAGAATTTTTATAACTGAATGAGAAATAAGGAAAACTATTTTTTATATGGTTTGCTATTGCCATGCTAGGGATGCTGGAAGAATTGATTTCCTGGGATGGCAAAGTAAGGCCATTTCATTTAACCTTTTCCTCCAGACATATAGGGGGAACTTCCGAGCACTAATCCCTCACCCCTCGCCACAAGTTGTTGTTTTCCAATTACAGCTGATTAGTGGTTGGAATTATTAGTAAGAATTACACAACTATTTATGTCTGTTGAAAAAGTCATCAGTACTAATTTTTGCAAATTGGTTGTAATTTCCAAAGAAAATATCAATTAATTCATTCGTTAAGAATTGTAATGAGTTAGCCCATTGGAGACTGGCATGGCAGTAAGAGCACAGAAGTAGTTCTCAGGACGTCAAGGTTATAGATTACCCTTGGCAATTCCAAGAACTTTGGATTTTTACTTTACCAGCATAAAAAAAAAGATCATGTTCCTTAAAGATAAGACGAGAGTATCTAAAAAAAAAAAAAGGCCTATTTCAATCTTCATTTTTTTTTCCTTTGGCAATTTTCTTTCCTAATTTTCCATTGGGAAGAGACAATGTGGTATTTAACCTCTTTGCTCCCTCATGATTTGTATATAGTTAGGGATTCAGATATGTTATCCTTCAGCTCTAAAAGAAGCCACTATATTGGAACACAAGGGGTCATTTTACTTATGGGTGTACATACTTTTTAATTAAAAATTATTTTATTGCTTTTGTTAAGTAATTAAATTTAACAAGTAATTTCTCACAAATATTTATTAATATTAAATTGTTTTTGGCATATACCAGTAAATAGCAAGCAGTTGCTTTACTCTGCATGTGTAATTAGAGTGACTAAGTAATTATTTTTTTCTTCGAGTGCAGTCGACACTATCACATTTTTCTAAGTTTTGTTTCATTTTTATTTCAATTAGTGAATGCTTAATAGAATCCAAGATAAGGGGTGTCTGTTAGCAAGGAGGAAAGCTGAATCTCTTACTCAATATTTTGAGAAATATAAACACATACTGTGTGCCATGCCTGTATTCCCATATGCTTTATTTTCCTACATATTGTCTTCCTTCCTTTGCTTAGTGACCCTGTGTCTTTCCATTATTATCTAGATGGCTATTAAAACCCTTCTAGAATGCACATTTTAACTAAAAAGATTTAATTTTACACATTTAGACTTTTATTCAGGTAGGAACAAAGAAGTGGTATGTCAATTCAGCTACCCATTTGCTCTGCTGAATCCTTATGATGCTCTTGTGCTTCCTCAGATGTTATTAATTTCCTTGCATTCCTCTTTATCATCAGCAAATGTCCTTTAAGAGTCACACTGTGCAGGCTACATGCCATGAGCAGGGCCTTCTATGCATATTGACTTATGAGAAGCTCAGCATTAGGTGGAGAGAAGGCAGAGTCAATATGATAGCTCCTCCCACAAACATTCATTAAAGTTAATGAAAAGCAAATATAGGAGACATTTGCTCCTAGGACAAACACACTTAGGAGACATCTGATGAGACATGACAAAAGATGAAGGGCTACCAATGCAGTAAATGTTTAATACCCTTGCAGGACCATGCTGAAGGAGAATCTTAACCACCACCCAGGTCTCCAGCCTAAGTGACATATTCTGAGCAACAAAATCTACAATTCTTTGTTTGGAACCACAGATACGGAGGGAACTCTCCTGGATACCCTTTGAAGCAAATCTTTAATAGAAATAAAGTTGGGGTTAAACAAATAATTATACCATAACCTAGACTTTCCCATGTGGTTAAGGTAGGTAACAAGGACCAGATTTATCCTCCCACCTGAAACAACTTCTCCCTCCAAAAAAAGAAAAAAAAGAAACAAAAGTTATAAAACAACCATTTCCAAAACCTGGACATCTGACAACAGTGATCCATGAAAGATGGAAAACAAGTAAGAGCTACATTTTCCTAAGATTATTGCCTTGAGAGAATTTCAGGCCATAGAGCAGGGAGGAAGAACCCAGAGCCCAGTGAGCCCCCTAAGTTGAGATGGGGTTGGGACTATGAGGAAGTGTTGGTGGCTAGAGTTTGCAGGGCAGATTGAGAGGATAGCTGACCCTAAAGAGAAACCTGAGATCTGCAGAGGGTGACCCTCAAGAATTCAGCACTGTATTGATCAGCAAGTGCAAGTGAGGAAACTACTTGAGGCCAGAGACAGAATACCTGGAAAAGATGAGAAGGGAGGGCACCAGGGCCACGTAGTGCCCAACTGGTGCCTGTTCCCACCAGCCAGACTGGAAACTCAAAATGTATGGGGTTTTGGTGAAGTGCTCAGAGGAGTTTTCTTCAGTAGTGAGGGAGAACTAGTCTTTGAATAAATGCTGCTGTGGTCTTGCCTAGAAATTCTCTTAATAAGACCCAAGAGAATCAAGCTGTTTTTGATAATACTATAACTCATATTTGCAGGAAGATGGGATTTGGTGAAGTGAGGGGAAGAAAAGTCTGCATTGTGGAAAGGCTTGTGGGGTTTATCTTCATTGCTGGAGGGAAATAATGACAAGTGGCTATGAGAATTCATGTACCTCACCCTATGACCAGCCACGATGAAAATCCCTGTAAACTCCAATCTGCTACCAGAAGCTGGCCTGGAGGACCTGCCCCACTCAAAGATGAGTAATAAACAGAAAGGTGCAGAGAATCTATCTTGAAAAATGATGAAAGGAACAAACCATTGCAGAAATGAAGCCCATACAACATAAAGGAGAACAGACTTTGAAGAAAACAAAGTTAAAAAAATAATAAAATTGAGAGACAGATATCAGGATTCAGAACAGTAAGCAAAGTGAAATGAAGTGAACAAAATTAGAAATAGTGGAATGGCAGATATGGAAGACAAATCAAGGGGGTTGAACATAGAACATAAACATAGCAGTATCCTAAAGGAACAAAAAAAACCCATTAGGTTGAAAACTATCCTTAAATATGAAAAATAATTTTCACAAATAAAAGATGACTTTAATTTTATTCAGTTGTTTCTTTACTTCTTTCAAAAGCAAACTTAAGATACGTCTTCCCCAACAAGCCTTTTTGACTTACTGGGTACTGAACTTACTCTATTCTTGCAGCACAAATTGATATATGCTACAATGTATCTTGTCTCCAAGAATTACACTTGCTTTTGTTGCTGTTGTTTTTAGTTTGGATAATTAAGCAGTTTTATGAGGACTGGGGCTGCATCTTTCTCCTTTTATATCCCCTTTTGCATTTTGTTACAGACTTTGTACAGGGTCAGTGTAGTGTGAACAATGGAGTAAAACCATGAAATACAAATTTTCTCCATGCCTCAATGCAGTGGTTTCTGGGAGCTGACTTGGCAGTTCTGTTGTGTTTCTGAGGTTGCCAGTTAGCTCTCTGTTACTGATTTTCTGTTGCTATCCTAAAGGTAAGTGAAAAACTGAAGAAGTACAAATATTTGATCAGGGCATTGGGAGTCAGGATTTTTTTTTTTTTTCTGTTTCTCTATTGCCAAATATTCTAAGTCAATTTAAAGTGCAGGTACTCTCAAGAACACTGGACAAGGTGTGAGGGCACTGGAGTTCTAGGGCAGGGATATCGCTAACTTGCTATGTGCCCCCAGATAAGTTACTTGATCTTCATTCTGCTGTATCTTGGGGCTAGAACAGTTCCTGACTCAATATAAGCACTTAATAATTATGTTTTGAATGAAAGAATAATTAGCTTCAATTTCCTCCTAGGTCAAATGAGGGACTTGTACTAGCATGGTCTCTAGGAACTGTTTGCACCATAAAAATCTAAAAACTACCAGCTTTCCTCCGATTGGTAAGCATTTACGCCATGCATTTCAATTGCAGCAACTCTGCAGATGCCTGTTGTTTTTATGGAAGACGTGTTTGTCCCCACATGCGCTGTTTACACCTTCCATGTAGATTGTAATGTCCATCCTAAGTTGCACAACTTTTGAAAACAGCCAGCAAAAAGTCCAGAGGGCACACTGAAGGATTCTTACAGGAAGCTTATAGCCTGTCTCCTTTGGCTAATTTGCAAAAGCATTTTTTGATTTAAAACAGAAGGAGGGTGAATCCCTGGGAGAAAACTCACATCCACTAATGTTCCTTCTGGAGTGAATTATTAGAGGAAGCCCCAGATGGATTATAGACAAAGGTTAAACTTTGAGACACTAATTTATTGAAAAGGTAAAGATAGTAAAAGAACAAAAAGTGCCCTGAATGTTATGTTTGTGTGTCCTTTTTGCCCCATGCTTTCCAGTATGTTAAGGATCTTTGAAAGGCATATGTTCATCTGCAGAGGCAATGTCACCTAACATCCTAAGAAAAATCTTTGCCACTGGAAGCTGTTGAAATGACATTCTAATAGGATTCTCCAATTAGACAAAAAAAAAAAAAAGGACAAACTCTAAAGAAGACATTTCATCTTGAAAAACAGCAAAGCTAATGGAGCTGTTTGGGGACAGTGGTATAAAAGCATTGAGTGATGTTCTGGAAAAGCATTTTGGCATGTAGTGACATTTAATACTATATCCTATCAATTTGAAGATGCCCACTATGTTCACATTTTAACATTTCTGGAATAATTTTATAACTAATGAAGGCTGGTGATTGTTGTGGATCAGGTGACAGAGAGGTCCAGTTGTAATCATCTGCACATATGAGGACTCAGTTATTTTTGGTGGTGTAGCTCAGAAATCATAACTTCCCAATATTTTAGTCACTACATCTTTTAAAGATCATTCGGAGAAGAAATTTGCATCTTGATTCTTTTCTGAAAACTTCAGTTGACACTACCTGGTAGGATCAAGAAAGCACTTTCATCAAAACTTGCAGAAATAGGGGCAGTGGTTTGGAAGAATGTTCTGTATACAATAACAGAACAGTCTTTTAAGAAATAAAGCATCACCAACATGCTTGAGGACATAGACAACAATATACATAAATCTTTATATATTTTCTCAGTATTAGTGCTTTAATGTTTATTTTTTACTTTCTTCACTTATCCTCAAATTCTAGCAAATAAATCATGCATTCACAGGACCCTCATTCAGTGCCGTTGTCTGTGAAGATATTGTGATCAGGTGAATATTGGAAAGTACACTTTAAAAATATCTTTATAGGATTTCTCAAAAATGTTTCTGTAAAAATGAAGTGTGATAGATGAATCCATTAGTGGTCCTACTTAATTGTTTCTCTATATCCACACCCTTTGCAGTGTTACTGCGTCAGGAATTGGTATATATTTCTCTAGTCTTTGAACCTGGGATAACCTTGTGACCTACTTTGACAAAGAAATAAAGAGGCAGTGATGGTGTGCCACTTCTGAGCTGGGCCTTAAAAAGTCTTGCATATGGCAGTGTGTGGTGGCCGATGCCTGTAATCCCAGCACTTTGGGAGGCTAAGGCAGGTGGATCACCTGAGATCAGGAGTTTGAGACCAGCCTGACCAACATGGTGATACCCCATCTCTACTAAAAATACAAAAAATTAGCTGGGCGTGGTGGTGTACGACTGTAGTCCCAGCTACTTAGGAGGCTGAGACAGAAGAATTGCTTGAACCCAGGAGGCAGAGGTTGCAGTGAGCAGAGATTGCACCACTGCACTCCAGCCTGGGAGACAGAGCTAGACTCCATCTCAAAAAAAAAAAAAAAGTCTTGCATTTGTGTGCCCTCTCTTAGAATACTGCTATATCCGTGTAGTTGTTCGATGGGGGATGAGTGACCATGTGCAAGACAGTCTGGTTGTCTTATTAGCATCATTCCAGGCTACCTTAGAGTCAGCCAACCTGCAAACATATGAGAGAACTCAACCAAGAACAGCAGTGTTAGCTTACATTACATAGAGCTGAACACTTCTGATCAAACTCAGCCAAGAACAGAATTATCCAGCTGACTTTTAGAGTCATAAGCAATAAAAATACTTATTGTTTAAGTCACGTACATATGGGGTGATTTGTTACACAGCAATAGCTAACTGATACATGAGGGGCAGCATATGCTTCTCACATAAAAGCAGGTCAGCCTGAAGTTCACATCAAGATGTGTTTTCTTAAGGTGTTTTGAATCTGAATCCCACATATCCATCTATTTCTACACTTCCCGGAGCAGAAGCACTGAAATTCTGTATGACAGGCTGCTTTTGAGATATTTTCAACTTAGTTGGAATCAGGATTTGCCAGAAATGTTGTGAGACAGCTTGTTTAAGTGAGATTTCCTGCTCAGTTTCTTTTTTTAAAAGATAGGGAGAAAAAGAAAAAAAATAATGATTTTTGGATAGAGTTCATCCATGCTGGACACATTTGGACATGTAGCTGAGGGGAACCAATGTGTAAGGATCCTTAAGTTCTTTAGAAACTTTGGCAAGGTCTCAAACCACCTGAGAATTCTTAAGATTAAATGTTTGAAGTGTGATTCTAAATTAATAACACTGACATCACAAATTACTCCCACAGACTAATTTCTCACTCTTCATAAATATTCTGTTTACAGATTGTTCTATCTTCCTATAGCTGTTTTTTAATTTAAGCTGTGTATATTCTCTCACTACCATGCTTGTTAATTATTAAAAGATTTTCTCCTTTTTTTTTCAGGCTCACACTGAAAGGTGAGTTTTAGCCAACTTACTATTTGGTTAATATTTTACATTTCAATTTTCCAATTCAAACCAGGGAACCAGAGAAGGGTATGAATAAAACTTAAGCTATAGGTGCATATTTAGAAAAAAGAAAGAGCAAATGATGAATATGTATGAAACTTATTTAAAATGCCATATTTATGAGGAAAGGAAAAATATTGGAGCCTCACTTTCCCTTTACATATTTTCAAAACACCACATGGGATTGAATGGGACCAAGTGAAAAGTATAAAATTTGTTGAGTGTGGTGGGTGTTTGAGTGTGTCAGTGCAGTGAGAAGTTGGCAATGTGAATCCTCTGGGGCTTGTGGGTAGGACACATAGAAGCCTTGGCAATAGGGAAAGACATGAGTTTTCTTATGCCTGATTTTCAACGGGACATTTGGAGGATGCTTGCCATCTTTCTGTGGCCGTTTATTTGATCCTAGAGGCCAAGAGTGCAAAGGCTCCAAGTTGCTTGCTGGTGGGCCAGGACACGGGCTTGCATTCACCTCTGCAATACTTGTACTGCCTTGTGGCTGCTCTAAGCCTGATCAAAGCCAAAGTGGTAGTAATGTGAAAGGGAAGAAAGGGCCAGAGGAATGTTCCACCCTAGGGATTTCAATTCAGCCAGCATTTATTTCACCCACTGTATGCCCAGGCCTGTATTAGGCCCTGGGTAGTTGAAGCAATATCTGGAAGAGAAGGGGTCTGTACTCTCCAACTCCCAGCGTGTCCACACCAGGAAAAGTGACACATATGCACAGGAGGCATGAACAGGGGAGTCAGTGTTCATGACAAAGGTTCTAGTTAAATGAAGCAAGTCCAGCTGTTCTTTGGGAATCCATGCAGCAGTAAACATGAATAACATAGATCCATGTACCAGCACAGAAAAGTCTCTAATATATATGGTTGAATAAAAACAAACAAATAAAAAAAAAACCTCAAGTTATGACCTACAATGTAATACCACTTGGTATCACTATAAACCAACTTAAAAAGAACAACTATACATTTCTACCTTGTAGGTATATCAATTTATGGAAAAGGATCGGGGTGGCATGCACAAAATAAGGGCACTGGGATGCAGAGAGGGGGCTGGTCAGGAAGTGTGTGCATATCTTGTTACTATAACACATTTATAACAAATTTATGTAGTTGATTTAAATAAAGAAATTAAAAATAAAATAAATAAATAAATGATATGCGCATAAAGAAAACTTATTTACCAACATTTCCCTACCCTGCATCATACACACAAAAACAAAGACATTCACCTTTAGGTTCTTTATTATCTGGTTGGAGAAATAAGACTCATAGATATATTTCATACTTTAACAAAATGATATACGATCTTTTCTTGATTTCTGTAATATTTTTTTGTTTTGGTTCTCTACCCTGCCTCTCTTTATTCTTCTCTTTCCTGATCTTTCCTTTTCCTTCTCAATTCCCAGTGTGGGAATTCTCTAGGGCAAGTCTTCAACCCTTTCACCCTCTTTCTGATCATTTTCACCCATTCTCACAAAATCCAACGTAGCCACTAATAGGATTTTTTTTTTTTTATTTGAGATGGAGTCTCGCTCTGTTACCCAGGCTGGAGTGCAGTGGTGTGATCTTGGCTCACTGCAAGCTCCGCCCTCTGGGTTCACACCATTCTCCTGCCTCAGCCTCCCGAGTAGCTGGGTCTACAGGCGCCCGCCACCACGCCTGGATAATTTTTTGTATCTTTTGTATTTTTAGTAGAGACGGGGTTTCACCGTGTTAGCCAGGATGGTCTCGATCTCCTGGCCTCGTGATCCACCTGCCTCGGCCTCCCAAAGTGCTGGGATTGCAGGTATGAGCCACCGTGCCCAGCCTAATAGGATGTCTTAACTTCAATTTCTAGCTTCATTCTTCCCTCTCTATTGGGCATCTCTCCTTGCATGTTTGCCACGATTTTGGGCTCAGTATTTCTAAACCAAAATTAATCTCTCCTTCTATCTTCAATGGGTCATTTATCCTTCTCCCTGATGTGCTTATTTGACATTGCATGCTTGTATCAAAACAGCTCATGTACCCCATAAATATATACAACTACTATGTATCTACAAAAATTATTAAAAATATCTTGACTTCTTGATTTCTACCAAAGACATTGCCACCAGATTGAGGAGCCTATGTCCTCAGTAATTTCTCCTTTTCCAGCTCCCTTGCCATTCACAATGTCCCATCCAGTCTTCCTTTCCAATGCTTTTTTGCATCCATGCTTTCATCTTTGTCTTAGTTAAGGCTGCTATAACAAGTAGACTGGGTAGCTTAAACAATAATTATTTTTCACAGTTCTTGAGGCTAGAATTCTGAGATAAGAGTGCATTCATGGTCAGGTCTGGTAAGGGCCCTCTTCCAGGTTGCAGACTACTGTCTTCTTGTATCTTCACAGGGCAGAAAGCAGAAAGAGAAAGCAAGCAAGTCCTCTAACTGTCTGTTCTTATAAGGGTACGAATCCCATTCGTGAGAATCCTGACATCATGACCTAATTGCTTCCCAAAGGCCCCACCTCCAAATACCATGTTAAGGATTGGGCTTCAACATATGAATGTTGGGGTGACACAATACCCAGTCCTTAGCCATCTTCATTTGTACATTTCCTTATTGTATTATCTTAACCAAAAGCACACATAAAGGCAAGGCAGAAAACTAAGCTAATTCTTTCAGTAACTGAAGGCTTCCAAATGTTTATTTACCTACCTGTTGTATATGTTAAATGACTTACTTTGTTTGGGATTGCATGATTACCAGTTTTTTTTTTTTACTTTCAACCATTAGTCACCAAGAATTTATCAAGTACCAGTTTTACAATCAGCCTTGGGAGATATAATAAACATAGAAGACATGAGCTCTTCTTTTGAAGAACTAATTGATGAAAAAATGTCATTAATAAATAAAAGAAGTAATTTGAAATAAATCTTACAGCAATATAGAATATGTACAAAACATGGAGAAAACTAAATCCATAATGCTGCCCCCACTTCTTTAGTTCCACAAATATTGAGAATCAACTATATGTCACACACTAATCTAAGAACTGGGGATATGGCATAGAAAGTCAGAAAATGCCTCTGCCCTTATGGGACTTCTATTCAAGTGCAGAGAAATAGATACTAACCAGGTAAGCACATAATTAGGATAATTTCTGAGAGTGACAAATGCTATAAGAAAAAAATAATATGGGATAATATGACACATAGGGCCTAGGGATAAAATTTAGCTAGAAAGGTCAAGGAAACTCTCTCTAAAGAGACAATATTTGAATTGAGTCCTGAATTTTAAAAGGCACCAGCTATGGGGAAACCTGGAGGTAGAAGGTCACAGGCTTGTCTTACTCCAATAACAGAATCCCAAGATAAACATGTGCTTGAGGAATTGCCAGATAAAAGAGGCTCTTGAGAACAAGAAACAACCTGAGTTATATTGAATACCATGAGCCAAATGATGGTTGGCAACTGGGGATCTAGGGCAGGACCTATTTGGAGGGAATCAAGTTTTTTTAAAGGGAAGTTTCATAAATGCTCTCTCCATGACTTGGACCTTTCTGGACACACTGACTATGAAATAGCCCCTTCAGACACCTTCTCGTTTCCCTGACCACACACATATTTCTATAGAGTAGCATGTAAGTCAGATGGATAAGTAAAGAATAGAAAAATAAATTTACTGGGAAAGGGAACAGCTAAGTGAATCAACATTTTCCTAATTGGATTCCAGAGGCATTTGTCTGTCTGAGAGTGAGATGTTTGATATTCTGGTTGAGTAAGTTCTTGATTCCAGGTCATCAATTATGATAATAGAACAAATCAAAAAGTTTCCAGCAAACAGAAATTCTTCATTTCCTGGCTCCTACTCAACTTTATTGATTGGACCATTGGGTAAGACTATAAATTTCATGTAGAAGCACTAGAAAAGCTTTGGCTGGGCCCTTTGCTTTCTCTAATTTCAAAAAAATGTTCAAAGTGCCTGGGAGAATTTGGATTATTCATCCCACTCTCTTCTATGCCTATAGGCAGGGGCAGGTGCTTCGTAGACAAAATTGCCTCCGCTCTTGTTTTAAATGTAATGGCTGACGATGCATATCACGAAAGAACTGAGTATCTACAACCCTTATTGTCTTCTAAAATATCCCTTCCAATAGTCTTCCAAAATGCTAAAATAATAATCATTAGAAACTCTTCCTTAGAGTTATATAACATGGGCTCCTTCTTAAATAAATATATGTTCCTAAGAAAGGAGGGAAGGCCCTGTTTGTATGACTCATTCATCTTTCTAAACAGGTTCATATTAATATACATCATGAGACAGCATGAAGTAATGAAAACTATAGAAGACTTGAGGCCAAAGACCTAAGTTCAAGGCTCAGACCCTTCTCTCACAAGCTGTGTGATTTAACAAATAGTTTAATTTTTGTAAATCATAATTTCATCTGCTGCTAAAGCTAAACACTATCTGAGTATGTGTTGTAGCTTTGTAAATGTTAATACATCAAAGAAATATAAACTGTTGTGAATGTTATCATTTGATTAGTAGAGATTAATGTTTAGATCAATTTCATCATCATTTTGGAAGGTACTGAAATTCTGAAAGAATTTTATACAGCTAAATCCTGTGGACTTTGGGTAAATTTGAAATATAATAAAAAGAATGTTAGGTGGTTGTCTATTGTGTGCTGGAGTAGATGTTAAATATCATACATATATTGTCATTTCATCCTCACAACTGCCCAATGAGGTAGTTACACCTAAAATACAGTGATAAGTAAAGATTATAGAAGTTAATTTACTTTCTCAAGGTCATGTCAGTATCTAGTAGAGGTCTTCAAAGCTCAAGTTCCTAAGCATTCAGTAACCTTGCCTTCCACTCAGCACAGTATACCAATGCTGGGTTCTAGAAGGAAACCAGAATTGTAAAATCTGAGAACTTAGTACTTGGAATAAGTTTCTATTGGTAAAAGGGGGTAGGAAAAATGTGCTTACTTGAAGAGAAGAGTAAATTGGAAACTAAGCTCCTATTCTTCCATATTTTGCTTGCAAGTGTCATTTTGTATGTAAACACTATTTTTTTCAGTTCTAATACCTTTCATATTGTACATTTGGTATAAAGATAAAAGGATTCTTCCAAATCTCCATTTTCTCCAACAAAATTCCCTCATTGACTCCATTCTGTGATTTGCACCCAAAGGAAGAGCATAATGTCTTGTGTCACCTTCTCTACTCCTGCTACCCACACAATCATCTAATTTTACCTTGAGTCATTTACATTATGTTCCTAATACTCTGATCTGCCACTTAGAGCAGAATAATTTTTCTAAGAGCCAGAAGTGGCCTTTTTCTAGAATTCCATTTCAGATACTAGCTCAAGACTGGAAACATAGTATCTAATAGATAAATATTCATAGATGGATTGTATAAAAGGAATTGGGACTGAGAGCATAAATCTCACTTTCTTTTTACCAAATATTTGATTCAATTTAGCCCATTGGCTGAACTCTTTTCAGTCATTCAGTCTTAGGATTTTATCCATTATTGAGGAGAAAGATATGAATACAGAGTTTTTCTGATACCCAAGATATGGATAGTCTTTGGACATCCTGAGTGATGTATCTCTGCTTGGGTGACTGATTGGAGACTACGTTCAATTAAAAAGCCCTAAATAGACACCCTCTTATTAGTAGCTCCTTCTTCACTTTAAGCATTTATCTCTCTCTTAGAAATCCCTCTTCTATACCTTTAGCTGAGACAAGTTTTCATTAAGCAAAATTCACTTTACTTTGGAAAGTATCTCTTTACTTTGAAATTCTAAAGAATGTCATATCTTTACCACTAATTATAATATCTGCCTGTGGAACCCCCTTCTTCTTTAAATACAAGAAACCTATTATATCAACTATTTAGACTGAAAATTCTTGGGGGACAGATATCATGTCTTCGTGAGGTCACAACTTCAAAAAGTTTTCACATCCTACATTCTACAGTTTTCATCCTGTAGAATCCAACTCAAACCCAATTTTCTTTAGGAAACCTGTTCTGAATACTCCTGCCCAAATATCTTCCTTCTCTAGATCTCTCCTGGATTTTAATCAGTACTATTTGCTTTGTGGCCATAATTATTTAATGTATTTTATTTTCCAAATAATAATTTCAAAGACTTTAAGATAAAGGCCATGAATCGACTTTTCCACGCATTGCTTGCAGTGCCTAGCCAAAGTTTGGGGGGTGGGAGGAAGTGTTCATTTTCCAGTAAATTATGATGGATGAATTGCATGCATACATGCATGAATGAATGAATTTCTCTCCTTGTGACTGCCTAGCAGCATGGCATTTGTAATTTTTCTCCTGGCATTTCAGTCGGCTTAGTGGCTTTTTATTGGATAATTACTGCACAAATGATTTCTGTATCCTCAACCACCATTTAAAAAGTCAAATTTAGAGAGCAGAATGACTGTCTGTTTACAGAAACATCTTGCCTTTTCTTAAGAAAACTCAGCCTCTTAGCTTCTTCCACCTGTGCCTGAGAATCTGCCCTCTCTCACTAATAAAAATGATTGAAAAGCACCTTGAAAATACAAAGTGCCATATAAATGCTAACTGAGGCAATAATAAAACAGTAATAATAACTGTTTGCTGATAAACGTCACTTTCAAGCCCAGGGGAGACATTTTGCAGGGGGAAAGCAGAATGGGTTCTGTGCTTGTCCCTGGGCCATGGCTCACTCTGAATCACACTGTTCTTCCTCCATTTGGACACCATCATTTGCAATGGTCATGAAATAGTACTGGTACGTAAAATTATTGTCATCATCCACATTGTAAAAAGCAATGTGTTGCCAAGTAATCCATTCCCTGACAATTGCCAGGGTTACCTCACTCAAGCTGATCATTTAGAAAATAAATGGACTTCGAAGGGAGTGCACTAGGACTGTTCTGCTCCTGTGGCCACAGCTCAGCCCATGATGTAACTGCATGTGGCATACCTCCAGTTTTGATTAGTCCTGGGCCAAGTTCCATCAAGGAACAGATTCAGTGTGGACCCAGAGGAGTTAGCTGCTAACATGGTGGGAGTTGGGAAGCTATAGGGGGGTCTCCTTGCCATGAAGCTACACTGTGTGCCTATACCCCATTCTGATAAGAAAGATGGATGCAGGGACAGGGAGAATAAACTCAGGGCACAGTTTCATGAGAGACTGGGAGAAGAAAGAAATCAGGTGTAAAATGAAACATCAGAGTGCATAAGTCTAAGAGATGGAGAGGGTATTCTAGGGGAAGAAGTCAGCCTCCAGAATCCTGCAAGTTAGAGAGGAGATGAAGGACACTGGCACACTTATCTGTAGCAACTGAAGGAGAGGAAAGGTGTGTGTGAAAGAAAGGCCCAAGTATGACAAAGGCAGGGTTGTCCATACTGATTTTGTATGGATGTTGTCCCCTCCCAATGGGCATTTACAACCAGGCAAATCATTCTTATTCTTCTGTATGGGCCCATCTTCCTCTGCTCAGACCTTATGGTACTCTTTTTAGTCGTCTTCTCTTTTATCTACAGTCTTGATGAACCTGTCCATTTCTCTCTGTCTCCACTGCTACCACTACAGTGTGCCTGTAGTTCCACATGCAATTCCTCTACTGACCCATACAACTAATTACCTTAAACTTCTCCATATTAGTTCCTTACCTTGACTTTCTATCTAAAATTTCCCTGTTGGTTTGTCAGAATCTAGTTGTCATTTGTAATCTCCACCTCTCATTCCCTGATTTCCACATCCAGTCAGTGACTGTATTAGTCATATTAGTCAGGGTTCTCCAGAGAAACAGATCTAAGAGGGTATACATATACACATATGATTATAAGCAATTGGCTCATGCTATTATGGAGGTTGAGAATTCTCATGGTCTACAGTCTGTAAAGTGTAGATCCAGCAAAGCTGGTGGTGTAGTTCAAACTCCTGAGAACCAAGGGCACCAAGGGCAGAAGACAGATCTCCTAGCTCAACCAGACAGGTAGAGAGAAAATTCAATCTGCCTCTACTTTTTTGTTCTATTCTGGCCCTCAGCAGTTTGGATGATGCTCTCTCACATTGTGGAGGGTCATCTGCTCTACTCAGTCCGCCAGTTCAAATGCTAATTTCTTCCAGAAACATCCTCAAAGACACACCCACGAATAATGTTTAACCAAATAGGTATCTGGGCATCCCATGGCCCAGTCAACTTGAAACATGAAAGCAACCATCATAGTGACCAAGACCTCTGATACGTCTTCTGTGTTTATCCCTCCTCTCCATTCTCAGTGTTATCCCGAAGATCAAGACTTAAAGGTAAAAAGACATGATATGTTCTGTGCTGAGTTTACCTTCAGGTCTACATGCTGGGGAGAGGGGCTGTTTTGAGTTTGAGGACTTGTTCCAGGTTAAAGTGAGGTCTCAGAGAGCAGCTGAGTTGAAGTGAAACCCCATTTAGGGAATGAAAGCAGAAAGTAGACTTTCATTTATTATTCTATATACCTTTCATGTCTGAGATTAAAGAAATAAGGATTTTGTAACATATGATTATATTTGTGGCTTTCAGTGGTCTATCATTTTAGTATCCTGCATCTGTTTCCCTGAACTATTAGCAATACATTTCTCATGAGGAAAAGGCCTAAGTGCTTGTTTTCAGTGTTAATAAGGAAGTGGGCTGCAGGAAGAGTGTGGAGGGTGCTTACGTTCTTGGAAGAAAAGTCCTAAGGGAAACAATGAGCTGTGGCGGCCACCAGGATTAGGGAAGAGCAGAAGCAGCCTGCGATCCTGCCTCCCTCACCTTCCTACCCCCAGCAAGAAACACATAGAGCAGGGGCAAGCCCCGTGGGATCTATAGGACAATGGTCACTATTTAATAAGTTGTCATTACACATAAGACAGTTCACATATGCTGCCTCTAGTGTGTGTTTTAACTCTTCACTTAGGCATGTTTATTCTCTTATTACAAATAAGATTACTTGAGGATTAGTGACATAGTGAACACCTGTCATTTTTCCATGGCCAGTGTCCCTGCACCCATGTCTATTCCAGCTAATATTTCTTCATCTGGTGAGGCTGTCAATCACCCAGCTCTCTTCTCCTGCCCCAAGTTTAGACCTGTGATTCAGGCTGGCCAATAAAAATACTACTGTCCTCTGGTGAGGCATTCAGAGGGATCTTGTTACCTCAATGACCAAAGTCCTTTCTCAGGGACTGATGGGGAGACTTTGAAAGAGAGTATGTCTCTCCTCTTAAGAGATGAGTAGACAGGGCCAGGCAGGCCCGGAGATTCAAGTGGCCATCTCTGATGTGGAATGATGCCTGATGCCATGTGGAATGAATCTGCTGAAGACTAAAGCCAGAAGAAAACAGAACCGAGAGAGAAGCAGAGAGGGTAAAATCCATGACAGAGACAGAGGCAGTCACAGAGCTTCCTAAAGGCTTCGCACCCTGGCTTTTCTCAATCTCTACCCAAACATAGCATTCTCCAACCACTCAGTAAAAAGCAGCCATTCCTCTTCTGCCTGATCATAATCTATTTTTCTCCATAGCATTTATCACCATCTGTCATACCATATATTTACAGATTTTTCTGTTTGGTTCACGGTTGTATCTTCAGCACCTAGAACAGCTCCCAAACCCAAAGCAGGCCCTCAGCCAGTATTTGTGGAACCCATAAGAGAGTCACTTGATCAGCTGGTCCGGCTGTGACTAATGCAGTAACCCACCACTTCGGTTTTCCAGTCACACAAGCCAAAGTGGTTCCTCTTCTACATACACAAGCTAGACTTGAATTTTTTTCACTTGGAAATAAGAGCTTCAGCTAATATTAATAAAAAGGTGAAGTGTTCACAAAACGGTGAAGTGTATCCACAGTGGTACCTGGTAAAGCCAGGGGTGAACCCAGGTCTCACACATGCCAAACCATTGCTTTCCTGGATACCACCTCCCCTAGCAAGGGATCCATTTACTCCCTGACATCTCAGCCTTAGGGATTTTATTTATTTATTTATTTATTTATTTTGAGATGGAGTTTCACTCTTGCTCCCCAGGCTGGAGTGCAATGGAGAGATCTTGGCTCACTGCAACCTCTGCCTCCCAGGTTCAAGTGATTCTCCTGCCTCAGCCTCCCAAGTAGCTGGGATTACAGGCACATGCCACCACGCTCGGTTAATTTTTGTATTTTTAGTAGAGACACAGTTTCATCACGTTAGCCAGGCTGGTCTCGAACTCCTGACCTTAGGCAATCTGCCCGCCTTAGCCTCTCAAAGTGCTGGGATTACAGGAATGACCCACTGCGGCCAGCCTAGCCTTAGGGATTTTGAGAGATTCTTTTCCCCTAGCAGCTGACACATTGGCATTTGGGCAGGGGAACATCTCAAAAAATGGAAATAGGAACCCAGACATACTAGTACTTTAGGAAGGGTCAGGGTATGATGTTTTCCTATGATTTACTTTTGTCCAAACTGGCTTCATTAATTTATTCTTTCACAGGACAAACTATTTTTATGGAGACATTTTATGATTTATTTAGATTCCTCCAAGCTTTAGCTGAGGCTGTCTGAAAGATTAAAAAAAAAAAAAAGCTACAGATCCTCAGGGTAGGGAAGGTCTGTGATGACCATAAAAACTTTATAATACCTCTCTGGAGGGAGGGAGGATGCAGGCATGGTCTACCCTTACCGAAGCTGGGGTTATGTGGCAACAGATAGATTAATCCATACACATTTGAAATAAAATATATGACTAAACTAAATTTTAGTTATGGATATTGATTTTATTGACTAAATCCTCCTCCCTACAAACTCCTTGGTTTGTCTAACAGAAATGTTACCATTTGACCAGGGTAAACAGGAATGAGGCTAGAGGCCTATGCACTGAATGAATAAAGAAGGCTGGGCCGGGCGCGGTGGCTCACGCCTGTAATCCCAGCACTTTGGGAGGCCGAGGCGGGCGGATCACGAGGTCAGGAGATCGAGACCATCCTGGCTAACACGGTGAAACCCCGTCTCTACTAAAAATACAAAAAATTAGCCGGGCGTGGTAGCGGGCGCCTGTAGTCCCAGCTACTCGGGAGGCTGAGGCAGGAGAATGGCGTGAACCTGGGAGGCGGAGCTTGCAGTGAGCCGAGATCGCGCCACTGCACTCCAGCCTGGGCGACAGAGCGAGACTCCGTCTCAAAAAAAAAAGAAGGCTGAAGACTTCTGAGGAGGGGTGTGCAAAATGAAGACATCAGCATAGTTTATCTTTTGTGTCCCCAGGATACTCCCCCACTTCAAGTTTCTCTTTTCTCTTAGAGTCCTCATTTCTCTCTCAGCACCTGCTCTTAGATCTCTCATTTATGCCAAGCTATAAGCAACAAAAATCAGTGTAAACCACAGCTTTTACAGGAGAGATTTACACTTTGGTCACAAAGGAGAACTCCATTGAAGCTAAAACTATGCATTTCGACGGGAGAACAACAGGGACAGTGACCAACTGGGGAATACTGAGAGTCACCCGAGTGCTCATCTTGTCCTTGAAGACTTATTATGCAGGCACGTTTCAATCAATTCATTCCACTGGACATGGAAGTTGGATATTTTTCAGTTCAAATGGGACTAGAGATAGTACTCTAGCCATTTTGATATACATTAGCATTTAGGTTTCAAGGTGCTTTCACTGCAACTAGAAGCTGTAGGAGTACACTGTTAACATATGAGCTTTGAGTGGGGCAGGTGAGGTCTGAGTGGGGCTGAGAAGATGGCCTCCCTTCAGACAAGGCACAGTGTGCAGTTAAGAACGGCAGATCCTGACCTGACTCACCACTGAGGGAAGCAGCTTGCCTTCATGCTGGAGGTTTCCCCAGGCATGTGGAAGACACAGAACACAGCCAAGTATTCTGCTTTTTAAGTTCCCCATCTTCAGTGACTTTCTTTTCTATTTGCCTCAACAGAGTCACTCCAGAACAACAGCCTGGATTATGTCACATGCCAGACACACACTCTCTGGCCATAGTGTCCACCATTGCTGGTCTCTTAGGCCCCTTTCCACTGCTCCTCCTGCCTTGATTGACCACGTCATTTTCTCCTGCAGTATAAAACACTTTAAAACTTCACATCTGTCTATATTCAGCCTTGCCAGTGATTTAACTTTTTTAATCTTTAATCTTTTCATTGGAAAAATGGAAGTATAATAGGTAGAGCCCACTATGCAGAATTTTTGTAAGAATTGAGTTACTTAATACAAGCAGGTGAGGATGGACTTCTTGCAGTGCCTTAGCTTCATTGGATCGAGCACTCAGAGAGTGGTGGCTCCTGGAGGGCAGGGTGGAGGGTGTGGTAGCCATAGTACTAGAGACCCAGGGGGAAATTCTGTTGTGCTGTCTTGCAGGCATTACTGTTTGTGCTAAGTTGAGAAGCAAATCTGTTTTCCTCCTTTTTCTGTTTCTTCTTTTCTTCCTTCCTTCCTTCCTTCCTTCCTTCCTTCCTTCCTTCCTTCCTTCCTTCCTTCCTTTCTGATTGGTTCTGAAGAATGGCCACACTAATAACATACTTCTAATTAAATATTCAGTGTTCTTTATACTTTTTTGGCAAATATTATACTTTGTAAGTAATTTTTATGTTATATATAATCTGATTAAGTCCAATATATTTTTATTTTTCTTTAATTTATTAAGCAGCTATTAATTTTTTGGTTGATCAATATCAGCATTTATTAAGTTGAAGTTATTGTTCATCAGTCAACTATGACCTTACAAATTAAGTTTTTAAAAACCATTAGCTATAGATGTGTCCACATATACATACTTGAGCTTCATTTGATTAGCCACATGTTGAAGCAGAATTCATGCATAGTCTCAAGAACCAGAAACATTTATTCAACATGTCCTCTAGCCTCATAGATTACCTTACTCAATATTAACAATTTGTGCTTAAAAAGAATGTTTCATGGTAGGGCCCTGGCACATTTCACTAAGTTGTATGTTGGAGATTTGTGTCTGATTCAAGATTCCTGTGCATGTGTTACAGAACCCTCCTATTTTCTATTGTTTGACAAATTTGCACAGGCTTCTCCAGTCAAAAACATCTTTGCCCTGACTGATGGTCGCCTTAAATTGCCAGAGATTCATAGATGTGCAGATCTCCTTGAGATAATGTTTTTGAAATTTCCACCCTGTACTGGTTTCTTCCTGGAACATTCCTCCCACAGATCTCATTATAAAAAAGTTCTTATGTATACAGAGACCTGAATATATTCCCTATAATTTCTATGCAGTGGTGGTGCTTGTACCTTCCAGAACATCCTGTTTTCTGTTATTTAAATGATTGTCTTGTTGCCATATAATTCCACAACTGGAGTTCCATTTCTTGGAATTTCTTTTCCTTGATTGCTCTTTCGAAAAGCAAACAGACGTGTGAGACTCACTGGATTATCTTTCCATAAAACATAATGCCACAAGAAATTAAGAGTGGTTTTTGGCAAAGAGATGTCTTCTTTATCTCTGTAAAACTGTAGTATAGAAGGAAGGGTAGTAGGGGGGTACAACAACACTCTTCCAATCAAGTTATAAGAATTTACTAGCCACTGCTGTTCCCATATCCTGATAACACAATGGCAACGTTTGGAGGGTAGGAGAATTATGAAAAAATGCTACAGAACATGGAATCTTTGGGTCCAGGAAGCTAGCTTTGCAAATGATGAGACAAGTCATGGTTTATTTTATGAGCCAAATATTATGTTTCATTAATATGAAAACAAAGAAGATATGTGTTTCCTTATGAAGGGACATACCAGCTCTACCTCAAACTATGCCTCTCTCATTAATTTCTCTGCTTATTTTGATAAGAGTGGGTTGTAATACACATTGTAACATTGTGATGAAACCTCTCTCTACTCCCACTTTACAACTACTACATTGCTATGCAGTATACACGGTATATGAGTAATAAAGGGAACAACAAAGGAAGTATGGACAGTTCAGGGTAGAACACATTTCATGTTGGAAACTCATGTCTTACTGATGGTAGATGAGAAGAATGCAGTATTTCAACATCACCACAACCACCTTAGTGTTGTTTCCCTTCCTCATCTCTGTCCAGCCCTTCTTTGCAATGTCCCTTGACACTTGCCTTCTGCTCTAGAAAACCCTCCACCAATCTCCAATGCCTTCAGGTTTTATCCTACCCAGTTTTCTGCTAAAATTCTGCCTTATCTTTTAGATCCATTTAAAAATCAATACCTTCCTTGAACTTCTTCCTCATGGTATCAATACTTAGGGCTCTCTCTCTCTCATGAATTTTGCCTATAGAATTTTTATTCCCTGGGTAGTATACTTTCAGAAACTGTTGCTGTTTGTCTAAATGACATTTCCTTCACTGAAGGTAAGTGCCTCTGTTTCTGGGAACATTGCTTCTCGACAAAGCTGTAGCTCAACAGAAAGCTCAGCTTCTCCTGTGGGGTGTCCCAGTTAGAATCTAAGTAGATTGAGAGGGGTCTGCGTGTGTCTTCCCACATCTGGGAAATCTCTAGGGAGAAAAATGACCATTACTGTGGGATGAAAAGGAGTCAGACAAACTCTGTGAAAAAATGGTTTTTGTTTGTGGATGTTGGTGGACAAGGGCAGGAGTCGGGATGGCAGATACGGGATTGATTTCAGCATGGTGTCTATGCATGCTTAACAATTAGCACATTGGAGATGCCAGAGAGGGCTCTGTTGGGGGGTCAGAGGTTCTCCTTCAGCAGGTGGTAAACAGAGCTCATGGAATCTAAATTATTTTACAGTGACCAATTTGTACCCTTAGATTGGTGTGGTCTGTGAACTCTGTTATACAACAATTTATTTACATGTATTATGGGCTAGAAACTTTGTTTTTAAACCACTTTATTGGGGTATGATCCATACAGAAAAAGCTATATATACTTAATATATACAACCTGATGAGATTGGAGATAAGTATGTACTCATGAAACCATCACTGCAATGTATGTCATAAAGTTATCTATCACTTCCAAAAGTTTCCTACTACCTTCTCTATTATTATATTGTAGTAAAAAAAACTTAACACAGTGAGGTCAGGAGATTGAGACCATCCTGGCTATGGTGAAACCCCATCTCTACTAAAAATACAAAAAATTAGCCGGGTATGGTGGTGGGCACCTGTAGTCCCAGCTACTCAGTAGGGTGAGGCAGGAGAATGGCATGAACCCAGGAGGTGGAGCTTGCAGTGAGCCGAAATTGCACCACTGCACTCCTGCCTGGGCAGCAGAGCGAGACTCCATCTCAAAAAAAAAAAAAAAGGAAAGAAAGAAAACTTAACACAGGCTCTATCCTGGACTAGAAACTTTACAGCATTTTTTTACTGATATTATAAAATCCTCTGTGGTAGGGATTATTATTTCCCTTCAAAAGCCCAAGAAACCACCAAGGTTCAGAGAAGCTGAGCAATGTGATCAAGGTCGCACAGCTCATACAGATACGTGGTTATATCTTGATTCCGGACCTAAGCCTCCTTCCAAACTTACCACTTTGCTATGCTTTGGAAGCATTCAATTACAGTTTATTGAAAAATCCAACAAATGAAGATCATGCTAAGGGTTTGAGATAGGGCACTAACTATGGTTTATATGCATCCCTTTAGGATAGAACCCAACTTTATAGTAATAAGATTTATTTCATTTCATGGGATTCTGGTTTTATAAAGCCTATAGCCCCATTAATGATATTAGATTTCATGAAGAAAAGAGCTTTTTAAATGCAGATTTGATATTTTAAAAGGGGAGTATGATCACCCATATTTATACCAAGTTTAGACTAAGCTCTCTGCTACCTCTACCACCCCACCCCCTTGCAGTGGGGAGAAAGCTTATTCAAGGCCAGATGATATAGGGTGCATCATGGGGACAATATTCTTATTGCTCAATATTTAAAAGCAATAATTTCAGGATACTTAACCTCATAGATTTTCTAATACAGTAAAATTAAATAAAAAACACCCTAAATGCAGCTGATATAACCCCTTCATGTGCAATTAGCAGATATTAAATAGAAACTTTAATATTAGCATTATTCTTTATGCCCCAGTGAGTGGGATATTATTTAAATTGATATGACATATGAGGATATAAATAATTCCTAAGTGTAAATTTAAACTGGAATTTTAGAGTTTGAAATCAGTATTATCAATTCCCTATTTCCCAGTGTATCATTTATTACCAGCCTGAAGATTTTTTTTTCAAAGAGATTAAATTAACATTAAGGCGATGATAAACATTATAAATAAATACAAAAATTGCTATTCCAGAAATCCAGTTGAAAAGAAAGTAAATGAATTGGTGTGGTATCAAATTCCATCTTCCCTAGAAGAGCTCAGACATAGTTCCAAGCATAAATAATCCTCTATAACTTCTTTTGCAATCAAAAATGAAATATATTAAAGCCTGAAAGTATAATTTCATTATCTACTATTCTAGATACGCAAACTAAGATTCAGAAATAGCTGTGGCATGAGGGGAATTCTGATTAGTTTCACACCACTAGTTGGTCAGGGCAGGGGAAAAGCTAGCACTACTGAAATATTAGAGATGTTTTCTGGGTCTGAACACCTCCCTAGGCTTGTCCATGGGGGAAAACTTGAAGGTGACAATGGTGAACCTCTCTTTTTCCAGATGACCCTCTTTCTGGGTGTGTATGAACTTCTCAGTGTAAAGCTTAGGTTGTGTAATCAAATTTGGCTTGTTCTAGTCTATGTTTGTCCTGTAATGGTTTCAGGAAAGCCACACAGCTGATACATTTCCATATCCTTTTCACTTTGAAGATATGTTGCAGAATAATGACAAGGTGAGGTTCCACTGAGTCACATACATGTGGAAAATCAATACTTTTTCTTGTGCTGTGTTGGGGGCCGTGTTTGTTTCATGCCTAGGCATCATAGAGATCCACCCATTGACATCATCCGAGAGCTTCCTAGAATCAACCCTAATCTAAAATAGCTGTGAGGTGCCACAATGTCCAGAATGTCCACTACTAACACATCATTTCATTTTTTTTTTTACATTATGCATTCGAGGCTCCTCTCTTTGAAAGCAAATAACATGGAGGAAGTTGACATATTTTAAAAAATACCATAGATATTCTTTTAAACATGGTGAATTGACCACAACCACAGAAGGAGGAGAGCAAGGTGGAAGGCCTCAGTAAATTACTGGACTGTGGAAATAAGATGATGAAGTGGTAACTGTCTTGGCAGAGGAGAGAGAAAAATAATCCATGTACCTCCTAAGAGGTATTGACAAATTAGTGGGAACATTTGTTCTCTGAAACCCCCAAAAGGCTCAGAGATAGGAGACACTAACAGTATCTGGGTCACAGAAACTGAAAAGAATTTTATATGGTACAAATGATACCTGAAGGCACCTTTCTTACTCACAGAGACCACCTATTTCCTCTTCATTATCACTCCCTTTCTGCCTAAATTGCAGAGGAACTGAATTTTAACATCCGAAAAAATTAAACCACATAGGCCTATCAAAACAATTATGGAATATTTTCCATCAAATATAGTGGAGCACAAAGGCTGAAACACAGTGATTCAATAATTATAGGAGTCTTGCATGTTGGACGGTGAAATTCCTTTCCCTATTTGGCCCTGTTTCCATAACATGATCAGATGAGCATATAACTCCAAGCAGGAGGACACAGTAGATTTCTTGGAAGAAATATAATGACCCTGGTATGGCAAGAAGTCCTACAAATCTCGATGTTTGATGTTCCCACTGGGAAGCCCAGTCCACAGCCCTCTCAGCCTAGTAAGTTGGCAAGCTCCACCCAAGCCTTCAGCTTTCCATTAGCTCTCAAGTTCTTTTTAACATATGGATGCAGTCAAGAATGGCCTGACTTTTGAATAAAGACATCAAAGACTAAGAAGAAACAACAACCACAAACATAAAAAAATACAAATTGAAACAAACAGAGAAGGCAAAGAGCAGAACGCTAATACATGTGTTACATGAGATTCAATTTTGTGGCACAACTGTATTGGAAAGAGATGGTAGGAGAGGGAGAGAGAGAGAGAGAGAGAGAGAGAGAGAGAGAGAGAGAGAGAGAGAGAGATACCTGGGGAAGAAGAGGGGTTAGGGAACTCAAAACATCCTTTATGAAAGGATATCCACAAGTAATGCCAGGTATCATAAACAAAGACATATAAGAATATTTTTTAGAAGTTGGAGAAAAATATTAACATATAATAGGAAGGATATAAAGCTATTTAAACATATACAGTATAAAAGATACATTGTAAGAATTTCATTGTACTTGCCTCTAGAAGGCAGGACAAAGGGAAGAAATTAGGACTGCTGTTTTTCTCTATAGGGTGTAACTATTTGCATTTTTAAACCACAGACATGCATTTCTTTGACAAAATTAACAAAATATTTTTTAAAAATAATTTATCTCCAGATTTCAAGTCAGTTTTACAGATGTCTCAGTTTGAAAAGATTTATCAGAGATCTAGGTTCTTTACCCACTGTCAATCTGGGACTCATTCCTAATGGCTAACACCCCTGAGAGCCTCTATCTGTGACTTAAGCCCACACAATTCCTAAGCCAATGCAGGAGGCAAGGGAGAATGTTTGGGCACATTCTCGGGCGGAGTCTCAGGACCTAGGCATGGCAGCTGAGTTAACCTGTGGCTTTCAGAGTTGTCCTGATGCTCCTAAGAGCCAGACTTGTTGCTCCCAGGACTTGCAGAGCCTGCTGGTTGAAGCTACTGCTCTACCTACCTCCTTTCCTAGGTGTGTGGCTTGACCGTTCTACCTGATGCCCTCTAGTCCCCAGGAGTCAATCTCCACCTTGTCACTTGAGACTTACTTTTGGCTTTGAACCATCTGGAAGACTGATGGCTTGACAATCTTCTCTGAGTTCTCCTCCATAATGATAGACCTAGAACTGGACTCCTCTTCACTGCCAAGTCTCCTGCCATAGATCAAAATATTTCCCAATCTTACTTCCTAGATACCAGACTATTAGCTTATTGCCCCATGACCTGGGGCCATGGCTGAGCCTTGTCTTCTAACTTGATGTCGAGAAGCCAACCACTGAGCTCCTGAATACTGCATCTTCTTCCACAGTGAGATAATATTCCTCAGCCCCTATCCTGTCCAATCTGGCTTGCTTCCTCTCTCCACCCATCTGATTGGCGTGGATCATCATTACGGATGACTTTTAAGTCATCCATAATGCCTTCAAATGGAACATCATTGAGAAATCACAGATACCAGTCCAACATATTACATGCTTTCTTCCTCCTTAAAATATAAATACTCCTAAGAAGATAAATAAGCAATCACTACATTTTCAGTCTAGGACAAAAAAATTCTATAATGTAGAGGCCTGCAGATGGTAGGTAACCAGTGGGCACCTGACCAAAAAAAATGACAGTAAGTTCTTGGAAAATTTTACTGTTTTCTCTGTGCTGCCTGATAACTACAGAACTGTAGCTTTTTCTTTATTATTATTTTTTTAATTTTCCACCAGCACATATGGTGGAATTCTACTATAGGCTCCAGGCTTCCCATTTAACCTCAAAAATGAAGAGAAAGCAATTCCGTAGGTGGTTAAGAATATGTCATAGGCACAAACTCAGCTTAAGGCATTATGAATTTTCTGTGGAGAAAATGCATTTATTCATTCTGCTTTAAGTCAAGATGGCTGAAACCCATTATCTCAAACTTTCAAAAAAAATCCCCTTTGGGATGTGAATAACCTATAAAATATTTCAGTCAAAAATAAAATTTTTGGAGGAAGAGAGGGTCCTGTTCAAACTGATGGGGTAGAGTTCAGGCTTGCAATCATCAAAGCTTTCTCTGAGCCTTCCAGATAGGAAGGGCCATGGAGAGTTAGTGGGTGATATTATCCTAATTATTACTATATAGCATAAGAGGGCCAATCTATTTCTGTAGAATAATAGAGCTAGGATGAGATTTGACAGCATCTGTCACAATAAATGCAAATATATAGAGAATTGACAATGAGCCATGATCTCATAAGTGATTCTATTTTCTCTCTGAATAATGACAATGCTGCATTTCAAGCTCACATGACAGATATCTTCGAAGGCTCTCTGGGGTCTGCACTGGAGGTCCTTTGTAACTGCATTTGTGAAGGAGAATGTATTTGAACTTGGAGTTTTCTAAAACTATTTATGTCCCTAGAGAATTTTCTGGCCATAGCTTCGGTCCCTAAACATTCCTTTTCATGGGAATTTATTAATTAGTTTTCCTGTGCTTACTTCTGTGCTAGCAGGTTAAGGAAATGCAAAGATATGGTTTCTGCCCTAACAGAGCTTACAATCCTATTGAAAGAGATATGGGTACAGCTGATCATTCAATCCCAGTGCCAGGCAGGTGTTAAGTGCTAAACTGTGCTTGCCACAGTAAGTGCTGTCTACAAAAGTTCATGGGCTGAGGGGCTCAGTAAGAAATTCCCAGAAGAGGGGTGACTTGAACACTCTTATGTGGAAGAAAAAAGGGGTGAAGGAAAAGGAAAAGAGGCAAGAATGGAGAAGTGAGAAGACTTGAACAAGCACCTGTGCAGAAGATTTAGACTGGTACAAGGGTGTGTGTGAATGGAGCATACTCAGGGCCACTGCTGGGCTGGCTGGGACACCTGGACCAGTGTATCTTGTGCTGTCATCATGCCCATCCTCCTGCCTCCTCCGTGATGCCATATAGAATGTGATCAGGGACTTTCTTTTAAGCCAGTAGATTAGGCAGCAGCATACTCTTCTCCTAATATTGCAGGTTCACAGAAGGATAAAACAAGAGCCTGGGCAGAGATGCCCATGTGCCTTGCAGTTTCTCTCATATTCCCAGGGAGAAGAGAGGTTGGGGACAAAGAGATACTTAGTAGTATCCAATAACACATTAACATTATGTGTCAGATCAACTGCAGGCTTGTATCTCTATTTCAGGCTGGTGAAGTGTTAATTAAATATTAGTTAAACTGTTCACTTCCCTGACCCCATTAGGTCACAAATGTTTGCCCCTTTTCTCTCTTTTTTATCAGTGTCCTCTACTCTGTCTCTTCTGACTGGAAACATTTCAAGCAGATTCTTATATTACCTCCCACTCTCTAAAACAACCATGCCTTGCTATCTCTAAACAAATAGCCCATTTTGTTCTACAGTTATTTATAATGATAACAGTAATTAAAATAGCTGTAACCTCATGGATCTATCACTTGCTAAGCACTAAGATAAGCATATCACATGCATTGACTCATTTAATCCTATGTTAAATCTATGGGAAGACATAGTTACACCTGTTCAGAGGTGAGTGCCTTCCCTAAAGTCAAAGATCTAGTAAGTGGTAGATCAGATCACAGCCTTGTGACCTGCTAAATGTGTGCTCTTTCTCTCACACTGCATTGTCACAGGGGAAACAAAAGTGGAAACACTGGGCGAGTGAAAAATAGTCTAAGGGGCTGCCAAAGGCACTCAAAGCAGTTAGCTCCTCCTGATAATTGATGAACTATATTTAAAAAGTTTCTATAGCATTTGAAGAACTGCCCACAGCCAAGAGTGTAGGTTATCTCTGTGCAAATTTACTGCAAGTGTAACTAACTCAGCTTTCTTTACTCCCTGCTCAGAATGTACTTGTTGCTGCTCCCTTGTCGTTTAATGCACTTCAAAAAAAAAACTGGGCTCATCTGAGATGAGTGGATGGATATACTCATTTCCTTATGTCTGCAGTGAGGGTGAGATGGACTAAAATGTAAACCAATATCTTCAACCAAAATAGCTGGGGGCTAAGGAAGATGGAGGGGAGCCCCCACCCCACCCCACCGCTGGAGAACACAGAGGGGCATTGAGATGTGTTCCTGAGAGCAGAAGTAGAGTTTTCTGAGGTAGATGACCTCAGGACTGAGTCTCTCACAGGCACCCTATCTGCATAGACTATATGAGGCCTTGCAGATTTTACCTGGAGGTTGGACATCCGTCTGGATTGCTTCTAGTTCTAGAAGTCTGCAGTCTGCTTATTTTTACTCAGAATTTGTCTCTCTTTTTTTCCAGGGTGAACCCTGGAGTATCCCATCTATCCCCAGATAAGCCTTCCTGGGGTTACCCTTGGTTGATACCCTGAGAAAGGGAGAGAGTTTCATATCTGGCTTGTGGAAGTCACCCCTGATTGCCAGACTTTACAGTGGAGGCCTCACTTTGCAGCTTTTATTCCCCTAAAAATTATTGTTCAATCTGGCCCCAAACTCATTTCTTTCTTTTCTGACCCATTTCTCTCTGTCTGAAGTATATTCACCAGATTGGTTTTTTTAAAAAGACATATGGGAATCTTAAATCAGTGTTCCAAAATTATAAACTTACTTCAGATCTCCCATGGTCTGTTAATAGATGTTACATAAGAAGAAGATTCTGTGAGTAAACA
This sequence comes from Homo sapiens, assembly GCF_000001405.40. NCBI lineage: Eukaryota > Metazoa > Chordata > Mammalia > Primates > Hominidae > Homo > Homo sapiens. Next base: position 38,090,179 of record NC_000018.10, read on the forward strand.
TGTTTGGGAAGTGCTGGATTAATCAAAGTTAAAACTTGAACGGGGGATTAACACTCTCTAAAGAGGGAGGAGAGAAAGGTTTGAGGATTCCATTGTATATGAAACATACTTTTTTCTTAAAGAAAAAACCATGGTAAGCAAGAAAGTAAAATGGTAATCTGTATTTAATCTGAGTGACAAGTATATGGGTGTTTTATTACTCTGTGACTTTTAGTATATGTGAAGTATTTTCTAATTAAAATAGTGAAACATGTTTGCATTTTATTTTTTTCCTGCAGGGTTTTTAATTATATGATGTTAGTTTGAATTTTGAGTCTTCAGGAGGGGGCTATAGCACCTGGTATTTCCATATTATTTGACCAAAAACCCTTTTAGGAAGGAGCATTTCTCAGGACTCCTGTTCTCTGGGACAGACTATGTGAGTGGAATTCCAGAGACACTAGTCTTTCCCATTTCCTTTTCTGCTGCTTATTCCTAGTGTCATTGTTGGCCCTAGGGCTCCAAAGCTGAGAAGCATTGTCTCAGAAGATGCTGCACTACCTATTAGGTTCCTACCGGGGTTAGCATAGATATTCACTGTTTTCTGTTTCAAAGGGCTCTCTCTTTCTCCTACTCAAAATCTGATTACTTTCAGAGCACCCCTACTTTAGAAGTATTTTCGGAACTGGGATGATTGGCATGTCCAAAATTCAATGAATAATCTATTCTTCCCCAACTTCCTTCTTTTCTTGAGATACTCTTCAGATCCTTACCTAGGTTTAGGACCTTCACACATGCTTCCCTTCCTTTCAGGGAAGATGTTTTATAATCTCAAAATATTTTAAGCATATAGAATCTATAATAAACTCAATTTTCTAAAATGGAAGTAGAGAATTATATTCTTATAGAGAAAGTTCCTTTCTGTTTTCTGCTCTATATTGAAATTACATTAGTTATCAGCAAATAAATTTGCCTTCCTCAAGAAAAAAATATTTTTGCTAGTTAATAGAGATAAGTAAATAATTCTCATATATGAGATAGGAAATAAAGTGACTATTAATGCTGTGTAAAGTTAAAATCACAGGTTGGTAATGGAGGAGAGGTACAATGTACTGGGGATAACATGAGTTTAAGGGACAGGGACTTGAAATGTAGGCTAGACTCCACTGCCAACTTACTGTGTGATTTTCATAGTTCACATTTCTTTAGCCTTGAGATTACTACTTAAAAAGGAGTTACCATTAAACATACCCTGCATACTTTATACTGCTGAGCTAATGAGAGAGAATGTTAAAAGACTTTAAAAGGTCTGAAATGTTAATGAGTAAAATAGGACAGATGCTTACTATTAAAATTTCTTAAGGTTTTTAAGTTGGAGAGCTGTTGACCAAAGTCATTGGACTGAATATTTCCATCATAAAAGGCATGGTAACAAAATGTTGGCAAAAGGCCTTTGCTTAATTCATAGTTTATTCAACAAAACTCTCACCTGGGGGAAGACAGAGTTAAAAGGCCAGTAACAGTGGGAGGGTCAATAAACCATCTACCAAAGTGCTGGTGAGGTCAGGTCTTAAACCATGTGTGAAATGTGGATTCTAGGCAAAGACCTCTGTTCACATCAGTCACCAAGTTAATTAAATCTTGATCTTCTGCATCTCCAAATGCACCTAGGACAGCCTTGCAAAAATGATCCTTATCAGAGCCATTGGATATCCAGGAGATTTGCCTATTCAGAGGTGAATGAAGTCAGCTTTTCTGTGGGATACACATTGAGAATGCAATGGGAAAAGGTGAAGAAAATGTTTCCTCACACTCTCCTTCTCTTCGTTGCATTTGATGTCATACATTTGTGAGCTATGGCTGCAGTATCAGCACTAGTCACTGCTGAGATGACTGTTGAAACTCTACTTGGAACAGGCAACAATTAGCACCCAAGGAGATGGGCTCCATTAGCCTGGGCTACCACAGAACTAGGAAAGAATAACAACAGTGTTCAGACTACTATTTCCCATTAGATCAAACATGCATGCCTTATTAAACACAGACTATGTTTCTGTCCCTAATCTAGGTATAGGGGAGGGAAGAGAAGGAAAAGTCTCCACCCTTACACTCAGCTTACTCCAATCAAAATGGGGAGCTACAACTTATGGAAATATTACAATTAAAAGATACATATCAATATATAATCAAGGACAAGACAATGTGATTTAGATAAGTAATATAATAGCGCAAAGGAGGAGCACCCACCTGTGACAAGGGTAATCAGAGAAGGGTTTGGATAAGAAGTGATATACCGAAAGTGATACCTACAAACATCTCGGGAAGGTAGATGGCTATTTCTCAAATGGGAAAGAAGGTAAACATTTCAGCATTAAGGAATCATGTAGTTGAGCATTTTCCGCAACTGTGCTAACCTTGGTAATGGTAGAACTGGTGTGGGATGGTCATACTTTGTCAAACTGATTCCAGAAACAGTGAACTGTTCAAGAGACCCTCCTACTTTAGAGAGGTACACATATAACTCCGAAGAAAAATTGCCTACTTCACAGGCTCTGTTGTCTGTTCATTCCTGACTACTTTTCTTTGATCCTTGTGAAGATGGAATGCAAGTCAGAGAAGCCATGGCTAGCCTAGATTAACCTGGAACATGTTCAAAAACTTGGGACTTGGGCCCGGCTTGGTGGCTCATGCTGGTAATGCCAGCACTTTGGGGGGCTGAGGCAGGTGGATCACCTGAGGTCAGGAGTTCGAGAATAGCCTGGCCAACGTGGTGAAACTCTGTCTCTATTAAAAATACAAAAATTAGCTGGGCATGGTGGTGCACACCTGTAATCCCAGCTACCTGGGAAGATGAGGCAGGAGAATTTCTTGAGCACAGGAGGCAGAGTTCACAGCGAGCCAAGCTTGCACACCTGCACTCTCCAGCTTGGCAAAAAAAAAAAAAAAAAAAAAAAGAGAGAGAGAAAAGAAAGAAAGAAGGGAGGAAGGGAGGAATGAAGGATGGACAGACAGAAAGAAAGATGGAAAGAAAGAGAAAACTTGGCATTTAGCAGGAAGTGGCATGTTTCAAAGAAAGATTCTCATATCTTGAAATTTATATTAGTAATAAATAAGTTTCTAGAGCGTTACATTCCATTTTGTCTACTATACATTTCTATCATCACCCTCAAATCCCTGTAAGCCATGGAGCCAGGATAAGAGTTGGCAAGCCATGACCCACAGGCCAAGTCTGGGTTACTGTATTTTTTTGTTTTTTGTAAATAAAATTTTACTGGAACACAATTATGCTCATTTAATTATATATTGTTTCTGGCTGCTTTCCAGCTACAAATTAGTTAAATATTTGTGATGAAAATTGTGGGGCCCAACCTGTAGTCCATAAGGTGATGTCAAGGCCCAGCAAATTTCAGAGTCAGCAGAGACATTAACAGCTGGTGTACAAAAAGTACTCTATGCCAGCGATAGCGCTGGGCTCCACATGTATAGGTTTATATAGTCCCTTACCACCACCATATCCAGCAGTTGTTATTTCCCCTTTCAATTATGAACAAATTGACTCAGAAGTTTTTAAGTAATTTCTTTGAAGACTGAAATTCAGGACTTTCCAATTCCAAATGTCCTGCTCTTTGCAGACTGTCCTATTGGTTTTCCTGTTAGAATGAGCTATATGTGTAAGGAAGGGAGTAGAACTCAGAAATTTTAAGCAAATTTGTAATTTCAGAATTTTGGTTTTTCTTACTTTATACCCAAGAAATTTCAATAAATCAATACTTGTTAAGTGACACTTTTATTATATCAAAATCTTTTTAATGGAGGAAAACCCCTTCAAACTCAGATCTAGTTAAAGAAACATTCCAGGAGAGCCTTGCTTTTCCATAGCTGTCTTTGACCCTTCTTATTCATTTTCTCTCTCAAATTCTCCACAGTTAAAACTAATTTTTCCTATGCCCAATGAAGTCGAATCAGGAAATGTTCTTATAATTCTGAATAAGCCTCTTAAGTTGTTGGACTTGAGTTTCTTCATTTGTAAAATGATGGAAAATGATAGTTGCCAACATTATTATGAAGATTAAGTAAGGCCACAAATAGAAAACACTTGAAAGTTATTACATGTGATATAAATATGAGTATATTATTACTGCACTTATAAATACAGAAAATAAGGGCATCTGTGCCTTGGTGAGTGTAAATCAGAAAGACAAATGAGGATAAAAATAGAGAAGGAAGGTGAGAAAATAAAGAGGTTATAGGAGAAAGAAAAAGGGCTGGAAAAAAAGAAGGAATTATGACAAAGTAATGGGTTAAGACAAATAGAGGTAAGGTACACATGGATTGGCATGGCTTTCCAGGGAGTTATGGAATCTGTTCTCGGCTATCCATGAATTTGGAATTCCATTTTAGGAGACTTATTGCTGTGGGATTGGCATAGCACCAAACCTAATCAGGAGTCCTGGAATTGGGCCATTGCATACCACAAAATTTCTCAGGTAAGTCAGGCCTCAAACCAACTATTTTATATAATTATCCTTTCTCAATGTCTTTTTAAAAATTCTATGCCCACAACTACCAAGGAAGATCACTTTGGCCAGTCCTATTTGTCCTATAACAAGGAATTCTCTTGGTGGCCTAAACTGGCTTTGGGTTTCTATCAGATGAAGCCATCTGGCTTATATATTTAATCTGTAGGTCTTATAGCCTAGCATCATATTCAATGCTTTCTTTCTTGTCCCAGTCTCATCTCAACTTTGCCTTCTATTTTACCATCTAGGAAGTTTATGTCCCATCCAGACTCTTGCTCTCAATGTGTCTTTTACACAAAACTAGTCCTTAGTCACTCATTAAACCGGGTTCCCTGGCATCTCTATCAGCAATAATACTTTGTTCGAGTTACTACATGTAGATTTAAGGGTAATAAAAATATTAGTTCTTGACAATCTTATAATTTAAAAGCTTTTCTATACAGACTGAGTTCCTTCAAATCATTCTGAATTGGTGAGATTTCACAATATTACGTTGAGTGCCTGTTCTGCCACAATACTCACCAAAATTTAAATCCCATTTAGGGAAGCAATTCAGAATCTTTTGAGTGTGAGAAGTATAATGAAAATAAATAAATTCTATTCTGTCCATTTACCTTATGGCCTGTATTTTAATCACTTTGAAATGTCCACAAACATATAAGAAAATAAGTACTTACTTAAAATCAAAGCTACTTGAATTCCAGATGGCTCAAAGTATATCTTAATCTGTCTTGAGCAAGTCCCCTAATTCTGCAGGAACAAATGGTGGAATGTTATTAAAATGTTAATTAGTTAAATTTAGTCCCCAAAGCATAAAGAAAACAAAATTGCACCTACATGATTTTATTTTTACTAATGGGGAAAAGAAATTTTAATATTTAAAGAAATGAGGTTATTTTAGAGGAGAAGAATTACATGATGTGAGTTTTAGATTAAAATATCCAGGGATGTAAAGCAAGTTTGAACAAAATTATTGGGATATGTTTTTAACCTCTTATATGAAGCTATTTTCAAAATAAGGTATTTTTATCTTGTATCATAAGTTATTTATTTGGATGAAAATTGGAGAGATAGAGGTGCCAGTCAGTAACAGAGCTACTGGCTTTGCACAACTTGATTGTATTTTTCTTGTTTTTTTCTCATTATTGGAATTGGAAAGGCCTTCAGAGGGTCCTGGAAACTTTGGATCATTCCAAAAGCTCTCTTTCCATGAGGAAAACATCTTTCCTGTCTGATATTATCCAAAGAAAAGGAAGAACAGTCTCCCTAATTTAAGCGTCTTGAGTATAAATCTTTAGATTACGATTGTGTAACTTCAAAGTAATCAATAAAAAAATACAAACTTCAAGATATAACACAATTTATTAATGAAAGCCTTAATGGTACATCAGTTTGTTGTGGAATCAGTTTTTTCTCTGGTCATGTTGGTACTATTAAGTTGCATTCATGTTCATAATTGGTTTAACTCTTTCATTTTAACCATGTATGTACCTGGTTTAGTTAAAAGACAAAAAGTGTAAAATTTATTTACTGGGTTGAATCATATAGTTACTAAAACGCTTTGGTAATGGGGAGCTTGTGAAGGTTTCTGAGCAGGGGTTTGATGTTACTAGATTTACAAAGTGTATGATTAATCTATATAATGCATAGAATAGCTATATTAACTAGCTCATAGCAACAGTAGCAATGAGGCTTTCAGAGCTGCTGCTTTTGATCAGGGTGTAACTTTTAGTGCTACTCAAATTATCCTAAATGAAATAGTGCTGATTGCTTCTATATAGTGTGATCCTTTTGGACACCCTTGTGCCTTTCTGAGTACCCAATATGCAGTACAACTTATGTAAGTCAAACAAAAGAAAGACAATTACAGATAAAGAACTCAAGACAGTAGATTTCATTGGCAGAGTTCACATTGCTTCTCCCTTAAAGCAATGGGTCAGAGATAGATTCAGCTGACTTAACTATGGTCTTCCCATTAGGAATGGCTCACAAAGGATAGGCAAGCAAACAATTTTCATTTTTATTCACCAGAACAAAGCATATTTGACTCTTTATTATTGAGTGTTAAATGGGGAAGATGGGTACGATGGTGTTTTTCATGCTTTTATTATGTTCAAAATTCTTAAGCTGCACTTTGGACACATTTGGAGAAATATACTGGGATTTTAATATCACATAGGAAAGTCAACCTTAATTCTATAGGGTAGAGGGTTTTGGGAAGAGAGAAAAGGAAGAGGGAAAAGGAGAACAGTCTTTACATTCTTCCTTTTCTCCACTATACATCATATGCCAATAAATAATTAAAATATCTCCCCAAATATTTTAGTACCTAAAAATATATCCCTGGATATCTCTGGGCAGTGGTTTCTGGAGTCCACATATAGAAGAAAGGTGAGTTCATTATCTGCTAAGCAGTAGGCTGACTTGACTCATGTTTATTATTCATTTGCAGAGCATAAGAAAAGGCTCACCTTCTGACAGAACAAGGAGACAAATCTCCGCTTGCTAGGAGTTATGGTGTTTGGCCAAGCATTGCTATGCATAATGTGAGCTAACCAAGGAAAGAGAGATAAGGGCTGGGTTCACCAGAGAGACAGTCAATCTTTGAAAGGTACACAGAAGAAGCAAATTCTGAGAAGGTATTTAAAGGAGGACAGATTTGTCCCCACTTGTAGATAAACTAAGTAAAGCAGATGGTTGCTTCTAAAGTGTGAATTTAGGCAGGCCTCACTGCCCCAAATTATGTCTAATGTTGGCCAATTGTTGTATCAGAAACTCTTATTACCAGGAACTTCTTAGATGAAGCACTAGTCACCATCATTAAACGTAAAGGCTAACTGGAAAGGGAAATGCTGAAGCCTATTGTATAGAGACTGTTGTTCGCTCACCTATAGGCCATTTTCCTCTTTATTGCTAACAATACCCCATTATTGTTTCAGTATGGGGTGAATATTTTTGGCTATCACCAGCTCATTTATGAGTGGGCAGGATATGCAATTCTGGCCAGAAAGATGCAAGGAAGATTTTGCTGGAAGGAAGTTCTCAGAAATAACTTTCCTTTCTGATAAAAGAGAGACATATAAGGTGATGGACTTGCCAAATTCCTGCCTTTGTATGAGGACTTGAGAAATGATTCCTGAAATGGCTGCATCCATCTTATGACTATGAAAGGAAGGATAAGTCACTGACAAAGATCCAGATTCAAAGTCTTGATATCCACGTAGCAATCATCAACCACTGGACCTTTTGCTGGGTGAGAAAGTAAACGGCATTTGTTGAAGCCAATAATAGTTCACTATTTTATTAGACATCTTAATTGATACAACCACTATTGGGACTTACTACAAATACCCTAAAAATTACTACCCTTTGAATCTATCTCCAGTTGATAACAAGAGTGACTGTATTTGGATGAGCCCTCTCTTCTTCGGTGTTCCTCAGCATTTGTGGTCTCATTTGGTTGGCACTACTTTGATCATACCTTGTACTATTATCTTTTCCTAAATGTAAATACTAAAGATCTAAAGATACAAGTCATATTCAGTGATCTCCCCAAACTAGAAGTTTTTTGAGGTTAGAAAAATTTGGTAGATACGTAGATAGATAGGTAGCTTTCTAGAGGTAAGCTATCAGAAGATGTACAAAATAGAATTTTAGGATTCGGCCTTCAGTTAATTTGAGTTTCACCGTCATTAAATCATAGAATGCAGCCATGTTCTCCAAACCCATGGCTCTGAAGCTGAACAAACAACAGAACTCCAGTGTTTTCCACTCTAAAATTATTTGACATCTCCTCTTTCTTCTGCTTCCTAAATTTTCAGACGTGTCACTCATACCTTAAATGGCTAAGAAGATGCTCAGTTTCACAAGTGGCCCCCAGTCATGTATTCCCTGTGGCTTTCTTCTATTAGCCCAGTTCATCACACTGGGATTCTACTTAGATACTCCTCTCATGGTCTTACTTCTTGCCTTGCTTAGATCCCTAGACACGGTATAGGATGGGATCCTAACAGTAGGGAATTTGGAACCTAGTCTAGCTTATATGAAGTCACGTTTCTCAGAGGTAGATCCTGTTTATTGTCTGTATGATCACTGTTATGAAATTTCTTGTCTATGGGGTAGGACTTGTGCCACTAAACACTTTTACTGGATGACTGATTGGATTTCCATTCCTATTACCCTGGTCCCACCCACATATGATGGCACTTGCCCAGCTTGATCTTAATATACCCTTTGACCATTGTGCATCAACCACCTGTTGTCCTTGTTGGAACCAGCATCTGCAACCTGGAGTTTCCCCTAATCCTACCCCTTTATCCTTCAGGCTCTGTGTTGTCAAGATCCTCTTGTTCTTTCTCATGTCCCTTTTGCTTACTTCCAATTAGCATGTAGCTTTCCAGTGCATCTTACTAAAACACACATCAAATCATGTCACTTTTCTTCAACACATTCCTCTCTATGAGATAAAATCTATGTGTAGTTTGGAATTTGTGACCTCCAACATTCTACTTCTCAAATAAAATCTGTATTTTATATGACTATACTCAAGATTTAAATCTTCATTAAACCAGTCTTTTTTTCTACATTAATAAGGAAATTTTCCCATGTCATGGTCATACTACTGAAATGAGATGGACCACACCTCTGGCCCTCAGGTTTGATCTAAATGTCAAGGCTAATGCTGCCACACACACACGGACAAATACACACACAGCAAGAAGGTATGAGAAGATTTAAAACATAATGAGGCTTTCTGGGGAGAACAGAAGGCAGGCTCTCAGGCAGGTATGAAAATGGTTCATCTCTTGAGAGATCACGGAAAAGAGGCTTGCCTGGGATTTTGTTGTGGTGAAGAGGCTGGCGTGAGTGGGTATTACATGTATGGGGGCTGGAGTGTTTATTGTTTGGATGTTCTGCTGTGGCCAAGGAAGACAGCAAATGGGCTTTTGTGTCAGATTGCCCAGATGTGGAGAGGAAGAGGAAAAGGAAAGAGTGAGGCTTAAAAACTCAATAGTCAAACATGGAGTAAAAAGTCTGTAGTATACTCTGCTTTGCCCTATGTTTACAGGTTACTTAGGAAAATTTTATTCTATTTGATGACATGTGTAAGAGTTAATCATCTTTAAAGAAAAAAAGCTACAAAATTGAGGAGGAAGCCCGGAATGTAAAATGTAGAACCCACTGATGCCACTTCATCTGTCTCATAGTACTGTGAGGTCTAGATATAGAGGAATAGAGAAAAGTTTCAAAAATATCACAGAGAAAACATTTTGAAACATTGATGAACATGGTCCCCTTAATTAGGATTTACTTCAGTAAACCAAACACTTTTTGTAATATGTTTAGCTGAAATGGATTTACTGTAGATATATCGAAGCTAAGGTTTTCAGGAATCCTAACTTGCATGACAGTCTCCCAAGCACTCTATCTAATTTCTTATTTGTATTTTTGTATTCTTTTTACTAAAGAGTTCGTCTCTGCAAATGCATAAGCTTCAGGTTCCACAGAAATTAATTTACCCCTGTGTTTGTTAAAGCAGAGGGATATAAACTATGAGAATGTCATAGTTCTTTCTCTGTAAAAAAATGTTTATGAAGTGACAGGCATACACAAATATGCATACTTGAAAGGGAATACGTTCAGTGCAATGGGAAAGTCAAATAAAGTGGCAAGTGGACACAGTGAGGCTATTTTCATTTGTGTGGCAATCTTGACTTCATGGAGAAAATGACTTCAGACTATGAAAAATGAAAATATTTTGTTATGCAAAATGAACATTTGACATTCCAGGCAAAGGAAACAGCAAACAATGTTCAAGGATCAATAAGCAGTAGGGCCTGGGATTGAAAAGCGGGTTAGGATACATTCATGGAAAGCTTTTTTTTCTTATTTTATGTATCATAGAAAATTTCAAATACATACAAAGTAAAAAGAATAGTATTAGGCAGCTTCTTCACCACCTCTTCTAATATCGGTAGACCCTTTTAAGGAAAATGCAGATCCAAAAACTGAGTTAATCTTTCTAAATTACTCCATTGTCCTAATATTTTACCCATATATTCCCACTTCATTATAACTGTCTAATACCTTTAAGAAGGAAAGCATTTAGTCCACTTTTTCTAATTGTCTTATTGTAAAGGTTTATTTGAATACTGAAAGCAGAAATCCTGAAAACTTAATTTTTATGTGGAAAAAAAGCAAAATCCATATACACGTTACCTGGGATCATACCTCAGAAAACAATCAAAGCAAATGGGTAGCGTGGTTACTGATTGAGTAATTAGAAATGATACGGTTTTAATCCCATCACAAATTTTAATAACTATGAGTCTTTGTGGAAATTACTTTATTTCTCTCAGTCTGACATTATCGTGATGAAAGTGATGTCTGTTTTCACACATAGTGGTAGCCTGTTAATAGGAACTTGCATGCATTGAACATTTACTATGGGCCAAGCATCATTAAACACTTTTCATGCATTATCTCAAGTACTTTTTGCAAACTTCTGAGATATTAATGCTTTTAACATGACATTTCAGATGAAATATCTTGCACAAAGATTTTTTAGTAATTAACACAAGCAAAGCAATGCCAAAGGTTAAATCCAAGTTCACACTTCAGTGCAACTCAGTCACCACTGTACCAGATTGCCTTGCCATACCAGTCTTCATACATGATTTTTTTTCTTGTTCCTTCCAAAGCACTCATATATAGTTAGTTTTGTTTGCCTTGCTTTGCTTCACAAAATAGTAGGGTGTGAATTATTATTATACTCTTCACTGGACCCTGATGATTAACTTTCTAAACTTACTTTTTGACAATCCTCATAAAATTGTCACATGATTTAATCAATCTCCCAAGAAATTTGGAAAAATAGAGAAATTGCCAATATATACTTTAAAAAACTTAAACTGCTAACAGATTTACAATGCCTTTTTTGCTATTTTATCATTTTGAGTCCTTGCTTATACCAAGCCAAATACCTTTCTAATGAAACTTTGGTCTTATGGGTTTTCCCAACCTTCCTGCAATATAAGCTAGCTTTCTTTATTTTTTAACCTTAAAACTGACATTAGCTGGGACTGACTCAGTTTTGTATCTTTACTGACAAATCTATATTAACAACAACATCAATACTGTATTAAACCTGAACTATGGGAATAATTTGTAATCATGCCAAAATTAATAACATTGTGTATCACCCAGAGAGACTCTCAGGGAGGAAAGTGAAATGGTTATTAACTTGGGTTATTATTGCAGTATTATGGACATTTAAATAGGCTATAATTCTGGAAATTTAAAGGTCAGTTTGATTTATTCAATTTAGTTCATCATATGTTTGGAAAACTAATTAAAATCACAAACAACATAGATATAACATTTTTGATGGCAAGTCAGAGCCTGAATTCTGAGACACAGCAGGGAGCCAACTCACTGGGCATGGAGGACACTCCTTGTGGATGAAAGGGACTCATTCTCCCATTCCTGAAATTGGGTCTAGGAAGGCAAGTTGGGAGGGAGCCTCTTTTTCTAGATGTATAAGCTTCGTCTTCATGGATTTCTTAAATCAAAGCACTATACCTGAAATGCCCATATGACTATAAGATTGGCACTAGAGATACTGAAGTACTGCCTTTTAAAATATTTAAAGATCTAAAAGACTTCTCTCTTCAACTGCCTTTTCAGTGTCTCACGTTTGCTCTCACTGGAAAGCATTTTTTTGTTTGTTTTTTTGAGACAGAGTCTCACTCTGTTGCCAAGCTGGAGTGCAGTGGCATGATCTCGGCTCACTGCAGTCTCTGCCTCCCAGGTTCAAGCCATTTTTGTGCCTCAGCCTCCTCAGCAGCTGAGACTACAGGTGCCCACCACCATGCCTGGCTAATTTTTGTATTTTTAGTAGAGACGGGGTTTTGCCATGTTGGTCAGGCTGGTCTCGAACTCCTGGCCTCAAGTGACCTGCCCACCTCCACCTTCCAAAGTGCTGAGATTACAGGCATGAGCCACGGCAACCGGCCCAAAATCATTTGTTTTGTTTTAAATAATTACTGTCTGGAGAAGAATGAGGTGGTAAATGCCTTTGAAAGGTAATATCTTGAGTTGTGTTCATTTTATAACAAAGTTTTATAGGGCGAGGAAGTAGTATAGGACAGTGAAGCCTGAAAATACAAGGAATAAAAGAAAGATGGATGCAAGAACTTGAAAGTGAGGTAATACTAAAAAAAAAAAAATGCAATAAATGGATCATGCCAAAGTAAACTGGGGAAGAAAAAAGGGAGTATTTTTTTCCAACTGGTATTAAAATGGAACATTACACATGCCTCTTTTTCATGTAGTATCTAGCCATAGTCTGAGGGAGAAAAATTCAGACATGGCTATTAGTATCAATGGCATAAAGAAATATGGGAGATGAAATACCAGTATAATTAAAGGGCAATACATAAAGAAAATGTGAACCAGGTCTTTGGACCATCTTAATGGATATGACTGGAAGGAAATGAAATAATAGATTGGAGACCAACTTTCAAGGTACCCTCAACATTTAGCTGCCTTACATGACTGTAATTATCAAGCTATATCTTATAGCCAAATGGCTTCCAAAGAGTCCTTAAATTATTGGGATGACAACTTTATGATCCCCAAAGCAGAAACTTCAGCCACTGGAGTATCCACTTTAGGTTGACTGCCTGGTGACAAGAAGGGACTGATGGAGGGTAGGAAAAATGAAAGAAAGGGAACAGTGAGCTACTAACCATTGGGCCAGGTTGATAAGTCTGTTAACTGTAGACATGGTATCTCTAGACATTTTCCAGGAGAATTTTCCTGGCTAAGTATAAGAATACTACGAAAATAAACTCATAGCTGCTTTCTAAGGAGCTATCATGTGTTCCGTATGGTGTGATTGTAAGACTTCTATGTATTTATGAAACATTCCTTTTAACCCACCTACAATTTTAATGCATCCAGCACGTGAGTAGAAAGGATAGTGTAAAATATGACACATTCTTAAATTTAGAGCTTGTAACTTAATAGAAAAAAATTAACTACATAGAAATATTAGAAAGTAAGACCAAGTTTTCTTTAATACAATTTTGCATTCCATATATTCAGAAGTATAAATATGGGGGTACAAACCATATTGTTATGGACAAAGGATGTTATAACTTATCTGTTGTCAACTGGAAAGGGTAAAGTAGGAAACACAGTTAAAATAAGCATTTACTCTATTTTAAATCATCTCACATATGAAGTAATGTTAGTCATATTCATAACTGACAATTAAATGAAAGATTATAGGAGGGAATAATCTATAAATTATACTAAAGATATATAAAAAATAAAAGTAAATGAGAATATTTTGGGGAAAACAACCTCATATCCAAGAAAATCCAAACCTCAGTTGCTATCTACAACTATAAATAGAAAGATAGACGAGATGAATAGTTACTCAGTTTTTTACCACACTTGTGTTCTTGCAATGCACATATTATCATGTCAGGTACTATCTGCCTGCCTTTTAGAACTTAGGATGTAAGGAACTTATGTCAAGTTGTTAAAAGTACAAGAATAAAGGGAACTGCATAATGCTGACACGCCAAAAGACTGAAGAAAAAAGCAAAGTTGGGCACCAAAAAGAAGGATGAAATTATTGTGAACTACGTTCGCCAGATAGGAATTCATAATGGAAAAGAGTTTTGAGATGGGCTTTGATGGATAATTAGGATTAAGGCAAGTCAAGGGAGTATGCTCACTAGAAAGGTATTTTGCACTGACAATTTGTGAGATTCCATAGCACAGGATTTCACCTGCATATTTCTGATATACCAGATACTAAGTATCACAGTGTGAGGTTGTCTATTGCAATATAGAATTTCTTGTAGCTACCCCCAAAATGTGATTCATACTGACATAATGCCCTTTGATTTACCTGTTACTATTACCTATCTTCAGCCATTATCTACTTTGGCTGAGCTTTTAGTATAGACAAGTCAAAATTTACATGGATTAGGACTAATGCTATACATATGGGAAACATTGTCACCCTAACATGGACTACCAATGTTACAGATTTGAAGTGGATAAGGGTATTGGAAGTCATATCAAGTTGTATTGGCAAGCATGTTACTTTAAACTTAGTCTCTATTCCTTTTGATTTTTAAGGCTATGAAACGTGTTTTCCTCTAAGTGGGCTGTTTAAGAAAAAGAAGTACTGTCACCTTTTCACTCTGAACTTGCTCTGGGGTAAAGCAATTGCCTTCTTCAATCCCATCAGTACAGGACATTACAAAAGTAGTTGCTTAAGAAATATCTGTTATGTAAATAAATATCATGTTAAGCCAATGTTTTCTCCTCTAAATTGATGCATTCAACCATAAGCATAAATTGAACAGATGAACAAGTGAAGAAAATTGAGAAATTGAACAGTTTATGAGTTTTTATCATAGGTCTATTTCCAAATCAAGGGATTTTTATTTTATGATAATGTTACTAGGATGTTCATAGCATTGAGAACTCATGTTTCTATATCACAGATTGAGGATATATTGAAGAATATCTGCTAAATGTAGATTTCCTCAAAATGGTAGAAAATATATTAAAATGAACATGTGTCCACGGGGAAAGCAAGAAAGCAGGGTTTTCTGTGAAAGGAAAACTATGCAATACTAATGAAAGAGAGTCACAGGACCACACTTGGTGGGAAACTAGAGCTAAGGACATGCTTAAGAAATTCTCCTGTAGTGATTGGGAGTTACATATAAGATGATTTATGCCCAGAAGTGGTAACAGCTAGAAAGGGGAGGCCAGATGGAAGCACCTGCTGATTTATCAGGTGGAGTATCTCAGTGAAGTAACCTGGCTGATCAAACTCTCAGCATTCACCCAACCTAGGGCTAAGTATCACTTTTGAAGAGATTTGCCTCCAGCTAGACCGGAAAGTACAGGATCTTGTGCTGAAGAGAAAGGCAATTCTCTGATTTGGTGGTGATGCCTAGGTACAGTGAAAAGCATCCATGCTTGGAATAGCCACTGGTGAGGAATCTTACTTATTAGACTATTACACTATTACAGTTGGTGTACCATTGTCTCTAATACTTAGATTTCTCATTATCCTATCCTCACATAGAGCAGTGGCAACGACTACCAACTTTTACAAAGTGGACTTCACAAAGAGATGTGGCACACTTTCACCCAAATCCATTTTGTGCCCTTCTCTATCCTCTACGGTGTTCCTAGAAGTTGACCAAAATAAAATGCATTACCCAGCCTTCCCTGACCCCAGGATTCTTGCTGGGCCCAGCCATTGAAAGAAAGTAGTAGGGGAGGAGAGGGCTGAAAGAGAGGTTGAGGTGTTTGTGTCTTTTTAATCCCTCAGTTTGATGAAGCTGTCAGTGGCTATATTCCTCTAGGGCTCTAACTCTTGTGGATGATGCATCTCAATTTTTCCAGCTTCTAGTAACTCCAGTTTCTCTCTTTGATCCTTCAGGCATAGAGAGATGATTTCTACTGTCTCTTGTCCTGGGCTGTTTCACTGTTACCTGGTGATACCTGACCTTGCCCACACTTCTGTAAATTTCCTTTTAAACTGTACTGTCTTTTCCTACAGGGACCCTAACCAATAGAATTATCACTACCAGGAATACTACATCCCTTCATACTCTAAAATACTGAAACTGAGATAGAACTACTCATATTTTTGAATAACATACATAATCTCCATGAAGACACTGATAATCTATGATTATAGTTATTAAAATTATCCCTGGTGATGATATGGAGTAAATTACAGATGGAGGGCAAAGTAAAGAGAGATTGAGTGATTGAGGCACTTAATTGCTACAGTGATAATGGTGATTACGTACGATGGGGTGGTGGAGCAACTGCTTCAACTGCACTAAAGGGCCTACAGAAAAAATATTTTTAAAAAGAAGCTTAAGGATTTAACCTCTTAACTCAAGGCATAAAGAATTGGAAAGACTTTAAGGTGGCATTAAGGGAATCCCTTCTTTTAACTACCAAGAAGGCATGGATGAAAATCCAAAGACTTGAGATATGCATGGACACATTTCAGAGTTGCAATAGACATCACATAAAGTTTGTATGCTAAGTAAGGGTATTGGCTAGCGAAGAGTATGATCTGGAATCTGGCATGAAGAAATTTGGGTAGACAAAGATGAAATCTGAGAATTTTGAATGCTCATATCCGTCTCGAAGCTCTTCTCATAATCTGAGTAATCCAGTCTTCTTACGGGAAAAAAAAGAAAATTGAAAAAATTGTGAAATCACTAGAAGCAGTTGACTTACACATAGATACCCTTTCTCATAGCCCTCCAGTACCACTTTTCATTGCTTCTAGCACTGTAAGAAGGTAAATTCCAAACATGGAAGTAAAACAGTATTCTGGGAAGATGTAATAAATGCATTAGAAGAGTTGCAGGATCTTTCAAATTGGATTCCAAAAGGGTAGATCAGGCCAAATTTATTCAGATAGGAGGCACACCCTTAGGAGTCCTCATTTACTATATAGTTCAAGTACCTGGGAGTGTTGTTAACTGCTACTGAGTTGCTTACTTAAAGCCTTCATTCAACAATGTTCCATAGTCATTTTGGTTGAGGTGTCAGACTTGGGGATGTATGCAGGAAAGAATCTGAAGGCTTAAGGAGATGGGATACTGGAATGGAATTTCTCATTTGTCCTTTGAGGTGGTGTTTTAAATCAAGCATTTGATGATTCCAAATTGTGCTATTATGTTTTTATTTGACATTTCCTGTTAGAGTATACATTGGTAAAGGTCTTGAGTGGAAACAAAGGACATACTCAAAAAGGGTTTTAACTGAAAAGAAAGCTAATAAAGAGACCTTTTAAAGGCATGTGGAAAGAGTTAAGGAAATCAGAAAAGAATGATGAGAAATCAGCAACCATAGGAAGAAATTACTACTCAAAGCCTGAAAAGCCAATAAGAGAAAATGGTTTGCCTTGTCTCTGAAGATGAGAAAAGTCAAGGGACAGCCTTTAGGAGCTGCAGCCATGGAGGCTACAGCCAGGGAAGAATTGTAGCAAAGCAAGCAAGGAATGGGGAAATAAATACCTCTACTTCTCTCCTCCTACACTCTAGTCTTTTGATAATACCTCCCCATACACAGAAGCTGGGTCCAAGCATCCTGAGTGACTGAGCCCATAGAGGTGAGCCTCACAGGTATACAGTAGCAGAGAGAAAGGTAAAGACTGTATCCGGGGAATACAGAGAATAACCAGAACAATCTGCTACCTTTGCCATTCAGATCAAGACTTTTTTTGACACTCATGTGATTTATCAACTCAGTTTTTTTGTCCAATAAAAATCTATACACTTAGAAATTAAGCAGCTAAAATCTGTAAGCCCATGCATGCACACACAAAAACACAGACACACGTTTAAATAACACACTGTAGAGTCAATGAAAACGGAAATAACTATTTATAATGAATGATGCATGCACAACATATCGAAACCAGTAGGAAGCAGGTAAAAGAATACCTGAAGAAAACCTGAAGACTCAAATTAATTTACTGGAAAGAAAATGATGAACTCAGGGGAAAATAAAAATGCTAATATTTTCAGATAATGTGCTTATCACTTTGAAAAAGTAATATAACTAAAAGGCAAAATTTACTTTTAAGTAAGTTCAGCAATTTATTTATTTATTAAAAAAATTTTTTTTTGAGATGGAGTCTCACTCTGTTGCCCAGGCTGGGGAGCAGTGGTACAATCTCGGCTCACTGCAGCCTCTGTCTCCCAGGTTTAAGAGATTCTCCTGCGTCAGCCTCCTTGAGTAGCTGGGATTACAGGTGTGTGCCACCACACCTGGGTAATTTTTGTATTTTTAGTAGAGACGGTGTTTTGCTGTGTTGCCCAGGCCGGTCTCAAACACCTGGGCTGAAGTGATCCACCCACCTTGGCCTACCAAAGTGCTGAGATTACAGGTGCAGTGTTTATATATATGATAAACTTTAAATATTAGTGAAAATTTAACAATACCAGCAATAATCAACTAGAAATTCTAAGTAAAAAATAAAGTACAGTTCACAATGGCAACAAAACTACAATGCATCTAAGAGTTTACTTAACAAAAAAAAATAAGATTTCTTATTAAAAAGTTTAGCATGTAGAAGTGCACAGAAGATAATTTGGATAAAGAAAGCCCATCTTGGACGGGGTGATTAACTATTATACACATGTAAACTATCTCTCATTTTAGTCTACAGTTACAATGTGATTCTATAAAAACATACAGTTAGATTTATTAAACTTCCTGAGCTTTAATATGAAATTTATATAGAATAATAAAAATCTAGAAAGAAGTAAGTGTATTTGTTGAAAAAATCCTGAAGTTGATAGGAAAGGGTGAAAAATCATTAGAAATTAAGATGTAATATAAAGTTATAATAAAATGATAAAACAAAACAATATAGGTTTGTTATAAGGAATAAAAAATAGGCCAGTAAAGTATCATGAGTAAAACAGATATTGATTCAGATGTATTTGAGAGTATTATATATAATAAAGGTAGCACCACAAATTAATGGGGGGAAAACAAATTCTTAGACAATTCTGGAAAATGATTTACTTTATGAATAAAACTGGATTTGTACTTTACATACAAATTTGGATCCTAGTTTAAAATTCTACATATAAAAATAAAAGTATCAAGACATTAGAAAAGTGTAAGATCACAATGCTTCTGTGATGTATGGTTGACAGATACTTCAAAAATAAAAATATAAAAGCACAAACCATAAGGGATTGAAAGATATAGCAATATAAAGGATAATATGTATGACAAAGTGGAGTTTATTCTAGGAATATGTTGGCTTAACATTCAAAAATCAAACAAATCAACCTTAATGGAACAAAAGAGATTAAAAACATATGATCTTCTTAGTAGAGACAGAAAGATATTTGATAAAGATCAACATACGCTTATGTTAAAAAAGGAAAAAAAAAAAACTCTCAGCAAATTAGGATTGGAAGGAAGATCCCTCAATCTGATAATATCTACAGATAATATCACATTTAATAGTTAAAAACTGAGTAATATACCCCCAGGATAGGAAACAAGGCAAAGTTGTTTGCTTTCACCACTTGAATTTTACATTTTATAAAAAGTGCTAATCAGTGCAATAAGGTATGAAAAAGAAAGAAAAGGCATGCATATTTGAAATAAAAAGTAAAGCTGTTTTATTTGCAGATAATAATGTGTAAATTCCTAGACAACTTACCAAAACCTAATAAAGGAATTTAGCCAGGTTGCAGGACACCAACTCACTCTAAAAATCAACTAGATCTCTATATTTTTGAAATGACCTATTGGAAAATAAAATTAATAATTACTATTTACTATAGCATTAAAAACAAGTAGTTAAGTATAGATTTAACAAAATATGAGTAAAACCAATACACTAAGAAGTACACAACATTCCAAAAAGATACTGAAGACTTTAAAAGATGGAGAGATACACCATTATCTTAGATCAGAAGGCTCAATATTGTTAAGGTATAATTTCTCCCCAGATTTGTCTATAGATTCAACATGAGCCTAATCAATTTCTCAGCAAGATTCTTGTAAAAATTAACTGATTCTAACATTTATGGGCACATACAAAGGATCTATAATTACCAAAACAACTTTTAGAAAAAGAATAAAACTGGAAGACTTACACTGCTTGATTTCAAGTTTATTACAAAGCCACATTAATCAAGAATTTGCTTTTGGTTTAAGAACTAAGGTATAAATTAATGGACCAGCAGAGTCAGAAAATATATATACAAATATGTATAATTGTGTATATCGATGTGTGCACATGGATGTGCTGGACAAATATCAATGTTAAGAAGTGAGGCTATTGAACATGTGGTGCTGGGCCAACTGGGTATTCTCCTGGGAAAAGAAATAAATCTTGACCTTTACTTCATACAATTTATAAGAATTTACTTTAAATGTTTCATGAATTTAACCCTAAAAGGTAAAACTGTAAAACTTCTAGAAGAAAACGTAGAGAAAGTCTTTATGAAATTGTAGTAGGGCAATAATTTCCCAGAACTATAAATGAATATAAAGTGATAATTTGACAATCAGAATTCTAAAATATTTTTCTTTTTTTTTCTTTTTTTAAATTATACTTTAAGTTTTAGGGTACATGTGCACAATGTGCAGGTTAGTTACATATGTATACATGTGACATGTTGGTGTGCTGCACCCAGTAACTCGTCATTTAACATTAGGTATATCTCCTAATGCTATCCCTCCCCCCTCCCCCCACTCCACAACAGGCCCCGGTGTGTGATGTTCCCCTTCCTGTGTCCATGTGTTCTCATTGTCCAATTCCCACCTATGAGTGAGAACATGCGGTGTTTGGTTTTTTTGTCCTTGCGATAGTTTGCTGAGAATCCATGTCCCTACAAAGGACATGAACTCATCATTTTTTATGGCTGCATAGTATTCCATGGTGTATATGTGCCACATTTTCTTAATCCAGTCTATCATTGATGGACATTTGGCTTGATTCCAAGTCTTTGCTATTGTGATAGTGTTAAAAAAATTCAAAGTCAAGCCATAGATTGGGAAAGAATATTTGCCAAACAAATCTAACAAATGACTGATACGCAAAATATGAAAAGAACTCTAACAATGGAATAGTAAGAAGACAAACAATCCAGTGAAAGAATGGCAAAGTATTTGCATAAACACTGCAAAAAATAAGGTACATGAATAGTCAAAAACACATTAAAAAGATGTTAATATGATTTGGCTGTGTCCCCACCCAAATATCAACTTGAATTTTATCTCCCAGAATTTCCCCGTGTTGTGGGAGGGACCCTGGGGGAGGTAATTGAATCATGGGGGCTAGTCTTTCCTATGCTATTCTCGTGATAGTAAGTCTCACGAGATCTGATGGGTTTATCATGGGTTTCTGATTTCGCTTCTTCCTCATTTTTCTTTTGCCGCCACCACGTAAGAAGAGCCTTTTTGCTTCCCTCATGATTCTGAGGCCACTCCAGCCATGTGGAACTGTAAGTCCAATTAAACCTCTTTCTCGCCCGTTTCAGGTAAATCTTTATCAGCGCATGAAAACGGACTAACACAGATGTTCAGCATTATTAGTGTTCAGGGTAATTCAAATTAAAATCGCAATGAGATTCCAAAACATACCTACTCAGTGTAATAAAACTTAAAACTCCAATCAGGTCCTGGCAATGCTATAGGGAAAATAATATCCTCTGTCTTTGTCAGCAGAAGTGTAAAGTGATTAAACTACTTTGGAAAACATTCTAGTAGTTTCTAATAAATGTGCATTTTATTCATACATTAAAAGGTGTTTATAAAAAAATGATAAATTCTTTTTTATAAAAAGATGTATAAAATGCTCAGTCCCTTCATATTTTCTGCTGATTGTTGATGTTCTCTTAAAATTTACATTAAAAATTATGCATATTTATGGTGTACAAGATGATGTTTTGAAATATGTTTATATGATGGAATATGTTTATATGAAGTCAAGCTAATTAGCATATGCATTACCTCATATACTTATTTTTGTGATGAGAACACAAAATCCACTCAGTAATTTCCGAGTATATATTACATTGTTATTAACTATAGTTACTATGCTGTAAATAGATCCCTTAAACTGTATTGCTCCTGTCTAACTGAAATTCTGTACCCTTTGACCAATATGTCTCTAACCCTGCCTGTGATAACCACCATTCTACTCTGCGTCTATGAGTTTGTTTGTTTGTTTTTTAGTTTCCACATTAAAAAACTATGTGAGAATGCAGTATTTGTCTTTCTGTGCCTCACTAATTCCACTTAACATAATGTCCTCCAGGTTCATTCATTTTGTGGAAAATGACAAGATTTCCTTCTTTTCAGAGAATGAATAGAATTTCGTTTGGTATATGTATAATATTTTCTTTACCTATTCATTTTCTAATGAACACTTAGTTTTTTTTCATATTTTGGCTACTGTGAATAATCCTGCAATGAACATGAGAGTGGAGATATCTCTTTATTATTGTGATTTCATTTCCTTAGGATATATATGCAGTAGTGAGATTATTGGATCATATGATATTGAGAAAACTGGATATCCATATACAGATGGATGAAATTAGATCCTTATCTCACACCATATATAAAAAGCAACTCAAAATGGATTAAACTCCTAAATGCAAAATATGAAACTGTAATGCAACTAGAAGAAAACATGAGAGAAAAACTCCATGGCATTGGTCTAAGCAATGAGTTTTTGGATGTGAACCCAAAAGCACAAGCAACAAAAGCAAAGATAGATGAATGGGATTACATAAAACTAAAGATCTCTGTACAGCAAAGAAAACAAACAGTAAGAAAGACAACCTATGGAATAGGAGAAAATATTTGCAGACCATACGTCTGATAAGGAGTTAATATCCAAAATATATAAGGAAGTCAAATTGCAAGAATACAAATAGGAGAAGAATCTGAATAGAAATTTTTCAAAAGACATGCAAATGGCCAAGAGGTAAAAGAAAAAATGTTCAGCATCGCTAATCATCATAGAAGTGTCAATTAGACCACAGTGAGATATCACCTCACACCTGTTAGAATGTCTAATTATCAAAAATTCAAAAGATAACAAGAATTGGCAGGGATGGGGAGAAAGAGAAACCCTTGAACACTGTTAGTCAGTATAAATTAGTACAGTCATTATAAGAAAGAGTATAGAGATTCCACAAAAAAAAGAATATAACTACTATAATAACTAAAAACTGAAAACCAAAATGTTAATCACATGAATAAACAAAAGTGGCATATTTATAAAAAAGAAACAAACCACTGATTATTGAAACAACATAGTCAAATCTGTTATTCTAAGTGAAAGAAGGTTGACAAAAAATAGTATATCCTGTATGATTCTTCATTTATAAACTCCTAGGACAAGCAAAACGAATCTACAGTGAGAGAATGCTCAACAGGAGGTTGCTTGAAGTAGGGAATGGTGAATGACTGCACAGGGACACAAAGGAACGAACCTCTTGGGTTGATGTCTATGTCTTGATTGTGGTGATGATTACACATGTTTATACATTTGTCAGATCTTACTGAAGTGTACAATAGAACAAACACATTTTATTGTATTTAAGTTAGACTTACATAAAATTGATTTAAAAAATAAAAAATCATAAACAATCCTAAAGGAGAAATGATTAATTTGTTTAAATTAAAAGTAGTTTTCCATTCAATGAAGGACATCATAGGCAAAAATAAAGAGCAAGTGACACAATGGGGAAGATATTTACAATATTTGAAACTAACCATAGATTAATATCTAGAATATGCAAAAGACTCTTGCAAATCAATTAGAAAAAGTCAGAAACTTAAATACAAAATGGACAAAGGACATAAACAGAAAATTTATAGATCCAGTAATCCAAATGACTGAAATACATATCAAAGGATACTCAAATTCATCAGAAAACTGTGAATGTAAAGTAAACACAAAATATAAGATATACTTTGTATCTATTAGAGCCTGGAGAAATGAGTAAAGTTGGATAATCCTAAGCATAGGGTGATAAATGACATGGACATACAGGAACCCTCCTGAACATTTACTGAGCACGTGGATTGGCATAACCATGCTGGAGAGTCATTTGTGGCTTGTAGGGTATGTGGCCTTCAGAGACCAAGAGAGGTAAATTATGCTTTCCTGCTAAGAATATGTGTTTTCTCATATCTACTTGTGTATTACCAGTGGTTTTTGCTCTATGCTGTGTACATGAAGAATAAAAACCATTAAAGGTTTTACACATTCAATTCTTTATACTTCAATCATCAAAAAGTACCTTTTTCTACCTCCTGTACTTCTCTTTGCCTTGAATTCAAACCTGCATAACATGAGGAATGGATATCTGCTATGTTAACCTTTTTACTAACCTAGTTTGCCTTTATTCATATTTTATTCTCATCAGTTCCAAGCCACTTTTTTGTACGTGTTTGCCATTCAACAGGGTTTTGGGGTTTATTTTATGATCCCTACCAGCTGTTTCTTTTTATGAATGGGAGTGTTTCACCTGCTTAGAAGTTTACTTTATTAAGAATGACTGATCTATTTAGCCCATGATCTGTCATTTATCTTATAAAACCTATTTTTATGGCTTTAATTCTGTTTTTTTATTCACTCTTTGCTGTGTGTTTCTTCACAGAAAGAGCAAAATTCTTCCAGGGACACAAAAGGTGACTTGAAAAGATAGAGAGGCATTCTTGAACAGAACCACTCACAATCATAAGCATGCAAATTTTCCTAAGTTAAACTAAAAATTAACATGATCGTAATGAAAGTACAACCTGATATTTAAATGAAGTGGCTTTTTAATTTGCATGGAAACATAAAGTAATAAAAATCATTGAGAAACTTTCCACAAAAAAGGAGTAAGATTTCTGATAAATGTACCCTGCCACGGCCCATGGCTGCCAATCCCCTGGTTTTGTTCTCCAGAGGCAACCAATTTTAGCTGTTTTAAGGCCTATCTCTAATAAGCTCTCAATCTCAAAGAGCACACATTTACTACTTTATCAATTTTAGACATTATCAAATCATTTTCTGCTATTATGGGTGGAGATTTAGTTCTTTTTTACTGCCTTCCTCCAGTCTTTCATCCTCCCCCACGTGGTTACATAACTGTGGTTTTGCACCTCAGTAAAGGCTGGCTGTGTTATCTGTACTTTGTTCAACATTGTTTGCAGCAGAGTCACTTAGTGTGTCTTGGTCACATTTTTGGAGAGGGTATACATTTGTTGTAATTGGAGTTTCTAATGAAGATTGTTTTGTCCCTACTGAAATGTTTTCCTTCCAATGATTACCTCATAAAAATCAAGATCTTCACTACATAGTTATTATGTTAATTACCACTTTTTTTTTCCCCCAAGCACCTTTGCTTCTGGAAACCCCTGTCCTAGGCTCTATCCTGGCCTAGATCTTCCCTAGGCCTGCCTGCAATCCTGTCAGCCTAATTTATGTCTTAAATGGTCTCCTGGGTTGGGTCTAGTTTCCTCCTTTGCTCCCTGGTTTTATTGGAGCTACAATTTTGCTTTAGGGTTCTTGTTATATATGCTAAAGAGATCTCACATACCAGTATTGGACGTTTTTATCTCTTGGGATACAGAATTTCTTCAGACAACTTTTTTCTAATTTTCTCTGAACAAGATGATGTTCATTCCAAGGCTGAAGGTTCCCAAATGTCAGAGTGAGCCCGGATTTACTCCAAGGTGTCAATGTGACCACTCTCTTCAACCATTCGACCCATTTCTGTTGACAGTAATGTTCTAGTGTTGTGCCTGGGGATAAATATCAAGCTACCTTTGCTCTAATTCAAGGAAGGAGAGCAGGAAAGAATAGAAGGGAAGAGGGGTGAAAAAGTCACTTGGTTCACCTGCTAGATTCAGAGAACTTTAATCAGCGTCTTTGTTGTCAGCCCTACTTCTCACACTTACTATCTAGCATCTGCCTCCACTGAGCCCAAGGCCCCTCCATCCAGGATTCTGAAAGGTGGGAATTCTTTACGGATTCCAGCTTTCTCTGGATTATACCAGGTCATGGAGGTTTCATTCCTTTGATTGTATTACAAATACATTTTCATCCATTTTTATCTTGCCCAAATCTTTGTACTCTCTCTTCTTTCGTGGCTCCCTTCCATACCACTATTATTGGTTTATTCCTTGTCATATCTTAAAGCTTTCATTTCATTGTTTCAGTGGAGATTTTAGAGAAGCTGGGTGTGAAAACCTATTTGGTATGCAATCTTGTATGGAAATCTATGATGTTTTATTATATACAGGCAAGTTCCTACCAAATACTCTTCTTTTTCTAATTTTTCTTGACTACTATTTTCTATTATTTATCTCCATGGAGTTTACCATCATTTTGTCAAGTTCAAAGCAAAAAATCCAATTGGAATTTTAATTGGAAATGCATTAAATTGATTAACTTGGGAATGATTGTTTTTAATTTTTAATTAAATTTCCAAGCACTGTTTTTTTTAGCTTTGCTAATTATAAACTTCTAAATTTATTGCATTTTTTTTGTCAGAACCTGCTCTCTGCAATTTCTCCTTTTCCAAAGCAGTATAGTAAAGGTATTGTTCTTGGCATCATCTGACACAGTGCTTGTCAACATGCAGGCTCCTAGACCGGCAGGCAGCATAAGAATCACCTGGAAACTATTAGACATGCAAATTACTGGGCCCCACCCCCGACCTTCTGAATCAGAAACTCATGAGTGTGGGACTCAGCAGCCCACCACAGGACTCTGATGCACACTCCATTTGAGAAGCACTGATTTTAACATGTAACTAGCCATGTCAACTCAGAAAAAATATTTGTTTAAATGTCCTCATACGTAAAATAGAGATGTAATTGCATAAATTTCATAGCATTGTTATTAGGTACAGACAATGCTAATATACATGAAGTGCATGTCTCCTGGCATATTGTGAAGACAGAATGATTACTAGTGATTATGATAACCATTATATTGCCATACTGTATTTTTATCCAGTACAAGTAATAAAATAATACAATCTTTGCCATAGCCAATTTTGGTAAATGTTCAGTGTTTATTGTAAAAGTGGGTATATTCCCCTTTCTGTGTATATGAAACATTTCCTGTCTTTATAAAAACAGATGTTATCATGTCCCTCTTCTGTATACGTATTTCTACTTATTAATTATTTTGCTCATTGAGTCTATGAAGGATTATACATTTTGGCAAACTCTCCCAAGACTACTACATTTCTGTAAAATATTTCTGTAGTTTGAAAATTTGGCTGATGTGTATCAATACCTCACTACACTGCATATGAAATTCCCTCAGGTCTTTCTTTATTGTGAAGGGCATTTTTATTACTCGGAAATAGTTCTGTGATTTGGGGGATTTATTTATTATCATGAGTCTTTCATTCACTTTAATTTACTTAACATGTCTTTGCTCATTTTTAAGTTTCAATTATTTTATTATCTTAACATTGAAGGATATTTTATAAGCATTTTTCAAAACAGATATAGGCCTATATATTGTAATGATAACTTACCCCTATTAGAATAACTGTATAGTTGTTCTGTATCCATTTGCATTTGTTATATTTTCCTGGTTCAGTCTATCTCCCCTTGTATTTGTTTTCTAACTTTTGCTATATGTGCTATATTTTTTGTATTCTTACATATTTTAGAAGGTTTTATTCATAACTAATGGTTACCTTTACATTTTTCAATATTATTATTTAATCCATGTTTCTCTAATTTTCAGTATTAAAAGACAAACTACCTCTGCATCTCACCATTTATAGGCTATAGAATATAATGTGGTTTTGATATTCTCATTCAGTCTTATTTCATATAATTTTTATGCTGCTAGTATTGTGTCCCTCTCCAAATGCATATGTGGAAGCTGTAACTCCTCATGTGACTGTATTTGGGATAAGGCTTTTCGTGGGTAATGAAGGTTAAATGAGGTCATAAGGGCAAGATCCTAATCCAACAGGATTGGTGGCTATACAAGAAGAGGAGGAGAAAAATCTCTCTCATTGCACACACACAGGAAAGGCCACGTGCAGACATAGCAAGAAGGCCGATATCTGTACCAGGAGAGGCCTCACCACAACTCAGCAGCGCTGGCACCCTGATCTCAGACTTCCAGCTTCTAGAACTGCGGAAAAATAAATTTCTATTACTGAAGCCACCCCCAGTCTTTGGTGTTTTGTCATGTCAGCCTGAACAGATGAATACATGTGCTAATCATTATTATTAAATTATCTTTTTTTATACCATTTATCTTGTTTCTAGAAAAGCCATTAATATTTGGGCACTCCTCCACCTTCAGCATTTTGGTTTGCAAATATGAGTTTGAGGCAACATAAATTTTATATCTTTGAATGTTGCCTGCTTACTTCTCCAGTTTCCTATTTTTCTTAGTTTTGTACTTACAAGGAAATTACCAGATGTGAATCTAAATGTGATGTTTTTCATTGACTTTACCCTAAAACCTCTGGGCCTTTCAATTTGTACATCACTTTCTAGAGCTGAGGACTTACCCCCCAGCATATCTTTGGTGTTTTCCTCTGCATTCATTGCTCTTTTTCTTTTTTAGAAATGTTTTTATCTGTGTATTTCTGGCTCATTTTGGGTAATTATTTTTTAAATTAAAGTTTTATTTGAGACAGTCTTGCTCTGTCATCTGGGCTGGAGTATAATAGCATGACCGTGGCTCACAGCAGCCTCAACCTTCTGGGCTCCAGTGACCCTCCTGCATAAGTCTCCCAAGAAGCTGGGACCACAGGCATGTGTTACCATGCTCAGCCAATTTTTAAAAAATTCTGTAGAGATGGAGGATCTCACCATTTCACCCAGGCTGGTCTCAAATTCCTGGGCTTAAGCAATTCTCCAGCCTTGGTCTCCCAAAGTGCTGGGATTACAGATGTGAGCCATTGTACTCAGCCAATTATTACTGTAAGTTATGAACTACTTCAGAACTTTGATCTCTGCTATCTGTGGTAGCTTCTCAAATTTGTTCTTCAAAACAGTGGTTGAATCTTTTGCCATTTAAAATCAGTTATTTTCTATGCATGCTCCACCATGCTTTTTAATTTTATTTTTATTTCCTTATGTACAAAAATGGTTTTATCCATCTTTCTTTCTTTCTTTTTATATTCTAGTATTTGCATCTTAGCTTGGTCGGTTTACCCTTATGGCCACTGCTCTTTTTAGAAGAGATCCTACGTTATTGCAGCCTAGTGAAAAAGTCAATCTCTTGACTCTATAGGAGGTAATTTCCAGAGGTTTTCTATGTAGGTTCTCTTCTCATATTCTATTTTGTTTTTTTGTTTTTTCTCTTTACTCATCTTTAAAAGTGGAATTTAGTCACATATTTTGGGACTAGCTCTAAATGCACATTGTTTCAGATTTCTCTAGGCTTATTCTGAATAGTCCCAACTTCAGTTCTTGCTACTTTTCAGACATCCATTTACTGCAGATTTACTACAGAATATGAATTCACTCCTACCCATATTGGCTTAGTGACCTCCCAAATTGAAAGACTGGCAGAAAAATAGAATTGGCAATATACCCATTAATCGAGGTTCTTCTGACATTCACCCCAATCCTGTACCATATACGTAACTTTCTACTTGGGGAGAACCCTATTCTATGTGTTAAAATGTACATGCATAAATGCTTCAATGTGTTCTAAGAATTTCTCACTGCCAAAAGGAAATAAATTTGAGGGGTAGGAGAAAGTGTCCTGAATGCCTAAAAAATTAGTGCTGTGAGGAAGAGCAGAAATCATGCAGTTCTTTCACTTTTAATCTAAGTCTTGGTCTGAAAAAGGCCAAAGGATGAGGTGACTTCTTGTCTTTATACAAGTGATCTTTCTCTGACAATCTAAGTCTTTCCATGTCCTGAGGTCAAGTCGGGCCAGGTTTTTTTTCCTGTTGCCAATGTTTTAAAAAAAGAAAGTGGGGCTCAGAGAATGGTTAACTTTATCAAGGTCATGCAGCTAAAAGTAGACTTAAAGCCTAACATCAAGGTCTGTACACTCAGCACACTTTTCCTTTACAGAACAGCAAACTGTCTTTTTAAAGACAAGATTGCTCACTGATAAACCTAAGGCAACTCTCATGATCTAAGGATTCATCAACACCACTGAAGAACACTTCCTTTGTGAGATATAATATCTAACATTCCCATCCTGAATCTTATATGAAATAGCAGCATGATTCAATTAATGCTTACCCACATGTCATTTATCAACTAGAAGTTCACTGCAATGCAGTTTTACTTCCTCCTAATGCCTTCTTTAATTGTACTAGCTCGTGTAATCTTGTCCTATTTTGACCTCCTTTGATCCATATTGCTTCCACTCCTCCATCTCGCCTATCATCATACTCTACCTCATGCTTTGGGTCCTTTATTGAAACTTGTTTCTCCAGATGGCACCCAAAATTCTTGTTGGCAGAGGCCACGTTTTATTCAATTGTTCTTCCATGCCATCTAGCTTAAAACTACACCCACAGAAAGTATTTACACAGTAGCCTGGACTAGGGTACCATGCTAAAACAGCATTTTTCTCTGGAGACTGTTTACAGGAAAATTAAAATTTAATTAATAATCTAATATTGTCTGCATTTTTCTTAAGTTGGCTCAAAATAGTTTTTGTTTACCTTTTCGTTTTCTCCCTTGCATATACAATTTTTCATGGATATTAGGATTTCTTCTTTAGCTAACATTTCAGGAGAGTTTCCTATGTGCTGGGCACCTTGCTACTCTATTGGGAAACATAAATGAGTAAGATTCAGTCTAGGTTGCAAATGCTGTCTGATGATCAAAACAGACATTTATTTAAATGATCTCAGTCAAATTTGGGAAATGATCCAATAAAGTTATGCACAAGAGGAGAAGAGAAAAGATTAAGTAATTTATTCTGGGGGAGCTCTCTCTTTTCAGAGATTAAAATCCAGCAAAAAAGCTCAACCCCAAAGTGCCGCCCATAACACCTCGATTCTTGAAACTTGAAATATAAACCTCACCTATTTCTTGTCAATGGTGCTATTTGGGAGTCTAAGGGCACTGGGACCTCCAAAGGACACAGGTAGACCATGACCAACAGCATAAGATATAACGAACATTTATACAGTGATGAAAAAATAAATCCCTTTCCTGTGTCCTTCTAAATTTATTTTGACTAGCTATTGAACAGGCGTTTCATAGATTCAATACATCACAACATATTAAGTGCTGCTCAGCTCCCGCCACTCCTGCTGCCCTGCTGTGGACTGTCTCTTTCTGTTTGCATCTTGCCCGTCCTCTTTGCATATAAACTAAGTGTCTCCATTTCTGCTCTCAGAGTGTACCATGCCACACAACCGAGATTTCAAGAACAAATATCAACAGTGGCTAAGCCAAACATATCTTGTCAAGAGAGTGCCACTGCAGTATAAAGATTGATTTGTCAAGGGAGGTCTTGCATATAAGTAGATGTGAAGGCAAGGACTGAGGTTAACAAGTTTCCACTGTGGGAGTTTATTTATAACAAAATAACAAAAGGACAGTTCTGCCTCTGCCAATTACTTTCCATCCTCTCCTACATTCATTGCCTAGTGGCTCCATTCATCACCAGGAAGCAGCCTCTGTAGCGCAAATACAGGTAGAGTTCTGTGGACAAAAAGCTTGCCCTCAGAACTTATGTCTTCATTTCGATTAGGACAATTTCATGCCATTCGGTACCACTTTGGAGTGTTCTTTGTGCCCGGTTCAGAGCTTAGATGCACAGAGGAATAAAAGGGAAAGGGAAGACATGGACTTTATGTGTGAGGTGCTCACAAACACCAGACCCACAGGCATCACACTAAAGAAAGTGTGTGATAAAGAGCTATTTGTATACATTTTAAATAATGAGTGCTGCAGGTCAGAGGAAGGAGACATCATTTTGGCCTGCGGCAGTCAGGCCTGGCTCATTATACGAGGTGGTGATTGAGTCTGAACTTGAGGAAGAAGTAGGTTGGGAGCAGACTGTGGTTGGTTACATATATATGATGACATGTGTCATCATCCACAATCTGAGTAAATTAGGAATCAGGGCCAGGGCCAGATGGTGAATGCATAAAGAGAGCAGGCAGACATGGAGATGGTTTGATTCGGGTATCCACCCATTCAACAGATATTTATTGCATGCCCTAGGAGCCAGGGATCCAACACTGGAAAAGATTTAGTTTCTATCACAAAGAAGCTCACATCTTAGTGGGGAACAAGATAGCATTCTAAATGTGACAAGCATTTAGTTAATTACAAGAAGATATGAGAACTACTATAATGTCATGGAAACATAGAGGAGAAATATCCAAAATAGACTTAGACATAAAGAAAGGCTTTCCACAGGAGTTGATATCTGAGCTGGGAGAACTTGGTGAGTAGGAGGAAGGGCTACAATGATTCAATTACTCTGGCTTCTAAAGGCAAAGAACCAAAAATGATGCAATCAAATCCTTTCTTTAACATAGACACTGTTCTCAGCAAGCTCCTATTCTAAAACTGTTCTCTCCAAAGTGACAGCTGGTCATGACTAGGGGTCTAGGATTAGTCAAACTGCAAACAGCAGTTGGCATACTCTATTCAAGAGCAAGACGTTGTTGTGCACCACTGCAGGCCTTCAAGTCCTTAGGGCAAAGAAAACCAGCAGCCAACTAACTCATGGCTGATTAACTCAGCATATCAAAGTCATTGGACAGCATCATGGCTAGATACTTTTACATTGTTGGGGGTAGGAGGCAGGGGAAAGCTCCTAACTTGGGAAAAGCCTGTTCCCTATCCTTGGCTCCAACAAACTGTTTTTCCCCTGAAACTAAAAAGAGACCTCAACCATTGCCAATTGCCCCTCAAAAATGTGTCTTTGGACATGAGGGGAATATGTGGACAGCATCTATTTCTCAACTGTGGGTTTTAGATTATATGGTGGAAGATAATAAGGTAAGTTATAATTGTTGCAGAATTGCTTTTCTGCCAGTGAATTCAAAGCATGTCCCTCGCCCTCCACATTATCCCTAGTTCTAAGCTTTACAATCTTTAGGGTGCCATAGGTAGCTATTGAAATTCTGCTTTGTCCTAAAAAGCAACTCATGACCCTCATCCTTCCTCCTACTGCAACTTCCTCCAACTCTGTTCTGCATGATTGTTTCTGGCCCTCCCCAGGGTAGGTCCTATTTCTTCTCCTGATTCACCTAAGCACCCAAAACTCCACCTCCACTAAGATTGTGCTCACCTGGAATCTTTCACTGTTCCCTGGACCAGTAATACCATTGTGCAATCCTTCCTCAGTATCTGGTGACATCCTGTGTTTGGAATGGCCACTTCTAATGACTAGGAAACGCAAAGAAGTAATTAGTGAAACAGCAGGGTTTACAGGTTTCTAAAAAATTTTTCTTTTCAGTATTTACTAGCACCCAAAGGGCTTAAACTAAAGCAGCTATGTTGTCTGGGGTATAAACCCTGGGGTTCATCGTCTCACAGCAGGAAAACATGGACACACATGAGGAATTTAGGAGCAGAGGTTTAATAGGCAGAAGAGAAGGGGAAGAGAAACAACTCTCTCTCTCTCCACAGAAAGGGGTCTTCTGATTGGAAAAGATGGGCTAGAGATGGGTGCACCAGATTTTATAGTCTGGCTTGAGGAGGCAGTGTCTGATTTACCTAGGGCTCACAGATTGGTTTTGATCAGGTGTGATGTTTGCATAGTGCTGGGAGGGGAGGGGAAGGCTGATCGCCCCACCCTAATCTTATTGTGCAAATGAACTCTCCTTGGGCGGCACCATCTTGTTTGCACCTTACTGTACGCATAGCTGGCAGAGAAGGGAGGATGAAGCCACCATCTTGAACATGTCTAGTCCCTAGTTCCTGCTGGCATTCACCCGTGCAAGCTCCCAGCTTGCTTGTCTCGTCTGCAGCTCGACTTTGTAGGTTGCTCTTTGTTAGAAAATGATTTGGTCTGCCTTTCCTTTAAGGGAAAAGCCTTACTGAGGACTCTCATACCATTACTATCTGCCTAAGTGAGTCCTTCTTAACTCCTATATGAAAACCACACTGTGGATTAAACAGGATGCATAATGAAGCCAAGAATGGATGAATGGAAAGTATTCAAGTGAAACTGAGCCAGAAAGTTACAGAGGGCAATGATAATTAAAGAAGAAGGAAGGTACATATAATACATGCATTCATATATATGTAATGTTATAAATTATGTATTAAACTCTGTTTTCAGTCACTATTGTGCAAATGTACATAAGTAACATTTGCCAAAAATGTGTAAAATACGTTCAAAGCAATTATTTATCATAATGTTAAAAGGTTTAATGGTTTTGATGAGTATATTGTTACAACATGCTGTATACCTCCAATTTCTTAAACACAGTGTGTCTTTTAAAAACAATTATTGCTGTCTACTTTATACAGTTTGCAATTTGCTTCCAGTATTAATGAGCTTAGTGCTATGTTTTTGAAATTCATGTGAAAATTTCTAAAGTTTTCTATTTTTTTTTTCTTACTCTGAGGCTACTGGCAGTTCTTTCTGCTTTGAGTGTGATTTCATTGAGCTACTTTTTCCTTTTAATTTGATGATGGGACTCTGCTTTGGTGTTGGAAAGGTAAATGTTACTTGTAAAGCTGAGTTATACAGTAAGTGCCAACAGGCTATAATGAACTGTGCCTAGCAGTCAAGTACCCAGATTTGATACCTGACTTTAACAATTGTTATTTAAACCAGTGAGGTGACTTTCAGTTGAAATCCAGATTTTAAATTTTACTCTTAAAGTTTTAGGTTGTTATAAGATAGACATTAGAACAATGAATCATTACTATTGTTAAATATAATTTATAGGTCTTTGGTCAGACCGAGCTCTTACATGCAGCTCAATAAACCAAACCAAAATGAAGTCACTCACGCTAAAGTTGTACGTTATCAAGTGGGAACTAAATTGTTTATCTGACCTTCCAAGCAATCAGGAGAGAGGTAGGTAATAGCCAAATCACCAAACAGGCCAGTTTTAGCCAGCATGATAAGGAAGTCCTTTCTGCTTTAGTCTTTATAAGAAAAGTAACTTTGAAATAACCAATCCGCTTTCTGTTTTCTGCTTTACTCAGCCCTTTTAGGTCCATAAAACCAAACTTCTCTGCTCAGCTCATGGGAACACTCATTCTATTTTATAGAATGAGGTGTTGGCCAATTCTAGAATCACAAATAAAAGCCAATTAAAATCTTTAAACTAAATTTTGTTGTAATTTTGTCTTTTGACACTATTTTCAATGTTATAACATGAAGATTTATTGGTTTAAAAGAGATACAAAGTTATAAAATCTAGAGCCAGAAAAACCTGAGTCTTAATGAGTCATCCATCCTCTTGGAGTTCAATTATCCCCAGATAATAAAATTAAGATGAAACGAGCCAACAGGCAACCTGCTCCAATGATTTAGTGAGGGGGTTGTGTGGAAGGTATCAGAGAATAGAGTTTTATGTTTCTTTTTCAAATAACTATCCGTTTTCTATTCTGAGGCTTGTGCACTGGTGGGCAAGTTTAGCTTTGACAATGGAGCCATTTGGGCTTTGTTTATCTTTTCTAAAGCTCTGGAAATGATTGTTGAAACAGAAGTAGTCCAAATAAGAGAAAACTACATCTTTATACAGTTGTAAAGGTATTAGAGGAGGGTTTTTAAGGAGCAAATCTGGAGCTAGTTTCATCTCAACCAAAGCAAGTACAGAGATATTCCATTCTCCCATAATTTTTGGAGTATGGTGGGTTTCCAGATTTGAGGTTACTAGTACAAAATGAGATCTTGGCCCACAAGAAGAGTTGAGCTGCAAAGTTAATACTGCTTCTGGGAATTATCTGACTTACTTCTGCCCATGACTGCCATACTTTGGAAGTCATCACAATTTCCCAAAAAGAAAGGGTACAGGAGAAAAAAAGAGCAGGGGCATTGGGTTTTTAAAAAATATTAAGAACCACATTTCCTTTGCTTCATATAGGACTAAAATCTATTTCTTCTTTCTTACCTTTCATACGTTCTTCTTTTTAAAAACGATTAAACAAATACAGATAACTGTTAGGTGCTGAGAATATCACCCTGGACAAGACACTCATCATCCTGCCCTTACAGAACTTAGAATTGAGCTCTTACTTCCATTTCATTCCACTGTTGAAACGCTGCCCTCAGCCTCATGGTGTCTTACAGAGAGATTTTCACAGAGAATTGCACAAGAGCAGGAAAGAAAAAGTACAAGTACTTAATTACCACTGAATTTGATTCTTTTACTTCCTTTTACTTGTTTTACAATCTAAATCACCTGCATTTGCTGAGAAGTTCTTTGGAGAAGGGGCATAGAAGCAAATGAAGTCATATTCCTTCTTGTAGTTCCAAATCTCACCAGGAAGAG
The DNA here is from genome assembly GCF_000001405.40 of Homo sapiens. Lineage (NCBI taxonomy): Eukaryota > Metazoa > Chordata > Mammalia > Primates > Hominidae > Homo > Homo sapiens. The sequence continues at coordinate 38,126,666 of NC_000018.10, forward strand.
GAGATTCTTCCACATGAAATAAACCATAAACAAAAGGCAGCATTTTCATGTAGCCATATTACCTGCTTGATTAGTTCTCAGTACTTTGCTTTTTATTAATTCATACGTTCATTCATGCAATCACTCAATGAACATGAATTGGGCACCCATTAGAGCTAAGGTATTTAAAACCCAAAATGTTTTGCATGACAGGAACCAGGTCAAGGATAGCAGTGAAGAGCCCCTGCAGACTTCGTAAAATACTTCCAGACATTTCAAAACAAAAGTGACCAGTGCCGGTTGCCTAAGCCATCTCACTTCCAAAAGGCCAAGTCTTGTTTAACTTTTATTGTGAGTTGGCAGTTTTCTTTACCTGCCCCCCTCCACCCCCACCACCTCCTCCTCCTCCCCACTTCCCAAATAAAACACATACAGAATCTCTTAGGCAAATACACCCACCATGAAGTATACAATCAGGTAATTTCTGATCTTGTCCCTAGGCTTGGTTGTTATTAATAGCTTCTGAGGGGCCAATAGGAATCTATAGTTTTATCCTAGGATCTTCTATTACTGATAATAGTTCTAGAAATGCTTAGGAGAGGGGTAGCAATGTTTAAGTTTTGTGATTTTTTTTTTTTAGCTTGTTGCTTTTTACAACCAAAATAAAATAAAGTCTCAGCAAAGTTTATATTAACTTCTAAAAACAGTGCAATCAGTCTACTACATTCTAATCTTTCAATTCTAATTGGACACAAAGAGGTCAACAATCAAGCTTTATTTCTTGTTTCTAATTGAATGTAAACTGGTGAGCATGTGCTTTTATTAAATTTCACCCATCAATACTATCTGCCTTCACAGAATCACAAATCCAGCTCATTATAGCAGCCCACCTGAAGGAGCCTTAGCACCCATCCATAACTGCAAAGCCAATTACATTCAAGCATCAGCCATGCAGTTTTGCTTTCAACTTCATAAACTAACACTGAGAAGGCAATGCAAACCCTTGGCATTTTTTGTCTTAGTGAAGGTTCTACTCTAAGCCATGGTTCCCATGTAGATCTCCTAAGTCTGACTTCTCCAGTAATTTTTTCTGTTTCTCTGAATCTTTAAGTCACAGTTTTGAAAACAAAGGCTAACCTGATTAAGCCTTCCAAACTTAATCTGCCTTGCTTGCTTTTAATTGCTTATTTTTGGTTGATCTTAAAACTAACACTAGCAAGTCACATAGCCAAACAGTGCATAACTAAACTCCCACTAGCTTCCTTATAGATAACATCTCCAACTGTGGGGTACTATAGTAAACAGTTGCTTCAAGTTGTTTTTCAGGAACTACAGGGCATCTCTTGTCCATTTCAAACTGGTTGAAGCCACTGACCTTTAACTGGGCCTGGGTGGTTGCCTGAAAAGTGACCTTTTGAAGTCAGAAGACCAAAACCTCCACCCTTAAGTCATGCTTAACACGCTGCCATTTTCTGCACATGTATCCTATGAAGACCCATGTAGCTCAATTAAGCTTATGCAGAAACCTTGATTACCTCATCTTTCCTACCCACCAATCACCTTGCCCCACACTTTAGATCACCGCACACTTTAGATCACCCCACTTTCTGTCTCATAAATATCCCCAAGCTCTATTTTTGGGGAGGCAGATTTGAGACTTTTTTCTCCTGTATAGCAGCCTTGTGAATGAGATATTTTATCTTTTGTAGAACCCATTGTTTCAGTGATTGCTTGTGCATGAGTGGAAGGAAACTGGCTTGGTAACACACTCTCTTCTATTGTAGAAATTACTATTGCCTACCTCTCTTTTGAGCTACTACATAGTAGCATAGTCCCAACTTAATAGCTGCAGTTTAAACAATGCTTTTCTTCCAGTTGCCCCTTCTAAGAAGTGGAGTCATTAGACTAAGGTGGGGAGGGCAGTTTTATGTGGAGATGGAAAATGGTGGTCAACAAGAGAATGTTCTCTCTACTGTCTTTGAAATCTTTTCCATAATGACCCTTGTCACAGTCCATCCTTTTGTGGGATTTTTGCAGTGCTTCTATCTCATTTTAGGAGAAGGCTCTCTGAAGGCAGGGGCTGTTTTACATCTTTTTATGTCTCCCTCCTCTCCTGCCCTAAATTAATCAAATTGCCTTAGACATAGGGGCTAAACAAATGTGCACTAAATGCTTGGTTTCCAGCTGCCTCCTATCATTTCCTTGCTTGCTGTCCCAAGTTGAGATGTCATAGGAGACCAAGCCCTGCTTGGCGAATGAATTGTGCTAGAGCACTATTTATTTCTCAGATGCGATTCACACAAGCTCTGGCTGAAAGGCACATAAGTCCTTTGCTTATTATGAATCATTTTGGGGAATGTGCCTTGTGCCTGAAGAGACAGTGGAGTACTTGTCAATTCACAAGAAAGCCTCAGTTAACCAGGACCCAATGAGCCATAATCCTTAATTAGAATTGTTCGTTCCCCATTTAAGAAGAAAGAGGCAAAGAATGGAAAACATGCTTACATGGAGGAGCTAGCAAAATACGAGGTAATAAAATTTAACAAAACCAAATTTGTAGATCACTGGTAGGAAACAGCTTAGGATCAGCTCCCTCTCCCAAATGATACACATCTTAATCTCTTGCTCTGAACATGATGATTACATCTGTGATTTTTATTAATACAGAAAACAATAGATGATCAAGTCATTTATGACTAAAATGTTTGAAACCCAGATAACATACTGAGGGGCTCCAGACTGATAAATTACAGTATTCTTCAGAGAAACTCAAAGACCTTAGGAAAAACAAAACAATTAACATGACACTGGTTAGCAAATAAAAGCGTGCTGTGAGGTGTGGTTGATAAAAGAGGCTGTTTACCTTAGACCAATGTTCTTTCCCCTGAACCAGAGATGAGGAACTTTTTCACAACTCTTGTGCCTTTTTGAGAAGATGGGAGAAGTAACTACACACTGCCTTCCCCTTTCTCTTCTCACTGACCCCTCTCCATGGAAAGAAGAGCAGCCAATGAGATGAGTCAGAGTCAGATGCTAGGACTTGACTATAAGCCACAGGTTTGATTACTAGAAAGGAGTCCTGATCCAGACCCCAAGAGAGGGTTGTTTGATCTTGTGCAAGAAAGAATTCAGGGTAAGTCCATAGAGTAAAGTGAAAACAAGTTTATTGGGAAAGTAAAGGAATAAAGAATGTCTACTCCATAGGCAGAGGAGGAGCAGGGGCTGCTCAGCTGCTTATAGTTATTGTTACTTCTTGATTATATGCTAAACAGGTGTGGATTATTCATGAGGTTTCCAGGAAAGGGGTGGCCAAGTCCCAGAGCTGAGGGTCCCACCCCTTTTTAGCCCATATAGGATAACTTCCTGACATTGCCATGACATTCATACTGTCATGGTGCTGGTGAGAGCATCTTTTAGCATGCTAATGCATTATAATCAGTGGATAATGAGCAATGAAGACCACCAGGGGTCACTTTCATCCTTTCATCACCATCTTGGTTTTGGTGGGTTTTGGCTGGCTTCTTTACTGGAAACTGTTTTATCAGCAAGGTCTTCGTGACCTGTACCTTGTGCCAACCTCCTATTTCGTCCTGTGATTTAGAATGCCTAACCTCCTGGGAATACAGTCTAATAGGGCTCAGCCTTATTTTAACCAGCCCCTATTCAAGATGGAGTCACTCTGGTTCAAACGCCTCTAATAGTTTTACCCTGACTCTGCCTGGGCCCTGCTTGCCTCCTGGATTGGTCATTAGTGCAGTGGGTTCTCACCTGCTTCCTTCCCTCTTACTGGAGGTTCTCCTCCCTCAGAACATACCTTTAGCCTCCCCATTCATGATTAGTGAGTAAATGAGGTTTATGCAGTCCTGTGGGCTCAGCTGACTCTACTTAATTGTTAACAGAATTTGATATCCTACTTGAGTCCTCAAACCTTAGCCATTTCTTTTAGCACAGTTTACGACAAATCCTACTTGTTAGTCACTGTTTTTACATGATTAATAAAGCCGAAATTTTTAGTCTTGTTTTGGCTAATGATTCTTGTGCCAATTCTTTCCATAGATTAAAATTTGGGGAGAACAGAATGGAGTAATTGTCACCTCTAATCACTAAGCCTCAGATATAGTCAAATTTGAATGAACCATTATTTAAGTTAACTTTATTTTTCTATCCTAGGCTTCTAAAGAGATGATTGACCTAAAAAAAGCTAAAGTATGGGATTTTAATAAGAAAAATTTCAGAATTAATACATATTTGGCTTAACTTTTAATCTCTTAAAGGTGAGAATGAGAAGGGGGTGTTAGTGGTTTGACAAAAAGGAAAAGGAAGAAAATTCTATATCCATCTTAAAAAGTGGGAGAGTTAATTCACTAGTGGGTTGTAAGAGGATCTCTGGATAGTACTGAAGGCCCACCTGAAGTGTGTGATCATATTTTTAAAGTGAAACCAGTAAAGAAGTTGATATAAAACTTACCAGTAATTACATGACTCTTTCTGCCTTCTCCTTCTTGAAGATATAACGAGTCTTCTGAATTATACCTCTCTCCTACACGTGTGTGTTTGTGTAGTCACCATATACATGTGTAGGTAGCCCTAAACCAAATGTTGCTTAGTTTGCCTGGCTTTGAGCTATAAAATATATTAAATGTGTTCTTCTGTGACTTAATTTTGTCCCATACTATATTTATTAGCTACATCCATATTGTTGCTTAGGGATGTGACTCATTTATTTCCATTCAGTGTATAGATTTTTATTGTTTTTGCTATTACAGAAATGCTGTATGGCCATTCCCATGCAGATCTCTTGGTGTGTGTATGCAATTTCTCTGAGTTATTTACCTAAGAATGAAATTGCTGGCTTATTGAGTAGACACAAGTTTAAGATAATGCCAAATTTTTTCCCAAATTGGTGGTAGAAATTTTTACTCTCTCCAGTAACGGTTTGTACCAGTTGCTTAGATACAGGCACTAAACAGGTGGAAGGATAGGTTCAACCAGATTGAGGATTTCCCCAGTGACTGTGATAGAAGGGGCAAGGGAAATAAGATCTTATCAAGGGAGTGATTATATGTTAAGTTCCATGGAAATTATACTGAGTAGATTATGAAGTAAAGACCTGAGTGAAGGATGGACAAGAAAAGACTGGTATAGGGTCCTTTCACCTTCACTGCAGAGTGGTAGGTGGGGAGATACAGTTTCACCCTTGGGCACAGAACCAAATGGAAATCTTAAAATGGAAGCTTTAGACTTCAGCCAAAGGGAGAATGGAGTATGTAGACAGAATTGGGAGGAGGCAGAAAAAACTTCTTGGACCTATTAAATGCATATTTTTGCTTTTTAGTCAGAAATTTCTGTACTACTTGAAGTATGAAAACAGTTAAATATCATGAGTTAAGCTTTTATATTCAGGCATTCGAATGGCCTGAATGAGAGCAAAGGACTATCATTGTGAGTTTAAACCCACTAAGAATATTTATTTGTACTATGTGCATGAAGCAAGAACAACATCAACATGAAAACAACAAAAAAGGAAAACAAAGAGTGTTCAATTCACTTGGAGAAAGTCATTCAGCTCACAGTTTGAAAAATGAAAGTGCAAAACCAGGTCTGTGAACTCTAAGACTGAGGGTCTTACAAGGTTATGTGTCTGGAGTGGTGATTCTTAAGCATTTCTGCTATGAACTTCTTGAGAATTCAGAGGAAACTATGGTGTCTCTGCGGAGGACAAGCATAGATTTGTAAAACACTACAATTTGCATTCCATTTCAGGAAGTTCCACAGCCTCTGAAGCTCCCTCTTTGGATTCCCTCCTGCACCCAGGGCAGAAACATCACAGAGGAAGTTTGTGCAAGTTGTATACTGCAGGGAGGGTGCAGGCTGGAGAGCAAAGGGATGACAGAAGTCTTCTGGTCCTCCATCTGCCAAGCTAGGCGCAGGTCAGCAACTGTATTCAAAGAAAGAGAAAGAAGTGCCATTTTCTAATCAATTTACCCAAAGAAGATATATGTTTTTTATTTCTCAAGATGAACTAGCAACAAGCCCAGATTAGACCTCATGTTATTGATGGTCCTAGTGGTTGATTTAATAATTTTGTGTAATGGCTTCATTTTCAACAAGTTTGTCATTAGAAATTTAGCATATACAGGCCTTTGACTGTCAGCTATATTGCCATGTGTCAATCCTGTCCCCCTTGGTTATATTTTCAAGTACCTGGAGGCCATGGGTGATTTCTGGACATTGTCTCTTCCCCAGCACACAGTAGTGTCTTTATAGACTAAGATGCTCAAACAACATTTGATGCTTAATTTTGATTACTGATTAATATATGAAGTAAATCTAAAAGAAACTTTAAAAACAACTGATTGTTTGACGGAGTGTAGGTGTTTCAAGGTTTTATTTTTAATCTTAGCTGGTTTTTTTTTTTTTTTGGAGAAGTTAATGCAGCCCTAGGCTGTAAAGAATGAAATTCACCCAGCTCTTGTGTTGCATTAGTGATGTTTCTGCTGTCAGGGGTTGGAAAACAGTAACTTGGAAACTAGAGGGGGTTGTGACCAGCAAGTAGGGCAGATGGGATTATGTTATTGAAGAGAACCAGAGAGGTTTAATCCAGTTTCCACCAGATGCCGAAACATACTCTAAAAGAGGAATTTTCTTGAGATTGAGAGTGATGGAAACAGAATCGGAGACACTCAAGGAGATAAATGAGTGGGAGAGATTTATTGATGAAGCATGTGTAGAACTAAATGTGGAAGTTAAAACAGCAGAAAATGAGGTCCAGGAGAGGAAATTGAGGGAAGAGGCAGCATGTGTCAGGAGAGGAGGAGCTCATGGGGAACATGAAGTAAAAGCAGAGCTGTGGGAAGAATCACAGCAGGGAAGGACAGCAGAGCTGGGATGATCTGGCAAATCCGCTCTTCAGGGCACTGGGGATGCAGCCTTGGTCTCTGACACCAGGAGTAAGCTGTGGGTCAGAAAATTGTCCCTGGGGGAAATATAAACTTATTTATGCTTTTATATAGTTCTATCAAGCCAAATTTCCAAACCTTATAGGTGCCCAGTGGATGTCCAAATAATTGAATTACTGCAAGAATGGTCCATTTGCAGGTCATTTGAAAGTGGGCTTCAGGGTCCAGAGTTAACTTTGAGACTGAGTGCATGCTGATTCTCAGATATTTGAAGCAAGTCTTAAATTATAACAACAGCCTGTGAGAGAGTAATTACAATAGAGCCCCAGGAGAGGAAATTGAGGGATATACTCAATACACTGTGCTCCTATGTAATTTTGTGATTTAGTTTTTATTCAAAGCCTTTTCATCTCCTTTGGCTCCATGGAACTGATACCCTAGGAAGAGCAGTGAGGCATGGCACCTACAGGAGTATAGAAGAAAATGTGGACCAGGCTTGGGGTCAGATGAGTACATGGCCCACTATGCTGTTAATTGCAGATTTTTGGTTTCAGTTATTGAGTGCTGTGTAAAAAATCACTCTGAATCTTCGTGCTTAAAAAACAAAAGCTCACTCATGTGGTTGCAATCAGATGGCAGCTACAATGGTAAGTAGGTCCAAGATGACCTTGTTCACATTTCTGGGGCCTCAGCACTGGACTTTTATCCTCCTGGGTTCCTTACCATGCACTGACATGGCTCAGCTTTCCTACAGGGTAGCAGCAGCATCCCCAGAAAATAGAAGTTGCTGCTTCTTTAACTTTTATTTTAGGTTCAGGGGTACCTGTGCTTGTTGGTTATATAGGTAAACTCATGTCACAGGGGTTTGTTGTACATATTATTTCATCATCCCATTACTAAACCTTATACCCACTAGTTATTTTTTCCTGTTCTTTTCCCTCCTCCCACCTTCTAGCCTCAAGTAGGCCCCAGTGTGTGTTCTTCCCCTCTATGTGTCCATGTAGTCTCATCATTTAGCACCCACTTATAAGTGAGAACATGCAGTATTTGGTTTTCTGTTTCTGTATTCGTTTGCTAAGGATAAAGGCCTCCAGCCCCATCCATGTTCCCGCAAAAGACATGGTCTCATTCTTTTTTATGGTTCCATGGTATTCCATGGTATATATGAACCATGTTTTCTTTATCCAATCTGTCATTAATGGTCATTTATGTTGATTTCGTATCTTTGCTATTATGAATAGTGCTGCAGTGAACATTTGTGTGCATGTGCCTTTATGGTAGAATGATTTATATTCCTCTTGGTATATACCCAGTAATGGGATTGCTGGGTCACATGATGGTTCTGTTATAGCTCTCTGAGGAATCGCCGTCCTGCTTTCCATAATGGTTGAACTAATTTACCTTCCCACCAACAATGTATAAGCATTCCCTTTTCTCTACAACATCTCCAGCATCTGTTATTTTTTTGAATTTTTAATAATAGCCATTGTGACTGGTGTGAGATGGTATCTGTGGTTTTGATTTGCATTTCTCTAATGATCAGTGATGTTGAGCTTTTTTTCATATGCTTCTTGGCCTCATGCATGTCTTCTTTTGAAAGTGTCTGTTCATGTTCTTTGCCCACATTTATTTATTTATTTATTTATTTATTTGGATGGAGTCTCGCTCTGTCGCCCAGGCTGGAGTCCAGTGGTGCAATCTTGGCTCACTGCAAGCTCCACCTCCTGGGTTCATGCCATTCTTGCGCCTCAGCGTAGCTAGGACTACAGGCACCCGCCACCACACCTGGCTAATTTTTTGTTATTTTTAGTAGAGACGGGGTTTCGCCATGTTAGCCAGGATCTGCCTGCCTTGGCCTCCCAAAGTGCTGGGATTACAGGCATGAGCCACCGTGCCCGGCCCTTTGCCCACTTTTTAATGGGGTTGTTTGTTTTTCTCTTGTAAATGTGTTTAAGTTCTCTATAGATGTTGAATATTAGAACTTTGTCAGATGCATAGTTTGCAAATATTTTCTCCCATTTTGTAGGTTACATGTTTTCTCTGTTGCTAGTTTATTTTGCTGTGCAGAAACTCTTAAATTTAATTAGATCCCATTTGTCAGTTTTTGCTCTTGTTGTGATCGCTTTTGACATCTTTGTCATAAAATATTTGTCCATTCCTATGTCCAAAATGGTATGGCTAAGGTTGTCTTTCAGAGCTTTTATAGTTTGGGGTTTTACATTTAAGTCTTTAATCCACCTCATAGAAATAAAAATAACCATCAGAGACTACTACAAAAACCTCTGTACACACAGACTTGAAATCCTAGGAGAGATGGATAAATTCCTGGACACACACATCTTTCTAAGACTAAACTAGGAAATTGATTCTCTGAACAGACCAATAATGAGCTCTGAAATTGAATTAGGAATAAATAGCATACCAAGCCACAAAACCCAAGGACCAGATGGGTTCACAGCCAAATTCTACCAGACATACAAAGAAGAGCTGATACCATTCCTACTGAAAATATTCTAAACAATTGAGGAGGAGGGACTCCTCCTTAACTCATTCTATGAAGCAAGCATCATCCTGAATCCAAAACCTGGCAGAGACACAGCACAAAAGGAAAACTTCAGGACATTATCCTTGATGAACACTGATGTAAAAATCCTCAACAGAATACTTGCAAACTGATTCAAGCAGCACATCAAAAAGCTAATCTACCATGATCAAGTAGGTTTCATCCCTGGGATGCAAGGTTGGTTCAACATATGCAAATCAATAAAGTGATTCATCACATAAACAGAACTAAAGACAAAAACCACAGGATTATCTCGATAGATGCAGAAAAGGCTCTTGATAAAATTCAGCATCCCTTCATGTTAAAAAATCCCAGTAAACTGGATATTAAAGGAACATTCCTCAAAATAATGAGAGCCATCATCTATGACAAACCCGCAGCCAACTAATGGGCAAAAGCTGGAAGAATTTCCCTTGAAAACCAGCACAAAAAAGGATGTCCTCTGTCACCACTCTTATTCAACATAGTATTGGAAGTCCTGGCCAGGGTGGTCAGGCAAGCGAAAGAAATAAAAAGGAACCCAAATAGGAATAGAGGAAGTCAAGCTATCCTTGTTTGCAGACAACATGATCCTGTATTAGGAAACCAAAGAGTCTCAGCCCCAAAGCTCCTTAAGCTGATAATCAACTTCAGTGAAGTCTCAGGGTAAAAAAAACAAATGTATAAAAACCACTAGCATTCCTATACACCAAGCATAGCCAAGCCAGGAGCAATCCCATTCACAGTTGCCACAAAAAATGAATAAAATACCTAGGAATACAGCTACCCAGGGAGGTGAAAGATCTCTACAAGGAGAGTTACAAAACACTGCTCAAAGAAATCAAAGAAAACACAAACAAATGGAAAAACATTCCATTCTCATAGATAGGTTAAATTAATATCATTAAAATGGCCATACTGCTCCGAACAATGTACAGATTCTATGCTATTCCTATTAAACTACCAATGACATTTGTCAAATAACTAGAAAAAACTATTTTAAAATTCATATGGAACCAAAAAAAAGAGCCTGAATAGCCAAGGCAATCCTAAGCAAAAAGAACACAGCTGAAGGCATCACATTACCCAACTTCAAACTATTCTATACAGTAACCAAAACAGCATGGTACTGGTCCAAAAACAGGCACATAGACCAAAGCTACAGAATAGAGAACCCAGAAATAAGGCCACACATCTATGACCATCTAATCTCCAACAAAGCTGACAAAAACAAACAGTGGGAAAAAGACTCCCTATTAAATAAATAGTGCTGGGATAACTGGCTAGCCACATACAGAAGATTAAAAATGGACCTCATCCTTACATGTATACAAAAATCAACTCAAGATGGAAGTTGGTGCTTCTTACGTGCCTGATTCCAGAGCTCACACAACTTCATTTCACCCCATCTGTTTGGACAAAGCAAGTCCAAAGGCCAGGCCAAGGCCAGGGCTGGGTAAATGGATTTCCTCTCTTACTGGGAAGAGCTTCAAAACCTTGCAGCTATGATTTCCAATCTACCGCAATTATCACTTTATGGCAACGTCACTCTTCAGGGACACGCTGTGACTCCACTATCTCCATTTAATAATCTCACAATCTTGAGATAACAAACACAAATACCTTTTAATCAAACCATTGGTATCTATTAATATGTGCTTCTCCTTTTAGCCTCACTCCTCACTCTAGACCAACTGAAGGAGAATCTTGAGAGCTATAGCCCAGACTTTGGCATTTTTAGCAAGGACCATAGCTGACTCAGATACCCACTGATGTTTTAGAACCATTATAATAATGTTTAGATGTACCAAGGAGTGCCCAGAGAAAAGTGACTTGCCTATTCTCCTCCTAATGTTTCTCATTTTGTAGAAAATCATGATAATAATCACCTCCTAGTGTTTTTATGACATAGCTGTGAATAAATGTTGGAAAAATATACGCAGCATGGAACAAATGAGACCTTTCATTGTTATTTTTACTATTGTTATTACTGTAGTTATTAACACCATGAGTATTAATAGAAGAACAATGTGAACTCCACAAGGATAAGAAATGTTTGTGGTTTAAAACTATATTTAGAATAGTATTTGGCATAGAGTAGATGTTCAATACTTATTTATTGCGAGCATAACACTTACTACTAGAATCTATCAAGTGCTTATTATTTTTTAATAGAAAATGCTGTCCATGATAACCCTTTGGCAAATATTCTCTTCATCCATCTTTTACGCATGCTGTTTCATATGACTTGTATAATTTATCATGCTTCTCATGTGTACAGGGCAAAACTGATGCATGGTCCCTGCCCTCATTGAGTGTAAACCTCACAGAAGCAACAAGAAACATGCACTTAGAAAAGATGTGTTTGCTCCCTGTCAAATCATTGCTTTTAATGGAGAGTTCTGTATATGATCTGCGGAGCATTACAGCTTCGGATGATGACAAAGATTTTACAGAGAACATGGAACCTGTCCTGGCCTTGGAGAGATTCAGAAGAGACAGTGGGGAAGTCAAGAACAGCATGAGTGAAAGTGTAGCTGTGGTAATGAACAAGGGCTTTTGTGGGGAAATGAGAGAGCTGTGTGGGATAGAGGCATAGGACAGGCAAACGTCGGATACAGGATTGTAGAAGTGGACTGAGCTCAGCATGTGGGAATTAGAGGCCATGACCTTCACAAAGGCTTTTAAGGAAGAGAATGTTGTTATAAAATGTGTTTGGGTTTGCAAGACCAATTCAGGTGTGTATCCGGAAGGCAAGGGCCAGGCTGACTTTATCTGGGGTCAGATTCCTGATTGCTCTGAGTAAACAGGGGCTGGCTTGAGGAAGATATCTGGACAGAAGACCGTAAACAGGTATCTCCTCCCTCATTCTCTGGTTCCCCTCTCCATCCACATACCCAGATCACAATTGCAGTTTTGCTGCAATCACATTTCTGCCAGGAAAACTTCCCCACGTTTTAAATTCCACTTTGATCTACTTCTTGTTCCAGTTCCCAATTAAAGCTGCAGTTATAGAACTAGGTGTCCTGGCTCAGTGTGAAATACTATGAAATTTGTAGTAATTAATGATTAGTATGATAGCTATGAGTTATTAATGACATTAGAAAGAGCAAGATAATGTCATCATTACATCTTTATAACAGTGTGAGGAGGTATAAAAATAGCAATTGCCATAATGATAGCTTCTGTAATAGGGAGATAGAAGGTATTTTTGATAATAGATCAGTGAGAAAGAAAAGCTGGGAAGTGTCTGGGAAGATGAATGAATGTAGAAAGTTGTTAGTGATCTGGAAAAAAGCATGAGCCTAGAAGGACCATGTAACTCAAATAACACATCCTCTGAAAATATCAGCATTAGTCAACAGAGCTGCTTGGACCTCAGTAGGCAAGGGATGGAGTGTTAGGGCTTCCCTCTTGACTGGGGGAGCGGGAAACCAATGGTGGTGCCAACAACTCTTCAATACACAAGAGATTTCATTGTGTTTAAACCCCTAATTGTGAAAACATGCAAACAAGTAAAAGAAAAAACACATAGAAATAATTATATTAAAATTATAAAACACATATTACAAACATTTTAAATCTTCACTGAAGGGCTTTAAAAACTACAAATAGTCATTTTATGCTCCCAGATGAGAAGATGTGGGTGCTAATATCCATTTTCCCAAATTAAATAACACATTTGATACTTTCAAGCAGAACAATCCATTTTAATGGTAACCAACATTTTAAAATAAATTTACCAAGTAAATTCTCCAGTACATATGGTACAGAAAATGTCTGTCTATTTAACATATTTTCCAGAAAGTATAACATGAGTAGTGTTCCAGATATTAACACATATTAAAAATGTTAGTAATTAAAACAATTGATATTGTTGTAAGATAGATGAATGGAGGAAAAAAACAAATAAATTTATTCATATTATTGTGGAAATGTACCTAGTTATAGCTGATATTTTAAATCAGTATAGAAATAGTAGACAGAGAAAAAAAATGTTTGGGATATTTGGAAATGTATTTGGAAAACAGAAAGTAAGTTTCCATATTTATGCATGCCTTATAGATAATAAGTCAAAGTGTAAAAAATAATGTGATTACAGGAACATTTAAAATTTTTAGTGATATGGTAGAAAATTGTTTAACATTGAAACAAAGAAGTCCACCTTAAATGAGATATAAAGACAGATGTTGAAAATCACTGAATAATTTGATGCATTAAAGAAAAAATAATACAATTTGGAAAGAAGAGAGCTAACAATTTAAGTACAGTCACAAAAAAGAAATCCAAATAAAGAATAGATATATCAAGTGCCTGATTTTACATTTAATACAAAAATAAAAATTAAAAGATATGTGATAATTGGATATATAACATTTTAAGGCAAAATAATAATTGAGAATTTGAGGAAATAAATATTAATTTATCTTTGAAAATGAACTGTAAAAATGGTAAAATATTTTTGTAGAATGTAAATTAGTTTTTAAAATTGTCTCAGCAAAATTGAATTTTTTTTCTGATGGGCATTTCTTTGAATTTTAACACAGAAATAGATTTATTTCATTCTGTTGTTGTGTGGTATGCCACTATATGGACAAACAGATTATTTAGCCATTCTCCTATTAAAGGATGTCTCTATGATTTCCCCCTTTCATTCCTGGCATTGGTAATTTGTTTCTTCTCTACTTTTGCTTTCTTACTAGAGGTGCATTAATTCATTTGATCTCTTCAAGGAACCAGCTTTTGTTTTCATTAATTTTCTTTATTGTTTTTCTGGTTTTTATGTAATTGCTTTCAGTTTCTAGTTGTTATTTTTTTCCTTCTGTTTGTTTCGGACTTATTTTTTCTTCCTTTTATAGTTTCTTTAGGTTTATTTTGCTCTTCTTTTTATAGTCTTTTGAGGTGTAAGCTTAGATTATTGATTCAAAGAAACTGTTTTCTAACAGAAGTATTTGATGTTATGTAATTCCCCCTAAGCCATGCCTTAGCTGTATCATACTAATTTAGATATGTTGTATTTTCATTTGTGTTCAAAAAGTTTTCTAGTTTCCCTGGAAGTATCAATAATTTATAACCATGTTTTCTACGTTTCAATTATTTGGAGATGTTCATGTTTTCTGTCATTGACCTGTTATTTCTTTTCATTATGGTCAGAAAATATACTTTGTATGATTTCAGTTTATTTAAACATGTTAAAGTTTATGACCCAAAATATAACTTATCATGGGGAATGTTTCATGTATATTCTATTGTTGATAGAGTACTATGTAAATGTCAAATTGTTCTGGTTAGTTGATGGTATTATTCAATTTTTTTTTAATCCTTGTTGATATGTTTTTTGTTTACCAGTTCTGTCTATTGCTGGGTGAGGAGTGTTGAAATCTTCAATTATTATGTGCATTTGTCTCTATTAATATGCATTTATAAATGTAAGGTTTTTTTTTTTTTACAGACTCTCAATTCTATTCCATTCATCTGTGTCTCTCCTATCTTTATCCTAGTATTACATTATCATGAGTACCATAATTTAGTGTTAACTATTGGAATTGGAAAGTGTGAATCTTCCAACTTTGTTCTTTTTTCGAGATTGATTTGGCTGTTTTGAATTTCATGCATCCTCATGCTAATGTTAGACTAGCTGGTTAATTTCTTTTCACTTTTCCTCAAAAGACAAGAAAAAGGCCAGTTGTCATTTTGCTAGCAGTTGCATTGGATCTATAGATCAATTTCAGAAGTATTCTGGTCTTAAAGGTATTGTGTCTTCTGACCCTACTATTCCAAGAATATGGGATATGCGTGCTATGCTTATATTGACCTTTTGTTCCAAACTCTGTTTAATTTCCTTACTTTTAGAAATTTTTCTTATTGATTTGTTAGTGTTTCTACACAAATGATCATGCTGTTCATGAATGAAGTCTATTTTAATAGTTTTTCTAAACTTTATGCTGTTTATTTTCTTTAATTATTTATAGAACTACCAGTACAATATTACATTAAAATAAAGAGAGCGAATATACTTGACTTATTCGGATCTTAGGGGAAAATATTCAGGTTTTTATCATTAATTTGTTGTTACCTATGGATGTTCCACTGATGTCTATGCATTAGATTAAGGAAGTTACTTTCCATTTATTATTTGCTAAAATATTTTATTATGAATGGATGTTGAATTTTATCATATGCTTTTCAGAATCTATTGGGAGGATCACAAATATTCTATAATTAAGATAAATTATATTGATCAATTTTTGAATATTCACCCAATCTTGCTTACCTATGTTAAAATCCATTTTAAATATTATATTTTTATATGATGTTGGATTTTATTTGCTAATATTTTGTCAACTATTGTCCTTCCTTTCTTTCTCCCTTCTTTTATCTTATTTTCTCTCTCTCTTTCCCCTCTCTGGAACAGGGTAATGTTGGTCTCAAAAAACGTGTTAAAAAATGTTCCTTCAACTTATATTTCTGAAAGAGGTGAATAGGATTAGAATTATTTTATTCTTAAATATATGATAGAACTTACTAGTGGGGCTATTTGAGCCTAGAATTATCTGTGGGAAAGGTGTTTTTTTTTCCTTTTTCTTTTTTTTTGTGTGTGTTTGAAATTAATAATTTAACTTCTTCAATGGATAGAGAAATACTTCTACTTTTTATTTGTTTAGTTTTAGTGATTTTTATTTTTCAACTATTTTGGCCATTTAATCTAAATTTGTAAAATTATGAATATAAAATTGTTCATAATACTTATTTAGTATCTATAGAATCTGTAATGATAAACTCTTATTATTGACATTGATAATTTGCATCTTTTTTCTGTTTACTCTTGATCAAACTTGACAAAGCTTTATAATTTTATTAACTTTTTAAAAACTCTAAATTTTATTGCTTGTCTTTTTTATGTTTTTAGTTGATAAGTCATTGATTTCTGCTTATTGTTTTTTCCTTTAATTTGTCTTATAGTTACATTGCTCTTTCTTTTTTTGCTTCCTAAGATGGAAGCTTAAATCATTTTTGGACTTTATTGCCTTTTGGCATAAGTATTTAAAATTACATATTTAATATCTACTTAAGGTGCATCTTACAAATATTTATTTTGTTTACTTCATAACATATTCCAATTTTCTATATGGTTTCTTTGTTTGCTATGGTTTATGTATGAGTGTTTTATTTGATGTCATAATATCTTGATATTTATTTTATTTTTTTCTGATTTCTTAATTTCTAATTAAATTCCATTGTGTCAGAAAAAAATTCTCTATATGATTTAAATATTTTAAATATATCAAGGCTTGTTTTGTCACCCAACACACGTGGTATATATTATTAAATGTTAATGGGCACAGGAATATAATGTGTATTCTGCTGTTGGTTGGAATGCTCCATAAAGTTCAAATTTGCAAAGATTGTCACAGAGTTAAAGTCCTTCCTATCTTCAATGGATTTTCTGTTTATTCTATCAGTTATTGACAAAAAATATTGAAGCTTTAGATATAATTCTTAAATTTTCTATTTTTGCTTTCAGTTTTGTTAGTTTTTTTCTTCATGCGTTTTGAAGATCTGTTATTGTATGTATACATGTTAAAATTGTGGTATCTTGTTGAACTGACACTTTTATCATTAACAATATTCTTCTTTATTCCTGGCATTATTTCTTGTTTTGAAATCAAACTTGTCTCATATTAATATAGCCCAGTGTGTCTTTATAATTAATGTGGGTTTCTTATAGAAAATGTATAGTACTGTCTTACATTTGTAGCCAAACTTACATTTTTCTTTTATTTGAAGAATTTAGATGGTTTCCTTTAAATGAAGTTACTAATTTGGTTGTGTTAAGTCTATCAACATATTGTTTATTTCATCTGTTTTTGTTCTTTCCCCCCTTTTCCCACTTTCTTTCTAATGTTTTAAAGATTACATTTTATGTACAAAATTAGGTTATTAAAAACATCACGTCACTTTAATTTTAGAGTAAGGTTGAAAAAATTATAACCCATGGACAAAAACTAGCCAGCTGTTATATAAAGTTTATGAAAACACAGTAATGCACCTTTGTTTACGTACTGGGCATAGCTGTTTCATGCTACAACATTAGCACTGAATAGCTGCAACAGAAACTATATGGCTCACAAAGCCTAAAATATTTGCTGCCTGGCCTTTCACAGAATAAGTTTGCTGATCCTGCTCTGGAATAAATAATATACACTTTTAAATTATTATTATTTGAGCTATTTTACCATTTCACATATAAGTTTTAACTACAACATACTTTTATTTCTCTTCTCCTTTGTGCTATTTTCATAAAAATTACTTACATATATAAGACCTAGAAATATTTCCACTACTTTTTCTTTAAATAGTCAAATATTTGTAAACATCAAGAAGACATAGAAATAAGGACCTTCATATGTGCTCATACTTTCCAGTTGGAATTATTTTATTTTTGCTTTAAAAACTTCTGTTATTTTTTTCAGGCAGGCCAGTTTTGTTTGCAATAATTTTTCTCATTTTTTTGTTTTTCTAAAAATGTCTTTAATTTGCCTTAATATTTGGGCAAATTATAGGTTGACAGGATCAGCACTTTGAACACATTATTCCATTGACTTCTGTCTTGCATAATTTTTTATGCAAAGTCTGTGATTATATTCTCTTTGTCTCTTTCTGTTTTCCCCCTTCTGGATGCTTTTAAAACTTTATCTTTGTTTTTCATTTACAGAGATTTAATTATGTTGTGTCTTGGTGTGATTTTTCTTTGTGTTTATCCTGCTTACATTTTAATGAAGTAAATGGTCTCTGAGTTCATAATTTTTATAAAATTAAAAAATGTACCATTATTTCTTCAAATAATTTCTATGTTCCTTATTCCTTATGGAACTTCAATTACTAATATATTAGACCTCTTAATATTGTCCCACAGGTCAAAGATACTCTGTTCATGTTTGTTTTTTAAATTTTTTTCTGTGTTATTTCATTTTGAATAATTTCTATCACTGTCTTTAAGTCCACTGACATTTCTTCTGTAGAAATGGTTTACTGTCCAAAAAATCCTGTGAGATTTTCATTTCAGATAGTGTATCTACATCTCTATATGTTCCATTTTATTCTCTCCTCATTCATTTTTTTTAAAAAATAGCTATTTTAAAGTTCTTCCCTACTAATTCCATCTCTCAAAAAATTATTTCTGAATCTTTCTGTTTACTAATTTGTTTTATCCTGGTAACGTGATGTTTAGAGTATTAAGTGTATGAAATTTGTTTTCCTTCTATAGAAAACTTTGCTCTTTATTCTGTTAGATAGTTAAATAATTGTTTAGTTCATTTCGATGTTTTTGAATCTTGCTTAGTTAGTCAAGGTCTAGAGTAGCCTTTAATCTGGGAGTGTTTAGCTGGCTATTGAGGTATGACCCTCTTGGTGTTCCTGTTAAATGCCATAAGTAATGGTTATCTTCTTTGGCTGAACAATTTTTGGTAGGAACTGAAGCAATTCCTGGTATGCGTGATTTACGGAATCTAGACGGCTTACCTGACCTATTGTTCACCATATCCAGCATGTATTATTATTCAGCTCAAGGAAAAATATGCACATTTTAAAGTTGTTTTTCTCCATGGTTTCTTTCATTCTGGAGCTCTGCCCTGCAATTTCTGGCCACCTATGATTCCCTGAACTTTAATCTCTATCTCCTGAACTCAATAAGACAGCAATGTTCTGCTTGGAAGCTTTCCTTCACTCCAGTATGGAATGTTCCCCTCCATAGAACAAAGCCAGGACAATGTTGGGCTCAACTCTTTGATTCCCTTCTCTAAGGGATTAGAGTTCTGCACTGCTAGTTTTTTAATGTCTGGAAAAGTGTTGCTTTATATATTTTTTTTCCAGTTATCTTGTTTAACATCAGAAATTAGATACAGTTCCTGCTGCTCCATTATGGCCAAAAACGAAAAAAGTAAAGTCTTTTTAAAAGTAAATTGGAAGTATCTAAACAAAATTTCAATTTATATTTTATATATAGGGCCTCCCCTAAACATTGGCAGGGTCTGATATAAAAGCACAAATGGAGGAATTTATATCATATGTCAAAATATTTAAAAGTTATAAATCAAGCTAACATAATGTTACATGAAATATATTCTATCAACTTGACAAAAATAATTAAATAGAAATCTGGAAGGCCAGTTTGAAATTTGCAGTTCCCAGACTCCTTCAAGTTCCATCCTAGTCATCCCTTTCCCCTGAGCACTTTAAGGAGCCTTTTACATAGGCATATGGAAGCTATGCCAGCAAGTCTGTGGTTGTGTACAAACCTAGTCTTGTCTTCCCCAGGGTGGCAGTGGAGTGGTGGGGAGGTGGTTATGAATGAAAGTGAGTTTTTCTGTTTTTGTTTTCATTGTATACTAGGCATGGTTTGAATATTTTATAAAAAACAGTGATTTCATTTAATGTTTGTAAAATTATATATACACACATATGCATATATATAAACCTTCTTCAAACATGTAACTTTAATGAGAAAGTCTATGAAATCCATAACTGAAATTGCTTTTTTCCCCTTCAGTATAGGTGCATTTACCAAACTCAACGGTCCAAGCTAATGTAAATTATTTTGTATACATATGACAGGATGAATGAATGTGTGTGTGTGTGTGTGTGTGTGTGTGAGAGAGAGAGAGAGAGAGAGAGAGAGAGAAAGAAAGAGAGAGAGAATTCATATAATACAAATGGACCTTTGTGATGATTTTACCAAACCTTATTCATTGAAATACTGCTTGGTGGAAAAAAGTTACATTTGATGTAAACCACTCCCTGAACCAAAATAAATAAATGCAAATATATAAAACACCCATTCCTTGACTATAATAGATATTCAATAATATTAGACTTCCACTTCTTCCACCCTCTCAGTTTCTTAGAAATCATACATATTAATGCCACTTTCCTGAAAATATTTCTCAAATTTGTAGGCATTATAGACTCAAAAGCGCAACATTGCAGGCCTAATAGAGAATGGTGGATCATGACAAAGATAACGAAAGTTTGTAGCACATGAGACCTCAAATGAAATCATATTTGTAAAACTTTCTTTTCTTCTGCTCTGAGCTACTGTTATTTGGAAGGACAGATGGCATAAAACCAGACCACTGTAGTCTGAGAATTTGGCCTGTGTAAAGAAAACCCAAAGGGGAACATGGCTATAAGATAATCACTCATAAAAGATAGCTAAATTTCAATAATTTAGCTTCTACCAGAGGTCTATGGAAATAGGAGTGGAGTGAGAATGGAAGGAATGGATGTAGTCTCAGAATCCCCATTCCATTCTTCTCTTGGAAGGGCTGGCCCAGTATTTTAACACACCCTAGATCTCCAGTTAAATTTCAGGATATTATCCAGGGTGTCAACAAGACAAGTTGATAAGGAACTCCCTGCAGATGTGCCTCTTCCTGGGCTGGCTTGAATATGGACCTTTTCCAAAGTAAAGTGTGAGCAACTTTGTTTTTTGCAGTTGTGTATAGTTTGATGACTCTCAATCTCTGACCCTCCACTCTCTCAGTGCTGAGCAATGTCTGCACTCCTTGAAGGTCAGGGCTTCTGCAGAGTGCCTGGATTAAGGTCTTGATGTCAGAGCCTGTTATCTGCTGCAGAGCCCCTAATGCCATTAGCAGGAAAATGAAAGAAGCTTCCAAATAACCTTCAGATCGATGCTAACGTTATAACTTCTAACAGCTGCTGCTCAGCTTCTTTATTTGTTAAGACCTCCTCCTGTGTGAAACTTTCTTGACTCAAGTTTAATTCTGTCAATTTGACAAAGATGTTTCCAGCAACTGTTCGCTATTCAGGCCTGGGCAAAGCCTTAGAAAATAGAAACATATATGATGGAGTAGGTCATTTCCGTCAAGGTAATAAACATTCCATTAGAAAGATAAAAATCGCAAAGCATTTAAAGGGCTGTATATGCCCATAATGATTTCAATAATAAAATGGAAATTTTCAAAGTGGTCAAAGGAGGGATATTTATGTTGGTAGTGTTGGAAGGAAGAATTTGAGGAAGGAGGGAGAGAGAAAGTGTCTTCTACATGGGAGTAGTAGCCTGTGGAACACAGGATTGCTATTTCTTGGGTGTATGACACAAGACAGAACACTCTCCAGTGCATTGTATTTCCAGCTCCTTCTCATCAAGTCTCAGTACAAGAATGACAGAAACTTTCACAGAGCAACTCTACTTGAGGGCGCTTCAGATTCTTGCAGTGAAGGGAGAAAAGAGAAAATTGTAAAACTCTAATAGTTGTTTTCTTTGTTTTAGGAAAAACAGGGCAATAGAAATGTGGCCCTCTTTCACCTGGCTTATAAAGTTCTATAATGAAACCTTTCCCGCATTGATGTAAAAAAAAATCAATAGGTAGGAATTTAGCAGTCTAGTAGCCCTTCTTCACACTGTTAGGGCTGACAGGTCTAGAATGGTGTCTGCCAAACCTTTTCTTGAGGGTCAGCTATTACTGATGACTCCAAGGTTTAGGGACCCTAAAAATGCTTCATGGGAGAAATCAAAATACTTAGCTGGACAATTAGAATTCTCAAAAATCTAGGCCATTCTCTTATTTTTATAGTCTCATCTTTTGTCCCTGTTCTATTTACATATTGCATTATTGGCATTCTCATCGCCAAAATATCTTTGTGCATAACATGGGCTTTATTTGCTCACCATTCCCCTACCTTGAAGGCTCTTTCTCAATGTTTTCTCAATGTAAAGACTTACTCTATTAAGTCTTTGCTGGCAACTCCCATACACAGTAAACTCTAATTTTTCTGCAAGTCTGCATTCCTGACTTTTTGAATCATTTATCTGGTACTCATTTAACATCTTCTGGAATTTCTTATATTATGGCTTACCCCATATTTAATTTTCTGTGTATGAATGTCCTTCCATGTGTGCTAATTTAGTTTCACATGTGAAAACATAAATTCTTGTGTATAGGACATGTATTTAGATCCTTTCCTAGAATCTAAGCACTTTTTTGTATGTCTTTTGGGATTCCATACCCGCCTGATTTGTTTCCTACTCTTTGACTAAAGCATTTCCACCTGTATTTGCCTCCACTCCTTTTCTCCAATTAGTAGAATTCTGCTCTTGGACCTCCACTATTCTCTATCTACACTAATTCCCCAAGTAATTTAAACCAATCTCATGTTTTACTATCTCTTCACTATTGACTTTCAGCTGTATGTCTAAATACAGACCTTCTCTATGAACCCTATGAATCATACATCTGCAAAGAGAAATGTTTTGGCACTATTTTCTCCTTATTTGTACATATTCATTTTCTCTAATTGCCTTTTGATGAGTAAAGTTGCTTAACTTTAATGAAGTTAAATTTCTCAGACCTTTTAATTTTTTTCATTTATGTTTTTGCTGTCCAGATCCTATCTAAGAAGCCTTTTCCTATCCCCAGGACACAAACATTATTCTATACCTTCTTTGAAATCGTTTGTTGTTTTAGTTTCTATGTTTAGGTCTTTATGTTTGTGTTTTTTGACATGGAGATTGAGATTTATTTTTCTATTTCATATGTGTGCTGCAGGACAATTTGACTTACCTTTTTTTGCCATCAATTGCTTTGGAAACTTGGTTGAAAATCAGTTGATCTATGCATGTATATTTATGCCAATTCCATATCGTCTTGAATATTTTATATTAACTCTTGATTTTAAGGGGTTTAAATTTTCTTTTTTTTCTTTATCAAAATTATTTTGGCTATTCTAGGCCCTTTGTCTTTTCACATGTAGTATAGAATTAACTTGTAAACCTCTATAACAAAGCCTGCTGTGATTATAATTGAGATTACTTTAAATTTATAGGTCAATTTTGGAAAAATTGGATATCTTAAAATTATAAATTCTTAAATCATAGTCTTTCAGTCTGTGAACATGATAGATTTCTCTATCAATTTAGATCTTCCTAATTACTCTCAGTGTTTTGTACCTTGCAGTATAGCAGTTTTGAACAGTTAAAATTCTTCTAGGTTTTTTAAAAAATTTTTTTGAACAGAGTTAAAGTTTTTCGAGGTTTTTTAATGCTAATATAAATCACATTTTTATCTCATATCCCAATTACTGCTGCTAGTAATAGAAATATAATTAATACTTGTACATTAATTATGTAACCTAAGCCCCTGCAACTCATGTATTCTTTCTAATATTTTTTGTTTCCGCTTTAGAATTTTCTTTATAAAAATTATAAAATATGCAAGTAAAGGCAGTTTTTGTCTCTCTTTCCAGATTGCACAACTTTAATTCATCTTTCTTACCTTATTACATTGGCCAGGAACTCTAGTATAATGCTAAATAGAGGTGATGGAAATAAAAATTGCACCCTTGTTTTTGATCTTACAGGGGAGGAGTTTACCACTTCATGATCGAGCCTGTATGATTTTGCAGTTTCACTTCAGCAATTTTAGAAAGTTCCCCTCAAATTCCAGTTTGCTTAGAATTTTTTAAAAATATGAATGTGTGTTTAATTTGTCAAAAGTCATTTCCACAATATTAAATTGCTCATGTAAGTTCTCTTCTTTATTGTGTTGAAATAAAAATACATTAATCAGTTTTAAAATATGTTAAATAAAGTTTATAGGAGGTCATTCATTTGGAGTGACCTCCTGCACTGGGTCCAATAGATCAAAGCAAAATGGAGTCACTCATGATGAAGTCCCATGCCACCACACCAGAAATAAGTTGTTTATTTGAACTTCTAAACAATCAGGGGAGAGAGAGAGAGAGAAGGAGAGGGAGAAGGAGAAGGACAGAATAGCCAAAACTCTAAACAGGCCAGTTTTAGCCTGCATGATTAGTTAGTCTTCTCTACTTTAATCTTTCTTTCTTTTCTTTTTTTTTTTTTTTTTTTTTTTTGAGACAGAGTCTTGCTCTGTTGCCCAGGCTAGAGTGCAGTGGTGCGATCTCGGCTCACTGCTAGCTCCACCTCCCGTGTTCACACCATTCTCCTGCCTCAGCCTCCTGAGTAGCTGGGACTACAGGTGCCCATCATCACGCCCGGCTAATTTTTTGTATTTTTAGTAGAGATGGGGTTTCACTGTGTTAGCCAGGATGGTCTCGATCTCCTGACCTCGTGATCTGCCTGCCTCGGCCTCCCAAAGTGCTGGGATTACAGACGTGAGCCACTGCGCCAAACCTCTGCTTTAATCTTTACATGAAAAGTAACTTTGAAATCATCAGTTTGCTTTTGTTCTCTGTTTCTTCTTTCCTCCACCATTTTTTGTCTATAAAGCCAGGTTCCTCTGCTTGGCATATAAAAAGACTCATTGTGTCTGAATGAGGTGTTGCCTACCTCTACAATAATAAATAAAAGCCAATTAAGATCTTAAACTAAATTTGTTGCAATTTTGTCTTTGGACAAATATTAAATCAATATTGCATTCCTGGAATCGACTTTGCCTGTTCAAGGTATATAATATATTGCTAAATTAAGTCTGATATTATTTTATTGAAAATTTTTTATGTCTATATTCTTAAGAGATGTCTGTCTTTAATATAGGTGCACCCAACACAGGAACTCTTAGAGACCTTCAAAGAGACTTAGACTCCTGCACAATAATAGTGGGAGATTTAAACACCTCACTGACAATATTAGAGAGATCACCAAGACAGAAAATTAAAAAAGATATTCAGGACTTGAACTCATCACTGGATCAAATGGACCTGATAGACATCTACAGAACTCTCCACCCCAAAACAACAGAGTATGCATTCTTCTCATCACCACATGGCATAGTCTGTAAAATTCATCACATAATCAGTAGTAAAACATTCCTCAGCAAATGTAACAGAACTGAAATCATAACAAACAATCTCCTGGACTGCAGTGCAATCAAATTAGAAATCAAGACTCGAGAAATTTACTCATAACCGGTGGGATGTGGTGACTCACACCTATAATCCCAGCACTTTGGGAGGCTGAGGCGGGTGGGTCACGATGTCAGGAGATCGAGACCATCCTGGCTAACACAGTGAAACGCTGTCTCTATTAAAAATACAAAAAATTAGCTGAGCGTGGTGGCGGGTGCCTGTATTCCCAGCTACTCAGGAGGCTGAGGCAGGAGAATGGCATGAACTTGGGAGGCGGAGCTTGCAGCGAGCTGAGGTCGCCCCACTGCACTCCAGTCTGGGCAACAGAGAGAGACTCCATCAAAAAACAAAAAACAAAAAAGAAAAAAAGAAAAAAAAGAAATTTACTCATAACCATACAATTACATGGAAATTGAACAACCTTCTCCTAAATGACTTTTCAGTAAATAATAAAATTAAGGCAGAAATCAAGAAGTTCTTTGAAACTAATGAGAACAAAGATACAACATACCAGTATCTCTGGGACACAGCTAAGGCAATGTTAAGAGGGAAATTTATAGCACTGAATGCCCACATCAAAAAGTTAGAAAGATCTCAATTTAATAACTAATATCGCAAATAAAAGAACTAGAGAAACAAGAGCAAACCAATCCCAAAGCTAGCAGAAGACAAGAAATAACCAAAATCAGAGCTGAACTGAAGGAAATTAAGACACACAAAATAGATTGGAAAGATCAATTAATCCAGGAGCTGATTTTTTGAAAAAATTAATAGACCATTATCTAGACTAATAAAAATGAAAAGAGAGAAGATTCAAATAACTACAATCAGATATAATAAGGGGGATATTATCCCTGACCCCACAGAAATACAAATAACCATCAGAGATTATTATGAACACCTCTATGCGCATAAACTGTAAAATATGGAAGAAATGGATAAATTCCTGGATACATGCACCCTCCCAAGACTGAACCAGGAAGAAATCAAGTCCCTGAACAGGCTAATAATAAGCTCTGAAACTGAGTCAGTAATAAATAGCCTACTAATCTAAAAAAGCTCAGGACCAGAAAAATTCACAGCTGAATTCTACCAGATGTACAAAGAAGAGCTGCTATTCCTGCTGAAACGATTCCAAATAATTGAGGAGGAGGGACTCTTCCCTAACTCATTCTATGAGGCCAGCATCATTTTGATACCAAAACCTGGCAGAGACACAACAACAACAAAAAAGAAAACTTCAGGCCAATATCCTTGATGAACATGGATGGAAAAATCCTCAAGATACTAGCAAACCAAATCCAGCAGCACATCAAAAAGCTTATCTACCATGATCAAGTAGGCTTTATCCCTGGGATACAAGGTTGGTTTAACATATGCAAGTCAGTAAATCAGTAACATATGCAAATATGCACATAAACAGAACTCTTTAGGTCTGTTAGTCTTTACAAAACCACATGATTATCTCAATAGATGCAGAAAAGGCTTTCAATGAAATTCAACACCCAACTTTTCATGATAAAAACTCTTAATAAACTAGGTATTGAAGAAACATACCTCAAAATAATAAGAGCCATTTATGACAAACCCACAGCCAACATCATACTGAATGGGCAAAAGCTGAAAGCATCTCCCTTGAAAACTGGCACAAGACAAGGATGTTCTCTCTCACCACTCCTATTCAACATCCTATTGGAAGTCCTGGCCAGGGCAATCAGGCAAGAAAAAGAAATAAAAGGCATCCAAATAGGAAGAGAGGATGTCAAACTATCCCTGTTTGCAGATGACATAATCCTAAATCTAGAAAACCCCATAATCTCAGCCTAAAAACTCCTTCAGCTGATAAACAACTTCAGCAAAGTGTCAGGATACAAAATCAATGTGCAAAAATCACTAGCATTCTTATGCACCAACAACGGTCAAGCTGACAGCCAAATCAGGAATGCAATTACATTCACAATTGCCACACACACACACACACACACAATACTGAGGAATACAGCTAACCAGGGAGATGAACAATTTCTATAAGGAGAAACACAAAACACTGTCTTAAATATTCCAATTTTTTGTAATGTCTTTCTCAGATATTGGAATCACAATTATGTTGCCTTTATAAAATGGGATGGAATGTTTTTATTCCTACCCTATTTTTTAAAAGAAATTTCTCTTAAATACATGTTTGGTAGAATTCTCAAGTAAAATGATGGGACCTGGATGTGTGTGTGTGTGTGTGTGTGTGTGTGTGCGCGTGTGCATGCGCACATGCATGCATGTGTGTATGTGTGTAATATTTGTTAAATTCACTGTTTTGATAAATATAGAAAATTCAAAAATTTTATTTGGTAAGTTATCCTTTCAGAATATTCTTATTTTATCCAAATTATCATGTTTATTGGCATATCACTCATATATTTTATTACCTTTTTGATATTTCTAGCACTTGTTGTAATCATTGATGTTAACAATTTATGTTTTCTTTTTTCTTTTTTTAATTTTAATTTTTAATTTTTATTATTTATTTATTATTTTTTATTATACTTTAAGTTTTAGGGTACATGTGCACAACGTGCAGGTTTGTTACATATGTATACATGTGCCATGTTGGTGTGCTGCACCCATTAAATCGTCATTTACATTAGGTATATCTCCTAATGCTATCCCTCCCCCCTCCCCCCACCCCACAATAGGCCCCAGGTGTGATGTTCCCCTTCCTGTGTCCAGGTGTTCTCATTGTTCAATTCCCACCTATGAGTGAGAACATGCGGTGTTTGGTTTTTTGTCCTTGCAATAGTTTGCTGAGAATGGTAGTTTCCAGCTTCATCCATGTCCCTACAAAGGACATGAACTCATCCTTTTTTATTGCTGCATAGTATTCCATGGTGTATATGTGCCACATTTTCTTTTTTTCTTAATCTGTCTTGCTAGTTTTTATTTTATTAATCCTTTACAATAACTAGGTTTTTGTCTTTTAAATTGTCTGTATTTTGTCTGTTTTCTTTTTTTTAGAATCCTGCTTTTATCTTATTATTGTCTTTCTTATCCTTTGAGATTAAATAGCTTTTCATATACTCCCTTAGTTTAAGTTTGAGATTGAGATAATTAACTTTGTCTTCTTTGCTTTTCTAAGACCTGTGTTAGCTGCATCCTGTGGATTCTGATATGCTGCATTTTTACTACTGTTCATTTCGAAAATAATTTTCTGATTTTCCTTTTGATTTCTTTTCCGTCTTTCTACCTACTCTTCATAGGTTATTTAGAAATGTGTTTTTTAATTAATAAATATTTGTAGCTTTCTGTGTATTTTTCCATTAATTTTAAAATTATTTTTACTGTGTTAAAAGAATATACTCTGTAATATTTAAGGCTTTTGGTATTTCCTGGCACTTTCTCTTTTTTGTTGCTTAACATGTTATTTGTTTATTTTTTTCTGATCTTGAAAAGAATGTATATTCTTTTTTTGTCTGGTTTAGTGTTTTTTAAGTATTTATTAAATTAAGATCATTGATAGTATTGTTTTGGTCCTGTATGCCATCACTAATATTTTATCTAATACTTACTGAGAGACAGATACTAAAATTTGCAGCTGTGATTGTAGATTTTTTTATGTCTCTCTTTAATCTTTAGTTTCCATTTAATTCCTCTGTTGGACTTATATACCAGTAAGACTTGTATACCATTTTGCATTAATTTTAAATAATTTCTCTTGGGATTACACTATCATGATGCCACTCTTGAGCTCCCTTCTTTCATACCTCGCTCAGTACGTTCTCTTCAGTCTTCATCAAATTCTGTTCACTGTACTTTGAAAATACATCCAGAATTTGACTTCTCCAAATTATCTCCACTGGAGCCATCTTGGTTTATTTTTCCTTTTACTTGAGTTACTGTAAAAGCCTTGACGATTTTTTTTCTGCATTTTTGCTCCTTTTTAGTGTATTCCAAACAACAGCCAAGTGATCTTACTGAACTGTAAGTGGGATCACCTCACTTCCCTGTTTCTCACTCTCAGCATAAAAGCTGAGGTATTGCCAGGCAGTGCCAAGCCTGTGTGATCTGCTCCATCAGCATCCAGCTACCCTTTCATCCTGATCTTCATTACTTCCTCCTTCCACACTCGAATCTGAATTTAAAAAATCTTTGCCTTTTCTTTAATGTAACAATCAGGCCTCTACTTCAAGGCCTGTTGTTTGCTATCCCCTCTGCCTGGAACATCCCAGCTCCATGATTCCTGTAGCTACCTTCCTTACTTTCTTCACATTTTCACTAAAATGCCATATTCTCAGGAAGTTTTCATTTGCCAACCTTAACTAAAATGTTCACTCCTCTTAGTCATCCCCTGTCCCTATTTCTGGCTTTAGTTTTCTCCTCAGAATTTATAGCTATTTAACATGTTATTGATATTTAGTTTACTTATGTATTTATTGTGGACTCCATTGCCTTCCCCCACCCTCATTAGATCATAAACTTTTTTAGGGCAGTGATTTTTTATTGATTTCATTTACTATTCTGTTTTCTCCCTAATGCCTAAACTAATGCCTGACATTCTGTTAATGACAAACCTTGAGGTGCCAGATAGTCTTCTCGGGTCAGGGTATATACTTTTTTGTATTTTTTTAGTGGTTCTGATTTAATAATCTTTGATAAATGGTGAATTAATCTTACATGAAGTATCTGTAAATGAAGGTGATTTTGCTTCCTCCCTGGGTACCTTGTTTCCAGAGTCCTAACTGTTCCAATAGTTACAAGGATTTTCCTAATAATTAACCTAAATTCTCCCTCTGTTGAAACAGAAGCCCCATTAGCTCCTACTCTGTCCTTGTTGGCTAATGAGAATAATTGGTCTCTGTCCTTTTAATGGACTCACTGTTCTGTATGTGGATGTCTGTGGTGCTTCTTCTCAGCCATTGGTCAAGGAAGTGTGTCAGCAGGATGGCCACATGGGGACCAGCTGGTCCCAGAACAGGCATACGTAGCTCATCTCCCCACAACAGGAACCAGGAGCAAATGAAAGTTATTTTAAATAGACAGTGAGTTTATGTGGTGAAGGGGCCCAAGTCAGGGATTGGATTTGGATCTTGTATTGACAAATTGGCTTTTAAAGAAACTTAAAATTTGAAAGCAGCAACTGAGCTCATTTGGAGCTTTGTTTTTGTTGACAATTAAGATGATAGCAAGGCCTTCTCTGGATGCCCTGCCTCCTTTCTTCAGAAAGATATATTTTTAATTATCAAAACATCACATTTTTAATGAAGAAACAGAAAGGTATTTTCTAAGTGTCAAACTACGAATCCTTTTGTAAATTTTCACACTGTTCCCAGGCTCTGGGCCCTAAATGCATTTTCTAAAGTATCCTGTGCTTACAAAATTATGTAGAATATTCTCCATGTTGAGTTAACCATTTTTCACCTCCTAAAATTTATTACTATTTACTTTTTCGGTCTATATAAGGATATCATTTCTGAATGCAGTTGCTTCCTCATCCTTTTTCTTTAAATTACACCCCGATGTTCACCATGAAGTTGCCTATTTATTTATAAGTATAAAGATAATACAAAGAAAATAATTTCACTTATTTACTTTATTTTTCCTGCAATTTCATTTAAATGGTTGAATCAACATAGAAAGAGAGGATAGTGTGATGAATAGAAAGAACCCTGACTCACAGTTGGAAGACATGAGTTGAAATTCTACCTCTTTCATTTAAGAGCAGTGTGGCCCTTAAAGTAAAGTAAAGAACTCCTTACTGAGCTCTTGTTACCTCATGATTAAATGATATTTTAGGCCAGATTAACTCTAAGGTTCTTTTTAGTCCTTCAGTTTTATGATTCTATAAAGAAGGACAATTCCAAAAATCTTATTACCATGTTTAAGTTTGTTATCCATACATATAAAGTTAATTAACAAGGTTGGTGGAGAGCTGTTGTGGAGTAGAGTTCACAATAGAGTGAACAAGAAACTATCCCTATGAAAAACTATGGACGAAAAACTAATTTACACTAATTCCTTTTTTCCTTTCACGGAGACAACTAGATACTTTTTATTTTCTAAAATTAATAGTACCAATTGGCTAGTATTAATGAGATATGTATTGAAGAACTTTTGACATTTCTTCAGTGCTCTATGTTGCACTATTTGGTATTAAATAGTCAGTGAACGAGCAGCTGGTGTTTTATCTCAGGTCAAGATTTCAAGCCCTGTCAAATGTGTGATGGAAACTTCAGAGTTACAGCTGCTTATCCTTCATGACTTGTCACTCAAGATTAACACCATTGTCTAAGACTAAGCTAGTGACATACTATAAAAACTTATAATGGCACTCACTGTAAATCAGAAGTCACAGCTGGTCCACCTGTCTGAGTCCTGTTTTCTGTTGCTTCAACACTTATCTACATCATATTAGAGAAGGTCAAGCTGCCAGCCATGCCATCTCACTGTATAGCAAACTGCCACCTCAACTGTCATCTCACTGCATGACACAGGTGAGAAAGTTTGGAAACAGACATAGAGATAGGTGAAAGTCTTGATACTTCACAAGGTAAAAGTCAATCTTATAGCAACTAAGATCCAGGAAGAGCCTTTGGAAAGAGCAGGTCTGGGTAAGGAAGATGAGAAATTTAGTTTTTGACATTTTGAGTATAAGGTGCCTAGAAGGCAACTGGAAATGTCTAGAAGGCAATTAAATATTTAAGACTGGAGTTCGGGGAGAAGTCCATAACATATCTCATAAGTTCTAACTTAACCAAGTTTTGAAGTCATAGCTAAAAATCCTCAATTCCTCTTTGCAGGAAGTTTGCTAACTCCCTACCTCAAGTAAATACCTCAATACTTTCCTTATTAGGTTGTAGCATTCCTGGGATATAATACACACATACCCAGCTCCAAGAGGCTCCCCAGATATCTAGGGGATCCAGGAACAGCCCTTTCTCAAGTGGGCCCAGAGAATTACTGAAAGTACTCAACTGGAAGTCAGTGAAACCTAACTAACCCCACCATACTTACCATACGTAAGCCTCCTTAGACAGTTCCAGCTTTCTGTTCCTCTGTTCCTAGATGCCATATCTTGTGTGGCCCTGGATGGCAGCCTTCTTTTCATTTGGAAATTACCAAGAGTTCTGCCTTTCATCTATTCAAGTGTTTCTGAGTTGTGTGCCCATCACTGAAAGAATCTGTAAATCTTCTGAAACAAGGTAAAAACTGGATATATAAACATGAGAATTTCTGGCACCAAACATGATATTTGGTACATTATAAGAAATAATTTAGAAAAGCTAGCAACTTCACTTTAGCGTTGCAATGTTGCTTTGATTCAGCCCTGAATAGCTGGATGGTTGATATCACTTGAATCTTCTACTTAAGCGGCATATCCTGGCCTTGTGATATGCACACCAGTTTGGGGACTTCAAGGTGACTATTGACATCATTGCTATTTCACCCCTGATGATTCTGCTGCCACAGGGGAAAGCGTGATGGGAAAATCATAGGATTTGCTAACATGAGTGATAAGGATCAGAAGATCAAGCTGTAGATCTCTGTGTATTTAAAGGAATACCAGCCAGGCTCAAGTGAAGGAAATCAATTACAAAACATGTAGTAGATGGACTGATAACCACAGGTAGAGCCCCTTGGTAAAATGTTAACTGCCACACACACACACACACACACACACACACACACACACATTAAACGAAGGATCTGGTGCCTTTAAATTCAGAATTATGAAAAGAGAAGTCTTGGAAGTAGTAAATTTCCAGTACTGTATCCCACTAAAAGACCTAGACAAGGAGGAATTCCTCTTTTCTAACCCCCATCCACATCTAGCACACAAAATCTTCACTTCCATACACAACATACTCATACCAGCCTCAGATTTGTCTTTTACTTTCTCTCCAATCATAGAGACACAAGATTCCTTGCAACAGTTCGTCCTCTTCAGGCCAGTGAGCTGTTGACAACATAGGCTCCAGAGGAATTGCAGTCAGATGGTCTACATGTCTTGTTTGTCATACCCAGAAATGTTGGATATATTAATGCTTCTATTTAGATTAATGTGTGGCCCTGCTATTAGCTAATTTACCCACGGGCCTTTGGTCCACTTGTATTTTTTTTCTATGCTATGCATGGAGTAATTAGTTCTATCAGTTAATTGATGGATGTGCCATACCATTTCAAACCCTTCTCTCTCTTTTATGTTTATTCATATCTTGCCAATAATTTGAAACAAAACAACCATACTTTTTTCCTTCACAGGACTTAGTTGTCCATATTAGGATGATTTTACCTTTCTCAACTTTGACCTTTAAATGCAGAGAAATATTTTCCTAACTTTATGCAAGAAGAGGCCATAAGGAAAGGGGAACCTGACGTAGTCCTTGTCCATAAGGCATTCATAGAGGTTGGAAGCTAAGAAGAAATAAAATGGATTATGAGAGGATGGGTGACTTCAAAGGATTCCTAGACAAATACTCCAAATAGTAATTGGACAATATCATCTTCCAGTTTTTGGAACTGATCTTGGCTTTTAAGAAGTGCGTGTTTCTAGCCTTTGGCCACTGTATGATAAAAGATGATTGTGTGCTATAATTTCATTTGGATAACAAACCTCAGAGGAATCTTACATCACAAAATAGCTTCCTTGGCACAGAGTCTTCCCAATACACTCTTTTCTATCTCTGGGTCTCCCAAGATGAGAAGCTCATGCAGAATGCCATTTTCATTCTTGCCTATGGCCATCTGGGGCCTCCCATGTTTTCTTCTATTTCCCTGCCTTTCCTTCACTTTGCCCTTTTCTCTTTGTCTTTCTTGCCTTTGTTCTTTTTCTCTGAGGACCACTCTGCCTGACTCTGATTTCTTTTGACTTTGAGTTTAATTTTCACTTTACAAGACTCATTTCTCTCCTAATAATTCACATATGAAGATTGGAGAAATGGAAAAAAAATCCCATCAAGACTTGCTAATAAAGAGGCTGTTTAT
This sequence comes from Homo sapiens, assembly GCF_000001405.40. Classification (NCBI taxonomy): domain Eukaryota; kingdom Metazoa; phylum Chordata; class Mammalia; order Primates; family Hominidae; genus Homo; species Homo sapiens. Next base: position 38,160,905 of record NC_000018.10, read on the forward strand.
TCATTTCCCCCACAATGTTTCCACTTGCTTTAGAAAGTTGCATCTATTAGCAGGGCAGTCCTGTGACTTAGAGGAGAGATGTTTAAGGGAGAAAAATTAGCCATTACTCATTGGCAACATGCCTGCCCACATGCATTGGGATGTGATTGTGACAAGGGAATTAGAGAGACCCATTCACATTTCAAATGCTGCTCTTCTAAGTCTACAGCATTTGGACAAGAAAACTCACAACACTTTCAATTCTGTCTCTACAAATCTGTTATAATTTTCTAAATATCTGCTTGATATTGGGATTTGAGAGATGCCACAATAAGTCTCTATAATTCCCATTCTGTACCTAATCATGGATTGGTAGAACTTTTTGGGATAGGGCAGACATTTTAATTTTTCAATTAGATGTAAGAGATCTGAACAGATTTGCCTGGAGGAGAAAACACATGGCCCTAAGTCTGTACTACAAAGCCAACATGTTACATTCAAATTCTTTCTATGAAAATTTTGCAAGAGTAGGGATAAGAATTTTTGAGAAAAATGTCTTGAAGAAAAAAAGAGGAAAATTGTTTGGTGAAACAGTCCTCAAATTCTATAAAATAAAGTCTTGCCATACTTCACAAATTTCCTAGCACAGGTCCTGAAAATCAAAGTGTTCTTATATATTATAAAAGTGCAATGCAATTTATGGAAATGCAATCAGAAGTATGCTTGTGGGCAATTATTCACATACACACTCATACACACATATTTTTTCCTATATACACAAGCACACTTTTTCAAATGTGTACACACATATACACAATCATGCTCACATAGGAAAATGCAGGTCCTCAGATTTCGAATGAATTGCCAGAAGACTGGGCAGTGCTTATTAAATTTCCTTTGGCTTGGTTAGTGACAGGACTGTAATTCATCAAAAGCAACTACTTATTTTGTAGGAAAATAAAATAATTATAAAACTCCCAAATTCTATATCTATTTCTTTGTGTTCTATATTCCATTTCTAATTGTTTCAGTTAACATAGAAAAATAATGGTTCTTCCTGTTTTTGAATGTTCCTAATACATTTTTGAAAGATAACCATTATATTTCCCTGAACTCTTTTCTGTTTCTGTTTTGTCTAAAATATTTTGTCCTTCTAGCTTGAAATACTAATAACATATCTCAACAATGAGTAAAAGTCATATATAGATGAAGAACACTATACTGGTGAGCTCAGATCTTATTGGTAGTGAGGAGAAATTTTCCATTTTATGGCAAATACAATATTCTCTAAGAATTTCTTGGCATATGACCTTTCTTTCACATTCTTTTCTTCTGCTCTCAGTTTTATGTGGGTATTGGGATATTTAGTCAAGACCTTTGTCTCACCTTGTGCTAGACTTTACTTCACTGCTATTGCCTTTGGGGAAGTGAAACTATTCTGTAAGATACTGCAGTGTTGGATATGATATTATAATTGTGAAATAAATATATAATATATATGTATTATATAGCTATATTCATTAATTATGCTGTATATGTATTTATGTATACATACATATATACCTATATACATTGACTATATATGTGTATATATATTCACATAATTGCCTATATGCACAATATATATGTATATATGGCTATATATACATATATGCCTATATATACCTATATATACATGTATACTTATATACATGGAATATATAGACATATATAGGTATATATATTTATATATGCATATGTGTCGTAGTCATTGCATATACATACAAATAGTCCATGTGTGGATTACATGACTTTGATGAGATACACACATTGAGAACTTCCCAGTGTGGATGAATAGATTTTAACTTCCAGCACAATAATTTGACAATTATAATGTCATATTTGTCATTGTAGTATCATATGGAATAGTTTCTCTGTCCTAAATAAATAAATAAATAAATAAATACATGTAAATGTAAAACTTTTGTAAGAAATAAAGACTATTAATTTAGTACCAAAATCACATCTGGTACAGTGGCTGCAATTGGAATTACTGCCTAGTTAAGCTTACAATGATCCACTGCAATTCTCCAAGGTCCCTCTGTCTTCTGCACAGCCCAGATAGGCCAGTTGAATGGGGATGTGGTGGGAATTATTACTCCTGCATCCTTAAAGTCTTTGATGGTGGCAGAGATCACTGCATTTCTTCGAGGAATGTGGTATTGCCTTTGGTTACTATTTTCCTGGGCAGAGACAATTCTAATTATTTCCATTTAATAATTCCTACCAGAATAGCCCTCCCTCCACAGTTCAGGAAACCAACGTGGGGATTCTGTTAACTGCTGAGTGTATCTATTTTCATTACACATTCCAGAACTGGGGAAATAACCACAGGATGGGCTTGAGGACCTATTGGGGCCACTGTCAGATAGACCTGAATTAAAACTCCATTAATCATCTGACCTCCATAAGCTCCTCCTCTGATGGGCCATAGTCATGCTTTGGATCTCCAGGAATTAGTGTCAAAGCAGAGCCTGTGTCCAGTAGTCCCTGAAAAGTCCAGTCGTTTCCTATTCCTGAATGCATAGTTATCCTGGTAAAAGGTTATAGGCTTCTTTGAAGAAGGCTGGGACATGTGTTAACAGTACACAATTTTGGTGGTGTGGTAGATACCTCCTTAAGGGGACAGGCCTCTCCTTCATTCATGGGGTTCTGGATCTGTAAACTGGCTCAATTCTGGAACTTGATTGATGGGCTGTAACTCTGTGTTTATGATTGAGGTTAGACTTTTATTCATTTGACTTAGGAATTTTGTCCTTATACAGATCATGTAAAAATTTAGTAGACTTCCTATATGTTTTACTTCTAGGGAAACTGTGACCAACTAGCTAAAGCCATAAGTCTGCAAGAGTTAGACTGTTAGGATTGCTGTTTTGACTCTGCTGCCCATTATAATAAGCATGCCTATCTTGCCTTCAGCAGTTGAATGCCACCCATTGGCTTCTACCACCCCATGATCCAGGAACTCCCATTGCATTTAGGTTTTTCAGTTCAGTGACTGCTGTTCCCAATTCCCACTGTAAGGTCTAGCCTATAGGGAAGAGCAATTACAGATCTCTTCATGATTGCCAGGCTTCTCTCTAAAATTTATTTCTTATAATTTTGGTGAAAGGCATGTCTACCTGACCTTCCCAGTGTGGGTGAATAGATTTAACCTTCCAATCTCCCTAAAAGCCTTTGAATCCCTTTCTCTCCATCAAAACAAGGCAAAGCATGCATTTCCAACTTACTCAATGTTGGTAACCTTTTTGTCCAGCAAACCAACCAAACTTAGAGTCCTTTCTAGCTCCAGAGCTACAAAATTAAATGCAAAATTTCTCAGTATTTACTGAGCCCATACCAATAAATTAAGCCTGATCCAACTTTACATTCCTTCAACCATTGGCCCACACTTTTAGCATCCATTCCTACACATGTACCCATATTTCTGTTTGTATAAATTAGAAAACTCAAGTAGTTATTTTGGAGTGTAATATACTTCCTCATGGCTCACACTCTGTACCTCATCCTTAGGGTTTTTCTGTAAAGTAAAGAGGGGTGGTAAAGGTGGATCCTGATGAAAATAAGCATTTCCTTGCTTCATAACTGTCTCAGGAGGTGGTGGTGGGGATTACAGTCTTCTCAAAAAATGCAGGGTTAATCCTCTGAAATGTAGGTGAAAAAGCAGACATGATCGGGATGGGAGTGCTGCTGCCTTTGGGGGTAGAGAAGCCTCTTTCACTGGGGATTGAGAGACCTCTTTCACTGCAAAAGAAGACTCATCAGTATCTAGGAGCTCAAGGTCCCCAGCTTCATTAGGGTTGTTCCACACATCCTCATTCCAACTTATAGGGTCTCATTCTTTCCCAATTCATACACTCACTGTAACAGTGGATACCTTACAAAGCTGGAAGTTCAACTTGAGTTTTAACTCAAGCAGTTGCAAAATGAGATTCTGCACCTGATTTTCAGCAATCTTGGCTCTGAGGCTATGGGAAATAAGTGTCTCCTTCATGGCACACATAGAAGTCTTCAGGACATTTATGTGACCCTTGCACTGAGAATTCAAATACCTGAGGTCATCTATTTCTTTTGCTACTTTGTCCAAGAACTTTAGGCATAATCAGTCACCATATTATATTCTCTAATTTCCCCAAAATGTTTGAAAGTGTCGTATACATAGTGTCCTTGATTAGGTGCATCCAATAGTGATATTTTGTTTATCTTTATTGCATATTCACATCAGTTCTCTCTTTCCTACTGGAAATAAAGTCATTCTATTTTTAAATCTAATTTTATTAAAGAGAAAATTTAAGAAACCCTAGAAACAATTCAGAAACTTATTCTTAAAATATTGTTCCTCTAGAACCACTCCCATTATCAAAGTTTGTATTAGTCAGGGTCTTCAGAGAAACAGAAGCAATAGGATATATAGATAACAGATAGACAGATGCATAGTTGATAAATGGTAGAGATTTACTATAAAGTATTGACTTGCTTTATTATGGAGTCTGAGAAGTCCCATGATATGCTGTCTCTTATTTGGAGACCCAGGAATGCCAGCTGTGTAGTTCGAAGGTCTGAGAGCTGGAGAGCTGGTGGTGTTTTCAGTCTGAGTCTGAAGAAAGGCCTGAAAACCAGGAGTGCCAAGTGTGGGAGATGATTGATGTACCAACTCAAACAGTCAAGCAGAGAATGAATTCAACCTTTCTCCACCTTTTTGTTTATTCAGTCTCTCAGTGGAGTGTCTGATGCTCATCTACATTGCAGAGGGCCATTTGTTTTACTCAGCCGTCAATCCAAGTGAGAATCTTTTCAGGAAACACTTTTACAAATGCAACCATAAATAAGGTTTAATCAGTTTTCTGGGCATCCTATGGCCCAGTCAAGTTGACACACAAAATTAACTATCACATATACCAAATGATTGCACAAGAAAAACTCTCAATTGCTAATGATAATGCAATATTACACATCCACTTTGTTAAACAGTTTGGTAGTTGGTTGCAAACATACACTTATTGTGTTACCTAATGATCATATTCTTAGATATTTTTTGAAGTGAATTGGAAACTTATGTATGTTCATACAAAAACCTGTATGTTAATGTTATAGCAGCTTTATTCATAATTGCCAAAACTGGAAACAACCCAAATGTTTTTCAACAGATGAAGTTTTAAACAAATGTGTTAACATCCATAAAATTAAATACTACTCAGCAATTAAATGGAACAACCAACTGATTTGTATAATATGAATGAATTTTAAATGTATTTCATTACATGGACTAAGACAAATGCAAAAGATCAGTACTTTATTATTTACTTATATGACATTCTGGAAAAAGGAAAAATATTATAGGGCCAGAAAATAGATGAGTGTTTGGTAAAAGAGAACTGACTAAAAAGGGACTGTATAAGACATTTTAAGGTGATGAAACATTTTTCCCCATAATGGTGGATATATAGCTATAAGCACTTATCAAATTCCATAAAGCAGTAGATATCAAAGATTGAATTTTTTAACATTGAAAAATAATTATCTGGATTGTCCAGAGATTCTAAGATGAAATATAGTCTGTGACAAATGAATTCAACTGTATTACAAAATATATAGCATAACATCACTGAAGGTGGTAGGTGAGAACTGATCTAAGTAACTTTGAAAAATAATGATTTGACTAAATACTGTAAGACTAAAGAGAAAAAGAACTATACAGAAACAATGTCCTCTAATTGGTAACTTTCTTTCTTACAGGAGTATGGGGTATGGCTTAGCAATTCTTAAACTATTTTACATAGATGCTATAGCTGAACAAATAACTAAAGTGTAGATAATGAGAGCCACATTTGTCACTGTCAGAGATAAAAGCAACTGAGAAGACTGAAATGAACTCTACTCTGATGGATCAGAGTTGGAGATGTCATGTGTGTGTATATACATATATATATATATAAATATAGAAATGTGTCTGTATATACACATGATATCTATGCATTATATGTGTGTGTATATACATATATATAGATGTGTCTGTATATACACACACACTATATATATAATGCATAGATACATATAGAAATGAGCATAGATATGTGTGTATGCATAGGTTAGTATATATACATTTATTTCCTAGAAGCAGTGACACAATAGCCCAAGCACACTTAGCACCCTGTTCTTGGTGTCTAATACCATTCTTCAACAATGAGAACCACGGCTGCTTGGAGAAATGACTGATTCTAGGTCTGGAATAAGAAAAGTACAGATGTGTCTGGCTGGGTGTATCTTGTAATGAAAATAAGAAAGTACACACAAACACACAAATATATTGAGGCATAGCAAAATGATATTCTAGAATCCAATAAACTGAAAGTGATGCCAAGTGCCAAAGCAGAAAAAATTTGAGAAACAACAACAAAAATGATTACATTGGATATAACCCAAAGTATAAAATAAATATCCACAATATGAATACACAAACATGTACATGAGAATATATATATATATATATTAGAATGAACAAATATATGGATATGAGAATGGACAAATCTTCCTTAAATAACCCCTTACAGGAATGAGGGAAATAGAAAAATATTATTTAAGTTCCAAAATAATAACTATTGCAGGGAAAATACACTGCTAAAATTAGTGGGTGAAATTTTAAGGAAGTACGGTAGAAGTACAGCCTCAAAGTATCACCCCAAACATATTGATTAATTATAGGGGTGATTTTAACATATGACCCCAAATTATTTGATATTCCTACATTTGGGATGTTGAGTTTAATTTCTCCATCCATTGTGTGTTGGCTGGATTTAGTGATTGACTTTTAATGAATAGTATCAGAAAATTAAAAAATAATGTAACTTTACAGTAGAGAATTTCACAGTGGCAAACACCACCCTAATCACGTGATCAAGTTTATCATCGAGTAATGTCTTGTTAATATCATGTTCCCTCTGATATGATGTGATGGGGAGGGCATTTTACCTCTGGTATTCTTCCTTAGTAGCCATAACTTAAGAGAAACATACAAATTAAAAGTGAGAGATACTCTTTAAGTTCCAAGGTCATGAAAAAGGGGAAAAGGCTAAAAAACTGTCAAAGCAGAGGAGTCTGAGGAGACATAAAAATTAAATGAAAAGTTTTATCCTGTTTTGAATTTTAAAACAGAAAAAAATTAATGTATGAACTGGTGAAATCTGAATAAAGTTTTGGTTTAGTTAATACAATTTTAGCAACGTTGACTTCTCAGATTTAATATTTAATAAATATATCATGCAAGATAAGTTAAATTTGTGGAAGCTGGGTGAAGGGTATATGGGATCTCACTGGACTATTTTTGCAAATCTTCTATATTTCAAGACAAAAATTATAAAAGCAAATTTGTGCTTTTCTCCTGTTTTTCTCTACTCTGAAACACTGTGTTAGTAAATCATTTTGGCCTGATATTTCTTTATAAGAAGATTTTTATATGCTGCTTTATTTTACTCAATGGGTTGTTTCTTGTTTTTTTTTTGAGTCAATTTTGAAGCTTTGGTTTTTTAAAAAAATTGTCCATTTTTAAGTTTATTGAAATAAAGCTGTTCATAATATTCTCTTATTTATTGTTTAATATTCACAATACTTTTCATTTCAACTGTTTAAAAGATAGATTATTTATTTGAGCATATGTTCTTTTTTGTTCGGTCTCCTTAGAGGTGTCTATGTTGTTAGTCTTTTAAAATACACACACATGACTATTTAGCTTTTCAGATAATCCTTGGTATATTGTTTTCCATTTAATTAATTTCTAAGTTTTTTAAAAATTTACTTTTTTTACTCTCTTTAGAAATATATATATTTTTTAACATGGATGATTATCTTATTAGTATTTTTTCTTTTGAAAATAAACATTTAAGGCTACACATTTCCATATTTGGCCCTTCTTACTCATGGGATCCACATCTATGGATTTAACCAACTGTGGATCAAAAATATTTGAAAAAAAAATCATGTCTATACTGAACATGTACAGGTTTTTTTTCTTGTGATTCCCTAAACAAGATAGCATAACAGTGATTTTTATAGCATTTATATTGTAGTAGGTGTTGTAAGTAATCTAGATATAATCTAAAGGATTTGGGAGGATATGCATAGATTACATGCAAATATTACACTTTTTATATAAGGAATCTGAGCATCCACAGATTTTGGTATGAAGGGTCAGGGGTTGTCCTGGAACTAATCCTCCATGGGTACTAAGGAATAACTACTAATTGGTATTAGTAATTGTATCTCATAATTTTAGGGTATGCGGATAGCTGATAAACATCTTACAGTCTTCATTATTATTCCTTTTGGATCCTTGACTTATTTTAAGTGTGTTTCTTAGTTTTCAAATATATGTGGTTTTTCCACTTAGTTTTCTTATTGATTTGTAAGTTAAGTGCATTGTGGCAATGAACGTGGTTTTTATTATATCAATAATTCCAAATTTGTTGAAACTTGCTTCACAGCCAAGTATGTGGTTAACGTGTGCTTCAGAAATACATGTTTTCTGAGGTTACTGGGTGTGTGGTTCTATATATGCTCCTTAGATCAATCTTGCTAATGTGTTATTCAAATCCTCTCTATCCTTTTTGATTGATCTATTAATTACAGAATGTATTGCATTAAAATAGCCTACCACAGTTTTTAATATTTCTTCTATTAATATTCGAGTTTATGTTACTATCCTTATGGATGTTTAGAATATTTTTCTTCCTTTGTGAATTGATGATATATAAATTCTCTTACTTTGCCTGTGCATCTATATCATCTGATATTATTGCCACACAGTCTTTTCTCCTTTAACTTTCTCCTTCTCTTTGCCCACATGATATGTGAATGTCTGTTTTAAATCACATACAAATAGATCTTCCTCTCATCTTAACTATAAAACAGTCTATTTAAATTTATTTTAAATACTAATTTGTTTATGTAAATATATTTTTACTATTTATGCCATAATTTCTATATTATTTCTTCTCGCTGTTAGTGTTTTTTTTAAATATTGATTATTTAACTCCAAAAATTTTGAAGTTATATGCTGTAGTTACATTCTTTATATTTTTCAGGTCAAAAATTCTTATCACAATGGAATAAAACTAGAAACCAATAATGCAGGGAAAACTGGAAAATTCATCAATATGTGGAAATTAAAGAACACAGTCTACAATCATCACTGAGTCAAAGAAGAAATTACAAGGGAAATTATAAAATACCTTGGGACAAATGACAATAAAAATACAGATACCAAAACTTATAGGATACCATAGAAAAAGTTCTGAGAAGGAAATATATAGCTGTGAACACCAACATTCCAAAAGAAGATCTCAGACTTCAAGTCATTCGGAACCAAGCAACAAAGAACAGGATTCCTGTGTGTTGGGAAATAAACATGGTGAACTTTATGATAATTCAGCTCATTGTCTGCAGAAAGCTTTGAGGACATAAAAAAAAGCGTAGGAATGAAGGTAGAGTCTGCTGAACTCTGAGTAGAGTTGATACAACCGGGAGTCTAGGAAGGACAAGTGTTTATAAGGCATAGTACCAGAAATGTGAGAGCTGTACACAGTTCCACAACTGCTGAACGTCCCTCTCAAATCTTCAACTGAGTTGAGATCAGTACAGGCATATGAAGGAATTATCCAAGGCCAGAGAAAGAGCTACTACTATGGAAGTATTAGAGATAGCAGTTCCTGGAGCCGATACCAAGCTGATGATAGTTCTTTTTCCTTCTAGCCATAGAGAAAAACCTCATTATTCACAGGGTGTGAGGTAGAGGTCTCAACAAAATTTTGCCTCAGTAGTGGGGCAAAATTAGTTCTAGAGATAATGCTGCTCTACTCTTGCCTAATAAAGCTTAAAAGCAAGAACTGAAATGATCAAACTGTTCTTAAGTAACTTAACTGCATCACAGAAAAAATTTTAAGAATGTTTATAGAAATTTTAAAATATCACTGTATTACTAAAAATTTTATAATACACACAAAGTATTATAAAATTCACATCTGGAAAAAAATAATATTACCAGGCATGGATGAAGCTGGAAAATATTATGCATAAAGAGGAGAAACATCAATCCATACAAACAGGCCCAGAGGTGACAGAGATGATTGAATTTGTAGAAAGTTAATTTAGTCTTTTATAAATGTATTCCATATGTTCAAGAAGGTAGAACAAAGAGGAACAATTAATCCTATAAGCAGATATGAAAATCATCTAAAAATGACCCAAATCAAATTTCTGCAGAGGAAAAGAGTAACATCTGAAACTCAAAATACAATGGATGGAATTAAAAGCAGATTAGATATTGCAGAAGAAAAAAAGTAATGAAGTTAAAATGTGGCAATAGAAACTTTCCAAAATTAAATAGAGAAAGTAAATATAAAAAAGAATCAAAAGCATCAGTGAGCTGTGGAACAACTGTGAGTGGCATATTATAATTAAAATCTCCTAACAGAGGAAAGACAAATAGTGACTGAACAAATATTTGAATAAATAATGGCTGAAAATTTTCCAAACATATAAAAACTATATACCAATAGATTGAATAATATCAATGAACTCCAAGCACAATAAAAATGAAGAAAACTAGAGAAAGGCATATTGTGGTCAAATGGCTTAGAAACAAAGATAAAGGTAAATATTTAAAAATATCCAGAGAAGGCAGAAAAATTATGTACAGAGAAACAAACATAAGAATGATAGCAGACTTCTTGCCCAAAACAATGCAAGCCAGAAGAAGGCAAAGCGTCACTAAAGAACTATAAAAAACAAACAAAAACAATGAAAGTCTAATTAGAATTCTACTACAACAAAAGTAACTTTTAAAAAGGATTGTGAAATACTGTTTTGAAACATACAATAGCTGTAAAAGTTCAAAACCAGCAAACATATACTACATGAATTACAAAATCAAGTTCTGCAGGCTAAGTAGGAAAATGATACCAGAAGGAAATATGGAAGGGCACTGGAAATAGTAACTGTGAGTATAAATACAATTACTTTTTCTCTTATTGTTTAAAACTCCTGAAAAAACACTTGACTGTTTAAAGCAAAAATAATAATACTTTTTGAGTTTATAACTTATGTAAAAATAAAAGATGTAAGAGCACTTCAATAAATGCTTAGAAGGGAGAAATGAAAGTACACTATCAAAGATTTTGACACTGTATGTGAAGTTACTTCAAAAGTAAACTCTAATGAGTAATAATCATAATGTATAGACCTAAAAGCAACCATACAAACACCCCCAAATAGTTGTATCTAAGAAACAAACCAAGGAGATAAAATGGAATCATAAATAATACTCATGTAATTCAAAATGATACACAAGAGGAAATATTGGACAAAAAACCAGATGAGACAAATATAAAACCAATAAGAAGATTTTAAATTTGAATCTAACTATATAACAATTAAACATAAATGATCTAAACACCCCATGAAAACACAAAGCTTATCTCTCAATAACTGAATAAATAACAGAGAGAAAATTAGTACTGTTATAGAATATTTGATTAATATTATCAACCACTTGGACATAATTGATATCTATAGAACAATCTATCCAACAGCAATATAATATATATCCATTTTAAGCACACACAGAATACTTATTAAAATAGGCAATATTCTGGGCATATTAAATTTAGTAATATTTATTAAAGATTTATTAAATTTAAAAGGCATAAATTACACAGATTATTTTCTGACTAAAGTGGAATTAAATTCAAAATTGATAAAATACATATATGGAAAGTGTACAAATATCTCCACAATATACAGCACTTTTAAAATTATAAAATATTTTAAACTGAAGGAAAGCATATCAAAATTATTAAATACAGCTAAAGCAGTATTTTGAGGAAGATGTAAATTGTCAAATGCTTTATTAGAAGAGTCTCAAATTAATGATCTCAGCTTCTAGCTGAAAAAAATGAGATAGAAAACAAAGAAAACAATAATAAAAAAAGAAAGATCAGAGCTGAAATCAATGAAATGAAAAACAAAAAAATATAGAAAATATAAGCAAAAGTTGAGTCTTAGAAAAAATTAATACAATGATATACTTTTAGTCACACTGATTATCAAAAAATAAAGATACAAATTATTAAAATCAGAAATGAGAGAGGGAATATTATTAACTATTTTATGCCAGTATATTGTACAATTTAGAAGAAATGGACAAAGTTCTTGTAAAACACAAAGTACCAAACTTTGCTAAAGAAGAAATATATAATATTCTTAGCCTATGTTGCCCATGTAGAAAACTCCAGGCCCAGATAGCTTCATTATTAATTGTTCCAAACTCTTAAGTAAACAATACTACAAATTCTACATAAATTCTTCCAAAAATTAAAGAGGAGAAAATAAATGCTAACAAGTTATTTAATACCATATTACACTGATACTAAAACCAGCAATGACATTACAAGAAAAGAAAACTATACACATAATTGCAAAAATGCTCACACACATAGTTACAAAAATTTTCTACATATTTTTAGCAAATTTAATCCAACAACTCCTAAAAAGCATAATACACTATGATAAAATGGCGTTTATGCAAGACATTCACGGTGGGTTTAACATTTGAAAATTAATATATTTCACCACATTAGCAGGCTAAAAACAAAAACAGGATGATTTCGATAAATGCATAAGTAGAACTTAACAAATTCAATATCTATTCCTTATTACAAAGAAAATAGAACATCTAGAAATTATGAGTATGAAAGTACTTCCCCAATATGATATAGGGTAAGTATAAAAAAACCAACAACTAGCTTTATACCTAATGGTGAAAGACTGATTGCTTTCCACCTAAGATCAGAAGGAAGGCAAGGATGTCCACTTCCATCATTTTTATTTAATATAAAACTTGAGATTTTAGACAGTGCAACTGGTTAGAAGAAGAAATGAAAGGCATCCAAATTGAAAAAGAAGAAAATCTTCTTTATTTGAAGTTGATATTATCTCCTATTTAGAAAATTCTATGGAATCTACAAAAGACTAGGAAGACTTGAGTTTAGGAAATTTGCACCATCGAAAACCAACCTACAAAATCCATTGTATTTCAATATACTAGAAATGCACAATCAACAATTGAAGTAAAACATATTCTTTACAAAAGCATCAAATATAAAAGTACTTGATAAATTTGACAGAAAGTTTTCAGATCTTGTACACTGAAAACTGCAAAACGTTACAGACAGAAATTTAAAAGGACCCAAATACATGCAGTTCTACTCTTTTCTTGGCTTAGAGGACTCAACATTAATAAGATGTCAATGTTTCCCAAACTGATCTATCTATTTGATGAAATTCCAATCAAAATCTTTTAGCTTAGATCTCCCACCCTTGGAATGGTGGCAAAGCAAGGTGAAATTTCCCTAACAAAAGCGGGGGAGTGCAGAAGTAAATACATAGAGCTTCATGCAGGTGTGAGTTAGGACAGTGTTGTAAAGGCCCTTAGTACATAAGCAGGACTTATTCTGAAGGGGGGAAAACTTATCAAGTGTGCTGAGGTATAAATATTGAAAAGCTTCCTAAAAGGTTAACCCCCTTGCTGGATGTCAAGATGTTCTTTTCAAGATTCAGCTTGAAGTAAATTGCCTGTGAATGGGAAAAGAGGAGCTCAGCCTGACAGAAAAATCTTCAAGTGATTTTTTTTGTCTCTTCGAGGCTGCACATATATAAGTAGAAGCACTTATACCTCTCCATAAAGCCTTGCTTATGTTACACCCACTTCTGCCTTCAGCTCTGATTTACTCTGAATCCTGCCCCACTTGCTGTAAAATGCTCTGTCTGCCAGTAACACCTCAGTGAAATCTCCTTTAAGTAAAGCATTCTTGCACCTACGCTGTTGCTCTGAAAGCTGCCATCTGGTCTAGTTCAACTCTATTTTAAGCTCTTGAATCACATGACTTAAATACACATAAGTGTTGATTGTACATGATTGCCTTTATTGATTCCTGCTTGGACTAAACATTTCAGAGCCTCCATCCAACTTTAGCAAGAATTCTCTCTCTCTCTTTTTTTGTTTGTTTGTTTTTTTTTGCGGGGGGGGGCTTATTCTCTTCCTCTTGGGCTTAATACTAAATAATTCCCTCTTCTTAAGTAATACTCTGTCTACAAAGATATTGAGGAGTTTGAGTTGTGTGATAATTACCCCCAAAATTTGGTTTCTTCAGGCTTCAATGTATCTGAATACATCTCTCATTGTCCTCCCCCTTTAAAATCAGCCCCATCTCTTAACTACATGACAACTACATCATTACTATCTCTATCTCCATTTGAACTAATGACATTGACTTTTTGAGATATCTGTCAGACATAGAGTCTGATTCCTTCCTCCATTCCTTTCCAGCATAGGTTGCCTTCCTATGCTATTCATAGCTGGATATTCATATGGCCAGCCTTCTAACCAGACTCTAGGTTAGCACCAGTCTCACTGAATTAGAAACTTTTAGGTGAGCCCCAGGTACCTGTTTTATTAAGACTTTCCCAGTGATTCTGAACCTCAGCCAGTGAAACCCTATTCTTATCTTGTATTTTTCAGCTTTGTGTATTTGTTTCTCTTGTCAGCTCTGCATTCAAAGAGAGAGATTCTTGAAGATAGAAATCTCCCTCATCCTTTTATTCTTCAGAACGCTTGCATATGAGAGATGCTCAATAAAGTTAGCAGCAGCAGATCAAAATAATTAAGAGCCACCATGCCTCAGCACAATTGCTGGTAATGTGCCCCTTTGAAATATCCTTTATTCCCTGCTCCCCTTTCTCCATCTATTGAGTTGTTCATTAAAGGTCCACTTCAGATCCTTCACTGTAGTCATCTCTAATTCAAAGTCTTCCTTTGCCGTTCCCCACAGTGCACATCATCTGTACCAAGCACTCCAGAACTCAGCTTAGAATTATTCTTCATAAGTCAGTCAATTTTTTTCTAACTACCTGGAAGGTTTATAATGTTTCTTCAGTTTTCACAAAATTAGTCTGAGTATTCAGACAGTGCTTGATAAATATTTTCTGCTTGTTTTCTCAATGCATACAGCTGTGACTTGCATTTATTTCAATATAAAGATCCTCTTACTGAATACCAGATATTTGCAAAGCATTGCTTCAGGTGTTGTGTTAGTGTGAGCACACCCTTTGAAATGTTTAGAAAGGATTCCAGTGCCAAAACCAGATGATGTATAAATTAGCCCCCAAAGGGTTTTATCATTAAGAAAATTATAGCTAATTATAGTTAATCTGTCTGTCTGCTGGAGAGTGCTACATTGTCCAACATTTGCAAGTAAAGAGCACTTGTGGGAACAAATGCTATTGAGGTAGAGGGTAGGGAGACCAGGAAACCATTTGACCACGATAGTCAATTTCCATCTTTCCAATTCAAAAGGAATCTCCTAATCAACCACCGATGATGGTGCTTGGAAAAGTCATCCATGCTTCCCAAAGAATTGGCTGTTATTTTGGAAAGAATGGGATGCACAAAACTCTGAATACAGGGCCTATCTAAAACTTTTGGTAAGGTAACAGCATTAAGAAATATTGTGGGCCGGGCGTGGTGGCTCACTCCTGTAATCCCAGCACTTTGGGAGGCTGAGGCAGGCCGATCACCTGAGGTCAGGAGTTTGAGACCAGCCTGGCCAACATGGTGATACCCCATCTCTACTAAAAATACAAAAATTAGCTGGGTGTGGTGGCATGCGCCTGTAATCCCAGCTACTCAGTAGGCTGAGGCAGGAGAATCGCTGGAACCCAGGAGGCAGAGGCTGCAGTGAGCCGAGCTCATGCCACTGCTCTCCAGCCTGGGTGACAGAGCAAGACTCTGTCTGAAAGAAAGAAAGAGAGAAAGAGAGAAAAAGAGAGAGGGAGGGAGGGAGGAAGGAAGGAAGGAAGGAGGGAAGGAAGGAAGGAAGAAAGGAAGGAAGGAAGATTGTGGTGAGACTCAGGAGAACTGGACTTAGTCATGTTTCTGCTACTAACAGTGTGACATTGAGTAAATCACTGAGTGGCTTTGGTCCTCAGTTGCCTTTTCTGAAATGGGAGGGGAAACTGTGAAGTACCTGACCAGGTATAGAGGACAGTGTTCTCGCCCTCCTTCTCCTCTTTTTCAGGTAAGATATCCAATCGCTCTGGTTCCAGCTGTGGTTATATGAGCTAGGGTAGAGCAAAGTACATCCTTTGTTGTTCCCAGGAACCATAGAAAAATAGTCTCCTTTTGTGTGTGTGTGTTGGGGGGTGTTTGGGTGTACAGGGGTAGTAGTGAAATATAAGAGGTACTAGTGCCCATGTTCCACTTGGAGGAATTTGTGACAGAGAATGATAGTTTGTGAAATATAAGAGGTACTAGTGCCCATGTTCCACTTGGAGGAATTTGTGACAGAGGATGATAATGGCAAGCTAGGGTAAGCAGAGGCAAGAAGTAGAAGACCTTCCCTTGATTTTGCTACATAAGGTACAAATCCACTTCTTGGTTACAATATACATTTTTGTCATTTGAAACCAAAAGACTGCTGATGGGTAAAAAACCACAAATATCTAAATATAGGACTGAAATACTGAATAATAATACCAAGTACTGGTGATTTGATCAGTTAATTAGTATGGATCTCAGTCTCCTAGGAAAATTAGAATCATGATATCTGAAAAATTTAGCACCTAGGGTCATTGTTAAGGTTGCAAGAGGACCATGAGATGGCTTTGGCCAACGTATACTTTCAAAGTTCAGCTGTCCTTATTAACTTACTAATGGAAAGAGAAATAATGAATAATGATTAGATGATAGATAGGGAAAATAGTGGTGGTGTTTTAGAATTTGAAAATGTGTCATTTGGTGGTATTTGAGGTTTTTCTCTCATCCCACATACTAGCTGTGTGTTCTTACTGTCACTTTTACATTTATCAGTCTCACATTCCTCTATTCTATAACAGGATAGTAGTACTTCAAGAGACAGATGTAATGATCAATTGAGAAAATGTGTGTGTGTGTGTGTGTGTGTGTGTGTGAATTGTAAAATACTATGCATTTAGAAATAAGGGTTGAAGTATAAATACCACAGAGACAGACAGGAAACTAAATTTCATATTAAAATTTACATTACTTATATTGCAATATCTTTTCCAAGAATACTTTCTGATAGACAAATATTACACTTCTACCTTAATCATATCCACAGGTGTACAAGTGTGTGAGGATGTGTGTGTAGCATTGATGGTGAAGTGTCAAAACTATTATAATCTCAGAGAAGGATCCCGCATCCCTGTAATTTGTTTGCAAGACCTGCTTCAAAATGTATACACACACAGAGGCACCTGTCAGTTATTCTTAACATTTCAGCCATGCTTAATGGAAAACATTTCTATATTTAATTCCAACTTGCTTTTAAATTTAATATTATGGTTATGAGATGTATCTGTGGTGATGTCTGTAGCCACAAATCATTCTTTTTGAATGCTATATTATACTGTACTACACTAGAGCATTGTATGAAAATACCACAATTTTCTATTGATAAATTTCCACACTTTTCAAAGTTTTGCTATTATTATCAAAAGTGCTGCTAAGAAATGTATTGGCCATGTGTTTTGAGGCACACATCAATGAGTTTTTTAACAGTATATCTCCAGAAGTGAAATTGCAAACTTGTGGGATAAATCATCTTAAACTCACTAGATAATGCTGATAATTTTTCAAATCTACACACCCAATAGCAATAGATATGGTGTCTCAAAACTCTTTGTAGTTTTAAGCTGAACATTTCAATGCAGATGCTCCTATACTTACAAATGCTTGATATTTTCAAACTTAATTTTTTTGCCAGTAGGATAGATGAAATGGTATCTCATTACAATATTAATTTGTATTCACCTAATAACTGATAAGATTGGTTACCTTATATGTTTACTATTTTTCTTTTATATAGAGCTTATTTCCCATTTTTATTATATTTTTATGATTTGTAGGACTACTTTATATATTCTAGATCCTAAACTTTTTTCAATTTATGTGTGTTATGATTTAATTCTTCCAACACTTGAGTTGCTTTTTTTTTCATTGTCCTTAAGATACCACTTGATGAATGGAAGTTCTTATTGGTAATGTAATTGAATATGTTAATATTTTTTCTTTTGGTTAATAATTGTATGTCTTGCATGAGAAATCTTTTCCTATTCTATGGTCTAAAAGACATTCTCTCATATTGTATTCTAATTTATTTCTAGTTTTAACTTTCATTATTAGGATTCTAATCTACAGAAAATTGGTTTTTGGATTTTGTGCTAGGAAATTTCATTATTTTTTTAAGGGATAACTAATATTCATAGGATTATTTATTGGTTATTTCCTTTTTCCCCACTATTTTGAATTTTCATCTATCTCAAATTTTTATTAAAATATTTGTTTCTGTATTACTGTCACACAGTCTTAATGACCATATCTTTAAGTCTTGATATCTATAAAAGCATATTTTTCTATTTTCTGTTCTTCCAGTGTGATTTAGCTATTCTTGTTCTTTGCCTCCTCTAGTAAATTTTAGAACTTGCATGTCAAGTTACATGCATGATACTATTGGGAATTTGGGATGCATCAACTTTATAAGTCTATAGATCAATGTGGGTAAAATACTTGAAATATAATATTTCAATCCATGAATATATCTCTGTCATTTGTTGCAAGTTTTAAGACACAAGGCTCTCTCTTCTCTACGTTGTTCTCCTTCTCTTTGGTCTGAATGTATCGTTGCCAAATTGGCAGATTTTAGAAATCAGTTTTCTAGGTAAGAGTGATTGCACTCCTAAACCAATTGCTGTGTTTTGGTATGCATATATAAATCACATTCATGGGAAGGATAACTTATTTGTGATATCTTTCCATAAGATAAAAAAAAATCCACGGTGTTCTTGTATACAGTTTATTAAAATTGTTTGTTATTTATTTAGCTATAATAAATGACATTTTAATTATGCTTTGTCTTTTTTTTTTTGAGACGGAGTCTCCCTCTGTCCCCCAGGCTGGAGTGCAGTGGCGCAATCTCTGCTTACTGCAAGCTGCACCTCCTGGGTTCACGCCATTCTCCTGCCTCAGCCTCCCGAATAGCTGGGATGACAGGCGCCCGCCACCAAGCCTGGCTAATTTTTTGTATTTTTTAGTAGAGACAGGGTTTCACAGTGTTAGCCAGGATGGTCTCGATCTCTTGACCTTGTGATCCGCCTGCCTCGGCCTCCCAAAGTGCTAGATTTACAGGTATGAGCCACTGCACCCGGCCTAATTATGCTTTTTCTATGTGCTAATTGCTGTCATATAGAAATACAACAAACTATGGTGTATTAATTTTGATTCTAGCAATGCGTTTAAACTTTCTTATGAATTCAATAATTTATTGTTGATTTTTTGGCTTTTCTATGTATTCAATTATATCCTGTTCCTGTTTGAACAATTCTAGGTATATATTTGCTCCTTTACAAACCTCACACATTTTTCTTTTTTTTTTTTTTGGCCTTCTGTGCTACTTAGTCCTTCTGGCATAATATTGAATAAAAATGGTGATATCAGACATATTTGCTTTTACTTAATTTTAAAGGAAATGCCTTCATCAAATCTTCGTTTAGTATAAAGTATGTTTCACGTGTGTGTTTGTGTGTGTGTGCGTGTGTTTGTGGTGCACATGACTTTGAATGATGTCTTCTGTACAGACTCTTAGGTGACATAGTTTTCATCATAGTCAGGCCATATGAGATCATTTTTTCCCTTCCTATCTTGTGCTCACTTCATTGCTAACATTTCATTTGTTTATTTAGCCAGAACACTGCATGACTTTTTTTCTTTTCTTCTCATCTCATATTTTTCTGAATTACCATACACTTTATATAAAGTGGAAAGAACTCAGTGAAAAGTATAAATCCTAAGGTCTAAGTGTGCAAAGCTGTAGAGAAGTGATCATCATGTCAATGTGACATGTCATAAAAATGTGCTACATAAAAGGCTGCCATCAGATAACCAGAGTAGACCTTTTGCCAAATGATGAGCATAATTTGCCCTCAAATGAAAAGTCAGAGTCTCAAATAAAATAAAACTAGTAACAAGTCAATCGTTAATTAAAGTTCCAGAAGCTTGATCTTAACAAGCAGCTAAATGCTTGTTAAACTCACTGGAGTTTGGACTATACAGGCCAAGTGATGTGGGGAGGTGGCACAGCATAATTCAGTCAGTAAATTAACATATCCTTGCATGGATTGTAGTGTTCTAGGACTGGCCATTAAGAATTGGAAAATACCTTAAAGATCATGTGGTCCAACCTATCATCTAATCAAGAAACTTGCCATTGTAGCCATTACCCTCTTAAGGGTGTTTTTCATCATTCACTTCTAACTTGATGGATGTAACCAAAGTTAGATACACCACCTTCTCGGAACTTAATTTTCAATTGCAAGACAACACACCATGTTTGCTTCTAATACTTCAAGAAGTTAGCTTCCAATCTTATGTGAGAGGTATACAGAGAACAGTGAGTTCAAAACAGAATGAAGCAATAGAAAGTTTATGTAGAAAAAAGTAAAAATGACGATATAAGAGTTTGGATTGGTGGCTGAAGTCAAGAGGACAGCTACAGAGTGTGCATGGGGCAGGGGGAGTTTATTATTCCCAAATCAATGCCCAGTTTACTCATCCTGAGTAATTGTTCTGGTATGCATCAGGAAAGAACATTATACAGAGCTGGGGGTATCATATATCCAGGTAAGGTGACATGGGGATTGAACTCGAGCTAAAGACACCAGGTTATGAGAGATAGTCCCTATAAGAGAATATGTAAAGAAGATGATTTCACGGACTTCTAAGCTTCAGTTTTTTCATCATTCACTTTCTCATAGGTATGTGTCAACAGTGGATAACCTGCGGGATGGTTTTCTTTATAGACTCCAGTCTTCATCAGCATGAAAAATGTTAGCTTTTTCACTTTTGGCTCTTTCTGTGGTGTACTCCATGGTAAATCAATATCCAATATGTTAAAGTCACATTTTCATCCTAGATAATTCTGTAAGTATGGTAATAATTTATGGGTCAAATTAAAGGGTGAGAAACTGCCAGATTGTTTCTAGAGTGGCTGTATCATTTTGTTAGAGGCATAGGGAGGTGAAGTTGCAACTGCAAAGTGTCAGCAAGAGGAAATTCCATAGGGTGTTGACACTGGTCTGTATTCTATTTGTGGTGGTAGTTACAAGAATCTAATCACGTGTTAAAACTCACAGAACTATACACAAAATGTGAATACTACTATTTGTAAATGTATAACAATAAATAAAAGGTATACTAGTTTTTTTTTTCACGTAAGATAGCCCACAACATGCTTGTGGAAGAAACACACAAGAATTTTTAAATACCTTAGGAATTTTTACTTAAAATTTAGCAAACACAATAAACAAGTTACTGCCTAAGAAGCCATCAGTTTTGCTCTCCTGTTGTCTTTCATATAAATCTACTTTTACAGATATTATTTCAAATTCTCTATACCCCTTTTAATTCTAATCCTGCATTTCTAACTCACACTTGAAAAAAACTGGCATTTCTATTAGTTCTGAGAAATACAGAATCATTCTACAATTGTAGGCAAGGCTTATTTAATCATTAAAGATAGTGTGGCAGGTTTTTTTCATGGAACAGTTTTCATATCTGAGCCATATCAGAATTTTAATGAAGGCAATAGGTAAAGAAGGGGGTATGTGTTATAAAACTGTTTTTCATACAAGTTGTCTGCCTAAGGCCCATGGAAGACAGTTCCTATGTACATTTACTTCATCTTTATTGCAGTGATCCTTGTTGTTACATTGTCACTGTACCGTAAAAACAGCATGCCACATCTACTTTGTCGCTTTAGTCATGATTCTAATGCAATGTGATAAAAACATATGCTGTGTCATATGTTATATGTAATGTATTCCTAACTGGACATTTGTAAGATGTTTAATAATGACTGAAGCTCCACTGTGTCTAATATATTATTGGGTAAATGTGTCAAAAACTAGTGGCATGCTCTAAAACTTTATTTTAAAAGAGGCAGGTCGTACAGCTCTGATGTTGTTTGTGCCTGATTTGGGCAGCAATGGGATTCAAGCAGCAGATGATGAAAATCACACAATTGGGATATTTTCCACCTTTTGAAAAAGAGGTTGAATTAAGAAAAAATGTTAATCTGATCCTCTATTATTGTTGTAACTCACTCTCTTCTGAAACCGACTTCAACGGGAGTTACATTGATGAAATAGGCCAGTGTCACCATTTGTTGGCCAGAAAGCAGGAGAAATATTTTCTTAAAAGATATAATCCGTGACTCCAAATTGCTGCCACATAAATAATGTCAAAGGAAGAGGCCGCCTGTTGGTATAGCTATCTTATGAGTTCCTGGGCTATCTAGATGGGCAGACTCCCTTATAAGGAAGCCAAGGGGGAAGCTCACTAAACCAAAAGGTGAAATGGTAAAATGTGTCATTGTCAATGGCTTCGTTAAATTATTCTTAAGAAGTAGAGGTATAAAATTAGCCGGGCGCGGTGGCGGGTGCCTGTAGTCCCAGCTACTTGGCAGGCTGAGGCAGGAGAATGGCGTGAACCCAGGAGGCGGAGCTTGCAGTGAGCCGAGATCGCGCCACTGCACTCCAGCCTGGGCGACAGAGCCAGACACCATCACAAAAAAAAAAAAAAAAAAAAGAAGTAGAGGTATAATAAACATTTTAGGGACAAATCTGGAATAAAATAAAGATGGGATTAAATACCTTACGTGACAATATTTATCTTCTTAATTCTAGACAAATACATTTTTATCTTATTTGGAACAACTCTCAAAATCTAATTTCTTCATTCATCTTTCAAATATGTATGTAGCACTTCTTATGTTTTAAAGACTCTTGAAAAAGTCAGATTTTCTAGAACTTGGCCCTCAGGTGTGAGATATTTCTTTCATACATATGTAGCTATTTATTCTTTCATGTATTTATAAATTAATTTGAACATTATTTTTAGCTTATGATTACGGAGCCTCTTTTTAAGCCAGAACCTGATTTTTAATTTTTTTTTTTTTTTTTTTTTTTTGAGACGGAGTCTCACTCTGTCGCCCAGACTGGAGTGCAGTGGAGCAATCTAGGCTCACTGCAAGCACCGCCTCCCGGGTTCACGCCATTCTCCTGCCTCAGCCTGAGTAGCTGGGACTACAGGCGCCCGCCACCACGCCCGGCTAATTTTTTGTATTTTTAGTAGGGACGGGGTTTCACCGTGTTAGCCAGGATGGTCTCGATCTCCTGACTTCGTGATCTGCCCGCTTCAGCCTCCCAAAGTGCTACGATTACAGGCGTGTGCCACCGCGCCCGGCGATTTTTTTTTTAAATTAGGCTCTTCTCCTATGGGTTCTCATGGTCTAGCCCCAAAATTGATTCATTTACGTTGATTCCTAACTGACTACTTGTTTTCTTTGTTGTGGGATTTTTTGGATTATTACATTTTTTTTTTCCTGTCTGGTGACATATTTCTGCCACACTAACATTGTGAAAATTTTTTATTTTCCCGTTTTCTTTCTACCCTTCCTGAGCTCAAACCTCAGACACAGTCAAGACCATATCTTCACTAAAACTTGACTAGACCTTCAGTTGAGTCAAGGAAATCTACTGGGTAAATCAGTGGGCCTCAGTTGCTTCAATGATATCTTCCTAGGAATTTAGATTTTTAATGGAAATTGTAGTTCTAATTGTCCCTTTTGATTTCTGCCTTCTCAACCAGGAGTAGATTACAATTATTGAGTATGAGGGAAAGTTCTGAGAATAAATGCTGTCAAACTGTTGCTTGTCTAATTTCACCTGTAGTCCTTCCATCACACCTAAATGCAGGCTGGACGTCACAAGTCTTCATTGAAAACTAACTAAAAAAGTTTTCAGACATCATAGAGAATATATTACCTTATGAAATAAAAAGCTTCCTGAAAGTTTTACTCCAGCAAATTTTAATCAGCATTTTTAATTCTAATTTTTACATTATTTTAAGAAATTTTTACTTTTTATTTTTATTATAAGAATATTATGGTTATTCTTTCCTATATTCCCCAGAAATTAGCATTCTGAGAAGAAAGTTTTTACATGGTCTCATTTGCTTAAAATTAAATATATCAATACTCTTTTCCTAACACCTCTACATCCTTATGTAAAACATGTCCATTTATTATTTTAATAAAGGGACAACTGTTCTCCAGAGGTTGCCCCATCCAATACTTTACTCCATATGCTATTTCAGATTCCCAAGTATAAGAAAGCAAAACAATGAGTGTTTAGGGTTTAATTTTTAATAAAAAGTTCCCCAAACTCAATTAAATTCTTACTGAATCTTGAGTGAAAATGAAATATATTAAACCCCAAGAAGCAGCCGCAAATGTCTAATACATTGGATAACAAGGATTAGAACGCTAGTTTGGGATCATATGCCTTCGTTTGGTTATTAGACATTAAGAATGGGATTTTAGGCAGCTCTCTCCTAGATGCATTAGTCCCAGTAAAGTCCTTACCAGATAATTCATTATAGTTTTTGTGTGTTGGGGAGGGGGGGAAGGGAGGGGTTGTAATTTAGAAGAATGCAATTAAAACTGAACTTGATAATTAATTCTGAACTGGTGAGAACTAGTTCCAGAGATTATTACTATAATGCTGTGTAGTCATTGATATAAATATTCATGAGGTTTCATTGTTTTATGGTTTTCTCAAGCACACAGCTTATCTGAAGAAGTAAAATTAAAGTACCATTATTTAACATTACAATGCAAATAAGAATCAATGAAGAAAGAATTGTTAATTCATTAGAGAATGTAAATACATGTAGGTATGTGTACAGGGACTATATCATATATGTACAAATAAAACATCTTCTGAATGTATAAATTAGAATATTGGGGAAAGAAGAAAAATAGTGATATGGGTAAACAATTGTGGATCTTAATCTGGTCCACGCTAGGTGAGTGAAATTCATTGAAATCGACTTAACCTACCACCAAAAATCAATCAACATATAAAACTAATCACGGGCAGCAGAAGAGAGAATGAGAAAACGGTATTTCTTATTCTATTTCCATCTTTTACTGAGCCATAATGCCATCATATCTGACCTTGAAGCAGATTCATCTATAACGTGAAATTTTCAAATAATCTGATAGAATAAACAGGGTATGATGAATGGATGAATGGATGGATGCATGGATGGAAACTACAAAAAGAAAAGTAGTCAGAAAGCAGCCAGCTAGAAAAATTGAAATAGAAGGCAGAAGGGGAGTTGAGAAAAGGGAGTGTAATTTCAGACATTGTCTTTGATTTGATTTAATTTTATTTAAAAAAATCCATCATAATGGGATTCTTATAATTGCTATTTGTTTATATCCTCAAACTTGATGAAGAAAGAATCAGCACAAACAGTATACTCATTGAAAACTTTATACAAATTAAAGGAAGATTTAAGCCTTCTGTACTGGTATGCTCAGTTCATTTATTGTTAAGCACCACAAAGTCAAATTCAGTATTATGTGATTAAGCTGCATCTGTCTCTGTGCAAGCACTCACCATATTTCTTTAAGTTCAGCAGGTGTTTTGCAAAGAATCTAAAGGATTTTGCACAAAATTAGTGCCTATAATAAAGCAATGCTGATGAAGAGACAGCTTTTTAGATCACTGATATATTATAGTTTCTTTCTAATAAATGTCATTGCTAGATATTTCAAAACCTGAAGCAGATTTGCTGACTGCACTGTTTTGAAGCATATTTGCTGTGCCTTATTGCTAAGATGTTCTTTTATAGACATACAGTTTAGAAATTTTATTTGACACTGTTGACTACTAAATTAGCAGCTTTTCAACTTTGTAAGACTTCTGTCACACAATCGAAATAAAAGATAGAATGCATCACTTTTGCATTAATCTTTTCTGGCACTGTTCTAAGGCAATTTTAGATATATTAATTGAAAGCACAATTTGAGAAACAAATATAAACAGGATCGTTATTTGTTGTTTTTTCCCCTAGATTCCCCGCCTCCATACACACATACACACAACGTATGAAGAATAAAACTATAAATATGTAGATCTTTTAATTTTTAATTACCTGAATTTGATGGTTTAAAATTAAAAATATTGTTTAATTAGAAAGCTTACTTGGGGAACCCATTTAGTTTCCAACTGTTAGAGTGCTGCTGCGTTCTCTGGGTTGACACATTGATGGCATTCAGTGTTATATTTGAGGACGTTTATTCATTTGGTTAGAGCTTGAGGTTAGTGAAGTGCACATACAATGGGGTCAAATCCTAAGCTCGTCATCTAGACTTGCTCTTTTCAGTAAGGACCAAAAAGGATCTGGCCTCAACTCCAACCACAGATGACAGTGTTAACACAGGGGTCTTTGACCCATAAATAGAATATAAGACCATAAACATAGACACAGGCCTATTTCAGGCCAAGTTTCTTACAGAGCTCTAATCTGGGCCATAAGACACTAGCAGGAAAAGAGATTGATCCTCTGATTCCAGCCACAGCCCAAACTGCAATTCAGAGCATCAGTACAACTATCACAGTCACAATCAGTCATCTTTAAAATCCAATTCTGTGAAAGTTCCTGGTGGTAATGAAGAGAGAGAAAGAGAAATATTAGCTACATTTGCCTACTCTGATGAGCTTTGTCAAAAAATTTACATTCATTCAAAAATATTTTCTATGTGCTAACTAGGAGCCCAATTTTATTTCAAGTGGGTAAGCTGGGGGGCTATCAAATGTATACAGAAAGAGATTCTGTTCTCAGAGGACATGTAAAGTCACATATGAAAAAAAACCCACAAATATACGAGGTACTAAATGCTAACTGACAAATAATCAGAACGGACAAAAATTCCAATTCCAGAGAATTAGGAATTCCAATAATCATGCATATAGTTTCCATACATGGAAAGGTGAGAATATAAGATATATTAGGGGCAGAAACAATATGAAAAACAAAGCAAGTGTCTTCTTTCTCTACTTAGAGTGTAGAAAGTTGCAAAGGTGAATGCTCCCATTATAAAAATTAGAAAATGCTGGTTAAACTACCAAATCATAATACTTCAAAAGCCAAACAGAATGCTGAGTTTACGAGGCCATCAGGTAACCTGAAGTCTAAAGTGTGACTAGCCCCTTCAATGAGAGACAGGATATGCAAACTGTTTCACCTATGGCAGTACAAAGGGAGAAGAGGCATCCTGATAGCTACAATATAAGCAGGTGAAAATTTACATGCTAAATTTTTAAAAAGAATTACTAAAGGTCAAGTGTGGGCTAGCATGTCAGTATAAAATATCTGGGTCATCTGACAAAAGGGAATTTGCACTGGCCAAAAAACTCTTTACTATGGGTCTTTACTAGGTGTTCACAAGAAAGATGGTGGGTAGAATACGAGATTGACGAAAGCTTCAGTCCAGGTGTGGTGGTTCACATCTGTAATTTCAGCACTTTGGGAGGCCGAGATGGGTGGATCACTTGAGCTCAGGAGTTCAAGACCAGCTTGGCCAATATGGCAAAAACCCGTCTCTACTAAAAATACAAAAAAATTAGCCGGGCGTGGTGGTGAGCACCTGTAATCCCAGCTACTCGGGAGGCTGGGGTAGGAGAATCGGTTGAACCTGGGAGGTGGAGGTTGCAGTGAGCCAAGATCAGGCCATTGCACTCCAGCCTGGGCAACAAGAGTGAAACCCCATCTCAAAAAAAAAAAAAAAAAAAAAAGAAGAGGGGTTTCTGTTGTTGGTGCAGTAATACAAGCAGAGATCATCAGCTATTCAACAGTATAGGGATAAGCAAACTATAAACTATATTCTGCAGTTTGCCAAATTTTTCTTTTCTGTGAAGCAGTAAACTAAAGCCTCTTAAAGATAGTTAGCAAAGACTATGGCCTGCATGGAACAGAGTGTGAAAAGCAACTCTCTATCTTTTGTAGAAGAGACAGAAAACTGTCTTGGTCTTAAAACTTTCTTCTAATACCAAATAGCGGTTTCTGTCTTTTGGGAGAGGGACAGGAAAATATCACTAAAGATTAATTGCAGATACAACACAGATACAGGTTGCTACAGGGAAGGAAGACTAGAACTTTAAAAAAGCTTCACCCTGAGCCTCTAGTGCATAGATTCTCCCAGTGTTGGAGGCTGGGCTGGAGAAAAACAGAGACCTCTTCTTCCATAAGCGTGAGACTAGTGAAAAGTAGCAAGCAGTAGCAGTCTACTGTTAGAAGAGGTGTAAATGAATGGAGAATGATTTTTTTTTTCTGTAGCAGAGGTTTGTAAGGGTGGTTGAAAGATGATGATGAAACACTAGCTCTGAGAAAATAGCACTAGTATCCCAGTGCAAATGCTAAGCACTAGTCCTGCAGAAGAGAAATGTGAATCTGTTGTCCCATTGAAGTTAACCGTAACAACTGCAATGCCCAAATCCCGATCAATACTTGACTAGATTTACTCAACTGCCCATATTTACAGCCTGGTAGAAGGAGAAGCATCTCATTTATCTGAATAAATACTGTTTTTTACCTCAGTATCTACTGTTAGAACTACAAGACAGAGAAAAACTAGAAAAATACAACCTATCAATCCATTCAAGAGACAAAGCAGCCAATGGAACCAGACTCAGAAATGACACAGATATTGAAATTGTCAGAGAGAGGTTTTAAAAATAGCTATAATTAAACTACTAATGGCTCTTGTGGCAAAGGAAAAAAATTGGCAAGATGCATTAATGAACAGGAAGTTTATATAATTATATCCATGAGTCTGAACTCAATACTGTCTGAAACTCAGAAGTGCACAGCAGTATAAACAGGCAGAGCACCATGACCAGTCTGCTAATTTTGGCTCAAGAAAAAAGTTAACTCCTGATGTTCAGAGAAAGCATGACAAATTTCTGTTCTTTCTTCTCTCCATTTTTTTTTTACAACCCAGATGCCAAACAATCCCATGGGGGCAGTTGTAGAGGTCGCCATAGAAGACTACAATAGCTAAAACTTTGAGAGGGGAACATTTCTTTCCAATAGGCATATTGGAGGAATAACATATATTAGACACATTGCCACTTCATTAGTACTTTGAATTCTTGTCTTCTTTCTCAACATTACTGCTGTTGTTTATTCTAGCATCCTCAAACAGCCATTCCATGCATTATGTATATATTTTATAGTTGTATTCAGTGAGAGAGAAAAAGTGAAGTCTTGTAACTGCCTCTAACCAAAAACTGGAACGCTAGAAAATATTTTAATTGGTTATAAATCAAATTACAACATATAAAAACGGGCAAAGTGCAGCTAAAATCATGCTTATCTGAAAATGTATACCATTAAATGTTTTTATCAGAATACAATAAAGGTCTCAAATGAATCTTTTAAGTTTCTACCTCAAGAAACAAGTAAATAACAAATTAAACCGAAAGTAAATACAAGGAGGCAAATAACAATAAGACCTAAAATTAATAAATACAAAAATGAAAGAAAATAAATGTGAGGAAAATAAACCAAAATCTGGTTTTCTAAACAATCAATGGAATTGATAAACTTATATACAAAATAGTAAGGAAAAAGAGAGAAGCCACAGATAAACAATATCAGTAGTGAGGGGTTGCTAATACAGATCTTGCAGATTTAAAAGAAAATACTACCAACTTTAAGCCAATACATTTGATAATTTCTATAAAATAGATTCCTTAAAATAAACAAGCCTTTAAATTTCAATCAAGAAAAAATAAACTTTATATTCCTGTATGTATTTTAAAAAGGGAATTCATAGTTAAGTATCTAACCACAAAGAAAAAAATCCAAGCCTATCTCACTTTATTAAAAAATTACACAAAACATTTAAGGAACAGATAAAACTAATTCTTCAAAAGTCCTTCCCGAAAATATAAAAGTGGGAACTTCTCAACTTATTTAATGAGGTATGAATTACCCTAATGCCAAAGAAAACTGAAACATAGTCTCAAAATCCTTAATACATTAGCAAATATAATCCAATTATATATCATAATTATACCATATCACAAATAGATGTTTTATTAACATGAGAATGCAATGTTTTATCAAAATTTGGAAATTAATCCATTTTTCCATATCAATATAAAAAACAAAGAAAAAAGAAACACATGGTCATCTCAATAGGAGGAGAAAATAAAAATACATTTGCTGCATATGACAGTCATTTATGATAAAACAGCATCAGCAAACTAGGAATTTTCTTAAGGTGTTTTAAAAAACTTGTAACTAGTATCATACTTAATGTATCATACTTTCAGAAAAAAGGCTGAATACTTTCTTTTTCAGATGAGGAAAAAAGAACAAGAATGTCTGTTTGCATAACTCTTATTCAAATTGTGTAGGTCTTAGCAAATACAGTAAGTCAAAAAAAAGAAATAAAAGGTATGCTGATTGGATATAAATAACCTTTATTTGCAGACAACATAATTAGCTATGTATATAATACCCAAGTGTCTACAAAAATAGCTACTTGATGTAATAAACAAGTTTAGCAAGATTACAAGAGTGTGTGTGGGTGTGTGTGTGTGTGTGTGTGTGTTATGTCACCCCTCATAGACTGGAGATGAGTATGAGAGATATAGCCATTGATTTGAACTCAGTGACCTCAGTGGATCTGAGAGAACCCTGGATGACAAAGACCAAGTGGAGTACCAGGCAGGCAAAGTTCATATAAAAGTTCAGTGGTCATTAGAGTTTATCAGAGTGGCTTGATATTTTGGCAATGGTGAATTGATGAAGTACCGAAGACCAAAATAAATGGGCACCAACACCTCTACATATGGTGACGAGTATCCTTAATCGAGTTCAAATAATAGAGAGTAATGGCCCTTTATCCAATTTTCAGATCTGAGTCAGTTCACAGATCCAGAGCTTATTGAATTAAAATGAGACAAAATTTCTTTGAGGAAAGATCCTACAATATGTTCAGGAACATTATATTTTAATCTTCTTCCTAACGTTCCCTAAGATGACCTATAATAAATAGACACTGGGAAAAGGGAAACACCTGGCCCTGTGAGAGTTTGGAGGAGGCACTGGTTCTAAACTAAAAATTCCCAGAGACCCAACAAGCCACTGAGGTCCTTCTGTCAGAGGTGTTTGGGTGATGACTTAGATGCTGTCCTGAATTCATTCCACAAATTCTGTGGTTATTTCACCAGTTCTTGAGATGATCTTTCCTTAAAGACTAAGACAAAACAAACTTAACAAAACCTGTTTGGAACAAGTTCAAGTACAATGATATTCAGGAACATAATTTTTTTCTGACATATATTCCATATATACATATATATGTTAATTCTCATTATGAAATATGGATAGAGATTGGAGAGAAAGTAGAATTTCCAAATTTGTTTTTGATATTGCCTTTTCTGGTAAAGAAAATTTTCTTCTGTCAAGGAAGGGTCGAATAAACTTAATGAAGTCTACAGAAGTGCTGAAGAAGTTTTATAAGACATCTTGGTTTCCTACATAAATTCGAGATTGGAGACAGAGATCAGTTACATTTTAGGGGTCCTGAATAAGGTTGAAAATGTGGTGCTCTGTATTCTTTGAAGGACTCAAGAATGAATGATGGAGTGGAAGACTGTAATGCCCAAATGACAGATTATTTTGCACAGGGAAAAAAGGGTCATTTTTTTCAACTACTTGTGAATGTCACATCAAACTTCAGAGGGTTTACATAAAATAATATTAAAGAAATGGTTTGAAAGCACTAAGCATGAAAAAGAATGAGATCATGTCCTTTGCAGGGACATGGATGGAGCTGGAGGCCATTATCCTCAGCAAACTAAAGCAGGAGCAGAAAACCAAATACCACATGTTCTCACTTACAAGTGAGAGCTGAACAATGTGAACACATAGACACATACAGAGGAGCAACATACACTAGGGCCTATCAGAAGGTGGAGGGTGGGAGGAGGGAGAAGAGCAGGAAAAATAACTAATGTGTGCTAGGCTTAATACCTGAGTGATGATTTGTTGTACAGAATAATCTGTACAACAAATCCCCATGATGCAAGTTTACCTATGTTATAAACCTGCACCTGTACCCATGAACTTAAAATAAAAGTTAATAAAAGGAAAAAAATGTTACCAAAGGACCTAAGATGTGTTAACCAAAGGGAAAAAAGCATACTTTTGCTCTGCTACTAGTCTGTTATATGTGGTAAATCAGGTAGTTATGACACATCTGTGTTTTAGTAGGGCATTGGGCATGGCTTCCATTGCAAGTAATGAGAAAAAAGGAATAGTAATATGGCTATGTACTTCGAAGAGTAATGGGTTATTAAATCACAAATAAATGCTGGTAAATGGATTAATGAAAACATTGAAGAAAGTTTTTAGTGGTCTAACACAAGGCTTTATGCTGGGTAATTGGATTCATGGCTTGGACTGAAATACAAAATATTGCTATATGAAAACGTTAGATACTAGCTGCAAAGTAATACGGGTCTTGGTATGTTTACTTTGATTACACAGCTTCACTGCATGAAAGAGGCTACCAAAAGATGTGAGTTGGTTTGGGGGAACAATCATCCAAGTAGAACATTGGGGAAGTTGGTAATATTAATCTATTCATATTCTAAAATCATCAAGCAATTCTGATTACCCAAATCTGAGCTTTACATTCTAAAAGAGATTGAAGAAACTAAAGGAATTTCAGAGGGGAAAAATTGAGGTTAACAAACACACTATTTGAAGAATATCTGAGAAAATTAGGGATCTCTTTTACAAATAAATAGAAGATTCCATGGAGATGGAAGTGAATTTATATGTGTGTGTGTTACAGTGAATTACAAATATATAAAGTCTGACATATAAAAAGGAGATAAGACTTGAGCCATCACTTGTCCACATGAAAAACAGAAGCTAAGGGAGAAAGAGTCAGGGAGATAGAATAAAGCTCTACAGAAGGAAACGTTTTACAGTTACAGATTTCCAAGGAGGGAGAGAGGAGTCCTCACTGAGTCATCTCACTGGAGGGGAGCAAAGTTAGAGTTTTCAAGAATTAGATGTGTGATTGGCAGGAATGACCTTGGGGGTTCCTGCCAAACCTGAAATTTGATGACTTTATGACTACAAAATTATCGTAAAACTTCACCTCCACTTTTTATTCATTCTGCCCTCTGTTACCCTTGTCACTGTTTCCTTTCTATTTTGTTTTCAGCAAGGCTTTTGAGAAATGTTTGGATTCATTTATTCCAGACATTCAAATTTGAGATTTGACCTCTTAGTCAATAGTTACCAGCCTGTAGTAGCACTAAATTATTTCATTTCTGATTTTATTTCATCTTGTATTTCCCAAGATCCACCCAAAGAACTTTATTTTCATAGATCCACTACCTTTTCAAAAAGCCCATGCATTTATTTTGTGTCTGAGGTGAACAAAACATTACAGGAATAGGAGAGACTTGGAGAAATAAAATCATGCCTCCTTCATCTCATCCAGATGCCTATGTCAAATTGTCCAGATGGTGGGCTTCTGATTATTTCCTGAACGGAATTCTGCATTTTCTCTAAATCTCTCTCCTAAATATAACTTAGGATACTTTGTAAATTCATTTAAACTTGAAGCTATAAATGGTATTTTAGTCCATCTAATACAATTCATATTTTTCATAAGAAAATCAAAGTGCCAGTGCACAGTATCTTCTGAATGCACCTCTCGGAAGTCATTCTCATTGTGCTACATAAAATTCCACCTAATGAAGCTGGAATTAAGGCAGAAGACATGCATTTTCATTAAATTATCTAGAGTTATTCTAGAAAATGTGGGCAATAGGCCAGACAGGATGGCTCATGCCTGTAATCCCAGCAGATCACCTGAAGTCAGAAGTTTGAGACCAGCCTGGCCAACATGGTGAAACCCTGTCTCTACTAAAAGGACAAAAAATAGCAGGAGGTGGTGGTGCGTGCCTGTAGTCCCAGCTACTTGAGAGGCTGAGACATGAGAATGGCTTGAACTGGGAGGCAGAGGTTGTAATGAGCAGAGATTGTGCCACTGCACTCCAGCCTGGGTGACAGAATGAGACTCCATCTCAAAAAAAAAAAAAAAAAAAAAAAAAAAAAAAAAAAGGTGGGCAATAGAAGCCAGGTACTGACATGCTTATTTTCGGCTTCAGGAACAGTCCTCTAAATCCTCTAAATCCTCTAAATCAGGGGTTTCCTAAATCCTGCCTGCTGAGTATCCACACTGGAATCACTATGGAAGCTTATCAAAAGCAGAGATTCTTGGATCTCTTTGGAAGAGAGATGGAACCTCTACTCTCACCTTTTCACACCTTTATT
Organism: Homo sapiens; assembly: GCF_000001405.40. Lineage (NCBI taxonomy): Eukaryota > Metazoa > Chordata > Mammalia > Primates > Hominidae > Homo > Homo sapiens. The sequence goes on from NC_000018.10 coordinate 38,195,268, forward strand.
CACCGCTACTATGAAGGCAAGATTCAAACTACCCTTTGCTTTTTCACATATCTCTTACACTTCTTCTACGTGGTTCAGAATTTTTATTTTCAGTCTATTCTTTAATTCCTTCAGAAATCCTTATTTAAAACTTATATTACAATTGCTTGTTGTATTGTCAATATTCATTTAGATTTACTATACATTGCTCAGTATTCATTCTTACCTTGAGATTGATGTTCTATCTTGAGCTGTATATTCTGCATTATTTTTATTTGGTGAGAGTTTTTTCTTTTCTTAAAGCATTTTCCTCATACAAGATACTACTTGGATGATTTAATATCTAAGTCCAAATCTGAGTCTAAATTTTGTATAGAATTCTGTTATCTGAACTTTTCTGTACTCTCCTCCTTCCTTGATTTCTGTTTACAGCTAGATTTGGGAACGAGGAGCAAAGCCTGTGACCCATAGGACAGTTAAAAATCTCAGGTGCTAGCATGCCTACCCAAGAGTAAATACTTACTCTCCTATTTTCTTGTGACTTGTGCTGTCTTTAGTCCATTGAAAGCTGGAGGTTTGAGTCCAGTGAACATTGACACCTTTCTTTAGGCATATGTTGAATGTGCCTTGGACTGCAAGTTTTCTCTGATAATGTGTTAATCTTGTCTCTAAACCTATGAAGTGAAATCTTTTAGAACAGCGACCACGCCCTCTCACTATGGCTAGTACTATGGCCTATTAAGAATGCAGATTCCTGGGTATTTATCTTACTGACATAAAAAAGAATGCAGATTCCTTGGAAATCAAAAAGTTTATGTGGGAGCACACTAAGCATATCTCTTTCCCTTATCACATTGTTTTCTCAAAGATGCCTGCCTTCTCCCAGGAAGTGGCCAGTTGGACCAATCCAGTTATTTTAGCCTCCTTATTCTTGTCTGTAAAGTAGTATTTGTACCAATGGTTGATCCAAGAATCAGCATTATCTTCATGACAGTGTCTAATGGTCACACTGGGGGAGAGCTTAGAAGGAAGATTTTTCCATATTCAGAGCCAAGTTAAAATTATCAGTGGAAAGAGTAGAAAGAACTTGAATTAAACTGTTGAGTCTGGGATATTGGGCTTAGATCCAACCAAGTGGAGTCTACACATTGTTTTAACATTCACTTTTATAATTGTGTTGTTGTTTTAGGTAACTGTTTTTTAATGTTACATTTACATAAGCAATAACTAAAAACGATCATCCCCAAAAGATTCTAAACTCTATGGGTATGACAAAAGGTCTTGTCATGTCTACCACATCCCTCATCCATCTCCAATATAGCCACTATTGCCAGAAGGTATACATCCTTCCTGTCACTAAGACCTTGGTCAGGATACTTAGCCCCCCCTCCCATGATCTTATTCTGTTTTTTGTTGCTTTATGAAAATACCCAAGTTGGGTAATGTATAAGGAATGGATTAATAAATTATCAAATTTATTTTCTCACAGTTCTGAAGGCTGGGCAGTTCAAGATAAAGGCACCAGCATATGGCATCTGATGAAGGCCTTCTTGCCATATCCTCATGTGGCAGAAGGCAGAAGGGCTAGAGGGCAAGCTGGCCAAATGTTGCATGAACACTCTTTTATAAGGGCCTTAATAACATTGAAAAGAAAGGACTCCTCATGGCCTATTCACCTGTCAAATATGCCCCCCACCCTTTTTTTTTTCTTTTTAAGAGATGGAATCTCATTCTGTTTCCCAGGCTGGAGTGCAATGGTGTGATCATAGCTCACTGCAGCCTTGAATTTCTGGGCTCAAGTGATCCTCCTCCCTAATCCTCCAGAGTAGCTGGGACTCCAGGTGCCTGATACCACACCTGGCTAATTTTTACATTTTCTATAGATAAAGTCTCACTATGTTACCTAGGCTGGTCTCAAACTCCTAAGCTCAAGCAGTCTTCCCATTTCAGCCTCTTGAGTAGCTGGGATGACAGGTGCACACCACTGCACCAGGTTCCCACTTCTTAATACTATCACATTGGCAACCCCTGAATTTTGGAAAGGACTCATTCGAACCATAGCACGTGGGAAAAATACAGATGCTGTGTTTTGCACCTGTCCTAGGCTTTTGAGAGATGTAAATAAGATAACAAACTTATAAAAGAACTTGGAGAAGTTCATGAAAATGTAAATGTATTACAATATGGATTAATATTAACAACAATTATAAATATGAAATAAAATTATATATAAAATAATAATACATTTCAACCCTAATTTAAAGCCTTGAAGGTAAAGACCTTAGTTGTTTTAGTTTTTGTTTTTGTTTTTGTTTGAGACAGAGTCTCGCTCTCTCACCCAGGTTGGAGTGCAATGCTGCGATCTCACCTCACTGTAACCTCCACCTCCTCGGTTCAAGCGATTCTCCTGCCCTAGCCTCCCAAGTAGCTGAGATTACAGGCGCCTGCCACCACGCCCAGCTAATTTTTGTATTTTTAATAGAGATGGGGTTTCACTGTGTTCCCCAGGCTGGTCTCGAACTCCTGAGCTCAGGCAATCCACGTGCCTCAGCCTCCCAAAGTGCTAGGATTACAGGTGTGAGCCACCACACCTGGCCAGTAAAGACCTTATAACAAAACATTTTGAAATCCACTGTCACAGAAAATATATGACTACTTAAAACATAGGTACCGAATGATTAATTATGTATTATAATTTTCTTTTTACTATAAAATATTATTAATACATTCATTTAACTTCCAGTTTCTGTGTTTGGGAGAGGACTAGGACTGGGCCTAGGACAGAAATATAACTTTTACATGTATGGTATATATGAGTTTTCTGAGGCCGTGCATTAGTCTGCTCAGGTTGTCACAACAAAATACCACAGAGTGGGAGTCTTAACAACAATTTATTTCTCACAGTTATAGAGGCTGGAAAGTCTAAGATCAAGGTGCCAGCAAGGTCAGTTTCATTTTGAGGCCTATTTTTTGGGTTGTAGGTGACTGTGATCTAGATGTGTCCCATATGGCCACTTCTTTTGCACAGAGAGGAAGAGCTAGCTCTCTAGTGTCATTTCCTTTAAGGACACAAATCCTATTGGATCAGGGCTTCTACCTTATGAGTTCATTTAACCTTAATTACATCTTTAGGAGGCTTCATCTTTAAATACAGCTACATTAACAGTTAAGGCTTTGGAATATTCATTTTAGGGGGACACCAACATTCAGTCCATAACAAGCTGCCATAATAAATCATTACCGACTGGGTGGCTTAAACAACAGAACATTATTTTCTCAAATAGTGGAGGATAAAAGTCTGAGATCAAGGTGTATGCAGGTTTGCTTTCTTCTGTTATTTCTCTTCTTAGCTTGTATCTGGCCATTTTCTCTCTATGTCTTCACATGGTCTTTGCTCTGTATGTGTCTACATCCTAATTTCCTCTTTTTATCAGGACACCAGTCATATTGGATTAGGGCCAAGCCTAATAACTTCAATTTAACTTAATTGCCTTTTTGAAGACCTATCTCCAAATACAGTCACTTCCTGAGGTACTGAGGGGTTAGGACTTCAACATATTAATTTGTGGGGGCAGTGGGGGCTTATTGCCCATGACACGATACAAAACACTTAAGATGTGGAACATACTTTTTATGTCTTCTCAAGCTTATGACTTTCTTTGATCAGCAAATGTGCAATTGATACATTGCCAGACAATAACTATTATCTATTTCTTTATAAACTAGGTCTCCAAAGGACAGTCATTTGCTAGGTGAGCTCATGTTCTAATATTTACTTTAATGTAATAAAACACATTCTTTAAAAACATATCCCCAGGAAGCCCATGAACCTGCTTGGTAAAAGAGCATGTCTTTTCATGCCCATCTAACCTTCATTGTGTATAGACATCTTGGAATGAAATTTTCAAAAGATTGTTCAATAATTCACATTAATCACTGATTCACAGGACTGTCCCTCTTCAGTTAGTTTAAATCAGTAAAGATGTTTTAAATTCCATCCTCCACCCCCAACAAAGAGGCTTTGCTGCCCTTGTGAGTTCATTCAGTCAGAGAGAAGCAAACTTGACTGTCAGCTTCCCAGCTCCTTTGGTATGCAGAGCTGCCGCAAAAGCTGGGATTATTAAGGTTGAGTTTTGACATTTCAAAGGAACATTGGAAGATTTTGACCCCTTCTTCTGAAATTTGAAAAACAAAGATACTGATGAGAATAAGTCTATTCACTTTAGCTAGTATTATAAGCCAATATAGCCACCCGCACCACCAACTAGAGAAAATGTTGGCGTGTATCTTTAAAACAAGATTTATTTCATTTTCTAATTAACTGTCAAGAATAAACAAAAGTAGTCTTTTCAGTTTTAGCTCTCACACATGGGTTTTTTAGCCTGAGGAGTGACTTCACACACAGGGTCTCTGCTACTCACCTCTCACCACCATCACCCACAATTAAGACTCATTAAGATTTTCCTCACTTCCATCTTCCAAGGACAAAAATAATGCAGGCTATTACCATTTGTTTTATTCCAATAGGGAAATCCATGGGGGGTTCTGTAGTGAGAATTTCAGAATTTTCTTTTTAAATCACAGGGCTGAGAAATAATGAGCTCTTAGCTTAATTTCCCTTTATCTTTGTGTAGGAGTATAATGTTTATTCTGCTGAAATTTTATATCCTTTTAGACAAAGTTCACTTAGTTTCTTCTATGTGGGCTGGGCCAACTCTGTAGTTCTATTCTTCCACTGATATTGGGGCACATGTGTTGCCACTTATCAGAAATCTCCAAATCACCAGTCCTATGTGTAGTAAACTGAATGAGAGTGTGTGCTTGGGTGGATCTGTATGTGTGCATAAGTGTACATCTATGAGCTAAATTTTCACAGCCATTTGCCAAGATTAAGGAACAAAATAGGTGTCTAAAGATATTCTCTCAGCTCCTCTACAACTGCAAGAAACCTTGTGATGATCTGACATCATAATTAACTCAATCTTTTCCTATTTGAAAAACAATACAACTTTCCAAATTATCCTAGTTACTCTGAGTAAATTGTCTCACTAACCTCTGTAGAATGAAACTTTATTGCAGCATAACCACCCTTAGGCTGCCTTTTAAGTATAACCCACAAAAATATATAAATATGCAAACATCTATAGCCACACACACAAATACCTGCACACATAGAGCAGAGACACTCCTTCCTTTCCAGGGAGGTTCAATTAAGTTATTCTTGCATCGTATTCCCCTACTCAAGAAACCTTAATAAGTATCCATTGCTTGTTGAAGGAGCCTTTAAAACTTTGCAATTAGGAACTAATTTTTACATCCCTGAATCATTGAAATCTCTCCATGACTGTGTGTGTTGAGAGGAGAAGAGAGGACAGGATTTCTGAAGGAGCTATGTATAAATTATGCACTGGCTTATTATCTGTATCAGCCCACCCCCCTCAAACTGGTAAAACCCCGAGAAAAATTAAGAAAAAGATGGAGAGATGTAGCATCAAGTATTCTGTAGGGATGAACCAAGGTCATTTTTTGAGGTCTTTTGGTCTGTTGGTCTATTTATTGGGGATTCCTAACTTGCAAGTTTCTTAAGTGTAGCATTTAACACATTCCATAATTTAACTCTTTCATAAATTTCCATGCTACTTACTCACATGCTTGAAGTATTCGATCACTCCACCGCACCAGGGGAGCAGGAACTCCCAGTGTCACCCATGCTCATTTTCACCCTGTTTACTATGCTTTTTCAAATGCTAAAACTCCTTCATTTCTCTACTTTTTCCCTTAATCCAATCCTCTTTCTCTCCATGAAAGCCCAGACTTCTGCAGAGGTGCTTCAAGGTTTTCTGCAGAATTGCCAGGAATGGGGAGAAAGAGTTGTGAGAAAACAGGTGCAGCAGCCCTAGGCTCTGTCTGAGTTCTTATCCTCTACTTCAATAAGAGATAGCCTATTTAGGTTAGAAAATAGCAATGAGCTCTACATGAAATTTGAAAACCCACTGCTTTATAACTCATCTAACATTCAGACCACAATGATACCTTCTTCCCTGAGGTACCTATTCCAGTTTCTGTGGTTATGTAGCTCTTGTATTTTTATTCATATGTTTACACCTGCATTTGTTTTCTCTCCAATTAAAATGCAGGTTCTTTTGAGTGCCATCAGTATCATTTGGTAGTGTCATATTACAATGGGTTTTAAAGACCCGCTTACACTCTGGCAAAAAAAATTGGATAGCTGTAGAGTACAAGATGACAAGGCACCACGTAAGAAATCTGTGCTTTCACACTTTCTTCTCCATATTTGCCCTTGTTGCCAAGTCAATCAATCTGTTTGCAAGACAAATAGTCTCATCTTAATTGCTGAACCTGTTAGATGCTCCTCTTGTAAGATGGAAGAGAGGGTCAGAAAATAAAATAAAAACAAAGAAGCAATTTGCATTGTTTTAGTGCCAAGCATTTACAAAATGTCTTCATATTATCTCATTAATAAACTCCACAACCATATTAGAGAGATGCTATTATTCTCATCTTATAGGTATGAAAAGTACCTATTAGAGAGTTTAAGACTCTTGTACAAGACACACAATGGTAACTAACAATCCAAACATAAACCATAATTTAAAAATCTCCAAATCCTCTTTTCAAATGGGCTGAGCTACTAGAACAGAAGCACAAGGGTTGAAGTGGATTCTGAGCTGGACTGGTTGACAGAGTATTGAAAAAAATGAGATCAATTGAGAAAAACCTTTAAAAGATGTTTAATTCCAATATTCTGAATGTTTATTAGCAAGACGTCTTGATGATGGTATTGACCTAATGACCCCACACACGCATGCACAGCTTCTTCCAGGAAACTAAGAGGCTACAGACGTGAACTCCTTCTCTCTGCTCCATGTCTCTCCATTTCCCCACCACTTTCCCTTTGCTCTTCCCCTCTCATATAGAAGAAGGTTTGGCCCCATGTGTCATTTGTGCTGCTTCCCTATTTACTTGTATTCTTTTTTCTATTTTCTTGCAGCTTCTCTGGAACTTCACTGTATTATTCCTTTCTGGTAATTAACATCTTTTCTCTTTCCGTTCCTTCCTTCTCTAAGTTATGCAAATCTTTGTACCACAAATAATTTTTTTAATTAACTTTTCACTCCTCAAAACACCATTTGATTTTTATTTCTCTTTATAATCTAAATCCTAAAAAGTTCTTATTTCTCAATATTCACTTCCTCACCATAAACTACCCTGTTGAAATCTAGCTCTCCTCACTTTGCAGAAATGAGTAGCTGAGCATGTACTGATAATCAACAATAAATTTCTCGATAATCGTGTTGTTTGCAATAATTCCTTTTTGACAATTGTATTAGTCTGTTCTCACCCTGCTAATGAAGACATATCCAAGACTGAGTAATTTATAAAGGAAAGAGGTTTAATCAACTCACAGTTCAGCGTGGCTGGGGAGGCCTCAGGAAACTTATAATCATGGCGGAAGGGGAAGCAAACATGTCCTTCACATGGCAGCCGCACATATGAAGAACAAAAGGGGGAAAAGCCTATTATAACATCATCAGATCTCCTAAGAATGCACTCACTATCATGAGAACAGCAGTATGGGAGTAACTGCCCCCATGATTCAACTACCTCCTGCCAGGTCCCTCCTAAGATGAGATTTGGGTGGGGATACAGCCAAACCATATAAACAATTGTACCAGTTTTTCAGATTTTGATTCATGTTACAGCTCCAAACTGAAGAAAAAACAAAATTCTAAGAATATAATAAAAAGTAATTTCAATGTGATTATTCTAATATAACTTCAATGGGAAATATCAGAGAAAATGTTGGTAATACCTAGTCCAATTAAGGATGCATATAACCTGTTATGCACCAATTTCATTACTCAGTTTCTATCCTAGAGAAACATTGTACATATGCAGACAGAGATATGCATAACAATGTTCAGAGTGATATTTTAAGAGGCCTAATGTCTATTAACAGTAAAATGGATATATAAATTATAGCATATTCACAAAATGGAAATGCTATACAATAGGAAAAATGAAAGCATTACAACTACAACCCACAAGTATTTGGTCTTAACCATTTCATAACAAATTAGTTTTAGCTCTAGTCTTTCTTTTATTGGTAACAGTTTTATTGTAAACTGTTCACATACTATATAATTCACCCATTTAAAGTTTATAATTCAATAGTTTTTATTATATTCAAAGAGTTCTGTAACCATCACTACAATCAATCTTAGATTATTTTCATCACCCCAAAAAGAAACCCTGTACTCTTTATCAATAACCCTCATCCCCTTATTTCTCCCAATCCTTTACCAGTCCCTTATTCCACTAATCTACTTTCTGTCTATATAAATTTGCCTATTCTGGGCATTTAATATAAGTGGAATCATAAAATAGGTGGTCTTTTTTGGCTGGATTCTTTAATTTATCAAAATGCTTAGAAGGTTCATTTATGTGGTAGCATGTAGCAGTAGTTATTTCCTTTTGTTGTCAGATAATATCCATTGCCTCAATAGACCACATTTTCTTCTCAATTTATCACTTGATAGACATTTGAATTATTTATACTTTTTGGCTATTTGAGTAATGCTGTATACAAGTTTTTTGTTTGTTTGTTTGTTTGAGACGGAGTTTCACTCTTGTCACCCAGGCTGGAGTGCAGTGGCATGATCTCAGCTCACTACAACCTCTGCCTCCCAGGTTCAAGCAATTCTCCTGCCTCAGCCTCCTGAGTAGCTGGGATTATAGATGCCCACCACCACGCCAGGCTACTTTTTTGTATTTTTAGTAGAGATGGGGTTTCACCATGTTGAGCAGGCTGGCCTCGAACTCCTGACCCCAGGTGATCCACACGGCTTGGCCTCCCAAAGTGCTGGGATTACAGGCGTGAGCTATCACGCCTAGCCACAAGTTTTTATGCTGACATATGTAGTCATTTCTCTTTGGTATAGACCTGGGAATATAATTGACAGGTCATATGGTAATTTTATATTTTACCTTTGAGGAACTGGAAGACTGTTTTCCCAATTGACCATACCATTTTACATTCCAATCAGTAGCATATGAAGGTTTCAACTCTCCATGTCCTTGATAACACTTGTTCTTACTCTTTTGAGAGAGGAAAAATGTTGCATGTCATCCTCAAGAATTTGAAAGCTGAGGATTTTGAGAAAAGCTACCATTAGCACAGCTTCCTTCTCCTCTATCCCAACTCCAAGCTACTGTTTCTCTTGAGCCATTAGTCACTGGACACTTTAGATACCGTGGATTAAGACCTTGGACTGTGTTAGGATCCCATGTGAAGGAACTGATGTAATAATTTCTCTACCTGGAGAATACCTAGAGCACAGATTCAAAAGCAGCATATTCTGAGAAGAAATAGTCTCTAGAGATGTGTACACCCTGTGGGCAGGGCTCCACTGGGCCTCCCTGCATGTAAGAGGGCTGAGTCTCCTCAGGCTTTGAGGTGGAAGAACAGAGAGATCAGACAACCAGTGCCCCTTCCTAGTGTTTGAACAGGAGGTGGGCAGTTTCTGGCTACACAGAAACCCCAAACTAATCACAACTCCTGTGCCTTCCAGCATTTGTAGTTTTCAAGAGAGTTAGGAAACTACAAAAATCAGATTTGAGCACCAGTATACAAAAAAAAAAAAAAAAAAAAGAGAAGTCAACACCTCACCACCTCACCTAAGGGAGGATACGAGATACAGAAAGAGAAAGATAAGGCAGAAATTCAGAACAGACACCTAGTAAAATAAAACTGTCATATAAATATGATAAAACATAAATTTAAAAATGGGTTTCAAAAGGATTTCTGGTGCAGCACAAAAATATGCTTCCAGAACTAAAATATAATTTTTACTAAATAATTTGTATTATGTGAAATGAGATGATCATTTAATAAGGACCCGAATTAGTGATCTAGATGAATATAAGAAATACATCAAAAAACAGAGTGTAAAACAAAGATGACTATTATGAAAAAGCGGGTAAAGAGTTGATATGTAACATTCAAATCACAGGAGTTCCCGAGAAAGAAAAACAATTTTGGGAAAGTGTATGTTAGTAACTACATGAATATGAGAAGAAAATTTTTCTGAGCTGAAGTAAGAAGTCTCAAATAGGCTCACAAAGTTTCTGTCTGGTATAATGAGAAGAAGAAAGAAACAAAAATTAAAAACAAAGGAAGCTATTTAAGATTAGACAAACCTGAAAATAAAAGAGTACTTGTAGGCTGGGTGTGGTGGCTCACGCCTGTAATCCCAGCACTTTGGGAGGCCGAGGCTGGTGGATCACAAAGTCAAGAGATCGATACCATCCTGGCCAACATGGTGAAACCCCACCTCTACTAAAAATACAAAAATTAGCTGGGCATGGTGACGCATGTCTGTAGTCCCAGCTACTCGGGAGGCTGAGGCAGGAGAATCACTTGAACCCAGGAGGCGGAGGTTTCAGTGAGCTGAGATCGTTTCACTGCACTCTAGCCTGGGTGACAGAGCAAGACTCTGTCTCCAAAAAAAAAAAGTACTTGTTTTCTTCCTACCTGCACCTCTGCCACAGAAAAACACTCAGGAATATCTTAGGAAATTCTTCAACCATTCTAAAAGAGAAAAAAATTAATAATCTTATAGGCAAAAGATGAAGCTATCTACACAGAAAAAGAAATCAGATAGGCATTGGATTTCTCATCTGCAACACTGAGACATGAATCACATTATGATACAATTTTCAGATGAAATTTAAAAAGTAAAAGAAAAGTTAAAATGCAGATTTAATACAGAAAATTTGTAAACTGAAGGTTGGAACCAAGAAAATTGCTCAGAATTCAGCATAGAGACTTAAAGAAAGAATGAGAATAGTATAAATTTTAAAGAAACAAGCAAAGTGAGAATTAATTCAAGAGAGTAAAAGAAACGATTTGCTAGGAAGTCTAAAAATAAATTTCAAATTATATAACATAAAGCAAAGATTGATACAATTTTAAAGAATATATTCTCAAACCATAATCAGGTTGAGTATTGTAACATATACCACTCAAACCTGGAACAATAAATAAAATGCATTAAATATGCAATGATTAAATCAAGTTTGATTTGATGGATGCATAATAAGACAAAACTATCCATCTCTCTGTCTTTCTCATCTATTTATTCATCTATCCATACATATACATGCATATATACATACATATATTATACATTTATAATTTATTGTTTGACTATATACATTTCTATACATATGTTTATACATATATTTCAACCATATTTATATTCCAAATACATATGTATTTATATTCCAAATATAGAAATAGAAAAATATTTCCTAATGAATATACAAAATACATTTTCTTGGCTATGATGAATTAAAATTGTAAATCAATAATAAAAAAGGGTTAACAATTTTATAAATTTAGAAATGATAGCACCACTCAGAATAAGCCATAAATGAAAAACATCATATTAAAATTAGAAAATAATCACCAGTGAATGACAAAAAATAGTATCTAGTACAACTTTGAGGCTCATCTAAAGATGCCAAAAGAAGTATCTATAACTTTAAAGAAAGAATGGAAAATTAATGGTGGATGCTTTCAATGATAGAGTTTGAAAGAGGTAAAGCATAATAAACTCAAAGAAAGATAAGAGGAAATACAAAATACAAGAGTAGAAGATAATAAAATAGAAAACAAAGATGAAACATAAAGAAACAACAAAACCATCAATGGCTTCCTTGTAAAGCTTAATAAATTAGGCAAATTGCTGGCAAAATTTATTTTTAAAAAGAGCATAAATAAGTAATTTTAGAAATAAAAAAGAGATCATTAATATAGATCTGCTCCAGACCAACAAAATTATATGGTAATGCTTTAAATCTGTAATGATAAATTGAAAACTTAGACAAAACAGTTATTTTTTCTAAAACTGTGTCAATTACCAAAACCGAGTCTTGAGATTTTCTAAGACAATTCATTATAATAAAACTTTGTACTGTGTTTTGCAAAAATAACACTCCTGAATGGCTTTCCTCATGTGTTTTACAATTCTTTGAAGAATAATCCCTGTTTTACACATATTTTGTCCCAGTGATAGATATGGAGCATTGTCACCCTCTTTTTTGACCTAGTATAATCTGAATAACGCATCCAGATAAAATTAGAACACAAAAATATTAAAATATTTGCATATTCTGGATATAAAACATTCACAAACTACATCTGATATGTGAAAAATTATGATCAAGATGAGTGTATTTTAGAAATATGATGATGGAACTTTAGAAATTAAAGTAATTCATTGCTTTAAGAGGCCAAAAGTGAAACTAATATGCTCATGTTAATTTATCATAATAGATGCAGAAAAGACATTCTATAAAATGCAACACTCATTTATAATAAAACCTATAAGCAAACTAGAACTAGAAGGGAACTTCTTTTACCAAAGGTCACTCTAAGTAACTACAGTAATTATTATACTTAGTAGTGCAATATCAAAGGCTTTCTCTTTAAATTCTGGAACAATGCAAGATACCCTTTAGTACTGCTTTTTTCTACATTGTTCGGAATTTTCTATGTGATGTAATTAAACAAGAAATTGAACAATTTATAAGGACAAGACAAATTGTCATAGCTCCTATATAAAGAATTGAGTATTAGTCTTTGGTATTCTAGTTTTCTAATACACTGTGCTATTTTTTGGAATTAAACTAACAGCATTTATTGTTTTAAACAATTCAGAGTATTAATTATTTACACATTGAATTAGTCCCAGGTAGTTATTTGGTATATCAAAATTTATAATCAAATAAAAGTTACTAAAAATAGCTCTGAATCACAATCGTCTTCTTTTAAACCATTTAAGTATTTCTAAAATGTTTCATATATCATTTGTTCACACAGATTGCTCATCTGAATGGCCCCATCAGACCTGCTGCCCTCTGCCTTCAACTCAAGGCTTGAGAAACCTTGTGGAGACCTCTGCTGTCTTGATGCCTCTCTCTCTGGATCTTGCTCCATTTGTGTTCCTGATTTCCTTTGTTCTTGAGATCTATAGATATCCTTCTCATCACTGTCTTTCTCACTCATCCCACAGAACTTCTTTTGCTTCTTGCATAGGCAGATTTTTATACCTTAAATAACAAAGGGCTTAAGAATTGGGGATACAAAATCCAGAAAGACTTACAGTTTTACACTCATCCACATTTCTTTCCCCAAAGGAAAATAGCAGAACTGACAAATAGATTACATTCCTTGAATGACATAGGGTGGGAAGCTAAATAAAGGTGGAAATAGATTAGTATCTGAAAATACAGTCATAGTATAGCAGACACTGTCAGAACCTGTCATATCCCATGGACTCTATCATTTCAAAGTACTCTGGCTATCTTTCAATTACCGATCTGATATCCATGTCTCTGTAACAGGACTTTTCTGGAAGCTTGAAAGGTCATGCTTCCCATACCTGAAGGCCAGAAATGCTGGAAAATTAACCTAATCCCATCCCTTCAGCCTTCAATAACTCTTGAGCAGTGGTATAAAATAATCCCCAAAATAAAATATCAACACTGTATAAGGGATTTAAATAAGACACAGTCTCATAATGTAAAATTAAAAATGCCTAGGATGCAATCCAAGTTTATTCAGCATCTGTAGAACCAGGAAAAATCTCAACTCTCATGGGATAAGATAACTAACAGATGCCAATGTAGAGATGACGCAAATATTGGAATTATGTAACAGAGACATTAATCAGTGATCATTAAAATGCCCTAAGCAGCAAGGAGTATTTTGAAAACAAATGATCAAGCATCAGCACAAAATACAGTAGCTATAGAACCAAATGACATATGTAGAATGAATAATTAAATTAAAAACAACAATAAAATAAGTCCTCACTGGACTTTTAGTAGGAGAACGAAGATGACAGAGGAAATAATCAATTAAATTAAAGATAGATCAATAAAAGTTATCCAATTTATTTTATTTTATATTTATTTATTTGTTTATTTGTTTGTTTATTTATTTTGAGATGGAGTCTTCCTCTGTTGCCCAGGCTGGAGTACAGTGGTGTGATCTTGGCTCACTGCAATCTCCACCTCCTGGATTCAAGCGATTCTTCTGCCTCAGCCTCCCGAGTAGCTGGGACTACAGGCTAATTTTTTGTATTTTTAGTAGAGATGGGGTTTCACCGTGTTAGCCATGATGGTCTCGATTTTCTGACCTCGTGATCTGCCTGCCTCGGCCTCCTAAAATGCTGAGATTACAGATGTGAGCCACCACGCCCAGCCAGAAGTTATCCAGTTTAAATCATAGAAAGAATAAAAATGGTTTCAAAAATACAGACCCTGCATCCTGTGGGACAGTAACAACAGTTTTAACATTTATATCATTGGACTTCCAAAAAGAGAGGGAAAAGGGAGTGGGGCATACAAATATTTAATAAAAAACAAAAGCAATGTCAAGACACACCAAAATCAAACTTCTGAAAATTAAGAGCCAAAGAAACATATCAAAAGCAGCGAAAACCACACAGAAAAAAACACACATTCCTTATATGGCAACAAAAATTTTTTGTATATATACTCTGAAAGAATTGCTAAAGTTTTTCAGAGAAAAGAAAAATGATACTAAGTGGAAACCCAAAACATTGGAAATCAAGAATGAGGGACAGAAATAATAAATATCCGGGTGAATATTGTGCATTTATTTTTTTCTGAAATATTTAAAAATAGGTATTATGGTAGGGAATAAAATCTATGACATTGATTGGGAATGATATTTTTAATGGCTATGAATAGGACTGCACAAGTTGGTGTGGGCAAAAGTTGGTAAACTCTACATTCCACTTTCAATAGTAAAACATTTATTTAAAAAATATTGTACAAAGCTAATTAGGGACACTGTAGTGTCTAGAACAGTTAAAAATTAGAGTTGTAGTCAGAATAGAAAAACTAAAATGGCATTCTAAAGATATATAAATAAAGTAAGACAGTAAGGAGAAAATAAAGCTAAAAATAAATAGTAAAATTGTAGACCCAACTCCAAACATACCAATAATTACACTAAGTGATTTAGATATTCCTATCAGAAGACAGGGAGTGCCAGATTGAATTTAAAAACATGAACAAATTGTATTATTTTTATAAGAAACTCTATGAAATTATAATTATTTAGGTAGGTGAAATGTAAAAGAATGGAAAAAAAGATGAGCCATAAAAATAGTAATCAAAAAAGAGCTAAAGTTGCTATATTAATATTTGATGTATTATTTGGAGCAAAGAAAATTATCAGGTCTAAATAGGGATATTACATGATGCTAAAAGAGTAACTTCTACCAAAACGTAGCAAAACTAATGTGCAGGCACTTAACAATACAGTTTCAAAATACATAAAGCAAAACCAAAGGAAGTATATAGACAGAAAAATCTAAAATTTATCATTGAAGACTTCAAGATGTCTATCTCAATAATATGTAGAACTATAAACAGAAAATCAGCAAGTTTATAAAAATAAAAAGATGTAAATCAACTGAATCTAATTGAGATTTATAAGATTTTTCACATAGCAACACAGAAGAAATAACATTCTTTTCAAGTACACATAATTGGGTATAACCTGGGCCGTAAAATTCTACCAAACTTAAAAAACTAAATTATACCAATTATATTTTCTAAACATAATGAAATTAAACTAGACAGTTTAAAACGTGGAAGGATAACTAGAAAATATCCAAACACTTGGAAATTAAACATTATACTTATAAATAACTTATGAGTCAAACAGTCTCAAAGAAATTAGAAAATTTTATAAATGGAATGAAGATGAAAATGTGGTGTATTAAAATATTTGGGATGCAGCTAAAGCAGTGCTTAAGAAGAATTTTATAGAATTAAATGATTACATTAGAAAGGATAAAATGCATCAAATCAATAATCTAAACTGCTAATGTAGAGTTAGAATAAAAATAAACAGAAGGCAAGCAGAAGAAGGAAGAAGATATTTAATGTAAGCATATATATCAATGGATTTGTAGAAAAAATAAAACAGAAAATGATAACAAAAACTGAATTTTGGAGAATATAAATAAAATTGAGAAACTTCTTATAAGACTAGTAAAGAAAATAGAGAAAGTACAAAATTAGCAATATAAAATTTTAAAAGTATATATTACTATACACATTAAAAAAGAATATGGAGATATCACAAACATCTTTATGCACACACATTCAACAATTTCAATAAAATGGAGTAGTTCCTTAAAAAATAAAATCTACCAAAAGTTACTCAAGATGAAATGTACAACCTAAAGCATCTTGTGACTATAGAGGATACTGAATTCACAGATAAAAGCCTTCTGAAAAACAATCTACATCAACAGGAGTTCACTGGTTAATTCTATCAAATAGCTGAAGATCAATCTCACACAATCCCTTCCAAATAATAGAGGAAACACGTCCCTATTCATTTTATAAGGCCAGAATAATCGTGATTCCAAAATCAGATTGAAATAATACTAAACAACACACCACCATTTCTCATGAAGGCAGACGTAAAAATCCTCAACAAAGTATTAGTGAATCTAATTCAGCAATAAATAAATTATCATATTTCGTAAACTTCTAACTTTGATTCTGGAAATATCAGCTTGGTTCAATATTCAAAACAATTCATGTAATCCATTATATTAACAGTATGAAAAGAAAAACCATGTGGTCATATCAATTGATGCAGCAAAAGCATTTCACAGAATTCGACATGTATTCATGATGAAAATTATCAGCAAATTGAGAATAAAAGGAAATTTATCCACTTGATAAAGGTCATCTGCAAAAAACTAACAGTTAACATCATATTTAAGGAAGTAAAATTGAATTATGTCCTCATAAGATCAGGAGCAAGGCAAAGATATTCATTCTCAATAGTCCTATTCACCATAATAGAAGTTCTGTTTATTACAATAAGCCTAGAAAATTTTTAAACATTTATTTTTTAATTATTTATTTTTTTAAAATATTTTTTCTTATCACAAATTCATGATTACCTAACTAGAACATCCCTAGCATCTACAAAATAATACATCTAATGGTGTATTATAGTTCTATGCAATACATAGAACTAATGAGTTTAACAAGCTTTCAAGACACAAGATTTACAGAAAAATCAGTTGAATTTCTGTATACTAACAATAAACAGAAGCTGAAATTTAAAATAACTTCAAGAATTTAAATACTTAGATATAAATCTAATGAAACATGTATTGGGTCTGTATGCTGAAAGCGACAAAATGCTTGTTTAAGAAATCAAAGGAGGCCTAAAACAATGAAAAATTATCCTGTGTTCATGAAAGGAAAGACTCAACATATTAAAGATGTTAATTCTTCCAAGATTTATTTCCAGATTTAAACAAATTTATTTCACTAGCACAGCAGGGTTTTTGGTAAATCTACACAAACTGATTCTACAATTATATGAAAAGGCAGAGAAAATGGAAGAACAAAACAATTTTGAAAAATGAAAAAAAATTGTAGGATACTACCAATTTTAAGATTAACTATAAAGCTATAGTAATCTAGATGGTGTAGTATTAATAAAGAGATACACCAATAATAAAGAGATAGAGCAGTGAAAGAAAATGGAGAATCCAAAAAGAGATCCATGCATATATGGCCAAATTGTGTTTCCAATTTATTTTGGATACTAATGCAAAGGCAATTCAAACGAGAAAGGAAAGTCTCTTTGCTAAGAAAGCTTTATTGAGCTATGATTAAATATGTACAATTATTTCCATGTCAATGTATATAACTTGTTGAGTTTGGGGATGAGTATACATCTGTAAAACTATCACTAACATCAAGGCCATGTACATATCCATCACCTTCCAAAGTTTTCTTCTGCTCCCTTTTATCATTATTATCTTTAGTGTTCTTATTGTACTTAATAGTATAATTAAGTATTATTAAAAATACTTAACATAAGATGTACTTTCAGCAAATTTTAAGTATACAATACAGGATTGTTAGCTATAGGTTCTATACAGTATAGTACATCTTTAGAACTTATTTACCTTGTGTAACTGAGACTCTACAGAAGATGTCTGAGATGTTGTATGTACCCTTTGACCATCACATTTCCTCCCCTTTACCCTGAAAACCACCATTCTACTCTCTGCTTCTATGAGTTTGACTATTTTAGATTCCCTGCATAAGTAATATTAACAGTCTTTGTCTTTCTGTATCTGACTTATTTTACTTAGCATAATATCCTCTAGGTCCATCCATATCATTGCAAATGACATAATTTCCTTCTTTATTAAAGGCTGAATCATATTTCTGCACGTGTGTGTGTGCTATTTTTCTTTCATTTATCTTCATTAATGGACATTTAGTTTGTTTCCATATCTTAGATATTGTAAATACTGTTGCAATGAACATGGGAGTACAGATATCTCTTCCAGATCCTGATTTAAATTGCTTGGCTATTCACCTAAAAGTAGGGTGGTTGGATTATATGGCAGTCCTATGTTTAACTTTGATGAATTTCCCTAATGGCTTTCCATAGTGGCTATACCAACTTACATTTCCACCAACAGTGTACAATATCTCTCTTTTCTCCACATTCTTCCCATACTTGTTACATTTTGTTTGTTTTTAATTATACCATCCTAAGAGGCATGAAGTGACATCTCATTGTGGTTTTGATTTCCATTTCCCTGATGATTAGTAATGCTGAGCCCTTTTTATATATCTGTTGGCCATTTGTGTGTCTTTTTGGAGAAATGTCTGTTTAGGTTCTTTGTCCATTTTTTAGTTGAGTCTTTTATATTTTTGCTGTATAGTGTTTGAGTTTCTTATATATTTTTAATATCAATCCCCTACCATATATATGATTTGCACCATGTGAAAGAATGAAATTTCACCCTTATAGTACACCATACACAAAAATCAATTCAAAATGAATTAAATACTTAAATGAAAGACCTGACACCATAAATCTTCTAGAAGAAAATATAGGTAAAAATGTCCTTGATCTTGGCAATACATTTTTGAATAGGAGACCAAAACCACATGCAACAAAACAATAAACAAACACATAGGATTACATCAAACTAAAAAAGCTTCTGCACAGCAAAGGAAAACAAAATTTAAAAAAAAACAGCCTACGTAAAGACTATTCTTTTGAAAACATGATATTGTTAACAACTGGACTCCCATAAGCAGAAATACACACGCACACACACACACACACGCACAGAAGTACCTTTGCCTTTCGCATTATATTCACAATTTACACAAAAATAACACAAAATCAGACATAGGTTTATTTATTTATTTATTTATTTTTTGAGATGGAGTCTCACTCTGTAGCCCAGGCTCTAGTGCAGTGGTGCAATCTTGGCTCACTGCAAGCTCTGCCTCCCAGGTTCATGCCATTCTCCTGCCTCAGCTTCCGGAGTACCTGGGACTACAGGCGCCCACCACCAAGCCCGGCTAATTTTTTTGTATTTTTAGTAGAGACAGGGTTTCACCATGTTAGCCAGGATGGTCTCGATCTCCTGACCTTGTGACCCGCCCACCTCGGCCTCCCAAAGTGCTGGGATTACAGGCGTGAGCCAATGCAGCCGGCCCAGACATAGGTTTAAATGCAAGATATAAAAATATGAAACAGTTTCAAGAAAATAAAGGATAAATCATTCATGAACTTGTTTGGGGCAAAGAGTTTTAACACATTCTAACAAAATAAATCATGTAATGAAAATTGTGAATTTTATGAAAATTAAAATCTTGTAATTCATGAAAGGCATTGTTATGGCAATTAAAAGACAGATTTCATATCTTGCACAGTGAAAACATTGCTGAGGGAAATTAAAGTGGCTCTACTAAGTGGAAAGGTATTCTAAGATGAGTGATTGGAAGGGTCTGTATTCTTAAGGTGACATCTTTCCCCAACGTATTCTATAGATTCAATGCAACCCCTGTCAAATTTCCAATACTCATTTTGCAAAAATTGATAAGCTGATCCTAAAATTTATGTGGAAAGGCATGGGTCCGTAATAGCTAAAACAGTTCTGAAAAAGAATAAAGTTGGACAATTTGCATTTCCTAACTTCAAAACTTTCTGAAAAGTTAGTGTAATCAAGTGAGTGCAGAACTGGCTTAAATATAGAATTATACATCTATGAAATTGAGACTCTGGAAATAAACCCTTACGTTTATAGTCTATTGATTTTCATCAAAGATGTGAAGTTGTCAAGGCAATTCAACAGAAAAAAATTAGGGTGTTTTATTTTTATTTTTGTTGTTTGTCTTTTTAACCAATAGTGATGGAATAATTAGATATCCACATGCAAAAAGATTAATTTTAACATTTACCTTACTCTACACATAAAATAAACTCAAAATAAATCATAGGTACAAATATAAGGACTAAACTATAAAAATTTTTAAAAATACAGAAGAAAAAAATTCATGATCTTGATTTAGGAAAAGGTTTCCCACATACAACATCAAAGACACAATTCATGAAAGAAAAACATCAATACTTTGGACTTCATCAAAATTAAATACTTTTGTGTTTTGAAACACATCATTAAGAAAATGAAAAGACAACCCATAGACTGGTAGAACACATTTACAAATTTCATTTCTGATAAAGCACAGGTATTCATAATTAGAGAACCCAAAAAACTCAATAATCAGAAGACAAACAACTCAACTACAAATAGTTAAAATATTTGAATAGATATTTCTCCAAAGAAGTTATAGGAATGGCCAATAAGTGCATGAATAGATACTTATTGTCATTAGTTATTATGAAAATGTATATTAAAACCAAAGTGAGATAACACTCAAATGCTTAATTAAAAAAAATATAGAGACGGTTCAAGTGTTAGTAACGATGTGGAGAAAGGGAAACACCCATACTTCACTGGTTTGGATGTAAAATGGTACAACCTTTTTCAAAAATAGTTTGGCAGCTCTAGAAAACTTTAAACGTGGAGTTACCGCACACACAACAATTCTGTTCCTAAGTATCTACCAAAGAGAAATGAAACGTTTCTATTCTGATTTTTCATGTGAGTGTTCATAGCAGCATTATTCATGGTATCCCCAAAGCAAAACAATCCAAATGTCCATCAACCAGAAAATGAAAAAAGAAATACAGGTTATTACAATGGGATATTATTTGGCAGTTAAAACAGAATAAAGTGCTGATACATGCCACATAAATGAATCTCAAAAACATTATCCTAAGTGAAAGAATCCAGATGCAAAAGGCACATTGTACGATTCAATTTGTATGAAATGTCCAGAATAGGCAAATCTGCAGAAACAGAAAGTAGCTTTGTGGTCATTTGGGTATAGCAGTGAAAATGAAAATTAACTGTAAACGGTTTTAGAGATATATTGGGATGATGAAAATGTTCTAAAAGTAGATGTAGTCACAGTTGTACAATTATGGAAATTTGTTAAAATCCAGTAAATTGTAAAATTATGATGAATTTTATGGTAAGTGATACCTCAACAATTATGTTAAAGAAAAGGCCAGCTGGGCATGATGGCTCATCCCTGTAATCCCAGCACTTTGGGAGGCCGAGGCAAGCAGATCACCTGAGGTCGGGAGTTCAAGACCAGCCTGACCAACATGGAGAAACCTCGTCTTTACTAAACACATAAAATTAGCCAGGTATGGTGTTGCATGCCTGTAATCCCAGTTACTCAGGAGGTTGAGGCAGGAGAATCGCTTGAACCTGGGAGGTGGAGGTTGTGGTGAGCCGAGATCGCACCATTGCACTCTAGCCTGGGCAACAACAGCCAGACTCCATCTCAAAAAGAAAAGAAAAAAGAAAAGAAAAGAGAAGAGAAAAGAAAAGAAAAGAAAACAGAAAAGGCCAGATGTTGTGGTTCATGTCTGTAATCCCAGCTAGTTGGGAGGCTGAGGCAGGAGGATAACTTGAGCACAAGAGTTTGAGATTACAGTGAGCTATAATCATGCCACAGTACTCCAGCCTGGTTGACAGAGGAGAACCTGTCTCTAAATTAAATTAAATTAAATTAAATTAAAATTATGTAAAAAATCTAGCTACCAACTGTAAGAAAATATTTGCTTTATATATCTGATAAAAGATTTGTATGCAGAATATGGAAATAACTTCCAGACTCATAAATAAGAAAACAACACTATTGATAAACAGGCTGAAGGCTTTAGCAGACAATCCACAAAAGAAGATATACATATGGGAAATAAAGACATGAAGATAATATCGTAAGATGATACTGTTAATCATTAGGGAAGTACAAATTAAAGCAATTAAGAGATGTCACCACATATCTATTAGAATGGCTTCAATAAAAGTTACCAACATTACCACATTTTGGTGAGGATGTGGAATGACTAAGAGGCTCATTCATTGCTGGTTAGAAAGCAACATTCTAGAAAACTCTTTAGTAGTATTTTATAAAGTTAAACACACTTTATGACCTAGTAATTCCACTCCTGGGCATTTACCCTAGAAAATAAAAGAAAATGGCCAGGCATGGTGGCTCACGCCTGTAATCCCAGCATTTTGGGAGGCCAAGGCTGGCGGATCACCTGAGGTCAGAAGTTCCAGACTAGCCTGGCCAACATGGTGAAACCCCATCTCCACTAAAAATACAAAAAATAGCTGGGTGTGGTGGTGCATGCCTATAATCCGAGCTATTACGAGGCTGAGGCGGGAGAATCACTTGAGCTGGGGAGGAAGAGGCTGCAGTGAGCTGAAATCACACCACTGCACTCCAGCCTGGGCAACAGAGCGAGACTCCATCTCAAAAAAAAAAAAAAAAATGCTCACACTAAAACCTGTACCTGCATTATTCATAGCAGCATTATTTTTAATTGCCAAAAACTTGTAACAGCTGAATGCCCTTTAAATAGTGAATAGCTAAGCAAACTGGGAAACACCCATACAGTGGAATACTACTCAGTAATTAAAATAGAATAAGCTATTTACATGTGCACCAATTTGGATTCATCTAAAATGCATTATGCTGGTTGGATAAAAAAATGTCTCAAAAGGTTATGTACTACATGATTGCATTTATATGACAATCCTTAAAAAAATTTCTTTTTCTTGGTATGTAATAGATGATTGCATTTATATGAGAATCCTTTAAAAAAATTCTTTTTCTTGGAGACTGGGTCTTGCTGTGTCACCCACACTGGAGTCCAATGAGTGATCATAGCTCACTGAAGTCTCAAACTCCTGGGCTCAAGCCATCCTCGTGCTTCAGCCTCCTGAGTAGTTGGGACTACAGGTATAAACCACTGTGAGTGGCTCTATAATCTCCTTGAAAATACAAAGATATGGAGATGCAGAACACATCTATAGTTGCCAGGTGATATGGTTTAGCTCTGTGTCCCCACCCAAATCTCATATCAAATTATAATTCGACAGATTTCCCCCTTGCTGTTCTCATGATAGTGAGTGAGTTCTTATGAGATCTGATTGTTTAAAAGTGTATTGCACTTCTCCCTTTGCTCTCTCTCTCCTGCTCTGCCATGGTAAGATGTGATTGCCTCCCCTTCCACCATGATTGTAAGTTTCCTGAGGCCTCCCAGCCATGCTTTCTGTACGGCCGGTGGAACTGTGAGTCAATTAAACCTTTTTTCTTCATAAATTACCCAGTCTCAGGTAGTTATTTATAGTAGTGTGAGAATGGACTAATACACCAGGGATAGGGAGAATGACTACAAAAGGACAACGCCAGGAAGTTTTTTGACTTGATGGAACTATTGCATATACCTATTGTGGTTGTTATAATGTATGTATTTATACTGAGAACTGTACACCAAAAAGTCAATTTTACTGTATATGAATTGAAAACATATAGTAAAAATAATGTGGAAAGTAGATCATCATGGTACACATGATAATTGTGATAAGGGGATAAATAAGATGCTCTGAGGCCCAAAGTGTAACTCTGTGACTGTCCATTTAGATATTTGAGAGGGGATATTGTATAAATAAATGGGAAGTTTTAACTTGAATGAAGCCTATACTTACTAGTCTGTCTTCCATAGAAAAATTCACTTTCCTTCTCTGGCAATAAATTTCCTTGAATATAAGGAAATATGTTTTCTTTATATTCATTATATTTCCTTATATTCAAGGAAGTACCTGAATATTCTTGGGGAATATCTTTTCCTGGGGGAATTCAGGAGAAAAAAAAACATGTCCAGCTCTGATCTTCTCTGGTAATATAACTTTACTCTTAATCTAGATCAAGGATAGGGCCATTCACACTGGGTGCTGGTATTCACACAATGCAAATATCTCTGTTTTCATTTTTTCTCTAATGCCTATTTTAATGTCCAGTTAAAACAGACACTTGGCAACACCAACCTTCAGAGCCCGTTCTCCTCTTCTTTGTTACTAGTAAAGACTTCATAATCTAGACCTGTTATTTACTAACAATTTCTTAATCCCATGTACCCTACATAAAAACGTAAACAAAATTAAACACTGTATATTGCATTTAAACTCTTTAATATCCTTTCAGAGTTCTGACTAATATGATAAATTAAGATATGCAGATAATTTAATGACTGGCCCTGGCTTTTCACGCCACAGAGATAGTATGCCTAATAGGCTGAAGGATTGTAATCCAGATGCATCTGATACTCCCAACTTGGAAGAATATGCCAAACATCATTAGTCATTTGTTGGTCAGGAGCAAGGGTTTCCAGTAGGTTTTCCTGATGAAAGTGCCTTATGAAATAACTTCAACACTCACAAAGATTATTTTGGCTTTTGTGTGGAATTCCCTCTTTGCTCAAATTTTCACAAACTTAGGTTTTCATTTTTTTTTCTAATGCCTATTTTAACTTACAGTTAAAACAAACACTCACACTTATATTCACTTGGAACCCTTATGACATAGACTGTAATCTCCCTTAGGGCAACGAGCATGGCTATTTTATATCAGCACATATTCTGTGTTGTTTCAAAGTAGCTAGTTAGTAAATATTTGTTGAATACATGAGTGAATGGGTAGTTGCAAGGCAGCTCTTTTAGGAGCCCATGTCCCACCAATTATTACTGTCCAGACTAATCTCTATCTTCTGTTCCCTCTACTGCACTGAGAAGCTGTGTATCTGATTTGACATTTAATTGCACTATACTGCAACCTGTGTGTCTGAGAGCCTTAGTTTTCACAATGGAGTTATACATTATTTGAAGGCCGAGAATTTGACATAACACTCCTCCTTTGCCTTTTATAACCTTCTTATTAGTCTACTACAACCTGTGAATAAAAAGACAACCCTGTGCCTCATTAGGCGATGGATAGAAGAATGCCAGCCCAATGCCCCTGTGATCCAGCATCACTGTAAAAATGTGACCCCTCCCATTTTAATTGTATGCATGGATACTGGTAACTAGTCTTGGCCCTGATCCCTATAACGAAGCCTGAACTTTGAATTCTAATTTCAGCAACCAAACTCCTATTTGGACTGACCAGGGTGACCATTATTCCATTCATGGTGTACTTCTACTTGTTAGGCACCCATAACATCTGCTGGTTATTCTCATTGAGGCCTTCCACTCAGGATATCAGCTCCTTATCCTCCTGAATTTTCCTCCAGTCTCCTGTATCTCGGAACCCCCTTAACCTTTCATGTTCCTCTGTCTGATCAAGAGAAATCTATTGCTCCCTCAGTCTGGCAGATCATCAAATTCCTAAGTTAGACCCTCCTCTTGTGTCTTTCACAGCTCTTATAAGAGGACTAGATGCATGGTAGTCCTAATTACAATACTTGTTGCTGGAGAATTACTATTTTTAAACTCGACATTTGTCTTTGCTTTTTTCTTTTGTCTTCAAAAGTCTTCAAATAAACCAGCAAAATTCAGAGACCCCATCCTCTTCCTTCAGCAGTCATGTGTTTCAGGGTCATTTCCAGGGCAAGCGAGACGTCCTAAAATCTAGAAGTATGAGTGCCAAAGAACACAAAATGGAAAGACATATATGCAAGCTAGAGAGTGAGTTCTGCAGCTCAAAATGATGTCTTTGAATTCTGCAAAAAAAAAAAAAAAAAGAAAAAGAAAAAGAAAAAACACACCACTCTGACCCTGAAGCAACAATTTTCTCTCCAACATAAAGAGTTCTGTGATTAGAATTGTCCTGATTTGCTGAAAATACCTTTTTCAAAAGATTTTGGCGTGCCTCATATTTAAGCATTATTCATGTTAGCAGAGAAATTAAATTCCTCAAATCCTGTTTAAGTCTGGGGATGGGGAAAAGGAGAGAAGGGGGATTTACTCACTGATGCTAAAGTAGAAAACAGAGCATGACTTGCAGCTGTTCAGCTCTGTCTTAAATGAGAAAACAAACCTCCTAACCAGCCACTACCAAACACCTTTCACTTGGTTCCCATGGCAACACCTTTATCCTCTGGTGCCCAGGATGTCTCTAATGCCTCTGACTAGTTGGATTCATTGGCACCTGCTCCTCTTGCCAGCTCTTGTCAAAACTTATTAGAATGAGAATTTTTTTCGATAGCACTAGTGAGAGAAGAAAGCAAACACATTTAGTTCACCCAAGATCTCTTTCAACTCTCAGTCAAGCCAGGATCTTAGACTTCCTAAGAAGGAGGGTACTCGCCTGGGCTCACTGTGTCCTCCTGCGGACATGCTCATACTGACATGCGTGCTGAAGCAGTGACCCAGCAGGGCGTGCCCCTCTGAAAAGCTGTCATTGCCCGGGCCTTTTGTTCTATTCGATGATACATAGATTTCTGATGCTTTGCAAGGGAAGGAAAGAGTTAGTCCAAGGAGCAGGTGTTCTGGTCCTTGAGGTACCATCAGCCAATGGGAGCAGCCGCTGGTGATGTAATGCTCTTAACTCCTCCAGCCTTGAGGACTTGAGGGTGGGGATTTGTGGGGGTTTGAATTTTCTCTGGCCTATATTGAACTAGATTTTTCTCTCCAGCTATTTATGTCCTGTCACTTAAAGTTTAGGTTTTCTTAAGAATACGAGGATGCCGCTTTTAAGACAGGATTCAGAGCAGAGCCAGACAAGCCGGATAAAACAGCAAGTGTGACAGCAAACTTTTTGCCTATAATCCAGTGTTGTGGTTTTATGTAGCTTCCTGAGAGTTTCAAGTGATTCCTCTCCTCTGTCAACCTAAGCTGACCCCAACTGGAAGCAGCATAGATTCCTTGACATGTCTCCATCCTTTCATCTCGTCAGTTCAGCCCACAATCACCTGTTAATATCTCCGAGGCTGACATGGAGCCCGATCATTCCAGAGTTCTAGAGTGACCAATAATCCTAGTTTTCCCAGGACTGAAAGTTTCCCCCCAAAAAAACACTTCCAGTACTAAACCCAGAAACTTTCACACAAACCAGTTCAATTAGTAACCCAAAGTAGAGCATATAACA
This sequence comes from Homo sapiens, assembly GCF_000001405.40. Lineage (NCBI taxonomy): Eukaryota > Metazoa > Chordata > Mammalia > Primates > Hominidae > Homo > Homo sapiens. Next base: position 38,222,673 of record NC_000018.10, read on the forward strand.
AATGTTTGAGGGGAAAAAAATGAAGATGTTAGAATAAACTTTATTTAATAGAAAAATTCAGGGTGGAACAAAGACATGTAGTGCCCTCTGAGGCTAATGATTTGGTTCCTTTCAAAACCTATGATTGCAAATATGTGTTCGATATTCGTTTCCTGGCGATAGAAACAAACTGACTTTCTGTTCATTGAGGTAATGTATCTCTCTCTCTCTCTTTTTTTTTTCCAGACAAAGTTTCACTCTTGTTGCCCAGGCTAGAGTGCAATGGCATGATCTCGGCTCACTGCAACCTCTGCCTCCTGAGTTCAAGCGATTCTCCTGCCTCAGCCTCCTGAGTAGCTGGGATTACAAGCATGCACCACCACGCCTGGCTAATTTTGTATTTTTTAGTAGAGATGGGGTTTCTCCATGTTGATCAGGCTGGTTTCAAACTCCCGACCTCAGGTGATCCACCCTCCTCGGCCTCCCAAATTGCTGGGATTACAGGCATGAGCCACCACGCCCGGCATGTATATCTCTTTTTAAAGATTTGTAGTTCTTACAGTTACTGCCCTCTTGTCTTTTGATTTGCACTATCTAAAGTAAATTTTAACTTTGAAAATTAGTGAATACTGGTTAATTTACTGAAGATTTCATTGGGCAAATAGAAAAAGAGGTTTACATTGCATTTCATTGAAAAATAAAATTAGACATAAAATATTGCCTGAGTTTCTTTTCTTGCTCATGGAGTGACTAGGTCTCTTGTACTCTTCTTTCCAGAGATTATCAGGATTGCCACCTGCCTAAGATTAGTACACTCATTTCTCTTTTACTTGTTTGAAATAATTAGCTTTTTCATTGCTTCCTTCCCCAAACTTATGTAACCACACACACTAAGTATATTTAAGAATGTGAAAGACATTTAAGCATGTGAAAGACATTCAGGATGTAGATTTTGTTTGTACTCAGTAAACGTAAGATCTGCCAGTAGCTAGGACTCAACACTTTTAGAAGAAATGCATGGAATTACTTCAGGATAATAGCATGTTCCTTGCCGGGCACAGTGGAGTGTGCCTGTAGTCCCAGCTACTTGAGAGGCTGAAACAGGAGGATTGTTTGAGCCCAAGAGTTGGAGGCCATCCAGGCAACACAGGGAGACATCATCTAAAAAAACATAGTGTATTCCTTGATTGAACAGTAGTAGGAACAATTTATATCTACTTCCACCTCCCCCAGCCACACACACACAAACTTGTATCTAGAAACCTGAACTAACTAGCCACATAGTTCCTATTTATCCCAGTCATGACTGAATGCACTACCATAGGTGATCCAGGCAGCTGGCTGTTTGTCTCTCTCCAATAACTGGGTCTGAGCAGGTCCTTTATTCTCAGAGAACTTATAATTTGCTCTGGAGTCAGTGCACATATATGTTGTGGCTGAAGGATTGTACATGTTGATATGTGGACTTAACATGAGCAGTAGCAATAATGATGCCACTTAATGGAATGTCTGATGTAAATGAGAAGATTACAGAGGGCTCTAGAGGTAAGAGAATTCATGGAAGATGACAAACTAAAACAAAGCCTTCTCAATTTTCAAAGCTCAGTTAAACTTTGTAAAAGTCATTAAGCTGTACACTAATAATACACTAATAATATATCTATTCTTCTGTGTATATGCCATACTTTAATAGTTAAAAAACTTTGTACATATTAAAAAATTTAAATGATATAATTTTACAATATACTTATTACAATAAGCAGCAGTCCTTTGCTCCACACCAATTCCACTTTTATTTTAGTTATTACTCTCTCTTTTTTTTCCAGACAGGGTCTTGCTCTGCTACCCAGCTTGGAGTGCAGTGGTGCAATCACAGCTCACTACAGCCTTGACCTCCTGGGCTCAAGCCATTCTCCCACCTCAGCTTCCCTGGTAGCTGGGTCTACAGGTGCACACCTGGCTAATTGTATTATTTTTTTGTAGAGACGGGGGTCTTACTATGGCGCCCAGGCTGGTCTTGAACTCCTGGCCTCAAGTGATCCTCCCCACTTGTCCTCTCAAATTGTTGGGATTACAAGCACGAGCCACTGCACCTAGCCTAGTTATTTCTTTAGCTGTTTAATACTGTGTTCCTAAATAACACTTTATAATCTTATATCCTAATTTTGAAAATTACTTTCTCCTGACTTCCTACCTTATAATGTCAAGATTTATCGCTCAAACCACCACAATCATGAACACACACACACACACACACACACACACACACACACAGATTGTCTTTTTTGGGTGCCATATTTTCTTCCTTGAGTAAACAGTTGTGATGTTTTTAATTTTTTTTATTATCATTCATCTGTGCCTGAACTCTCTCAGAAATATGAAACATCTTTAAATTCAGTCTCATCGGGAGTAATTTGTCAAATAAAAAGGCAGCACCACATGTTCCTTAGGAACTTCCTTTCCGGAACCCAGTGTTAAACTGATGCGCTCTGAAATGACTGTTTTGTGGACCAGCCTCACAGTTCTTCCTGAAATCCCTGTCATTACTACCCTCAGAATATTCTCCTTAGTTGGGAAGAAATTGGAATCTTGATAACATCCAGACTTCTAAATTATAAAAATGGTATAATCTACAATGATTTAGGTTTTATGTACAAATGATTTTCTCACATTAGTGTTTTATAGTTTTCAGCATCCAGATATTTCATATACTTCATAATACTTATACCTAATATTTTATAGCTCATGATTTTTGGAGCTGTAATGAATGGTCTTGTTCAATTAGTTTTAAGTCTTAATTGTTCATTGCTAGTATATAAAAATGAAATAGACTTTTCTGCATTGACTTTGGAACCCATGACCTTGCTAAGCTCAGTTATTTGTTTTATTAGCTTCTTGTATGTCTTTAAGAATTTCCTAAGATTCTAAATATATATGTTTTGTTTTGCTTTTTTTCAATCTATAAGACAATGATTTTTCTTCCTTTCTTATTAAGCTGGTTAGGACTTCCAGTAGGATGTTTAACAAGAGTGATAAGAACAGTAATGAACATTTTATCTCCTTCCTAATCTTAGGTGACAAGAGTTCAGTCTCTTGGCGGGGCACTGTGGCTCACAACTGTAATCCCAGCACTTTGGGAGGCTGAGGCGGGTGGATCACGAGGTCAGGAGATTGAGACCATCCTGGCCAACGTGGTAAAACCCTATCTTTACTAAAAACACAAAAATTAGCTGGACATGGTGGTGGGTGCCTGTAATCCCAGCTACTCGGGAGGCTCAGGCGGGAGGATCACTTGAACCAGGAGGTGGAGGTTGCAGTGAGCCAACATCATGCCACTGCACTCTAGCCTGGCTACAGAGCAAGACTCCGTCTCAAAAAAAAAAAAAAAAAAAAAAAAGAGTTCAGTCTCTCACCATTAAGTATGATCCCACTGTTTTGTTTTGCTTAGGTGTCATGTATTACCTTATTTTTCACTTTGAGGACATTATTTAAAATAGTTTCTTTGATATTTTTTCCATTTTTTTGTGTTCTCTTCCTAAAGCTCTAAATAGTTAAATACAGACTCTCTAGTATTAGTTATCTTTTTTGTTGTTTCTTTTCAACAGCTTTATTGAGATGTAATTTTAAAACATAAAATTCACACATTTTATGTTTAATGATGTTTGCTAAATTTACAGAGTTTTACAACCATCATCATAATTCAATATTAGAACATTTTCATCATACCAAAGAGAACCTTCATACTCCATTGCAGTCAATCTTGATTCCCACTCCTGGATTCAGTCAACTACTACATGAATATCTAATAGTATCAGCACAATTGATGGAAAAGATAAATATCTTTTTCCCTATTGAACTATTGGATCATTTTTGTCAAAAACCAATTGATCTTCCAGAGTTTAGAGTACATAAATAATTATTATTTATGTACTTATCATTTGCATAATTATTTAGGTACTCTAAACTGTGTTCCATTACCTATATATACTCTCATGGAAATTATTGCACTGTCTTAATTATTATTGCTTTTTTTTTTTTTTTGAGATGGAGTCTTGCTCTGTCGCCCAGGCTGGAGTGCAATGGAGCGATCTCGGCTCACTGCAAGCTCTGCCTCCCGGGTTCATGCCATTTTCCTGCCTCAGCCTCCTGAGTAGCTGGGACAACAGGTGTCCGCCACGATGCTCAGGTAATTTTTTGTATTTTTAGTAGAGACGGGGTTTCACTGTATTAGCCAGGATGGTCTTGATTTCCTGACCTCGTGATCCTCCCGCCTCGGCCTCCCAAAGTGCTGGGATTACAGGCGTGAGCCACCTATTATTGCTTTATAGTAAGTTTTGAAAACAATAAAGCCTTTCTACTTATTTTTTTAAGTTTTTTTTTTTTTGGTGATTATTGGTGCTTTGCATTTCCATATGTATTTTGGCATCAGCTTGTTAAGTTCAGCAAAATATATCTGCTAGGATCTTGATAGAGTTGTGTTAGATCTACAAAACTGCAGTTATTCAGATCACTGTTCCCATAGTTAACATATCAGTACTTGCTGACTACTCTCAAGGTATTATTTTTATATTTAGTTTTAATAAACTTAGCTACTATGTGTTTGATATGGATTATTTTTAGTTCATAATAGTTTGAAATCACTGAGTTTCTTAGGCTGTGTGTTTATGTGTTTCTCAAAATTTGGGAAGTTTTTAAACTACTGTATATTCAAATATTTTATCAGCTGAAAAACTTTCTTTTCTCCTTCTTTGATTACAATTACCTTAATGTTAGACATTTTTTTAATGCCCAGGTCTTTGTTTTTTTTAATTCATTTTATTTCTGCCATTAAAATGGGATTGTTTCTCTTGATCTATCTTCAAATTCTTTTCTCTGTCATTTCTATTCTTCTATTTAGCCCACTAAGTATTTTATTTTGGCTACTGGATTTTTTATTCTAAAGCTTTCTTTTGCTCTTTTTTATATCTTCTGTTTCTTGTCTAAGATGTTCTATTTTTTTCTATTTTTTTTCAAGCATGTTTACAATTGCATGTTAGAAAATTTTGATGGCTGTTTTATAATTTTCGTTAATAATTTTAATCTCTATTTCACCTCTGGGTTAATATCTATTGATTGTCTTTTCTCACTCAAGTTGAGATTTTCCAGTTCTTGATATGAATAGTAAATTTAGATTTTATTTGGATTTATATGGATATTTTTAGTATTACATATGAGACTGTTTTCTATTTTAATATTATATTTTAGCAGGCATTCTGCATGTTTTGGGTCAGTTTTGTGGAATGTGCTTTTTCAATTTGGTTTTTGAAGCCTTGCAGTGCTATTGTAATCTTCTCTATTTGGTGATATCCAGAGGCTCATCTGAAACCTGGGCATTATACCATGCTGTAGTCCTGCTCTCAAAATTCTTGCAACTCCACACACTTTATCATTGAGAACAGGGAGACTGCTCTCTCTTTTCTGTTACTTGCTTATTTCTAAAAAGAGGTGAACACTATGACTTTATCTCCCCATTTTGAGAGGGGAAGGGGTATTATCCCTGTTGGCCTTAGTGTAGGGGGATGATTGACAAGCTCTGACCTAGAATCTCTGAAGCACTAGGTGGCATAAGAGTGGGCCCTCTCTCTTTCTGTTCTGATCTGTGGACAGCTCTATCGTCATATATAGCAAGGGTTGACAAACTATGGCCTGTAGGCCAAATATGACCCGCTATCTAGTTTTGTAAGAAAGTTTTATTGAAACACAGTCATGCTTTATGCTACAAAGGCAGAATTGAGTAGTTCTAACAAACCACGTGACCAGCAAACATAAAACTATCTGGCTTCTGATGAAAAACATTTGCTTCAAAGAAAGAAAGAATAAAAGGAAGGAAGGAAGGAAGAGAGGGAGGGGGGAGGGAGGGAGCGAGGGAGGAAGGAAGGAAGGAGAAAAAAGAAAGAAAAAAAGGAAAAAAGTAATTTGATGGAATTCATAATTGCACTACTGTGTTATCTCTTGAGTCAATTTCTCAAGACAGACTGCCTCGTCTTTTTTCCATCTCTCAGTGTTTTCTCATAGTTGGCTTTATACTTTTTCCAAAATTATAATTAGTGGGAAGAATAATATGGAATGTGCTTATTCCATTTTGTCTGAAATCAGAAGCCTATGAGGTTAATTTTTAATGGTTTATATAGATGAAGTCAGCAATGCACACTTATTATAGGCTTCAAATAATTTTCAAAAATAGCTTATCAAAAAATAAAGAAATAATGAAGCATAATGAATCAGATAAATCTGGGAAGTTGGCAATAACAAAGGAAGTATAGTGTTTGGACTTTCCCCTATTTCACCCAAGATAGAGCCACAAGACTGCAAAAAGTAAAAACTTATGAATGCAATCTATAAGAAAGCTAGGCAATGGATTTTCTCATATACTCCAACTCTTAAGTCTGTAAGGACAAATCACCAATAGCTACAAGATTTGTGCAGTATCAGAATCTGCAATGAAATAAGTAAGGGGAAACAATGGGGAATATGACCAACATGAGAACAAAATAATCTCAAAAGCTAAAAGATATTTATTGGAAAGATTGTCAGGCCAGTTTGAGAATAGCAACGGAAAATGAAATAGGTTCTGCCCCCTCCACTCGTAGCTAAACATAAGGGACTTGAGATAAGGCCTGAAGTGCCTGGACTAGTTCAGTCCTTATAAGCTTTTGAACGTGATCAGCTTAGGCTCCATTCTGACAGGACATATGACTGAGGAGAAAATTGCTAGGGGTAAAATCAAAGCTAAATAGAATACAGTAACAGAGATAAAGGCAAGAGGAGATGTAAAGTGCAGAGGAGAGAAATAGAGCTAGGATAACTCATGGAGCAAGCTGTCATGCTTCTACTAACAATACACTAAACCAATAGAGAATGCAAATTCTTTATGTTGTAAAGGCTATCTAAATCAAGTCTCCATTTGCAAGTTTAGGACATTCAATTTTAAATATAATTATACATTAGAAAAACATTCAGGCAAAATTTCATATAAAGTTATAAAGAAAAAGAAACTAAGAAGTAGAATGGCATTTCTCCAGTGAGTACAATGCCTGAATGGCATACTTAATAGATAAGTTGAAACTATAATGTACTATATTAAAATAGCTAAAATATATTGACAAAATTTAATACATGAAAGAACATAAGTTGGAATTAGAAGAACTCAGAAAATAAAAGTAAATATTAGTTTGAAAATTGGCTAAACTAGAAGAAATACAAAAGTAAATAAACACAACAAATAATATCTTTAGAAAAATTCAAATGTAAAGAAATTAAAAAAGATTCAAACAAGAAAGCTTTTGCAAAAAAATGAGAGACATTAAGTACAGAAAAGAAGATCAAAAATATGTATAATGGGAGTCCTTAAAAAGAAAATCAAAGCAAGAAAAAAGAATAGATATTAAAATCTAGTTTTCAAGAAGTTTCTGAAATAGTTTAAAATGCCTTTTGAAAGAAAATAATGTGCACTTGACCCGTCATGAACAACAGCAACATATGTTCTAGTTACAGTATCAGTCTTAAGAAAAGACAACAACCACAATATACTTTGTGCATGTAGGCAAAAAGAGTTATGAAATGTATGGAGATTATGAATTATATAAAAACATTGCAATATACCCCATACATGTATATGATTATTATTTGCCAATAAAAAATAAATTTTATGAAAGAAAAAAGAGAGGAGAGAAACGTAGCAGAATCAATATTTGGAATATACTTGGCTAATAATTTTCCACATATAAAGAAATATACCAATTTGAGGAGAACTATATTACAAAGATAAATACAAATAAATTTTCATCCATTTAAATTATAGTAAAATAGCAGAACATAGAAGACAAAAATAAATCTGAAAATCAGTAAGAGGATGTTAGAAGTTTTTCAAGAGCAAGCATTAAACAGTCAGGTGATTTCTTAATAGCAACAATACAAATCTCAAAATAACATACTAATACATTCGTACATTGATCAACTAAGGTTGCTTGTTTTAATTTTCAAGTTAACACCAAAAAATTAAAAATATATATATTTTTAATTTCTAAATTAGTAGAGGGAAAAATGGATTGAGAAAGAATAGTTAATACAGAAGAAAGAGAAAGAGAATACATAAAGAAACAAAGAATAAGAAGACAAAAACTAAGGTGATATATATAAATCCATATTAGTAATTACATTAAATAAATATGGAATAAAACAAAAGATAAAGTATGTAGATGTAAATAAAACAATAAAAAAAGCAATGTATTTTTTATAATCGATACATTTAAAACAAGGAATCAGGATATGGAAAGTAAAGAAAGGTTATATATATATTAATATCAGTCCAAAGAAGCTTTAAGGCAAAAAAGTGCTCTACTAAAGATAAATGGGTCATGTTGCAGTATTATTTAATGAACCAGAAAGACATGACAATTTTAAAGTATATGTACTGCCAACATTGACTGAAAATACATAAAGCAAACTGATAAATATGTAAAAAGAAATATACATATCTACAAAGATAAAGATAGATTTTTAAAGCCTGTCAATAATTGATAGAACTAACATGCAAAAAGCTTTTTAAAATGATAAGCATATACAAGGTTTGAACAACATGCTTGACAAACCTGATGATGGACAAACTTGACCCAGTGGAATCCTTCAACCTAGCAACACAGAACACACATTAATTTCAAGGCTTTATGAAACCTTTAATAAAATTGAACATATAGTGCTTCATTATGCAACTCTCAACAAATTTTAAATTATTGAACTCATACAGAGCATGAGAATTCTCACGTTGATATCTGGGAAAGGGACAAGAGCATGTTTATGGACCAAAATTAAAATTAAGCTGTAATCAACCAAAACCTAAACTGAAAGTTCTATTTTCTTGAAAAATAACATAATACACCTCTAAGTAACCCACAGTTCATAAAGAAATTATAATAGAGCATATAAAATATTAAAAGAAAGATAAAATTTTAAATCAAACTTGTGACATAAAACATAGTGCATTGGGTGTTGTATCGAAATGTCATTGCCATATCTAAGGTCATCCAGATTTTCTCATATGTAACCTTCTAGAAATATTATAATTTTGTGTATCACATTTAGGTCTATGATCTATGTTGAGTTAGTTTTTATGCCTAAATTATTAATTTTTTTACCTGCGGATGTTCAGTTGTTCTAGCACTGTTTCTGGTAAAGACTATTCTTTTCCCATCAAAGTGTCCTTGCTCTTTCATCAAACATCATTTGACTATGTTGGTGTGGATCTATTTCTGGGCTCTCTATTCTGTTTCACTCATCTATTGGCCTCTTCTTTCACCAGTATCACACTGTCTTGATTACCATAGCTTTTATAGTAAGGCTTCAAATTGGATAGTATTAGTCCTTCTACTTTGTTCTTCATCAATATTATGTTGGCTCTCCTGAATCATTTACCTTTGCATATCAACTTTAGAATTAGTTATCAATATCCACAAAGTAACTTACTGGGATTTTGATTGGGTAAATACACATTTTCCAGGTCATAACATTCCTTCTTAGCACTAAGACTCTAAATAACTTGGGGTCTTTGTGAAACTCTTTCTCTTCAGTCAGACATAAATTGATCCATTCTCTGACTTTCAAGTTGTGTAAACAATCACACATTTCACAAGATACTCTGTGAAAATCTTTTCTGCATAGAAACAGGTGAGATCCTTTTAAAGCATCATTTGGGAAGAAATTGTTCCCCACAAGTCAATTTTCCATAGTTGAAAATTCCTTCTAAGAGGTCCTTAGATTTCAAGGTGCTCTGGAATCCTATTAAGGAAAGCTTAGCCTGCCTCAACCCTCCAATTCTTACTCTCTTCCCTCTCTCAGCTTTTTGTGCAAAACTAGATAAGACTTTATCATTTAAAATAGAAAAATAAAGGTGGATATGTGCCACATTTTCTTAATCCAGTCTATCATTGTTGGACATTTGGGTTGGTTCCAAGTCTTTGCTATTGTGAATAGTGCCACAATAAATATACGTGTGCATGTGTCGTTATAGCAGCATGTTTTATAATCCTTTGGGTATATACCCAGTAATGGGATGGCTGGGTCAAATGGTGTTTCTAGTTCTAGATCCCTGAGGAATTGCCACACTGTCTTCCACAATGGTTGAACCAGTTTACAGTCCCACCAACAGTGTAAAAGTGTTCCTATTTCTCCACATCCTCTCCAGCACCTGTTGTTTCCTGACTTTTTAATGATTGCCATTCTAACTGGTGTGAGATGGTATACGCCATGGAATACTATGCAGCCATAAAAAATGATGAGTTCATGTCCTTTGTAGGGACATGGATGAAGCTGGAAACCATCATTCTCAGCAAACTATCGCAAGGACAAAAAAACAAACACCGCATGTTCTCACTCATAGGTGGGAATTGAACTATGAGAACACATGGACACAGGAAGGGGAACATCACACACTGAGGCCTGTTGTGGGGTCGAGGGATGGGGGATGGATAGCATTAGGAGATATACCTAAGGTTAAATGACGAGTTAATGGGTGCAGCACACCAACATGGCAAACGTATACATATGTAACTAACCTGCATGTTGTGCACATGTACCCCAAAACTTAAAGTATAATAAAAAAAAAGAAAAAGAAAGGTGGAATATAAGTTTCTAGGATAAAAGAGGACACCTAACCCTTGGGTAGAAGAGAAGGTAGCAGAAGTCCTATAAAAAGTACAAGGGGTGGACAAACAGACAATATAGGGAATAAACAAAACCAAAAAAAGTTTCACAAAATGCTGAGGAGGGGCTGAGTGGAAATTTTATTGCTTATTCTGAAACTAGGGATAGGGACGGGTGGTCCAGAGAGAAGATGGTGGGACAGAGTTGGGATCTACCCAACTATGTCTAGGGAATGTCATTTAGAGAAACGAAGGTGTGGATTCAGTATCAACCTCTCTAACAGAGGTGCAGACTTGGAGAGTGACGTGAAAATTAATAAAAATGGTACTTCCCACAGGGCCCAGTTTTCAGACTGTCAAACCACTCAGTATGCTGGGAGGCTCTCTTACTGGGATGGTGCACAGAGGAGGAACTTCTGTAAGTTGAAGGCCTTCCACACCAGAAGATATGTTGTAAAATTGCCAAATTATTTTTTCATGTTAGTAATAAATATTTTTTGTTGAAATAGCTCTAAATTGATCTACATAGTATTTAAATGTAATGCTTTAAGTAAGGAGGTATTCAATAACTTGTTGAATTGCTTTAACTATGTTTGTTATGAAGAGCATCAATTAAAGTTTTTTTGGTTACTTGGGGTTATCATTATCAGCACACTTATTGACTTGCACCATAATGCAGCTGTCTCCTCAGGGTCTCTATTGAGGTATGAGCAGCTATTTGTTCTGTCACTAATTCCCATTTGAGTGCTTTTGGAGTTGTTTTTGTTCCTTCACATGCCTTGCTGGAAGTGTTCATTTCTTTGTTGTATTCTTAAGTCTATCAATCTTGCCTAACTCTGTGCAATTGATTGCTTTTAGTTTCAGTATGTTGGGATAGCTAATCATTAAATTTATTAAGTATTGTTTGTAAAATATAAACTCATAGAGTGTGAGCTTTTGAGACAGGGTTATTCTGCTGTGGACTTCACAATCCATTAGTGAGTTGGGAAGTCGATTTAGCAAGCAGGACTCACTTTTGTTATTTAAAAAAATAGAATATAATTGAATTGAAAAATATAATTGAAAATATTATTCATTTACATGTGATAAATGCAAATGTTTTATAAAATTCATAGTAATAGAAGATGTAAACTATGAGTTGTTATTTGAATGTAATCTATGGGGACAAATAATTAAATGTGTCTCAGGGCAATGAATTTTAGATAGATATCTTTTTTTCTTATTTCTTATAATTTCTTGATTTCTTTTCAGGTACTTGAGTGATTAAGTTCTCCATACAAAAACCCTCCCTCTTAGGGTTACTGTCATTAGGGAAGGGCCCCATGAAACCTGCAGTGTCTACAATTGAGTTACTTTTAAAGAACAACTGCTACTGAGAGATGGAGAATCCGTACAAAGCTCTCATTCTCTTGAGGCAGTGGTTATGACAGGGACCCACTTGTTAGGAGTCTCAGAAGTGGGAGAAGTCTTAGAGACAAAGAATGGAAAGGGACAAGACCCTCTCTCACGCACGCAGCATTTAAGGTAGAAATGTGGATTTCGACTGCTTTCATTTTGGAAAAAGGCTTTACTTTGTTGTTCTAGGAGCAGGGAATTAGCCTCAGAAAAAGAATAGAGGCTTCTCTAGGTACGATTTCAGCCACACTGTCAGACAAGGGCATAACTGGTGTCTTTGAGGTTGCTTTTGTGCTCTGTCCAGCTCACCATGGTAGGAAGTCTGATGGGGATCCTGCGCAGGGGCCTATAGTTTTAACAAAAATAATTAGAGGACATTATTGCATTTCTCTAAGACTTAAGCACGAGGGCAGAAGGTGCATAGGCAGGCCAGGTTAAAACATAGGAATGGAAACTTTCAACTCTGAAGACAGGATAGATATTTAAATATTTATCAAATAAAAATATGATGATGATGATGATGATGATGGTTTTACTGGCCTTACTCCTTCTAGCACCTCTCAGAGGAAGTACAGATTTTGCTATAACTTTTGATATTTCTTTCCAAGCCCCTTTACTACTCTCTTTTTGCTTCCTAATATTTTGTTCAACCTTAAAGAAAACCAACAAAAAAGTTATTATTTTTATCATAAATATTATTAATGTCTTAAGTTAAACTTTTTTGATGCCTGCATTGTAAAAGTCACCAGGTTGAATACGTTGGAAGACACAAAACTAGGTACACACTTGTTCAAGAAGTATAGAATGTGGATGGAGAGGGCTGATGGAGGGAGCAGCCCTGCATTTCCCCGGTAGTCCAAACATATCAAAACATAATCCATTCCTTTGCAGCTTGTTGAAGAAAGTATAAGCTAGCCACAGGGTTCATGTTTAGCTATTAAGCACTTTTATAACAATGAGAAGTGCCTTTTTCGAGATGTAACTTTCAACAGTTTGTTTCTGGGCAGATTTCCTGTGTCAGTATCCCCACTCTCTTCCTTTGCATTAATCAAGTTGTTTGGTAGAGGTAGAATCTAAGTGTTTGTGTGTCCAATTTACTTTGAGGTATAAACCATTGCTGTGCCCATTCAGTGTTTGATGCATAATTAGACCTTGAATCAATAAGTGTAAATACAGCATTTGATCTGTAATGCTTCTTTACAAAGGTTTTTATTTTAATAATAAAACATTTTGTTCTAAAAAAAATCAAAAACAGAAAACAACTCACGCATGTACTTATTTTTAAGAAGACACAGAAGGCAAGACATTTTGTTTTTCTTTCTCTCATTTTATCTGCTAGATGACTGCCCTTCTAATACTAAGACCTACATAAAACGAATTAGTATTAAAAACATCAAGCTTGATGGCAAAAGTGAGTATTATAGCCATTTTTTACACCAACTTTTTATGACTTCTTACTGTGAGTTTCCCTGGAATAGATCTAGGTGTTCAACAAATTGGGAGGCATGATTTCTTCCATGAATAATACAAAACCTCAAAAAAGATTTTCCTAGAAACTCAGCTATCATTAGAATTATTCAAAGAATGAAAACTTCTCTTGAAAGGAATTCCCAATAGCTCATTTGCTATGTAAACAAATCACATGGCCTGAAGGTATGGTTGGAGTATATAAAATATTAAAATGTTGATACCTGATAGATTCTAGGAAGAAATTTAAATTTATAGGCAAGCATTTCCTGGAGCGGGGGTAGACCCTTATGGTTCAATGAGTCTTGCATTAAAAATAACAAAGGAAGATAAATTAGCCCAGAGGATACTGTAGGCATGAATTTTATGCCCAATATCACTATGGCTGCAGTGCTGGGCACCACTTTGCTCTTCTGGAGTTGTGGAAAATGAGGATTATATCTACCAATCAATTCATGGAGATGCAGCTAATTTGTACCATTAAAAAGAACGTGAAAAAGAGGTAAGGAATATGAATGGAATATGGAAGTGAGTGATAATAGTACATCATTAATATAAAATTTGTCATTATATTTGACAAATATAAAATTTGTCAATTGTACTGAGTCCTCTCAGTACAATTACCATGCTAAGTGCTTTTGTGTGCATTAGTTAATTTAATCTTTGAGATAAAACTCCAACATAGTTTCTAGTTTTACTTCTAAAAAGCAAGAGCTATCAGGAGCCCAGGTGAGGCCCAGTTTGCTCGCTGTTTAATAAAGTGGTTTATTCTGTTTGGTAGGTGTGGCTGCGGGTAACACTGGGGACTAGGCATGTCCTGTGTCAAAAGTTCCAGGCAGTGAGTGGATTCAAAATAGGTCTTCATATAGAATTGGAAATATAAGGTATAGGATTCTGCTTCTAGGTGAGCAAAGCTGGAAAGTGCTAGACATGCTGTGAGAGTCCCAAAGAGCTCCCATTCAGAGAGGGACCTTTACACAGACATTCAAAATAGTACACAGAAAATAGGTAGGAGATGTGGCAGAGGCAATCCTCAGCATGATGAGATTTATGAGCTGACTGCAACTCACCAGACCCAGGAGGCTCAGGGGGTCAGAAGATTCATTTTAAATCTAGCACATGATTTCACTGAGTCCTCTGATACCCTAATATTATCTCACCCTACCTTAAGTGCTTAGCAACAAACCTATAAAGGAGTCATTTATTATCATAACCATCACCATCATCATTATTATCAGTCTTTACCAATAAGGGAATTGTGTCTTAGAGAGGTTAGGCAACATGCTCAAGGTCACTAGTAAGAGTAGAGAATCAGGATTTGAAATCAAGTTGTCTGAATCTAGAGAGATTCTCTTAATGACCACCAGCTTATCCAAATAAAAGCACCAGGCTCATTCATTCATTCAGTAAACCAATATTCATAGAGTATCTGCTATGTGCCAACCACTGTGCTAGGTGCTAAGTATTAGCTGCTCATTAAGAGTTGGTTTTCTAAGTGAATGAATGAATGAATGAGCAAATTGAATGAATGAATAAATGAATGAATATACTGCCATTTGTGAATGCATAACTTAGAATATACCAATTTGAAACTATGACATTTTGATTAAGCTGTTCTACTTCTACTGGACACCATAGTATAAGATCACACTCTTGTTGGTAGAAGCAGACTCTTGCACAGGGGTTGGCTCTGTTCTCACTGTCAATTACCCTTGACACAAAGCCTATCTTTAATTAGGGAATGAGGAATGGTAAAGTAGGCATTAGACCACAGTGAAAGCAGATTTCCTTTTTTTTTTTTTTCCGGCTCTAGGCAGATGGTCTGGACTTGGCAGCAAAGATGTTCAGGACACTACAAGCATTGTTCATAGCTGTTCCTGACACATGGAAGTGGATCCTCTAGATAGTTCTGATTCTCCAAATTTAGTTGTCCTATATAACTTATACTTAGGTCTTGACTTTCATTCATTATTGAACATTGAGTAAATTTTTATTATAGGTAACAGCTTAGCCTTGGCAATTTATAGTGAGGCCAAGGGGAACCCAGGAAATCCTTCCTAGGCAGGGGAAGAGGTTGTGATGTTTCCTTGGTTCTCAGTGGAGTGGAGATCTCATAGGACAGCACAGAAGAGGGCAGTGTTATGGCAGTCTTATGACTACATGAGAGCAGAGGGAAATGGGGAACTGCTTCTAAGCACAGTGAGCAGCACTCAGGAGAGCCCATATATTTATACAGTCAGGGGTGGGGAGTTAGGGGATAGGAAGTTGAGAGAAGTTAATCCACACAAATATTATTTAATTTTGTAGTCACTTGCTGATGTATATAGAGTAAATACAACCTCATGCCTGACATAGTTGCTAACTGTGGAACCATGGTACAGTGAACCGAGCTGATCTCTGGCAGCCAGGAGGCTTAGGCTCTCCTCAGGGAATGGATGGGTTAATTACCATCTCTTTCTTTGAAGCCAGGATTGATGATGTTCACATGTGAGACACTGGAAGCCAAAGCCTTGTATTCATTTCTCATTCCCAACACTAGCCAAAGCTTACTTCTTTCTTTTCCACTTAACAAAGCATATAGGAATCCAAGGAAAGTGTGAAGCTATTAAAGGATAATCTTAATTATTTCTAATTTAAATGTAAAATAGGTGTTCACAAAGTATTAATGAATATGAGACAATGACATGGAGAAAAATAATCTATAAGATGTCTGCCTGGCTTATCAATCCATGCCTACTCATTTTCAGATCAATTGGTATGAGAAGTCTGTCACAGGAAGAAGTAAGGAAAAGAGAGAGAGAAATTAGGCAAGATTTTGTGAATCCATCCAGATATTGGGAGGTCAGGAGGAACACAAGTAAAGACTAGGAAGCTATGCCAGGCAACCAGTGCACAAGCTGTGTGTCACAGGAAGGGTCAAGCTGTGGTCACAGGTGACAGAGAGAATAGGGCATGAATATCTTCCAGGCTCCATGGACGTTCAGGGAAGGCCACCAAATGTGCTAGTCTCTCTTTCCCATGAATGAAATTGTTCTTAATGAGAAGTCAAAATGGAAAATAAAAATAACAAATTTTATTCAAATCTACATTCTTAGTTTCTGTGTCACCCAGGACCCAGGCAGTTTCATCATCCTTCGCCCATTGCTGAGTGGATTCTATATGGGGGGTGGGGAGGGCCTGTGATTTGATCCAAAACCTCCACTAATAATTGCTCTTTCTTGATTTCACTTTGTCTCTCAACACACTTTGAAGTCAGTAGATCAGTGTTACCTACTGAGGAAGAAAAATGGAAGCACACAAACTTGGGGACACTCACTCACTACCAGATGGATGATGGACCAGGGAAAAAGCAGAACTGCAAACCTGCCATAGGTTTGACCATTCTTTAGAATTGTCTCATTTTTGGCGCTGGCCTCAAGAGTAAAAGGACACATGAAGGTATTTCACCTCTGTTAAGCTTATAACCTGGGGCAGGCTCCCTGGGGTGGGACATCTTAAACTGAATTCATGCTTTTTGGTGGGGTCAGGAGATTTTCACTGGGAAGTGTGACTTTCACTTCTGACAAGCAACGACATTGCTTGATCAGCACGTAATTCTTAGGAAAAAAACATTTGGCTGAGCTAAATGGAAAAGCATCAGGCACAGACAGATTAAATTTTCCTTTAAATAAACATAGCCTTTCAAAGAGGCAAGAAAAACGTTTGGAGCAAAACATGCTGGGCATGAAAATTTCCGCTGAAACATCTACCCACCCTGAGCAAGAACAAGAAGTATTCCTTTGTTAAACCGATAAGAATGTTTAAAGGTGTTTGTGCTGAAAGGCAGAGGTGTGGCTCTCTAATGCCACATCCCATACTCCTCAGGTCTCCCTGAGTATCTACACGCAGCAATTTTTTAATTAAATGACTAGGATTTGGGATACTTGAAGTTTGCCCAGCCTTCAGCTTCACTATAAAGGTGATAAAGAAATTCCTCTCCCTAAAGGCACCAGGAGGTTCTTCATATTAAGTGTAATGGCTCTGTTTTAGTCTGATCACTTTGTATCACAAAATACTGTTGATCAGTTTGCTTCTTAGAACTTCATAAAACATAAAACTTTTTACCAGGTTTTCATGCAAGTATGTCTTATCCATTGTCTTTCTGTTTCCATTATGTGCCCTTTTTCTTCTGTCCCAAACCCACTTCTTTCCCTCTACATTTTATCTCAGGGCTCCAAATGAGAAAACCAAGAATTTTAGATATCATTTCCATTGTCAATCACATGCCATTAATCATCAAGTTCAAACAATTTTGCCCTTTTCCTCAAATGTGTATATTGATTCAATAAATATCTGTTAAACACTTGCACATGTATTAGCTACAGATCTGCACATTAGCAATATGGAGTGAAAGTTGAGATGTTCTCTTGGAACTTTCTTCTAGTAGGGGAGGGAAATGACAAACAGATAAACAACATGATTGCATATATATCTTATAGAGTTAATAAAATAAGGTATTATGATAGTGATGTGCTTATCTTCTTCACACAGAGCGATATTTAAACTGAGACTTGGATGATGTGAAGGAGCCAGCTACAAAAGTACCTGGAGGCAGAATAGTCCAAGCTGGAAGAATAGCAAGTGCAAAGGCTCTGGGGTGGGGAATGGTCTAGATATGTAAGACAGAGCAAAGGGCCTTGGGCTGGAGCATGGTGGGGTTGTGGTTCCAGAGCCTCACATTATGAGAGAAGAGCCCAGTAGGCCATGATAAGGAATTTTGTTTCATTTTAAGTGCAATGGGAAGCCAATTGGGGGTCTGGAAAGGATAGTAAAATAAATCTAAATTATGTTTTTAAATATTAAAAAATGAACCACACAGATGATGATGGTTTGAGCTAGGTGATAGCTATGGGCAGAATTTACAATTCTCTAAATATTAGGAAGTTAAATTGATTCAACTTGCTGATTAACTAAATATGGAATGTGAGGCAAATATGAAAATGAGGGATGAAGCCCAGATGTTGAACCTAAATAACAGGCAGTTAGGGTTACCATTTATTCCCACCCTCCTGCCCCACCACCCCTAGCATCATCTTTCACTTAGATCTCGGTCACAGTCTAATATCTTGTTCACCGAATTGCGGCCTTGGTCCTCTAAATAGAGCATCCACAAAGCTGCCAGGATGATTCATAGAAAAAACAACATACCCTCATCACTCCAATTCTCACAGCCTTTCAATGACTTCCTATGTTTCACAACAGATGACAAGCTCTCTGTACAATTTTCCATTTGCAATGTTGTATATGTAATCTGTACATGTACATGTGTAGTGTTCAATGATGTGATAGGCAGAATTCTAAAATGGATTCCAAACTTCTATGCCCTAGTATATTTCGCCCTATAATTTCCTCCCCGGGATGTGTCTGTGAATACGATGCATGTCAGTATCCTAATTAGGTTATGCTGTGTATCCATGGAAGATTGTACCAAGTGGACTTGATTTAACCAGGTTAAAGCTTTTCCAAGAGGGCGGGCTCTTTCTGATGAGGCTCTCCTGCTGGCATTGCAGAAGCAAGCCATTTTGAGTTTCACAGCTGACAAAAATACATGGTTGCTCACGAACCATGTAAGCTTGGAAGAGGACTCTGACACGCAGGTGGGACACCAGCCCCACCCTGACATCATGATTACAGGCTTGTGAGACTATAAGCCAAGGTGCCAACTAAGCCATGCCTGGATTCCTGAGCTGTGAGAGAATACACACATGTGGTTTTAAGTCACTAAGTTTGTGGTGATTTGTTATAGCAGATGAGAAACTAATGGAATGTGCTTTCATGTCTGAACTCTTGATTTCCAAACTTAGTCATCTTGACTAGCCTCAGCATTTTTATTTCAACAGCACCAAGTGATTTGCAAGTTCTAGCCATTCTCTAGCTTTCTTTTGCTCTCATGCCCTTGGCAATACTGGCTCCTCTTTCTAGAATTTCCTCCATCTCTCCATCATCTAATCTCTACCTGGAAACACTCATTTGGGAAGCTTCAGTTAATGGCTCATCCTCATTTCTTTATTCACTCTTTTTTGTTTGTTTGTTTGTTTTTCTTGAGACAGAGTCTTGCTCTATCACCCAGGCTGGAGTGCAGTGGCGCGATCTCGGCTTACTGCAACCTCTGCCTCCCAGGTTCATGCCATTCTCCTGCCTCAGCCTCCGAGTAGCTAGGACTACAGGTGCCCACCACCACGCCCGGCTAATTTTTTTGCATTTTTAGTAGAGACGGAGTTTCACCGTGTTAGCCAGGATGGTCTCAATCTCCTGACCTCGTGATCTGCCCATCTCGGCCTCCCAAAGTGCTGGGATTACAGGTGTGAGCCACCACGCCTAGCCTATTCACTCTTTCAGTACATATTTATTGAACTTCCACCTTTCACCAAAGGATGTAGAGTAAAAAACAGAAATCTATGCTCTCATTTCCATTATATTCCAATGGGAGGAAGAGATCATTAACCAAGTAAACAATCAGGGCCAAGTGTGGTGGCTCACACCTGTAATCCCAGCACCATGGAAGGATGAGATGGGGGGATTGCTTGAGCCCAGGTGTTTGAGACCAGTGTGGGCAACATAGGGAGATCCTATATCTACAAAAAGTTTAAAAATTATGTGGACATGGGGGTGTGCACCTTTAGTCCCTGCTACTTGGGAGGCTGAAGTGGGAGGATCACTTGAGCCTGCCAAGGTGAGGCTGCAGTGAGCTGAGATCATGCCACTGCACTCCAGCCTGGGAGACAGAGCAAGACCCTGTCAAAAAATAAAATAAAATAAAGTAAAATAAAATAAAATAATAAAACAAACAATAAAATGAATGCTTAATTTCTATTTGGAATAAACTCTATGATAGAAAGATCAGACAAAAGAAAAACAATGATTCCTCCACACGGCCTCCCCAGACCATCTCTACCTGTCCCATTATTTCACATCTGCTCTCCATAGGTTGCAAGTATATCCACAGGAGGGATGCTGTTTGATTCATCTTCATATCCCTGGTACCTAAACGATATGTCGAGCACTTTGAATATGCACAGTAATGTGTGTTTCTAAATGAATATAGGATCTTTCAGTTCCTACTGGCCCCTCTAAAAGTCAGTGCAAAACATTACAATACCGGAGCAAAACCACCAATCTTATATCTACCCCGTCCCTGAATTATGGAGGACCTGGACTGGGACTTAATATTCAATAGAGTGGGATCTTAATTAGCCAACTTCTCCTAGCATATTTCCCAGCATCCCTGAATTCATGTTTTAACATGACTCAGCAACCTCTTTGATTCCCCAAGTGAGTCATTGATCTGTTTTCCTTGACTTGAAATCATAGATGCTGGTGTCCTTTTAGTTCCCTCTTAGTCCATTTCAGCCATTTGGGGTTTGGTTATCTCCTAGTTTTTTCTAATTCCATTCTCTGCTTGCAATTTCTCTTGCACAGATTGCTATTACAATAAGCATTTACTAATTTTGAGGCCTCCTAGCAACTTTGGACACCCTTTTTACATTGAGGTAATACATTGCCTACCTTTTGATTCTTGGTGGGAGCCAGGTACTCAGTTCCCCAGTCTCTTTTGGAGCTGGGGTATACTCATTTGACCCAGGTACTGTTAATTAGACTCAAGAGCTGGATTTAATATAGGAAAATAGTAGTTTTAAAAAGCAGGCCCCATGCAGAGTCCTTTCAGGGGATAGTAGTGGGAACTACATCCAGTTCCCAGGGGTAGTGGTGGTTAAGGTTCTAGTAGATGCACCCAGGACTAGCTGGCTTCTGTGATACCTGTGCCTGGCAGAGGTATCACATTGTCTCTACTGGGGCCAGTTCTGTCATGTGGCTTTTAGCATTCTTTGGGGCTGCATAGCCTGGAGATTCTCTGACATACCCAAAGAATCAACTGGCTTTCAATTGAAAGAACAGACATCCCATATGATGTGCTTGGTCTCTACCACAGCCCAATGTCTACCTGGCCATTGTCCCTACTTCCTGCCATGCACACACACATGCACATGCACATGCAGAGAGTACTTGCTTTGAGTGTGGATAAAGGTCCAGAGAGTACTAGTGTCTAGGAAGGCCCCTTGGGCTTGAGTTGTTTCACTGATCTTATTTAGTCTTCATTTGTTCTTTCCAAGCTCCTGACCTAGTCAGTTTCAATACCTTCTGTCCTTCAAATATGATTCTACCCCAACATGCTTAGCAGCTAAGGCGTTAATGGTAGGACAGTATTATTCTACAAATCTCACAAATGGAGAGCAAAAGGGACAGGTTTGGACAGTGTTTCACTTGAGGAGCAGTGCAAGACTCACCCATTTCCACATATCTCTACAGAGAGCAAACTCACTGTGGTGGCCTCATTAGCGGCGGTAGTACAGATCTGCTGCCAAGGAAACAACATCCTTTTTGATATCCAATGCCAGAACTTCATCAAAAATGGAAACAGAAAGGAAGTTCTAAAACAAACAGCCTGTTTTTTTTTTTCTACACCATAATCTCAGCAGGCCCATTATATTGGCAGGTCAGCTTCCTCATGCGATTACCCACACAACACATGGGAAGCAGCAGGCAGGGCAGGACCAGGTGGAGTAGAGTTGGTCAAAGCAGCAGTTCACCACCTTTAAAAAAGAGGTGGGTGTCTCATCAGCAGGGATGACAGAGTGCCTGCAAAATGCCAAGCTCCATGTGGAGGTAGAGACAGAGGATGCTCTGAGAATCCTTGAGAATGCCAAGATGCACTTCTCAACAGCCATGCTACTATAATATATTAAGCAACCTCCTCAATGCCTCTATGTCTTTTAAAAATTATTATCGACTGCTTTTGAATTTTGCACAACAAAATGCAACTTAATTTAAGGCTCCAAGTGCAATCACGAACCATGATACTTAGCCTGAGTTAGGTATTGAACCTGTTCCTTCCTCCTGGTCTCCTGTCAAGGCACTTTCATGAGCAAAGGAAATGGCTGGGTATGAAAAGGGCCAGCACATGCACTTAGAGTAAAATCTAAACCAGTTTTGGTTCAGCCACATCCTATCTGCCTATCTGTGGGTGATGGGGCAAGTCACTCCCCAAGCCTGAGCAAAATAGGAATCTGTCCACACCCCACAAGTGATATAGGGCTATGACTGGCACTTAACACATTTGTCATAGGTGGTCAATTATCATTTGCAGAATCTATTGTTGCAGAATCTGTGGCTATCCCTGTTATAAAATACAGAGTTCTAGAAACTATTTGCAGGGGGAAGAGAAAACATTAGGAATATATTAGCTGAATGGCTCCCTTTCTTACTCCTCTCTTCGGCTATGGCAGACATGGTACTGTCAGCATCTGGGTCCCCACATAAACAGCTGTCTGCATGAAACAAGCCAGGAGGCCCATATTAAATAATGAAGCTAGGATACATTAATTACACCATAGTAAGTAACTACCATATAAAATATGACCATTATATGATTGTTATTACTTTTACTACATTATTCATGCTGACATAAATATAACAGCCCACTAGTCATCAGTGTCACACTGTTTTTATAGAGAAGGAAAATGGAGCTCAAAGCATTTAATGGCCTAATGGCCAAACCTCTAAAACACCAGAATAATGGTTGGCAATGCATGAAAAGAGGTCAGCAGGTTGGCCAATAGACAGCTTAATGACTGAGCTTTGTTTTAATTTGGACTTCCCAACCCACTGATGCCTTCCTCGCCTGTCAGCCTTATAACTGGGCAGAACAGGTTGCAACATATGGGCAAATAAATGCAGAGGTCCATGATAGGTTACCCTGGTCCAGAATATCAAACACAGTTTTCCAATTATACCGTACGAGCTTCATTTGTTTGATTCTTGAAAACAACCGTTTAGATCCCTATCAGCCCCTCATATACCAAACCTTGGAGGTGATAACTCATATCAGTTACAAGCAAGTTTGCCGACTAATATTTCTTACAAAGTGGGAAGTACAGCTATTGATTTTATCTTAACATAGAATTAAGAAAATCCAGGAAGCATTTTCCCAAGGACACAATTGCTTTAGTCAATATAAGGTTTAATGAATTGAAATCCTTGCTCTTTTTCTGGATATCATACTACCTCTCATTAGCTCTCTAAGAGAAAGGAGAAAGAGGGGTGTATTATCTGTTCTTACACTGCTATAAAGACGTACCTGAGAGTGGGTAATTTATAAAGAAAAGAGGTTTAATTGGCTTACGGTTCTGTGGGCTGTACAGGCTTCTGCTTCTGGGGAGGCTTTGGGAAACTTACAATCATGGTGGAAGGTGAAGGGGAAGCAGGCACATATTCATATGGCCAGCAGGAAAGAGGGTGAAAGGGGAAGTGCTACACACTTTCAAACAACCAGATTTTGTGACAACTCACTCACCATCACGAGAACAGCAAGAGGGAAATCCACCCCATGATTTAGTCACTTCCCACCAGGTTCCTCCCCCAGTACTCAGGAATTACAATTTGACATGAAATTTGGGTGGAGACACAGAGCCAAATCATATCAAGGGGTAAACAGGTAGCAAATGTGTAAGGCAAAGACAACTTTTTCAAATTCATAATTCTCAAAGACTTTGTCTCTATACCTGTCAAGTTGGTTGGGCTTGTTACATGCCTTGCTCTTCAGCTTCTTCCTCATACAGACCCAAAATGGGCAAAGCAAGGAAAACTTTAAAAGATGAACTTTTTAAAATTATCATGAAAAGATTAAAATTTACCCTTGGTAGGCACTTAGAAAATATATAATGTAGATATATACAAATATATAGATGTGGCTGAATTTTTAATCCCTGTAGATGGCTATTCTAACTGTATATGGATATGGAAATGGCTAATTCATTCATCAAGTATTTTTGGGGGGTTCTGTGTACAAAGTAGAGTTGGGGGTTATTCCTTTCAGTCTTTTGCTAATATGTCTGGGTCTTTGTACCTCGTTAAACAGCAGTGAGAATTACCATTATTTTGTCTTTATTATCCATCTCTGCTTAATTTTCTAGTGCTATGAGAAATTTAGAAGTCAAAGTAAGAGATTTACAAGTCTCTACCAGAATTCTTTCATTAGGTACCAAGTAGGACAAATCTCATGCTGGTGGCCCTGCTACTCTCAGGATTACCCCTGAAGATCATATGAAATGATGAACGTAAAATACTTGGTAGCAAAGGGCTATATGTGTACCAGGTATACTTATCATATTATCCAAAATTTAAAATATAACAGTGTGCAACTTGAGAGCTGATCCTATCATGCTGTTTATTAAGAAACATTCACTGATGCTTTACATTAACTATCAAAAATCCAGATTTAATATTTTCTCTTTATTTTAAACTCACAATTTAAAGTATACTTAAATTACTAATGATTCTTATTTATCATTATGAAAATTTTGAAAATTTGTAAAAGTGGAGAGAACAGTATTGTGAACCTCCATGTACCAATGAACCAGTTTTAAACAATTTCCAATATATGGCCAAGTTTATTTCCACTGCTATCTCCCTCCTCCCAAACACACAGTGGATTTATTAGAGCAAACACCAAACTTTTTTTTAACCATTTCATCATTAAATATGGTCATGTGCCCTAGAGCCATGTTTCAGTCAAGGACAGACTGCATGTTAGTGGCCCCATAAGATTATATTAGAACTGAACAATTTATATTGCTTAGTGATGACATAGTCATCCTAACATTGTAGCACAATGCATTGCTCATGTGTTTGTGGTAATGCTGATGTAAACAAATCTACTTCACTGCCAGTCATATAAAAGTATGGCACATGCAGTTATGTACAGTACATAATACTTGATAGTGGTAACAAACATGTTACTAGTTTATGTATTTACTATACTATACCTTTTGTCATAATTTTAGAGTATTTCTTATAAGAGAAAAGTTAATCTCAGACAGGTCCTTTAGGAAGTATTGCAGAAGAAGGTATTGTCATCATAGGAGATGACAACTCCATGCATGTTATTGTCCCTTAAGACCTTTCATAGGGACAAGATGTGGAGGGGGAAGACAGTGATATTGATGATCCTGATCCTGTGTAAGTCTAGGTTACTTTGTGAGTTTATGTCTTAGATTTTGTTTTTTAACAAAGTTTAAAAAGTAAAAATATAAAAATAAAAATGTTTAAAATGAAAAAAACTTATAGAATTAGGATATAAAGAAAGACAATACATTTTACAACTATGCAATGTATCTGTGTTTTAAGCTGTGTTATCACTAGTCAAAAAGTTTAAAAATTAAAGTGTATGAAGCAAAAATGTTACATTAAGCTAAAGTTAATTTGTTACTGAAGAAAGAAAATTTTAAAAAACAAATTTAATGTAGCCTAAGTATACAGTTTTATAAAGTCTACACTCGTGTCCAGCAATGGCCTAGGCCTTCACATTCACTCACCATTCGCTCACTGACTCACCCAGAGCAACTTCCAGTTCCACAAGCTCCATTAGTGGTAAATGCACAGGTGTACCATATTTTAATCTTTTATACCATATTTTTACTATACCTTTTCTATGCTTAGGTAGGTTTATATACACAAATACATATCATTGTGTTATAATTGCCTACAGTATTCAGTACAGTAACTAGCCTAGAAGCAATGGGTGTATTGTAGGCTATATCATCAAGTTTGTGTAAGTACACTCTATGATGCTGGCACAATGACAAAATTGCCTAACAACATTTCTCAGAACCTATTCTCATTGCTAAGTGATATATGACTGTATATTAATATATCTCTCTAAAATATAAGGACTCTTTCTCCCATGTGTTTGTTTCAACATGACCACAATAGATGACCACATTTAAAAGAGGCCTTCAGGAGATGATTTCTTATTGGGGAAGAATATTGTGCCATGTGGCTTACTTAAGAATATTTGGTGACCCCCCTGAGCCCTGTGGAGGGCACAGATTCCATCCTGGAGTGGATGAAATCTCAACCCTAAGATCATCCTCTACCCACAGTCTTCCCACTGTCCCCCCACCCCTTATCTGTGCACATTTGTTCATGCTGTGTAATCTAACATGATGCCAGTCCTCCTGCTGCCCTTCTGTTTTTACTTTCCCATTTTGTAAGAATTTCTCCAATCTAACCTTTTGTTTTCCTCACATTATTGGAGCCTCTAGTGATTTTTTTTTCTTTAAAATCTGTTTCATTCACTGTACTATTAGAAGGCAGTGTTATAGGAATTAAAAGCATGTGCTTCAGAGTGACAAAGCTGAGTCTAGAATTTCTCGTAACTGATTTACTGCTAGTAAATGTTCTTTGGAAAGTCCCCACTAACTGTCACATCTTTGAGTATTAATAGGAACAGTTTATATTGTTATTTAGAAGATTATTTATGAGTGTATATACATGTAGACCTATGTCTATATGTGTATATAGAATACAATTTCATATGTATACTACCTATACACATGCATATACATCAAATATATATTGTTTAGCACTGAGAACAATGAAGGTAGTATTATTATTGCTGTGGTTACAATCTGTATTCTAAACCATATTCTGCTTTCTGATATACACAGTAGCTTATTGTTATCTTTCACTATGTAATTCTTGAATTATTATGTTTCTTTGTGTTTACTTTCAGATGTCAGCTTCTTGAGGTCAGAGCTTTTGATTTTCCTATAGTGGCTAGCTTCACAGAGGAAATTCTCAAAGATATTTCAAAACACAGCCAGCCAGTATACAGAGAGGCAGGGAGGCCCAGGATATTCTGCTAAATAGGAGAGCCTCTCCCCGTCTCTTTAGGCTCCCTACCAAGTTCTCCTGTGCTGTTGGTGCATAGGCAGTTTCGTGTCAACCAAAAGACAATATTTCTTTCTTGGATTTAATAAAAAGGGGAGGTGATTGGGCAGGCTGCTCTAAAGAAAAGACCTGCAATATCCCTCCTGCCATGGTATAGAGCATGTTGAAATGAATCTGTAGGTTTCTTCCAAAAGACAAAAAGACTTTTTTTTTTTTTCCAGAAAACAGGTGATAGGACAACTGGAAAAACAGTCATTTCCAACTGACGTGAGTCTCCAGACAGCTGATCCTACCACAGGGCTGGCTGCTTTATTCTGGAAATGTCATCCTTCTTTAGTCTGTAAATATCATGCTATAGAACACCTTAGCCCTGGCTTTAGGAAGGGCCTGAGCCAACGGTGCACAGGCAGTTTACTGTCAACCTAAGGGCAATGCTTCTTTCTTGGAATTAATAAAAAGGCGAGGGTGCTAAGGAGGCTGCTGTGAAGAAAGGACATGCAATTCCTCCTGCCATCACACTGTGGCTTCTTTAATAAAATGGTGAAAGAGTGTCTTTGTCCTTCAAACGCAGTCCTACTTGAGCATCTGCACTTTTTCACTTTCAAATGTGTGAATTCTTGGAATATGACTGCATCCTCCCTTTTAAACCTATACCCATAATATCTGTCAAGGGCTCTGCAGTGCCGTTTTACCTTGCAATATCTCCCAAGTCCAGGCCAAATCCTCTATTTCACCTTTTCATAGTCTAACACGCCGCTAAGTAAAG
The DNA here is from genome assembly GCF_000001405.40 of Homo sapiens. NCBI lineage: Eukaryota > Metazoa > Chordata > Mammalia > Primates > Hominidae > Homo > Homo sapiens. The sequence continues at coordinate 38,250,723 of NC_000018.10, forward strand.
ATGTAGTTCAGTTAACTAACACTTTGTAAAAAATAAATTCCCCCAGAAATGTAAAGATTATCTTTCTTACTCTAAAGCATTCCTTACTGTGAATTACACAGTCAGATTTCTCTGCATTCAGTACCTGGATGAGAACAGAAAATGACAATTTCATTGTGAAGAGGGAGGTAATTTTTGGCATATGGATCATTTCTAGTGAGGGCTGGTCTGAAAAGGGGGTTGATATTGTAGAATTTGTGTCACTAAAAGACAATATGAAAGGCTGCTTGTGGTTACAGGGGGAGGGGAACATTTGGGAGATGATGAGAGGGAATCAGAGAAAGAAGTGGAGAGTATGAAGAATAAACTTCACCCATTTGGAAATTTTGCTGGTACTGCACAGACAGCAGCAGCAGCAAGAATGTTGTGGTTTAGAGTACAGGGTCTGGAGACAAATGACCTGTGAACTAATCCCGGCCGCCCTACTTACCAGGTCTGTGAACAATTTACTTAGCTTCCTTAAGCTTTAGTTTCCTTATCTGTAAAATGAGGACGAAAAAGTGTTCACAGGCCATAGGGCTGTACTGAGGATTAAAGAAGACAATGCATGTTAGTCATTTAGCACAGTGTCTGGCACACCACACATTACGTAACCGATAAATGCTAAGTATCACTAACTACATTTGTCCTGAAAGTAGACAAAAAATAATTACTATTGGAAAGTTTTCCTATTGATAAACAACCCATTATATGTGATCTTCTTGTCTAAGTTTCTCTTTTCAGTGTCAGTTTTGAAAACATCTAATGTTTAATTTAAAACTTCACATTTATTTGATTATTTCCCTAAGCTAAAGCTTAATGAAATACTTAGTACTTTATAGAAACTGTTCTAGGTCCTTACATACATTCACGCATTTAATCTTCATAATAGCCCATTTTACAGGTGAAGATAATCAAGGTGCAAATAGATTAAGTAACTTGTTTGTGGAGTCCCTCAGCTATTATGGTTTAACCTAGGATGATGTGATCCAGAGCCTCTGTTTTTAAGATGATGAGGCTTGGAGAGACAAGGTGACTTATTAAAGGTCATGTAGTATATGAGAAGTAGGATGGTTTGCGAATCCAGTTTTCAGTTTTTCCTCCCTAATAGAATTCTTTCCTTGTTAGTTTACATCTTTCCTCCATGAAGGCCACCCAGCTTAGTGTAGGAGAAAGTACAAAACCAAGTATTCAGCAGCTTGAGCTCTCAATACTTATGTGGCTTAAGGCAGGTATTGAATGGTGACATAATTCTTTGGGCTTTAGTTTTTATTTTGTATGACCTGACTGGCAATTAGTCCATACAACAGCATTTTGGGTAATTGCAAGTTAATTGGAAAATTAACTTGAAAATTGAAAAACACTAGATAGCAGTAAGATATTATTCTTATTAATACCAATATTTCTGTCCCTTCTTTGAATATATTTCTACCATTATTTTATAGTCACAAACAAATCTGACTGATAATAATTCTCTAAAGTTTTTTCTTCTTTTTCAACTACCAAGTTCCAGACTCCAGCCTTTGAGAATCTGATCCAGTTGTTCTGAGACAGGCTTCTGGAATCTAATTTTTAAACCTCCCAGGTATTTCTGATTAAACAGATTTTCGAACCCATGTCTATGCCACGAAGTTGAGCTTTGGATCATAGACTACCTTGAGTATTTTTCTGAGCCTGGGATTTATCTTCTGTAAGACTGATTTCTTCAGTGGGAGTTATATTTTCTTATGTTTCCCTTATAAAACTTGCAGAACCTAGATCCGAACTGGGCAGGATAGTTGACTGAGTTATATGTAATTATTTGGTTGAACCCATTATAAGTAGATTTGTGGCATTCTTGTGTAAAAGAAGTTTTAAAAGAAACAGAGTTAAAGTTGCAGATAAAATCCTTTACTGATGCTGATGAATTAGCTTACTGAATGGCACCCCCACGGATATAGACTATATGACCTTTCAAGGTAATGACCCTTTAGAGAGGTTACTCTTGATTCAAAGGCCAAATCAAGACAAGCAAATCATTTTGGAGAAAATAAAGTAGCTGAATCCAGCCAGCGAGCTGAATATTTAGTGAACCATCTTTTAAATAAAGTATTCTCAGTGTTTCATTAGGGATTTAAAACCCAACCCAGAGTTTTACTGAGGTGTAGTATCATGGACATTCAATGCTGCAGCCAAACCTGGAATTGAATCCTGGCATCTTGCTTAACATTGGTGTAGACCCCAGCAATGTTCCTAGTTTCTCACCACCTATGTTTTCTTATCTGTGCAACTGAGAGTGTACAGAATTAAATGAGGTAACAGACACATGAAAGCACATGTGCAGGCATATGGTGAGCATGGGGCAAATGGCAGCTGCTATTATTTTTAGACATAATGAACACACCCAGAATTGTCTGTTTTCCTCATTTCCCCTGATGGTTAGAAGAAATTAATGCAGTTGCTGAAGTAGTGGAGGAGTGCATAAAGCACTGGGAAAGGCTGACTTAATACATGTGATTTAATTCCAGAATGTGTTTCTGAAAATCCCCTGACTTCTTTGTGAATATCGGTTATCTCTCTGCTTAAAAACAAGGTACACAATGCTTCTTGTAGAATTTTGGCTGCTTGTTTTAGAAGGAGACATTGATAAATTGGAGAGGATCCAAAAATGATAAAAGGATTAGAGGATATGACCTACAGAGAAAGATTATTAAAAGAACTCATACATCCAGCCTGGAGCAACGATGACAGTGGGTGGGGAATGTGATAACTGAACATAAATACTAGGAATAGGTAAGAAATAAGGAAAAAAACTATTTTGAGTTATTAGAGGGTGGACAAACAAGAATCAATGGCCTTAAACCAGAAAAGCAAGCACTTGTGTGAAGTATTCCAAGAAGAATTATTTTCAACAGAGAGGTCAATTAACACCTTGATTATTTCATCTGAGAGGTGATCCTATGCAGTTCTTTAGATAGTACCTCCAAAGGCTGATTATGCAGAAGGAATATGTATCCTGGCTGCCAACACTGCATCTGTGCCCAAGTCCTTAGGCAATATATACATTTTGAAATGGAGACAAATATCATGTATTTTTTTTCTCTATGTTTTTCTCCTTTGCCTAGTGTGGTTAAGTGCACTGGTGACCTTCAAAACAATATGTCCTTTTCTACAACCACAGAATCTTTGAATATGACTTTATTTCAAAAAGGCATCTTTGAAGAGATAATTTAAGGACCTTGAGATAAGGGCACCATCCTGGACTATTCGGTAGGTCCTTAATTCAACAACAAATGTCCTTATAAGATACTGAAGAGAATACAGAGACACATGAAGAGGAAGAGGCAATGTGACCACAGAGACAGAAATTGGAGAAAGGTATCCAAGGAAGCCAGGATGGCTTGGAACCACCAGAAGCTAGAAGGAGCAAGAAAGGCTCTTTGCTTGGAGTCTTCAGAAGGTGATTGGCTCTGCCAACACCTTGATTTCACACTCTGGCCTCTAGAAGAGTGAGAAAATAAATTTATATTGTTTTGAGCCACTCAACTTGTGGTAATTTGTTATGGAAGCCCTGGGAAACTGACAGACTCAGTGTAAAGGTTAATTTTTAAAAATAGAACTCCCAGAAATTCTGAACATCAGCCACCAAAAAAGCTGATAATTAATGCATGGAACAGAGTCTTATACGCTTCCTTATGGTTCTAATACTAGGATTCAGTGAGAGATGACTTCTTAGATGGAGCTCCCTACAGATGGAGCTAGAGAAATGTTGGGCAAGATGGGGTTCTGAGAGGCTGGCCTGGTCAGTGACTAGCCATAGAAGCTTGCTAAGGAAATAATCACAGAGTCTGGAATTCGGCTGAGAGCTAGGATATGAAGAACAAGTTTATCTAAATGAATAAATGGACCAGGAACCTAAGATTGATGGTGGCTGAATCTCTTGTGAAGGAGACTCTAAGAGCTCTGAGGTAAGTTCTATAGGCTCAGCTGGTATTCAGAATCAGGGCTCCAGCCCATGCAAGGGGGACTGCAAATGCAAGAATGGGTTCTACTATGAGGAAGAGCCCAGAATACTTGGCATCTCAGAACTAGGACATTTCAAAGGGTAGAATAGCAACAACAGTAGCTTAATGAGAGCCTTCCAAGTAGAGAGCAATGAGCAGCACTCAACTTTATATGTACTTTTTCCTTAGCAGGAATCTTCCCTGACAAACTGATCTAGAGTTCAGACTTCAGGTTGTAATTCAATGAAATCTAAGAAATGGGAGTGAAAAGTAGGCTGGACCTAAAAAGCTCTCTCCACATGTAGCAACAGGTACAGGACCTTAGACCAGAAACTCTAGCACTATAGGAGCCAGTATACTGATATTCATTCAACATTTAACTAGCATATATAAAGACAGAAAAAAAAAGTTACTAAGCTATTTAACAAATATAAATATCAAGGCAATATTACAAATATTTGACAAATACATATGCAAGTAGAAATTTTTAATAATACCAGTGATGATAGTGCCTTCATGTTGCCAAAAAATAGATGATCTAACAACAGTCATTTATTCTGATATGCTAAGATGTTTCCTATCACTTCCAAGGTATTTGATTCAAAGTGGCTTTGGAAGAAGGTATGATTACTTCAAAGGGATACTTAACACATGGTAGGATCCAGGCATCAGAGAGGAATGATTCTTTGGAACTTTCCTAGAAATTCACACATCTACTTCACCCAAATTGCTTCAAATAAGGTAAAACTTTAAAGAACTAGCTATAATTAAAAGCACTGAAAACAGACAGATTCTCCCAAGATGTATCAAATAGCGTGATGACTGAACATCAGGTAGGGTGGGCAGCGCTAACTGAGGCAGGCTTGGGCCTGAAGGCTTTGGAGGTCCTTATCATTGGTCTGCATATGATATCCTCTGAAAACTGTAGGAAGTCATCAGGCCTGAAAACTGGCTCTGATGACTTCCTACAAAAGATTTTGTGATGCGATGGGTTTTAATTCAGAACCTTTATTTAGGATAAACTTAGAAAGGAAGATGAGAAATGGCATTGACAGATATGTGAATTTGTTGTATGAAGTGTTGGGCTCTGGGTTAGGTGCTTCACATAAATTTAAAAAATAAAGGTTACTATTTATCAGACATAATGTTCTAGCCACTACCCTATAAACTATGTGTATGATATTTTATTTGGTCCCATGGAATAATTAATGCAATTAGCATTATTCCCATTTGCAGGTGAAGAAATTGAGGGTTAGAAAGATAAGTCATTTGTTCAAATTTCCATCACAAAGAAGGAAAAGATCTCAGATTTGAACCAGATTTGTCAGCATATGCAATTCTGCCTAAAGGTCAACATGAGTGGTAAGTCAGAAGTGGAGTTCACCTGTACTCCTGCCATTTACCAAGACTATGCTCTTTCCTCAGCACCTTCATAACAAACAACGTAACAACAGTGGGAGAGGGCAGAGATACTATGATGGGTAGATTTATACACTCTAATAGATATACATAGTATACCCTATGTATACTCAGTAGATATACATAGAGTATGTAATATACGTAGAGTGTGTAAATCTACATTTACACACTCTAATCAAGACTAGGGCCATGCCTGGAGGAACAAATGGTAAGCTCCACCAAAGGCAGTTGATGCCAGCTTGAGAACACTCAGATGTGGACACTGAAGAGAGAATTCTGCTGATTGGTTTCTAAATGCAGAAAGGAAGAGCTAGAGAAAATCTTAGGGGCTACTGAGTTCAGGGCCTTCAGTTCCCAGATGCACTGTTTACCAGAACACACCATGAGATTCTTCAGATAATTGTCTCTCGTTTGTAAAGTCTTTGAGGATTAGTCATCATTCATCTCTTTAGTCCAGGGAGGCTGCTGAGCCAGCACCTTACCACACTGCTGGTGATATGGACAGTGTTATTAGTATTGTCCCAGAATAAAACATAACTAGCACCATAAATCTACTGACACTGGAAAGAAAGGCACAGAATTTATGCCAACACAGTATTGGTTTGCGATTGTCTGTTATTGTCTTTGCCACTATTGGGAATAGAGCCAGGTGACTGAAGTGTACAATGAAGATTCACATCCCTCGAATGGAAATTACAGGCCGTGTAACTGCACAATAAACAGCAGGCAGTTGCCAAATCAGTAAATTCTCCCCAGTAAATGCTTTGGCGGTTTCAAGATAGATTGGTTTGGGCAGTGAGCTTAGATCATCAGAATTCAATCTTGGTTCTGTCACCTTATACCTGCTGTGTGACCCTAGGTAAGTTAATCTTTCTGTTTCAGAAATTTCTCATCTACAAAATGTCATTTGTAAAAATATCATCTGACCTATAGAAGTGTTGGGAAGATTAAGGTACTATATATAATGAAAGAAGCACCACACCCTGCAGATGTTAGTTGCACCATTGATAATACAATAATAGGAAAAAGAGTTGTTGCTGTATCACAAGTGCCACTTCTATGAAGCCTGTCTCCACCCTACTACTCTTGCAGAGGGCTTGAAGAAGACTCATGCATGACCCCTGCCCCAAGGGATTCATTATCACAAAGCACAAATCCCTAATCTTTTGTTATTTTCCAAAAGTTTATATGAAAACATTTAAACACCATTGTGCATTTATCAACACAGATAATTATATTTTGGATCAATCAGCAAGGGACTCCAAAAATCAAATTATTACCAGGTAATGATGGGAGAGTATGGTGGCATTTGTAAGCTTCCCTTCCTGTGATCAACAGCTCTGTTCACAGAGTGGTTCACGAAAGTTCTAGGAACAATCTGTGGCCATGAGGTGGGAATGACAGGACTTTTTTGTGTGTCATTCTAAAAGGTCTCTAACCAACAAAGGGAATAGACCACAAGGACAGGTACCCCAGTTGGAATGGCAGTTGGGACTCATCTGGTCCCAAACCCCATGTAGCTTTCCTCTTAGGAAATTATCAGGCCTAAGCATGAAGACATCAGGGTGGTCATACACTCTACAGGACATATGACCCAGCTCCTCTCTTGACAGTCTGTTAGAAACTTAAAGTGACACAAATGCCATCTCATCACTACATCACCATGGAAGTTCCAGCCCACTTCCTTTCCTTTCTTGTCCTCACACACAGGAAGCCATCTATTCATGCCGTTCCCAGGGCTTCCTTCTCCGTGTTATAAATCACCGTTTCTTTGTTTGGGTCCTGACAATAAAAGCTGGCTGGTCCTTTTGCTCTCTTATCTGTGTTCTGAACATGCTGCAGTTTGTCTTCTGGAGCGTGTCATGAAGAAGCAGGTCTTACACATCTAAGTGTGTTTGACCAGGGCATAAGCTCTAACCCCCTTTCTAAAATATTTCATTCCAGTTAATGTGCACATAGTCAAGAATTTTAAAATTTGAGTTTCACAGTTTTGAAATTTATTTTTTTCTTATGTTCTAGGAACAATGAATTGAATCCCAGTTTGCCTAATTCAGACTCCGCATGTAGCTCTCAACTGATATTCCTACAAACTCAGGCACAAACTTTATTTGGCACAATCGTAAAATGCTGGTTGTTGTTGCTGGTGTCTTAGACCATCACGGTACTAGATTCTAAGCCTCTTGAGTCTAGGTGTCCACATAAGATCTACAACTACTCACTGAGCACATAGCACGCATGTGCAAGGCACATTCACACATATTACTCCATACTCCCCTCACAATGAAGCAGAAAACTGAGCCTGGGACATGTTGCATGTCTATCACATCATGAACAAGAGACAGAGCCAGGACCTGAATATTATGTCTTCTGCTCCAATCCCAGTGCCTTTTTGTCATTTATTTTTAATGTTGTTTAATTTTGATATATTTCAAACAGAATAATACAGAGAACAACACAAGGTATACTTTCATCCTAAAAAAACAAATTTGTCAAATTAAAATACCTTACCATATTTTCTTTGCCTATAAAATTTCTGAGACTGTTAACTTTTGGGGAAAAAACTTATTTATAGACTCAATTTCAATAATTATTATTGATTTATCAAGACTTTATATTTTTTCTTGTCAATTTTGCTTATTCTTATGTTTTCAGAAAACTATTCATTTCATCTAAGTTTTTAAATTTGGATGCATAGTGTTTTTCCAAAAATCCTCTTAATTTTTTTTTGTTTTATATGTTCTATGTAATTATGACCCAATTCCTGGTCAATATTGTTTACTTGTACCTTTGTTCTCCTTTTTACCCACTTGACCACTCTTGCTAAAGGTTTGTGTATTTTTACTTTTAATTTTGTAAGGCAAAAGCTTTGCATTTTATTGATACTCTTGATCATTTCTTAATTCCCATTTAATTTTTTTTCTATCTAGCTCACTTAGGTTTGCCTTCTTTATGTCCTTAAATAAGCTAAATGCTTAAGAGATTTATTTACACTCTCTCATTTAGATGACATGTTGAACTTACACTGTCATTCAGTCCTAAGCATTTTGTAATTTTCATTTTCTTTTTATCTAAGTTATTTAGTATTTCATTCTTAAGTATCCAAATACATACTTTGTCCAAAGTGCACTTTTTGTTTATTTATAATTACATTGCCTTTTGGATGGAGGTTGTAACTTGTATATTATTGATTTTTTAAAAGATGTTGAGCCTTTTTGTGACTGAATACATGGCCAATGGTTCCAAATATTTTATGCGTATGCTTTATCTCTTACTTGCAGTACATACACACATACGTATCCCAATAATTTTGCTGATTTTTTAAAACATTTTTTTTTCAAATTAGGATACTATAATTTGACCTTTTGTGTATTCAATTTCTATGACTTCTAACAGTGAATAGATTAATGTAACCATCACTGCAATCAGGACACAAAATAGTTATATCACTCCAAGAACACTACCTCATGCTATCTTTTTTCTAGTCACCTTTTCCCCAAATCTGTAACCCCCTGTAGCCACCACTCTATTTTCTGTCATTATAGTCTTTTTCATTTTAGAATGTCACATAAATGGAATTATACAGTATGAAACCTTTTAATACTGGCTTATTTCATTCAGCATGATGACTTTGAGATGTGTCCAAGCTGGTGCATACATAGTTTATTCTTTTTGAGTGATATTCCAGTTTGCTAATGCGTTCACTTATTGAAGGACACGTGAGTTGTTTCCATTTTTGGTGGCTATAAATATTGCTGATATAACCATGCATGTACAGTTTTCAGTCTTCTAGGTTAAATACTCTGGAGTGAATAGATAGACTATATAGTAAGTATACGTTTTAGCTACACAGAAACTGCCAAATGGTTTGCCAGAATGATATGCCATTTTGCATTTCCATCAGCAACATATGAGAGTGACCACTTTTTAAATATGCCCTTTGTTGTATTTTTTGTTTATGCCATTCTAAGAGGTGTGCAGTGGTATTTCATCATGGTATTAATTAACATTTTTCTAACAACTATTGATATTGATACCTTTTCATACAGTTAGTTGCTCTTTGTATATACTCCTTGGTGAAAAATCTGTTCAACACTTGCCCAGTTTTTATTTGGGTTATTTGTTTTCTTACTGTCAAGTTTTGAGAGTTCTTTATATAGACGGCATACAAGTTCCTTTTTCACATATGAGATTAACAAATGATTTATACAAGTCTTTAATTTATTTTATCATTCTCCTATCAAAGCAAAAGTTTTTCTCAAAGCAAAAGTTCCAAATTTGATCAAATCTATTTTTATGTATTTGTTCTGGACTATGCTTTTTGTATCATGTTTAAGAACCTTTGTCCATCCCTAGGTTATAAGTATTTTTTCCCTCTGCTTTCTTCTGAAAGTGTAATCATTTTTAGTTTTACATTTAGTTATATGATCCATTTTAATTTAAATATTGTATAAGTTGTGGGGTTTAGGCTGAATTTTCTTTTCCAAGAATGTCCAACATTCTTTGTTGAAAAGACTTTCTTTTAGCAATTGAATTTCCTTTAAAATGTAGTTAAAAATCAACTGGACGCATTTGTATTGACCTACTTCTGGATTATATATTCAGCTTTATTGATCTATACATTTATCCCTTCATCAACATGACACATTTTTCATAAATGTAGCCTCATAGTAACTGTTTATCTGGTAGTATGAATCCACTTTGTTTTTCTTTTTCAGTATTGTTTTGACCTTTCTAGTTCATATCTTTTCCATATAAATTTTAGAATCATTGTATCTACATACATAAAAAATCCACTAAGATTTTGGTTGGAATTGTGTCAAATCTATAGATTAATTTGGAAAACACTGATGTATGTTCTTCAGTCTTCTAACACGTGAACACAGCAGTATGCATCTCCACTTGTTTGGATCTTTTTTGATGTTTTAAATAAGTTTTTTTAGATGCATAGCAAAGTATTTTATTTTGCAGAACTGTTGCAAATGCTTATTTGCTTTTAAGTTCAAGTTTCAAAAGCTAATTATTAGTATATAGAAATATTATTTGACCTTGTCTTCTGCAACGTTGCCAAACTCCCTTACTAGTTCTACCTTTTCATTGATCTTTTTGATAATTTTTGGAGGAGTTTATATGTGAACAATATGTCACCTAGACATAGAGTAAGTTTTACTTCTTACTCTCAAAATTCATACTTTGTACTTCTTTTTTTCTTATTTCAATGGCTAGAATAGCCAGCACATATTGAATAGGAGACATGAGAGTGGGCACACTTCTTTTTACCAGTTTTAAGAAGAAAACATTCAGTCTTTTTCTATTAGGTAAGATGTAGCAATAGTTTTTTAGATGCCGTTGATCAGGTTGAGTGAGTTATCTTTTATTCCTCTTTCACTGCAAATTTTAATCATGTTGGGTGTTGAATTTTGTCAAATGTTTTCCAGCACCAATTGTAGTAATCATGTGTTTTTTTCTTCCTTAGATTGTTTATATGATTTCTTGTATGGATTGTTTTTTGCGTCTTGAATCAACTTTGCATTCCCACGGTCAACTCCATTTGTTTATCTATTTTTCTTTTTATGTATTGATGGATTCAATTTGTCAATATTTTCCTGAGGAATTTTATATCTCTGTTCATGAGGGTTATTAGTCAGTAGTTCCTTCTCTTGTGCTCTCTTTTTATGGTTTTGTAATTAGGGTAATGCTGGCCTCATTAATGAGTTGGAAAGTGTTCTCTCCTTTTCTACATTTTTTTTTTGAAAAAGAAAATTGTGTAGAATTAATCATACTTCTTTAATTATTTGGTAGAACTCATCAATAAAATAGGCCTGGATATTTCCTTTTTCAGAAGTTATTCAACTCTGAATTCAGTATGTTTAATAGTTACAGGATTACAAAAGTTATTTCATTTTGAATGAGTTTGGGTACTTTATAATATCGAATATACTCTCCATTTTATCAAAGGTGTTGAATGTATGTGTATAACCTGTTTGTAGTATGTATGCTCCTAGTTTTCTTGTTAATGTGTCTTGCATTTTTTTCAGATTTTAGAGTAGCATTTAGCAGAAGAAACAGGGTAGAATTTACTGCCTCTTCCTTGAAAACAGAACACAAATTGGCTGATTTTATTACAGGATTTATTTTTAAGTTTAGTATTATAATGTTTGCGTGATATTTCCATTTGGATATTGTTAAAAATCTAAAGCTAGTGAGTAGCTTTGCTACTTTTTCTGTCATTTTTCCTTTATATAATTCAAAACTATGTGGTCAGGTACACATACTATATTTTAGTACTGCTGTGCTCATATCCATAGGTTGTCTCCTTTATTTTTATGCAATAGCTTTATAAATTGTTATAAAAGATTGTTCTAAATTCGGTTTTTTCTATATATATTTATTAGAAATTTGCACAGTAAACATTTTTCCCCAAACATGTATTTTCAACTTCTTTGTTGCTTTATTTTAAATTTCCCTTTAAATAAGTGACAGAAAGCTAAATTTTGATATATTTCAAAATGTAAACTCATAATTTCTGTCTTTTAAATGGTTTGTTTATTATTTTCACATTTATAGTGATTTCTGCTTGTTTGTACATATTCCTGCCACCTTCTGTGTGATTTGTTTTCCCTTTTTGGCACAGATGGCTATTATTTCTCCAAATATTTATTTTCCTCTATTTTAGGTTAGAGTTTTGTGCCAGGCCAAGAGCTGCCTTCTCCAATCCTCCTGGCATCTTCATGGGTCCATATGGCTAACTCTCACCAATCAAATATGGGCAGAAGTGATGTGTGTTCCTTTTGAGCCAACTTGGTTAAGAATTAGGCATGCTTTCTTCATCTTCACTTTACTTACTCAGTGGCTGAATGCAAAATAATTTGAAGCCTAGTGATTTGTAGAGTTACCAAATGAAGGGAGTCTGAGTTCCTGAATCAATATAGGAGGAGCTACCCACTGAAAATTCACATTGGATTTGCATCTAAGTGAAAAAAAATTCTATTGTCAGTAAAATTTTGAGACATGTTTGTTATGGCAACTTGTATTATCGTAACTACTACAAAAAATGTTGCCTCAAAGTAGAGTGCTGCCATAACAAAATCCTAAAATATATTGTCATAGCTGTCATGTGGCAGGTGGCAAGGCAACTGATATCAGAAACTGGAAAGCTTGAAATCCATGTCATGTAGTGACAACACTTCTGTAAACCATTGCCTGAAGTAAGACAAACCATTTGCCTAGAACTGTAACTTCAAGAGAAGACTGGAAAACAAAATATTGTAGTGTATGTTGGCTGCTACTGGATCTGTTTATTGAGGTATTCGAAGAAGAAGAAAAAAGATAAACTCCAGGAAGGACTTACAAGTTTTCGAATAAAAATGAAAATATATAGAAAGAATCATAAAATTTAGAACCTTGAAGTGATTTAAAAAGTTGACTAATTCTAGCCTCAAAGCTAAAATGGATAGAAATAAAAGGGATTTGAACAACCAACACCCATTAATGTTCAGTTCTGCATAAAACTCAGATTAAAGTTGTGACCTTCCACTCAGTCTTGTTATTTGGCCTCATGGTAATCATCTTTGAGGACTCTTCACCACTCCTAACCAACATGGATCAATTCTCCATCCTTCACTGCTTTATTTTTGCCTCTGAAAGCTGATCCCTGTGAACTGCTTCTCCAGAATTGCCTTGCAGCAGGTTTCTATTTGGGTTTAAATGCATCCAGCAGGACTTTGGAGAGTTTGGCTATTCCCTCCTTATTTCTTTGTTCTTTTAGCAGAACCTATATTTCCCCATCACTACAGCTTCTTTCAGTGGTCTCCCTTCCATGGCTCTAATTCTCACTGGACTCTAGTGACTCTATTTTCTTCCTTCATCACTAAGAGTGGCAACAGCTTCATTCTGTTGCTACTCACTGAGTGGCTCCATCATCCTTTGTTTCCTTATCCCTCTTCATGCCTGTTGACATACCCCCTTTATTGAAATTCCTTTCTTTGAATTATCTAGAGAAAATTATTTTTCCTGCTGAGGGCCTGACTCAAAAACTGTTATTAAATGGTTGAGAAAAATACATGAAATCAAAAAGCAAAGAAATTAATTAGGCTTGAGAATAGCATCAAGAACAGAACTACTGGCCCTGGGAGGAAATAGATCAACATCCTACTATATATTTTGTAGAGTTGCATTTTCAAAGAAATAGCATCTATGACCCAAATAGCCTTTGGATATTTAGACCTTAGTGCAAATTTTGAGTCCTTAGCATGTCCCCCAAAATTTTGAGTCCTTAGCGCATGTCCCCAAACAAGCTGAGTTAAAAAGCAGGCTATGAAAGTTATATTGCTCTCCTCCCAGGTGTGAAATATCCCCAATAGGAGTGGCCTTGGAGGGTAATGAATAAGAAAGAATATTTCAGAGAGTGGAGTCAGAAGCCATGCAGAACCATGAGCAAAAGGATTCCTCCCAGAGAGCTGAATCAGGCTCCACCTTACCCATTGCTAGTATAAGAAGTTGCTGCAGTAGCTGACCAAGAGGAACTTAGAAGTTGTATGGACCAGTGACTGTTTATATCTCACAACTTTCTCTTTTTCTCAATGGGAAGGTTGATGGATATTTTCCTGCCTGTCCCACAATGATATTAGACGTTTTCAGAGGAAATGAAGAGAGAGAACTTGTCTTTTCCATTTCAAAAGCTATCAGTCCGTGAGGAACTATAGCTGGACCTGCTGGAGTGAATTGAATATTGCCAGAAGATCTTGGATTTGAACTTGATGACATAATTGGATGGGATTTTGAGATATTTCATTTACAGAAGGGAAAATTGTTCTTTGGGTAAGAGAAAGACTACAAATGGATATATTGCTGTTTACATGGAAAACTTATGGCAGAGATGGCCACTTTTTCATCAATGACTCATGTTTTTCTTTAAAAACATAGTTGCTCATTTTAAATCTATGTTAAGTTATATTATTAGTTCTTAACAATGGACTATGAGTGGAAGTCATGTATGTCACTTTCATGCCAAAAAGTTTAAGCGTAGATGTCTTCTCCATCATCTCTTTCTATATCTGCCAGCTATAAATAAAGGACTCTGAGGACTTAGTGGATATGGAATAATAGCAAAATAGATATAAATTGGTCCCTAGATCAATACAGGCATACCTCCAAGATATAGAATTTGGTTCTAGCCATTGCAATAAAGCAAATATTGCAATGAAGAGTCACACAGATTTTTTGGTTTCCCCATGCATATAAAAGTTATGTTAACACTATATTGTAGTTTATTAAATGTGTAATAGCATTATGTCTAAAAAGCAAGACACATACCATAGTTAAAAGATACCTCATTCCTAAAATATGCTAATCATTATCTGGGTCCCCAACAAATAGTAATCTTTTTTATGGTGGAGGGTCTCACCTCAATGTTGATGGCTACTGACTGATCAGGGTAGTGGTTGCTAAAGGTTGGGATGGCTGTGGCAATTTCTTAAAATAAGACAACAATGAAGTTTGCTACATTGATTCTTTTTTTTATCCTGAAAAATTTCTCTGTAGCACATGATGCTATTGAATAGCATTATATCCACAGTAGCACTTTTTTCAAAATTGGAGTCAATCCTTTCAAGCTTTGCCACTGCTTTGTTGACTATGTTTATATATTATACTAAATCTTTTGTTGTCATTTCAACGATGTTCACAGCATCTTAACCAAGAGTAGATTCAATCTCAATGAACGACTTTCTTTGTGCATCAATCAGAAGCAACTCTCCATTTAAGTTTTATCATGAGATTGTAACAATTCAATTACATCTTCAGTCTCCACTTCTAATTCTAGTTCCTTTGCTCTTTCTGCCACATCTGCAGTTACTTGCTGCAAGACTCCGCTGGAATCCTGAGTGTCTAAAAGTCATACATGGCCTGGTGCTGTAGCTCACACCTGTAATTCCAGCACTTTGGGAGGCTGAGTTAGAGGAATCACTTGAGGCCAGGAGTTGTAGATCAGCCTGGCCAACATACTGAAGCCACATCTCTACTAAAAATACAAAAATTAGCTGGGCATGGTGGTGCATGTCTGTAATCCCAGCTACTCAGGTGGCTGAGGCATGAGAATCACTTGAATCCAGGAGGCAGAGGTTGCAGTGAGCCAAGACTGTGCCACTGCACTCCATCCTGGGCAACAGAATGAGACTCTGTCTCAAAAAAATAAATAAAAATAAAAATAAAAGTAATCCATGAGTGTTGATATCTATTTCTTCCAATGTCTTTTTAATGTTGATATTTTGATCTGGTCTCATGAATCACAAATATTCTTAGAGGCATCTATTATAAAATGGTGAATACTTTCCAAAACTTTTTCCAATTTACTTTTCTTAGATGCATGAGAGGAAAATTACTCCTTGATTTATGGGCTATTGTGTTAACAGAAATGAAAGCAACCCTAGTCTCCTTGTACACCTCCATCAGAGCTGTTGGTTGAGTAGGCGCCTTGTCAATGAGCAGTAATATTTTGAACAAAATCTTTTCTTCTGAGCAGTACGTATCAATAGTGAACTTAAAATCTTCAGTAAATCTTGTAAATTTGTTTAAGTTCCTTGTAGATTCTGGATATTAGCCCTTTGTGAGATGAATAGATTGCAAAACTTTTATCCCATTCTGTAGATTGTCTGTTCACTCTGATGATAGTTTCTTTTGCTGTGCAGAAACTCTTTAGTTTAATTAGATCCCATTTGTCAATTTTGGCTTTTGTTGCCATTGCTTTTGATGTTTTAGTCCTGAAGTCTTTGCCCTTGCCTATGTCCTGAATGGTATTGTCTAGGTTTTCTAGGGTTTTTATGCTTTTAGGTCTTACGTTTAAGTCTTTAATCCATCTTGAGCTAATTTTTATATAAGGTGTAAGGAAGGGGTCCAGTTTCAGTTTTCTGCATATGGCTAGCCAGTTTTCCCAACACCATTTATTAAATACGGAATCCTTTCCCCATTGCTTGTTTTTGTCAGGTTTGCCAAAGATCAAATGGTTGTAGATGTGTGGTGTTATTTCTGAGGACTCTGTTCTGTTCCATTGGTCTATATCTCTGTTTTGGTACCAGTACCATGCTGTTTTGGTTACTGTAGCCTTGTAGTATAGTTTGAGTCAGGTAGCGTGATGCCTCCAGCTTTGTTCTTTTTGCTTATGATTGTCTTGGCTATAACAGGCTCTGTTTTGGTTCCATATGAAATTTAAAGTAGTTTCTTCTAATTCTGTGAAAAAAGTCAATGGTAGCTTGACGGGTATAGCATTGAATCTATAAATTACTTTGGGCAGTATGGCCATTTTCACAATGTTGATTCTTCCTGTCCATGAGCATGGAATATTTTTTCCATTTGTTTGTGTCCTCTCTTATTTTCTTCAGCAGTGGTTTGTAATTCTTCTTGAAGAGGTCCTTTACATCTCTTGTAAGTTGATTCCTAAGTATTTTATTCTCTTTGTAGCAATTGTGAATGGGAGTTCACTCATGATTTGGTTCTCTGTTTGTCTATTATTGGTGTATGGGAATGCTGGTGATTTTTGCACATTGATTTTATATCCTGAGACTTTGCTGAAGTTGCTTATCAGCTTAGGGAGATTTTGGGCTGAGATGATGGGGTTTTCTAAATATACAATTATGTCATCTGGAAACAGACACAATTTTACTTCCTTTCTTCCTATTTGAATGTCCTTTATTTCTTTCTCTTGCCTAATTGCCCTCACCAGAACTTCCAATACTATGTTGAATAGGAGTGTTGAGAGAGGGCATCCTTGTCTTGTGCCAGTTTTCAAAAGGAATGCTTCCAGCTTTTGCCCATTCAGAAGGATATGAACAGACACTTCTCAAAAGAAGACATTTTTGAGGCCAACAAACATGTGAAAAAAAGGTCAGCATCACTGGTCATTAGAGAAATGCAACTCAAAACCACAATGAGATACCATCTCATGCCTGTTAGAATGGTGATCATTAAAAAGTCAGGAAACAACAGATGCTGGAGAGGATGTGGAGAAATAGGAATGCTTTTCCACTGTTGGTGGGAGTGTAAATTAATTCAACCGTTGTGGAAGACAGTGTGGCAGTTTCTCAAGGATCTAGAACCAAAAATACCATTTGACCCAGCAATCCCATTACTGGGTGTATACCCAAAGGATTATAAATCATTCTACTATAAAGACATATGCACACGTATGTTTATTGCAGCACTATACACAATAGAAAAGACTTGGAACCAACCCAAAAGTCCATCAATGATAGAATGGATAAAGAAAATGTGGCACAGATACTCCATGGAATACTAAGCAGCCATAAAAAAGGATGAGTTCATGTCCTTTGCAGGGACATGGATGAAGCTGGAAACCATCATTCTCAGCAAACTAACACAGGAACAGAAAACCAAACACTGCATGTTCTCACTCTTAACTGGGAGTTGAACAATGAGAACACAGGAACAGAAAACCAAACACTGCATGTTCTCACTCTTAAGTGGGAGTTGAACAATGGGAACACATGGACACACAGAGGGGAACATCACGCACGGGAGCCTGTTTGGGGGTGGGGGTTTAGGGGAAGGATAGCATTAAGAGAAATACCTAATGTAGATGACAAGTTGATGGGTGTAGCAAACCACCATGGCACATGTATACCTAGGTAACAAACCTGCACGTTCTGCGTATGTATCTCAGAAATTAAAGTATAATCAAAATAATTCAGTTAATCATGCTATAAATAGATGTGCTGTCATTCAAGTTTTGTTTTTCCATTTATAGAGCACACACAGAGTAGATGTAGCATCATTCTTGAGGGCTCTAGAATTTTTAGAACGGTAAAAGAGCATTGGCTTCAATTTGAAGTCAACAGCTGCATTAGCCCCTAATGAAAGAATCAGCCTATCCTTTGAAGCTTTGAAGCCAGGCACTGACATCTTGGCTTTAGCTATGAAAATTTTAGATGGCATTTTCTTCCAATAGGAAGCTGTTTCATCCACATAGAAAATCTGCTGCACTTTCATCAATGATGATCTTATGGCTAACTTGCTGCAGCTTCTGTATCAGCACTTGCTGATTAATCTGGCATTTTTATGGTATTGAGATGGTTTATTTCCACAGACTTCATGAACCAACCTCTGCTAGCATCAGACTTTTCTTCTGCAACTTCCTTATTTCTGTCAGCCTTCATAAAATTGAATAGAGTTAGTTAGGGCCTTGCTTTGGATTAGACTTTGACTTATGGTAATATTGTAGCTGGTTTGATCTATCCAGACCACTAAAATGTTCTGCATTTCAGCAATAAGTCTGTTCTGCTTTCTTCTCCTTTGTGTATTCACTAAGAGTAGCACTTCTAGTTTTGTTGAATAACTTTCCTTTTCATTTACAACTTTGGCACAACAGAGATACCATTTAAAATGTCTTCTTTGCTAAGCTTAATTATTTCTAGCTTTTCATTTAAAGTGAGAGATGTGTGACTCTTCCTTTTACAAGAACATTTAAATGCCACTGTAGAGTTATTAATCAGCCTCATTTCAATATTGTTATCTCTTAGGGGATAAGGATGCCCAAGAAGAGAGAGAAAAATAGGGAAATTGGCCAGATGGTGGAGCAGTCAAAACACATATAACATTTATCAATTAAGTTTGTTGTCTTAAATGGGAAGTTGATAGTAACCCAAAACACTTACAATGGTAACATCAAAGATCACTGATAACAGATCACCATAAAGATATCATAATAATTTTAAAAGTTTGAAATATTTAGAGAATTACAAAAATGTGACATAAAGATAAGTGAGCACATGCTGTAGGAAAATAGCACCTATAGACTTGTTTGACACAGAATGAACACATATTTTCAATTTGTAGAAAATGTAATATCTGCAAAGCACAATAAAGTGAAGCTCAATAAAATGAGGTGTGGTTGTACGTGGATGGCCACCTAATAATCAGCTGCCCTGGATTCTGAATCTCTGGGTCTTATTTTTATTTTCAAAAATCTTTTTCTTAGTAATTATTATCAATCTAACAATAACTTTTAAAAAAATTTGTTCTTTTTCTGCTTTGTGTTGGTTGATAAATTTTTACAGTACCTTTTATTCTGTGCTCGTGGGATATTACTCAAGAAATCTTTGCCCAGTCCAATGTCCTAAAGAGATTCTCTGAAGTTTTCTTTTAGTAGTTTTACCATTTGAGGTCTTCAAATCCTCAGTCCATTTTGATTTCATTTTTGTGTATAGAAAGAAGTAGGGTTCTAGTTATTAATACATTGCACATTTACATATGAATATCCAGTTATCCCAGCATTATTAATTGAAGAGACTGTCATTTCTCCAATGTGTGTTCTTACCAACTTTGTTGAAAATGAGCTCCCTGTAGATGCATGGATTTGTTTCTCAGTTCTCTATTTAATTCCATTGGTTTATAGGTCTGTTCTGAATGCCTGTACCATGCTGTTTTGGTTAGGATAGCTCTGTAGTATAATTTGAAGTCCCATGATATGATTCCTCCAGTTTTGTTCTTTTTGCTGAGGATGGCTTTGGTTATTCTGGATATTTTGTGGTTCCATATAATTTTTAGGAATTATTTTTCTATTTCTTTAAAGAATGTAGTTAGGATTTTGATAGGGATGCATTGAATCTGTAGATTGCTTTGAGTAGTATGGATATTTGATAATATTGATTCTTCCAGTCCATGAACATAGAATGTCTTTCCATTTATTGGTGTTCTGTTCAATTTTTTACATCAATGTTTTATAGTTTTCATTGTAGAGATCTTTCACTTCTTTGGCTAAGTTTATTCCTAGTTATTTTATTTTACTTGTAGCTATTGTAATATGAATACTTTCTTGATTTCTTTTTCAGGCTGTTAGCTGTAGACCTATAGACAGGGTATTATTTTTGTATGTTAATTTTGTATCTTGCAACTTCATTGAATTTGTTTATCAGTTTTAATAGATTTTTTTTGGTGGAATCTTTTGGTTTTTCCAAATATGAGATCATATAATCTGTAAACAAGGATAATTTGACTTATTCCTTTCCAATTTGGATGCCCTTTATTTCTTTTTCTTGCCTGCTTGTTCTTTCTAGGACCTCTAGCACTGTGTTGAATAATAGTGGTGAAAGTGGGTATCCTTAAATTCTTCCAAATCTTTGAGGAAAGTCTTTCATTTCTTTCCCCATTCAGTGTGACACTAGCTATGGGTCTGTCATATGTGGCTTTTATTGTATTTAAGTATTTTTCTTCTTTCCCAAGTTTTTTGAGGGTTTATATTATGAAAAGATGTTGAATTTTATCAAATGCTTTCTCACCATCAATTGAAATGATCATATGGTTTTTGTCCTTCATTCGGTTAATATGACGTATCACAAAGATTAATTTGCATATATTGAGTCATCCTTGCATCCATGGGGTAAATCCCGCTTGGTCAGGATGAATGATTTTTTTTTAATGTGCTGTTGTATTTAGTTTGCTAATATTTTGTTGAGGGTTTTTGCATCAGTGCTCATAAGGAATATTGGCCTGTAATTCTTTTTTTTTTGATTTATCTTTAGCTGGTTTTGGGACCAGGGTAATGCAGCCTTCATAGAATGAGTTTGGAAATGTTCCCTCATTCTCCATTTATTGGGATACTTTGAGTAGAATCGGTATTAGTTCTTGAAATGTTTGGTAAAATTCTGCAGTAAAGCCATCAGCTCCCAGGATTTTCTTTGCTAGACTTTTCTTTACTAGACTTTTTATTACAGTTTCAATATTGTTACTTGTTATTGGTCTGTTCAGATTTTGAATTTCTTCATATTTCAATCTTGGTAGGTTGTATGTGTCTAGGAATTTATCCATTTCGTCTAGGTTTTCCAATTTATTGGCATAGAGTTGCTTAAAATAGCCTCAATATCCTTTGAATTTCTGCAGTGTCTGTTGTAATGTCTCCTTTTGCAGCTCTGATTTTACTTATTTGGGCCTTCTGTCTTTTTTTTTTTAGTCTGGCTAAAAGTTTGTTGATTTTGTTTATCTTTTCAAAAAAACAACTTTTGGATTTTTTGATCTTTCATCTTGTTTTCTTCATTTTAATTTCATTTATTTGTGCTTTGATCAAAATTATTTCTTTTCTTCTACTAATTTTGTATTTTGTTTGCTCTTGCTTGTATAGTTCTTTAAGATGCATTGTTAGGTTTATTATTTGAAGTTTTCTACTTTTTTGATGTAGGCACTTATACCTGTGAACTTTCCTGTTAGTACTGCTTTTGCTCTATCTCATAGGATTTGGTATGTTGTGTTTCCATTATCATTTTTTTCAAGAAATTTTTCAATTTTCTTCTTAATTTCTTCATTGACTCATTGGTCATTCTGGAGCATATTGTTTAATTGCCATTTGTTTGTATCATTTTCAAAATTCCTCTTGTTATTGTTTTCTAGTTTTATTCCATCATGATCAGAGAAGATACTTGATATTATTTCAATTTTTTGAATCGTTAAAGACTTGTTTTGTGGAGTAACATATTGTCTATCCTTGAGACTGATCCATGTGCCAAAGAGAAGAAGGTGTATTCTGCAGCTGTTGGATGAGATGTTCTGTAAATATCTATTAGGTCCATTTAGTCCATAGTCTAGGAAAAGTCTAAGTCTTCTTTGTTGATTTTCTATTTGACCGATCTTCCAATGCTGCAAGTGGGGTGTCAAAGTCTCCAGCTATTACTATATTGGGGTATATCACTTTCTTTAGCTTTAATAATATTTGCTTAATATATATGGGTATTCTAGTGTTTATTGCATGTATATTTACAATTGTTATATCCTCTTGCTGAATTGTTTCTTTTCTCATGACATAATGAACTTCTTTGTCTATTACTATAGTTTTTCTCTTGAAGTCTATTTTGTCTGATATAAGTATTACTATACCTACTCTTTTATGGTTCCCATTTGCATTAAACATCTTTTTCTATACCTTATTTTCAGTCTGTGTGTGTCTTTAAAGATGAAGTGTGCTTTTTGCAGGCAACAGATTGTTGGGTCTTATTTTTTATCCATTCAGCCACTCTAATTATTTGATTGGAGAGTTTAGTCCATTTACATTCAATGTTATTATTGATAAGTAAGGACATACTCCTACAATTTTGTTATTTGTTTTTTAGACGTTTCATGGTCTTTTTTCTCTCTTTTCTATCTTCCTTTTAGTGAAAGTGATTTTCCATGGTGGTATGTTTTAATTTCTTGCTTTAAATTTTTTGTGCATCCATTGTACTTTTTGACTTGAGATTACCATAAGGCTTGCAAATAATCTCTTATAGCCCATTATTTTAAACAGATGACAACTTAACATTGATTGCATAAACCAAAAAGCAAGCGAAGAGAAAACTAATTAAAACTCTAGACTTTAACTTTATCCCCCACTTTTTAACTTTTTATTGTTCCTATTTATATCTTATTGTACTATGTCTTAAAAAGTTGTAGTTATTTTTGATTAGTTCATCTTTTAGTCTTTCTACTCAAGATATGGGTAGTTTACACACCACAGTTACAGTGTTATGATATTCTGTGTTTTTCTGTTTACTTACTATAACCAGTGAGTTTTCTACCTTCAGATAATTCTTATTGCTCATTAACATCCTTTTCTTTTAGATTGAAGAAATTCCTTCAGATTACCTTGTGTAACAGGTCTGATCTTGATAAAATCCCTCAGTTTTTGTTTGAATGGAAAAAGTCTTTATTGTTCATGTTTGAAGGATATTTTTTGCTGGATATATTATTCTAGGATAAAAGGTTTTTCCTTCAGCACTTTAAATATGTCATGCCCAATAACAAGCAATGGAAAAAGAACTCTCTATTCAATAAATGGTGTTGGGAGAACTGGATAGTCATATGCAGAAGATTGAAACTGTAACCTTTTCTTTTATATTATACAAAAATCAAGTCAAGATGGAGTAAAGATTTAAATGTAAATCCTAAGACTATAAAAACTCAGGAAGGAAACCTAGGAAGTACCATTCTGGACAATGGCTCTGGTAAAGATTTCATGATAAAGACTTCAAAAGCAATTGCAACAAAAACAAAAATTGACAAGTGGGAGGGACTTAATTGAAGAGCTTCTGCATAGCAAAAGAAACTCTAAAGACAGTGAACAGACAACATATAGAATGGGAGAAAATATTTACAAACTATGCATATGACAAATGTCTAATACCTGGAATTTTATAAGGAAGTTAAACAAATCAACAAGCAAAAAACAAATAACCCCATTAAAACATTGACAAAGGCCATGAACACTTCTCCAAAGAAGACACATGGCCAAAAAGCATAAGAAAAAATGCTCAACATAACTAATCATTAGGGAAATGCAAATTAAAACCACAATGAGATAACATCTCATACTAGTTAGAATGGCTATTATTAAAAAAATCAAAAAATAACAGACGCTGGTGAGTTAGTGGAGAAAGGGGGATGCTTATACACTGCTGGTGGAAATTTAAATTAGTTAAGCCATTGTGGAAAATAGTTCAGATATTTCTCAAAGAACTTAAAAAAAGACCATTTGACCCACAATCCTATTACTGGGTATATACCAAAGGAACAGAAATCATTCTACCATAAAGACACATGCATGTATATATTCATTGCAGAACTATTCTTGATAGCAAAGTCATGAAATCAACCTAGACGCCCATCAATGGTGGACTGGATAATGAAAATGTGGTATATATACACCATAGAATACTATGCAACCATAAAAATAATGATATTATGTCCTGTACAGCAACATGGATGGAGCTGGAGGCCATTATTCTAAGTGAATTAATGTGGAACCAGAGAATCAAATACCACATATTCTCACTCAAAAGTGGGAACTAAACATTGAGTACACGTGGACACAAAGAAGGGAACAATGGGCATTGGAGCCATTTGAAGGTGGAGGGTGGGAGGAGGGTGAGGATCTAAAAACTACCTATCAAGTACTAAGCTCATTACCTGAGTGATGAAATAATCTGTACATCAAACCCCCACAACAGACAATTTACTCATGTAACAAATCTGCACATGTACGCTCTGAACTTAAAATAAAAGTTGGAAAGAAAAAAATAAACAAACAAATGAGTAAATAAATAAATACGTCATGCCACTCTCCCCTGACTTGTAAAGTTTCCATGAAAAAGTCTGCTGCCAGATGTACAGAAGCTCCATTGCATGTTATTTATTTCTTTTCTATTGCTGCTTTTTGGATCTTTTCTTTATGCTTGACCTTTGGGAGTTTGATTACTAAATGTCATGAGGTAGTCTTATTTGAGTTAAATCTATTTGGCATTCTAAATAACTTTCTCATGCTTTAATATTGATATCTTTCTCTAGGTTTTGGGAAGTTATCTGTTTATTCCCTTTGAGTAAACTTTCTATTCCTATCTCTCTCTCTACTTCCTCTTTAAGGCCAACAACTCTTAGAATTATCCTATTGAGTCTATTTTCTAGACCTTATAGATGTGCTTTGTTCTTTTTTATTCTTTTGTCCCCTCTGTGTACTTTCAAACACCCTGTCTTCAAGTTCACTAATTCTTTCTTCTGTTTGATCAATTCTGCTGGTAAGAGATTCATGAATTCCTCAATATGTCAATTGCATTTTTCAATGCCAGAATTTCTACTTGATTATTTTTAATTATTTAAATCTCTGTTAAATAGAAGATAGGATTCTGAATTTTTTCTTGGTGTTATCTTGAATTTCATTGTGTTTCATATAATTCAACATAACATTTTCTCTTTATCCAACATGCTGAATGTTTTTCTCAGTACTATTTTCCAAATCAGTAACTTTCTCTTCTGCTGTGTCTAGTCTCCATCACTTCGGTTGCATTTTTACTTAAATGCCTAAATTTTTCATTTCTAGACTTATGAATTGGTTCTTTTTCCTGTACCACCAATCTTATTTTCTTTCTGCCTGTTTGGATTTATAACTTTTTCTGAATAATGAGGAAAATGGTTTGTCTTTTAAAAATCCTTAGCATACAAAAAGCAATCTAACAACAGACTGAAAAACTGACCAATTAAAAAGCATTTAATCTAAAATATTTATAATGCATTTAATTTAGAATATCTGGAATGAGTATTCTTCAATAGTAATTGTGTTGGCTGGCATTCTTACTATTTGAATTATTAATTTGTTTTTGAAATTTTGATTTGTATGGTCATTTTGATTTGACTTGAAAGTTTTGGTTTGTTTGTTTCAGACTTGTTTTGGGTTATATAATTCTTCTCTGAAAAGAAGCATGTAGTTGTCAGTTCATTGATGCCTTAGGCTGTTAACCCTAAAGTAGTTATTTTACAGGTATTTCAGTAGTTTTGCTTTGCAGGGGTGTTTACATTGCAAATCCACTTACAGAGACAAAGATTAGCTCAATTGAGTTCAGCATCACATGGCTGTTCCTTTCTTTCACCTTCCTAGCCCTGTAGTTTTCAGTAAAAGAATAATCCCATGAGGCAATTTGGGAATTAATATTTTAATATCTATTATGAGAAAGAAAATAACAGAAACCCAGCTTCCAACATTAAGAATAGGCTCAGGACCTACCTTAAGTGGAACACTTCTAGTTCCTTTTATACCATGGTAACTGAACTTCTGGGCATCATAGTTTGTTTCTGTCATCAGAACCAGCAGTCCTAAGGGACATTTGGCTAATAAAGTTTATTTTCCTGCATTTTCTCTTTTTGTAGGTTCATTACCATTGCCTGTGTATGGAGTCAAAGAGGAATGATGAAGAGTGAACTTGAGGAGCCATCATGAATAGAAATACTTTTTCCCTATACATATCCCTAACAGAGTTGGAATGAAAAATTGGTTCAAGGAAGTGTTTCACAGTGATTGCTCAGTGGGTCATCTAGTTCAGACATTCATGAACAGCGTTCTGTCATCACCCACAGCATATTGAAAGGTTTTGAGTGTTTCCTGCATCACGTTTTTGTTAGAGAACGCTTTTTGTTAGAAAACAAAGGCTCTTGCTTTCTTTCCTGATACCCCGTTCCTACCTCACTCATATCTTAATTGTCTTACACTTTTAGAGGGACTTTTTTCCATTCCCCTACAACATTCCATTGCTGACAGAAAGGCTGACAAGGCAGCTGACACAGTGGCTATTACTTTGAGCAGTTTCTAAACAATATTATTTTGCTGCCCTTCTGCTTTCTGTGAAATTATAGGGTGCTTTCTTTTGTGTGCAACAATGGAGCTCAGCTCCCACACTAGGGGTCCTGAACAGATTCCATATCAACCTCCTGAGCTTTAGTATTAATGTAATTATCAGCTGAAGATATCAATTCAGGCACTCACGTTGTCACTATATTGGTTCATCTTCATGCCAGAAAAAGCAGGAATGGAGTTCTAAAGTCTGGTCTGGATTTATAATGGGTGTGTTGCATGTATATAATCATATATATTTATGCATGTATACATTATATAGATACATATATGTATACACCATATACATCTATGTATAGATAATCTCTTGCTAATTTGAGTAACATCTTGAGTAAATAAGAGCAATATTTGTAGAAATGCATGGTGACAGATCAGCCATGAATCTGAATAGGGGGCTGATAAATTCTCACTACCTTCATCTACCTGACAAAAAGACCTGCTAAACAGCTGGTGAAAATTCAATCAGATACCTGCAAATAGCAAGCATCCTATGTGAAAAATGAAGAAGTTTGGTGAACATCTTGGACTGGAATTACACAGAATGGAAAATAAAGGAGAAGTTTCCTCTCCTCCTTAGATGAAATCATGCCATATTTAGTTGCTGTCACCATTTTATGTCAATTCAAACCACTCTAATTTTCTTTCCATTCCCAGTCTACCAAAAATACAATCCCCAATTTTCCCTGATCCTGTTGTTTTCATTAATTCCTCTCCCAGGGACTTACCTAATGCACAAGATTAATGTGTTTCTGACTAGAGAATAGCAGTCTCCAACATGGAGTATATACAGCCAAGACACATGATAATCCATTGAGCAGTGTGAGAAAACTATGAAAATTTCATTGACCATTTCCACCTTCTTTTTAGTTTCCATATTTGAAAATGTTTTTTAATGTTTATGACATTTTAATACTACTGTATACAGTATCATCATAATCAACAAATATATAGATTTTGTATTATATTGTATGTAATATAAAAAGTAGATACATAATTTAAACAGAATATATTAGGTTATAATGTATAATATTATAAACATTATGAATACATGTAGCTTACTATTTTTTCATACCAGAGATGTGCAATTCAAAAAATTTGAAGAACAATGTTCTCGAGCATGTCTTCTCAAACTTTAATATGTACACATACCATCTTTTTTTTAAATGCATATTGAAGATTGTAATGCATATTGAGATTCAATAGTTCTGGGATGGGGTTAGAGCATTTGCATTTCTAACAAATTCCCAGGTGCTGGTGGTGCTGCTGGTCCTTGGATTACACCTGGACTCGCAAGGCATAAGTAAGATTTAATGGCCTGCTATCAGTGGAGGGAAACTCCAGGAGAGCTACCAACTGACATCTGTTGTAGTCTGTGCTCACACTGCTATAAAGGTACTATCCAAGACTGGGTAATTTATAAAATAAAGTGGTTTGATTGACTCACAGTTCCACATGGTTGGGGAGGCCTCAGGAAACATATAACCATTGGGGAAGGAAAAGTGGAAGCAAGGACCTTCTTCACATGGCAGCAGAAGAGAGAAGAGTGAAGGAGGAACTTGCCAAACACTAATAAAACCATCAGCACTTGTGAGAACTCACTATCATGAGAACAGCATGGGGGAAACCATCCCCACGATCCAATCAACTCCCACCAGGTTCCTCCCTCAACACCTGGGGATTACAATTCAAGATGATATTTGGGTGGGGACACAAAGCCTAAACATACCATCTGTCAACAGCCAACATTCCCAGCAGATGGAGAAATGAATGTCTTTGTCCTAAAGGGTAAGGATCTGAGCATCACACTGCAACAATTTATCTTAACTAGCCCCTTGTTACTCTTGAATATACTTTGTAAAATAAACTTCTCCAGGATTCTGATGGACCTCCTTTCCTGTGGAAACAAAGTTTACTAGGATGAACTAGAGTTGCCATTACTGCTGGTCTTACAACTGCAACTCATGCTCAGCAAAACTGAGCCAAGTGGCACCAAGAAGTATCCAAGTGAGTGACCTGGGTATGAAACATATTTTCTGCCTGCATTATGTAACAGCACTCCAACCTGTTCCTGATGATCAGAGTCAATTACCCCATCTTTCCATCCCTGCTGGTTTGATGGAACAATAAAGCTGAAGTAAAGGGATGGGAGCTATAGCTTAGAGTTTCATGGGTTTCATGTTTTCTCAACTGTTAGAAGCCTTCCCCTGATGAGAACCAGGAACTTTAATTTTTCAGAGCCCAGAAGCTTAGGAATGGGAAGCACAAATTTCCCAAGTGAGTCGCTAAAACTGATAGAAAGTGGGGTCTCTCCTGGATCTGTCTTTTGGATCCCATATCCAAGACTCTACCTACTGGGATCCTTGAGATGTCCTAGAAAGTGCACATCTTCCTCACAGGGTGTCATCACTAAGTTGGAACCCCCGTTACAGCTTCAACAGGTTATTCCCTTACTTTACCAGGCTGGCATATGGTGGGTGACATGAAATATGGAAAGACCAATAGGTCCCATCCTTGGGCATATGTTTGCTGCCATATCTCCTTTGTTGTAAAGAGGGTCCCTTGGTCTAGTAGAGTGTTATACAGAATATGATCCCATGTTGTAGTAAAAACTATCTAAGCCCTAAGATATAAGTGTTAGATAAGGTCTACTAGGCAAGAAAAGCAAATCCATACCTAAATGCCGTTCAATTTTACTATTCCAGAGACCACTCTTGTGGGAGCTCAAAGGATGCAGTGTTGGGAAGAGAATAAAGTTAACTTTGATGTAGACACAACAAAGGCATTAGGACAATTCTATGAGATGTCGTGACATGAAATGGCCTTTCAGAATTCTCCCACATTGAGACAAGGAAGCCAGGGCTTTATAGACATATGTGGACAAGTTATTTGATATAAGATGCTCTTTGGAAGGGGTAAAAGTGGCTCTTTTCAGGTCATGGCAATTCTTACAGAGAAATTCATCTGTCTGCTGCAAATATTCCCGAATCCTATTGCTCCTTAAAGAGGGTGACAGAATCTGAGCCTCACAGCACAGTATCATAGCATCCAATATAAGATATATAGATTGTAGGGGCCACGAGAATTTTCCCTCTCCTCTGAAGAACCTCCTCTGAAGGTTTGAGTCTGTTAAACAATAGACAGATTAACAAGAAAGAAGGAATACAAATTTATTGATGTCCAGAAGCACAGGAATCACATAAAATATGAAATATAGTCTGGGCATGGTGGCTCATGCCTGTAATCCTCACACTTTGGGAGGCCAAGGCTGGTGGATCACTTGAGGCCAGGAGTGCAAGACTAGCCTGGCCAATGTGGTGAAATCCCGTCTCTACTAAAAATACAAAAATGAGCCAGGCATGGTGGTACACACTTGTAATCCTAGCTACTCAGGAGGCTGAGGAAAGAATCACTTGAATCCAGGAGGCAGATGTTGCAGTGAGCTGAGATTGTGCCACTGTGCTCCAGCCTGGGTGACAGAATGAGACTCTGTTTCAAAAAAATAAAAATAAGTAAATAAAAAGAAAAGAAAAGAAATACCAAGTAAGGCTGGACTGTTGAAACTTATATACCCTATTTATAGAGGAAAGGAAAATAGAGATGCATGTGGGCAATTGTGCAATTGTGAGGGGTAGTAAATGAATGTAAGGGGAAATTAAGGGGCCCTGGAGACTGATGAGCTTGTAAATGATTCTCTTTGGAATTTGAATGAGCCTGAGAAACAGACAATATCTTGTGACAGAGTCCATCCAAATGTGGTTACATTCCTCAGTCTTCTTTTTTGCCATAGATAAGGAAATTTCAAGGAGAGAATGAAAGGCAATTTTGTTCCTTTTGATGGAGATTCAGATAAGAGAATTTCAGAAAGAGTTCTACCCTGCATTTGAGGGGAGACACAGGAGAAGGTCAGTAAGTTCTTGGTTCTGAGGATGCTTCCAAGGCCTTTTAATTTCCTTTAATTCCAACGTGCTCAGTATGCCAAAGCACTGTACTTTTGGGGTATTGTTCTCTGTGCCCCAACAGATATAACTGCTCTCTCTACTCTTAGAAGTAAATTATGATCAGCCAGATGTGGTGGTTCATGCCTGTAATCCCAGCACTTTGGAAGGCCAAGGCAGGCAGATCACCTGAAGTCAGGAGATTGAGACCAGCCTGGACAACATATTGAAACCCCACCTCTATTAAAAATACAAAAATTAGCCAGGCATGGTGGCGTGGGCCTGTAGTTGCAGCTACTAGGGAGGACTGAGGCAGGAGAATCACTTGAACCCAGGAGGCAGAGGTCACAGTGAGCCAAGATCACACCACTGCCTTCCAGCCTGGGCGACAGAGTGAGACTCCATCTCAAAAAAAAAAAAAAAAAAAAAAAAAGTGAATTATGATCAGTTTCTTTTCAATGGAGTCAATGGAGACACGATTTTTCAGCTAAAGTTGTCAGATACCTTGTCATACAGAATATAAGAGTAGAAAGTAAAACAGCGTTAGATCCTTGCAAGCAGAGAATTCCAAAACAGAGATCAAGAAAATTAAGAGGACAAAATGTGAAAATGATGAAATTTTTTAAGCCAAAAATAAAATTCGAATCCTCCTAACCAACTGAAGGGACCCACTCTGGACCAAGAGAAACCTGAAAAAATTCCCACCCATAATGGGAATTGAGGTCACCAAGCCTCTGTATATACAGACCCTCCCCTTTGGAGTTTAGGCACAACTTCTCCGCATTAACGTTAGAATAGAGATCATAAGACTGACAAAACAGACTCCTAGCAATAAGATACCAAATTCCAACTCAAGTCTGGTATAGCAACACATGACAGCAGGCCCTGTAGGAAATAAAAGTATTTTACCCCAAATATATTTTTTGACATATTTTGAAATGGCCCTGAAAAGCCATTTTCATTGGGGAACTTTTGTATCTGTAGAGAATCTCCATTAATGCAGCTAGGTCTTTCCCAGATCTAAGAGAGATTAACTAATTAACTAAGAGAGATTAACTAAGAGTCTGAACCCTTTTAAGATAGAAAAAATATATTTATCGTCTATTTTGTCTGAAGCCTGTGACCTGGACGCTTCATCTACACAACAAAACCATTGTTGGCGGGGCGTGGTGGTTCACACCTGTAATCCTAGTACTTTGGGAGGCTGAGGTGGGCAGATCATGAGGTCAGGAGATCAAAACTATCCTGGCTAACAGGGTGAAACCCCATCTCTACTAAAAATACAAAAAATTAGCCAGGCATGGTGGTGGGCGCCTGTGGTCCCAGCTACTCAGGAGGCTGAGGCAGGAGAATGGCTTGAACCCAGGAGGCGGAGGTTGCAGTGAGCAGAGATTGCACCACTGCACTCCAGCTTGGGTGACAGAGTGAGACTGTCAAAAAAAAAAGAAAGAAAGAAAGAAAGAAAGAAAGAAAGAAAGAAAGAAAGAAAGAAAGAAAGAACGTTGGCTTCCACAATCCCCCTTTGATGGTTAATATTGAGTGTCAACTTGACTGGATTGAAGGATGCAAAGTATTGTTTCTGGGTGTGTCTTTGAGGGTGGACTGGGAGATCCAGACCCACCCTCAAGCTGGGTGGGCACCATCATCAGCTGCCAACACAGCTAGTATACTAGCAAGTAGAGGAACATGGAAGAACTAAAATTGCTGAGTCTTCCAGCCTCCATCTTTCTCCTATGCTGGATTCTTCCTGCCCTTGAACATTGGACTCCAAGTTCTTCAGCTTTTGGACTCTTGGAGTTACACCAGTGATTTCCTAGGGGCTCTCGGACCTTTGAACATTTACTGAAGGCTGCACTGTCATCTTCCCTACTTTTGAAGTTTTTGGACTTGGACTGGCTTTCTGGCTCCTCAGCTTGCAGATGGCCTCCTGTGGGACCTTCACCTTGTGATCATGTGAGTCAAGTCTAATAAATCTCCCTTCATATATTCATCTATTATATTAGCTCTGTCCCTTTAGAGAACCCTAATACACTCCCTTATCTTAATGTAAGCATTTCTTTGTACTGACTTTAAGTCTTTAGACAAAGCTTAACTCTTTCATCAGATTGCCAGTCAGAAAAACTTTGAAACCACCTATGACCTGTGAGTCCCCGCTTTGTGATGTCCCACCTTTCCAAGCCAAATCCACACACATTTTCCATGGTATTGATTTATATCTTTGCATGTAACTTCTGTCAACCTAAAATGTATAAAACCAAACTGTAATGCAACTGCCTCAGGCTCACTTTCTTAGGACCTCCTGAGACTGTTCCCTAGGTCATGTTCACTCATATCGGCACGAATAAACCTCTTTAAATATTTCATAAAGTTTGGCTTTCTTGTCAACAACATCATTAACTTTTTCCCAACTTAATACCTGGATGGTCTTTCTTCTTCCAGATTCCTCTGTGGATCATCTATGTGTATGCACTGATAGTCCTGGGCTGGGTAGTGTGCATTTATCAGTGGGCAGAGAGCACTGTATAACACTATGAAAAGTGGCTAAGAGATAGTGACCCATTGTTATACAATCTAACATGTATAGTCTAGTGTTACAGATTGGACCTTGGTTAAAAAGAAAAAAAAAACAAAGCAAGAACTAATGCAAATGTGCTGTATCAAGGTAAAGGCATTAGAATATATGGTGCTTAGTAATATTGCCTGTAATCCAGTTCTCTTGCCCAGTCTGGCCTGTCTCTCAATGGCTATCAATGAATCTTCGCTAAGACATTCACTAATTATGTTGTGACCCCTTCCTAAGAATTTCTGCAAAACTAAAAGCATTTCTATTTTACCTTTCTACAACTCTTTACTATACATTCACACATTACCTCATAACAATTCCATGTAGTAGATGTTATCCTTGTTTTTTATGACGTATAGAGTAAGGAGTTATATACACAAAAGTGACATTCCATGTTTGCCTTTAACCCACAGTGTGACCTTGTTTACATGGTATAGCCTCTCTGAGTCTTAGTTTTCTCACCCACAATGTGGCAAAAAATAGGAGTCAAATAATGACAATAAAGATTTAACAACAATAAAGTTTATTCTATAATTTGTACTTCATAATTTGCTATTATTTAATATTGTAGTATTATTATTTAGTTTATCTAATATGTTATTTAATATAATTTGTCCTTAATAGTTAATTATTTAATACCATTTTTAGCTTTAAAGTATTTTTATATACCAGGAGGTCAAATATACAAAACTGTTAAAATTGTGTGTCAACTGAGAATAAATGAATCTAGCATAACTATGTGAATTAAATGCATGAGTATTTCTAAGCACATTTTATTATAATTATTTTGGATGTTCATAGATGTTATTTTTACCCCTTTCTTCACTTTTTTTATATTTCAAGAAGCCGAAGTTTTCAGAAAGCTGAGTACCAGATAAGTGAGCCCTTTCCCTGACTTATTCTCAGCACTGTCACTGTGTAAAAGACATTTAACATTTCATGTTTCAATTTCTTTATCCACAAACCGGAGGCCATCATCCTGACCTGCATCATCAAAAAGCAATTTCTATTAGCAAATTAATGACTGTTGAGGCAGCTATCAATGCTGAGTTTCGTTCATATTAGATTGGGCTTCAATTGCCAAACAGAAAGTGAACCATTCCAGGAAGCCCCTTCGGGAACAAGAGTTTAAGTTTTTTCTCTTTCTGGCCGTGAAGGAAAAGTACTGGTCAAAGAGAAGAGGGAAAGGCAAGGGGGAGGAGAAGGGCAGGGAAGAGAGGAGATAAAACAGTTCAAGGTTGTATTTCCCTGACTTCATTCCTGCAATGTTGGCCTTACCCTTTATGACAAGGTCTGGGGAAGATGTAGTTTATGATGTGCTTCAAGTGTGATAAAGAAGCTGAGAGGAGAGCCTGGGAAGGGTTAGGTGTCCTTGAGGACCGGATGGGCTTGAGTACTCTGTGAGGATGGATGTTATTAAATTGAATTATTATTATTAGCACTTAGGTAATGTGAAGAGGAAAAGGAGGAGAAAGGAAAGAGAGCTAAATTAAAACTCCATATGGGTCACATCGTGAGAGAATTCTGAGAGCTGCAGCTGACCTGTAAATATGGCACGGACTACTAAGTGAGGAGCTGGTTATTCAGTAGGCTCTCCTTAATTCTACAAAGAATGGGTTTTACTGGGAGTTTAATTCTGAAAGTATGGAAGCAAGCCTGTGCCTGTTCTATGGTTTCACTGAGAAATGAAGATATAACTCAATAGGATTTATAGAGTCTGCTCTTTGAATAACCTCTGCTCCAGTCAAAACGGATTCTTCTCCTCTGGTACCCCTGTATTTGCCCATGTTAATCCACCTTTCAGAGCACCTTCATGCTCTTCTAATCTGAGTCATATTCTCCCCACCTTTCATAGGCCAGCTTTGAAATTGCAGTCATCATTTTTATTCGTGGTAGTTAACATTTATGAAGCACTTACCATGTGCCAGGCACTGTGCTGAGTGCTTAGCATTTATTACCTCATTTTATCTTCACATGTGCACTATGAGGAAGATTTCATTGACCCTATTTCACATTTGAGGATCTTATTTTAGAAAGGTATATAGTTTGACCCCAGGGCTCACAACAAGTGTCAGAAATGGGTCTTAATTCTGATTCTTTCTGACTTTGTAATTCTAAATTCTACTGGACTCCTTAAAGCATAAGCAGATAACCCAAATTCATACTGACTTGTAAATCCTGTCAGATGCTCTTCATTTCTGTTGATTCTCCTAAGAACACAAATCAAAGAAATGGAATAAATTGGGAGAGATTACTAGAAAATTCCATGTTCTGAGGAAGAAACAGAATTTGGGATGGGGTGGTGCTTTCAAGTCCTTCTCCAGTGGTCAACAAAGCAAATGGGATTTTGGCATTGGTGGATGAGTTCTATGAAGGAGAAATAAAGGGAAAACACTTATTTTGGAGGTAGTGAAGTTACTACTCTGAATGGAATTATTATCCTGAGGACTATCTTGTTGCTGATTTTGATAAACACAGAAACAATAATTAAAGTACCAGTAGAAGACAACTTGAGTCAAAGAAAGTGGTATATAGTATAGAGGAGGAAATGCTGAAAAGCTGGCCTGTAAAAACATGAGACAATTTACTTATATCACGTCTTTCAGGTCCTGTGGGGCAGGTACTGATGCATATATTTCTATTATTATATTACTTGATCTATTAGCAGTTCTTATATATAGCTGTTTAATCCATCAACTATTGAAAGATTATCTCCTAGTGAAATTCTTGTTTACTTTCCCTTTTAAGTTCCACAATGGAAACATGTTCTCTTCCCATTTAGGGTTTTCTTTTATTTCATTAACCTCTATCTCCTCACTTCTCCAATCTCTATATCTGTAAAGGTTGGTGTGCGCCATGATTGCTATTTATTTTCTCTGGGTGACTTGGTTCACCTTACCTATTCTCCTTGCTTTGCTTGCATTTGTGAAAGAGTCTGCAAAATATCATCTCTATCCTGGCCTGTTTCTAGACATTTCAGACTAGAATGTATACTGATATTTGAAAGTTCTACATGATTGCCTAAAAGCCATCCAAAACTCTAACTGGGTAAAATAGAAAAAAAGGTAATTCCTAATTTCTCATTGAAAAATTATTCCCCCAATCACTCTTCTCCATCTCTGTAAAAAATACCACCATCCAGTTTGTTGTACACATCTAGAATGTAGGTGTTATCCTTGTTTCCTTTCTTTTACCCAACTCACCATGCTCCTTCCTTTAATAAGCATCATCAATTTTTCCTCTAAAACATTTCTCAATTTGGTTCACTACTCTAAATCTCCACTATTACTCAATTCAAGGATAAATAATCTATTTCCTGGACTCTAACCATAAACATCTACTTGTTTCCTGATTATCTATGTGTCCAAGTCACCCTCCAAAAGGCCAGCAGATAGGATTCTTAAAAGACTAAACCAGATCATGCCACTAATGTGCTCAAATCATTCATAAGATTGGTTTCCCAATAGCATGTGTAGAAATCTTCAAACCTCTGACCTCGGCCCACAAGGCTCTATGTGTGCTGACCATCATCTCTAACTAATCTTCCTAATCCATTACGACTCAGTCACAATCATCCTTTTTCTTTTGCATGCACAACCCAAGCTCATTTTCGCCTTAGGCCTTTCTCATGTCTGTCTTCTCTGCCTGGAATGCTCTTCTCCATGATCTTTACAGAGTTTTCTATGGCCTGTTATTTCATTGCATCTGAAGTGTCACCTTATAGGCAATCTAACGTAGCTTCCTAGTCACTATGATATCACCCTTTTATCTGAAGAGCACATTATCTTCACTTGTCCTTTTCACATTTATTTGTTCTTATCGCTTTCCTTCTATCTAGAATGCCAATTTATAAAAACAAGTGTTCATTTTTATATTCCTAGAAATTAGACAATGTCTATCACATAGCAGATACTTGGTAGATTTCATTGAAAGAAAGAAAAAAATCAAAATAAATGAACAAAAAAGAAACAAGAGAGTGATCCTCTAAACCGATGAACTGAGTACTTATTATCCAAATAATGAGTTTGAAATTCGACATAAGAATATAAATGCAATATTGGAAGTGTTACCGAAATTTAGTGAGGCCAGGTGGATGATTAGAAGATGACAATTAAGATTATGCCTTTAAAAAAGCATTTAAAATAAAGGACATGAGGAAATGGCACTGTAATCAAAATAACTATTATATGCCTGAACAGATATCCCCAAACTTATCTGAGGTACAGTGTAAACCACTTTGGTGATTGAGTAAAAAAGAAAAACAAAAGTGATATCACTGTGAGATGATACTATACAGAAAATCACTATGAACTATATATGGCTATAGTTTTTCTAATATAGATCACAAAAATGGTACACAAAGAAGTTAAAGTGTAGAGGTGGGAGGCAGAGGACTTTTCAAACACAGTCTTTGCAATTATTTATGTAAGTGACCTGAGTATTATACTGGACCTTTTTTTTTCTCCAGTATAAAATTCAAATCAAGTCAGTCATTTTGTCCTATATGTAACCTAAATAAAACTGAGCTGCCTAAATGGTCCGGTCTCATCACAGCTATTCACTGAAAAAAATTAGTCAACTTTAATTTTTACTAAAATTTCTCAAATTAGTCAACTTTATTTTTACTAAAATTTCTCAAAACCATGCAAAAATGTAAGAAAACATAAAAACACTTGATGAAGTGTTTTTTGCTTGTCCTGTGTGTATGCATGAGAGATAGAGAGAGAAGGGAAAAAGGGACAGGAGGTGAGAGAAAGGAAGACAGAAATTTCTAAGAATGTGTGTGTGTGTGTGTGTGTGTGTGTGTGTGTGTATAACACATGGTACTTAGACTCAAAAGTCTTTTACTTCTCTTTAACCTCTTTTTTCTTTATTCAACCCATGTTAACTATTTATTGCACAATTACATTCATTTTCATTTGTTTTCTTCCAGCAGTAGCTCTTTAGTCTATGCAATGGAAAAAAATTAAACAGATCTAAGGTCTTCTCAGTTCTCGTTCTTACTTACATGTCAATAAAAGCTATCCTTTCTTTTACCACTGTAACCCTACAATCTAAATATAAACAGTATGTATTGCTACCGTGCTATCTACATCTTAATATCATTTCTTCTTTGGCTTCCTACAATTGCTTTTCATTTGGTCTCTTTTATATCTCTCTTTGCACAGTAACTCATGCAGTATTTTAAACATAAATCTATTCAAGACACTCCCTTGCTTAAGATCTTTAACTTCTGATTGCTATGAAATTCTAAGTTTCTTCACATAGGCTGAATAGCCTTGCATGATGTGACACCTTCCTAATTTTTTAACTTGATCTTCTGCCTTAATCTACAACCCAAACTTAGCATACAAGTTCATGAGGCTTCCATCAATCCTAGAGCATTCTGTGCTTTCTCCTGATTCTGTACTTTCTCGTATCTATTCTTTTTCCACTATAATGCTCCCTTTCTCTTCTCTCAGCGAACTCTACTTATCCATCAGCTGGATCAGCTAACATATCCCTCAGATAAGCTTAAGTCTTCCTATTAAATATACTGAAAACATTATCTTTCCCTCAGTCCTCTTACAACAATTGTATTAATTTCATAAGTATTTGTCTAATTTATGTTCTCTTTCTTAGACCATAAGTTACATGAGGTCAAGGATGTTCTCATTCTAGTACTTGAAGGAATTTGAGACAAACACACAAACACACATGCACACACACACCAACTGTTGAATATTTTAATGAATAAGTAAATGAAAAATGAATCTATTGAAGGTCTAGATCTGCAAAATGGAGAGTGTATGGCATTTTCTGACTCCCTTTTTTAAAAAAAGTTTTGGTCTCTGCTTTGATGTTTTTTAGTTTCATATTGACCCTTTATAAGAATTAGGAAACCATCAATTTATATAATTCGCTATAATAAAAAATAATCTTATTCAGTAGACTTGCAGTGATCAGAGTCTTGGGAAACATGACCATGTCATTTTGGAATTGATAAATTTGAGGAAGAAATCTGGGCCCTTTTATAGTTAACATAGTCCCCCCCAAACTGTCTGTGAGGACACCAACAAGCATGTAATATGGGCGCTATAGCTTACCATATAGACTGTGCCTGGCTCCATCAGAATTCAGACTCTGTGCTTCCCATTGGTTATCAGTACCATTTTGAGAAACCTTCCTAGAGGCAGCAGTGATTAAAAAAATACTTTTATGTTCCACAGTTCCATATGGATTAATATTATCTACAGCAGCTATTTTATGGGGTAATTTGTGCTTAGATGTTCTTGATGCTTGATATGTGTACTCGTTTCCTGGATTGAAGAAAACACTCGCTTATTGCACATATGTTTACTTCACCTCTGCATTGTCAGCTCTCTCCTGCTGGAATAAAGTGATCATTATGGGAATTATTCAAGGAATTCATATTCTAGAGGACATAAACCAAAGATAGAAAGAGGGATATGTAAACAACGTAAACCAAAGATAGAAAGAGGGAACAAGTAAACAAAGTGAAAAGGTCCCTTGTGTCTTTAAGAACTTCATTGAGAAAGATAAAAAGCAGAAGGTGGTGAAGAGCAAGAAGAAATACTGGAATCAGGAAAAGGGTGATTTTCACTCTGTACAGAACTGGAAGAAGAACATGACTCATGGTAGATAAGGTACTGTTAAAAATGACAGCAAAGGCAAGGTGATTCATTCATCTCTTATTTTTCTCTCATTTTATCTATCAAGGAGAATGATCTCCAAACTGTAAAGCATAAAACAAAATGCATAAAGAGCAGATCATGAAGGAAGATAGATGCCAGGATCTTCAAATGGCATTTGACTGCTTTAAATAAGCTTAATCCTTGGAGTATTCAATAGATCCATGCTATGTCTTTTCCATCAGATATTTCAGAAACCTGCCAACTCCACTTCAGTATATAATATCATTTCTGCAACTCCAACCTGGAATGGTGGCCCAAATGCTGCCTAGTGGAGCTTTTTCATTAACCAAAACTTAACATCAACAGAGACTGAATCTCTGATCCAGTGAGTAGTCCTTGACTGCTGTTCTTGGTAATTTGAATCTTACACCATTCCTGTGCTCCACCAACTGGTGGGAAACTCCTTTACTTCAACCTGGAAAATGTCCTTTGTGTGTTTAAATTGTGACTGGAGCATATCCTTCTAGGAGGCTGTATTTATCTTGCTTTGTTGAATGACTACAATTGATCTACCCTCCTCAACCATTTAGCATGTGCCCTGCCATGGCCTTTCTCTGTTTGTAATGATTAAGCTTCTTTGCTTCAACAGCCAATCCATATATAGAACGTAGACTGCACTCATTTAAATGCCACGTCCTAGGTCTAAGCACTATCATTTTTGTTACTAGCTCTCAGTGGTACAAAGAGGAATATTATTTTTTCCTAAGCGGTTCTCAAGATGCAGGTGAACCTTCCCTGCATCTTGGGTCTCTGCTTTAATGTTTTTCATTTCTGATATGGTTTGGCCGTGTCCACTGTGGGGTGGTTTTCCCCATACTGTTCTCAGGTAGCGAATAAGTCTCACGAGATCTGATGCTTTTATAAGGGGTTTCGCCTTTCACTTGACCCTCTTTCTGTCTTGCTGCCGCCATGACGCTCACCTTCCGCCATGGTTGGGAGGCCTCCCCAGGCACACGGAACTGTAAGTCTATTAAACCTCATCTTCTTTATAAATTACCGAGTCTTGAGTATGCTTTATCAGCAGCGTGAGAATGTAGTAATTCAGTTTCATATTCACTGAGGCACTTTGTAAGAGCAACCATTTTGCATGCTCTTCTTTAGCAGATGCCTCTCTCTCTGTCCCTCCCTTTCTTCCTTCCTTTCTTTTTTAAAAATGTTCTTGAAAAACAAGATTGTTCTTCTTTGTCTTCCTTCTGAAACCTCAGTTCTCTCATGCTTAGCCTGGCCACCTCTCTGTACAAGTCCAACCTATCTGGAACCCAGAAGGGCGTTTGACTGCATGAGTTACTTGTGCAATCAGATAAAGGACTTTTTTTTTCTTCACTGAAGCATTGCTCACTCTAGTTTGTAATAGATTATGGAAATAATATTTTATTTATAAAAACAGTCTTAGAACTATACAAGATAAAGAACTATTATCCTATTTTTTAGAGAAGAAGTAATTATTGCAGTTCTTTTATAGCAGACTTCAGATTAAAATTTTAGTTTTATTATTTCCAATCTGAGATATATATATATTTTTACTACATCACACTGTTTTCCTGGTGTACCAAAGCACTATCTTTTTAAAAATACAAATGTTCTTGGGGATGTATAACAGTATATTGCGTATTTAAAAGTGGAGTCCAATGTTCAATAATTTTAGAAACAGCTTAACCATGCTTTTTAAATGCAGGGTTTTGGAGGGCCTTTGACATGCTTATACAAATAAGTATCTTCCAGAGTAGGATTATAGTATGAGTGCTTCCCAGACTCATAGGGAGGGGCACAGAACACCCCTCCCAGTTTTACTCATATATAATCTTATATCATCTTCTTGTAGATCTCTTTAGGAAATGGTACCTGAATTGTTCCATGAATTTAATCACACCTTCCAATAAAACAGGGGTCTGTGAACAGGTATAAGAAAGGAAAGTGAGGAAGAAACATTATGCAACTTAGCATTCGTCTTGGAGACATAAGCATAAGAGAAAGTTGGGCAAGCCCAACTCGAGAGAGTGAAGAAAAGGCTTTTGAAGAAAAACTTGACCTAAATTATGCCTGCTTAGAATACTTTCCGGATTGTTTGTTATAAGTCACTTCAAGATTCAGTTTCAAACATCATTGTAAGCCAAGCAGATAGATATTTGCTTAAGTTACATGACTGCTTATGAATTATCTGAAGCTGTAGTGAGTTTTTTTTTTGGAGTCCTTT
Source organism: Homo sapiens (assembly GCF_000001405.40). Lineage (NCBI taxonomy): Eukaryota > Metazoa > Chordata > Mammalia > Primates > Hominidae > Homo > Homo sapiens. Next base: position 38,292,681 of record NC_000018.10, read on the forward strand.
CAGGTCTCATATTCCGGTGTCTTTGTAAGTCAAGAAAAGAGACCTTCAAAAACTGGAATTTGGATTTGGGAATCCCCTAAGGCAAAGCTTGTCTCTACATAGTCACCTTAAAATGAAGCCTGCCAGGAGACATATAGTCAACATGCAACTATCTTCCAACGAGTTTGTATTAATCCAAATAATTCAGCCATAATTATCACTTAACAATCAACAAATTAAGTCAATATATCTTATTAAAATTGATTTTGTTATGGTTGTCCTATCCTCTTTCTTCTCTTTGGGTTAATTTTTTTCTTGCTGAAGTATATCATTTAAAATTTATTTTAGAAGTGATCTCTGCATGGTAAAATCTCTTAAATTTATTTGTCTGAAAATTTGTATTTCAATGTTTGTGATATTGTAGGTTTATTGTATGTTTATTATAATGATGAGTGATTTTCGTCGAATACTTTGAAAAAATGTTCATTGTTTTTTCTGGCAATTCTTGTTTCTGCTGAAGTATCTGCTTACAGGTAAACTGTCACTCCTCTGGCTCTCATGTATTTTTCTCTAGGCGCTCTTAAGATTTTCTACTCAATGTGGATGTATTAAAATTTAATTACAATATAAAATTCTTGTCAGGACTCAGAACAGAATTTTAATTTGAGAGTTATTATGTTTTTTTATTCTGAAAAAATTTTAGCCCTTGCCACTACTAATATAGCCCTTCTTTCATTTCCTCCACTCTCATATTCTGAAATTCCAAATGAAGGTAAGCCAAAGCCTCCAGTTCTGTTTCCCTTATCTTTTGATTGTTTTTTCTGAGTGAATTTCTCAGTATTATGTTTCTATTTATTCACTCTCTTTTTGACTTTATTCAGTCTACAGTTCACTCAAACTGTATTTTATTTCATTTTAATTTCTTTTTTTATTTCCAAGATTTATAAGTAATTTTTTAAAAAAATCTACCAATTATTTTTTTCATTTCTGCTTTAATTAATTTGTTTCATAGTATTTTGTATGTGTGTTTTAATGGATATAATTTCTCATTTTCTCTTTGAGTATCATAATCATATTTGTTTGTAAGGCTTTGCCATACTGTTCGATAAAAATAATTTCATATGTAGTTCATTCTTTTGATTTTGTATTTTGTTGACTGTTTTAGCATTAGATTTACCTTATGTTTCTGTATTTGTGTTACAGGTTTACTCTGGTTCTTTCTCTCTCTCCCCTAAACCTTTTATTCTTTCTCTTTGCCTCCTATTTCAGTAATCTTCTCCAATATAGAGTTTCTGTTGCGGCATCTAACCTGATCTTGAGCTCCAGCCAAGTATTAAGCCTTGATATGGCCTTATAGATACCTGGTCTCATGGAGAAGTCACAACTATTACCTACCTACACAGACACAGCTAGCAGATGTATTCATTTCCTGGCCATGAAGGATCATGATGCCCACTAGAGCAGTGACTTTTTTATGAGACGGAGTCTCGCTCTGTTGTCCAGGCTGGAATGCAGTGGCGCAGTCGGCTCAAGAGCAGTGACTCTCTTTAAGCTACAAACTTAGAAATTTTTAACACAACTTCTTTCAGCCTCCATTTTCATGAGTAAAGCAGCTCCACCCAACATGCTACCTTTGGGCTCAGGTGTCCCATCTCACAGGGAAACTTTTCCTTTCCCTTCACCCATGAAGCCTGACAATTCCTGCATACATGCTCATAACTCAGAATTTTAGCCCCAATTTTAACTTATTGTGTTTTTTTTTCAACTTTAGGTTCACAGAGATATTTATGTTGTTTTTAATTCAGCTACATTTTTAATATTTTATCACTTGTTCCATATGTTTGGGGCAGAGGAGATTTAAAAAAAAATTATGCTATCATTGCTATTCAAAGACTCTAATTTTCAATTATTTTAGTATGCCTCACACTTAAATGTGAATGGAAACCTAGGTTTGTAAGATACATGAGAGGACCTCAAATTGAAGAAATAATATTTCCTTGATGGAGACAAATAATGTAGGAAACATGAAAATTAAATACCCCTCTCATGATTATATTAATATATACTCAAAAACAAAATTCAGAATAAAGACAAGAAGTATGCTATTAAAACATAAAATTTAAAGAACAAGAAAAAGAAACAAAAACATTTAAAGAACAAGAACAAGAAAAAGTTTCTGAAAAAGTCAGATTTTCCAAAAAGTATAATACAAAATTTGAACTATAAAAGACAAAAGACTTATATAACCAATTAAGTGTCTAAAGAGCCAATATAGAGTACAAAATAAACATAAGAAATAGCTATATAAAGGAAATAATAGTAATACATAAATAGTAATTATATATTATTTCTATATAAAGGAAAAATAGCAGATTTTATTAATAGGTGTTATATATAAATCATCTATAATTATATAATATATAAATATAATATATATAATATATATTAATGATATAATAGATATTAATGATGTAATATATGTTATATATTTATTACATATATATTTCATATATATGTTAAAGGGCATTGAACTCTACATTGAAAGAAGAATGTTCTAATGTTAAACATAAGAAAAAAATAATATACCCACCTGAAGGCAAATTATTATGATATTTCAGAATAAGGAAAGTTGATAGAATTATAAGCCAAAAACAGAGTAATAATTTGTATGGCTTCTATTTTCAAAACGACAAGAATGAATGCCAGAAATTAATGCCTTCAAAAGTCTCAGTAGGCCAGGTGCAGTGGCTCATGGCTGTAATCCCAGCACTTTGGGAGGCTGAGGCAGGCAGATCACGAAGTGAGGAGATCGAGACTATCCTGGCTAACACAGTGAAACCCCGTCTTTACTAAAAATGCAAAAAATTAGCCTGGCGTGGTGGTGGGTGCCTGTAGTCCCAGCTACTCAGGAGGCTGAGGCAGGAGAATGGTGTGAACCCCAGAGGCGGAGCTTGCAGTGAGCCGAGATAGCACCACTGCACTCCAGCCTGGGTGACAGAGTGAGACTCCATCTCAAAAAAAAAAAAAAAAAAGTCTCAGTAAATATTTATTTTCAACCTAAGACTCAGTAGTTAGCCAAACTATCAGTTGAATATAAGGACAAAATAAGGACAAGCAAAGCACAGAAAATTTTCCTACTAGTAACCCTTTTGTGAGAAGCAACATGAGGATGTACTCCAGAACTATGCAGTTAGTTAACCAAGAGTGATTACGACATGATAGGCAAAAAAGAAAGTAATCATACTAGGAGAGTATTAGAGAGAATTCCTTGGGTTATGAAAATACATTCTTAGAGAGAGGGCTCTAATTTCAGATGATAGTAAGAGGTTGGAGAGGTCTGGTAGTGATGTCCCCAGGGGATATAAAGAGGTAACAGAGTAGTTGAGAGCATTTAGTAAGAGCATAGGTTTTGTATTTGCTGGGGAGAGGAAGAGAGAAAAGGAAACACAAATACAAAGCTGATGTAAAAGAAAGCTGCTATAAAGAAAGGAAATGCAGTAGCAATATATAGCAATATTTGACCCTGTAATAAATAATATTTACATAGTTATAATATTAAGACTACTATTTTAATTAATACAGTGGCTTACTATTTTGGATACATGTAGAAGATGAGATACAGATGGTATAAGTGAATAATGTCTAAAGTCAATAGATGTAGCACTATCTGCATAATATTCAGAAACACTGAGGTAATAACCAGCAGACAAAGCAAGAGGGTTGTAGAGGAGGAATGTTGGAGGAGGTAACTGCCATAGGTACTATTTGGCTTTTGAAACTATGTGCATCTGCTGTTCACATAAATATAAAAACTCAGTGCTGCTTTCTTCTGAATAGCATTCCATGTTAGAGTTCACTTATTATCCCTTAGAATCAACCACAAAACATGAAAAATGATGAGTAACCATTTTCTTAATTCTCCCAAGAGTGGTACATAAATAGCGCCATTTTAGATGCAAGGGAGAGAAGTTAATTCATTATGTTCCATGGATGCGTTAGATCATAAGGACTGGATTCTCTTGCTGAACAAGTGGAGAAAGTTTACACTTGGGCTGTGTTAACACTTAATTTATTGTTTTGATCATCTTTGCAGAACATCTCATTCCATTGTATCAATAGTGTCTCTATCATTCAACTTACACTTTCCAATTCTCTACTCTAAGCCCTTTACTTTCTCTAGTTTCTTTGGGAGCGAGACTTCATCCTATTTATCATTGTATTTCCAGTGCCAATATATTGTTTGATATTTAATATTTTGTCAATAGATATTGATTCAACTGTGATAATTAAGTCATGGATAGGTATCTTAGAGGAATGAACTGTCTCCAGTGACATGATAGAAAACTTAAAAAGCCAAGAGTCATAGCTTCAGCATACCCACCCACCAGCTGTTTGCTCTTGGAAAATTTGCTTAAACTTTCTGATACATGTTTCCTCACACACTCAGTGGTGATAATAATGTATCAGCTAGACATCTCATGGAACTGTTGTTAATATCTGAAGGAAAGATGAAGGTGGCAATATTGAGTAATGATCTGTACAGGTGAATGGGGGTTCCATATACAATATTAATGATTACTTATTCAACACCTGGGAGCTGAGTGCTAAGAACGTCTTACAAGTCATATGTCCTCTGCACAGCAGGGCTGGTCCTCCAAACCCACTGAAGTGTTTACATTTGCAAAGTTGATGGTTGGCATTAACCGGAGCTCCCAGCATGGAAACCTCAATAAAGTGAGGGGATGGGGGATAAAGAAGGTACTGGAATGAGTTTAAATGATGTCACCATGTACAGAGATTTATAATAGGGTTTTCTGTCCCTGACCTCTCTGCATGTGCTGAATATACAGCAGTCTTCAGAGCTTATTGACAAGATATCAGAAAAAGGTGAGCTGTAGACAGATCTAATAAAAGTTGGACAGCCCTGTGCACAAATAACTCCCACTGCAGACCAGAATAATGAATAATATCTCTATGTGTGTGCTTGCATGTGTGTGTCCTGTAAACAAATTTTGCCCAAAATAATTCTCAAAAATCTGTTCATCTACCGACTTTTCCTCCTCACCACCGGGAAATGAGAATTAAAAATATTTAAATACTGGCAGAGGGATGGGAGCTGGGCGGCAAACCAATATTCTCCCTTAAAGTCCGAGATTTAAAGATCCATTTATCAAAACCTTTGGTGTGTGCCCAAGTCTTCCTGAATTAATGCATGCATGCATATGAAAATCAATGTTTCCTGCCCATATAAACACTGCAGCTCCGAATCAATCTCTCAAAGCCGAAGAGGGTTAAATATTTAAACAAGCTATGTATTGAAATACATTTTTAATGCCGTGAAGTCATTCTGATGAAAGATTACTCAGGAGCCTTCATTACTGAGTGTAGAGAGTAATGTGGTATTATCGGAACAGATGGCCCAGCTGTCTGTGGGCTCTGGCCCCCCTCAGGGTAGATTCAAATGCTACTCCTAGAGTCAGCTGTTGGTAGCCAATGGCCTGAATGGATGGCTGCCTACACACCACACATCCCTGCATGATAGCCATGCTGGCTGCTGTCTCAGGAAACCTTTTCTTAAGGAGTCAAATGATGTTTTGATTTGATTTGATTTGATTTCTTTGTAAGCTCTCCATGTTTCTGCTGCTTGTTTCAAGTGGAAGCTGTTGTTCAGGAATCCAGAGTGGATAAGCTGACCATTCTGCTGTTTGTTGTCTGATTAGAAAGCACTGCTGAGTTGCTCTCAAAAGCATAGGTGGAATATGATTTAAGAATACTCTATTTTTTTATCTGCTTCTGATGAGTACAAAGTTGTTATAGTGCATAGAAAGGCTACTCGCTGTGCTGAGATCCAAATGTCCTGAGCTATAGTTCTTACTTCCTTGTTTGCTACCTGTGGGCTTGGGGAAACTTGCATAATTGTTCTAAGCTCAGTTGTTTTCACCTGTGATCTTTGACAATCTTTTCTTTAATAGCCTTCTATGACCACATTTTAAGTCACATGACTATAGAAGAGAATTATGGAGAGAATATTAGTGATGGAGAGAAGACCAGACTCAGAGTTATGCAGAGGGATATAGCACGTGGATAGGATTTCCAAATATCTTTTTGAACTCATTTGCCTTGCTCCATCTCCTAAGATGAAAATTCCTGTTCCATCTACCTCTATTAAACATCTTGAGAAACCTGTACATATATATATATATATAATATAAATATATATATTTATATATATAAAACTTTTAAAAATATACAATGTTTCCAATTGTGAGAACTAGAGGTAAGAAAAGTGGGAAGGTTCTGGCACTGTGGCAGGGGTGGGGGTTGGAGGTATGGTGAGTACAGTTGGTGCATATCAGAGCATATGGAAAATTTGTAAGCTAAACACTTTGTGCTGTCCCATGTAAATAAGATCACTTAAGTGACTCCTTTCATTCTTGCTTTCTAAGAGCCATGTGGTAGAAGGGACTCTATCATGAAAAGCAACCTTCTGAGATCAAATTTGTTTGAGTACCTTCAGGTCAAAACTAGCCCCATGAAGTACAGTGAAATCTTAAACGGCGGGTATACACCAGGAGTTTACATTTACATGATGAACAAAATGTAAAGGTGAATGTGAGGATTGGCCAAAGTCACTACATTCTTGAATTAAATATTGACTCACTTAAATAGTTTGGAGATTTTCTAATTGTAATTTGGTGCTATTCTTAGTGATATTCAGTTAATAATATCACTCTTTTCCCAGAAGAGAAAGTAAAGATCACACATTCTTCAAATTTTCTGTGGAAAAGCATGAACATAAAAATCAGAGAGGATTAAAAAGAAACACTTGGCAGCTTTCACATGCAGCCTCCTTGTTACGACCCACTAATTCGACAAGGATCAAATCGTCAACTGTAAGAGGAATTGGAGCCAGACCTTTTGAGTCACAGACTGATAGCTGCCATTTTCATTAGGTAAAGCCTGTCATTCCCTCTGCTTGCTTATTAGCTGTGGAAGCTGATGGCTGTATATGTACAGCAGGGGCAGGCAGGTGCCAAGCCCTGCAGCCCTGCACTAGTTGGGCATGTTCAGGGTCCCCAGTTTCATTATTTCTTCTTCCCATGGACTAACTAGTTTCTATATTGTGCTTATTAATTTTACTTCTACCCATGGGGCATGACAGCTATACCACGGACATCCAACATGATGTCCCTGCCGTCGATATCAGCAATTCATCCTGGTTCCCTGAAATTCAGATGATTGAACCAATTGCTTTCTGGTCAAGTTGTGATTCTTCTGAAAATTATGACAGTCAAGGACCATGCATGGATTTGATCCCTAGTGGTCAAGCTATGGAGCCAACACATAAATCCTATGGAATATGCCACACAGTTTCCTTCTTTCCCCCACTATTTTCTCAGTTTTTTTCCATCTAGAATATCTATATGCACTCTTTTGAGAATTGTAAATTCTCGCCACCCTTAAATAAGCTTCATGGCTTCCATAAAGCATTTCTCAATCAAAACCCTGCAGAATTTTTTTGCTCATTTGCATTGCAATACCGCATACTCTTTGAAACATTCCTTCATCACATAACATACAGTATCACAGTGTCAACTAGGTGTTGGGGATGCACTAGCGAATTATCCATGGTGCTTATCGTCTGCGAACTAAGCTCATATGACTTTGAGAAAATGATTAATTTCTCTCATTTATCATCGGAATAATACCTTTTCCACAAATTGTTGTAAGGATAAAATAAAAATGTGTGTGAAATTACTTTGTAAATTATAAAGTGCTACATAAATATAGGGTATTGTTTTTATTATGCCTACTTCTAATCGTATTAGCTCTCAATCATTTGTCTTGGTGTATAAAAATCAAGATATTTTTTGTTGGTTTTAGCAGAGTGATTTGCACATAAAGATTGAAGTGATTGATTCATTTTTTGCTTTCAGATTTATGATCCAAGGACTAATAATATTTCAAAATCTTGGCAGTCCATGACTGAGGTTTTGAGTTTCCTTTCTCCTCAGTCCTTGCAAGTTCAAATGGAGTTGGTTTCCATCGATATCAGACTGTGGTCATTCAAACATGGAAGCTCAGAGAGGCTGGGGTGAGGGGCTGTGTTCTCCATATGGACTCATTATATTTTCCTCATAACTTTCAGTTCAGCAAAGGCACCTTGGGCAGCTGTTCTTCACCAAGTTTTTATTTGATTTGACTGATTTTACAGTTTACTCTGGTGTTAGAACTTTTAGCCAAAATGTCTTCACACACAAATAAGAAGGAAGAATAATAAGAGTGAGCAGTATATTTTGAATGTATCAATTTTTTATTTTTACAAAGTATATTCAAATATATTATCCTATATAATATTTTGAGCATGCCTACAAATCAAAACAACTTTAAAAACTCATTTTATAAATGAGAAATTCAAGGACTTGGCTCCAAAATTGTATTGTCTACACTTTTTTCTTCCTTGCAGCAACAATGACTAAGAATCTCACTTATTTGAGAAGGCAATTATAAAGTCAGTTTTGTGTATAATCCATCCAAATTATTCTACTCTGAGGCAGAGGGCTGATCGGAGTAATGATATATATTTGTGAGGAAAGGAACTAGTAAAAGTGGCCTTCTTCCCCACACTACAGAGGGACCTGCCATTACATTTGTAGGTAGAATCAAGAGTTGAGAGTGTCCTCAAGGCAGCAGCTGGAGGAGAAATTCTAAATGAGTTTCCAGGAGAAGGCAACACACCATGTAGTTTTGGAAAATATTTATTGTAAGCTGTAAGGAGAATGATTACCAAGAACAAAAAACAAAAAAATTCCCAATTACACTCTGATACAATGCTTTCTTATTTTCATTTTGATCAACTGAAAGAGTTCTTTTAGACCTATTTAGAGATAAATTTTTGTGGACAACTCTGTTGTGTACATAGAAAAGAAAGCACAAGAAGCATACACTAGTTTTGGAGGTTCTCAGTGCTCTGTACATTCTGACTGACTTTTCTCAACTACTTTTCTACTTGGGCATCAATGTTCATGAATTTGCAAACAATATTATCTTCTGTGTCATGAAGAGAATTGGTAAGTCAGCATTCCTAAAAGGGTATTCTATTATTGCTTCTGGTATTATCTTTGAAACTACTATGACTCATTCTGCAAGTTATGATGGGTGTGTTCATTCAATGCCAACATTACTGTGATAGTCATCTGACTGACAGTAATTGAAATTATTTTGTGATCTCAGAGGTATAAAATGTGGTGGGACAAATGCATTTTAGAGTCTATAAAATATGGAAATAGAATATTAAGATGTAAGGATTAGAAAGTGTCATGGTACAAGGGACCCAGGAAATTTGATGGGCAAGTAGAGGTAATTCTTGAGTTAGGTGCAGGACTGGAGATGACTTTTCTGTGCTCCCTGGGACTGATGTATTAATATTTGCTGGTGGACTATGGGGAAACCAGCTGGGGAAGACATTGTATTTAATAATCCAGGACCAGGGCTCATCCTTTTTCAAGTACTGGACCTCCATATTCCAATCTGACTATTCACAAAAAATGGATATGATACTATTTAGAGGTGCCAGCTCCAAATTAAACTTCAGGCATCCTGAGTATCAATTTGAGCAGAGGCTCTTCAAAGTTCTCTGATGTTTGACAACCCAAACATTGGTTTTCCAGGACTTTTCCACTGAATTGAGGAGTCTCTATTGGTCAACATTCATGAATTTGCAATTGACAATGAAGCATCAGAGAAGAGATGTGTGAGGAGAGGTAGAAAAAGTGATCATGGGAAAGTCAAGTTACAGAGGAATATAAGATAGTAAAGGCCACGGAGATAAGAAAAAATATGGCCGGGCGCGGTGGCTCACGCCTGTAATCCCAGCACTTTGGGAGGCCGAGACGGGCGGATCACGAGGTCAGGAGATCAAGACCATCCTGGCTAACACGGTGAAACCCCGTCTCTACTAAAAATACAAAAATTAGCCGGGCATGGTGGCGCGCGCCTGTAGTCCCAGCTACTTGGGAGGCTGAGGCAGGAGAATGGCGTGAACCCGGGAGGCGGAGCTTGCAGTGAGCCGAGATCGCGCCACTGCACTCCAGCCTGGGCGACAGAGCGAAACTCCGTCTCAAAAAAAAAAAAAAAAAAAAAAAGAAAAGAAAAAATATGAGGGAAAGAAGTGTAATAAGCCAAAGAGGAGTGAAACGGAGAAAGGAAGGAATACAGTAGAAATAAAGGGAAATAGAATGTGGAAAACACAGAGATTACAGGAGTTTCTAGTATGATTAAGAAGGTTATTGATACTGGTCGTTTAACTGCGAGGTCTCTCCTTACAAATATATTTTACAATAAGATGACAAAAACAAGAATCTAAGAATTTGGGTCAACTTTCACTTGTTTCAATAACTCACTTCTATCTTTTTGTTGATGGTCCTTTTGTCTTTGCTTAGATTTTGAATCTCATTCTTCAGCTTCCAAGACGAGAGTCTGGCGTCATAAAGTGTTTCATATGGTTTCTCCAGCCTCCCTGTCTAGACATAAAACTGTCTGAGGCCAAACACCACATATTCCCTATACCCTAAAAAGGTCCTAGGCCAGTGCTGTGCGTATCTATAGCGCTTAGTAAAACAGGCAGGATATATTGGCTCTTTGCTTGAGCATTCATTTACCCTCTGGGAGAGTTAATGAGTGATCTCAGCACCTTTTCAAAGAGGCGTCTGCAAAGAGCAGCTTTGGATGAGATGCACAGCTTTCTTTGGGTCTAGGGAGGCCATACAAAATGGAAACAAGGCCCTATGCAAACAGGATTGGAGACTGTTTAGCCTGATGCCCAAGAATACATTCAAAGGAGACCAGCTTCAGCCATTCAGGTGCTTCCCTCATTGCCATCACAATGGAGTTAGTGTCCCTGCAAATGTGTTTCTTGCTGTTATAGTTTTGTTTTGTTTCAAAATTTTATTCAGAAGCTGCTCTCTTTGGGAAGGTGTTCAGACAATGAGATAAACCACAGCTATGTTCCCTACAAGTAAAGAAGTCAGTAGATAAAAAAACCTTCTTCCCCATCTTGCCATCATGAAATTCCTATATTTTCCCTTCCAAAGAAAATCCCCTGGGAAAGGGAATGTATAACTTTTAGTTTTACAAGAAGTTTGAATTGGACTGTCCCTGATTCCTACCAACTTTGAAAATAATTAGATGGTAAGAATCGAATACACAGTGGATTAAGAGACCTAAATTTGTGAATTTAGTCAAATTAGATAACCTGACCAGGCTTCAGTTTTCTCATCAGCAAAATGCGGTACTCATTGTATGAACTGACAAATGTAAAATCACAGAACACAGTGACAAGTGATAAAAGCTCTGTGAATGTTCATTTATGTATGCTGGATAGTTTGTTTTATGTATGCATCCCTTGTCTTCTAGGTGTTATTAAATATGATTGTTAGAGCTGACTTGTGACCTGATTCTTATTTAATCCATGTTTCTCAGAAAACAACTAGCATGTGATTGTGGTGATAGTCGTGGTGGAGGTGAGGGAGATGAAGAAGAAAAATCTAAGGGCACAAAAATCAACTAGTCAGGTAGATAATTTTCTTCAGTGAAGCAGAATGTGTGTCTCTCCTGATTTGGGAAAGAAACAAGACATTATAATATTTGAGATAGAACTTTTCATGTATAGACAAAATTACTATATTGTCAATATATTATTTCCAGATAGCTTTGTTTCATTATAAGCTTTTTTTATTAATTCTTATGTCATATGATAAAAGTTGGACTTAATTCAGGAGGCCTGGACTTGAATCCCATCTCTGCTATTTTCTAGTGAGTTGAGCTAGTGCTGGTGACTCACTACAGGCTTTTCTCAGACTCCCCTTGTATAACATGAGGGTCCTCTGCTACAAGATTGTGGTTAAAACCAGATGATTTGAAGTCCATCTGGGTACCATGTATGTAGCAGCCATTAAATCATTATCTTTGGAAGCCAATGGAAATCTCTACGAGAGAAAAGTGGTGTTCTTTTTGTTTTTCAAGTAAGAAAAACAAGTATTGGGGTTAAATCTCACAAATTAAAGGCAGAGACATGACTGACACTCTGACATAGAAGGGCAATGCCTATAGAATTGAGGTATAAAAAATGGACCTCCTAACACAAGGGGGTAAATAGACACCAACAAATCTCAACCTTCACCTTGGGCTCATGCTCAGTTATTTTAAGGAAGAAAGAAAAGAATCCCCTGCGTATTGATTACCTACTATGTGCCAAGACTTGTCCTGGGCACTTTCAAACATTTAATTCTCCCAAGAGCCATCAAGGTTGATATTAGTATCGCCCAATTATAGATGGGGAAACTGAAGCTCAGAGAGTTTAAGCCTATCACCCAAGGTCATGCAGCTGACAACAGCAGAGACTGAATTCTGCCTCTCTGCCATTATTTCTAATATCAGCTTACTTCTACCTCCTTGCCTGCCAGGACCACTGCCACCAGCCTGTCAACAAAGACAGCAAACCTACGAGTTGTCTCAGCCTTGTAGCAAAGCTTTGATGTCCCTTTGTTGTTCAAGGCAGGACCCTGGGTGCCATGCTGGGGAGTGGACAGCAACAGTCTCAGGCAGAGCAGGAGACAGAGCTGGGGGCTTGGTCACACAGGTGTGGGCTGGAAGGTACAGGGAGTCGGCAGGTCAGAGCTCACTTTCCAGGGAAGTCAGCTAGGCAGGTAGATATCAAAAGCCCAAACAGTCAGGGTCCAGAGACTTAGTGATCACAGAGGCAGGGACAATGGTTCTATTGAACAGAAGACATGAAGGCAAGCAAAAATCCTAGGGTAGGCACTGCTTTTGTTGCCTGCTGTGTGTGAGCAGCTCTGGAGCCTAGGTGTTAAACAAAGTTAGAAGGATCTCTTATACCTGCAGGAAAACTGTGCTACTTACGGAGTGTAAAACAGAGATGTTGAATTTTTTTTTTTTCACTGTGGCCAGTGCTGCAAAGGGACTTTTATGTTGACTGATACATCTGAGACTTGGGCTTAAGATAGGAATAGATAGATGCACCTTTCACATTGCAAGCACTTCATTGTGGTAGCTACAGAAATCTCTAAGAATGGTGAAGTTTTATGACCTCCAGCCTCATTCTTTTATACTCGTCCCTTCCAACCATGAATTTGTGTTAAGCACTATCCTCTACTCACATACCTGCTTCCAACCCTTGTCAAAATCTGCTTTCTGATTACACTTCATGGGTAATGGCTATGAGAGCAGAGCAGTGTACACTTCTTTCCTAGGGCCACTGACTCTATTTAGATGGAATTTATGGGAAGTTCACTTAGAGAAGACTGTTCGAGCAAAGACTGAGATGAGGCAGGGCTCCCTGGATCCCCTAACCTCCCAAAAAATGAGCGAGCAGGTGGCTATTCCACCTACGCATAAGGTCAGCCCTGACAGCAGTCAGGCTTTTTTTGTGTCCTGGAACCATTTTCTCAGAGTGACATTGACATATGTCCCCATAAATAAATTAGCAACCCCATCTCAGCTGACATGGTTGGCAGAAACAAGAAGCTCATGTGCCAGTGTGTGGGTTAATTCCCGTGCCCATTCCACTGGGAAAGATCAAGTGTATCAATGTGTGCTCATCCTGCAAGCCCTGGGATGCAGAAAGCTTTTCCTTTCTTCTTCTTGGTTTTCACAGGAATATATTTTGACTTATCTACATAAAATATGCATGTGAGAGGTTGTTAAATGAACAGAGAAGTGATAGAAAGACAGGAGGATAGGTGAGGCAGAAATAGCATTTTTCAGTTTACAAAAATAGAAATAGGGACTCCATACTTCTTACTCCCCAAATCGTCAACTGTGCAAGGTAGATATTTTTATTCCTTATATTGTAAAGCTACTTCTGCTGAATCCCCACACAGAAGACATGAAAAGAAAGTAAACCATTTCTAGTTCTTTCTGACTTGTTCCCTCTGAAAGAGTAGGGGCATCTCAAAAATACCTTAATGCTTTCTCATGTAGTTCAATAAACAAAATTTCGAGAAACTTGTCTGTGGTGGTGATAGGCATTTTGTGGGATAAGAAAAAAAAATAAGTGGAAAAAAATCCTTGTTGCAAATAGTTAACTGGGAGAATCAAGGAGAAATGCATGGATCAAGTCTATTCAGTAAATATGAATTGAGCACTTGAAATGTGCCAGGCCCTACACTAGAATCAGCTGGACTCATGCCTATGCTGGAGGAAGCAACACTCTTTATCTAGGTACGTAATTTTCATCACAAATGTCAGCTGAACTTACCCAGTAGAGATGTTTATAACAATACACAAAGCATTTTATCTACTCACCTATTTACTAGTTCATTTATTTATTTTCCCTTACTATGTAAAGGGCTTGTTTACTATTATATACACAATATAACATTCAAGATGCCATTATATGCACCATATACCATTCAATGGCATATTGAATATAATGCATATAATGGTAAACAAAACAGATGAAGCCCCTGCTCTTATGAAGCTTGCAGTCTAGGAACCCTTAAATTTGACCTCATCTTTTTATGAAGATGGCATAAAGTTGACTGAGAGTGACTGCACCTTTCCAGTGTAATGAGAATGGTGTTTTTCTTCCTGATTGGGTAAGTGTGAGGTCAAGATCTTCCTGGACTGGGAATTAGAACAGGCTCTAAATAATTTACCGTTTTAACTTAGTGAACTTCACATTTCTCTACCTGTGTTTTTTTATGCTAAATGAGTGTTAGGTACTCAAGAAATATACCGTCCAAAATGAAAACCACTAGCCTCATGTGGCTATTGAAACTCAATGTAATTAACTAATATCAAATAAGATTAAAAGCTCACTTTCCCAGTCTCACTGGCCACATTTCCGGTACACATAGCCACCTGTGACTAATGGTTATCACATTGGACACTACAGAACATTTTCATTATCATAGAAAGTTTTCTTGGAAAGCCCAGCTCTAGAAAATAATTTCTGGTGTTAATATCTATGATGCTTGTCTTTTGGACGTTTCACTAAAGAATTCAAGATGTGGATCTTCACTTTGAAATTCTACATTGCTTTCTCTGTACATAAATTACGCGGCGTTACTATGCAGATCCATATAGATGTTCATATCTTTTTGTGCATATCCTTTACCGCCAACTAGGCTGGAAGCACTTGAAAGCAGTGATCACACAATCCATTTCTATATTCTAAGTGCTTAGTGCAGTGCCCTGTAGACAGTAGGAGCTTAATAAATGTCTTTGTTGGTGGTGAGAAGGACACTTTCTGATATTCAACAGCACCCTAAAACACTATGAGCTGTGCCTCTAAGCAGCAGAGGGGAGTTAAACTACAGAGAAGCCCTGAGGGACAGATCACGAGTTTGGACTTCGCCACATTGAGTTTGATCCCAAAGGCTATTTCTGCACATCAAGCCATCTGGAGATAGTGTGGGTGCCAGGCATCACGCCTGTGCAGTGATGTATCTCATCCCTTGGTATTTAAATGCTGTCTTGGCATGGGACACTGGTGTCCACAGTCAGCCACAGGCAGAGAAAAAAGTTCTGACTCTAAGTCGTGGGCTGTAAACTTCATTTCCTCAGTTGAACTCACTTATCTGCTGGGCCCAACCATTCATCCACTTCCACAGTTGCGGTAATTCTCATTCTGGGTCTTGAAGAATATCACAAGAGCCTTACAATAATAAGGTGGCACTAGAATTCTAGGTGATGGGTCATGTCCAAATTTAGTCCAAAAGAAACTGAAAAATTATGTTTGCTCTGTAAGATCTCATCTGCTCTGGAGTATGAATTATGTTAAGTAGCCTTCAGCATCACTCAGTTGCATCCAGATCCAGATGTCAAAGGGGACAATATTGCAGCCACTTAACATTTCATGTGATAAAATTGTCCTCTTCTTGTCATTGTCCCCTCCCTTACTCTGGTCCATTTTCTCAGCTCCATTATCTGTTTGTATTTGCATCAAAATAATCTGTACTCTTTTGCCCACACTCCTGGCTTTAGAAATTAAAAAAAAAAAAACCCAAAAACAAACAAACAAAAAACTCTGAAGCAATAGGTCAGCATTTACTACAAATCTGTTTTTTTTTCTCTCAAGACTTCTTTATTGAAATAAACAGGGAGGTAACTCTTTATTAACTACAGTATTTACAGATAAAGGCTCTGAAGACCCAAGAACTTAGATTTCGGAAGCACCATGGTGGGGTAATGGTGTAGCCAGGACTAGAGACCACGGTGGGACTTGAAACTATGTCAGAAGAGAAATGATATAGTAAGATTTAGATAATCTGGAAAGAATATCTGCCACAATGTGCCCCTTTGCTTGCTAATTCATTGGTTATCGTGATTATTGAGTACTTAGATGATATAGGAATATATCTAAATATTGGGGGTATTAAAAGAAGTTTACTTTCTTCAGAATATGTTTATAATTTCAATTTAGGATGGTGTTTGAAAACATAATTAAATTTTCAGTATAATATACATAAAAAAGAAAATCAATATACAGGCAATAAATGATAACTGAGCTCAGAGGCTGAGAATCCTTCATGCAAGTGCTATCACAGATAAATTATTTTCAGTTTTATAAGAATTAAATAGAGAGTAGAGTTTAGTCTGTCATTCTAAGAGAAGGGAAAAAGTAAGAAAAATGCATAGAGATTGGAAAGTCCAGTACTGGCTTGAGGGGCACTGATTAGTCATTGAAGAATGTGCAGAAATAGAACAGGAAAGAAAGGATGAACCCAGATTCTGAAGGTATTCAGTCCCCTGGCTAGGAAGTTTTGTCTTTATCTTGTACAATTAAGAGGCACTCTTCAAAGAATATTTAAATTTCACTCTGCCCTTCTGACCTTATATTACCATGCTATTTGCATTCTTGTTTTTGGTTTTTGTCTTTGACTCTTTCCCACATCAGTTGTTATGCAAGTTTCAAAGCTCAATCTAAACTCCACATCTTCCAGAGGAGCTTCCCCAATTTATGCAGCAATTATACATAAATCCCATAATCTTCCACTTACAGGATTGATTAGGTATGTTTCTATAATGTTGTCTTATGCCTGTGTAAATCACATAAATCTGTACTTTATGAACAGTTTTAAAATGTAAACTTCTTGGGGTCAAAGAGCATAATTCATCTCTCTATTCTTTCAAAGCACAGGCTAAACTTCTGGTTGGGAGAATTACGTTGACAGAATAAAGAAAAGCAGTAAGGAGTACGTATTGTTTTAACACTGGTAGATGTAGTGAAATATAACTCTAAAATCTATGAACTCTTAAAATTACTGTCTAGCTTCTATCATTCAATTTTTGCTTTAGGAAAGGAGGAGGAAATGGAATGCATGATAGAATACAACATATTTTATCTCTAAAATTACTTTTTAAAAGAAAGCTGAAAATATTCTGAGACATTTCAAAACCATTCTCTTAAGATACAGAGTTTAGTTTTGTGACTTCAAAGTTTGTAGAATATTTATCAGCCTTGGCAAAAAGGTGCCTAGACTTTTAAAAATGTGATTATTTGTTCAACATTTATTGAGATCATACTATATGGAGGTGCTGGGCTAGAAGCCATGGGAAGCGTGAAGGTGTACACAAAGACTGTAGAAAACCTTGGGAACCTGCACAGGCTTTTTAACTGTTACATGTACATCATTATTTTTAAGCATTTGTAGTATGTGAAATCTCCTGCTTCTCCTTCTAGACTTCAGCTGTTCAGTAAGGTCAGCATATTTTGCATCTTGCGTAGTGCCTGGTACATAAGAAATGGTTACTAATAAATGTTTGTTGAGCTCAGTTACTATGTGCCAGGCATCTTACTGCAAATCCTTTCTAATAGCAGATCAGATAATTCAAATGTATGGCAAAGATGCATTCTAGCTCCTCCAAGAACAATTAATTGTCCAAAAGATTGACACAGTTTAAACTCATGATGGAAAGGCCCAGAAGCTAAAGAACCAAGTATTCATACAACATTCTTTCTATGAATTACAAACATAATTGCATTTAAGTGAATTGGAACTTCTCAAAGCATTAGTAGTGAGGGTCTAGACAATGTTTTCTATCAAAGAGGAAATGTCCTTTGGAATACCACTTTGTGGAAACAAGAAAACAGACATTCCTTTTAACATGGTTGGTTCTGCATATCTGCTCATAGCAAAAAGTATAGACAGGGGTCTCTTAGTCTTTACATCGAGAAATCAAGCATCAAGGGGTCTAGGGTTTAAACCAAGCTAGGGATGTTGGAACTCAATGACCGTTTGAAGTCAAAACATGTCTTGCCTGTTTATTCTTTTGCAAACCTCTTTCTCAGCTCATCCAACTGGGAGTGAGGGTTTTATTATCCCTCCAACAGTTGGTTCCATTCTCTGACATTTTTCTTGTTGCCTGTGATTTTCGAAAGCATCCACTTTTCACAAGTGAAAACTGATTTTGTCCAAACAGATGCTTGTTTCTATATTTTACATTCTGGGAAAAAAATATGGGTATGATTTGGTTGGGGAGGGGGCTAGAGAGAAATGGGGAGTAAAATCTTACAGACGCTGGTAGAGGCACAGCTTTGAGCTAAAATTAGAAGCCAACTGAGAGCTGTAAGCAGGAGGAAGGGGGTCTCCAAAGAAAGTTTGTTGTATAATAAAATACTCATTGAAAATATTCTGACAAGGAGCCCTAACAAAATTCTCACATATCTTAGACTACATGATAAAATGGTTTCTCCCTAAAGTTTCTATGAGAATTATGGTAAATTAGATTTGGACACGATGTTTTAAATCAGTCAGGCAATCAAATATTTCAATCTAATCCTTCAATCAACACTCATTTCCTGAGCACCAATTTTTGTCCTGATCACTCTTAAACTTGAGAGGGAGTCAAGAGAAAAGCAAATAAATGCACAAGCAAATAAATAAAAATAACTTAAATGATGACCAGGAGGAGCTCACCGTGTAGGTGGGAAACAGGGAAAATAAACATGCAAAAGGTGAGCTGGAGGAAATGATACAGATAGATTTCAGGACTTGTTTCTCTGAGCTGCAGTTGACCTGTTGTTCCACAGCTTAATCCACCACTGCCTCACTCTCTTACTTTGAATTTCTCAACTTTACTTTGAATTTCTTGACTTTGCTCAGGGTTGGTGTCTTAGTTCATTCAGGCTGCTATAAAAAAATATACAAACAACAGTTTATATGACACAGAGTATCCCTAGAATATCCCAGGAGTCCTTTCTTCCTTCACAGTTCTGAAGACTAGGGAGTCCAAGATCAAGGTGCTGGCAGATTTGGTGTCTAGTGAGGGCCTGTTTTCTGGTTCATAGACAGTGCCTTCTCACCGTGTCCCTACATGGTGGAAGGGGCAACGCAGCTATCTGGGACCACTTTTATAAGCATATTAATCCCAATCATGTGAGCAGGTCCCCGCCTCCCAAAGCCCCAGCTCTTAGTATCATCACAATGGAGGTTAGATGTCAACATATGATTCTGGGGGGGACTCAGACATTCAGAACATACCAACTGGGGAAGAGATCTAATCCTCTATGTCCCACATGCTTTCTTGGCCCCATATGCGCTGAGGAAGTGCCTATTCTCTGCCTTTGTAGGCGTGGGATGGCTATATGTGGAGACGTGTGCCGCTGGCATTAGCTGCCTCTGTCCAGAGCCTGCTGAGCCAGGCTATGGGAACTGCATGTGCCCCACCCTCAACACCCTGAATTTCTGAAGGTGGATTTCATAACCCCAGCTACAGTAGTTGGTGCAAATTTTAGAGTCATAAAAACATCCTTACAGTCCACTGAATCAAGCAGCGTAGTTGACCCTTGTGAATGGGGTTAGGGCATCTCCTGGACAGTGTCTCACCCTATTACCACCACTCTGACCCTCCTCTGCAGGCTAGGATTTTGATAAAAGAGATTCCAGCCTTATTCCCAGATACAGATCACTTAAAGCAGTCGGTCTTCATGTTCCCCTTAGCCCATTGCAGCACTGAGGGGAATATTCCTGCATGTATAAAAGGCACTCCATGCCTGGTATACATTCAGCACCATCCGGATGTAATTGGAATGGCTCTCTTCTAATCTGGTTTGGGCTCTGATGATAACTGCTTCTGTTTATACAATCAGATCTCACTGCTGAGCGACTTTGCATTCCTCTACATCAAAGGTAATTATTATTTTTATAGTTCAATTAGCAAACATTACATTTCTGTTTGCCTTGCTAAGATGGTACCACCAAATTTAACAATAACACACTATTCTAAGCTGCCAGGGGATAAGATGCTATTATAATATTGTAGCTCTTTTTTTTTCTTTGTTTTTTCCTTCTTTCATTATGCACACAGGTCATATTCAATTCAAAAATGAGAATGCTTCAAATTAAGAATGTTAGACTGATAAAAGACCTTTCAATCATGTAAAACTAGCCTCTCAATTTGGAAGTGAGGAAACTGAGACCTGAATTCAGTGATTTGGCCTAAATTATATCAGTCTGTAAAAGAATCAGCTTTCTAATCAATGTCTTTACATTCCTAGTACAGTATTCATTTTTCTTTCTCTCTTTAAGCCCCAGATGCAGTGAAGAGAAGCAAAAGAGAGCAGCACTAAAGGAAAATATAAGTGACCCACCATTTATGGAGTATCTCCTGTGTGCAAGGCATTTTAGACAATTTAATGTTTTAAACTTGATACCTAGACCCTAACCCCTACCCTGATACTGAATATCTATATGACCTTGTGACTTAGTTCTCCCTGAGCTTGCATATTCTCCCTTGAAAACCAAGAGGGCTGCCCTAGAGTATCCCAGGAATCTTTTCTTGCACAATCATTCAGGAACAAGTGCCAGCCATATCTCATTTTAAGTATCTAACATCCTTTGGATACTCCTGTTATCTTGTTTCTCCAAGCTGGGGGAGTGGTCCCATTGCTCTGTAGCAGTTTTGCTATGTGTTCTTGAATTTAACCACGGTTAGAAATGCTTGAAATAGTTCTTTATCTTTCTTCCTGAAACTGCTGAGATGGACAGTCAGGAGGAAGAACATATACCATCCCAGATATTGAGCACAGTGTGGGGGTGGGTGGTCAGAGCTGGGGCCAGCACAGTGGCAGCAGCTCTCATTCATTCCCATGGCTTGCCCTGGCTGTGTGGGCAAAGGTCTCTCCAGCAATCCAGCAGCCTGTTTCCATATTATCAGTGCTTTCTCCTCTCTGGCTTTATTAAACATGTTAAGTAAGATGTTTTGCCATGTTCTTACAGAGTCTGTTGCATTGATTATTCACAATGCCATCACCCCTCCTCCCACCCTGCTTAGTACTCCCCCACTCCCAGGCTTGATTTATTACCCACTATATTGTTCCAAGCACAGACCTTTTTATCACTGTCACATATGTGGGCCTGGTGATGAGATATGCTTGGTAGTGGCTGGAGGGGCAGGATGGAGCTGTAGGAACCAAGCAAGAAGGAAGTTTGCAACTGATTTTATCTTGTTCTAAAACTCATTTCTGCTTATATTTTGGAAAATCCCAAACATAAATTATCTTTGTCTGTTTATAAAATAGATAATATAGTGGACTATTTGAAGAGCAATATTTAGGCTTCATAGGTCTGTTTTACTAGGAACCCCAAAATAAATTAATAAAAATAAAAGCAGTCAGTTACTAAACATTTAGTAAGTACCAGGCATTGATGTCTGGAGAAAGTGTAGCCTGGGTAGAGAGAACATGGGTGAAGCCTTGGAACATTAGTATGTACCAGGTTATAAGTGCTTTACTTGGATGATCGCATGTGATTCTATCTTAAGACAACAAACAAGAACAACTTATTGCATAGATTATTTTAATCCCTCTTTTTCATGTGAAGAAACTGAAGCTCAAAGAGGTCTAATCACATAATTACAAAGGAGGTAGATCCAAGACTTGATCCCTAGATCTTTCTGACCTCAGAAGTACTCTAGTGATGATACAAATTCTATTCTCAGATTTAGACAGAATGATCGAATTTGTTGTTAGTGATCTGCATGGATGTTTCTATTCATGAGTTTAAAAAATTTTGCCAAGCCAAATGAAATAGAAAATCTGTTATGAAAGTTCAATATGTAAAACCAAAAACAAAAAAGAAAGGAAGAAGCCTGGGAAGAAGTTCTAGAAACCTGCCCACCCACATCTCTCATTCCTCCAGGTATCCAAGGGTGCACCATATATTTATGCATTTTTGAAGACCCCAGCTTAATGCAATACCATCACTTTGTAAGGGAAAGACAGTGATAACCCAAGGTACTAAGTGACAAATCGACCACACAGTCATCAAGTAGTCTTACTCCCAGTTAACACGGCACCACATTTGTTGTAATTTGATTGCCTTCTATATCCTGTTAGATGTAAGAAACAGTTCATTAACAGTGTTAGGTTAACACATTAATGGATAGATCATTTATTCACTCAACGAATCCTAACAGAATGCTCATTATGGGCCAGGTCCTGCTGTGTGTGCTGGGGAAAGGGCAGTAGGCAAAGCACACACACATCCCTGCCATGATGGGGTTTGCATTCTACAGAAGTCAAGAAACACACAAAATGAAAAAGGAAAAGTATAGCACATTACTATAGACAAATGCTAGAAAGAAACCGAAAGTGGGAAAGAGGGAGATCGTGTACATGGGTGATGTGGCAGGCATGTGGCCAAGGAAGACCCTCAGAGTGGAAAGACTGAGAAAAGTCTAAAGAGTGAGAGATCTGAGATCACTGGTATCTGGAGAAAGCGTGGTCTGGGTAGAGAGAACACGGGTGAAGCCTTGGAACAGCAACATGTGGGATGTGCTTGAGAAACAGCAGGGAGATTAGTGTGGAGGGAGTGGAGTGAACAATCCATATGGTGGTCTGAGCTGAGGTCAAAGAAGTAAAACAGAAGAAGTCAAATCAGTAGGGTCTTAAAGGTTTATCTTTGATTCTCAAAGAGATGGGAAACCAATAGAGGCTTTTCAGCAGAGAAAGAACTTCATATGAATTGTTGTTTGTTTTTTAATTCATTACATTGAAATTATGTTAGAGGGAGGCAAGGAAAGAAGTAAAAAGACCAATTAGGAGCCAAACTTCAATTTTCCTCCTCTCATTCTATCTCAAACATTTTACTGTGACAGTCTCAAAACATAAAACAAAGATGAAATAATTTCGCATCTTTATGTCCACCACGCAGATTACATCAGAAACATTTCACTACAGTTTATCATGCATCCATTCATCCATCCAGTTATCCCTTCATCCCATTTCCTTGATGAGACTCAAACCAAACTCCAGTCATCAACCCATTTTGTTCAGATAATACAGCATACAACCAGAGTTCAACTCTGCCATTTTTTATTCAATACAAAATCCATATTCAAAGCAATGCACAAACCTTAAAAAAAATTTCACTGAGTTTTGATAATAAACACATACCTCCATATAACATATAATTCTATCAAAATATAAAATATTCATGATCATCTCAGAAAGTTCCTTTATCTCTCTTCCCAGTGAAAGCCTGTCTTTATCCTCCAGAGATAATCACTAACCTGATTTTTCCATAATAGATTAGTTTTACCAGCTATAGAATTTCATATCAATGGAGACATAAAATATGTATTCATTTCTGTCAGCTTTGTCAATCAGTGTGTTTTTGAGATTTATTAATGTGTTTCCATGTAGTAGTAACATGGTCCTTTTTATTGCTAAGTAATATTCCATTAAATAAATACCTCAACTTTTGTTTATCCATCATCTGATAAACACTTAGGGTGTTTTCAGATTTTTATTATGAGAAAAGTTTCTAGGATTTTTTTTTTTTGAGACAGGGTCTCACTCTGTTGCCCAGGCTGGACTGTAGTGGCATGAACATGGCTCACAATAGCCTTCACCTCCTGATCTCAAGCTATCCTTCCACCTCAGTCTCATGGGACCACAGGCATGCACCACCACACTCAGCTAAATTTTTAATTTTGTAGAGATGAGGTCCTGCCACATTGGCTAGGCTGGCCTCGAACTCCTGGGCTCAAGCAATCCTCTTGCCTTGGTCTCCTGAAGTGCTGGGATTACAGGCATGAGCCACAACACTTGGCTAAAAATTCTATACAATAATTTTTGTGGTTATATATTGTCATTTATCTTGAATTAATATGTGGAGATAAATTACTAGGCTATAGAAAGATCTATGCTTGGTTTTTATTTAGTTTGCCTAATAGATATTCTTATATATCCTATTGTAAAGTATTTTATTTGCCCAATTCCAATGGAGTTGCTTGGCCTTTAATTATTGAGTCGTAGGAGTATTCCTGAATATTAGACTTTACAGTAAATATCTTTAAAAAAATACAATAGGGACAGATTTATAGGTATAAGCTACCACTAAAGCCATCAGCAGCTGCTCTGCTACTTCACAGTGACAGTGACCAGAAATTTTATTTTAAAACATTAAACCTGTCTTTATTATTTTCAATATGCATTAATTTTTCTAGGATAAATGGAATAGAGTATAAAAGCCAACATAGGAAAAATGTAAATAAAATGTCATAAAAGCAGAAAAAAGAAACATAGAAAGTTGAAAGTATTACAAATTAAAATAAATCTAAATATATCATTTATTACAATATATAAAAATGGACATAACTTAGGTCAAATCAAAGATTGCCTAATTATATAAAAAATATAGCTAACTATATATTCTTTACAAGATAACTAATTAAGATATAAATACCCAGAAAAGAGGAAACAGATTGAAAAAGATATATCAGTAAAATATCAACCAAAAGTCAGCTGATTTGGCTATATAAACACAATGTAAAATATAATGTTGCAGAGATAAAGTGTGCCACTATATCAGGATTTCAATTTGTTAGAGTGATATAACAATTCTAAATTTGTATGCCCGTAACTTTATAGATATAAAACATATGAAATAAAAATTTACAGAACTGTTAAAAGAGATGAATAAATCTACCATCAAAATTTAGGAGTTAACATATTAACAATCATAGATCAAGAAGAAAGAATGAGCAGTCAGAATACAGATATATGAACAACACCGCTTAAAAGTTGACTAAATAGATACGCAAACAACATTCAACCCAACAAGTGGAGAACACAAGTTTCTTTCTGGTACATTTGGGACCTTTATTAAAACTGATCCTAAACTAGGTTTTAAAACATATCTCAACCTATGTTAAGAAATCTGGCATGTTCTCTGATGATAATATAATTAATTTAAAAACAATTATGAAATAAAACTAAGGCCAAAACAAGAAAATGATAAAATACTACATAGAAGTACTAAATTATATTTCTATATAATGCACAATTCCAAGTAAAAAACATAGTGGATATTTAAAATACTTAAAAAGAATGGAAAAAAATACATATAAAAAACATTTGTAACAAATAAACTGGTAATTATAAAAAAGTAGTCTTAAATGATTACAAAAGTAAAAAAGACTAACATCAATAATCTAAAAATTAGAAAACTAAATACAGAATAAACCCAAAGAAAGAACTTTTTAAAAATTAATTTTTTTTTTCTTAAGAGACAGTCTTGCTCTGTTGTTCAGGCTGTAGTGCAGTGGTGTGATCCCAGCTCACTGCTGCCTCAAACTCCTGGGCTTAAGGAATTCTTCTGCTTCAGCCTCCTGAGTAGCTGGGACTACACGCATAAACCTGAGCATTCCTCTGCCTAATTTTTTAATTTTATTTTTGTAGAGATGGGGCCTTGTTGTGTTGCCCAGCCTGCTCTCAAACTCCTGGCCTCAAGAAATCCTCTCATCTTGGCCTCCCAAAATGCTGGGATTACAGGTGTGAGCCACTATCTCCAGTCAGAAATATTTTTTTTAAAGAGAGAAGAAATTAATACCATATAAAATGTAAAGACACAACCAAGAGAATTCATAAAGCCAACAATGAAGGCATTAAGATGACTAATAAAATTGACAAATCTCTGCTGATGGTGATCAAGAAAACAAGGTAAAACCACAAATGAGTAAGTGTTAGTTTTGAAAGAAGAGTCATAAGAATTATGGCAGGGCTTAAAAATTTAGTAGGTGAACATTATGAGCAACTTTATTCCAATTTGTTAGAAAACTTACATGTAACTGAAATATATATAATATAAATTACCAAATATTCTCATATTATAAATATAATAAATAAACATTAAAATCACTGAAATATTGCAGTGGTTAAGAAACCTGCCAAAGACAAATCCAGATAGTTTTACAAGGGAGTATTTTTGTCTTAGTCAGAATTTCCCCAGAAGTCAACCTTGAACCCAAGGATTTGAGTGAAACTGTTCCTTTGGAAAGTGATCCCAAGAATTACTGATAAAGGTAGGGAAGGGAAGCAGGAAAGAGAAGGAATCCTATAAAGAATATGTTTGTGAGCAGTTTGCTTGTGGGCAATTGATCTGGGTCCCAGGAAGAACCTCTGAGTGATTATGTAGTCAAAGCCTTCAAAGTTTTGCACCTAGGAGAAAGAAATATGGGGTATTTATACATTGACACTCATCTGTTATGGGTTGAGTGCTGCTCCCAGGGGCATTTACTCCCCAGCATTGCTGCCCAATCTTGGAAATGGGCCTACTGGCCTCCAGAAGCCAGAGAAAGCCCTCAGGCAGAGTCACTAGTGTTTGCATTAAAAAATCATCTGTGTGTCTGGGGCTGTGAGTGCTGAGGGTTTAGTATTGCTACCATTAGCTATAACTAACCCTTAAGAAGCAGATGATTCCAATCCTCCCAGTATATCTATATTATTAAAAAGAAGGGAAATTGCAGACAAATACATTGTTAAACTAGAGGCCAAAAAATCTTAATTTAAATGTTAGTAAATCAAATTTAGCAGTATATCATGTTGGGTTTATCACAAAAATGCATGCTTGTTTTCATAGTAAACAGTCTACTAAGGTAGTTCATTACATAAACAGATTAAAAAGAGAAGAGCCATAAAGAACATCTCTGTAGACAAAATGTAATTTCAATATATGATTTTAAAAATTTCTATTACATAAGAAACGGAATGGAAGCATCTTAATGACATAAAAAGGGACAACAAGGGCCAAACTAGAAAATATTCTACATCATTGATACATATTTTAAAGGTTTTTTTTGGCCAGGCGCGGTGGCTCACGCCTGTAATCCCAGCAATTTGGGAGGCCGAGGCGGGCCAATCACAAGGTCAGGAGATGGAGACCATCCTGGCTAACATGGTGAAACCCCGTCTCTGCTAAAAAAACACAAAAACTTAGCCAGGCGTGGTGGCAGGCGCCTGTAGTCCCAGCTACTTGGGAGGCTGAGGTAGGAGAATGGCATGAACCCAGGCGGCAGAGCTTGCAGTGAGCCGAGATCGCGCCACTGCACTCCAGCCTGGGCGACAGAGAAAGACTACCTCTCTCAAAAAAAAAAAAAAAAAAAAAAAAAAAATTAAAGTATTTTCTTTAAAATCAAGATGCGCATTATCATCACTGCACTCAACATTGTGCTAGACATCCGAATTTAGTAAAGTAAGATAAGAAAAGATAGATGTAAAGGCATAAGAATTGAAAACATATAAACAAAACAAATTATTTTCAGATGATATGGTTGTTTACATGGAAAACCAAAAAGCACTTACAGACAAATTATTAGTAATAATAAGAGAATTCATCAGTGTGTCTGTAGGCTATAAGATCAATATACAAAACCAATTGCATTTCCATATGACAGCATAATTCAGAAAATATAATTAAGGAATTATTTCCCTTTACAATAGTATCTAAATATATAAGGTGTCTGATAATAAAATAGCAAAAGATGTGCAAGACTCCTAGAGAAAATTGTAAACGATGTTCAAAATAAAAGATATAAAATGTCTATTGACAGTCACTATAAAATGTGACCATTCTTTTTGTATTGATCTATGCATCAATGCAATGACAATCAAAATTCCAATACAATTTTAGTGGAATTGACAAGCTGATTTCAATATTGTATGGAAAAGCAAATGACAAAAATAGCAAGACTTTCCTGAAGAACAAGTGGAGAAAATTATACCTTTTAGATATCCAAACATAGTATACAATTAAACCAGCTAGGACAGTGTAATGTTGGATTAAATACTAAATTCTTTAATAAGTAGAGTGGAAAATCAGTCATATTAAATACATACATTTACAGTAAATTGTATGTAATGATGAATATAATATGCATTATAAATAATGCATTATGAATGATTACATGTTTCATATATTATCTACTTTCTTTATCACATGTTATACCAATGTCAATTCTAAATGGAAAAATACTTAAACATCTACATAGTGAGAGAGAGAGAGAGACTGGGACAAAGAGGTTGAAAATAATAAAAATATTCTTTGGGAATCTTCTGACAACTTTCAGTAAGTTTAAATTATTCAGAAGAAAATATAGAACAATATCTCCATGAGATAAGATATAGGAAATTGTAGTAAATAAAAAACAAAGAGCACTAACTTAAAATAAATTATCGATGAATTTGACTAAATTAAATTTGAAAGAATGTTCATTCATTAACAGAGACATTAGTCAGCTAGGGCTACCATAGCAAGCTAGCATAGACTGGGTGATTACAACAACAGACTTTATTTTCTCACAGTTCTGGAGGATAAAAGTCCACGATTAGGGTGCTAGCAGGGTTGGTTTTTGTTAAGGCCTCTCTCCTCAGTTTGCAGATGGCTCCTTCCCGTGGTGTCCCCACATGTTTTTTTTTTTCTGTGCCTGCTTATGGAGAAAGAGTGCTAATGTTTCTCTTCTTATAGGGACACCAGTCCTATCAGATTAGGATCCCATCCTTATGGCCTCATGTAACCTTCATTATCTCCTTAATGGCCTTATCTCCAAATATAGCCACATTGCGTTTTCAGCATATGAAGTTGGGGTAGACACAATTTAACTCATCACAGACATGTAGAAATATTAATTTTAAAAAATGAACAGAAGGCACCAAGTAGAAAAAGAGATTTGCAACACATAACTGGGAAATAAATCACATTTAGATCATACAAACAACTTATAAATCAGTAAGAAGAGACAAATAAGATAATGGAAATTAGGCAAGAGACTTAAAAAGGCTTTCACAAAAGAAATACAAATGGACAATTAACTTATTAAAATATGCTCAACCCCATTAGAACCCAGAGAAATGTAAATTAAACCAGAAGGAGATATTTTACACTCACATGATTTATAAAGATTAAAATGCTTGACAGCACCAAGTATTGGCAAAGCTGTGGAGCAGCAGCAAAAGCACTTTGGTATACAATTGAGCATCACCTGGGTAAAGCTGAAATCCACATATACTTCATGAGGATCAGAAAATAAATGGCTTGATATTTGTAACAGAATAAAAAAGAAAATGTCTCAAATATTCATCAATAGAAAGTTAAGAAATTGTGGCATAATTTTACAATGCATAGCAATGAAAAACTGAGTTACATCTATTTACATCAACTTAGATGAACTGCAAAAGTGTCCTATTGAGAATACAAGATGAGTCACACAAAATTATGTATAGTACAGTACCATTTATAAAACATTGGAAAACTAAAGTAAGCATTGCTTAATGTTCTGTGTTCATGTGTATGGATGTTTTTGTGTCTGCCTGTGTGTTACAACTACAAAGACAGATCTTAGCTTCTAAATATCTTTCTCCATTCCAAAGAACCAGTGACCCGTGGTGACTGGGGCTGATAAAGTGCAGAATGAATCATAAACATTGTGTGTTGGGATGTGCATGTGTGTGTGTGTGTGAGCTTGCCTGCACACATGTGCCAGAAAATAAGGAAGTTCATTAGAAATGATGGAGTATGTCTGAAGGACACAGTAGTTTGCTTGAAGATACTTTTACTGGCCAAATAGGGAAAAATTTTAGTTCATCAGTTATTTATTCCTGTGTAACAAATTACCACAGACTTAAAAATGTAAAATAACATCTGTTTTTCAGTTTTATAGGGAAGATCAAAAGTCTAGGCTTGATTGGGGTCACATGAGACCTTGAGCTTAGTCCTTGTCATTTGGCATCTACATAAGGATCCACCTCCAATATCACATGGGTTGTTGGCAGAAGACTGAGGACTCTGTCTTCTTGCAAGCTGGTGGTGGTGGGTGCTGCAAGCTCCTAGAGACCACCCACATTTCTTGTCATCAGGCCTCCACTTTCAAAGCCCAGAAAAGGGAATTTCTCATAACAAATCCCTCTCATATTTTGAATCTTTCTTATCAGAAAGAGGATCACCAACAGTAGGACAAATCCATATCATGTGCCTCCTGATATGCTGTGCTGAGAAGGACGTAATATCACTTCTACTGTACTCCTGCCAACAGTGAATAACATGAATCTAATCCTGAGCAATCATCAGGCAAGCCCTGACTGAAAATGTTTCTTATTAAAACTAGACCAACACTTCAAATATGTCAATTGCACAGTAAGAGGTTTATGTTAAAGGACAATAAGGAAACAACATAAGCAAATGCAATTTGATCCCACATTAGATCCTCTATTAAAGGGATGAATAATATTTTGGGGATAAAAGGATAAAAGGACATTTTTGTAATGATTTATGAAATATGAATATAGATGAGATTACATAATATTAGATTAAAGGTAAATTTTCTAATTTTTATAATTGCTCCGTGATTTTGTAAGACAATGTCCATGTACTTAGGAAATAAGCAAGTATTTCGGGATAAAAGGTCACGCATGATTCTGCAACCTAATTTCAAATGTTACAGGAAGAAAAATACATGTCTATATACACAAACAGAGAGAGAGATTGAGATGGAGAAGTTGAAAATAATAAAAATATTATTTGGAAATCTTACAACTTTCAGAAAATTTTAAATTTTATCAAAATAACAACTTAAAAAAACAAAAAGATAAAAGCAAACATCAAAAAAGGGAGGACAATGATTAACTTTGGGAGGAGAAGTCATTTGGTTTCAAATGGGTAAGAAATAAAGGAAATTTGGCATCGTTCTAGGCATTGGCAATATTTTGGTTATAAAAGTGGGTTCTGGCTACACAAATTTATATTACGTTTTTGGTTCTTTCCTTTTACATAAAAATCATTAACCTTTTGTGGATCAAATACTTCATAACTTAAAACAAAGAAAAAGAATAAATGATGGAAATAAGAAAGAAAAGAAGGTAGGAAGGAAGGCGGGGGGGAAAGGCAAGCAGGCAAGTCATCTTGGCCTCTTTTAGGGGCCACTTGGATTCATATGCTACAGTGGTGTTTCCCAAAGTGTAGTCCTCAGGAACTATGGTAGTTAATTTTATGTGTCAACTTGACTGAGCTTTGGGATGTCCAGATATTGGGTCAAACATTATTCCGGGTATGTCTGTAAGGGTTTTTCTGGATGAGATGAATGTTGGAAAGAGTAGAACAAGTAAAGCAGATTGCCCTTCATAATGTGGGTGGGCCTCTTCCGATCAAGCTCTGAATAGCACAAAAGGCTGACCCTCTTGCAAATAAGAAGGGACTTCTCTTGCCTGACTACCTTCAAACTGGGTTATGAGTTTTTCCCTAACTTCAAACTTAAGCTGATATTTTGACTCTTCCTGGGTCTCAAGCCTCCTGCAGTCTTTCAGATTGGAACCACATTATCAGCTCAATTGGTTCTCAGGCCTTTGGATGTGGACTGGAGCTACATCATCAGCTTTCTTGGGTCTCCAGCTTCTCAACTGATTATCTTGGGAATTGTCAGGCTTCCTAATTGCATGATTGCATGAGTCAATTCCTTCTATTTCCTTATAATAAATTCTGTGTGTGTGTGTGTGTGTGTGTGTGTATCTCTCTCTGTCTCTATGTGTGTGTTTGTGTGTGTGTGTGTATAATCTCCTTCTCTCTAAAGGCAGTTTCTCTGACAAACCCTTGCTAATACAAACTCCTACCTGTATTTCAAAATCACTTGATCTGCTTATTAAAAATGCAGATTCTTGAACTCCACCCCAGACCTACTGATCCTAAGACTGTGGTTGGTTGTGAAAATCTGTTTTAAACAAGATCCTCCCTACTTTATGTAGAACAAAATTTAGAACCGCCACACATTGGAACTTAATGGAGCACATATTTGTACTAAATCCTATGTTTGCTGTTGAGTATTTGTTAAGATGGCTTCAGAGTATGTGAAACATCTCAGGTTATTTGTTAGGGATCACTTTGCATTCGTTGTCTTGTTTCCTTATTCTCCTTTAACATGAACCTCTTCCTTACTAATATGATCAACATGTTTGAGTGTTGGTCTAGTTTTATTCTGGAAACATTCTCAGTCAGTGTCTGCCTGAAGATTGCTCAGGATTAGATTCATGGTATTCACTGTGTAGTAGAAGTTACATTGTGTCCTGTTCAGTGCACTGTATCAGGAAGCACAGGATACAGATTTGTCCTACTGTTGCTGATCCTCTTTCTGATGAGAAAGATTCAAAATATGAGAGGAATTTAATGTGAAAAATTCTCTTTTCTTGGCTTTGAAAATGGAGGCCTGATGACAAGAAATGTGGGTGATCTCTAGGAGCTTGGAGCACCCACCACCACCAGATGGTAAGAAGATGGAGTCCTAGTCATCTGCCAACAATCCATTTGATACTGGGAGTAGATCCTTATGTAGATCCTCTAGATAAAAATCCCAACCTTGGTAAAAAAAAAAAAAAACTTGTGCCGCTTCAAGTGTCCCCTGTCTTGGTAAATGGCACGAACATGGATTGATTTGTACAAAACAAAAACTAGAGGGTCATTCTTTACAACTTTCCTTCGTCCATTGTAGCCAATAAATTAACAAATATGGGTTTTATCTTTTACATATATCTCCATTTCACCACTTTTCCCCAAGCTCACTCTCTTTCTCTAACAAAAGTGTTCTTCTACCTTGACTATTGCAAAAAAAACCCTCAATTATTCTCCCATTCTCTAATATTGCTGCTTCTAAGAAATTCATCATACCTCTGCTCTTCCTTTTCCAAAGTAAAGTAACATCAGTTTTTACTTTCTTTTTTCCCTACCAGCTCACAAGCTAAATTAAGAGTCATAATGGTTTTATAATGCTTTTAGTGTTAAAAAACAAAATCTATATCATGATATAGATGACTATGAGTGCTGTGGCCTTCATTGATTCTGTACCATTACTATAGATCTTCTTATCTTTCCTAAAAGATCCTCGCTGTCTCCCAGCTCGGTCTTCTCACTTTCTGTTCCTTTGCCCAGAATACTTTTCCTTCATATTACAACAGTGCTTGCTCTTCATGACATCCACATCTTTGCCCAAATATCTCCCCTAAGTCTTCCCTCACCATCTTAACTAAAATTACTTTCATGCCATCACTATTTCCTTTTCTGCTTAATATTTTTCATAGTATTTATTATTATCACAAAATTGAATTATGTATTTGGCTAGTTACTTCCTTTGCTTACAACTTCCATGAACCCTCAGATAAGGTCAGTTTCTACTAATTATATATATATACACACACACATATATATACACATGTGTATATATATGTATATATGTATATATAGCAGTTGAACATCTTTAATGTAATTGGCACCCTTGAAATGTTTACAAGTATTTACAATCATAGGATAACTCTTTATTTCATAAAAAATGTATAATCTCTATGAGGGAAAGACTGTCAGTTTTTTTCTCAAATATATGACTAGCATGTTATAAAACTGCATGATATGTTCTCAATAAATAGTCTTTGAAGGAATACATTCAACTATAAATGCATGAATATCATTCAGGTTCTGCTTCTCTCCTTGACCTCAGGTCCAAAGACAACCTTAATCTTCCTTTTTTTCCCCACCCTTTAAGCTGTGGTAGAGTAAGACTAAAATATGATGATCAAATGAGTGTCTGAAAATTAGATTATGGTAATTGGAATTTATGGCAATATGATAAAAAGCCTAATCTACAGTAAACATACACAAAAAGAAAAACACATAGAAACAAATTTTGTAGCATAAAAAGCTGGGATCACTAGTAAGGGTTGCTAGTATACTCTCAGATGTACCATCCTCAACATGTTTGAAACAATCACACCTTGGAAGTCTTTCGAGAGACATGATGATTTGTCATGGGCCTCAAGCAGGGCAGGACCTTTAGGACCTTGGCAACAGCTTTGCCCAGTGCAGCAGGGCATGAGGCAGAGAACTGGGAATGTACAGCTCAGAATGTCTATGTCAAAAGACAGGGCACAGTGCCTGGGAGTTAGTGCTGTCTCCAGGCATGGCTCAAGTGCTAGCTGCCATCACCATTTCAAGGTGAGGAAGGTAACTCAAGGTCTCAGATGGAGGGGTAGGTGGCGTCTGAAATGTGGGTCTATGGCAGATAGAGTTCCAGAGGCCAGAGTTCTGCAGACTTTTGAAAGGAGATTGGAAGGACCAATGAGTATGTGTATTAATCAGGGTTCTCTAGAGGGACAAAACTAATAGGATAGATAATTAAAGTATTAACTCAGATGATCACAAGGTCCCACAATAGGCTGTCAGCAAGCTGAGGAGCAAGGAAGCCTGTCTGAGTTCCAAAGCTGAAGAACTTGGAGTCTGATGTTTGAGGGCAGGAAGCATCCAGCACGGGAGAAAGATGTAGCCTGAGAGGCTAAGCCAGTCTCTCTTTTCATGTTTTTCTGCCTGCTTTATATCCTGGCTGTGCTGACAGCTGATGAAATGGTGCCCACCCAGATTAAGGGTGGGTCTGTCTTTCCCAGCCCACTGACTCAACTGTTAGTTTCCTTTGGCAGTGCCCTCACAGACACACCCAAGATCAATACTTTGCATCCTTCAATCCAGTCAAGTTGACACTCAGTATTAACCATCACAGTATGTGAGCAGCTTTAGGTATGTAGATAAAATATCTAGCTGGAACCAGAACTAAGGCAAAAGCTTGTTAATTTGATTAGTGGTATCCAGGGGACTTAATCATTCATATTTGAACACTTGAGCCTTCTCTTTGAGTCAAATGGAACAAAGAAATAAGAAAGAGAAATTGAACAAAAGGTAATAGTTATTGGGCCTTCATTGTGTCCAGGTAGTTTCATGCAATACCTCTTTTATTCCTCATAGTAGCCCTTCAAAATGCATAAGCATGTAGTAGGAAAGTGGTATGTTGTCATTATTTAGGGATACACTCTACCAATAAGAAATCCATCTGGACATTTTGGTCCTACTTCTCTCCTTACTTTGAGAATCACTGAGATAAATAAATTCAGAAAAATGCAAAACAATCTCAGGTGCTCATGTTATGGAAAATGCAAATGAGGTTCAGAATGGATAAAATATTTCCTAAAGGTGACAATAGCTAGTATAGTAGGCAGAATAAGTTCTCCTTTCCCCACCAAAAAATGTCTACTTCCTAATTCTTGAAACCTGTGAATATGTTACATGCAAAAGGGAAATCAACGTAGAAGATGGAATCAATGTTACTAATCAACTAACTTTAAAATAGGTATATTATCCTAGATTACCCATGCGGACCCAATGTAATGAAAAAGGCCCTTAGATGGGGAAAAGGGAAGGAGCATCAGAGTGATATGATGTGAGAAAGACTCCACTGAACATTACTGCCTTTGAAGTTGGAAGTGGGCTGGGAGCCAAGAAATGAGGACTATGGCCCAAACACTTTCCCCTGAAAGTCAGGTGACACCCCAAGGACTAAGCAAAAGAGGGGGGAAATCCCTGAACTGACTGAACTTAAGCCAGGATAGATTATATGGACCATGAAATGAATACAATCACATCTTCTGTGATGAAGTGGACTAGGAGGCTCAAAGCAGAGTTTAAGTTTAATTACAAAAAAAAAAAAAAATACAACTCAAATATATCTGAGAGAGTGAGTGAGAAACAACCACAGTAATCTTTCAGTTTACAGATTGGAAACTCTGGGACATTTTCAAATCATTTCCATTTTGAAAATATGCATATAATTATTTTGTTCTGTGACAAAGTGGGAGTGGCACACAGACATTACATTGTCTTCTGATTACTATTTATTTTCTCCTCTCCTGTTTTATTTGCTGAACCAGATAACTTTTTGGGAAGCATATTAAAGGTTTTGAAACAGAAACAATAAATTCTTTTCTCCTTGTAAATAGGAATAAGCCATGAAATCTCTGGTTTCAGAAATAGGCAGGCTTTGTCTATATGTATTGTGAAAATACCATAATTGGTTAACATTAGCATTTTTTCAACTTCCATTTAAAAATGCTATTTATTTTAGTAGGAACTAGACTAGACCAATTAAATTTTTTCTAACTATAAACAGGTTAAGTATAAAAACATTGAAGTAGAAACACAAAGTGATAAGGACCATGTTTCTGAATTAGCACCATTGCGTGTGTGTGTGGGTTGAGGGGGTGTATAATTCTTGTAGGTTGATGTTCCTGGCAATTGCCCACAAAATTGCTTCAGGATCCAGTCCTACCACAAGTGGAAAACCTTGGCCGACTTTTATTTTTACTGTATACAGCTGGATCTAATAACCTCCTCACTCCTACTTGATGAGAAATGTTTCTTATCTCTTTCTATGGGAGGAAAATAGGATATCTATCACAGTTGCCATCAGATTTTTGACATTGGCTGCATGGCTTGGCTTTGTCCCTTAGGTCCACATGACATGTTCCACTGCATCATTCTGGTTTTTGCTTTTCACAGGAATGGCCTGAGGCATTCTTCTTTCTCCCACCTCTTCCCCCACTCACCCTGAGCCTGACTGTGCTCACCTGTAATCTTCTTGATCTAATCTACCAAATACAGTTAATTCACTTCCACCAACCAGTATCCACCCAATTTTAAACTCTATGGAAATAAAGTTGGTGGAAAAAGAGTGAAAATTCATTTTACTGAGTTTCCTATGATAGGAATGAGGAGGTTATTAGATCCAGCTCTGTGTGTGTGTGTGTGTGTGTGTGTGTATGTATATATATATATATTTACCTATGTTGAAAGTAGCAAACTAGACACACTCTGTCTTGAAATTAATCCTAGTTCTGTTTCTTTCCAGTTGTAGAACTTTAGAAACTTATGAAGTAGACTTCAAGCTTGACTGCACATTGGAAGCATCTTTTCTTTTAAACATTCCAGTGCCCACGTGAGATCCCAAACCAATTAAATCACATTTTCTGGAGTTGGAACTCAGACACTAGTAAATTTTGAAGCTCCCCTGGTGGTTTCCAATGTTCAGAGAAGTTTGGGAAACATTGTGCTCACTTCTTAAACCTTAGAGTCCCAATCAAGATGATTTATAACTTTACCTCAGATCTTCACCTTGTAGAGTTTAATTGATAGTATATATGTGAAAGCCATTTATAAGCTGTAAATTTAGTCATTAGTATTTTCCATAAGGTCTTGTATAGTGATAATGAGAAGTAAAATAAAGTCCCTGTCTCTTCTAGTTGATAGAATCACGAACAGATAATAAACAAAGGTTGCCAAATCACGCTCTGCTTTTCTTCCTTTTTCCCTGCTATAGGTTCTGCTTCCATTTTAAGCATGAAATGTGGAACAACAGAATGAATCACAGAAACAAGTCTCAGGAAGACTCATGCACTTCCATAATAAGGAGTATATAGACTAGATCAGCGTATTTTATCAAATTCTGTTTCCCATCCTCTTACTCTATACCATCTCTTCTATGCCAGTCTCCTATGTCGGATATCTGAACTAAGAGAAACTTTATTTTTATGTTTCATTTGTTGGGATTTTTAATTTTTTGAAAGTTAAGACTATTGTGTGATTTAATTTATATTCTCCTTTCCTCACTATGATAGAAAAGGCATTAACATGGTATTAGAGGAATGAGGCAAAACCCGGAAGGAATGGGAAGGAAGGAAGGGTGGAGACCTCCAGCTGAGAGTAGAGTTACATGGTAGAATAAGCTATAT
This sequence comes from Homo sapiens, assembly GCF_000001405.40. Taxonomy (NCBI): domain Eukaryota; kingdom Metazoa; phylum Chordata; class Mammalia; order Primates; family Hominidae; genus Homo; species Homo sapiens. The sequence goes on from NC_000018.10 coordinate 38,330,551, forward strand.
TCTCTAGGCAGGAGAGGACCTCTTAAGACAACCCCAAAAGCTGACTTGAAGGGAGGGGACGATAAGTGGCTTAATTAGTGCAAAGACAAATTTTATCTCCTCCTATGGTAGGAAAAACCACCTCTCCCACACACATACACACAATCTGCAGGATGGGGTTGTATTGGTAGTATCTAGGCTCATTGAAGAACCAGGATGTCACATTTCTTTAACCCCATTAGTCAGAGCCCTTGATTGCTCACCGTCTTTCCCACAAAGGTTGCTATGCTTACCCACATGGTGGGACCACATGAAAGTTTCAGTTGAATACAATTACGCAGCTCCTACCTGACAAGCTACAAACTGCTATAGAGATACAAGGAGAACTTTTCATCACAGACTCAGGTAGTTTACACTAAATGGGAAAATATGCTTTATAAGAAAATGCACGTCAGTAACTTCCAAGCTACAACTCAAGTTCAGATCTTTTGAATCCCCTACTTATTTACCCAAACATTTACTGATCTATCTAGAAAAAATTCTGTCAGGCACTTTAACTCAATGCGTACACAACTGAAATTGTGTCTCTGCCACATCGAATCTTTCAGTTCTTCTCCTATTCTTTTATCCAGTTAAAGGCACCGCTATCCACAGAGTTGTTCATTTTGGTTACCTGAAAATAGATCTCTCTCTCTTTCCCATCTGTGACCAAATGGTTACTAAGGCCTAGAATTTCTAGGTTCTTAATATCAAAAATATTTTATTTGTGCTCCATCTCTACTAAAACTGATATAGTTCATAACATTAATAGCTAGCACCTGTATCATGCTTATTCTTTAATAATATTCTTGCTACTTAATATTCAAAACTGTTGACTGGGTTTATTTAAAATTATTATCCCTGTTTTACAGAGAAGTAAACTGAAGTGCAGAGAGGTCCAAGGCCAGTCCCCAAGCAAGTGACAGAGCCTCATTCACATTCAGGTGTTTCTCTCCAGCTTATTTTCTAGCACTTAAACCTGTCCTTTCTTTCCTTCTTAAATTTTTATTTTGAAATAATTTCAGGCTTACTGAAAAGTTGTATGAATGGTAAGAAGAACTATACTTTACCCTTTTCTGTTGTCCCCAGTTGTTAAAAATTTTCCACACTTTTATACTTTCACTCCATATATACATATTGTTCTTGTTGTATTCTTTCTGCTTTTATTTTTATCTAATATTATTCTAATATTATTATCATCATTGTTATTACTGAACCATTTGTGAGTAAGTTTCAGACATGACACCTTCAACTCTGAATACTTCCTTCTGAGTTTCCTGAGAACGATTTTCCAAATTCAAGACTTTAAGTTGGTTCCAATACTATTAACACATTTATAGACCTTGTTTACACTTTGTCATTTGCTTAATCATGTTGTTTTTCACAAAATAGGAAATCAAAATCAATTAATCAACAAATTATTCTAACCGAGGGTCCAATCTAGGATCACACACTGCATTTAGTTGTTGTATCTTCTTTGTCTTTTTTAATATGGAGTTATTCCTTGGCCTGTCTTTAGCTGTTTTAAACTTGATAATGTTTTAGAAATAAGACCAGTTATTCTGAAGAATGTCCGACTATTTGGAGTCTTCTGATATTTCCTCATGATTTAAGTTATAAGGTTTTGACAAAAACAAACACATACAAATTCTGTATTCTCTGTTCATTATACCAGAAAACACAATGTCAATTTGTCTCACTCCTTTGATTACATGGTTAAGGGGTGTCTTCCGTGTTTATCTAGTAAAATCTATTTTTCCCTTTTTCGTTAATGAGTTAATTTTGTGCAGGGATAATTTATGACTATGTCATCATTCTGTATATTTCAATTATGTCAACCAGTTTGTAGTTTTTTTCATGTGTCAAACTTTGGCTTGGGAGGGTGATCTTCCAACTTTTGTTAGAACTCTTTCAAAGTGGGAAGAGTATATGTTACAGGTAAAAAAAATCTGTAAAAAAAAACAATTTATTTATTTTATTTTTAACTTAAAAATAATTTCAGACCCACAAATATGTTGCAAAATTAGTGCAAAGAATTTTTGTGCATCCTTCACTTAGCTTTCCCAAATGTTAATATTTTCCATAACCATAGTTCAATTGGCAACATCAGGAAATGAAAGTTGATTCAATATACTGTTAACTGATCTACAGACCTTATTCACATTTTACCAATTGTTCTACTAATATCGTTTTTCCCTTCCAGGATTCAATCGAACTTGACACAATGAATTTATCTTTCATATCTCCTTAGTCTCTTTCAAACTGGTACAGTTCCTTATTCTTCCTTTGACTACCACAGATCTGTATTTTTGTAAGAGTACGAACAGTTATTTTGTAGTTATTCTATAGAAGACCCCTCTGCATGAATTTATCTGATGTTTCTTTATGGTTAAAATTGGACTTTGCATTTGAGACAGAAATACCACACACGGAATGTTGCCTCCTGATCAATACAGCACACTAGGATGTTTATTTATTTATTAAACATCATGATGTTGACAAGCCCCATTCCGAGTGACGTGAACTTTGAGCACTTGGTTAAGATGATGTCCAAGTTTTTCCAATGTAATATTAATCTCTCCCCCACGCCACTTAATAAGTCTCTTTTCAGGAGTTACATTGAGACTATGAAAATATCCTATTTCTCATCATACTTTTGCTCACTGATTTGGGCACCAATTCCTAACTGAAACAATGATGACTTGTTATTTGCTAAATGGTGATTTTCTACTGATATTTTTCCTGCTACATTTGTTAACTTTTATTCTACTGTAAAAAAAAACTGTCCCTACTCACACATATTTCTTAACTTATTCATTTATTTATGTCAGTATAGACTCATGGATATTGATTTTATTTTCTAGAATATAATTCATTACTATCTTTTTTTTGCTCATATTTTCATATATTTGGGCATTGAAAGCTCTTTTGAATTGCTTTTGTGTCTTTTGAGCATGCTTCCATAACTTTTTGAGCACTTTGGTTATTGGAATCTCATGATATTTTAGACTCTGCATTTACTTTCCCTGACTGGGAACTTGAATTAGACATTCCTTCAAGGAAGCCTGTTTTATTTCAGTAGAGAATGGTATTTAGAACCAAAATATAGATACTAGTTGTGTTCGTTGTATTGGAATGTCACTAATTCAAGGCCCTTTTAGAGGACATACATGCTAGTATGTGTATGATACATATATTTATATTGCATATGTACACACACACTTCCATCTATATCTATTATTTCATACTTCAATTTCAATTCAACACCAAAGGATTTATTCTAGATTTCTCTATTTGTAACTCCTAACAGTAAGAAGCCTGCCTCTCAGTATCCACATATATTTACTTATTTTCTCAATCCTTTAATGCACGTAATGTAATAAAATTAGCCCATACAGCTGGGAAAAACTAATTTACTAACTAAAGCAGGGGTCCCCAACCGTGGGACCATGGACGGGTACTGTGGCCTGTTAGGAACCGGACCGCACATCAGGAGGTGAATGGCAGGCTAGGGAGTATTATCAGCTGAGCTCCAACTGCTGTCAGATCACTGGTGTTATTAGATTCTCATAGGAGCTCAAACCCTATTGTGAACTGCGCATGGGAGGAAATCTAGGTTGAGGCTCTTTATTAGAATCCAATAATGCCTGATAATCTGAGGTGGAACAGTTTCATCCCAAAACCATACCAGCCACCGCTGCCCTCCACACCCCTGCGGAAACTGTCTTCCATCAAAGTGGTGCCTGGTGCCAAAAAGGTCAGGGACCACTGAACTCAAGAGGAATGTTTGGGTACAGCTCTTTTAGTTGTAGAAAAATACCTTTCTCGATGTTATTTATTTTTTCTCCGTTTCCTTCAGTGGGGTTGGGTTATTTGCAAGAAAATTAAATTAATTTGTTACAGTTTGTATTCCAGTTTGGATTCCCCCAAATTCTGTTGGATAATTTAATTATTTCTTTGAACATCTGAAACCTTAACATTGTCCTAAATGTCAGAGCGACACAAAAACAAAGAAAGCAGAAACCACACAGATATACTCATTTCTTCTTTCTGTCAACCTGGTCTTTCCCCTACACCCTCTAGGTAAGAAAATCTCTTTAATTTATGGCTTTTCTTTTCTTTATTTTATTCTTGCATAAATAATCAGATACATACATATTTCATTATATCAATTTTTTTCTTACATGAAATATGTATGTTTCTTACATGAAATATATATGTTATAGATATTCCTTTCTACTTTGATTTTGTCACTTCAAAATATAGTCCCTATCAGTTCATAGAAATCAGCTTCATTTTACATTTTACACAGCTGTGTAATACTTTGTGGTACAGGCATCCCATAGTCCATCCTTTCAGGCTGAATATTTCATGTATCTATGGGTTCTTTCAATATGTAGATTCAGGTATTTCTTTTTAGAAATTTTGTTTTTGGATTATACATTTAAGTATTAGTACTGTTACACTGTTTTGCTTTATGGTTGGTGGTTTTTTTGTTTGTTTGTTTTTTAATTTGGGGACTCCAAATATGTTAATTGTATTCTTTCCCCATCCTTTATTTTTATCTTTATTTTTCTCTGGACCTTTTTCATTTATTTATTTCAATTTCATTCTGTTTGAGATTTTTCCAGATTCCTTCAATGGTTCTTGTTACTTATTTTCCTTTATTAGACTTTGGATGCCTTAAAAATTAGTCTTTTGTTTGTTTGGGTGGTTACATTTCTTTTCTGAGTTCAAATAACTATTTTCTACTGTTTCTGTCTCCCTCTCTTGCCAATTTCCATTCTTCAATTTGAATTTCCAATTTAAAAAAAATCAGTGGTTTTCCTATCTCCAAATGTTTGAGTACAATTAACTTACTTTGGAGTCTCACAGTTTCTTCTGACACAGGATTGGTTGTTCAGGGGGCATTTTCATTACTTGAGATGTATTGAATCTCATTTTCTAACTTTTTAAAAATAATAACTTTATGTGGCTTTATTAGTTCACTTTCCATTTATCTTGGATTTAGTTTGAAGGATTCTTTATTTGAAAGCACACTTTTTTCATTATAGCAAAATTTGTACTCTTTAATGGATTTGTTTGTGTGCATGTATATGTGTAATGCGAGAGGATCTGTGTGTCCTCTGATATTTTTGGTTCTCTTGGTCTTGCAAGACCCTAAATTCTGATCTTTTTCATCTTTTTATATTTCACCACTCAATTTCTAAAGGGCTTATTTTTCTTCCTTTTTTCGTTTTTTAAAATTCCCCAGAATTTAAGTATTTTGAAGACTGTCACTTCCAGCAATATGCATTTTTAAGCCTCTTTGCTATAAACTGTTAGACCGTGTTCTAATCTACCAAAGCACTTTTAAGAAATGTTTAATATTTTTACACTGAGGGTGAACTTTAGCTTTCTTGTGGTGCTTTTATGTTAACATTATTCCCATGACTAGCTCTCCTGGTCTCCCTTCCCACAGGCTTTCTTGGCCTGCCTTTGCAGTGGGGAATGAAGGTGAGAGATTACCTGCTGAGTTTTGGTGCATTTACTAAATAATTTACGCTAATTTTGAAGTTCAGTTATTTCAGATTTCACTTTATGCTGAAAGCGTGGAGGGTTTTTTTTAATGTTGTTTTCCTGTATTGTTTTCAGCTACCCAGAATTCAAAAGTTACTAATTTTGAAGGAAGTTTTGTCTTTGTGTTCTCACAGGTTCAGAAACACTACATTCCTTTGAGGCAGTCTTCTGTCTCCTCTTTCTTTGTGACAGTCATATCTCTTTATGCAGTCCTCCAACTGCCCCTGTTGCCTTTCATGGGTGCCAGAGCAATCAATTTATGACGGAAGAGAGGCCTCTGTCCCCAGAGATAGTGTGTGTGGCTTGATCTGCTCTTCCCTTTCCCCATGGCTTGTTTAAAAAGGTTTCATTGAATTTCTTGCATGTTGTGCTGCTTGGGTGTACAAAATATTGGCAATGTTTTATAATAAGTAGCAAATCATTATTATGCACTGTGGTGTTCATTGTATTACCATTAATCATCGTAAATTCACTGAGTGTATTCACACAAATAAGGTAGGTAATTCCAAAGACAGTTTTATTCATGACACTTTCAATTTATTAATGTGATTTCACCTTTAAAGATACACGGAAAAGTTAAATGATGTTTTTCAGTAACGGCATCAAAAGGACTTTGTGGAGTCTCAGTGCAGAATTCTGCTAAAGCTCGTTTTTAGCAAACTGTAAAGGACGAGACTCTTGCCTCTGGTACTCTCTTCATTCCTTATTTTGTGATCACTAGTATACCCCAAATTCTCATGCTGAACCACTTCAGCTGGTTGTCCAGAATCACTGCCCATCCTTGCCAGACTTTTTGTTTAGATATGCAGTCTGTATTTTTCTCCTTCTTTTGGTTAAATTTTAACCTCAAATACAAAGCATTACAGTATACAGTACATCTTAGAGACATTAATATGTTATTAGGAAATATTGTGCCTTAACCCAAAAGAATAAAGTGCTAATAGTGGACAGTTGGGCATCATAGTAAAATAATTGAGGGGCTTTTATAGCATATTTGAGTTCATCTTATCTGGAAAACTTTTTTTTTAACCTTTCGGTTTTAGGGACATATCTTTTGAAGCATAATATATTTTCAAATTCTGGCTCTATCATGTAATATCTGTGTGTCTTTGACAAAAAAAATAACTTCTGAGCTTCATTACCACTTCTATAAAAATGAGAAAAATACTACCTCCTTGACAGATCACGTTGAGGTTAAAACAAAGAGGATGTGACATTTTTAATTCTGATCCTCATCTTTAAAATGAGGATAAGATCAACAATTATTTGATGATCAAATGGAAAAGCATGTGCAAAGCATCTTAATTTACTTGGCATATGAGATCTTCTCCATAAAGACAGTTCTCCTTCCGGACTTACTGCCAGCCCATTCGACCAAATATTTAGAAACTAAAGATGGCAATCTTAATTGGAAATGAGCAAATTTGATGGTTCAGGCTACATCTGCCCTATCTAAACAGCGGCATATATGCTTACTAGAGAAGGCTAGGGGAGACCAAGGCAGACAGTGGCTACTGAAGGGGAATTTGTTCTTCTTCCCTAGATGAGGTCTCAGACAGGGGCTGAATGCTAGGAATGAGGCACAGGAACTGGAACATACTGCTAGGACAGCACTGCAAAGACTTGATTGCATGCTATATTACACTTGAAAAGGAAGTAGCAGAGATGGGATAAAATGTTATTTGCACCGTCCTAACTAGGATTTCCTCTGTTGCTAAGGTGGCTGTAGTAGACTAAATAATGCCTGCCCACCCCTCACCCTCTGCATCACCCTCTCAAGCTATCTATGTCAAAGTCCCTGAAATCTGTGAATGTTACTTTATATGGCAATGCCTTTGCAGATGTGATTAATAAATTTGAAACAGATTATTCCGGATTACCCAGGTTTTTCCGAAAGTCACCACAGGCATCCTTATAAGAAGGAGACGTAAAGAGATTACAAACCTAAGAGGAGTTGGCCCTGTGACCACAAAGGCAGGGACTGGAGTGATGCAGCCAAAAGCCAAGGAATATGAGCAACCACCAGAAACTGAAAGCAGCAAAGGACACATTTTTCCCTAAAGCCTCTGGGGAGACAGTGGTTCTGCTGATACCCTGATGTTAACCTAGTGGAACTGATTCCAGACTTCTAGCCTCCAGAATTGTGAGAGAATAAATTTCTGTTGTTTTAAGCTGCCAAGTTTGTGGTAATTTGTTAAAGAAACCCAAAGAACTAATGCAGTGACTAAGGTTCATATCAATTGAAACCATTTAGAGCTGAGGGTGATGGCTCACACCTGTAATTCCAGCACTTTGGGAGGCTGAGGTGGAAGGATGGTTTGGTCCTAGTTTAAGACCAGCCTGGGCAACATAGTGTAAGATCCTGTATCTCCAAAAAGTTACAAAAATTTACTGGGTGTGGTGGAATGTGCCTGTAGTTCCAGCTGCTTAGGAAGCTGAGGCAGGAGGATGGCTTGAGCCCAAAAGTTTAAGGCTGCAGTGAGCTATGATTGCACCATTGCACTCCAGCCTGAGATATAGAGCGAGACCCTGTCTCTAAAAAGGAAGAATAGGAATTCACACTGAAGTAAAAGCAACTCACAATCATGCAATTGTAAATTCTAGATGTGATAGAAAACATTTGGGTTCTTTTATTCCAGTGCTGACGCACTGACACCTGTGATGGTCAGTCGCCCAATCCTTCCACTGACATATTGCCAAGTAGTTTATTCTGGACTTTGGCATGTCTATTGATAGTTCTGCCTTGTTTTGTGCTACTACCTGCTTAGCTATATATTTCTATCTCAGGCATGAGTTCTGCCCTTTGAAGCAAAAGTTAATGAATAAATAAATCAAACAGGATTCCTCAGCTATTTGAGGGCAGCCATACTGAATCTCCAGAACCCCATTCTCTGCATCCTGGATCCCTCCATCCTTTCCTCATGTGATGCCATCATGCCATTCTGTCTGTCTTCTGGCATGCTATGATTTGTCAGCTCCCAGCCTGTATACACAATGGAACGGCCTGTTGAATATCATGCTCCAGATATAAAAATAAGTAGTGGGTGAACTGAGCAAGCCCATTAATTCTTAATCAGATGTAACCTGAAAGTATTCTTGCTTTCTGGCAGTCAGAATAAGCATCAGTTAAGGAATCCCCCAAAACCGATTTTATGAGAATTGTTAAGTTTCCTCAAATTCATGCATGCTATCCATGCCCTTTTTACTGATAAATAGTCTTATTAATTTGTTCCTGTGTTTTCAATCTTCATTTCATCATCCATCAATCAACTCCTTTTCTTAGCTTCATATTAAATGTAAACATTTTAAATAAGTTCTGTTAATTTATTAAAAATATTTCTTAAACCACTAACATATAATATATGTGATAGGTAATAAGATGGTTATAGATTCAACCCTCAAAAAATTACATACTGCTGGTGGATACCTACAGGTTGATAAGCTTGACCTTTTTATGTAGTAAGTTCTATAAAAGAGAAATTATAGACTATTGTCTAAGAAAGGAAGGCATTTATAGAGAGGAAATGCTTCTTGGAATACCCATCATAACTGAGAATTTGAGGGTGGATATTTACTCTTTCTTTGCCTCCTCTTTTCTGTTCCTTTGAGCTGGCCAGCACCAGCAAGGCCTACAGAGAGGGGCCCAATATGATGAGGCCTGTAAACCAATACACGAGTATTGATGCTAAAGAAGCAATGGGAGCCCATAGAGCTTATAGGGTGTGCAAAACAGGATCCAAGGAAGTATCTGGGGCTGTCAGGAGAATAGTTATATATAAAAAGAATTAATTAGTCATTCCTCAGTTTCCTTTGGGGGATTGGTTCCAGGACCCCCTGTAAACACCCAAATATTAAAATGCTCAAGTTTCAAATACAAAATGGCATAGGTTTGCATATAACCTATTTACATGCTTCTCTATAAATAATCTCTAGATTACTTATAATACTTAATACAACTGTTATATACTTTTTATTCTGTATTTTTAAATTTTGTATATTTTTGTTATATTATTTCATCATTTATTAAATTTGAATATTTTTATCTGTGATTGAGTCCACAGATGTGGAACCTATGGATATGGAGGGCTAATTCTATATAAATATATTTCTAAAAATGGGTTTCAGATTGCTCATTGCTAAAGAAAATAATTAGAAATATGGAAAAGTTAAGTCTGGAATGAACTCTCTTGTTGGATTGAAATTGGAAGAATTGGCGTGAATTCATGTTTTTAAATATGTAATTGTACATGTACTTATATACATTTCTGAAGCTTGTATTTACTTTTACATACTCACATACATACACGTGAATCTATTTATATCTACGTGCGCACACACACACACATATATAGGTACAAATATAGATATATAGACGTATGAGTTATATGGATATATAAAGAAATATATATATATAGAGAGAGAGATAGAAACATGTGGGTATATATATGTGTGTGTTTAAGAGTTTATGTGTATATACACACATACATTTCCTAGCTCTCTTCATTGAGGAGGCCTAGAAGCATAACATCTCAGTACCTATGGGCATTCCTAGTACTGTGATCTTAAGAAGAGCCAAGGTTCCTTGAAATAATAAGGAGCTGAAGTGGGAGTTTCTTCTGTTTGATTACATGACTGGGGAAATGAAAGTACAAGATGATCCTTGACTACCCTTTTGCTCCAGAAATGTAAGGAATGCTAAGAAAACAGACACTTTTCAGAAGAACACAGGAATCAGCTTAACCAGATTTCTTTTGGCCAGATAAGATGGAATTTGAGATTGAAAAGAAATGATTATTGTAATGAGTTATAATCCATTAAAAATATATATATGTCCATGTTTTCATACTAATAAAGATGAATGAATGAATGAATAAGTAAATGTTTTTAGAAGAAAAAGCTCCTCCTTATGGTTATTACTGACTATGCATATATATGTATCATATATAATGTATCTCCTATATTATATATCATATATGTCATGTCACATATAAGTTGTGTGTTTAAATTGTATGTATATACATGTATACACAATTAATCATATATAGTAATATAGTGGAATTAGAAAGTCACTCTTTGGCAATCATCATAGTAACAAGTGATTCAGGTAAAGAATCATCAGGGGCAAAAGTTCATGGAGGAACAGTTATTTACATAGTGTCAACGTATTTAATCGCAAAATGCCCATTGATTGCAAGAGGAAAATATGGTCACATTACAGTAGAGAAATCTGGCAGACACCACCTTAACTAAGTGACCAACAGAAATAGGACAAATCATCATGCGCCTGCTGGTGTAATGCACTAAGAAAGACATTATATCTTTTCTGTGATATTCTTCAATAAATCCAGAGCCTAAATGCAATCATGAGGAAATATCATGTAAGTCCAAATGGAGAGACATTCTGCAAAATACCACAGTTGAATTAAAAATATCAAGATCACAAAAAGACAAACTAAAGAAAAATTTCATATTGAAAACCGCTAAAGAGACATGGCAATTAAATACAATGTGTAATGCTGGTTGGAATGTTGAGTTAGAAGAAGAAAAAAACCTCTAAAGGGCAATATTGAGCAGCATTTGAATGAGTCTGTGCATTAGATAATGGTGTTTTATAAATGTTAATTTCTTGATTAAGATGTTTGTGCTGTCATTTACGGGAAAGTGTATTTATTTTCTAGGTAATGAACATTGTTTAAGAATAATGAAGCATCCTATTTGCTACATACTTTCACTTGTTCAAAAGATAATAATGCATACATACATGCACATATACAGAGAATGATAAAATATTGCCAATTAGGGAGTCTGAGTGAAGGGTACTATTCTTGTAACTTCTTTGTATGCTCTTTTTAAATTTAAAATTATTTCAAAATAAAGAGATAAGAAACAAAAAGATGTATATTTGTTGGTCCAAGATGGGAGATGGGTTAATGGTAGCATGCTCTGGCAGAGTTATCTGTGTTAGAGTAAAATATAGAGATTCCCCACTAGATATCCCTTTTTTTGGATATTGATTAATATCACATATATATTATATTGTTTGAACAGAGTCTGTGGAATTGTCCATGGAAATGTTGAAGGATTACTTTTCCTGAATTTTTAAGAGATAAAATGAGAAAGTAATGTGTTAATACATTAAAATAATTCTAAAATTGGTATTTTGGAATCTCAGATTTAGGGAGAAAGGTGATCTTTTGTCTCCCAGGATTGTGTAAAGTATCATTTCTCTTTTCTTCACTCTCAAGTTTAAGCCCATCCCTCAGAGGAGTCACAGAATGTTCAGTCATACCACTGGATAAACCTGCATGTTTCATTACATGGAATAATTTGTAGCACACTTTACAAAATGAGAACTTTTTAAAGGTATTTTTGCTTTGAGGAGAGCTGTCTCTTTAGAACTCCTTATCCCTCCATGTTCAGATACAACCTAAAAAGTAGAATCTACATGAAGAATAAACTCTAAACAGTGAAATAAGAGAGTAAAGTGACCTATTCTATCCTATTCTTGTAGCTCCTACCCCAATATCTATGTCCTCATGAAGCTGCAACAAATGCAGACTCAAGAGATGTGGAACTGAGGATTGACGCCATCAACAACTATTTGAATGACTTCCACTTCTACTCTCAAAAGCTTTAGTTTCACTATGAAAACAGAAAACAACATACCAGGATATTTGGGACACAGCTAAAGCAGTGTTAAGAGGAAAATTTATGGCCGGGCGTGGTGGCTCATGCCTGTAATCCCAGCACTTTGGGAGGCCCAGGTGGGCAGATCACAAGGTCAGGAGTTCGAGACTAGCCTGGTCAATATGGTGAAACCCTGTCTCTACTAAAATTAGCCAGCCGTGGTGGCATATGCCTGTAGTCCTAGCTACTCAAGAGGCTGAGGCAGGAGAATTGCCTGAACCTGGGAGGCGGAGGCTGCAGCGAGTCGAGATTTGTGCCACTGCACTCCAGCATGGGCAACAGAGTGAGCCTCCATCTCAAAAAAATAAATAAATAAATAAAAGAGGAAAATGTGTAGCACTAAATTCCTACCTCCTACATCAAGAAGTTAGAAAGATCTCAAATTAACAACCTAACATTACACCTACAGGCACTAGAGAAACGAGCAAACCTATCCCATAGCTAGCAGAAGTAAAGAAATAACCAAAATCAGAGCTGAACTGAATGAAATTGAGATGTGAAAATCCATATAAAAGATCAATAAAATCAAAATCTGGTTATTTGAAAGATTAAACAATATTGATAGACTGCTAGCTAGGTTAATAAAGAATAAAAGAGAGAAGACAAAAACACAATCAGAGAAAAACAAATGTGACATTACAATGGACCCCATAGAAATATAAAACATCCTCAGAGACTATTACAAATACATATATGCACCCTAGACAGCTTAGAAGAAATGGATAAATTCCTGGAAACAGTTTCCCAAGATTGAATGAGGAAGACTTAAATTCCTGAACAGACCAATAACAAGTTCCAAAATCGAATCCGTAATAAAAAGCCTATCAACGAGAAAAAGAAAAAAAGTCCTGGATGAGATTGATTTATAGCAGTGTTCTGCCAGATGTACAAAGAAGCAGTAGTACCAATCCTCCTGAAATTATTCTAAAAAATTGAGGAGGAGGAGACTCCTCTCTAATTCATTCTATGAAACCAGCGTAATTCTGATACTGAAGCCTGGAAAAGACACAATGAAGAAAGAAAACTTCATGCCAATATCCCTGATGAGCACAGACACAAAAATCCTCACAAAAAAGCTAGTAAACTGAATCCAACAGCACACTGAAAAGCTAATTCACTATGATCAAGTAGACTTTATTCCTGGGATGCAAGTTTAGTTTAGCATATGCAAATCAATAAATTTTATTCACCACATAAACAGAATTAACAACAAAAACATATGATCATCTCAATAGATGCAGAGAAGACTTTCGATAACATTCAACATCCCTTCATATTAAAAACCCCCAATAAACTAGGCATCAAAGGAAAGTACCTCAAAATAAGAGCCATCTATGACAAACCCACAGCCAACATCATACTGAAGGAGAAAAAAATAGAAGCATTCTACTTGAGAACTGGCGGAAAAGAAAGATGCCCACTCTCACTGCTCCTATTCAACCCAGTACTGGAACTCCTAGCCAGGGCAATCAGATAAGGGAAAGAAAAAGAAGGCATCCAAATAGGAAGTCAAACTATCTATCTCTCTTCACAGATGATATGATTCTATACCTAGAAAACCCCAGATTCCACCAGAAGGCTTATAGAACTGGTAAACAACTTTAGTAAAGCTTCAGGGTATAAAATCAATGTATAAAAATCAGTAGCGTTTCTATAAGCCAGTAAAGTTCAATCTCAGAGCCAAATCGAGAATGCTATTGCATTTACAATAGCCACAAAAAAGGGTAAAATATCCAGGAATACAGCTTACCATGGTGATGAAAGATCTCTAAAACAAGAATTACAAAATGCTGTTGACCGAAATCAGAGATGACACAAATAAATGGAAAATCATTCCATGCTTATGAATAGGAAGAATCAATATTGTTAAAATGGCCAAACTTCTCAAAGCCATGTACAGATTTAATGCTATTTCTGTCAAACTCTCAATGTCATTTTTCACAGAATTTGAAGAAATTGTTTTAAAATTCATATGGAAACCAGAAAAGAGCCCAATTGCCAAAGTAACCCCAAGCGAAAAGAACAAAGCTGGAGGCATCACATTAACTGACTTCAGACTATGCTACAAGCCTACAGAAATCAAAACAGCATGGTCCTGGTTAAAAAAAAAAAAAAAAAGGAGACACCTAGAACTATGTAACAGAATAGAAAAACCAGAAATAAAGCTATACACCTAAAACTACCTGATCCTCAATAAAGTCAATAATAGTAAGCAGTGGGGAAAAGACTTGCTATTCAATAAATGGTGCTGAGATAACTGGAAAGCCATTTGCTGAAGATTGAAACTAGACCCCTTTCTTTCACCATATAGAAAAATTAAATCAAGATGGATTAAAGACTTAATGTAAGACATAAAACAATAAAAATCCCAAAAGACAACCTAGGAAAACCATTCTAGACACTAGTCTTGGCAAAGAATTTATGAATAAGTCTCCAAAAGCTATTGCAACAAAAATAAAAATTAACAAGTGGGACCTAATTAAACTAAAGAGCTTCTTCACAGCAAAAGAAACTATCAACAGAGCAAACAGACACCCTACAGAATGGAAGAGAATATTCAGAAACTATGCATCTGACAGAAGTCTAGTATCCAGAATCTATAAGAAACTTAAATCAGCAAGCAAAGCAAATAATCCCATTTAAAAATGAGCAAAGGACATGAACAGACACTTCTCAAAAGAAGACATACGTGCAGTCAAGAAATATATGGAAATACCGCTTATTATAACTAGTCATTAGAGAAATACAAGTCATAACCACAATGGGATACCATCTAACACCAGTCAGAAGAGATATTATTAAAAAGCCAAAAATTTACAGATGTTGGTGAGGCTGCAGAGAAAAGGGGATACTTCTATAATGCTTGTGGGAATGTAAATTATTTCAGTCACTTTGGAAAGCAGTGTGCAGATTTCTTAAAGAACTTAAAACAAACCTACCATTTGACCCAGCAATTCCACTATTGGATATATATACCCAAAGAAAATAAATTGTTCTACCAAAAAGACACATGTACTCATACGTACATAACAGCACTATTCACAATACCAGGCCCAATACCAGCATCAATCAAGATGCTCATGAATGGTGGACTGGATAAAGAAAATGTGGTACATATACACCACGGAATACTATGCAGCCACTAAAGAGAATAAAATCATGTCCTTTTGTAGCAACATGGATGCAGCTGGAAGCCATTATCTTAAGTGAACTAGTACAGTAACAGAAAACCAAGTATTACAAGTTCTTAGTTGTAGATGGGAGCTAAAACTTTGAGTACACATGGACACAAAGGGAACAATAGACAATGGGGACTGCTTGAAGTGGGAGAGTTGGGAGAGAAGCATAGGTTTGAAAGCTATCAGGTACTATGCTGTCTAATTTGATGATGGAATCATTCATACACCAAGCCTCAGAGACATGCAATTTACTTATGTAACAAACCAACACATGTACCTACTGAACCTTTTTTTTTTTTTTTTTTTTTTTTTTTTTTGGAGACAGAGTCTTGCTCTGTCCCCCAGGCTGGAGTGCAGTGGTGCAATCTTGGCTCACTGCAACCTCTGTCTCGTGGGCTCAAGCGATTCTCCTGCCTCAGCCTCCTGAGTAGCTGGGACTACAGGCATGCACCACCACACCAGGCTAATTTTTGTATTTTTAGTAGAGACAAGTTTTCACTATATTGGCCATGAAGTTTCGAACTCCTGACCTCAAGTGATCTGCCTGCCTCGGCCTCCCAAAGTGTTGGGATTACAGGTGTCAGCCACCGCGCCTGGCCCTGAACCTAAAATTTTTTTAAAAGTAAAAAAACTTAGTTTCACATTTGTAAAAGAAGGATATTGGAATAGATTTTCAATCTCTAACATTCTATGTTTCCGTGAGCATTTAGAGCCATTGAATTCTTTGTTATGACAGTAATTAGTGGTTCCTTCCCAGATTACTTGCAGCATTTTTGAAAGGTTTATAGCTTATTCTTGATGTAGATAAATGTTTTTTAGAATACTTGTTTTGCCTTTCATGAATAAAAAGGTGATTGAACAAAGCATGCATTCATCATTCCATTTATTGCCCTGAAACAACAAGTGTAATTTATAAACCAATAACACTTCGGGCAGTGTTATACACGTTTGAAAAGAATGTCTTAAACTAATGGGAGGCCATGGAGACACTAATCCAGCATCACCTGGAGGAAGAGCTAAGAACCCAGCCAGAGAGGAAACTTGGATATATTTTATTGGATAATATAGATGGTGCTATGTTACTTTTATTGGAGCACAAATAAAGCGGGGGTAAAAAGGTCAATGACTCTGGGTTGGTCTCATCCTTGTTTCTTAAGATGTGTGAGAATGAGAGGGTCATGTTATCACAACAGGTTCCAGCTGGAATCCAAGAAAATGCTGGGATGTATATTAAAGGATACATCTAAAGATATCCATTCTTTTATGTACTATTCATAGAAACATGATTTTTCTGTTAAATTTAAGACAGTCTTGGTAAAGCTATAGGGATTAGTGAAAAGCTAGAAGGGACCCACTTTAGAATTATCGTAGCACATGTGAGAAGACAACATTTTAGAATTCATAGAATTAATGAGAATTGCTTTGAAATTTTTGTCTGTGATTATTAAACAGTTTAATTTGTAAACTTGCTGTTTAGTATGTAGCATCATAAAAATGACTTCTCTTATTTAGAATGCCCTTCACTCTGTCATTGTACAAGCAAATTTTCAACACCTCACTGGAATGTGGTTAATACTCCAACTTCTTTGTGTTCTTAGTCTCAATTACATAATTTCCTATGTTCATAGGCATAGTTTGAACTCAACTATCTTTCAATGTCTTACCTCTCTTAGTTATCCAAATTATAGGTAAATACCTACGAGGACAGAAAAATTAAGCTTCTCAGCAAATAAAATAAATAAATGTCAGCAAGTTGATGCACTACAGCTTATGTACATGATACAAAAGAGCCATGTATGATGTTTTGCAGGACCAATTTACTCCTAATTTGTAAAACATTCTAATGAGTTTGGGTATTGTGAAGATTAAACAAGTTAATATATGTAAAGCACTTAGAAAATGCCTGGTACACAGTATACATTCAATACTTATTAATATTTAATTCCCCTGTCAATAAAATACTAACAATAACAAATTGAAAGGGAGTAAAGAACCGCAACGAGTGAGGACACTCAAAATAAAAATTGTGAAGTAATGGAAAGAGATAGCAACATGATCAAAATCAAACATAAGAACTCAAAACAAAGCCATTATTCATTTGGTGCAGATCCAAACACATCTAAGCAGAGTCAGAGGCATCACTATTACAGTACATTGTAGCAGTAATAGCTGTTAATAACAATAACTATGAGGCATCAAGAACAGTTGAAATAATATCCAATATCTTCTGTCTAAGAAAGCATGCAAATTGCAATAAAAATTTATAGACTCCCATCCAAACTGGTTATGATTTTAATGTTAATGCTTCATCCATAAACTCTCTGTAATCTAGAAAACCTATTTTCTAGACCCTTTCGATAATGTATTTCTAGATAATAAAGGTTTGTTTAAATTAGGTTCATTAATCTTAGTAATTTCTGGACCTGAGGTTTAGCTGCCCAACTAGGCACCATATTTCTCAAGGACAAAAAAAGCATCTTTGAATATATTAATTTCAAAGTGGATTAAGGATTACTGATGCCACAGAGTTGGGCCACGAGGGCTGGGGTTTTTGTTTGTTTGTTTGTTTTGTTGTTTGTATGCCTGTGTCTGTTAGTCATTGCCTGCTGACTGCAGCCTGGCAGCAGTAGAGATAGAGGGGTTACATTCCAGATGAGATTCCCAGTTAAGTAGTGGCTCCCATCTGGCAGTGGGTAGTTATCAAGAGAAGGGGGTAGCTATGATCAGTTACCAGCAGTTACCACAGTTGCTGAGGGATAGACACACTGAGGGATGGGTGCACTGTTAGATCAAAGGAACATTAGTGGAATAAAAACAGCAAATGCTAAAGCCCACCCCTTATACCACTCAGAATCACCTACTTTTCACAGTAAGTTCACATTTCATATTAGAACATCTAACCTGAGATTCTGATTGGTAACAATTTCTGGGAAAACCTACAAGAGTGGAAGGTACTGCTGGTGCTATTAGTCCTGAAGCTCTAAGGATGCTCACCATCTCCCATCTAGACCCCCCATATCCTCAAACAGCACTTCTGCTGGCCAGATGGATTGCCTGGTGGGGTAATGCAGACCCCTATCTGTGAGGGGTGTGAGTCCCTTCTCCTGCTATGGTTATACACCCACCCACTTATAGTTAGGGCACCAGAGTACTAAAATGTGTTCCAACATGTCACCTACATACCAGATACATTTTGCACATTCTCATTATGCAGCAACAGTGCTACCTCTTCATAATAATAGGGCCCAAATATTCCTTTTTGGGTTTGCTGTACTACTGATAGGAGCAGATAAAAGTGAACTTGAGACAACTGCAGCTTTAAATTTAGTGACCTACTTAATGCATCCTTTGGTAGGAGCATGCATCTTATCTCTAAGGCCTCTTTTACCCTGTGAGGATGCAGTGAGAAGATGGGTATTTATGAACCAGAAAGGAGGCCCTCACCAGACACTGAATCTGATGGCACCTTGATCTTGAACTTCCCAACCTTCAAAACGAAATATCAGTTGTTTATAAGCCACCCAGTCCATAATATGCTTTTATAGCCACCTGAATGGACTAAGGCAGGATTATTGTGGGTAGTTGAAGTGACAAGCTACTTTTACAAAGCCTGGATCTACTGCACAATTCTCTCATGCCCTCTACTCTGCTCAAAACTGACAACTTTCCATGTCATTCAGTAACAAGATTAGAGAAGGATTCCCAAGTGTGAAATGTGCCTCCTCTAGAACTCAAAGCCTGCCTACTATTGTGCTTCTTCTTAGTGGTAGAAGTGCAAGTTGAATGGTGCCAATACTTGGAAGAGATGCCCCAGCAAGTCCAATATATTACCTGATAGTTGATGTATCAGGCCCCTTGGTAGGGTTTATGTTTTGCCATCTGGGGCACATCCTTCTTTTCGAAAAACCTAGCAGACTTCCCAATCCATGCTCATCGAGTTTAACTGATTTGATGTCTTCTATAGAATGGAGCACCATGATGTTCTCCAGAATGCCCAGATGGTCAAGTCCCTTCAGATTGTAGAAGCAGACAATGTATATACCCCTAGGGTAAAGCATATTTTTGTCTACATCATCCAATTACAAACTGCTTCAAAGTCATCATAGTCTGTTAGCCATCTTTATACATGTGTCTGGGCCGGGCTCTCTGGCTGCTATTATAACTGTGTCACCCATTTCAGTCATTATGCCCCACCTTGCCTCTAATGGTTAAATGATGCCACCTGGTCTCTGCCGTTCTAGGCTCCTATGGCCTTATTGCCACTATGGAGCTCAGTTCTGTACCTCCATCTCATATACCAAGTCTAGCCTGACAGACAACAGCAACATTGAATTTCTCAACAAGGCTGATTCATCATCAGCGCATTTCTTAATCACTTTGGTAAATAAAGGATACTATGGCTCTTTGAAGGGACTGCTAAATCTTCCAGTCTTGTATACCAAACTATGCTAAACCCATTTTACCATGCCCACTCATCTGAGAATTGGGTTCATTCCTCTACAATTTTCAACATCAGTTAATGCATCTCTTTTGTAATTAATAAGCACCAGCTCTCTTTTAAACTTCCCCCAGGGGGCATACAAGGAGTTACTATGAAAGTATATGCTACTGTCTCCCTTATGTAGTTTCATATCTTCCTAGACCTCTGAGGATCCACTTTCAGGAGCACTCTCCTGGTAGCTGTCAGTACATGTGAGTTGTATCCTGAAGGCTTTTGATATATAACCTCTCTGGTAATACAAACTCTCTCTTCCTTTGCAGACAAAGCATTTTCTCACTGGAGTATGCTAACATTCAACAGTACTTATGGATCTAATGGCAAACAGGAAAGGTAGAAACATATCTTGAGTACGGCAAGCCTTGTCTTGTAAGGCCTGCTTCATTTGATGCTTATGCATAGTTCCCAGCAAAGAGAAAAAGATTGTGTTTTCCTACAAGGAGGATTGGTTTCGGTCTAGAGTGTTCAGGAGAATTAGGACATTTAAGGATCTGAAGTGCAACTACCTTTATATCTCTGCCACGAGATTCAGGATTCCATTTATTCCCCATCAGGACCCTGAGTTTAGCACAGTAAGTCCTCAGACTAAAACTGCACACTTCTCTAAAGTTCTGCCACTCACGATGAGGCCTTCTGTCTGGTCTTTAACTCTGTCTGTCCTTCAGATGCAGGATACAAATATTTTTTAAAAGCTTTTAAATTGCTGATTATTCAATCTGACCCTATATTTCTTTCAATAACAAATTAATGGTTCCTAGAAATAGTCACCCATTTCTAGAGTCCTTATAGTTACTGTTTTACCATATCTGTCAAATGCAAGAGACTTTACACTAGCTAGTGCATCTTTTCCACCTGTGTTTCCTTTCAGTTCATTATAGATGAAAGTTTTGGCGATGAGATTGCCAGGGTCATAAATACTTCATCTACCACCCGCAGGAGGCCCCTTGTTGCCATTAGGCTTTTAGACTGATGAGTGATCAGTCTTCAGGATCCCATATTTAGTCTTCTTCCTAAGACCACATTTGTATCAACTGTCTTAGGTTAAGAGACCTAGAACACAGAGCCTAAAACTTGAGATATTCTGTGAAAGTGACTTGTCAAGGGAGGACTCTCAGGGAAGAGGCAGTGGGATCTGGATAGGGAAGGAAAAATGAACTAAGCAAGGATGTAACCTTTGCTGGAGTCTAGCTTCTGCCCAATTTCACAGGGTGCTCCAGAGTATGGATTGTACTGAGAGTTGGTCCCATACTGAGGCAAGGGGCCAGTGTTTTGTACTCCATTCAGTTAGTGATTTGCTGCTGGCTGCCCAGAGTGGGGATGGTGGGGAGGCCAGGGCATAACATCCAGGGCACAGTGGCTCCTGTTTGGTCAAGGGCAATTTCTCAGAGAAGGATATAACAGTGAGCAATTAACAGGGGATGTAGCAGGGACACCAAGACAACTTACTACAATGTACAGTACAAAAGTGAGAACTTAAGGTGTTTCATAGAGTTTGGGGGCCATTCCTCCAAAATTGAGTCAAAGTGTGCTCAAAGAAAGACTAGCAATAACATTACAACCTAATAAACCTCACACTCATTTTAGATCACTTGCAGGTAAATACCATTTTTAAAGTATTGTCTCTTTGGACCAATCAGTGTTAACGATAATTTATTCATTTTCTAGTTTTCACAGAAAATTTTAATTTTCTTACATAAAACTTATACCAATGCACCGACACCAAGAAATTGTTCATTTAACAAATGTTTATTGTGTACTTCCTATGTACCAAGCAATGGTTAAAAGCTGAATTTTTGTTATCATTTTGCCTTGTTTAGAAAATATGATGTTGACATCTTCTTTTATTTCTATGCATCAAAAATTAGACTATTTTTAAAATAAGTCAAAATTTGTCTAATTTTTACCTAATTATAAAAGTTTTATCTTTCACTATATAGTGAACATTTTTACATCTAACAGGATAAGAATAGATGTTAATCCAGAAGTTATTGTATTATAGCAATTTCAATTATCTTAAAGCATTTTGGAATTAAGTTCTCCAAATATGTATTAAGTGTTTATTATATGAAATTCATGTCTTCAGTGTTATGGGGGGAGGATTCAGCCTAAGGGAGGTTATAATATAGTAATTTTATAGGGATCAAATGTGGCTTATAATCAAGTGATTTAATAGGAATTTTATAAAGTCTATGCAAAACAGAATTAGAAAAAAAAACAAGCATTTTCTGGAAAAAATTGTTTGCATGTCAAAACTCAAAATACACAGCACCACAGGCATGTACCTGCATGCCTGAGGCCATAGCAGATTTGTTGTTAAGGGTTAGCAAGGTGTTTGATACAATGTCAATAAGTTACTTGGAAGGTATACTTTTAATTTTGTTTTTTTTGTTTGTTTGTTTGTTTGTTTGTTTGTTTTTATTGGGGAGAAAAAAAAAACCCTCTCTCTTTGGTCTGTTTTCCAGAAAATTTTATGAATGCTGTTTCATTTTCAAGCAAGGTACATAGGTTAGTCCACAGAACAGCTAGCCATCACTTTATAGAGAACCTGAATTAATAAGTAATTATAATTATACATGTTGACAGAGACCAGGATGCAAAAAAAAAAAAAAACAAATGCTGGATAGTAAATATCTGAAATATCTGTTTTAATTACTTGAACCAAATACACTGACTATAAACCAAAGCTTATTTTTTTGCACTAATTATGCAGGTAAAGAGGGCATTCTATAGTGTGCTATAGTGTGGACAAGGGGTGGAGGGGCATGTGAGGAAAGCCACTGTAGAATGTCAAGGAAAAATGGGCTGTGAAGAAAATAAAAGAGGCTTAATTAGGTATTAAGGTCTAAATGGCATCAATACTGACAGAATCCTGTCAGAGAATGGTTTCAGTGTGCCTGACTACACAGTGAGGAGTGACAGGCTTAAGCACATTTTGGTCTGTGGCAAAACTGCTATTAGAATGAAATTTTATTATTTTATTGGGTGTTTGATTGTCTCTTATTTATATTATGTATTTCTTCCTAACCAGATCATATATTTATCTATTCATGTATTATGCATGTTCTAATTCTTATGTTTAAGTATATGTTAGAGAGGGCAAATAGTTGGAATTCATATAGTCATATTTCATGTGTAAATAGTCTAGCATTGATTTGTATTTGCTGAATAAAATAAATCTCATTGATGTCATTCTAGGTCCCCAAGTTCTAGGACACTCAGCTCCATCTGCTAAGGCTTCTGGAACTGAACAGGGCTTGCTGCAGTGGCAGTGGCATGGCCAGGAAGGTTGTGAGTAATGTCTTAGGGATGACTGCATAGACTTCATAAGGCAAGCTGGGCCTGGGATGACATTTACAAACAAAGAGTTTTGGAATCGAAGGTTAAAAAATGCAACCAATGAGGGGCCACTGGCTGGAGTAAGTAGACTGTTGGGAAAACCAGGCCACCAAGGGGGGCCATGGAAACGCTGGGCACCTGGGCAGGAGAAGGGCAGAGCAGGAAAGCTCTGTTCACTCCACACTCTCAGGAGGGCTGACCCAGCCATGGAATCTGCTTTCCTGTGGATTCTACCTTGACATTCATAGGTGTTTGGCCCTTGGTACATTTTAGAATTTCCTATCAGTGATTCTGTTTGAGGGAATTAAAAAAAAAAAATAAAGAACACTCTACTGTCTGAGTTCCCCCAAGTGAGTTAACTTTTTTATTAAGAGTAACACAGTACTCTTGATTTTTCATCTGAAAAGTACAGGTTCACTTTAACATTACTTCCAATAAGCATAGTACTTTGTTTAGACAAAACTGGACTGCAGGAATTTGAGTAATATTATCAAATGAGGTACGTGGCAACACCAGCTGTTGGTGGATGAAGATGCACAGCAAGTGGAGAGAATGCAAAATATACTACTGGTGAGAAAGCAAAATGGGTACAACCACTTTTGGAAGACAGATTTTTCAGTGTCTACCAAAGTTAAATATACACTGCTTCTATGTTCCAGCAGCTTCTCTCCTAGGTATTCATCTTAAAAATCTCAGTACATGTGATTACAATGCATTTGTACAAGAATATTCAAGCAGCACTATTTATAATATCCCCATAAAGAAACAACCCAGAGTCCACAATTGGGAGTAAAACAAAAGTGGTACATCTGTACAATGGAATACTATGCAGCAACAAAAATGAACTACTCAAACACATAGTCACATGGATGAATCTCAAAACTATTATGTTGAGAAAAAAATCAGACACAAAAGATGGCATATTGTATGATTAATTCATTTCCTGTTCAGCAACAAGCAAAAGTGTATAGTGATGGAAAGTAGAACAGTGATGACCTTAGAGTAGTTGTTGAGGGAGAAGGGGCATGAAAAAATTCCTGGGCATGCTGGCGGTGTTCTACTACTTCATTTGAATGATGGCTCTGATTAACCTTTTAGCATTCCACTGTATGCAAATTATACCTAAAAAACATGCATGGCTCTAGTGTCAAAGAAATCCATAGAGCCTCAGCTCCTAGTAAACTCCTCTTTTATTGAATTTGTGACTGCGACACAAGATGAGGAGAGGTGTGATTTTAATACTTGATATGCATGTTCCTTAATGTCTTTGCTATCCCCCTTTGCTACTTTATGGTAAACTTTCCATTTTCATCAGAGTCTGAGAGCCCCTTTGAGGTTGTAGGTTTGTTAGGGGAATCTATTATTCTAGCTCAGGCTAAGGGTTTCAGTCCCAAAAAGCCCAAGATAAAGCCCAGTATCTTTGCCTAGTCCATTCAGGATAGGAAAAGTGAGATGAGTATTTTTGAGATACACCTTCATGGAAAGCCAAGAGTTATGGACCACATAACTAGACTACATCTAACTCAATGGAACAAGGGGCAGACAGGAACAGAGAACAGACTTAAAGTGAGTAGAAGATGCATCTGCATGGTATTTCGTCCTCAGCAAACAAGGGGCATCTTCAGAGATGACCATTGAAGGGTGCTTAGCTTGCCTTGATTTGTGTTCCGGTATATAATTCTCAGTTTGACTGAAATGGAGCCCCAGGGACGCGTTCCAGTGCTGTGAAGCATGCCTCTCTGGCTGGTTGCTGCTCAGATACAGCCCAGTACAAATGAGTAAAAGCCACATATTTGCTTGTAGGGGACATAGGAAGGGGAGATAGCATTGCCTCTTTATCTCCAACCAAATGGAAAGAGAATGATGTTGCCTCCTTGCACTATACCCAAAGCTGTAAATGGTACCGTCTCCCCAATTGTCAGTGCCACTCAATGTATATTCTATACCTCAAAGATTGGGTATCTTTTAGTTGATTGAAACTTAGTAGTATTCATTAGATCTCTCTTTTCCCTGAGAACCTCACACAGCCCCGTGGGCACAGCCAGAATCGAAGAAAATTGGACTAACTGAAACTTGCTTTACTCTAAAATCTCTCTTTGTGTATTTCTTCTAGTTAGTGTTCCTAATGGGGCATGTGTGGTTTCATTAATTCACTTCCTCATTCTCTCATTAATTTAACAAATATATATATTGAGTGCCATCTACATGTAAGGAGCTCTGCTGAGGACGTGGTATAAACAAAACAGCCTATACCTGTGGCACTTTCAGGAAGGTGAGGTAGACAGGTAATTATAGATATACAAAGGTATATTCCATGGGTCTGGAGGTGTATAGGACTGTGAAGAAAACAAAAAGGATAGAAAATGAGGATCCATGCTGTTTTATTCAAAGTGCCCCGGGAAGGTCCCATGGACTGAAGGGTTGATCCATGCCTTGCTGATGTGCAGGAGAGTCAATATGGACCCAAGGGCAACCATTGCTCCCCTGAGGCTAATTCATGTGGGTCTGAGGTAACTGCACATCCATAAGCTGATGTGTCCAGAGGGACCTGCACCCTCCATAGTCCTGTTGATGAGGCTCTCATTCTGAGGCTTTTACTGCACTAACGATTTTCTTTCTCTCTCTCTCTCTCTCTCTCTCTCTCTCTCTCTCTCTCCCTCCCTCCCTCCCTTCCTCCCTTCCTTCCTTTTTGAGGTGGAGTCTTGCTCTGTCACCCAGGCTGGAGTGCAGTGGCGCGATCTCGGCTCACTGCGACCTCTGCCTCCCAGGTTCAAGAGATTCTCCTGCCTCAGTCTCCTGAGTAGCTGGGACTACAGGTGCGTGCCACCACGCCCTGCTAATTTTTTGTATTTTTAGTAGAGACAGGGTTTCACCGTTTAGCTAGGATGGTCTCGATCTCCTGAACTCGTGATCTGCCCACCTTGGCCTCCCAAAGTGCTGGGATTACAGGCATGAACCACACGCGCCCGGCCACAATTTTCTTTTCATTGAGGTATAACTTAAACACAGGAAATACACAAATAAATGTACATCTCCTCAATTTCCTTCCCACGGGGCCAGAGAAAAACTCTTAAGATTATTTTCTAATGGAAGAACAAAGCTTTGTTGTTTCTGATATGAAAGAAAACAAAGTCTACATGCATTTCTGTCTTTTTCGTCTTTTTCTCATGTAAGGAACAGCAGCAGAACTAAGACAAATAAAATAAAAGTAACACACTGCCTTTCCTTCCCCGTACCACACCACCACCAATGTTTCTTGAGCTCATAGAATGAGGGAACTAACTACAGAGCTCAGAATCCAAACCTGGTCTATATCTGGGAAGTGAAACCTGGGACTCTTATTTTTTAGAACAATGGTTCTCAAATAGTGATCCCCAGACCAGCAACCTTAGCATCACATGGAATAATATCAAAAACTCCAGCTAGGACCCAGCAATTTGTGTTTTAAAAAGCCTTGCTGAAGTTTGAGAACCTCGTAAGTCCAAATGCCATTACCACCTGTGGAATGTGACTCCCTGGTGTGGGTAGGCATTCAAACAAGATAACATGGGTGAAAATTAAATGTTTACTTTTGAAGGCATGAAATGAGAAGCACAAATACATAAATAAAACACAAAGATCAATAGAAAATTATCTATATATGCTTCTTCAAAGTTTGTTTTCAAAGAGCTTCTAATCCAATTAATACTTTTATTTTGTTGCTGTTTCAATCAAAATAAAGTAAAATGTTATTTAAAATTTTTTAAACTATGCCTCTATCTCAAATACATGATAGAAAATTAGTATGAGTTTTTTGTAATCTCTCAGAATTCCTTCTCTTATTTTAAAAATTGGATTTACATTTATTTATCAAATTAGCATAATCAAGAATGAAAGTCTGTGTTGCTCTTATTTAGGCAAGATATATTAGTTGGCATCCTCACACTTTCTCCCATTGTTCACTTCCTTCTAACCCCCATCTCAAAATTAGTGTACACTGCAATTTCTGCAACCAATGATTGTAGTAACAATATTGTTTTTTTTTCACATCAGTATGTTTGCTTCACAGTTATAAGGTTTGAATTGCACTATAGTTAGATTTAAATCCATGATTAGGTGGCTTCAATGCTTATTGCTGGTCTCCTCATGTATAACCTCTCCAATAGGAAGTTTGCTATATTGGGTTATCTCTTGTGGCTAAAGTGTGTTTGTTCAGTTTTATTTTTTGGAGTGGGAGGAAAGGAGAGTAGAATTGTGTCAGAAAGAGTGTGTATGTGTAATATGCTTCCAGATACATTCCATATCTGAGCGTGCCTGTTGTTTTCACATAAAAATTAAAATTTTTACTTAGTTTAGAATTCTTCTCTATCTTGTCTGTCCCTATCTATCTACCTATCGATCAATAATACGATAATTTGTAATTACATACTCTTCTCTGTCTTTACTTAACTGTGCCTTTCCCCTGCTTAACTGTGAGGCCCATGAGGCTAGATAATGTGCCAATTTTCACAAATCCCTTGGAAGGATTTTATCAATAAAGAGGAACAAAGAAATTGACACAGACATTGATGCGCAAACTTAGTGATATCTTCCATCTTCCTGAGCAAAAAGAGCGTGGAGAAAGCAGATGCAGGAGGAAAGGGATCAAAAAGTCCTTGAGGATTCAAGAGGGTATGAGAAGAACAATAGATTTTCTCAGGTAGTTAAGGTACCAGTTCACCCACTGTGCCAGAAAAGATAGTGGGACATTTTGAGACAGGTGAAGTGAAGGTGGTAAAATTGTAAGAGGGAAGACAAAATACAGTTGTCCCTTAGTATATGCAGGGAATTGGTTCCAGGATGGCCCACATATACCAAATCCCCTGTGGAACCTGCCTATACCAAAATTCATCCCTATAATACTTGCATCCTGCAAGTACTGTATTTTTAATCCATGTTTGGTTGAAAAATAAACCCTATAAAAATGGATGCATGCAGTTCAAACCCATGCTGTTGAAGGGTTAAATGTAATTCTCTTCGGATTACTTCTATTTTATCAACAAAAGACAAAAGTAATGAGCTGAGTGGTTCAGGGCAGGGATGTGGAAGATGGATGGAAAAAGGTGTGCCATCATCTCCTGGGGAATAGAGGAATGAACTACTGTGCAGAACTGTAGCGTTGTTTCCCTGTGACACTGAGGCCTTCTTGATGTCAGTCATCATTGATTTTCCTGCAGCCACACTGTTCCCAGGGAGGCAAGGCAGAGACACTCAGGAGGCAGAGCATTGCATTAAACCGCAGTTGGGAACAGACCAGGAGATTAAGACAGAGGAAGAAGGGTTAAGGGGGCTGTGAATCCGTAAGCAGTGACTATCACTGTGTGCCTGGAATCCAAGCTACGTAAAACAGGAAATGAGTTTAAGAGGGGCCTGATAGAGAAAAAGTGGTAGGTACATGGGAAAGAGGGTGTCAGATTGGTTTTGTATTGTTTACAGTTGCAGTGGAAGTACTTTGAAAGTGAGCTGCAGAGATAGAAAGTGAGCTGCATGGTCAGAGGGTGTTCTGGACATTGCAATTCTGAAAGAGTACAAAGCAACGGTAAGGTGAGAGTAGGCAGCGGGTGGAGATTGAGAGGTGAGATAAAGAAACCGTGGTAGAAGCAGAGAACTCAAGATGAAAGGGCACATCTGTCCTCAGAGCTTGATCTGTTGCTCTAAAGCATTCATCAGTCTGCCCGTCCTGAACGAGACCTCCCTGTCTTTCCAGCATTTTGGGTCTATTCAACCTGGCTGTGAATCCCTCTCAGTCTCTGGCTTGGGCAGCCAGCCCTGAGCATCTCAGTGCTAAGACTACTTTGTCGATGCTGGTGGTCCCCTCTGGCCAGTTCCATAAATCCTCAGCGAACTTTGGATAATTCAAGAACTTCTGAACTCTAAGTACCCCTTGGGATCCACCATTGTTCTAATTCATTTTAAATCACCCCTCTTCATGAGCACCCAGCCATATAGCAGCCCCAAAACTGACTGTGTTCTGTATGACTGCACAGGGAGCCAATCTGTCCTGGACAGTCCCCTTACTCCATCTGACACAGCCTCCCTAGGGCTCTCTAAGACCTGGGACTCCAGACCTACTTCTTGATATGTTAAAGGAGAAAATGAATTTAGATAATCCTTTAGTCTTTCATAAGGCCTTGCTTTCGAGACTATCTTTTACAAAAGAAGGTAAGAAAGTCACCCTCGAGAGAAAGTTGATTTATAAGATTCTTTGCCCTCTGGGAAACTACACCCACATTTTACTGGTTTGATTAACCTTGAAGTGAAGTCCCAGAGGTAGGAGGTGAATAAAAATTAAGGAGCAAATTAAAATCCATTGGCCGAATATTAGTAAAATGCTACTCTGTTTTGTTAATTTTGAGACCCTGTGGCATATTGGAAAGTGAACTGATATCAAAAGACAGGAATGTTAGCTCGACTCAGAAAGTGACTTTCTGTGTGACCTTGAGTAATTCACTTAATTTCTCCCAGGTGCAAGTTCCTCATCTGGAAAATGAGGGTGTTGGCCTAGGTGAACTCTAAGGGACCTTCCAGCTTCAGCAACCTAGACCCTTAAATAAGGCTAAAAGGCAAAGACAATATCATGATCTATTGATAAGTCAGGTTTTAAAAAAGTTTTCACTAATCTTGGCTTTTATGTTATTCAAGGTCATTGGACAAAGAACACAGTGTGCATAAAAGGCCTACAGATTTTGATGTTTCAGTTGTTTCAAAGAGAGCACATAGATACATATGTATATGGGGTGCTACTGGATCTGAAATAATATAGTCAAAAGCATCCTAGACCTTCAGAAAACATATGGCTGGAATTTTTTAATGAAAGATTGATAAATTTTCCTTTATTTATGACTTTTCATTAATGAACAATAATTTAAAAGAATAAAATAAGTCTGTGGAGAAAAGAAAAGTAAAATGTTTGGAGATATCTTCTTTTAAGTATTAGTCTTAATATTCTAGTCTGTGGTGCCAGACTAGAAACCAATGATTTATTTTATTACTTACTCTTTCAATAACAGTGAAATGAACTTCCCTCATGCATCTAAGTATATTCTGATCATTTTGCCACTTGAACAGAATCTTCAAATACAGCACTTCTCTGTATAGGTGTATATTGCAGCACATGGAAAACAACTTCTCCATTGAGCAAAGTGATACAGAAGAAGAAACCAAAAAATTGAGATGCAATTCCTGAGCTCCATCCAAACTCGGCCAACTGTAGCTGCATATTCTTATGCAAGTTATTATTCACTCTAGGCCTTGTGTTTCTCATGTGAGATTGACCAAGATGGTGACTGTAGTCCTTTCCATTATATTGTCTTAGGATGGCCCTAGAACATAAATGCAATGCCTAAATTGGTGCGAGTGTAATTGTATGCCACTTCTGAGATACTTATGGATGTGTGCCTTCTCATTATTCCACCTGTACCCAAATCAGCATTTCAGCTTCAGGGAATGAAATGAAGAGAATTAGGTCCTTGCTCTGGATTCGATACTGGCTTAAGAGAATGTTGTGGCTAGTTTGATCTATCCAGACCATAAAACTTTCTCTAAATCAGCAGTAAGGCTATCGATCATGTGTTCACTGGAGTAGTACTTTTAGTTTCCTTTAAGAACTTTGCATTTGCAGTCACAACTTGGTTAAGTGTTTGGTGCAAGAAGCCTAGCATTCAACTTATTTCTACTTTTGACACCTTCTTTATGAAGCTTAATCATCCCTAGCTTTTGATTTAAAGAGACCTGTGACTCTTCCTTTCACTTGAACTCTTAGAGGCCATTGTAGGGTTCTTAATTGGCCTAATTCCAATGCAGTTGTCACTCAGAGAATAGGGAGGCCTGAGGAGAGAAAGAAAGATGGGGGAACGGCTGGTCACTGTAGCAGCCAGAACACACATAACACTTACTAGGTCCCCATTTCATATGGGGATGGTTCATGGCATCCCCCAAATAATAACAACAGTAACATTAAACATTACTGATCACAGATCACCATAACAAATATAATAATAATGGAAAAGGTAGAAATATCATAAGAATTATCAAAATGTGACACAGAGACTGGAAGTGAGTACATGGTGTTAGAAAAAAATAGTGCTGATAAATTTGATATACAGTTGCCACAAACCTTCAATTTGTGAAGAAAAACCCACAGTATATTTGAAGCACAATAAAGGGAAGCACAGTAAAAAAGGTGTATCTGCACACATTTATTACAACAGCAATATTGCTACTAAATATTTGCTATAGGGTAAATGCAAAGCTTTTCTACAAACACCTGTCAATGTGTCAGGTGTGTTCATTTGGAACCCAATGAGCAGGGACCAGGCACTGGACATCCAGGTCTTGCCCTACAGGGTTGAAAGCTAAATTAGCCAAAGGAAGAAAAAATGATCAGTCACACCGCTGCCTGCTTTGTACCAGACATTTTTGTCAGAACTTAAAAATTGAAAGAAAAAACATGCAAAGACAAATAATTGGGTGTCTGGCTGGCTAGGGATCTGACACGCTTCTTTTAGGTGGTGCTTTTTCTTGCAGACAGACACTACATGCAATTTTGCCTCAGCAGAGAATGTCACATTTGCTGAACTGGCTGCAAGCTGCTGGGCCCTACTGCTATCAGGCCCTCAGCAGACAAAGGGCAAAATGGATTTAGAGGGTGGCAGCTGGTGCAGGAGATCTCTGGCTGCAAGCCCCAGAGCCCAGTATTGTGGCTGCAATCTACCTGATCCTGGTAGTCTGCAGAAAGGGCACAGTATGCAGCAGGAGGTCCAGCTGCTGCTGCTAGTGGAGGGCGGCCCCCTGCAGCTCACAGATGTGAACAGGTACTCTTTCTACCACTCTGTGCCTGTTCTAGGGCTCCTTATTACTGGCTACTAACAAACAAGAAATCAATATCCACATCAGCTTCATGCCACTGGAGTTCTGGAAAGCAGTTTGGTTCCAGGAAATCTAAATAGTTTTGTGGCTGTGGATGCCAGTTACAGAGTCATCATGTAAAAAGATGAAGAGTACAGTGGGAGGGTACTGATAAAGTCCAGGGGAATGAGAGTACCCACTAAAGCAGATGTGAGCTCTGTGTCAGAGTGCAAATATGGGCCCTGAGCCTTCTGGGCACTAAGAGCTCAAGGGTATGCATGAGGGAGTGGCTTGGAGTGGAAGTTGAGCTAGGACCAAGGAAAAGAGGGACTACACTAAAGTCTTATGAACTGGCTAATGCGTATAAGGAAGTGAGGAAGGAGTCGGGGAGGGAGGGGCACTTCATGATGTGCATATGTGTGTATTTGTATATCTATATACCTATTCATATATATAACATATATACACATCAATAACATACATATATACCCATTATGTATATTATATATGAGCATGTGTATGCACACATGCACACACAAACACACACATATATACGAGATAGAGAGAAGTTTTATAATTTTAAACGTGGAAAAAATAAAAATGACACCCCCCAAATTGTTAATAATGGTTAATTTTGTGGGGTGTAATTATATAGGCTACAGGAAATTTTTAAATTTCAGACAATTCTAAAGGTTGTAAGAATATGAATAAATTTGGGTAGTAAAATTTGTTTAGCATTTTTCATGTAAAAATACAAACATACACAGAGATATATATACCTATAGCTTCCTACTGGGATCTGAATGTTTGTGTCATCCCAAAACTCCTAAGTTGAAATCCTAATCCCCAAGGTAACAGTATTAGGAGGTAGGGGCTTGTGGGAGGTGATTAGATCATAATGGCAGAACCTTCATGAATGGGATTTGTTCCCATAAAGAAACTGCAGAAAGCTAGCTAGTCCCTTCCACCATTTGAAAACACAACAAGAAGACACCACCTACGAACAGAAAGTGGTCTTCACCAATATTGAATCTATTGGTGCCTTGATCTTGGACTTCCAGCCTCCGGAACTCTGATAAATAAATTTCTGTTGTTTATAAGCCAACCAGTCTATGGTATTTTGTTATGGCAGCTTGAGTTAACTAAGACAAATTGATGCATTAAATTCCTAAATTTTAGCCAATGGAGACCTATACTTTAGTTCAAAGTTTGCTTTCTGTTTGTAAATCAAGCTTATCTCTCTCTCCAAATAAACACCATAATAGGTATTTAGTTATATTGGGAAGGTTTGAATACTATAAAAGCCAGAAGAGGGTACTAGGAATCAGAGCAAAAGAGGGAAAGAGAGAACCAACAAAGAGAAGAGGCAGGCCGAGTGCAGTGGCTCAGGCCTGGAATCCTAGCACTTTGGGAGGCCGAGGCGGGCAGATGACAAGGTCAGGAGTTCAAGACCAGGCTGATCAACAAGGTGAAACCTCGTCTCTACTAAAAATACAAAAAAAATTAGCTGGGCATGGTGGCACGCAGCTGTAATTCCAGCTACTCAGGATGCTGAGGCAGGAGAATCACTTGAACCCTAGAGGTAGAGGTTGCAGTGAGCCAAGATCACGCCACTGCCCTCCAGTCTGGGTGACAGAGCAAGACCCCATCTAAAAAAAAAAAAAGAAAGAGAGAAGGGGCAGAGGGAGAGCAGAGAAATAGAGAAATAGGAAGGAAGTTGGGAGCAACTGAGGTCATGTTATCTCCTGTATTAGTTGGAGGCTAGTCATAGAGCTAAGGTCTGTAACCAAACCTGGGACTAGAAGGTGATGACTATCTGGTTGTCACAGATCTGTGTCCATCACATAAAATGATTTGATGTGAGAGATAAAACAAATTACCAAGTGGATATATTCCTCCATCAATGTATCTTTATTGAGCATTTAGTTTGTACTTATTTTTATATGAGACACGGAATGGAAGCAGAGATAACAAAGATGGAAATTCTTGCTCTTGCAATATGCTTGTGAGAGACTCATTCACATAACATAAGCAAGCAATGTCATGCTAAGAGCTTGAAATTGGAGTTTTTACACTGCGGAAATTGGCAAATGCCACTAATCACAGTTTGAGCTACTCTGTTCATTGTCATGACATAGGAAAGTTATGAAGAGAGTGTTAATAATATAGATTAAACTTAAAAGTTTACTTTGTCAGTAGCCATTACATTGTGAATAATACAATGAAATTAAGAAAACATACTTCCATATTTGAAAACAATTATCCAATAGACCAAAGAAGTCACACACATCACACTGACAAACAAGTGAAGTTCCAACATACATTTTAATAACATTGCTGTTGTATTACTTTATGATTACTGTAAAAAACGAATGACAATGACCCACAGGCCACATCCAGCCTGCTGGCTGGCTTTGTACAGCTTGAGAGCTCAGAATGGTTCTTACATTTTTAAATGGCTGAAAATAAAGTACAAAGTGAAATAAGATGAAAAGAAAAATATTTCGTGACACATAAAAATTTTATGAAATTCAGATTTTAGTGTCTATAAATAAAGTTTTATTGAAACATCACCATGTTCATTCATTTGCATATTGTCTATGCCTGATTTCAGGTTGCAATGGTGAGTTGAATAGCTATGACAGAGAATATATGACCACAAGGCCTAAAATATTTATGCCCTTTATAGAAAAAGTAATACGGGCTTTTGTTCCTATTTGGTAGTGGTTGGTGACACTATCCTCTTCTTACCACTCTACACAATTCCATTTGCCTGGCTCCCCAAGCAGCTTTTGAAATTCACAAGGTTTGGAACCTGATGTGTTCACCCCATTTGCTCAGGATCAGGGACAAAGAGCCCCCCATCACAGGCATTGAGCACTTCAAGAATAAATGGTAGCACATTTAGATGAGAAAATTTGCACCCATTTTAATTCCATATTCCACACAAAGGTGGTTTTAGCTATTAGAGGGCTTAACATTCCGCTTCCCAATGTAACGATTTTCATAACTTATGCTTCTATTTTTCTTGGATTAATACTGACCACATTCGAACAGGCAAATGGGTAACAAATTAGCTTGAATTCTTTACAGTCAGGATTTGCTCTGTGTCTTGATACGCCTTTCTTAATCTTCCCTTTGAAACATGTTTTCTCATTTAGGCCAGAAGTAAATAGCACAAGTAACAGGGTGGTTTTCTCCCCCCTTCTTTTCTCTCTCCTTGAAAAATACTGCTGAAGGAATTGTTCTGCAGTTGAAAATTAATGTAACCTATTATGTCCAGGAAATTTCTTCAATATATTACTTGCCAAGCCCCTCGGCCGTTGTGAAGAAAATAATTTTAATTTATCTCATTTTTCACTGCTGAGTCAATGATTGTTTAACCTAAAATGCCATTGTGACTAAGTGCTCAAACCCCATGGTCCTTGGCCATTTCACTGGGACTCTGCTATTATGTTCCTAAGCCTGGGCCTTAGAAGCACCAAAATTGTCATATTAAAAGAGCTGCTGTCAACTTGCTTTTGTTTTTATTGTTTTTAATTTCTGCTTTTCCATTTTCTCTGCTATTTATAATGTTCTCTTTAAAAGTTCAAAAATAACATCTCTCTCCTTAGCTTCTTGGTTATTTTCCATCAGTGTTTCCCAGCTTCCAGCACCTTTCCTAGGGCACAGAGCAATATGGTCAGCTTGGGTTAATTTGGCTGTTGTGATTTTAATCCCCCTTGTGATTTCTATGCAGTTTTACTCGCTAAGACCAGGCCAGCACCCAAGGGAATACAGGACCATGGCGATTACATAGAAAAGTCTTTCAAATCATTGGCAGGTTTGGCAAAAAGATTCCATATCAAATAAAATCTAGTATAATTTTTAAATCCTCTTACGACCACATACTTACTTTCTTCATATTTACCTTCCTAGAGAAAAGCCAATTCACTATCTCCTTATGTTTTTTAATCACGGATTTTAAAATTTTATTTATTTATTTATTTATTTTTGTGCATTCCTGCCCACATTGTAGCAAAAGTGTGATGTCACAGCATAGGTTCCCAGAAAAGCAGACTCTGGACAAAGGCTTCTAGGTGATTATGCTGCTTGCTGAGTGTGAGTCCAGAGAACAGAAGTAAGGAATCATGAGGAATAGACGACATGGAAAGAAAGTCAAATAAAGGGAAACATTACCAGCTGGCCACTGCTGTAGGTAACTGGTTGCTCTATTTTATGAAGATGTATTTCAGGACCATTTCTCTGGGGCCAAAGAGGAGAAAGAACTTTCTACTTGTTTCTGTCTTTCAATGGTCATAGTTCACCTCATGAGTTGTTAACTGCCTTGGTCTTTTGGAATATGCATGCCTAGACTGCAAGCTGAGTGGGTTCCTATGGCTTCCCACATGGTGCCAACAGAGACACTCCTTGGTGGGAGGCAAGAAACGAAATCAGTTGCTCAGGTGGTACTGGCAGGAAGTTTCATAGAGCTAGCAGAACTGATCATTGCAGCAGCAGCTGAAAAAGGAGATAGATGAGGGTGAGAGATTCTGAAATGATGAATAAGAAGCACCCAATGTATTTATTTAAATTCAGAAAAGACATTTTAATCCACATTTTACATAGGAGAAGACAGAATTCCAGAGGACTGAAGCTGCTTGTCCAGAGACAGAGTTAATGAAGGCTTCCTCACTCCAGTCTGTTCATATTCCATGAGGTCACAATGTATGCATCAGCATGTGTGCTTGGTGGTCCCAGGTCTCAAACATTTCCTGCCATCCTGTAACACATTACAGAACCTGGAACAATATCTCCTAATGTCATTCTGAAAAGAAGGAGGAACTGTCTCTAAATCACCCCAAATTGCATGATTTGTACAGAATGCAGACTACACAGAAATATATATGCCTCTATTATTCAAGATTCTCCTTAAACAATAGGAAATGAGGAAATTCTGGTGGTTTGGAAAATGTCATTTACTCATTTAAGCCACTGGGGGGACTGCTGATAAATTGCTACTTGATTTGTGTGCAGTGTTTCTTTGTCTGCTTATAAGGCCTATTTTAGTCGCTGGAAATGGTTATTCAATCAGCCAATATTTGGACAAGTGTACACTGTATTCAAGGTGATAAAATGGGTTCTGTAGAGGATAATAGTGCTAAAACACAACCTTTCCTTCAAAGGGTTTATAATCTAATAAGAGAACAAGGAACATAAGGCAGGACTGATTGTTAATGATTATAGTAAGTTGTCTAGATAGTGGTACAAAGTGCTATGAAACTCCAATAGTAATTAATTCCAACTCAGAGTATAGAAGAAAGTTGAAGAAGAATGCTACATGTAAATGTGTCCTCAAAGGATGAGCAGAATTTCAATAGAAATGGGGTGGTGAAAGTTTACCAGCACCCCAAACAAGGAGCTCTGAAACTGTATAAAAATACCTAGACGGATTAGAGTCTGAGGTGGCTGCATGGGTAAAGAGAAGATAGATGTAGAGAAATAGCAAAAAATGAGAAAGTTGGAGAGTTTCTCTGGGGTCAGCTCAATGAAAGCTTGAATGCTTATTCACCAAAAAAAAAAAAAAAAAAAAAAAAAGCAAAACTTGGATTACATACCATTGAAAATGGGAGCAGAAAAATTTATGGTGTTTTAGCACTCAAGGTGCAGTGTGGTGTTGGAAGACCAAAAATATTGTCCACATACTTGTGGTCTGATGCCTTGATGGCTTCTAGCCAGCACAGGTGGCTGGGAGTTAAACACCTGCGCATACCGTGACTGCCTTTCAACCACCAGAAACAGCTTACATGGGGCTCTTTATACCTAAGGCACCTCAGGTGCTCCAGTTCCTCCACATAAAAGTTGAGCCTTCCTATGTGGACAGCTGGGTCTCCACTAAGTGGTAAGAATCTAAGGACCAACTGCCTTCTTAGCAATTTATAAAAAGAGCTTGATTCACAGGTAGATTTCCATGACTGCTGCAGGTCTTTCCTCTTTCACCATGAGAACTTTTGAAGCTTTTCACGTGTGCCAGATGCTGGGATTTTATCCCAAGGTAAGCAACCAGAAAGCAAGTTGACCTTTCCTTGAAAGAAGAGCTCTCCTCATAGACATCAGAAAAAAATATTTTTGCAAAACTCTATTCAACTATTGAGCAAACACTTGAATCTTTTAACCTTATGGAAACTCTTATGTCTCAAGGAACCTCAGCCAGTGCCAGCTTGCTGTCCCAAGAAAAGTCAAACTAATTTTTCTGCACATTACTCAGCTACATTTCAACTCCCCTCATATTATTGCCATTGCCAGACTTCTCTATGCAGCTTTCAACCTGGTTCTTCCTTTCCACTTTTTCCACCTCACCCTCTTGGAATGTCCTTGCTTTGTGAGCAAACATGTTTATATTTTCAGCATTGTCACAAAACAGTGCCTCTTCATGCTCTTCTTAGTTGTGAAAAGATTGTCTCAAATACAATATTTTCCAAACATTCCAGGAGGTTGACTTCTTTGTCCAGGGCAGAGCTTAGTCATCTGTATATATAAACAGCATCATATATCTAACAAGTGCCTCAAGGTGATACTTGTGACCCAGGAGGTTTGGGAAATGCTGATGTGGATTTGTCAAACCTCAAGTAGAAGCTGCCATTTTCTCCAGATCACAAGCCCTGTAAGTGCCCCATTGCCATGTCCAGACCAGTATTCTTTCACTTTTATGCAAAAAAAAAAAAAAAATCAACACAAAAATCCTTCTTTGAGGTTTTAGCCACCATATGTACAAGCTTTAATGTTTTCTAAAGAATGCCCATGCATTCATCCACATTCAGCGAAGACTTTGGAACCTGGTTCCATTCTTCTTCCATAACACATCATAATTAATCACTAAAATATCCACTTGGTATATCCAGTGGAGAGACCTTTGCTTTCATAGGTCCTTTTTCCCATAAACCCCAGAGTTCTTCCTCTTCCATACATGTCTCCCTAATCTCTTTTAGACAAGCAAGTGTGGGCCATGGGTGGTGAATAGCACTGGGATATTGAGAATAAGAATTTTGAGAATAAATTCGATCAAAAAGATCAATGATACATGCAGTTTCAAAGACACAACATGATAAAGTAACAAAGAATGCTCATATCCTAAAAGAAATAGCTAAACAAAAATAAAGATTCCAGTGAAAAGAGAGAAAAAGGCAAAACCTGAAAGACTCACTAGAGCTAATTTGTGACAAGACCTTGTTCCTGCAGCTCTGGGGTGGAAATGCCCCATGGGTGTGAGAGTGAAGATTGAGAGGGACCACTTCACAAATGTACTCCCACAGCTACACTCTGAAGCACCCTTAAGAGCCTGGTGTCCGAGATCTTACAGCCCAATGTGCCAAGTCCTTCTTACAACCCCCAACTTTCCCTTTTTCACTTTAAAGCATTTCACCTGAATAAACTCAACAGTCTCTCGTCCCCCATTTCCCGTATACCTCATGGTTTCATTTTTCATTTCCTTGCCTGCTGAGCCCAGAACTAATGATGAGTAACTTTAACCAATTTATTGCCAGAGCCTCAAGCATTTCCTCTTTCTTCTGCAAATTCCAAATCTTGGATCAATCAACCATCTGCCTACACCCTGGCTATTGTGGGATACTGAAAGAAAGCGCATTATTGTGCAAAAATTACAAGATTGCATAAAATGAGCATTTAGGAGAGTGGGAGAGGACCATAAGTAAGTTAAGTACAGGTTACTTAAAGCATTTTCTATGTCAAGGATCCAGGTTATTCTTTCTGTAAATAATTACAGTGAATCTGGAAGGCAGGAGGCAGGACCTGGAGAGTGGGAGGGGAGAGTTAAGAGTCAACAATCAACCACTCTGAGTCATAAAATCAGAAAGGCATTGAACATTTAGAAGGAGAACTGGCCCCATAAAGAAAACAATGCCTCTTAGTAAGCATATTATCTGCAACAAAGCAAAACAAATTTGCAAGCATCTTATTGAAACTGCTAGGGAGGGAAATCATGAATAGTTTCTGTGGAGCAAGAGATGGAGAATGAAAATTAATAATACAGTGCCTGTTATTACTAATTTGAGATGTGTAAAATGCCACGTATATGACCTTTATTTATTGCATTGTTGCATTTTTCTTGGTTTTGGTCAACATAACCTGATTGAGAAGGTGAGGAACATGGCAGTTGAAGGCCTGGGCTTTGCAGCAAGATAGCCAGGGTTTAATTCTCAGCTCTGTCACTCATTATCTGCCTGGGCTCTGGCAAGATTCTGAATCACTGTATACCTCAATTTTCTCGTTTAAGAGTAAAGACTTCTATTATTATTTCTCAGAGTATTACATCGAGCTTACTATATGGTTCATGTATGTTCTAAGGCTTTTACAAATTTTAACACATTTCATCTTCACAGCAGTCCTAGCAGATGGGTACTATTTCACAGAAAATTGAGGCACAACAGGTGAATGACTTACACAAGGTCACCCAGCTAGAGGATGGCAGTGTCAGGTTTCCAACCCTGGCAGTGTGACTCCACTGCTTTTATACAGGATGCCCTCCCTCCACCTCTTTTCCTACAAAGTATTGGAGGTAAGGGATGATAGATGAGCTCACAATATTGGCCCATTGCAATCAGGCATCACCACCCCACACCACACCTCCCCCTCCCCACTACCCCTTGTCATTTGAAGGTCTTCAGGGAAGCTGGGCAGTGACAGTGAGATCAGCAGCCTTGTCTTGTAATGCTCTTTTTCGAAGTGTATTGGGGAATGAAGGGGGTAAAAGGAGGCAGGTGTGGTGTAAGTCATGGTATTATTTCTTATGCAGTAAATCATAAACATAGTTTTCATTGAGAATAAGGAGCAAGAGGAAATTAAAGGACTTCACAGCCAAAAGACTAAGAGAGTAATTAATGGAGAAAGGTCCCAGAGGAAGCAAAGAAAAAAAAAACTCAACAACATAGATTTAAGAATATACAAAATATAAGGTTCACCCTGCAAAGGTCTGAGAACACCAGGGATGTGAAAAAATATACATAAGTTTGGAGAACAATGGAAGGTAAATTGAATTATTTCAGTCGAATTGACCTTTCATTACTCAATAAATATTTGTTGAGCCAATGAATAATGTGTTTGTGATCCTATACGGAAAAACTATGCCTTTTTAACTTCTGTAGTATCCTTAACATAGTTCTCTAGAATTTGACACTTAATTAGTACCTTTGGATAAGGCTGCTGCTGCTTCTATAAATGATCTCAGCCTAGACAATTAATTCAGTTGATTCCCTTCAAAAACATACTGATCTACAATCTTTAAATACAAAATGATAGAACCAGAAGGATCCTTGGAGACCTTCTAATAAAATAGGCACAAATAAGCAGTGCACAAGAGGCGTTTTGTCTGCAGACTGCTTTGTTCTATAGCCACTAGTTTTACAAGGCTTTTAAATAGTTTCTGTATTTAAAAGATAGAAGATTCCTTATGAAAATCTGTACTTGGAGCCTCTGTTGAGAAATTGCATTTTCTAGGAAGGCTGGGCAGCAAGGAGCTGGAGCTGTGGGACCACCACCCTTCCAGACAGAGTCATTTGCCAGTTGCCAGGACCTCTCCCAAATCCTATCCCTCTGTTACTTGATCATTTCCATGATCTTTCCCAACCCTGTAGGCATTTCAGTTTGCGGCACCCACTGGAGCTTTTACATACACAGATACTGAGCCACAGTGTACTGCTAATCTGTGAAATGGAGCTGGGGTTCACATTTTTCTGTTTCTCATTGTTGTCACTCTCCTGCAGTCACCCCATTCCCTGATTTCCTTTTGA
Source organism: Homo sapiens (assembly GCF_000001405.40). Taxonomy (NCBI): domain Eukaryota; kingdom Metazoa; phylum Chordata; class Mammalia; order Primates; family Hominidae; genus Homo; species Homo sapiens. Next base: position 38,372,478 of record NC_000018.10, read on the forward strand.
GATTATACACTAGCATGGCTATTCCAGTGGGCCTGATTGTGATATGAGACAAGCTAGGGAATGTAAACGAATCATCATCTAAAAGAAAATCTTTGATTATACAATGCATTAGTCAGATCCACACTTAGATTACCATGATCAGTTCTGGTCATCACATTATAAAATAAAATATTGAAACACTTGACAATGCAAAGAGAAAAAGATGAGCTTGATCTTCTGCTATGATTATATTGTATTAATGACTTCCTATCATATTACTGGTTTCTGCAGCCTATTAGAGGAAATAAAATGTACTAATATAATGGGAAAGGAGCTAAGAGAAGAGCCATGTTACTTTTCCAAAGATATTGAAAGGCAATAGAAGGCTCATTTTTTTTCCTTGAAAGTAGATACTGCTTTCCTAATCATGGTAAAATGACTTATTAATCAATAAGATTATAAATTTGGGAATTATTTATTCACAGACCAGAGAAAATTATATCAATCAAAAATCAAGATGAAGAGGGAAACGAAAAAGGATTAAAACAGGACCTTGCATGCTTTTCCAATTGTACAATGTGCCCAGGATATAATTTCACATGATGACATAGTACAGGGAGAAACATAGTTACCAAAGACACTAATTCTCTTCAGAAAGAAGTAAACTACTAAAGTATTACAAGCATTCTTGGTAGCACTCAAGATTTGCTGCTATTCCCAGCTCTCTGGCTGTCAATTGGGATGGTGAAGTTAAAATGGGATTTAGTTCTTAAATCTTAGGTCTTTTGGCACAAAATGAAGGAGTTTAAGCACTAGCTACAGCTATAATTTGAATATGTCCAGTTTATATGTTATTTCAAGCAACATGTTTGAATTCAGGCCTTCCAAAGATGCCAACTATAAATACTATTAATGCTTCCCAGAGAAAAATGGATTTCATTTACTTGTGTGTTTCATACCTGTCCCATCTCCTCTCTAGATGTAAGGATTATATCATTTTTGTCCTTACATTAAGTGGTAGGCACATACATGTTTATATTTAATACTTAACTCATACAAAATTTGCATATATATTTTTATATACCTAATAATAATACATAATGAAACTTGGGCACTTCAGTTTCAGGTTAGAGATGTAGAGAATGGGAAAGAACATCACTCCCAAATACAGAAAAAGTAGAGAGGTGGACAAATCACAAATGAATGGCTTTTCCTAAAGCTGTCAAATGTGAGTTCACAGGTCACCCAACTGTCCCAAATCATGGGGAGAGACAGGAACCTGCATGAAGAAATAGGACACAAGCATTTGCTTACTTGGAATGGAAGTCACCAAATGCCTAATATAAATTGGAAAAAAGATTCAACTAGAAAATGTTAAAGAATTGTTAAAGGTTGCATATAGGTGAGCTAAGAGTGTAAAATTCCTGAGAACGAACACATAGTAGGGTTTTCACTCTCCTCTAGGAATCCCACCTGTCATTTATAGGGAGCATGGGGAGAATCCAGAAAGAGCTTCCCTTTTGGCACATGATGGTGGAGGGGAACAGCAACTACCAAAACACCACCTCGTCCAGTTCTTCTGAGTAGCCAAGTGCCTTAATCTTCAGTGGAAGGATCAAAAAAACTGCTTGAGAGTGTAGGTGAAAGCGGGAAAAGCAACTACATTGAAAATACAATGAGAATCATCTTCCCTGGGAGGCAGCCTTAAACAGAAGGGGGGAAAGAGCAACAAAAGCTGAAGCCTGAGAAAAACCCGCAGTAATTGGGAAAGCAGAGTAAGAAAAAGAGATCTACCCCAGGGAAGAGAAAAATGCATGCTAGGCACAGCATTAAAATATAGTGAAGAAAGCAAAGAAAAACAAACACACACAAAACTAGGAACTCAGAATTCTCCATTCAGTGCAACAATTCTTCAAAAGAGAAAGAAGGCCAGGAATAATGGCTCACTCCTGTAGGCTCAGCACTGAGGGAGGCCGAGGCAGGAGGATGTCATAAGCCCATGACTTCAAGACTAGCCTGGGCAACATAGTGAGATCCCATAGCTACAAAGAAATAAAAAGCCCTGTGTGGTGATGTGTGCTTCTGGTCCCAGCTACTTGAGAGGCTGAGGTGGGAGGATCGCTTGAGCCTGAGAGGTTGAGGCTGCAATAAGCCATGATAAGCATTCAATACTTTGTTGGTAATTTTTGCCTTAATTTGTCCTTTATCTTTGGAGTAATAAAAATAAGGAAAAACTGATTTTATTTTACCTTCATTTAATTCATTTCTGATACTTCTTATCTCTTTACAGAGATCCAATTTCTGACCTATATTATTTCCTTTTGCCTATCACACACTCCCTTTAACATTTCTTATAGATTAAGTCTGCTAACAATTCATTCCCTACATTTTTGTTCATTAAAATATCCTCTTGGCCAGGCGTGGTGGCTCATGCCTGTAATCTCAGCAATTTGGGAGGCCGAGGCAGGCGGATCACGAGGTCAAGAGATCGAGATCATCCTGGCCAACATGGTGAAACCCCATCTCTACTAAAAATACAAAAATTAGCTGGCTGTGATGGCACGTGTCTGTAGTCCCAGCTACTTGGGAGGCTGAGGCAGAACTGCTTGAACCCGGGAGGCAGAGGTTGAAGTGAGCAGAGATCGTGCCACTGAACTCCAGCCTGGCAACAGAGCGAGACTCCCTCTAAAAAAATAAATAAATAAATAAATATCTCTCTCTCTCAACAAGGTTTCACTTTGTCACCCAGGCTGGAGTGCAGTGGCACGAAGTATTGAATGTCTATAGCATATATAATAGTAAAATATGTGATAGTAATAACAGGAGGATGGAGGAAGAATTAGAAATAGTTTTAAGGTCCTTTTACTACAAGTGAAGCCATATTATATTATTTGAAATAGATTCAGTTTATTTTAAAATCTATACTGCTAACTCTTGGACAACTAAAAAAGAATTTCTAAAAATATTTATGTCAATAGAGAATCTTTAAAAAGCTCAGTTAATCTCAGAGAAAACAAAAAAAGAAAAAAGGAAAAAGAAGAAAAAAGAAACACCTATACCTAGCAAGATGGTATATTTTAATCTAGCAATATCAATAACTACTTAAAATGTAAATGGTCTAACCCCCAGTTAAAAAACATATTGACAGATTAAATTTAAAAGGACAACTTAGCTATATGCTTCTACAAGAAAACCACTTAAAATAAAGACATATATAGGATAAAAATAAAGGATGGAAATAGATATATAATGAAAACATTAGTGAAAAGAGAGACATTACATATTGATAAAGGGTAAATTCCCCACGAAGACATGAATATTTTAAATGTGTATCCACATTTAGCTTTAAAATGCATGAAGCAAAAACTGTTAAATCTGTAAGAAGAAAATTTGCAATTAAGGTTGGAGCCTTCAATACTCATCTCTCGGTAAATGACAGAACAAGTAAGCAGAAAATCAGTCAGGTTACAGATGACATAAACAACACTAGCTACCAACTTGATCTAATTAATGTTTGTAGCATACTTCACACAAGCAGAATCCACATTCTTTTCAAGTGCACATGGAACATTTAACAAGAGAGAGCATGCTCTGGATCATAAAACATACCATAAGAAACTTGAAAAAATAGAAATGATACAAGGCATGTGTTTAAACCATAATAAAAATAATCTAGAAGTCAACATCAGAAGGAAATTTGTAAAACCTCCAAAAATTTGGAAAACAAACAACACACTTCTAAATAACTTGTAGATGAAGAGAAATTCTCAAGAGAAAATTTTTAAAAAATATTTTGAACTAAATGAAATTTTAACCACAACATCAAAATTTGTGGGATTCAGCTAAAGCAGTACTTAGGGAAAAAGTATAGCATGAATTGCTTGTATTAGAAAAGAAGAAAGATCTAAAATCAGTAACCTAAACTTCCACTTTAAGAGATTAGCGAAAGTAGAGCAAATTAAACACACAGCAATCAGAAGCTTGGAAATAATAACGTCAGAGCAAAAATCAATAACATTTAAACAGAAAAAACAATAAAATCAATACAACCAAAAGCAAATTCTTAGAAAATGTTAAGAATTGATGAACCTCTGTTCAGGCTGAAAAGAGGGGGGAAAAGACAAAAAGACACAAATTATCAGTACAGGCATCACTGCTCTCCAGAGATATTAACCAAGATATTAATAAGATATTAAATAACTACTATGAGCAAATCTAACCTGGCAATTAAATGGAAAAAAAACTTTTTTTTTTTTTTGAGAGGGAGTCTCTCTCTGTCGCCCAGACTGGAGTGCAGTGGCGCGATCTTGGCTCACTGCAAGCTCTGCCTCCTGGGTTCACGCCATTCTCCTGCCTCAGTCTCCTGAGTAGCTGGGACTACAGGTGCCCGCCACCACGCCCAGCTAATTTTTTTGTATTTTCAGTAGACACGGGGTTTCACCGTGTTAGCCAGTATGGTCTCGATCTCCTGACCTCATGATCCGCCCGCCTCAGCCTCCCAAAGTGCTGGGATTACAGGCGTGAGCCACCATGCCCGGCCAAAAAAACTTTTTAAAAGAGATTATCCACAACAACTCACTCAAGAGGAATTAGATAACATAATAGTCTTAAAATTCTATTTTATAAATCGAATTAGTAGTTACAAACCTTCCAAAAAATAAAACTGCCAATCCAGATGACTTTCCTAGTGAATTCCAACAAACATGTCAGGAAGAAATAATGGCAATTCTACAGAGTCTCTTCCTGAAGATGAAAGAGAAAGGAGTACTCTCCAACTCGTTTTATGAGGTCAACATTACACTGCAAGGTAAATATGTTACAAGAAAAGAAAATTACAGACCAGTAGTCTTCATGTACATGTACATTAAAATCCTTGATATTAGCACACAAAATCCAGCAATACAAAAAGATGATGAATCATGACCAAGTACAGTTTGTCCCAGTCATGCAAGGTTGGTTTAATGTGTAAAAACCAGTGTATCACAATTCACTCATATTAACATACTAAAAGAGAAAAAATTATGATTATCTTAGTTTATATAGAAAAAAATTGTCAAAAGCCCATGTTCATTTCTATTAGATACTCTTGACAAATAAAGTATATAAAGTACTTTTGACCAATAATTTATATAAAAAACTGGCTTCTAACGTTATACTTAATGGTGGCAAACTGTATACTTTTAAGATGAGAAATAATGCAAGTATATCTGTCTTCTAGTCACCTAATTTTTTTTTCTTTTTTTTGCTGAAGTCTTTACCAATTGACATAAAGCAACACAAAGAAAACATACCCAAATTGGAAAGGAAGAAGTAAATAGATATTATCTATACAAATTACACTGCATATAAAATAAAGCTAATAGAACTAATATGTGAGTTTAGCAAAGTAAGAGAATACAAGGATGGCATACGTAGGTGAGTTATAATTCTACATAGTAGCAATAAACAATGAGAGATTAAAATGTATAGCATTATTTACAATAGCATCAAAGAACACAGTACTTAGGGATAAATCTTACAAAAGATATGTGAGATCTGTATATTAAAAATTAAACGTATATGTATATATTTGTTGAAGTAAATTGAAGAAGAAATTGCTGACGAAATTAAAGTAAGCCTAAATAAATGGAGATATACACCATCTTTTTGAGTCAGAAGACTCAATAATATTAAGGTATCAATTATCTCTAAACTGCTCTATTGATTCAAACCAATCCCAATAAAACTATCAGTGGGATTGTCAATTGAAGTTAACAAGCTGATTCAGAAGCTCATATGGAAATGCAAAGGACCTAGAAAATTAGGCAAAAAATATTTTTGAAAAGGAAGAGTGCTTGAGAATTAACACTACCTGACTTCAAAATTTATTCAAAACTCTGGTAATCAAGGGAGCATGGTATTTTTGTAATGATAGAAAAATAGATCAATGGAGTAGAATATGGAGTTCAGAAATAGTCCAGCATATGTGTGTGTGTGTGTGTATATATATATATATATGTATACTATATATGTGCATATATGTATATATAACTGATTTTCAGTAAAAATGCAAAGGACATTCATAGAGAAAAAAATCTTTTTATAAGACAATCTGGAACAATTGGATATCCATATGCAAAGCAAAATGAAGTTTGATTCATACCCCCAAAGAGATAAAAAATTTTAATTAAAAATAGATCATTGATCTCAATGTAGAACTTAAAACTACAATGTCTAGAAGCAAACTTAGGACAAAATCTTTATGACCTTTAGTTAAGCAAAGATTTCTTTGTTATCCCACCTAAAGCATGATCCATTGGGGGAAAAAAAGGATAAACAGAAGTTTGTAATTTTAAAAAAATATTTTCTTTGAAAGATACTGGGAAGAAAAGAGATAAGCCCCAGACTGGAAGAAAATATTAATTTATATAATAAATGATTGATATCTAAGATATGTGAATACAAAAGTTCCAATGAAATATATAAAAGTCCTGAAAGGATTTGAACAGACATTTTTCCATAGAAGACATATAGATGGTGATATTTGACATCACTGAAAATTAAAACTACTAGACGATACCCCTATGTACCTCTTAGAATAACTAAAATTAAAAAGACTGACCATTCCATATGTTGCAAGAATATGGAGAAATTAGAATTCACATACACTGCTCATGGGAATGAAAATTGGTACAACCACTTTGGAAAGCAAGTATGGCAATTTCTTAAAATTATCATACACTTACCATATCATCCAGCCATTCTAGTCCTAGGTATTTTGTAAAGGTAAATGAATGTTTATGGTCATACAAAAACTTAGACAAGAATGTTCAGAATGCTGTATTTGTAATAGCCTCCAACTAGAAAGAAACACCAACACTTGAATGTAAAAACAAAATGTTACTCAACAATAAAAAAGGAAGTGAACTTATGTGCAGCAACACTGATGATTTTAAAAAGAATAATGCAGAGTGAAAGAGACCAGACCAGAAAAGAGAATACACTGTATCATTCAATTTATATAAATTATATAAAATTCAACGTTATCTATAGCAGTAAAAAGCAGATCAGTGTTTGCCTGAGGATGGAGGTCGGGAGAAGGGAGGAGAGGGAGAGACAGACTATAAATGGGTATGAGAGAATTGGGGGATAATGGATATGCTCATTATCTTGATTGTGGCAATGGTTTCATAAGTGTATACATATCTCAATTCTTATTAAATACTATACTTTTATATATGCAATTACTTCTACATCAATTATAACTTTAATGATTTCTTTTAAAGATCTTTTTATGAGCTCCTGGTAGGCGCCACCTCTGTGTCTCTCCTGGGGTGTGGTTGGAGAAAGAAAATATACAAAAGACAATGTGCTCCCCTGTTAGCTCAGAGATAGTTTTCAACATACTCAGTGAGTTGGAGAGGATAGTTATGAGGTCCATAAAGGCAGTCTATGTAAGATCATTCGAGGGTTTTTTTTTTTTCTTGTTTTTATCACAGTTCCACCCTAATGGACCATAGCTTGTATACTCATTTTCCTGGGCAGAATAGACTCTGAGATTATTCTGCTTTAGTTAGCATTTTGTTTTTACATTCAAGTGTTGATATTTTTTTCCAGTTTTTTTCCTTTGGACAGTAGATGATATTGAAAGTTCTTTAAAATATCAGAACTTCTTTGAAAAAAAAAAAACACCTTCAAATGGTTAACAATAAATACATGCTGGATTCTGAGCAGAAATATAGAGAAAATTAAACATTAGGCTGTACTTTGGTTTACTTCTTTGTAACCAAAAGTCAAGTAGCACTAGATACTGACCATTTTCACCTCCACTGTTCCTATACATAGGATCACTGATGTTAGAATCATTAAGCTTTTTTAAAAGAATTGCTTAAGATGTTCCTCACATCCTGAATTCTAGCAGAATAATTGATGCCGACTAGTTGGAAGACCCCCACAGAGAAATGGATTCGGCATGAAAATGCAGTTTCTTCTTGTCCCAGTCCCAGACTTCCCCTGCACTCTTCCACTAATCAATGGTCCCCACATTTTGGCCCTCTCCAAACTCCTTAAAATTTCTATCCTCAAACTCCTCAAGGAGGCGAATTTGAGGTTTCCTCTAGTTTCCTCATCCGGCTGCCCTGTGATTATTAAACTCATTCTCTGCTGTAATCCCTGGTGTCTCAGTATATTGACTTACTGCACACTGGTAAAATTAACCTCTTACAAAAATGCCTGGTAACAATGTCAATCTAGAGGATTATTTTTCTCAGAAATGGTGATGAAAAATTCTAACCAATAACACTAATCACCGATAATAATAATAATAAAGCTGATGATAACATTAATTATGGTAATAAGGAGAATAATAATAGTAATTTATCAGAAAGCCAGATACTATTTGTAAGTACTTCTGATTTTTTATCCTCAATACATGCTTATGAGGTAATTAATATCCCCATATTCAGGTAAGAAACCGTGGTATCGTGAGCTTAACGTCTTGTTGAGGGGTACATGGAGAGTTTTTTGCCTTCTTGGTATCTGGTAGGTAGTAATTGTCAGCCAGCATAGTGATGGGAAAGAACATATCCAATGCATTCTATTGTGGAGGAACTATTTATATAGCATTGTGGTAAGGGTTAAAGAAATCAGCTAAGGATGGTGAAATGCCCAGAGACTACAAAGTATGGGAAACTCTAAGCCATCACAAACCCTGAACGGTCAAGGGGAGAAATCGTCTTATCAAAATATAGAGAAAGTTTGGTGTCAGCAGAGATAAAATAACCACTAGGAGATAACATAGATAGCAGTTGTAGTTAGAACCACAGTGAGGCAGGTAAAGAGGGAGCCCAGGAGGAGGTGGTAAAATCAGTATCTAGATCTTTTTTTCTCTTTGCTTATGATCTCCTGTTGTGTTCCTATTGTCAAAATCAACTAGACACCAGAGAATAAAGTGTCCCAGGGGATAAAGTTCATAGATATCTCAGGCATAAGACAGGATAAAGAAGAATGCATCTGGCAGTATCTTCCTCATTTGGAAGAAGAAACTTGCCTCCTTATACAGGTGAAACTATATTGTCACCATTGTGTCAATAAAGTTATTCTCACATATGAAACCCAAATTATAATGTATACTTCATGAAATGTCACATGCATTAATTGACCTAAAATATAGCTGCTCCAGTCACCTCTTCTGCATATGGTCAAAGGCCAAGGTGGATAATTACAGCTTTTTTCATCTTTTCCATGTCCCTTTACTCTCAAACAACACTTAAGCTTCTTGAAAACTTTTACTTGGTAGAGTAACCCAAAAGTGTCCACATGATCCTTAGTGTTCCTGTTGTTATGGATTTGCTAGTGCTTCCTCTTACTCAGAAATGCTCTCAGAGTATTATGAGATATCCTAGTAAATATCCTGGATTCTGATAGTAGTTCTCCTTGTGCAAATTGTACGATATCAGAATAATAAAGAGGATCAGCCATGCTAACCACTAAAATAACCCCATATCTGTTTGTTTAACAGTATAAAAATCCAAAAATGTCATTAGTTCCCTTAGCTTCCAATTTAACAGAAACATGAAGGGTTTCATTTCCTGGGGAAAGGGGTCTTTCCTTGGCAAGAGGACCTCCAAACACACAAGACACAAGTACTTGCAGGTGGGGAAGCAACAAAATACCATGGACTGGTTGGCTTATAAACAACAGAAATTTATTTCTCAGAGTTCTGGAGGCTGGAAGTCCAAGATCAAGGCACCAATAGATTCAATATTGGTGAAGACCACTTTCTGTTCATAGGTGGTGTCTTCTTGTGTTTTCAAATGGTGGAAGGCACTAGCTAGCTTTCTGCAGTTTCTTTTATATAATGGATATAACAAGTGAGCCACTTTCCTGCCAAACCTGTATTCACAGAGATGCATAATATAGTTATGGAGGAAAACACATTATATATTTCCTTTTAAGTCATCCATTGGATTCTTTGGACAGCCCTTCAATCTTACAAAGTGTTCTGCCCCAGAAGGTGTAATCAGGGAGGCTTCAGAAGTTCATTTCACGTTTCTGTTAAGCCAGATACGTCTGGCAAATGGAGCACTGTGTAAGACAAATGAATTTCATGGAATAAGCCAACTGCCACATTTTCTTCACCATACAATTAGTTCTTTGGTCTGATGTGATGTTATATGAGATAGCATGGTAAAGAATAAGATAAAGCCCAAAAATAGTCTTTCCCACATAAGCATTGCAGGCAAGAAAGGCAAATCCATATCCAGAAAATGAATCTATTCTCAAGATGATAAATTGCTACTTGCTCCATGATTAACAGAGGTCCAGTGTAATCTATCTGCCACTGAGTGGTTGGCTCACCCTTCAGGGGAAATGGTACTATGTCAGGAACTCAGTGTCAGTCATTATCATTGGGTAGTTAACAGTCAGCAGTGGTGGCATTCAGATCACTGTAGATGATAGAATATGCATATTTTTGAGCCCATGCATAGTCTCCATCTGTGGCAATGAGCTCTTTCCACTTTGACTTATTGAACAAATGAGATAGTTGTGGAAATCAACTGATTGACATCCACAGGATGAATCATTATATTCATAACTATTGAGACATCCCTGTGTAATTGATGCTCTAAGGAGGGCATTTACTTACATGAGATAGAAGTATATTTATCTTCTCTTTCAAGTTTGCTGCATATGTCCACACATCTCTGATGAACTTTCTCATCACTAATCTTTCCCTCTTATTCTTTCCAAATCTCTAAGGAGCTGGCCAGCTGCCTAATCACTGCCTATTAATGGATGTAGATTATACCTCTAACCACCTCTCCTTTCATAAAAAGTGGACAATCTGATGCACTGTCTAAAGATCTACCTGGAGGGAGAATTTTTCTTCATCACTGTCTTTCTGAGCCACTCCTTCATTGGACCTGAAATGCAGTAGTCACTCACTTCTGCTGTTGATGTTGTACCATCTGTATACTCAAGATGCATCTTTAAACTAGGCCTGTGGTTTTTCCTTCTCTGTTAAATGGTCCTAAGGGAACTCTCCCAAGTGGCCATAAGTGTGGTTGAATAAGAGTAAGTAAAGCAAGAGGAGCTCTTGTTGTCTGTCTTTCATGATAATAGCTCTGACCTTTTATTATGAGGTTGTTTGTTAACTAAAAGAATTGGAACTCATAGGAAACTATAGGAGACATTTTAATATTAAAGATAACTAATCTATGAAAATCTTTACAAATGTGTTTTCATGCTTCAGAAGGGCAAAAAGGCTTGAAATAAATAGTAAGCCTCTAGAAACATAACACAGATAATGTATTTGAATGTTCCAATATTTTATTTTTACCAAAATATGAAAAGATAAAACAGCAAAGGATGACTGCACTGAGAGGATAGTAAGTACAATGTGGTATTTTCTTTTTCCCCCAATTAGGAGTTTGGAGGAAATACAATATTCTTAAAACTGAGTTTATGCTTCCATTGGAGGTGTGGGCTAAGTAAACCTAATACTGGTTAGATTGTCATTGTCCTGGAATTCTGACGATTCCTTAGAAATGTTTATGATATTTCGATGGAGACTGAACAGGTCATTTTTATAATTGATAATTAAAATTATTTGTGATCTCTAATAAAGCACTTAATTTAAATAAGGTTATTTTAACATAGATTTAAAGACCTGAACACAGAATCAGGCTTCGTCTATGTATTGCAAAATGTAGATGAGATATAAGCAATTCATTGCATCTTTAGGAAATTTTCAAAAACCTGTTTAAATGCCTGTGTGAAAAATGTAATGTCAAGAGTATACTACAACCACTTTCTTCTCAGACTTTTTCTTGACTAGCTGGAAATGTAGTAATTGAAACTTTACCCATCATGGAAATAATATAACTATTCATGAAAATAACACTAAATTATTATAATACCATAGGGAATATTTTTTCAACTGTAAAATATTTTTAGTAATCTTCATGTCTACTTGGCTAAAATACCTAAATTTCATTTATGGCAATATTTCCATCAGCGGTGATGAGTTTCCAGAGACCCAAGGTTATATTGTTTCTCAACATATACACTGCTTTTCTGGGCATGGACAACCAGACTGCAGCTTGGATCGCAGTAATTGTCCTTCATAACCTTACTCCATCAGTGAGGCCAAACTGTTAATGAGACCCAGTTCAGGGTTTTACAATCATCACATCTGCCCTCTGGCCTTTGGTCAAGAGTTCAGCCAAAGAGAACTCTTAGTAACAAGGAAGGCAAAGTGTGACTATGTATGTACTATTCATCAAAGAATTTGTTCCACAAGCATTTTCTGAGTGCCTCCTAATTTCAAGAAGATTTATGACACATTATGTTCACAATGGTGATCATGATATTTCATTTTGGAGGAAATTAGGGGTACAATATGGTTGGGGCAATGTGGCACACCTTTGTATAGGCTGATTTCTTATGGGGAAAATAGAAATTATCTTAATCTCTGACATAACCATGTCCTATTTATAATGAGCAACACAGCAGTTAAAAATAACAATACACTGTAGCATTGTCAGCTATGTGGTCTGTATTTTAGAGAGTCCAAACTTCCCTGAAGGTTCAGCTATGTAAATCATCAATTTAAGCAGTACTTGAACATTCTGTAAAATGTACTGTAGGATTACAGTTACCTTTAAATATCCCCTCTGTGAAAAATTCCTCAGCATATGAATTCAGTTTATAGTGCGATATATAGGACAAAACTTTTCTTCATGCAAATTTTGTTTACAATCTTTCTTGATTCAATTGTATATTGAAACAAAATTAACCATGTCTGGGTATCTCAGGGTCATCATCACGAATATCAATTATCCTACTGCACTCGAATAGAATAATGCTCCCAGTAACTATGTGCTTCCCAAGAAAAAGCTCTAAGATTAGGAATCTCCTGCTTTCTGTTGTGTTCCATTACCATTATTTATACTTTTTTTGATATTTCTTTATGTTCATTCTGCTTGCAAACTGTAGCTCCTAATACACTCAGAGTTTTTGTTATAGTAGCAAAACCGTTAGTTTTGATATTGTACAGCATTGAGGATGGCCTTGAACCATTTGCACCGGTTCCTTAAACCTCACTTTTCTCATTTTCTTTCAGATTTCTTAACCTCTTTTACAATCAGCTTTTTTATCTGTTAAATGGGGAACATAATAAAACAAAAACTTATATCACAGGAAACCCACAAGGATAAAATGAAGTAATAAATATATTTTGGAGACCCCTGTACATGGTGAACACTCTTACCATTAGCTAATATTGATATTATCATCATTAAGTGAGACAATGGATACAGATATAAACTTCCCAGTATGTAGTAAGTGCTCAGTGACTATTATTTTATTTGCTTTTATGCAAAGAATAGATAAAGAATGATTTACCTGAGAGTGGTTTCACATCTGTGTATGTGGAATAAAGTACATGGGGTCTGTGATTCTCTTTTCGTACTACCGTGGTGCCATCCTCACTTATTTCTGGGTTCAGTGTTACACTTCTCCAGTTTAGATGGCTATAAGTCTTTCTGTAAGGAAATGTTGGTACTACATTTTATACCTAGGAAAACCAAAGAGTATAATTATCTGCCTCACTTTCCACTGCAGGTCAAGATTTAGTTAATTGACTCCAGTTCATTTTGCCCAGGGCATCTCCTCTGAGACAGATACCATGGTGGCTAGCATTAGATGATAGGGGCTGTGGTCCTGTAGAGAGAAAAGAGGGATGAGGCTCTCCCAGTCATAGAATTCCCAGTAACCAGGAAACAGCCACTGGCTGGTAATAACTTCCTCTCCCCTCTGACTTGGAATGGATTGCAGGCACTGACCTAGAGGGGAAAGGCTTCATCTCCCAACATCAGCCAATCTCATCTCATTGCAAGGGAAAGGCCCCTGGAGATGTGGTCCTATCCATCATGTGGACAGCTTTGGCCAAAGTGCCCACTACATCACTGGCTTTAATAAAAAGTTGCTGGAGGCTGCAGTACTAGTGACAGATGTAAACTGCAGCATGGCCAGAGCCTACGAATTCTCCCAAGGTGGAAGTGCACTTGAGGAGGAAGAGGAAGAAAAGGAAAGAGAAGACAAAAAGAGGAGTGAAAAATGATAAGGTAACCACTTCAGAACTTCCATTAAAAGTGAATTTAATAAACTGAAATATACTCTAAAGGGAAAGACATTTGTCTGAAAAGATCAAATCTGAGAATAGAAATGACAAGAGTATAAAAACACAATAAAGGAAGTAAACCAAGATACTACGAAACTTTTCTATTAAATCCAAGAATGCCAGAATTAAAGCAATTGGGAACCCTACAGATTTGAACAAAAATAAACCAGAAAATAAATAATAACCTGATGCCAATTGTTATTACACAATTTGGTAAATTTAAAAATTTAAGTATTTCTTAATGCATTTACAGAATTTCAGTGTTATGAACATAGTAGGTTTTAAATAAAGTTTTGTTAAGTGAAGGAGTTACCAATTAATCTAGTGTCCATAAAAAATGACATAATTATGATTTAAATAATTGGTCATGTCTCAGGGGATCAGTTTATGTCCTATACCTGAATAATTTTCTAATTTGTCTTCTAATTGATTTAATGTCAGTATTTTCAGTAGCTTTTGTAACCCAGCAGTTTTCTCAAAAAGTATAAAACTTGAAAACTAAGAATTCCTAAGACAAACTAGGCACATGCATTTAGATATATCACATAATTATGATATATTCTATACATGCATTTAGATATACATGATATATCAGATAATTATGATATATCCAAACTAAATACAAATGATCATTGGATGTTACTATACATGGGTCAGAGTAGGACCCAGGTTGCCAGGTGCTAAAAATCCTTTCTTTCCTGGCACATCCTACAATGGGATGGATCAGCATAGGTGTCAGAGAAAACATGGAAGACCTTAGACTCTGGAACCATGGAGGTCCTATGTAAATTGTTCTTGTTGACTGATGGTGGAGGAACCCCAAAATACTTTGTTGCCTTCTACAAAAACTAGTATAGTCAGTAGGGCAAAAATCATTACCTCTGCTCTTTATTTTTTTCCAAATATGGAGTGTGTATCATGTGTTAAGTAAAAGAAATACAAATATGGAATTGTCTACTGTTGTATCTTCTGCATGAGAATAACGCTTGGCCCATCATAGATACTTTAGAACTCTGTATAATAAATAGTTAAATAAATGAATAAAACAATCCTGTTTCCTTCAAATAACTATACAATATGAACTCTGGTATAATTATAGTGGATAAAACACTGCAACAAAAAGTGCAAAAATACATGGTTTATTTTCTCTAACCCATCTAAATTTCCTGCCAAAACTCTACCTGCCACATAGCCCAAGGAATAACTAACACATACCAATCATCTTAGTCATTTCTGGCCTAATCAGTGTCTCTCAGATAAGGAAGGTTCATGAGAGGGTGGATTTTTCTTGTTCTCTAGTGCCTAGAATGATGTCTAGTATGCTGTAGCCACTTGATAACATCTTTCTTGAATGAATAAATGCATCAATGAAGGAATCAATAAATGAATATATAGAACTCAGTTTCCTTGGAAACTATGCTCAGTTTTTATGTATTTTCAACCTTTTCTCCCAGTTCTCCCCTAGATGACATCCAGGTGTATGAAATATGGGCGCAAACTTGTGTCACAAGCTGTGAAGTCTGTGGCCCAAACCTGAGATCTATTCTTTCATATAGAGCCTCCTGTTCTTATCTCATTGCCTTGTGGCAGCCTCAGCTTTGTCTTTAGTTGAAAGTCACTCTGATTCCTGAAAAGAACCTTCAGTTCATATCCTAGTGCTGACTACCTTCCTATCATTTCTATGGTGGGTCCACCTTGCTTCTTGCCATCACCTTGGTGATGATACTGTTATCATCACCCTCCTTTCATGTCTTCTATAAGATATGCTGGAAATTATGGATCCCTTCTACATCACACAGAAGCAAAGAGAATTGCAAGATATTAGGTACTCCTTTCTCAACCATATTCTTCAGCTAGTTTTTGCTTCTTGGAGCAGTCCTGTACTGGCAAGAATTATGGAACCAGGTTTTCTATCCTGAATTCCAAATGAGGAGTGAGAAACAACTCATTCACCTTCTCCTTTCAGATTTTCCTGTAGATGCAAAATAACTGACAAAAAACCACAACACTAAAAGCCTAGCCAATTAAAGCGAAATTACCAAAAAATAAATTTGCCAAATATACCAGATGGAAAAATTATTTTACAATTATTACACACATAGTTAATTTTCTTTAACAAAGTTTTTGAATGACACAATATTTTTTCAATCTTTAACATTCTGTCATTAATCCATAAAAGTTTTAATTGAATTATGCTCAATTCTAAATTTTGATTAGATTAGGTTTAAGTTAAATTAGATATTTGGTTTAAATATGATTTCATATTAACATTTAAAGTAATACAAATTATTCATAATATTAAAATTAAATCAAATTTAAAGTGACTTTTTATTCTAATTAAAAATGGAGGTTTGAATATATTTTTTGTTATCAAGAAAAATGAAAAGCTGGGCATGGTAGCCCACACCTGTAATTCCAGCACTTTGGGAGGCCAAGACAAGAAGATAGCTTGAGCTCAGGAGTTGCAGATCCACTGGGCAACATAGCAAGACCTTGACTGTACAAGAAGTAAAAAATAAACTAGCTGGGCATGGTATGTGCCTGTAGTCCTAGCTACTTGGGAGGCTAAGGCAGGAGGATCACTTGAGCCCAGGAGATCCAGGCTGTAGTGACCTATGATTGTGTCATTGCACTCAAACCTGGGTGATAGAGTGAGATCCGGTCTCAGGAAAAATAAAAGGAAGAGAAACAAGAGGAACTAAAAATGATATAAACTCATATAAGAAAAGATGACATGAGAGGAGACAACAGATGAGAGATGTCAATATGAATTAGAATCTGGAATTTGGAGGTTGGGTTGCTAACCAAGCAAGGGGCATTAAGTGAAAATCTGTTTCTTAAATGGTTTAATCTCCTTGTTTTATTCTTTCACTTGGGTCTCAGAACACTGGCAACCATCAATAATTTCTTACCCAACTGCAGGTAACTGAAGATTTCTTCAATGGATGAATAAATATAGATACTACCTTCTGTGGATTCTCCAATAAAATGGACAAATCCATTGCCAAAAGCCTTAGGGTAAGGCTGTTAGTAAAGGAATCCTGCCATCAACCTCTAGTCAGGGCTTCCAAACAATTTTTTGTTATCTTGCTCTTATATATAAATATTCATTTAAATATAACTAGATATTTGAAAAAAAACTCTCCAATAGAAAAGGAACCAAAAAATAGTAAAGTAAAGAGCAGTCAAGAAAAATCAGAGTAGAAAAGAAAAAAACAACCAAAATTTATAAAATGAAAAACAGTCAAAAGTAATTATAGTGGAAAATAACTTTAAAATATAAAATAATGTCCTCTGTATCCAAGTAGATATCAAACATGTATGACAAAAGAAAAGACAATTTTTGGTGAACCTGCAAGTTTTTAAAAAAATGGTTTCTAGAAAAAGGCTACTGGAGGATTCCCTCTGTCATAATGAATGAGTAAAGGAAGAAAGAGACTGAAATGTAATCCATGGAACAGTGTACCTTAGAAAAAGGTAAAAAACATTTAAAAAAAAAAAAGTTTTTATGGAGCAGAACACTCCAGGAGATATGCCCGCCGAAAAACTAAAAAATTAAAAATAAGATATTTAAAATTAAGCTAATTTAACTATTTGTATTAGCAGAGCAGTTTACATTTGGCTCAAACTCCAGCAAATAACTCTATAAATGTTTTATTAAAAATAACTATCTGAAGGCACAGAAGAGAGAGCAGAAAACAAGCAGAAACTATAGTGGTGTCAAGTCTTGAAAGCTATAAATTGTCTCCGCTGAGATCTATAATATATGAAGTTTCAACTGAGGGCACTCTCCAGTCCGTGGAATATGAGGATGCTTGAGTAGACAAAGGATAAAGTTTAAAATAAAAAGTTCATCTGGAAAATGAGAGGAAAATAGAAAAGTGAGTCATACAGAGGAGCATTAAATCCTTAGACAACTCCTTAACTGCTTGTAAAGTGGAGGGTCCAGGAAGCCCAGTCAAAACCAATACCTGGAAGTCTGAAAGATAAAGACTAAACTTTGGCTGTTGAGTGCCACAGGGAACATAACTGTTTAGAGTTTGAGTCTAGCTGAATTAATTGTCTGAGAGCACAAGAAACAACCCCTTAAAAGGAGGATTTCAGAATCCAAAGTCACTAGATATAGCATGTACAATGTCCAGTATTTTAAAAAAAATAAACTGAATATTCAAAGAAAAGTAAAGAAATAAAAAGAAAAAGAAAGCAAAAAAGTGTAACCTAGAGTCAGGGAAAAAAGTAATTGATAGTAATTAACCCCAATATAGTTCAAAAAATGACTTTATAACACCTGAAAATGGGGTGAGAATAAACATAAAAACTATAAAAACTATGAAAACTGTAGGTCTAAAAGTTAGAATAAGTGAAATAAAAAATCCAATTGAAGAATGTAACAACAGATTATGGTGACAAAAGATATGGTCAGTGAAGTTACAGTTGGAAAAAAGAAACTACCCAAATAAAAGAACATAAAGAATATTTTTTTTAAATGTACAAAATGAGAACAAGAACGGAAGTTCATGTCACCATTCCTATTTAACATAGTACTAGAAAGTTCTAGTTAGTGCAATGAGGCAGAGAGAGGGAAAAAATGAGTGAGAGAGTACATACAATTTAAAAAGGAAGAAAATTCCTAATTGCAGGATGAATGACTATCCACAGACAATCCTGAGAAATCTACCAAAAATAAAACCTTATAAAACCATTAAGTGAGCACATCAAGGTTACAGGATACAAGAAAATTACAGTATACAAAAATCAATTGTATTTCTATATATAGCAATGAACATTTGAACATCAGAACTAACAATATATTTATAGTCTCAAAAAATAAAATACTTAAGTATAAATTTACAAAAAAATACAGAGCCTGAATACTTAAAATTACAAAATGTTTATTAAGTACCTCAAAAATCAAGGCTGTCTAAATATAGAGAAATACCATGTTCACGAATTGGAAGATTCAGCATAGTAAAAATGTCAATTATTCTCAAATTGATGTACAAATTTAATGCAATTTATATCAAAATCCAAGCAAGACTTTTATAGATATAAACAAGATAATTCTAAAATGTATATGGAAAAACTAAGGAACTAGAATAGTTGAATCAATTTTGTGGAAAAAAAAGAAGCAATCTGTCTGCTCATTTTTGATACTTATTATACGGCTATGTTAATCAAGATTGTGCAGTATTGATGGATGAGTTGACACAATTAATGGAAGAGACCCCAGATCAAAGGAGCAGAATAGAGAACCCAAAAATAAATGCTCAAAATGTGCCTAACTGAATTTTGACAAAGTTATGCACTCAATTCCATGGAATACAGAGCCTTTTTAGCAAATGTTGCTTGGAGCAATTAGATCTAATACTGAAAAAAAAAAGAAGAAGAAGAAGAAAAATACCAAACAATAACATAAAACTGTGACATAAGTATTATGTTATATACAAAACTTAACTCAAAATAAGTCACAGAAAATGTAAAGCATAAAACAAAAATATTTAGGAAATATATAGGAGAAAATTTTCAGAATTTAAGGTAAGCTAAAGACTTATTTAACTTGATACCAAAAGCACCTATCAGGAAAATGTCATAAATTTGATCTAATTAAGATATTTTGTGCTACAAATACCCTGTTAAAAGGATAAAAAAGGGATCTGGCAAGATGGCCAAATACAAACAGCTCTGGTCTGCAGTACCCAGCGAGACAAATGCAGAAGGCAGGTGATTTCTGCATTTCCAACTGAAGTACCCAGTTCATCTCATTAGGACTGGGTATGCAGTGGGAGCAGCCAACAGAGGGTGAGCAGAAGCTGGGTGGGGCATCGCCTTACCCAGGAAGCGCAAGGAGTCCTGAGGGCCTCCCTCCCCCGGACAAGGGAAGCCACGAGGGACTGCACTACCCCACCTGGATACTACACTTTTCCCATGGTTTTTGCAATCCGCAGATCAGGAGATTCCCTCATGTGCCTATACCACCAGGGCCCTGAGTTTCAAACATAAAACTAGGCTGCTTCTTGGGCAGACACCGAGCTAGCTGCAGGAGCATTTTTCGTACCCCAGTTGCGCCTGGAACCCCAGCGAGACAGAATCGTTCATTCCCTTGGAAAGGGGGTTTAAGCTAGGGAGCCAAGTGGTCTCGCTCAGCAGGTCCCACTCCCACGGAGCCCAGCAAGCTAAAAACCACTGGCTTGAAATTCTCACTGCCAGCACAAGCAATCTGAAGTCGACCTGGTATGATCGAGCTTGGTGGGGGGAGGGGCGTCCACCATTACTGAGGTTTGGTAGCCAGTTTTCCCGTGACAGTGCTAAGGAGGCCGGAAGGTTTGGACTGGGTGGAATTCACCACAGCACAGCAAAGTGACAGTGGCCAGACTATCTCGCTAGATTCCTCCTCACTGACCAGGGCATCTCTGAAAGAAAGTCAGCAGCTCCAGTCAGAGGCTTACAGATAAAACTCCCATCTCCCTGGGACAGAGCACCTGGGGGAAGGGGCAGCTGTGGGCACAGCTTCAGCAGACTTAAACTGTCCTGTCTGCTGGCTCTGAAGAGAGCAGTTGATCCTGACAAGGAGGATTCTCCTAGCACAGTGCACTCAAGCTCTGCTAAGGGACACACTGCCTCAAGTGGGTCCCTGACACCCGTGCTTCTCGACTGGGAGAGACCTCCCAGCAGGGGTCGACAGACACCTCATACATGAGAGCTATGAATGGCATCAGGCCAGTGCCCCTCTGGGACGAAGCTTCCAGAGGTAGGAGCAGACAGCAATCTTTGCTATTCTGCAGCCTCCACTGGTGATACTCAGGCAAACAGGATCTGGAGTGGACCTCCAGCAAACTCCAGCAGACCTGCAGCAGAGGGGCCTGATTGTAAGTAGAAAAACTAACAAACAGAAAGCAACAACGTCAACATCAGCAAAAAGGATCCCACCCAAAAACCTCATGCAAAGGTCATCAGTCTCAAAGATCAAAAGTAGATAAATTCACAACAATGAAGAAAAAACAGTGCAAAAATGATGAAAATTCCGAAAACCAGAATGCCTCTTCTTCTGCAAATGATCACAACTCCTCTCCAGCAAGGACACAAAACTGGCTGGAGAATGAGATTGACCAATTGACAGAAGTAGGCTTCAGAAGGTAGGTAATAATAAACTCCTCTAAGCTAAGGGAGCATGTTCTAACCCAATACAAGGAAGCTGAAAACCTAGATAAAAGCTTACAGGAACTGCTAACTGGAATAACCACTTTAGAGAAGAACATAAATGACCTGATGGAGCTGAAAAACACAGCATGAGAACTTCTTGAAGCATACACAAGTATCAATAGCTGAACTGATCAAGTGGAAGAAAGGATATCAGAGATTAAATATCAACTTACTGAAATAAGGCATGAAGACAAGATTAGAGAAAAAAGAGTGAAAAGGAATGAACAAAGCCTCCAAGAAATATGGGACTACATGTAAAGACCAAACCTACTATTGATTGGTGTACGTGAAAGTGATGGGGAGAATGGAACCATTCATGATAAAGAGATAGCAATCATGAAGGTATGTGTACCTACCTTATTTGGGTGTGTTACTCTGGCCCATTTATCAAGTGACCTGAAAGGCTGCCAGTTTTGAGTACAGTCCTGAACAGGAGAAGGCTCTGCAACAGGTCCAGGTGGCTGTGCAAGTTGCTGTGCCACTTGGGCCATTTGACCCAGCAGATCAACTGGTGCTTGAGGTGTCAGTGGCAGATAGAGATGCTGTTTGGAGCCTTTGGCAGGCCTTCATAGGTGAATCACAGTGGAGGCCTCTAGGATTTTGGAGCAAGGTCCTGCCATCTTCTGCAGATAACTACTCTCTTTTTGAGAGACAGCTCTTAGCCTATTACTGGGCTTTGGTGGAAACTGAACATTTGACTATGGGTCATCATGTCACCATGCTACCTGAACTGCCTATCATGAACTGGGTGATTTTGGACCCATCTAGCCATAAAGTGGGTTGTGCACAGCAACATTTCATCATCAAATGGAAGTGGTATATATGTGATTGGGCTCAAGCAAGTCCTGAAGGCACAAGTAAGTTACATGAAGAAGTGGCTCAAATGCCCACTGTCTCCACTCCTGCCACCCTGCCTTTTCTCCCTCAGCCTGCACTGATGGCCTTGTGGAAAGTTCCCTATGAGCAGTTGACAGAGAAAGAGAAGACTAGGGCCTGGTTTACAGAGGCTTCTGCATGATATGCAGGCACCACTGGAAAGTGAACAGCTGCAGCACTACAGCCCCTTTCTAGGATATCCCTGAAGGACAGAGGTGAATGGAAATCTTCCTAGTGGGCAGGGGTGAAGGGAAATCTTCCCAGTGTTGGCTGGGGTGATTGAACCAGACTATCAAGATAAAATCAGTCTACTACTCCACAAAGGAGGTAAGGAAGAGTATACATGGAATGCAGGAGACCCATTAGGGCATCTCTTAATATTACCATGCCCTGTGATTAAGGTCAATGGGAAACTACAACAGACCAATCCAGGCAGGAGTACAAATGGCCCAGGCCCTTCAGGAATGAAGGTTTGGGTCACTCCACCAGGAAAATAAACATGACCTGCTGAGGTACTTGCTGAAGGCAAAGGGAGTACAAAATGGGTAGTAGAAGAAGGTAGTCATTAATACCAGCTATGACCGTGTGACTAGCTGCAGAAACGAGGACTGTCATGAGTATTTCCTCCTTCTGTTAAAAACATGTTTGTTCATATATAAACTTGTACTGAGAAGATATCTTCATTTTATTTCCTTTTTCCTTTATCATGTGACATAAGATTTATTGACTTCACATGGGCATTTAAGTATTGTTAACTTTATGTAATAGTATTTGGGTTGGGGATTGCTGCTTTCACGGGTGTATGAAGGATAGTTGTATTATGTTAGGCATAATTGTGACCTTACGTTGTCTTTATTTGAAGATTATGTCTGAATTCAGGAGATGTGTATGGGTTCAAGTTGACAAGGGGTAGACTTGTGATAGTTAATACTGAGTGTCAACTTGATTGGATTGAAGGATCCAAAGTATTGATCCTGGGTGTATCTATGAGAGTGGTGCCAAAGGAGATTCACATTTGAGTCAGTGGACTGGGAAAGACAGACCCACTTTTAATGTGGGTGGACACAATCTAACCAGCTGCCAGTATGGCTAGAATATAAGCAGGCAGAAAAATGTGAAAAGAGAACATGGGCCTAGGCTCCCAGCTTACATCTTTCTCCCGTGCTGGATGCTTCCTGCTCTTGAACATCGGACTGAAGTTCTTCAGTTTTGGAACTCAGACTGGCTCTCCTTCCTCCTCAGCCTACAAACAACCTATTGTGGGACCTTGTGATCATTTGAGTTAATACTTAATAAACTCCCCTCTATATATATGTGTCTATTTAATTACTTCTGTCCCTTTAGAGAACCCTAAAATAATGTCTCACCTTCATGACCACTGCTTTCTATATGGTGTGACACACATATTCTCTTTTCTCTTTCCTCCAGGAAGAGAAAAAGGTATCTGACTGAAGAAATAGAGTAATAATATGTGTAATTGAGGTTACACTTAAGTAAGGCCTTGAAAAATAAGAAACTTTTTAGTAGACAAGGGTAAGGTTTAAAAGGCGAGAATCATTTTAGGTATAAAATATAACAGTATGAGTAAAAAAGGTAAAGTATAAATATTAATTGATAACTGTTAAGCTGATGAACTTAGATAGTTTTGGGTTCATGTAGTGGTGACCCTAGCTAGAGAAGGAAGTTGAAAATTAAAATAAGCACTTTGGACTTTATTCAAAGAGTCCTGATTAGCTGTTGAAGGCTTATGAGCAAAATTTGAAAGCTTGGTCAGTCCCTCTGGTAGCTGTGTGCAAATGCACAATAGTAACAAGAGGCACATTCAGGGAGAGACTCCAGTGTGGACAATTAGGAAAGAAGATGGCAGCATGGAATCTCAATATGGCTTGGAAAGGATGATTAGTTTCTCCCTCTTCTGTGACATTCTTTGCCTTCTTCACTTTCTCTTTTCTTTTCTTTTCTTTTTTAATCTAATGATTATATGTTATTGAAATGGGAGCCAAAGAACTTGTGTTGCAGCCTGCGACTCTATTTCTAATCACTGGAATTTCCCGCATATGCTCCTGTGACAGAGGTTTTTGTCTCTGACCACTTCTTAAAATAACTTGAACCAAAGAGAAATTAGGATGGAGATAGATGGAAAGAAAGATAGGACCTAAAAAGAGCTAAGAAAATATCAGTGCCTACAGGAAGATGTGGCTACCAGAGTCCAAGAGTTCACAATTGAAAATAATACAACCACAAAACTGGGCTAGAATAGAATCATTGATGAATCAATATTCTATGAAAGTGGAACCAAGGTTACATGTGTAGCCATTTCTCACAGTATTTTCAGGTATTTGAATCTTTCCAAGTGAGGACAGACATTTTTATAGCACTTTCTGTTTAGCATTGGACATCTGAAGTAGCACATAATATAGAAAAGGAGATTTTTGGCTATAAATTGTGTTTTGCAAAGTGAAATCTGCATAATAATGAATATCAAGGGTTTTTATTTTTTCTATGTTCATTTTTCTTCTTTGCTCAAGGGAAAAAGAAAAACCCAAATCATTCTGGGAATGCATTAGAAGTCAATGACAAAGTAATAGAAAATGCTGACATGTAGAAATGCCTTCACAGCAAATGAATCTAATTTATAGTATTCAGAACTAGGTCTAACATCAACTCAGGTCTAGACAGGAAAGCCTTGCAAGTGCCATTCCACCTTCAAAAATTTGGTAGGTGAACAAGGTACATGGTTGTGAAAGAAGTTACCATACCAATAGTTTCCTTACTTGGAAATCTTGTTTCAGAATGGTAAAATAGCAAGGTCACATCAGCACTTGGGACAGTATAAACCGAATAAAAATAACTCACAGACTTTTCATTCAGGGGAGTTTTTGTTCTCCTTTCCTAAAAACAAGAATTGGACTCCAGGGTTGCAGAAACTAGTTGGTAAGGCAAGTTCAAACCCAGAGCCATTTACATAAATAAACCCCCCAAACAAAGGACAAATAAAAACAAACAAACTAGCAGGCCAACAAACACAAACAGTACTAATCTACATTGTAAAACCATTACACACAATGTCACCTTGGCACTAGAAAGTGAAGAAATCAATACAAAACAAAAGAAAGAAAATGTTTTAATCTTCTCTGTAACCACAGAGACACCAACGCAAACACCTCTTTAAGAGGTGTTTGCCTCTTAGGTGCAAATAGAACTGCTTAAGTTCCTAATAAAGAAAATAACAACTATTCAGTTATATCTGATGGGAACTTCAGGATGAAGCCTAACAATTTCCCCTACTGAATTCAGGAGAATTGGAAATTGAGTCACAAACATTGATCTGAAAGAGATTAGAAAAAGTGTTGAAATTATCAAACAGATTAGAAACCAAATCTTTCAGTCCAGCAGATGTTTTCAAACGATTTTAGACACATGATATTCATCCTTCTTTTGCTTTTTTTTTTTTTTTTTGGTTTTTGTTAAACAAAACATATTTCATATGGGCATATTGGGAGAGGTATAGCAACTCACTTAACTTCTTTGTTAGGTAACCAGGTAACCATATGCCCTGGATCACAATAAAGTATCTACATATTAGCAAGTGAGAACTGTAATTTACTAAATACATACCAAAAAATATTTACTAACATCTGCTAATAACATAACTACTAATTTTACTTCTGATAGACATTTAGAGACTGACTCTCACTTACCTACATTTCCATACTTAGTTTCCTGTTACCCACTCCATCATAGACAAAGGATAACGAATTAAAATACATGACAGTGCATTAATATCAACAAAAAGTTACAAGTGTGAGCACATAGCATCATAAACCTGGGTAACTCCTATGTGCTCAATTAACACGCATAACACATAATTCATGTTTTATAAAATAATATTTTTATTGAGGTAAAATTTTAGCCATATTGCCAGGCACTCACTGACTTTAAGTGTGTAATTCAATAAGTTTGGACTAATGTTTAAAATCATGCAACCACCTCCAAAATAAAAATAATAAAACATTTCCATTATGAGCAACCATTGTTTTGATTTTGATTTTGGTTCATGATACCATGAATTAGTAAACTTGTTTTTGAACTCATATGAATAAAATGACACATAGCTATTCTGTTTTTATCTAGTTTCTCTTATTCAACATAATTTTTCTAAGATTCATCCATGCTGTTTCTAATATCAGTAGTTTATTTTATTTCAGTCTGAGCCATTGTCCATTGTGTTACTATACCAGGATATGCTTATTCAATCTCCTATTTGTGAGCATTTGCATTGTTTCCAGTTTTTGTTGGTTACTATGAGTAAAGCCTTAAATCTACACACAGAAAGACAAAAAATATTATATCGTAGTGAACTAAGAATCCATTTCAGGAAGTTAGACAACAGCAAAGTAATCTAAGTGAATTAAAAAAAAATAAAACTGAGAGCAGATTTATAAAATAGAAAGCCATCATAATAAGACTGATTTTACAAAAGTTGATTCTTTGAAAAGACATAATTGATAAGCCTCAAGGGAACAAAAAGAAGGAGTAAAAATCAATATAGGACTGAAGAGTCACCACAGATTAACGTTGACTATTAAACAGATAATTAGGAGATATCAAGAGTAAATATTTATGCAAACATTTTTAAAAATCCAGTTAAATGGACACATTTCTAGAAAAATAAGTAGAATATCTGAACAAAGAATAGTTGTATGAATAGTCCTATGATCATTAAAAAATTGACTGTAATTGAAAACATGATCACGAAGAAAACTGTATAAATGGCTTCACAAGTGGCTTCTAATAAACACTTAAGAGAGAAGTAATTCCAATCTTACACACATTCTTCAGAATATAGAAATAGATGGGATATTTCTCACCCAATTATGTAAGTGTAACATAAGCTTGATAACAAAACCGGAAAAAGGCAGTACAAAGGAGGAAAATTAGGGGAAAATGATGTGAACATGCATGTAAAAATTCTAGGTACATTCCTTGAACCCAGGAGGTGGATGCTGCAGTGAGCCGAGATTGTGCCACTGCACTCCAGCCTGGGCAACAGAGCGAGACTCTGTCTCAAAAAAAAAAAAAAAAAAAAAAAAAAAAAAAAAAAAGATGGAGAAGTTTTTGATAAAATTTACCATCCAGTCAGCTGGTCGCGGTGGCTCACGCCTGTAATCCCAGCACTTTGGGAGGCTGAGGCAGGCGGATCACGAGGTCAGGAGATCGAGACCATCCTGGCTAACACAGTGAAACCCCGTCTCTATTAAAAATACAAAAAATTAGCCTGGTGTGGTGGCGAGCACCTGTAGTCCCAGCTACTCCAGAGGCTGAGGCAGGAGAATGGTGTAAACCTGGGAGGAGGAGCTTGCAGTGAGCCAAGATCGTGCCATTGCACTCCAGTCTGTGCAACAGAGTGAGATTCTGTCTCAAAAAAAAAAAAAAACTACCATCCGGTCAAGCTAAAGAGGCTTAGAAATCCAGGAACAGAAGGAAAAGATGGAAGCTACCTGCTAATCCTAATAAGGAATACCTAAAGAGGAAAAGTCAGCCCTGTAGTTCCTGGTGAAATGTAGCTTTCTCCTTGTGATCGAGGTTAATAAAAGTAAGTATATTTCTATGACTTTTATTCAACACATGCTTAAGGAGACCCTAGCCAGTGCATCAGGCAGCAAAAGATAGACAGACTGATAGACAGATGGGTGGATAGATGGATAGATAGATAGATAATAGGTAGATGTTATAAAATTTTGATTTTGGGGGAATGAAAAATTATTCACAAATGATATTCATAGCTCATATGATATCATGTATAGAAAATCCAAAAGAATCTAAACTAGTGGAATTAATATAATAACATGGTATGGTTGCTGATACAAACTCAAAATACAAAAAATCAACTTTATGTCTAAATATAAAACAATTAAAAATTAAATAAACATCATCTATTTGTACATATATATGTCATTTTTATAGATCTAAACATTTTGAATATCTAGGAATAAGTCAAAAATATGCTCATTACTACTAAGGAAAATATTCAAGTGAGAGAAATTGAAAAATATAGAAATATGATGTCATCATGAATTGGAAGCATAATGCTGTCTAGATGCTAGTTTTTTTCAAAACAAATGAAATCTCCAAAGTTCCAATATGACATTTTATTTTCAGAACTTGAGAGATTGATTTTAAAATTTATATGAAAAATGAAAAATGCCTAGATATGCCAGGAAAAAAGTATGAAAAGACATGGTGTATGGTAATAAAGACAGGTGGTATTAGTGTAGGAACAGGCAATACAATATGCTCAGAAAGAAAAGACCCATGAGCATGTGAAGTTTTGTTTTTTGACAAAGTAACATGATAGAGCAAGATGAAAAATAGTAATTTCAATAAACATCACTAGAAAAATTACATATCCACACATAAAAAACCCTCAAAAATTAAAATAAATACCATTAACATAAATCACTTCCTTGTGGGCTGTAGGTCTAAATATGCAGGACGGAACAATGATGCTTTTGGAAAACATCATAAGAAATATCATAAGACATAGCATAAGAAAATCTGTTCAAACATATTTTAGAAATAAAAAAATAAGAGCTCTGCGTGACCTCAGGATGCCAAATTTCTGAACAAGATACAAAAAGCTCTAAACATACAGAAAATTATTAATAAAGTCACCTACATTAAACCTAAGAACTTTACCTTACCAAGATACCTTAAGAAATGGAAATGTCAAGCTACATAATGTGAATAAATATTTGCAATACATATAACTTACAAAGGGCTCACCCAAAATATAATAATGTACGTAGATAAAAAAGAGATAGTTAAACCAATAGAAAAATAGGCAAAAGACTTAAACAGACACTCAACAAAAGATACAAATGATGAATAAATATATTAAAGGTTATTCCAACTTAATAGTAATCTGGACAGTGTAATTTAAATCACAATGACACTCCTATTTACCTGCAGGTTGGCTAAAATTAGGAAATGTGAAAATACCAAATGTTGACTAAAATATGTTGCAGTTGGAAACTAATAAACTGCTATAACCTCTTTGGAAAACCATTTGTCAGTAGCTAGCCTGTAAGCCAATTTCACGAACAGAAATATATACTAGAATAACATGTATACACGCACATCAAGGAACACAAACGAAAATGTTCATAAGAGTAGTGTTTGTAATAGAACTTGAAAACAATAAAAATGCTTATCAAAGACATTACAAATAAATTGTATATATTCAAATAATGAAGCTTCATAGCAATGAAAAAATGTACAGTTATATAAAAATGAGAATGAATTCTAAAATCATATTTACTGAGAAAACTTAGGCACAGAGAAATATGTAATCTTTGATTACTTTAACAAAATATCAAGGAAATTGATAAACTTACCATGTTATTTTTCTTTTTTTCCTTTTGAAATGCATAACTAGGTGGTTTGAAAAATGCACACACAAAGGGTAAAAAACAGAAGTGATTACCTTCAAAGTCAGAGTAGTGATTATTTTCATGAGCTTTGCTGGCATTGTTCTATGTCTTGACATTGTAGGGAAGGGAGCTTGCTTGCTGGAGGAGAATATGCTTATAATATTTTATTGAATTGTGCATTCATATTTTATACATTTTATATGTGTTATTTCACAATAAAAATGAATAAAGATACAGGAAACATATAGTATGTTATAATATGAGATATTCTCATTCAAATAATTAACTGAAAAAAATGCTAGAACCATTTATCTTATCACATTATCTTTCCTAATGACAGGAGATAAATGAGGCTCCTCTTTATCCCATTTTCAGATATGCTATATATTCTTGTAGATGTTGGGGAAGGAGAGGAATTTTCATTCTATCTTGGGTTTTATTTGAAAGTTAACTTGTACACAAAACAGCCAAGAGACATTTGCAAACGGATCTCAAAAGGTAGGTCATGATTCAGACCCTTGCTGCCTTGATGGCGTCTCTTTAATTAACAAAGCAGAGGCTCTAATGGAGAGGCCTCTGAGTGCCACAGCAGTTAATGGTCTGTTAGCATTTCACTTTAAAGGCCTGGGGATAGAGGGCTTAACCCAGGAAAGGGGCCTTGAAAAACAAATTAGAAACCACCAAATAAGTAGGCGCCTTAAAAATAGTTCCATGTAAAGCAAAAAATGCAAGAAAAGCTAAAGGTCTTAATTTACTTTGTTTGCACTTAGAAATACAACATTTTCTTTAACATTATACTTTCACCTTCTCTAATATGATCGGTTCTTAAAAAGAAAATGTTGAAAACAAATTGGTTTTGGTAGCATATAACCATTTCAATACCTGATAAATAACTCCTTCATGTGAATGATATATTTAGTTTCTTTTAGAGTCTTGTAATCTTTTTGATCAAATAACATTTTATTATATCTGTGCTACAGTTTTCCCTTCCCTTGCAATTTTATTTTATTTTTCAACTTTTATTTTAGATTCAGTGGGTATATGCTCATGTTTGTTACCCATGTATAGTGCATGATACTGCAGTTTGGGATACGAATAATCCTGTCGTCCAGGTACTGAGCTTAGTACCCAACAGTTAGTTTTTCAACCCTGGCCTCTCTCCCTCCCCACTCGAGTAGCCCTCAGTGTCTATTGTTTCCATCTCTATGTCCGTGAGTTCCCAATGTTTAGCTCCCACTTATAAGTGAGAACATGAAGTATTTGGTTTTCTGTTATTGCATTAATTCACTTAGAATAATGGCTTCTAGCTGTTTCTATGTTGCTGCAAAGGACAGAATTTCATTCTTTTTTTATGGCTACATGATATTCCTTGGTGTATTTGTGCCACATTTTCTTTATGCAATCCATGGCTGATGAGCACGTAGGTTGATTCTTGCCTTTGCTATTGTGAATAGTGCTGTGATTAAGATATAAGTGCATATGTCTTTTGGTAGAATGTTTTTTTTTTCTTTTGGATATATACCCAGTAATGGGATTGCTAGATCAAATGTAGCCATGTTTAAGTTATTTGACAAATCTCTAAACAATGTGCAGTACTTTCCACAGTGGCTGAACTAATTTACATTCCCACCAGCAGTGTATAAGTGTTTCCTTTTCTCTGCAGCCTGACTAACATCTGTTGTTTTTTGACTTCTTAATAGCCATTCTGACTGGAGTGAGATGATATCTTGTTGTGGTCTTGATTTGCATTTCTCTGATGAGTAGTGATGCAGGAGCATTTTCTCATATGTTTTTTGGCCATTGTATGTCTTCTTTTGAGAAGTGTCTGTTCATGTCTTTTGCCCATTTTTAAATGGGGTTATTTCCTTTTTGTGTGTTCAATTGTCTAAGTTTCCTTGCAATTTTGGAGAATTATTTTAGTGGGGACAAAAAATTAAAGACCGAAATGACATGATTCTATTGTGGAAAAGCCAACACCTAAGCAACTTTCTCCAATGAAATGTTATCAATCAAGGAAGAAGAAAGTCTTCCCCCCACCCCCCAAAAAATGCATTATTAAAAAAATTATTTTGTTTCCCAAATAGTTCTGACCTAAATAAACACATATGTATTTTTCTTAAGATGAAGTAAAAACACCACCAATAAACCATGTCTTTACTTAATATAAGAGAGAAGTGGAAGGGTAGTTTCCTAGGTGAAAAAAAAACTTTGCCTATTAATCTCTTGGCTAGCAAAAGAGATATCCTGTAGCTACTACATACACCGGAATGTTTCTTTAAAGACAATAACACAAATGCCTTGGACCTATTTCACCTCTTATCACTTGAAATCTAGAACAGGTTTCAATCCTGAAAAGATTCCCTGGCAAGTCATCTTGACTCCAGTGGTAGAGCAAACACTTAGGCAGTGTGTGTAATTGGTCAGGCCTGCAACTGTTGGGAGTAACCCCTCTATGAGAAGGTCTGAATTTCTGCCTCAAATCTCTTGGTTTAGGCCATTGAACTTCCCAAGATTATATCCTTTATGGTGTTCTTTAGTAGTTGGTATAGTCTTTTTTGTATGCTATATGCCTCATTAGGCAAGGATGATTCAAGATAAATTTTGCTTTTTAACTATCCCTTCCATAATTTGGATTGATAATCACAGTGAAAATGTAGGATGATACTCATAGTGTGAACACTGCTTTATCTTGTTGCCTTTCTTGCATGAACATTCTCTCTAGAGCACGAACAGCAGGTTTTATATTTGGTCTGATAAGAAAAAATCCTTTTTATTTTATTGTAATTGTTTTTTTTTAGAGATGGAGTCTCACACTGTCACTAAGGCTGGGGTGCAGCCTGTGCAGCTGGAATAAAGTGATCCTCCCACCTCAGCCTCTCAGGTAGCTGGGAGTATGGGCCTGCACCACCATGCCTGGATAATTTATATATCTATATATAGATAGATATATAAATTTGTGTTATTAAATAGTGTTCCCAAGTAGTTCTGACCTAAATAAACACATACGTATTTGTCTTAAGAGGAAGTAAAAACACGACCAATAATATATATATTTGCTAGAGACGGGCTTGCTGTGTTGCCCAGTCTGGTCTTGACCTCAAGCAATCCTTCTGCCTCAGCCTTCCAAAGTGCCAGGATTATAAATATAAGCCACCACATTCAGTCAAGAAAAAAATTCCTTTAAAGGGACTTCTTCTAGATTTATGTTTCATGCCTCAAAACTGCATGCACAGTGCTTTGCAAATAGAAGACATCTAATGTCTATTAGTTTGGTTGCATTCGATCCTTTTTTATTTTTTTTTAAATCCAATCTTATTTAATAACCTAAAATGCAAACTCTGTTTTGTTTTCTCTCCCTTCTCCCACCCCCAGCCCTCCACTGGGTTGCTTCTTTGGATTTCCTTGAATTTAATGCCTTATCAATAACATCACAAGCAAAACTGGGCCCTCAAAACTAAAGACTGCAGGAGACGGAGGCAGGAAGCAGCAGCAAATCCTTAACCTTTGAGGGTGCTCTGAAATACGACTGTGGGTGGCTGAGGCAGGGGAGGCTGTGTTGTGGGAAATAAGTTCCCTCTCAGGCTAAGGAATAAACGAGGATCTAGGCTGAGATTTGAAGCCTATGGTGGAACCCTTTATCATGAATCATCATCACAACAGTGGGTGAGAAAACAACACTGAGAAATTTTTTTAAAAAGCCAGCAAGGGATGCATATTTACATATTTTAATGAAAACAAATTATCTCTCCTGAAAGTAATTAATTGTGAAATTATTTAATTATGTTGCAGTAGTAAGGAGGAAACAGTGTTTGAGGTTTTTCAGTAAATTCCAGTATTAAGTAAACAATTATTTGAGTCTAGATTCTTTATTATGTAATTCTTTGCTGAAATCTCAGGATGTCAAAGCATTTTTCCCCAATAGTGTTAAGCCAAAACGCAGCAATTATGCAATTAGAAAGAAATTGCTCTTGTGGATTTCTTTCAATTTTGAAATAAGCATTTGGAAAGTGGTGGAGAAAGGAGATACAATAGAATTCCTGAGTAACATGGGCTTGACTTCGAAATATTTATTCAAACAAAAACTCTCATTGATTGCCATGTCAATTTCTCAGCATGCCTGCAGAAAAATAAACATAAAAATATAGAATCTAATATTTGGAAGAAAACCTACAAATTATCTAATCCAGCTTCCTACACAATGCAGAAAAATTTCCCACCGCAATGCCATCAGAAGGTCACCAGTTTTTACTAACACAAAATATGTGGCTCAGAATTCACTGCCTTGTAGTAGTTGTGGGAAAGCTTTACTGGTCATATTGTTTCTAAAATTTTGACCATCAGTTTAATCCATGCTTTCTCACAGTGCAGGGTATGTCTAATCACTTTACACCCTTAGTCCCTCAAATATTGGCACATATTGATTATTTTTACCCTCACGTATCTTCTCTGACTCAGACTCAACATTCCTGTTACCCTTAAGCACCCTGGATATAGCACGATTTACCTATCAGCTGCTGTTCAGGCTGCTCTTACTTGAGAAAGCTTCAGTATATAAATGTCTCCCCTGATGTTTCCTTTCACAAACTTGACACTATGTTCCAGAGTGGAAGTGGCATTATCATCAGCACAGATCTGTTCATCAGGTGCTATAAAGCCACATCTTCTCTTTCCTGTGCTCCTAAAATAGTTGAAGAGTCAGTAAAGGATACTCGGTAACCACAAGGACACCACAGCCAGACTACTGAAGTCATTGTATCGTAGTGTGATCATAGACAAAGGACCTCTTGCGTCTGTTCTCTCATCAATACAATGAGAATAATAACACCTACCTTGTAGGATTGCCATGAATATTTTAAAAGTTTCTATTTGTAAAGTGCTTAGAAAAATGCCTGGCACATAGTGAGGGTTTTCTAAGTGTTCATTAAATAAAATGGCTGGATCAAGGACTTTGTAATTAATATTAAATACCATAACTTTGCCTTGGGCCAATGGTTCTAGGCATATTTGTTTAGAAGAGCTAGCCTTTTTGATAGAAGAAATACCATGCAGGACTCAATATAGGAAATAAGGAAAGCGCTGCTTTGTGTCTGTCAAGGAAGAAGTATCTACCTGTAGCAGGGGCAAACCTCACTCCATACAAACCACAGCAGCCTAAGAAGCAGCTCCAGAGATGTTGGGTCCTGAAAAATACAATAGAGATATACTCTTCTAGCCTATTAATATATTTTGCTCCTAAAATGTTTTCTAGTATATATGGTAATAGTTTTCATTCTTCATAAAGTTCATAAACTGAAAAAACAATCTTTAATTTCCAAAATACGGTTGAAAGGAAAAGTTGAAAGGAAAAGTATAGAATGGTGGCATCTTTGAAGTTTTTCTGCTAGTAATTGATCCATCAATTAACATTTTCATTTTCTTTGTGAGTTGCATAATGCTGCTATCATCCAGTTCTCATTCCTGCATTTTTGCCCACATGATATTGTGACTTTGCCAAATATCTGGCTAAAATCAAGTTATATCCTGTCAATACCATATCCCTGACCCGAATGCCTCGTCACCCTCTCAAGAAAAGAAATAAACCGGAATTTGTTATTTGCACTTATGCTGCTTCTTAAGAATCCTTTCTTTTCTTTGTGTTGAGACTCTAGTCTTTCATCTTTTTAAGAAATTTATCAATGATCTGTATTCAGAATAAAAATTAATAAATTTGACATTACCAGGTAACAGTTCTATATTCCAAGTATTAGGACCCTTTTCTCATCCCTTGGTTTAAAATTATACATGGCTTGATCATTACAACTTCTCAGAGACAATCAAAAGTCATTATGTAATAATGTCTTCTAGTTATTTATATCCCCTAAGTTTTAGATAATAAAGCCCGTATAAGGTTTCTAGTGCTGCTGTAACAAATGATTACAAATTTGATGGTATAAAATAACAGATATTTGTTTTCTCACAGTTCTGAAGCCCGGAAGTCCACAGTCTCTAGTGAAGCATTTGTTACTTGACTTTTTGAGCTTCTGATGGCTCCAGGTCACCCTTGGCTTGCTGCTACCTCACTCTAATCTCTGCCCTTATCTTTACAGGAACTTCTCCTCTTCTGTGTCTCTTATCATGACACATGTCATTGGATTTAGGACTCACCCAGATAATCCAGGATGATCTTCTCATTTCAAGATCCCTAACTAAATTACATCTACAAAGTTCCTTTTTCCAAATAAGGTAACATTGACAGGTTCCAGGGACTAAGGTATGGGCTTATCTTGTTGGGGGCTGATATGGTTTGGCTGTGTCCCCACCCAAATCTAATCTATAATTCACACCTGTTATGGGAGGGACCTGAAGGGAGGTAATTGAATCATGGGGGCAGACCTTTCCTGTTCTGTTCTCATGATAGTGAGTAAGTTTCATGAGATCTGATGGTTATTACAAAGGGGAGTTTTCCTGTACAAGCTCTTTTTGCTTGCTGCCATCCATGTAAAATGTGACTTGCTCCTCTTTACTTTCTGCCATGATTGTGAGGCCTCCCCAGCCACGTGGAACTGTAAGTCCATTAAATTCTTTGTCCTGTATAAATTACCCAGTCTTGGGTATGTTTTTATCAGCAGCGTGAAAATGGACTAACATAGTA
Organism: Homo sapiens; assembly: GCF_000001405.40. Taxonomy (NCBI): domain Eukaryota; kingdom Metazoa; phylum Chordata; class Mammalia; order Primates; family Hominidae; genus Homo; species Homo sapiens. The sequence goes on from NC_000018.10 coordinate 38,408,761, forward strand.
AATTTGTACCAGAAGTGGGTTGCTGATGAAAAGATACCTGAAAATGTGGAAGTGACTTTGGAACTGGATAACAGGCAGAGGCTGGAACAGTTTGGAGGGATCAGAAGACAGGAAAGTGTGGGAAAGTTTAGAGCCTCCTAGAGACTTGTTGAATGGCTTTGACGAAAAGCCTGATAGTGATATGGATGATAATGTCCAGGCTGAGGTGGCCTCAGATGGAGATGAGGAACTTATTTGCAATTGTAGCAAAGTTGACTCTTTATGTTTTAGAAAAGAGACTGGAGATATTTTGCCCCTCCCCTAGAGATCTGTGGAACTTTGAACTTGATAGAGATGATTTAGGGTATCTGGCAGAAGAAATTTCTAAGCAGCAAAACATTCAAGAGGTGACTTGGGTGCTGTTAAAGTCATTCAGTTTTATAAGGGAAGCAGAGCACAAAAGTTTGGAAAATTTGCAGACTGACAATGCGACATAAAGGAAAAATTCATTTGCTGAGGAGAAATTCAAGCTGGCTGCAGAAATTTGCATAAGTAACCAGGAGCCAAATGTTAAGCCCCAAGACATGGGGAAAATGTCTCCAGGGCATATCAGAGGTCTTCACTGCAGCCCCTCCCATCACAGGCCCACAGGCCTAGGAAAAAATGGTTCATAGGCTGGACCTAGTGTCCCTGTGCTATGTGCAGTCTAGGGATTTGGTGTCCTATATCCCAGCCACTCCAGCTGTAACTAAAAGTGGTCAAGATACAGCTTGGGCTGTTGCTTCAGAGGGTGGAAGCCCCAAGTCTTGGCAGCTTCCAAGTGGTGTTGAACCTGCGGGTGCACAGAAGTCAAGAATTGAGGTTTCGGAACCTCTGCCTAGGTTTCAGAAGATGAATGGAAACACTTGGCTGCCCAGGCAAAAGATTGCTTCAGGGGCATGGCCCTCATGGAGAACCTCGGCTTGGGCAGTGCAGAAGGGAAAGGTAAAGTTGGAGCCCCCACACAGAGTCCCTACTGGGGCACCACCTAGTGGAACTGAGAGAAGAGGGCCACCATCCTCCAGACCCCAGAATGGTAGATTCACTGACAGCTTGCACTGTACACCTGGAAAAGCCACAGACGCTCAAAGCCAGCCCATGAAAGCAGCCAGGAGGGGGACTATGCCCTACAAAGCCACAGAGGTGGAGGTGCCCAAGACCATGGGAACTCACCTCTTGCATCAATGTGACCTGGATGTGAGACATGGAGTCACAGGAGATCATTTTGGAGCTTTAAGATTTGACTGCCTCGCTGGATTTTGGACTGGCATGAGGCCTGTAGCCTCTTTGTTTTGGCCATGTCTCCCATTTGCAATGGCTGTATTTATCAAATGCCTCTACCCCCATTGTATCTAGGAAGTAACTAACTTGCTTTTGATTTTACAGGCTTATAGGCAGAAGAGACTTGCCTTGTCTTGGATGAGACCTTAGACTGTGGGCTTTTGAGTTAATGCTGAAATGAGTTAAGACTTTGGGGGACTGTTGGGAAGGCATGATTGGTTTTGAAATGTGAGGACATGAGGTTTGGGAGGTGCCAGGGAAAAATGATATGGTTTGGTTGTGTCCCCACCCAAATCACATCTTGAATTTCCATGTGTTGTGGGAAGGACCCAGTGGGAGGTAATTGAATCATGGGTGCAGGTCTTCCCCAGGCAGTTTTCATGATAGTAAGTCTTAAGAGGTCTGATGGTTATAATGAGGAGGAGTTTTCCTGCACAAGCTCTCTTTGCCTGATGCCATCCATGTAAGATGTGACTTGCTCCTGCTTACCTTCTGCTATGATTTGTGAGGCCTCCCTAGCCACATGGAACTGTAAATCCATGAAACCCTTTTTTCCTGTAAAAATTACCCATTCTTGGGTACGTCTTTATATCAGCAGCATGAAAATGAACTAATACAGAGGCACCGTTCAATTCACTGTAAGACTGAAAGATTTAAATGTATGTATAAATGCTAACCTCTTTTATTATTTTTCTCTACTATCTAATAGGGTTACTGATGTGGAAAAGGCATCAGAAGTTTTCTTGACACAGAGGAGAGTGACAGGGAGAATACTTAAAACCATAATGTAAATGATGAAGAAAATGAGTTTGTTTACCTTGGAGAGAAAAAAAAAATCAAGGGGGGGTGGGTGGTTACAACAGATCTCTTTATATATTTTAAAGGATGGCCTCTGAAAGGCAAAACTAATTTCTATGTAATTCCTGAGGGGTAGATTTAAAATTGATGATCAGAAGTTACCACAAGATAGCTTGTAGGTTCAATTAAAGACAAATTTTCCTAAAATAACTGTCCATAGCTAGAGAGGATTATCTCAAAATGTAGTAACTTGCCTGTTACTGAAGGTATCCATACATAGTTAGGTATAGACGTTGTGAAGCTAATTAGAACCTCTAAATAATTTATAAACTGATTCATCAAGGATTTTAAAATCAGAGTGCAATTTAGAGTCACTTGGAAATATTTTTAAACTGCTACATGTTTTCTAGGTAAAGGTCTGAGCACGCATAGTTAATAAGCTCCCCCTGGTGATTCCCTTTAGTATCTGTTTGTTTTGATTGGTGGATTCCAAAGTGTGATTACAAACCAGCAGTATCAGCATTACCTGACAACTTGCTAGAAATGTACATTCTTCATTCCCACCTCAGACCTACTGAGTCAGAATCTCAGGGGTGGTGGTCCACTGAATCTTTGTTTCAATCACCTCTTCCAGCAACTGTGATGCACACTAAGGTTTGAGGATCACTGGTTTAGATCACTATTCGAGTTCCTTTCAACCCTAAGATGTTGATTCTAAGAGATGGAAGAAAAGAACAAAATATTCAATCAACAAGAAATCTAAAATAGAATCGAAAATGTGAACAGGGAGTTGTGGCAGGATTGCCAGGAAATTCCGCAGAGGCCATATTGTTCTGTGCATTGTTCCTCTAAGCCCGGATAATCATGCTCAATGATGTATATTTGCTTTAAGAGGATTCTTCATGTGGAAAAGGTTCCTGAAAGGTTTAAAGACCGTGAATGATCCCAAACTCATCATTGTGTCATGGGAGCAGGGGCCACTAAGAATGCAACTAAAGAAGGAAAATAAGAAGCAAATGCTTGGCAATTTGATGTAGATAAGATGCGGTTGTTCAAGCCAGAGCTAACTACCCAGTTTTAAAGAAAGAATATTTAGTTATAGGCCAATGTATGTTATTATCACTGGAGCAATGAATTCTTAAAATTGAACTTAAGTATATCAATAAAGAAAAGAAAAGCAAGAACACAGATTTAGGAACTCAGATCCCAGAAAAACAGCAGGTGCAATCATAATTCTCTCTTAAGAAAATATTCTGAAATAGATGCAGTATGTATATCATGTAGAAGAATATGCTTGCTATTATTGCAATATAGCAATATTTTTTATAGAATATGTAGAATAATATGTGTGCTTTGAATGTAGGAAGCGTTGCAACTGGTAAACCAGCCCATATTTATTAAATAGATTTCAGCTGGGCCACATATTTCTTAAAGATATTTTGTTTGCAAGGGATGAGAACATCAAAATCTCAAACCAATTTTTTTCAAAAAGAAAACAAAACTATTCATTGAGTGACACATTGAGCAATACAGAGTTCTTTGAATTTCAAGAAAAGCTTAATCTAGCAGCTAATTGATGATATATCCTAGAAACAATTTTCCTTTTGGTTTCTCTGCTGTGATATTCAAGGTCCTGACTTCAGGTCAGAGCTGGCTCTCCTTGTGGTTTCATCAGAGCTCTTTTTAGCAAACCTAGCTACATTTTTTTCTTGTTTGTGTTAAGGAAAAAAGGACTTTTCTTTTCCTTACCCATCTTGGACTTTTTTCCAATTGGATCGTCTTAGATCAAGTGCCTATCCTTGAACTGATTACTATGGCAAGGAGCTTGGGATTGGCTTAGGTCAATTAAGGCCAATGCTTGGAGCAGGGAACTACTCCAACCAGAGTCAAACACCTCTTTGGAAGGAGAAGGAAGGTGTGGAAGCTGGGGATGCAGCGAGTGATGGAAAAAAAATAGGTCAGGTGAGAACTTGATAAATGTTTGTTTGGAATTTTCCCTTGAGATATACTAATAAAAAGTATTTAATTCATATAAATGCAAAGTTGTACATGATACTTCTATCTATAACATCTTGTTATTCATTCTTATTTTTATTTTTTACCTTCAAAATAAAAATTCAAGAAACAAGCAGAGAAAGGCATAGGTAAAAGAAAAGAATAGGAAAGCCATATTATAATTTATCAAAAAGAGTATTCTCAGGACATATCTTTTAAACACAGACATCACAGTGAATGTGTATGTGTAAATGGTCCCAAGATAATATAGTTTCTTTACATTAAAAAAAAAGGATGGCAAGTTCAGAGAATGCAGAGTAGAAGGGCAGGGGATGAACCAGCATGTTCAGACTCCATGCCTGTGCAAACCTAAGCCAAACACATAATCTTTCTGAGTCCTTAATTCACCTGTTTATTTAAAATATGAATTTATGAAAGTACAACCATCCTCTCTTCTTCCTCACCAACTGAGCATGTATGTTCCTTGTTTCAAGTGTACCTAAAGAAAACTTGTTAGGCCACTTTAGGAACTGAAACCTACTGGTCAGTGCTTGACAACCAGAAAGCGTATGTTGAGGGCCAGAGAGTTTTGAATAACAAAGGAAAATTATTGGATCAGCCTCAGGGTAGTGACATTCAGTACAAGAAATTTTTTATGAATCCACTTTTTTAGCCCTGGTAGATAGGTTCTCGGGAAAGACTATCACCCATCATGTATTACCAACCATGTAATTAGCCAGGCAAGCAAATAAATTGAACTTCTTTAGGAAGGTAGTCTTTACATATGTGTTTACCTTTTATTTGTAGCAGAAGTTGACTGGTGCACAAGACAGGGCAGAAAAGGGGACTCCCAGCGCAGGCCTGAACTCTGGCCTCCATCAGCCGAATGAGCTCCTGCAATTAGCCACAGCCACACACTTTGGAAGGCAGTCTAGCCACCTGTTAAGTTTGGGCACATACTCCACAAGGGCTTCCCTTTTGTCTGTACACTCTTAGGATGCCTATCAAAATATCTTTTGAAATCCCATTCAGTCTTCTTCTTGGTAAATATAATTTTCCCCTTTGGTTACATTTATAGTGGTGATTTAGGGCCCTGTAGATAGACACCTGGGGCAAATAGCCCAAAGGCTGACTCCATCATCTTCTGCAGTTGGCAGTTTACACTGTGCCTGCCTTGGCTTCTTGCCTTGGCTCTGAAGCACAATCCTACTAACATGAGCATGATTTATAGGGGATCTCTCCTTAATAGGAGGGAGAATGCAATGTAATTGAGAGGACCCCGGACTGAGGGTCAGAGGATGTCGATTTGCTCCCAACCCTGGGGCAAATTAGCTTTGTGGCTGTTAAATCAGCTACGGCATCTACTCTTAGCCTCAGTTTCCTTATCTGTAAGGTGAGGGGGCTGGATGAGGGTTTAAGTCATCCGTGAGCTCTAGTTTACATCTTCCCATTGATGCAGCCTTTGCATATGCACCATGACTCCCATTGCACCGCTTGGTTACTACTTACCTATCCAAAGAAATAGAGAAGGAGAGGCTATGAATGCTTCTCACTCCCTAACTCACAGATAGTTTATAAAAATAAATGGTATACTGTTAAAAGCATATATGCTGTGAGTTAAGACAATGCGTGTTTAGCGTGTATGTGTATATACAGTACATTATATATGTCTATATATAAAGTATATATTTTTATAACATATATATGTTATATTATATATTTATATATGTATATGTTATATAATATGTAATTCTCATGTATAAATCTTCCTGATTATCTTTGTGATTTCTATTTGTGGATATAAGCCTAAAACAGCACTTCCATATTTGCAGCTGTGGTAAGTCCTTTGGCAGCAGAGGCTGAATATTTTGGGTTCAGTATCTAGAACAAGGACACTGATAGGATAGCAACAACTACCAGTCAATCTTGGTTTCTAAGGGAAAGCATTTATATACAAATGACTTTTAAACCATCCATTGTTTCTACAGAGAATTTTGAGGCGTTATGAATTTACCTTTATATACACTATAATGAATACTCCATAAAGGCAGGAATTATTATCCGTTCTATTGCCTATTCTGTCCTCATCCCCTAAAACAGTGCTTGGCACTTAGAAGAAGTTCCATGAATATTGCTGAAAGAATATAATTCAGATTAGAGAAGAGGGAAGTAAGTAGTGTAGGCATATGAATAAACTTCGACCCCACACTCCCCGTTTAGCTCAAGAGTAACCAGGTTGAAGCTTCCCTAACATGCCAGTTTCTACCATCTTCAATCAAGGGAACTCTGTTCTCCAGGGTCTGACATTTGTCTCCTGATCATCCACTTCCTCCCTGATGGGCTGCTGTGTGCTGTCCTCCCCTTCTGCTGAATGATGTCCTTTCTCTTAATGCAGATGTAGCAGAGATTTCCTCCATCACAAGGTGTCTACTTAGCTGAGTGAGGTATTGCAAGCTCAATCTGATGATCAAAATTTGAGAGCTCCATCCTCTTCATACTGCACAGATACTGTTGAAAGGAGAAATTAGAATACTGGCCAAGTTCTTCATTCTTTACAAAATCTATCCAGTTTTTTGTTTGGGTATTTTAATTTTTGGTATAGTTTTTCAGAACTATAATGAATTCTCTTAAAGATATTTAGGGATACTTTAACTGTGTGTTTTCCTCCTAAGTTGAATTTCAAGTTTCTAATTATGAACATGGCTTATAATAACCTGCATCTACATCATATACATTTTTTTCAGCACCTGATTGTATGCCAGCCCTTATAGTGTATGCCTCCCTCTGTTTTGTTTACTTGGGTAATGCTGATGGGCTATGTCTATCTTAGAGGGATAGGAAAGAGGATAGAAACTTCTGATCGACTTTTGGATATGAAAAGTCAGACAATCTCCACAGCCCCAGCAGCTTGGGGTGTACCCCGGTATGTGTGGCTCCTACATGATTTCTATCCCCGAGAGCCCTTCACGGGCAGACTGCTCCAGGACCTCGTGTGACTCCTACCCCAAGTCACGTGTGCTGCCCACCAGGCTCTGCTGGTGGGTCTTAGGAGCAGTGGGGTTCATCAGGACTGGATTCTGGTGGAATTTCAGCTCTGTGGTTTCTCTACCTAATGTCCCAGGCTTCCTGTGATATTTGAGTCCTCTTCTGAATCATATCCGAAGGCTGGATTCTTCAGAAGGTCTCCCTGTGCCATCCAGCACTTCTTCCTTCAAGTGGGTTCTGGAGTCAGGTGCTGTAGTATGAGTCAGGGCCTTGAAGCCACATCCACAGGGACTGAACTCTGCTTAGCTGTTTTCTCCTGAGGGATTTGGTGAGTTACTCAGGGTCTCTGTGCCTTAGTTTCTTCATTTGTAAAATGGTGTGCTCATAGTACCTCCCTCATAAGTGTGTTATGAGGGCAAAATAAAACTATAAGGCGCATGTAGGTCTTTTATAAATGTTATTAATAAACTAGTTCAAAAAGAAAGAAGGACCACCTTGCCCAATGCTTACAGTAGAAGGAATGTACGCCTGATCCTTGAGGAACGTGAGCTGGTTAAAGGATAATAAATGGTATACTATTTGCTGGAGAGAAAGGCCCCCAAACTGCACCTGCTCATCTACTACTTACTGAGATTGGAATTAACATTCTGCTTAATAGAGAATCTCTGGAAGTTCATGGGAGAACAATTTTTTAAACAAAATATAATAAAATTAATTTAAACAATTAAAATCTCCTGAGCACGATTTAAATCTCTGATGGCTCTGCAGTCACTATATGATGCCCAAGTTACTTCAGGGTCATTATTATGAACATTCTTACCACACACCTTTTTACATGACATATGCTCAATAAGTGTTTGTTGGTAGAATGGATAGATGCGAATGGACATCAATAACCATTGTATTATTGGAGATGGATAAAGTGCTAGCAAAGAGAATGTCAGATATTTCACTGCCTGGAATATTATCATGAAAAGCTCTTTGATTTCAAAGAACATCTTTTCTTTAGAGATGGTGAAGTGGTTTGCTTGGCATCACACAGCTAAGGCATAGCAGGGCAAGGATATGCACCTAACATGTGAAGCTGCAAAGTAGGGCTATCAGATAAAATACAGATGCCCAGTTAAACTCAGATTTCAGGTGAAAGTGAGTATTTCTTAGGACATGTATCAAATATTAAATATTTTTAGAATAAGTATGTCCAAAAGAATGAGTATTTTTATTTTTTATTTAAAAAAATTTCTTGAGATGGAGTCTCACTCTGTCACCCAGGCTGGAGTGCACTGGTGCAATCTCCTCTCACTGCAACCTGTGCCTCCTGGGTTCGAGAGAGTCTCCTTCCTCAGCCTCCCAAGTAGCTGAGACTACAGGCGCCTGCCACCATGATGGGATAATTTTTGTATTTTTAATAGAGACAGGTTTTCGTCATGTTGGCCAGGCTAGTCTTGAACTCCTGACCTCAGGTGATCTGTCCACCTCAGCCTTCCAAAGTGCTGGAATTACAGGTGTGAGCCACTGCACCCGGCCTATGAGTCTTTGTAATATAAGTGTGTTCCACATATTGAATGGGACATACTTATCCTAAAATATTGTTTATTTTAAACTCAAATTTAATTGAACATCCTGTATTTTTACTTGTCAAATCCAGAGACTTTACTGCAAAGCCCATTTGCCCTCCCACACACCATGTCTGTTCAGCCTCCCTCAGTGACCCAATATAGTCTAAGATGTTTTCAGGTAAAACGAACAGCTAGTTCTCTGGTATTCCATGCGTCCTTCACTCCCCATGACTGGGAAAAATACAATCTTTGCTGCACTCTTCTCTTGTCTCACTCTTTCTTATACAACTCTTCAATTTTCTTAAAATTCTTTGATCCTTCTCTCAATTTCTAGTCCTACAAGTTTAATTGTCATCAGAATGACTCACTGTCACCTCAAACTCATCTCATTTGTAAACCAAATTCATCTTTCCTACAACTCGTGTACCTTCCTGCTCTGAATTCCCTATTTTTAAAATGCAATAACCTATTTCCCAAATATCAGACTTGCCAAACCACAAAATGACTGCAATCTTTCCCCACCCCCTGTCACTAGAGCCACATACAATCAATTGCTTGGTGGTGGTGGTTTGTTTTTCAGAACATTTCCAAGCCCTTCCTTTAAATTGCCTAGGATCCAAGTCTTGAGGAGGCTCACATCACCTCATTTTCAGACCAATGTTATTGTTTCCATTGGTTCCAACTCTCCCTCCTCCAGGCAATTCCGTCAAGCACATGCCCAGGTTAATGTCTATAAAATACAACATTTTCTAACAAGATAAAGACAAATAGCCCAACAGAAAATGAAAACATTTATGAACAAGTAATTGGCAGTAGAGAAATTATAAATGACTGAAAAACACATGAAAACTGCTCAAATTCACTAATGGCTCAAGGAAATGCAAATTAATAATGAAATATCACTTTATGATCAGCACACTGAAAAAGAAATGAACAATAATAGCTAATGCTGAGAAGGATGGAGGAAAAAGAGTACTGTCACATTTCTGTATCACACAGAAATGTGAATTGATAGTCTTTGAAAACAATGTAGCATAAACTATCAAAATTATTTTTGACACATAGGAACAATACCACTCCTAGGCATCTATGTCATAAAAAGAAATCCACTGACACTTAAACACATACACACATGGTCATTTGCTGCAGAGGGCTTTTAAATAGAAAACAAAAAAAAAATCCTTGAGGAAATAATGAGTTCTAAGAAATAAGAAAATGATTGAATAATCACCGTAGAATATTACAGAGTTGTTGGAAGAATACGTCAGTGCTTTAGCAGTATAGGAGTTGGTTAAGGTAAGAGGGATTTCTATGAGTGAGAAACGATGCAGAAATATTTGTATACATGATTCCATTTTATAATAGTGACCCAACTCATTTATTAGAAATGAGGAGGTTTGTTGCCATACAATGTATAAATATCTATGTGACACACACACACACACACACACACTTTCATGAAAATGAAAAACACAGAAGGATGCATCTTACAAAGTGGTTAACGTGAATCTCCTTGGGGGGAAGTGATGAGAGATCGCGTATGAATTAATATGGGCAAGAGCAGTGGCAAAACACTAGTTTTATATCTTCTGCTGTGACTTTTAACAGTCATCCTTTGCCTATAAAATAATAATACATATTTAACTCCCACTTGCTGGCCTTGGTCTATTTTCCTGGGCTTGTGTAACACTGTTTCCTATTACAACTTTCCATCCCAATAAAAATGATCTTTCTACCAATCTCTATCTTGGATTCCCTCCTGCTTACCCCCTGTACCTAACCTTCATACTCACTCAGATAATTGATCTCCCTCTTTTTAGTTATTCCTTTAAGGAATCCCTCACATTTCATTTGCCTTATGATGTTTCCTATTCTCTCTGGCCTTCCTTTTTATATTTTCTCTGTAATAGTGGTAGATCAGTTTTCACAGTGACCATTCATTCAATGTCTGCCTGATCATTCCACCAGCTCACCTGTGCAGAGTATTCCTTTGACCATTGAGACTAATGGACTTGCCCCAGATACATCAGAGTGTGGTGGGTGAAATAGTTTGCTCTGTTTTTCCTACTCAGATTTAAATCCAGTTTTCTGAGCCCTAATTCTGTGTTATTTTCATTAAACAATGCTTGCTGTATCTTATTCTTTTGTATGTGAAATACCTGAAAGACTGCCCTATGCTGCCTGTCTGAGACTAGTATTACCTTTTCTCGAGACCTCACTTCCAATCTGGTTTCCTGGACTCCTAGCCTTTCTTTTCCTCATCTGTGTAATGGGGGTGTTACTATAGCTCCTTTGAATTATGATATAGAAGGGGTTAGATATGCATTAATGTGTCACTTAACAACCAAGATATACTTTGAGAAATGCATCAATAGGTGACTTCATAGTTGTGTGAACATCATAGAGTGTACTGACACAAACCTAGATGGTATAGCTTATTATACACCTAGGCTATATGATATTGCTCCGAGGCTAGAAATCTACACTGTATGTCACCATATTGAATACTGTATACCATGGTAAATAGTTGTGTATCTAAACATTTTAAACATAGAAAAGGTATGGTAAAAATGGTATTATAATCTTATGGGGCCAATTTGCAGCGTATGACAGTATGTCATTGTCATAAGTGACAGCCTGCTGCCTGCTAGGCACCATGCTCAGCATATTATACACAACAACCATGCAAGCAGTGTTTTATGATTATCTCTTTACAGATGGTGTTGACAAGTTAGGCAAATTTCTCTGGGTCAGGAGGAGGTTGGTGGCTGCAATGGAGTGACACTTGTATTCCCCAAAATTCATATCTTGAAACCTCATCCCAGTGTGATGGTATTTAGAAGTGCGACTGGTGGGAGGTAATTATGAGGGTTGTGAGGGTGGAGCCCCCATGAATAGTTTACTGCCCTTCTAAGAATAGGCCATAAAGCTAGCTAGCTTTCTTTATGCATCATGTAAGGATGCAAGAAGTTGGTAGTCTGCAATCCAGAAGAGGACTCTCGCCAGAACTCAATCATGCTAGTTGCAGACTGTTCCTGCTCATGAACTTCCAGGCTCCAGCACTGTGAGAAATACATTTCTGTTGTTTATAAAAGAAGCCCAAACCAACTAAGACAGTGGCAAAGCCAGGACTCTCAGCTTCCAAAACCTTCATTTCTTTTTATGACCCTCTGCAGAGCAAAGCTAGCTTCAGCCTTAAAGTTAGGGTCTAGAATATGGTACCACAGCAGGCTACCATGTGAGGAAGAGCCAAATCCAAGCAGAAGGAGCACAGGACTCTTGGCAAACATAGTCAAGTTTGGCCGGAGTCCATGCAAGGGCAAGGATGAGAACCAGGAGCCAGAGAATTATTATAAGAGATCTTCCTTTTGACCTACAGGTAGTGTCTCCTGCAATCAGCTCAAGGCTCTTTTGAAAATCCTTGTGTGCATTTACCTTGTATGTATTTACCTCCTGTCTCTAACCTTCCTTTATGCCCGAGTCTTGACACAATCAAATCTCCAGTGCCTTTCTGGATGTTCCTTATCTGGTCCCTCCCCAAGTCTAGTTGCTGCTCAGAGTTAGAGCAAACGCATCCTGGAAACCATTTATCAGTTCATGTCTCTGGTGCTTCCAGCATATGCATACTGCCTGCTCATTTTTCAGGCAAATACGCATAAAATAAGGTCCCCATTCAAAAGGGGTACATTTTAACCTATTTGGAGTGCGTGTCTGATGTTGACTTTCCTGGGAATTTCGGAGAGAAAAACCTGCAGCTGGTTGGCCCAGGTTTTGTTTCACTTTCCCAGTAGGTACAGTCTCTCTGAGCTGCGGTATTCACACATGCCCAGCGTGTTGCCAGCAGGGATCAAAGACAGAGTCAAAAGAGGCAGAAATAGCAAAAATCCTGTTCCGACGCCTTTGCAGCTTGCAGACATTCAGCATTTCATCTCCATGAATTTCCCAGAGTGCATTCAGGAGTTGTGTGCGTTTAAATTTTGACCCTTAGCCGCCCATCGTCTCATTCCCTTTTGGAGTATTCAGAAATTCACACTATTAGCCAAAGGGGACACGTGGGGTAAAAGGAAGGAAGACAATCAACTCTCTAACCTGGCCAAATTGTTTTGAATAATTTCTGACTCAAAATTTCCTTATCTTTGCCCTTTTGCTCTTCCCCATCTTCCCCAATCCCTTTAGCAATTCCTGCTTCCATTCTGGCCTGATGGGGTCAAAATATCACACAATCAATGATTCTAACTTGAGTCTTATTTATTTTTTCTTGATATATTAAAGAAGTTGGCATATCAGGAAAGTAGATTATGTGGTCCTCATTTGAACTTCCCGAGGTCCCTGCAACCCTAACTTAAGGTTCACCCAGTTGGATGTTAATACTTTGAGTTTGTCATTTAAGGAACTGTACAATAAACATCAATACAATTCTGGCTCTTGTTTCATTTGAGCTATTCAGCCCTCTAGGGCTAGCAAATCTGAAAATCTGAGCATCACCGATTACTGAACTTTAAAGAAGAAACGAAGTTATGGATTAAGGAAGTCTGAGTTTCAAAAACTGCTTCTAACTTAAAGTAAACAGTAAGGCTTCTCATCAGCATTTCCTGAGCTATCCTGGTTAGAAGTTGGCCCCATTGGAAGTCAGTCTACAGCCTGTCTCTATTCTTCCAGAATTACAGGTTGCCATGGTTACAGTGGCTTCTGGAAATGAACTTCATAATTGCTGCATATTGCGTATAAACAGCTGGATTCCCTCTTTCAATTTCACTCTGAAACAATGAAGGCCCAAGAAAATGGCCCTGTATTTGAATCATTGACATGCTAAAGACCATTATCCTAGGAGTGAAGCATCATGGCGTAGGGAAACTTGAAGAAATGATAAAGTCAAATTCCGAGGCTCTCTATATGTAGATGAATGTAAAATGCATGTGTGATTCCACATACACAGAATCAGAATATTTGAACAGCAGAAAGAGTCCCTCCTTTCAGAGACTCATTAATCTCACTACTGTTTTACAGGGCATGAAACAGAAACCCAGAGATTGAGAGTTTTCTGTGCAAGGCCACACAGCAAAGCAGGTGCAGAACGGGATCTACAGAACATTTTGGTGCTGGAGCTACTCCTCCAGTCTGAAATTCAGAAGCTAGGCTTGAGTTCTGGCTCTGCTATAAATCAGCTGTGTTGCCTCTAAGTGTCATTTAATCTGGGGATGTCTACCATCTATAAATTAAGGAAGTTGACCAGAAAAGTTATTGGAGCATATACTCACCACTATTGTTTTTCTGTATTAATAGTGGCCGCTCAGAAACCATGATTAGTGGTTGTCTCTACCTCAAATATCTGCCAAACTGGCCTTCTGTGGGCTTCTAAGATCCCACACTGTATTCCCCTGTAAGGAAACACATTGAATGTGATTGTTAAAATCAAAACGCTATGAGGAAGATGAGATATACATGGCTGTTAACGTCCTAGTACAGAGTAGTTGATCAAGTTAGTTGTATAGTTCAGTGTTGAGGCACCTATGGGTAAGAATGAAAAAATAAGTTTCTCTTAGAGAAGATTGTTTGAAGGGGCAAATGTTAGGGTTTGTGGGGAACCCAGCTTAACAGTAGGACTTCACCTGCTTGAGAGAATACGAGGAGAAGTGTATGGAGGGAGAAGCAAAAGGAGATGAGGAAACCCATTTCATAGAATAAGGTTTTTTCTGTGTCTTTCCATTCACTTATGTAGCTACCTCTCTTTGTGAGAAAGCCTCAAAATACTCCCAATGAAATTTATACAGAGAGTAACAATGCTGCTAAAATAATAATTAAAAAACAATCAGAGCAATTGACCACACACGGCTCTTAATAGAGAACTATTTATCTGTCCTCCCTTGGCTGACACTGGTGACATTTCTGTTCTGCATGTAAAATCTCAGAGGCCAGCCTAGGTGCTTTTCTGAGCTGAACAGCCTTCCCTATCCCTCTGTTGTGTTTAGGTTTGGTCTTCCACAAAATGAGCCTGCTGTAAAATATAGCATGTAACAAAGACAGGGTTTCATCCTCTTCCTTGGAACTATACTTTCTTTCCAGGAAGAAACTGCTTTCTAAAAGTTTGTGTTTGTTTGTTTGTTTGTTTAAAAGAGAGACGTTCTTGCTCTGTCACCCAGGCTGCTGAAGTGCAGTGGTGTGATCATGAATCACTGCAGCCTTGAACTCCTGGGCTCAAGCAATCCTCCCAGCTCAGCCTACTGAGTAGGTGGGATTATAGGCATGTACCACCATGTCCAGCTAATTTTTTGGACAAGGTCTCACTATGTTCCCCAGGTTGGTCTTAAACTCATAGCCTTAAGCCATCCTTCCATCTTGGCTTCCCAAAGTGCTAGAAATATAGGCATGAGCCACCACACCTAATCTAGAAGTCTTGAAGAGAGGAATATGCAATGCAGCATGTCGACCCCTCTGGGGGTCTCCGTCCCCCCATTGTGGAGCACAGAGTGTACTTATTTTAAGAAACAACAATAAAATACAATAAGAAAAACAAACCTACAAATGAACAAAAAACTCTTCTCTAACTCTAAGGGCCACAACTGGGGCTACGAAAGCCTGTCATGGACTCTTCTCTCTCTCTTCAGTTGGCAGCAAACCTCTGGTAATTTGTAGACACTTAGGTGTAGCCTGGTCCATCTTTGCTCCCCTTACAAATTTTACCTAATTGCTTGTACACAGAGAGGCCCTTTCTACATCTTTACTTGCTGTAGGTCTTGTCTCCTGTTTTTTTTTCATGACTTCTTATCTATTTCTTTCTGTCCCTGTCACTGATATATTTTTACCATTTAACTCTCTCCTAAAAAACAAAACAAAACAAACACAGCTCTCACTTGGTGTGAATGCTCACTTTTGCTTCCAGATTCCACCCTCCTCCATCTCTTTCTTGAATCCTGTCATCCCCCAAACACATTCTTCTCTGAAGAGAGCAACTGGGTCCTTCATATGTTGAGTTTCTTTCAAAGGACCCTGCAATCAATAGCTATTTGTTGATTTTTTAAAATTTTGACATTCCTTAGAATTTTGATATGCAAGCTTTATACTAATCATTCAAATTTTTACATTTATTTAAATTTTTTTTTTTTATTTTGAGACTGAGTCTCGCTCTGTCACCCGGGCTGCAAGCTCTACCTCCCGGGTTCATACCATTCTCCTGCCTCAGCTCCCCGAGTAGCTGGGACTATAGGTGCCCACCACCACGCCCAGCTAATTTTTTGTATTTTTAGTAGAGATGGGGTTTCACCGTGTTAGCCAGGATGGTCTCAATCTCTTTGACCTTGTGATCTGCCTGCCTCGGCCTCCAAAGTGCTGGGATTACAGGCGTGAGCCACCGTGCCCGGCCCATTAATCAATTTTTAATTGAGTATCTATGTGTTAAACATTTTCCTAAACAATACATAATTTCCTCAAAAGTCATTGATTCAGGAATAAAGATAAATTAAACTAAAAACTAAACATATAAATAAGACGGAATATTTTGCTAACAATGGGAGTTTGAATTTTTACCACTGTAATCTGAGACCCCAGGATTTTTATCTCTGTTCACATGTGGAAAAAGCTAGAGGAACATTTCTGGTTTGTTGTGAGAGAAAAGAAGGAGTTTTGGAGATGTTAAAATAAGTTTCTCCAGCCTTCACTTCCAAGGGTATGCTAAGGAACGGTAAGATCTATGGATATAGAGCCTCTGGCTAAAACTGTTTCGTACAGTTCATTTTAGGAAAATAAACTTGCCTCTGTCCAGAGACAAGTGAGAAGATGCTGGATGGGGATAATGATGGAGAGAAGTAGTGTTGCAGGACAGAACTTTTCATGACAGAACTCTCTATTTCCATGTCTTACGTAATCCTTATTCACTTACCTGGGGCTGTCATTCCTGCCTCTGTGCCCTCAAGAGCAAAGGCAGCCAGCACAGTGACATTTTAATAATAATACTTTGTACTTATACAGCACCTGTCAGCCAATGATCTCAAAGTACTTTCCCTGAGATTAACTCATTAATCCTCACAAGGTTAAGTGACTTCCCCAAGGTCACAGAAAAGTGAATGTCAGGGGCAGGCGAGAGCTGTGAGTTTCCTGGCTCTCATCAAACTCTCAAGGTTGTCTACCTGCCTGCCTACCACAAGGCCACTTCCGACATAACCCAGACTCACAAAGCCACCATGAGTTTGTAAATCCACACTTCTGTGTTCCATGTAAATCCTTTTGCTTCATCAGTCTAGTGGTCAGACATCTCTGTTTAGAAAGTACCCAATCCACAGCTGGAAACATAAGTTTCTGGGAGGGGCAGGGATGGCTGAAATATACCACCTTATAGAATGTACAACCTTGCTCACTTTGCACAAACCAGTCCGAACGCGTGATGCTGGGTTTTCCTGTTGAGGATGTCTGAGAAGTTAGACCCCATGCCTTCCTCAGTTGTCCTCCCCTGACCCAATCCCCACTTCTGGTCAGGGATATCTGGCCTTTTCCAACCATAAGTTTTACCTACTTTTATTTATGCATTTTTTTCTCTCTAGTTAAATGTTGGTCAGTTGGGGAGCTTTAACTTTTTTTTTTTTTTTTTTGATATGGAGTCTCGCTCTGTTGCCCAGGCTGGAGTGCAGTGACATGATCTTGGCTCACTGCAAGCTCCGCCTCCCAGGTTCACGCCATTCTCCTGCCTCAGCCTCCCAAGTAGCTGGGACTACAGGTGCCCACCACCATGACCGGCTATTTTTTTTATATTTTAGTAGAGACAGGGTTTCACCATGTGTTAGCCAGGATGGTCTGGATCTCCTGACCTTGTGATCCACCCACCTCGGCCTGCCAAAGTGTTGGGATTACAGGCGTGAGCCACCGCGTCCAGCCTAACTTCATATTAAATAGTGATTTGTCATCCAGCAGTCAGCGACTTCTCAGAAAGAGGCTCTAAGACTACATGGCCTCAAGGAATCTGCATGTGTTGGGGGAAGATGGATTCAGGTCTGAACTGATCATGGGAATGAAGGCAGATTGTAAACAGAACTTGGGGTAGGACACGGCTATTTGCCATTTTATCAAAAGGAGGCCTGCAGATCAATTATACTAATTTTATCTGGAGTTTACAGCTCGCTCCCTTTTCACGAGCTGCTAATCTGCTTATTTCTCTCCATTCCCTCTCTGAACAGAAAATGAGGGTAATATCTTAAGGAAAGCAACTGGATGTTGCCCACACCTCTGCTCTATTTTCTCTGAGTTCTTACATTAGAGAGGCAACAAGAAGTGAAATGCCTAGGCTGCATATGTGCTGGGCTCAGTTCACCCCTATCTACACACTCCTCTGTCACAAGTTTAAACAAAGAAGCAGTTGACCACCATTTGCCAAGATGGTAGCTATGGCTACCCCAGGATAAGGAAGGCTTGAATGAAGGATCAAGACAGCATTTAGATGTGGTGGCAGTGAAGGGCTTTGGTGTTGATGGAAGGGTCCCACCTGATTCCATGGTGAAGGCAGAGTTCATGTTTCTGTCGCTGCAGGGGTTTGAAAGGAACCTGAAATCCAATCTGGTTGTTGAAGGCTTGGGGTCTTCAAACAATGCCAGCAAGCAATGCATTATAGTATTGTATTGAAGAAGTGTCTCATGGCCACAGGGAAGAACCCTACTTTTCATTTCCTGTAACCCCTGTCCTCACATCTTCTCATATAGGATTGGCAGGTAGGTGGAGCACTGTAAATGTCTAATTAACTGCCCTGTTACTTTAAAGGAGAAGGTCTAGAAACAATGCACCCCGCAACAAAAACTGTCTAACTCATTATGGACACAAAACATGAACTTCAGGCAGTCCTTAGGCCGGTGGAAGAGAGATTGAAGAGGCTAGTGAAACCAGGAAGCCCATATCAGATCTCAGGATGCACCATGCAGACATTTTCTCTCCTCTTCTCCCACTAAGACTGCAGCTTCCATTGAGGCCACGAAGCTGTCACCGAAGTGTACAACTGCCTCATTACCAGAGAGAGGAGCTGCACACTGGGAACCTCATTGGCCCCCTGGGGCATAGAGACCCAGGATCACAGCATGGCAATGCACCCCCTGCTGGCTTTTATTGTATGCTAATGTAATGGGCCATCAGTCTGAAGGCTGTCTGAGCATAGAAACAGGATTTCTTTTTGTCTAGTTGGAACAGTCATTTGAAATTCTAGCAAGCAGAAATGAGTGTGAGTGTTACAGGAAGGAAGGAAGGAGGAAGACATAAAGTAGAAAGGGAAGATGAATGAAAATGGGTGAAATAAAAGATTTTATGAGGGAAAATGAGAGAAATTCAGAGAGCTTTCTGCTTTAATGAAGTGTAACTTAAACAAAAATGCGGGGTAACGGACCAGCGTATACTTCTCATTGCAGAACACCAAAAAATAGCCACGAGGCCAAGGTTGCACACAGCAGGGAAGCCCAAGGTCATCCAGCTTCTAAAGAATGAGAAATCCAGCACTGGCACATCTCCTGAGTGTGTTTCCTTGGGGAAGAGTTGCCACTTACTGTGCTCTTTTCCTTCTTTACAGAAATGACATAATTCTCCTAATGTAATGCAAAAGGTTTCCATGCTGCCTTTGAAATGCCTTTCTCTCACACAGGCATCTATTTCCTGGAGTGACTTTGCAGACACTATTATCAAGTAGGTGGAAAGAAAGGAAATAGGAAGAGAGGGAAAAGGAGAAGGAGGAAGGAAAAAAGGTTAGAAAAAAGGGAAGAAAGTGAGGAAGAAAGTGTCCACGAAAAGAGTCAAACTAAAATATTTGAAGAGTTTTATTCTGAGCCAAATATGAGTGACCATGGCCCATGACACAGCACTCAGGAGGCCCTGAGAACATGTGCCCAAGATGGTCAGGGTAGAGCTTGGTTTTATATATTTTACAGAGGCATGAGACATGCCTCCTAAATACATTTAATAAATAACACTGATTTTTTTCAGAAAGGTGGGACAACTCAAAGGAGGTAGGGAGAGCTTCCAGGCTATAGGTAAATTTAAACATTTTCTGATTGACAATTGGTCGAGTTTGTCTAAAGACCTGGGATGGAGAGAAAGGAAATGTTCAGGCTAAGATAAAAGACTGTGGAGACCCAGGTTCTTTTGAAATCTTATAGTGGCTGCTCTTAGAGATAATAGATAACAAGTGTTTCTGATTCAGACCTTTAAAATGTGCTAGACTCTTACTTAATCTCTTCAGGATTGGGAGGGCCTGGAAGAAAAAACTAGCTATGTTAAGAGATTCTTTACAGATGTACATGCCCCTCCCCACAAAGGACAGCTTTGCAGGACCATTTCAAAATATGGCAAAGAAACATGCTTTTGGGGTAAAATAATTTGACTTTCTTCTTTGTCACATAATGTTATGCCAGAGTCAGACTGGAAAGTAAGTGATGATATATAGGGTTAAACAAAACCCATCTGATGAGAATTTATGGTTTGTAGGGCGTGACTCCAAAGACCCCTTACATAGGAATTTGGGCAAGATTAAAAAAAAAAAAAAAATCAGAGCTTAGTCCTCAAAAGGGAGGAGGAAAGCGTTCAGCCTAACTAATTGTGAACCACATGCTAGATGTGGTGCCCATTTTACTTGTGGCAATTTTACTTAGACTTCTACCTCATGCTCAGATTGTTCCCAAGCAGGGCCCTACAGAGAGAGTTACATAAACTCACCCAGGGAAGAAGCTCTACAGCCTCAGTTCATCATTTCTTTCTCTCTGGTCTTCCCCAAGCTTCCAGTCTGTGAGGTGCACAGCCGGGTGCACCTGTACCCCAATCATTAGGATCCTTTTCCTCTTTCAGCTGA
This sequence comes from Homo sapiens, assembly GCF_000001405.40. Taxonomy (NCBI): domain Eukaryota; kingdom Metazoa; phylum Chordata; class Mammalia; order Primates; family Hominidae; genus Homo; species Homo sapiens. The sequence continues at coordinate 38,429,203 of NC_000018.10, forward strand.
GTATGGGACCATTAAAACAGAAAGCAAGGCTGCATGACCTCCTGCTTTTGCATATTTCATATGTGACATGTTGCAGACTTGAGCACATATCAGGTTTTCAATACACATCTGGATTAGTCATTTCCTTTGATAATACAAATTTTTTAACAAATAAAATTATTCCAAGGAATATGTAAGTTTTAGACGTATCAAAAAGTGTCCCATGGCATCCTCTTTGTTGTGATAGAAAAGTATACAGCACCATTGGGTCTTTTTCCATGCTGACACTCCTCTCTGTGATGTATTGAAGCCATTTGGTATTAACAAACTAAATTGAAAAACTAGTGAGTCTGCCTTTCCGGGCCCAATCCAGCATGCTGTCCATGTGAGGCTTAAATGGAAAAATACTGTAAAAAGACTTATTTTAATTTGATGTCAGGAACAGAGCCAAAAGATGGCCTGGCACAGCACAGCAGGCAGGAGGAGCTATCATCAGGACTCCTTCTCTCTTGATCAAAAACTCAAGCACATTCTTTGACTTTATGTTGTCATTTGCTGTATTAAAGATTCAATTCTTTTTAAGCACTCACCGGGACCATCCTCCATGGGGCATGGTTACAGGAAGGCAGTATTTAAAGGAGTTAGTGAGGCTGATTGAGAACAGCTCTGGGGCCTACGTTCTGCCACCAGTTTGGCTATATGATAGTGGACGAATATCAGACTGTCACCCCTTGTCTGTGCCTTGGTTTCTGTCTGTGAAGCAAGGAGTTGAACTAGGTGAAATCTAGTAACTTCCAGCCTTCACCTCCCTGCTTAATCTACTAGCTCCACACCAAAAATTCAGCAGAAACTTCAAACCCTGAATACTTCTATGTGCTTCCTACATTAGCACCCATGGTTCCTCTGACTTTCTTAAAGATACCTGGTCTTACACAAGATTTTAATCCTAATGTCCAACAAGGTCAAAAAGATTTAGCTTCTGAAATGAAAAGATTAATGTTTCCATGGATGGGAGAGAAACCAGAGGGAAATTGTTGCTGGAACGTGAGAATTCTATCTTGTAGGGTTTTTTTTTTTCCCCACAGCAAATAAGGTTTATGGATTGCAATGAGGAGTCTGTCGCATTAAAATAAGTCTTTTTACAGTATTTTCCCATTTAAGCCTCACATGGACAGCATGCTGGATTGGGCCCGGAAAGGCAGACTCACTAGTTTTTCAATTTAGTTTGTTAATAGCCTGCCTTTCATAAAAGCATCAGGCACAATCACACCAATCCCTAAATCAATAGGATGATGCAGCAATGCCTCACAGGAATGATATTTTTGAAATAAATATATACCATTCAGCCAGGCCCGTTTGACATCAAATTTATATACTCAATAAGAAAGCACAATTAATGGTCCCGAACTGTGTTTTCCTTCACCTATTTCACATTTCAAGAAGCACAGGATTTCTTAAGAAAAAAAATAATAAGGAAAGAAAAAGAGAAAAAAACATTCCATTCATAAATGGGATGAAAAAGCAATGCTAGCTTGTTGGTGCCTCCCCAGAACCTGTTTATCTTGCCTCCAACCTCATTTCTCTCTTCATCCTGGTCTTTGCTCTGATGTTACTCTTTACAGAGGAATTCCCTGACATTCCATGCAAAACAGCACCCCATTTCCTCCATGTCCATTTGCCCTGTTCCTCATAGCACTGCATTATATTATCTTTGTTTATGTCACCTCCTTCTCAACAAATATAAGCTCCATGGGAATAGGGTCTGTGCTATTTTGTTCAACACTATATCCCCAACACCCAGAAAAGTGTCTAATTTCTGAGAAGTGTCCAAAATAATTTCTTGAAAGGATGAGTGAACTGATAAATGAATATCTACTCCACTTCCTCTTCAAGATATATTGATCATGAAGCTGTGTGATCACGTTCATATAATAAAAAAGTAATAGAGGACATACATGTCTTCTACTTACTCACTAAATCAATCATTCAATCAATCAGTAAATACTTAGTTTTAAAAATGTGTCCCCCTACTCTGTGTGTGTGTGTGTGTGTGTGTGTGTGTGTGAGAGAGAGAGAGAGAGAGAGAGAGAGACAGAGAGAGAGACAGAAAGAGCATGATCAAGGGTATATTGGAAGAGTACTCCATGTTACTATAAATAATGTAAGATAAAAATAAAACTATGGTAATCGGGGAATATTACCAGGCTAACCTCTACCCTTCCTGTGTCTCCACCTGCTAGGGCAAATTTATTGTTGCCTTTATAGGTTTTCTATTTTTCTACCTTCTAACTGAGTCGTCCATCTATGCCAGTCTAGTGTATAGTGAAAGCGAAGAAAATTTTTTTTAATGATCCTATGAGTTATTAGTGGAAAACCCTATTACAGTCTTTGATAAATATATCTAAACACAGGAATTACATGTTAATTACTCTTGTTTGCTGAGTTGTGTTTCACTGAATCCAACACATGCTAAGGCTGGAACTTGTGGGACCACAGGTTATAGTTGGGTTTTGTTTGGTGACCTCCATATGTAGACTTTTCAAGGTGCAAACTCCAAACTTTCCTTAGGTAGGATCCTTTCCCTAGACTAACACCTAGAGTGCATTTTTGCCATGAGTGCCTGGGTCCATTGCGCCTGTATCATCAAGATGTTTGAGATGATCCAACAAAAGCCATCATTGTTGTTGAACTGCAACAACTAGGACACCTTGCAAAAAATTCTGACTGTAATGATGACAGAATTCCAAGTTTGGGGAAAAATAAAACATGATACAGGAATAAAAAGAATCAGACTTAAGTGATTTCAACCACCTGAGGAAGTAAAAAATTTCCCTTAGCAGTATTTAATCTGGATATTAGATATTTTGTTCTAACTTCTGCAGACATCAATTTTTTCAAGAAATTTGTCATTTGAGAGAAGGGAGGAGAGACCACTGTCAAGACTGATTAGATCCATGAGGAGCTTGTTGGTGCAAGCACAGACCCTGGGGATGAAGCTCTGTCCTGAGACTAATGCCAACTTTGGAAATTTGAGTTCAGGCTATTTGATAAAAAATAAAGTACTTGAAGTATCTGATACTTCAAGCATTTCTGTTTTTATTAAGTTCTGGGCTGAAGGAGCCCATGTGCCTTTTCCATGTACCACCAAGAAGTTACTGTGTTCGTAACTAAAAGAAAAGGACGGTTTATCATGTTTAGAGCATGCCACTGAAACAGTAGCAGAATAAACAGCTCTGGAGGAAGAAAATTGATGGCATCTAGGAGAGAATTTAAAGGGCCAATATCTATCTACTTTGTTGATAGGGCATTCTGCCAAATTGTGGAGTGGAAAGGATGTATACGTGATGGTACCTTCATTCCAGAGAAGATAAACTATATGCAAACAAGTGCACTGTAAGTCAATGTGAAACATTTGCAACCTGGGCTGGGGTTGTTTGGTCAAGCAGGCTACAGAAAAGGATGCAACTGAGCCAGACTTTTAAATGTGCCATTGTCACAGGTCTTTATGGACAGAAACCACATAGGTAGAATAATGCTGATTCTCCTAGGCACTGGGTTCACCATGGAGCATCAGTCTAATTATTTAATAATTAGTAGAGGCACTGTACTAAACGATGTAGAGTAATTATTTAATTTTACCAATTTCCCTATAGCATTATTACTGCTTTTTTACAGATAAGGAAACTGAAGTATAAGAAGGTTAATATCTTGCTTAGGGTCCCATAGGTGAAGGAGTCAAGGCCTAAACCTTAGTCTATGTGATGCCAAAACCAATGAATCCAAATTTCATTAATAATAAAAGCTACATCTAACTGAATATTTATAATGAGCCAGGTGATTGAGCACTGTGTAAGTACAGCTTATTAAATAGTTACAACGACACTGTCAGGAGAGCACAGCTATTTCCATTTTACATATAAAGAAACAGTAGCAAAGAGAGATCAAGCAACTTGCCCAAGGTCACACAGCTAGCAAGTAGCAGGGCTGAGATTACCACCATGGTAGTGGATTCCACAGCCAGGCCCCTAAGCCCTCCACTCTAATGCCTCTCAAATGTCATATTCTGCAAAATGTTCTCCACACATCTACTGTCCATTCTACCCCGTGCTGTAGTTTTAAGGTGAAAACATAATGTGGACATTTAAACCCTGATTGTTTTTCACTTATCTGACTAGCTATTTTCACTTATGGCCAGAACCATACAGAGAATGGTCAGAGAGCTGAAAAAGGTCCCATGCATTCAAAAACTTCTTTACAGAACCCAGTCAAGGTGGCAAAATTCTAGTCTTTGAATTCAGATCTTTCTAAAGGAGAGAATGAAAGAAATGAGTTGATGGTGAGAAGACAGACCTCTATCAGGGATAAAACCCGGAGTTGTAGTTAGCTTGAATGATTGTCCTTGAAGAAATGGGCCAGAGGACAGATTAGTTAGGATGGGTAAGGGGAAAGGAGGCACCTGAAGGGGCAAACATGAAGATGGCCACATAGGCTCTCTGCAGGCAGCCACCCGGGCTCCCAGGAGGAAAAGGGAATCTGCTCAAAGAGGAGAGAGAATTCCAGATGGGGGATAGATGAAGACCAACAAAAATTCTCCTTGGCCTCTACATCATTTTCCCTGGCCTGAACTTGTTCTCAGGAATCACAGCCCAGTAGGGTGCAGCTGTTCCACAGGGCGATGGGAAAACATCAGCCTCCATGCTGCCACACCCCCATATCTGCAGTGGGTACAGAGACGTAGAGAGAAACTAGCATTGTGCAAAACATGAGGGCTATAAAAGTCAATGACGTTGGCCAGGATCAACCACTTCCACTTCAGTGTGAAGACAAATCCCTGCCCTCCCTCTGCGTAGGGCTTATCTGTTGCAACCACCTCTCCTCCTCATGCCCTGGCCTGGTCAGGAGATCTGGTTTGAAGACTTCACTTTGTAAACAATAAGTTGAGAGGTTACAACAAGGCACTGCACGTCCTGGGTCATCATATCTTCAGGCATGTGCTGTTGTTGCAGCTTCCATTTGTTCAACATGTAAATTAAGTGTGCTGCATACACAAAGTGCTTTCCCTACTCTGGCTCAGATAACATCTTAAATTACACTGTGAGGTCAATGTTTTTAACTCCATTCCACAGGTGAAGAAGTCGACATTTAGGCACTGTAAAAGTTTGTAGGGGTGCCAAGCCAAGATTTGAACTCAGTTCTGTTTAATTCCCAGAGTGATGTTTTTAACCACTGCTTTCATCCTGTTTTCTATTATGCCTCATCTTTAGTAGCAGAATAAAAAAGCAAAATAAAGAAACAAACATTGTTCCTTTTCAAAGGTATGTTTCAGGCATCAGTATGCTGGGGACTGGAGGCTTTGATGCAGATGGGGTTAAAGATATGTCCCTGGCGTTCTATCTAGCTAGCCAACTAGATCACTTTTCAGACCATGGTTCCATGCCTGAAGTTTTCATTATGTCTCTGATTTTATTTGCTGCTATTTCAAGTGTGGCTGCTTGCTAGCCTACAGATGTGAGTGCAGAGGTGGTGGGGTGGAAATGGGGAGGAATGTAATTTAATTTAAATTGCATTTTTGAGCAACACAGACACTTGGATATCATTCTTTATGTACTAAAATATGCCACTCAGCATATTCTTCTGGGCATAGTTAAACCTAAAATCCCCCACATCCCAAGGCTGCACTTGCAGTAAATAGCATTAGAATTTGGATGGAGGATGCAAATCTGAGATTTGTAAGTCCTGGGTGCTTTACTGGAAAGCAACAGAGGCCACAGATCAACCTAGTATGGATGGCCTGTCCTCCATCCTGGTGATGCTTGTGAGATAGGGAAATCGATAAACAGGTCAGTGCATCCTCTGACCATGCAAGTTTCCCTGCCAACCCATTGCAGCAGATCCTGTCACAAGGAAATGGAGGAAAGTCTATACAAAAAGATATAAAGTGGTGCTAGCTTTAATTCTAAAAATGAGTTCAAAAAGCATGAATTAATATTGTCCATCATGTAATTATACAAGAGACTGGTTGCAAGTCCATTTTGTGGACAAGATCCTGTAAGCTAGGATCATAAAGGGCTGCTTTTCAGCTCAATCCCTTTCTTCTGTGGACACAGACTCTGGTGTGGTCACAGGTCTTCACTTAAAATCAGCATATAAAATAGATATGCTAGATCTCTCTACCTTTTCACCTAATCAAGTCAAATTAACCCTTTAGTTTTAGCTGAAGAGTCTTCTCAGGTGACCCATGCTTCTCTGACCATTTTATCCATGTCGTTTATTCCAAAGAGCAGTTCTTTTAAGCTGAGGTTCAATGCAGTCACATCAGCGACTAAGGTTGTTTTTCTAAAAAAAAACACCAAGCACAGAGGCTATGGAGGCTGCAGTGCCTCCAGATGTTGAAGCTCATGCTTCCATGAACCTGTGCAGATTTTCTGCATGCCACTGACCTGTGATTTGTGTTATTTTATGCTAGTATGGAAAAGTTAATCTACAGACTATCCAGCATCAGATTTCTCAGTGTTACCAGTTTAGGAAGCTGCTACTTGCCTCATTAAGACTAAGACTTTGTAAAGTCTCTCAACTTTGCCAGAATCTGGGACCTTTTGCTTGTCCTCATTATGCAACATTTCTTACCAACAACTGTTTAGTATTTTACACTCTTAAAATTCCCAAACACAGTATCTGATTTTAATCACACAATTATTTTCCCGTGAAAGTTATTACTTTTCTTCCCCACTTTAGACGTGAGAAAACAGATTCAGAGATTCAGAAAGTGGCCCAGACAGAGGATATGGAAGAGCTGGGACTTAAACCAAGGCTTCAGCAGTTGGCTCTGTGTCTGTCCTTCCTTACACCTGCAGCTGCCCCTGACATAGGCATGACTTCCCAGAACTTTCTTCATTCCCATCACTTCTCACCTTGCCACCACTTCCAGAATTCGTCCTTTAAGCCATTGGAGTCCTATAAGCTGGTCCTCTGTGGCTCTGTTTAAAGATCCTGATCAACGACTTTTATTTGTTTTCTACTCCTCAATGGAGAAGTCTTTTTAACTAATTTTCAGAACTGATCAACAATACGCTTATTCACACCACAGTGGAACTGATAATATCTAGAGTATGTGACCTTCCAAAATATTTGGATTTTGAGATAAAATTAATAGGAAAGTCCAAGAAATTAATTTCTAATAATGGAATTTGAGACACTATGATAATGGAATTGGGATAGTTTGTCTCTGTGCATTTCGTGCCTTTACAAGAATTTTTTATTCACCAAACCTCTCCGTCAGATCTGCCTTTGCTTTAGGGTCACTTTAGCTAAAATTGGGGTTGGGAAACCAACTGTAGCATGATTTGGTAGAAGGTGGAAAAATGAACAATTTTTTAAGAGCATCTTTGACCCATAAAGTTTCCTTGCACTGCCTGTTACAAAGCCTAACATTTAATAATTAGTAATTTTTCTCTTTTAGGTTACTCATTTCTTTCCCCATGTTTCTTAAAGTGAAAAAGGTTCTTAGAGCAAGGCTTCATTAAGCTATTTTCAATATCTAGTCTTGATGGTGGATGAAATAATCATGGTTTTCTCAATCAGAAGAAAAGCCATAGCTCATACCTGACAGAAAATCAGCATTCAGTGAACAGAAGTATTGTCATTTTACTAAATGAGGACCAAGTAAAGCACCTGCAGTTTGGGCCACTATCACTGCAGAGGTATCTGTGTGTGTCTCCTTAATGATTTGTGCTTTATTTTTGACTGTGTGATCAACAACAAAAATATTCAATAACTCTGAAACTCAATTTCCCTTATTTAAAAGTGGTATTAATAGTCTATCTCAGTGATGATTTTGAAGGTTAAATAAAATAAAAATTAATGGATGTAATGAGATGTACATTGATCGAAATTATAAGGTATTCATTAAAAATAAAGGCATTCTCTGTGGGTCCAGCTGTTTTGTATACCCAGGTGCCAGGAATATTACAAATCCAACTGCTAGGCTACGGCTGCTCCCTGGGCCCTTAATTAGTAGAGCTAAGAGGCTTCTAGCTGTGGCTCAGGCCAGGAGCTCACAGCATGAGCATCTTGCCTTCCCACCTGGCCTGGAAGGAGACACTCACCAAACTATCCCCTAGGTTCTGTCAGGAACTGCTACCCTTATAACCTTATAGTGTTCTAGCCCTTTGATAACCAAGGTTGAAAAAACACAGCTCTTTGGAAATCACTGTAGAACAGTCTCTGAAAATTCTATAGGTTGAAGTGGTTGAGACCTTGGAGTTTTACAGAATTTGTACATCATGCACCACATCTTGGATGGTTCATCTCAGCGTGGTTCTGTCATCAGGCTAGTTGTTCCAAGAAAATATGCTTCATGAGCTGTGTTGTCCATAGATCGGATGAATGAATAGCTATGATCCCCAAAGCCATCTGTGTGAGACTGCTGAATAGACCAGTGCCTAGATCTCAATTAACCCTGCCTGGAATTTCTGGATAAGCCTTCCACAAACATGCAAACCCCACCAGGGGGAGGGAGCCTTCAGAACCTCTCCCTTCCCCTATGACACTTTGTAGCAGGGTACAGGCCCTTACATGCTAAAGCTTCAGCGTGTTCAGTGCTGTCACTATTAGAGACCTACCTGTTTCTGGCTATTTCTACTGTTCCCAACTTAATGAACTAAATCTGTGGGACATCCATGAAATTAGATCATAAAACACCAAGAATCCCATCTCTCTCTGTGGTGGCAAAGAGTGATAAACAGCCTCCCAGGCATCCTCAGGCATTATAAATAGCCAGCGATACAATCATTTAGCACTTCTTTGACTGGTGATCTGATCTGGGCTTGGCATCTCCAGGTTATCCCATGACCTGACTTCCCAAAATCTCCTGAGCCAGAATATTTTAAACTATTTACTTGCTACTACATTAGCATCTTTTCAGCAATTATGGAAAACACATGTTTAAGAGGACTGGGGTGAAGTTTCTGACTGACATGTTTTCCAACAATGGGGTCCACATCATGTTGAATGTGATGTCAGTTGTCCTATAGTGGGAAACCCCTTATGTATCAAATTATTCTATAATTTGGGGGTTGATTCCTAGTTACTCTGGGCATTATCAAATCATGATTTCACTCTTACTTTCCTAATAACATGTCTTATGAACCGTACAACACGACAACAACCACAATAAATAAAAATTGGAGTGCATTTGTTTGCACCTCAGAGACCTATGTAGTGTTCCCTAAACCATATTCTTAGGTATAATCTTAGCCCTGTGTGTCAAAACTGAGGCCTCAGTTACTATTCTGGGAGATATGTCTGAAAAAAGACCAACTGCAGAGACTTTTCAAAATTGGTCCCAATGAAAGCCTACTATTTCATTCCTCATTTAGACTGTTTTTAAGGCTTACAAGTATACAAGCAAGAGTGAGAGTATCTGGCAGTAATGTGTCCAAACCTACATCCCTCTTGAGAATTGCTTAGATGCTTTGGCAAATGTGGGGAACCCTGGCCTCTCTACTCCATGCATAGATCCCACAGGGCAGCGTTCAGGATGTTCTTGCCTCTAATGATGCCTTCCCCATTGGCAAGATCAGAGGTGTCCGAGACAAGTGCTTGAGGCTACATTCTTTGTGCTCAAGCCCTCTTTTGTTTATCAGAGTTCCAAACTCTCTTGCTCTCATATGACATCCCCAATCTCCATTCATGTTTTTCATACCTTGATTCTGCCTCTTTCTGTCACCTTTTGAATTGACATTCCTTCTAGACTCCTTGGTAGGCTTTAGCAGTCATTGTCACCCCTGCCTGCCATCGCATGGATTGTTCTCAGTACCACACTCTCTGGACAGAGGCCCAAAATCCAGCCATCCTACCAGAATCTCAACCTGGACCAGCTCCCAAGCCGTGGTGTTAGTATAATTTAAGGTAACTGCATAACTCCATCTCAAAATAGCAAGCTCTTCTGACCAACCATTTTCTTACGTTTCTGCTTTTATATGCCCATGGCTTTGACTGAAGGTTCTGGTTGCTTTTAAAATACACACGTCTCTGGAGAAAGGTGAATTACGTACATTATCAAACATGTACACCTGTATATAAATATGAGTTTTACATAATCTTAAATGTATGATAGGAACATAGGGGTAGGGTAAAATAACAATGATTCTAAACTCCAGGCAACAGTTGAGGTAGAAAAAAGCTCCTCTGAAAAGGCAATGAAGCCTTAGTTCCTGAAGATGAAACTCGACACTTCCCAATGTTGAGGAGAGCTAGCCCTTAGGTAGCTCTTTTCTCCATGAACTACAACTGCCTGTCACAAAATATTTTGATAGGCACTCACCCCTGTTTGGATCTTGGCTATAAATATTTGCCCAGACCCTAAAACTGATGTCCTAACTTTACAATGCACATATTGCATAAATATATGTTGATAAATAAACTTGCTAGCTGGTGTATGCATTGCATGTAAAGTTTCTTTTTTTAAGCAAAGATTTGAGTTTTATAGACTGTAAAATATGGATATTGCTCTATTTATCTTGATGTACCTCTATGAAAGGTGACTGCTGTGATTGGAAAGTCATACCATATAACTAAAATAAGGTACTTTATTTAGAATTTTTAGGATATCCCCTGCCCAATATGTATAACCATAACTATCTTGAAAAATTAGTTGTTTATTGCATAAATATTTTCAAGAGCTCTGGCTGAAATCCTGAAGAGGTTTATAAACATTGTGAGAGAGGAGGAGCTGGTCGCTGCTTATAAACACAGAGTTCAAGGTTTCTAGTTGGTTCATGCAGGGAAAGAAGGCTAGTGGTAAGAGACATGTGCCATTCTAGGTGGCATGAAGGAGCAATGCCATCAAATAGCAATAACAATCTCTGTCTAGGATATAAGGGAAAAAAGTCTTTATTATAAAAGTACTTACACTGGGAAAACATTCTTAAAAGACCAGATTATAAATAGCGTAGGCTTCCTGAGCCAGGTCTGGCCTTTGTTGTATAACTCTAATTTCTTTTTGTTTTTAAACAACTCTTTAAAAAGATAAATATCCTTAGGTATTGGCCGTGGATTGCTTACCCCATCTCTAGAGCAAATGTTTCAAGGCATTTGAAAGCAGTGCAAAGCTTCTATTCAGGAGTGATCTTATGCTAAACTGCAGTTATCAAGATCACTCTAAGTGGGGAGGCTGGGCAGTTGCTGGAGGTCCCACAACCCTGCCTATTCTTTCTTTCTGCAGTCCCAGGTAGCCCTGAGGCAACTGCACTGAGCATGAGAACTCGTATGAACACAGCTTACTTATCTGAATATCTGTGCCTGGGAGAATGCAAAAACTTTCAGCGAAGTAACAAAAATGTGCAATTATTAAAAAAAAAACAAAAAACACCTCAGACCTTATATCAACAAGGAGGCACCTAACAGGTTGACAGTTTCTGTCCACATATTTGGTCTATGGTGCCAACATGTTCAGTCTCCCAAGCAAAAACCGTCATTTTTATCTCCTGCATGCACCATGTCTTGGATAGAAATGTCTTTCCAACTTGCTTGCTCCCTTCCTGTCTCAGTTCTACCAGAGAGAGTGTGCTTTTATCTCCTTATACCAGGATACCTGTGCAAGTCCCTTAACTGGTTCCCCTGCAGGCTCATTTTAGCCTCTCCACATTCTGCCCCTGCCAGCCTACCCCAGATAGGCTAAGTTTTGTAATTACATTGCTTTGATTGGTCTCCCTCTTCTCTCAATGACTTGAATTCAGTTCAATTCATTTAGTCATTGATCAGATATTTATAATGCTCAGCATTCAATATGCTGGAAACTGCAGGATCCCAGATGTACATTAGAATCTCTGCTTTCTATTAGAAGAGATAGTGACAAAATACCTGTGACAGAAGGTGGGATGTGACAAGAGCCATTTGAATAGTGCAAACAAAGTTCAATAAAGTAGCTAGAGAACATTTCTGGCAAGATTGAGAAAGACTTGACAAAGCATTAAAGGATTAGAAGAAAGTCACTACATGAGGATGATACTGGTCCGTCGCTGTGTTTGAGAGCAAGGCATGGGCAGGGGCATGGAAGGAGAAAAGCACAGAGATTATTCTGGAAATGATGGCCATATAGTTTTACCAGGTGGGTGACAGAATAAACTTGAATGTGCTTCATTTTAAGTTTGTGGAAGGCCTGAAAGGTTAGGCCAAGTTGTTTGAACTTTATCCAGTAGACTTTGTAGAAAAGCCAGTGTTTTGTGTTTTTTTGTTTGTTTGTTTTTTTGTTTTTTGTTTTTTTTGGCATTTGGATTCACACAGACATGATGTAATGAGAGAACTTTTCAATGACAGTTAGGGAATTCATAGATTAAAATTTCTGTTAAACCTCTGCTTCATCTTTCTGAATTACCAATATAACAAAAGAAGATAAATAAAATTATCATTTAGCATTTATATTTCTAAATGTATATATATATGTATATATATATATAGAGAGAGGCTGAAATGCTGATCTAATGGATAAATGCTATATGCAAAGTAAGGAAAAGGTTTTGGAAAATGGCAAGAAAGATTGGCTGTAGAATTTCCATGAATAAATGAGATACAGTGGATTTGTGTTTGGTAAAATTGGGAAACAGGAAAATATGTGTCTTTAACTTTTTCAACCTAATATCACACATCAAAGCTCCCTGACACTCTCACATTATACCATAAAATCCTTCTGGAAAGAAGCGTATTTGCTTTGAATCCTGTTTTTATTTTCTAATACATAGCAGAGAGCCTAGATTATAACAACCACTCAGTAAAAGTTGTTTGAATGAATGATCTCTTGAACTCCATCAATGCTTATGCTCTAGAGAAAAATTTGTAACTAAACGCATGCTAAAGAATAAATGGTTATCCATTTGCCAATGGGAATTTTCCTATAAGTAATGGATATGGGATAGTCCATTGGCAAATAAGTACAAATTTAATGGTAGCATACGTAGGAGAGGGAGAGTATTTAGAAGAGTAACAGTGGTCCACGCAGGTAGGTTCCCAATTGACTTTCTCCCTCTTTTCTGCCTCTGGGACCCCTTGACTCACATCTGAAGGCTAAGCCTGTAGGGATTAGCTTTATCAAGTACTCCCCTTAACTGAGCTCATTCTGTTTTACCCTGGCATATGACAAGAACAGGGATTATGGAAAGCCCCTGAATCAGACCTTGTAGATAATCCCAAATTCTCCTGGTTTCTGACATATCAACCTCCTGTGCATGTTACCTGGATCTGCATCCAGAGTACTGATTGCCTTGCCTCCCTGTCTAAAATAAAATAAAGCCACAGTCACTTACCCTTTCATATGGAAGTCCTCCTACAGTTGAACACCTTCACTCTGCCATATTAGACTGTATGTGTGTTAAATCTCCTTGTTTCAACAATTAGTAGAGTTGCTGTGTTCGTGGTTTTCAACTTGTCTTCTCCAATTACAAGACTACTACATGCAGCTGAGACAGATGGATGTCACTGAAGGAGGTGGCCACATAGCTACTAAGAGGAGGCAGATGCTATAATGGTGCAATTTCAGGCATCTGAAGTGTTTACACCCCAATATATATTTCTCCATTGATGTTAAATTGTCATGATTACATTCATTTGAGCATGGTATACAGTCTCCATCCTACATTCTGAAATAGAGCCATTTTGGAAAGAAGACTGCAAGAATGCAAAAACCGCAAAAAATGCAAATACCACTTGGCAATTTAATACAGCAGTATCAAACTGTATATGACAACAAAATTTTACCATAACATTATAAACTAATCTACTGAAAAATCCCTGTTTATCTTGCATATTTTGCTACTAATATTAAGGGAGTATACCAACCAGAATACTTTCCAGTGACAGATGTATAATTAAAACTAGCATAAACCAAAGATTTTATAAAGGATGTACTGCCTCATACAACTGAGAAGAACAGTCGGGTATGGTTTTAGGCCAAGCTGACCAAGAGATTCAAATAGCATCATCAAGTATCCCTGCCTCTTTCCGGAGTTTTTTAATAGCTTCTTTCCATGCAACAGACATGATGGTTTTCAGATCATCAAGCTCTCAGCTGAGCAATAACATCTTCCCCCACAAATACGTAAGTTTCCTATTGGTGCTGTACAAATTACAGTGAATATAGTGACTTGAAGCAGCACACATTCGTTATCTTATAATTCTGGTGGTCAGAAGTCTGAAAAGGGTCTTAGGGGCTGAAATCAAATGTCAGCAGGGCTGCCTTCATCTCCGCAGACTCTAGGGAAACATTTATTTCCTTGCCTTTTCCTGCTTGCAGAGGCTGCCTGCATTTGTTGACTTGTTGCCTCTTCCTCTATCTTCAAAGCAATTGCATCACTCTGACCATGCTTTTACTGTCATATCTCTTTCTCTAACTCTCTTGATTCTCTCATTCACTTATAAGGTCTCTTATGATTAGATAAGAGAACTTATAAGTGAATATAATCCAAGATAATCTCCCATTTCAAGATTTTCATCTGAATTACATCTGCAAAGTACCTTTTGCTTCTTAAGGTAACATATCCACAGGTTCTAGGGATTAGGATATAGACATATTTCAGGAGCAGGTGGGAGCACTATTCTGTTTACCATGACAGGCTTGGCAAAAATGTCCTAGGGAGGACCTTGAGAGGTCTAGTTTCTGCAAGGTGCTTGCCTCAACCAGTCTCTGTGCCTAGGAAGGCTGTGTACTCTGACTGGCTGGCTGGAGTCACATGAGGTCAGGGCCTGTGGTGAGAGGGCAAGGGATGATAGTTTTTGCTTCAATTGTATCACGTGGAATAGTTTCTGTGTAGTAAAAAGGGGAGTTTCCTACCAGAATGGGGCAAAAGGATGCTATTAAAGAAAAACAACCACCAATATCCATCACATGAGAGAAGCAGATAAATGGGCATATTTGTCTAGCTAGCTTTTAACTCTTGTAAAAAGAGCACCATAAATTAAGCATTGCTCACTTAAGAATCTTTTTTTGAAATATAAGTATTGAAGATTCATGTTCAGTTTTATATCAGTGTGAAAATGTTTATCAAGATCTTATTCTTTATCTGGGACTGGCTGCAGCAATAGGTTGCTCTGGGGGAGAAGGCAAGAGGAACTTCAAATGATAGGTCTCAAAGAGGGCATAAAGGGATGGTCACTGACAGGAGTGCACCTGCTCCCTCACAGCCTGATCCTGGGCTGGCTCTGACTCTTCTCATGCCATCATATCAGTGGGCCCTCAGTGAATGGACATGTCTCAAAAATGAGGTTCTTCCATTCCCCATTCAGCTACTTCCCTTTCCCTTTCCCAGCACCTTCCCCTCCTAGGAACTATTCATGACTTTTTCCTCAAAACTCCTATCCCTTAGGCCTGCAACATGGCCAGATCTATGCTTTCCCTAGGGCCCAAAAGATAGGCAATTGTTCATGAGCAGAGCAATCCCTCCAAGGGCAGCAGCTCTTCTACATTTGGGCATTAATTCATAATCAAACATTGATGAATCATGCTATTTTACTGAAAAGCACAGTCCTTAAGTCAACCACCTAATCTAAGGGAAGAAATTAAACTCTAAACCAACATAAACACATTACAAGTCATTAGTGTAATTAAAAAGGAATGTATAATTAAAACATTTGTGTATTTTAGCTCAAATTCATCTGCGGTCGGAAATTTTAATGAACTGTTCATCAAAGGAGTCTCGGGAGTCTGGGGATAAGTTTAGCATAACAAGAAACTGAATGTTTTCTTCCCCTCTGCTTCAGGAACCCCATTCCCTCTGGTTTCTAAAAAGCAACCTGTCATTGGTTCCACCAAACTAATAATGATTCTAAGTGGTTATGATTGCTTCCATGTTTTAAACTGATGTTATCTTTTTATCCCTTAAGAATCATGTTTTTCATAATTACTTCTCTTTTGTCCTTTCCTTAAGACAAATGATTTTGTAATTAGCGATGAAGGAAGGAGTCGTCACTCCAAGACATCTGTCAAGTTGTCAGGAAGTATGTCTCCCTGTAGCTATATTTAAACTTTCTGTTTCATAGCCTCTTGCTTTATTTCACAAGAACATCTCTGCGGAATCATGCCCAGGATCCCCTAATGATCAGTTTCTATAAAACACAGAGCAATTAGACGGTAAGAAATATCGCTCCCCAGAACGTCCTTCCTATTCATAATGTGCACCTCTTCCTCCTAGCATTCCCTTCACTCAGGCTTCCCACCCACATGGATGTGCCTGCTCCAGAGGCTTTGGATTTTAGTCTCTAGCCCATGAGATGGCTGAGTGTGTCAACAATTAGGCTGACATTTTCCCTAACTTCAGCATTCAGTTGTAACAATGCTCTCTTCCTGCAAATGAATGGCAAGCTACAGTGGTAAACAGAATATTTCTCCCTTGGAGGGAGCAAACCCTCACTAAGGCTGTGTATTTTCTGTGCACCCTACAGAGAAATGACATGCTTGCTCACATGTCTGCTGTTCAGTGTCATCTGCCGCATTAAACAGCCTCCCAGTGACTCCTACACCCTCATTCTTTAGGCACTGAATCCAAACTGACAGAAACATCCAGTGAAGTGTGGAGGGAATATGGATAGCTCAGCTTAGGAGAGTATTCCAGATTATTGCTAATCTCCAATTCTGCTGCCATTCTGTCAGTAGCCAAAATCCTGAATCATAGAAATCTCAAACTGTTCTGATCACTCACTCTCTTTATTCTTCCATAGCCCGTCCAACCCATGACTCTTGTTCTTCATGAGAGAAAGGTAGGTATACAACATTCTGTGGTTTCCAAGAGTCACATAACAGGTTTCAGACAAGCCCAGGAAAAGAGAAACTTGCTGAACTGCAGTCTGATTCTGTCCTTCCACTTGGCTATGGAGGAGACACAGAGATGGGACTGGCCATGTTGAATGAATGAACACATTAAATTCCCTCCATACCTTTGAAAAAGTTGGCATTTGATACATCTTCCCCTTCCAGCTTACTCATCCTTCAAAACACCCATATTACTGGCCTGGGTCTCAGAGACCTGCCATGCCTTAAAATTCACCTGAAAATTATCAGGATAAAGTGGGAACACTATTGCTTAACATATTTTTCCCTCACAGGTGTATTCGCATTTAAGAGCAGACTCTTAAAGATCAAAAAGCCTCTAGGAGACCAAAACAAAAATTATTATAAAATTCAGCCTTCAGATAACTGAAAGAATCAAGACTTTTGTTTTCTGATGGGGCTGGCAGACTAGTCCTGGGTCTCCTTTCATTGCATCATGTGGTGGCTGCTAATTCATTCTTCCGCCTGAGTGCAGTTCATGAGCACGTAACAAGATAGGGGAAGAGATACAACAAATATGGTGGCTAAAATGATAAGGAAAATAATTAAATCATTTTGCTTACTTTCCTAGTTTCCCAACTTATCCCTTCATGGAGCTCATGGATAATGATTATATTTAAAATGAAATGAATCCACAAATGTCTTTAAGCTGCACTTATCTTTGTCTATTCCAAATGCCACTACTCCCTTGTGGCTATTTCCATGTTCCTTAAATTATTTTTACTGCAATTTCATCTTTTTTTTAAAAAGCCATTCTTCATGTCAGTGTCAGACGGATCATTTTAAGACACTAGTTGCATCACTACCTTGTCTTTCTGCTGTTAGAATGCTGAAAAGCCTTCCTGACACCCTTGGGTTACAGCACGGCTTCATGTCACCTTCCCTCAGTGCATCCGTCACCATTGCTTACCATTATTCAGCAATGGACAGCCTGAGCTCATTAAACTGGGCACCATCCTTTGTTCCCACCACTCCATTCTAATTCGTATTGGCTCAAGCTTATTGGCATAATTACAGGAAGTGAAAATATTGAGAAGGTCTAAGATGCTGAAAATCCTACTTGGCTGCCATGCTGACCTTGATTTCTCCACCTCTTCTTTCCAATATGAAAAATAAACCTTAATCTTGTTTAAGCCACTGTTGTGTCCATTGTTGATTACCAGCAACTGAATGCAATTCTTAACTGACTGCAAATGGATGGAAACCACTATTTCCACCTGTTTTACCTATATTACCTGTTGCTCATATTTAAAGATAGGTGACTTTCCCTTCCACTCCCTTTATGTTTTCTGTTCTTTGGATTGTTTCCTTATTCTTTTGTTTGTTTGAAATATTGTGTAGGCCTTTACCTATGTAACGAAACTGCACATCCTGCACGTGTACCCTGGAACTTAAAAGATGAAAAAAAAAGAAATATTGTATAGTGTGATTTGGAGTTCAAAAAATATTTAATTCAAAGCTGAAACCACCCCTCAAGTCCTCACTTGAAAGATGCTACCAAAACAGTGCTTCCAATATTCATCCCTGGGCTCTTCTTCCTCCTCTCCAGCAATGCCCTGCCTGACAAGAACTCAAAGGAGAAAAAATAGTATAAACAAAGGCATTTTTCTCATGACTCCACTTCCTTTGGTCAAAAATTAATATGGTCTTGGTGGTTTTCAACCCTCTATATGAAATTGTAACTCAAGCACATCTTGAGTGCAGAGAGGTAATCCAAATTTTATAAATCTTTTTAGACTATAGAAATTTAATAGTTGTGTGTTGAACAAATGAATAAATAATGGCATCACAAACAGGGAACAGTGTATACTTTAAAAAAGAATAAGACACTATAATAGTATGAGTAGTTGAAAAGATTTGACATGAGGAAATTCCAAAGCTTCACATACATTTACATCATGGGACCTGAGTAAAAGTTTTTTATTCTTATACAACTTTTTGGAAGGTGATCTACTGTCACCTTTGATCCTTGCCACCTCCACACCTTTCTGCCATATTTATTTGGATATGGGGGGGGTTAGAGTATTTTAAAAATTGATGTTTTTAGGGAAAATAAGGAGACACAAAGCATAGAAGGAATTTTGGGGAAAATACCACAAAATAGAACAATAATATTAGTCTTCATGGGACAAAGGAAAATGGTGACAACAGACATTGTAGTTACAGGGATAGGAACGTGGAAGCTGCACCCTAGGTGGATAGCTGGAAAGTCAGTAAAATGCCAGATAAGTTTGTGGAATGTAAGGAATCCATGCTTCATTTCCCTGGTAGACACTCAGGCTGTGTTTAAATAAGAAAATCCTGGAGAGGAATAGTTATAGTTAGCCTCGCTGTGACAAAGAAAGCAAGGAAAATTTTTCATGACCCAGAACTGTGAAATGGATGTTGCCAATGTGTAGTGTGTATATAACAGAATCATGAACTAAAGGGAGAGAAAGGCCAATGGAGGGAAAGGTCATCTCAATGGTAACCTATATTCACCACTGACCAAGTTCTAGATATACTCTTACTCTTAACACCTCGGCACTGCCTAAACACTTTTGAACTGAGACCAAACCCTTTGGAGAAAAGTGTAAGGAAAACTGATTAAACTAAGATTATAATTCTGAAGACTGAGAACTTTAAATTGAAATTAAGTTTAATTATAGAAGCAGGAACTAATGTGCCTTGCACATCTGAGTTTGTGCCCTGAAATTTCTAACCACTTCACATCGTCTCCAAGTAATAAAGGCTTTGACATCTTGGTAGTTAGCTCTAAACATCTGTACGTTGGGAAAGATTGCCACAAGATCATCCTCATCTCTACCCATCGTTATCATTCTCATCATCATCATTATTGTCTAAAAAAGAAAGAGGTTCAACTAAGTGGCTAAATAGGGCCAATCTTACATGCAGAAAAATAAAGCCCACCAAGCACAGGAGTATGGAGGTGTCCTTTAATAGGTGTTCCAGGACAGAATGGCCCTCATAAGGCTTCTCTCCTAAATATGAACTCCTCTGAGAGAAATGATACGTTGTGTTCAGGATTTCACTGTGAAGACATGTAAGAGGCTACTACTTGGAGAGGCTGGGAGAATTTTAGAACAATAACATTTTGAGGGGGTCAAGAAAAGCTAAATAAGGAAAGAGGCCTGCTTGCTGTAAGATGATGTTGGAGTCTGTTCCAAATAATGCTTTTCATTTACAAGTCCAGAAACAATGTTAGAGCTGCTTTTGAACATAGTTTGCTAACATCCTTCTCCAAGAGTTCTATTTATACTTTGACTTACCCTAATTTGTCCCATGTACTCTCTCTCACACACATATTCACGCACACACACACACACACACACATATTCACACATACACATGTATACATACACCAAACTTGTGGTCTTTAGCGAAACGATTGAATGTTGAAGGAAGCATCAGTAAAACAAGAATCCTAGAATTTAGATGTTAGATCCGTAGGCGTTTCTTGATAAATCTGTCAGATTTCACTGAAAATGCCATTGTGGCTTTACCTGTGATGTTTGTTTTTGTTCATGGCCAGATTAGAGGCTTTATTTAATGTTACCACTAAGAGGGAGAAGAAGGAAAAGAAAGAAGAAATAAAAGGAATCCAAAAGTAATCAATGAGATAGATGTTAATCACAAGGAAGACCTCTCTAACCATTTCAGCTGTTTAACAGAGGAAGGTTTACCTCTCATATGGATAAAAGTGTGATCTCTCTACAAACATTGGTGACATCAGGAATGCTACAGAAAGAAATCATCTTCAATATCTTCAGCTGGATTCCAGAACTATGAATTTCTTGGACTTCTTTCTAACTCCATCATTCTAATCTTCTATCATGCCATATTAAGAACATATCCTGATGAAAAGCTCTTGCACACGTCACTAGCTCTGCAGCCTCCAGGAAAATTCATGTCTTTCCTGGACATGCACGTTTCCAAGCACATTTATACTGATACTTTCAAAAACAGCTGATGTTAACATTGTGGGTATTTATGGTGATCTAGATCTGTCAGAGTAAATATTGAAGATTTCTCTAGTGACAATGCTGTTCATCATAATTTCTAGTTGTACCTGGTATAATTAATCCTAAGGTTGTGGTTTTACTCAAAACAATGAAATATCAGAAGATGCTAAGAAATAAATTCCTTTGCTATCAAGATTCCACTCCAGAGACCAGGAAGCAAACATCATAGCTGCTATTGTCTTTCCAATGACTCTCAAAAATATGTTAATAAATACTGTACTGGGTTTCACAGTCCCCAGATAAATAATTGTAATAATGGGTATTTATTTTAAAACCTTGGGCTCAATCTCATATATTTTTACTTGAAAAATTGTACATATCATGTTTTACCTCTAAATAGTTCAGACAATGCATTGTCTTAAGGCCTGGAGTGCAACTATTAAAATTCTATCTTGATTTTTAGGAAGGGTCTCTCAATCCCTCTTGAAACCCAGCTATAATGGGACATCAAAAGAGTTAACAAAATAGTCACAAAGAGATACAAGAACTGATGGAAGAGGTCAAGAAAACTTGAGGAACTGTAATGAGACAAATAGAGGGTCACCAGCAGAGCATATCAAAGAAAGCTGAAATCAAAGTGCTTACAAGAAGATAGCCAAATATTGCTAAGATGATTGAAGACAGAGATGGAGAGTTTTTAAGCTTGAGAGACACCAGAACCTTGGAGGATGAAAGTGTCAATTAGGACTTAAAACTGTAGGATAGATTGAAAGTCTATTTAGGAGTAATTAAACACCCAGGTGCCATTCCGTACTTTGTGCATCCAGGGGACTTAACCTGCCAATGGTTTCAGAAGACTGGAGGTTTGTGTACTGCAGCAGTGGGACTACAAAAGCTTGTATATAACAAGCTTTTATAAACAACAACTATAGCTGACGGTGGAGGTGAGAGTGCTGCATCTACAACAGATTATTAATGAACGTTTACATAACAAAATTACCAGGTCCCGGCCTGTTCCTCCTTATCATCTTCCAGAATGCTGGAAGTCAGGCTTTCACCTCTCAAGTCTGTGTCTGAATGACTCAGGAAATACCGTGGCTTAAATGAAAAAGCTGTTACTCCCTGATTAACCTTAGAGTAACAGCCACCCACTGACAGCTTTGCTCATGAATACAGAAATCCAGATAAGGTTTTGATGCCTCACTCTTAATTATAAATGGATTACAAGTAATCACCTGATGTTTGTGGAAGGCTTGCAAAATAAGAATGAGAAATCAAAGCAAATGGATCAAAAGAGACCAGAAGACACAGAATTTCAAAAGTCTAAAATGGCTTTTCCAAAAGAGAAAAATAAAGATAATACATCCATAAAGTGAGAATTGGTTGTTTCACAAAAGAAACATTTAGTAAAATAGAGAAGGATTTTAGAAATTTGAAAATTTAGAGTAGAAATTTAAAAGTTCAACTCAATGAATAGAAGATAAAGAAATCTAAAAGCAGAACAGGAAAACAAATAGAAAATAAAAGAACAGAGACAGGAAAACTAGAATATCTGTTCAGGATTACAGTACAAGAGTGATAGGAGTTTGAGAAAAGGAGAGCATATAAAACTGAAATTATGCTATTTTCAAAGAACTAATGTAAGAAAACTTCCCATATTTAAGGGGTATGTTTCTAGGTTTTTTTTTAAAAAAAGAAAAAAAAAGTAAAATAGTTCACCTAATACCATGTACAATGAGTAAAAACAGACTATCTGCAAAGGATAACATCATAGAATTCCAGAATTGTGGGGTTAAAGAGGTAATCCAAAATATCCATAGACCAATGAAACAAAAAAAAAAACAAACAAGAGATGATGAGGAGAGTGGCTTGGAATCAGAATCACATTTTATTTCTAAAAAGGAGATACTTGAAGCAAAAAGAGAATGGAGAAAAGCCTTCAAATTTATTGAGAAGACAATCTTTGACTTAGAATGTAATACCTAGCCCAAACTCAATCAACTATGACGGGAAAATAAAGTCATGTTCAGACACACTGAGTTTCAAAAAATGTATTCCTTCTGCATTCTTTCTGAGAAAGCTACTATAAAAGATTTTCTACTGAAACAGGAAAGATGGAGACATGTGATCAAAGATGTAGGACTTTAACAGAAAGAGAAGCAACTGAAAAGTTCTAGGCCGGGTGTGGTGGCTCACGCCTGTAATCCCACCACTTTGGGAGGCCGAGGCAGGTGGATCACCTGAGGTCAGGAGTTCGAGACCAGCCTGGGCAACCTGTTGAAACCCCACCTCTAATAAAATACAAAAATTAGCCAGGCATGGTGGCCTGTGGCTATAATCCCAGCTACTCCAAAGTCTGAGGCAGGAGAATTGCTTGAGCGTGGGAGATGGAAGTTGCAGTGAGCCGAGATAGCACCACTGACAGCATAGGTGACAGAGCTAGACTCCCTCTCAAAAAATAAAAAATAAAATAAAATAAAATAAGTTGTGATGATGGTGAAGCGAAATCCCAGCATTATAAATGTGTCTGGAGTGTAACCATCCTAGACTGAAGCAGAATGAAACAGGGCTTTAGCGGAGATGCCTCCAGAAAAAAAAAAAAAAAGGAAATGTGCAACGATGATTACTATATGACCTTGTACTATATTTAGAGATTATCTGCACTATCAGAAAGTTTTGGGGTGAATTTGAAAACTAAACCAAAGAGAGGAAGAGCGAGAGAGAATGACAATTATTAACTTCAGAGTAAAGAAAAAGTTGGGCAAGAATTATATTTTAATTGTAGTTCATTACATGGCTCAACTGTGAACAGTATTTACATAGTCCATTATAATGTTAATAGCAAATGTCAATTTAACTCCCAAATTGACAGAACGATAGGAAGGGAAATGTGTGAACGGCATTATAGAAAAAGATAGTGTGCGTGCGCGCGTGTGTGTATGTGTGTGTATCGTTGTATATTAGCAACGAATGCAATGAAAAGTGACCCTATATAGAATGACAATATTTTTAGAGAGGAAAGAGAAGTTGCATGCCCTCTGGTATAATTGCCTTCTTTAATAGAAATTGAAAACCCTGTAAGGTTAGCTGGTTTGCTTATGGAAGTGGCAGAGCAGAAATAAGGACCACAATTTTGTGTTTGCTTCTTTTATTTCCCTGTCTAGTACTCTTCCCCAGTAGCTTTAACCTGGTCAAGCATTTCAGATGCACACTGGAGATTTGGAATGGGATTCAAGGAAGGCCACTCTTGGTATGCATGCCAGTGATGTTCCCTCATTATCACTTTCAAGTTGCTGATAACCACTGCAACTGCCTAGTCCCAGAGACCCTCATTTTCTCTAAATATTAGTAGCAGATAGTAGGGCTATTAGGGTTTCTATCATTGTGCCATATGGGATTGAAACCACTCTACCCATTGTGTGTATATTGTGTTCTGTCATTACAATTTGTGTGTGTGTGTATCTGTGTGTGTGTGTGCGTGTGTGTGTATCTTGTCTTTCCACCTAAAACTGGAGGTCCTTGGGAAAGAAGAAGCATATTTTGCTTTTCTATATCCCCCACAACAGTGGCCAAAGTCCCAGTAAGAAAACAAAGCTGTGAGGAAACCTTTTACATAACTAAGCCTAGGTCTGAGGGGAAACAAAACAAAACACAACACATGGCCCGAGGAGAGTCAGCATATAAGGGGACCAAATTACAATCCTAACAAATAAGATAATTGCAATGATCATGTGAAGTAGGATAACCGGTTGTTTCCAACTAACTTGGTGCTAAAAATGTGCCCGGTGCTGTTCTAAGGGCTTTATGCACCTTCACTCATTAAAACAGCAAAAGAAAAGCACAAGTTGAGTACAATTATGATTTTCATTTGCCAGGTGAGAAAACTGAGGTGCAGTGAGATTCAACATGACAGAGACAATGAGACAGGACGTCTGCTCCTCTTTCTCTATGAGACTATGTGTCTGGAACTTCACTGGGGACTCCGTCCAGAATGTTCTTCATTTGCACGTCTGATCCCCCTCCAGAATCTATACCTGAAGAGAGGCACATTATCTCACACATCTCTTTAACTCTTGCAGTTATAAGTAGAGTATCTCACATGCAGTGAGCACTCAGCACTTATCTGTGAGCTGAACAAACAAGGAAGCTGTGATGGATGAGGAATCCTGCTGTGCACAGACTGATGGAGTCATGAAAGATTGGGTAGATGTGGTGCCAATATACCATCGACCATTAAATGATCCTAAATAACTTCAAAAATGTAAGCGCTATTCAAAAACATTTTATGTGATGTAGGTAAAAAACCATTTTGTATAATTTAAAAACTTTTTAAAACAATCAAATCACAACAGTATTTACAGTTTTTTGTGTTAATTTGTGTTACCGAAGGCTTATCTTTTGAGGTTTTGAAGTGTAACTCTGGAGAGTTTTTCATAACAGGTACAACAAATAAAATGGCTTTGGCTGAGTTTCAAAAAAGAGAGAAAGAAAATATTGAATTAAAAAATGGTTTTACTCAAACATTTTATGTAATTTTGTTAATTTCCCACTTTGTCACATATATAAAAAGTTAAGAAAAGAGATTTTCTTAAAGAGATAGATCAGATATTGGATTTCTTTACTCAAAGCAACAAAACAATGCTGCATAGCCAAAACTCTGGCTTGTTAAATTGTGATTAAATGGAATTTGTTTTTGTTTTGTTTTTCTGAATAAGGCCTACAATCAATACATGCTTTTATTTTTGTCTTTACCAAGCTGAGGGACTTTCAAATTATTGTCTGACTTTTAGTCCCTCAGGTGTGAGGCATTTCAGTCTGAAAGGACTTCTGAGTCCTTTGCTCTGTGTGTGTTAATTAGAGTTGGTTTCATGATCTTTGCTGTCAGTTTCCTCTGCTCCACAATTTGAGAGACAGTGATGCTAAACCAATCCCCAAAGGTCTCTGGAGACCATTTCCAGTTGCATTACTGATTTATTTTTGTCTTGACCAGATGGCTCCAGGTTCCTGTGACTGTAAGGGAGTCTTTTTGATTACCCTATTTATCTCTCCCACTGCTCAATTTAAGGGTCAAATCTCATGTAACACATTTGCCCGCAAGATAAACCATTCAAGCCCACTGCTGTTTGGACACCATACTTCTGACATATGCTCTGTGCCTCATTACACACCAAAGTTATTAGATTTAATACATGTTTTTATAAACTCCATAACAAAAGCAGGCAGGGTTTTTGTTGGTTTGTCTGCAGATTCTTCAGAACTTGCAGCCAATGGAAGGGCAGCATTCAGGAGGACTCAGCAGAGAGGAGGGGACTCTGCAGATCCCTCAAGGCTCCCTGACTGAGGCTTTCCTTGCCTTTATGGAGGTGGCCATGAAAAAGATGAGCAGAACATTTTTAATGAAACCAATAAAAATGCAAAGGAAGATTTAATGTTTAAAGAAACAATAAATCAAAAGTGACAACTGAAATGCAATATTTCACCATGAGATTGAGGAAATCAATTCATCCAAAGGGCACACTTGGCTTCTGTTAAAAAAAAAATTCCCCACACATACTCACACAATAAAAGCTATCATATCAGCTGAAGCTAAATAAGCTCTAGTTAATGGATTTTGAAACCTTGAAAAACACGCATGAAGCCAGACAGTACAGAACCTCATAGCATTTGGATACACATACACACACACAAACATACACACACCCCACAATGTGTACAATCCAAGAAGCATAAATTGCTATGATTAGGAAACTCTCTAAGTAAGGGTTAGGTAATAACAAAAAATAAATCCATTGTTAAAGATGCTCTCTGAACTCAGAACTAATGATCAGATTATTTATTTTAATTCCTAAATCATTTCCTTTTAAGAATTCTCATGCAACAAAAAATATTAATTGAATTCTAAAAGTAGAAGGAGTAACTTGGGTTCCATCTTCAGGAAACACATACACACACACATACACACACACACACACACACACACACACACACACACGAGAATCAGATGCTTTGGGCCTATCTCATCAAGTGCAGGTAAAGTAACCCTAGAGGAAATTAAATTTAACAATTATTCTTGCCTTATAAGGGCTCACAAGTCAATGAGACCTTGTCACCTGCTTTAAAAATTATAATATAATTCAGCTTATGGCAAGGGCTACAACAAGGTTAAAAAGTGCAATAAAAACGGGCCTAGGAATCTTGGAGTGGATTGCAAAAGTGCTGTGATTTGATATAGATCTTGAGGGATGAGATAGAAGATAGCAACTTGATAGATATAATCTGGAGAACAGAAGGAATAGAAGTTAAGGGTAGAGAACAATTTCTATGCTGCAATAGATAAAGATTAGAGGCGAGGTAGTTCAAAGAATACGTGAGAGACAAGGAACATGTATGCAGGCGGCAATGTGACAGAGTAGACAATAGAAGGGTGATGTCAACAATAGATAATAATGGAACTAATAAAAATGGCTAGAGATGGGATGCTCAGTCTTGGCACTGCGCCAGGTGGTCGTCATGCATTTTCACATGTCATTCTCTTTACAACTCTTCAAGGTAAGTATTAACTTCAGTTTACAGCTGAGGAAACCTAGGCCCTGTGGTGTTATTTCAGTTGCCCCTTGCCCCAGAGCTTGGAAGTGGCAGCAGTGAGATTCTAAACCCTCTGTGTGACTCTAGTGTGGGGTTGCTACAGAAATAGGCACTGAGCTGGAGGCTTCTGATTGTCCAGTCAGCCCATCCACTGCTGACCCTGCTCCTTACCACACTCGTGCCTTCTTCATTCATCACCCCTGCCATACCCTCCCCCCGCCTTTGCCCTTTCTCCAACTGTCCAGTCCCAGTATCACCACAAAACTTCTCATGACATATCCAATCCACATCGACTCAATTTTGTTAACTATAGCAATTAATCTTCCAGGCAACCATTTCCTTGGATTACTCTGGAAGTGTTGGTTCATCTGTGTATCTTTATCTTCTATGGGCTGAATATTTGTATTCTTCCAAAATTCATATCCTGAAATCGAATCCTCAGTGCAATAGTTTTAAGAGCTAAGACCTTTGGGAGGTAATTAGGTTATGAAGGCAGAGTTCTCATGAATGGAATTAGTGTCCACACAAAAGAGAACCCAGAGATCTCACTTGCCCCTCTGCCACATGAGGACACAAGTGAAAGACGTCTATCTACAAGCCAGGAAATGGGCTCTCACCAGACAACAAATCTGTTGGTGTCTTGACCTTGGACTCTCCAGCCTCCAGAACTATAAGAAATACCTTTCAAGTATAAGTCACACAGTCCATGATATTTTGTTATAATAGCCCAAATGGACTAAGGCATCTTCTTAAATAAACTTACATTTCTTTAAGGGAACAAATATTTTTTCAGCGCTTCTTTTGTATTTTCCTCATGGAAGAGTTAAGTTCTTAAGAACTTAAGCCACCTATGATGATTTATTGATTCTTTTTTTCCTAAAGATTATACTCAGCCCCACCTCATATGCTTGTGAAATGCCTTATTGAATAGCTCCCTCAACAACCAAGTCCTTCAATGCAGGTTTTCTACATATGAGTCTGCTATAGACTCTGAAACATACACAGTCTCACTTAGTTCTCACTAGGGGTTGCCAAGTAGAATTCAGAGATATTGAGGAATATGACTAGAATCACCTAATGCCAATGCAGAGAGAAAAGGGCTAAGATTTGAATAGGGATTCATCCTTTTCTGGAGCCAAGATCTCCTCCTGAACAGCCCTGTTTCCTCTTAGTTTATATTTTCACTGGTCACTACACTAGTAGGTTTTTCTTGTGACTAGTGAGCGTTTCTTAATATCACTAGGATTGTATGGTTAAACAAGCATTTTCATGGTCTTCAAATAAGGGCATAAACAAGAACTCATTCATGATCATATAAAGCAGACATTTACGTGGATGACACACAATTTTATCTGAAATACTTAAAATAGGAAGCATATATAAAAATGTTTTAAACACCTGATATTCTCTCCTTCTTAAAAAAATTTTAGCCATTTTTGTAGCACATCTTTTAAGAATATGTGCATTTTGTATTTTAACGGCAGTTTTTGAGTGTACTTCAAAATCTGTTTTTGTAGACATCAAATTTTGTACCAAGAAGCAATATGGTTGTTCATTGTTTACATTTTTGTTTTTTCCACTAATTACATGTCAGCTGTCACTTACCCTGCTGTCATCAGGCATATATCTAAGAATCCACTTCTAGGTCACTGCTTTAATTCCTGTGGGAAGACAATAGTTAATAAAATCACAATGCCTGAAGTAGAGCCCAGGGGAGTAAAGAGTGTAGGTTTAGTGCATAGGCTTTGTCACAGCTGTTTTAGGAACTTAAAGGCCTTCTGTGACATCTTCCTTGTCTACATTGAGGTTGTGGTGACTGAAGTCTGCAGATACCTTGGACAGATGCTATGAAAAATATATATTGTGCAGAGTCTTGAACAAGGTCTTTGTTTGAGATAGCAAAACAAAGGAACAATTCTTGGATTCTTAAAATCATAATCTAATTTTGGATTAAACACCATATCATAGATATATTACCCATGGAGAAGGTAAGCATCAAAGCACTTTATGACTAGACAAGTGTGGAGCCAATGTTCCTTTGAAGAGGTGAAAAAAAACAGTCTGGAAGAGGCACTCAAGGTTGGGAAATGGAGGGGCTACACCATGGAGTGGAAATAAGGAGGTCAGACACAGGGCCTTAATAACTTGGGTGGACTTGATGTCTAACCAGCAGGAGATTACAATGATTTTTTTTTCTTCAGAAAAAGAGAGAAGGTTAGATTTAAGATTCACTACATCTTTAATGCACAGAGTTCCTTTGCCTTCATGTGTACTCAGAATGACTTTGGGATTCTTATCAGCTGTTTCTAATTTAGACCTGTGACTGTCGGCTTTTTCACAGAGCCAGTGCCTCTCTGAAGTCGCTCCTTATGAGGCTTTGTGAAAAATCTGGACAGCTTAGGACACACACACACATATAGGGGAGAAAAAAAAAGAGAGTGGTGAGCAAGTGGGTACATTTTATTTTTCTGCAGTTGGCCTTTATTTTTTTATATAACCTTGTACTCCTTTTCAATTTCCCCTCAAACCGTTTTTCCTCTGCCTGCTCCCTTTTTCTTCATTATTTTAATGGCTACATCTTTGCTCTGATGTGTCAATGGGAGTGGAAAATCCTATGAAGCCAGGGCTTAATGAAACACCAGCTGGAACAGAGGGATAAAGTTTCTTTGGAGCGGCTTCAAAGGGATGCGGGCTGGGTGAGCTCAGGGACAATGATGCCCAGGCCTGAGGACACGGACAGCCTGGCGAGCTGGCCCAGCCTGGCCCTAACGAGGCATGAAGGGATGGGGACCCACGTCACTGTTCAGTCGAGGGTGTGGAATGGGGGATTTACGAACATGCACACACAGGCTGAATTCTTCTATTTCACAACAAATGGTTTTCTCATGAAATGAGGGGCCAAAATGTGACTTCTGCCAGAAGCAGCATGAGCTAATTTTACTCAAAAGCCCTGGCTTCCAGAATTCAGGCAAGCATCTCCCTCCCCACCCCCGTTTGGAATAAATTTTACATTTCTTTTTATAGGAAAATTACCACGGAAACCTTAGTTTTGATAGGACTTGAGAGAGATTTATGAACACTCATTGGTCATTTTTGGTCAGGTGGCATTTCTCTTTTCTTTTTTGTGAATAGAGTAGGAAAAACGACTTGGAAATAGGCTATAAATGTAGAAGGCTCAAATGCCACGTCTGGTTGTCAGCCCCATTTAGGCCTTGGCTTCGGAGGCTCTTGTACTTTGAATGACATCAAACATAATCAGATGCGGTTTGTGGCCAGAAGGGATTTTTAGAAAACTACAATGTATCTTGCCTGTACCTGGTTTATTCATATATATTAATGTGCTTTGTATAATACTTACTGTCTCATTCCTTTTGCTTTGCTAATGAGGGCATTTGATCAATTGCATTGACTAGCTCATTTTATTAAGTTAACTTTCAGAATTGCTACAACTGTTTTACTTACTGTTTTTGTTTTTTATGCTTTTGCAAACTGAGTCTTCTGAAAACTAAGATACTTCAAATCCAAAACAAACACAGAAAAAATTTTCCCCCCTTTCCCTTGCTTGTGAGAACTGACAAACAAGAGGTTAAAATATGTTTTATGTTCCAAGCAATAAATATTTACTGAGAAATCAAGATTAATAAGTTCTCTTCTCCTCATGGTCTAGAAAAATAAAATATGGACTTTTATCCAATTCAGTTCCATAAGCAGGTATAAATCACCTACCATTTACAGGTATTGTTCTACCTGCTAAGAAATAAACCCAAAGAGGACACTTTCCCACCTTCAGGAGACTTCCCTGTGGGAAAGACAGACAGGATTCTACATAAGAAATTCCATTTTCGTTGGTCAAAAGCATCAGAACATGATACATCTTATACAATTCAGTCTAATTTAGGGGCAAGGTTTTTTTTTTAATATTTATAGGATTATGTAACTTTCAGCCAAGGCTTCCTACAGGAGGTGGTATTTGAGTTCCATTGGTTAAAAGAGGGAAGGATATGCCAGAGGAAATTCCTTAAACAAATGCCTAAAATAAAGGAGTGACGTGGTATGTGAAGGAGATTACTAAAACTCCAATATAATTCTTTAAAATAATTACATGAGGCAGAGGGTCTGGGGATAATTCCAGAAGCATCAGTAGGACAAAGACATGGAAGACTTTGTATGTCAGGCTTGGGCTTTCTTCTGTAGATTATGGGGAGGCCAGGGAAATTTTTAAATTACTGGAGTGACTGGGTCAAGCGTCGCATGTTGGATGAATCATTTTGGCTCTGCCGTCACACACATACACTGTCCTCTGCCAGGGAACCCCTTCAGTCTGTACTTTCCAGGCCTCTTGCCATCTTCACCTCTGGCTGGGTCTTGATAATGGAAGGCACTGATAAGAGGTTGAGTTATTCAGATGAAGGAATAGTTGGTGAATTTAGCCCTTAGTCTCTCCATGCTTGCCCACACATTATCAATGATTGTTCCTCTGTGGTCATAGCATCTATCGCACTTTCTCCAGCACCTGCTATCACCAGAATCCTTTAGGGCTGGTACTGGCTTCCTGAAGTTCCTAGTTTGGCTCCATCGTAATGCATTTTTTATTTTCTTAGCCCTCTGCTCACCTCTGAGAATGATCTTTTTATTAAACTCTCTTCAGCAAAACCCTTTGAGCCTAGAATCTTGTTTATTGCCAGAACTTTGACAGAGAGTCAGAGATGAAGACAGTTTAATTATAAGAATTCCATGATATTTCAAGTACGATAGGGGACTGGAGTGTAACAGATGTATTCTAGAAGAATGTAAAAGTTAGTGACTAATTAGACTAAATAATATGAGACCAATCAATAAGAGGCCAATGTTAGAGAAGAACAATCAGAACACTAGGAAAGAGGTCCCAAAGGGCAGAAGTCAGCATTCAGAGGGTCACAGGGTAGGGGGAGAGATATGGAGATGAGTACAGATTCTAAAACAGGGATAGTTTGAGTCCTGCTGACTTCATCGTCTTAGGTTGTTCTCAGTATGATAAAGCACTATATCCCCAAGAAAGTATAATATAAAATTGTAATGATTATTGTGTTTCCTTTACGTGGTTTTATTCCTAGATTAATATGTCTTTATCATACACAGAAGGAACTTCAAGGTGTGCAAATGTCCAATAGATGGTATATTTCCTAACTCTTTAAATCTATTATTGCATTTAAGATCTTATCACTTCTGAGAATACTCAGCCTTGTGTCTCTGTCTATGCATTATTGGCACTTATGGTTATTTGCACTTAAAGAAGGGCAAATAACATCAACTATGCACACTATCATGGCACTGTCTCTAAAGCAGCTTTGGCTTTTAATGGCACTCTATGGGGTGGATGTTTCTTCTGAGTAATGATAAGGCCATTTGGAAATATACTCAGGAGGAGGCACAGGGTCGTCAAAGATAAAAAAATCAAACCAAGATAAATAATCCAGTATAGATCTCCCCCAGCCTAACCTAGCACATAATAATTTACACAGCAAATAATTAATATTTGAATAATTAGCCAAGCATTGAGTTGGCTTCACTACTTTTAGTGAAGCTACCAGCACCCTGGTGAAGCAACATGTGCAAATTAATAAGATGCCTAAAATACCTTTATTTATAAAGGTTATTTCTTCCTTGTAATAAAATTCTTCCTTTAGCTATGGGTGTCGTGTGGGAGTCTCTGACCCAATGGTGTGTGCTGAGGTCCTCCCCTGCCTTCATCTAGGCCTAGATGCCTCTGCTTAAGGACAGAGCAGCCCGAGAGAAGTTCAGGTCAAGTTGCTGTCCTGTACAGCCTTGCCCCTAGAGTAGCAGCCATTCATCCATGGTCAAAGATGCCTACGTTGTAGTCTCCTGCCAAGATCAAAATACCTCCTGGCCCACAAAAAGCCTTACACTATGACCAAAGTAGTTAAAAGCCAATTTCACAATTCAAAATCCCACCTGGCCTATCATAAGCCCTTTCAAACCAAGATCAAAATGCCCTGCCCACCCATTCACAGCTGAGGCCCAAAGCTATACTCCTGGCCTCCCCAGAAGTATCAGCCACTACATGGTTATTTTGCTCTTCCAGATTCCAGTCTTTTATTTCTTAAGATCCTCAGATAATGCACAAAGATATTGAGATCCTTAACTTACTTCATCCAAAGTACAGCTTTCCCTGTGCCATTGCTGCCTTAACTAATAAGTACAAAATGTCAGAAATTTCATGCTTTCTTTTGTGGATATTCCCACCACTGTTATTTGTACCATTGATTCGATTGTGTTGCTATAGAGAGTTTCATTCCTGCAACAAAACATGTTGACCACAGCTACAATGTTGGAAAGACCTAAGTTTATGGGTGTGAAGAGAAGGCACGTGTGGAATTCCATTCATTGGGACACCAGTTAGAAAACTTGGCTGGTGAAATTATTGGGGACAGGATAAGCTCCATTTCTCAGAGGAGTGAAAGGTTCATCAGAAATCTCTAATATTGCTGCTTGCATCTTGCTGAGAGTTATTTATCTAAAGGCATTTTTGTAATTGCTAGAATTAAAACTGATTACATTTCAGAACCAGTTTTCAGCCTTTATTTCTGGGTTAACTTTTATAGACAGCGGTGTTTGTGACCATGTTCTCACCATGCTTGATGGCCTTTCATTCCTTCCTCACTGGGGTGACTGCCACCTGAAGTTCTCCGAGGACATTGCCAAACTATATTCCCACTGCTTCCTTTAATTTTAATGGTAAGCATGGCTTCTTACCTGAAAAATTCATACTGAATATTTTATTTTTAGAACTTCTGGTTGTAGGGAAGGGACACCCAATTCAAGTGTTAAAGCCTTATATTTCTGCCTAGATAAAAAAGCAGGTATGAAGATATTTCCTAAGATTTTCATCTTAATAGCATTGACAATTTTGGGACATCCTTAAGAAGGGCTTATTGAAACTGAATTCAGTACAGACAACATCTCAAAGGCATTTGAAGATGTATTTGAATACCAAAGATATTTAGCCACATAGCAGAAAAAATATCTTTATGAAATAATAAGCATTGTGCTTTCATGAGTTGGGGGAAAAAACTATATCATTTGGGTATATTATTTGTTGGATTCAGATGTATTTATATTCTCAAAGTTGCTCAAGCATTTACAACCTGGCTCAGACTAGCCCACACAGGCAATAAAGAGCCACCGTCCATGTTCTCACATTCTCACAATATGGGAAACACACACTCACGCAGAGAGAGAAAGAGAGAGAGACTTAAAATAAATAAATACATTGTAATTAGATATATTTAATTATGAAGGTTCCTCAAAATGCAATCATATGTGATAAAATGATTCCTGGTATAATAAATCAGCTACATATTACATATAAAGGCCTTTTATAACCTCAGTCAGAAACACTTAGACCATTTTATGGCATATACCATTTTAAGCAACTGACAGAAAGCTAAGCTCAACCATGAGAAATGCACACACATACACAATTGTGCAAAACCATTTTAGGCAAGAGTCTAATGAATTCCCCAGAAGACATCTACAAACCACTTGTCTAGGAGTCCGTAACACCCAGTTCAAGAAATTTCAGTTTGTTAGAACTCTTCATGGCTGCAATCTAGAAGGCTTTGGATCTTCCATTCAGCATCATCACTTTCAGTTTGACTACAACTGATTGTTCATACTTATCTTTCACTAAGCCCCATCATGAGCCTTCTCTTGTCAGGAAGACAGCTAAGTTTGCCCTGGCACACTGGCTCATTTTCACATGTATACCTTGTTCACACTGTCCCTCATTGATGGAATCCCATGTATTTATGGTGACTCAACAAGGTAGCTGGCCTTGGGATACATCAATGAATGAGATAGAATGAAAGCCCTGTCCTCATAGAGATTACACTCTTCTCTACAGGAATAATCTCTTCTTCTTACCCTCCCCTGTCCTACCAATTTATCAGACCAAAGTAGTGTCCCACCTCCTTTGTGAGACCGAAATTTCTTTCCTCTGAAAGGTTGCATTTTAAAAGATGTGGATTACCTGTTTAATCTCCAAGAAGCAATGCTTCCATTGTGTGTGAGCTTACCTGTCTATAGTCATCACACCTGCTTAGCATGATGCACCCCTTTAAATTGTTATGATGTGGCCAGGTTTCTTTGCTCTCTCTACAATACCTATTTGGTATTCAGGACATTTTGATTGACTGATTATCATATACACTATCCTTTCTTATAGCCATCAGAGAAATAGTCTTAAGGAGATATCTTGCATTTATGTGGCATTTTAACCTTTGTATTAACGTGTATTATCATAGTACATTCTCAGGATAATCTCTTCATTTAAGAGGTAAGTAGGAAAAGGGGTACTATTCCAATTTTAAGTACAAGAGAGCTGAAGAAAATTCAGTGACTTGCTCAAAGTCACAGAGCAAATTAGTACCCAAACTAAGAGTAGATTTGAGATCTCTTGGGTCCTACCTTGTGTTTAATCCTTCCACTTTTCACGGAGCTCCAGTGTTATGAAACAACACTCAAGGAAGTGCAATCAATACTTTAGGTAGCAAAGAACTTGCCATGTAAGAACTTTCAATTACTTGTAAGGGAGTAGGAGACATACAACTGCAAATAAAATCTGCAGGTCATGCTAAGACTCCCATTGAGTTCAGCATCCTCCCCCACCAAATGGAGGCAATGGCTTATTATGACACATTCCTTTCTTCTCTCTCGGTTCATACATTCGTATCTCTAGAGGTCAATTCCATTCCTACTGCTTATAGTTACATATCCTATCCTTATGGAGAAGTTTGCTACATCATCTTGAGCAAGAAAATAACCTTAACTGTGACTTCAAATTACCTAAAGGTAAAATGTGGCTAATAACCCTTTCCCTAATAGGCTCATGAAATAATGGGGTTATAACGAGAATCTCCAATGTAATATTTGTTATCACAAGGTTAAAATGAAAGTGATACCCTAAGACTCAGCCCCAACAAGGAGTATTTTCCAATTACTAATGCAGACATGGATTTTTTCCTTCTCTAGACTCAGAGTACGTAACATTGACTCCATTGAGGTAGCTCTTATGGATAGCCTGGTATATTTTGTACATTTTCCTATTTTCATCTTTTATGGTAATTCATGTAGTCATTCACTGTTTTCAAAGTTGTTTCTTCTAGATTATCTCACTATGTCCTAAAATAATACTTATGAATGTTCGTCCAGCTGGCTACTTTAATTTCCATCCCTTAGAGTCAGTGGTGACCTGGCTGTCAATTGGTACAGGTCTGTCCAGTTCCTGTCCTGGATCTGCCCAGTTAGTTGGGAAAGACTCAGGACAGGAGCCCTAGACCTTCAAATCTTAGGTATTGATCTCTTCCCAGGGCAGCACCTCATTCTTATGGGATGGGCACACCAATGGGTGCCTTTTTCTTTCCACCACACAGAGCCTCGCTCACAGGAGGACCATCACGAACACTTGATTGAATGAATTTTCTACTCCCAATTGTAGTATTTATCACTTGATAAGGAAAATAAGGACTTTAATGCCTTTTGTTTATTTTCCAACCACTTATTTTCTGCTTTACCTAAGTACATAGTGTAAGTTTAATATAGGAGAAAATGTGACATTTAGGTAATGGACATAATAAAAATTTTCACGTGACTACCTCATTATTATACCAGCTTCAAACTAAAATTTTCTACACCCAAAAGGGAAAAAATATGTGATTGTAAAGGTTACTATTTCTATTTAAAGTGTGGATGTGTTTAAGCAGCTATAACAGTTTTCTTTAATGTGTTGAGAAGAGGGGTAGCTTGGAGACCTGGAGGCTGTCTCTCAGTTTTATAACTGAGAAGCTGTGTGACATTTGTCAAATCAATTAACCTCTCTGTGTTTGAGAGTTTCTATGTTTTGAAGAGGCTAAAATAATACTTGTTTTCTATAGCTGTCTATACCCACAAATTGAAAGACATGTCTTAGGGGAGGGAAGGCAATTATTTAGATGATTCAGGCCAAAATCAATCCTGCCATGAAAGAGGAGAAAAAAAATGTGCATTTGGGCCTCAGCTGTCCAGATTGCCTGTCGACATCAATCAAATTCACAGAATAAATGGTTCAACCCTTGGCTTCCTTTTGCTTGTGTTACAAGAGGACCTTTGGGGGCATATTAGCTTGCTTGTTAAGACCAATGAGTAAATCACTAATGGCTTCCGGCCACTTTGCATACATCCAAGAATAGTTGAAACTCAAGGAAGCTCTGGATTTCTAGAATGTCAGGGTTTCAAAGGATGTTCTTCTCCCAATGTCACCTTCAAAATTAGCATCAAAAGAGAAGAGGAGAGAAAAAGTAATCCAGCTTTGGTTTTGTGTCCGTGGTCTGCTGGACATTACTCTGGGCACTTCATTCATCTTCTTACTTCAGTTGATACTCACAAACAAAAGTATGAGGTTGGGAGTGACAGAAGAGGAAATTGAGGCTGAAAAAGAGTAAGGATCACACAATCAATAGCTGGCAATCTGGAGCATGGAACCTGATTCCAAGTCCATGAGCTAACCATTGTATTATTCTTGCTCCCAGCTCAGGCCTGGTGTGATTCAATAAAATTCAACAATCATCACTGGGCCCCTGCAATGAACCAGATATGACACCAGGAGCTGAGCACAGTAAGATCAATAAGCATGGTCCTATTATCATGGGCTCTGTCCTGCATAATGTGAGAGTGGCACATAAACCCAACAGTAATGCTGTGTAAGCCACCTGCATGGGTGTGCAAAGGAGGAGCAGAGCTACAGGATCCTAGAAGTCCCTTTAAAAGATATTTTGGGAAGTTTTAAGTAAAAAAAAAATCCCCCCTGGGCCCAGAATCTATTCTTCTCTGTATTTGAGCAAAGGCCAAGGGGAGAAACAAGTCTAGGTGGGTTCACGGTGCAGAGCAGGGTGAACCTGGCATGTAACCATGGATGCTGGGGTTTGAATCCCAGCTGCATCTTTTACCATGTGTTTCATAAGGCACAAGCTGCTTAACTTCTCTGAGCCTCAGAGCCTGTCTTGGTAAAAGGGCTATGAAAATGGCTCCTTCATAAGACTACTGTGACTCAGAAATAATGGAAGGAGAACACCTAGTATAGTGCCAGGCACAGTCAATGATTTTTTAAAATGCTACCATTATTAGTCTAATGTTTTATCTTAAAAAGAAATGTATTTGATTGGAAGCTTAAAAATAGGCCATAAGGTTTATTTGTAGAATAGATATTGAAGAATAGATTCTTTCTGTTAGCATTGTTTTTGAACTAAATCATTCATGAATGAATCAACCAAAATGTATATATTTTAATTAATTATTATAGGTGAGCTACTGTACTTGACACATTGATTATGCATTACCTGCCAACAAGATTCTGACATTCTAAACCATTTCTGGTTTAGCCCTGGTCACTCCTGCCAAAAGTGAACTTATGGTGTTGCCATGTCACCTCAATTGCCTCCTAAACTCTTCCTGACCAAGGGCCCTCCTTTTTGTTATTCCATATTTTCTATGCCTGTAAGTCCCACTCCACATCCCTGGAACATAAAGCAGCCTTAAGAAATAGTGCTCACTAATTGCCTTTTATGAACCGCTGATGTCTGTGATTTTCATCTAAACAAGGCTGCTCCGAGTGCCAAGGAAAAGCAGAGCCTTTTCTTCATAGACCAGTGTCTTCAGGGTGGGAACTGGACCATTTAAAACTCCAGCCAATGACCAAAATCCAGTTAGTGCTTCATATGTTATTAATGGAATGGAACTAATTTTGAGGAAAAGAGGAATAGAATCAGCTCAAACAATCAAGAGTGTATTTGAATGCTCCACAATAGCATTGTATAAACCCTATGAAGATCTACAGAAATAGCCTGAATAGAGAACAGTAGGGATGGTTCTATTCTATACCTTTGCTTTAACGTTCATGCTGGTGATAGAGTGTAGAGGTTGAGAAGATGTACACATTTATCAGATTCTCCTAAGGATTATTAACCAGCTACCAGTAGGTTCAGAGGCAGCGTGTAATTATACCAGCTAACCCAAGTATAGACTGTTGATATGCCCAAAACACTTGGTTTACGTAGCAAACTGACCATTTGGATAACCTGACCCTGAGAGAATCCAGTCAAGGGGAAGCAAGGTTAGAGCTGTCCTGGAAGTTTAGATTAAATGAGTCCTCTGGCACAGAAAAGGGACTGGTTGAGCGTCATAAAGTAAACCAGCACCTAGTCTCAGCCAGGATAAATATAATATTCTGAGTGATCTGTTAAGAGAATGCAAACACGAAGAATTTTACCAAACAATGATAAAACTTGGATGTAAGTGAAGAAATACTGATTGGTGATATAGAGCTAGTCAGGGAGGCAAAAGGGGTTTGAAAAGGTCTCCTCTACAGTCACGTTAAAAACTAAGGTGGTGACAAGGCCCTTAGATTAGAGGCATATTCCCCAGATACCCCAGGATGAGGACGGCAATCAAAGGAGACAGATACTTAACATGCAATATTGCAACCACAAAGAGGCTAATGAGATTCCAGGCTGCTTGTCCACAGGGCTAGCCATCAGTGTCACCAGGCAGGGAGGCTGCTGTCCCTCTTATAACCACTCTTCCGAAACTGCATGTGTGACAGGGCATCTGATTCTCAGTGGCTTAATAATGACACTGTCTACTTAGTCTAGCCGGGCTGCAGCAGGGGGACAGTGTGCTGATAAACTGGCTGGAGGCAGACACCTGTTGGAAGGCTGCAGAGAGTTTGTGCATGGGACAGAAAGCCATGGTCACCAGAGGCACAGTGAGGAGGAAGAGCTGCCCATGCATGGCTCTGCAGCATAAACCTGGGTTCTTGGGTTTGAACTGATGAGGGTGAGGTTGATATCCAAATTGTACCATGAAGATACTGTTCAAGTTTCAGGAAACCTAAAATAAGAGCAAACTATAGGAGATCTTATCCTCCTTCCTTACTGGCAAAGTAAATTTGTTTAGCATTTGGTTTAATATTTTACCAAAAATCAAAAAAGAACAAATTAACAAAACAACAGATGAATAACCACCTGTTTCTATCTAGATGATGATTGGAGTTCAAGACTTGGCAGGACTAAGAGATAGAGTTGATGAGAGGAAAATCAGATTAGGACAGAGACAATGTGAGGCATCACTGTAGCTCTGGGATTATTTGCTATGGCACAGAGCCAAGGCTCCTAATCCTCTGGATTCTCAGTCCCATCATCTGTCCTGTAAGCAACACTCACCTTTATGGGGAAGATCAAATGAAATAGATGTTGAAATTGATTTGAAGCATGGCAAATATTACATACAAATAAGACATCTGTGATTAAAGCATTTTATCCATTGCTTTGCTAATAAGTGTTCAAGGGAAGAAATTAATCAAGAACATTTTTGGGGAGGGGTGTCAGTGATAATAAGTACCCTGTCTTCATAGACATCATGCCAACTCTGTTCTTGAAAGGCTGATTTTAAAACTTCAGTAGCTATTAACAATGTGATTAAAATCCTGAAACTTTGGAAAGAGCTTGTCGATATGGTCCATATTCACTGATTATTTACCAAACCTACTTATCTAACCATCTCCATGGTTAAAGTTTTCTCCTTTAAAACTACCAAGTTCTGTAGGTGACCATTCGTCATGCCCGGGGAGCTCTGAATGAGGCTGCCATATACAGCTGCAGATATTGTGCATTATGTAATTCTGCTGAGGTATTCACATAGAATTCTAGAGTTGTTTAATAAGTTACCCTTATTTGGGGAATAATGCTAGAAGAAATTTTTTTAAAAATTTCTAAAGAATTTTTTAGCCTGTATTTTAGAATTTTTTTTTTTAGCCTGTATTTAACCCAGGTTATGTTAAAATCAGCTTCTTATAGGTCACCATGTTTGGTTTCCTCTACATGCAACAAATGTGCAAAACAAATCTACAAATCTTTTTAGGGTGTTTTGGAAGAGAGCTGCTATTATCTTCCCATGGATGTACTTTCTTTCTGTGCTTGTGTCTCTGACATAGGGTTGAAAAAAGTAACTCTGATGTGTAGAAATTCAAGCATGTGGCAAACAGGCAAGGAGTGACTTTGAGGGGGTGGCTTACATCTATACAAAGACACCTACTTCTCCTTTCTAGAGTTTTAAAATTCCATTTTAAATTTCCAGCCAAAAGAAAAGCTTTCAAGGAAATGGGAGTATTTCATTTTCCTTGATTTGCCTGATTTCTCTTAGCAACTAACAGTTGCTAAGAACTGATGACACTTTTACTATGATGATGTCAAATTGGAGACTGACGATGTGCATTTTGGCATTACATAAATTATTCTTAATAAATTAGGTGCTTCCCAAAAGTACATTATGAAATGTACTTTTTTTTTATTTTTTTTTTGAGACCGAGTCTCACTCTG
Organism: Homo sapiens; assembly: GCF_000001405.40. NCBI lineage: Eukaryota > Metazoa > Chordata > Mammalia > Primates > Hominidae > Homo > Homo sapiens. The sequence goes on from NC_000018.10 coordinate 38,470,953, forward strand.
TCACCCAGGCTGGAGTGCAGTGGCTCGATCTCGGCTCACTGCAAACTCCGCCTCCCAGGTTCACGCCGTTCTCCTACCTCAGCCTCTCGAGTAGCTGGGACTACAGGTGCCCGCCACTATGCCCAGCTAATTTTTTGTATTTTTAGTAGAGGCAGGGTTTCACCGTGTTAGCCAGGATGGTCTCTATCTCCTGACCTCGTGATCCGCCCGCCTCAGCCTTCGAAAGTGCTGGGATTACAGGTGTGAGCCACCACGCCCAGCCTAAATGTACTTTTTACCTTTCAGTATATATACTTAATTGAGTCTTTATTGGAAATTGTTTCTTAGGCTGGAGTTTTCTACCATCCCTGTGACCCCCCCAACTCTCAGTGTCTTCTATCCTTCAGTTAGAAAGGAGATGGCTAAATGCTATCTGATAGTTTCTGTCTGTGCTACCCAAACTTCATGTCTCTGATCATTGCCAGTCATTTATTTGCAGGGAGAAGGCTTAGCCATGTTGTTTTTTAAGCTGAATTGTAGCTTTGAGAAACAATGATGTAAGATTTTATTTTTCTCTACAAAGTGGCATCTCCAGAGACTAGCATTCCCCAGATAGCTTCCAAAAAACATGAGTGTGTTTGATTAGTGTTACTTGAAGTACGAACAACATATTCAGAATTCCTTGGTCATGTATTTTAGCAAATAAGTTTAGTCCCCAAGCATTTCATTTATTTTGCGTGTTACTTGTATTATTTAATTATTGTTATATTTCCTTACTTGTTCCTTTCCCTGTATTTGAAATCATTATTTCCTCCCTAATTTTCAGATCTCATCTGTTCCTCAGCTCTCAAATTACCCTGCTAATTTTAAAATATCTTCCTTTTCACACAGAACTATGAAGTGGCCTATAAAGAAACATTAAGAGTATATTCTCTTTCTCTGTGGGCTACTGAGAATTGGAAATTCTAGAAGCCATGGGATTTTAAAGAGTCTTCTGTTAACTTGAGTTATTTTTATTTTATTCTCTACAGACTTTATTGTGTCAAATGGGAAAAACAACTAGCTTAAATGAATCTCTTGAGACTTTGATTGATTATTGGTAATAATAGCTTATAAAAAGATTACTTTCCATCAGATGCCATTTTGAACAGATTTGTACTTTTTTCTGTGACTGTAATAGCTTGGTAAAAGAGAAGGTCAAACTTAAGAAATATAGAAGCAGCAGCTTAGTCATAACACTGTAGTATTATGGTACTACCATAATGGTAATACCAAAATGGTACTACCATAATGGTAATACCAATATGGTAGTACCATAATGGTAATACCAATATGGTACTACCATAATGGTAATACCAATATGGTACTACCATAATGGTAATACCAATATGGTACTACCATATTACCATACTAGTAATATGGTAGTAAACAAATGTACTTTGCAAACAATTTCTAGAAAACTGATAATTCTGTCTAGAAAGATCAATATTTCACCTATATTTCCTTTTCTGCTTTCATCTTTGAGGTGATTTCCCTTATATTTTGTTCTTTGTTTATTGACTGTACACTTACAATCAGGCTTATTTGAGGACATTGCAGCTGGAACTTATGAATCTTCTTCAGTGTCCATTTTTGTAATCAAGGAAGCAGTCATTCCTCAGTGGGAGCCAATGTGGCAGGTGTAATAGTTATTTCACTCCGTGTGAATATCATGGACTGTTCTTTCCTGCCCAGTGTACTCACAAATCATGTGACTGTGGTCCCTGTGGGTATGAGCCAACCAAGGACAGATGTGTCAGTATATATACCTTTCTTCTACAAGTAAGTTTGATAGAATTGTGGCATCAAAAGAGTCAATTTTACTATAATAAATTATAGTTTAAATTGTTAAAAGTAAGTATGTTTATCTTCCTAACAAATGTTATTAGAAAATCTACTATTTGCCAAGATCAGGGTTCAAGTACCAAGGGAGGAGTTACCAGCTTTGCTTTTCTGCTTTTACAGTGTATTCCTAACAGCTAGGATTCTCTGAAAATAGCTGTTGATACAGTGATAGAAATAATATTACTTTCAAATATTCATCAGCTTTAACTTAGAACCGCAGTGTTCTTGGTCTAGCTTAAATCTCACCTCTACCAATAAGCCTTTCCTGAATGATATGGTTTGGCTGTGTCCCCATCAAAATCTCATTTTGAATTCCCACATGTTGTGGGAGGTAATTGAATCACGGAGGCAAGTCTTTTCTGTGCTGTTCTCATGATAATGAATAAGTCTCATGAGATCTGATGATTATAAAAAGGGGAGTTTCCCTGCACAAGCTCTCTCTTTTGTCTGCTGCCATCCACGTAAGATGTGACTCACTCCTCCTTGCCTTCCACCATGATTGTGAGGCCTCCCCAGCCATGTGGAACTGTAAGTCCATTAAACCTCTTTCTTTTGTAAATTACCCAGTCTTAGGTATGTCTTTATCAGCAGTGTGAAAACAGACTAATATACTGACCAAACCTTTTAAGCAATTTTTCAAAGAGGATGAGATGGTTTTTATTTGGGCAGCATCTCCTGGCTAGAAGGAGAATTTTTCACAGTTATCATAAGTGCTCATTGTCAATTTATTATCTCTACTTTTCAAATACAAAAAGAAAGTCAGGCTCCAAAAGGCTAAGTAGCTGATTCCTCTACATGCAGCTAGTTAGTTACCCAAAGTTAGAAAACCAATCCCTGAGCTGCAAACTCCATGCCCTTTCTACCGTATCAAGTCACCTCTCAAGGCCCTCCCCTTAACCTGACCTAATCTGAGGCACTTGAGGGCAGTGATGTGTTTTTTCCTCTCACAAGAGGACTCCCGTGTTTGGAGAACCTTAGAGTAGTTGCTACCTTCCCACTTCTAGTGCAATCTGAATATAAAATGATACCATGAGGCCCAAGGAAGGGCAGAAGGACTGAGAATGTGGGTGTCTCTGCACAATAGATGTATGAAAACAAGTGTCTCCACAGACTTACCTGCATTTTCACTTAGCTCTTGGTCAGTTTCTTCAAATCTAGCTTTCTCTCTGGATATCTTTTACACAGAATGAAATATGAATGAACATATATGTGTGTATATACACACACATACGTATTCTTAGAATATGAATATATATGTGGGTGTGTATATACATGTGATATACATACATCCATCTTCTGGAATTCTTCTGGTTTACTCAAATACTCATAACCTTCATTAACTAAAATCCCTCCTCTGAGAAATTACTTCTCAGAAATGTGACGTATCTGTTCCTTTCTCAGACTTCCATTTAACTTTTAAGCATTCATTTTCACTAATTATTTAACACCCAGATTGTGCCATCTTTAATATCAGGGATTATGTATATTACTTCTATATTTATATAATTACAATTTGCATTCAAGTATTTTTGATGCTTTGATTATATCTCACATAAATTCCCCTTTTGTATAATTCTGTGAAACCTAACGCTGAATATTTGTTTTTAAAGAAATTTCTGTTCAATCTATAAACTATGTTCTGAATATGTGTTTTCTTGTTTGTAAAGCCTACTGAGTCCCACTGGGTGAGTCATAAGGACTGTGCACACTGATTTGTTTGCCAACATGTCTAGAGTCAGATATTAATCCATTGATTCCACAGATTCATGTGGAGCTCCAAGTTTGTCAAGACCCCTGTGCTGGGCCCTGCTGTTATGAAAGATTCAATCCTGACCAAAGATAAAAACTCACTTATAAATACCTGGGACAGGCTTTGCCCAAATGATGTACAATTTTTCTCACAGAAATTTCCACCTGCACATGAAATCTTTGTATATACAAAGACTGGCGAATGTAGTATTTAAATGGCCATATCCATTTCTATTTCTTTTCTTTTCTTAAACGTATACTTTAAAAGTAACTTAAAGTATGCTGAAATAATGATGAAATCAAGGGCAAAAACATATAATTTTTTTTCATTTTAAAAGCACCGGGTGTCCTCTGCTCTCCTCTATCAACCCACTTTCATTCCAAACAACATAGTCGGATTGTCTTTAAATATAAATGCTCTCATCCCTAAGGAACAGAGAACCAGAGAAAGGCAGCAGAAGGGAACGTGTGCCGAGAAAGGCATTGGTGCCCTAAGGGACAATTTTCATCTCAGGAGAACTGACCTTTCAGAGAAAGCAAATTAAATTATCTTTCTCATCCTTTACTTTTGCTGTGACATCATTAAAATGCACGTTACATACCAACACTCATTGTTTTGTATTCATAACCTTAAACTAAAATTAATCAGTTGTCACAGGGACTTAACACATTTGTTAATGGTGCCTAGCCAAAAATCTGTATTGTCACAAGAAAAGCAGCTTTATGTGTACACCCTTGAGAAAACAACAGAGGAGAATTAACTGGTGGACACTGAACATCCCTGTCTCTTGTTCAGAAAATAAGAGTCCTCATTCTCTTCTCCGGTTATTGAATTAGTGCTCCTGCTTTGATGTTTGACATGAAGTTTAGTACCTTGAGAGCAAGAAATGTTTTTATCTAAGTCTGATTAATGTAGACTAGGTCCTACAAAGTTTAATAAATAGATGAATTTAGCTAGTAAGTATTTATTAAGCTCCAATATGGAGCCCAGAGCCTTATCATGGATTCATTCTTCATCATGTATTTATTGAGAATTTAAACTGGTGAAGATGTATTTATGAGTAACCCCAAGTCATTGCTTTTGAAAAGCTCATAGTCTTGACAGGCAAAATATGAGTAAATAGTTAACCTATGGCATGATGTCTTAAGTGCTCTAAAGGAAAAGAAAAGCACACTCTCATAGGAGGCGGCCTTGGAAACAAAGGAAGGACCTCTCAAGGGGGTCATCTAAGCTGGATCCTACATAGCATGAGTGGGAGCTGGTCTGAGGAAGATGATGTGCTATGCCATGCTGGGCAGAGGAGATAGCACGAGGAGGACCAGAGAGGTGTGCTGTGGTCAGATAGCATTCTGGGGACAATTTAAACCACTAGAGAGTGCTAGGGAAGAGTGTGACCTGATCTGATTTGCATTTTAGAATGCTGTCTGGCATCTATGAGATATTTATTAAAGGACAGCAACCTCAAAGGAAGAAAGACTAAAATAGTTCACTTTTCTTAGTGTGTCAAATCAAAGACAGTAGCAATGTGGCCTGTATGGAGGTAGAGAAGATGGAGGTAGGAAGAAGATGTTTAAATTAGTATACCTCAATATATACAGTATATTAAGGAGGAAGAAGATTCAAAGTGGTTGGATGAATGATGAGATAGGAAAGGAGCTCAGGTATGAGAAAGATGTACCACCCACCCTCCAGTACTTTATATTCTGTTCAAAAAAATACAAGTTGGAAATGTATGCCTTAGTATATTTAAGCAATTTATTGTTGTATAAGTAGCTGAACTTTGTAATTTGCTAAATATTGTGCAATGTCACTTATTAGCCATGTGGCTGGCAATAGTTATTTTCTATATTATGACCACTAATGTATAGAAAATACATGGCACTGAGAGATGATCTAAAAATACTAGTAAATATTGCTGTAAAATGAATAGTACAAAATTAGAAACATAATACTAATTATATGTTAAACAGTTAAAGCAAAATGGTTAATGTATTTAAAGGCAATTTTTTCTTTTATATGCCTCTGAGAAAAAGAATGATTCTGTTGGTGTAATTAGGAAAGTGAGCAGACATGTATATGCTTCAGAATATCTCTGGGAAATAGATTACTCACCTCCCTAGGTCAATATTTGATCCCTATTAGTCAATAAGTTCTTTTTTTCTTAATGTCAACAAGAAAAATATTTTACTAACTCATAATGTTCATGATAGGATGTTAATTTTAAAAAGCAGTACAGTTTTGTATTTTTAGCTTCTGGCAACAGGCACAAAGAATACCCTGTATTTAGCTACATCTGTAATCATGTGTCAATAAAGAATATTATATACTTTTTTCTGAAGATAGATATGAAGAGACAAAAAGATGAAAAATATCAAAATGTTAACTGTGGTTAACTGTAGGTGAAACTGCAAGTCAGTTTTAATTTTTTATACATATGACATATTTTTTATTTTTAAATATTTAAAGATTGTGTATATTCAAGGTGTACAATATAATTTTATATAAGTATACATTGTGTAATGATTACCATAATCAAGTTAATTAGCACACCTTTTACTTCAGAGTTGCCGTGTGTGTGTGTGTGTGTGTGTGTGTGTGTGTTGAGGGAATTTAAAATCACTATGTATTACACTAGTGTAATACATAGATATTACACTACTACACATAGATATTACACTAAGTATCACATTATGTAGAAATTTCATGTATATAATACATTTCTATCAACTATAGTCACCATGTTGTACATTAGAACCCCAGAACTTATTCATAACATAACCTGAAGTTTTAACCCTTTGACCAACATCTCCCTATATCTCCCACCGCCAGCCCCTGATAACCTCTGTTCTATTCTCTGCTATCAGTTTGACATTTTTTAGACTACACATATGATCATACAGTGTTTGTTTTTCTGTGGCTGCCTTATTTAATTTAGTATACCGTCCCCCCTAGTATATCCATATTGTCACAAATGGCAAGATTTCCTTCTTCTATAATATTTCATTGTTTTATACACACAGACGTATATACTTATATATATATCACATTTTCGTTATTCATCTGTCAATGAACATGTAGATTGTTTCCATATCTTGGCCATTGTGAGTAATACTACAGTGAACATGGGGACATAGACATCTCTTCAAGATACTGGTTTCATTTCCTTTGGATATATACCCAGGAGTGGGATTGCTAGATTTTATGGTGGTAGATTTTTTTTTGAGGACCCCCATACTGTTTTTAATAATAGCTGTACCAATTTCTATTTCCTCCAACAATGAACCAGGGTTCTCTTTTCTCCACACTTTTACCAACTTAACAGGCATCTTGTCTTTTGATAATAGCTATCCTAACATGTATTAATATACTCTGTTTTCTCTTCAGATTGCATAAGTCTTTTACCTTTTACTAAGAGGTATAGATGGTGGTTCATTGTGGTTTTAATTTGCATTTCTCTGATGATTAGTGATGTTGAACAACTTTTCATATACCTGTTGCCAGTTATATGTCTTCTGTGAAAAAATGTTTATTTGGGTCTTTTGCCCCATTTTTAAATCAGGTTGTTTTTTGCTAAGTAGTGTGAGTTCCTTTTGTATTTTAGATATTAACCTCATACCAGATTAATGATTTGCAAATATTTTCTCCAATTCTTTAGGTTGCCTTTTAACTCTTCTGATTATTTCCTATGCTATGCAGAAGCTTTTTGGTTTCAGGTAACAGTTCTTGTTGGTTTTATGCTTTTGGTGTCACATCCAAAAAGTAATTGCCAAGACCAGTGTAAAAAACCTTTTTCCCTGTTTTCTTCCAGGAGTTTTAGATCTTACATAGTTTTTAATTCATGTAAGTTAATTTTTGTATATGGTACAGGATAAGAGCCCAGTTTCTTTTGGCAGGTGTCTGGATATCCAGTTTTTCCAACATCATTTATTAAAGAGACTTTCCTTTCTCCCTCATATATTCTTGGTACCCTTGTTAAAGATTAGTTGACCATATATGCATGGGTTTATTGCTAGGCTCTCTATTCTGTTTCATTGGTTTATGTTTCCATTTTTATGCTAGTATCATACTGCTTTATTATAGCTTCGTATTATAGTTTGAAATCATGGCGTGTGATGCCTCCAGGTTTAATCTTCTCAAATTGCTTTGGATATTTGTTTTCTATGCGAATCTTAGATTTTTTTTTTCCCATTTTAGTTAAAAATGTCATTGGAATTTTGATAGCAATTGCCACAAATCTGTAGATCACTTGGGATAGCGTGGGCATTTTGAAAGTTCTAGTTATTTCAATCCATGAACATGACACATCTTTCAATTCATTTATATCTTCTACAGTTTATTTCATCAGTGTCTTGTGCTTTACCGATCCTTCACCTACTTGGCTAAATCTATTCCTAAATATTTTATTATTGTTGATGCTATTATAAATGAAATTTTAATTTTTATTCCAATAGTTCATTGTTAGTGTACAAAGGCCAATGAAAAGCTGAAAACGTTTCCTCTAAGATCAGAAATAAGACATGGATGTCTACTCTTGCCATTTCTGTTTAACACAGTACTGAAAGTTTTAGCCTAAGCAATTAGGTAAGAAAAAGAAATAAAGAGCCTCCAAAAATCAGAAAGGAAGAAGTTAAAATATCTTTTTCCAGATGACATTTTATATATTAAATTCCTAAAGACTCCACCAAAAAATTATTACAACTAACAAATGGACCTAGTAAAGTTACAGTATACAAAATGATCCTTACAAAAATTAGTTGTTTTTCCATTTACTAACAGTAAATTATTTCTTATATCTGACCATAGACCCTCCAGCTTATGTGAACCCTTTTGCTTTTACTATATCTGCTCAGATTTCTTCTTGTTCTGCTAAATGTAGTTACTCTCTTTGTAGGGAGTTTTATCAGTAAAATTTTATATAGTATTGTGTTGAGAATACGGTTATTTTCTTTGTTTTTCATAACTCTGAAGAACATGCTAGCATATTTCATTGATACTTGCATATGTTTTCTAAATATACCTCAGCTAGTAACTGCTATGTACTTGGGAGAAGGGAAAGCAACTTATCTTTACTATTTTTTTCTGAAGTTCTAATTTTTATTTTTTTCTCAGAGAAATAGGTATGAATTTTATTTCATGCAACATATTACTCAAGTCAATGTGAGCATCTCTAGTGAAGTCACTGCATATCCTTGGTACACAGAAATCCTTGACCCCATGTTCTAGATGAAAACCTGGGGAAAAAGGAAGAACCTAGACTGCCTACATCACATAGCTCTTAGATACCCATATTTACTTGATCAAATAATCAGAACATACCTGACCTAGGCAAATTGTTAATCTGTGTGTGTGTTTTTTTTTAATTCTTATGCTTCCAGCCTCTTCTTTCAAGGGTGACCTTCAGCCAGTCCATGTTTTCCTATATTTTCCTATTCTCTCATGAAACTTACTCCCAGAAAGGGAGCTTGTCTAACCTAGGTATGTATTTCAGATTATGTAGTACAACTGCCTGGGGGATTTCATTTTAAACCTTTTTCATGTTTGTAAAATGGAAGATGTTCCCTATAAAGAAAGGCAGGCACCAGCTAACAGGCAGTGGGGGAATAGTAGAGACCTTTAAATCCGTCCAAAACGGCACAGTCTATTCTGCTTCTATCTAAAGCAACTATACATCTAAATAATGACTCAGTTCTTCCCTCCAGCTGTTAATGTTGGTGACCCACAGAGTCAGAATTTAGAATCCAGTGCAAACTCTGAGGCTACATCCCTCATGGTAGACAATGAGAACATAATGTCTGAGCTATGTGACAAAGCCTGGACTCAGAACCTGGATTTTGGCTCACTGATTGCAGAGGTACCTTTGGTGATCTACCCTGAGCCTCCGTTGCTTCCTCTTTCTTCAGTATCACTCCTAAGTGTAAGGAGTGTAGTTCCTATTTCACAGGTTTCCCATAAGGATCAAATGAGCATATGTGGGTTCCCAGCCTGCCATAATGCCCAGATTGCAGGGGATTATTAAGTATCCTTTCTGTTCTGCTTCTTTCTAAGTCAAAACTTCTAAGCTTTGTCTCTGTTTTCATTTAGCTCATGTCCAGGGTCTCAGTCTCTGAAGCAAGAAACAAGACTCCAGGAGGGTGGGATGTTTAAAAACAAAACAAAACAAAACAAAACAAAACAAAACAAAACAAACTATCATGGGCAGCTGCAATTTATAATGACTACAATATGTTATAGCCTTTCTAGTTATCTGTAATTTATACAGCTGTGATCAGCTCCTGGCTTGCCCAAAGGAAACACACTGATTCAGATACAGATACCTTTATTTTTGAAGTATCCCACGTATGTATTTCCTATTCACATCGGTGTCTTTCCAAATCTATGACCTTCAATTTCATCTGGTCTACCGGCATGGCTCTAGCCAGAGCAGCACGTGCACAGACCAATCTTCGGTCTAGATTGCACATGATGGAGTGATGAACTGTGATGTAACCCATCTATGAATCTTTCTACCTTTTCACACACAGGTATATATAATATTAACATGGCTCTACAAATATCATCCCAGAAAGGCTAGCACAAAATCAAAATTGGGGGTCTAGTAATTGCATTCACTCAGAAATAAGAACCACCAGTTATCGTAATGCTAAGTAACAGATAAGGACTTTCTTTCTAGGCCAGAAGACTCCTTGAGATGGCTTATGATAAAATAACATCAACACTAACTTCTGTTCCATGCATTATAACTATAAAATGAAATGGAAAGAAGAAAGCCATCATGAGGCTTTCATTTCAGTTATGTAGATGTGGGGATATTTTTGGTCCAGGATTCACAGATAGAAAGGATTTACAAGTTAATAAAATGCCTGAATTATCAAATGCAAAGTGCACATGTTTCAAAGGTGAAAAATAATGAAAAGTCCTTCTCACCCATTAGTTCTCGGTCTGTGGGGCTCACTGTGTGTGTGTGTGTGTGTGTGTGTGTGTGTGTGTGTGTGTGTATGCTGCATGCACAAGCATGTGCTTCGGGAACCCAGAGTGGCCAGCTTTTCGCAACCACCATCCTGTAAACATTTGCTTTTCTAAGTCTACCCCACCTCACTGGAATATAATCATTTAAATTATTCAGCATCTAAAAACACTATAATGCACGTGGGCCCAGTTGGCGGTTATTTTATGCCTATTAGGCCCTGCAGCCCACAATAAAGAAGGAGGGAGCTGGGCTTCTGCCAGCATCACAATGACACATTGTTCACACATCAAAAGCCATACAACAGAGACAGTTGATATTTAACGGGTTCCTGTTTGCATGATGCCACTTTGGTGGTTCATCTCTGAGGTTTCCTTTGAAGGAAGAGGGAATCAAATGTGTGGAAATGTTGATAGTGAATTTCACCCTTCCCTCTCAAGAGAGCTAAAGGGTATGATTTCCAAAATGTGCCCATCTGAAATTTAGATAATGTTTGACTCTTCCTACCCTTCTTGGAGCAGTTTAGCAATGAGACCTCTGTTCAGAGATAGGGGAATATTCACAAAGCTTTATTTCTTGGAAAGGACTCTGAGTACTACTCAGTCTGAGCATGCTTATGTTTAATACCTTTTTATGGAAGCAAATTTGCTTTGGGTAATAACAGAATATAGTTCTGTTATGTGGTTTGCTATCTTTCCCTCAACCAAGGACAGATTTTCAAAATCTCACTGAGAAAAATAAAGCTTGTAAGGAGTTAGGGGAGGAATGTGTAATCGAGGTTTCTCTGAATTTCTCCTTGGGTAAAACCAGGCATACTTGAATGCCATTAGAATTTATAACCTTGGGTATGAGATACATTAAGGTCCAGTGTGCATGTGTGTGTCCATAGTACGGATACAGTGAATGTTTGAGTATTTACTATCAAGTAGTCATTGATGCACTGCAGTTTATAGAGTAAAATTCATCATTCATACAAGTAATATATTTGTCCAAATTGGACAAAGTACAGAGAAGAGTCACAAAAATGATTGAGGAGATGGAGGCCTTAACATACGAGGTGAGATTAAGAGAATGTAGTGTGTGGAGCTTCGTGAAGCTGCTGCTAAGGAGATACGGTATCACTGCCTATGCCTCAGGGCATAGCAGTAAACCCCCAAAGGGGAATTTGCAGGGAAGTAAAAGGGGCATTACAGAGAAGAAATGAGCAGAGAGGGGTTGTCTGCCTATCAGGGAAAAAAGTTTGTTGGAGTGGAAGCTATTAGGCAGCAGAATTACATCCCCAGGGAGACAGCAATGTCTGTGACCCCATTACAGAGGACATAAAGGCTGGCCAGGTGATCCAACTCCCCAGTATACTATAAGGAGGGCCTTCTGGGCTCCTTGGAGACCGGGAATGGATGGAGGGTGAAGTGAGACTCTTTCACATCTTACCATGTATGATTCCACTTTGGTTCTGAGATGAATGCTGAAGGCACAATTCCCCAGCTACCTGGATCTGATGCCAAAGTTAGATTTTATAATTCTCGGATACATACTTAGGGATTATCAGCAAACTCTTTTCCCAAACCTTTGATATATTTAAATGAAATAAAACCCCTAGGTGGCTTTGAAAACAGCATCTTTGGCGCACGCTTTTATCTGGAGACATTTCCCCAAATATTTTTTAAAATGTGCATGCATGTACTGTGGGGAGACGGGGAGAAAATGAACCTCATTGAACTGCAATTCATCACAAAGTTAACTGTTTTTATACAGCCTACGTTCTGTGTGTGCATGCCAAATCTGCAGCCATGCTAATGGAATATTAATATATTCTTACTAGGAGGACAGATCGAGGTTTAAAAGGAAACAAAAATAAAATATAATACAATATAAAGGGAAGAATAAATGAAAGAAATAGGAGCCAGTTGGATTTCGGGGTCTCAGCCACAACCCCCTGGGGGAAGGACTGGGGAAAGAGAGGCAGTGCTTTCTCTTTATCTTGCAAGCAATTACTGGCGATTTGTTCTGGCCAGTAAAACTTCTGATATTATCATGGTTGCTGAGTAATTTATCATCAAAGTTTAATGTGAAAACAGGTGACTGTGTAATCACCAATCTAGGAACAGAAATAGAATCGTTATTATTTCTGCCTGAAGAGAGAGATTTTTTTTTTCTGTCAATTGACTTAACGGCCAAAAGGCTGTTCATCATATCACCATGAATTATAAAACCTCTATTAAATATTCATAAAAGTTTTGAAATGAATGTGTGATAGAGATGAAAGCTGGGCTAATTTAAATACCTACCAGACCTGTCTTAATTACAGAGGTAAAATGAGATATAAAAATTATAGCAGCAAGGAAAAAAAAACTTGAAACAGTTCATTCCATACATTACAGAAAATGCCTTTGCGAGCCACCATACACAAAGCCAGAGCTCTGATTTCCATCTGCCTTAAAGCAGTGCTGAAATGGAGTTGGCTATGTCTTTCTTCTACAGGAAGTAAAAGGGAGGCATCCTTGGGACTTCAGGCCAAATACTTTTTGCTGTGTCTCCAAAATGTAAAAAAAAAAAAAAAAAAACAAAAAACTCAACTGTAGAAGCACATCCATATGCACCTTCTGAAATTCAAATCCTCAGAAAAAAAATCAAGTGGGGCTGAATGGAATTCAGGATGTGACCAAAAGGGATTCAATGAAAATTTCTTCTAATTTTTCATACTATGATTCGTGTGGATTTCACATGGGTTTATAAAAATGGCACATGGACATTTTGTTTATGTATGGGATAATTTTAAGCTTGGACTATCATAACCTCTTCTGCCATCTTAAGAGAAACATTCTCTAGAGGTAATAGAATAATCCTAGGATAATTTATCTGAAGCCAAGGTATACTCATGTTCCCAACCTCAAATATAATTTGCTAAGCAAAAGCCTTTCCTGTTCCTCCCCAAGTCAGGCTAATAGGAATGCAGTTAGAACACTGACCTTCTATCTTCAGGCAAATATCAAATCTGACATTAAAGGCAATAGTATTTTTAAATTGATCATTTGGACATAATTGGCGTGTGTCTCAAGGTGATCCTGTGTTCTTAAATACGTGTTTTAACTGACCACAGATGTGTTGATGGGCATAAAGAGGAAAAAAGAAAAGGATACTTTAGGGATTCAGGTCTGTGTGATGTCATGATAGATTCTCCAGCTAGAAGTCAGGTGCCCACTAGCTTGACCTTGAGCAAGGTTCTTCACCTTGCCGAGTCCCAGTGCCAACATCTGGAAAATGAGGGGATTAATTTGGTGGTGGCTAAAGATCCATCCAACTCTAAAATTCTGCAATTATAAATAGAATGATAAGATGCTCTCTGGCTCTTAGGCCACCACCCAGGAGAATGAATTCCAGTTTTAATTTCCTTTTTGGTGATAGAAAATCTGAAGACAGGCAAGGTTAAATGACCCACCCGAAGGCCCAGAGCAATCAGCGATGGAATCACAGGCTCAGCTCACAGCCCTGGCTCTTTGCTTCCAGTTTTATCAAGTTATTGAGGCCAAATCTTTCAGGCTGTTTGTTAACATCTTATTGGCTTATTCCTATTGACACCCTGAATGATATCACTGATTCAGTGGAAATGTTCCTATTTTTCACAATATTTCGTATGTAGGTATTGCCTCAATAAAATTTTAGGCTCTTTAGTGTACATGTAAGATACATATGTAGCATTGTGCTTGTTTAATGTTATTTAATGCCATCCGACTGCAACAAGTAATTTGGAAAAATTTATATTAAAAAATAGAAATAATATCAGTAAAATTCAAGGAGGAAAATTTGGGCTGGGAAGTCACTGAGAAGCATATCAAAAATCAATAGAAAGTGAGAATATATATTTCTCTTTTCCTTAATCCCCTATTCCTTCCTTCCTCTCTTCTTCACTTCTATATATTCATTTAGTTTAATCTTTTTTTTTTCAATCCTTATTTTCTTTTTCTCATTGGTCTGGCAGTAGCCTTACTGAGCACTGTTTAAGCACCTCTAATTATTTCTTTTAACCAATTCAGATGGTGGGCACTTCTCAGAGCCCTCCTGTGACACACGCTATCTCTGGTAGTGCTCCAGTATGCTAAGGGCTAGCATCCTATCGCAGAGCTGCCAAAAAGTCACATAATAGTGACTGCCAACTTATAATAGCTAATATCTAAGATGATGATATTCTTCCTGAGGTTAGTCCTGAGTGAGAGCCACATTATTTTGTAGAAATTGACCAGCTGCAGATTGAGACTTGTGTCCTAGGCTAGAGTGCTGTAAGGAGATGGGAAAGAATAACCAATGGGTAGAAACAGGAAAAGGAGATCAAGTATGTCACAAAGACACAGTCAGATGAATTGTATGATGACAATGATTGCAAGTATGTATGGTGGATGTAGAACGTGAATGCAGCAGTGCCATTCAATTTTCCAGTCTTGCATGTGGTTGTTCTACATGCAGTCTCATAGTTGTTGGAAGTTTTGATTCAATTTTTGTTTGAGAGGAATCTTTATTTTACATATACTGAAGTTGGTTAGGTTCCAGAACCTAGCCCAATGGCTTTAGTACAGATGTCGCTTGATATATGTCCTTTGATAGGTATCTTGTAGGTTACTTATCGCTGTATAAGGAACTAAAATTTAGCAGCCTAAAACAACCACCATTTCTTTATTTCTTATTATGTTGTTGGTTGCCTGGACTCACCTAAACAGCTCCTCTGCTTCCCACAGTATCACTGGATTTGCAGTCATAAGGGGCTCAACTGTACTTGGTCTTCCAAGACGGTTCACTAGATTATGCGTGATGAATGACTGGATCTTGCTGTCAGCTATCAGCAAATGGTGCTGGTGGTCTGGTCAAACAGAAAACTGTGCTTCTCCTCCATGTAAACTTTCCATGGAGTTTTGGCATCTCACAGCATGGCAGTGGGTTATCAAGAGCATTAAAGAGAAAGCTCCTATTCTTTCTTAGGCTTAAGCCTAAAACTGGCAGAATACAACTTCTACCACACTCTTTTGGTTAAATCAAGTTAAAAACTGAGCCCAGATTCAAGCAGGGGAACCAAAAGGGTGTGAGGCATAATTCATTTGGGTACACCAACATAATAACCAACTAAGGTAGGTAATACGAAAGATAAGTATAAGCATATAGTCACAGTAGGAAGCATTTAAATACAATTGTAGAACCATACACACTGATATCTCTATGAAGGGATCCTGCAAATAGCCCAGACTCACAGTACAGAGGATACTTTTCTTCTACTTAATAGCGCATTGGCTAAAAGTATAATTTTCCTAAAAGCAGATCAACCTGGCACATTCTCAACTGGCCTTGCTGACAAATAACTGATGTTAAAGGCAAAGAAGTGTCTGGGTGTACTATTTTCTGTGAATGTATTTCAGATCAATGAGAACTAACCCCTTATGAAAAATGTTGGAATCCAAAGAATTTTTGCATGTAAAGATCTTCAATTAAACTAGTTAAAACTAATATTGATGTTTTAAAATAACCAAAGGTTTTTAAATTAATGAAACAAAGGATGAAACTAGTAGGGAGAAAGGGCTGAACTTAATTTCAGAGAATGCTTCCTAAAAATTAGATTGGTCTCCAGTGGAATGTGTGGTTGGTTTTGGTAGTGTGCCTACCAGCACTGGAATATTTAAATCTCATTAGGCTAGTAATCATTTCCGAGATATTGTCAAATTTATTTGTTTTCTAAATAAAATTAGCAAGGGTTTGGATAGCCTGAGCTCAGATATAAAATTGTTGAGGGAATCTTAATCAGAAGCCAAACCAAAATACTACCATATTTATTTTTTCTGGTTATGGATAAAAAGGGATAAGAATTACCAATGGTATGAAACAAACATTTAGTACTCTTGTGATTTAAAAAAAAAACAAAAACTGGAAAACTGGAAGAGAATAAAAGGGACCAAAAAAAAAAAAAAAAAGCTCTGGAAACATTTTGGCTCTGTGCATATCATACACATTCTTCCAAATAAAAGTACTATCTACATAATAAAAACATAACTTAATGCAAAGAATCCACATTCCTGACAAGTAGCTTGATATGTTGGCTGTAAGAAACCAGCATGAGTGAGCTATCACCTAAATTTCCCTAACAAATTGGCAAGTCCTTTCTCTTTTAAACTTTTCTCTGAAGTAGGCTCCCTGACAGGCGTGGGGAGATGTCTTGGGCTCCACCATCCCAAGCATAGGACAGGAACTGGAGAACTCACCATTCAGCCATGCATTTGCAGGCAGGAAGCCCGCCAGAGTGCATGTTCCTTTCTACATCACACCAGAACAAGTAAGATTCCACCCTCCAGGACATTTTGTATTTATCTCAAATAGCTTCTAATTGGTGGCCCATTTATACTGTTTTTTTGTTTGTTTTTGTTTGTGGAGATGGAAAAGTCCAGTTAATGATCTTTTTGTAATAGTTCTTCCTGCGCTTAAAGACACAGGCTATGTCTACACATATAATTTGGTTTAGAAAATTATAGTTGAGTTGAGAAATATATTAGCAACAGGTTACTATTTTTTTTAATTGGTGACTTTGTCTTTTTGCAAAATTTAACTCTTGAGAAAGCAATTTTTGTTCATATAACTTGTTATTTAAATGACATCCTCTGAATGTCTATATAAAATTATTCAGTGTTAGTCTGTCATGTCTGACTCAAACCTTTATTTTATGCACAAATTTCTATAACATGTACAAGCAGCAGGTTGCCCTTTCTCTGTAAAAAGCAATTCTAGTATCTACTTTGAAACAGTAGCTGGGGTCATTTTCTTGTAGAAATGATGAGCTGAAGCCTCAAAAGTGCAGGGTGTCAGAATTGATGACCACTCATTTGAGCTACCTACTCCCTCTTTGGAGATCTTTTATCAGCACCCCTGAGGGTAGGCAGCCCAGCCTCTGCTCACCCACCATTCCCACAGAGGGAGAGATAGATGTTGAGGGAACTCGATGTGAACCCACACTATGCTATGCGCTTGGATACAACCATGTTTAAGCTGTACAACCACCATATTCATATGCCATGCACAAGGTGAGAAAACTGAGAAGAGACTTGAGAACTTACACTGACTTGTCCAAGATCACACAGGCCCTAAAGAAGATCATCTTTCTTGGACCCTTTTGACTATAAGGTTTGTTCTAACACTGAGCCCAAATTACTCTCATGAATTTTTTTCTATTCTTCCTAATTCTACCACTTAGGGACATAACGTTTCATTTTCTCATCCTTATGCCTCCAATTCACCATCTATCTTTATCTTATAATTTTGCCTCTTATTTTGTAAAGAAATTAGAAAAATGACAGAGAAGAACTTCTTCAGCTACCAAAGGCCAAAGCTCCCACCTAAGTGCAATTGAACCCACACTGAGAGGTGATCCCTCCAGTCCATGGCCTAAATCTACATATTGCCTCACTTTTCTGCTCGCCTTCAAGTAAAACTATTCAGCTTCGTCTATGTTCATTGTACCGGATTCCTCATTTCTCAATTTATCTTTAATCTATTCCAATTGAACTCAAGTCTTTTACTTTATTCTGTCAACTACTCAATGTCAACAACATACTCTATTTTGCCAAATTCAATAAATGCCATATTTCTGTCCTTATTCAAAACATTAGCGTACTTTTACATGGTTAAGCACGCCTTCCTTCTCGAAATGTTTTCTTTCTCTTGACCTTAGTAACATCATAGTCTCCTGGACATTTTCATACCTCACTAGCAACCACTGCTGCTCTCATTCACTGGTTCTTCCTGTATTACCTGACCTGTAAATATTGGAGTGCTTCAGGAATCAATCCCAGGCCAAGTTCTGTTTTGAAAACTTTTTTTCTAATAATGCATGAAGCTAGTTTTTAAAAAATCCCTCAGGTTGTGCTATAAAATGTATCTAAAACTGACATTTCTTCTCTCTTGCCTCTTCAGCTCCCTACTTCGCTAGAGGCAACTAATTTCAACTCCTAACAGTTTATTCTGGTAATTTCTTCCATATTTTGTTAACACTCACTTTAAAACTTTTTGATTTACCAGTTTTATATAGTATTTTTCTCCATAGAAGATAAGTATTTCACCTTCTTACTCAATATCCCTATTCACCTTTTCCTATCCTTCTCAAAAGATATATATCAAAAATTTTAGTTGACTTTATTTTTGTCATTTAATCAATTATTATTAAATAGGGTTGCACCAAGTTGCATATCAGTATTCTGTTTTGTTTTTGTACTGTGTCAGTCCTCTGAGCCCAAGCCTGCACGTATACATCCAGATGGCCTGAAGTAACTGAAGAATCACAAAAGAAGTGAAAATGGCCGGTTCTACCTTAACTGATGATATTATCTTGTGAAATTCCTTCTCGTGGCTCAGGAGCTCCCCCACTGAGTGCCTTGTCACCCTAACCCCTGCCTGCCCTTTGACTGTAATTTTCCACTACCTACCCAGATCCTATAAAACGGCCCCACCCCTATCTCCCTTCGCTGACTCTCTTTTCGGACTCAGCCCGCCTGCACCCAGGTAATTTAAAAGCTTTATTGCTCACATAAAGCCTGTTTGGTGGTCTCTTCACACGGATGCAGGTGACATACTATTGTTTGTTATGGTGCCATTCACTCCTCATTTTTCTTTTTCATTGTTAGTTTTCCATGTTCCTGTCATTAATATTTTCTTCCAAAGTCTTCAACATGATTATTAAATACATCTTTATATTTTTCTCTTGGAGAAATGTAGTTACACTTGCAGCCTTTCTCTTCACAGTTGCTGGTAGCTGCACCAGTAGGATCAGTTCATTATGACACCATAGTATCAGTTCATTATGATACTATGTACCCTTCACAATGGCAGTCATTTTCTGGAGCCCACTAATGAGAATTTAGATGAGACAAATATATTTGTTATAAATAAATCTTAACTGAAAAGGTGTATACAGAATGGATTGCTGGGTCTATATATCATAACAGTCTAAGACAAACTATCAATATTTTCCTTCTAGGTAACACAAGAAAGTGACACTACCCCTGTTTGGATAACTACATTTTTGCAGTTTATTCTGTAACAAGCTCAAGATTTCAAAAGTGACTTTTGTGTTGTAGTAATGATGTAATGTTGTTGGACAAGGTGAGGAACACTGGCAATGTGAGGTTACTGCAAGGGTAGGTAGGGGAAGGGTGCATGGCTTCGACTGTCTCAATATTCAGTTTAATGTATAAAATCAGGCTGTTTGAATAAAGAAAGAAAAACAAATACATGGATAGTTGTCTAAGTAGAAGGTTAATAATTTGTCTAAGTTGAACCATGGTGTCTCCCTGGGGAAGTAACAATGACATCACTGTATAGAGAAGAAGCAGGTTTATTCTTGCTTATTTTGTTGGAGAAAAAAAACAATAATGGGATGGACTACCACCGCCCTTCCTCCTGCCCCTGTTCCACCAGCACCATCCTTGCCACTGACCCAGAGTGAACCACTAGCTTTGTTTAGTTGTGTTATAAAGGGGACAAGGAAAGTTAGATGGTATTTCACAGAAGCTCACTGATGTCTTTATAATGTGTTAATTTCTTCTGAATGTTTTCAATGTGTACATATAAACCTAGCCTTTCTGGTTTCTCACAAAAGCAACTATAAACACCAACTGATGCTATCTGTTACATGTTTATTTATACTATAAGTTAAATTATGAAGACCAATGAACAAATATTATAAAATATAAAAGTATATAAGCAAGGTCCATTTTATATAGTCCCCCGAATGTTTTTGTGATCTCACTTTGGCAGGCCCAGGGCACAACTGCTGAAATGCATATTTTTCTTATTAGGTGCTGGGATCTCTTCAGAGCCACTGGAATGTATGACCTTGGTCCTCTTAAAAGGCTGCAGAAAGGATGGACTATTCAAGTACAGATTACATAACTCTCCATAGCTACCTTCCCTGCCACCCAACATTATTGCTTGCTCGTTACAGAGAGATCACTACTTTTCTGTATATTGCAGATATGCGGATGGAGAATCTGAGGAACATGATCGTTCATTTCCAGTGTCTTCCTATGTACTCCCTAAACTTAAGTTTTTCTCTGTTTAGAGACTTTCTTAGGGGCAAAAATTATAAGACTTGGCGATGCCCAGAATCCACTCAGTGAAAATGCTTCCTGTTGTGCATTTGTTATTGTGTTGTTTCCCTTTTATCTTTTAATACATAGTGAAAGGTAAAATGCTTCCCTTTCCAGAGTCCACTTGGCCATCTATAGCAATCAAGTAACTCTCACTCATTAGCTGCCCAGATACTTATAAAGATGTACAAAAACTCTGTCTGCTCTCAGGCACCTTACTATTTCTTGAGAAACTGAGACCATGAATTTAGATAATTACAGTTACAAAGCAACTGTAATCAAAATAGTATGTTACTGACATAAAGACAGACTTATAGGCCAACAGAATAGAAAATCCAGAAATAAACCCTTACAAATATGGTAAAATGATTTTAAATAAGGTGTTCAAATCCATTCAAGAGGGAGAAGACAGTCTTTTTAACAAATGGCGTTGGAAAACTGGATAGCCACATGCAAAAGAATGAAGGTATAACCATAACTAACAGCATATATAAAAATTAGCTCAAAATAGATTAAAGATCTAAATGTAAGAGCTAACCTGTGAGACTCTTAAAACAAAGAAAAAGCTTCACAACATTGGGTTTGGTAATGATTTTGTGGAAATGACAATAAAGTCACAGGCAACAAAATAAAAAAATAGATAAATTGGACTTCATGAAAAATAAAAACTTTTGTGCTTTAAGGATCCTAACAACAAAGTGAAAATACAACCTATGTGCACATGTACCCTAGAACTTAAAGTATAATAATAATAAAAAAAAGAAAATACAACCTATGGAATGAAAGAAAATGTTTGTAACTCGTATTTAATATCCAGAATATACAGAGAAATCCTGAAACTGTGGAGGCCAAAGGGCAGTAAACTGAACTCTTAAAACTCTAACACACACACAAAAAAGAAGAAACCTGATTAAAAAAGTTGGTGAAGGACTTAGACATATCTCTAAGGAGGATATATGAATGAATGTACAATAAGCACATGGAAAGATGCTCACAATCACTAATAATAAGGGAATGCACGTCAAAACTACAGTGATATACCAGCTCACACTCATTAGGGTAACTACTCTCAAAAAACAAAAATATTGTTGGTGAGGATGTGGGAGGATGGAAACCTTGTGCACGGTTGGTGGGAATGTAAATCATATAGCCACTGTGAAATAAATATACTGATTTCTCAGAAAACTAAAAATAGAATTACCATATGATCCAGCATATTCACTTCTGGGTATATACCCAAAAGAATTGAATGCAGGTTCTCAAACAGATATTTATCTGCACAACCATGTTCATAGCAGCATTATTCACAATAGCTAAAATATATAAGCAATCCAAGTGTGCATTGACATAAATAAACAAAATGCAGTATATACAAATAGAGTAATTTTCAGCCCTAAAAGGAAAGTTGGACATATGTTACATGAATGAACCTTGAAGATGTCATGCTAAGTAAAATAAGCCAATCATAAAACAGACAAATTCTATATGATTTCACTTATATGAAGTCCCTAGAATAGTCAAAATCAGAGACAGATAATAGAATGTTGGTTTTCAGGACCTAGGAGGAGGTGCTAGGAGTTATTGTTTAATGGACATAAAGTTTCAATTTTGCAAGACTAAAAGGGTTCTGGAGATGGATGTTGGTGATGGTTTTACAGGAATATAAATGTACTTAATACCACTGAATTATACACTTAAAGATGTTTAAGATGGCAAATACAATGTTATGCATATTTTATGACAATTTAAAAAATTAAAGTGAAGGAAAGCCATTACAACTTTTAATAAAGTAAAATTTTGAAAAAGCTTAAAGCTTTATAATATAGCTACATCAAATGCCAGAGGCAGAAGAAAACTTAATTCAAATATGTCATTTTATAGATGAGATCACTGAGGCCAGTGACAGAAAAACAACCAACTACTCAACTAATGATATCTGTATTAACCGTAACCTATATGCTTAGTGCTAGGCTAGTTGATATATGGGCTATCATAGGTTTGTCTTACTATTATAAAGCTTAAAATCTGAGTTTGAAAGTAACTGCTACTCCATGTAATTCAATAAATAACAGAATATCATGATATTCCTAGTAAATGTCATAACACCATAGAATTGATGTCAAGTATTATAAAATCATTTTGTAAATAAAGTTTTATTGGAACCCAGTCACACCCATTTGTTTATATGTTGTTTATGGTTGCCTTTATGCTATAACCAGAGAGTTGAGTAGTTTTCACAAAGATGCTATAGCTCCCAAAGCCTAAAATATTTACTATGTGGCCTTCTATGGGGGAAAAAAAAAATGCCAACTCTGATTTAGAAAGTAAGTTTAGTAAAGGTTTGAAATGCCTTAGAGAAAAAGTGAAAACAGACAGATATTTACAGATTGGCAGCTTCTGGAGTTAAAAAGGAGAAAGAGAGCATGCTTGTAGAAGGAAGCAATGGGAATGAAGCCATGCATTGAAAAACAGCTATGAAATAGAGATTTCTGGATGAAAGGAAGCAGATTTCTCATGGACAGGAGAGGTAAGGGGTAACTAGGTGGCATGAAGCCAAACCACAGAGATCCCTGAGCCAGGCAGAAAATTACCAACTGTTCAGGCAAGAAATAGAAATTGGTGGAAAAATTTGGGGTACGTAACATGTAGAAAGCAATGTTAAAAGAAGTTTAATCTGACTGAGACAGGAAGTAGAATATGCAGCTAGATGCCACTCTGATGACTCAAAATAGTAATTGCTACAGATTAGAAAGTCTTTTCCAGGTAAGTTTCACATCTGTTTTGGGCCTCCCAGATGCAGCACCAAAGCACTGTGGACGATTGAGGAGAAAAGGAGGTCAGACAAAAAGGGAAAGCTCTGCTGCCCTGGGCTAGAGGAAGACACTGTTCAGGCTATAGATAAGAGGGAATCCCTGGTTGCCTTTTATCTTTTCATTTTTAAAATATTATTAGTTAATACTAATTCAGTACTTGCAATGAACTGGTATTAGCTCATATAATTTTTTTTCTTTCAGAAGAGAAAAGATGATGCTTAGAAACTAAAGAACTTCCTAAAGTTATCTAAGGTGACAGGCCAGTAAGGTGGACACTTCCAACTCAACGGGTTTGACCCCAAAACCACCATGCTGCCCTGGCAGCCGATTAATGGCCATGGATTCTCTATCTACTAAAGGTGTAGGACTTAGGATTTCAACTCTAAACTCTCACTCTGAGTTATAAAAAGTTGGTGGTTCAGAGAAAAGAATTAAGCTAACGTGCAATCATTTGCTCTTCTGCAATTTCTTGGCAACTATTACTCTAGCAGTTCTGGTGTCTCATAGCCTAGGTTTGGGGTAGTTGGTGCTGAACAAAGAGGCCATTTTTGTGACCTTGTGGGACCTCATCTTATAATTTTGAGTTAACTGTCTGCAGGAAAGGACAATTTGAATGGATGAAATCATCAGCATTTGACCACGTCTGATGTGAAGTTTCTTTTAGAAAAGATTAGTAGAATGGGAGGAAGAGGAAAGGAAAAAAGCAGCAGTTTGTAGCTTTAGCAAGAGAGATGCTTTCTCTCACAGGATGGCGCTGACCTCAAGCCAGCACTTCAGGGAATTGAGAGAATAAATTACTGAGATATGATTTTAGAAGTGATATCCCAGTTGAGCCAGGAGGTCTTTGCAATTAGAATGTCATTTGCACGGTTAACAATATTGCCACAGACCCAATACTGCTTTCTCTCAAGCCACGATAGAGAAAATCATCCAAATAAGCATGGGTTATTATTTTTTTAAAAAGGAAAGCTGAAGAGCATTTACTTAGTCCTTAATGGTATAGCAGGCAATGTGAAATATCTTTCAGCTAAATGAAAAATTGAAAATATAACTTTTATGCCTGGATACTATCAGGGAAATCAAGATATTAATACATAGTCTGAGAGAAAATGAAGCTGAAATGAATTCTCTTTTTATTTAATGGCTAAAGTCAAGAATTTTTTTTCTAGTGGAAAGTAAACTATCATTTCTTTGGGCTAATTTTAAGTTCTTTGTGGACAGGACTATTTGTATGCTTCTATTGCATCGAGAGCACTTAACATAGTGCCAGAATGTAAAAAGTGTTTTGAGATACAAGTACTTTGCTAGGTGGTTTATAGATCTGACTTTTAAAAACTGTTGGTCAAACAAAACGACAGTCATGGAGGGCCTGTTATGGAACATGTCTCCGTCAGGCATTATTTATTGAGGAGGCCCAAATACATTTTAAACAATGTGAGCTCTGCTGAGACAAAAAGATGTTGGGCCAGATTCCCAAACCCCTGAATCTTTCACTGGCCATCTGATGCCAGAATGGATTTCAGAATATGAGACACTGAGCACAGATGTTGGGTAAATGTAAGCCCTGTTTACTTCTCTAAGATTCTGTGACAACAGACCATTCTGATTTTTTCAGCTCATTCTCTTCTTGGCTCCTCCATGTTAGAAACTTCTAGTATAGAGGAAGACAAAGGATGGACCCAAGAACCACTGCAAGAACTAGAACTAAAGTACAGTTGGCAAAGCACAATGACCATGGAGGTGATAGCTTCAGAATTTGACTACTCCAGGTTCACGAGAACATCAAGAGAGAGACAACCCTGGAGGAAAGTGCTTACTGAAATGAAGGAAATCTTTTCCATATTTTACTGTGTGACACTGAAAGCACAGTACTAACATCTTGTTATAATGTCTCTCCTCCTCAGTAAATGAGGGGAAATGGTCATTGTTGAGAGTTAGGATGCTTGTATTACTGCCTTTACAGCATGACTTGCAGAAAATATTTAATGTGAATGGATGATACACCTGTTTACCAAACTCAGTGGGCTTCCACATATCAAAATGAGAGTCCAAGTCTTCACACTAAAAGCCAGTTTTGAGCATTGGTGGAGCACTATCCTAAATGACTCAGACTTTCTTGCTTAGTGGTGAGTTTGACCAAGGGAATAAGCTAGTGTTCCATGAGGTTGTGACTAAATAGTGTGTATGAGTAGAAACAAAGAGAAAACCTCAGTGTCCTTGAAGAGCATACAGGTAAGTAATTCAGAAAATGAGAAGAGTGAAATTACACATGACTAGGCAGGAAAGGAAAAAGGAAAGGAATATACACTACTCATTTATACAATGGCATGAATGTAGAGCTCATTAAATTCAGGGTCACCACAAAACTAAGTGGCTTCTTTATCTCTATTTTCTAGGTCATGACTGGAGATCCAGTTGAGGAATAATTAGGAGAAAGGATTTTTATGGGAAAAAGACTTGGTTACACATGATTGAACCAGTTCCCCCTACACCTGGAACTGGGACATAAAAGGCAGCAGTGAGAACAAATGTGAATAGATTCTATCCCACCATATTTTGACTGAAATGATTCATGGTCTGCCAAGTGTCCGCTAGAGCATCTTATAGGGTGGCCATATATGCATTATCATTTCTATGGTGAATAAGCTTGGAATTAGAGCTTTCTTTTAGGGAAATCTGAAATTAACCAAGTTTTGCTGCTTCCATGCTGTACAACTTGGGACCAGTTGTTTATCCTTTCTGAACTTAAATATTTCCACATGGAAAGAGTGGATTTTAATAATTTGGGGGCTGTGGGTATGAAAATGAAGTAGTATTAGATAAATAAATCAAGAAGGCACTTAGTGAATGTAGATCCTTTTAATATCTTTGTAGGATAAGGAACAGCTGGTAGAGTGGCAAGGTCACTTGATTTAATGTCAGAAGACCTTGATATTATATGCAGTAGCTAACTTGGGTGTGGTCTTAGATAAAACAGGGGAGGCTTTCTGTGCCAGTCTCTTGGCTGGAAAATGAGATGATTCATTCTAAAAAGAACATATGAATATCATCAGGCAGGCACATGCAACAGAAAGCTGTGCGGTGGGGGAGGTGACACAAAAAAGAAAAGGGTTACTGGCAAGAAGAAGGTGTCTTTCAGTATCTACTGAAAATTTTGCCAAGATCAGGCCTTTAGCTCAGGAATTTTGATATATATTTATTCGTGGAGAGCACAGCCTAGTAACAATGTGACTAGAAACTATACATATTTTTAAGTGTACTCTGGTATTAAAGATCTATCACTTCTGAGTGCACATCATGACCAAAACTAAGCTAGTACTTTATACACAGCAAATTCCTCTTTAATGAGCCAATTTTAGAGTGAAGAAAAATCGTCTCAGATAGGTTAAGTTCATATTTTAAGGTCCCACAACTTGGAAATGGTGGAAATGGAATTTCAACCAAGGTTTCTTTGACTTTCTTTGTAGTCTTCCCTAAGCCAAAACATTTCTTGGATCCAAACTAATGTTAGCCTTTTAGCTTGATGCCATCAAGAGAGAACAACTATTCGGTTCTTACAGTCAGAACCTAAATCTTTTTTGAAATTCCTCAAGACTATATTTTCTAGAGCACATAAAGAAATCACCCTTATTCCTTTTCAACCACATACTGTTCACAGCCCAAATGATTCCACACTTATTAACCAGGCTTGATTCCAATTATCATTTTTATTGTGAAAAGTAGAAACCACATTCAAAATACAAATCTTTGCCATGATTGAGAATAGTTGAAATAATGTGCTTTGGGTTTTGAAAACAATTCTAAAAAAGACTTTCTAGAAATGGCTCACATCTCTGAAATAAGTATATGGGTTCTAAAGTTGACTGCTCTGACTATGAAATGATTTTAAAGTTTAAACACTAACAAGGATTTTAAAAATTAAGCTTCAGTGCCTCATTAAATTCCTCTCTACCCCCACTCCTAACGAAATCCTATAACTGGAAAATGTGGGAGCTCCAAATTGGCGGATGGATACATAAGAGTAGAATGAAAAATGAACACGTAGGCTCTGTCTCATCTTTTATATTACTTTTCTAAGTAATTTATTTGGAAGCAATAGTTTTAATAAGCAGAGATTTTGTTTTTGTCCTAAATAATATAATCCAAAGCCCCCCATGTTAAAACCAGAAAAATCTATTGCTACATGTGTTGATGTGTAATGGGAGAATCCAGATTGACCCATTAGTCTCCTTCTAGTTGTGAGAGGCAGACCAAAGACAGTACTCAAGGGAACTGGAAGGCTTTATGGGATATGATATTAAAACATTGCTGATTTTCTTAATTATTTTAATGGTGATCTCTTTATATACCAGATCCTAAACTGTTGGACTTGGAGTTTCCTCATTCAAAATGAAGAGGCTGGGGTACATGGCTTATCTCTAACATCTCTTCCAATTCTAATGATTTGTGATCCCAGGTTGCTTTGATGACCCCAACCAGAAAGTAAAGTGATGAGCAAATTTTTAGTGATGGGCTTTCTCATAAAAGGGTTATCACATTAGAAGTTTACTGATGGGCATATTATGTGGAAGTTGTGATTCAGGTACTTTTCTTCCTCATTCCCTCCATACTAGGTCCTTCTAATGATAGGAGTCTTCAGAAAAATATCATTGTGTTTTATTGGTATTAAACTGCTCAACATCTATACATGTTTCCTATATTGGCTCATTCTACTCATTTACATTCAAACATTGTATCAAGCATGCAGTTTCTACCAGGTCACACAATGTATCGAAAACACAAGGCAAAAAATGCAGGGAATTCAACAAACATTTTTTGAGAAAATTACAGTACATCGTTAGAAGTTAAATGACAAGTTTCTGTTAACCTTTAAGCTTCTGTATGATCTAAAATACTCCTACTACCAGTAGTTTATTTAAAATGACCTGGTTTAATGAGATGAACCTTAAGGTCTTTTCTGTCTCTAAAATTCTATCAATCTTTTTGTGAAGTATAGAATTACATACAGAGTAACCTAAACAGTAATCAGATTGAAAAAGCTAATTGGGGATCCCTTGTAGAAAACCCTGTATGCTCGTTAGACCATTTTGTCTATGTCTTGTTGTGAATAGAGTTTCTGAAGGCTTTTGAACAGGAAAATACTGCTTGTAAAAGTATCAAATGGAATAAAAAAGAAATCCACAAGGAAACACAGTAATGGAATGCAGATATTTTGTCACTAACCAGGGAACTCCTCCTGGTAGGGAGGAGAGTTGGTCAGATTTGTGAAGAGATGATGGAATAATCTGTTGCATTTCACCTTTTCATTGTTTCAACAAATGAATTACATCATGTTTTTTGAATATTCGTAAATTAGTCAAAACTCAAAAATACTGAGAAAGCATAATTTTATTTCTTCATTATATTTTTAAAATATAAATATGTCTCTCAAATATCTGCCAAGAGAAAGAGTCATTAGTATACCCACACCTGCTTTTACTTCATGGAAATTTCAGGGTCAAAATTCGCAAAGCTCCTATGGGAATCAAATTTTGTAGAATATAATTAAAGAATCTGGTTATAATTTTTATAAACATGATTTTTAATAGAGAACTTTTTTATTTTTTAATTTTTGAGACAGGGTCTCTATTGCCCAGGCTGGAGTGGAGCGACACAATCACAACTCAGTACAGCCTTAACCGCCTGGGCTCAAGCAATCCTCCCACCTCAGCCTCCCCAGTAGCTGGGACTACAGGTACATGCCACCATGCCTGACTAATCTTTTAAGATTTTTGTAGAGATGGGATCCCAGTATATTGCCCAGGCTTGTCTTGAACTCCTGGTCTCAAGTGATCCTCCCGTCTCAGCCTCCCAAAGTGCTAGGTGTGAGCCATGGTGCCTGGCTGAGGACTTCTAAATTTACATTACAACTTCACCCTCTACAACCTATTCTCTTGCTGTGTCTTTGCCTCCTTTTCTCATGTACAAAGTTGTGAAGCTGATTGTACTAACTAACATCATAGATTCATGAAGATTAAATGTAGCAACCTCTAAAGTGAGAGTTTTTTGTGATTGCTCAGATTCAAGTTAGGGTTCCACCATTGAAATGATTACTTAATCTTCAACACCCAGTTTCCTTGTCCATTAAACATGGAACACTGATAGCAACTCCTTCTTGGATAGTTGTGGGGAGTAATAAGATCACATGTATACAGAAGAAGCAACGCCTGACACATGGTCAGTCTTCTATAAATAACAGTTATATCCATAACTTATAAATATTAACATGTATGAAAAATACATAGAAAGAGGTAGCAGTCAGGCTTTGATTCATTTTAGATTGTTAGGTTATAGGAAACAAATACTATACTGGCAACAATACAATCTTAGTACTGGATCCCTTAAGAAATACAAAGGAAACTGGCTTTAAAAAAGACAAGAATCTCAATTGTTTTTAAGAAAGTAACATGTATATAAAAAAACACAATGTACAATGACATACCACTCCAACTCATTTTACAAAACTTTTTGGCATATTTTGTCTTTTGTTCTCAGGATTTCAATAATTCCATTCTCTAATTATCAGAGTAGCACATTTTAAGAAACATAATTTGAAAAGCAGAATAAAGTATAAAAAATAAGTTTAAAAACCGCCTGGGTGGAGGTTGCAGTGAGCCAAGATCGCTCCACTGCACTCCAGCCGGGGTGACAAGAGCGAAACTCTGTCAAAACAAAAAAACAAAAAAAACACTACCTGGGAACTCCCTACCAAGAGGTAAAAGGCGGTTATTATATTTGAACATTCCCTTCCAGTCTTTTTTTACTTGCATTTACAGTTGACTCTTGAACAACACAGATCTGAGGTGTTTGGGTCCACTTATGCACAGATTTTTTTTCAGCCATAGTCAGATAGATTCTCAGGACTGGAAACCTGCATATAAAGAGGGCTGACCTTCTGTGTGTCTGGATTCCACACTGCTGAACACCGGACTTGAGTGTGCACAGATTTGGGCGTCAGGGAAGATCCAATCCCCATGTATACTGAGAGATAATTGTAAATTAATTCTCTCTATAAAATGTAGTATCTCTAACTTTACTTAATTATATTATGAACATATTCTAATTTGTGAACTTTTAAAGCATGTTATTTTATATTATCGAACATTTTCAAAAATCTACGTAATAGATGGCCTTTTTCCCACATGATTCCTATTCGCAAAGAGGATAAGGAATTAGTGAGTTAACTGAATAAGTATTTATTGACCAGCTAATGAGGGTCTTTGGATTGCACTACTCCTACGGGATGGAGAAATATAGATTTGAAGAAAAATACAAATCCAGCTAAATACAGGAAATCAACCTTTGGGATTGAAAGCAGAGATGCTTAAAGGAAGTGAAAAAGGAGGAAGGTACATGCAAGGGATGAGAGGGAAGGATGGGAGGAAGAGAAGCCAAGAACCCTGAAACTGTTCATCAAGCTGTAGGTTCTGACGCATAAACAGACATGTTCAGCATTTATTAAAAAATAAAAATGAGACCGGGTGCGGTGACTCATGCCTGTAATCCCAGAACTTTGGGAGGCCGAGTTGGGTGGATCATGAGGTCAGGAGATCTAGACCATCCTGGCCAACATGGTGAAACGCTGTCTTTACTAAAAATACAAAAATTAGCTGGGCATGGTGACACGTGCCTGTAATCCCAGCTACTCAGGAGGCTGAGGCAGGAAAATCACTTGAACCAGGGAGGCAGAAGTTGCAGTGAGCCTAGATCGCGCCACTGTGCTCCAGCTTGGCGACAGAGTGACACTCTGTCTCAAAAAAATAAAATAAAATAAAATAAAATAAATAAAAAATAAAATAAAAATGAATAGAACAGAAAAGATTAGAGATCATTGAACATACTGGTAAACATATTTATCAATTTTAGTTTGATTATACAGTGTCATGATAGAAAATTTGACTGTAGAACTTGAGGGGAAAAAGTTTAAAAATACTTAGACAACTGAATCTAAAGCTTAGTGCTTGCATGGTTACTGCCATTCATTGAGCCTATTCCTTAAAGACTTTGAGATCTGGAGAAGACAAATGACTTACTCAAGGTTATAAGACACATGGAGTCAGAGCCAGATTCCATTTTGTTGCCTTCTGCACAGTTCACCAAATTTGAAGCTGTGAATTGGTTTTGCTTCTGTCAAACTCACAATTTGTTCCATCTCCAGTCCTTGCTCAGTTCCCTCCTTTCAAATTATGTTTAGTTCTAGTGCAAGTCTGATGACTAATTAGAGCCATATATGTCTTCTTTGTCATACTGAATGGAGGACTTGCACAAAGCCATGGTATGGAGACAGAACTAAAATTACAGTTCCTCATTCAATGACATTTGCAACTCTAGCCCTACAGTATTTTGATAATCTTGCTGTAAATATAGTCAATGTCAAATCGTATGGTGATTATACAAAGAAACATTCTATGTGTCAACAGAAAATTCTCAAGTATTATGCCTTTAAATTAAAATTTATCAAAATAAAATGGGAAGTATAGAAGTATAATGCAGTTTGTACTCTTCAGAAGCCTTGCTCAATAAGTGCTGAGTTTTGATCGATTGATACAGTGTCATATTTGACTAAAGAGGTGGGGAAGTTGCTACTGTCGCTTTGTGCTGGATGGTAGCAGAATGCACTATTGATTTTTTATGTTGGATGGGTTGTCAGTGTATAGTGCATTGTTGATTTTGACTTTTATAGCCAACATGTTTCCTTTAATTGGATCATTTGTAAAAGAGAGGAGGGGACCTTTTCTCTTTTGACAGTGACTGATTACAATCATTTCATGTTTGTCAATATTTGATAAACCCACTGTTACCCAACAACATGGCTGCCTTTATTCATTGGTTCATTCTGCATCCACTTCTCTATTTTACCCCAATATCAACTGGTCTATCCCAGGTTTCACTCAGAATTCAGTCTTAAATTTCCTCTTTCAGCAACAGTCCAGTTTTTAAATTTTGCCAATCAGATCTCTTCTGACAATAACAACCAATCTACTCCCTAACAATTTTTTGCTCACCAACCCTTCCTGATCCCCTTCCCATTGGCGTCTGCTACAAACTATCCAGTTATGCAGGATATTACAAATATGAGCCTATAGTTTTCATGTTTTGAGCTATCAGATCCTAAGAGTTCCCAGAAGAAATAATCATCCATTCCAACTGATCATCTTTGTTCTTTCGTATTGAGATTATCCCATACCTGTGGATCATAGCCTGAGTGGAGACCATGGTTCTTAGAAACTTTCAGTTGTTCCCAGCAAGTGACATTATATGTAATTAGGAGGATTCGTAGACTGATATTTTAACTGTGTCCTAGATGCCCATTCTTTGACACTTGCTAATTTTATCTGTCATGCCCAACAGTCCTCTAGTTTCTTCCCAGAAGGAGAGAAGGATTAATGATTTAGTCACTGTCTGTTCTTGTTCTCTTTCACAATGAAAGAAAATCTTCCTGGTCCCCATTTTCAACTAAGTTCCTTACACTGAGACTTGAAAATGTGCCTTGGGTAAACAGATGTTTTTATGAACTGGAATCTTAGTGGAAAAAGACTAGACTGCAAATAGAAGTCCTAAATTATGATCCTCTAAACCTTGGACAAATCATTCCACTTATCTGTACCTGAATTCATTCACCAATGAATTATGAAGTTTACACTGAATAGCTTTGAAGCTCACTGTTACCATTCCCTTAATTTCTTGGTTTTCACATACCAGGCTTCAATCTGCCAGAAGCTTGCAGGGTAATCTATATATTTTTCAGAAAGAGGTTACCTAATATAGTTAACTGATTCAGGAAAGTCAAGGCATCCTACTGTTCACTCAGTGGACAAATATTGTACACTGCCTCTAGATGTTCCCTAGGTAATGATGGATGATGATAACATTATTCTTTTTTTAAATTTTCCTGTATCCTACAAATCGTATGCTTTGTTGACAGATTTTCCTATCTGTGCCAAGGATGAGTGTTTCAGAGACCAATTCATTTTAATTAGAGAATTCTGACAGCACATAGTCCAATATAGCGTATTGGTTATTTGCAGGTACAAACATTCATTGTAACATCATTGACATGAAAACAAAAACATTAGTACAACTGGAATTAGTGAGATTCAGAAAAGACATTATTATTGGTCATATGGAAGACAATATCAAAATGCTGCTTTGTAGACATTTCTCACCTAGCATTGTATGCAAGAAGACATTTTTATGTATTAGAAAAAAAGGTGAATGATCTCATCTTCTGAGATATATTGTCTATTTTAATAGTTAAGAGTCAAACTAAGTTTACTAAAGATAGATTGGAGTCTAAAGAGGGTGGGGCAACAAATTTGAAATAGGTATTTATTTTTTTCTGATCATTGTCTTCAACTATGCTCTGTCAAATTTTTCTATCTCCTAATGATACAGAAGTAGCTCCAAGGGTTAACAAAGTCTCTTTTTGGTAGTTAAAACACAATCCACTCCTTTAGGGAGTATTTTTATTTTTAGAGAATAGGATCTGCCCTTCTACCTCCCCTCTCCTTTTGTTTCTTCTTTCTCCTCTGGTGGGTGGATTCCTGGGAAATCGGTGGAAAAGATCAAGTATCCCTTACATAATCATGACCCTGTAGAGAACCTCTATGTGGTAGGCATTCAATTGCGGTTCAGAGGGGCACATGTTAAGTCCTAAAAGAGATAAATTTCCTGATGTAGAGGATGTCCTCTATGGCTTAGCTTCTCATCACTCTCACTTCTAATCCTGGGTAATACAAAGAGACTTCAAAAAGTTTTTGAAAAACTGGAATTAAAAGATAAGAATTAAAAAATAAATGTATAAACTTTATTTCTCAATATAAGTTCCATCAAGTTTAAGACACAGTTGTAAGTGATCATATCAACCATTTAGTTCATCCTCAAAGAACAGAGTCCTGAGAATTTAACCATGTCAATGAAGTTGTATTTACATTACTAAGTGAAGAAAAATGGGTGCCCTCTAAAGATATTTTTAATACTGGGGGAAAAAGTCAGAAGATGCCAAATCAGGAATATAAAGTAGATGCCTAATAAATTCCCGTTGAAATTCTTGCAAAACTGCCCTTGTTTGATGAGAGGAATGAACAGGAGCATTGTCATGGTGGAGGAGAACTCTCTGGTGAAGTTTTCCCAGGCATTTTTCTGCTAAGCTGTGGCTAACTTTTTCAGAACACTCTCCTGCTAAGCAGATGTTATCATTCTTTCACTTCCTAGGAAGTCAATAAGCAAAATTCCTTGAACATCCCAAAAAACTATTGCCATGACCTTTGTTCTTGAATGGTCTGCTTTTACTTTGATTAGACCACTTCCACCTCTTCATAGACATTGTTTTGTGTTGTGTCTTCAAGATCAAGCCATGTTTCATCTCCTGTTACAATTCTTTGAATAAATGTTTCAAGCTTGATTCACTTATTTAAAATTTCCAGCGAGGGCTCTGCTCTTGTCTGAAGTTGACCTGGGTTCAATGGTCTTGGCACCCATTGGGTGGAAAGTTTGCTCAACTTTAATTTTTCAGTCAGGATTGCGTAAGCTGAACCAACTGAGATGTCTATGGTGTTGGGTATTGTTTCTGCTGTTGATCATTGTTTCTCTTCAAGTAAGGTACTAATAAGATTAATTTTTTCATTGCAAATTGATGTGCACATTCTGTGGCTGTGGGCTTCATTTTTCAACATTGTCTTTTCTTAAAATGAATTATTCATATAGAAACTGCTGATTTCTTTGGGGCATCATTCCCACAAACTTTTCATAAAGTATCAGTGATTTCACCATTTTTTCACCCAAGTTTCCCCATGAATTTGATGTTTGTTCTTGCTTCCATTTTAGCAGAATTCATGTTTCTGATAGGAGCTTTTTTCGAAGTGATGTCTTATCCTTCTTAGTGACTCAAACTAGTACAAGTTTATTTTGGAGCAAAATTAAAATCTATGCATTTTTTTCAGAATACACATTTTCCATTATATTTTCAAAGACCCTTTCTATATACGAAGACCCTTTTCCATTGGGGCATCTTCCAGTTCAAGAGATGTCTTTTGGATGGGATATATACGAGTCATATTAAGCCTGCTTAAGCTTGCCATATTAAGTTGGTCCAAGGGAAATTCACTATGTACACCTTTGTTACGTCACTAATATGAGTGTGTGGGTGCTTTCTCTTTGTCCTACAGATTCTCTCCAATTCCTTTTTTCCTGCCCAAACTAGCCAATAATCAGATCAGCTAGAACTATGCCTCAGCAAATGTTTAACTGGGGAATGAGATGGAGTTTTTTTGGTAGGCACCATCAATCTCTACAGAGTTGGACATTGAAACATACCTTCCTAAAAGAGGGAGAAAATAAAATGTTGTAGCACTCTCTCCCATGATTGAAATCACACAGTTGAGAAAATTTTCTCTAAATTCCTCATCTTCTCTATAGAGAAGCTGAAGGATGATGACATGCATGACACTTGACTTCTTTTAGAATGGTGTGTACATGGGACTTGTTTTCACGGTTGTGGTTTTGGTTTTAATCTGAGTTATTTCCGTACAATATCATTCTATCTAATCTGGATTTGTGCTATATTAATAGTCTTACTGTACTGAAAACTACTTTGTTCTTGAACTGGCCAAATAGATTAATGAATAATTTGAAATTTCAACTGATATTAGATAATATAAATACAAAAATGTTTATTTGCTTTAAGTACAAGCAGTTTTACCCACCATTGCTTTGCTACTGCTTGTGAAAATATCAAGACAACAAAAAAGGTAAATATTATCTTAGTATTATAATAAAAGCAGGGATCTGTTATCTATATTTAGGACAGGTACCTTATACATTATTATAATTACACTTGGCCAGATCAAACAAACTTAAGGATTAACAACCAGAGCATCTAATTATTTAGGGTTGTATTTAGCATTTCACTTATGGTTAGGTGATTAGAGAAAACAAGATCAGAAGTCACATCAATGTTAAATAGTCAACGGTCCCCATGTTGTACTGCACACTTTTAGGGAAAAACAGTAAACAGCCTCTAAAAGAGTACAAAAATAGTTCCAAACTTTCAGAGAACATAGATCCATCAAAAATTTCCCAATACCATATATGACAAAGTTCATGAAGAAATGTTACAGAAAGTATGTATCATCCTTATTTAGGTCAAAAAGATAGAATGTGGAAAGAGATAAGTCATTTAAATCCAATGGGTGGGTAAAATAATGCCAACCAAAAATAGGAAATTATTCCCAGGCATGTCAGTTTCCCCACCTGGGATATGCTGTACTCATTGCTTTTAGATTTGTAAAGGATACATCTGTCGAATCCTAGTATTCAAAACTCAAGGCAGGCAGGGAATTCTCTCCAACCTTATTGTTGACTTTATTTTTTCCCTTTCTCTTTATTCTGCTTTTATGGGTTTCAGTCATTTTTATCCATTTCAACAGCAGGTGTGAAATAGTAAGCTGTCATCTGCCTTTTTGTAGTGCTGCAGGCCAAAATTATAAATGGGTTGACATTAATGGCAGTCCAGAATTTAGTGCTGTATTGGTAGATGGTATTGAAAATGTTTTGATATGACAGATAAAATGCCAGCAAGTGAAACTTCAGTTTGACTTTAGCTGGCTACATCTGGCAGAGTTTTTTTTGTTTGTTTTTGTTTTTTATGTTTCGTTGTTGGTATCTAGTTTTTAAGGCATTTCTTCATCTTTATATTCCATTCTTCTTTCTCTCTTTTCTCTGATGTTGAATCCTCTTTGTCCTTTTTCTTTGCCTTCAAATTTCAGCATAAGAGCTAATAGCATATGAGGATGGTCTCACTCAGCTTGAAAGAGTAGGGCTTGAGTAAGAACTCAACTCCTTATTCCTTGTCAACCCTTTCAAGAAGGAAATGTCCAAGGTATTCAGAGATCTTCTCTGGTCCTAGCGTGGATCCTATTCCTCATACTCACAGACACATAGGATCTGGTTAAAGTAAATATCAGGGGAGCCTTGGCAGGTCGAATTCCCTAAACCCAGCTGTGTAGATTGCTTTGCTGAAAAATAACAATGTTCCAAGTTTAAATAAGTTTGCAAAATGCTGGTTAAAGATGAATGAATTTCTTTTCTGAAGAACTCCTCAGAGCCTTTGAAAAGTGATTTTCATTGCACGTTTTCTTTCAGTCACTTTGGCCCCTAGATTGTTACTTCTTGGGGTCTTTTATTTTACTTCTCAGTGGAAAGACTTGCTCTGTTAGACCAGATAAATGTTGACCTTAACCACTCTATATGAAAAGTTAACTTCCCCATATTACTTTTCTCAATAGACTCACACATAAAAAATATTTTTTTAATTTATTTTTTTAACATTCTTGTGAACTCTGCCTTGCTCATACATGGCTAGTCATGAAATGGCTCCTCCCTAATTTCTTAGGTAGTTTCTACCACTCTTTGCTTAGTTGTCCCATCATCATCATACACCTTCTCACTGTGTCTTCATGCAGCTTTTCCCCTGTGTTTGCACACTGCTGACATCTCTTTTAAGGGCATCAAGTCCTGTAGGATTAGGGACCCATTCATATGACCTCATTTAATCTTAATTACCTCTTTAAAGGAACTGTTTCCAAATACAGTCACATTGGGGGTTACAGCTTCAATATATATGAGTTTTTAGAGAACATAATTGCCTGACAGGTTTATCTAGCCTACTACACGGAAAAGCCAATGCACTGAAAATAGCAGGTTTTTGCAATAAAGAATTTACTAATTGCAGGGCTGACCAAGCAGGAGGATGGGGGATGGGGGTTGTTATTACTACTCATATCAGCCAAGATTGAGAGACTTTTTTTTTTTTTAAGGATTATTTGGTAGACAGGGGACTAGGGAATGGGGAATGCTGATTGGTTGAGTCAAGGGTGAAAGCACAGGTTGTTGAAGCTCTCTTCTTGCTGTTTTCATTTCCTGGGTGGGATCACAAAACTAGTTAAACCAGTTTACTGGTCTAGCTGGGCCATTAGAATGCAGGGTCTGAAAAATATCTCAAACACCAATGTTAGGTTTTACAATAGTAATGTTACCTACAGGAGCAATTGAGGAGGTTAGGAATCTTTTGGCCTCTGGGTACATAATTCCTGGGCCATAATTTTGAAAGTCATGGCTAATTGGTTAGTTTTACAAAGGTGCTTTAGGTTTCCAAGCAAGAAGAGGGTTTGTTTTTGGGAGGGGCTATCATCTTTGTTTCAAAGTTAAACTATAAATTCCTCTGCAAGTTAGCTTGGCTTACTCCAAGAATGAACAAGGACAGCTTGGAGGTTAGAAGCATGATGGAATCAGTTGGGTAGGATTTTTTCCACTGTCATAATTTTCCTATGCCAGATATTTTCACTGTCATAATTTTTGCAAAGGTGCTTTCAGTAACACAAGTCACTTCATAACAAAAGCAATCAGAATTATTTGCATTTTTTATATTCCATTTCTTTAAAGTCTAGCTAAGTAACTGGACAGCTAAGTTGATGAACTAATTCAGGCAAAAGTGTTAATGAGTAACAAAAATGTATTGCCTAACTTCTCCTGGCAATATTTTCTAAATAATAAGGTTCTTTGGAAACTGATATCTAATATGAGAGTTCTCAGCTTTAGGAAAAACTGAGGCAGGAGATAGATTAGGACAA
Source organism: Homo sapiens (assembly GCF_000001405.40). Taxonomy (NCBI): domain Eukaryota; kingdom Metazoa; phylum Chordata; class Mammalia; order Primates; family Hominidae; genus Homo; species Homo sapiens. Next base: position 38,510,123 of record NC_000018.10, read on the forward strand.
TGGATGGTACCCCAAATCATTCCTGCCATGTGAGCAATCACTTCTGAAGGAGTTCAAGAAACACCACCCCCAAATATGCCATTTTGGTATGCTGCTTACTTTAAACTGAGGGTTTGTAGGGAGCAGCAACTTCCCTTGTCTGCCTAACAATGGATCCTCCAAAAGGAACCCAACTTTTATGAAACTTCTCCCCAGGAATCTTAATAGCAAAGATCAACTGACACCATGCCCATACTATCATCTATTCTACCGAGGGCTGCTGACTTTTTAATCTGTATAACAAGCCAATCTTTAGTTCATATACTTCTTCCTCTTAGCCTCCCACAATTTGTGTCACCATCCCACCCACCTAGAAACCTCAAGGTAATTGGGTATGTCTTTATTAGCAGCATGAGAACAGACACAATTCCTGAGGATCTCTGTTTAGAACCTGAGGATTGAGAATGTGTTAGTCTTTATTCAAATGAAATCATAGCCAGAAATCCAGCTGGTTAATCCATGGAAACAAGCCACTGTGACTGAGACAGAGGAGGATCCTGATATGGTTTTGCTGTGTCCCCACCCAAATCTTACTTTGAATTGTAATAATCCCCAGGTGTCAAGGTGGGGGTGGCAATTGGAGATGATTGAATCATGTGGGTGGTTTCCCCATACTGTTCTTGTGGTAGTAAACAGAGATCCCCAGGAATTATGGATTAACTAAGGGAGGTGAACCTGCAGATGATGATGATTTGTTTATAGAAGTAGTTATGGAGACAAGCAGGAAGATAAGTGATCTTTTCTGTGGATTTCCCCTCCTCCTCTGGCAATTGAAAACCTGTTCATCAACCTAGGAGCAACTTAGTACTCACCTCCATTAACATCACACTTTATATCCACAGCCTGAGTCTGCAATAGAGCTTTTAAGCCCTGATCACACAGAGATTGCTTAGTTTCTAACAGCAATCTTCCCTCCCCAGTTAGACATAGTTTTCTGTGGGCAGCAGTCATATGTTTCCTTCATTAGCATTCCACTAGGCATAATATTGTGCCTGATCAGTGGCCATCCATTCATTCATCCAGACATTTAACATGCACTTATTAGGCACTTACTGTTTGACAGGCATTTTTTTAGACTCTGGGTTTTTAGGGTTGAACAAAATGTACAAGTTTCCTGCTCTCATGGAATGTAACCAAAATTCCCAACTAATTGACACAGAAATTGCTGTAATAATGTCAGAGGTGCATCCCGTAAGATTTAATGTCATCAAATTAGTGTTAAGAAAGTAAACAAAGAATAGCAACTCACTCCGTTTCTGATGTTTGCACAAATCCAATTCCTGATTTCTTTCCTTTAGCACATGAGAAAACTACAGGCCCTCCCAGGGGCAGAAAAAAAAAAATCCATCACAAGGGACCTAGAGGTATGTTAGAAAGAATTCCAACCAAAGAGATCTATGAGGCAGTATAGTCACCGCTCAGAGGAGGGGAGGGGACTGCTATAGCTTAAGATGTTTAAAACCTGGCTGCAAGAGAAGCAGGAAAATGCACCATGGGGAACAATTCCCTGCCAGGTTCCAAGGGATGAAAAAATGACTTAATGGCACATTCACTGTCTTGACTTAGGTGATTTTTTCCTAGCAAGCAGACATCTTCTATAATTCCCTTTGTAAATAGAGTAATAAGATATAGATGTGCCTTTCTCTTATGTGACTTATACAAACCACTATTGTTGTTGTTGTTGGCTAACAAAGAGTTGGAAATTCATAACTGAGGAGAGAAGTGGACTAGACAGAACAAACTAAAAATCACTTCATTTTCCAAGTCCTAGGTCAAATTGTGCCCAACTCCAGAGGCCAGGGGACACAATAGAGCTACAGAAACTCAGAAGTTCATAGGGTCAAAAAAATTGGAAGGGAGTTTGCAGGTTATCTGTTTGAACCTTTGACATCAGATGTCAGTGAGCTGGAGTTTTTCATTAGAGCAACTATGGACAGAAATATTTAAGTTGTTGGAGATGGAAGAGTTGCACTGTATTACAGGTTCCCCAGGCATCTGACACCAATCTTTCTTTCTAACATTACATCCCTAATGTGCCTTCTCTGTTCCTGCCAGAATGCCCTTTAGTGCCCCCAGTACACATGTCGATATCCCAAATAGTAGTACATATTTACAAACTAAAGTGCTCTCAGCACTTCAACTGAGGCTATCCTGAGATTCAATTCAAATCCCTCCTCATTCAGAGAAAAACAAAATTAAATGAAAGAAAACACACAACAGCAGCAACAATCAACTTTCCAAGCCAAGGAGGCCAAGACTATTTGCTCATTCTTTTGAATTCCAACGAAATGCCTTGTGTGCTCCACCCACTTGGACTTGGAATGCATTGCTTTGTATTGTGGGACCATCTTTATGTGGACAAACTGTGACCATTTCTGTGTCTCTCTGCAGGCTTCAGCATGGTAGGGGCTTGATAAAAGCTTAAAGGATAATAGAGAGAAAGTAGTTTTTATTAATGCTGGAGAAACTGACTGGAAATACAAAGCAGTGTGAGTATTATGGGTTGCTCTATCAGATCTTCAGAGGACAGCCACATTTCTCTGCAGTCTACATTGTTCCATATCACAGAAAAATACAAAGCTTTTTGGCTCAATTTTTATAGCTGGCATAAAAAGCTGATACCAAACTTGATAAACAACACACATGTGTTTATACACACATGCATGCACACATACATTACAAGGTAATCACATCTATAAACAGAGGCAAAAACACTAAGCAAAATACTAGCAAATAAAATCTTATACCATATCAAAAAATTGATACATCATTGATATGGTTTGGCTCTGAGACCTCACCCAAATCTCATCTTGAATTCTATCTCCATAATTCCCATGTGTTGTGGGGAGGGACCCAGTGGAATAAAAGATAATTGAATTATGGGAGTGGTTTTCCCCATACTGTTCTCATGGTAGTGAATAAGTCTCACAAGAGTTGATGGTTTTATCAGGGCTTTTTGCTTTTGCATCTTCCTCATTCTCTCTTTGCCTGCTGTCATCCATGTAAGATGGGACTTGCTCCTCCTTGCCTTCCACCATGATTGTGAGGCTTCCCCAGCCACATGGAACTGTAAGTCCAATTAAACCTCCGTCTTTTGTAAATTGCCCAGTCTTGGGTATGTCTTATCAGTAGTGTGAAAATGGACTAATACAATAATGGCCAAGGGAAGTTTTCTCCAGGTGGACAAGATGGACTTACCATTAGAAAAATAATAAATATAATTTATCCCATCCGTAGGTCAAAGGAGAGAAATAGTACGACTTAATAGATGTGAATGCATTTCATCAAGTTGAAATCCATTTCTCTTATTAAAACCAACAGATTAAAGTGAAAAGAATTTCAGAATAAATTATGAATAAAAGATAAGTCTTTTCTGAACTAACTGTGTACACCTTGTTTGATTACACCACTCTAGAGGCATTCTCAATAAATTCTGGAACAAAACAGTTACCCGCCATCACTGCTACTATTCAAGAAGTTTCTAAAGTTCTAACTGATGAAACAGGGTAATAAAAACAGATATAAATATTACAAAGAAAGTGACAAAATATCATTACTTACAAATTATAACACCGTCTACTCCAAAAACTTAGTGAATTGAAAAATATTATTTAGAGTTTACAATGAAATTCAGTAATATTTACAGTTACAAAGTTAGTATAGAACTCTAAAGCGTTCCATAGATTAGCAAAAACCACAAAAAGAAAAATTCTATTTGCTATAGCAATCATAATTTAAAACATTATGAAATAAGAAAATGTGTTAGTCAAAGCAATGTATTAGTCAAAGAAGTCTATAAAACTTGTACATACATGTATTTGCAGATGTGTATTTTTACAGATCTTTACAAAACTTTGATAAATGTATTTACAGGTCTACATGTCTATTGTTTATGTAAATAAACAAAAATAATAAAGCTCTATGATTCTGGAAGGAAAGATACAATACTGTAAAAATATTTTGAATTAAGCTTCAACTTCAGTACAATTTTGATAGATATTCCAAATATTTAATTTTAAGTAAACTATATTTCTTTCAAAAAATAATTATAGAGTAACCACTTTTTGGAAATAACAAAGGCCTAATCAGAGGTTGTCTTATTAGATGACAAAATGTGTTTTATAGCTTCAGAGATTAAAAAAGTATGATGTTGGTACAGATATAGACAAATAGATAAATGAAAAATAAGAAAGTCTGAAACCAGCCACATTTCATAGCAGAATTTAGTAAGTAACAGAAGCAAAAATAGGAATATAATTTTTAATAAACAGATAAAAAAAGTAAAATGTTAGGATCATACTTTATTATACCAAAATGAATCACAAACAATTTTTAAACTTTAAAATAATTGAATATTAAGATGTGAAAGTGCTTTTTATATGTTACTATCACCAAAGAAGCAAATCAGTAAATATGGATAGGTTTTTACAAATACAAATTAAAACAATTGTAAAAAAAAAAAAAAAAAAACTTCAAAAAGAAACTAGCACAAGTATTTTCAGTATGTACAATCATAGGATTAACTTTGTATATAAATATGTTTTCTAATCAAGAAAAAGTAATAAAAATGAGATCTAGACTAGAATAGATAGTTCATTAAAGATATAAAGAGTCACTTATCTGAAGTATATAACAATTTAATTCAGAACTTGCCTTCTATGAATTTGTTCTTAGGAAACGCAGACATGCAAAAGCTGTGCTCACAGGCTACAAAAGTTTAGGACAGAGCTGGTTGCATTAGCAAACAGTTAACAGTTAAGGAAAAGCTGAATGTGTATAGGCAAAGAGTTCATTCAACAAATGGTTGTCTTACCATGAATTAAGAATGGTTATCTTAACTAAAGAATTAGTGATATGAAAATTTTCTATGATATATTCTTCAATAAAATTGCAAGTAGCAGAATAACTTGTATAAATAACAGGCCATTGTTTTTTGTTAGAATTTTTCTACATTTATATATTCATATATGGGTAAGTTTCTTAAAGATTATAGTTAACATACAAACAGCTAGACCTCTGTGAAATTGTTGGAATTATCAATGTCTTTTTATTTACTTTATACTGTTGTTAAAAACATTACTTGTAGAATATATATGTATGTATGTATGTATTTTCTTTTTTCTTCAGAAAAGTGATTCTGGACAAAAATTTTAAAACAAAACACATTATCTTTGTCAAACTTTATAAAACCCTTCTCCAAACCACCTCTTTCCTCCTCACAATGATTTATATTGAGTGTCAATTTGATTGGATTGAAGGATGCAAAGTATTGTTCCTAGGTGTTTCCGTGAAGGCGTTACCAAAGGAGATGAATATTTGAGTCAGCGGACTGGGAGAGGTAGACCTACCTTCAATCTGGGTGGGGACCATCTAATCAGCTGCCATTGCAGCTAGAATAAAATCAGATAGAGGAATGGGGAACGACCAGACTTGCTCAGTCTTCTGGCCTCCATCTTTCTCCAGTGCTGGATGCTTTCTGCCCTGAAATATTGGACTCCAAGTTTTTCAGCTTTTGGACTCTTGGACTCACACCAGTGGTTTGCCAGGGGCTCTTGGGCCTTTGGCCACAGACTGAAGGCTATACTGTTGGCTTCCCTATGGATTTGGGACTCGGATTGGCTTCCTTGCTCCTCAGCTTGCAGACAGCCTATTGTGGGACTTTGCCTTGTGATTGTGTGAGTCAATACTCCTTAATAAACGCTGTTTCAAATATCTAACCTCTTAGTCCCGTCCCTTTAGAGAACTCTGACTAACACACTTCTCCAGTAATTTTGTAAGGTTTCAAAGGCTTAGCCCTGACCCTAGGCACAGGCATCTGCAACCCAAGTCCCAGACAGTTATGCTACCACAGCCGCTAAAAATAACCTACTACAAATTTTTACTATTAACTAAAAGAAGTGGATGTACCCACACAAGCTCATCTTCATTATTCTAGAAATTAGTTAGAACATGGTTTCTACTCATAGGATAAATGGGTCATTTCTTCATCTTTGAATCACAAAGTACAGTTTACACTATAAGAGGCTCTAGGCCAACCATCCATCCAGACAACAGGAACAGTGGCTAGGCACTGCCATACATTCAGAGTTCCTAAAAATGTGTCAATGTTTATTTTAAAATCAAAAGGAAAAATCAAATATAATAATACTAATAATATTCAATTATATATCAGCCTGAGTTATATCTATCTTTATACCAACACTTATGAAAAAAACTAAAATAATTTTTTAATTGAGGGAAGATACTTAGGCAGGAAGAGTGTTTTGAGTCCTTAAAGTCATAATACAGTCCTGATGGCTCATAATGTGAGTCCAATGCTGAGCTTCCAGAGGGCTTCAAAGCTGCACCACAAAGGATGCTGTATTAGTCTGTTTTCACACTGCTGATAAAGACATACCCAAGTCTGTGCAATTTACAAAAAAAAAAAAAGATTTAACAGACTTACAGTTCCACGTGACTGGGGAAGCCTTACAATTATGGTGGAAGGCAAGGAGGAGCAAGTCACTTCTTACATGGACGGAAGCAGGCAAAGAGGGAATTTGTGCAGGGGAACTCCTCTTTATAAAACCATCAGATCTCATGACACTTATTCACTATCAGGAGAACAGCATAGGAAAGACTTGCCCCCATGATTCAATTACCTCCCACTGGGTCCCTTCCACAACATGTGAGAATTCAAGATGAGATTCGTGTGGGGACACAGCCAAACCATATCAGATGCCATTCCTTCTGGAAAGTCCAAAAGTTACTTCCTTAGCAGATCTGTCAACTCCCATATTCTCTTCACTGGAGCCTGAGGACAGCCTTGGAATCTTTCTCACAACTTATTGTTGGAAGCCACTAACAACCTCTACTTGTATACCACAAAATAAAGTTTTAGTTTGCCTGTTTTTAGGGACAAGAAACAGGCTAATAGGGATCTAATAAGGCCAAGATTTGTTTGGTTTTGTTGTTGTTTTTGTTTGTCTTGGTGCTGGCTGCTTAGGATTTTGAGAAATTAGAGGTAAAAATGCTGTGTTTTGGGCTGAGAACAAAGAGTTAAAAAAAGTCAAGAAAAGTGAATTCTTTAATAAATTATATGTACAGTGTGGTTCCACATAAAAATTAGGTCCAACTGCTAAAGACCAAATAACATAAGATAGTTTCAAAGTTATATTTGGAAGTGGGAGATGTCTAAAGAAAATTTTATATATATATATACATATACACACACACACATTAACTGTCCGATAGGGGTACAAAAATGAGTGTGTGTATGTGTTTCCCTGTGTTTACATTGACACCTAGAATGTAAACAATGTAAAGTATATTTCATACTGTGGGCCATGATCAAACAAAGTTCTAAAGCCATTGCCAAAAGCATTATCAGGAGAAGACTCCATTCAATCTCAGGCCTTTGTTCTGCCCAGAGGAAGAAAAGGCAGACAAGGAGAGTAGGGGAGGAGAGGGGAGAGGAGGAGATAAATGGAAAATGTCAGACTCGTCTGAGCAAAACATCTGTTTACAAAAAAAAAAGAAATATTAATCCAATGCCATTTTTCTTAAGAATAACACCAAAGCAGACCCTGAAACGACACTGACATCGGTGGCCCAAGTGTCCCCTACTGCTTTCTGTTAAGTCTGAAAGAAGAGGAATAAAAGCTCCACAAGAGACTTCAGTTTCATTATGTTCCCTGCAGCCTAAAAAGCAATGGTAAGTGGCATCAAGGCCTCTAAAGAAATCTGAACAATCGCAAAGGCTTCCAGAATGTTTACTCTGAAGCAAGGAACATGTATTTTTCTCCACGTGAAAACAACAACAACAATGAAAAGTCATCATTCCCAAATCTGAACACACAGATCAGGAAAAGCCTTCACTAATTGTGCAGTTCCCCTCGGGAAGATGGTGTGGTGTGATGAGGACAAACCCTCACCTTCTCCGAAAACACCTGCTTTGCTTCACACCAAGTCCCATGTTGCATATAAAAAGCTTAGGGTCTCTCTCTCTCTCTCTCTCTCTCTCTCTCTGTGTGTGTGTGTGTGTGTGTGTGTGTGTGTGTGTGTGATTCTCCTATTCAAAATACATCTGTGATAATCTCCTTGGAATTCCTGTTTAGGCTTAATAGTTTGTTTTATACGATAATGTAGTTCCTGTATCTGGATTGTAAACTTCCAGAGAGAAGTGGCTATTTATGTCATCTCTCTCTAGTGAATGGCACTGTAATGTCGAGGCTCAATGAAACAGTATTGAATCAGTGAAGGAATGAATGAGAATTCTTTTAAAAACCACCTTAAGAATTATTTTTGGCCTTCATTTGTTATGTTAAATCCAATTAAATTCTCTCCTGGTCTCATTTTTCTGAAAATGGAGAGTAATATTTGACAATCTCTAGTCTCTCTATACTGCAGAATATTAGGAGCCTCATTCCACACAATGTGGAAACTTCTGTGGTTCCCATATGATTGGGGTAGAGTATACTCTAAAAACATTTGAAACTGACTGAAAAATAGCGTTATTTTGCAAAGTGTAGCCTGTGGATAGGTTTCATTCACATCACCTGGGACATTTGTTATAATGGTGCCAGGACTCTGCATTTGTAACAGGCAGCCTAGAGGACTGTTAAAAAAATTAATTAATGTATGATAATAGAACACAATCTAGGGACAGGCTAGACAGCACTGAGTCTGAAAAAGCAATGGCAGAATGAGAGGGGGCAGTGGATTGGGTTTAAACTAAACATGCATGGTCCCCTAAGGTGCAGTTAACTTATTTTAACACAAAGGGTGGGGGAAGGGCCCATAGTGAGCCTGGGAATGTTGTCCCTGTGTCCAGTTTGACAAAGTTCCCTTAGTATTTGGGACAGCCCAAAGAATAAATTCCTGAGTGTTTGAGAAAAAGCAGAGGCTTTGGAGTCAGACTGGTTACTTGTATATAGCCTGTTGAGCCTTGTCTACACAGTCAAGATTCTAATACCTGTCTTAGAAGGTGATAGTGAGAATTCTATTATAGTCTATGAAAAGTGTCTGGCAAATACTTGGAGCTCCTGCTTTCATGTCTACTTACGCATACATTCACTTATTTATCTGGATATTTTATCAATAAAAATTGGAATACAAATTATAGTTAATACTTCAAACTATACACTGTTTTACAAACATTATCTTCTTTACTTTTCATGATGCCCCAAGAGAGATATATAATCGTCTTTATTTATGGATAAGGGAAGTGGAATATTGGTAGGTGATATATGTTACCTGGATTGGTATCTCAGTCCTCCTAATGTGCTAGTTTTGTGTAGGGCATGAAGATGTATAAAACAAACCTTTAAAGATTTTAGGTCAGATGCAGCATATACATATATAACTAATACAAAGCAGTATTAATGGGTTCCAAGGGATACAAATAGAATGCTATAAAAGTAATAGGGAGAAAAAGGCCATTCATAAGCATGGTAATAAGGGAAGATTTCAAGAAAGGGGCACCTTTTAAATACAGCCTTGAGAAATATGTGGTCTGACAGGTAGAGATGTTGAGAGGTCCTTTCAAGGAAAGGGCAGAGCTAGAATAAGGTTGCAGAAATGGAAAAGCACAGAGCATGTTAGGAGAGAAATAAATGAGGCAAAAGTAGGAATTTTATGGGCAAGAAGGTGAAGAAGAAGTAAAATGACTGACATTGAGTAACTACCCAGGAAATATTTATGGAATGAATACAAAGTGAGTTTGAGGCCACTTGAGAAAGTCTTGAGTGACAGGCTAGGGTGTGGGCTTTTCTGATAGGCACTGGGTAGCCATTTCAGATTTTTGAGTTGGAAATAGCATGCTTAGAACACACCATAACTTTGGAAGCAATTTCAGAATAACCAGAGAGGGGAGAGACAGGAACAGTGATAAGTCAGAATGCAATTGTAAAATTGCAGGCAAAGGTATAGTTCAGGAACACAGTGGTGCTGGGGATCGTGGAGAACGAAGAATGAAAGGCAATAAAATTTTTCTCACAGTTAGCATAAAACCTTATTTATATACAGAGACAAACACGCACACACACTACAGCTTCGTAACACAGGACCATATATGTTCATCCAAGACAGCAAATATATTCTCCCCTCAGGAAAGGGGACCAATGCACACCACTTATTTTTCATTTCCCATTAATTTTAATTACAGAAATGGAATGTATTATGCAACCTTTAAAATTTCACATCATGGATGCATGCTGAGAGCCCTTTCAAACTGAATTTCAAACAATTCAATTTCTAAGGTCTGTGTTAAAGGAGATAGGAAGGAACTGACACTATCGTTTACATATCTGCATTTTAATATGAGTTTCCTTAATGCCCTCCCGCTTGACAAATGACAGCTTTTGAAATTTTTAAATAAATACTTTTGGGGTTTGTGTCCTCAGGGAGGACCCTGTTTAGCTGGAAAGACAATAGACTAAAAGCAGCAGGCCTTACGGTCAGCTTTCTAACCTTCCCCAGTGTTTGCAAAGTGTTAGGCTTATTTCTGAACCAGTATTTTGGTAGGTTCCAGCTTTCATGATCCGGGAAGTGTGTTGTTCACCTTCCTTTCCCTGTTACTCAACACCTTGTCCTGCAGCACAGATTTCTCCAGCATAGACAGAAAATACAAAATGCATAAGTCCTGGTAATGATACAGAGGAAGGCCTCTATTTGCATACCCTTCATAATTCAATTTAATTTTTTTTTGTCAAGAGTTCTGAATGCTTTGTGTTTGCTTTAATCAGAATGTTGACATTTACACTGAAGCCAATTTCTCTTTTTCTTCTCCATGTTTTGTTTAACTACGACAAGTGACAGCAAACTGGAAAGAACAGACTTTTTAAATTGGCTCCTTGCCCAGAATGCATCATTTCTCTTGTAGCTTTCCCCCCTTCCTATGCATCGCAAGAGGAAATGTGAAAACATACTTTGCGAACACAAGAGTGAGGTGTTACTGCTTTTAGATAAAGATTTGTGTTGTATTTTAAAACCAGATTGCTGTACAGTTTCGAGCTATTAGCAGGAGCTTATTACGCCATGGCTCCAGGTCCTTGGAGAAATATGCTTAGTATATTTCAGTAATTCAAGGCAAATAGAAAACTATATGTGAAAATACTTAAAGGCAAAAAGCATCAACTCCTGAAGGCTGCAGAAAGCAATAAACAAGCATGGCACCTGCCATTAACTCTTTTCAAAAACAATTTATCTAATTGCTCCCTGTCATGCCCCAAATTGTGGAGAGAAGAACCAATGTGAAAATGAACCTGTGATATTAGCCATTCAGAAAAGCAACAAGCAATAGTGCAGCAAGCACGTTGCCCTCTTTAGCAGAGCATGCTGTTGTTGGGTTTCACGCTTGATCTCTAACAGTTCTATGAGAATGTAGCTTATAATTGAATTAGAATTTGCCCATCTATCAGATTCAATGGTTTAAATCAGAAATAAGTTTGTGAATGGCTTTATCAAACACAAAGGAAAAATACAGCACCAAAGACCTACCTGGTTAGGTAGGTTAGGTACCTGGTTAGGTAGGTCTTTGTGTCCCTTCATGGAATTTAATTCTGACTCAACAAAGAGACAGGAAACAAAACGATTGGGTTTCAAATAAAGCAGATGTTGAAGTCATAGTTTACTCTGCTAGAATATCATCTTTAGAGTGACTGAGGTACCACCCTGCCTTCAGGCAGAAATCTCTTCTAAAACCCTTGCAAATATACCTTTTTCCCGTGTATTCAGAAATCAGAAGGAAATAGATACTATAAATATCAAAGATTTACCTGAAGAGAATCAGAAAATCAAATGAGAGAGTGACGTACTCTTCCTGTTTTTTTGTATTTTGTTTTTGAGATAGGGTCTCCCTCTGTCACCCAGGCTAGAGTGCAGTGGTGTGATCACTGCGCACTGAAGCCTTGACTTCCTGGGGTCAGCTGATGCTCCTACCCTAATTTTTTGTATTTTTTTTTTTTATAGAGACGAGGTTTCGCCATGTTGTCCAGACTGATCTTGAATTCATGGGCTCAAGCAATCTGCCCCCAAAGTGCTGAGATTACAGGCATGAGCTATCACACCCGTACTCTGATCTTTCTATTGCTTAGCTACCATAGTGTTTCACTAACCGGGGGCTTCACTAACATGGAGGATTCACTAACATGGGATCTCACATAATGGTCATCACAAAGTACATAGAGAAAACAACAAGTGATTTTCAAATTCTTAATTCTAATTTATTTCTGTGAACTCAATGTAATTGCTCTCAAATTGCATTTTGTTAACTGAAAAATTATAGAAAGTAGATTTGTACCTTATAATGTAAGCATTATTGCATCAAAATATATTTTCAGTTATATTTGCACATATATGTATTCATATGTGAATTCAGTTATGACATAAAATGCATTTCCTACTGTGGGTCAGCAATCAAATTTTCAAAACACTAAAAATGTAAACATACCCAAATACACCTTATCTATCCACTGTGCTTCAAATTCTACCTTTCACCACTTTTGGGGCATGCAAATACATCAGAGAGGAAATCTATTCCTGACAGATAAATGTAAGTTTATCAGATGCTTCTTTTGCCCTGAGAAGTCTCTCTAGGGGAACACAAGGGAACTTAGTACCATAGCAAAAAGATAAACAATCCCTGGTATATACAAAATAAAAAATGTACATTTATTTTTAAAAAATGAGTGAAGAGTGTTCACATGGAAGATAGACAAGAAAAGCAAGGTAACAGAAAAAATCACCACAAATCTTACCAGCTGCTGACAGGGAATCTATTCATGTCTATGAAAGGGATATGAGGATAGAATGGGTGGAAAGAGAGAAGCCATATTCAATTGATCAACCTAGGATTTTGAGAGATTATTTGGGGCAAGAACTGGAGTGTACTAATTTCTTAAGTCTTAAGTTGAACAAAGTTCAACAAACTGGGTGGCTCAAAACAGAAATTTATTTTGTCACTGTTTTAGAAGCCAGAAGTCTGAAATCAAGGGTCAGCGGGACCATGCTCTCACTGAAGGCTCTAGAGAAAATCAGTTGCATGCCTTTCTCTTAGCTTCTGGTGTTCCTGGCAGTCCTTGGGGTTCCTTAGCATTCACTGGCTTGTAGACGTATCAATCCAAACTGCTTTCATTGTCAAATGGCATTCTCCTTGCGTATCCCTGTGTCTGTGTCTTTTTTTCTCTTAATAAGAACACTAATTATACTGAATGGGAGCCCACCTGAATGATTTTATCTTAAATTGACTGCATCTGATAAACCCTATTTCCAAAAAAAGTCATGTTCACAGGTACTAAGGGTAAAGATTTCAACATATCTCTTGGGGGGGAAATGGTAGAACCCGCAACAGGAAAGTGGATTGAAATTTCATATGTCAGGAAACCACTGTTTTTCCTGACATGAGGGAGAGGAAGAGTAGAGAAAGTTGTACATTTATAATGAAAGTTATCTGTTAACACGAAAGCCATGTTCAAGACTGTGAAAAAATATTCTGGGAGTTAATGTTTAGGTAATGCAAACCAAAACAAGTAAGGCTAGACAAAAATCTTTGTAATAAATTGTTTGAAATCATATGACAACTTACAGGAAAGTAAAGAATTATGGGACAAAATCTAAAAGGAGAAAGGAACCCAGAGATGAGAGACTGATCTTTAAGGCTAATTTTCCCCTTAGGGCATCTCTTAGTTCTAGAAAAAGAGCTGGTACTCTGAGAGGCCAAGAAGTTGAAAATTGTTTACAACCACCTCACTAAACTAAGGAACATTGGAATTCAAGGTCAGCCAGTGGAAGTCCTGGTAACTTATACTCCTAAAGATATTCAGCTGGGATCCCTAGGACTACAACCTAGGACTAGAAATAAAATAAAATAGCAGTTGTGGTTATTAGAGCCCAGCTTCAAATAATCTTAACGTCTGATTAGACTAAGGTGCTTCGAGAGTTTTACTACTGCCTGCTCAAAGCAAACATAACACTTTATGGAAGAAAACATAATATATGGTTTAAATTGTCTCTGAATTTTATATGCACGGCATCTAGCAGTCAATAGAAAATAACCAGGTATAAAAATGGAAAAATGTGATTGAAAAATAAGAGAAACAATATACAGTAGAAAAAGAACCATAAGTATTCCATACTATGGAGTTATTAGGCATATACCTTAAAGGGCTAGGCGTAGTAGGTTCAAAGAGATAAAAGGACGGTTGAAGAATTTAACCAGATGGCAAGAAACCATAAAAAGAAATAGACTTTCTAAAGAAAATACAACTGAAATTAAGTATTCCAAGGATACATAAGAAAATACTTAGAGATAAAACAATGTAAAATATTTCTATAAGAGAATGAAAGACATTAGAGGCATATAAAATACAGCAAAAAATTCTAACAAAAGTGTAATTTGAGACCCATAGAGGAAGTTTGAAGCAATAAAGATTGGAAATTTTCCAGATTGAGGAAAAACATCAGTCTACTTATTTTAGAAGTGCAACAAACATCAAGCTGGATTAATAGAATAAACTTCTACTTACATATATCATACTAAAATGGCTGAGAGCCAAACACAAAAAAGAATATTAAAAGCAGTAGAGATGGGAAGAGAGACCAGATTCCCTTCAGAAGAACTGCAATAAGACCAAATAAACAAGACCAAAGGACATCTTATCTACAGAATAATGGAAAACAGGAAGAAAAATGGAATCATCTTCAAAGCGTTCAAAGAAAAATAATTGTTGAGTTATTCAGCCAACCAAAGCACCCCTAAAGAATTGTTTAAATATAAGTAGAACAAATGCCCCATGTGAGATAAAGATTTTCAGACTTAAAGCTCGTCAAACTTTGCTATTCTACAAAAGACATGTTTAAAATAAAAACACAAAATATTAAAAGTAGAAAAACTATAGTGTGCAAATATTTAAAAAGAGAACGGTTGTAACCATAGTATTGTAGATACTTTTTCAAAAGCATTACTAAAAATCTGAGAGACTTTCAGTTTTAAGGAGCTTAGAAATCTGTACTCCATCCTAACAGCAAGTAGAAATCTTAACTGAATAAGCAGACTGTTCTTAAACCCTTCAGATAAGTGAGGTCACAGGTGAAACCACTGACGCCAAATTGGAGAGAGAGACAGGTGGACACGGAAAACCACAGCTTACCTGAGCAGAAACCCACAAGCGGAAACCTCTGTGGGAATCAGTGCTGAAGTAGGAAAACCTGAATTATAATTAATGAATTGCTAGAGGCTCAGTGTGGACAAGCCTGAGAGGTAAAAAGTTCACGAGGATCCAGTCCTAGAGGGATTGAGTTCTGGGGGGTAGGATCCAGTCCTAGATCCTGCATGCTTTTGTGAGATTTCCCTCCAGGAGCCTTACCAGGTTCTCAGTGAATATCAGAAGAAAATCTCCACAGGCTTCCGGCAAGGTGCGGTGGGGGGAAAGTAACGATTTTAAAATACACCAGAACATTCTGTTCTTCCTAACAAGTTCTGTCCTCAGGAGAACTTATTTTACCAAAGCCTAATCTGCTGGGGCTTTATCAGAACCTAACCTTCCTGGGTGAAGGAAAAGACCCAACTCTAATCAGCTCCAGCTTTTCATATGGCGAAAGGAAATTTACTCAACCCCAGTTCCCTCTAGCCTTCCATTTGAGGAACTCTAACCATCCTGTCCTCCCTAAGGAGTAGGCGTTAGGAGGGACTGAGAAGCCCTGGTGAATTTCACAGTGCAGGGGCCACAGGCTCATCAAAAGACAGAGACCTGATCTTAAGGCTATGAAATGATTCTCCCCCCTTCCACCCAACATTTCACCACCACATCACTGCAGACTTATTTACAGCTGTTCCTATTACCCAGTACATAACGTCTGGCCATCAGGAAAAAATATATATAAAATACACTAAAAGGAAAACACAGTTTGAAGGGACTGAATGAGAAGCAGAATAACAGATATGGCAGGAAGGTTGGAATTATACCACTTTTTAAAAACTAATTAATGTGCTGAGGTCTTTAATGGAAAAAAAGACATGCAAGAACATATTAATTATGTAAACACAGAAATGGAGAGAATCAAAAAGAAATGCTAAAGATAAAAAACACTGTGGAATGGTCTGAATGTTTGTGTCTTTCCAATATTCACAGGTTCAAATCTAATGCCCAATGTAATAGTATTAAGAGGTGGACCTTTAGAAGATGATTAGGGCATGAGTGGATTAGTGCCATTATAAAAGAAGCCCAAGAGAGTTTGTTTGCCCCTCTCATCATGTGCAAACACAGTGAGAAGGCTCCATCTATGAAGCAGAGAGTGAGCCCTCACCATACAATGAATATGCTAGTGCTTTGACCTTGAGTTTCCAAGCCCCCAGAACTGTGAGTAATAAATTACTGTTGTTTATAAACTTTCCAATCTATGGTTTATAATTCTCCAGTCTTTGTTATAGAAGCTGGAATGAATCAAGACACACTGCAACAAAAATGAAGAATATTTCTGGTGGGCTTATTAGTAGCCTGGACACAATTGAGGAAAGAATCTCTGCACTTGAAACTATGAAAAAAGATACTTCCAAAATTGAAAAGCAAAAAGAAAAAAGGTATACACATACTGGGAGTGCCAGAGGACAGTAATAGGAGAAGAAAGGAACAGAAGCAATATTGGAAGCAATAATGCCAGAGAATGTCCTCCAAGTTCATGTGAGATACCAAACCACAGATCCAAGAAGTTTGGAGAACATCGAGCAGGATGATTTTCAGAAAGACTACACCTAGGTATATTATTTTCAAGATTAGAAAATTAAATGTACAGAAAAAATACATTGAAAGAAGCTAGAGGAGAAAGAAAAGAAAACTTACCTATAGAGGAGCAAAAATAGAAATGACATTCAACTTCTCAAACACCACACAGATTTACAGACAAAGAATAGAAGTCTTAATAGCTCAATGTGTTTGAACACAGCCTCACATCAATAATTGGCTGGCCACTAATCTGTGCTGACTCATGCATTACACCTAGCAATCCAGACTTAAAAGTGAAAATGAAAAAAAACAATAGATGCACTGTTGGCTGTAGGCTCTGGGATAAGTAGACTTCACAGAATTAATCCAGGCAAACCATTAAACAAAAAAGCAGAAATAATAATAATCCTGAAGAGATGAAACAGAATCTGAAACTGTTATATAAAATGTCTACTTTTCATTGAAAGTATTCTAAGATATGCAAAGAAACTGAAAGGGTGATGCATACAAGAAAAAGTCAATAGAAAATGATTCTAAAGGACTCAGATATTGAACTTAAAGACAAAGATCTCAAAGCAACTATTATAAATATGACCAAAGAATTATTGGGAACCACATTTAAATAAAGAGAAGTGTGATGACAATGACTTGCCAAACAGAAAACACTAATAAAAGAATAGAAGTCCAAAAATAACTGAATATGAAATCTCTAATTGAAAAATATAATTACTAAAATTAAAAATCACTACAGGATAACATCAGATTCAATATGCAAAAAAAACCTCAATGTAGTTGAAGATAAATCAATATAATAGAACATAGAGAAAAATTATTAAAGAAAAATAGAGACTTGAGTACGTGTGTGATATCATCAAATGTACTAACATAAGCATAATGGGAGTTCCAGAACAAAAAGAAGATAGAGGCGAATAATTAGAATAAATATTTGGAGAAATAATAGCTGAAAACTTCCCAGACTTGATGAAAACATTAATCTACATAGCCAAGAAGCTCAACAAATTCTCAGTATGAAAAATACAAAGATATTCACACCTAGCTAGATATATGATAAACTGCTGAAAACTAAAGACAAACAGAAATAAAACTTTGAAAATAGCCAAATAATATAATTAATCACAAAAGTGTAACCACAATTATATTGACAGCTGACTTCTCATCAGAAACAATAGTGGACAGAAGGCTGTATGATGGCACAAAGTGTTGAAAGAAAAAGAAAAACAAAAACTCTCAACCATGATTTTTACATTTAGCAAAATTATTCTTCAAAACTGAAAGTGAAGAAATTATCATACAAACAAGCATGGGAAGAATTTATCGTTGGTAAACTTGCTTATAGAAATACTAAAGGGTGTACCAGAGAAAAAAGTAAAATGAAACTAGATGGTAATGAAAATCCACACAACGAAATAAAGACCTAGTAAAGGTAACTATGTAGGTAAATGTAGAAAACCGTAAAAAATATATTTTTCAGTTTTTTACTCTTAAAATTTAAAAGAAATGCAAAAAACAATAAGTATAAATTTGAATTTTAGCACCTATAAAGATGAAATATATATAATAATGATACACATAGACAGCTATATTAAAAAAATCTCTATATTTTTCTGGTATTAAGAAAGTATTCATTTGTGATAGATTATGGTAAAATAAAATGCATATTTAATCTTTAGAGCAAGCAATATAAAAATTACTCAAAAAGTAGTTTTAAAAAACCCAAAGAAGGCTGGGCATGGTAGCTCATGCCTGTAACACCAGCACTTCGGGATGCTGAGGCAGGAGGGTCACTTGACCCCAGGAGTTCAAGACCAGCTTGGGTAAAAGGAAGGAGAACCTGTGTCTACAAAAAATAAAAATTATCAGCCGGAGTAGTCTCAGGCACCTGTGGTCCCAGCTACTCAGCAGGCTGAGGTGAGAGACTCACTTGAGCTCAGGAAATCAAGGCTGCAGTGAGCTGTGATTATAACACTTCATTTCAGCCTGGAAAACAGAGTGAAACCCTATATCAAAAAAAAAGAAAAGAAAATTATACAATAGAAAATGTCTTTTAGCATAAAAAGGCAATACCATTGGAGCAGAGAAATTAAGTGATATAAAACGCATAGAAAACAAATAGCTAAATGGCAGATATATATTCAGTCACATATATGATTACAATAAAAGTAAATGGATTATATGCTGTAATAATACAGAGATTTTCATTATATATATGTATATACACACATATATGTATTCATACATACACACAGAACCAATTATGTGCTATAAACAAGTGACATTCTAAATTTAAATACACAAATAGCTTATCTCTCATGTATCTGGTGGTTACATGTCTGTTTTTTTTCCTTGTGATAATCTATTGAAGGGTATAATTGTGTTCATCATATTTTTCTATGATATTGTAAATTTCTCTATATATGTTATACTTTGAGAAAAAGAAGCAAAGTAAAATTTTAAAACATGAAAATGTCCATTATAGTTTGGAAGTTTTTCTTTCTATGTACACTTATCTCCAACTTGTCTTCCCTGCTCACTGATGCTTCAGCAGAGACAGCCAAGTCTGCACATTTTATCACCATTCCTCATCCCTGCAGAAGGAATAGTCAATTCTGAGAGTTGAAGGAAGAAGATACTGATATGATTCAGAAACCAGGTACGGCTGAAACCAGCTCATGAGTTAATCAATGTTTCTTTTTTCTCTGTCCTAAATATTACATTTTTAAAACTCTCTTGCCATTAACTGGCTCCAGATAATTTGAGTTCTGGCTACTGGAATACGAGTAAATGTGATATAAGGCTTTTTCAAGCAAACCCTCTGAAACCTCCCATGCTCCCTTGGTGCTATTTTCCCCAGCCCATATGTACGTGGCTGGAAATATGTCAGTGCTTTAAAACTGTACAATTATATATAGTAGTCACTAATTACATCCAGCTATTAGGCACTGAACTGTGCTAATCTGAGTTGAAACATGATGTCATGAGTAAAATATACAATAGATATTGAAGACATATAACCAAATAATACAAAATACTAAATATTTTCATACTGATGACATGCTAATATAATACTACACATATATTGGGCTAATTAAGAAATTGTTAAAACTGATTTACCTGCTTTTTACTTTTTTAATGTAGCTATTAGAAAATTTAAAATTACACACATGGGTCGTATTATATTTCTACTGAACAGTGTTTGTTCGGGAGGTGGTAGAGATACAAAATGGAAGGTCATGGTGGAAAGCTTTGCAAGAGAATAAGCCACCATAGACACCCCATTTAATAGTTTACAAGTAAAAAAATATATGCTAATGTGTTAAGCATTGTGTTAAGCCATTGAATTTATTGATTGTTACAGAACCATTCTCATCATCCTGCTGAGGTTTTTTTTTTTTTTTCTGATTGGGGAGGTGCAGTGGGAGACAGAGTCTCCCTCCATCACCCAGGCTGTAGTGCAGTGGTGCAATCATAGCTCACTGTAACCCCAAACTCCTGGGCATAAGTTATCTTGCTGCCTCAGCCTCCCGAGTGGCTAGGACTACAGGCCTGTACAACCATGCCTGGCTATTTTTAAAAAACATTTTTTTTGTAGAGATGGGGTCTTACTATATTGTCCAGACTGGTTCAAACTCCTGACTTCAAGGATTCTTCCCACCTCAGCCTCCCAGAATGTTGGGATTACACATGTAAGCCAGAGGACCTGGCCTCTGTTATTTTAGAGCTAATTTCATTATTGATAAGAAACAGATGAGAAAGTATACAAATCTTAATTTTGCATATATAATGTATGGGTGTATTTTCACTCTACTAAGTCCTTTATATTTTTTACAACTTCCTAAACATATCCTATTACACTTACAATACAATTCTGAATTTGTTTTATACAAAATGTGAGTCTGATCTGCACCCTGTCTACCTCCAAGATCTTATTTAGATTCTTTCTAATGCTTGTGAATACCCATGGTAATCCTGCTGTTTTTTAGCTCTGAAGTATATTTTATATGACATTAATATAGTCATTTATACATTATTTGATTAGTATTTGCACAAACTATCATTTTCATTATTTTAGTTTGAACCTGCCTATATTTTTATATTTGAAGTGAGTTTCTTTTAGACAGCCTGTAGGTTGGCCATTTTTTAATCCTATTTCACTTTGGCAACATCTATTTTTAATTAACATATTTTACTACTAACATTTAATATAATCACAAACATGTGAGCTTAAGTCTATCATTTATTTTTGTTTTGTGTTTGTTCTTTCTGTTTTTCGTATCTATGTTTTTTCTTCTATAGGTTATTCAAACATATTTTAGGATTTTATTTTGATTTATCTATGGCATTTTTGAATGTATAGTTTTATAGATTTTAAAAATTATTAATAGACTTTATATTGAATACAGTTTTACATTAACAGAATAATTTAACAAACTGTATATAGGGTTTTACATACCCCTCTCACCTCCCACAAATACTTTCCTCTATTATCACCATCTTAGTTTAGTGTGGTACATTGATTATTATTAGTGAAACCAATGTTGACATATTATTATTAACTATACTCTGGAGTTCACATTAAGATTCACTCTTTGTTCTATATAGTTGTATGAATTTTCACAAATGCATAATGACATATATCTGCCATTACAATTTCATAAAGAATAGCTTTATCACCCAAAAAATCACTTGAGTTTCGTCTACTTATTCCTTCCTTCTCTCCTTGTGACCCTTGGCAACTACTAATTTTTTAAATTGTAGTCTCCAAAATGCCACAAAGTTGTAATTGTAGAGTATGTGGCCTTTTTAGATTGGCTGCTTTTGACTGACAATATGTACTTAAGATTTCTCTGGGTATCTTTGAGGCTCAATATATCATTTCTTTTTAATTTCTAAATGATATTTCATAGTATCAATGTACCAAAGTTTGTTTATCCATTTACCCACTGAAGAATATCTTGGTTGCTTCCAGTTTTTGGTGATCATGTACAAAACTTCTGTGAGCATTCATGTGCAGATTTTTGTGTAAATATGTTTTCAACTAAATTAGGTAAATGACTTGGAGTGTGATTGTTGATCTATATGTTAAGATTAAATTTTGGTTTGTAAGAAACCACCTTCAAAACCGTCTTCCTAAGAAAGTAGTACGATTTTGCATACTCACCAGAAGTTTATTAGCATTCCAGTTTTTTTCCATTGAATTGTCTATGTTACTTTGCCAAATACATGCTGACTATATTAATGCTTTCTAGATTACTGTAGCTAATAAGTCTTAAAATGGTATGGGGCCAGTCTTTCAAATCTATTTTTCTTCTTTAGTTTTGTATTGCTTTTACTGGGTCTTATTTCTTTTCCATATAAATTTTAGAATTTTTTGTCCATATATAAAAAATATCTTGTGGGGTTTTGATTTGGATTGTACTGAATTTATATCAAGTTGGAGGGAATTGGCATTTAAAAAATATTGAGTATTCCTATCTGTGAATATAAAATATCACTCCATTTATTTAGAAATACTTTGATTTTTTAAATCAGAATTGTGTAGTTTTTATTCATATAGGTCCTATACCTGTTTTCCATTTTTGCCTATTTATTTTAGGGGATGCTAATATAAATATTTTTGTTTCTTAATTTCAAATTCTAATTATTCTCTGCTAGTATATGAGACAACAATTGACTTTTTTTATATTATGACCTTGCTATATATCCTAGGACCTTGCTATAATTGTTTATTAGTTCCAGACATTTCTTTTGGTCAATCTTTGGGATTCTCTACATAGACAATTACATTACCTATTAAAAAACGTCTTAGAGACAGAGAATGGTGCCAGCGAGGAGAGTTTCTGGTGCTCATCTCCTCACAGAAACACTGATGTTAACAACCATCCATACATTAAAATACCTTAATGAGAGGTTTAGATCCAGGTAAGTGATGAAGCACAGAAATGGAAAAAAAAATGCACTGAAGTGGGTAGAAAGAACATTTCACATTGCCTACATTACGTTTCCCTAAAGCCACCTAGCACAGCACCAAGGGAAATACCCTCTGTATGGAGAAAGCAAAGTAAAGTGAGCATCCAAATTTGTCACAGACCCCAGTACCAGGCCTACCCACATTGAACCCCAGGACTTGACCAGCCTGATCAGACCCAGGCTCCAGGCCTGCCCCTGTAGACTCTGGTGCCCACATGGCCCTTATGGATTCAGGCTGCAAGCTGTCACCTACTAACCCAGGCTCCAGATTGGCCCCTGGGTACTCGGTTGCAGGCCCACCCCAGTGATCCCTGGAACCAGGCCGGTACTTGTGTGCCCTGATTCCTGACAGGCCCTCATAGACCCAGACTACAAAACCACTTCAGAAAGCCTGGTGCCAGACCAGCACCCAGAAATACAGATTCCAAGTCGACTCAAGTGGATGCATGCTCCAGACCCACTCCAATGTCAGAAAGGCCCCCATGGTCATAGATTCCACAGAAGCTGTCACACATTCAGGCTCTAGGCCTCTTCTCACATACCCAGGCACCAGGACAGTTTTCCCACAAACTTAGGTAGAAAGTGCACTCAATGATGTTACCACATTTCCTACCCAGAATTTCTGGCTAGGATGACGATAAATGTCTTTCTCTGCTTAAACCAGTCTGTAAAGACAAGAAAGGTGTCTATTCCTACAAATGTGTGGACACAAGCACAAGGCTTAAAAAATCAGAAAGACAAGAAAACCAAATTGTGTTTAGATCAAAATAAAGCATGTATAACTGAACCTAAATAAATGAATATCTATAAACTGTATGACAAATAAAATAATCACCTTAAAAAATCTCAATGAGCTACAGTAGAACATAGACAACTAAACTAAATTGGAAAAATACTACATAAAAATGATAAATTTTACAAATATATAGAAACCATAAAAAATAACTAAGTAGTAAGTTTGGAGCTGAAAAACAGAATGGCTAAACTGAAAAATTCAACAGAGTTTCAACAGCAGACTTGATCAAACAGAAGAAAGAATAAGTAAGCTCAAAGACAGGTCATTTGAAATTACCCAGTCAGAGGGTAATTTCAAAGGAAGAAAAGAGTGAAAAAGACTGAAGAAAACCTATGAGACTTATGGGGAACCATCAAAGGAACCAATATATGTATTACGGATGTCCCAGAAAGAGCACAGAAAGAGAACAAGGCAGAAATCTTGTTTAAATATATGACAGAAAACTTTTTAAGTATGAGGAGGAAAATGAACAATCAGATTCATGATGCTCAAATAATTTTAAGTAGACTAAACACAAAGAGATATTTACTGAGACACATTTTAATCAAAATATTAAAAATAAAAGCAAAGACAATTTTGAAACCATCACCAAAAAAGAAAAATGACTTATTATATACAAAGCAACTCCCAAAAGACTATAAATGGATTTTATTTACTGGCCAGGAAAGTGGAATGATACATTTAAAGTTTTGAAAGAAAACAAATAAAAAACAACAATTGCCAATCAAGAACACTGTGTCAGAAATATTTGTCCTTCAGAAATGAAGGAGAGATTACAAACCTTCCCAAACAAACAAAAGCTGAGAGACTTCATTACCAGTAGAAATGCTACAGGGAATTCTTCAAATTGAAAGGAAAGAACCCTAATTAGCCATATAAAAATGTATGAAAGTATAAATCTCACCATTTGGTCAATCAGAATGCTCTAGTACTGTAATGATAATGTCTAATCACCCTTAACTCTAGTATAAAAGTTAAAAAGACAAAAATATTAAAATAATTATAGCTACTATAAATTGATAATCAACACACAATATTTTAAAAAGTAAATTATGACATCAATAACATACAATGTGGAATAAGAGGAGAAATAAATGTAGAATTTATGTATGCAATCCAAGTTATTATAATGGACAGCTATAACTATAAAAGGTTTTATGTAAGCTTAAGTAATTACAAAGAAAAAAATACCTGTGTAATTGTACAAAAGAGAAAGAAAAATGAATCAAAGCCTACTATTATGAAAGGTCAATATACACCAAAATAAAACCTCCTTAAAGCATAAATCTCACAAAGCATATAAAACAATAACACAATGAAAAAAAAACAAAGTATATAGGTGACAACTAAATGATGAATAAAACAGTACCTCATATCTCAATATTAACATTGAATGTAAATGACCTAAATGCTTCACTGAAAAGGTACAGGATGACAGAATGGATTAAAAAATTACAAACCAAATATCTGCTTGCTGTCTTCAAGAGACTCACCTAACACATAGGACTCACATAAACTTAATGCAAAGGTGTGGAAAAAGATTTTCCACATAATGGAAACCAAAAGTGAGCAGGAGTGGCTTTTTTTATGTCAGACAAAACAGACTTTAAAGCAACAACAGTAAGAAAAAAGACAAAGAAGGACTTTATGTAATGATAAAAGTTTATCTTGTTTAATGTAGCTATATGTGTCGGGGCTTCAATTTCCTCTGGTGTCCTTGTTTTTGTCTTCCCTGTAGTTTTTGGGTTTCCCTAGAAATTTCTTCTTAAATAAAGTCTGAGACTGTCAGTTTGTTGGAGGCCAGAAAGAGTGAGGGTCATGATCAACTCAGTATACCACTGGAGGCTATAAGAGTAAGCAGCAAAACTGTTTCTCATAAATGCAGAATGTTGGCAAACTGACAAACTGCATATGCCACCCAGATGAAATGCTGAGGGCAGTCACGACCCAGGCACAAGTGTTTCTTGTGATTAGGTACATCTGAAGCCTGTTAATAACAATATGAACCTGTGATCAATTAAGCAGCTGACCAATCATTACCTCAGACCAATCACCTCCTCCTCCCTGCTCTTGTTACCCAATAAATATGAAGGGCTGTGGAAGCTCAGTGGCTGCCTTCGCTCACTAGAAGCAGGGAGCTCTCTTTTTCCCCGGTTCCCCTTCCTTTAAAACAGTTTTTTTGTCTTAAGTTATCATTTCTACCTTCCTCCCTTCTTTCAGTCTCATGATGATGGTCTCAAGCAGTAATAGTAGTAACTGCTATAATGATGGTCTCAAGAAGTAACAGTAGTAACTGCTGTAATGACAGTCTCAAGTAGTAACCGTGGCAGTCTGTCACATCAGTTCTTTTACTTTGATCCACTGTTAAAAGATGTCCTATTGATGCAGTAATAACATGTGAGGGGAGAGGAAGCATTCTATAATGCTATAGTTAGTTCTTAGTGTTTTAGTGGGCCTGTACCCTTGGTCTGTGACCTTCACAAGTCCTTCTCAACTTTTTGTTCCCCCTTAAGAAAGGAAGGCTAGGAATGGCTGGGGTTTTCCAATTTCCTATCCTTCATCCGAGATAAGTTTTCAGGAAACTACTTTTCTTTGCTCAGTTTGTTGAAGTTATTGTCCATGTCAAGTTTTCTGAATTTATTCCAAAATGTTTATTTTTCTTGGGTATATTTCAAAATGATTACTTATTCCCTTCCACCGACCAAACATGAGAGGACTTTTCTGTAATCCTTACTCTGAGAACCTGGTGGGACTCCTGAGGTAAAACTCATGAAAGTGTGTGGAAACTTGAAGTTTTTAACTCTCAATCTATTCCACTTTCATCCTCTAGGAATTTGTCAAAGTTGCCATCTCACTATTACTGGCTATCGGCATTTTCTGCTTCAGGTGGGCTGATCTGTATCTTCTGTATTCACCTATTTCTCTACTTTTCAGGGTGACTGTTTATCCTGTGATCTCAATTCTCTGCAAGATCTAAAAAGTCATTGCAAGGTTTTAGAATGTTTGTGCAGAAACCAGAAGCCTATAGCTTTTTAATGATGGTTCCAAATATTATGCCATATATATATAACTTAGTTTTCTTGTGTCATTATTTTACAAATTTGGGTGAAGTATATACATCTTAACTCTTTATGCCTCTTTATACTCTCTCATTTATAAGTGTTTTAAATATTTTCTCTACATAAATCTATAGCCACGTTGGATAGTGTTTTATTTCTGATTTAACCACTTAAGAAAAATTTAGAAAACCCAAGAGAAGAAAGCCTATTGTATTCACCCATAGTTATGCTTACAATTCTTCCTTCATTCCTAATGCTCTTAGTTTCATTTATTTTTATTATTTCCTTTCTTTCTGAGAATATTCTTCAGCTAATCCTTCAGGGTAGGTCACTTTGTGACCAATTCTCTTAATTTTTTTTTCCATGTAAGAATGTCTTGACTTTTTCTTAATTCCTGAAGGAGATTTCAATTGGTGTAGAATTCTGGATTAACAGTTCTTTTCTTTGGAACCTGAAAAATGTCCTACTTCTTTTTGGTCTTCTCATTTCTCATGAGAAATTCACTGTCATGTGACCTACTATTCCTCTATAGATAAGGGACCATGTTTTTCTGGCTGGCATTATATTTTTTTCTTTAATTTTCAAAACTTGTGATGTGTCTTAGGTGCTGGCATGGATTTCTTTGAAATTATGCTGCTTGGGGTTCACTTAGCTTCTTTGTTTCTTGCCAAATTTGTAAAAACTTCAGACATAAAATATTCTCATAATTTTCCAGCCCTGTTACATTTCTCCTCTTTGTTTAGGACTCCAGTGTTATGAAAGTTAAATCTTTTGTTGTAATCCTGCAGGTCTTGGAGTGCTTGTTCATTTTCTCCCCAATCTAGTTCCTATTTTTCTAATTAATTTCTATTGCTTTGTCCTTCATTTAACTGATTATTCTGCCCATCTTCTGTATTCTGCTGTTAGTCAACCCACTGAGCTTATTTACTTTTGTATTTTTCATCTCTAAATTTTCTACTTGGTTCTTTATATCTATTGTTTCTGTACCGACAACTTCTAATTTTTCTATCGAGACACTATTTTTCATTTGTTTCAAAGATGTTTGTAAATTGCTTGTTGAAACCATTGATAATGGCTGCTTTAAAATTGTCCAATCATCATAGTATTTTTATCTCAGGTGTTTTTTTAAACTATTTTTCTGTGTGTGTGTATGTGTGTGAAACTTTGTTTTGGAATGAGTAGGTTTATTTTATTAAAACCTATAATTTTTTTTGTGATATGTTATGAGACAATTTAACCTTTTTATTTCACCATTCTACTTCTGGTTTTTTTTTTTTTTTTTTTTTTTTTTTTGCAATACCACTCCAGTAGGGGAATAGTAGTGCTACCTTGTTAATCCCAGATGGAGGTAAAGAGGTAAAGGCTAAATTCCCCACTCAGCCTGCATTGACATTTGAGATAGCGGCCCTCATTACTGACTGCTGGGCAGGGGTGGGAATTCCAGCCCCATGTGGTCTCTATTAATAATGCATGTGGAGAAGGGGATGGACCTATCATAGCTCAGTGATGGTGGATGACCTGACTCTGCTAGCCCTCATTCTGACACGTCTTATCATGGAGGGAGAGGGGCATATTATTAATGTTGAGTGGAGGTAAAATCCAGACTCCTCATGTAGTATCCACTGATTTTGTGGATAGTAATGGCAGTGGTGCTCATTACTATCCAGTGAGGATAAAAGTCCAGGCTCCACCACTGGCCTTCTCTGACATGATCCAGTAGAAATGTTGGAGCATCTCATCACAGTCTCATGAGTTTGGAGGACATGTAGGCCTCTCATTCAGAGCTGGCTGATCAGGGAAGAGGTTCAGCAACATTTTATTTTTTTTCCTGTGGTATTTGGCTAAAGTATAGAAATTCCTATCCCAAAATGGTCTCTTTTTAGGATTCCCTTTTGCTACACTTTTACCTAGCAAGGACAGGCTTTTCTTGGGACATTTTTTTGTCTGCACATGTTGGTGCTTCTGAGTTATCAGTGTCTTCGGCTCCAAGTCTGGGATACATGAGGCAAAAATTTAAATAATTAAACCAATAAAACAACATGAAAACCCAGGGAAGCAACTCTTTTTTAGTTAATGTTGTTATTCAAGTCCTGAGATGTTTACCCATCTGCCTTATTATCTCCATATTTCAGAGTCATCTTATGTTTACTGTAGAAAAAACATTCCAGAGTTTTTAGTTACCTCGCATGAACAAAATTGAAAAGTGTGTCTAGTCTCTTCTCCCAGAAGTGGAAATTCTTCTGATTTTTAAAAATTCCTCAAACCAAACTTGTTTTCATCTCATGGATTTCTCTATGATATGCTTTTTGCCTGAAATTTCCTTTTCTACATCATGATGGGGGTGGCCTTGGATCTCAGTTTAAGTGCTGCCTTCTTGGATGACTATCCCAGATCAAGAATCTAATTTCTCTTTTACAATGTCATTCTCTACTACATTGCACTCTTTAATTTTATTCATAGTGATGAACCAGATATATTCTTTTTAGGTTTATTTTTCTATTTTGGTATTTATTTCCTGTCACTAGAATATAACATTTATGGAAGCAAAAACCTGGTTCATCTCTATAACTTCTGCTTTTTCATATTTTTAGAATAGTCTCTGGCACAGAGTAAGTATTCAATAAAGATCTGTTGAATTTGAATGAATAATACAATGGTTTTCACCTTACATTTTTGTAGTTTAGTCCCTCATTATGCTGAAGAAGAAATGTATCTCATCCTATTGATGACCAGGGCTCCTCTTTGCCTCTCTTGATAATCCAAAGTTACTGGCAAGCAAGAGCAAAGGCCTGACTGACAGGCTCATGGCTTTGTGGTTACATCCTGAGGATAATTAACTCTTCTAGGCCAGCTGTGACCCCTACTGGGAGTCAGCCTGTGCCCAACATGTTGACAGAATTGGTCCCAAATGAGGCCACTCCACTTGAGTCCCTGGAGTGACTCCTGAGATTTGAAAGAACCTAAGGCCCTGCCAAATATAAGAACCAAGGCAGAATTTAGGAACCAATTGATTCCTCAGAGAGCTTTGCAAATGATTTGAGAATGTTAGAAAGCAGATCTAGTGGCCCATCTTGCCAGTTCCTCATGTGAAATTATTCCAGTAGTAATAATACAACCCTTTTCTATTTCCTTGCATTTTTGTCTTATTTCACTGCCTATTTCCCCATGTCTGGATTTAAACAAATAGAAACTTTGTCTCTGTTTTAGGCTTTTTCTCACCTTTTAAAATGCAAATACTTCAGGGAAGGGGAACAGCTGGTCAGTCATTTTGATCTTACTATAATGAGTTTATTAGAGCCAGCCTGGAGAGGGAATTCTGACACTGAGCATACTATCCCACAAACATGGCTCTCTTTTGATGCTTGCCAGTACTGGAAAATTTCCCCACAGGAGAATTTCTCAGGCATGCAGCAATGCAGTGACAGTAACACATGCAGATGGAAGGCATAGCCTGAAAACTGAGTGACTGGATCTCAGAAGAGACTACCACTGTAGATTGAGTTATTTTGAGGGGGTGGGTGGTGTAAGATCCCCAGATCCTAAGATATTTGTGTTTCACATAACAAGAGGACAATATGTCTAGTGAAAATCCTGCTTAAAGTTCTGATATCATTTTATATAGCAGAATTTTAGTAACTAAATATCAAGTAATTCTATAAAATATAACTGGGTAATGTAGTTAAGAATAATACAGTGAGAGAGAAAATTAGATTGTTTAGTCTGGGATGTCCATCTAAGGAGGCCACATTTGAGCTGAGATCCAAGGCCATTCCTATAAGATGAGGAAAGGAGAGTTCTAGGCAGAGGAAGTAGCAAATAGAAATCCATGAAATAGAAAGCAGTTTAATTTGTTTGAGGAATCAAAAAAAGGCCAGGATATTAAGGATATGGAGGGTAGCATTTTTCAGTTATATGATCTTTTAACTGTCTAAAAATAACTGCAAATGAATATTTGAAGGGGTATCAGAATAGATAATGTAGGAGTAAAACCTTGTTTATGAGAATTTCCAGTTTGGAGTTTGTGACTGTCATGTCTGATATGAACATCACAAATTTTTGTGTTTAAAAATAGCTAATTATGTATTTAAATGACTCCTGAACAGAAAATTCAAAATGACAGCCGAGGTTGGGAGCCACATATGCGACTGACAGGCTCCAGAAACTTAAAAACAAGTATAGATCTCTGCTTGAATCAATGAAAATGGGCAAATTTGGTTGTTATGGTGAAGAAATTATCAATAAACATAACTTTAGTTTTAAAAACACTCCCTTCTCCTTAAAGTCTTATTTCCTTGATAGGGTATCTGATAAATGCTCCTAATCATCCTTCTAACCTCAGACTCTGCCACAGGTAGAAACCACAGATGGATTCCCAAATCACAGCAGCATAGATAGACTTGCCTCCCAGCCTTTCAATGGGGTGGTATCTTGGAACTACCTGAGCCACTTGAGTGTATGGGGAAGGAGGTGAAATAACAATGTGAAAACTCCTCTGTAATTGGCCTAACCAATTGATGTATAGCTGCTGAAGGTTTTAAGCATCACTTTCCATCTTCCTAGTATAGAACAGGAAGTAAACAGATAAAACCTTAAATGCCATTTGTCTAACTGTATGAAGGAGCTCTTCCATCTCAATAAAATATTGGTTTAAAAAATGGCAGTTTTTACATAGAAAGAGACATACTTCTTCAAATCTTATCAGAAAATCTATGTTAGGACCTGGAAAGTGATATGAGGATAAGACCCATGTTCCTCCTCCATCTTCCTCTCCACCATGGAGGCTGGACAGGAAGGATTAGTCCAACCTGAGCCTCACAAGACCCACGCATCTTGTAAGTGCTACTATGATAGTGTGAAAACATGGTACCTGAGAGGTTGCCAGAATCCAGGCAGCTGGTCCTTCCCATCTACTTATCACATCCTGGTGCCTATGGCAGGTACTGAGAGTCATAGAGTAGAGCCTAGAGATTGAGTGGTTCAAAAGTGATGGCCCAGAAAAGAGTAGTGAAGCCAATTCTGGGCAGTTGTTCTTTCTATGGTGAGTTGCCATGATGTTCTAGATACACTCCTTCTGTATGATGAAGGAGACATATTTTGTACCCTTTCTCCTCTCATACCTGCATTTCTCCAACCCTTCAATCAGACATAATGCATTCTGAGAGGATGCCAGAGTTGGCAGGAATGAAATAATTACTTCCAAGGAAGACACTTAGCCAACACCAAGTCTTAAAATAGCTAGTCTTTCTCTTCATCCAGTAGGACTTTCATAAAATATTCAGGTTCCTAAAAAGAGAATAGAAGAATATAAAGTGTATAAGGTTAGGTTGGGGGCATACAAGACATGAGTTTGGCACTGGTGTGAACAAAATCTGGGATAATGTCAGTAAATGTCAAAAGTCAAGAGAAGCCATGTTTAGTAGGATGAAAGTCATGACAGCATCTCCTCTACCATGGATTTCTGTGGATCAGCAGGAATCATTGCCCCAGAGCCATAAGACACCTTTCAGTGGATCTCTCCACACCGGGGAAGCCTTCAGTCAGGCAGACTGCTATATCAGGAAGACTGCTATATCTACTCAGTAAGGGTTTGATCCCTATGCCAAAGCATTTTGCCCCTGCAATGAATCAGGTCCCCCTCAGTTTTCCTTATTCCAATTTGCTTTGGTCTCAAATGAAGAGGGAAAATTAGAGGTGCTTTGGTTCATGTTTCTATAGGATAGCCTACGGTTCTATAGGATAGCCTACAGTTTTTTATTGTCGGAAAATATTCTTTGGCAAAATGGTCTGTCCAGCCTTGAGCCATCAATAGGAATGAGGGGGGAAATAGCCTGCTATGTAGATTATGTCCCCCATGTTTCTGTCTTCCTTTCCCTATCAAAGGCCCAGGAAAACCAGCTCATGTGACCACAGACCCTCTCATTAACATGCACACAGCCATCATGAGTTTGGAGGACTTAAGTCTCCATCCTTTCTAGTTATATCAAATGCCTTTTCCCTGGAGACTCCTTAGAATAGCTCCCACAGACCTCCCTCATTCTGCTTCATGTGCTCAGATGTAGGTCAAATGGTGTTTTAGCCATCAGGCATCCTTTTCTTTCACAGCCACCCTGGCTCTGCCAGATTAACCTAATAGCTGTCTTACATGGGCCTGGCAAGCTGACATGTTTTCTGATGTAAGAAAGAACCCACAATATCCCCACAGTGGGTTTCTGGAATCAAAAAGAAATTTAGTGGCTGTGATTTCCTCTCTGAAAGTCCAAAAAAAAAAGATAAGAAACTTGAGTATATCCAGAAATGAAAGCATATCACAGCAACAAATAGAATAAAGCTGGGTGATCTCTAGTGGTCTCTATCAGTCTTTTGGGTGGTAGCAGAGGTGCTATGGTGTGGCTTTAGACCATGGGGTTGGGTCATGTGGCTGGCTGTGCTAACCTTAGTGCACACCCTCTGAAGCATATCTAAAATATGGAGCATAATGCCAATCTATTATACCCACATAGGTGATGGGCAGAGATCCTAGTTCACAAAGATCTCTGGCTTCAATATCAGATTCATCTTCCATGGCATTGGGGTCAGAAGGACCTGGCTGGTGGCTGCTACTTGTGCCTTGATGTCAGTACAAAGTGACATAAGCATCACTTTCTCACAGCTGGGAGCATATAGAGCCAATAGGTAAGCCCAAACTCATACCATGGGAAGAGTCAAGGGTCAGAGCCCAAGAGACTATTTATATACAGGGTCCTCAAAATAAGGAAACCATTATTATCTATAAAAAATATTTTATGTATGTGTATTAGCCCGTTCAGCTTGTCATAACTAAATACCAAAGACTGGGTGGCTTAAACAACAAATTCTATTCTCTTACAGTTCTGGAGGCTGGAAAGTCCAAGACAAAAGTTTTAGCTGATAATTTTTTACAACATTTATTTATTTATTTATTTATTTATTTATTTATTTATTTATTTTGAGACAAGGTCTCACTCTGTTGCCCAGGCTGGAGTGCCGTGGTACAATCTTGGCTCCCTGCAACCTCCACCTTCCAGGCTCAAGAGATCCTTCTACATCAGCTGGGACTACAGGCATAAGCCACTATGCCCAGCAAATTAATTTTTTTTAAATAGGAGCAAGGTCTCTCCATATTGCCCAGGCTGATCTCAAACTCCTGGGCTCAAACAATCGTCCCACTTTAGCCTCCCAAAAGTGCTGGGATTACAGGTATGAGCCACTGCACCTAGCATAGCTGATTCTATTTCTGATGAGGGCTCTCTCACTGACTTGCTGATGGCCACATTTTCGCTTTGTCCTCACGTTGCCTTTACTCGATGCACTGAGGAGAGGGAGAGGGAGGGAGATTGTGAGTTCTCTGGTGTCTTTTCTTATAAGAACACTAATCTTATTGGATCAAGGCCCCACTCTTATGACCCCATGTAACCTTCATTACTTCCTTAGAGGCTACATATCAAAATATAGCCACATCGGGGGTTAAGCCTTCAATATATGAATTTTAGGGCTACACAAATACTTAGCTCATAACAATATGCTTGGCAATGTGCTGTCAGATATGATGAATCCATTTTTAAAAACATGGAGGAGAGTAGACATTTCATTTACCCAAGTGAGAAGTCATTCAATGTTAGGCCTTCCTCCCTTTCTCTCTCCTCTTTCTCTTTCTCTCTCTCATCTCCTTTCCCCTTCCCACGCTTTCCTTTTCTTCCTTTTCTTCCTTTCTTAAATGGAGTTTTTTTTTTCTTTTTCTTTTTCTTTTTTTTTTTTTTTTTTTTTTTTTTTTTTTCAGAAAGAGTCTCACTCTGTTTCCCAGGTTGGAGTGCAATGGCATGATGGCATGACCTTGGCTCACTGCAACCTCCGCCTCCTGGGTTCAATTGATGCTCCTGCCTCAGCCTCCCAAGTAGCTGGGACTGTAGCTGCATACCACCATGCCTGGCTAATATTTGTATTTTTAGTAGAGACAAGGTTTCACCATGTTGGCCAGGCTGGTCTGGAACTCCTGACCTCAAGTGATCCACCTACCTTGGCCTCCCAAAGTACTGGGATTACAGATGTGAACTACCATGCCTGGCCCAAAGCATTTCCTTTAAACATTATTTGTGAATCAGCATAATCTGGTGATGTGGTAGTAGTAATTTCTGACCCACTGTGTACCATTGAATAGCACTTCACTCCTCTGTCCCTTAGGAGGTTAACTTAATATGGATTATCAATGGATGAATACAAAAAATTAACTGGAAATTTGAGGTAAATACCAAAATTTTACCAATCAATACGTGCTGAAGTATAAATGTAAAGTAGGAGGAATTATTGGCTTGAATGATGCAGATAAAAAAGGAGTTTCACTCCACTTTGACTGAAAGGTCATCATGTCAGATTATTTAGATTTCAGATAAGTCATGGTCATAGTAGAGTAAATGCTATCCTTACAGAGTATATGGTACTGACAGATGCATTATCTTTTCTGTTCCAAAAGAATGTATTCCTAAGAGTGGAGAACTGGCTGTTCCTTGACACCCAGTCTCTCTCTCCCATTAGGGGGAGCTGCTGAGATGCATTGATGCTGTTCTCTTCCTCCCTCACCTCCAGATCATGCCTTGAGGCAAAGGCCTAGGTATGTAATGTAAGAGGAAGTTTTGTGTGTGTGGGACTTCCAAGGAGACTGCTTAAAATGAGCTGAGAGACTTGGGAAACTGGCCATGTTCTCGTTTCTTTCTTATTCTTGCTGCATGAAATGTGACCTTGGTGACCAGAGTTCTAGCTGCTGCACAGGACCATGGATTGAAGCACTGATGATGACATAGCACCAAAACAAATCAACAATTTAAGCTCTAGGTCCATGATGATGCCTGGGGCCACCACACATCCTCTGAATGGCCTAAGTTTTTGCATGATTTCCATGAAAGAAGAGCCATTTGTGTTGTATTTTGTTAGATTTTTCATTAAATGTTACCAGATATAAACGTATCTGATACCCAGGGCTAGCTGAATAAGGTGGTCAATTTGATGAGTTCTGGGAAGGACTCCTAGATATGTTGTTGTTATTTCTTAATTTATTTTTTGAGACAGAATTTCTCTCTTATTGCCCAGGCCAGAGTGCAATGGCGTCATCTCAGCTCACCGCAACCTCCAATTCCCAGACTCAAAGTCATTCCCCTGCCTCAGCCTCCCGAGTAACTGGGATTACAGGCATGCACCACCACGCCCGGCTAATTTTGTATTTTTAGTAGAGACGGGGTTTCTCCATATTGGTCAGGCAGGTCTTGAACTCCCGACCTCAGGTGATCTGCCTGCCTTGGCCTCCCAGAGTGCTGGGATTACAGGTGTGAGCCACTGTGCCTGGCCTAGATATGTTATTTGAGCCACTATTTGGACTAAGAAGTAGTCAGCTATGATAGAAAGACCATTGGTTACTGGGATTAGATGATGTGACAGATTAGAAACAGAATTTAAATCTGTCTCGGCATTTACTAGCTATCTGATTTACAAAAATAAATCTGCATCTCAGTTATTGATCTGTAAATTGGAAATAAATTTCTACCTCATGCTTTCATAAGGACTAAAGTAGATGCCATATGTAAACCACTACCTAGAGGGTCTTGAAACTTAGATACTTCTTAAAATAATGTAATAAGCATCTGACCTTGGTAACTGAAGTTTAGAATCCTCATAGCACTCTCACATCCACATATAATTGTTCCTAGGAAATATTTCCTTGTGGTAGTTAGAACAAATAATATAATTTTAAAAACAGTTCCAGAGTGACAAGGCGACTTGATCACTCAGCGTGGAAGTTCATTAGTGCAGGGATTTGAACCCAGGTGCTCAGGCTCCTGGCTCAGAGCTTTTCCTCCTATATCATAATGCATTTTTGAAGTCTGAGAGATACAATGCATTGTTATCATCAGTGTCAAATACCATCTTAGTTAAATTAGGCCGACCTAGGACAGAAGAGAAGGCAGACTTAAAAGTAGCTAATGTAATTTGGAATTGGTGGGAGTCAGGGAAACACCATCATCCTGGGATTGTTTGTTCTGGGGAAGCACTGCTGCATAGGATTCAGGACAGCTGGCCAGAAGCAGAGGGCATGAGAGACAAATTGTGTTCTGACACCAACTGTTGTGCTACAATACAACTCTGACACTAACCACACAGAGTTAGCACCACACTCCACAGGTTTAAGGACACAGCCCCTAAGAAACACTGTCCTCCCTTCAGACACCAGCTACAAGCAGGATTTCCAGAGCAGACTTCCCACACTTCTGATGAACTGGCTACAAATTCAGGGATTCCCACAACCCTGAGAATTCACTAGCATGACACAAAACTCAGGAGATTGCCACACTTATGAGTATAGTATTGTTCTAAAGAATACAAATGAGGACCAGGTAAATAAAGATATTTTGATGTGTTCACCAACCAGAAGAGCTCTAGGAATGTTCTTTGTGGTTTCATTGTAGAGGCATGATTGAATCATTGGCCACATGAAGAACTCAACCTTCAGCCCACCTTCCCTTCCTAGAATTAGGAACAGCTCAAAGTCCTAATTTTCTAGTTATGTCGTTGATCTCTGTGATGACCAGCCCCTGTCTTGAATCATCTTATCTATTAGCATGAACTTAGGGGTGATCAAAGGGGCTCATTAACAGACATTTCTACCACTCTAGAAATTTGGAGGATATAAAGTATCCCATCCAGGAACCAAGCAACAAAGGTGAAATTCTTCATTATATGTTAAGTTGAAAAAATTGAAAGAAAAGGAAACAGATCCCTAAATCTGCTGATCCCAGGCTCACTTTTGGATCAGGCAATAGGAGTGGTTTTAAGGCAACCTTGGCCTACTTTACAGCTTTACCAAGAAGTTACAGATAAAACCAGGAAAATGTTAGTTAGTTGGAGGATTCAGTTTGGTGCAGTTTTTTCTGTTAGGTCCCATGGGCTTGAATTTGTAAATAAAAGCCACCATTCTCATTGCATTGAGCTTATTTGAATAACCTCTTATTATTTGTGCTGATTTTTTTTTTAGTTCTTATTATGTTCTCACATTTAATACACATTTTGTTAGATTTTCACAATCACTCTAAAGTCAGTACAATGTAGTAAGAATATAATGGAACAATGCTCTGTGGTGTTATGTTACTTGTCTAAAGTCACATGGGTTGTTAATTGCAAATTTGGACCAAACAAAGATGAAAATCCCACGATTTGTTTTCTGCAAGGCTTGAGTTTATCTCTGTTATATGATTTCAGGTCAAGTTTGCCTAATCTTTTGCTGTGTCAGTCTCTTATCTTTGAAATGGGATGCAATCAATTTATTGATTGCTGTGAAGACTCTGTGATGGGGTGTGAAGTATGGGGAATATTTTGCATGGAGCTTGACATATCATAAGCCCTCAATAAACATTGGGTATTAGTTATTAACTACACAGTTAATAAAACCCACATCAACTAAGTTCTAATACTTTTCCTACTGCCATTAAAAAGAAAGAAAACCTTCACTTTTGAGGAATTAGGGGGCTGATAAGTTCTGGTTCTTTTACATCTTTTAAGTAGGTGAGGAGATAATAGTATCTTCCTTGTTTGATCCCATAGTTACTTCACCTTGGGTGCATTATGTCAATGAAGGGCATTAGAAAAGGTCTGTTCTGTTTTGTTTTCTCAGACATGAGATTTGCTGAATGAGAAAACTCAAAGACAGATCAGCTATACATGAATTTTTCATTTTTGAAACATTTTGAATCTCTTAATTTTCAGTTTATGCCACCTCTTCACAGAGACTAATTCCAAATTCCTACCAGCCATAGTAAAATCAGACAGCCTTGTGTTTTTCTTTCTGCTTCAGGTTTAACAGTGCTTTCTCCACTTGGGATGTTTTGGGAATTGGCCACCCAACCAGGGGTTTTCTCTTTTGTTTAAGGATCTTATAAACTTTTGTTCTATGCCTTGCCAGCCATATAACCTTTCATCTTAAAATCACGTAACCTTTTATCTCTGTAAATGTGTTTTCATTCGGCTTAAAAAATATCTTTGAGGAGGTGTTTGGTCTAAATCCAGTACATGCAGATTCTTTGAAACAATTAGCAAATGGATGAGAATACTTATGAATGTGATGGTTCTTTCAGAAAGGCACTAACAACTATTTTAAGTAAAGGACATGAGAAGAAAGCATGAATGAATTCTTTTAAATTACAGAGTGAGAATTTTTTTAAGTTGACATAAAATCCAAAATCCCATAATGCCAATAAATTTGAATATATGAAAATTAGGGGGAAACAGATGCCATGACAAAAGGCACCTGAAGGAAAACCATAGACTAAAAATATATTTGTAACTCCCACTACTAAAACCAGAAAAGGCAAATTCCACTAATATTAAAAAAATCCTCAATCAATAAATAACAGACCAATAGAAAAATGGACAACGTATATATTATCCAAAAATAAACATAAGATGCTTCCAATGTATAAAATAATAAGCAGGATTCAAAATAGAAAAATGCAAACTAAAACAGCTTTGAGCTACCATGTACAATCTATTAGATTAGCAATGATATAATAAATAAAAATTTAATTAAACACTACAAACATATATTTTTGTTGAAGTGTTGATTGTTATAATTTATATGGAGGGAGATTCGACAATGGCTATCAAAATTAAAAATATATTTCCTCACTGATGCAGCAATTCCATTGCCAGGATAATATCCTACAGATGTTTGTCAAATGTGATTAATGGCACGTTACTTCTAATAGCAGAAGTTTGTGACAATCTTAATGTGTATCAATAGGAAAGACTTAAAAAAATTATGGTAGATTTATACAAAGAAGTACAATGCAGCAATAAAAAAGAATGATATAATATTTCTATATTGATGGAAATGATCTCTAAAACACCTTATTAATTAAAGGAAGTTACAAAAACACGTGTAAAATATAGTCAGTAACTTCTGTGTAACATGATAGGAAAAAAATATTTTTAACATATTTTTATAGAACTTGCCTGAATTTACTTGGTGTATCTCTGGAGGGATGCCCAAGAACCTGAGACTACAGGTTTTTGTGGAGACGGGGAACTGGTTGGCATATGAGTTCATGTGGAGACTATTCACCATACTTCTCTTTTGGGTTTTGAGCTATTTTAATCCCTTGCATATACAAAATCTAAATTTTAATGGAAGTTAGAAATAAGCAACAAAGATATGTCATTGTTATTTTTAATATTTTTTAGTTAAAATTAAAAACTTAATGTAAAATCCTATGTCAATGCATTCAGATATATGAAAATTAAGAGGGAAAATATTTTCTCCCCTAATTTCATCTACCATATTTTTCTAATGGCTGTCCTGATGAATGAACAAAATACTTAACACAGAGAGAGGTATGGGGAGCAAAAGAGAACCATAAATCCATGTTATAAGACACTTCTTAAAAGTTAGTGGGAAAAATATTTATCAAATTGTTGTCTAAGTTAAATCTAGGACTCCACTTGCCTATTTCCTGAGAAACATAGGTCCCCTGCACATGGAAATGTCCAGATTTTCTATTGCAGAGGCTAGGGAAGAGGAAGGCCAGTCATGGTTAGGAGTTGGTCTCTCAATATTTCTCAGTTTGCTAGGGATCTTGAACAAGCTATTGGCGTGTCCCAGTTTTTTACTTTGGATCCCTAATGAGAATCTTTCATACGGGAAAATTTAATAGAAAAAGATATTATACCATTTGAGGAAAGGTAACCTCTTTTTCATTTTCTTTTTCTTTAAGGGAAGATTTCATTCATTAGGATTAATAGGCCAGAACTCTCTGTAACACTTTCTTCCACCCTCCCTTTATTCACTTACTAGTCTATTTGTCCATTCCAGCCACCTCTCTCCTTCCCTAGACCTCTGAGGTCTGGGGAATCAATACACAAAAGTCCTGGCACAGGCAAGCAAAGAAATAGAGGTTCTCTCCTTAATCTCCATATGAATGACACATCAATGGCCATGACATTATCCTTGTCCCACTACAGGTTTCATTTCCTAGGTACCACATGAGGATGAATCAGGTTCAGTCTTCTAGGGCCACACTTACCACATCTAAATAATTGTTATATATTTGCCATTCTTACTGTCATTATTAATGATATCTACTGGTGGGGGTACAAACAAGATACAATCCAGAGTGATGCTTTATGAGCTCCTTGGAGCAAAGTGCCACATAAAAACGAAGGAGTTGGTGATAGTGCAGAAAGACAGGATGGCAGAGTTACAAGGGAGTTGCTTTTACTCAGAGAAGGGAGGAGTATTAGTGCTTTTATAGTGAATGAGCTGGGTAAGGAGCCCTTATAAAGTTATAAACAATTAGCCCTCTCAGCCTCTGAAGATGGTGATCAGTTTCCAATGAAACAATGGACAGGAAAGTGTTTTGCATATATTATGCCAAGTATGTCTTAGCATTTTAGGAGTGTTTTGGAATGATGGGTGTCACTGGTCAGGTTCCTTTGGAAACCTACTCTGAGACAGAGATTGACACACATATGGTTCAGTGGTGAATACTCTTAGGAATAGTACCTGTTGGAGGGGGATGATGAATGTAGGATCAGACAGAAAGAGCAGTTGTACTAAAATGCAGTAGCAGCAGAGGCCCAAGCCAATTCTACTGGGATCTGGGATTTGCCCTAAAGAAATAACCCAAATTAGGGCAAAGGGGCCAGGCTTTTATATCCCTTAGTATTTTGCCGTTACTGCAGACAGTTTTAAAAAAAGAAGGCATTCCCTAGGGAGAGGGTGTGATCTTGGACAAAGCAGCTCTTTAGCCAGCCAAAGGCAGGTTTTGGAAAAGGGACAAGCTACCTATACTAATATTCCTACCTAATATTACCTACACTAATATTAGCTACCTACACTAATATTCCCAACACCTGGGGAAATGAATGCTTCAGTCATGATGGTGGGCTTCTGGTCAACTTTCATAGCACCCAGTACAAATGGGGCTGAACAGGTTAAAGATGGGATTGTAATCACAAACACCTGCACATATGAAAAATTCAGTTCAGACTAGTCACCTTTCCCTAAGAATAGTATGGATCCAATGCATCTCTTCTCAGAAAAAGAACACCATGTGACTGATCTGTGTTATTCTAACAGTCACTTCCAGAATTTCTCAGGAATCTGATAGAAGTGGATTTGT
This sequence comes from Homo sapiens, assembly GCF_000001405.40. Classification (NCBI taxonomy): domain Eukaryota; kingdom Metazoa; phylum Chordata; class Mammalia; order Primates; family Hominidae; genus Homo; species Homo sapiens. The sequence goes on from NC_000018.10 coordinate 38,551,878, forward strand.
GTTTGGCACTGACATTTACCTGCATTCCTGGCACAGGTCTTCGTCTCCTCAAAAACACACCTGAGAACTCAAATAGCTCACAGTTGGAACTGCCGGCAATCTTACGTGTGATGACAAAATGGAAAGGTTCAAGCCAAGAAAAATGTAAAAAGACATACGGCGTGACGGATGATGCCTCATTCCAAGAAAGCCACAGGAAAGTTAATCCACCCTTACCTGAGGGCATTCAAGTACGAAGAAAACACACATCGCAGCCAAGCCCTTCCCAGTCAGCGGGACCAGAAGCAGTCCTGGCCATGTGCGGGGGTGGAGGAAGTGACTGCTACTCCCTGTGACTTAGAGGGGCCATCAAAGCCCTAGGGTCCCAAAGTAGTTCCTCCAGATGTAATTTATTTCCTGAAATTCCACCATGCCCTATTTATGGCTCTGATCCTTGTTTGAAAATATAATTCCTTTCACAATTATCTGTCCTAAAAAGGCAGGGACAGGGATTCATGAGAAGTCGGTTTATGCTAATTATGCCAGGAACTAACCATGTGACCTTGAATAAGCCTCTTCTCTCTGGGACTCGGATTCTGTAGTCTGGTACAGTGTCTGTGATTCTGATGGCTTTGGCTTTTTGTAGCATATGTGTAGCCTCTCACTACTGCGGACTCCAGACCATCTTTATGTGCTACCACCACTTATTTTAAAAATTCTGATTTGGTTTTATTGCTGATATTGGGTATCTGACAACTTCTGTTTCTAAAATGTGACAAAATGTTTGGATCGTTGAGCCAGCATGCCCAACTCAGGAAAACTTTTGTGCCTTTTCCAGGAAAAGCTCTCCCATTAGAGTTTGTGTGTGTGTGTGTGTGTGTGTGTGTGTGTGTGTGTGTGTATGTCTCAGGGGAAGGGAGAATATGCAGAACCTGCTTCCAAGTGTGAGCTTTAGTCACATTCTCTGAAATCTTTCTGTGTGTTACCTTACAGCTCCACCAAGACAACTGATCAAGAAGCCCCTGCAAACAGGAGGGGTGGGAGTCTCCATGGAAACTCCACAGTTCCCAGAGTAAGGTACAGGCTTGCCCTCATCACATCTTTTCAAGTCACCTTTCTCATTCGCACTTCAGTGTCCCATAGTGACTGGTATGTTTTATTTCAAATACATGGTTAAATAAATGGATGAATGGCTAAAAAGAATGAATGAGAATGAAAGACAATCAGTTTCCCAGCAGAAACCAAGGGAGATGGGATTCTAAAGAAAATTACTTGCTGAACAGGGTTAAGGAAATCAACAAAGGATATTGAGGCTTCCAGGGACTAATCACAGCAAGAAGCCATTGCCATGCCCCCAGCTGAAGAGCCATCTAGAAGGCAGAGAGAGAGAGAGGCATAGCTGCTGCTAGACCGTGATAACAAAGCAAAGTGGGGAGAAGGCAGAGGAAGACATGCCTGGAGTCTTTCTTCTTTCCTTTCATCTTTTACTGGTTTATCCTACTGGCCAAACCCAGCTAGAAGCCAGAAAGCAAAGGGGGTACCCAGCATTCAGCCTTTAGAAATCAGCACCCAGCATTCTCGAGGACAGAGCAGCGAGTTATAAATGGGGATATAAATGGAGAATAGCAGCACAGAGAATACAAAAGCAATTTTTCATGGAGGAAAAACTTCATGTAGGCATAAGATCCTAGAAGAAAGAAGATTCATCAGGAGAAAGACAAAAAAGTCACATGGAGATGGTGGAGAGAGTGTCAACTAATTCTAGTTATGTGGGCTTTAGAAATAACTGGTCAGGACTGATACTGCATTTAAAGAATCTTAACTGATTTTCCTTTGATCCAAGATATTCTCAAGGAGTATTCTTGAGTGCCTAGTGTACTCTCCAAAGGGACAAGCTTAGACAGTATCACTTTTTAGAATAAAATAATTTAAAGAATAGTCATTTCCTAATGATTTCATTTGTACTAGGCACCATGCTAGAAGACTTATGTGAATGATCTAATTTCATTCTCACAAAATCTGTGAGAGACAGATTCTAATCTCTGCTTCACAGTTGAAGGAACTGAGATTAACAGTGGTAGGGTGAGTTGCTCAAAGTCATATAGCTAGGAATTGAGAGAGACAGGTTGGTTTGACTACAAAGCCATTTTTTCCTCCCAGTTATGGGTTAATTACTCCACTATGCTGGTTTGGGTTTGAATCTTCTGTGACCTTTTCCTAAAATTACCCTTGAGCAACTGGATTCAACTAGATTTGTTCTTACTGACTACTACAGGTAACTACTGAGTGAGTTTTGATAACTCCACTAGAGGACTAAGGAGGAAATGCATGTAACTTAAGAAGATCACATACAATCAATCAATCCAGAAAGCCCAGCATTTTGTTTACCATCTAAGACTATGTAGAGACATTGGTGTATCAAGGGAAGACACCTGGTATGTTAGGGTCCTATGCTGCATATCAAGTTAATTAGAACCTACATCTTACTATAGCTTCAAAACAGGACAGTATAGTAACATACTCAGATTGTGGTAAGAGAGAGAAGCTAATGATGGGATGTAGAAAATGCTACCCGAAAACATTGCACTTTGAAAATTGAGAAAACAGCAGAAGCAGGAAGGGTACTTCCACTTTCCTCCCATCCTTCTTCCCTGAAGCAGGCCATATAACATAGTCTGACCATTTTCCTCCCTTCTCCCTAGTAGATCCTTATGTGACAGGTGTCCTGCCCTATACTCAGAGGGAAGAAATGTAACACAGGGATGCCAAAAAGAATCTGAACTAACAAGCCTTGCTAAGTTCACCCCACTTTATTACCTTTAGATCATACCCTTTATGATTCTTCAGTCCTGCTTCTGCATGACTGTCCATAAAAATACACAAATTTCCCTTTTCCTTTGGGTCTTCATTTCTGAAAACTCCTATGTCATATAAAACTTATATATTGGCTGGGCATGGTGGCTCACGCCTGTAATCCCAGCACTCTGGGAGGCTGAGGCAGGCAGATCACGAGCTCAGAAGATCGAGACCATCCTAGTTAACGTGGTGAAACCCCGTCTCTACTAAAAATACAAAAAATTAGCCAGGCGTGGTGGTGGGCGCCTGTAGTCCCAGCTACTCAGAGGTAGAGGTGGGAGAATGGCTTGAACCTGGGAGGCGGAGCTTGCAGTGAGCCGAGATCATGCCGCTGCGCTCCAGCGCAGGTGACAGAGCAAGACTCCATCTCAAAAAAAAAAAAAAAAGTACATTTCTATGTTTTTTCCTTGTTAATATGTTTTGTTATAGATATGTCAGCCATGAACCTGGCAGTGAGGAAGAAGACAGTAGTTTTTCTCCTCTGCAGTTTCCAGCATTCTGGGTGAGCTTTCCATTGCTCCCAGTATCAGCATTGAGGAGAGTAGATTTCCACATGTGCTTGTGTTGTCTAGAGGGCTCTCTTTCTTTCCATCCATCTTTCTCGCCCTGCCCACACATAACCTCCATTGTGCTCCCTATGTATTGCTCTATGCCTTTAGGATGAGACGTATCACACTGTGTTCTAAATATTTACCTAGCTCTCTCTGCAATTAGAACATAAGCTTCTTGAAAGCACAGCCTGTGTCTTTTTATTATCTTTGAATCATTTGCCCTAGCACCCTATGTTATCTTTAGAAGGCAATTATTCCTGTAATTGGATTGTGGTGATTGATTACAACACTTTGAAAAATAAAAATCACTATTCATATGTGGGTTATTATCTTTGTGACATTTAAAAGCATAGTTGAACTCCTTCAACTTTTGTTCCTGGACTGAATTTTTGTATGTCATATTATCATTTAAATGCGGAGGAGGAACTAGCTTTCTTAGGAACATTTTGGTGAATACTCTTGTAAAAGAGAAAATCACCTTGGAGTTTAAGAGAATTCTGATTTACATACATCAGGTTTGATTCAAGCAGTGAGGATCTGTATGTGGCAGGATGGGGAAAGCTGGGAAGCACAGCTTTTGAGACTGGAATGGAATTTACTACGTATTTTTAAAGTACAAATTGCATCTTTACGTGGTGAAGTCCATGTTGTAATGATGGAAAGCAAATCTGTATCTTTGTAACCAGGTTTCCATCACAATGATCTTAAAACCACTAAAAAATAGAAATGCCATGTGAAAAACATAGGAAGAAAAATCACACATAACTTCTCATTTTATGAATAACTTTCTTTTTCTGAATTTATTCAACATCAACTTGCCTTGTATAATAATAAATATGAATGTTCCAGGGGTGAAGGTGAAGCTTTTTTCCTTCTTTTTCTCTCACTATTCCTCTTCAGACAATAGAAGTGAAGTGGTAGAAGGGAGAGAGATAGTAGGAAAAGTGAATTAGAAATTGTGGGGCAGTTAAAAAGGAGGCCAAAAATAACACTATTCAAGTCTAATGGAACAGATACGTAACACTGGTAGAAGACAATGTTTGCATTATTTTTTTCAACAAAGACTGATACATAAGGTAATTATTCTCTGACTCATTCATTCAACACATAATTAGTTATTGAATAATCACTTGTTTGGGGCATTAGGCATAAAGAAGTAAACAGCATTTGGGATGGTCTTGTGGAGTTTATTATTAAGGTGTTAAGAGGGACACCTCCATTCTGGTGGGTCCTGGAGGTAATTCTACAACATTGTCTGATTAATTTATTCAGCCACTTTGTGTCCTCCTACCCATCTCATGAAGGATGAAGTGGGACAAGAGCTAAGCTGTCACTGGGATTCATCCTGGAAGAGAGGGTCCGTGCACCTAATCAGATGCCATAGCAGTAGTTCTCTGAATCCAAGACATGGCCTGGGGACTTCTGGGGACACACACACACATCCCGACTGATGTTTCAGTTTAGCCTGCCTAGTCCTTCTCACATTTGAGGGGTAGGGAAACAGAGTCACTATCTTCTTAAAAAGTCATTTTTATTTATTGAAATTTAATATTAATGATTGTTATAAAACTTCTACTTGATTACAAAAATTACAGAATCATACACCTTTATGGATACACAGTCCCATACACCTTTCTAAAGATATAAGAAAAGCACAGTCTTTTACCCTCAATATTTTCTCTTGTGACTGGACCTGCAGTCTCAATCAAAAGAAAATTTTCTGAAAGGGCGTACGCCTCCAAGCTTTGAGAATACCTGATGTGCTCACGCTGACATGCTTTAGTTTGCTATTGTACCTTTTTATACTTAGCTAGGCCCACTGCCCTCTTTTCCAGTGTTTGCCCCTGGTAGCATCCTGCTGAGTCCTTCCCCTTCTCCCCACTCACAGCAGCAACAGACTTCCTTCTTAAGCTTACTGACAAGCAGCTCAGACACTGGAGCTGATCCAACCCTTTCCTGCCCCTTCCAGGATCTGTTTCCAAGTTTTCCATAGTAGTCGCTGTGAGCACATACTGAGCTGGTGCCACACCTGCAAACATTTCTTTCACAGCTAACAGAGGCTCCAGCCCTGATTTCTCTCCAGCTGGTGACAAACGTTATAATGATAAGACCCTTCTGTTCACGACGTTTGACTTTACCTTGACTCTTAAAATATCCATCAAGAATTGCATTTTTTAAAAAAATGAGAGTGACTTGATGCCTCATTGTTCTTAAAGGTGGGTGGTTCTAAGCCAATGAAAATTGACTAATGGCAAGGAGGAGGGGGTGCAGTCAGAGCTCATTAAAACAGTGATGCATTTGAAACTTGTTTCTAAGAACAATTGGTTATCTCCATTGACAAGGAGTCAGTGCAGGGTTAATTTTCTCATTGTCTTTGTTCTGGCTGTTCCTAGTCTCTTGATACTTCCCCAATAGGATGTAATTCCAAAGCTGTTATGCCTGATCATGTTTGTTCCCATATATATCCAATTCTTAAATTCCTCCAGAGAGGTTGATCTGAGTTTAAAGTGAAATAGGGATAACTCCATCCTTTAGCCATATTCCCTATTGCTCTCAAATTAATGCTGCTAGCTGCCAAACAACACAGACCTTGTCTGGTGGTATTATAGAGTCATAGATTGTATTCTATGGGAGACCATGAGAGTCACTGCTTCCAAAAGCAGCACTTTTATATAATGAGAAAATAAAGGCCTAGAGATGCTGAAGTATCCGACCAAGGTGACAGCTACTTAGTGATACCCCCAAGGAGTCAAGTCCTCTGACCCTTAGACCAGGTCTTGTCCTGTCTTATAGATTGCTCTTTCTTTCTAGGCATCTTATTTCATATCACTTTAAACTCAGTCATTTTCTCCCATAATGATGGCAGAGGGAAGGGCAAATGTCCACTTAGGACTCAATTGAGAAACATTCACTTATGCCTCGCCTGACTCACATATAGAAAGACTATTTTATTTATATGCCTAGTGCAATGCAATTAACAGCACAGTCTGCAGGACCACTGCCTGGGATTATAGACCAGTTTCATCGTTTACTAAGTATGTAGAGCAAAATGCTCAACTTTCCTATTTCCTCTGTAAAATGGGGGTAACAATAGTACTTCTCCATGGTTATTGTCAGGATTAAGAGAGTTAATCCATGAAAAGAGCTAAAGCAATGCTTGGCAGATGGTAAGAGCTATATAAGAATTTATTAGGATTACTATCCAATGAAGACTTTTGCATTGAGAAGGCTATGTGGGAAAGGCAGAAGGAACTGGAAATATCTAAAATTTCATAATTTTTATCTCTACTCTTGCATTTATCTGCTTTGTGCTCTTCAAGTGTTATTCCTTTTCAACTAGATTGGAATCCTGGAATGCATGTTTATTTTATTTTTATCTGTTTATATACACCAGGACAAGTGCTGTCTACTCTAATCTACATGCTTAGGAGATGTGTGGTGAATCAGAGACTATGGCTGGGGGAAGCCAGAAATACTTAAGTGACTTAGTCAATACAACAAAGCACTAGATAGAAAAGACTGTACTGATTTTGGGAGTACATTTCATTTTTGTTTTAATTATAAAAATTCATTTATTCAGCAAACATTTATTATGTATTTAGAATGTGCTAGACACTCTTCCACATTGATGAATAATGGAGACCACAATCTACCCTCATAGTACATATAGTCTATTAAGGAAAGACATACAAAAAAATAAATAAGTAAATTAGAGATGTGTTACAAGGTGAAAGAGTGAGGGAAGTAAAGAAGGAATTGTGGAGTATATGGGGAAGGGTTGGCTTAACCAAGATAGGGAGGGAAGCAGGACCTCACTGCAGAGGGGCGTTTGAACAAAGTTTTGAAAGGAGCTTACAGAGTGGATTATGCAGGTTAAGGTAAGACCCGGTGGGGAAGCCTGGGTGAAAAGCAGCTTGGTGTGGTGAAGGGACAGCAAGCAATCAGAGTGGTGGGGACTCAGTGAGTGAGGGCAAGGGTGATCAGAGTGAGGTCCAAGGGATAATGGGGGCCCAGGTCATATCAGGACCCAAAGGTCATTGCTAGGCAAGTGGAATATTTGGAGCAGGCAACAACATGACATACATTTAACCAAATCACTCCAGCAGCTACTTTGAGAATATACTGTGCTAAGGACTTTGCCCGCAACTTCCCATTAAATGACCATAACAAGCCTACAAGGTGGATTATGTTTTCTAAGAGAAAAACTGAGTTATGCTGAAAGCTTGTAGTGGCAGTTCAGGAACTCAAAACCAGATACACTTATCTCCAAATTTTGTTATTCTTGACCATAAATTCTTATTGTCTCCTAAATTCTTTTAAACCTTAGCTATATTATGGCTCTAGAAGAGCTTTTACTCTTTCTATATTTTACAGCAATCTCCTTCTCTTTTGTTTTCTTAGTATTTGCAAATTAGAGAAGATCTGTATGTTTACTCCATGCACATGCTAACTATATATGGAAGCCAGGCGTCTGCCCTCCAGAAAAGCAGACTTGAATCACTTGAGTTGACCTGGGCTATGCTGAGATTGTCCCAATGATAATATGGGTCAATATCACAAGGACTGGCTGAGACAAAGTGAGGGCTTAGGGATATATAACATCCATCTTTTCTAGAGAGGTCAGTGCCATTGTAGAAACAGGTTGTACTCCAAAATAAGTTATTTCCTTGGAACTCAGAGGGCAATTTTCCATTGACGCAACATTAGCTGCTTAGACTGGCACACAAAGCCTATTTAAATAACAAAGTGCCTGTGTTATAACCTGGGCCTTCATCGTTGTTTCTTGAGACACAAATTCTCCCTTATCCCTACAATCCATTGTAAATTGTTTTTTTCTTCAAATACATTTTCTATTTTTCCCTATATCTAAGATGCTATAGGTGTTATTATTCTTACCTTTATTCTTCAAAAATTCCTCAATTTTTCTTCCAGTATCCTCCAACTTTAATTCTTCCTAAAATTTATCTCAAAACAGATGATTATCTGTTGATTACAGGATTCAGTAGAAATCCAGTATTAACATTCTAACTTTCTTCTGTCTTATCTACTCCTCATTATATTCCAGTCAACATTAATTATTCACTTTGTCCCCAATAAAAACCACACTTTCCACTTTTGTTTTTTTAATACAGTTTATCTTTTAAAAATGTTCCTACTTCTATCAACTATCAAAATCCTTTCGTAAACTATACATCACAACATCTCTTTCCTTGTTGTGGTCAGGTTGGGCTTATCCTGCAGACAAAAAGTTCAGTGCCTAAATACCACAAAAGTTTATTTTTTGACCCATGAGAAGTGTGCTGTGTTCTGGGCCACTCTGCAGGGCAGTGTCCTTCTCCTGCTGGCACTGTGATATCAACAAGTCCTTCCATAATTGCTTTGGCAAAAAGGGTCTGACAGGGGCAACTACACAATCTGGCTGGGAAGTGACACGCATCAGGTCTACCTACAACCCACTGGCCAGAGCTAGCCACATGGTTCCACCCAAATAATATGTGGGGTGGTATCAGACATGAGTCCTCTAGTGTTTTTGGAAGAAGAGAATACCAAATAGAGATTAGCACTAAAAGTTTCTATTCCATGGAGGCCTTCCATGTCTCCTTAAATGATAATAATAAAGCCATTTGTGAATATGTTTCCTACTAATAGCAAGGCAATACCTTTTAACTGCATTTGAATTAATCTCAAGTAGGCATATTCAGGATCATTAGAAAACCTTCACTTTTTCTCAGACCTGACCAGATATGCGGTAACAGCCCGAGAGATGGGAGTCCTTGTTTCCAAACTCTCTTTTAACACCTATTACCTGGAGATGCTCATGGCCTTAGAAACTGATAAGGGAAATCTGATCAAGACTGGGTATTCCAGGAACTCTCAAAAATATTCTGTTAATAAGGAAACACAGTTTCTCCCATGAGAACAAGAATATGGTTTTCCCAATTTTTGCCTTGATTATAGATTATAAAAAAGACTAGCTCTCTACTATATGAGGGAAAGACAGCCTTTTTAAAAGTAGAATTCCAAATATTCCCTGAAATGTCACAGAAAATGGGAAAGGTACCAGAAATAACACTCCCGAGAACAGCATCTTTAGTTAGAGGCCTGCCCTGTATGGAGGACACTAAGGAGAGGCATATTTTCTTTGCCTGCTCTAGAAGTTATACAACCAGCTAGGTTATTTTTGGAATCTAGCTGAAGTAATTTTGGGGAAGGTTTTTTTTTAATATGAAAGAACAATGAGGACAATATAAGCACAGATATTCCAAACAGAATTTCAAATGGAAGCTTCTTTGTCCTTCTAGCACCTTGAACAGAATTCCAGATAGAGCATTCTGGTTCCCAGGGCATAAAATATTTGAGATTTGTATTGAGTTTGGGACATTAGTTCTATGTTATAACCACCTGCCTTAGTCCTCTTCCCAATTAGCTGAACTGTGAATCCTGAAGTCAATTTCCATCTGGAGAGAAACAATCAGGTGTAGTATCAATGCAGTACATATAGCAAATATTCTCTTGATAAGAATTTGCCATGTGCTCTAGAAACAGTAAAGGTGGTGTTGGAGTCTACCGTGCTTCCACAGTGCTCTGACATGTTAAAGAAAAGCATAATAGCCAGGGAAATAAAAGATGTGATCACAGACTATTTAATACTAACACATTTATCTTTGCTTTCACTTTAACTGTGTTGTGTCTCATAAGGAAAAGTGGGTATGACCTCTGGCAACCCATGAGACATTTTATGGTCTACTCCAGTGAATTTCAAACATTTTGCGACCATAGACTTCCTTAAAGAGCTGATAAACTGGGCATGGTGGCTCACTCCTCTAATCCCAGCACTTTGGAAGGCTGAGGCAGGCAAATCACTTGTGGTCAGAAGTTCGAGACCAGCTTAGCCAACATGGTGAAACACCATCTCTATTAAAAATACAAAAAAAAATAGCCAGATGTGGTGGTGCATGCTTGTAATCCCAGCTACTCAGGAGGCTGAGACAAGAGAATCACTTGAACCAAGGAAGTGGAGGTTGCAGTGAGTCAAGATTGTACCTGGGCAACAGAGCAAGAGTCTGTCTCAAAAACAAACAAACAAATGAAAAACCGATAAGATATTGGATCTTATGGATCTTCTGATAAAATCTTAGCAACCTTCTACCTAAAAAGATGAAAGAATGCAAGCAATTTGAATACATTTTTAAGAGGTTCACAACCATCTAAATTGCCAACTGAGGTTTATGGATCTGAAATTAAAGACCTTAAAATCTACCATTGCCAGTTGCTACAATCACTCTCATGATAACATCTCTAGAATTAAAATCTAATACTGCAAATAGTTAAGGTTAGAAAAACAAGGTCTTGATATTTCTAAGACTCCTGTAAAACTCACAGAAGAATGGAAAAGTTCATCCCCAAATGTATACCTTCCCCAGCTTCTCACAACTAACACCTACCACCTGTGAACTGAGACACTTCGAATCACTGATCCAAACTAAACTGTCTCAGGAAATCCTCTAATGGGACTTAGTTAAGACCCCTCACTTTAGTTATAACTACTGGTCTAGTTCTCTTTTCAAATCTGCTTCCTTGCCAGTCAGGTCAGGGGCTTGTCCTCAGTGGACTTCAAATTCTAACTCTCACACCCCTTGTAAGCCATTGTTTTATTTTGGTTCAGTTCATAAGGTTAGGCTTTTGCTTTGGTCTTGACATCTTTTATCATGCATCCTAAATTGAGCTTCAATTATTCTCCAGACCTGCAGTCCAGAAATAAGATCCAGCTGCCAGCCTTACATCCAGGATATGCCAGCCAAAGCTGAATAGTAACAAGCTTCTTGTTGTGCCTAAACACCTCCTAGCCTTTGCCTAGAATTCTATCTGGAACGTCCTTCTCAGGATGTTTGGCTTCTTTCTCACTTTAATCACATTTGGGGGTAGTTGGAGGATTAAGTCCAAGAAAATTCCTGAGTTTGCTTCATCCAATCCAGGTAGAGTCTAATTGTCTTCTCTTCTATAATCTCTGTACACCCTGTCACAGCACTTGCTATGTCACCTAAATTACCTGGTATGAGTCTCTCATTCACCACATGGTGACCTCTTGTGTGCAAGAATCAACCTGTTCTTCCTTCTGTTCCCTGAACTTACCATAATACTTGGCACCTCTAGGCACTGACAGGCATCTGAACACTTCCAGGCATGTTTCCTATAGCCCCAGCTTTTGTACTATATCCACTCATATATGCTCCCTGATGTTAATATCTTAATGGGTGAGGGAGATGCAAGCCTTTATATACTGTGCCTTTTGTGGTCACCTTATCCTTTAGAGAACAGCTCTACAACTTAAGAAGCTGCCATAATGATGAATAATTGAAAGTGGCTGCCTTGAGTGTATGATGGAAAAGTCTCAGAAGAAAGAGGAGCTCTGATTGGTCAACAATGTCACCTGGCGTCTCTAAAGTATGAAATGGCAAGCCACATGCCACCATTTATCTTCCCACAAAAATGAAAAAGTTTTATGATAATCTCAGCACAGTTTTTCTGTTCATCTACTATGAACAGAAGTAGTAGATGAGTCATCTACTTCTACGAGTCATCCAAACTATCCTGTGCAAGAACTATCTTCAGTCAGGACATAAGTGAAACAGCATCCCAGCTGGCAGAATCAAAGGCAGAACTTGGTTATGCCACATAGGTGTAAAGAAATCACTAGATCCCTACTATTCTGTTATCCTCTTACAAACAATAGACTTGTCTCCATAAACTACTTTTGATCATCATCAGGGAGTGCTATGGTTTGAATGTGTTCCCCAAAGTTTATGTGCTTAATACCAATGCAACATTGTTGAGAGGTGGGACCTGAAAGAGGGGATTAGGCCACACCCTCCTGAATAATTAATGCCTTTATCGGGAGTGGTTTTCTGACAAAAATAAAGATGAGTTTGGCCCCCTTCCCCCCGCTCTCTCTCTCTCTCTCTCTCTCTCTCACTTTTTCTCCTGCATAAACACTCTAGTTCCACCTTCTACCATGAGATGACAGCATGAAGGTCCTCACCAGATATGGACCCCTTGATTGTGAACTTCCTGACTTCCAGAATTATATGAAATGAGTTTATTTTCTTTATAAGTTATTCAGTCTCAGGTATTCTGTTATAACAGCACAAAATTGACTAAGAAAGGGAGGAATGGGTGTTGACAGGGCCATCCCTGCACTGTACAGTTCAGGGGTAAAGTTTGCAAATCCCTGACTCACAGTGAATCCCTAGAACTGCACAGTGTAGTGTCAGGAGGTATCATTTACAAATTGGGTAGTTAAAAAGATTTTCCTGATTAGCTGCTTTAATATACAGCCTGTAAGGAAGACGAATATCAAATACCAGTTAGGGACTTCACAGATACCCCAAATAAGAAGCCTGTCATAGGAACTGTTTCTCATTTTTCTCATTTTCCTCCACACTGTTTGGGAAACTAACCTCATCTCATTATATCTAACCAACTATCAGAAGGTCAATAGGATTTATAAAACATTTTCCACGCACAGATCACTAGCCCAGGTGGTTTGAGTATATTTTCAAAGGCAAGGTAGGTGGTTCTTAGAAATAACTTACAGTCTTGTTAGAAAGTTGCTAGATCCAAATAAAACCATTACTATGACATATGGCAACATACAGTAAAACTGTAATTTTTGTGGCACAGACTCTTAGTGCTATGGAAACTCCAAGTAAGAAAGAGACAATGTAATGGAAAATTCTAGAAAACAAAGCAGTGCATTATCTGCAAGTGGAATACAAGGGAGCATTTCCTTGAAATGGAGTCTTGCGCTCCATGGTGAGTTTTCAAAGGCATATGGCCCTACATAACTGGTTCAAATTCTGGCTCTTGTCTGAATCTTTAAATGAAGAACAATACTTTCTAAGGTTCCATTTTTATCATCTAAAAAGTGGTTCCAATAATAATACATTATAGATTTTCTGTGAAAATAAATGGTTTAGCAAATGCAGTTGTCCCTTGGTATCCATGGGGATTTGGTTGCAGATCTTCTCACAGACACCAAGATCTGCAGATGCTCAAGAGCCTGATAAGAAATGGCAGAGTATGTGCAGATAACCTATGCACATCCTCCCATATACTTTAATCTCTACACTACTCATAATACCTAATACAATGTAAATGCTGTGTAAATAGTTGTTACACTGTATTATTTAGGGAATGATGACCAGAAAGAGTCTATAAGCTCAGTATACACATAAATTTTTGAGTATTTTTTACCTACAGTTGGTTGAATCCATGAATGCAGAGCTCACAAATAGGGAAAGTTGACTCTATGAGGTTTATAGCATAGTTTCTGATGAATAGTTGATGTTTAATCAAAGTAGTACAGTTTCCCCCGCTTGCTTGCTTGGTTGCTTGCTTTTTCTTTCTCTCTCTTTCCTTCTCTCTCTCTCTTTCTCTTTCTCCCTCTTTCTTTCCTTCACTCTCCCTCTTTCTTTCCTTCTCTCTCCCTCTTTCTTTCCTTCTCTCCCCCTCTCCCCCTCTTTTTCTCCTTGTCCCTCTTTCTCTCTTTTCTCCCTCTCTCCCTCTTTCTCCCTCTCTCCCTCTCTCCCTCTCTTTCTCCCTCTCCCTCTCTTTCTCCCTCTCTTTCTCCCTCTCTTTCTCCCTCTCTTTCTCCCTCTCTTTCTCCCTCTCTTTCTCCCTCTCTCTCTCTCTCTCTTTCTCCCTCTCTCCCTCTCCCTCTCTCCCCCTCACCTGTGGAAAACAGTTCATTAGTCTGGGGACACACAACGCTATAGAAAAACATTAACTTACATTGACAAGGAAGTGCAATTGTTGCTAGTATCTCTTTTCTTCATAGCAGAAGATATGGTAAGAGGAAGAGTACACTGCACTGAACACCCAAGGGTGCAACATCATAGGGACTCAAAATGATGTGAACAGGGGAGAATACTGACTTTCCAGTCTTGCCTGTGGCCAACATTTCTTAGAGAATGGATGGTTGTTGGGTAGAAACGAAGAAGTTGGAATAATTTTCACCAAAGCTTACAAGTAGACAGTTAGAAGACTAGAGTTTCTGTTAAAAATCACACTAAGCCAAAATATATAAACAATAGAAAGACAACTAAAAGCCCTAAGTCTGGACAGCACACCTAAGTTCCTAAAGTGAATGCTCACCCATTAGACATGAGAGGATGGGTTGTGGGGCAGGTTGGTGTATTAACAAAATTTAAAATTTCACTGTAAGTTTGGGTAGCCTGCCTAATATATTTACCAAGACAGCTCATGAATAATTCATTTAAAATGGAAGCCAAAAACACTAGAAATCTCATCTTAGGAAAAATTTTTAAAAGTATAACAGTCCTTAAAGAGAAAGAAAAGAAGGAATGAAGGAAGGAAGAAGGGAGAGAGGGAGGGCCAAAGGGAGGGACGGAGGGACAGATGGATGGACAGATGGAGGGATGGAGGAAGGGAGAGAGGAAGGAAGAGAGAAATGTTATTCTAGGGAATAGAAATTCCAATATAGTTGTAAATTTTCCTCTCAAGAAAGTCAACACAGTAAATCTAGAGAACTTTGTTTCCCTCTTCCAGTATCAAAGGATTGTGTGCAAGCCAATAAACATCTTCGACCATAGAAGGAATTCCTGTCCTCCCTTCAGCAAATCAGATTAATTTTACATACAATCAAACACAAGAAATGAGCATGCATCTCCATCGGCCTATGACAGTCTTTATGTACTACAGTCAGTGCAACAGTTGCCACAGTGGATGCCTCTGTTTTCGCCAATACTTGGGAAACTCCCTCCCAAGTATTGAAGAAAACAATGATGTATAGACACATAAAGGAGGAACCACTCATGTTGGAAGATTTCGCCTGGCCTAAACCAATAAGCAACTGTTAGAATGTGCCATTTCCCTCTCCTACTTTGACAATAGTGATATTTCTCAATCAGAAGTTAAAAATTCATGGCATTTGTGCAGCGGTTACTTGGGAGTTGATTTTGAGTGGCACACTCATTGATAATACAAATAACGTCTGAAGAGAGGGGAGGAACATCCATCTGGGTTAGCCTGGATCTACAAATATGATAGAGGCTGAGAGGGCTGGAATGGGACAGGGACCTTCCTGTCCTTACATAAAGTCAAGATGGTGAGGAAGAGAGAAGAGGAGATTGATCTTCTTGATATGCTCTTTTTGATTGTCTGTCTTTAGCTACTCTTTATAACTTATCCATCAACAGACTACATACTCTATGATGAGCATGATGCCACACTTTGGGATACAGAGTCTATTTCAAGTAATCTGTTCTCTGACGTCTTTAAATATCTAGATATAGACATAGATAGATTCATCCGTTCCAGTGTATGGTTGAGAAAATGTGGAAATGGTAATCGTATCACATTGCAAGAGTGTCTTCCTACTGCAGATGGTATTGTCCTTTCTGTACAAAAACTGACCAACTGACTCCTACAGAAGTATCTCCAAAACATATTTTTGGAAACAGGAGGGAAGTTATAACAAACATGACAAGTGATTGAAGGGAGATTTGACATATAATATCTGATTAGTTAGGAACTGACTACTGCACTGGAGTAACTATAATTTTAGTTACCATAACTTTCAATTTTATGAATGAAATGAAGCACTTGAGAGGCATAGTTATTAAATCAGTTATTAAAATTCTATTTTTTTCCTGTAACATCAAAAGGTGACTGCACTTCCTTTAAACAAGTCCAAATAGCAGAGAACTGAAAACATGGCCATAGAACAAAACTGATTACTACTATGGTCTTCATCCAAATCACATCAAAATAAATTTAATTCTAGTCTCCAACAATTTGATTTAATTTGGCACATAAGTGGTTTTGTCACTTTTGTGATTTTAACAAACACTAATTACAATTTTGTAGATAGTGAATGATAATGGAAAGTTATAATGTTTTATCATTTTATTAAATATATTATGAAATTCTCTTTTAAACTTCCAATTCTATTTCTGCAATCCTGGAAAATGGTTCAAATTTTGTACTTCTACTTCCCATCCCACAAAAATAATACAACACATCTTGGGGCCAATATATCCTCAGAAAAATGTGAAATATAACTCAGATCTAGGTTGTAATTCACTATCATCCAGCCCACTTTATACATGAGACTTTTCTAATGTATATTAATACCCAAGATCATTCAGCTATGTAAAAAAGTATTAACAGCTTAGACTTATATTGAGATTATGTGCCAGATAATAGTCTTAGAATTTTACCATGTAATTATCATAACACTGTTATGAAATAGATACTGACATTATCGGTATTTTTATGTATGAGGAAAGAGACACAGAAGAGTTAAGTAGCGTTCCCAAGGTCACACAGCTTCTAATTGCCAGCGCTCAGAGACAAACCTGGACCACCTGGCTCTAGAGTCTCTGTTTTACAATGGCTTCACTACTTCTCAAAATGAAAATTAATGTCATAATTAGCTACATTATCATACTCATTTTCAGTATAGTTTTCTTTAGGAAAGAATTTGTAAAAGCTAAATTAAGTCAGCTTTCAAATAACCTGTAAATTGAATTCCTTGGTTGATAAGCTAACCTTTCCAGAGCAATTGAGATAAATTCAGTTTATTACCCCTTACTGCATTTTCTCATCCTCAAATCATCTATTTTATTTATTTATTTTTTTCATCTGTTTTATTTTGTAAAATATTGCCTTAATTTTTTTTGTAAAATTTTCTTAGGCTTCTTGCCTTCATCAGTGTCTCCTGGTATATATTCTAGAGGTGGGGATTAATTTCTACATTAGCCTACACAAATCATAACCTAGGTGATAAACAAATAAAAGGGTGCATGTGATTAAATTTCAAAATGATCAGCACAATAAGAGACTTTCCTCTTCAGAAACAGAAGAGGTGACATAATCTGGTGTTCCTTAAGGATGCTTCCTGGTGAAATCCAGACTTACACAGAATCCTGAAAGATAGATAGTATCTAGAATTGAGAAGAGAGAACATGCTGGATTTAGAGAACTGATCCAAGGTGTGCAGATCCTTCTTCCTGGATATTCATGTGACACCAGGGCTGCAGAAGCTGAGATTGGCTGCTGAAAAGCAGTGGATGACTGTAATCTATACTCTCTGCCTCCTTCTCTGAACACCTATTTCTCTCCACAACACAATCTAGAGTTGTATCATGCATGTTCTTCTTATCCACAGTTGGCTTGCATTTTAGCCCCAACAATGCTGTTAACCTACCCCCAGGCCTAGTTGTCAAAATTAACATAAATAAATGAGTCTTGGGCCACAGGAATTAGAGCTCCTTGGCACACTGAACAAAGCAAGGTAGTGATTCTTTTGAATTTGTTCTGGGCATAGGCAGTAGGAATGGTGAATCCATCCTTCTTGGATTGCTCATATAGGCAATCAAAGCCCACATCTTTAAATGCTGAGACAACTGGATAACTGCAGTAGGTGGAAGCTGAAGAAGTATAGAATGCGTAAGAGGAAATGCTGTGTTTTCTCTATTACCAAGAGGCCTTGAACCATCTTGAAGAGGGATCCACATATCAGATGATTTTTCCGAAACATTTCGATGATGTGTTGGTGTTTCTGGTGGTCCATTGTTTTCCATATTATCCCTTGATTTCGACCAAGGTCTTTTTAGATACTCTGGGTGCTGGGAGTAATAAATTTGACAGCTTAATTTATTATAATAATTTATGTGTTTAATCTTTCTTTTTAAATGAGCCCTGTGGCTCTGCAACTGGTACATACAGTATTTATAAATACGATTAATATAGTGTCCACTTTCTGGAGCGGGATCAAACAAAACGAGAAAAATAATACTAAGTCAACTAAAAGCAGCTGGCTGGACTCTGCATTCAGCTATTTGTGAGCAATTGGGGTTTTGTTGCCCTTATTTAGTGGATGTGTGGAGTAGGTCTGTGAAGCTGAAGGGACCTTTGAGTTTCAGTTGGCCCAGGTCTGCATTTTTAGATAGGTGTATGTCTATCCAAGAGGAATGCTCTAGAGCTCCAGCTATGCAGATAACGTAAACACTTTAGCTAGAACTGACATTTCTTTAGCTGCCAAAGCTATATTTTGTACTTCATACCTTTATGGGAATGAGTGAGCACCGTGGTGGGTTAATGGAATTACTTATGCATTATTGTCCTTACTTTTGAGATGCTTGAAATTTAGAATGTAAAACGTGGTAGGAACAGAATGTCTACTCCCCTGTATGGCCAAAACCCAACAGGATAAAATAGCAATATTGGTTGTGTCCAGAAGGACTGGTAAAGTCATTTTACATGCTGAAAGGACTATAGACGCTATCCTGCAGAAGAAGGCAAACAGCAGGTGAGGAAGAGCACTTATCAACTGTCTGTTTTGGTACAGTGTAAATAAAGCTCAAGACCCTGTTCAACCAGCATCCCAAGTATGGATAGGCTTTTTTTTTTTTTTTTTTTTTTTTTTTTGGCTTGAACCGGAAACATCTATTTCAAAATTACCTGGGTCAAAACAAGCTAAAAATGACCTGGGTTAATAACCCCATAAAGAGTACAGGGACCATTCTGTGACAGGTCAGGGAAAATATGGAAAGAACAGAAGAAGGAGGGAGAAAAGGTAGCATGAGAGCCAGGGAAATAACACTCTTTATCTTCATCAATCTGATTTCCTATAACATCTGGTCATCTTCAAGGGAGAAAACGTCACAGAAAGCCTTGAAGTGTGTATAATCAAATGTCAACATGAAGCTAATGCTTCACAAGTGTATTTAATAGATAAAAAGAACACTTATAATGCCATCATGGACGACCATGAAAAGCATATTAGTAGCCTTGCAGAAATATAAATAAAAATACATAAATAACAAACAACATTTTATGAACAGCTAACACTGATATTTGTTAAGCAGATCAACCTACTTCAAAAATAAAGAAAGCTCTACACTTAATAGTTGGATTCTTTAGAAAGAAGATACATGGTTTCCACCTATAGATATAAATAATGAGAGTTGTAATAAATTACTAACACTGACTAGTTTAAAAGGCAGGTAGCACTTACTTTTCTTGACCAGTGAGCTTTCCACTACATCACAATGATGAGCTAATAAGACCTGCAGGGGTAATTTAATGAGACAAGAATAATTTGACCTGGCAAATGAAAAAGAGTGGCACAGACTTATAAGGGATACTGACTCATTTCCTATAAAATTATAAAGAAATGACCCTCCATTACAGTAAGAAAATTTTGACCAGATAGAAGGAAGTAGTTTCCGGAAGTGAGAATATACCATTAGCTTATGCCACAGAAACATATTTTATATAATGGAAATGGTTCTGCAATCGTCTATGTGGGGTAGTTAAATCTAATCTTGTCTAAAAATGAGGTAAAGAACTGGTTGATCTTGCAAGGTACTAACCAGCTCTGTGAGCTGGAAAAAATGGAAACATGTGACCTTCATGAAAATCCCTGTTTCTTTTCCTACTTCTCATTGGCAATGGGACCCTGGGGGACTGGGGCACATGTTGTTCCAGCAGAGGTCATGCTGATGACATTTCTATGGATTTTTCTCTTTCTCAAAGAATCAAAAATACAAGTGCTGGAAAAGACCTATTGCTCCCTTCTTCTGTTCCCCAGGGGCTTTACGGAATTGCTTCCAAAGTTCTTTCCTGCAATGTCCAGTCAGGTTTTAAATAAACCAAGACATGGAATATCCATCTGGGCCTCTGGAGAGATTTTTGTAACGTAATCCATCTTCTATTTAGGATATTTTTTTCTCAAAAAAAGTTCATTACAAAAGACAAACCATCCCATTCCTCTAATTGCCCCTGAATTGGTCACTAAATTCTTACTGCCACTAAAAGAACCTAATCATGTTGAAGGCTTTGTCAACTATCCAGGTGGCAAATAGAGTTTTGTGCATTTTGAATTTTCAACTATTGGATTCAGATGGCTTATTTGTCACCATTTCTCTCAGACATTTGGATTCCTACAACATAATAAATGCCAAATAGTCACTCTTGAGCTGCAACCTGCATGAAGTCTCTGAGGTAAGAGGGGAGATATGCTACACTTAGTGCCAACTCCATTCTCAGTTTTCAGGTAAATGCCAGACTGAAGATTCCACCTTTGTCCTGCCCATGGTAACTGCAGTTGTTGATGAAAACCTGTGTCTCTTGAAATAAATATTTTTTTATAAGTAAAAGGAACAAAATCAGTCCTTTAACTTCTTTGTGCTCAAATAAACCTACCTGATCAGCATGGCCAGTTTGGATGTCTGTGTGTGTGCCTATGTACTTATAGTCATATATAGTTATATATTTTGTTTCTTACTGAAGGAACGGTTGAATAGAACTATCTGGTTTAAAGGATGAGCTTGACTGATTACTGTAATTCATAGGGCCTTAATTAGCTGCACAAACCATTAGCTACAATTAGACTATTATAAAACACTTGATGCGCTATGTCAACCATGGGGCCTCATTTATTCTTGTGGCAGGGATCAGGAGGGGGAGGGCAGGCACACTATACCGCCAAGCATGCTAATAAAGAATCATTTTTGATTTAAGATGTTGCCGATAGTGCCTCAAAATTAATCTCAATAGCTGTCTAATTTGTGTCAGTGGATGGTATATTTATTGTAAAATGACACCAAAGCTAAATGAGTTACCTGAAGCAGGAGTGTTAATGTCAGTGCCTGGAGATTGGACTCCATATGCTGGGTTACAGCAAGACGCTGGTGCTGAGTGCTCCCAGTGGACGGCTTGGCCTCATCTGTCTCAGAAAGCTCAACAACTTGACTTCCACTTTTTGATTCTTAAATACTAATCATAAAAAAAAAGAGAAAGAAAGAGAGTGGAAAGAGAGACCCTGTCTGGAACACAAAGAGACAAAGAGAAGAGAGGTGAGAAAAGGAGAGAGGGAGAAAAGACTGAGAGGCATTGTTACAATATGAGCTTCCTAGGACCAAGCTTAGCTGTAAGTAATTATGGAAATGAAGATAGCTGAGTCCAATTTATCTTTCTGTAGGTTTTTTATTAAATAAGAAATAAAAGGGACATACTAGTAGGTAATAGTCTTCTAAGGAGTAAAAGTAAAGAAGAAAATATTATCTTTCATTCTAAGATGTCTTGATAGCAATACTTCACATTTACATAGAGCTCTGAAGCTTCAAACATCATTCAAGTTCATTGGAACTTCCCTGGAAGTGTGGGAGTCAGCAGTGGTTGATATAGAAGCTTTGATTCAAGGGAGGCAGGAGAAGTGCCTGGTCCAAGGTCTCTTGGTCAGTTACCTACAGTGGCGGGACTGAAATTCAGATTTCCTCAATTACAACTCTTTTCAAAATATATATTTTCAACATGGCTCCCATAACTGTCAAATCTTTAGAATTCTTGAGGAAGAAGAAGCAGGTGGAGGAGAAGAATGGCATTTCCTGACCTTGCCCACATTTTCTGTATCAGAAACTGGAACTGATGGTGAAGATGAGGAGTACCTATTTTCAAAATTCTCCCCAGATAACTGTGATGAGCAACCATATTTGGATATTTGATTCAGCAGTTCTGGAGTCAGAGACTTTGCATTTCTAATCAGTTTCCAGGTAATGCTCAAGATGCTGATGGCAGAATCACATTTTGAGAACCGCTGGCCTAAACCAATGTTTCTGAACACTGGTTGCACATTCAGATCACTTAGGAATATTTTAAAAATTCAATGTCTAGACTGTGACTTCATCCACTTACGTCAACTCTGGCGTGGGACTCCAGGTATCTGTGGCTTCTAAAGCTCCTCAAATTATTCTAGTGTGCAGCCAGGGTTAAGGATGTCTTTGTTCAAACCAGCTTTAGTGAATTCAATTCAATTGTCATCTGTTATGGGCAAGACATGTATTGATATACTCTATGTAGTGACTCATATTACAAATTAATACTTAAGCTTAATTACAGGATTTTTTAAATGTTATTTTTGCTGATTAACTATACTTTCTTTTGACAAAAAAATGAAATAATAGAACTCAAAATGCCAGCTCTAGTTGCTGAATTGGCCTTTTTGGTCAAAATAGTTTTTTTTTTTCTTATACTTTGATCAATTAGATACTTGTATTCAGATATCCCATGGGAATTTTTAAAATGTAGATTCACGTCTCAAACCATCTGAATCAGGATCTGTAGGGTTTGGCTCAAAAGTCTACATTTTAAGACATTCCTTTAATCACAATATTGGTTTATATGCCAATCAAATCAAGTTCTGAAAACATCTATTCTTTTTGTATATTAGAGATGCCTTTTATCTTTAATACCCCTTCACTATTTCCAGGAAAAGTTATCCCAAAATATGCTCCTTTTTGTGTGTGGACCTTATGAATAATAATAATAATAATCTGTGTAGACCTTATGAATAATGTAAACTGAAATTATCTGTTGGCCATATATTCCAGAATGTTTGTTGGGATTCGGTTAGCTGCAACATACATAATAACACAAACTCTAAAATATATAATAATTTAAAGATTATTTCTTGTAACTTTTTTTTTTTTTTTTAAGACAGAGTCCTGCTCTGTCGCCCAGGCTGGAGTACAGTGGTGTGATCTTGGCTCACTGCAACCTCCGCCTCCTGGGTTCAAGCAATTCTCCTGTCTCAGCCTCCCGAGTAGGTGGGACTACAGGCACCTGCCATCACACCAGGCTAATTTTTTGTGTTTTTAGTAGAGACAGGGTTTTACCTTGTTGGTCAGGCTGGTCTTGAACTCCTGATGTCAGGTGATCCACTCACCTCGGCCTCCCAACATGCTGGGATTATAGGCATGAGCCACCACACCCGGCCTCCTGCTGTCTTAATCGTTCAAGCAGGCGTTGCTAGTCAGCCTGAAGTTTTCCTCCATTGATGACTGAGTAACTGAGTTTCTTGACGGCTTGTGGTATCACCATCCCTCAGGGCTTCTCTATTAGCTTCACCCAGGCAGAGGGAGGGGCAAGAGAGCAAGGAGTGTGGTGGGACCACATCCAATACACACCTTGGCCCAGAAATAGCACCAACACCTCTGTGGCCGCAGTCAGCCACTTGTAGGATATCATATGCAGTTATAAAGAATGAGTCAAACACACTAAAAAAGACTGAGGCTAAAGAAATGAAGAGAAGAAACTCGGACATTATCTTTTTGACCTCTAGACAAAATCATGCCTGATGCTAGATTTACCTTCAAACTTCAAAATCATGTGAACCATTTTTTTTTAACACAAGCCAAGATGGGTACCTTTTCCATCATGAAAAGAATAATAAAATAAGAAATATTTAGTTTACCAGGAAGATGACATAGAATAGCAGTCAAAAATATAAAATAATAAATTATTTAACATTTCCTTTTTTTCTTATTTTGCTGCTAATATTGGTCTGTGCACATTATGGCAAACCTGTTGACTAAACAGTCAAGTTTCTCTGAAGTCTGTGTCAATGTAAAGTCAGCATTTCCTCTGCCTTTGGTGAGGTGCTGAAAAGAGAAACCACAAAGCTAAGATGAAGATGTGCTGAATCTCCTTGGATCTCACCTGCAGTTCTAGTCACAGTACTCAAAATAAACATGGTGTAACTAGGGAAGTTTTAAGAAAAGGGCATTGAGATGACTAAGGGGAGGTTGAGGCAGTCATTGCTTGATAATGACTGAGATGTGTAAGCCATGCTTAGACAGGACAGAGAAAGACGTGAAACAGGCAGTGTGTCTGGAGGCCATGCTTAACTGAAAGTGCTATATGCCCGACATCAAGCCAGGCACTTGAAGAAACACTGACTCTACCATGGCCCCTGGCCTTAAAAGCCCCACATTTCCTACAGAAGATGATTCTATGATGTGTCAGATTGCAGAGTTTGGGGACATTTGGACCTGCGTTTGAAATTTAGCTTTACTCTCTTTTGGTTACTAAACTTAAGCAAGTCACTTAACTGCCATGAGAAGAGATTTTTTTTTTAATCTGCAAAATGGGAATAACAATAAACTTGTCATATGGGCAATCTCATTAGTATTATAGACATTGATCCTTAAAATAGGATCAACATCTATTAATAAGAATAGCAGTAATCCTCAAAACTTGAGATCCAAGTTTATATAAAGTAGACACATTAAGAAATGTCGTGATGAACTGATGAAATGTGATATTCAAAATGAGGGATGTATTAGCCCATTTACACACTGCTATAAAGAACTGCCTGAGACTTGGTAACTTATGAAGAAAAGAAGTTTAATTGACTGACAGTTCTGCAAGCTGTACAGGAAACATGACTGGGAGGGTCAGGAAACTTACAATCATGGCAGAAGGTGAAAGGAAAACAAGCATGTCTCACCATGGTGAAGCAGGAGAGAGAGAAAGCAAGCAGGGAACTGCCACACACTTTTAAACCATCAGATCTCATGAGAACTGAGTTACTATCATGAGAACAGCAAGTGGGAAATCCACCCCCATGATCCAATCACCTCCCACCAGGCCCCTCCCTTGGCACTTAGGGATTACAATTCAACATGAGATTTGGGTGGGGACACACAGCCAAACCATATCAAGGGACAAGAGGACAGGCGAATATCAACATCAGTTTTAGCGTTATACAAATGGATGGGTTCTTCAGAAAAGCAATTTTTTTCTTAACACTTTAATGATGCTTCTGATAAAAGACACAATTCTGAGAATAATGGGTAATAGGGCTCATAAAAAGGAATTAAGATTTTTAATAATGCGTGGGTAAAACTTTGACATTTATGAAGTTTATTAAACTATATCCAGACCGCTTTTTCTCCAAGTTGTTTAAAAAAAAAAGTCTTTGCAGTAAGAGTAGACTGGTTTCTCTGATGTCTGTTAACCTCATTGTGTTCAGTGAACAGTCACGTGACCCTTAAGCAGGAAGCTGTTTCTACTAACCCAATTCACTTCACAGATATAGAGGGCCTGATCTGCTTCTTTTCTTTCTCTTCCCTCTGAATGTATTTTGGTACATCACATAAGTAGCATATGTTTATATAAGCTATTATACATATGAAATGTGTAATATGCATATTTTAACCTTCGTTTAATCTATATACTGAACAGTAGGAAAAATCACTGGAGTGCCACTCTGGGATTGGCAAACTGGCCTAGTTTTGGAGGATTTCTATGCTGAAGAATGGCAGGAGAGCTCCTTGCTCACACATCCTCTAAAGATATTTTTTATAAGGGTCTATAACAGTGGGTCAAAGAAATAAAGTAAATTGTTAGAAATCTATATTTGATTACCTTGGTGATCATAAAGAAGAGTGAATATCAGCCTGAGACACAGCACTGCTGCTTGAAGTGATTGGAAAGTATCCTTGAGAAGCTAATCCAAAGAAATCAAAACTAGAAAGGATTTTAGAGGTTATTAGTTTGCTACTCTATCGTAAAACTGAGTAAAGTAAGGCTTAGAATACTGAGAGAATGTAAGCCTCAGTTTCCTCAGTGGTAAAACAATAACACCATTATGAAGTCAGTGATGATCTGTAATGGCAAAGTGATGACACCTTAGTTTCTATACAGTATACCGGAAGAAATTTCCAGATCTCCTTTTTCTTCTCTTTTTCTTTCTCTTTTTTCTCTTTCTCTGTCTCTCTCTCTCTCTTTTTTTTTTTTTTTTTTTGACAGAGCGTCACTCTGTCACCCAGGCTGGTGTGCAGCGGTGCAATCTCAGCTCACTACAACCTCTGCTTCCTGGGTTCAAGCTATTCTTATGCCTCAGCCTCCCAAATAGCAGGGACTGCAGATGTCCGCCACCACGCCTGACTAATTTTTGCATTTTTTTTGTAGAAATGGGGTTTCACCATGTTGGCCAGGCTGGTCTCAAACTCCTGATCTCAAGCAATCTGCCTGCCTTGGCCTCCTAAAGTGCTGGGATTACAGGCGTGAGCCACTGTGCCCAGCCCACTGATCTCCCATTCTTCCTATTGACCAATTTTAATATATAGCCAAGAAGCTTTGTGAGTCTTATGTTAATCAAATCTAATATATGTAAATCATAATTTATTTTAAAAAGTAATTTTTGTTTGCTTTACAAAAGGATACATGACATGATTTCTTTAAATTATAAACTCATTTCATGTATGCAAAAAATTTAGCTACACAAAATCTTTTAGGAATATAGAGATCCTGTAAAATGCAGGTAGTCTTGGAAATGTAGGAAGCAATTTATATTCTGTGAGGCAAAGAAGAAACTCAGGATAGGAAATCATCACTCTCTTGGTAATCTTTTAAATATGAAAGTCACCATAAAGAAATCCAAATTCTAAACATTTATTTTCTCCTCTAACCTCCCCAAATGAGGGAAAAAAAAAAAAAACACAAAACAAGATAGTGGAACGTGTCAAATCAGCCTTAATTTTTGGCCTCTGCTCAGGAAGAATGACACCGCTCTATAATTACATCTAAGAACATAATCCCAACTTCAAGAGATAACATTTAGAAATAATACTCCACTGGATGAGGACGTCTTAGCTGTAAATCCAGGGTTTATTGAAGGCCACCCCACAACCATCACACAACGTGGGAGCCTCTGTCGATGAACTACAGAGATATTGCCAAAGATGGGAATTATCGGGTTGCTTCTGTGCAGAGCCAGTGGATCTGCCACTTTTTAAGTGCTAATACCTGCAGTCGCAGAGAAAGGAAAGGGCAGGTAAAAAGGCTGGGTGAAGAAAATACTGGTGTTCTTTGTTTGTAAGACTGGGCTCAGTCCTGCTAAGTTCCTTTAATGAAATATTTTTGCTTCTCCTTGTTCTGAAAGAAAAAAGATCCCTTGGATCCAAATTTATCACAATCGAAATAAAAAATGTAAAAGATCAGTATAAAACATTTAACAGCAACAGTTAATAATGTATATGATAACATATTGCACTAATATATTGACAAATGTGGCAATAAAGTATTAATGTGATTATGTATCATCAAATATACCAGCCATTCATCCTTTATTCTGCTCCAGTTTAAAAACAAAGCAAATCCTAAGACTATAAAGTGGAGATAGAATCTCCAAGTGTGATTTCAATTAAGCACATCTCTGAGAAACTCTACCCACAAGCTCCTAAGGAGGCAGGTTGTCAGTTTGATTATGACAAAGTGCCTTTAGGAATGGTGACAAAAGCCACAAGAAAATGACTTCTATATTTCAATCTAAATCTAGAAATCAGATCTTGCCAGCCTTGGGCAAAACTGATATCTCAGTAAAGTTTGTTTTTTCACAGCCCCATTTTTCCTATTTGGGGCTTATTTTCTCCATCCATTTGTTGTGGTAAGTTTTATGTATTAACTTAGCTGGGCTACAGACCCCCTTATACAACTGAACACTAGGTGTTGCTGAGAAGGTATTTTGAAGATATGATTAAAATTCCTAATTAGTTGACTTTAAGTAGAAGAGATAATCTGGGTGACCAGATTCCATCAGTGGTAAAACCTTAAGAGCAGAACTGAAGCTTCCCAGAAGAACAGAAGGAGGTGGGGGGCTTAGGAGGTGGAAGAGAAAAGGAGAGGGGAAGGGGAGAAGGAGAAAGAAGAGGAAGATGAGGAGGAAGAGAAAGACAAGGAGGAGAAAGGAGAAGGAGGAGGTAGAAGGAAGAGGAAGAAGTAGGAGGAGAAGAAATTTTGCCTGTGGTCTGCTGCTTCAGCTCATTTTTGAGTTCCAGCCTACTCTTCCTGACAGCCTGCTCTACAGATCTGAGCCTTGCCTAGCCAGCCCCCACAATTATATAAGCCAATTCCTCGTAACAAATCTCTTAATGCCCAGCTCCTACTGGTTCTGGTTCTCTGCTTGAAACTTGCTGAAACACTGTTTCAAACACCCATTGTTACCCTTAATTGCCTACAAAACTTCAATTATCAGGGAATAATTTGTTCCCAGTTACCTTGACATTGGTGCAGTTATGAAATCAAACTTCATCCTGTGCAAAACACAATTGTAAGCAGCCATGAATAGGCAATGGGTGAAGGAAAGTAAAAGCAAGCATTACACCACCCTACTTCCAATTTATATCATAGAGGAAGACACTGAAGTTGTTTATAAGTTAGGCTAGTCCTGAAATAATTTTAAGAAAGTTGCAAATATGCATTTATTTTTCTTTTTCCTTTTGTTCCTGGGATTTCTTCTTAGAGAGGTACATTATTAAGGATTATAAAATGTATAATATAACACCCTGTGAAGTTATTTTACCCATGTATTTCTTTAGATTTTAGCCTGGATAGCCAAGCATTAGTGGTAAGGAACTTGACCTCCAAAAAGTTTGTTAAATCATAATAAACTACATGAATAAAGCAATAAATAACATGTAGTCCAGACATATGTTTAAAATCACCCCACATTTACTATTTATGGTAGATTAGTTTATTATTCCCAATTTTTAAATCTTTTCCTGTTAAAGATTTAAGTATCTGCATTCCTTGCCATGTGACCTGGGCTAACTCCTACCACATAGGCAGTGCCTTGTATGAACAATTGGCATGTTTTTCCACCCATTGGTGATGAGTTGGCTTTGACAATGTGAATTACGTTGGCCTATGAGATGTTAGCAGATATGACAAGAACAGAGATGATAAATGGGCTTTTATGATTTCCTCTGTTGTTTTGTGCTTCTGCAGTCCACTGTGAGAACACGTCTCAGCTTGCTATTGGTGCAAGCAAATGGAGGCAACGCCTATAGGGGTTCCACATCTCCTCTGCAGCCTGCAGCAAAGCCTTTTTGAGTCTGAGTCTAGCCAAGCCTACTTAGGATCAGCTACCCATGAGCAAGAAGAACAAATACTGTCATTCTAAACCAATGAGATTATAGGGTTATTTGTTGTTTAGCTTTTCAGCAGCAATCCTGACTAATGGATTATACATAACCTGCTTTTCTTCATACCATCAATTAGAAAAAAATTTAGTTTAGTTATGGGTTTATTATTTTTGGAGACTTGAATCACGATTCAGCCCCTAAGACAATTTTAAAATGTTTTCAGAAAAATAGTAGATAAAACAATATAAGTAACTATATTAATGTATATGTATGGATAGTGCATCAACTATTCTGAAGAATTCAGAGGATTCTCATTGTGGCAATTATTGGAAAGAACAGTGCTTTCCTTTCGTTTTTGGTATTTCTGTACTCATCTTACTTCTTTTCTTTCTCCTAATTTTCTGCTTCTTCCCTCGCTTTCTCCCCTCTCCCTCCCTCTTTTCCTCTTTTTTTCTAGCCTGCTTGCTTGCTTTCTCTCTCTCTCTTTCTCTCTTTCTTTCTCTCTCTTTCTTTCTCTCTCTTTCTTTCTCTCTCTTTCTCTCTCTTTCTTTCGCTCTCTTTCTTTCTCTTTCTCTCTTTCTTTCTCTCTCTTTCTTTCTCTCTCTTTCTCTCTTTCTTTCGCTCTCTTTCTTTCTCTTTCTCTCTTTCTTTCTTTCTCTGTTTCTCTTTCTCTTTCTTTCTCTTTCTTTCTTTCTCTTTCTCTTTCTCTTTCTCTTTCTTTCTCTCTCTCTTTCTCTCTCTGTCTCTCTTTCTCTCTCTCTCTCTTTCTCTCTCTTTCTCTCTTTGTTGTTCAGCAGAATGGAATACCGATTCTGTTGTTCTTGTGTCTCCTTACATCCTTCTGGATTATAAAAATATGAATAAATAAAATAAACAAAAGTTCATCTTATCTAGAAGACTTGTTTCAATCCACGTCTTCTGTGCAGAAACCCACCTAACAGTCTAAAGCACACAGTTCTCTTCTTATCTTTACCATTACTGTTTGCCAGCAATTACCACTGTGTCCCTATTCTTATGTAGTAGATGAGGCATACTGGGGTTAATAGAACACCACTTGGAGGGCTTAAAAATCTTTGGGAATTGGTTCTAAATTAGCTAAAAACTGACTATTTAACCTGGAAAATGTTATTTACCTCTATAAGCCTTAATATTGTTACCTAAGAAAATAAAAATTATAGCAATGTTAAGCAGAGTTTTAACACCATTATACAAAACCAAGGAACGTAGGATTTACTGAATATCTACTATATATCACCATATAGCAGATACTTCTACATGTATTAACTTGCATGTATTAACTGGTGCTATTAATAAACTGTCATCTACTATTTGTAGATAAGCAAATTTAGGCTTAGTAACTGTCAATAGTCAATCATCAAGCAAGAGTCTGGACAAAGGTTCAACCATACATCTGTTTGAGTCTCATGTCCATGCTTTTCTATGATATCCACTACCTTTTTAATAATAATTCCACAAGCTTTGCCCCAGCTTAATGTGATTTAAGACATAAGTGATTCTGGTAAAATTTGAGGATAAGAATAGAAACCCCTGAAGGCCCTGGACATTAGAATATTATAGTAGCAGACTCCTTTGGACATGTACCTTTAATATTCACTGAGGGCAATAGTAATTTCTAGCCATTATCCTCAATGCACCTACAACTTTGAAGTATAATAGGTGGCACAGGTATGGCATCTGGCTAATTCACCATCATTAAAATAAAAGACTTGCTTGCTAACGGATCCACAGAATGGACATTCCTTTCCATTCACATTTTAAAATACTCTGTATGAACAATTGGATGGTTAAATGGCCTTCTAACATAAGGCAAAACATCTCAAGCTGCTCTGTAAGTTTAACCATTAAAGCTACTTAGATTAGAAGAGGTAAGTAACTTAAAGTTTCACCATCTAAAAAAGTCCTATGCTGAGCTGGACTTAGTGGTACATGCCTGTAGTCTCAGCTATTCAGGAGAATGGCTTAAGCCCAACACTTCAGGTCCAGCTTGGGCAACATAGTGAGACCCCCATCTCTAATATTAAAAAAAGAAAGAAAACAAAAAAGTCCTATGCTTATTCCAGCAATTTTTATCTTAACTTGAACTTTTCAAGGGTCTAGTGAGAAATATTCCCATATCTCTGCAGCTACCTTTTTTTTTTTTTCCTGGAAGATCTGAAATTTCAACAGATTTCAGATTTTCATTGAACCTAGGAAGCAAGAAAGTCTAAGCCCCAAAAAGAGTGGGGAGAGCTAAAGAAATACTCATTAATAATAAAAATTTCTTTCTCCTTATAGTTCTCTTATCTTTTGAAAATGCTGGTGCAAATTATAGAGAAGGCAGTCAGAATATGGGAAAAAGAAAACTGGGCTTAGTGTCAGAAATAAAAAAATGTTATCAAGGCAACATCACCTTTCTTTCTTTCTTTCTTTCTTTTTGAGACGCAGTCTCGCACTGTCGCCCAGGCTGGAATACAATGGTGCGAGCTCAGCTCACTGCAACCAGGGCCTCGGGGGTTCAAGCAATTCTCCTGCCTCAGCCTCCCTAGTAGCTGGGATTACAGGCACCAGCCACCAGGCTTAGCTAATTTTTGTGCATTTTTAGTAGAGACTGGATTTCAATATGTTGGCCAGGCTGGTCTTGAACTCCTGACCTCATGATCAACCTGCCTTGGCCTCCCAAAGTGCTGGGATTACAGGCATGAGCCACTGCGCCTGGCCTTTTTTTTCTATTTGATATTGGGTAAATAATCTCGTTGTCCTCAATCTGTGTCAATGATGGCTTCTCATTCTTCTAAAAATTGCTTAGAGAATAATTAATATTTATCTGATTGCCTTTGCAAAGTGTTATTATAAATACTGTTCCCACAGCAGCTCAATTTCTTTTTTATAGCAGGAGAGCTATGACTCATAGAGATCCAAGGTTTTGTCCAAATTTTAATCCAATATTAGTAATTAGTGCTATAGGCAGAACTAAACTCAAGCCTCATGGCTGCTGAGACCACACAGCCTATACTTTTACTCGCCCAACCGATCCTTTATTTTGAATATGCCCTTAGTAGATTCAAGTTTCTGAGTTCTTCAATCAAAAGTGAATGAAGGAAGATTTCAATCCAAGAGTTCCGTAGCATTAGTTCCATAGCATTAGTTACTGTGTCTATATTTTTATCAGTTTGTTTGCTCTTTGTCAGAATATCAAAATCATTAAGCGTGCTGCAACTCATACACTGTGAGGCAAGGTGCCCCACAATTAATCCTGCTGTAATCCTGGTTATTGCTCTTGTCCTTGTGACATGGATGCTTCCCTGAAAAGATATTAAAGCAATAGTTTATAGCTTTGAAGACATTTGTCCAGTTCCCTATTTTATTCCTGAGATGAACTGGAGATCATTGCTTAATTGCAAGGATCCAATAAGAGATCTCCAACCAAGATAATTTGAAAAATTTATAGTCTCTTGACTCTGTGTTTGAAAGACAAATAGGGCATGCCATTAGTTAAAAGAGAAAGAGCAACTAATTTAGCTTGGTAGATGGAGGAGATAGAAATAACTTAAATATATATTTTAAATATGTAAGCACATTATCTAAGTGAAAGAAGTACATTTACCAAATTTATTAAAACTCATCCACCTTTATTTCAACTTTCTATTTAACAGGACCAACATTATCATAAGCTTTTATTAGTAATAGGAAAATTATAATATAATACACTAATGTTACTTACGTAAAATACAAAGATGCAGAAGTCTCACACAAGAGAGATGCCCCCAACACATCCCATACCCTCTGTTTTACCTGGAAATGGTATCTAGAAATTCTCTGGTGTCATACTTTTATCATATGAGAAAATAGAGGTCCAGAGAGGTTAGCTGATTTACCCAAGACACTAATAGGTAATTTTGTGACCAGTGCACCCTTGCCTCATTCCTCCAGGTAGCCTGACATTGGAGTTAGAGAGATATAAATTTTGATCTTCCCCTTCTTGGGCTCTTGATCAAGTTATTTTATATCTCTTTGCCTGGATTTTCTATATCTGTAAAATTAGCATAATATTATGCCCTACCTCATAGGCAATAATGGAGCTTAAAGAAAGGATACTGTGTGACAAATGCTTTTTATACACTATGGCACCTCATGAAGGTTTGTTACATGGTAGCTCTTAGGATTTTTCTTTGTTTCTCTTACTCTACTAGGCCATCTCAGACACTTCTAGACTCTCACGGCATCAAGAAGAGACAAACATTTGTTTGGCCATCTTTTCACATTGCCAGTGTCTGTGTCCTTGGTACCCACTAGGTAGTCACTTACAGGCAGGTTCATCCTTTCTATTCTTTGCATGGTAAAATGAGTGATAGAGTTCTTGAGTTGGATGTATGAATCTAACGCTGATGGAATGAATGACTTTCAGTTTCAAATACATAGTAGGAGCTCAATAAATATTTTTGTATATAAATCAGTAAATAGAAAGTGGTATATTTGCCTCTTATTCCATACCTTAATATAATTTTACATTATGTCTTTTTATCTCACAAGCTTAGCACATAGTAGGACTTTAATTAATGTAGATGGCATGATGGAATGAGTTAGTAGGTTAATTAAGACATGACATCTGTAGTCCCTTTTCTCCTATAGCTATTTTTAGAAAAACACTGACAACAAATATTCTTAAGCAGAAAAAAAATCAGAAGGCAAGTCAATGCATACTATCAACTTAGTCAATTTCTAGGCTGACTTTAGAGAACTTCAGCAAATGGGTAGCACATGAAGGTTGAGACAAAATAAATAGGGAGCCCTTTGTTTTAAAACATTCAGTTTAATTTAGTATTACTATATCAATAGTTCTTAATCAGTGTATCTTAACTGGAGATCTTCAAGTGGTCCAAATACTACTATGGGGAATACATATGTAAGGTTTGACAGATTTCAGAGAGCCCTAGGTTATCATCATCTATAGAATATTTCATGCTAATGAGTGGATATGTTAGAAATATTTAAAATTATTAATCCTGTTCTACTTCATTATTGATGGCATTGCTACACAGAGCCACTAGGACCCTTACCTGAGAACAGAATATGCATATGGTCATGGAAATTGAAGACATCTTTTCATTTTTATTTATGGTTCTTAATACACTCTGTGTTCTATTCTACGAAATTTTTGCCAGTATAATTAGCAATTGATTGAAACAGTGGCATGATCTCGTCACAGTGATGAGTTGAACCAAAATACTTTGTATTTTAATTGATTTTTTAAATGTAATACCAATATCACTCATATTCAGAATAAACAGAAGACTAGTGATAGAATTTAAATGAATTGAAAGGACTTTCTGCTCAAATATCTCCCTATTGCCAGGCACACTGACATTACAAAAAGTTAGAAAAAGTCCCTTCATTTTTAAAGTCTTCCCAGGCAGGAAGATACCCCTGTTGAGAGGTGGCTGCTTTGAGGAGGGTTAACACCTCAAGCCATTATCAAGCATTAACACCCCAGCCAAAATTATTTCAGCCTGCGCTTTCCACTGTAGGAACTGCCAGAGAAGAGCAAGGCCCTGTAGGAGAGCAAGGCAGAATAAATATCACTGATAGGGATACTAGGGAGGGCAAAGAGTGTGTTGAACGCTGGCTGGGTGGAGGCATTCTGAAGCCTCTGTCTCCCTTGCAATTATGTTTGAAGCCCCTGTCTCCCTTGCAATTATGCTGGGATCTGGCCACACTATCAAGATTGTCCTTGGCCTCTCAGAGGAGAGTGTATGAGTCACATCTTAAACATAAGTTTTAAAAACACAAAATCTTGTTTCCTAGGCTTATGCTATCCAGGTTTCTAAATAAGAACTTGGATTTCGTCTGCACAGCAAAATGAGAAAAAGGTCAGGGAAGTGACTAAAGGATACCAGGTCTATATTGTCTGAAGGAAGAGGAGAATGAAATAAACTAAACCAAGTAATTCTGGCCAAAGAACATTTGTTTCTTCTTAGAACAAATAATTGATGTGAAATATTAGCTTGAATTATCTGGATAATTAATTCCCTCTGTTTTCCACTTAATTTGTCAATGCATACAAGGCCTGAGCGTGGGTATACTTAGCATTTCCATGATCCAATTTAGACGTCTTCCTTGATCAAAATCTCTGAATAGTTACTCAACTCCCCAACTCCTTCCGTCCTGCATGCACGGCTCATGCGATCCTCTGGGGAATAATTATTACACTGAAGACCGTTTCCATAGTTTCTGTTCTTATCAAGGGGTAGTGTAAGATTAAATATATATACCAGCTTAAGGAAACTTTTTTCAGAGAATTTTAGGCCAAATGCTACTTATTTCCGGAAGCTTGTCTCAATTCCCCAAATCAACGTCAATCCTTCCATCTTGGACAGCGAGGCTCTGTGTTCCAAAATGGAGACTACTGAGGTCTGTCTTGAAGAACAGAACCATCAGGCTCTTATTCTGCTAAGTGAGATATAAAACCTAAGGACAGGAATTGGTAATAGGATATCTTCCCTACAACAATAACAACAAAAATTAACGTAATGAAGATAATTTTTAAGACAAAGTGAAGTTGTTAGAGTTATTGAGTAATTTTGAGAACAGGTATATTGAAAAGAGGTTTTATAAAATATCTGTTGTTGCCCCGCTAGACTTTATACAAAACATCCATTTCCCCTCAATGTGCCTTGGCCTTGGCACTATTCTAGTGTTGAAACATTCAGCTCTGCTGCAAGAGCATTGTGTAGCACACAGACTGTGGATGTAGGAGGTGGTGACTACTGGGTGGCATATAGCATCTATTTAGTTCTGCTCTGGGTCACTCTCACATCCTCCTCATGACCCATGAATGGTCCATATTTTATACATATTTATAGCCCCATTATGGTTTGTATATTTATTTCTAAACTGTGAAGGTACAGTAGATTTTTGGCAAATTAATTTCTTAATGGACAAAGACTATATACATGAGCTTCAGTTATAAGGAAGCGAT
This sequence comes from Homo sapiens, assembly GCF_000001405.40. Lineage (NCBI taxonomy): Eukaryota > Metazoa > Chordata > Mammalia > Primates > Hominidae > Homo > Homo sapiens. Next base: position 38,587,976 of record NC_000018.10, read on the forward strand.
GGATTTGTGCTTTCTGAACTGTGTTCTGCATGCAGTATGTGTTCAGGAACAATGACTTAACAAAGCTTATCCTATTTAGTGGGTCTCCATTGCCTGGAAGACTCTTCAACTCCTGTATCATTTTCCAGTGCCACTGTGTAAACAAACCATGAAGATAACTCACTGCACAATTCCGGGTGGTGCTATTCTCATAAAATATTAGGTTAGTGGTGCTCCCTGGAGCTAGCACTCACAACACAGAGCATCACTGAAATGGTGGCTCTGCTGGAATCTGTTCTCTTTATTAAGAATGTGTGCACTTTGGGAGGCTGAGGCGGGTGGATCATGAGGTCAGGAGTTCAAGATCAGCCTGGCCAAGATGGTGAAACCCCATCTCTATTAAAAATCCAAAAAATCAGCCAGGCATGGTGGTGGGCGCCAGTAATCCAGCTACTCGGAAGGCTGAGGCAGAGAATTGCTTGAACCCAGGAGGTGGAGGTTGCAGTGAGCCAAGATCATGTCACTGCACTCCAGCCTGGGCAACAGAGCGAAACTCCATCTCAAAAAAATTAAAATAAAAAAGGAATGTGTGAGTAGTACTGTTGCAAGAAGAGACAGGAAATTAAGAGATTCATCAGAAATACACTTTTCTCTCTTTCTATTCATGCTTGTATTTGATTTACCAGTACTAATACATCTACTACCTGCTCAGTGCTGTGAAAGACACTATGAGAGTGTAAATGAATTATAATGTGCTAGTCCTCTACTCCAGGAATTAAATGACACTGAGGCAGTTCTTAAAAAGTAAGAGCTTCAACCTCCTGGTTTCTTAATCTAAGGCATCCCTGGAATTCCCTTGAAGCTTCATTAATATACAGGATTTTCTGTTCCTTTTCAAGATGTCCAAACATATGCAGGATCCTAAAACAGTGGTCTCCAAAATAAGACACATGCATGGCAGCAGGTACCCATCTCTATTCAGATGGATGCAGAAAATAGAACCTCTCTATATGAGCATTTCAGTTGATAAAAAGAAAGAGAGTAAACTTCACAAATATTTACTTTACAAATTGCCACTTGTTCCCTCAGTCTATCCGTACACTCGTAACATAGAGTAGGTAATGTTTTCTAAGAGAAAAATTGAACTTTTGCAATTCAGAAGGGGTGATGGAGACCTCAGTGCTTCACTACTTTTCCCATATTGCAATGACTTATAATTTGTATCTATCTGGTTATGTGTATTTAGAGAATTTACTTTTAATATTAATTAGATTGAATCTTAAAAATGGACATGAGGCTTAGAGTAAATTCAGAAAAATTGCTGCAGTTTGAAGATGGTATCACTGATGTGTGTACAAACAGAACTCCCCTTGCCTGGTGCATGGTCTTTCTCAGATGTGTAAAAAATACAGGAAGAGGCTAGTTAAATATAATAAGAAATTGACCCAAACTTTCAAGTAATCAATAACTCTTTAAAATATGGCTTTATTTCTAGTAATATTAGCAAGAAGCTCACTCTAAGCATAGATTGTCCCTTGAGAGACTAACTGATCATAAACATATAAAAGCAAATTATCTATAACATAAAATCAAACCTCTATATTTTTTCAGCAACAATTTAAATAAAGTCTCTTACCCTTTTTTTTCAAAGAACTTGCAAATAATGAATATATAAATAAACATATAAACATAAATAAAATAAATCTGCATATATTGGAACTGTATGCTCACAATTTAAAAAATACTCTATTTTGTTTTCAAACCAGTCCAAGCTCTCTCTCCCTTCTGTGTGATAGGGCGTATTTAACAAACAACATTACTGAGAACACTTCTAATCCTGGTTTCCCCCTCTACAATAATGTTCTGTTATGACTTTTTAATCTTGCACTAATGTGCAATATCTAAAGACTTTCATTAAAGTGAGCTCAGGTTAGCCTTTTTTAACCTGCTCTAAAAATGTTAACATAAGCCACAGTGGGCTACCAGCTCAATAATCTTCCAATTGTCCCAAGCTCCAAATGGCCCATTGAGGCTCTATTTGTTCCAGTCTATTGGTTAAATATGTATTTGTGTATTTTTGAAAAACATTTAATTATTTACCTAAGAGGCTTGAACAGCTGGTCTACTAGGTGAAGGCAATGGGATACAGTTAAATGTTAGAACCATTTAATTTAAATACATTTAAAAAAATGAAAGCAAATTAAAAGGCAAAATCTTTTACCTTTTAATTCTGTTCTCCATTGTGTAAACAGATTGAAGGCACATGCTCTGCATATTAAACTCTGTTATAAGAAGTACCTGTAGAAAATCATATTTACTCATGCTGTGGGTCAGTGACCATATCTACGTTCATTTTTTCTTCTCTTTTTTAATATCAAAAGTAGTTAGATCATATTAAGAAGTCATTCTAACATAAAGCAATTACTTTTGGAGTTCAGTATGTTTAATTTTTATATATACTGAAAAAACTAGGAAAATCTAATAACAAATCTGAGCTCTTACATATTTAAATGTGTTTAGCCAAGATATTCACTGTAGATATCTGTCCCTCCAGCCATCACTTTTCAAACTCCTGAAAGAATTTAGATTTTTATGTTAATACATACACACACCCACACACAAACGTAACACTGCATATGCTGAAGACATCATGTTGAAATAATCCTGGAATAGCCTCAAAAGCAAATCAGGAAGAACCAGTCATCCGAACAAAGTATTCTTAAGGGACCTAAGCCCAGCTAAGAATGCTTTACCTATGTTCAAAGAATTAAAACAAATGGGTTAATAGCCTAGGTTTAAATAACTCATATTTAATGTTCTTTAAGAGTGACAATGAACATTTTTTGTTGATTTTATCATTTGCTTTATTTCATCTCCTTAAATGTAAAATTCTTGTACAAACGATAATTCCTTTGGCGCATCCTAAACATTTGATGGACTCAAGGCAAGGGGGCCACATATCCTACATCTACTATAAATTTAAAAGTTATAAATCAGGCTAAAAAAAAGTTATATTTCCTTATCTTGACAAGTGTACCTTCATAACAACCTGGAAGGCAAGTTTGAATTTAAAATTCTCAGGTTCCTTGGAGCTATGTCTCTAAACATGGAGGCTGAGGAAAGTGGCTCTTGGCTGTCCTCTCATCCCACCTGCCTTTTCTCCCCATGCCCAGTTAGTCTCATACTGCAAGAAAACTCTCCAGCCTACATGCCTAACCCTTTGGAAATATCTCCCTTAAGTGCCCCATGGCCACCCTTCAGGTCTAGGGGTTTGCACATCCAAGATACTCTCCAGCCTTGGGAGTAAAAGACCTGGCAAAGTTTCTTCCAGTTCCTAGAAGCGGACTCAGGACCATTTAGAAAGGGAATTCCAGGGTCTTTAAAATCCAGGACAGGGTCTGGAAGGTAGATTAGATTTCATGTTGGTATGTCACTTTAGTCTTGCAGCTTCCCTATCTTTGCCCGGGCTTAAGGTCTTTATCACTGATTTGTATCCCTCATGGTGCTTAGCACAGAGACTTGCATAGCACTGCTTGGTAAATATTGATTGACTGATGATTATTTGATTAATGTTAAGTGAACTTTATAATTTATTTATTCACCAAAACCACCTCTCTGGAAAATGAAACCCATAAGATAAAAATTGTATGGATTAACCTCTTTGCAATCATCTAATAAAATGAATAATTCATTTTATTTTATTGTTACATGTTAGTTTTATCTTTAACACAGAATTGAAAGTTTCACGTAGAAAATGTAGGAAGTAACTCAAAATCTACCAGGTTTCAAGTTTATATCAAGCTTAATTTTTTGGGAACTTTGGGATATCAGTAAGATGGTGTGGTCACTTAAATGGCCAGAAGAAGTAGAAGTGTCTCCGCAACTCAGGGACTAATGGCTTCTCTGAAGTAGCTGTTAACATGTTGATTGCAATGCCACTGCTTTTACATCTCTTTATAGAAAGACTCCTAAAAGAATGAAAATATTCATTAAACCACGAAATCACCATTGAAAAAGTTACTGTATTTCATCATATGTTTTTCTGAAAAAAAAAAGATAAAGAAAAAACTTAAAACTTGATCATCTTTTTTCTGTTTGGTCTAGCATCTACCTTGGACATTTTGCAAAAACATTTTTTTAAATGTGATTTTCAATTTTGGACGTTGGATACTTCCTATAAGAAATCACAAACTTTTTTTTAGTCCAATTCTCTGTGCTCCTGCTTTTACTCAATCTTGGTCAAAGCCCAAAATGAGAGAGATGTGAGAAAATCTAAAACTCAAACTCCTTTACTGAGAAGTTAAAATGGATTATTCAAACAGCAAAAAATGTGTCGATTTGGATTTCAAGTCTTTAAATCAATGGTTGAATTTTAATGCTTCGTATCATCAACACATAGATATATCATGGATAAATAATTAAAATATATTAATATCCCATTTCCAGAAATCTCAAACAATTAGTAACATGCTGAATGGTGAATTATAATTCTGTTTACATTTATATTTCTAAGCCTGGTGCTAAGACACAGGACAAATCAATAAGCCACTAGCACACATTTGTGGAGCACCTATACGATGCCATATAGTAAACTACACTATCACCATAAGGGATTTAAACAGAATAGGAACTTATACATTAGATAGAAATAAAATATACATAAAAATACCATATTTAATTGTTGCTGTGAGCCAACTAGGTTATATTAGTCTATCACTATAGTAAGTTTTATGTTTCAAGTTGATCTGTGGCATACTTGTATTTCAATTTATCTAACAAAAAGTCCTACTATAATAGCATTTAAGTAAAAACTTACCTTGAGTAGATATGTTAGTGTATCAGTATTCTGCTTGAGCTTCGTTCCTGTGTGAAATGGAATACTTATATAAATTAAAAATTACTTGAATTTTCTAATGGCTCTAATACTGCTATAATCTTTCTTCAACAATTTTTAAAAAGTTTTTGAAGTAGAATTATGCATAAGTGTGATGCATTTGTTGTCTATTTTTCTCCACTAAAGAAGATTGGCAACATTCATGTCACACATAAAATGGTTTAAGAGTCTCTAATGATATACAAGGTAGGATTTCCTAAGGTTGAAAAAAAATACTTCCAGGCTTTTAAAACAATGCATAAATACTGTTGGTTTTAGATTTCTTATTGTATTGGTCCATGTCAGTTCTCCCCTCTTTATGTGGCTTTGAGTGCATCTCACTTCCTCCACCACCTTTTGCAACATAATAATAGTTAAAGGATTTCATACAATCCCTGGCATCTGTAAAAAACATTTCTTTCTTTCTTTCTCTCATCAGCTCTAAAAGCTCAAACATTTGCCCACTTTCACACATCTCCCCCAGGGATGCTGCAAGAAACAGGAGGATGAGATGATTTTGTCTTTTGTTTCCTAAGTGTGGCAAAACCCTTTCTGGCAAAGAAAATGGGTGGAAAGATAAATGAAATGCCAGGAAACCTTGCTGCTTAGCTCAGCTCATCTGTTGAGAGAGACAGAGACAACATATACATTCACATGCTCTGGGCCTTTGCTGAGGTTTACATAAACCTTTATACAGCTATTCCATTGCTTAGTGAAGGCTATTAGTGATATGCATTTCCTGCATATGAATGGAAGGAATTTATATAATACCTTATTTGGCTTCAATAAGGCAATGTTTTTTAGAGTTTTCCAAGTCATACAGAGTTTACTTGATAGTGCTGAAAGTGGTCCTCTCTTGGCCTGGAATCAAGAATGACTTTTTGTCTTCCTCTTGACCTACCTACAAATAAGGTGGTGGTCCGTCATTTAGATGGCATCACGTGGCTTCAAAAGAGGGCAGGTGTGCAACACTGTACTCCAGCCCATTCTCACCCTCATCTCATTATTGCAATTACCTTCTTCGGAACCAAAAGAACTCAACTTAAATAATCCTCTGCTGAGGTGTTTTCCAAAGCATCTTTTCCTAAAAACTAGTTCCAGGAAACACAAATTTACCACAGGCTCTTAATAATTTAGTCATTCTCTGGATAAAGTTTTCCTTTTATGTATATGAGTTTATAGTACTGACATTAAGCAAATTCAGAACCTGGTTCCATTTGCTGTACATAAAATGGCAGAAAATAATGTTCCATTTGTGACCCTGTGCATAAATTACGTGGAGACCATGAGGTGGGATTTCTGGGCTATCAAAGTTCTTATTTCCGAAAACATCTCCACCAGCTGAAGTACAAAGTACATACTATTAAACTTTTGAGTTGTGTCGTTATCTAGAGAAGATGGGTCTTGTTAAAATGTAATCTTTTCTTCAGCAATTAACTTATTACTGCCTTTAGCACACTTAGGTAAATTAACACAACTATATTACAGATATGAATATTTATCTAGGATGACCAATAAAATGAGGAGAGTTGGTCTGCCTACCTCACACTGGTCATGTTGGGAGCTCCAGAAATTGCCAAACAGGGTATGAGGGAAATCTTGAGGTGAACAGAAATGGTGAAACGTAGAAGAAGGGATGCCATCTCACAGTGGAGGGGAACAATCTTGCTGTCTCTAGGAGAGTAAAGGTGATTCAGCTTCACAGGGGTTCTGACCTAGGATCCAGTGTAGGTCTCCATAAATGTGGTGAGTTAATAATGATGCTTTCTGGGATCTTCTTGTTTTCAATGATGGGCACTGTGGAGGCACCAACTGTAGCAGAGGACATGCCAATAGACCAGAGGCAATAGCATCATCACACAAAGGTCAGGAGATGAGCCCCTTAATAATATGTATACAGAGATTAAAGAATATTGGAAAATGTGGTCAAAAAAATATTAAGTCTTCTTCTACCCTCAGCACTCTGCTGGAGAAAAAATGAAATCTTGAATGGGCAGAGCTAAGACTTTAGCAATTGTGTCAAGGTGGATTTCTCTATACTGAAAGTAACTTCTAAAGGGGACTAGTATGTACCACTATTTCATGGAAATTCAGACATAATTCCTTTCTGCTTCAAGCTTGTATTCCAATGAATGATACAGACCAAAAAACCAAATGCCTGCAAATTAAATCCCATATAGTTAAAAAGAACTACAATCATTAAAAAAAGGAGATGATAGAGAATAATGGAAAATTTATTTTAGATGTGATAATCTAGAAAAATTTTATTAATAAGGTAACATTGAAGTTAGGAACCAAACAATTGTAAATATCAGGAGAAGGCCTCTGAAACCCTGAGACAGGTGAAACCTTGACATAATAGAAGGATGGAAAGAGCAAATTATAAGAGGGTAGCAAGAAAAAGGAAGAGTGCTGCAAGACAAAGTTGGAGTGAGATGTAGGACCCTATCACTGGGTAAGAGGGCTGGAGTCACAGAACATATGCAGTCACTCTGGGTGTTTGAGGGGCATGGCCCAATCAAATTTACATCTATAAATAAATACTTATGAGAATTCAAGGCAGGCAGAAAAGCAGAAGGTTACAGTTAGAGTTTTGCCGTCATCCAAGGGAGTTGAGGTGTCCGGACTAATGTAGTGGAAGTGAGGACATTCAAAAAGATGGCAGATTTGTGATGGGTTTAGGAGAAATGACAGGGTTGGCTGATGTGTTAGTTAGGGAGGGTAAAGAAAAGGGAGGAGCGTTTGAGAATAACGTTGCATCTCTGGTGAAAAACTAGGAAAAGAGTTTTGGGGAGAAAGCAGGAGCTTTAATTTACATATGTTTAAACAGATGTGTTAAGGGAGGCAGTTGAATATAAAATTCTGTAGAAGGGCAGTAATAAAGATAGTCTTTGTTTGTTTAAATCTCCTTGAATTTTCTTCATACTCGTGGTTATAAAGAGACAGTTTTTGCTGGTGGTGTTATTTATTTAAACTTTCATTCATTCAATCAAGATGATATATTATTCAAGGCCTTGAGTAAGGTGCTGTGAGGGTATGAAGATGAGAAATATACCCTTACAGGTTAGACTATACCAGGATATGCCTGCTTCCAGCCCTGCTTATGGGCTCCAGAGTAACATGGTCCTGGCTTTAGTGTTACTTCGGCCAGTAACTGAGTTTTGGCCTTTTGCTTAACTTCATGTCCCTCATCTCCAAAAATAAGGACCCAAATACCTTAATTTATGGCATTTTGGGAAATGTTAACATGGTAAACATGGGGAAACAATGACCAGCACTTAGGCAGTTTTCACTAAAATACGATTAGTGTTGTTTGTAGGAACATTTGTTTATATTTATTTTGGGGTGTGTCAAATATGGACACTGGCAAACTGGAAGTTATCCAGAAAAAAAAATAATCAGGGTATCAAAGGATCTCAATCATAGCATGGCAAAAAAACAAAACAAAACAAAACAAAACAAAACAAAAAAAAACTGCACATTCTGCTTTGGAAAAAAAAAAGTTTTAGGGATATTTCGTGGCTGCATTAAAGTGAAATTCTATAATAAACAGGAAGATGAGATCTCATTCTGAAAGCAAACTTTAGGCACTTGGATGGTTTGCTTTATTGGCTAGTGAATTCCACAATGGGGCAGTGTTCAGGCAGAGCCTAAGAGATATTTAAGTGAAGGTAGAGGGCCAAAAATCCATATAAAGGGAGGCTGCAAAGAATGACCTCACAGTTTCTTTACTTTAATCCTAGTGCTATTTCTATCAAGGAGTTTACAAACAAGTAGAGCTGTTGAAATTAGAATAAATTAAGTGGAATACAAGGCAGTAAGCGATACAGTGTTTTCAAGAATTTTCCTTCAAATAGAGTAAAAGTCTTTTTTTCCAGGAATTCTTAGAAAAACCCGATGTGTTAAATTTGAACTCCTTTGATAAAGCCTCGTCCATGCATCCTTTTTCTTTCCCCCCGCAATTTTCTTTTTCCTTCAGTTAGATCTTTAAAGCACTCTGGTGGAACAAAGACTTCTCCAATTGAAATTTACAAGCATGATTTAAGACTGTATTTTTATTTCCAGAAAAGAATAAATCACTTAAATTTGGGGTAACCTTGGGAAAAGTACAATTATAATAATGCTCATCAAGCACCTAGATGACTACTTAGCATTTAGTAGGCCTCTGAGTGGCAGTTTCCATCTTCTTTTCCTCCTTTTGCGCTCACCATCCATGAAAGCACATGCTAATGTTTCCCTCCTTGAAGTCCTTCAGTCTTACCTAACTCATTAAATCACTTAGTAATACTTAATTGTCTTTTAGCTTTCAATGTTTTAGGATTGTCTCCCTAACTAGACTTTTATATTTAAAAAGCCTTACATGATGCCAATAATTCAGTTAGCCATGCTGTCTACATTTGATATTTGGACATGTGATCTTATTAATGATTTTGTGCCCCTTCCCATTGCTAAAGGCCACTCTTTAAAGTGCAACATCCCAATTAAATTTATAGGGCATATCATGGCTTATAGAATTCATAGAAAATAATATTGACATTAAGATAATTCAGGATGTATGGCCCACGCTTTATATCCATTACAGACAGACTGTATAAATGATCCAGTTGGGGTGTATTTTGAACATGGTTTCAAGCTATGAACTAAACTCACTGTCAATTTTGTGGAAGGTTTTCCCAATTCCATGCTGCAGCAACTTACAGGAGGACCAACTTATAATGAAGTCCCTGTGCTACTGCCTCTTGTCCTCCAGGAATTCAGATCCTGGGCAGAGGCCATTATCTTCCTGAACTATCACCCAATATTCTGAATAGAAGGTTCAGGGCACATGAATAATGCCACACTAGGAGAGGAGTGTCTGTGTTCCCAAGCTTACCAATTCCCATATGCCTCCCTGTCTACCTGTTGTGGCAGAGCTGCAGCAAGAAGCCAATTATTTCAGAAGGCTTTTGTTTTGCAGTAAGGCAAGTTCACTGACTGCTGCACATTAATTCCTGGCTATAGATATAATGGCCACCTGGTTAGTTTCGCCTACAAATGTCAGTCCACAGGAAAAACTCTAATCCCCAAACTCTAACACTATTAAGCAGAAAAGATATTAAGGCTTATGTTGGACCTGATTGGAGAGTAATTATGATTCAATCTAACAGAAGTCTTCATAGTGAGACTATCTGACTTCCTTCCATGGTGCAGTAGCATCTTGTATTGTGAGAACTCTAGCAATGAACAGTATTCAATGGAGAAGACCCGTATGTGATCTCCATGATGGAAGAGAAAGGGCCTTTGCTCAAATATCATCCTATAGAAAGAATTCCCATTGAAAAGAAGACAGAGTCTCAGAGTCCTGAAGAAGATAGGTCATTTGAAAATATTTTTAAGATTATACATGTTTCAACTTGTTTTTCGTTACTGACTCTATCAAGCTCCAGTTAGGAAAACAGAAAGCACACCAGTTATTTTAACTAATAGAATGTAATAGTGCAAGTTAATTTAAACAGTACCAAAGGGGCCGGGCACAGTGGCTCATGCCTGTAATCCCAGCACTTGGAAGGCCGAGGTTGGGGGATCACTTGAGGTCAGGAGTTCAAGACCAGCCTGTTTACCATGGTGAAACCCCACCTCTACTAAAAATACAAAAAAAAGTAGCCAGGTGTGGTGGTGCATGCCTGTAATCCCAGCTACTTGGGAGGCTGAGGCAGGAGAATTGCTTGAACCTGGGAGGCAGAGGTTGCAGTGAGCCTAGATCACACCACTGCACTCCAGCCTGGGCAACAGAGCAAGACTCCATCTAAAAACATAAAGTACTGACGGAATGAAAAGACAAAAAGGGAACACTGACATAACACAGAAGTAGATACTAGAGACAGTTTTTGCTGGCAACATTATTTATTTAAACATTCATTCATTAATTCATACAATCAAGATGATATATTGACTGGAGCAGCTTCCACTCTTAGGCCTTAGGGAAAAAAAAAAGTTAGAGGTTGTTAGAATCCAGACAGTGGGAGGAACTCACAGAACTGGAACCAGGCTTCTGAGGAGGAGACACTACATAGCTGCTGCCTCAGAAGTTGTGAGAATGGCCCTGGCAGGGCTGGGACACAGACCTTCAAGGAGCATGCTGGAATCTCTAAAGAGTCACAGCGGGGCTAGCCCAGGAGTGGAGATAAAAAAATATGAATTTAAAATTAACTGCTATTGCAACCAAATATGCATATCAGAGTATGCTCCTAGAAACAAACAACAGCAACAACAAAAAAAGCAGCAAGAGCTTCTTCTCCTTCAGCCTTTGTCTTTCTCTTGGTCTTTCTTTTCCTAGGAGAGTAGGAAGCTGGGTATAGAGATGAAAGACAATAGCTTAAGAGCCAGCATAGGAACCATGTTAAATTTACTCTGGAACTTCACGTAACAGAACCTCAAATATTCTTCGATACAGGCATTGCACTTTACCCATATGGAAAACAAAGCAGAAATATGTAACCTGACTGGTTCAAGTATTCAAAACCTGCTGTCATGATTCTGCTGTCATTGAGCCTATGGCTCTTTCCTCTTATCCAAGCTTCTGAACAGAACCCTTTTGTTTGGTGAGAATTCATGTGATAAGATTCAGGAAGAAACAGTTCACTTTGCATTTTGCAAGCAAGATGCCAAATCCCCAAAGACATCTGCCTCTTTTGCAGGTCCTCTACACTTGTAAATAGACTCTCTTACATACTGCAGTCAGTAAAAGCTTGATTTCTCTTTTGAGATATAAAAAAGAATTCTGAAATAGTCATCAATGTACTTTTATACCTATTACCATTTGGAGTGTTGAGGCAGAAGGGCTGAGAACTTCCTGCCCATTCAATTTGATATAAGTGGGGAACTTGAGTCTCTAACATTCCAGCCACTTACATGAATCACTTAACAAGTACATGAGAGGGAGATGGAGAGTAAATGGTCTATCAGAGGATCAATCCATACATTTAGTTCTCATGCCATTGTACTGAAATTATTCTTTTGTTTTTGACATTCTATTTAAAAAGTCCATTAAATCATAATGCCCAAAGTAGAGAAAAATATCCCTCTGTGCTCTTGTGTAAAGTATAGACAAGTATAAAGCATGTTTAGGAAGTTTGACTAGAGTTTTTTCTTCCTTTTTTAGTAGAAAGTTATACCAAAAAGTTTAGAGTTATTTAAGAAGAATATCCCTTTCTCCCCCCAAAAAACGTGACATATTGGAAAAGAAGCAAGTGAATCCAATAACAAGGACAGGGTTTTTTCTGTTTGTCCTTTTCTTCAAGTTAATCCTATTTACATATTCCCTAATTTTATGATAGAGATTTTTTAAACATATTAATAGGTCAATTAATCCATGCTGTTAATGGGGTGGTACTTAACTCAGTCTTTATGGGAGGGTTTACTTGGATGGTGTATTATTGCTATAAATGCTGCTACTGAAGAGATTTGTATCCATCGATTGGTACTTTTAGCATGTTGATCTGTCAAACAGATAAGGGATTTTTAGACTTTTGTATTCAAATTAAGAATTAGGTGGGATGAACTTTCTGATTTCCTGAGATTCAAACCATCTTTCTTGCTATTTTCAGTCCCTCCCCATCTTTTCTGAGGTGTTGGTTTTCATACCTGGGCCTTGTCATTTACTTTATCTTTTCCCTGGAATGTCTCCACCAATATTCTCTACTTGGCAACAAATCCACCTTATAGCCCAGTTCCTTTATGATGTCCTTCCACATAATCCATTTAGTTTCCATAATCCATTGTCCTCTCCCTTTTTAGAAATTCTCAAGAATGATACACCTTGTCATTCATTGTTGCTATGACCTCATGGCTGTTTAATGTGGCTTGCTGCAGGGGCTCTGAATGCCTCAAGAACCAAAGGCAACATTTTCTTTCCATCTCAATCTTCCATCTCCCATTGTGCAGCCTGATCAGGTTGTGAGAACCAGGTATACTCTGAATGCTTCCTTGCTTGAATTGCCAGTGTGCATACAACATAACATGAACAATTTCCTGCTTTTGTACAGCAATTTACAAATTCCAAAGTAGTTCTAGAAACATTATTTTCTTGAATAGTATGGGAACTATGGACAGTAAATACTCTTATTTTCCTATAATTAGAGACACTGGGGCTCTGACTGATTAAGGAAATATCCTATAGTTACAGTCAGCAAATGAAAAGCTAGAAATAGATATTAGAGGAATCTCTAAAAATAAGTCCAAAAGTCTTTTGGTTACACATTTTAAGATATATTTCTCTATCCCTTATCTTAGGAGAAATTTACTGGATTAATTATAAATGAAAGAAGGAAAATAAGAAACAAGGCTGTAATTATTTTCAAAGCATGTTTCTACAGATTACCTTCATCAGAACATTCTACATTTTTTAATTTAAAATTTAGGTCTCCAAGCCTCCACAGCAACCTGATGAATTATATCTGTTGGAACAGAGCCTAAGAATCAATATTCTATATCAAAATTTACTGATATGGGAAACCTCAGCGATTGAGACAAAATGTCTGGGTGGTTATAATTTGCTACCTTTTGAGTCCAAAAAGTGAAGGAATATTTTCCTTTGCAACTCTGTCTAGAACAAGCATTCTGAATTTCTATTTTCTCAACATTCCATCTCCTCTATCACTTACAAGCATCATTTTCATGAACTGAGTATAAAATAGATATAAAATGCCTTCTAAAACTTATCAATACATCTAATTATAGTCATCAATCCGTGGGGTATGTTTAAAGATCATAAGTTAGAGGGCAGAGGGTAGAGCAGAAAGCCATAGGTGACAGAATATTATATTTTGCCAATGCAAAGGGCATGTTATTTTAAGAGCACACACTATTAATGAAAACTTTTCTACTTTCTTCTTGTATACATATGTGCAGAGGCAAGTTGGACTAAAACTAGCACGGTTGCTAGAAATGCACCTCCTGAGACGTGGGTAGTCCTCATTTTGTGAACAAATTCAGAGAAGGCAGTGCTACCATCATGGATGTATGGAAATGCCCATTTTATGGGAAATAGCTTGGGTGTGCATGGAATGGGTTACATATAGAATGCAGTGTGTCCAGGGTAGCTAACTGTAAAGCAAAGACAAGACACCACCAGGAAAGAAAAAAGACCAAGACTACAACAAAGATCCAAGGGCATCCTGAATATCTCAGTGTGAGACAATCCATCAATCACACCAACACTCATGAGTACCTTTATAATATCACTAATATGCCATCTTTCTAGGCATCTGTATGTGTATACACACAGATACACATATACACGTATTTTTTCTTATTTCCAAAGTCATAATTCATTCTACTACTATTTATCAGGTGCCTATAATGCCCAAATATTCACTTTTCTCCATATTTTTAGCCCATTATTTTTCATTTTTTTCTTCTTTCCTGTCATGTTTCTGGAATGTGTAACATGCTGTATGAACTAAAGCAGGTTGTATTGGACTACATAACTCACTATAGTTTCAATCATATGTACAATGCTTATTTGGGGGTTCTACCCAGTAACAATTCTGGCTTCAGAATATATTGTTTTCAGAGTCTTCTGACATTACTCAGGCATGCTGGTTGTACATAAAATATGTCTGGGCTTGAGAAGGCTAAGTTGCATATAAGCTCAAGTTCCTCTTTGCCCTTATGTTTAAACAAAAATAACTATCTTATTTCCAGATCCAGTCAGACCACAAGAAAAACTACCACTTCTTGCCAAGTAGCAAGGGACAGATTGGTAAGAACAGAGTGGGGGAAAAAAGACAAAACTTATTTTCCCTCTCAGAACAAACAAAGCAAGGAATCCAGTTGGAAGGCAAGAGGCATTGCTTTATAGACTGGGACAAGGCTGAAGCCAGCTTCCCCATGGCTTGATCCTGTCTAATCAGAAAACAACACTTACAAATACCAGACAATACTGACTGTATTAGTTAGGATTCTCCAGAGGCAAAGAATAAATAAGGAGTGTGTGTGTGTGTGTGTGTGTGTGTGTGTGTGTGTGTGTGTGTAGAGAGAGAGAGAGAGAGACAGAAACAGACAGAAACAGATCTAACAAAATGAAGTGACTCACACAATTATCAAGGCTGAAAAGTCCCAGGATCTGTAGTTGACAAACTGGAGACCCCTGAGAGCCTATGTTTAGCTCTGGTTTGAGCTTGTAGGTCTGAGAACCAAGGGAACCAATGATGTAGTAAAGTCTACTCTAAAAGCTGGCAGGCTTGAGGCCCAAGAAGAGCTGATGTTTTAGTTCTAGTTTGAAGGCTGGAAAAGAATAATGTCTTGGCTAATGCAGTCAGGCAGGAGAAGTAACCTCTTACTCAGTCTTTTGATTCCATTCAGGTCTTCAATTGATTGGATGAGGCCCACCTACTTTAGGGAGAGCAATCTACTTTAGATTAGATAGATTCTAATCTATCTGTAGATTCAAATGTAATCTCAGAAACACCATTGTAGACATACCCGGAATTATGTTTGGTTAAACATCTCAGTACCTTATGGTCCAGTCAAGTTGGCACAAAAACTTAACCATCATACTGACCTGGAAGTCAAGGTTTCCAGCAAATTGGAGACTTGAAGGTAATTTGGTCTAAATCCCCACTCAGGACAGATTTATTTATTTATTTATTTTTATTATTTACTTTTTTTGCCTCTGCAAGTGAATGTCATGTAGATTTTTCATGTGCATCTCACATTATACTTTCTCAGGTGGCCCACTCCGTTTTTGGAAATTTAGACTGAAATATTTATTAATGTCTGATCTAGTCATTTTCATATTTTGACACTCTTGTTCAAATACTTCTTCAGCATGAAGTGCTTTCCCAACTAAGTCTTTTCTTTTGAGTCTTCTGTCATCAAGCAGTTACCAAAGCCTCTGCCTTCAGGGAGCTCACTCTAGTAAGAAACGCCAGCAATGAGTGCACAAAGGAAGAGCCATTAAATAAAAATCTGCAAATAGGTAACTAAAGAGGGCAGGAATCATTCTGATCAAAGTTCCTACATCCCATTCTTGCTGTGAGCAGACTGACTCGATCTAATCAGGCACTCTATGAACTAGCACCCTGTGTGCATTTTATATTGCATTAGACAATGGCTAGAAACTTGAATTCTGAACTTGGATGACTATAACACAGGTGGAGAGACAGAGAAAGATGACATTGCAAATGCAGCAGAAGCTGCCTAGGGTATATGAGAAGCAGTCAGTGAGTGGTCAGGCTGAAGGATCTGGGGAGGAGGAAGTCATCAGTGAATGCAAGTAGTTGAGAAGGACTTTGTGCCTTAATCCTTAAAGAATGGGTATTGTTTAACTTCTTTTGAAGGTGAGGTACACATTTCTAGGAAGGAGTGTCTGTGTAAAGGGATGAGGGTGGGAATGAGCAGTACTCTTCAAGATCTTTGAATGGCCACACTCACTAGGATGCAGGCTTCTGAGCATTGGAAGGTAAATTACTCACAATTAAGAAAATGCCTCAGTCCAGGCAAAATCAGCCTCCAAAGGATTAGAAGAAAATTCTGAAGAAGTTTCTTGAGTCTAGGGATTGAAAGTATTTATTTACCCACAGTGTAGGAGTTGTTCAGACAGTTATGAAACTTGCCTCCACACAGCTGTCCGCCTAATGGGCTGCATCAAGTCCCCAGTGGCTACCTCTTGGGATGAACAGAGATTTCAGTCTCTTTCTCCACACCAATTTTCACACTGCCACTGCCAAGAAGGGGGGCAATTAATGTTGCTGCTGACAGTTATTCTACTTTGGGGCCAGGCCCTTGGGACGAAAACTCTCACTGGGATACCTAAGAGTTGGATCTGAATTTGGGGGAATGAGCTGCTGGAAAGAAAAAAAAAATAGCTGTTGGCATCTTAGAAAATCTCTAAAATTAAAAAAAATTCTTTTTACCCTTTAAATTATTTAAAAGTAATTATTGAGTGTACAGCAAGTGCCATTGTCCATGCTGGATGCTACAGTGTGGAAATAAGAGAGAAGCAAAAATGTAAAAGGAAGATACACAGCCTGCTTCCAGGAAACTAGAATTCCAGTTTGAAGAACAAGTCACTGATTATGGTGCAATGCCTCAAACAGGGTAGGTGCCTTAAAAGCCTTTGTTGAATAAGTCATTGGGTAGAATACAAAACCAGCATGTGAGAGTAGAACTATATAAAAGATTAAAAAGATCCACAACGGCTTACTTAATACCAAATTGTTAACACTGTCCCCACTTTTTCTCTTATGTATTTCCTGGTGCTGGTTCTCTCTGTTATATGAACCTTTAAGTGATCAAAATATCGGGCACACTCTTTCTCCCTCCTATTGCAGAGGCTGCCTGCATGAGCTTTCGCTATAAGAAGTAGATAAGGACAATTAGTTTGTGCCTCACGTCTAGTTATCACTCAGCTGAGCTGGCTGCTGAAGCTTCACGTTTTCACGTAACACTCCTGTACATGTCTCCTTTTTTAATTATTTCTACAGGTTTTAATTTGTAAACTGTCATGTGAGATTTGGGGTTGCATTTTGCAGGAATAACTGATATGATTGCAAAAGCAAATTACAGCTATACCTGAAGCTTTTTTCAGACAAAAAATTATTACATATTTTCTAGTGTTGAGGGGAAAAAACTCTCTAGAACAAGCTTCTAAGCAAACACAACAATTCTGGTCTCCTGAAAATTGATATATTCAATTAAATGCTCACAATCTGGTTAGCTTTCAATAAACACCATTTAAATCCGAGACCCTCACTGTTATAAGCATGACGCCAGGTAATGAAGCTTGTATCATTGTTGCTCTCAAGATTTTCATCCAGTAATACACAGCTTTCAAAACTCTTATCTTTGAGCTCAGAAAGCAATTTGACTAATATTAGAGGGCTCTTGCAATAAATATAATCATTATTTTAACTTGATACTTCTTGTAGTCAAACCTTTTAATTTATATTCTACTGAATTGAGAAGAGGTGGGACTAACATTTTATAAAAAGTTTTTAAAATCCCTTTTCTTTATAGAGAGATTGAGAAATGTGACACAGTTATAGCAGATAGGCTTAAAAGCACAAGAGAACAAACTATTTTTAGAAATGTTGATTGTTAATAAACACTGAAATTTCAGACCGTCACAAACACAAATATAATTAGTTACTTTTAGTAATAATTATATAGATCTGCTATACACTCAAGCATACATATATAGGTATTATATATGTGTTTATGTGTGTGTATATACACATATAAACACATATATACACATATAAACACATATATACACATATATGCTAGTTACAAATTTTAAGCTGAAGAATATCATATGTGCTAAATAATACTAATGATTTCTATGTCAGAAAGATTAAGGTCCAGTTATCATAAGTACTTGAAAGTAATGGAATTGAATCAAACTGCCCACAAGTCTGACTTCATTAATTCGCAATGTCTTGCCCTCTAACTAGAGTGAATTGATGTTTTGTTCTAGTGTGTTTAATCAAATGCTGAAGAAGCAAGACAGAAGATAGGATGGAGAAGGAAAAGGAATGCAGACAACTTTTACTTAATATTTTAAGTGTGAAGTCACAGCTGTCAATTCTCATTGACATTTTCCCATACTCTGCTTAATTAGTGTTTTTATTGCCATAAATTGAGTCTGTTTCTGCTTGCTAAATAAAAACTGGGAGAGAAAGCTATTTAATCTGAAATTTTTTCTCCCTCAAAAAAGATGTTAAACAGTAAGTTTAGCTAGCTCTCTTTTCTCATTGTGATCTGCTAAGCATTTTGGCATACACATGTTTATTCTGAGTAAGGTATCATGAACAACCTTGAGATTCACATCATGGGACTGTTATCAAAGAAGCACCATTAGAAGTTTCAAGCAAGGCCATGGATCCATTTCACTGTCATTCTAACAAGGCATCCCTGACTACATGATGGCAAGGAGAACAGATTAAAGTATGGGAGCACCTGGCATAGGTAACTTCTTTAATGCTTCAGAAAAAGACTTATGGACTGAACCAAAAGAAAGTATTGGGAATGATGGTGAAGAAACATCTTTAATATAGGTTTAAGATACATAACTAACAAGATTGTGACTCATTGTATACAGGGCATGAGATTTGAGAACTTATTTGTGAAGTTTCTGAGTCTTCTAGCTTGAGACACTAAGTAGACATCAATGCTTTACTCATATGAGGAATAAAGAAAGTCCTTGTGTAAACTTACCAGCAAGACTGAAAAAGTTTCCACTTAACCTCTGTGCCCTACCAAGATTGCAGAGGAGCCCAAAGGCAAGTTCAAGTACAGATTTCAATCAGTGAGTACTTATTGTGTGCTAGGGACTACATTATGGAATTACTTATAAAGCAATAGTGAAAACAAACATAGACGGTTAAATACTTTTAATTTTTCGCATGGAAAAAATCAAAACAACTGTAGAAATGTGTTCAAGTGGTACCAGCATCAGCAGGAGCTTCATACAAGAGCTGAAATTTTGAAGTAACTTTCAATACACTAAGAGGAGCAGCCTCCTAAGTAAGCGTGGGCCCACAAGCAAAGGCTGTGTGGTACTCCGGAACAGCAGAAATTTAAATCAGGGTACACCTGGGCATGGATTCTGGCCCTTTCTCTCTAAGTGCCCCTGTTCTGGTGTCTGTTACGAACAGAAGTTTTGTAAATTAAAGCAGGACAACAGTGTCCTTCATGTGGTTGCTGGATAGAACACCCCACCAAACAGAAGCAAAGATGGGTTAGTCCATTCAAAAGATAGATCAATAAGTCCATGAATACAGAGGAGTAAAAGGCATGAGGTTGTATAATTATGATATATGCACTTTTCAGTATGTATATTACATTTCAATAGAAAGATGTAAAAAGTATTCTAGTGTGAATGATGAATTACATGGTCTCTAGGAAGGCAAGGACTGACACTTACAGATCACCATATAGTTTAGTACTTAATGGAATAGGCTAATTTTTCTAATGAATTAGCCCATTTCCCCGTCATTTCTTCTCTTCTATCCACTACAGTTCAAACCATATTCTATGACCAGAGCTTAGTAAATGCCTATTGAATTGAATTTTACTACTGTAGACATTAAAAAAAGAAACTTTGGAAAATAAGAAATACAGTAGGATAGAAACACACTAAAAACAAATTAATTCAAACATTAATATAGGGAGCCACTTTTCTTAACATGCTGAATTCTAGAATTTTAATAAAGTGTCCATGAGGCAATGATTGGTTTCTTATTCCATCCATGTTCCTCTGCTTAGATCAACAATACTAGAAATGTCTCAAAAAAGTGCATTTTGTGAGTTTCCAATGACTTACTTGCCCACTCATCTCATTATCTGGCAGGCTGTTTGTCTTTCTTTTTTTCTCCCATCTAACAAATGTAAAACCTCCAGTGTTTTCTATACATATCCTTTTTGAAAATGTTTGTTTCTATTAGTATGTGGGTGCATGTTTCTCTAAAATATAGCCAGAACCCATTAGACTATGCTGTCGTAGTCGGTGGTAGGATTTTGTGTCATTTCCCTTTTGACTTGAAAAATAGCATTTTGAAAAAAATATTTTCCATACACGACATTTTTCTCCCTATTCACTTTGATAGCACCACCTGCTTCGGGAAATATATATTTTCCACAAACCACTGAAATGAACTAATCCATTTTCACTATGTGTCCTTTTTGGCAAAATATCTACAGAATTTGCTTTCATAAAGATAAATTCTGTTGCTTTTCTTCTGTCTTTTCTTTCTCTCTCTCTCTCTCTCTTTATGAAAGCAAAATATTTTTTTTTCTGGTGGGGAAATACATACAAAAATAAAATAGTAAAAATTAAAACCAATGAGTGAAATTCTAATTTTGGACAAATTTTCTCTCTCTCATTTTTTTAAATTTGTAAATGAAAAGTTGAAGGCAACTGACCCTCAAGTTTCATTTTCTTAAGATTAGGTGATTTTTTGCTCATTTTATTTTACCTGGAATCAGAGGTAGAGGTAATATGGGCTTTTTGATGTTCTAATGCTGATATGGTCCAGTATTATGTAATATGTGCAACTAGTGGTACCATCAAACTTGTAGGTAATTTTCCCATGTCAAAAAGAAGAGGTTGGGATCCTCTCTTTGGAATTTTAGGTGTCCTAATGAAGGAGCAGGAATCGAGAGAAGGGAGGCCGGGCAGGGCTCAAGTAGACTGAATTTCTTACAGGCCATTCAAAGGGGTTAGTCATTCACAAAGTCCTCTTTGACGAGGATGTGCAGATGGGCTCCCTGGGAGCCTGCACCCAGGCTGGGTTCCAAGAACGAAAAATTCACCTGAAAGTTTCCTAGTCAGAGTGGCAAAATATTAAAGGAAAAGAAGACTACACCTCAATGTGTAATGTATTTAAGAAAAAGGAACATCTCCATTTACCTTGAAATTTGAGAGGATTAATTTTTATGAAACTACCATACACCATATATATATGTGTGTGTGTAGTTTGTGTGTATATGTATATAGATGCACATATGAATATACATATATACATACATACACACACATATACATACTTATATATACGTATCACATATATATACACACACACACATATTTTAATGGATTTTATCTGTTAATAAAGATGGCTACAAGACATACCTTCTTTGGGTATAGAGCAGAAATTATAAGTTCTAGATGGATACAGACTGAGCACATAATATTACACGTGACAAGTCCATTTTTAGAATCATCTTGTGTTGCAGAGCCTACCATCTCATAGGCATTTGGACAATTTTAATTCTGGAATACCAACCAATGCTTTGAAAATAGCATAGAGGCCTATCTTTAAATCTAACATTGCTCAGGCATTTCCTGTTGTGGTGACATGAGCAGCGTCACTTCTGATAGTGTCCCAGCTCCCTGGTAAGGGCAGTGGAAAAGGACAGAATGAGGGGGAAAGCGTCCACTGAGCGCTTAACCGTGAACATGCTAAGCCTTTTATATGCACTGCCATTTTAAAATATCGCTACCTCAGAAGGTAGGTGTTATTATTAACCCCACTTCAGGAAGGAAGAGCTATAAACGCTAAATGATAGTCTCAAGGTCACATGCTACTAAATATCACACCCTGGAATTAAACACACACAGCTTGACCACAGAAGTTGAGGTTATAGACACTTCTCTAAACAGCTTTTCTTTTCCCTATTTCCTAAGCCAAATTCAGTGTAAGGGAGATTGACTTCCAATCAGGATTTTAGAGCTAATTTCAACCTGGGTACCATTAATCCCTCCATTGGACAACTTCATGCCCACTTGCTCACTCAATGCTATTGGCAGCCCGTGAAGTAGGGCCCCAGCTGTGGTACAACAAAACTGTTCAGTGGCAGGCTTCTGTTTGAACTGTGATCATTGGTGTATTTAAAAATACACTGAACCAAGCGTTAGAAGTCCTGGGCCCTAATTCTGTTGCTACCATTAACTACTTTCATGACATTAGGTAAGGCATCTAATTTCTCAGGTTTAGTTTTCTCATTCATAGAATATAGAAATATTATTACACCTACTTTCAGATGAGATGCTTTAAACCAATGACAGAGAATGTATATAATCAAATATAGCCATTTCTATCAGTTATGATCCCTATTTTACCAATGAGATAACGGACCAGAGAGATAACTGATAAGGTAACAAAGCAAACTAGCAGTATAAGTATGCTGCTTATGATGGGTGGTGAGGGTTACAAAGAAAAAGTCTTCCGAGCTTTTATTTATTTTTTGAGACAGGATCCTTCTCTGTTACACAGGCTGGAGTGTAGTGGCACATCATGGCTCACTGCGGCCTCAAATTCCCAGGCTTCAAGCAATCCTCCCAGGCTAATTTTTAAAAATTTTTGTAAAGATGGTGTCTCCCTATGTTGCCCAGACTGGTCTCGAACTCCTGGGCTCAAGCAGGCCTCCCACTTCTGCCTCCCAAAGTGCTGGGATTACAGGTGTGAACCACAGTGCCCAGCTAAGTCATTTGAACTTTTAGTCTGGTGCTTTGTCAACATATCATATTAGTCCCTGAAGCCTGTGCTATTTCTGTGAGTTTAAATGAGAAAACTGGCAAAAGTTATGTCCTAATCAACTATTATCAGTCCAGTCACTTTTCAAAATATTTAACAAATGTTAGAAGATGTAATCCTGTATGGCTATCCAAAAGCAGAATTATTTTAATTCATTTATGTGGAAAGTTTGTGGCACTCAAACCAGAACTTCAGCTGAACCATTTCTCACTGCTCATACCCTTTTTTTTTTTTTTTTTTTTTTTAGCTTAGACTGAGGTTAGTTCTGTTCTGAGATGAAGACACCACTGCCGCTTGCTGTTCTTGAACATGCCTCTAAGTGGGATTTTCCCAAGAGCTTTCCCTTAAAGAAAAGCAGAACAGAGGGCTGGTTTTAGAAGTGGCTGCTCCACCGCATGGAAGAATCACAGCCTCTGGGGACAGGTCTCACCACAGGCTATTATTAGAACTGAGCTGTGAGTTTGAAAATGGAAAGTGAGACTCTGCTTGCATATACGTGCACACTGTGGATGCCCAGGTGCCAACGAGTGAAAGGACTCGCAGATGCCTCCTTGAACAGCATCTGTCTTCCTCTGTTCACTGGGAAGGTGTGCCACCACACTTCTATCTGCTGAGCCTGAGAAAAAAAAATTGTTTCAGAGTAGGCAGTTGCTGTAGAGCTACAGTAAGACAGGAGCAGGGGGCATCTCAGGGTGAATTTCCACTGAGGCAAAGCAGAAGACTGGGGAGGCGGAAAGAACATTAAACAGCCTGACATGACAACTGGTTTCTTGTGTGCGTGACTGTGGACAGATGACTACGCCTGTACATTCATCTGGAAATTGGATAAAGTAGACTAGGCCAACACAATTCTAATTTCCTTCCTAGGGCTAAAATTATAAATTCATATATCCTCTTGCTATCTGCTAGAGTCTTTACATCTATATCCAGACTTGTATCTACCAGTGGTGACACAGATACCTCCTGATACAATCCTTAGTCATCCAATGTATCTCTTTATCTTACCATTTTTTACAATTTTCATGACTGCAAAAGTCCCTATGAATTCAGGATTTTCAAAACGTTTGGTCTACAATTGAGCAATAGTGCATATGCTGCATGTCAATAGAGATAGTCACTTTTTCCTTCTCCCATATTCCTTACTTCACAACCATTGGATCCCCTGGGTTCTTCCTGTTAGTAGCTCAAACCTGTCTCCCTGAGCTCCCTCATCCATATAAACCCCCATTAATCACCTCCCTTGTATCAATTTAACTTACAAGGACAAATTATATTGTATAAATGATTCCTCCTGGTCTAAAAATGTGTATTACTGTAATTCCAATAGCAACAATAATAGGCAAAATAATCTATATTTTAAAAATATTGCAAGAAGCTATTAAACTTCTTTTGGATCCTGTCTCTGACACTTATTAGCTGTGTGACCATAGCTAAGTCACCTAACCTCTCTGGACTTAAGTTTTCTATTACGTAAATTAAGGATCATGAAAGTATCTAGTCCATGGGGAATTTGGGGGTACACATGTGCATGTGTGGGCAGACACACACACACACACACGCACAAAATCAGTGCATCTCTAGTTGAGAGAAAAAGAGCATATGCCTCTTTCTTTCCCCATTCTTTCTATACTT
Source organism: Homo sapiens (assembly GCF_000001405.40). NCBI lineage: Eukaryota > Metazoa > Chordata > Mammalia > Primates > Hominidae > Homo > Homo sapiens. Next base: position 38,612,480 of record NC_000018.10, read on the forward strand.
GGGAATGTATGCACTTTCCTAGACACGTTTGAGAGATAGGAAACTCTATCATTATAACTGTGAAGCACTGAGTAGACCACAAGCTATATCATCATCACTAATAATAGCTAATTACCATTAATAATGATAATACTGGTACAAATTATTGGCCTGAAAGTGAGAAGTAATATTTCCTAAGTAATATTAAAGGCCAAAGAAATTGGAAGAAAATGGAAAATAAACAAAACACTAATCAACATTTTTATGGACTGATTATGAAATCAATAACCAGACAAAGGATGTATGCACCAAGAACCAAGGAAACAAGAAAGGCCACACTGTGACATCATTCATGTAGACTAGAAAAAGATCATTCACAGATTCCCAGCACTAGACAGGGCTTCTCAGAAGGTACCTGGTTCAGGGTCTACTCCTCAAGAGGGAGATGATTGGGAATGACAATGATCCAGGATTATTAATATTATTAGTGAGGTTACCTATTTTACCTTTATTAAACAAATTCTTGTTGGTTTTCAAACTTCAAGACCAGCAGAAAAACCTGGTGGGAGAACAATACATTTAGTATTGTTATTAATTTAAATATCACTGTGGTTTCAGGACATACTTCTCATTTCAGTGCTGCTGTACTGAAACCACAGTGATATTCAATACTGACCAGTACAAGATATAAATATACAGTATTGTCATTGATTATTTTTAAAGATGTAGATGAAACTTGTATTTAGATAAGTGTTGTCCTTCAAAATAGTCATGTGGGAAAGACTTGTGTTTCCTTCCAAAGACGCGGCATTCTTCAAAATGTATTCAGTATCTCTATGAAAATGAACTTGAAACCGTGTTATGATCCACAGAAGAAACAGCTATCTTATTACATCAAAGTCCCTCTTCCTCAAAAATTAGTTTTACCCAAGTTTGCCAGATTTGCCTCTAAAATGACTTCTGGGTGTTTCTCAAAGAGTAAATTCTTCCTACTGAATAATAATTGGTTAGCATAGAGAATATTCTAGCAAATGTGTTACATTTTTTTTCCCAGAGTAAATTTCTCCAAATATTTGGCACAGAAACAGCATTTTTGGAAATTCTATATAAATTTTCAGAGCAATTTTCTTGATATTTGCTTTGTTGAGAGAAAATATATGTAAGTACTGATGTAAGTGATGCATATCAGCCTTGCCTTCTACTGTAATTAAATAATTTGGTAGTTTTTGTCTCAACAAGTAGAACAGGATCTTTCCTATGAGGCAGATTGCACATTGTATATCTACTACAGTATAAGATGTAAATAGATATTAAGTACTTGTCAGTTGGCTGGTTGGTAACCCAGTTCCTCTAAATTAGTAGCTGTTATTCATGGCTCCACACTATTGGGGTCACTCAGATCCTGACCGAATTGGCTTTGCATGGGGCCCTGGAATAAATACTTTAAAAGCTTCCGAGTGATTTTAATATGCAATCAGAATGAAGAATCCCTGAGTTTCCATAGAAGTTTAATTTTCCATACTGTGGTCCCTCAAATGATTTCTTTCTAAATATCTCAAGGGCCTCAATGACTTTTTTAAAATGTAGAGATGAAAATGGTAGTAGACAGTCATCATTATTTAAACATGAGAAGGTAAATAGATTGAACTATTCATTCAGTGGTTTTTGTGAAACAACATAAAAACAAATGACAACCCTCACCTTTGCCACTTCCAATAGATGAGCAAGTACTCTTGACTCTGCACTTCAAACATATTCTGAATCTGTCCACTTCCCTGAAACCTCACTCCCTACCCATCTCCAACCCCAGATTGAAGCTCTCATGGTCTCCCACCAGGCTATCAAATTAGTTTTCTAAATAGTCACTTTACATCTATTCTTGAACACATCAGTCTTCTTCATATAGCAACCAGGGGTAATATTTGGACATACATCCAATTAACATGACCAGCTCATTCCCAGTTTGAAGCTCTTAACACTTGCTGTGGTCTCTTCCTGGGATACCCCACCTCCACGTGCTTTCAACGTTCCCTTTGTCTCTGCTTTAGGGTCACTCTTCAGATAACCATAGCTGATATGGTTCTCTAAGACCAGTAACTTTTCCATGCCTTTGCTCTATTTGTTTACTTAGCACTGATTATAATCCTTTATTGTTCTCTCCCCCACCTTCCCCACATTACTAAAGTCCTTGAGGTCAGAAGCTTGTCTGACTTGCTCTCCCAGAGCTCCCATTGCTTAGTACGGGGCCTGGATCTTGGTAAGAACTAAATATTTATTGAAGGAAATACAGAAGAAGGGATGAATGCATTTATATTTTGGAATTCAAGTAACTGAAGGCACGTGACTTCCCTGGATACAGGTCACCCCTAGAAGCCTCACAGACAAATATAAATGGAGGAATAAGAGATGCTCCAGGGATATGACATGGCCACTTGCCTGGTCTTTCCTGCCATCTTCCTCATCTCTGAACCCATCTCTTTCTTGCTTCCACCTCTATAAAAAATTTCATTTTTACTCTGGCATTTGCATCGGTATTTGGTCTCTCAGCACTGGTTTTCAGTTTCTTCACATAGATTTAGCTTATTTACAATGAACTGCACGAGGTAGGATTACAAATCTCTATTATAGCTTAGGACAAAAACCAACAAGGTCTCCCTGGTTTCCCATTATGAGGGGATTTCAACATTAAGAAATTTTGGGAAAATTGAGCAAATTTCCTTAATGGAAACTGAATACTCATAATATTAACATATTCCTAGTGCATTCCAGGATCAGAGGCTACATGGAAGCTAGCTGGGTAATTCTAACAGTTCAAAGAATGGCCAGATTACCTCTCTGATATTGCCTTACATTTAATATTTTCCTTCCATGTTCAATTTCCTTATTATAAAGGAATAGAAGGAAAATTTGTATTATAGAAACAGGAAGAGTTTAGTCTATTCCTAGACTACAAAGACAAAATAATATTAACTGCAGACTTGTGTAATCAATCACATTTTCCAGCACATTAAAAGTATTTACTTGTCTAAATTTATTTTGACAATATGTGCATCTTGGACCTATATTAATCTATACATAGGCTCTCTTTTTATTTATAGGACACAGCCACAGCTGATACTGAGCCAGTATGCCTATGTACAACTTTATTGAATGTTTATGGCCAACATCCATTCTGAGTGGTTGAGCGGCCCTTATAATAGTTAAATGTTTTGAATATCACCCCTTGATACACCAATCAAGAGGTATTTATTAAACATCACTATGGGCAGCATACTGAGCCAGTCACAGAAGTTAATATAAAATAGTTTAAGGCCTGGCAGCTGACCTTGATGAGATTATAAATTAGAAGTGGACACAGGATATAAAGTGTGGTTTTGCACATATACATGCGTGTGCATACACAGAGTTCAGTGGAAGACTTCATGAAGTAGCACATATATCAGCCAAGTGAATATGGGAACAGAGTCAATTCAATGCTATTCTATTCTAAAAATACTTTTGGAGCCCCTGTAAAGAGCAAGGCACTTGGGACAGTGTTCTAGAGACACCTGGATGGTGAGACACAGTCTTTCTCATCCTGGAGCTTTGGTTATAATAAGACAATAAGAGCACAGAGGCTTCGGAATGAGCACAGACAGGCATGTCAAGGACAGCTGAGGGAACGACTGAAGACTTTAGGTGGGTCCTAAAGAATGAGTGGGAATTTCATGAAAAGAAAATTGTGCCAAGAGACTTACAGACAAAGAACAACTTAATCAAAGGAGTCAAAATAAGGAAGTACGAAGCTTGGTTGGAGAAAGTGGTTATTTTGACAGGAGTAAGGGATCTTGGTCAGGATCAAGTAGGACATAATATACAGATTGCAGAAGGTCCTAGAAATTAGGCTGAATTTAGACCTACAGAGGGAAACCTCTAGAAGACAGAAAAGTGAGAAACAGGGCCAGACTTGAGATAAAAGATCATTTCTAAAAGCTTATGCAAAAGTTAGTTTTAGCATCTTTTTCACTAGAATAGAGTCCCAGAACTCTTCACAGAATGATCACTGACGTCGGCATGATGAGCTCCAGATGGCAAAAGTGGAGAGATAGCAATAACTGCTGTGAGACTTTCAAGTCTGGTTTTAGGATATTTGGCACATCGTGGAACGTGCTAATGTATAACTCAATGTTTAAATTGTCATTTGCTATCCTTAATTTTTAAGGACAAAATAGGGGTCTGAAGCAGGAGATTTTAGAAGTAATATGAGAGTTGACAGACAAAGAAAGAGAACATTAGCCTGGCATGGATAACTTTATGTATCACAAGTTACATATTTTAAGTAAATGTTCACTGGATCATTTAACTTGGCATTTATAACTTGGGTCAAAAATAGAAACTTTGTTCAGTGTGTAAGGTACAAGTCTTATCATCTTCTACAGACAGACAGAGAAAAACCTCATCTAGGCAAGAGCAAGAATCTGCCAAACTTCTTTGACTTTGAGAAGGTTATAGACAAGGTTGACAGTGTCAATGCATGCAGCCTGATTTATCATGAGTTTTAGAAGGCCCTCAATAAAGTTCCACGTGACAGCCATCCATTGAAGGCAAGAGCTAAGGAGATCTAGGGTAGAGCATGGAAGTGAATGAAGAACTAGTTCAAAAAAAAAAAAAGATTAAAAAAAAAAAATCTAAGGACAGAGATGCCGCTGACATGGTGAGCTACATTGCCTTCCAGATAAGTTTGATAATGGCTAAGCTTTTTTATATAATTGTGTTAGTTTTTGGAGTTGAGAGCGGCATCTCAAAATGTTTATTGTGATAGAATTGCAGAAACTGGAGGAACTAGGTGCTTAATAGCCTAGATAAGATTAATTTCAAGTTAAACTGCCCCTAGCCTGGTTATGTTTTTACAGATTGCAGCAGTATTTGATCAGAAAGGAGGCAGAAAATAAACACTCACAGTGAATGAGTAAGTTGGCTATTTAAACAGTAGAAACAATTTCAACAGCTAAGATGGGGCTAATGAACCTAAAGAAATGGGGAGACATATATTAGGCTAGGAAGCGGGATACCTGAGTTCCTTCTACCTGTGAGTGTTTAAACAAGCCACTTAACCTTAATCTATAAATGAACAAGTCGGAGCAAATGATTTAGGAGGTCTCTTAATAATAATCCTATATAATACAGTGTTGATAATTGTGACATAAGAGGTTGCGTATTTACCTTGAATGAATGACCGGAAGACTTAAGGATATTTAGATAATTTAATTTCACAGTTACAGCAGAAAGAGACCCCCTTCCAGCCCCAAATCCACATAAACAGTACATAATAGAAATAATAATGAAATAAATGTCAAGCATTTTCTGTAAATTAAAGTTGTTTTTACTAAATTATGGGCCATATTTTTTGGATGTGTGCTCTGAAACTAATACTGCTTGCAAGGAGAAAAAAAGGAGATGCAAGTGTGTCTAATATATTGGATACATAAAAGCTGGAGTATGCATAATCGTCTTGCAAGAGTTCTTAAATCTCTGTATATAAACTGTTTAAAAGTAAATTAAAATTATTCCTTAATGAAATACAAATCTGAAGTCACTTGAATAACTAATCATTTTATGACCCATGCAGTGAATTTTTAATGCCTACTTCTACCTGATTATTTTAGATATGTCTGTGTTGTAAATTAAAAGCTACATAAATCATTAATGTGTTGATACAGATCAGTGAACTGCTTACACTATATGTGATTCCTTAGGACATACAATGTCTGATTCACCTCCCTCCCTTTCAATTATATGGCTGCCAGGCTCTTTTTCTCTATTCATTTTTTGCAAGGTCTTATTTGGTAGAACTGCATTCCAGGGTCTTTATCACTTTCCCAAGAGGAACTGATGTTTCCAATCAAAAGAGGGCTCACACTGCAAAAATGAACAGGTCCTAAATCCAAGAGTGTGAACACACAATCTACGAGGGAGAAGTTTGCTTTTATTTTTGTTTTTGTTTTAGTAATCTATGCTCCCAAGAAACTGTAGCAACGAAACATAACCTCTGCACTTTTTTAGGTCATTGCAGCCTTTTTACCTTCCTTGAAAATGTCGTGCCCTTTCTGTACCTCGAGTTATGAGGTTCCTTTTGCCTAATAGGAGGGCCTTCATTTTCATCCTCCATTAATCCAATGATTATACCTTTTTCATACACTAGTTCCAGATTTACATCTTGCATGATGCTGATTAATTCCACCTATAATTTAAAAAACTGCAATTCATTCAGAACAAGTTTTGGATTAAGTTTATAAAGCCCCTGCTATGAGAAATAAATTTTTCTAGATGCTATAGAGACAAAAAGATCAGCAAGGCATCCTTCCTAGAGCATAATGGCAAATAGAAAAATACATAAAAGTAGTCAAAAAATGGCAAATGCCAGAAAGGAGCATCAAACAAAGTGCTATAGATACTTAATTAAGGAAAGGTTAATGAAGAATTCAAAGGATGAGTAAGAAATTGCTATAGATACAGGAGGTTAAAAAAAAAAGGTGAAGGCAGGTAGTTAAACGCGACTCCAGTACAGGATATAAATTCAAAAATAGTGAGAGTTTAATTTATAAAAAGTCACATGGAAATATATTGAAATGTCTCAGATATTGGGGTTTATTAGAAGTAAAAAGAAAGTTTTTTAAAAATGTTCTTGCACTAATAAAGCTTACATTCAAGTAGATAGTGACAAGCAACATAAACAACTAATCACTAGATAATTTATCTAGTGTTGGTAAAAATAAAGGGTGAAGGGACCATAATGCCCTGGGTTTCCTATTTTAGATATCTCATTTGAGCAGAGGCATAATTGAAGAGAGGAACCAAGTTATGAAGAAAGAAGTTTTTGGTGCTTAAGGGGTATATGAGTCATCTCTCCAGTATACTTTTACTTTTTGTTTAGATGGTATCATATGCCCTTCCTTCCTTCCTTCCTTCCTCCCTCCCTCCCTCCCTCCCTCCCTGCCTCCCTGCCTCCCTGCCTCCCTGCCTCCCTGCCTGCCTTTCTCCCTACCTGCCTTTCTCCCTGCCTGCCTTTCTCCCTGCCTGCCTTTCTCCCTGCCTGCCTTTCTCCCTGCCTCCCTTTCTCCCTGCCTCCCTTTCTTCCTGCCTCCCTTCCTTCTTTCCTTCCTTCCTCTTTTCCCCTTCATCCTTCATTCCTTCATTCTTTCTTGCTTGTTGTTGGTCATGAAACAGGAAGCATAGTATTGTAGACAGACAACGTATTCTGCTACAAATTCTGAATGCTTGACGTGAAATCAGGGAGCACCCTAAAGCTCCTTTCAGCTATTGTTTTAATTAGAATTGCATATGAAAATTTAGCTGTTGTGGTAAGCTGCCAGCTACCTTAAATAAAGGAATCCTATGATGAATTGATAAACTAAGAGATGAGAAATATCAGAAGAGAAATAAAAACAATGTTAATATTGTAGACATAAAACTTAGTGTTTGAAATGAAAAATGCACTAATGGACTTGATACTATACTGAAGACAGCATAAGAAAGGATCATTGATTTTATCCATATATATATCAACATAAATTATATGGTCTCAGAATGGAGGAAAGCAAGTTAAAAAATAAAGTTAATGCTGTTTCAATGGCCTATGGGGCAATAGCACACAGTTTAATATAGATGCATTTGAAGTCAGAAACAAATGAGAGATAATGGGCCAATGGTACTATTACTTTCCCATATTCCGACTCTAAACTTTAAGCACTGCAGTTCCCTATCAAGTCTTGGAAGTGTCTCTCTCACTCACCCTTCCTCTCTACACTTTCTGCTCACCCCAGTCATATATTAACAAAAGATATTGATTCATATTATATTTAGAAACTCTCACGACTCAAAAATTAAGAGAAAAATAATCCCATAAAATGATGAAAGATGCAGACACTTCAGAAACAAAATATATACATGGTTAATAAATACATTTAAAACTTCTTAGTGTAATTACTTATTAGGAAAATAGAAAATAAAACTACAAGTAGACACCACAATAATCCCACTATAATGGCTAAGATTAAAAAATATATATATTTGACAACATCAAAATGCGTCATGGTTATATAGCAAAACAAAAAGACCTATACTTTACTGTTTGGAATTTAGAGTTGTACAAGAACTTTGCTAAAAGTTTTGGTGGCTTCAGTTATGTTCAACATGTATATATTCCATAAACAAGAAATTCTACTCTAAGGTATTTGCCCAAAACAAGTGAAACACGTGTCCATTAAATGACACATAGATGAATATTCACAGCAACTATATATAGAAAAAAGAGGGAATTCAAATAGTACACTAGAATACATCTACCCAACACAAAAAGGAGTTATGAGAGAACAAATGTAACATAAGAAAAATAGAGTACGAACAGGAAATTGACACACATGCATCCTATCTTATTAGTAATTACATTTTACAAAAATGGACTAAACACACCAATTAAAAAGCAGTGATTGGCAGAATGGATAAATATATATGACTTAAATATATATTGACTACAACAGACACATTTTAGATTCAGAGACACAAATAAGTTGAAAGTAAAAAAAGAAAAAATATACCTTGCAAATAATAATCAAAAGAGAGCTTAAATGGTTATATTAATACCAGACAAAATTGAGTTTAGGACGAATATTGTTAGTAGAAATAAAGAAGGACAATTTATAATGATAAAAGAAAAATTCATCTGGAGGAGATAACAATTATAAATAAATCAATTATATGTAATTCAGTATAATATACCATGTCAATATAATTTTTAAGAAGAGACACACAGTCATCTCAATGGAAACAATAAAGCACCTGACAAAATCCAACGCCTTTTCTTGAAAAAAGTATCTAACAAACTAATAACATAAGGGAGCCTCCTAAATTTGATAAAGGCCACCAATGAAAAACTCACACCTACCATCATGTTTATCAATAAAAGACTTAAATATTTCTTTTCAGATCAGGAACAGGAGGACCAAGATGCCCACCCTACTTACTTGTATTTAACACTGTATTGAAAGTTTTGCTCAGCATAATTAAGCAAGAAAAAGAAATTGAAGGCATTCAGAGTAGAAGGCAAGAAGCAAAATTAACTTTATTCTCAAATGACATAAGCTTTTTCTTAGAAAATCTTAAGTACTTTATAAATAAACTACTGAAACTAGTAAACAAGTTTAGCAAGGTTAAAAGATAAAGGAGCAATATATGAAAATCAAGTGTTCTTCGTATTGTAGCAATGGCTGTCTAAATAAAAAGAAAACAATTTTATTTAAAATAAAATGAATAAAATACTTAGGAATAAATTTAACAAAAGAGGCAAAAGACATATATTGAAAACTACAAAACACTGTTGAAAGAAATTAAAGAAAAGCTAAATAAATCAAAGAACATACTTTTTTCATGAACTGAAAGGCTTAAATTATTAATATGAAACTTTTTTCCAAATAAATCCCTATCAATATCTCAGCTGCCTTTTTAAAGAAATTGACAGGCTAATTCTAAATTACTATGGAAATGCAAAGATCCCAGAATAGTCATAACAATCTTAAATGAAGAAAAAATTTCTTCTCAGTTTGAAAATACACTACAAAGCTACAACAAACAAGAGAGTACGATACTGGCCTAAGGACAGATATTTATGTTACTAGGACAGAACTGAACTTGCAGAAATAAATTCTCACATTAATGTCAACTAATTTTCAATGAGTGTACCAAGATAATTTAATGGAGAAGAATATTCCTTTTTACAACTAGTGCTGGGAATCTGGATATCCAAATGCAAAATCTTAACTTGGATCTCACATCACATACAAAAAGTAACTCAGAATGGATCATAGACCTAAATGGAATAGCTAAAATGATAAAACTCTTGAAAGAAAAAAAGAGGAGTACATCATTGCTCCCTTGGATTTTTCAAGCCTTCTTAGATATAACACCAAAAGCACATGCAACAAAAGAAAAATAATGAAATTGTACTTCATTTAAATTTAAAATATTTATAATTCAAAGGATGCCATTAAAAAAGTGAAGAGACAATTTATAAACAGAGGAGTTTTGCATTATAAATTTAATTTATATGTAATTCTTAAACAAAATTAATAATAAAAACAAAATAAAAATTAAAACAAAATTAATAATAAAAAACATAATTAACATGATTAAAACGAATTAGAAAAGTGGTTTTCTCTTGGTGAGTGATTCAACAGAAATGGGCATGAAGGAAATTTCTAAGGTGATGGAGATGCTTTGTATTTTGTTAGAGGTATATGTTATACTAGTGTGTGTATTCATCGAAACATCAAATTGTACACTTAAGTTTGTGCTTTCCTCTGATTGTAAATTTTATACAAAATCAAAACTGTACACACGCATACACACACAATTATAGACAGTCTCCAATTCACAATGGTTTTATTTAGGATTTTTTGACATTACAGTGGTGCTAAAGCTGTATACTCCTCAATTTACAATAGGGTTACATCTTGATGAACTCATTATAAGTTAAGGATCTCACCGCAAAACATCTGTAACATCTGTACTGAGGTCTAGTTCACAGGTTGGCTTTTTGCTGTGAGATATAAAAAAAATTACCTACTTTCTGTGTTCTAGAATTGAGAAACAAAGTAAATATCTTGAAGTAATGGAAGAGAGGAGCTAATATGGGAAGAACAAAAGAATGTACTTTGTAATAATAGATTGGAATTAGAGATATCAGTATGAGTTTATGTTTTAATGTATGTATGTAGAAACATAATTATGCAAATACAGAAATAAATCTATATGTGTGCCTTCATGTATGTGCATCATACACATAGCTTTAGCTATGTCCATTGAAAAGGACAGGGTCTAGAAGCAATGGCATTTCAGTAGTAATGAGCACACTTAGCACCAGATTTGGGTTTCTAAATTCCATTCTCCATTAAATAGAAAAAGATCTAACAGGAGAAAAATTCTAATTCGAAGGCTGGGGCAGGAAAAATACAAGATAAAAGTTGAATATTGTATTGCATCAGAGAATAAGGGCATACTCAAAACACAATGAAAACGTTTCAAAATGACATGATAGTGACTTGAAGCGGCTCACAATGGCCAGATCTGAGAGAATATAAAAGTCAAAATGTAAATGAATCATGAATTTGATTAAAAGCATATATAAGTTCCTTGTGCTATTCTTGTAACATTTTTGCAAGTTTAAAAGTATACCAAAATAAAACTTTACTTAAAAAATAGACAAGTTTGAGGTTTGAGAGATGATGAGTGTAATCATAGGTAAAGGATATTCAGAAGAGAGAAGTTATTAGTAGGAAAGGACAGATGTGTATGAGATTTACAAAATTAATTGTTTATTATTTCACTCAGTCATTCCACATTTTCAACACTCGTTACTGCTCCTAGTTTTTTTTAATAAGCATGAAAATGTAGGGAAGATCTAAATGCATAGAATACCCATCTTTCACCCCTTCCAATTCCCTTTCATCCCTAACAAAACAAAGGGGATTTGCCTCAGATGAAAAGAAAGCCAGTGGAGCAAAACCATTAACAGACAAAAGCCACTGGTCTAGTGGGAAAATATGTATAGAATTATTCAACAAAGATTTATTGAGCACTTACAATTAGCCAGACTCTGTGTTAAGTGCTGGTTGAATAGCAGTAAACAAAGTCCCTGCTCGATGATACTGGGTCACACCTAAACTTGATCTTCTTTCATTCTGTCTCCCAAACCCTGGCAATATATCTTCATTCTCTCCTCCAAGGGCAGAGAAAAGCTGGGCTTGGAGAGGACTAGCTGTGTGGCATTTCAGCTCCCCCACCCACCTGACTTTAGTGTGCCAGGCTAATTGGCAAGTCCTTGTCTTCTGGAGGTCAATGCTAAAGACACACCAGGGTGTTTTGGGCAGACAGGAGCATCAGCCAGGTTGCATTCTTTCAAAGCGTCCGACTTTGAGGACAGGTTTGATTAAAGTGAGAAATAATACAGCACTTTAGGGCAGGATGAAAGACTACTGCACAGAACAGAAAAGAGAATGGAGGGTGCAGGTCAGACTTCCTTTTTGAGTTTCCCTGACTGACAGACATGTTTCTGGAGAGAGGACAAGATCAGCTACTTTCAAAGGATAGCAGTGTTTTCTTTTATGGCTTCTTTCCCAGGAAGGAGCAGTTGCAAACAACCACACTGACATCTTCCTCACCCTGCCTTTCACTATGAAGCACCTGCCCTTCACATTCTACCTTGTATGGAGAGGAAAGTAGATAGCATTTGCTGGAAATTTGGTTCTCATGGTTCCCCTTTAAGTTTTAAACACACACACACACACACACACACACATTCATACTCATATTCTATTTAGATAAGTTTTGCTTTTGGGTGAAGAAGCTCTAAGTCTTTACTTCAGAATAATGCCAGCCTCAATTTCATCAAAATTATAATATGTACAAAGTTTGGCCTAGATGGTTTTTCACCTCTGTTTTTTTTTATTTGTTTATTTGTTTTTGTTTTGTTTTATTTTTCCTCTCCTATCTTTTTAGATCCTAAAAATGCATTCGCAGTATGTTTTCTGTTGTTACCACAAAAGCAAAAGCAAACTCACTAAGGCATTACTCAGAGCCAGCTCAATCTAAACATGAATTATTAACAAAGGATCCAAGGTTGCACTTCAAGAATTCTGTGATCCCTCTGAAATTGGGTCAACATGTTGTATTTATTTGTCTGATGGGGAAAACTCTAGCTTACACCTGTGATGGTAATTGAGTGGTTAAGAGATGGGTTTTGGAGGTGAATGCATAGTTTAAATTGCAGCCCCACACTTTACCAGCTGGGTGACCTTGGGCTGGTGACTTACCAGCTGCTTTGTTCAGTGTTCTCAACTGTAAAATGGGAATAGTAGATTTGTTGTGATGATTCATAAGAGTTAAATGTGGAAAGTAATTAAAACAGTGCCTAGCAAATAGTAATCTATAAATAAATGTTAGTTTTAATTATATTTTCATTTTATAAATGTCTCATAGGGATGCAAAACTAATAAATAGTTAAGAGCCACTGATGTGAATAGAAAGATAATTTATTCATTGCCCAAATGTGCCTTCAGTCCCTAACAGATGCAAAGATTGAGACTGAAGAAAGAACTTGTACATTTCTTTTAAGGCACATTCCAGTCTATCATTTCATTTTATTCCAAAAACCTCTAGAGAGCTGGTGGCATTTAACCATTTAAAGGAGCGGTATCCAAAAGACAATGCATTAATTTCCTTCCCTCTTGGTAGCCAGTTATTTAAGGCAAAGGCTTGGGGTTTGTTCTCCCTGCAAAAGATTTGAATAGTACTCCTTGGCTCCAAAGGCAACAAAATAAACCCCTTCTAACATCATAATTTAAGAAGAGGATGGAAAATGATTAATAAGAAAAATAGATCAGTTATCAAGTTTTTACTGTATCAATTACGGGTTAACCTTTCTCAGGGGGAAGAAAGGAATGCCCTGGAAATAAATCATCCTAGTTATGTCAACACAGTCACATTACACATGTGTGCACACACATATACATACACACACATATGTATACACACTTATGCAAGTACACACCCACTCACAGAGTGACGCTGAGCTTTTCCTCACACTGGGAAACAGAGGCCAGGTCACCTCACCTTTGATGTGTTAAAATCTAGGAAGGCCATGAGGGTTTCACGTGGGAAGGCAAATGGCCTGGCTAGAAGGAAGGGCCACTGCTCAGATTCTACCACTGAGAGGCGTGGGCCCTGGTGAGGGTTGGACTCGCCCTCCTCTGTGTCTCAGCTTCATATTGCTACAATAGGAACTCCCGTGGCCTCTCCCTATACAGGTTCTATAGGTAACATGGACAGGTATGATTACCTGTTTAATGAAACCTTCACAAGAAACAGAAAAAAAATGAGTTAAATATATCATAGAGATAATTCAATTACTGCCATTTTCTATCTTTCTTTGTTTCTCATTGTTCTCTTTATTGCTTGTTGTGGAATTAATTTTTTTCTGGCATTTGTTTTTACAAAGTAAGGACTAGGATAGATCATGTACTAGAAACTGAATATTGAAACTTGAAAGATACATGAGTTTCTCGAAGTCCAAAACATATGGAGCCAGAAAATTTGTTCCATTAAGGAGGATATGACCACATACAGAGGATGCCTGGGCAGCCTGAGGCATCTGGCCATAAGTGACCATAAAACATGACGTTATTCTATTTCTGTTCCACCTTTGCTTCAGTCTTCTGAGTTATCAGTCTACAAAATAATTCCTGTCTGTTATATAATGTCCCATTGATAGGTGCTGATCTTGTTCAATTTCTCTAAATTAAAAACACATATAAATCTTTAGAGACACACGTAGCATGGTGGAAGTTTAGCCATGATAAGAATGAACATGTGGCTCTTCTGAGACAGAAGTCCTAATAGAATAGTCCCAGACACATTTTTTTCTTACAAAGAGATGTGAATCTCAAGTCTTTACAGATTATAGTACTATACGAGCACTTGCTTTCACAGTGGATTTGTACCCATATCTTCTATATAACAGAATTTTCTTAAATGAGTTTAATGCCATGACAAACATAGCACAGTAGCCCTCAAAATGTTCAAAGCATTTTAGAACAGCACAAACCCAATAAAATGATTGTGTAGGGCTGGAGGTATTTTAGCCTCAGGCATCCTAAATAAGGGAGTAGGATGTTTAATGGTTTTGATGGGATAGAAGTTTTCAGAGATGATGAAGGGAAATAAAATAATTTCTTAAATAGTATAGAAGGCAATTAGAATATCTAATAAAAGGGGAAGTGTTGCTGTGCATTTCTTTGTGAGTACTTAGAGCAGGCGAGCCTGACCTTTTCTGCAGATATCTCTTATTGATTTGGGGGCTAAAGCTGAAGACACAGGAGCTGCCTACTGGGCCTGGCTGCTAGCCCAACTCCTCACTGGGAACGCTGCAGAACCATACATGGGAATTACTGGAAAGCTCAAATTTATTATTAATACTTCATAGTCTAATGATATAAAAATATGAAAGAAAGACTTCAATTTCAGAAAATACTCTGGACAATGTTTATTATTTAAATGTGCATGAATACACTACTTCTTAAAGTCAACAGTGTAAGAAGACAGGCTAGGTTATTGTTTCCATTTCTCACTGGAGGAATATGGTAACCTGCATGGCCACAGAAGAACAAGTACTGTGGAGCCATGAGGACATGGATGTAAACTTCAGTGTTCCATTAAAGAACCATGTAAACTCAGTGAGTTGAGAATTTTCTAAGCTTCAGTTTCCTGATCTGCAAAATGAGAATATTGTCTGCCTTTCTTGCAATGTGGTTTTGAGTTTTAAATACGAAGGCATGTGTTGAAGTCCTAACATTTCACCCAGCAAATATTAAAAAGTGCTCAATGAATGCTGGATTGCCCTCACCTTGAACTGTTCGCTAACCCAAAGAGTCCACACTATATGTTCTCTATTCTCCAAATATCATCTTCATATGCTAGCCTCTCATAAAGTGTTTCTGCATAAAGAAAATGGCCAGCAAAAGGAACCAAGTAGTTCTGGCTTCTCAAAGTAAACCATATTGCCTACACAAGAAAGTGAAGCAGAAAAATGAAAGTAATTTTCTGATATTGTAAGCCCAAAGTTCTGTTTGAAGAACAGTAGGATTTTGATTTACTTTGATTCATGTACGTGTTTATGCAGCTCAAAATGACTAATTAATAGCTTATATGTGTACCTGTGTATACATAGGTATGCAAAATACTAGAAGCAAACTAGATGAAGGTAGATTGAAATTAGAAAAGTGTTCTAAGTTATTGGTATTACTGACAAAACATTATAAACTCTTCTTTATATATTTAAAGTCTTCTCTAATTTTCTTATTTCCAGTCTTTCAAAATTCAAAATTGGATCATATTTTATGCTTGTAGGGTTGTTGGGGGTTTTTTTGTTTTGTTTTTTTTATAATACAGCTTTTCACATTGGTTTCTTTTTCTGTTCCTGCACATCTGGTTGGTTATGTCTTCAATTAAATTCCATTCCATTTGTCTTATAATAGTAATAATCATAAAACTTTTGCAGATCAAATAAAGCCTCTCCAATGAGTTGTTTCTTTTACACCCACCCTGGCTAGAGTGCAGCACATTCTGAATAGTCAATAATAATTTGTAACTACTATGTTTTACTCACAAGTACTAAAGCTCTTTTTTTAAAGGAAAGGATAGTACTGGCAAAATATATCATCCCAAGGTTGCATTTCTTTTTCTTTATTCATTTATGCATTTGTCCAGTGAACAAGCACTGAAACACACTGAAACAGCTACTGTACATCCAGTATTTTGTTCTATTTGAAATAGGAATTTGATCATATGGTTATAATTTTTTTAATATAGTGAATTTCATTGTTGTTTGTTTTTAATAAATACACAAGAACTTCTTCACCCATGTGAATACTTTTCTTTCAAATCAGTCTTTACTTCGGAAATCATGTGTTTCAAACCCCTTATCTACTCCCCATCCTAATTTTTTTAAAAATCTTACAAGAAGTCAACTCTCAGGAATTACTTGGTGCCAAGGAGAGAGATACTGAGTTTTAGATCTGTAAGCAACCATGGAAATGCTGTTGGTAAATTACTTGATCACGCTGTGGGTAAATAATATGTTTGGCCAGAAATAGATATAACTGGATATCTTGAACAACAATCTTTCAAAATAAGCTCCTGAAATAAGTTCAGAACATGATAGAAAACGGATCAGTAGAATATGTAACTAGCCTCTAAGAGAGGAATGACACTATATTAATTTGGATGTTTTCGTCCTTGTACAATCCTTCAAAAGGAGAGTAATTATGTTTCATAACCTTTATTTTTTAATTTATCAGAAGATACATGTAGCACATGGATTCCCATTAATAAGTTGCTTAAAATTGGCAACAGTGAGAAAGTACACATCTAAACATATACAACACCAAATGAAGTGACTTTTAAGGAAACAGTTTGAGGTTTAGAGCCAATATCACACCTTAATGGCACTGTATTCATGCTATTTGCTCATTCACTCCACGAAGTAAGTGTTTATTGTTATTTTGGTTTATTTTTTTACTAGGTTCTTATATATCTCAGACATTAGAATTTCCTGATCCTTGAGCAAATTATATTGTCATTTTAATAATATCTTAAGAATAGTTTCTATTGACTAGATATGTCCTATAATATTTAGTGAATAAGAATCTGCCTTGCATTTTATACAGCTAGAACCTGATCATTTGGTGCTATAAATTCTCGAAATGTGTATTAGAAGTAAAGATGGATAGCTGTGATAAAATTATAAACTTAGCTTGTATAACTCAGAGATAGAGTTTATTCAGAATGCTGCTATTAATTACAACCAGCTAAAGAGTTGCTAAGAGTTCTGGAGATGGGACTAATCTCAATTTCTACCAGGTTAATCTTCAAACCATTGTTGGTTTTGCAAAATTGAGATACTCCAATATCTTTGTGTGGAAAAGAGAGAAGTATACCACAATCTCATAGAGCAAAACCAATCTTAGAGTGTATCTCATACAATCTCCTCATTTTATAAATGAGGAAACTGAAACTCACTTGAAATGACATCTCCCAAAACAGCCATCAAATCAGTGTAGCCATGAATTCAGCCATGAAGTAATGCAGGAGAAGGCAATATACATTTCGAAAATCAGAAGCTGGAAGAAGAACTTGTGAGCAAAGAGAGGCACCTATAGCAGTTAATGAGTAAAGGGAGTTATTCAGGTACCATGTAGAGTTCCTAGGGAGTGACAAGGAAAAACATACTCCATGCTGCATAAGCTTTGTGTTCAAAGACTAGAGGATGTTCGTGGGAAGACGCATTTAGATGCATTAAATAATAGTACGTTCCAATACAATGTCTGATAATGTCTAATCCAAAGTAAGCATGAGTGGTATGAGGAAAATAAAGGGATAAGGCCTAGAGGGTCATTTAAAAAGGGTGGACTTGAACTGGGCTTGAAATGTGACAGAGACTAAGGAGTGAAAAAGACTAAGTGAGCAGGGCTTTGCAAGATGGCAGGGGAGTAACAGACAGGCAGAAAGGACTAAAACTGGCAAGTATTAAGGAATGAAGAGTTTTGGTGGCCCTTCTTGCTGAATTATATTTCAACCACTACCATGGGCAGGAGGTATGCAACCCCCTGGGATGGAAGTTCCTGGGCAATGTGGATCTACCAATGATCTGTTGCAGAAATGTGCCTTCTGTGGAGAATGTGGAGACTACAATTCTAGCCTCCTTCTATGGAGAATGTGGAGGTGCTCTTCTGCAAAGAGGGTTGGCAGATCCACATTGCACATCCACAGATGGTGAAATGTGATTCCCTAGAATTGCTAGGGAGAGGAGCGTTTCACATCTGAAGGCTCTAGTAGAGTTGCAGCAAGAGCCTTCCTAGGGCTGAAGGAAGCAGCGGACAGCAATGCTACCTGACAGCCACCCTACAGCATCTGGCTTTCTTTGGAGAGTTGCAGACTTTGAGCCTCTTACAGTTGGCCTGTCCCCCGCCAGCCCTCTCCCTGGAGTACAAGGCATGCCCTCATCCTTTATCCTTCAGTGAGGAGCATCCTAGGCTGATTGGAGGGCAGAGCATTAGCCCAGATCTCTGTGTCCTTCCCTGGCCCAGCTTTCCTTGAGAAGTGCCTCAGTCTATTATCTACCTTGGTTACCCATTTTTTCTTTATTTGTGATTCCTCTCTAACCTTGTCCTCATTGAATTAAAAACCCATTTCCATGTAAGCTATTGACTGGTTTCAGTTGTTAGATAGAAAAGTGCTGATAGGAAAATGGAAGAATTTTATTTAAGATAGCCAGGGTAAAGGGAGAGAAAGGGGGTGCAAAGATATGGGGGAATCAGAGACAACATGAAGATACTTACGCAGAAAAAACTTCTCATCCAGAGGAACTAGTAGGGTTAATGTGATGGTGGAGGCTACCGGCTGGAGAACTTTCTTCCTGTGCCAAACTGACCCACTTCAATGTGAGTTAGCAAAGGGCTTCCTTACCCAGAATTTAGATATCTGTGGCTTCAGGTCAGTGGGCTGGAGAATTGACTTGAATATTGCAAAGGAAAAGGAGAAGTTTGAGATGTTTTGTTTGATTATGTCCGAAGGGTAATAAAGGAAAATAAAGAGCTGAAAAGCTGGCTTTTGTTAACAGTAGTAGTAATAGCCAAAATGTGTAAAGCTTAGGATAAGAGAATGAACAAAAGATGCCCCAAGTAATGGTCTGTATACTTCAGGTTCAGCATCAAACAAAGCAGCTGAGAGACACTCATAATTGGTCTGTTGGTTGTAGAATGACTTTGTTTATTTTTTTTTACATGCCACATTATGATTTGTCCTTAGTCACAAATTGATAGTGGAAATGTACTTATTAAGTAAATTCATTAGTTTGTTTACTCAATAATGAGAAGCTACTATACAAATTGTTTGTTTTAAAATTCTAAAAAATGATATTTTCCAGTCTGCAGACATCGTCCTGTACACTTTTCATGCTCATTGGAGTCAATATTGAGCACTCAAAAGATCTTTAATGGGTATTTATATAATTGAGATCTCTGATTATATAACATGCATTCATTCATTCATTCATTTATTCATTTACCTAGCAAACATTGAGTGAGTATTTGCTGCATGCCCCAAGCACTGTGTTAGATTCTGAGGATTAATGTCTGGCTGGGCACATGTCATTATGTGAGTATAAAAACTTTCCATAATGAACATGCTCTTGAAAATTGGTGGACAAATTGAGTCACATTTAAATCAACTCACAGAGCCTGGTATTTAGGGGGATCTGTAAGGAAAATACTTTTGTTACATGAATATTTCTTAATGAAAATTATCATATTTAATTTGTGTCTTCTCTATTAACCTGAATTTCCATATGCTAGCTTTTTCTAAATAAAAATACCACCTGTATTTTGTTCCCAGTTTGTGGGGTACTAACATTTCAATTGGCTGCAGAGTCTTAAACTAATCATTTTCTTTCTCAACATTAGAAAATGTTGAATGGCCAAACACTCATCAAAAATGTCAAAAATGTTTTCATTTTTGAAAATCTACTCTAAATGCTGAAGTGGCTTGATTAGGTTAGAGAGGTTTTTATATCATTTTCTATAACCACTTAACTTAAGGGTAACTTTTAATGACATCCTACCAAGAGCTTATAGAATTTTAAAGCAATCAGGGTTTTTTACTTCCAATATAGTGGGAAGAAAATTAAACCAATTTATGCTACATATAAGGCTTTATACTATGTTCTATATGTTATTAAGAATATGTGATATAATATTTTTAACAATATGATGTTACTTATATTTGTAAGTCACCTTATATTTTTTCAGCTTTTTAATAGGTATCTATTTTGAACCTTGTCTTTTAACAACTTGGCATATAATTTAGTTCCCTGGGCTGAAAACTAAGCTATATAGTTGCCAAACCCGTTAAACTTGAACTCATTTTGGTTTTTGTTTCATGTTTGAGACTTTGTTCTCCTCTTTGCTTCACAGGAAAAGTTGTCTTCTGGTACCAGAATGTAGGAGAGAAGTCTTGCTCCACTCTTTGATTATTTGATACTTTTTTCAGTTCAAGGAGAGATTTGGAGTGGTCACTCTTTCATGATATGCATGTAGCGAGTCCTATAGGACACCTTTCTTTTGAGGCAATGACTCCTAAATGAACCACTCTGAGTATCAGAGTAATGACATGATAATGTATAAGAGTTCCTGTTTCTCCATATCTTCACAACGATTTTTATTGTCTTTTGATTATAACTATTCTAGTAAGTGTAAGGTGGTTTCTCATTGTGGTTTTAATGTGCATTTCCCTAATGACTAGCAATGTTTAACAACTTTTCATGTGTTTATTGGCCATTTATATATCTTCTTTGATAACATAAATAAAGGGTTCTCTGAAATGCTCAATGCAACATATTATTTTTCACAATACAGAACACACTACCTAATCTAAGTCTCTATTCTTGGGAAAGTGATGTAACCTCAGCTTTTTATCTACTTGTTGAACCGTTAAAAAGAACTGGTAAAAATAGTAATGGGCCTATTGGAGTAGAGACACACAAGTCATCCTTTAAAAATACCTATAATTATCTCTAACTCCTTTTTTTTTTTTTTAAGGTAAAGAAACTTTGTCCAACCCTGAAGAACTTCATAAAAACCTGTGAATTTCTATCAGTATATATATGGAATCTACCTCTATTTTCCAGCCTTTTTCTGGCTTCTCAACCAGAAAGGACCACAGTGAATAAAATAACATTTACCTGGAGTTTCATTCATCAACATTCTGTCCCCAAGAACCTCTTTACATGTTGGGAAGAAGAGAATATTTTCCTCTTTAATTATAAGATAACATTCATATTCATCTAAGGAAGGGTCTCATCTCAAGCAAAACCTAAACATAAGTTTCCCTGGAGTACTTAGTATAAAGAGAGAGACAAACATATCAGCTATCTGATTATGCAGGACCCACACTGGCCTGGCTGGTCAGTTTTGTTTAATGTTAAATAAGGCCACAGGCTCTGCAGAAAACTTCTCTGCAAGCTCATCTAGCAGTCAATGTCATTTCCTGTAATCTGGCAAATCTTGAGATAACCAGAACTTTCTGAATAAACTTTGCTTTAAAAATTGCATAGTCCACTTTATAAATCTAATTCCAAAAAAAAGACACTGCCTTCATCCTAACCAGCTTGTAGGCAAATAGTGTGATTGAAAACACATTCATAATTCAACATGGTTAAATGCCAAGGGCCAAAGAGATAGCACCTCACTGGCCAGTGTGGAGTGGGATGACATTCATAGTTGATTCAGCTCCTCGAAACAAGCTGTGTAATTGGAAAAACCGAGAGAAGTGACCTCAGCTATGTGTCCTAGTGGTGTCAAAATGCATTCCCATCAGTCTGACAAGTGGCCAGTTAGGAAGGTTCTTTTGAATCAAAGCAAAAATGGTAAGTCACAATTTTCAAGATTTCTGGAAATGCTGGATATAAAATGAGAAGACTAGAAGAGAATCTTTCTCAATAATAATCATAAACAGAACTAGTATTTCTTTATAGCTCACAAAGTTCTTTCCTCTATATAATCTTATTTGAGTCACATACTATATGAGGTTAAGGTAATTATATACATTTTCTGATGAGGAAGCTAAGGCAAGAAGCATTTAAGTGAGAAGCAGTTTAGTTTGGTGGTTTGAAACAGAGGATTTGGTGTCTGACCTATTAGGTATAAGTCTTATCTCTACTGCAACCTAGAAGGGAGAACTGGGACAAATTACCCAGAAGACTGAATGGTGACAAATCACCTAATATCTCTGTTTCCTAATCTGCAAAATGTTGATTAAAAATGGTCACTCTGCCATCAGGCTGTTGTGGGGATTAAATAAAACACTGCCTATAATTCACTTACCTCAGTGGATGGCAAGGTACATTTTAGCCTGTAAGTGCAAGGAACATTTTAACTGGTTCTACCGACTGTTAAGGTCATACAAGCCAAAGATAAAAACTTCAAATAAGACCCACATTAAAGAACTCGCACTTACTGATTTCATATCTTTGTCTCTTCTCTTCACATCATTCTTCATTTTAAGTTGTATAATACTCTTCATTTAAATAATAAATATTCAACTAACACAAATGCAGTGATCCTCTGGTATGCCCACAAAATTATTATGAATGCTTAGAAAGATTTTAAATGTATAATATTTATTGCACAAAACCTTGCAACCTTGTATGCAGTTAAGTCATATGCATATGAGAGAAATTTAATCACAAGGCACATTGAAGCCTCAGGTGAGTCATACTCAGAATAGATGCCACTGAGGTCCAGGAAGAGAAGACATATGCACTGAAATAGGGATGAAAGATTTTTCTCATAGCTATTTTTGTACTGTTTTTTGGATTGATTTGTAAGGATATATGGATAGACTAAGCCTTAAAGTTCCAACTTTGGTGATGAACGACAGGAAAAGCAGCTAGCGTAAAGGAAGGGACAAGTCAGAAAAGAACTTGGGAAGAAAGGTAAGAAAAGGAGAATTCACTGGGACTAGGGGTTAGTGACGTTGTGTTGGAAGGGATGTGAGACCAGACTGGCAAAGTTGGGATCAATAGGTTGGAGGCTTTGATGGTAGTGGCAGTGTACTCTCCCCAAGTCTCCTTGGTGAGTTGCAATATATTTGTAAGTGGACTGGTTCAGGGTTAAGTGATTTCTGTGGGACTGGAAGAGGCTTTATTTCATTCACTGTTTACTGATATATAGGACCATAAAATCCATGTCCATACCTAGCTCAGTACCAAACTCTAATTTGATCTTTGGCTCAAAATAAAACTTTGTGGGTGTGTGTGGGTGGGAGGAATGTATGTTTCTTTCCAGGAACAGTTTTAACTCTGATCCTCCCATTTCCTGCAATTCATTGCTCATGGAGCTGGCCCTAGTTTAGGGAACAGCTGGGAAGCTGGCTGCCTAGACTTCAGGCCACTATTGACTACAAGTCTTCCAGCACAACCAGATTAATGGAATTGGGTACAACTATAGTAGGTTGCAGTAATTAATCAATTTTATTTTACTTTACATACTTGCAGTTGAGGCTTTTGCACTTAGTATGCAAATTTATGTAAATTAAATTCAAACACATGCAAACTGATATGCAAATATGTGTCCCTAGATTTGCTAGGGAAAAAAAATCTGGTAGCCCTACTGTAAGTTCCTAAAATGCAGTTGGGGGAAGGGAGAAAGAAAGAACTTGAACTACTCTTGCAGCTTGATCTGCCTTTCATTTGTTAATATATGCAAGTTGAAAATGAAAATAAAAACATGTTTTACTTCAGCTGCTCCCTATGTTATAAAATAGAAAGCTGAAAATCTGCAACAATAACAGGAACAAAATCTGTGAGTCTCCTCCTTGAGATAAGAATTCCAAAGTTTTATTTATTCCAAAATCATCTGCCTTTAGGCATCGTGTCTCGTAAGTGTAGGTTTCTTACTTTTAATTGATCAGATTGAAGCTATAACTAAACCCAGAGGAAATGCTCTTAGAACCCTGAAACACAAGGCTGTATAATGTGAGCTCTGAGTTGTAGATAAACTGCTCAGAATCCACAATAGAAGTTGAAGAGAGTGGGAAGAAAATTAAATAATGAAAAAATTACAATTTGATTCATTCATATTGAACAAATGTTTTCTTTAAAAGATTATTATTTCTAAGTGAGCTCAAGTTAAGGGACAGGAACATATTCTACAAGCATCAAAATGGAAACTTTCTAAAGAAAAACACAGGTCAGAAACTTAACTTAGAATATATTACAGTAGAGGAGATGATATCTGGTACTTGCAATGTTGCATATGACAGATATTTGCAAGCAGGTCTAATCATTGAGAAAACAGTAAATGAATGAGCAATAAATACTAGAATAAGCACTGGCCCAGGCATTTGAAGAAATGGATTTACCGTTGGCCCTGCTATGACATATGGCCACATAAGGAAAGTGGGTCTTAATTTTCTCATTGGTAAAATAAGATAATGATAATTGCCTGACCTTTTCCAAAGATTGCTATGCCTTTCAAATGAAAAATAGCAAAGTACTAAATAGATGTTAATTACTTTTACAGAAGTTTATCTGTGGTCATTGCCAAGTTTTCCTTTCTGAAAGGCCTTTAAGCAATAGGGACTTGGTTATGGATTCAATCTGATCAACTAAAGATTAAAAAAAACCTGCATAAGAAAACTGATTTCTCAAGACAGATGATTTTGATGTAAGTAAAACTTGGAACTATGTCAGTAAGGAGACTCACAGTGTAATGAAGTAGTAAAAGGAGATCATTTTCCAAATTTGTGATCATGTTCTCTTGTGTACAATGAGACTACCTGGGATGTGAATTAAATGGTCCTTCAGGCTCTCAGATTCTGTGATTCTAGTGCCTACAGCCTCCTGTCTTGATACCCAAGAGTCTCCCTTTTGCATCTCAGGTCACCCTACACTGGGGGCCTTTTCATGCCTTTGCCATATATTGCTTTTTAGTTGCCACCAATTCTTGGCACAGTGTTCTTCTTGTCAGTTGTTGGATGAAGGCATTTGTGCCAAGGAATGCCAATTTGTTAGTCATTTTAAAATTTTTATATTGATTAAGTATTGACTATGAATATAGTTGGATATTTCATGTAACTAAAATACAATCCTTGAACATCAAAACTTAAAATCTTTAAATTGTAAATTTAAAGTGTGGGAAAGGAGACATATTTATATCCACCAAATCTAAAGTTGCTCTCTGTTACTGGGTGACAGTAGAAATGTGTTCTGAGATCAGAAATAAAATATCTACAATGGATGACTGGACATGGTGGCTTACACCTGTAATCTCAGCACTTTGAGAGGCCAAGGAAGGAGGATCACTTGAAGTCAGGAATTTTATATCAGCCTAGACAATATAGTGAGACTCCATCTCTACAAAAAAATTAAGAACTTAGCCAGATGTTGTGGCACAGGCTTCTGGTCACAGCTATCAGGAGGCTGAGATGAGAAGATCACTTGAGCCTGGGAAGCCAAAGCTGCAGTGAGCCATAACTATGCCACTGCACTACAGCCCTATAGTCTGGAGCCTGGGCAACAGAGCAACACACTGTCTAAACCAAAAAAAAAGAAAGAAAAAATAAAAAGAAAATATATCCAATCATCTCATACCATCTCATACAAGTTGGAATGGCAATTATTAAATAGTCGAAAAATAACAGATGGTGGTGAGGCTGCAGAGAAAGGGGAACATTTATACACTCTTGGTGGGAGCGCAAACCAGTTCAGCCACTGTTGAAAGTAGTTTGGAGATTTCTTAAATTACTTAAAAAAGAACTACCATTTGGCCCAGCAATCCTACTACTGGGTATATACCCAAAGGAAAATAACTCATTCTATTAAAAAGACAATTGCACTCATATGCCCCTTGCAGCACTATTCACAATGGCAAAGCCATGGAATCAACCTAAGTGCCTCTCAACAGTGGATTGGATAAAGAAAATGTGGTACATATACACCATGGAATACTACACAGACATAAAAAAGAAAGAAATCATGTCCTTTGAAGCAACATGGTTGCAGCTGGAGGCCATTATCCTAAGTGAATTGACATGAGAACAGAAAATCAAATACCACATGGCCTTATTTATAAGTGGGAGCTAAATATTAAATACACATAGACATAAAAATGGGAAAAATAGGCACTGGGGACTACTAGTCAAGGGAGGGGGATATGGGGAAGTGGGCTGAATAATCACCTATTGGGTTCCATGCTCACTTCCTGGGTGATGAGATCATTGGTACCCCAAACCTCAGTGTCACATAATATATCTATGTAACAAACATGAACATGTACCCGTTTATCTATAATAAAAGTTGAAATTTTTTTTAAAAAAAAATGCAAATAAAACCATACCTAGGCAAAAGCACAACAACAACAACAAACAAAAGCAAAGAAGGATATAGGGAATTTTGTGATGAGGAGGTACTGGGGCAGCAAAAATGAACCCAGTTTAGAATTTAGCTTCTTGTAGAGGTGAATTAGTAGACATGTTTCATAGGGTATAGGAAAAGTCAAGCTAGAACCTGGGGAGAGAAGGGATGGCTTTCCCAGCATAGCAGTGTTAGCCGAAATCCCAGATGTGAGTGAGTTTAAGAGTGGCAGGGAGAAAAGAGGCGGTTCACTGTCACCTCTAGGAATGCCTTACTGCAGGATTCCAGGAAGGGGCAGACACTTAGCAACTGGAAAGCAGATGAGATTGAGTAGACTAAGGTGCTGAGGAATCAGAAAAGAGTTTCAAGAAGGTTGGGCAGAGAGGCAGTGGGCAGTATTTTCATTAGTATGTAATACAACAGGCATGTTAAGGATGACGTATATTCAGCAGTTATCAGGGGAACCATCCCCCAATATTTCAACGTAGGTGCTTTCTATTTTCCCTAAGTGTCGGCCCATCTGAGAAATAAAGAGAAAGAGTACAAAGAGAGAAATTTTACAGCTGGGTCTCCAGGGGTGACATCACGTATTGGTAGGACCGTGATGATGACCCGGATCTGCAAAACCAGCAAGTTTTTATTAGGGATTTTAAAAGGGGAGGGGGTGTACGAACAGAGGTAAGTCACAAAGATCACATGCTTCAAAGGGCAATAAGATCACAAGGCGAAGGCAAAATTAGAATTACTGATGAGGGCCTACGTCCCACAGTGCAAGCGTTGTCTTGATAAATATCTTAACAGGAAACAGGGTTCGAGAGCAGAGAACCAGTCTGACTAGAATTTACCAGGCTGGAATTTCCCAATCCTAGTAAGCCTGAAGGTACTACAGGAGACCAGGGCATATTTCAGTCCTTATCTCAACTGCGTAAGACAGACATTCCCAGAGCGGCTGTCTATAGACCTCCCCCGAGGAATGCATTCCTTCCCCAGGGTTATTCCTTGCTGGGAAAAGAATTCAGCGATATCTCCTACTTGCACATCTGTTTATAGGCTTTCTGCAAGAAGAAAAATATGGCTGTCTTATGCCCGACCCGACAGGCAGTCAGACCTTATGGTTATCTTCACTTGTTCCCTGAAAATTGCTGTTAATCTGTTCTTTTTCAGGGTGCACTGATTTCATATTGTTTTACAATTAGATTTCATATTGTTCAAACACACATGTTCTACAATCAATTTGTGCAATAGTGGTCCTGAGGTGATGCACATTCTCAGCTTATGAATAACAGGATTAAGAGATTAAAATAAAGACAGGCATAAGAAATTATAAGAATATTAGGGAAGTGATAAATGTCCATGAAATCTTCACAATTTATGTTCAGAGATTGCAGTAAAGACAGGCATAAGAAATTATAAAAGTATTAATTTTGGGAACTGATAAATGTCCATGAAATCTTCACAATTTATGTTCTTCTGCCTCAGCTCCAGCCTGTCCCTCCGTTCGGGGTCCCTGACTTCCCACAATGAGCAGTGAGATCCAAGGCTGATACCAGGGATAGGTCCTGGATCCGATATGATACAACCACTAAACATAATCCTGTGGAAACTATGAAAAAAGTGAATTTTTTGAATGGTGCTACATTAAGTGAAAAAAGTAGGTACACTTGTTTTAAAGGATGCCAATTTAAAGGTGAAGGTAGAGGGTAGAGAAGTATTTGAAAATCTTCAACAGTAATTATGTATGATTAGTAGAGATCTGAGTGATTTCAGCCCCCTCTTTTACATTTACATTTTTGATCACATTGGCTCTGCAATTGATTAGTGTTGCTGTTATGTATTGGTACTTTGATTTTTGTTAATGAGAAGAGAACAAAGACTTTAAATGAGAAATTCATTTTAAAAAAAGGTTGAAGAACTTCTAGCATATTCCTAGGGGAAGGAAGATTTGCAGTGGGTCAAACCTAAACTTGCCTTTTTATTTTGCACAGAGATGATTTAGTTTAAGCAAAATATCATCTATCATGTTGAATTAATGTTGTTAATTTGCATTTTGCTTTGTATTTATTTAGTCTTCCTTTTATTTTACACTTGTGTATGAGCTAGACATATGAAATGTGTACCTAGTTTGGTGATAGTGAGATTCTATGACA
The DNA here is from genome assembly GCF_000001405.40 of Homo sapiens. Classification (NCBI taxonomy): domain Eukaryota; kingdom Metazoa; phylum Chordata; class Mammalia; order Primates; family Hominidae; genus Homo; species Homo sapiens. The sequence continues at coordinate 38,641,103 of NC_000018.10, forward strand.
TATGTATATATGATATAATATTCATATTTATTAACATATATGTATTATTTTTTCTTTAACACAAAGCCCTGACTTGCTTAAGTTTGATAAAACACTGCTATGTTCCTGAGCTACTAAGGATTTGAAATGTGGCTGGTTGCAATTGAGATGTGGTATAAGTATGAATAGACTCTAGATTCCAAGGAATTTTTATTAAAAAAAATTGAATTAATAATTTTATATTAATTCCACATTGAAATAACATAGTATTTGAATACATTGGGCTGAATTATATATGTATTGTGTGTGTGTGTGTGTGTGTGTGTGTGTGTGTGTGTGTATATATATATATTTTTTTTTTTTTTTGATACAGAGTCTTGCTCTGTCGGCCAGGCTGTAGTGCAGTGGCATGATCTTGACTCACTCCAACCTCCCCCTTCGGGGTTCAAGTGATTTTCATGCCTCAGCCTCCTTTGTAGCTGCGACCACGGTTGTGTACCACCAAGCCCAGCTAATTTTTGTAATTTTAGTAGAGACAGGTTTTCACCATGTTGGCCAGGCTGATCTCGAACTCCTGGCCTCAAGTGATCCACCTGCCTCAGCCTCCCAAAGTGCTGAGATTACAGGTGTGAGCCATGGCACCCAGCTGTAAATTACATCTATAAAATATATATAAATATATATAATATATAAAATTTATAAAACGAATTTTACCTATTTTTGAAATATTTTTAAATGTGACTACTAAAACTGAAATTAAAGTTCCATGTGTGGCACTATGACTTTCCCACTGGCCATGCTGGTCTGTAGTATATACTGCCTGGCAGCTGGGCCTGCCTGCTGCTGACAACCACTCTGTATTTGCTGTTTCTTTGAGATTCAGAGGCCAAGAAACAAAAATGTCCTGGCACTGAGACACAGATGGAGAAGGAGCTTATGGTGGCCCCTCTGGCCACAATCTCTGAGAAGATTCTTCTGTGCACAAATCAAGCAGGGCTAGTTTGGATAGCACACTCAGTACTACTTGGCAAGCAAAAGTTCCCGACAATGTGATATTTGTGAGTAAAGAACACAATTCATATTAGCTTAGAGGTTTACTATGGGTATTGGATTAACAGAAGGGAGAATATTAGACTCTTTTCACAAAGCTTCCAAGAGATCTTTGTAAAGAGTCTAATATTATCCCTTCCTTTTAACGTTCAGATTATTAGTTTTAGCAATAATCTCTTCCTTTTAACATCCCGATTACTTGTCACTGCCCAACTAAATCTGACCAGTCCTCTAAGGCCGCATTGAGTCTCATGTTGCCCTGAAAGACTTTACCTTCCAGAAGTCCCACACAATTCAGGGGCTCACTTATCTTCTGCACCAGAAATTCTGCCTTAGTATTGTATTGAAACCCTGTGTGTGTTAGCTTACCCAACAACCCACCCATTCAGAGGAGGGAAGTCTGGTGTCCTGGAGCCTTCAGCACAGGATTGGTTTTCTGCTTTTAGTGGGCACTGAATCAGGTGTATTTTTTCAATAAAATGAAGGTTTATGCATACACACACACACACACGCACGCACTCATGCTTTACAAGGAAGAATGTACATATGTAATATCAATTGATAGGCAAGTGCATATTAAGATAATGAACTTAAGCAGAAATATTTTACATCACTTATAATCATTCAGATTAATTCTCTCACAGGCATCAAATATTCTACTTCCTATCGGACATAAAAAGTGCTAGTAAAACAAACTATCTTATACGTATCTTCTTTGGCTGAGCAGGAGGTTGTTATTCGCTATGTACAACTTCCTTAGTTTCATCATCCAGAATCACCACAGTCCACTCCAGTAAAAATTCTGGTTTGGACAAAGGCCAAGAATACTTAAAAACAGCAAAATAAAACAAAAACATAATAGCAAGTTAAAGAAAAAAAGAATTATAGCATAACATAATATTAAAGACTGTTAATTTCCTCAAATATGTTTTATTATTTGCTTTACAAATGAGATATGACCTCAGACATTTTTAAATAAGTTAACTGCTAGCATCTCCTTTAGGAAAGCCAATATCAGATAATAAAATTCTGAAAATGTCCTTGCATATAAATGTCTAATGTTCTCTATAAATTCTAGAGTAAAGGGCACCAGGACACCCTTATGCCCTCATTTAACCTTTATCACCTACTTAACAGGATCGGTCTCCAAATATGGTTACATTGAGGGTTAGGATTTCAACATATGGTTTTTTCTCAGGGGATACAAACATTCAGTCCACAACACCTTGTGGTACAAAAACCCTGCCTATAAAATTTCCAATAATGAGAAATAGGTGAGTGGGCATTCAGGTATTAAAGGCAACTTTGGTTGCTCCTCTGAGTGGCACATTTCCTGAAGATACCACGGGGTAGAAATATGAGCAATCAGTTATAACTTGGGAGCCACAGGACAGCTTAGCCACAAACTGCTATGGGACCCTAAGAATATCGTCAGTTTCTCTGGTCTTAATCTCCTTATTAGAAACAAGGAGGCTTTTTTTTTTTCTTTTGAGATAGAGTCTCACTATGTCACCCAGGCTGAAAGGAGTGCAGTGGCTTGAGCATGGCTTACTGCATCCTCAAACTCCTGGACTCAAGTGATTGTTCCACTTCAGCCTCCTGAGTAGCTGGGACCACAGGTGCATGTCACCACACCTGGCTAATTTTTTGTATATTTTGCAGAGGGCTTTCTTTATGTTGCCCAGGATGGTCTCGAACTCCTGGGCTTGAGTGATCTGTCCACCTTGGCCTCCAGAGTTCTGGGATTACAGGTATGAGCCACTGTGCCTGGCCCATTTTTGCTTTTTAACTAGTAGGTAAGGAGAAGGAAAAGAGGCAGGAAATAAAGGAAAAGAAGAATCTTCTTTATTTTTTCTGTGTAAGTGTGTATAGTTAGCCAGGGGGTGTGAACATGTTTTAGTGGATACATTTCTTGCTAATGTTTGTAATATTTACATGCCAGATTTGCAGGCAGAAAACCAGGTGTTCCTGGAGGGTTTTGCCCTTGTGCCATGATCAAATGGCTATTTTCAAGAGATCTTCAGCAGTCCAGTGTCTATTTTTATAACCACAGCTTGGAAAGGCTATGCAAAATTAGACAAAGTATCCACAAAGGAGTTCATCACCTAGTTAACACTTGAATAATAATGCAGACAACATAGAAGAAAATGGAAAGGGAAGATTAAGAAGTAAACAATAGGATTACCAGATGGGGCAGACCTCGAAGGCATCAACATTTCTAATTTTTTTATTGGCTTGGAAGAAACACAAATTGAGAACAAATTTCAAGAAAGTTTGCTTCCAAAACACAACCTGATTTTCCTTAGTTGTAAGGAAGACAGCTGCTACACGTGTTTATACTAATGAATTTTAAATGCAAAAGGGAAAACTTCTGAAAAGCCCCCTAACATTACTCAGGAAGAAACTGCTTTGAGTTTTTTTCACACAAAGTTGGAAAATACATTCTCTAATCTCTGTAGATATGTTTAATTTCCTTATGGGATAGCCCAAGGTCTTTGGGGCTTCTTGGGATGTGCACTGATGACCTAGGGGAAGTCCAGTAAGTATGGAAAGAGTGGTCGGTCTCACTCAAATAAAAATAATTGGGTCATTTATGACATGTTATTTGAGGCTTAGTATGATATTTGTCCCAGACTGACTCTAGAAAGCAACCTTCCCTCCTATGGAGACACTAATGAAGAAGAGCCTAAAGTTAGGGGTGTTCTGCCTAAAATAATCAGTGATCCACTTTTTTTTTTTTTGAGAATGGTAAAGCCATTTTCAATTATTCAGAAGTATAAATCCATCTGTCAGTTTAACTTGTGTGCATGAATGGATCATATGTACTGGCTTACTATAACTTTAGAATATAGCACAATGACTGGTAACTACGTGGTGAATGACAGATGTTTGGAGTCCGGCCCAGCTCAGTTTCTTCAAGAAATTATACTGGGAACACTGGGTTTTGTGAATCATCTCTAGTGATGTCGAGGTGTGCTGTTTTGTGGTTAATAGGTATCCAGCACCTGCTCCTTCTTCATTCTGTTGTGCCCTCTATATTATAGAGTCCAAAAACTTAAATATGATATATTTTTCCTTAAAGCTAAAGATCCAGGGAAAACTAAGTTATTTGAATGCAAGGCACTGGAGAGGGATTTAGAAGACACAAGTGAGGTCAGGCATCTTCCTGCTGCTTTGGCTGCCTTTCCCAGTTAGTACGGCTGGAAAGTTGAAGTTTACCTGAAACAGTGTGTAAGTGTCAAGTCTTTAACATCATGGGTGTCAAGAAACAGATGCACCAATGAGTGCTGAAGGAGTGACTCATTTTTCCAGTGTTCAGTCATCAGCTTTATGGTGAATAAGAGCCAGATGGAGCTGCAGTGGCTTCCTTCTTCTGACTTTCTGATTCCTTGATCACATCTGTGGAATAATGTTCTTGGACTCAATTATACCCTTCTCTGGCACTTATCTTTGCTCTCTTTCCTGCAGCTTTATTTATCTAAGTTCCACCCTACTTCCTGGCCAAGACTCACAGGTGAACAATGATCCAACTCTTTTGAACCCATGCTCAGAGTGGTCCAAATTGATGAACTATGATCATGGAAAGTGCTACTCAGGCATGATCCAATTCCATAGGCTATTTTATTCAAAAATAAATTCATTGAGTAGCACATTTTGGGCAGCCCTTATTAATATGGTTTTAAATGAGATAAACAAGGTCCTGACTCTCATGCAGTTGAACTTCAGTGAAGGAAACATACAATAAAGTAGATTTATAAATAAATAGAATAATTTTAGAGAGAAATTGCAAGATAAAAATTGAGCACAACAATATAATAGATACAGAGGAAGGGATTATTTCAATTGTTGGTGATATTTGACCTGAGACATAGTGGACAAGAAAGAATCATATGCAAACCTCTGAGTAAAACACATGTCAATTGAAGGAATAGTAAGTACAACACTCTAGAACATGAACAGGCTTTGCATGTTTGAGAAACTGAGAGGAAGCAGTGAGACTAGAAAGCATTGAATCAAGAAGAGAGTATTACAAGATGACATTGGAAAAATAGTAGGGCCAGGCTACATAGTGTCTTAAAGGCCATGGCTAAGAGGTGAGTTATTACTTGAAGATGGAAAACATGTCATTTCTCAATGAAGAAAGAGATGTTGTATGATTCACTTTTCAAGAAAGCTAGCCTAGCTGCTTGGTGAAAATGTACTGTAAATGTTCTAGTGGAAGAAGGGATACATGTAATGGTACTCTTGCAGACATCTAGGCAATCTGTGATGGTGGCCTGGACCAGAGGGATAGCTATAATGCTGATTAAAAAAACAAAAACAAGAATGACTCTACAGTTTTAGCCTAAGCAACTGGAGGAAGAGTGGTGGTGTGGTTTACTGAGATAAGAAAAGATTTATGATCAAGAAGTTTGGGGAATAAAGAAAACACATTTTGGAGGGGGACAAAAATAGAAAAAAGTATAGGTGGTAACATTACCTAAGGGTTGCAATGACTCAATGCCTACAATTGTTACAGACATAAGCTGGAAGGTAAGCAGCTGTGAGCTCAAATATGAAGTAATAGACACTAATAGTTCTGTTGCCTTGGGTAATTACTTATCTCTTCAAACCTCAGGCTCCTCTTCTGGAAGCAATGATAAAAACATTTACTACAGGTGATGCTTTAAGGATTGGATAACATCATGGATGTAAGTCACATAACAAATGTTTGGAAAATAATCAATAACAGATGTTTGGAAAATAATCAATAACAAATAAAATATCACAGTTTTTTTTTCAGTCCTCATGACAGATAAGATACTCTGAACAACTACCCCACCTAAAACAACTAAAATTTCAGAATACAATATACCCATAGATATTTTAAAGGTCATTTTCAAATGCATTACTTAGCTGGTGGGAAATTAAGGTAAGTTCAGAAGCCAAAAGTCAAACGAAGCCTGGACTCCAGTGAAGGAAGTTTGCTCACAAATGCCAAGGTCTGACCAAAGCCAAGCTTGGTAACCTCAGCTTTCATTTTGACCTTGTGAGGAAAGGAGTAAAGAGGAGACATTATCTAGAACCTATGGATCAAAGGTAGTCTAAAAGGAGTCTTCTGTATAAAACTAGAACCCCAGAGGATTGTAAATAAACCCAGCCTACAGAAAGGTATGGCAAAAATACTCTCCTGGTTTCATTTGGATGCTAGATTGAAGACAGTTAAAAATCTCTCCAAAGGATTTGTAACATCAGGTTAACCATTATGTGAGTTTGTCAATTATGGTCCAAATTTTGTGTGCCTGGGTCATCTAAAACACTTAAAGTTAGACTTTATGTTAAAGTGGTGCAAACTTGGTCTTGGTCAGCTAGGAAAAGCAAAATTGAATAGTCTGTGAGACCATGCAAGTTTAGCCAAACTCAGAGACTCCTACAGGTAAATATACAGTGGATATGAGCTCCCAGGCAAAAATTAAAATAAATGGTAGCTATTGTCATTTTTATGAGAGTGAAAAATATCTGGCCAGACTTAGCCACAAATTTCCAACCCCTACACAGAACTGCTCTCTTGGTCCCACATTTAGATATTTCTCTAGTAGCTCGATAGAAATGATTAAAGCATTGACCCACAAGCATGATTAAAACTTGACCCATGGGTCTTCCTTCTAAGTTTGTGCACTTGCTCTGCCTCTCAGTGAGTCCCGCCTGCAACCATTACATTATGCAACTCAGAATGCTCAGCCTCAGAGTTGATGCAGCACCTCTGCCCTACTTTCTTGTAACAGACATTATCAAATTCTTTCTAAAATGCATTCTTTTCACACCTATTTTAGTTTCCATTGTACACTAATCATGTGGTTCTTGGTCCGTAAGTAATTTTAAAGAAATATCTTTCAAGGAAATGTAAGAAATTCCTGAGGTTTGTGTGGTGAAAAACTAAGCAATCCAAAACATGAAGTAAGAATCAGCTAGTAACTATCCAGTGGCTATAACAGGTTCAATTGATGGTATAAACTGAAGTTGCTTTATAGAACAGTGTTAGCTCTAGAGTTCAGAGGAGCTTCGTATTTTTTGTCTGTAAATATTCATAAAACCCACATCAATTACTGAATTAATCCTTTAGTTAGATTCTCTAGAGAATCACATTTCAACTGCATCTCTTGATGAGAATTTGCCATTGATACTGTCTTAGTTTGGAAGTAGCAATTCTGCCAGCTACAGCTTAAGTTATAAACTGTCTTTTACTGACTCATTTATAGAAGGAAACCACCTTGGGGCAAGAACTTTGTTGTTATTCAGCACTGTTCAAGCTAAACCATTCGTGCTGGGTATACTGGTGGCTCCTTACAGAGAACAAAAAATTAATAAATAAGTATCAGGCCACCTTAGCTAATTCATCTAATCATTCCCATAAATAATTAATTTTAATTTTGTTTAATTAAAGTTATAAAGTGGGCTGAGCTGAAGACACAGTGTGATTGGTTTAAATCAAAGAAACTTCGAACACCACAGACACCCGAGGTGCTCAGTTATCTCCTTACTACTGGGGTACCCAAATGTGCTCTTTTTGTATGAATTTCTTAGGCAATGTTGTTAAGCCATGCTTCATTTTATGACTAAATCACAAAATTTCAAGGATTTTTGGACTTCAAGAAGTTCAAAAATAAAATATTGATTTGACTGAAAGATGAAAAGACTTCTACTCACACACAGATTTGGACCTTTATCAGTATTTTCTATTGTCTGCATCTAATTAGAAAGAAGGTTTCTCCAAAGCCAAATTGGGCAGGGTGAGAGCCAGTGCTTGAATAGATGCCCAACCATTACTAACAGTTCACGTTTTTAATGAGATATGTATGTTCTTAAGTATTCCCTTTTTCTCAAAACACGGTTTTCTGTGTGGTCTATTTTTGGACCAATCTATACCAGTTCTTGCTATATCTATACATGGAGAAACACTTTTACATTATGAAGATATTATCCTTGAAGTCAAAATAGCTGATGCCTTCTATTTAACTATCCCTTTATGTTTTCCAAAGGACTTTTCTTATATGACCAATTGTTTTAAGAGCATCTTAATGTTCCTGGTTCCAGTTAGTATACATTCTTGGACAAAGAATCACAGACAAGATAAGTGGAACCCAAGCAGGCAGTTGCATTAGTAATTTGACTGACATGCTGGCTCTGTGAATCCAGCCTTAGCTGCAGCATTACCTCTCGCTCTTCCCCAGGAGTGTCAGTCTAGGGATATTACTTTCCAAGAATGCTTCTGTGTCCCTTCCTTAATTCCAGAGTTCAAGGTTGCCTTTCTCTTCTGCAAGTTGTCTGAAATCACTAGATACTAGGTTGCCTTCTTAGTCAAATATCAAGTCCACTTCTCTTCCTCACCAATACATTACCTTTTACCTCACCAGTCTCACAAAAACAACCATTTGTGGCTATAACACACACACACACACACACACACACACACACACACACACACGTGATTTGGATGACAAACATGGAATTTTAAGTATAGGCTTCAACTTTGCCGTCCTCTATATATGCAAATGGAATAAAGAAATCCAGGAGCTTCTGTTTACACAACACTGTTTTTTTAAAAAAGTAGTTTAGACACAATATTAGATAGCATTTTACCTTAATAACACTGTCTGAGTAGATGTTGGTTTGCAGTTGTATAGAAATAAATACTAGTAGAGGCTCTGAGGTGTGGCAGAAATGAACTTAACTTGATATCTTAGTCTTCCATCTGTAACATGGAGCTGTGTTTTGTTTTGTTTTGTTCTTTCTTTCTTTCTCTGGTTTTCTTTTGGAAAAGAAAAGAGAAGGAAAGGAAAGAAAGAAAAAGGACGAAAAGAAAAGACATTTAAACCAGATTACCTCTAAGGTCTTTTCCAGCCCTAATATTCTTTGATCCAAAGAGGAAACACTTTTGGTTCTCCAGGGAATGGGAGACATATTCTTTCAGACGCTCTAAATGGGTCTGAAAGCAGTCTTCTCTAAAATAGTGTCAGTATATTTGAAGTCCTGCCCAAGGGCAGAATAGGTCTTTTATGTCTGAAAAAGGTGATTTTGGTCTAAGCAGTTCCCGAGGCTGGTGCAGCCACCTTATGGAGCATTCTGTGCAGCTGGAAACTCACTTTGTTCCAAGAGAGAATGATTCCTGAAGTGTTTTCTTTATACTGAAATTCTTTTTATAAATTCCCTGATTTTTCCAACCTTGCCCTTTAAAGGAAGCAAAAATAAAACAATAGAACCATAACAGCTGTTTGCCAGAGTTGCACACTTTGGACAGCAAGGCCCTTTTCAAATGCTCTCCAACTCTCTGCTGATTTCCCGGTAGACTTGATCTTAATCACAAGCCTGATTTGGCACAGTAGGTCCTGGAAAGAGAGCAAATCTAATGCAATGTATGAAAAGAAGAAGCACCCTGTACATCTGAGCCACTCCAACTTCTTCACCCCTGGACCCATTTCAACACATTTAATCCTTTTCTTTCAGAGTTCTGCACTTTTAATTAAGTTAAATTCAAAAGGTTGATGGAGCAACTTATTAATTATTAGGTATCGAGGCCTTGGGGATACAAGGTGAGTGAGTGAGGCCCCTGCCTTCAAGAAGTGTATATTCTATTTGGAGAAAATAGCTTTATTACAATAACTGGACTGTAGAATTCTATCTGTAGTGGTAGATATACAACACACAACACTATGGGGATCATTCAGAAATATTCAGATCAGTGAAGGCTACAGAATAGAAATGATATTTAATTTCAAGCCATTGATTCAGATTTGATGAATAAATCAATTAGGTAAAAGGTATTGAATAACTGTTGAACACTCAGCCTAGTTTCTGAAATAGAGCTTAACACATTTCCTCAACTTATACATCATAGAGATAATTGACAATTAAAGAATAGTCAAATACTAAGCAGCATGACAACATTTATGGCAGTGATTTAAGCAGAGAGAGTATTCTAGGCTGAGGAAATTAGAGAAGACTTACCTATAGAGCTGAAGAGAGGAAGAGACAAGAACAAGTATTTACTATCTATTACCATTCTCTCTACTACCTCACACTTGTGCATGTGTGGGTGTGTGTGTGCATACACGCATGTGTGTGTGTGTATGTATACATACAGTGGGAAAGCCTTAAGATGTGAGGGTGACTATGTTCAGAATACTGTGATAAGATTTATATATCTGAGACAGAGGAATACACTGGGGGAGGGCTTGAATGGGGCAAGGTAAAGTACAGAAGTTTGAAATTGGATCTCTTTGACAGAAGGTGTGCATTTAAGGTTCTTGGCTAGGCGTGGTGGCTCATGACTCTCATGCCAGCACCTCAGGATGCTGAGACAGGTGGAATGCTTGAGCCCAGAATTCAAGACCAGTTTGAGAAACAGGGCGAGGCCTCATCTTTAGCAAAAAAAAAAAAAGAGAATTGAAAACATTACCCAGGCATGGTGGCATGTACCTATGGTTCCAGATACTCAGGAGGCTGAGGCGGGAGGATTGCTTCAGCCCAGGAGATTGAGGTTGCTATGAGCTGTGTTCGCACCACTGCACTTGAGCTTGGGCAACAGAATAAGACCCTGTCTCTTAAAAAAAAAAAAAAGAAGAAGAAGAAGAAGAAAATAAAAAAATGATTTTTGAACTAACAGTGGTAATGTCTTATACAAAGGATCTTCTGGCTGGCAGCAGTGTATAGGAAGGGCTGAAGGTAACAGAGTCTGTGGGTGCGTAGGATATGTGGCAATAATTCAGAAACGGAGGATCAGGATCTGACTAGGCTGTTGGGCATAAATGAGGCAGGAATAGAAGGGAGGTATTTTTGCTTGTTTCCTATTTGCCTCAAATGAAATGTAGGTGACTTTTGGCTAGAAATGTGAATACTAAAATATTTTTATCCTCACCACCTGCTTCGCTTTGCGAGTTTATAGCAATGAAAGATGGCATACAAAAGACAACTCTGAAAGAGATGAACAGCTCAATTTTTACCAAGGTCTTTTCTTAGGCTTTAACATGGTGAAAGAGAGAGTTGTAAAAGTTGAAGTTATCACAGGGAGAAAAGAGCAGTAACTTAAAACAATATGCTTAAAATTAACAATGTAAGCTAAAATGTTGACCTTCAAGAACAAATTGCTTCATACACCCCAAACCTGAATATATCCTTCAGTGAAATGCGTGCCTGTCCCAGTCACTTGCAGAGGAACTGGGTGATCAGCAGCAGGAGGTGTTGGTTGGGAATTCAGTCCACAAACTAGCTACCTGCATGCAAATCCCACCTCTGACAATCTGAGAGACTTTCAGCAAGCCCTTCTGTTAATACAGGAAGGTATTACTGGTACCTAGTTTGTAGAATTATTGCAAGGGTTAATATATGAACAGAGCTGGGGAACAGTGCCAGGCATATGTAGGTCTTTTAAATGATAGCTGCTGTGACGTTCTTATTTACTGGAGGTATAATCAAATATTGTCCTAATTCACCGTAAGCCTTTTCCTGCCTACATGCGCTTCCCACTCCTCTACTCCTTGTAGGATCACATCTTGTTAAAAATCAAGTAATATTATTGAGTCCTTAGTATGTGCCAGGAAATTTTGTATGTCATTTGCTTTGCTTAATTACAATAGTCAAAGTTTCTTTGCCACCATAAGTGTACAAGGTCTCAGGGATTTTAAATAACTTTCTCAGTCACACCACTATCAAGAGTTGGAGTGTGGTTTTAAGCCACCTAAAGAACATTCCAAAACATCCCATCCCACTACTTTCTTAGAAGGAAATCTGCTCTAAGAGAAGGCACACGGAAACTCACTTCATTGTTGTTAGACGAGTGGGAAGGCTGCACCAACCTCTGCTGGAGTAATCTGTTTAATTTTTATGGGAAGGACTGAAGGCTAAGAGCTATTAAGAGACAGTGTGCATATGTTCCTTAGAAGTTACATAACTGGAAATACAATATATTTAAGCCATTGGACATGGAACTCAATGCACAAATCGACTTCCAGCCAAACCAAACCTGGAACATCAAATTCTAATATCATTCATTTCTTTCATTATAGAAAGTATATCTCTTTCCCGAGAGAGGTGATGAAATCAGCTTCTAACGCCCTAGTGTAAATCATGTGATTAAGTGAAAACCTAGGTATTTTCAAGAGGAGAAAAATTATGTGATTTTTGCTATTAATAATATATATCCATTAACTGATGACTAGATAAATAAAATGTGGCATATCCATACAATAAAATGTTATCTGGCCATAAAAAGGAAGGACATACTGTTTCATGCTATAACACAGATGAACTTTCAAAACATTATGCGAATTTAAAGCAGCCAGTCACAAAGGATCACGTTATATGATTCCACATTTATGAAATGGACGGAATAGGCAACTCTACAGAGACAGAAAATAGATTACTGTTTGTGATGGTTAATACTGAGTGTCAACTTGATTGGATTGAAGGGTACAAAGTATTGATCCTGGGTGTGTCTGTGAGGGTGTTGCCAAAAGAGATTAAATTTGAGTCAGTGGGCTGGGGAAGGCAGATCCACCCTTAGTCTCATGGACACAATCTAATCAGCTGCCAGTGGATATAAAGCAGGCAGAAAAATGTGGAAAGGAGAGACTGGCCTAGCCTCTCAGCCTACATCTTTCTCCCTTGCTGGATACTTCCTGCCTTCGAACATCAGACCCCAAGTTCTCCAGTTTTTGAGACTCAAACTGGCTCTCCTTGCTCCTCAGCTTGCAGACAGCCTATTGTGGGACCTTGTGATCATGTGAGTTAATACTTAATAAACTCCATATATATATATATGGATATATGGATATATATATATATGGATATATGGATATATATATATATATATCCTATTAGTTCTGTCCCTCTAGAGAACCTGACTAAGACACTGTTTTTCTATGGCTGAAGAATGAAAGGATTGAGATTGTTAATTCGTTGTGCAATGGAAGCTGTGAAGGATCCAAATATGGAGAAAAAGCAATTCACCCGTATTTGTAAGCTACCTCCTGGATCCTTATCAAATTATTAATTGCATGTTTATCATTTTTGTGTAATCTTTTTCATTTTTAAATGGACTTTGACAAGGTCTATGTTTTATAGTTAGACTTACTTTTTTGTGAGGATTGGGGGATGATGGCTAATTGGTATGAGATTTCTGTTTAAAGTAATTAGAATATTACAAAATTAACAATGGCAATGAATGCACAATGCTAGGATATACTAAAAGTTGTGGAGTTGTGCACTTTAAATGAGTGAATTATGTGATACATTATATGTAAATTATATACAGTTTATGTAAATGTTTTAATACAGTTAATAATGTTTTGATTATGTAAATTATGTTTTAATAAAGTTAACAAATTTATAGTTTACTGTATATTGAGCACTCACTATGTATCAATCACTTTACTGTTGAAAGGAGTCAGGGATGATAAAGCGTTGGAAGGAGAAGGCACAAGGAAAGGGCTGATCTTTGGTCCAGTAGTCCTTATGATATGACTGGAGAACTCCAGATAGTTGGAAGGGGGTTGTAGGCATTTTCTTAGTAATCATGATCCCATAGGGGAAGAAAGGGGGAAGACATACTTTGTTTCTTATACCTCATGTCCCAGGCCCACCTGGCTTGCTTTCATGTTCTTTTTGCCTCCTTTTTAACTATGAGTATTCTACATGTGATGCTGTAAAATGCTCTCATTTTAAATCAGCATACCCATAAAACATTTTGATGACAACTGGAGCCTGGCTTTTGTGCTTATTTCCTGCTCCTCCTTTTCCCAAGCCTCAGTATTTCCTCTGGCTCCCATGCCACGAATTCCTTGTATGGAATTGTCGACACTTTAAATTATCTCCAGCTCCACTGCCTCCCATATACTGCTTAGCCAATGTATACACACTTAGTTCTCTTAATCTCCCGCATAAGTAAATTCCTCAGCCCCTTAATCACCCCCGCCACTCTTCTCTGAATCCTTTCCAATGTGTTGACATCTTTCTGGCGCAATGGTGCCCACAGCCATATGCCTTTGGCACTTGTTCCCCTTGGCCTCCCACCAGAAATGGAACTTGGCCGACGTCAGAACAGAGAGTAAGACATATTTATTTGATTTAGCTTCTGATTATGTTCGCTTCTTGGGATGATGGTTGATTACTAGTGATGGGGTTGGCCAAGCACTGGGATTCAGGGCACGTTGGTTGTGGAGATGGTTCATGTGAGAAGAGCAATACCATGTAACTTGTGTTTCTCCCAGGAGTGGTCTTTTTCTAAAATAGATGAAATCGGGAATTTTGGAAAATGGTTATACCTTAGTTTAGCTTCCTAAAGATTGTTTGTTTTTATTTCTGTAGCCTGAATTTAAAATTACAATACAACTTTTCATAGTCTAGAATTTTGGGGTTAGACAACCTTAAGATTTCAATAGGCAGGGGAAGTCTGTCATAGCAGAATCATCTGGGATATCAGCTTTGAACGTTACCCATCATTTCTAGGTTACAGATGCTTTACTTCATGTAATAGAACTGTGAAAAAGTAAAAGGTAGAAATAAATCAATTTATTTGTATTTAAAAACCATCTTCTGGATCCCCACCTCGATAATGATTGTATGAACCTTCACTTTAGGAAGATCTTTCTATTTTTTAGACTTTGATGATGCCTAATAGTTTGTGGAGTCAGAATTACATTTTGGAATCTAGAAATATGATTTCTCTAATGATAAATTAAATAATATTCTAAAATTCTTTGAGAAAGAGAAAATTTTGTAAATAAGGTTTTTGGTAGAGTAACTGTAACTTGTTTAAGATGTAAGAAGTCTCTTACAAGGTTAATTTACACATTCAACCAATACCCCTTGAGGGCCTATAATTTCCCTTGCACTGTGTTAGACACTGGGGCCATGATATGGGTGAGATATATTCTGAGTATGAAATCACATATTATAAAAACATCCACAGATAATTATAAGAGAAGTAAGGATGGAAAATTTTTCTTTGTCTTACAAAGGCAATTATGCATATTTTTTCTTACATGCAGGAGAAAGACACCCATGTCACTCCCAGTGTGTCATTGACAGTGGTCAGTGGCATGAGCTTTGATATGAAGGATTGCATGATATCTAGATCAGTATGGAATGTATGTCTTCTTGGTATAATATTGCACAATTATCACCATTGGCAAGTTAAATCCTATCTCTAAGAGTGACACCAAGAGAGCATATTGCACTTGCTCAAGTGGGATATATTAATCTTGCCAGTGAATAAGGCAGATGTTCAGTCTAGGGTTTGGGGAAAGTAAGGAAAAAGAACTTGTTATTAGTGACAAACTTGTGTCAAATCCAGCTAGAAGTGATGGAATGCAGGCAGATGGGCATTTCCATGAGTAGGAGATATGGAAAGATCTTTCAGCAGTCATCATAAAATCTGAAGTTGTACATTAAAGCTATGGAAGGAAATCAATAAAGTAGTCAGCTACAGGGGATGCTACTGTCCCTTTCTCCTTTAAGAACAGATAATAGATGCTCAGAAGTCAGCAGCATGCCAGCAGCAAACTGATCAGAGAGTAACTTCTTGAGCTGTTTGAATATAAGTTCAGCATTCTGAGCTCTATCAAAAGGAACCCTTAATTACCCTGGAAATTGAGTTTCATTTTCTCTTCCTATGTGCCATCTCCTGTACTCCTAAGCATTGGATTTTTCTGTGGATGTGGAAGACCTCCTGGGGTCCTCTCTTGAGGTCTCGGCACCACCTTCTTTCCTGGAAATGTAGCTAGGCTTGCTCAGTACCCCTTTGCCTGTGTTTTCTCCTTAGGTTCCATCTGTCCTGCCTGTCAGACATCAAAGCACATCTTTACTGAAGATTCAGAGTGCTCTCAGAAGAGCATTACACCATAGGAAGGACAAAGGTGGAAATATAGGTAGTTAACTTGGTCTTTTTCTTAGTCCTCCTTAGAGAAGTTACTTCAAGGTTTACTCTTGGAAAGTGGGTGAGTGCTGTGTGCTCCCTTCACTCTTGATCTGGTTTCCTTCCTCTAATTTATAGACCAGCTCATATGAACAACCCAACCAGCTGGTCACTCCACCAGAAGAAACTCCACTCCCACTTTCCACCATCAGAAAAACTACACACACTTTGTAAGAGCATGCAGTCATCAAGTTTCCTCCATAGTCCCAGAACAAAACAGTAGAATGTGGTGCTGTAAAGCAGGGCTTGTAATAAAACTGTGTTCGAGTCCCACTCTACCACTTACTATCTGGAATCCTCGATTTTCTCATCAGTAAAATGGAAATTATACTGCTTACTGCATATGGTTGAATTGAAGCTTAAATAAGCTCACAATGGAAAGCAGTTAGCACAGAGCCTGGCACACAGTTAGCCTTCAATAAAGCATAGTTATTCTATTATTCCAAACAGTTCTCTGACATTCATTTCTATCTAACAAGATTCTAGGAGAAAAAGGATGCTAAATATAAAAACAGTTCCTCAGATTTTAGTTCATAAACAGATATATGGACCCAGTGTTTTTCTTATATGATATTCGGTTAAGCAATTATGCCATCCAAACATTACTTTTGCACTTAGTGATATTCTCCTTGCAGTGTTGTGCTAGAGAAATGAGTTCTCCCACTAGCAGCTCCTGGTCTTGCTCTACAGGAGCAATGAATAGGGTGACTTTATGTTCTTTTGCTCTATCTGGGGCCTGAATCAATAGCACCAACAAACAAATTATTCAAGCATGCTATCAGAATACCACTTCAGCATTTACTGGTTTTTCTCAATTTTCAAGGAACGGCTCTGATTCTCACTATTTTTATTCAGAATCTCCTCATGATAAAAGGGAACGTAAGGAGGTGACATTTGCCATGTGACTGGTTTGCATTTCTTCCTCTACCAGTTCTTGGCTACTGACTCTTCATCCCATCCCCTAGTCTTGGAGTCTTCATGGCTTCTACCTCCTATATCACTCATAGATGTTTCTACCAAACTGATACCTGGGTTTAACTTTCAGATTATGGCTCTATAATCTCCCACACTAGCCAAACTTTTTATAGGAGCAATTAAGCTTCTGGATTCCTCCTAAAAATGATGTTTAGCTTTGGGGCATTGGGTTAACCTTGCCCAATTTCTGGAAAAGAAAATAGTTCTGAGCTCCTGTTAGATCCCAAGGGAGAACCCCAGAGGTTTTCTTCATCCACGGGGCCAACACAGATTTCTTAAATCTGCACAAGGACATGTCTCCAGTCTCATCCTAGATTGGCTCTTCAGCTGAGCCTCTTTCCACCCTTAGAGTAACCCACTGTCAGGGTTGATAAAACAGAACTGAATAGGGAGCATAAGGGTGGCTGATTTGGCAGATCAGGCACAGGATAACCCTAATGAATTTTGAGAACTTGTTTGTTATTGTGTCTACCAGCCGAGATTCTCCTTATTTAAGAATCTAACAAACACACATACTGACAAGAATTGGTAAAATATTCTGGGATATTATAATTAATTATAAAGCCCATCACTCTGAGATGTGAAATTTATGTATGCCTGTATTTTTCAGGGTCAGGTCTGAGTCATTGGATGGATAAAGTCACCTTAGAATTCCACTGTTCTTTCATCCCTAATATCATCACAAGACTCCCAGTAATATTAATTGGAAGTGACAAATATCTATAAATTTATAAATTCTTCATATGTGCAGAGTATTTTACAGTTTACAATTGCTTCTATGCACAATACCTTATTTGAGCCACACAAAAATCCCTATGTGGGGGTTTTAATGTCCCCATTTTTCAGGTGAAGACAGTTTTAAATTGACTTTTGTGATTTACCCAAGATCATTCAGAAATGGAAAATTCACCGCTTGTCTCTGATTATATATCTACTGCTTACAGTAGGCCTTTAGGTAGGCATATTAAAAATATAGTTTTTTAATTAAGAAGTGGAATCAATTAAAAGAATATCAATTAGTGAGATCAGTTTTTCCATTCTTACATGTCAGTACCACGGTTTTTGGGTTTTTTTTATTACTTGATTTCTTCTTCATTATTTCGTACCTATGAGGCTGTTCAGTACTCTCATTAGTATCTTATCCAAGTCCAATGATTTGTGAATATTGAACTTAAAAGAAATATCCCCTTACCTGACTTTAAATCAGTAGCAGTGCTGTCTCACTTTTCTTATTATTTCCCAAGTGTCCATATTCTATCTCTTTATTTTTCTAGTTAAAAACCAATTTAAAAAGCATTTCAGTAACTCTGCTGTTGTAGAACTCTTGTTGTAATAAAATTAATAATTTAAATTTGTTGGCATCTAATGCTGGAAGTCCTCAGGGCACCTTAATGAAAATAGAAAATGATACCAATGCTGCATCATGCCCCGATGACTACCCCAGAGCAAGATTGGGCAAATGATTGCAAAAAGCATAATTCCAAATTAAAATTAAAAACAACAAGCACATAAGAAAGCATTAGCTTTACTCTGAAGAGTAATGGATTTCAGGTCTCTAGCTACAGATGATGGATGTAAGGGAAGGGAAAATGTCATCTGGTACTCTAAGGCTATATGCTGTTAAAATGTTAAGCCTTTACTGGGCCTTAGAAAATCTCTAGTTTGGCCTCTTCAAATTTATCACCAAGAAACTGAGACACTTTTAGGTGAAATGATATTATTAAAGTTCCATAGCTAATTAGAGAAGATTTGACTGGTACCCAAGCCACCTGATATCAAGCCAGGCAGTTTTCCTGCTGTTCTGTGCTACTCTAGTCTGCTTCCAGCATACTGTCAATCTACTAATTTCACAAAGCTGGAAATAACTGTCCTGAGCAGCTAATATATAAAATAGGAAGACAGTGGGGTGTGACTAGGGTGGTGCAAACAAAGGAAGTGAGGCACTGTTCTCAAGTGCAAACTGTAATATGGGGGGGTGTGGGTAAAAAGCTCAGTAATGAAGACAAATAATATTCTAATGCAATTTTTTTTAAATCAGGCAAAATTAAAGCAAAACAATCATTTTGCATTTTTTACCCCCTTAATTTGCATCCAAGGCAAGTTCCTCCTTTACATTTCCTGTTTTACTGACTTCATTCCAGTATCAGTTTTGGAAATGATTTTCCTTTTTTTATGCCTCCCCCTCTACATGCTAATGCTTTGTTGTTGAAACCAATGCTTTACTATTGAAACTCTACAGAGTAAGCTGCCCCTCCCTTTTTTTTTTTTTTTTTTTTACAGGGGCCAGAAATTTACTGAGGTTTGAAGGCATTCGTTGTGTGCTGATATTAAAATATGTTCACACATTCTTCTCTTCAAAAAGTGTAACCTGATATCTTTCTCCTAGAGTGTAGGCTGTACTTACTAACTACCTTCTAGTTAATAGAATGTGACAGAAGTGACAATGTATGATTTCTGGGACAAAGCCATAAAAGGCATTGAGGCTTCTTCCTTGCTCACTCTTGGATCACTTGCTCAGGAGAAAGCCAACTGCCTTGTCATGAAGACACCCAAGGAGTACCATGGAGAGGTTCACATGGGAGAAACTGAGGCCTCCCACCAACAGCCACATGAATGAGCCATCATAGAAGAAAATTCTTTAGCCCCAGTCAAGTTTTCAGTTTATGGCAATGCTTGCAAACACCTTGGCTGCAGCATCATGAGAGACCCTGAATCAGTCCATCCAACTGGAACGTTTCTGAATTATTCATCCACAGAATCTGCAAGAGAATAAATGTTTGTTGCTTTATGTAACAAAATTTGGGGGTAATTTCTTGTGGTACAATAGATAACTAATACAGTGTGTTCCACATTATGATCATGACTTTCATCTGGGGAAAAGGTAGACCTGTAAGACACTGAGATCGAAGTCCCTGAGCAATACTTGGCATAATCTTGTCTAGTATTTCCCAAATACTGGAGTAAAATTATGGTTTTGAGATAGAAGTAAATTTTATTACAATCCTGGTTTAATCCAGGAAGTAAATACCATCATTGAGTAATAGTTAATCCAGCTTTTCACTTAAAAATAATTGGCTGTATGCTACTACCAATAGGAGCTTGTGGTCCACAAGAGCTCACAAATGGTGCTATTATGAGTTGACAAAACTTTATCCCAAAACAGGGAGACATGCATAAAATCAGAAAGAAACCGCTCCAACAGCTCAAACTTCAAATGGTAATTGCACACATTGAACTTATCTTAAACACCTCTATCAGTATATATCTGAGTCCATAGTCATAGTTTAGAAGTCACTTCTTTAAATCTACCTAAAGAGAATGATTTCACTCAGTGAGCCTTGGTTTCAAGTAGAACAATATTATGTTGCTTCACTTAATTTTACCTTCCTAAATTATTTTAATTCCAAAGTACCATTTACCCTACAGGATGATTAAGGAAACTTCATAAGTACTGATCTGAAGCTTGGAAAATTAATGTCTATCTAAGTCACTAACAGGTATAAACATCTTGTTATACATTGTCTGTGATCTCTCCTCTCTTCCCTTGACCTATGAGACTAAGTACTGAAATCTAACCACATACTAAGTTATTAGAATCTATGAATATTTTAGGTCAAATTAACTCATCATGAAAACAGTTATAAGAACATCGGACTAACTCTTGATAAAGAGGGAAAAGAGGCAAAAAACTGACCCTCCTACTGTCACTGGGGAATGCAGCCTGAGGAGTGACTTCTGATGCATGCAGGCAGGGCTGAAGCAGTCTTGGATGAAAGGAAAGTGCTTAGTTTAGGAGGTCGGGTGAGAACCGCTCATTTTCTTTCTAATAAAGAGGATACCTAAAGAAAACATTCTAGAGTACTTAAATCCAAGTTATAATTCTGTATCTTTCTATCTGAACAACTTTACTCTTAATATTCTTATTCACCTAAAACCTATGTTATAGTATTTTCCTTGATTACTCTAAAAGATAATTAATATACCTGGCTTTTATTCCTATTATTTGGTTTTAGCTTACTTAAATTATTTTGGATTTTGGTTTTAATTTTATAAACAATATTACATTACCCTGATGACTGTTTTCTTTCTTTCCTTTTCAGAGATTTTTTCTAAAGATCCCATAATATTTTATATGATGAACAAGTCACTTTTTCAAAAAATTTAGGTATAGTTTACATGCAGTGAAAACCAGGGGTTTTCTGTGTAGAGTTAGATGAAATTTGACAGATCTCATAGGTTAAATAAACTGCTATGACCGATACCCAAACACTACTCCTAACTAGTTGTGCTGTTTTCCACTCTCACGACCAATATGTGTCATAGCTGCTTTGCAAAACAGAAAGCTGTTATTTTTTAAATGTTTAAATTAGTATTTTAAAAAGTGTCATAGCAGTTTGGGAAAACTAATAGAAATAGAAACTAATAGAAAACTGTTATAGCTTTTGAGAGACTAGTCACTTTATCAGGAAAATTATTATTTTGTAATTTGAAGCAACTGGAGAGGGGAAATAATACAGGACAGAATAACCGGCAAATTGTGTTCTGTACAAAAGATTGGAGAGAAAACATTTTACCTAAATGGTTGAAAATCTCTAAATAAGTCAATGTATCTTATTTTCTCTTGAAAAATTATGGAGAATGGCCATAAGTACAATTTGCTATTGACTCAATTAGTCACATATTTTTAGATATATTTCACAGTTACAAAAAATGTGAAAAGTTAAAGAAAAAGATGATGAAGATTTGAAGAAAATAGGACTGTAACCCTTAATACTCACTCTGAAAATATGCAGAAAGTCAATTAATTATTCAAATACTTTAGCTATTTGTAGTGTGTATTCTATTTACATATTCAGGAAATTAAGTAAAATATATCTATTGTTTTCCTACTCTGTACTTTATGAAATATGCAAGGTTTTTCACAAGACAAGGAGATACCCTGGCTTTTGTTTCCATTGAGTCAATAGACATTTGATTACCTGTTACTGCTTCTGGGTTTTGATTTACAAAAGTCTCGCCTACTTCCTTGTTCAGATAATTGTGATGATGTGACTTTAAACAACGTGATGCTTGGGAAATTCTTTATTACTGAAGAAAGGTCACATTCTTAAAAACGGGATTTGTTGCAGTTCTTATTAATAGAATTCTCCAAGAATACTTGGCTGCTCTCTAGCTAAGAAAATGCAGGTTTCTGTATATACATAGTTTTCTCTCTTTTTTTAATTAAAAAAAATAGAATTGAAAAAAAAACATTTATAGGGAAACAGCCTTATATGAACACTTTAATTATTGAACATTGAAAGGTAAAGTTTAAAGTATTACATCTATTTTTCATTTGCCCTTGCAATATTAGACACTGACTAATGTGTTAGAACAAGACAAAAGGGAAACTAAAGATAAATATAGAAAGTGACAGAGGCTTTGCAACTGCAGGAGTTTGCAAGATATGGGCATTCATGAGCTGTGTTGATCAAGCACAAGAAATTAGTAAAACCAGGAAGAAATGAGAATGATGGATATTAAAGAAGATTAAACTAATTGGGCCACTCATTGGGTTTAGCAAAAAGTGTCAAGAAAAAGGATTGAAGAGCAACTATATTCATCCCATAGGTAGGTAAATCAGAAATGTGTGGGATTAAGGTGGCCTGCAGATAAAGTGGGGGCAAGCATCAGGAAGACCTGGGAAGAGACCACTCAGTCACTGTACTCCTTCAACACTAATTTCTAAAGGCCATGGGAGCACACCAAACTCAGGCATATCACAACTCCCAAAGTAGTGGTTGCTTGAAACTGGAAAACTAAAAATAAATGGATGGTAAGGAGGGGAGAATGCAAGACTGATTACTAGTACATAAGCATTTTATCATAGGCACAAGGGAAGACAGACCAGATAGACCTTTGCAGTGACAGAGATAAAGAGGCAGAAGTTTGAAACGTAGAAGTTTAACCACTGAGCTTATTTATGGCCTTGTATGTTCAAAGACACCACAATTTTGAGAAAGAGCATTATATTTTATGGGTGTCATTTCTGAAGTGTGAAAGCAAAATAAACTGAAGTGCATATTGAGAGGAAAAAATTTAAATAGTAATAGCATGGGGCAGAGTTAATTTCAAGTGTATGTTTCCTCAAAGGAAAGTTCATGGCCTGGGATCAGAAAAACGAGTAAAAGTTGTGGTGAGTGAGCCTATACAGAAGCATGTATTATCCTTGGACCTTTCTCTATCCCACACCAAGAAAGTCTCCATTCTGTGAAGCTAAATATTACTGTATCTAATCAATAAAATTAATATGACCCCTACTGAGATAAAAATATTTATATATAGCATGGGTTCTCTGAGTGTACAATGAGGATAGATTAGGATACTGAGGAATCTTGACATTTTCAAGTCCAGAACTCTTTGGGAGAGCCCAAGACTGACCATGAATGGACAATAATGGGACAGGTAGGCTTTCTGCTTTGGAACATGCCCCTGTCTTGCCAAAAACCTCCATCTTGCTCATAGGTAAAATTATACTGGGCCATGTTCTCCATTAGTCTGCATTCAGAACACAATCTACAGAAATTGTTTATATTGGAGAAAAAACAGTTAAATATTTATCAGTGTAGAGAATACCCAGAAACTCAAAATCCAAGTCTTTTAAATTCTTCTTTGCACATGGTTAGATGAGGAAGAGAAAGAAATTTTCAGTGGAAACAAGTCTAGCCAGGTAGCTGAGTCAGGCTGTGTAGTGAGGGTCCTAGATAGGGAGAGGATGACTTGAAGGCCGTGTGTGACTTGTGAGGGCAGCTGGAGATGTCACTAAGTCACAGGGAGCTCTGTCTGAGCCCCCCAGCTGAGAATCAGAACCTTTCATCTGCAGGTTGTTTGGCCCATTTAGACTTCTATTTGCACAGCAGTTACACATAACAAATTTTTCTTGTTGACTGACTGAGGGGAATGAAGTGCGATTGAGAGCATGGGATAATATCTTGCCATTGCCCAGCCTCTGGGCTTGGAGACAGTGACCTGGTATGGAGAGTTATGGTGGTAGATGATTCTGAAACTCTTTGAGTGTTTCTCAGCTTTCAGATACACTCAGAGAGTTCACAGCTGGGAGCAAAAGGAGTAACATGCCAGCACAGTGTCTAGTAACCAGGGCTAACCTTGGGAACCTGCCACCCTGGAGACAGAGGGCCAATTTAGAAGCATACTTACAGTTCCCTTGAGTTACTGAGAAATATTTGGGAAGAGGAAAAGAGAGACATATTTGTTTCTATAGTTATGTAGATTGGGGTATACCAGAGCAGAGACATTTGTCAATTAATGGCCTATTTCCAAAATAAATTGTTGATGGTTTTGGTATGGTTTGTAATATCCATAGAATGGATGTGAGAGTCAGTGGTCTGGGTTTTAGACTAACTCTTGGTGCAACTCTGAGCAAGGCATTTCAGTTCTCTGGGCACCGTATTTCTTATCTACCTCTCATCCAGTTAGACTAGAGAAACTCTAAAGTCCACTTCATTTTTACATTCACTTAGCTTTCAATGTCTCCAAATTTAGCATATACTGTATATGCAAGCCAACTCAGCTAATGGAACATTTTCCTAGAGAATGGTCCCTTCTATAAATAACTCTCTACTCATGTCATATATCACTTTGACCCATATTCAGCCACACATGTATCTTTAAAAATATGTTGAAGTAAGCTACATAGTGCAGGCCACATTCGCTTTAAGGTCTCAAGCTACAGAATCACTTTAGATCCCATTTGACACTGTTGCTAAGAGAATAGACAGCAGGCATTACACTCCCACCCCTCCCCTATCACTTGGTTTTTCAAATTTTTATTATGTTATTATCTTTATTTCATAAAGAAAATACATACTATATAATACAATATAATATATATTATAAAATAATATAAAAATATAATGATTCATTTTAATTTTATTATTTGGGGACTAGGCAGGGTTCTCCCTCTCCTTGCTAGTACTTTAGTGTCACCTAGACCCCTGGAAAATCCAAAACCAGCTGACAGTCACTTCCAAAATTTCAAAACATTAACTGAATTATCATGGATGAGATATCCACACAATACAAAGTAAGATTTCTTTTGACATAGATATTTACATTAAATATATTCAGAATAATTGTTTTCACTGGAGCATTGATAGATCAGCCAAAGGCAATTTAATGAGACTATTGTCTGTCCTTGTAAGGGATATTCCCTCTCGGCAGCAAAGGTGGGACTGGAGCACACTGTATCACTCAGTCTTGTCAGAGGAGATGTTCTGTCACTGATTAAAGAGCTGCATGTCCTGTTTAGTCACAAAAACATTTTATGGGGAAACCTTGTTTCTGTCTTAATGGATTCAGGCAGTGTAATGAGAGCTACCAAAGTGGACATGAAGAAACCCTTTGAGAGACAGAACATGTCACTTCTCACTTACTCACTAATGGCAGTCCCTCCCTGGCTGAGCAAGCCCTTCTGGGCAGAGTGGAAGAGTCATTTAAAATGTACCTGTGTTTCTTCCTTCCTTCAAATACAGCAAAAGGTGACCCCCAAAAGATATTTTCCTTTTGTTAGAAACACTAAATATGGCATATGTATCTCAGTTTCATCAGCGGGATCTGATGATATAAGACAAGACCGAAAAATAATACTCCCTTAAATGTGCAGTGCATACTCTGCTTTTTCAAAGCCTATTTCTAGTTCCGAGTTGCTCAAACCTTACAACACACTTGGGAGTCGATGGGCCAAAAATAAGTCTCTTGCTTGTTTCTGTTACAGATTAGGCCTCCATGGCTTGAGGGACTTACCTGACATCTGTAAGACACCTGATGAAAGAATGAATAAAGTAGAGTCAGAGCTGGAGGTTCTCCAACTCTTCATTTACTTCTGTGTGTGTGTATGTCTGTGTATGTGTACACACAGACATACACACATATACATATATGCCAATAACAAGTTCGTACCTGCCATGACCAAGCTGCGATGCGTGCAGGGAAAATAATTGTACTATTCATGGAGAGTCAGGAAAAGGAGGACTGAGTTACTGAGAGTGCAGTTTTATTCTATGTCTTTTGCCAATTTGAAGAAGCAACTAATTCATAAACTATATGGTAAGCACATTTAACTGTTCTAGGATTTTTCTCATGCTTCATGAAAACAGATCATAGCTGGGAAACCAACTGTAAAATTAAAAGAACTAGATGTTGCCAATAAAGACCATCATTTCAGGAAAATAAATTTGTTTCTTGGAAGCTGTTCTTGAATGTGTGCTTGAGG
Organism: Homo sapiens; assembly: GCF_000001405.40. Classification (NCBI taxonomy): domain Eukaryota; kingdom Metazoa; phylum Chordata; class Mammalia; order Primates; family Hominidae; genus Homo; species Homo sapiens. The sequence goes on from NC_000018.10 coordinate 38,667,328, forward strand.
TGCCCACAAGAAAACTAATTCAACCGAGAAACAAATTGATCTTGCTTCACTGGTTTATATGAACAGAGTAAAATACACACCAACAGGTTATATCACTTAATAACTCCTTGTTCCCTATAATGAATCAATGGCAAGATCACCTTGAATTATTGTATTTTGAAATCATATGTACAAAGTCGCCTAGGACCTCAGTTCATGCACCAAGTTATGGGTTTCATTGAGGACATCTTCAGAGTTAACAGAATCAAAGTGATCAATGTTTATGTGGTACTTTATCTATTATATTTGGGAATGTTGTTTCTTGAAGGTTTTTTGTTAAGATATTTGTAACCGTGTGGAGACGAAATAAAATTGTACAATTTGATATTGTAGTTGGTGTCTGGAAATGCGTCATTTTACTCAGTGAAGTCATTTTATTGGCTCTTACAGTGAAAAAGGGACATGCATATGCAAAATCAATTCTCTTCAGCTTTGAATATTTTCTGATATGCTTTCAAAAGTTACATGCAACTTTTGTAATTAAATAACAGGAGTAGAAATGTGGAGGTTATATTTTCCATTCTTCCAACTCGTAAAAGCTACCATTTAGTGCAGTTTCATCATGTAATTTGGGGCCATGATAGGAGGCAGTGGCATAAAGCCTGAAAATCTTCCTGCCAATGGTTTCTCTAAAGTTCTTCCCCTTTTATGCTCCAGGGTCTGTAACAGATGTCCTTTGACCATGCCAAGTGGTCAAACAGATCCCTATCCAGAAAAGAGAATGATTTTTCAATTCTGAGTGGAGTGGAGGGAGGGTCACAGATTATCCCTATGCATTTTAAAAGCAAAAAGTTTAATGAGTACAGTAACTAGAAAAATTCGGTCCAAGAGTGATGTTTAAACATTAGGGGGTGACAATTCATAAGCTCTTTAAAGCAACCATTTTATAATGCAAAAAAAGCTAAAAAAAAAAAAAACCAATAAAAATAAAAAATAAAAAATAAACCTTAAATACTATGATGGTTAATACTGAGAGTCAACTCGATCGCATTGAAAGATGCAAAGCAGGCCGGGTGCGGTGGCTAGGCCTGTAATCCCAGAACTTTGGGAGGCCGAGGCAGGCGGATCTCAAGTTCAGGAGATCGAAACCATCCTGGTTAACAAGGTGAAACCCCGTCTCTACAAAAAATAAAAAAATTAGCCAAGCGTGGTGGCGGGCGCCTGTAGTCCCAGCTACTCCAGAGGCTGAGGCAGGAGAATAGCATGAACCCAGGAGGCGGAGCTTGCAGTGAGCCGAAATTGCGCCACTGCACTCCAGCCCGGGCAATAGAGTGAGACTCCATCTCAAAAAAAAAAAAAAAAGAAAAGAAAGAGGCAAAGTACTGATCCATGGTGTATCAGTGAGGGTGTTGCCAAAGTAGATTAACATTTGAGTCAGTGGGCTTGGAAAGGGAGACCCACCCTTAATCTGGGTGGGCACCACCTAATCAGCTGCCAGTGAGGCTAGACTATAAAGCAGGCAGAAAAATGTGAAAAGCCTAGACTGGCCTAGCCTCCTAGCCTACATCTTTCTCCTGTGCTGGATGCTTCCTGCCCTGGAACATTCAGGCTCTTAAGTTCTTCACTTTTGGTACTCATACTGGCTCTCCTTGCTCCTCAGCTTGCAGATAACCTATTGTGGGAACTTGTGATTGTGTGAGTTAATACTCAATAAACTCCCCCTTTATATATAAAAATATATATATATATGTATGTATATATATATATATATCCTATTACTTCAGTCCCTCTAGAGAACACTGAGTAATATGAATACTCATTAAAATAAATCTCTGAATGAAAGTTAGCCGAAAAATTTTATGTGTTTATATACCCAGTAATGGGATTGCTGGGTCAAATGGTATTTCTGGTTCTAGATCCTTGAGGAATCGCGATACTGTCTTCTCCAGTGGTTGAACTAATTTACATTCCCACCAGCAGTGCAAAAGCATTCCTATTTCTCCACAGCCTTGCCAGCATGGACACAGAGAGGGGAACAACACACACCAAGGCCAGTTGTGGGATGGGGGGTGAGGGCAGGGAACTTAGAGGATGGGTCAATAGGTGCAGGAAACCGCCATGGCACACGTACACCTATATAACAAACATGCCTGTTCCGCACATGTATCCTGTTTCTTTTTTTTTAGAAGAAATAAAGAAAAAATATCTATATCGTGTTATTTTATAAAAAACATTTTATAATTTATTATATTTAGTAATTTATTTTATACTACTATCTTTTCCTTTGAAAAATATATTTTTAATTCATATTTGTTAGAAATTCAATTTTACAAATTCAAATTGAAATGTGTATGTTTGGTTTGACAATATTTCTTTAGTTATAACTGTTTTTTCTAGTTATATTAAACAAATTCCACTAAAAATGATTCCCTTTGTGTTATTTTTTAAAAACAAAATTTTAGCCAAAAGTCGGCTATAAGCATAAAATCATAGAATCAGAAGGGACCCAAAATGTCATTTGTCAGGTGGTTTTTCACTATTTTACTACAAAATAATGAGTATATTCTTTACCCCCTGGAGACACACTACTTTGAAACAGTTTGCATGTTCCACATGTATTATGAAGAATTATAGTTTTAATATTCAAAGACTCATATCCTAATGTACAGTTAATATTATTGCATTAAGAAAAATTATGGTATGTAATATTTTTGTTAATCTGTGTAGTCTTTTTGCAGTATTTTTGTCCATTAAGCCACATGGAATACTGAAAATAACTAATGAGTTTCCAACAATTTTTATAGAGTACGAATGTAAAACTATTGATCTTTTCCAAATTTACTTATGAATTCCACAATGCTGGATTAACAGATTTGGGAAAGTTCCTAATTTAAGTAATATGTAACTGAATTTGCGAAGGACGTCTCTAACACAACATTGTCGTTAATATGGTTCAAAAATCCTTACACTTCTCTAGGGCTTCTTGAGAACTTTCCCTAAACACCGTGCCCTAAGCAGAGACGGGGGTGATTGTGGGTGACTCCAGCTCAAGTTTAATTTTGAAATAGGTTTTAGCTGAATGGGACTTTAGTTACATAAAAGGGGTGAGTACAAGTTATTGATTCTATGGTGGTTAGTCTTCTTTTGAGATGTATTTCCTTCTTTTATTGCTTTCTTACATGAGGTCAGTGCAGAAAAGTATATCTGGGGCTGTGTCTTGGTTTGGAGGTGATTTTGAATAGATAAACTCTAGACTACTGAGGCCCTACTCTCTTTGCCACTGAAAGACTGAATATACAAAGAGACAATCACCAGATCACATAATAAAAGTAGAACTCTGACCCACAACTTGCAGCAATTAGCATAGGAAACCAACCCAGGAAGCCAATAATTAACTCTGTAACAATTGGCCCAACATGACCAGGACTTGATTAATAACTAACAACTTCCATAATTTGTGTCCCCACTTTCAATTTAGAACCAGCAAAGGAAAATCAAATAGGTACCCTTAACCAATCACATAGGATGTCCTGTTGCTAGTTTGCTCTCCAACAGCTTTCTCCATGCAAACAGCTTTCAGTCAGAGCATATCTGAACCCTTCCCTTTGTCCACTATAAGGTTTTCCCATTTTTCTGCCTACCTTTATGTTTCCGTCAAAATGCTAGTGGTGTGGTGGGGTGGAGGATTCCTTTGCTATCGCAAGCTCTGAATAATAGCCTTTCCTTGGTCTCATTTGGTTGTTCATTTACCTCCACACCTTTGACTTAAAATGCAGTAGTTTAATTCCAATTAGGATAAAGTTTCGAATCTGTTTTTACTTAGTTCCTTGAATTAGAGACAAAAAAAAATGTTCCCAGGATTGATAATGGTTCAGTTAATTTCACCAGAATTATAACAATCTGTATTTTACACACACACACACGCATGCACGCGCACACACACACATTCTAAGAGGGTGGGAAATAAATCCAACTAAATAAGTGGGAAATAAATCCAACTAAAATTCAGGGAACTTCTACCTCAGTAAAATTTCTAGGGGTCCAGTGGTGTGGGGCTGGTTGAGATATTCCTCCTAAGGTGAAGGATAAGTTGCTGCATTTGGCCCCTCCTACGACCAAGAAAGAGGCACAATGTCTAGTAGGACTATTCAGATTTTGGAGGTATCACATTCCTTATTTGGGTGTGTTACCTGACCTATTTATTGAGTGACCTGAAAGGCTTCCAGTTTTGAGTGGGTCCCGTAACAGGAGAAGGCTCTGCAACAGATCCAGGCTGCTGTGCAAGTTGCCCTGCCACTTGGGCCATATGATCCAGCAGATCCAATGGTGCTTGAGGCTTCAGTGGCAGATAGGGATGCTGTTTGGAGCCTTTGGCAGGCCCCCATAGATGAATCACAGCAGAAGCCTCTAGGATTTTGGAGCAAGGCCCTGCCATCTTCTGAAGATAACTACTCTCCTTTTGAGAGACATTTCTTGGCCTGTGATTGGGCTTTGGTGGAAACTGAATGTTTGACTATGAGTCATCATGTCACCATGCGACCTGAACTGCCTATCATAACTGGGTGCTTTTGGACCCATCTAGCCATAAAGTGGGTTGTGCACAGCAGTATTCCATCATTAAATGGAAGTGGTATATATGTGATTGGGCTTGAGCAGGTCTTGAAGGCAAAAGTAAGTTACATGAGGAAGTGGCTCAAATGCTGATGGTCTCCACTCCTGCCACCCTGCCTTCTCTCCTTCAGCATACACCAGTGGCCTCACAGGGAGTTCTCTATGTTCAACTGGCAGAGGAAGAGATGACTAGGGCCTGGCTCACAGAGGGTTCTGCATGATATGCAGGCACCACTGAGAGTGGACAGCTTTAGCACTAAAGCCTCTTTCTAAGACATCCCTGAAGGACAGCGGTGAAGGGAAATCTTCCCAGTGGGCAAAACTTCAAGCAGTGCACCTGGTAGTGTACTTTCCATGGAAGGAGAAATGGCCAGATGTGCATTTATATATTAATTCATGGGCTGTAGTCAATGGTTTGATTGGTTGGTCAAGGACTTGGAACAAGCATGATTGGAAAATTGGTGACAAAAAAATCTGGGGAAGAGGTATGTGGATAGAACTCTCTGAGTGGTCAAAAACTGTGAATATATTTGTATCCCATGTGAGTGCTCACCAACGGGTGACCTCAGCAGAGAAGGATTTTAATAATCAACTGGACAGGATGACCTGTTCTGTGGACACCACTCAACCTCTTTCCCCAGCCACTCCTGTCATCTCCCAGTGGGCCCATGAACAAAGGGGCCATGGTGGCAGAGATGGTGGTTCAGTACCATGGACTTCCACTCTCCCAGACTGACCTGGCTATGGCCACTGCTGAGTGCCCAATTTGCCAGCAGCAGAGACCAACACTGAGCCCTTGTATGGCACCATTCCTTGGGGTGATCAGCCAGTTACCTGGTGGCAGGTTGATTATATTGGACTTCTTCCATCATGGAAAGGGCAGAGGTTTGTCCACACTGGAAAAGACATTTACTCCAGATATGGGTTTTCCTATCCTGCACGCAATGCTTCTGCCAAGACTACCACCCATGGACTCATGGAATGCCTTATCCACTGTCATGGTAGTCCAGACAGCATTGCCTCTGACCAAGGCACTCACTTATGGCTAAAGAAGTACAGCAGTGGGTTCATGTTCATGAAATTCACTGGTCTTACCATGTTCCCCATCATCCTAAAGCAGCTGGATTGACAGACTGGTCAAATGAACTTTTGAATTCACAATTACACCAACTAGGTGACAGTACTTTGCAGGGCTGGGGCAAAGTTCTTCAGAAGGTGGTGTGTGCTCTGAATCAGGGTCCTGACCCAGACCCTTCAGGAATGAAGATTTGGGTCACTCCACCAAGAAAATACCATGACCTGCTGAGGTGCTTGATGAAGACAAAGGGAATACAGAATAGGTAGTAGAAGAAAGTAGTCATCAATACCAGCTACAACCACATGACCAGCTGCAGAAACGAGGACTGTAGTTGTCATGAGTATTTCCTCCTTCTGTTAAAAACATGACTGTGGATATATACACTTGTACTAAGAAATATCTTCATTTTATTTCCTTTCTCCTTTATCATGTGACATAAGATTTATTAACTTCACATGAACATTTAGGTATTGTTAACTTTATGTAACAGTATTTGGGTTGGTGATTGGTGCGTTTCCAGTTGTATGAAGGATAGTTGTATTATGTTAGGCATAATTATGACCTTATTATTGTCTTTATTTGAAGATTGCATATGATCTCAGGAGATGTATATGGGTTCAAGTGGGACTTGTGATGGATAGTTGCCAAAGGAGATTAACATTTGAGTCAGTGGGTTGGGAAAGGCAGAACCACCCTTAATCTGGATGGGCACGTGTGTATATATACACACATATATATATACACATGGTATATGAATGTGTGTGTATATATGTGTGTGTGTATATATATGGTATATGGGTGTGTATATATATGGTATATGGGTATATATATATGCTATATGGGTGTGTGTGTGTGTGTGTGTGTATATATATATATATATGTATGCATTCCATTGGTTCTTTCCCTCTAGAGAACCCTTACCAATACACTTTGTATGATCTACTTTGAGGTGGTTCTATGTTGAATTGTTATTTTTAGGGGGGGTCTTGGGTGATGAATATTCCTGTTGAAACTAGTTTTTCAAATGCCCATGGGTTATGTTAAAATGAGGACTATTTTAAGCTTTTATTTTATTTGTCCCACTGCATTGTCCATCTGTCAAAATTTATCAAAGCCAAGAACTCATACTGCTGCAATGAATTTGTAAAGTCAAGTCCAAGAAAAATAATCTGGAGAGAATGATAAAACATTCAAACTTGTTATTTTAAAAGTTAATATTCAGCATATAGTCACAGATACACATAAACCTTTAAGTGACTTTTTTTTTTTCCAGTGGTGAACAGCAGGAATTTTCAGTTAGTTAAAGTAAAAGCACAATCTTGGGGACATTTGGGTTCATCTCACAGACATAAAAAGCTGTAAAATAGCACAATTCTCACCTTTGTAACAAGAATAAAGGTGGACAAACAGTACATTAATGACTTTTATTAGGATTATCAGTGAACTGAGGTTACAGGGTAAACAGCAATCATGATAGAGAGAGACAGGCCCCTGAGAGGAGTAGGAAAATCTGGGCATTTTTTTACCTCGGTCAGATTCCACCTAATAACATACAAGCTTGTAAATGAATTTAAGTAGACATTTGGAAAGGATAGCTAAAAGTAAACCTTGGCCCACTGTGGGAGTATGGAACCTCTCATGGATATATGGGAGTTCACACACTCCTGCAGAGTTTTACTCCAGAAACCTCATCAAGTGCCAATGGAAAAGATTTGAGGGAATTCTGAGAAAACCCTCTCACTGCCAAAACCCATCACCTACCTCTCTTAAAGAATAAAAGCATTAATCTGGACAGAAAATGGCATAAATACTTGTAACGTAATGGCACTGGTGGAACCCCATAGCAGCTACAATTGAGCTGAGGAATGGAGCCAACTAATGAAAATTCCCACACCTATCTCCTCTATTGTTATGTAGGAAAAATTGCCTAATCCTTCTGGGGGATGCGAAATGCAGCACAATTGTAGTCTGGGGGTACTGTAGGAAATACATTGCAGCTGGGACAAGGAGATGGGGAAACAGAGGAAACAAAAAAAAAACTTTTTCCTTGTAAGTGGAGCAGAATAAATGCTATATTCAACATTACATGTGGAAGAGAGGCAGCAATTTTTTGAAGACCACACCCCAAGAGCAGGTTCACAGTGCCTGCCTAAGATGAAGGCTCAAACAGAATATCAGATAACATACTCACTCCTGTACCCCCACTATCATGCTAACAAGTATAAAGTAAAAATCACAGTGTAATACACCTGGGAGAAATGGGAGAAGCAGACTTCCTTTGGAGAGTAGTACAAAGGGAAGATTCCAAACCTGGTGGCAAAAAAAAAAAAAAAAAAAAAAAAGAAAGAAAGAAAGTATCAGTACAGGAATTAGAAGACTCTGGTATTCCGAATGTACCCAGGGCAACAATAAATGTCAAATAAAGCCCCATTCCTGACTATATTATCAAAAATACCCACACTAAAGATCTAACAGAAGGAAAAATATGCTGAATTCCAAGCATTATGAGATATATGAAAAGGCAAGAAAAACACACATTCTAAAGAGATAAAACAAACATTAGAACAAGACTCAGATATGGAAAGACATTGGAACTATCAAGCAGGGCATTTAAAATAACTAAGACTAATAAGAGAATAATAAGTTGTAAGAGAAAAGGCAACAACATGCAAGATCAGATAAACAGTCTCAGCAGAGAGATAGAACCTATAAGAAAACATCAAATATAAATGTTAGAATTCAAAATGTACAATAAGTGAAAAAATCTCTTCTATGTTATGAGTACATTTGACACATCTGAGGAAAAGATCTGAGACCACAAAGATAGGTCAAAAGAAATTGCTGATTCGAATACAAAACTATACAAAAGGAGAACAAGAAAAGAACAGGACCTCTAAAAAGTGTGGGATAAGGGGTTGAGTTCTTGATTTGAGTCTCAGCTTGGTCACTGTTGGTGTATAGCAGAGCTGCTGATTTGTGTACATTAATTTTGTATCTTGACATTTGCTGAATTCATTTATCAGTTCTAGAAGCTTTTTGGATGAGTCTTTAGGATTTTCTAGGTATACGATCATATAATCAGCAAACAGTGACAGTTTTACTTCCTCTTTATGGATTTCTATGCCCTTTATTTCTTTCTCTTGTCTGATTGCTCTGGCTAGGACTTCCAGTACTGTGTTGAATAGCAGTGGTGCAAGTGGGAATCCTTGTTCCAGTTCTTAGAGAGAATGCTTTCAAGTTTTCCCCATTCAGTATAATATTGGCTGTGGGTTTATTGTAGATGGCTTTTATTACCTTAAGTTATGTCCCTTCTTTGTTGATTTTGCTGAGGGTTTGAATCATAAAGTGATGCTGGAGTTTGTCAAATGCTTTTTCTGCATCTATTGAGATGATCATGTGATTTTTATTTTTAATTCCGTTTATGTGGTGTATCACATTTATTGACTTAACATATGTTAAACCCATCCTGCATCTCTGGTATGAAACCCACTTGATCATAGTGGAGTATCATTTTGCTATGCTGTTGGATTCGGTTCACTAGTATTTTGTTGATGACTTTTGCATCTATGTTTATCAGGGATATTGGTCTGTAGTTTTTTTGTTGTTGTTGTTATGTCCTTTCCTGGTTGTGGTATTAGGGTAATACTGGCTTCATAGAATGTTTTCGGGAGAATTCCTTCTTTCCCTATTTTTTGGAATAGTGTCAATAGAATTGGTACCAATTCTTTGAATGTCTGATAGAATTCCTGGACTTTTCTTGGGCAATTTTTTTTATTAGCATTTCAATCTCACTGTTTGCTATTGGTCTGTTCAGAGATTCTGTATCTTCCTGGTTTAATCTAGGAGGGTTCATATGTCCAGGAATTTATTCATCTCCTCTAGGCTTTCTAGTTTATGCCTGTAAAGGTGTTCATAGTAGCCTTGAATAATCTTTTGTATTTCTGTGGTATCAATTGTAAAATCTCCTGTTTCATTTCTAATTGAGCTTATTTGGATCTTCTCTCTTCTTTCCTTGGTTGATCTCGCTAATGGTCTATCAATTTTATTTATCTGTTCAAATAATGAGCTTTTTGTTTCATTTATCTTTTGTGTTGTTTTCTTTGTTTCAATTTCATTAATTCTGCCCTGATCTTTGTTATTTCTTTTCTTCGCTGAGTTTGGGTTTAAATTGTTCTTCTTTCTCCAGTTCTGTGAGAAGTGACCCTAGATTGTCTATTTGTGCTCTTTCAGATGTTTTTATGTAGGCATTTAAGGCTATAAACTTTCCTATTAGCACCACTTTGGCTGTATTCCAGAGGTTTTGATAGGTTGTGCCATTATTATAAGTCCGTTCCAATAATTTTTAAATTTCCATCTTGATTTTATTGTTGAACCAATAATCATTCAGAAGCAGGTTATTTAATTTTCATTTATTTGCATGGTTTTGAGTTTTCCTTTCGGAGTTGATTTCCAGTTTTATTTCACTGTGGTCAGACAGAGTACTTCATATAATTTCAATTTTTTTTTTAATTTGCTGAGACTTGTTTTGTGGCCCATGATATGATCTATCTTGGAGAATGTTCCCTGTGCTGATGAATAGAATATATAGTCTGCAATTGTTGGACATAATGTTCCGTAAATATCTGTTAAGTCTATTTGTTGTAGGCTATAGTTTAAGTCCATTGTTTCTTTGTTTGCTTCCTGTCTTAATGACCTGTCTAGTGTTGTCAGTGGAGTATTAAAGTCCCTCACTATTATTGTCTTGACATCTATCTCATTTCTTAGGTCTGGTACTAATTTGTGAGCTTCAGTGGTAAGTGCATATATATTTAGAATTGTGATATTTTCCTTTTGGACTAGTCCTTTTATCAATATATAATGTCCTTCTTTGTCTGTTTTAACTGTTGTTGCTTTAAAATTTGTTTTGTCTGATATAAGAATAGCTACTTCTGCTCACTTTTTGTGTCCATTTGCATAAAATATCTTTTTCTACCCCTTTACCTTAAGTTTACTTGAGACCTTATGTATTAAGTGAGTCTCCTGAAGAGAGCAGAAACTCGGTTGGTAAATTCTTACCCATTCTGCTATTCTATATCCTTTAAGTGGAGCATTTAGGCCATTTATGTTCAATGTTAGTATTGAGATGTGAGGTACTATTCTATTCATTGTGCAATTTATTGCCAGAATACCTTGTTTTTCTCATGTGTTATTGTTATATAGGTCCTGTGAGATTTATGCTTTAAGGAGATTCTATTTTGGTGTATTTTGAAGATTTGTTTAAAAATTTAGAGCTTATTTTTACCAGTTCTTATAGTGCTGGCTTGGTAGTTAATTCTCTCAGCATTTGTTTATCCAGAAATCTTGTATCTTCCTTCATTTATGAAGCTTAGTTTCACTGGATACAAAATTATTGGCTGATAATTGTTTTCCTCAAAAAGGCTGAAGATAGGGCCCCAATCCCTTCTAGCTCGTAGGGTTTCTGCTGAGAAATCTGCTGTAAATATGATAGATTTTCCTTTGTAGATTACCTGATGCTTTTGCCTCAAGCTCTGAAGATTCTTTTCTTCATCTTGACTTTAGATAACCTGGTGACTACATGCCTAGGTGATGATCTTTTTGTAATGATTTTCCCAGGTGCTCTTTGAGCTTTTTGTATATGGAAGGCCAGGTAAGTTTTCCTTGATTATTTCCTCAGATATGTTTTCCATACTTTTAGCTTTCTCTTCTTTCTTGGGAACATCAGTTATTCTTAGGTTTGAATGTTTAACATAGACCCAAACTTCTTGGGGGCTTTGTTCATTTTTTTAAAATTCTTTTCTCTTGGTCTTTGATAAATCATGTTAATTTGAAAGCCTTGTCTTTGAGCTCTGAGGTTCTTTCAGATATTTCTTCAGTCCTATTGCTGAGACTTTCCAGTGCATTTTGCATTTCTCTAAGTGTGCCCTTGATTTCCAAAAGTTGTGATTTTTTTTATTTCTGCTATCTATGTCACTGAGTAATTTTCCTTTCATATTCTGTATCATGTTTTTGATTTCTATAAGTTGGACTTCACCTTTCTCTGGTGCCTCTTTGATTAGCTTAATGATCGACCTTCTGAATTCTTGTTCTAGCAATTCATAGATTTCGTCTTGGTTTGGATTCATTGCTGGTGAGCTGATATGATCTTTTGGGGGTGTTAAAGAACCTTGTTTTGTCATATTACCAGATTGTTTTTCTGGTACTTTCTTATTTGGGTAGACTTTGTCAGAGGGAAGATCTGGGATTCAAGGGCTGCTGTTCAGATAATTTTGTCTGACAAGGTGTTCCTTGATGTGGTGTTCTCCCACTTCCCCTAGGAATGGGGCTTCCTGAGAGCTGAACTGTAGTGATTGTTTTTGCTCTTCTGGGTCTAGCCACACAGCGGAGCTACTGGGCTCTGGGCCGGCAGTGGGTAGTGTCTGCAAAGAGTTCTGTGATGTGAGCCATCTTCAGGTCTTGCAGCTGTAGATATAAGCATCTGCTCGGGTGAGGTAGCAGGGGAGTGAAGAGGACTCCATGAGGGTCCTTGGTTGTGTTTTGTTTAGTGCACTGGGTTTTTGTTGGTTGACCTCCACCAGAAGGTGGCACTTTCAAAAGTGCGTCAGCTATGGTCCTATAGGGAGGATGCAAACTTGCCCTAGGGACATCTGGTTAAGTGTTCAGGTGGTGGGAAGGGCCACAGAGCTGGAAAGAGTTTATGACCTTTGTCTTCCGCTACCAGGACGGGTAGAGAAAGACCACCAGGTGGGGGCAGATATACACATGTTTATATAGAGTTCAGCCTCCCCCTGGGCAGGGCTTGCTGTGGCTTTCGTGGGGGATGGAGTGTGGTTCCCAGTCTAATGGAGTTGTATTTCCAGGAGCATTATGGATGCCTCTGCTAAGTCATAAAGGTCGCCAAGCAAGTGAAGGAAAGCCAGCAGTTGCAGACCTCACCTTGTTCCCATGAAGCCCTCAGTTCCATGCAGCCCTCAGTCCTCAGGCCAATCTTACCCCCACCCTGGCTCCCACAACAGCACCAAGGCTATTTCCAGGCAGCCAGTGACCAGGGCTGAGAACCTGCCCCAGACCGTGACCCTCCCCATTGAGAAAGCAAGCAGACTCACAGGTTTTTGACATCTCAGGGAGCTTGTAGTGGTGATCCAGCTCCTTCAAAGGGTCTATGGATTATCTTGGCTTCCCTGGTATGTTCCCACAGTAGTTCTTGGAGCAAAAGTTCACAGTGTGAGCTTCCACATGCTTTTCTGTCCATCCAAGTGGCAGTTGCAAGCTAGTCCTGCCTCCTGTCCACCACCTTAAACAGTAACCCCTGCAATGAACTTCAGCCTGGACATCCAGGCATTTCCTTACATCCCCTGAAATCTAGGTGGAGAATCCCAAACCTCAATTCTTGACTGCTATGTACCCACAGTCTCAACACCACATGGAAGCCACCAAGGCTTGGAGATTGCACCCTCTGAAGCAATCGTCCAGCTGTACCATGGCCCCTTTTAGCAATGCCTGGAGCTGAAGCAGCTGGGACACAGGGTGCCATGTCCCAAGGCTGCACAGAGCAGGGAGACCCTGAGCCTGGCCCAGGAAGCCATTTTCCCTTGTAGGCATCTAGGCCTGAGATGGGAGGGCTGCCATGAAGGTCTCTGACAAGCCCTGGAGACATTTTCACCATTGTCTTAGGAATTAACATTTGGCTCTTCGCTACTTATGCAAATCCCTTCAGCTGGCTTGAATTTCTCCTCAGAAAATGGGTTTTTATTTTCTATTGCATCATCTGGCTGCAAATTTTCCAAACTTTTATGCTCTTCTTCCTCTTGAATGCTTTGCTACTTAGAAATTTCTTCTGCCAGATACCTTAAATCATCTCTCTCAAGTTCAAAGTTCCACAGATCTCTAGGGCAGGAGGTGCAAAATGCTGCCAGTCTCTTTGCTAAAACACAACAAGAGTGACCTTTACTCCAGTTCCCAACAAGTTCCTCATCTCCATATGAGACCACCTCAGCCTGGATGTTATTGTCCATATCACCATCAACATTTTGGTCACAGCCATTCAACAAGTCTCTAGGAAGTTCCAAACTTTCCCACGTCTTCCTGTCTTCTGAGTCCCTCAAGCTGTTCCAACCTCTGCCTATTACCCAGTTTCAAAGTTGCTTCCAAATACTCAGGTATCTTGTAGCAATACCCCACTACCTCAGTACCAATTTACTTTATTGGTCTGTTTTCACCTTGCTATAAGGAAATGCCCAAGACTGGAATATTTATAAAGGAAAGAGGATTGAGTCACAGTTAAGCGTGGCTGCGGAGGCCTCAGGAAACTTAGAATCATGATGGAAGGTGAAGGGGAAGCAAGGCACCTTATTCTCAATGTGGCAGGAAGGAGAAGTACAAACAGGAAATGTCAGACACTTATGAAACCTTCAGATCGGCCGGGTGCAGAGGCTCACACCTGTAATCCCAGCAGTTTGGGAGGCAGAGGCAGGTGGATCGCCTGAGGTCGGGAGTTCGAGACCAGCCTGACCAACATGGAGAAACCCCGTCTTTACTAAAGACACAAAATTAGCTGGGTGTGGTGGCACATGCCTGTAATCTCAGCTACTCGGGACGCTGAGGCAGGAGAATTGCTCAAACCCAAGAGGCAGAGGTTGAAGTGAGCTGAGATTGCACCATTGCACTCCAGCCTTGGTAACAAGAGTGAAACTCCATCAAAAAAAAAAAAAAGTTTGGATCTTGTGAGAACTCACTCACTATCAGAAAGCAGCATGGGGGAAACTGTCCCCATTAGCCAATCACTTCCCACTGGGTCCCATCCACAACACATGGGGATTATGGGAACTGTAATTCGAGATGAGATTTGGGTGGGGACACAGTCAAACCATATCAAACTCCAATATCATTTGCATAAAAACTATAAAAAGAGAAGTATTTAGATATAAATTTAACAAAATACTTGCAGCATCTTTGTGCTAAAATCTATTAAGCACTAATGAAAGATATACTGTGTTCATAGATTTGAAAATTCAATATTAAGATGTTCCCAGTTTGATCTATAGATTCATCACTACTCTAATCAAAATCCCAGAAAGCTTTTATATAGATATTGACAAGCTGATTCTAAAATTTGTATGGAATGCTGAAGTCAGTAAAGTAGCCAAAACTATTGTAAAAAAGAAAAACAAAATTTGGAGAATTCATACTACATTATTCCAGTTCTTACTGTAAAGTTGCAAAAATCAATAGTGTACAAAGGATAGATATAGATTAATGAAACAGGATAGAAAGTCCAGCAATAGATTTACACAGGGAAAGTCAACTGATTTTTGACAAAGATTCAAAAGAAATTCAGTGGAGACAGAATAGTCTTTACAAGAAATGGTGCTGGAAAAATAGGACCTTCATATGCAAAAGAATGAATCTTGATATTTACCTTATACCTTACCCAAAAATTATCTCAAAATGCAACTACTGACCAAAATATTAAATACAAAACTATAAAAATAGATGAAACATAGGTAAAATATGTTTCATCTTGAGTTTGGCAATGAGTTTTTAGATATATCACCAAAAGTGCTGTTTATAAAGTTAAAAAAAATAAAAAGCACACAATGGATACCCTGGAATTTATCTAAATTTCAGAAGAATATTTCAAGAAAAGCACTATAACAGAATAAAAATCACAAGCTAGAGTCTTGTAGGAATATTTATATGTTAAATATTGAATAAAGAACTTGTATCCAAAATATAGAAAGGAGTTCTAAAACTCGTCAATAAGAAAACAATCTAATAAAAAATGGGAAACTATCTGAATAGACACTTCACTGAAGCAGAAAAATGGATGGCCAATAAGCCTGTATAACATTGTACAGAATCATTTGTCATTAGAGAAATCCAAATTAAAACTGGAATAATATACAATTTACTAAAATTTAAAAAAATGATCATACCAGCTGATAAGGCTAACAGATTATCTCCCAAGTGCTGAGAACTGTTCCTTGTCAATGATGAGAAGCTGAAATGTTATAATCACTTGGAAGAGAGTTTAGAATGTTTTTTAAAAAGTTAACCATACACTTACCATAAGATTCAGCAATCTCACCCCTTAGGCATTTACCTAAATGAATCAAAAACATACTCATACAAAAACTTATATACAAATGTTAAGAGTAATTTTATTAATAATTACCAAAAACCTGAAACAACCAAGATTTTCTTTAAGAGCTGAATAGATAACAAACTGTGATACTTACATAAATGGAAATAATACACAGCAATAAAAAGGAATGAGCTATTGATTTATGCAACAACATGGATGAAACTTAAATGGATTTTGCAAAGTGAAAAAAGCTTACATATCATACATATTACATGATTAAATTTATATGACATTATGAAAAGAAGATAGTCGTAGGTTTAGAAAATAGATATGTATTTGTGAGGAGTTTTGAAACTTGAAAGTGATTAAATACAAAGGGGCTATACAGGTGAGCTCTTAGTGTAGTATAACCATTCTCTTTAGTCCTAGACTGGTAGATACATAGCTCTATGCATTTATCAAAGTCCATAAAAATGTACATCTCAAGAAAAAGAAACTTTATCATATACCAAACTTTACTGTAAAAATAAGTCAACCAGAATCTTGGAGGAATCCCAAAATAGATCTAACTATATAACAAATGTGTGACTTAATTTCACAAAAGGTGGTATAGAAAAGCAGAGCTGACCTAAATAACGTTAGAAACATTCTTTTCGACGTAAGGCTTAGGTCAAAGAAACTGTGAATAAACACCATACTCTAGTGTTTAATTTATTTCTTACAGGGGTACAATTAGCGGTCTTGAGACGCCTTTACATATATACACACACACACACACACACACACACACACACACACACACACATATATATAAAATCCAGCAATAGATTTATATAGATCTATATATAAAAATATAAATATGGTTGAATAAAGAAGTAAATAAATTGTAGATAGTGGGATCCAGGTTTCTTTGTGACAGAGAAAGAAGTAACAAATAAGAGAATGGGAAGGCTAGAATGAATTTTGTGGTGCTGAAGTACAGATGTCAGTATGAACTAGTTTCTATTTTAAAAGATATACAGATATATTCAGCAATAAATATTGATATGTGTATGTAATGAATACATAAACATACATATTACAGGTACATGTATATATATACATGTAAATACAAATATGTGTATATATATATATACAGGTATATATATATGAACATACATATACATATATATGCATATATAAACACATTTATCTGCAGACATACAAATACATAAGCAGTTAAATTATAGTAAATTTTATATAATTTATTGATATAGGTGGTAATTTATATATATATTATTTTATATATTTTATTTTTATAATTTATAAATATGTGTAAATGATATATTTCTATATTTATTTATATAGTATAGATGTAAAATGTACTATCGCTCTTAAATGAGTGAGTGTGAAAAGACTGAAATGCAAATAGTCTTGATTTCAAAATACCAGTCTCCAGTAAAAAGAACACCGGGGCTCCTTGGAGAAATGTCTTATTTTAGAGTGTGCTGATGTGCAGAGAAAATGCAGGATGAGTCCAAAGGATCTTGTGGTATTTGAAAGTAAGGAACTACTAAAAAAATTAAATAAATTAGAGAATGGATATTGTCAAAAGGACACATGAGCCAACAATGGCCAAAGTTGGAATGATTTGAGCAATAAAATGTGTAGTGACACTGTTAAGTTATAACCCAAAGTATGAAATAATATTCTGGAGTTCAAATTCAAATTTGCAAATGATACCATAAAATAGGAAATGAGGAAGAAGGGACAAAACATCCTTATAGAATAATTGCAAATAATATATGTAGTTATTCTCCCCTGGAGTGGGGAAATGGCTTAATTCTCCTCTTCCGAAATGTGGACTTGATTTAGAGACTTGTTACAATGAATAGGCATGAAAAGAGAAAAACAATAACTTCATGGGAAGAAACCTGGAAGATACCATCTTAACCTGGTATTTCTGTTGTATTTCAAAAAAACTGTAACCCTAGCCTAATCATAAGAAAGCATCAAACTCAAATTGAAAGATCATTTGCAAAATACTTGGCCAATATTAAAACTGTCAAAGTCATAAAAATAAGAAAAGGTTGAGAAAATATCAGATAGGTGAAGACTAAGGAAACTAGACTACTAAATGAAATTTGGGACCCTGGAGCAGAAAATAGACATTATTGAAAAAAGGGATGAATTCTGAATAAAGTCTTTAGTTAATGTATTGCACCAAGGTTAATTACGTAGTTTGAAAAATTTGCTATGGTTATGTAAGATGCTAACATTAGGTGAAAATGAAGGCAGAGTACACAGAAACTCTATTATGTTTCTAACTTTACAGCTAATTTAAAAGTATTTCAAAATAAAAAAGTTTTTCAAAATCCATAATCTTGTACTATTACTTTAAAAAGATCTGTAAATACTATTTTGGTATGAGAATATCTATAAATGGCATGCAGCTAGTAGATTTTCAAAAGTTTTACATGAAATCTGAAAAGAAAACTAGAGACATTTGCATTAACTTAACCAAATAAAGAAATTTTAATAGCAATCGAAGAATAAATGAAAGGAAACAGAGATACTATGATACTATTCACAATAGCAAAAATAAGAAAAAAGAAGTTCTGAAATAAAAATTTAGCAAGAAAAATTTGTAATCTACACATTAAAAGCTATAAAATCCCCTGGAAAAGAAAAAGAGAGACAGAGAAGAGAAAAATTGAGAGACATATCTTTTTTCTTTCTTTCTTTTTTTTTTTTTTTTGAGACGGAGTCTCACTCTGTCGCCCAGGCTGGAGTGCAGCGGTGCCATCTCGGCTCATTGCAGCCTCCACCTCCTGGTTTCAAGCAATTCTCCTGCCTCAGCCTCCCGAGTAGCTGGGACTATAGGCGCACACCAATATGCCCAGCTAATTTTTTGTATTTTAATAGAAGCGGGGTTTTACCGTGTTGCCCAGGCTCATCACTAACTCCTGAGCTCAGGAATCTGCCCAACTCGGCCTCTCAAAGTGCTGGGATTATAGGGGTGAGCCACTGTGCCTGGCCGACATATTTTTTATATGGAAACATTTAATAGTATAACCATGCTAATTCACCAAAAACCAATTTATAAATTTATTAAAAACAAACTAAAAACCCTATTTTAAGTGTTAAAGCTTGGCAAATCAACTTTAAAATTTATAATAATAAAGAAACAACTGAAAATATTTCAGTACATTTAGAAAAATAGAGGATAATAGTGGTGAATGGCACCACTGAATATCAAAACATAAAGCTTCCATACTTAAAGAGTATATTTGTCAGAAAGGGACAATAAGGAAAAAGAATGGACAAAGTTTCAAGTTCAGAAATAGAGTCAATAATATTATATATGATAATCATTTTGAAGAAAGGAGATGAAATGAAGCAATGGTGCTAAGAAAATGAGATCCCTGTTAGTACATACAGTTCTATGTGCATTAATTTTTTTATATTTCTATGGATATATTATACTTCAATAAGACCAATTTTCACTTATAAAAATGTCAAATTTAAAAAACTTGATTTTATCTCATACTTATAAAATGGTGCAGTGGGAATTATCATGTAATACTGCAAATTGACAGCATTTTTAGAACATATTCACAATATTCATTTAATAAAGATCCTGATAGAAGTCACACCCACATAATGTTTGGAGGGATTATAGATTTAAATTTTTAAATGTAGATAAAATTAAATGTTACATACACATATTTTTTACAGATACAAATTTTAATATTAAATATGTATATACACATATACAAACTTTTTTTCTCACATACGTGCAAGTGAACTAAAATGAAAAATCAATACAGCAAAAAAGAATTTTTGTGATATTGAGATAATAAACCCACTGCACATTATATTTACGTGCTTACAGTTTGGTCTTTTTTTTTTTTTTGCAAATATAAGCAGTAAAATATCAAAATAAATATTAATAAAATAATGAACAAAAACATGAAGAAGTGTAATTGGTAATACGTAACAGAGGTTTAATGTCTTAAAAACAGTTTTTCATTAATAAGAAACTCTAGCTGAAAATGGAGAAAAGTATGAATTAATTCATGAAAGATTTTGTAACGAAAAAGAAAAAATGCATATAACACACTAGTAACTAAAATGCATACTAAATTAACAGTTAGTACTAAAGCTAAGAGTACTTCACCCTGAAGTATGTAACACAGAATATACACATTTTAGCTAAAAGACATGTTAGAATATTCATAATATCACTATTATAGCCAAAACTTGTAATTAACACAAATGTCAATCAACAGGAAAACAGATTAACATATGAAGTATATTCACTTAATAAAATGAGAAGAAAGTGCATATTGTTATATGCAACAACATAGGTGAGATTCACAAACATCATTTTTGAGCATAAGAAGCTACATTCCAAAGAGTACATATTGTATCATTCACTTTTTATAAATCTCAGAAACAGAAATCAAGGTAATTACCCTGGTAAGATACTGACTGAAAGGTACAAAAGAAGAACTTACAGGGTACTGGTGGTATTCTGTTTATTTTTTGTAGCAGATGACTACATGAGTCTATTCACGTGGTTAAAACTCATCAACCAGTACACTCATGATTTGTGTACCTTTCTGTAGGTATACCATACCTCAATAAAACCAGTTACAGAAAAAAAATAACATAGCTGTTCTATTTTTATGGAGAGAAAAGTTGGCAGCACTGTGAGTAAAGCCCCATAAAACTAAGCTCTAAACTAAGGCCCATGAAAGATCTTCAAAAAGGTGATGTTGAGATTTAGTGGGAAACAAAAGTGTTTGTGGGACAAGGAGAAACTGGAAGACCACATTTGTAATGGGTGGAGTGAGGAGAAGCTGAGTACTTACGTAGGAGGGCAATTCCCTACATCTACATTCAGTTTTTAGCTACGCAGGACTTCCTGCTCTCAGGTGATTTTCCCACTGCTTCATAATAAGCTTAAGGCTATGGTTCTCAATTTTCAGTGTGCGTTAAGTACCATGTGGGACTCTTGTTACTAATGCAGATTGCTTGGCCTCATCCAGCGTGCATCCAGGCATCTCCAGTGGTTAGGGACTGTGAATCTCCCTTTGTAATAAAATCCCTAAGCCATTCTGATGCCCGCGGTCCACTAATAGCACTTTGAGAAACACTGGCTGAGGCTGGGGTACATGAATAGCCATGAGCATGGGTATTACAACAAAGTTGGCACCAAAAGCGTGAAGTTAGAAAAGACAACCACATAATTTACTGAAGCACTTTGCAACATATCTGTAATTCAATAAACAGTAAAATCTGTTATTATTAACAGCCATAATTTAATTTTAAATTTGTACAATTACCTAAATTGAAACTTTAACTTGATCAAAAAATGTAATGTTGGGGTTGGAAATAGTCAGCTGTTCTTTTGAGAGAAAAAATGTACCTGTTGGTAGTGGTTACCTGTGTTCAAAGCTAGATTATGTCATGGGCTCAAGGAAATGAAGAGAGCTCTTCAAAGTACCCATTAGAACATTGCAGAAGAACCATGAGTAATAACATTGCACTCTACTTTTTAGCACACCGTGTTGGACTTTGCTCTGTGGTCTGATTATACTTTTGATTACCCCAGGGCTAAGCATTTCTCAAGTGCTAAGTATAGGGACATTTGGATCTCAAACTTATCTTCTGTAATAGCATTTCTCAGGAATCCTCTAAAGAGAAAGTGACATTGCCAGGATAATTTTGAAGAACATTTTATTTAGCTACAATTCTGCTGTCATTTTCTATATGTTTGGTATTTCTCTCCCCTTTTGATTAATAGAGACATTCTCATAAATAAAAGATCTTAGTCTCTTCAAAGTGTCTGTCTTGGTCTCTTATTTCCCCTGTGAAGTCATAATCCCCCATTTGTGACATCACAGTCTTTCCACTGCAATCAACAGTGATGTTTCAAGCTGGGGATTAAATGCTTCAGAAGAGGAAGACTTTACAAGAGCAGAGGGACTCTCAAGGAATAAAGATCCAATTAGCATGTAAATGCCTGTTTTAGTTAAAAAATAAAAATAAAAAAAAACAAGGAATGAGTAGATAGTCCCACTGATTGGAATAGTTTACTTTGAAATAATGAATCTGGTTTTCCTTTTCACTCCCCTCTTCTACTCTCAGTTCCCTGTCTTCACCCTCACCCCCTTTCAGTGAATGAATATTTAAATGTTCAAAAAAAAAAACCACAACACTAAAGGTGGAGAAAGGCTGTAAACTATAAATGAGTATTGTTCCTCTATGCATAGTTTCTAGGTCTAGGAACTTAACCAGGATTGAGACAAAATTAAAGAGTGGCTGCTGCAAGAAAGAGTGATCTCAAATCTACATAATTTGGTCTTGTCCTCCCTCTCCCAATATTACTTTGCATCAACCTCCATCTCTATCACTAACTTTGACTATGTTTGGCTAGCCAACCTTCAGATTTTAAAAATCTCAGTGCTCTTTTCGAGTTCAGAAATTCACTAAATGCTATTCCTACATCCAGGAGCACCCTTCGTCCACACTCTGCAAACCTTGCCCTACTCATCATTCAAGTTGAACCATCAATGCTACTTTCCCTGAGAGGCCTTAATTGACCCTTTGCCACTTTCATTTACATTAGACCTTGATATTTGATTTTATGGCACCTTGACACTTTTCCATTAAGTATTACAATTCCATTAGATGTTTATGTGTTTGATTTTTCTGGGAAATGTTTGCCTCCTCCACTAAGTTATACACTTTATACATGCAAGCAACACAACTGCTCTAGTCACCGCTGCATTTCAGCACTTAGGACAATGCCTGCCAGGCACATGTAATTGTATTAAATTCATAAACAAGGTATATATATATATATATATATATATATATATATATATATATATACATATAGCCATCTTTGTGGGAGTGTGTAGCAGAATCCCTGCTTTGAATGAAAAAAAAATGGCTTCCAAATTCACATCAAACTTGAAATTTTTACAATTCCTAAAGTAATTCCTGACCACTCTCATCAGATACTACTGCTCTGTGGAGCTGTGTGATTACTTATAAAGTAGAAGATGAACATTGACACATAATCCAGTCAAGAGAGGGGGTATTACACTGGGGATTCATCACTTAAACTATTTATTAGGAACATATCTGTATAAGCAGGTTGAACAAATAATTTATCATCCAGTGGGGGCTCTTTTATGAATGAAAGGTTTTGCTATTTATAATCATGCTAGGACCATGGGCATAAACCAGAACTGCCTTAGGCAAATCAAGACATAACGTCATCTTTTGTGTCAGATACTGTGGTAGATCTTAGAGAATATACAGATAAAATAATAAAAGTTACATATCCTGAAAGTTCATATAGTATAGTATGTTGGGGAAGTAGTATATAGAAACTCATAACTATAAAGTAATAAAATTTTTTCTTAAGAGAGTTATAGATTAAGTGCCATAGATGTTCAGAGTAAATATCTACAAAGAGATCAATGATTATTTGTGAGGAATGCAAAAATATGTTAACTGTGCGCTAATATACCAGTTCTTCAAATGACCTCACTATAACATTATACAAAAACATCACACTATTTTATACCAATGCCCTAACCTGACATAACTTAGGGTCGTAAGATCTACTTACAGTGTGAAGAAAGAGAAGGGAAGTAAGTACTATCTATATTTCCCATCTGTGAATTCTTTCCTGTCGAATGAAATACTCTCTGAGGAAGCCTGTATCCTTCTTCCCCTGTTGCTCTTACGCACAATCAATAATTTGTAGGCTTCCTGTACGTTGTCAGCTACATTGTGTTGATGAACGAACTGTTTAACTGGGGCTAGGCACACGAGATTGCTTAGTCATGCTCTATAGATACAGAGTGGGGCCACTAAGATTCTATATATTTTCTCCTTATTTTTTGTAAAATTTTATATCATGGAATTTTAATTGTGAGCCTGGGGTTGATACTACAGGAATGCTGGTCCATTAATAGAAACACCTGTGGGATTAAGCAATGTAAAGTTGGCCCAAATTGGGTGGGAAATTTTTCTGCTAACCTTTATCCAAAGACCATTGTTTTGTCAGAATTTTAAACTTAAATTTTTAAGTCAAGTTGGACTTAGAATACTGAAGATGAAAAAATTGCAACTCAGAAAGAAGAAATGGTTTGTCTGCCACACACTCAGAAGCAAAGTTATAAAAATATGTTGATATCCTGAATTTCAGTTGAGAATGCCATCTTTCACTGGTGGGGACATCCCATAATGACAAGGTACCTGATTTATGACTTCCAATTTAGTGTTTAAAGTTTAGAGAAATTCTAGGTATAGGAAAGATATCTCTGGTACCAATGTCTTCTCAGATCGAAAAAGAAGCCTATATACCCCCTCTATCTTTAAAAGTTTTAAAAAGATCCAGAAATGTCATCGATTGTCAACTCTTATTATCTATGAACCAATGTTATAAGAAATCAGAACCATAAGGTAAAGCAATTAAGGCTTAGTTGTTCTAGAAATTTACATTATATTGTATTTTTAGTTTGGCGCCAAGAAATTCGGGCAATCTTAAGCATTCATGGAATTAAGGAATAGAATTTTCTTTAAGCAAGGATGAAGGAGCCCTTACCTTAATTAGTGCTTTACTTTCTGGTAAGTACCATTAGGAATAGTGTTTGGGGATTGGTCAGCACTCACCCAGAAGACACATTTTCATCACCTCGAGGTATTATCACCATCGTCATTATAATCATCATCAACAATCACAAATAATATAGAAATTATCAAGATAATGTAGAATGTACTAAGGGTCAAGCGCTGCTCTATGTTGAAATAGATATACACATAAAATTTAATCTCTACAAAAGTCCTATGAAATAATCACTATTATTTTTCCGCTTTGACATATAAGGAAATTGTGACTTAAGACACAATTTCAGTTGCTGAGGACATAAATCAGTGTGAGTCAGGCTCCTTTGTCATGACTAATATATATGCATTATTCATTGGATTTGTAGATTGATGACTTAAGCATCAGTAGATTATGGATCTATTAGGTGCTATGATGTTCAGGAGGAGAAGCACGTGTGTTTGCAAGGGTGGTCAAGGAAGGCTGCGGTGATGAGGATGTACTTCCTGTGCTCATGAAGCAGAGTAGATATTATTGACACGTGAGGGCATTCCAAGATGGTGGCCATTTGTGGGAAAATAGAAGGGCTAGGATATTGGTGGTTGGGGTAGGGATGAGTGGACTAGATTTATAGAAATGGAAGATTTATGTGAAGCAAAAGTGAAGATAATAATAGTGAGTAAAGCACACCTTAGTAATTAGGACAGCTGGGTGATCATTATGAACATGCTACCAACCACGTGTGAATTGGTAACTTTCTGATCTGTAAAATAATAACTACATGAACTCTAAAATTCTTCAAGTTTTAACTAATTCTTTGACTTTATGTTACAAGAAAAACAGATATTTTAGTCCTCACTTTGTGCATCAAGAAATTGAAGTCCTGGAGAAAGTAAATGACTTGCCAGCATAACACAAGCAGTAAACAGCAGAACTAGGTCTAGTATTCAGGTCTTCTGACATTTAGCTTTCAAAGGGAGAACACAGGAAGAAGGGATAATATGGGGACATTATTTATCACTGCACTATTCTAAAGGTAATATGGCTAAACATTAAAAGAATTTTAATAAAAAGTTTTAATTACTTTTAATAATTTTTTATAAAAGCATTCATTTAAAAGTTTTTTTAGTACATGTATTATATCAATAACTACAGAATGTTTCTCTACCCCATCCTCAGCTTTTTTTTTTTTTTTTCTCTGAGACAGAATTTGGGACTGTCTACACCACTGGGATAACCCAGGCTCAGAATTTGTTATTATTTATCTTAAATGGCATCTCCCTTTCCTGCTATTTCTTCCATACTATGTGAAAAAAAAAATCATATTTCTCAAAGATGATGTGGCATGGTCTGTGTTTGAAAAAGAAAAGAAAATGAAAGAAAGGGAAAAAACAACACTGATCCTGCAGTTGTTCACAGTGAGGTCCACCTATCAGAGCTGAAAATAACCTATATTTTATTTCCCTTATTTTCAGAAAACCGCCGAGGACACAGGGGTGGCCGAGTGGCCAGCTGTGCCCTGAAATGCCTGAAGCCATTGCAATCAGTGTTCCACTGTCTGAGGCTCCCAAAATGAAACACTTTGAACACTCATTCAAAGGTGTGAAAGCATGAAATTGGCACAATGGCCAGCCACCGCAGCACTTCCCATTTTTTTTGCACTGCCTTCTGCTTCCCTTGTCTGCCCTTTCTGCTCTTTGTCCCTTGATTCTGACAGTTCTTCAAATGTCTGCTTAAAGAGCTGTGGCAGCCTGGGAGAGAGAACTGGAACGTGTTCTGAGAGAAGTCTCTATCTTGAAGTAAAGAAAGCTGAGGAAAAACAATTGCATTCAAAAAGCCCTGAAAAAGCTGACTTAGATATGGGCCATGATACAAGAGATGGTATTTCTCAGGAATGGACCCTGAGAAGGAGGGTGCATACATTTAGATATGTTAGTGGTTTGGTCAATTGTTGATTAAAATCTAAAAACTTCAGTCTTAAAACTGCCTTTTTAGAGAACAACTATGTCCTTGTGATCTTACCTTTCATCTCTGTCCTCTCAACTGGATTCAATTAGAGCATTCTGCTTAGGACTTTGGGATGGTCTCACATGACCCTTGCTTATATACTAGAATCTATCACAGTTTCTGCCAAGTTGACTTCCCAGTATTTTTATCTCATGTATTGTTGAATGAAACGAAGGCACAGCAAGTTCATATTTCACTCAGCAACTGTTTTGGAGAAAGTTGCTTAAAATGAGCCTGTATATTACTGACACATCCCAGATTGTCACAGAAAATTCACTCCTCCCCTTCTGTGACTTTACTCATTTTTCTTTAGAATTCCTTCTGTCTCTAGTTTTTTTCATTTGTAGAGAGATGGTATTTGTATCATCCTACGTGTTTTTGTTATTCCATGAAATTTCTTCTATGTTCATCATCCTTACCCAGCCCTCTTCCATTTCTTGTAGTAGCCAGGGCAGTCTAGATTTTCTGCCTCAGGGACAGGAGGTTACAACAGAGCCACAAATAACAACAAAAAAGTCAATTCTCAATTTTGTTTAGTTTTAAAATAGATTTTTAAAACTCAAAGTGGAAAGAGAAGGCTTTTGAATCTCAAAACTGAGTCTCAAAACTCAGTCTATGCCAACAGACTGTAAGAAGAAACAATAGATGTAAGAAGAATGTCTGGTGATGAAAGCTGGTATTTCTATTCTGGAATTGGCAAATATTAAATGGACTTCAGGAAAGATGAATGTCAGAGAGGAAATAAGAAATAGATGTTGGTGACCATCCCAAGAAGGGGCAACATTTTTATTAGACTAGAGGTACTAATTATAATGCCAAGTAAATGGAACATAAATGCATATTGTTTGTGATGCAAATGGTGCCTCCTTGGTCAGAGATCATGAGCCACCCCTTGCAATCTTTCCTTTCTCAGTCTTATACCTCTCCTAAGATACAGACTACACACAGACTTGCATGAAAGTTGTTTATACACTTTTGCTCTTTGCTTGATTATAAGTCATTTGAGAGAAAATACTGCCTTTTTCAGAATATTTACCATATGAGACTCTTAGCCAATCCCAGACAAATAAAATAAAACAGATTTTTCTTAGTAGACTTATCATTTAGTAGGGCCACATATTAAGCTGGCATGCTGTTCTATATGTCAGCCTTTTTCTATTGTGTGTATGCTTTTATACACACATCTACATATGTCTGTTTATATGATAGAAGGGTCGGGGCCTGGAGAAAAATATAATATTTATTTAATAATGCATCATTTAGGATGCTTTAAGATTCAGAATGCTGAAAATATGCCTTAAATTAGCTTACACAATAAAGAAAATGAAGTATCTCAATAATAGTTAAGCACTGAGGTCCATTACTAGGCTAATTCAGTGGCTTCATGATGACGTTTGAACGTGGGTTGCTTCTGCCTTTTAGTTCTATCTTTCTCTACATGTTGTCTTTGCCTTTGCCTAATGTCCTTCATTGATGCCCATGGCAATATCAGTTTAGGTGCCCTATACAGGAACATAACATTCAAAAGAGCAAGTATTTCTTCCTCATGTTCTTTGTGAAGTGAGGGAACCTTTCAAAGAAGCTCCCAGGAGACCACCCCTCACTTCTTCATTGGTCAGAGACAGTCCATTGGCAAACTCTAAATTAGTCTCTGGCAAAAAACATTAGGACTCCAAGTTGCTTAAATTATTGAGAATTATCCAAGTCACATTGGAGAGGATTGGGCACTCCAGAGAAATGTAGTTTTGCCTGCAAGGAAGAAAAAAGCAATGGTGATAATGTCTGATATAATAATAATAATAATAATAATAATAATAATAATAATAATAATGGTAACTAACATTTGTTGAGAGGTTACCCTATTTGAGGCACTGTGCTAAATAGGTAACTATAAAACGCACTTGATAAACATGGCAACTCTGCAACAGATACGCATTCTGAAACTAACACAATTGAATAGACATGTCCAAGGTTACATAGATAATAAATGACAAAGAGGAGAGTAGAGATTTAAAGTGATGACTGTCTGTCTTCAGAGCAATTACTCGTTCTGGTGTTCCACAGTGAAGTCTATGAATGAGCATATGCTTTTGAAGCCTGTGAGTTTGGATAGAGATGTGTTTTGTTAGTTCAGTGAACTCTTTGCTGGAACCACCATGGCCACTTCCTTTAACATGTAATAGGCTAATCTAAACATAGTACTTGCTGACTGTAAATTTTCTTGTAATTGGAATATAAAAGCTGGTTTCAAATCTCTCTTTCAGCCTTTCCATTAATGATCTGTTTTAGAGTCACTCAAAATCTGAATTTCTTTTCAATTAGACTGACTTAGAGGAGGCTAGAAGCTGGGCATAGTGGATGATTCAATCAGTCTAAGGCAGGGACTTGTGAAATTTGACCGTGACTCATTTCTTCTCCTTAAAGACAAATATTACTAAGAAATAGCAAAGCTGTATCCTCAGACAGTTCTTTGCAAGTTGCCAAAGGCAGCTTCCACTGAATTACCCATCACTGGAGCTTCAAACTGGCGCTCAGATCTCATTTTAAGAGGAGACAATCATTATATGTGAGTGTTATTTTTATAATCGCCAAACTCATATGGTTTCATAAAGCATTTGGGAGAGTTTCAAGCTGAACATCCCTCTACATCCCTCCCTTCAAATCCAAATGCCAAGGTTACTCTACTGTTCCTGCCTAGCCACAGCCTCTCCAGTCACTCAGCAGTTAAGAACAAACCTTCCCTACATGTTGACAACCTCATTGCTTCTATGTTTAAGTCCTCTAGCAACTCCAGGTTTTATGTAAAGATCCAAAGCAGTTCTTGACTCCACACTGACACATTGTTGTACAGCTGTTTAATGTGAGGGGTGATGGGGGGTGGAATTAGTGATTATCTAAACCCCAAAAGCACTGAGGGGTTCCTTACCAGGATTGCTGCTGAGGATGAGGATTCTCTTCCAGTTATTGTCAACTACAGTGTCCGGCAAATGGCCGACCCATAATAGGTGTTCTGAATAAATCTTTTCTAATTTGCCTTAATTTACCTTTTACTTAGTTTAGCTGTCTCCACCTCAGTCTAAGAATATATTCTGAGGTAGAAACATACAGCAGTATGAACAGGGAGGGCGTCATGAGTAGATTAGATACATTCAACACTGCTAGAGCAGAAATGGCCTGTAAATGTTTATTTACCAATCATCTTCTATGCGACAAAATTTTACTCATTTTTTCTTGTGTAATTCTTTTCTCCTTTATTTTTTGCTCATATCTAATGTATTTTTGGCCCAGTGACAGACATTGCCCCCTATTCAGACGGGGAACTACTAAATATTCTTAAAATGCAAGCATCCCTGCTAAATATCTACCCTGCTTTACTCAACCGAAATGCTGAAAGACGCAAGACTACATCCATCAGCTTCTTAGATGCACTGACAAAATAAAAAATTCAACATATTCACAGGCCTCCATCTACTCTTTTTTGTGATTCTGTGGCCTCAAGCTGCTTACTGCAAATTAGATTTTGCCTTAATATGCTAACATTAAATAAGGGAATTGGGCGCTAAATAATTAAGTTGTGAGAACTAAAAAACTAAAGCAATCTATTAATACAATATGAACATCCCTTGATTATATTTGCAGAGTGAATTTACCTGATTTAAATGGTGAATTAAAAGTGAAAGTTAAATTGAAATTTAGAAGAAAATGTGATAATAAACCACCACCATTCTTTTTTATTTTTATTATTTTTCCATTTTGCCTTTTCAGATATTAGAGCCTCCACTTGGTCATACTACTCACATAAAGGCACATCTTGATCATAAGGCCACAAGAGGTATCTCTTAATTGATATACTAGCTTTTACAAAAATACTCATACTCAGTCTTCTCATAACCCCCATCCTAGAGGAAATATTTCTACTGCATTTAATAGATATTACTTTGTAATTGTTCTTGTAAATTTGTGGACTGGTGTTTTATTGCATGACATTTGAAATCATGTAAAAGGTATTGTGGCTTGCTTTCTTCACTTGCTAATATTCTTGGTAAAACCAGGCATCTCAGGGTAAATATCTCTTCTCTTTGCAGCTCTTTAATGAAAATTTTCATGTGTGTGCTGTGTCTTGTTCATTGTGTCAGTGAGGAGCTTTATGAGACATTTTCCAGTCCCCAAGAAAATACTTTGGAAAAAACAAAGAACCAAATCCTTTTCTCATGTAATAGACACGGACTAAAGCAAAAGGTCAGTCTAAGAATGAAGACCATAGAGAGCATCAGGCCTTGGTGATTAAGGTCAGGAGCTCCATTCCTAGATCCAGGATATTGTAGGGTAAGGTTTAGCTGGGACCTGAGGAATCCTGTGAAAATAAAGAGGTTAGATTTTTGTCCAGTAGGTTGACCTTGCTGTGATGATGATGTTATCTTGAAGTCCCCCCATCGGGGGAGGGGAGGTCCTGAGGCTCATGTCTCCTGCCCTGGGTGTAGCTGAAACTGCAGCTGAGAGACTAATAAGCTTAGATTTGAGGTGGGGAGTGGAACTGAGGAAATCAGGGGCCCTAAACAAAGAGAACTAAGGACCGACAGGGAAGCACCCAGTACAAGGGACATCAAAGACCTGCTAGAACAAAGGCCTGCCCTTGGGAGGGCAAGTCAGGCCTCCTTTGGTGAGCATATGAATATACATACATTGAAAATCCCTGACTGTGAGAAGGTTAAGGGAGGAGACAGCAAAGTGAAAAACAACCAAATAAATAAAAGCCAACCAAATAAAGAGTCATAAATACTTTCTGAATTTCTCATAAAGTCCACACTATCTATTCTGTTTCCTTGAAAAATTGAATTATGATTCTTGAAAATCACAGCCTTATTGTATTTTTCCACGGTCTCGCCTTAATAGATGATGAATCGTTAAGCAGCACCTGCCACAGACAAGAACCTTTTGCAGTCACAGTGCATTTTCACCCTGTGAACTGCAATTAAGCCCATATTTTTGCTTCCCAATCTATCTCATTAGCACAGATTTGAAAAATAACTAACTACAAAAGTTTCACATTTGCATGTAGAGACTTAATAAATTTCCCTTTCCTGACTTGTAGCCTGGAAATTCTGAGTGGAAAAAATAAAATATATGGAGTCAGAAGGCCTGGGTTTGAGTACTATTTCTGTCACTTTGTTTTGTTTTATTTATTTGACTTGAACAAATGGATCTCAGCATCCAAATTTATAAAATGAGGTTAATATTAACCACTTGACAAGAGTTGGAAGGATAAAATAGAATGAAATAAAATACATGAAAGTTATAGTGTCAGATTTACAAACACACACACACACACACACACACACACACACACACTCAATGCTTACATATACCATTCATTCACCATGTGCACTTTAATGTTTTAATGTTTTGGAAAGTTTTCTAATGATGGACACTCAGAATGCTTCCTGCATCTCCTTGAAGTGCTCGCCCTTAGATCTCAATATATATTAATTTAATTATTTCAGACTTAACTATTCCCATGATCTAAGGGACGCCATATAGTCCTACACTATTAAGATGGAAA
Organism: Homo sapiens; assembly: GCF_000001405.40. Lineage (NCBI taxonomy): Eukaryota > Metazoa > Chordata > Mammalia > Primates > Hominidae > Homo > Homo sapiens. Next base: position 38,699,255 of record NC_000018.10, read on the forward strand.
CCTTTCATAGCAGGTAACCTACTCCCTTTATTTCCTGTGTTTCCTCTCCTACTCAAACAATGACTCCACGTTAATTTCACTAAATCACTACTTCTCACATAGTATGACTCTACTTAAAAACATCCATGAGTTTCTCATTTTCTACAAAATAAGATCCAAATAAAGATCTCACTTCTTACAGGAATCTATCTTTGAATATCCTATGCACATGATATTTTATTCTTCTCTGAATTCACATTTATTCAACTTCTATGATCCTATCATATTTTCTTCTCTACTCTAGCTACTAGTTGCTGTGTGTTTTTCTTGGAGGACTGGGAGAAAAGAAATCATATCCTTTTCTTGTGCATCTCCCACAGTATCTGCTCCATTACCCTGCAAATAAGAGTCCCTCTTTCATTTTTGTTGATATTAATATTAATGATAATACCATGCAACATCAAAACCACACATAGTTTGGTGTACCTATCTCAAAGGCAAATTACCCATAAAGTAAACATAGATTATTTTATCACAATCCCACACATAGATATATAAGTTCTTTACATTTATTATAGAATGAGAGACAGACAGGGACAGACAGACACACACACATGAGAGAGAGAGAGAGAGAGAGAGAGAGAAAGAGAGGGAGAGGAGAGGACAGGAGAGGAGAGGAGAGAGTTATTGCACTTTAACAAAGGTTCCTGCTATGCTGGCCTTATCTGTGAGGTGAAGGCATGCCATTTTCTCTAATAAAGGTTTTTCTTTTCTAATGCAATGTCATCATTACCAGCTTAGATTCTTTAAGACTTTCTTATTCACAGGGAAATGAAGGAAACAGGTATCCAATGATTTCAAACCCACATACATTGATGCCTAAAATCTTCAACCCCCCGAATAAGTGAAATGGTCTGAATATGCAACCTGAAAAGGTCAAATTGGCCAAGAATATAATTGGACCCAAAATCACATTGTACTTAAAGCTACAGAAGGTTCGAACATGCCACCTTTCTGTCTCTCAAATACAGAGGGAAACATGGGTTTCACAGACCACAGGAAAAATGCACTGATTAATTACATGGTGATGTGATATTATTCCTGCCAGGATAGTCCCTCTGAAATGTCAGAAGGATTAGAAGTGCCACATCTTCCTCCCAGACTCTAATCTTAAAGGGCCCTAGGATGAAAACACAGCAATTACTTTCATAGACTGTGTCAATTTTACAATAGAAAAAAGAGCGTTCCCAACAGCAAATAATTATAGCACTGCTTAATGATTGATTTAACATAGAAAACCCATCTAATTCCTTTTGTCATTACAATCTACTGTACTAACAATCTAACAATGCTGCCTTCGTGGATAGACATTACATTAGCATTAAGAATAATGCTAATAAAACATGCAGTTTAACTTGTTATATTTTGAGTTGGCAGTGCTCCCCCATACACAGTTATTAGTGAAGCACACCTTCTAAGTGAGACCGACCAGCTGAGAATTTGCTTTTCAGCATCTGTGCGAATGCAAAAGAGCACTGTAACCCAAAGTAGTCTCCTGCATATTTCATACAGCAGGAAAGAATGTGTTTTCTGTTTTCCTAGGATATAATTCCAAAGACTGAAAAAACATAAGCTCTAGCAAATCGATTCATGATGATTCTAAATGGATCCCTATGTGGATGACATGCTAATACAAGTCCTGCAAAAGATTACCTATGGAAATCCAGCTAGTCTACAAGTCAATAAGCATACTACATTCTAAAGAAAAAGAAAACAAAACAATCATGAGGTCTGTGTGGCTTTCTTGGGGTAAGTGATATGGTGACAATAAGATCATCGCAAAACACTTAGAATGAAATTAGGAAAAGTGAAAGGAAAAGAAATGTGGAAAGTTGTCTTCCTCTACAATATTCCACAGAAAATTGTATGAGTGATTAAGGAGTTTCCAAACCCTGGTTCTGTGAGAGCACCTCAGAGATTAGCTTCAGGCCAAGTCCAGCTGCCTAAATATCTAATCCAATCAGTGGTTTACTGATTTACTGATTTATCCATGTAATAAACTAAAAATATTAACTGCAGGCCTATCCATGCTAGATGATTGGTGAAGACAAACATAAGAACAACACTTCCTGTTCTATGGTATAGTTACGGTGGATGGGTCCAGGCTCAGTGGACATTAATACACATATCATTGTGTTGGCTCTGCTAGAACCAGCTGGAGCTGTCAAGATGTGGAGTTCCAGATCTCATCTTTTCGGATGCCTCACTGGAAGCTCTGTGTCTCAATCAGCAGAAAGATCACTGTGCATCTAGGATGCTTAGGTTGCCAGACGATCTGCAGTAAATCCAGCATCATCCACTTACTACCTGTATCACATTTGTCAAGTGGACTAATCTCGCTACACCTCTTTTACTCATGTGTGAAATGGAAGTAACAGTTGAGCCCCCCACCTCCACCCCACTTAAGTGAATACATTCATGGAATGACCTTAGACCAGTACCTAGCACACTCAGTATTTGTTAGCTATGATTCCTATCCTCTTTGGAGGATCTAATTGTGCAGTGCTTCAGTGTACACTAATCTCTTTATTCTGACTCTCTTTAGTAAGATCTTCTGATGTTCAGTGGATAAATTATATATATTTTCTCTGAGAATAAAATGAATAAATGTATCATTCTATGCATTAATTCCATCAGACCAATCATTTATTGAAATTATATGATTCAGAATTCTGTTTTTCATTTTGGTCTCCAGTGAAAATAGTTGGCAATAGTCTGTTCCTGATAGTCTGCTATTTGCTGGATATATCAAAATTTTAAATCTATTGAATATGAAACACAAATATGATCCTACCATATAATTACCACCGACAAACCATGACTCAGTTTGCAACCAGATCTCTCGTTGCTGCTCACGGATTACAACTTCATATTTAACATTGTTAATAAAAATAGTATACAGTATCTTTGGATGTGTGACTTGAAGTAGAAAGGTACTCCTCTTCTGTCTTCTAGGAAACTCTTTGGTAGCTTGAGGCAGGATTGATGGTTGACTCAGAGAATCAAGTCTTTCTCAGGCTTCCTACTGATGAGTTATCTTTTCTCTCTCCCCCTCTTCCCTTCCCACTTTTTCCTCCTTCCCTCTTTCCTTTTCTCTCCCTCCCTTTTTCTTTTGCACATAGACCTTTCTTTCAAGAAAATTCTACCTCTTCCCATAGAAGAGGAAAAAGCTTGTCCCTAGATATTTTCTGGGATTTTATAAACTTGGGATTTTATTGTATGACAAACTTCATAAAATTTTGTCAAACAATAATGGAAAGGTTTGCAAGGTGGTGAAATTAAGTTCTACAACCTTGAGATTTCTACTTATAAAAGTAGGGAAGGTGTTATCACTTAAAATCAGCTTCTATATTGGAAAAATCAATGGTTGATTTTCATTTACTCAAGATACAAACACTGGGTTTTCTCAGAATACACAACATTTGATTAAAATGTATTCCCCTATTAGCATGATTTTGATGTTGACCCTCTCAATAAAGCAAGAAAAGAAAGATTAAAAAAAACCTTCATCGTATAGAGAATTTGGCTCTTAGCATCTTTAACCAGCTTTCTTTTCCCTCTAGGAGTAGTGATGCCACTTTTGATTATATTATTTGGAAATCAAAATCCTCCCATTTCCTTGGAGAGGGCTAGGAGTATGGATTTCCAGTTCATCCTATCATTCTTTCTTCATTGAAAATTATTTATAATTTCACATACATATTTCAATAAATCCCTACTTCAATCCGGTAGCAGAGTTGAGACATGGCTATTTATTGTCATTAAATGGACTCTTCCTCCAATCCCCATCTCTCACTATATTACTTGGATTGTTTTAAAAAGTGATCGATTAGGTTCTAGGCCATATCGAGCTCAGATAATGATCAAGGGATTTTTCTAGTTGATAACCTTCTCTCCCAGTACTCACACACATTGTGTCAACCCACAGAGACATGCTAACCAAGTAATGAAGGGAGATTATGGGATTAAAGTATGGGTTTTCAGAATAAACAGTGCACTGTGCCTGCTCCTGGGGTAAAATAAGGCTACTGCTCAGATAGACTGACTTTCCAGACTATAGCAGTTACTTATACAGTAGAAATAATTAAAAATATATAAAATGAAGACTTTTAGTTTAAACTTTGAAATTTGTTTTTTTTTTCAATCATTGATACTTACAATATATGTGTTTTTAACACACTTACGATTTTTGTTTTTTGCTCCAAGGGTCTTAGGCTAGGAGTTTGGCCATCTGTGCATGGCCGCAGTCTAAGTAACCAAAGGTGAACCTCTTTTTGTTTTCTGTTTGTCTTTTTCCTCCTAATTCAAAGAAGGTAGTAACAGTGCTATCCATTTTCCCCAGACTTATTTAGATGACAAGATGAGATAATGCAATGAAATAGGTACTATATGTATCAATACCAATAATTACTATCAATTGTATCATAATTATTTTGCCTTAGATTGCTGAGGTAAAGTCAAAGGAGTAAGACATAGACTTCAAAAAAGTTCTGATAAACAGTGGCTTTCAATGGGAAAAATATCAAATTTAAGGAGATCTTCTGCAATATGGCTGTGACTATCTATAAACATACCTCTTACCCATCTGATTAATAAATTATTCAGCCAGGCTCTTCTCCAAATCCAACTCACTCATTCATTCCCACATGTGTGACCTGCTTTCATAATTCTGGAGTGCCTTCCCCATCCCCTTTCCACTTAACCACATGATACCCATATTTCAAGACGAGTATATACCTTCCTTTATTCCTAAAGACTGAAACTGTCAGTTTTTTGTACTGTCACCACAAAGCAAAGAACCCACTGCCTGGAGCATGGGAATTCAACATATGCTTCTTAAATAAGTGATGAAACACCTAGTCTACCACAAGACTAAGTATTTATTCCATGGGACAATCTTATCCCCACCAGGGTACAATATTGGAACAATAGCACTTATTTTTTATACTATAAACTCAACAATTAAACTCATAAATTTAGTAATTTTATTATGTTCAAGTCCTCTTTCCCTAACTAATTTATGAACATTTTGAAGATAAAACTGAGAGAGAACCATTTCTCCTATGTTCATAGCAGACAGTATGTGTTCTCTCTTCTGGGTATTCAAATTTATTGTAAATATCATGTTACTCAATACATACTTTGTATGCATGGAAATATGAAAATGCAGATGTTGATATGAGACATACAAAGCATTTGCATTGAAAAACTTCCTAAAAGTGTTCAAGGATGGAATTTCATACATTATCAGATTTTTATTCCCTGCCTAAATTTTCAGTTGGCATAAATTAAGGATTAAATATTTCCAGAGTTATTGAGGAATAGTTCTCTGTGTGTGTTTATGTGTATGACTTACAGACAAGTCCATTAGACATAATTATAAACTTCAACTGCTCATTTATTCAATTTATTTTTGTGACAGTCAATGTCTATGGAATATCTGATTCTCTCCATGTTACAGTGGATCATTCTGTTAGACATATAAAATGGCTACACCTTTCAAGAGAGGGAAGGCTGTAGTTATAGCTATTTGCAGATTTTATTATCTCAAAAACTTCTAATTGTAACATATTTTAGCCATATTTCTCAAATATAAGACTCTAGCATAGACAGGCTAAGTGCAGAAATATGAAATCATGCTGAATCATTTCTCGGCATAGTTACAAAGTTTGGCTTTGTTTTCTTCCAGAAGTTGCTACTACTTCCCGTTGAACACATAGAACAAGCATGTCCAACCCATGGTCCATGGGCTGCATGTAGCTTAGTACAGCTTTGAATGTGGCCCAATACAAATTTATAAACTTTCTTAAAAACACAATGAGGCCTTTTTGCAATTTTTTTCTTTAGCTCATCAGCTATCATTAGTGTATTTTATGTGTGGCCTAAGACAATTCTTCTTCTTCCAGTGTATCCTGGGGAAGCCAAAACATTGGACCCCTCTGAAATAGACCTGAATATTTGGCACTTGACAGCACGATGGGATGTTTAATATATGTTATGCTTCAGGAAGTACATAAAGTAGTAAGTTTTCTCTTGGCCTCTACTCTTATGGGTATTTCAATTTATTGTAAATATCAGAAACACTTTGGAATCCCATGTAAATACTTAAATTCAATCCTACCTTTCTCTTTCTGTCAGTGTGTGGGCAGCCATTTTGAAAATGAATTATGCCTAAAATTTGCTAATATCAACACAGAATTTTAGTGGTGAAAAACATGAAGTCATTTAAATAAGAAAGACAATACTGTAGGCAGGGAAGGAGAGAAAGGTTTCAGTTAGGATCATGCACAATTGTAGAGAAAGAATTATTTTCTAAGAAGCCTAATTTTCAAGGTGGGCCTCCTGGCAGGTCTCAGGCCGAATCCAGCCCACAGATATGCTTCAGTGACAATATACTTTTTGTTTTATTTTTTAAATTGGATGTGCATACTTTAATGAGAAACTTATCCTCTTCAGTTTATCACAGGCCACACCGTTTATGGTGTTTATTTTTTGAGAGACACATTTATATCACCTAGCCGACCCCTGTGGGGAAATGTCTCTTCCCCACAAATCTATTCAGGAATGGAAGTGTACTGTGAAATCTGAAGGGAGTTCAGGGCAATGCAGAAAATCCAAGTCTAGGACAAAGATTCTCCAAGTTCCTGTCCCTGGTTGTCTCTAATAGAGTCAATTAGGGTTAAACTCCTTGAGCTTTAGTTTCTTCTCCTGATACACAGCACGTACTTGATACAGATTTAGGGTTGGGTTACTATTTCATCTGGCAAAATGAAGGTCTGGGACCTGCCTGGGTTATACGACTCACTCTTCATTTGCGAAAACACATGTGCTTCCTAAGTAGGTCCAGTGATATTACCACTTAGATGACAAGAATTTTTCATAAATCAATAGGACAAACTATTAAGAGTTCTACTTGAGGTCATTGCTATAGGGCTAATTTAAACTGCACCTATATACTTCAATTAGAGATAGTCATTTAATTTGGGGTAACCAAGTTTCTTTTTAAATTGAATTGCTCTAATTAGTGGAAACAGATTAAATGTACCCATTACTTTAATCAAAGTCCAGCTAAGAACAATTTTTTCTTATTTTGAATATCTCAGTGCATTTTAAATAAACGAAATGTTGCATTAGTTAACATGAAAGTTGCAACTGGAAAAGGTGCTGTGAAGCCATCCAGTCTATTCATCTTCACAGCAATCTATTTCAAAAGTGCTTATCTCTGCTGCTATTATTACAATCGCAGAACATGACAGCACACTGCAGATCAGAGATAAAACCCAAGGCTTCAGAGGCAGCTGGAAATAACACGGCTTATAGTGTCGTGGACTCTATCCACCTTCCCCTCGCCAGCTCTAGAAACCATTGTGAGCAGACAGCCAGCTCTAGAAACCATTGTGAGCAGAGAAAATGATGTATGCTTTGGGTTTCTGTTACTACTCTTTCTGTACTTCCTCTTAGTGCTCCCTTTCAGCACTGGTTCCCTTCTTCCCAGTGATCCAAGACATGCATATTTCCTTTTCATCAGAATCCATACACTTCCAGTTCCTTAATATCAGCATTATAAGTATCAAAGGTTTTGTTTTGAATGCTACATGCTTTAAAAATTGTTCATACTGGATATTTTCCATTTGGCTTTCTTACCTACTCTCTAACTTTCACCTTTGCTCTCTGTCAAGGGCTTCTCTGCCTGCTGTTTTCCATTTGGCTTTGACCGATGGGAGGCACCAGCATAAGATCAGAGGATAGGAGAAAGGTGAGGTTGAGGTTTTCCTCCCACTCTTTTCCTGCAAGGCTATCACTTGGCAGTAGTTACAGCTACGGTCTGAATGTTCTTCCAAATTCAGGTGTTGAAACTTAATCTCCATTGTGGCGGTATTAAGAGGTGGGCTTTGGGGAAGTGATTAGGTCACGGGAAATCTGCTATTATGAATGGAAGAATGCCTTATGAAAGGGATGGAGGAAATTAGCTTAGGCCCTATTTTGCTCTTCTAACTTCTGCTACGTAGGGATACCATATTTGCCCCTTCTGCCATGTGAGGACACCTAGACAGCATCATCTATGAGGAACAGAAACCAGAAACCAAATGCTGATGGCTTAACCTTGGACTCCCTGTCATCCAGAACTGTGACAAATAATATTTCTTTTATTTACTAATTACCCAGTCTGTGGCATTTTGTTTTAGCACAAACAGACTAGGACAGTTACATTCTTGTTCTGAAGGCCACAACTTCTATTCTGCAGTCTGTCTGTCTCTCGCTTTCTTTCTCTATCCATTTCTAACTCTCTCTCTTGACCAGACTGATAACTGCTCTCCCTACCCAGATCTCCAGGTCTAAGGGTAATGTGGCTTCCCCTGTTGTTAGTCCTGTGATGGTCAACACTTTGCTGGTTATCCTTAACCCATTACACCTTTGTTAATTATCTCTTCATTAAACCAATTCCACTTTGACTACCCTTTAAAGGGTGGCATATCCTTCCTGCTGGAATGCTGACTGATACATTTCCCATCTCTTAATTTCCATTTCTTAATTCATGTCTCTGAACTTGAATAGGAAGAAGAGTCTTGCTTGTAGGACTCATTTAATACCACAGGTTTTTGTCCTTATTTTATTCAGATCTCTGCTCCATTGTCACCCACCTAGAACAGGCTTCCCTGACTACCATATATATAGTAACATCCCTCATCAGTACTTGTCTGCCCACCCTGCAGTGATTTCTTTATAGCACTTACCACCAAAGTTCAGCAACCATTTTTCCCAATAGAGTCTATGCCATATGAAGGTAAGTTTCCTGTCTGCTGAGTGTTCATGGTAGTTCATCCTTAGTGTCTAGGACTGTTTCCAGAATATATTAGATTTCGTTAAGAACTTTTTTTGTTTTCTCTTTTCCAAAATAATATTTATCCCCTTGTAAATTGAACTTTTGAAGAGCAGCTCCACTTGGGCGATGTTTGCTCTGAGAATCATAAACCAGCTGAGGCTGCACTGTGCTCAGTAGCTCCTGGCTATGCTGGGTAAAGGCCAGGTTTCCAAAACCCTGAGCTCCATGACTTTCACATGCATAAGACCAGACCTGGTGCTGCCATTTCTTATAAACGTTAAAACTTTAGACTCCACAGTTCCTGTGCAAAATTTGGGTTTTCTATTATTTTACTTTAGAATTGATTTTCTTCAAGATGAATATGAGTATAAAGTAGGAAAGAAAAAAATGTATTTCAAATAACTTTAGAGCCTAGAGTGGGAATTGGAGGTGTTTCACACATTGTCACATTTACTGTGATTGACTTACTCTCCTTCTCTCCCCAGATGTGCTTACACTTTCTTTGATTGTATGGCCAGAGCTACCTATGGCTTCATACTCTCCTCCACTGAACCTGACTCCTCTCCGACCTCGTCCCGCCTGGCCCCATCTGTCGTCCCCTGCTCTTCTATTCTTCCTGTGCCCGTCATGAACTGTGTGAGGCTAATGGTTGGTCTCTTTTCATTTCCTTCTGCCTTTTTCTTTTATTTTCTACACGGTCAGAGAAAGGACAGTAAAATCTGTAATCTGAGAACAACATCCTCAAGGTAAGGCAGGGATGCATCTGGATAATAGCCCTGTGAGTGACCAGAGGCAGTGTCTGTGTATTTATAAGAGCCCCGTGTATTTTTAACCAGCAGGCATCAAGGTCTATAACCACATTTTTCTGGGGGCCGTACTCAGCCCCGTGCTGGCCACACTAAAAAGCTCATAAATAACTTGGATCACAGGAAATTGGAAAATGATGACTACACAAATACAAGGAGAATTTTTATGTTTTCCAAATATCAGACAGCATTGACAGTTAGTTTCTCCTTGGCCATAAGTCACCATTCCTCAGACAGCTGTTAGAACTTGGTGATGGGGTAAGAGAAGTCAGATTTGGGGAAGGGCAAGACTCATAGCCTGGACCGAAGTTGTGCAATTTCCTTTTGCCTCTCCTATACCACATTTCTAACACTCTTATATGCCAGCAATGTACGAATTTTCTCCTTGTATTTGTCTAGCCGGTGATCAGGTGAATTCAAAGTATGATGTAAATGACTAATGCACTGAGTAAGCACACAAAGGATTCGTACTCCAAACCTCAGCATCACACAATATACCCATGTAACAAACCTGCACACATTTCCCCTGGATCCTAAACATAAGTTGAAATTATAAAAAATAAATAAAAGTGAGCCTAGTAAAACAGACACATCGCTAATGCATATTTAAGGCAAGTAGAAGAAACACTGTATATACTTTTATGAAAAGGGGAGTTTTCTTGTGTGAGAGAGCATTTGACAACATGAAGGGAGGTACCTATTTTCTTTCATATGAAACCTGATTTGTGTTGCTGGGTGAAACAATACCCTGATGATTGTGAAGGAAATCATGAATGGTCCTAATAGATGAAAGTTTTGATTGGTGATTAATGAAAGGAGCAATATTTTTATTTTTAAAAATCAGTCATTTTGAAAACAGATCAATAGATACACACTCTTGAGCATCTGAACTGGACCATGATTTCTTACCCCCCCCCCCCCATGTCCCATCTCCCATGCTTATTCTGTCATTACAGAGTACAGAGTGCAAACACTTTGACCAATGGCTAGAAATAACAGAACAATTTTATCACCTCGGTACAAATATTTTTAAAATAACGTTAAGGCAGACCTTTAAATAGAGATTCTTTTTCTTACAGGTTTATAGGAATTGTATGTGTGTTAAAAATATTAAACTGTTTCTCATCTGTATCTTTCCTAATCTGTTGTTTGAGTTTTGCTGTCATGTATAGTATATTTTCATATAAAAATAGTTTTTTATATTCTATTATGTTTTTCTTCCTCCTTGTAGTTCCAGGGATCCCCTTCTACATCAACAATGGCTTTAATTGATCTCGATATTACTTTTATAATGACTGTTTCATTAACATTTTCGATTATTCCAATTTTTAAGTATTTCTAAGAGGCTTTTCTTTGCTGTTTTGTAGTGTTTACCTCTTTTGGTAGCCCTTACCGGACCAAATGTATGCTGAGAATGAATGAATTATTAAACAAATCAATGTATACACGAATGACAGCATGGTAGACATCAACATAGATGTTTGATGTGTAAACTAAAATTAGGACACTGGAATTTATTTGTGACCATTTTAAACATACTTAGTTCAAAGCTTGATAGTTGCCTTTATTAAGAACACTATACTTTCTTTGTTTCAAAAGAAAATCTAAAAGCAAGGATTAACCTCAGTCACAATGATTTTTTTTAAATTTTTAAACAAAATGGGTTCAGTGATGTGTGACTAAGTCTGAACGATATTTTCAGGATTAAAAATATTCATTAATAATTGGAAATGGGCTTTCTTGCATAAAAATGAATTAATGCCCCTTCCTGAGATGCAGAGCCTGCCTTCAGTAACATGCCTCAGTGCATTTGTTTATAGGCCAATGCTGTTCAAAGCTATGCCTTCCAAGTCCCCACATTCTCAAATCACATTGAAAACTGGAAACTATCTTTAGTTTAGAGATGAAATTAAAAAAATAAATTAACCTCAGACATGGATCCACTAGTAAACTTAAACGTGGACAGACAGATTATAATTCCATGATCACACACCAAAAAAGCCCTGAATTTGTAGCCATATAGGCTTTTTAAGGTGTTTGGAATTCCATCACTGAAACCCAATACTTCTGGGTTCGAGAATTGAAATCCTTTAAAATTCCCTTGGGAAGTGTTACATATTAAACCATAATCGTTTAATAAAAATAATGATGGCAGCTAACATTTATTGAGGGCTTAAGATGTGCCAGAAACTCTTCTAAGCATTCATGTTATCTCCTTTAATCCTTACAATAACCCAATGAGGTAGGTATTACTCTCATCCTATTTCACAGATAAGGTAATAGGGATTTCATCCTTGCTGCTAAGTGACTTCCCAATGTCACAGATGATGTGGGATGGAGAGAGAACTCCACCCTGACATCTTACTTACTTATATACCTATGTTGGTATAACAAATAGGTCACACAAAATATAGTGGGCAAATATAGTGGCACTCTTACTCTGTTCTTGCCAACTAATATGGGTCAATTGTAGGTGCGAGGGCTGAAGAGAGGGCATGCCAGTAGAGCCCGGCTAAAAGACTCTGGGCATTTCCAGGGCCAGAAATGGGACAAGGTGAGTGGGGGAGGATACCAAACGTTTCACAGTCTGCAGAATTTTATTTCCACACAGCCTTACTGGTTCCAACAGAATTTTTGGATTGTGTAACTTATCTCCTGCAGTCTGCTGCACACATGATTCCCCCACTCCTTAAACACAGGATTTCTTCTGGAGCATTCCACACTTTCCTTATCTCTGTGTTTCCTCTGTTATTTGGGTTGTGGAGCCCCACATCAGATTCTTTATTGCCTAGAGAGTGGGTTAGGGCTACTCTGTAGGCAACTCACAGCACAGGCAAAGAGATGGCATTTATTGTCTATTAAAATATAAGCAATATTAGACCTCAGTATCCACTATAAGGCTGGAATGCAGCTAAGTGGATATAGCTCTTTCAGCCTCAGAAGATATAGAAAAATAGCTAAAAAAGACATCTGGAGGATAAAAATCTGATGAAGGTAATTTTCATAGCATTTTCTCCTTTTGTCTCTCTTCCTTGTCCTCTTTATGGATAAAGGGGATCATGAGGTTTCTTTTCATCTATATGGTCATGTTGGAAGGATGGAGGATACGAATCTACCAGGCTGAGGCTGGCTTCTCTTCCCCATCTCTGTTGGACCTGTGCTGATATGCAAGACCCACAGATTTGTCCCAGATCCCAGCTGGTATTCTTTAACAGTATACAGTTCATGGTCAGGCAAGCCAGGACTTGACACCAAGATTCACATGTTAAATGTCAATTTTTTTCATATATGTGTGGTGGGGGCTGGTGTGGGGCAGAAATGCTTAGATTTTCCATGGGCTTGACCAATATATAGTAGGAAATGTGGACAGGACTAGGTGGACATCCCGAGAAATTTCCTGATGGAGCAAAAGGAATAGTTCATAACAGATTGCCAGAGGGAGAGAAAAAGGAGGAGGTGGTGTTGTATAGAAGGAAGCCAGTGACCTCAGTGGAGTATAGAAGCTGAGCATAAGGAAACTTTGGGTATTCAAACTCTCTCATCAAGGGACCAATCCAACACAGAAATATGATTGAGACTGCGTCATGTAACCTAGGCTCCTGTCTCATCCTCTATTACTTAGTAGAGTTTATGGAAGAGGTGCCCCAATTTTTTACTGTTTTCACAAAGAAACAGAAGCCTGAGATGGCTCATTAAAATAGTTCAGAGCTTTAGGGGCCCTAAACACCTCCCATAAAATGACAATTGGACGGTTTAAGGGTAAACGAATCTGCAAAGGTATAGATTATATCACCCTTAATGAAGATGTGAGTTTACAGAAGTTCACTGGGCAGTGATGTTTTGGGTCCTCCCCAAGCCCTGGACACTGAAAGATTAATCACAATATTTAGAAATAAAAACCTATCTGGGTGTCTGTGGCAGCCACGCAAAGTACTTCTTTTGTTTAGTGGGTTTTGGATGGGAAGACTGGAGTCTGTTTATTATATTTTGCTATTTGCCACATCTATCCAATGACCCAAATGCTCCATTTCATGCAGTTTATCTTGGACCAAATGCAGTTAACTATCTGAGAATGACTTCTTCTGATTTTTCCACAGTTTCCAATTGAAGCTGTAATAGCTCCTTATTCCATCTCCCTGAGCAGGTACTGTGAGAAATCACCGTGCTTCACTGTGGGAGAGGCAACAGAGGGACGGGCCGAAGCAGTGATTTTGGAAGCTTCTATCAGTGAAAAGAGATGATAAAAATAAGCAGTTATGGGAAGTAGCATAAAGTGCATTTAAAAGAAACAGTGGTCATTGCAATTCAATAGCCAAACCCACAGAAAAAAAGGAGAATAACAAAAAGCTTATCCTTGGTGTTCAGAGAGTTTGTTTATGGGTTTATGGTTTTGTAGATGGCAGCTCCCTTAGAGCATTCCAACTCACAGCAAAGCCAGAATTCAGGAATATGTGTGTGCTGGGGGTTACAGTAAAGGGACTGGCTTTCATTTTAGGAAAATGAAATTACCTGTCCTAATATAAAGGAAGGTTTTTATGATTCCTATTTTGAGTGGATCTAATACCACATCAGGACATACATGAAATGCAACTAACTAAATACATAAAAACAGAGGGTCAGCAAGTTTTTTTTTTAAGAGGACTTTATGGTCTTAAAAACAATTGCAAGACCACAGGACTCAAGAAGAATAAACTTAGGACCAAGCTGCAGTATGAGCAAAGTAATATATAATACCAACAATTTGAGATGGTTCCCTATAGAAAATTCAAGAAAAGTGGCACTGTTGGTTACTGCCTCTTCCACGAGGGATTATTCATTATTAGTGTCCACCCACACAGGGATAGACAGGATGGGGTGGGGAACTGGACCTCCCGGCATAATACTTGATCTAAGCAATTACTTGATACCCAGCGTCAGCCGTGGAAGCTATTTTTCCCAAGGCTTCCAAAACTCCCCTTTTTGTCATTTGTGTCACAAAGGCAGTGAGGTCCTACAGTAAAAGATCTATTTGCCTCTCCTCTTCTTTCCTCTCATGTGTCAGCCACGTGGCCCTCAGTGGTCAGCTTGAACTCTTACAGATTAGGATTTCACCCCTAGAAGGACTCTATTGTTCATTTACAGATGCGACTGTCTTCCCACTCCGACTCTTGGTGACTTTAGAATGCAGAAGGTGTAGGTAGCTTCATGGATTCTTTTCTCTTGTGCATACTGGCAGGGTTGTGTATGGTTATTGCAAGAGTAGATGAGTCCTAAGACATGATTTCAGCTGTATACATAGTTTATTTTTCTTTTTACCTCAAACTATTTTATTACCATGGACCCTCCCAGTAGTTCTGATGCTCCTAAAATGTTTGCGGAGAGAAAAAGGTGTTTGTGGATAAATTTTTAAAATAATAGGTCTCTTTGGTAATTCTATGCATTTTGGCTCAGGTGCTTTAAAGCATTATTTTTGAGAAAAGGTCACAGACTGCCAGAGAAGTGGACCTTCAGATTCCAGCGAGACCTTTCTGGTCTGGGACCTCCTGTACAAGCTCTTCTAGGGAAGCTGCTGCATGCATGAGGCCATGCATTCAGATATACGGGACCCTTGTTTTGAATCTCAGTGAAGTTGGCGAATTATTTTTATCCTCAGTGCAGAAAGTATTACAGTGCATAAGCCTGTTGGCCTCGTTCTTCAGAACATCCAGGAATCAGTTGTAATTCTGTTAAGCAGCAACTTCCTAGAGGTAAAATGGGGTTTGTCATTGCTTAACATCTCTGACTGCAAGAGACGAGGCTCTCTAATGCTTTCTGGTGGTAGATCCTTCCATGATTGTGAGCCCTAGTCTCCTTGTGGAACCAACTGCGTATGTGGAGGGAAGCTGGATGTGTGTCAAGTTCATCTGTTTTACAGGAGAACAGCAGATCCAAGTTAGGGTCTGAGCCTGGGGTGAAGGTTTTCAAATAAGCATCAAAAACTCTGCCAAGGTTTTGCCAACTGTCCCTCAGCCTACATTGTTCATTCTGCCACATGAAGTATGGCTACTGCCTATCCAGGTCCCCACAAACCGGGTGACAGAGACAAAGGCCTCGGGAAACAGGGCCGGGATGTATCCAAATCCCTTTCTACTCTCTCCGGACACCAGGGCTCAGATATTCTTTATCACCTCCTCAGGCCATTTTCTTCTCCAGTTCTTTGGCTGGCTGAGTTGTTGTGAGGTCTGCACAGCTCGACTGTGTTTTGGCCTCTAGGGCTCTCTGTATTGTTGTGCATTCCCCTCAGCCCCAAGCCATACATTGGAACTCAACAAGCAGATAACAACCAGAGAGGAAAAGTTCCACTTGGTGGTTCTTACCATGATACAAACTCCCAAACGCCATTACCTCTGAGGTGCAGGGGCTCACTCTAACCTTTAATTGGGTTGAGGGTTCAAAATCCCTCATATAATTTCCTGTTCACAAATATTTTTACAAATCTCAGAGGCAATAGAAATATGTGTTAGATTTTTAGTTGATCCTCAAGTCTCTGTTTTTACTTGTATTATTACATAACCCAAATGTGTTTGGAAAGGCTGGGTCGCTAAATAGGAATGGTCCCTGCAGAGATGACATACCATAATACTGCATTTCTGAATCCAGGTAACTGGAGGTGGGTGAGTTATCTGGGTCATACTTAGAGCTTTTTCAAACTGTACTTGTTGTCCTGATTCTGTCCTTTTCCCATGTTTGTGGTGGATTTGTGAGACATTGAGAAGGTCAGGTGATAAGCTGAGGGTAGGGAAAAGAGAGAGAGAGATGAGGATGATACTCAGATATCTGACTGGGGAGCTGTATGGAAGACAACATCACTAACTAAGATGTAGAAAACTGGTGGAGAAGCCAGCTCCAAGGTATGCTCATAAAGGGTTTGGCTTGTCCACCTGAAGAATGTCCAGGTATATCTGCCTGCTGGGCAGTCTGTTTACTTCTTCATGTTTGAGCTGGTATACTCTGTGGGAACAAGTTTCCAATCAACTGGAAACCACTGAAATTTCCATTTCCAGATTCAGTATGTGCACTTCTGGTTCCATTTCTGCACCTAACTGCTACTATACAACTCCAAGCAATACTGGCTCTCTGGGACAATGACCTTTTTGAAACACACTTCAAATGATGATTCAACCTGCAAATGATAAAGTGATGAGAATGATGAACAGGTCAAGGCCATGGGCAGAGCTTAGTGTCAGGCCACGGGAGATCTCTCTTCAGGTTAATGCTGGTGTGTTGATCCCATCCTTCAGCCAGCTACAACTAGAACATATTTATACAAAATAATCTAAGAAGTGTAGCCAAATGCTGAGTTGAAATATAGGCACTGTGTGTTTAGGGCATCCCCCTTTTGACAAACACATCAAGTATCTGTATAAGCAGCCCTATCATAGAACCATATTGAGGGCTGGAAGAAGAATCTCATTGTGAAGGCAATGGAGAGGTGTGGATGGGTCTGATGCTGAAATTGAGTGTGATGTTCATTTACCTGCTGCATTGAAAGCAGGAGAAGCAAGGAGTTCCACGAAATGCCATTGGAGAAGCCAAACACAAGCATGTTGGGACAGAGAACTGACTGGTAGGGAACAGGGAAGTTCATGCCAGGCCCACCAGAAGGTCACTGGAAAGTGGAAGTCTGAGCTCCCCAGACTCCTAATCAGTGTCAGTCAAACCATGCCGGGACTGAAACTTTACTACATGACAAACACTGTGTGTACTGCTGTAGGGAGAAGCTTGTTTTCAGCGCAGACTCAGCCCAGAGGAGGAGAGGGTGGGGCAGTTTTACCTAACTCATGTGTGAGTGCCCACTAAAATATTATTAGAGCCTCTCTAGCAGGGAAGGAGTTAACAGAAAGATCCACCAAAGGAGGAGACACTTTCAACAAGGGAGTGGTGCCCAGTTAAGCTTCACTTAAGAGGGGGTATCTGGTCTGGAGAAATAGCAGAGGAAACATTGTGTTTTCTTAAACTTATTAACTAATTAAATCCTAATAAACTTCTAAGTCCTTTCCCCACTGACAAATATTTCAAAAATGATTACGGAAATAGAGTTTACAAAAAGTAAATGAATGGCAGCCAGAGCCCCATGGTTCTGGTCTCACATCTCCTGGATGGGACCTTGAGTAAGTTACCAAACTTCTTTGTATTCTGGCTTCCTGAGTTGCCAATAGATACATTCGTTCCCCACTATGCCTATGTAAAACGGATGCTAGCAGGATCCAGGAAGCCATTTCATTGGCAGTATCACACAAAGTGGAAAGTACATATGGTTACAAAATACTAGATCAGACCACTTAGCTGCCTGGAATTTCTGAATTCCCAATGAATGTACAGCCCAGTTTTAGATTCGTAGGCTCTGAATGTGACTATTTTCTCACCAATTATCCAGCAAAAAATTCTCCCAATAGACCTCTAAAAGCATTTTAGTAAGTCCCCTCTCGCTGTCGTCTACTGTCTGCACAAGGCCATCCATGTAGTAGATATTCAAAATACATTCGCTGATGTTACCATAGCCTCATGGTATCTTGAATTGATAGAAGTCCCTGGATTTTGTGGCAATTTTAAACTACTCTGCCACTCATCAGAGAATTGAAAAGTAGTATGTTTGTATGTCCGGAATTGGTGGGTTCTTGATCTGATGGACCCTCGCGGTGAGTGTTACAGTTCTTAAAGGCGGTGTGTCCAGAGTTTGTTCCTTCTGATGTTCGGATGTGTTAGGAATTTCTTCCTTCTGGTGGGTTTGTGGTCTCGCTGGCTCAGGAGTGAAGCTGCAGACCTTCATGGTGAGTGTTACAGCTCATAAAGGCAGTGTGGACCCAAAGAGTGAGCAGTAGCAAGATTTATTGCAAAGAGCGAAAGAACAAAGTTTCCACAGAGTGACAGGGGACCAAGCGGGTTGCTACTGCTAGCTCTGGCACCCTGCTTTTATTCTCTTATCTGGCCCCACCCGCTTCCTGCTGATTGGTCCATTTTACAGAGAGCTGATTGGTCTGTTTTACAGAGAGCTGATTGGTCCATTTTGAGAGGGTGCTGATTGGTGCATTTACAATCCCTGAGCTAGACACAAAAGTTCTCCACCTCCCCACTAGATTAGCTAGATACAGAGTGTCCATTGGTGTATTTACAAACCCTGAGCTAGATACAGAGTGCTGATTGGTGCATTTACAAACCTTGAGCTAGATACAGAGTGCCAACTGGTGCATTCACAATCCCTTAGCCAGACATAAAGATTCTCCAGGTCCCCAGCAGATTAACTAGATACAGAGTGCCAATTGGTGTATTCACAAACCCTGAGCTAGACACAGGGTGCTGATTAGTGTGCTTACAAAACTTGCGCTAGATACAGAGTGCTGATTGGTGTATTTACAATCCCTTAGCTAGACATAAAAATTCTCCAAGTCCCCACCAGACTCAGGAGCCCAGCTGGCTTCAACCAGTGAATCCCGCCCCGCGGCCGTAGCTGGAGCTGCCTGCCAGTCCCACGCAGTGCGCCCACACTCCTCAGCCCTTGGGCGGTGGATGGGACAGGGCGCCGTGGAGCAGGAGGCAGCGCTATTCCGGGAGGCTCCCGTCACACAGGAGCCCATGCGGGTGGGGTGGGGGAGGCTCAGGCATGCAGGGCTGCAGGTCTGGAGCCCTGCCCCACGGGAAGGCAGCTAAGGCCCGGTGAGAAACCGAGTACAGCAGCTGCTGGCCCAGGTGCTAAGCTCCTCACTGCCCAGGGCTTGCGGGCTGGCGGGCTGATCCCAGTGCCGGCCGGCGGAGCCCACGCCCACCCGGAACTTGCGCTGGCCCACAGCGCATGTGCAGCGCCGGTTCCCGCCCACGCTTATCCCTCCACACTTACCCGCAAGCTGAGGGAGCAGCCTGCGGCCTTGGCCAGGCCAGAAAGGGGCTCCCATAGTGCAGCGGCAGGCTGAAGGCCTCCTCAAGTGCGGCCAGAGTGGGCGCCAAGGCTGAGGAGGCCCCAAGAGCGAGCGAGGGCTGCAAGGGCTGCCAGCATGCTGTCACCTCTCATTTGGGTATGTGCGTGCGTGCATGCATGGGTGTGGTGTGTGTGTGTGTGTGAGAGAGAGAGAGAGCGAGAGATTAATCATTCAATATAGTAGAAGACCCTTTGTTCTTTTCTTTTCTTCTGATTCAGTGTCTGCCATTGTTGGAAATCCTTTGTCAAAAATGGGATGAGAAGGAATGTAAAAGGGACAGCTACAGAATTATTTACACTAAGGAAAAAAATAACTGAAACTTACATTGTACTGACAAAATCTCAGAATTGACCCAATATGTAAAACAAATAGGTGAAACAAAACAAACTTTAAAAAAAAGCAAATAAACAAACAAATCAGACTCTAGCATTTCTCGCATTAGAAGCTGTTATTTGACGCAGCACTGGGCTTTATGAGGCTCCATGAGGCTGCTAAGGACATAGAGTGAGGTGGGTCTGAACGGAGGTGTATTGTGTGAATGTGAAAAGCACACTGTATTTTGAAGGCTTTGAGAGGAAAACACAATGTCATATATTTTATTGGTATTTTTATATAAATTACATGTTGGAATTAAAATAGTATACATAGAGAGAGTTCAGTAATTTTACTAGTTTATTTTTACTTTTTAAATGTGGTTTCTAGAAAATTTTAAATTACATGTGTCTCACATCATATTTTCATTGAATAGAGCTGGTCTAAAATATCCCAAATGTGACCTTCAATGCTTCAACAGTACAAATGCCCTTAATAAGCAAGTCTTCTTAAGAGTAAGGTACAGAATTCAGGGATGTTATACCAAATCACCAGCTGCTTTAAAACCAGTGTAAGCTGGGTGCGGTGGCTCACGCCTGTAATCCCAGCACTTTGGGATGCCGAGGAGGGCAGATCATGAGGTCAAGAGATAGAAACCATCCTGGCCAACATGGTGAAGCTCTGTCTTTACTAAAAATACAAAATTAGCTGGGTGTGCTGGCTCGGGCCTGTAGTCCCAGCTACTCAGGAGGCTGAGACAGGAGAATCCCTTGAACCCGGGAGGCTGAGGTTGCAGTGAGCTAAGATCACCCACTGCACTTTGGCCTAGTGACAGACCGAGACTCCATCTCAAAAAAAACAAAACAAAACAAAATATTGTAGATGGTTTTGGGGATTTGAAAATAAGGGTAGTTTAGCAGTAAACAAAAACCCTATGTAAAAAGTAAAGTAGAGAGTCCTCTTCAAAGACTTTCCTCCCCGTCTAATTAGGAATAAATAGTAACTTCTTTTAGAAGCAAAATGTATTCAAAGACCTGTGCTAACATTCTTAAATATCTGCTAGCCATAATAAAGAAAGCAATGTACTTTATGTTCTTAGCTCCCACAATTTAGCCTAAATATTTGCCCTGGCATGCTTATACTAGTCCAAGCAAGCATTAACTCATAGCCTGTTCCTCTTCCTTATTTGAAAGTGTTCTTACCTTTCTCAGCATTCCACAAGTTACTTCCTCCTTCCTTTGTTCTCCTCTGCCTTTGCCTCTTTTAAAAGTTCTAAGTTGCTAGCCAATCAGGACAAATACAGAACATGAAGTCCCGTTCCAGCCAACAGAAACCGGACACAGCAGTAGAAATTAAATTTATGTTCAAGTGCTATTTCTTTACAATACCAAAGAACAAGCATTTCTATCATCTATAAAACCATCAAAAAGGTTATTTTTTTTTTAAACTTACTTTATTGTGAGACACGGTATGATGTAGAACATTTTTATATATTGAGCAAAATTTTAAATTTTATAAAAATTAGTGTGCCTGCCTTGTAGAATTGAACTACATTTTTACACTAAAACTTAAAATTACATTCTAAATTGCATCATCTTTTTAAATAAAATAGAACTGGTAAGATGAACAGCTATTTTAATTACATTCTTCTCCAGTGAAATCCAGGACTATATATATATAATGTATAGCTCTAGCATTTTTATTGGTCTGACTTGTGAAAAATGTTTTTGCCTTTCGCAGTAATATCTTTACCAAAACAATAATGATCAATCCCTGGTGAATATAACAATGGCTCCAGGCCATCACTGGGGAATGGCAAGAACCTCATTTTTATCATTATGTTTAAGCACAATATAAGATATTTTGTTGGTTTGTTGGCTTTTCATAAAAATAACTCTAGTAAGTCCAGTGAAAAATTGAGGCAGATTTATCAAATGTATATTTCAGACTGAAGGTCAGGGTCCTATGGCTCCTGTTTTCTGTGCAGCCATAAGCAAACTTTCCTGTCTCCTAATTCAACAAATATTTATTACAAGCCTCTCTGCCTGCCTTGTACTAGACAGGAAAGATACCAAAAGGACACAAAATGAACTTTAATTTTCAGTAACAATGAAATTCCTTTTCTAGACAACTTTAAGAAACATTAAAGGACACATTTAATTTTACTGCTTTACATGTGAAAGAACAGAGACCCACAGTGTAAAATGACTTGTTCAGAGTCACTGAAGTTGATGTGAGAAAACCACCAGAAACTAGGTGTTTTGATTCCCAGCCTAACTCATTTGTATTACAACATACCGCTTTATTTTAGACAGCCACTTCTACAAAAACCAAATTCCTTTTTCATATTCCTTCTTTTTCTGAGGCATATCACTTATTTTTTTCCAAGTAATGCCTCTTTGTAGTGGAGTCAATAATTATATTTGGAGGACTTCTCTAAACAGAACAAACTCAAGCAGAGAGCAGCCCTGGGCCCTCTCCATAGATCACAGCTTATGGCAGCTCCCCCGGGGAGCACAGAAGCGCTTGGACCAGCTTTAAGTTTAAGTGCATGTCACCATGATACACGGTGTCTTTGGTGTCCGTATATCATGAAGTGGAAGGGGTGTCGCCCATGGATGGAGAGCATCCATTCTTCCCTCCTGACACTGCTTTTTCCCCAAACAAGACATATCTGTGCGATTACAATCTTATCCAGGCCGGCTGACTCCCTCCAGAGCTCATCTGCAGAGAGGGGCAAAATCAGTCAGCATTTTGTGGAGTGAAGGTTTGGGGGAGCATGCTTTGTGAAACAATGAAAAAGAAGTAGAGGTGAGAATATATGAGGTCCTCCAGTAGGTATTGTTTTCAGCCTCTTCTTAGCATCTTGAAGAGCCTAATTCCTATGCAATAAGAGCAAGTTCTCAAAGGTCATCGTTTTCTGGGTTCAAATATCTGATCAAATATTTCCTAGCTACATGATTCAGGCACGTGACTGAACATTTCATTTTGTTTTTAGTTTTCTTACTGCAAAAGTGGGTATTATATGAAAAATATTACCTACTTCATGGAATTATTGTGAACAATAAGTGAATAAATACAAATGAAACCCTCAGCATACAGCCTGGGACTTACATTGTCTTCACTGTATGGTAATCGTCATTATCGTCTTTTTTTTTCTGCCTAAGATATTCAAGGTAGTCATAAAATTGAAGAGTCATTCTTTTAATAACTAAAGAGCTTCTCAAGCAAGAGATATCTCAGGTTTCACATTTTCACACTAGCTAGAGAAGAGAAAGTAAAGCTCAGAAAGAGACAATTCAGGAAGAAGTTAATCCATTTAGTCCTTTTTCTCCATCCATCCATTCATCCGCCCTCTGTCCATCAGTCTATCCATCTATCCATTCATCCATCCATCTACCCACTGTCTTAGTGCCTTGGAGTTTGGTGGTTTAATTAAATGTGCTTGAGGACTTCCTGTTCCCTTAACCTAATGATACATCTACTTTTTCCTGATGGTCAACGCTTGAGGGAGAATGTGAGGCTAGATAATCTACAGAGGCAGAGTTTGTTGATGGGTAGCCTGGGTGGGCATCTGGGTGACCTAAACTTGTGTTTCATCTGACTTATATTAGTTACACACACACACACACATATATATAACTTATATAATATATATTACATGTATTATATAAAGATATATATTCATATACTGTTATATACTAGAGCATGTATGGGCCTTGATTTCACCCTGAACATAGCCATGAATGAGGTTATCAATGGAAGGGGGTTGGTAGTTAAGGCAGTAGGACATCTCTCCTCCAGCCCTGCCATAGTTCAGAAAGAGGACCTTGAGCACTACCCTAAGTTCAAGTTGCTGCACAGATCCCAAGGAGTTTGACCCTGTCTTCTCTTTACTATTTCCTTCTCATATAAAGCCTTTGAGAATATGGTTGTTGCCTAGAAACAATCATGTAAGACGACTTAGAGGAAGGGAGTGTTTCCAAACTGAGCAAAGCCCTTGAGCCCCTGCTCTGGTTAAACACAATGAGGGACTTCTAAAAAATGAGCTATCCTCCTGTCTCAGCAATGGAATAGATACCTCTTAGCTGAGGCTGATTATCCCTTCCTTACATGGAGTTCTTAACCACCTTATTTAGGATTTTTGTATCATGTGGAGTTGAGCAATACTTTTCATGTATGTTGGTCTTTTCTGCCGAGCAAGACTTAAATTCCAAATTTGGAATTCCATTATTGCCAGCTCTCTATTTAATCCAAAGATTAGCACAGGCTGAGCATACAATAGAGAATCTCAATAGTAGGTGAATAGATTGTCATAATTAGAAGTTCTGGGCTGGGAACAGTGGCTCACGCCTGTAATCCCAGCACTTTGGGAGGCTGAGGTGGGTGGATCACGAGGTCAGGAGTTCGAGACCATCCTGGCCAACATGGTGAAAACCCGTCTCTACTAAAAATACAAAAATTAGCTGGGCATGGTGGCGGGTGCCTGTAAGCCCAGCTACTTGGGAGGCTGAGGCAGGAGAATCGCTTGAACTTGGAAGGCGGAAGTTGCAATGAGCAGAGATCGTGCCATTGCACTCCAGCCTGGGCAACAGAAGCGAAACTCCATCCCCCCAACCAAAACAAAAAGTTCTGAAAAATAGATTTATTTTAGGTTCAATTTTATATAGTTATCATTCCCGTTACTACAATAATCACCAGAACGGCCACTGCTCCTACCAGGTGGAAATGGTATTTCCTGGGCTAATCTGGCATCTTTCTTTGCTATGTTACTTCCTGGTGAATTCACCCATCTGTGAACAATCTGAATAACAAACATAGCACATAAACCTAAGCTACCACATATAGTAAAACATCAACTGTTTCCCTCAGATAGACTGAAGGGAGTAAACCAACAATTACCGATGCTGTAAAGTCACCCAAACAATCCTTCAACTACTTTATTTCTTTTGTAAAAGGGGAAAAATAAAAAGATGGCTCTTCTCAACATGCTGATGCTGAAAAGAGCACTGACGTTTGTTTCTGAATGATGTTTGACTGTGAGTGCTCAGTAATTAGAAATATTTAATGCAGGCAAACATCAGCAAGTTAAAATTGTTTTCTGTTTGAATCTTGTCATTTGCCAGAAAGGAAATGATATGTTAGACATGTTGCACTCTTTCTCAGTATGATAGCAACTAAAGTGGCTTAAAATTGGATTCATTTATAAAGCTGGACACTATTAATATCATTCCCTGCATGATGGTAATTCATTTTACTCTGCTTTGTCTCAGAAGCAGTAGGGGCTCTATTCCTTATATTCAGTTTGCAGTCCTAATTAAGTATTCATTATAGAATACATATTTTTTCATTTAAGACTGGATTTCAAATATTTATGTGCTGTATTACACTTGTTTACTATTAGGTCAATGTAGTGAGGTACTCACAACTAGTAGTTATAAGTCTTCAATCTATAAAATTAAGGATCTGAAGGAACTCAGCTACAGCAAAGACCTGTTTCCCTCAGGGTTCTTAGCTCACCAGCATTGCACGGAATAAGCTGAAAACTAAATGTAACTACACTGGTTCCCTGCCATTGTGAATAAAAAAAAAGATGCTCCACGGATTCAGTGTAATGTTGACATGACACATGTAGAAGCTTCACAAAAGGTTCTATAGGACCATGATCCTGAAAACTTTTACTATTGGCAGATAAAGGACTGGATACTAAATAAGAAAAAGAGGACAGAAAGTTTTAATTGAATAAAATTAAATGAAACAATAAGGATCTAGAACATCTGGAGAAACTGTCAGATGATTAAATCTGTTAAATTGTGGATGTGTGTTATAAGAAAACTGTTCTGGCAAGCATCACATTTGCAACTCCAATAGGTGAATCATTCGGATTTTACTTGATAAGCAATGGAATACATATATAAGAGTACAAATTTTGCATTACATTATGCTTTTTACTTGAGAGCTCAAAGGACCCTAGAGAAAGTGCTTTATTCAAAATTACATTGTGATCAACACTAGGCAGGAAATGACCACTTTCAAAAGTTGGATTTAAAAAAAAGGATCACATAAACAAAAACCACAACAGCCAAAAAATGATGAAATTGGAATCACTCAAAGGCTCTGTCATTCTCCTAAATATTCACATGTAAATGATCAAAATGAAGACTAGAGTGGGAACTGGAGTTCATAACACTTCTTAATTAATAGATAGTTTTTGAGTATTGATTATGTACAAAGTCCTTTGTAGTTGTAAATGAACAAAGAGGAAAGAGAGGTGGGGAAAAAAAGAAGCTATTCTTAATTGTAAGTTACTCACCAGCATTTTGGAGTAACAAACTATGAACATAAACTTAATTAGTTAACAATAGAAGATATCTGTACATGATGTCACAAGGCAAGGTATGTTCTGTTGTAAAAACAATGGCTCATATGATTTCACAGGAGCAAGAAATTGTAGTTATATAGCAGTAAACTGAGAGTACTGCTTAGAGAAAGGAGCTCTTTATCTGGGCCTTGAAGGATTGTTTAAAGTGGGAGCAAATACATATAGGCAGGGGAAGTAGGTATGAAGCAAGGAAGGGAAGTCAGGTAATGCAGGGCTTGTTAGAGCACCAAATCCAGATTTACGTAGCAATTGCAAAGGGAGTAAAAGGGAAAATGGATTTGTTGGATTGTAGAAAGTGTGACTAGCATGCTAAGAATTTATGCATAAGAGTTTATCCTCTAGGAAATAAAAAGAAACTGAGAGCTTGGCAACTAGAATTGAAGTGTTGTATTTAAAAGACAGCCTGCTGCAGAAGTCATTAATTAATTAAGAAAGAGACTGGAGGAGTTTTGGTAGGTAAAGCCATCAAAAGTTCCAAATTAGTGCTCAAAGGAAAAGAACGAGGCAATGTTTATTTATTTACTTCTTTATTAATTACTGATTGGTTGACGTAATACTTCCTATTAAAATATGTCCTAGTGCCAATAAATGATGCCAAAATGTAGATGTTTCCATTGAATCTCATACTTTTCCTATTTATAAACTACTAAGCTTACTGATTGAAAAAAATCTATATATATGTATATATATATATATATATATATATGTTTCCACTGTGTATATATATATTTCACAGTATAAAAGAATTCCCTATTTGCCCACTGTCTAATATTTAGAAGACATGTACATCAAAAGAAAAACTATAACATCAGAGCTAGGTTTAGGTAGAATTTTCTTTTTCTAACTTTACAAAATAATTTATGTAACAGAGCAAGGTTTCTAGGGCTGAAGTAGTTTTCTATAGATGGGACATCTTGTAAGACTGTTAGCAGTCCTTTTCTCCCTTTAGAATTGAGGATTAGTATCTTCAAAGGTTTGCAATCTCTTCCTTTGGGCCTTTTAATATTTTTGTTAAGTTTCAAGGTTTTATATCTCCTTCTTGCTTTAAAACATTTTAAAATTTGAAATGAGTAGATATGGGCCATTGTAAAGGTATCTCATCTAAATAACTGCTTCTTGAACTTCACATATGATGTCTGGTAATTCTTTCAGAAAATAGCCCTCTCTCTTGGTCATATGAGAATTGCTTCTGTTTTATTCATGGAAGATACCCCAACACTGCCAAGAAAGTCCCTCTGGCATTATCCTGCCCCATTTTTCACCTTCGGAGGTCTTTACACACATCAGCTAAATTCATTCTCTAGGGCCTCTGTGAAGATGGTGACTTTACAAATTCCTCCGTTGACAAATTCCTACCTAGGGAAGCATTATGGATGTTGATGGGAAAAATGCATCTTGCCAGGATTATAGCCCACTCTGAATGTGAAGCCTAAGAGTTTGGAAACTGAGCAGTGCCTTTTAGGGCTAGAGATTGACTTAAGATTCAACTGCAAATTGGTAGCTAATGTTTGCCGAAGGGATGTACAATTAATAAATGGAAAAATTGTGCTTCACTTTTGTTTCCAAAGTGAATAGGATGTTTGTCAAAGCAAGAAACTTTGCTTTGATTATAAGCTACAGATAATGAAAATGTGTTTATGTTTCACAAATACATTTGATTCTAGTGGATTGTATTTCCCATCAGGGAACCAGGTTCAGCAAATATTTTCACATGCTAACTCCTCAAATCAGGCAGAAGGTTTTCATTGACTAGAAATACAATAAGCTTTGAGAATAGAGGGTTGACTAGAAACTAATAGACTTTATAATTGTTCTTCTCTAGAATTTATAAGGACCAGCACTGGTTAGCTGTCAAGTACACATATCACCTACTTTTAGGTATTAGAACTCACAAATACAGTCTCTGCTTTCTTTAACCTCATTGACAAATCATAGAGAATTCCCTAAACTTACCATCTCTTCATGTTGAAAACGAGGGGCCCATATTAAAATGGTTTTGATAAAAAAGTAATTTCAAATAAGAAATACAAATCTAGAATAAGGAGAGTTTAGAAATAGAAGACTGCATAGACATGGTTTACAGATCAGAGGTACTGAACAGGGATTCTGGCTAGGAATCTCGGCCCACAGAAGTTAAAGGCTTGTTACTCAGCCCCTTAGAGCATATCTTTCTACAGAGTCAAGAAGAAATTGACTACCAGGATGAGTAAGATGTATGTTGATCAAGGGATTGAGATGAATGTTCCAGAGTTAGAGTACAGAATGAGCTAAAATACCCTACTCATTCAAACTAAAGAGAAGAAGTTCTGCCTGGAACAAAACTGATTAAAAAAGAGAGTTGTCTCTTCCAGCAATGGCAAGATGTGTTGCAGACAAATTTGAGCACAATGGTCACAATCTCACTATACAACCTGATGGTGAATATTTTTCACATTGTGAGGACTGTAATTAAAACAAAGAGAAGTATTTTTTTTCAGATATTTCAGTTGCTGAATATTTCCTTAAAGCTTTCCTGAAAATGATTCATGACATAGGAAGGTAAAACCTAGAGATCAAAACTCCAACTGGTACTCAAACTCAACCAACAAAGAGTGGAAGGGATGATAATGAATAGTAAAGAGTATGATCAATATGCATTGAGCTTTACCTTGAGGAATCTTCCTCTTCTGGTGCTGTCGCTGTTGCTTGTTTTTCCTCTTGGGCATGTTGAACAGAAGTGCTGCAGATTTCACCCCTTCTTCTGACACATCAGCTCACCTTTGCACTTTGATCAGGGAGATTTGTCTGGTACTTGATTTAAGCATGCTGAAAAAAATTGCTTAACTGAAGAGACACAAAGTAACAAGCTGTTTGTCCATTTGTTTCTCAGCAACAATGCTTAGTCAGGGCCTGGAAATCACACCTCATAACAAACACATACACACCTCATTTCCTTCATGATTGTAGCCAGTGATTTTGAGTGAGTGGTGTCTCTAGTGATGTGTTAGAGCAAGAAGGAACAATCTCTGCTAATCCATGATTCTCCCTTAACACTTCGTGGGTTCCAAGGCTGTTTGTTTACAAGCCCTCAGTATTATTATGCAGTATTCTCATAAACTATGGCATGGAAGATTGAAAAACTGGGTTTTCAATCATGTTTACTTCTTACTTCAAGGATATTTCTTCCTAAATCTTTGCGTCTTTTGCTTTTTACATTTTTTTCCCAACACTGATTTCCTTTCCATTTCTACATTTTCTTGACTCTTCTCTTTTCTAGATTCCCGTATTTTATGGTTGAATACAATCAAGTCTTGGATTTCGGTCCTAAGACTATTTTAATATCCTTTTCACATTCCCTAAAAGTATTATGACTTTGATCCAGAAGGAAATGTAGGGCATGGTTCATGGCAGGTACCCAGTGAATACTTATTGCCAAAGTTAATCATCCTAGAGCTCATCTTGGCTCTAAAGAAGGAGACAATGATACCTTTCAGGGGACTACTGAGAGCATTAGTCTAGAGACTTCTCCAAAATTTGCTGTTGATGAACTAATTCCTGCTCCATTCTTCAGGTCAGGAAGGGGTCCAAAAATATTTGTCAAAAAAAAAAAAAATAAGAAGAATGGAAAAGGACAATTTAGTAGGATCTGAGTATATCTGTTGTCTGTTCTTGCTAGGCATAGAAACATACCACACCCTCACAACCTGTGTTATTGTTGCTTTGATATGCTTGCTTGGAATCTGCCTCTATCTTTACATCCTCTGTTGCTCATCCTTTATTCCACTCTCCTATCATCTTTTACCATACTGTTCCCTCACCGCAGTCACAGCCATGCTCCCATGTTCCTGCTCATATATTTCTCTGAATTGATTATTCAGATTTTTTGATGAATGTGACTGTTATCTCCGTTATAGCATATTCCCTCTATGCACCACTAGAATGTAAATTTCTTCTGGAAAGTTGATCCTTCCCCCCCCCCCCACCCATATCTTTAGAATCTCCCATAGGGTGAAACAGAGTGTAGAATCCAGTGTAAGGTGTGGATAATGCTATTGATGTCAGGTGGAGGAGTAATGAATTTCATTCTGTTGCAGGGACTGACTGGATGCTCAGCAATCCTTTTCCTTCTTCCTGGAAAAAATATAAAACTCTATTTCATGGTATCACGTGTACTTACTTTAGCACCTTGTGACTAGTTCTAGCAAATGGCAGAAGGAATGGACATCATTTCCCATTGTGGTCATAAAACATGCTGCTTGATCTCCCCACTCTATTTGGTTTCTCTTTCCTCCATCAGTACTACCGGAAGCATGGGTCTTTGAGATGGTAGAACCTCATGCTGGTTCTCTGAGTCAGTATCTGGGGGTAGTGGGACCACTCAGAGAGGCCCTCCAAATTGCATCTACCTGTGAAGCAAATGAGAAGTGAACTTTTAGTGTGTTAAGTTTGAGTTGGTTTGTTATTGTCCTAAAGCCTAGCCCTGCCACACTAATACAGATGATAAACTGTATAATTAATTGAGAAAAATCCCTAGACAAGAGACATGTCTATGTACACCTCAACAGATAGGTGTGTGGCTGTGTGTATGTGTGTGTCCATTTGTGTAAGTGTGTGTGTTGTTCACCACTGACCAACTCTCTGTCTCCTTCCTACAGCCTCAGTACCTTCATCTCTAAGATAATGGTGTATATTAGAAGTTCCATTAGCTTGAAATTATCCAAAACAGTCTTGCATTTCTTTAGGTCTCAACATTTCTGAAGTCTTTTAAACCCAAGAACAAAGCTTGGGGCTTGGGTAGACTCTGATTTTAAGTTCATCCAAACCATCTCTTTGTTGCCTTTGCCCCCTTTAAGAAAATTCCAGATGAAAGCATAAATCTGACACATGAACTGATTTGCTGCACAGCAAGATAATTCTTTTAAGTAGTTTCTATTATAGGAAAATTAATTTCAAGGCACTTCATACAGTTCTAGTAAAATCCTTCCGCTCCATGGGGGTCCATGAGCAACATTAACTGTGCAGCATTTGCTGGGTATGCCTCGTTATGACTTGGTGCAGTGAAGGATGTTTTTAAATTTTTTTTTAAGATGGGCATTTTGAAAATGCATTTTTTTATCTCTGCATGAACATTTAAAGAAAACTGGAATTTGAGATATTTTTATAATGAACAAAATATTTTTCTCCTGCCTCCTATAAGGGGACAGAACTTGTTTCTCCTGGTAAAACTTTGCAGTTTATTTATTTTTATTTAGATATTTGTGTGTGTGTGTGTGTGGCCCACTATTGATTCATTTGAAGACTTTATCGAAAACAAATATAAAATACCCTCTGCCAATAAGTATAGTTTAACATTTGAATGATTAACAACAAATGAGAGGCTGGGCATGTGGCTCATGCCTGTAATCCCAGAACTTTGGGAGGCTGAGGCAGGTGGACCACCTGAGGTCAAGAGTTCAAGACCAGCCTGGCCAACATGGTGAAACCCTGTCTCCACTAAAATTACAAAAATATTAGCTAGGTGTGGTGGCAGGCGCCTGTATTCCCAGCTACTCATGGGACTGAGGCAAAAGAGTCGCTTGAACCAGGTCAACGGAGGTTGCAGTGAGCCAAGATGGCACCACTTCACTCCAGCCTGGGCAACAGAGTGAGTGAGACTCTGTCTGAAAGAAAAAGAAAAATAATAATAATTAAAAAAAACAACCACAAGGAGAGACCATCAACCAGCTTTCACTTATTCAGCTTCTTTCATACTGTCACAGGTGTTCTCAAGAGAACTACCTAAATTGTGCACGAGTTTCCATCTCAGAGCCTGTTTCCTGGAGAACCGAACTTAAGACCTGTGGTAGGCAAAAGCTTTTTATGGACTGTCTCCATTTTATCTACTCTCTGCTCCAGCAAACTTCTTAACTCACTCTCCTCCAATATCATTGGCTCCTCCTCCCTCTCTCTTTCTTGCTCTACTCAAAATATTCCCTCTGCTAAAAAAACTTTTCTCTGACTTTTCCTCTAGCTCAGAGAAACTCTGTATCCAGATTTCAAGAATTAATTTCTACTCCATATTTTATGTCTCCTCTCCAGAGTAACTTCTTATTATCTCAACTTTCTTTTCTCTGAATCATGGTAGAACTGGTATTGGAATTATTTCATTTTATTTTAAGCTGCTTTGTAGTATTAGACTTGGGGCAGAGATCCTGATTTTTTCTTATGTTTCTCCTCCACAACAAATTTTATAGTGCCAAGATCATAGTGATCTTTCAGGTGGTTTTGCTGGTCTGTTTTCATAGGGCTTATTAAACTCTGCTATCACTCGTGAATGTTGTGTTGTGTTCTCATTACATGATCAGAGTCAGATGTAGTTTTCAGAGAGAAGTAATTATAAAGGGTATATGTGAACTAAAGATACGCTTCCATATTGTGCATTATTATTATTATTATTATTATTATTATTATTATTTTTCTGTGATGGAGTCCCAGTCTGTTGCCCAGGCTGGAGGGCAGTGGCATGATCTTGTCTCACTGCAACCTCTGCCTCCCGGGTTCAAGTGATTCTCCTGCCTCAGCCTCCCGAGTAGGTGGGATTACAGGCATCCACCACCATGTCCAGCTAATTTTTGTATTTTTTTTAGTAGAGAGAGGGTTTCACCATGTTGGTCAGGCTGGTTTCGAACTCCTGACCTCAAGTGATCCACCTGCCTTGGCCTCCCAAAGTGCTGAGATTACAGATGTGAGCCACGGCACCTGGCCATATTGTGCACTATTTATATTAAAAGCTATGCATTCATGTTCTACAAACCAATTAATATACAGTAAATACTGCAGTAATTTGTACACAATTGATAGTGTTAGACACTCGATGGCAGTCCTCATTTTTAATTAATCTCCTGGTGAAGTGATATAATTACAGGTTGTCCTCTGAAGGCCATGGTGGCTAGCAGTTGTGAGATACTGCACCTTCAGATTTCCTTAACATTAAATCCAGACCCCTAAGGGGTACATTCATTTCACTTCTTTTTAAAACCTGAAATAATTAATATTTGATCAAAAATTTAGCATTTAAAAAGTATGTTCACGACCTTCTTTTTATTTGATTTAGTTTGGCAGAAACCATGTCCATGACAGACCAAAGTAAGGAAAGGGAGCACATTGCTATTGGAAGAACTCCTAATGCTTCAAATATACCCCATTTACCATTCCATTTGGAACCTAGAAAGCATTGAATAGTTTGCGCCAATGGCTGCTCTTTTCTCTATGGCCAAGGATGGCCAAGTTTTTGTCACCTAACCCAGAATTTTTTACTTCGAGAATCTCTCTCCCTTTGTCCAGTGGCAAAGAAGATACTCAGAATCCTCATTAGATATAATGAGTAATTGTTCCCTCTGAAAGAAATATCTCTAACTCAGGTTCTTCTGAGCTGGGAAACATTTTAAATATAGCATTGGCTACTGCAGGTTCATGATAATGTTTACAAAAGCAATCAATATGTTAATAGAATTGTTTGATTAATATAAGAAGTTGAGAATTTAGTTTTTACCAACCTTCAACATAACTGGAGACATTTATAAACAGATTTTCTTTGTTTCTGCTCGAAGTGGAACTAGTAATAATAACATGGAGATAAAACTTTATTTGCTCTATAGCAGATCCAGAGCAGCCTCAGGTTGTCTCTTTTAAAGGGCTTGAGTCCAGATCAGTTCATTGAGGCAAACACTATTTCTATGCATCAACCGATTGTGTGCTGTTTATTTCATTGGTAGTTCACTTGACTGGGCTTCTGATTTTTCTGTTAATTAAAGATCTTGGTTTAGACTGCTTCTAAAAGTCTTCTTGGTTCAAAGTTTCATTTTTCTACATTTGAGAACTCAAAAAGAAAAATCATGTGACCCAAAGGATTGTGGGTATTAATGTCTTAATCTCTACTGATATATTATCCCCAGCCCATTCTCACACTGTCTCTTCCTTCCCACGTAATTGAGTCAGACAAAAAGGAACATCTCCTCCTGTTTGTAGAATTGATTTCTGATTAGGTTTTTCACTTGGTTCTACCACCTGCAAATGTAGGTCTCCAAGGCCTGTGTTATGTGTTGAATGAAGATAATCTGATACTCTTTGCAGATCTCCAAGGAATAGGTCATGCTTTTAAGACCCTTCTTTCTGCCTCTACCTATCCATACTTCCTAGGAAAAAGAAAATAAAGCTTTTAAAGGATTAACTTACATAAACAGCAGGGCCCCTTGCTAGGAAAGCAGGGAGACTTCCAAATCATGCAACTTGACCCAGAAATAATAAAACACTGAAAAGACAAATGGAAACTTCTTTCAATTCCAGTTGATTCTTGTGTCAATTTTTCCCTTGCATTTTCCCACTTGCTGTAGGCTACAGATTAAAAGGCAATTGTACATTTTTTTAAATTGCAGTTTATTATTTGTATCTCATATAACCTCACGGGATATATTTTTGTTTTATATTGTTTTTTCTTAAGTTTGAAATGAAGAAAACTACAATAAAAATTAGAATCCTCCTAATTTTTATTTTTATCACCCAAGGTTCAATTTCAGGTCATGGATACTACTATGGAAGAAATCATGATTAAAGCAAAGAGCAATGGACTAGGAGTCAAAAAATAAGAAATCTAGCTGTAGGGGTCATTAACCAAGTATGGTTAGAGTAAAGAATCCCATGTTCCTATTCAACCTTAGTTTCCCTAACTGTTCAAAGAAGAATTTTAGACACAGAGATCATTCCAGCTTCTACTATGCCACAATTATCATCTCACCCCAGCCCTGCATAGACACACAGTGAGTGACCAGCAGCATTGCTGAGTTAGTGGTACTTGACTTTGATGCTCTCGGCCTCTGGATTCTAGTTGCTCTCCTTCCTCAGTCATGTACCTTTTCCCGCACCTGGAGCACAGGGCTTAGAACCAACTTCTGGATCTATAAAGGTATGTGACCGACATTCAGTCTTTCACACATGAGTATGAATCTTGGGCACCATGCTTTTTTCCCTCTATTTGTTAGCGTTTTTACTCTCTCAGTGTTATAAGACAGAAGCAGGTACATTTCTTACAGCAGTTTTAGGTATAAGGAGGCTGGTAGGGCCACTTGTATGAGGGCGTCTTTATGTGCTTTGGTGTGGGTCCTTCTCTCTGGGCCTTTGACAAAACTCCATTCTTACATGCCTGCAACAGGTGCCTCTGATATCAGTTTAATTACACTAATAGCCCTGAACTTACACTTAAATATTGTTCTTAAAATTCTTCAGGTTAGCACTTGTGTGTATCAAAACAACAGGGGAGGCTCTCCAGAAGTGACATTTGGACTGGCTCCTGGAATAGCAGGATTTTGCCAGGTAAACAGGTTGGGAAAAGCCTTCACCAGTTATAGACATTTCTCTCCTCTCTCCTATTCTCCATGCTTCCGCTGACATTAGATGACTTTTATCCCACGTTAAATTAGATGTGGGATTTGAGGGAGCCGAGGTGATGCAGGGCTATGTTGCCACATTCTCTACAACATGGGGTGGCCCTGAACAGCACTGTGCAGGAGGAGTTGTCCTTTCCACTTCAGCCTTGCTTTCCAATGTTCCACTCTCATTTTTGACATTTATAAACCTGTCACACCCCCACTCTCAATCAGGTTGTTCCTAGTCACTCAGGATCCTTCTCTCTGACAATTCCTCATATCCTGGACTTCTCTCTTCACTTTCCTGAACATCTGAAATAGCTCCACAGCTCTCTGACGTATGTAGAAATATGTATTTGCATGACTCACTTACACCATAATGGCAGCAGCTAAATGGATTCTTCTGTGAAAATTTCCTTTCTCTTTCTCTCTTCATTTTTCCCCTTTCATATTTTTAATTTTTTCCCCTTTCTTTGGTTCCTCTTTTCTGTGAACATATATTGGCCATCTACTTTGAGTAAGGTGCTATATGGGACTAGTCACTATGGCGGCACAATGAGAAGATCCTGAGCTTCACCCTTGAGAAATTGGCAATCTCATGAAGAGGGAGAGGTGGTATATGGCATTTGACTGCATGATGGTCCATGGGATGAGTGCTGCAGTGGAAGCTGGAAAGGGCAGATGTGAAGTTACATGGGAAGTCAGGGGAGGCTCTCCATAAGTGACATTAGGACTCGCTTCTGGACTAGCAAGATTTTGCTAGGTAAACAGATTGGGAAAAGAATCCCCAAAAGAGGAAATTTCACGTCCAAAGGCAGAGAAGCAAGAGGGAAAATACTATGATCTGGGAGAAGAGAAAATTCAGAATTGCTGGAACAGAACAATAAAAGGTATGAATACAGAAACTAGAACTGGAGAAGTGTACTTGAAACAAATATTTTTCTTTCAGCAGGAACTTCCATGAGTCTCACAAGGAGATAAGTAGAAAACGCTCGTAGCAGAATATTCATGTCAGGGCCCCCAGTGTTCTTATTTTCGCCTTGTACCAATGACTGCCCATGATGTCCAAACAAAATTCCAAGTTTCATGCAAGAAACTTCTTGCTCATTATCTTTGAGATAACATTCTAGTCTCCACTTAATACAAACTGGACCTAGACTGTCCACTATATGCCAATTCATTTCTCTTTTCAGAAGTACAGAGTGTCAATGTGTATGTGTATGTGTGTGTGTATGAGATATGTCATTCTCACAAAAAAGTTTACATAATGATATGCGTGTTTCAAAAAATAATACAATAGATATCCATGTGACTAGTACTGCTGTGGTTTACCACAATATTATTAGTGTTTATGGAAGGTTATTTTTGAAACCAGTCTTTCTCAAAGAGGTCATTGCTGGGAACAGAGATCTAGATGAGAAAAAGTGACGTTGCTGACCCTCTGTGCATCCACAGAGTATCCCATCAGGACCCACAAGCAGAGACTCAGCAGCATCATTTATCCATTCCACCAATATGCATTCATTAAACAGGTGTTAAACGCTTGGTAGCATGTCCAGTGTTGGGCTCTCCAGGGTGGCTAGGACATTCAGAAGCTGAAACTAGTGGCATTCGTGGGTAGAATTGATGTAGCAATGTACTATAGCAGAAACCATTCAAGTATTTTGTTTTCTCCAAGATTTTTTATTATCCTCAGTTAAATAATATTCTTTTAGGGTTGAGTATGCACAAGGAATGTAAACATACATTTTTAAAATAATACAATTTCACCTTATTCTTCTACTTACCAAAATGCTTGAACAAGTTTAAAAAATTGTTTTATAGTGTGAATTTGGTCAAGGGGTAAAATAATTGGGTGCATAGAATAGTTCTGCTATGAAAAAATTTAACCTCCTTTGTCCTCAATAACAAAATTGAAGCCACAAGCAGAGATCCTACAAAACTGACTTTGCTTTAGTAACAACTAGAATATATTCATCACATTATTAAACATTCTCTTCATAAGAACATAGTACCACAGAAACACTAGGGGAAAAATGTTGAAACAGTATTTAGCAGTGGGATCATTTCATTAGGAGAAAATGTAAATGAAGCTGAAGTTTTAAGGCAGATATGCTCAAGCCTGCCCCATTTGAAGTGGAAAGATGAATTGGGAACTTCAGTAGGTCATCCAACATTCCAGCCTCCAGTAACCAAGGCAGTATCTCAGAGAAACTTCTATATCTTTCCTGATTCTGTGATAAAAGGACCATGTTAGACCACTCACCATCTTGTGTTCAGCTGAAACTGTAGACAGATCTTGAATCTATTTAACCAAAATTAGCCTCTCTAACTTCTTATTGTTTTTTTAAAGCCAGAACTATCTTTGTCATATGATATCTTCTTTCAGGGTTCATTGAACCCTCTTAATGACTTTCTAATGAGAGGAACAGATTTAGGGACTGGACACCAGTTTTTAAGACATAGTATTTGGGAGAGGTGTTGTCTAATACTACAAAATTAGAGCATATGAGTAACTACCTCTTCTACCTTCACATAACACTAACTGGAGAGTAGAAAACAAGATAATAAAATGAGAAACAAAAGAGGATTTACAGATAAAGTTAAGTGAGAGTGGTTAGTGGATAAAAGGAAAATAAAATTGAAGTTTAAGATTGGCAGTCCCATCCTTCAGTTTTTCTCTACCACCTGGACACAGAGGTTTCCTCATTAATTTGTTTCCAGTCTGGTTGCCTACCCCAAGGGGGTTGGAGCAAAGCAGCTTCTGATGAGATGGAGGTGAGAGACTATTTCCCAGATCCAACTCACTGAGACATGAACGAGACATTCAGTTCCCCAGCCACCAGCTTCTGAATCCAATAGCACACGGTGCATAAAGAAGAGAGAACCTTTCCCTTAATTACTCTTTATCCAACTGCAGCCTGGTTTATTGGCATGTCTATCAGGGCTGATTTGGTAACCTGTCTTCCTTCCCAGACCTGTGAGTTGACAACATCAGACCTCACAGTGTGCCTTACAGGAGCCAGATGTGGCAGCAATTATATTAATGAAAAAAGTTCAAGTATGACTCCAAGACAGGCTCTCAGTTAACAGAATGGGAGAATACGCAATGTTCTCCCCCAATTGGAGGAGGTGACATTTAGATAACAGTATGTAAAGGGTGTTGTTCACATCTCATTTGTTAATTACCTCATAAAGTCAAGGGAGCACAAGAATGTGGGTAGATAGGTACAGAACCTTCATAACCACCTGAAAGAAATCTTTAAAAAGTTTATGTTCTTGCTAAATGGCTTCCTCATTTTTAGATATGAAAAGCATGGTATAATGAGTCTTTCTGTGAAAAGGTATGTGTGGGAATCTTGAAATGGTGTTCATACCTCACATTTCTTTGTAGACATCCACTGTGCTTCTCATGTTAGCGTGTTATAACAGAATTTGCAATGCTGGGGGCAGTGATGGAAATAGGGCAAGGCTCAGCATATAACTGTCAATCCTGGGAGAGCCAACAGTATGGAACTCAGTGTA
This sequence comes from Homo sapiens, assembly GCF_000001405.40. Taxonomy (NCBI): domain Eukaryota; kingdom Metazoa; phylum Chordata; class Mammalia; order Primates; family Hominidae; genus Homo; species Homo sapiens. The sequence goes on from NC_000018.10 coordinate 38,738,455, forward strand.
AGAACAGAGGTGTGTAACCTGGGCAGTCAACTTGTACATAAAATGTTAACCAGTCCTCAGAGTAGGCTGACCATGAAACAGAATTTTGCTACTATGGCCCTTTTACAATGGCATATGTGATGTTTTAGTTCATTTTTTAATGTTATAACAGAATACAACAGATTGGGTAACTTATAATAAAAAAAATGTATTTGGCTTAAGTTCTGAAAGCTGGGAAGTCCAAGGTAAGGGCCTTCTTGGTGTGTCAATCCATGGTGGAAGGTAGAAAGACAAAAGAAGATAAGAGGAAGAGGGCAAGAAGGGGCCGAACTCATCCTTTTATTAAAAACCCACTCCCACAATAAAAATGGCATTGTCTATCTATTTAAGGCAATGTCCCCATGACCCAAGCATCTCCCTTTAGGCCACACCTCTCAGCACTGTTGCATTGAGAATCAAGTTCCCAATACATGAACTTTAGAAGACACATTGAAACCATAGCAAAAGCTTAACACAGATACAGCCATAGAACAATTTACTTCAGTATCCAGAAACAACAATAAAAAAAGTCTATAAACCAAAGAAATTTTCCCATAAGAGAATACCTTATATAGATTTTTCTGACCCTAAATGTGGAGTACTGCCCATGCCTAAATCCTCATGAGAATGACTGAGGGAGAGGTAATGTTAGCTACAAACATCTTTGTCTTCAACGATCAGCTTCCCTTAGAACTAGATTGCTGTTATTAATGACAGTGATTTTCGTTTACAGCACAATGTTGGACTATAATTATTTCCTGATATGAATTGCTTACCCACTTCTTCTCCCCAATTAGGTGACCTGTTGTCTTCTACATTTGTTGTTGTTGTTGCTTCAATATTCTGAACAAATAGCTTGCTTGTGAATAGAACTGTTCAGCAGTTCTGATAGATTTTTTTTCTTTCTCTTATACATTGCTCAATAAAATTCAAGAACATTAAAAGGGCATCAGAGGTCATTAAGTGTATTATTTTCTCAAAATATAGTTGATTGCCTCATGGTTCAGATTAAGATAAAAGCTCTTGTACTAGTTTAACAAACAGCAAACTTGATTGCTTGCTGTTTTGAAAGACTGGCTGACTGTATGCTCGGAGGCTCAGTATGTCAAACATGGAATTGGTTGGTGGGAAGAGAGTGAGGGTAAACACTCCACAATCTCCCTAAGACATTATTGACCCATTTCTCAAAGTTAGAAAAAATATGTTTTCATAGTGCCCTTCACTAGCTTCTATATGCATGCCCCTGGAGAACATGGGTATAGGAAGAAATGCTAAAAAAAAAAAAAGCTCACAAATGCCCATGTCTCATCAACCAAGCTATAAAGCAGTAATTAAAAAGTCTTCAGCAACACTCTTCCTATATGCTTCATTTTTTGCCAGTTACTGTGGAAATTATTGAAGAAAAACACAAGATTCTGTCCCAAGAAGAGCTAGCACAGTATATGACAGGGTGCTATACAATGATGTAAGATTCGCAAGTTAGCACAAGACTAAGTGTTTCAGACTAAAATGCTAAGGTAATTTGGAAGAAAACAGGCAACAATAAGGAAGGCTTCCTGGAAGACAGGGCCCATGAAGGATGGGTGGAATTTATTTACACAATAAGGAAAGAAAGGGCACCTCAGTCTGATAGGAAAGCGTGAGTGAACTGGTACTACCTACGTCTGACTGATGGCATTCCCATAGTTAAATCATATCTCCATTACTTTTTCCTTGTTCTTACTTCGAGTCTTCCTTGTGCTGGGTGAGTGAATAGGTTTCTATTTGCTGAATTCATTCTATGTAATAATAAAATAATCTTGATCAATGTGAATTTTAAAAAAAGAAATTGATTTTAGCTTCAGAAATCTTGATTAATTGAGACCACTTACAACTGCCTGGCAGGCTGAGATTTTAAAAAAAACCCTTAGACAAAAATGTGCAGGGCATTGGAAGGTGATGTTGCCTCATTCCTTCATCTCAGGGCATAATCTTTCTCCTTGACCCACCCACCCAGTTTTACCACCTGTCAAAATCAATTAATGCTTCCTTGAATTCTGTACTAACACAGAAGGAGAAAATTAAAACTCAAAGGACAGGACATGATTCAGGGTACCATTGAAACTCTGAGTCCAAGATCAAATCAACACATTATAAAAACAAATAATAAACAAACAAAGAGAAACCATAGAGTAGGCTGTGAAGTTAGGATCTTCCTCACTATTGTTGCCTCAGTGTTTGGTCATAGTTACAGGTAGAAATGGAACCCATGGAAATGGAAAGAGAATGGAGCATGGCTTTGGGTCTGACAAATTATACTGCATACAAACCCTCACACACTTGGTACTATTAATTTGTGCATATGTGCTGATATTCATTTAAGAAAATATTGTTGAATATTTATGCATCATAATGTGCTACACATATGTGGAATATAATAATAATATATATAATAATATAATAAATCTGACAGAGTTGTAAGGAGGATAAAAGAGCAATGCATTGTTTAAGTTTCATGAAAGTAGTAGGTATAGGACACAGAGATCATAGAAGAAGAGATGCGTTCTGTTATGGCTCACAGGGAGTTAAAGTCACAGTATAAATCATGAAAACTTCAGGGCGGTCAAATGAGTAGTATCATTAGAAAAGGAAGCAAGTCAGACAAAAATCCTGCAGAATACATCTAACATAAAGATGTATTGTAAATAGACACAAAGAAGCCTGAAACAGACAGATATATTGGAAAAATTCAAGTGCTTAGGATAAGTGAAATCTGTGATCAGCTCAAATCTGCAAAATCAAGTAGAGGTAGTTTATTAAAGGCAGCTAATATTACACTAAGAAAGCCAATTCTTTTCAAACCATTTCATATAGTGGATTTTTTTTTTTTGTCAAGGACAATTATTTGATGAGTTCTAGTGAATAAAAAAGATAATAACAAACATAATGAGGCTTAGGATGGAGGAATATTTAAAACGGAAAACCCGACCAGGTGCGGTGGCTCACGCCTGTAATCCCAGCACTTTGGGAGGCCGAGGCAGTAGATCACAAGGTCGGGAAATCGAGACCATCCTGGCTAAAACGGTGAAACCCTGTCTCGGCTAACACGGTGGAACTCTGTCTCTACTAAAAATACAAAAAATTAGCCGGGCACTGTGGCGGGCGTCTGTAGTCCCAGCTACTCGGGAGGCTGAGGCAGGAGAACGGCGTGAACCCAGGAGGCGGAGCTTGCAGTGAGCCGAGATAGTGCCACTGCACTCCAGCTTGGGCGAAAGAGCGAGACTCCGTCTCAAAACAAAAACAAAAACAAAAAACAAAAAACAACAGAAAGCCCTTCTTTACTCCTCTCCATTTTTCTTGCCCCCTGGTTGCTTTAGATGCATTAGCATATTTTGGAAATAATAAATTTATATCTATTTATGTGTCTATTTTTATGTCTATTTATTCATCTTGTTTGTTACTATCATGTTCTTTAAAAAATCTTTATATTTTTAAGCCATAATAATTTTCTCAATAATAATACTTTACCTCAGGGACTTCTGCTTCTGTGCAGATGGAGTAACAGGGGCTGGACTTAACCTAATACATGAAATAACCAAACAAATGTAGAAAATGGACTAGATATGTGCAAAAATTTGTTTTCAAGTCACTGGACATAAGGCAATGAAATATAATGATCCCTGAGTGATTGAAAATAAAGGAAGTACGACTATGCTTACCCAAACTTATTGCCTAGAGAGTATTTTTAGAGGATGACATCAGGGAGAGGGAGATGAAGCAGAAAGCAGATAAATTCCTGAGTTGTACACACAGAGTTGAGAATCTTGAGAGGCCAAGGGAGCTAGAGCTCATAGGAGAGAACTCTGAAAAGGACAGAGGTATGCAGACAGAGAACCCTGAAGATTTGCAAATAATCACTCTCAAGTACTCAGCATAATATTGATCAGCAAATAAATGGAGAGACAAGGGAAATAACTATCCAAAAAATTAACACAGGCTGGCACTCATCTAGGAGAGGGAATAGTCTGTTTTTTCCAGCTCTACTGGAAACACTCATTATCCATAAGACATTGGGAATAATAAGGGTTTGCCTCAGTAATAAGAATAATTAGCTCTATATGAAGCACTACTCCATACCCACCTAAGAAAAACAGAAGCAAGACATAAAAGGATGAGTCAGTTTTTCAAGTAACATAACAACATCAAAAAACAAAGTTCTAATATATTTATAGAAATACAAAAGTGGCCAGTACCTAAGAAGGTATAATTCACAATATCTGGTAGCCAATAAAAAAATTGCTAGGCATTCAAAGGGGTGTGCAAATAGGATACATTATGAGAATAATCAATAACTGAAATCAACTCAGGACTGATGCAGATGTAAAAAACCATTGGAAAAGGGCAATAAGATAATTATCTTCAAAAATTAATGAAAGACATGGAACATATTATAAAATGGTTCAAAACAAATTTCTAGAGATGAAAACTTAGATATCTGAGATGAAAAGTTTATTGTATGGATCTTATGACATCTTATAAAATATAAAGGATACAGTGAACTGGAAGACACAGTAATGGGAGATGTCCAAAATTAATCATAAAAAGATTAAACATGCAGAAATCCTATTATAGGTATAATTGGCATCCTCAAAGGAGAGGAGAGAGAGAGAAAGAGGAGACAGAAAAAAAAACTGAAAAAAATAATGGCTAAAAATTGTCCAGATCTGATAAAAGTTATTAATACATACAGATTCAAGAAGCTCCAGAAATCTCCAGCAAAAGAAACACAAAGATGTAGATCAGAGAATACCAAGTAGCAAATAATGTAGGATGAAGAAGTCTAGAGATCTATCACATGAAGACCATAGGTAATCAAATTGTCCTATATGTGGGAGTCATGATAAATGAACAGGTTTTAGCTGCTCTTGCCACAAAAATGGGTAACTATGTGAGATGATGGATATGCTAATGTACTTCATTGTAGTAGCTTTTTACTATTTACATATATCTTATAGAATCATGTTGTATACCTTAAATATACATACTAAAATTTACTTTTAAAAAAGGTAGATGAATAAAAAAGTAACAAAGCACATCATAGTCAAATTGCTGAAAATCAGAAATGAAGATAAATCCTTTAGCCGAAGAAGACATGCAGAGCAACTAAGATAAGGATGATAACAAATAGCAAATATCTCATCTAAAAGTAATGCAAAGGAAGAGACAGTGGAGTAAAATTATTAAATAATCAAAATAGGAAACAAAAATACTACCTAGAATTCTATACCGTGTGAAAAATATCTTTTAAAAACTAAAAGTGAAGTAGAGACTTTTTTCAGATATATAAAAGCTTAAACGATTCATCATCAGAAGAGTCACACTACAAGACATTTTAAAGAAAGTGATTCAAGCAGATAGAAAATACTACATGAAAATATAAATTTATACAAAAAACGAGCACCTGAAATAATACCTGTATTGGTAAATATGTAATTTTTTCTATTATTTAAATGTCTTTAAAATAATTTATTGCTTAAATAAAAAATGTAGTTTGTGTCTTATAATATATATAAAAGCAAAATGTTTGACAACAATAGCACAAAGGCCAAGAAAAGAGAAATGGAAGTCTAATGCTTAAGATTCTTGTACTATCCCCGAAGTGGTATACTATCACTTGAAGTTAGTCTGTAATAAGCTAGAAGTATATATTGTAAACTCTTAAGCAACAACTAAGGTGACAATATTGAAAGTTACTAGTAATAAGCCTACAAAGGAGGGAAAATGAAATAAGAAAAAAAATTCTCCATTAACCCAAAGGAAGCCAGGGAAAAAGCAAAAGGAGTATTGGAAAAAACTAAAACAAAACAAAAAAAAAGAATAAATAACAAGATGATAGATTTAAAATAACCATATCAATGATCACATTAAGTGTAAATAATCTAAATTCACCAATTCAAAAGCATAGGTTGTTAAATTGGTTAAAAGGCAAATCTCAATGAATGCTGCCTACAAAAATAATAACGTAAATATCATGATGAGAATAGTAAAAACATAATGTAAATATAATGACAAAACATGTATAGAAAAAGAAATTCCATGCTAATACTAATTAAAAGAAAGCTGGAAAGGATACATTAACGTAGGAGAAAATAGATACCAAGGCAGAAGTGTAATATCAGAGGAAATGAAAGTCATCTCTGACACAGGGTTCAATGCATCAGGAGGATATAACAATATTAAATGTGCCCTTCAGAACAGTGTGTCAAAACACAAAAAGCAAAAACAGATTTAAAAAAGAAGAAATTGATAAGTCCACATTATACAAGATGATGTTAATATTCCTCTTTTAATAATGATAGAACTGGTAGGCAGAAAATTAATAAAATACAGATAATTTGAACAGAAATCAATCACCTCAGTATAATTGATATTGATAAAACACATCTCTTGCCACTGGGAAAATATGTATTCTTCTAAATTACTTATAGAACATCTGCTAATGTAGACTGTATTCTGGGCTATAAAATAAATCTTGATATATTTTTAAATATCTAATTTTCTGTCAATGGAATTAAATTTGAAATCAGTAACAGGGCTCTGAAAAATCTCAAAATGTTTGAAAACTAACACAATTCTAAATAATCCATGGGGCAACATAAAATCTAAATTGAATTATGACAATATTTGAGATTGAATAAAAACAAGAGAATAAATTTAAAAAATTGTGGGATATCGTTAAATACATGCAGGATCAGAATTTATAGCACTAAACATCTTTTCAGAAAAGATAAAAGTTCTCAAATAAATGACCACAGCTTGTACCATAAGAAGCTAGATAACAACAAATGAAACCCAAAAGAAAAAGAGTGTAAATAATAGTGTAAGGTGCAAATCAGTGAAATATTTTTTAAATGTAACCAAAAGAAAATCAATAATACCAGGAGCTGGGTCTTTGAAAAGGCTAATTAAATTGGTAAAACTCTAGCCAGATTGATCAGGAAAAAAAGAGAAAAGCCACAATTTACCAATAACAGAAATGAGACATGTGGCATCACTACAGATTCTATAGATATTAAGTGTTGATAAAATATTAAGAACAACTTTTTGCCTAGTATTTCAACAGTTTAGATGTATTGGACAAACATTTAAGTATGACATAATACCAACTCCACTCACACTCTTTCAGTAGATATTGATTTCAATATTACCTTGATAGAAAAAAATAAAGGGATTATTAATTAAATAAACTACAAACCAATATTCTTCATGTGACTAGATACAAAAATTTTAAACAAAATGTTGGCTCTTTGAATTCAGCAATATATAAAAGGATAGTATATAATGATTAAGTGACATTTATCCTAGGAATGTGGGATTTATTTACCAATGAAAAAGCAGTTAATGCTACTAATTGTATTAACAAACTGAAAAAAAATCACATGCTCTGCTAAATAGAATCAAAGGGGAAAAGTATTTGACCAAATCTATTACCGATTTTTGACAAAAGTTATTGGCAGTCTAAGGATAGAAGGGAATTTTCTCAACCAGATAAAGGAAATCTATGAAAAAAACCAGGAAATAACATCATACACTATGGTAAAAACGAATCCTTTCCTTATAATATTAGGTACAAGACAAATATGCCACTTCCAGTCAACATTAAATGGCAGGCTAAGTAAAATGATGTGTGCCATGAAGCCAGGAAAAGAAACTAAAAGCACTATATTGGAAAGAAAGATGTTTAACTGATCATTTATATAGAAAATCTGATGGAATCTACCAAAATGCTACTTGTAGTAATAACTTAGGTTAGAGAGAATGCAAGATGCAAGATTATAATACAGAAATATATTATATTTATATGTACTAGCAATAAACAATAAGAACTTTAAAAAAATCACAAGAAATCAAAACTGTAAAATCTGGAGAGATTCGTTGGGCAAACAATATGAAAGACATGTATCCTTAAAACTAAAAGAAAATGTTGATATAAATTAAAGAATTGGTTAAATAAAGAAATATATCTTGTTCATAGGCCAGAATATTCACTATTATTAAGATGTAAGTTACGGCTAAATGAAAAGCTAATACTAAAATTCATACAGAAATGTAACACAATAGTTAAAACACCTCTAACGAAGGGAAACAGATCAAAGGACTGACATCACATGGTTTTCAGAATTATTGCAAAACTATGATATCAAAACAGCATGTGTAGTATTGGCATAAAATAGATAAATAAGTTAATGGAAGAGAATATAGTTCAGAAACAGACTTGTCTATATATGTATAAAATAATTTTTTGACAAAGGTGCAAAGGCAGTCCTGTGGAAACAGTATTTTCAACACGTGTTTTTAGAACAACTGAATATGCACATACAAAATGAACTTTCATCTACACTTTACACCATATGGAAAAATCAAGTCAAAATAGATCATACATTTAAATATAAAATCTAGAGCTATTAAACTTCTAGTGAAAAAAATATAGAAAAAAAATTTTGTGACTAACGATAGGCCAAAATTTATTAAATAGGACACCAAAGCACTATTAAAAAGAAAAAAAATTGGCAAATTTGACTTTATCAAAATTAGAACCTACTCTTCAAAAGACAGTTAAGAAAAAAAGGCTATAGAGAAGGAGAAAATATTTACAAATCTTATTTCTGAAAAATCACTTATATCCAGAGTTCCAGAATTCAATAATAAGAAAAAAAAAGCAACTCAATATAAATGGGCAAAATATTTAAACAGATACTTCACTAAAAAAGGAATGAAGAATGAGCACGTGAGATGCAGAACATTGTTAGTTATTAGAGTCATGCGAATTAAAAGTCCAGTGAGGTAACACCACCACACACCTACACAATGACTAGAATTTAAAAAGCTCATCACGTTTGGTTTCGGCAAGGATTTGAAGGAAGTGAAACCCGCAAGCACTGGTGGTAAGGATGTAAAATGGAGCAATCTTTTCAATAAACAGTTTGGCTGTTTTTTTAAAAAGCTAAACATAATCTGTTATGTGATCCAGCCATTTTACTTCCAGATATTTACCTAAGAGAAAAGAAAGCTTGCTTATTCAGTTAGTTGTACATAACTATTTGTACATAAGTGTTCATAACCGTTTTATTATAATAGCTAAAAACTGCAGACAACCCAAATATTCTTCAATGGTGAATGGATAAACAATTTGTGGAGTAAGTAAAATACTACTCATCGATGAAAACGAATAAAGTAAAAATGAGTAACACACAACATGAGAAAATCTCAAAATAATTATGCTGAGTAGAAGAAGCCAAACAAATAGAACATGTTACATGATTCCATTTATCTAAAACTCTGGAAAAATGCTAACTAATCTACAGTGACATAAGGCAGGTTAGTAGTTGCCTGGGGAGGTGCAAGGAGGGAAAGACAGGAAAGAGGTATTACAGAGGAGCATCACTTTGGACATGATGGATATGTTCACTACCTTGATTAGGATGATGGTTTCAGGGGCACATATGTCAAAGATTGCCAAATTATACTTTTTAAAAATTTACAGTTTATTTTGTCAGTTATACTTCAAGAAAGCCGTTAAAAATTCTGCATTGTACTTAAGTATCCAAAAGTGCTTTGATATATGCTGTCTCACCTAATCACTTCATGACACTGATAGATAGCATTTAGAATCGTTACTATTATTCTGTCTTTTTTTTTTTTTTTTTTTTGAGATGGAGTCTTGCTGTGTCTCCCAGGCAAGCTGGAGTGCAGTGGCACAATCTTGGCTCATTGCAACCTCTGCCTCCCAGGTTCAAGTGATTCTCCTGCCAGCCTAACGAGTAGCTGGGATTATAGGTGCACACCACCATGCTTGGTTAATTTTTTTTTTTTTAATGGTAGAGACAGGGTTTCACCATGTTGGCCAGGCTGGTCTCTTGAACTGCTGGAACTCAGGCGATCCACCCGTCTTGGCCTCCCAAAGTGCTGGGATTACAGGTGTGAGCCACCACTCCCAGCTTATTCTGTCCTTACAGAAGGGAAAACAAGATCAGAATGATATTATTTGACCAAGGCCACGCAGTCTGCAAGTGACAGACAAAGGAAAATGCTCACATCTTCACTTTCTTTGTGTCTCTGTAAGTTCCCAGTCTTATTTGAGGTTCAAGGGCATTCAGAAAAACCTGTCCAGTGAGCTGATGTTACTGGTTATCTTTCCCATCCACCCTCTTGTTCATTTAGGGGAGACTGGCTGCCTACATAGAGTGAACTCTGAGTAGCATATGCTATTTAACTTTCACAGAACTTGTTTTATTGTGGGGGCATATTTGCGATGCATTTGTGTGAAACCAGGCATTTAGAATTTGTAAACAGAGATAGCATCTGGTTTGAGTTTCTTCAGACTTTCTTAGGCCTTTAAACTTACAGTACGTCCTCACTACTACTCCTTTCACAATTAATTGTCTATTTTCCCCAACATCTCCCATATTGTCACATGTATGATTATGTAACTACTTTTGTTTATTTCTTAATGCCCTGCATATCAAGTCAGTTTTACATTCCTTGGGCATAGAAACAGTGAATATGCTGCTGTGCTGTCCACTAAAATGTTTTAGTGGACTTCAGTGCAGTGTTTTATTTTTAATATACAGGCAGATCATTTTTGTTGATGTGGATCCTTATTTTTCCAGTTTCTGCCCAGATATTTCATGAACACTTTCTCCCATCCTATGCTTTCTTTTGCTTCATTCTCTTCTCATGAATCCTCAAGCTACCACTTACTCTTCACACAGAAATAATTAATATTTTCAGTTGTAGGCTTAATTCTTATCTCACACCCTATTTAGAACTCACAAAAACAAGAGAGAGAAAAGTAATTTTCTGGAACAAGACGAAACTGATATCTGTTAGAGATATAAGGGGAGTCAATTTATTGACCAATTCTTCAAACTAGGCCAAGTATAATAGAAATACAGTTTACAAGTTAATGTAAGAACAAAACCCTGAAAATTTGGGGCCACACAATTTTGGTGCTTAGTCCATCCTTGCTGCTATTACAAAATACTTGAGACTGGGTAGCAAATAAACAATAGAAATTTATCTTAAAGTTCCAGAGACTGAAAAATCAAGATCAAGGTACCAACAGACTCAGTGTCTGTCGAGGGCTGCTCTGTTTCCTTGCTGTATCCTCACATGGTGGAAGGGGTGAACAGTTCTCTCCACCTCTTTTATAAGGCTGCTAAAAGCCCCACCTCTTAATACCATCACTTTGGTGATTCAGTTTTAACATGTGAATTTTAGGAGGACACAGTCACACCATAGCAGTCTTCTTACTAACAAACTTTTATTATTATTAGAGATTTGAGAAACTTCAATATTTACTGTGGGGGAATGGAAGTTCTTATTTAGGTTAGATTTTTCAAAAGGGGTAGTTGGTAGCATGAACAGTAGCATGTACAAGTCAGAAATGATTGGGTTTATTAATCAAGGTGGTAGCCTGAGGGTCAGGGGCAGGAGAGAAAAGCAAAGCCGCTTCCTCTGGCACTAAATCCTGGGCCAACAGAGAAAGAATTCCTGTTAGTCTTGCTCTATTTCTTCATTAACCCTTGCATGCTTAGAAAGTGCTTTGCTGCCTAAGTCTCTCAGCCCAAGTCCTTTAGAGAAATCTCTATGTAGGAAACACCACAGATTTATCATTTATGAATTATTCATCATTATCATTATTAGCTCTCATAATTCCAGCCATGCTGCTCATGGGGCTCTGTCTTTTTGCTTAAGTCATATAAAACTCAGCTGACAAAACATTAGCAGACATTCTATGGGGAATTGTTGGGGCCTGGTTTGGCTGATTACAGCCACCTTCTATATCTAACACCAGTGATGTTGTGTATATATGACTGCTCATACTTTCCAAACACAAAGTTTCCAAAAAAGTAAAGTTTATCAAAGCAATAGGTTGAAGCCAATGAGTATTCCCACTCAAAGAACTTGGTAGCAAAGCCAGCTTCATGAGTAAAATTGAAACCCACTCTTCATCGATAGCCCATGTGTAGCGGGCACAGTGATGGGTGGCTAATGTACAACAGTACGATAGACCATTCCTTATGACATCTCAAGCAGTCAGAGATTTATTTTTCACAGATACCTTAAATGTCACTAATACTGACCCATTCTTTACATTTAGGTGTACACTCATAAAATGCAAATATCCAAGTAAAGGGTTTCATCTCCAGCTCCCTATCTTTTATTATAAATCTGTGCATCAAATTATTCGTCCAAGGCAATTGGAAAGGGAATGGATTGAAAGCACAGCCTCTCTGTTTGCGGGGAGTGGGATTTGCAACCAAGGGATCCAGAAGGCCTGGCAGCGAGTCTTAACACTGGCTGCCCACTGAGCTGTATGCCTGCCTCCTAGATTCCTACTGGGATTCTTATAGATTTTGGAACTTATCTGTCAGGCTACAGGGAGAAACAAGTTTCTACACAATAGTGTGAGCTTCCCCTTATGGTTATTTCTTTCTCCACATGATGCCAAACATGTCCATGGCAAAACTCCAGGCATGTCATAGAGTGAATCATATTCAGGGTGCCAACCATTAATTGGGGAAAAATGTTCCTTAAGCTGTTCGTTTTTGATGATAGGGAAATAAGGTAGTGCCTATTTATATAGAGTCCCATGACTGTTTTATTCCATTCAACTACACTATAACCTTGGAAATAAATGTTATTGAACTTTTTTTAACATGTCAAAAAAAAAAGAAACTTAGAAAGCTGAATTGTCTTGATGCGTTCATTTATTAATTCTTTCATTCATTCAACAAATATTTATTGTGTCCTTACTGTGTGCCAAACACTGTTACATGTGCTGGTGATACAGAGATGGAGGAAAAAAAGACCAAACCTTCTACCTTAAGATATTGCAATTTCGTGGGGAAAGCCCCAATGTAGTCACTAACAGCCATATGCTTTGAACCCAGTTCTGTCACTCAATTATCCCCTCATCATATGTGGTTATCAGTCAGCAAGAGGTAAAGAATCATCCAAGGTTCATAATTGTAGTAAGGCAAGATAAAGAATAACTATATCCCTCCTCTTTGACTCCATGGGACTTCCCTCTCAGTCTAGGTTTCCCCTGGAAAGTGGACCTAGACATTCAAGCTAATTTGCAACACCTTTAAATGAATGAGGGTGCAAGATCCAAGAGCACGTGTTGAGATGCTCTGGGTCCTACAGCTTCTCAGGATGAAGCAGGGACTCTACTTTGGGAAGATTTGGTTTTCTCACCTTCAGGAATGCCGGGTTTGGACTTCTTTATGGCCAATGTGTTGCAGGAAGTAGATTTTGCTCTATTTCTGAACAGCGGCACTGAATGCCAGGGAAAGGGAAGACTGCCTCCTGCCATGTTGTAAGGCTATCTTGAGGGCCTTCCAAAGCCCAGATTTCCTCTGAATTAAGATAAAGCAGTGCTGGGATTGCCAGTAAATAAGAGAGGGGCTGGAGTCTTGGAGTTAAATATGAGGGAGCTGCTGGTGGGACTTACAGACGCCAGCATGTTCACACACACCCACGCCTACACACACACTCACACACACAACCCCAGGTGGAGTGGGAAATTAGTCAGCAGAGTCCTGACAAAGTGCTTCCTACACATGCTGTTCTGTCAGGCGGCACAGCTTCTCAGGCTTCAGAGGTAATTACATGGATTTTCTGTCTTGTACTTGCAAAAACACAGCCCAGCACCGTGCTGCCGCTGCTGGCTTGTCGCTGACAACGCCTTTGGCTCTGGCAGGCAGCAGGCTGCAGGAGAATGTTTACATGTTCTCTTTTAAGAATTCAAACCCCGAGAAGGCACAGGAGGTACCAGGGGAAGAAAGAGGTGAGAGTTTACATGAGGGGGAGAAAGTGTAGGGAAGATATTCTTGGATAACCACACAAGGCATTCCAGGGGAGATGGGGATAAACAAGATACACAAAAATAGGGAAACTGCTGCAGAGAAGGCTACAATGATACTTGCATTAATGAATTTCGTTTCCTTTCTCTTCATCCATCAGCATAATTACTTGGCCAGTAATACTCATTCTGCTTTCAACCAATCCACCCATCAATCAACAGTTGTTAGATGCTAGATGCCCAAATTTTAGGCTGGGCAATTTGTGTTTTTGTGGGTTGGAGGACAAAGCATAAAGCACAGTTCCTGCATAGAGGAGCTTACAAAGAAGGTGAGAAGACAGTGACTCATTTCAGGAAAACAGAAAGAAGGTAGATGATGACTTGTGCCCAGTTGGGTATAGTTAGAGAAGTAAAGTGACTTGTTCAAGGTCACAAAGCCAGTTAGTAGCCAAGTCATGACTTGTGCCCAATTAGGTATAGAGTACCATTCCTGATGTCAAGACTCTACCCATTATTTGGGGGATATTCTCCTTTCTAGTCTTTATTTTAATGGAGATTAGAACCAAGAAATGGAACACAGAAACAGGAATAAGTAGGAGACAAAAATGTGCTGGGGCACTTTACCTTATTATGAGCAAAAAGGAACAGGACATGGACCAGTGCAAGGAGCAAATCATTCATGAGACGTACTGTGGGCCTAAGCGATGCCCAGTGTAATGCCATGGGAAGCAGGGCCTCAGCGAGAAGTCATGTAACCAGTGTGCAGTTATCCATATGCAACTCATGTGCATATCATACAGGGTGTCTGTTAGATGTGGGCTGTATTCGCTGTGTGAATGGAAAACTCCAGACTGAAGCAGGCTCATTTTCAGGCTGCATTTTCAGACCTGGCTTTTATATCAGGTCCAGGTGACAGTTACTAGCATTGACTATGTGTGGATTTCCGAATTTACGATTCTTATAAAAATTGATCAAATGTGTGTGCCTCTATGTATTTGCCCTAATACCTAGAATGCTGACTCAAACTCCGTGGGAACCTTAGAACACAGAATCAAAAAGAGGCCCGGACTAAAGGATGCATTTATGACTTGGCTACTCATTGGCTCTGTGACCTTGAATAAGTCACTTCACTTCTCTGAACTTTTATTTTACAATCAAATCTTTTGGATATTTTGGGGCCAACTCCAGTTGTCCAACCATGGCTGTGGTTTTCTCTGATATCATCAGTCTCCTGTATGTTTCTCCACATGCCCCTGTCTGGGTCTTCAATTAAACTATTCTCCTTCTTTAATGTGTCCCACTCTCCTCAAACCATCAAACCCTGGACATGCTTCCGGTCTTTACTTAAGGCCTCTTCCCATCTGCAACCTCATATCTTCCAGTCTGCATTTCTCTCCCTTCTCTGAATTCCCAGAACAATGCATATTTCCAAGAGGTCAAGCCCTAGAGGTCACAGAATGTGAATCCTTAATAGCAGTATTTGTGATTGTCTCTGTGTTTCTGAGGGGAACATGGTTTGTTAAGGGCACTGGGTAGAGATTGACAAAATTGTTGATATTTTTTATTATATCACTCAGGGTGCCAGATATAATCAGGAAACATAACTAAATTCATATTATAAAATGTTTAGCCTGAACTAGGAAAAAAAACAGACTTTATGGTCAGAAGGTATCCTAGTTAAATGACTGTTCCTCACCAAACCTGCCAATTTCAGGTTTCCTTTTCATTCTGTTTTTCTGCTGATTATCTTGTCTTTATTTTTAGAGATTTTTCAGTCAGCTCAGTTAGTTACTCAAATTTAAAATATTTGAATATAGTATGTATAAAGGCTCATCAAAATATAGACCTCTTTTCTAACTTTTAATGGTTTATATATTTATCACTTGCAAACAAATATGTGGAAAAAAAGCTGTACTCTTTCAGTTTATCACATGCGTTATGCTTCATGACTGCCTAATGAAGTGTGTGCTACTTTATTCCCATTTTAAGGATTACAGAACTGCAGCTCAGAGACATTAGATAACTGGTTTCAGGTCATGTGGCTAGCAGGGAAGGCCAAATTCAAGTTCAAATCTAGGTCTGTCTGATTTTAAGTCTCTTTCCATCACTCAACCTTCATAAATAAATCTAATATATGTAACAAGCAGAGTTAAATAATTCCTAAAGTGCACAAAAATGTGAGTAGGAAAACTAGTGGGTTAGAGATTGGAAAGTGAATTGGAGTAGAGAGAATGGCGAGTTATTTGGGAAGACTTCTGCTGTTCAATTTAGCCATCTATGCTACCTAAAACAATTCTATCAGTGGTACATATGTGTAATATAATGATATTTTTACTATATTTAAGGTATATAAGAGAGTCTCCCAGGTTAAAACAAGAAAAGAAGTACCAGAAAGTTTCAACTGGACACAGAACATGCAAAGGGTTACAAAAGAGAAAACAATTCTTTTTGGGTAGCATGATCACTCTTTCAACACACCAGAGTTGCAGTAGTAGTACTGAAAAAGAAACCTGAAATATACCTACAATATTAATGACTCTGCTACAAAAAATAATTTACAGGTGTGCTTGCTGTTTACAGAAGAACTGTTCTAAGAAATTGTGGTATTTCCAGTTTTCTTTCTCTGTATCTATCCTTCTGTTCAAAATAATTTAATTGTACATTTTGGAACAAAAACATATACATTTGTAGCTCTTCTTTCTTGAAACTCCATTACAATGGCAACTTGTCAAAAAAATAAGCCCACAAAAACAAAGAAAATTTAACAGGAGAAAACATCAAACTAAAACGGCAAGCAAAACTTTTGACTAAACAGTTGTATGAGTAATAACTGATTTAGCAGACTGGAGAGTTAGAGAAGATAATTAGTTTTATGGTATAAAACACAGAAATATGATCCACTCTGGGAAAAAAAAAAAGTCAGAAATTGAAGTATCAGATACTGTCAAGTTTGGGAGTTTCAGATTGGGTTTGAAAATAGAGTGGACTTTTTTTGGCATTTATTAAAAGAACAGTTTGAGACAAAGTTTCCAATTCAAAGTCCATGCTGTCAAGAGACTCCTCCTCCACTCAGAAGAATAAATAAAGTTTACCCTTGAGAGAGGGTGCACAGCAATGTACTTGCCTCAGAGACGGGCAAAGGTGAGGGATGGAGATGCCGTGATAAAAATGAAAGAATTGAAAAAACAAACAAAAGAAGCTACATATGTATTCCCCACTTCTGTAGCTGTTTTCCCTTCACAAACTCCCAGAATATTGAAAGTGAGGACTATTGCCCCTAGGCAGGAGACTGGAAGTATTATTCTACAAGGAAATCCCCCAGCCCTAGAGAAAAGATGTGCAGATATTGGAAAAGACAAAGAGAATGAGACAGCCAAGTCCCCATCTTATAATACTGTGGTAGAGTCTGCCATTCTAGCCCTGCCCATGACATGCATAGTTTCTCATCAACACATTTGGATCTCACTCTTAAATATGGATAATATCTAAGGTTCACCATTGATTTGTTTTATTTTGTCTTTAAGTAAAATTTTAAATGAAAGACAGGAAAGAAAATCACACAATATAACAAACCAAAAGAAATAGAGACAAAACAGGAATCTGAAGAAATCTTCAGTGAAACTATAATTGAATGCTTCAGTGAGCATCGTTTATTTGTTCATGAAACAAATATTCATTAAGCAGGAGCATAAAGCATCTATGCCAGATACTGTTCCAAGCACTCAGGATATGTTGATGAATAGATTTTGCCTTGGGAAGTTATATTTGGTGGATGTGAGACAATATCTCATTCATGAAAATATAATAGAATGTTATAAACAGGATAACTTAGAATTTTTTAAAATACGTAAGTTATACAATAAAAATGGATAGAGTTAGAACTGAAATTAAGAAAATCTCTTGGAAACTAGAACAAAATTATTAAGACATAGAAAATAGAAAGACAAATGTAAGATCATTAAAGGGTCAAATCAGAAATTCCTATATTTAATGGAGGACACAGAAAGAGAGAAAATAGAAAATGAGGACTGGTGGAGAGGGGAGTTATCAAGGTAATAATAAAATGAAATGTCTCAGAACTGAGGGACATAGATTTCCAGATGGAAAAGACCCATTAAATTCAAGCCAAGATTCATCTTAATGAATTTTCTGAATAATAGAGATGAAGGGGAGAAGGGATGGAGGGGAGATCCCCCAGGAGGAAAGGATTTGTCTCATTCAAAGAATTGCAGAGCAGAAGGCATGAAATTTCAGATCGATAACACCAGAATCTGGAAGGCAAGCAGATATACTTCCAAAATCTAAAGGAAATCTGCTTCCAACTGGAATTTACTCCTGGGCAAGTAGTCAATAAATCTGAAGGTTGAATGAAGATTTAGATGTGAAAAGTCTCAAGTATCCTTCATATACACACTTTCCTAAGAGGCAACTGTAGTATATGCCTGTTCAAAGTGAAGAAGTAAAAACAAATGGAGGGATATATAATAACTATTAAAAAAAGATTATTAGTTTCGAGAACAATTAAAAATTATAAACAAAGGAAATGTATTTATCCTATAATACATTCTTTGGGTGTGAACATAGTTTTAATACTGTAAATACTTTATGGTGTCATCAAACTGATCTTTCAAAGAAAATCCTGTACTCAAAATACTTTACTGGTACATGTTTGTTTTGGAATAAAATCCAAACACATCAAAATAAATTTTTTAAAGTTTATAAGAGTTTATGATTCATCTCGATATTCTCATTTCCCTATCCAGAGACTATATATGGGATCATTTGCAGTTCCTGAAAATTATTATGGTTTATCTGCCTCTTTCTTTTGCACTTGCAGATCCCTCTTCCTGGAATGTCTCCTTGCCTTCCTGAATGGCATCTGTGTATCTGTTCAAAACCAAGGCAAGCACCATCTTTTCAGGAAGCTTTTTCTCATCCTCAGCCCCACCTGGCCTGACGTGGGCAGGTGCTCCTCCAGGTGCTCCTTTAACACCTGTGTTGATCTTTATTCATGGATCAGTACTCTCACTGAATGTTAGTTTACTTTTCTTTCTCTTCCAAAAGAATGTGCTCTTCTGGAAAGTGGGAATTATGTTTTATTCATTGATATATCCTCAGCTTCTAGCATACTATTTAAGCTCCTAAAAATTTGTTATTTAATCTTTAAAACAACCTAAAGATTTGAGGATTCATTCAGACATGAAAGAGAATAAGTGACATGCATAAGGTCAAACCTTTTGTAACTAGTAGAGCCAGATTTAAACTCAGGCCTTTGGTATACTATAGTTTTTCCTATATTGTGCTAGAACATACTGGATTCTTGTTTAAGTAATAAGCATTTTCCAAGGCAATCTGGGCTTGGGATACCTCAGACCTAGTTCTAATGTGATAATGATTAGCTATATGGTCTTCAGCAAATTATTTCGTTTCATTTTTGTAAGTCTCCTCCCTAAGTCAAAGAGGTGTGTTTCTCAGAAAAAGTACACATTTCTCATCAGTAGCATGCTGCTTAAGGTCATGGGTATGGAAGCTCTGTGAAATGTCCAAAGCTCTGCCACCCAAGCTGGAGTGCAGGGGAGTGACTATAGCTCACTGTAGCCTCAAGCTCCTGAGCTCAAGTAATTCTCCCCACTCAGCCACTCTAGTAGCTAGGACTAGTCGTGTTCCACCACATCTTGCTAATTTTAAAAATTTTTTTGTGGAGACAGAGTCTCACTATGCTGCCCACGCTGGTCTCAAATTCCTAGCTTCAAGTAGTCCTCTCACCTTGACTTCTCAAAATGCTGGGATTACAAGCCACTATGCCTAGCCGAAAGCATGTAGTTGTGAAGTGGTGAGTTCTAATTGCAACTTACTGTATGTTTGGATGTTTGATTGTTAGTTATCTTAAATATGGGCCTTCATGTTTACATTCTCTCAAGTAACTCATGCTTTACTTCTCTTTATATCTGCCTTAAGACTGCCACACACTGAAATTGCACGATGATAACATTATGTTTGTGCATTGCTTTTTGCCAGTTTTGATGAAAATAAAGGTCAATATTAATACTTTTAAAGCTATTTAAATTGCAGCTTCATCCTAAATATTGCACAGAATAAGTAGAGAAAATCAGTACTGGAAAATGACTAGTAACAAAATTACTCAAGCAAGATGTTATATTTGAAAACTTTTAGCAAAGAATCTTTAATAGGTGGGAATTAAAAAATAAATCTTGTTTTGACAGTATTTAATAGGGAGAAATATTTTGGAGTATACAGAAAATTTATTTTTAAGACAATTTGACACAATATGGTTAAAAAAGATTTATTTTGTTGAAAAATAGAATTCTCTCTATATTATAGCTCTACATCCTATTACTTCCATTTGATATTGAAAAATGGAAAAAGATAACTCATATCTAAAGAAACATTGATTCCAATGGATTTTCGATTCAAATAAACAGTCTTTACTCAACAATGAAATTTATATAAAAAGAAGTATTTTTTTCTTTTCCCTCCTTTTATTTATACATCCATAATCAGGCAAGCCATAACACTGTCTAAACAACTGTATGCATTAACAAATAAACATAGATCAATAGCTAAATTTGACACACATGCACTGTTCTCTATGAAAACATCAATAGTCTAAAAGCTGAGTGGGCATAGCTGGAAAAATATGCTTTACAGACACAATGTTGGCAGAAGATTAAATAACCAGATGTCAGAGAGAAAAAAAAATTCAATGAAACTGAGCACATATTGGAAATGTACAGGTATTCTGTAGAGCTAAACTGTTCAGGATTAATAATAAGAAAATTATCTTCTAGCTGCAGTCATTCAATTACTGTGTGTGCAAATATTTTGGACTGGATGTTTTTTATTCAAATATATTATTATCTACATAAGAAGTCCTTTTGGGAGTCAAGGCAGAACTAGGATATGAGTTGCACAATGTGGTCCAATCTGAAAACAATATCTTAAGTTACTATAGAACCTTTCATAAGTGCAATCACAGATGACTTGTGTCATTCAAATCTATAGCACTGTGATGGAGCAATGAAAAAGGAATATATAACTTAGTAATGGGCTCAGACAGCTGAGAGAAGCCAAGTTTATGTAGAGCATTTGATTGAAAATAGATGAAATTTAAGAGTGTGTCAACTCAGCCAGTACCTACCCAAACCAAAAAGCAAATAAGCCATTTGCCATTTTATTATAAGGCAATATGGATGTGGATAGGGCAGTACACAAGGCACAGGGGCCATACAACATTTTTTATCATTTTCCAATGTTATTATCTGAAATAATTCATTGTAATTACACACAATAGAAGACACTATGTCTCCTATGAGTAATATTTTTAAAGGGATGACTCTTGGCTTACTAGCATGAGCAAATTGTCAGGAATGTCTACAGCAGGAGAAACTGACAATTTACCTTAGACAACTTTTAATTCACTTCTGAAAAAATTTGCTGTATTGTAAGTCTACAAGCATTGTCTCACATACATCCATAGTTTTATAATTCCTGAAATTGCTTGGCGTGCAGTCTCATTGTTTCTGTAATATTCATATATAGAGGAAGGGCACAAAATACATTAAAACTATTCACTTGCTTATGTAAATGTTACATGTCAGATTCTATCTAGAAAACAAGAGAATAAAGAGAGTAAATGGGCTGTGGGATGGGGTTTAGTATTGGAAGAAAGTACAAAACTGGAAGAGGAGATAGAATAGAGAGGTTATCTTCCCAGAGGTTATCAACCCAGAGAAAAACAAAACCCATCATTTAGAACAGAGATATTAAGACAAATACAAAGACTTCTGACCAGAGAATGGAAATTGGGGTGGATTTCCAGGAATGTATCAGGCAAAAGGCAAAGCAAGGTTTCAAAGTGACAAGTCACAGGTTTAAGAGTGGAGATTGAGACAAAATGAAAACATAACAACAATATCAAAAAATGAAGACAGAGGCCATTGGGATAAGAATGATGTAAAGGGGACCTATAAAGATTAGTTCACATAGGCTGGGCACGGTGGCTCATGCCTGTAATCCCAGCACTTTGGGAGGCCAAGATGGGTGGATCACCTGAGGTCAGGAGTTCGAGACCAGCCTGGGCAACATGGTGAAATCCCATCTCTACTAAAAATACAAAAATTAACTGGGCATGGTGGTGGACACCTGTAGTCCCAGCTACTCAGGAGGCTGAGGTAGGAGAATTGCTTGAACCTGGGAGGCGGAGGTTGCAGTGAGCTGAGATCATGCCACTGCACTCCTGCCATCTCAAAAAAGAAAAAAAAAAAAGATCAGTCCACATTAAAAAAAAAAAAGATTAGTCCACATAAAAGTGCATGCTCACTTTTCCTAAAGAATATTATGACCAAAACATAAAAAAAGATAGAAGATTGATTGATAGAAGTATTTATACATAAATCAATAAGAAAAAAAAGCACACCAACAAAATAAATTGATAAAGGACAGGGTCAGGTATACAACTCTCCAGTAAGCATATGTAATAATACCCAATCTTACTAGTAAGCAAAGAAATATTAAATCAACTATGCTTATTTTTAATTCATTAAGTTGGCTAAAATTAAAACAATAAAAAAGACACACCACAGAAAGACTGTTATGATACAGGCACTTTTTCTGTCAGTGTGATGCTTTAGGGTTTCTTAGGAGGAAAAGTCTAAACATTTTGCATTCCTATTAATGATTTCAAGAAATTCATTATACACAAATATATGGACTTACGCAAAGACTTAGCCAGATGTATTGATTTTAACACATACACACAAACATATACTAATATATAAATTATTTTTACATAGTTATCATAACATTTTTAAACTGAGATGTAGGTTTCTTTCCAAGGAATTGGTGTACTGACATCTGATCCCTGTCCTCTTCATTCTCTGTCAGGCTTATAAGGACATGGAATGAGAGATAGTTGAAGAATATGGCTGTTCCCTTAATCCAGCTACATGGACCAGGTCTGAGTGCGAGGAGAAAGTAGGCTGCAAAGAAAGCTCAAGACATTGGTTTGAAGAAGGGATTTCATGAGATTCTGACTATAGGCTGGACAACTTTAGTTCTCC
This sequence comes from Homo sapiens, assembly GCF_000001405.40. Taxonomy (NCBI): domain Eukaryota; kingdom Metazoa; phylum Chordata; class Mammalia; order Primates; family Hominidae; genus Homo; species Homo sapiens. The sequence goes on from NC_000018.10 coordinate 38,761,402, forward strand.
AGAGACAAAGTTCAATAAGTATATAGAGGGGCTGTGAGGACTAGGTATAACATAATAGTACTTTTGGATGCTTGGGGCCTTAGCAATGTTGAGGAATCTAGGAGAAAGGCAGCCTCCAGGAAAAGGAAGCCATGTTGGCAGGGGAGGGCTGGTATCAGGGGCAGTGATAAAATATTGCTCCCATGGGTCCTGCAAGAAACATGCATCACTGGAGGCTAACACGAAAGCATGGAAGAACTTCCCAGTTGAATATGCAGGACAAACTTGGAGATTCAGAGACAACTGGGGGAGACTCTTGAAGGTGATGTTAAAAAAAATGACCCAAAATATAGTCAAAATCACCAAAGAAATTCTCTTATAGCTACCCCAGAATAAGGGACACTGACAAATGCCATACGATTCCTGAGTTGAGCTCAAGAAAGAAACACAAGATTCTGTAATAGAATAGAAGTAACAATATTGAGAATTCTCATGATTATTCTCAAATATGGAGCAAACTGACTATATGCTAACATATTCTCTCTTTTGACTGACATGTTTTAGACACAACTACTGGGCAAAATGGAGGCATGAATGAAAGGGCCGTTTTTCTGGTAGATATGAATGTTCTGACTCCACACATCTGGTGGAACAAATAACCCACAGAGTCTATGGAAATGGTGAGCACCCTACAACCTGGTGAAATGAATCTTCCTCTAGGACAAGGAAAGCCAGTCAGACATGATAACATCTGAAGGGCAGATGAGGAGTTGAATAGAGCTATGCTGCTAGAATTACAGGATCCAGCTGCCTGATATAGGGCCAGGGCCAGAATAAAACTCTAAAGATTTTGGCTAGCTCGCTCCTAGCTCAGAGGGGAAAGCACCCAGGTCTCAAATATTATGGGAAGGAATAAAGTAGTCCACATAAATACAACACACACGATATTATAGGAATATTATATGACTATATAATACTATCATAGTACATGCCAAGATCTAGCTCAAGTAGGACAACAACAGGCAGTTTTCAAATATGAAGACATTCAGAAAGTTTAATACTCATAAGCCTTTCTTAAAAACAACAAGAAAATATCCCAAATATAAATTTCAGCAAATTAAAGAATGAATCAAATTCAAAATGCAGAGATAAATTTTTAAAAAATGTTTTAAAAAGTAATAAACTAGTAAACCTAGAAAAGATGGATGAATTCCTGGAAAAATACAACTCTCCTAGCTTAAATCAGGAAAAATTAGATACACTGTACAGACCAATAACAAGCAGTGAGATTGAAATGGTAGTTTAAAAATTACTAACAAAAAAATGTCCAGGGCCAGACAGATTAACAGCAGAATTCTGTCATTCAAAGAATTGGCACCAATCTGTTTGACACTATTCCACAAGATAGAAAAAGAGGGACCCACCCAATTCATTTTATGAAGCCCATGTCACTCTAATACCAAAACCAGGAAATGACATAACCAAAAAAGAAAACTACAGACAGATATCTCTGATGAACATTGACACCTAAATTCTTAACAAAATAATAGCTAACTGAATCCAACAACACATCAGAAAGATAACCCACCATGATCCAGTGAATTTATCAGGGATGCAGGGTGGGTTTAACTTACACAAGTAAATAAATATGATACACCATGTAAACAGAATTAAAAACAAAAATCCCATGATCATCTCAATAGATGCAGAAAAAGCATTCAATAAAATCCAGCACCGCTTTATGATTAAAACGCTCAGCAAAATCAGCATACAAGGGACATATCTCAATGTAACAAAACCCATCTGTGACAAACCCACAGCCAACATAATACTGAGTGGGGAAAAGTTGAAAGCATTCCCTCTGAGAACTGGAACAAGACAAGGATGCCCACTCTCACCACTCCTCTTCAACATGGTACTGAAAGTCATAGCCAGAACAATTAGACAAGAGAAAGAAATAAAAGGAATTCAAATCTGTAAAGAGGAAGTCAAACTGTCACTGTTTGCTGGTGATATGATCGTTTACCTCCAAAACCCTAAAGACTCCTCCAGAAAGCTCCTAGAACTGATAAAAGAATTTAGCAAAGTTTCTGCATGTAAGATTAATGTACACAAATCAGCAGCTCTTCTGTACACCAACAGCGGCCAAGCAGAGAATCAAATCAAGATTACTCAGTTGTTTCTACAATAGCTGCAAGCAAAATTAAATACTTAGGAATATACCTAACCAAGGACATGAAAGAACTCTACAAGGAAAACTTCAAAACACTGCTGAAAGGAATCATAGATGACACAAACAAATGGAAACATATCCCATGCTCATGGATGGATAGAATCAAAGTTGTGAAAATGACCATACTGCCAAAGGCAATCCACAAATTCAACACAATCCCCATCAAAATACCACCATCATCCTTCACAAAATTAGTAAAAACAATTCCATAATTCATATGGAATCAAAAACGAGCTGGCATAGTCAAAGCAAAACTAAGCAAAAAGAACAAATCTGGAAGTATCACATTACCTGATTTCAAACTATACTATAAGGCTATAGTACCCAAGACAGTGTGGTACTGGTATAAAAATGGGCATGTAGACCGATGGAGCAGAATAGAGAACCCAGAAATAAACCCAAGTACTTACAGCTAACTGATCTAGGCAAAGCAAACAAAAACATAAAGTGGGGAAAGGTCACCCTTTTCAACAAATGGTGCTGGGATAATTGGCTAGCCACATACAGGAGCATGAAACTGGATCCTCATCTCTCACCTTATACAAAAATCAACTCAAGATGGATTAAGGACTTAAAGACCAGGAACTATAAAAATTCTAGAAGATAATGTTGGAAAAACCCTTGTAGACATTGGCTTAGGCAAAGATTTCATGACCAAGAACCCAAAAGCAAATGCAATAAAAACAAAGATAAATAGTTGGGACTTAATTAAACTAAAGAGCTCTTGCATGGTAAAAGGAACAGTCAGTAGAGTAAACAGACAACCCACAGAGTAGGAGAAGATCTTCACAATCTATACATCTGACAAAGGGCTAATATTCAGAATATACAGTAAACTCAAACAAATCAGAAAAAAAACCCATAAAAAATAGGTTAAGGACATGAATAGACAATTTTCAAAAGAAGATATACAAATGACCAAGAAACATATGAAAAAATGCTCAACATCACTAGTGACCAGGGAAATGCAAATCAAAACCACAATGTGATACTACCTTGCTCCTGAAAGAATGACCATAATCAAAGAATCAAAAAACAGTAGATGTTGGCATGGATGCAGTGATCAGGGAACACTTCTACACTGCTGGTGGGAATGTAAACTAGTACAGCCACTATGGAAAACAGTGTGGACATTCCTTAATGAACTAAAAGTAGAACTACCGTTTGATCCAGCAATCCCACTACTGGGTTTCTATCCAGAAGGAAAGGAGTCATTACATGAAAAAGATACTTGCCCACACATATTTATAGCAGCACAATTCACAATTGCAAAATCACGGAACCAACCCAAATCCCCATCAACCAACTAGTGGGTAAAGAAACTTGCATATATATGTACGATGGAATACTACTTGGCCATAAAAAGGAATGAATTAATGGCATTTGCAGCGACCTGGATGAGATTGGAGATTATTATTCTAAGTGAAGTAATTCAGGAATGGAAAACCAAACATCATATGTTCTCACGGATATGTGGGAGCTAAGCTATGAGCAAGCAAAGGCATAAGAATGATACAATGGACTTTGGGGAATTGGGGGGAAGGATGGGAAGGGAACAAGGGATAACACACTACAAATAGGGTGCAGTGTGTACTGCTAGGGTGATGGGTGCACAAAAATCTCACAGATCACCAGCAAAGAACTTACTCATGTAACCAAATATCACCTGTACCCCAATAACCTGTGGAAAAATTTAAAAATTTTAAGAATTACTCTAAATCTCAATACATTTGAAATAATCAAAATAAAAATATCACCTTAATATGAAAAGTGGGAGAGGGGAGGTGTAATGACAAGTGAGAATGTTAGTGCCCTTTTCTTTCCAGATGTAAAGTAAATTGATGCTGCCGTAAATCGAAACGCAGAATTTTAAAAATCTGCTTTTCTTAACCATCACAGAATCTCTTGGAAAAATTTTGTTTTTAAAGTTTTTTAACAAATTCAGTTATTCTTGCAATTTTAGTCATACTTGTTTTCATTGGTTATATTCACATAAATAGAGATTGAATACTTTCCATTTAAAAAATTACATCCATATAAAAGAAACCCAGATCAATAAAACTAGCATTCTCTCATCCATACCTTCTCCCTCACCTTCCTCTTTCTCCTTCCTTTCCTGCATTTCTCCCTCCATACCTCCATATGTAACACAAAATATCTGCCTAATATTAGGTGATTATTTTTGAGGAATTTGCTGTTTTTTAAACCTTTTTTTATTATGTGAATTTTATAATATATATGTGTGTATATTTGCATATTTGATATATGCAGGTGTATGCATATGTGTGTGTATTGTCTTACCTAAATCATATGAAGAAGGGTGACTCTTTGCAGGAGGCTATTTTCTGGAACACAAAAGGGTGGGGGTATTTCTTAACCTTCCCTATTTTCCAGGATCTATCACAAGACTCAGGAGAAATATAACATTGTCAGTACATATGTATAATATATATACATGTGTGTATGAACATGTGTACATATATACACATATATAATATTTTATATGAGTAAAAAACTGCACAATAAGAGCTATTTTAAAATAGTCAATGTGAGGATAAGTCAAATAGAAATAATCACAAAGTTAAAAATACCAAAGCAGACCTCTGTTTCTGGGCATATTTTGAGCACTGCAATACCCAATCAGTAAGCTCACAGGCAGGATTAATTAGGCATTAATATGGATACTGTTTAGCTACTCGTAGCTTCTTTATGGAAGGTGTAACTAAAAGCGCTATGACATGAAGTGCTGATTCAGGGTCCAGAAATACAGGCTGTAACCAGGGCTGGGGGGTACAGCCACCCTCACTCTTTTCATGTAGTCCCTCACAGAAGTTGAGGACACACAGCGGTTGACCACACTGCTACATGATGAAGAATAAATTATTTATTCCTTCTCTCACCCTTTGAAGAAATGTTTAAGAAATGCTCCTTTTCCTTGTGTCCAGTAGAGTATAAAAGTGAATATGATATATTCTATTTCCTCTGGGGGGTCTTTCACCTCCCCTATGATTTTAAGCTTCTGGTATATTAGTGATTTAAGTAACAATACAAGAAAACAACATCAATATGTCACATGATAATACACTACAAGTTAAGTGTACAGAAAATATGTGTGATTAGGTTGAAGCAATAAAGAGAACAGAGAATGTGAGATAAGCTGGCACGGGTTCTACATAGTCAATCTCAATGCATGGCCAGATTCAGTTGAGAGAGCTGCAGGGTAACTTCAGAATGGTGGGAAGCAGATTAGAAGTGCTAAGAGAGGAGCAGTGTAAGGGACCAGGCTGCCTTCTCAATGAGAAGGGATCTCAGATGATGGCCCACTTTGGTTCACACCTTTTCTGACCTTAGTGTGCCATTTACTGTTAGTGACTCCCACGTGCATCCATGGTAATCCATGGCTAGAGACAACTGAATTTCCCATTAATCCCAGCTAGCACTTTCCTTTCCCCTATCTCAAAGAGCCCAGAATAGACTATTAGGTGAGATCCATAGATGTTTTATCACAATGTGACCCTGCTTCCTCCATTCTTCCTGACTCTAAAATGAAAGAGATATCACATTCATTGTGTAACTCTCAGTATTTCAAAGAAGGTTGAATCTATTATTCTTTACATTGTCATTTGGCTGAGCCTTAACACCTTTTACCTTGGCTTTCCAGCTAATCCATTCTTCATCTTCCTGGTGAGATCTCTTTATTTTATTTATGGTTACAACAATGTGTATGTTTACAAACAAATTGGAGCCAAGTGTAAATAGAAACACAATTTCTATAAAGCAAAGTAATCTTTCAAATATGGCTCTATAACTTAATCAATATCTAATTAAACATGCTTTCTAATAATTGTTACTCATTTATATAGAATTTTATTAAATCAACTAAACGCTTTTTTTTTTTTTTTTTTTTGAGACGGAGTCTCGCTCTATCGCCCAGGCTGGAGTGCAGTGGCGCGATCTCGGCTCACTGCAAGCTCCGCCTCCCAGGTTCACGCCTTTCTCCTGCCTCAGCCTCCCAAGTAGCTGGGACTACAGGCGCCCGCCACCATGCCTGGCTAATTTTTTTGTATTTTTAGTAGAGACGGAGTTTCACCGTGTTAGTCAGGATGGTCTCGATCTCCTGACCTCATGATCCATCCTCCTCGGCCTCCCAAAGTGCTGGGATTACAGGCGTGAGCCACCACGCCCGGCCCTAAACTCTTTGTAATCATGTTTTTCCCTTCTTTCTAGCACTGTCTCCTGGGTAATTAACCCAAAGCACGGAGAGGTTAGGTGATTAGGCTTATGTCACACAGCAAGAAAATCAAGTATGTTACCCATCCCTGCAGCAAATCTCCTTTTACGTGTTTACATTTTTGCTACTCCCATTTTTGCTCCACAATGTCCCTGCCATGCCACTCTATGAACATATTAGGTTTCCTCAATTATAAAATATAATTTTTGTGTAAATGCTTAATCAACTTAAGTGTAGCTTTTTGAGGTTGACGGGAGATAGAAATACATTTACTGAGTTAAATGTATACTTTCATTACTCATGTACCTGTGGATTTCGGTAATACTAAATGCCAAAAACCTAAGTTGTATGTTATAATTGAAAAATATGGTATGTCCTCATTCCCATAACTAGCAATTTTTCAAGGCCAAGTTCAAAGGTCAGCATATCCGGGAATCATTTCCTATTTGCCTCATCTAGAATTGGCTATTGTCTCCCTAAAACTCCAATCATGCATGTTAATTTATTTCTCACATGCCCTTTATTTGCACTGCTTATTTAGACAGGCTATGCTCTTTTTGCAGAAACTTTAGCATAAAAGATGTTAGAGTATCTTACATTCCCAAGCAATGTTATGTGAGTGCAATAGGTGCTCAATAAATATTCCTTGCCTGACTGCATAGAAACAAAACTGCAGATGAATTTGTCAGTTCAGTAAAAAACAAATATTTTTTCTATTCAATGCCATGGGTCTTTCTACTGATTTGACTCTCTTGATGCTGTAAAGATTTGGTCATTTGTTTGCTTTTTTAAAAGTTGGTTAATGTTTATTATCTTCTCATAATATATATGGGTTCTCACAAGTAGGCAGAAATTAATTGTATAGTCAGCTATAATCAGATGTCTCTGCATGAGACAGTAAGGCATACCTTCTTTTCAGATGGCTTCACTCTACTCCAATCCCAAGAGCGTAGTGGGTAGAGGGAAAGCTTTGGATCCTCCACAGCAGCCTCAGAAGAGCAAGGAAAATGGAGAAGGAAGGGCAGTGCAAAGTACCCTTGAAAAAGAGTTCCTGACATTTATTCATAGCAGAATATCTTAAACAACAACAAAAAAGGCACCTGGCCCATTGTTAATGTGGCTCATCTCCCTTTAGCCCCACAAGTGGTCCAGACCACCTGACTTTCCAAGATTTCATGTCTGGTTCTAACAAATTTGCCTTCTTTTTTCAATAACTATATTAAGGGTCACTTTTTACAGTTATTATTGTATCTTTTACTAGCATCATCCTTTCATTTCGATCTCCTTGGTGGAAATAAGATAATCAAACTATTTTAATGAGCAAAATATGAGTAAATGAGGACTCTAAGAACTCAAGGGGGCAGGGTATGGTGGCTCACACCTGTAATCCCAGCACTTTGGGAGGCTGAGGTGGGCGGATCACTAGGTCAAGAGAGCGAGACCATCCTGGCCAACATGGTGAAACCCCGTCTCAACTAAAAATACAAAAATTACCTGAGCATGATGGCGCACACCTGTAGTCCCAGCTACTCAGGAGGCTGAGGCAGGAGAATCACTTGAACTGGGGAGGCGGAGGTTGTGGTGACCGTGAGCTGAGATTGTGCCACTGCACTCCAGCCTGGGTGACAGAGCGAGACTCCATCTAAAAAAAAAAAAAAAAAAAAAAGAATTCAAGGTAAGACATATGGACATTTCCCCTAAGGGAAGTGGGTGCATTCAGTTCATGAAGTTTGCATCATATGGCATTTGCCTTGCCCTTTTTTTTTTTGATACCCTCTGTCCCACATCAGATCAATCCCTTGTGTTGTCAATGCTCCTGCTGTGCCTGATATTCTTAACACCACTGCTGAACTTTTCACTTGGTCTTTTAAATGGGCATTCTTAGAAGTAGAAACCTTTTTTATTCCTTTCTCACTCGTCACTATGTCCCTATCCTATATCTCAGCCCTTCGGTGTCCTTGGACAGCCTGATGTGATAATCACATTTCTGTAAATGAGGCTGATATATTATTGCAATGACAGATGAAATGCATTGTGAAAGTCTTCAATGCATTCACTTATGTAAGAATTCAGAGAGAATTGTTTTGGGTAAAGAGTAAATTATTTTTGTCCCTCAGATCCTACCTCATCCACCAGTCCATGAATCTGTCCTCCATGAATAGAATGAAAGGAGAACTACAGCTCAGGCATAATCTAGGTGAACCAGCAGATAAACTATATACTCATGCAATGACATGCACATCTTTGTATGTACAGACAAAATAAACTTCTTTGGTTATTATTTTTCTGAATGCCAGAAAGGAGTTATTTATAAACTTATAAACTTGTTTTGCCCTGTGAATTAGTTATTGCCCCTCCCCTCTTTAGGTAGCACAGGTACCCACCCCGCATTTCTTAGCACAAACTGCTATACATGCATTCCTGAATCACATTTTTAAAAGGAATTATGCATTCTAAATTTTGTCTATTTAGTGTTTCAGGTGTCTTACTTCCATTTGCATTCATTGACTCATGGAATTTTAAAGCCAAAAGGAACCTATTTGGTCATTTAGGTCAACTTTCTGAATTTATAAACTGGGATAGGAGACACAATAAATAGTTTTTTCCAAAGTCATCTGCTAATCAAATAAAGAAATCAGGTTGAAAACTAGTGGATACCTTGCTGGGTCCAGTAAATTACTTGATGTCATTATCTTTTGAAGTATGCCTACCCTAAGAAGTTGTCTTTACTGATTCCATATATAACATTACCTCAAATATTTAAATAACTTTCTGCATCTCATCCTTGTAAAATTCACAGGTTATTGCAAATATTAATGGAAAAGAATTCCAAACTTGGATATCAACTTGTGCAAAGGCAGAATGATCTACATATTTATGTTGGCTGGCTTCTATAGCCTGGCATGTCTCCAGCACACAGTAAACAGACAGATAGAGAAGACCTTTATTCCAGAAGCTGCATTTAGCAGGACGGTATCTAATACATTAGAGATGTTTTTCCAAGTTTTGCCCTGTTCAAATAATTCATAACAATATCAAGGTCAGTGCAAGCTAAGGCTATTTTTTCTGAAGATACCAGACATGCAAGGTAAACCTCCTAGGAGACTATTACAAGCCATCAACAGAACATCCGCTAAGAATGTAAATTTGTATTCTTTCTGTAAATCTTCCTCTTACATCTCTCATGGCAACTTCTGCCCATTTATACCCAACACTTCCTGACTCAGTCCTTGTACACACTTCAGCAAAGAGCATTTACTACGAAATTTACAGAGCTATTTAGGCCTTAGATCTACCAGGAGTTTCTACAAAGGTAGAAAATAATTAATGCTTCTTCCATCAAGCCACTATGAGATGTTTGACTCAAGAGTTTTCTTTCTTATTTCTCCTTCCTTCTTTTTGCTCTTTCCTTCTTTCTTTCTTTCTCTTTCTTTCTTTCTCTCTCTCTTTCTCTCTTTCTTTTTTTCTCTTTCTCTCGCTCTTTCTTTCACAAAAACCACAATTACTAACTTTTAATGGCAAAAACTGTAATTATTTTTGCACCAATCTAATCCTTTCTTCTTCAATTTTTGATTAACAAAAATTGTGTATATTTGTTATGTAAAACGTGATGTTTTAAAACATATACACATTGTACAGTGGCTAAATCAAGATAACTAACATGTATCACCTCATACACTTATTTATTTGAAATGAGAACACTTAAAATATACTTGAGAATTGCAGCATTATTGGCTTTAGGCACTGTATTAGTCCGTTCTCACACTGCTATAAGGACATACCTGAGACTGGGTGATTTATAAAGGAAAAAGGTTTAATTGACTCACAGTTCTGCAGGGCTGGGGATGCCTCAGAAACTTACAATCATGGCATATGGGGAAGCAAACACATCCTTCTTCACAAGGTGGTAGAAGAGAGAAGAATGATAAATGAGTGAAGGGGGAAGCCCCTTATAAAACCATCAGATCTCATGAGAACTTACTCACTATCATGAGAATAGCATGGGAGTAATCACCCCCATGATTCAATCACCTCCCCCTCTCCGTCCCACAACACAGAGGGATGATGGGAACTATAATTCAAAATGAGATTTGGGTGGGGCCACAGCCAAGTAATATCATTCCTACCCTGGCCTCTCCCAAATGTCATGTCCTCACATTTCAAAACACAATTATATCCTTCCAACAGTCCCCAAAAGTCTCAACTCATTCCAGCATTAAGCCAGAAGTCCAAGTCCAAGGTCTCATCTGAGAGAAAGCAAGTCCCTTTGCCTATGATCCTGCAAATCAAAAGCAAGTGAGTCACTTCCTAGATAAAATGGGGGTATAGGCATTGGGAAAATACACCCACTCCAAATGGGAGAAATTGGCCAAAGTAAAGGGGCCACAGGCCCCATGTAAGTCCAAAACCCAACAGGGCAGTCATTAAACCTTAAAGTTCCAAAATGATCTCTTTTGACTCCATGTCTCACAACCAGGTCACACTGATACAAGAGGTGGGCTTCCATGGCCTTGAGCAGCTCCACCCTTGTGACTTTGCAGGCTACAGCCCCACTCCCAGCTGCTTTTCACGGGTAGGTGTTGAGTGCTTGCAGCCTTTTCAGGTGCACAGTGCAAGCAGAATGGTGAATCTACCATTCTGGGGTCTGAAGGACAGTGGCCTTCTTCTCACAGCTCCACTAGGCAGTGTCCCAGTGGGGACTCTGTGTGGGGGCTCCAGCCCCAAATTTCCCTTTCATACTGCCCTAGCAGAGGTTCTCCATGAGGGCTCCACCATTGCAGCAAACTTCTCTCTGGACATCCAGGTGTTTCCATACATCCTCTGAAATGTAGGTGGAGGTTCCCAAACCTCAATTCTTGTCTTCTGTGCACCCACAGGACCAACACCACATGGAAGCTGCCAAGGCTTAAGGCTTTCACCCTCTGAAGCAATGGCCTGAGCTGTACCTTGGTCCTATTGGAGCTAAAGCAGCTGAGCTGCCGGGCACCATGTCCTGAAGCTGCACAGAGCAAGGGGGCCCTGGAGCCAGTTCATGAAAGCGTTTTTCCCTCTTAGGCCTCCAGGCCTGTGATGAGAAGAGCTGCTGTGAAGTTCTCTGACATGCCCTGAAGGCATTTTTCCTATTATCTTGGTGACTCTTATTTATCTATGCAAATTTCTGCAGGTGGCTTGAATTTCTCCAGAAAATTAGGTTTTTCTTTTCTATGGCATTGTCAGGCTGCAATTTTTTTAAACTTTTATGCTCTGTTTCCAGGGTCAGGATCATCAATATCACTGTCTTCCACCTCCACATCTTGTTCCACTGGAAGGTCTTCAGGGGCAATAACATACATGGAGCTGTCATCTCCTATGACAATAATGCCTTCTTCTTAATGCCTTCTGAAGGACCTGCCTGAGGCTGTTTTAGAGTTAGCTTTCAAAAAATAAACAGGAGTATGCTCTAAAATAATGATAAAAATTATAGTATAGTAACTCTATAAACCAGCAGCATAGTAATTTATTATCATTATCAAGTATTATGTGCTGTACATAATCATATGTGCTGGACTTTTATATGACTGACAGTGCAGTAGGTTTGTTTACACCAGTACCAACACAAACATGTGATTAATACATTTTGCTTCAATGTTAGAACAGCTACAAAATCAGTAGATGGTAGGAATTTTTTAGTTCCACTATAATCTTATGAAATTGGTGTTGAATATACAGTTTATTGTTGACAGAAATGTAGCTATGGGGGTGCCTGACTGCGTAAATAGGATTTGGTACTACTTGTGGTTTTAGGCATCTGCAGAGGGTCTTGGAATGTATCATTTATGAATAAGAAGTGACTATTGTGCTGTTTTCCATAATAGCTGTACTAATTTATATTCCCACTGTGAGTCTACAAACCTTTCCAATACATGGTATTGGGAAAACTTGATATCCACATGCAGAAGAATGAAATTACACCCTATCTCACACCACATAGAAAATCAACTCATGATAGATTAAAGACTTAAATATAAGACCTGAAAACTGTAAAACTACTAAAAGAAAATTTAGTGGGCAGCTTTTGGGTATGAACCCCAAAGTACAGGCAACAAAAGCAAAAATAGACAAAGAGGATTACAGCAAACTAAAAAGCTGCTGCATGGGAAAAGGAATAATCACCAGAGTGAAGAGACAACCCGCAGATTGGGACAACATATTTGCAAACCATACATCTGAAAAGGAGTTAATATCTAAAATATATAAAGAACTTAAACAACTCAGTTGCTATGAAAACAATTAATTGAAAGTGTAAAAAGGATTTGAATAAAAATTTTCCAAAAGGAGACGCAATTGCTCAACATCCCTAATCATCAGGGAAATGCAGATTAAAACTGCAATGAAATATTTCCTCACACCTGTTAGAATGGCTACTATCAAAAAGACAAAATATAACAAGTGTTTGTGAAACTGTGGGAAAAAAATGGGAGCTGTGGTACACCATTAAAAAGTTCTTTTTAATAAGAGGATTCAAAACAAAAGATGTGCTAAGAGTTGGAATATGTGAAATGTTTTTCTTGAAACTTGCCTTTCAATATTTTTGAAGAGATTAATTTTCATGTCCTTATAAATTGGAGATAATTAAGTCCATCTGATAAATTTCATGGGATGTGCCATTGAGTTGGGGTCTGTTTCTCCAGCACTGCATCTATCATAAAAGTTTCAGAATAAAATGTAATGAATGTAAATTTAACAAGCATATAGCATTGCATGATTCATTTGTAAATAAAAACATATAACTATCTCCTATTAATGTCATATGTACAGTCTATATATAAGTATATTTTGCATATATGGTGAACTGGTCTATCCAGTTATATTTTTGCATGAAACCATATTCCTGGCAGTAATTTATATGTGGGCTTCTGAAAGGAGGGTCAGGAAAGAGTGAACAGTGTGAGAACAGCCTGGTATTCATTCCATGACCAGCCTTATGCAGAGAACAGACCAGCTGTAATTGACAGTACAGAGGTGGTTAAAAAATTGTTTCCATGATAGAGCTTGTGAAATCTGAGAAACTCCAGGTGACAAAGTGTAGCATAGAGCTGGAGTTCCAGAAGGCCATTCTTTGCTGTGACACCTGCAGGATGAGCAGTGAGTGAATTGTAGAGGTGTTGGCTTAGCTTAAACATCTCGCAGTGTTGTGGGCGGAGATGCACCCCAGGCAGGAGCAAGATGGACAGAAACAGCAGTGCCCAGGCTCTGCCCCAACTGTGGGCACACAGAGCACATGCCTAAAGGGCAAGGGCAGAGATTTCAGAAGGATGCTAGTGAGTGTATTTGAGTCACCTTTGTGGACTACCCAAAATGACTGAGGACTTTTTGAATACTGTGGTCCATGTGTGCATGACCTCATTCATAATCTACAAGCAGTGCAAGAGACCTGGATAAATCGTCCTTAATTATTCCAGTTTTCATTCTTCTTCCTTCCCTTTTCTAGGGCCTAGAATCTATGTGACACTAAACATCTGACACACACTGTGAAATTGCATTTTAGTTGTTTCCTACCGATAAATGTTTACCTTCAAACCAACTTTTAAGTTGTCATTGTATATTTTATTTTTAAATAGGTAAATGAAGCAAATTGTGTAAATTCAACGGTATTAAAGGGTAAATAGTGAAGAGGAGCCTTTCCCTTTCTCCCCTTTGTCTCATCAGAGGCATCCAATATTATCAGTCTCTTATATACCCTTCTAGGAAATTCTATAAATATCATAGGCTTTACATCCTCTTCTGAGAGCACTGATCATGTGCCATATTTCTTAGAAATGGCCTGAGAATGTATATGGTGCTCAACAACAGTACTGATTAATTGAAAAGACAAATTGTTTTGCTGCTTGTCATAGTCTCTGAATCCCAAGTGTGGGTAAAACTGCAGAGGTAACTCTACTGACCCCTAGACTGAAGTCATATGTATCTACATGTAGCTCTGTTGCTACTGAGCTTAAAGAGTTAACACTGCTGGGAAATTGAAGATAAATGATGCTATGGAGAGTATCAGACACTAAAAAAGGAAGCTGAGCTTTGGCATTTTACACCTTGCAAAGACAAACGCTTTGCAATGTGTATTAAAAGCACTCTTTGCGATCAAAAGATTTGGCAAGTCACCCAGAATTCTTAACTTTCCCACAACGGCAGAAATCTCATTATGTATAACCTTTTAAATGGGACCAGAGAAACATTTTCAACTTGATTCTCATTGAGCACAACCTCTACCTGGAAGTACAGTCCAAATGGAGACAAAATGTGTATTATTTTTGCATTAGACATGTATTTCCAAGTGCACTGTTTCACTGTTCCTTTTTATTCAAGAGCCAAGTCTCTCCTTTCTCTTCCTCCCTCTCTCTCTTTCTCTCTTTCTCTCTCTCTCTGTCTCACACACACAGACACCCTTGCATGCACACATATCCTAGAGGCTCTTTATACACTAGTGGGGCAATAATTCTTACAAGTATGGCCCCAGGATGGGGTCTGACCGCATTGCTTGTTGTAAATTTCAGCTTTTGTCTCCTGGGTCCCTATGTATAAATTATATATGGCCAATCTCTAGATATTTGGGGGCAGTGGTTTTTGGGGTGGCCTGTGAATTTATCTTGTGTACTCCCGCAGGTGATTTCTTATGCTCATGTTAATACTCATACATATTAGGACTTCTGTCTTAGAGTTGAAACTGGCCTCCCTGGCATTGCATTCACTGTAACAGTCTTGAACACTAGTTTCAGATAAATAATCTTCTAAGAGCTCTGTCAAACACATCACTCCTTGTGCAAAAATCTGCAGTCATTTTCCTTCACAATTGGACTCAAACTTGCCTCTGCAGCTTACTTTCCACCCTTCCTGTGACTTCAATTCTGTTCAAACTGAATGTCTTTTCTTCTCACACACTCTTTTACCAACATATGCCTTCTATGTACCTTTTCTGACCTTGTTTATTCTATATGGAAATCTCACATCACCTTCTCTCTCTACCTATTTTTGCTCTGTCCATTTTTAAAAAAATCTAAATTAAGTTCCATGACCACTTCAGCCAAAGGTAGCTTATGTCTAAATCAGTTTTTCACAGAATAATTATTTCACAGGCCAGCAGAATGTTAAGAGAAGAAGGTGAGGAGAGAAGAGAGGATATGTGCTGACAGAGTCTTGACAACTTTTTATTTTGCCTCTGTGATGTGAACAAAAGGGACATTTTAATACTGAGAAAATAACTTCATGTTAAAGGGCTATCTTTAAATCAAATGCATTTAGCTTTATATAGAATATAATTTGTTATTTCTACCTTTTCTAATTTTGCTATGGACTGGTAAATGTTCTAACAGTGTCTGGCATTGATCTTCAGAACACAGTTCAGCAACTTGGGACCCACTGTCTTAAGTAATTGGCCACACTGTACTGATAAAGCAGAGATGTGTCCCGGATGGGCCAGGAGACATTAGATATCACACCCAGACAGGATTAAAAAGTCTCTCAATATAAAAAGTTGAGGTGAAAATTCCCATTTCTAGACATCTGTGGGATGTGATGTCTGTAAGAGAAAAGACAAAGTCATGATTTCCAGTGTTATCTGTGTAAGAATGTTGAGCTCCACGTGAAGGCAGAGAGAGGAGGCATACCCTACCACCCTCTACCACACACACATGATCATGCTCTGTCAACTGCCTCCAGTCACCAGTCTTTCTCTTCCTTCTTGGTCTTTCCTATCACTTCACAATTTCTAACATAGGGTCTGACATGTTTATTATTTTTGACCATAATAATGGTCACAGGTATTTGATTCCAATTTCATATCCTTGAAAGAAATAAAGGCAAGCAAATATTTCCATGTTGTACTGAACAAATAGAGTGACTCAGGCATGCTAATACTACCTTTTATAAAAGACTGAGGTTTCTAACTCATTATTACAAGGTCACCCTTAGTTGGATGGCTAGAGACTTTCTCCCTCTTTGGTATTGGGACATTGTCTCTATAGTATCACATGATTCCCCTGTCCTCAATGAATTATAATACGTCCCACTACCTTGAATGACATGAGATAAATGATCCATCAGACAGAATCTTAAGTTATATCCATCTACAATATAAAGCTGTTCATTCCTGCATTCAGAAATTTAGTAAAATTGGCAAAGTGATGTTTAAATTCTGAATCCATAGTTTTGTTTTTTTCCAATATTATTCTGTCCAGGGTTTGTGCTGGGTGCTATACATTTGCTATTCAAGGAATAGTCACAAAAGTCCTATGACAGACATGATTATGATAATTTTACATAAAAACAAGAATCAAAATACATAATACCACTCAATATGATGTAGAGCTTGCTAGAGTTTTTAGTTATTTTGACTCCAAGAAGGAAAAGCAACTAAAAATCAAATTCTTACTTGTGTACCAAGCACAGTGTATATGAGTCTATCTCTTTAAACACAGATACACATGCACAAATATAATTTAATTCATATATGTAATGCCAGTCAACTTTATACCTTAAACTCTGGTGCTGATTCAATAAAGATATCTATAAGGTTTTTTTTTTATTTGTTGTTTTCTTAGATAACCATTGGAACTAGCAGGTAATAAAAGATTAAAGATTTCCCAGATTCGTTGATTGTAGAATTATTAATTCAAAAAATCCTTATTAAGTGTGTACTATTTACTAGACAGTAAATAGTATGATGTATCAGAGATTCAGTGTTTAAATAAAAGAAGAAGTGCCTGCATTCATAGAGCGTATGGTCTGGAAAGGCTGAATGAGGAGCTGGCAAATATTTTCCAGGAAAGGCTCAGTTAACAAATATTTTTGGCTTTGTGGGCCATATCATCTCTGTCACAACTACTTAACTCTGAGGGGCCTTAGACATTGTGAAAAAGAATGAGCATGGCTAGGTTCTAATGAAAATGTAGTATGAACACTGAACTTTTTATTTCATATAAGGTTCATATGTCACAAAATATTATTTTGACTGTTTTTCAACCATTTAAAAATGTAGAAAGTGAAGAAACTTTCTCAGTATAACATAGTACATTATGAAAAACCCACAGTTAACATCATTCTCAATGGTGAAAGAGGAAAAGATTTTTTCACTGAGGTCGGCAAGGTAATGACTCCCATTTCACCACTGCTACTCAAAATTGTACTTAAAATTCTAGTCAGAGAAATTAGACAACATAAAGAAATAAAATGTTTCCAAATTGGAAAGGAAGAAGGGAAACTTTCTCTATTCCCAGATACCAGGATTCTATATATAGGAAATCACAAAGAACGCACACATGCACAAACTACTAGATCAACTAAATTCAACAAAGTTGCAAGATTTAAGATCAATGTGCTAAAATCAGTTATATTTCTATACAGCAGCAATGAACTATCTGAAAAGGAATTTAACCAAACAATTATATTTATAATAGCACTCAAAATAATAAAATACTTAAGAATAATTCAACCGAGGAGGTAAAAGACTTATACAATAAAAATTACAAAATGAACAGTACAATAACTGCAGGCATTAATTAAAGAAAATATAAATCAATAGAAAGACACTTTGTACATATATATTCAAATACTTCATATTAAAATGTTAAAACTATCCAAAACAATCTACAGATTCAATGAAATCCTCATCAAAATTACAATGTACTGTTTTTTTAGAGTTGGAAAATACAATCCTCAAATTCATATAAGATGTGAAGTAGTACTGAATAGACAAAATAAAAATTTAAAAACAAAGAGTAAAGTTGGAAGATTCACATTTCCCAATTTCAAAACTTACTACAAAACAGCAATCAAAACAGTGTGGTCCTGGCTTTAGGACAAACATATGGGCCTAACCAATGAAATAAAATTAGCGGACCAGAAATAAACCCTGGTATTGATAGCTGACTAATTTTTAACAAGGGCACCTAGATTATACGATCAGGTAAATAATAGTCTCTTCAACAAATGGTACTGGAACAACTGAATATACACCTGCAAAATAATGAAATTGGACCCCTAGCTCAAATCATATAAAAATGGAATACCAAGCTACATAGAAGAGCTAAAACCATAAAACTCTTAGAAGAAAAATAGGGGTAAATTTTCATTACCTTAAATTTGGCAATAAATTCTTAAATATGACACCAAAAGATGAAATAGATAAGTTGGACTTAACCAAAACGTAAAACTTTTGTACATCAGAAGACATTATCAAGAAAGTAAAAGACACTTCGCAGATGGATGGAAATATTTGTAGTCATATATCTGATAAGGGTTTAACATCCAGAATACAAAAAGACCTTGTACAATTCAACAAAGGAGACATACAACAAAATTAAAAATGGGCGAAGGTATTGAAATTGCAAAGAACTTTTTTTATACAAAGAGATATTTAGATGCTTGTCAACTTATGATGGGATAATGACCAATAAATCCATTGTAAATTGAAAATATCATAAGTCAAAATGCGTTTAATATACCAAACATACCAAACATCACAGTTGAGCCTAGCCTACCTTAAATGTACTTAAAACTTCTACATTAACCTATAGTTGCACAAAATCATCTAATACAAAGCGTATTTTATAATAAAGTTTTAAATATATAGGTTGGCTTATTAAATACTGTACTGAAAGGGAAAATTGAATAGTTGTATGATACTTGAAGCACACTTTTTACTAAATGCATATCACTTTTGTACCAGTGTAAAGTCAAAAATTCAGAAATCAAACCATTATAAGTTGGGGACTGTCTGTACAAAGGACTAACAGGCACATGAAAAGATGCCATCATAATTAGTCATTTGAAAAATGCAAATCAAATCACAATGAGGTATCTTCATGCCTTTTAAGATGACAGTAATGATTTTTTTAAATGAAAATAACAAAATTTGGAGAGCATGTGAAGAGACTGAAAGTGTCGTACATTGCTTAGAGAAATGTAAGAAGCTTTAGTTTCTGTAGAAAGAAATTTGGATGTTCTCCAAACATTAAAGATAAAATCACCATAAGACCGTATGGTATGATTTGAATTTGTCCCTCAAATATCATCTGTTAGAAACTAAATTTTCAATGTTGAGATTGCAACAGTGTTGAGATGTGAGACCTAATGAGGCAGAAAGATCTCTTAAGCCTAAGAGTTCAAGGTTACATTGAGCTATGATAACGCCACTGACCTCTAGATTGGGTAACAGAATATGATTTTGTCTCTCTCTCTTTCTTTCTTTCTCTATATGTACTAAATGTATATATACTAAATATATATAAATACACTAAATATATATATTCTAAATATACTAAATATGTATATTTAAAAGAGGTGATTAGGTGATGAGAGATGAATAGATTAATGTCATTATCATCATTATCATGAGAGTGGGTTTGTTATAAAAGTGATTTGGACCCTTTTTTGCACTCTTGCCCACTCTTACCCTCTTGCCTTCCATCATGGGATGATACAGCAAGAAGATTCATGCAAGATGTTGGCATCTTTATATTGAACTCCTCAGCCTCCAGAAATGAGAATTTTTTTTAAATAAATTACCTTGTCTGGGGTATGCTGTTACAGCAATAGAAAGCAGACTAAGATACCCTACAATTTCACATCTAGGCATAAACTTGAAAGAATTAAACACGGGTATTCAAATAAGTTAATACGCATGCATATTTATAGTGGCACAATTCACAACAGCCAAAAAATGGAAGCAGCTCAAATGTCCTGAACAGAAGAATAAATAAACAAATTATGGCCCATACATACAATGGAATATTGTTAACCAATAAAGCAGAATGAAGTACTAACATACTACAATGTGGATTAACCTCCAAAACATTATGCTAAGTGAAAGAAGCCAGATGTAGCAGGTTGCATGTTGCATAATTCCATTTATATGAAATATCCAGAATAGACAAATCCATAGTAACAGGATGCAGATAAGTGGTTACCAGCGACTATAGGAGTGGGAGGATGAAGATAAACTGCTTAACGGTTATAAGGTCTTACTTTGAAGTGAAGTGGAGAAACTCTTTTGAAACTAAGTAGAGGTAGTGGTTACACAGCACTGTGAATTCACTAAGTGCCACTAAATTGTCCATTTTAAAATGGTTAATTTTATATTATTTAAATTTTACTTCAATATTTTCAAATGTCCTATTCCGTAGTCTAGACAAGTGGGTCTTAAATTTTGTTGTATATGAAAATTGTTTGGGAATCTTTTAAAATTCAATATCCAAGCTTTATCCTAGACAAATTAAATGAAAATCTCTTCAGTTTGGGCTGAAAGGTCAGTTTTGGTTTTTTGTTTGTTTGTTTGTAGAACAAGTGTTCTAAATATGTGATTTTGTCAAATATTGTCCTTGGACAAGTTAGGTACCTCAGTGTATTAGGCCATACTAGCATTGTTATAAAGAAATAGCTGAGACTGGGTATTCATAAAGAAAAGAATTTTAATTGGCTCACAGTTCTTTAGACTTCAGAGGACGTGTTGCCAACATCTGTTAGGCTTCTGGAGGGGCCTCAGGAGGCTTTCAGTCATGGTGGAAAGTGAAGGGGAGCAAGCATTGTCAAATGGTGAAAGCAGGAATGAGAGAGAGAGAGAGAGCAGGGGTTACCACACACCTTTAAACAACCAGATTTTGCGTGAACTCAGGGTGAGAGCTCACTTATCACCAAGGGGATGGCCCAAACCATTCATGAGGGATCTGCCCCTATAATCCAAACATCTCCCATCAGGACCCACCTCCATCGTTGGAGATTACAATTCAACATGAGATTTGGGCAGGAACAGATATCCAAAGTATATTCTTCCACTCCTCGCCACTCCCAAATTTCATGTCCTTCTCACATTGTAGAACACAATTATGCCTTTCCAATAATTCTACTCAAATCTTAACTCATTCCAGCATTAACTTAAAAGTTCAAAACCCACAGTCTCATCTGGAACAAGATAGGACCCTTCAACCTATGACTATGTCAAATTAAAAATAAGTTTTTACTCTTAAGATACAATGGGAATTTTGGCATTTGGTAAACATTCCTATTCCAAAAGGGAGAAATTTGACAAAAGAGAGAGGCTATAGTCCCCACTCAAGTTCAGAATGGAGCAGAGCAATCATTAAATCTTAAATCTCCAAAATAATCTCCTTTGACTTCACATCCCATATCTAGGGCACACTGGTGTAAGGGGTGGGTTCCCAAGGCCTTGGGCAGCTTCACCTCTGGCTTTGTAGGGTGCAGCCATTGAAGCTACTGTTACAGGCTGGAGTTGAGTGCCTGCAGCTTTTCCTGAAGCAGGGGGCAAGCTGCTGGGGGATCCATCTTTCTTGATTAGGTGGTGGGCCTCTTCCCACAGTTCCACTACGCAGTGCCCCAGTGGCAATTCTATGTGGCACCTCCAAACCCACATTTTTCCTTCCACACTGCCCTAGTGGAGGTTCTTTGTAAGGGCTCTGCCTCTTCAAGAGGCTTCTGCCTGGACACGCAGGCTTTTCCATACATTCTCTGAAATCTAGACCAAGGTTGCTGAAAGTTCACCAGTCTTGCACTCTCTATACCTGCAGGCTTATATTATTTGGAATCCAGCAAGGTATATGGCTTGCATTTTCCAAAGTGGCAACTCGAGCTGTACCTGGGCCCTTGGAGCCACAGATGGATCTGGCATGGCTAGGATATGGGGAGCAGTGTCCCGAGGCTGTTCAGGGCAGTGAGGTCCTTGGCCTGGCCCTCAAAACAATTATTTCTTCCTAGGCCTCCAGGCCTGTGATGAGAGGGCTTGCCTCTTAGATCTCTTAAATGCTTTTGCAGGCTTTTTCTCATTGTCTTGGCTATCAGCACTTGGTTCCTTTTTAGTTATGCAAATCTCTCTAGCAAGTGATTGTTCCAAGTCTGCTTGAATTCGTCTCCTGAAAAAACTTCATTCTTTGCCACATGGCCAAACTGTGAATTTTCCAAACTTTTATGCTCTGCTTCCCTTTCAAACATAAGTTCCAACTTTAAGTCATCCTTTGATCCCACGAATGAGCATAGGTTATTAGAAGCAGCCATGCCAAATTTTGAATGCTTTCCTGCTTAGAAATTTCCTCCACCACATATCCTAAATGATCACTCTTAAGTTTAAAGTTCCACAGATCCCTAGGGCAGGGACACAAGGCAGCCAAGTTCTTTGTTAAGGTGTAACAAAAGGGACCTTTGCTCCAGCTCCTAAAAAATTCTTCATCTCCATCTGAGACCTCATCAGCCTGGCCTTTGCTGTTCATAACACTACAAGAATTTTGGTTACAACGATTAAACAAGTCTCTAGGAAGTTCCAAACTTTCCCTCATCTTCCTTTCTTTTTCCGAGTCCTCCAAACTCTTCCAACATCTCTCTGCTATCCAGTTCTAAAGTTGCTTCTACATTTTTGGGTTATCCTTATAGCAATGCCCTACTCCTTGGTACCAATTTTCTGTATTAGGCTATTCTAGCATTCCTATAAAGAAATACCTGAGAGTGGGTAATTTATAAAGAAATTGGCTAACAGTTCTGCAGAGTTTACAGGGAACATCGTGCCAAAATCTGCATGGCTTCTGGAGAGGCCTCAAAAAACTTAATCATGGTGGAAGATAAAGTCGGAACAGACACATCCTAGTGAAAGTGGGAGCAAAAGAGAGAGACACTGGAGAAGGAGGTGCCATACACTTTTAAATGACCAGATCTCATGTTAAGTCAGAGTGAGAGCTCACTTATTACCAAGAGAATCACCCAAACGATTCATGAAGGATCAGCCCCCATGATCCAAACACCTCCCACAAGGCTCTAGCTCAATCAATGGGAATTACAATTTAACATGACATTTGGAAAAGGACAAATATTCAAGCTATGTCATTTATCATCACCTGTGAATTTGTCAGAAATTCAAATTTTCAGGTTTCATCCTGAAAATCCTCATCATTTCAGGTAGCATTCTGATATCCACTGAATTAGAAACTCTTGAGGAAGGAGCCAAGCAACTTGGTGTTTTAATAAGACCTCCAGATGATTCTAATGCATTATTAAATTTGAGAACTATTTGACACTCTAGATTCTAGCCAGTCTTGATCTTTGAAGGATATAGCATTATTTGGGAACCGTTTTAAAAGGTGAGCTCAGATTCATTTGTTTTTGAGCAGGACCCGAGATTCTGCATTTAAATAATTGGGTAATATTTTTTATAACCCTCTAGGTGTTTCCAATATGTACACAAGGTTTAGAACCATTGGTTCATATTGAGGAACAGACAATAAGCAAAGAATAGCACAATTAGTAAGTTAATCACAATTGTCTATAACATTTTTTATCAACATTTCAATCAGAGTTGAGTGCCTACTTAAATTATGTACTAGTGTTTAAGATTTATGTGGGGAATCATACCTTGTATTTGCCCAGAAGGTCTTACAACTTTGTTGATGAGTTTGGAATGTGGACACAGAATGATAACTGCTTAGGCACTAAAATGCAGGAGATTATCTGGCCTTGATGGAAAGTGGGATCAGCATAGCTCTCAGGCAGTATTTTGTCCTTTTATTTGTTGGTAAATTTTTAGTATTTGGTGACTACATTATAGATATAAAAATAAATCACCAGATTTCAAAATTGGAAAACATTTTATAGAATATTGAATTTGAAGTGCTTTTCTATTGTATTGTTGGGTGGGAATAGAGAGACTTATTGGTGCATCAGTGCTGCTAGAGAAGAAAAAGGGAAACAGAGGGAAAAAAAAGGATAGCGAGAAAAAGAGAAAAGAGAGTAAAGCTCTGGATTCTTTTCACTATTTTGCCCAGATGAACTTTCCTTTTCCCTAGGTTATGTAGGACATCATTGCTGCTATCTGCTTATCTCAACTTACAGGTGCATCTAAAATTAGTATGGATCAGTGCAATTCAATCTCAGCTACACTTTGTACAGCTTGAGCATCAATTTGAAAATCTAAAATCCAAAATTCTCTAGAATTAGAAATGAATTGAGTGTCAAAATGACACCGTAAATGGAAATTTCCCCACCTGACCTCATATGATGAGTATCAATCAAAATGCAGAAGCACAACACACAGCTTATTGTGTCCTCAAGGGAAGAAAAACCCCTTTCAGCCCCCTTTACCTGCAACATGTGTTTTCCATGCATGCCCATATTTCCCCACAAAGTATATCCAAAAAGGGGGATAAATGGCATGTGTGTGGGCTGTATGCATCAATGGCAAGTTCCCCACAATGCCCCACATGGGCAATGCCCCACAATACCCCACCTACATGAATTACTTATTGTGTTCATTTGCTTGTTCTCTGCCCTGTGGTGAGAAGATATCACTGAAAATGTCAAAAAGGCCTGAAGATACCTCTGTGGATAACGGTGATAAGAAAAAGAGAAAGCATTTATATTTATCTATAGTCTAGAAAGCCAAGCTGTTGGAGAAACCAGACAGCAGTGTAAGTGTGAAATATCTTACAGGAGAATATGGTGTCAGAATGACCACTATATGGGACTTAAATAAGCAGAAGAATAAACTATTGAAGTTCTATGCTGAAAGTGAAGAACAGAAGTTAATAAAAAATAGAAAAGGCCAGGCACGGTGGCTCATGCCTATAATCCCTGCACTTTGATTTCTGGAGTTTGAGACCAGCCTGACCAACATGGAGAAACCCCATCTCTACTAAAAATACAAAATTACTCAGGCATGGTGGCATATGCCTGTAATCCCAGCTACTCAGGAGGCTGAGACAAGAGAATTGCTTGAACCTGGGAGATGTAGGTTGCGGTGAGCCAAGATCATGCTATTGCACTCTAGCCTGGGCAAAAGAGCAAAACTCTGTCTCAGAAATAAAAAAAAAGACGAAAAGTAGAAAAACACTGCAAAAGGTGAAAATGAAGATCTTGAATGTGTATTAAAGAGTGGATCCACTGGCATTGCAGTGAACACATGCCACATAATTGTATGCTGATCATGAAACAAGCAAAGATCTATCATCTATCACGAACTGAAAGTTGAAGGGAACTGTGAATATTCAAAAGACTGATTGTAGATATTAAAGAAAAGACACAGCATTAAATTTATAAAGATTTGTGGAGACAAAGCATCTGCTGATTATGAAGCAGTGGAAAAGTTCATTGATAGGTTTGCCAAGGTTTGCTGATAAAAGTTTTACACAACAACAAAGTTATAATGCTGATGTATTCTGACTGTTTGGTATTATTGCTCCAGAAAGACATAGAGTACAGCTGATGAGACAGTTACCCCAGGAACTAAAGATGCTAACAAGTAACAGTGCTGGGATATGCTAATGCAGCAGGCATACATAAATGTCAACTTGCTGTGATAAGAATAAGTTTGCATCCACACTGTTTTCAAAGAGTAAATTTCTTATCACTCTATTATTTTGCTAACACAAGACATAGATCACCAGGGACATCCTTTCTGACTGGTTTCATGCATATTTTTTACCAGCGGCTTGTGCTCACTGCAGGGAAGCTAGAATGGACGAGTATTACAAGATTTTGTTATTCCTTGACAATTGTTCTGCTCATCCTCCAGCAGAAATTCTCATCAAAAATAATGTTTATGCCATGTACTTTTCCCCAAATGTAACTTCCTTAATTCATCCATGTGACTAGAGTATCTTTAGATAAATGAAGAGTAAATATAAAATCATTCTCTTGAACAGCATGTTAGCAGCAGTGAACAGAGGTATGGGTGTGGAAGATTTTCAAAAGGAATTTAGCATAAAAGATGCCCTATATGCTGTTGCTAATACTTAGAACACAGTGAGTAAGGACACAGTTGTGCATGTCTGGCACAACCTCTGGTGTGCAATTATGTTCAGTGATGATATTAAACAAGATAGTGACTTTGAAGGATTCCGTATGTCAAGTGAGAAAAAAGTGATATATGACCTCTTTATGTATGCAAAAGATATATCTTCAGAGGCAGTCAGTAAGCAGGAAGTGGATATTGAAGTTTTCTACATTGATTATGAGGCTCCAGTTGTTCATTCATTGACTGTTGATGAAATAACCACAATGGTTCTGAATCAAGGTGATCATGAAAATAGTGATGATAAAGATAAGATTGCTAACACTACAGAAAATGTACCTATAGACAACATGGTAAAAATGTATGATGGGCTTATTGAAGTGCTAGAAAGGATGCATTTGCAACAGAACAAGAAATTATGTCAGTTTATAAAATCAAAGAGAGATTTCCAAACAAAAAATATTGTTAATGAGGCAGATGGTTCTGGAGAAAACATTTTAAAAAGCTATCCAGCAGAATGCCTCCTCATCACTAGAAGACCCACTTCCTGGTCCCTGAATCTGATGTTCCTTCTCACCTGAAAACATAAAAGACCATGTACAGTAAATTTTTAATCAAAGTACACTATTGTAGGTAGAGATTGGAAAGCCTGGCATTGTTTGTTGTCGCTATTGTTTAAGAGCTGATACAGGTATTCTGGTGATGCTACGTGCCGCTTATTTACCCTGAACACATTATCTTTTCCCAGTACTAATGACATGTCATATATTTTACTGTTAAGTACTTATGTATAAATAGGGACAAGGAAATGCTGGCTTACTGGTAGCACATAAAATCAGAGTCAGAAATCATGGTGATGCCATACAATCACAGATTGTACACATGAGTGGCTAAGATAGTGACATCTTTGCTTTCTGATGGTTCATTGTACACAAACTTTGTTTCATACACAAAAGTATTTTAAAATATTGTATAAAATTGCATTCAGGCTATGTGTATAAGGTGTATTATAAACAAAAATGAATTTTGTGTTTGGACTTGTGCTGCATCCTTAAGATATTTCATTAAGCATATTCAAATATTTCAAAATCCAAAAAAAAAATTGAAACACTTTTGGTCCCAAGAAATTTCATTAAGAGATACTCAGTTTGTATTCAACTGTGACACATTTAAAACTCATCGAAACTAGTTTTCCAAGCCAAGATATTTGGCCTGGGTTGGGCCCAAACATGATTATTCTTTACACATTGCTCAGGTGATCCTCTTGACAGTTGTGAGTGGAGACTTCTAATCGAACAGTGGCACTGTCAGGAGTGTGATGTGGTTGAAGAAAGCGTCACAGAGTTGAGGACAACTGAACTGAGCTTCAAAGTCTAGAAAGATGCAGAAAGGATGGAAGGAAAGGAGAGTGTTTTTCTTCTGAACAAAGAAACAGATCAGCAACATGTAAAATTTATTCGAAGGGTGAAACCAGCGGGTCTGATCAAAGGAGAATGGTTCAGGAAAGAAATAGAGGCTTTGTAAGTTAGAAAGGAATTATATTTTTTTAAATAGCATTTTGAGATTGTAGCCATGATACTACTGTCTTCAAAAGCCTGTGGTATGAAGTGATTGTAGAGTAACTGTTCTGCTGTTGGAACCTCTGATTTCCATTTTCTTACAATATTTTCACAAAGCCAGGCTCCTACAGATGACGTTCCTCCAGTCCCATGGTGATTTAGGGACTAGGAATAAACACAAGACTTTAGTTTCCTGTCTGGTGGTTTTCATGGGCATGACATTCATTTTGAGATCTAAAAAGAAAAACAAAATAATAGGAGCTATAAATTAAAGTCTCCCAGAAAACCAGCTTGAAATGAGCATACCACTGATAAATATGTCAAGATACAAATATTATTTATTTGCTTCCAAATGAAACAAAGATTACAGAATTTCTTCAGTAATGTCTAAAATTAGAGTAAATTTAATTTGTCTTTGTTATGGGTTTTAGTAATCTAAAGGAGCTTACACAGAATAAAAATAAAGGGGTCATAGAAAATCTCACACTTTGGGCAGCCAAGAAATATTTTCTGTGTGTGTGTGTGTGTGTGTGTGTGTGTATGTATGTGTAAGCTATATATATATATATATATGTAAAGATTTGACATAAAATACCATCTTTATATGATTTAATGCTTTTATAAGCTATGTTCCTAACCTAGAGCCCCTGAATCCTTCAGATTCTTGCAAGGTCATAATGGACAGGGTGAGGATCCTACTCACAAGTTATTTTCAATATTTCAAGAAGTCTATCAAAAATCATATATTTACTCATGATGGAGCTGCAAAGAATAAGTACATTTGAGTCAATTTGCTTGAGGCTGAAATTATATCATTTTACTGTCCAAATAATGAATGTCCTTTGTGTTTTTAAACTAGATAGAAGCTCTGATTAGTTGCTGATGGCATCTCAAATATTTAGCATCATATGGAAATAAACTAAGGAGAGTGTCTTTGGTGGTTAAAAAGTTTGAATAATGGCTGTAAATATTCATATTTGTTTTTAAAATTTTATACAGAAAAGGCTGAATTATAAAAATTACATGTTGAGTCTATTTTTAAATTCAATCCTCTTTGGAAATTTGAAGATGGTTGTGACCATCCAATGACCCTGTCAAATTTGATTGTCTACATACTAAAATTTCTAAAAATGCGGGCTTCTGAGGAATTGTGTGCTTATCATAGAATAATGTTGCCATAGAAAATTAACCATGGAAGATACTAATGGGCACCATAGGGGCCAGAGGAAATATCTACCACAAAACTGTCTTCTGCAGTACTCTTTCATCCATCCACTCATCCATTATGAACATATTTCAGCCACCCCTAGATCATTGGCACTCTGCTCTGCCCCCTGCGGGTACAAAGATGGCAAGACACAATGGCTCTCTGAGTTTGCTGCCCCATTCATTTTGTCCACACAACACATCCTTCAAGTCTTATTGACATGAATTATTGGAGCTTAAGGGTAGTAAGATTGGTTAGAGTAAGACAAGGTCTGAATTCTAAAGGAAATGAAAGACTTGGAAAGCAATTGGAATAGGAACTCATACATGGAGTGAAAAAGGTGGAATTCATTGAAAAGAATGAACCAAGAAATTTCAGATCAACACACCACATCTGTATCTGGCTAGTAGTATTATTGTCACTACTTAAATTTTAGCATCCAACCAGTTTCTTCAAAACTAGTTCTTACGGGGGACAGAATTTATCTAAAATGTGTAGAGAAACTTAGCCAAAAATTATTGGTTAAATAAAAAATGTGTCATTGCAAAGTTTGCTGTGAAAAACAAAGCACTGAAAGTGTGGAGGAGGACAGATGTCTGCAGTGTTAGCTTTGTGCTGTGTGAGTAACTTTGCCCTGCATGGCCTGAGTTGGAGTTTAGTTTAACTGAATGCTGTCTAGAATTACATATACTTTATCCAGTGAAGATAAAAAAGTAGAAATTATTGACTCACTATCACTAGACAAAAACTGGTCACCTGGTAGATATTCAAACAATATAAATTATTACATAGCTGTGAATATATTTAGAAGAATTGTATCAGATTAATTATGTAAATTGTACAAATAGAATTTTCTATTTCTGGCTCCCAAATCTATCCAAAATGTCTTTAGTTTCTTAAACAGTAAAATAATAGTCTGTCTACTAGATTCTACCAAGTCAAGAAACTGGCCTCGTATATTTTAAAAATATTAGTAATAGCATATTAAAAATATTATTTGAAGCATACTTATATCTGAGGTTTCATTCCCTGGGCATTTTAATTAATGGAGTTTTAATTCATATAGATAACTTATGCTTAATATTCCTTGAAAAAAAGGAATTTTTGTAATTGTTGAGGAAAGGCAAAGTAGTTGATAGATATGGAAATTTATATACTAATTGTGTAAGCAGATCTTCAGTAGAGCATTCAATGCACCCCCTATTTGCCAAAGTATGTGGGGAAGTTATCAATTTTAATACTATCGGATATTTAAGAAAACTAGGAACTTTGTTTTAATCCACATCTGTGAGAATCCCCAAAAGGTTCTGTGAATGCTTGCAGTGGTGGACTGTATATTCAGAGATCATCCCAATGTCTCTCCAGCAACTCAGCTGCAGTCCCTTCCACTTTAGGGCTGCAGAATAAAAGAAAAAAAAATTCTCCTGGGATGGGACTTACTGGTACCAAAGCAGACAGACACATGGCCCAGGTTTGTTACTTTGCTGTCTGAGCTTTGACAGTTCCCTGTTATCTTTCACTATGACAATGTGAAGGGCACTTTTGCACTTTGAGCCTTGGGGAAAATTCAGTTGATACAACCTCCCTCTACTACTTTCTAATAGTGATCCACTTGCTAACTCCAACATCCAACAAGTTGAACCAGTGGCAAGAAGTGTAAAGAAGTAAGGCTTACCTAACATCAAATAAAAGAGAAATGTGAACAAACAAACAAATAAAAAACCTTTTTCCATGAAACGAGAAATGAGGAGAACAGACGCTATAAAGCCAGGTGAAGGTCACTCTGCAGTTCTTCCTTATGCTTTAAAAGCTGTGTTTAATTGTTATTCACGATGCACTGTGGGCAGAACAATTAGTTGTATCTATATTAGATCTAAGCTGTAATTATTTGTTACATTAATCATGACTAGAGTGAGAATTTAATTAGTCATGAACATTAAGTGAATTTTTCTGAAGCGGGGGAAGAATGTTTTCTGTTGTTTGATGCATCTGATTAAGAGAGGGCATCGCAGCTAGCTGGTACACTGGAAGAAGCTGAACCCTCAAGCTTTGCTATCTATTGACAAATCTGAATTCAGGTGATCTCACATCTCTGCATTTGTGCTTCCTATCCAAATGGTAACTCTTTGTGCAGGTTCCTCGGCATGTGTAAATAGGCACCATGTATATCAACTGTCACCAGTAATTCAGAAGGGCCATTGGATGTCAATATTACCCAATTCCTGTTTGTTCCTTTTATTTATTCTCTGCCCCTCTTTTCTTAATAACAAAAATGTTACCAGAGAAATTCCAGAAAATAGGGGAGAAATGTCCAGAGAGAAGTCTACATTGAGTTAGATTAGTATTTATCTCTGTGATGTGTTTTGAAAGGAACCGAACGTTTGGTATTCATCTAATCACACACAGCTAATATCCAGTGCCTCAAAGCTCTGCAATGTGTACTCATTTTAAATTAGAAATGTAAAGACTTCTGGGGGGTACTTGGGGGAGGAAACAAAGCATAAATGTGGTGGCTGTGATAGTGTGGGACACAATGTTTGATAATGCAACACATTTAATGAGTCACATACGTAGGGCTGTTATCGCCTCAAACAGCTCTACCCTGCTGATGCAAGTGAAAACTTTTAGACAAACTCAGCGTTCTTTTGCTCATTACACTGACCTGTCAAAAATGACAACTTGGCCCAGTCTGGTTATTCCATGCTGACAAGGTACCATTCAGGCTTTGCGGCAATAATGTCAGCTTTTAAAGGTGCAATGTACTTAAGAAAGCTCATTTCTATGATTTGGCCAAAAAGAGTCATTTTCCTTGTCAGTGGTGAGGAATGCCTTAGTTTCCTTTAAATTAGGAGTCGTTTTCATGGAGATTGTTCCTGGAAAACCTGCAGAAAGGAGAGAAGCTATTTTTTTGAAAGATTTAAAATAGTTTAGCCTACTGAGCAATGGTGTGATTACCCAGTGTGTTGAAGACAGCTAGGGATGCTCAACTCTGCCCAAATCATATTTCAAAACAACCAATAGTGCAACAAATAAAACTTCAATTTGATCATGAACAGTATGCACCATTGCCTGCAAGCAGAGAGCAGTGAGTTGGAAAGCTCTTTCTATGGAGTTTGGGGCCACAATATACAGAATCTGGGGTAAGAAAAAGGGAGCAACATGACAGATGCTATATTCCTGGTCTACAGGCAAATTTCTTAGCTTTGTCCAGAAACAAGCAACAAAAAGAATGTTAGTGTTGGGTTTTACAATAGCCCCAACACAAATGTTAGGAGAACTGTTAATGAGCTGATAAATTGGGACAAAAGACAGGTAAATAGAAATAAACTGATACTTCCTTCTATAATTTTTCCACTAATATATTGTGGTTCAGTCCACTCATATGCCAAGTTCAAATCTGAAATGTCTTCACTCAATTATTTCAACATACTACTTCCACAATTCAATAGATATGTAGATTACATAGATAGATAGATAGAGACATAGACATAGACATAGACAGATAGAGCTGGTTTTATATCAACCATGAAGATACCTAAGATTTTCACCAACACCTGTAGATCCCAATCCAACTGTATTAGCCCTGTGGTTTTTTGCTCCCTGTTTCAAATTCTTTGGTTCTAGGACTAATGACAATCTTTTATCAACTCCTGTGGAAGGCTCCAATAGAAGACTATGGGAGCACAGTTCTTTTTTAAAAAAAAATACACTCTCCATTTTAATATGAGAATCCTTTGGGTGTGCTTTAGACTGTATTTACAATATACTCAGACTCTAGGGTTCTGAGCACTGCCAGCCAACTCTTTCTATGTGATGAAAAGAGGAAAGACCCAAAACAGGATTTGTTTGCCTATGCTTTCTTTCCTTTTTCTTATGTTAAAAAACTAAAATCTACCCAGAATATTCATCACCAAAATACATGAGTCAAAATCTCTACTTGTACACTTCTTAAGATTAAATTTTCTAGATAACTAAAGGTAGATTTTATCTGAAGAATAAGTTGTTATAATTGATTACACCTTTTAAAATTTGGACCTAGCAATCAATTAATTAATACAATTTTATTAAATAGTAGTCTTGGGCTGTAATAAAGAGGGCATTATCCTCAAGTACCTTATAATCAAGTAGGGAAGGCAACACTGAAACACAGGAAAGAGAATAATACAGTATTTAATAAATATGTGTGTGACTAAACATGCTATAGACATCTGAGAGTTAGAGGAGGTTACAAAATCTGGATGTAGATAGTGGTGTTAGTGACTTCCCTGGAAAGACAAGTAGATTTGTATACATGTACTCAGAAAGGCATTGCAAGCAAGAGCTAATGCCAGCTAAAACTCATGCAAAGTATGTTTGAGGGGAGAGTCAACTTTGGTTGAAAGAGAATACTCGCGTTGTGAAATGAAAGATTATATCGAGAGGAAAACGTGTAACCACATTGTAAGAGTCATTGAATGACAGAGAAAGGAGTTTAGTAGTACTATTTCACCGTAGTGTTTACCATAGTGTTTACTTTTGGTTCACCTTCCCTGCATTGCTGAGAATATTGAGTTCATGCACAATTATTTTTAACCTATTGCCAATGCAAAACTATAATTCTTGTGGCTCAATACATTGTTTCAATTTTCATTATGTGTATTTCTTCTGATCAGTTTAATTCCACTCATTTCAGTCTAATATTTGAATTTTAATATTATGTATTAAATTAATATTAAATTTAATATTTGAATACCCACTTCATGCTTAGTATAGCAGTAGTCTGCAATAGTGATGATAAAGTGAATGATACGAATGATACGATATTTCTGTTTACTGGGAGGCTATAATCTAGGTGCCTTGGAAAATTCTGTCAATATTAGTGTTAGTTTGGAGAACTGTCTTCAGAAATATAAGACAACAGTGATAGGAAACCAATTTGTGACCTCCAGAAGTCATTCCATCTGGTTTGTGGAGGATTATGAGATTAACACTACTTGTTAGTGCTATCATTAATAATTATGCCTCTGTATATGTGTGCAGAAATTTAGGGATGATGAGACATTCTCAGGCATTTCATTTCTTTTGCAGCTTTTTGTGTGGCCTTGTAGATAGAGGGTCACTGGAAATTTCTAGTCCTGTTCATCCTGTCTTTTCCTTCCTCATGAGACACCTGTATGTGTCATGTAGGTCTTGCAGATGTGAAAAATAATGTTTTAAGAGTTCACAAGAGAGAGTTTAGAGTTCCAGATGACAGCATGTATCTTTTTTAAATCATTCATTCAACTTAGCACACTACTACATCCTTTTTCTCATTTGATTCTCAGAAGTTTTTTTTTTTGTTATAAAGGATATTTACCTATCATTTATATTTTCAGTGCTTATTTCATTGAAGGAAACCAGTAAAACTTACACAGTCATTGCATATCAATTTTTTATGGCACAATACTCTCAAAGTTATTGCTTCTCCTCACGTATCTCACCTATGCTTTTGCAATAATAGTTCACCATTCTGGCTCCTTCCAGATTCTTACTAACGTATGTGCATCAGTGGTTCACAGATAGTCTGCCCCAAAGATAGTTCGTCTTCCTCTTTTCCTATAATGAGGACTTGACCACTTTCTCTTTTTAAAATAATTTTTGCTACTTGAATTTAGGTGTAATTTTTAAACTAAGGTACCTTTGGAAACCAAAGACTTATCTTCTAATGGATGGCTACAGTCTTTCCAGCATTTGGCTGGATCCAACTGTGATTATACGTTATATGTGGTATCTCTGCTTTGTTCAATTTCTTCTATTTCCCTCAACCCTTTAAAAACCTTTAAGTCTTCCACTATTTCTTATGGGAGACAGGTATACCCTATCAAGGGTAAGGAGAATCTTAGTTATTATTCTTTTTCATATTCAGGGTAAAATTGCAGATATTAAATATTAAATAAATCTAAATATTATGCTTTATCCTTTTTCTCCTATAGGTGATCCCTAAGATGTTTTCTAAATGTATCCTAATATTTCATAGGACCATATGTATTAAATTTCCCCTTTATAATCTGACCTAAAACCTAATGGAAGCATAATACATGTTAAAAAAAAAGAAAACATACTCCATGCCTACCACACACAATGATATTACATAATATCCTAATATAATTTTCATTTTATCCTTTATTCTTTGTTTCATTTCTCAACTTTTCTTTACAACTTTACTTTAAAAATATTTTCTAGAAGTTCTCATTTATTATATATGTCATATTTTCTCTTAAGTCCTTTTTCTCTGAGACTACCATATTCCTTCTTCGCTTTCCTTATTTTCTTCTTTCTTCTTATTCCTCTTCTCTATTCATCATTCCTTCTTTTCTATCCATTTTGCTATTACAGTATTTGAGATTTTTTCCCCTCTCCTCTTTATTTTCTTCTTTACTTTATCATTATTATATGGTAGCCTTTTTCCTCTATCCCAGTGATTCTCATCTGGGAGTAATTTTGCTCCTCAAATGACACTTGAAAATATCTGGAGACATTTTTCTTTGCCACAGCCAGGAAGTGGTGCTATCCAATGTGTAAAGAACAGGAATGCTACTATGCACACCATAATACACAGAATGTTCCCTATAACAAAGAATTATCTGTTCCAAAATCTCAGTGCTGCTGAGGTTGAGGAACAGCTTTACTCCTATCTCTGTTCTAATGCACTGTGCATAAACCACAGCTCATTCTAGCTTATGCCATATGGCTCCTTTCGAAACATTTTCACTGTACTTTTATCAAATGTATTTTTTTGATGAGAAGGTCTACAGATATACAATAAAAGGTCCCATGAAATTTTCAGGCTGGCATACACACACAGATTTGGAACATTTCACACCAGCTCCTCTGACACACTTTATATTTATGAAATATTAATGAAAAATTATCTATCAAATAAAAGCTGGCTGCTTGTAAGTAAATGCCTATCCCATTTTCCTCTTGTTATATGTCACCTGACTTATATTGGGACCAATAATTAGAAATATCCCACCTCTTTTTGATCCAACATTTAGCGTTTTCAGAGTTTCTAGAATTTTTATTAGTATTTGTTGTCTCCAATCTCTAATCTTTATTGCCATAAAATATAATTGTTAATCTATTTTATTTTAATGACCTGGGAATTTCACTTGTTTCCACATACAATGGCAAAAAAAATTCAAAATCATTCTTTATGTTCCTTCAGAGATTTTTACAATGCCATAAAATTAGCAGCACTTTTGCTTCATCAACAACATATTTGATTTTTGATGATTTTTTAAATTTCTCAAATAGATTTTCTAGTATGAATCTATAATTTTATATTTTACTGCATAGATTTTTTTCTTCCTACCATAAATAAATAATTTTATCAATATTTTAACCTAATAAGTTCTTATCTCAAATCCAACATTGCTCTGTTGCACTATGATTGGGTTCTCTAAGCTCTTCATAGATAATGACTTCACCTTTTTTTATCTTTTCTTTTTTTTAACCTTCACCCTATCTACACAAATTTCCCTCATTCTTCCTTATTTTTCCCCTCACCTTTGTTTGATCTATACTCTCTGTATATTTCTGTAGCTTAAAATATCTACTTCACTCAGTACAACCTCTGTTTTTACTCATCACATTTGCAGGTTTCTTTCAAATTCAACACAAACTTATTTAAGAATATTATCAAATTCTTAAAAATCAATAACACTTATGATAAAAGACTTTTGCTTTATATTTCAAAATATTGTAGACATTGATGCTTAACAATTTAAAAATCATTGACATCTTCTTTACTTCTTAATGAAAGAGTCCGTCTTCCAAAATGATGCTGAAAATGCCAAATTATTGCTGTCCCGACCTCCCCAATAACTAAGAATGATTGATAAGCCATGTCTAGGCAAAGAGAAGCATAAGCGAGTCCTCTGAGAAGTTTCTGGGAGAGACCATTTTCTCTAACAACAAGAGAAGGTGGGGAGGAATATCCCCTGATTTATATTTGGAAAATAATCAGACACTACCACTCTTCTGGTTTTTGGCCATTATCTTTTGAAGAAATGAACTTTAGAACTACTGGTTCCTTGACCACAGGGAGATTTTGCTAAGCTCCAGACTAGCAGAATAAGTTGTTATGAAGAACTAAGTCCTTGGTGGCATTATTACACCTCTGAACCAATTATTTATTATGGTACTTATGATGCTAATAAGAATGGCTGATATTTTTGGAGTATTTACTAAGTCAGAAGGACTTTATGTTCTTTACACAGGTAATCTAATTGTGAACATAATCCTAAGTGCTGTTTTTTGCAACTATTTTCCACATTTTATATCTGAGGTAAGTAAAGAAGAAAAGGTTAAAAAGCTTGCCCATGATCACACAGCTAGTCAGGTAGAGCTTGAGTCTTGACAGACTGGCTTCATTATGTACATTTTATCATAAAGTGACACCTGTTCCAGACTTTGTGGGACATAAAATGATGAATGGTGTCTGAGCTGTATGAGACACCGTCACCTAATATTCTAAGTAAAAGCAACTGAGCACACTTGTTCTTATGTCTGGCGCAGGTATCAATTGTCCTGATCCACTGACATTTAATTATTTTTTAAATCATATTCCCCAATGTTAATTGTGTAAACTGTATAAATGAGACATCTTACATTCTCTATTCCTACCTCTTCCCATTGTGTGGGAGACTTACAATTTACCCATTCCTCTACTCTTTTCTTTCTGTTACCTAGTTCCATATACTTTAGTCCAGTTGCTTTCGTTTTGTTTATACCTGCTGTTGAGAGGAGTTTACTAGCTTGCCTTAGGTAGACAGAAAGAAAAATGTCCACAGAGAGCCCCCCGACCCACAGGTCAGTGCCTCATCCCCACATCTGAGTGAATAAACTTACACAGGGGTTGTGCCTGAAACACACTGGTAGCTAAACAGGTAGAAGAACCTCTAGCCCACTCAGATAAGGAAACTTACAGAAACCTCCAGCCCACTCAGTTAAAGAAACAAGGCCCAACATAGAAATGCCTTTATCCTTTGTGTAACCAGAGGGGTTCCAGGAGATAGCGTCTTCTCGCTTTGTAGGCACATACATAATGGGCTGTGGTGGCCCCCTTCCTTTTCTTTTTTGGGCATACTTTAAACTGTGAGCCGAGCCTCTATGAATCATCACTTTAGCCTCTGATTGGTCCTGGGCCAAGGTCCTGGGCAAAGCTTTCACTTCAGCCCCTGATTGGTCCTCGACCAAGGTCCCAGGTCAAGCTGAGTAGTGTTTTATTCAAGACAACCTGAAGACCAGTCAGCACATTCCTCCTCTTCCAGTCTATAAAAGACCCCTGACCCAACCTCATAGTGGGCAGCCCTCTTGGGCCCCCTCTACACTGCAGAGAACTTTCTTCTTTCTCTTATTAAACTTTCACTCCAACCTCACCCTGTGTCCATGCTCCTTAATTTTCTTAGTCCTGAGACAAAGAACTCCATGTACTACCTCAGACAACAAGACTAAAACATTGTGGTGCATTGGCAAGACTGCAGCACTATCTACTGACTTATATAAATGGGTTTTCTTAGTTCCTTTTCCTTAGCCTTCAGAGCAACTGCCTCTTTGGAAAGAGATGAGAGTGCTCTCTCCATTGCCAGATCTCTTCAGGTTTTTACATTTGTCTCTCACTTTTTTCCCTCTTTCATTTCACAACCTGCACTTCATCCTCATTATCCTCCTTCCTATATTTTAATACCCCCAGAAGCTGTTTTTAGTGGTACATTATTAGTACACTGTGGGGTTCTTAAATGTAAGGATTATCTTATTTGCATACTTATTTGTTATTATTTGGAAAGGGGTTTTATCCCTAGAGATTATCACAGAACCCAAAATGAGACAGGATCTCAAAGATGCCTATTAAAGGAAGGGACACTTGTGTGAATATGTTAACAACACTCTGAGCATCTTTTTCTGTATTAATTTGAGCAGATGCTACAGCTCCATGGACATTTTTTTCCCATCAAAGTTCTGGAGTCTGTCTTTTGTTCTTGGTCCCCTTTTTATTATTTTATTTTCTTGTGTAGTCTGGATAGATGTGTCCTTTTTGTCCCAAGAAGCTATCCAGAGTTCCTTATACAAATGGTATTTATTCTCCAGATCTAAAACCTTTACTTTATTGTGCCTTTTACTTAAATAATTTCCTGAGTTTCATCAGTAGCTGATCTTTAGATGTCCTCTGCACTGCTATAACTGATTTTAGTTCTTAAACAAAAATTGCCCATAGGCACTGTTTCATCCTCATATTAGTGAACAGGGTCTTTAGCCTTGGCCTGTTCAGTAGAATCATCACAAAGTTCTCTGAATAGTATTGGTCCTTTATATTTTCGACACCTTCTCTATAATAAATTCAATTTATCATCTCATCCAATGCTCATATCAAATTTCTTGC
The DNA here is from genome assembly GCF_000001405.40 of Homo sapiens. Lineage (NCBI taxonomy): Eukaryota > Metazoa > Chordata > Mammalia > Primates > Hominidae > Homo > Homo sapiens. The sequence goes on from NC_000018.10 coordinate 38,800,769, forward strand.
ATCCTAGATTTTGAATTACAGCAAATATGTCCCTTGATATACCCAATAGAATTAATAATCAGGGTTCTCACAGTGTGATCTCTCCTTAGGCCTCTGCTCTTATCTCTGGTGTCACTGTTTCCCACAAATCTTCCCATGAAATGATACCTCCCACTCCTCAATATGTACATACTGTCTTCTTTTCCTCTTCGTCTGCAGGAATACTCATTCAGCTCTTTTCTTGCTTTTCTATACTGTCATTTTTTAATTCTTCCTACATCCCTTCCACTCTTCTCTCTTATCCTAATTACTTAGCATTTCCATGAATATCTCCTACTATTACAAATATTTTTACTATGTAACAATGATAATTATAAATGACAGTTAAGGCTATTTATTAAACAATGTTGGTAAGCCAGGTACTTTATTTGGTGTGCATGTATTTGCGTATTTGTGTGTGTGCATATTTTAGTACTCATAATAGCTAAATGCATTTTTAAAATTAGAAAATGGAGACTTCGTTTTTAAGTGAGTGGCTCCAGATCACATGTGATAAGTGGTATTAGTGACAGACAATTGCATTTTCTTAACATCTTTAATGAATCAAGTGCTATGTGTGTGAATGAATATGTGTATCTCATTTAATTCTCCTATGCATTACATATAATATGTAATTATAGTATAGATTATATTATGTATATATTATATATAACATGTGATGTATAATATATCTTTTATATATTCTATATGCACACACACACACAGGAACCCCTTCTGCACATAAGGTATCTCTACTTGCCAGCATTTTACTCCTACTGCTGTTGACCTTATAGTTTTATTGGGCACTTTCATTTTTGGTGTTAGTCTTTTCATTTCCTTTTTTTAAATTTTACTTTAAGTTCCTTTTTTTCTTTCTCCATTATTTCTTCTTAGCATATGCTTACACAGCCTTCTCCTATGTAAGTCCTATTCTCTTACATCCTTTTCAGCTTTACCTTTGTACTCCTCCTAGTGCCCTGGCATCCTCTCAGCATGCATCACTGGCTTCCATGCACGAAGTTCTCTAAATAACAACCTTGCATCTCACTGGCAGGAGAAACAAAGACCCCCACTGTGACTGACGAGGACTCAAAGGCTTAGTGAGTGTTAATGACTTGCTTAAGGTCACTCTGTGATTTAACAGCATAAGCTGCTCTAGAAGCAAGTCTTATAATCCTGTCCTAAGTCTGACACCTTGGTCTTTTCTACTGCACCCTACTGCCCATGGCTGTAAGTATCTAATTTCATCTCAGCAACTGGTTCTCCTATGTAATTCTGAGAACTTCTTCAACTATTTACCAAACCTGCTTAAATCTGCCCTTCCTAAAATAACCTGCAGTAAACTTTTTGCTAAATCATAGAATCATTATTTAGCTCTTACTTCACTTGGCATTTGCTCCTCCTTCACTGTCTTCCCTTAGTTCTCCTCCACCCCTGTGGCTCTTCCTCTCACATCTGTACTGGTCTACCTGACTCTCAAAAGGCATTTTGTTCCATGAAAGAGAATAAAATGAGAGGTGTCAAAACTTTCTTTGGTTTTAACCTGTTGCTTATACAATTGCAGTAAATGATTAAAGGATTGACCATTACCTCCATTTTGGGTTTGTTCCTGAAACCCAAAAAGTGAAGAAATCCCACTGAGCTTCCTGGGTGTGCTTTGAACTAACAGGGTCCAAGTGGCACTACAATTACCTATAGTCTTAGAAGAAATTCCCAAATGTGTCTTGCCTGCTTCTCATTTGCTGTAGGTGGGGCAGTAGTCATCAAATGGTATTTCGTGAGCATACTTCATCACAAACTGCAACAAAACCCCAAATGGCGACTCACTGGAGGGGCCACAGTACAGTAACATAATTTGATATGTTTAATAATCAGTCTGGGAAACAAGGCTGATAGAAGCAAAATGGCAGAACGGAAAATAGGCCTATCAGTAAGCGTGAACATTTCTGTGAGGTTTATGTCTTCATTAAAAGAAGACTTGAGTATCTGGGGTTGTAAACTTATTAGAGATCTATGTGGAGTCTGACCTCTATATAGGTATGAGCTATCAATCTTTTAGCTCCTCATAATTTCTGAAAGGGATTTAGCCTTCAGTGTAAATCATTTGAAATTGTTGATTATTGACATTTATGAGTGCATACTGATGAGATAGGCAAAATCTGGTTACGGATTACATATTTCTAAGTAAAATTTTGAATCTATAATTATATCTGGAATAACATCCAATGTGTTAATAGGTGGGGTGAGGCCTTTTACCTGAACATTTGGTACAACATGGTTTCAATACCTTTTGTGCCATAACTTTTTTCTACTAGATTTAGAAATGCCTGGATGCAACAAGGACAAGGGCAGAGCCTGGAACATATGCCCTGGGATCCCAAAGTAAGACCAGTAGTGACTGGATGAGCATCCATAGACCCCATTCATAGTAAGTGCTCTGAAATCTTCCACTAAACTTATTTCTTCACATGGGCTTGTCAGCAGCGGTATCTCCTAAGTGGTTTGAATGTGCAATAACTTTTTCTAAAGGCATTGTCTTAATAATCAAGATTTATACAATTTTTTAAAGTATGGTGAAGCCTTAAGATTTTTATTTCTATCCCTTCATATTAGAGATAGAAGATTAGAAATTTTAAGGAAGATACATTGCTTATGAAAAATCACACCAATTGTTGGTAACAGTTTGCTCAACAGAGTTGAACCTCAGCTTTTCCTCTTCTCAGGAGGTAAAACTTACCCTCATCTCTTGAATGGTTGGATAAATTCATTTTTTTTCTTCTTGAAGAGAAATTACTTTTGATTTTTTTCAAAGTCTTCTGAATTAGTGTTTGCCAGAGAGTGGGGAAAAGGTGAAAATATAAACAGAGTCACAAAGATATGATCACCACAGCCATCTGGGTTCTCTGTGTATTCGAAATTCCTGGTTGTGATATGGAAGGGTAGTGGTGATATTCAGCTTGGATATAGAACAAGATGGTTTCCAAGTTTATAATAATAAGGCAGCTAGTAGAAAACAGTGAAACCTCTTGAAATCTATCTATCATCTATCCATCCTCTCCCTATCTTTTCATCCATGTACTCATCTATGTATCTATGTATCTATTTCATTAATGCACTTATGAGCTGAAAAGTAAAGGAAGGATTCTTAGGAATTATGAATTCAAGAATCCAAAGAACCTCAAACACAATATATTACAAGAAATCCCAAGACACCCCCTCCTACATATTGTCTAATAAAACTAGAGAACACAAAGACAAAGAGAAGATCTAAGGGTGAGGGGAAAGGTGAGAATGAATCTTCAAAAGATAAGAAAAAATATCAGGTGACTTCTTATTAGCACAAATAGAATCCAGAAAACAGGAGAATAAGGTGCTGAGAGAACATAACTCTTTCACATCTGATAAGTACCAGGATTTGAACAGAGGAAGTCTAAGTTCAAAGCCCACACTTTCAACCACGGTGCAATTCTGCCTTTCTTTCAGCCAGAGTCAACCAAATATAAAACTTACTGATGAGAGAAAGGACAATAACCATGATCATTACTGGCCCTAAGAAGTCAACGCTGCATTTATCCTCTTTCCTCTCAGTTTGGCACTTCTCCCACCTTCCCTATTCATGTCTGTGCCATTTTTCTTCTCTATTTCCCTTAACTTTGGCCTCTGAGTAATCTTTTATTTCTTCCTTTCTTTACCATCTTCTTTATTTGTTCCAATGGCCCATTATAAATTCTTTCTACCTAATGTAAACCAGAGGGGACTTCTGCTTTTCGAGTCAATAATTATGGGCCAGAGTCACTTTTATCATTTCACCTCTAGAAAAATAAATTCTAAGTAGCATATTTTACATTTCTTAAGGTCTCCATTACATGTTCTTGTTCTAGAAATTTAATCTCCTTTATTTTATAAAAAATAAAATAATAAATATTTAAACTGTCTTTTTGAGGCTACCAAGTGTTTTTAAGTATATTACCTAACCTGATTCTTCTCATAATGACCCTCTGGACTCAATGAACAAAATGTTTCACCCATTTTATAGGTGAAAATACTGTGACTTAGTGTAATTAAATGATTATCCTGATTCATATAATCATTTAATTAAAGCCAGAAACCTAAGGCACTTGAGTAAAAATTCCAGAAACATTTTAATCTACTATTGAAAATTCTCCTATTATATATGATTTATGTTCAGGAAGTTTGTTTTCCTACAGCTAGTCACTGTGTGAAGCTGGAGAATGATCCCAGGAATTCACTACAAGATTCAGTGGCTTCTCTAGAAATTCAGAAATGGAACTACTAAAGGTATTACTGCTATATGTCTCCCCCTCCTGAGTTACAAATGCAACAAGCTGGTAATTATGATGATACTTTATTCCAATAAGAACTGAAATAGGACAATGAAATCATGATGCTTAGCACTTCTATAGCACCATTCATCTTCTGAGCTCTTTACAAACAGTAATAATTAAAGGAGGGCAACAGAGAGTTCAGCTGATAGGGTGAATCACATGTAATAAACCAACTCCTTAGGAATTAAGATCCGGGAGGACAGCACCCACTTGAGATACAAACTGAAATTTATATGAATGTGTATAGGGGCAGGAGGTAGCAGGTACTAAGGGGTGAGAGGATGTTTTTAAAAAAACCCAAACTTTCCCTCCTTCAGAGTTGTCAATACAATCAGCCTTTGTAAGCAGGCTGCTGCCATTTGAATTACAAGGGATTTTAAATGGGGCAGAAAATGTAAGCTAGTCAAGTGAAGGGGAAGATTAGATAAGAAAATTAAACTATATGTTAAATTCCACTGTAAGTAGATAGTCCTTAAGGGAACAAAAATAATGATTTTATTATCAAAGAAGAAAAGTGTGCAGCTTATCTGCCTTTGTTACCTGGAGTTTCTTCCGGGAATCTGTTGTTCAACAAAATGTGTCCTGGTGACAGGTTAGGGCTACTGATTACTCTCTTCCTACATAGAGGTATGGAGGAAAGGGGATAAAGAGAGGGAAAACAAAAACAAAAATATCAGTCACAATATCATAAGATCCACCCTTCCCTCTGATTCAGACTCTGTTCCAAGAAACAACCACAAATTCAAGTTACTGTCCCTGTGTCTTCAGGATCACTGGGTGATATTCATTTCCTAACATGTTCTGATCCATGCTGTTTGGCATTTCTAAGCAAGTATGCTTTATTCTCTTCTCAGCTGCTTGACTCTGATCTTGTGTGTTTGTCTCCTGAGATTACCGAGGCTTTAGAAAGGTATTCAAGCATAATTGTAGGGGCAGAGGGAAAGTTTCCCACTTTATCCTTTGAAGGTTTGCTGAAAAGAAACCGACAAAAGGTAGACTAATAGAAGAAAAAGACATAGAAATTTATTATGACTTGCATAGCATGGGGAATTGCAGAATAATTGCTCAGTAACTTCATGGGGCACAGATGCGTATATAATCTGGGGATGGGTAGATGAGGGTGCACATAGAAGTAAATAATTTTTTAGGGGGAATGAATAATCCCAATGTTTAGACAATGATTAGTACATAATTCTCTTTGGGAATTGAATAATTATCCTGGGACATAAGAACAAACAATAGTTTGAGACAAAGTCCATCTGGACTCTAGATGTGATATTTAATTTTTAGTCTATTCCTCTGTGATGTGGGTTTTAATCTTCTCTGGTTAATGAAATTTCCAGGAAGAGATGAAAGGCAATCGTGTTTCTTTTGGGTGGTCCAGTTTCTAAGTAGATAAAGGAACTTCGGTGAACAGCCTCATTCTGTGTGACGGGAGAGAAAAAGTTTTGAAAGACACAAGTGAAGGAAGATCAGAGAGAACTAGAGGCTGCCCCTTTAGTTCAGTATGTCAAAGTGCTGTATTTTGGGTATCATTTTCCAAGCCCCAACTCAATCAAATTCCTCATTTCTGCTCTCTCAATTTGCTAGCTATCAGTATAAATTCTAGTAGTTAGAAAGAGCGCCCTTGCCTCCATGTCAAACTGTTACAGAAAATTGGAATTTTGATCCTGGAGACCTTTGTTTTTCTACCCAAAAATAAGCAACTTTGCCTCACACCCTCATTCAAATGCCAGCTCTGCATCTGACTAACTGTGTAATAGTAGGCAAATGACCTAATTTCCTGATCATGAATTTCTGCACCCATACACTAGAAACAGGGATCCATTTATTCATGGTATTTATTTAAGTCCTTACATTAGTTGTAAGAATATAAAGATAGGAGGCACCATTTCTCCCTTCTAGGGGCTCAAAACCTGGTAGAAGTGACAAATAATTAATTACTCATCAAAATAGGGTATGGTAACCTTGTACTGGGTAAAACAAATGCCCAGAAAAGAAATCCCTGACCTGAAATGGTGGGAATGATCAGTGATATGCTGGTAAATGTTTACCAAGCAACTATCTGTGTAAAAAAAAGGTATGTATTTATATACAAGCATGCATTTACTATAAATCTTAGTAATATAAAAGATGTGTGACAAAAATTTAACAAAATAATAAAATATACAATATTCTTTAACATAAATTTCTTATAGCCCATTGATGCTCAGACTCCTGCTGTTGATTGTTGCTGACTCTTGGATCCTTATCAAACCTATCACTGCAGTTGATAAACTAGTGTAGTGAAGATATGAAAGTTGTTTGGTATATTCATTTATGATAATGAGTAGAATGAAAGTGGAACAAGAAAGATATACATCTGAAATTTACTCATTCATCAATGATGTGAGAAAATTGAATAACAGAATAATACTGGAAGAATACGTTTTTCGGTTTTGCGTGTTACTGAGAGACATGACACACTTTTAAGTTTATTCTGCATTATTAATATCTTCTCCATCAGTTTCTCACTCTACACAATCAATAAAATAAAACAATCAAACTCTGAGTTTTAGGATTTCCAATATCTTTCACCTTGGCTAGTTTCGTTCTTTCACCATGATATCTCTGAATAATGAGCTGGGAAGAGACGCACATTAGCCCACACACAGGTGAAGTACTTACAACGTGCACACACAGTAGATGTCAATCTCAAGAGCACAGATAACAGTAAAACATGTTAAAATAGGAAGTAATTAGTTTTTAGTATTTTAATAATGGTTTACAATAGAGTTAACTTAATTTTAAGTTAATCATGGCTGTGCTTAATAATAACAACAATAGGGTCACAAAATCTCTAAAAATTTTTCATGGGTTCTCATGAGTTAGTATGGGTTGACATCACACCACTGGGAATGAGGAAGGCCTTCAACGGCATGGAGGTAAACACTGAGCAGCCCGTATAAAGCAGAAGGGGAAGATTGTTCCTCCAACTGAAGAGAGAATATGCAAAGAATGAGAACTGAAAGAGAGTATGGAAACTACAGGCAGCTGCAAACAAGGTAGGGCTTGCTGTGGTAACTCCCAGCACCAAGAAGCTTCGGTGCTATTAGATATAGGAAAGCCACTCTCCCACACAAGCACTTTGCATTAAAGGATAATGATGAAAAGCTATACCTGTAATCTACAATGGATATTATCACAAATAATACTATGATATAGGATTTAAACTTACATTGATTTTTGAGCAAAAAGAGAACAAAACAATGTCAACTACAAGACTCATGCTAACATAATCTGAAATAGAGATTCTCTTTGTATGGCTGGAGTGGGGAATGATTTAAGGTGTGCTGATTTTTCTGCTTTTCAGAGAGAGAGAGAGAGTGAATCACACATTATATAGTTACATAGTACACTAACTGGTACCTAAATCTGACAGTGAGGATCAACAGTGATCCTAAGAGAAGAACTCAAACTGGAATTTCAGGAAAAAAAATCTTCTAGAGATAAATGATGATTCCAAGAGCAGGAGAGACCATAGAGTGGGAAAAGGAAAGGAAGAAATAATGATTCAAGCCAGCTCTTTGGCCCCTCGTCATCTCTCATTCAGTGTTGGAAATTTTTGGTAATTGAAATTTACCAAATTTAAATGTGTGTGTGGCGGCTGGTGTGTGTGTGTGTGTGTGTGTGTGTGTGTGTGTGTGTGTTGCTAGCTTTTGGAAATAGCAGATTTGGTAATTCATATTTCCAAAAGCTGTAAGTACAAACACACACTTAAATATTTACAGATTGCTTAGAAGTTCACAGTGTACTAAAATTTATATTAATAAAATTCTATTGATTGGACCACCTAAAGTCTGTTCCATACCAGTCTCTCTTTTCCCCTCCAACCACAGATGCTGGATGGTTTTCCTGTCTCCTCTTGAAGATAGCAGTGTATTTGTGAGCCAGGTCTGGCCCATCAGGCATAAAAAGGGACAAATGGAGCTGGCATGGCCTTTCTTCTTTCACTCGGCCCTCTTTTCCGTTGAACACAAACATGATGTTGGACACTGAGGGCAGTCATGTTGCAACAAGAGGTAGTGAATATAAGAGAAATGCCCAGGCAAATCCACCCTGACAATGAGCTGGCAAGCTATTCTAGCAGCCATCTCCCTCTTGACTTTCTACAATGTGAGATAAAAAAATCTTCATAATTTAGCCACTGTAAATAGGGATTTCTGCTCCTTGTAGATAATCCAGGGATCAATAAAGCAATATACTTTCAACTGAAAATTAGTATTTAGGGTTAAACCGCATACTAGATTGCAATTAAACAAGTACTGAAGGTTCATACACACATCAGTGTTAACTTCTTTGCTACCTCTGTCTCAATGGATATCTTAGCCCAGCCTATTCATTGTAAGTACAAAGAAAATATTCAAATTAGCTCCTACAGAAAGGAGAGTTCCTAAGTCAAGCACTCTCTCATTGAATACAGGGTAAGGAAGTTTGACCTGTTCACTAAGGTTTGGAACCAAGGAGCTTCTTTCTCCCTAATCTATGATACCCCATTTCTGCTTCTCCTAACACCTGCTTCATTATTTGCTCTCTGTCTCTTTGCAAACTTTTTTTTTTCATTTGTCCCTTGATTTATGTGGTTTAAAACAAAACAAAGAGATGAAAATGGTTTTCCCTTGGATACCTTCTGGGTCACCTTAATTACCAAAGCCAAAGATTCCCACTTTAGCTTAGAAAATTAAAAAAAAAAATTTCAATGTCTTAGTTTGTTAGGATTACCATAATATAATACTGTAGGCTGAGTGACTTAACAGAAATTTATTTTCTCACAGTTCTGGAGGCTGGAAGTCCAACATCAAGGTGTCAGAAGCACTTGTTTGATCTGAGGTTTCTTTTCTTGGCTTGAATTGGCCGCCTTCTCCTTGTGTCCACATGTTGCACACATCACTGGTGTCCTTTTTTGTGCCAAATTTCCTCTTTTTATAAGGACACTAGTCAGATTGGATTAGGGCCTACTATCCTCGTTAACTTAATGATCTCTTTAAAGGTTTTATGCCAAAATACAGTCACATTCTTGAGTACTGAGTGTTAGGGCTTCAACATTTGAATTGTGAGGGAATACAATTCAACCCATAAACGCAATTTACCTGTGCCGCCTTCCAGGCACATCCTGTGATTGAAGTTGGAAGAAAAGCGGCCTGCAGATAGCAAAGAAAGGAAGGCAAAATGGCATTTGGGATACAATCAATGAAAGAATCAGCAACTATTTCACTCATGCTTACTTCTACATAAAAATTGCTACCCCAGGCAGAGAGAGAAATTCAACTATTAATTAGTAAATTAGAGAGATAAGAGGGATAAATTCAGCTGCCACATTGAAAATGTATATATTGAGTGTTAAACATGTGGCATGGACAGTAAGTGTTATAGCATTATAGGGGGAGAACAATCTTGTTCAGTTGTTTAGAGAAAGACCTTTGGATCCCTTAAGGAGAAAGACCACAAGATGAGGCTGACCAGGAGGAATGATTATTCACCCAGCAAGTGGCTGGGAAAAAGAGGGCTTTCTTAAGGTCTGAAACAGCAACAAGAGACAGAAAAAAGGAAAACTTCTTGTAGGAATAGTAGTATCATTTTAAGGCAGGGAAATTGGTACAGAGAGAGATGATAAGCAAGATTGCAAGACAGTTTGGTATAAGATTGCTGAGGCTTTAAATATCTTTGTAATGTGTGTCTGTTCATGCAGTCTTGCAAGAGTTAAGCTGAACCCTTTTCTATTTTGACGTCTGAATTTTCTGACGTCTCTGAGCTGGCCATCTACACTCTCCTCCTGAATTAATACAGGGTTTGGGGTGACCTGGAAGGTCAACTCTTAAGATAATTAGTACCGAAGAGCTGCACTCTCGCCATGCTGCCATTTCAGTCTTCTCAGAATCTAGCAATTTTTCATGATAAATTGAATCTAATAACATATTTTTGCAGCCAAGATACATGGTGGATCATTGTCTTGTCACTTTGATAAAATGTTTGGGCTTTTTTCCTCTGGCCCAGACTTCACAAGAGAGCAGGTGAAAAATCTGCAGTTATGTCAAACCTAACACAAATATAATAATTCCTGAAATAGCAACTTGAAAATAATTAATTTTTTGAGTAAAATAATCCAGGAATATTGACTATGCTCCATAATTCAACATTTGTTGTGTTTCTGTTTGCTAAAGGTTTTAGGGTTTCTATAAGAATGGGCAGTGGTAGTTTCAATAAAGAAAAATGAGAGGCAATATTTTGGTATTGTTTTGGCATCGTACCAAAAACTTATTCTATTCAAATGTGTTGAAGGGAGTATTCTGGTATTCATGAACTAAAACTGTATCCTCTGTAAGTCAAGTCCCTCTCAGACTTAAAAAAAGGAGTTTGTATAGTGAAATGAATTATACGACAGGGTTTGGAATCCAACAACCTGGGTAGGTCTAGACTCTGTCAATTAAATCATTGTGTAATTAGGAGTAGGTCATCCTGTTTGCCTGCACCCAGTTCTGCATCAGCATGTGTAAAATGCAGTCTAATAATGCTGAGAATAGGAAATGAACATGATGCACAAAAAGAATTTATAGGACAGTGCCTGGCCCAAAGCAAGTGCTCACAAATTTACTTGTTAATAAAATGTCCTTTGACTCTACATTCAAGATGTTCAGATTAAAATGAATACTAACTTTTTTTTTAATGCATATAACCAGAATTTTTCTTTGTCTTTTGAGGGTAAATACTTTAGAATCATTTTTTAAACACTTTTATTTTAAGGTAAAATAAAAATATTTTTAAAACACTAAAAACATAGCTGAGTAAGTTATTATAAAGCAAATTATTCTGGTCAAGAATTATAACCTTTCCAGCCACCTCTGAAATACCTGTCATGTGTCTGTTCCCAATTACAGTGGTCTTTCTCCTTCAAGAGTAACTATTGTTCTGACATTTATGGTATATATTTTCCTTACATTTTTATAGATTTACAACTGAAATGTGCTTTGGCAGACAATATAATTTATCTTTCTCGTGATTAATTTTAATAGTTTTAAAAGTTTCCTGTATTCTACGATTTCCCTTTTATTCCTTTCAACAAGTCCTTTATAGTTACATCAAATTGGCAGCTGGGTCCAGATATAGGATCAGATTAAGATTAGATTTTATTGGCAAAACTATAGGTAGTGCTTGGCAAGCCGATATGAGGCACATGACATCTGACTGTCTCTCTTTTTATGAATTTAGCAACCATTAATGATTAAACCCTGTATCTATTTATTAAATGAGAGTTGCAAAATGGGCATAAGCTAATTTTATCATTTCGGTTTCTATTTATAAGTTGTGATACTTTTATCAGGAGACAAATTCCCTCATCTATTCATGGGTTATTCAGTGCAACAAGTTCTTATAGAAAAGAGTGGATAAATCCTTATTTCCCTTTTCTTACCAGTTTCTATGATAATGAATTAGTTCCCTATCACCCTTTGGAGGTGATCAATTTACAAAAATGTCATTATGAAATCATGAATTTAAACATATTTGATGGGTTTCATTCCACTGTGAGTATTGTAATTATTGAAGTATGCATATTCCCATGTTTGGCTGATGAGAGCCTTTTTAGGTGGTACCTGGGTCCATTTGACATGATCCCAATAGTTTTTGATATCATCCTTGCTCTTTAATATTACAAAGTGTAAAAGTTGTACATTTACAACTCCAGACTGGGAATTAGCTATTTCTCCAATGATCCCTGCTTATTTCTTACAGTAAGAAATGGTATTTAAAGGCCATAATCTGGACTCTAAGGATGTTCATTACTAATGGATTGATATAAATATACCATCATATATGTAAATGATATACATATATATGGTATATATATACAATATGAAATAAACTACCTCATATGTTTACATTTCAGACTACAGAAATTTTATTTTAAAATTTTAAATTATATTCATGTCTCCATTATCCCACATAAGAAGAATTCTTCCTTGAAAAACATCCTGATTTTCAAAAACAGAGAGATGATAGAATTAAACAATGCTGGAATTATTCATTTGATTTATGACATATTATGAACACATAGACTCAAAAAGAATATTAATACTACCACCAATATTATTACAAAATCCATTAAAACTAGTTTTGTGTATGCACTTTTAATTCTCCATTTTTTTCTATATTTTCAGAAATTATGGTCATTAGAATTATAGTCTCCCCCTTAGCCCATAATTACTCTTAGTTCTGCAGATAACTATATATTTTTTGCTCACAACCAAATCTTATGTCAATATCTCTCTAGGTATTTTCGTTGTCTAAAGCTCATTCTTCTGGGGATTTCCTTAAAACATGCCCGCTGGAACAATATTCTCCTTGTTTCTTAATGCTGATAACTTTAGTACCTTTTATACTTGAGAGTTTTATTGGATACGGTATCGTTGACTCACACTTTCTTTTATCATGAGTTAATATGCCATTCATTTTTTAATTAAATAAAATTGTAAACAAATACTAATAGTATTCTAATTTTATTTTTCTTATAAATTACACGGTTTCATTTTCTAGGTATCCAAATGGTTTTTTATATTAATTTTTACTTAAAATTTAGTCATTTTACTAGAATATGTTTTGGTGGTTTTTGTACTAAGTTGAGGTTTATTTTCCCAGAAATTGTATTATACCATGTTGCTTTCTCAACATATAATTTCAAAAAAATATATATAATATCAATATATACACATAAGTTTGTGCAACATTTTCTTAAATTACTGCTTTTAATTTTTATTTTGTTTCCTTACTTTTTTAAAAATCAGTGATTTCTATTATGTGTCTATGTAATCTTCTTTCTCTATGCTCAGTATTGATGACTGTCACATCAATTCTTTTCATTCATCACCTGTTCATTTAAAAATTATTATTCATTAGATACAGTAAAATTTTAGTGTACAGTATTATGAGTTGTGGTTCATGTATAGAGTCATGTAATGAATACCATTATCAAAATCTAGATACTAGGTGCCATAATACCTCAAAATTCCTTTGTGTTAGCTCTTTGTAGGTACACAGTTCCCCCAATCCTAATTCCTGGCGAACACCAATCTGTTGTTTTTTTCTTTTCCATAATGTAATGTTAATGGAAGCACACAGTATGCATTCCTTTGGTTTCTTTAACTCAGCATAATGTTTTGATAGCCTTCCAAGATCTAGGTATTCTTGTGTGTACATGTGTGTGTATATGTACATGAGTAAATTCTTTAACTTTTTCTACAAAGACATCATGTCATCTGTGAAAAAAGATATATTTGTGTCCTCCTTTTCCAATGTGTATGACTTTTGCCTTTCTTTTTCCTTGTCTTACTGCACTGGATAGAACTTCCCATAGGAATTTGAATAACAGTGATTAGAATCAACATATTTACCTTGACCTGAATCTTATGGAAAAATATTCAGCTTTTTTGTCATTAAGTTTTTGTTATCTATTAATTTCGGTAGATAGCCTTTTCCAACTTAATGAACTCCTCTTCCATTTTTAATCGGCTGAGAATTTTTAAGCATGATTCAATGTTAAATTTCATGAAATGCTTTAGTTAAGGTGATCGTGTAATTGTTCCTCTTTAGTTCATTAATGTGGTGGATTTTATCTACTAATTTTTTTCTTTCATTTTTTAAATAAACTTTGTATTACTTTATATTACTGGGTATACTTTACTTACATTTTGAGAAGAATCTGTGTATGTATATTCATGAGACATATTTATCTGCAGTTTTCATTTCTTGCCATGTCTTTGCCTGGTTTTGTTATTAAGGTAATGCTAGCATCATAAATAATTTGGGAAGTATTATAAAATCTGTTTTCTGGAGGAAATTGTATAGAATTTTTACTACATCTTCTTTTAAATTTTTAGTAAAGTTCACCAGAGAAATAATCTGGTCCTAGAAATTTTCTTTTTTGGAAAGCTTTTAAAGTATGAAATTAACTAATTCTGTTTTTTGCTTTTTTAAAGTATAGGTTATCTATTTTTCCTTAGTTGCTTATAGTTTGTGTCTTTTGAGATATTGGGCTATTTTGTCTAAATGATCAAATTTATAAACATCAGGTTTTTCATAGTGTGCCCTATTATATCTCAAATATCTCTGATTATTTGGTTACCTGCTGTCTTTTATTGATGATATTGGTAATTTCTCTTCTCTCTTTTTCCAGGCTTTCTAGAATGATATTTTATTGATTTTTTTTTTAAAAAGTAGCTTCTGGTATCATACATTTTCTTTATTATTATTCTGTTTTCAATTACATTTACTTCTGATCTTTGTAATTTTAAAAATTCTGTTTCTATTGGTTTTATTTTTCTCTTGTTTTTCAAATTATTAAGTTAGAATATTCGTTTTTTTTGTTTGTTTGTTTGTTTTTTGTTTTTGTTGAGACGGAGTCTTGATCTGTCACCTAGGCTGGAGTGCAGTGGCACCATCTCGGCTCACTGCAAGCTCTGCCTCCCGGGTTAATACCATTCTCCTGCCTCAGCCTCCTCAGTAGCTGGGACTGCAGGCGCCTGCCACCACGCCTGGCTAATTTTTTGTATTTTTAGTAGAGACGGGGTTTCACCATGTTAGCCAGGATGGTCTCAATCTCCTGACCTAGTGATCCGCCCGCCTCGGCCTCCCAAAGTGGTGGGATTACAGGCGTGAGCCACTGCGCCTGGTCCAGAATATTCGATTTTTAAAATTTTTCTTCTTTTTTCTTTTACAACATGTAAATTTAATATTGTAAAAGTTCTGAAAACTATTTTAGGTAAAATGTAAACTTAAGATAGGTTATATTTTCTATTCAGTTCAAAATATTTTCCAAATACCTTTCAGATGTTCTCTGACTCATAGACTGTTTGGAAATGTATTGATTAATTTTCAAAATTTATTTTTAGATTGTCTAGTTGGTTTCCTGTTATTGATTTCTAGTTTGAATCCATATTGGTCATAGAATATACTTTGTATAATTTTAATTATTTTAAATGTGTTAAAGGTTTTTTATGCCCCAAAATAGGTTTATCTTGGTGAATATTCCATATACACTCAAAAGAAAGATGTATTCTGATGTTGATAGTGGAGTGATCAATATCTGTTAGATCCATTTTTTTGCTTGTGATATTCAGCTCATTATTTTTTACTTTTTTTTCATTTAATATACTTGTTCTATCATTAGTGAGAAAAGAGGGTTGAAGTCTCCAATTATAATTTTGGATTAGTCTATTTCTCCTTTCAATTCTGTATGTTTTTTCTTAATGTATTTTCAATTTCTGCTATTAGACACATAAACATTTAGGACTATTATGTTTTCTTGATGAATTCACCCTTTTGCACTACATAATGTCCCAGTTCACTGTTGGTAGTTTTCCTTATTATATAATTCACATTGTCTGATATCAGTATAACCACTCCTACTTTCTATCATTGTTATCCTTTAGGGCTTTTGATGATAAAAATATTAGATCTTAGTAAAAAATGTGTTTATTTGTCATCAATATTTTTTCTTTTGTTGCAAATGGATTTTTTTATTGATCAATCATTAAGTTTATTGGTGTTTAATCTTCCATCTCCATGAGTCTGTTAAGTCCATTCAATATATATCCTAAATTTTTGTTATTGTATGTTTTAGTTCTAAATTTTCAATTTGATTTTTCATTATATTATTTATTTCTTTGCAGAGAATTTCTAATTTTCCATTTATTATAAAAATGTTCATTCTTACTTCTTGGAACATAATTAGAGTGGCTGACTAAAAGTCCTTGATTACTCCAGTATCTGTGTCATGGCTGGCATCTCTTGATTTTCTATTTCCTTGAAAGTTGATATTTCCCTGGTCTTTTGAATGTCAAGTGATTTGTGGATTACATTTTTTTATTCTAAATATTTTGAGATTGTGGGTTTTCTTTACATGTTAAGGAGAATGTTGATTTTTCCTTACTTTCTTAAAGCAGGAGATATATCATTAGTTTCAGCACACAAATCTCAGCTCACAGAATAGGACTCATCTCTAGCAGACCTGCTTTACAAGACATGTTAAATAAAATATGTTTTATGAGAAGGAAAATGACACAGATCAGAATTCTGGATCTGCATAAAAAAGAACAGCATCAGAGAAGAGGTCAAAGAAGGTTAACTAAGATATCTTATTCTTTATTGATTTAGAAGATAAATGTGTGTTTAAAGTAATAATGGTAAAAACACACTGGTGGTGGTGGCAGGTGCCTGCAGTCCCAGCTACTGGGGAGGCTGAGGCAGGAGAATGGCATGAACCTGGGAGGCGGAGCTTGCAGTGAGCCGAGATTGCGCCACTGCATTCCAGCCTGGGCGACAGAGTGAGACTCTGTCTCAAAAAAAAAAAAAAAAAAAAAAAAAAAAAACACATTGGTGGTCTATAGCACATGGATAAGTGAAAAGAATGACAGAACTTTCATAAGAAATTGAGAGTGAAGATTTGGGAATACTCTGTTCTATGTTACCTACACTCAATGTAAAGCAGTACAGTGTTATTTTAAGTAGACATAGATTCATTAAAACTTGCAGGTGTGGTAGCTCATGCCTGTAATCCAAACAATTTGGGAGGCTGATGCAGGCAGATTGCTTGAGGCCAGATGTTCCAGACTAGCCTGGGCAACATAGTGAGACCCTGTCACTACGAAAAATTTTTTTAAAAAATTGCTGAACATAGTGGTGTGCACCTGTAGTACCAGCTACACAGGAGGCTGAGGAGGGTGGATTGCTTGGGCCCAGGAGTTTGAGGTTATAGTGAGTCATGATTGCACCACTGCACTCTAGCCTGAGTGACAGAATAAGATGGACTTTCTCTCCTTTTCTCTCTCTGTCTCTCTCTCTCTTTATATACATATATATATACACACATATACATATATACATAAACATATATATATAATATCTATTTGTGTGTATGTGTTTGTGAATATCAAATTCTAGGGCAATAACTAAAATAATTTTTAAAACAGATATAATTGTTATGTTAATAGAGATAATAAAATGAAACCGTACTAAATGTTCAACTAAAACCAGAAAAGTAAGAAAAAGAGACAAGAGAAGGAAAAAGTACAAGAAAAAAGACAGTTACAATGATCATAAATGCCAATCCCACTATATAAATAATCACTTTCAATGGGAATGGTCTAAACAATAAAAATAGATTGTCAGAAATTAATATAAAATCAGCAGCCAACTTATGTCATCCCTCACCAAAGTTAAATACAAAGCCATAGATTAAAATAGAGAAATGTATACCTTGCTAAAACTAATCAAAATACCTCTATATTAGATATATTAACTTCAGACAAAGCAGACTTCGAATAAAGAAAATTTATGAGATATAAAACAGGCATTATATGATAAAGGAATGTTCTCTAAGAAGATATAACAATCTTTTCCATGCGTGCATCTAATAACAGATTGTGAAGATATATAAGGCAAAAACTGATAGCATTGCAAGAAATTTTTTTTAAATGCACCATTAAAGCTGTCAATTTCAGTATCCTTCTTTCAGTATTTGATAAAAAAGACAGACTATCAGGATATATTTGACTTGACAGCATTTTCAACCAACTTTATCTAATTGACATTTATCAAATACTCCATCTAGGAACTGCATAAAAATTCTCAAGCTCTCATGGAATATTCACCCATAAAACACATGTTAATAAATTTGAAATAATAGAAATGATAAGAAGTATGTTCTCATATACAACAGAGTTTAAATGGAAATCAATAACAGAAAGATACCTGAAAAGTTATCATTAATTTGGATATTAAATAAGACACTTCTAAACAATACATGGGTAAATAATTGTCAACAAAAACTTTTAAAATATTTTTAACTAAGTAAAAATAAAATTGTAACTTATCAAAAATCTGTATGATTCAGTAAAAATGGTACTTAGAAGGAAATTTATGACATTGAATGCACATATTGGAAAATAAGAAAGTTCTAGTCTGCAATATAAGATTCCACCATTGGAAACTAGGAAACAAAAAGTGATTTAAGCATAAAGCAGGCAGAACAATAATGAGGATGATAAAAAGAAGAAGATAAATCAATGAACTTTAAAGATAAAAGCCACAATGTCAAAACTGATTCAGTGAAAAGATCACTAAAAGTGATAAACCTGTATGCTGGTTAACTAAGAAAAAAATGAGTTTTTAAAAATAATTTCAAATTTTATTTTAGATTCAGGGGGTACTTGTAGAGGTTTGTTAGATGGGTATATTGAGTGATGCTGAGATTTGGAGCACAAGTGATATTGTCACCCAGCTATTGAGCATAGTACTCAGTAGTTAAGGTTTTCAACCTTTGTCCTCTTCCCTCATTTCACCCTCTCATAGTCCCCAGTGTCTATTGTTGCCATCTTTATGTCTATAAGTGCCAAATACTTAGCTCCCACTTATAAGTGAGAACATGCATCTGTTCCCACTTATAAGTGAGAACAGAACTATTCTGTTCCTCCAATAATTCGCTTTGGATAGTGGCCTCCAGCTGCATCTCATGTTACTGTGAAGACAGGATTTAATTTTTTTTATGCCTGCAGATATTTCACGGGTTATATGCATCACATTTTCTTTATCCAATCTATGATTTATGGACACCTAGATAGATTACATGTCTTTCCTATTGTGAATAGTGCCACAGTGAACATGCTAATATGTGTTTCTTTGGGTAGAATGATTTGTTTTCTTTTGGATATATACCCCAGTAGTTGGATTGCTAGGTCAAATGGTGATTCTGTTTTAAGCTATTTGAGAAGTCTACAAACTGATTTTCACAGTGGCTGAACTAATTTACATTTCCTCCAACAATGTATAATTGCTCCCTTTTCTCTGCAGACTTGCTAGCATCTGTTGTTTTTTAACTTTGTAATAATAGTTATACTGACTGGTGTGAGATGATATCTTGTGGTTTTAATTTGCATTTCTCTGATGACTAGTGATGTTGAGCTTTTTTTCAAGTTTGTTGGCCACTTGTATTTCTTGTTTTGAGAAACATCTGTAGATTTTTTTCCCCATATTTTCATGAAATTATTATTATATAATTATTTTTATGTGGAACTGGGAGTCCATTAAACTTCTTTTTCTTTGTAAATTTCCCAGTTTTGAGTATTTCTTTATAGCAGTATGAAAATGGACTACTACAATATCTTTGATGAATGCTATGTAAGTCAGTAGCATTTCTATACACCAACAGTGTCCAAACTGAGAACCAAATCAAGAAGGCAATCCCTTTCACAATAGAAAGAAAAAGCATAAAATATCTAGGAATACAGCTAACCAGAAATGTGAAAGATCTCTGCAATGAGAATGACAAAACACTGCTGAAATAAATCAGAGATGACACAAATAAATGGAAAAACATTCAATGTATTGGAAGAACCAATATCATTAAAATAATCATACTGCCCAAAGCAATTTACAAATTCAAAGCTATTCCTATCAATCTAGCAATGTTATTCTTCACAGAATCAGAAAAAAATTGTTATAAAATTCACATGGAATCAAAAAAGAGCCCAAATAGCCCAAAGCAATCCTAGTGAAAAAGAACAAAACTGTAGGCATCATACTATTTGATTTCAACCTATACTATAAGTTACAGTAACCAAAACAGCATGGTACTGGTACAAAAACAAACACATAGCCTGTGTTAGCCCCTTTTCCCACTGCTGATAGACATACCCAAGACTGGACAATTTACAAAAGAAAGAGATTTAAGGTACTTACATTTCCATATGGCTGAGAAGGCCTCACAATCATGGCAGAAGGCAAGGAGGAGCACGTCACATATTACATGAATGGCAGCAGGCAAAGAGAGAGAGATTGTGCAGGGAAACTTCTATTTTTAAAACCATCAGATCTTGTAAGTCTCATTCACTATCATGAGAACAGTGCAAGAAAGACCCACCCCCATAATTCAATTGCCTCCCACGGGGTTCCTCCCACAACACATGGGAATTGTGGGAATTACAATTCAAGATGAGATATGAGTGGAGACAGAGCCAAACCATATCATAGACCAATGAAACACAAGAAAGAGCCCAGAAATAAAGCTACACATCTATATCATATAATCTTTGACAAGGTTGACAAAAACAACTAAGGAGGAAAGGACTCCCTATTGAATAGATGGTGCCAGGATAACTGGCTGGGGATATGTAGAAGATTGAAACTGGACCCCTTCCTTACAACATATAAAATTATCTCAAGATGGATGAAAGGCTTAAATGCAAAACCAAAAACTATAAAAACCCTGGCAGATAACCTAGGATTTACCATTCTTGACATGGGCCCTGGAAAAGATTTCATGACAAAGATGCCAAAAGCAATTGCTACAAAAACAAAAATCGAAAAATTTGACCTAATTAAACTAAAGAGCTTTTACATAGAAACTATCAACAGAGTACACAGAGAACCTACAAAATGGTAAAAAATGTTTGCAAGCTATGCATCTGACAAAAACCTAATATTCAGCATCTATAAGGAACTTAAACTAACAAGCAAAAAGCAAACAACCTCATTAAAAAGTGGGCAAAGTACATGAACAGACACTTTTAAAAAAAAGACATACATGTGGCCGACAAACATGAAAAAATGCTCAGCATCACTAATTATTAGAGAAATGCATATCAAAACCACAATGGGACCCCATCTCACACCAGTACGAATAGCTGTTGTTAAAAGGAAGTAACAACAGATGTTGGCAAGGTTGCAGTGAAAAGGAAACACTTATACACTGCTGGTAGGAGTGTAAATTAGTTCAGCCACTGTGGAAAGCAGTTTGGTGATTTCTCAAATAACTTGAAACAGAATTACCATTTACCCAGAAATCCCATTGTTGGATATACAACCAAAGGAATATAAATCATTCTATCATAAAGACACTTGCATGTGTATGTTCATTACAGAACTATTCACAATAGCAAATACATGGAATCAACCTAAATGCCCCTCAGCGGTGATTGGATTAAAAAATTTAGTACATATCCACTATAAAATAGTATGCAACCATAAAAAAGAACAAGATCATGTCCTTTCCAGCAACACAGATGGCGCTGGAGGCCATGCTCCTAAGCAAACTAACACAGGTACAGAAAACCAAATAGTGCTTGTTTTCCCCTATAAGAGGAAGGTAAACACTGAGTACACATGAACACAAAAGTGGGAACAGACACCAGGGCCTACTTGAAGGTGGAGGATGGGAGGAGGGTCTACCTATAGGATACTATGCTTATTATCTGGATGATGAAATAGTATGTAAACCAAACTTCTGTGACACACAATTTACCTATATAACAGACCTGCCCATGTACCCCCAAAACCTAAAATTAAAGTTTAAAATAATAATACCTACCAAATGCTGGCAAGGATGTGCAGCAACAATAACTCATTCGTTGCTGGTAGGAATATAAAGTGGTTCAGTTATTTTGAAAGACAATGTAGCAGTTTTTTTACAAAACTAAATGTAAGCTTACCATTATATCCAGCAATTGTGCTCTTAATTATTTCCTTCAATGAGCAAATCTATGTCCACACAAATCCGCACACAAATATTTGTAGCAGGTTTATTCATAATTGCCACAAATTGGGATGAGCCAACATGTCTTTTAATAACTGAATGAAAACAAAACAAATTCTCATGTGTAAAAATTTTAAAAAGCAACAGACATGGAGAATATATTGGCAAAACACATGTCTATTAAAGGACTGGTATTAAAAATATAAAAGAATAGCCAAAACTTAATAATAACAAAACAAACCACTTTTTAAATAGGTAAAATTTATGAACAAGTATCTCATCAAAGAAGATAAACAAATATCATAAGGATATGAAGAGATTCTCAACATCGTTTGACAGTAGCGAATTACAAATTAAAGGCAATGAGATACCACTACACACCTATTAGAATGGCTAAAATCCAAAAATCTGACAATGCTAATAATTGGTCACAATGTCAAGCATGGTAAAATCTCATTCAATGCTGATAGAAATATAAAATAGTACAGCCACTTTGTAAGACAATTCAGCAGTTTGTTACAAAGTTAAACACAGACCTACCCAGCTATCAAGCAATCACCTTTTTCGATACATAACAGAAGTGATTTTAAAACTTACGTCCATGTAAAAACCTGAGTGGGGATTTTCTTCATAATTGCCAAAATATTAGAAGGTACTAAGATTTCACTTAATAGATGAATAAACAAACTGTGATACACTCACACGATGGCATATCTTTCAGTGATAAAAATAAGCTACTAAATAATGAAAATATATAGATAAATTGTAAACTTTATTACTAAGTGAATGAAGCCAATTTGGAAAGATTACATAACATATGATGTCAATTTTTGACATTCTGAATAAAACAAAACTGTAGCAACAGCAAAAATATTGCTGGTTGACAGGGAGAAAGAAATGGAAGGTTGAATAACTAAAGCACAAAAAAATTGTTAAAACAGTGAAACTCTTCTATATGACACTGCAGTGTTGAACACATAACACCGCATTTGTGAAAACCCTTAGAAATTTTCAGCACAAAGAGTGAACATTATGTTTGCAAAGTTTAAACAAAATTATTTAGGATGTGAGAGGACACCAAGGGAGAATGCAGAATGTGACAAAACAATGTCACTTAATTACAAATATATGAAGCAATGGTGAAAAGAAATGATGCAGACCTAAGAAACTCTGATAATCAGCAGAGTCTATAAAACTGAAGACAAAAGATGAATTGATAAATATGTGTTTCCTAGGAATACAGTTTGAAAATTCTAAAGCCACTATGCCTGTATCCCGGAATTCAATAATTAAATAAATGGATGGCCGATGTTGGAGGCCAAGTTTCTTCTGGTTGAAGTGGAACTTTTCAGATCAGGAAGAGGAAGAGGCTACAATGTTCCATTGGTAATGGATTAGAATTGTAGACATCAATATGAACTGATGCTTAGGTTACTATAGATACATATGGTTATATATAGATATATGTATGTATGTATCGATCTCTCCATATGTATTCATTTGTTTGCTCTGTCAGCTGAGAGGGTTTAGAAGCAATGACACTACAGTACAAATGAGCACATCTAGTACCCAAATTCTGATTTTTAATGCCATTCTCCAATAAAAGAAATCAGGAGCTTATTGGAGAAATGGTTAATGCTAGAAGAAAAATAGGAAATATATAATATGATCCTGGATCATCTTGCAGCCTCAGAAAATAAGAGAGAGAAAGAGAGAGAAGGAAAAACCCCTACAATGGCAGAGATATATCAAAATTTATAATGGCCAAAGCTGGAAGAATTTGAGCAACAACATAAATAAGTTTTACATTATAATCCAAAGTATAAAAAAGATAGCCATGAATCCATACCAGTATAAATAAATAGGAAAAAAGACAAATCTCATGTCTTGAAGGATTACAAATAATTTATGTACATACTCTACCCTTAAAAAGGTAGAACATAACCCTCTAGTTCTTAACTATGGACTGTGCATAGTTACTTTCTTCCCAAGAGTAATGCATGTTAACAGGAAAAAAAGAGTAACTTAACAGAGGAGAAAACTGACAAGCTCTACATCTGCCAGGTGATTAAGGTTAACATCAACAATGATGCGTCATGTTGATATGTACTCTTGATGTTGTATAATGAAATAGGATTTTAGATCTGTGGTCTTGCTCCAAAACCTCCAATAACCCAGCGTAATAATGTGAGAAACATCAGACAAACACCAGTTGAGAGATAGTCTACCATATTCCTGACTAGTACTTCTCAAAACTCTTTGTTAAGGTAATCAAAAACAAGGAAACTCTGATAAACTCTCACAGCCAAGAGGAACCTAAAGAGAAATGATAACTAAATGTAACCTGATATTGTGGACTGGATCTTGAAACACAAAAAAAGAACATTAAATAAAAATGAGTGTAAGACTTTAATAATAAAACACCAGGTGTAGAGTATATGATCAAATTAAAATTTAAAGACTTAAATACAAAACCTGAAACTCTGAAACAACTAGAAAAAAATCATTGGGGAAATGCTTCAGGATATTGGTCTGGGAAAAGATTCTTTTGAGTAAGACTTCAAAAGCACAGGCAATAAAAATATCTCTGTACTATATTCATGATTTTTTTTGTAAATGTAAAATGATTGTAAAATAAAAAGCTGATTAACAGTAAATTGTAGTAGTAATTTGGCAGTAAGATAGTTTTGTGTCCCAAAGTTGTTTTCTCTCTCAATGACTTTTAGATATTGGCAATTTCTTTTTCAATTTTAATTTTTATAGATTTAGGGGGTACAAGTGCAGTTTTGTCACATGGATATATTGTGTGGTGGTGAAGTCTGGACTTTTAGTGTAATCATCATCTGAATAGTGCACATTGGTACCCATTAGATAATTCTCATCCCTCACCCTCCTCCCACTTTCCCACTTTTCTGAGTCTCCAATATCTACTATTCCACTCCCTATGTCCATGTGTACACATTATTTAGCTCCCATTTTTAAGTGAGAATATATGGTATTTGACTTTCTTAAGGTAATGGCCTTATATATTATTTAGCTCCCATTTATAAGTGAGAATATATGGTATTTGACTTTCTTAAGGTAATGGCCTCTAGTTTTATTCGTGTAGCTGCAAAAGACAATTTTATTATTTTTTATGGCTTGACCGGTATTCCATGATATATACCACTTTCTCTTTATCCAATCACCCATCGATAGGCACTTAAGTTGATTCCATATGTTTGTTATTGTGAATAGTCCTGCTGTAAACATACAAATACAGGTATCTTTTTGATATAATGATTTCTGTACCTTCTGGTAGATACCCAGTAGTGGGATTGCTAGATAAAATGGTAGATCTATATTTAGTTCTTCGAGAAATCTTCATATTGTTTTCCACTGAAGTTGTACTAATTTACATTCCTGCCAACTGTGTATAAGTATTCCCTTTCTCTGCATCCTCCCCAACACCTGTTAAGTTTGGTTTTTTAATAATAGACATTCTGACTGGTATGTGATGGTATCTCATTATGGTATTAGTTTCCATTGCTCTGATCATTAGTAAGGTTGAGCGTTTTTTCATATATTCTATAGCCTTTAATTAAGCCCTTTATGGCTTCAGGAACAGTGTTGTGGGGCTTTTCAATAAGGCTTTTATTTATTTTCATTGTATAATCCCAAAGATTAATTTAGGCTAAATGGGGTAGAGCTGGGCGGCAGTGAGCAATGAACAGCCAGGAAATGGGTAACTTTCCTGGATGCATCGATAACTTTATGGCTGACTCAGCAACCAGTAACCAGGTGATGGTGGGAGCACATATAGATAGGACTGTGAAAGATTTGGACAGTAAGCCACAAACTAAATCAATCCCTGTCTTTTGGAATTCCTTAGATTATAGGCCAAGGTCACTAGAGGCTTTTAAAAGTTATATTACAAAAGAATTGACAAAGATAAATGCAAAATGGCTGGTGGTTGAATAGATTCCCATATTTTACTGATGTGGAATATTAAAAAAAAGGAAGGATTTAACTCAGAGCTAAATTTAACCATGACTGCATTTGGCCATGGCTAAGTTAAAGTCTCCTAGACTTACTTCTCCAAGTGTCCGGTTCCTTAGGCCACTGCGCCATGAGTCTTTAGTCAGCACTTCAGACAAATGCAATTTACAGGACAATTTAAAGTTATCAGAAGCAGCACAAAAACATTAAATAGAAAACCAATCAAATCTTCATATTCCTTATTTTCAGCATGTGTGACAAGAATGTTTCAAGAGATAGTCTATTGAATCCATTGAGATGCCCCGTAAGTAGGCTGTGCATCCATGCTAATTATAGAGCTTATCATACTTCCCAGAAAATGTGCAGTTGTAACAATCATATTTATTAAAATATGACTTTCTCTCTCTTTCTCCGTTAGCTGTATGTTTCAGAAAAAATAAATAGCTAATCCAAAATCTTGGCATAGTGAAATGCAAGAAACATAGGATTCTGGAGGTTTTTCAGTGTTTTGAGCATAAAGACTAAACATGCCACAGGAAAAACTGTAAATAGAGTGAGGCTTCACTTAGTTCTCCCTGATTAATTTTCCTTGTCATGGTAGTCAATTCATTTTAATCTCAACCTCAGTCTCATTTTCTGTCCAATGGAAATAAGAATCCATGTCAAAAACCTAACTTTCAATATAAAATGATGAACATGAATAACATTTTTTGATAAGTATCAAAATGGTTTATGCAGAAATGATTCAGAATTAAGTTACAATAATTATTAACAATACCACCACAACAAAGAAATGGCATGGAAAACTTGATTTGCCTAGAAAGCTCACTTGGTTCAGGCTAGAGCCTAGATTCTGAGTATAATCCAACACAATCCACTTAGTTTTGGATAAAGTGTAGGACTGACTCTACATACCCCCTGTGTTCCAGAAGGACAAATGTTTCCACTATCTACTTTTGAAAATGCATTCTCAGCAAGAATGAAAGGCATCACAAGTTAAATAAGGGAGAGGAGTGCTCATTCATACCACCTGTCTCTCTGTGGAATGACTTGTCCTTTCTTTGTTCCTCATGACATTTCTGTCCCTCCTTCTAAATCCATCTTACTTCCTACTCCTTTTTAACTCTTTATTTTGGTCAAGTAGATCTCATCAATTACTCCACTTTCACTGCTCTGTATGAGCCTGGACATCCCAGGCTAATAACCTATCATCAACAGTACTGTGTTAGTCAGAGTTCTTTAGAGGGACAAAACTAATAAGATATATATATGAGTTTATTAAGTATTAAATTACATGATCACAAGGTCCCACAATAAGCTGTCTGCAAGCTGAGGAGCAAGGAGAGCCAGTCTGAGTCCCAAAACTGAAGAATCTGGAGTCCCATGTTCAAGAGCAGGAAGCATACAGCACAGAAGAAAGATGTAGGCTGGGAGAGTAGGCCAGTCTCGCCTTTTCACATTTTTCTGCCTGCTTTATATTCACTGGCAGCTGATTAGATTGTGCCCACCAGATTAAGAGTGGATCTGCCTTCCCCATGCCACTGACTCAAATGTTAATCTCTTTTGGCAGCACCCTCACAGACACACCCAGGATCAATACTTTGTATCCTTCAATCCGATCAAGTTGACACTCAGTATTAACCATCACAAGTACCATTTGCTAGTTGGAACTGACAACGTCATTCTTTACACTCCACCCATACTAAGCACACCTGGCGTGCTTATACCTCAGCAACTTTGCATGTGCCTCCCTGCCTGCATTGGAGCATCATCCCTCTACCTGTCCTTTTGGAAAATTATTATTTATCCCTTAAGTCTTAGTTCTGTGTTTCTGCGAAAACTTCCCAGACTCATCCAAGCCAACTGCATCAATCCATATTGCTGCTTTTAGTAACACTCATTTACTATGTGTTTCCTCAGCACAATACACCTTTTCATCATTTTATCTTCTTCCACTTCTTTGTAAAGCTTTTGTCATACAGCTTATCAATACATACACTGACCCCTTTTATTGAGGTATAACTGATACTAATATTCTGCACATATCTAAAGTATACAATATACTTTAATGAGGTAAGATTGTGACCATATTCATCTAATAGATATCTGTTTAATAAAAATGGTTTAATCTCAAAAGCTGGTACCATTTGTTCTTGATTTAATTTTATTTTTTGGCTTTATCAAAGTATAATTGACCAATAAAATTTGCATGTATTTAGGATGTAGAGTCTGTTGAATTTGCATTCCATGCCAGTCACTGCAGAGTGGGTATGCCAAACTGAGTAGATTATCACCCTTGTTCTTAAAGGACTTACTCTATGGTCCTGGTAATAGAAGTGAATTTTTCCTTTCACAAAATATTGTCCCCTGACTATCAAATCTTGTCTGTGTACATAGTTCAGAACAGATGGAGAGCTATCCTCAGAAACAGCTCATAGAATGAGAGGCTAGAGATCCCAAAGGCCCACTAGAGCCAGAATAAAGAGTAGAGGTTTGCACATGAGTGCATCAAGTCATCAGGTGACATAAATGAGATCAGGAGTACAAACAAAGTTATATCTAAAGTCAGAAGGAGGTAGTATGTGGAGGTTGGATCAGTAATGGGAAAATTAGGCTGTTAGCCAGAAGACCCAAATTAAAGGAGAAAAGAAAGATGTGCACAATGGAATTGATTGGGAAGCTCATGAAATTCAGTTCATATAGATACATACACACATGAGTGCATGCTATCTCTGTGTGTGTGTACACACACATGCACATATATAGGTCATACATACATATATGTAGATCAATGCACTTCTGAGTCAAGTCTTGGGTGAAACAGATTCCATGGGGCTTCATAATAGCAGCTGAATGTTTGGATGCCCAACACTTATATCTAACTGACTTTAAGTTAAATCTATAACTCTCCCTGTCCCAGTATAAATATATCCAGCCCCTCAACTTAAAATTCAGTGCAACTCAGAATGTCTATGTAACTTTTATTCTATGCCTCCTTTCCAAGGGTTACTCTTCTTTCATATCTTTACTAACTCATGTTATTTTAAGTACATTCTCAAATTTTTCCCTTGTAATGTTCTTCCTGTCCTGATTACATTCCTCCTTGTTTCTTTCTGGCATATTAGACATCATTCATACCATAACACTGGTCAAAATCCTCTGTTAATGCTTTCTACAAACCCTCTAATTACCACTTTCCTCTGTCTTCCTTCTGTGTACACATAGCACTGAATGTTCGGACCACATATTTTATCACTTGGTTATAGACAGTTTATTCCAGAGCATATTTATTCCAAACCATCTTATATATATATTGCCATTGAATTTGTTAGTTTTCCTCAACAACAGAATTTATGAGCATCTAAACTGCAGAAAGAGCATCTCAACAGTGTCTCCCATAAGAGTGAGCCTAGATTCTTCCAGAGTCCTTGTTGATCACAGATTTTTAATAATCTTATATGCCTCCTTGCATGTGTTGATGATAGTTTGGTGATGGGCCTCAGGCTTTCTCTTGGCCTCCAGACAAGGAATTCTCTGCATCCACAGAAAAAATGAAAGTAATGGGCAAAGAATGCAAGTTAAAGCAAGGTGGATGGACCTTGAATGAAAATAGGAAGATTTAGGATACCTGTAGAAAGACAAGTCAGCATTATATAGAGACGAATTAATACTTTGGGATTAAACTGTCTGTGAAGGATAGAAGCATGGCAGACTAAAAATAGGCACGAAGTAATTCAGAAGCTAATCAGGCTGTGTCACAGATAAAATTAATAAGTAAAAAAGTTTTAACAAGACATTAGCGGTCTGAACAGCCCAGAAGGCCTAGGGAGGGAGAGAAGAGTATTATGGCTGCAGCATTAACATCACTGTTATTAGGTCGGTGATGATTAACAGGACCTCATCCCAAAGGAAGCAAGGTGAGCCTTCATAGGACAGCACTATGTCAGGAGATGATGGTCTCAAATTGGATAGCAAAGGTGAACTGTCCGTCAGGAGGGACGTCAGATGCAAGGACACAAAAATGGGGCCATATTAGCCTGAGCAGAAATAAGAATTACACCACGAGAAAAAAATACAAGTAATATAAAGTTAAAGTGACACAGAGATTTGTGAAAAACAGCCACACCTGTTAGTCCTTGATTTCCACTCAGCTCATATTTTGGGAATATTAGTCCAATGCTTCTGTTGGGTCAACCCCATTCAGATTTTATGATAAGAAATGAATTGAATCTATGAAGCAGAAAACCAAAGAACTTCATAATTGCTTCGCCCATGTAACTATGGGAATATTTTATATCAGTTACTATCAGGATAAATTGATTAAAAGCTTTTGAATTTTGAGTCTAATGTTATGTGCTTTGAAAAATAAAAAGGGAAACTTAAGCCTGTCTTTTTGCAGGAGCTTGAAAGATAATGGAAGAGGCAATACCAACACAGATTAAAGACACTGCCAGATCAGCATATAACTTGTAGAGGCTATGTAGAATTGTGAAAGTAAAGTCATTTGGAAGATGAGTATATACTGTTTTTTTCAATATCCAAAGTGAGATGAATTGATTAGTGTGGAAAATTTGTCCAGCAATGAAGATTTTGAGCATCAAGAAGGAGGATATATGATTTGATGGGAAGAAAATGGTGGTACATCCTTTGCAGATTAAAAGGCTGGATAAAATTCTGAAAGTTTAGCTGTAGTCCCTTCTAACTTTGGGTCCTGTGGCGAGAGAATCACTTGAGAATAGGAGTTCAGGTCATGCTGGGGAACATAACATCACTTCCTGTTTGGAATAGTTGGATATACATTCCTAAAAATAAAATGCTATATTATTATATCAGAAAGTTTTTGCATACAAGTTACAGAAACTTGTTTAAAAGTGGCTGAACTCATAAGGGATTTTTTACACAACACAGCATCCAGAAATATAGCATCTTCAGTCCTCATACTATAGGACTCTGACATTGTTTCTTTGTAAACTATCTCAGCAATGCACCACTTTGTATATGCACTTAGTCTTCTTTCCTGCTTTTTAAGGTTGTTTAGAAAAGTGCAAGCTGCAAAAGAGAGAGAATCTTACTTCTTAAGTATCTGTCTTAGGGAAAAGGAAATCCCTTCTCAGAGTCACCCAGAAAACTTTTTCAGAGAGTCAGTGGTTCATCTGTTCATTTCTATACTGAAAAATAGCATGAAGGATAGTATTACCTGCTGCTCTTAGCTGAATAGGAGCCCTATCCATAGGGGTGGGATGAGATCAACATCCCTTCAGTCAACAGGGGTAATATTGGGAGAGGGAATAATTCCTGAGTTCCATCAAGTCTCTGATAGAATGTAGAAAGAGAAGAAAATGAATATAGGTGGACAATTAACACTGACCGCTACAATATCCAATGTCAACTATCTTGAGTCCAGTGAAGAAATTTCTATTCTAATTTCTAGGCAGAAAGAACACTGAGCTAAAGACCTTGATGTCAATCCTCGTAGCAAACTAAAGAATTGTATAAACTAAGGAATTTTATACCTGTGCCTTCCACTTCTCCTCCTTTAAGGAGGAATAATTGTAGTAGCAGCTAATTCATGGGGTAATTATTAAGGTAAAGTGGGGGGTAAATTATAAGAAGCCTATTTAGGCTGTGAGGCTCTACTCTTCCTGCCTCTTTGTGATCCTTCACCCCTGCATGACTTTAAGATGTCTAAGGGTCTTTCAGAAAGTGGGAATTTGATAGCAATTATACTGATCTGCTTTTCTCCTTTACTTGCCATTTTACTGTATTACTATTAAGTGCCCAAATCACTCCCTCTTCATGGGGTGATTGTTCCAGGACAAACTTATATTGTTTCTGGAAAACTGCAATAGGCATGATATAGATGACTGATGTTGTATCCATGTAATATCTTGTGCACACAGCATTTGCAGCTGCTTACATGTTTTACTCTGTCAAAGCAGCAAAAGATGGTACTGATAATGAGAGAAATACAGGCTCCAAGAGCTCTCATTATTTACTTGCATTTTGGAAAGTTCACTATCATAAAATTTGCGGATGGAAAGCCATCAGTGGGCTTCCAAAGGTTCTGAGTTTCCAAACCCTGATAGACAAGAAAACGGTCAACCAAAAATCTTCAAACAGCAATAAAAAACTATTTGTTTAAATAGTTAGAGGACTATATGCTAAGTAGAGGAGGCAAATGCCCCATAGGGTGGTGTTTGTATAATCAGTTTTAACTGTACTATTTGAAATTAGAGCATAACAATGCAATTTTAAATACTTAGCTTAATGCTGTCCCCGTCTCCATCTATAGAAATGTACTCAATCTCTATTAATAAAACCAGTCTCACATACTCCCAGATATGAGTAAATAAGGAAGTTATCTCTGTGGTGAAGAAAGGAAATTGGATGGTGTGGCCTTCCCAGGTTATTCTTTACTCTTATGTTTGATTGTTTCAACTTTAATTGTAGCTAATTTTGAACTATTTGGTACTTATAAAAGAGTATTTTGGAGGATTTCACTCTTTTTTATATTTTAATGCTATGAACTGAATATTTGTGTCATTTTAAAATTCATACGTTGACAACTAATCTCCGATGTGATAGTATATGGATGTGGGGCCTCTGGAAGTTGACTAGGTCACGAAGGTGGAGCCCTCATGATGCAATGCAATTAGTGGCCTGGTAAGAAGAGCTATAACAGAGATGAACTCTCTCTCAGCCATGTGAGGATACAGCAAAATGGTAGCTGCTATGGTTTCAAAGTTTATCTACTTTAAAATTCATGTTCAGATTTATTGGCCCTTGCAACAGTATTAAGAGGTGGATCCTTTGGGAGGTAATTAACCCATGAGGGCTCTACCCTTATGGATGGAATAAATGCTGTTATAGAAGAGTGAGTTTTACCCCTTTCTGCTTCTTTTTTCTTCTGCCATGTAAAGATGAAGCATTCCTCTGGTCCAGAGGACACAGCATTCAACATGCCATCTTGGAATTAGAATCACTGAGCCTGCTGGCACCTTAATATTGGGCTTCTCAGCTTCTATAGCTGTGAGCCAATAAATTTCTGTTCCTTATAAGTTGCCCAGTCTCTAGAATTCTGTTTTAGCAGCACGAATGGAATGGGCTTGGTCAGTAGCTATCTGAAAACCAGAAAGTGGGCCCTTACCAGACACCAAATCTGCCAGCACCTTGATCTTGTATTTCCCAGTCTCCAGCAGTAAAAGAAATAAATGTTTGTTGTTTAAGCCACAAAGTCTAGGGTATTTTGTTATAGCAGCCCAAACCAACTGAGATGATCAGTATGGCAAACTCCATTGTCAAGGAAACGGAATATTATTCTCTGTCAAATATACCTGAAGAGATGGAGTTACGATTAGATTTGCACAGACTTTTGGAAAATACTATGCATAATCCATCTATTGCTAAGGGGGAGGATATGATCAATGGCTGCAACTTCTGACCTTGATGGAAGACAAAGCACAGATCGTTTATGTCTATTAGGGTAGAGGCAGCTTCTTTGCATCAATGCATTAATGGGATAACTAAGATTGATAATAAGCAACAGCAGCAATTATTAAGGCTTATTTTAGGTATTAGAAGAAAATAAAGAACAGCATCCATATAACAGATCCTTTAAGTACCGATGGTACCAGGAGAAAAAAAAATAATTTAAGAAAGTAAAATAAATAAAAGAGCTACACGAGACTAAATGTAAATTGACAAAGGGTGAAAAAAAACTCTTTACTTCTCAGGTGATTTTGTTTTGCATCCTATGGACAGAGGATGCTTTAAAGATATGAATAAAGGAAACCTCTCTATTCAAAGACACACTTGTCAGAATTATCCCTCTGGAAGGGATACCTCATGGATATTATTAAATTATAGTCACACTCCCTTATGTGTTCTGAGATTATTTTCCCTAAATTTTCATATTAAATATATTGAACTCTAAATGAATTTTTAATATTAATAATTCAAGTCTTCTCAAACATAAAGATTATCCTTTACTTTACTTTGGCTAAGGCTTATAGAAATATATTCACCTAAAATTGCTGCCCAAATTAAATTCTAAGATAATAAAAATTAATAATGAGATTAAACCAATTTGTTGAATGTCTACATATTTTTCATTTATTTTTTAAGAAGCATGGTTAATTTAGAACATTTTTTAGTTAGCATTATTTGTAAAGCAAACTTTTTATCCTACAGTCATATGTTGCTAAGGGGCAACATTGAAACTGTATGTATCATTTCAGCTCCAACAAGTAAAGAGTTTGGAAGTTACTTTCATCCTTAAAACGGGAAAAAAAGCTGAACAAACCAAAAATCAATGACTTTTCCTGGACCCATTAGAGAATTGGGGTTACAGGGCAAACTGCTCACCAAAACCAGAAGAGATAATCAAATGTGCAGATAGCTGAGATCAGCTCACCTGGATGCAGAAGCCACTGGAGACATAAACTGGTAGAAACACTTAAAAGGTAATTTTGAGTAATACTAGGAGGCTGAGAGTGCACTAGTATGAGAGTGAAAAATTCCTGGGGCTACAGATATAGGAGGGTCTTAGGATTTGTGGGTTTAAACCCCAAGTACCCCACCAGGTTATCACAGTGTAGAGCTGAGAAAAAATTGCCTTTTGACTATGGCAGAGGAAGAGGAAAGTAACCATTTTGAACATCCAGTATGATCTACAATTAGGTCAGAATACTTATATCCTATTGGTTTTGCTTCTATGTAGAAGGTTCGAGAGAGAGAGAGAGATTAATTCCTGTAAGGAATTGGCCCACACAATTATGAAGGCTGACAAGTCTAAATCTATATTGTGTGTGTTGGGCTGACAAGCTTAAGGGCCGGAAGAAATGATGATGCAGTTCCAGGCTAAAAGTCAAGAAAGGTGGAGACTCAAGAGGCTCAAGAGGACCGATTGTGCAAACGAAGTCCAAAAGCAGTCTGCTGGAGAATTCTCTCTAGCAGGGAGGCAGAGGTCTTTGTTCTACTTGTGCCTTCAACTGATTGAATGAGGACCGTTCACATGATGAAGGACAATCTGCCTACTCTGAGTTTATTGACTTAAATGTGTACCTAATCCAAAAACATACTCTAAGTTCACCTAAAAATTTAACCATCACAGCTTTCTATAAAAAATGCATGCTTCCCAGTAAAAAAAAAAAAAAAAAAAAACCTCCTCAGGGCCTTACCTCACATAGGTGGAAGTACAATTCCCAACTCCAACCCTGGTTAATCTTTCTGTCTCACTTGAGGAAGAAAAAACACTCCTGAGGTCACAGCCAAGGGACAGAGGTCCACCAAAAGAATGATTTAATCATAATATTGTAGAATGTCTCCTTTCTGCAACTCCCTACCACCATATTAACACAAGGCTCCATGGTAAATATCAGTGTATTACAGATTCTATAACTGCAAGTCTCAGATTGAATTAAAATGGAATTTTAGGAACATCTGAAGACAATACAGGGAAAAATAAGAACATTTAAAGAATTTGAAAATCTTGGTTCCTCCTCCTGTGGCTAACATTATAGACAATTTAATTTCTAATCAGATTAATATAAAACCTCATATTAAAGGCCTATTTAACTCAGTTCCTAATATCAAGTTATCAAATTGTCTTTCAACAAAAATTTTCAGTCATGATATAAGCAGAAAAGAAACATCATCTGAAGAGACAAATCAAAATCATACCCAATCGCAGGACAGATATATTAGAATTATTACAAAAGGAATTTAAAATAACTATAATGGATGGGTTAAGGGCTCTAACTGAAAAAGTAGACCACATGGAAAAGTGATGGCTAATATAAGTACAAAGATGAAAAATCTAATAAAGAAATAAAAAGAAATCCTGAAAATTAAAAACACTAACAGCCATGAAGAATGACTTTAATGTGCTCATTAATAGCTCGGCATGGCTAGGAAAGGATCAAAGACCTTGTAAACATGTCAGTAGAATCTTCTTTAACTGAAATAAAATTTTTTAAAAATGTAAAAGAGAGAACAGAACATTCAAAAATTGTAAGACAATTTCAAAAATATAGTCTAACTGTGAATAAAATAGAAGAAAGAAGAAACAAAGCAGGATAAATATGTAAAACAATAGTGGCTAGGCAATTTTCAGAATTAATGCCAGAAAGAAAACCACAGATTCAGGATGCTCATAAAACATGAAGACTGATAAATAAATAAATAAAAATTACACCCAGATATGTCATACTCAAACTTCAGAAAAGTGAAATTAAAGAAAAAAATATTGAAAAAGTCTAGTGGTTAAACTTACCTTCCCTAAAGAGAAAAGAAAAGAAGGAAAAGAGAAGAGAAAAGAAGAAAAGAAAAAGAGAAGGAATACATAGAAGATTATTGTCAGACATCATGCAAGCAAGAAGAGACTGGAGCAAGACATTTAAAATGTTAAAAGAAAAAACTATAAACCTAGAATTTTTTAATCCAGGAAATTGCCCTTCAAAAGTGAAGGAGAAATGAACATTTTCTCAGACAAAACAGAGAAACAAACCAAAAAAATGGAAATTCATTGCTGGCAGATCTCCCCTGTAAGAAATGTTACAACCACAACAACAACAACAACAAATCTACTGACATAAGCACGATGATCTAGGTCAGACATTTAGATTACATAAAACAAGAAAAAGCTTTAGATGAGTAATAAAAGAAGGTAAAACAAAATATTTTATTCTTTTTCATCTTAATTGACCTTGCAGAAAAACTTTGTTTAAAGTAATAATCATATCAGTGTATTCTGTGGTTACAGTATAAAAATAAGTGAAGCGTATAACAAAAGTTATATGAAACGTTGCAATACTCTGTTTTAAAGTACTGACATTCCTCTTGAGTTGTATTGTATTATTTGAAAATTGAATTAAATTGATTGTAACTGCATATTGTAAACCCCATGTCAGCCCCAAAAGATAAACTTTAAAGATGCATAACTGACATGCTAAGAAGAAAAGGAAAGCGGAGATGTAAAATCCTCAATTAAAATTTTAAAAGTCAGAAAAAAAGAGGAAACAAACAAAATGCAACAAAATGAAACATTTACAGGCATGGTAGATATTAGAACAAGTATATCCATAAAAACGTTATCACAAATTGACTAAATCTATCAATTAAAAACAGACCTGTCAGAGTGAATACAAAAACTAGGCACAACTATATGTTATCTACATGAAGTCCACTTTAATGTAAAGGTACAAATTAACATCTAAACTAATGAAAGATACAGGAGCTATTAAATAATACTTGTTCTATTCAGAGATAGAAGACTTCAGAACAAAGAAAATTATTCAGATAATGATGGACAATACAAAATGATAAACTGATCAGATATCTAAGAAGATATAACAATCTTTAATGTGTATGCACCTAACAACAGAGCTTTAAAATATAGGAAGCAAAAAGTGGTATCACTGGAAGGAGATCAACAAACCCACTAGTATATCTAGAGATTTCTACATCTCTTTTTCAATGATAAATCAAGCAGGAAGAATATTAGTAACACTCTAATTTACCTAAATAGCACTTTAATCAACTTGATCTAATTGACGTACAGAACACGACATGCAAAAACAGAACATTCATCTCAAACTCACATGAAACCTTTACCAACATAGAGCACATTCTAGGCCATGAAGTACTTAACATTGAAAAGAATACAAATAATACAAAATATGTTTTCAGACCACAAGGGAAGTAAACTAGAAATCAATAATGGAGATGTAGCTGAAAAATTCCCAAATCTTTGGAGATTAAGCAACGCACTTCTAGAGAGCACGTGTAGAGAACAAAGTCTCTAGAAAAATTAGAAAATATTTTGAACTAGAAAATGAAAATACAACTTATTAAAATTTGTGGGCTGCAGGGAAAGCACTTCCTAGAGGAAAATTTATAACATTAATGCACATATTAGAAAAAATATACTCATATTTAATAATCTAATCTTCCACCATAGGAATCTAGAGGAAAAAAATTAGGTATAAAGCAAAAAATAAAAATAAAGAAAACAATGAAATTGAAATCAGAAAAAGTATA
Source organism: Homo sapiens (assembly GCF_000001405.40). Lineage (NCBI taxonomy): Eukaryota > Metazoa > Chordata > Mammalia > Primates > Hominidae > Homo > Homo sapiens. The sequence goes on from NC_000018.10 coordinate 38,838,707, forward strand.
TAGGAAATCAAAGGAATCAAAAGCCGGTTTTAGAATTGATCAAAAAAATTGATGAATCTTTAGCTAGGCTAACAAAATTAAAGAAAAGTTACAACTTAGATATACAAGAAATGAAAGAGCCATCATCACTATTGATTTCATACACATTAATAGAATGCTAAATTCACGTTAGAAACAATCTTACACCCACAAATACATGAAATGGACCAATTCCTTGTAAAACAAACTCCTACAAGGAGAAATAAATAATTAGCATGCCCATATCTATTTAAAAAATTGAACCAGTCATTAATAGCTTTCCAAAAAAAACACAATGTCCAGTTGGCTTCACTCATGAATTATACCAAATGTTTAAGGAAGAAACAATACCAATGGTAAACAATCTCTTTCATAAAATAAAAGAGGAAGTTATGTTTGTTTTATGACGCCAGCATGACCCTAACACCGAAACCAGACAGAAAACATTACAAGAAAACTAGAGACCATTGTGAACATAAATGCAAAAAACATCAAAAACAATTAACAAATTGAATCTAACAATTTATTAAAAAAATACACCATGAACAAGTTGGATTTATTGTAGTTACAAACACAATTTAAAAATACATTAATATAATTCATCATATTAACAGGTTAAGGCAGAAAAATCATATGATCATATCAGTTGACACAAAAAAAGCATTTGGTAATGGATTAGAGTTTAAGATAGCAGTTATGAACTCATGTTTTGTTAATTAAAAATATAGATCATTACATGTAGATATATTTATAGAAATGCTCATATGCATAGATTTCTATACACACATATATGTTCTTGTTCTATCAAAAGCAATACCACCTGGTGGTAAGACGCATACCTAGTGCCCAGATCTTGGTTTCCAGTACCATTCTTCAATGAAAAGAACTAGAGCTCCTTAGAGAAATAGCTGATCCAAGGAATGGGGCAGTAAACATATATCATGAGACTGGAACATCTTGTAGTAACTGAGAGTAGGAAAATGCACAGGAATATAAGGAAAGAGCTCCCAATGGCCAAAATTCAAAACCATTGAGCAGCAAAATGAAGAAGTACTGTATTATAACTCAAAGTATAAAATAAATATCCACAAGTCCAGGAAGATATAAATAAATGATTGAATAAATAATAACATTATTAGTAGGGGAGAACAGACCAATCTCTCTTTCAGAAAAATTCCAAATAATATGTATAGATACTCTGCCTTTAAGGAGCAAGAGCATAACTTTCTTCTCTTTAAGGGTAGACTGTGTAGAGTTATTTTCCTCCAAAATAATGTATGTTAACAGGGAAAAAAATAGTAACTTCACAATGGAGAAATCTGACAAGCAGTAACTTAGCCAGGTGATCACAGTTTACATCAACAATAAGTCGTGTTGATAATATGAACTATTGATATACTTTGATGAAAACGGCACTTTAGATCAGGGGTCTTTTTCCCAAAAATCATAACCCCAGTCCAATCATGGGAAAAACATCAGACAACCCCGATTGAGGCATATTCTACAAAATACCTGACCTCAAAACTGGCAAGACATCGAAAAAAAATGAAATTCTGAGAAACCCTTACAGCTGGGAGGAGTCTAAGGAGACATGACCACTAAATGTAATGTGGTATTCTGGATAGAATCCTTGGAGGGGGAAAGACTAGGTAAAAACAAGGGAATACTGGGCCAGGCGCGGTGGCTCACACCTGTAATCCCAGCACTTTGGGAGACTGAGGCGGGAGGATCGCGAGGTCAGGAGATCGAGACCATCCTGGCTAACATGGTGAAAACCTGTCTCTACTAAAAATACAAAAAATGAGCTGGGTGTGGTGGCAGGTGCCTGTAGTTCCAGCTACTCGGGAGGCTGAGGCAGGAGACTGGCGTGAACCCGGGAGGTGGAGGTTGCAGTGAGCCGAGATTGCGCCACTGCACTCCAGCCTGGGTGACAGAGCGAGACTCCGTTTCAAAACAAAAACAAAAAACAAACAAAAAAATAGTAGGGAATACTGAAAAGACTGATGAACTTTTAAAATAATAATGCATCAATATTGAGTAATTGTAAGAAATGTGTCTTATTAACGTAATGTGTTAAAATAAGTGACAATGTGTGCCAGGTATATACAAACTTTCTGTACTTATCTTTTCAATTTTTCTGCAGAAATAAACATGTTCGAAAAATTTAAGTTTTCTTCAAAAAACTGTATGTCAAGAAACCTCTTCTTCCTAAATTTCTCTGTAAATAGCTATATTTAATATTTTTCAAAAGAATCTGAGTTTCTGAGTGTTCAAAAGGGTTTGAAGTTTCAAAAACATGTGAAAAAAAGTGTATTCAAGGAACTATACAACATAACCTCTTCATTTTTAAATTGATCTCCAAGACCTCTTCCATTTCAAAAGACCTAAGATTCTCTGACCCTACGTTCTTAGAGCATCGACAAATGAATCCAGTATTCTGAAGATTAAATAGAAGTTATATACAAATATGGGCATGAATTTGACAGGAGAGCATTGCTATGTTTTAGAAAATAGCTACCAGGAAAATAGCTAGAAAAACAAAGGGTCATGAAGATCAGTTTACTGTTCACGGGTTATTTTTTTCTCCAACTAATATTGTAATTCCAAGACTGGAAAGACTAAATAGAAAGGAAACAACATAGAAGGAAATTTGGTCTCACTACTGAAAATGTGAAGATGATTGTAAATAAACATCTAAGGTGAAATGGGGTGTCTTTGCAAGAATTTATTGTCATGTATCCTACAAACTTGTGTCATATTCATTCTCTAAATATATTCTCTAAATATATTTTGATTTTGGAAAACTTTTAGTGCACACTAGAACATTTTCTCTGTATTAACTGAGCTATTAAAGCAAAAAACTTCCAGTGTTATATAAAACAAATATAAAGAATAAAATCCAGTGAGAAAAGTATCTAACTCAACCACACACTGAATTGTGTTAAAATTGCTCTAAACAATATCTTTAAATACACTAACATGTTATCAGTTAATTTTGTTTGTTTTATTTTAAGGTCAGAAAAAACAAAACTGAGTGTTAAAAATGCATGCGATGAATCCCCAGAGGAAAAGGCCACTATGTGAGGCCTGATTCCCACATACGGTATATTTTGTATTTTGTTCATATCAAAGGTTGATGGATTGTGAGTATTGTCTATTTTTCTTATCTGGTATATACCAGAGTCTATGTGACCCTTCCCAAGGGTATCTCTGCAACTAATGAGGAGATTATGCAACATCTGCAGATCTCTCTTCGGTGTTGCATGTGGAAAACACAACAAATGTCTGCTGGAGTTTTGTATTTTGAGAAAACTAAGCAAAAGTGTGTCTTTTTGCTTTCTGAAGAAGGTAAAGGAAAACTGAGGAAATACAGGCACAATCCTTCATTTTTACTCAAGGGAATTTAACAGAACTCAGTTCACAGCCATCGTCTTCATTCTGTGCTGTCACTGTTGTTTCATTCCTTTGCTTCTGTAGGGTTTTGCAAGCACATAGGAAGGTGTCCATATTTGTTTTTTTGTTGTTGTTGATTAACTATAATAAGAGGAAATCTATTTGTTCCACAGGCCCTGGTAGGTGGACGCAAAAGATTATGCACCTGCAATAGCCTAGCATGATGTTTGGCATAGAACAATAGGAAAGTGTCCTATTGTTCATACTTCTTTCAAGCTTAGAGGACATTACAGTAAACGCCTACACACAATGACAAATTTGGATGGGCACCCTTAGGAAACCTTCTTCATATTTCTTTGCTTCTTGCTGTGTATACCAGAAATAAGTCTACTTCCTGGACACCACAACTTATCTATAGATTTGTCTCAACGTTCTGTGATTAAGGGTTTCTAGTGACACAGACTATTATTGTCATCTGTCTAAATTAGTCCCGATCTCCCTGAAAAACCAAACCATTGACTGGAAGCTGTGTTAACAATTAATGAAGTTGGCTGACTCCACCTCAACTTGCCATTCCCTAGTGCCCAGCCTCCCCAGTCACAAGGTTTTCTTCAGAACGCCCTCCTGTTTATGCTCAATTTCGCACTCAATGATTTCGCTGCTGGGATTCAAGTCTATGACCTTAGTTACACTCAGGTACTCATCACAGTGAGGTTGTTGTAGAAGCACAATGGGGGACATATTATAGTAATTTAGCACATAGTTCACAAATCTTATGTAGCTTCCCCATCCTCTTTCTGCTGAAGGTTGGAAGTTCACTATATAATGCTGCTTTGGGTGAATGAGCAAACATCCTTTGTCTTCTAAATATGGGCCTTTATATGATGGGAAGGTCACAGATCTATCTCAAGCTTATGAGATTTGGAGGACTTTAGTAGAAGAGGAAAATACCACATTTCTCTTATTTATGAGTGTCTTTGAACCTAAGAAGGGTCTCATTTGTATACATCTAGATAATCAATCTATATGTTTGAGGAGTTTCCAAAGCAAGGCAGGGGAATGTAACCTTGAAAATAATGTAAAATAGCTGTGTTGCAAAATGTTGTAAATATTAGTTAAACACAATGAGACATTTGCTAGGGGCTGAGGAACCAGGAAATTGCAAGCGTTTAAGACACATACCTCTTACTTTAAATTCACTTGCAGTTCCTAGTGACTGAAAGCTGCTAAAGGAAAAGAGAAAACAATAACAGCAGCAACAAAATCCCTCATAAGTTTAATAGCCGCCCACTGATTGTAAATGTGAAGAGGACTTCTCTAAACACAAAGATGATACGTAGAGGAATCCTCCTTTATTGAAGCCCCTGACCTAAGGCCTCTTAATGGGCAGGCTCTGAAAACCTGACATGTGGAAACACTTTGTAGAATCCTATTTTTATTTCTGGGAGTCCAGTCTTTGTTCTAGCCAAAAATATGTTTACATTTTTTTTTCCTAATCCTAATTTCCTTCAGCCAGTTTTATGAGAAACAAAATAAAACAAACAAAAAAGTCATAAATAAATTTTTTGACAACACACAACTGAGTGTCTTTTCAGACAATCTGGGTGCAGAAACACTTGCTATGCATTACTCTTCCCTCTTCTCCAGGAGCCTGGATTTTGAGATGTTAAAAGTGCAAAAAAAAAGTAGTTTAGAATGACACGAAGCAGAAGTCAGAGTTTGGGTTTGAAATGATTTTACAACTGCAGATGCATTTACAAAGGAACTTAGTAGAGTGTCCTCAAAAGATGGATGAGCATGTCGTTCAACAAGTTTGGAAATTTGGGGCTCTTGGCACCTGTTTCCAAAGATATGCAAAGTTAATGTTTAATGGGTTCCTACCCAGGCCAGGCTTTGGTTGAGACACAGCATATATGTAGACCAGAAGAAAAACAGAATAACTCAGAATAATAACCTAGAACCTCAGTCTGGTCAAGAGGTGTGCACAAGAAAATCAGTACTACCTACATACTCACTTCTCTGTTGACCCGACTCCTACATCTGGAATGTAAGCTCCCTCTGGGAAGGGACAGGTCCATATGTTCACCAGAACAGTACAAAAAAGAGAATGCTCAAAACATGATTTTGAAGGAATAATAGCAATAAACCTGAGTGCCTTGTCAGCTCAGAGGAGAGAATATACTTAGAATAAATTGTGTTTCCCCAAAATTCTTATGTCAATGTCCTAACCTCTAGTACTTTAGATTGTGATAGTATGGATATAGTTTAGAGATAGTTCCTTTAAAGAGATAATTAAGTTAAATGTGGTCATAAGGTTGGGGCCTTAATTTAGTATGACTAGTCTCCTTATAAAAAGAGATTAGGACTCATGGAGAGATGCCAAGAATGCTCAACCGCACAGAAAAGACCACACGAATACATAGCAAGAAGGTGGCCATCTTCAAGCTAAGGAGAGAGGGAGGCCTCAGGAAAAACTGACCTTGCTGCCACCTTGATCTCAGACTTTCACTCTCCAGAACTGTGAGAATATAGATTTCTGTCTTTTAACACACCCACCTGTGGTATTTTGTTTTGGCAGCCCTAGTAAAGTAACATAATACCAAAAATAGCACCGCCAGGTAAAATATAGGATGTTCAATCAAATTTGAATTTTTGAAATTTGATTGGACATCCTGTATAAGCTATTTTTATAAGGATGACCCATGCAATATTTGGAACATACTCATAAAAGAATAATAAATAAATGAAAATTTCCAAAAAAGTCACTGGTTATCTGAAATTCGAATTTAACTGGAAATCCTATATTTTACTTGTTAAATCTGGCAACCCCAAACCTATAGATATGGGGACAGTGTCAGAGAAGATGCCATTTTACCTCAATTTTGTTACAGGAAAAAATATTTTGATGGGGGTGAAAGAATATTGAGGCCAGAGGAATCAGTATGAAGAGACTCCGCTGGAAATTTTTACCAATTTCCTCTACTCTGTATATACTGCAGCAGCTGGCACAGCCCAGAAGTGTTTTAAGTATTCAGAAATGACAATTTAATTAGAAATGGAAGGTCTAATTGCCTTCTTATGACTCAATGGTTTCTAAACTTGGGAGCTTTAAAAAAAAATAACAGTTCTTAGAGACTCACCCAGACTAATGGGTCACTAATTTAATGTGACTGAAAACAGCTAATCATTTCTATTTAAACATATCTCACATCTATAACCCAAACTGGGTGGGCCAAGGCCTGTTACATGGACAGTTTCTCTAGAACTGAACCTGAAAACTTCATATATCCTCTGCTGAGGGGAAGGCCATGTTACAACGGCTTCCTAGAACTCATCTCTATTTTATACAACATTGCATCAGAAACAGTTTTACATTTTTTAAAATAGGTTGAATTTGTATTTACACACACATATAAGTATGTGTGCCCCGTGTGTGTGTGTGTGTGTGTGTGTGTGTATACATAACTGGCCATGTCTATTTTGTTAGGGAGGTAAAGATTAACAAAGCATGAATTTTTACTTACAAATTGGACTGTTGTTTCTTGGTGGTGGAAGAACTCCTTAGTCTTGATACTTAAAGCTATATGTTATTGACACAGGAAACTGTTCAAAATAAATTTTATGGCCTGGCACAGTGGCTCCCACCTGTAATCCCAACACTTTAATCCCAATAAATTTTATGGCCTGGCATGGTGGCTCACACCTGTAATCCCAAGGCTGAGGCAGGCAGATTGCCTCAATGCAGAAGTTTGACACCAGCCTGGGCAACATGCTGAAACCCCATGTCTATTAAAAATACAAAAAATAAACCCCAAAAATTAGCCAGGTGTGGTGGTGCATGCCTGTAGTCTCAGCTACTCTGGAGGCTGAGGTGGGAGAATTGCTTGAGCCCAGGAGTTGGAGGTTGCAATGAGCCGAGATCGCGCCGCTGGTCTCCACCCTGGGCAACAGAGCAAGACCTTGTCTCAAAAAATAATAAAATAAAATAAATTTTATACCACACAATGTCTGTACAACTACAGCTTGCAGAACTTACTAAATCTGGAATACTGTTTTACAACTTACATGTTAAATTTTAGGGGCAGTCAGTGGGTGAGAAGGAAAATACCATTGCTGCTCTTCTTGGGAGGCAATTTAATTGGCCAACAGTAATGAGTATGTGAAGATCTATGTCTACTTTTCAGACACTGGGCTGATTGAGAGAAACACTATGACTCATAATCATGGAGGATAAATGTAGAAAGGGTCACAAGATGAAACCAGTAAGAAGGATGAAATCAAGCAAAGAATAGGGTTAAAGGGAGTCCAGATGGTCAGCAATATACATAAAGACTTGACACCTAAGGGCTATTCCTAGTAGCCTGGCATCATCACTTATAAGTGCATTCTGTGGAACCAGACAGTCCATTGCAGGTAGAAACTTGGTCTTATATGGGATAATGGAGGAAATCTGTTTCTGTCTGCCCAACTCCTTTTCTGCTTTCCTCTAATGATGAACTAAATTTAACGTATTTGGAGAAGACCTCTTGTCTCAAATGATTCCGCTAGGGCTTCCAATCACAACAACATATTTGGCCATAGAAATGAGTATGGGAGCCAGGCAAGCCAATGAGAACAGCCCATTTCTGTGGCTACACAGATTGGCTCACGGACAGCAAAGGATGCATGTCAGGTCAGGCAGACATCTCCTGGGGATTTTTTTTTTTTTTTACCAGTACCTGGCAAAAATAAAGAAGATATTTTTCCCTTGAATAGCAAGCTATAAGGATGTGACCCCAGAGTTGTCAGTGACCATTATCCCTGCCATGTGCAGAGCCCTGAAAGATTGAAGCTAACACACATTTAGAATATGGTTAAGATGAGCCCTACAATCTATATCATTTCTTCCCTTCCTCTTTCTTTACTTCTATATATCTGTCTCTGCATCTCTGTCTTGGTCTCTGTCTCTGTCTCTCTCTCTCTCTGTCACACACACACACATATACATACACACACACAAACACACACAATTTGTGAACTGTATTCAGTTGACATTGAAGCTGACTCTCTTCCCATTGTGTGTGTATGTGTTGTTTGGTTAAATGGGCTAATTTTCCTTCTTGCTTGAATGGGTTTGTGTTTTATTCTGTCACTAACAACCAAAAGAGTCTTGCCTAATGCCAAGCACTATTTTTACCTTTATATGGCCATGAATTTATTTGAACTTTGCCACATGCCATTCTGGTTGACCTACAGTTATTACAAGGGAGGAGAAGCTTCACATTTGTCTTGATAGCTATCCTTTTGTATTTGGAATCATTTTTCCTTGAGCTTCTGCCTTTAGCTCCAGTAAAACAGAACATAACGTTGCAGGGTTCAGATGAGGAATTGACATTCAATGAACTGCAGATTGTTCTTTGTGAAACATGACCATACATGACTGGGCCTGTCTGTTTGTGGTCTCTTAAGGATCCTTAGAATACTTCCATTTTGGATCATTGCTCAAGCTGAAGTTACTACCCTGAAATTTACTTTTTCCTCCTATCCCCTACTTTTCAACCTTTTCTATGGCTCCCCTCAGCAAGGCCCTGTTTTCACTCGTTGTATCTGATTGCTTACCTTTGAAGGATATTTTGTCCTCATACTTCTTCTTCCTTTAAGTTGAACATGGACCATTTTCCACTAACTGAGGAAGAGAGGAATTATCTTTTAGGATTAGTATTTTTCCCATCCATACAGTTTAATCTGCACTTAAATTGTAAGTGAAGACTTCATGGAGAAGGAATATTTTACATGGACTATAAAAAGACAGTAATCCAACAATGATTAAGAGCTATACCTTCCTGACTTTCTTTTTGAATGACAGAAAAAGTTGGTAAAGAACATGAAATGGAATGGAGAAAAGTGTACATTTATTTATAACTATCCCCTCTTTTCTATAAACTTATAAGATACAATGCTTACTTTGGTCTTTGCTCTTCATAAGTTGGATCCCTGACTGAAACACTGGCTTTTATTTTTAATTTAAGGTTTTTGTTTTTTTTTTCCTGCAATTAGTCTTTCCAGGACATCTGTCTGTCAAGAAGGATAATGGCATTTCCAACACACATTCACCGAATGGGAATCTTAATCTAAGGCAGGACCTTAGGGGTTCCACAGAAACAACAGAAAGTCATGGTCTTTTGGGCATGGTAATTTAAGAGAGATGGCTGTCCCGCTGCATTTAGAAGCAGCTTCTCACACAGACGTCAGCAATTATCTTCTCGGTCCAGGTGACAGATGGTAGGAAAGCATTCCTAGGCCCATGCCCTTGGCTTCCACATCTGTGAAAACATTTTTCCATAAGGTTTCCTTGCATATTCATTGTAAGACAGCCTTCAGTGTTAGCGAGAGAGACAGACTCCTCCCTCCGTCAGGTCTTGCTCTTCTCTTATGCCACACACCTTCAATTTCCTTCCAGCAGACTACAATTAGATCAAATAAATAGATTTTTAAAAAATGTTTTCAGACTCTCACCTAGCTCTAAAGAAATAATCCAATGCAGAAAGTCTAGTAAACTTAGGAAAAAAACATACAAACAAATGGTTAAGAAATAAAAAATCTTTCACTTAGCTTGCCTGTGGGGGAATACTCTACTTACATGATTTTCATGCTGGTCTTTCTCACTTAACTCTAAGTTTCTTGAGGCCAAGGTTTTTACTTTAGTTACATGGCAATTCTAAGTAGCCCATTCATATATGCATACCAAATAAATAGATAAATTGACCAATTAATGAATTAGCTGGTTGAGAAGATAGTACCAACATTTTCCAAAGAGCAAAGAGTTTCATGGTTGAAATGAAGAAAATAAAATTTTTAATTGATGGGGACCACTGGAACCCTGAAGACAGAAGGTAGTACTAAGGGAAATTCTGTGACATTTCAGCTGAAAGATTTCATTAGAGCCACAAATATCTGCCAACCTAGCCTAAACATTTTCTTGGATTCTAGGTTCTGTTCTGATCTAAGACGTAAAATAATTTTTTTCTCAGGGTCTTCGGCCAGCACCTTTCTTGATCTGTCTCCAGGCAGGCTCCTAATCTTGTCTTGACAGTTCTATTAAGCCTCAACCTCAAGGCTTTTGTTGCTGAGTTAGAACCCTATTGATATCATCCAGTCTTAGCCTCCATATCTGAGACTACATTCTTACCTTGATCTTATCCTAAGCATGGCTCATGGCCATGTACTCCTGAGACTTCAGCAGTAAAGTTGAATCCCAGAATTTGTGACAACCACATATAACATAATAATAAGTACCACACATGTACACACACATATACTGTATTTCGTTCATATTGCCAATTATCTTTTTATGGGATACACAAAAATTAAATAGACTTGTCTTCACCAAATATACTTTCTGTTCTTTCAACAAAGCTCTAACACAAATCTATCTACAAAATAACATATGAGCTTCATGTGCCAATATCATATGAGTAGAAACTTCTCATCCAGAGACCAAAGTGTCTTGGGAAATTAAAAGTTATACGTAACATCACAGGGACAGGCAGCCCCCTATAACCTGGGAGAATTGGGTGTGGCAGCTTTACAACAGACGTAATTTTTAGGCACATAAAATACCAGTGAGTTAATTTGCATTTCCTTTTTGGTTAAACTAATATTCATATTTTTCGATAAGGGAAATACCCCTCAATGGGAGTAAGAAAAACTCTGAAGTCTTATCGAAAATCTTATAACACATGGTTGTTTGGAGCCTAAGGGTTATTCTTTCATGAAGTATTGATATATTCCAGAGATTTGACAATTTCTGCTTCCTGAATTGGTTTGCCTGGTAAGAGGTTGTGCTCTGTTCTGTTACATAGTAACTATTTTTTTTCAACACTACATCCACCTTGGGCCTTTTGAAAGCACTGTGACATTTAGGCATTCAAGTTTAAATAACCACCAATGTCAGTGACTTGGCCAGTCATTCAACGGAAGGACAGATAACATTAAGCACATTTAGGTTAGTAAATTCCCAAGCCATGCTGAATATATCTCAACTTGTTCCACCAGGAGCAATTGGCAAGTGTGTTTTGACATAGATTGTAAGAAGCATTCTGATTTTTTAAAATTACAATGTAAAAAATAATAACAAAATAAAAGTATGTATTAGAATCAAAGTAATTGATTAAGGAAATGGTCACATTCATTAATGTGAACCTAAGTATCCTCAAATTCTTCTAGTCTTTTACTATCAATTCAGTAATTTTAATAAGCAAAGCTAAGGGATATACATCAATGCTGCCCCTCAAAATGTCCTATTATTTTTGGGAACCCCCAGGGATGCCTTGTGCTTAGAAACTCATTTACTCATATTCTTGTACTCCTTCCAGAGCTGCTGGTGGCTTCTATGATAATGCTGCTCCCTGGCTGCTCCATTAAGCATAGTAGGGTCAGCTACTGGGTCACTGCTGTGGTGCAGCCACTGCTTTGCACTGCAGCTCCCCCATCAAGGGTCTGCAGAGAAAGCCTCCCTCCCTAACTTCTTGTCTTTATGTCTCCAGTCTTGAGTTCAAAAAGCACATTGTCAATAGAGTGATCTAAGTTTTATTTCTGCTTGTATTGTCTTCTCTGTAAGAGGTGAGATATGGTCTCAGGGACTGGACCAAGAATAGAGACAAAACGTCTTCTGTTCCTACATCTAACCAGAGTCTAGGCCTGAGCTAGACCTCAAAAGTCAGTGGTCTTCCACTCTCCACCCTCCTTCTCCACATCACTTCAGGTAGTTAGATGCCTGGAATGGGAAGTTCTGGTGTGACAGTTTAGTCAACAGGCCAGTGTGGCCATTATGTGTGAATGAATTGAGGGCCTACAGTGTAGTGTGAAAAATTGCTATAAACAGATCAATAGGGAGAGAAACACAAAATTGAAGAAACAATTTATAATACTCACCAAAATTGAAGAAGACAATTTTGGTGAGTATTATAAAGGTAAAGAATATTGTACTTTGAAAGAAAGTAATAAGAGAAATCTACTTTATATTAGATTTAAGTGCTCAGCAAAACCAAAGGTGTAGGTAAGAAAGTGACCTTCAAGCAGTTACCTGTGGGCTGAATAGGAGTCAGGCAGGCAGAGGAGTACATAATCTAGGTGGATGATCACCAGGGACAAATGCCCTGTGTTGGAAATGAATGTGGCATTTTCTAGAAGTGAAAGGGAGATCCTATGGCTAGAATTTCTGAAAAAAAGAGGAGAGTGACAGCAATTTAGATTATAGAGGAAATCACAGTCTTGAATGCCATCTTCTAATTTCAGTAGAGAATCACTGAATGCATTCAACATCATACAATTTAGTTGAAATGTTACAATAGGACTCATAGGAACTCCCAAGGCTAATGTCAAAATTTTATTTTTTATGTATGTGCACACGGTCTCTTCTCTGCTTCTATACTCAAGTCCCAGAAAAGTTAGTTTTGTGAATAAGACCTAGAAGCTACTACAAGATAATATAGAATAAGCACAATAGGTGAACCCAGGCTAATTGCAAGCTTCCTATAACAATGTTTACTCATGTTTGATTTGGTCTCAGACCTTTCCTTTTGAACCATGTATGTTATTGCTATGTCCAGGCATGCCTTTGAATGTCCTAAGGCAATGTGGGTACATATAATATCTGACCTTGTGAATCATCTGTGCTTGAGAAGAAGCTAGCAAAGTGACTGAATAAATTCTTTCAGGAGGACCTCAACAATCCCATCTGTAATGACCTGGCTGGGGTTGGGGAACTGCACAGCTGATTAACATTAGTGTTAAAATTGAACTGAACTCTTAGTTTCTAGAATACACATTGCCAACTGCTAGAATACATGAGAACTGCCTTATTCTAGTAAGACAAGACTAACTGTGCACTTACTCTGAGAAGCACATGCTCTGGTGGACCTTGCCCCTGAAAACATCTGATTTCTATGATGATGTGCCAACCCTGATGTTCTCAGCCCCCCAGTGACCCTACCTATGAAGTCAGTGTTCTACTTTTTCTTATATTGTGAAATCTCAAGGCAAAGATCTCATCTATATTTTGAATTCTATTTTTTATTAAAATTTACTTTATCCTTGATATTTTGGCATAAACCTGACTACTTAGTAGTTATTAGCACTTACTGAAATGTTTTTATTAAGAAAGCTAATCTTGAGTCAAGATATAAAGAAATACAAATACCTAGATACAATATAGTGTTTTCTCATTAAACTTCAAATGTTTCTAATAAGTTTTTAATTTAACCTTGATTTCCTTTCCAATGCTAAGGAGAAAAACACCTTCAACTACTTTTCATGAGGACAATTATTCAGGATCTCTTAGTACACGCTGCTGTAAGAAGAACATGAAGAGAGTTAAATAGGCACTCGCACTGACCTTGAGTAGTTTATGATCTAAGTAGAACATTATGATGCAGAAATATATCTTCAGGGAATGCATTAGAGACCTTACATTACTTATGTGTTTAAATTATGTGGAAGCAAAAAGGTAATGGAATTTAATTCAGTGATGAAGAAGGGAAGAACTTTAGTTTGAGGGAAAGCATCAGAGACTAGCTGTGAGCTTAGGAAGATTGAAGGATGAGCTGTTTTAGAAGTGTTTTTCTAAAAGGAAAAGAGTTTTAGTATACATGTTCCAGTTATCAATAGAAAAGAAATAATAGACTAGAACTATGTGAGTTTGGGTTGGCTATGGGAGGATTTACTGGAAAGGCTGAGCTTAGCCTAGGTGTTAAAAGATATACAGAATATGGAAACATGGATCAATGTGGACAAATACTGAGGGACCATTCACCTAGATAACATAAGATCAGATATATTTGGGGAGATTTATTAGAATGGGTAAATGTGGGGCTGGTGACGAGATATGTAAATGCTACAAAGCAGGTCTGCATAATTGCCTCAGCTTAAAGTAAAAATATTTGCAAAGGGAACTATAAGTTTGCCATATGAGCCACTTCCTTTTTCTGGTCTGGGAGTCAATCCTCCTGTTAGATCTCATTGTCTTTACCTTCCTCCCTGTCCCCAATGTTTCTCCTCCCTCATCTAGTGTCTTCTGAAACTTGGATGCAACACTCCATGTTCTGAAAGAAAGAACATGCCCTAGCTAGCATCTTGTTTCCAAAATATTGCCATGCACAGAATCAACCAGTGACAATTATCAACTAATACCCCACAAATTTGCCCAAACTAGCTAAGCCCAAACATCTATCTTCTCAACAACTAGTTTAGTTCTGTTCTAAGAGGATAGCTTGTATCTTGTATCCAGAATTACTACAGCCTACTGGGATCATTGAAACCTAAAGAACAAACAGATATTCAAATGCAATTTTCCTTTTTTCATATTGCTTAAATTATCTTTCTCTTTCAAAGCTCAGCTCAACCTTTCCTCTTGTGCAATGCTTTCACTGAATATTTTATCTTATGACTATAAATCCCTTCTCTAAATTTCTGAGTTTATTCTGCTCAAAACCTTAAATTATATTCAGCTCTACAAACAGGTTACATGGGCCTTTAGTAAGGTAATTTAACCTTAATCTTCTGTATCTCTTCCTTAACGTCGTCTACATGTAAGAAGGAGATCAGTTAATATGTTATTAATGATCAGTTAGACATTAAAATTTATAAACTCTCCACCCCAGCTTTTAGTAATTGGAATCCTCTTAACATGGGCCCTGAGCCACACCAATGCCATGAATAAAGCACCGTTCATGTCATTCCTCTAACCACTGCCATTTGGGAAAATGGCATTAAATTTTTTGCCTTGTAAAGTTAGGCTGATAATTTCTGCTCCTTCTTTTCTCTTTCACTGATTTCAGGAAAAATGCAGACTAAGAAATAAAATTCTTTGAACTGCCTGGAAGAAAAATCCCATTTAAATCCTTTGTATTATTAACCAAACTCCAAACCTGAAGGTTTTAGTTTTTCTTTGAAACTTTAAATCCACCAGATTCTTGGACAGTTTGAGTTTGACAAATCATATCCCCAGCCATCCCATTCTTAGCAGCTCCTGATCCTGCTGTGGCTGTGGGGACTATGCCAGGAGCTGGCTTGAGGAAGGAGATGGGATGAGGAGAGAAGTTCAAATTCCTCAAATAGACCAGGGCTTCAAGTTGCACCAGGAACAGAGGTGAATGGTTGAAGAGAGAAAGCGGTTAGTGTACTCTACCAAGAATAAAGCTATTAATAATCCTTGGTCAACTTCTTCTCAGTTGGATCTGTTTCATTAGTTTAGAAAACATTTTTTTTTAATGAGTTGCCAAACCAGTTTTTACTACCAACTGTTGCATTTTCAGCTCTCTTACCACACTGACACTCAATACCTTCGTTCTGTTTTGAGGTCACAATACATATAATTTATTTAAACCTAGTTGAAGAAGTTTGATGAAAGCGTAAATAAAAATGAAAAATTCTGGGGGAAAATAAAATCAATTTATATTAAATGATCATTATTGTTGATCTCAACAATTAAATAAAATTCCATCATTTTAAGTGTTGGTTTCTGCTATGATATGATATTAACCTCCTCTCTCTCCCTCTCCCATAACTTATTTGAGTTTTGAAGAGAACTGATGGTGACCTTTACAAAAAAGAATAATAATACATTATGCCTGTCTTTCCCTTCAGCCTACAGAGATACAAGCAGAGTCACTCCAAAGGTTTACTTATGACAAGAGAAAAGATATAAAAGTTTGATGACAAAGTCATTTAGAGAAATTAACTTTGGTTAATTTATCTGACCTTGTTTTAAGAGGTGCAGCTGTGCTGAGTCCACAGACAGCTGCAGCCAAGCAGTGCCTTGACTAGTGGTCCTTTAGTAAATGCAAGTGGTTGCTATGATTGTTTTTTTCTCTCCTACATCAAATCGTACTTCCCCTTTACCTACCCTTCCTTTAAAACAACATACTTCTGCCATTTTCCTGGAGATATCATCATTTCTCTATTTACCTTACTAACAGAAAAAAGCTGAGGTAAAACAAGTTCAATAATAGATTTTCCACCCATTGAACTTATCTCACCAATCTAGGTGTCATGCACTGGTGTACTGATGTGAACACTTTAATAAATTGTGATGTTCTGATTTCTAATGTGTACACACATTAGAAATGTGTGCGTGTGTGTATAAGTTTGGGCATGGGGGCACATGCCTGTAATCCCAGCACTTTGAGAGGCCAAGGTGGGAGGACTGCTTGGAGCCAGGAGTTAAAGAATAGCCTGAGCAATAGAGCATGACCCTGTCTCTAGGAAATAATAATTAAATTTAAAAATTTGTCCAGGCACGGTGGCTCATCCCTCTAATCGCAGCACTTTGGGAGGCCAAGGCAGGAAGATTGCTTGAGGCTAGGAGTCTGAGACCAGCCTGGCTAACATGGTGAAACCCCGTCTCTACTAAAAATACAAAAATTAGCTGGGCGTGGTGGCACACACCTGTAATACCAGCTACTAGGGAGACTGAGGCACGAGAATCGCTTGAACCCGAGAGGTGAAGGTTGCAGTGAGCCGAGAGTGTGACACTGCACTCCAGCCAGGGTGACAGAGAGAGGCTCTGTCTCAAAAAAAAAGTCATTAATTAATTTAATTAATTGTAACCTGTGATAACAATTCCCGTTTTCTGGCACACAGCTTCTAAAACCCTTACAATTTCTGAAGTAGTGGGAATGTCTTTTGCATGTTAATGAGACAGCTAGTGGCTGGGGTCCCCTAAGTAGTTTCAGGATAGGAACTGGCCACCAGAGAGACCAAAGCATGGTTAGAGGGTTGGAACTTTCAGTCCTACCCCTCAACCTCTGGGGAGAACAGTGGTGTTAAAGGTTGGGCTTATAACTAATAGCCAATTATTGAGCCAATCATGCCAAAGTAATGAAACCTTCATAAAAGCCCAAAGGACTGGATTCAGGGAGCTTCTGTAAAACTGAACTTATGAAGGTGCCTGGAGGGTGGTATGCCCAGAGAAAGCATGAAAGCTTTATACTCCCCTCCCACACATTGTCTTATGCATCTCTTCATCTGACTGTTCATATTTTGTAATATATGTTTATAATAAACCAGTAAATGTATTTCCCTGAGTTCTGTGAGATTCTCTAGCAAACTAAGTGAACCAAAGGTAGGGAGGGAAGTGGAAAACTTGCTTTATAGCCAGTTGCTCAGAAGCACAGATCAAAAGCTGAACCTTGTGACTGGCATCTGAAATGGGAATTAGGGGCACTCTTTTGTTATGGAGCCCTTAACTTGTGGGATCTGATGCTGTCTGCTGGTAGATGATGTCATAATAGTGTTGAACTATAGGACAAACCCAATGAAGAGTTGCTTGATGTTTGTGTAAGCTTCTCCAAATATTTACTGTCAGAAGTATTGTGATAAGTGGTGTGTGAGAGTAGGAAAAACAACAACATCAAAAAACTCAAAAATGCTTATTCCCCCTATGGATCAGAATTGGTGTCAGAAGTGGGATATTACAAAAAATTGGAAAACAAAGCTGTTTTTTCTACTCTGACATCACTAAACACAATACTTCTAACACCAGATGTGTGTGGGTTTTTCACATACACCAAGCAATTCTCCAGTGGAAACCAACTGTGTGGTTTTGTTGTTGTTTGTTTGTTTGTTTGTTTGAGATGGATTCTCACTCTGTCACCCAGGCTGTAGTGCAGTGGTGTGATCTTGGCTCACTGAAACCTCCATCTCCTGGGTTTAAACAATCCTCCCGCCTCAGCCTCTCAAGTAGCTGGGACTACAGGCATGCACCACCACACTTGGCTCATTTTTATATATGTTTTAGTAAAGATGGGGTTTCGCCAAGTTGGCCAGGCTGGTCTCAAACTGTTGATCTCAGGTGATCTGCTTACCTTGGTCTTCCAAAGTGCTGGGATTATAGGCGTGAGCCACCACGCCCATCCCCAACTGTGTATTCTATAATTTAATTCAGTTCTGACTCTATCCGCTTGTAGATAACATCAGATCCTGTAGTGAAGAGTTGAGTTATACGAGACTGCTCCCACCTCTTCAGATGCCAGTTACAAGCCCTAGGTTTTTACCTGTGCTTCTCACCAACTGGCTATAAGTCAGGGTTTTCACACCCTTCCCCCACTGGGCTCAATTAATTTGCTAGAGCAGCTTATAGAACTCAGGGAACCACTTACAATTACTGGTTTATTATACAGGACATTACAAAAGATACAGATGAACAGCCAGATGAAGAGATGCATAGGTCAAGCTATGGGAGGAAGGGCACAGAGCTTCCATGCTCAGTCTGGGAATCCTGCCCTCCATCATGTCCCTCTCATGATGGTGGAATAAACACTTTTTCTTATTCTTCCTGTAAAATATCACTATCACAAAAACACTAATCTTTATATATAGAATAAGTATGAAAAAGCTCTTGAAAGGTGGAAAGAAGAAGATAGGCTTGGTGGGCACATCCAGACCCAAGGAACAACATGGTGGTGAGTTCCCTGGGTTTTCTTTTTATCTCATACATCCAAGACTTGGAGCTGAAGAAGCTGCCAACCTGGAAATGCCAAGGTGCACAGACGAAAAAAGCCCCAGTAAAAGCCCTCTCTATGTAGCCACAGAACAAATAAAGTGGCTAAGAAGACAGGAGAGCTTTAGAAAATAACTGCTTTACTGGAGGCAATCATCATGGAAAAAACACCTGTATTCTCATTCCTACCCTTGCCAGCCAGCAACGGCTGGATGAGGAGCCTGGACTTTCATTTGGTTTCCAATCTCAAGAGGCTGTAATAATGTGCCTCAATATTTCTGACAAGGTGATGTCAGGAACCAATTACAAACATGGGACTTCCATTTCTGCTGGCTAATACTGAGGCCACTCCTTGCCTCATTGTCTCATAGTATCAGTGGAAATAATGTGAATAACCTGGACCTCCACCTTCACCCAGCAATAACAAGGCACCACTCCATGTCCCAACAGATGTAGTGTCAGGTGAGGCCTGGTGGAGAGGAAGGACTTCCACCAACTGTCAACAATAACAACACCATCCTTTATTGTGGTATCAGTGGAGACCACATAGATGGCAAAAATTCCCATCCCCACCCAGCAGTAACAAGGTGCATACCTCATCACCACCATCCAACAATTTTGGATGACAACAAAGAGAATAAGAACCTTGTACCTTCTATCTACCTCTGACAGTAATAAGGTTGCAGCTCTTCTCTGGATGCAACATTGTTACAGGAAGACAACTAAAACAAAATGTTTAAATAAGATCCAGAGTCTCATAAGAAAATATGAACATTTCCAGGATTTATTTGAAAATTATGTGCCATACTAAAAAACAGGAAGTTCATGAATTGAACAAAAAAAGAACATAATAAATGCAAAAATTGAGAAGACAGAGAGTCTACATGTACCTAACAAAGATTTTAAAGCAACTATGATAAAAGATGCTTCAATGAATAAGTATAAACATGCATGAACCAAATAAAAAATAAGAATGCCTCAGTAAAAACTGTTTCATGAAAGAAATAGAGGGTTCACAGGAGAACCAAATAGAAATTTTAAAATTAAATACAATAACTGACATATAAGTGGATTGACTCAATAGCAGAATGGAAGAGACAGACCAAAAAAAATTAGTGAATTGGAAGATAAAACAATGGAAATTACCTAATCTGAGAAACAAAGAAACCATGCCAAGACACATCAAAATTAAACTTTTGAAAACTGTAAACTAATACAAATGTTGAGAGTACTCAGATAAAAATGACACTTTACTTATAGGGTAAAAACAATTGAAATGGCAGTGCCTTATCAGAAACCATGGGGACAAGAAAGAATTATCAAAACAGAATCTTATACCCCAGAAAATATTCTGCAGCAATGAAGGTTTCAAGACAGTGTAAGATTAAGGAAACTGATGACAATTGATTGCCATTAGATATGACCTAAGAAGAGATGTATACAGAAAGTTCTGCAAAGCAAAAGAAAACAATTCAGGAAGGAAGCTTAGAACACATGGGATGATAAAAGACCATGTGAAGGAAAAATATTGATAAGTGCAGCAGGCTTTCTTTCTATTTCTGAGTTTTCTAAAATATGGCTGATAGTTGAAGAAAAAATTATATCACTCTATGATAGGGCTCTAAAGCCATGTGGAGAAAATATTCTGACAATTCTAAGATAAACAGTGAAGCATAAAGGGATGTAAAATGAGGTAAAATTTTTATACTTTATCAAACCAGACGATGATAGGTTGCGTTTAATAAGGCAATATCTAAAGCAAACACTAAAAGTGTAACACAAAGAGATATACTATAAAACACTACAAATAAAATAGAATTCTTAAAAAAAATTCAAATAACACAGAAGTCAGGAAAAAGAAAGAGAAAAAAACTGAGAACAAACAGATAATTAAAAAATGGAATGTCACGTCACACCTAAGCCTTAACACATCAAAATTATATTAAATAAAAGTGAAGTAAATATGCCAATTAAAGATAGAGATTGGCAGAGTAAGTTTAAAAATATGGCCCAATTATATGCTGTCTACACAAAAATCACTTCCAATATGATTATACTGACAGGTTGCAAGTAAAGTGGTAGACAAAGATGCATCATGAAAAATTTGTTCAAAGAAAAGCAAGACTGAATATTTTCATATCAGATAAAGTAGATTTTAGAACAAAAAAATCCAGAGACAAATGAACTTTATATAATAATAAAAATTCAATCCACCAGCAGTATATAGAAATTTTAAATTTTATTCACCAAACTATAGCTTCCAAATATGTGAAACAAAAGTGGAAAGAATTGAAGGAAGACATATAACAATCAAGAATTATATTTGGAGATTTCAGCATCCCTTTAAACAACTGATAAAACAACTAGACAAAAATTATCAAGGATGCAAAACAACTCAACAATGCTATCAGCCACAGTAACTATTCAATATTTATAGAACACTCAACAACAGCACACTGAACATTGTTTTCTTTATTATTATTATTATTATTATTATTATTATTTTGAGACGGAGTCTTGCTCTGTCACCCAGGCTGGAGTGCAGTGGCGTGATCTCGGCTCACTGCAACCTCCACCTACTGGGTTCAAGAGATTCAATTCTCCTGCCTCAGCCTCCCAAGTAGCTGGGACTACAGGCACCTGCAACCATGCCCGGCTAATTTTTTGTGTATTTTGTTGTAGAGACGGGGTTTCACTGTTTAGCCAGGGTAGTCTCAATCTCCTGACTTTGTGATCCACCCACCTGGGCCTCCCAAAGTGCTGGGATTACAGGAGTGAGCCACCGTGCCTGGCATGAACATTCTTTTCAAGTGGGCATGGAATATATACCCAGACAGACCATATCCTGGGTCATAAAATAAATCTCAACAAATTTAAAAGAATTGAAATGTGGTTCTCAGACCACAAAGTAGAAATCAATGAGAAAGATAACTGAAAAAATTCCAAACAAATGAAAACTAAATAACCCATCAATCAAAGAAGTTTCAAGATAAATAAAAAAACATAAAATATATTGAAAATAAAAATAGCAAAATGAAATTTATCGGAAACAGCTAACGTAGTCCTGGTAAGACAATGTGTATCACTAAATGCATACAACATGAAAGAAAAAAAATTACCAAATAAATTTTTAAGTTATCCCAAAAATCCAGAATAAGAGTAACAAAATGAACACAAAGCAAACAAAATAAAGAATAGTAAAGATAAGAGAAGACATAAAATTGAATACAATAAAGAAAATCAATAAAACAAGCCTTTCTTTTTTGAAAAGCCATCTGTGAAATTGACAGACCTCCAGCAAGACTGACAAAGAACAAAAAAAGACTCAGATTTCCATTATCATGAGTGAAATTATATATCATTACAGACGTTACTTACCTCAAAAAGTTAATAAAGAAAAACTACAAACATCTTTACACACATACATTTGACAACTTAAACAAATAGGCTTCTTCTTTGAAAAACACAACTACCTCAACTTACACAATATGAAATAGATAATTTGAATAACCTCATATCTATGAAAGAAATTGGCTTCATAATTTTAAAACTCCTCCCAAAGAAATACCGTGACCCACACATGATATCACTATTTGATAGAGAATTTAACCACATTTTTAAAGATAAAATGGTATCACCTTTGTACTGTATCTCCCAGATACTATCTCTCCTTTAACTTATTCTATAAGACCTTTAGTACCCTAATACAAAAACCATATAAAACTATTATAGGGAAGGGAAATCACAGACATATATCTCTAATGAACATTAATATAGAAATTCTCAACAAAATACCAGCAAATTAAATTCATCAATATATACAAATAATTATCCATCATGAATAAAAGGGGTTTATTCTATGTATACAATGCTGGTTCAGTGTTCAAAAATCAATAAATGTACTTCACCACATTGACAGGCTAAAGAGGAAATATTCATGGTCATATTAATTGATGCATTAAAAACATTTGCCAAAATTTGGCATACACTCTTGACAAAAAAATCACAGAAAAGCTAATAATGGAAGAAAATTTGCACAGCATAATAAAGAGCATTTACAAAACACATAAAGTCAACATTATACTTAAAGGTGAATGCTTTAAGCATTTAAGTGAATGCTTCCCCGTTAGGATCAGGAACAAGGCAAGGATGTTACTTCTCACTACTCTTATTCAACCACAGTGCTATACATTTTAGGCAGTGAAATAAAGCAAACACAACATATATGAATGCATTAAAGATAGGAAATAAGGAAATAAAACTGTCCCTATTTGCAGATGATGTGATTTTCTGTAGAAAGCATCAAGAGTTCTACAATACAATATAAATAAAAAGAAAAGAAAATCATCCTAGAACTATTAAATAAGTTCAACAAGTTTGCAGGATACAAGATAAACAGCAAAATCAATTATGCTTCTATATACAAGTAATAAATATGTGGACACCAAAATTAAAAATTCAATGCCTTTTTTGATCCTTTGAAAAAAATGAAATACATGGTTATAAATCGAACAAAATGAGCACAGGATTTGTATCCTGAAAACCGTACAATGTTGATGAAACAAATAAAAAATTTAAATAAATGGATGGACAGTCTATATTCATAAACTGGAAGGCCAAACACAGTAAAGAATTTAATTCTTCTTAAAATGATTTATAGTTTTTACAAAATTTTAATCAAAATACTGGAAAGATTCTTTGCAGATACAGACAAGATTGTTCTAAAATTTATATGGAAAGGCAAAGTAACTAGAATAGCTATAACGACTTTGAAAAAGTAAATTTGGGAGAATCAGGCTACTGAATTTCAGTAATTAATAGCTACAGTAATTAATACTGGCTAAGGTTGGTGGAAGACTAAGTACATACGTCAATGGAATAAACAGAGCACCCAGAAATAGACCCACACATATATATACATAGATATCAAAGCAATTAAATGAGGAAATAATAGCCTTTTCAACAAATAGAGATAGAGATATGAGTATACACACAGGGAAAACAACAACTAAAAAGGTAAACCTTGATACAGGTGTCACACATTAAACAAAAATTAACTAAAAAGGAATCAAAAACTGAAATGTAAATTGTAGAGGTATAAAACCTGTAGGAAAAGAATAAAAGAAAATCTTCAGGATATAGAGCAAGAAAGAGTATTTTCAGATGTGACACCAAAAGCATGAACCATCAAAGTAAAAATTGATCAAATGGATATCATCAAAATCAAAAATATATATATTTGCTCTGTTAAGAGCATGAAAAGCAAAGCTATAGAACGAGAGAAAATGTTTGCAAACTAAATATCTGAAAAAGGGCTATGATATGGTATGGCTATCTATCCCCTACAAATCTCATGTTGAAATGTGATTCCCACTGTTAAAGGTGGGGTCTGGTAAATACACCATGAGTGGCTTGGTGTACTTCCCATGGTAATGAATGAGTTCTCATCCTGTGAGTTCACCTTAGAGCTGGTTGTTTAAAAAAAGCCTGGCGTATCTTTTATTCTCTCTCACCATGTGATATGCTGGCTCCTCTTTCAGCTTCCATCATGATTGTAAGCTTCCTGATGCCCTCATCAGAAGGAGGTGCTAGCACCAGTTTCTGTACATCCTGAAGAACTATAAGCCAAAATAAGTCTATTTTCATCATAAATTACCCAGTCTTAGGTCTTCCTCTGTAGCAATGCAAATGGACTAACACAAAAAAATTGGTACTAAGAGTTGTGCATTGCTATAAAGATACCTGAAGATATGGAAGCAAGTGTGAAACTGAGTAATTATTAGCAGAGGTTGGAAGAGTTTGCTGGGCTCAGAAGAAGACAGGAAGATGAAGGAAGGTTTTAAGCTTCTTAGAGACTGGTTAAATAATTGTGATGCAATGCTAATAGACATATAGACAGTGAAGAACAGGCTGATGAGGTTTCAGCTAGAAATGATGAATTTATTGAGAACTGGAGGAAAGGTCACACTTGTTATGCTCTAGCAAAGAATGTGGCTACATTATGTTTATTTCCTAGGACATTGCAGAAGGCTGAACTTATGAGTAATGACTTAGGGTATGTGGCAGAAAATATTTCTAAGCAGCAAGGTGTTCAAGAGTTGATAAGGTGGCTTCTAACAGTCTACACTCAGTTGAGGGAACAAAAAAAAATACTAAAAGTTGGAACTTATATTTAAAAGGGAGGCAGAGCACAAAAATTTGTGAGGCCATAACCTGGTCATGTGATAAAGAAGAAAAAAGCATTTCAGGAGAGGAATACAGGAAGACTGGAAAGCAACCACCTGCTAAAGAGCTTTGTATGACTAAAAGAAAGCCAAGTGCTAAAAGATATGACAGTGGGGAAAAGGCCTGGAAGACATTTGAGAAATCTCTGAGGCAGCCCCTCTTATCACAGTGTCAGAGGCCTAGGAAGAAAGAATGGTTTTGGGGACCAGGCCCAGGTCCCTGCTTCCCAGCACAGCCTCAGGACACTGCTTCCAGTATTCTGGTTGTTCCAGCTCCAGCCATAGCTCAAAGTGCTCCAGACACAGCTCTGTCTGCCACTTTGAAGAGCATAAGACTTAAGCCTTCATAGTTACCATGTAGTGTTAAGCCTGTAGGAATGCCTAATGCAAGAGTGAAGGAAACTTGGCAGCTTCTACAAAGATTTCAGAGGATGTATTGGAAAACCTGGGTGCCCGGGCAGAAGCCTAGTGTGGGGGGAGATCCCTTATAACCAAAATCTACTAGTGAAGTAATGAGGGGGAAATGTGGGGTTGGAGCCCCACCCACCCACAGAGTCTCCACCAGGGTACTGCCTAGTGAAGCAGTGGGAAGGGGGCCACTTCTCTCCAAACTCTTATGATAGAGACACCAGCAGCTTGCAACCTCATCCTGGAAAAGTCACAAAGGAGGAGCTGCCCAAGGCCTCGGATGCCCACCACTTGCACCAGTGAGCCCAGGATATGGGACACGGAGTGAAGGATTATTGTGGTGCTTTAAGGTTTAGTATCCGTCCTGCTGGGCTTCAGTCTTGTGCTCAGCCTGTTGCCCATTACTTTTGGCCAGTTTCTCCCTTTCAGAATAGGAATGTTTACTCAATGCCTATACTACTATTATATCTGGGAAGTAAATCACTTGCTTTTGGTCTCACAGGCTTATCGGGAGAAATAACTCATCTCCAGATGAGACTTTGGACTTGGGTCTTGGGACTTTTGAGCTGATGCTAGAATGAGTTAAGCCTTTGGGAGACTATTGGGAAGGCATGATTATATTTTGCAATATGAGAAAGTCATGAGATTTGGGTGGCCAGGGGCAGAATGATATGATTTGGATATTGATATGATTTGAAATATGATTCCTAATGTTGGACATGGGGCCTGGTAGGAGGTGTTTAGGTCATGAGGGCAGATCCTTCATGAATGGCTTGGTCCCTCCCCTTGGTAATGAGTAAGTTCTCACTCTGAGTTCACAGAAGAGTTGGTTGTTCAAAAGAACCTGGCACCTTTCTCTCTCTCACCAGGTGATGTCCTGCCTTCCCTTTCACCTTCTGTCATGACTGTAAGCTACCTGAGGGCCTCACCAGAAGCAGATGACAGCAACATGCTTCCTGTACAGCCTGCAGAACTGTGAACCAAAATTAACTTCTTTTCATTGTAAATTACCCAGTCTCAGGTATTCCTTTATAGCAATGTGAAAGGACTAACACAAGCTACTATCTAGACTATATAAAGGACTTTCAAAACTCAACAGTCAATAACAATCTGATCAGAAAATAAGCAAATTATACAAAGAGATATTTCATCAAAGAGGATATGAAAACAAAGAAGTTCATGAAAAGAAATTTGACATCGTTTGTTCTTAGAGTCATGCAAATTAAAACCACTGTGAAATATTACTTCACACATATCAGAATTGCAAAAGTAAAAAATAATAGTAACAATGCCAAATGCTGGAGAGTACACAGAGATTCCTGTTTACTCATGCAAACTTGGTGGAAAAGCAGAATGGTACTGCCACTCTGAAAATCCACTGGGCATTTTCTCAAAAAAAAAAATAGACGAGCAACTACCATTAGATCCAGAAATTGCAGTTGCATTCCTGGACAATTTATCCCAGAGAAATTCAGACTTATATTTATAAAAACTCATACAAAATTATTTATAGCAGCTTTATTTGTAATGGCCCAAAACAAGACACAACCCAGAGGTCCTTCAGGGATGAATGGTTAAACAACCGTGATACATCCATATTATAAAATGCATTCCAAAATGGAAAGGAATGAGCTTTTCATACACACAACAACCTGGATGAATATCCAGAGGATTATACTGTATAAAAAAAGCCAATTACAAAAAGTTACATGCTATATGACTCCATTTATATAACATTCTTGAAATGACAAAATTATAAAAATGGAGAACAGATGATTTGTTGCCAGGAATTAGTAGTGAGTAGATGGGAGAAAAACAGGTATAGATCTAAAAGGACAACCTAAGGGATCCTTGTGGTGATGAGAATGTTCTCTATCTTTAATATATTGACAATATCTTGCTTGTGATATTGTACTATAGTTTTGCAAATTATTGCCATTGGAGGAAACTGAGCAGAAGGCACATGGGATATCACTGTGTTATTTCAAACACATTCATATATTTCTAAAATGATCTCAAAATACAAAGTTTAATTGAAAATACAGGATGGCCAATCAAATTTGAATATTGCGTGAGACATACTTATACTTTAAAAATTCATTGTTTATTTCAAATTCAAATTTAGCGTGTTGTCCTCTATTTTATGTGCCATCCCTGGGCAGAGGAAAATTCTTATGCAGTTTCTGTGGCACGAAGACCATGATGTATTGAGGAGTAGAAATGCAGGCATGTTCAGTGCACACAAAAAGGAACAAGTTGTGTTTAGTTGAGCTGTTTACTATCTTTTGAACACAACCTTCATTGAGACTGAAATATGTTAGGCAGAGGTAGAGCACCTAGTCAGTACCTTTTCTATACAGGTACCTCATGGGACAGAAGGGAGCACCTCAGCATGCTAATGCAAGAACAGCATTTCTTGCAGTAAATTATTTGTTATACAGACTTCTTGGTCCTCCTCTCTCCCTCTCTCCCTTGCTTATTCTTACTTTTGGTTTCTTTTATTGTTCTCCTAGCACTATTCTATATGCTCACAGAACTAAAAACTGAAGCAAAACTGGATTTAAAAAAATAATTTCTATTTTATTTGGGCTTTTGCATTATGAATTATTTATTACTGCCATAATATTCCAAGAGTTCTCTTCCCCCAATTGTCCATAAATACCCCTTTCAGAGCTTTAGCTTGACCCCAAGCATTCTGGAAGATGAGTCATCTGAAGTCATGCTCTCTGGTTTCTTTGCTTGGAGGTCTCCCCCTACTCAAAAATCCATTCCGCTAGTCTGGGGATTTTAGAGAGGATACACTAGAGGGGTTCTGGGCCCATGAAAACCCTACAAAACCAATAGGATTATTTGGGGTTTTTACTCTGAGAAATGGAGCAAGCTCTGCTTACCAGAGGACACGGTAAGGCACATGCTGAAGTGGAGAGGCACCCTTAATTAGCTGCTGTCTGTGATGGAGTGGCTGGAGTGTTCCTGTCCTTCCAGCAGCATGAGGCACAGAATGTCATGTAGACATCATCAAGAATGAGACCTTGGCTTATCAGTCATCTCTCCCACTCCTGAGTCTGTCCCCAGTATTGTGTGCATCAAGTATCTCTCCTATCAGTTCAGCTGGGTCTTCCCTTTGTAGAAGCAAATTTCTTTTCTCTGCATTATTGCTTGCCTAGAATTTTCATAATAAACTTGAATCAACATGAACAATCTTCAAAGAATACAGAGTGACAATGCATTGTACCTTCTCATCCTCGAGTCACACAAATATTGTGGACTACGTGATAACCTGGACTGTACAGTGCTAGGGCGCTTTGCATTGTTTACAGAGCTGTACAAAGGAGCCACACAAAATCAAGAAGCAGGGAGGCAGTGAAAGCTGTTAACAGCTTGTCAGTAACATGGCTGTTCTGGAACATTTGTAGAAGGGTGATCAGAAGCCTTTGCCTGTAGCACGTGCCCATGAATAAACAGAGAAAGAGAATAGAAGCATCTTCCTCTCTTACTTTGCCAAGTGGATGCAAGGAATGAATCTATCCTTATCACCTCTTTGTATGGGCCTTATGGAATGTATTCAAAACAGAATTGGAAGGACTTTACCTGTGAGTAGTAATTCTTTATCAAATTAAAACCTGTGCGTTAATTTATTACCTAGCAGGTAGGAGGCAGTGTTGGTGAAGAACCTGGTGAAAGAAAATGAGTACATTTTCTAAAGCTTGTTGAAGAGAACCATTGCAGCACCAAAAATTGATAGTGGGATTGGCACATAAAACAGGCACTCAATGAACCTTTATTGAGTGAACGAACCAGAAAGAAAAGTGGAAAGCTCTGAAGATAAACTTTTCCCACTTTATGATTTTGACATTAGCAGGCTTACATCAAATCACAGACGCTGTCAGTTAAAGGCGATGCCCTATAGAATCTGTAATTACTGCCTTCCTATTGACATTTTCATTCCTCTACCCCTCTCCAGTACTGAAAGCTATGTGAAAGCACTCATTGTTTTGTATCTGGATGATTTGATAATTTCCTAGAAATATCCCTGACTTAATTTCTTCTCCTTTTTTCAAACTATCCACTCTAAAGTTGACCTTCGCAAAGCCTAGCTTCTTACTTCTCACACTGTTTTCCACAAACTTTGATGACTCCTTGTTGCCTGCAGAACATACTCCACTCTCCTTATGATAGGCTTTATGTGGCCTGTAAGCATTTAGTCCAAATGCCTATTGCTTCTAACTCAATTTTACTAGTTGGCTCATTGTGCCCAAATTTGCTTATCCCATCATTGTTTAAAATCCCAAACTTTCTTTAAATTTCATCTGTAACTTATCTCTCTTTTTCATTAGATCTTTCCATTCCACTTCCGACCTTGGCACCTAGAGACACTTCCTCTTAGGACTCCTGTAGTATTTATAGTTACACTGATAATGTGGCAAATTTCATATCTTATCTTCTGTTATCATGTATCTTTCAGATTCTTAATTATGGGGCTACAATGAGCTTGTAAGCCCCTTCTTTGTGAGCTCTGCTTTATAACTTAAAAAAATAGCAACACAGCATCATTTTATTAACTTAATAAGGATATCAAGACAATATCCTTTTCTTCTCTGTCATTTGTTTTTCTCATGGTTCAATGAGACATATTTCCTCTTCCAGAAACACAATTGCAAACACATGGTCTGCTGGTGGCAGGGCCATGATTTTATCTTTGGTTGCACTGCAGGTGTTCAGCTCTCCAGATTCGCCACATCTGTTACCAACCGATAGTCAAGAATCCCATCTCTTGTAGCTGCATAAACTTTAGGCACATGGAAGGAGAGTTACCAGCTCAGAGATGCCTAAGACTCCCTGTGCCAAACCAATCTTAAGTGTTGCAATGAGCAACAG
Organism: Homo sapiens; assembly: GCF_000001405.40. NCBI lineage: Eukaryota > Metazoa > Chordata > Mammalia > Primates > Hominidae > Homo > Homo sapiens. The sequence goes on from NC_000018.10 coordinate 38,869,106, forward strand.
GGCTCTTAGCAGGGGGATTTTGCTCCCAACTGAAAGTTTGACAGCAAAGGAATCCTTCATGCTTGTGCGTGCGATGTAGACTAGTGAAGCCTCAGTCGAGGCATTTATTTTCCCCTTGGAAGACCCTGCGGTTAGATTGAATTATGTAAGAGCATCTCAGTCTCCACACTGATAGGAAAGTATGCTCTTGTCTGTATTTTGTAACAGAAAATAAGAAAAAAGTTGGGGAAAGTCATGTCTAAAAGCACTGGGTTTTATTTTCCCTGTTGGTTACTGTAGATTTAGACTTTTGCATTAGTTACACAATTTTTATTATGGTGCCAATGTATTTGGCATGCCAGCATATATCCCAACACAGTATATGTAAAGCTACATGGCACACACTAGAAATTAGGGAAAGGCATTTCCTTCAGTTTTTTTTTAAACCCTGTTAGTACAAATACAGAAATATCAGACACATTTTACAGAGAACTAGACTGGAAGTCCAGTTTATGTTCTAGAAACAAGCGTCTAATTCATAATCTAATTTGAACTTGCTGGCAGCCCATAAGAAAACTACTGCTTCCCCTAAGCCTCAGTTTCCTCAGTTTTAAAGCACACATGATATTAACCTCCTATGCAAAAACATAGGATTGATACATGTTATCTGACAGGAGAATGGTTTATAAACTTTAGTTTGTTAATTTTATATTATAAAATATAATATAAACATAGTATGTATTTACTGCTATTATACTAAGTACTGAAGACCTAAGATAGAGATTGTCAAAGCTGAGGAGTGTTACTAAGGAAAGGCATTTGAGAAGCAACAATGTTTAGGTAGAATTTCTGAAGACACAAATTGTTACTGCTACAGAGAGAAGGAAAGACATTATAAACTGCAATGTACATCACAGGGCTGCCATGAAAGGATATATTTTAACCTATGCTATGCTGATGAATGTTAGATATCAGAAAGATCCACAGATATTTTTATTTTAGTGTTAGGTGCTAAGGATATGGTAATGATGAGCCAAGTATCATTTGGGCCTCAAGGAGTTTACAAAGAGAAGATTATTAAACTAGAGACAGTTGATGAAAGTTTGACTAGAGGGATAAAAACTCAAGGATGTGCACGTTTTAGCTTCTTATTTCTCCCTGCCTCTAATCGGATATTTCTACTTCCCTTTTAACTTCACTTGGCATTTACTTGAATCGCAATTACATTTTCCTCCAGTCTTCTCTCTTGTTCCATGGGTCTCTGCAAAAGATATTACCCAGTCCATGCAAATTGTTATGGCCGATAAAGTAACACTAGCAATCTTCAGAACTTGATATCTGAAGCATAGTTTTGAGTTTTATAAAATATGCTAACAAATACTACAGCCAGACTTTGGATCATGCCAGATAATAAATTTTGGCCTTATGAAGTAAACAAGAAAATATCAATATCTGAGATAATTTGTGCCCCTGACTATAAGGAGATGCTTCCAGAACAGGATGTGCTATTGACCCCATCTGCAAGGTCTGGTAGAGCACAAGGGCACCTCCAAAGAGGCCAGGGGGGCAACATGGTGGGCAATCTGGTGGGTTTCCCTTACGTGTCTATCACCAGGAAGCTCTATTAGACAAGGAAGGGCCCAAGACCTAAAAAGACCAACATTTCAGGTGAGTTGTCTGGACATAAGCCAGGGTCCAAGTTGGATTGTACTATTTGCCACTTTATCTTTGTCCTTTCTTACACTATTTTCTCTCCCTGCCACATCTTTGCTCATCTCCCAATCCTGCTCTGCCCATCTCCATTCATTGTCCAAGAAGCTTCTCAGAGCTTCAGCCAAACTGACTCAGTGTCTCTTTTCTGTGGCCTGATAACATCTTGCAAACAACTTTTATGTGATCTTTCTCACCAGGCTGTGTCTCCCTTTTCAACATCCCTGGAATTAGCAGTGTCTAGCACACAATGTCACTCGATGTTTGAAAAATGAGGTGGATGGTTAGATGGATGGATAAGTGAATAGATGTATGTGTGAATGGAGATAACTCTAAAATAATGGAATTGAAAAATAAAGATGAGCATAAGGAAAAAGTAGAACTGGAATTCAAGGTTAAGCCCAATAATCATGAAGAAGGATGGAATGATGACTTTCCAAGTGTTGTAGTAAAACTCCATAAATTTATTCTGCCCAGATTAGAAGTGGTTCAAAGACAAAGCTGTGAAATGTAAGTGAGTTTTTAAGGTCAAGGAGCTGGTGAGTGTCAGAGAAGACTTCAAATCCAAGTTCATCTGAATCTACACATCCATTTATTTACCCAGTTGAGTAATTTCTCTAGGCCAGAGAAGCATAGCACATTCAAAATTATTAAAACCAAAACCTCAAACTATACAACCTTGCAATAAATAATGCCGATAATCTTCGTTTTAAAAATTTCTTTTTGAAAATATCAAATAAAAATAGTATTAAGGAGAAATAATACAGGGAAGAATTTCATACAGTTATCCTAATTTTATGAAAAATATCCTTCTTTCAGAGTAGAACGTATTACCTGTTTTCTACCTTGGTAGAGATTAATTTCAAAACTTAGTGTGACCCTGAATTTGAAGAATCTTTATCGTCAGTCCAGACATTTTGAACCACAGAGAAATATTAAAGTAATTGTTGTTTATTGTCAACATGTTCAAAGTTATTCATAATATATAAGACTTTAATATAGGGGAATAAAACGTAATTGTAAAGACATTCCTAAAAGCTTCTTTTCACTTCTGTATAGCAAGCTCCTTTTTACAACCAACACATACTTGCCCTTTGGCTAATGACACTCTGTAATAACTGTATACTATTTGTTGAGAGTCTTACATCAAGTCACAAATAAATATTTTTAGCAACCCAGTGGTACATTATCTATTTTTAAAAGATGTTAATTTTGTTTATAGAACAATGTTGTGAAATTACATGTTATTAAGTTTGTTACATTTTTATAAAATTAGTTGCCAATGGCAACATATAGTAATGAACATGACTGCTAATATTGTTGAGTGCTAACTTACTGACAGGCACTGTGGTAAACTCTTTACATGGATTACTTATTTTAATACTTACTTTAAATTTTATCCAAATGAGGGGACTGCTGCCTGGGAAGGTTAATGATTTGCTTAGGGTCAGAGAGCTGTAAGCAGCAGAGACAGAATTTGAATCCAGACCCCCTGACCCCCAGACCCCCTGACCCCCTGATATGAGTGTGACCAGCTTCACTAAACAGCAAGACGCTTTCAAAGAAGTTACAAATTCACTGTTCCTTTCTCACTCTCTCTCTCTCTCTCTCTCTCTCTCTCGGGATAGTTCTTATTTTGTCCTTGGATGAAGACTCCTACATGTCCCGTGAACATGTTTCTGGTAACTCTTCAGTAATACAGAGTCCTGCTATCACTTTCCAATGCAAATACAGCCTCACTTCCAATTTCAAAAGGTCCAGCCTCATGCAGAAATCAGCATGTTAGTGAACATCCTCCTCTAGCTAGGGCTACTGCTGGGGACCAGCCTGTCATCAGAAGAGACTGTGTTTGGCTTTTCTTCTATTCTTGTTCATCTTCTCATAATTCTCTGGAAAGTATTTCTCACTCCTCTATTCTGCAGGGTTGGAGACAGGGAAGGAATAGATACAAGAAATATACGAACATTGCTACTCGATTGTCCTGGTATCAGCTGGCTTTATATTCCCTGTGCCTGGAAGATGATTAAACTGATGCATTTTCCTGTAGAGTATTTTCTCTCTTTTTTTTTCCTCTTGCTTTTCACATTATTAGGGAATCTATCTTCTGAGCTGCCCCTGACACAATGGGTTGTATGTCTTTTCCTTGTGGTCAATTATCTTTTCTCAAACATCTAAAACCTAGTGTATTTAGATTCTCTATAAGGAAGTTTTCATTGCCCCTCTTCATAACTCCATTTGATAGGATATCACAGAACCTGCAAACCAGTTCTCTCAGTCATGTGGCCCCATATGAGCCATGGGAAGTGTCATTCAACGCTTCTCCCCATAACCCTGGAGATTGCAGGCCCAGCCCAAATCCCTTCCATGTCTTATCTGCCAGCTCATCTCAACCCTTACGTTCCTCTATGCGGGGCTCTCTCTGGGTGGCTGTGCTCACTTTGCATAGACTCTGGACTCCATTCCAGTCTGCCATCCCTGATGGGGCACTCCCCTCACTCTGCTGTCCAATATGTTCTTAACACTGTATTCTTTATTCTGATGTTTGCAGGCTAGGGTTGGGGACTTGGCACTTCTCTCTCCAGAAATTTTCTTTCTTCGTTCAGTTTTTTCTTCCTCATCCACTTTCTCTTAGTTTATCTCTTCCTGTGCATTTCCTTTCTGAGTAATTCAATCTTAAACCATTAATTGGGACTACCAAAGTGACCATTAATTGGGGAGAGGGGCTAGTATGGGGTTTCAGAGCCTTAACGGAGTGAAGAAGGCATGCACATGGCAGGAAAGCTGAATGTGAGGCGTTGCAGCTTAGATAAGGCAAGAAGATTACTCATCTATGAAGGCATCCCAGCACAAGGTTTGGGGGCCCGAGTAGAGTGAGACTGGCATTCAAACAGGAGAAACTCCTGCTGTATGGAATCGAATCCGGAGCAGTGTGAGGAGGGTGCCCACTTGGGGGTGGCAGCTGGCATGGAGTGTCAGAGTCCACACAGTAGGAGGAGGACATCTATGCAGCACCTAGCATAGCACACCATGTTGGAATCTGAGTGAATGAGGAAGGCTTTTACATGGTGAATGGGGAGATGGTGATGCAAGGTGTGGTCAAATAAATACAACATAAAATTCAACATAAAGAAATATAATAAGGTTAATGGGAACCAAGATTTTTATTGTTGAGGAAGTAATTAAAATTATAGAAATGGGGAAAACTTGTACAGATCCTAATTATTAGACTTGAGAGTAATAGTACAAATTGATAGAGATCTATCCACCATTGATACACCTATTTATATAAATACATATTCATATATATAATTTTATATGTATATACATAATGGTTTTATATATAATGGTTTTATGTAGGCTTGTATATAGGTGTAGAGATATATACATATATAAACATACATATATCTGTGTCTCTGTGTGTAAATGTGTGTTTATGTGAATTCCCCAGCTCTGTCCACTCAGGGGGCCTGATAAAAGTGATAATGCAATGATAATGATAACACCTAGTACCAATATCTTGGCATCTAACTACTATTCTTCAAGTAAAGGAACCAGGGCTTTTTGTAGAAATGACTGATTCCAGGTCTAAGGCAGGTGAAGTATGGAAGAAACCTGGTACATCCGCCAGAAAGTAAAGATGTGATCAAAGAATGATTGAGGCATCTCAAAAAGATGGAGAAGCCAACTTGAGTGAACTTCCACTGGGACATCTGGAATAATTTGAGCATCCAAGTAAGTGATAGTAAGGGGTCACAACCTCTTAAAATAGGTATCCATGAGTTTACATGATATAAATAATCAATAAAATGTTTTCTGTGAAATTGGCTGTTAATATAGCTTCAAATAAATTCCCCTAAAATACCACTAAATTGCAAAGGGAAAATAATATCTTCATAGTGGAGAAAGTGGGAAACACTTCAACTGGACAATGTGAATACCACAATTAATGATAGAAGTAGAAAGTGTGTTGCTACCTGATTGGATGCAGGGAAAACACAGCACTATTCTTGTTATATTTCTGCCAATGGTGCATAACCTGTATCTAACAATGAGAGCCCCAGATATACCCTAATAGAGGACATTTTACAAAATAACTGTTCCATAGACTTCAAAAGTGTTCAGATCACAAAAGTCCTAGCAAGAGTAAGGAATTATTTCAAACACAAATAGACTAAAGAGACATGAAAAATAAATACAATATGTGATTCTGAACTGTATCCTCTTGCTATAAAGGACATTACTAGGACAAGTGGTAAAAGCTGAATGAAGTCTGAGTATTAGAGAGTAGCATTGTACCAATGCTAATATTCTGATTCTAATTGCTGTGCTTTTCCATGGAGCAGAATTTCCTTGTTTTAGGAAATAAGTACTTCCATATTCAGGGATCATGGAGCAACAGTGTGGCAACTCATTTGGAAATAGTTCAGGTAAATCATTCTTTGTTAATTATAATATTTTAGTCATCCTACAGGGGTATAAAACAGATATCCCCAAACCCTGGGCCACAGCCTGGTATGGGTCCATGGCCAATGTGGAACCCAACTGTACAGCAAGAGGTGAGCGACCAGCAAGTGATTGAAGCTTCATCCATATTTGCAGGTGCTCCTTATCGCTTGCATTACCACCTGAGCTCCACCTCATGGCAGGTCATGAGCGATATTAGATTCTCATAGGAGAGCAAACCCTACTGTGAACCATGCATGCTATGGATCTAGGTTGCACTCTCCTTATGAGAATCTAATGCCCGATGATTTGTCACTGTCTCCCATTACCCACAGATGGGACCGACTAGTTGTAGAAAAAACAAGCTCAGGGCTCCTACTGATTCTACATTATCAGAAGTTGTATAATTATTACATTATATATTACAATGTAATAATAATAGTAATAAAGTGCACAATAAACGTAATGGGGTTGAATCATCCCAAAACCATCCCACTCCCATCCCACAGTCTGTGGAAAAATTGTCTTCCAGGAAACCGGCCCCTGGCACCAAAAACCTTGGGGACCTCTGGTATAGAACACTAGAACTTATTCGTCCAGCTAGCTATAATTTTGTATCCTTTAACAAGTTAATAATATATTGTATCGTTGCAAAAAACTGGAATGAGAATATTGAATGCTCCCAACACAAATAATTGATAAATGTTTGTGATGATGGTTATACTAATTACCCCAATCTGCTCATCACATATTATATGTTTGGAAATATCCCTACGTACCTCATGAATGTGTAAAATTATTCTTCTTAAATTAAAAATACAAAATAAGTTTTTGTACTATACTTGCAAATTTTCTATAAATTTGAAATTCTTTTAAAATTTAAAGAAAGTAAAACTGAACTTCATTCAGTCTCCAATCTAAGACATAGTTAAAACCTTGACAGGTGTGAGAAGTTTACAAGCCATTAAACTGGCTGCGGTCTACATTTCCAAAAGTTTGAATTTTCATTTTGTTCTGAAATTTTACATTAGTACTTCATATCTCTGACACTAGGGCCTTGAAAGAAATTGCATATTATCATGCCTTTACACTAATAATAAATCTGAAACTTAATAAATCCAGACAGGAATGAAAATCATTAATGATTTTTAAAGGTTGTTTTAGGCCCAATCAATTACTTGCTAGGCTAATGCCAGCAACTATGTGTTCAGCTGTGAATTAAGAGAGCAAAGTAAAGAGTGTGTACAAAATTCTGGTAATATAGCACTGAATGACTAGATCTAACCAACAAAATGATTTCAAGATTTTACAGTATTTTTCAACTCTCTTTACTAACAGAGGCCCATTAATAATATAATTTTATTTACCTTTTACTCATTTAACTTCACTTTTCCACATACTTATGATAAGGACCACTGACAATGAGACATTATTTCTAGAAAAGTAACATTTGTTCTTTTCTAGCCATTTGTACATCAAGACCAAAGAAAAACTATTCTACTTACTTTTGGCTATTCTTGTGTTCCAGAACCTTAAATGTTGTGTTCATATGAAGAAAATATGTTTAATACAACATAATATCTCCTCGGTGCTTTTCTCCTAAGGATAGGTCAATAATTTTTGTACTAAAATCTAAATATAATCACGCAAAACAATAGCTTTCCTACTGACTCTTAGTATTAAATATTCCAAGTCTCAGAATAAAACTGACATCTCTCAAATCAATGATCATAGCCTCTGCCCCAAAGAATAAAAGGGAAATAATGAAATGAAATGGGCTAAAATGATTACTAAATGATTAGTGACACTTAGTGACATTTTCTTTTCTTTTCTTTCTTTTTTTTTTTTTTTTGAGGCAGAGTCTCGCTTTGTTGCCCAGGCTGGAGTGCAGTGGCACAATCTTGGCTCACTGCAAACTTTGCCTCCCAGGTTCAAGAGATTGTCCTGCCTCAGCCTCCCAAATAGCTGGGATTACAGACACGAACTATGATGACTGGCTAATTTTTGCATTTTAGTAGAGATGGGGTTTCACCATGTTGTCCAAACTGGTCTTGAACTCCTGACCTCAGATTATCCACCAGCCTTGGCCTCCCAAAGTGCTGGGATTACAGGTATGAGACCAGCCAGTAGTGACATTTTCTAAAGGAGAAAAATCATTTTACAATATCAAAAATTCGTAAATATCAAATAAGTTTGGATATTGAATGTTAGCCATTTTCATCACATTTTCAAAATCCAGAATTAAATGTGATTGTCTGTTAATGGACAGAGTATCTCCAGATGCAACTTTTCTTTTGAAGTTAATCTCAATTCCCAATTAACTACTGGATCCTTCTATTTGGATGAGGCACAGAAAACTCAAAATTGTCATAGCTAGGGGAATATGAATTACAACCACAATTAGATAACATTAAACACCCACTAGAATGCATAATATTAAAAAAACAAAAACAAAAAGGCAACAACAAGCAAAAACAAAAAGGCAACAACAAAGACAGTGCCAAGTATTGTCATATTATTACTGGAATTTTCATACACTGCTGGTAGGGATGTTAAATGGTATAAAACTTTTCTGTTCCTAAAAGAAAAGAAAGCATAAGTCCACACAATTACTTCTCTACACACACACACACACACACACACACACACACACACACACACACACACACATATTTTTACAGACAGGTTCTTGGTCTGTGGCCCAACCTGGAGTACAGTGGCACAGTCCTAGCTCAATGCAGTTTTGAACTCCTAGGCATAAGTGATTCTCCCACCTCAGCCTCTCACAAGTAGCTAGAACTACAAGTGCATGCCACCACACTCAGGTAATTGCTTTATTTTTTGTAGAAACAAGGTCTTGCTCTGCTGATCTTAGGCTAGCCTCAAACTTCTTGTCTTAAGTGATCCTCCTGCCTGGGCCTCCAAAAGCACTGGGACTACAGTTGTGAGCCATCATGCTCAGCCACCAGCCATATTTTTTCAATAGCCACAACTGGAAATAATTCAAATGCCCATTAGCAAGTGAATAAGTAAACAATTTGTGCTGTGCACCTTCCATAGAATACTACTCACTAACAAAAAGTAATCAACTATTTATAGACACAATAACAAGAATGGATCTCAAAATAATTATATGGAGCAAAAGAAAGTAGACAAACATACATATTTGATGAATTCATTTATATAAAATTCCAGAAGTTACAAAATGTATCAGTAGTTGCCTGTGTAACTGGATAGGAGTGGGAGTAGTAAGTGGTAGGAGGGAGGATTAAGAAACAGGCAAGGGGAAACTTTTCGATGTTTGGATATGTTCATTATCTTGATTGTAGTGATGGTGTCATGGGTGTATGCACATGTCAAAACTCATTGGATTGTGCGTTCTAAATATGTGCAGCTTATTTTAAGTCAGTAAAATAAATATAAATATCTTAAGACTGTAAAAATAAAGATACACATAGCTAAATCTCAGTTTGTTCCCTTCATATTGTATAAGTTGGCATTCATCTCCTTTACCAGTATCTTATTTATGATTGCACATTGATTATCCCTCACCAGAAATGTTTAAGATTTTAAACTTTTAAAAAAATTTTATAATATTTGTATTATATACACTTACTGGTTGATTATCCCAAATCAGAACATTCAAAATCCAAAATGCTTCAGTGAGCATTCCTTTTGAACATCATGTCCGCACTCAAAAAGTTTTGAATTTTGGAGCATTTTGGATTCCATATTTTTGGACTTATGATGCTTAACCTGTACCAACTACTAGTTACTGAAGGTGGAATTTGAAAGCATCTTTGACACCCTTTCTCATAAACTTCATCGAAATAGTCACTAAATCCTGCCAAGTCTACCTTTCAAAATCAACCTAGAAACTCTCCCACACTCTTTATTCCTACTCCGGATAGTTGGGTGGAAACCTTTTAGGCCAGAAGTTAACAAATTTTAGCTTCCAGGACAAATGGACCTGCCAACTGTTTTTATACAACCCATGAGCTAAAACCATTATTTACATTTTAAATGATAGAAAAATACTGAAAGAATAATATTTCATAAAACATGGAAATGATTTCATATTTTAATTTCAGTGATCATAAATCCAGTTTTACTAAAATTTAGTTATATATACATAAATGTATGTATTTTGTATTATATATGTATGTGTAAATGACTGTATACTGTCATTCCTGTATACAGTTGTATATGGTTGGGGCTACAAAAGTAAGATTGAGTAAAGGCAGACAAAATATTATCTGGCCCTTTACAGAAAAAAAAAAAGTTTGCTGATCTTTATCTGAGGGCATCTGTACTCTTGGTTATTGCCGTGGTCTCCTAATGGTACCCTTGTCCTAGTCTCTTAACTTTAACCTCTTCATGGCTTCCAAAGCAACATTGTAAAAATATGCACTTTTAAAAATCACTCCTATTCTGTTAAATCCCAACAGAATAAAGTTTAGTTTTCTTATCATAGTATACAAGGCCCTTCACACCTGATCTCAATTTGCCTTTTTTATTTTACTATTTGCATTCCTTTCATACTAAAATTTTTAGAGTTCCCCAAATACACCTTGCTTTAGCATAACTGCTTGCCTTTGTGATTCCATTTCATTTGCCATCTGACAAACGCTCATGTTGAAAACTAATACTTGAAGTCATATGCATCAAAGCTATGGTGTCACTTAGCTCCATTCCAACTAGTCATAAGTTTTTCCTCATTTTTGTACTGTAACATTTTATACATACATTAGTGTAGACATTATTGCGTTGGATTAAAGTGTTTATATGTTAGAGTCTTCTTAAAGAAGCAGCTGTGTTTTATATAACATTTATCACCCAAATATTGCCAACACATGCTTAGTAAATGCTTTATGGAATAAACAAAAAGAGACAAGAAGAAAAGTGGAAAAGAATGTAGGGGGAGAAAGGAAAAGAAAAAAATGTCTTAAAGGCAAAAAGTAAAAAAGAAAAATATAAAGGGAATAAAAAGAAGAGAACATATGAAGGAAAAAAGAGGAAACAAAAGTACTGAAAGAAGGATAAAAAGGAATAAAGAAAAGGAAGAATGAAAAAAGAAATGTTAGGATGAAAGAAAAACAAGAGAGGAAATGAAAAAGAAGGAAGGAAGAGCAGGAAAGTGGGAGGGAGGGATGGAGGCAGGGAGCTATGAAAGAAGTAAACAGGAAAAATCAGACAGGAAAGAAGAGAAGGAAGGAAGAAAAGAAATAGGGAAAAAAAGAAGAGAAGGAGAGAAAAGGGGAAAGGAAAGGCAGAAAGGAAGGAAGGAGTGAAGAAAAATAAGGAAGAGATAAAAAATAAAAGGAAGACAAAAAGCAATAAAGGAAGAAAGATAAAAGAAGGAAGTAATTGAAGAGAGGAATACAGAAAGAAAGACATGAAAAGTAAAAATTAAAAAGGAAAAAAAAATGGAAGGAAGGAAAGAAGGAAGGAAAGGTGGAAGCTAGGGAAGGAGAAAGAAATAGGCCAAGCAAATTTAGAGCAACAATAATGACATTCAACTTCATGGAAAATGTTCATAAATAAAAATGTCCTGAAAGCATCCAAGAGGGAACCCCTAGCCTACCTATAGGATTATATCAGAAAAGACCTGGAGACCTTCTTTCACAAGTATGGGTGGAAATTGGAAGTCAAATTTTAGGATATATTAACCATGGCTTAACTCATTGTAGCAGTTTCTGTGCTCCAAAGACAATTTTTATCAGCACATATCATGAAGAACATCACTGATCCTTCACCAGAATCTTTATCCCATATGCCTTAACGTTAAAGATTCCATATAGAAATTACCATCTGTCACTTTTTCTAGAGTTCTCTACAGACAGCAAAGCAGATATAAGTCCCATTCACCATATACAGACAGGGGATCTTAAGAGAAATGGGAGAGTAGCTTCCTGAACCAAACTCAAATTGTAAGCATGTGCTGCAAGGGAAGGACATTTCAGCAAGCTCTTATTATGCCAGGCTCTGCTCTGCAGACCCTTGGGTTGACCAATATTTCAGCAGAGAGGGAGTTTCTAGTAAGATTAAGCCATAATTACGGTAAGGGAGGGTCACACTGCTTTAACAGGCAAAGACTTAATTCTTTCTCCTCTGTTCTTCCATATCAAAAGGAAAAATTGGTCCTCTGAGTTAGGGCACTCCTTGGGTTTGTGACACTTTTTGTTATTGCTTTGATTAGATGGGTTTGGGTGAATATGTCAGTTAGGAATAAGTCAATGATATGAGTGAGTAATGAAGACTCTAAGAGTAAGTTATAAAAATATATATGTTTATTTGTTTCTCACACCAAATTCAGGAAATATGCAGTCCATGGCTTGTATGTTGACTCTGTTCCACATTGTCCTCAGGAATTTAAGCTCATCTAGTTTGTTGTTTGACATCCCTAGGTGTGGCCTCTTGGTCCAAGATGGTAGTTTGAACTCCTGAAATCCTACCTTCATTTTATTTAGCATGATGGAGGCAGAAGAGAGGGAATAGGGAGCAATGGGCATGTTCAGTCATCTCCTCAGTGAAGTTTCAGAAACTGTACAAGGCATGTCTACTTATATCCCCTTAGTACATGGTTACATATAGACGGAAAGGAGTGGGTGCAAAATATGCTTTCATGATGGTGGCCACGATCTGAACACAAAAATGGGGGCTCTCTAACTATAAAAGTGGGGAACAAAGTTTGGACAATTAGCAGTTGGTAGAACTAATGGGTGGGAGTCTTCTTGGATGGTATGCCTGAATGGTGTGTTAGTCTCAAATTTGTTAGCCTAATCTTAGAGGTATGACAAATGGAATGAAATAGAAAAGATCCACCTTGCACTCCAGCATGGGTAACAGAGTGCGACCCTGTCTAAAAAGGAAAGAAAGAAGGAAGGGAGGGAAGGAGGGAGGGATGGAGGGAGGGAGAAGGGAAAGATCCAAAACTTAGTTTTAAATTTTAAACCTTGCATTCCAAATTAGGCTTCTTCCTAAAATACAAGTACTTGGGATGGTATTTTGGTTCTCTTTCTTCTACTGACTTTCACATATTTAGCTGCTGCCTCAGGAAATCAACAGAAGAAATTGTGATTGATGTAATAGGATATAGGCACTTCTTGGACCCAAGCAATAGCATCATCAGAACAACTATAACATCTATTTGCCAGTTCCTAGTATATGTTGCACAGAGGCCCAATTAATTGCTAAATCATGTCCTGGCTTTCAAATTATCATTTAGAATTATGAGATTTCTCTATATTCAACATCAGTCAATTGATAACTTATAAAAGAATGATATATGCTGCCAAAGTCAGCACATCAACAGATGGATGGATTTTTAAATGTGGCATAAACATATGATGGAATATTATTCAAGTTTAAAAAAGGAAATCCTGTCTTTTGCAACAACATGGATGAACCTGGAGGACATTATTCTAAGTGAAATAACCTGGGTGCAGAAAGACAAATGTTGGATGATTTTGCTTATAAAAAGAATCTAAAATAGTCAAACTCACAGAAGCAGAGAGTAAAATGATGGTTGCCAGGGGCTAAGTGGTGGAGGGAAATGGGGAGATGTTCATCACAGGGTACATAGTTTCAGTTATGGAAGATGAATAAGTTCTGCAGTTGTAGTATATAGCATAGGGACAATATTTTAAAATACTATATTGTATACTTGAAATTTGCTAAGAGGGAAGTTCTGCCCCATCCACCCACACACATACACACACATGGTAATTATGTGTGATGATAGATATGTTAATTAGATTGTGGTGATCACTTCACAATGTATAAACAGAACTAAACACCAAATTGTAAACCTTAAATATATACCATTCTATCAATGTAAAGCAAATTATAAAAGAGCAATCTATTTACAACACATATTCATCTTGTATTTTTTACATTTTATTTTGAAAAAAAAGAATGCCTGGTCTCATCGAAAAAGAAATATACATGTTTCTTGTACACACAAATAGAATAAATGGGTTAAAAGATGTCTTTGCCAAAGGAGGAGGCATCTTTAATTTGCATAAACAAGCATAGCTATATTCTGAGACATCTGGAAGGAAACAGCCTGAGAGTCACTTTGCCAGAAGTCTGGCATGGAGTTTGGATATGTTGAATACGCATTGACATCTCACAACTGACTCCATGCTTGACATAGGTCATATTCCGATAAATTTCCAGTATAGTCTGGCACAGATGGGGAATCGTGAAAACTCAGAAAATCATCACAGGCATCACAGTGCCTAAGCTAATATATTATGATGTTGGCAGAAGAGTTTATGAATTATTTTACAGTTTACTCCCATCTAGTTAAATTTAAGTATAAGTCACAGATTGTATTCCTCCTCCCCCTAGTTCTTATCAAGGTTGTTTGTTTGGGAAAACTATCAATATTTTGTTGATAGCTTTTACCATCAGATGAAACCTTAGACACTACCAGGCCCCAATTATTTATTTTATAGATGTTCTTTGCTTTGTATGTTGTAAATGGAATTAACTTGCATGTTTGTCCCTTCCTAATCCCAAAATAGCCAGTTTCTAAAGGGAACAGCTAGGTCAGAGCTTTAAATATCAGGATGTTCCACAATGTTTACCACACAGAAGTTTTAAAAAATGACCTAAATAAGGTTCAGGCATATGCCTAGGAAGGTTGCAGAGAGGGTGCGTGGCAGAATTCAGCTTATATTGGTTTTAACTACTTTGCTTCCACTTCTCCCTATCCTTGGGTTAAAGAAGTTCCTCGTCCTTTCACAGTTTCTACTACTCAATTTTGAAGGGCCCTTAATCCCTCAGCTTATCTTTCAAAATATTGTGTCCAGGATTGAACACTGTACCCTGAGCACAGTTGGATCTTAAAAAGAATGGCTTTATACTGGTCTTCCTTCTAAGAAAATATAAAACCTCCCCTTTCTGTCCCCTGACCCAGAATCATAAGGTGCCCAAGTGATCTTGACTCATCTCCAGCAAAACAACACTCTGCAAAACTCATTTCTGCTTGAGAGGGACCTCTAGTGTCGGATGTGATTCCCAGGGTCCTGAGGGACTGGGGTTAGAAGACTTGAACATTATTTTTAACCTACAAGGGCTTGGGGATGTCCCCAAGATTGCATTTCCCAGGGAAATATGTTTTCTAGCTGGTCGGTTTTACATGTTTTATGGATTTATTTCAGCAACATAAGAGGGACTTGTCAACTTTGATAGAAAATTTAACAACACAAGACAAAGCCTTCCAGATTCATCCCCATGTTCAGTCTAGCCCAGAAGTTGTTTATAAAGTGATGCAATCAGCTTTTGTGACTTTGTCCTCCCAGATATCAATGTGAACTGATTAAAGACAGAACCTTCAAAGATACATCTTCCATTATCAACCCAAAGAGTGGCCAACGTGACTAAATTTGTGTAAATCTTTCTAGAAATTAAATGTACTTTCCTTTGCCTCTCCCTCCCAAAAGTAGGAGTTTAGTGGCCACTGAATTTTTAACATAGATCTTCCCCTGATTTAACAAAAACGACTTCTTTCACATTTCAACAGGTTCCTCAGGGACTTAATATGTGAGATTTGTTGAGCAAGCTGGTGCTTAAGCTTCTGTTCCTTTCCTGATAGTTTAGATTTTAATTTTAGATTCTGCTCTTTTCCCACTTTTTGCTTTCTACCTTTTCTCTATGTTATTTCCTCTCTGTCTCTATTTCATTCTACCCAAAGGGCGCTTCACATATTATAGGAGCAAACACACCAGAGTTTTAATCCAATGTGCATAAACCTGCCCATTTACAGACTAAAGCAGCTCTGTGGGCCTCAGTGGTGTCAAAACATACAGCCTTCTCCAGGCCACCAGAGGCAGAGGACTTGTTCCACTGCTTGCCAACTCAGGACCATCGAGGGTTCTCCAACCTCTCTAAGCCCCCAGTTAAATGAGATTAGAGTTGGACTCACTTCATGGCTTGACGACATCCTTGCATATGACCCAATGTAATCAGTGATATTAAAAAGAATATTATGTGGAACCCTGACAAAGACAATTTGAAAAATGAATATCTTTGACAATGCTCTCTATTGTTCTTTCTCTTATTTGCAACCTCTGAGAACAGTTGTGCATGAGTCAGATGGATCTATCTTGCTTTTTAATAAATGTACACTGAAGTCTTCCCCCTCTTATACTTTTTTCTGCTTCCACTCCTCATGCATGCTTAAATGACTCTCCTAGGAAATGTTGCTTATAATTCTCAGTATCATCACCCTGGGGTGCAGGGTATATATTTCAGAGCTTTCACAGAGATGTATTTTAAAAGATTCTATCTCTCTGCACCTAACAGGAGTACTTCTGATATTCCCCATGCCACCGCCACCCCAAGAGTCCATTAGCCTCAGCTTAGAATTACTGCCAGTTAAAAAACAAAAACTGCCTACTAACATATTAAGGATGTATTAAGAAATCTGTGTCTTTTGATCTTTTTTTCCTTCAAGAATTTATAGTCTTTCTGTACATTGCAGTGATGAAATAAAAAGTGATTTTAAGTTTTGTAATTTGTAATCCCTCATTTTAAAACTCTATGAATTTGGGGCTGTATTATACATGAATCCTTTCTACTAAGGCAGCAGTTTAGCAAGACCTTCAGGAAACCAAGAAATAAAAATTTTCCTCATTTCCAGGTAAGCAATGCTAAACAAGCATTCGTGTTTGATTTGATCATAATTAGAGACACATTTCTGAGAAATATCTATTTCTCAGAATAGATACATGCTCAGAATAATATATGCTATTGTTGTGGTCTTTGTCAGTTAAATTTCAGACCTCATTGCTAGAAAGAAAGGATTTCCATACTGGAAGGAGCTTTTGAGTTACCTTAATTTCACAAGTAATGAGCCAGCGACCCCTAAGACTTCCCCCAAGTTTATGTAACAGTGTGACCAGAACTTCTGTGTCCAGACCCCTGGCCCTTCCGTCCTGCACCACTACTTTCCTGCCCTAAACAGAGTGTCGCTTTCATTGTGACACCAGCTAATTCTCTTTTTCTAGGCTACCTTCATTTTGTAAAGGAAGGTAGAGCAAGCAAGCAAGCAAGCAAAGAGTTATCTCAATATTTCAGAAGCTCATAAGAAGTTTGGGGTCAAGCATGGTTATAAAAATGGATTAACATTTGGGCGCTTTCTTATGCAAACCTTTCCTGTTTTGCAGCCCTTGCCTGCTGACAGTGGCAGAAAAGATGGGTTTTGCTTTGTGGTGGTGTTGTTCCAGCCCAGTAAAAGGTCTTACGCCTTGAGAGTGCACAGACTAGATCTGTGCTTGGCATTTTTCACTGCCAGCAAAACAGCAAATCATGCTTGGGAGATGTCACTTGAAAGAGAAAAGGCACAATGGGTTTCATTTTTCCATCATAATTTCCTTTGAAATGAAAAATGAATTTTCACAGGCAAAGACTCTCAGTTTGTTTGGCGTAGTGGTGAGGCAGCTTCCTGTAGAGTCACACAACGCGTAGAACTTGGCACTTACTGTATATTTGGTCATTTCTCTTTAAGCACCTTTGCTTCTCAATCATCTCTCCCCAACCCTAACCTACCCACTTCTACTCTGAATAGGTACAGGACAGGGTGAGGGGCTGAAAGGGAGTGGGCAGATAGTATAGGAATGCAGTTTCCAGAGAGTGGGGCAGAAAGACAGGAAGATCCAAGTACAGAGGCAGTGACTGAGGAGGTCACACACACCTAAGGTCAGAACAGGCAGATGGGGAGTCAGCAAGCAGCAGCAGCCATCCCAGCCCCTTGTGGAGATGAGGCTGACAGGGCCTCTGACTTTCTTATCTTAGACCAGAGAACAGTCAGGGTTGGACTGACTGGTGCAAACAAGTGCAGCCTGTGTATGGGACAAAAGTAAATGACGCAGAGTTGACTCAAATGCTCACACTGATGTGACTTTTCACCTAGAATAAAGGTGCTTTTTTCCTCGGACTGCTTTCATACATTTAAATGTCACTATATGCATAAGAAAATGGCTTTGCTGAAGAAAGGGCTTTAAAACATTTTCTTTAACACATTGTATGAAGTGTGTTGTATTACCCAATTCAATGGACAATTATTTATAATCACAATGTAGGCACAATTGGATAGGAACAAATGGAAACTTTATTAAAATATGCATGTCTAAGCAATTCTTATATAAAAGAAAAATACCATTTATTTTGGATTACCTCAAAAGTATAATAGCTGGGTAATTAGAGGGACTTGGTAGAAAATGATAATAGAATAATAAGTGAGGCATATTCAAAGAAAATTGAAATAAATAATGTGTAGTTTATAGAGCCTTTGGTCCACAGAGTATAATTGATATTATTTGGGAACTTGTTTGAATCTTTGGCCCCACCCCAGACTTACCGAGTAGAAATCTGCATTTTAACAAGATCCCACATAGTTCATACGCCCATTAAAACTTGATAAGCCCTTGTTTAAATGACCAAAGGAATCAAAGAATGCTGAAATGTTGAAGTTCCTTTTTCTTTTTCAATAAAAGAATTTTATCATGACTCAATTCTACATGAATAAGGTGCATGTAGTCAGAGAGCTTCGCAGAGATCCATTCTGGATACAGTGTAGAAGATAGGGAGTCCTGCTGAGAGTTGAAGTGGGGCAGACTTGTGGGAGGTCTAGAAGGCTGTTCATATTATCATAATAAACAATGGCAGTATCTATCGTAGACAGGTGGCCTAAGCAAATCACAGGCTAAGATGGAGAGACCCAAGCCTGTAGTAAGGGCAATTATTGAAGGGGTGATAATGCAGGAGATCATAGAATTGATGTGAAGTGTAGGGTGGGTGAAGCCAGTCAAACTCACTATCCGCATCTCTGAAACCCTGATATATGGTGGAGTCCTCACCAGGAAAGAAGTAGCTCTGGAATTGAGACAAATAGATCAGAAATAAACAGTCAATTTCCTGTTCTCAACTATGAAAGCCATGCTGCATGTTTATGGGCAAAGACTAAACAATGTTTGTGATTTGGGTTATCAAATATTATTGTCCAGCTTTAAGATTTAAAATTGAGTTTGAATTCTATGCTACAAAGTCTGTGGTAGAAAATTAGTTTGGAGGCAAAATTACTTATTCAAGAACTAAAATTTTGAGCTACAGTATGTTACATTAAATGTTTACACAGTAAAGCTTGAGTATATCTTAGGGTTTATGCTCCAAAATCCCAGAATGATAGGGTTGTGGGAAGCAGAAGAGTAGAAGAGAGTTAAGACTTCTTCTTGGGATGGAGTAAAGTCAGTGAGGCCAAGAGTGAACTAGGAGGGGAGAGTAAGAGCTTACTGGACCACAGGGTCAATGAGCACTCATAGCAATGAACTCTCTCCTTCTTTCTGAGACTGTCTTGGAGAGTCTGGAAGAGTCTTATATTAAAAGTGAGAAGGCTAAGACAGACTGGAGAAGCAGCAGGCAGATCTGGAGGGAGAGAGAGAGAGGAAAGGAGAGGAGAGGAGAGGGGCTCTGGTTTCCAAAGCTGAGTTCCCTTTGGCATCATAGAGCATGAGGAATACCTGGGAAGTCTCTGTGAGTCATCATGAGAGCTAGAGGGAGCAAAGAACTAAGTGTCTGGTATGGTGTGTGATGGGGTAACTTCTTAGAAGAGGCTGAGGGAGGAAGCCAGGCTTCAGAATATGAGCAACAAGGGACAAGTTATGTGGGTAAGTCAACTGCCCAAGCTTGACCTACAAGTGATTATCAGGTATTACCAAAGATGAAAGACTATTTATGTGCATGGGAGTCAGCTGCAGTAACCAACCAGCAGAGCAGTGATCAAAGGTGGATGCCTCACTTTTAAAACATCTCACCTACTCCCTGGCAATTTAGATTATCTCCTGGCAGAAAGAAAATGTAGAAGTAAAGTTAACTTGAGCCAGCAAATAAAAATTTCCACCATCTGCATGGATAAGGCTCCAGAGCAAAGCTAATTTCAGTTTTAAAGAAATAAAGATTAAGTTTTATGAAACTGACTTTTGCTACTGTACATATTACACTGGCTACAAGTATATTTTTGGAATGCAAGATTTACTAAGACCCCTGAATACCATGTAGTCTTTTGTTGTTCAAGCTATGTTTCATAGATATCTGGAGCTCCATGGGGTGATTGCCAGGAGCAGACAGATAGGCCAAACAAAGAGGATGCCATCCAACTTCCCTTCCTACTGACCTTTCAATAACTCCACCCTCTAATACTGGACAACAACTAATCTTCTCTAACTACCACCTTGTCTTACGATAAAGAGTCAGTGGGCCATGTCTGAAAGCTCCTCTATGACCAGAGAATACCTGGAAGCTTTCTTCCCTATTCAGCCAGTACTCTCTTCCTTTTACTGTCTGCTGGAGTTGGCACTCATTGAAAATGCCTG
Organism: Homo sapiens; assembly: GCF_000001405.40. Classification (NCBI taxonomy): domain Eukaryota; kingdom Metazoa; phylum Chordata; class Mammalia; order Primates; family Hominidae; genus Homo; species Homo sapiens. The sequence continues at coordinate 38,889,619 of NC_000018.10, forward strand.
GGACAGCACCACTGATGAGAGAGACTCTTAAGAGTCTTACATCCTCATGTAGACAATTACAAGCGCTGTAATCTGAGTGTATTCCTTACTCTTACCCACTCCTCTGCCTTATATTCTGGGGGAGTGGCTGCAGGACTGGCCTCCTTAGGCAAGGATCTAACTTCTGGTTCTCAGAGATGTGTAGACTGATTGGGAAATTAGCTTATTTTGCATGCTCAAGATCTCCATCCCGGAAGCAGGACTCAATGATGCTTCAAAAATAGGGCCCAGTGGCATTGAAGGATATTTATCTGAAGAATTGAAAATTGTTCTATTGACTATAATGCATCATCCTTTGCTTCTTAAGACCTCAGGTCTCTATAGAATCTGCAAAGACAATAGGTCTATATTCCGTGATGACTAGAGTGACTTAGAGGTTAAAATACAAATTGTAATGGAATAGAAGGGGGCATGTGCAGGGAATGAGTAAAAGAAATGGCAAGATGAAGTTGAAGTCATGAGAATTAATTTCACAGGAAGGTTCTTATTGCCCCCTTTAGCAGCTAAAATTCACATACAGGCACATCTTAAGTAATGTGTCGAGCTGTCCGAAAGATAATTTGAATCCTGTCAAGGCAAACAAGAATATGCTCACAAATTCAAGAGTAATATATGTGAAATTTGCACAACATCAGTTTCTTTGGTTGTTTTTGGATGGAGCCATCACCATCAATTAAGTTAGTGACTCTTTGATTCAAATTACTTTTTGACATGTAGTCAACTAAATGGCTCACACAAGCATTATTTTCTGCAGGGTTCCCTAGGCAGCCATATAGTAAATGTAAACAGGTGGGAAGGCAGAACAGCACTGCTGCAGAAGCAACCTCCTCCCCCTTGCAGCAGAGAGAATAATAACATGAAGAAATATGGAGATATTATTAGATGGCCAGGAATAAAGCTTCTAAAAAAAGAGATTTGCATATTTATTATATCTTGCTACCGATTCAATATTTCTCTACTTGAGGTTGCCTCTTAACCCCACATTGGGCTCTTATAATCAAGTCTCAGAAGCGAAGCAAGGGTAAGGCTGACTCTCAGACTACAGAAAGATCATATGCCCTGATATAAACTTGAACTTGACAGGAGTGGCGATGGAGAACAGTGATATTATTGACAATGTCACAGAAATAAAGCCTCATGGAACAAACATGTTTTCAGAAGCATATGTGTTAGAGAGCATGTGCTCAGAGAATGAAGATATTTAATTATGATTTTTTAATGCACAAAATGAGGGATTGACCTCCGGCAACTTTTTCATTATCATGGTCAGATCAGTTATACCATTAAGGCCAATGTTATCCATATTCAGGATAGACTTGGTTGAGATTTTCAATAGATTAAACGAAGTTCTCAGGTGTTAGAAATTATTCAGTCCCATGCCCAGCTGCCTCCACATTAAGACTAAGAGCAGGGATTCCACCTATTTTGTTCGCAGCAATGTCCCCAGAGCTATACCATATCTGGCACATAGTAAGTGAAAAAGTAGACAACAAAATAAAACTCTGTTGGTAAAGTGTATGAATTAATCAAAAAATAAATTAACTTTACATTTGGTGGTTAGAACAAAGAAAATCTAAATTCTGGTCATGGCTTTGTATTAACCAGCTATGGACATCTGGGATCACTTCAGTTCTTCAGGGCTCTGTCATACTTCTCTATAAAATGGGATAATAACACAAATTCCAACTATTTTAGGGCCAATAGAAAGACAACATGATAGAATCCATGTGAAAATAGCTTGAGAAGCTGGGAACACTGAACGAAGTAAACGGTTGTTTTTGTTTTATCATCACTTCCTACAGACATTGGTTCTTAAATAAGAACATTTCTAAAGGGAGGAAGTAGCACAAATCCCTGAGCTGCCTACACTACAGTCCAATTTGATATTTCTTATGCACAAGATAAAATGTTTCATGCTAAGATATACAATTCCAATACCTTTGTGTTTACTGGTTTATAAAATTCAGGAGCATAAAATCCCAAGTTTCCTTGGGTTTTTGCCAAGCACAGAATACAGATGGAAAGCTGAACATTAAGCCTGTTATGCCAAACTTAAATTTGGCCATAAATTGCTGGATAGTTTCAGTTCAAAGAAACTCGGCAGTATTATCTTTAAAGCAAATTACAACTGAAAACCAGAAACCAGGGCAGGAAAAAACTGAAAGAGAGGAGAGAAAGTGTTTTCAAAGGAAACAAGGACAAAGCAGGTCCATTTTCAGCTCAGTCTGAATGCTCATTTGTGTTGTCTCATCTTTCCTGCTATACTAAAATCACTTTTATTCATTCACTCATTAAATAAACATTTACACAATGCCCCCTAGGCCCAAGGCCTGTGGAGGTCGTAATTAAAAAGCCATACTTATTGCTCTGTATCAGTGAGGGTTCTTCAGTTGCAATCAAACAGAGAAAAATATATATAAAAATAAAACTCTAGCTAACTTACTCAAAAAGAGAACTTGCTGTTAGGGTATGGGAAAGTGGAAATGGGCTGAAAGGCTAAGGGGAAACTCAGGATTTAAAAAAGATGCAGAATGTGTTTGCAGCAGATGAGAACTTGGAAGTTTGATAGTAGACATTGTCTCCAGTTGTACTCAGATCCTACTGTTAGAGTGAATGAATCACAACTATTAATAAAGTGGTACCAAGAATATTGAAGTTTAGAGAGAGGGCAATGAAATGCTGGAGTTTTAAGAGAACAGTTAAGGAAGGCTTCACTGCGAAGGGTGATGGCATCAGAAAATTTTAGTCTTGGCATTGAAAATCATTCTTGTTTATGGTATCCTTTTGGTTTTTTTGTTTGTTTGAATTTTTAGAGACAGGGTCTCACTCTGTCACCCAGGCCAGAGTGCAGTGGTGCCATCTCAGCTCACTGCAACCTCTGCCTCCTGGGTTCAAGTGATTCTCCTGCCTCAGCCTCCCAAACAGCTGGGGCTATAAGTGCCCACCACCACGCCTGGCTAATTTTTGTATTTTTTTGATAGAGACAAGGTTTTGCCATGTTGGCCAGGCTCAAACTCCTGACCTCAAGGGATCTGCCCGCCCCAGCCTCCCAAAGTGCTGAGATTACAGGTGTGAGCTACTGCTCCCGGCTCCTTTTTCTGTTTCGTGAGTTCTGACAGTCCATGGAGATCATTTTTCTCATAGCCAGGAGTAACTCATTCCTAAAAAAAAAAAAAAAAGATTAAAAACAGGGCATTGTCAGTTCTGTGTTCTGTACAGTTGTTCCCTACAGATTCCTTTTGGTGGAATCCCAGAGTGAAACTGCCATACATTTGAATCTAACATATAATGAGTAGGTCTCGTAATCAAGATGCATGAGGTGATGAGAAACACTCATTTTAGTTTCATTTTGCTTTATTTTTCCTTAAACTTGAGGACAAATGTTACATACCTTCAGGGAATTTTAAATTCAGGATGTTTAAGTTGCAGCAATTTCACTTTAAGACATGTGAAGTAGAAATAGATTTGAAAAGATACCCTTTAAAGCCATTGAAATCAAATAATTTAGCGGAAGTGTCTAGAAGAGATCCTGATACAAATTCTGAGATAGTGAAGGATGAACTTAAAGTCTGTAGGTAAATAACGTTAAGACCTGTTTATTCAATAAATTCGTAGTGACCACCTGCTGAGCACAAAAATCCCCTGGTACAAAAGCAAGGGAGCTATAGTTGAGGACATCTGGGGCCACTCTGCCTAGGGACAAAGCATCATGTGCTCAAGTGTCTTCTGGGTATTACTGACCAGCAGCAAAGAACATTAAGGATGAGAGAACACCCAAAGTACGTTCTTAAGGAATAATGATAATTTTGTCATTTCTCAGCCTCACTTCAGAGTAAATAATAGGCTTATTGAAATACCTCTGTTTGGGGGACTGAGACAAGAAGCAGTGTCCATTATAAAATTGTTCCAAAGCAGTTGTACTATCAGATGTTATCCAGGTTTCACATGGAACAAGGAGGTAGAAAGAGAGCCTATCTGTAGGGGGGTTGCACAGCCCAAGATACAGATGGTAGAAATGGGTGGGTGAGGCATGGAGGCTGATGGGCCTGCTCTGGCTGGATATGAGAGGTGAAAAGGGCAGGGAAGAGAGGGAAACAAAGGTAGTTCTCAGACATCACAGCAGAGAGAAAGTGGTAGATATTGCATAACCATTGAATCATTAGTTCTCATAGCAGGCATATAAAATACAAAATCTTATCTCCATTTTACAAGTGAGAAAACGATGCTCTGAAAAAAATATATCCAAGTTTCTACAGTAAATAAATAGTAGTATTTGCTCATTTGGATCTATGTGGCACCTTTTTTCATTCCAGCATCACATCACATTAAAATTATTTGTATCTTTTTCTTTCCAAAAATAAATTATCTCCTTGAGAAAAGTGCCCATATTTTACTGTTACTCATATATTTACAACAGAACACGGCATAGCATTCTGATTTTTCCAAAATGTTGTTTAGTAATAGTGTAAGAAGAAATCTCTGAGTTTTCTTCCAAACTTGTTTTCTTGTTCTAAAACCTCTGACCTGAAGACCTTAACTATGCATAGTCATTCTTACTCTTCTTGGTGTTACATACCACATCATTATGGTCACTGTGACTACATGGTGCAAGTTACTACCAACCTTCTGATTTACTGCCAAAGCTCCCTACCTATTCTTCCCGTTGCTGACTTTGTCTCTGCACAGTCTTTCTCAACCTAACATCAAGAATGAGCCAAAGGAAGTATCCCAGATTACGTTACTCCTCTGCTCAAAACCCTGCAGTGGCACCTCATGTCATTCAAGTTAAAAGTGCCTACATTGACTTAGAAGGCTTTACATCATCTATCCCAAGTCAATCTTCTCTCGCTAGTCTTGTCTCATTTAATCCAAGTCCCTAGATTACTGCCCTAGATGATCACAAATCTCATAAAAATGAATGAGTGAATTCTTTTTTTGGAGTAAGGTAAAATCGACATCGACCCTTCTCCAAATAACAGCACTAGAGATTTTGAAGAACCTTCCAAGGATTTTTCTTCCTGGATCTAATCACTTCCATCTCCCAATCATTCTTCTTGTAGTGCAGCTTTCAGAGTCTTTCTTCTGAAGATTCAGTCTAGATTTTCCATGTCTTTCTCAATATGTGGTTTTACAAATTGAATTCTACTGTAGGTGCAACATAACCATTCTAGAACAATATAAATCTCATCAAATCTTGGCCAACTGACTTAAAAATCTAATTACTTACCCTGGTAATATCACTAAATCTAAAAAGTGAAACTGTTATTAACTTTTTTAATTCACTGTATATTAATTGTACAAAATTATTATTATGCTTTTTAAGAAGTGGTTTAATTGCCATCCACACATTGACTGGGGCCTACTTGCTACTCAGGTTTTGCCTCTGACTGTGGAAAGAAATACCTTATTTTATGTATGTGTGTATGTATGTGTGTGTGTGTATGTATGTATGTGTATCAATTCACTCTTCCTCATTGTATTGAACTACATTCATGATTAGCATGCTTTAGAGAAGTAGTATCTACCTGAGGTGATAGGACAGCCCTGGTCGGGTCAGTGTGGATGTTTTAAGATTTCTGTGGAGTAAAGGCCATGAAGGAAACCCAGACACTGTCAGAGAGACCACTTGGTGTCCAGGCCTTTTGGGGTTGATGACCAGTTTGTTTATGACAAGTGACTGACAGGCTGTGAAATTACATGGAAGATCTACAGTCCACACATGAACACTGATTTATTAAATCAAATGGATGAGAAAGGGCATGATGTCTGAAGAAGCAAATGTATGCAGTTTTACCCCCTCCAGAAAGATGTCCTAGATTAAAATACATGACAGATGCGGAAATGATAAGTCATCTCAGACCACTGGCATACGTCTATGGGCCCAAGATATAGATGAGATGAAAAGCTTTTTAATTTTTCCCCAGCTATGATGGACTAATCAAAGGAGAGAGCATTAATTTTAAAAAAATGTAAATCTCTTTATAAGGACAGGACACCAAATCTGGAATTACTGAGGCACAGTACACACATGTTGTGAGAGAATAGCTCTCTTTACATTTTGCTCTTAGCAACCAAGGCAGGCAGAAGTTATTCTGGACCTTGTCTGGGGCTGGAGCCAAGTATGACATGTAGGAAAGAAATCAGCAAACGTCTAGGGTCGACTGATCATTATATATTCAGATAAGAAATGCTCCTCAGGGTATATGTGGGGAAATAGCATCTCAAAAAGTTAATGCACTTTTTAAAAGTCTAGTTTTAAGAGTGTAAAATATGCCATAAATTGAAGCAAGAACATTATCAACAGTAGTCATGAAAACCTACTACTATGAAAAACCAGGAAATATTGCATTTAATTGGAAGATGTGAGGAATGCATGCTAACTATAGTCATTCTAATAGAATCCTAGGATTCAGAGCCAGACATGCAAAGATAGGGAATAGTGAAATGCAAAAATAAGTAGGTGCAATCTTAAGTATTTGAAAATTTAAAACAATGTGTCAACGGAGTGGACTGGTCTTACAAGAAGAATAGGTAGCCCTTGCTGAAATAAATGGAGTGAAAATATATCCTTAAAAAATCCAAAGAATTCCCCCATCTACCACATTTCCTGGTGTTTTTACGTAATTGAAAATTATCCATTGAGAAAAAAGATAATGATGAAGATGGTGATGTTTCCTGTGGGTTTCACTGGTAGATTATGATAACTAAATCTTTTCTAGTTTGGTGAAAATTTAGCCACTTCTGGAGGAATCACAGCATGGAGTCATGGGAGGAATAAATCACTTGACCATAGTGTATTCTAGTTAAAATGGGAAAGAAAGGAAATGGCATTAAGTCTTCAGGTTTACCAGGAAATCCGTTATCCTGCCCTATCCATCCATCTATTGAAACTGTAATTCAAAATACACACTCAAAGCCCTACCTCCTCTGAAAAGCTTTCTCAAGATTAATTATTATGGTTCATGTTCATAGGATCAGCTCTCTCACACATGTACACACACAACACATTCACACACAGTAAAATATACATGTTCCTACCCCTTTACACCTTCTTTACCCTTATTATTCATGTTTTCTTCATTTATCATGCCTCATGTAGTGTATTCTGAATCACAGCTTCTGTTGATGTTGTGAAAACACAGTTCTCTTTGAACAAATTATCCAGTAGTTTCTCATCTTCAGAGGAAGACTCTTCTAGTGACCCACAAGACCTTACTTAATCTCCACTTTCACCATTTTGCAATCCTTATCTTTCTGATCTTCTGTATCCTACCCTGGCCTTCTTTCGACCCTTCAAACACACTAAACATATGCATGTCTCAGGCTCTCTGCCAAGAACACTCTTCCTTCAGATATCTATCTACAAGATGTCTTCCTTCCTTTAGTATTGCTCTAACACCCCACTCCTGAGTGAGAGCATCTCTGATAACCTAAATTAATATCACCCATCACTCCAGATCCACTTACCTAATATTTTATATACATTGCTTACATACATTTTGCTTTTTCTCTTTCTAACTTCTCCCACCTAATTGTGCAACTAGAATAGACCTCCACAATGGCATTAACTGTGTCCATTTTGCTGAATGCTATATCCCTAATGCCTAGAAAAATGCACATTCACTGAGTTGATTAGGCCCACCTCGCCATTCATACACTGACAACATTATGATAAGGTGTTATTCCTGTTTTTTGTTTTTGTTTGTTTGTTTGTTTGTTTGTTTTTATATATTAGGAAAGGAAACCAAGAGGTTAAGTAACTGACCTCAAATTACAACGGGAAAATGGAGGTTGAATCCAGGAAAGTCCAACTTAGATGCTGTACACTTATAGATTCACAGACAGAAATGTCCTAGGATATTCACAACAACAGTACTTGTAACACCTTCCAGCTGTATATTCAAACGCCCATCAGCAGCAGAGTGAAAATATCCACACAATGGAGCACTAAAAAATGAACATATTTTGAGTAAAGGATTCTAGGAATATGAGTCTATATTGTATAATTTCATTTATATATATACTGATGTATGTAACAAACCAAAAAAAAGCAAAACTGAGTTATGTCATCAGAAGTCAGGATGGCAGTTATTATCGTTGGGGGTGGCGGTAGTAGTGAGTAGATGGAAACAAGAGATGATCTTCTAGGGTGCTGCTAATATTCTGATTTTGTACCTTGAAGTAGGTAAGTGAGTGCATTAAGCTTGTGAGAATTTACTGTTTTGTAACCTTATGATATATGCAAAATATTCCATGTGTATTTGCCATAGAAAGTATTCTTAGATGCCCCCCCTCCAATTTCCAAACCCCTGTTGCACATACCTTGCCTAAGTCCCTGCCTTCGAGTGTGAGTGGGACCTGTGAATATAATGGGATGGTCACTTATTTGATTAGGTTCGTTTTCATTACAAAATGATGGGATTATCACCCGCATGACTATGCTACCTGACGTAAGACTCTGTTATAGCCGAAAAGGCAGAAATTCTCCTGCTGACTTTGATAAAGTAGCTGCTATGCTGTAAGAGAGCCAGGAAGAAGAATCTGAGGGAGGCCTCTAGGAGCTGAGAGTGACCTCCAGCCAACAGTCAGCAAGAAAACAGGGACCTCAGTCTATAGTTATACGCAACTCAATCCTGACAACAGTCTGAGTGAGCTATAATAGTTGTAAGAGTTCAAGCCTACAAGAGTCAGGCACTAAGCCTGGAAAAGAAATGTAATTGGTCTTTCCTCTCTCACAATGGAATTCTTTCCGTGAGATCCTTGCAATTTGCATAGAGTAAGTCTCCTGGATATAAGAATGCAAATGAAGCCGATTTGGGAAGGAAAATAGGCATTTTTCTAATAGACAAATAGGAGTTTGATGTTATTATGTAAAACTTACTAAGAGATGTGACTTTATTTTGTACCCCAAATGACTGAATGAGAACACTTCCATTAAAAAATATATTATATATATGCATATACATGCATAATATACACCCATATGCATGCATAATATATATATCCATAAATATAATAACTCTGTGACCCAATAAAAAAGTCTGAGAATTGTATGTGTTTGATAAGAATGCATGGCTATAAGTTGATGAAAGTTAGATTTAAATTTTATATTAAGAATGGTGTAATTGTCAATTACATGCAACATGGGATCCAATGACAAGTAAACTTAACCATTAAATCTGAGCAAACTGAACTTTATCTCTCTTTTGAGATTCACAAAAATTTTGATTAGGACAATTGACAGCCCTAAACAGAGCATGTGGCTGGTTGAAAAGGGAAATAGCCATGGTCTTTTCTCACCTCTCATAGGGAACTTTTGGGTCTTTCTGCTTTATACTGTCCTATGTTAAGACTCTACCTACAGAGAGACAATAGGTAGAATCTTAACATAGGACAATATAAAGCAGAAAGACCCAAAAGTTCTTCCCTTTCTTCTTTCTTCTTTGCTCCTTCTTGCTCTTTTTTTCATCACCTCCATTAGAACGTGGATGCTCCAGGAAGAACTCCAAACACATGCAACTTTTTCTGTGTGGTCTCCTCTTGTAAGAGCAGTACCAATAAGACCTGACACATCAATAACTGTCTCTGGAATGGGCAAAGGAAGGGATGAATCCTTGAATGAATACATCAACCTATCTTCTCTGCTAATAAGAGCTGGGTCTGCTTGAGGAGGAGCAGCTCCATGGGGTGTTGTTCATTGGCTTAGATTCCGAATAGCTAACAGGCCTCCCCTCCTCACTGTTGTACCTCAGCCCCATAGTGACAGTGAAAGAGTTGACAGGATGTCAGCTGACCCTTATTGATTATGCATGATCTCATTAGCAATACTTCGGCCCAGCATGACCTAATCCTTGCCAGAAAGGCTGTGATATATGAGGACCAGCACTTTGTCATTTGATGTTAGGCAAATGGACAGATCACTTAGTACCTGTGGTGCCCAAAGACATACTCCCTCATGCTTTGAGGAGATAGCTAGGAGAGCAAACTACACAGTGAGCTATGTGGGTCAGACAAGTCACTGAGAGCCCATCTTGGCTGCACATCTAGTTATTTATTTATGTTTTGTTTGCTAAAAATTCTTATGTTGTGGCAGCCCTGGGACATGTGTCCCAGTAAATTGTAAAGTCAGACATGCTTGGAGCAAACCTGCTGAGATCCTTGGGGTTTGAGACTTCATTCCCTTTGATAAAAGGACAATGTTCTAACCTGCCCTCTTCCTACCCCTGCTCCCTGCCCCTTCCAAAAGGCAGCCTTGACACCATGGGCTGGGCAGAGAAATTACTGAACACGTGAGAACACTGAGGCCTAGGGAATAAGAGTAGGTGATTGACCAGACCATGGCCATGGCCAGCATTAATTGTACCATTGTGTGATTTATAAGAAGAAAATCCCTTTTCCTCCAAGTTAAAGAGCTGCTAAAAGATGCTGTTTTCTCTGAACTTAAGCAGTCCATTGTCAGCTCCCATTTTCTCTCTGGTGACCATCTTTGTGCTGTATACAAACTGTGCAAACTTGGTCTTGAGTTCTCAGCACAGTGTGGCTGGCTTAGTCTTATCTTGGGGAACTTGCAGTCATAGAGGAGCTATCTCAATAACCAGGCTGGGCATGCTGAGCCACTGCGGGCAGTGACTATGGAAACATGGCGTCTTGAAAGGAATATTTCATCTAGAAGCTAACACCTGGTGCTGTCCTCTGCTTTTGCAAGTAAGCAACCAGATTCTAGAGAAAGCAAGTTCTATAATTGTCCTGTTTAAGTTACTTAAAGAAGAATATAGCACAGGTAGGGAGGCCTGCAAAAATTCACCCCCAATATGCTTGACTAGACAAAAGAAAAGACATAACTTCTGTTCAGAAATAAATGATTCTTCCACTCCAAGCACAATGGCTGACTGTTCAGAGAAAAAAAAAAATCCTCCCTTGTTTCAATCATCCTCTTTATTAGTACTCTCCCATGACTAAGCCAGTCAGGGAAGAATCATCAGTAAATATTGCTTATTAAATGCTTGAGTCAGGTTATCTGCCTGTCAAGAGGAGCGGGTGGGCGTGTGTTGGGGCCATTGCTGCTGAGTGAGCATTCTTGGCCTCCCTGAATACTCCTCAGCGGCACCCATCCTTTAATAAGTGTTGTGTTCGCTGCCCTTTTTAAAATGATTGAATTATGGCTTTTTATGGCTCTATAAAAGCCTTTATTAATTTTGGAAAGCCGCTGCATCTTCTGATTCTGTCCAGTCCCTGCCGGGAGGTTAAATTATTCATGCAGATTCCAATTGGCTACGTTGATTGTGTTCTGAGAACAACAACATGCAGGGCTCTTTGTTTTCCATGAAGGTTGGGGGCAAGGTTAGGAAGAAGGCAAGAAGGGTGTGGGTATCCTAAAAGGCATTATTGCAAGGGCCTCATGGGGCCTCCACGGTGTGGGGAGAGAGAGAAGAAGGCCTTGGAGTGGTAAAGGGAATTGTTGGACAACCATCCAAACTTGGGGAAAGAGACAAGGGACTTTAACAATGTCCAGTCAAGGGATGCATTCACATGTATGTGAGTGTGCTCAGGCAAATGCCTGTGTGTTAGCTTTTCTACCACGGCTTTTTAAAATACTTCTCAAAATGAGAATAAAATATTATTTTTATAGAGCTCTTTCTAGCTTACGATGTGCTTTCGAACATATTATCTCATTTTTATGTTGAGCGCCCTGTAATTGCATATGCTGCTGAAATAGCTATTTTACCATGTTCATTTCATGTGGCACAAGGGTGAGCCTCAGGAAGGTGGTATTGCCAAGTGCTATGTAGCTCCCAAGTGGCTGCTCTGAAAAGTAACAAGGTCTTTAGGTTCGAAGTCTAGAGCTGTTTCTGTGCTAACCCTGCCCTCCCTGTTGTTTCTAGCTGGAGAGTTTGTGAAGGAAATGTTGCCCTGGAACCTTTCCCACTGCCATCTCTCATGGGCATCCCTACCTCACACATATGTGCACAAGTGCACACACACGCACACACATGCACACACACACTTGTGTGTGCGCACATATGTGCCCAAACACATGCTTGTAAGTTAAATATATCCAGCCTTATCTCTTACCACTTCTCCAAGAATCCCAAACCCCCTCAAAATTGCCCCTCCCTGGCACTTGTTCTCAGACCTTGTAACCCACTGATTGCTTCTTTCTTTAGTCTCTGCTACTCTCCCACCTAGAATAATCTATGGACTCAAAAGTTGCCTCTTCTGTGACTTTTTCCCTAGGTAATCCCATCTCATTCCATACTGCAAACTCTTCCTAAATCAGAAGGGACTGAGGAGGACAGAACATGGGTGCCACTCAGAATCAGGACTGAGTATACAGAAGCAGACCGAGTCACCTGTGGCCATTAGTCTATAATTCATGAATAGGGACACCAGCCTTGCCTAGCCCACTTCTCAAGGCTATGGAGGGACAAGTGAGACAGTACATAAAGAGAGGATCATAGGAACTGCAAACCATTGCATGCGTTTTATACTGTGGTATCTGGTGCTTTGAGAAATAGAAAATAAGGCCAGAGAAATCAAGAAAACCTGGTGTCATCAGAGAAGCTCCTAATAATCCTTTTGGTTTGGGACTACCATGGCTTTTCATTGAGAAACTGACAGTGGTAGGATATGGCTGCTGAGTTTCAAGGATGTTGGGAAGCTGCATTTGACTCTTAGAAGAAAATGCTGAGAAACGGCTTAGGGTGAGAATCCACGAAACAAGTGACTAGACTTGGGCTAAACCTGAGGAGCCCTCAGCCTAGGACCAAGAGAAATCCCATTAACCAGAACCAAGGGCATCAAAAAGGTCAGCCTGGCTTGATGCTGAGTTGAGCCTTGCACTAACTTAGGGCTCCCCAAATATTCTACCAGCCCTAGAAGGACAGTTGGTTTTAGACAGGAGCAATGCTATATAGATGGGCCAAATGTATAATGTATGGCCTCAGCAATGGCCAAAGGGCAGGGTGAGGCCCTCCATCATCACAGTTCCAGAAGATAACCAGCACAAAGAGACTCACTTTACTGGGTGTGCTCTCCCTAACTCCCCTTACACACACACACAGCCCCTGCATCCTCCATGCCTAACTCACCAAGTATCAGCTCCAGAGCAAAAAGAAAACCTGGAGTCACAGAGCTTTGGAGAGCACAGGTCAGTTTAAAACACATGACATTTCCAATGCTTCTAAGCTGTTAGTTCCAAAAGTTTTAAGCCTTCTTAAATTCACTTGATATTCCATATGCTGTCATCTGGCTACTCTACAAAGCAATCATTTGGAGGCACTATGGCTTTTGTGAATACTGGCAAGTCCTGTATGTTCTCTTCCTGTTTCCATTTGTCTCCCCTCTCTCTCCTCTTTCTGTTCATGGCTATTCTTTCCCTGTTACTTCACAGCATTTCAATTTGGCTTTCTGCTTTTTAACCCCTCCCTTCGTTGTGAACTAGATACCACTGAGAAGCTAGTTTTCTGCATTAACATTGAGAAGTTGGCTGCTGTTTTTCTGCAATCTGTCACTTCTGTGTGACTCATAACCCCTTCCGTGTGTCCCGCTCCATCCTGTGGCAACAGCCCTCGTCTCATCCAAGAGAAAGTTGTGGGACAACCGCCTTATCATTAGAGTACTGGGGACAAAGGAGTGTTTTTCAGAGATGACTAACATACAGAAAATAAAACTTCATTTTTCCCACCAATATTTATTGAAGTTTAAATTGTGCCAGGCAATGGAGACACAGAAGTGTGCAAAGCCCATTCTTTTCATGGTGTTTAGATTCTAATGTGGAGAGACAGCACTAAAATGACAAATATATCTGGATTAATGATAATTTAACTCAAAGAAATGAATCTCAAGTGGCGGCATTTATGACATGGGGCAGAAATCAGGTGTTTCTAGCTCTGATACTAATCCTTTTTGTTCGGGTTATAGCATTATTCACTTCAGCAAAGTTGGGTGAGAAAGTACAGGGATTATTGGAACAGAGGCTTTTCTCAGACTGAGAAAATAAGCTATCCCATCCTCTGCCTGCTCCTCAGCTAGTTCAGTGGTTGATGTTTTATAGATATATTTTATGCCAAATTGAGCCTTGAGAGGAAGGCTAAATCTTCAGCTTAAAATTTATATGTAGAATCACAGTAATAATGTTTGAAGACTGAAAATTCCAGAATAACCATACATGGAACTGGTCAGGCAAACAGCAAATTGTACCATCAGTGACCACTTGGAAACTTCTTCATCCTTCCTACATTCCTGAAATTTCAAAGATAATAGAATGCTTGCTAGATCAAATAGTTTGACTCTGTTTACCAAAACCTGCTCTAGGTGTTCTTGGGAAGCAGTCATTCAGGGGAACATGGAGCTGTAAAGGTCAAGTTGAGACTTTGTGGGTTAAGAGGGTCAGGTTGGCTTTCCATGAACGTGAATATCTGCCAATTAAAAACAAAAGAAAATATTTCTTTCAAAAACAATCTAAGTCCTTGAGGGAAAAAGAGATTCATTTACAAGTCATTATATTCAAAATACTTTATTTTCAAATTAATAAGACACTATAAGATAACACTTCTCAGATAGTACTCTTCGTCCTCCAGAAAGTCTCTCAGTGGAGACACAGAAAGGCGTGTGAGCGATGTTCTGCACATGGAAAAGTCCAGCATCAGACAATCTCTGCTAACTGCACAGTTTGGAGGAGACCTCAGAGGGAAAGGCACATTGAGAGAGAGCAAAGGACACAACCCCTTTCTCTTACACATGGCAGATCAATTCAGTGTCTTTCATTACAACCTGAAAACCAAATGTACATGTGAACAATAAACTTTAATCTGGTTGACAACAGTTTTTAAAAAACGCACTGAAAGCAAGTTTCAGCAGCCTGACATACTTTATGACACTTATTAAAAAGACACACTTGTAAGTCAATTAACCTGGCCAGTGGTACCTTTTAACTTGTTTTCTAAAAGGAAAGCAGCTGCAAAAGGGCAAAGTTTCAATCTAGAAGGTTCTAAGTTGATTTCTTTTCCCCTAAAGTGAAGGCAGCTACCTGAGTTCCAAATAATATATATATGTAAGCTCGCAGTTTACTTGCCTTCGACACCTGAAAAGTTCCCAAAGGAAGAGCTTATGGTTGCCCTTTCTTGGTTTTTACATTTTATCATTCAAAAAAGAATTGAGATCTTACCTGCAAAGAAATAAATGTAGGGTAAAATAGCTAAAATATGAACATTAAAATAGAGGGATTATGTGCATTATTTAGTTAGCAAACTTTTCTTGAGTTTGTACTAAACGTGTGTGTTGAGGGGAAAACACAAAAACAAACAAACCTGTGTACTTTTCTCGATTGTTTCTGAGGACATGGACTTTCCATGTCCAAGGCATTCCGAACCCCCATAAGTAAATAAAACGTTATTTTTTTATTTTTTTGTACTTTTTTAATTTTGTTTTTCATTTTCTTGAATTTTGTGATGTATAAAGTATTACAAATTTACAATATAGCCTTTACTCTCTAAAAGTGATTGTTTTAAAGGTGTAATAATCTTAAAAAATCAACTCATCATAATTGTTTGAGTTCTATGGATTTATGACAACAAAAATAGTAGCTTCCGAAAAAAGCTTGCTTAGAGTATTTCAGTAGCACACAGTTCTCCAAAGCAAAATAGATAAAATCTAGTATATTTTGACCTTTAGGGAGCTATCTATCTATCTATCTATCATCTATCTATCCTCTGTCTATCTATCTATCTTTATCCTTTAATACTTCATCCTTTATACTCTTCATCCTTCATTCTTTTATATATGCACAGTGAATATGTATGTATAAAAACAGGAATAAGAGTTTCAGTGCTTTCTTTGCTAGTGAGCGTTCTGTTTTTGACTTTCCATATATTCTTTTCCTTTTGACCAAGCATTAAGGAATTGGGATCGGAATGGCTCTGGCAGAAGAAACAATTTATTCCTTCACAGATTAAAAAGAAAGGGAGTATTGACCTACTTATTTAATAGTTGAGGCTTTAAAAACAAGAAAAGCAAACCTAAACAATTTATAGAAATTGAAGGGTAAGTAGGTCCCACCTCCTCATGGCCCTGTGATTTTAAGGTTCACAAATTCATGTCAAAAAGCTTCCTGATTGTAAGGTCTCTGCATCTATAAGTCTGGACCCCCTACCACATTTACATTTATCTAAATCGAGGATATAAAACAATTTAGCTACATTCACATTTTTTTTTCACATTGCCTTTTTAAAGTGTAATTGGATTCCTAGTAATCCAAGATTTTGTGGCAAAATCAGTTGCCTGTAGGGACCCAATGTTGTTTACAGTTAACCCTCAGGGGAGGCCAGCACTAAATGTGTTAATGTAGATGTCTGATATTTATATTTTAAGCCAGTCACTAAATTACGTTTCCCTCCTTTCCCCCACCACCTCCCAATAGCAAAATGAAGGAGTCATAGCTGGATCAAATGAGGTTTCACTTACAAAGTATTTTTAATTTTCAGTGTGTAGAAATACATTAATGTAGACTTGAAGTTATTGTGAAATAAAGCAAACAATTTTCATATTCTGGAAATTGAAAGGTATGTTTTCAACTATTATCGGGATGATCTCTACTTTTAAAGTTTCCCGCAGAAGCAATGAAGGAAAAGATTGATAAATGCAAGTAGAAACTTCAGATTGGCAACAGACACTAAAAACAAATTTCCACAATGAATACAGATTTGGAGAAAATGCAGGCAACAATTTTAGTAGGCAGATGATGGATATCCCTAATATTCAAAGAGCTATTGATTGTGTTCATTGTAAAATACAAATCAATTACAAGAAGAAAAATAAACTCCATGAATAACAATAACATGAAGAGGCATGTCAAATAAAAAATAAATAAAAATGTACATTAAGTATGTGGCTAAGATGCTCACTAATTAAAGACAATAATAAGATTACATTCTAAATTCTTTACATTTGCACAAATTAAAAGGGCAATTATATTTAACTTTGTCAAATAAAGGTTTCCTACATTATTGGCAAGTTAGTAACTTGTCAATCCTGTGTTGAAAGCAATTTGCAGTATCTGTTAAAACTTTACATACAAGTGAGAGTCAGGCAAATAATTCCACTTTCATTTGTCTATTCTTTATAAATATCTACAAAAATAGGTAAGAGTGTTCAACTCCACCTTCTTTGAAACAATGCAGAATTGGAGGCAACCTATGCGTCCATCAGTATGGGAAGGGTAAGCGGCAGTGTAACACATCCTCAGTGGGGAATGAATGGTCTAGAGCCACTTAACAGAAGGGTGAGATTTCTGCGTGTGTTGGCGAAAGACTTTCATTATCTTCTAACAGTTCTGAAAATTGAAAAATAAAATTTTCTCAATGGTGCACTATACTATTTCTATGTAGAAAAACGCAAGTGCATACACATGTCCCAAAGGCTACAGAACGTACTCGTAATACCCGACACTTCAAATCATGAGAGCGTGCATGGGGATTCAGCAGCGTGATGGAGGATTACTTTTTCCCTATTGTTTAAATGCTTTGTTGAGTGCATATTGTATTTATAATTTTAAAAAATACTATTAAACTATTTTTAGGAATGTGAAAAGTGTGAAGAAAATTTGAATAGCTAACTCTCCTGTTCTTAAGTCCAAATATCAATTTCTAAAGCTGCTTTTGTAATTTTAGCAGTACCAAGATCCATCAAATCAACACCCTGTAGCCGTTGGATATTATCTAATCAGCTGTGGGTATAGTTGCTCATTATTTTTTCTTGTAGAAAATATGCTACTCAAAGATGAAAAGAAAAAATATCATCCAACTTTTGAGCACTATAGGTTCTGGAACACCATTATCAATAACTGAAAATAGAAACTGAGCAGAAGTTTCTATAACTCTACAGGGCTCTCAGCATTTTCCCAGCAGACATACTGTAGGTAATGCTGTTTCAGAGACAAAATACGAATGGGCAAAGGAATCTGGGTAGAGAAAATCAGTGAGGTGCTGTGCCTTGAAGTCTTGAAAGATAGATGGAGAAATGTGCAGAGAAAAGAAAGTATAAAGTGAGATAAACACCTCACAAGGTTTTTACAGAAATATTGCTAAGGAGAGAATGAACATCCCATAACATTGTAATGAACTTTTGTTCAAATATCTGATGTACTTTTGCAAAACTATCTGATGTTCTGCTGAATAGTGATAGTGATAAAACATTTTGTTTTGTTGACGAACTCTTCAAGAAGTATGAAAAAACTCTCACAGGTAGCAATAGACACATGTCTGTGCTGTTACCAAAAAGTTAACATTTACTTCCTCATGATATTATGTTAGACACCTTTGCAAAGAGTTGTAGGTATTGCAGCTGCTGCTTTAAATAAGACAAAATAAAAATATAGTACAGAATAGTAACGTTGAAACTATAGAAATATTGGATAAAATGGAGTAATGCCTTTTGAAAGTTTATTTTACAAGATCAACAGAACCAATTGCTAATAGACGCATGAAGAGGTGAAATGTGTTCACAGGTGTAGATAACATAACACATGCCCAGCAGAAATCCCTGAATGATGAAAAGTTGATTTCTGAATCAGACAATGTATGCTATTTTTTCCCCCTCAGAATGTTTACTTACAACTACAGAATAAAATAAATTGGAAATATTTACTTTAAAATGGAAAGAATTTTGTTGTCAGTTCATGCTGCTGCATATATTCAGATCTGAAAGTAAAAAAGTCTACAAGCTGGGGACACCACAACAGTATTTCACTAAAATGAAAAATAAACTGCTCAATTAGAAAATTATGTTAAGGATAGACAGGCTTTGGAAATGCTGCGGCATACACACTATTTGTGCTGGGTCCACACTGCCACTCTTTTAAGCCTTCCTTTTGTAACTCTACATTTCGTATTATAAGGTTTTGGTTCCTCTAAATTCCACAGCATGTAAAAAGAAATTGTTATCTATTTAGAAATATATACAAATACACACACATATGTATGTATGTATATACACATATAAAGGAAAGTCACAGAAATTATTCTCGATTCTAACAAGATTAACCCTTTAAATTTTCACAATTTCATAATGATAAAGTGAAGCCAAATGAGCCAAAGAAACACACACTTCTGATATTCATAGCTCAGAAAAATATACAATGTAAATACAAATACAGGTAAGGTGCAAAGGATAGAAAGACACGAAGAGTTGAATTGATTATTTTCTCTAAGATCTCTTTCAGTTTTCCTTTAAAAAAAACAAATAGGGCTTTCTGCATCTTGTTGGCAGTGTGGTATATAACAAGTCCCTAAAATGTGGAAGGCATTTTTTGAACTGAAGTTTAATCAAGAGCCCTTATTTATTCTGAAGCTTTTGTGTCGCTTGTGCCTGGGTAGTGTCACTGGCCACCTTCTGATGCCTATTGGGCATGTCTTCCTGCCCTGAAGATGCTACAACAGCACATTGTACTAGATTGTCTCCAAGCCAGAGCCAGCTGCTGGGCTTTAAATCACTTTGAAAGGATAAGGGCGACTCTCTCATGACTGCATCCAAGAGCAGCAATTTAAAATGCATAAAGAAGTGTATTTGCACACTTAAATACTTTTCTGTGATTCTCAACACTAACAACTTGCCAGATGTAAGCCTAAAGTGAGTGAAACTTCTGAATTTGGGGAACAGAAAAACTGGGGACCATGCAGTTTTAAAAACACTTCAATTGAATTTATTGCTAAACTATGTTTTCTCCTTCCCCCCCTCCCCCGCCACCTCCCACCAGCAAAATGAAGGAGTCATTGCTGGATCAAATGAGGTTTCACTTACACATTATTTTCAATTTTCAGTATATAGAAATGCATTCATGTAGACTTGAAGTTGAAAAAATTGGGCGATGTCGTTTGGAACCAAATGGGCCACCTAAGAAGAATGGTCAGATCAAGCCTGGAGCAGGTGTGAACACAAATGACAGTCCTGATTTCTAACTTCTCCTAGGCATAGAGAGTCTTTCTTCCCATGAAAACAAGAAAGAGCTCACCAGGTGGATTTTCTAAGCCCTAGTATGAGGGGGAAATAACCACAAACAAATAGTACCAAACGTTTTGACAAATGGATGGCTTTGACGCCTGAGGTACATACGAAGAGAAGGATAAAAATGGCCACAAAAGTAGAAAGGGACCCAAAATGAGTAATGAAGAATGAAAGCAATCTGAAAAGAACACCTGCTAGACTGACAACAGAAGAGGAACAGGAGAGCAAAGTAAGATAAATGCTCATCTTGGAGATATGTAAGATCGAAGGAAGGGGAAAGAGGCAGGTAAGAGCTAGTGATATAAATGAATTACACAGAAGCAGGCTTGTTTCAACACACACTTGAATCAATGCTATGCAAAGATCTATGATAACAGCAACCCCATTTTGTCGATACTCGAAATAAGCAAGAGTAATCAGGAGGAGTGATGGGAAGGCCTAGAAGTTGTGTGCATCTGTCTTTTTCTTTGCCAGCACTGTGGTTATCATTATTACAGTAAAGCCATAACTATTCAGAGTACACAGACATGAGTCATTCTGTATAGCTGAGTTTCCTGATAGGTGAAGGTCTGCCAATTTGAGGACTAAGTCTTTATGTTAAATCTTTAAGCTAAATCCTTTATTTTAATAGATTGCAAGCTACATCAATGTTATTTATGTTAATCTCTCTCTCTCTCTCTCTCTCTTTTTTTTTTTGGCCCTGGCCAAATTAGACTCCAAAAGTTAATATGTAGGTGTGTTTTAGATGCTTACTAAATCATTATAAGTGCTGTGACTTTATATTTTATCTTTCATTCAAGGCAGACTCAAGACTCAAGTGCTCTAACTCTAATATTTACTTTTCTAATCACTCGCCTTATCCCAGGTCTCTTTGTAGTTTTAACTTTAAGAACTCTTAATTATATCATGTATTGTTATTGTTTCTTTGTTAAGTCTTACCATTCTAGATTTTTGTATCTTAGAGGAAAGAGATCACTATTTCATTAAATTTTATATAAAAAGAGAATTTAATAATTGTCTAATAGAACCAGATTGCTTTACAAATGAGGGAAAAGGCTCCCTGAGACCTTTGTTTTGCTGAATGCCATACAGCTAATTAGGGACAGATCTAAAACTAGTATCCAGGTATCCTTGAACCTTTCTTAATGGGTATCTACTACTATAAACTATTAGTTCATATCTTAAAACTTCTCGTTTTGCCTCAGAAGGAAGGTAGTATAAAATGCAGGAATGATCCTAAGGTGTGGAAATATGTTCAGAGCTTTTATTATCCCTATCAGTAAGATGGAGACTATAGCAAATGACTCACAAGATTTGTAATATATGTACTAGGAAACTTAAGTTTGATCTGTGTTCAACCTTAGACTTCTTATTGGATCGGAGAGGGGCATGGCTGGCTTAAAAAGGTGGGAATTTATTTCCATGTGACACTTGGTATCATTCTCATAAAGACTAATTTTAGGAAGACAAAGATGGGGCGTTCAAGAAAGGTTCAAGGATAGCAAGATAGGAAATAATCTTCAATTAATTATTTAACACCTGCCACTCAGCTATTCTCTGCCCCAGGTCTCATTGAATTATGTCTGAATTATAAAGGATGAGCTAACAGGGGGATACAACTAAAGAGATCTGTTTAACTAATTTATTTATTTATTTATTTATTTATTTTGAGAAGGGTTTTGCATGTGCCAGACAACCTAAGCAGATTCTCAGCTCTGTGTCCACAGACTCCACCATGGTAGCAGGGGTGTCACGTGCTCAGCAGGTGCTGCACATTCGGCCCTGGGCATTAGTGTTCTCAGGTGACATTAGTGGCATTATTGTCCTCAACAGGAGCATCATTTTCACTGATAGGGCATTGGAAGCCTTAGCAGCACATGCCATCACTTTTCATTGTTCATTCATTCTTCTGATATTAATTGGGCATCCTCCATAGGCCAGTCACCTGCAAGATGTTGTTAGTGACACTTGCCTTATTATTTTACAGTGTTGAGGAAAATAGACCAAGCAAATATTTGATAATAGTAGAGTATAATGATAAGGAATGTACAGGGCACTGTGTGAGCACATGGGAGGTACACCATATGCAGGCTTGGTTGTGGGCAGTGGGCACAGGGGCACCTTTCTAGAATAACTTAGTTTAAGTTGCAACCTAAGGATGGTAGGAGACAGATTACAAGGAGTCTACTCTAGGTAGAGGAGAGAACGTGCGCTGGTACAAGATGAAGAGAGAATATAACATCTCTGGGCAACTTAAAGAAGTTAAGCATGGCCAAACTGGGTGGTATTAACATGACAAAAATAAGGGTGGAAGAGCAGGCAGGGGGAAAAACAATGAACTGTATCCTCAGAAAATCAGGCCATTACTAAAAGGCTTTAAAAACAAGCATGGCATAATAAGATTTATGTCTTTTAAAAGTAGTATAAATTTCATGTGGATAAAATAGATTGGATAACTCTATTAAAATTATTGCAGTCATCAGATTGAGAGATGCTCATATAGGAGGCTTTTACTGTGGTTCAAAACAGAAAAATGGTGACTTGGCATATAAATGCTACAATGATAGTCTGGGGAAATAATTATAATTTGGATATATTTTAAAGTTACAGCTGATAAGACTAGCTGATCTGTTGGATGTCAGGTATGAGGGAAAGCTAGGAGTCAAGAAAGATGTTGAAAATAGGAATCAATGTCTTTGATATGATTTTTTGGGCAGATAAGAGGTGGAATGATAGACCAAGAAATATAAACCAGATCAAGAGAAAAGTAATGACAAGAAGGAGATTGTTAGTGTGGGTAGAGATAAAAGCCTTAAAAGGGTCAGAAGTATTGTGAAGATGTTTGCAGAAGTAATTAAAGGAGGAAACTGAGAAGGTAGAAGGCTATGGCCAGAGGGTCATAGCCAGAGCTTGAAGGGGACACAGTGGGATGAATCACAGCAAGGTACTAACCCAGAAGACTGGACACCTCAGAACACATTGGTTGCTTGTCAGGGATTCTCAAACATAACTGAGAGTGCAGTTTAAGAGAGGAGATTTGAAGTTCTTCTGATTGTGCATTGAGGTAGAGCCAGAGAAAACTGATTTATGTAATAATGGTCTTATCTTAACCCTTTTCTAGTATAGTCAGCCCATAGAGCACAGTTATTCATAAGCAAGTTTTCTGTTACAAGTGATCAACAACTGCTAGCCTCTTTTCTCTCTGCCCTTTTTCACAAAACGAAGTTCAAGGTTATGAATTCAATAAGCTATCAGTATAGCATTTTGATATAGGATTGATTGATTAATTGATTAATACTGAGAGATGAATGAATGTGCATTTCTATGGCTTGAAAAAGCAGTACATTTTCTCAGTCTGTCATTTTGGTTCATTATTGAGTGTCAAAAACTCATTGGAGGAATTTTTGTAGTCTTTATAGTGAAATGCACTTTTGGGATGGGTTAAAAATAGGCTTGATAAGATATGGAATGTTGAATACGTCTTGATTTTTCATTTGAGAATTTCCATGTCAAAAATGTCTGTCTTGAGACTGAATGACAAGGCCACTGAAACAAAAGCCAACTTCAACTTCCTCCCTTTGCATCTTAAGTAACACAGAATGATTCGAAAACAATTTAAAACAAATTTTAAAGAAAAGATACTAAGCCATGTTTTAAGATTCTAGGGCAAAAACAAGTGCTAAACACACATGTATGCACACACAAAAATACATAAGTATGCACACACGCACAGTCTTTCTAAAACACATACAAAAAAAAAACTTTAAAAAGAACTCCATTCTCAAATGCCCTTGGGAAGTTCAGCAATGAAAGGATTCATTTTCGTCTCCCAACTTTATACCAGATTCATCAAAGGTAGTAGTTGACCCCAGGCATGGACTCTGAGATGCTATTCAGCACTGTTTTTAAAATTTTGTTTTGTTTTCTGTGTCTGGCTTTTTCACTTCTAGATTTTTCTGCAAACCCTGACTTGCCATTTCAGATCATTTCTTCTGCATGGAAAACTTATTGAGGAATAGCTAATGATCAACCTTTAAATTTCTCCATTACAGAAAGTATCTAAATGTCTCCAAAGGCCAGAGAATAGTCATAATAGTTAATATTTTTGATCACTTATTACCCATTAGGCAGAGTTCCAAGGACTTGACATAAATTTTCTCTTTTAATCCTCACAACAACATCATTAAGTAGGTATTATTATTATCTTCATTTTGTAGATGAAAGCTGGCAGGATGAAATATGTAAAATATTTTTCCAAGGGCTGATAGAGCCAAAGTCCTCCATATGTCACTCTTGTAAAAGGGCGTCTTTACATTAAGAAGCTACTAATCTAATTTAGACATGTTTGAATTATAGTTTCTTAAAGCTCCCAAAGTCTCAGTTATTTCTGCATAAACTAATAAAGTGCTACTCAGTATAAGTGTCAATTGTCAGATTCAAACTCAATCACTATGAAGATTATTGAGATACCAGATTCATTGACTCTGCCATCACACAATGCATAATCTAGTTCTGGAAGCTCCAGAGCTAAGTGATTAAGAGTACAGGCTTTGAGGCAATACACATATGCTTCTGATGGAACTACTATCATCAGGCTATGTTGAGGCCACTGCATTTTCTTAGTAAGCCAAAAATTATCTTCTTAAACAGGATTTATAAATTTTAACCACAAGCTGCCATTGTAAGAATGAAATTAGATGATGTACATAGAACCTTTTGCATAATGTCTGACTTTTGTAAACTGCAGCTATTGTTATTGACACTGTTGTATTAGATACACTTCTAAGAACATAAGCAATAGTACACGACATTCTGTGATAAATTCCAAGCTACTGGTATGTACGGTACATGTTCCACAAAGCCAAGCTCTAATCCTCTGTCTTCCACAGAGTTCTCCCTGAGGGAGTACATGGTACAATTTTGGGAAACGCTTGTAAAGGATGAATGAATTGAGCGCTCCCCATCTGAAATGATTTTTCCCGTGTCTGAGCTTGTATCTGTTTAATGTCCATACTGTCTTGTTTTAGGTCTTAGAGTCACATTGTGCTTTTCAATATTTTTTTTTTATTTTTTTATTATACTTTAAGTTCTTGGATACATGTGCAGAACATGAAGGTTTGTTACATAGGTATACGTGTGCCATGGTTGTTTGCTGCACCCATCAACCCATAATCTACATTAGGTATTTCTCCAAATACTATCCCTCCCCTTGCCCCCCACCCCCCAACAGGCCCCAATGTGTAATGTTCCCCTCCCTGTGCCCATGTGTTCTCATTGTTCAATTCCCAGTTACCAGTGAGAACATGCAGTGTTTGGTTTTCTGTTCCTGTGTTAGTTTGCTGAGAATGATAGTTTCCAGCTTCACCCATAACCCTGCAAAGGACATGAACTCATTCTTTTTTATGGCTGCATAGTATTCCATGGTGTATATGTGCCACATTTTCTTTATCGAGTCTAACATTGATGGGCATTTGGGTTGGTCCCAAGTCTTTGCTATTGTGAATAGTGCTGCAATAAACATATGTTTCCATGTGTCTTTATAGTAGAATGATTTATAATCCTTTGGGTATATAACCAGTAATGGGATTTCTGGGTCAAATGGTATTTCTAGTGCTAGATCCTTGAGGAATCCCCACACTGTCTTTCACAATGGTTGAACTAATTTACACTCCCCACCCACAGTGTAAAAGTGTTCCTATTTCTCTACATCCTCTCCAGCATCTATTGTTTCCTCACTTTTTAATGATTGCCATTCTAACTGGCGTGAGATGGTATCTCATTGTGGATTTGATTTGCATTTCTCTAATGACCAGTGATGATGAGTTTTTGTTCATCTATTTGTTGGCTGCATAAATGTCTTCTTTTGAGAAGTGTCTGTTCATATCCTTCGCCCACCTTTTGATGGGGTTGTTTGTTTGTTTTTCTTGTAAATTTGTTTAAGTTCCTTGTAGATTCTGGATATTAGCCCTTTGTCAGATGGATAGATTGCAAAAATTTTCTCCCATTCTGTAGGCTGCCTGTTCACTCTGATGCTAGTTTCTTTTGCTGTGCAGAAGTTCTTTAGCTTAATTAGATCCCATTTGTCAATTTTGGCTTCTGTTGCCATTGTTTTTGGTGTTTCAGTCATGAAGTCTTTACCTATGCCTGTATCCTGAATGGCATTGCCTAGGTTTTTTTCTAGGGTTTTTATGGTTTTAGGTCTTATGTTTAAGTCTTTAATCCATCTTGAGTTAATTTTTGTATAAGGTGTAAGGAAGGGGTCCATTTTCAGTTTTCTGCATATGGCTAGAGAGTTTTCACACCATTTATTAAAAAGGGAATCCTTTCCTCATTGCTTGATTTTTGTCAGGTTTTTCAAAGATCAGATGGTTGCATATGTGTGGTGGTATTTCTGAGGTTCCTTTGGTTTATATATCTATTTTTGTACCAGTACCATGCTGTTTTGGTTACTGTAGACTTGTGATTTTTGCACATTGATTTTGTATGCTGAGACTTTGCTGAAGTTGCTTATCAGCTTAAGGAGTTTTGGGGCTGAGACAGTGGGGTTTTCTAAATACACAATCATGTCATCTGCAAACAGAGTTAATCTGATTTCCTCTATTCCTATTTGAATGTCCTTTATTTCCTTCTCTTACCTGATTGTCCTGGCCAGAACTTCCAATACTATGTTGAATAGAAGTGGTGAGAGAGGGCATCTTTGTCTTGTGCCGGTTTTCAAAGGGAATGCTTCCAGCTTTTGCCCATTCAGTATGATATTGGCTGTGGGTTTGTCGTAAACAGCTGTTATTATTTTAAGGTATGTTCCATCAATATCTAGTTGATTTAGTGTTTTAGCATGAAGGGGTGTTGAATTTTATCAAAGGGCTTTTCTGCATCTATTGAGATAATCATGTGGTTTTCGTCATTGGTTCTGTTTATGTGATGGATTACATTTATTGATTTCTGTATGTTGAACCATCCTTGCATCCCAGGGATGAAGCTGACTTGATCGTGGTGGATAAGCTTTTTGATGTGCTGCTGGATTCAGTTTGCCAGTATTTTATTGAAGATTTTCCCACTGATGTTCATCAAGGATATTGGCCTGAAATTTCATTTTTTTGTTGTGTCTCTGCCAGGTTCTGCTATCAGGATGGTGCTAGCCTCATAAAATGAGTTAGGGATAATTCCCTCTTTTTCTATTGTTTGGAATAGTTTCAGAATGAATGATACCAGCTCCTATTTTTACCTCTGGTAAAATTCAGCTGCGAATCCATTTCATCCTGGGCTGTAATTTTTGGTTGGTAGGTTATTAATTACTGCCACAAATTCAGAACTTGTTATTGGTCTATTTAGGGATTTGACTTCTTCCTGGTTTAGTCTTGGGTGGGTGTATGTGTCCAGGAATTTATCCATTTCATCTAGACTTTCTAGTTTATTTGCGTAAAGGTGTTTATAGTATTCCCTGATGGTAGTTTGTATTTCTGTGGGATCGGTGGTGATCTCCTCTTTATCATTTTTTATTGTGTCTATTTGATTCTTCTCTCTTTTCTTCTTTATTAATCTGGCTGGCAGTCTATCTATTTTGTTAATTTTTTGAAAAAACGAGCTCCTGGATTCATTGATTTTTTGAAGGATTTTTTTGTGTCTCTATCTCCTTCAGTTCTGCT
Source organism: Homo sapiens (assembly GCF_000001405.40). Lineage (NCBI taxonomy): Eukaryota > Metazoa > Chordata > Mammalia > Primates > Hominidae > Homo > Homo sapiens. The sequence goes on from NC_000018.10 coordinate 38,917,302, forward strand.
CTGATCTTAGTTATTTCTTGTCATCTGCTATCTTTTGAATTTGTTTGCTCTTTCTTCTCTAGTTCTTTTAATTGTGATGTTAGAGTGTCGATTTTAGATCTTTCCCACTTTCTTCTGTGAGGGTTTAGTGCTATAAATTTCCCTCTAAACACTGCTTAACTGTGTCCCAGAGATTCTCATACATTGTGTCTTTTTTCTCATTGGTTTCAAATAACTTATTTATTTCTGCTTTAATTTCATTGTTTACCCATTAGTCATTCAGAAGCAGGTTGTTCAGTTTCCATGTAGTTGTGCAGTTTTGAGTGAGCTTCTTAATCCTGAGTTCTAATTTGATTGCACTGTGGTCTGAGACACTGTTTGTTATGATTTCTGTTCTCTTGCATTTGCTGGGGGAGTGTTTTACTTCCAATTATATGGTTGATTTTAGAATAAGTGCTATGTGGTGCTGAGAAGAATGTATACTCTGTTGATTTGAGGTAGATGTCTATTAGTGCCACTTGGTCCAGAGCTGAGTTCAAGTCCTGAATATCCTTCTTTATTTTCTCTCTCATTGATTTGTCTAATATTGATAGTGGGGTGTTAAAATCTCCCACTATTATTGTATGGGAGTCTGAGTCTCTTTGTATGTGTCTAAGAACTTGCTTTATGAATTTGGGTGCTCCTATATTGGGTGCATATATATTTAAGATAGCTTTTCTTGTTGCATTGATCCCTTTACATTATGTAATACTCTTCTTTGTCTTTTTTTATTTTTGTTGGTTTAAAGTCTGTTTTATCAGAGACTAGGATTGCAACCCCTGCTTTTTTTTCTTTCCACAGTAAATATTCCTCCATCTCTTTATTTTGAGCCTGTGTGTGTGTCTTTGCACGTGAGATGGGTCTCCTGAATACAGCACACCAATGGGTGTTGACTCTGTATCCAATTTGCCAGCCTGTGCCTTTTAATTGGGGTATTTAGCCAGTTTACCTTTAAGGTTAATAATGTTATGTGTGAATTTGATCCTGTCATTATGATGCTAGCTGGTAATTTTGCCTGTTAGTTGATGCAGTTTCTTCATAGTGTTGATGGTCTTTACAACTTGGTTTGTTTTGCAGTGGCTGGTACTGGTTTTCCCTTTCCATATTTAGTGCTTCCTTCAGGAGCTCTTGTAAGGAAGGTCTCGTCATGACAAACTCTCTCAGCATTTTCTTGTCTATAAAGGATTTTATTTCTCCTTCACTTACGAAGCTTAGTTTGGCTGGATATGAAATTCTTGGTTGAAAATTCTTTTCTTTAAGCCTCACTCTCTTCTGGCTTGTAGGGTTTCCGCAGAGAGATCTGTATTAGTTTGAAGGAGTTCCCTTTGTGGGTAACTCGACCTTTCTCTCTGGCTGCCCTTAACATTTTTTCCTTCATTTCAACCTTGGTGAATCTGACAATTATGTGTCTTGGGGTTGCTCTTCTCGAGGAGTATCTTTGTGGTGTTCTCTGTATTTCCTGAATTTGAATGTTGGCCTGTCTTGCTAGGTTGGGGAAGTTCTCCTGGATCATATTCTGAAGACTGTTTTCCAACTTGGTTCCATTCTCCCTGTCACTTTCAGGTACACTAATCAAACGTAGGTTTGCTGTTTTTACATAGGCTCATATTTCTTGGAGGCTTTGTTTTTTCCTTTTCATTCTTTTTTTTTCTAATCTTGTCTTCACACTTTATTTCATTAAGTTGATCTTTAATCTCTGATATCCTTTCTTCTGCTTGATTGATTTGGCTATTGATATTTGTGTATGCTTCACAAAGTTCTCATGCTGTGTTTTTCAGCTCCATCAGGCCATTTATGTTCTTCTAAAAACTGATTATTCTAGTTGGCAATTCCTCTAACCTTTTATCAAGCTTCTTAGCTTCCTTGCATTGGATTAGAACATGCTTCTTTAGCTCAGAGGATTTGTTATTACCCACCTTCTGAAGCCTATTTCTGTCAATTCGTCAAACTCATTCTCTGTCCAGTTTTGTTCCCTTGCTGGCAAGGAGTTGTAATCCTTTGGAGGAGAATAGACATTCTGGTTTTTGGAATTTTCAGCCTTTTTGTGCTGGTTTATCCTCATCTTTGTGGATTTATCTATCTTTGATCTTTGCTGTTGGTGACCTTCGGATGAAGTTTTTGCGTGGTCATCCTTTTTGTTGATGTTGATGCTATTGCTTTCTGTTTGTTAGTTTTCCTTCTAACAGTCAGGCCCCTCTTCTGCAAATCTGCTGGAGTTTGCTAGGGATCCACTCCAACCCTGTTTGCCTGGGTATCACCAGCAGAGGCTGCAGAACAGCAGAGATTGCTGCCTGCTCCTTCCTCTGGAAACTTTATCCCAGAGGGGCACCTGCCAGATGCCAGCCAGAGTTCTCCTGTATGAGGTGTCTGTCGACCCCTGCTGGGAGGCATCTCCCCATCAGGAGGCATGGAGGTCAGGGACCCACTTGAGGCAGTCTTTCCCTTAGCAGAGCTCAAGCACTGTGCTGGGAGATCCGCTGCTCTTTTCAGAGCTGGCAGGCAGGAACTTTTAAGTCTGCTGAAGCTGTGCCCACAGCTGCCCCTTCCCCCAGGTGCTCTGTCCCAGGGACATGAGAGTTTTATCTATAAGCCCCTGACTGGGGCTGCTGCCTTTCTTTCAGAGATGTCCTGCCCAGAGAGGAGGAATCTAGACAGGCAATCTGGCTGCAGCAGCTTTGTGGTGCTCAGGTGGGCTCTGCCCAGTTCGAACTCCCTGGCTTTGTTTACACTGTGAGGGGAAAACTGCATACTCAAGCTTCAGTAATGGCAGATGCCCCTCCCTGCACTGAGCTCTAGTATCCCAGGTTGACTTCAGACTACTGTGCTCACAGTGAGAATTTCAAGCCAGTGGATCTTAGCTTGCTGGGCTCTGTAGGGGTGGGATCAGCTGAGCAAGATCACTTGGCTCCCTGGCTTCAGTCCCCTTTCTAGGGGAGTGAATGGTTCTGTCTTGCTGGCATTCCAGGTGCCACTGGGGTATTAAAAAAAAACTCCTGCAGCTAGTTTGGTGTCTGCCCAAACGGTTGCCCAGTTTTGTGCTTGAAACCCAGGGCCCGTGTGGTGTAGGCACCAGAGGGAATCTTCTGGTCTTTCGGTTGCGAAGACCATGAGAAAAGTGTAGTATCTGGGCCGGATAGCACCTTCCCTCATGGCATGGTCCCTCATGGCTTCCCTTGGCTAGGGGAGGGAGTTCCCTGACTCCTTGCGCTTCCTGGGTGAGGCAACGCCCCACCCTGCTTTGGCCCACCCTCCATGGGCTGCACCTACTGTCTAACCAGTCCCAGTGAGATGAGCCAGGTACCTCATTTGGAAATGCAGAAATCACCCACCTTCTGCATTGGTCTTGCTGGCAGCTGCAGACTGGAGCTGCTCCTATTCAGCCATCTTTCAATATATTTTCTATAGGTACTTTCATCTCTTAAAGCTATTTAAATTGTTCACCTATTTAGATGCTGCCTCCCAAAGGATTTATTAGTTCTTAAGGGAAGGGGCTGTGTACTTTTCACATTTGTGTATTTCACCAAGTCTCACATGTGGCATTGTGCACTGTAGGTGTTAAAATAAATTTGTTACTTTTGATTGTATTGAATTAATTTGCCTGGATTTGATTTTATAATAGGTCTAGGAGGATTTTCATACGCAGATAATGCCTTTCATTCTTCTATGAGTATAATTGCATAATTCCGTCATATTTTTCCTCACTGGAGATTTGGAGGGAGCAAATTGTTCTAGAATCAAAATAGTTGGTCTTTACAAGAGAAAGGCACAATTTAAAATAGATGATTACTTACTATTAAAATAAAAACTAAGAAAAATCTCACATTTAAACAACTTTACTTTTTGTCTACAGCAGTCAAGATGTTGTTAAGAATAATAATTGTAAAGCCTTTTAACAACTTCTTATATAAAGTAGTTGGCAGAAATAAATATTTAATGCTTTGTCCATCATTCCACCTTTGAAATTGCCTGTCCAGGGGGAAAAACAATATCACATCACCATGTTTATATATTGCATGGAAAAATATTGAGAATATATTTCTTTTTTATTTTATTTTATTTTTATTTTATTTTATTTTATATTTTTGAGACGGAGTCTTGCTCTGTCACCAGGTTGGAGTGCAGTGGTGCGATCTTGGCTCACTGCAACCTCTGCCTCCTGGGTTCAGGCGATTCATCTGCCTCAGCCTCCAGAGTAGCTGGGACTACAGGTGTGTGCCACCACACCTGGCAAATTTTTTGTATTTTAGTAGAGATGGGGTTTCAACATGTTGGCCAGGGATGGTCTCAATCTCCTGACCTAATGATCCACCTGCCTCAGCCTCCCAAAGTGCTGGGATTACAGGCGTGAGCCAACATGCCGGCCATATTTCTACATAAGGAAGAAAAATGGGCAAAGAAATTACCTAGCAAAATAATAATACAGGTTGTTTATTGCCATCAATTTAGCTCAAGCAAGCTTTTATTTTTTTGTTATTGCATTGTTTTCGCATTACCAATTATTTAATAAATATTCCACTTTATCAGTATCTATAACAATGCTATTACAGACAGTAGGGTGAAGGGGAGCAGAGAGTGAATGCAGGAGATGTGGAACTCGGAGCTGACTTCAGAGTTTACAGTCAGATTGGGGAGGTGACATGTAGGATAGAACCAGGTATTCTTATGACTCATGAAGAAACAGTGTTCTGATGTGAATTATACAGGCAGTGGTTCACTGGGAATATCTACTGGAAGCAGCTAAGATATGAACTGAACTTCATTTAAGTAATTTGTCAATTCATTTGACAAATTCCCTTACTTGATTTAACAAATGAAGTAAGGGAAGTAAAATAGACCAGACCAAGAAGATTGCTCCATTTCCTATACAGTCTACAAACAGAGCTTTTACCATTTAGTTGCCATTAAAACAGTCCACAACAAATTGAATGAAAGGAAAATTTTAATTCTTTACTCAATTTATCCAAACTACATAGACACTTAGCTTTTCAAAGTAATAGTTTCTTAGTCTATTTCATTAATTCCAAAGGATGCTAAATTGTTTCAAGGATGAACCTGAGGAGAAGTTTTGCTGCTTAGGGAGATTTTCTTAAATCCTGCTAGTGACTGCTGATATCACGATATCCACGTGGCCATGCAATTGTGAAACCTCTGTGTCATATGCTTGGATGTGTTTGCTGCACAGTCATACTAGAAAAGATTTGGACATCACTTCCCACACTTTTTAGTATAGAAAGATTTCTAAGAATTAGGGTTTTGAAAAGAGGTAAATATTTAATGTAGATCACACACACACACACACACACACACACAAACATGCATACAAACATATAAAGATACTTTATTTGAAAAGATCTAAATTTTAATGAGTACTTACCCGATGCTGGTCCCAAGATGTTCATTCTGGCTCCAGGAATGGATTCCTGTGCTTATCTTAAAGAAAAGCCAAGGAAGGTAGAAACTTAACGGAGGCCCCTTTTTTAGTTAGTACTACAGCTGGAATTTGGTCCCAACTCTGATCCATGCTCTTTCTGTTTATTGGGTCACTTACAATTAAAACAAGGAAATTAAAAGGCAACCAAACTATAAATAATAAAAAATTGATGGCACTGTTTATATTTTGTTAAAGAGGAAGAGAGTATTTCCTGTGAGGCTGAGGTGCTTTAGAAAATGTTAGATGAAGGCTCAGATTTTGAAGCTCAGGGATATTTGAGAATGGAATAATCCTGCAATAAGCCAGCATGCCAGAAAATGTAATTATTTTTCCTCTTTTTTACTTATTTTTGGCACTATTAACAATTGTAGAATTTATTATAGATACCATAAGTGCCTTGCCATCAAGTGGATTACCTGTGGAGAAGACAAATGTGAATATAAATTAGGATGGAAGAAGTCAATGGGAATCTGGAAACTGGAATCAGCATTTTATCCTCCCTCCACTGAGATCACATAAAAATGAGTAAGCACATCCTGCTTCCCCCTTTCTCTGCATGCTGTCTTAGCAACATAAACACTAATTGGTTGCTATAGTGATCTCAAGTTTGTAACTAGACCTGAGATATCTAGTTAACAGTGTCTGAAGGTGAGAAGATGAATGCCTCTGCTGTGGGGTTTTGTAGGGTGATGGTCTGGGGTATGAAAACTGGCAAATGTAGCCTCAGCTCCGAAAGCCTGGTAAATTTGTTAATTTTATTCTCATCATGTCTGACTAGTTCAATTCATCTACCTACAGAGGCTGGAGTGCCTTCATATAAGCTGGTCTCTGAAGTTGACAACTTCCATAAACTTGCAGTCAATGAGAAATACCAGTTATGGGCAGAATTTAGCACTTAATACACTTTTTATTTTATTGCTGAAAAGAGTTCAGCAGCACTAAGATGATTTAAGCCATCAATGAGATGCAGTGGAAACAGCCTAGTAAAATCATAGTCAGCCTGTGCCTCTTCTCCATGACTCACGGGTTTATTAAGAAATCTCATTCTTTAGGGCCCAGAGGATGAACAGCATTCCTCTAAGTCAAGACCCTTGTACTTTAATTGGTGGCTGCCACCAATCAGCCACAGAGCGTGTCACGCAACCTTTCCAGGTCTCCCTTTCCTCATTTATGAAGGAGATGATAACTGGGCCTCCCTCCCAGGGCTGTTATGGGGATTAAGGATTGAATTATTCTAAAGTACTTTGCAAATACAAGTGTTATATAAATGCTAAATACTAACCTATGGCTTTGATTTCATTAGCGCTTCCCATTTGAAAGTTATAAGGTGAATTCAATAGTATAATGTTCAACAGAGAACTCTTCTCTGTAAAAAAGTAAATATACACATATGTATGTATATGTGCATAGATATAAGTACATTTATATGTGTGTGTCTGTTGGTATACATAATTATTATGTTTGCTTTTTTAATTAGTGATTACCTAGATATTGAATAGGACTTTTTCTATAGTCCTAGAATTGGCAAGTGGCCACAAAAGGACAGAAAAAGAGTTATCATGTAACTATTAGGGGGTGGGAAACCCTTGCAGATCGTATTCGGAAACAGAAGAGCAGGGTCAGCTACTCTCCCATCACATTTTCTCTACTCTCCTCCCTCAGCCTATAAGAAAGAGAAGGAGAGGTCAGGGGGTTTATTTAGGATGTAAGTAAGAAAAAGAGTGCAGGGATTCTTCTGTCTCTACCTCAAGTCAAGGGAAAATGGAAGGCTATGCATCTACCCCACTGAAAGTATGGTGCTAAAGGTCTCAAAGGGAATCACTGAGAGGAGGACATAGCAGGAAGAAGAGGTATCTCTTTCTTTTTAATTTGTTGGACATATGTGTGGGCTGGGTTTCTGTGACTATTAATGCGGGGAAAATTGGAGAGGACAGACTGGAGAGAAGGGGCTTCAATGAAGGGCTTGCAGTCCTGCTATTTGGCTTGGCATGAGTATGAGTATCTCTTGGGTGAAGAGGAAGTATGAAAGGTAGTCATGTTTGAGCCATCTTGCCAGTAGTCAACCCAAAAGAGCTGGCTAATGGGAGAGGAGACTCCAGCAGCAAGTGGCTGTTGGGCAGACTTATGGGACCTGGAGCGGAGAAGTTCTGGTGAGGTCACAACACACTGGATCACTGGCATCAGAAACTATGCAGTGAAGAGTTCCAGTAAGATTCCACAAAGAACTCATACTCAAGTCACACAGTAGAATGAACATCTGCATGCCTGCTGCACTGAGGCAATCGTACTGTATTTTGGCCATTTTCAGCCTCTCTTCTCCCTCTTCTTCACAACTGAAGAGTAGATATCAAAAGGAAGAAAAAGTAGAGGGTACCGTGTCCTAGACTAAGACTCCTCTATGTTCCTAATCATTAAGTCTCAAACTCATCTACCTCAGGGAGAGTGAGAGGAAAGGAGCATTAAGTTCCATATGAGATTTAAATTTGACACTAAATGGGAATGGGCTTTTTAGAGCTTAAATGCTTGGAAGGCGATTAGATTGACCAGAAACATCATGGGCATGATGCAAAAGGGAGATTTGACAATGTCTGGGTAAAGGCAGTGATTGGGAAAAAATAAACCTGCTTTCTGGCCATTTAATAAAAATATACATGTAACATGGCCAGGCGTGGTGGCTCACTCCTGTAATCTCAGAACTTTGGGAGGCCGAGACAGGTGGATCACTTGAGGTAAGGAGTTTGAGATGAGTCTAGCCAACATGGTGAAACCCTGTCTCTACTAAAAATACAGAAATTAGCCAGGCGTGCTGGTGTGCACCTGTAATCCCAGCTACTTGGGAGGCTGAGGAAGGAGAATGGCTTGAACCCCAGAGGCGGAGGCTGCAGTGAGCTGAAATTGTGCCACTGCACTCTAGCCTGGGTGACAGAGTGTGACTCCATCTCAAAACAAACAAACAAACAAACAAAATATATATACACCCACACGTAGACACACAGACACACACACACACACACACACACACACACACACACACACACGTGACAAAAAGACTTTATAGATTCTTCACTGTGCATCTCTTCCAGAGTAATTTCTGTTTGCTGTACATCTCAGTTCTTTAATAAAAACAAAAATACACAACACGGACCACAAAAAATAGGCACTCTCTTTGTTCCTGCTTTGAGCTCAGGCCTTTATGTGTATACTCACCTCCTAAAACAAAAGGGCTAAAAATAACACGCAACAATCACAAACAGATGAAAAACTGAAAAAAGAGAAAAACTCCAAATAAAAGGTTAGTTCAATTTTTAAAATCAAAATACACATTACGGAACACAAAAAACAACCATGCTTATATAATCTGAACAATCTGGAATTTGTTAGGCAGCTGGGCTCATTAGGCAAAGTAAGGGATCATCAAAGTGATATCACTATTCATTTATAGTGAGAAATGAAGTAGAAACTTGAGAGCCTAAACAGAGTACAGCAAGGAGGCAGATGTCACAATTCAGTACAGCACATATTTATATTTTTTATTTTCATTACAATGAAATGAATATTTTGAACATTTAAAAAAAAATTTATTTTACTTTAAGTTTCAAGATACACGTGAAGGATGTGCAGGTTTGTTACACAGGTAAACATATGCCATGGTGGTTTGCTGCACCTATCAACCCATTGCCTAGGTATTAAACCCCATATGTATTAGCTATTTATCCTGATGGTCTTCCTCCCCCACTTTCCTGACAGGCCTCAGTGTATGTTGTTACCCTCCCTGTGTCCATATGTTCTCATTGTTCAGCTGCCACTTATAAGTGAGAACATGTGGTGTTTGGTTTTCTGTTCCTGTGTTAGTTTGCTGGGGATAATGGCTTCCAGCTCCATCTATGTCCCTGCAAAGGACGTGATTTCATTCCTTTTTATGAGTGCATAGTATTCCATGGTGTATATGTGCCACATTTTCTTTATCCAGTCTATCACTGATGGGCATTTGGGTTGAGTCCATGTCTTTGCTATTGTGAATAGTGCTGCAAATGAACATACACTTGGTTTTGATTCATTATTTAGACTGGCACTCTCATCTCTTAGTGTTTAATTAGTATGATGATCTTCATGATATAACTGAGAATAAAATGGCCAGTGATTTGTATGTAAACAGAAAATTTTGAAAGGTGGTACTAATAGATGCTTGGTATATGACCAATGCACCTTTAAGAAATTTACATAGGTTATGTTACTTAATGCTCACAAAAAGTATAGGAGGTAGGTACTGTTGTTTCTGTGTAATAGAGGAGGAAACTGGGGCCCCCAAATTTTAAGTGGCTAGCCAAAAACACAGTGATAGTGTGATTGGCTTAACTTGTTTTGTTGTCTAATTAAACAGACCTTTATAAATTCCATTGTTGAAGAGCAAATCATTAAAATGAAGACTTTTTTTATTGTTTCTTAAGGCATATACCTTTGAACCTGCTTCATGATGTATGAATCATCTCTGTTCCTTAACCCTGTGGCTACTAATGCTGCTGGGTAAAATGAAAATTACACATCAAGGCAGATTGGGACCACTATAAATTGGTGACCAGCTATACCATAGCTCTGGTTTTACTGTCAATAGAGGAGGAAAGCCACATGCATAGTGAAGGCAACATTTGAAGTCTTTGAAAAGGGTCTATTTTTGTTGACTCACAAGCAAGACATTTGGTGATGTCCTAATCAGGCCATTTTATACTGTAATTTTTCTCATTGGAAATTATGTTTTCATGTGATTATAAAACATATTTTTAGGCAATCAAAATAATAATATTATATCATGATTGGAAAAATAGTCTCAAAAATATCTCTCAACGTGTTTCCCTGAAGTGCAACAAATAAACAGGAAACAAATTTATTTGGTGATCCCAAGTAGAAACTAACCAAGCAAGATCCTTTACTGCAGGCCTTCTCAGGGCATTGAAAATGCTAATGTGAATTTTGAGTCTTCTAGATGGGATATGATGCATCTCAATGTGTTTCTTGTTCATTTATTATTCATTCAGCAAATATGTATTGAGTGCCTATTTCGTGCTAGGTGATACTCTGGGCATTGGGGTTCAGCGGCCAACAGGACAGACAGACTGCCTAATAAAACCCACTCCAGTGTATGATGCTGACCTACAGTGGCGGAATAGGATAGCTGCTTATCTTTCTGTTATTTCAGGCCAAGGAAAATGTTAACTAGAGAAACATTTGTGAGAAGAAGAGGGGATTATCAGCAGGAAGCCAGGCATCTGCCTACCTTTTCCCTTTCTCATAATTAACCATCATCTCCTTACTTTCTCATCTTCTTTGTATTGATCTTTCATCATATAATGGCCACAAATAGCAAAAGGAAGGCTTAATAACAAACCTTAAAATGAATAAATAATTACAGCCACTAATCTTCCTCAGCCAACTGATTATTTGTTTAGTGACACTATTACATAAAACGAGGTTTACATAATTTAAAAGAACATCGTCATGCAGTTTTTAGAGCTTTTTTTCTATTTGTCCTTGCTTTTGATACCCTTTAAAAAGCAATAGAAAGGTATATTGCTGCTGGACATGTAGGGACTGAGGGAACAGTTCTATATAGACAGAGGAGTCTTTAAAACAAGAACATGCATCAATTTAAAATTAAATGCACTTTTTACACTTTAAATTTTAGTATTCAACCCGTTTCATAATGAGTATAATTATTACCTCTCTAAGAAGTCTAATCTTATCACAAAAATATTGTCTACATGTGATACTATCTGGTCATCTGTCTTTAGTCATCATACAGATATTTTGATACCGATTTTCTATATATACACCTCATTTATAATGTCTTTTCTTTGGTATTGTGAGAATAAAATTCTTTATGATATTATTTCAGTATACATAAAAAAATTTTCTAATGATACTGTAATTCAAGAATTATGTGTGTGTCCCCTGAAGTAGAGTCTCAGCAGACAGAAATGCAACCCTGCCCCTCCTGTGAGGAGCTTGAACTGGCTGTGATTCCATGAGCAAGATCGAGAAGACAACTGCCAATCCAGAGACTACTTTTAGAAATACTTGATAGGAAAGATATGTAAAAATCTAATTTTTTGGAATAGCTATCTTATGATCCCAGAGTTTGCTTTTGCAATATACATTTAAAAATGTGAACGCATATAAGAAACTGACATTCTACATTAAAAATCAACACATATTTATTGGGTACCTAAGAAGTGCCAAGTACTGTATTTTATCTCATGTTTCTTTCTCTGTCTGTGCACAAGCTTTGCAATTTCTCTCTCTCCCACTTCTGGCCAACCACCTTTGATTTTCCTACCCTGAATTCTCAAATAACTCTAGTTTGAACAGGGACAGTTTATCTTGGGTCTTCTATGTCCAAATTTACATAATATTTAAATGAATCCCATAGCAGAGCATCCTGATTTTCTTAATTCTAAATTCCTGATTTTCTTAATTCTAAATTCTAAAAATCTGTCTTCTTGATCCTGTTCATGGGTCTGAGTATGGCTAGATTATGATGTGCTGACTCTTGGTTATGGCAGAAGATATCTGGATAGGAATTCTCCCTGAAAAGGGAAAGTTAGCAGAAGTCAGCTAGGCTGTTTGGATTTCAAGTAACAGAAATTTCTGTGGCATATTAATTCTTCCTTCAGGAAAATAGTAAAATGGCTTTATCTGTTCCAGGTTTTACATCTGGAATCAACAACAAGAAGGAGAAGGAACGTCTCTTTTATGTAACTTTTAGGAGCAATGACAACTTTGCCCAAAGCACCTAACTGGCTTTTCTCTAAGATTTCATAGATCAGAAGTGGTTCAAAAGCACCTTTGTAAACTGACCACTGCCACAGAAATCCCAGTTAACATGCCAGGTATGATTACTGACTGACAAGTCAGAATATGTTCCCAGGCTGAGGGGGAGGCTTAATTCCCCTTCTTAATTCAAGAGAAGGGTCACTACAAACAACATTGGAATTCTGTTAAGAATGTGCATCTTAAAATAAATCTATTATTTCTTATCATGTTATTCTGCTACTAACTTCTCTCCTATGAGGAATTAACACCAAAATGCTGCTTAGTGAATTCCCCAAATTAACTGAGATCCATAGATGCTGGCCCACTAAAAGCCCAAATGTACAACATCACTAATCATCAGTGAAATGCAAATCAAAACCATAATGAGATACCATTTCAATCTGTTAGTTAGAATGACTATTCTCAAAAAGACAAAAGAAAACCAGTGTTGGCAAAGATGTGGAGAAAGGGGAATATTTACACACTGTCGGTGGGATTGTAAACTAGTACAACCATTATAGAAAACATTATGGAGGTTCCTAAAAAATTAAAAATATAACTACCAAAAGATACAGCAGTCCCTCTACGGAGTATATATCCAAAGGAAAAGAAATCAGTATGTCAAAGAGATCTCTGCATTCACATATTTATTGCATCATTATTTACAATAGCCAAGACATGAAATCAACCTAAGTGTTAAACAGTAGATAAATGGATAAAGAAAAGGTGGTATATATACAAAATGAAATACTGTTCAGTCATAAAAAGAATGAAATCCTATCATTTACAACAACATGTAAAGATGAACCTGGAGGATATTATGCTAAGTGAAATAACCAGACACAGACAGACAGGCACTGCATAATCCCACTCATATGTGGAATCTAAGGGAAAAAAGTTAACATCATAGAAGCAGAAAGTAGAACAATAGTTACCAGAGACTGCTGAGGGGAGGGGAAAGGGGATAACAGGGAAAGATCACAATAAGAAGAAATAAATGTTGGTGTTCTATTGCATAGTAGGATGAGTATGTAATATACTATTTCAGTGAACAGTAAAATATTGCATACTACAAAATAGCTAGAAGAGGGGCTTTTGGAAGTTCTCACAACAAAAAATAATAAATGTGTGAGATAATGGATGCATTAACTATTTGGTTGGATTGGAGTAGTTACAACATAGATATATATTGGAAGATCAAATTGTATCCTACCAATATGTACAATTACAACATGTCTATTAAAAGATAAATAATTTTTTTGAAAAGATAGCCCAAGCTTCATAATGTTATACTGGGTGTCTAGATTTCATAATAAATAAGACTGATTGAGTTTGTGTCAATTATTGTATGTGTAAGTATATATGTTATTTAACAATCTAGAGACCTTGGGCAACTCATTTCACAGTTCTTGAAAGAGTCAGTTACCAAGTGTGCATGTGTGTGTGTGTGTGTGTGTGTGTGTGTGTGTGGAGGTGGGGAGGTTGTGTGTGCAGGGGAAGTTGGGGGTGTCATACAATTTGCCCAACATCCTTACCAGACTTTTTTTAGAAGGAATGTTGTTTGCAGAAGGGCTAAGGCTGTGAAGTGTTATGCAAATGTATGCCATTATCATGCCCCTTTCTCATTAACACTCCCAAATCCCTCATGCAGATACAAAATATCCGCAGGAAAAAAAATATTTTTTTCGTATAAATAAATAAAAATATGTAAAAGAATGGTTTGATTAAAACTGGCTGGTTTGAGATTTGGTCTTATTTTGAAATGAGGTCAGCCTGGTTGGGTTTTGAATTTCAATAGAGAAATTTTGCATGGCTCTCTGAGTTATACAAAGATATTTTAAATGTTGGGAAAAAGAAAGCCCCTCACAGATAGCAGCAGGAATCACACTGGCAGAGTTGAAGGAAGTAGAGAAGCAAATCCAAACTGAGGAGAACAAATACATATTTTCTCTCAGGGTGTTCAAAGAGCAGGAGAATAAAGGAGACAAAGGGAGGCTGTGATAGAAGGCAACTGATACTGCACCTCCAGAAAGAGGAGGGCTCCCTGCTGAAAGGAGCTGAGTGCAAGAAGGGTGCTCAGGGGCCACGGGGACTGTGTGGAGCAGTGACAAGGGAATAGTGCTGAGAATCCAGTCTCCTGGGGTTTTGTCCAGGCCTTGCTCTTATCAAGTCTTTTGACTTTGGACATGTCATGGCATATCTAGGACTGAAGTTTTCTCAACTGTGAAATGAGGAGTCTGGGTGAGAATAGACTGTTTCTCAGAACAAACCTGGTTCACTGCGGAAGGTCAGGTCAAGGATTATGCATGCCTCACTCACTGTACATACCATTGTTGCGGCCCCAAGAAGCCTCGATATACATAAAATGAGGCCATGCAGGCCAAGTTTTCTTATTGATGGGGGTGCACACATAAAATGGAGATCAAAGTTTTGAGATGCAAATATAACATCATCTTTTCTTAACATAAATGCAATGGAGCTTTTAAATGTTTAAACTCGAAGGCAGAAAGAAATAGCCTTTTTATAACTACCTTATTGGAAAGTGGGTTTTCAAAAATGCCCAGAAAGATATTGGAAATTTCATAAGCATTATCCTCTGCCGACAGTTGTGATTTCAGCCCTAGATTTGAGCCCTGTAATCTTTTTACAAAGATCGACCCATGTGATTCTTATGAGTGCCCCAGATGAGAGCCAAGGCCCTAAAGGAAAAGATGGCTAACATGACTGGATTCTCCAAAAAAGTATATTGTCATTGACATTATTCATCACATGGCTACACAAAAGTCAATGTCAAAATTATTTTTAGAATTCGGGGCTAGAATATAAAATAATATGTACAGTTTAGCTATTACCTATCTACTAGACATAATTAAACATTATACACTTGAAAAATATATACCAATACTTTTTTAAAATGTGCTTCTTTGGTGTTCAGATTATAAGTGATTTTCAATTTATTTTAACAATTATAAGTGATTGTTCAACTATTCACCTCAGTTTCAAGAAATCTCAAAAGCAAATTTGAAACTCAAGTCATGGCAACTAGATAGACAAGTTTTAATTCATATTTTGTCTTCCCCTTATCATTGAAGCAGATTTTTAAAAATTATACATTATTATTTCAAGTATACATTTTAGTATAAATTTCTTTACTGCCATAGTGTAAAACATAAAAGAAAAGAACAGAAGAGAAGGTGTAGGGGCAATGAATAAAGGGAAAAAATTATGTCTCAAAAAGGGGAGGATGAAAACAAGGGGAAAGAAAGGAAATGAGACGGCAAGAAGGAAAGCATAGCAGGCTCATTCAAGAGGAACTCCTCTGAACCTGCTGCTATCATACATTCAGAAACACCTGTGTTTGGAAATGACCAAGTCATTTTCAGCCCAAGTGAGGGGTGCTTCAAGAATGAGAACCAGAATGTGAGGTCAGAGGATGCTTCATGTTCTAGGTTGTGAAACGGTCAACAGAGTTTCTCATGATGTGTACTGAACGGGCAAGCTGAGATTTCTGCAGAGCACCCATTTCAATCAAGAAATACAACATCTTCTAATTCCAGATAAGGCAGTGGGTAAGAAACACCTAGGTTGGTGTGACATCAGCAGTCTCCTAGAAACGTACCTTCTATTTACTGAAATGATTCTGAATTAAGCCTGGGAGCTGCTTATCAGCTAAATTTCCTGAAGCAAAATGTCAGTATCACTTTATTTGTAAAAGTTCTTTTTATCAGGGAGAGAAAAGTTGAAAATCAGATGTTCTGATATCATGTAAGTAATAACCCCAAAATGGCTTGATTTGCAGGATGATACGCTGTGGAAACTCTCCTAACACCTCCCAGTTGTGTAGTTTCCCAAATCAGTTTTACATAAATAGAAAGGTGTGCAATCTTCCAGTTAATATTAATGTGCTCATTTGCAAATGAGTTAAAATAACATGACATATCTGGGACTCGCCTCATTGACCCCTTTGGTTAGTGGTGATTCATTAAGCGGTCACTCCTTAAGACAGTAGTACTTGCTTGAACTGCTATTTACATTTGAAGACCTTTGCTAGGAATTTACAAATTTTCAGCAGGAATCTACATCATAGTTAGGTAGACAGGTTTGTCATGTGTGTTTGTGTGTGTTTAGGGGAGGGTAGGTGGACACAAGTAAAGAGAAGAAATGGGGTCACTTTAGTTGAAATAAATAAATTTAGAATTGTTCAGCTGATGTAAGAATGAGTTTGAACTGAGGGTAAGGTGGGTTTTCAAATAAATGGTTAATAGTGTTCTTGTGCAGATCTTGGTGGGTTTCTTGAAATCCACTCTAAAGTTATCCATTTAACCCATTTTGGGGGACACATACCACATTTCAGTATTATTTTAGGTTTTGGCACAATAGTGCAGAGGACAAAACAGGAAAAAAAAATCCCTGCATTTGTGGAGACAGACAATGAACAGGTGAGTAAATAAATGTATAGAATGTCTGGCAGTGAGAATGGGTTGGTTCAAAGGGTGTACAGTGAGACAGAGGTGACTTGTGTGGCCACTTTAGATGAGGGTGGTCAGGGTGACCATCTCTAATAAGGTCACCCTGTGACCTTATTAATAAAGTTAATAATTTGGTCACCAAATACTTTGGTCACCAAAGTTAATACTTTGGTCACCAAAGTTAATAATTTGGGAGGAGACCTAAGAAAGTGTGGGAATGAGTCACACAGACATCTGGAGGAAGAAAATCTGAGAGAGAGAGAGCAGTGAGAAGGCCTGGAGGGAAGAGTGTATTAGGCTTGTCTTGAAGAAGAGCAAGAAGGCCTAACCCAGGGTGTGGGCAGAAGGCTGTGGTAGATTACCAAGGTTCTGGTAGACCATGTAAGGACCTTGTCATTGCCTCTAGGCAGTTTTAGGAGGGGAATTTACCAGATTGACCAGTTCTGAGTTTTCTTTTTTTTTTAAGGGTCACTTTGTTGTATGAAGAGTAGACTGCAGTGGCCAAAGGAAAGTGTTCAGAGAGCAATTAGGGACAGCTTTAAAATAAAAAGTATAAAAAATTGGCATTGAGAAAGAGTGGAGACAGGGAGAATGATGAAATCCTGGAGATCTATTATATATATATATATATATATATATATATATATATATACACACACACACACACACACACATTTTTTTTTTTGAGACAGATCCTCCCTCTGTCACCCAGACTGGAGTGTGGCAGCACAATCTTGGCTTCCTGCATGATCTTGGCTCACTGCAACATCTGCCTCCAGGGTTCAAGTGATTCTCCTGCCCCAGCCTCCAGAGTATCTGGGATTACAGGTGCCTGCCATCACGCCCAGCTAATTTTTGTATTTTTATGAAATACAAAATGGGGTTTCGCCATCTTGGCCAGGCTGATCTCAAACTCGACCTCAAGTGATCCACCTGCCTCAGCCTCTCAAAGTGCTGGGATTACAGGCATAAGCCACAGAACCCAGCCCTATCCTGGTTATATTTTAAAGTTAATGCCAGCAGATTTTCTGAGAGATTGTGTGTAGGCAATGAGATAAAAAAGAGATGACAAAGATAATTGGATAAATCCATAACTTTTGCCTTTTTTTTTTTTCTCTACCACAAGTGCTAAATAAAGAATCAAGATCTTGGACCAAAACTTTCTCCTTTTGGGCTGCTCTGTTAGAATTGGCATACAGATAACTTTTAATGTTCCATGTCAACATTCTTTTCCATACGAAGTATGGTGATACATTTCTAGATACATTTCAGATACATTTCTACCCAACACAGAAACGATTCACACATGCTTGATAGATGTTCCTCCAAGCATGTGCTTGACTGAATTAATCAGCTTTTAAAATTGAACACAGGAAATCTCGATCATATCTTTTAGCATCTACCTTAACTTACCTGCTGTCCCGTTTAATTTTCACATATATGAAGAATTGTCCACCTCTATGAAAAAGTATATTTATAGTATGTGAGTATATGCTCTGTGTCAGGTAATTTATCTCATTCACATCTCTTAGAAACTGTGGATAGAAGTTCTTATCTCCATTTTATATAGGAAAAAAATCTAAGGTTTACAAAGCCTTCCACCATATAGAACTTTAAAACCTAAAATTATATATATATATAATATATATTTTAAATCATGAGTGTGTGTTATAATACACACAGATGAAGCATGAATTGTTTATAAATATGATAGATTTATCACAGTATAAACCCCTATATAACATGACATAGTCAAATCAAGAAATAGAACTCACACTCCAAAAGCTCTCATACCCCTCCAAACCACTGTACCTTGCTCCCCCAAAGTAATCATTATTCTGATGTTCCATAGTCACTTTTCTTTATTGTTTTATCAGATAAGCATAGATTACTAAACACTATAGTTAAGTTTTGCATGTTTATGTTTTAACATTTACATGAATCATGTCTTACATGTGATATTTTGTGTCTGGCATCTTTGACTCAATACTGTATTTGTGAAACTTATCCATGTTTTTTGGATGTAGCCATAGTCCATTTACTTCCTGTGCTGCCTGCTATTCCATCATGTGACATATCACAATTTACTTGTCCATTCTGCCATTAAAGAATGTTTGGGTTGCTTCCTGTATTTCGTCTACTATGAAAATGATACTTCAGACTTTTTTTATGCACATGTCTTAGTGCAAATGTTCACAGATTCCTGCAGGGTTTGTACTAGTGAAATTGCCAGGTTTCAGGAAATATGTATCTCCAACTTTACTAAATGATGCCAAACAGTTTGACAAAGGATTTGTACTAATTTACATTTCTACTAGCACCACAGGAGAGTTCCATATGCAACATTTTTCTATGGTAATATTTTATATTGTCATTCTTCTTAGTTTTAGATATTATGTGAGAACATAATAATATCTTATTTGATTTTAACCCTCAGTTCACTTTTAATGTGGTTGAATTTTTTTTCATTTTTGTATTTTCTCTTGTGAAATACCAATTTAAATCCCTAGCTAACCTTTCTTTTGGCTTGTTAGCATTGGTCTTATTGATTTGGAGGATATATTCTAGATTTTTTTAAATTTATATTTTCTAATTTTTAAATTTGACATAAAATTATATGCATTTACCATATAAAACATGATGTTTTAAAATATATACACATTGTGGAATGGCTTGGATTTTTAAATGTATTCCAAAATCAAGATTTTCATTAATTATATCAACTTCCAAACAGTGGCTTGCCTTTTTAATCTTTTTATAGTGTCATTTGACCAAATTTGTCAATCTTTTCCTTTAGGGTAGTGTTTTTGAATCCTGTTAAGAAGGCAGACATTATTTCTTCATTAAGTACTTGATAAAATTAAATCCTTAAACCGTATAAGTTTTTAATTTTGCTTATGGATTCAACTTATTTACTTAAAATACTTCTTGTGTCCATGTGGGTGGATGGTATTTTATTTTCTATAATTTTGTCCATTTTATCTAAATTTTAAAATTAGCAAAAATGTGTTTGCAATATCTATCCTCACATAATTTAAATGTTGGTCAAATCTGTATTGATATCTCTGTTTCATTTATGAATATTGATGCCTTCTCTCTCTTTTTTCTTTTTTTATCAACCTATCAGCGTATTTATTGCTCATGTTATTAGCTTCTCTTTTACACACACACACACACACACCCCACACCCATATACTACTTTTGCTGTGCCTTTAGTCCTGAAAGTGTCAAAGTTCAGTTCTACCTCTCACATTTAAGAACTTGCAAATACCCTTAGCCGGAGAGACACCCTCAATGCCAGGTTGTCCTCTCTAGATGTCAGCCTCCCAGTCTCAGCCTGGAAACTCTGCACTTTCTAATTAGCACTCCACTCCCTTCAACCACACTAAAATAAAATGTTGTCAAGTAATCTAGTTATTCTTTTGAAAAATAATTATTGATAATTAATATTTAATTCCAAATTTGTTTTGGTCTAAAAATGGTTTACATTCCACCCTAACTCAGTCTACCAATACCACAATCAAACCGATACCAAAATCAAATGCTTGATCATTCTGGCTGGTATTGTTTCTCATTTATTTATATCCATTTATCTTATCTTCCAATATATTTTATATGATTCTATGAGTGATTTTCCAGGATGAGTTCCAAACCGCCCCCAACAGCACACATTCAAAACAGGGTCGTGCATATAGTCAATCAATAACACTTTCTGAATAAAAGTGGATCACACTTAATAAAGAAGGAAATATTTTTTAGGTTATTTCTGGTTGTCCAAGCCAACCAACTGCTTCCCAACCTGGGTCCCCAACATTCAGCTGATTTTTGCATTGTGTAAATACAGCTTAAAAATCTAGTTTGTGAAAATCCTTCAAACTGGTTATTTGGAAATTGCTTCCAATCTAAATCCATCCACATACATGCCTCAAAACCATCAGTCTGAACAACCCAAAATGAATGGAGAATGTGGGTTGGGGAGAGAGACCTGTTCTCTGCTGTGATGTTCTTTTCAGAAGTCATGTGAATATTATCAGTAAAGAGCATTCCTAAATATCCTCCTTTTAATATACAGCTCCCTCTTTTTTCCTTACATCCTTTCTGACTAGGTTTCTAAACTACAGCCTTGGCTTCAGATGATTATTCATATCATCATTATTCCAGACTAAAAGCCGTTAAGTAAATACCCAAGACTTGAAAAATTGTGAAGGATAATTCTTACATAACACGAACTTCATTATATGGTTCTGTCATCCTCTCCTTCCTCCAATTTCTTTCACTCTAATATTTTTATCTATTTAGTAACATTATTTCTTATGTACTTTTACACCATATTCAGTATAAATAGCATAATTAGCAGTGGAAAATAATTTGTTGCCTTCCTGCATTTATTTATGTTCAAAAGATCATGTAAAGTTCTGCTACATTAAAATTTAATTCGAGAGAAAACGAGTTTTGTTCATTTCTCAATGCAATGCCCATTTCTGTTCAGCTTGTATGAATGATAAAATATTATCGGTCCATGTTTTTCTATTTGGTTTCTAGGCATTTGTGTAAACTAGTTAGGAAAAGCAAGTGTTGCTTTGTTAGGCATGTGTTCAAAGAAGTATTGTAGAGACATATTTTATTCTGGGCACCCTGTCACCATGTAGACAGGGCCCAATCCATTATTTAGCAGTTAATTTGTTAATCGATTGACCAATTGGTTCAGGGATTTTTTACTCTTAGATTACCAAAAGGAAGAAAAAGGAAAGAAAGAAAACAACGACAACAAAAAGCCTCCTCTGTAGGGTAAATTAAAGGAAATTGCATCAAAATCGAAAATGCACTGGTGTTTACAGATCTAGATTAAATCTGACACAGATTGGCAAACAATGAAAAAGGTTCCCTCGCTCGGAGCATAAACATTTTGAATCTCGCCAGAGTGATGTCAAATCTTAGAAAGCAAGTAAACTGAAGTGCCCTTCTGGGGTGGATGTGGGGGCACAAGCAGGCAGAAGGAGTTACCTTCAGGTTGGCTTAAAGTCGTCCAGATTTTCTCTCCAGGTTTGGAGAAAAAGTGGAAAGTTTTCCACTTTTCAAGATTCTTTTACAGATTTCATTACCTCCTCCTTTCTCCCAATCTTTAGCTGAAAGTAGAGATGAAGTAGACAAATGCACTGTGAATATACACACTTTGATACACTGAGGATGCCCATAATATCTTAAGAAGGGGAGAATTGTGAAATTCACAATTAAAATGAATTTATATGAATTATTAGATGACTTTATGCAAAACAATAAATCGATTGCCATTGCTATTAATGAGTATTTTAATAGAGAAATATGAGTCAAGTCACTTAATTTTTATGTAACTAGTCTTCTCTCTAAGTTAATTTACATTTATGTTTACCATATTCTTTCAAGTACTATTTTTGAGGGGTGGTGTGTGTGTGTGTGTGTGTGTATGTGACAGGGAGAGTAGTATTCATGCTTATCCTCAGCCATTTATATTCCATCAATTCTCATTGACACCATATGTATTTCACATCATTACTTTTTTGTCTGCCTTGGTAGTTCAAAGGAATCAAATTTGTGAAAAACTCTTGTTACCTTTCCTGAAGGTTAAGATGTGAGATAATGGCAAAGATAAAATTTTAAATGCCTTCCCTACAAGAACAATAAGAGAAGAATAAACCGAGCTACTTGAAAATTTTTTTATTAGTGCATAGGGCTGGTCTGGATAGTCACCTCTGTGCCCCCATCTCTTTTCACCCATCTCTTTCTAAAAAGGTAAGGTCAGGTTTATCTGGAACTTGTCTTCTCCTTCAGACTCCATCCACAATACCACCTGGAAGAGAGCCCTGTAGAAAGCATTTATGGAAATATAGAAAATAGAGTTCAGCCCTTTCCTGGTCTGTGAAATCAAGAGACACTCAAGAGGAATTGAGATTACTGAGTTTCTGCTAATTGCTAAGGATCCTCAGGGTCAACAACCTGTCACCTTTCAATGCACAACTAACCTCCAATAAGGGTAGTGTTGAATAAATTAGTTAGGACATATGCCCAGGAGGGGAATAAGAACAGCAGAGTATCCTGTCCAGGAAGGAAGCATTTTTACCATGTTCAGCATAACCTTATAAGCGTGGTGGGAAAAGCCTTTGTTATTTGAGCCCATAAAAGTCTGTGGCCTCCTCTCTGGAAACATTACTTCCTCTACCTCTCAAATGCCAGTTTTAAAATTTTATTCCTTTGCCTACCGTGTTTCTGAAATGAACCCCCACCCCCCACCCCCAATGTTGTTGACTTTACTTCTACTTATTATTCTTTACTGACCAGGTGCCAACTCTTCTGAGAAGCCTCTGTGAACTGCTTCTCAACAGGATTAGCCACTTTATTTTTCTCACCTCCTCCCTTAATGGCATTTCCATTATTGCTGGCATTTTGCTGTAATTTAATTATTATTGTCTAGGTCTTTTGCCTCCTCTCTTCAGCATCTGCCTCTCAACATCAAACTAAGAGTTTCTTGAGGCTAAGTCTCCAATCTTTCATCTTCCCATCCTGGAAAATCTGAGCTACTGGTGTGCAGTAAAGCCAAATGTGTGCAAACAGAAGTGATGAAATTCAGAATTATTTGAATGATTTTCTTAAATCAGCAAAGAGAACAAACTTTTGCAGATGCCCTGTGTGATAAGAAGCACACTCATTCAACAAGTTTAGAACATCCATTTAATCCTGCTCTTTTCTTGCTAATATTCAAATTTCTTTAGTTGACTTGTATTTCAGGACCTTGTTGAAAAAATAACAATATTCTAGATTCTAGAGTCTAGAAAAGTAGGATCAACCTTTGACATATATCAGAATTGAGGGACTAAGTGGCTAAGTTGGCTGGACTTCCTGGGTCAACAGGGACTTCCCCAGGGGGACTTTCCCCTAAGCCAAAATGAGTCATAGCTGCAAGGTACGGGATTGAAACTTCACCCAATCAACAGGGACTTTCCCCTAAGCCAAAATGAGTCATAGCTGCAAGCGAAGGGATTAAAACTTCAACCAATGAAAGGGGACTTTCCCCTAAACCAAAATGAGTCATAGCTGCAAGCTAAGGGATTGAAATTTCAAGCAATCAAAGGGGACTTTCTTCTAAGCCAAAATGAGTCACAGCTGCAAACTAAGGCATTGAAACTTCAACCAATCATATAGGGAGTTTAAGCTCTAGCTGCAGCCTGATGTTTTTAACCAAGCAGGCCCACCAACCCACAAGCGGATAGAAAATAAGCTAATCCTACAGGACAGGAAAAGGAAAAGGGGAGGAGTCATAAGGGGACATAAGCCTAAGACACCCAAGCCAGAAACGGCAGCCATTCCGGATCCCCATGGAAGCTTTACTTTCTCTTTTGCTTTACTTTCGCTTTTGCTTTACTTCCGCTTTTGCTTTACTTTCGCTTTTGCTTTACTTTCACTTTCGCTTTAATAAATCTTGCCGCAGCACACTCTTTGGGTCTGCGCGTTTCTCTAATCGAGCTATAACATTAGCCGCTGTGGTCCAGGGCTTCATTCCTTGAAGCCCGTGAGACCATGAATCCTTCAATTGAGAAAAACCTTCAATAGGAAGACTTCTCATCTCAGAATCTTCTAGGGGAGATTGTTAAAGCTCAAGTTGTTGGGCCCAACCCTAGAGATTCTGATTCAGTAGTTTGGGGTTAGGGTCTGAGAATTTCAGGTGATGTATTCAGGTGACGCAACTGACAGTGATGCTGCCTGTCCTGGGACTGTGCGCTGAAAGCCACTGCTCTACAGTGCAATTAGCTGCAGTTTAGAGTTAGAGAAGGACATTCGAACTGTGCTTCATTTCTAGGCAGAGGCTGGAGATTTTCCTTCACAGCTCACGCTTTGGCTTGGCAATAATCTCAATCATTGTGTCATTTTGCTAGGACTCAGCAGGGGTGAGGGAGGCAAACTGCTAATATAGTGGAAAAGGGTCTGCATTTTGTTAACCTTGTGTAAGTGAAGTTCACAAAAGATTTGTCTTCTTAGGCATTCTTTTCTTGGACTTCTTCAATCAACCCCAATGCACGTGATTATAACAGAAAGGCTCCTGGTGGATCCTTTTGTAACATGTAACATCATTCTTTTAAAGCAAATAAGGGGCCATTAGACAGAGATAGTTTGTACCAGAAGCTCTTAGTTAAGCAAACTGAAACTTAACTTGGAGTCATTTCCTGTAATTGACTTACAGAAATAAAACAAAAGAACTTCAAAACAAAACAAAAGAGCTTCCACCAATAACAAACATTCAAACAGCCAATTGGTTATAAAATTAGGAGCTTTTGATCAGACCAGACCAGACCCAAATAAGACAAATGCCTAGCTACAGCCAGCCAGGAATTACTTTACTTCTGCGTTCAGCCTGTGAAAACTTGCTGGAACAAAGCTCTCTGAACCTTTTGCAATTTTGAGTGTTGCCTGATTCATGAATTGTTTGTTTCTTTGTTTTGAGACAGAGTTTCGCTCTTGTTGCCCTGACTGGAGCGCAATGGCGTGCTCTCAGCTCACTGCAACTTACGCCTCCCAGGTTCAAGCGATTCTCCTGCCTCAGCCTCATGAGTAGCTGGGATTACAGGCATGCACCACCACGCTTGGCTAATATTGTATTTTTAGTAGAGATAGGGTTTCTCCATGTTGGTGAGACTGGTTTCAAACTCCTGACCTCAGGTGATCCACCCGCTTTGGCCTCCCAAAGTGCTGGAATTACAGGTGTGAACCACCACACCTGGCGAATTGTTCTTTTTTAACATAAACTCTGCTACATTTATTTTATCTAAAGTTTTTTCTTTTTCCATAGATGTGTATGATTGGTCTAGGAATAAACACCTGACAAAAGCTCTACTAAGTGTTCCCTTCTGATGATTTTCATGAATTTTCTTTACAATTCTGTAGGCCCTTTCCATAATCTTATTAGAATTGTTACTACATAACAATATATTATGTAGCTTATGTCCAACTAAACAAATAATGTCTTATTTCTTGTGCTTCACTCTAAGAAAAGTATTTTTATATAAAGTCTGAATTTAACTACAGGAACAAAAAAACATGAAACAATCAGAAACAATGTCATTCATTTATACTAAGAAAAGGAGACAGGAGGTAAAAGATTTAAGGGATTGAAGAAATTGTCAAATGGCATTCGAAGACAGTGGAAGCAGAAGTTTACTGGAGAATTGTATGGGCACCAACCTGAGTCAGCATCCCACTCATGGGTGTGTGACACGGTCTGTCTCTCAAAATTGCACCAGAGTGGTTTCAATAACTTAGAGACAGTACAGTCACGTTTTCTGCCCTGACCCATTCCATCTGATCTTTAAGGGCTAGCTCCCTTCTCACTGCCTTTATGCAGTCTTCTCTGATTTCCCACATACACTCTGATCGCTATTCCAAGTAGCTGACTAGTTATTACACAACTTTGCTAATAGGCTGGAAATTGCAGCCACATCATAGTGTGTCCGGAATTGGTGGGTTCTTGGTCTCACTGACTTCAAGAATGAAGCCGCAGACCCTCGCAATGAATGTTACAGTTCTCAAAGAAAGTGTGTCCGGAGTTTGTTCCTTCTGATGTTTGGATGTGATCGCAGTTTCTTCCTTCTGGTGGGTTCAAGGTCTCGCTGGCTTCAGGAGTGAAGCTGCAGACCTTCGTGATGAGTGTTACAGCTCTTAAGGTGGCACATCTGGAGTTGTTCATTCCTCCTATCTGGAGTTGCTCGTTTCTCCCGGTGGGTTCGTGGTCTTGCTGGCCTCAGGAGTGAACCTGCAGACCTTCGCAGTGAGTGTTACAGCTCCATAAAGGCAGTGTGGACACAAACAGTGAGCAGCAGGAAGATTTATTGGAAACAGTGAAAGAACAAAGCTTCCACACTGTGGAAGGAGACCAGGGTGGGTTGCCACAGTTGGCTCAGGCAGCCATTTTACAGAAAGCTGATTGGTCTGTTTTACAGAGAGCTGATTGGTCCATTTTGACAGGGTGCTGATTGGTGCATTTACAATCCCTGAGCTAGACACAGAGTGCTGATTGGTGTATTTACAATCCTCTAGCTAGACGTAAAAGTTCTACAAGTCCCCGCTAAATTAGCTAGACACAGAGCACTGATTGGTGCATTTACAAACCTTGAGCTAGACACAAGTGTTGCTGATTGGTGTGTTTATAAACCTTGAGCTAGACAGAGTGCTGATTGGTGCATTTACAAACCTTGAGCTAGACACAGAGTGCTGCTTGGTGCATTTACAATCCTTTAGCTAGACATAAAAGTTCTCCAAGTCCCCACTAGACTCAGGAGTCCAGCTGGCTTCACCTAGTGGATCCCGTGCCAGGTCTGCAGGCAGAGCTGCCCATCAGTCCCATGCCATGCGCCTGCACTCCTCAGCCCTTGGGTGGTTGATGGGACTGGGCGCCGTGGAGCAGGGGGCGGTGCCTGTCGGGGAGGCTCAGGCTGCACAGGAGCCTACCGTGGGGGGGCTTGGGCATGGCGGGCTGCAGGTCCCGAGCCCTGCCCTGCAGGGAGGCAGCTGAGGCCTGGCGAGAATTTGAGTGCAGTTCAGGCAGGCCGGCAGTGCTGGGGGACCCAGTGCCCCCTCCACAGCTGCTGGCTGGGGTGCTAAGCCCCTCACTGCCCAGTGCCGGCGACACAGGCCTGCTGCTCCGAGTGCGGGGCCCGCCGAGCCCACACGCACCCGGAACTCGTCCCGGGCCATGAGCGCCACGCACAGCCCTGGTTCCAGCCCGCACCTCTCCCTCCACACCTCCACGCAAGCAGAAGGAGCCAGCTCCAGCCTTGGCCAGCCCAGAGAGGGGCTCCCGCAGTGCAGCGGTGGGCTGAAGGGCTCTTCAAGTGTAGCCAGAGCAGACGCCAAGGCCAAGGAGGCGCTGAGAGCAAGCGAGGGCCACCAGCACGTTGTCACCTCTCAATAACATTTTCATAATTGTTTTCTGCTAGCATTTCATGTTTTGTTTTACATTCACTTTTATTGTCTGCCCAATGAGTCAGCAAACTTTTAAGTCAGTCTCAGTATTTCACTACTTTTATCCTTACAAACTTCATAGATATGCCTGACACAAAAGTACAAATATTTGAATTATAAGAGAATTAAAATTATGGAATCTGAAAATTTAACATCAAAAGTTACAGTTGATATTTCACCTCTAAGTTCTTTATTCAATATTTATGTGCTCTTTGTGACTTGTTTGGCTGAATTGATTAAGAGAAATAGTTCCAAAATGGGTCAGGGTAATTTTACTGTTGGCTAGTTATTTGGAAAATTTGTGAATATTTTCAAAACCATCAGTTCTCTTGGGTGTTCTAAATTTCACTCAGTGTGACTGTTTATATATACATATATGTTTATTTATATGCACATACATATGAATATACATACATACTAAAAATGAGTATATAGGCAGGATGCAAATAGATAGTATGGCAAATTCAGAGCATCATTTCATATTGAATGGATGTAGGGGTATGTGAGTGTGCATATACACAACTGATTATATATATATATATATACACGCAAACACATATGTATGTATAATATATATAATTACATATAAGTGTATACATATAATGAATAATACCTAACGTGTACAAGAATACCTTGTTTTACGGCACTCATTTTATTGTACTTGGCAGAGAGATTGAGTTTTTTATAAATTGAATGTTGTGGCAACCGTGGCTTGAGCAAGGCTATTGATGCTACTTTTCCGACAACATGTGATCATTTTATGTCTCTGTGTCACATGTTCAATTCTTATAACATTTCAAGCTTTTTCATTATTATCATATCTGTTATGATGATCTGTGATGAGTGACCTTGGATGATACTGTTATAATTATTTTGGGATGTCACAAACCACACACACATAAGATAGCAAACTTAATCAATAAATATTGTGTGTGTTCTGACTGCTCCACCAAATGGCCATTTTGTATTTCACTCCCTCTCCTAGGGCCACCCTATTGTCTGACACACAACAGTATTGAAATTAGACATAATTAGACCCTAACAATGGGCCTAATTTTAATATTGTTATGTGTCAGGCAATCGGGTGGCCCCAGGCATCTGCAATGACCTCTAAATGTTCAACTGAAAGAAACTGTGACATGTCTCTAACTTTCAGTCAAAAGCTAGAAATGATGAAGCTTAGCGAGGAAGGCTCATTGAAAGCCAAGATAGGAGAAAAGCTAGGACAAACAGGCAGGTCGTACCTGCAAAGAAGAAGTTCTTGAAAAAAATTAAAAATGTTACTCCAGCAAACATATGAATGGTAAGAAAACAACCAAATCTTATTGCTGATATGGAGAAAGTTTCTCTAGTCTGGATAGAAGATCAAACCAGCCACAATCTTTCTTTAAACCAAAGCCCAAATCAGAACAAACCCCTAACTCTCTTCAATTCTATGAAGGCTAAGAGAGGTGAGGAAGCTGCAGAAGAAAAGTTAGAAGCTAGTAGAGATTGGTTCATGAGATTTAAGGAAAGATGCCATCATCATAAAAAGTACACGGTGAAGCAGCAAGTACAGAAAGTTATTCAGAAGATCTCGCCAATATCATTGATTAAGGTGGTTACATTAAACAACAGATTTTCCATATATATGAAACTTCCTTCTATTGGAAAAAGATGCTATTTAATACTTTCATAGCTACAGAGGAAACATCAATGCCTAGCGTCAAAACTTTAAAGGGCAGGTTAACTCTCTTATTAGGGGGTCAATGCAGCTTATAATAAAGTTAATATTTATTTACTGTATGAAAATATAATGCTAAATCTCTTCTTCCTGTGCTCTATAAATGGAGCAACAAAGCCTGGATGACAACATGTCTTTTTGCAGTATGGTTTACTAAATATTTTAAGCCCGCTGTTGAGATCTACTGCTTAGAAAAAAATAAGAGCCAGGGATTTGTAATATTACATAAACTGAGTTGATAAAACAGTGGCAAGTTTTGAGAGGATTGACTTCAATTTTGAAAGAAGTTCTACTGTGGGTAAAATGCTGTCAAACTGCACGTCATGCTACAGATAAATTTTTCCTGAAAGAGTCTATCAATGTGGCAAACTTCATTGTGTCTCATTTTATGAAATTGTCACAGCCACCCTAACCTTGGGCAACCACTATCCTGATCAGTCAGCAGCCCTCAACATCAAGATAAAACCTTTCACTAGCAAAAATATTACAGCTAACTGAAGGTTGAGATGTTCATTAGCACTTTTAGCTACAAAATATTTTTAAATTAAGGTATGGACTTCTTTTTAGAAATCATGCTATTGCACACTGAGTAAACTCTAATATGGAAAAACCATACATTTTCTATGCATTGGGAAACCATAAAATTTGTTTGATTCATTTTATTGTGGTGGTCTGGAACAGAACCTTGAATATCTGAAGGTATGCCTGTGTAAATAAGTGTGTGTTTATATATAATGAGTGTATGTGTGTATATATTTATATAATATCTATTGTATTATGTATATTGAACATGAAAAGAATGCTCTAAATTTGCCATACTATTTGCCCCCCCTTATTATATGCGTGTGTGCATGAATGTGCATATATTCTTCAGAGCAGAAAGTGTGTGTCAGTTTATTTAATACATATAGAGAGCCAGAAAGAGAGAGAGAATTACATTATTATTTGGGGGCATTTAAGTTAAATTTGCTCACAATATCATACACACACATAAACACACAAAACATATTCTGTCAGATATTATTTTCAAGATTTGGGATTGTTTAATCTCACATGTCTCCCATATGTAGTTGATGTAGCATGAAAAATATAATTACCTGCAATCGATACAACCAATTCCAAATGGTGAATAGGAGCTACGAAAAACAGTGATTTAAGATACTCCTGCAAACCACAATTACAGAGACATAAAACCCTCCAGGAAAGAAACATTTATTCCAAAAACCTGTTTATTGCCACAGAAGAAACTTGAAATGAGTTTTATAAACTTTGCATCAAAGTTGACTTTTTCAACAAAAGTGGATGGAAAAAAGTAGTTAATTTTTACCTAGCGTCAGCTTATGGGGAGTCAGAAATGACAATATTCATTTTCAGTTGGGCAAATTCAGCCCCAAAGAGTACACCTATCAAGCCATGTTGAGCCAAGAATTGACTTCTTTCTTGACCTAGGTCCTTGAATGTTCCTTCACGGCAAAAGGAAAACCTGCCAGACATCATTAAGCATGATTTCTTCCTCCAACAGGCTTTCAATCTAAGTTGTATTTTATTTAGAATCCACACACAGGGGAAAGCAGCAGCGCAGTGCCCTGCTAGAAATGAGCAATAACATTCAAAGGAAGATTGGAAGCTGAAGATCTAATCATTAACAACAGATGGTTCAACTTGAATCCGATAAACAAGTTTTGTTGTTTGCTTTCCTTCCCCCTCTTATCCACTTGAATGGCCTATGTGAGTGTGTTTGCATGTAAAAGTGCTGGGCCCTGCTTCACCAACATAGATGGCTCACCTGATTGAAGGAACACTTTTATGATCAGGCTGGAATCTTTATAACTTGAAAGACACTTAACAGTCTGATGCTGAAGTCTATAGCATGCCTGCCCTATTTGTTTTCTTTGTGAGAGTTTAGCAACTGCAGTGTTCCTTAATGTGCTCTGACAAAGCCTCTTAATCCGGTCATAGTCCCTTTCTTTGGCTGGTGATTGCTTTCCTAAAATCACAAACCCAAAGAGTGTTTGTTGTGCCTGCCTTGAATCTGCCCTCCTCTTTTTTGTGTTCTATTTTAGAGAAGAAAAAGAGGAGGGCATATTGAAAACATCGTATTAGACACCGTGATGTGCATTGGAACTCTGTATCAGAAAATATCATAGGCATGATAGACATGCACATATGGTCACAAAATTGCAGCTCCTGGGAAGGAAATAATCACGTTTTAATGTTTTCGCCACATTACATAGTGGGCATGTCCTTAATACTCTCCAGAATGAAATATCTTTTTAAACATATAAGTAAGTAGTTCAGATGTTATTTCATATGTAGCGCATTACTATTTCCTTAATCTCCTAAAGTATTGGAGAAGTAGGTGGCAGAAAAATATACAACTTATTTAATGAAAGGAAAGAAGGGAAGGAAGGAAGGGAGGGAGGAAGGAAGGAAGGAAGGAAGGAAGGGAGGGAGGGAGGGAGGGAGGGAGGGAGGGAGGAAGCCACCAGCAAGAAAAATTCTGTATCTTACTCTAGTTAATATGACTATATGACTCTCCACAACTCCTTTAGATGAGAAATCAGCAGAGACATCTCTTGCTTTGTTTAAATGAGCCCACCTCTTTCTCTATTTAACTTAACAGTGACCTTAGTCTCCTTCCAAACCTTCCAAAGGCCCACTGATCATGCACCTAGAGTCCCTGAGGGTATTTCTCCTCACTGTGGAGTTCTTCCAAATTTAATACTTGCTCAAGGGAACCAGGGTTTATTGAATCCCTGTGCTGGCCTTTCTGTTTTCTTTCATGAACTTCAACTCTGATTGTCAGGGATTTATTTACTGAAGAATTCCTCCCTGTAAAGCATGAAGGTGAATGAGGCAGGGGAATGATAAGAATTAAAACTTTCCCCATTTAGCCTCATAATCATAACAAATATAACATAAAATGTTTTCATTTGCCAAAATTAACTTGTATTGGTGAGGGTTCTCCAGAGAACCAGAACCAATAAAATATATAGGAAAATTAATAAGAAGAAATTAAGTATAGGAATAGGCTTACATAGTCATAGAGGTTGAG
The DNA here is from genome assembly GCF_000001405.40 of Homo sapiens. Classification (NCBI taxonomy): domain Eukaryota; kingdom Metazoa; phylum Chordata; class Mammalia; order Primates; family Hominidae; genus Homo; species Homo sapiens. Next base: position 38,949,791 of record NC_000018.10, read on the forward strand.
AAGTTCCATGATCTGTCTTCCACAAACTGGGGAATCAGGAATTCCAGTGGTGTAATTCAGCCCAAATCCGAGGACCTGAGAATCTAGGGACCAATGATTTAAGTTCTGAAAGCCCAAGAACTGGGAATGCTGTTGTCTGAGGGCAGAAGATGAATGCGCCAGCTCAAGCAGACAGAGAAAAATTACCCTTCCTCTACCTTTTTGTTCTATTCAGGCCCTCAATGGATTAGGTAAGGCCCACCAGCATTGATGAGGTTGTTCTTTATTCAGTCACCTGATCCAAATGTGAATCTCTTCCAGAGACGCCCTCAGAGACACCCAGAAATAATATTTTAACAACTACCTGAAATCTCAGCCCAATTAAGTTGACACATAAAATGAAACATCACAAGTCCACCCCTTGTCAACCTGGCATTAATACCCTCCTCTTTATACCATATTTAATCTCCAAACAAAGACACTAACAAGGTCATAATTCAACCTAACATGATACAATTATTGTTTTACCTGGGTAATATTCTGATTTAGAGGCAATCGGTCATAATCTCACAGAGGATAGCTTTTAACCATTGGCTCCTTAGCCAAATACATATAACAAATATCTCATGTTGACACATAAAATTAAGCATGACATAGTTAACATTAGTATAATGCTTGTGCTATATTATTCAAAAAGATGTGTTTTCTCTTTTTTTAAAAAAAAATATGTAGCTTTAGTCATATTGCAAAAGGCTAACTTCTGCAAGTCACAGACTAGGAGGAGATCATCATAATATATACATCCAATACATCCAATAAAAAACAAATATTCAGAATTTATATGGAAATCTTCAAATCCATTTTAATAAAGACTAATAACTCAAAAATTGACAAAATGTATTAACAGGCATTTCACAATGAAAATATTCAAAAGTCTAATAACTATCCAAAATAAGATACCAGGTGACTCTAACTGAAGAATACACTGATCAAAGGGCTAAAATTAAAAAGACAGACAACATCAAGGGTTGCCAAGAATGTCAATCAAGTGGAAATGTTTATAACACTAATGACACACTGTTGTGTGTGTCAAGTGATCAAATATTTTAGAAGAGTGTTTGGTAATATCTATAAAACTAAATTTGTGACTCCTCTATACCTGAGAAATCTCATTTCTCAGTATATTTCAAAAAGAAATTAGTATTCCTGATTTCTTTCTTCTCTAACATTTAACATATTAAATTGTTGGCATAAAAGTAGAATGTTAGTGTCCGTACAGTCCTGGACCGAGGCATTCTTGGAAGTCTGGTTTTAAAGAAGGAGTAATACATGGTCATTGGGATAAAATAGAGAAGGAAGGAGGAGCACTACTATGAACAGAGGATTCATCCAACCTAAATAATAAAGTAGCATTCAAGTTTTGGTGGAAGAAGGAAGAAAATGGTATCTTTCTGGTCTAGTATCGAAAGCCAAGGACAGCAGAATTTGACAATAGTTTAAAGCACAGGCCCAGAATTTCCAGGCAGTTGTTAATATCAAAAAGACTTCTAATCCCTGTGTCAGAGAAGTATACCAAAGTCAAGTTAAGGTCAAGCCCCAAAGATGAGGAATGAAGATAAATAACACAGATTATTTCACGGTCCAGAAGATGCTGTCTTGGCTGCAGGGCCAGGCTCTGACAGCAGCAGATTACTAGCATGGAGATTAGAGTCAGGGGTAAAACCTCCTAAAAAGGCAGAATGTGCAGACAAATGATCACCTGGGCATCCACGGGAGGGAGTTTACCCCACTATCTCCAGAACCCAGAAGTAGAAATAGCAGACTGCCTTCCAGCCCCCTCACTAACAGGGAAGAAAAGCTTAGAAAGTATAGTCAGGCTGAGTTCTAATTAGTTTGGGGATTGGGCTAAGCTGGAGATTCAGATGGTAAGTTTGCAGTAGGCAGGCTTGGCAGGAAGGGCAAGGACAGCCAAGCTGTCTGGGGACAAAGTCTTTTTCTATCTACATACCAAAAGTTAGCACAATGGATTAAGGAAACAGTCCAAGAGCTGATCTGTTTTTTAGTTTACTGGGTGACTAAGTCACAAACTTAGTGGGACTTAGTCACCCAGTAAACTGACCGGGTGACTAAGTAAATAATAAAGTGTGACTTCAGTTCATTAATTCGAATACCCAAACCTTGTTAGGATGGATTAAGGCATCAACTAGTACTGTTGAAACATCTCATAGTCTCATATAGTGGCTATACAGTCAACTCTCCATATCCACAGATTCCTCATCCTTGGATTCAATCAATAATGAATAAAAAATATTCAAAATAAACCAAAACAAAACAAGAAAAATAACACAACATTAAAGAAACAATTTTTAAAATGTGGTAAAACAATTATTTACATAGCATTTGCATTATATTAGGTATTATAAGTCATCTAGAGATGATATAAAGAGCTATTATAAATAGTCCAGAGATGATATGGGAGAATGTGTGTAGGTTATATGGAAATTCTGCATTTCACTGATACTGCTGATTAAGTTTAGCTGAACACAACTAATGGGTGGAAATGTTTACAGTCTGCACATATTTTAGTTTATTATTAATTTTGCAGTAAATTGTGCATTTCCAAGGATACTTGAGGTTAATTGCCATATTAAAAATGTACACTGTAGTTTTTTAGTTCTACCTTGCCGAAGGTTACTGTACTTGTCAATCACTTGTTGAGCTAGTAGTTACCAGTAATTGAAAACAAGGGAAACTTGACTAGGAAAAAACCCAGGGGGATTTTTTAATTGTTTTATTGACTCTTCCCTTTTATTTTTTAATAATAGCAATTGAAGTGTCTAACTTTAATTTTTAATGTTACTAATATACTTTTGAGTAAATAATCAACTACTGCACACCTACAACATTGGCAACTAAACTTAAATCACTTATTAAATCAATCCTTTTTTTTTTTTTGGTAGATATTTGGCAAATCTTAATGCTAGATTTTGAGTCCCTTGAGGAAAGAAGTCAAGTCTTTCCCATAGCTTTACTCCCAACCCTAACATGTTGATTGAAACATCAGGGGCTCTCAATGGTAATAAAAAGGATAACTGACTAGTTGTAGCTTACGGTGCAATTGTTTCCAACTCTTCCTGCTGCCTTCAAGCAATGGGAGTATGCATTTCTGCTTGCCATGCTGCAATTTTAATGCTAGCCTTGTCCGTGTATATCTAGCTTTGGTAAATAATATGTGGACATAATATGTACCATACCTGAGCAGAAGTTTTGGAAGACATTGTGAGGTTTCACTTTCCATCTTAATCCTGGAAAGAAGCAGCCCTCAGAGTCACATAGGACCTCTAACAATCTTCAACAAGAGGTCTGCTCCTAGTATGTAACTTGAGCAAGAAATAGACCTTTGATCTTGAAAGCCACTGAGATTTTATACAGCTAATGAATATACTCCATCATTTGAATGAGCAGGTTTCACTTGTCACCGGTTGAATGCTTAGTTTAACTCAAAGATGTGTTTATGTTTATCTATAATATATTTTATAAAACTGACTGATCAGGCGCAGTGGCTCATGCCTGTAATCCCAGCACTTTGGGAGGCTGAGGCTGGTGGATCACGATGTCAGGAGATCCAGATCATCCTGGCTAACACGGTGAAACCCTGTCTCCACTAAAAATACAAAAAATTAGCCGGGCGTGGTGGCGGGCACCTGTAGTCCCAGCTACTTGGGAGGCTGAGGCAGGAGAATGGCGTGAACCCAGGAGGCGGAGGTTGCCGTGAGCCGAGATCGTGCCACTGAACTCCAGCCTGGGTGACAGAGCGAGACTCCATCTTAAAAAAAAAAAAAAAAAAAAAACTGACTGATCTGTGGAATAGACTTCTCCAACTTGTGACAAGTTAAGGGATGTGTCTTACTTGCCCCAGCAGGCTAGGTATTCTGATCCCCATATTGACAATCAGGCCAACTATAGATCCAATTCAATAGAGAAGGACATAAAGTACAGAGTAGGTTTTCACACAAAAGGTAGGAAAAGGAATAAATCCTGTGTTGATTGTGTCAAGCAGGAAGTCTGTGGTCAGAGTTTAGTTATCATAGAGTAAAGATATGATGCAATGAAGTGTGAGAATCTATCAGTTCTTATTTCGTGGCTGTTTAAATTTGTTATTTTTCACAAGTTCTTAGCAAAATTCCTTTGGAAAAGTATTGCCCACTCCCCTACTATTCTTATTAAACTATAGTGATAAGAAGCTTTTGGTTGCAACCTGTTTTAATTAGTGCTGGTAGTTTTAGTTCCTGTTAAATTCCTGAAAATATTTGAATCTTCATAACTGGAATGCATTATGCTGCAAATAACAAAAAACCCAACTTAAAGCAGCTTAAAAATAATGTGGTATGTAAGCTGCTCATGTAACTGAAAGACTGAAGATTCAGTAGGGACTATGTTTCCTTTTCTTTGATACCATCAGTGCCCTTGCATCTTTGTGTATGTTTTTGGCTGAAACTTACTTTCATTATATGCATATATATGTGAAAAAAAAAATACAAAACCAGGACTAGGGAAATGTTCTTTTCATCAAATTGAAAAGAAAAAAAATGCTGTCCTTTAATTCTGGGATAGAAACTCTCACTCAGTTTGATTTAACTTTGCTCAACTGTCTTCTCTCAGGATCACGGATAGTTGTGAGGAAAATGTCATGCCTGTGCACACTATGCACTGGTTGGCAGGAGCCTGGATGCCTGAACCCATCACTGACGAGAGGGCTGGGACTGTGCTCAGCTTTCCCTGAATCTCATTGGTTAGGTGGATGGTAGAACAGTACTAGGGATTTGGTTGGTATAGAAGAAGGGGTCAAGGATGCTGAGCAAGCAATCTAAAGGGTTTGCACAAATAGCATAGAGCTTAAATGCTAAAGAGTGGAAAATCAAAGGGGTCTAGTAATAATTTTTATTTTCTTTCCCCAAAGTTCTCCTGTTTGCATTCAGAATAAATGAATACTCAACTCATATCTTTACTGTCCCTTGAGTGTGTCTACATTTCACACCTTTGTGCTTATATTGTTCCCTCAGCCATAGATGACTTTCTGTAACAGATCTACTCATTAAAATTCTACATCTCCTTCAAGGACTGGTTAAATTATCTCCTCCTTGGAATCTGTCCTGATTAATTTAGCCCACAGTGATCTCATCTTTGTATGACCCATGTAGTACTTGTTGTCAGAACTACAAATTTATTAATTACTAATATACTATCTTATGATATAATCTGTACCCAACATTGTTATTTCTTACTATTTCATTAACCTTTGCATATGAGCTAAGCCTTGCATTCCACATTTTACTGTAAGTCTATTTATTAATTAATTTATTTATTTATTTTGAGACAGAGTCACGCTCTGTAGCCAGGCTGGAGTACAGTGGCTCGATCTCGGCTCACTTCAAGCTCTGCCTCCCAGGTTCAAGTGATTCTTCTGCCTCAGCCTCCTGAGTACCTGGGACTACAGGCATGCACCACAACACCCGGCTAATATTTTCATTTTTAGTAGAGATGGGGTTTTACCATGTTGGCCAGGATGGTTTCTATCTCCTGACCTCGTGATCTGCCCACTTCGGCCTCCCAAAGTGCTGGGATTACAGGCGTGAGCCACCGTGCCTGGACTTTACTGTATCCAAAGGGAGAGATCATGTCTCATTCATGTTAGATAGTTTTAAAAATAATTTTCCACTAAACATAGAGTACATAGTCTTTCATACACTTTGTTTTTTAAATAAATGTTGTGTGTTAAAATTATTAACTTTTTAAGGGTAACAAATATTGCTTTCATATATTTGTTAATACTAAAACCTATTCAAATGCAAAATTCCATTACATATATATGTAAACTTTTTTTTTTTAATGCTAGCCTGGACAAATGGAATTTAAAAGTGAAAAGGATTATTCTTCATCCTTTAAGATAGTTGGAACAAGCAATGCCCATTTGTAGAAGGGGCCTCTTGTATAAAACATTCATATTAAGATTTATTGAAGTCTAGTTATTTCCAGAACTCAGATGCAGTTCGAATCACACATAATGGGCCAGAGTTTGGGAACTGTAATTTTGAAAAACATCAGGGTCTCCCTTATTGAGATTTATCCTCTGGCCCAGTTTTCATGGACAACTGAGTCCTAAAGATGCTTGTAATAGCACAGTGAATGAAAACAAAAAAGAGATTGTGTTTTTTGTTTGTTTGTTTGGACACATGAAATAAGAATCAACAATTTGGAATTCATTAATCCATTCATCAAATATTTATTGAGCATCTATCATTTCCTGATTTGAAAATAAGCAAGCTATGTTCTAAATTTAAGTTTTGATTTAACTCTAAATCAAAATTACAGGGAGGCAATACAGAGATCAGAGCCTGAATTTCAGATTTCATAGTCAATGTCTTTATTCTCACTGCCTCCATGGATCTACCTTGGTGCCCGACATGTTTTCCTGAGATTCCTGATGACTTGACACTTTAATGTTCATGACGGCTGGTAGAAAGTTGGGCTGAGTCTGTGGCTATGAACTTCAGCAAAGGTAATTGCCCCACCTGCCTTTTATCTCTGCTATGTATACACATTAGATGGAGAAGCTTACCTGGCTTCATTAGCTGCTGTGCTCCAGGCGATGCTCATTCTAGTGACTGGCAGAAAGGCTGTTATTCTCCTCCTAACTCCCTTGCCTAGCCTATTAGCATACCCTCTCCCCACCCAAATGTTCTGCTAGGCACTGTTTGAATCAAGCGACCTAGTCTGGAAGGACCCTGTAGTGACTTTCCAGTCCATTTCTAGTATTAATTTGGTACAATTCATCTCAAAAAAGGCAATTAGGCATTATAAATTATTCTTTTTCAATTAAACATTTAACCACAACAGAAACAAAGAAGGTCCTAAATGCATTAATTTAAAATCTTTCTCTATGCAGAAAGCCAAAATAACAGATTCTTTTTCCTAGAACTGAGAAATTATCTATAAAGTATGCAATAAAAATAAGAAATATTTTAACTTAATTTGTCAACAAAATAATAGATATGGCTGTATTACTCTGTTACAAATCAATTATAATAATGAAACTTCATATGAGTTTACTTTTATTTAATTAGTTGCATCAGATGTGCTGTAATTGTTAATGCATCAAAGTATAAATGATGAAATAAGGTTAAACGGCAGTTCCCAAAACATGTATATTTTACATTGTGGGGAAAAATCACAGCAAAATACCATAAATAATGCAAACTATAATCTAAAATGTTAGGTTTGTTAGAAATCATTTTTGGATGAGGAGATGGAAAAAAAGAAAAAATAATAACTTTCTCAAAGGTGTTTTCTTTCTTTTTTCCCTCCTAGTTAAAAGGCATTTACATAATGGAACTCCCAGGCAGTAAGTCATGTACCCCCAACTTTATTTTTTTAGTAACAACCCTGATGTCTCCAAGGAGTGAAGAGATTTGGTCAAGGTCAACCCAGTGCCTAGTTTACGAGAGAACTAGAATTAGGGTCCCGATTTTATGAACTCTCAGGTAAGGCAGAGCTCTTCAACATCATAATGCTTCTTCTCATTCTCCAGTAATGATTACGAAACATGCATTTCTCTTTGATTCTCAGAAATGTCCCCCTATGGCTAACACAATTTACTTGATATGTGAGAACATTGCACAAAATAAAAGTTGCATTGAGTCACAGGGAAAAAAAAAGCTTACCCTATCCTGTGCTACTAAATAAAGCTGATACTTCAAATGCTGAAGGGCGATAATTTAAACAAAATTGACACTGTGTTGGTTTTATGGATTTCTAATGTGTTTCATCTTGGGTACATTGGACATATTGATGCCTTAGCTTCTGCTGCATCTAATACTGAGGTTTGGAAATTTATACAAATCGAAAACTGCAGGCCTCCTTCAAAACACAGGCAGGCACGAATACTATTTTTTGCTCCCATCTTTAGTTTGTTTGCTTAGTAAAAACCACACGTTTCAGGAAGAAAAGAAAAATATTTGGTTAAAAAAATTATGCAATAGCTTTTTAGCCTTTATCTTACAGAAGTTTACCAGATTTCTTTTTCATTAATATTTGGACATTTTGCTTACATTGTTCTCTCTTTCCACTTTCCATCTCTGTAAAATTGGCAAGATTTTGTGGAACTTAAGACCAAGTTCTGTGTAATGTCACATCTGGGAAAAGAGAAACAAAAACCAAACAAAGCAAACAATAACAAAACAAGACTTCCTATCACTAAGACAAAGACAAAAAAATGTATAAAAACTTTATAAGCACAACATAAATGAAACTGAAGAGCAAGATAGAGGTTCACCTGAGTTGTTTTGGATTATGTGAATATCTTGCCCACTAAATATCATAACTCTCATATTCCCTTTTGAGTAGAAAAAAATAAACAAAAAGACCCCTTATTCCTTATGGTAGTTTGGTGTAGAGAAGAATGTAAACATTTATGTGTGTATCTCTGAATTTTCACCCATCTACATAGTTCTCTTTCTCTCCTTCTGTTATAGTTTCTGTCTTCTAGAAAACTTTATTTTTCCCCAGAACACACTGTGTAAAAATGTCTGTATTTGTGCTTTTATAAATGGAGAAAATGACCATGTTTTAGAAACCCCAAAGCAGAACGTGTGGTTTCAGTATGGATTTCTTTTTCACAATTTGTGAATCTAATGACATTAAAATTCCTCCAAGCATATACACTTTTAAGAGTTAGACTTCTAATGACTTGCGTATATTAGAAGAAATACAAATACACGTGTATACAGACAAGTATTTCATCTGTTGTTGTCTGGCTGGACCAGCCATACTTAGGGTCTCTCCTGCCCATGGTGGACCATCCCAAAAGTCACATAAAAGGATCCCGACTCCAAAATCAAGTAGATAGGTTTCTGAATGCAAGGAATGTACATAAAACACTTTGTCAAGGCCCCATTTTCATGAGAAAATTTGGCATGTCTTTGGCCCATAACGCCCCGTCTTTTTGTGGCTTTTGAGTTTAGAAACAAATCCAAATTTTAATTATTATGTTTACTGATATCGTTCATTTAATTTTTTATTTTTTTAAATGGACAGTCATAGATAATTGATACCTTTTGAGACAAAAGTGAGGCGGAATATTTTAAACTGGGATTGGCTCAAGAAAATCTCAATTGCATAGCCATTCATTTTATGTATCTATAAATGGATATTTCCCTGGTTCCCCCAAAGATTTGAGGCAACTAACAAAGAACAAAGAATAATAAGAAAGTTGATCTCATAGAAATAAAAAGTAGAAGAGAAGATACTAGAAATTGGGAAAGATAGGAGAAAACAGGAAATAGAAAGAGATTTATTAAAAGATACAAAATTACAGCTAGATAGAGGAATATGTTGTGTTCTCTAGCACTGTAAGGATGACTATAGTTAACAGTAATATACTGTATAGTTTCAAATAGCTAGGAGAACAATACTGAATGTTCCCCATACAAAGAAATGATAAATTATTGAGGTGATGAAAATTGTAGTTATCATGATCTGATCTCCGTATATTATATGTATTGAAACATGACTATGTACCTTGTAAATATGTATAATTACTATGTGTCAATTAAAAAAATTAAATTTTAAAAAATAATGTAAAAAATAAGGTAGTTGGTGCAAAGGGAAAATAGTAAACATGAAATGGTCGTTGTCAGATTTGTCTGTAAGTTTCCTTGTGGTTTAAGCAAAGAGCGTATATGCACAGTATATATGATGTATACTCATTAAATATTGGTTGACTTCATCAGAGATTGCTAGTTCATGAGTTATGGTTGAAATATTATTTGTGACCATGTAACAAACATAAAAACAATCATGTTAAATAGTTTTGTAGGGTGTATGAATATATCAAATGTGTTGTCTTTCATGATTTGTCTTCATTAAGCTCTGAATATAATGCTGAATTTCAGAGACCAGTATTACATCTACATAGGTCATTTATTTTGTTAATAAATGAGACAGCCAAAAATCAAAGACTTCTCAGTAATCCAAAATTTATCTAAGTGACTAAAAATTCAACATTTTAAAATCAACTTTAAAATAAAACCTTTCAAAAAACAGAATAACATTTGAAAATAATTTAAAAATAAACATAGACAATTGTAAGATGCAAATAAATTCTCTTTTCTCATTGTCTCTTCATTCTCAAATGGATTGAATATTTTGATTGAATTGACTTCTCAGGATAATCCAAGGAGTTAGTATTTCTCTGTGATTAGGCAGAGGTTACTTGAAGGTGGTTACCTCATTTTTCTGATTTAGGATGGTCATAGCAGCCCTTCTTCTCTGGAACATTGTAAATTTTAAGCAGGGAGTGGTTAAGGGTAGAAGAAACTTTATAAACTATCAGATAAACTGGGAAGAGAAAACAACAAGAACACACATTAGCTCTCAGGGAAGATATCTCAAAGATTCTCTCCATTTTTTTGGCCTTATTCGCCCTTAAAAAAAAAAATACGTGATTCAAGAAATACCATGGGCCTGAGCATTCAAGAAATTTGTAAACTTTCATAAGCTTACGTTTTGGTTTCAACTTGCTCATTAATCAGCCTGACACATTGTCTTTGTTACTGGGAAATAATTATGGTCTCAGAATCTTCATTCCCATATTTGTAAATATGAGATTTAGAAAAGCCAAATTTTCTTTCAAGAATAATATCCAAGCTATTCAATAGAACAAATGTGACTATAGAAGTGGAATCACTGAGGTGTTTGATCACAGCCTGTTTGAAAAAGTGCATACTGAAAACTTATGAAAGCCTTGTTTAGAATTTGTGGTATTTAAGAATACCTCAAATAAGAGTTTGAATGTATTTTTTCTTAATGTTTAATGTAATTAAAGCTCAAAAAATTGAATAGCAACACATGCTAAGGGGAATTTTAGAATTACTGGCTTACGAAGCAGAGGTAGTGTGGCTGAAAGGGCTAAGAATTACTGGCTTACTAAAAATTGGTTAACTAATTATATAAACAACCTTCTAAGCCTTTCTATTCGATTAATAAATATTTGTCAAGGAAGTAGAATTCTCAAACACTCTTTGTGGTGCTAATAATAGGGAAGTGAAGGAGATGAAGTCTGTTCCTTCAATGAGTTTATATTCTAGTAGGGCACATGGTCTTTTAACAAATAATTACTTTATTGATTATTTAATTAGAGTTGAGATAATGAAGAGGAAATGCAGTGTGATAAAAGTGAATTATAAAGGGGTATGATGAAGTCTGGGGGCTAGAGGATAGCATTTATAAAAAAATGATATTGAAGTGGAGTAATAAAATTCAATTATTCATCAAGGGAGGTCCTTTCAAGACCCATTGTGTTATTCTCTTCTTCCATTGCAAGAGATAATGTGCTGCTTTATTATAGGTATGGGTGGGGTGGGGTGGAGTGGTTAGCAAGAATTAGTTCCACCCTAACTTCCCAGGTCTCCTCCCAGAAACGTCCGTTCTAGCCCAGAGTGAAAAGAAAGAGAGAAGAATTGAGTCGGGGGAGATTTCTCTTTCTTTCTCCATATATGTATGGAGAAATATATATATTTGCTCATATATATATGAACACGTAAAAGATAAAAGGTGCTCATTTAATGATTATTGAAAGAGCAATTCTTATGGGTTTTGCATAATCCTGTATTCTGAATATTCAAGACAGGACTATCAGACTGCAAGAAATCTTCTGAGAGCAGGATTTTTTTTTTTTCTGGTTTTTGTTTTTTGACATAGATATGGGAGAATGGGGAATGTGATAAAAACCTTTGGTGGAGATGACGATGATTTCCTCCCTCTGGATTTGATAATCTAGTATGTGCTATGGATCGTTTTGTTATATGCACTTGTTGTTTCATGTGTGCTTGGCCTTTTCAACTAGACTAAATGCATTTCAAGCACAGGGACCATGCTTTTCATCACTGTATCTAGCACAGGACCAACTATTTACACATCTGTTGATAAGTACCCAGGATGACAGTGGGAAGGTAACATCCATTATCCTTGACAAAGCAGCTGTCCAGTTGATCAGTTTTCATACTACCTTCTATTTCTTGATCATGTAAGACAAGAAGTGAATTATCAGTAGGTTTTTATGCCTTTGTAATGATCTTGAAAATGGTGGAGCTGTGTCCTGAATGTTCTTTTGCTAGGTTAAAATCAGGAAGCTGTAGTTGCAAATGTCATGAATATGTATGAGTGTCTCAACTGTTGCTTCTACCTCTCTTCCTTCCCGATTGGTGACTGGATGTCTCCTTCTGCAAGCACTACAGCTGCCTTCCAAAGCCTTTTGTGCTGGGGGGAGGAGTGCTCTGTTATTCTGTTTGTCAGATGGCAGGGTATTTTTTTCTGATGAATCTTAGGGAAATACCAGTCTCTCTCTTTCTATCTGTCAGCCTCTCCCTCTCTTTTCCTGTAACTGCTCTTCCCACCCCCATATAAGCACAAACTGCCTTTAAAAAAAAAAAAAACACACACATGAGAATGGGTGGCAGGAGTTTGCAGTGGCAGATTTTTGAAAGAATAAATTTCTCTGCTTTCTTTCTTTCTGCACTCCAAAGACATCCCACATACACAGATGTGACAACTTTTTTAAAGCTAATTTGAGCGAATGCCTGTCTGGCGACTTACTCTGGGAATAGTTACACTTGCCCAAACTGAAGTTATGCCTTTGTAGAGGTGACACTGACGGCATGTTATTACTGCACGCTCAGAAAAGAGACACTATGAGAAAGAAGAAGAAAAAGACATGAAAATGAAGTGTGCGTGGTAGTGTTTTTGAGGATCTTTGTTAATGGGACCGAAATGGAGGCATTTGCCCAAATGTAACTGCTTTTGTAAAAATAGCTAGCTGGGAGGCATCTAGTTTGGGCTTCGTTGTTTTCCTTAATAAAGACATTCCTCAAATTCAGCAAACAGAACAAATACAGGGGTTTCCACTAAAAATGTGTGGGGATAGAGAGGTGGCAGTTCTTGCCAGATTTATTTTTAAATGTTACCTTTTTCAGTTAGTGAACACTTATTTGTGTCCAATTTCTCAGGCTGTGTTTTGAAAATAGGTATTGTTCAGTCAAACTCATAGTAGCATTATTGTGAAACTGATGAGGGCAGGCAAAGGCATTTGGGGATGGAGAAGAAAGCAACCTTTCCCGTGTCTGGGTTGTACATTCCAATTTCATGTCATCCACTTGGACAACTGTGCTCCTTTCTTCCTTTCTACACCTTCTCCGTATCTTCTTTTTCCTTCTTTTCTTCATCTCCTTGTGTTCATCCTTTAATCAATGCAGATTATATTGCTATTTCTACTTATCTAATACATTAGGGGATATGGGAATGCATAATGCATTTGTGGGAACATAAAGAATATTATATGCTGCTCTTGCCCTCAGGAGTTTGCTGCTATTTGAGAAGACACGATATATATGCATAAAATGTTGAATAAAGATTCAAGATTTGAGTGGCAATATAGGAATATACATCAGATGAGCAATAAGTACTATCAGCTTTTAGTTAAGAGATCAGTGCAGACTGCATGGTCAGAAAAATGTTTGTTAATTTCTTTCACTCTTCTGGAAGCACACGAAGCTTATATATATGCTTTCAGGTTTTTATCGGATTATCTTACAGTGCTTTGGCTATATATTTTCCAAAATGTTTTCTAAATATTACTGAGCTTTCAAAGTTTTGATTAAGTTTTACCTACTCTATGAAAAATCCTGTGGTCTTTTCAGCCCATGGGCAGCTGCTCCTTCTCTGAATTTCTCTAGGTCAGTGCTTCTCTATCATGTGTGGAATAGTGGACAACTTGTTCTCTAATTTCTTTCATTTTATTTTATTTTATTTTTGAGATGGAGTCTTGCTCTGTCACCCAGGCTGGAGTGCAGTGGCGTGATCTTGGCTCACTGCAACCTCTGCCTCCCAGGTTCAAGCGATTCTCCCGCCTCAGCCTCCCGAGTATCTGGGACTACAGGTGCATGCCGCCATGCCCAGCTAATTTTTGTATTTTTAGTAGAGACAGGGTTTCACCATATTGGTCAGGCTGGTCTTGAGCCCCTGAACTCATGACCCACCTGCCTCAGCCTCCCAAAGTGCTGGGATTACAGGCGTGAGCCACGATGCCCAGCCCACATGTTCTAATTTCTACTTTGTTTTGTGTGTATAAGTTAAGTCCTATCTTTTCTTTCAAAATGCATTTTTTTTTTTGAGAGAGAGAGAGAGAAGGGTTTTTGTACTCATACAGAGCTCATAAAACCAAAAGCATCCGCTGGTCCACCTTGTTGTTCTGTAAGTATTTACTGAGTTGATGTATAACCAACAGACCTTGGATAAATTCCTCTCATTGGAAGGATACCCAAATTCATTTCCAGCTCTAATATCAAATAGGACTTTGTTTCTATGACTTGAAGCCAAATTCTCTTTACAAACATTTAAGGAACACTTCCAGCTTGCACTGGTCACATTAGAGATAAAAGTAGTTTTAGGAGGTATCTTAAGTTCTCACAGAGTTTAGTGCCCAACGAAACTGAATACCACTGACAGCAGCAGAATTCCTTCACAGGATGTAGGGTCTTAAGGGGTTAACTACTTTTCAACTTGTAAGACCCCTTCAGTTCCCTGATAAAATTGAGGCTTTAAGATTTACTTTTCACCATTGTATCTGAAAGCCATTTCAAAAGTCATTCAATAGAGGGCAGGACAAGATGATCTCAAATGTATTTAATTCTATCATTCTAGATTTCCAAATATCAACAGAAATATATGTACATATATGCACACGAGATAGGAAGGGATTTAAAGGAGGGTGGCTAAGTTGAACTTTTCCTATAAACACTGCCTTCAGATCAGCACCCCAATTTTCTCCTCTTCTGTGCCTCACGAGCTCAAGTTCTGTTTGGCCAAGGCACCAGAGCTACTGTGATTCCTGGGAGAGTATCTAAAACGACAGTTGCTGAAAGGTTACAGAAAAATCTATTAGAAAAGAAAAGTTGAGGGAAATCAGGTGAGCTCATAGAAGAAAATAAGGAAAGATTGGCTCCCTTTTGGGATTAGGTCTAATTAAGGTGAGCAAGCAGCTGGGCCTGTTTGGAATAACAATTGTGCTAGCATGTCACTTTTTTCTGCTTAGTTGAAATGTATATAGTTTGGGAATGGTGGATATAAGAAAATTAGAGCTCATTTAGAATCTGTTGAAAGGACAGTGTGCCTTCATTATTAGTTTTGCATCTGAATTTTCCTGGGGCAGTCCTCTCTCTGTTATAGGTAATGGATTTTTCCCCAGATGTAATTGGATGAGTTTAATTTTTTCTTTCATTACCTGTCGAGGAGGCCTATGCCCCTACTTCCCTTTGTGTTTTATTGGGACTGTAACCCCTATTTAAATAATGGGTTTGATTGTGCTTATATATGTTCAATCAGCACTTTCTGATTGAATAGTTCTGGTCACACAACGCTCTCGCCTAGCATTTTTTACTAATTACATTTTCGCCCTGGCTGGGTGTGGGAAAACCTCTGATGGTGTTTGTTTGCTGCTTTTGATTATGCCAGTGGTTTGGTCCATCCACAGCAGAAGGAGGGTGAGGAAATAGGTCTTTGCGCTATAATTCTGCTGGTCTTAAAGAATGACTTAATTTGATTCCATCTTCTATTGAAGGAATAGAAAGCCAAATTATGTGCTAGTAAATTTTTAGCAAACAGATCTAATACAAACAAACAAAAATTATCCCTGATTTGTAGCTTTTGCTAATTTCCATGGTGTAAATACTCCCACCATAGCTGATTTTATATGACATAATTGAATGTGGAGTTGAGAAGAAATGCTGTCAAACTTATCTCTAGAGCCAGTGGCTGCAGCTTCAGCACCGCACAAACAGTCTCAGTTACATTTCTGCCATTGAAGGCATGGACCTCATCATCTTCTCATTACAATTGAGATGGATTACCGGTTGTTAAGCTGACTCAGTTAGGGTGTGATTTCAATGACATATATGTGGGAATTCTATTGAAGTTTTAAAGTCAAAGACATATTAGGGTGATTCTTCTGCCTGTGTTTAAAACTCGGAAATATAATAGCTAAACCATATCATTTTACATTAAATGTACATGTTTCCTTAGAAATTTGTTAAGTACCATATATTTTATCCTTTATTAATACATTAATAAGAATCTTAGTAGATGTACTGGATGAGAATTCAGAAGACTTGAGATTTGTCCAAGTCATCATTAATGGTCTCTGTATCTTTGATAACCCATTTAATATTGGGGCATCACCAATTTTCTCATCACTTAAGAAGAAGAACCATATAAGAATTTCTATGAGAGAATTATAACCTCTCATAGAAACCTTATTTCCACATGGATAGCGTTACTATTTCTTTTCATTCAACTTCTATGACTTTATTTTTATCTGTCCTAAAGTAGATTCTTAACTAGAAACTTATGTAATAATATGCTTACATAACTTATATCCATAAAATAAGATATCTTGTTCTTTGTGTTTGTTTGTTTTTTTGTTTGTTTGTTTTTGACGGATTCTCACTCTGTTGCCCAGGCTGGAGTACAGTGGTCCGATCTTGGCTCACTGCAAGCTCTGCCTCCCGGGTTCACGCCATTCTGCCTCAGCCTCCCGAGTAGCTGGGACTATAGGCACCCGCCAGTCTTGTTGGGTTTTAAGAGCCTGGAAGGTAGGCATCAGGCTCGATTCTTCTTTGTACATTCCTCAGTATTCAGACCAAGAACCTGAACAGAGAGAACACTCAAATAATGTACGAGACATGATTTAGTGATTGATTGCCTTAATCAGTCACTAAACAATCCTTGTTAGACAAGGATATTTATATTGCAACATTAAACAATTCAAATAAAAATTATAAAATAAGTTAGAAAGCATGTTACCAATGATAAATTATTATTTTTATTTTTCACAGTACAAATTTTCTAATTCTTGTTAATGACAAGAATGGAATACACTATTGAGGTTTAATGGGTTTCAAAAAAAGGTTAAACATATTTCTATCTTCTCTACCATAACTACGTCTTTTTGACAATGTCCCAAATAGATGAATATAAAATCATTTTAATTTGGTTCAATAAGCCTTAAGCCTTATTTGAGTATATTGCAAATGCAAAAATGAAAAAGACTTCCAAGTTGGTGGGGCATCCCACTGGACTGTGATGTTTTCTATTTCCCACTTTTACTCACCATTTCCTCATGGCCTCCAATGTTAGGATAGACAAGCTTTTGACTCAATCTTAAATGCAATGAGTCATGGCATGCCAGAAGTGCTGTGTAGTGATGAGGTCTGTGACTGAGAGATGGAGAGACTGTGGCTTTTCCTCTCAATCTTTTCATCCTACTCTTTAAGTTTCCATTTTGCCATCCATAAAATAGCAAATATAGTGTGTAACTGCTTTACCTACTAGCATCAAGTTGAGTATGTACAAGAAAAGGACCCTAAAATATAAAATTGCCGTAAGATAAAATAGTCTCACTGTCACCCAGGCTGGAGTGCAGTGGCACAATCTCAGCTCACTGCAACCTTCACCTTCCAGGTTCAAGCAATTCTCATGCTTCAGCCTCCCAAGTAGGTGGGATTACAGGGATGTGCAACCATACCAAGCTAATTTTTGTATTTTTAGTAGAGATGGGGTTTCACCATATTGGCCAGGCTGATCTTGAACCCCTGATGTCAGGTGATCCACCAGCCTCAGCCTCCCAAAGTTCTGGGATTACAGGTGTGAGCCACCATGCCTGGCCAAGCCTCAAGCTTTTAATTGTTCTTTGTTAACCCAAATGACTGATCACTAGGCAATAAGTCTAATTATAGATGGAAAGTATGATTTAAGAGGCTGTGGGTAATTTCAAAATAGAACTGGGTCTGGAGTGGTCTGTTTCTAGCAAAATGGTGGACTAAAATAGTGCTGACATTCTCCCACTACAGCATGTTAAATAAAATGAAATAAAATATGACCAAAAATATTTAATACATGGCTGAGTTTGTACAAAAGAAAGAGAAATATTCACTTTCCCAAAGCAAAGAGAAAGCAGTGAAGATAAGGGGGCCAATAACAGCTCAGGCCTTGGATTTTAATCTACTTACATAAAGAAGGGACAATGCCATAGGCCTGAGCTAAATGAGAACTAAGAATTGGGATTTTCTAAAATAAAACTGGGACCTGCAGGCTACAACCCAAGGAAAAATGTTCTTCATGCTATTTATATGAGTGAAATGTAAAACATGAAGAACCAAGAAAAAGTTTGGAAGTACAGTGATTGAAAAGATACCTACTGGCAAAGACTAGCCAGAAGAAACCTAGAGGAACTTTTAAAATATCACCCAAAACATTCTGTGAGAAAAGAAAAAATAAAATAAAATATTATTAAAGAAGGTAATTGTATAATTCTAAAATATTTAAGTCATAAGGAACACATTACAATCTTAAAAAACAAAGCCTCATGTGCAGGGTGATTCAAGCTTGTAATCCTACCACTTTGGGAGGCTGAGGCAGGCAGAACACTTGAGCCTAGGTGTTCAAGACCAGCCTGGGCAACATGGAGAAACCCCGTCTCTACAAAAAGTACAAAAATTAGCTAGGTTTGATGAGGCATGCCTGTAGTCCTAGCTACCTAGGAGGCTGAAATGGAAGGATCACCTGAGCTTGGGGAGGTAGAGGCTACAGTGGGCCGCGATCATGCCACTGCACTCCATCCTGGGTGACAGAGTGAGACCACATCTTAAAAAAAAAGAAAAAGAAAAAGAACAAAAAGAAAAAGACAAGAAAAGAAATGGACAGAAATAAAAGGAAAATGGAAAACTATAAAATTAGATTTGAGGGTTTTAAACACAATTCTCTGAGGAACTTGTTGGTAGACCATAAATAACTAGTAAATACAAAGATGATTTTTAGCAAACATTTTTTGAGTTCATAGAAATGACTGAAGAATGCAATGCTGCTCTTCATTTTGTTGGAGAACTGGACAGAACTAAAAGAAAGCTCTAAGTAAAATTAAAATTCTAAGTAATTTAAGGACAAAATAACATATTCATTATTCACAGATCCTATAATTGTTGGCAAAAAAATATCCAAGGGAAGAGAATATACAAGCAGTCCATTATAACTAATAGGATATTTCAGTACAATTATTGAAACCAAAATGATCAATATAAAGAAAAATTGGTGGTATTTCCACACGAAAGTAATGATTAGATATGTTAATTTCTAAAAATACAGCAATTTATAATTGCATCTACAAAGAACCTAGAAATAAATATAACAAAAGATGTATAGTTTACAAAAACAATTTTGAAAAATTATTGAAGAAAATATAATAGTATCAAAATCACTGGAGAGATATATACTGTCTCAATCAGTGGGAACTTTTACTGTAGCAAGTATGAAAATTCCCTCATAAATTTATCCGTAAGGAGCACACAATTTTATTAAATCTCCCAACAATTTTTCCAGTGCAATCTGACAAACTGATCATATAATTTATTTGAAAAGTGTTACCACTAAAAACAGCCAAGACTATTTTGGAAAAATTAATTATTGGGACCGAGCCAAGAAAAACTTACTTTAAAACAATAGTTATTAAAACAGTATGGTAGGTAATAGACAGTAGACCAGATGAGAGAGTGCCAAAGCATAAACACATAGAGTACAATATGGGAATTTATTATGTGATATAGGAGGCATTGCAAGTAAGTAGGGAAATGACAGCCAATTCAGTAACTGGATAGTGACAATTTACTTTCCTTATTAAAAAATCTAATCCCATTCAAATGGATTAAAATACAAAAATGTTTTTAAAAAAATAGACAGTTTTAAAAGAAAATCTATGAGAATATCTTCTTTATACCAATTTAAGATAATGTTTTAAATAAAACTTTAAAGTAATACATTACAAAGGTTAAAACTGATTTTTGTTTACAATAAACTAATAATGAGCTATTCCCACATGACTACCCAATGAACTAATATAAATTATCTAGAACATATAAAATTATTCACAATCCCTTAAGAAAGGTGTTTTAAAATAAGTAAAGGACTTAAATAGGCAATTCAGAGAAGAAATCTACTGGCAAACAAAAACCAAAAACCACACCACCTAACTTTACTACTAATAAAAGAGATTTAAATCAAAATATTTAAAATTGCATACATGTCAGATGAACAAAATTAGATAAATATGATAACCACGTTTGGTGAAAACCTTAGGAATATAACCTTTTATAAACTGCAAATATCAGTGTACTTTGGTACCACTATTTTGCAGAGTGATTGGATGAAATGCAGGGAAGTCAAAACTGTCTATAGTTTATGATACATATATTCCAATTTCTGGCATCTTACCTTAGAAAACATTTGTTTGAACATGTGCTGATGGAGATTCATACAAATATGTTTATTGCAACACTGTGGAAAACTGAAAAATAAATGGGAGAGTGTGCTTTGCTTATCAGTCTGGTAAAGAAAAATATCTAACATTATTCTTATAATGAAGCAGTATATGAATGCTCTAGATCAACTTATATTAAAATAAATAGATCTAAAAACAATACTGGGTAAAAGAAGTTGAAAATTTACATACATTTTTAAGCCAAACAAGCTGGTACCATATATTGTTTATGGAAAATTTTATATATAAAGAAAAAATATAAAAGCACACAGGAGGCTGGATAGATGGATGGATGGATAGATAGATAGATAGATAGATAGATAGATAGATAGAAAGACACACACACAGATATATAAGCATCAGAATCATGGCTGCCTTTGGTGAATGGAGAAACGCAAATAAATGTTATGGGTAACTGGGCTTGTTTTGTTCTATTTCATTAAATTTGAAAGGGAAGATTTTGGAGGAGCTTTAAAACTGCTCTTCTTTTATGTATATGACAGTGATGAATTTCACAATAACTGACTTGGCTTTGGTCTTTCCTCTCATGAAGAAGCGGCTTCAGAATGACCAGTGAGGCTGGGCACCGTCGGGGTTCTGCAGAGAGTTACATTGCAAACTCTGGAATAAGGGTTTCCCTACCTGAGGCAAGGATCACACTAGAGCTTCTGTGTGAACAGATCATATATGAGAATCATTTGAATACCGCAAATCTCAGGAGACTCAACATTCCCGTAATACCTGCTCTGTCTTGAGGAGTTCATTAGAAAGTTATTCTACTGAGAAAATATTGAACTCATTCTCTATTTTTTTTGGATTCTCATCCTACTTTTTGAAGAAAAACAAAGTTAATTATCGTACAAGACAGTCCTTTTGCTATATGAAGCCATGCACCTTAATATTTTCTCCAACCTGCTTTTCAACAGACTAATATACAATACTTGCAGACCCCTCATTCCCCTCTGCACTCCACAGACTCCTGTTTTTAATAAGTGCTTTCTGGAAAAGGGAGAAGTCCTGCAGAGAGGGATGTATGACACTAACCTTTTTAAGTCTGTTCCTTCCTACACTTTACCTAAAGCAACATCTCTGGAAGAGTGAGCTGGTATTTCAGCTCTGATGCATTTTTTAATCCACCAGGTTATGACCTCCGGTGGATGCCCAAAGCCGTGGCTAGTACTGAACCCTATATATGCTACGATTTTGCCTATACATACATACCTATAAAAAGTTTAATTTATGAAGTAGGCAGAGTACACTAGTATTTTTGGACCATTATTAAGCAAAATAAGGATGACTTGAACACAGGTGCTGCAATAGCATGACAGTTGATCTGAACACCAAGACTGCTATGAAGTGACTCATGGACAGGAGGGTAGACAGAGTGGAGACACTGGACGAAGGGAGGATTCACATCCTAGGCTATTCCAAATGGTGTATTATAATTATGAATTGTTTATTTCTGGAATTTTTTATTTAATATTTTTGGATCACAGTTGACTATAGGTAATCAAAACTGCGAAAAGTGAAACCTTGTATAATGGGGGACTACTGCATTACAAAATGATTTAGCAGTGGGTGGTTATGGGAGAAAAGCTTTAGCCATTGCTATCCTATTGTGCATACAAACAGCCTGCATCCCTCCATACATATTTATATAAGCAGGAGACTTGGGTGATTTTTTTTCATATCATGAATAATTTTAACACTACAGACGTTTGACTTTGAATCAACAACTAGTTTCAGATGAACGTAATTGCAGCCAAAGAAAGTTTCTAACTAAAATTAGTTACTTTTCATTTTTAACAAACTACTGCCTGCTGCATTTCCTGTGATCTCGGCTTTCATCTTCCTCTCATGGAGTCACATGTAACAATGATTCCTTCACTTCCGTGTCTATTTTCTTCTTGGCTTCTCGAAGTGTAAAACTTGCAGTTCCTCCTGCCAAATGACTTTCCAAGGCTGTGCCTAGGAGATGCCAACCCAACTCACGCTCACACTTGTTCCCATATTACTTACCTTCAGATTTCAATGGCCACGAGTCCCTTTGCCCTTTCCATGTATTCAAGAAGTGGAATATGAGCTTCACACAAAAACAAGCAAACAAATACACTGTGAGAGCAAGATTTTAAACAAGATGTCTGGGTACAGCTTTAGGCAATGTGTTAAGTGTTTTTAAGAATTATATCTCATTTAATATTTATAAAATTCTCTACAGGAACTATGACTATTCCTGTTTTACAGATGAACTGAAGCAATGTTCTCATGGCTTACCATTGAATCCTCCAACTACAATTAGTTTATTTGACCCCTTGGCAGCTAGAAAACACTGTATCCCTTTTGGATCCAGTCATGACTGTCTCTCTACCTAGCCCTGCTCTGGTACGTCATACTGACTTTTAATCAGAACTTCCCTAGTTTGCATGGATGACCTACTGTCAGATTGAAAAATATGAAGAGTTAGCCCTAGGCTAACACATCTCATGGCCTCCTGCTCCACAGATAAAGCTTTATCATGACCATGGTTGGTGGGTGAGAGATATGTTAGGGATTTTATTTGAAAAACTGTTTTCTCTTGGGTTCCAGCCCTTTCTCCTCTATCTTCTTATCAGCTTAGGAAATCCTGTATTCTCAGCATGAGAGAACCTTTGACCAACATTTCTCATTCAACTGCTTAACACCAATTCTTGAAGGCTGTGTGGAATTGGGTTTAAAATATACTCTCTGGGGTCTGAGAGTTTGGCCTCAAATTCCAGCTCCACTACATAATAGACCCAAGAATTTACAAAATATCTCATCCTCTGGGCCTTGGTTTCCTTATCTGTAAATCAGGAATACCAGAAACACTTACTTCGTATGCTGTGGGTAGGATAAGATGTAGAGAAACTCTTAATTTAGTTTGAAATAGTAATTTATTCTGAATGGAGGGCATGGTTTAGACTTGGCTGTTAACTTCAAAGTTCTTTTTACTGCAGTTACTCATGGTTCTTACAAGACCATAAATATTTGACATTTGACAGTATCTCATTTAATTTTTATGATAAGCAGTAGGCAAGTTATCTATAAAGTTGCCTGCTACTGAAATACATCTTATATCTATAGAAGACAATGCTAATTCTGGTAGATTTATATACTGCATAGGAATAACAATTAGAAATACTAAAGAAACATTTATTATCCATTTGGCCCAATGTTGCTCTTCTTACCTTCTACAGTGGTCAAAGGGAACACTTTATTTTATAGAAGTTGGTAGTGGGCAAACAAAAAATCTGACAACAATCCTGATATTATCCAAACTTCAGTTTTCTCATCTGTTTTTGAGGAAGATGAGTTAGAACTTAAGCAAATGTAGCCAAAGTTTTCTCCCTTGTTAGATTCAAGTCTCCATGACTATGATTATGTTTTCTATCTTATTCAGAGTTTAAACAAACTTTTATTTTGTTGTTGCCTAAAAAAGAACACAAAATGTATTCTAGATGGCATATATGTTTAATTGAGTTTACTTTATAAAATGTTTGCAAAGATAAATAAAAGGTAACAGCATTAATGTTTCCGCTTTAAATTTGAGTTTATTTACATTATATATTATGGTTCCTAGTGAATTTAATTTGGGTTCTAAGAAAATGTCCTTGGATGGAAATGTGTGAGAGCTGCGATGTGTGGGAATTAATCCGTTTCCCAGAGGGTGAGGGTGGTCATGGAGGAGGCTGATCCCTGAGGGTACAAAGTGCCTATTGTGCTGGAGCAAGTGGGGTTGCCTGAGGCGAATTCAAGAGCTGGGACCATTACCGACACCATGATAGTTTGTGCACTGTTAGCCAGATGTGGAATCTTGCCTCATTAAATTCTCTCTTTTGAATCCAGAAGCTCAGTCCTTCGACTGTGCCATTTTTCTTCTTCTGTGCAACTGATTAACTCAAACTTATAATACAGCATAGAAATAATTTACTCTACCCTGCTACCCCTGCAAACGGTGTTTTCTATCTTTGTGCTCTGACCAGCAAAGTCCTTGCATGCATGCAATCATTCCTACAACAACCCACGCACTGAGAACCTCCCCCACAGCGTTAAGTATGGAGAAGACAGCTTCTGCCTTCATCCCTTCACTCGACAGTGAAAGTGAGAAATCCAGCCATCTATTGCATTGCATGGAATTAACTCATTAACTATTGCTCAGCATAGCCCCCTGTTTTGGGTGGGCCAGGGTGAGCTAGAGAGAGATGGGGTCAATATTTGCTTCACAGATTTCCAATCTTCAGTATAAGGATCCCTCAATTTTGATTTCAAACTGGGTGGGAGCCAGGCTACAAGTATTTAGCCTGACACTCAAGGATTTGCAAGAAATGGTCCAAGACATACTATGTTTATTCTACATTAAAATCTGGCACACTACTCTCTCTAAATAATTCTGTGCTTGAGTAAATAAACTATTGTACCCCAAACATGTCCAAGCCTTTCTTATTGCTTTGCCTCTATTTGAGGTATTTCTCTTTGTAATGTTCCACTTCTAAAATTGTGATTCTTTAGACTTTATTTCCCTGTCATCTAAAGTGGTATAACCTATTTGCCTTTTTAAATTAAAATTAGGACTTTTACTCAGTATTGTAACGTGCATAACAGTTTTTCTCCAAGACTGTAAGCTTCTTGAATACAGGAACAACAATTTGTTCATGTTTTATCCTCAAAAATGCCTAACCTAGTGCCTTACAGGCAGTGAAAACTTGTATTTAATTGCTAACGGAGGCAATGAAACTTTAATGCATGAGACTTTGTGGGAGCCTGTAGTCATGGCAGGTAGAAAATATGTGGGTCAGTAAATGCTGTGATGATATTCACGGCCTCTCTTAAGACTAGATAGTCCAGCCAACTGGACTCCATCTCATTATACTTGATTAGTCCTTCTGCTAATATATAACTAAGTTTTATCAATCTCAGTATCCTCCAGCTGGGACATCATTTACAGATGAAATGGAAACTGCATTAAATACAAGCAGACGAAAAAACTCAAGGAGTTCGCCTGTTGCCATGTTACCATTTTTCCCACATTTAGAAACAAAACAGGGGCTCTGACTCTGGTCACAAAAAACTCCCACCAGTGTAAATTCCCTACCTTCCACACTCTCCTTTTCCTTGCAGCCTTTTCTCCCCATGTCCCTGGCACTCTGTTTCTGCACATTAAGTCTTGCTTTTCAGTGTCTCCCACTACAGTGACTCACCTAGGGCTATGTATTCGAGGTGTTCTGGTCTGCCCTGAAACACCCTTATCTACTTTCACCTCTTGAAATCATTCTTATCTAGAGAGATTTTTCATTTCAAGAAGACATACTATGTTTATTCTGCAGAATATTTATCTCATAGCACCTTCCTAAAAATAGTGGAGCAGATTAATAAAAAGAAAATAAACCTATAACACAGTAAAAATGGTGTGGTGACCTCAGAGGAGTGGAAACCATGGGAGAGGAAACCATGGGAGAACCATAAAAAGAGAAAAGCAGAGGATAGGATTAAAGAGGAAGCCACAGTCCAGGGTAAGCAGGAGAGAGCCTGTAACAGAGACACGCAGAGAACTATTTCCTAACTGGTGGAACTTAGAGCAAGCGAAGGAGAGGGGCACCAAGCAGTGTGATCAGTTGGGGTGTCAGAATGAGAGCAGTCAGAGGCACGGTTACCGATTACCCCACTGCCCTCATGTTGTGAGCAGTACTGGGCTGATTGCTCCCAAGAAGCAACACACGCTCCAGGATCTTGGACTGGAGACGAAGCAGCTCTCAAGGGGCTGGTGATGCTTTGTGGGAAATAAAGAGCACCCAAACCACTAACTGACAGTCTGTTTTTCCCCTTTCTGACTCTGTCTGCATGCATTGTAGAATGCAAGACAAAGCAGGATCTCTGGACCATAACCCCAAGAAGGCAGCATGATCCAAAGTTGCAGCAAATAGAGGTACAAAGCACTACAGCTACAAAAGTGCTGACAAAATGAAAGCTCCCTACAATTTGTTAACAAAGACAGTGCATTTTGACAGATTAAATAAGTTATAGCCAAGGAAATACTCCACAAAACATAAACATAAACATAACAAATTTTCTGGGAAGGATCAGAAATAACATTTCGTCTATACAAATGGGATCAAGAAAATAGAACTAACTAGAGAGCTTGAATATAAAAATAATAAAAATTAAATACTCGGTGTCATCTTACACAAAATGGGCACAGCAGAAAAGAAAATTAACGATGTAAAAAATCTTGCCTATAAAATTTTTCAGAAAGCTTCATATAAAGTCAAAGACATGGAAATTGTGCAAAAAAAAAAGTGTCAAGAGATATAAAGGAGCCATTATCATTAGGCTTGGAAATTTGAGGCATTCCTCACATTTAGAAAAACTAAAAAGCTAAAAAGTATGTGTGTGTGTGTGTTTCTCTCTCTATATATACATATATATAAAATAATTTAAATAGATATGAATTATATATACATATGTACAGAATTAGATTATATAATTACATATATAAATTATATATACATAATTGTGTATTATAAATAATACATAATACATATATATGTGTAATCTATACTGTCATATATTTACATAGGTCATATAATATATGTTTAATATTATGTATGTATAAAATAAGGTAGTAAAGAATGACTAGGCCAAGAACAAAAAGAAGAAAATTATCCAGGACTTTAAAATGCTATTTTTACTAGATAATATGTATGTCAACTTCATAAGACACAGCAGAGAATTTGAGAAGTGCTGCTGACATTCATGGGAGGCTACAGGATCGAAATACTAACAGTTGGAGTGCAAGCCCACCATGAGGAGGATCCCTGGTAAAACCCAAATACATCAAATTATCCATCAAACAACTCTCAACAAATCTAAAGACCTGAAATTGTAAATAATAATACTAATATATATACACTCTGACATAATACAATCAAGCTGGAAAACAACATCAAACTGATAATTAGATATATTTAGTCATTAAGAAACATACATCAAATAATGTACCAATAATAGAATTTGCCATAACTACTAATCAGTTCTAGCCACTCTGAAATTGGCAGTAGTGGATAAAATAATCAACCAATTTAATCCTCTTAAAAATTCACTTCCTTTTCTTCAATTAAAAAAGATACATTTATTTTTCCTTATCATTAATTTTTTGTTTTTCATTGTAAATAAAATGTCAATTTGTTGTTATTATGTAGATATCACCTAGTTTCATCCAGATGATAGGTAAATGAGAAGGAAGCATTTGTTACTGTATGCTAACTTGGGGTTCAATTTTCTTTCAGCAAATGGGGAAGAAATTGTGTTAGCATTTTTGATTTGTCAGAGTTTATGAAATTATGTGTTAGCTTAACTTAGCTTCTACCTGTGCCAACAATAAATGTCACTACCAACCAGCAGCCCCAATGTTTTATCAGTTCATTTACATCTTTGGACTTAGAATTCACTTCCTTTCCTTATTATGCATGACTTATTAAGTATGTATTACTACCATGAAAATGTACCAATTATGTAACAATCACCTCACTCCCAGGCCTCTACTGAGTCCGTTTCTATAAATTTATGGCTATATTTTCTTGTTACAAAAAACTCTAAGTAAAATAAACTGATTTAGAAATGGTAATAATCGGCCCCAGCTACCCTACGCCTTGAAATTTTATGCAGACGTGGATTGGCAAGATTTTACACAATTTGTTTGTCTATTAGGCATCCTATTAAAAAAAAACCCTTAACTCTCTATTTATATATTTATAATTGGTCATGGTAATGTTTATTTCAATTTACTAGATCTTTAAAGCTATTATGGCCAACTTGTATAATTACAAGACTAAGCTAAATAGTGGAGATTTGGGCCACTCCTTGGATGTCTGTACTAGTGGTGTTCAGCCCTGGAATCTTGACATTTGTCATTATGAGTTCTGAGACATATCGTTAATAACAGAATTGAAGCACTACAACTTGTCAAAACTTAGAGTGAAATTAAGGTCATTCACATATCATGATTTATGATAAAATACTCACTAGCTCGCCCCTGAATCTTTCTTGGAGTGATATTAACGTAAGAGATACAAGTCCAAAATTGCACTTATTTAGGAAGGAGTGCAAAAAGTTTGAAAACGGAAGGACAACACAATCATAATATTTTAATGACTAACAGATTATCTGCCTGTTTGGTGTTGTATGGGGGTACACATGCCTTATCACTTTTCCTTATCTTTCCTCCCAGAGTGTATAAGTCCGTATTGATGTCTGAGACACTGTTAACTTGCATTTTATATAACTTATGTAACTTAATCAATAGATGCACACAATTGGAATAAGAAGAACACAAGCAGCAATCGTTTACTGTATTCACAAATATTTCATAACCTGGAACATCCAAATAATATGACCTTTTATTTTGCCTATGACTCTAAAAGCAAATGATTTATTTCTAAAATCTAGACAAGAGCTATCTTGGAAACTGGTGACTGCAGTTTCAGAGAATTATGGCGAGGTAATATTAATTTTTTCAATCAAGGTCCTCATATCTTGTTAGTAGTATCTCATCACATTAACATATTAGCAGTATCCCATTGCATTGTATTAATATTCATATCATATCAGAATTTATTGTTGCTTATACAGTGTTAAAGTCATATTGCATTAGTGACTTTCATATCAGATTAGTAAAAGTGGATCCTAACAAGACTTTCATATTCAATTACTAAGGTAACAGTTTTGTCTTTCCAAGTCACTTCTAACTCAAGCCCAGAGTACAAATTGATGAATGTGGTAATAAGGTAATCTTTCTGGCTGAAGATGGATGGCACCTGGGACCGATGGGGCTGTGAAAATAAGACTTGAATAAAGGGGCCGCAACTGACAGTAAAAGTATTCAACGCTTTGTCTACACAGCAGTGTTTCTGATGCAAAGAATTCATGAACTTAGGAAGCTAGAGATCTAAACTTGCACTTTATTAATTTACATCCTTTCTCTATCATCCTATTTCATCTTATTGATTTGGGCCACAATAAAAAGTGATGGGGGGGGGCATGAGAAGCACAAATGAAAATTGCTCGTGAAAGTAGTTCATGGCTTCTATTTTTTAGTATGCTTTCCCAGAAATTATTTGAATTTAGAGGGACTTTCACCTGGCACTTAGATGGGTAGGTAAGATATGCTGAGACAGATAAATCTTCTAGGAATACCTCAAATAATTCTACATAGTTATTCAAATTATTAGATTAAATGTAATTTCAACATCTATTGCAGGATATAGAAGAAATGGGAACTGTGAACATATGTATATATTAATTTGATCTTGTTTACGGCATGGACTATGCTTTTTTCAACTTTTTTTGAGATAAGTCTCGCTCTGTCACCCGGGCTGGAGTGCAGTGGCGTGATCTCGGCTCACTGCAAGCTCCGCCTCCCAAGTTCACGCCATTCTGCTGCCTCAGCCTCCCGAGTAGCTGGGACTACAGGCACCCATCACCACGCCCGACTAATTTTCTGTATTTTTAGTAGAGACAGGGTTTCACCGTGTTAGCCAGGATGGTCTGAATCTCCTGACCTCGTGATCCACCCGCCTTGGCCTCTCAAAGTGCTGGGATTACAGATGTGAGCCACCGCACCAGGCCACTTTTTTCAACTTTTAATACTAACTTCCGTTTTCAACATCTGCTACATCACACACACACACACACACACACACGCACACACACACACGCCCCTTTGGGTGGGTGTCAAAATGGGCAAGTTACTGGAACCTATGTGGGCACTGAGGCAGGACCAGAGGGCAAATCAGTCATAAACTTCACTTGGTAGGAGATGCCAGGATTTCTTCATCAACAAAAAAAGCTTATATACATACATACACATAAAACATGTGTTATATATCTGTAGGTATATGAGTGGACGTATATATATTTAAAATAGTGTTTTGTAATTATTTTGTGTGTTTCTACCTGCAATCTTTGGACCACCAATTTATTAGACAAACTTCCTAAAATTCCTCCTTCCTTACCTCTCTTTTTAAAGCCACTATAATCTTTTCTAAAGACTTAACCCCTTCTCTTTTCAATTTCTTCTCTTAGTATATGTTAACATCTTCAAGTTTATTCTAATGGGGGGAATCTTTTCTTTGTCGACTCAAAAATTCTCCCTCATTATCATCTTCCTATTTCTTTATGGAGCCACACATTTTTAAATACCTAGACATTTATGGTTCAACATCATTGCTCATCAGCCCACTGCAGTCTGACTTGCATCCCAAGCACCCAGTGGCATGTTCCTTCTTGTGATCAACAGTGGCCTCCAGGATGTTAAAACAATAGGACATGTTCTCAGTCTGTAAATATTGATGTCTCTGTCCACTGGTCACTTGTTCAACCTCAACCTCCTTGTTTGAACTTTGGTATTTTGGATTTTGTGGCATCAATTTATTCTGGATCTCCTCCTATCTCTTTATCTATTTGTTTTTACTTGGTTACTGGGCCACAGCTCCAAGCACTTCTCTGTTCTGCTCACCAACTGAATTGGTTGGATGCCATTCTTCTAGCTTGATGGTTTCAAACTTTAGTGTGCATGAAAATCACCTGGAGAACTTGTTAAAATTCAGATTGCTGGATCCCACACCCATCAATTTGAAGTGGAAAAGTAGGAGCCATTTTGTCTACCTATAACAAAGTCCAACTTGTTTTTAAATCATATCTGAAGGAGCTTTCTCTCTTGTAGTTTTCTTGACCATTGATTACCTATATTAAGCAATAGCTTCCTTCATGTTTTTACCTCTGGAAAGATTGTAGTTGAAATACTTACAAGCATCTTTTTTTATTTTGTAAATATTTTGACAATACTTTTCTCTTTTTTCCAAAATTTATTCTTAATTTATTTGAAAGAAAATGCTAGAGAACACGCAAATTTGGTATTACTTCTCACACCAATGGATACATATTTTCCAGAACTACAAAAGAGTTTAGCTAGATCATCTATTGCTAAGAATTACCAAGTGTTTCATAAGGAGAGGGTGACAATAATAAAGAAATATAGAGAACACTAATATAATTTTGATATATAATTATTATTTTCTGGGTGAATTCTATATGAGATAAATACCCTACATACATAGGGGTGTGTCTACATTCTGTGGGACTTAAAGCTTATACAAATTGAGGATCCCTCTTTAGAAAACCAGATAGAAAATTATGGACACAGAATTGCTAGAGATTTTCCTAGGGACAATGGAGAAAATAAGAGGTCCTGAAGCATTTGTTTAATGACTTTCTTTGTAGATATATTTTTACTCTATACCCTAGAAACACATGGAGGCTACTAATAGTCCCATGTTATATATTAGGAACTAACGTTCAGAAAGATTACATAACTTTTCCTGGATCTTGCAGCAAGAAGAGGTCAAACTGAGGTTAAAATGAAGGCAGGTCGAACTGGAAAATCTGTGTTTTAACCCCTTCAGTTTACTACCCATCCACTCTAAGACAAAATTAACCAGTCCTTCCTGTGAATACTCACTGATGAATGGCAGTCCCCTCTTCAAAAGCTGATAGTTCTCAATTACAGCACTGAATTCTGAATTCTCACTCAAAGGCTTAAAATGCTCTTCATACTAGCAATACCTTCTATGTTAGCTGTTGCTCTTTATTTACGTAACATAAACTGCTTTCCAGCCTGTGCTAATTCTATGTTCAGAGCAAAATCACACCACATTCCATTCTGTTATCCATGGGGCTACTCTTACAGAAGATCATGCCACTCTCCAATGTCCAGGCCAAACCTCATTTTTATATTTTATTAAACAATCCTTGACACCCTCATGGTTCATGGCAATTTTCTTTTTCTTATTGTTTTCTAGGGGCCTGTAGGTCTGGATGCTTACTCCTTTTGCAAAATATCAGTAGCTGCACTTTCCCCAGTTCAGAGCTTCACCTGTAACTGCACAATAAACAAAGTGAAGAGGATAGTAATTTCTTCCCCCTGCCCTTAGTGCTGCTACACAGTGCCTGGACCATGAGGAACCACATGGAGGTACTCACTAAGGCCATGCTGGCTACATAGCTTTGACTCACACTGTGGGGATCATCGTACATTTACATTTTCCTTAGAAGACTGTCAGTTAGATGGCATCATCAAAGCCTCCAAGTCACTGAAGGACTCAGAGTACTGGTTCATTTTAATCTTATAATTATAAGTACATCTATTTGCAAACTCAGCTATGAAATTTATGAGCCCATTGGATTAAGCAGCTTCCTTAGCTGGTATTATGAGGGCTTCCAGAAAGTGTCTCCTACTTGCTGGGTACTTTTCTTTTGTAGAAAAAAAAAAAAAAAGTAAAGTATTTGAGTTTGGCATGGAGGGTTAATCATTTCACCTCTGCGACAGCAGAAATCCCTCCGAGATTTCCGTTACCCTCTGCTTTAATAAGCTTGCTCCCTCTACTTCTTATACAGACCTGGCCCTGCTGCTTTCTGAAGCAGTAGATCTGGGGATCTGGTCATGCTGAAACAGAATCCGCACTAGTGCAGAACACAATGGTGATTTACAGACTTTGTCTTTAGGGCGCAACAAAGACGCTAGAATCTCTTTTGATAACATTATCTTCTTCCTTTGTAATTTCTTTGCAGAACACTTTTTGAAAATTGAGATCCTTTTATCTTAGAGCCAGAGATCTTAGCTTCGACCCAGTTGCCCTTTAAATATGAATAAGAGCTTGTATTGAATGCTACCTGTCTTATATTTGCCTGGTCTACTTGACTGCATAATATTTTGAGGTGCTTGAAAGACAGCTTTCTTCTCTTATCCTCAGTGAATAATTTCCTTTACAGCCTACAGGAGTTTAAAGCCATATTTTCCATATTTTTCATCTTACTGGCTAGGCCCAAGTTATAAAGGTTATCAGAATTACAATTTGGATTCATTTCTTGTCCTTTGGTTAGAAGAGCATTATTTGAATTATAAACTATTGTTTCAAAAAATAAGAGTTACATTTTAGTTCTGCTCTCCTATGGTATTTAATCAAGGACTCCTTTGTCCATCAATAAGTTTATTTGCATTTATATTACACTATTCAGGTAGGAGTGTGTGAATGTGTCACACACACACATGCACACACACAATCTCTTTCTGCCATCCCCTATCTTTCTATCCAAGTGCTAAAATGGTACCAGTGCTAGAGTAGAGTGGAATTGAACAAACACCAATGTGTCTAACTTTGAATATTGGCAACATCAAACAATTAAAAAAACACATTTATTG
The DNA here is from genome assembly GCF_000001405.40 of Homo sapiens. Taxonomy (NCBI): domain Eukaryota; kingdom Metazoa; phylum Chordata; class Mammalia; order Primates; family Hominidae; genus Homo; species Homo sapiens. The sequence goes on from NC_000018.10 coordinate 38,983,456, forward strand.
TGAGACAGGATTAGCAGCAGTAGCCTCCATTATGAACATTTTACTTTGGCATCAGTGTTTCTGAAGCTATTTTCGAGCCTAAATTTCATAACTATACAATCAAATTAGCAGTGTTAATTATTTGAGAGGGTTCGAAGTGGACTTTTTGATGAAACATACCAGGAAAACCTGCTAAAACAAAATTCATGTGCTATGGAGAGAACTGCATAATCCCAAAATTAATATGTTGAAGCCCTAAACCCCTTGACTCTATTGGAAACAGGGTCTTTAAGGAGATGATCATGGTAGGTGAAGCTACAAGAGTGGGGCCCTTATGAAGTAGAACTGGTGACTTCATAAGACTAGGAAGAGAAACTAGAGCTCTGCCTCTACCACATGAGAACACAGAAAGAAGGTGGCCATCTGCAAGCCAGAAAGAGAGCCCTCACCAGAACCCAACCATCCTGCATCCCACTCTAAAAAGTCCCAGCCTCCAGAATTGTGAGAAAATAAATTTCTGTTGTTTAAGCCACCTAGTCTATGGTATTTTGTTGTGGATGCCATAGCAAACTAAATTAATATTGATATATAGGAAAAAATTATAATAATTTCCAAATACAAGGATAAATATAATCAAAAAAGTAGAAATAAATGTTGTCTAGTGATATGGTTTGGCTCTCTGTCCCCACTCAAATCTCATGTTGAATTGTAATTCCCAGTATTTGAGGGGGAACCTAGTCGGAGGTGATTGGAACATGGGAGCAGATTTCCTCCTTGTTGTTTGCATAACAGTGAGTGAGTTCTCATGAGATCTTGTTGTTTGAAAATGTGTAGCAATTCCTTCTTCACATTCTCCCTCCTGCCAGCCATGGAAGACATGCCTCCTTCATCTTCACCTTTTGCCATAATTGTAAGTTTCCTGTGGCCTACCTAACCAGGCTTCCTGTACAGCCTGCAGAATTGTGAGTCAATTAAACCTCTTTTCTTTATAAATTACTTAATCTCAGGTAGTTTTTTATAGCTGTGCGAGAACATACTAATACAGAAAATTGGTACCAGAGAAGTGGGGCATTGCTGTAAATATTCCTGAAAATGTGGAAGCAGCTTTGGAACTGGGTAACGGGCAGAGGTTGGAACAGTTTGGAGGGCTTAGAAGAAGACAGGAAGATGAGGGAAAGTCTGGAACTTCCTAGAGACTTGTTAAGTGTTGTAAACAAAATGCTGTTAGTGATATGGACAGCTGAGGAAGTCTCAGATGGAGATGAGGAACTTATTATGAACTCTTAAAGGTCACTGTTTCTATGCCTAAGCAAAGAGACTGACATTGTGCCCCTGCTGTAGCGATCTGTGGGACTTTGAACTTGAGAGAGATGATTTAGGGCGTATGGTGGAAGAAATATCTAAGCAGTAAAGCATTAAAGAATTTCCCTGGCTGTTTCAAACAGTGTATGCTTATTTGCATAAACAAAGAGATTGTCTGAAACTGGAACTTATATTTAAAAGGGAAGCAAAGCATAAAAGTTTCAAAAAATTGCATGCTGACCATGTGATAGAAAATAAAAACCCATTTTTGGAGGAGAAATTCAAGCTAGCTGCAGAAATTTGCAAATGTAAACAGGAAACAAATGTTAATAGTCAAGGCAATGGGAAAAATGCCTCCAAGGCATTTCAGAGAAATTGATGGAAGTCCCTCCCATCACAGGCCCAGAAGTCTAGGAGGGAAAAATGGTTTCATGAGCCAGGGCAAAGGCTAGCTGCTCTATGCAGCCTCAGGACATGGTGCCCTGCCTCCCAGCTGCTCCAGCTCCACCCAGAGCTAAAAGGGCCCCAGATACAATGTCTTAGGCTTCTGCTCTAAAGGATGCAAGCTGTAAGCCTTGGCAGCTTTCACATGATGTTAAGCCTGTGGGTGTGCAGACAGCAAGATTTGAGACTTGGGAGCTTCTGCCTAGATTTTAGAGGATGTGTGGAAATGCCTTGATGTCCAGGCAGAATTTTGCTGCAGGTGTGGAGTACTCATGGCGAATCTCTACTAGGACAGTGTAGAGAGGAAATGTGGAGTTGGATTCCTCACACTGAGTCCCCACTGGGGCACTGCCTAGTGGAGCTGTGAAAAGAGGGCCACTATCCTCCAGCCACCAAAATGGTAGATCCACCAACAGCTTGCTCTGTGAGTTTGGAAAAGCTGCAGGCACTCAATGCCAGCCTGTGAAAACAATGGTGGGGGCTGTACCCTGCAGAGCCACAGGAAAAGTGCTGCCCAAGACCTTGGGGCCCATCCTTTGCATCACTGTGTCCGGGATGTAAGACATCTAATCAAAGGAGATTATTTTGGAGCTTTAAGATTTAATGATTACCCTGCTAGATTTCAGACTTGCATAGAGCCTGTAGCCCCTTTGTTTTGGCCAATTTCTTTATTTTGGAATGAGATCATCTGCACAGTGCCTGTACCCCATTGTATCTTGGAAGTAACTAGTTTTTTATTTTACAGGCTCATAGGTAGAAGGATTCGCATTGTCTCAGATGAAACTTTGGACGTAGACTTCTGAGTTAATGCTGGAATGGGTTTAGGCTTTGGGGAACTGTTGAAAAAGCATGATTGTCCTTTGAATTGGGATTGTCCTTATGTGAAAAGGACATAAGATTTTGGAAGGACCAGGGGCAAATGATATGTTTTTTCTCTGTGTCCCCACTCAAATCTCATGTTGAATTGTAATCTCTAATGTTGGAGGAGAGACCTAGTCAGAGGTGTTTGGATCATGGGGGCAAATTTTCTTCTTGCTGATCTCATGATAGTAAGTTCTCACAAGATCTGCTTATTTAAAAGTGTGTAGCACTTCCCTGTCACTCCGTCTCTCTCCTTCTGGCCATGTGACGACTTACCTGCTTCTCTTTCACATTTTGCCATGATTGTAAGTTTCCTGAGGACTTCCCAGCCATGCTTCCTGTACAGCCTGTGGGACTGTGAGTAAATTAAACCTCTTTTCTTTATAAATTACTAGGTCTTGGGTAGTTCTGTATAGCCATGTAAGAATGGACTAATACGTCTGTATAGTCTGGATTCACAGAGACAATTGAAATGTTATCTTGCAGTTAACATTTATCATTTAGATAAAATTTGATGAAATGGACAGAAAACCCTTTGCAAAAAGACAAGTGAATGGAAAAGTATATCATTATTTTATGACAATTGTGAAACTGATTTTCTCAGACCACAATGTTTGTTTATCCAGAAAACATAGGGGAAATGCTTCGTGATATTGGACCGGGCAAGGATTTTCTGAATAAGACCTTAAAAGCATGGACAACAAAAGCAAAAATAGACAAATGAGACTATATCAAACTGAAAATTTTCTGCACAGGAAAGGAAACAATAAAGTGAAAAGGCAACCTTCAGAACAGGAGAAAGTATTTGCAAATTACTTATCTGTCAAGGAGTTAATGTCTAGATTATAAAAGGAACTCAAACAACTCAGTAACAATAAAACAAATAGTCTAATTAGAAATAGGCAAAACACCTGAATAGACATTTATTAAAAGAAGATATGCAAGTGGCCAATAGTTCTATGAAAAAAAACTCTACATCACTAATCATCAGAGAAATGCAAATCAAAACCACAATATGATATCACCTTGCTCCAGTTAAAATAGCTATTATCAAAAAGACAAAATAATGACAGATACTAGTGAGACTGCAGGAAAAAGGGAACTCTTATACACTGTTGGTGAGAATGTAAATCAGTACATCCATTATAAATAACACTATGAGGATTCGTCAAAAATTTAAAAATGGAACTATCATATGATTCAGCAATCCCATTAAAAAACATATATCAAAAGGAAATAAAATCAGTTGGTCAAAGAGACATCCGAACACTCATGTTTATTGCAGCACTATTTACAATAACTAAGATATGGAATCAACCTAAATGCCTATATACAGATGAATGAGTAAAGGAACTGTGATCTATATATAAAAAATGGAATAGTATTTGGCCAAATAAAGAAAGAAATTCTGTCATTTGCCGTTCCATGGGTGAACCTAAAGGACATTATTCTAGGTGAAATAATCCATGCACAGAAAGACAAATACTACATCATCTCATTTGTATGTGGAATCTTAAAAAGTTGATTTCATAGAAGTAGAGAGTGGAATAGTGGTTACCAGAGGATGGAGAAGGTAGTGAGGATAGAGGGGGACCTGACAAGGTTGGTCAATGGGTACAAAATTACAGTTAAACAGAAATAATAAGTTTTGGTGTTCTATTACCAGTAGGGTGACTAGACAATAATAACGTAGTATATATTTCAAAATAGCTAGAAGCTAAGATTCTGAACGTTGTCACTACAAATAAATGATAAATGTTTAAAGTGATGGATATGGCAATTATCCCAATTTGATCATTATACTGTGTATACAGGCATTGAAATGTCATAATATATCCCCAAAATATGTAAAATTATTATGTGTCAATTATAAATATAAAATTAAGCAATCAAAAAGAACACCATACATAGTAATAAAGGACTTTGAATGACCAACCACAGGCTAGAACTCCCCACTTGACATCCTGATGATAAAAAAGAAACAATGGGAGATAAAAGAAAAGGAAACACTGGCCCCTTGAATTACACTCAGAGTTGGGTAGGTAACACCTGGCCAGCTAGAATAATGCTATTACTTCCCTGGAGCCATAGCCATAAAAGATTGGGAGATTGTACCCAATATTTGCAGGAAAACGTTGAGGCTATTCCTCCTGCCGGTCGTGCTAGGGAAAGGTTAACACACATGTCTATGTGAGGACAAAAATATCTGTGTTGCTTCCAAGCACTCTAATAGAAATTGGAAAGAGACATCTGGATTGATATTTGTTCTTATCTTCTGTTTTACATTTTGTGTCCTGAGATTTGTCTTGCAGTGGAGAGAACAAGGAATATGAGGGATAGCATGCTTGTTCCATTGTTCTCACACAGGAGAAAGTTTTGATCTAATTTGAACATGTGGGGATGAAATATAGTAGTAGTAGGGGCAAAAACATGCAGTTTGAAGCCAGAAACACCAGTATGCAAATGCTGGATTAGCCACATAGTAAATCTTAGATCTTGGGTTTGTTTTTTAACCTCTCTGAGCACTAATCTCCTGATATGGTTTGGATGTTTTGTCTCCGCCAAATCTTATGTTGAAATGTGACCTCCAGTGTTAGAGGTAGGCCTAGTGGGAAGTGTTTGTGTCATGGGGGCAGATACCTCAGGAATGGCTTGGTACCATTCCCATGGTAATAAGTGAGTTCTCAATCTCATAGTTCGCCTTGAGATCTAGTTGTTTAAAAGAGACTGGCACCTCCTCCTCTCTCTTTTGGTCCTTCTCTTACCATGTGACATGCTAGCTTCCCTCCCTCTTCCTCCATGATTGTAAGCTTCCTGAGGCCTTCACTAGAAGAAGATGCTATCACCATTCTTCCTGTAAAGCCTGCAGAACAGTGAGCCAAAATAGACCTCTTCTTTTTTTTTTTTTACTGTAAATTACCCAGTTACAGGTATTCCTTTATAGTCCTGCAAACAGATTAACACCCCTCATTTGAAAGGATACTTACCTGGTCAGGTTATCTTCATGATTACATGAAGCTTACATGAGCTTAGATATAGAATAACAAAGTATAATAATCAATCATTACATGATAGATATCTCATAAATGTGAGGGTTTTAAAAATTACTTTTACCTTTCACCTCAGCTTTGATTTATATGGTAGTAGCAGACTCTATCTTATAAAAAATGCTAGATTTATTTTGAAGTATCTGTATGACAAAAAGGCAAGTCATCAAAAGCATCCTCCCAACTGGTCAAATAAATTTTGTTATAAATATGCAATTATTTTCAGGCATTAAAATCAAAATATAATTTTTTCACAGTGAAAATGATATACGTTATTTTGAAAAATATAATAAATGCCACATATTATGATTTAATTATTTTTAAAAGCATGATTTCTTTTGTGACTATAAATACATTAAAAATTAATAGTAGCACACATAAACACAATGTTACTATTAACATCTATTTTTAGAAGTGTCAGTGATTCTTTGTGGTTTCCCTGTCTTTTTATGAAAGTATCTCCATAAGACACAAAGTTCCTAGGCCTAGCCTTTCAGTTTTTTGACTGTTCCCCCATGTCCCACTTTGTAAATGTTCATTTGCTTGTAATAGCAATTTATGTCACTGTGCATTATACGGATGGCCTAATTCAAGGCCAGTCATCCAGTGGAGATGTCTTTACTTCGAGGGAAGTTGGTTAATGGTTGGAACCAGAACATTTTATGTTACCATATCATTGAACTGTATTTTCTACAATGTCTTTTTACTGACTGTGCCTAAAAACATTTCATTATGTCCAATCATATATACTCATTCTTATTAGAAGATTATCATTTTCCTTGTAGTTCCACCTGCCCAATGCCAGTGATGCTTCAGGTTTCTTACACTGCCATAAGAAAAGAGTTGGCTTTAAATAAAAACTCTTATTATTCATCAGGTGTCTGGTGATTTAAATAAATGAAATGTGCCATCCTTCATTGAAAGAGATAGCACTCCTGGTCAGAGTCTAGTATATGTGGCAGCGGAGGGGGCAAGCTACATGACTTTAGAGGCTCTAAGAGTCTCTCCCAACTCACCTGCATTTTCTTCCTACAGGAAAGTTGATTCTTGACATTCCTTGAAAAGATCCCACTGACTTTTACCATTTTCCTTCATTCATCCATTCATTTCTTCTTTCTTTTTTATAAAAGATTTAAAGCAACAATCATATTTTATAATTTCTGTTTCACTTTGCCAATTCAAAAATAAATTCTTCAACATTAAAATTAAAGAGAATAACATATAGTGAAGATACAATATATAAGCAATTACAATAGAAGATTTTTAAAGTTCCAATAGCTATATGAACAAAATGCCACTGGAGTACAAGGAAATGTTGGAGACTTCACTGAGGAAGTCACAGGTGCACCTGAGAAGGGTAACAACGGTGGTCAACTCAATAAAGAATAAACACTGAAGATAGTCATCCAGTGAATAGAAATTGGAAAGAAAGGGTGAGAGATCTTAGCATGTTCAAATGCGGGCAAATAGGCTTAAGTAGGGTTAGCAGCTCTGTGGAATGAGAATGTAAAGGCTATGTGGTATGCTAGTGCCTTGTGGAATCAAAGATGGACTGAGGCTCAGGGGGAAAGAGTGAGTTATAGTTGGGTGAAGCTTTACATTGTAAAGCTTTACATTGTAACTATTATCATATATTGATAGCAGTAAATGTTAATGCATTTTTGGAACAATAATATTTTTATAAGTACCAAAGTTCTTATGAAATAATTTTGTATGAGCAAAACAATGGAATGATTAAAATAATTATTTATATGTGTAAATAATGTACTGTACTATCCTGGCCTCCATTTCCACCCTCTCCACCCCCCACTCTTTTCATCAATCTATAAAAACATTAAGTTGATTGTTTCCATCAAAACTGATAATATGGTGCTAGTATCATTAACTGTCACTAATCTGCCCTATTCATTTTTTATACTATCAAATCCCTGTCCTGAAAGATTGGCTCCAGATTATGTGTTGAAAAAATAAATCAACCTTCCTGTCGAACTCCCTTCAAAATATATTGGGCTTATATCTAAAATCGCCATAGCTTAAAATCATTTATTCATTTAATTATTGAGAGGTAAAGTTTGTATGAAATTTACCACAAATGATTCACCAAGATATATTACCTAAATTACAGATTTTATGGATACATGCTTGTGATTTTCTGAGGGCCAGAGTGACTTACTTCGAAAATTTTCCTACTTATCCATCAACAGTGGATTAGATAAAGAAAATATGGTACATATACACTATGGAATACTATGCAGCCATTAAAAAGGAATAAAATCATATCCTTTGCAGCAACATGGATGGAGCTGGAGGCCATTATCCTAAGTGAATTAATGTAGAAAGAGATAATGAAATGCTGCATGTTCTCACTTATAAGTGGGAGCAAAACAATGGGGATGCAGAGACATATAGATGGAAACAAGAGACACTGAAGACTCCAAAAGGAGGAAGAGAGGGAGGAGGGCAAGGATTGGAAAACTACATATTTGGTACTATGTTCTCTGTTTTGATATGGGTTCAGTAGAAGCCTGAACCCCACCATTATACAATATATCCATGTAAGAAAACTGCACATGTACAACCTGAATCTAAAATAAAAATAAAACATAATAAAAAATAAAATTTTTGAGATCTCTTTCGATTGCATTTAATTTTAAGGTCTATATAATGGCCCTTTTTTGTGTGAATTGGAACTAGCACAGTATAACTTCTGAGAAAATCATAGTTGTTCTAGATTCTTTCTAGGTCTTTGAGAAATGAACTGACAGTCTTATTTTATTTGTGAATTCTGTATCTAGTAGAATATTCATCTATGCCTTTCCTAAATTTCTACTTGTAGCACAGATATACATTTGTTACTCTTTCCAAGAAGTTTTACAAATTCTCCCTGTACATATCTCGGAATACCAAGTTTACACATTGTTTATTTTTATTATATTTAATTATTTACCTTATTTAATATATATGTTTATTTTTATTTTATTGCCCCTAAACCTAACTCTAAATCTAATACTTATTTCCTTATAAATTCTACAGGCTGCCTAAAATCTACTTTGTGGGGAGATGGCATGAAAGTAAATAAACACAGGGAAAATCCTGTTCTCCACCTAGCACTAAGTGTAACTCTCTCTCTTTGCATTTTATAGATGAGGCATTGAGAGAAGGGAGCAAACTTAATTGTGGATGCTGCCTAACCAGAATTGCAGTTGGGTGCTGTAGGGTAACAGAAAGGCAGGTGATTATCAGTTGCCAATGTGGCTACGAAGCTCTGTGTTCTATGTATGAGCAGTGCTGCATAGTTAAATAAATAAATAAATAAATAAATAAATAAATAAATAAATGCAATAATGATAACAGACAGGAGAAAAAAAATTATAGCCAACCATGGAAAAAAAAAAGTACTACCTGTGTTCAGCAGAATCAGGACAGCGAATATGGCTTGCCATCCACCAGAGAATACTGGGAGTTTAACAATTAAAGTCTGCTTCTCTAGAGACTGGAGGCTGTGTCTCCCTGCACATTGCTAGTAAAGTGTAATTCATTTTACCTCGCCCCCACCTTTAGAAATCAAAGTTCAAGCATCCGTATCAGATGCGTTTGAAAGGCGAGGGCTTCTCTCCCCTTGCAGAGCTGTGTCTCCTCTTCAGGGAGCATTCTCCTGTTCTGTTAATTATTGTGCTTCGATGACATTATTATTCATGGACCAACCTCTCAAAATACTTGACTTAGCACTGGGCCTGGAACTAATACTAATAAGTACAAGAGGAGTGGTGGGTGCGGGTTTTTCTTTTTCTTTTTTTTTCTTCTTTTCTGTTCTATACACAAAGAAAGAAAACACTTATGTTCAAAATTCAACTTTCTTACACTTTTAAACAGAATTTATTTATTGACTCAATAGGGGCAGTGTCACAGGGAAGAAATGTAAAAACCCAATTCCAGATTTCTACAGACCATCAACAGAGGAAGCAGAGGAATAAAAGACTCATTTAATTTGTTATGGCTTTAATACAACTTACAAAAATATTTATTTTTGGGGTCATGGAATCTTTGTTCACTGCTATGGAGTCAGTGATTATAAACATGGAGCTCTGTTGGTAAAAGGCATTTTGATATTTGAGGTAATGTTATAATATAATGACTTTTTTTAATCAAACATACTAAAACATATCCATTTGAAAAAAAAAACTAGTCCTCCTCAAAGTAGCCAACATGAAAAGCTATTTTGTTTTAAGAGATATATTTCTAATTATCAGGTGTAAACAACAACAGCATCAACAAACCAATGAGCAGTATTCACAAGAAATAGGGGTTTGTTTTTTATTCATAACAGAAAATCTGCTGATATTGATTCACCTGCTCTGTAATAATAAAAACAAAGTCATTTTCTATTTTTTGCTCTGCTATCATGATCAGATCACACCACAGCATTTGACTATTATTTGTTGCCCAAGGTCACATGATGGCTGACTCACCTTCAGTTGTACATTTATATACAATGCAGAGAAGGAAGGAAGGAGCTAGGGCCAGCATGATTTCTCTTGTGTCTTTTCTTTTATTATCCGAAATTAAAAGAAGACTACCAGTCATTTATTCTTCCACCTCCTTGTCAGAAACTAGACCTCATGCCTGTCCTAGCTGCAAAAGAGGTTAGAGGACCAGCCACAGTGCATGACTTTATATTTCCCATTGTGGGAAGTGAGCAAGGGAGAAGGAGGCTGAGATTGTAAGTGATGCTGGCCAAAGAAAAGTACCTGCCATAGCATAAAGTTATTCTTACAAGTTTCCATTATTTAAAACTCTTCTTTGTTAACTGACTTTATTTTGAAACCAAGTTTCTTTGGAGTGGAGGTCATGACTACCTTTTTTTTTTTTTACATTGTATTATTTAGATCCTACCCTAGTCTCTCACTCACAATATGGGTATTGAATGAATGAATTTGTGAGTGGATAAATAAACTGACAGTTTCTCCACTAGATACCTCCCTGTAGGTGTGTTGTGTGTCACTCTCAAGCAAAGGGGAGTGGATAATGGGGAAATTATAAACTGGTAGCTGAAAATGTGCAGCAGAGAGAATTTTGAACAAAATTTCTTTTTAAGTTGATAGGGTGCAGTGAGCCATTGTGGACTGATAATCTAAGATGGATTAAACAAGCCAAGAAAGCTGGTGCCACCCATACCTTCCCTGGGTCCCCACAATCTGCAGACTAAGTAAGTCTGCTTATCACAATTATAGCCTGGAACTGACCCTGGAGGCCTGATCAGTCTGTCCCGCAACTGATCTCTCCCCTTGTCATTACTGCTGTGTCTTCCTGATGGCCCCTTGGTACTGCTTAGTCTCCAGGTCTGAATACTGGCAGTTCCAGCTGAGTGGAAAGTTTTCTATAAAACTCAATTAGTTTTTCATTAATTCCTTTTTTAATAAAGATTTTTTATGATCCTTCCATCTAATACTTATAAGCTACATGTCAATCTCCAAAACAATACCTCCATCACTGAAATTGCTTGAGCTGCCGGTGCGTTTATTGAAACTCCTGGCTTTCAAGGAGTTTTCAGTGAATTAAATCTTAAAAACTGAAGGCTGCAGTTGCCTTTGCATTCTGTGTCTGGGAAGCATTCTGGATGGTGTTCCTGAAACATCTTGCTTAACTGAACATCTGTGGCATGATGGGTAAAGACAGTGAATGTGAATAAAAGAGGGAGTATGACTAAAATTCTCCTGAAACAATAATTCCACCACCAGTAATTTTAAAAAGATAGATGGACTGATTTACCTCTGTTCCTGGATTTGTAGTTATTTTCTACCCTTCAACTTTTACTTCCTCTAACTTTATGTTACTCCCGCCACCACACCACCCCGCCTTACCTATTTTCTAAAGTTCACCAATGCTTCTTCCCCCACTGTCTAAACAAATTATTTAAATTAGTATTGCATGTTATACATTTAAAACTGTCATATTGAGGTTAATCATTTGAGTAATACTACGAATCAAACTAATATAATTCTTCTCTATTTAATAGAGTTAAAGGCCGGGTGCAGTGGCTTACGCCTGTAATCCCAGCACTTTGGGAGGCGGAGGCAGGTGGATCACCTGAGGTCAGAAGTTCGAGACCAGCCTGCCCAACATGGCGAAACCCCATCTCTACTAAACATACAAAAAATTAACTGGATGTGGTGGCAGGTGGCTGTAATCCCAGCTACTTGGGAGGCTGAGGTAGGAGACTCGCTTGAACCTGGGAGGCAGAGGTTGAAGTGAGCCAAATTCGTGCCACTGCATTCTAGCCTGGGCGGCAAGACTGAAACTTCCTCCAAAAAAAAAAATAGAGTTAAAATAAACTGGCATACTATGAGGTTAAATATGATCAAGCAAGCAGTGAAGCCAAGCTAAGACCTGGATTTCCTTTGTCTTAACTAATGCTTTTTCCCTCAAAGTTGACTCTTGAACAAAACAGGTTTGAACTGCATGGGTTCACTTATAATTCCTGGATTTTCTTCCATTTTTTGCCACCCTGAAAACAAGACCAACCCCTCATCTTCCTCCTCCTCTTCAGCCTACTCAACATGATGAAGGTGTTATAGAACCCTCTTTTATCATATTATCAGAATTACTTTTCTGGTTCCTTCTTATTTGGGTGGAGTATTTCAGTGGAGAGGCCTGTATCTCAAGCCCTGCTGCTCAGATTCTCTTTTCCCACAGGGTGATCCCTGGCTGTGGTGCTCTCCCCCTTCCTGAGAGCTTCCTGAGAGATGGAGCTTCCTGAGAGATGGAGCTTCCTAAGAGCCAGAATGCAGTTAATGTTATTGTTCTTCTGGGTCTAGCCACCCAACAAGGCTACCGGGCTCTGGGTTGGTGCTGGGGAATGTCTGCAAAGAGTCCTGTGATGTGTTCTCTTCTCAGGTCTCTCAGCCACAGATGCCAGCACCTGACTGGTGAAGGTAGCAGAGGAGTGAGGTAGATTCTGTGAGAGTCCTCAGTTGTAGATAAGTTTAGTGTGCTGGCTTTCTCAAATGCTGGTTATGTTAGCAGTGAAGTCATCATGTGAACATACTCAGGGCCTCTGATTAGCCAGGGTATTGCAGGAGGTGGAATTAGGTGCTGTCTTCTCCTTCCTGAGACCGGGGTTATTCTGTTGTCAGTTGCTGTATTGGCCTGAGTTGGCTGGCCTCCACCTAGTAGGTGGCACTTTCAAGAGTGCACCAGCTGCGGTAGTAAGGTAGTAAGTATTTCGGTTTCTCAGATATGTGGGCCCTTAAAGCTCCCAAGAACCTCTCTTTTGTGTTTGGTGCCAGGTTGGGTAGATAAATACCATCAGGTGAAGGCAGGGTTAGGTAGGTCTGGGCTCAGACTCTCTTTGGGAAGGGCTTGCCATGGCCACTGTTAGGGATGAGAGTGTGGTTCTCAGGCCAATGGGTTATGTTCCAGAGGGGATCTTGACTGCCTCTGCTGTGTCATATTGTTCACTGGGGAAGTGGGGGATACCCAGTAGCAAGAGGCCTTACCCAGCTCCCATGCAAGAGGCCTCACCAAATGGTGAGGCTGGTCTTGCTCCTGCAGTGCCCAGCTCAGACCTTGCCCCAAGCTGTGACCTTCCCCACTGAGAAAGCAAGCATGGCTTTTAGACCTCACCCGACCCCATCTGCCCACTCTATCAGTGGCTCCTGCACTCATATCTGTAGAAGCTCCTTCTTGTCCCTAGAATCTGCTCAAGAAAATGCATGCCCAGTCAAAACCACTACCAATTTCAGTTGGGAGAGGCCTTTGCCTCATGACCCCTACCCAATTCTGCTGGCTGCCTTCCCAAGGGTCCAGTGAGATGTAATCAGAGATGGCTTCCCTGGGCTCAAGCTGGAGACAGGGAGTGCAAGGCACTTCCCACTGCTGCTCTACCTTTATATTTGTGTGACTCTCTAAATATATTTCAGCTCTAGGGAAGGTTAAATCCTTCTCCCTTGGTCTGGATTTTCAGATTCCCCAGCAGGGACGTGTGTTCAGAGGCATATTTTCCCCTCTCACACTTTGGGAACTCACAGTTTTTTACCTGTTTTGTGAAATTTGCAGTGGCATGTCACTTCTTCCAAAGGATTTGCTAATTCTTTTGGTTTTCCTGGTATGTTCCTGCAGTGGTTTTTCGAGCAAAAGATCACAGTGTGAGTTTCCACAGGCTGTTCTGTCTGCCCAAGTGGGAGCTGCACATTAGCTTTGTCCCCTATCCACCATCTTGTTCCTAATTCTTTCTCCTTTTTAATGTCCCTTTTAATACCTTCTTTAGTTATAATTGTGCATTCTATATGATTCTATTTTATACCTTAAGCATAGCATTTATAGTTTAAAAAAGACACCTATTTAGTGGTTTTTCTAGAGTTTATAGCACACACTTTAACTAATTTTACCTTCTGTTAATATTACACTGTCGTGTAAGCATATGATAATATTATTTTCCACTTCTCTCTCTTATCTGTAGAAGCTCCTTCTTGTCCCCAGAATCTGCTCAAGAAAATTCATGCCCAGTCAAAACCACTACCAATTTCAGTTGGGAGCGTCCTTTGCCTCATGACCCCTACCCTATTCTGCTGTCTCTTCTTCTCTCTCTTGTCTCTTCTGACATGATTATCATTAGTTTCACTTATGTATATGCTACAAACACCCAATGTATTATTGTTATCATTGCTTTAAAGAGGTGGTTATCTTTTAAGTTAATTAAAGTTTAGAAAAATAGTTTATCTTTATTTACTTTCCTCTCTAACAGTCTTCCTTTCTTTATATAAATGCCAGTTTTTGACATATGTTAGTTTCCATTCCTCTGAAGAACTTTTAACATTTCTTGCAAGGAAGGTCTAGTGGCAATGAATTTCCTTAGATTTTTATCTGAGAAATAAATAGTTTATTTGAGAAAGTCCTTATTTCTCTTTCACTTTTATGAAATGATTTGACTACATATAGAGTTGTAGGCTGGCTTTTTTTGTTTTTCTTCTGACAGTATAAAGATTTAGCTACACTCTCTGCTTGCATGGTTTCAGATGTAATTATTTTCTTTTTCCTCTGGGTAAGGTGTTTAACTATTTTGACTGCCTTCAAGATTTTTGTTTTGTGTTTGGTTTTCCAAATTTAGAATACAGTATGTCTAAAGGAGTGTGTGTGTGTGTTTCTGTGTGTGTGTGTGTGTGTGTGTGTATTTTTTTAATTCTCCTGATTGGTGTTCTTTAAGCTAATTGGGTCTGTCGTTGGATGTCAGTCATTAATTTCCTAATGTTCTTGGCCAGTATTATTTTGGATATTTATTTTGCCCTGTTTTTTTTTCTCTTTCTTGTTATTCTGATTATTCATATGTCATATATTTCAATACTGTCTCATAGTTCTTTTATATTATGTTCATTTTATTCTCTTTTTGGCATCAGACTGGGAAGTCTCTATTGACCTATATCCTTCAGTTTACTGATTATTTCTTCAGTTGTGTCAAATCTACTGATGAGTTTGTGAAAAACATTTTTTATTTCTGTTATTGTGTGTGTGTGTGTGTGTGTGTGTGTGTGTGTGTGTGTGTGTTTCCTAGCAATTTCTTTTGATTTATTTTTATAATCCTTCTCTCTACTGTCATCCTCTGGACTTGAGTGTTGTCTACTTTGTTTTTCAGTAAAGCATCTGATATATTAATAATTGCCATTTTAAATTTATTGTCTGATAACTTCAACATTTTTATCATATCTTAATTTGGTTCTGATGATTTCTATGTGTGGTCAAACTATGTATTTGATTACTTTTTGATTTGTTTATTTGTTTGTTTAAATCTTAACATCTAAAGGGAGTAAGTATTGAGCTATGTAGGTGTTCAGTGTGAATATATATATTTCTCTGTATATAAGTTGGGCTGTGTATATTGTTTCTTGTAGTTACAGGCACCAAAATCTTCAAATTCCACTAGTGAACTTGCATTGTTTTCTCTTTTTGTCTTCAGGGCTTCCTTTATACTGCTTCTCAGAAAGAAGCTATGTCTTGAAGCTCTCAGATGTGATCCAAGTGAAGGCTTCTTAGTATCACCACGCTAACAAAGGCATCCATTGAGAGGTGATGTTGGGATGTTTACCAATTTTCTGATTCCAAGTATGGGTGCACAGTGGTCCTGTGTCTTGGGGATGTGGCCTTCCCAAGTGTTTCTGTTTCTCTCTTCAATTCTCCCACCCTACCCCCATTCCCTTTCCTGACTGCAGAGTTCCCAATCTCATTTCTTGACTCTTTCTTCCCTAATGATTGGGCTTGTTTGCTCTTTTAGTTGAGATACAAAGATTAGAGGAAGGCCTGGAATGGGGCAGAGTTGCCTTCCGTAGATGAGATTTTAGTATTTCCCTCTGGCAAAGTCCTTCTTCCTAAAGGTTAAGTCCTTATAAGGGAGAATCATCTGGGGATGGGTGGTGTTTCACAATGGCTTCTGTTCCACTTCTCTGTGGGCATCACATAGTGGGTTTGTTTGGATCCTCCCTGCAAAAGTCTGGAATATATCCTGAAGCAAAAGCATAGAAAATTGAGCTCCCTCTGTCCCCTACCAAAAAACAAACAAACAAAACTCTACAGATTCCAGGAGCTTCTTTCATGCCAGTCCACACTTAGATTACAGCAATTTACCCAATTTATTAATTCTATGTTCTACAAGTTTATGGCATCTGGCAGCTTTTGCGCTAGGTAAGCAAATCTCAGATCCTGTACTCTCTGGAGGCAACTTCTCTCCAAATTGTGGAGTGACAGTTTGCCCCATGACCTCAGTTATCTGAGAGGTCCAAGAAAACCTGTTGAACTTTTTCTTGTTGTAAGGATGGAAATGATGAGTAAATGTTGAACATAAAACTGAAAGTCTGGGCATGTATTTCTTAATAATCTAATGCATGTAATTTTTTTTCATATTATTAGTAGGTAGTTTAAACTTAAATTCAGTGCCCTTAATGGATATTGATGTGCGCCTTTGTTAAATTGCATGGTGATTTTTTTTGGTAAAATTTCCAACATGCACGTAAAAATTATTAACTTTCTGGTTAGGTAAAGTGTAGAGTGACACATACTGTGTAAGTCATATATGTCATGCATATATTACATTATATGTGTGTGCACATGTACATATGACATGTGTGTATATATGTGTGTGTATGTATGTGTGTGTCTGTGTGTGTGTATACTGTATATAATTCCTAACATCAAGATTGTTAAAATCTTTTATATATTTAATGATTTTATTTGTTATTTAATTCATCGATTACTGAGAAACCTATGTTAAATATTCTAAAATTTCACACAGTGGTATTATATTTTTTCTTTTTCCTGTACATATACTAATATTTGTATTATACATTTCAATACTATGTTATTAAGTATACACCAACAAATAATCATTAAATCTTCCATCATAAAGTGGTCCTCTTAAACTTTTTTTTCTTGTGTGGGCAGGGAGAGTCTTGTTCTGTTGCCCAGACTGGAGTGCAGTGGCACAATCTTGGCTCACTGTAATCTCTGCCTCCTGGGTTCAAGTGATTCTTGTACCTCAGCCTCCCTAGTAGCTGGGATTACAAGTGTGCACCATCATGACCAGCTAATTTTTGTAATTTTAGTAGAGACAGGGTTCCACCATGTTGCCCAGGCTGGTCTCAAACTCCTGGCCTCAAGCGATTCACCCACCTCGGCCTCCCAAAATGCTGGGCTTACAAGTGTGAGCCACTATGCCCAGCCTAAACTTTTTATAATGCTTTTTAACATAACATATATTATCAGATATTCATATAACAATGCCAGCTTTATTTTGTCTGGTAGTTGCCCAGTATAACAATTTTAATTTCTTCATTTTTGAATTATTTATATCTTTATGATTTGAAAGGGGAGCATGTAAACCACAAAGCTGGGTTTTAAAAATCTAATCTGATATTTTGCAGTTGGATTTTTTTGTTACATTGATATCTATAGTCATTCTTGATATTTGGATTTATGTCTACCATTTGTTAATCCTATTTTGTTTCTCATTTGTCTCTTCTATTTTATTTTCATATTTGCTTTCTTTCACATTAATTTTAAAAAATTATTTTATCATTGCTAACTGGAATTTATAAATTAAATTTTTATTATTTTAGAGGCTATTCTAGAACATTTAACTTACCTAGACATAAAATAATCAATTTATTAAAGCATAAAAATTTACTGAAGCAAAAAAATCAAGTTTTTAATAATACAAAGTTTTATCAAATTTATTCATTGTATTCATACTTAAATATTTTGGTTTTGTGTAATTAAATTCTGTCAATTTACTCACAAAAGACATTTTAATTATTGTTGTTTTATATAGTCAATGATGTTTAGATTTAAAGACATAATCACAATTTTCTTTGTTCTTCATTCTTTCTTGTTTTTCAGAACTTAAATTCAGTTTTCTTATATCTGAAGTTTTTAATTCACTGAGGGTCTACAGTTGGCAAATTCCATTTTCGTGCATGAAAAAAATCTTTATCTGTTTTCTTTACCAACAATATTTTTGGGGCGTAGAATTATAAGTTAAAGTTATTTTCTCTAAACATATTAAAATTCTCATTTCTGTTTTATATTTGTCATGATTATCATTTAGAAATTAGCATGTCTTTGCATACAATCTTTTTTTATCATTTTGAGTTTATCTTCCTCTTATTAATGTTCTAAAGTTTTATTCTAATGTGTATATAGCTTTGGATTTCTTTTTATTTCTATTGCTATGATTTGTATACATTTTTGTCTTTAAATTCTGATAAAGTTTCTTCCATAGTCTCTAAATATTGATGTTTCCCCATTCTCTTTTTAGGGAACCAATTATACATAGCTTAGATATTTATCCTTCATAAATCTCAGCCTAGCTTTGTTATTTTCCTTTTGTGTCTGTATCTCTGTGCTACATTCCGAAAAATGAGACCTTTTCTAGGTTCTATTGCTTTTCATTACTTTTCACTAATTTTCTCTTCAACCGTGTTTAATAGGCTATTAAATAGATCCACTAAACATATAATTTTACTTATTACATCTAATATATTTAGAAATGACGTTTGCTTCTTTTTTTAGTTTGCTGTACCATTCCTTATACTTTTTTGCTGCAAATATTTTCCAGCTTACACTTTATATATTTAAAGAGAGTAGTCTTAACTTATTATATAATTACTTGAATAAAAATTTAATACTTGAAATCTTTTTTTTTGTTCTGTGTAAATATGATGTTAACAGATTGTATAATAGAAAGCAAAAAGATTAAAAATCCAGAAATAAACAAAAAATGTGTAAATATATACAAAATAATTTAATGCTAAAAAACAGAAAAGTAGACTTGAAAAAATGGAAAAGTATTCTCTACTCTCAGCTAGGATGATTTAACATTATAAAAATGTCAATTATTTCTAATTAATTTATAAAATTAAATACAACTTTAATTAGAAATGCCAATAAAATATTATATGGACTTAGAAATGCTGACATTAAAATTCATATGGAAAAAAGTATGCATGAGTAGCTAGGAAAACACTGAAAATAAAAACTGTAAGAGTTGTATTACTTTCTTATGGCTGCTGTAAAATAATAATAATAATAATTACAAACTAGATGTCTTAAAACAATGAAAATTTATTCTTTTAAAGTTCTGAAGGCCATAGGTCTGAAATCCAGGCATCAACAGGGGATGTACTCCCCAGGTGGCTCTGAGAATTAGATCCTTTACTCTTCCAACTTTTGTTGACTGTCAGAATTCTATGATGTGTGGAGCAATCTTTCTGCATCACCCTCTTCTCTGTGTGTCTGTTTCACAACTCTCTCTCCTGGTCTCTTACAAAAATACATGTATTACCATTTAGGGCTCACCCAGGTAGGCGAGTGTAAATTCTTCCTTTCAAGCTCTTTAACTTAATTGCATCTTTTGTCACATAATGCAATATTCAGTGTTGTCCACAGAAGATGGTATTCACAGGTTCAAAGGATTAGAACATAAGTACATCTTTTAGGAGGCCACCATTTAGCCTATTACAAGGGACAGCTAGTCTTACTATAAATAAAAATATGTTATTAGGTCTTGATAATAGTTGTGCATGAATATACACATAAATAAATAGAATGTGAATCTCAGAACTAGACTTAACTATGTATGCAGATTTATTATATGCCACTTTAGACCACTCAGGTAGAAGAAGATTTTCTAATAAGAATGCTGAAACAACTGAGTAGCCCTTTGTAAAAAGACAAAATTAGGTCCATGTGAGTATAATTTCCAAACAGATTAGGGATCTAATAAACAAAATAAACTATGAAAGTACCATAATAAAACATGGATGTAGTCCTCCTTAAACTTTGTTCAGGGAAATGCTTTCCAACTATGACAGAAAATCCAGAGACAATGAAAAAATTGATAAATTTAAATTCATATAAATAGAAAGATGAAAGAAAAGAAACACTATTATACTCAAAAAGCAAATGACCAATTGGGAGAAAATACTCACAACATAGACCACCTACAAAGGGCTAATGCCCTTAATATATAACACCTTTAAAATGCAGGAACAGAGACCCAAAAACCAATAGAAAAACGGTGGCAAATATGAATAGGCAGTTCAGAAATAAAAGAGATTAAGTTGACCCTCAAACTTATGAAATAAATGTTTATTTTTACTTATAATTAGAGAAATTCATTTTAAAACAACACAGAAATGCCATTTCTAACACATTGGCCTGACAAATATTTAAAATGTGACAACACTGTGTTCAAAATCATGGAGGAAACAGTTATACTTAATATGTGGCTGTTTGTTTGGTTTTTGGTTCACAAATTGATATAGCCTTTCTGAAGGCAAATTAGAAATACCTAACAGAACATAATAATACTTCCATTTTGGCCTAGAAATCCTACTTCTAGGTATCTTCCCTGAAGATATAACTCTAAAAATATACAAATATATTTGCATAAATTCTTTTCACCATTGTTTATAATTATGAACTACTTTAAATTATTAACAAACCATCTGTATATACAGATCTGTAAAGGTCTCTTTAGTTAAATATGTGTATACAAATATATGTGTGTGTTTGGGTATATATATGTATGTATGTATATATGGGTGTATATATGTATGTATATATACATACACATACAAACACATATTCTTAAGAAAGAGAGGGGTGTATGTATTTTGGGGGTTAGTATATCAATAAATATTTCTTATATTTGTCAAAAGGGCTTAGAGTCAATGATATCCTAGTAGTAATAAGTACATGTAGCATACAAATTTTGATTGCTAAACAGCATATTCCAGGACTCCTGGGAGAAGTGGTGGATTCTAGCTCTAGGGCAGGGCAAATTAAAGATGAGCCTGGAGCATCTTGGAGAATCAGAAAGTAAGAGAGTTCTCAAGAAAGGGTAGGCACTTGCCTAAAGAATATAAGAACCAACCTGAAGAAGCTGGTAATGGGTAAAGCTGGAACAATTTGGGCAACAAAATAAGTAATAAAAAACTGAATATTAATAAAACAAACACTTATTAGTTCATTATGGTATAAATAAGTAATTAAATAAATAAGTTTATGAGGAAGAAGGGATGATTTCTTCCTACACTTTTTTTACTAACAAGTGTGGAAACAAAAGGAAAATAGAAAATCAGCATCAAGTAAACAACAGAGTAATAATTGTTGCAGACAAGTTGCCTTGATGGATGCTAAAATTAGAGGGTGAAAGCTTGAGGACAAACAAGGCTTGTATGGTTTCTTTTTAAATATCTACCTACAAATATTTACTAACTACAAAAGTAAAGTTAGTATCTCTGCAGTGAAGAAACTAAGGCAGACATGAGTAAAATCACATGATTAAAGTTAATATCAACAACAGTAAGACAAATTGATATCATGAACTCTTTGGTAGATGCATTGGGAAGAACACAATGTTATTTCTGTGGTATTCTTGCCAAATATGCCTGACTTCAATGTAATCATGAAAAAAATGTCATGCAAATCTAATTGAGGGACATTCTACACAATAATTAACAAATTTTTTTTAACTGTTAACAACATGACAGAAAAGGAAATACCGAAGAAATGTTATAAATTAGAGGTGACAAATAAGAAATAACAGTGAAATGTAATGTAATATCCTGGGATAGAAAAAGCGTATTGGTAAGAAAAAATGGTGGCATTTGAATAAGGGTTACATTTTTGTAAATAGTATTGTAACAATATTAGTTTCCTGGTATTGATATTTCTACTATAATTATATAGGGTGTTAATATTGGGGAAAGCTGAGTGAGGCATATGTAAGCACTCTTTTTACTATTTTTGCAAAATTTCTGGGAGTCTAAAGTTAGTTCAAAATGGAAAGTTAAAAAAACTAATTATGTTCATCTCTGGATTAGATTTTTCCAATTTATCAACTTTGTTACTTGCTATCTTCTTTTTTTTAACATCCTTAGAATACTTTCCCTCCAATTTTTTACAAATAGTGCTTTGTTTTCTTACAAGAGTTAAAAATAGAAAACTAAAAAATAAAATGGATGAAGTAAAATGGGAAAGTCTCATAACTTCTCAGAGCTCCTGTTTAGAAGTAAAATAGTGTTTTGAAATATTCTCTATACTGTTTATGAACTATTCATTCTAGAGCATTTTGCATTTGTCTTCATGATCTTTTATTGTCAACTCAAAAAAATGTAATTAGCCTGCTTTTGTAGTGTGCACTATTTATGAATGATTGAGGTAGAAAGACAATCTTAACATGTGTAAAATAGCCACAACTGTTCCTCTTAAATATATGGTTATTAAGATTTAATTTATTCCCACATGATTCCCTTTTGACATTTCTGCTAGAATTGAAAGTACAGGAATGGTGCTCTAGTTCTGAAATTTATTTGTCGTATCATCTTGTATAAATTGCTCAACGGCTGTAGTTCTCAGTTTATTATCTGCCAGAACAGTAGGTAAACTCTCACCTGTCTTTTAACTCTATAATGTTATAATTCCACAATGAATGTTTAACAGTATAATTCCAAATAGTAGAGGAGATACTCTTCATGAGGCTTGTCAGTCTCACATAATGTTTCTAGCCAATCTGATAGTTACTCTTTTCTTTTAGACGGAGTTTTGCTCTTGTTGCCTAGGCTGTAGTGCAGTGGCAATCTCAGCTCACTGCAACCTCCGCCTTCCAGTTTCAAGCGATTCTCCTGCCTCAGCCTCTGAGTAGCTGGGATTAAAGGCACCCGCCACCATGCCTGGCTAATTTTTGTATTTTTAGTAGAGACAGGGTTTCACCATATTGGCCAGGCTGGTCTCAAACTCCTGACCTCGTGATCCACCCGCCTCGGCCTCCCAAAGTGCTGGGATTACAGGCGTGAGCCACCGCGCCCGGCCCTCTGATACTTATTCTTTATATTTTAATCTTTCAGTATAGATTTCTAGTTTCTGATTATAGCAGAGTGGTTAAGATAATAGATACCAGAGCCAGACTGTCTATGTTCAAGGGAAGCCCTGAGACTTCCTACTGGTGTGAACTTGAGTAAGTTATTTAACCTCCCTGTATCTCATATGAGCATAATAATTACACCTCCCCAACAGGGGTTTTATGAGCATCAGATGAGTCATAGTTGGTAAAGACTTAGAATACAATGCATCTGGCACCTTAAATATACTTTACAAGCTTTATTAAGTATAATTAATTAATTAATCCTGGATTCGGTGTTGCAGTTTATGTAGTAATGTAAAATGCCATGTTATTTTTGCTCTCAGGAAATAAAAAAATAGATATTATAGAGTACCTGGAGTCAAAATATGCTTAATTAGGGGTAAGTTATTTTAAGAAAATTAGTCAAATTTCTAGAAAATTATAGAAAGGCTAGAAGAGTTCTTGCAGCTTCCCCATGGAACAAACTCCAATCTAAAATGAAGTGGCATGTGTCATGAAACATTTTGTTTATATATATGCATGTGTATGTGTATACAAACACATTTTTTTTCAATATGCCAATATTCTGGTCACAGACTATCAGTGGTTGTTTGAGAACTGGAATCCTTTCTCTCCTCTTCATTCTCCATTGTTATTGTTATGGGCATTGTTATCATTTATTTTCATCTCATTATAAGATTGTGTTGAGGCCGACATGTCCAGGAAAGCTGGATTGAGCACAGAGCTGCTTCCGGAGTGAGATAAACAAACAACAAACAAAAACGCTTTTCAATTCAGCAGTTCCCCAAAGTGTAGGATTCATGTATGAGTCATTCTCATGAAGTGGATAAAATTCCCATTTACAAAATCAGAAATGAAAATAAAGTTGTTTTTAATTTAGGAGACAGAAGAGTGAGCTGAAATATGTAGCTCAAGAGGATCCTTCTGAAAATGGATTTCTAGCAGAAAAGCTTTACCCCTCTAAGCACAAAGATGCAAATTTTGCCTTCCATAAGCTAATCAAGACTTTTTTTTTTTTGGCAAGAAAACAAAGGAAAACCAGTCTAATCCAGAGTAAACCTGGCTTTTTCCTAACTCATTGGGTCTCACAGGAAAAGCAGATTGCAATGTTTAACTCTCTAATATATGCAATAAAAGATTTCAGCGATACTGTCAAGCTACTTAGCCATTCAACTCCTTTCATATTATACACATAGCTATTCACTGTCACTTGAGATTACTTTGTGTAAGAAAGCTTTGTTAGGACAGAATAATTTGATGAATGTCAAAGTCAAATGTATACAGAGAGATATAGATATAAGGGATGGGGGCAATCTGATTTTTATTTGAGTCCCACACAAATCACATTTCCAACACATTCCAGTGAATCACAGTTAGATGCCAGACTGGCAGACGTGACACATTCTGGACATGGTTAGGAAGATAGATTTGGGATGTTTCAAACATGGCTTCATGAAGGGCATTTTTTTTTTTTTTTTTTGCAAAAACATCAGAGAGAACAATATTGTATTATTTCCTTAGCGTATTTTAACCAAAACATTCAGTTCCTCCCTGTAAATATTGCTGACTTCTGTGGACCCTTTACATAGACACATCATCCTGCATAATGTCTTTTTCAGACTCTTAAGAGAAATCTTAGTGTTAGCAGCAGCAAATCCATATGGGTCTGCAGCAACTCAATTCTTGCCTCCTCAAAGGGAAAAAATTTGTCCAAGGGGAATAAGGCATAGAGAGAGACTGAGGGAAGTTTCAGAGCAGGAGTGAAAGTTTATTAAAAAGTTTTAGAGCAGGAACGAAAGGAAGCAAAGTACACTTGAAAGAGGGCCAAGCAGGCAACTTGACAGATCCAAGTGACCCATTTAACCTTTGACTTGGGGTTTTATACATTGGCATGCTTCCAGGGTTGTGTTCCTTCTCCCCTGATTCTTCCCCTGCCAGCTCTTGGAAGGGGCTGCATGTGCGGTATGTTTACTGAAGTGGTGCACATGCTCACTTGAGGTGTTTTTCCCTTACCAGTTGGGCATTCCTAGAGGAAGGTCTTATACCAGTTGAACTTTGCCATTTTGCCTCGTGCTGTGCATGCTTGAACTCACTGAGCCAACTCCTGAGATCTTATCAGGATGCTGCTGATCATCAGTCTTAGGTGTTTTCCATTTATTGGGAGCCTGCATTCCCTGGCACCAGCTGCAACCAATTATTATTTTAGCGAGACAGTTGAACAACTACCTGATCATCCCCTGATGGTTACCTGGCATTCTTGGGTCATGTTGGGGTTGGGGAGGATGGGGGAAGACTCTCCTGCCCTGCTCCTATCTGCCTAATTATCTAATTAACATTAGGTAAGTCTGTAGAAAGATGGCTTCTCTTGCATGCGAGCACTTATATATTACCAGGTTGAAGATTCTCTTTGGATAGATGGTGCCACATCTCTAATTGTGGGTGCTATATTCTGGAAAAACTGGGATGTTAAGGTGGGTTCACTACGATACTGAGATAGAACTTAAAGAGTTCTCAATTTAAAATTATTTATTGCTATGAATTCTCCCTTACATATGATCCCTAGATTTTAAATATACATTTTTATATTGAATTCATTTACATATATCTCTCTTTAAATAACTCTTTTGACATACCTACATCAAATTTTATCTCAGGAAAGAAATATATTTAACTTGGTGGTTTGATCTCATCACTTTTTTTTTTTTTTGAGACAGAGTGTCAGTCTATCACCCAGGATAGAGTGCAGTGGGGATCAGCTGCAGTCTCAACTTCTTGGGCTCAAGTGATCCACTCACCTCAGCTTCCAAGTAGCTGGAACTGTGGGCATGCACCACCATGCCCCACTAACTTAAAAAAAAAAAAAAGAAAAAAACACTTTTGTAAAGACAGGTGTAATTGTTTTCACACTGCTGATAAAGACATACCCAAGACTGTGTAATATATAAAGGATAAGAGGTTTAATGGACTCAGTTCCACGTGACTGGAGAGGCCTCACAATCGTGGCAGAAGGTGAAAGGCATGTTTTCCATGGCAGTTGGCAAAAAGAGAAAGAACCAAGTGAAAGGGAATTCCCTTTATAAAACCGTCAGATCTTGTGAGACTTACATACCACCACAACAACAGTATGGGGGAAACTGCCCCCATGATTCAATTATCTCCCACCAGATCACTATCACAACATGTGGGAATTGCAGGAGCAACAATTAAAGATGAGATTCTGGTGGGGACACAGCCAAACCATATCAACAGGGTCTTGCTATGTTGCCCAGGCTAGCTTCAAATTCTTGATCTCAAGCGATCCTCCTGCCTCAGCCTCCCAAAGTGTTGGGATTACAGGCATATGCCACTGTGCTCAGGCATCATCCTTTTATTCTGATTCTATACTCTTTTATACTCTTTCTTGTTTATTGATCTCCCTCATTGAAGATATTGTTGACTATTAAAGTATAGATATTGTATGTAGGAACCTAACTCTGAAACATGCTTTGTAGCATTACAATATGGAGTGGTCTGTTTGGAAGGACTGTGGTATCTCCTATGCTAACCCTTTATTTTATAAATGAGAACATGGAAACACAGAATAATTCTTCCCTGAGTCACAAATCTGCTGAATAAATTTTTTAGCTAGGTCCCCACATACTTCTGGTGATTAATTCATATAGCTTAAGATTGGTTTGAATGAGAATTGTCATAGCTAGGTTGTCATGAACGTATAATCGTACCCTCCCAAAATACATGCTTTGACTCTCCACAAATCTCAACCCTGGAATATCCAGGAAATCCTAAGCTTTTTTTTGGAATTCTCAAAGGATGTCTACAATTCTCAATATAAAAGAGAAAATGTAAAATTATGTGTCTCAATTGATGAGTGTACATGTGTGTATATACAGTTTGGAATTATGGATTCTAGAACTAGATTGCCTAGCTCAAGTCCCAGCTCCACCAAATTCCTTTCTCTTCCTCAGTATTCTCATTCGTAAAACTGAAGATAATAATAGCACCTCATTTTGTAGGGTTATTGTGAAATTTGAATGAGTTAATGTAGATAGATAAAATATTTGTAAAGCATGTAAAATGGCCCCTGGCCTATAATTGGTTCTATAATGTATTCGTTGTTATTACTCCCTTTCAGTTTCTTAGAGCTACAGGAGGAAAAACTTAGACTCTCTGTCATGTAGGTGTCTAGATAGAACCAAATTAATTTCTTTGGACTTCATCCCAGCATGCTTCTCTCTCTACATGTGTTTTTATTTGTTTGTTTTTGAGATAGAGTTTTGCCCTTGTCACCCAGGCTGGAGTGCAATGGCGCGATCTCGGCTCACTGCAACTTCCGCCTGCCGGGTTCAAGCAATTCTCCTGCCTCAACCTCCTGAGTAGCTGAGATTACAGGTGCCTGCCACCACACCTGGTTAACTTTTGTATTTTTAGTAGAGATGGGGTTTCACCATGTTGGCCAGGCTGGTCTTGAACTCTTGGCCTCAGGTGATCCTCCTGCCTCAGCCTCCCAAAGTGCTGGGATTACAGCCATGAGCCGCCACGCCTGGCCTGAAAATAATCTTAGAAGGTTAAATCAAATAACTTTTTTAAGTGCCTGCACAGTATTTGGCACTCCGTAGATGCTCAGATGTCCTTGATCCTTCCTCTTCTGCATACCCCCATACCATGTCTTAAATAGCTATCATTAAGCAGGACTGTGCCAAGGCAAATAACATAGAACTACCTAGCCTGCTGGTTTGTTCCTGCCACTTTAGGTTACACTTGAGCCAACCACTGAGGAAGTGGAGGCTTCCGGCAGGAGCTGGCTGGGATTAAGAATGAGCCTTATCCCGGGAGCACGGACACTGCCTGCTGCCTGGGCATCAGAGATAGTGGGACAATATGAACTCCTGAGAGACTGTGTAGGACAGTGCAAGTCATAATTGGTCCATGAAATGTAGTTTCATTCTCATTTTTATTGAGACCTATACGTCTAAATCTCATTACCTTATCTTTCTCTTCTGCTTCATAACTAAGAGAAAATAGTTGTTGGTTGTTATGTCCTGAAAATGCAACACCTTTTTTCCCCTTCCTTCTGTGACGTTTTCCCGGACTGTGATTTTATTTCTCTTTCAGTCGAAAGTATTAGACTTTGATGTGATTTAAGGTTTGAGTTTGAGGAGGCATGTAAACCATGGACAAATGAGTAAGGCTAGAAACTTTGTCTCGGTGACTTCCACCATGTCAAAGCTTCCTGGAGCCCAAGGAACCAGCCTTTTGCCCTGTGTGTCTCTCCCAAAGACAGTTCTACTCCCTGGCACACTGGTATGTGCATAAAGAGAAAAGACAGAAAGGTGTCCTGGAGGGCAGTGTGGCTGCAACATACATTAGTCAAATGGGAGGACTTGAGGCAACAGCCATAATTAAAGAAATTAATTCCCAAAGCATGTAATTATTGGAATGGTGTACTCCCAGCTTCCTTTGCACCCATTTGCTAGCTACCTTCAGAAGGAATGACAGCAAACACCTTTTATGACAGAAATCCCTAGGAATCACAATATTCTTAACCATCCTCTATACATTTCTATCTTCTTTAACCCCAATAGCCAAATGTTCCTCGTGCTGCTATATCTCACACTTAGTTTTATTTAAAGACTAACATAGTTGAGGATGCCAAGAAACAACTCACTCAACCTCTTACTTTATGAAAGAGTAAACAGGACAGAAAAGACTTATCCAGTATGAAACACTAGTTGGGGACAGAGCAAGGTCTGATATTATCCCTACTCTGTAGCAATATATTTATTTTTCCCTTGGGTCTTAGAGGCTTAACATGATAAATCCCTGTAATCAGGGGCCATCCCTTCTCCTTTTGAAGATGGGACTTAGTATAGAACTGATCATGTGGTGTTACAGCGGATGATTAGAGGATTCCTTTCTCTCTACTACCGTCAAGGATAAGCTTACTTTTTGCAAAAAGAAGTCAGCAACTACCACCTCTTGGCTGGAGTCCTCCACAACCATTTTGCCTGGCTCTTCTGAGGTTTTCACCATGAGTGTTTTGGCTTCTAAGATAAGCCTGCTGCTACTCTAGTGGAGCCAGGCACAGTGGCTCACATCTGTATTCCTTACACTTTGGGAGGCCAAAGTGGGAGAACGGCTTGAGCCCAGGAGTTAGAGACTAAGCCTGGGCAACATGGTGAGACCCCGTCTCTACAAAAAATAAAATAAAATTAGCCAGGTGTGGTGGTGCATGCCTATGGTCCTAGCTACTGGAAAGGCTGAGGTGGGAGGATCACTTGAGGCTAGGATGTCAAGCCTGCAGTGAGCCAAGGTCCCAGCCACTGTACTCCAGCCTTAGAGAGAGAGTGAGACCCTGTCCAAAAAAAAAAAGAAGAAGAAGAAGAAAGGAAGTGGGCTTTGGTGATACAGAGTATAGGAGGGTCTCCCCAGCAGCAAAGCCAGAGCCATAGAGATAAGCTTCTTGCACATTCCAGCTCACATACCACCAATGAGCTACAAAAGCACATTCCTGCTCAGCTCTCCCTTCTTTCCCTCATGTATGCTTCCCATGCCACTTGACTCCATAGCAGCTTCTCCTCCTGAACTTAATGTTTTATCTTCTGCTTATTAATCCATCAAGTATTCGCTATAGGATGGTGTTTCTTTTGTCCTCTGGTCTTTACTCTTTTATTTTTAAAATTTAATTTATTTCATGTGTATGGCTTCACTTCCAGATCAGACTATTTCTAAAGATGGTATTATTTATTTCTTCGTTGTCTTCATTTTACTTTACCTGGTACTTTAAACAATAGTGTCAATAAATACCCATTTACTGGTTATAATTAAAACTGTTTCACATCTGATTTGAACATGTGGTGCTTCCTTTAATATATCTCGGGGTTACATAAATGGGAGAATTGTTTCTTCCTTAAACACACAGTTTCTTTCCCTCTACTGTTTCATGGAAGATGATAAAATAATGTTAAATTAATAGCTA
This sequence comes from Homo sapiens, assembly GCF_000001405.40. Classification (NCBI taxonomy): domain Eukaryota; kingdom Metazoa; phylum Chordata; class Mammalia; order Primates; family Hominidae; genus Homo; species Homo sapiens. Next base: position 39,013,475 of record NC_000018.10, read on the forward strand.
GTATGTATTAAGTACTTATAATATGTCAGATACTATAATTAAAATTGTATTCATGTTACCAACATCAACTTCAAAATGAAGAGATTATTAGCGCCAACATTCACAGGTTGATTATGAAGACTGAATGATATATCCTGTGAATTGAGCTGTGGATTGAGAAGATACTCATGATGAAGATGAGGATAATTAGTTTATCAAAATGGTTGTATTTCATTTTGAAGTGTTCAAAGTTCAATGGGATGAGATGCTCAAAGAGTAAATTTAAATGAGGGAAAAATCTACTTTAGGAAAATAATCTGGAATGCCAAGGATAGGACACAGAGTTTGGACAGAGAGAAAAGAATAAATCAAGTGAGAGGGTCACAAAAATATATTTTCAATTGCTGATAAGTGCTAGCCTTTTTCTATTTATGCCTAGAGCCACTCCTGTTCTTTCTCTAAATTGTGAACAATATGCCTTTGATCTTGCATATTTTTCTTGATCCAATCATTGTTTTCTTTTCAATCTAGTTCTACTTATCCTGAGGGCTGCTGATTCAACAATAGGTATGAATGTTCAAGCTTAAATGATATATATTTTAACTTGTTTTTTAAAGGAAAGCTTTGTAATTCCTATAAGAAATGAATCATTAATTCTGCCATGACATTATATATGAAATCTACCCAGAAGCTCCCAAATACTCTCCAATTCAGAGGAGTCTAAAGTTCAGCAAACCAAGCTGATGGAGTATTATATTTGCCCTTTAAAAAAGGTCAAAATATTGTTCAATTGATGCCAACATCCATGAACTAAATGAAAAGGAGCCTGAGAAGATTGGATGTGGTTAAGGGTTTTACTGAATTCATGAGGCTCCTTAGTCATTATAAAATAAAACTCCCTAGCAAACCTTCTTAATAGAAAATTCTGGGAATATTTTGACATGGGATATGGGCAATCAGCAGGACTATTTTCATTCTGTTTAAGTGGGCAAAGCCATTTTTCAGTTTTTGAAATTCATGGTGCATTATCTCCCTTGCACCCTATTTTATTTTATTTTACTTATTTTTGACGAGTCAGGAAAGAAAGGATACTCACTTCAGGTCAAGTTTAAACCTACAGCAGAGCCAGGATTACTACTTAGGATCGGTGGGATACGATTTGGCCTTAAGATAATTGTATGACTATTTAAGTTTTCTGCTTACTCCTTTTGGGGAGGCTAGAATCTATCTTATAACCCCAGTAAGTGGTCTTTGGTGCACCTATCCTCAACTGTAGTGCCTTAGATGTTAATGCTATAATACTTTTCTTCACCTTATTCTTCCTTTTTTAAAAAGAATATTTTAAAATAGTTAATATATTTAGGTAATTCTTGAAAGTCAAATCATAGTATAAGAATTATAATGAGAAATTATAGGACCTTTATGTTCTCAGTTTCTACTCCCTGGGCAACAGATTCTTATCCTTTTAGCTAGATTTTCTTAAACTACATACTTCCAAATAATCTACTTCTAATACTATAACTTGATGGCAATTTTCACTGTGTTGATTCCTCTCTGTGGCTGGAGGTGGAGATTCAGTGCTTTATGTGCTTCATGTTTGTGGTGCCCCTTTCCTCCACCTCCCAATATGGTTACAGCACAGACTAAGGTCTAATTTGTACTTACTTTGCACAAGATTCTGTAATAATTTTTCATCACTGAGCTATGTATATGCTGTGAGCACATTTTCTTTCTGGTTCAATATTTTTTATTGCTGGAGGAAGTTGTCAGTTCACTGATAACTCCAGCACTGATAGGGAAGACTTTTAAAGGACCTAGCTGGAGTCGGTGCATCTCTCTTCCATCCTCATTCCATAAATCAAAACTCCAGAAAACAGCCAGATTTAACTGGAAGGCTGGGAAGTGGAGTCTAAGAGGAGGCTTCTCTATCCTCCTCTATCCTTTCTTCCCTATTTCCTTCTGAGAGGAGGAAAGAGAGAACAAAGGATTTGGTGAAACCTTTCAACAGTCTTTATCATATCTTCTTCCATTGTTTTTCTTACTTGTTTTGTTGTCTAACTGGGTATGTAAGAGAAAATAGCTTAATTAACTATGTTTAACTGATGGTTTTATATAGGCATACCTCAGAGATACTGAAAGTTCAGTTCAAGACCAACATTATAAAAAAGAATATCACAATAAAGTAAGTCAAACAACCTTTTTGGTTTTCCATTGGATATAGAAGTTATGTTTACACTATACTGTAGTCTATCAACTGTACAATAGCATTATGTTTAATAAACAATGTATGTACTTTAAAAATACTTTATTATTAAAAATTGCGAATGATTATTTGATCCTTCGGCAAGTTGTAAACTTTGTGCTGGCAGAGAGTCTTGCCTTGATATTGATGGCTGCTGACTGATCAGGGTTGCCAAAGGTTAGGATGGCTGTGACAATTTCTTAAAATAAGACAACAATGAGGTTTACCACATCAATTGACTCTTCACAAACGACTTCTCTATAGCATGAGATGCTGCTTGATAGCATTTTAACCACAGTAGAACTTTTTTCAATCATCCCAAAACTTACCACAGCTTTATCAACTAAGTTAACATCATATTATAAATCATTTGTTGTCATGTCAACAATTTTCATTGCATCTTCACTTGGAATAAGTTCTTGATAGTTTGTTTGGAAGTTCTAATAGGGTAGTGCAGCTACTCGTACACCCTTGACTGAAGACCAGTCCACCCTTATGATGGATGGTCTTCTACTTTGACCCAGTGCTCAGCTTCAGGAGGGATGGACATGGAGTGGTGCTGGAAGAAGGCCTAACCAGCCACATCAGACAAATCAACCCTGACAATCAATGGGGTGACAGATGTCTCAGCCAGATTGCCCTCATGTCCAACGTGGAGTAAATTCTATCTCAAGAAACTACTTTCTTTGCTCATCCATAAGAAGCAACTCCTCGTCCTTTCAAGTTTTATAATGAGATTGCAGCAATTCAGTCACATCTTCAGGCTCCACTTCTAATTCTAGTTCTCTTGTGATTTCCATCTGCAGTTTCTTCCTCTACTGGTCTTAAATCTCTCAAAGTTATCCATGAGGGTGAATCAACTTCTTCCAATCTCCCGTAAATGTTGATATGTTGACATCCTCCATGAATCACAAATGTTCTTAATGGCATCCAGAAAGGTGAATTCTTTCCAGAAGACTTTCATTTTTTTATTTTTTATTTTTTTGCCCAGATCCATCAGGGGAATCACTGTCTATGCAAATTATAGCTTTATTAAATGTATTTCTTAAATAATAAGACTTGAAATTCAATATTACTCTTATCCATGGGCTTCAGAATGGCTGCTGTTTTAGCAGGCATGAAGATGCCATTCATCTTTTTGTACATCTCCATCAGAGCTTTTAGGTGACCAGGAGCATTGTTAATGAGCAATAATTAATTGAAAGGAATCTTTTTTAATGAGCAGTAGGTCTCAACAGTGGGCTTAAAATATTCAGTAAACCGTGCTGTCATTGGGCTTTGTTATTCCATTTATACAGCATAGGCAGACTAAATTCAACATCATTCTTAAGGGTCCTAGGATTTTCAGAATGGTGAATAAGCTTTAATTTCAAATAACCAGCTTATCTCCTAACAAGAAAGTCAACCTATCTTTTAAGCTTGGAAGCCAAGCACTGACTTCCCTGTAGCTATGAAACTCCTAGATGACATCTTTTTTCAATAGAAGATTGAAAATAGAAACAGAAAATAGGTTATTTAGTGTACTCACCTTCATCAATGATCTTAGCTAGATCATCTGTATAACTTGCTGCAGCTTCTCCATTAACACTTGCTTCTTCACCTTGAACTTCTATGCTATGGAGACTGCTTTTTAAACCTCAAAAGGAACTGCTGTTATCTTCTAATTTTTTCTTCTACAGCTTCTTCACTTCTCTTAGTCTTCATAAAAGTGAAGAGAGTTAGGACTTAGCTCTAGATCTGGCTTTAGCTTACGGTAATGCCATAGATGGTTTTATCTTCTATCCAGACCACTGAAACTTTTTCCATATCAGCAATAAGGCTGTTTGCTTTCTTGTAATTTGTGTATTCACTGAAGTAGAAGTTTTAGTTTCCTTCAAGAACTTTCTTTTTGTATTCAAAACTTGTCTGTTTGGTATAAGTGGCCTAGCTTTTAGACTGTCTCAACTTTTGACATGCCTTCCTCACTAAATTTAATCATTTCTAGCTTCTGATTGAAATAAATAGATGTGTGACCCTTCCTTTCATTTAAGTACTTAGAGGCTATTGTGGGGTTATTAATTGGCCTAATTTCAATATTGCTGTGTCTCAGGGAATAGGGAGCCTCAAGGAAGGAAGACAGAAGTGGGAACTGCTGGTCAGTGGAGCAGTTAGGACACATACAATGTTTATTAAGTTTGCTGTCTTTTATGGGAAGGGTTCCTGGTGCCCTAAAACAATTACAAGAGAAACAACAAAAATCACTGATCACAGATCAGAATAACAGATATACAATAATAATGAAAAAAATATGGTATAAGAATTACTACAATGTGATATAGAGACAAAGTGAGCACATGCTGTTAGAAAAATAGCACCAGTAGATGTGCTCAACATAGGATTGTTACAGTCCTTTAATTTATTTAGAAAACACTATCTGCAAAGCACAATAAAAAAAATTCATGCCTGTACTGTGTTTTCTTCCTTCCTTATTTTCTCCTTTCTTCATAATTATTATTATTTTTTTAATTTCCAAAGCACTTCCATGAAAAATACTGTATTTAATTCTCTCAATAACTGGGCTCTGCTGGTAAGAAGATGTTGATTTCATTATTGTACTTATTTACCATGTGAACCCGCTGTAATTCAAAAATATTAAGTGAGTTTTCCCCCCAGTTCACACAGGAAGAAGTTGGAGTTCGTGAAAAAACTTCTTAGCCTTGCCTGCATGATTGTGACCTCCTTCTTGCTCCTTTATGGCAGGATGTGTACTAGTATGTATTTGTTTATGTTTACTTTTTTTTCTTAATGAAAGGCATAGAACAAGAATTTGTTGAACAGAAATACCCCTGCTATTTTCAGGAAATTTCTCTTAGTCTTGATGGGGCAAAATGCATTCTAAATTCCATTCCATTTTCTCACCACCACTTGATGGGTGAGCTTCCACATAAGATTCAGAGGACATGCTGTCTTCCCTGTCATGACTCTTTCTTAAGATGACTTTCAATACAGCCATTAGCACTCATCCACACAGGACAAACTGAGACCTCACATGCTGAAGAAATGTAGTAGCAAGTGTAGATACGACGCCATGTGCTATTGTGGACAAGCAGGGTCAACTGGTAGCCACAACAATGTCAGAAAAGGGATTTAAAATAAAATAGAACCCCCTCTGTTTCTCTTATACAAAAACATTCACTGTATGTCCACATAATAGAATGTCTCATAACAACATTGCAACACCTCAACCACAACACTTTAAGAAATGTGTAAGACAGCAGAAGACAGGTATATTTGTTGAGCCAGGAACTATGCACCAAGTTGTATACACCTTAACTCTTACAACATTTATAGCTCTATGTGTAGGTGCCACACTTTCTCATTTAAAGAAGATAAAACAATACTGGAATTGGTTAAAGAAACTTGGTATCGCTTTTTGGGAGAAGCATGGAACAAGGCCCAATGCAGAGCGATACCAGGAATAAATGGCAGAGAAAAGAGATGCCATATGCAAAAGATAGCAATGAAAATGGATTGTTCAAGAGGTGCATGCCTAAAGCACAGATGAGAAGAAACTGTTTGAGAACAGCTGAGCTAATTGTTGCTATTGATGAAACCTATCAAAACTGAAGAGTTGGTATTAGAAAAAAACAGGGTGTGCAGTAGAGAAAGGTCTTCTTTCACCTGTGTTAAGTTAGTCCTTGTGTTAAAGTTCTGACCTAGGGCTTGATCTGCACAATGCCCCTCTTCTCTGGCAAAAAGGAAAATGATGTCAATGGCATGGATGTTTATGTATGCATCCTCAGCCTACAGAAGTTTCTCAGTAGTACCTGGATGCTGAGATTGCATTAAGAGCCCGTGATACTGATGCTGGCAAACAAGCCTTCCTGCCTTTCTTGATCCTTCTTTCATTTAATTTTAATGGAGTAAAACATGTATATCAATAATTCACACTCTTTTCTCTTTCCAGTTGTGCCTATATTCGTAACAAAATTTTCCAAGCCTACTCCTTTTATTTACACTTTATCTCTTAAACCCTCTGCCCTCCTAACTGAACATTCCGTTTTTATTAAGTGGCTGCTTTAAAAGATGCCCTTTTCTTAATGAAATCTAATCAAGTAATTAATATTGCCCCAATTCCTTCCCATTTTCTTGCCTCTCTGGCATATAGTCTACACTTTTCTTAATGAAATCTGCCCAAATAGTTAATATTGCCCCAATTCCTTCCCATTTTCTTTCCTCTCTGGCACATAGTCTACGTGTTATCCATAACTGCCATTTTACCTTGCTGTCATTTAATCCACAGTTTATTGTTTGCTCTTCTTTTGAATGCATTTGTGTTCATTTCCTCAGTGTCCTCATTGCCAGCTGGCCTGTTCCCTGCAGATTTCCTGTGGCCAAATGTCATTCCTAAGAGCCTGCACCTTTGGTGATTTCTCCGAGCATTTGTTTAGACCCTATCAATCATTATCTCACAATAAACAACAGCTTTGCAAATGGAGAGCAAGGCTCGCCCAGTGATTGATGCTTCTGGATGCCTGTCTTTTCTCCTTGTGAGAATCACAAGGGCCCTCTCCTTTTATTTTGAGGGCTCTGGCTGTACCTGCCATGACTTATGGGAAAACAAGGCTAAACTGCCAATACCAGGGCCTCTCTTCTTTTCCTCTTACTGCATTTCCTTATCGGTTGTGACAATATGCCACAATTAATGATAGCAGAAATACCCATGTTTGATACCACATGCATCACACTTAGGTGTGATGGATTAGCAATCAAGGAAATTAATTCTGCCATTACAAAGTAACATCTGAACTTTGAAGTTAGGCAATTGCATGGTATAAGGTTCTGTTATGAATTCAGCCATAGGTATAACATTAGGCAAGCTTATTTAGGTGCAGAATAGTTTCAACATTGTTAGCTTTTTAGTTTCCCTACAATGGTTTGCAATTCTTTTCCACCAAACCTCCTTCATTTCAGAGGACCATAGGACCATCAAATTTCAAGTTTAGACAGACGTTAGATAATTGCTATATATTTTTGACCAAGTATATCATATTTCTAATAGAATGTTCATGATCAAAGGTCCACTGAAAATCAGTATTTTCTGGAATGAGTAATTTACCTTTGTTGGAAGACACCAGGTTTATTGTAATATGCTTCTCTTGATTTGAGAAGCTCTGGAATAACCAAAGTCAACCTGGTTGGCTGTATTTCCTGAAATACTTCACCTTTGAGGCTTTTTAAAAATTATTATTATACTTAAAGTTCTGGGGTACATGTACAGAACTTGCAGGTGTGTTACACAGGTATACACGTGCCATGGTGGTTTGCTGCACCCATCAATCCGTCAACTACATTAGGTATTTCTCCTAATGCTATCCCTCCCCTAGCTCCTCACCCACTGACAAACCCCAGTGTGTGATATTCCCCTCCCTGTGTCTATGTGTTCTCATTGTTCAACTCCCACTTGTGAAAGAGAACATGAGGCTTTTTAATATACTTTTACACCAAAAATACAGCTATGGAACTCTCTTTCACTGGCCTAACAGACTCGATCCTCTAGTGTTTCTTATATAGTCAGAGCCAATACATACTAAATAGCCCCTGGATTGCTGAGGCTGCCAGCTAATGGCCAGATCAAACCAAATAAAATAAAAACAATGCCTGAAGACAGTGTAAAATACAGTTAACAATCAAGACATAAAATTGTTCCATTAAGTTCAGTATTGTATTTCATAGGGAGGTAGTTTTATACTAACCCCGGTCTGACAAAATTATGCTTCTATAGCCCTTGTGGGCAGAAAGTCTACTAAAATTGGTAGATTCATTAGTCCCATCATTCTTCTTGGGGCCAATGTGGTAAATAGCCATTTCACAGCTGGTTTGGTCTGAAGGTAGACTGTGGATTTGAGTTCTTAGAAACCCAACTGAGAGGCAAAATGTGCCTGTATGGGTTAGGGAAACCTATACAGCTGAGAGCATAAGGAAAGAAGAGGTCAGGAAGAATACTGACTTTTATCCTTTATTATATCATCTATACATTTTCTCTGGTACCTTCTCCTTGCTGTAAGGACTACAATTCTGATGAAAATACCAAAAAAGCAAAACTCTATTAAGTCTAATAAATATTTCCCTCCATGATATTTCCTTTATTTGGAATCAATGTTGTAATAGGCTGAATCATGAATAAGGCAGGTAAAACATGTAATAAAATCAAACTTACACAGTATGTTCAGAGTCTGATTAGGTTCTCAGAAGAATGTCTAGAAAACTTCATAGATCACTTCCAAGTGTTTTAGACACATCAATTTCCATCATATTAGTTAGATCTATTAATTATGAAATATTGTTTACTCTTTAAGATGATTTCCCTGGAACCTATAGCTAGAAATAATATGTTAAATTTGTTATTGAATGCATCAGAAATGCTGCATTTATTTAAAAACCTTCTGATAATAATACTCCAAAATTGAAACTGTCATTTTACCCAAGACATTTCAATGAATAAACTGTTTTCTTATTTGTTTGCATGTTTCATTTGTTTACATAGTTGCATTCCATTACTGGCTATTTTTATATGTCAGTAGCTGAGCTGGGATCTGGGAATTAAGAATAATGACAATTAGAGACTACTATTTTCCTCATTCCTAGTACATTTGAAAAATGGATCTGTGGATGTTAGTTGAGTTCATGCTCACAATGGCTGTCAAAGTCAGAGAGAACATGTTTATCAGCCCCATTTGATACATGAATAAACTAAAGTCAGGCACTAAGTACATTCATAGAAATCAGAGTCTATAATCCAGGAGTCTCCTCATTCAGCCTAGTGTGCTTTATAATAAACTGCCTTATTTTTCCCTTTTTCCATTTATCTTAAGAGTCTCAAAATAAAAAATAAATGCCCTCAATAAAATAAGCCATTTAAAATTTATCAGAGACAAAAGAAACTCGACATCACACGTCAAAAACTGAATAGAATTTTTTCATAAACAAAATTTAAGCTTCCTTTTAACTAATGTCTTTTAACAACTCCTTTCCTGACTTTTGCTATGAATATGACAATAAATGAAATATTCAAAATATATGTTCCAAATAAGATAAACAAAATGTTCCATTTTTAAAGATATATATTATCCCAGATATTAGACATACCCATTTTAATGTGGGCCCCTTGTCGTTATGTTTATCTATTTTGAGCTACCCTAAGACCCACTGTAAATTGAAAACCTATCATGAAATAAATAAGATTTGAGGACAAAAGTAAGACAAAGAACTGAAAAATATATATAAGTCTTGTTTCCTGATCAGTCAATCATGTGACCATGATTATACTGTCATGTTCTTCGCAGTTATTTGATCAGGGTGGTGATGAAGAAGGAAGGAGCATGTTTCACTGCATTTACAAAATGCAATTTTTATTCCCTAGAGTGACAACAGTATGATTTATGTCCTTGGAGTTAGGTGAAGTTCTGGATGTTAGTTTCAGATAGTGATATGCTTTCTTAAAAGCTCACACAGAATCACTTTTCACATATAGATATGTATTGTCCAGGGCTCTGAAGGAGAAGAATCTCACTGAGGTCATACCAATTATGCAGCATTATTTATATTCCTAACACGCATTTATATAAATTATTTTATTTTTGGTTTGTAATAATTTCACACTATAGGTAGGGTGACTTTGTGTATGTGTGTATATCTTTTATACATAGAAGTAAAATATAATAAGCTCTTCATTATACCTAGCCTTGTTCCTCAAAATCAAAATTAAACAATGTAAATATATAGTATAATCATTAATTAGTTCAATACATATATTTTAAAACACAAAACTGACCTTGTTTAGATTAAGAGACATCTCTGCCAGGTAGAATTAAGTGTAGATGAAATGTCACATTTGTTGATCATTTGTAGTAACATAATTATTGCACAGATGGAGAGGAGAAGGATGTAAAGGTTTACCTACAATGAATCTAGATCATTGTAAGACAAAAGTGAGTAATGGGAACCTTCAATTTCCTGGAAATCTCAAATTCTATCCCTCTCCCTGTGCCCGACCAATCTTCACACTTCAAGTCTCTGCTCACAGGTTTCTCTAGAGAGTGCCTGCCTCCTTTATACTGGCTTCAGACTGCAAATCTCCTAATCATTTTTCTTTCCTCCTTGCTTTTCTCCACTTTGAACTTGTCTTTCCCCTGCACCTCACAACATGTTATCCGGCAACAGTAGACCTAAAATCTTTATCAGACAGTGTTCAGTTCCCTTTGGCTGATCCTAGCTATTTCAAGGAGACAGCAGATCAGCATGACGAACATATTCAGCAGGTCACAAAAGAAGGTAATATAATAGGGCAGACCTCCCTTTCCTTCCCCAATTAAAAGAACATTAATCATTTTAAAAATCACTCAGTTTTCTCCTAATTATAGTATATTTTGATGATTAAGAGCACAGGTTTTAAAATCACACTCCTTGGGTACAAATCTTGACTACTCCACTTACTAGCCATGTGGCATCTTGTAAGTTACTTAAGCTCTATGCCTCAATTTCCTTAGCTATGAAATTGAGGTGTGTGCCAGTAGAAACCCCTTTATAGAGCTCTTATAAGATTCAGTTACTCAGTATGTAAGGTATTCAGAACAATGTTTGATATATAGTAGAATGTGTATAGGGCTTACTGATATTAATGCACAAATTAACTTATTTCATCCTAAAAAATGTTAATAATAGATATTAAACTATTTGCTTGTGACAAAAAACTAGAAAACTTTTGTGCCTGCATTAGAACTCAAGCTGACTCCAGAAACTTCAGTCTTTTCATGATTATTTTAACTGTTTGAAGATAATGACTCTCTATGTGGAGAAAATCTAATGCTATGCTTAATAAGCTGAGGTTATTCTGAAAACAACCTTATACAAGATATCTAGGGGCAGGTCAGCATCACTGCAGTCACATTCTGCAGACAGCTGTCTTCTTTGTCTTTGTGTGTGTGGGTTCAATTTCTGTTTCTAAAGTGTAGAATAACTTTTATACCACCAGCGTCCTAACTAAGATGCACATCAGTGATGAATGTAGTTGCTAAATACATGTGTGCAGAGATTACTCTTGCAGTAATCCTGTCTCACAGGACTGTAAACCCATTTCTAGAAATAAACAGAAAAAAAGAAATCCTCTGACACACAAATTAATTGTCATAAAACTCCAGCATCAAAGGCAGGTATTTGGGCTTTCCTTTCAACACATAACAACTTTGATTTAAAACACTGAACTTGATTATCTGCTTGTTCATATCAGAACATATTTTAAGTTTGAAATTAGAGAAGCGGTAGCAGTTTTGTTTGAATCAGGTAGACTGGCATTTGCAAGAAATTATAGATGATAACAATAAGGTGTTTTACAAAATATTCAGACTAAAAATAAAATATGTATTTCCAGATAACAATGAAATAATCATAGTGGTAACTGTGAGTTATCAAGCAATGGTTTAAATGATGTTTAGCATTCTCTGTGATGAAACAGCTTAGAAAGATCTCTATCACACTATATCGAAATAAGCTCATTTTTGACTTGAGAAACTAGTTTCTGGTTATCTGGAAAATAACCACCCCCTTATAATGCCAGATAAATTAAATGATAATTTAATATGTTCTGTATAGAACACAGCTGTTCTATAGTGATCATTAAGCGTATACATTTCCTTGTTAGACTGAATACTCATTCAAATAGAAATTGGAATTTCACAAAGAGGCTATTCACAAGAAACATAGGTCACTTTTGATAATATGCATCATAATTAGCTTTATAGATATTACATTTAATGTTGAGAGTAGAGAAGAAACATAACAGAAATTGGGAGGGCTGCAGATACTGAATCCAGTACGGAAAATAACTTCTGAAATTGTATTCCATTTTTCTACTTCCTTAGCTCATAATTTGGTTCTGATTGGGGAAGAAAAATCTCAGAAGACTCAGAGGTTCAAATCATATTAGTTCTCAAAAGTTTGGATGTGCCTTCAAACCTCCTGGGCCTGAAAATATTGACTGGAAATGACACAAAAAACAGCTTCTTCACAGCGTTTCTGGCAGTTCAACTCCTGCTCCTGGCTGGAAGTTCAAGTGCAGAGATGCATGAAATTGAACAATGATAATAATAAAAACTTTTCTGAAACCATTTTAAAGCTGCAAAAAGTTGGATTTTAGGTCTATCTAATCTAAGGGAATGGCTCAGGTACAATTTTATAGTCAAATGGGTTCATCTTTTTTCCTTCTTTCTCGTTTGGTTCCCACCGCATGTTAATTTTACTCCTTTATTAAGGAGTTCAAACTTTAGCACCATTGAACTGATACCTGCTAATTATTTGGAGTTTGATTAGTTCATTTGTTGGTTATCAAGACCTCTTTGCTCTGTCCTTTGTTTGTGAGCAATGGGGAAATTCAGTTCAACGAATCTTGCTCTTCTCTTACCTCTATGCGTGAATATGCCATGGGAGAAACCGTTAAAGTTATTGGGTAAAGTGCTAGAAATTTTGAAGAATGTTTCTACCTTTCATTACTCTCAGACCCATCCTTTTGTTATTATTGGGGAATATAATGTTACAGTCTCCATCCAAACATCCCCCAGGGCCATTTGTGGAGGAAAAAAAAAAAAGGTTTGTGTTAAAAAAAAAGTTGGATACTTTTTAATTTTTTGTCTTGTTAAAGACAGTATTTTAAAATTCTCACAAATAATTTTACTTCTTGTGAGAATATAAATACTATAACAAAGGAGTCCGCAAAAGGAAAAATGGACGCAACCTTATTTGTCCCTCTGTCATTCTGATTCCTTTCTCTGCTCTCTAAAAGCTCCAAGCATTATTTCTAGGATATTTAAATTTCTCTTGGAAGAATAGTAAAGATAAATGAGTGATTTGTTAAAATTCATCATCTTACAAAAGGAATGTATATTATACTTTTAACATAAATGGATACTCTTATCTGTCACTCTTGCAACAGAGAAGCGAACATTTCTCAGAAATAAATTCTACTACGGTAACATCATTGAGAGATTTTCTGGGGACATCTTGATGCAGAGCCTCTCAATTACGCCTGAAACATGATTTAAGATGATACAATTGGGAAGTGGTGAACAAAGAGTATATTTATTCATTTAAATATCTATGATTTCATGAAAAATTTACCAAAATTTCTAGTATTATTTTCCAAAATCAATCATACATGTTTAGGCTCCATAAAATGCTGCTGTTTTTGAAGTTGCAAAATATTGAAAATTCCTTAATAATTTGTTCACACATGACATTTGTGTGATTGTGTAAATGCTCTGTTGATTTTTCCTTCCAGACATATTCATTTAGTCAAGGATTATTTTTATGTAGACGGATTATGGTGATTAGAAATTTCCAAAGATTTTGCCTTCACAAAAATACCAATGATTTTAGCCTACTGAGAAGTTGTTTATAGCAGTTTACTTTCTTAACTAAAGTCCATAAGTCTAGCTTTAGAAGTAGCAAGGCCGATAAACCATGAAAGAACTATTTTATGGGTGATCCAGTAACTAGAATTGCAAGAAAAGAGAGAAAATAAATAATTTTAAGAAAAGACCACTATTGACTGGTTCGTACAGTGGATGGCATTTGCCTTCAACTGTAAGATAATTGGACCAGAGGGCTACAAATCCATTGCAATACAAGGCTTTCCGTACAAGGCAGTTAATACACCATCAAGTGAGCTAGTAGGAATAGTTTCTGTGTTGCAGCCTAAGTATATTTTCATTCAGCTCATTTGCACTTCAAAGCTGAAGTCGATAATTCAGGCCCAAGTAGGTGCAATTTGGGCTATTTCCCTTTTGTAGCATATGAACACAAGCTGAGAAAATCTCTAAATTCATTTGCACAAGGCATTACTGGCCAGAGTCAGCGAAGCAGAGACACGGCTAATTTCCTATAGGTAAGTATTTTCCCTATGAATAAATCCTTCGGTAGTTGGGGATGGGTGGGGGACAAGGATTCAGAGAAACATGGTTTGCTCTCTATTGGTGATCAATGATTTTATTACATAAAACATAAGGATATTAGTTGCCTTACAACAGATCTTAGAATCTTATCTGCAGCAAAACACTTGTGTGGTGAATTAACAAGTCTAACCAATCATATTCATGGGCCAAGAAATGTCTGGTGAATGAGAAGAAAAAACATATGCCAGGAAAGGTGAGCTCTGTCTAGGTCAGGAACAACATGGTTAGATTATTATCAGAAAGTGCAAGCATCAGAAAATTGGCGGAGAAAACTATTTTTGTTCAAACATCATTTAATAAAATATCTCAATGGCCACTTACCGTGTAACACATATGAAATGTTTTTCTGGTACTTCATTCTCTGTTATGTTATTCAATTCCAGATTCTGCTAAATGTGCTAAGCACCTGTTTTTGTGTACTGAAACCACATATCCCAAATTTTATAGGTCAATCCTGCAATAAGCCTGCCTTACCATCATACTCATCTCCAAATATGCATTACAGTCAACATAATCAGTTACTAGTCACTGCGTTGGAGAATTTCACTAGCATTATTTTAGGAGCTGTTCTGTGAGATATGATTGCGTTTAAAGTGATTGGCTTAACCTGCTGAGCTAAGAGTTTTTGTGTGTTTGAATTTCTTTTAATCCAACATTTACTGAGATCATCCTTTGTCCCAGAAACTGTGTGAAATACTTTCCATACATTACCTTATTTTCTCACTACAACATCATTATGGGCAGTGCACTAGAATTGTACCCATTTTGCAGATAAAAAATTTGAGGCACAAAGAAGTTAGGTGACTTACACAAAGTTAAATAACTTGCCCAGGTTTTTCTGGCAGAAAAAAGATCTGAAATCAAATCTCCTGATTCCAAGTTGAACACTTTTATATTAGACGCACAGCATTTCATGCCTGTGACACAAGGTAATACACTTGTAATATTTCTTAGGATACACACCAGTGGCTTCTTTACAAGACATATGAGCATTTTCAAAAGGGAATGTCTCAGATTCTGATGATGCCTGCCTGGCTTCTTATACACTTGCCATCCTTGCCCACCCCCACCTATTCCAGCTCTCTCTCTCTGTCTACTAATTTTCCAGTACAGGTGTTTGTTTAAATCAGATACTTTTTTCATTACCCCATGCTCAGCTTAAAGCTCCATGTGTTTCCCTACCTGAAATGCAACTTTCTTTTTTTAATCCTCCTTCCACCCTGGAATACCAAGATTGGAAAGTTCTGGAATCGCACTTTATTACTTTGTTCTTAAATGATTTCCCTTTCCTCAGGCTCATGTAAATTCCTAATTTAATTACATTCTGCCTATTATTGCCTGATTTCAGTAGTCTTAAAACATTTTCAATAAACCTTTCTCAAATCTCACACTTACATCTATGATAACCTAATTCACAACAAGGAAGCAATAATTATTTTTAATCTTTATTGAGTGCTAGACTTCTGCCACATTTTATGCCAAGGGCTTTTTAAAAATTGCTTTGGATCTACTCTGTGAAGTACAGATTATCATGGCCATTTTACAGGACAAAAAATTGAGGCTTTGAGAGATGAGTAAATTGTCTAAGACAATTGTGGCAGAGTCACAAACCACGAATCTTTGACCCAAATACCCATGCCTATCTCCTACTGACTATTCCCCCTAGAGTGATATATTTTTCATTGATCCTCTAGCTGATTCATGTAATAACTTGAAGGATTTTCTAGTGTAACCAAAAAAAAAATGTGTAGAATAGTCTGGAGTGCGGCTCAGCAGGTTGAATTTTAGGCACACTGGCCTGGTTTGATGGGCAGGTAACATTTATTTGGATCCCTCTAAGCACAGCCTCAAGGACAGGAATATGCTCATCCAGTAGACTCTCAGGTCAGAGGATTTTTGTGTGTGTTTCAGAGATAGGGTCTAGCTCTGTCGCCGAAGCTTGGGTGGAGTGGTGCCCTCATAGCTAACTGCAGCCTGGAAATCCTGGACTTAAGTGATCCTCCCACCTTGACTTCCAGTGTAGTTGGGACTACAGGTGTGTACTAACCCTTATCCCCCAACCTCAGCTAATTTTTACAATTTTTGTATCTGTGAAGTCTTTCTTTGTTGCCCAGGCTGGTCTCAAACTCCTAGGCTCAAGTGATCCTCCTGTCTCAGTCTCCCCAAATGCTAAAATTATAGGCATGATCCACTCCTCCCAGACCTGAAAGATTTTTTATTTTGCCCTGTGTTGCTACAAAAATAAAAGCATCTTATGCAGAATTTACAATGACTTTCTTTCAAATTTTCATGCTGTCCTTTGTCTCAAAATTACTGCCATCATCTAATGAAAAAAATAGGTTAAATTAATCAAAGGAAAAATTTAGGCTGAACATAAAAAAAATTGTTAATGGTGAGATCCATTAGACTCTATTAGAATCCCCATTGATTGAGTCATTTAAAATAAGACTGCCATCCCCTGGAGATGACTCTGAGACAACCCCAGGCCTGAGGAGAAAGGAGCATATGGAACCCACAGGCCCCTCAGCCACTAATGTGGGTGATTTTTTTTCTGAATTCCCTCATCTTGCCTTCTTGTCAACAAATCCTGCCATCATTTCACTCACATCTTTGCAGCATTTTCCAGAGCCATTAACAGAAATCATTTCACAGAGAGTGGGAAAGAATGTCATTTTGTCATTTTCTTGGGGGAGTACAGGGAAGAACAGGCAGCCTCTGTTTCCTAAGGCTTTCATGATGAAAAAAGAAAAGGAGAATGAGGCCTGCCTGCTAGTGGGCTGCAAGAAACAACTTTGCTTGGCAGCGTTGTGCAGAACAGTGACTGGAAACTCCCCCGTGAATCTCTCTCCTTATTAACTAGAAGAAAGAACAGTTTGGGACCACACTGATACCCCCAAACTTATTGGCACTAATGAGCTGTGTGAATTTATCCATTACATTATATCTGAAAGGTAAGAGGGACCTTAATGATCATCAAGTGTAACCTACTTCTTAATGCAAGAACTCCTTTTAATTACAGAATTCCTGTGAGATGGCCATTGGAAGCTCATTATTTCATTGAACTCTCCATCCCATGTTTAGTTGTTTCATTTGTTAAGAAAGTCTTCCTTTTATTGAGCTAGGACATTCATTCATTAGTATTTGCTCTCCCCTTTGGAATAGTAATAATGATGTATGATAAAACAGTAGTAATCATAATAATGATGATGCTGATGAGTAACAGAACTTTTTTTCTATGTGCTAGGCATGTAATAAAAATTTATATATGTCTAAGTTCTTATTTATCACCACAAAGCTTATATGTTATAGGAATTATGATTTACTCCTATTTTAAAGAAGGAAGGATTGAAACATAGAGTGTTAGAATGACCTCATGAGGGTCACAATACTCAAAGGTGGAGAATTAAAATTTGAACCCAGTTCTGTTTGATTACAGAACTCTACATACTGGGCACACACAAATGCCTCTAGCTCCTTATTTACCACATTTCAATTACACTGTGTTCTTACTCCTCTTTTTTCCAGGTTGCACATCCCAACTTCCTTAAGTATTTCTTATTTAATATAACTTTCAATTGCCACATGATTATAGTAGATTTTATATTACAAGTTTCTAGCTTTCTTTTCTAGTGTATGGAAGCTTGAACTGCAAAAAATACTGAAAATGTGGTTTGACAAGTGAGGCATACAGAAAATTCTACTGCTACCCTTCATCACCTTTCTAAACCAAGTTTCTGCATTTGCAAAAATTATTAATAGCAAAGATGATAATTGACATCAGAAGAACATCAAAATACAAAACTTTAAGGAGAAAAAAGCACTTACATTTGAGAAAACCCTATTGTGGGTTTCACATCAGAAGGGTTCTTTTTATTTGTTTGAAACATCATAATTTTCTCTGTAAAACTGAGTATAGACTTAGTTTAAATAATTTCCCTAGTCCATTTGGGGATGTACTGTGACATCTCCCTCCATCTGTCAAAATTTGGGGTGCATGTGTTTCTATCTCAGCTGCCTGGGTGCAACCACACAGAAGATGCACCCCTCTTGTGGATTCAAGAGCTCCACTGTAAGCTTCTGATGAGGCAACGTTGCTAAGAGGAGCTCAGGCTTTCAAATTAGTCAGGAAGATAAACATGAACTAGGCGTGATTGTCCCTGGATGGCCAAGAAAAGGGCAGGGCACCAGAGAATGCATAGGCGCTATTTATTCACACAGCTATAATGGAAGTCAGGGCCACTACACAAGTCTCTGGCTTCTGAAGCCTTTCCCTGACACAGTCAGGTGAGCTCTGAGGTTGATGTGGAAATTGTGCTGAACAAGAATGGGCCTTTGAAAAAATTTGAGGGGTAGATAGGGAAGTAAGCTAGTATGCTTTCAGTTAACTCATACACATTCCAATGTAGGGGCCAAGGGAGAGCTCTTCTCTTGGCCCTCTGAAGTTTCACCAAAAAGTCAACTCACAAAAGGCAGATTAATTGAATAGAAGGCATACAAATTCACTTAACATGTATACATGGGATCCTTCAGAATGAAGACCCAAAGATACAGAGAAAATTGTTCATTTTTATGCTTAGGTCCAATAAAGTATGGACAGCTATGTAGAAATATGACTAGACAAAAAGGGTATGATCTAATGCTAATAGACTGAGTGGGGAAACCCAGCAAGGTCTGTCTATGGAGATACTTCTTGGCATCTCTGAGCATGCATTCTTTCCTTCTGGGTATGGGGCAGGACTCTCACTGGAATAGGGATCTTATGACCCACAGTCAAACAAGTCAGGTTAGATAATTTCTTTATGACAAGTTTTTACACAGATAGTGTGGAGGGAAAGTTAGAGTGATGTTCTTAAGTCTTATGGCTGGCTTTGGGGAAAAGAGATCCTTGTTTCTATAGCCCACCTTGGGGAAAAGGAATTCCAGTTTCTATGGCTAACCTCGAGGAAGAATGGGAGAAAAACTTTTGTTTCTGAGGCTGCTTCTGAGGCTTTCATTTTGTGGTATTGTTTTCTGAGCCAAAACACAGGTAAGTAAAAAGGTCAGTGCAAAAAGAAGCATATAGATCTCATTAAAAGGAACTGTAGCAGTAACACTTATAGTCATAAAATGATACTGCTACAGAAAAAGAATAACATCAGTAATATGAGGAGTCCTACATGAAGATAAGGACAAAAGGGGACATTTGGAGTCAGGCTACTGCTATGAATTTCTATGTATTTTTCTATGTGCTTTTCTATGTGGTTTTGTTGTCTATGGCAATACAGATTGTGAAAATAAGTGAATCAAAATCTAAGCTGTTGGAAGTATAAATTATTTTGAGTCTTAAAGAAACATGATTATGGGGCCTGGTTTATGTGACAGGCAGCTGTAACCAAGGCAGTTGTAGCTTTGTTTCTCTGATTATAGATTAAGCCTTCTTTCTTGCCTTCACTATTTTGTAAAATATTACAAATGACTGAAGGATTCTGGAGAAGATCCTTTCTCCCTTTATTGTTGTTGATCTTCATTATAGATTAATTTCCCTCTCACAGTTCTCACACAAAGACTTCATGGCTATTATATTGTCTTTAGATGGAATGTTATGTATACTCTTTCAAACTGGAAATGAAATGAAAATGAGCTGTATGAAAAAGACTGCACTAATTAAATTGTTGTAACTCATAAGACAACCTTGTATATAACATTTTGCATTCCTCTCAAATTTCTTTGTTTTCTGCCTATATAAGCAAGAACCTAACTTTTAACTTTGGAACACTGACCCCATTTCTCTGGAGTCTGTGTCTCTCTAATGGCCATCCCCAGATTTTTCTTGAATAATCTGGACTCTGATCTTTTCGATTATTTCAGGTTGGCAGAGTCTTCATGAAAGTGTTTTGGGAGAGGCACTCCAGTGTCATAAAAATAGACACAGTTAAATGCAAAGAGTACTGGGTTACAATTCTGTTTATTAAGTAGTAGTGTAGTTGGAGACACTGTTTATAATTTGGGTGTGTGTGTGTGCATATGTGTATAATAAAACCAGAAATGCAGAATGCCTTAAAATAAAAATGTCTTTCTCTTGCTCTATCTTTACAACTACCTAGTGCCTGTTACAAAGGTAATTCCTTGTTGTTTTTTAAAAATTTTGCTTCTTGTAGAGGTGACATTCATACCTTTTTCATGGCACTAATATGACTTCTGATCTATAACATATGGGTATTACCATTTCCTATCTGTTGAAGATAAATATTAAACTCATTTGTATGACCCTTACTTTTAATCTTCCTCTCCATTATTTGATCTTCAGTTGCTTATCATTGTTATTAAACAATTTTAAAAAAATCTTTAGTGCTCATTTCAGCAGCACGTACACTAAAATTGAAATAATACAGAGATTAGCATGACCTCTGCTCAAGGATGCCATGCACATTTGGGAAGTGTTTCATATTTATGAGGTATTATTCAGCCTTTAAAAAAAGAGTGAAATTTTTACACATGCTGCAACATGAATGAATTTTGAAGGCATGAGGGTAAGTGAAATAAATCAGATACAGAAGAACAAATTTTATATGATTCTACTTATACCTAAAGTAGACAAATTCATAGAGACAAAAAGTAGAATGATGTTTGCTAGGAACTGTGGAGAGAGCTGAATACGAAGTTTTCATTTAGTGGTTATAGAGTTTTAATTTGAGAAGATAAAAGTTCTGGAGATGAATTGTAGAGATAGCTGTGCAACAATTTGAACGTACTTAATGCCACCTAACCACAAACTTAAAAATGGTCAAAATTGTACATTTTATGTTATTTATAATTTATCACTATGTAGATATTATACATATAACATATAATTTAGCTCTTACCCATATCTTTTGATTTCCTCTTTGTAAAATTAACAGGTTTCTCCATATTTTTTCAATTTTCATTTGTTATACTAGATCTCCATGTACATACTTTTTAATAAAGTTATGCAGAAACAGTGGTTGCAGACATTTTTGGGTGCTGTTACCAAATATTTTTTCCTTCTCTCTTCTATGCACATGCAGTGATTGAGCTTTCTGGACCTTGTGCATTTGATGCAGGCAGGTGACCACCTTTGGCAAATGAATTGAAGAACAGGAAATTTAGTCATGATCAGATCTGGGCATTTATGTGCGAAGTTCTAATTCCTCTGCCACAGCAACTGGCAAAGTGTGAGATGGCTGCCTTTTTTTGCATGTTCTGAAATTGCCTAATGATATTTTTAGGTGTAGGAGATTTGTTTGTTTGATTTTTTTCCATCCATGATTTTTGTGTAATTGAGGTCCTCTTTAAATAGAAAAACTCATGTATTTTTTTCAGATATGCAAATTGTTCCTGTATTTTATTTGCTTATTTCCTCTTTTCTATTTTCCACTTTCTTCTCCCAGAGCTCATATTTATTAGATGTTGTTTTTCTTTTACACTTTGTATATTTTGTCATATTTGCTGCCTCATTGTCAATTTTCCTCTGTGTTCATATTGAGCTCCTTCACTTTGTTTTATTTTTTTGGTGGTATCTTTCAAAACTCTCTGAAAAGACTAATTAGATTTTCTTTTTGAGTTTCTTCTCTTTCATGAGTTATTTCTGTTTTCACAAGACTTGTTTTATCTACTTATTTTCTCATTTTGATGCTGTTTTTTATATTCCTGAGTGATTATAGGTTATTTTTAGCATATTTAAAACAAGAGGTATTGGCTGACTTTTCCAGGTAGTGAACTAAATGCTCTCTACTGTTGTATAGGTAAGCTTGTTTTCCCCACAATATTTATTTTTCAATCAGGAATCTGACCTGGTCAGCTAGGCATATAAATCACTAAGTTGCCAGGCTTTTAATAAGGGATTGCCAAAGCAGGAAGAAATTTATTCTGTGATGCTAGCACTCACTAGTGCTGCTAGTCCCCCCCAATCAATACATTACGTTTTTTAAGTGAAGAAGTCATCATTTGTGTTATAATGATTTTTGTCATTTTGCTTGGTTTTATTTTGCTTAGAATCAATGTGAACTTTTTTGTATCCTTCTTATATCCAGGAACACGGGAGAGAGAAGAGAGGAGCAGAGAGCTGATTGGCTTCTTGTTCCAGGGACAGAATTTCAATCAGACCCTCTACTCTCCCCTACCAATTTTGCACCTCTTTTATAATTCCACCCTCCATGACTACCAATTTTTTTCCAAAACTCTTTGGGACTTGCTTGAAAGATTAGCTCCCTTTTTTCCTGCCATTCCTTTCTATGTTAATTTTTGACTGTAGATTCCTCAACTTTCTTTGTTCAAATGTATTGTTCCCATTCATTTTTTAATCTCTCAATAGTGCTTCAAAATCTAATATTAGATAATGATTCCTCTCCCATTCTCTTTGCTGTTCAGGTTTATGGGTTTAATTCTGTTTTTATTCTCTCACATTTTAGAGAAATAGAGGCAAATTCAGGTACTTGATCACCATATTCAACAAGAGATCATGTTATGTACTTGGAAAATTAAGAATTACATCACACTTTGTGCATCTGCAGTGGTACACTCTATGTCCTCAGTGAGAGCCACAAGCGATAACTTTGAACAGGTAGAATGCAAGGAGGCATTTTTAGTGCTACCTAGACACAAAGCACATCATGATCTTTTAATAGTTTTTAAGCTATTTGATAATAAAGCAGTAGGAAAATGGGAAACAAATGAAAGCCAGGATTTCAGTCAATAGCCCTTTCTCTTGCTTTGTCTTTTTTTTTTTTTTTTTGACTGGGCCTCAGGACAAGTTGAACATGACCATCCTCAAATTCCATTATTAAACTAGCAGTTCTGCTTCTAAACATACCTAATTGCAATGACTTAGTGGAATTGAAAATAAAAAACATAATAGTAGTCAGTATCAGAAAAACTAAAACATTTTACTAGGTTTTCTATTTGCATTTTAGATGTTGTTTCTCAAAGAATCTCAAATTCAGGTTTTATTTCTGTAATTTCCTGCTTCTATAAATATTTCCTCAGTCGTTTTCCTCAGTTCTTACAAGAATACATATGGTGCTCCTGAAAAATATTTTCACAAGTACTTGTGGGTGATTTATTGGTGCTTAAATCCTTCCTATGTTTGGTGTATAAAATCGTGTCTACTCAAAATGTTCAGTGTTGACAGCAACATGGTTTTCAGAATCTATCCAGGCCTCCCTTCTGTCCGTCTGCTTTTATTAACTTCCCTTTGCTCTTGTCCTCCTTAAATTTCTGGGATTTCAGTGATGCAGTCTAGTTCTTGGTATATACCACGCATTCCCCCTCCTTCTGATATCCTATTTGGATCGTTGTCTCATTTATGTCAACCATGACTCTCTTATTCAAAGTTATATGTCCAAGCCTCTTTTGACTCCACATTCCTTAGCATTTTTTTCCCAAACATTAGACTGCTGGTTAGAGTCCTATAGGGATGGGAAGAAGAAGAAACAAATGACGTTTCTCCAGCTGCATCTCTGTGCATCAAGCCAGAGTCAAATTTTACATTACATTGAGGGAGAAGAACTGTTGGTCAAGCTAAAGTAGTTGTAATGCAAGGTGTGTGAAATGCTAGAGAATACTGGAGCATGAAAACATCTGTTGGGAAAAAAATCAACTGAAAGTGGTGGAGGTGATTAAAAGAGACAGGGGCTAGAGTTCACAGCTGGGCTTTTGTATATGGAGATACTTCATAAAATAGAATATTTGAAATTGAAATTTGAGTCTCATCCCACTTATTACCCATTGAAATCAAACATGAATGATTCATGCATTTACAAAGAATGATTGGAATGCTTTGTGCTAAATATGATGGAAAATTCAATGGCAACCAAGGCACTACCTTTGAAGAAACCTGGCAAATGGCAGAGGAGTGAGAGGTAAGTTTACATTTAATGGAGA
The DNA here is from genome assembly GCF_000001405.40 of Homo sapiens. Taxonomy (NCBI): domain Eukaryota; kingdom Metazoa; phylum Chordata; class Mammalia; order Primates; family Hominidae; genus Homo; species Homo sapiens. The sequence goes on from NC_000018.10 coordinate 39,037,559, forward strand.
AAGAGAAAAGAAGAAAGATGTGTCAATGTTTTGTAAGTAGCAGCATACGTACTTTTGGACTAGAAGGATACACTGTGACTATGGCTGTAGATTAAAAAAAAAAGAATTTTACACCCTGGCTTTTGGAACCCATGTAATCAGGGCAACCCTGAATACCTCTGGGGAGCACAGGAGAAGAAAGATGACAAGGACAACTTTCCAGTAAGCTCTATCATGGCCCATGGCAGGGGATAAGAAAGAGTTGCCGTTTATTGGAAGTGTGCTGAGGGTAGCTAGTTAAGAAATTCCTGTTAATCACACTTGTTTGTTTGTCAAATAAGAACACTTAATAAAAGTATTTTTAATTAGGCCATCTGGCAAGTTATCTTGCATAATTACAAGTCCAAATCTTTCCACTGATGTTCTCCTAGAATAGTTTGAAGATACTGTTCTACTCCTTAAGTCCTCTTTAAAAATTAACGAGAGCCATAAATCACTGCTGATCCTTTGGCTCAGTTCTGGATGTTTCCTCAGACAACAATGCCATTAAAAATTTCTATTCATTAATGTGTTGGGTTATACACCTCAGTGAATTTCATTTATAATAGAGTCTTCCACTTAGGCCTCTTGCCAAAGGAAAGGTCATTCTGTGAACGTCACTTATGTTCACAGAGAGAACAAACACTCCATGCTACCATTATATATGGCTGAGTTATTCTACTAGGAAGAACTGTTGTTTTCTCCTTTGTCATGCCTTCAATGTTCTAAGCATTTGGAAATGTCTTCATTTCTAGCTTCCAAGTGCACAGAGTAAGAGAAGAAAATGTCTCATACAACAATAACGTGCAACACAGGTTGCAAAGCTCACAACCCAAGCAAGGTCAACTGGGAGCTACTTGGTTTCTGAATTGTGAGGCTGGGTGAATTGTGAGGGAGGGTAGGACACTGCATCTATGGCTGTCATACTGAGCACCGAACAACTTTTAAGTGTGATATTCACAAAGACTACAGTGAATGGGACTCTGCAATCCTCTGGAGGCCTTTTAGAACCTCTGTTCTTTGGCCACAATCAGCAAAAGTAGACACTGAGGTTGTTTAGGGAAAAATAGAATTCCATTGCCACATAGAACAGAAAGTTGCATTGAGTATTCAGGCTATGCTATATTAGCAACGTTAGTATGCCTATAGGAAAAATAGAAAAGAATATTTACAATTGAAATGTTGGTCTCATCTTATCCATTGAAATCAAACATAAATGATTCATTAATTTATCAAAGACACAATAGGCACACATTATGTACAATGCATTATGCTAAATGTTATGGAAAATTCAATGATGAGTAAGACAGTACCCTCAAAGGAACCAGGGATCTGACAGAAAAGAGAGTTAAATAAGCATTTGATGGAGTGATTAAAGAACGGAAGAAGGGCACCGTGATTTGAACATGGAGGTATCTAGCCTTAAAATTACAAAAAAAAAAAAAACACGTAAGTTTTATAATATAGACCACATATGATGTGTACCAGCAGGATAATTTATAATAAATATCCTCGCAGTCACAGAAAACTCAGATGTATTTAAATATGTCTGCTTTTATGTCTTTAGATATGATATTGTGTGGCTGTAGACAGATAATAGAACCCAAGGTATATATTAAAGAAAATATAAATGGGGAACACAATACATGGTTGAAATGTAAAGAGATTATGATGAGAAAATAAAGGATGAGTGGATGGAGACCAAGAGAAAAGAAAAAAGAGAGAGTAAGAGAAAAGGAAGGAAGGACAGAAGGAGGGAGGGAGAAAGAGAGAAAGAAAAAATGAACCCCTGGGGTAGATAATAAAAGAGACCAATTTTAATCTTAGTGATATATCCATGAACATGAAAAATAATTGATTTACTAAATGTAATGGTATTTAATTTTTAGCATCAGATACAATGATGTTTGCTTGAACTTAAAATAATTTTAATCTCTATATTGTCAATGAAGTGTTTATATTTTATATGAGATAACTTTCAGCCTAGGACTTCTTTGTGCATTTTTAATGTTATGGTGACAATTCTATCAATGTCTCCATGAAGCTAATAGTTTTCTTTCAAAATAAAAAAAAAAAAAAATTGGAAGACAGAATCCTGATTGATTTATCTGCTGATTGTTCTTCCGATTTCCAGAAATTTGCCCTTGTTCTAATTCATAATATATAAAACCAGATATCAAGTTTTCTTAAATATATTCATGAAATCATTCGCATATCAGGCAAAAATAATGAAGTCTGATAAAAATGAAAGTACAAATCATTCTTTAATTGGCATATAAACTTCCCCTCTCATCCTTCAGTCCTCTCTTAAGGAGAGCTCCAGAATTTGATTCAATCTGGAATCGTGTTCCACTACACTAGCTCCCAGAGCTAGCCAATTATCTACGAAGGTTTCTTCTTGGATGCCCTCAGTTAGCTCTGTTCATTCAATGGAAAACTTGTGGTACTGAATTCATTCTAAATGACAGGCATACAAATCTGTACTACTTGAATGGCAACTTAAATATACAATGCAAGATATTTGACTTAACTTAAATTAATTTAATTTAGCTGTCAAAGCCCCAACAAAGATGCTCAGTGTTTCATGTGGAGTTTATTTGATATATACAGGGGTGTGTGTGTCTGTGTGTATGTATGTGTGTGTGTGTGTGTGTGTGTGAGAGAGAGAGAGAGAGAGAGAGAGAGACCACACAATTTCTTATGCCTTTGTAATGTTATTTTTGTTGTTCTCTTTTTCAAAAGAAAGTAAAAAAACCATGTTAATCTATATGAAGTTGTAAAATATAATAGAAACTATATTATAATTTAGATCACATAATTTCCAAAAATATTAAGTAGCTATCTCATGCTGTATTCAGAATTCTATCTCAACTGTCCTTAGACCATCTATCTACCAAGCACAGAATCACAACAAATTGAAATAACAGTTGTCTCTGGTGTGCTCTATACTACAGAGATTCAGTCAACCAATCAATCAAATGTCTAATAAAATCTGCTCATTTCCAACATACCCAGGTCTGTGCCAGATATGGCAGAAGATGTGAAATCATAGGACATAATTCCAACCTTTGAAAGTTTTCTGAGGTTGGCAGTTACCTTCTTGGGACATTCAAATCTTTATGAAGAAACATAACTTCAAAATGAAATTAACAGAATGAACAAGAGTGATTAGGAGTTAAAAAAAGAGAGCATAACTGAAGAGACTATAAAGGACATAAGAGGTGAAACATCCAGCAGTTTAAGGTAGTTGATTTACCTCTGGAAGGAAGCATCCTCACTACTAAAACTGCAAAAAGGATGGCAGACAATGGGTAAGGGCTCTTACTTAGTAGGAAACACAAACGTGGTGGTAAAGATTTGAGGAGGGATAGAAAAACGTGCAGTAAAAGGTAGAGGGTATTAAAATAGTCAAAAAGTTTACCTCAGACTGAAACAATGTTTTTCCTAAAATAAAATTCCGGAGAATCTCAATTAACTTTATTTCAACATAATCTCTTGGGAAGTAGTCTGAGACATAATGTCAACATTCACAAGTAATTTCTTTGATGACATTTTAGAGCAGCTTCCAGCACCCTTCCCTTCCCCTGCCCTGCCTTACCTCACAGATGGGCAGGAGGTGGCAAGAATATGGTGCCATGTTCTGCAGAGTATAGGTAACCATTGTATGTAGCTTGCGAATATGTGGGGGAAGAGCGTGTCTGAAAAGCCAAACCATAAAAAAATTGTTCTTAAAATGTCAGTTTTAGAGCAATTCACCTCTTAACCAATAGGATGGATATATAGGAAACCAGAGGAAAGAAAATATATTTCAAGTAGAAGTAGCAGACAGTTAAGAGATGCCTTGTTATTTCCCAAATATGTTAGCAATGAATATTTAGAGAATACTTGGGCTGTTAATACGAATATAGCTACCAACAGCACCCAGCTGGTATGGAAGTGGCACTAACATTACAACAGGATAAGTGAAGATAGGACAATAAGTTCAATAGGATTGTCTTTATCAGGAACAATTTGAGTTGGCTTCAGGAATTAAACCTCAGTTTATATATCTATTTCATCCTATAATTCCATACTGAGAAGTGGAGCATCAGCATCTTTCAAAATAGTAAAACTGAAGATTCTTCTCATGGCTCTTCATGCGTCTGTAGTACTGATGTTAGAATTTAGCTGCAGACTGGCTTATATTGTTCCTTGTCTGTTTTATATTGATGGGCCAACCATAGTCCGTTCTGAGTGTGTATCTGGCAATATGTACAAATTTTAGTTAGAATTGTCCTCTGTCCCTAAGAAACATATAATCTAGTAAATAAGATCAAATAAATGTGAAAAACAAATAAACAATTATGTCATTACAGTTGTATTCCTGTCACTTAGAATTTGCATTAACCTGTCACACGTAATAGATGAATGGTGTCTTAGACCAGAAAACATTGCTGATTACAAAGAGGACATGCTTAGCTTTTTGCAAACACTCTAGTTTGCCCATATATAAATGATCGTATAGGTTTCTTGCTTTCTCCAGAATCAGTTTTCTACCAAGAGATCTGCATTCAATATGTACAAAACTACCTTTAAAAATTTTAGCTACCTTTAATTTTCTCTTATTCGTGAAGGCTTTTAACCAAAAGAGTACTATCTGGGAGTTATTGAATAACTGTTGAAGAACTAAGCAAAGCCCCATGGAAGTGGCAAGGTTTCACAGGTGTTGTGTTGTCACTCATTTGCTGAGTGTTTCAGTCTAAATACTGTTGGGTTGGTGAGGGTTCTTCAAGAATTTGTTCAAATCAAATGCTGATTTGTTCAAATCAGCATTTCAAATCTTCACAATGACACCCAAGTGTGTCAGTCACAAAGCCAAATTTTGGGCTTTGAATGACAGGTGCTTAACATATATTTATTTATTCAATAGATAACCCAGAGCATTCAGCATTTCCTATCAAACAGGACCTACTGTGCCATATTCCAAGTGGAATTTCTCTGCTGGCCCACATACCATTCCTCTTACTTGCTCCTTTCTATATTGATTTAAATCTTGGTTATGGCTGGGCACGGTGGCTCACGCCTGTAATCCCAGCACTTTGGGAGGCTGAGGCAGGCGGATCACGAGGTCAGGAGATCGAGACCATCCTGGCTAACACGGTGAAACCCCGTCTCTACTAAAAAATACAAAAAAAAAATTAGCCGGGCGTGGTGGCGGGCGCCTGCAGTCCCAGCTACTCGGGAGGCTGAGGCAGGAGAATGGTGTGAACCCAGGAGGTGGAGCTTGCAGGGAGCCGAGATCGCGCCACTGCACTCCAGCCTGGGCGACAGAGCGAGACTCCGTCTCAAAAACAAAAAACAAAAACAAAAAACAAATAAATAAATCTTGGTTATGAACACTACAACTTCATCTCATTTAGGTAAAATTTTACTGGCTGTTCCTTTTTCTTTTGCCAGCTCCCTTTTTTCTGAGTGATAATCCTTATCCTTATGTATAGTCAACTAAAGATAGCTGCTCTTCCCTAGAGACGATTGTGATTTCTGACTAGGAACAAACAGCTGGGTTGAGTCCATGCCTTTGCTATTGTGAGAAGTGCTGTGATAAACATACGAGTGCATGTGTGTTTTGAGAAAATGATTTATTTTCCTTTAGGTATATACACAGTAATGAGATTGCCAGGTCCAACAGTAGTTCTGTTTTACGTTCTTTAGATATCTCCAACTACTTTCCACAGTAGGTAAACTAATTTATCTTTCCACTAATAGTGTATAAGTGTTCCCTTTTCTCAGCAGCCTTGCCAGCATCTGTTATTTTTGACTTTTAAAGAAAATGTGGTACTTGTATACCATGGAATACTACACATCCATAAAAGAAGGAAATCATGACCTTTGCAGCCATATGGATGCAGCTGGAGGCCAATATCCTGAGTGAATTAATGAAGTAATAGAAAATCAAATACCACATGTTCTCACTTACAAGTGACAGCTAAAAATTAGGTAGACATGGATATAAAGACGTGAGCAATAAACATTGGAGACCACTGGAGGTGGGAAAGAGGGAGGGAGGCAAGGCCTGAAAAATCTGTTGGGTAGGTTTTTCATAGTACCTATTGGTTGCTATGCTCACCAACTGGATGGGGGGATAATTTATAACCCAAACCTCAGCATCACACAATATACCCATATAATAAATCTGCATGTGTACTTTCTGCATCTAAAATAACACATGAAATTATAAACAAAGAAACAAACAAGAAACCCAGCTGGTGCAGATGGGCATCTTCCACACCAGAGTCCTAACTTTCTGTAATTAGTAAGTAGTGAAAGACTGAAAGACAGAAATTGAGTCATGGGCTCCAAGCTCCACTAGCAGTTCCTACAACATGTCCACTGTGGGCAATGCAAAACAGCTAACTTTCACTTAAAAGCCCAGAAACCCTCTTGATATTTGAGCTTTGTGATGCTAGCTATTCAGGTATATTTAACATTTTATTTGTTGAGCTTTTTTTGTTAATTATGAATTTTAACTTCTTTTTGTATGAAAGCCAATTTTTTTAGGTACCATTGTAAAGCATACCTTCACTGCATAAAAGAGTCTTCTCTCCACAGGCATACCTTGAAACATAATTGGAAGTAAGAACTTACATATGGACTGTTAGAAAACATATAGGGTGGTGAAGATTACAAACTAGCATTAATGAAATGAATAAAATGGTAGCATATTTTTATAGATTCAATATACATATATGAAGCAAGTTTCCCAATGCTACAAATAGTTATGAAGTATGTCTAACGGTAATATTTCAATGTGTATAAAAGAGACTAGATTAATTTGTTTTTTTCATTTATTTAGCAACTCAAACCTTGTCACTGAGCACCCACTTTGTGATGGCCACTGTACTTAGAGCTAATTATTAAGTGCAATTTTTTTTTTCTTGAGACGGAGTTTCACTCTTGTCGCCCAGACTAGAGTGCAATGGTACGATCTTGGCTCACTGCAACCTCCACCTCCCAGGTTCACGCGATTCTCCTGTTTCAGCCTCCTGAGTAGCTGGGATCACAGGCTTGTGCCACCATGCCAGGCTAATTTTGTATTTTATTTTTTAGTAGAGACAGGGTTTCTCCATGTTGGTCACACTGGTCTCGAACTCCCAACCTCAGGTGATCCACCCACCTCAGCCTCCCAAAGTGCTGGGATTACAGGCGTGAGCCACCATGCCCGGCCTCAACTTGTTTTTATATGATGTCAAATTTGTCAGGTGCCATTGTAAAGCACAGCCTTCCTGCATGAAAAGTGCAGAAGTTCTTTCCAATCATATACATAGAACTGGCAATATTTTAAAATAATGAAATATTAAACACAACCATAAAGTGTAGAATTCCCACATGGCAATGGTGGCTAGAGAAGGCAATTAAGAGGGTTAAATCATGGTAGTAGTCAGCACTTGATAGTAAAAGAGGCAAGTTCAAGATGGCAGCATCACCTTCTCTGATTATTAATAAATAAATATTGACGTTAATTTAGCACTTTCCATCTTCAAAGCACTTTACAATTATTAATTAGTCCTCTAAGGACTATTTGAAATATAATTTATGAAGTTTGCATTTAAATTGAATTTTCATGATGGTATTTCTTGGCTTCAAGTATGACAGCTGTTTTTTTTTTTTCTGTATACTCTCAGATTTTTTTTTTTTTTTTTTTGCCAGAATGCAAGATAATAAGATAAATGTAGCTATATGGACATTCCAGAAAAGGTAATCTCAGGACATTGAGTAGAGAGGTAGAAGGAGCTACATTTGCACATTTCCATAGCCATGGGCCAAGATCTTGGTTCTTCTCCAGTCAAGTGGAGGCACTTTTAGACTGTCCAATGAACTCCACTTTTGCACCGAGCAGGCTGACATCTGTTTCACACTGCAGCCATCTTCTTTTGTCTGGATTCCTATGCATCTCAGTTTCATATTTTTTTAACAAGAAGTTTATTTCTAAAACCCTAAATTCTTGTTTTCATTCAATAAATGTTCATTAAGTAACTGAATAGAAAATTAAAAATTAAAAACATGGACCTTTACTTCATAGCTCATGACTAGCAAGAGGACCAAGGATTGATTACATGAATATGCAATATACAGTATAAAAACATTTTTTAAATAGACCTTTTTAAAGCACTTTTAAGTTTACGAAGAAATTGAATAAAGGTACAGAGACTTCCCATATACCCTTATCAACCCACTCCTTGGAGTTTCCCCTGTTATTAACATCTTCCATTAGTATGTATATTTATTACAATTGATGAGCCAATGTCAATACATTACCATTAACTAAAGTCTATAGTTTACATCAGGGTTCACTTTCTATGCTGTACATTGTATGTGTTTTGACAGACGTGTAATGACATGCATCTAGCATGATAGTGTCATACAGAATAATTTCTCTTTGTAATGATTTCCTGTGTGGTGGCTAATTAGAGTTTGATTTCTATGCCCACTCAACTTCATCCCAGACACACCTGCACTGCAAGGAGGTTGTGTCCCTTTGATGATTGCCTGTACAAATACTCACCTATCCTCTCAGCCTCAGTGGGCAGGGCATCTCTGTCTCGGGGGAAATGCATTTCAATCAATCTGACTTGAAGATAAGACCAGGGACTAAGGGTTGGTGATGAAAAGAGAACGTTTGCAATTTAATTCAGTTTGACTCATAAGAGGCCTTCCCAAATATATGTGCCTGTCATGCAATTTGTCCAATTAGGGAGCATGCAGGAACCTTCTTTTTGTTTGCCACACCTGTCCCCTCCCTCACTTCTGCACTGTCCAGGACCATTCCAGGACCAGAGCAGCATCTCTCCCACCTGTGAAGCTAAAAATAGTCCTAATTGTCAGGGAAGAATCACCTCTATATTTTGAAATGGCAGCTTGCAGCTTATTTAAACCAAATAGATATACTGGCTAATCTACATTTGATTTTTTGTTGTTGTTGTTTAAGATCCATAAACTTTACTGGACCACAATCCCACACTTTGTATATGGAGAATGTCTAGCACAATTCATTGCTTCCCATATCAAAATAGGCATAATATTGCAATGTAGTTATGTATCCACATCTGTCTCTCCTTCTAGACTGCTAATTATGCAACAAAAAAAGAACTATTGTTTTTATTTACTCTTGGATCCCCCAATGACTTGAACTTTGCCTGCCACATGTCAGGGTCTCAGTTATTGAATACATTTAAAACACAAAATAAAAACAAATAAAATATAGATTCAAGGAGAATAAATAAAGTTGAAAATCAACTTTCTGTAGTATTTCAAGGAGGTGGTTTAAAGAAAAATGCCTAACTTTACTGCCCAATCCTCATTCCTAATGAATTTGTAATAGCACAGAGAAGATAAAAGGAAGAAGAAGGTATGTTATGCTTTGTGTTATGACTTCAGGAAATCTTGATCAGAGTATTGTACATGCCTCAAATGTAGCCCCCTTTTGTCATTGAAAGTCTCCTCTAAATTTGACATCTAACCACTGACCAGAAAGAAACTGGTGTTAATCTGGGGGATCCTCCATTTCCCTCAGTGAGGACACTCATTCTAGTGACTGAGGGAGGAAATTTTAGACCCCATCAAAGAACCTCAAATGTATCCAGGGATTCATGGCTCCCTGGAGAATCAAAGAAAAAGGAATTCTGTTTACCTTTGGGCATCCTGTGGAATGCTCTTCCTGTTACTCTTCTTGGTCTGAGGCAGGTACCCTTATTAAGGCTCCAATAGCATGTGGCGGCCTCTCTCATTTTCCTATCACTGTATTCTAATTACCTGGAAACTTGCCCATCGTTTCCACCAAGTTTTAGGCTACATTATGACAAGGATCCTGTTTGCCTTGCTTACTGTTTCATTTCTTGGGCTTAGTTTGAAGTCTGGAACATCATACGGGGGGAAAGAAAGAAGGTAGGAAGATAGGCAGGTGAGTCTCCAATCTAGAAATAATAAACTTTCTTCGCATGGCCTTGGTACATTAGGTTTAAGTGTTTCTCCTAGAATCTTTACTGCTAAGAAAGCACTAAGCTGTTCAGAAAACAACAAAGTGCCTACTTAGTAAGGGAAACGAGTTGACCCGCAGGTCCTTTGGATCCATTCTTGACACCATGATTAGCCTTGATTTTTCTGTCTCGTCTGACTTTCATTCGATGACAGTGGGTCAACTGACCTCAGCTATAATTTACTGCTGTGTTACATGGGATACTTAATTACAATAGCCAAATGAGGAGATGTTCCTAGCCCTAATACCCAATGTTGTATTGTGTTGACACATATTGTGTTTCTTTGATGCCTTTTCTTAGGTTGACTCTGTGACTTCAGATTATATTGGCTTTGTGTCTTTTCCATTATCTGGGGTGAGTTTAACTGTGACTTGTGGGACACAGGACAGACTATATCCTTCCACTTACTACATATTTCCTTGTTTTATACCTATCAGGCACGTGTCATACTGCTCATATTAACTGAAGGCAGGAATCATGCTGTACATTGCTGTGTTATATCTTTCAATGGTTAGCATATTGTGTTGAACATGATAGATACTCAGTGTGTTTTAAAATGGTGAAATGTATAAATGTATAAAAGGTATACATTTGTATACCTTTTATAGGTATACATTTTAAAGGTATACATTTGTATAAAAGGGAATGTTCTTAGTACACATACATATACTTATTTTTCTTATTTAATTCATACATATTCCTTCCAAGCCTCCAAGATCCTGGGATTTATATTAAAAGTTTAAGATAGTCAATAAATAGTTTTCAAAAGCAGTGGTTATATTTGTATGTGTATTGTCTGTTTTTTCATTAGGTAACAAACAAAAAATAAACGATAATAAAATGTTTATCCAGTTGCATTTTATGTTGGATACTAACTTCTCAGAGTTTTCAGTGGTGAAAACCACACACCCTCTTTCCCTGTCACTACTCATGCAGATCTAGGCTCCATCCTCATCCGTGTCCCAAATGGCATCTCAGAAGCAGAAAGGTCAGAAACAAAAGGCACCAAGTTCATGAGATTTAAAGGCAAGTTATCAGGAGTTGGACTGGAGCCCCAAACCATATAGGCTATAAGGTCAGAACTTAACTGTTTTTCCATTTTATTGCTCAAGGACAAGAGAACATGATGCATGAGACTCCAGCACCATAAACCGTCTACTGAGGTGGCCATTTCATCACGTATGGTTGCAAGCTGAGTACTGACCGCACAATGTAAATCGACAGCAGCAGGGCCCTGGTGCAGATGTGAAAAGCAATGTCACACACAACATCTTTTTCCTAATTATCAGGACCTGGACAGGAGGCAGGAAGGGAATGAGGGGTGGGGGTTGGGGGAGAAGGAGGGGATGGAGGCACTGTGACATTTCCCATCTCAGGAGTACAAGATTCATTACCTCTGATGAAAAGTCACCAGGCCATGGTGAGTCCTGACTTACTCTGTGACAGGAGAAAGTGACATGGCCGTTTGACATTCAGGGCTAGAAGGTTGCCGGTCTGTAATCACTAGTTAAAATTGAATCTTGTACATTGCACCCTGCCAGCACAGCTCAACTCTTGATAATTATTTGGATGCTACTGTATTTGGATTTTATTTCCCCAGCAGAGAGGGGAAGTTGGATTTATAGTTTACTGCTGGGTTAAGATTGGAACAGGCTAGATCTTTTTTATGGTTAATACGGCAGAGCCAAATAAATCTGGAGATGTTTTCTTGTCCCTATTTTAATTCTAAGCCATTTGGAGGTGGGGACAGGGAGTGACAAAGGAATCAAAGTGCACATCTTCTAATTTTCTGCAAACAAGCTACGATTCTGTCTGTGCTAATGTTTTCCTTTTTTTCCTTTCACCTCATGATGCTTAAACCAGCCATCTGGACACAGAAGGGGCTGAGAAATACCATTTTGTAACTGTTACAGCCCAAGTTGCCACATGGTAAGGACTTCTTTATGGATGAGGATGGACATAGATGGTCAATGAGACTTAAACAGCCACTTTTCCTTTACCTGGAGGTCAGGGAAAGGACCAGAGAAGTGTTTCACAGAAGGTCACTTTTGTATAATTACAGGGTGGCCCTGAACTGTTGATTTGCAGACAGGTGTGCTGTGATTCCAATAAGAATATTCTCCCCCTATTTGCTCCTACCCAAAGGCACAGAAGCTTCTGGTTATTGCAGGAGTCCAGCCTGCATGTTCACCCCATTTTTCCCAGAAAGATGTCTGGCTTGATAGGCTCCATCTAAGATTTTCAGGAGTCACAAGCCACATGTTCACAGAAGGGTAAAGTGATCACCAGAGCTAACTTAATGTACAGACAGAGTAAGTGCTGCCTGAGCACTAGGAATTAGCTGTGCCCCAGGAATCAGCCTGATCAAAGGCTGATCAAAGTTATCTTTACCACAAATCTGCCTCAATGTATAAAAGTCTGTCATCAAAAAAGTATCAGTTTAAATAAAAACATTGTGCCTCCAAGGATTCCTTTAAAAAGTCATCTTTTTTTTTATTGGAAAAAAACATTCTCAAACAGCCAAAGATAGATAAAAACATAGTGAAAATGTTGTTAGGAAAGATCGGCAGGCTTTCACCCAGGAGGCATCCCGAGAAGTGGCGTTCATTGTTCTGGGGGATCTGCTCTGGACCTGAAACTGACTTTCAGCCCTGCCAGTGCCAAAGCCTGATTTCTGTCAGCAGATTGTGCTCCCATCACTCACAGAACACTCACATCCACTAAATTTGTAGGATTGATGTTTGGAAACAGAATGCTGATTTAGGTCGCATATATTGAGAAATAATAACGCAACGGGAATTGGAATATGCAAATTCCAAATGGCCAGTGCAGACATTACAGGTAAGCCAGCCAAATCCTGAAAAGAAGATATTCTTGTGTTCAAGGAACAGGAACAAGGGGAATAAAAAGGAATCTAACTCTTCACCTCCTTACTGATAGGGTGATGTGGCCAAGGGTAACTTTCCCCAAATCCAGGACCATCTTAATGTGCTGAGATAGCTCAGGTCCTGGAACAATTCCTTTTCTCCTGAGTAGTGCTGAGATGGTTGCTGCCAATCCTTGCTTCCTCTCTTCTCTTTTGTTCAATCTCAGTGGTAAACACCACCCCCACTGCCCACCTGCCACTTCCCACCAGAAAGATTACATGTTGATATGACAGCTCAACTTAGAGGAGGCAGTTGCATTTTCTGGCTCTTCTAGTTCTTAGGGGAATCCACTGTCAAGACTGAAAATGCCCCCAAAGAGGCATTTTAAAAGTCACTTGTGGACATAAACAACTTAGTGTGAATAAATTCGTAACTCATTTTTCTTCCACTACAGAGTGGAATAATAGAATGGGCACCTTAAGGAGAGTTTCTCGTACAAAGCAGGAATTTCCGAATAGGGAAGAGTCTAGAAAAGCAGTTGAATTTGAGAAATTTGGTGATAAGGTAGCAGAATGAGAATATCTAAGGGAAGAACATGAATAATTTAATAAGCAGATTATATAACAAAGTTAGAAGAGAAGAGAGACAAAAAGATAGATATATCAACTGGGCTAAAATTATGCCTATTATAAACTAATAGTGACAGAGTAAGTAGTGGCTTGGACACTGTGGTTGCTGAAATGATGATCTCAACAGCAATGAATCAGGTGTCTGGGTTGCTTAGATAGAGTGTGGTTAAATGAATAAACTAATTTGTTAGTCATATATCTCAGCTGTTCCTAGTTGTAGAGACTAAATTAAGGGTAGTTTCTCTTTTCCTGTGGACATTAATTACTTTTACTTTGGAAGAGTAACTGATATGGTTAGGTTTTTTGTCCCCACCCAAATCTCATCTTGAATTATAATCGTCATAATCCCTGCATGTCAAGGGACAGACCAGGTGGAGGTAACTGGATTATAGGGGCAGTTTCCCCCATGCTGTTGTCCTGATAGTGAGTTCTCCCAAGATCTGATGGTTTTATAAGAGGCTCTTCCCCCTTCGCTTGGCAATTCTCCTTCCTTGCACCTTGTGAAGAAGGTGCCTTGCTTTCCCGTCACTTTCCATCATGATTGTAAGTTTCCTCAGGCTTCCCCAGCCATGCTGAACTGTGAGTCAATTAAACCTCTTTTCTTTGTAAATTACCCAGTTTCAGGAAGTTCTTTATAGCAGTATGAAAGTGGACTTATAGTGTAACCTCACTTGTTTATTGTCTAAGCCAAAAAGGCAAAGCTGCAACTAATAAGGGATTTCATTAATGGGGCTGCTCATGACAAACTGAGGGACAGTCTTTACTTTCCTATAATTGAAAAAATAAAACTCTTCCTTTTCTCCCCAAAACTCAATTTCACACATCATGTGTGGTTTATTTAAACATCCCCTCTTCCATGAAGGCTCCCATGATTGCCCAGCACAGGTGATTTTTCTTTCCCAAATTTTTGTACAGTTTATCACTCTTGTATCATCAGTGTTTGTGTTTGATTTTGAAGCCCTTTCCATGTGTCCTATTTATACACCTTGCTTGGATGAGCAGTTAAACTCTGGAGGTAAGAAGTTTCTGAGACCTAAAGCTGCTCTTTTAACCTCCTGGAAACTCAATTTTCTTATCTATTAAGATAAGGAAATGGGAATATAAGCCTCAAAGTTCTCTTCCAGTTCTAGTATTTTGTGAAACTTTGTGATGCTTTTCTTGTCATCCTAAATCTACCAGGTGCAATAGGAAAGGACAATGGAATAAATCGCAGGCTCATGAAAATATTTGTTTTATTACACAGGGGTGAGCTATTTTATCACTTTCACATACATATTTCTAAAAATGGTCTTTAAAGTTTTTTTTTTCTATTGTAAATTTTCCTAAAAGTTCTTCAATCAAGCTAAATAGTCTAAAAAAGTGATTGCATTCTCTCGGTTTCAATTCCTGTTTTCCTAGAGAACTATGAAAGATGGAAAGGAAAATATATATCTTTCTTTGTTTAATTTGCACCATCCTGTGTTCAATTCAATTTAAGTAAATATTATAACAGCAAGGCTTGGTACTGGGCTCCAGGCACACCATAGGTATTTTCAAATGGCAGCCTGCCACATGCAGCAGCAGCAGCAGAAATTGGGTTAAGAAAAATCGTAACCCAATGCGACCACCCTACATTGGCTGTGCCTCTGGACTGCTGGTTCTGCAACTAAAACTTAGGAACTCTGTGTTTCAGCAGAATCAAATTATTGCTTAAAAAATCATTTTTTTCATTAAATCAATAAAAAATCATTTTATTCTAACATGTTGTATCACCAGACATCTTTCCAGCCACAGTTGCTTATGTATGTTTCTGAGGAGATCGAGCTGTTTGAAACCTTCTACTCATGCAATTCTTACTTGTGAGCTCTTCCCACAGCTCTTGATGCAATTAGCATACTGGAATATTAAACAGAGGTAATTTTATCATGCAATCAAGAATGCTTCAGCTAGGGCTATATGTTAGTTATCACTGAAAACTATAAGAAAAAAGAGAAGTAACATTTCTCACAGGTGAGAAAAAGCACATAAGCCTGTAAACACTTAGGAGATGGTGGCTTGTGTTTTCATATTATTGTTAAGATGCATGCTAGTGTTCTTTGGAAATACCTTGATTGTGTTCATTGGCATTATACAAAAGGGGATAAAATAATCAATGTCCCATTGAACAGAGAAGATGGGGAGAGAATTTGTGGTAGCCTCAGGTGAAGCCCAAAGATTGGACCACTGGATTTGGATAGATTTTATCTTTTCTATTTTCTTTGCAATCTGTAGTCACCCTTGAAAAGAGGTTTTATTGCTGAGTGGGGTTCCAGGTTATTACTGGTCTCAGGAGTACAAAGAACTGGAGTCTCCTTTTTCCAAGGGTCCCCTGGCAATGCCATTTGATAATATAGCAGCAAACACTTTTGCTCTGTCTTCCTGGGGGCTGTTAATTCAAATGCGGATGAAAAATGTGGGTTTGTCTTTTCTGCCACTCTCTTAATCAAGGCGATTTTCTGAAATGCAACTGTAGAAAATAGACTTTTTTATTTTAGGATCAACAACAGTTTTTACAATGTTAGGCAAACCTAAGCCCCTCCTTAAAATGTCAGGAAAACAAAAACCGTTCCCACCTGAAAGGCCTCTTCACTTGTCTTGAAAGGATTTTTAGGCTGTTTCCCTTAAGCTGCTTTCTCCTTCTGTGCAACTTCCCAATCCCATTCACAAACTGTTGCCATGGTAAATAATTATATCACAGATGAATTGTGTACACTTCCTTTTCATAGCTGGAAGAGAAATTGTAGAGGAAAGGGGAAAAAATCAAAATCCTTTAAAATTACAGGGGAGATAGCAGAGGAACGATTGCCTCCTCATTAACATAATTAGCTCCATGAATTATAGATTGGTATTAGAACTTGCTCTTCATGACAAAAGGAGTAATTATATTTACTCATGTAAAATTAAACAATACCAAAAAAAATTAATGGGACTCACCAGAAGCTCTCTTGACATTATCATAAAATTCAGAGATGTGAATATCCCACAATCTGAAGTGATCTAAGCAGCAAAAACCTTAATGCTGCTCAAATTTGCTGTGTAGAAGTATATCTCCTGGCTAGTTTATAATTACACTCCCATGCTCAAAAAAACCACACATCACAACAACAACAACAAACAACTCTTAAATTTTTTTTCATAGATTGACACACAGAAAAGCCCAGATTTTCTGAACCCAAGTGGGATGTGGAAGTAAATTTCACAAGATTTTTTTTTTTCTTATTGACTGTTCTAAAGTCAAAGCCTCCAGAATAGAGGGCGACCTGTGAATTTAAACAACTCTCAAATGTATCTAAAAATGGGATTGACATGGGAGAAGGTTGACTTGTCTAACTAGCTTTGCACACTCAGAAAGATTTCCCATAGGGGAGGGATAGTTATGTGTCAGAATGGTAATGTGGTGAGGTCTCTGCATATCTGATCGAGGTACCTGAAGACTAATGATTGCCAGCATCTCACAGCAGTGGATTCCTGGCTTAGCCCTAGTAAATAAGAACAAGTAGAGACGAGCCATTTTTGTATCCAATTATGTAAAAGCTGCTATAGATGGTCACAGGTAATTTTGGTCCTTTAAACAATTGTGGGATAATCTTTCCATTCCTTTTTAAGAGGCTGGGTAATTTCTAAGCTGATAACCCAAACTATCTTCTAAAAATTCTTACTTTGTTTATTGATTCTATTTTTCTCCACAATTGGATGTGACTGTTCCATTGCCTATGTTTCCTCTCTCTGGCCAGACTCTGACATCCTGGACATGAGTCCCACTCTTTGTGCTAGACACAGGTTTAAAAGACAATCACATTTCACCCAGAAACCTCTCTTTATGGGATCTGACTACCTTAAAATATGCTATAAAATCTTCCAAAACATCTACTCACTTCTACCTGCCATTGTGTTTGGAATTCCTTCCACTGCTTACTCTTGTAAGGTAAATCACAGAAACCTCCTTTCATATATATCATTAATGTACTGACAAATATATCTAATCTAGAATATTAGACCTTTCATGAAGCTATTGAACCAACTGTAAGAAACCAGGGAAAGGGAAAAGTCACCTGAATCCTAGGTAGGAGTGCTTAGAATGAATGCAGATATCTTTGGAGAAAACTTCAGTTTATGCATTCATTCAGCTACTGAGTCTGCTTTGCACGAGATCTGCAACATGTACAACTGTACAGTGCATGCTAGGAATGGGAGAAAGAGAGCAGCAAATAAAATTGAAAGATGTTTTTTGTATTTCCAGAATTTATGAATCTTTAAAACATAGTCCTTCATTTGGAATAATATGTAGTCAAAATTATGTTTACAATGAATCCCTAAGAATATGACAAAATGGTTAAATCATATGTTAAGTGAAAAAGCAAGCTATAAAATTGCTATTCTAATGATGCCTGGTATGTGCATATGGGATGACAATCTGTCACTCCCTTTCCTCCTGTCCATCCTTCCCACTACAGGACTTCCTAGAGCCCAGATTGATTTACTTTGCTATTGGGAGTATTTTCTCATTTGTCTCTCAATTTGCATCTCAGAGTGTCAATTTAGGCCAGTTGATTGGACAACTGGAGGAGGCTATACCTCTGGGAAGCATCAGCATTGCCCACCTCAGGGTATCACTCAGGGTCCCATCAGGAAACAGATGGTGTACTCAAATGAGTAACTGAGGAGAGATTAATAAATGACTACGTATAAAAATACAAGCAGGATTAAGAGAAACCAATAAGAGATGGTGCTCTCTTAATTGATTTTCTTCTTAACTTGAAAAGGGAAGATATAGGACAGGAACACAGGCAGGAGTTGTGGCCTTTGGTAGAAGAACACAGCCAACCTGTGGCAACTTGGCCAGATAGGAGCAAGAATGAATACCCCAGTTCAACACTCCACTGCCCTCTATTCATCTATAGGTAACTTCCAGTGGCCAAGCCCAAGAGGAAGCCAGAAGGCTAGTGCCATTTCATTTATTTCATGAAGATTAGCTCCCTGTGGCACAAAGTGTGATGGGGAAGTGTTAAGAGTGTGTTTGGAGGAACAAAAACAAAATAACTTACACAAATGAGTGACCAGGTGAGACCAAGAAACAACTTTTTGAAATATTAGCAAATTTTTCACTGTGGAAGCTTATATATTTCCAAATAAAAATGTTGTCCTGAAATTTAAAAATTATGATTTTGAAAATCTAGTGTGATTTTTTACTATAAACTATCTCTGATTTTGAAGGTCAAAGCATTTTTTGAACCATATGAATCATGCAGTTTAGTCAAATATTTTTGGACTAATTTTTAAAAACCTGAGATGCCTCACCAATAACACATTTTCAAAAACTATTTCATTATACTAATATATGAATGAGGGAATGAATAGTAGAATCACCTGAAAATAGTCTCCTTATCGTTAGTAAGATCTTTGATTGGATTTTGCTGGTCTTTTGCTCATAATCTTATTTCCCTCACCTCAGTTGTCTCCACTTTGAGCATCCAAGGAGGTCAGTTGTGGTTTTCCCTCAAGTCATGGGTCATGAGACTCATGCAATGTTTTACATTAAGGCTACTGGGTAAAAAAAAAAAAAAAAAAAAAAAAAATCTGATTTTCTAATGATGCGACATGGTAGATTTTTATTTACAATTACTATGTTATCTTTTCTAAACAACTCATTAAATACATGCACCATTGTTATTTACAGCAGGGAAAATTGATACTCTGAGTATTTCTTTTTTTTTCTTCAGGTTAATAACAGACTGATACTAAATAATGCAAAAGTCTTTTTTTTGGATTTTTTTTGTGAGGCCATATTAAACTTTGTCCTTTTAAAAATGACTCTCTGCACTTGCTTCCTAGATGATCTATGAAACCTATCCTATATATCTCTCTGTTAGCATATAGCTTCTATTTTATTGATACTGCATAACCACATAAAGATTTTTGATAATAAAATTATCTTTGTCATAAATAGAGACTAATGTCTTTTTAATGTGGTGGACATTAAAAGCAACTGGAGAAGAAGAACTAGAGTTAAAAATAACAAATAAAATAAGAAACAATGGTGTACTTACAGATGCTATGTGTGGTAAAGTCTGATGGTACACAGAAAAAACAAAAACTATATGGGAATGGAAAATGCAGGGCACCTATATTATCATAAATGTTCCATTCCATGGAACACACTGAAGCTACATCCCAGCCTGGCTTCTTCTTCTTCTTCTTTTTATTGTTTTTTTTTTCTTTTCTTTTCTTTTGAGATGGAGTCTAGCTCTGTCGCCCAGGCTGGAGTACCGTAGCATGATCTCTGCTCACTTCAACCTCAGCCTCCAGGGTTCAAGTGATTCTCCTGCCTCAGCCTGTGGAGTAGCTGGGATTACAGGTGCATGCCACCATGCCCAGCTAATTTTTGTATTTTTTTAAAGTAGATGCGGGTTTCACCATGCTGGCCAGGCTGGTCTCAAACTCCTGATCTCAGGTGATCTGCCCACCTCAGCCTCCCATAGTGCTGGGATTACAAGCATACAAGCTGGCTTATTCTTCAAACCTTGATGAAGTTTTACAATCTTGCTCATTGTGTTGCCATCAGCCTCCCAGTCCCATTGGATCAAAGCCAACCATGAATTCTGCAAATGCTCAAATTATCAGAATTGATTTTTCAATCCTTCAGTTTCCAAAGCAAATAACCTTTAAAAATGATACATTATGACTTTATAGTAGTTAAACGAACATACTTTCTTTTGTATTATGTTTGCATTGAAAATATAGTGCACATTATGATTTGCAACTGTAGAATTTGAGTATATAACATTACTCAGTGCTTACTCATACTCACTGAGTCATCAAGCAAGGAGATTTGGAACAATACAATACAATTTTACAATAACAGCAACTATGAAATCTTTTATGATTAATGCCAGATACTGTGGTAAAATCTTGATAGAAATTACTTAATTTTACCTTCTTAATAACTCTAAGGGTCGTTATAATTCCAATGTTAGAGTGGAAGAAATTCAGGTTCAGAGGATTGTGTAGGACCACCCAGCTAGGACCCAATACATACCCTACAGTAATCAGGAATATCAATGATTCAGGAGATAACTTTCACAATGATTTTATGAAGTAAGTATCGCATTAATGTTATAGATGAGTAAATTGTATTCAGAGAAAATAAGTGGCATTCCCAAGGCCATATAGGTGCCACAGTTACATCTGGGGCTTGAATTTAAGGATGCCAGCTTCTCAAGCTAAAGTATGTTTTCTTTCTACTCTCAACCAAATGTCTGCCTACTAAAAGTCATGAATTTAAAATTGTATAACCTGCCTAGCTCCCAAATGAAAAGTCAGAGAGTATTTGACGACAAGCTTCTTTGGGTCAGAACTTGCTTCTTCCTTCATAACTTGGCAGCTAGTTCCCATTATTGGCAGTAAAATAAGAACTCCACATGCATTGTTATCCATCTGAAGGTCAGAGAAGGAAGTTCAGCTGATTCGAAGTCACACGTGCATCTGAAAATAGGGGAGCTCATTAGCAGTCATAGGTCAAAAAAGTAGTGAAAACAAGATCACACTATAAATAGGCAAACAATAGATTGCAGCATTTGAGATAATAGCCACGTACACATCTAAGCTCTCCATTGGTTGGGTGCTGAGAAACTACCTCAGTAACAAATGCTGCTGGAGGTCTGAATAGCATTCAGAATGGCTTCTTGCCTGCTGGCTGAAATCCTCATCAGGGCAAGCTCCAAAAAGAACTTATTTCACCTAAAGCCTGTCGACTTCTATTAGATCACCCTGGGCATTAATTTCAATTTTCATGTTTCTGCACCACGAAAAAAAAGAAAGAAAAAAAAAAGCCTTTATATGTGCCAAAGCTTAGCTGCCAACTGTTGAGGAAAAAAAATTTGATTTCTATTGAATACTGCACTTTGGAATGAAAGAAAACAACGTCTAAATGAAGCTGAGGCTCTCAGTCACCTATGCCTATATTACTGTGAAATCAATTATGTGGGCTCTCTCGAAAGTTACTGATTGTAGCAAATTGAATGGCCTTTATTTCAGCATAATTTGGAGAGGTTGATGTAATCAGAGACCTTACACCACGGTGAGATACAAGATTCGTGATATTCAGATGGGAGAAAAGCTACAGTGGTTAAGCTTGTTCCGTACCTTCCACTTACCTGCTGCAACGCTTTCATAAGTACAAATGAAATTGTTTTGATGAAGGCAGCAATGTTGCTGAAGGAATGAGTGAAGGGGTGAGGGAGTGGAAATGAGGTTGCTGGGAATCACACTATTGTCTTCATATGTAAGGAGGCTGAAGAATCTAATCCTAGGCCTAATTGGCTGCAAATGAAACACTTTAATATCAAATCTTGAGATATGCCCCAGAGCTGAAGTTCAAGCTTAGATGTGAGGAGAGGGTGAAATGCTTGATTTTTTCTTGCTGTAACTGTTTGTTCCACTTCATTCCTTTGGGAGTCTAGAGGCTCAAATAATTGCTCTTCAAATTATAAATTGATTCTCTTCAACCCCAAGACAATTTTTGGCTTGAGAAAATTCATGGCAGGTTTGGTTTCATTACATTTGCCTAGGTGAAAGCTATTGTATGCATTTATATATGTGATGTAGCATGTTTGCAATCAAGTATTCCTACTTTGTAGTAGGTCAGGCATCATTGCCCAATGCAAAGGCAATATGGTTTGCTCTAAATCAACACAACGTGATCATACTCTATCAAGGGTCTGGGACTTACATGAGCACAGGTTACATAAGGGAGGTACAACAAGCTAAATAGAAACGTACTTCTTACAAGACACTGTGAACATATTCTAGCTTTGAGTATTAATATGTTTTCAACTTGGAGAGAGACAGCAGGGCTCTTTCTTTTGCATGCGTAATTCTTTTTATTTATTCTTTTTTCATCAATTCCAAAAGCCCAGCTCAAGAATAAATGAAAAATGGCAATCTTTTTTTTTCTTTTTTCCTGAGCATTGAAATTTCCCTCATTTGGAACTAACTCTTGGCCAGAGTTGAGAGACCTCGATGTAATGAGAGGAAAAGGACCCGAATTCAATCTCAATTCTTTTACTGTGAATTCTTGGTTTACCAGACTGAACGTTAGCATGTTCATTTGTACATGGGATTTATTTTGTAAGGAAATTGAAGACTTACAAAATGCGTTTATGTCAGTGGGCATATAGTAAGTGTGAGAAAATGTCAGTTATTATAATCCACCCAGCTACATTGTAAGACCCTTAAAAGAAACAATCATCCTTTTCTCTTAATATAGATTAACATCTGAGACATATTAGTAGGTGGTCAATTAATTCTTGTTTGACATAACATGATATATTGGAAAGAAAATATATTAGGGTTCAAGAGCTCTTAGTTCAACCCCAGAACTAATTGTACAATCTTGGAAAGAATATTGATTTTGCTCGGTCTTTCTGATCTAATTTATAAATAAAGAGATATATCTAAAAGCACCTATAAAACTTTCTTTAGACCTAAATTCTGAAAATAAAAAAAAATTTTTTAATCTAAAATGAAATTCAACAATATCCTTAATTTAAATGTGTGTATGTATTCATGTAGATGTGTATTAATGCATGTATGCAAGTCTGTCCTCAGTTGAACTAAGTTTCACATAAGAAGTCTAACACAAACATACACGTACAAGTGAAAACTTTCTATACTTTCAAATTATTTGAAGCACGATGACTCTACTATTCCACCCTATTTTTAAAATATATTTTATTGAATTATATTCAGAAAGACATATTATCAGCTAAGTAATAAATTAAAAACCAAACTAATGAAAAGTTAAGGCAGAGAGAAAGAAAGAAAGAAAGAAAGGGAGGGAAGGAGAGAGAAAGAAAAAGAAACAAAGAAAGAAAGAAAGAAAGAAAGAAAGAAAGAAAGAAAGAAAGAAAAAAGAAAGAAAGAAAAAGAAGGAAAGAAAGAAAGAAAGGAAGGAAGGGAGGGAGGGAGAGAGAAAGAAAAAAAGAAAGAAAGAAAGAAAGAAAGAAAGAAAGAAAGAAAGAAAGAAAGAAAGAAAGAGAAAGAGAAAGAGAAAGAAAGAACGGAAGGAAAGAAGGAAGGAAGGAAGAAAGAAAGGAAGAAAGAAAGAAAGAAAGAAGTTATTCAAGATTTTGAGTGAGTAAAATTTTTTGACAGACTGCTGAGGAGGCAGAAGAACTCATTGAGGGATCCTCTATTGAGCAACAAAGTCACCTGCTGGTAAGTACCAACCCCTAGAAAAATTAACCTCTGACCCCACGGACGTTAGGCTGGAGTTAATCAGTTTTATTGGGAATCATACAGTGGGAATCAGTATGTATTAGTCTAGGTTTCCTCTCTCTCACACACACACTCATGTATGTACACACACACCCACACACACAGGTATGTGTATATGTATACACACACACAAATTATATATATGTAATGTAATATCTATTTATTTCTCTCATATATATCTACATAGATTTGTATACATGTGTATGTATACATACATATATAATAAAATACATTTTATTAACTTTCAGTTTAATGGAATATATATCACATATATATATGGAAGGAGAGAGAGAGAGTTGGCTTGTGCAGTTAATGAAGCTGAGAAGTTCAAGATCTGCAGCTTGTGATTGTACTGGTATAGTACCAGCCCCGGTCCAAAGATCTGAGAAACAGGAAAGGTGATGGTGCCATTTCCTGCACAAATCTGAAGACAGAAGAGCAATGTCTCAGCTCAAAGACAATCAAGTAGAGAGAAAACATTCTCCCTTTTTTTCTATTCAGGACTTCAGCCGATTAGATCAGAACTACACACATTTGGAATCTGCCCTACTCAGTCTGCCAATTCAAATATTAATCTCATCCAAAAGCCCCTCACATATACAACAGAAATAAAGATTAACCAAATATGTGGGCACTCCATAGCTTAGTAAAGTTGACACATAAAATTAATCGTGATTCCAACACTTGTCAATTTGGCACCCAGATAAAACTTTACAAACCATACTTAAACTCCAAATAAAGGCGCTAACAAGGTCATAATTTTACCTAACCTGATACAACTATCCTGTGCACAACCTGAAAGGCACTAACACCAGCTCCAGAAGAGGAGATAAAGTTTTTGAGTAATGTTTACTCTTCTCTTTGATATTATGCAACTTAAATACAATGACGTAAAATGAACAATACTTAAATACTATGATATATAGCCAATATATCTTAAGTTACATGATGAGGAAATACGAGAGAGAAGAAAACTGTTTGCTTGATACACACAGGAACATATTTCAACCAAAATAAAGAGGGATACTCATGACAATCATAGTCTTTTTTTTTTCTGTAACTGATCACTTGATTGTAGCTGATATTTATAATATAAGTACCTTCTTCCACTGCCTATTCTGTATAACCTTTGCTTAATTCAAGCACCTCAGCTGGTTGTGGTTCTTTACCAAGTGGGGTGATGTAAACCTTTCTTCCTGAAGTGTCTGGGCCATGAGTAGTCCTTCCTGAATTGAGTTGTTGGAATTTCCCATTGACCTTAATTGAAGGGCATGCTAATACTAAATGACACCCAAAGTGATCTCTTGTATTCCAGACATCCTCTTTCTTACCTCTATTGTGGAGCAATAGTTCCATTTTCCCTTTGTAGTCGGGATTAATCACTTCAGTCAGCACAGTAACTTCCTTTTTTGCCTATTGATTTAGAAGCAGGAGGTATCCAAAGTGGCTGGGTGTTGTTCTCAACTACTAACTCAAGGGAACCATTGTTGTAACTATTCCTTCCTTTGGAAGCAAGACCTCTAGGCCAGCAGAAGATAAGGTCACAAAAGGTAAGGAAGCAAAAATTTTGCTAGTGGTTCATGAGAGATAATAGTGAGCCATGACATTCCCATTTAGACCCCTTGATTCCTGGACCTGTGAATCCTGACTATAGTAGAATGAACAGCGTATAGTGGATGTTGACTCAAAGTATGCTCAACCTTCTGGAGAACTTTGGACTAGCACTGCAAGATATTGTCACCTAGCTATCACTGTAACTTGAGTCTTCAAAAGGCCATTCCACACTTCTATCAAACCAGCTGATTTAAAACAGTGGTAGTAAATGTGATAAAACCAGTGATTTCCAGGAGCATGAGCCCATTGCCCTACATCTTTTGCTGTGAAGTGAGTTACTTGATCAGAAACAATGCTGTGTGGAATAACATGATGGTGGAGAAGGAATTCTTTAAGTATATGAACAGCAATTTTGGCAGAAGCATTGTGTGCAGAGAAGGCAAATCTCTATCCAGGATGTCTAATCCAGTAAATACAAAACATTGTTCTTTCTATGATAGAAGCAGTCTAATATAATCAAACTGATCTCCCCAGTAAATGGTGCCACACTGGGAACTCGGTGTTGGTTTCCACTGCTGGCAGATTTGGTACTTAGAAGTGGCCAATACCCAGATTGACCTTGGTGAGTAGAAGTCTGTGTAGCTGATCTCATGGGTAGTCTCCATCCTTGCCCTTTTTTCATGAGCCTATTGGGCAGTGATGGGGGTTTCTGGGGAAAGAGACTGACTGGAATCCGCAAAACAGGCAATCTGAACCACTTGATTATTAAAATGCCCCTTTGCTGAGGTCACCCTTTGTTAAGCATTAACTTGGGACACAAATGTCTTCATGATTTCTGTCCATCCAGAAAGGTGTCTATTCACATATTTCTTTCCCAAATTTTTTTGTCATCAATTTTCCAATCCTGTTCCTTGCAAGTCCTTGACTATCCAGCCAAACCATTGACCAAAGCACATGAATCAGTATATAAACAAACATCTAGCCATTTCTTCTTCCAAGCAAAGTGAATGCCCAGGTATACTGCTGGAATTTCTGCCCACTAGGAATATTTCTCTTCACTACTTTCCTTCGGGGATGCCTGTGGGCCAGTCAGGTTAACACAAAAAATAAACCACCACATAGTATTCCTCTTCATGATGAGAAATGGTTTCACCAAGAAGATGGAATCCCACGCTCCCACCTCTACACCCGTCAGTTGGGAACCAGAGGTGTACACACGTACATTCATAAAGTACTACCATAAATCCAAGGTTGTTCTCATTTGCACACTGCCTGAAATAAATGCTAAAGTCAATCTTGTGAGAAAAAAACTTTCAAAAACAAACACATTCACAAACAACATTGCAGGGGGTATGGTTAACTATCTAGAAGATAGTTATTAAAAAAAAATGAAACCTAGCCACCCCCATGTTTTTATATAATGTACACTAACTCTACCACTTCATATCTTTCTTTTATAACAGGTTCTACTGGAATTCTACTTTTCTCTGAATTATTTTCTTTCTTTTTGTGCTGAGAAGTTAAACACACACACATACTCTTTTTGCACACACACAATTTCACTCCATCAATTCCACCATTCAATCAAGTGCTTACTGAAATCCAGAGAAAAAGCACAAGACATAACTTCTGTTTTTAGAGATTGTTTTATAGTCATCTAGGGAAGAAAGTCAAACACATACAAAAACTGGAGAAAAACTAGACTCTATTTAATCTGTTATTAGATTTTGTGGGATAGAAAATAAGTGTTATAAAGAGGAAAATCTCATAGAGACTAGAATATTTAACAAATCAGGGATTAGGGCATCAAATGAACCTTGAAGGATACCTAGGAGAGGCAAAAAGGCATAAAAAATCCTGGTATGAATAAAACTCATATTTAAACTGGATTATAAGAATGATGATAGTGTATAATAATGTGATTTTAAAATTCAGTTTGAAGCAATTTGTATCTTGGATTAAAACACAATCTAACTCCATTCTAGCTCCTTTTCTTCTTGATTCAAATACTTTTCTTAATGCATACAATTTATTTTTAATGCATACAATCCTAACAGATAAAGCATCTAAACAGATTTTTTTCCATGTATATCCAATAGTTACCATTCTGTTTTTCTCTCACTTGTGTCATACAGGTTGTGTGTAATACATGATTTAACTTGAAAATAAATATATTAGCTGCATTTATTCCACCCTGTAGTGCTGCACCAAATAGTCTCTGAAAAATAAATGCTATGCATCTTATTCAAATTAATCTATTCCACTCTAAAACCCCTCAAAACCATCTTGCTTCAGATGGTCCACATCTGACTGAGCTCTACAACTACAGTCACAAGGATTCAGCCTTAGACTGCCTGTTTTTCTAACATAATATTATAAAGACAGAGAAAGAATCAAAAGTAATCAGAGAAATGGTATTTCTATAAACAACATTTTTAGAAAACTAGAACTTTCTAGTGATAGGATACATCAACTCATGAGTTCCTCATTAGTGAAGGGATTCAAAGAAAGATGTGGTTACCTGCTTCTTCTTTCCAGGCTGCTGGAAGAGAAATTGTTATCTAAACCAAGGTTTGGACTCCAAGACTCCTTTTGGGTTTCTGGCTGTAACTTTCCAGCCTTTTGTTCAACCCTCCCTATTCACATTGACGTTCAAGCTTTCAGTCTCTTCATCTTTAAGAAGGAGATAATAAAACCAAACTTGCTCTTTTGCTGCGAGAATTAAATTGCATAGTACCTTAGCAATGCCTAGTTTAGCATGTGGGATCAATTGTAACCCCCACCCCTCATGTCACCCGTTGTTATGTTTTCAGCTTTACTGAAAAGATAATCACTCCCAAATTTCATGATAAAGCTAAATGCCAATACTGCCAAGATTCTTTTCCCAATTCCCCTAGTCAAAAATATTGCTTCCTCAATCTAATACATAATTTATTTGTACATCTTCATTAATACTTATTACTATTTAAACATTTATTTAATTGCCTCTACTTCATTGTCTGTGTCTTGAGAACAGGAACCACAATGCAAATCACCTGAGTATCCTCAGAAAATGAATGCAGTGACAACAGTAATGTACATTTTTTGGAGACTAATATATTCCAGGCGCTCTCTTCTTGGTTCTTTTACTCTTTTCAACAAATCCATGTCAAAGGTAGTATTATTATTCTTAGTTTGTAGAAGAAAAAAAAAAGCAAAACTCTGATGCTTAGGGGGATTCAGCAATTTGCTGAAATCACATAGCCACCAAGAACTTAAGCTGGGTTTTGAAATAATATTGTCTGATTTCATAACTCAACTCTTAGCCTCTGTGTTATGAATATGGTAGTCCTGATGGGAATCTACACTTTGTCCGTGGAGATACAGTTTGACACTTCTGTAGTAATAATACTCTTTATTTTAGCTAGGCAATGGAGAGAGTCCTGTATGGAAGGTGGGGTTAGTAAGAAGAGCTAATCAGAATGGAGTGGTGTTGCATGCAAAAGGGTAGATCCAGATATAACCACTGGGAAGGTCTAGCAGTGGAGACAGGGTTTATTGCAGGAGATAGGCAAGAAGGAAGACTGGACATGGAGTCTAGAAAGAGTAGCTTCATACATCATGCCCAGACAAGCAGCCAACATCAGGCAAATTCAACACAAAGGGAGGATCTTAACAGAATAATGGGGCATGAAAATGTTTCAGGAAAAAGAGCCATATTCAGAAATTCAGTAAGATAGGATTGGAAGTTCAGTTCTGGGACTGATTAGTCTCTCAGATAAACTTACTAGTGAAGGGTACATTTTTGGTTCTATAGAAAGTGTGTATCAAGAAACAGAAGTAGAGTATCAAGCAAGGATACAGTGACCAAGTTAAAAAAAAAAGTTACTGTCTGTGTTCAGGATCAAGACAGGCATTTACTGTGCCAGAAAAAGGTACAAGGTCGGAGACAAACTAGAAACAACACTAACATGATGCTGAGCTCAGTAATTGCATATTTTAAAGCCAAATTAGGTAGCGTTATAGATATCTTCCTTATGTCTAGGTAACTGTAGACCTTCAAGGGTACAAATCCAGGAAGATCCAGATGGGCATATTTTGTAGAGAGAGCCAAACTGACTTATTGAATGCTACTAAAATTAAAGCAATTTTAAAATTTAACATAAGCACCTAAAAGAGTTTTCTAGAGGGCCCATAACCAAAATTCTATCTCTCATAGACAAAGCAAATGACAGAGCCTATGCATAAATAATTACAGCATTTATATTTTTGCTTCAATTCTAGCTTTGTTTATAAAATTTTAGCATTTCTCAAAATCACCCAGAGAGCTTATTAAAACAAACATTTATGGGCCACCTCCAGAGTTTCTGATTTAGTATATCTGTCATAAGTCATCATAAATTGCATTATAACGAGTTCCCAGGTAATAATGATGATGTTGGTCCAGAGAGTACAACTTGAGAACCCCTGGATTAGAGTAAAACTTCTCCTAAGTTTCACTAATAAGAATTGATCCAAAGCCACTGACAGTAAAGCAGGGGTAGAAAACATAGGTGAAGAAAACAGCCTTGTCTAAAGGTGAGATTCCTTAGATTCATGGAATTTGAAAATCAACTGGATGGATGCATTTCCAGATTCTGAAACTCACCTGTCCATAACTGGAGCACCTGCTATACTTCCCAGTTTTACAGGTCTATATTCTTCTTTAAACCTATAATGTATTCCAAACATATCCTTAGCTGGGTTTCTACTCCAGCCTTATTTTGTTTGTTTATACCAACATGTTAATATTACATCATGATAGTATGTCTTCTCATGAAGCTAATAACATGTCCATCAAAACATGTCTTATTTTCTAATTTCACATTTTAATTTACCTACAACTTTTGAATTATATCTCTAATATGAAGGAAAATGTTGGCAAATAGCATGGTCTTGAACAGAGGCATTAAAAAGAAATGTGGGGAATGCTCACATTTCCACAAGGAGTTAAGATAAGCCAGGACTCCTTGCTAACAGCAACGGCAGAGTTGAGGAGCAGGTGTCCGGCATTAATCCACATAGCCTCATGATGTTAATGGGAGTCCTGTGGCTTCATTCCCAAGCACCACTTTGAACATTCATCCCAAGATATGAATTAACACAATGTAGTTCCTGCACTGCTGGGTCTTATTGCTTAATTAATGTGATCATAATGACAGTGGGGGACTCTAAATTTTCTGTCACTTCATATCCTATAAAGTTTCAATATAGTAATGAGCTTCATAAGAAGATGAGTCATTTGCATGTGCGAGTGTAAGTGAGAGGCTTGGAGGCAGTGTCCACCATTAAAAAGAGGTTATGCAGTGATATTGGGTAAGAAAGACATAGGATGTGGGGCCAGGCGCGGTGGCTCACGCCTGTAATCCCAGCACTTTGGGAGGCCGAGGTGGATGGATCACGAGGTCAGGAGATCGAGACAATCCTGGCTAACATAGTGAAACCTCATCTCTACTAAAAATACAAAAAATTAGCCGGGTGTGGTGGCATGCGCCTGTAGTCCCAGCTACTCAGGAGGCTGAGGGAGGAGAAAGGTGTGAACCCGGGAGGTGGAGCTTTCAGTGAGCCAAGATGACGCCACTGCACTCCAGCCTGGGCGACAGAGCAAGACTCCATCTCAAAAAAAAAAAAAAAGAAAGAAAGACATAGGATGTGCATCAAATTTTAATGTTTATGGATGAGTATCTTAGGGCTAAATTCTGCAGAATTAATTTTCATTCATTTGTACAATTTATCCATTGTTCTCCAAAGAGAAATAATCAGTTAACTTGACATACATTTAACTATCAAATTTTCCTCTCAGCAGGTGGTTATAAACTCTGTCTATATACAAAATATTATCCTATATTACACTGAGTGTGCTGTACTAGGGGTAAAATAATTCAAAGAAATATGACATATTTCCCCAGAGATAGTACAAAAGTAATTTTCTCCAAGTTTTTTAGATTTGCTGTGCTCTTCTTGTTCTTAAAATCTTTACCATTTGTAGCATTCAACACAATTATCTCTTAAAGTTTTCTTCTCCCTGGCCTGTTATCTCATTAAAGTCTTCTTGTTCTCCTTCTATAACTCCACTACTCTGTATTCTTTGGCTATTCCTCATTAATATAATATTTCAGTACAAGCAGCCCCCTAGGTTCTAATCTTTACCCTTTTCTCTGCCTCTTTTTTATTGTTTCTTTGGGTTATATTGTATATTTACACAATTTGAGCGATCAGCCTCAGAAAGAGGAGTCCCAGTGAAGTACGTTGGGAATCCAGAGAGTAAAATGTGTGGCTAAAATATGTAGGACATGCAATATTCTACCCCAGTCTCACATTTTATGTGACCAAAACTACCTTTGCACTAATATACAATAAGGTAAAAACAGAGATTTTTCTGAATAATTAACACAAATATACAAAA
The DNA here is from genome assembly GCF_000001405.40 of Homo sapiens. Taxonomy (NCBI): domain Eukaryota; kingdom Metazoa; phylum Chordata; class Mammalia; order Primates; family Hominidae; genus Homo; species Homo sapiens. The sequence continues at coordinate 39,069,357 of NC_000018.10, forward strand.
AGAAATTTTATCTTCATAATGTCCCATAGTGTGCCCAGTCACATATGGAGTTATGGGCTAAAGAACCATAAAGCTGATTGGAAGAGAATCCCTTTGGTTTCTGCACTAGAATTATGGACATTTGTTGCTAAATGAAATTACTTATCTGTATTCCCACCCTTTCTGGGGTCTAGAAAGCTATGTATGTCTTCTATTTTCAAATTTGAGATGGTTCAAAGAAGGGAGAATATTAATTTTCCCCAATATATACATGTATGCTATAGTGAAAATGGAAAACTGCCTTGATTATATGGACTGACAAGAAATCAGAACCTCAGGATCTCAAGTTTTTGAAGTTTAAAAGTAAACAGGATACTTTACATATGACATTTCATATTAACTTCTTAACATTCTAAACCTAAAATCTTACATTTTATTAAAAAAATTTAATTTCTATTCCACTGTGGTTATCATTATGATACCATGAGATTTTGAAAATATGAACCTTATATCCAGATCACTTTTAAACACAGCATATACAAAGCAGAAAATATATACATCAGCCTTGAGGTATGGGCACTAAAGATTGTCTCATCTTTAGTATGTATCAAATGTTAGGAATATGGAGTGTATAAAAATCGATTTGGCCAACATATATAAAAAAAATTCAAGGAAGGCCTGGGTTTTAGAACAGCATCAGTGAACAGAAAACAAAATGGTAAGAAATCAGGAAGGCACTTCAAAAAGTGGTTCCACTACAAAGTCAACCCAAACTTTTACATAAGTAATTGCAGACCAGGAAAAATTTGTACATGCAACATAAAAGAAAATAATAATAAATATACTGGACTGATCCAGAAAGTTCATGCTCTAATCGTCTCTGTAGTTCTTATGGGGTAGACACCAAAGCTATTATAATTGGTTCTTAGCTAATGTGATAATCAAGAATCGAAGCACCATGGAATCTTAGAACAAAACACCTCTGAATCTGAGATTCAATAATCTTCATTTTCTACAGGAAGAAACTAAGGACCAGGTAAGAAAAACATATGCCTAGAGAAACATACGTTTAAGTTTCACCTGGAACGAAACCACACGCCCTAACTTCCAACTGGGCTATCTAAATTGTCAGATGAAGTTAGTGGTGGTAATATCCAAAGAGTGAAGATTAAGTAAATATTAAGAGTTAATAGTTAAGTGAATATTATTATGTGTGACCTCCTTTTAAGAAGTTTATTGTATTTACCCTTCCCAAGGCCTTGGTTTCACAAAGGACATTAAATAACAGACCTTAGACATAAAAGAATAAAAACAATATTATGAGGTGTCAGACCATGGTTCCTTACTCCTTTCTGCCTCATGATTCACTTAAACTTACTTTGATCCCTCACCCAATATATATATTTTTTTATTTCTAAAGGTTTTTTTTTTTTCTGTTTTCTGAGCAAGAATATCACTGAAATCCTGGCCCCAAATTAAAATGAATGGTCATTCTATGAGGCATTCACCTTGGGAAGAAATTTTGCCATGGACTACAGTGAACTAAGATCATAATTTAAACCACTGACAATCAATAACAGTTTGGTTGCTTAAACCCCTGTCCAGTGTATTTCTTTTCTGCAGTAAAGGATCTAAGTCAAGGATGGAGTATATGCTATTTAATAGAGTAATGTACAATTCCAAAATTGCCATTGCTCTTCTTCCTTGAAGCTCTCTAAAGCCGTTTAAAATCACATGCATTTCTTTGTAACTATTCTTAAACCAAATGCTAATCTGAAGGCCAGTCTCTGAAGCTGGTTTGTAATCTCACACAAATCACTTGGAAGTGCCGAAAGGGGCCCAAAGAAGATTCCTTATGTTGTAATGGAATTCATATATTAAAGACATATTGTAAGAATAATTCAGCTGTCAAAATATATGTCCAATAGAATGATAATGTCTGGTATGCATCAATGTCTTGTGTTTCCAGTGAGATACTAAATTTTGCACATTATCTCAAATGCAAGTGTGAATTACTGCCGTGAGTCCTCAGGCTTCACTACATAGGATTGGTAATCTGTTGAAAGATTCCACAGAAATGTATTTCTACAAAAGAATGAAAATATCAACCTGATTGAAACTAATCTGACGGGGAGAAGTCCAGTTTGATGAGCTCACCCATAGCAAAGCTTTGGCTTCAAATAAACAGATGGCCCAGAACTCACTGGCTTAATGCCTGAGGCTTCAAGAGCCTTAGTGTGGGAGGCATAAGAAATATAGAAGAGTATCTTCACCAAAAGCTTTTGAGGTCTTTGGAATATAAATGATATATTCTTGAGATTCTTCTAAGTGACTGTAATGCAAAGTGGAGAGAAGTAGACCCCACTTTACCTTGGAAAAAGATGAAGTTTAGACACCATAGGCTTCTTTGCATGTGGCTTCTTACCAGTAGTGTGCAACAAAACATCCCAAGAGATAATGATGCCTAGCAGAGTGTTGGCTGAAATCACTGTGCCCAGGGTTGCGATGTGAGTGCCAAAAGCAAGACTATGAAAACTGGAGAAAGTATGGGAAGACTTAGAGAAGCAATAGTTTTGCTCAAGGAAAGTTCTGTAAGGCCCAACAAAGCGACAATTATAAACATGGGTGAAATGCCACCTGTAGATTCTTAGATATACTTTAGGAAACTTTGCAGCAGACTTCAGCTTGTATTAGAAACAAGATGGAAAGCCATTATATATGCAATAGCGCTGTTAACACGAACTCTTTTGTACTCACGGTTTGATAGGGCTGAGGAAACTTCACCTGATACACTTACAAGTTTTGTTTCCTACCATTTGCTAACCATCCAAGAGAATTTATACACCCTGTAGAATCTCCGAGTTCTTTTTATCAAAATTCCAGATTTTACATATCTGAAATTCAAAGCCAATATTCTAGATTGAACACTTTTTTGGCTACCTGAGTCCACTATGGTCTGTGTCTGTTCTCTGAATTTACATATCAATTATCATCTGTACCATTCATTTAATGAGCTTATTATATCCTTGTGTGTGTCATTGTTTGTATTATTGTCCTGAATGCCTAAAACTGCAGAAATGTTCTACACACAAAAGTAGGTTCTATCTCCCTTACTAGACTATAAACTCTCCAATGCTGTTCAGACTTGTCTTTGTTTAGCTTAGAGTAGTTTCTCCTATGTCATAACAATGGTGGATAGTCAAAAGCACTTGAATGAATGCATGAATGAAATATTTAATTTTCCATCACTAAGTCCATGATGATTTTTTTATAGTTCATCTATTTAAACTATATCGTAGCCAATAATAAATAAATGGCTGAATGCTTCCTCTCAGTAGGGTGTAGTGACACCCTGGGACAATTTCTCATTTGTCAGAATTGCATTTGGATATACATGCAAGGAGAAAAGTAAAAAAAAAAATAGACAAAAATCTGCTGATAAATTTAAAATTTTTCGGTAAAAACACAGCAGTAAAACAGCTGAAGCTCAAATGTAGAGAATCATGTCTCCTGAAAATAAATATGCCCCAAGCTCATAAACACCAAGGCGAGTGGTCAGGAATGAACAGATGTTTATTGCCTCATGCACCCTCTGCTACTCTGGGATAATCTCTTAAATATCCCAAATCCAGTTTGAATTTAAATTAGATTCATATTTTCTTTCACGATTATTCCATTAAAAATATCATATGATTAGCCAATTAAATGGAGAGAAAAAAAATCAGTAGGAGAGCAATCCCCTTTAATATTTTCAATTAAGATGTAGTGTGGCCAATAAAAACGGCTTACATTTTCATTTTATGGGTACCTATGGAGAGCATTATGACACAAATGACTCAGAAGAAGGTAATCGTTTCAAAATATATTGTAGTGGAAGACTGTAAACAGTGCAGTGTGTTAGCTTACAAGGGATGTGATGAAAATATAAAGTTTTTTTCAAAGGGGATTCATGTTTATTTTATAGTCTTTTAGGGTGCTTGTGCCTGCCAATTTACAGCACATATTTCTAAAATGCCACAGACTGTTCTCTCCTAGGGAAGGGTTGGAAGGTGAGGATATACCCGTTAGGGGATAATATGTTTTTAAGGAGAAGAGGGTCATGCAGCAATTCCATCCTGTCTGCTGCCTAGATTTGAAAGGGAACTTCACCAGGGCATAGAATAAAACCTTATTTTCTTATAGAACCATAAGGGAAAGCCTGACGCTACTTGATGTCAAATGCAACAGGAATGTGGAAAGTTTGTAACTCACAGCATAGGTATCAGTTATTTTGAGATCTGTAACCACTGATACTGGACTGAATTATTTCATTTTTTTTTTCTGACTTCTTGAGATTGTGACTCCAATTAATCTCAATCTTAATACTACTTAGCGGTTATAGTAAGTCAACATTTTTTTTCTACAAGCTCTTCTGTATATTTTATTAATTAATTAATTATTTTTATTTATTTATTTTTTGAGACAGAGACTCGCTCTGTCGCCCAGGCTGGAGTGCAGTGGCGCGATCCCGGCTCACTGCAAGCTCCGCCTCCCAGGTTCACTCCATTCTCCTGCCTCAGCCTCCCGAGTAGCTGGGACTACAGGTGCCCGCCACCACGCGCGGCTAATTTTTTGTATTTTTAGTAGAGATGGGGCTTCACCGTGTTAGCCAGGATGGTCTCGATCTCCCGACCTCGTGATCCGCCCGCCTTGGCCTCCCAAAGTGCTGGGATTACAGGCGTGAGCCATTATATTTGATTTTATTGGATTAACATGAATGAAATTCTCATAGGCTGGGGAAGGTTCTCAACTCCTCCATATTAAAAATGTGTATCCCAGTGGGGTAATGGTGAGGGGGAAAAAGGGAACTAAATAAATAAGTTTATTCTAGCTTTATTGAGAAATTGTATGTGTGATTTTGACTGAGCAGGAGCTTATCATGACTATATGAGTTTAGGATACATCCTTGAACATAGAGATGTAATAAATATTTATTTGGTCATCAAGGTAAAAGCAGATCAAAATAGTATTGAGAACACTTCTCAACAAACTTAAGCATCTATGAAAAATAATAAAAGCAACTGGAAATTAAAAGACATAACGACTAATAATAGAATTTCAAAAATTTTAAAAATTCTTTAATTGAAACATGTTATGTGCTTACCATGTATCAGACCCTGACTAAACCTTTAACATACATTATTTGCCTCAATCTTTTCCACAATCCAGTGAGATTGGTATTATCAACAGACTAATAAAGACCACATGCTCAGCAAGTGCCAGCAAGTTGGAAAATAATTACTACATTTAGGGCCATGTTGGTATAGAATTCACCTGATAGTTACATGTACTTGACACTGCTGTAAGCACAGGAAATACACGAGAAAATAGAGGTGAACAAGTCATTGAAGATCCCTTCACTCATGGAATTTATATTCTATCTATTTTGAGTATAATTAAAATTTGGTCCCCCAGCTATTTAATAAAATACCTGCTTTTTTCTAATGAATATGATGAAGAATTAAACATGTGAAACCAAACATAGACCAAAGCTTTTTTCCCCCCCTTTAAGTCATGCTCATATAGAATAAACCTGTTTTCTACCTACTTTTGTGTTACCCAGTAATTATATAAACTATATTAACAGTTAATTCAAATCCTAGACTTCAGGTATGAATTAGATTCAGTCTGTGTTTACAGGAAGATCTGGAAGAACACTGAATCTTTTGATAAAATGATTTTTGGCCACAGGCATAAAAAAAGTCAAGAAGTTTGTTGTATCCATTTCCCTACCCATAAACAGCTAGTTTAAATTTTCCAAATGATTATGTTATCTTATTTTCAAAAGCTGTCCTATAGGAATTGTCTCAAGATTATTCCTCTTAGGGAATTTCACCATCACTCCCCTCAAGAAGATTTTCATTTTACCAATTATCAAGTTTTAAGTGGAACTATGAGGTACTCTGAACGTGAAATTTCAGGTCTTACACTGTGAAGAAGACATCTACAGGTCTGGCAGTCTTCAATGCTGTCCCTAACATTATATCACATAAATAGTTAATGACACAATCCACAATTATGACTTTAACAATTATATGATTTGCTACCCTAACTTTCTGTTTTCCCACTAATTCTGGTATGTTTTCCCCAATCAAGACGCACTTGTTAAAAGTTTTCATGTTTATTATGATTGGCCCAGAAGAGCTCTCTTGCAACTAATCATTTTCTTCTAAGACTTTGAAGGCCGTAATGATGACATATGTATTTTAAAGATTTTGATATCTGCTGTGTATACATATGGTGATGTTGGGTATTAAGTGTCTTAACAAGTGACAAAACATTGATTTGGTTGAGTAAGTTCCAAACTGAGAACTTGTACTGAGAATGTGCAAGGCACTGATTATTAATAGTAAATACAAGAGACAGAAATGTGTGCATTAATATTGGATCATTCATATACAAGTTACAGTAGCATAACGTTAGTCTCTGTTTATCTATAAAATGTGAATAAAAATATTTCTTAGGATTTCAATAATTTTTAAGTTATACAGTTTATAGAAAGCATTCAGCACAGTTTCTGGCACATGAAAATTGGCATAGACATGGTAAATACCATCATCCTCATCCAGTTGTCCTGCACATCAAAACAGTTATAAACTTGAGTAGTTTGAAATAAAACAAGTGTTTTATTCTTATCTATCCTATGTCATGCAAGAAAAACCTTCATGATTTCTGTATCTCTATAAATTGCGAAATGACCATGAATGTGAACATGATGGACAGTTGTGTAATGAACATAATTTGAAGACATTTCTTCTAAAACATAAATGTGTGTATGTGTATATACATATATATTTTGTTTGTATACATATATATTTTGTGTCTATAAATTTTGTGTGTGTGTATATAGACACTAAAATTTATATACACAAATTTATATATAATATGAGATATATGTGTATATGTGCATGTATGTTATATTATATATAATGTGTCATACATATTATAATTATAATTATGTATATATTACATGTTATAATACATAATACATATAACATATGCATATTATAATATATAATGTATATTAACATATATAATATGTAGATACATATATACATATAATATATAATACATATTATATGTACATATGTATGTATATTATATTTTATAGAATATATAATACATATTATAATATGCATACATGTATTATATGTATATTATATAATTTATATTATATACTATATGTGATATATTATATACAATGCATATTATGTTAATGTATAATACATATAATACATGCATTATATAAAATGTATACATTTTATATACTGTATATATTATATATACACTTTACAATGATTATATATACACTATTATATACATATATATATTTGTATCACACCAGGCTTGAAATTATTTTTGTTCAGGTCATTTATTCACCATGGTTGCCTTGATTCTAGACTGTTAATCAGGCCATAACTTCTACTGAGTGGAGCTCAAAAATTGAGTTAAAAGTCACACTTTTGTATGGAAAAATATTTTCAACTCTTTGTTCTATTCACTCCGCCAATATGTATTATTATTATTGTTATTTATTTTAGCTTGGGCCTTCTATCCTGGGATATGTTTCTTATTTCCTCTCTGTCATAGAAGAGATTGGCAAAATTAGTAAATTAAGTTAGGGTCCAGTCTTAGAATCAGCCAGTATTCTGAGGAGGCAAGGCACAAAGAACTTCATTCTAGTTTACTAATTTTGTCATTAATTTTCATATTTTTCAGTCTAGCATCTTATACAACATCTCAGACATGTTGGCTCTGAATATGTAGACTTACCCAAGAACTTCCAATAGATTGGCTCTTACTTCTGCCACTATTGTACTTTACATTGAATCTCACTTCCTGTCAGTTAACATTATTCCATATGCTTACTATTATCAAGGAAATTACTGTTAGTTTCTGCCTTTTAAAATAGGTATTGTTTTAATAGAATCTCAAAACGAATATAGAATAATGAAAAAAAGTATAGCCTTCTGTTTCTGACTTCAAATCAAGATAAAATACAGTTTTAAAAACTAGTTTGAAGACCTGACAACAGAGGTATCAATATTGTGAGATAAATAAGCTTTTCAAAGAGAAATTTTATTTTTTTACCTTCTGGAACATGATACATAATAGCTTCTTAGTACATGCTGATGAATGAATGATTGAATGACTTGCTAAATGGATCAGATATCTTGTACCCTGATTATGAACATGTCTATCATTATTTGTGTGAATTTGGACACATCACTAACCTAGTGTCCTGAGCCTCAGTTTATGTGTCCACAAATTGGAGAGAATAATATTTTCTGAAAAGCCAATTTGTGAAATTAAAGGAAATAGTAATAATAAAATTGATTTGAAAAGTGTAAAGGTTAGATACCCTACAGCTTGATAGTTATATAAAAAATGCACACCCCACACACACCCCACACAGATGCTTACAGAATATACTAACAGCTCTAAGAAAGAGTACATTATAACACAGACCTAGTAGAGGGCAGGGAAGGAGGAGTAAGAAACTATACATAGACATTTATCCCCTTTCCCTTATGAAACCAATCTTCAATCTGGGGCAAGAGGTACATAAAACACAATATTTTAAGGAAAATTGTCAAAATTAATTGCAATTGAGGAAAGTCAATAGAAAAAAGCCCCTGTGCATGAAAGAGAGAACTTAATATATGCTGTACCCGGAACTCTACTGGGAGAGGGGAAGAAGTGAAATGACCACACTCTCATACACCATGCATGGCTAAACCAATAAAAACAACAAATAACAGCCACATCACCCTAAACTTATATCAAGATAACATGCTTTAAATAAAAAGCAGCTGCAGAACACTCTAGGGGAATGGACAGAAGAAAAGCAAGAAAATGTCAAAAGACCTTCTTGAAGGAAAAGTACAAAGGTAGTGCCTAAAGTATAATGCTGAACAGTTATTACTCTGGCAAATCAAAAAGTACCCTAAATACAAGTTTATCCCTACAGAAATTAGAAGGTAGTAGTGCAGTGAATGCAACCATAGCAACAATAAACCTAAAACTTGCCCGAATATTAACTAGACAAACTCAAACATCTATTGAAAAGCCAAACAGAAGGAAGATGTGTCCATTTCCAGGTCAAGAAAACAAGCAAACAATTTACGTTTGTCACCTACTATCTTACTAAGATGTCTTGCTCTCCACAAAAGATTATGAGGTCTGCAAAAAGTCAAGAAGAAAGCATACTCCCAAGGGGTAAAACAGTCATCAAAAGAAAACTCAAAGAGAACAAATATATTAGACCTAGCTGGGAGAAAATATAAAATAAGTAAGATTAATATGATAAAACACTAATGAAAATGAGATCAACACTGAGATGGATAAGTAATTTCAGCAGAGAGATGAAAATTATAAGGAATAATTATGTAAATACTAGAAATAAACCAGAGTAACAGAGGCAAAGAATATCTGATGTGTTAACCAGTTGACATAACAAAGCAGAGGAGATAATCAGTCAACTATAAGACAAGTTAATAAAAATTGTCCAAACTGAAACATAGTAAGAAAAAAGAGTGAGGACAAAAAGAAAGAAAAGAGTGTCTAAAGCCTGGAGCCTATATCAAATAGCTTTACAAATAGGAATGAGCAAGGCAGAAGAATTATTTGAGAAAAATAATGGCCAAGAATTTCTCAACATTAATAAAAGAATTTCTCAACATTAATATTGAACCACATATTCAAAAATCTCAGAGAAAAATTAAGCAGAATAAAGACTGTTTTTAAAACAACCTGAATATTGAATACAATATATCTTCTAACTGATGAAACTTTTAAGAAAATCTTGAAGGTAGATGGATTAAAAAAAAAAGCATCATATGTAGAAGAACAAAGATAAGATTTACAGAATATTTTATGCCAGAGGCCATAAAACCAGAAGACAACAAAGAAATATCTTTTTAACTGCTGAATGAAAAAGAACAACAAAAACCAAAGTCAACCTAGAATTCTATACTCAGTGAAAATATCTTTCAAAAATACTTTCTCAGAAAAAATTATTCTACAAATAAGTAAATAAAGTTCTTCAGAAAAACAATATTTTATATATGTGTGTGTGTGTGTGTATTAGACTGAAATTTTGCATTTTGTTAAAAAGTGATGAGTACTGGAAATAAAATAAATGAAGTAAAATAATTTTTATTACTTTCAATTGTTCTGAAATGTTAATGCATATCTAGAAACAATAACAATGTAGTATGTGCTCATATCATGAAAAAAGTAACTTTTATGACAAAAGTAGCATAAAGAACAGTAAGGAATGAAGTCGTAATATATAGTTGTAAAGTACTTATGTGGACATGAAGCATTACTATATTTTATGAGTATACACTTGGATTAAAGATTAATTAATAAAGTAAACCCTTGGGCAAAAATACACTATAAATGAAGGGTGTATATAATAAGTCAATAGAGAAGAAAAGATGGAGTCCTTAAAATTCTCGATTAACATAATATGGAAACATTAAGAAAAATGATGGATTTTAATCAAATTATGTCAACAGTCACATTAAATATAAATGGTCTAACTATATGAAATAAAAGGCAGAGATTGTCAGATTGTATTAAATAAAATCCATGAACATGAAGTTTACAAGGATTCAGCTTTGAATATAAATAGATAAGTTAAAAGTAATAGTATGAAAATGATTATGCTATGCAAACACTTTCCAGAGGAAACCTTATGGAAATATTGTAATAGCACATAAAGTAGAATTTAGAAGTAGGAAATTCATCCAGGCTAAATTAAGGCATTACATGGTAAAAAGGTGGTCAATCCTCTAAAAAGACTACCTATGCATGCATCCAACAAGGGGACCTCATGATGCCTAGGGCAAAAAATTATAAAACTAAAAAATGAAATAGAAAAATCCAAATTTATAAGTGAAGGCTTTAACACTTTTGTCTCAGTAACTGGTAAAATAATTAGAAAAAAAATTTATGATATAAAAAGGCTGTGCAACAATTTCAAAGTACATCTAAATTACATCTATAAAACATTCCACCCAGCAAAAGCAGAATATATTTCATATTCAACTTCTCAATAAAAATTAATCAAGTTAGACCACATTCTGAGCCATAATATAAACAATAACAAATTTAAAATAGTAGAATTCCTATAAAATAAGTTGACCAGACCGTAACAGAAGTAAATTAAATAGCAATCAGACAGGTAATCTGAACAATGCCAAAAATGTTGAAAATTTTAAATATCATTTTAGTATAACCTTAAGACAAAGAGTTAGTCCCAAGGAAGTTTTTTTTAAAAAAGAAAACAAATTAAACAAACCACGAATTTTAAAAAACAATCATAAATTTAAGTGCAAAATGTAAATATAAGTTTAGGAAAAGATGTTGAAGAAAATGTGTGGGCTCTTGGGTTGGGTAAACATTTTTTTTGTTTTTTTTTGTTTTGAGACAGAGTCTTGCTCTTATCACCCAGCCTGGAGTACAATGGCAGGATCTCGGCTCACTGCAACCTCCGCCTCCTGGGTTCAAATGATTCTCCTGCCTTAGCCTCCCAACTAGCTGAGGTTACAGGCAACAGCAAACATGTCTGGCTAATTTTTATATTTTTAGTAGAGACAGGGTTTCACCATGTTGGCCAGGCTGGTCTTGAACTCCTGACGTCAGGTGATCCACCTGCCTCGGCCTCCCAAAGTGCTGGGATTACAGGCATGAGCCACCACACCCAGCCCAGTAAACAGTTTTTATATGTGCCACCAAAAATATGATTTACGAAGTAATGTTAATTGAATTTTTAAGAATTTAAAAATGCTTTCTAAGTTAAAGATACTATTCAAATAATTTTAGAAGTCAACAAACGAATAAAATGTTGACAAATTAAATATCTACTAAAGAAATTTTAAGCTCTTACAGTTCGGTAATAACTGAACAAACAACTCAATTATAAATGGGCAAAATACACAAAGAGAAACAAAACTAAAAAAGACAGATGGGAAATAAGCATGTTCTAGCATCAAAAAAGTTCAGCACAAATTGGAAATAAATTAAAATGTATTAAAATGGCTTAACATGATTGTCAATATCAATGATGTTGAAAATATAGGATAAATCTAACTCTCATATACTGCTGGCTGGTATATAAAATCACAGCCGCTTTAGAAATCAGTTTAGCAGTTTCTTCTAAAGTTAAACCTGCATTTATCATACAACTCATGAATCCTATTCTTAGATATTTACTCACATGAACTGAAAAATGTGTGTGCACTAATGTTTTTAGAGCTTCATTTATAATCACCAAAAACGGGAATGACCCATATTTCCTTCAACATGTAAATACACAAATATTTTGTTTACATACATGCAATAGGATACCATTCAGCAATAAAAAGGAAAGAATTAGTAATTCACAAAACATGGATTAAATTTAAGTGTATATTTCTATGTGAAAGGAGCTAGACTCAAAAAGCTACATATTTGATTTTTATTTATTCTGTAAAAGGCAAAACTATAGGGAACATATGAGTGGTTGCCAGGGTTTGGGGTAGGAAAATGGGTTGCCTACAAGGGTAATATAAGAATATTTTTGCAGCTATGGAATTGATTATTGTGGTACTACGATGGTATGCACATGAGTCTATGCATTTATCAAACCCATAGAACTGTACACTAAAAATGTTAGCTTTTATAGCAAGAACATCAAAAGAAAGTATCAATCAGGACACTGGAAGAAGCCAACATGGAATGCAGACTGTGACAAATGCATCTAACCATATTACAAATTAGTAACATCACTGCACTGAAGAGGGTACAGATGAAAGGAGTTGATCTTATTAATTTTGAAAAGCAGTTTATTTTTCATTTTTTTCTAAAATTATACAAAATTTAAAGATAAAGGAAAATATGCTTATACCATTATATGTTTATAAATACATATTTATAAGGTGTAAATATAGTATATACATGTTATAAGATTACATATAGATAAAATATTTCTCATTTATTTTGAGTCATAGGTGTCTTAGAAGTATACTGCTTACTTTCCAAGCAGTAGATCAATGCCTAGTTATGTTTTTGTTATTGATTTTTAGTTTAATTTCACTGTGATGAGATATCAGAGTATGAATATGTTTAATTTAAAAATATGTACATCTTGAGCTTCCTTAACATAACAGCATGTGGTACTTTTTTTGTGAATATGCCATGTGCACTTGAAATAAAGATGCATTCTGTCATTGTTTTGTGCATTAAAATCAAGTTTGCTAATTGTATTGATCAAATCTTCTATATAAATTTACTGATTTTTTTTGTTTGCTTTCTCTAATGACTACCAAAAAGAAAATGTTCAAATATTCCATTATGATCATGGACTTATTGTTTTATCCTTTTTGAAAAATATTTTATTTTATTTTTGTTTTATACATATTGACACTATGTTATTGAGGACACAGAGATTTAGGGTTGTTATATATTTGTAATGAACTGACTCTTTAATCATTACAAAGTGTCCATGAAACTTCATAAATCTTAATATGTTGTGTTTTCATTTTAACTCAGTTCAAAACACTTTCAGTTATTTTTTCTTATTTTTTTCTTTTAACATATATTATCTGGAAATATGTAATCTACTTTTCAAATATTTAGGGATTTTACAGAAATTTTTGCATTATTAATTGGTAATTTAATTTCATTGTGATCTGGGTATGCAATTAGTTTGACTTTAAAGCTTTTAAATCTATTGAGAAGTTGTTTCTAAATCATTTTATCATTATTACTTTTAATGATCCAACATATGGTCTAGGTGTGTATTCTGATTTTATTGGCTGGCACATTCTATAAATGTCAATTAAGTCAAGTTGTTAAATACTGTCCAAATATTTTATACCATTACTGATTTTCTGTCAATTTGTTCTACCAATTATTAAGAGAGAGATATATAAATATCTAAGTGTAACTGTGGAGGTATGTACTTCTTCTTGATGTTCTTTCAATTTTGTTTATAATATTCTGAAATTCTGCTATCAGACCCATAATCATTTGCAATTATTGTGTCCTCTTAATATATTGAATCCTTTGTCATTATGGAATGACCTCTTTATCCCAGATAACATTTTTTTTTTATATTTTCATTGTCTGATATTAATAATGACACTCCAACCTTTTTTTGGTTATTATTACCATGTCATGTTTTTCTCATTCTTTTACTTTCATATTTTACTCTGGGAATGTCTTGAAGTGTATTTCTAGTAGTCAGTAGACTGTCAAGTCTTATCTTTTTATTCAATCTAGTAATGTCTTTAGATTAGATTATTTACAACTTATATGATTACATATGTTTAGGTTTAAATATTTTATCCTGTTATTAGTTTTCTATTTGTCCTGTTATTTCTTCTTTTACCTGTTTTCCTTCCTTTTTTTTATTTTATCTAATTTGCTGCCTTATTAGCTATGGCAGTTTTATGTGTCTTTATGTTTCTAAGACATTTAGTGTTTTTTTAGGATTTATAGTGTGCATCTTTAACTCATCACAATCTACCTTCTGGTGATACTACACCACTTATAAAGTAAAGGACTTTACATTAGTACACTTCCAAATCTTACTTTCTATTCTTCGTTCCATTGTTACACATTTTATTTCACATATCTGTAAAGCCTATAGTACATTGTTAATTTTTAGTAGTTATATTCAAAAGAGATTCAAATGGTAAGAAATAAGTTTATATGTTAATTCATATAGTTATCATTTTTTGGTATTTCACATTGATTTGAAAGGTAGTACATATCTTAATCCATTAACATTTTTCTTCTTCCTGAAGGGCTTCCTTTAACATTTATGGTATGGAGGGTCTGGCATTGATAAATTCTTTTAGTTTTAATTTATTTAAAATGTAACTAACCTGCACAATGTGCACATGTACCCTAAAACTTAAAGTATAATTAAAAAAAAAAAAAAGAATCTTCATTTTGCCTCTATTCTAAAATAAAATTTTTACTTGACATATAATTCTAGGTTGGTAGGTATTTTGGTTTTGTCTTTGCAGCACTTTAAAGGTGCTGCTTTAATATATTTTGGCTTACATTGTTTTTGAAATATTGTCTGACATCCCATAATAGTTTTTCTGTATGTAATGGGACTTTTTTCTCTTACACTTTTAAGAGTTCTATTAAATATTGATTTTGAGAGCATTGATTTTCATATACTGTGATGTAGTCTATGTTATTTTATGCTTAAGATTTATTGAGTTAATTAAACCTGCAGTTTTACAGTTTTCTGGAAAAAATGGCTACATTAATTCTGGAAAAAAATTGGCCATATTTATTAAAATATTTTTGTATCCCTTCTCTTTGTCTTTGTGGACTCCAATTATACATATAGTGGTCTATTTGAAATTCTTTCACAGATCACTGACGCTGTGCTCATTTTTAAAATTCTTTTCTCCACTTTTGTTATTTTTAATTTATATTTTAATGTGCTCAAATTCACTAATCTTTTTATCTGCAATATCTAATCTGTCATTAATATCTTCCAGTTTATTTTTAATTTTAGCGATTATTGTTTTTATCTCTAGTAGTTTGGTTTGCATCTTTTTTGAAAATATCTTAAGTCTTTTTTAATTTTTGAAAAGATGTAGTTAGCTGTTTTAAAGTTTTAACTAGCATTAGTTTAGGTCAATTTTGATTAGTTGTTTTTTCTTATTATAGGTCACAATTTCCTGCTTCTTTGTGTGTCTAATAATTTTTGATTAAATAACAGCTATTATGAATACATTTTTGTGGTACTAAATATATTTTTGAATTTTCTTTTAGCACAATTTAAGTTACTTATAAATAGTTGTATTATTTTGGGCTTTTTCTGAGATGTCAGGTGGGACCAGAGCTGTGAAATACTTCAGCAATGTGAACTGAAAGGCAAGACCCTTCTTATTACTCTAGCCAGTGTTGCACAAATTATGACATTTTCCAGTCATTTTGGTAAAAACAGAAACCATGTTCAGCTCTGTGCTAGTGTCTCCTACTGCTCCCTTGGTTCTTTCTGGTGGCTCTCTTTTTTTTTTTTTTTTTTTTTTTGAGATGGAGTTTCACTTTTGTTGCCCAGGTTAGAGTGCAATGGCACAATCTTGGCTCACCACAACCTCTGCCTCCTGGGTTCAAGCGATTCTCCTGCCTCAGCCTCCCGAGTAGCTGGGAATATGCCCAGCTAATTTTTGTATTTTTAGTAGAGACGGGGTTTCTCCATGTTGGTAAGGCTGGTCTTGAACTCCTGACCTCAGGTGATCCGCCCACCTCGGCCTCCGAAAGTGCCGGGATTACAGGCGTGAGCCACCGCCTTTGGTGGTTCTTTTTCTGGACTCAAGTAATTACCTGACATACATGCAAGAAACTGTACTCTGCTGTATAATCACATCTGCTTATGTTAGAATTCTCTCACTTCTCAGTCTCAAATCTGAGTCACTCTGTCCTGAAAACTCCAGCTGCTTTGGTCTTCCTGGACTCTCAGTTCTGTATTTTTCACTCAAGATGACTGTCTGGCTTTGCCTGGATTTCACTTCCCTGTACTGTAGACTAGAAATTCTCCCAATGAAGTAATCTGGGGATAAATCACGTGGTTCACTTTCCCCCCAATCTGTCAAAAAAAGACTATCCTCTATTTCTTAAGGTCCAATATCTTAAAAACTGTTTTAGCCTAAACTTTCTCTCTTTTTGGTTGGGGGTGGAGATCATTTGGGTTAGTATCTTAGTCTATGTTTTATTGTTGTAAAGAATACTTGAGACTGGGTAATATATAAAGAACGAACGTTTATTTCTTGTAGTTCTGTATGTAGGGCAGTTCAAGATCAAAGCAATGGAAGGTTTTGTGTCTACTGAAGTCTCAGTCTTTGTTCCCAAGATGGTTTCTTGAACACTGCATCCTCTGTTGTGGGTGTGGAGGTGTGAAGGGCAGGAACACTGTTCTCACATGGCAGAAAAGCTGAAGAGTAAAGAAAGAGAGCAACAAGGGTCAGACTTGCCCTTTCATACCAGCACTAATACCATCCATGAGGGTGGAGCCCTCCCTCTTGGCCTAGTCATATCTTAAGTGTCGATGTTTTAATACTGTTACAATGGCAATTAAATCTCATCATGAGTTTTGGATGGGACATGCAACCTATAGAAGATGGTAGTCTGGTTATTTCTCCATCTTGGCTAGAAACAGAAGTCCAGATAACTGGAATATTACAGTAGTTTTTACATGACATCATTTCATTTGAAATAATAATATAACATTTCACATACTTCAAGGTATTCTTGAAGCTACCTTTTATAAAACTGTGTTTTGTTTTTGTCTTTTTAGGATATCTGTCTTATCACTTAGAAATTTTGCATATGTCTCATCTTTATCCCTACAAATCTTAACAATTGTTGACATCTCTGAAAGTGTTCCTGCCTTCAGCATAACCCTTGAATATATGTTAGCTTATTTTGGGGTCCTATGACTTTATACAGTTAAATCTAACTTCATGGCCTTAAGTTTTCTTTAACATCAAGATTTTGTGTTGTACTTCTTTTCTACCATCAATAGCACCTAGCACATTTTATAAGTACATACATAGTATGTACACGGTAAGCAAACATAGTGTTATCATCAATAAAAGATATAGATTGAATTTTAAAATTACACCAAAAAATAATATCTGCTTTATTTTTAGGTTATATAAAATTGCAAGATTTAATACTCTGATAAAATATATATAGTACTTTAAAAATTGCAACCTAAAATAACTGTTGAAAAATATGTAAACAGAAAATACCACCTGGGGATTACACACAAGGATGGGAAGCCTATACGATGTGACTAGCATACTTGATGATCTTGTCTTCCTCAGAGGACAATATGAATCTAATTCTGAGCTTCTCAAGAGAAAAAAAAATTGGCGTTTAATTAACTCCATGAGGCAGACAAACATAGCTCAAGTGATCTTTATCTCTGATGTTTGCCTTGGATGCTTTCAGAAATGAAAAGCTTTCAACAATTTCACACTTTTTGTAGTATTCCTTTAAGGTACCTTCAGGCATCATGCACATAAGGTATATGCATAATATGGCTTTATTTATGGGGACACTTGCTGGGGCTTGTAAGAAGCTCTTTTGATATTACTATTCCAATATCAGAATGCTTATACTGTGTTACTTATGTAAGCACCTCTGGGAAAATATACTTTTCTTCTATAAAAAACATAAAAGTTTAAATAATACACATGCAAAATACTATTGTACCTCTTCCAATAAACCTAGACATATAATTTCACAAATTCTTAGAAACTACTTGAATTGACTATTCAGGTAATTATTGACCTTTTGAATTTATGTATTTGTTAATTTAATGTCATAAAAATGGAATCATAAAGTAAGAATCTTTAATACAAAATGAGAAAACTAATAATCACTAATATGACAAATATTTCAGGAAGTATTGTTCATCACTTCTGTGTTCCAAGCTACAAGAAAACTCCTAGAGGTAAAGCAGCCAACAAAACTGAAGGTTATTTTATGGAGGCTAAGGGGAGACAGAGAGAAAACAACAAACAGATAAATAAATGGACCAGAAAAATATCAGATAGAGTTATGTAGAGAATTTTTGAAAGAGCGACAATATATAGAATGTCAGGGGGTGGGGTAGGAGTGGGGCTAATTTTGGTTGTGTAATCATAGGTACATATTTCTGATGGAATATTATTTAAACCAGACACTAAATGACGAGAAGTAAGGAATGGACTGATTAAAGGGAAGACTTTTCAAAGCAAAGAAAATGGCTCAAAGACCCTAAGGTGATATATTATTTAGGGAAAGCTAATGATCATGGCTTAACATATAAAAGATTACTTCTCAAATGCTTTTGCAACAGGGGTTCGCAAATATTGTTTCATCAAGCCACTTAGAATCTTGTTTAGGCTTCACCTGACTGAGACCCTACCAATATTTTGGCTGTGCCATGTGCAACACAAGGCCTTTACAGATGGGAAGGCAAGGAAAGAGAAGGTAGGGAATCACACATAGGCTTTCACTGAATTGGCTTGGAATTTAGGTGTCATTTCTGCTTTCATTTTCTGGCTAGATCTTATCAAACATTCTCCACAATTGAAAGGGGGGGCTTAGAAATGAAACCTAACATGCTTAGAGTCAGAGAAGAACTGGATAGTGGTGAACCCTCATAATATCTCCCCTAGGTAGAGAAACAGCTTGAAAAATTTAAGGGACACAGTACAATCAGAGAGTACTAGAATGCAGAGAGGAGGAGAAAGTGGCATGAGATGAGATTGTAGATACAGTTGAAGATTTTTTAAGGATTCTGTAATTCAAGGGTTAGTTGTTTGGATTCTATCCTAAGGATAATAGGAAACTATTAGATGCTTTAAAATGATCATATAATCTTATTTTCACTTTTAAAAGATCAGTCTGGATGTTATATGGAAAATGAATATCGGGCACAATGAAGAGGGAACCCAGTAGAAGGCAGTTGCAGTCTTTTAGGAAATGTGTTGATATGATGGTAGTCAAGATGGAGAGAAGTGGATTCATTTATAATATGTTTGAAGGTAAAATTGACTGGATCTCTTGAGAGATTGGTTGTGGAGGGAAGGATAATATTTACATTTTTGTCTTTGGTGAAAACAAGGTGTCTACTTACTATGATGAAAAAGATGTGTGGGGGGTGCAGATTTGTGGTGTAAATCCAGAGCAGTACTTTGAGCTTGTTTGCTTGGTATAGTATAGATTAGTAAGGGTTATAAAGAATAAATGTGGTCTTGGTGATTCAGGAAGTCACTGAGGATGGAGATATAGGTTCAGCCATAGACAGTAAATTTACCTAGGAATACCTGGGATGGGGAGGTATTATAAAACAGGTTTACTGTTGATATGGGACAGAAAGAAAGTAAGTGTCTGGATTCTTAATCCTAACATTTTTTCTATTGTTACAAGAATTTTTTTCTGGAACAAACCACACACATTTTCATGATGACAAACAACATGGTAAAATTTCCACAGAGTGAGCCTTAAAAATGGCATTCCCTACTCTCTAATCAATAAGAAACTGTTTTTAAGACAGCTGCTATTTTCTGGTGCAGAATACATCTCAGCATTTCCGGCTGACTGATTCTGGAGGCTGCTTCATGATTGCATTTTATGTTACTTATTGAAGGGCCCACAATTACTATGCCATCTTTCACAGCAAAAGATGATTCTGCTGACCCACCATTGGCAGAGCATATGTACAGAAAATAGATTTTATCTATGGGTTTATGTTATCTTACCTAGTTTCTTAAGGAATTAACCAAATACTTCTGTTAGGAAATATTTGTAACCTCTACTTACCCAGATTTCATTTTTCAGGAACAAAGTCAAGTCCCAAGCTCAATAAAATGTCTCTTTCTACATCTATAGATTTATATAAATATTTATAATCTACCTGTCTTATTTTGATGTAAATATATGTAAAATACAAATTATTAATTTAATGTTTTATATTTATATGCTTAATCTTTCCTAACAAATTACTAGAATATGTGACTTCTATTTTACATTGCTCTTTGAATTTTCTAAAGAATCTAGCCTAGTGTGAAGCCTATAGGACTTGTTCAGTAGACTGGGTTTTCCACATATCTTTATGTATGTGTGGTGTGGTGTGCTGTGGGGTGTGTGTGTAAGGAAGAGAGAGGAGAGAGAGAGTGAGAGAGCGAGAGCACACCAGAGTGCACATGTAAAAAATGTTAATGACCTCATTTTGGAAACAGGATGTACATTTTAAACTATTTTACTAATATAGAAATGATATCTGTTTTGGAACCATTTGAAATTCTTTAAATATTTTGAGCTATATTTTAAATATCATTAAATATTCTAAAATTTCTATAGAAATTGAATCTTATGATGTTACCATTTTTTGATCAAAAGCAGCTAAACCCTGGACATTTCATATGGTATAATCGAATCTATTTAAATTTTAATATATTGACTTCCCCTAAGAAATGTGAGAATGTTCCAAGTTTATAAATGGTTTTCAATGCATGATTTTACTTAACTACTCAATAATCCATGATTTATTTATTGATTTATTCAGCCACTTCAATATTATTCATCACTTATTTGGTTCCCTTTCTTATTGTTAATAAATGCAAAACTTGTTATTTTTGTGCATTAATGTTTTCTATATGTCTGATTATTATTTTTATATAATCCTGGTAAAAAAATAATGAGTTTACAGGATATTATCATTTATAAGTTTCTTGATTTATCTTGAAAAATAGATATTTTGAAACAGTATATTAACTTACTCTTTCATTGAAAGGGGATTAAGAAAAACTTTTTAATGTACCTTTACTGTGCCTTTTCTAATGCATAACAATGTCTAATTTACCTATTTTGATTATTAATGATGGAAACATTTATTATATTTTATTAGGAATTTCCAGTTTTTTTCTGAAATATTTAAGATATTTTTAATCAACTTAGACTTTCTTAATTTCTAAAGTCTCTTAGTTATAACCTTTTGTCAAATATATTAAAAATATTTCCATAGTTTTTCATTTAGGCTTTTATTATTTGTCAAGTTTTAAAGTACAGAGATTTTTGGGGGTAGTAAACATATTAATATTTTCTTATATAGTGTATTTGCACCCTTAACATTTGTCATTCTTAAGATCAGTTTTTATCTGTGAATTCTACTGTTTATATTTCAAATAATTTTGTGATGTAGTTTTCTCTTTAACCTACCACACACTTGTTTTCTAATGTGGTCTGAAATGTGACTCTAACTTTACTTTTCTGTTAGATGCTTTCTTAATTTTTTAATTCTACTTCTCACTATGGTGAATTTTATCTTCATTTTATATTATGCCACACACACAGAAAAACACACATGCCTGTTTTAGAAAAACAATCTATGTTTTTCTACATAACATTGTTATTTTAATTACTGTCATGTCATATATATAACCTATTTAATATCTCAAATACTGAGAGGCAAGATTTACTCATATTATTAGTTTTAAGTTGTTAATTTAATATTTAGTTTTAGACAATGTTAAAAATCAATTTATATAAGTATGTAAATACTGTTTTGAATAACAATATATTAAAAATATAAATATATTTCTTATTGTGCTTTTTAATGTAATATGCCTAGATTTTCAAATGATAAAATAGTTTTTATAATATTAAATGTCCTAGTAATAATGGAATTATTTCTCTAGAATGATTCAACTGATATATTGTTAAATTATTCAAGTATTTCATTAAAACTTTTGAATATACACATAAAAATAGAAATGATTATGTAATTTAAGTTTCAATACTTAATTGAAGAGTTTTAAATTTTTTTTATGTTCTCAAATAATCTTAAAGAAATTATTTCCTATTTAACAATTTGAATTAACTCAATAATACACTATCTTTTCTTGTAAGAAGCTAAATCTATAATAAATTGTTATATCTTTGTAAATTTTTGCATTATTTACCTTTTGTATTTCTTATGATAATTTATATTTTGCCAGAAATTAACATATTTTTAAAAACTTACCAAATTTTTAGCAAATATATTATGAAGTACATGCATAATTTTGTGCATTATTTTACAACTTCATGTTATAGATTATTTTTATTTTGTCTCTCATTAAAGTGTCTTAATTTTGTGTATTTTTACTTTGTTTTAAACAAGAGGTTTTTAAATTTAATTTACATACCTCTTGTTTTAACTTTACATATTTATTAATTTATTTTGTTTTTCTTGTGTATCGGGTCATCTTATCATATTTTATAAGCTGCCTGGGAACAGGTTTATTTCAGTATTGTTTGCTCTTTGTATTTTAGTACTTTTTCTTTTCATTAATAATGAAAGTAAGGCTGGGCGCAGTGGCTCATGCCTGTAATCCCAGCACTTTGGGAGGCTGAGGCGGGCGGATCACGAGGTCAGGAGATCGGGACCATCCTGGCGAACACTGTGAAACCCCGTCTCTACTAAAAATACAAAAAAAATTAGCTGTGCGTGGTGGTGGGCGCCTGTAGTCCCAGCTACTCGGGAGGCTGAGGCAGGAGAATGGGATGAACCCAGGGGGCAGAGCTTGCAGTGAGCCGAGATCACGCCACTGCACTCCAGCCTGGGCGACAGAGAGAGAATCAATCTTAAAAAATAAATAAATAAAAATAATGAACGTATGTAAAATTGTAAAGCTATGTTGGCTAAACTTTGTGCATTTTGATATATGTTTATTTTTAGTTTTGTTTAACAGTCATTTAAAAAATAATAATAGTTATGTAGTTTTTGACATGATAAATTCTATTGTATATTGTTGATGTATGTTTAATCATTTCTTAGTCCCATTTTAGAGATGATGAGAAAATTTTTGCAAAGAATAATAGAGTAACTTGCTAAGGCTATAGTTAAAAGTGATGTACCTGGAATTTCAAGTTAAACAATTTAACTGTTTTTGCCCAGAATGCTCTCCTTTAGAAAGAGACAGTCACCAGGAATAAATGTTGTTTTGTTTATTAACTTTATATTTATTTACCCATTTGTTTGTCTGATTATCTATTGTTGTAAATTTTGCACAATTTAAAATGAATGGGTGTTAAATAATGTTATTTGATGAGTTTTGACAAATACATAAAAAAATATGCAAAAGTTTATCAACCCAGATGTTCCCTTGTACACTTTTTTCAAGCAATTCTTATTCCCCAAAACTGCTCTGATTTATATTAGCATGGAGTTTTACCTAAGACTTCCTATAAATTGAGTCCTCTTTAGTGCCTGAATTGAGTCCTCTTTAGTGCCTGGTTTTTGTTTTTGTTTTTTTTTTGAGACAGGGGTTTTGCTCTTGTTGCCCAGGCTGGAGTGCAATGGTGCAATCTCAGCTCACTGCAACCTCTGCCTCTCGGGTTCAAGCAAATCTCCTACCTCAGCCTCCCAAGTAGCTGGGATTACAGGCATGCACCACCATGCCCGGCTAATTTTATATTTTTAGTAGAGACCAGGGTTCTCCATGTTGGGCAGGCTGATCTTGAACTCCCGACCTCAGGTGATCTGCCTGCCTCAGCCTCCCAAAGTGCTGGGATTACAGGAGTGAGCCACTGCACCAGGCTAGTGCCTGACTTTTTTAGCCAAACATAACGTTTGACATTCGTACATGTGGTTGCACTGATTTATAATTCATTCTCTTTTTATTTATAATTTTTGGTGAATATCTTACATACAGATATCACACAATTTTATTTTTTCCATTCTCTTGGTGATGAGTATTAGTTTTTTTTATTTCCAGTTTAGAATTATTATGAATAAAATATCTTTCAGGATGTATGCTTTCATTTATCCACTAACGGTAGATTGGCATGACTGTATTTAACTTTATTAAAACCAACAAGCAAATCAACACAAACGAGCAAAAAATAAATAAAATAAACTCTTTTAGACTGATTTCCAAAGTTGTTTCAACATTTGTAACTCCCACCAAAAAACTATGAGGTTCTAGTTGTTCTATTTCTTCAAGAACATTTGGTACTCAGATTCCAGTATTTATCAATTCTAGTTGATGTGAAGTGATATTTCATTGTAATTTGAATTTACTATTTTCTGATATCTAACAATATTAACCTCCTTTAAGTTTGCTTATCAGCTATTCTTTTGTCTTCTTTTGTGATCTCCACAGGTGTTTTGCATTTTTGGATTTTTGTCTTTGTATTGAGCTGTAGCAATTAACAGTATATTCTGATGTAAAAAATCCTTCATCACATATATTTAAGAATACTGTTTTTCTCCCAATCTGGTCTGCAGTTTCATTTTCTTAATGATTTATTTGGAATAGCAGATATATTTAATTTTTATGTATTCTAGCTTATTTTTTTTTCTTTTGAGCTTACTTCATTTTTCTCTTTTCTGCAAAAACCCTCTATTTTCTTCTGCAAAATATCTCTACCCCAAAGTTATGTAATATTCTTCTATACTTCGTTCAAGAAGCTTTATAGCTTTAGCCTTTATGTTTAAATGTATCTATGATCAGTGTGAAATTAATGTTTGTATATGATGCTAAGTAAATAATTGAGTTTCATTACTTTCTTTCATCCAGATATCCAGTTTTTCAGGCATCCTATGGGTTTTTTTGTTTGTTTCTTTCTTTCTCTAGTGAACTGCTTTGACACCTTTTTGTCAAATAAAGATTTGGATTAGTTTCGCAAATCTTTTGTTAAGAATAATTGTTTTCATGCATTTTATTGGTCTGATATATCATTTTCTTATAATACTCTTGTCATGTTTTCTAGTGATGTTTTCACTTTCATTCCTAATACTTAAAATTTTTATTTTTCTTCTTCTATTCTTTATCACTTTTCCAGATTTTATCAATTTTTATATTAAAAAGTTTTTGGCTTCTGTTGATTTCCTCTTTTGTTGTTCCATTTTCTAATTAATTAATTTTTCTCTTATTTTGATTATATTTTTATTATTTATTTTTTCTACTTATTTTGAGTTTATTTGTGATTTTTTTAAATCCTCAAGTTGAAAGCTTAGACCATTAATTGTAAAACTTCTTTCTGCTCTAATATTTACATTTTAAACTATAAATGTCTAATAACTGCTTTAGCAACATTTCACAAATTATGGTATATTGTGTTTTAGTATCATTTATATTAAACTGTTTTCTTATTTTTATTACAAATTTATTTGGACCCATTCATTATTTAAAACAATGTTGCTGATATGGTTTGGTTCTGTGTTCCTGTCTAAATCTTGCCTTGAATTTTAATAATCCCTATAGTGTCAAGGGTGGGACCAGGTGGAGTTAATTGAATCATGTGAATGGTTTCCCCCAGACTGTAGTCATGATAGTGGGTAAGTTCTCATGAGAGTTGATTGCTTCATAAGGGGCTTCCCCTTCACTGGGCTCTCGTTCTCTCTCCTGTGGCCATGTGAAGAAGAATGTGTTTGCTTCCCCTTCTGCCATGATTGTGTTTCCTGAAGCCTCCCCAGCCATGCGAAACTGTGAGTCAATTAAACCTCTTTTCTTTATAAATTAGCCATTCTCAGGTATTTCTTCATGGATCCTGAGAATGGACTAGTACAGTTGCTTATTTTCATGTATTAATTGTCAACATAAACATAGTATACATGTTTTATGATTTTGAAAATTATTGAGATTTATTTTATGGCCCAGTATATGGACTACCTTGGCACTCTTCCATGTGCATTTAAATAGAATATGTATTTTGCATTGTTGAATTTAGTAGTGTATGAATGTCATTTAGGTATGTTTTTGATAGTTCTGTTCAAATTTTTTTGAACATATAACCTATTGAATGTTCTATCAGTTACTGACAGTTGGGTATTAAAAACTTAAATTATAATTTTGTGTATATAATATACCTTTGGTTAAGTCTTTATACCTTTACTACTGTCAATATTTCTTTGTTATGAAATATTCTCCTTCATTTCTGTTAATAATTTCTCTATTTCCATTATTACTTTAGGCCCAGAATAGGACTCAAATGCAATGTTCAATAGAAGCTGTGTCAGGCTTCCTTGCATCATGTAGTGTTGAAGGGAAAAAATATTTTTTACAAAGCATATCATCCCTGTACATTCTTTCACCAGCTTTGTGACGTTTCACTCTATACATGATGCAGTGCTTAGCAAAAACCCAACAGGATCTTAATCTCGCTTTGGAGATCTTTGAATAGTCCATGCTTTCTCTCTCTTTATTCTACAACTTCTAGCTACTTCAGCCTCTGAATTTCAATCTCCAACTCTTCATCTCAGTGGCATCACTAGGCTGAGTGTGTTTCTCCAACCATTTGGAAATGTTGTGGGTACTTACATGGTTTCACATTTACCCACCAGAAAAAACTGAGGTGACTATAGAACTCACCTTATTTGTTTCCCTCTACCCAGGATCACAGTGCTAAGCTGCCTGTTATCCAATAGTTAAAAATAGTTTCATGCATTTAGTCCAGGTGGGTTGTTTATAGTGAGCAGTTATATCCAGCACTTTTTGCTTCATATCTGGAAGCCTTTTTACTCTCTTTAAATTACTATGTTAAATTATCTATTTCCATATTGAATATTTATTGCATCTACTTTATATGTCTAATGCTAATGGAGTTATGTTTGAGGTTTTATACAGACTTTCTCAGTGTTTCATATTTTATAGAGTTTATGTATGTATATATAGTTGATAAATGAGTTGGTACATAAAATTGCATGACTATCATGTACGAAAGATATATGCATTTTTATGTATGTGTGTGTGTTTGTGTGTGTTAGTCCATTTTCACACTGCTGATAAAGACATACCTGAACTGAGCAATTTACAAAAGAAAGAGGTTTAATAGACTCACAGTTCCACATAGTTGGAGAGGCCTCACAATCATGGTGGAAGGTGGAGGTACATCTCACATGGTGGCAGTCAAGAGAAGAAAGCCTGTGCAGGAAAACTCCCCTTTATAAAGCCATCAGATCTCAGGAGATGTATTCACTATCACAAGAATGGTACAGGAAAGACTCACCCCTATGATTAAATTACCTCCCACCAGGACCCTCTCACAATATGTGGGAATTGTGGGAGCTACAATTCAAGATGAGATTTGGGTGGGTATATAGCCAAATCATATCAGTGTGTGTGTATACATATATATAATATAAATTTTTATATTTTATAAATATAAAAACATTTTATATTTTATAAATATAAAAACATTTTATATTTTATAAATATAAAAACATTTTATATTTTATAAATATAAAAACATTTTATATTTTATAAATATAAAAACATTTTATATATACATAAAATGTTTAAGGTTAACTTAAACCATTTATATATGTGTGTATAAATATATATATATATAGAGAGAGAAGAGTTAATAGACTCTTTTCATTGTATTTTAATGGAAATTTGTTAAGATTTTACTTTCTCTAAAAATAATATTGCTATTTTATTTTTATCATGGTTAATAGCACCCAGTGGATATTATCCATTTACTTCAACAGCTCTATGATGTCACCTTTTAAAATAATGTTTCCTCTTAGCCACACTTTCCCAATTTGAGAGTTAATACCTGTGTAAGTAAATTTTAATAAATGTATATTTATTTTGATAATTAATATGTTTGATTTTATTTGTGACTATATTCTTAAATATTTTGTTTATGATTTATTGCTCTTTCTGTTGTATTTGGTCTTTTGTTACATTCTCTGTTTCTCTCTCTCTCTATATATATATATGGACAGTTTAGCCTTAAGTTAAAATGATTAAGTAGTTACTATACATATGTTGACTTTCTAGAAAGCTGAAGTTGTCTAGCTTTGTGACGTTAAATAACGCAAAAGCCTAGAAATCAAGCAAGATTTGTGAAACCTCAAAGCTCATTCTTTTAAATAGTATCTTAATATTTCTTATGTCAATAATCTCCTGTTTCATTTCTATTTCTTATCTTTGCATTCATTTCATTGTGTTTTTATATCAGATCATTGTACCTTAATTCATTCTGTCCATGAAATGATCTTTTTCTGTTTAACATATTCACGTAGCATACTGTTATGATAGCATAAAAATTTCTTAAGTTTTCTTTGAAAATTTTAGCAAATCAGAAATATGTTCTGCTTTAGTCTGTTGTGCTACTATAACAAAATACCACAGCCTGAGTAATGTATGAAAAACAGTTCTGGAGACAGAGGAGTCCAAGATCAAGATGCAGACAGATTCCATGTCTGCTGAAGGCCTTGTTTTCTGTTTGCAAGATGGTGAGTTGTTGCTGCATCCTCTAGAGGGGAGATACACTGAGTCCTCACATGGTGGAATACAGAAGGGCAAAAGGGCCTAATCTAGTTCCTTTCAGCCCTTTTGTAAGGCAGTAATCCATTTATGAGTGCAGAGCCTTCATATCTTAATCACCTCCCAAAAGGTCCCACCTCCTAATGCCACCACAATGGGGATTAAGTTTTAACATGAATTTTGGAGAAGACACATTCAAATCATAGCATGCTCTTACTTTGACACTTCAGAATGCATATGTTTCTCTTTCACAGAGAGTTTACAGGGGACTTCATTGCCTTTAAACAATAAGAAACTACTATAAATTTCCCGGGAATTTGTCTATAGTCATATAACGTGTTTCTTCACGTTTTCTCATGTTATAATGAGCACCTGAAAATAGGACATGACTCCATCATAACTGGAATTCAAAAAGTATTCTTTTGCATGACAAAAATATACAGACTTCAGGCCTGTCAGTATCTCGAATGTGTGAGCAAGTCTCACATTTTTCGTTTTGATCCTGGTTTAAATCTTCTCTTATTGTAATAGCAGGAGGGCCAGTTGGTCCAATTGATAGTACCAAATGGCCATTCAAATAGAGGATCCAAAGGTTTGAGGGACTTAAACACATGAGAAATCAGATTAACCCTTTCATAGCAAGCAAAACCCACAAACCTCTGCATGCTGAGTTACCAGCACTCTTCCTTTCTTCTCCATCACCATTGACATGGACATGTTTTGTATCTGCCCCACTTCTCCTTGGTCTACCACACTTCCATAAGTCAATAACAATCATGTTCAATGTATGAGGTTTGAATTAGCCTTACTCTGCCCATGTCACTAATCAGACAGTGTGTAATGCAGGCCTGCCAAATCTCACTACTCGATTTCCCTGGCCTCTGTAAATAGTTCAAGGATGGAAATAGTAGCCATGTCAGGCCAGAAGCCACCATGGGCTTCTGCTTCGCATGTTTAAAAGACGCTTTGCTTTCTGAAGTATTGCTAACATGATAGTAAGAATATTAAGCTACCAGTGGTAGCTTCTTTGTCACCCTTTTGAAAAAGTCTACCTAGGAATGAATCTAACTTACTAAATACAGTGCTGAGAGATGGAGGGAGAAAGAGAAAGAAAATAAAGAAATGGGAGTGGAGGAGAAAGGCCTTAAGCTCTAAACATTCTCAATTTAGAATCATCTTTGCATAATTTAATTATATAAGAAGGAAGAGGAGAGCTGGTGAAATTTTTCTATAAGTGGATGACCATACCGTAAATATTTTAGGTTTTGACGGCCAGATGGTTTCTGTCTCAATTACTCAACTCAGCTGTTGTAGTGGGAACACAGTAATAAACAATACATAAAGGCATGAATATGACTTTTTTTCCAATAAAACTTTATTTATAAAAATATGCAGTGGCTTCAGGCCATAGTTTGTCAACCTCTGATACAAAATAAAAAATTTTCTTTTTTTCTGAAGTATAATCGTATTTATATTATTTGCTGTCATAAGATGCTTCACTTAGAAAAAAACTTTCAGTGCCGTTTCTATAGAAAGTATATATTGCACAGCATATTCTCTGCAATTACTCAGTCTGTAATTTCTAGTATATGTCCTACTCTTTTTCAAGTAAATTAAGTATTATAATGAGCATTAGACAAAAGTGATACTGTGTCTCTGGCAGGGGACAGGAATCGTCCATTTAAAAAAGCAATCCTCTTGCAATGGTCAAGAAGCCGCTTTATTATCTGTTATACTTCCTAGGCTTCTGAGGGAGGCATTTTCTCCCCGTTTTACTTACAGGGGACGAGACTATTCCTTTTAGAAAAGTGAACAACGAGAGAGCCACCTATTATTTTCTCAATCCAGCTCAATTGTCTGTATACTTAATGCCAAATCTTTTCAGATAAGAACAAAAGATTTTCTGTCAGTTGAATTTTGGGGGGTAGTGAATTTTCAATGTTTTTCTGTCTTCTTTCTTCAAAAGAGTTTCAGTAGAAAATGTAAAGTATCTGTATTTAGAGCTGCTGACCCAATGATATTTGGACCAGGACGTTGTTCAATATAATGAAATAAACACACTGCACAGCTTTAGGGCATTTTTATTTATTTATTTTTAGTTAAAGTTGTGAGAAATAAATGAGGGATGAAAGAGCAGACACTGGCAGTAATTAAACTTTCTGAGAAGCCTATGAGTTTCCCAAACCCTTAGCAAACATATTAGAAAAGGCCTGATTCAGAGACAGGTGCCAGGCCCAGTAATTCAGGAGCATATGCATGATCTCAACCTGGGGAATGAAAATAAAAGAAGAAGCATTAATCAGAACTCTAATCAATGAGTGATACAATAAGGTTGATCTTACCTTATTCAGTTAGAAAAGCTCACATTGAGGCAATATCGAAGTAGTCACCATTTTCATACTGATTATATCAGGAAAAATGAGGGTAATGATTCAGATTTGGCAGCTGTGGTATTCTCTTGTAAGAGAAACTAATAAAGGGACACTAAATCTTGATATACTTATCACATTTGGGCCGTCAGGAGTATATAATCTTCTCCAAAGTTTCTCGGATTTGTTCAGTGCAGCATATTTCATTGGGCAGAAAAGTTCCCTCCCCCAACCCCTCCTTTCAGAGCATTGCCTAAAGGAACAAAACTGCACATTCCAGAAGAAGAACAGGTCATTGCTTTATAAACAAGTTATTTACTAAAGAGCTTCCAAAAACATTCAGACACACACACACACACACATACACACACACCTTTATCTGCACACTAGTATCCCAATTTAATTTACTTGGGCACAAAGTAGCTTCACATTTGTGAAACTGTTTACAATATATATTTTGCATATAAAAGTATATCTTTTAACCCAATATCCATTGTCACTCATATTCTGGTATTAGGATGAAAGATTAAGGAAAGTGAATACATGCAAAGAATACTTCATATCTAAAATGGAATACAGACAAATAGAGACAAATGCGTGTATGTGCACACACACATGTACGTGTTCTCAAAGTGTATAAGGCTGAGGTTGAGTTAGACAAATATAGTCAGTTTTACGTTTTGCTGTGAGTTTTACATTTGGCTGAGTTTGCCAAGAAGTAGGCAAGGCGGGCCATTATGAAGAAGTACAGATATTATTGTCACTGTTGATGCACTAATGGAGTGGCTGGGCTGCTAATGGATGCTCTTCCTGACAACAAATAAAATGGGTATTTTATTGTATTTATATTTTTCTGAGTTTTTTATTTCACTGCTGAATTCTTAATTGTATTTTTTGTATTGCATCTTGTAATAGTATTTTTATTGTATTTTTTATTTCATTGCTTTTTCCAGACATCTTCTGGATGCAGAGACTCTCACTATACAGAATTTAAGAGTTGTTTTATTGCTACAACTGGTCTCTCTGAGCTAAACTTTCATTAGAAGCCCTAAACATCTTGTAATGCACTACTTTCAAGTTGTCTAGTGGTCTTTTGCCTACCTGCACCAGAAGCTTCCTTCGTGGGGCCCTTTGTTTTATGGCATTTGACATGAATAATAAATATTCAAATGTATATTTCCCCTAAAAAATTTATGTTTTTTTGATAAAAGGCCTATGTTCTCTTTGAATTCTTTCTAATCCATATTCTGTTATACAAAAGCCCTACTTTTGATATATATCATTTTTTCTGTATTTATATATTAGTGTGACAATTTGTATGAACATATAAAGATTTTATATACACTGTTTGAAAACAAATCCTTAAAGACAGACTTCTAGAGTTGAAAGTAATCTACCAGCAGGAAAGATGTGGTGTACTGGAAAAAGTTCTAAACTTCAAGTTAATAAACTTAGCTTCAAGGTTTGCCATCCTTACACCAGCATCTTAGAAAATAAAAATGAATATTGGAAACTCAGATTTTGTTATCTGAAAATTGTGGGACAATGTTCACAATATTGTGCTATGTAAGGAACTTGGTTGTTGTAAACTAAAATCAGACAATGAGATGAAAATTCTTCATAATGTATATGGGGCTACAGGAATTTGCATTGAAATCATAAACTTTCTTCACTCATCTCAATTTGATTGGCTATTCCTATTTCATAAAAGTCCCAAGAATACTTGTAGAGTCCTGAAAAATGTATTTTCTCCCACAAAATAGTCTTCTCACAAATACCTGTTCACTTCCTCAGATCTCTATACAATGTCATCTCTGACCAATTTACCTAAAATGATTTTTCTCCCATCTCCATTTCTTTCTATTCTCTTATAACACTTTATTTATCTTCCCAACACTTATCATCACCTGATGTAATATATATTTGGGTCTGTAAATTGTTTGCCCCCTCAGATGAGAGTCTTATCTTTTAATTACTGCTATAACTTGTATTTTGAAATTATAAATTCCATTAACAGGCATTCAATAAATCTCTCTCTATTAAATATATCATGGTATGCTCATAATGTAGTAAAAATAACTATAACCCAAAGACTTATGCAAGCCCAAAAAATTAAGATTTCAGGTTTTATTACTGTAGATGAAAATCTAGTTGTATGTGCAATAGAGCTTCTTTATCCTCTTTACATCAAAGTACTTCCTTCATTTATATAGCATTGACCTTACATGTTAGACCTCTCTCCTTCTACAGCAGTGCATAACTCAGAGCTTAAGAAAAATCTGCCGAGTGTCTAAAGACACATTTACTATATATAATCTTGCTGATAACAGATTCAGTACAATCTTAGAATTATATAATATATATTAATTTTAACCAGAAGATACATCATAAGTGTCAGAAGAGATGCATCTGAGTTTGTAGTGCCTTCAACATACTGAAGAATGGCTTCAGTACGTAAGACATTCTTATGAAATCCTATTCTTGCAATGTTTCATGATTGCCACTGGCATGGTAACCACCTCACCAGTTTTCCAACAAAGAATGAGAACTGCCACTGTTTTGATGACAAATTAACATAAAGATCATTACCCTCCTTTGCTGTCATTGTTGTTGCTAAATAGCATGCACAGTTGATCTGATTTTTGTTGAATTATTTTCCCAGTACACTTTTGCAATGAGGGTAAAAAACAATGATGTTTACTCTTTCTAGGACATTCTGATTGGCAAATGCTATGTGTGTGTTTGTGCATGTGAGTGTCCGCTAAGCATTTGTGAAAGCTACAATAAAGAATAGTCTCCTAGAGTTTGGAAATTAAGGCTTGAAAGGAAATAAGACTGGTATTCTTCTTGGAAAATAGGTTCATTTGTAGAGTTGTGTTCACAGGCCTAGGTAGACACATGCTCCTGGCTGTTGAATTTGTAATGCAAAGTTGGTAGAATTCAGTCTCTATTGTTGCAATAAGAGCTTTATAAATGTGCCAAGCAACATTTGAAGTGTATCAGAGAAGGGAGAGTCATTTTTACCTCTGATGTTATCATTAGCCATAAGAATTTACAAAATGATAAGGCCATAAGTATTCCTATATGTATGACGTTTAACACCTGCAACCACAGAATGCATCTCTGAAAATACAGACTCTACTATCAGAGTAAGGTCACAGGCAAAGATTAGATATTCCAAAAATATTAGAATGATAGGTAAGGTTAGGAATGACTAATATTTGTATTGATCCACTTTTTAAGTTGTTTTAAATTTCTTATTTTATTGTTTCTTACAATGTTTCTAGGAGACAGTGTTTTTCCATGATAAACAGTATCCTTCTTATTTGATAGCTAATGAGATGGACGCACATAAAGGTGAAAGAAAATTATACCAAGAATCTTTAGAAACTAAGTCAAATAATAATACGAGAGTTTTACTATATATTACAGCCAGAGATGTTATATATAGTTACAATTCACCTAATTTTTCCTACATTATAAGCAAACCTGCTCCATTTTAAGGGATAGATTTGAGGGGACTGTTGTTTTTAATACAAATTTGTTTTGTTTGATACTTACGTGTTTAATCATTATTGCTGCTGGCTATTGTTCCTTTTCATGTATTTTAATACTTTAATCAATGGAAATTTTACTGGTGCTTGTACCCTGAGGCTGTTGAAAGTGGAGGGTGCAATTATATAAATATACAATTGAAATAAGAAAAAAATAAAACAGATGGGCATAGAGACCATGTGGATATTAAGTGATAAAGTCCTTCAGGAGCTAGATAAAGAGGTAGAGCTCTTCCCAGATGAGTATTTGCATTAGAATCCCCGAATTAAAGAAGTTCATAGCTTCTGTTCATTGCACTTTGTCACCTAAAAATTCTCTCCTGCTTTTTCAAAAATCATTTAAAGTCCAAAATTCTATATGAGGCATTAACCTAAATAATCATAATATCTTGAATCTCTTGACTACTTATTGCAAATATAAGCTGCAGGCTTTATTTTTGTAACTGATGATACTAAACGTAGTACCTGACTGTATCCTAGCTGATAGTTTTGCTCTGCTTGTTTTATATTGAATTATACATTACATCCTTTATATATGTTTGTCTCCTCTTATCCAAATGGATTTCAGAAACCTGAGAGTAGATGTCATCCAGGTGAGTCTTTCGTATATCCCTCAGGAAGTAGCATAGCTCAATGTCCATAACTACTTGAGAAATACCTGTACCATTAATTGAAAATGTGCGTATAACACTAATGTCATAAATAGTGTAAATTACTCATTTACCATTGGTTTTTTCCTTTCTCTTTCATTTCATTTCTCATACGATCATCCCAAGCAAATTAAAAAAATTATCACTGTCCCCTCTATTACCACAGGATAGAGGGCTGAGGAGATGCTGGATAAAAATATCTCCAAAATTTAATTATATCAAACATTGAAATATATTCTGAAGGGTACTATAATCTTCCTGCCAATATCTTAGAATTAAAAAATAAGAAAGACTATTAACTTTCTAAATTTTTGTTTTCAACTGCTAGGAAGAAAAAGAGACTTACTAATCTCTTAGGACTCTTTAATAATAAGGGTTATCGGATTTTCTCATAATGATTAAATTAATGGAGGTGGACACGTAAAACGTTTGATGGAGCTGACCTTCTCGTGAAGAAGGAAGTTTCCACTCTCTTCCAATCGTGCTGAAACTTGCATTTCTTTTAATGACTCCACTTAGAGCAGCAGGAAGCTAAGTGATCATCACCAGCAGGTACTTAGACAAGAGTGAGAGGTTGGATGTGGACTGCTCTATTAAAACATCCCTGTCTAAACAGGGCTTCCTGGAGCTTAAGTGCCCATTGCTGCAGAAGCCAGGATCCCATCTGTGAGCACACAGCAAAGCTCTCAGCTCTGTCTAATGAGAGGAACTGCATCAAGGAGACATCCTTAAATAGACAAAAGATCCATGGCATCTAATGGACAATTAGTTAACTTCATTCTTCAGAGTTTTTAAGCATCTGATAAACGGGGAAATAAAGAAAAATGCTCTGAGTGAAGCACTGACGGAAATTAAAAGCATTCTAATAGGAAATGACTTTCAGGTTTTAAATATTTTCAGTATTATTCTGTCTTAAAGTAAAACGACTAGTGGTCATGCTGTCTATTTTTTACCTTTGTTTCAAATTGTTAAGACTATGGCTAATGCCATTACATGTGGTTAGAACATATGTTGGTCCACTTTTTTGAAATACGTGTTGAAATTAGTGAGCATATTCCAAATATTGCCAAATTTAATTAAATGACATTCAATAATATTCAATCTGGAATAGATCTTAAGGTAAAGTGTTCAATTTGTTATTTAACAGATGATGAAACCAAGGCCCCAAAAGGATAAATGGTTTTTCTAGGGAAGTCATCTTCTAAAATACAGGATTGGCAATTTTTCAGCTTCGTATTTTGTTTCTTCATCACACTGTTTGATTGAGGAATGTAAGGAAGCTACATATAATGATAGCATTATAAATTGTTTATGTAAATTAATGTATATTATTTTAAGATAAAATATTAAAGCCTATGAAAAATGTCACGTATATTCACTTTCAAGTAATCTGTATCTAGTTGGGAGAGAAAGACTCAGATACAGAGCAATACAATGTAATGTATAAGAAGGATCAAAATGTGTGCATGAATAATGAGTGCTCTCAGTGGCCAAGAAAAAGAGACATGACCCTGAGCTATCCCAAATGGAAAGACTATGGAAGTAAGGAAAGTTCTCTCTAAACAGTTAATCAGGACTTGAGAGTACAAAAGAACTAAAAAATGCCTGCCATTGAGTGTAGAATTGGAATTTATGGGTGTGTGGCATTTAACTGACTGATTTAAGAATCAATTTTTTTAATGTGTCTCTGTGTGTTTGGGGGACACTAGTAGAGTCACTTTTCTTACTTAGAGAGTTAATATTTGATTCACTAAATACAACAGTAAGTACAATGGAAGTCATTAGTTAATGCTAACAGCAAAAACAATAACAACACTATTGTTCTATTCCTTATCTTCTGGAGTCCTTAAGCACAACCCCGTGAGATGGGAACGTTTCTTTTTTCCCACATTATAAATGAGGAAAATGAGAAACAGAAATAAAGTAGATTGATTCCAAGCATATGTGGCTCAAAATTGTAGGCTTTTAACTATGAAGTCATATTTTTAAAATTCACAAATTTTATTAAAAATATACATTGTTAAAAATGTTAAAATGAAAGCATTAAAATACAAATTTGTCTCTCATCATCATGCTAATTTTTTTTTCAACTAAAGCAGGACTAATTCCAAAAGAAATCAAATTTTCCCCAAGGCTTCCAGATTATAATACTAATACAGATTTCACTCTATTAGTGTCTCCTTTCCGCCCAGTCCCAAAGGCTGATATTGATGGTGGCTGCTTCTGAATTTGGAGATGTGAATAAGGCCTGGAGAACAGTGTCTGTCATTAAAAAGTTGCCATCTGTCTTTTTTTGATATCTACTATGCTGTAGTAAGTCATAGTATTTCTCTATCCTTTCAATGACAGCTCATGGTAAGATAAACTCACCACGATAAGATAAATGGCAACTTTTTAATGAAAACCACTATGTGTGAGCTGCTTGGTTAGGTTACAGTTCCTCAAAGTGCATCTCATACCTTATTCTCTAATATCAAAACCAATGACCTATTCTTCAAAGGATTTTCTTTTCAGTTCTGTAACCTACATGATTTACAAAGTTCTCCCCCAGCCTTTTTTTTTTTTTTTAATCCTCTCAGAATGAGACCTTGAGTGACCCTGTAGCCTTAACTTCTTACAGCAAAAATTTTTGGAAGTGTTTGTTTAGAAGACAAAAACAAATTTTTTTCACAATTTTAAAGATTATGTTTGAATAAGTCTGGCTAAGTAAGTGAAATGAGCCTTTTTTTTTTGATGGAGATTTTCACTCTTGTCACCCAGGCTGGAGTGCAATGGTGCAATCTCGGCTCACTGCAACCTCCACCTCCTGGGTTCAAGCAATTCTCCTGCCTCAGCCTCCTGAGTAGCTGGGATTACAGGCACCTGCCACCATGCCTGGCTAATTTTTTGTATTTTTAGTAGAGACGGGTAGTTTCACCATGTTGGTCAGGCTGGTCTTGAACTCCTGACCTCAGGTGATCCACCTGCCTCGGCCTCCCAAAGTGCTGGGATTACAGGCATGAGCCACTGCGCCTGGCCGAAATGAGCAATTTTTATTTATTGGAATTATTTGCTTCCCCATGAAAATAAATGCACTTTAAAAAGTGATAAGACTTATATCTAGAACTAGTTCTAATCAATCACAGCTGTGCTGTAACTGTCTGGATGAAGTATCTTCTGCAAGTACCTGCCTACCTACCTGTCAGATGGGGGAGTGCAACACTACTTGGTTGGAGTAAACCTGGTGATATGGTTTGGCTCTGTGTCCCCACTCAAATCTCACTTTGAATTGTAATCCCCACAATCTCCATGTGCCAAGGGCAGGACCATGTGGAGGTAATTGAATCATGGGGGTGGTTTCCCCCATGCTGTACTCATGATAATGAGTGAGTCTCATGAGATCTGATGGTTTTTTAAAGCATCTGGCCTTTCCCCTGCTGGCAGTCATTCTCTTTCCTGTAGCCCTGTGAAAAGGTGTCTTTGCCATGATTGTAAGTTTCCTGAGGCTTTCCCAGCCATGCAGAACTGTGAGTCAATTAAACCCCTTTTCTTTATAAATTACCCAGTCTCAGGAATTTATTCACAGCAGCTTGAGAACGAACTAATACAGCTGGTATCAATGCCACAACAGTGTGGGGTGCAGACTTGCCACAGAGATGCTCTCTTCAGGTCCTTTCTTATTGCTGCTGGGGCATCTGAATATTTTTCAGATGAAAAGATAAAAAATAACCTCATACAACAGTTATGGGACTTTATACAACAGTTAAAATACTCTGTAGAACAATCTTTATATAGTAACACCTTAAACAAAATTATCAGTAAGGCTGAAAATACACATTTTATTTCTGACTATCAAAACACATTTCAAAATTTCCCAATACTTTTGCTTACCTTAAATAGATCAGTCAAGGTCAAAACAAACTGTCTCATCACTACAAATTTCACAAGGCCTCAAGGTCATTATTTTGAAAAGGTTTCATGGAATTAGATTTATTTTTAAACATTTTATTAAATTACTATAGAGATATCTGTTTCCTTTTGTGACTTTTTCCCTAACAAACACTTAGACGTTTGGTTTAAATCAGAAGATGATTATATCTACATTTGTATACTTAATTCAGTTTTGATTAAGCCAAGTTTTGTTATATTGGGTTTACTAAGAAAATTCTTTTCATAGTGAATGAGTGACAATGATAAATATAGTCACTCAATAATTATTCATTGAGTATCTATCATATACAAGCACTAATCTAAATAATGGGAGTCAATGTTGAATAAAAGAAAATTCTGCCCCCATGGCAAGAACCATTATAATCAGGGTTTGTGGGGAATTGAACAATAATAAATACTATGAGTTTAGAGAGTAATTAAGTCATAAAATAATAAAGTCAAATATAATATGAAGTGGTATGAGATAGTAATGGATGATTTGCTTTACAATCAGCGGTGATGCCATTTATGTTAATATCTAATGATGGGAAGGGATCCAAGAAGTGTAATTCCAGAGGGACCAAGAGGTGCAAATGGTGATGAGTCTTACAGTTACCAGAGTAGGAAAGAATGTTTGTCTTTGAGCTACAGCACTGCCAATGAGAGGCAAAGCATTAGGAAATGATATTGGAAAAGTAGGCAAGGGTGAGATCCTATATGGCCATGAAGATCATGGCAAGAAGTTTGGATTTGTTCTATGCATCGTTGGAAACCATAGAGTAATTTTAAGCATGGAAATAGCATGATCTTAAATAAAATAAAATTGCCCTGGCTATTATGTGGCGAATGTAACACACAGGTGCGACAGTAGACCCAGAAAACAAAGAAAAGGCTATCTCAGTAGTCTCTGAACAATAATGGTGATTTATTCAGAGGTGATAGTGCTGGAAATGGAAGAAATTGGTGAATATAATAAACATTCAGAAGCCAGTATCAATCACATTTGCTGATGGAAAAGGCAATGGGAAGAGTAGTGTGAAGACAGAGAAGAATTGAGGAAGACACTACATTTTGGGCCTGAGCAACTACTTGCAGTGGAAAAGTGTAGAGAAGAGAAAGTGTATTTGGAGATAATATCTTTCTGTTTATTCATTTACTTGCAATGAAGTTTGAGATGCTTGAACAGTCAACCAAGAAAACATGGTAAGTAGGCAATTGGATATATGAGTATAGAGTGCAGGGGAGAGCTCACAATCAGCAGTAGAAATTTGTATGTGAGAAGCATGTTTTGGCAGTTAAATGATATGGATTGGATCAGTTCACCTGAGGAATGTATATAGATAAAGAGCATTTTGAGGTCACAATGAGAAAGTGGCACAAGTAAAATTGACTAAGACAGAATAGCCAGTGGAGTGGAAGGAGAACCAGATGAATGTGGTTTCAAAAAGTCTGAAACAAATATTTCAGACATAAAAGAGTAGCCAGTTCTGTAAAATGACATGGGAAAGCTGAGTAAGAAGACTGAAAACTGACTTTTGGATTTTGCAAGCAGTTGCTTATACACAACACACACACACTCACACACACACATTAGATAGATAGATGATAGAGAGATGATAGATAGATAGATTTAAATCATGATTTTACATAACATTGCTTGCTGCATGAATCCAGTCATAGAGTAGTCAAATACCAATTTCTTACATGGTTGATAAATGGAATCACTTGAGTAATACTACTTCCTGCTATATCCATGCCTGTAATTATAATTTAACAGATTTAAAGGACAGAGACTGACCACCTCTATAAGTTGTTTAAAACAGCTAAGTTGTTTTTCAAGTGAATAAACCTACTGGGATGACCTTATAAATCTTTTCTAGTAACAATATTTTTATTGACGGAAAAAGTAAACAAAATGAAACTTACTTTTACAAATGCTAAATGAAATAGGGACAAGTAACAATATTTGTCTCTTTCCCCAAATAGTATAAACCTTGCTAAGTGTTCTTACAACAACAACAACAACAACAACAAAATTTAATAAAGGCATAAGGAGACCTTTAGAGGTGATAGATACG
Organism: Homo sapiens; assembly: GCF_000001405.40. NCBI lineage: Eukaryota > Metazoa > Chordata > Mammalia > Primates > Hominidae > Homo > Homo sapiens. The sequence goes on from NC_000018.10 coordinate 39,110,710, forward strand.
TCTATCACTTTCATTATGATGATGGTTTATTGGGTGTATGGCTATGTCTACATTCATCAAATTGTATACATTAAACTGTGTACTTTTTGAATATCAGTTATACCTCAATAAAGCTATTTAAAAAACAAGAAAACAAAAACATTATGTCTTTGTAATAAAATGGATAAGAAAGTAGGCCCAATTTCAGGGATTTTTATTTGTTTTTGTGTTTTGTATGATTGTGTTTTTTTTTAAAGGAGAATCAGTAGTACTTTAATTTCCTCTTTTATTAAGTTACATATTTTAATTTCTTTTCCATAAGCAATATATGAACTTGAGTTTCAATAATTGTGACAAATCAAATTGTATCCTCTTCCTCAATGGTGATAGTGCCCTACAGGGATAGGGCACATGAAAGCTGCTGAAGGGAAGGGATGGGATGGGTATCAAACATTGGTATGCAATAGCACTATTTATGGAGTTTCTTCCAAAATTCTGATTTCTGGGACTACTCCCTGAGATACTGATTCAGTAATTTTAGAAAAATTTCTACAATTACTAATTCAATAATTGCAGAAAAAGCAGTAATTGCAGAAAAACCATATTAGTATCACTTGATTCTAATATAAATTCTGAGTCTAAGCTTTGAAATTCACTTCTCTAGAAAAAAATATTCAAAAATTGGGAGGAGAAGGTGGTAGGGTAAACCACCTTCTGAGTAATCAACAATTTACCCACATATAACACATAAATCATATGCTGTTATGACCAGAATTTACTATGCATGCATTAATCAATTCCTAAGACAAATGTGCATGTCTACATATGTGTTAATATACATGTTTGCATATGTGAGTTCATTTTCCAAAGTATGCATATATTATATTTATGTTATTTGATATATTATCTTGCATTTGAAAGTGATGGATTCCAAAATTTGATAGAGGGAAACTAAAAGTTGAAGTTAAAAAATATATTTCTTTATAGCTGACCAGTATATGCTAATTGATATTTTTATCAATAGCTTTTCCATTTAATAGAGTTACAATTTTAGTATCTGATTTAGCTTTAGGGAGGGCCTAGAGCCACCTTCAAAAAAACCAATTCTTAATTTTTGTCTCTGTAAAGGAAGGGAAGTTTTAATTTAAATAATAACCCTGAATGTTGAATGTGTAAATAATGAAAGATTGTGCTAACAACAGAAGATATAAGCTTTTGAAGCCTGTACATTTGGAGGCATTGTGTTTCCAATACTTCTTCTTTCCAGCCCCTTCTCCCTCCATTTCTCCCTTTCTTCCTCTTTCACTTCCTTCCTCTTTCACTTCTTTTGTTTGGGCTGCCACTGGCACGGTCCTCCAAGAAGGCCAGTCCTCCTGTCGAAGTAGCAACTATTAGAGTGAGGAAGACTTGAGCTGCAGTTCTGCCTCTGACTCAAACGAGTTGTGGGTACAAACTGCCTCTCTTGAGACCTATCTATCTATGGTCCTCTCTTCTTTTGTGATTCATTAGCACTGAATTAGACCAGTCGTTCTGAACTTTTGGGGAGATCTTTCAAATGAAGTAAAATCTGTGGATCCTTTCCACTGGGGGAAAAAAACGTATTAATCACAAATGCACAATCATTTTGCACACAGTCTCAGGTGAGTAAGAGCCTCTGAACTAGAAGGCAGCCAGTTTTAATATTCTATGATTTTTGCTACCATGGAGGGGATTGCAGGGGGAGAAGAAAGAGATGTTCGCATCCTTGTGCACTCAGTGAAAATCTGTTTACTACATGAACAGGTAGGGCAAAAAGATAACCTCCATAAATCATAAGAATTGCCAGAGAGCTGTGCTCAAATGCGGAAGAACAGAGCCCAGACTCATATTGATTTATGGATCTCATTGCACCTTTGGTTGGTCAAGTGTGAATTTGTTTTTCTTCCTGCAATAATACAATAGATGCTTCTGATTATATTTGGTAGTCATTTCTGGAACATGCAGGGATTAGTTTCAATCATTAGAGAGTATGCTTCCCAACTTGGCCATCATGCAGGCTTCTGTGGTGTTCAGGGCACTGCTATCTAAAAGTTCTTGGAGGTCTTCTTTTCATGTTTTTTTCAATTAAACATAACTTTACCACCACAATCAAAAGTCTGATCATTATATTTCAGTATCTGAAATCACAATATATGCATTGAGCTTTATCTTTGCATTTAGAATTCACTAAATGATATAAATTCTCAATCCTCAGAATATAATCCTAACATGATATACGAGTTTAGTAGACGATAATTAATTTATCTTTTTAACTTTTTTATAAGCACCAGACAAAAGTGAAAGAGAAAATTTGCTATTTTAGCATAATTTATTTAAATTACCCTAAGGCAAATGCTGATATAAGTCACATATTTAAAACAGCAATTATGATTACTTTCCATTGCTGTGTCCCATAGCAACAGTGACAAACATACTATGGATTTTGACAAGCAGACTCTTTTACATAGAATGGTGATAAACTTCTTTGTTATCACAAATAACTGTCTTGAGTTAGGCAGACAGTAACTTGCAAGTGAAATTTGAGGTGATAGTTTTTGGTAAGAGCAATGAGAATATAGTCTCTTAAATTCCAGGTAATTACGTGTCTCAAGGCTTAATAATTGGCTTAATAAATGAATAAATGGCTCTTTGGAATAACTGGATACTAGTTTATTAAATCGTTCATGAAGTTATGGTTAGTTTCACTTTGTGGAGGATTATAAGAGCACTTCTAAGTCCAACAAAACACTTTGAAAATGCGTTTTATTAATTCAAAAGAGGGCTGCAAAAGACACTGTGGATGACAGAAAAAAAAATTGTCTCTCATTAAAGCAGTTGTAGCAACAGCTCCAGACAAAGAACTGAAACAAAATGAATACATTGAGGGTGTTTTCCTTAGGAAGGCAGTACTTTTAAAGGAGAATAGATACACGAGGCTTAGTTTTTCAAAACTGTTCATTCACAGAGAAATGTGAAACCCAAATGACCAGTCTTCATCGGTGGTAGCTCCTCTCTCTCAGTCACAGGTTAGTGTCCACCGCCTCTCATTTATGCCACTTCATTCTGTTACCGAGTAAATGCAGCATCATTTCATAGAGAACTGATGTTAATAAAATTAGCTGGTCACACATTGGAGCATTTATTGAGATCCTCTGGTTGTACATTTCCAGATCACAGTCAAGAAAGAAAACAACCTGTAGACCAATAAGAAAGTGCATCAAAAGCTGCAGGGGCAGCACATTTTTTTCTAACATCATCTCTTCTGGGAAACATTACCCTCCTGTGCTCTTCCAGACCATTGATTCCATTCTGAAACCGTAAAAAAGAGATTATAAATCAAGAGAAAGAGGTACTGGTAGAATACTATGAATGGTTTATAAGTTATTTTGTGAACAAAATTGAGACCATTAGAGCTGGTGAGCAGCTTTCTACCTCTAATCATTTTTTCCATTAACTAAGTTTTGTTGTTTTTTTTTTTTTTTTGCCCTCTCTAGAGAGAATGGCATGATTTTTGTAGCTGTATCCTATAGTAGAATTCTAAAGCATCAAACAGGCAGTGTTTACCAATTTCTACCCACTTTGTATATCTTGTTAAGGTGTCAACACCTAATATAGGTAAACCTTCCTTCTGACATCTCAGAGTACGAACCGCTGGTTAAACTGCTCTAATAAAACAGAGAAATATAATGAAAGTGGTAAGAGACTAAAAGTTAGTTGACCTGGGTCCCAATCTTAGTTCTTCTCAGTCATTGGTATACCCTTAGGAAAAATTGTTTAATAAAATTGAGCCTCAGTTTCCTTCTAAGTACAATGGTAAATATGATGGCACGGACATCTCACAGGATGTTGCACAGAAAAAATAAGATTGCACGTATGAATTTTTAAAAAAAACTGGAAAACATTATTGAATATTAAAGCATAGTATTCATTATCATTTTTTATCCTGTTATTATTTCCATCATCATTTCTACATTGTTCTAAATTTCTACTCTCTCATTCCAGTGAATCTCATGCATATGTTGAGATTATCATCTTATTTCTTGCTTGCTATGTTCTTATTTCTCGGTTGTTATGGGCGTCATCTGTTTCTGCCAACTAGCAGACACATCCTCTTCTGGGTAATGGTTCTTCAATTTCTTTCTGGAACTATTCCGTTCCTTACCCTGAGTCTGTTCATATGTTTCCAGAGGCCCTGACTCTACCTCAGAGACAAATGAAGTGAATTAGGTATAAGCCAATCAGTGTTGCATTTCCTCAACTTCAAATATTTGTCCAAGAACTGACCTGCAATAAAACTTTAGCTGAAAATGCTGGGACACATTCTCTTGCTTTTTTTCTACTTGATATCAACTGGAAAGCATGTACCCCTGAGAACTAACAGCCATTCTGTGACTAAATTCAACACATGTCTGAGAGTGAAATATTCGCAGAGTTTGTAGGCCCAAGACATGAAAGACAAAAATCAGATTTTGCTGAAATGATTTGAAACCCTACATCAAGCTGTGACTGAATGCATACATGTTCCTGTACTGTTCTGTGATCCAGTGAGTTTTTTCCCTTTCTATAAGTCAGCTTTAGTTGTGTTTTATGTTATTTGCAAAGAAAATAACTCAAATACAAAAACTATGATTGTTTGAAAATAGATACTATTTACTGTTTCTGTGTGTCAAGCACTCTCAGAAGACCTTTACACATATAAAGCCCACTTAATCCTCCCATACAGCTCTCTGAGATAGATATTATTTTTATCCCCAGATTTAAGATGAGAAAATTGAGATGCAACTTCTCAAAGTCACACAATTAGTAACGGGAGGAGCCAGTATTCAAACACAGAAGCCATACCATTTTTTTTTTGTATGCAATAAGGATTCTATTTTTTAATGAAAAAATTCCTAACAACCCACATTCAAGGAACAAGAAAATTATATGAGTAACTGAAATTCTTGGACAGTCTTGAATATTTTAACTATTTCAGCTCTGCTCTTGATCACATCACCTTCATGCAAGCCTGTGGAAACCAAAAAAAGAAAGACTCAATGCAAATTTCAATTTCACTTTGTTTTCCACTAGCCTAATGTAATCTGCTCTTCAGAAAATTGACCTGAGGACAGAGATTAGGCTAGTGAAAAACAAGTGAAATTTAAATTTTCCATAAGTGGCAAGTTAGATGGAGAAATTTTCTTCTGCTTACACTCATGGATTCCACTATACATAGCTTGCCCGAGTGGAACGTGAAGCTTTAGGAAATAACTATTCCAGAGTATCTCCTACCCTAGCTCCCACCCAGACACTCTGATTATTCCCCCCTCAATGCTGTCAACCATTCTCTGCTCCCTGCTGCTGACACAGGAGATCCTGTGGCTGAGAACCCAGAAAAGGGCACAGAAGGAGAGCTAGCTGCTTGGTACCTGGTGGAAACTTACAAATCCAGAAGAGAATGGGGTTATAATAAAAAGTTACAAATTCCTGTCAGTCTGGTTCTTATGGACTATTAAAATACCTAGAACTTTACACTACTATATTAGGACACTTTGAAAGAAAGTTTCGACTGGGCGCGGTGGCTCACTCTTGTAATCCCAGAACTTTGGGATGCGGAGGCGGGCGGATCACAAAGTCAGGAGACAGAGACCATCCTGGCTAACATGGTGAAACCCCGTCTCTACTAAAAATACCAAAACAAAATTAGCCAGGCCTGGTGACAGGCACCTGTAGTCCCAGCAACTTGGGAGGCTGAGGCAGAAGAATGGCGTGAACCCGGGAGGCAGAGCTTGCAGTGAGCCGAGGTCGTGCCACTGCACTCCAACCTGGGCGACAGAGCGAGACTCTATCTCAAAAAAAAAAAAAAAGTTTCAGGACTTATTTTATGCAGGGCACACCACTTGGAATCACGGCTCAGCTCTCCCAAACTAGTTATAAATGTGCGGCATAGTCCGATAGGGTTCACTTCCTTGTTCCCAGGTGGTTGCATATCATCACTCAAAGGAATCACTTAAGATAACATTGATATATGAATTATTTTTCCCTGACCAAAAGGAAGCTCTTTCCAGTCAATTGACACTCAGTCTTGAGTGTCTGAATGTCTTGCAGTTAAATTGTTAGAAAATGACATTGAAAGTGGGAAAGGTTTTTTTCTCTTTTGCCTCTCTTCTAACTTTAATACACTAAACGTATTTTCAGTTACTTTATAAACTTGAAATAAATGCTTAACATAAATTTTCATTAAAATTCAGAATGATTTTCAACATCAGATTCTAACTCTAATGTTCATCATAAGTCCATTTTAAATAACAATAGTAATTCTCACTGTCTTCTTTTCTGAAGCACAAAACCACTACTGTCTTCAAGAGGAGAATGAGACACTAATTCATGTCCCATTACATCTTGGTTGGATTACTGCAGTTCATTATAGACTTTCTTGCCTGTTTACTTAGGCAATAAATCTTGTCATTACATATACTACATATCTCAGGTTCAAGATAACTGCACAAAGGCTGTATTGCTATTATAAACCTTTAATTTAAAAATCCATAATTGAAGAAGGGCAAATATGTGGTTGAGGCTTGAAGCATTGGTCATTTGGAGGCACTCCAATGTTGAACTGCACTTGTTCCAAGTAATAATTTCAGAGGTGAGATAAGAAGGGTGATGAGGCCATGGGTCTAAACAGAACCAAATCCCTAAGAGACAATGTTGTCTCATATCTAGAGCCTCATACCTCTGCTTCTACCTATTAACATTGGTAAGACCCTTATTGCCAAGATAAAAACAAAGGCTGCAAAAATCAAGTAGAAAGGTTTAGCAGATAAGAAGCACAAACAGACACTTTGTCAACCCTTGAATGCTGATGTTGGTTCCCTCGGGATTTTTCAAATTCACCAAACTTTTATGCTGAAAATTAATGAAGAGTAGTTATTTAAAAAATCAAACCCTCATGCCTTTCACCTTCTTTAGACATCTTTCAAAGTGAATATTAAAAATGGCCCAGTGTTTATTAAGTGTTGGACACACTGCTAAATACTTAAGTACTCACATCTCTTGCAAGAGTCCCTTAAAATGGTGTGTGGGTGGGGGGAACGACATTACTTAAAATATAATTGAATTAAGTGTGAATTTAAATTATTAATTTGTTGATAAGTAGATTAATAAATTAATTTATTCTCTGGAGCTGAAATTGAGATGAAGTTTAGATAACATGTCTATCTAATCTTAAAGCTACACCATGACCATTGATGTTGGTCTCAAACACACAGGTACAGTTTTATGCTATTTCCATTTGTTAAATCCTTGAACCGACCTGATTGTTCTAGAGGAGTTGGGCTTCAGCTCTCTTTCCTCAAAACCATTCATACTCTCTCCAGGTAATTTAATTTCTCCTTCTTTAAGCTTCAACTTCTACCTCTTCAACTGCAACTTTTAAATTTATATCTCTAGCTCTAATCTCTCTTCTGTCTTCCAGAATTATGTTGCCAACTTTATTTTTTTAATCTTTTGAGTTGTTTTTAAATTTTTTACTTTGAAATAATTTTAAACTTACTAAAGACTTTCAAAGAGAGTACAGAGAGGCCACAGATACCCTTCACCCACTTTCCCCTAATGTTGACCTCTTTTCTAACTATTATCACATTAATAATTATCACAACTATCATAATTAGCATTGGTGGCTGGGCGTGGTGGCTCACATCTGTAATCCCAGCACTTTGGGAGGCCAAGGCGAGAGGATGACTTGAGCCCAGGTGTTCAAGACCAGTCTGGGCAACATGATGAAACCCCATCTCTACAACAAATACAAAAATTATCTGGGTGTGGTGGTAAGCACCTATAATCCCAGCTGTTCAGGAGGCTGAGGCTGGAGGATAGATTGAGCCCAGGAGGTTAAGACTGCAGTGAGCTATGATTATGCCACTGCACTACAGCCTGGGCAACAGAGTGAGACCCTGTTTCGAAGAAGGAGAAGGAGGAAAAGGAGGAGAAATAAATTAGCACTGGTGCAAAGCTCTTAACTAAATTACAGACATTTTTGAATTTGTTTAGTTTTCCACGAATGTTTTTCTTTGTAGAATAATCCAATCTAAGACACCACATTGCATTTAGTCTCTTCTGGTGTGTGACAGCTTCTCAATCTAAGTTTTTCATGACCTTCAAACTTGCAATCAGTTACTTTGTTTTTTTTTTTTTTGACTTTTTCTCATGATTAGACTGATGTTATGGATATTTGGAAAGAATACCAAAGAAAGAAGTGTCTTTCTCACTTCATCTTATCTTATGTCTCATTATTTGTGATGTTAACCTTGGCAACTTGGTAAAGGGAGTTTCTTCCAGGTTTCTCCAATATGAAGCTACTATTTTTTATCTTCCATGCTCCACTTTTAAAAATTGAGTCCCTAAGTCCAGTACACACAAAAAGGGAGAGAAATTAAGTTTCAATTCCTGAAGGGAGACCTGTGAAAATGTTTTTCAACATCATATGTTAATAAAAGCAGAGCAGAAAACAGATTAAAACGGCAAGTAGGAGGCAGGACTAGCTTGCAGCTCCCACTTGGACAGACGGAGCAGTGTGTGAAGACTCACATCATGAACTTTTGCTCACGAACTACTTCAGGAACGTATGAGGAAACTGGAGAGAATCCAGAGACCTTTCGAAGGAACTGGATTATCCCTGAAGGCTTCCTGAGATGCCAAAAAACTGTGAATCTGCTTGCTTTCTCAATGCGGAGGCTCGTGGTCTGGGGCAAGTTCTCAGCACTGGTCACTGGCTGCCTGGAAAGAGGCTGAGTGCTGTTGGGGGTGCACTGTAGGAGTGAGATTGGCCTTCAGGACAGCAGGCTGCATGGGAGTGGGATGAGGCCTGTGACTGCCGGCTTTCCTCACTTTCCTGGCAACCTGTATGACTCAGCAGAGGCAGCCATAATCCTCCTGGGAATATAACTTCACTGGACTGGGAACCACAATCCCAGCAGCAGCCTCACTCAAGGAGAGGCTGAGCTCAGACACACCTATCTCTAATCCCACCTGATAGTCTTTCTCTACCTGCCCTGGTAGCCAAAGACAAAGGTCATAATCTCTTGGGAGCCCTATGGCCTTACATACAGCTGAGAAACTGGAATACTTAACCAGGTGTCCTTAGGGCAAATTTGTGCCCTCCCTATAAGATCACAGCTGATGCACTCTTGAAAGCACCACCTAGCCAGAGGACAATCAACTCAAAACCAGTGCACTAAACAAAAATACAATCAAAGACTCTCACAGAGTCCTCTTCACTCCCCAGCTACGTCCACCAGAGCAGGTGCTGGTATCCACAGATGCAAGACCTGATGACAGATCACATCACAGGACTTTTGGCAGACACCCCCCAGTACCAACCTGGAGCCCAGTAGCTCCACTGGGTGGCTAGGCTCAGAAAAGCAAAAACAATCACTGCAATTCAGCTCCCAGGAAACCCCATTGCTAGGCAAAGCAGGAGAACACCACATCAAGGGAGCAGACTGTGGGACAAAAGAATCTGAACAGTAGCCCTTGAAGCCCAGATATTCCTCTGACATAGTCTATCCAAATGAGAAGGAACCAGAAAAATAATTTTGATAACATGACATAACAAGGTTTTTAAAACCCCCACAAAAATTATACCAGCTCACCAGCAATGGATCCAACAAAGAAGAACTCTATGAATTGCCAGAAAAAGAATTCAGAAGGTCAATTATTAAGCTAATCAAGGAGGCACCAGAGAAAAATGAAGTCCAACTTAAACAAATCAAATCATGATACAGGATATGAAAGGAAAGATCTTCAATGAAATAGAGTATAAATAAAACAACAATCATAACTTCTGGAAATCCAGGACACACCTAGAGAAATGCAAAATGCACTGGGAAGTCTCAGCAATGGAATTGAGCAAGCAGAAGAAAGAACTTCAGAGCTTAAAGACAAGGCGTTTGAATTTACCAAATCCAAGAAATACAAAGAAAAAATAATTTTAAAAAATGAACAAGCCTCCAAGAAGTTTGGGACTATGTTAAACATCCAAACCTAAGAATAATTGGTGATCCTGAGGAAGAAAAGAAATCTAAAAGTTTGAAAAACCTATTTGAAGGAATAATTGAGGAAAACTTCTCCAGTCTTGCTAGAGATCTAGACATCCAAATACAAGAAACTCAAAGAACACCTGGGAAATTCATCACAAAAAGATTGTCGCCTAGGCACATGGTCATCAGGTTATCTAAAGTCAAGACAAAGGAAAGAATCTTAAGACCTGTAAGGCAAAAGCATCGGATAACTTATAAAGGAAAACCTATCAGATTAACAGCAGATTTCTCAGCAGAAACCCTACAAGCTAGAAGGGATTGGGGTCTTATTTTTAGCCTCCTTAAACAAAATAATTATCAGCCAAGAATTTTGTATCCAGTGAAATTAAGCTCCATAAATGAAGGAAAGATAAAGTCTTTCCCAGACAAACAAATGCTGAGAAAATTCGCCACTGCCAAGCCAGCACTACAAGAACTGCTAAAAGGAGCTCTAAATCTTGAAACAAATCCTCAAAATATGCAAAATAGAAACTCCTTAAAGCATAAATCTCACAGGACCTATATAATAATAATAAAATTTAAAAAAAGGGAGGTATTCAGGCAACAGTTAGAAGGATGAATAGAATAGGACTTCACATCTCAACACTAATAGTGAATGTAAATGGCCTAAATACTCCACTTAAAAAATACAGAATGGCAGAATGAATAAGAATTCACCAACCAAGTTTCTGCTGTCTTCAGGAGACTGACCTAACACATAAGGACTCACATAAACTTCAGGTAAAGGGGTGGAAAAAGATATTCCATGCAAATGGACACCACAAGTGAGCAAAAGTGGCTCTTCTTATATCAGACAAATTAGACTTTAAAGAAACAACAGTTAAAAAAGACAAAGAGAGATATTATATAATGATAAAAGGACAGTCCAACTGGAGTATACCACAATTCTAAATATATACATGCACCTAACACTGGAGCTCCCAAATTTATAAAACTATTACTACTAGACCTAAGAAATCAGATAGATGGCAACATAAGGTGGGGGGTGGGAGCATTAATACTCCACTGACAGCACTAGACAGGCCATCAAGACAGAAAGTCAACAAAGAAACAATGGATTTAAACTATACCCTACAATAAATCGACTTAACAGATATTTAGAGAGCATTCTACCCAACAACTGCAGAATATACATTCTATTCATCAGCACATGGAACATTCTTCAAGATAGATCATATCATGGACCACAAAACAAGTCTCAGTAAATTTAAGAAAATTGAAATTATATCAAGTACTCTCTCAGACCACAGTGGAATAAAACTGAAAATCAACTCCAAAAGGAACCCTCAGGTTGGGCATGGTGGTTCATGCCTGTAATCCCAGCACACTGGGAGGCTAAGGCAGGCAGATCACCCGAGGTCAGGAGTTTCAGACAAGCCGGCCAACATGGCGAAACCCTGTCTCCACTAAAAATACAAAAATTAGCTAGACATGGGTGACAAAATGAGAATCCATCAAAACGAAAGAAAACAAACTAAACTAAAAACAATAGGAACACTCAAAATCATGCAAATACATGGAAATTAAATAACCTGCTCCTGAATGATCATTGGATCAACAATGAAATCAAGATGGAAATTAAAAAAATATTTTAACTAAACAGTAATATTAACACAACCTATCAAAACTTCTGGGATATAACAAAAGCAGTGCCAAAAGGAGAGTTCATAACATTAAATGCCTACACCAAAAAGTCTGAAACAGCACAAATAGACAATCTAAGGTCAACCTCACGGAACTGGAGAAACAAGAACATTCCAAACCCAAACCCAGCATAAAAAAGAAATAACAAAGACCAGAGCAGAACTAAGTAAAATTGAAACTAACAAACAAACAAATACAAAAGAAAATCCTAAATATATATGCACCCAATACAGGAGCACCCAGATTCATAAAGCAAGTCCTGAGTGACCTACAAAGAGACTTAGACTCCCACACAATAATAATGGGAGACTTTAACACCCCACTGTCAACATTAGACAGATCAACGAGACAGAAAGTTAACAAGGATACCCAGGAATTGAACTCAGCTCTGCACCAAGTGGACCTAATAGACATCTACAGAACTCTCCACCCCAAATCAACAGAATATACATTTTTTTCAGCACCACACCACACCGATTCAAAATTGACCACATAGTTGGAAGTAAAGCTCTCCTCAGCAAATGTGAAAGAACAGAAATTATAACAAACTGTCTCTCAGACCACAGTGCAATCAAACTAGAACTCAGGATTAAGAAACTCACTCAAAACAGCTCAACTACATGGAAACTGAACAACCTGCTCCTGAATGACTACTGGGTACACAACCAAATGAAGACAGACATAAAGATGTTTTTTGAAACCAAAGAGAACAAAGACACAACATACCAGAATCTCTGGGACACATTCAAAGCAGTGTGTAGAGGGAAATGTATAGCACTTAATGCCCACAAGAGAAAGGAGGAAAGATCCAAAATTGACACCCTAACATCACAATTAAAAGAACTAGAAAAGCAAGGGCAAACACATTCAAAAGCTAGCAGAAGGCAAGAAATAACTAAAATCAGAGCAGAACTGAAGGAAATAGAGACACGAAAAAACCTTCAAAAAATTAACGAATCCAGGAGCCGGTTTTTTGAAAGGATCAACAAAATTTATAGACCCCTAGCAAGATTAATAAAGAAGAAAAGAGAGAAGAATCAAATAGACGCAATAAAAAATGATAAAGGGGATATCACCACCGATCCCACAGAAATACAAACTACCATCAGAGAATACTACAAACACCTCTACGCAAACAAACTAGAAACTCTAGAAGAAATGGATAAATTCCTCGACACATACACCCTCCCGAGACTAAACCAGGAAGAAATTGAATCTCTGAATAGACCAATAACAGGCTCTGAAATTGTGGCAATAATCAATAGCTTACCAACCAAAAAGAGTCCAGGACCAGATGGATTCATAGCCGAATTCTACCAGAGGTACAAGGAGGAACTGGAACCATTCCTTCTGAAACTATTCCAATCAATAGAAAAAGAGGGAATCCTCTCTAACTCATTTTATGAGGCCAGCATCATCCTGATACCAAAGCCGGGCAGAGACACAACCAAAAAAGAGAATTTTAGACCAATATCCTTGATGAACATCGATGCAAAAATCCTCAATAAAATACTGGCAAACGGAATCCAGCAGCACATCAAAAAGCGTATCCACCATGATCAAGTGGGTTTCATCCCTGGGATGCAAGGCTGGGTCAATATACACAAATCAATAAATATAATCCAGCATATAAACAGAACCAAAGGCAAAAACCACATGATTATCTCAATAGATGCAGAAAAGGCCTTTGACAAAATTCAACAACACTTCATGCTAAAAACTCTCAATAAATTAGGTATTGATGGGACGTATCTCAAAATAATAAGAGCTATCTATGACAAACCCACAGCCAATATCATACTGAATGGGCAAAAACTGGAAGCATTCCCTTTGAAAACTGGCACAAGACAGGGATGCCCTCTCTCACCACTCCTATTCAACATAGTGTTGGAAGTTCTGGCCAAGGCAATTAGGCAGGAGAAGGAAATAAAGGGTATTCAATTAGGAAAAGAGGAAGTCAAATTGTCCCTGTTTGCAGATGACATGATTGTATATCTAGAAAACCCCATTGTCTCAGCCCAAAATCTCCTTAAGCTGATAAGCAACTTCAGCAAAGTCTCAGGATACAAAATCAATGTACAAAAATCACAAGCATTTTTATACACCAATAACAGACAAACAGAGAGCCAAATCATGAGTGAACTCCCATTCACAATGGCTTCAAAGAGAAAAAAATACCTGGGAATCCAACTTACAAGGGACATGAAGGACCTCTTCAAGGAGAACTACAAACCACTGCTCAAGGAAATAAAAGAGGACACAAAGAAATGGAAGAACATTCCATGCTCATGGGTAGGAAGAATCAATATCATGAAAATGGCCATACTGCCCAAGGTAATTTACAGATTCAATGCCATTCCCATCAAGCTACCAATGACTTTATTCACAGAATTGGAAAAAGCTACTTTAAAGTTCATATGGAACCAAAAAAGAGCCCACATCGCCAAGTCAATCCTAAGCCAAAAGAACAAAGCTGGAGCCATCACACTACCTGACTCCAAACTATACTACAAGGCTACAGTAACCAAAACAGCATGGTACTGGTACCAAAACAGAGATAAAGATCAATGGAACAGAACAGAGCCCTCAGAAATAACGCCGCATATCTACAACTATCTGATCTTTGACAAACCTGAGAAAAACAAGCAATGGGGAAAGGATTCCCTATTTAATAAATGGTGCTGGAAAAACTGGCAAGCCATACGTAGAAAGCTGAAACTGGATCCCTTCCTTACACCTCAAACAAAAATTAATTCAAGATGGATTAAAGACTTAAATGTTAGACCTAAAAACATAAAAACCCTAGAAGAAAACCTAGGCATTACCATTCAGGACATAGGCATGGGCAAGGACTTCATGTATAAAACACCAAAAGCAATGGCAACAAAAGCCAAAATTGACAAATGGGATCTCATTAAACTAAAGAGCTTCTGCATAGCAAAAGAAACTACCATCAGAGTGAACAGGCAACCTACAGAATGGGAGAAAATTTTCACAACCTACTCATCTGACAAAGGGCTAATATCCAGAATCTACAATGAACTCAAACAAATTTACAAGAAAAAAACAAACAACCCCATCAAAAAGTGGGCGAAGGACATGAACAGACACTTCTCAAAAGAAGACATTTATGCAGCCAAAAACACATGAAAAAATGCTCACCATCACTGGCCATCAGAGAAATGCAAATCAAAACCACAATGAGATACCATCTCACACCAGTTAGAAGGGTAATCGTTAAAAAGTCATGAAAAAACAGATGCTGGACAGGATGTGGAGAAATAGGAACAATTTTACACTGTTGGTGGGACTGTAAACTAGTTCAACCATTGTGGAAGTTGGTGTGGCGATTCCTCAGGGATCTAGAACTAGAAATACCATTTGACCCAGCCATCCCATTACTGGGTATATACCCAAAGGACTATAAATCATGCTGCTATAAAGACACATGCACACATATGTTTATTGCGGCACTATTCACAATAGCAAAGACTTGGAACAAACCCAAATATCCAACAATGATAGATTGGATTAAGAAAATGTGGCACATATACACCATGGAATACTATGCAGCCATAAAAAATGATGAGTTCATGTCCTTTGTAAGGACATGGATAAAATTGGAAATCATCATTCTCAGTAAACTATCACAAGGACAAAAAACCAAACACCGCATGTTCTCACACATAGGTGGGAATTGAACAATGAGAACACATGGACACAGGAAGGGGAACATCACACTCTGGGGACTGTTGTGGGGTGGGGGGAGGGGGGAGGGATAGCATTAGGAGATATACCTAATGCTAAATGATGAGTTACTGGGTGCAGCACCCCAGCATGGCACATGTATACATATGTAACTAACCTGCACATTGTGCACATGTACCCTAAAACTTAAAGTATAATAATAATAAAATAAAAATAAATAAATAAATAGAGGGAGCATATTCTAAAATAACAATAAAATTATAATATAGCAAATGCATAAACCAAAAAAAAAGAAGAAAATGGAACAAAAAGTTGGTTCTTTTAAAAGATAAATAAAATCGATAGAAACAAATCCTTGAAATACACCAAAATAGAACCTCCTTAAAGCATAAATCTAATAGGACCTATAAAACAATAACACAATGAAAAAAGGTATTCAGGTAATAAATAGCACAATTACTAGAATAGCACCTCACACCTCAATACTAACATTGAGTGTAAATGGCTTAAATGCTCCAATTAAAAGACACAGAATGGCAGAATGGATAAGAATTCACCAATATAGTTTTTGCTGTCTTCAGGAGACTGACCTAACACATACGGACTCACAGAAATTTAAGGTAAAGGGGCAGAGAAAGATAAGTGAGATTGATGAAGAATAAAAGAGAGAAGATCCAAATAAGCTCAATTAGAAATGAAAGGGGAGCTATTACAACTGATACCACAGTGATACCACAGAAATACAAAAGATTATTCAAGGCTACTATGAACACCTTTACATGCATAAACTAGAAAACTTAATGGAGATGGATAAATTCCTGGAAGCATACAACCCTCCTAGGTTAAACCAGGAAAATATAGAATCTCTGAACAGACCAATAACAAGCAGCAAGCTTGAAATGGTAATTAAGAATTTGCCAACAAAAAAAAATCCAGGAATAGATGGATTTACAGCTGAATTCTATCAAACATTCAAAGAAGAGTTGGTACCAATCTTTTTGACACTATTTCAAAAAATAAACAAAGAGGAAATCCTCCTTAAATGATTCTATGAAGCCAGTATTACCCAAATACCAAAACCAGAAAAGGACATAATAAAAAAAGAAAACTACAGACCGGTATCCCTGATGAACATATACGCAAAAAATCCTCAACAAAATGCTAGCAAATTGAATCCAACAGCATATCAAAAAGATAATCCACCATGATCAAGTGGGTTTCATAACAGGGATGCAGGGATGGTTTAACATATGTAAGTTAATAAATGTGATACACCACATAAACAGAATTAGAAACAAAAATCACATGATCATCTCAAGAGACACAGAAAAACCGTTTGACAAAATCCAGCATCCCTTTATGATTAAAACCCTTCAGCAAAATCGGCATGAAAGAGACATACCTTAAGGCAATAAAAGCCATCTATGACAAACCCGTAGCCAACATTATACTGAACAGGGAAAAGTTGAAAGCCTTCACCCTGACACCCAGAACAAGACGAGGATGCCCACTTTCACCACTTCTATTCAACGTAGTACTGGAAGTCCTAGCCAGAGCAATCAGACAAGAGAAAGAAATAAAGGGCATCCAAATCCATAAAGAGGAAGTGAAACTGTCACTGTTTTCTGATAAAATGATCATATACCTAGAAAACCCTAAAGACTCATCAAAGAAGCTCTTAGAGCTGGTAAATAAATTCAGCAAAGATTCAGGATACAAAATTAATGTACACAGATCAGTAGCTCTGCTATACACCAACAGCAACCAAGCTGAGAATTTAATCAAGAACTCAACCCCTTTCACAATAGATGCAAAAATAAAATTAAAAAAATAAAATACAATACTTAGGAATATACCTAACAAAGGACATGAAAGACCTCTACAAGGAAAACTACAAAACACTGCTGAAAGAAATCTTAGATGACTCAAACAAATGGAAGCACATTCCATGCTCATGGATGGGTAGAATCAATATTGTGAAAATGACCATACTGCTAAAAACAATCTACAAACTCAATGCAATTCTCATCAAAATACCACTATCATTCTTCACAGAACTAGAAAAAAAATCCTAAAATTCATATGCAACCAACAAAGAGTCAATAAAGCCAAAGCAAGACTAAGCAAATAGAACAAATCTGGAGGCATCACATTACCCAACTTCACTATAAGGCCATAGTCACCAAAACAGTATGGTGTTGGTATAAAAATTGGCACATAGACCAATAGAACAGAATAGAGAACCCAGAAATAAAACCAAATACTTAGAGCCAACTTACTTTTGACAAGTGAACAAAAGCATAAAATGAGGAAAGGTTACCCTATTCAATAAATGGTGCTGGGATAATTGCCAAGCCACATACAGAAGAATGAAACTGGATCCTCATCTCTCACCCTACACAAAAACTAACTCAAGATGGATTAAACACTTAAATCTAAGATATGAAACCATAAAGATTCTAGAAGATAACATTGGAAAAACCCTTCTAGACCTTGGCTTAGGCAAAGACTTTATGACCACGAACCCAAAAGCAAATGCAACAAAAACAAAGATAAATAGATTGGACTTAGTTAAACTAAAAAGCTGCACAGCAAAAATAATAATAATCATCATCGGCAGCAGCAGAGTTAACAGACAACCCACAGAGTGGGAGAAAATCTTCACAATCTATATATCTGACAAAGGACTAATGTCTAGAATGTACAAAGAACTCAAACAAATCAGCAAGAACAAAAACAATCCCAACAAAATGTTGGACAAAGACATGAATAGACAATTCTCGAAAGAAGATGTACAAATGGCTTACAAGCATATGGAAAAATGCTCAACACCAGTAATTATCAGGGAAATGTGAATCAAAACTACAATGCAATACCACCTCATTCCTGCAAGAATGACCATAATCAAAGAAAGAATAATAGTTGTTGAGGACATGGTGAAAACAGAACACTTCACTGTTGGTGGGAAGGTAAACTAGTACAATGACTATGGAAAACAGAGTAGAGATTCATTAAAGAACTAAAAGTACATCTACTGTTTGTTCCAGCATTCCCACTACTAGATATCTACCCAGAGGAAAAGAAACCATTACACACACACACACACAAAAATTCCACATCCATGTTTATAGCAGCACAGTTTGCAATTGCAAAAAATATGGAACCAGCCCAAATGCCCATCAATCAATGAGTGGATAAAGAAAATGTTGTATAGACACACACACAGACACACACACACACACACACACACACACACACACACACAATGGAATACTACTCAGCCATAAAAAGGAATGAAATAATGGCATTCGCAGCAACCTGGATGGAAGTGGAGACTATTACTCTAAGTGAAGTAACTCAGGAGTGGAAAACCAAACATTATATGTTCTCACTCATATGTGGGAGCTAAGCTATGAGGATACAGAGGAATGAGAATGATACATTGGACTTTGGGAACTCGGGGGAATGGTTGGGGGATGGCAAGGGATAAAAGACTACACATTGGGTACAGTGTATACTGGTTGGGTGACCAGTGCACCAAAATCTCAAAAGTCACCACTAAATAACTTATTCATGTAACCAAACACCATCTGTTCCTCAAAAACCTATTGAAATAAAATTTTAAAAATTAAAAAATATTAAAACTAATTAAAGCACAGCAATTAAAAATTTCATGGGGAAATACTTTGTGACTGTTCCTCTTTAGAGTTTTGCCTACTAATTCTAGCATTCACATTTGATCTTGCCCAAAATAATTACTACTATGATGTAGCAATGATAATTGTTTTACTTTCCACATTCTTCCCACATTTAATAACTAAAATTCTTCTGTACAGAAGAGTTATCATACTTCCTTATTTATTTATTTATAAACATATATAAATATATAGATATTTGTATTTATAAAAACATATTTTTATAAATATAAAATAATTTATTATTCTCTACAGAAGGGTTGTCATACTTCCTTATTTATTTTTTATTCATATTAGAATGGACTCATGGATGTATATTTTAGGTAATAATTTATTACTATTGCTATTGTTTTGTTGTTTGAATTGTTTCAGCTTTGGCCATTGGGAGTTCTTTCATGTTTACACCTATGTCCTTGACCTATGTGCCTATCCTCTCTTTTTCTTTTGTAGCAGGTCTTTTATAGTACACTTTCTGACCATTTAGGTTTATCTGAATCTTCCGATATTTTCCTTGTCTCAGTTCTAGATTTAACCATTTCCACAAGGGGCCCTGGAAAACAGTCTTCAGAGAACAAATGGTGTGTTCATTTCTCCTGAGGTTTCACTAATTTAAAGCCTCTCAGCCAACATGGTAGGGAGTGTATATATTTATACTAACCTATGTATACACACAATCTACGTTTACTTTATCTACCTATTATCTATATATCTAATCTATCTATCTATAATCTATCTTTTAAAATAATCATGAGTTTATTCTGATATCTCCCACTCTGACAAACCACCTCAGAGCTCTTCGTTGCTTTTTCTATTTGCTTATTTTTTGTTAACTTCTCTTACAAGGGCAAAACTGGTTCTCATTATCTATAGTATATTTACTTGTTCAAGTCTTGCATAAATGTAGTCAAAACTGCTAAACTGTACCCCTGTGAAAAATAAATCTAGACATAAGACTAAATGTTTTGTGTACAATTTTTCTAGCCTATCAGTATTTAGTCAAGGCACTGTTTTACCAAGGTATTTAGATGAGTTCCTTTCCTTTCCTTCCCCTTCAGTGAGCTTATGTCATCTATTGTAATATAGTTAAATTCCTTCTTCATATACTGTATATACCAACTAGAGTTCTCCAGCCATCCTTTTTCTTTTTTATTTTGTAGTTAAAAACTTATGTATAACAGATTTATATACAACATACAAATTATGAGTACATCTCCAGTGAATTTTTCAAAGGACACACATGTAATTTCCAGTCAGTTAAAGACAGGAATGATCACTAACACACTTGACCCTCCTTTATGACCCTTTTGATCATTATTTATCAGAAAAATAATGTTTATTTTGACTTATGTAACAGGGGTTAACTTTGTTTTTCAACATTCTGTAAACAGATAACCTTTTAAAAATTCAATACATTTATGAGATCCACCCATGTAGTGACATATATGAGGTACTTGTTCTTTTTAATTGCCCTACAGTATTCTTTAATCAACTTTATTGAGGTACATTGGACATGCAATAAACTGCACTCATTTTCAAGTATACTGTTTGAGTTTTGACATACATATGCATTCATTTAACTACCATCTTACTCAAGATATACAATTCTCCCATCACCACAAAAAAATCTCTCATGCTACTTTACAGACTGGACCATCTTCCCCCTTGTATTAGTTTGTTCCATGGGCTGAACAGGAAGCATGGCTCGCAGGCCTCAGGAAACTTAAAATCATGGCAGAAGGTGAAGTGGAAGCCAACACATCCTACATGGCTGGAGCAGGAGAAAGAGAGAGCAAGGGGAAAGATGCTACACACTTTTCAACAACTGATCCCATGAGAGCTCAGTCATGAGACAACACTAGGGGGATGGTGCTATATCATTAGAAACCACCTTCATGATCCAGTCACCTCCCACCAGGCCCCACCTCCAACAGTGGGAATTATAATTCAACATGAGATTTGGGTAGGGACACAGAGCCAAACCATATCACCCATGCACCCTGCATAGCACTTATTTCTTACCAAATTGGTCATTTGAAATATTAAACTCTTCGTGTTGCTTTCCAGCTCTCCAATCCTTCAGGTCTTCCCCATTGCTTTCAGGATAAAATAGGATCTTTTGGATAACTTTTATGTTCTCCCTGAGCTGACCTCTGTACACTTCCACTTGCTGCTCTCCTCCCTTTCACTTTACTGTCCTTCCATATAGAACTACTTACAAATCCATGAATGGCCCAGGCTCTTTACTTCCTGTCTTCACACATGCATGACATTCTTTAAATCAAGAGTATTTTTCTTTATTTTCTTACTCATGACCACCCAATTGGGAAACTTTGCTGCACTTCACTTTATAAGTAACACTACCATCAATTCCTATACTTGTATGAAATTATGGCCCTAGGATGTGGTCTGATAACACAGGCCCCACTCTGTTATATGCTTATTGTATCTTTTTTTGTACTTAAATTGTATTTTCTAAATTATCATACCAAAAGCTTTACTTTTTAGGATGTTTACTTTTATAAATATTTACATAACTATAGATTTATGTAATTACCAACACAATTAGAATATAAAACAGTTAAATCTCTCTAAAAAACTCTTATCATGCTATCATTGTATAGTCATCCTCTCTCTTTCCCTAACACCTGGCAATGACTGATCTGTGCTTCATCACTATTGTTTGTCTTTATGAGAATGTTATATTAATGGAATTATAGAATATGCAAATTTTAAGCATAGTTTTGAAATTCATCCAAGTTGTGGGTCATTTTTTTTTTTTTGAGATGGAGTCTCATTCTGTCACTCAGGCTGGAGTGCAGTGGCATGATCTCTGCTCACTGCAACCTCTGTCTCCCAGGTTCAAGCACTTCTCCTGCCTCAGCCTCCTGAGTAGCTGGTATGACAGGCGTGCACCACCACACCCGGCTAATTTTTGTATTTTTAGTAGAGACAGGGTTTCGACATGTTGGCCAGACTGGTCTTGAACTCCCGACCCCATGATTTGCCTGCCTCGGCCTCCCAAAGTGCTGGGATTACAGCGTGAGCCACCGCACCTGGCCAGTTGTGTGTAATTTTTTTTTTAATTATTTATCTTCCTTTCTTTTTGCTTTATGTTGGGTTGAATATTTTTTATGATTCCATGTCTGCTTTTTAGTTATTATTTATACATATTTTTAAAAATTAATGATCTATATTAAGATAAAATTGTAGTGCTTTATATGTAAACTAAAGACAATATTACATTAATAATTATTCCCTCTCTACCTCTGTGTAATAGTTGTCATTTTTTAACTGTTATATATTGTAAGCACACAATACCTTCTTGCTATTTTTGCTTTTGAAAGTCACTCATCTATTAATAAAAAATTAAAAGAAAATGAATTTTATTTTTCATTGATTTATTCTTTCTCTAACTCTCTTTGATTTTTACTGTAGATCCACGTTGCTGATGGGTGTTATATACTTTGTCCTTTACCATTGATTGAAGAGTAGGTTAGGTCAGTTAGTAATTACTTTATTTCTCCTTAATTTTTGAAGAATATTTTTGCTAACTGTAGCATTTTGGATTGACAAGATTGTTTGTTATTTAATTGCTTTCTATTTTTTGTTCTTATTTAAGAGTTTAAACATGTACCTCCATCGTCTTTTTTCTTATATGGCTTCTAAAAAGAAATTCGTTGTAATTGCTAGCATTGTTTTTTTCATGGACAATATGTACTTTTTTCTCTCTTTGCCCTCAGAATTTTCTCTTTGTTGCTTTTAGCAGTTTACATTTTTGATATAGCTAGTTGTTTTTTTTCCAAATTGATTATTTGCTTGTTTTTGGTTTTTATTTTATGTGATGTTCCCTAAGCTTCTTGGATTTCTGTTTTATTGTCTGAAATTAATTTTGACAAATCCTTGGATGTTATTCTTCAAACATTTCTTCTGTTCTCTTTTTCGCTATACTTCATGGTTCCAATTTCAAATATGTTTGAACACTTAACATTTTCTTACCATTCTTGGATGCTCTGTTATAGTGTTTTTAGCGTTTTATTTCTTTCTGTTTTGATTTGTGTAGCTTCTATTGTCCCATCTTCACGCTCACTAATTCTTTTCTAACTCAGATGAATCTACTGATGATAAACTCATTGAAAAAAACAACAATTCTTCATCACTCTCATTGTGTTTTTTATTTCTCACATTTTTAATGTTTTTGGATAGATTTCATATCTTCTCTGAAATTACTCATCTAACAGTACATGCTGTCTAATATTTCTATTGAAAGCTTCATATATTAATCATAGATAGTTTAAATTCCTTCTCATACAGTTCCAACATGATTAGTTCCAAACAGGAATCTAGTTCTCTTGATTGCTTTGTCTCTTCTGATTGCATTTGTTCTAGCCTTTTTCTTATGCCTCCTATATTTCGGATAAAACCAAGACATCTCTTTTGGATATTCTGCATTGTGATCTATATTGAGTGATTAAGCAGTGAGGAAAAGACCGTAAATGCTACATGGTGCTGCTTCAGAAACAGAACTGAGAGCGCAGGTATAACATGGGGAGAAGATTGGGTCAGGCATAACTGAATACACTGTGGGTGGTACTCAAGATGAAAGCCCCCGATCTCTTTCTGTATTGTTATTTAATTGCTTATGGATTGCCATGGAAGGTTTAGGAAGGGGCAGGTCCTCCTGCTGTGCCAGTTTATCACTGACTACCTGAAGAAGATCTGCTGTCAGTATCACAGTCTAAATCTGAAATGTAATATCTATTGGCTTCATTCCTCACTTAAATCTAAGACAGTGAAAACTAATTTTAATATTCTGTTTGATAAAGAACAATTCAACTTGGGTATTAGAAAAAAAAACTATTGAGTGAGATCAGAATTTTTCTGTGAGCAAGATACAAACGGTCTGTGTTTATTTTATTTATATATGCCTTCAGGTCTTAATATTTTTTGACTATTTCACCATCTTTCTTTTTTTTGTGGTTATCTGTGAAAAGCATGATTGACTGCATCCAAACTAAGACACCAGTGTGTGCGTGTGTGTGTGTGCGCGCATGCGTGTATTTCCATTAGCATTCTCATTTCATCATGACTGATAGAATCCTAAATCTCTCTATTCACTGGGTCATACTAATTGCCTAAGTCAAATTTTAATTTTGGGAGAAGTGCTCAATTTAAGCCAGCAAATAAACTGCTAAATAATGGATCTCTGCATTAGTGGAGAAGGTAAACTAGTGCCTCAATTATTCCCATCACTTCCAAGTTTCTATGACTGTCAAAATTGTATCTTCTCATTTTTCCATTAAAATACATGATACAGGCCGGGCGCAGTGGCTCACGCCTGTAATCCCAACACATTGGGAGGCCGAGGCGGGCGGACCACGAGGTCAGGAGATCAAGACCATCCTGGCCAACACAGTGAAACCCCGTCTCTACTAAAAATACAAAAAATTAGCGGGCTTGGTGGCGGGCGCCTGTAGTCCCAGCTACTCGAGAGGCTGGGGCAGGAAAATGGTGTGAACCCGGGAGGCAGAGCTTGCAGTGAGCCGAGATCGCACCACTGCACTCCAGCCTGGGCGACAGAGCGAGACTCCGTCTCAAAAACAAATAAATAAATACATAATAAAATAAAATAAAAAATAAAAATATATGATACAAAAGAAAGATCAATTCCCTTACAAGAAAACTTGGGTTGTTCCCAAAATATACTATACTCTGTGATGTTATGTAAATTATTTATGTTTTGTAAATTATAGTTTCACTACTATTTTTCATTTATTTTTTATTATTTTTATTTTTTTTTTTGGAGATAAGATCTTGCTCTGTTGACCAGGCTAGAGTGCAGTAGTGTGATCATAGTGAAGTGGCTACATTGTCTAGGGTATATACCCGGGGTTTGTTATCTTCCACAGGAAAAATTTAGGCACGAACACACATGAGGAGTTCAGGAGTGGAGGTTTAATAAGCAGAAGAAAGAGAAAGAAAAACAGCTCTCTCTCTACTGAGAGAGATTGGGGACTTCCAAAAGGGAAGACCAGCCGGCTGGCGGTAGATGCACAGGATTTTATAGTCCGGCTTGAGGAGGCGGTGTCTGATTAACACTGGACTCACAGATTGGCTCAATCAGGTGTGGTATTTACACAGAGCTCGGGGAAAGCTGGTCGCCCCACTCTAATGTTATTATGCAAATAAATTCTCCACTTGACCGGGGCCATCTTATCTGTTCCTACAGTACATGTGGCTTACAGAGAAGGGAGGATGGAGCGGCCATCTTGAACATGTCTAGTCCCTAGTTCCTGGCATCATTCACCCATGCAAGCTCCCAGCTTGTCTATGTCTGCAGCTCGAATTTACAGGCTGTTCTTTGTTATAAAATGATTTGGGGCTGCTTTTCATTAAGAAGAAATGCCTTACCAAGGACTCTCATACCCGCACTATCTGCCTAAGTGATTTTTTTCTTAACTCCCATATCAATAGCTCACTGTAACCTCAAACTCCTGGGCTGAAGCAATACTCCCACCTCATCCTTCTGAATAGTTAGAACTTCAGGTGGATGCCACCTGCCCAGCTAAGTTCATTTGACTCATTTTCACCTTTTTGTAAGATGAGGTCTTGCTGTGTTGTCTAGGCTGGCCTGGAACTACTGGCCTCAAGTGGTTCTCCTGCTTTGGCTTCCCAAAGCACAGGAATGACAGACATGAGCCACCACGCCTGACCTCCACCACTCTGTATTAAGGGAAATATGAATATCCTGCCATGGTGAGATGAGACAATGTATGCAAAAACTTATTTTTAAATTATAATAGTTATACATATTTAAGACACCGTTTATTAACATTTACCACATACCCTATAGGCATATTTCTTGAAATTTTAACAACTCCGAAGTTAAGATTGAGGTGTGTTGGAGTTTAAGTGTTGGTGCTTTTTTTGTCTCCTTAGTTCAACATAAAATAATGGTGCTTTTTCTAAATAATAGTACCCTTGAATCAGTGAAAAAAAGTATATTATAATTATTGTAAATTTCAGCAATTTATAGATAGCACAATTTCTTATGAAAGAAGTATTTGTACAAACTGACTGCAAAAAAAGTAATCATAGACTGATGACAACACATAAAAAAAGCAAAAAAAAAAAAACTGAGATGAAAAGCTCCACGTGCAAGTATAGTCAGTCTCATTTCTTCGCAAGTATAACAGCACATTTAATGGGATGAAATAAAGTGTTGACATTCTCATATTGTTTTAAAATACTGAGAATAACATGGTAATAGGCCCTTTAAGTATATGTAAACTTATAATATCATGTTTTTAATATCACTTTAATATATACTCATTTTATTTTGTTCTCATCAGGGCTCTATTATATATGCAGTGCAAATATATACAACCTCCTTTTACAGATAGTAAAACTGAAGACCTCCAAAATGTAGTAATGTCTCTCAGTTCATGGTGTGTTAACATGACTTTAAGACCTGAAACAGGATTTGATTTCTAAATCCATTTTCTTTCTATCATGCCGGGCATAATTTTCTCCTAGTAGACTCTAGAGGCACTAAAAACCTAAATCACAGGCTTTTTGACTGAGCTTTAGAGCAAGAATAACCAAAAGTTCAGAGGAAGGGAAGAAACAATAATGCTTCATGTAGGATGGAAATATAGAACTCTTTCTTTTCTGTCTCCTTTTCCCCTAGATGTTTTCTTTGTTTAGAGTCAATTAAAATCCTGGTTTCTTATTGAGGCACTCGATATCTTTCAATAATCCATAACTGTTGATTCTGATCTAATTATTGTTCCATGCCCACAAAAATGACAAATTTACAAAGAACAAAATCTGATAATATTTAATAAAATGTTCACTCTTAATTCAAAGTAAGTGCTATGCATTTTACATTGGGTACCTCATTGTAGCCACTCAGAAATCGAGTGTCACACTAGATTTCAATCCTTGTCTGCATGTTTGGAAAGACAAGGTTGTTTGGCATAATGTTGCTTCTCATTAGAATTATAACAAAATCCAAGTAAAAAGATACACTTCATAGTTGTTAAGTCATGAACAGATAAGATGGTTCCATGAACAATATATTACAAACATGGATTATAAACAACAAAGTTATCAAATCAAATTAAAGTTAATGTTAAATCAAGCATTCCCCAAACTCTCTTTAAGCAATTTAATCTACTTTTGTGGCTTCACCATCACTTAGATGAAAATGACTTCAAAATTTATATATCCTGGCCACATTCTAAGATTCTGACACATATAGCCAGCTGCCTCCAAAACATTTCCAGCTGGACTTACCACCAATTTCCCAAATAGAACACACCTTCCTCAGTGCTGGAAATGATGCTGTGTTTGTATTAGTTTGTTTATTTGTTTTATAAGAATATGAGATAAACTATTGACAGAGTGTCTTTAATATTTTGTTTTTAGGATATTTCCTGGTACACATTAGATAATCAATGAATATTTATTTCAAAAATGAGTAGTAACTATTATGTACAGTTATTGCTATGTTACATGGTCATAAATAATTAAATGTTTAGGTGAGAAACTCAATGAAGCCCAAATTATGCTTAATTTGTATAAAAAATGAATAGAAAGAAATCTAGCTGGAACATAAGGTCATTTTGAGGTAGAGGCCCCAGTGAGGTTATGTATATTTAAATTCTATGTATAGACAGAACTCTCTTTATTTGAGGGGGAAAATGAAATAATCTCTAACATAGCTCAGGGTCAAGCTTTGAATTTATTCAACCCATATAGTTTGGCCAGGATACCAGAAAAAAATTCAGATGAGGATATTATTGTTCTTCTTCTCCATGATGTTGGCTCTAAATAATGCCCTCTATTATCCTTTAGCTCCCCAACCCTTATAGATGAAAACAAGTCCAGCAACAGATTCTGCTACCATGTTTTTCTTTGTAAGAATATTCACCCCTGCAACAGCAGAATTTGATGTCAATTTAGTTTTGTTGTAACCACACATTAATCTTGTATCCCAGTGTCTACTGTGGGCTCTTATTTTATTTCTTCTGTCCAGCACTCTTTTTTAAAACTAATGTCCTTCTACCTGTTTGTGTCCCCTCTGTATAAACCCAATAATTATTATGTAGTTTAATGACACTGCAGCAATAAAATTAATAGTGGCAATGACAGTGCCCACTAAACATTTACAAATGCCTTCAAATGTAAATGTAATGTAAGTCCATGCAACATAGCTATCGGCAAACACTTTATTATCAGCTTTAAAAATCTTTACCTCAATTTTGAAATCTGATTTTATCAAACTCCTCAGTTTATAGGATGCAATCATCATCAGTCCATACAAGGCCATTTCTTTTAGTGTTTATTCTCTTTTTACCCAAATTTCAATTCTATTCTATCATTCTCATTGGCTCCAACTTTCATGTCAAATATCTTTTATATATGTATGCCTTCTTCTACAACATATGGTAATTATTTATTGTCTATGTGTTTGTAAATTACCAAAAAAAATTGTTGAGCTGTAGGTAGAATATTTCTTATATTTTTTCACTCGACAGTTTTCAAATTCTATCTGGGTTGCCAGACATACTTTGGAGCTTCTAATTTTAAGTGCTTTATGTTATGGGCCGAATTGTGTCTCCCTAAAATTTATTTGTTGAAATTACAACTCTCCAGTACCTGGGAATGTAACTGTATGTGAAGATAAGGTCTTTAAAGAGATGGTTGAGTTAAAATGAAACCCAAATTCAATATGACTGATGGATTATAAGAAGAAGAAGAGACATTGGAGGCAGGTGTGCACAGGGAAAAGACCATGTGAAGATAAACAAGAGAGCCTGTCATCCAAGGAGAAAGGGCTCAGGGAAGCTATCCCTGATGACACCTTGATCTTGGACTTCCAGCCTTCAGAATGGTGAGAAAATAAATTTCAGTTGTTTAAGTCACTCAGCCTCTGGGATTTTGTTACAGCATCCCTAACATACTAATACATTTAGTATTTCATTACACGCATGGATTTGTGGACCAAAACATATCTGAGACAAGTCTCAATCAATTTAGAAAGTTTGTTTTGCCAAGCATAAGGACATGCATACAAGTAGTTCTGTGCCTTCTTCAAATATGATTTTGAGAGCTTCAATATTTAAAAGGGAAAGAGTGGATATTGGGGAAAGAGGAAGAAATTCTACAAAGGTGTGGGTAAATAGACAAACGGTTGAATCTTTTGAGTCTCTGATCAGCCTTTCACCAAATACATAATTTACACGTAAAAGACGAGTAGAGGAATTGTGACTTATGCCTTCCTCTAGCTCAGTGAATCTGCATTTTTACATCAGAGGAAACAATCAGATATGCATTTGTCTCAGGTGAGCCGAGGGATGACTTAGAGTTCTGTCCTTTTTCTGGCATCTGTGAAGATAAGCTATCGATATATACTGCCATGGTGACATTCAACAGAACCGTTTTAGAATAAAGATCTTGGGGCCCACAGGGAATTTCCTAGTGGGCAAATTGTGAGGGAGGTATGTAGCTTTTTATTAAAAATAAATAAATAAATAAAAATATTTGTAGCTATCTTATTTAGGAATATACTGAGAGACAGGTTTACTTGATGCAGTTCCCAGCTTGACTTTTCCCTTTGGCTTAGTGATTTGGGGGTCCCGAGGTTTATTTTCCTTTCACAGATTCTACACACACATGCACACGTACACATATCTAATGTCACTCATACTGTTACAGTAGGTCAGCATGAGCAGGGCAGGAGAGGGCTCCCCCACCCCACAAGGAATGTCAGGCGACCATCAGGTGATGTTGAGGTGGTTGTAAACTGTCTCACTAAAAGAATAATTTGTCCCAGCCAGATCCAGGGAAAGGCAGTCTCCTAACAGACAAAAACCTGAAACTGGTGATCAGCAGTTTCCTGACAAGATCTCAGGAGTTGAGTGAGTGGGTTCAGGCATGTTCACTAAGAGGCAAAATGGCACATTTTAACTGGTATATGACCTTCTAGGGACATTTGGTAAGGGAAGAACACCTCAAATGAGCATGTACAACTCCAGTAAATACACCGTGCATGCTCACCTCCCAAGTGCTAGCCAGTCACTGTGTATGTGGACAGCCCATGCCAAGAGAAGAATTAGGGAGAAGGGAGACAAGACCCCAGAAGTATGCCAACATATAAAACAGGGTCAAAGATCAAACAGGGCACCTGATCTCTTAAGTTGCCCACTTGGCCTGCTTCCAAGTGTACTTTACTTCCTTTCATTCCTACTCTAAAGCTTTTTAATAAACTTTCACTACTGCTCTAAAATTGCCTCAGTATCTCGCTCTGCCTTATGCCCGTCAGTCAAATTATTTCTTCTGAGGAGGCAAGAATTGAGGTTGCTACAGACTCATATGGATTCTCTGTCAGTAACAATATTCCCAGCTCCTGTAATTGTCACTTCAGTTGTAACCAACTCTCTGCAACCACAAATAGTGCTGTGATAAACAAATTCATACATAGTTCCTTTGCAGGGGATTCTCTACAGCATATTTCCACAAGAAAAGAGATAGGGTATGCACAACCATTTTCACTAAACATGGCTAGTTTGCTCACTTAAATGGAAGTATCACATTACACTCTTACTAGCAACACGTGAAATTTCCTTTCTCTCACAAGTTAGCCAAAGTATTATGTGAGTAACTAATTTTCAACAATCTGAAGTTTGTCAAAATGTATCACATTGTTCTAATGTGTACTTATATGATTATTAGTGAGAAATACTTTTCTGTTCCAGCACTCTTGATCACTTTAGTAGTAATTACCTATTCAGATATTTTGTCCTTTATTTGCTTTCCGATTTTTTCTAATTTTTTGAGCTATTTATTATATTTTTAAATATTAATTCCTTATGGAGTTTAGGCATTGGAAATATCTCTTTGCAATCTATTATTTATCTTTTTACTCTATCACATCCACTGAATTCACTAAATGATGGCTGAAAGGATAGTCTTAAAGGGAACCCAAACCCCAACCAGTTTGGCTTTTCATAATCTTGAAATTTTTATCCTTTTGAGGTCTGCCCTTGTCTTTATGATTTCTTTTGTTATCTTTTAATTATGTTTTATTTAGTTTCTGTCTTTCTGGATTTTTTCTTGGTATTTTTTATAGCTAAATATGAATTTTTCTCTGAGTACCACTGGTTTAGCTGTGTTTAATAGATTTTAGGCTGGGTGCAGTGGCTCACGCCTGTAATCCCAGCACTTTGGGAGGCCAAGGCAGACAAATCACAAGGTCAAGAGATTGAGACCATCCTGGCCAACATGGTGAAACCCTGTCTCTACTAAAAATACAAAAATTAGTAGGGCGTGGTGGCGCATGCCTGTAGTCCCAGCTACTTGGGAGGCTGAGGCAGGAGAATTGCTTGAACCTGAGAGGCAGAGGTTGCAATAAGCCAAGTTCATGTCACTGCTCTGTAGCCTGGCGACAGAGTGAGACTCCATTTCAAATATATATATATATACACACACACACACATATATATATACACATATATATACATATATATATACACATATATATGTATATATATGTATGTGTGTATATATATGTATGTATATATACATATATGTATGTGTGTGTATATATATATATAAAACTGTTAGTTATTATAAGTCAATTTTCTGTAAGATCTTTATAGTTTCTTTTGGAATTAGATTGCTCTTTAACTCAAAAGTTTAGTAGTAAAATTTCAACTTAAATTTATATACACTTTTAATGCTAGACTATGCCTACTAATTAATAAGGCAATTGTATGCTCATCAGAGAATATATGTGAAAAACTATTTTATTTTTTTGGAATTTTTGATGTTTCATTTGTAGGTCAAGACACAGTTACTGTTCACGAATGCTCCATGTATTCTTGGAAATTATGACTGTTGCCTTTGTTGGACAAAAATTTTATGTATGTATAAACATTACTGTGAATACACTATTTAGAAATATTTATTACTTTATGTCCAACAAATATGTAGAATATTTGTTCTTCTTAATCATGTTATTTCAATAATCAATGTTTATTACTTTTTCTCTGTTTAATTCCTCAGATTCTGAAAAGTTTATGACAAAATATCAAGCAAGAATTGCTGATTTGTCTATTTCCTCTTTAGTGCTGTCAGTTTTTTGGTTTTTAAGTTATTTTGTTATGTATTTATATGCTAATGATGATTATGTTAATTATATCTTCATTATATTATTTACTTTGTTAATATAGAATAGCCATTCATATTTATATTTTCTATCAAAAATTTGTATTGTTTAACATAAAATTGCTGCATTTTTTGTGTTGTTAGCTTGTTATATTTTTTCCAATCTGTCATTTTCAAGCTTTCTGTATTATTTTTATTTGAAGTGCTTCTTATGAACTACCAATCTTACAGATTCTTCCTTTTTATGCAAACCTATGTCTCTAGATTTTATTTGGTGAGTAGAGCCTATTTTTATTCATAAGCATTACTCTAATATTACAACTTATTTCTGCTTCATTTCAAAATATGCAATATTTCACTATGCTTTTATTTTCTCTCACTAAATACATCAAGTTGATTTCTTGGCAGGGTTCATTCAATGCTTTAAGCTTCTCTTAGTTTTATTTTATTACATTTTGGCCTTGTTTTTAAATTTTATAGACACCCAGCATCTCCAATAGACTCTTCTTTATGCCTAGCTGTTTGGCCTAAGTTATATTTCCAATATCTTTCTATATCTTCCTGTGGATAAAGTCTATTCAGGTTTTTGTTTATTAATCCCATTAATTCTTTGCCATAACACATAGCTTACTTAGTTTCCTGTCTTTATCTAGCAGTCATAACCTTTTAGTTGTCTTGACCTGTTTTCCTGAGGCTATCAACTAAATTGGCTGGTATTAGGGTTTGTGCCTCAGTGCTGCCCATTCGCCAGCTCTCTCCAACCACTTTCACCAACACATATCAGATAATGCTGCCCTTAATAAGTTAGAGGTGCTCATCTTACAAACAAAATGAAACAAAGAAACCTGCCTTGGACCATAACGTGTCTGTTCCGGGGACAAGACAACTCTCTGGAACTAGAGTCTTTCTCTGAATCTGTTGAAATCTCTGCCCTAATGTAACTAGTCCTTAAGGATTTCCCTGGCCTGTTCTAAGTTGATGCAACTGATTCTAGAATATTGGGGTGAGTAGTGATACACTAATGGCAATTTGGGGGCAAGAAATAACACAAATGTAAAGATCTTACTTTTCTTATTCTTTAGCTAGAAGTCCTTGATTATGGAGTGCACATTTTTCAGCTCCCTTCCCTCCATCTCTCACTGGCAACCAACCATTTTATTCTTACACAGAGATTTCAGAGACTTCGTATTTACTTTCACAGATCTGAAAATCTCCAAATTCCTTCTGTAGGATTGCAAGGTTGGATTTAGATGAGGATAGAGGAAGAAGCCAAAAACTCATGATATTTTCCCCATCTTCTTGGGAAAATAAAGTTGGCAACAGCTTCTGGAGGAGCCATCATCTTTGTATACATGTGTGTGTGTTTGTGTGTGTGTGTTGTTTAGAGTGTGTGTTTCTGCCATAGCTATCAGTTTCAGTATCAATGTTGGCTAATTTTTGCCTAGGTTTTTCATAATAAAATAAAAATATATCCAAATATCTAATTTTTTCTCCTAATGTGTCAAAATTTTTTAACTATGAGTTCTTCTTGAGTTTCCAGCATGTACATACCAAACAAAAGCAAAGTAAGATGTAAACATTCATAGCTTTACTCTCTTCCAAGCAGAATGAAAATATTTCCCACATCCCTCCCTGCCTTTCTAGTAGCTCACCAATACAGTTGCATTTACATATTTAATTCTGTTTTGAAACTTTCTGCTTATAAAATTGTATAAATAGCTTGACCACATAACAAACATTTTAAGGTCAATAGCACAATTGCTCCATTGTGAGTCTTGCCTTCATGTGGAATGTAACAATCCATTTTTCTGATGTTACTAATGTAAGTACATTTCATTGTAATATTTAAGTTTCATTTGATTAATTTCAATGGTAACCTTAAGGTTTTGAATAAACTTTGAAAGAAGCTAAGTAGCTTCCCTGCAGAATGACTCTATTTTCTTTCAAGCTGCAGAAAAATTTTGTAAAATTCTATTACCTCCCATATGTTGAGGACTTTGAAAATTTTCATTGATAATTAGTTGTCATCCAACTTAAGATGACAAAACACAACAAAGAAACTCAGCATGTCTTTATGTGAGAAATTTCAGCATATTACTTCTTCCATTTGGTGTGTATGTCTAGTATGTTTGACTGCAGTTGAAAAATAATTTGTGCTAATATAAGACATTGTGGCAACTGAACCTAAGATGAATCATCCTTCTTATATTCATGATCAGATTTTATCTTAAAACTCCCTCTTTTCAAAATCAATGCTCCATTTTTTTACAGAATTATTTCACTTTACCAGAAAAATATATACCTACTTATAGAATTTTTATAAGTTTAGAAGGTAGATGTTTTCTTAAATGTAAAAATCAAAGAAGCACACCCAATTAACTTCACCTCACTAAAAATCATGGTCCAGGGTTACTAAGGTTCAACCTTCCACAGTTTAAGACACACCTGAAAGACACACCTCTTTCGTGCATATCTAAGCCTTACTTCACATTTAATTCTTCACAGTGCATAGATATTTAATAAGGTAATTATGTGTTCAATTTTACCCTATATATGAAGATTTCTTTTTTTAAATAGAGGCTATACTAAGGGCCGTGTGTGGTGGCTCACGCCTGTAATCCCAACACTTTGGGAGGCCAAGGAGGGTGCATCACTTGAAGCCAGAAGTTTGAGACCAGCCTGGACAACATAGTGAAACCCTGTCTCTACTAAAAGTACAAACATTAGCCAAGTGTGTTGGTATGTGCTTGTAATCCCAGCTAATTGGGAGGTTGAGACACGAGAATTACTTGAACATGGGATGCAGAGGTTTCAGTGAGCTATCATGCCACTGAACTCCAGCCCAGGTGACAGAGCAAAATTCTGTCTCAAAAAAAAAAAAAGGGAGAGGGTATACTAGGAATAAAGTCAGCTTAATTCTGAAGGTTTCTATTTAGTGTCCTAAAGCCATGCAGTGCTACAAGAAGGACAGGCAAGTGCATACATACAAAGACAGACACACTTTTAACCTAGGTTAAAGTTGGATGACAAAAAAGTACAAAAATCAAACAAACAAACAAAAAGAACCATGTTCCTCTAATTGTATGTATGTGGGCCAGAAAGAACCAAAAACAGTGGAATCAAGGCACAAGACTACAGCTGGGCAACAAGAAAGGAAGAAAGGAAGGTGCCACAGTGGGGTGGAGGTGGGGAGGTAAGAGATCTTAGAATGGACAAGCCAGTAACTGCTACCCAAAGGTCCACGCCTCACCTTGACTGGCACTTCTGTGATCAGGCTCAAGATTGAACAGAGCATGAATGACGAGAGGAGCTAGAATTAGAAAAAAAATTAAGAGAGGCCAAAGACTGAGAGAAGGAAGGAAAGGTTTTATTCTTTGATGCAATAGCCAGTGAAGGAAAGGAGTCAGGTGAATGTTGGTGGAGAAAGAATGTACTTAAGTGAGATTACAACCTGGGGACCATATTTTTAAGGAAGTATCCATCCCTGTATCTACAGGGGAGGACAACATTGAAGATATAAATTTGACCCCTTCTTTGATTTCTCGTCATTTTCCATAGGAATCATCTGCCTTTGATGTTTCTGCAAAAACTGAACAAAAACTCATATCATTTACATATATGTAATACCAAAAAAATGAGTAAAGACAGTAACCATCAGAAGATACAAAGAAAAGAGAAGTGAAATTAGGAGACAATGTAGCCACTCAGTGTGTGTGTGTGTGTGTGTGCGCGTGTGTGTGTGCAGTGTACACAAATTAAATTTCTAGCAATAATTTTATATATTAATTTTTGAAGTACATGAAGTAATTCCAGCTATGAAAGAAGGCCAAACACCAAAACAGGAAATCAGGAATAGAAATACCAGAAAACAAGAGGCAGTATCCAGGCCAAATGAAAGGGTGAAAGGAAAACTTATAGAACTAAAGTAAGAAATAGAGGAGGGAAAAAAGCAATTTGAGAAATGAATACTAAACTAACATGAGTGCAAAGGAAAATAGATCCCACAGATATTGCATTATAAGCTACAAAGAATAGAATTGAGACAGAAAAACAAGCTAAAAGAGAGATAAAGGTCAAAAGAGTAAGAAAAAATGAAGATTAGGCCGGGCATGGTGGCTCACGCCTGTAATCCTAGCACTTTGGGAGGCAGAGGCAGGTGGATCACCTGAGGTCAGGAGTTCGAGACCAGCTTGGCCAACATGGTGAAACCCCATCTCCACTAAAAATACAAAAATTAGCTGGGCATGGTGGTGCATGCCTGTAATCTCAAGAGGCTGAGGGAGGAGAATCACTTGATCCCAGGAGGAAGAAGTTGCAGTGAGCCGAGATTGTGCCATTGCACTCCAGCCTGGGTGACAAGAGCAAAACACCATCTCAAAAAAAGAAAAAAAAAAAAGAAGAGTAAGGAAAATAACATACCATGTTTCCCTAACAGGAATATGCAACTGAAATCAAAATAATAAAGCAAAATAAAATACTTAAATATATAATTTAAGAAATCTTTCCTGAAATGAAAGAAGCCTTGCATCTAAAAATTAGACATTCATGCAATATGCAAAGCAAAGTTGGCTCAGAATGCTTCATAATAACAAGTTAATGTAAATGTAAATTTAAATATGTAAAAATAGTTATTGCAATGCAAAGCAGGCCAGCCCCAAAGTTGGGGCTTGGCCCAGGAAGGTTCTTGGGTTTGCTCAAGAAAGAATACAAAAGCAAGCTGATGGTAGAAGAAAGCAGGTTTATTGAAGTGGCAGTGTACAGCAGAGTGGCTGCTCCTTGCAGAGAAGTGCTAACTCACAGGCAGTGCACCCTGTGTATGGGCTATTGGCTAGCTGTATGTATACCCACTTTTAACTATATGGAAATTAATGGGCAAGGTATTTAGAAATCTCTGGAAAAGAGATGGTAACTTCCAGGTGTTGCCATGGCATTGGTAAACTGTCATGGTGCTGGTGACAGGATCTTATGCTGATGATCAATGAGGGCAACTAGAGGATGCCTTTGGCACCATTTGTTGGTTTCAGTCAGTTTCTTCCTTTCGTCCTGTTAAGAACAGGAAATAAGTCCTGACAGTCTCCTACCTCATTCTCCCCTCAGAGATTATATACTCCTCTTTAATCTTAAAGGGTTGTAGAAGGGCAAAGGTCTGTCTTCTCTAACTGCTTCCTGATGATTTTATGAGGGTAGGTCCAGCCCAGCATTGGAGGAGTATAAACCTCTGGATAAGTGATCTAAGGGACCCAAAGGCAGGATGTCTGTTTTCCAGGTCAGAAAATGGGATACATTGGAAGCATTCTGCCAGCAGTGTCTTTGCATTGAATTGTTGTAATGTAGATAATACAAATTTTACTAAGAGTTTAAATAAGCAAGAGCTAATGATTAATACTAACAAGATAGCTTGTTAAAGGTCCTAGAAAAGGTAAAAAACAAGAGACTGACTAGAAATCCATTTACTGAATTCCAACAGCAGGTATAAAAGAGGTCTTTACCTGGGAAAAACTGTCTAGAACAGTGGAATAGAAAAATTACAATTAGAAAGAACAGAAAAATGTATGCTTTTATGCCTACTTACAGCATCATGTTACCATTTCTGACTGAATGTTAATTATCTTAAATAGGTGTGGAGGTCTTCCACCTATCTACAGATGGAAGTATTCTGGACAAGTGTGCCCATTTAGTGATCCCCAGAAGTTAAACAGTAGTGGAAGTATTTAATAATATCTGATGAGGGCCTTCCCATTTTGGTTGAAATTAATCCTCAGGGGATACTTCTTTCCAAGTTTATAGTAAGCCTAATTCCCTGGATGAATGGGGGAATTGATTCTTTCCCTTGTGGGAGGAGGTAATGTTTCATCTCATCTTTTCAAAGGGCCTTTTGAACCTGGCCTGAATTCCAAAATGGGGGGCATAGTGAAGCATGTCTGACTCCCTATTTCTTGTATTGTCTTAAGTTAGTTCTTCAGGTT
Source organism: Homo sapiens (assembly GCF_000001405.40). Taxonomy (NCBI): domain Eukaryota; kingdom Metazoa; phylum Chordata; class Mammalia; order Primates; family Hominidae; genus Homo; species Homo sapiens. The sequence goes on from NC_000018.10 coordinate 39,148,969, forward strand.
TCTTATAGCCAATTAAATTTTCCAGGCCTTATGAGAATGGGGGTGGGAAGGCACTCATTAGCCCTTAAAACCTTTTTTAAGCAATATGAGAGTCAAAACTCAAAATGCAAAAATAAAGGTACACATCTCAAATAACCAAGAATATAGAATCAAGCTACATTGGAGAAAAAGATTGCTTTTATAGACCTCTAAGATAAAATATTTCAGCATCAGGCCATAACAATAGTTAGAATCGTAGCAGAAAAAAATTTCAGGAGCTGATGAAAAAGCTGAAATAGAGAGCTATCATCTCAGGCTTTCTCAATAAGTTGAGAAAACTTGTTTTAACATAGGAGACCAATCTTTACAAAGACTATTATAAACATAAACAATTCCCTTTTAATTTCAGTCAACTTAATCATATGCAAAATTTCTTCACAAATTGCCCTTTACAAACATTATCACAACTTACACGGGTTATCTATGACATGCTTGGACTTTCTGACTTGTCCTATACTATCTCTTAATAACCAGTCGTTTTACTTTAGGAAAATAACTTCCCATATGTATTAGTCCATTCTCATGCTGCTGTAAAGAACTTTTGAAGATTTGGTAATTTATAAAGGAAAGAGATTTAATTGACTCACAGTTTGGCATGGCTGGGAAAGCCTCAGGAAACTTACAATCATTGTAGAAAGGGAAGCAAACACATCCTTTCTCACAAGGCAGCAGCAAGGAGAAGCAGAATGAACAAAAGGGAGAAAAGTGCCTTATAAAACCATCAGCTCTTGTGAGAATTCACTCACTATCACGAGAACAGCATGAGGGCAACCACCACCATGATTCAATTACCTCCCTTCAGGTCCCTCCCACAACACATGCGGATTATGGGAACTACAATTCAAGGTGTGATTTGAGTGGGAATACAGCAAAGCTATGTCATCAAAGAAAATTCTTTCTTATATAAAATTACTCTTTTCTTTGTATCTTTCCTTACCAAAAATACATCTTTATATCCACAAAATTTCTCTTCCCTACTTCACATTTCTTCACAGAAATTTCACATTTCTCTCCCCTACTCTGCCTGGTTTGATAATTAACCTTTTAAAGTCCATAATTTAAACAACCTTTGATAAAAGTTGAATTTGACAAAATTGTTCTTTTTCTCAATAAAAACACATTGTCTTTGGCACATTTTATATGAACCAAGCAAACGAGAAATTCTAAATTGTCTTTTAGATGTTAGTATTTTGTAGACAAGAAACATTTAACAATTAAAAAAAGAAGCTTTCCCATATAAAAATCCTCTCAAGTGTCAATGAGCCAGACACCCAGTAAGCATCCAAAACAATTTAAAAATTTTAAATTACACAAAGAGTTCATCTATAAGTGTTTATCTCATTTCATTTACCTAATTCATCATTATTAATTTTTAGGAGTTTACTGAAATTGTTTATGAAAAAATGCAATATTAGACAAAGCTAATAATCACTGAAAGTTATATCCTAGTTAATGATTTTTAAAGTCTAAACATTAGGTAAACTGCTAGGTACAACTCTTAAAGTTGAACATATGACTATTTTGTCAATAACTCAGAAGACTCAGCTGTCTTTATTGAGCCAACAATCTTAAATTAGCCTTATTTGTGTAATTCTGAAGACATTTCTATTTTTATCAATAATTTTAAAATCAATTTTATTTATCCAAGATTCATGTAAACTTGAAAAGCATATGAACTTACTTAACTTATAAGTATTCACTTACTTATAAGCCAATTTGATAGCATGCTAGACACAACACATAATACACGTACATACACACAAAAATATCTAAATGTGTATACATATACACAAAGGTCCAATAGCATCTACCTCAGAATTCTAGTCATAAGATGGCAATATAAATTCACCACTTTATAAAAAATAGATGGATTTCAAATTATTTTTCACAAGATTAAGACCTGTCTACAAGGCTAAACTTTGTTTGCCTTGATAAGTAATCCAGGGAAAGCTACAGACCAGAACTTGTGTAAGGTAGTTTTCATGGTAATTTTGATTTCAAATCTTCTTTTATCTCATGTTTTTTTAATGAAAGAAGAGAAGGAAGGGGTAAATAGAATTGCACAAAGGGTGCCCTGGAGTTCCCAAGCCAACAGAGAACTCACGCAGAAGTGGAGACACCAAAATGTTTAGGTGACCACTTGTCTGTTGCTGCAGGGAGTCATCTGTCAAGTTGGGAATCTGGAAACCCCAGAAAAAAAAAATGGACTTAAGCAAACCAGCAGTCTGGGGTGTAGGTGATTTCCTTCAATATCAAAGGCAGGGCAGGGGGAACACTCACCTGTCTGCAGGAGTCAAAATGACACTGACTAGTCTCCAACTTGGGGCCCTGGTAAAGGTCTCCCCTGGGTTTCCTTGATATGGGTGGGCTCATCTGTCATAAGGGGATCAATGCATAGATGACTGACCTGCCAGCAAGAGCAGTGGGTCCCACATGAAGTGGCAGCACTGCAGCCACTTGCTTATTTGCTCAGTTCTGCCATTCTGCCAGGAAATAAGATGGCCCTGGAAAGAGTCTTTGGTTAATACACATCTCTGCAGTGTTGGCAGCTCTTTAGTATTAGTGTTCAGGTTACAGCTCTGTAGCTTCAACTGCCACCTCATCATCTATTGCCATCTTACTGATTGCCAGATCACTGCCTCACCTGCTCTCTCACTTCTTGCTTTCTTGTTGACTCCATGTCGGGCACCAGATGATGCAGGACAGGAAAGCCCCAAAATTTGGGCTTAGCATGGGAGGATCCTTGGCTTTGCTCAGGAAAGGATTTAAGAGTGATCCAGCAGTGGATGAATGTAGGTTTTTTGAAGGGGCAGTGTACAGCAGAGTAGCTACTCCATGCAGAGCAGGGAGCATGGAAAGTGCACCTAGAGTAGCAGCATACAGGCTGTTGGTTAGCTATATTTATATCCACTTTTAATTATACACAAATTAAGAGTTGGTTTATTCTGAAATCTCTAGAAAAGGCGTGGTAACTAATAGATGTTGCCATCGCATTCATAAACTGTCATGGCACTAGTGGGAGTTTCTTAGGCGGATGAGTATAAAAGGCTAATATAGTATGCCTTCAGCACCATTTACTGGTTTTGCCCATTTTTCTTTTATTTCATCCTGTCATAACTGGAAAATAATAAATGCTGATCTCCTACATCAATTGGACTTCAGATATAAAGAATGTATTCTTTAGGCAACTATACACACAAAAAGATCAAGACCTTCCCAAGGAAAACATTCACGAATGTGTCTGACTTCTCTACAGTAATAATCAATGCAGAGGTCATGAATACTGCCCACAAGTACTGTAGGAGGGTAATGGGCGGCCCCATATTTTTATGTCCCAATAAACTCTTTCTCAAGGATAAAGCCTATTGTTCTGAACATAAAATAAATGAAGAAATATTGCTCAGAGTTTCCAGAGATTCCTGGAAGGTGAATGCAAAATAACTGCCACATCAAAACAAAAACTTAGATGGAAAAAGGAGTGATAGAATACAATTTTGAATGCCAGCTATTTATGAATGTAGAAATGACACAGCTAACAAAAATGGGGGAAGAAGTTTAAAAGATGAAAAGTGGAATAAGCCTTTTCATTGCCTCATTTATAATAAGCAAAACTCAAAGACCCCACTAGAAACTAATAAAATAAGTATTAGACTTTAAAGCATATTTAAAAATACAAAGGAAAATACTAAAAAAGATGATTTATAGAATGGATTGGGAAGGAAAGTAGGAAGCATTAAAAATAGGATAAAAGCTCATTTCAGGTTGTTCATTCTAAGAAACAAAAGGATACTACCTAAAAAAATAGAAGCTAAGGACATTATATGAAGATGACCAGTAGCCTAAAAAAAACTTTCTGAATTTCAGAATAACTGAGGAACAAAAAAATTTGTAGTAAAAGACTTTAATATATTTTAAAACAATACACATGATAGAAAAGAACACAACTTTTTTCATATCTATCTATAGATAATCTCACATAACTCCTTACTGATTGGATCACAAAACGAAATCTCAATCTATTTCATAGAACAAAAAGTATCCCTAAAGTAAAATTGTTAAGCAACAAAAATAATAAAGAATTTAAAAGTGTAGATAGATATGACAAAAGTTCTACTAGGTAAATAAAAAGAAAAAGAAAAAAAAGAAATTATGTTTTTCAAATTAGAGAAAGTAGAATACAGACAAAAACACAGAAAATGAGATGAAGGTATAATTTTTCGTTTATCACATTTATTAATATGAATACAGCACATAGCAAAGCAGAAACTTTCATAAAGAAAAGGAAACAAAACAAATCACATAAAAAAAACAAAGTAAGATTTTTTTTTTCAATCCAGGACATATCAACTGGACAAAATTCAACTAAGGTTATAGAAGCCTTAAATGACACAGTAAATAAGATGTATTTGGTCAATGTGTATACTAAATACTAAACCATCATATTAAAGAACACACCACTCCTTCAAATGACAAAAGAACATTCTCAAAATCCTATCAAATATTAGATTACAATAAAATAATAATAAAATCCAATGTGTTAAAATAATGAAGACCATTGATTCTGTTCTTGATGCAATAAAATAAAAAATCTATTACATAATGAGAAATTAATTTCAAAAAGGACCTATCATTAGGAAATGGGGGACTTCTCATAAACAACACTTTGTCAATGAGAAAATTAAAAATGGAAACCTAAAAGTTTTGCATAAAATATACTGAAATCATTAAGTAATAAAACTTGCAGGTTTTAGCCAAAAAATTATACAACAGAGAAAAATGTATATGCTAATAACAATAATATTTTGACAAAAAAGTCACTACCTTTTATATTTATATAACTAACTTTCAATTTTATTATTTATATGAAGCACTCATACTCTATGCTCCTTGAATATTAGAATCAACTGGGAAAGTTTTTAAAAATATATTAATATCTGGCTCCCAGTGCTAGTAGTTTGGTTTGATGTAACTCTACAACAATAAAAATAAATTTCAAATGGAGTAAATCTTATGAAGAAGAAATATTGCTAAAATATCTGTACTATCCAAAGCAATTTACAGATTTAATAAAATCCATGTCAAACTACCAATAACATTCTTCACAGAAATAGAAAAAAATCCTAAAATACATATGAAACCAAAAAAGCAATCCTGAGAAAAAAGGATAAAAGCTTAAGTTACATTCCCTGACTTAAATTCTACTACAAAGAGCCATAATAACCAAAACAGCATGATACTTGCATAAAAACATATAAACCAAAGGAACAGAATAGACAGAAATCCATCCACACATTTACAGTCAATTCATTTTTCACCATGTCACCAAGAACATACACTGAAGAAAGGACAGTCTTCAATAAATGATGCTAGGAAAACTGGATATCCATATGTAGAAGAATGAAACTAGAACCCTATTTCTCACCCTACAAAAAGTCAAATTAAAATGGATTAAAGATTTAACTGTAAAACTTGAAACTATGAAACTACTTTTAAAAATTGGGGAAATGCTTCAGGACATTGATTTGGGCAAAGATTTCTTGAGTAAGTCTTCAAAAGCACAGTCAACCAAAGCCAAAATTTAAAAATGGAATCACATGAAGCTAAAAAGCTTCTACACAGCAGAGAAACCAATCAAGAAAGTAAAGAGGCAGCCTGCAGAATGGGAGAAAATATTTTCAAACTATTCAGCTAACAAGGATTAACAACCAGAATATATAATGAAATCAAACAACCCAATAGCAATAAAAACAAATAATGTAATTTAAAAATGGACAAAAAAACCTGATTGGCCATTTCTCAAAAGAAGACACACCAATAGCTAACACGTATATGAAAAACTTGCTCAAAATCATCAATTATCATGGAAATGTAAATCAAAACCACAGTAAAATATCATCATACCCCAGTTAGAGTGGCTATCAACAAAAAGACAGAAGATAGCAAATTTTGGTGTGGATGAGGAGAAACAGGAACTCTCATACACTGTTGGTGGAAATGTAAATTAGTACAGCCATTATGTTACATAATATGGATGTTTCTTAAAAATATAAAAATATAACTAACAGATGATCCAGCAATCCCATTGCTGAGTATATATCCAAAGTATGAAAATCAGTATATCAAAGAAATATTTGCACTTCCATGTTTAGTGTAGTGCTAGTCACAATAGCCAAGATATGGAATCATTCTATGTATCCATCAATGGATGAATGGATAAAGAAAATGTATGTAGCATATATGCACAATGTAATATTATTCTGCCATTAAAAAAGAATGGATGGCACTGGAAGACATTATGCTAAGTGCAATAAGTCAGGAACAGAAAGACAAATATCACATGTTCTCACTCATATGTGGGAGCTAAAAAAAAAATTATTATAATTACCACCATTATAAATGGTGGTTACCAGAGGTTGAGAAGTGTAGTGGGGGGCATTAGGGGGGTTATAGAAGTATTAGTTAATAGGTACAAACATAGTAAGATAGAAGTGACAGTGGCAGGAGGTAGACAAATGCCTAGGCAGATAGGGGTAAGTCCCCAATGAAACCCAACCTCCAAGCCAGAGACAGTTTGAAGCTTGAAAGCCAAGCTTCAAATCAATTCCATGGACTAGATTGAGTACCTGTCTTCCAATTTGGTGTGCTTTCCTCTAACTGATCCCCACCCTTCACATATTTTACATATGCCTACCCTTTTCTTTTTTTTTTTTTTTTTTTGAGACAGAGTCTCACTCTGTGGCCCAGGCTGGAGTGCAGTGGCACTATCTTGGCTCACTGCAAGCTCTGCCTCCCAGGTTCATGCCATTCTCCTGCCTCAGCCTCCCGAGTAGCTGAGACTACAGGTGCCCGCCACCATGCCCAGCTAATTTTTTCCATTTTTTAGTAGAGAAAGGGTTTCACCATGTTAGCCAGGATGGTCTTGATCTCCTGACCTCCATGATCCGCCCACCTTGGCCTCCCAAAATGCTGGGATTACAGGCGTGAGCCACCGCACCCGGCCATACCTACCCTTTTCTAATTGCTTTTCTATGCTGCTGTGCCCATCTTTCAGAGATGCCTTTGCTTTAGCCTTTCTTTGCACACTCACAAACCAATCAGCATGCACTTCCCTATCCCGAGCCCATAAAAGCCCCAGACTCAGCCACACAGGAAGAGAAATCACTGAACCGCAGGGATGGGGGACTAACCCTGCATCCCCTCTCTGCTGAGAGGTGCTCTGTCACTCAATAAAATTCTTCTCTGCCCTCCTTACCCTTCAATTGTCAGTGTATCCTCATTCTTCTTGGATGCAAAACAAGAGCTTGGGAATCACCAAATGTGGGTATAAGCTATAGCACAGGCAGACTGGGGCACACCAGGCCTAGCCACGGGCTGAGTTGGTGTGCAAGCCAGTCTTGGCCTGGGCAGGCTGAGTGGGTGGGGCACCTCCTGCAGCAGGTGAGCATGCCCAAGTGAGGCCTGGGCAGGGGTATTGCCAGCCAGAGGTCCCAGCTGGCAAAGTAACTGAGAAAAATCCTGCATGAGAAAAAATAAGATCTAGTGTCCAGTAGCACAATTGGACAACAATAGCTAATAATAATTTATTGTATATAACAACAATTTATTGTATAATTCAAAATTTAAAAATATATTATTAAAAATAAATGCAAACACATTTTTTAGAAAAAATATAGGGTATCTCAGTTACCTCAAGGTAGCATATGATATTTCTAAACAATATAAAAAATGGCAAGTCCAGAAGGAAGAAATTGATAATTTGACAAACACATAACAAATTTTAAGGTTTTTAAAATAAATAGTAAATCCCAACAGAAATGGTCAATAATAGTGGACTATTTAAATAAATTATGTATAAATATGCATGTATACTTATACATATATAAGAAATTAAGAGCCCATTAAAAGTGACTCATTAAAATACTGTGAAAAGTGCTCATTAATGTTTAAATACTCAGAAATAATATTATGTGAAAAATTTTAAAGATACAGATATATAAATTATAATCCTAATTCTTAAAATGCACACCTATGTGCATATACACATGATTAAAAAAAAGAGTAATACCAAAATTAGTTCAGGGTTGATTTTCAGTTAATGAAATGTGTGCTTGTTCTTTTATTTTTTATCTTGTTTAGTTTTTTACTATATTATTTTATCCAAATTTTAAAACTATGTACATATGAAAATGTGAGCAGCTTCAGATGCAGTGAACCAGTTCCACTTTGGCTCCAACCAGACAAACCATGTCACCATACGATTAGATAAACCCAGATGCTGCCTACATACATGTGGATTCTCATATTCATGAATTTGAGCCTCTGCTCTGCCAAGTGGGCAGTAAATTGTCATATAGAAGACAGCCTGAAAGGAAGTGTATTCCAGTAGATAGAATTAAACACCATAATGACAAGAATATGAATTATCTTCATAATGTAGTAACTTCCTTTCTGTTCAACTTTGAAAAAGTAATTTAACTTGTGTGTTTCAGTCTCCGTTAAATTGATGATAATAATCTTTCTTTGTTAACAAAGTGCTTTGAAATCACTGTGTGACATGTAATATATTACCAGAAAGTATTCTTATTTCACCCTGCATTGTAACCTCTCAGGAAAAGGATCTATGCATCATTGTGAGTATTTCAATGTACAATGTTGGCAAAAAAATGAGGATATGATTGAGAATGATACAAAAAACACTGTAATGCTCTTCTGTAAGTCAGTGTTATGAACTCACCTTGAATGTTGAATTGACTAATAGTACGTTTACATCAATGGAATGACAAATGTAAGGAAGTTTCAGAGAACACATAATGAGACCCTATTTGTGAAGGAGGCAGAGATAAATAGAGGGTAAGAGAACTTAGTATGCAAAAATAGGACTGTAGTTCAAGAGAAGAAACAGAATTACAGGAATTACACAGAAGTAAAGAGAAAGAAGGCCTATTTCTCTCTTATGAAGACTTGAAGTTTAATTGAGTGACTTACAGTGTAAATAAATGAAGGTACCATTTTAACAAATTAGTTCTCAACTTATTATTGAATTCATTATCCAAGTGATGGTAGAGAGAAAAACATACATTGTTTAAAGATAGCTTAAAGCATAGTAGCTCTTATAAATTTGTATGTATATGTACTTGAATTGCTAACACTACAAGTGTCCCTTTTTGACATGAATGGCAATGGGGCAGAGTCGTGTTTTTATCAAGTCATTAATTGCTTTGGTGCTTCCCTTGTAGAGAATGCCTCTGGTCCCAGAAAACCATGAAACTAAGCAGAAACATGTTCCTGAATTAATTAATATTCTTTTTCCAATGTAAAAGGAACAAAACAAAAGGAATAAAATAAAAGTACTTATTTATCATATATGATAACATAGAAATAACAATACAAGATAATACATCTGAATAAGATTTGTAGGCCTTAATATAGTATATAATATTTATAATCTCTTTCTAAAACAGAAAATCGTATATTTTTCTCACTTAAGAAAGATGTACCCATGATCATGAACCCGCAACATTGCAATCATTTGGAAATATTCAGGAAATAACATTTCCTTCTTGTTGGTTTGTGGGTGGCATATAGTGTGACATACTAGCAGAGTAAAATCTGATAGATTTGGCCTCAAATTCATCCCATCATTTGCTAGCAATCAAGTTTCAGAATTTTTCTAGATCTCTGTTACCTCAAACATAATATAGAAACAAGAAACCAAATTTAAAATCTTCTTGGAGATGTAAATGAGAAAAATGCAGGTATAAATGGCCAGCAAAAATTGAAGCAGTTAAGATCAGTCAATAAAGATCAGATTCATCATCAATTAGGGGCTTTGGATATTAACCATTCATCATTATTTCAGTAATATTTAGCAAACCACAACATTTTTTAAAATCATTTTTCCCATATGTGTCATTAGGATAATAGTCACTTCATACTGTTCTGAGAAGAGATTATAGCAAATTAATCAAGGGTCATACCTTTCTTCCCACCTGCATTCTTCACTAGTTGCACCATTAAAGACAACACCACCAGGTTGAACGTTTACAGACTGAATTCATCACCAACGGGTTAAATGCTCAATCTGCTTTGGTTATTTTAATGTCTGAAATAATAAGATTTGGCAGTTTTACAAAAGTAAACTATATGAACCATTGAATGTTGATATAGAGTTTAGTGATCAACTTTTATATAAAAATTTATATTGAACTGACATATTTTTCCAACATTGTGTTTTATTTTTTACACTTCTATAGTTGAAGAAATAAAAATAACATTTTGAGCAAAATGTGTGGGATGGCCAGAAATTTGTTCTTAGAACCATGAACAAAGTTGAGCAATTATTTTGGCTACCACACGAGATATTAATTGACTAATTGACCATCAAAATATGTTATTCAAGGATTATTTGGATTTGGTCCATGGTGGGGAAAGGTACTGGGATGTCACAGGAAAGTTTGAGGAACTTTCTAGAACTCTCCTTTCTTATTTTAGCTAAAATCATTTCAAACAGGAAAACTATCTCTTTTACCAAAATCTCAGAGGGCTGGTCTAAGTCCTGCTGCTTACCACACAGAAAGCCAATCACAGAGATAACAATTATTGCCAGGGAAGAAGGCTTTAATTGGGTGCTGCAGCTGAGGAGAAGGGAGATCAGTCTCAAATTCATCTCCTTGACTAAAATTAGGGGTTTATATAGCAGGGAAGAAATGTAACCATGTATGGGAAAACAGGAATTAGGGAGAAGTAAGGAAGAGGAGTTGGTCAACAGGAAACAGGTGGTTGGATAGGCAATCATGGTGAGTGAGGGGTCTGGCTTCTTATTGTCCAGATGTGGTGATCTGGTAAGTTTTAGCTCCTTAATACTATCTGGGAGCCCTGATGGGTGATTTCGTGAGAAAGGAACTCAGAAAAGACAAATGCAACTTTCTCAAGTTTTAACACTGGGAAGATCAGTTTCTATGTTTATTAAAAGAAGCCATAAATACAAGTTCTATGGGACAACTGGGTGGGTTTCATCTCTATCTTAGCAGCATGTTGCATTTTGAAGTTCAGCAATTCCTCCTGGAGCATCTAATTCAGATCATTGATTTAAAAATAAACACTTGAATTGTTATGAAATGAAAATTATTCTTTAAAAGAGATGAGCAGATGGATTGTTTGTTAATTACCAAGCACTGTGTCATGCAGTTAAGGTGAGACTGTGTGTCACTTAAATCTTTTTTCTGTCCCAACAGAATGTATCACACAGGGGAAAGGCATAGTGTAAACGACTGCTCTGTGCATTGGTATATACAAGATCAGCAGAGTTGTAAGAAATAAGTGGACTCCTTATAAGTTGTATAGGGTCATCTTCCTCTATCATACTACTTATGGATTGCTATTTCACACCATATGGATTTGCTCTGAGCCAAAAGAATTTTATTTTTATTTTCATTTTTATTTAGAGACAGAGTTTTACTCTGTCTCTCAGGCTGGAGTTCAGTGGCATTATCATAGCTCACTGTAACCTGAAACTAACTCTTGGGCTCAAGTAATCTTCCCACCTCCCAAAGCCCAGGTGTGAGCCACTGTGCTCTCAAAAACATTTTAATGTAGGCAGCAATCCATATTTGCTTCTCTGGGGTCTTAATCGCCACATTTTAATTTTTTTTTTTTTTTTTTTTTTTTTTTTTACTGTGGATCTCTTTCCAATTGTGCACACTTCTCTGTTCAGAAGAAAAATCAGTGCAAAGAGAATGGCATTATTGCAAAAATTAAAAAAAAAACACTCTCCAAACTAACTTAAAGAGCTTCATATTAGCACTCTAAATAAAGGTTTTTTAGGATTACCAAGATTTTAAGCTGCACAGGTTGTGAAGTAGATAACTACCAATACAACTGGATTTTATTGGTAACAAAAGTTGTCCCAATACAACCATTTTTCTAAAATTTCTAACATAATTTCTCTTATTAAGTCACTATGCCATTATATTACCTGGGTAAGATCACTGCTTATTTAACATATTTGCAGAAACTAGTGTCCTGGTTTTCAGGCAGAGCACCGGATGGCTGCAAGTGAAAGCATCTGAGAAGAAACTCATAAAGTTACTGGTAGGAAACAAAATTTAAAAAAAGAAAGTTTAATTCAGGGGACCCAAGGGGTACATGCATAGGTTTGTTACATGGCTATATAGTGTAATGATGAGGTTTGGGTTTCAATTATATTCATTACCCAAATAATGGACATTGTACTCAGTAGGTAATTTTGTGGAGAAAAAGAGAGAGGTTTTAGACAACTCAGACCGTGTGCGAATATTTGAGTAGTGTTACAAAAAGAAAATTAGCCCTGTTTGCTGTCTCTGAAAGGCAAATGAAAATGACTCAAGGAAAAGTGGTCATATTTTATGCAATTCAGGCATATTCCTTTAAAAAAATAACAGCTATGATTTCTGGCTACAGTAATTGACAGTCCACCTTTTTTCTCTCAAATAATTTAAAATTTGGTTAAATTCACAAGCATATACAGAGTTAAAACTAATGATTTAAAAGCAACATAAGAAATTTATACGTTTCACTCCATAATTAATGACTAAATGGAAAAATGTTACTCTACTTGCAAAACTGTAACACCTAATGTATGAATTTTCTTCAAAAAGAAATTATCTAATTTTCTGCATACACCAGAGGGTGCCCTCCAATTAAATTCCCTCTGACACTAACTACTTAGAGTTAGTGCACACCCCACAGATGAAGGGCTGAGGTCCAAATGACTGCCCCCTTACTTCGGGAGCCAATCACAAGCAGAGGGTCTCCATGTTGCTCACACTTCTTTCCAATTTGGCAACAAATTGAAGGTTCCTACAACCCCCTCCTGGGGTCCGATAATTTTCTAAAACACCTCACAGAACTCAGGGGAATACTTTACTGTTATTAGTTTATTGCAAAGGTTATTATAAAGGGGCTTGGTGTGGTGGCTCGCGCCTGTAATCCCAGCACTTTGGGAGACCAAGGTGGGTGGATCACCTGAGGTCAGGAGTTTGAGACCAGCCTGGCCAACCTGGCAAAACCCCGTCTCTACTAAAAAAATACAAAAAAAAAAAAAAAAAATTAGCCAGGCTGGTGGCGCACACCTGTAATCCCAGCCACTTGAGAGACTGAGACAGGAGAAGCACTTGAACCTGGGAGCTGGAGGTTGCAGTGAGCCAAGATGGCGCTGTTGCACTCCAGCCTGGGTGACAGAGTGAGACTTCGTCTCAAAAAAAAAAAAAACAAAAAAAACAAAAAAAAGATTATTATAAAGGTACCAATAAACAGCCTGAGGAAGGTGATGCAGGACAGGAGAAAAGTCCCAAACCCAAAACTGGGGCTTAGGCCAGGAGCGTTCTTGACTTCATTCAGAAAAGAATTCAAGGGTGAGTTGGTAACATTAAACAGCAACTTTCACTGAAGCCTCAGTTTGTAGCAGCAGCAGATGTACCGCTCCTTGTGGAGCCAGACTACCTCACAGGCAATACGCCCAGAGTAGCAGCTCAGAGGCAGTTTTTCAGTCATATTTATACGTACTTATAATTACACACAAATTAAGGGGCAGATTATGCAGACATTTTTAGGAAAAGGGTGGTAACCTCTGGGTCTTTGAGTTGTTGCCATGGAAAGGGGCGGTAACTTCTGGATGTTGCCATGGCAGTGGTAAACTGACAAGGCATGTCTTATGAAGAGGTGTTTTTACCTCTTCCCTGTTTCAGCTAGTCTTCAATCTGATTTGGAGCCCAAGCCTACCTCCGGAGTCAAGTCCCACCTCCTACCTTAAAGGGTTACATAAGGCGAAGTCTAGAAAGGTCCTGAGTGCAGGAGCTTTAGTGGGAGGAACTACCTTTCCAGTATGTGACTGCATTCACCAACCTGGAAGCTCTCTAAACCCATAGTTCAGGATTTTTCTAAAGCTTCCATTATGTGGATATGATTGATTAAATCATTGGCCATTGGTGATTAACTGAATTCCCAGCTCCTCTCCTCTCCTTGGAGGTGAGGGATTGGGACTAAACTTCCACCCTCTAATCACATGATTAATTTCTCTGGCAAGGAGCCCACATCCTCCCACAGTCACCTCACTAGCACAAATTCAGGTATGGTTTAAAGCAATTTGTCATGAATAATAAAAGACACTCTTCTCACCCCTATCACTCAGGAATTCCAAGGGTTTTAGGAGCTCCGTGCCAGGAGCTCAGGATGAGGACCAAATATGTATTTATTACTGTATCACAATATCACAATGACAAATGGATAGTGCAGAATTCATGTGGTACAACTTCATCATTTGGTGGCAAAGGTCAGGGCAGGCTTCCAAGAAGTGACATTTCTTTGGCTCCTTCTAGAAAGGAAGCAACCATAGCAGCTCAAAATAAAAGAAGAATAAACAGAAGAAATGTATGTTAAATTAATATTCAAATGATTTTGAAATATTCAAGTTGAGCTACTGTGAACATCAGTAATTACACCAAAAAATGAGCAAATGTTATAATTATAACTGCAGTAAAAATTATCCAGCAGTTTCAGGAAGGAGCTCTGCACAGCATATTGATCAGTAGTTATTGAGCTTTTCTTAAGGGTGAAAGCGACATGAAAAGGTCTTAAATTCACTTTGTTCACATTGTAGATGTTCCAGTGGCTGAGCCACAAAACCACAGAAGTAGCAAACTCCATGAATACGGCCCCTATTGTTTACATCAAATGTAACAGTCTTTTATTAATACATCTCCTGGATTGTACCATGGGGACAAAAACTGTTCTCCATAACCTTCTAAATTTCTCAACTTAAACCAGTCAGCTAAGGAAGTTTGGGTTAGAATCACTGTTATCCATTTATTACCCCAATGCCATTCAAAAGTCATGTTAATCATATTGGAAATATTATGACCAAGATTATAAATTTAGCTTTATAATAGTTATTGGGAGAAGGAAGAATGCAACTGCCTGTTTTTCTACCTCTATGTACTTCTACTACCTGCAGCTTACCTCCACCTGAATCGTGACTCTTACCCCAATTTCTAGGCCCAATCCTGCTCTTAAACACACCCAGGCTGGCTGTCAGTAGTCTCTTCTCACTGTCTGTATCTTAATTCTGTGTTTTGTGGATTTCCTATGGAAAGATGGTACAAGGTTTTCCATCCAGTTAAGTCAAACTTCTCAGTCCTGTTTTCTAGGTCCTCTCCTATTAGACCCTATACATAACTAATGATTTACTTGGAGAGGCCCACAAATCTCATTAATGACACCAACTTATTTCTTCCCCTTCCTCACTTCTTCTAACTGATGCAAATAGCTTCCACTCCCTCTTCACACTCTACAGGTCTGTTACTGCTTCGTTGATAACCATGCATCTGACCAACCTGCCATCTTCTGAAAAGCTAACAGCATCTATAAATACAGCTTCATTCTACAATTCACACCTTCTTCTCAACTGATTTATTGAATTCCATCTTGTTAGCCCAGCTCGGATTTTATGTTCTTTGGAAAAATCTGTTTCTAAGTCCATGTGCAGTCCCCACACTACCTAACAAACTGCAATGTGCATGAAGTTGAATACATATTTATTGAGTGAATAAATGGGGAAATGAGCAATTGAATTACTAAGTCTTGGGACAGCAGAGGACTGGGAGATTCTTGGAAATTTAAATGTATAATAATAAACATTGATGGATTGAGAAAATTTGCTTTTTATATTTTACCATTGTTAGGCTGATTTAATGCAGCATAACTTTAAAATTCACTTATTTTCCCTGGGATTTTAATGGAGCTTATAATCTAGTGGAAGGAGAAAGAAAATAAACAAATAAACACTCAAATAAACAAGAAGATTTAAGATTAATTTTTACTACATATATTATACATATTATATGTCAACACTTTATTGATTATTCTAAATTATGCAATAGGGTATAAATATGAATGTTTTCCCCAACCACTGGTTTGAATGCTGCTTTCCTAAATCTTCCTTTTCCTGTCCTTTAATGACATCTTGGATGGAAACCGTAACTTTCCAGTTGATCCAGCAATCAAAACTCAAGCCAGTTTAAAACTTTAATCTTAAACTCAATTTACATCCTATTTCCTGCTCTCTCTCTCCAGTACTATCTTGAGCTGGAGTTCTAGTTGCAGCAAGTAGACGAGATGTGTACATAGTATGGCTTTTATAGACCTCAGTCTATTCTGCTGCTGTGGTCATTTCAACAAGGAGGTAGTCCACATAGATGAAGTGTGGCTCTATCCAGGATACTTTTTCAAGTATATGCACTAGCTTCAGTGAAAATTTATTGCCATTGCATAGTGAAGAAGCTGTTCCTTCCCCAGGTCCTGCCATTTCTTTCCAATTCTCTGCTCTCCTCTGATAGGCACAGGGGTAGCACTCAAATCTAAAGCCTAGGCATGCATTCAAAAAGTAAACAGTATAGTCTTCATATACTATAGGAAGGGTGCCTTAGAATCTCATTGGTCTCTGGGTGGGGAAAAGGGTGAACCACGCAAATCTCTTCTACTTTGAATATGGCATTTTCCTTAAGATCAACCACCCCAGTAACTCCCTCTTATCCAAACCTGCCTCTTTTCACTACATCACCTCTCTTTCTCTCAACCTCAATTTCATCTAGCCTTTACATGCAGGAAAAAAAATCTTGTTACGTGAGTATGCATTCAAGTATTTCTATCTTGCTATCTGCAGTCTCTTCCAGTTGGGATGCCCTTGGTCTGCTTGACAACCCTTTTTTCTGAGCTTTGAAGGCTTTACTCCTCAATGCTTAGGCAACAGAAAAGGTCCAAATCATAACATCTGTAAATATTATAATAAATATATATTTTGGTTTTTATCCCCAAATACTGGCTGGAGTTTCTGAAACCCACGTAATGTCCTAATTGACAAGAGTTATGGGAACATATTTTGTTGTAATATGTGGGGTTTTGTCTTCCCAGTTTCCTGAGATAGCTCAGAGTGATAATGGTGAAAGGTGTGTTCTCTGCAATACATCACAAGCCCCTTTGAACCACACCTGAGTATATGTTAATGAGCTGGCTTTTGGACTGCCCCTAAGGATGGAGATAAATGGCTGCCAGGAAAACCAAGTATGTGATTAAAGGGCTGGAACTTTCAGCAATCCCTAATGCCCCCCTATCTTCAGAGAGGGGAGAAGGGCTGGAGATTGAGTTAATTCCCAATGACCAATGATTTAATCAATCTTACCTGTGTAATGAAGCCTCAGTAAAAACCTAAATTTGGGTTTGAAAAGCTTCCCGAGTGATGAATACCTAGATGTGCTAGGAGCCAGGCACACCTACAGAGGGTGTGGAAACCACATTCCCCTTTCCCCTACCTTGCCCTATGCATCTGTTCCATTTGGCATTTCCTCAGTTGTAATAAACTAGTAAATGTAAGTTTTTTTTTTAATTCTGTGAAGTATTCCAGCAAATTATTAAACCCAAGGGAAGGGATCATGGAAATCCCCAATTTACAGCCAGTTGGTCAAAAGTACTGGAAGCCCAGATTTGTGATTGACATCTGAAATGGGGGCAGTCTAATGAAATTGACCCCTTAACTTGTGGGATCTGACCACAACTTCAGGTAGATCATGTCAGAATTGAATTAAATTGTAAAATACCCGGTTGGTGTTAGGAAAATTGGAGAAATGCTTCCTGTATAAAAACTCCAGACATTTGGTGTTAGTAGTGGTGTGAATGCAAAATAAAAAAGTTTTCTTTTTTTTTTTAACATCTATGTCTCCTTCTCTATCTCCCTTCCCTGTGAATTTAGTAAAGTTTAAAGTTCTCTTCAGTGTTGCTATTTCCATGGCTGTCACCATGGAGACAGTAGTCCAAGACAAAAAGATATCAACAGATCTAGACAAGAGATAGAGAATGATTCAAGACCATAAGTGCATGAGGATATGTATAGAAAGAATCTCAGCCATACTCCCTGATGACCCTCCCTAACTCCATGAATGCACATTCTCCAGACAGATACCCTGATTGAGAGTAGGAATTGTGTTGGGTCTTTAAAGAAACTTTCCATTTTCTTGGATGCTTGGAGCTTTGGAGATAACAGCCCAACAATCTGCCCAATACCAGATCCAAGTAACTGATAAAATCTTGAGTTATCACAGTGAAGCTGAGAGAGTTGAAATTCAGTTCTAGTCAGATGCCTGGCTTAACATCCATCCCAGTACTTACAGGCCTGTCTCAGGTAGTCTTGGGTACTGTTATCTTATAGTTAGATTCATGATTGGCTTAGCAAATACATCATTACTGTCACATGAGAAAAAAATGTGAACTTTTCAACAGTGGCAATAACCAACATAAAATGTAATTTTCAGGACTCAGCTAAAACTGTTTCAGCCAGAGAAGAAGTGACTTCTTTTCCTGTTTGTTAGAAGTAAAAACCAAGCAATGAAACAGGTTTGTTTCTCTTATACTTTCTACTTTCTCTCTGGGTCTTGCTTTCACAAGACAATTTCTGAGAAAAATGACACAGTGTCTACCAACAGAAGGAGTTAAAAGAAAATATTAATTATATGTAGGCTAGTTACATATGAGAATTACCCAAGGTATAAAACTACTTCCCCACAACCGCATGAGCAATTAAAGTAAAAGAAAGCATGTTTGCCACACTTTCAAGATAATCCAAATTTGTAGAGTAGCATGAAATACTAAATTTCTTCCATTTCAAGAAGCTATTAAGTCAATTGAGCAACTGAAGTCAAAGTTGACACAGAAAAACAAAGGACACAGTCAAATAAAATATTAAGTTTTCATATCCACTTAAAAGTAAGATATCTGAGTGAAAGAGGCACATCAAAGTAATACTTGCACAGAGGGCTTAAATGCTAGCACACAGAAAAAAATTCTTTTATTTAATTAAGACCTATATTATTCTATATGTCATGCTTACTTTAAGAGGACTTATAAATATTAACTCTTTTAATCTTCATATCAATTTTATCAGTTAGACATTATTATCATCATCTTCATTTTACAAAATAGAAAACTGAGGCAATGAGTGGTTGGTAAACAAATACTGGTGTTCATACAATAAGGAAGGGATGGAGGCTGGAATTGAACACAGATGTGTCAGCTCAGAATTGCAGGCTCTGAATTGCTATACTATGCACGAAGAAGGCCTGGCCCTAAACCACAGTGCAACGCTGCTGCCTGTTGGAGTATGTGGTGAGCTAGTAGGCTCTTCAGCCAGATAGACCTGAGTTTAAATCCTGGCTCTGGCTTTGGCAAGAACCTGCAGTGATTTGTTATCAGCTACATGTCACTTAATCAAAGGTAGTTACATATTGGAATTTGATTTATATAAGTATCTATATTATCTATTTGTAATATAGATGACAGAAAACACTAGAATCATGACTAGCACATAAACAGCACTTAAAATATTCTTCATTAATATTTCTATTATATAACAAAGAACATAGGAAGTTCAAGTCACCATCACCAGTACATTCCATGCATTCTTATCTCTCACCTTTTCTATTGCAGTAGATACTGAATTCTTGACTTGCAGTCTCACTCTCCCCCTCCAATTCTACCTGGACCCAAAGAGAGTCCTTATAAACTGTGAATATCATGTCTGTGCAAGTGTAAATCTTTCATTGATTTTCATAATTTCTATATTAAGATACAAAAACCTTAGCAGGGTTTACATAGCTCTGCATGGTCTGATGCTTCCCAATATTTCAGTTCCATTTCATGCATTTCATGGCATTTTCTTTACATTACTTCTGCTTACATGTGGGAAAGGCTGACCAAAAACAAAAAAAAATTCAATGATCTCAATACAATACTACTCATTAATTTCACAGGTATTTATTGAGTGGCTACTCAAGTTTCAGGTGCCAAGGGAGTACAGAGCAAGAAAAGCCAAGAGTCATTTCCTACACCATTTAAACATGAATGGATTCGCCTCTACATCCATTTATATGGCCCCTTTTCTCTCCTTTTCTTCTCAGGCAAGCTTCTGCCCAGGCTTGCTTTTACCAAGACTTTCTCTTTCAATTACTTCTCTAAAGTTTTAAATTTGACTTTTGCCTCCACTTCACCACTGACACTATTCTCACTCAGATCATAAACAACATCTGTGGCAGATTCTGACAGTTGCCTTTCTAATATCCATTTCCCTCTTCTTTTTTCACTAAGTCGGTAAAGAGTGAGAAAAAATAGAGGCAGAAAGAGAGAGAAAGAATGTTTAGGAAAACAATGTACTCAGCTTAATAATAATAATAAAAAAAGAAGACATTACACACATTCCTTTGAAGCTTAGGAATTGTGATTGGCAGTCTATGGAGAATTGCTGGAAAAGACGCTTCATGATATACTTGCTTCACTTTCCTCCTTGTTGTTTTTTCCTTCTTCCTTCCTATTTGGAATGTAGATGTGAAACTGGAGACAGACTAGCCATTTGTGAACATAATATGGCCGTAAGGATGAAAGAAACCATATACAAACAGAAGAAAGATTGAAGAAGTCTCAGACACTGATGAGGATGGGCAGCGTCTACAGGATTTCTGAACTTTCTATTTCTGGACTTTATTACATGAGGAATGGATGCACATCTCTGGCACCATGAAGATAGCTCAGAGGCATCTCAAACTAAATAGAGATGCAAAATAAACTTTTGTTCTTGCTCCACAGTTATATTTCCCCAGTGTTCCCAATCTCAGTACATTTCACTTTATCGATGACTCTTAACAGATAGTACTGAAATGTTTTTTCCATTATTCTTCATATTCAATCTATAATCAATACTGTATCTTCTTGTTCCAAAATATATCTGGCCTCAGTAGACACTCTTCCATTGCCATCACTAGGGAATCAGAAGGTAGGTTGCATTTTAGTTTATAAATTTATTATTTTGTGGATAGAAATGTCTTCATTTTTATTTCCATACTGCTCTTAATTTCATTCAAGTTTCCTTTGTAATCTCTATTGATTTTCATCTCACCAAGAAAAAAAACAAAGCCGTTGGTGTGTTTTTGCTAAGGCGGCCTTTCTTTACCTTTCTGTGCTAACCTTGAGCATTGCAAGCTCTTACCTACCTCAGAACTTGCACACCTTTTATTTCCATCACTCTTACCTAACTCCACTGTATTTTTAAATTTCTACTTCTCAGATAACTGTTTTTAGCCAGTTGCTTCTCTCTTGTTCTAACTTTACCAGACATCTAGTTTGTCTTATTTTACTCTACTCTTTACTCTTCCCAAGTGGTACTTACAGTAATTGGGTTAAAATATGCATTTGGGGATTGCTATGGTTTGATATACTTTTCTTGTGTTGAATTTTTTGTTGAAATTTGATCCTTAGTATGGCAGTGTTGGGTGGTGGGACCTAGTGGGAGGTGTTTGGGCTATGGGGGTTGATCCCTCCTAAATGGCTTGATGCTTTTCTAAAGATAGCAAGTTTTTACTCTTGCAAGACTGGATTAGTTCTCATGGGAATAAAGTAGTTCCCTTGAGTAGGTTGTTATAAAGCCAGGTTGCCCCTCAGGCTTCTCTCTCTTCGTAAATGTTCATGTCCCTTTTGACCCTCTTTACCATGTTTTGATGCAGCATGAAAGCCCTTGCCAGAAGCCAAGGCCAAGCTCTTGAATTTCTCAGCCTGCAGAACTATGAGCTACATAAACCGTTTTTCTTTATAAATTACCCAGTCTCAGGTATTTCTTTATAGTAACACAAAACGGACTAAGACAGGTATTTAATTATATCTCCATTAGACTCAATGTGTCAGGAAGACAGACTGTATCTATTTGTTCACAGCTTTATTTGCAGTGGTAGTAGAGTGCCTGGCACAGAGTAATAATATATAATACATATTGATTGAATAAAGTAACATAGAGAACTCAGTGGATTGATAATATATTGGAAAAAATAGATTCTCTATTGAAAATAATTAAATAATTTTATCTTATAAAAGTAGACCAAGATCTGCCTTGACTGTGCATTGGTGATTCAAAGCATGTACTATAACTTGGAAGCTACAAAAAATAAAAATAAAAATAATTTATCGTTATTTATCTAAAATGAAAGCTGCTGGAAAATAACCAAGATAGTTTAGTGATGATTCCATTGCACTAGAAAAATTTAAGTTTCTTAAATCTAATCTAAGGATTTGAGGAACTGCAGAGGGGCCATGCACTCACAGTCAAAACTGTAACACTCAAATGTAGAACAATTTAAATTTCGGCAAACTACTTAAAGAAGTGGCTCACAATTCTATGGGAAAATGATCATTTTACTATGCACTAATAATAACAATAACAATAGCAATTATTAGCACATGTGTAACATATTACTGTTTACACAGTATTTTTATTTTTATATCTCATTTCCAAGCAGGGTTTTTCAGATTAGATTTCTTTCTGCAAAGTACAATGTGTTCTCCTTTTAATACTTCAAAATATACACAAAATACTCATTATTGTATAGCTACATTTGTACATAAAACAAAGTTCACATACAAAATAACACACATACAATCTCAGATCAAGTAAAATCTTAGTCCTTTTCTGCTGCTATAATAGAATACCACAGATTGAGTCATTTATAAAAGAAAGATTTATATGGCTCGTGGTTCTGGATGCTGAGAAGCCTAACAGCATGGCACCTGCATCTGGTGAGGGTCATCTCATGGTGAAGGAGTAGAAGGTGGAGGGCATGTGAGACAGAAAAAAAAATCAGGCCAAACTTGTTTTGGTAACAAGTTGTTTCACACTAACTAAACAGCTCCTATGATAATTGCATTCATCCATTCATGAGCACTCGTGACCTAATCATCTCTTAAAGGTCCCACCTTTTAATACTGTTAAAATGATACTGGAATTTCAACATAAGTTTCGAGGGGAATATTTAATCCATAGCAAGTAGATACAATCCATTAGTAATCAGCAGAATTGCAGCTTGGCTTTTTAGTCTGTAAGAATATTGGTTCTTTTGATGGATAATTTTTATCCTCATTATAAACTCTTGGATCCTCCACTTCTTCCATTCTCCTGACACACACACAAGTAATATTTTTTGATCTCTGGCAAAATGTTATACAATGCTGACACTTACACTTTTGATTACCAAGGTTGATTCTTGCAATATACTTACTTTAATTAAATAAATAAATTAGTTAACTGTTCTAACACAAATATTTAAGCACATAAAGCATTCTCTATATAAATTTTTTTTGAAAACAGAAGTTTATTTGTCCTGTGCTAGGGAGATACTGATAGGCATTAGCCAGTTAATGTACAATAAGTATAATTCATAGCTACAAATTGAAAACATGAAGTGACAATTTCTTCCAACATATCACTGAAGAATTTTTTTTCTCACCATCACCATAGGCCCATAAGGGATGCTGAAAGGTTTCTATATTGAGTGAAAGGAGTGATGTATCACTTCACCTCCTTAGTAAAGGATATGGGAATATTCTCCAAGGGCAGTCTCTGGCTCTTTGGTAATGCAATGATGATAACTGAGCCTCAACTTGTCCCCTTGATGGGTGAGAAGGAACCACCAAAGCTAGTGAACAGTTGTATTGCAATGGAAGCTATATCTCAGGACCTGAAAATCCAAGAAGAAAGAACTACATGCTTCATATTTAATTATTGGGGCTTGGATAATATTTAAGTGTTTAGGGAAATAGTTGAAATTACAATATATCATTCCCTTTCATTTACCATTATATGTGGGTGAGAGGGGGATAGTGAACAATAAATTACACTACTTAGAGATGTGGGCTAAGCTGTTTGTTGGGCAGCTGTGTCAATAAAGTACAAACATAACATCAGTTTCCCATTACACAAATCATTTAGAGTCATATATTACTCACTATAATGGAAAAAGGGGAGACTGAAATCTAAAATGAAAGGAGAAATTGAAGTACACCCAGAGCAAGTAGCAGCTGAGCCAACAGCAGCCAGCACAGTGAAACATTTAGTCAGATCTCCTGAAAAACAAGTGCTTCTGGCTTTAATGACCCTCGATGTCACATCCCAGAAAGCTGAGGACCAGCTGGGGTGCAAGAATATTGGAAGCAAATTTTTCTTGCTATTCGCAGGTAATTGGAAATAAATAGACGACTGCTCCCACACATCACCCTGCAGATTGTGATTTAGTTCAAGAGTTTTGAAGGTGAATTTTTCTGTCGGTTTGCATTGACTTTGATGTGGATTTTTCAAAGTAGGTGTGATAGGACAGTCATCATGTAGGAATGTCATGGATGAAACAGTGACTGTTTCTTGAAGCTCAGCTGGGGAAAAAAAAATCATGTATTCATCCTTCCATTTCTGCCTGCTTGTTACACAGGTCTATTATTACTGGTTAACATGGTTCCAAAATGGCTGTTCACTCAGTCCTAGAACTGAAACCACAAGCAAGGTAAGGGTTTATTCTACTTTACTCACTGGATAGGTGTCCAAATACTTGCAATTGCATTTACTATTTATTTTATAAATGTAAACAGAATCCAATTTATATTACCCTGAGAAGGCTGGCTAGGAAAAGCATCCTATCATACAAATATGGAATACTTTTTTTTCATTTTTGATGCACACATGCAAAATACACATACAATGTACCCACTTTTGAGGTAGAAGTGTTTCTAAAGTTTATCTATAATTTTACAAGATGTAGTACTAATCAGAGATTATTTTTCTAGATTCATTATATACCTTTGGAAAGTTGCATTGTTTGTGAAAACTTCAACTGTAACAATTAGACTGAGAAAGGTCCCAATAAATTGAATTCAAACTATATTTTCTGAAGCGATTCCATGCAATGTTCATTCAAAATTTCTGTTACACTTTCAGTTTTCAGTGCTCTTTAATACATAAATATCTCTCTGACAGATGTGTTTTCCTGTTTTGTATTTGCACATTTATAAAATCTATTTGTTTTTATAGCTTTAATTTCTCTTTTCCTCAAGGGGTATTTATTAGCACCCTAATATAAATAACAACAAATTACTAAATTTTCTGATATACAACATTCTCCCTCCCATCATTGAAAGTTAATATTGCCCTAAAATACATGAAGTTCAATAAATGCATAAGAAAATGATTTCAAAGATTTTTAAATATTCTTATGCCTGTGTGTCTTGCTTTTTGTTCTCCAACTTTATCAACAACTCTTGAGACACCAAACCATGAGATAAAAGTAAATGAACCATCCTTTTTCATTTTTACAGCTTTTTTCTTCATTGATATTTTATATATTTTTTCTTAGAAAGTTTTATTCTTGTAGTCATGACTTTCAATAATATACTCCTATAATTTGAGTTATAAGGATTTAAAAATATCTATTGACCCTCACCTATCAAAAATGACAACTGAGGGCCTACGTACACAGACTCTGACCATCTGTTTTTCCCACATTGTCATTATTTATATGATGTAAGATTTTGTTTTCCATAACCAAAGTGTAGATCTGGGTTTGGTGGTGCTCAAAGCATAAACAATATGTCCCTCATTAATTAAGAAAATCTAAAACTATGATTGAAAAAGTACATTTAAAAGCATTATTTCTTTTGAGAAATCACAACAAATAAGAAATCTCAAAAATCAAGTAAATACCATTATCCCAAAATCTATAGAAATTGCATATTTTTACTAATAGTCAGATGTGCCTCAAAATACTTTTGTCCTTTTATGTTTTTGCTGTATACTCTTTGCTCATCTTTCCATATGACGAATTTGTAATATTTCCTATAAAATGAACAAAATTATAACTCAGTCTACTTTCTAGAATAGTCAATGGATTTTTTATAGCCAGAAAAGTTCCTTGCAGTTTCATAATTTGCTATTGATTACAAACTTTTAATTTGATAAATAAATTTATTGCATATTTATTAAATTTAGGATAACATTTATCCAAATAACAAGCTATAAGATATGAGAGCATTTTAAATTTCTTCACGCCATGATTAAACTCTGCTTTAAATGAAAACGCATGTTAACCTGTTTGTCATTTATGTTTCATTTGCTGCACTGGTGGCCATTTTCCTTTCAGTTTTATCTGGAGCCCTCAGACATCAGGCCAAGATATGTCACTATGTACACTAAAAAATGATTTAAAGTGTGACTTCCCACACAGACCTACTTGCTGCTGGTAGCATTGATACAGATTAATTCTCTACCCACATAGAATTTCTATTTCACATGATTCCAACTAGAAATGTTATAAATTAATACAGTGCATTTAAAACTGTATATACTGCATATTGAGTGTATTTCTGATGTAAGAAAACATGCATTTTTGACTAGGTGTTGATAGAATGTTTCATAATTCTAAGGATTTTCAAGGACTAGCTTCTAGCTCTATCTTTGTCAAACCTTGTACTCTTTTGCTACCAGGGCACCTCTGGTGCTTGCTCATTTTCATTGTCATATGTCCTGTGGCTTTACAACATTGTAACTTGGCACTGGGTATAGTGGGTGATAGGAATAAGTTATTGCTACCATAGTCCATGGAAATGACAGTGAGTCACATGAGTATATCTTATTAAACCCCAACTAAACATTATTTCCAAGTAAGCTTCCCTTTAGCCGGTTCCCAAAAGTGGTTGCAGTTTTTCAACAGAAGAAAAAAAATGTCAGAAGGGAAGCTGAAGTAGAGATGGAAGTCCTAAACCATAGTAGTTATATCCGTTGTTTGTAAATTTTAAAATATATGAACATGTGAACACAATGCTAGGACCCCCTGGCCCTGAAACACAGGCATACACACCTGCCTTGGAAGGTGCACGTGCAGAGGAGGGATCCTAAATCTAATGCTCATTGACTTCAGACAGTTGTTTTATTCCTTGTGTTACTTTTAAATATATTGTGTGTTCTTTACTTGTTCTTTTACTAATTTATCCATTTGCTTCTAGATTGGATGAATATTACTTTTAGTTTTTCTTTTTTCATAAGACACAATTGTCTGAACACTTAATAGCCTGAAAATATCGATCTATCAAATGCCTTTGGACATACCTAACAGTTTTAAATGAAAAGAAATTTTCATTCTTTTGACAATTTTCTCATTGTCAAATGAGAAAAGAAATTTTCTTATTGATCATATTGAAAATATGAACAATGTACACAGTACTCTACCATCTTCTAACTTTGAATGTTGCTGTGGAGAAGTTTAGAGCCAGTCTACTTTTTCTGCCTTTACAGGGGAGATGATTTTTTAATTTTTTTGGCTTATATGCCATTAAGATTATTTTTTTACATTTGAAGTCCAATAATATTACCAGAACATATCTCTGGAGTGATACATATCAATTTTCCCTGGGAAATAATTTCCCCCATCAATTTTTAGATTTTAGGCTTTATTTTTCACCTGGAAATTTTCTTGAGTTATATCTTTTTTTTCTCATTTATTGGTTGTTTTTCTACTGGGGTACCAATTATGCTTATATTCTTTTACTTTGCCTATCTTTCATATCTGTCTTTACAACTCCAGTCCTTTTCAATTGTGTATTGTAAATTTAATTTTAATCTTCCTTTTAGGCTTATTTTTATCTTATTGGCTGTGATTTGCATAGTACTCATTCTCCTGTGTTGAAATTTCTATTTTTTTCATTTCATTTATATTTTCCAGATCTTGCATAAGATATTAAATTTATTTGTTATTTTAGTATTTCTTTCTCAAAACCATTTATCTTTTCATGGGCTTGTATTTATACTGAGTATTTATTTTGTTAAAATCTCTGGACTTGTTCGAAAATATATTTTTATACATGTATCTGATTTTTGGAATAAAATTAGTCATATTCTTATCTTTTCAATGAGTTACATTCGTCTATCTGTTCATTAAAATCATGCTCTTATTAATTCCTGTGCACATGTGTCTGACTATATAGATGAGAAAGATAGAGACTGAAACCCGTAAACACTGATCGAGAATGAGAAAGTCAGAGAAAAAGAGTTAATCTACCACTTTTCCTCAATAACAAAGTGGGGCAGCTATGAGGCTGCTGACAAAAGCCCAGTCTCTCTTAGACCTTGCTGCAGTGACAGGCAGAGCTTTCAAAAATATCACATCAGTGAACTATATCTTTCTCTCTCCGCGAT
Organism: Homo sapiens; assembly: GCF_000001405.40. Taxonomy (NCBI): domain Eukaryota; kingdom Metazoa; phylum Chordata; class Mammalia; order Primates; family Hominidae; genus Homo; species Homo sapiens. The sequence goes on from NC_000018.10 coordinate 39,177,080, forward strand.
TTTATAATGCCAAGTGGGGCTCCAAGAATCTTCAGCAGTCAGCCTGTGTACTCCAAAACCTCTTATTTCAAATACAAAGCTTTTATTCCAGTCATCATTGTCCCATTTCTGGAGAGAATGCTCTGTTCTTCAGCTCTCTTTATAATGCATGGTCATAGGTAACCCCTGACAGTATCTGTTCTCATACAACTCACCCATTGCTAAGCATATGATAATCATTTCTCCTACATTGTGATTTGGATTTACAGATTTCTCCTAGATTCATCACACAAATATATTTTTTATTTTTATTGTTTTCATTTGTGGTGGGGCAGATATATTATTTCTCTGCCATAATAAAACCAGAATTCTAAGAATTCTAAGTATAATTTATTTTTGGTAACAGCCAAAAAACTCTTCTCTATAACAATATTCACAAGTAAACCCATGCCTTCCTATATTCTATTTATCTGAGAGCAACTATTCACTTGATCTTCTCATTCATTTTGCAATGACTGCTGAGAAAATATTAAAAAGTTTTAGAGGTTTTTTTTTTCTTTTGGCAGTATTACTGTGGGTCTAAAGTAATCCAGAATGTCTATTTTTTCATACTCTTTTATGTTCTACTTACACATTTTAATTTTTATTAAGATCTTTCTAAAAAATCAGATAACTTTTTGCACATTAAAAAAGTTTGATTTTAGTCAAATATGAAAAATATTTTTTAAGTTTGAAATAAGCAATGTTAAGAAACTCTCAGAACTGTTATTCTGTATTCAAATTCAATAGTATCTTTGCTGAGCAAGAACAATGAAGATTTGAAGCATTTCTGAGGAATCTCCAGTACTCAATTTAAAAATAAGTGGTTAGATATGTGGCACAGGAAATCTGGTATTCATTTATTTAACATTTACATGCAAAAAGTACCTAGAATAGTGTTTAACTTACAGTATTTGACCAAGACAAGTTTGTCCCTTTCCCCACTCAATGAAGCTTGGACCAAACTTTTATCCTGGAAGGTAGCAGTGAGAATGAAAAATGCAAGAATTATATGATATTGTCTATAAATTATTAGGCATCAATGTAATTAAGGAAATCTGTAAAACCAGCAAGAATAGGGAAGACAAAAGGGTATTTTCTGTTTCTTCTCTCATACTCAAGGTATTTTCTGTTTTTCTCTCATACTCAACACTTCAACAGTCTGTCTGTACCAAATCTCTAAGATCTCCGTCCTGTGTAACAATTGCCAATTCACAGGCAACATGAGGGCTGATGCTAAGAAGACCTGACAGCACAGAGCAGAAAAGCACGAAAAGAATCCTATGCCCCTGAGTGGCCCTCTGGACATAGACATTACAAGGTACAAAAATGAGGTCATAGAGCATAGAGCAAGGAAGCAAGGAGCAGTTTCCCTGGAGTCAGTGGGAAAAGAAATAAAGCAACTATCAGAACAAAAGGTGCTTCTCTGTTGGCTTACATGTGATGACATGATAATTTTTATTATAATTTAATGTCATTCCTAAGCTCACATTGCAAAGAAAAAAAGATGTACCTTTGCATAATACATATGTTTATCTGATATACTTTTTTATCTGATATACTCCCTTCTTTCCACTACAACCCCGTTCTCTTATAAAAGACACTTACTCAGTTCCAATTATTTTAGTGGATGTGTTTTACTAAACACTGAGTCTGTGTGAGCAGGACCAATAGTTAGATAAAAGAAGAAGAAATACAAGTCTCTTTCAGTGCCAGAAAACACGCAAAAGTGGAAGGTCAAGGTCTGAAAATATCTTCCATGTAGGAGTTTCCATTAAAGAAATGCAGGTGAGAATAAGCAATCACTATAATACATATTCTGTACTTGCTAATTATGTGGTTTACCATTAGGTTTTTCATCATAAAAAGAACAAAACATAAAAAAAATAAAATTTAAAATTATTCATCTTCTCTTCAGTGAGTTTACAATCTATCTGGAGGGTCTAGGCTAAAATATTCTAAACAATGTTGGGTAACTATTTCTCAGAATTCTTTGATAGTCATACACACATAAATGAAGTAATTATTGAAGTGAGCTTAAAATTAATAGACACATTGCATTTAACTATTTGGTGACACTTTTAATGACCATTGTTATATAATCAGAGAATAAAGGACTTCTAAGTAGTTTGGCTATTTGGATGCAGTAACCTTAATAACCCAGATTTATTAGAACTTCTAAAGAACAATAAGCCAATTAAATGTTACAGATTTTTGCTAATATAAGTCAAATGACTTAGATGGAATAAAAGTAATGATAATATGTTATATAAATAGATTTTATCTCTGCCAGTCCAACCAATGCAGTGACTATTATTATCTAAATAGTTTAAAAGAGAAGTGACATCAGCAAGATGGCAAAATAGAAGCTTTCTACCATCATCTTTCCAAAGTACACAGATTTTGACAGCTACTCACTGAAGAAAGTGCCTTTTTGGGAGTCTGGGATTTCAGCAGAGAAGTTCCAGTACACCACTGGAATGAAAAAAATCTAAGAATAGACACATTGGAAAGGGTAAGAATAACAGTTTCACTTTCCCCATGTCACCTATCTCCTCAGGTGGCACAACCCAATGCCAAGAGATAACCCTTTAACCTGTAATTTCCTCCATGGGAGAAAATACGAGCATTGAGGGTGAGCTCCTGTCTTCCACAGCTTTGCAGATTCTACCCAAGAGGAATACCTCTTTCTCAACCTATCCAGAATATTAAGGAAATTTTCATGGCTGCATGGCCGCTAGAGATTGAATCAGGGATATGAGGAAGGGACTCACAGCAGTCAGGTCATGGAACTCAAAAAAGGGTTGCATATCTTACCAACTACTTCGTAAGTTGTACCAGGAGGCCCACACATGATCCATTTGATTTGACTTGCCTGTGGACCCCTTAAATGGCCACAGACTCTCCTGACACACATGTTCCTCCCACCCATGGATGGCAGGATTTTCTCACATGCCCGCATATGGTAAGTACAAGCTTTTGCAGATGGCCCATAAGCACATTGCCGTCACTCAGCTAAATAATGATATTAGAAGAAGGTAGAAAAACAAACATTTAGGGCACCTAGGGAAAATAAATGAAAGGTTCTCAAAACCACGCCTCATTTGTGGGATTCAGAAAAGACACAGAATCTCAAGAACTCTCCTCTTTCTCCCAGAAGGAATAAGAAGAGTGGAGTGAGAAGATTCATAGAAAAGGACAAGGAGAGTCATATAATCCCTAGACAGGCTGACTGGTAAAGGTTTTTCCTTCCCAAAACCAGTCAGTAAAGACGAAGGAGGTGACTGTATCTTCAAATATAAAGATAGCAACACAAAACTTCAAGGAACACATACCAAGAAACAAGAAATGAAAGGCAAGAACAAGAAATAAAAGGCATCCAAATCACACAGTAATAACTAAATTGTCTCCCTTTGCACATGACATGATGTTATATATATAAATCCCTAAACACTCCACCAAAAATACTGTCTGAACTAATAAATGAATTCACTAAAGTTGCAGGATACAAAATTAACATACAAAATACAAAAGTCAGTTGCGAGTCTATACACTCACAATGAACTCTCTGAATGTAAGTTAGGAAAATAATTTCATTTATAACAACATAAAAAACTTAGAAATAAATTTAACCAAGAAGTTGAAAACTCTGTACTCTGAAAACTGAAAACAATAATGAAAGAAATTGAAGACAAAAATAAATGAAAAGATATCTCATGTTTATGAATTTAAAGAATTAGTATTGTTAACACGTTCATATTACCCAAAGTGATCGACATATTCAATGTAATTCCTGACAAAATTCCAATGTCATTTTTCCCAAAAATAGTAAAACACCATCCTTACATTGATATGAAACCAGAAAAGACTTCAGATAGCTAAAGCAATCTTATGTAAGAAGAGCAAAACTTGAGCATCACACTACCTGATTTCAAATTTTATTACAAAGCTATAGTAGTCAAAACTGTATGCAATTGGCACAAACAGATAAGATATATAAACCAACAGAACAGAATAGAAAGCCCAGAAGTAAACCCACAATATATGGTCAACTAATCTTCCACCAAAAATGCCAAGAATACAGAGTGAAAACAGAATAGTCTCTTCAATAAATGATGTTGGGAAAATTGAATATCCACATGCAAAACAATGAACTCAGAGACCCTTATTTCATACCATAGCACAAAGAAAGCAAATCAAAATGGATGAAATGCTTAAATATAATACTTAAAATTATAAAAATCCTAGAGGAAAACATAGGAGAAAACCTCCTTGAAATTGGCTTGACAATGATTTTTGAATATGATTCCAAAAACACAGGCAACAAAAGCAAAAATTTTAAAAATGACGTTACATCAAATTAAGTTTCTTCACAGCAAAGGAAACAATCATCAAAATCAAAAGGCAACCTATAGAATGGGAGAAAATATTTGCAAGCTCTATGTTGGCTAAGGGTTAATATTCAAAATAGACAACTCATACAACGCAATAGTACAAAAACCAACCAAACAAATAAAATAATATTATTGTGAATAATAATAATAGAAAAACATGATTAAGAAATTGGCAAAGGGCTTGTATAGGCATTTTTCCAAAGAAGACATACAAGTGGCCAATAGACATATAAAAAAGTTTTCAACATCACTAATCATCTGATAAGTGCAAATTAAAAACCACAATGAGACATCACCTTACACCTGTTAGGAAGGCTATTATTAAAAAGTCAAAAGATTGCAAGTATCAAGATTGTGGATATAAGGAAACCCTTGTATCTGTTTATGAAAATATGAATAGGTATAGTCATTATTGAAATACTATGGACATTTCTTTAAAAATTAAAAATAGAACTACCTATAATCCAGCCATTCAACTTCTGGGTATATAGCCAAAGAAAATAAAATCACTAGCTTGAAGAGATACCTGCACTACTAGGTTCATTGCAGCATTATTCAAAATAGCTAATATATAGAAACAACCTAAGTGTCTACCAAAAGATGAATGGATAAAAGTAACTGGGTATGTATATTGAAATATTATTCAGTCTTAAAAAAGAATAAAATCCTTCCATTTGCAACAGCATGGATGAACCTGGAGGACATTATATTAAGTGAAATAAGCTAGGCACAGAAAGACAAAACTGGCTAATGTCACTTATATGTAGAATCAATAAAAATTGAACTTACAGACACAGAGTAGAATAATGATGACCACATAGTGAAAGGTGGGGTAATGGGGAAAAGGTTGGTCAAAGGGTAAAAACTTTCAATTATAAGATGAGAAAGTTCTGGAGATATAATATAGAGTATGATGACTATAGTTAATAATGATGTATACTTGACATTTGCCACAAGAGTATATCTTATGTGTTCTCACCACACATACAGAAAAAGGGATAACTGTGAGATAATAGATATTTAATTAGCTTGACTGTGGCAATCATTTTGCATTGTATATGTATACCAAGGCATGTTGTATACTTCAAATACATACAATTTTTATTTGCCCATCATACCTCAATAAAGCTGGAAAGAAAAAAGAAACAGATATTTGGAATTTTTCATAGTTTAGTTGTTGGAAATGACATAAGTGCAGCAACCATTAAATAAATCCACATCTGCACACACAGACACACACAACCACAAACACATCAGTTAGGAGTTTGCACATAAAAAAATAGAAACAGAAGTTCCAAACTCATTGAAAATCTAAAAACTGGCAGTCATTATAAAACAATTTGTAAAAAAATTTAAAAATGTAAAACATTGTGATTAGTTTGAAAGAACAATATATTTTTTTCTGATGAAATTAAAAGAAAAATAAAATTCTTATAAAATTTCAACCAAACTTAAATAGCAATGAGAAAAAAAAAAGCTGCCTGAAGTTCTCATGTTTTCTTCAGATAATTTAACATGGTATAGATATTCTTGGAGTTGATACGTGATATATCACATATGTGATATGTGATATGTGATATATCACAACTCCAACATAATAACACACATGGCAATAATTTAACTGTGATGTGTATGAAGGACATGTCTCAAGTGACAATTATAGAGTTCCCCAACAGTTTCATGGAGGACTATAAGCAATACACAAAGGGCTTTCTAGTTAAAAAGTATATTCCTGACCCAGCCTGAGATATACAACAGATAAACACATTCTCTCAAATTACAGAGCCTGATCCAATGAGTTGTTTACAGGTATAAGCTAAGAATATTATCCTTGTGCTTTCTACATTTCTTTGGGAGTGCAAGAAGGAAAGAGAGAAAGGATTAGTGCAAATTGAGCTCTATTTCTAATTGTAATACAGACTGGATTGCATCACCCTTGATTTTATAAATAATTTGAAAGAAAATGCAGTGACTGCATAATAGCACATCAAATGGATGGTTGATTAGCTTAGTTAGTTTTATATGCATTTTAGCTATTATTTTCCATTAGAATGGAAGAAACTGAACAAAATTGTCACCATCATGGTAATGCCTGGCAGATAGGAACCAAGGAGCAGTCTTACTTGTAATATGCGAAGTCTGAAGAAACTAATAATTAATTCTTCCATCCGATCCCCTATTCTCAAGTCAATATCATTTCAGAACCATGATTTTTTAAGCATTAGAAGTATGACACATGGGGGACCTTTGATGATCCTCCTGAAGTCTCCCAGTTTGAGATATTGTGTCATGAAAGTTACTTTCTGTTTTATCATGTAGGTTATTTGGGGTGTTATATTATGCCTTAGTATCTTGTTCTGGAAATTTTCTGTTAAATGCAATTTATTTTTTTTTGAGTTTCAGTGTTTCTAGAAAATGGTCCCTCCTCATTCCAACACTTACATAGAAGTCCCTTTCCCAGAAAAAGCCTCTAAGGTTCATGTTGTTAATGTATGTTTCTTGCTCCTGGTGAACAAGGGACAGAGAAAGTAGTGACTAATATCAGAATCATGAGTGAAGATATGTTTTATTCATAAACTTTGCACCTCCAGTGAAATTAAAAGCAAAGTAAAGGGTTGAAGCTATGAACCCTTTTTCCTAGAGCCTGTAAACCAATAAAGGCTTTATATTAGCTATCGATATCTATCTCTGAGTTGCCTTAATAACATCTTATTCCCTGTTTTCACCAGCCATCAATAATATTTCTGCCTGCCCGCTCAGGCCCCTATCTCTGCGTGCAATTGCATTATAAGGGTCTATAAGCCCAATTTGCTTCACATTCTTATTTTTGGAAAAGGCTGGCTGGCTTTTGTAATGAGAACAGCTGCCAAGAAGGCTTGACAGAATTTGTGGCCCATCTGGCTTATAATCTTCACTCAATATCGCAGAAGCCTAAACTCTGAGACCTGCTGATAAGCCCAGGCGTCCAGGCAAGCGATGGCAGCCTTCTCTGTGATTTCTCATTAAGGACAGGGACATCTCTCTGGGAATCTCTCATATCCTGGATATCATATAATTCCTTTTTTCATTTTCTAACAAATACAAGAAAGTTGTATTTTTTGCAATATAGTATCTTCATGTACCCAGATATGGGTGAACAGCTGTTTGGAAAATTTTGATTCTTGAGTATTTGAGTTTTCTAAAATATTAGCTACAATTCCAAAAGAAAATAAAATTTCATTAAATATATCAGAATATATTAACTAATTATTTTAGATTTTAGAGAGGATTCTTTTTTCCATTATATATTTATATACATTTTCCATCCCAGTGCTATCTGTGGCACCAGTGGTTTATGGCAAACAGGAATTTAATTAATAGCATAGCCACTGACTTAACCAGCATTGACTGGACTCTTAGTGGTGGAACAAAGGGGGAAAATGGTAAAGAAACCTCCATTACGGTGCATGGAGAGTATCCTCTTCCTCCTGTAACTTCCCTATTGAGGATGCATTTTAGAAATAATGTAGTTCCTTTCAACCCCCTCTATCCTGTTTCTGTTTTTTTTTTTTTTTTCTGATCTCTCATAGTGTGTTTATTGTCCTTTGAGATACACTACTAAGTATGTCAGAAGAAAAAGAAGATATACTCCCTGTCCCTGGGAGTTTATAACTAGTGGGGCTGAATTTATTGGCTTCTAAACTACTGTTGGGAAAACTGTTACTTTCTCTAGTATTACTGTAGAAAGGGATTCTATACTCTTGTGGATCTGCCTCTACAAATGCAATTTAGTTTGGAAGATCTGCAAGACTTTATATACTATGCTATTTGTCTTCTTTCCCTTGTAGGAATTGCTTTTGCTATATTTCCTGTATTTTACATGCATTTTTTAAAAATAAAATGATAGTGTCAATATTCTAAACAAAAAAGCTCCCATGGGAAAAAATCTCCACAGTAACTCATTAAGAGAAATTCTGAACAAGGAACATGGCTGGTTACTTGTAGAACAGAAGACTGGGTCATCCTGGGAGTCAAGACCTATTGTTGGTCAACTTTTTCCTACCAATTATTTAACAAAGGTTGATTAAGCACAGACTCTGCATTGAGTGCTACAAATGCCCCTAAGTAATGGAAGTTTACATAGGTTAGAAAAACAATAATCTATTTTGCCAAAAGGAGAGTAATGTCCAAAATGGAGGCTTAGATGTTGTGGTTAAGTGGATAACTACCCCAATAGCATGCTAATGGAAATATATCAAACAAAACAAATAAACCCTTGAAAAACATCTAGGACATTCATATTGAGGGTAAGTTGGGGCAGTGGAGAGCCAGCTTGTCCAGAGATAGTGTCCTGCGACCCAGGTATGAATGCATACACGTCAGAGAAAATCTGAGAAAACAAAATGCAGAGCGGATGACCCCATGCCCTGAGCCATAGCCAGAAACAACTTCTGGGACGAACCAAGATTTCATCATGTTGGTGTTAATAGGTTTTCTTTGCCATGTATCACCTTTATTTTCCCAATTAGACTGTATCTTGTAGTTATTAACTCAGTGCTTTTTACTTAGTAGGTGCTTTCAAAGCAGCTGCCAAGTCACTGGTTGTTTATTGAATGTTAAACAAATGCAGATGGTACAAATTTCAAAGCTCTAGACCTAGTAACTGCAGTGTCCAACTCCAAAGAGTCCTAAGTCACTCACTGTAAAAGAACAGCTTTCTAATAATAAGTACCTGCAAAGTTACTACATGGTGGTTAGAATGACTCAGACTTTTTAATAAATAAGCTATGCAAATAATAGGTTTGTAGCCACATTATTTTACATCTGCACAATTTTTATCATGGTCATAGTAGGTTTCACTCTTCTGATATGAACATACATGACAGGGAAATTTTTGAACTAAAGTGAAACGAGAAGATCCCGAATGAGGGAGTATGTGAAAGAACGTCTCCCCTTTCCTGCATGTGAGTAAAATCTATCAGCATTTGGCTGCTCGACCTCATGTTCGGGCATTAATTCCACACTGTATTTCCCAGAAATTGAAGACAGTTAATTGACTTTTTACAACTGGTGTTCAAGCTTTTTTTCTATTTTATGCCCCATGGGAAGAGAAAACTGTGCTGTTAGTGAGGCTCAGTGGCTTGCCTTAGAAGTGACAAGTCAGTAAACATAAGACTTCTATTTTATAATTTCATGTTCTGATTTCTATAGAAAATTATTGTAGTTAAAAGGACTTTAATGAAGATTAGAATTACAGATGTCCCTTACTAGAGTTTTAAATATTGAACCGTCTGCATCACTACTTTTTTCCAGTGATGTAAATATTCTTAAATTCGTAAAAATAATATGTTAGAAAGGACTTTGGAAAATCATGTTCTTTAACTTTTGTGGGATACACTATAGGATGAAAAGGAAAAAATGAGTTAATGTAGAGATATATTCTAACATTTACCATGTGTCAACTGTGTTTCAGGCTCACGTTAGACACTTTTATGTTTTTATGTGATTTTATTCTCATCTCAGAGCTATAAGTCCCATTATCACCATTTTCCAAATGAAGAAATTATAAGGTCTGTGTGCATTATAGGTAGGACCCAACACCATCTAACATAAACATCCATATACTCCAACCTCTACTTTTCCAATTAGTATGAAAAGAGGTTTCCTAAATAAGTGAACTTCAGGAACTTAGAGATTAAAATAATAGAAGAACTTATAAGGCACCTATTGTAAAAGAGTTCAGAAACAAGTCTATTTTGAGAAAAGAGTTACACAAAGCATGGTGGGTACCCTAAGGGTTGTTTACAGATATTCAGGTCAATTTTCCCTGTAGGTACTTGTCAAATTACAACTCCCCATGCCACTAAAGATAGGATTGCCTGTGGGACTTGCTCCTGCTTATAAAATATAGTAACATGAGTCACACCTGGCCAGATGCTCTCAGAGGTTGTGCAGACCTTGCCTCCTCCTCTTTTCCTGTGTTTTCCATGGATAGTCATGTGCTGTGAGGAAGCCTCTGTCCACTGGGTCATTGAGTGAGTATCATGTGTAAAGTCTAGCTTTTTCTGATTTATATAGGAACCATTAACATTTTGCCTTCATGAAACAGGCTTAGAGTTCAAATAATGCAAATATGAAGAGCATAGTTTCGGCTCTAGAGAGATTTGTCCTTTAATGCCTGTTTCTGCCACTTCATAACTGGGTGAACATGGATAATCAACCCTTTAAGCTTCAGTTTCCTCCCCGATCTTATGGACAAGACAGCAGTCTATTTCATGGGACTGTCTTATAAACTAAGTGTGGTAATATTTATAAATTGTTCAACTGAGTGTCTGTCACATACCACTGAAGTTTTAGATGTATCATCATTATCATCATCATCATCATCCAGGAAGAGAGTAAATTACCTTTCACAATATGAACATAATGGGCTTTAAAACAAAGAAATTTTGTGTTGATTAGAGAATAAGAAGAATCCACAATTTTAGCTTCAGGATAAAAGGGAAAGAAACATGTAACACGTGAAGGCCACAAGAGTACATGTACAAGAGAGGCTGTGCTCTTACTCAGCAAATGAGAGATGAACCACAGGTTAAACTGAGGCAAGGACAGAAGCTGGTGACTGTTCTCAGGAAAAAAAATGTAAAGTCCAAAGTAACTTTTGAGTATTATTGAATTAAATTATCTCTTTAAAAAATAAATGTTTCCCTTAAAAATGTTAAGTGACCATAAAATGGCTGTATATTCCTTTGTCTTTTCTTCCCAAGCAGTTTCAGAGTCTTGGATATGACTTGAGCTGCCTCAGTTGGGTTGAGCTGAAGACACGGGCATCTGGATATGAATCCTTTTTTCAACTTTATGAAACCCTAATGGAGGAAGATGTTACTAAAACAACAACAATAACAACAACATCATCAGTAAACAAGTGCTTTGCAATTGAATGTCAGAGATTTTTCAACGAGTTCTCAGCAGGAAACCTCCCACTGAGAAGCACAACCTGAAATCACTTCCCAGCAGAGTGGCTCTTAGAACCTGGATGTGCTCTGAACAGGTGTTCCAACAAGTGCTGCCAACTGTATCCTTCAAGTTGGGAGAAAGCCTCAGCAATTATTCTGAAACCTTTAAAAATAAGGCATTCAGCTGAGAGCTGGGAGAACAGCATATGCTGAGGGAGAAAGTACCAGCTTTCATAAACTGGTAGTGTACACGTATATATGTTTGTGTTCTCCACATACATAATATTTATTACCTTTATCATATTCTTTAATTTTTTAAAAGGGGTTTCCTTTCTTTAGCTTTTTACTGGTGGACCTGTGAGATAAATAAATATCACATGATCCTCAAAAGGTCCATATCTCCACAATTGAAGAATTATTAAATCTAGTGTACAACCTAACTATTCAAATTCCATACTTTAATACAAACCACCAAAGCTAATCTCTTCCTAATGACCAAATTTTGCGAGGGAGTCAGACAGGTTTGGTTATTTCCAACTGGAATACACAGAACAGTTGAATAAATACTGATACTGGCTTGCAGGGAGGTAGCTCTTTCCTGTCTTAGCCATTTACCTTGTACAGATCACTAAACGGTTCTGGGAATCAATGCGCTCATCTATAAAATGGGGAAAAATAATGCCTGCTGTGCCTACATTACATTTTGGTTTAAAAAAATCAAGTAGAAGGATGTGTGAGAAAGCTTTTAAAAGTCCTGAAACACTGTAGAGATGCAAGGGACTATTATTTACACTAGAGTTAATTTTAGAATAAATGAAAGCATGTTTAAACTGCAGCACCCCTCCCTATATTATATTCATTCCCCTACTCCTTCTTGCATTTATAGACTATACTATATAATTACCAACTTTTTCTAGCATAATTCTGTAATATCTCCTGTTGCATAAGGCAAGAACAAGTTGTACTTTGTTTGGTTCCATAATTATTATACATACTATATGCTCGTGTGTGTATGTATGTGTGTGTATATATATATATATTCTAGTGTAAATAATAGTCCCTTGCATTTCTATAGTGTCTCAGAGCTTTTAAAACTTTCCCACACATCCTTCTATTTGATTTTTTTTAACCAAAATGTAATGTAGGCACACCAGGCACTATTTTTTTTCCCATTTTATAGATGTGTGTGTGTGTGTGTGTGTGTACCCCCCCACACACAAAAGCATATATGTATGTATAATAATTACAATCATATATAATATGGCTTTTCCTATCTTGCAGGAACCATATTTTGACTGCTTCTTTTATGTGTCTTCTTTTACACTTGACCAAGTTTCAAAGACCAAGGATATACCAAGGGCTGAAGATTCAGAGGGCACCCTCTATTAATTATTTTATAACTAGAAGTTAAGAAAAATACAGAAAAGGTAAGAGATAGAATAGAAAATATTTCACACTCTTCTGGATATATAGAAGATGCTTCCCCAAAAACATCTAGTTTGGGTTTCCAGCTATCTTCCAACACTGTGTAGCTTCATGATAAAGTTAGAAAACACAGCTATATAGTCAAGGGTCTTAATCATTGTAAACAAGTGTCAAAATGCATGTGGGGCAGTTGAGGGGTGATTGTTATTTAAGTATCATATGGAGAGACTGATATCTTTCTTGGAAGGCAACACAAATGAAATAAATATTTACTATTCATAATTTGCTATTGTCTTCCTAGCCAGAAACAGAGAAATAGACTAAATAAAAAAGACCCTCTCTACTCTCTAATCTCTCTCTCTCTCTCTCTCTCTCTCTCACACACACACACACACACACACACACACACACACACACACGGGTGGTGGGGAGAGAGAGGGAGAGAGAGAAAGAGAGAGGGAGAGAGAGACTCTGTTCTAGCACTTTGATTTGATGACAAATTTCTACCTCAAACCCCTTCCTTCCTAGATCCTCTCACAAACACCAAGCCCTAACCCTTTTAACACTAAGATGTTATATCCACAAGGTGTGAATGCTCCCTGTGCAACTGTGTTTGTTTCACATTCTCAAGTTTATTACTAATGAGTATTTCACTCATTATGCAAATGTGAAATGACAGGGAATCGATGACTTCAGATCAAAGCCAAGGGTAGAACTAGCAGCCTGACCAAGACCTCAGTCGAGCTAAATGAGAGACCAGCCCATATCTAGTTGCAGCATACTTGCAGCATACACCTGGCGGAATAGTCTTGACTGGTCATGGGATTAGTGACCTTTCAGGCAAGACTATCTGGCTCTGCTGGTTCACAATGACTTCCTGTGAGCCATGCCCAGGGCTCACTTCCCTAAAACCTGTGGGCAGCAAGTTGTTACATTTTCCAATTCTATGTCCCTATCATAAAAGAGGAGCTTCTAATGACTACATTTTTTGAAAAGGGTTTTGAAAGTCAGTGTCAGTTTCATTCTGTTCTAAGGGTAGATAGACACTTAATCCTGCTTTGAAGGAAGAGTAAAAAGAGGCTGAAATTGAGGGTCACCAATTGCAAACAGACTCCATTAAAATTGCCACCAGACACACGTTATTAATACACCTAATGATAGTAATAGTCACAATTTATCTAAACCATTTATGTAAATGGAATTAACATACATCATTTATGCAAATGTTAGCATATGATACCATCCAGGGCATATATGGTGGTTTTTTTTATTATTCATCATATCATTATCTGTGATCATAAAATTTTATTGGGTTAAGATAAATTAAATTTTTAAGTAACCGTATATCTATTAGGTCCCACATGTTCATAAAATTCTGCTTAAAAAGACTGTTGCGTAATTGTAAGGCATGCACTTACTTGATTTACCTAGTGTTATCAGAAGGATAATGACTTCAAATGTTGGCATTTTTATGATCAACAGCTATGTTAAAAATGTCCATGTATATAGACAAATACATGGACTATAATATGAAAAGATAGAAGAATGATTTTATAGGAATTTTTCATTGCTCTAGTTTAAAATGTCATTTTTTAAAATGATGATATGCTTATCTTAGTTGACTTGGACTGCCATAACAAAATACCCTAAACTAGGTGGTTTAAACAATGGAAAGTTATTTTCTCACAGTTTTGGGGGCTAAGAGTTTGAAATAAGGGTTCCAGCATGGTCAGTTTCTGCAGAGGGCTCTCTTCCTAACTTGAGGAGAGCTGCCTTCTTTCTGTGCCATCATGAGATGGGGAGAGAGCTACTTCTCTGGTCTCTTCTTATAAGGGCACTAATCCCTTATGAAGACACCACCCTGATGACCTCATCTAACCCTAATTACCTCCCCAAACCCCTGTCTCCAAATGCCATCACACTGGGGGTTTTGGCTTCAACATTAATGTTAGGGGGGCACAAATATTCAGTCTATAGCAATACTTTAGAATTCTTTAAAATAAAAATACCATAAAAAGTTTTAAAATGCCATTAAGTTCCACTCAATTCAAGCATTTAAATTAAAAATATATATCTGAAATAGTTCTCTTAACTACGAACTTTAATTAAGCAAAATTTAACTATGGAATGAACAAATGATTTACTATGAGTTACAAAAACTTTCAGCATACTTCAAACAATACATAATCATTCTCCCAGTAGGGCCCTGTCATTTGCTATCTACCAATGTCTCTTCAGGGAAACCCTTTAGCTAGGGAGATATCTTTATCCAAGCACTCATCAACATCTGTTCTTGCTTTTGTCAGTCTTTTGCTACATTACTGCCTCCCAGGTCTACAAAGAAAGATGACAATCTGCTGGCTGCTGGAAATTCTGTCTCTCTGACTATAACACTCAAGTTACTGTATTACTCAGGGTTCTCTAGAGAAAGGGAACCAACATATATATATTTATATATATATTTATATATATATAAATATATATATAAATATAAATATAAATATATATAAAAATATATATATAAATATATATAAAAATATATATATAAAAATATATAAAAATATATATATAAATATATATAAATATATATAAATATATAAATATATAAATATGTATAAATATATAAATATATATAAATATGTATAAATATATAAATATATATAAATATGTATAAATATATAAATATATATATAAATATATATAAATATATAAATATATATATAAATATATAAATATATATAAATATATAAATATATATATAAATATATATAAATATATATATAAATATATATAAATATATAAATATATATATAAATATATATAAATATATATAAATATATAAATATATATATAAATATATATAAATATATATATAAATATATATAAATATATATATAAATATATATAAATATATATATAAATATATAAATATATAAATATATATAAATATATATAAATATATATATAAATATATATAAATATATAAATATATATAAATATATATAAATATAAATATATAAAAAATATATAAATATATAAATATATATAAAAATATATAAATATATATAAAGATATATATAAATATATATATAAATATATTAAAAAATATATAAATATATATAAATATATAAAAATATATATATAAATATATACATAAATATATATAAATATATATAAATATATATAAATATATATATAAATATATATAAATATATAAATATATATATAAATATATACACACATACACACACATATACAGTGACTATATATATATATATATATATATAATAAGAAAGATAAATTATCTTGGGGAATTGACTCACACATCATGAAGGCTTGCATGGTAAACCCTAAATCTCCAGGGTAAACTGGCAGGCTGGAGACCCAGGGAAGAATTGCAGTTTCAGTACAAAGGCAGTATGGCTGGCAGAATTCCTTCTTGCTCAGGGGAGGTCAGTCTTTTGTTCTATTCAGGCCTTCAACAGATTGCATTATGCCCACTCACATTCTGGAGGGCAATCAGCTTGACTAAATGTCCACCAGTTTAAATGTTAATCTCATCCAAAAATACACCCTCCAAGAAACATCCAGAACAACATTTGAACAACATTTGACCGAATACCTGGGCATTGTGGTCCAGCAAAGGCCACACATAAAATTTACCATCACAGTTGCTTTATGTCAAGAACTGATACTCCCCTTAACTATCTTTCTTTTTATCCAACTCCAAACAGGTTTAGATGAATATATATTTTTGAGTACTTATCACAGGGTAAGCATCAGTATAGGCACTTTAACACTCAAGGTTTTAAAGATGCACAAGACAATCTTGTGGGAGAAATTTTAATATTATCTTCATTTTACATATGAGAAAATTGAAGGCAGTTGGTTTAATTGATTATATGCAAATCAAATATCCAGGTCACAACTCTCCCAGGGGACTGTCTTTTTATATATTTATATAAATGGAACTCTGTGTCATGACACAGGGTTTATATACCTTCACTTCCCCAGTCAGGAAAGACTACATTGTGTGCAGTCCACAATCCACCAAACTTCCCTTTTTACTTCCCTTAACCTTAAGATCTTTCTCATCTTCTAAATCTCTCACTGCTTCAAGGCCAATCTCATTATATTACAGTTGTTTCTATCGTTATTAATTGTCTCTACTAAAATAGAATAAGAGCTGTCAATTTTGAGTTTTGCTATGTGTCAGACACCATACTATTACTTTTTTGTTTTATTTTATTATTATTATTATTATTATTATTAGAGATGGAGTTTCACTCTTGTTGCCTGGGCTGTAGTGCAATGGTGCACTCTCGGCTCACTGCAACCTCCGCCTCTCGGGTTCAAGCGATTCTCCTGCCTCAGCCTCCTGAGTAGCTGGGATTACAGGCATGCGCCACCACGTCCAGCCAATTTTTTCGTATTTTCAGTAGAGAGGGAGTTTCACCATGTTGGCCAGGATGGTCTCGAACTCCTGAGCTCAGGTGATCCACCTGCCTTGGCCTCTCAAAGTGCTGGGATTACAGGCCAGTAAAATGTCTGGCCTATTACATTTAAAAAAAAATCATCTTATGTCATTCTCTTTCACATGAGTATGAACGCAAACATACACATGTACATATACTTCTATGAAGCAAGTACATTGTACAAAAGAGATAATTAAAATATAGGGGTTTTAAGTAAGTCGTTTAACATCAAGCAATTAGTACTTAAAACCAGATGTAGGTACTGGTAAAATCCATGTGTAAGACCACCACCCAACACTGCCACTTCACCAGTTATCACATGAAAACAGGGGTCTTCAACCAGCTCATTTCCATCCATATAGAAATGCTTAATCAGATGGGAGATTCATTCCCAGCTGGAGGTATGATATAAAATAAATCTGACTGCCCCAGGTCCAGTATGTGTGTATATCTAAATACTTAATTTGCTACTACATTCTCCTACTTCTTGATATTTATGCCCCACAGGTGTTAAGAGTCACACTTACAGGGGTTTTCCACAGTAGAGACTAACCTCCAATCCAGGTTTTTCTTGTTTTTGTTTTTGTTTTGTTTTGTTTTCCCTAGAGATTGAACTACGCTTCTAGTGACACCAGCAATGGCCTGTATTCAGTTGCAAACTAAGAAAACCTCTGTGGAGATTTATTGACTATTGATCAGAATTATTTCACTGGATCAAAGCCATTTTCCCAGAATATAAGTTCCATGGGCTCAAAGACTTTTGTCTCTAATTTTTTGTTTTTACTATCATATTCCCAATGGTTATAACAGTGCCTAACACATTGAAATACTCAATACATAATTTTGAAATGAATGATTGAATAGATGGGTGTTTGCTGGTTGTAAATAATATTATAATTTAGAGAGTTGGTCTCCAGCCTTTGTTGGTCATTCACACATCCAGGCTATGCTCTCTAAACCCATCCCTATATATACCCATATAATGTAGGCCTACATGCCAATTCTTATTTTCAAGTCATGATTCTATCTGTCCTTTGCATACCAGAGTGCATTCAGGGTTTCCTCTATGACAATGTCATGTTCACTAGCTGCAGATTATTGTGAGCCCTATAGAATTTTCTTGTATGTAAGATTTTGGGATCCATGCTCTCTGACACCATCTTGAATGACAACTATCTATTTACCTCCTTGAAGGTGCTCAGCTTCAGCTTCCATCTGGCTGCAATGTGACATTTTATGACAGTCTATTTTAAAGTAAAAAAGGTGGAAAAATAGGAGTATACAAATTCAATACTCCTCAGCTTACTGTTTAATATCCTATACAATATGAACCAAAACTATCTTTCTAAAAATGTTCTGTGTTCTCCCTGGCCATTCTGCAAGTACACCTCACTTTCACAAATCTAAGTTTCTGTTTCTTTCCCTCATAATCATGTCTCCCTCTTTTCCCCACACATCCAGATCTTATATTATCTTTCAGCTGCACATCAATTCCTCTTTTCTCTATGATTTTCCTAGGTAGTAATTTGACAAATATTATGTTAAAAAAAAAGACTTCCTAGGCACCAAGCCCAGCTCCCCATAAGTGGTGATGATAAAGCAGTCATCGTCTCTGTCTTCAAGAGACTTGGAGTGCAGGAGAAGGAATAAGTAAGAAGAGCCCCATGGACTCAAAACTGTGGAGAATTTAGAAGAACGAAAGTTTGCGTAATGCTTGCCAGCAGAGGCCATTCTTGAGCAAAGTTGGAAAAAATGGAAAAATTGTTGAAGAGAGAGGTGTCAAGAAAAACATACTTCATGAACAAATAAAAGTCACAGGCTGCATATGAGCAACTACAATTCATTTGATTTGATGAGTTATTAAATAATTATGAAAAAAAGCATCACAAAAAAGGTAGTCAGGTTGACTAAAGCTAGTCAATAGGGTAACATAATGCCATTCTAAATAACTTGAAATTTATTCAGTTGACAATAAATGAGGAGACAGTAATTTTTTAAAGTATAATGAATGAGATGATATCGAAAAAATATGTGTTTTCAGTGGGGGGAAGTGACAACAGGATGGAATGGAAGAGGAATCCAATGGCATGTGCATGCAGTCTAAAGTGCTGTAAGATTCTCAAAGTTAACAAATCTGAAAACAAAGCAAAACAAAACAAAACAAAAAAACAAAAGAAAAACAAACCTTTGTGATCTCATCTTGTACTTCACCAGCCAAGAGACTTGCTCTTCCCCATTCTCTCTCATGTTGGTAACGCTTAAATTTTAACACATTTTTAAACATGGATTAACTGGAATAAGTGTTCTAAAATGTAAATTCTTTAATGAAACTCTTCTAGCACAAATCCTTCAATAACTGGCTATTCCATTTTAAATGGAATCTAACCTTTTTTCTTTGACTCACAAAATCCTCTATGGCAGTGGTCCTCAATCTTTTTGGCACCAGGGACCGATTTCGTGGAAGACAATTTTTTCTACCAGTGGTTGTGGGGAGGGGGTTTAGGGATGATTCAAGTGCATTATATTAATTGTGCACTTTATTTCTATTATTATTATCTTGTAATATATAATGAACTAAGTATACAACTCACAAGAATATAGAATTAGCAGGATCCCTGAGCTTGTTTTCCTGCAACTAGATAATCCCATCTGGGGGTAATGAAAAACAGTGACTGATCATCAGGCATTAGATTCTATAAGGAGCCTGCAACCTAGGTCCCTCACATGCACAGTTCACAGTAGGGTTTGCCCTCCTGTGAGAATCTCAAGCTGCTGATGATCTGACAGGAGACGGAGCTCAGTTGATAATGCCAGTGATGGGGAGTGGCTATAAGCACAGATGAAGCTTGGCTTACTTGCAGTCAGTCACGTCTTGCTGTGAGGCCCGGTTCCTAACAGGACAATTGGTACTGGTCTGTGGCCCAGGGAGTTGTGGACCCCTGCTCTATGGCAAACCTTGCTCACTCTTTTCGATCGTCATCATCTCCTATCCTTTACCCACCCACACTGGCCTTCTTGCCATTGGGGAACACCTCAATCCTGTTTGTTATCCTGTCTAATCCTTCACCCTTGAGGTTTTATCAACCGGAATTCTTTTCTCTCAGATCATTTTAAGCTTATATGTCTCTCCCCAGTCAGGTCTCTACTGAAATATCTCCTCCTTAATGAGAGCTTCCCTGACCTGACCTAACCACCTCTCTAAAACAGTCTTCTCTCTCCACCTCATAATCTCTTTCTCTTTCCTCTCACTCTGCTTTGTTTATTGTCCTAGCACTTATTTTAAAAACATTCTTTATTTTTTATTTGTTTGTTTCTTGCTGCTAACATTTAAGATCAACTCTACGAGCCCATCTGCTTTCCTTGTTCACCACTTTTATTTTTGGTGTTGAGAACAGTCATTGCCTTAGAATAGGCTCAATTAAATTTTTCTTTAATGAAGAATGAGTGCAGAAGAAAAATCAGAAGACAAAAAGGTTATTTAGGAGTCTCTTGCAAAAATCTGGAACTGTTACATCTAAATGCAATTTTGTTATTCATTTAGTATATAAATAAATATCATGGTGTGCAACTGCATTGCCAATCTGCATTGGTAACTAACTCTTGCTATTCGATCTTTGAGAGTGCAGATTTTATGTCTCTAGCTCTAGGAATAGCACAACCAACTTATAGTTTTTCCTCTCTATAACTTCAAACACAAGGCTTGCACCCTTTGAGTACAGAAATATTTATTAATTAAATAAATGGTTAAAAATTGGATATGATGACAAATTTGGAGGATACAAGAAGTAGGAAGCAAAATGAAGAAGTGTCTAAAAACGACAAAGGAACCATTGTGAGACTAGACCTATGTGAGAAACAAAAGATGGTCCTTTTTCAAAGCGTAGATTTAGGTGGAGTTTCCTAGCCTTGGCACTATTAGTACCTGGGCCAGATTTGTCTTCATTGTGGGGGCTACAGCCTTCACTCTCATTTGTGACAATCAAAAATGTTTCCAGATATTCTCAAATGTAATCCTGGGAGGCAAAAATCATCCCTATCCCTATTTGACAACCACCAACTTAGATGATAAGAAGCAACATTGCACCTAGCTCTTCTTTGCCAAGCACATAACTGAGGAAGACCTTGAATCGCCATTTCAATCACAGTAGAAAGTTAAAATGCACTAATCCATACTGTACATGTTTTTCCACACTCATAGCAGGGTGAGTCATTGAGCCCTCATCTAACCTGGCCTGCTCTCCCACAGCCTCGGGTGAGCTCCCCTCTGCTAGCAGTTCTGCCAAGCTGACTCAGACACAGGTGGCAGTAGGAGCACTTCACAGTTAATTAATGCAAAATTACATTTGGGGTAATTGTTGCAATAATTAGCCACTTTCGACTCAGGCCATGATTTTACCCTTTCTCTCTTCTAGAATATCATCTCTAGAATGTATCACTTGACCTCGGACTCAAGGCCCAGATAAAGCACAGCCTTCCCTGACCCCTCAGGCCCTCTCTGGGCTCCCCCGTACATTGTGATCTCTGTGAATTCCTAGTAACAATCATCACCTATACCCAGTACTCTATTTGTTCAACTGTCCTTCAGGTCTCTTCCCAATTAGACGGCCTGTTCTTGAGGGATGGAAACTAATGTTTTAAATTTTGTTATTCTCCTACTTCATTAGTACTATACCTATTAATTAGTACAGAATAGGTGCCCTGTAGATAATGGTCATTAATTTTATGTAAATGACCATAATATTTATGCAAAAAACCCATGATGGAATGGTCATCAACCTGAGTCAAAAAGTAAGGTGGCTTTATTTCAAGGTCACACAGGTGGCATGGAAGGTGCATAAGACTAGGCTGAAGGTATGGCTGAATTTGCTTTAAACTGAGACGTTTGGGGAACCGTCAAAGACATAGCTATGTCATTATGGACATCTGCTAAGAATGCTAAAGGTAAACAATCACCTGAAAGATATATTTGCTTGCATGTAGTGGGAAACAGCAGCTCATTAACTCTCTGCTTAGCTCGTTAACTCACCAGCTCGTTAGCCCTCTGCTCGTTAACTACTTAGCTCTGATTAGCTCTGCTCACTTCCTCCTCCTATCACTCACAGTGTGAGTGAACTGTAAATCTGCCAGAGCAACAGATGGCCATTCCAGGTCCAAGGAGGGGGTTCAGGAGGTGGGGTACAGAGCCTTCCTAGATTTTTCTGACCTTGAAAATCTTCCATTTTACTAAAGTTTGTGGGTTGTGGTTTAACTTCATCATAAAAGAATCTGGCACAGTTTTATTTTAAGATGCAGAAGACTTCATTTAGATGGATTCCCTGGGATGATGCAAATGTGCGGTTGCAGGGCCATGGTAGGCTTGTTGGCAGTGGCCTACATGACACACAGGGACTTTGAAACACAAGGGGAGTCCAACAGTATTTATAGTGAGTATTTATTAATGGTTTGTCACATGCTCAGCCCTGTCCTGGATACTTTGGGGATACAAAAGATGCAATTTAAGAGATCACGTGGAAGAGACAATATTTACATGCCCAAATTGTTGGAGAATAATAAATCTCAGGTGTTTACCATGAACTAAATTGTATGGTACAGGATATATGCATTCTGGGAGTAAAGAAAGGAAAATATTTTTATTTTCATACTAAAAATTCCTGATTGCCCATTTTTTAAGCTAGTTGTGCACAATCACAAATTTGGCTTCCATTGTCTTAATAACCAAAATTGTCACTTTGTCAACATGACTGTAGCCAGGCCAGGCTATTATTTTAAGAACATTTGATTACCTGCACAGATGATGCCCTATATATCCTTGCTACAAGCTGGAAAATACACCATTGGTGAATCACTTGCTATAGCTGAACTGTTGTGCCTCCAGGTACCCAAACTTGAAGGGCATGTATTGTCTGGAAATAATGACAAATGAAACAATATTCCGGCATCTTTCTTTTCATCCATCCATAAATTCACTTGTCCGTATCTGCAATAACTGACACAGGAGTTGAGATAGTATATATGCCTAATCAGCTTATTCTAATTCTATCGGCTATATCACTGGTCAAGACTTTAGAAAGATAACAGTAGAGAGGATGGTTAAGTTTTGATAAGGTAGGAGAAGACACAAGAAACGCGTAGCCAGGATTGTCACCCTTGGAGGAAAGGCTTGGGTAGGGCAGCCAAGTAAAAATCCTGAGTGTCGAGGAGCAACAGGGACTCTGGACACCTGAGAGAAACTATCTTGGAGGGGTGGGGTCAGAGACTGGAAAAGTGAAGGTCACAGATAACCAATTTTATGTGCATTGCACCAGAGTCCTTTCTTCAGGGAGGGGCCACTGCCAGCCTAGCCACCCTTACTTGCTAGGCAGTACTCCATTGATTTTAAGCCATGCAGATCCAGTCTGTCTCGTTGCTACCTCATCATCAAATAAATAAATAAAGAAAGAAAGAAAATAGCAAAAATGCGAGACCTTTCTTAGATGCCTGGGGCTCTCTTACTTCTGCTGCAAGAACTTTTGAAAAAGAAAACATAAACAAAATATATTTCCTGTCTGCCCATAACAAACACAGACTAAAAATACTGTTACAACTGTACAATAGTTTTAAGGTCAATGTATTCCCTCTTCATGGCTATGAAAACCTGACCCACATAAGGCATTAAAATTCATAACACATGAAAATTAGGGAGTCCTGGAAGCACTTTCTTCTATATAAGTACAAAATTTCTCTGCCTACATCTAGCATTTAAAGGAAACCATCCAGATAATTAAAATGCCTATAAATGAAATGTCAAAGTTAAATGTTTCTTTTAAGTCTTAATGCTTAGGCAAAGTGAAACCTTTATTCTAAAATAATATGCTTTAAGTACGAGTGGTATCTTGTGAGGGAGTAGAATAATTAAGGTTTGCCACATAAAATGGGTCTACAGGTCTACGTGCCGCTCCACTCAGTAAGTAACCTTTATGAAGGGGAATGCGATAATCAGTGTGTATTTTTTTGTCCTTAAATACTGCCATTATTTTAAACATGAATGTAGCTACTGTGGATAAAGCTAACCACACAATGCACATGGAGAAAATTAATCACACAGATAAAGAAAACAGAGTTGGCGAGTTAGGTAGATTTTGATTTGGTTTTTGTGTCGTTGACTTCAGGGCCTTCTTTGTTGTTTTTGTTGCTGTTTTTTCGTACTAGTACAATGATTGTTATTTGTTTTCTTTCTTTCCTCCTATGTACATTATCCTAATCTGGATATGGATGTCACAGGGAAATACCCCGCATGTGTTCTGCTGCTTGAGTTGGGGCACACATAATGCATCTTCACTGTGATAGAGTTAAGATGTATTGTACCAAGAGTACCATTTAATCTCTTGGTCATGATGCTGATCAACACAGACATAGGCTATGCAATTTTTGCATATGCAGGATTTTTCTAAAGATTCCTATTGTTATTCATAAGGTTTATATCAAACATTTCACACATACATTCTCATACACACCCTTATGCATAGACTTTATGGCTAGCCCTTTTGAATGCTAGGGTAGTTGACCTCCCCACTCTTTGCCTCCACTGATAAAACTCTGTAACCATCAAAGTAGACTCCATTCTACCAAAGAATCAATGACATGGGTTCAGTGTAGGGTCAGGGTCCTACCCATTGAACAGGAGATAGAGAAGCATGATGTAGTAATTCCTTCGATGGTGTATTCTGATATGACACACATTATCTCAACCACTTGTATCTACCTCTACTTCTCTGTGATGCTAACAAAGGAAGATTACAACTCACCCTGCTTCCTGGAGGCCAGCAGAAATAATCTTCTCCATCTTTTCCTCTTTTGCTTCCCGGTGTTGGACTGCTCAGGTGAAAAAGGAAACATTTTGAGGGACAGTCCTTAGTTGTGCAGAAGATAATCCTGACTGGAGCTGGTTCTTTCCTCATCAAGACATTTTCTGATTTCCCTTTGATGGAGGCATTCTGGAGATTGGGTGTGAGACCAACATTGCTAGTCATCAGTGAGGGGATCATATCTCTGGCTGGTACATGTTGTACCACTGCAATCACATTGTATCCTGTTGTTTAAAAGTACCCTTGTTCCTCATGTTTGAATGACAGTTGGTAAAGATAACCACTTTCTCTTCTGGGAAACACATTAAAAAGTAAAGTCAAGCCACATGGTTTTGGATGGGAGGCAAAAGGTCAAATACGAAAGCTAACCTTTAGCAGAACGACTGGTGCAAGTAGTGGAAGCTGAGAGTAATAAATAGAGACCCCCTCCAGGGGTTTCCAGACACAAACCTTTGGCTCCATTCAGCTTGAGGGGGCAGCAAGTGGAACTGTACATCACTGAACTAAAATACAATGTATGTGTTTAAGAGCAAGTGGCACGGAGATAGTCGAGTCTTGGCTTCTGACCTCTTCTACTGAAGTCAGACTTTGATTTTGGCATGGAAACACCTAGAATAGAGATTCCGCGGGCAGAATGGTAGCGCCTGATCTGTGTGCAGGCCACAGAGCATCTTCTTCCTCTTCATGTTCGTGCCCCTCTTTGTCCTCTGAGCATTTATGCCTAGAGTTTCTACTGACTGGAGCATTCTCTGCCTTTCCATCTCCTCTGCTTTGGCTACTTCAGGTTTCAGATTAAAGATTCTTTTCCAGAAAAACATTTCCAATTGCCCCACTTTACTCCATATCTGGGATAGCTTCCCCTTTTATGTATTTACAGAGTCCAGGGGTTTCTCTTATCATACTCATTTATTAATTCTAGCATCACTTTTTAGCAGTTAGTATAAAGACCTTGTTATCTTATTCTCTCCTATTGCCCCAATACATGACACAAAGTAGGTATTTCTCAAGTATATATTGTATAAATAATAATGTATTATTATTATAATTATTAATAAACAATCTCAATATCCTTTAAACACTTTATGTTTACTCTTTTCTTGAGCCCTGAGAGAACTGATACTTTTGAGACAAAAGGTAGTCTCCCACCCCTATATACCTAAACAAAAGCATCCCATTAAAACAGGTAAGTATGGTTTAGCTCACATAACAACAATAAAAAATAGATATGAATAGTAAGTCTATGCCAAGGATTGTTCTACATGTTTCATTGTGCTCTCTATCTAGTCCCTGGTAAGAGGAGTGCTCTCATTTCCTTTCAACTTGCACGTTACCACAGTGGTTCCAATTCAGAGCTAAAATCCAACTCAAGTTCACTGACTTTGAAGCTTAGACTTGTGCTATTCTCCACGCTGAGGATCAGCCAAAATCTTCCTTACATATTGCTGGCAATGTGAACAAGAGGAAAAATGGAAGACCCACAAAAAGCATGGCCCTCAGAGTCAGAAGACATGATCTCTAATCCTGCTTGGGAGCTTGGGCAAACCACTTCATCTCTTAGAATAGGGAGCATGGACATAATGTTTAACAAAAAAAAAAGGTCCCTGCAGCCATTCTCTTATGTTGCATGGTCCAAATGAGACTATTCCAAATGCTCATGATTCCAAATGCATCAGGTTTCTCTGCTATGAGGTTCCCATTTGGGAGATGGGCTATGTGTGCACACCCTGGGTTGCACTCTCATAGCGTGTCTTCCCTGGGCCAATTTCTGGACACTCTCCTTATTGCTTCCATTTTAAAAACAGTATTATTTATACCTTGTTGATCTTTGCCATTCTAAAAGGCAAATGTGCTTACATTTATGTATTCTCCTAATATCCTGCTAAGAGCTTTGTACAAAAGAAGTGTTTATAAATATTTATTGAGATAGTGCTTATTAGCAAAAATTCTTTGAGTGCTAATATGGGCTGAGAAAAATAATGACCATCAAAATACACTTTGAGCTCTCATTCTAGTAGAGCATCAGTAGTGAGAAAGCAAAGCTTAAATGATTTCTGTATTTAAAGTATTAAAACACCCCCAGGAGCGATCAGATTTCTTGGTTTCCTGAAAGCTCCTTAGACTCTGTCATTTGGCATGTGGAAGCATTTTGCTAGGAAGGGTTTTCCTTGTTCTGCTGCGATAAGCCATAAAAGAGAAACTATTTTGCTAGCACAATAAAACCCCTAGCATAAACATCCTTTAAAGAATCTTCCATTTGATTGCAGAGGAATTTTTTCAGTATTAAAATGGAATTTTTTTCAATAAAAAATGCTACAAAACTTCTAAAGTTCTTTATTTCCTCTAAAAGTTACTTCCTCAAGAAGGTCAAGTTTGGTAGAACATAAGATAATTCCCTTCTTTGTTTGCAATGCTGACACAATAAAGCAAGGTACTTACCTCCACTGTACTCTGTACCCAAGTCTTGTGTGACCCTCTATCAGTTTCAATGCCATCTCAAGGCTCCAGAATACACCATCACCACACACACCTTCAAGAAGGGAAAAGGCAGAAGCAAGCAACTTCTTTTGATGGAAACATTTTTGTCCCAAACCCATTCCTGATATAAAAAATGAATTGATTAATCAGTTAGAGGTTTTAAATGATACTTATTTGCAGAGTCATAGGAGGGGTTTGAAACAGCATTTTAGAAAATTTGGGGGAAAAGCAGGAACATGACAGCAGAAATAAAACACCAGGAGCAGGAAAGGGCAGAACACTTGCATGAGTCTTTTGCCAAATTAACTCATGCTTTTAGGATGTATAGAACAGAGATTTGCTGGCTTGCGTCACTGCAAATAAATAGTATGTCTCAGTGAAGAGGTTATGACTTTCAAAACAAAACAAAACAAAACAAAACAAAACAAAACAAAACAAAACAAAAATAATCGGAAACATCAAAGCCTGTTACTTAAAATATGAGAATAGGTTGTTTTCCATGCTGGTTCCTTCCTTTTTTTTTTTTTCTTTTCTTTTCTCTTTTTCCTTTTTTTCTTATACTAACGCCGAATTCCAGAAACTAATCTACACCTACAGAATAGTGAACTTTGCACTTTTCATAAAATGTTTGGGGAAAGAGGGCACTATTGTGTCTACACAGCCTATTTACAGCAAACAAAGACGATGTTAGAAAAAAATGCTTATATTTTGCATTTGGTTAGGTGTGATTTTGAATTTTGACTTTACTGATTATGTAATGTAGGGCCAGTCACTTTGTTAATGAGAACCTCAGTTTTCTTATTTGTAAAATATCACTAATAAATCCTAACACCATAAATATACATATTTTCCAGTGCTTAATAAATAGCAATTTCAGGAGCATAAGAGGTGAAGGCCACCTCTTCTGATTGGGGGAGGGCCCTGCTGCCTTTAAGGACAGTACATGACACAAAGCAAATTAAACAACAAAGGCCAAATGAGCTACTGGTCTAAGGTTGTGAAACCAGACTCAGTGGAGGACTGTGGATTGTGAGGTCAATGTGAGACATTAGTTTCAGGAACGTGGGGAAAAGTAAGTAGAGAAACAAAAACGGGGAGATGATGAGTTGTAAAAACTGTGTCTACTTCCTAGTTTCACCAATTCTGATTCAATTCTGACTCTGTGACTCAGCTCCCTGTGGGGCCAAACCTTGATCTAATTGCTGCTTTCTGCCCTGGATATGCTATATGCGTTGCTTACACAAGGGTGTGTTGATTGGTGCACAAGCCACTCCAGAGCAGAGCAAACCACGTTGCTCTGACACTGCTCTGCACCATAGTAGTCGGCTTTGATGTTCAAGTTCCTTCTTAACCAAATTATGAATGCTCTACTTCTCTCCATTGCCACCGTAATGAACTTTAACAATAATTATACTCAGGGCCTCTTTGGAGTAGATTTTTTGTCTCCTTAGGTGCCTGTACTCTTCTGGATGTTGCTAATCCAGGAGAAAATGTGACAATATAGCTGGGTGCAAAGACAACAGGAAGCTTCACCTGACTGAGAAACACAGAAGAATGCAAGCAGCCAAAAACTAGTTAATGGGAGAGAAGCAGAGAGCATATACTTTGAACGAACATAGTATCTGAAATGTTTGGAATATAAGATTTTCCATCTCTGCTTTATCTTTTCAAGTCTATGCCATGTAAGATTCAGGCAGCAGGTTTGTGCAATGTAAATAAGATTGGATACCATTAGTGTACCAAATTCCCCAACAGTCCCTGCAAAATATTTTGTTATGTCTTTCATGTGTTTGGTGTTCTACATGTTTTCAATCCACTTTCACATGTCACACACAGATCTCTTAACAAATTAGCAACAAACACAAGTCTCTTTTTTAATTTTATTTATTTATTTATTTTTGAGATGGAGTCTCACTCTGTTGCCCAGACTGAAGTGCAGTTGCGCAATCTCAGCTCACTGCAACTTCTGCCTCCTGCATTCAAGCGAGTCTCCTGCCTCAGCCTCCAGAATAGCTGGGATTACAGGCACATGCCACCATGCCTGGCTAATTTTTGTATTTTTAGTAGTGACGAGGTTTCACCATGTTGGCCAGGCTGGTCTTGAATTCCTGACCTCAGGTGTTCCACCCACCTCAGCCTCCCAAAGTGCTGGGATTACAGGTTTGAGCCACTGAGCCCAGCCCAAACACAAGTATCTTAATTACTTATTCGAATGTTTTCCCACTATATCCCACTAGAGGGAGGGGAAAAAAAACAGAAAATACAAATAAATTGCTGTCAATTTTGATTGGCTTTATTTTGATGTGAGTCATTAACATTTAATAAGAACTTAAAATCTATTTTCAAAAAATAAAACAATATAGTGATTAAGAGTTCATTCTCTATTGTCTTGGTCAAATTCTGTCATTTATTACATGAATAATATTGACAAAGTTGTCTTTAGTATTCCTTTCTTTAAAATGGAAGGAATAATGTTATCCACTTCAAAGAACAGTAATGAGGTTTAAGCATTGAACACAGTGCCTGGCCTATATTAAGGGCTAACAAATGTTTTCTACGTTACCGTTTGTTGTAATTTACTAGAGCTTACCACTCTTCCTTCTTCTTATGTATTTTTTCTCTTTTCCTTTTCTTCTGCTTTTCCTTATTCTTCTTAACCATAAAAATTCAATAAATGGTAGATAATGCCAGGAAATACTCTAAATGCTTCTTTTGTATTATCTGACTTAATCCTCACCACAATCTTATAGGTTAGTACTATCATTATTACAATTTTACAAATGGAATAATTGAGGCACTAAAAAGGTTGCTTAACCTGGTTGATCACTGAGATAGTGTTTTATCTGAGATTTGTATTCAGAAAGAACTATGTAGTCCTGCTCATAAGCACTATGCCATATTGCTTCTTACTTTAGTATTTTTAACATCAGAGCAAGGTTTTATCTTAAGTTACAATGCAACATTAAAATCTAAGTGGAAATGAGATTTAGAGCTTTAATTTTTTAAAGGATTGAGAAAGAAAGGAAAAATCGTACATACCAGCTTCATGGATGAGGTGAGATAATTAAGAGAAAGGATACTGAAAGGCTAGAACAAATGTCCTTGAGGCTGTCTGTGTCCGGTGCCTTCCCTATAAGTAAAGGCAACAAGCTCTGTCTGTCCAGACAAACTCACTTGACTCAAGGTTATGACTATAAAACAGGACTCCACAACAACATAGCTGTCCATGTCCTTCCTTCTTTCGGTCAACCTCTTCTAATCCTGCAAGTGTGAACTTTGCTTCAGCACGTGCTTCAGTCTATGGAAACTGTCTCCTCCAAGCTCTGCATCTCACTGATTGTTCTGTTTTCATGGAAGTCCAGATGGCTGCTGGAGGTTTACTTGAGGTCTCTTTCTGTAGGATATAGTTATACTTTTGTCAACTCGGTGGTACATAAGTTTGTTCACTCTAAAAGAAGTTGCCTTAAAAAAAAAAGCTTTCAGATGTTAGAGAGAACTGAGATGCTGATGTCAACACATGAAAAATTAGATGCTTAACAATGCAAGAATACTTATGGTATAGATTTTAACATAATTATCAATACATTCCTTTCAGCTATTTTCTCATTTTAATTGCATACAGTTTATGTCTTTGTTTTATGTAGCTTTTTTTGATGAAAAGAGAATGGAAGCAGCAAGATGAAAATGAAAGAATTATGCAAAGGAACCGAAGCCTTGCCAAATACAGAATTTGTGGTTTCTACTTTGTGCATGATTTATGCACAATTACATTTTTCAATGTATTATCCTGCAAGCTACTTTGCTGTATACTCCTGGTTTGTCTTTCTGGTGTCTGTGTTTGGATTGAGACAAATATGCTTCTTTTGTTTTCATTCTTGAAGCCAATAACTTTTTAGGGAGATGTGGAATTTCTTTATTTTAGATTAAGCACTATCCGTAATTCCTTGTATTACATTTGGCTTGATGTTGAAGAACTTTGTCACCACTCTGGTTGGTCTCCGCTGAACTTTTGCCAAGAATAAAAGCAGATCCACTTCAAAAGCTGATCTTTTTTGCTGCTCAAGATTAAATCCAGAATTTAGCTGGTTTCTGCCTTAGCTTGGTCAACAGATAAAGGGTCAAGACTGGAAAATTGCTTGTACCCCTAGGAGACATGGATAGGAAAAAAAGACTGATGAGTTTTTAAGGTACAAACAGAGACCATCACAGCACATTTCACCACCTAGATTAAATAACTACTAGGCTGAAGATGGAAAGTAAAAGGGAAGTCACATATTGAGCAAGAGATGTTACCCCAAAGTCAAAGGAACACTTATATGGGGAAATGGACAAATACAAGCAGGCAGACAATCATGATTAGGGATGATATGTCAACAGGAAATGGGATCCAGCCATCAGGCTCAGCTTTATTGCTACGACTACAAGTCAGGAGATTATGATCATAGCAGAACTACAGTTCTAGAGGATGCTAAAAATGCACGCTGCCAAATTGGTGGAGAGGTGTAGTGTTTGGCGCTGGCTTCTAGTGCAAAACTCTGTTACCAGAAGTCTTACTCATGGAGGTAAGAAAGGGAATTAAGGTATTTGAATGAGAAAGACTGGTGTTTAGGACAGGAAAACATCATCACGTTTAGATGAACAGTCAGTCGGGGAAGCATGATGGAAAACCATATAATGATTCTAAAAGGGCTTGGATATGTCATGTCTCATGTCAGTATTAGCCTTGGTGTTTGGAAGAGAAGCAGCATAAATGATAGGATTTAGTATGGCCCACTGGGAATTTTCTAATATTTATCTTCTACCTCCTAGAGTATGAAATCATGACAGAAAATATAAGCAGTTGTCTGACATTCAATTACTAGCTGAAAAAGGAAAGCAGAAACTAATGCTCTCTAATCATACTTTATATCACAAATGTGAGATGATTATAAAACATGCAACATCCATTTTCTCTATCTGCATGGGCAGTCTACAGAACTTTAACAATAGTATGTCTCCTTCTTTTTTTCTTTACCTAAGTCCAAGTGCTTCAAATGTCCTTACCCTCCAGTTCATAAATGTCCTTACCCCCCAGTTCATAAATGTCCATAATTTCTACATCTTCTTCATCTCTATTAATAATTTTTCTATCTTAATAACCTTGATTTTATTGAAAAAGTGATGAACTCATTTTTGGTGCATTGCCTAAGACACAGGCTGTCAAATCTTTCTTTCCAGGTATTTTGTCCCATTAAAATCAGTGAAAAGATTCTGTATTTTTTTTTTCCTCGTGCTCTGTGGTTTTGTTCTGTTTTATTTGGAGCTCCAAAACATACAGTTAACCTTTATGAAAACTATTTCTTTTCTGTATTTAACATAATCCAGCATCTTAACTTAGAGATGAAGGAATCAGAGCTATCCTAAATTTCACCAGAAATTAAAGGAACAGGAAATCGAGTTTATAATCTGAAAGGCCTATGCTCATTTCTGGGCTATACCTTTAGAAGTGCAGCTCTGGCAAAGCTATTTTTTTCAAAGTTCCCCAGATAATTCTAATGTTAAATAACCACTTAGGTTTATATCTATTCTTAATTTTTCCTGAATATTCTTAGGCTAAAAGGAAGATCTTTTTACCTAGCTAAGAGAAGGATAGTACTTCAAATTCAGTAATTTATGAATAGAACTTCATATTCAGTAATTTATGTTGGAAAATGACATGTGACATATATGTGTATGTATATATATGTATATATATGTGGGTGGGTGGGTGGGTGTGGATGAGTGTATGAGTGCATACACTCACACCTGTGTAGGTGAATGTTAAGTATTTCAAACTAGCTTAGCAAAATACTACAAGCAACAATTTTTTAAGTTGGTTATGAGTAGGCAAGTGCTACACTTAGAGATATGCAGCCAACAACCCCTCACATCAATGTGTTGTGATTTTGTTCTTTCTCCATTTCACACTATAATAGTTAGGCTGACTATTCACAACACCTCCTTTAATTGTTGTCCTTAACCACAGATGCTTCATTTTCTTGGGTCATATAATTGGTATTTCAATATCAAACATCTGACACACAGCAACTCCAGATGAGAGATGGAATATTTGGATTGGGACTAACTGGGGTGTAGCAGGTTGATAAGAAAATTGAACTCTGTTTGTCCCATCCCACTCTCACCTTTTATCTCTCAATGCTTTTCTCCTAAAAGTGTCATGTAGAAAATAGATCAGATAAGATCTCATGCAAGACTCTACACTAAGACCCCAAAAACAGAAACTGTGCTCAAGAAATGGGCTGATGTCTCTGGCAGCAAGATGTGTATAAGAAGTTATGACCAATTGCAGACAAGAGCTCAGGTATCAGAAGGGTGACCATGTATCATAATTTTATTAGTAAAACCTCACTTTAATAAAAGAGTATCTGATTCACATGTATTTGTGTTAGATTTACCTTTGCACCAGAGCAAGCAAAATAGTAGGAGAGAAAAATGGACTCAAAAAATTGCAATGCACAGTGAAAAGAGCAATAATAGCATGGACCCAATTCAAAGGTTAAAAAAAAATGTACAGAATATTTGGGTAGACAATTTCAAAAGAAACTTAGAGGGTAGCATTTTTTAAAGAAATAATTATTTCCCCAATTTTATTTAAAATGGGCAAGAAGTAGAAAAATACTGATAGTTTAATCATCCAGAGAAAAAGCATCACTAAAATTTTAGTACACATCTGTATCAGTCAGTGTTTACCCAGAGAAATAAAACCAGGAGGATTTTAAGAGATTTATTGCAAAGAATTGGATTATGCCATTGTGAGAGCTGGCTAGGTAGGTCAAAATCCAGAGGACAGGGCATCAGGAAGGACCAGCTGGAAAATACGAAGCACAAGCTGAAGCTTCATTTCACAAGAAGAACTTCTTCTTTTTTTTTTTTTTTTTTACTTCTGCTCAAAGGCCTTCCAATCAATGGAATCAGTCCCACCCAGATTATCTATGATAATCTCTTTTAAAGTCAACTGTAGATGTTAATCATACCTACAAACTACTTTCAGAGCAACACCAAGTTTAATGTGTAAATAGCTGAGTACTATAACCTAGCCAAGTTGATACATAGAACTGGCCATCACAGTTCACTTCTTGTCAACTGGGCACTCACATACAGCTCCTCAAGACATGCTTAATCTACAAATAATCATAATAACAAAGTCATTTTTTCCACCTGTAATTATAGTACTACACTCGGCACACCAAAAACCACTAACTCTGAAAAAAAAAGAATGGAAAGTCTTTGAGTGATTTTCCCTAGTCTTCTTAATATCCTGTAACTTAAATATTGTGATATAAAGTTACCTGCTATTAATACACTTTGTGTTAGATGATAGTGAGAATATGAGAGGAAATACAGATGATACCTGAACAATTTGGAGCTTTGGCACATTAACCCCTCACAAAGTTGAAAATCTGTGTGCAACTTTTGACTACCCCAAAACTTAACCACTAATAACCTACTGTTGACTGGAAGCCTTGATAATAACATAAACAGTCAATTAACACATATTTTGTGTGTTATATGTATGACTGGGCTGGCCGCGATGGCTCACACCTGTAATTCCAGCACTTAGAGAGGCCCAGACTGGTGGAATCACTTGAGCTCAGGAGTTCAAGACCAGCTGGGCAACATGACAAAACTCTGTCTCTACAAAAAATACAAAAACTAGCCTTGTGTGGTGGTGCACACCTGTAGTCCCAGCTACTTGGGAGGCTGAGGTGAGAAGATCACCTGAACCCAGGAAGGTTGAGGCTAAAGTGAGCTGTGATTGCATCTCTGTACTACAGCCTGGGCAACAGAATGAGACCCTGTTTCAGGAAAAAAAAGTAAGCTTGAGGAAAGAAAATATTATCAATAAAGTCATAAAGAAGAGAAAATATATTTAGTATTTGTTAACTGAATAATAAAAGTCTTCATCCTCATTATCTTCATGTCGAGTAGGCTTAGGAGGGGAAGAAAGAGAAAGAATTGGTCTTGCTATCTCAGGGGTGGCAAAGGGAGAAGAAAATCTGCATAGAAATGAACCTGTGCAGCTCACACCTGTCTTGTTCAAAGATCAAATGTATCTGCCACATATTTATAACAAATTAAAGTAGAAATGTTCATTATCATTACTGCCTTTATTTCTGCAGCAGGTCATATGGTTGTACCTTGTTCTTTGCCTGATGGGGCTACCCAAATCTTTAGTGCTGAAAGATTTGGGCCATTATACATTCTGCTTAAACTGTGTTGCTGTAGTTTTCCGTTGCTATCAGGGAACCTGCCCCAATAGTCACGTAGGTTCTTTTCTATTTTCCTTAAGCATTGGCCAGTTTGAGAAATAAAGGGACAGAGTACAAAAGAGAGAAATTTTAAAGCTGGGCGTCCAGGGGAGACATCACATGTCAGTAGGCTCCGTGATGCCCCACAAGCTGCAAAACCAGCAAGTTTTTATTAGGGACTTTCAAAAGGGGAGGGAGTGTATGAATAGGTGTGGGTCACAGAGATCACGTACTTCACAAGGTAACAGAATATCACAAGGCAAATGGAGGCAGGGCAAGATCACAGGACCACAGGACCAGGGTGAAATTAAAATTGCTAATGAAGTTTCGGGCACCATTGTCATTGATAACATCTTATCAGGAGACAGGGTTTTGAGAGCAACCAGTCTGATCAAAATTTATTAGGTGGGAATTTCTTCTTCCTAGTAAGCCTGGGAGTGCTATGGGAGACTGGGGTTTATTTCACCCCTACAGTCTACAGACCATAAAAGATGCCCACACCCAAGGGGGCCATCTATAGGCCCACCCCCAGGCGCGTATTCTCTTTCCCAGGGATGTTCCTTGCTGAGAAAAAGAATTCAGAGATATTTCTCCCATTTGCTTTTGAAAGAAGAGAAATATGGCTCTGTTCTGCCTGGCTCACCAGCGGTCAGAGTTTAAGATTATCTCTCTTATTCCCTGAACAATTGCTGTTATCCTGCTCTTTTTTCAAGGTGCCCAGATTTCATACTGTTCAAACACACATGCTCTACAATTTGTGCAGTTAACGCAATTATCACATGGTCCTGAGGCGACATACATCTTCCTCAGCTGACAGGATTAAGAGATTAAAGTAAAGACAGGCATAGGAAATCACAAGGGTATTGATTGGGGAAGTGATAAGTGTCCATGAAATCCTCACAATTTATGTTTAGAGATGCAGTAAAGACAGGCATAGGAAATTATAAAAGTATTAATATGGGGAATTAATAAATGTCCATGAAATCTTCACAATCCACGTTCTTCTGCCATGGCTTCAGCTGGTCCCTCCGTTTGGGGTCCCTGACTTCCCGCAACACATTGCTTTTAATTACAGGAAATGACAGTACCGAAAGATGCTCTGAAGAATCTTCTATATTCTGGACATACTGTACCTTACCCTTATTTTGTGACAGATAGCAACTCAATTTTCCTCTGACAATCAGGATCAATTACCTCTGCTGGTATAGTAACTCATTTGTTTGTCTGTTTATTCAGAGGCATGAGGAGCCCAATGTGCCCAGATGTCAGTCTCAACTTTTAGTTCAATAAATTTATTGTTGTATTACAGAAGCAGTCTTTTCTTTGTTAGTAATAGCTTGGCACCAGGAGAGCATATGTAAAGGAAAGAAGAGACAAATTTTAAAATATTAAATAAACACCAATGAAAATGTGTTATAAAATATTTATAAAATATAAATGTTATTCAAAAATAAAATATAAAATATTAACCATGCCTCTTCAATTCCCTTTGGTTACTCTTATCATGAGATGTGTATTTCTATCCTTTTACTTTTAAGCTATTTAGATCCTTTTACTTAAAGTATCTTTCAACTAGGTACCATTAACTTTAATTTACATTGTTTATTCTATATTACAATCTCTGCCATTACTTTAGACCACTTATATTTAATGTAATTACTAATATATTTTTTAATTGGCCCTCTTGCTGTCTGCTTTTGTTATGGTCTGCTTTTTTTTTGCTTCCTTTTTTTCCCTGCAGAATATGAAATTAACTGGACTTTGGAAATCATTACATAAGTTGGCCATGCACTGAAACATGGGATTCCTAAGGTAAGACAGCTTTGTACATGGAGAAAGTCAAGATCTTATTCAATTAATGAACTTATATTGGAGTTGAATTGCACAAGAGCTGCCTATGTGATATTCAGGTAGTGATGGCTAATATGAAGTCAGAGTATAGCCAAGTTGTCTGAGCTTGATATTTTGATTTGAGGGTCCACATGGTTTGAGGAAATACATGGTAGATGGAACCATGGATGGGCAACATATAAATGCCATTTTCTTTGCAAAATATGTAGAGAGAAGAGCAGAAGAAAAAAGAAGAACTTAAAGTCCTACATACATTTTGAGTATGGTTAGAATAAACGAATGGTGAGAAAATACATCAAGAGATGTCTAGAAAGGTAAAAGGAGAGAATGAAAATATAGGGAGAAAAAAATGGAAAAGAAGATATTGGTCCATAGTATTAAATATTGCTCTAGAGCAATAAGGACTAATATTTTTGGATTGAGCAGTTATCTTAGCAGTAAGAGCATCATATTATCTGGATGGACATCTGATTATAGGAGTGGAGGAGGAAGATTGTAAGATCAAAGATTTATTGAGTACAGGGGACAAAAGTCAAAGGGATACAGAGTTGTATGCCTATCAGGTTCAGCATAGCACCCTTGGTCATGTTGATCTCAGATAAAGTGGCTACTGGCCAGAAAGGCTGGTAACATCAGGGTTGATACTGAAAGTTCAATTTAGGATGAAATAATGAGGATGATATTTAGAGTGAGATCTTCATTTTAAGACTTAATTTGATTGCAACAAACAGTGCTAACATGTTTTTGTTTACTTTGATTAGGTGGAAGCTGCAGTGTACATAGACTTGATTGAGCCATCTTAAAGCTGCAGTCTCAAACACCTAACACTAGATTCACTTCACATAGTTATCTCCTGACTATTAAGTTAAAAAGGTGAAAAGAGGTATCCTGAGATTAGGGTGAGGGCATCAAGTGAAGAGAGGGGGAAAAATTTGTCTAAGTAATTCTGACACTTATTCCTTCAGCCCATGTAGTGACGGGGGAAGTACGTTATGAATTCAGATTACCCTTTTACCCCTTTTTGTCAAAAAAAAAAAGAAGTGGATGAGTGACGGTAAACATATATCACAGAAGTTTTTATTAATCAGAGACGTTTTCAGGAGGGAGCAACCAGTTGTCCGAATTTATTGTTAGTCATGCAGGTAATGTTCTGAAACAAGTAAGTAATTTTTAGTCACTATTTTAGACATGTCACTGTAAAATGTGAATTCTGGTTCAAGTACATATCACACCCCATTCACTTCTGTACCCCAGGAGGTTTCTTATGATTAATGTTATTCCCAGGATTGTCAAAAGATTAATAATTAGCTACCTATAGCCAGAAACACAGATAAGCCACCTGCTTTCCCTTCCCAATTCATTTCCTTCCTTTGTTTAATCACACAATGAAACAATTATCTTCCATTCGTGACATCGAAATCACTCCCATAGCAACAGGCATCTCCTTCTAATACTTCAGTGTGGAAAGAATCAGAGAGCAGATATGGATTTTTGAAGGACAAAGAACATATTTTTATATAAATACACCAACAACCAGCAATTTCTAGGAGAAAGAAATAGAGAGGAATAGGGATATCTCATAGATCAGGCTTTCTTTTTAAATGTTAATTTTTATCTGACTGTAAACTTCATCTTTTAAAGCCTTTCTCCCATTATTATCATCATACCTTGAGTGCTTACAGCTGAATACTAGTTCTCTCTGACCTTTCTGGAGTCATAAGCCATCCTTTCTCTTTGTCACTGTGATAATGGAATGGATCAGATTCTTCCTGCAGACATTATAATGGAGTTCAACTGTCTATGGCATACACTAATGAAAAATGTTAAACCTTTCTTGTCTCCACCAAGTGCCGCCACAGCACACAGCAGATGCCCTGCCTGTAGATGCCCATATGGCAAGCTGGTATCGGTGATATTTTCTCTAATGTCAAGGGAGCCTGCTGCATGGAAAGGATGTTGTGGGTGCCATTTGGAGGCTTAGGTACAAGTGCTTCGAGTGAGAGCCACTTTATCTGTCTCTGCCTGTCCCCCCTCTACAGTGCCAGCTAGTCAGTCATTGGCAGATAAGTGGGTCTCTCTGCTGTGTGATTTCAGGGACACTGGAAGCCCTTTCACTACCCCATCCCCCCCAACACACAATATCTATTGTCTTACAGATGTCTGATGTTCCTTTAATCGTCTGCCAAAAAATAAAACAAAAATCAAAACTGAAAAATAATGTATGAAATGCAACACTGCAGAGGACACATGCTGACTTAAATCTTCCTTATACAGATATCATTATAAATCATGGGTATTCTGCTTCTCAAAGAAAAATGCACTGTGGGCTATGTGCCATTAAAAAAATGGGGTAGCTAAAGTGAGTGGAGAGAGATAATAATGTTTTTTTAAATTCACTCCTGAAGCCACTAAGTAAAGTTATTGTTGACTCACTATCACTCATCATTCAAACTATTTAAGTAAGCATGTAAGGCTTATGAGGTGATGAATACCATTGATGAAGACAACCAAAGAAGTTAAAAGACTCCCCTGGGTGTGAAGATTATAGCAAATGGACACTCAGGTCCCATAGTTAATATACAACTTATAGCTCACTTCACTGAGTCACGAGATCCTTGTTTAACAAAAGATAAAAAAATTATATCAAGCAGGATGATGATGATGACGATGATGATAATTCAGTAAGTATGGCTTTTCTAGTCTCTTCTATTTCTTCACTAGAGATCTCTTATTCAGGGGCTAGTGGCAGTGAGCTAACGAAGACTTCAGGTACCTAACACTCTTACCCAGAAATAACAATATAATGATTTTATAGGGTGCCCAAACTTCTCTTGGTGAATCTCCTGAATCATTTAAAATGGGGTCATTTTGTTATTACTATTTCTCTAGCTCTACAGTGCTGTACTATCATATCCCACATAATAATAGCTGGTTTCTAGTCCATTCCCATAATAACTATGTGTTGGTGACAAGGAGGCACATGCCACCTTTTATTTTCAAACCAAAATAGTCCAAAAGAGATGAACCTGGTAGAAAGTAGTCATGGCTTTTTAACTACACTGTAGTTTGATTTCTGCTTCAGAGACAAACTGAGATTGCATGCATGCTTGCCAAGTAACAAGGCCAACTAAGGTAATTGTGAATAATTTCACTTAAGATTCCTCCATGAGCAAAATAATATAGATAGCTAAGGTGTTTGCATCTGTTTTACTTGTGTTTATGAAAATCAACAGAGATAAATCTTATGAGACTCAAATATTTAGTTTGCTTTTTTTCTCTGTGCATACCATTGAATTAATACATAAATGTAAGGCATCACATGATATGTCAGAACCACTATTTTTAGATTATGTTCCCCAAGGTTTCCACCAAATATACAGTATAGCTTATATTTGGAGTTGGCAAAGAGGTTGGAGGCTAAATCCTGCAGTGACTGACACACAGGTTTTGCAGTAACACAGATTGTGTTCAATTCCTACCTCACACAAATTTTGTAACCTCCCAATGCCTCTGTTTCCTAATTTTCTCAAAGGAGACAGTAATATCTATCATATGGATTTGTCATGACGGTTAACTTAAGTAATTTACATGAAACACTTACAACAATGCATGGGGCACAGTAAACCCTTTATAAGTTTCTTAGTCAACTTCAGATTGCAGAAGGAAGCCGAGACTGTTTAATGCTAAGATTAAAAAAGCTCTTTAAAGACAAGGACTTTAATTCCCCCTCCTTCAACTGCCCCCTCCTCCCAACAAACAAACACACCCCAGAAAATAGTTCAGTGCCTAACACAAAACTGGGACTCAAGAGAGTTCAGTGATATATGTGTTCTGGAGTTTCTAATCTGTGTTTGCATTATCTGTCTCAGGACTGATGGCAGGGGCTTTTGTTTGGATGTTCTGTTGAACAACTTTTTTAGGACTATTGGCAGGTGAAACATTACACTCCTAAGGTTGATGACAATGAAGACACTTCATAACCAAATACAAATTGGCCCTGGTATCTTGCCAGTGGTTTTTCTGGTACATTGGATGAAGATTTGATTGCTGGCTGGCAAGTACACTGACTTGATCCCTGAGGTTTTAATGGTTTTGATCACATTTTTGTCTCCCTGAAAAGTGCAGTTGTTGGCAATCACTCTTTTCCTCATTACTGCCAACTGGCTCTGGCCTGCTGTATTTCTTTCTTCTATTGCTCCCTCACTCTAAGTTTTTATAGCATAACTTGAAAATAGTCTGACCCCCTTAATTGCATATCAACTTTGGCCATCCAGAAGATCCTCATTGGAATAATGCATTCCTTTGAAGTTTACTGAAAAAGAACCTCAACAATTAATTACTTTTTATATTAATATCATGCATATTGACTGACCTCTCACCATATTTCTAGTAAGGGCAAAAAGATACGATACTTGTGTTTATCTGGGCTATGATGTACCTTTTAATTCACTGATTAATACAATTATCCAAGTAACAAGTCTTCACAAAATGCTTAATATATGCCAAGTACAGTCTGAGGTAGTGGGAATACAATGATGAACAAAAGCAAACAGAGTCCTTGATCTTATAGAATGTTTATGCCAGTAAAATAGACAAATGTTGTCAACCACACAAACCGATGTAAAACTGTAACATTGATAATACTCTAAAGTTGAAGTGCTTGATTTCATGAGTTGTAGGAGTATTTGTCTGATCGCAATCAGGAAAGTTAGAGACACTTTTCCGAAGAAATGGCAATTGAACAGTTATGAAGATAATGACTGATGACAGAGAAAAACATTTCATGTTGGTGGTATAAGATGTGCCAACATTGAGATACAAGGGAGGTTTAGGCATGGAGCTTTAAAGGAGCAGGAGAAGACTACAGACTCCGAAACAGAAAAAGTGGGATAGATTCAACTGTTCAATAAAGCTGAAGAGGAACTCCTAAAGTTGATACCGTCATACCAGGCCTTGAAGGCCAAGTTGCAAGATGCCACATAGAGTTTAAAAACAATGAGATTAGAGTGATTTTAAACATAAAGAGAATATGATACAAATTTTCCTTTTGAAAATACGATTGTCTAGTATATGGAGAAGTCAAGGTGGAAAAGAGAAAAACACAGGTAGAACAGTAAAGTGGCTAATATAAAAGTCTTAGACCAAAAAAAAAAAAAAAAGATCTGGACAAAAGTGGTAGGTGTATGAAGAGAAATAAGGGGGATAAAAGAATATTTAATGATATGGGTATCAAACATACCTCTTTAGTGTCAGAGTTACTCCTAGTTTCAAGATTACATAAATTTGGAGAGGTAAGAAATCATATGATTTTTATCTAATTTAGTTTTAACCATATTGAGTTTAAAATGTCTTTGAAATATTTAGGAGGAGATGGCAGGTGAGAAGACTATTGGACACACATTTGGGGTTAGAGAGATATATGTCTTCACCTGAAGATATATATGTGAGTTATCTTATAATTCTTAATTATAGTTACCATATTATAAAATAACTACTAATTTCAATAGAGAAATTGACTAACTTCCTAAGACAGGCAGCCATGAGTGATAAGAGAAACAAGCAGAGGATTCAAGCTTTCAGAATTTGAAAAACTTTGTGGACTATGAGTCCCAGGCTTCCCCATTAAACTGTGGATCCAGGTCTAGGAGGGCCTAATACTGAATTAAAAGCAGAATCCAGATGACTGGATAAAAGGTGCATGAGAATTTGAATAACTATAATAGTTTTTCTTGTAACTAAAGTTGTTTATATTCCCTATATATTTGTCTGTATAGATTGAAACTTTGAAATTTAACTCTTGACTTTATCTGACAATCAAGATAATCACAGATCATGTGTTAATTTTATACTTTTTTGTCTATAAATAAAGCTGGTAAATATATTATTAACAATGTTGCTCAATGTCCCTTATAGAAAAACTCCTATAACAAATATTTCTCATAGCTTTTTCTTTTTTGCACTTAATCCTGAATGTTTCTGATAAGGAAACTCACCTTTCTTTCTAATAGTCAGGTCATTCTTTCCCTCAAACTAAACTTCTCATATTGTTTTTAAAATGTAAACTTCATTTCTTTAGCTTCCTGCATCTCTGCTTACTTTGTCCATGTTTGTATTTATTTCCATCAGATATCTAGGCTCTCAACCACCACAGTATCTTTGCGCCTTCAAACCAACTTAATTATGTAAGTCTTTCTTTTCTGTCCTTTTTCTGGATTCTATCACTTGCCTGTATCCTCTCCCATCATTGCCATTGGGCACTCCAGCAGCTCAGATCTTCCCATTCTCATTATTCTTTTTCAAAGGTGGGTTCTTTTTCAACATCCAGGGGTTCAGAGATAGACCCAACATTGTAAAGATAAACTTGTGATCCGTCTGTGAACTAAACAGAGTGGTTGTCCAAAGCTTTGTGGGAAAATGGAAAAGTAGACCGCAATAAATATTCTCATTCTTCAGTTTTCTTATAGTTCAGGTTGAGTATAGGGTATTGTTTAGTCCAATATTCCTCTTTTCCAACTTGAAAATAAGCAACCGTCTTTATGAAAGGTACTATAATTAAGATAATGAAGGAGAGGTAGGAAATGTCACTGCTGTCTAATAGAAGTCCATCCTCTCCTTCTTGTCACACTTCTAAATGTTCTAGTCCATCCCTTCTCATTTGCTCTTTCTCTTCTTACCTTTCCTATAAATCAAAACTATGATAATACCAATATATTTGTCTAGATTTTTATTCAAATTGTCATAATGTCAGTATATTTGTATTAACCTTATTTGTTGCTTTGAACACTTGCATAAACTCAACATAGCACATGTGTGTGTCTCTACCCCTTTCGAAGATTTAAACATCTTCATTCAAATCTCCCTTGACATCTAGTA
Organism: Homo sapiens; assembly: GCF_000001405.40. Taxonomy (NCBI): domain Eukaryota; kingdom Metazoa; phylum Chordata; class Mammalia; order Primates; family Hominidae; genus Homo; species Homo sapiens. Next base: position 39,221,658 of record NC_000018.10, read on the forward strand.
CTAGGAAAGGCTGATAATTGATCCATAAAACCATTGTTAAATAATTATGTTAGAGTAAAAATGACTTCTGCTCTAACATTTCAATACATATCTGCACGTATTGAATATGGGAGAAATACATAACTTTTAGTTTGGATATGATATAGCTTAATGCTTAGCAATTCAATACAGTAAAAAATTATCCCAAAACACATGCATTTCACAATGTAAAGGAAGGAGGAAGCCTAGATTATAGTTGGCTGTAATATAGGATGGAACAGAGTTTGCCTTGGGGAAGTGGTATGACTGTTCACTGAAAGGTTTCTACCTTTCACTGGAGAACTTGTTAAAGTTCCTGATGGGAGTGGAAATGTTTTAGGCGTAAGCAAATACAAAGGCACAGAGAATAAAAAGTATGTGCTGTGTCCAAAAGCCTATGAGTAGCAGGAGATTAAAAACGGGCTGCTAAGGACAAGAGAATGAGGTTAAAAAGCTAGCTAGGCACCAGCATGGAGAGCATATAATGCCACCTAAGTAGAGTGACCCTTACACTGAGGTGTCTGGAATGGCTAATGCCTATTGTCATTAATAGCTACCTCCAGTCTCTCAAAAGTGTGTGGCTTAACTAGCAGATTAGGTCATTATTCTGTACATATAGAACTGTGACATGGTAGTATAGATCAATGCTTTCCACAGCACATCCTACAGAATAAAGGTACTGAAAAATGCTGATAGGGACATTGAACAAAAGGTTTCTATAAACTGTTGTGAGAATCATTTATGTAATATCTGTCCTTCTTGAACATTCACAATGCACATGTACAAGTCCTATAGTGTAGAAGGCTATTTAAATGCTTTAACAATTTTTAACCACAGAAACCTTTTCATCACAAGATGCAAATTCAGACATCACAAAAGTAAGAATGTTTGTCTATTGATTGGAAGATTACTATAGGATAAGTGTTATGCTATAGGAAAATTAATCTTTAGCAGGCTGGGTTAGTAGGAACAAACACTGGAGATGGCAAGATACATTATTTTTTAAAAAAATTTTTACATTTGTTACACTTTAATCCAGTATAGCAGATTGTATTTTCCAACATTAACATCACACATGAACTTCCAGAACCTTGCCACTCCGCCATCAAGAGGTGGTGTCTACATTGCTTCATCTTTAAATTGAGTCAGCCTTTATGGCTGTGTCAACTGATAGAATGGTACAGAAGTTGAGTTATGTGACTTCTGAGTTTAGGTCATAAAAGGTGATACAGATTCTGCCTGACTTTCTCTCAATATATGCACTTTTGGAGCCCTGATTCATCCCATAAGAAGTCCAGCTACCCTGAATCTATCATGCTGGAGAAAACACATAGTGATAAAGAGAAATGCTTGAGGAGCTCCAGCTGTTCCTCCATCAGCCATGTGCATCTTCCCAGCCCAGATGCTAAAAATGTGATAAGGATGACTTGGAGACAACTGCAGCCCCAGCCATTGTCTGACTACAACTATATGAGACACCCTGACAAAGAACTACCTAACTGGTTCCAGTCATTCACCACCCAAAACCATGACACATAATAATAAATGACAGGTTTTGTTTATTGCCACAATATTTGATGTGGTCTGTTGTAAGGCATTAGATGGTTAGAGTATCTGGATCTGTAAAATCCTTCCGAAACTTTAAAAACATGATTAAATACAATTTAAAAATTCAAAAGTGGGAGGAGAAAATTTAAACAGGAAACTGAAAGAAAGGTAAAATGAAGCAAATCCCCTAAATTTGTCAAAGATGTTTCCCAATGTGATTCTAAACTTTCTTACAATCATAGTCACTTTGATCTATTGCATAATCAGGCCTGAATAAGAATTGGGGTAGAGTCTTATGTAAAAGGGAGTTATCTCTTACAAGGTCATGAGTGAAATGGCCAATGAGTACAGTACAGAGATCAGTCAAACTTTGTAGCATCACTTTATAAAGGATGCTGGGGGCTTAAAGTAGAAGTACAATAAGGGAATCAAATCTATTGGATGTGAACATCATCAACAGCAACAAACACTATAAAAGAGAAATATTTTTAAATAACATTGATTTATCTTGACAAAAAAGAAGAGAGAATCAAATATGATTCTGAGACTATCCAGGTAACTAAAAGAGTGGAGCTTTCATTAGCAAAAAGTTGGAAAATAGGAAGAAAAATGTTTGCAAGAAAATTTTGTTTGAAGTTTTGTAGATGGTCAGACATCCAGACAGTAATATTTAGCAGGCAGATTGAAAGAGAAAATGGGATGCAGAGAATTAGTCAGATTAAAACAAGTTGTCAGATTTGTGAGTCATCTCCTTGGAGTTGAGAATTGAAGCCGTGACAATCAATGAGACTGTTTGAAGGAATTGTTTCAGGAGAGAAGAGGAAAATAGAGAACACAAACCTCAAGGAATCATGGGTGAGCAAAGGACCTAGACAGAATTTAAAGAAAGACCATCAATATAAAAATAGCACAAATGAAGCAATAATAATCAAAACAAAGAGATTATCTGTCAGAGGAAAATGCTGAAATTGAGATGACCAGGTTCAACAAAATCATTGTTTTTTTTTTATTGGAGATTTTCTGAATTTTGTAAAGCAATTCCAACGATATACTTGGAGGGGTAAAGTCTTAATGGCCCATACATGAATGTCACTTTTAAACTAATTAAAACCAATCCCAAATTATCAGATCTTAAATATCAACTATTAAAATAATCATAGTAACTATTTAAGGGATCAACCATTTCTACAAGATCTTTCAAATTGAATTTGAATTAAATATAATGCATTCATTGAATTTTTTGCCTCAACTGTGCTTCTCAGATTGACAATGTACATCAGAACAAAATTCTAAATCCTTGATAGCATGCAATGAATAACCTAGGAGAGCTTATACTTCTTTCCTTTATTTTGATTTCTACAAACATAATAGGCAGAAGAGAGAGTAGGAAAACAATCTCTGGCCCATAAAACATAGCAAGGAATCTTAGGTTGTATGATTTTAATGTACATATAGATCATAAGGTTCAAAAAGGAATCTTAAAGCTTCTAATGCTGTAGCAACAGAAAAAATCATAAGCAACCAGACACCAAAGAAAACGCTAAAATCAAGTGGAGATTTCTCAAGATCAGTTTTCCTAGCACACTAATTAAACAGATAAATGGCCTTCTTATGTAAAATGTTAAGCCTTTCACACATTGAAGCCCACACATAAACACATTTATATAAATGCATGTGTGTGTGTGTAAATTAGAATGTGAATGTGAATGTGTGTGTGACCCACATATACACAGTTAACTTTTCTTTTTCCAGACAGATCTTCCTGCCCAGAGACCCTGAAAAATTCCCTCACATTCCAATATCTTTTATCATACCATTGTCCCTATTAGTAATACCCTTAAACCTCTGGTATAATTATTCAACCTTACCTATTATTCAAATCTAATTCAGGTCATTTTTCTTCCATATTTGTCTCATGAAAGGATCATGTTTGTCTTTTTCACCACTGTATGCATTGCAGAGTACATGCTGAATAACTACTGTATGATTGTAGCTTTTTAAATTACTAGAATTCATAAATCTATACCAACTCATTCCTTTTCTGAACCCCTAGACCTCATGTAACCCAGATCCATTATATTATTACTATACACCATATTTATTTGGTTTGGGCTTCTTTCTCTTACATATAATTTCTTTCTTCACATGACATTTAGAAGTATTTGAAAGATGTGGTAAATTGAATTAACCTGAATTGAAATAAAAAGACAAGCTTCTCTTCCCAGGACCAACATGAATGTGAAATCTATGATCAAACATCTGTTTTCAATGTCAGCTGCAAATTCATTCTTTCATCAATCTCCACCCCTTTGTTAAAGTTAAGTGTGGGAGAGAGACCAACAGTCATCAGGAACAGAAGACAGCTATGGAAACAATAAGTGCTGATTTAGGTAAACAGGATGTGTAGTGTGTAGGTTTGAGAGGTTACGTGTGAATGAAGCACTCACTGCCACAAGGACTCTTTTAAGGTTTGTACTGACCACACAACTAGAAAAGTAGTATTTCAAATGTAATGAAGTCCACTCAAGTACAAGTATCTTTCAGAAAACAACAAAAACAAATTAAATCAAAACAAAACTGTGGAATTAAAAGTTGCACTCTTAGTTAATCATTATTATAGAGTGCCAAGTGTTTTATAACAGAGGAGGAGACAAGGAAAGGAAAAAGAGAAAGGCAGGACAAAGTAGGAAATGGAAAGAATGAGAAGGAATTGAAACAGTAGTAGGAGAACTTTGCCTTAATCAGACTGCAAAATATTGACCTCTCCAAATCCTTCAGCTGACTCAAAAATTGGAAAAAAAAATTGATTAGGATTTCGAAGTGGCAGGAAAGGAACGCCCCTTCTAATGCTCACCAGCGCCAAACAAGAGCAGTCCCACTCTATGGCCCAGGGCTGAGCTCATCAAGCTGGCTCTGGAACCAAGATGCCGGCTGTGCCACTGTGCTCCCTTAATGCGTAGCACAAACCCATTTACTTGTTTGATTTTGCCTCTTTTTGGTAAATAATTTACATAGTTTTGCATTAGCTCAATTTGCAAAAATTGAGCAAACAGTGCAATTTTCTGTAATTATGCCAGTGCAAGACAGAAGTAAAGTCTGGCTGAGAGAGGCTTTATCTGAACTGAAAAGACATTTGGTGGAAATGGAGCATGAGAAGAAAATGAAGATCTGCTTAAATTGGCTCTGGCCAAAGTGAGAAAGAACAGAATACAATTCAGCTAACACTCTAGCTGAACTAAAAGTCTTTGCTTTCCCTCTTATTCTCTAAAAGTTGTCAGGTGTGCATACGTATACCACACATATGGTATTATGCCTACCCTCCCAGAGAGGAAACAGATTCCATTGTGATGGCTACAATGTGATTTTCTCACTCAAACACATATACTCCTTATTTGACTAAACTTACTTATTCTTCACTTTGATCCTCCATTTTGCATACCTTCCATTCATCCCAAAACATCCTACAAAAGCTAAATCATGAAAGTAAAGATTAAGGTTAATTTTCTCAAATGCCAACTATGTGCATGGCTCTGCCTGGAAGTGCCTGATGGAGTCTGAAGAGCTTGAGGGGTAGGCACTTATTTACAACTCTGGGCATGGGGCAGCAGGGTATGCATTAAAGTATCTCTGCTAATCTCTGAATTGTGGAAAATTGGTATGACCAGACATTCCATTCTTCTCTAATTGCAACATGGTCTAGAAAGGTGATATGGTTTGGCTGTGTCCCCACCCAAATCTCAACTTGAATTGTATCTCCCAGAACTCCCTTGTGGTTGTGGGAGGGACCTGGAGGGGAGGTAATTGAATTATGGGGGCTGGTCTTTCCCATGCTATTCTTGTGGTAGTGAATAAGCCTCACAAAATCTTATGGCTTTATCAGGGATTTCTGCTTTTGCTTCTTCCTCATTTTCTCTTGCTGCTGCCATGTAAGAAGTGTCTTTCACCTCCCACCATGATTCTGAGGCCTCCCAAGCTATGTGGAACTGTAAGTTTCTCTTCCCAGTCTTGGGTATATCTTTACCAGCAGCATGAAAATGGACTAATACAGTAAATTGGTACCAGTAGAGTGGGGCGTTGCTGAAAAGATACCCGAAAATGTAGAAGTGACTTTGGAACTGGGTAACAGGCAGAGGCTGGAACACTTTGGAGGGCTGAAAAGAAGACAGGAAAATGTGGAAAAGTTTGGAACTTCCTAGAGAATTGTTGATTGGCTTTGACAAAAATGCTGATAGCGATATGAAAAATAAGGTCCAGGCTGAGGTGGTCTCAGATGGAGATGAAGAACTTGTTGGGAACTAAAGCAAAGGCAATTCTTGTTGTTTTAGCAAAGATACTGGCAGCATTTTGCCCCGGCCTTAGTGATTTATGGAACTTTGAACTTGAGAGAGAGATGATTTAGGGTATCTGGTGAAAGAAATTTCTAAGCAGCAAAGCATTCAAAAGGTGACTTGGGTGCTGTTAAAATCGTTCCATTTTAAAAGGGAAACAGCATAAACGTTTAGAAAATTTGCATCTCGCCAATGCAGTACAAAATAAAAACCCATTTTTTTGAGGAGAAATTCAAGCCAGCTGCAGAAATTTGCATAAGTAGCAAGGAGCCTAATCTTAATCCCCAACACCATGGGGAAAATGTCTCCAGGCCATGTCAGAGACTTTCACAGCAGCCCCTCTCATCACAGGGCTGGAGGCCCAGGAGGAAAACGTGGATTTGTGGGCTGGGCCCAGGGTCCCCATGCAGTGTGCATCCTAAGGACTTGGTGTCCTGTGTCCCAGCTGCTCCAGCCATGGCTGAAAGGGGCCAACAGAGAGCTCCAGCTGTGGCTTCAGAGAGTGGAAACCCCAAGCCTTGGCAGCTTCCATGTGGTGTTGAGCATGCGGGTGTACAGAAATCAAGAATTTAGGTTTGAGAACCCCCAAGCAGATTTCAGAAGATATATGGAAATGCCTGGTTGTCCAGGCAAAAGTTTGCTACACGGGCAGGGCCCTCATGGAGAACCTCTGCTAGGGCAGTATGGAAGGGAAATGTGGGTTCAGAGCCCCCCACACAGAGTCACTACTGGAGCACTGTCTAGTGGAGCTGTGAGAAGATGGCCACTATCCTCCAGACCCCAGAATGGTAGATCCACTGACAGCTTCCACCGTGTACCTGGAAAAGCCTCAGACACTCAATGCCAGCCCATGAAGGCAGCCAGGAGGGAGTTTGTACCCTGCAAAGTCACAGGGGCAGAGCTGCCCAAGACCATAGGGACCCACCTTTTGCATCAGCGTGACTTGGATGTGAGAAGTGGAGTCAAAAGAGATTATTTTGGAGCTTAAAAATTTGACTGCCTCACTGGATTTCAGACTTGCATGGGCCCTGTAGCCCCTTTGTTGTGGCCAATTTCTCCCATTTGGAATGGTTGTATTTACCCAATACCTGTACCCCCATTGTATTTAGGAAGTAACTAGCTTGCTTTTGATTTTACAGGCTCATAGGTGGAAGGGACTTGCCTTGTCTCAGATGAGGCTTTGGACTGTGTACTTTTGGGTTAATGCTGAAATAAGACTTTGGGGGACTGTCGGGAAAGCATGATTGGTTTTGAAATGTGAGGACATGAGATTTGGAGGGGCCAGGGGTGAAATGATATGGTTTGGCTGTGTCCCCACACAAATCTCAACTTGAATTGTATCTTCCGGAATTCTCCTGTGTTGTGGGAGGGACCCATGGGGAGGTAATTAAATCATGGGGGCCGGTCTTTCCCATATTATTCTCATGATAGTGAATAAGCCTCACAGATCTGATGGTTTTATCAGGGGTTTTTGCTTTTGCTTCCTTCTCATTTTCTCTTGCCTCCACCATGTAAGAAGTGCCTTTCACCTCTCACCATGGTTCTCAGGCCTCCCCAGCCATGTGGAACTGTAAGTCCAATTAAACCTCTTTTTCTTCCCAGTCTCAAGTATGTCTTTATCAGCAGTGTGAAAATAGACTAATACAAAAGGGATGGTTTGCTTCTATAAATCAAAGAATGCAGAGGAGGCTCCCTAATCTCCTGGTAATGTGATCTATTTAGGTAATGGGTCTGGATGAATCTAATTTCAAATTAGTTTCTTTTTTATTCTCTTTTTTGCTTGTTTATTTTGACTTACATGATCTGGTCTGGTGGGGTCCTGTCAATATGTAACTACAACTTTGGGAAATTGACCTGTTATCTTGAAGCCCTTGTTTCCTTCTCTTTAAATGAAGGTGCTACATTACATAATGTCTAAAATCTCTGGAAACTAAGTAATTTTTATCAGAATCTTACTGGAAACGTATTAATTAAAAGGCTGGTACTATTTTCTGTGAATATCTAAAAGTAAAGTAGAAATAATCAGTTCTTACGTGAGTCTTAAAAACTCACATAAGAACTAAGTGAGCTTTGAGCTCTGAACCTAGAGAAAGGTTTCCCTCTCTGAAAACAGAGATAAAGGGTTAATCTGAGTGTTTGTAAATGGGTAAATTCCACTAAATTCCATTTTATGTATTTTTGTGAAATCACCTACTTAATATTTTATGTAAAATGTGTGCATATTAATTATACACTATTACTGCAGTGAGCATCTAATGTTTCTGCTTACTCAATATTAATCACTTATTTTGCACGTAACACCCACCCAATTTGCCTATATGGTACCATCCAACCACAACTCCAAGTGACTTTATTGAGACTGTCAAATCTTATGCCCCATTCTCTCAACAAATGGGTTAATCTACGTTTGCTAATCCTACACATCATTCCTCTGACCTTAGTGACTGATATGGACTAGGTATTGACCTTCAGCTGCATCAATCAGAATCTTCTCTGAGGTTTGATAGATGAATTCTGAGGTAGGGAAAGGTCTTTTTTTCCATTTGGAAAATAGCACATAGAAAATAATCCCCAAACTCCCAGAGGTTGTATTTTTAGCCATATTAGAATACTTGCTAGAGAATAAAATCATCATACTGAGGCGTCAGAGATGGGACATGGACAGAGGGAGAGCAAGAGAGAAAGAGAAAGGCAATGATCTGACCTGGATCTGGCTGTGCACACAGTCTGATTTACTGCCCTTGAACTGCCCTGATACATGAACCAATATAACGCCCTTTGTGGAAGATTAGATTGCTGCTCAAAAGTACATTTTCCCCTTCTACCACCTCCGTGGGAGGGATACACTTTCCCTCTACTTTGATGCTGAGTTAATCCCTATGAATTTCTTTGACAATAGGATGTTAACAAATGTGAGGTAAACAATGGTTTAAAAGATATTTGCTCCATTGGGTTTGTCCTCTGCTGCTTCTTTTATCACCATGAAAAGCATTACTTATCCTTTCAGCCTGAGCTTCGTAATTTATATACATGAAACAGACGTAAGCCCAACCCACAGTAAGAAGCCAAGCTCAGCTATATCTGCAGCTTAAAGCTGAGCTGTTCAGCTGAGACCAGCTGACCCATACATTCTTGAATGAAAATAAATTATTGTTATTTTAAGCCATTGAGTTTTGGATGTGGTTTGATACAGACCAATAGCTGATATATGCCTTTTTAAAATGTAACCTAGTTTGAGTCAGGAATCAGTTGCTTGCTACTGAAAGAATTTTGACTAATATGCAAACTTTCATTTTTTTGAAATAAACCTGTGAAATAATAGTTAGTCTGAGCTTTTATTAATGGGAAAATTCTAGGATCGATTTCACTTTGAAATTTTACCGGCAATAGATAGGAAGAATGTAAGAAAGCTGAGGAATAAAACCTGAGGCCATATGAAGCTGAGAAAAGTAAGAACAAATGGGAGTAGTAATATCAAATGATGGAGAGTAGTCACAATAATTCCAGCTATTGTCTTCAAATTTCTAAAACTCACATTATTAACTTGCATAATGTTAGAAATGATCCAATTAATTTTTCATCCACCCTACCTATTCTCCACACACACACACACACATGCACACATCCACACGTTGTGGACCAATATATACGAAAAACAAGAATGAAATGTTAAAACCATTTTAAAAAACTACTCAGGAGAAAAACTAGAATAACATTCAGGTCTGTAAAGCTCTTTTGGTCAAATAGAGTACTTTTGCCTTTATTTTATTTAATGCATCTTCCCAAAAGTCATAATACTTAATTGCCACATAACCAAATAGACTGACTTTTGGTCCATGGAATTCAATTGTTAATTAAGATCAGTGAAATAACCAGCTTGACAGCAAAATTGTTTTAACAAGAGAAAGTGACAACCTCATTGATTTTTTTTGTGGCCAGCCTCTGCATAGTCAATATGATGCCCATAGAAAGTGCCATTTTTTAAATTCATAAGTGTCCAGATCAAAAGGAACTATATCCAACCGTAACATAAGAGCCACTCCACATTCCCAAGAAATGCTGGACTTAGAGCTTGACTGTAAGGGACTTCAGGATGTTCTCTCCTGTGGAATAAAGACATGCAGGAAGAAAACTGCAAATGCATATTCAATGCTGGGAGAAATGATTTGTGGAACTAATTCATGCTGTTCAACCAACATGTTTGCTATTGTTACTCTTCCTCCAAGAGCATGGAGAGGCTGCACTTTCTTGTATCCCTGAGTTTAGTTGAGGTTAGCTGACTTACACTGCCTAATCAAATGTTAACAGAAGTGATGCTACTTTCAGACAAAAGTCTTACAAATCTATATGCAACTTGCTACCTACCCGTACCCTAGAGATGATCAGCAGTGTTCAAAAGTGAAGTCTCTACTGGTGTCTGCCTGAGGATGACATGGGACAGAACACCCTACTGACCATAGGTGGAGGCATAGAATAAGCACCTTTTGAAGCCACTGCAATTGTGGGATTGTTTGCTATTGTAGTATAATTGAGCTCTGACTGACATAAGGGATCTTAACACAGCAGCAGAAACAGCAATAATATGCGCTAGGATCTCAGGCATATTTTATAGTGAATTTCATCTCCTTTTCAGCTGTTGGTTCTTTTAAACATAATGAGAAGTTGACTAATGCTAACCCTTTTACATAGTCACAGTAAACTTATTCCCTTTAGTTCTTCTCTTTAAAAATAAATTTCAACCTTTAATTACTTTGTGTGTGGGAGTGTGTGGATGAGAAGAGGTGACAGAAGATGAGGTTTTATTAATTTTAGTTATTTCTGATGCTTTTCAGTATTACTGGTGTTTCTCCTTTGCCTCCTTCTTGGAGAGTAGTAAAAGAACATTACAAAAAGCAATCTCTCACACTTAAAAGAAAGCCTATGCCCTGTTTGGGCATTGCTGTCAAAACAAAAACAAAAACAAAACCAAAACCCATAAGCTGTGTCTCTCCAATAACTGTGAAATTCCTTTGCCCCTAGAGAGGGCTGCTTCATGTATCTTGGCCAAGTTATGCCTTTCTTTCTTTATAAATGCAGCCAGTGTGATCTCTAAAGAGATAAATGATGAATAAGGTGGAGGCTATTTATAGTCTGGCTAGGAAAAACAATTTCACTTAACAAGGATGGCAGTTAAAATAATTAATGTAGATCGAGTGGACATGTGAATAGAACAGCCTGTTGGAAAGTGATTAAATAGACAGCCTGATCCAGAAAGAAATATACCACTCAGATACTGGAGATCATTTCTCTCAGTGACTGGGACAGTTATTGGTTAGACGTTCACCCAAGCTTTTGAAGCACCAGGAAACACCTTTCTTGAATTCATTGAACGTAGTGATGCAAGATATTTTCTTGACCACTTCATGGGACTCAGGACAGGGGTGCCCCATTTACTCAGCCCACCCCACTCAACCTCTCCCAGGAGGGAGCACGCGAGCAAATGAGTGCAGGAACCAGAGCAAACAATTGCAGGAACCGGCCAGCAGCTTCAGTGCCAGCAGGAGCAAACTCCACTCACTTGGGTCCGCCTTGATGCACCACTGGAGGGAGGGAGTGTGTAGGCGAGTGCAGGAACGGGGCTGGCAGCTTTAGCGACAGCAGGAGCAAACTCTGTGCAGGCCCCATGGCAGCATCCAGGTGTGGGTGGGTGCCTGTGATCCCAAGGCCCCAGAGGACTTGTTACATTGCCCTCTTAACTCTGTTGTCCACAGACACAGTGTGTTATCAGCTCAGTGGACCGTTTGCCTCATTGTGAGATGGCTGCCCTCTGCCAGCAAAGGCAAAAGGCCAGTGTGAAAGCCTTTTTGGGTACCTGCATTTGGTGCATCCCAAATTCTTGTCCGGTGCCCAAGAGGAATGAGGTCATGTGGATGAACTGAAGGATGGTGAATTCGGAGAATTTTGTTGAGTGATGAAATCAGCCCTCAGTGGAGAGGGGAGCTGGAAAGGGAATGGGAAGGGCAGGTCACTCTCCCCTGAAGTCAAGCCACCTCTCTGCCTCTTTCTTCCGAAGTCAAGTTGCTTCATTCAGCTGCTATCTCAAAGTCACCTCGCCCCAATGTCCAGCTGCTTCTCCCCTCTGCCAGCTGAGTCTGGGTTCTTTATAGGCACAGTATGGGGGGCAGGGCAGGCCATAGGTGGTTTTGGAAAAGGCAACATTTAACCGGTAAAAAGACATTCAGAAAGAACCAATTGGGAAAGAGTGGGCACACAGGGTTGGAAGTTCTCACTTTGGACTGTGGATTCCAGGCTTTACGGCTTGAAGGTGGGTTTTGCCAGGGACCTGCCACTGTCTGCCGAGAATTTCTATGCCTCCTGTCACTATCAGTAGAATGCACTCACATTGAACAAAACAAGGGGGGTTTGTGTTTAGAATATCTCTCCTATTTAAATTGGTTTTCTGTCTTTTTTTTTTTTTTTTTTTTTGAGATGGAGTTTTGCTCTTGTCACCCAGGCTGGAGTGCCATGGCACAATCTCGGCTCACTGCAACATCTACCTCCCAGGTTCAAGTGATTCTCCTGCCTCAGCCTCCTGAGTAGCTGGGATTACAGGCACGTGCCACCACGCCTGGCTAATTTTTGTATTTTTAGTAGAGATGGGGTTTTGCCATGTTGGCCACGCTGGTCTCGAACTCCTGACCTCAGGTGGTCTGCCTGCCTCGGCCTCCCAAAGTGCTGGGATTACAGGCATAAGCCACCATGCCCAGCCAGTTTTCCCATTTTAAATCTTCCTTTGTATTCAGAGATTACAGACACGTAAGTAAAATGTGTAGCTTTTGGCCGGGGCAGTGGCTACTTGGGAGGCTGAGGTGGGAGAATCGCTTGAACCTGGGAGGCAGAGGTTGCAGTGGGCTGAGATCGTGCCACTGCACTCCAGCCTGGGTGACAAGAGGGAAATTGTCTCAAAAAAAAAAAATGTGTAGCTTTTATTTGGCAACAATGTATTGAGTACCTTCTGTATGTTTACCATGGCAATAATGTTTACCATGGCAATAATGTTTACCATGATAGTAAGCATTCACACTTATGCCAAGTAGAAATTGTCCTTGAAGAGCATATGCTTAAAAGAAAATAGCACATCAGAGAACTAAAACTATGAGGTTAAGGTCTATATATGTCTAAATAGGACTTTAGAAGTAGGAGAGAGCAGCCCGTGCAGGTGAGGTTAGACAACAACTCATGAAAGAAACTAGGTCTTAAAGAACCAGCAGAATTCATAGGCAGAAGCAAAAGGTGGATTTCTCAACCCTGTTGACCAGCCTGGAAGTAAGGCAATGTAATTGAGAGGCCACTAAGATGACTTCCATTCAAAGAGAGGGTGGGAGATTTTCATGCTAACTCCAAAAGTGGACATCCAAATTCAGGCACAAATCACAAAGCTGAATAGTGTGAAGAGTTTGGATAATTAGGTTTAGCCCACCAAAAGTGCAGTGAGTTTGGGTCACATACCTCCACTCTGGTTCAACTGAATGATAATGAAGTCACAACATCATGGCTACCTAAGACTAGGAAGTGCAAACCAAAACTAAAACTTTTTTTCCAATCTGGTCTTACTCATATCCACACATTCCTGTTATGAAATTGAGAGGTGACAACATGCTAGCAGCCCTCTCTTGCTCTCAGCACCTCCTCAGGCCATGGCATCCACTCTGGCCATGCTTGAGGAGCCCTTCAGCCCACTGCTGCACTGTAGGAGCCCCTCTCTAGGCTGGCCGAGGCCAGAGCTGGCTCCCTCTGCTCACGGGGAGGTGTGGAGGGAGAGGCACAGGCAGGAACCAGGGTTGCGCATGGTGCTCATGGGCCAGCATGAGTTCCAGGTGGGTACGGGCTCGGGTGGCCCTGCACTCGGAGCGCCCTGGGCAGTGAGACACTTAGCACCTGGGCCAGCAGCTGTGGAAGGTGCACTGGGTCCCCCAGCACTGTCGAGCTGCCCGCGCTGCACTCGAATTCTTGCTGGTTCTCAGACGCCTCCCCACTGGGCAGGGCTCCGGACCTGCAGCCCACCTTCCTCCCTGCACGGCCCCCCGGCCCCCGGCGTGGGTTCTGTGCAGCCTGAGCCTCCCCAACAGGCACTGCCCCCTGCTCCGTGGTGCCCGGTCCCAGGATGAGCTAGGCAAAGCCAGCTGGGCTCCTGAGTGGGGTGGGGACTTGGAGAACTTTTATGTCTAGCTAAAGAATTGTAAATGCACCAGTCAGCACTCTGTGTCTAGCTCAAGGTTTGTAAATGCACCAATCAGCACCCTGTGTCTAGCTCAAGGTTTATAAATGCACCAATCAATGCTCTGTTTCTAGCTAATCTAGTGGGGACTTGGAGAACTTTTGTGTCTGGCTAAAGGATTGTAAATACACCAATCAGCACTCTGTGTCTGGCTCAGGGATTGTAAACGCACCAATCAGCACCTTGTCAAAACGGACCAATCAGCTTGCTGTAAAATGGACCAATCAGCAGGATGTGGGTGGGGCCAGATAAGGGAATAAAAGCAGGCTGCCCTAGCTGGCAGCGGCAACCTGCTCGGGTCCCTTTCCCTGCTGTAGAAGCTTTGTTCTTTCGGTCTTTGCAGTAAATATTGCGGCTGGTCACTCTTTGGGTCCGTGCCGCCTTTAAGAGCTGTAACACTCACTGCGAAGGTCTGCAGCTTCACTCCTGAAGCCAGCAAGACCGCGAACCCACCAGAAGGAACGAACAACTCCAGAGGTGCCGCCTTTAAGAGCTGTAACACTCACTGTGAAGGTCTACAGCTTCACTCCTAAAGTCAGTGAGACCATGAACCCACCAGAAGAAAGGAACGCCAGACACATCTGAACATCTGAAGGAACAAACTCCGGACACACCATCTTTAAGAACTGTAACATCACCGTGAGGGTCCACGGCTTCATTCTTGAAGTCAGCGAGACCAAGAACCCACAAATTCCGGACACAAAATGAAAACACTACCTCAGAATTATTTCTTTTATAGCACTTGTAATTGTTATTCCTAATGATTCTCTTTTTTTCTTCTTTTTTTGAGATGAAATCTCGCTCTTGTCACCCAGGCTGAAGGGAAATGCCACGATTTCAGCTCACTGCAACCTCTGCCTCCTGGGTTCAAGCGATTTTCCTGCCTCAGCCTCCCGAGTAGCTGGGATTACAGGCGCCTGCTGCCACTACACCTGGCTAATTTTTGTATTTTTAGTAGAGACGGGGTTTCACCATATTGGCCAGGCTGGTCTTGAACTCCTGACCTCGGGTGATCTGCATGCCTCGGCCTCCCAGAAGTGCTGAGATTACAGGCGTGAGCCACTGCACCCAGCCAATTCTCTGTTTTTAGAAAGAAAAAAATAACGGACCTTGCAAAAAGTTGTATATGAGTTTCAGGGAGCATGGTAGCCACATGTTCTTTATTTCATGCTGGTCAGGTAGTTTGGCAAAGATGACATTCTTTGTTGATAAAGAATAGTCTTATTTAGACTTATAAGTTCATTTTATATAGCACTATTTTATAAAGCACACAAACATTAAAAGAATGCAGAACCAAATGGCATTTAAAGAGCTTTGCAATCCTAGAATTCTATGATTTTCTAATATGTGAATGACACTTGTCAAATAAGTATCAGTATAAACAAGTACAGCGTTCCCTGTAGATTCATGTCTGAAGAGGAAGAGAAATTCCAAGATGTGTTGTGGCATACCTGAATGAGAAAGGACATTAGACTCACAGACTGGGATTCAAACTCTCTCCCCACACTTAATGAACTCCCATGAGCAAGTTACTTAAAATCTCTGCTTCAGCTTCAGCATCAACAAATGATATTTATTGTAACAGATTGTGGTGAGGTAAAGTGATATATACAAAGAACCTAGCAATACTAGATGCTTTGTAAATATTACCAGGCTCCCTGCTTAACCAACTCCAAAGAAGGAATTGAGCAACTGAGTGAGTGTCTTAAAAATAGAGGACATGGAGCTCATTAAGTTTCTGACTTCTCATAAACATTCATATCTGGATAGGTATTTGTCTCTGGTATGTCCCCCAAATTTCTGCATGTAGTAAGAATTATCAAATAACTTCTAGTAATGCCAAATTTTAGTTTTTAATTCTATTAAACATTTTTCATTTAAAGGGATTGCTGACTTACCTAAAGTCACAGAAAATAAATAAAATTTTATAGTAGAAAATAGGTTTCTTGACTTTTAGTTCCAAGCACTTTTTTTCAAATATAAATATGCATGGAGGAGTTTAAGGCAATTCCGTCTGAATCTATTCCTCCCTGTCTCCCTTTGCTGCATGCTTCAATAGGAGGCTGTCAAAAGTGGCCTTTCTCAGCCCTTCCCATGTGGCTCATGGTGGGTGCAGCTTGCTACAGTAAGAAACTGTCTTCTTGATGCGAGGAGAATCAGAGGAGTTAAACAAGCCCAGCCTTAACAAGTGGAAACCCAAGACTCAACAGCCAAGGAGAGGAAATACAAGTCTAAACTGCCTGAGATGTAATTACAGTGAGGCATCCTGCACCTGGATTTCAGAGTTTGGTGAACATTGCATTGGATTTGATAGAGAACAGATTTGGAACAAAGAAGAGGGTAATGAAGTAACTGCAATAGTGGCCCCAAGTCCTTGCCTGGCTGTGTTAAACTGAATTAAAGACCACAGACCAGACAGACAAATGCAATTATACTCATTTTAGTAAAAATTAAGTAGGCTGTTCTTCTTAAACTAGATTTTCTGTCAATGAGAAAATGGAGGGTTTTTTTTTTTGTTGTTGTTGTTGTTTTGTTTTTTTTTTTGAGATGGAATCTCGCTCTGTCGCCCAGGCTGGAGTGCAGTGGCACGATCTCGGCTCACTGCAAGCTCTGCCTCCCGGGTTCATGCCATTCTCCTGCCTCAGCCTCCAGAGTAGCTGGGATCACAGAAGCCTGCCACCACGCCCGGCTAATTTTTTGTATTTTTAGTAGAGATGGGGTTTCACCGTGTTAGCCAAGATGGTCTCGATCTCCTGACCTTGTGATCCGCCCGCCTCGGCCTCCCAAAGTGCTAGGATTACAGGCGTGAGCCACCGTGCCTGGCCGAAAATGGAGGTATTAAAATAGGAAAAGTATATGCATAAACAAGTTGCTTCGGGGTATGTGGTCCTATGGTGGGGCAAGGAAGTGCAGATTAGAATAAGGGGATATCAGAGTGGGAAATTTCCAATGATCCAAAGATTTTATGATTATTTTGGGAATGGGGTATAAAAGGGAATGGGAAGGGGGCTAAAGAAGACCCATGTCCAAAACAGAATCATTTCAAATGATTTCCCAAGTCTTCATGTATGTCTCCAAGTAAAACATTTTATGCTCTGCAGTGCTTTGTGTGTTAAAAGTTATTTTCATCAACTGCAAAGTAGTGCCTCCTTTTTAAAATCAATAAATAGACAAATAATGTTTAAAGAAAAATTCTGTAAACCAACATGGGTAAGTTTTTTCAATGACTGATTTAAATTAGAGTTATCTTGCTAAACCAAAAAATAAGAATAAAAATCATGAAAATAAGGGTTTCCAATTTCACAACTTCCAACCCACGCTTTGCCTCATCACCCTGGCTTCCATTTGAGAATTCGTCTCAGACAGATGGTAGTGAGTTAACAAGTCTAGACTGTAGGAGTATATATCTGCATTTGCATCTATATGATTATATAGAATAATTTTTCACTGAAATGGCATGCATCATTGGGATGAGCTCCAGGACTTTACGACTTCCCTCTACTCAATTGAGTGTGGCATGTGTACAATTCACTCTGGCCACTACAAAAATTCTACCACAGCTGGAGTAAAGAGCAACAGCTGCTTGCCAGCACACGGCAACATGGCACAAGTTTAGAATCATAAATGAAGAAGACAGCCTTCAATAGACACTGCAGGGGGAATTTAAAGCGAGAGGAAGCAATTAGCTGAACTGGAACAGAGCCAGGAAAGCAAGGCAAGATTCTCCCCAACTTTGGGAAGGAGAGTGCAATGTGTGATACATGAGCACTTTTCTAGTCTAGCTCACAGGCCAAGGTACTAGAACAGGATGAATTAGCCATAAGGTAATCCTGCTTGGATCAGTAAGGTAAAACAGCTGCCTGTCCTCAACCCAGAATACCTTTATTTTCCCCTAATAGGTCTCTTATCTAAGTATACACCCAGACCCAACCCTGTTTGGCTTATGAGATCCAACAAGATCACAGCTTGAGGGAGAAGGTCTGTAACACTCTCTGACAGTGGTTGACTTGGCTTTTAATAGAAATGGGCAGAAATGTAGAGACCTTGTACATTTGAACACACAAGATTGGCCAGCTTTCATCGCAAAAGCTTCTGAGCCTCTCCGTGGCAGCTGGAGTGAAGACCTATGAGCTGATCTGGAAAATACGTCCTTTCTTTCTAATGGGAGCCACCACATTGCGTTCCTTTAATTACACAGTGTCATGTCGTGTTCCCCTGTGAAATGACACGGAGGAACATGAGGTGACCTGGGATAACTGTGATGAATTGCATCCCGAAGAGAGGCTCGCTTTGAAAGGCGTCTGGTGTGGGAAGTAGGTACTTCTACTGCGCTACATGTCTGTGAAGTCATGGATGATTTTCCCGTTGGGTATCACAAATATTTAATGGTAAGATTATGTGCATGCTGACAGAGGCTTTCTGCCAAGTTTTATTTTATTTTTATTGGTGAAGCATAATGGAAATTTTATACTGAAAAGAATAAATATTATAATTATTAAGTAAATAAAAGTAGCACTTTCAAAGGGATTAGTTTTTCATAATCGGATTAGATGATGAAACTAGTATCAGACAGGGGTTCATTCTAACAGTAATTTGTTTCCTGAATTTGAAATTAGAAAGATCATTAAGAGGAAGTAACAATTGTCTAATCAGCCATTAGGTAGGATTATTTTCAAGAAGTTTTTTTGAAGTTTTAATACAGGCTAAAAGCAAACATCTAGATGTGACCTAAACAATATGGTTGTCACTAATCGCATGAGGCTTTTTAAAAGTAAATCAATCCGGGCCATGTAAGGTCACCTAATTTTCAACAAAGGGGCCAAGAATGCACAATGGGAAAAGGATAGTCTCTTCAATGAATAATTCTGAAACTGGATATCAACATGCAAAAGAATGGAATTGGGCCCTTTTCTTACAACTTGCACAAAAGACAACTAAACATGAATTAAAGACTTAAGAAGAAGAACTAATACTTCAAAAATTCTAGAAGAAAATATAGGGAAAGATTACACTGGTCTTGGCAATGCTTTCAGGGAATAAAAGCAAAAATGAACAAGTGGGACTACATCAAACCAAAAATATTCTGTATAGTAAAGGGAATCACGAAGAGAGCGAATTGACAGCCTGTAAAATTGGAAAATACATTTGCAAACCATATATTTGATATGAGGTTAATTTCCAAAATATGTAAGAAACTTGTACAACTCAATAGGAAAAAAAAACACAAAAAACAGAATGAAGCTGGGTTATTAAATTTAATTTACAAATGGGCCAAGAACTTAAACATTTCTCTAAAAAAGCAAACAAATGGCCAACAGGTCTATGAAAAAAATGCTCAAGGTTGCTAATTATCAGGGAAATGCAAATTGAAGCCACAAGATATCATCTAACATCTGTTAGGATGGCTATGAAAAAAAAAGACAACTAGGTTTGATGAGGATGTATAGAAACTGGAACTCTTGAATGCTTGGTAGGAATGACAAGTGGTGCAACTGCTGTGGAAAATAATATGTAGGTCCTCAGACAATTGAAAATAAAATTACGTGATGATCCAGGAATCCCTTTTCTGGGTATTTATACAAAAGAATTGAAACTAAGATCTTAAAGAGATACTCCCATGTTCATTGCAGTACTGTTCACAATAGCCAAGATAGAAAAGAAAAACAAATTCAATGTCTATCAAAAGATGAATGAATAAAGAAAATTGGCATAAACTTACACAATGGAATATTATTTAGCTTTAAAAACATCTTGTAATATTTTACAACATAGATGAACCCTGAGGATACTCCACTATGTGAAATGAGTCAGTAACAAAAAGACAAAGACTGTAGGATTCCACATATATGCACTATTTAAAATGGTCAAACTCATCGAAGCAGAGAGCAGAGTGATGGTTGTCAGGGGCTGGGTGGAGGGAGGAATGGAGAGTTGCTATTCGATGGGTACAAAGTCTCTGTTTTGCAAGATGAATAGGTTCTAGAGATCTGTAAACACTGTGCCTATAGTTAACAATGCTGTATTTCATAGGTAAACATTTGTTGAGGATAGATCTAACGTTGTGTTCTGATCACAATAATAAAATAATCAAAATTTTTAAAAATAAAATAAATAAAATATTAAAACTAAACACTCAGTTCCTAAGCTGCGGTAGCCACATTTCAAGTGTCATATGGTCACATTTGGCAAGTGGCTGGCATATTAGAAAGCATGGATACAAATCATTTCCATCATGGCAGAAAGTCCTGAAAGACAGCCTGGATGAAAAAAAGAAAACAGAACATCATCTACATATTTCTGATTTTCACACATACATTGAAATGTACAGTAAATATCTGGATAATTAAATGTATTTTTTTAACTTTTGTGTTCAGATGTTTTCACAATATAGGCAAAGCTTCTTTCTTTTTGCCGTAGTTTTATTTTCTCTTAGCTTGCTATTATTTGTAAATGGTATGATTTCCCAACAAAATGTCAAGAATCCAGGTTCCCCCAGAATGCAAATGAGCACTATTAGTAGATAAAACCATCCTTGAGATTTAGTTCCCTGTGTTCTCAATAGAATGGAAACCTACTCACAGAAAGCCCACATAGAGAAGTTAGCAGAGTTTTTAGTTAGGAAAGACCAGCTCATAATTTCTGAATCATGTCATTCATGATTCCATCTTCTTAACCATAGAATTACTTCTTACAAAAATACAAAAGCATCAGTCTATTTCTCTTATTCAGACAAAGAAGCAGGAACAATATTTATGGTTTTTAAAAGTTATTTATAAAATGTCCCTCCATGTAATACAAATATACTTTTGTAAATCATGTCTTAGAAAAAACAATACCAAATTCAACATTCTTTCCAGGCATTCATATTTTCCCCTGATAAAAGCTTTTAAAGATGATTAGAGAAAATATTTTTTCCCATTTCACAGATAGGAAAAATAGTAACTGCACCACTTGGTGACAGACCTAGGAGTAGAAAATAGAAAATTTGACATAAAAAAACAAGGTGTTCCATAAGTTGAATTTTCACGTTTCCCACCTTGAGACTCAGGTTCAGAGAATCTCAATAGCACAGAACTGAGAGCAGAAGAAATGGGATTTTACGCATTGAGTGGTGAGTAACTCCCAGCTCCTGTCTTAAAAAAAAAAACAACCCACCTTTTTCTTTGTGGGAGGGCATGACATGGTTTATACAAGCAAGTGGTACTGTTTCTCTCCCCAGATGCATTATTATTAGTAATGTGATTTTACTAATAAGGTGTGGCTAGCTTTTTAATATACTAAACAAGTACAAGAAACTACATAACTTACTGTGCCTTTAACATTTTATAATTACAAGCTAGAAGCTATTGGAATGAGGTGGGTAAGGGTGAAGCATTGTACTAAAGCTGGAAAAAAATCAATACCTGCTCCTGAGATAGGGTGCTTGACCAGAAAGGATATTACAAGATACAAAGGAGCACATATGAAATACTATTTCTCTGATTTTGTTTTTAATCTTATTGCATCAGCAGCACAAAACACACATCAGGTAGACCTACAGAGGCACCATAATTCATTGTTGATTTCATGAGATTATCTGCATGTGTATGAAATGTAAATTGTATATTAATTTCTGAGATTTCCTTTCTCCTAGGAATTAGCACCCCCCTTTTAAATGAGAAAATCCTATAAAAGAGAACTGATAGAACTTTACATGGTAGACTATTTAATCTCCCACTGTTAGCCTAGTAAATTTGGGCAAGCTATTTTAGTTCTTTGAGGTTCAGTTAACTCACAGACATAAAATAATTTGAACATTAGTCTCTAAATCCCAGCTCTACAATTCTGTGAGTATATAATTTCCTAAATTGACCATTTCTGATAGGATTTTCATGTCACCTTTTTTTAAATAAAATATTGGAACTCAATTAGAAATCTCTCATTCAGGCTTTTTGCTTACTGTTAACATCAGCACTTGCTGTACAACAAGGACATGCCACATATGCTCCCAGTTCCACCTCCCTGGCAATACTTGCAGCCTGAGCCTGTTCTGCTCTAGAAAACACATCTAACACTGAGCCCTGACCTCTCCCACATCACTCTGCTTTTCTAAGATCATCTTTCCTTTGATCAAAATAAATTCTGGCCTATTGGCTTAATTTTCATGAAATAATAGATTAAGTGTAGAAGGGATTTTAATGACCTTACACAAGCATATCATCTTACAGATGAAGAAACTGAGACCCAGAAGAGCTTAATGATTGCTCAAAGTCCTCAAACCAGTTAAAGACAGATCCAAGATTAAATGGGGCCTCCTGATTAATGTTCAATGGTTTTTAGAGTATTGTATTCACTTTTTAACTTCTATCCTGAATATATTATCAATGTTTCTTATGGCATTAAGTTCATCTAGTAGGCAAAAATTCCCCAAGAAATACCCTCTCAGAATAGTTTTATGTCTTTGTTCATGAATATGCTCTTTCAATAGGATACAATCAATCAGAAAAGCTGATTCCTGGCACCCGCTTTCTGTAACAGTGATGGTGTCACCTAGAATGTGAGCAAAGGATTGGCCAGGTATAGAACACTACCAGCTATGTGCCACTTTGATCTGTTTGTTTGTTTAGTTGTTTGTTTATATTGCTGAAGGCAGTAGAATTGTTTACTTAGGTCACACATTTCCCAGTGTATATATAGAAAGATTGTTTATTTATATGTGTATGGTCTAGCATTAGTCATTGAACTGCAATTAATCATGTTGCTGCTAGAAATGCCTTTGAATGTTGCTATTCTTATGTACTAAAGGTAAAATATACTTTAGTGAACATGACTTCAGACTACCTCATTTTATACAGTAAATACTGGATCTCTGGTAACGCCTTTGATTTTCTATCCAGAGTCTTACATACTGCAATCTGTTTTCCGTGGGAAGTTGATTGTGCCATGCAGATGATCTGGAAAGATTTACTAAGTGAATGGATTCATGGGTAAGAGACATGTTTTAAGTCTTTATTTTCCTAATAGTAAAAATATAAATTTATGTTCTTCAATATACACTCTTATAAGAACAACAAATAAATTATAAAGTGGTCAGCTACTCAGGTTTAAGATTTCCTATAGACTGTATTATAATAATTTTCTTAGATGATCTGGAAAGATTTACTAAATGAATGGATTCATGGGTAAGAGACATGTTTTAAGTCTTTATTTTCCTAATAGTAGAAATATAAATTTATGTTCTTCAATATACACTCTTATAAGAACAACAAATAAATTATAAAGTGGTCAGCTACTCATGTTTAAGATTTCCTATAGACTGTATTATAATAATTTTCTTACCATTGGTATCTCCTATTATACTATAATTTATTCATGGGTAAAGAATATATTTATTTGCAGTTTTTGTATACGTGACCTCTAAGAGCAATTTTGTTCAGTTGGCTTTTCATCATCTGCAGAATCTCCCCTGCAATCTCCAGATGTAATCTCCAGTAATCCAACAGTTCTAAATATTTGCCCATCTGAAGAAGTTCATAAGCCAGAGAGAGAATAATACTGAAATAGCAAAATGTAAGAATTCAAGCACAGTGAAATAATCAAAGTGAAGAAAATAGACAAATACCTGTTATTAAAACAATCTACTTCAGAGAATATAAGAGACTCGATATATTAAAAACTTACAACTGGAAAGCACAAAGGTCCTGGATGAATCACATGAAAGATATTTTTGAATACATCAATGATAACAAAAGACAATCAATGTAATTTACCACATCAATAAATTAAGAAGAACAATGAAATAATTATGTCAATAGATGAGTAAAAGCATTTGGCAAAATCTGACATCCATTCCTGTTCTAAAAAAAAAAAATCTTAGAAAACTAGGAATACCAGAGAACTTCATTAGCTTAATAAAAAAATCTACAAAAAAACTATGGCTAACATTATATTTAATGGTGAGAAACTAGAAACTTTCTCATTAGGATTGGAAAGAAGGCAAAGATGTCACATATTATCATTTGTGTTTAACAACATATTGGAAGTACTAGGTAGTGCAATAAATATGAAAAATAAAGGTATACATATTGGGAAGGAAAAAATAAAACTATCTTGTTTACAAATGACGTACTCATCTATATAGAAAATTCTACAGAACTGACAAAGAAAAAACACAAACAAACAATTTATTCAACTGATATTTGATGCAAACAAAAACAAAAGTTCTGTAACTTTTAAGCAATTATAGCAAGGTCGCAGGATACAAGATTAATATACAAAATTTAATTGCCTTTCTAAATTGTAGTAATAAACAATTAAATTGAAACATGCCATTTACAATACCAAACAAAGGAAATACTTAGATATAAGACTAACAAAATATGTATAATATCTACATGTGAATAATATAAAACTCTGATAAAAAATCAAAGATATAAACTGGAGATATATTCCGTGTTCATGAATTAGATGACAATATTATTAACATATCAGTTTTTCCTACTTGATCTATAGTTTCAATGTAATCAATATCCAAGGCGGATATTTTGTGAATATTTATAAACTGATTCTGAAGTTTAAATGAAGAGTCAAAAAGACATTATAATAGCCAACACAATACTGAAGGAAATAAACATAGTTAGAAGACTCACACTACTCAATTTCATTATTTATTATAAAGCCATAGTAATCAAAACACCACGTTATTGATAAAAGAATTGACTCACATGTCAATGGAATGGAATAGGGTGCCCAGAAATAGACACGCACAAATATAGTCAACTGATGTTTGACACACACACACATGAAATAGTAATTCAATGGAGAAAGGATATAGTGTTTTCAACAAATAGAACTGGAATCACTATATGTTTATGTGAAAAAAATGAACCTAGACACAAACCTTGCATCTTTCAAAAAATTAACCAAAAATAGATTGTAGACATAAATGTAAATGCAAAATTATGAAATAATTAAAAGAAAACTTAGTAGAAAATCTACATGATCTTGCGTTTGGTGATAGTTTTTAGAAACAAAACCAAAAGTATGATCTATAAAATAAAAAAAATGTAGATTTGGACTTCACTACAAATAAAAACTTCTGCTCTGTGAAAGAGATTACTAACAGAATAAATAGACAAACCACATATTGGGGGAAAATATTTTTGAATTGTTTATGTGATTAAAGATTTATATCCAAACTCCTTAAACTCAACAATAAAAAGACATACAACTCAATAAGATATGGACAAAAATTAGAACAGAGACCTCGCCAAAGAAAACACACAGATAGTAAATAAACATATTAAAAGATGCTCAAAGTCATTTGCAGTTGGAGAATTAGGTATCAGATCAACAATGAGATGCCACTACCCACCTTTTGGAATAGCCAAAACACCAAAACACACACACAACACACACACACACACACACACACACACACACACACACACACACAAACAACCTGAGAATACTAATTTCTTGTGAGGATGCAGAGCAACAGAAATTCTCAATAATTGCTGGTAGGAATGTAAAATTTTATAGCCATTTCCAAAGACAATTTGGCAGTTTCTGCCAACTAAATGTTTAGTTCTGTAGAACTAAACATTGTCGTCTTATGCCATGCAGCTGATGCTCTCCTAAGTATTTAGCCAACTGAAGTGAAAACATATATCCTCACAAAAACCTGCATGTGATAGCTCATGGTAGCTTTATTCATCTCCACTATAATCTGGAAGCAGCCAAGATGTCTTTCAATAAGTGATGAATAAGCAAACTATGATACATCCATAAAACAGAATATTATCTTATGATAAAGAGCTATGAGCTATCAAGCTATGAAAACACATGGCTAAATCTTAAATACCTATTGTTATGTAAAAGATTACATGATTCCAAGATCAATGGTTGCCAGGAGGATGTGGGAAGGTATGTAAGCTTGAATAGGTGTAGTACAGGCGATATTTTAGGCTGTGAAAGTATTTTGTATGATATTGTAATTGTGGATGACACTATACATTTTTCATAACCCACAATCCTTACAGCACAAAGAGTGAACCCTAAGCATGCAAATTAAAAAATAATCATTTTGGCAGTGGGCTATGTCAAAGAGACACAGGAACCAAATAAAAAGAACTTTCAGTAGCAGAATCTGTCAGACCAGAAGAACAAAGTGGAAAAAAAAAAAAAAAAAAAAGAGCTGGCAGAATTTAAAATGATTGAGTGAAAAAAAATTAAATGTATTTGGTTTTACCTCAAAGAATAGAATGTTTATCCATGAGTCCTTACTGGTATAAATAAATAATTTAATAAATAAATTTGTGAGCAGGGAATAGAAATATCTTTTGTCAAAAATAACTCTAAATAATGTAGGTAGATACTCTACCTCCAAAGAGGTGGAGTATAACTTCACACTGCATAAGTGTTGGTTATGCATAGTGACTTCCTTCCAAAGAGTACAGTATAGAAAAAAATAATAATTTTATATCGAATAAACAACATTATTTCAGCCAACGATCAAGTTTAACATCAGCAATCATGAGTACTGGTGACAGTTTTTCTATCACTGATGTGATGTGATGAAAATGGCACTTCTGTAGTCTTCTTCTCTCAAACCCAAAACTTGTTTTTAGTAACTTGGGATAAAGAAAAAAATGAAAATCATAAAGTAATTTTATAATCAAAATACAGCATATCAAAATTTGTATAATGTCACTAGTGCAGTATTTTAGGGGAAATTTAGAGTACTAAACAATCATATTAATAGAAAAAAAGCTCTTAAGTTCATGATCTCAGCTTCTACTTTAAAAACATAGGAAAAGAGAAGTTATTTTTAAAATAACCAGAAGAAATAAACAATAACCATGAATTTACAAATCTGTGAAAGATGAAAAAATCAACAGCAATAACAACAAACCAAAGCTGTTTCTCTCGGAATATCAATAAAATGAATTAAATTCTATTCAGATGTATTAGGAGATAGAGAAAGAGGAAGAAAGAAAGAGAAAGAGATACAAATTGCCAATCGGAGAAATAAGAACATCACTACAGATTTTATAGATATTTTTAAAAATAATAAGGAGCTATTATAAACAACTTCATTCCTATAAACTTAGATGAAGTGCAAAAATTCCTTGAAAGACACAAAGTATAAAAGATTTTGACGATAAAAGAGAAAAAGTAAATAGTCCCATTTCTAATAAAAATTAAACCTGTAGGTTGAAAATTTCTCACAAAAAATGCTGATAGGCCCAGATGACCACACTGGTGAATAATGTAACATATTTAAGGAAGATTTGATACCAGTTTTACACATCTTTCAGAAAATTGAGAGTGATTGAATACTTTCAGTAGTGCTTTAAAGCTAAAATAAGTTAAGACACAAATAAATAAATAAATAAAAACTTCACATAAATATCCCTTATAAACACAAATAAAGATTTAAGACAAAATTATAGCAAAGCCTACAATATATAAAAATGACAATACATCGTGATAAAGTGTGCACTTTTACCAATAATTAATGGTTGGTTTAATATTTGGAAATCAACCATTTAATTCACCAAATTAGTAAATTAAATAAAAACTCACATGCGTATTTAACAAATAAAGTTGACACAATCCAGCTACTGGTTCTTATGAAAACTGTCAGGAGATTGGAAATAGAAGAAATCATTATCCTGATATAAGGCATCTATGAACAATCTCATATTTAAAGGTAAAAGATGCACTGCTTTTCTTTTAGGATAAAGGACAAGACAGAAATGTAACCTCTTAACATCTATTGTACATTGTATTGGAGGTTATAGCCAGTGCAATCAAGCAAGAAAGAGGAATAAAATTAATCCAGATGTAAAAAACAAAAACTTTATTTAATAAATATGAAGAAATTCTGATGAAATCTATAAAATGTCACTAGAACTAATGGGTATGTTTAATAGAGTTGTTATGCACAAGATTAATACCCCAAAATCAGCTTTATTTTATATACCTACAATGAAGATGTGGTAATTTAAATTAAAAAAATTACCACTTACCACATCATCAAAAAATGTGAAATACTTACAGGTACATCTAACAAAAGACGTGCAAGAACTGCAAATTGAAAACTACAAAATATTGCTGAGCAAAATTAAAGAACACCTAAATAAAAGGATAGGTATGTTTCACTCATAGTTCATAAAACTTAATATTGTTTCAAAATCAATGTTCTACGAAATAATTTGTAGGTTCAACACAGTTCAAATTAGAACCTTAGCAGAATTTTTGTAGTAATTGGCAAGCTAAATCAAAATCTTAAAAATTCAGAGAACTTAGAATAGCCAAAACAACTTTCAAAAAAATAAATAAATAAAGTGAGAGGGCTAACATAAACTGAATTTAAGACTTAAAAACATACAACTAAAAGACTGTGGTATTGGTAGATAGATAGATTTAATGATCAAAATATAATCCACAACTAGACCCACAAATATATGCAGAATTGATTATCATCAAAAGCATAAAGGCAATTTAGCAGAGGAAGTAGTCTTTTCAAACAATAGTGCTGAAAAATTTGGTTGTTGCATGCAAACAAATTAATTTTAATCCTGTCTTATACCATACACAAAAACTAACTCACAATTAATCATAGAGTTAAATGTAAAATCCTTATATTTTGAGATTAGACAAAATAAAAATTTTATGATTTAATACCAAAAGAGCCACATATAGAAGAAAAATTGATAAATTAAACTTGATCAAAATTAAGAACTTATGCTCTTTGATAGACACTATTGACAATGTAAAGACAAATTCAATTTTCTCTTGAAAGGAAATACTTGCAAAGTATATCCCTGGTAAAGAACTTTTAAACAAAGAACTTATATAGAACTATTATAACTCAATAATAGGAATGTAAATAGGGCCTGGGCATGGTGGCTCATACTTGTAACCCCAGAACTTTGGAAGACCTATGTGGGAGGATCACTTAAGGCCAGAAATTTGAGACCAGCCTGAGTGACATACTGAAACTCTGTCTTTACAAAAGAACTTAAAAATTGGCAAGGTATGGTGGAGCACATTTGTGGTCCCAGCTACTTGGGAGGCTGAAGTGGGAGCATCACTTGAGCCAAGTAGTTTGAGGCTACAGTGAACCATGATCACACTACTACAGTCCAGCCTGGGAGACAGAGCAAGGCCATGTCACCAAAAATAAAATAAAATAAAATAAAATAAAATAAAATAAAATAAAATAAAATAAAATAAAATAAAAGAGAGAGAGAGAGGAGTGGGGGAAGAGAAGGAAAACCAACCAACCAAACAAACAAAAAACAGAATGATGTCAATAGGCTTAATTCAAGATGGCTGACTGGAAGCATCTTGTGTCTTCTACTTTCCTCCTCCATAAATAAAAACCAAAATTTTGAGTAGATAATTCCATTTTGAATAGATTATCTATGAGAGAACAATAGCATTCAACAGAGCAGTGACAGAAACTATCTAAAGCAAGGAAAGAGAGGGAAGTGAGGAAGCCTGCTTGCCTGGGATCAGCAGGGACCTTTGGAGAGGCTTCCTAATTTGAGAAAAGGGTAAGTAAGAGACCCACTGGTTCACATTCCCACTAGAGACTCCTGTAATTCTAGCCACAAGAGCACCTCTCAACTCCTGTGGATCCTGAGACTAACATAGGGAGCTGCCTGGAGACTGTATGCTGACATTACTTCAGAGAGGGAGATCATGCTGTGTCCCACATTCCCTCCAAGTCCTAAGTAGCTACAGCAAGGCACAATTTTGAAAGTTCAGCCCCCACCAGACTACATCCTTCCATGAGGCCCAGCAGCTCCTGCATCTCCACATCTCTGGAACCCCACTGACATTCCCCACTTACAGCTAATTGATACTGCCAAGGCCAAAGTGTTACCATTGGCAACAAGTCCACTACCCCAGCAGTGGAGCCCCGCTGCATATTTCTTGTGCCCTGAAGGTAAGCTTTCCTACCCACAGCAGTCACCAAGAAGTAATTGAAATAAGTTTCTTTCTCCCATTCATGCCTATAGACATAGAGAAAATGCAGCCCTGAAAAGTAAGTCAAAGCACAAGCCCCTGGCAACAATCCTGCTGCTCCCAGCAGTGGAGCTATCATATATTTACAAACACACTGAGGACAGGCTAAGCTGCCAGAGCCACTCTCTGGGGCCAAAACATGTGCTCCCAAGATACCTTTCTACAGCTGCTGCCACTGAAACAACCCTACGCACCCAATTAGCTGGGAAGAAGCACAGTGGTTGCCCCTCCATTCAAACATTCCTCTGGGAGCCTGGGGATCATACTCTTCCTGCCTATCAGTGACTGCATGCACCATAAAGAGGCTGGGGAATATGTTCACCTATCCTGGCTCCTATGTCCCTAGTGCCTGAGCATGCCATCTGCAGGTCTGGGGATTCCCTAGCCCCAACCACAATTGGCACTTGAGCACTCTGCCTGGAGGGAAAGGGTTGGGCCCATTCAACCTGCTGCTACCACCACAGCTGGCACTGTCCCTCATGTGCCACCTGTAGGCCAATGGACTTGCCTCCGGCCACCCCCCACCTTCTCCAATCTCTCACAGCCACTTCCAATGCCAGCAAGAACCACTTGGGAGCCAGAGGCTTGTCCTTCCACTGCTACTGCCATTGCCACAATATGCCTGCTTCCAAGGGGCCCAAGGACATGCTCACCAGCCCAGCCAACTGCTGTCACTACTGGCACACAAGCAAGCCAACTAAACACTCAAAAATTGGCCTGCCTGGACTTGCTAACACCAGTGCCAGCATATACCTTCCTAGGGCCCAAGGGCAGACACACTCAGCTTGACATTGCCACAACTGAAGCTCAAGGACTGGTCCACTTAGGATTCCTGTCCCCACCGAAACTATGACACAACCTCTACTAACAATCGCACCCTAAACCACTGAGGAAATTAAACACCACCGACACTGTTTACAGCCAAAGAAATTATATAGAGACTATATTACTCCATGTATCCAAAATCAAAGCCAAAGTGCTCAATCCAACCAATACCAAATATATTTTCAGAAAATAAAGTCCTCCCCTTAAAAGCAAATACAATAAATTGGAATAAGTAACGATTACACCAGATGCAACGATGTCAATGTAAAACTCAGGAAATATAAAAAGGCAAGGAAATATGATACCTGCAAAGGAACACAATAATTCTCCAGCAACAGATTCAAAGGAAAATTAAATTAATGAAATCCTAGAAAAATAATTCAAAATGATGATATTAAAGAAACTCAATGATATATAAGAGAACACAGATAAATAATAGAAAGACATCAGAAAAACAATTCAGGATATGAATAAGAAATTTATTAGATACACATCATTAAGAAGAGCCAAACAGAAGTCCTGTAACTGAAAAATTAATTACTTTAAAAACAAATACATTCAAAAGCTTCAGCAGTAAACTAGAACAAACAGAAGAAAGATTTTCAGAACTTTAAGACAGGTATTTTGAAACAATTCAGAAAAAAATAAAGATAATAGAACAAAAAAGAATGGATAAAGCATATGTGACACATGAGACTCCATAAAGCAACCAAATATTGGAATCTTCAGTGTTCTAAATGGTAAAGAGAAAACAAAAAGATTGACACTTTATTGAACAAAATAATAGCTAAAACGTTTTCAAGTCTAGCAAGAGATTTAGATAGCCAGATACAGGAAGCTCAAAAATCTCCAAGTAGATGCAATTCAAAAAGATGTTTTCCATGGCACATTATAGTCAAACTTTAAAAGTCTAGGACAAAGAATTATTTAAAAAGCAAGGAAAAGCTTCTAGTCCCTTATAAGGGAACCTCCATCAGAATAACAGTGGATTTCTCAACATAAACTTTACAAGCTAGGAGATAATTGAAGAATATATTCAAAGTGCTAAAAGGAAAAACAAAAAGAACCTACTTGCCAAGGATACTATAGCCAACAACTTACACTTGATAAATGAAGGAGAAATAAAGTCTTTCTCAAACAAGCAAATGCTGAGGGAAAACATTGCCATTAGACCAGACTTACAAGAAATACTTAAGGCAGCTGCACATTTAAAAGCTAAAAGACAATATTGACCATTATAAAAACACATGAAAGTATGAAATCCACTGATAGAGCAAACACACAAATAAGGAGAGGAAGGACTAAAAAGTTACTACTATAGAAAACCACCAAACCACATGATAAAAACAGTAAGAGAGAAAGAAAGAATATACAAAACAGCCAGAAATCAAATAATAAAATGCCACGAATAAGCCCTCACATACAAATAATAACTTTATATGTAAACAGATTAAACTTTCTACTTAAAAGATGTGGACTGGATGAATGGATAAAAAACATGATCCAATGTTATGCTTCCTACAAGGAACCTATCTCACCTGTAAAGACACATATACACTGAAAATAAAGGGATGGTAAAAGATAAACCACGCAATTTCTGATACCAAAGCCTGGCAGAGACACAACCAAAAAAGAGAATTTTAGACCAATATCCTTGATGAACATTGATGCAAAAATCCTCAATAAAATACTGGCAAAATGAATCCAGCAGCACATCAAAAAGCTTATCCACCATGATCAAGTGGGCTTCATCCCTGGGATGCAAGGCTGGTTCAATATACGCAAATCAATAAATGTAGTCCAGCATATAAACAGAGCCAAAGACAAAAACCACATGATTATCTCAATAGATGCAGAAAAGGCCTTTGACAAAATTCAACAACCCTTCATGCTAAAAACTCTCAATAAATTAGGTATTGATGGGACATATTTCAAAATAATAAGATCTATCTATGACAAACCCACAGCCAATATCATACTGAATGGGCAAAAACTGGAAGCATTCCCTTTGAAAACTGGCACAAGACAGGGATGCCCTCTCTCACCACTCCTATTCAACATAGTGTTGGAAGTTCTGGCCAGGGCAATTAGGCAGGAGAAGGAAATAAAGGGTATTCAATTAGGAAAAGAGGAAGTCAAATTGTCCCTGTTTGCAGACGACATGATTGTATATCTAGAAAACCCCATTGTCTCAGCCCAAAATCTCCTTATGCTGATAAGCAACTTCAGCAAAGTCTCAGGATACAAAATCAATGTACAAAAATCACAAGCATTCTTATACACCAACAACAGACAAACAGAGAGCCAAATCATGAGTGAACTCCCATTCACAATTGCTTCAAAGAGAATAAAATACCTAGGAATCCAACTTACAAGAGATGTGAAGGACCTCTTCAAGGAGAACTACAAACCACTGCTCAATGAAATAAGAGAATACAAACAAATGGAAGAACATTCCATGCTCATGGGTAGGAAGAATCAATATCGTGAAAATGGCCATACTGCCCAAGGTAACTTACAGATTCAATGCCATCCCCATAAAGCTACCAATGCCTTTCTTCACAGAATTGGAAAAAACTACTTTAAAGTTCATATGGAACCAAAAAAGAGCCCGCATCGCCAAGTCAATCCTAAGCCAAAAGAACAAAGCTGGAGCCATCACACTACCTGACTTCAAACTATACTACAAGACTACAGTAACCAAAACAGCATGGTACTGGTACCAAAACAGAGATATAGATCAACGGAACAGAACAGAGCCCTCAGAAATAACGCCGCATATCTACAACTATCTGATCTTTGACAAACCTGAGAAAAACAAGCAATGGGGAAAGGATTCCCTATTTAATAAATGGTGCTGGGAAAACTGGCTAGCCATATGTAGAAAGCTGAAACTGGATCTCTTCCTTGCACCTTATACAAAAATCAATTCAAGATGGATTAAAGACTTAAACGTCAGACCTAAAACCATAAAAACCCTAGAAGAAAACCTAGGCAATACGATTCAGGACATAGGCATGGGCAAGGACTTCATGTCTAAAACACCAAAAGCAATGGCAACAAAAGACAAAATTGACAAATGGCATCTAATTAAACTAAAGAGCTTCTGCACAGCAAAAGAAACTACTATCAGAGTGAACAGGAAACCTACAAAATGGGAGAAAATTTTTGCAACCTACTCATCTGACAAAGGGCTAATGTCCAGAATCTACAATGAACTCAAACAAATTTACAAGAAAAAAAACAAACAACCCCATCAAAAAGTGGGCAAAGGACATGAACAGACACTTCTCAAAAGAAGACATTTATGCAGCCAAAAAACACATGAAAAAATGCTCATCATCACTGGCCATCAGAGAAATGCAAATCAAAACCACAATGAGATAGCATCTCACACCAGTTAGAATGGCGATCATTAAAAAGTCAGGAAACAACAGGTGCTGGAGAGGATGTGGAGAAATAGGAACACTTTTACACTGTTGGTGGTACTGTAAACTAGTTCAACCATTGTGGAAGTCAGTGTGGCGATTCCTCAGGGATCTAGAACTAGAAATACCATTTGACCCAGCCATCCCATTACTGGGTATATACCCAAAGGACTATAAATCATGCTGCTATAAAGACACATGCACACGTATGTTTATTGCGGCACTATTCACAATAGCAAAGACTTGGAACCAAGCCAAATGTCCAACAATGATAGACTGGATTAAGAAAATGTGGCACATATACACCATGGAATACTAGGCAGCCATAAAAAATGATGAGTTCATGTCCTTTGTAGGGACATGGATGAAATTGGAAATCATCATTCTCAGTAAACTATCGCAAGAACAAAAAACCAAACACCACATATTCTCACTCATAGGTGGGAATTGAACAATGAGATCACATGGACACAGGAAGGTGAACACCACACTCTGGGGACTGTTGTGGGGTGGGAGGAGGTGGGAGGGATAGTATTGGGAGATATACCTAATGCTAGATGACGGGTTGGTGGGTGCAGCGCACCAGCATGGCACATGTATACATATGTAACTAACCTGCACAATGTGCACATGTACCCTAAAACTTAAAGTATAATAATAAAAGAAAAAAAAAAAAAAGAAAACCAAAAGCAGTCTGTAATCCAGCACTTTGGGAGGCTGAGGTGGGTGGATCACCTGAGGTCAGAAGTTTGAGATCAGCCTGGCCAACATGGCGAAACCCCATCTCTACTAAAAATACAAAAATTAGCTGGGTGTGATGGCACATACCTGTAGTTCCAGCTATTTGGGAGGTCGAGGCAAGAGAATTGCTTAAACCTGGGAGGTGGCTGGTGCAGTGAGCCACGATTGTGCCATTGCACTCCAGCATGGGTGACTGGGTGGCACAGCAAAACTCCGTTTCAAGATAAAAAAGAAAACCAAAAGCCAATAGGAGTAGATATACTTAGATAAAACAGACTTTAAATAAAAAATAATAATAAAAGACAAAAGACAAAAAAGTCATTACGTAATGATAAGGGGATCAATTTGGCAAGGAGGTGTAACAATTCTAAAAATATATGTGCCTGGAACCAGCACATTCAGATATATAAAGCAAGTATTATTAGATCTAAAGGGAGAGATAGACTTCAATAAAATATAGTTGACAACTTCAACACCCAACTTTCAGCATCAGACACGTTACCTAGACACAAAATAACAAAGGAACATTTCATTTAAACTATATATTAGACCAAACAGACCTAACACTTATAGAACATTTCAACCAACATCTACATAATATATGTCATTCTCATCAGCACCTGAGACGTTCTGCAAGATAAGCCATATGTTAGGGCACAAAACAAATATTAACACATTTTTAAAAATCAAAGTTATATCAAGTATCTTTCAGACCACAATGAAATAAACTAGAAATTAATAGCAAGGGGAACTTTGGAAATGGTACAAATGCATGGTAATTAAACAATGTGCTCCTGAATAATCACTGTGTCAACAAAGAAATTGAGGAGAAAATCAAAATATATTGAAATGAATGAAAATCAAAACAAAGCACACTAATCTATGAGATGGAGCAAAAAAAAAAAACAGTGCTAAGAGGAAAGTTCATAGCAGTAAATACCTCCATCAGAAAAGTAAAAAGATTTCAAATAAATAAACTAATAGTGCAAGTCAAAAAACTAGAAAATAAAAAAACCAAAATCCAGAACTGTAGAAGAAAAACATTAACAAAAATCAGAGCAGAATTAAACAAAGTAGACTAAAAAATAATAAGAAGTATCAACAAAATGAACAGTTGGTTTTTTGAAGAGATGAACAAAACTGATAAACCGCTAGCTAGACTAACAAAGATAAAAAAGAGAAATTACCCAAATAAACAAAATTAGAAGTGAAAATGGAGACATTATAACTGATGCCACAAAAAAGCAAAAGATCATCAGAGATTATTACTGACAATTATACACTGACACCATGAGAAACCTAGAGGAAATGGATAAATTCCTGGACACATACAACCAACCAAACCTGAATCAAGAAGAAATAGAAAACCTTAACAGAACAATAATGAGTGATGAGATTGAATCCACAATAAAACGTCTTCCAACATAGAAATGTTCAGGACTGAATGGCTTCACCGCTAAATTCTACCAAACTTTCAAAGAAGAACTGACAACAATTCATATCAAACTATTCTAAAAAAATTAAAAAGAAAAGATTTCTCCCTAATTTGTTCTACCAGGCTCACATTACCCTGATGCCAAAACTCCCTAGGACAGAACTTCCAGAGGGAGGGTTGGACTACCGTCTTTGCTGTTTGGGTGACTTAGCCATTCCAGCCTGTGGACCTTGGAGAGCCCAAGCCAACCAGGACAGACAAGAGCATAATAAGAAAAGAAAACTATAGGCCAATGTTCCTGGAAAATATACATGTAAAAATATTCAACAAAATACTAGCAAACTGAATCTAAAATGCATCAAAAAGATAACATGCCATGATCAAGGAGAGTTTATACCAGGGATGCAAGAATGGTTCAACATACTCAAATCAATAAATGTGGCAAATCATATCAACAAAATGAAGGACAAAACCATATGATCATCTCAGTAGACACAGAAAAAAAATTTGATAAAACTCAACATCTTTTCATGAAAAAAAGTCTCAACAAACTAGGTACTGAAAAAACATACCTTAACATTATAAAGGCCATATGTAATAAATCCACAGCTAGCACCCTACTGAATGAGGAAAAGCTTAAAGTCTTTTCTCTAAGAACTGGAACAAGACAAGAGCGACCATATTCACCTCTCTTATTCAATATACTACTGGAAGCTCTAGCCACAGCAAACAGGAAAGGTAAAGAAACAAAAAGCATCTAAATTGGAAAAGAGAAAGTCAAATTGTCCCACCTTACAGATGACATGATCTTATGTATATGAAAACCTAATGACTGTATGAAAAAACTCTGAAATCTGATAAATAATAAGTTCAGTTAAGTTGTAGAATATAAACTTGTAGGTATAAAGTAAAAAAAAAATCGGTATTGTTTTTATATGCCAACAGTGAACTAGCTGACAAAGAAATCAAGAAGGCAAGTTTGTTTATAACAGCAAAAAAAAAAAAAAAAAGCTTAGGAATAAATTTAACCAAAGAGGTGAAAGACTTCTACTAGAAAAACCACAAAAATGTTGATGAAATAAGTTGGACAGGACACAAACAAATGGAAATATATCCCATGTGCATGGATCAAAATAATTATTCTTGTTAAAATGACCATATTGCCCAAAGTAATCTACAGATTAAATGCAATCCCTGTGAAAATAGAAAGGGATGTCATTTTTTACAGAATTAATAACAAAATATTTTAAGATTTGTATGGAACCAAAAAAGAGCCCAAATTCCCAAAGCAATCTTGAGCAAAAATGACAGGGCTGGAGGCATCACACTACTTGACTTCAGAATAAATTACACGGCTGTAGTAACCAAACAGCATGACATTGGTATATAAACAGATACTTAGACCAATGGAACAGAACAGACCACCCATAAATAAATTCATGTACTTATTTGATAACTGATTTTCAACAAAATCACCAAGAACATACATTGGGGAAACAGCACCCTATTCAATATTCGGTGCTGGAAAAATTAAACATCCATATGCAGAAGAATGAGACTTGACCTGTATTTCTCACTATATACAAAAAATCAACTCAGGATGGATTAAAGACTTACATTTAACACCCAAAACTATAAACTACTAGAAGAAAGCATAGGGGAAACACTTCAGGACATTTGTTTAGACAGAGATCATATGGCTGAGACTTTAAAAGCACAGGCAGCAAAACCAAAAGTAAACAAATGGGACTATGTTAAACTGAAAAGCTTCTGTACAGCAAAGGAAACAATCAAGAGTGAATGGAAAACCTGTTGAATGGGAGAAAATATTTTCAGACTATTTTCCTGACAAAAGACTAAAATCTAGAATTTACTAAGAACTCAAGCAACTCAAGGGCAAATCATCATCATCATCATCATCATTCTGTTAAAAAGTGGGCAAAAGCCATGAATAGACATTTCTCAAAAGAAGACATAGAAATCACCAATGGGTTTTGAAGAAATGCTCAACATCACTGATCATTTGGGAATGAAAATCAAAACCACAATGATATATCATCTCACCCCAGTTAGAACAGCTATTATTAAAATGACAAAAGATAAGAAAAGCTGACAAGAATGCAGAGAAAGAGATGCTAATATACTGTTGGTGGGAATGCAACACAGCCATTATGGAAAACATTATGAAGATTTCTTTAAAAACTAAAAACAGAACTCCCACATGATATAGCAATCCCACTACTGGACATTATCCCAAAGGAAACAAAATCAGTATATCAAAGGGATCTTGGCAATGCCATGTTTATTGCAGAACTACTCATGATAGCAAATATATTTAATCAACCAAAATGTCCATCAACAGAAGAATGGATAAGAAAAATGTGGTAAAGTCATAAGATAGCTGACTAGAAGCAGCTTAGTTGTGTGTCTCTCATGGAGAGGAATGAAAGGGGTGAGTATATACAGCACCCTCAACAGAAACATCCAGGTATCACATTGAGACTAATTAAGGACATGACTCAACCCGTGGAGAACAGAAGAAAGCAAGGCAGGATGACATGTCACCTGGGAGCAACACAGAGCCAAGGGAACCTCCTCTACCCAGGGAAGTGGTGAGTGAATGTGTATAAAAAGTGGAGGAAAGAATCTCAGAACTTGAATACTGCCTTTATAAAATAAGACAGGCAGACAAGAATAGTGAAAAAACAATAAAATTGAATGAACAAAATCTCCAAAATATGAGATTATGTAAAGAGACTGAATCTACAACTCATTGGTGTACCTGAAAGAGATACAGAGAATGGAACCAATTTGGAAAACACCTTTGAGGATATCATCTATGAGAAATTCCCAAACATAGCTAAAGAGAGCAACATTCAAATTTGGGAAATGCAGAGAACCCCGGTAAGTTGCTTCATTAGAATGTCATTTCCAAGACACATAACCATAAAATTTTTCAAGGTGAAAATGAAAGATTAAAATGTTAAAGGCAGCTAGAAAGAAAGGCCAGGTAACCTGCAAAGGGAAGCCCATTAGACTAATAACAGACCTCTCAACTGAAACCCTACAAGCTAGAAGAGATTGGGAGACAATATGCAACATTCTTAAAGAAAAATATTCCAACCCAGATTTTCGTATCTAGCCAAACTAAGCTTCATAAACAAAAGAGAAATAAGATGATTTTCAGAAAAGCAAATGCTCAGGAAATTTGTTACCACTAGACGTGCTTCTTACAAGAGTTTCTGAAGGAAACCAGTTACCAGTCACTACAAAAACATATTGAAGTACACAGACCAGTGACACTATAAAGCAACCACATAAACAAGTCTGCAAAATAACCAGGTAACATCATGACAGGATCAAATCCACCTATATCGATACTAACCTTAAATCTAAATGGACTTAATGCCCCAGTTAAAAAACACAGATTGGAAAGCTAAATAAAGAATCCAGACTCATCGGTATGCTGTCCTCAAGAGACTCGTCTCATATGCAGTGACACACATAGGCACAAAATAAAGGGATGAAGAAAGATCTATCAAGCAAACGGAAAACAGAAAAAAAGCAGGGGTTACAAACCTAGTTTCTGACAAAACAGATTTTAAATCAACAAAGATCAAAAAAGACAAAGAAGGCCAGGCGTGGTGGCTCATGCCTGTAATCCCAGCACTTTGGGAGGCCAAGGTGGGTGGATCACGAGGTCAGGAGATTGAGACCATCCTGGCTAACATGGTGAAACCCTGTCTCTACTACAAAATGCAAAAAAAATTATCCGGGTGTGGTGGCAGGCACCTGTAGTCCCAGCTACTCAGGAGGCTGAGGCAGGAGAATGGCGTGAACCCGGGAGGTGGAGCTTGCAGTGAGCCAAGATTGCGCCACTGCACTCCAGCCTGGGCAACAGAGCAAGACTCCATCTCAAAAAAGAAAAAAAAAAAAAAGACAAAGAAGAGCATTACGTAATGCAAAGGGTTCAACGCAACAAAAATATCTAACTATCATAAGTATGTGTGCATCCAACACAGGAACACTAAGATTCATAAAGCAAGTTCTCAGGGGCCTTCAAAGACACTTAGACTCCCACTCAACAATATTAGGAGAATTTTATACCCCACTGACAGTGTTAGAGAATCAAGACAGAAAATTAACAAAGATATTCAGGACGTGGACACAACACTAGATCAAATGGACCTGATAGATATTTACAGAACTCTCCAACCCAAAACAACAGAATATACATTCTTCTCATCACCACATGGCACTTACTCTAAAATTAATCACATAATCAGAAGTAAAACACTCCTCAGCAAATGTAAATATTGAAATAATAACAGTATCTCAGACCACAGCACAATCAAATTCAAAATCAAGACTAAAAATTTCACTCAAAACCACTAAATTACATGGAAATTGAATAACCTGCTCCAGGAATGACTTTTGGTTAAATAATGAAATTAAGGCAGAAATCATAAAGTTATTTGAAGCTAATGAGAAAAAAGATAGAATGTTCCAGAATCTCTGTGGCATAGCTAAGGCAGTGTTAAGAGGGAAATTTAGAGAGCAAAATCCCCACATAAGGAAATTAGAAAGGTCTCAAGTTAACAACCTAACATCACAACTAAAAGAACTAGAGAACCAAAAGCAAACAAATCCCAAAGGTACCAGAAGACAAGTAGTAACCCAAATCAGAGCTGAACT
This sequence comes from Homo sapiens, assembly GCF_000001405.40. NCBI lineage: Eukaryota > Metazoa > Chordata > Mammalia > Primates > Hominidae > Homo > Homo sapiens. The sequence goes on from NC_000018.10 coordinate 39,262,953, forward strand.
GAATGAGTTAGAGACATGAAAACCCATTCAAAAGATCAACAAATCCAGAAGCTGGATTATTTTTTAAAAATTAATAAAACTGATAGACAACTAGCTAGACTAATAAAGAAGAAAAGAGAAAAGATTCAAATAAACACAATCAGAAACAACAAGGGGGATATTACCACTGACCACACAGAAATACAAACAACCATCAGAGAATATTATGAACACCTCTATGTATATAAACTGGAAAATCTAGAAGAAATTTATAAATTCCTGGACACATACACCCTCACAAAACTAATCTAGGAAGAAATGAATCCCTGAACAGACTAATAATAAATTCTGCAATTGAGGCAGTAACAAACAGCCAACCAACCAAAAAAAGCCCAGGACTGGAAGGATTCACAGCTGAATTCTGTCAGATGTACGAAGACAAGCTAGTACAATTCCTATTGAAACTATACCAAAAAATTGAGCCAGAGAGACCCCTCCCTAACTCATTCTATTAATAACAAGCCAGCATCATCCTGATACTAAAACCTGTCAGATATACAACAAAAAAAGAAGAGTTAAGTCCAATATCCTTGATGAACATCGATGCAAAAATTCTCAACAAAATACTGGCAAATCAAATCCAGCAACACATCAAAAAGCTTATTCACCACAATCCAGTAGGCTTTATCTCTGAGGTGCAAGGTTGGTTCAACATATACAAATCAAAAATATGATTCATCACATAAACAAACTAAAGACCAAAACCACATGATTATCTCAATAGATGCAGAAAAGTATTTTGATGACATTCAACACCCATTCAGGTTAAAGACTCTCAATAAACTAGGTATTAAAGGAACATATCTCAAAATAATAAGAGCCATCTATGACAGACCTACAGCCAACATTATACTGAATGGGCAAAAGCTGAAAGCATTCCCATTGAAGACCAGCACAAGACAAGGATGCCCTTCCTCTCCACTCCTATTCAAAATAGTATTGGAAGTTCTGGCTAGGGCAAACAGGCGAGAAAGAAATAAAGGGCATTCAAATAGAAAGAGAAGAAGTCAAACTATCCCTGTTTGCAGATGATATTATTCTATATCTTAAAATCCCCACAGTCTCAGCCCAAAAGCTTCTTAAGCTGATAAAAAATTTTAGCAAAGTCTCAGGATAAAAAATCAATGTGAAAAATTGCTACATTTCTGAATACCAACAACAGTCCAGCTGAGAGTCAAATCAAGAACTAACTTCTATTCACAATTGCCACAAGAAAAATAAAGTGTCTACGAATACAGGTAACTAGGGAGGTAAAAGAGCTCTATAAGATGAACTACAAACCACCACTCAAAAACAAAAAAAAAGATGACACAAATGGAAAAACATTCCATGGTTATGAATAGGAAGAATCAATACCATTAAAATGGCCATACTGCCTAAAATGATTTATAGATTCAATGCTATTCCTATTAAACTAACATTGACATTCTTTACAAAACTAGAGTAAGCTATTTTTAAATTAATATGGAAGCAAAAAAGGGCCTGAATAGCCAAGGAAATCCTAAGAAAAAAGAACAAAGCTAGAGGCATCACACTACCTGATTTCAAACTATACTACATGGCTACAGTAACCAAAACACCATGGTACTAGTACAAAAACAGACACATAGACCAATGGAACAGCATAGAGAACCCAGAAATAAGACCTCACACCTACAGTTATCTGATCTTTGACAAACTTGTCAAAAACAAGCAATGGGGAAAGGACTCCCTATTCAATAAATGGTGCTGGGATAACTGGCTAGACATATGCAGAAGATTGAAACTGGACCCTGTTCTTACATTATAACAAAATTAACTCAAGATGGATTAAAGACTTAAATGTAAAACCCAAAAATAAAAACCCTGAAAGACAACCTAGGCAGTACCATTCAGGACATAGACATGGGCAAAGATTTCATAATGCAATTGCACAAAAGCAAAAATTGACAAATGGAATCTAATTAAACTAAAGAGCTTTGGCACAGAAAAAGAAACTATCAACAGAGTAAACAGACAATCTATAGAATGGGAGGAAATTCTTGCCAACCATACATCCAACAAAGGCCTAATATCCAGCATTTATAAGGAAGTTAAATTTTCACGGAAAAAAAAAAACAACCTCATTAAAAAGTGGGCAAAGGACGTGAACCTCATTAAAAGAACATGAAACCTCATTAAAAAGTGGACAAAGGACATGAACAGACACTTTTCAAAAGAAGACGTACATGCAGCCAACAATCATATGAAAAAAGAGCTCAACATCACCAATCATTACAGAAATGCACATCAAAACCACAATGAGATACCATCTAACAACATACAGAATGGCTATTATTAAAAAGTAAAAAAATAAATGCTGGTAAGATTATGGAGAAAAAAGAATGCTTATGCACTGTCAGTGGGAGTGTAAATTTCTTCCATCATTGTGAAAGACAGTGTGTTGGTTCCTCAAAGACCTAAAGACAGAAATACTATTCAACCCAGCAATCTCATTACTGGTTACATACCCAAAGAAATATAGATCTTTGTATTATAAAGACACATATATGCGTAGGTTTATTGCATTACTGTTCACAATAGCAAAGACATGGAATCAACCTAAATGCCCGTCAATGATAGACTGAATAAAGAAAATTGGTATATATACACCATGGAATAGTATGCAGCCATAAAAAAGAATGAGATTATGTCTTTTGCAAGAACTTGGGTGTAACTGGAGGCTATTGTCCTTAGCAAACTAATGCAGGAATGGAAAACCAAATACCACATGTTCTCACTTATAAGTGGGAACTAAATGACGAAAACAAATGAACACATAGAATGGAACGATACAAACTGTGGCCTACTTGATGGGGGAAAGTGGGAGAAGATAGGGAGTCAGGAAAAATAACTAATGGGTAATAGGATTAATACCTGAGTGATGAAATAGTCTGTACAACAACCTCCCATGACACAAATTTACCTGTGTAACAAACCTGTACTTGTACCCCTGAGCTTAAAAGTTTAGAAGCAAACAACAACAAAAAAGAAAAATGTGGTGTATGTTACATGATAGAATACTGTTTGACCATGAAAAAGAATGAAGTCATGTCATTTGCAACAACATGGATGGAACTGGAGGTCATTATATTAAGTGAAATACGCCAGGCACAGAAAGACAAATATTGCATGTTCTGACTCTTGTGTAGGAACTAAAAAGGTTGAATTCATTGAGATAGAGTAGAATGATAGATACCAGAGGCTGGGAAAGGTATGTGGGTGGGCAAAATGAAGAGAGGTAGGTTAATAGGCACAAACAGGAAGTTATTTGGAAGGAGCAAGTTCTAATGGTTGATAGCAGAGTGGGTGATTAAGTTAACAACAAGACATTATATTTCAAAATAACTATAAGAGAGGACTTGATATGTTCCTATCACATAGAAATGTTAAATACTTGGGTGATGGGTTCCCCAAACAGTCAAGAGAAATGGTGAAATCTTATGTCTAATCAATGATCTAATGAAATCTAAGACTTGTATATAAATGTCCATATAAGCTTTATTGTAATAGCCAGAAAGCTTGAAACAAACCAAACATTCCTCTAAAGGTGAATGATTAATCAAACTGTGGTATATCCCATATAATAAAATAATCATTCTGGAATTTAAAAAAATTAACTATTGATGCAGGTAACAGCATGGATAAATCTCAAAATTACTGTGTTGAGAAAAAGAGGACAAATGAAAAATAATACCTACCATATAATTGCACATATACAAGATTTTAGAAAATCTAAACTAATTTAAGGTAACAGAAAGCAGATCAATTTTGCCTGGGGAACAGATATGCCCACGGGGTTGAGAGGAAGCAATTACACAGGGGCACAAGGAAATTTGGGAGAGGAGTGTATCTTGTTAGTAATGATGAAATATGTGTATACATATTTCAAAGCTCATCAAATTATACACTTTAAATACGAGCAACTTCTATGCCAATTATAACAATACAGCTGTTAAAAAAGAGTAAGTACTTCTCAAATCATTTAAAAGTCTACTATTATCTCTTACTCAAACCAGAAAAAGATAGGTGAGAAATGTATAAAGGAACATCTAGCTAAAATTCCAAGGAAAATATAATTTACTTTAAACTAATAAATGATTCTGTGGTGATTTCTACATTCTAATCATTTCTCTAATGAATAAACGATTATGCCATGTAAATCTTATATTACTCTTATGAAAGAGAAGTATTTTCATCATCTTTATTTTATACATGAGGAAACTGAAGTACATTGAGGTTAAGTAACTCACTCAAAGGTAACCAGCCACTAAGAGGGAGATCCAGTATTGGAACAAAATAGTTAGTAGGATTTGAGTTCATCTGTAATACACAGCCTTTCTCATAGAAGTAAACCAATTATTGCAGTGTTCAAACATATGCACATGCCAATTTGAGACTGTTCCTGGAATATGTTTTAAAATTAGAAAATCTATTAATGAAATTCAACACTTAGCAGATCAAAGAAGAAAAAAAACTATGTGATCATCTCAATAAATGCTGAAAAGTATTTAATAATATTCAACTACCCTTCATGATTAAAAGAAAATTTTAACAAACCTTTTCTTTAAGAAGACTATCCACCAAAACTGTAAAACAAACATTACATATAGTGCTTTAAAATATTTTAAATCTTAGCTTTAAAGTTAAAAGCAAAAAGAATGTCCACTCTCATCATTTCAACTGAATATTGTACTGGAGGCCTTGGTCATTGCAGCCATATAAGAAAAATAAATAGTTAAAGGTTCAGAAAGTTAGAAAAAAAAAATCCTCATTATGATTGTTTATACAAAAAATCCAAGACAATCAATAGAATTAATAAGAGAGTTTATCAAAGCTGCTTAGTTCTGACTCAATACATAAAAATAAATGTCATTCATGTATACCAGCCATTAGAATGATAATTTTTAAATAATACACTTAAAATAAAAATATAATATCTAAGGTAACTATGAATAAACTTATCAAAAATGTGCCTGAACTTCATGGGAAAAATTATAAACTTTTAGTGAGGAAAACATATAGGATTGAATTTCTCCTACAAATGTGTATTGAAGGACTGCCAAAATAAATTCAACAAGCCTATAAATTTATCATAAAATTCACATGGTAGAACTAAGGTCTTTGAATGCCAAGACAAATTTGAAGTGCAAGATTGATACCAGATATCAACACTTAAAATATCTGATTTTACCAGTACTCTTCTATGCTCATTTAGGTATACACACACGCACACACACACACGTATGTTATGTATCAATATAAATGAAAATATGAATAAAATAAACTGGTTAAGGTATTACTAAAATGTTTTCCCATTTTAGCATATAAATCTTTTGAATCACTCTTCTATTTAGAGTCATCAATATCTGTGTTTTTCTTTACAATATCATTCACTATATCATCAAGAGTGTTGGTAATTCCCATTTCCTTAAAAAGTGCTTCACTATTATCTCCAGATTTTACCCAAGCCACAGATACCCATTCTCCAAGTTTTAATGCTGGCACTTTTTTGATCTTACCAGAAAATTATCAATTGAATATTTTCAGACAATTATTGGGACCCATATTATTTTCTCAGATTGATTCCTAAATAATGTATTGACGAAAACTTTGAGTAATAGTGATTATCCTGTCATACCAACAGGAGTAATAATTAAGATAAGGCACGTAGCACACTTTCTGCCACAATTCCCCTCTGTGGAAAGTGATTGTAAGACGCCATCAATTATAAAATATATCCAAATTATAAAGATGCTAAAATATGGACAAATGTATATATTGATTGTTGAATTGGACAGTGGGAAATAACGTGATAAGATATTGGTTCAATAAATGCTAAGTCAACGTTTGCTAAGTCTCCCCACCATCAAAAAATGTAAAATAAAATTATGCTGTTTTGTAAAATCTAATCAAACTTTTATTCTTATTACTAATCAGTTGAGAATGGACAGAGACTATTCCATAATAAAGACACATGCTCAACTACGGTCATTGCATCATGGTTTGTAATAATATAAATTAAATTTAAAAACCTAGAAACAATAAAAATACCATCAACTCTATGATGGATAAGCAAATTGTTGGCCATTCCTAAGTGGAATAATTTACAGGCATGAAAATGGGCAAAACTTTATATGTAGATATAGAGATAGATATAATATATAAAAATATATAGCTATAGCTATAGATATAGATATGTCAACATAGATGAATCTCAGAAACAAAAGAAGAACAGATAAAATATGTAAATTAAAACAACATAATACAAAAGTTAAAATAAAATAGAGCCATACATAAAACATGGTTAAAATCTCACAAACAACATTAAGGGAAAAAAGTATGTGGAAGATTTTGATAAATTATGACACTGTAATTATAAAATTTAAAAGCACAAAAGTGTCATAGATTGTATAAAATACCCTGTAAATAATGACATAGAAAATTAAGACCACAGTGGAAAAGGGAAGGAGGGAGAGAGACTGGGGAAGGATGAAATATAGAGAGAAAAACTGAATATATAATTAAATATTTGAATTCTCAACACAAATGTTTTGCATGACCTCTTTACTACAGGATATACTGATTCTGAGAAATATATGACCAACATTTGGATGAAAAACACCATGTCAGTGTATTTGTTATGGCATTTTGTTTTTTTGATAATAGTTGAATAATTTTATTTCATGCCCCATATTGAAGAGATAATTGTTCTGGGTGTTGTGATTTAATCTTGGTGTAACAGAATCTTGTTCAGCCATTTATCTCAATAATACCCCCAAATTCTGCCTTGTCTTAAGTTGAGTAGTCCCTTTCATCCTCATTATTGTGTTTATATGGCCATCTAACAAAGAAGTGGATCCTAAAGATTTTGATCATTCATCCTTGAAGGTTGAATTAATATCAGTTCCTTTAAAGAACACAGAGCAGGGAGAATTTCAGCAACAGCAGCCTGTTCAAATCTTTAAAGACTTTCTTGGGTTGCAGTGGAACTCCTAAGGACTGAGTTAAACATCTGCCTTAAAATAATATAATATTCTTCTGTTTTTCCTTTGACCTTTACTATGTAAAATACATGTGAAGCACACAAAAACCAGTGTGTAAACCACACATGAATTAGCAGAAAACAAAAGCATATTTTAATCAATTTCATCTGTATTCCATAATAGATGATAAATGTATACTGTAAACCATAAACCGTAACTGCTTATGGTTTACAGTATACATTCCCTTATAGCTGACCCAATTCCACTGGTTGTTACCCAGTGAGAGAAGACAGACTGGTATTCTGTTCCTCATGCTAAATATGAGGAAAATAAGCTCTTGAAAAATATGTTTTCCAGGCTGACAAGAGGCAGTATTGCTACAAACATATAAAACAGGGAGATATTGCAAACACATAAGGATATTAGCTAGGCAAAACTGTATTTTCCGTTTAGTTTTGTTTTTGTTTTCACAGCAAATTATTTAGGATTCCAAATATATGCTAGTAGGTAAGTCCAAGAAAATACCAAAGAGTTTTGCCAATAACTCAAATAGTTTGTGGCCTTTCACTTTGGGAAGACTGTCTTCCAGTAATTTTTCTCTCCAATCACTTTATAATTTATACACTTCAATTGCCTTCCTTTAAATAGGGTCTTGGATTTTTCAGGGTTACTTCCATATGTCTGATATTAATAAGCATGTTTAGTAAATCCAAATAATGCTTGAATTAAATAGAGGGAAACTTGGGAAAAAATGTTTTTCGATAGGTGCAGAATATGTTGGTGGCAATAACTAGAGATGTTGACATTATGTCCAGATTATAGATCCTTATCAAGGAGGTCACTGACCTTCAGAAGCTATGCCTGTCGGTAGGGTCTAACTGTGTGTCAGTATATGGGGATTGGGTGAGTACTTGGCATAACTATTTAAGAGAGGGTGAAAAGAGCTGCACAATAACTCTCAATCTAATGGAGTAAAGGCAGAATTCTGGTATCTTATAGCCTTCATATTAAAGCAGCTCAGACAACAGCCCCTTCCCAGCTCTCATACAGTTGGTATGAGATATCAGTGAGGGTGAATAGAGAAACGTTTCTTACTAGCTCCTCTTCTCTTGATGTTCCAGGAATTTTCCTGGCAGTTAACTGCAACCATTCAGGTTGGTTGGTGTCTGCTGTGACTACCACAGAACGTATAACCACTTCACTTGGCAGTACCTGTAGGTAGCAGATAGTTCTACTAGAAATGAGCTCTCCCAGGGCTCCTTCCTCCATTTTGCAGAGGGATGTACTCAAAATAGACTGAGCCTGAGCCCAAAGCCTTTGTTCAAGTTTGACACATAAGTAATTACTTTAGATGAGTTATAATTTTCTATCTTTAGGCTCACTGCCTCTGTAGATCTGAAGCCCACCCCTCCACTTCATTCCCCGTACTCACACCTCACCTGTCCCTTCTCCTATTGCTGTTTCTAGTTAGACCTGTACTCCATGCTTTTGTTTTTGTTTTTGTTTTTTTCTGTTTGATTTGTTTTCCAAGCCAGGCTGCTGCAACCAGTTTATTAAGAAGCTTCAATTCGGTGGAGAGTAAATACAAAATGTTATTTTTCTCCTGTCACTGACTTCAACTATATTCTGTCCAGTGCCCTGTCACTTACTAACACCTCAGGCAGATCTCACGGCTTTTTGTTCAAACTTTTGATCACTTTCAAATATTAAAAGTTCATACCTATTAAAAGTTCCAAACTCTGATTTGATTTAAAATTCATGTCTTTCCCTTCCCCTAGAGGCAGTCAGGTTGTGACTCAAGGAAACTGGAGCAGAGGTGGAGGATCGGTGCCTGTCCTTTTACTCTTCCTCCCGCTCCAGGTCTCCTCTGGGGAGTTGGAGCCTGCTCTTAGCCTGGGACAATGCCTTTTTTCCCTTTCGAGAGTTGGATGATAGAAGGCATAATCAGGCATGTAGAGCTTTTCTTATGTAACTTGGTTTTCAATCATTTCAGAGTGGAGGGGAAACATCCTTTATTATGCTCCAGCAAAAATGACTGTAGTCTTCATGTAAATGTGTGTGGTGTGCTTGTTTTTTGGAGTTGTGTTCAGCTTTATTCTGGTCGACTTTATCATCAAGGACACCCTTCAGAGAGCCGCAGCCCTGCCTCCCTTTGCTGTCACTAGCAGCCCTTCCCCCATCACTTGGTCCTATCCTTTATCTTCTGTGTCCCTTTACATGAAGCCCTGGAGACTAGGAGGTTGTCTTCTTTATCTTCAGTGTGTTCAGATAAAACTATGCTACAGTCCCTAGTCACAGTATTCTTGAAATTGCTTTTGTAATCTATTGCTTTCAGAAACTTGCTGGCAAAAATTCAGCATTAGTCTGTCCATATTCATATAGACCACCAAACTCTGGGAATCACTTTAAAAGTTAGGCAATCCCTTACCACACCCCTCGCTACTATGTGTTTGGTCTACAGTTTCCACAGCTCAGCAACTCTACCTCTCAGTAAGATGCCAGTATCTGCAAGTAATCCTCATGAGGCTCCCCTTCATTTGGCATCCCCTTGATGGAGCAAGGAAGGAGTAACCTCTCAGCACACCCTGCACTTCCATACACTCCTATTCTGTCAGTTGTCTTCCCTCTACAACCTTCTGATGTTAACAGGAGGCAGAGGCTTGCTGAGAGGGATAGTGGTAGGAGAGCTCACTCTGCCCTCTTTCAATAAGCTCTGAAAAGTCCCTGGCCCTAATTTTATACTGTGTCCCTTATAAGACTAGGCTTGACTAATCACACTGATTTGTCCCCAGTTTTAGGGCATAGTTGCTAAGTCTGAAACAATAAGAGAGATCCCAAATCACCACCCTATTCTACAATTGCACCTACTTTACTGAAGACATAATTAAGATTGGTTTTTGATTGGTTCAAGATTGATTCTAAGGTTTCTTAGATAAAAGAAACTTGGAAAAGCCAAAAATTCTGACTTTAAAGAACAAAGTCCACAATTACTTAAAGTGCAGAGGTGGTTGTGCCGGACTACCTAAGTATGTCAGGAGTAGAGGACAAGGCATTTTGAGTTAGGTTGTTCCTGATATAAGAGACAAGGGATATGGGAAGATAGGCCAAAACGGAAATGCTATGGTTTGAATTTTTCTCTTCCAAAACTCATGTTGAAATTTGATCTCCATCGTGGCAGTGGTGGGAGGTAGGGCCTACTGGGAGGTATTTGTCATGGTGTGGATCCCTCATGAATAGATGAATGTCCTGCCACAAGAGTGAGTGAGTTCTTGCTCTTGTGGAACTGGGTTAGTTACCTCAAGAGCAGATTATTATAAAAGTGAGTTTGGTTTCCTTAACTCTCTGGCTTTCTCTCTTGCCACATGATCTCTTTGCACATGCCCACTGATGTGATTTGAATATCTGTCTCCCCACAAATCTAGACTAGGTGGGGCCTGGAAGGAAGTGTTTGGATCACAGGGGTGGATCTCTCATGGTTGGTGCTGCTTTTGAGATAGTGAGTTCTCACAAGATCTGGTCATTTAAAAGTATGTGGCACCTCCCCAGCAATTTTCTCTCTCTACCTCTCTTGCTCCCGCTTTCGCCATGTGACATGCCTACTCTTCCTTTGCCTTCTGATATGACTGGAAACTTCCTGAGGCCTCCCCAGAAGCAGATGTCACGATGCTTCCTGTACAGCCTGTAGAACTGTGAGCCTGTTAAACCACTTTTCTTATAAATTACCCAGTCTCAGTTATTTCTTTATAAAAATGCAAGAACAGCCTAACATATCCATTCAAGTTTTCCATTTCTCCACCTTGTTTTGAGCCAGCACATGAACCTCAAGAGAAGCCAACCAGATGTGGCAATATGCTCTTGAACTTTGTAGACTGCAGAATCATGAGTTAAGTAAATGTCTTTTCTTTAAAAACTACTTAGTCTCAGGTATTCTACAGTAAACAGACTAAAACAGAGAAATGTTGACTTCCTCATTGTATATATATCAGAACTGTCTAAATAAGAATTGCATTTTTTCCATGTACTCTCCAATATTATTGCTTTTTACATTTGCTTGATTATAGACAAGCCCTGAATACTATGCTTCCCATGGTTCTTGTATAGATACTTATATTTTGAACAATTATTTTAGGTTTTTAGTTTTAATATTATTAATATAAATCTCAAAATCTATGTTGTATTAAAAAGTTCACATTCTTCTGATAGTAAATAAGCTGATAAATGATGGAACATATTACATTTTACATACATTTATATATTTTTATATAAATAAGAGAGTTTAAAGGGTAATATGCCCAAACTTCTTTTTTCATCATTCTAATTTAGTCATTATTAATTTAATATATAAAAGTATGTTTCTGGAGAAAAAAAGAGTTATTCATTCAGAATCTCTATTTTCTTTTTCGCTCTCTTCTTTGTCTTTCCCTGTCTCTATTAATTTTTCAATTTAATTAAGCAAAAGGTATTCACTAATGCGGTTGAAATAGTTTGTGACATAAAAAAATCAATTGACATACACTTCCTGAGTAAAACACCTATTGTATATGAGATAAACACCTCTTCTAACATTGTAGCAGGGCTGTTCCAGTTATCAAAGTATTTTCTCTCAGCTCCAATTCACCCTTCAATACATGATTTGCAGCAATTGGAATTCCTTCTAGCATTTCTCCTTCACAGCAGCACACTGTTAACCTTTCTCAGCAGAGGGTGCTTGAGGGACGTTGGAGGAGGAATGGGACTCTGCTGCTGTTTTTTTTGGCAGCCTAAAGATTGGTCAGCAGTGTGGGTGTGAGAATATCCTGTGATCCTCTGCTGCAACCATGCACTCCCCATGTGTAATTCTTCAGCAGCCTGTAGCCCCAGCCTGGACCAGTCATCACCTTTCCACAGACCTACCTGAATTCTATTTATTCCCCTCTGAATGGAGTTCTGACCACCAGAAGCAGGACTTGGAATCAGGACGTAAGAAACACGCAGGTTTGCAGTTGGGAATCATAATAAAGGATGTGACACCAAAGTGGCAAGGTATAAGGAGAGAACCAAAGGTGGAGATCGGTCCAGAGCATTATAGCTGAGGAGTGAGTGAAGACTGCTCAGGCAATGAAGTCCTGCTCACATGACAAATGGCAAGTCTACCCTTTTATAAGACATCAGGGCAAGCAGGGGCTGTTTCTCAATGGGATTGCATCTGACCCATCTTCTACTGATGTTTATTGAACAGGTATTTGGAACAAGAAATTACACTAAGTACATCAGGGGTTCTATGATGATAAGGAAATAAGCCAGGGAATATCTTGAAATGATGTCCAGTCATAAGTTTTATAATTCTATTCTGCATCCATAATAATTAAAATGAGGTTAAGACATAAGGTACCTTCTTAAATAAAATTTAAAATAAATTTTATAGATATTTATAGGAACATAATTTATTTGAATATTATGGCCCAAAATAAAAATATCATGATAAATTGCCAGTAAATCCCTTTTGCTCTTTTTAATGCACAATTTCAATATATTCAGTTTTCTGAGGGCTTACATGAGCCATGGGTCTGACCACCAAGAGGCATAGAATTGTGTTGGGAGAGGTATGGGTTAACATCATAACCACCAAGTAACTTGTTCAAATAATAACCACCAAAGGTATTCAAAAAAGAGAGCTATTATTTATTGGTAAAATTAAATAAGGCTTCACTGAAGGGACAGGAATTGGGCTGGACCCCAAAATATTGGTACATGGAGATAAATGAAGTTTTTCTGGAAAGTGTTGGTTAAATATTGTGGAAGAATTTTCAGGACATCATATGGTCTGTAGAGAAAATTATGGAAAATCAGATTAGAAATATATAATGGGTCCGCACTGTGGAAGAAATTTTTCACACTGTTAGGAAAATTCAATTTATCATTGTAGCTGACTTCAGTAGCTTGACAACACATAGCTATTAAGTGCTTCTATGTTTTCTACAGTTTCTCCCTCCTTTATTGGTTTTCCCATTCTTATCCCTAGATAGTAACTTTGCTACAAAGGGTTATATAGCTCCAACAAGCTCTCTGTGTTTATGATTCCCTTGAGTTTATTTGTACATTGGCATCATTCTCTCCATTTTACAAGCAAGAGTTGTGGTGAAAGGTTTGGCAACTGCCACACAGGGTATGAGTTCAGTCCTGGGACTGAGTCTCCAGTTGCCTTTAGAATGCCTTGCCCTGAAACATCTCTTACCCTTAACTTGGCTATGTGTGACTTCCCTTGGCCGTTGATTCCACTTTTCTCCACTTGAGACTCGCGGCTGTGGATTTGCCTGACTGTTTAGCACGTTGCCCTTATCTATTAATCTTGCCCTGGAAAGCAAGACTTGCTCTCTGGCCTCAAATGCAAGTCTTTCAGGGTGAACCTGCTTCTTCCTTACGCAGAGGATATCTCCTTACTTGACATGCCCATAAAGAAATCAATGTGACCTGCAGAACTGCTGAGGCTGAGAGATGGAAAGGGTCTTTGTTAGGCCAATCCAATCTCTAATCAGATCTTCTCCAGCTGGCAGTAGGTGATCTGAAATTATTACTGGTCTGCTGCTGGTAGAGAAGTCTGAAGAAACTTGGAAGAAAGTGAATGCTTCTCCCTCTCCTCCATATTACCAAGAAAAGCTCCATATCTGTTAGCTTCCACCGATTACCTCGTCTTTCTTTTCTACCCATTGCCAAGTACTCTGCTCTTTCCTCTAAATATGCCATTGCCCTTGATAAATTCTTGTTTCTAAATCCTATGGAACTGTTACGTTCTTTGTAGAAGTCCTTTTAAAATTACTCTTTGACTTATCTTTAATGAAGTGAGGATACTACAACCATGCCTTAAATTGTTCATTAATATCTGGTTACATACAAGTAAAGCAATCCCTTTCTGACAAGTAAAGCAACCACAAATGGCACATGGCTTCCAGAGCCTGTGGAATGCTCTTTGAATATGCTAAGATATGCTAAGGATGAATTTCACTTTTGGAAACATTAAATAATTACATATGACCAAACCTTGTATGCAGTGTATGGAATCTTGCTAATAATATAATTCTAAGTCAAAACCAATATTTACTTTTAAAAGCATGACTAGGATTTGTAAATTGTCATGAATGACTTGTGTATCATCCTTCCAGAGACCCTGCATCTTAGTCCACATGACATCTGAATGCCTCATGCCTCCACAACATGCCCCGATCCTGGCAAGCAGCATACCGGTATCATAGCACATATTACGTTGTGTCGTAATTAGTTTTTTATATACCTTTCTCTCTATCCAGAGAGTAATTCCCTAAAATGCAGGGATATGTTATAGTCATCTATACACAATGTTTGCCACATAAAATTTGCACAATACATATTTAGTAAATGCTTATATTAACTGAAGATAACTTTAGTAAAGGTGTGATATTCAGATTGACCTGTGAAGTTTTCCACAATTTATTTTTCTTCAGGCTAATATGTTGTGTGTGATTTGCTTTGTTTCTGCTGATTATGTCATTCTGTCATTTTTTTTAAAGAAACATGGATTACTCTGTTAAATCAGAGAAAAGTTAAAAGTTAAGAAAAAATACACCTGTGGTAATAGAAATAGTTTTACCTGTTCATGGACATAATTAAGAGATAGCATCTAATGTGAGCATAAGTGTGGTGAGTTTGAAAATGTGAATGGAGTTACTACTTGTTTCTCTCTCTTTATAGCATTACATCTCTATAACCTACGAGATACATGAGCCACAGAAGAAGATCTTTAGGGGAGGATGATTAGGGCACGGTCTTTGCATTTTTTCAATGAGGTGACAAGTGCGCTTACCTAAGAGTTAGTGTAGATGCTCAATGTGCCTTTCCATACAGGTGAAGTTCATTCAGCTTGTTTAATAATGACATTTAATCAGTTCAAATGAGAGCATTGCTAAACAGACCCTATGTGGGAAAGATATTAGTATCTGCCTTTACCTTCAGTCAGTCTCTGCCTATAAGTCACTCTGAAGATGATAATGCGGAGTGTTCTCCTTCATGAAATGAATGGTTCCATCTATGTCTGCTCTATCTCAGTCACCAGAATAATGAATCAAAAGAATAATTAAGCCTATTAATAAAATGGTCAATTTATTTTAATTTATTGGTGTGGTTTACTTTTTTATATAATTTAATGAGCACTGTTTTGAGAGAGTACTAACAGTTTACTCAAGAGTCTTTTAAGAATTCTGTTAGCACATAGGTACAAAGTTGACACCAAGGGAAATGGCCAGGGTTATAAGCAGAGCCCCACCAGCCTCCCTGTCTGGGTTACTTTTCACTCAGTTGTTCCTACCATGGCCCCCTAGGTCTCTTCTAAAGCCCACGCTACTGTATTTCTGCATATAATCAATGTAGGCAGTGCTTTTCCTTCCAAAATGGTCTCCCATTCCACTAACAGTGCTTGCTGTTAGCCAGAAATATGATAAGCTCATTCTTACACGTTTGAGAATTAGTGAGAAAGGCTTGAAATTCTAACCTTTTAGGCACATTCCTTCTTGTGCTCCTGGACCTCCAAGGAGTCCAAGGAGAACCTCTGATTCCATTTCTAATCCAAATATAGAATAATGTCTCAGTGCTCATAGAATAAAGCCCAGTGTCCTAAACAAATTGGCCCAAGGAAAGCTCTTCGGTCTTATCTTACCTGCCTCCTTTCACACTTCTACTGGCCACATCTCACCTGGGTACTTATGTTTCCTTCAGAGGGTCAACCACCTCATGGGCACATGCTTTGATGTTTTTTCTTCAGTGCTGACATTCCTATCCTACTCCTTCCTATATACTAACATTTCTAAATTCAGGTCAAATGCTAGTACCTTTTTGCAGGTTTTTCTCATCTTTCTTTAGCACCATAGAATATGTTCCTTCTTTTCTTTCCCAAAGCACTTTCCCTTATGACACTCTTCATTTATTGAATTAGGCCATAGTTATGCAGATGCATCAACTCACTAGATTTTAAGTTTACTGAAGGTATAAGCACTCAAAGATTAGCACAGTGACTTGCCCATAGTTAGAGCTCAACAAAACTCTAACTGAAATACAAAGGTATTTAAACTTTATTTTAGATAAGTCAATACTTACTGGATAAATAAAATTGTAATATTAAAAATAACATTTCATATATTACAGGTGAAGGAAATATTTTATGAATAGTTACGTTTCCCATTTTGGGCTCAAAAAAGTTTATATTATGAGTGTTTTCTTGCTCTTCCAAGATTTGAGGCAAGCTCTTCTCTGTGTGTATATGGAGATTTTCTTCATATGGGTACTCAATGAGAGTATGTAGAAGACAAGCAGATAAAGCGATGCTCCAAGTGTTTATGGTTCCTTTTATTGAATCATTTTGTAAGCACAGATGAATACTAGTGCTATAGCATTTATCAGAACCCTTACACATTAGATGTGAAAGACATCATCATAAAAGACAATCTTTTACTGCAGAACTATGTATTCACTACCTTGAGAAACAAAATGAAGGAATTCATACTTGTAATATTTGCAAATGGCTTAGAACAGTGCTTGACAAAGAGTAAGCACAGTATGTGTTTACAAAATAAATATAATATTTCATTCAAAATTTCAAAATAAATATTTTACGTAACCGCTTTTGTGATTTAATAACCATTTAACCATTGTTATGGTTATTAGATGAATTAAGTGAGATGACTGCACCAAGGAAATGACCCAGTACTTGCCACAACTGAGGTATAATGAGATTTAACTTCACCGCTTTCACACTTCTACTGGCCACATCTCACCTGGGTACTTATGTACCCGTGGGTTGGACAAGCTTGAAAATGGTAAAGGAACCATACTGACTGGACAAAAGATTTACATTAAAGACTGGTGACCCTAAGAAGCTGTAAAAATAGGCTAAAATTAGTTTGTAAAGAACTGTGAATTGAGTTTGATATTAAAAGGTTTAACTATGTCAAACAGATTTAGCATACACAAGGTGAATGTAGAAAACAAACGTAGTATAACATGCCATAAAATTGTTCATATGACTTCCTCACCAAAAAATAGACTCCTGAAATCACACTCATACTATTTTCATGGATTAACGAAATTGCCGAAATGGAAGGAATAAGGAGAAATTGTTTGCACCAAACCTCTCAAACAGCTAAAGAGGTTCATAAAAGCTCAATTATTTCATGAAGATCATATACTTGCCAAGTGGCAGAGTGAGGACCACATCCCACATTTTCTGCTTCACAGTCGAAGCCAGTAATCCCTAGTCTTGATTGCATGATAGAGACTATGAAAACCAGTGATGGTTTAATGAGTCCCTCTCTAGACACACATCTAACTCCTAAGTTATTATTTATTTTGGTCAGGGATAGATGTGATAATTAAGAATAGGTTAGCAAAAGAAATTATAGTTTGACAATGAAAACAATTAATGTACTTATTTTTACATCTATGTACAAGATATTGTATAAGTGACTAAGATAATATGAGATAAACAAGGATAAAAGAAAAATCTCTCATGCATCCTAGTTTTGGTAATCAAATTGACCTGATTTAATCCTTACTACACATACAGACGCATGCTCACAGCCAAGATTCCCTCTTGTCTTCCGGAAACTCATTTTGATCTCTCCCCTAGGAAGGAAAACACTATGACTAGGAAAATAATTCTATCCTCAAGACTAAAGACACGTAGCCTAAGGTCGTGGCTAAAGTCCATTTCTTCATAAAATCTTAAAATCCAGCTTTCCAGTTCTTCTTCTGCCTGCTTATAATGTCAATTGCTGTCATAATCATCCTTGATAAATGACTAGTCCTACTCATCGATGCTGTCTAAAGTCTAACTCATGGCGTTTTCAGCCTGTTATTTTACTTGCCTAGACTTAGAGGAGCAACTGCATATATATAGAGACCAGTCACACACTGGCTGGTCTCAATTTTACAGAAACTGTAGAATTGGACCCGTAGAACACTTTTTCTAGAAGTAATTTATTTTGGTACAAAAAAATTTAAAAAATAAAAATTAGACCTCTAGTTAGGCTACAGTCTTAAAAGCTATAAATTCGTTTAGATTTATGACTAACAATGAAATTCTTGGTAGGAATAGTTAGTTGATGGTAACTCATCAAAACAACTGACTAGACTGATCAACTGAATTGCTAGAATTCTTTATCACCAACATATAGTATTCTATGCTACTATATACATCCTGTGATATTTAATTATTCACCTTTTACTTTAAGAACAAATTTCTGGAAACTTTTACTTTGGTTTTTCAGTAACACACAAGGTATGGAATGTGGGAATTCATTCTTTATTCTAAGTATTACAAATAGCTAGTGAACCAAGGTATCTTGTAATTTAAAACTATATATGGCAGGCGTGTCCAATCTTTTGGCTTTCCTGGGCCACGCTGGAAAAAAAAGAATTGTCTTGGGCCACACATAAAATACACTAACACTAATGATAGCTGATGAGCTTTAAAAATTTGCAAAAACAATCCTCATAATTTTTTAAGAAAGTTTACAAATTTATGTTGGGCTGCATTCAAAACTGTTCTGGGCTGCATGCGTGGACTGTGGATTGGACAAGCTTGATATATGCATAAAACAATGTTAAAAAATAACTAACAATATAAGGCAGCTCATTCATTTTTCCTGATTAGTGTAGAACAATAGCTAGGTGAAAGGAAATTTCAGCCTGGGGTAAAATTTCATAAGGTTAGTGACCAGAACTTGGAAAAAGGAGACTTCTAGATGAATCAACAGAATGATCAATAGGAAAGGATTATGTTTTGTGGAGTGTGACTAGACTAGTGTAACTGTTGCTGAGGATATAGTTTAGAAAATAAGTTCGGATTCCCCGTGAAGCAATATGCAAATATGACAAGGTCGCATGTGGGGGCAATGAAGGCATTCAAAAAAGCCATGCTGTCAAACCTTTTCTCTGTCCTTGCAAAAGAGCATGTCTGTCAGGGAGTTGTAAATGAGTTGAATTTCTGTTAAGTCTGGGCAGCTAGAAGACTTGGAAACAATCCAAGGCGCAATATTGAAGCTCACCATCCATGGCTTTCTTGATGCGCTTCCTTTTTCCGAGGACGGTTTCCAACCTCTGCTCTGATTATCTACATCCTCGTTATTCATACTTTAAGGCCCATCTCCTCAGGGTTGTCTTCCTTAACTGCTCTACTGTCAAAAATCTCTCCATTTTCTGAATGTCACTAGTTCTGATGCTTGAGTAGAGAAGATTTTAGATTAATCTAGGAGCGAGGCATTGCATGAAGTGAAGAAGGCAATGCATATTGACAAGGAGGCCGTTTAGAAGGTCATTTCTGTATCCACATTTGAGGTAATGAAAAGATAAACATGGACAGGATTGGAAAGGGAAAAAATGTGTAAAATAATCAAAATGAATTAACTATTGAATAAGAGAAGGCAAGAGAGAAATAAATTCAAAATTAGTGTGAAGTTTCAAGTTTGGGGAATTGCTTTGATACCATTAAACGATCCCTAACAGAACAGAAATCCGAGGGAATGTGTTTGAAGTACAGGCTGAAGGCAAAAGCCTGCAATATTAAAAGAGGATGCACTGGAGGGGACATGGAGTCCTGAAGCTGTGGGGGTCGGTTGAGATGAGCAGCTGGGACTGGTACTGTGGTGCTTATAAAAACAATTGCTAGACTTTAAGGTGTGGTCATCAGAGCAATCAACCAGTCACCCAGTGATATACATTAATCAATTGATAGCTATGGCTAGTGCTATGGCTAATAATACTTTCTTCTTTCAATGTAGGGGAAAGTAAACCTTGAGACCTCTTCTTGGGTAGATTAAACTCCACACTGCAACATTTTTGGCAATAGCATTTCCTTTTTCTTTCTTTCTATTTAAAGATTATGGGAGTCTTGATTCCAGACAATTTTTTTTTTCTCCCCAACAAAGAAAGTCCAATATCTAATTTTGATATTTTCAAGGATTGAATCTATGCTCTTAAACAAACAATCTCTCTTCTCCATTATTTTCACCTGATGTGAAGGCTTACGGTGAGGCCTAACAAGAAAGCCTGAGTGGGTCACATTGTTATGGGTTTTTTTAAGCCATTTCTTTCTATCAATCTATATACTTTTCTATTGTCTGTTCTAAATATTAATATACTTTTCACACACACAAAATACCTACATACACATAATAAATAAGAAGTTCCAAACTTGAATCTTTTGGGGATTTCAATTTGATTATTTTAAGAATAAAACTGCTGTCAGCTTTGTTTGTGGAGAGGGTTTAGCAGCTCTGTTTACTCTAAAAGTAATCACTTCTTGATTCAAACTGCTTCACCAGTAAATAGAATATCTTAGGACATTAATTATATGGGAGAGAAGTCAACAAGAAGTAGCTGTTACAATTCATTACTGTACAAGAAATAGCAAGAGATGGGAGAAAATGTAAAGACAGAGATAATTGTTACTGCTTGGCTGTGAATAGCACTGGGATAGATGGATTGGAATTGGTTTATCTTTCTCCTTCATAACAAACTGGAACATAGGCCAGAGAAGGAGGTTAAGAAAGGCAGCCAGTTAGCCACGTGTTTAGTGCTTTGGAATACTGCAGACAAAAGAGGCATCTGGCAGCATTTTTTTTTAAGTATAAATTAATATTTTAATGTAAAACAATTTATTTCAGTTTATATGGTTAGGCAAAGTCTGCTGCACTATTTTGGCTTGTAGTTTACAAACTTTAAAATAGTAATCTTTCTCAAAGGATATTGATATAGTTTGGCTCTGTGTCCCCACCCAAATCTCACCCCAAATTGTAATCCTCATAATCCCCACATGTAAAGGGCAGGACCAGGTGTAGGTAATTGGATCATGGGGGCAGTTTCCCCCATGCTGTTCTCGTGATAGTGAGTTCTCATGAGACCTGATGGTTTTATAAGCATCTGGCATTCCCCCTGCTTGCACTGACTCTGTCCTGCTGCCCTGTGAAGAAGGTGCCTGCTTCCTCTTTGTCTTCCACCATGATTGTAACTTTCCTGAGGCCTCCCCACCAATGCAGAACTGTAAATCAATTAAACCTCTTTCCTTTATAAATTACCCGGTCTCAGCTATTTCTTCATTAGCAGTGTGAGAATGGACGAATACAGGCACCTTACTGGGGACTACAATATACAAAACCCGCTTTGGGTGGCATTTCAGTTCAACTTGGTCTTTAGCCAAGTGCCTACACACCATCTCTTTTTCTTCATTCACCCCTGGCACCCTGAGCAACCCCTGAAGACCTCTGGCACCCTACAGAGTACAGTATAAAGACATGTGATCTGAGCCCTCTCATTTTACAGATGCCAAAACCAAGACCCAGAGAGAGGCAGCTTTTGGGTGTAACTTATGTTGTTTGATTATGATAAAGCTGACTAAAGAAGAAGTTTCTTGGTTCAGGTGTGCTGTTTTTGGCTGTACTGTGTACTTCTTATTTGAGGGCAATAATGCCAGAGGAATATTTCTGTATCATTAACTCCTCATCTTCCAGACTTATCTTTAAGTGACATTTCCTTCATATTGGCCCAGGTTTATATAACACTGCACCTAATCACAGATTTTAGAATAGTTTATAGCCAGGAACATTTCAGAGAGAGAAGCACACGATAATTTATTCTAAGGTCTAATGACATTTGGTCTAGGATTAGATGGTAAAAAGCATCAGATTGGAAACCATTTCAAAATAAGATACGATATAGATATTATGTACATTTTTAAAAATTTGCTCTGGATGTTCCTGACCATATATGGAGAGAATCATATTCATTAGTCAGTAGTCTTGGTGTAACCGCTCAAGAGCACATGCAAGCACACTGGATGCATGAAGGTGAACAAATAGCATCATGAGATATTTATTGTGAAATCAATTATAGTAAAAGCTGCAAAGTACAACCTAGGTGAGGCAGGTTTGCATAGCATTGTAACTGAAGAGAAAGGAGACCTATATGGTTTAGTAATGAGACAAAAACTTTATTGAAAGAAAATACAGAATGACACAGAAGAAAGGAAGAAGAAAAAATTTTTGAAAAAGAGGAGGGAGCACGCTGATGGGACAGTGTGGCTGTAAGAGAGATTCTGGGGAGTGAAAACAAGAAGAGAAGGAGTCAAAAAGGAGTTATATTGAAAAAGAGTAGACACTCCTACCATTGCCAATCATTCCTGGCAATGGGGAGTTCTGTCAGGGACTGTGGCAGAGGACTTGGGAGACTGAGTTTGGGATTTGAAAGCAGACAATTGGGTTCTGGAAATGATGTGATTTAATCACTGTATCTGCTCCTTGCCTTAGAGAATAGAGGATTGCCTGAAGGTGTGGTTCCTAACCCTCCATCCTAGAATTTAAGGCCTCATACTTAGCTTCTAGAATTTAAGGCCTCATACTTAGCTTTAAGTGATTTAACATATTGCCTCACCTCAAACTCATATACCTGGAAACCATTTTACACAGACCTTTTTTGACTTCGCCAATGTAAGTTACATTTGCATCGCCACTCCTTTTGATTCCCCATTTCCTGATATGCCACAGATCTTGAAGGTGAGAATTAGACTACTCAGGGAACACCAGTTAATGGCTCGTTTTTCACTGTAGCTGATGCTAGCTGCAGAGAGAAGCATACTATGTATATGTTCCAAATAAAATTTGTTTGTTAGCTCTACATGCTGCATGCCATAGCTATCCCTTGATCACTGTCTTTTCTGATGGTTGCAAGTGCCAGCCATAAGGTAGCTCCTTAGGGGAAAAGGTACTTGAGAATAGGACCATCTCACAGAGACTGCCAGAGTCTTCCCTCACACAGAGATTCACAAATACTCAACGTCCTCCGTTAACGTATAGAAACTCTGGGATTAGAATTTCTCAGCAACTTATCTTAATTTTAGCTATGTGAGTTCTTGCCCTACCTCTGTCATTAATTTACTAAAAGATTTTGATAAATCACTGGAATTATCTTGACTTTAGGTTACTCTTGTTTGTGATGAGTGTAATAATTCATAACCAACTAATCCAACGAAGTTATTTGTAGGATTAAATCAGGTAAATATGTGAAAGGTGTCTTTATTGGAGAAAAGCTTAGCAAATATATTAATATGGGATCCTACGATTAATATTATAAGATAAAATTTTTCATGTGTCAGTTTCTCTACTGTTCAATTCTGGGATATATATTACATAACATTCCTAATTATTGCAATATGATTTAATTTCCAAAAATATTATTGAGGCAAATTGCAAAGTGCATGGTGTCACATAGTCTTTATAGTTGTAGACATACCAGGAATCCATATACACCTATCCACTTCCTTTATATAGAAATACCACAATCATCACATATGCAGTCATTCATTTATTCTATAACTGGACAGTTACTAATTTACGCTTACCAAATTCAAGACCTTTCTTGAATCAGCCACTGTGTTAGGTTCTTGTTATCTTGGAGTAACTAGTCTATAAAGTGGCACATTATTAGAATCCAATTTAATATGTAATTTTTGAAATTGTGATAAAATATATATAACAAAATTTTACATTTTAGCTCTCTTTAAGTGTACAATTCAGTGTAATTACATTCACAATGTTGCATAAACTTTACCACTTTTTGCAAAACTTCTTAAACATGTTAAACAACTTAAACAAAAACTCTGTATGTATTGAATAACAACTCTTCACTCCCCCTTATCCCATCTCCTAGAAACATCTAATTTATTTTCCATAATTATGAATGTGCCTATTCTATATACAGTCACGTGCTACATAGCAACACTTTGGTCAATGATGAACCATATATACGCAGTGGTTCCACAGAATTATAATACTGTATTTTTTACCATACCTTTTCTATTTTAGATACACACATTCTTACCATTGTGTTACAACTGCCTACAGTATTCAGTACAGTATGCTGCACAGGTTTGTAGCCTAGGAGCAATAGGCTATACTATATAACCTAGGTACGTAGCAGGCTAACCATCTAGATTTGAGTAAACACACTCTATGGTGTTTACACAACAGTGAAATAACCTAACACATTTCTCAGTGTATCTCTGTCATTAAGCTACGTGTGACTGTATTTCATATAAATGGTATCACAATATTTGTCCTTTTGTGTCTGAGAATTATGTGTTTAATTATTTTAGGGACTGCCAAACTGTTTT
Source organism: Homo sapiens (assembly GCF_000001405.40). Taxonomy (NCBI): domain Eukaryota; kingdom Metazoa; phylum Chordata; class Mammalia; order Primates; family Hominidae; genus Homo; species Homo sapiens. Next base: position 39,287,163 of record NC_000018.10, read on the forward strand.
ATACAGCAGCTGCACCGTATCACATTACCATCAGCATACAAAATGGTTCCAATATCTTCATATCCTTGCCAATACTTGTTATTTTCCTTTTTTTTTCATTATTATAGCCATCCTAGTAGGTGTTAAGTAGTACGGCAGGTTTGATTTGCATTTCGCTGATGATTAGTGATCTTGAGCATCTTTTCTTGTGCTTACTGGTGATTTTTATGTTTTCTTTCAAGAAGTATGTATTCAAGTCAATTGCCTATTCTTCATTTGGGTTGTTAGTCTTTTTTGTTGCTGAGTTGTAGGAATTATATATATATTCTGAACACCAAACACTTTACAGATATATGAGTTCCATCTATTTTCTCCCATTCTGTAAGTCATCTTTTTGCTTTCTTGATAATGTGTATTAATAAATAAAAGTTATATTTTTTGTTTCAATGAAGTCTAATTTATTTTTTTGTTTATACTTTTTATGTCATATTTAAAAATCCATTGCTAAATTCAAGGTTATGAAGATGTGGCCTATGTTTTCTTATAAGATTATTATAATTTTAGTTCTTATATTTAGTCATTGTTCCATATTTTGTTAATATTTGTATATGATGTGAGGTAGAAATCCAAATTTATTCTTTTACATATGGATATCCAGTTTTCAGCAAAATTTGTTGAGAAGACTATTCTTTCCTGTTACATTTAATAAATGTACTTTGCATCTTTATCAAAAGTCAATTGGCTATATGAGTATGTTTTTTGTTTTTTGTTTTGAGACAGAGTCTTGCTCCGTCGCCCAGGCCGAAGTGCAGTGGCGCAATCTTGGCTCACTGTAACCTCTGCCTCCTGGGTTCAAGTGATTCTCAAGCCTCAGCTGCCCGAGTAGCTGAGATTACAGGTGTGCACCACCATGTACAACTAATTTTCGTATTTTTAGTAGAGATGGGGTTTTGCCATGTTGGCCAGGCTAGTCTCAAACTCCTGACCTCAGGTTATCCACCCACCTCAGCCTCCCAAAGTGCTGAGATTACAGACATAAGCCACCGTGCCCGGCTTATATGTGTATGATTTTGTTTCTGGACTCTCAATTCTATTCCATTGATTTCTATGACTATATTTATAGCAGTGACACACTGTTTTGATTACTGTAGCATTATAGTACATTTTGAAATGGAGAAATGGAAGTCCTCCAACAATATTCTCCTTTTTAAAGATTGTTTTGGCTATTTAATTCCCCATGCAATTCCATAAGATTTTTAGAATCACCTTCGCCATTTCTGCAAAAAAAAAAAAAAAAAAAAAAAGGCTATTGGAATATTTATAGGAATTGTGTGAAATCTGTAGATTGCTTTGGGTAGTACTGAGATCTTAATAATATTAAGTCTTCCAACCCATGAACATAAAATGAACTTCTATTTACCTATGTTGTCTTTTTTAAGTAATATTTTGTAGTTTTGAGTATACACATCTTTTACCCCTAGATTAAATTTATTCCCATGTATTTTATCTTTTTGAATGCTATCATGAATGCAATTGTTTTCTCAATATTCTTCTCAGATAGTTCATTGTGTATGGAAAAACAACTGATTTTTTGTGTTGATCTTGTGACTTAAAAATTTTCTAAATTTGTTTGTTAGCTTTAGTAGCTCTCTTATGAATTATTTGTGACTTTTTACATATAGATTATGTCATCTGTAAATAGAGGTAGTTTTACTTCTTTCATTCCAACTCAGTTGCCTTTTATTTTTGTTGTCTACTTTCTCTGCCTAGAACTTCCAGTAAAATTCTAAATAGCAGAGGCAAATGTGGTCATCTTTGTCTTTCTAATCTTAGGGAAAAAGCTTTCAGTTAACATTGAGTATGATGTTAGTTGTGGGTTTCTATAAACATCCTGTGATGTTAGTTGTGGGTTTCTGTAAATGTCCTTTATCATGTTGAATATTTCCTTCACTTTCTATTTTTTTAGTGTTTTTATCATGAAAGGGTGTTGGATTTTGTCAAATGCCCTTTCTGTGTGAATTAATATGATCATGTATTTTTCCCTTTTTTGTATTAATGCAGGATATTGTACTAATTTATTTCCTTATGTAAAGCCACCCTTGAATTATATCAATTCCCTGTTTCCCTTTTCCTGCTTAGTCCACTTTTATCATCATTCTAAACCTACCCTTCCAACACTTGGCCTTGATTTCATCATGGTGACCCTTTTTCAATGACCAATAACAGAAATTTCGGGTTCTGTGATCAAAGTTGATAGGTATGGTAAATGTTGAAACCATACCTTGACCTTTTTATATTAAGATGAGGTTGATATGTTATATCCTGTTAGCTACAACAGCACTGAAATGGAAGAACTCTGTGAGAAGAGATACAACAGATACAATATAATTTTGATTTCATGGAGTCAGCAAACATTTGTCATGTTATCCTGACCTAGAACAGATCCAGTGGTAGTCCAGGCCATTAAAATACCTACATTCTAGCCACATGGTAGAGACCATAAGAAACCTCATAATCTTACTCTTTTTCTATATGTAGAGATATTTTAACAATTTAACATGGTTATTGACTGAATATACCCCAACCTTACCAGTTGCTGTGCAAACTATTAGACTGCTCATTGCCCTGAGATGATATCCACTCTTTGCCCCCCACCTCACCCATCATTCAAAGATGATCTCTATAGTAAATTTGTTCATGCTTTAATGATAGTTTTGTACTGGTAAGTCTTACTATGATTTTTCATGGACATTACTGTGAACTGTCAGGAGATATTAGGGACAGGGAGAGCCTTTTCCATACCTTTAAGAAGCATACCACTCAAGTGTCTCTGAATATGTTAGTCAAATAATTAAGCTCACTTCAGCCAGTCAGAACTTAATGCCTTTATGGATTTTGACTACTGTTTTAAAATGGTGTTTGGAAAATAGCCTCTTATATAGGCATTCTCAAATTACATATATAATTCCTATGAGGACACTGGAAAAGATGATAATTCACAATTATGGCTAAAGCTAGGATTGAAAAATTCAGTCAAATATTAGTCTCCGAAGATTAAATCCTGTGAAGTATTGGATAGTATTGAGCCATGCTGAGCAGCTAGAGAGACTACCTGTTTAACATATAAAAACCTTTCTTCCTGTTCCATTTAAGTTCATTTTGAATTCAGAATGCAAAATTTCTGCATGTCTGCCACTTTCTTTGCAACTCCTAATTATCTTAAGATAGAACCTTGGGTAGTTTTCTTATTCTTTTAATTTTTCTAACAATATATCTTTTCTTACATCTGCTTTAAATGTGAAAGTCATAGAAAACAAAAGAGCAAAGGGTAATGTTATGAGTAGGTAGGAAGCACAGAGGGATAGTGGAGGTAAATTACATTCTGAAAGATGCTGTTCTTAAACATAGTTTAAGCAGGAAAACAACAGCAAAAGTCCTAGAAGTGGAATATTCTGGGCTCTAGAATATCACAGGAACTCCATCTATCTTGAGAGACAGAGAGCCAGGTAAGGAAGAATGGCAACAATTGCAGTTCAGTTCCACTGAGCCACATTACATGAATGTGTTAGACACTGACTCTAGCTAAGGCCAGTTAACACAACATATCTATTGATAACCATTTAATCTGGTTATATTATATTTTGATCAAAGATAAATTTTAAAAAGAAAAAGGAGTAACACTCATAGGTGTACTTTAAGGAAAAGAAAACTGCATAAGAATTTTTAAATAAAGTTAAGACATTATTTACTCAAATTTTTCACCTCACATTATACACATGCCCTCTGCCATGCAACTTTAGAATGCATTCCATAAAGGCAGAATGTATTTTTCCACCCTTTGACTTTGCTCTGGATGAAAGTGTAATTCCCCACCTGATTATTTGGCCAATAGAATGAGTTGAAAGAGACGGTGTATCACTTCTGAGCCTGGGTCTAAAAGGACTTGTGTGCTTTAGCTTTCCCTCTTGCATATCTGTGATCACCACGAGAAAAGTAAGTCTGAGCCAGCCAATTAGTCACAAATACAATAAATACCCAATATACTCCAGTCAATCCCATTCTATATCAGATAATACCCACAGGCAACCATAGACTCATGAGTGATGATAAATGATTTCTGTTTAAAAGGTTTAGAGTGGTTCAAACACACAATTGAAAACTGAAGAAGACTTCTTAAAACTTACCTATTGCAAGAGCCATTAAAAAATTTAGAAAACTGAAAATATCAAAAGGTTGTTAGATTATTTGTTCCCCATAAAATATAGGCAGAACATAAAAAAAAATCATGAGATGAAAAAATTGAATACCTTAAATTTTTTAAATAGGAAAAACTAATTTAAGGATGTAATAAAAATAAACTCTTCACGCAAAAAGGCATATATTCACAGAGGAAAAGAATATAATTTATAAATAGCACAAATTTGAAAATCTCATTCAAAATATATAATAAAATAAGTAAATAAATGAATATAGATGGACAGATGAGAGATGTTTGCAATAGAAGTGTTTTAAAAAGAAACATTTTAGAAACTATAAAAGCAATAAATAAAAAAACCTTAAAAATAAAAATGAAGGGATTGCTCTTGAATGAGAGGAAAGGGGATGAGTACATAGATTCAGATAAAAGAGTTTTAAACACAGTACTAAGAAATCAATAACAAGAAACCACACCTTTATAGGTACTGAAAAAATGGTTTTAGTTACAAAAATTTGAAACATTTTTAAAAATAACCACATAAAAGCAAGAAAAAAGAATCAAAGATTGTTTTATGCCAGACTTGTCCTCTCCAATGCAAAATATTTGAAGATAACATAATTAAGGTTATACTTCATCAATTAAGGACAATTCCTTTTGTATTTTAAATTATAAGATAATACAGAAATATCCTGAGATAAGTAAAGGCAAAGATAATGGAAAGGGTTTTTAAATTGTACTCAATTATCATGAAGTTGTCTGAAAAAAAAATTAAGAAGCCAAGATCAGGAAAGTCTAGGTATAAAATGTGTTAGGTCTACTTGTATGTTTTGTGATGTTCAACTTCAAAATTCACTTGAATTATACTTTGTAGAGTGGTTTCTATAGCCCCAGGGCAACGGTTAGAACTGCAAATACATCTTCTTTTTGATACATTTCTAGAATCATAAATGTAGTTCTTTTATCAGAAAAGTTATAAACAAAAATAATTTTCCCCTCCACAAATCTACGGAATTTTGAAATAATTTGAAGGTTTTAAAAATAAATGTTAAATGACCAGAGATATTTTATGATCTTTAAAAGTAAAATAGATTAATAACCATTGTATTGCCCCTTATCCAAAACCCTGTCTATAAATTGTTCATTATCAAACAAAATATGCCATAGACATGCAAATGCAAACAATGAAGCAGAAATATTATGGTTATGAAATGCTTCAAATTTTGCACTTTGCTTATTTCTGAATTTTCTTCTTTCTGTATTTCTAAATTTTTCCAGTTCTCTTGAAGGAAACATGGATTATTTTTATAACGAATAGAATCTTTACTTAAAAAGAGGAATCTTGTGTTTGTATTTTTCTCCATAAATTTTTTGTGTTATCTAGTGTTTCAGAATTGGAATTTTAACGATAAAATTATATAATTATCCTGGAGAAATGATGTGAACAGAAACAGGTGTTTCTTGAATTCTGCTGTCAGTCCCATATTTTAATACACAAGTGACATCTGTGCAACTGATTTTAAATCACATAATGTTTAATATTCATTTTCAAAGATAACATGCAAATCAACAATATGATAAAATTTTATGATATAGTAATAATGCCATATTTTATTATTGCTATTTGTAATTTCTCATCATATTTCTGTTAGTTTTTTCATAAATAACATGCAAACATATATTAATAGCTCCAGTTTTCAATCTCACTATAATACCATTTCCAAAGCCATTTAGCTCATTGCCTAGAAATAGGGGGTTATCAGAGTTTGAACCTCCAGGAATTACAAACTGTAATTAGAAACTATGGAGCAACATTTGACTTATAGTCATTGCCTTTAGCAAAACTCACCTGAACATTCAGCCCTCTCCCGGTGATATTCATGTGCCTGAGAGTGAATTGCTCACTGCCTTTGCCAATTGCTTTAAATATTTTGATACATCAAGGGTAGTCTGAGATAAAGTTTCTTCCTAAAACATTTGCAAATTCAGCTCCAGTCAGTGCCTTATTGTTAATTTCCAAGGGGGTTTTTCAAGTAAAACTACATGGATGGTAGCACATTTGGAATTCTTCTGGAAAAATCCACAAAAATTATAGTCTCATTAGAAATCATTGGAAGAGTATATAAAATCATTGCATTGTACTTTTCAAAATAATGTTATAATAAGAAAGAAGAGAATATTTAACTTTCTCATTTTGTATTTCTAATAAAATAGAACTCTTATTTTCATGTAGCAGTAAACATTAGAATGACTCTGCTGTATCTTTCCTCATTGATTCAGATGTGTAATTGATTGCCTCTCCCTATTAAATATAAATTATCGGAGTTTAATAGGATTATGTAACTTAATACGAACCACAGTGTTTTGGAAGGCTTATGGTTTGGAAGGGCAGAGATGTGGGCAGTGATGGTGGGTCTGAAACTGCTTCTTAAAACTGAAGCAACTTTTTAGTTGTTCTAAAAAAAGGTATGGAGTCATCTGTGAAATTGAGCTAAGCCATTGTTTTAGAGAAATGAGTGGTAAGCAACTTAAATGAGTCATTTATTTATCCAAGGAAGATAAAACTTATCTTCTGAATTGGATAATTTTTAGAAAAGATGCAATTAATTTTTTAATGGAAAAGATTTGCTTTTCCCTAAGACAGATTTTAATTGAGGAAAAAAATAAGGAAAGTATATTTTCCTATTCCCACTGGTCCTCAGAGAAGTGGGAGAGGAGAGCACAAACTCTGGGTAAGGGGGCATAGTTAGAGGCACACGTGTCAGGGGAAAGCTTACCTCTCTACCAGACATGACAACTACTAGGCAAAGTGGAGGGGTGGCTGGTAAGAGTCAATTTTAGAAAGAGGATGACCTATACCTCTAGCAAACGACATTTTAGTAGTCAATAGAAGGTTTGATTTCATGCCTTCTAATTCCCTTCTGTTATCCTCAGATCTGTGAAATCTTCTTGTCCTTTGTGACCTGTTCTTAACTCTGCCTTGAAATGTTCCAGACTTGAGAAGAAGTGGCACAGATAAACAGAAAGAAGAAACCAGGCAAAAGGTAATTACAGATGTCCTTCAGGGAGTAGAGCAGTGATATAAACAAAACACCTAGATGTCTGGATCCATATGACAAGCAGGTCAGATTTTTTGGATGCATAATCATCCCAGAGAGAGCCCCAGAAATACTTAGGAAGTGGTGTGCAGGGGAGCCTAGTAAGAATCAAAATACCAAAACACATGTGGATCAAAGGATCGCTATGCTGACACCGAAGGCACATGACCCTGAAACTTAAAAAACTAGAAACTTTGAGCAACATAAATAAGACCGTATGATAAAGTTGTAGAAAATTCTGTGTTTAAGTTGGCCAGGCGCAGTAGCTCATGCCTGTAATCCCAGCACCATGGGAAGCCAAGGTGGGCAGATCACTGGAGGTCAGGAGTTCGAGATCAGCCTGGCCAACATGGTGAAACTCTGTCTCTACTAAAAATACAAAAATTAGCTGGGCGTGGTGGCGGGCACCTGTAATCTCAGCTACTTGGGAGGCTGAGGCAGGAGAATCACTTGAACCCTGGAGGTGGAGGTTGCAGTGAGCCTAGATTGCACCACTGCACTCCAGCCTCGGCGACAAGAGTGAGACTCTGTCTCAAAAAAAAAAAAAAAAAAAAAAATTTCTATATTTAAGTTGTTAACTGTGGGAAGTGACTTTGACATTTCTTTTTTTGTCAGTTCGTGTTACAGAGCACAATTGGGATATAATTGCATATTTCAAGAATCTTGTATGTATGTGTGTTTGTGTGTGTTTATGTTCAAATAAAAAGATAATTTTCTCAGTCATTTAGGAAATACACATTCAGGATTGAAACACATTGTTTTTAGACGTATTTCCTTTTTCAATAGGTATTATCAGAAATGGAAAGTGTGCTTAACTTTGGATACCTACCTTAGAGATTATACTCATCTAAGTCCAGTATAATACAGAAAGTAAAGCCCACAATTTCTTGATTTGTAATCACAAATATAATACCTTTGAGTGAAACTACAAATATTTTTGCTAGTAAACAAGGGATTATGTCTACTGGTAAGTACAAAGCTGTGTAGAATTTAATTCTCTAGAGAATTTCCCAGGAACAAAAAATGTGCTGCCTGGCAAGAGTAGCCATAATCTTATCCTTCAGTTCCCAAAGCCCAATTTGGTTTCGCTCATCCATTCATCAGATGTATATTTATACATGACGTCTTCCCAGAGACTTTGGAAGGCAATAGAGTTCCAGAAGAAATGAAGCATTCTCTTTACCCTTGGATAACTCAGAATTTGAAAGAAAGTAATATGATAAACTGATGTTTATTATCCACCTATTATGTACCAAGCTGTGTCCCGGTGCTAACCCAAAGGTACAGAAGAGCTAACTCTCCCTGGGAGATGAAAGAAAGACAGAATTTGAAGTAAGCCTTGAAGGACAAGTAGGACTTCACCAGTTGGAAAAGGGATGGAGCATATTCCAGATGGAAGAACCAGCATGTAGAAATCCATGTGTGTAAACACACTGTGTGGTAACAACAGGGAAATTCAATATAGCTGAGTAAATGTTGTATTGAGGACTCGTACTGGCAAATAGCATAGGCTTGGGCTGATGATAAGTAGCAGGTAGAAAATCAAGACTTGAACCCCCTCTGTGGCAGCTACTGTGGCAGAAGTACTACTTCTATTATTTAATTAAACATTTAAAACAATACTACAAGGCATCTATTATCATTATTTCACAAGCAAGAAAATTGATAATAATAATAAATGAAAAGCATTCATTATCTTACACAAGTTTATACAGCAGGTCAAGGACAGAGACTCCAAAAAAATTATCTTCTTTTTGATCATCATACAAAAAGGATTTCATGTGGCAGGCTAAGGAGGTCAAGCTTATATCAAGGCAATGGTGGACTATTTAACTGGTCATTATATCCCTCTTCTTTGATTCATCCATTCATTTAACATGATTACATTTCAATTATGTACCAGGCATTGTTGGTATTTTCACATAGTCCATTACAGAAAGATCGATGTTCAAAACTACGCAGTCAATATAAGCTATGAGACAATGATACAAACATTTTAATGTACTATTGCTGTACAAAGAGGAAGTGGCAAAGCTTATCATGGAGGCACAACAAGAATGAGTTAGCAAAAGTTTCACAAAGGAAATGGCGTTTGAGAAAATTATTTACAAATGTAGTAGGTCATTAGATGTTAGGAGAGCCCAAGAAGCATCCAAGAAAAATAAATAAAAAAATACAGGTAGAAGCATAGGTAATTCAGTAAGATCAAGAGTATAAATAGGTTGGGGCCGGGCACGGTGGCTCATGCCTGTATACCCAACACTTTGGGAGGCCGAGGCAGGCGGATCACAAGGTCAGGAGATCGAGACTATCCTGGCTAACACAGTGAAACCCCATCTCTACTAAAAGTACAAAAAATTAGTGGTGGCGGGCTCCTGTAATCTCAGCTACTTGGGAGGCTGAGGCAGGAGAAGTGCTTGAACCTGGGAGGTGGAGATTGCAGTGAGCGAAGATCGTGCCACTGCACCCCAGCCTGGGTGACAGAGTGAGACTCAGTCTCAAAAAGAAAGAGTATAAATAGGTTGGACTTTTAGCAACATGGCTGAAGAAGAGTCAGGGGCCACATTATGAACAGTCTTTTATTCCAAGAGAAAATCTTTGCAAACCACAGATGGTGGCCCAAATTCAAATGACAGACATCCTTTTTTTTATTTAATTTTATTGTCCACACACATAATCTTTTTCAACTAAATTTGGAAAAAAAGTAGGATTTTACGTAGAATTTCTGCCTCTCTTAAAAAATTAGAAGAGGTGCCCACATTTGGCCTGGATTTCTGGCTAGTAACGATTGGTGCTGGAGAAGAGTTCTCTCCTTGAAATAAACATGTTCACTTAACAAACTGCCTCATTCTTGTATGTTCAGTGACTGATCTCTGATGATTTGTGTTGGCAAAACTTGATCTAGGCCCTGGCTTGTTTCAAGATCACTTAAGAAAAATAGTAAATATGTAGCCCTCAAGCCCTCTTACACCTACTTCAAAACCAATGGATTCATTATAATTTTTGTCAACTCAGGGATTTTAGAATTGGGTTTCTAAAGAATTCTGAAGAACTAAGACCTCAAGGGAAAACTAGAAATAGAACCAAGGAGAGGTCTGGGAATGCTGTGACGGTAAGTAAAACAATAAAAGGTCCACCTGCATTTAAACATTTTATTCCTCTTGCTTTATTCACAAGTGCCTAACATAGGGTAGACACAGAATATTAAGTATATGGAAGCAGTTTTTATCAAATGATTTCCTAAAGTGTGTATAAAATAGTATAAGTCCCTGTGATGTCCCCAAGCAAAGATTTTCAGAGTAAATCAATAATTTTTAAAAATTCAATGTCTTTTTCTTATTTTCAATGTTCTTTTAACATATCAAAATATCTTAAAAATTGCATCTTTTCCACAACAACTTTCTGACACCAAAGGGATGTCCTACAATTCAGTTTAACCTGAAGTTAGTATAGACCCTACAAGTTAAAGACAAAGTCCTTTAATTCTGATATGAAGTATCCAGGGTTAGTGGAGACCCTACCGGTTAAGGGCTCAGTCCCACAAAACTGCTCCCACTTCAGACTTCAGTTGCAAGTTTTCGGTATCTCCAAGTTACCTTCACTTTTTTTCCAAAAGACTGCAAATTTGGGGTTCCCAAAACATTTCACCCTAAAGTTCAATAATTCACTAGCACAATTCACAGAACTTGGGAAAGTGCTATATTTAAGATTACAGTTTTGTTATAAAGAATACAACTTGGCCGGGCGCGGTGGCTCACGTCTGTAATCTCAGCACTTTGGGAGGCCGAGGCAGGCGGATCATGAGGTCAAGAGATCGAGACCATCTGGCCAACATGGTGAAACCCTGTCTCTATTAAAACTACAAAAATTAGCTGCGTGTGGTGGTGCACACCTATAGTCCCAGCTACTCAGGAGGCTGAAGCAGGAGAATCATTTGAACCTGGGAGGTGGAGGCTGCAGTGAGCTGAGATCGCACCATTGCACTCCAGTCTGGCAACAGAGCAAGACCCCCATCTTAAAAACAACAACAACAAAAAAGAATACAACTCACAAGCAGCCAAAAGGAAAAGATGTATAGGGAAATGTATGGGGAGGAGTACACAGCACTTCCATGCCCTCTGTGTGTGCCAGCCTCCCAGGCCATTGATATGGTCACAGACGCAGAAGCTTCTCAAACCTCATTGTTCAAGAGTTTCTGTTGAGGCTTCATGATGCAGGCATCGTTGATTGAGTCTTTGGCCATTGGTGGTTGAACTGAATCCCTTGCTCCTCCTGCGTCTTCCCACACTGGAGGTCTGGAGGTAAGGCCAAAAGTCAAAACATTCTCATCATGTGGTTGGTTTTTCTGGCAAACGGCCTCCCACAGGGACACTAGTTAGGAGTCCCACAAGTCACCTCATTAGCATAACAAGACACTCCTATTACTTAGGAAATGTCAAAGGTTTTTGAAGCTCTGTACTAAAAAACTGTGTAAAAGACCAACTATATTTTTTACTAAACAATAGAAGTGCTTCAAAACACAACCTATTTATTTTTGTTTCACCTAGTACTTATCATACAAATTTGTTATGGAAAGTTTTAAAATAACCTTTTCTTTTGGAAATGTTAATGTATAAAATGGCAAAGCAATCAATAGAAATACCCAGAAAATGTCTTATCCTTTATAAAATTAAGCAGAGAGAAAACAGAAATAGAATCTAGTTGTGACTCTGAATTCAGCCATTTCTGGATATTAGCAAATGGTGTTGTCTGTCTGAAAGTGTATACTCCTGGTGTTTTCTGGTCTCCAGCCATACCTGAGAGGAAAATAGAGATAGCAACACATTTTTCAGCCTTCCCAGTTGTGATTCCAAATTCTCATTCTTGAGTGCAGGCACAGGCACAGAGTAGGCCGCAGCTGAGGGGCTCTGAGCTGGCTCTCCGCCAGGTTTTTCCCTCTAGGCTGTCCTGTACTTGCCAACCAATGTCAGGATCCTTCTTCATTAGTGTGGTTTTATACAAACAACAGGAACCATCAGGGGTGTACAGGATGTAAACATATCAAACCGACACTATCAACAGCCAAGGTCCATCATCCTGAGAATTCCTTCTGCCTTCGAGGCAGCAGTGAGGTTTGGAGAACTGGACCAAGAGGAGTTCTGCAGGGTTGTGTGCAGCCTGGGGTCTGCCAACATGCAGCTGTGCTCACGGTCCCAGCTGCTTCACCCCCCTCTAGACATGTGAAGGCTAACAATTCCAATATGTACAGTAAAGTGGCTTAGTTTTCAAATCTGTTGGGTTACCTTCTTGATTTTTCTATAAATACTATATTTTCAACATCAATAGAGATGCCTCATTTTCTTTCTTTTTGTATTTCAAATGCTTTCTCACAAGTTGCTCCCTTTTTTATTCCTAACTGTAGAGTCATATATTGCCAAGTGACAAAGTTCATACTAACCAGCTCCCAACCAGGCTCTTTATTAATAAAACCAGGATAATCATATCACACCTACCTACCACAGCAAGTTATAGCTTTGGTAGTTATAGCAATGTTATAACATTGACTGTAACAGTCAATGTTTATGGAACTAAGGTTTATTTAAGTGATCCTATTTTGAGTACTCTCTCTCTCTCTCTCTCTCTCTCTTTATATATATATATATATACATACACATATATATACACACATATATATATTAGCTCAATAAATGTAATAAACATAGAACATGGGTAATTTTATTATTGCCATTTCATAGTTAGAAACCTTAAATACAAAATGTTGAGTAATTTGCCCAGTGTCACATAGTCTATAGCAATGTTAGAAGTCACACCCAAGAATTCTTGTTTCATTGGCCACAAATTCACCACTCCATTCATGCAGCTTCTTTAGTGAGAAATAATGACAAAGAGAAGAGTGAAAGCACTTTGGCAAATGTAATATATTATATAAATATAAGATTCTGGCATGCAAAATCAAAGGTAGTGCCAGGCATCCCATGTATGTTTGTGTGTGCACATACACATATATGTTTATGTGTATATGCGTGTATATGTGTATATACATTCACATATGTATGCATGGATGTATATATACATCCATGCATACATAAGTTGTGTGTGTGAGTTTATGTGTGTGATGTCAAGAAAGAAGAATAGGCCTAAAGGTCTAGTATTAATTTAATTTTATTTCAAAATGGAAATAGTTGCTTTGAAGCATCTTTTTAAGTTACTCTAAGACAATTTAAATTATTTTTACATTAATTATTTATTTTTAATCTTTTTTTTCTTTTTAACATTCATGCTTGTTTCTCATAAGTATAGTTGATTAACTTCTCTCTTGGGCACCTCTATTCTGAGCACCTTATACACCTTTGCTCAAGTTAAGGGGGGTGCTTCAGTGTCAACTCAATACCAGAACCCCGCAATCTATCCCTGTTATCAACTCCAATGCCTGCATTCCCTTCCACCAGAGATTTTCTGGACTGACCGCTCCATTGGTTTGCCTTCCTAAGTGTATTTACCAAAGGTTTCTAGCTCTTTGTACCTGGTTTCTCTTTCAGAATCCTAAGTTGCTTGAGAACTGGGACTCTTTCTTCACTCCTATAGCAGGGCTATAGCAGACATCACATAAATAAAAAGCCTTTAGCAAACTGTGAGATTATTATTGATCTTCTACCTCCCTATTGTGACACTTTATGCAAGCCAGTGACTTGCTTTCTATCATAGCTGTTATACTCTGCAAAATCATTACACACCTGTACCACTCTGAGGGACTACGTTTGGAGTATAGAGCAAGTTACGACAAAGCAGAGGAGGCACCAGAATGGCTGGTTGGGCCACATCACATGGAAGTGCTACATTCAGATGTTACATTTAGGTCCCTCATCCTCTTGATAGGGGTTACTGTTCTTTGAGTAACACTGCTCTAATGGTAAGAGAGGCAGAAGCTAGCTGACTGTTGAAGGAAAACAACAATGGCTGAGATCTCATCAGCCATGGGACTCCTGGATTTTATCTGGTCTAAAGCACTCTCATAATAAAGGTAAAGTCAAGAATCAACTAGCAATTATTGTGGCCTAGTAAGGTCTGGACACTATGCTAGGAGCTTTCAACTGTTACATCATTTAAGCCTTGAAAAAAATCACATGGCTTATCTGCAATCAAGTTTCCATATTTCATGGATAATATAAGTAAGGCCTTTTTAGAGGTAACATATTCAAAGTCAGATAATTAATAAGTATTGCTATTGATACTCAAACTCAGGTTTATGTGAATTACAAGGTTATGGGGATTTTTTCCTTGTTATTGTTTATTTTTTGTTGCTGTTGTGTCTCACCAGATAGAACATGGTGGGGCCCACTCCAATTGTACTCATGTAGAAATAATGGTTCATAATCTTAGCCACTACATTTGGCTTTCCTCAACCTGACTTATCCTGCGGCCTATATGCTTTCCTTTAATAAATAGATTGGCTCTTCAGACAAAGCATTAAAGCAGCTTATAATGTAAAAACAATTTTAAACAGAGATACAATCACTCAGGAAAGTTGGTGCCACAAAACTTCATTTTACTTCACCAAAGCATTTATTTTTGTCTGTAATACTTGGAAGTCTTCTAAATCTTTTGATTATGCTTTGAGCAAAAATATTCATATCCCTTCCCTCTTCATACACTCTAAAATGCTGTAGAATTAGGTTTAAAAGCAATGTATTCTTTGAGACAAAATAAATTACAAGCAAGTCTTCCAGATAGTAGCTAGGTAAATTGATTTCTGCGTACAAAATGTCCTTTCCCTGATTTGTTGATAAAATTTTAATGTTATACATGTTAGAACTATTAAACACATCCTGCAAGCATGAGGCTTTTATTGGTGTTATGGTTTTTCTCCTTTTATCACTTGTTTTGTTAAGATTTTCACATTATGTTGGAAATTGGGCAGATCATGGTACTGGGAAATAATGCTAACTATTACCAAAGGAACCTCATTGCATTACCTTTACTTGCCATTCTGAGCATTAGATCTGAGCACGGAAAATAACCAGGGTGTCCTAGGTGTACTTTCAGGAAAATTGATGAATAAAACTTCAAAACCTATTATAATTTAGATTTAATATCAAGGCATGGTGTTTCTGTGAATCTGGAAGCATACCAGAAAAAGAAGTGCACAAAAGGCTGCTTTAGCTTTAGCAGATGGGCTAAAATGATATTAAAATCTAAGTGGTGGTGATGAGAGGCCCTGCAGCCAATGGTAGCATCTGTGAACCATGACTAGGCAAAAATGTTTGGCAAGGTTAAGGGCAGGTTCAAAGTAAAACAACATGCATCAAGCAGTTCATTCAGAACTGTTAGTTATCTATTTAATTTTGTTTCCTGTTGTTCTTTTAAGAACATTGAATGCCAGAACTTCAGTGGTTGGTGTAGTACTACTCCCTTAACTCAAAATGTAGAGATGCTGGTATCTCTACCTTGGATGCTCTCATTTTACTATTCTGGAATGCCCCCTCTCTGCTCTTTATGATTCAAATCCTTCTCACTTTCACTACTTAAGTAAATGTCTACCCCAGACAATAAATATGTGTCAATCAAGGATCCATCTCATTTACTGGGCACTACATATGGGGATATATTAAAAGGCTAAAAAAAAATTAGGGGTAAGGAGGCCAATCAGGGTGCATGTTTTCCAAGAAAGTCTCTAGAAGAAGGGTGACATAAATTGCAAGGACGTGGGTTAGTGTGAGGTTTTCATGACTTCATCTGCCACCCAAATTATTTATTTTCCATTAATATAAATTTTATGCTTGACTTAAATAAAACAATTTAATCAGAAAAATTCATATCCTTGAAATTAATCAAGTAAATAGATTTGTGTGTGTGTGTGTGTGTAAATTTTCCCTGAATTTAAGATGTTAGAGCAAGAAACAAAACCAACAAAAATAAAATAATATTTTAAAACTGTAGCTCTCACCTATTGCATGCTTAAAGCTAGGAGTCTAATATCTACTCCAATTTTCTTAAAAAGGAATACTTACTATGGTTTGAGTCTGTCCCCTCAATTTTATGTGCTGGAAACTTAATACCCAATTTCATATGTTGATTGGAAGGGGGGCCTTTAGGTGTAATTAGGATTAGATAAGGTCATCAGGTTGGGGTCTCTATAATGGGATAGGTGGCTTTCTAAAAAGAGAAAGAGAGGCCTGAGCTGACCTGCAGATGCTTGCCCTTGCTCCATGTAATGCCCTCCACGATGCATTAAGAATGTCCTTGCCAGATGCCACTTCCATGCTTTTGGACTTCTCAGCCTCCAGAACCTTGAGCCAACTTCTTTTCTTTATAAATTACCCAGTCTGTGGTATTCAGTTATAGCAACAGAAAATGAAATAAAACACCCCAACTTGCAAAGGAGACTTCCATCTTCCCATAACCAGCAGGATTGGAGTAGAATTGAAAAAAGAATAACTCTCTCATTATGTGATTCAATGATATTTAATGCCTTATGCACACATCACTGGAATGAGTCTGAATCTTGCACAGGAAGTCATGTTGTATTGTGTTAGCACTACACATCTTACACATTGAAAATATTGAGTTATCAGAAAGAAGAAAAGGAGAAACTTAGATTAAATTAAAATTAAAAAGCAAGAGTCATGGAAAGTATATGACTAAGATGTTTCTGGAAGACCATGAAGCCCTTTTAAACAAGATTGTTTTCTTTCTTAAGCCTCTGTTGAACAAGCATCTACACTTAATTTAGATATGACCTTTTCCCTTTGGGAGAATGCAGCTTGCTTTGTGTACAAACAATTTCCCACATTTCTTTGTTACTCCTTTAGCAACGATTGCAGAACAAATAACATAATACAAGAATAAAAAATATAAATTGATTGGAGTTTATGTTGTGTAAGTAGCCACACTCACATGTAACTACAGGAAATCTTTGGAAATAATCATTTAGTTGCCACTCAGTTATGACTCCATTGAGCTTTGTGGGGCATGATGTGAGTACAGATACACAGGTAAAACTGAATCCGCAACTGAGTTGGTGTCCTAGTCTCAGACATAAGGCCCTGTAGCTGCACAAAGAGAAGAATTAAACAAGCACTTATTTGAATCCTGTTCTACAACTGTTCTCAACCTAGTCACCTGATGTACTTGAAATAAGCTTGTGTCTCTTCAACAGTCTTTTCTGCCATTGAATAAATAGTAACATCATTCTTGAATTTCTAAAATACTATGAAATTCATTGACATGAAATATTTTGTAAAAGATTCATGGTCATTCAACCTTTGAAATTTGTGATGGTTAATTTTATGTGTCACCTTGAGTGGACCAAAGGATGCCAAGACAGCTGTTAAAGCATTATTTCTAGCTGTGTCTGTGAGGTTGTTTCTGGAAGAGATTCACATTTGCATCAGTAGGCTGAGTAAAGAAGATCTACCTCACCAATGTGGGCCAACAGCATCCAATCCAAATAGAATAAAAAGGAAGGTAAAGGAAGGGTACGTTTTCTCTCTTTCTTCTTAAGTTGGGGCACCCATCTTTTCCTGCCCTCAGACGTTGGATATTGGAGCTACTGGGTGTCTGGCCTTCAAACTAGGATTGAATTACACCACCAGCCTTCTTGGTTCTCCAGCTTGCAGATGGCATATTGTGAGACTTTACAACTTCCGTAATTATGTGAGCTAATTGCCATAACAAATCTTCTTGTATCTATATCTATAGCTAACTGTCTACATATATGGATTGCATACACACACACACACACACACACACACACACACACACAGGCACACGCACAGAGATATACATCTTATTATAGACAGATAGATGGATAGATATGCCCATATAGATATATATGCCCATATCTCTATCTATCTATCTATCTATCTATCTATCTATCTATCTATCTATCTTATCTATCTTTTATTGTTTCTTTTTCTCTGGAAAATCCTGACCAATACAGACTCTATTAAATAAACCCAAAAGACTTGCATATCTTAAGATGAGTTTATAATTCTTCACCTTGAGAAAAAGTGGACAAAGTGATGACACCCAACCTCACTGATAAGGAATCCCATTATATGGAAAATATAATCCACCAAAATGAGATTCCTTATGATAGAAATAAAGTTATATGTGGAAAGGGAAACAGATACATGTGGACAGAAAATAGTCATGCATGGAAGGGGAGACAGCATAGAGGGATAAACTCAGAATGAAAATTAAAGCCTAAGGCCAGCTAAACCCAGTCTGCTGTTATGTAAGTCTTGTATATTTTTTGTGAGGGACACAAAAAAAGCCAGCAGTTTACAAACTGCATCTGGTTTACATGAATTTCTTTAAAAATGTAACACTAAATCCTACTAAATATTAGAGAATAATTCCATATACATGCATCCAAGCACATACATATTCTTACACAACCACCCACCCCCCCAACTCACCCACACCCACCACTAACTTGGGCCAGAAAAAGCTTTCATGGAGAACCTAACAATAGAAAACCTTCAACAGTCATTGGCCCCTTTATTATCTGTGCACTTCATCCCTAACTCCATCTAGTAGAAAAGGAAACGCAACCTGCTTCTATTGTTCTTCTGTTTAAGTGAGATAAGATCCTCACTCTGTTCATATTTCCCCTTTATCTCCACAGTCCTTGTGTCTCAGCTTGTTCTTTGAGTTTAATGACTTTATGTCTTGCTTTGTTTTGCTTCTTTATATCTCATTGGGTTATGAGATCTTTACTGATTTCAGGACTTGGTACATTTTTTTCTCTTTGATTCCCTTCTTTATTCATCGTTAACTGGTTGGCTTAAAAAAATTGTCCAAAGTATATGGAAATTCGATTTCCTCTTTTGTTAGTTCAACTGTCCTTTAGAAACCAGTAACCACTGGAATTTATTTTCATAGATTGTTTTGGCCATTTAATGATATCCTTACATTTATCATCTGTCCTATCCAAAACACAATTTCTTTAAGCAAATACCTAAATTAACAAGTCTCTTTCATGTAAGGCAGTTTTGAATTTAATGCAGGACCATATGATGGACTTGTAACCACTTTATACTTTCTTTATTTCTTGGTAATTACCTTAAAGTTTGTTTCTTCACTGGTAAGATATACCTCTTTCATCCTTGACCACATATTGCAAGTGTTGCTATTTTAAGTAGAGGAATCATTTTTTTTAGAATAAATCTGATGCATCTGTTTCAGAACTGGCACAATCATTATATATTATTATTTAGTATTGTGAGATGGAGGCCAGTTCCAACAGTATCATTATTTACCAGGAGAATTATAACAGATAGAATAAAGTATACAAGCAGTATATAACTCCAAGGTTAGAGGATAACCTAAGCATGAAGTTGCCATTTCATAATTTATTAAAATTAAAGGCTTTATTTGGATAACAATTTGAATGAAGAGTCTACACCTAAACATGATAATATAAAATTGAATTTAAATGAAAAAATATTTTCTTCAACATATACTACAGGTTTAGAATCCCAAATCTGAAAATCCAAAATCCAAAATGATCTAATGAGCATATTTCCTTTGAACATTAGGTTGGCCTTCAAAAGGCCAAAATGTTGGAGCATTTGGATTTCAGATTTTCAGATTCAGGATGCTCAACCTGTAAGTATAATGCATATATGGAAAATCTGAAAAAAAAATCCAAAATCGGAAACACTTTTTGTCCCAAGCATTTTGGATAAGGAATACTCAACCTGTGTATTCCCGGAAATGTGCTAAGCATGTCAAGGAATATAATATAACCAACATTTATTACCTTTTTCTCCCCCAAATTTTATGAACTAGCAGGGGAACAAGATTTTAAAACAGGAGAGAATTAATCCAATGGGAATATAATTATGTGGGGAAATGTGCAGTGGAGGTTTTGTTACAGGAGTGAGGGAGGAGATTATCCTGTATGGCAGCACTGTCTGGGAACCCACTGTGGAAGGTAGAATATGCATGTAGGATGTGGTGACATGAAGACAGTAATTGTGTCAGTCCATTTGTATTGCTATAAAGGAACATCTGTGGCTGAGTAATTTACAAAAAAAAAAAATAGGTTTATTTTGGCTCATGCCTCTGCAGGCTGTGTAGGAAGCATGGTCCCAGCACCAGCTTCTGGTGAGGGCCTCAGGAAGCTTATAATCATGGCAGAAGGTGGAGGAGGAGCCAGTATATCACAGTATATTAAATGGCAAAGTGGGAGCAAGAGAGAGAGAGGAGGAAGTTCCAACCCTTTTTAACAACCAGATGTTACACAAACTCATAGACTGAGAACTCACTCATTACTGCAAGGTTCGAACCAAGCCATCAAGAGGGATCATCCCCTATGATCCAACCACTATCCACTAGGCTCACTTTTAACATTGGAGGTCACATTTCAACATGAGATCTGGAGGGGCCAAAACATCCAAACCATATCAGTACTGTATTCATACTTTCAGCATTGATATTCCTTTTGTAGACATAATGGGGGACAGGGGGAGGGTAGATGAAAGAGTAACAACTAAGCAAAAACACCAGAGTTAAAACGAGAAATGCAACCTTCACAAATTATTTTATGTAAACACTTTAAAGTCACAGTTAAGGTGGCCATTTTTTACAAGGCTAAGTAAATATGATTAACCAAAAGTACATTATGTCCATTTCATCTGTGCTAATATAAATACAGTCTATTCCTGCCTGATACAGGCCATTTCTTCCCTGAGGAATAGATGCAGTCAGTCTTATGAACACCCAGAAGATGTGGACTATCTGTGTAAAGTAAAGGCTTCACTAGTACCCAGTTTCCCTGAGAATGTAATATTTTCAATCTGTGTATTTCTAATACCCTCCAACTCCAACAAAATACCTTTATAATCCTTTTCTGAGATTAAAAAAACTTCCAGTAAATAACTTGAGTACATAATGCTGGATTATGTGCTCTATACCTGTGTGTATACATTTGGATTATATAATAAAGGTTCTAATTTTATTTTTTAAGTGGAAAAATGTTCTCATCTTGGAGAAAATAATTTCTATATCAAGCATGATAAAAGTATGTAATAAATGTCAGATAACTTTAAGCTAGAGTTAATAATGAGTTAGCCCCTACACTGGAGACTTGTAAAGCACTGTTCCTGGCATTCCCCTATTCTCTTGATGAATGGTGGTGATATGGGACGGGGGCAGGGAAGGGCTGGGTAGAGAAGGGCGGGACCCCAGCTAGGGCTCCACTCTCGGGCCTATGCCTGCGGACCTAGGTGAGGACAGGCATTTCTGTTTTCCTGCCCAAATGTTGCATTTCCCAAGACCACCCAGGCCTACCACGCCCCCATGCTGTGCCTATGAAAACCCCCAGATCCTAGCAGGCACGCACACAAGCAGCTGGATGTTGAAAAGAACACATCAGCAGAAGAACACACAAGTGACTGGACATTGTGAGGGGCACACCAGTGGAAGAGCACAACGGACAGGCACTGACAGACGCCAGTAAGACATCGACCTGTGGAACTGAGAGGTGACAACGTGCTAGCAGCCCTTGCTCGCTCTCGGCACCTCCTCAGCCTTGGCATCCACTCTGGCCGTGCATGAGGAGCCCTTCAGCCCGCTGCTGCACTGTGGGAGCCCCTCTCTGGGCTGGCCGAGGCTGGAGCCGGCTCCCTCTGCTTGCGGGGAGGTGTGGAGGGAGAGGTGCTGGCAGGAACCAGGGCTGCGTGTGGCACTCGCGGGCCAGCATGAGTTGCGGGTGGGCGCAGGATCAGCGGGCCCCACACTCGGAGCAGCCAGCCGGTGCTGCCGGCCCCAGGCAGTGAGGGGATTAGCACCCGGGCCAGCAGCTGCGGAGGGTGTGCCAGGTCCCCCAGCAGTGCTGGACTGCCCGCGCTGCCCTCAAATTCTCTCTGGGCCTCAGCTGCCTCCCCACGGGGCAGGGCTCGGGACCTGCAGCCTGCCATGCCTGAGCCTCCCCCAACCCCGTAGTCTCCCACGTTGCTCGAGCCTCCCCGATGGGAGCCACCCCCTGCTCCGTGGGGCTGGTCCAATCAACCGCCCAAGGGCTGACAAGTGCGGGCGCGTGGCGCGGAACTGGTGGGCAGCTCCGCCAGTGGCCCGGCTCAGGATTTACTAGGTAAAGCCAGCTGGGCTCCTGAATTGGGTGGGTACTTAGATAACTTTTATGTCTAGCTGGAGGATTGTAAATGTACCAGTCAGCACTCTGTGTCTAGCTAAAGGTTTGTAAATGCACCAATTAGCACTCTGTGTCTAGCTCAGGGATTGTAAACGCACCAATCAGCACTCTCTTAAAATGGACCAATCAGCTCTCTGTAAAATGGACCAATCAGCAGGATGTGGGTGGGGCCAGATAAGGGAATAAGAGCAGGCTGGCCTAGCCAGCAGGGGCAACTGCTTGGATCCCTTTCCACAGTGAGGAAGCTTTGTTGTTTCGCTCTTTGCAATAACTCTTGCTGCTGCTCACTGTTTGGGTTTGCACTGCCTTTATGAGCTGTAACACTCACCACGAAGGTCTGCAGCTTCACTCCTGAGGCCAGCAAGACCACGAACCCACTAGGAGTAATGAACAACTCTGGACGGGAGCAACGAACAACTCCACACGCGCTGCCTTAAGAGCTGTAACACTCACCGCGGTCTGCAGCTTCACTCCTGAAGCCAGCGAGACCATGAACCCACCAGAAGGAAGAAACTCCGAACATCAGAAGGAACAAACTCCAGACATACCATCTTTAGGAACTGTAACATTCACTGCGTGGGTCCGCAGCTTCATTCTTGAAGTTGGTGAGATCAAGAACCCACCAATTCCAAACACAGAACAACGTGGAGTTTGGCTGGGGTGGTCCCAGGAGAGTCTGGCCACTGAATAGCCCAACTCCAGGGGAAAAACCATCTTTCCACTCCATCTGGCTCCCCCATCTGCTGAGAGGTACTTCCACTCAATAAAACCTTGCACTTGGTTTCCAAGCCCACGTCTGATCTAACTTTTCCAGTACTCCAAGGCAAAAACTGGGATACAGAAAGCTCTCTGTCCTTGCAATAAGACAGAGGGTCTAATTGAGCTTGTTAACACAAGCTGCCTGCCAGTGACAAACGAAAAGAGCATCCTGTAACACACGCCCACTGGGGCTTCAGGAGCTGTAGACATTCACCCCCTAGACACTGCCATGGGGTTAGAATCCCACAACCTGCTCATCTGTATTCTCCCCTAGAGGTTTGAGAAGCGGGGCACTGAAGAGGCAAGCCACACCTCCTGTTGCACATCCTGGAGGGGGACAAGCGAACTTTTCCCATTTCTGTGGTAGTCTTCAAATGTTCAAATGACACAAACCTGGCAGGGATATTGACCACCACCATAGACTAAAACGGTAAACTAAAACCAAGAAGATGAAATTTGACAAGAATCAAGGCAAAGAATTAGTGTGATCTTAACAGACCTGTAACAATTCACTCAAAATAATCACAAGTGTTTCAAAAAATTCACAATGTGAAAAATTAAAATTAGATGCTCTGTTAGTCATCTCTGAAAACATTTGAAAATGTGAACTGATAAAGAATTGTGTGCTAAGACTCTAGAATTTAGTGTGAAATTACCCATGACTGATTTCGGAAGCCACTAACATTAGTAGTATATATTTATTTTGTATCCTTGCATGTTGCATCACTCCTACGCCACCAGATCATCTGACCCTAGGAATCAAAGATTTGGAATCCTTTGGCCATGCAAACTAGAATTACCAAAACAAACAAACAAACAAACAAAACAAACAATAACTCAATAAGCTTCTAGTCCTGTAGACTTCAAATGACCTTCCTCTTGCATTTCGTAGGACAACCAACTGCAGTTGCATTATTCCCATAGACATACTTCCGTCCAATTGTGGTCAGGAAGTTTAGTCGTAGATTTCTTATTTATCACCAGATTTGTACGAACGTAACCACATCCAAACCACCTACCCAACCAATATTAGTAATGTCTTTTTACTTCCTGATTGAAGTGCAAAGTGCTTTAAACATTCAGTGTAAACACATTTGTTTATTTCTTTCTTAATTTGTGAGGCCACTTTGCTGGCAGAGAGCAGAGTAGAGGAATCCAAGATGTATTGATTTCTTTCTTCATGACTATTTAATCGGTTAAAGTGTGCACCACTTGCAAATGCCAAGATGCTGGTTACATTTTAATAAATGTCCTCTTTGGTCGATCAATACTCCTCAGCCCAAAAATAAATAAATAAATAAAAGTGCTGTTCTCTCATAAGCTAATGGGGAGAAAATCTTTTTACTATCACCAGTCATCATGACAAACAAGAATATGAAAAGTGTTAATGAAATGACCAACTGTCTATAAAATAAAAGACTTTCAAGATAGTCTCCTTTCTTCCTTCAACCTGATGAAACAAAATGGAAAATTACACTAGTGCCCATCCAGCGTGAAATGATGTTAACAAGCAGAAAACAAATTCTATAATGAAGGACTTCTAGGATGTACTATGTATAGTCTTACTTGTAAAGAGGGAATTACTGGGCAGAGCTCTAGCCCTGAGCAACATCCCACCCCCTACTGAGGAGAATCACAGTTATCATCATGTCCCTCGGGAAATCGCACCATTCGCCACTGTACAACAAATTGATGTTCACAGCATAATAATTATCCATGTGCTGCAAACAATAGGCCACACAATTACCAACCAGGACAATGCCCTACACAGGGCAAAGTAAAGTTACAAAATGAGGTGATTGTACAGATAGTTGAGGAAATAGCCCCACAAAAAAAGGGAGGTGGGCAAGTTGTCATTTATTGAGCATTGTTCAGGAAGGAAGAGTTACAAATAACTGAATTTTCCTGAACACCAAAACTTATTGTTTAAGCACAAAATGTTTCATTTTCAAAATGCATTCATTGTGGATGGATATCTTACTTAAAATGTATTATTAATCCTTCTCTCTAGTTAAACAGAGTCTATAAATGTGATTATATTTTGATAGTTCTCTCGATTAAACAAACAAACAAAACATTTATTAGGGAAAGGTGGCCCAGAAACTACTACCTGGGTTAAGAATGTGACCACATTCTTGTAATGCCT
The DNA here is from genome assembly GCF_000001405.40 of Homo sapiens. Taxonomy (NCBI): domain Eukaryota; kingdom Metazoa; phylum Chordata; class Mammalia; order Primates; family Hominidae; genus Homo; species Homo sapiens. The sequence goes on from NC_000018.10 coordinate 39,312,500, forward strand.
CCCATTTTCTACAGAAGGATGGCATGAAGACATGTAAGTACACTTGTAGAGGCATTATTCCAAAGGAGTTCACAGGTTCCTATGTAAACCCTGCAGGTGCAAAGCAACATAAGCCAAACAGATGATATTTCTAAAATTAAATGAGATACAACTACAGACACTTAAAATAATTTGATGCTATTTTTGTGAACCTCATTTTCTTACTAGAGACTGGAGCATAACGGAATATTTTGGAATTGAAGCAGCTTAATGTTGAAGGTTCTGCACTTGTCTTGAAGCTCAGACTGCCTGGGTGCAAATCTCATCCAGCATGTAATAACTGTGTGATGCTGGAAATATTTTTTGAATCATTATAAAAGTCTGGATTCTGATCCACAAAATAGAAATAATTATGATCCCTCTATTGTAATTTTAAAATAAGATCATCCTTGCAAAATATTTAGCCCTTCTGTTGGCACTTAGTAAGGGCTCTGTAAATGTTAGCAATTTAAATAAGAAAATGGGGAGGGAAATTGGTTCAATAGGAATCCAGAGATGAAAATATAAATAATAAGCATGTGAAAGACTATAAAAGGAATGAGTGTAAAAACTAAAGGAATAGAGAAAAATAAAGAAAGAGTATTTAGAGGACACTAAGTCAATTTTTTAGATCACCATGCCCTCAACTGTTCAAGGAAAAATCACTATTTCGATATTAAAAAATATTTATTGTGCCACATCACAGACTAGACACAATGCCAGACGCCATTAAATTATGTAATGTAGCCTATTCTGCACCAACATCTTTGAGGTGGATTTTGTCTTTGTCATTTTGTAGGTGAGAAAACCAAAACTCAAAGGAATACTGTAGGTCATATGGTAAGAAAGATTTGTAAATATCATTTAAATATAGTATCTTTTGGCTCTAAATCCAATGTGCTCTTCCCCCAACACAGAGCTTATGTACATGTTTTCCTTCCTTCTCCCCTCTCCTCTTGCTGACCCATTTTCTACTTCTCTTCCTGTTTTTTGAGCACTCCTTATGTGTGAAACACTGAAAAAAAAGAAAGTTAAAATTTGTTCTTTGTCTGTAGTGATTTTACAGTCTATTGGAGGACAAAAGCATGTGAAAAGATGCATACAATTTAACAGGTGACTTCAACAGGGACATGCATGGAGTGCCATTGTTTCTCACATCAACATCTGTGCCTGGAATACATTCTCTTTGTTTCAGGCTCCCAGATCCTGATATCCTTCTATCTTTCAAGCCTCAGCTCACGTTTATCATTCTCTCCCATAACTATACATACTCAGTGATTCCCTTTTATTTGAATCACTCTTGTGATTTATTGTCTATATCTGAAGAGCCTATTAAGATGCACAGCATTTGGCATCACCTCCAGAGTTTAATATTTGGAATCTGGGGTGGGCCCTGAGAATTTTCACTTTAACAAGTTCCTAGATGATCTTGCTGCTGCTGCTCCAGGGAGCATGCACAGAGCACCATTTACTACCCCAAAGGGCTCCCTCAGCATTTGCCAAACATTCCCTCTGGTCTGAGCTAATGTTCCTGTTGCATAGATCCAGTTTCCTACCTAGCTATTAGTCCCTTGAGTCCAAGAGATATTTCTTCTTACTCTTTGTACCTTCCCATAGCGATTAGAAAAGCATGCCAGTCAATAGTAAGTGTAGAGGAAGTTTGTTTAACTTGACTGGTTGATTAGTGGGTTGATTTACTGCCAGCTCAGTGGCTGTTTCTCTCCCATTACTTCCACCTCCCATGAGGACTGCACCTGCGGCAGCGATTTTATGTGAACTTGGATTACTGTATGGAAATGGAGGTGAGCATATGTAGATATTTGTATTATCGTATCTTTCAAATAACATCTCTCAAATAATGATACTTGTAAAACTTTTCCTCATGTTTATTTGCAGGGTAATGCATAGACAGTTGCCTTGGAAACACTCACTCTGAATATTCTAAATTTTCTATAATGGAAAATCTTGCCTTTACCTTATAATTTATAGTCTCTCTCATTTTTGGATTTTGCTGAGAATACATAATGAGATCCAAATGCTGATAAATGTCATTTTCTGAGGACATAATTGTTATATTCATGTATTAGTTTTGTTATAAACTCATTGTTGTCAGTCAGGCTTCTGAAGGACAATTATCTAATAAAAAATAAAATTTTAACTAAGGCTATTTAAAGTTGTGTTTTAACTGCCCTCTGTATAGTGTCCATTTCTTTTTTACTTGTACATTTTAAAATATTAGTTTTTTTATTATCTCTTCCCTCATAAATCAGAATTAAAGCTGTCATTTCCACATTTGTGTTTGTAGAACTGTTAGGCAACTTCTTTTTTAATGTCATTAAATACCAACTAGCCTTAATAATTCAGAACATCTGGTTCCAAAAACCCGATTACAGGGCACAGTCGTAACACATTGCATTTTCTACTAGACTCAGCATAGTCTCCATTAGTTATTGTTCCTGTTTACTCAGTTTTGAGCTAGACTCTCCCAGAGTACCAATTATGTCCTGAGAGCAAGTCAGCACACACACAAGGTGAAGAACAAGTTTGACAATTATCCTATTAATTTGATCTATGTTTACATGTATATAGCCAAACCAGATAATTCAGTACAAATAACTCACCCAAAGGACTTATTATCTGGGCTGGTTATCTACATAGATCAAACTAGATCTTAATAACTCCCAAATTTCCACTTTACTTTATGTCCTATAGACATAACCAAAGGTGATTCTACCTGCTCCGGCCTACGCATGCCGAGCTGTTTCTACAACAGTGGATTCAGCTTTCAAACTTATCACATAATTACAGAAAAGTTCTTGAAGACTAGAGGTATCAAAAATAGCTACTAATGAGTTATTATTGCATTTATTATTTCTAAATCAACAGGAATGTAAAATTTATTTGCATTGTCATTATCTCTTCTGTGTAGCATGAAGTCTAAGATTCATTTAAATATCTGTTCTCAGTCAGGGTCCATCTGACCACTTATATACAGGTACCTCTAACTGTCAATGAAAAAATCTTATATTTGACTATGTCTGAGCTATGACAATGTGATGACAATGAACATTAGTGTAAGCTTACTTTGTTAAAAATATTTATACAGGCATCTCTTCTTTTAGAATTTACAATGTGTGTCTACTGGACTCCTCAAAGATAAAGAAGATAATATTCATATGTGTACAGCCAGAGCTTTGCTAAAGCATGATATATACTCAATAAATGACTGAACAAACTTGAGTATTACAAAAATTAAACATGAATATTGTAGAAAATAAGAAAATAACAATGAAGAAGAAAGGTAATAATAAGATCACTAACTCACCACAGTAAAATAACTACTATTGGTATTTTAGCATATGCTCCCAGAAAGGATTCATTGCATACTTTATCTAATTTTAATATTTCATCATATTATAGAAAGTGCTTTGTAAACTTTTTTGCTAACCAGTATATCCAGTTTTTTTTTTTTAATCCTAATCTTTGCTCTTCACTATTAGGAAAACTTATATCAGAATTCAATGGTTCCCGGTTCTCAGACTTGAGAGTGCATCAGAATCACCTGGAGGGCTTGTTAGAAAACAGATTCCTGGACCTCACTCCCAGAGATTCTGATTCAGTCTGTCCAGGATGGAGCCTAAGAATTTGTGCTTTTAATAAGCTCCCAGGCCGAGCGCAGTGGCTCATACCTGTAATCCCAGCATTTTGGGAGGCCGAGGCGGGCAGATCATGAGGTCAGGAGTTCGAGACCAGCCTAGCCAACATAGTGAAACCCCATCTCTACAAAAAATACAAAAAATTAGCTGGGCGTGGTGGCGGGCGCTTGTAATCCCAGCTACTCAGGAGGCTGAAGCAGGAGAATTGCTTGAACTGAGGAGGCGGAGGTTAGTGAGCCGAGATCTAGCTATTGTACTCCAGACCAAGCAACAGTGCAAGACTCTGTCTCAAAATAAATAAATAAATAATAAGCTCCCAGATGTTTCTATGGTTCAAGGACCACACTTCGAGTAACACTGGATTAGACCATTATCTACAACACTCACAATGACAAAATACTGTGATATGTCTCCAGTTCTTCTCTACTCTCCTTATTAAATTAAAAAAAAAAACCATGAATAGATATTCTCAATTTGTTTGTTATGCCCTGGATTTAAAATGTTTCTGTCTTTATATTTTGTTATGAAACTAGGAGAATGAAACTATCTAACTTCCTATATCCAGAGAATAAAGAGAAAATGGTGCCTTGATTTAAAATTTGGTCTTAGTAGCTATCGTTACACAAATTTTTTCTTTGTGCAGCTAAGAAAGCAGTCCTTAAAATGCATATGAGCCAATAATTAGCCGATTTCTTACTCCTGATGGGTCCAAAAAGGCAAAATTTTTAAATGAAAGAAGCTTATGCTATTTTTCTTAATAATAGATTATGTATATTCCATTTTAGCTTTTCAACTTATAGTTCAATTAGGAAAATGTTTTTTTTTCCTTTTTATGACTTAGCAAAATTTAGATTGCAAAATTACTGTCTATGACACTTAATGTTTTTCTTTAGAAAAATGGTGAGTATGTGTGTGCAGGTGAGAATATACGTGTTTGTGTGTGCACAAGCGTGCATTCCAGGGGCTACTTAGTAGACTAAGACTTTAAAAGTTTAATCAGTGAAAAATCTTTAAAAAGATTCTACTTAAAATGTTAATATTCAACTTAGACTGTTCAGCTACATATAATAACTGCCAAAGTACTTGGATGGATTTCCCACAAGGTAAAAAGAGAATCTGGACTCTAAAAGAGAGACTTCCTAAAGCCAAAGAGACAGAAACTGGGGAGAAAGGAGGAGGGCTATATTGGAAACCAGGGAACGTCATGAGTAAAACTTATAAGGTGATTTTAGCTTATTCTAGCTTTTCTCTTAGATATTAAGAAAAGTCATAATCAGTATGCTAAATTATAATTTTCAAACAGTTAAAATATTATTCTCAGGCAAATACAAAATGAACATGTTGCAAACATTTTATTCATCTCACTAATTAATGAGAAGCCAGTAAGATATTAAAGTCAGTTGAAATAAATAGTAGAAAAACAGCCATATATAGATATATAATCAGCAATAATGAATGAATTTGCTAATAGATGTAAAACATATTAATAATCTATAGGACAATACAATGTGATGTTTAGACTCATCTTTTCTACAGGATAGAAATCAATTATATCTTTACTTGACAAAAATTATTTGTATTCTTAAGAACGAGAATAATTTGTAGTAATATCAGTGTTCTACTACTTCACTTCTTCCCCTACAGAATTATAATGTAGCACCTTCAACAGAAAGACAATCAAAGGTATACATCCTGACAGGTTCAGACCCCTGAAGGATCTGTTAGACAATGTCCAACACTCCAGTGAAAGAAAATACAGTAAGCCTTTTTGACCATTTCCTAATCTTGGGCATATTTTTCTGTCGGTAGACATTCAAAATTATCTTCCTCACGTAGTTTAATTTCCTTTTGTGGCAATGTCCTTAATCTTTCATTGAGACTGCTGCACCTACACAACTTTATGTGGAGGCTGTAAAGAAAAATCGGGAGTAGAGAGTTGTCACACAGGGAAATGTAGCCTAGCCAACCCTCTGTGTCATTCACCAGGAGACCTTCCTTGTGGCACAAACAACAGAGAAAGGAACTGAAACCAGACTTCATGAGCTCTAGACCGCAGCCAGCAAATAGAACACTGATGATTGGGAGCAGTTCAGTGGGTGCTCCCTAGAAAGCCGGTTAACCTTTTTTTGAAAGGGTAAGACTTTCACAGAAAGGCATGAATGAGTAATGATTGGATTCCATATGAGGAACTACATTGGTGCTGGAGAGGTTTTGGAGCTGGGATCCTGGGTCCAAAGGAAAAATAATGAGAACATTAAGATAAAACTACCTGCTAAGATATTTACTCTTGTTTTGCTCACATGTCAGCATGCCTAAGGGAAGAACTTGAGGAATTTTGAGAGTCCGATGCCACTCCAGTGGATTCCAAGTCAGATTGAATAGGAGTTGTTATGAAAGCCTGCCTTGATTTCACACCTATCTGCTAAAAGATGTTATCGCCCTGCCAGCCCTCTGAACACAGGCCTTTCTGGGAGAGGGAAAGCAGGCTGACAGCCCTGAAATGTGCCCAGGGTTTTGCAGCTGGAAAAGACAGATCAGAGTGGTGATTCAAGAAAATCCTGTCCCACATGGGTTCTGATAAACATGCAAGCACTAAAACATTAAGCCACCTTTGTCAGCAGTCTTACATCCTCCTTTTTGTTTCCTTTCCTGCTAAGTTCTTTTATTAGCCACAATGATAATGATGCTAATAAGAAGCCACTTATTCCACCCTCTGGAATGATTCTTAATAATTTATGATCTCCATTTTTGTCTAAAATTCAGCACAATTCAGCCTTTTAAAAAAAGTAAAAAAAAAATCAAGTTACACACAGAAAATGAATTATGCACCAAATTGTAAATATTCCATTTCTTTTGCTGATCTGAAACTCCCCAAAGAAATATGAACACCTGATTTAAAATTCAGCTGCAGTGACATTTCCTAGCTGGGAAAAAAATACTTGCAAAAATTCACAAGTATTTGCAAAAAGATAACTTTTTTTGGTGGATACTAGTACATTCTAATGTGTTTTTAAAAACTATCTTGTGCTTATATTCCCAAAAATGAATAAAATATAGCTTACTGGAAGTTTGTTCTGTGAATAGACTTACAACACTTCAGCAAGAAGGGACTTTGCATGGCTAGGGATAATTTCCTGACAGTAAAGATGCATGTGACAGCAAACTTTCTACCTGGAAAGTAGCAAAAGTCAGGTAAATGCCTACTATTACACTGCAGACTTAACTATTAGATATCTTGGCCAACTGATATATCACAACTGAAAACAATCATCCTGCTAAAGTCCAAAAGGAACTGGAAAAGCCCACCTGTTGTGTTTTCCACTGGGATTTCCAAATATAAGGAGTTAAATACATTAAGCTCAGAGAAATATTACTAGTATTCTCACTAATAACTTTTGTTTCTTTGTTTCTGTAAAACATTGCTCAGCTATGAAAGAATTAACTTCCATTCTTGACATACTATGTTAAATGACTTATGATGAGACAAATATCCCCACTGTCCAAGTGCTTTGGGCACATGGGTGAATAAACAGCAAATGGAATTGAAGCCAACATTCATCATATTGATGATTTCTCAACACACAGACATACAGCACACATTGTTGTACCCTAAATATCTTAACACTATGTTGAATAGCCAACACACAATTTGATTTTTGCATATTAGCAATAATAGGTGTTTCACTAATAACAGCTTATATTGGTATTAATTTATTTAATATACACTCAACACGTTTAGTGACTATATTTCAAAGCTTTTTGTGAGCATTAGTGAATCACATAACCTTGTGAAATGACATGGCAGGAATAGTTTACTTCATTTTTTCTATTAATGGACTAAGGATTATAGAGTTTATAAATTAGAATTCTAGATTCCTGAGTCCTACCATTAATCATCATTGATTGTCATTCTAGAGGAAGTCTACAGATTTTTGGGGTCAGAATCACCAAAGGTTTGTTTAAAATGCATGGTCTAAAGCTCTAACACAGAAGAAGGCACTACAGATCAGAATATGTGAGATAATAACAGCATTTAGCAAGCACCCCAAATGGCTTGCTTCTAGAAACTTTCCTAAATACCCCAGGATTGATTGATTAATTGATTGATGAATTTACTTGTGTTACAATATTACTTGATGTAATTCTGTCTGTTTAACCTGGAATACTAGCTACATAAGCAGAGACATGGTATGATAGCCCATATTAGAGGAAGACACAATGGTAGGCAGTGGGAGGCATCTCACAGAAAGGCCTCTGTGTCTGAAAGCAATGTACAGTTAACTCCAGAAAGTAAAGGGAAAGTCCACTGCAAGGGAGATGCAGATGTGGATAATCCAAGAGACTGCATTCTTTCTGGTTGACACAAAACACCATTGCCTCTCCAAACAATTTAAATTAAGCAAAAGCTAGTGGATGCAAATGGGTAAATTCTGGTGGGTTTTTTTTTTTTTTTTTTTTTAATTTTTGTAACTGGTTCCTGCAAGGCAGGCCTACATGAAAATGTGACTGATAAGATTTGTTTTTAATATCCTCCGACTCCCTTTTTCAAACCCTTCTTCTGTCTATACCTGCATACTCCTTTCCATACAAGTTACTAGTTCTCTGACAGCCTTGAGGAAGACCAATGGTAAAGCCACTAATGGTGGAGTATGAACTCAGTGATTTCCATTGATGGAATACATGTCACCTTTCAGAATGAGGTATTGCTCACCCTCTCCCAAATGAGGTAGCACAGGCTGTTGCCTCCTCATCCACTGGTAAGACACAACTAGATTTTTATACTCATGGCCAAACCACTCCTGCTTAATACCAACTTACTTCAACTCAGATTGCTTGAGACTCATTGTGGTTCATCTATAAGGCAAAACTGAGACAGGGATTAAAAAACCTCATCTCTAATTCCTGCTTTCTCTACATTGAGGTGTGTCCCTTGGAGCTGCCAAGTCAGGCTGAATTTTCAGCACATTCCATTCACCCTCAGTGAGTCTGCAAGTTGCATAGAACCTAAAGAAACAATCAATTCTGTCAGGGGAAAATAAATCAATCCCACCATTTTTTTGTCTTTGTTGTTGTTCATCAGAAAATAATTGATAATTGACTTTTTCTCACTTTTTCTATAATTTTGTTGTTCATAAATAACATTGCTGAAAAGCAAAAAAAGCGATTAATCAAAATAAAATTCACATGCAAATTTGCATTCTCTCCTCCTCCTAAGTTTACATAATGTGTCTTTGCTACCTATGAAAAGTGCTTATCACATGGTAAAATGATACGCACCCCCCAACACACATGCTTTCCAATGAAATGCTGGCATTATTGCAGTTGGAAAAGTAACAAAATACTATGTTACAATATTGCTAAAAGTAATAAAGCTTTCCTTGTTTTCCAAGAGCCATATCTAGCAACAATTCTATTTCTCTCTCTTTCAATTTCTCTCTCTGTATTTCTCACTCCTTCCCCCAGTCACCCTCCCTTTCTGGTCTTTGGTTTATCAATATATCAAAAAGCAAATGTGATGACTCCCCCATATATCTGCTTTTCAGATTTCATTCACCTCTGACCTGTAATTGTCCAATTTAGCTCAAGTACTTTTATTTATGCTATTCCCTAGACCTATACATTTTGATGAAAGGAACGACACTCTCTGTTCAGTGCCTTCAGAGAGCACTTTGCAGGTACCATCCGTTCAGAAAAAGCAGTCACCCAATACATGAGATTGTGACAAGGTATAATGTAATGGTAGTTATGCGAACCTCCAATAAACCAGCGCTACTTCACAGATTACTTGGAGAGAAAGTCTCTCAGCGTGCTTGAAGAAGTATGAAATGAATTTCATTTCCTTCTCATTTGCCTTGCTTCTGAAAGGTTTCATGCAAGATATGTGACCAACTATTATAGTACTAATCCATCCATGACAGAGCTCAATTTTCTCTGAGAATTTACTTCTGAATGGGCTTCCGAAATACTTGAAAGCTCAAAATTAAAGTACACTGAACAGAGCAGCCACTGAGCTGTGGACAACTGTCAGTCAAGAAAACCAGTTGGAACAAAATGTAAATTCGATTTTATTTTATTTTTTTAAAGTGATCTATAGTGATGAGGTGGTAAAGTTTTATAGCCCATTTCCAAACAAGAACAATAAGGAGGGAAGTGGCAAGAGCTGTTGTTGTGAGCTTTTCTCATTACTGCAAATGAAAATGGGAGCTTGTGTTATGGAAACTCTAGAAATGATGTGCAAACACTGTGGCTTGTTGTATGCACTCTTTGTTTTGGTGGATGAGAAAGTGGAATGACAGGAGCCAGCTGCCAGTCACTAGAGACAATGTCTATAGAATAACTGACACTGTGCATGGTGTTCTGGTACTTGGGCCATAATAGTCAGGGTATCACTGATGTTAGTTATACCAAGGACAGTTTTGGTCTATGGAAATAGCAGAATTTTAAAAATTCAACACTATTTGACTCCAGGAATTTGTGAGACTAAAGACTTGCTAGACAAACAAACAAACAAACAAACAAACAAAAAAACATGGCTGACAGAATTTCTAAAAATACTAATTTGTGGAGGTAAACATTCCTTAATACTGGAATCAAAACCTCACATTTAGTGCCTAGTATGTACCGGGGTCTGCCTGATATACAGTGGAGCTACGACAACATGTAAGGCACATTTCTTGATTTGAAAATCTAACATTCTAGTAACTGCATGAAAGGGAGAGAAAGAGGATAAAGAGCAATGCTTCTAGAAAGCTCTGAATTTATACTATAAGCAAAAAGTTAAGTGTCAAGGAGTTTCTAAAAGTAGTCTACTTTTTCTTTGAAATAAGAGAGACCCAGCAAACAATGAGCTCAGGGAAATTCTAGTTGAATTAAATACTTCTAAAGTATTTTTTGTTTGTTTATTTTTGAGAAGTTTGAGTGCAACATTTTTAGAAGGCATTGACAACTAAATAGCAATCAGACATTTGTCTAATAATGACTTTATATGAGCTACCACTCCTAGCCTTATAAGAAAGATATAATTCAAGAGAGAGTTGCATTAATGAAATAGAAAGAGAGTATACCTGTGAGACGGTTAATTTCAGGTTTCAGGTGTGGATTAAGGAACACCTAGAGACCTAGTAAAGCATAATTCTGGGTGTATGTTTTAGAGTGTTTCCAGAGGGTAATGGCATGTGAGTCAGTAGACTGAATGGGAAGATCCATCCTCAATGTGGGTGACAATCAGCTTGGAGCCCAGATAGAAAAAAAAAAAAAAAAGAATTTCCTCTCCGTCTCCTGGAGCTGGAAGACTCTCCTTCTCCTGCCCTTGGACATCAGAACTCCAGGCTCTCCAGACTTGGGATTTCAGGACTTTTACCAGAAGCTTTCAGGTTCTCAAGCCTTTCACCACAGACTGAGAATTATACCATTGGCTTCTCTGGTTCTGAGGCTTTCAGACTTGGACTGAGCTATGCTACCAGCATTCCAGGGTCTCCAGGTTGCAGATGGCTTGTTGTGGGACTTCTCAGCCTCCATAATCACATAAGCTAATTCCTCGAATAAGTTGTGTCTCACACACCTATATCTATGCTATAGCTATAGCTAGAACTTATTAGAGGAATTATTTTTTTTCTATCTGGGCCCCCAGAAGATTTTCATAGCTATAGCTATAGATGTGTGTATATATATGTGTGTGTATATATATATGTGTATGTGTGTATATAGATTTTCATAGCTATAGCTATACATGTGTGTATATATATGTGTGTGTATATATATATGTGTATGTGTGTATATATATATGTGTATGTATATATGTGTGTGTGTGTATATATATATATATATATATATATACACACACACACATTTGTTTCATATATATATATATATGAAACAAAACCCCAGGAAATCCAGGGAAGTGACAGAATGAGGTGTGCTGTTAGTCTTTTGTCTGATTTCTTATATCACGCACATATGATGTATGTGATATGTGATATATGATGTAAGATATAATAGCTTATAGCTAGAGCTATAGATATGATATTTAGCTATAGATAGAGATATTTGATATGATATATGATATGATAGCTATGTCACCATAGCTATAGCTATACACTATTCGTTCTGTCCTTCTGAAGAGATCTGACTAATACAACCTGGGTGTGATGATGCAAAAAAAGGAGAATAAAACAAGGCATGATATAAGATATATATATATATATATATATATATGAAACAAATGTGTGTGTATATATATATATATACACACACACATATACACACACATATATATACACACACACATATATACACACACATATACATACACACATACACATATATATACACACACATATATATACACACACACATATATACACACACATATATACACACACATATATATACACACACACATATATACACACACATATACACACATATATATATACACACACATACACATATATACACACACATATATATACACACACATATATACACACACATATATATACACACACACATATACACACACACATATATACACACACATATACACACACACATATATACACACATACACATATATATACACACACATATATATACACACACACATATATACACACACATATATATACACACACATATATACACACACACATATACACACATATATATACACACATACACATATATATACACACACACATATATACACACACACATATATACACACACACATATATACACACACACATATATATACACACACACATATATACACATACACATATACACACATATATATACACACATATATATATATACACACACATATATATACACACACACACACATATATATATGAGTGTTTTAGACAGAGACAGAGAGAGAGAGAGAAATTCATTTTCCTTAGGCTAGAAACCCAATCAAATCAAACAGATAAAGGGTACAAAGTGATTGTACAGGATTCCACAAAGCTCTACTCAGCTCCATCTTCCAAGGTTTATGTAATAGATGAACAATTACAAAAGGTTAATGCATTTCAAAACCCTCCTTTCCCCTCCCACCTGGGAGACAGCAGATTAAGTCAGGATGTCACAGAACCAGATGTTCTAGTCTCTCTCCATGATGACATTTACAGACATTTGAGTTAAAACTCCAATGCAATCCGAGTACTGGAATAATAGAAAATTGGGTGACTGCTTGTTTGATTGTTGTCTTTTTTAAAAGGCCAAATTCAGTAAGTTTAAAACATCTTTCCAATTTTTAGCTGCTAAAAATAAGCTTGGAGTTAGTATTATATTTGAGTACAGTAATTTAAAGAAGGATACTTAAACTTGCCTTAATAACCTAAAACTTTAGAAAGGTCATTGTGGTAAAGGAATCATTTAGGCATTCATAAAAGCATAAAGTACAAAATATTCTCTGGCATGGAGAGCCTTATTTCCAAAGCTAAAATTTAAAATCTGATGTGCTTCCTCAGCAAAATGTTTGGAAAAAGAGTGAATGAGATAGGGCAAGAAGGGTAGAGTATGAAAAATGATGTTTCTAGAAGGTTCTAAGTCTATAAAAGAAACCACAAACTCAGTGTCACATAGCTGCTGGCAAGGAATACATTCTTGAAATTGAAGAGGGAGGTTTAGTGAACAAATCTATGGAGACGGAAGTCCCAAGTCATTATAGTCTAGTCAGACCATTTTTAGAGTTATTTTCTTCTTTAATCTTGGAGGCAACATTTTAAGAGGCATTGACAACTAGGGGGCAAGAAGTATGGCAAAAGCAGATCATTGCCTTGTTTGAAACATGGTTGGAAAACCCAGGCAGTTTGACTTGGAGAAGAGAAGATGGGTGGGGAGGGGTGGGCATGATGCAGGGATTGAGCAGAAAAAGCACTAAAAGATTCTTTACTTCTAAGTAATATGGATTTTGAAATAATTTACAGAAGCAAGAAGGAGAGGAGAGGCTTTGTCCATATGTATCATAAAATCAAAACTGGGAGAATCGCTGATGTTGCAATAATGTAGAGTGTAGTAGGGGGATTAAGAGCATGGCCTTCAGTTCCTGGCTGCCTAGGTTTGATTTTCAGCTTGGCCACTTAGGTCTCTGCAATTCTGGGAACATTAATCCTCTCTTTGGGGCACACTTTCTGTAAAATAGAATGAATGTAGTAGTGCCTGCCTTCAAATGATTTTCTAAGCATATGTTAAGGAAATGGTCTGATACATATAAAGTACTTGGAGCAGTGCCTGACCTACAGAGGCTGTGTGATACATAGGAACCCCTAGCATCAGCTCCAGACCATTGAAAAATGGTCTGGCCAGGAGAGCTGTTGCCAAAGAAATGAACAAGTGTGAATGCTCATGGGTCAAGGTGGCTGTAGCAACTGTAGTAATTTAATTAATATTTCCTTAGAGTAAAGAAGAATTCTTGGAGGTGCTTGAAAATAGTTATTCTTCCAGGACTAGCCCAGTCAGACAGTAGCAGGCTCCAGAGGAAAAACTAGCATAAAGCCTTCCAAAATTTATTTCTTCCCCTTACAACTTTTTATTGTGGTCTTAAGAACCCCAAACTGTGAATGTAGAGAATGGGTTGAGTTTGTCCCTAAGCCACAAGAAGTTGCTAAATGCTTGTCTTTAGAGTTCTCTTTGTTTATAACCTGAACTAAAAAAAAAAAAAAAAATCCCCAGTAAATCCATCTGCGTGTTTCCCTGTTCCCACCTACCTACAGGAGTGAGAAAGTGTGGGAATCATAAAAGAAGGCAGAACCAAAAGACAGAGGGATCTTGGGCCATGAGTCACAGCAAGGAAAGCCTCCCACCAAACATCTGCACTGGACTCCTACAGGAACAAGAAATGAACTATCGTGTTCAGCCCCTGAGACTTGGGCTTAACATGATTTTCACATTGTCTACCCTACCTAATAGAGCAGAGATGTAAATATTATTCTTATTTTAGAGGTAAGTACTAACTCTATTCTTATTTTGGGGTGTGGATATAAGACTCAGAGGATCCCAGACATTTTTTACTCCAATTCCATTCTCTTGCTGCAACGAGTGTTTTGAAAAGCTGCAATCAAATAGTAATAGCAGATAATAACTTAGAGCTACAAAATACAAAGCACTGTTCTTAGTGCCATATATTTCACACATTGTTTATATCCTTAGATACATGCAGAAAGTAAGCACTGCGATTATTCCCATTTAACAGGTGAGAAAGTTAATACATGGAAATATAAAATAATTTACCCAAAACCACCATTTATGTAGGTGCTGGAGCCAAGATTATAACCCATGAACCCGATTCTGACTAAATGTATAACCAACATGCACTCCAACTTCCAGAAAATAGGGGATTTCACTTCAATAATGGACTTATGCTTTATGGGGAGCTAATCAGCATGGAGAAAGGGCAGTGGTGAAAATTATAACAGCCTGTGCTATGTGTCTCCTGATTTTGATTTTGTTCGATGTTTAGTGTTTCTATGTAGTAATTAAGATTATGTGAGGACTTTGCAAAAGATCTGTCCATTTCCAGTAAGCAAAGGACCATTGCAGACATGAATGCAGGGGTTTGAATGACATGCAGCATCAGTTGACTTACCTGCTAGTATGTGGTCTTGGCAAAAGATATATTATCATCTTGTTAATCCCATTACAGGTGTGATGCCTCAGCTGCAATGGGTGAGAACTACTCCTCATTTATTCTCTTCCAAGGCAATAAAAGAGAATGGACCAAAGACAGTCTGTCATCACATCTAGTCAAAAGAGCTAATGTCGCAGTACAACTCTTCAAAAGAAAAAGAAAAAACAAGAAAAAAGTAATAAACAGATGTGTTCTGCTTGATTGTTTGACTCCTTTTTCTTGTGTTTTCCTCTGGAATTTCCCTGTAGCTAAAGGCCTTTGATATTCTATGTCTACAAGATGATGGCATCGGTGGTAGTGATGGTTTCTTCTTTTTCTCTTTTTCCTTCTCCTTCTCCTCCTTTTTTTCTTTTCCTCTTCTTTCCTCCTCCCTTCCCTATTCTCCTTCGTCTTCCTTTCTTTTCTCCGTCTCCCCTTCCTCTTTCATCTCCTCTTATTATTATTATACTTTGTTCTTGATCTAAAACAGCACTGTATTAGATGCCAAATCTTTAGAAATTAGAAGTCCTGACCAGGCACAGTGGCTCACGCCTGTAATCCCAACACATTGGGAGGCCGAGACGGGCAGATTACCTGAAGTCAGGAGTTCGAGACCAGACTAACCAACATGGCAAAACCTCGCCTCTACTAAAAATACAAAAATTAGCCAGGCGTGGTGGCATGCACCTGTAATTCCAGCTACTGGGGAGGGTGAGACAGGAGAATTGTTTGAACCCAGGAGGTGGAGATTGCAGTGAGCCGAGATCATGCCACTGCACTCCAGCCTGGGCAACAGAGTGAGATCTGTCTTAAAAAAAAAAAAAAAAAAAGAAGTTCTGTGTTCTAAAACAAGTATTGCTACCACCTGCATTACTGAGAAAGTCCCTTAAATTACCTGAACCTCAGTTTCCTCAGTTGTAATTAAATAACTGTTAATTAATTCAATCTAGTTCACTCTATCAAGAGTATCATAAATAATAACTATAATTTTAAAAGGTATTGAATTTACATACACTTAGTTTTAGTGAAAAAAATATTAGCTGTTACCATTATTGTCATTTCAAGCTAATCACTGTATTAGAACACACCATCATCCTTTAAAAGTGCCCAATGGCCCATCTGAAATGGTCATCTATCTATCTATCCATCCATCTATCATCTGTCAAATATATATATTTTTTAATTTTAAGAAGCAGGCAGCCTCCTGAGCCAGAGTTGGCTAAGAGAGACTCTCTCCAATTCTTGTAACTTAACTTTTCTCATTCTTTTTTTGATCTTATTATTAAATTTTCACAGATTAAAGAACACAGACATCTTACTTATCTCCAATCTCACAATATACATTTGTACTAACCACTTGGCACTGTGTGATACACATAATATTCTGTTTTGATTTTTGAATTGCCACAAAAATTTGATATGTATTTAAATTGAGGGATATTGAATTTTATTTAAATTTGGTTGATATAAGCTTCTTCAGAGCAGGGATACCTTTTTATATCCACAATAATATCATGGACAGGGCTTTGTATATAGTGTCTCTCCAAAAAATGTCTAGTTATTAATGGTGGCCAAATTACCCAGTGTTGACAATTTCATACCCCAGCAAATGCTGCAGTTGGTTGATGTTTATGACTTTAATCAGGAGTCTTCTCTATTTCTGCAAGAAGGATATTTTGAGAGGGTAACAAGTGAACTCAATCACAAGCCTACTGGTGCTTATTATAATTTTCATTCTTTATGTAGAACTTCCTGGAACTC
This sequence comes from Homo sapiens, assembly GCF_000001405.40. Classification (NCBI taxonomy): domain Eukaryota; kingdom Metazoa; phylum Chordata; class Mammalia; order Primates; family Hominidae; genus Homo; species Homo sapiens. The sequence continues at coordinate 39,329,548 of NC_000018.10, forward strand.
CTGAGTATTTCCAGAGATGTCCAGTTATGTTATACTCTTTGATGAAGATGACTGAGGGTTGAGGAAATGAGGCTTTCCAAGAGGTTCTGGCAATGAGATTTACCATCAATCTGCTGGCACCCACCTAATTATAGCTTGGCCATGTCTTTCCTTCTCATTTATCCCCTGTGATTATAACAGGGTAAAACAACAAAGAATTCTGTACTGTCAGCCACAGGAAGTAAAAATGGAGCATAAATGTTTTTCATCTGCCAAGTAAGTATTTTTATTCCATGGGCATAGTGTTTTTGTATTTAAAATGACAGATCCTGTCACAAAGGGTCTTAATATTATATTGAAAAGATATCTGTATTACAGCAGAGGTTAAAAAACTCATTTATTTATAAGACTCTCAGGTCCTGGAGAGGTCTTCTGCCTCTTTCTCCCTGCAGACAGTTAATATCATTGAAAATAAAAAGCTGTTATATTATATGACAAGGCACAGTGGTATTAAAAACAAACACAGGCTGGCTGGTGCCAGAAATGTGCTCCAATGCTGGTAAACTGTTGGCTCTAATTGGAAAAAAAGTAGGTGTGGGGATTTTTGTTTTGTTTTGTTTATTTCTGTTTTTTTTTTTTTCCTCCCAGCTATTTTTGCATTTTTCCATGCAGATCTGGCTCATTAAAAAGTTACACAAATAAGTTACATAAATTAAAGCAGGATTTATTCCATGAGGTTTCCAGGTTAAGAAAAAAATAAAACCACCTAAAGAGTAGATAAAGGATGAGAACCGATCATGCAGCCAGCTGGAGGGATGGCATGTCTTTAGAAGGCTATGGAAAAGCTCACAATTTTAGAAAGGCAAGGGGCAATAAACCAAAAGTGCTGACTAAAATAAAAAGGGAGGGCTACTCACTCCTCTGCAGCCAGTGTGGCCTTTTATTACCTTTATCCCTGAAGCTTTGGAGCTTAGCTGAAAAGTAAGCGGGCTCAGGAACTGACACACTGTACTTTTTGAACACAAGGTCCATCAGTGTGATGCAGAAGCATTTTCACCTCACATCAGACACCTACTAGGGGTTCCTCCACAGGACTCCACAGATGTTACAACTGAGCAACCAGCTCACCAAATGAGGCCAATGGCAGCTGGTCCTGTTGAAGTAAAGACCATGGAGTAAATGGGCCTCAGGAACTGAGTAGGGCTAGGACCCACTGCCATAGACTAGTAGGTTATTGTATGAGTCACCTGAAAGCACATTAGTAAACCTGTCCAGAAGAAAAAGAATGCAAAGCCGAAGTGCAATTCAGTGAAAAAGTAGCCTCACTATTCTACCCAAGAATACCAGCTAGTAGGAGAAAAGGGTATGCCTGATCCCTTATGAAAAAATTACATTTAACTTTTCTTCTCTAAGCCAAGATTCATAACAGGTGAAGAAGAAACAGCTGGAGTGTGGTGATAATTTAATTTTTAATTTGTTTTCTCTGCTCTAGGCATTCTTCAACTCAAAGCAATGTTTTCAGCTTTGTTCATTCTGTTTTTTTATGTTTGAAGGAAAACCAACTTTGATCAAGGATTTTTATCAGTCAAGACCACAGACCAACTTCGATCAGTTCATTCAGCAAGGATTTACCTAATACTGCTGTGGATAGGGTATTGCACAAAGACTATGGGGAATCCACAGCCCTTATCCTTAGAGAACCCACTATCGAGGAGGGAAAATAGGATATACATAGAAGAGTCTCAAAAGCAGTGCCATTGAAGGGATACACAGAACCAAAACAGTGTGAGAGATGGACAGACACACAGTTTTACTTAAAATATAATTATGCTTGTGTTGGATAATTATCTTAAAAAGTTTCAAGCATATCTATTCTTTTGAATGCCAACCTAGTTATCAATGCAGTTTTCCTTGATATCTGGGAGGTTTGGTTTCAGGATCGCTGGCAGATATCAAAATCTGCGAATGCTCACGTTCCTTATATAAAATGGCATAGTATTTGTATATAGCCTATGCGCATCCTCCCATACACATTAAATCATCTCTAGATGACTTCTCATACCTAATAGAATGTAAATGCTATGTGAATAGTTGTTATACTGCATTGTTTAGGGAATTATTATAAAGAAAAAAGTCAGTACGTAGTCGGTACAGACACAACCATCCATGTTTTTTTAGCGAATATTTTTGAGGCAAGGTTGATTTAATCCTTGAATGCAGAACTTACACATAGGGAAGACAGACTGTATGTACTAACGTAAGACAAGCATTTTTTTTTCTAATTCTAAAGAGAAATTGATACGTAAATGAGCTTTGTTTATTTAGAAAATTTGGGCATGAGAGACAATGCTTATTAATCTAATCAGTCTAAACTTTATTCTATAAACTTCGGTAATATTTCCTCAAAGCACAGTGTTAAAAAAAAAACCTGTCACAGAAAAGGTGTGAAATATGTTTATTTTCAGAGATCTGAGATGATGATACTAGGCCAGACCTCAGACCATTCACAGTTAACTAGCTGGTATTATGGAGGAGGGAGATAGAATTAACACAGGATTTGTGGGTTAGACTGTGATGAAACTGTTTCTAAAAGCTTCCCTTCATTAGTCTTTTTGACCATAAAGAGATTTCTTGAGGTCATACATGTGTGTTTACATATCACTTAGAATCTGAATTACTGATAAGTAATAAGTGATACAGAAGGCTTCTTCCACAATTTCATGTGCTATTTTTTTTTTTGGTATTTTCTTCTCTCAATATGACTGCTAATAAAAATCCTTAAAAGAAAACTAGGTCTCTTCTTCCTTCATAGTTAAATACTACTGCCAATGTTATTTTTGACATATTTGAGAATGGCTAAACATTGACATTGGACTGTGAACATGCGGCTGAGATGTGAGTTTCTAACTGGGGGCTTCACTAGCAAGAATTCTAGTTTCCTGTTCAGTTTGCATGAACCTCTTCCTGAAGTAAACTTCCATAACGTTTGTGATATGATATGAATGACATATTTTGCTGCTTTTAAAATTTTGTCTCTAGTGGTTTATAACTTTTTTATGTGGAAACCCTACATGGCCAACCTACAAAGGAGAGCCAAAGATTTCTTTCTTCATATCTCTGTGGGATCTTTTTTGGGAATAAGCCCAAAACAGGTGCTACCTATGTCATTGGAAATAAATAATTGGTCTTACGGAGAGAAGATAGCTCAAAGGTGGTATGTGCATGGCATGAAGTTATCAGGATGTGGCTTTACTCACAATGGGCTTGACTTTTCAATGCACTCCAACAAGCATTTATGGAGTGCCTATGATGTAGAAGGCACTGTGTCATGAATTGTGCCAGGGGTAGGACACAAACACAAAGAAAATTATGTCTCTTACCAACCAGGATTTTCCATTTAATTGGGAAAGAGCCATACATTAAAACAGCAGAACTATCCCCAAACACATGCAAAGAGAACTATAATTAACACCCAAAGCCATAAAATATTATGGTTGGAGGCAAAGGGAGATAAAAATCCCAAAGGGGATAATTTTAGTGAGACAGTCAAAAACTACTAGACAAACACACTTTCTACAAAGTAAAAGTCAACATATAGTGAAAAGGGGGAGGGGAGAATGTAGGCAACAATTGGTATGATTAGCCTAAATGGTGCTAGAAATCAGTATGTTTGACATATTCTAAAATTTTATTAGTTTTTATTTCACTATTTGGTAACTCATAAGCAATGTCATCCATGACTGACTTGGCTATAGAAATATTCTGTGTTTCGACTAATTGCTCTGTCAGGTTTGTTTCCTGGGGATACAGACTTCTGTTTTTAATAGTCTATATTTAAGCTATCCCAGAGATGCTATATTGTGTCAAAACAACCTAATAGAATGGTTCACTGCTCTCCAAGAGGCACTCCCCCCAGGCTTAAATATTCTTTCTGACCACATCTACATATATAAAAATGTTTTTAACATTTAGAATATGCTAATATAGTAAGCAACAGTTCAATCAAGCAATGGTCAGAGATCAATCTGACGCAGAGTTCAGATGCTTGAATAACAGAGCTGGCAGTTTCATGGTCTTTCTTTCTCTGTTTTAAGTTCCTTTAGAGACCAAATGAGATAAATTGCTATTCGGCCCATTGCTTGGGGATAAACATTAAATAGTTTATCTGGGCAACCCAATCACCTCCAGCCAGAGCAGAGAATTGGCCTAAATAATGAAGGTGTGTGTCATTCATCTCTTTGTCTGGCTCCTGGTAACCTTGACAGGAATGAGTGGAGACATGCTGATTTGTATACACTCAATAATTCAAGGTGTTTGCTTATCTTTCCTTGTCAGATGCTGCTCATCCCAAGTCTATGTTACCATCTAATTAGCCATTTTTCTTTACTTTGCTTTTTCACATAGGCTTTCTTTTTTATTTCATGAATTTAATTTGCAACCAGTCTTGCTGTTATCAAATATCACACTTATTTCATTTGTTAGCATGTTTATTAGTTTTTTATTCATATTCTCGATATAGCCTCTCCCCCTTTTTGATTCACCCTCAATGTAATAATCAGTTTGATTTTGTTTTCTAAAATATAAATGAAAATCATACTAAAAACATCATTCCTCAACTGCACTTACTGAAATCACATGATATATATTTTTGACTCTGAATTCTTTCTCTGGCTTATTTTAATCAGCTTTTCTGGCATTTAGTGCTCTTTATAGAATCCTAGGTGCTTGTTTTTTCACTGTTCCAGTTCTTATACGTGAAAATACTAGAGTTGCTTATCAATATTCCTGGCTCTTCTCTTTCTGCGCCATCAAAGGACTCATCCCTTCCTAAATCTCTGGGCTTGCCATCACCCTGTGATTCTCCTTGACCAATGAACTGTAAGCAGAGATGGTGGAAATATTTAATCACTTGTATAACACTCCCCTGCATGACACCCTTCTCTGCCTCTATGACCATGAATGCAATGTAAAACTGAGCTATTATATGGAAGATAACTGTCCTGCAGACAGCAGGATTTGCAGGAAACCCTGGGTGAGTGAAAAATAAGCCTTTACTATTTTAAGCCATTGAAATTTGTGTATTGTTCCTTTTTTTTTTTTTTGTTTTGTTTTGTTTTTTTTGAGGCAGGGTTTCATTCTTTCTACCAGGCTAGAATGCAATGGCATGATCTTGGCTCACTGCAACCTCTGTCTCCTTGGTTCAAGCAATTCTCCATCTCAGCCTCCTGAGTAGCTGGGACTACAGGTGTGTGCCACCACGCCTGGCTAATTTTTATAAATTTTTTTTGAAGAAAATTTGTATTATTTTAATTATTTTTATGTACAGAAAACTCAACAGTGTACATTTAACCCAGTTTAGTGGCAAGGTCTTTAGCCTTTGCCTTTTCGAGCTTGGCGATACGAGCCACAGACTTAGGACCCAGGACGTTGCCGCCCCAGTGACGGCGGATCTCATCGTATCTGTCATTGTAATTGGTCCTGATAGCTTCCATCAGCTTAGCCAAAGTGCCTTTGTCTTCCGAGTTCACCTGTGTGAAGGCGACAGTGGTGCAGGTCTTCCTGTGGACTAGACGTCCCAGTCTTGCCTTCCCCTTGATAATGCAGTAAGGGACCCCCATTTTACGACACAGGGCAGCCAAGAAGACAACCAGCTCGATGGGATCCACGTCATGTGCAATTACCACCAGCTGAGCTTTCTTGTTCTCCACCAAGGTGGTGACGGTATTAACTCCTGCTCGAAGGACAGGTGGTCTTTTCGTGGGGACGTCCCCTTTGCCAGCAGCTTTCTTCTCCTCCCGGGCCAGCAGTCTCTGCTTCTTCTCTTGCTTTGTCTCTGGTCTGTATTTGTGGGCCAGCTTAAGCAGCTGAGTAGCTGTTTGGCGGTCCAGGGCCTGGGTGAACTGGTTAATCGCAGGAGGCACTTTCAGCCGCTTATAGAGGATGGCTCTCTGCCGCTGCAACCTGATATAGCGGGGCCATTTCACAAAGCGGGTGAGGTCTCTTTTGGGCTGGATGTCCTGTCCAATGCCAAAATTCTTAGGCCTTTTCTCAAGCAGGGGATTCACCACTTTCTTAGCCTCCTGCTTCTTCACGACAGCAGGGGCCGGAGCCACCTTCTTTCCCTTGGCCTTCTTTCCTTTCGGCATCTTGGGCGGCGGGAGGAGAGCTAATTTTTATATTTTTATTAGGGATGGGGTTTCACCGTGTTGCCCATGCTAGTCTCAAACTCCTGAGCTCAGGTGATCCACCTGCCTCGGCCTCCCAAAGTGCTGGAATTACAAGCGTGAGCCACTGCCCCAGGCTGTGTGTTGTTTCTTATCTCAGCATAGCCTAAGCATAAGTTAGCCTAACATAACCTAATTAATATTCTATATTTGTAAATATTCTGCAAAAGTATTTATTCGGTGGCAATCTATCTGTCATAAAAATTATGTGCCCAACATTGTGCAATGCCACAGGAAATATAAGAGAAACTCTCCATCTATGAAGCTTTAACATTCCCAGGAAGACAAAGCTAATGGGCACAAAAGAATTCTAGGGCAAGTCAGATGAGTGCGTGACTAAAGAATTAACTTTGGGGTATGGTTTGTAAGTACTATAGGAGCATGAGGAAGGTAAAAATTCCAAGTGGGATAAAATGGACCAGCAGAGAGCAGGATAGAAGGCATTCCAGGAGATGGAAAAGCGAACGCTAAAGCAAATAAGATGGTAGGTAAGACAATGTGGCGGGGGAGAAGAATTATCAATGAGAACAGGTGAAAAAGAGACTCCAGTGGACAGGTAAGGGCTCCTAGCCTGATCTTCATTGTTCTCTATTTCTTTCATGTGGACAACTTTTTTCCTCTAATAAGCTGTGAATAGTTACAGATGAAGAAATAGGCTTTCTTTACTTCATCACCATCAGTACTCCTGTTTCCAAAATGGTTCTGTTTCTGTAGGGCCAGTCATTCTGAAATCTGAACTCAAAAGAGTCCAGAGATCCTACAAGTATTAAAAGGGTAGATCTAAGCCCTATGTACAAAAAGTTCATCAGATGTGCCTTCTGCCTCCTAGGAACTTAAAGTCTAAGCAGAAAACTGTGCACACAAATGTCATGCCAACCATGAAAAGTCATATACCAAACGTGAATTGCATTTTTGGATCCTCACTAGTAACCAAACCCACCACCCAGCGTTCCAGGGAGGCATCCCACCTCCCACCCTGCCTGCTGCATGCTGCTACCTTTCCAGCTATCCCTTCTGAGAGCTTAGGATCTGATATAACACCTCCTTAGTTTGGATTCTTCACTTTTGAAATCTAAGACTATTTTCTCTACAACCTGGTGACCTTTCTGACATCAGCAACATTAAACCTCAGAAAACAATTAACTAAAAATCTACCATAGTTATAACATTGGCAGTCTTAGATGACTTTGAGTTTTATTTCTTACTTTTCTTTAAAAATTGCCTTCAAAACTATAGAAAGTAACTCTAGAAATGTGCTTTCTTTTTCATGTTGTATAGCATTGTAATTGTATACACAGTTGTTAAGACCAGTTCATTCAGCCTTTAAAAAAAAATGAAAAATCAGGGAAATTTCAGCACATAGACAGGCCTCACAACGGATCACTGAGAGTAGCAGATGTTATGTCTTCTAGTCCTTTCCATGTATATTTTTTAAGAATCATAACCAGGCTGGACTCGGTGGCTCATGCCTGTAATCCCAGCACTGTGGGAGGCTGAGGCGGGCAGATCACCTGAGGTCAGGCGTTGGAGAGCAGCCTGGCCAACACGGTGAAACACTTCTTCTACTAAAAATACAAAAATTAGCCGGGCATGGTGGTGCATGCCTCTAATCCCAGCTACTCGAGAGGCTGAGGCAGGAGAATCACTTGAACCTGGGAGGCGTAGGTTGCAGTGAGCTGAGATCGCACCACTGCACTCCAGCCTGGGTGACAGAGTGGGACTCCACCTCAAAAAAAAAAAAAAAAAAAAAAGAACATAACCAGATTCCATTCAAGGTGTATAGCTTTTGGTCCCTTCTCATTCATCTATTTTAGAATAATTAATACTTTTGGAGAATATTTGCTTTCTCTTTCAGAAGCAGTCTCATTATAGTCTTTAAAATAAATGCTGGAATGTGATTGGGGGCTGTAAGTGGCACCTAAGTTCCCATTCTTCCTTAAGTACATCCCTCCTAAGGGCCACCATGATTTAATCTGATGGTCCCACTGAGTGGAAATGATTGGCTCCTCACGGTCTTTTTTCTATTTCTCACTTTAATTACTCCCCACCCCGACATACACACCTCCTGTGCATGTGTTTAAACTCACATATACTAGAAAGAAAATAAGCAATCTTTGACCTCTACTAAAGCTGTCTTTAATTGGACTGATGTTTTTGCCTGTCCAGGATTCAGGGCCTCAAAATTCCCTAGAAGCCCTAACTTTGTTTTGCAAGATGCTTTTGACCAGCTGGACACAGTCTCACCATTTGATCCAAACCAATGACCCAAGTCCCCAGTGCTCCATCTATTAGACCTGCATAATCATCCAGCTTAGCTGTGCATTGTCCATTTTAATTAAGGGTGTGCTACACCCATTAGAGAAAGTTTATGAGCCAGAGACTGAACTTATTTGTGCATGTTCCAATCCCACAAGTGGAGCTTTAGTACCTCCAAAAGAGTAAGAATAATAATAAAAATAACAATAATAATAATGAAGGCTGTGTCTCCTTGAATACCAACCTCCTGCTAAGTGCCCTTTCTCTGTTTGAATTTCTTGCTAATTCAATGCCATTAAAATAGAATCTTAAAGACTCTGTTCTGTCAAACACAAAAAAGAGAGATATATAGAGTGTGGGATTTAATTATCACTGCTCTATATCTCCAAATGTGAGTTTTTCTGAGTAATAATTGCCCAAGTTTGTCTTCAAAAGGCATTTTAATAGTGCTAATACTAGTAAATATTGCTCATTTTGATACTGATGTGCCGTTTTAATGGTTCCCATGGTTTCTAAAAGTCATTTCTTATCGTTTTACTGTAGAAAGAATCTTACTTTAATTATGTCATAATTGTTTGGAAGCCATAGAATCTTAATTAATGCCAATGGCTTCAAGGCACAAACCAAATGTAGAGTTTATATTCATGTTTGTTTCTTCATCTCTTTCTCCCCGAGAAGACACTCCCCATGAGCTTTTTCAAACTACCTTCATAGATGTTTTAAAGATTCTGGTGATGTCATTCCTTTATTTTTCTAAGTCAGATTTTCTCAGTGTCACCTCAGAATTTAAAGGTTAATATGAAATCAACATTCAATCTTCACGGGGAAACCTTTATCTCAAGAATACAGTTGTTCACTCTCCTGGTAAAAACAGAAACCTCCAATTGCTCCCTAGAGTGAATGGGATGAACTCCAAATGTCTTCCCTCAGAATCCCAGAACTGCTGCCAGCCAGCAGGGCTTTCTCCTCCTAAAAAACCACCTCCAGCAGACACACCCCCAACTTGTTCTATTGATTCTTTCCTATCAACATGGCTGCGCACTTTCCTCCTTCTACCAGAGTCCTAGCATGGCCCATTTCCAGTCTCAGAACCTCTCTTGTCACATCATCCCATGCAAGCACAGAGAACTATACTCCATTCCCCTGGCTGCAGGAGTCAGAGATTGACTTCATTTACATTCATGGCTCTTTTATCTCTTAAAATAACTTTACAGAAAAGACCACGTCCTTAGAGCCTTTGGGTTTTTCATGGTGTTTTGCATAAGGCCTTGCTTGAAGCAGATATTCGTTAAATATTGATTTAGTGATTGCCTATGGACTTTCTCCTAAGGATCTAGCAAGGTTTCAAAGCTATACCTGGAAAATAAATATATCCTTGTTTTGTATTAAAGAATCCGCATAGGAGTTCATTCTCCTAGAAGCAGAGAGCTAGAATTGACTTTGAGAGAGTATATTTTACTACATTTAATAGAAAAAGGAAGGTTATGCCCAGAAAATTTAATTATATTTTTTAGGGTCCCACAACTAGTGGGTAGTAGAGCTGTAACTAGATCAGAGATTTCCTGACTCAAAGTGCTAGAGTTTCCCCCTATAATTTACACAAGTGTCACATCAATCACTTTCATTTAGCTATTCCAGCGATCCATCTGATTGTTTTAGTCAACTCCCCATTATGCATGCTAGCTGGTAAGCACCAGATAGCTATATGGAAACCACTGCTAATCTAACATTCCATTTTCTCTTTAGTTTCAATCTTCTACACAAACTGAGATTCAAGTAACACCAGTTCATTTATCTGAATTGATTTGCCAAAGACTTTAGGTTTTGACTGAAATGGAGAGGGAATTTGTTCATGAGTCCCTGGGGAGTAAGGCAGGGGAGGCAGCAAAGGGGAAGAAAAAAAGAGAAAGCAGAGACAGCAGCATGATCTCTGCCCTTAGTTCAATTACATGACCTGATGCCCAAGTGTAGTTAGTAAAGTTACTGATTTCACACGAGGAAACAGCAGTCCTATAGAGGTCAAGATAAGAAATGTTGATGAAGTGTGGTAGAGAGGGGTGATATCTTCATTCTGGAAAACAGCCTAGATGGAAAAGTATACAGTTTAGTGGCTTTGGAAGTGGCAGGAGATCCTACCACCCCAGATATGGCACTGTCTTGGTTGGCCATGGGAGTGACGGCAAGGCTAAGGCCCCGTCAAATGTTCTTCAGACAGAAGACATGAGTCAGTGAAGCAGAATAAGAGAGACAGGAAGAACGTGGCAGATGACATACAGTGCAGTCACAGACTGAGAAGACCAGACCAGTGACATATCCTGGCGAGAACACAGATGTAACTCAGGAGACACCTTCAGGGGGCTGGAGTTGGGGAGATTTTTGGCATACCTATTCTGATGACTTCTTTCTATCCACAGATTTGAAAAACTTGGTAAATTAGCATTGCACATTATAATTAATGTCTCAAAAGGGACTGAAGGGTCCTACCAGACTCCAGATGCACAGCTGCAGAAGTGGTCAGGTTTTTCTCTTCAGTGCACCCAATTTACCTTGGTCTTCACTGTAGCAAAGTTAACCATTACCTCCATATGCCTCCTGAAGATGTCAGCCTGATCCTCTGCTGGTGGGCAGCAATGCCAGAACAATGGAGAATCCTGAAGTTCTAGAGTTCTTTTATCATCATGCCCCCAGCTTCAACCACTGTATTTGCCATCCTGGAACAAACCTTTCTTTTAAAATGAATTAAAGATTTGGAAAATAAAAAGACCGCAATCATAATATAGCATGATATAGCAAAAATATAGCAATTTGCTATATCATGATGTAGCAAAATTGCTATAATCAACCTAAGTAACTGCCTAGGATCACTATTGAAAATTGCTGGTACATAGGATAGCTTTTAAAACAAAGTAGCATCTGAATCAACTTTGGGAAGCAGGTATGTGGGAATTATTATGAGCGCATTGCTGGACTATTATCTTTCCTCATGTTTACCATCCATTATCTGCCTTTGTTCTGGTTCATGCTAGTCTTTTTATAATCCTTTTTTAAAAATACAAAATCAATACAACTTTAATTACAAAAAGCCTGTGGTGCCTCTTGAAAAAGAGGACAAACAAAAAAGGACATTTTGAAAAGGGGCTAGTGATCTAAGAAGTGTGACCTCAGGCCATCCTATTTCTAAGGGGTGATGTTGTTGATCTGTTGGTCCCATTATAATGATTTACACATCCATATCTGGCACCTTTTGTTCTCCAGCAGGCTTTGTGTATGGTAAATGGAGAATTGCATACCAACCAGGGGTTTGACATTTACAATGCTTTGTAGCATAAGATAGAGTCACATCTGGGCAAACATTGTCCCTGGTGGTTAGCGGCTCATATCATCTGTGAGTAGTCTGGCTGCCAAAATGATGAGCACTCATTAGAAATGTCCCATTTACTCCCAGAGACAAATAAAAGCACAAAGTAATCTGAAACGAACATTCACAGAATATGTATATGTGTGTGTTCAATTTGTGTGCTGGCTTATTCCAGAGGCATACTGCAGCTTGTTTTTCCTTTGAATATTGTTTGTATCAATGGCCTGAATCAATGTGAGCATAACAATGTAGAAAATCTAATTCTTGATCCTGTGCCTTAGCCTGAGCTTAAGGCCATTATACAAAATAGCTAGATGAAACTCTTTGGCTGACACTTAATGTGGAGATACTGTTAAAAAATTGCCAGTCTCTACTAAAAATACAAAGATTAGCCAGGTGTGGTGGTGCATGCCTGTAATCCCAGTTACATGGGAGGCTGAAGCAGGAGAATCACTTGAACCCGGAAGGCAGAAGTTGCAGTGAGTTGAGATCAGGCCACTGCACTCCGACCTGGGAAACAGAACAAGGCTTTGTCTCAAAAAACAAAAACAAAAACAAAACAAAACAAAACAAGAAAAACAACAAAAAAAAACTTTATTCACTACTTGATACAGCATCAGGTTTATAAAGACCCCTAGAGACATTATTTCTGAAAATGAGAAATAAGTAGGCTCTCCCTGAGCGACTGGATGTTATTGTTTACTTGTTTATCTGTGTTATTATCTATTGTAAATCAAGCGTCTGACCAATAATTCATCTTTGGGTCTGCGGTTAGAAAGATGACGCATAATAACCTATCTAGAGCATTGCAGAGAACCTCACAGCAAACACTTGTATGTATCAATCTCACCCTTGAATTCATCTTATTTTCTACTGTGACTTTCTGTCCTCCTAATTTTTCATTCTTTATGCATTTATTTTTCAGAATTGTGGGTATTTTTTTAGTCACTTTAAATCTTTTTTTAGAACAAGGTAGATATAAATACCTAAAACAAAGTAAAATAAAACGAAATGAGATGAAACTGGTTTCTGACCTCAGGGAGCCCATAAATTACTTCTAGAGACTGTGTAAATTTAGAGAAAGATAAAGATAGAAGGAGGGCTGTACTATGTGCCAATACATTTTAGACATTTAAAGCAATAGTACCTGAGAGGATGGGAGATTAACCTGGGTTGTAGAACTCAGGTGAAATTGATGTTGGGATGGAATTCTATTCTAAATACTGAATCTCTAGTCAGTTTTATGATACTGAGTGGGACACAAACATCTAGGCATGAAACCACATATGATATAAATAAGTAAGGGAATATGCACCTAGATAGGCAGATTAGGGAAGTTAAAGGTCTTAAAAATCAAAAATTTCAGCCAGGCGCAGTGGCTCAGGCCTGTAATCCCAGCAATTTGGGAGGCCAAGGTGGGCAGATCACTTGAGGTCAGGAGTTCAAGACCAGCCTGCCAACATGGTGAAATCCTGTCTCTACTAAAAACACAAAAATTAGCTGGGTGTGGTGGTGCATGCCTGCAGTCCCAACTACTCCAGAGGTTGAGGCAGGAGAATTCCTTGAGCCTGGGAGGCAGAGGTTGCAGTGAGCCGAGATTGCACCGCTGCACTCCAGCTTGGGCTACAGAACAAGACTCCATCTCAAAAAAAAAAAAAAAAAAAATTCAAAATTTATTTTGTCATTCTCATGGTGCTATGGTTTGAGTGCTTCTTCCCCTCCAAAATAATGTTGAACGTTAATCCCTAATGCAACAGACTTGGAAGGTGTCGCTTTTGGGAAGTGATGAGTCATGAGAGCTCTTTCCTTATGAATGGGATTAGATGCCATTCTAAATGGGATTGCTAGAGGGACTTTGTCTTTTTTCTCCTACTTTCTGCATTTCTCCCCTTTAGAGGAGACAGTGTTAAGGTGCCATCTTGGAAAGAGAGACCAAACCCTCACTAGACAACCAAACGCACTGGCAACTTGATTTTGGGCTTCGCAGCCTATAGAGCTGTGTGAAATAAATTTATGTTCTTTGTAAATTACCCAATCTGTGGTATTTTGTCATAGCAACACAAAACAGACTAAGACACATGGCCTTCAATCAGATCTTCTTTGGCTTATTTTAGACACAATTTCAGCACATTTGTTTTTGTTTTCTCAGTTCACAATAGATTAGAAGTAATAAAAACTCTGACAACAGGAAATGACAACCAAATCAGAGTAGGGAAGAGAAAGCGTAAAAACACAGACAGAACTCCTGAGTATGGATAGCAAATTAAAGTTCTCCCTGTGAGCCTAATGCTCCTGACAACTCAGCAACCAGAAAGCAGCAACACTCTCAAGTGTCAATACACAATCTTGCAATAAATGGGTTTACATGCTATTAAATCTATTTAGGTTAAGAAATAGGCCATATATAGTATATTGAAGAACATAGATAAAATAATTAGTAAATTGCTCTAAGCAAATGACCAATACCCCTAATTCTGATTCCACAAGTACTTCTGCAAAACAATGTTCAAGCATCACCAATATGGAGATGCCCTCCTTAATGTTATTATCATTATTACAAAAATTTTTCCAATGCCACTGTTCCACAGTTTGTACCCCCAGTGTCCCATGGTAACATCATTAAAATGGTAGTTTTGGCTTCTGGCTTTTCCAATTTTATAATCCTGCATTCATTGTCTCAATTCTCAACTGATGGGCACCAAACCAGAACTAGAATTTAAGACATCAACTCACCTCGTTCTTCCAGTACCGACTCATTATTTTTTAATCAAGCCTTCTTTTCTAAGAAAAGTTTATTTTCTTTATACTGTTAGTCTCCAGTTGTCCATACTGAGTACACTTCTACAGATAAACAAAGGTATAAGAATTGGCCATTGGATTTAACAACTTGGTGGTGACCTTGACAAAAACAGTTTTGGGTGTAATGGGGATGACTATAGGCTCAGAATAGCATGAAAGAGTATGTGTATAAAAGACACAAACACATAAATATACACAATGTTTTGAAATGTTTTGCCACAAAGGGAGAAGAGAAATGAGACAGTAGCTGGATTGAAATGTGGGTTAATGGAAGATTGCTTCTTGTTACTGTTGTTTGTTTGTTTCCTTTTAAGATTATAACATGTCTTGAGACTGATGGAAATGATCCAGTAGCAAGAAGTAAATTGGCGGTATAGGAATGAAGCCTTTGAATAAGTAAAAACGATCAAATGACAAGGGGAAGAGCAAAAGACAAAGCTATAGAAACATGCGGGCAAGGACAAACCAGGTTAAACGTCTACACATCAAAGTGGCATCCTGTGCAAAGTTCTCCTCTCATCTTCACAGGGGCTCTTATCTTTACAGGGGCTCTCACCTATATGGGAGACTCAAGTGATCACAAAACAGGAGCAGGGATGATAATCGGACCCTACACATCTTGGGATTCCAGTTGACACAACTTTATCAGCTTAATTTTATTGGTACCAAAGTCTATTTTCAAAGTCTATTTCTGAGAAAGAGAGAAAAAAAAGAGTTTGAAGAAATACAGCAAGTTAGAATGTTAGAATGAGAAGGCAAAGGAGATTAATGGGCTCGTTTTCTCCTGTTTTGTAAATACAGTTTGAAATCCTACCAAAACAACTGTGAATGAAAATAAACCAGAGCACTGGAAATTCACACTGGCAATTCAGTTGTCAGTTCAAGAAGAGTCCTCTGGCATTAACAGTAAGAGTCACAGCACTAACACACAGAAAGAAAAAAAGAGAGAAAAAAGAGAGGAAAGGGAGAGAAGAGGGGAGAATAAGATAGGAAGAAAAATATAGGAAGGGAAAACTAGACAGAAAGAAATAGGGAGAGAGAAGAACAAGTATAAATATTCAAGAGGGAAAATAAAGAGATTTTCAGCTGTAAATCGTTATCATTCCTTTGTCCACACAAATGCCAGTCAGAGTAGTAGTATGTTTTTAGATTAAAATCCGGTAGCATCCCAGCCTCACTAGATAGTGCAATGCTTTGGTCTGGTGTCCTGCTCCCCAGACATAATCACTACACAAAATAAAGACAAATGAAAAATGTTGGTAATTTTTAATGGAGGTTGCCTTGGAGTTTGGCTCAGAGACAATGGCCTGTGGTTGTATTTGATTATAACTCATCTCCATGGGGGCAGAAATAGCTGTCGTAAATGTCTGAGAAATTATGAGCTTCTTTAGCAAGATGACTCTGTGATTATAATGACACTTGGCATTTGCACATTTTATAGCCTTTCTCATCTGAAAATCATGGAGCTGTGTTTATATTATAACCAGATTCTTGTGTGTTGCTTTAGGGTATATATCAATGAGCTTAGTGAGTGTTCCTCTTCTTTCTTCTTCTTTTTTTTTTTTTTTTTTTTTTTTTTTTTTGTAGGGGGAGAGCAGGAAGTGATCTGGAATATTGCCATCAGGATTGAGAAAGGCAGCCTTTCAGAATTTGATGAAATGTGTGAGATCAAAACTCACAAGGCAGTCTTAAGTAATAGGGTAGGTAGTGGCTATGTGTTAATTCTCCAGGAGAACACAGACTATCACTTGAAAGTTAGCCTAAATGTAACCGAAGAGTCCAAAAATTTTCCCATTCTCTGAAAATAGATTAATCTCTACTTCTAAGCAATATTCAATATGGCATGACTTAAAAAACAGGGAGAGGCTCTCTATTTGGAAAATATCCTCTCCCTAATTGCTAGAGATGCACACTTTAGCCACTAAGTCAAGATAAAGTCCCTAAAGGCTCTATTCATGTGTGTTGGTAATTTAAACTATCACCATCCATTAAGACGGCATGACTTAGTCTACGGAATTAGCTCTAACCACTTCATAAGAAATTGAGAAGATAGAGGGCACTGAACAGATTTCAAATTTCTTTTTTTGTGGGGTGCTAGGGAGAGGAATGCCCACAACATGTCTGGGTGAGTGTGGAAGCCAAAAGAAACTATGCAGGGTCTCAACACCAGAAGAAGAGGTGATGTAAACAGAAAGTAGAAGGATGCTATAAACCGGCTCTGATCACGTGCTACTAAGTCAGGTGACCCCCCATGTGATATTGAATAGTTTGGTGGCATTTCTCTGTACATTTTTTACTGAGAATAAAACAAACAAAGAGAAAAATTAAGCACTGTGTGTGGCATAAAGCAGCATTGGAAATATCAGTGTCTCCCTTTATCCAGACCTTTGTCTCCCCCTACTCCCAACCATTAACGGAATTTTGGCCACTTTTACCAGTTGGTGTCAGAACCCTTTCAGCTCTTTGGTCTCCATGGCTGTGTGGGTTTCTGACCCCAGAACCTAGGGCTGCCAGGTAACTTACAGAACACCAAGCTAAATTTCAATTTCAGATAAACAAAGCATATATATATATATATATGCTTATGTGTGTAGATATACATATATATGTGTGTATGTATAGTATACATGTGCTTCATGTAATATTTGGGACATACTTATATGTAAATTATTTGCTTTTTGTATGAAACTCAAATGTAACTGATGGCTTATATTTTTAGTTGCTAAATCTGACAATTCTACCAAAGCTACATCTCAGTAGAATAAATCAGACAGAACTGGTCTGTGTACAGGTAAAAAATTCACCATTGGGCTGTATTTTGAATTGTGCTCAGCTGATGATCTCTGATCTTTTCTATGCCAGACTCAATAATCATAGCTGCCTCCTGTTCCTACCTTCCACTATCCCAGAGCAGCCCATCCTGCTGGTGCAGAGACCTTTGGCCTCTCCATCAGGGATGCAGCCAATTCTTCATTCTGGGTTGACTGAACTGGCCCTGTGCAGTTGCCAACTAAACAGGGCAAAGAATACAAATGAGTGGAAAAGAAAAGGCTAGGAGCTTCTAGAAATCTCAATTTGTTTCATCAGATATTTGAAGACAATTAATCCCCTTAACTCAGAGCGTTGTTAGAATGGCAAAGCTCTTTGCAAATTCTAATGAGAAACAAAATAAGATTCCGTGACTGTTACCCTGATATAAAATAAATATTGACAAATTATGTAGTGGAGAAGGAAGCTGAAAGAAAACTTTGATATGTGGTCACTCACTTACTGTAGTTTAGCCCCTAAACCCTAAAAACCCTGAAAGCTATTTTTTTCTTCCTAGTCATTCAGCCTTCATCTCCCCTTGAGAATGACCCAGGTTACCTTGTTTCAGGGTAAAGCTGGGTTTTGGCAATCAGTAAATGTCTTTGCTATTCAAAATTGCTGTAGCAGCTGCATTTCAGGCACCTGCTCAGTGAGCAGGTTCCCGGTCAAGTTCAAAAAAGGAGCCATACCTTCATTTGCGGGATGCTGTGTTGAAGTCAGACTTCAGAGACATGGCTTTGTGCAGCCTCCTGGGATTTAGCTGGGCTTGAATCGCCTGTGACCTCTGTGCCCTTACAACATCACAGAAAACACCATCATGGTGCTCACTAATTGGTCACCTTGATGTCAGTCACAGCACGGAGATCAAGGACAGAGCCGGTCCCGGAAAGTGAACTACACACACTCTCGGAGGTGGTCTCTACAGGTCAGGCTAGCATCCTGCTGAGAGCACAGTGCCAGGGAACCTTACCCCAGGACTACTTAAAACATGGCTGTGCTGCTCATGAACAAAGGACAGGTGGCCCCATGAGTGACCCCTTCCTGACCACCCACAAAGTCCAAATTGTCAGCCTTTCACACCTATTATGCTTCCATTATCTGAGGAAAACACTAAGTGCTATGCTCTGAATCTAACACACAAAGCAGGCTCTTGAAATTAGTTTCTGCTTATTGGTTTTAAAAATTATTAAGATTATTTTATTTTTAAGGCAGCAAATCCATCATGAATTGTTGGAGTGTTACATGCAGAGTGCATTTGAGAAGCTCACTTTAACAGTAATACAATTTTGTTAGAATTCAAGTGCCATGTGCTTTTGTGAATAACATATAGTCGTAGGAAGAATGGGAAGAAATGTAAGGCACAAATCTTTCTATTATTTCCCTTGTATTGAAAAAAAATGTGTGGGTTACTATTCTCACCCTTTGAAACCAAGCATTTCAGATGGTAGGAATCTCTTGAATTAAGTAGAAATTCTAGAATTCTAATCAAGAAAAAAAAAAAGGAAGTGAAAAGAAAGAAGGAAAAAAAGAAGAGAATGAGGGAAACAGCTAGGGAGGAAGGAAAGAAGAAAAGAAACAAGAGAAAGAAAGAACCACTGCAGAAAGTATGGTTTGTTAAAAGTACTTTATTCTGTAGTTCAATTTATCAAATAAAATATTCATTTCAATAATATGAGATCTTTCCTTAAGCGTACGGATCATACTGATAATCTTCTGTTCCCAATGCCAGGTCTAGGAGCCACCAGAAAGATGTACTTGTCTGTCTTCAACAGGGGATCATATGCTGCTGCAGGAGTTGAGGACAAATATTAGAATAGAGGAGACGCCTTGGTCAATTAATTATCTAGACATCCATAATCATCATGAGAACCTACCTAGAACTTCTGAGGATAGAATCCATTGAAAACAGCAAGGACCAAAGTCTTGGATGCTTGGTCACATAAATGAGGAAGTGTGAGTTCCTTACACAGACAGGAGATGAGTCCACAGTTTTGCCTTAAATCTGTCTTTTAAGGCGAAAGCAGTTTAACGTCTTCTCAGTAACTTAATCAAGGCAAAACCTTTTGTGACTTGACAAGGTATAGGATGATTCCCCTTCAGGAGGTTTCATGTGCTAGGAGTAGATGAGAACCAGATCAAGGAGTGGGGCAGCCACTCAGTGAACAGGTCTAGCTGGAGTCAGTAGAAGACCTAGCCTGTCAGATAGCACTGGAAGAGCTGAGCAATTGATCCCCAGCAGGAATTGTGGCACAGTGTGTACGTATTACTGATTCATGAGATAACAGTGACATTTCAAGGAAGATTCTCCTCTATGGCAAACTTAAAGAAAACAGGATCAGGCATCAGACTATGGAGCTCAGTAAAGCAAAATAAATAAAAATAACGTGTAACGTAAGAACTAGGGGAAATAATTGAGTCAGTTATCGGCTTTCTAAAGGACCAGACTAAATTGAAGCCTTAACTTTTAACTTCTGCTTTCTTCATCTTCTCCTTACAGTGGCCAATTATCAAAGCTCAGGGAGTCATCCTAACAAAATTAATAAGACTGGGGCAGAAATGGCAACCCAGTAGTTTGTCTCTGCCTTTGCCAACTCAGGACTGAGGCAATGAGTCAGGGACAGTTTACATTAATCTGCATACTAGTTAATAAAAACTGGGCTGGAAGCAAGAGGACCAGGGGACAAGCTAGAAGATTCCCTCTCCAGATCTGGGATATGAAACAAACTGTGATGATTCTAGTTAGCCAAGCTGGTTTGTTTAGCTTGTTTAACTAGCTTTTTAAGTACCTTTCTATCTAGCATTCTGTCATAGCATATTTAAGAAGAAGCCTGGGAGAGGGGAATAAAGAGACACTTAATAAACTGTTTTGTAGTATGAAAAGGGACCTGGA
The DNA here is from genome assembly GCF_000001405.40 of Homo sapiens. Taxonomy (NCBI): domain Eukaryota; kingdom Metazoa; phylum Chordata; class Mammalia; order Primates; family Hominidae; genus Homo; species Homo sapiens. The sequence goes on from NC_000018.10 coordinate 39,349,862, forward strand.
GTTTCAGCCTTAATAAAAGCTTAGGTAACTTCTTAGTATTGTGGGAATGAAATAAAGGGGCCTGAGGGCTAAGTCCTTGTTTCTCATGCAAGAGGGCTATTGAGGGTTCATCTTCTCAAATGTGAACTCCGCTGGGTAATCAGTCATCCCCATGGTAACCCAGCAACTTTTAATTGTCTTTAATTAAGGGGCCACAGAGGCAATCAGCTACATTTCTAGCACATTAATAAGGGAAGCATGAAGTGCAAAATGGCTGCCAGAGGTAGATGATGCTCGCATAAACCAGGAGTCCTGGAGGAATTTCTAAGGGGAAATGTGATAGATGGTGCAACCTTGAATTTCCTCCTCAGATTCAGGAGGTGAAAAATTAGGAATATTCAATAATATCCGAGGGAAAAAAATATGAGAAATAAGTAAAAGAGCAAATAGGATCATCTTAGCTAAATTAATAAAACACATGGGATGTAATGTGCATCTGGAATTTTTAAAAGATTTAAAGACCAAGAAAGAAGACAAAGTGAGCAAGTTAAATTAAGCTGAGGAGGAAGACCTGTGACTTCACCAAAAGCCTGATATTAAACTGCAAAGCAAAATAAAAAATTGTGACTCTAATTCATCTTAAAACTTGCCTGTTTCACTTAGCTTTCCCTGGCCATTACAGTTCATATTAATCATTTTTAAAATGTACTATTAAGAAAGAAAAATAAAATTCTAAGCCCCCAAACCCACTGAACAGACCCTCTTTTGGCCAGAGAGACCCCAGAGAAACCTTGAAAACCAAGTTTCTGACTATGAAGGGATAACAGGTCAGACATGCCTCCCTTCTCCCCCACTTTTTGTTTGTTTGTTTGTTTGTTTGTTTTGATTCAGGATCTTGCTCTGTCGCCCATACTGGAGTGGTGCATTCATGGATCACTGTAGCCTCCATTTCCTGGGCTCAAGCAATCCTCCCACCTCAGTTTCCTGAGTAGCTGGAACTATAGGCATGCACCATCCCACCTGGCCAATTTTTTATTGTTAGTACGGACAAAGTCTCACCATTTTGCCCAGGCTGATTTTGAACTCCTGGGCTCAAGTAATCCTCCCGCCTTGGACTCCCAAATTGCTGGGATTACAGGAGTGAGCCACCACCCCAGGCCAGATGCACCCTATTATACCTCCTCCCTCCCTAATTGCCTTTAGGCTTTTTTCCCTAAGGGCTAAGCAGAAACCAACCCTTTGGAAAGACTGGCTCCACTGCTGGTATTATTCAACCTCCTGAGGCTGCCCTCCCCTTTTTGCAGTTTTGACACAACTGACCAACATTCCTTCCTGGTAAGAGACCATCTGCCACAGGGTGGTTCTGGCCAGTCTATGGCAGATGTGTAGTGAGGGTTTTCATGTCCTGTGCTTCACCTTTTGACATCAGAGGGCTGAAAACTCCACCCTGGGTTCGAGGTTACACAGCCATTTTTTGTACATGGGACCCAGGAGGGCATGAAGCTCAATTGCACATGTGCACATTTCTCCTTTTATAAATATTCATGACTCCTCCTATAGTTTATTGAATATGTATAATCAGCCACCCTGCTTAGCATAAATTCCTGTTCCCCTTACCTCTCACTTGAAGTTTCTGTTTCTGATTTCTGACTGGAGGCTATGCTTCCCAGCCTGTCAAAATGGCCACCTTGCAGGCTGCAACCATTTATGAGAAATAAAGCTCTCCTTTCCAAATATCTGAACCTCACCATTCTTCAGTTGACAGAAGTCAGAATTTACTGACTTCACTTTTTTTCCCTCTAATTATAAATGATCATATATTCAGGGGGGATAGTGGCAGACTAGTTGAGACAATTTAAGAAGTGGCTTTATATATTTTTCCATGCTTGGTTACCTCCACGTCCCTGTGATTCATTACACAGTAAATGCTTGATACCTGCTTTTATAGTTAAACCAGGCACTAAAGTGCAGCTTAGGTTCTGCTGCCCAAAGTAGCAAAGCTGAGCCTAGAACCAAATTCATTGCTCCTTCATGTTGACATGTGGAAAGAGAGAGGCCAGCTGCATGCTCTCAGCCCTTCTGAACCTGCTATAAGTACTCAACAAATATTTTGGCCTGATTCAGAAAGAGAAAATTCAAATTAAAGACTACAGTTTTGAAATGGAGGCCAAAAAAAAAAAAGAAAAAAAATATTTTTACTAAGTTTGTAAAAATATAAATATGTATAAATATGTATTTTAGGCTTACTTCTTTACACTCACAGTCTTATTAAACAATCTTAAATCATATTGTTTACAATTATATCCAATTCTTTGCTAGGATTCTGTGAGAAAAATTAGTAAGAAAAGACTTTCAGGAATAAGGGTCTGAATGAGTAATTGTCAGGGGATGGACTGCTCTAATTCTTTACAAAGGGATTGTTCCCAGCCTTGTTTTCACACTCCTTCTCACCAGTGATAAGGCTTGCTTGCATTAGGAGCTGATGCCTAATACAGTTCATTGCTTTTATTTATACTAATCAAGCAATTCACATAAATCTTAAATCAGCTACCGGGGCAAATTTAGGTTCTTTAACGCAAAGTAAGATGTAAGACAGGCCTTGTGTTCAGGGAGTTTACAGATTAGTTGGGCGGTAAAGCCCACACTGAAAAGAACACTAAGAAAGTGGAGAAGCCTATGGAACGGATTTTACAGTTTGTGGTGTTAGATGTAGCTGGCACTGATGAAGCCAATGGCAATTTTTATGTGCTGACTTTTCAAGCATTATCTCATTTTATCTTTATAATAATCCAGGGATGTAGATATTGTTATCATTCATGTGGTATTAGATAAACATCACGTTCACTTTCTGCTCAAAACTCTCCAAGAGTTTCTTTTCTTTTGCTCAGTAATAGCAGAGTTCTTACACGGCTGCAAAGCCCATTGGGTAGGATTCGACCTTCCTCTTCCATGCTCTGCCTGAGCCCCCACCTCTCAGTCCTCATCTCCTACCACTCTTCCCTTCCCTCACTGCACACTGGACACATTTTTCTCCTCAGTGTCCCCATGGTGGGCTTTGATGCTTCCAGGACTCACCCACATTCCGGTGCTTCAAGTCCTTCAGTTCTCTACTTTAATCTTATCAGGATTCTTCAGTTCTCTACTTTAATCTTATCAGGAAGGCTTTTGGTAATTTCCCTAAATGAAATTGCAGGCCTTACCCTGACAGCCAATCCTCTCATCTAACTTTTCTTTTCTCCATAAACTTCCCATGTTGGAATATGTTTATGTGTTAATTCATTTGTTAACTCTCTTCCCTGACTAGCAGGTCCCATGTTTTGTTCATGGATGTATTCCCAGTACCTAGAGTAGAACCTAGCACAAAATAAGGCTTAATACATATTTGAAGAATAATATGAATAGGGTCACTAAGGCTTTGGGAGCTTAGGCAATTACCCCAGTCACAGCCTCACGACGAAAATGGGACAGGAGCCCCATCTTCTACTACTACCTATCTGGATGTCTTCAAGGAAGCAAGACCATCTTAGGCTATGACAATGAAAACAGAACTTCTTATAACAAAACTTAAAGTCTTTGAGTTCTGTCTTCAAATTGTAATTCTGACAAATGTGAGAGAAGGTATGTAAAATTATTGACAGTGGGTTCACATTTTGATTATTATTAATCTCTAAATAAATCAATTTATCCATGATTCTATATGTGCTTAATACATACAGACAGCATTCCAAAGTTTCCTTTTCTTCTTTCTTCATAGAAATAGGTATTAAAATTATTGATCGATAGATAAGAGAGAGAGAGAGAGAGATAAAATCTTTCAAGTGTACTATTGCTGAATTCTTTACCTCTAAATTCAAGTACCTTCACTTCATGCTTCTTTCCAGTACTCTCAAAAAAGCAACGCACCTTACAAGTAAATATCCCATTAAACCTATGAACAACAAAACTATTCCCTCAGATCTTTACTATACCCTTAGGAATCCAATAAGATAAATTCACCTCAAGTTATTACTATTTCACACTTCTAGATTTTTGCATTTAGAGAGTTCTGAAAATATGGCAGTAATGGTTAAATTTACAGTACTGTTTTAGGTCAAATAAGTGATCTGCAACCTTCATATCATATTATTTGGTTGGTCTGAATTTTTTACCTAGACATAAAGCTGGCAGTGGCCTGGCAGGAAAACAAATGTGAAAAGAAAGGAAGAAAATGAGTTGTATGGCTTAAAGGAAAGTATTTTTCTGCATTCTTTCTTGTACTTCACCATTCCATCAAGAGAGGAATAGTCTTTCCTCTGTGAGGAACAACCTCTCTTTCATGCACTGAAAAATGTCATTTTTCATTTCTCCCTGGAATAATTTGAAAAATTTTCAAGCTGTATGGGATGCACAGACCTCTGTCATTCCAGGTGGCTTGAAGCTAAACAAGAAAAAAAATGGAGTATTCCTCATAATCACAGAGACTATTGTTTGGGTTTGTGGCAAAATATAATAAAATTTATAATAATGGCAATGGTAATTGTCCTGTGTAGTCAGCACTCTCTGTTTCCTTACAGTTTTTTATGTTCAGTTCCTGTTTATATGGAAAAAATTTCTAGAAAAACTTCTTTGAAACAGTATATATAAGTACAAAATATTGAAGTTCACCTTCTTTGTTTCTTTAACTTCCTCTCCCAAGTTAATTAAATTGAAATGGGGATTCTGCTGTTTGCTCCTTTAAAAAAATAGCCAATTGAAATTTAATTGGTATCTTTTTTCTTTAGTATTCATGCCCTGAAGCTAAATTAATGATCAGTTGTAAGCACTTCAGCTAAAGACTATTATGACTTTTGAAGGAAATTAAACCTAGAACCATATAGTGGATAAAATAACTACCAAGATAAGAATGACAACTGTACTATAAATAACAAAGGGTTAACACATGTGTCTGTGTTTTCTTTATCATTTAAGAAAATTTTTAACAATTACAGAGAGACAAAAGTCTCAAGTGTATTCTAGGACCAGTAGCTGTTGTAAATCAAATTAATTACTTTTGCCCAAAACTGTCCTAAGCAGAGGATATTTGGCCACTGGACTGTTAATATGTCTTTACTTAATCACTGTCCTATAATGTCATTCCCCTGATAGAAGAAATGAACTGGAGCAATACCAATCTATTCACCTTTCCTAAAGTCCTCAAGAAACCTTGATTTACAGGGTGAAAGTGTTATGCATTGTTTAGCTAAAAACTCTCTACCCCTCAGAAGCCTCTCTTTTTGTGGGAGCAGAATAAAGCCCACAGAAGACAATGACCTTTATATCTACCTTTTACTTACAGCTTTATCTCCACTCTCAGTACCTCGTGAATTTTTTTCCTTTGACTGGATTTTAAAACATCTTTAATATACATTATATCCATCAAGATGAAACCCACCCATTGTTCCATAGAGCTAATATTTAAGGTTTTTTGAACAAACATAGAAATTGGCCCTCCCTGGTCTTAAAACTTGAAACTTACATTTGTCTCCTCTGAGTTTTTTCCCCAGGAAACCAACCCACAGGCAAGGAACTGAAACTCTTGAGATCATTGCAACCAAACAACCAGATACCAGAGTCCTCATCTATCATGATTGCTTCCATACTTCTCCTTAATTCCTGTTTTCCTGCCTTCCTTGCTATATAAACACCACAATTTTAGTTGGTCAGGGAGACAGATTTGAGACTTTATCTCTCGTTCTCCTCTGCTGCAGCATCCAATGAAAGCCTTCTTCCTTGGAAATACTAATTGTCTCAGTGATTGGCTTTCTGTGCAGTAAGCAGCAGAACCTAGACAGAACCCCTGGTATTTTTGATAATAGGCTTTTGACATTTCCACTTCTTTGATCAAGAAGAATTCATCATCTCAATGTTACCCTAAACACCATACCAGTTTAGTCCATCTCAAAAAAGGCATACATGTTCAAAGACAAGGTTACATGGAAGGCGGTGCACTGATTGAGGGAAATCTGCCTATTATGACTTCTTGGTGCAATCACTTCAGTCTTCAGATAGTCACGGCCATCATTTCCAAGGCAACTAGAGAATGCTAGGAGAGGGTCCAGACAAAAAAATAAAGCATGAACTTATTTACTACTGATACTTGAGTTTAAATTCCTTTTTATTTATTTTTAAGTGAACAGTCTTAATTTTCTTCTTAAGGAATGTTGAAGTTAACATAATATTTAAAAAAAAACCTTCTCTGATTAAAAACCAATTCATTGTGGGGGTGACTAAGACACATTTTTAATAAAAGAAGTACCCCATATCTGAATACAAAATATTCCATCCCTTATGAACGCATACACACCTAAGATCTGTGGATGCTGAAATAACATTTATCAAGCTCCATCAACTAGAGTCACCACTGCTCTCTGTCCTCTGTACTTTCTTAGATGGACTGAGGAATTGTCCAAGCCCTGCTATTTCAGGAGGAAAATTCTCCCTTGCACATCTTTTCCGCAGAGCGGGTTTTGTGGGACAGCTTAATAGGTGTGGTAAGGAGTGGAGTCCTGAGCATCTCTAGAGTGTGTAGCGAGAGGAATCAACTTTTATGGTTTCACTGCTTTGCTGGAGAATGCTATAATTGATTCTTAGGGCATAGATTTGGATCCCTTAAATATTGGCCTCATTTTATGAGTTCTAATTTCCTTTTTAGTAAGAAGACTATGGCTAATAATAATAAATTGCAAGACCAACCCACGTTAAAGAATGATCTCCCCCCATGTCATTAAATGTAACATTTCAAAGTTCATGAAAATTGCTTCATAGGGATTCTTAAGATGGAGCTTCGTCTTAGGTATTAGGTTCATTGTTTGTCTTTCTCTCTGTCCGAATGGGTTAATGTCTGGAACACGGGTGATGAAGCAAAGGAAAACTCTTTTGCTTAACAATATACAATTTAAAACCCTAGCAATTGTTTTTGGTCAGTTTCTTGCAATCTGCAAGGTAATTTTTTTCAATTTATTTGGAATTAGTCAAGTGCACTGTTGAAAAGGCAGAGTGAATTGATGCTAAATAGTTTTTGGAAGATGTAATTGTCTGATGATTTGTAAATAGCCAAGCTTATCAAAAAAGTAATTTAAATGTTCTGCTGACAATTTTGTTCAGTTTGCTATACTCTGTAAACTGGGGAATCCAATTTTTTGCTCTCATTAGCATGAGAATTCTCTTTGCTTGACTAAATAATTTGAGGGCCTAAGGATGTCCAGAGGTTTGGAATCTGAACTTTTAATGATTCTTACCCAACATAAACATCATTCATAGGATGATAATGCCAAAGTGCTTTTTAATAACAAAGTTCGATGCATTTTCCAATGGCTGGAATGTGTCCCATAAGTAAATACTCTATGAGTGTCTATCTCGGGAGAAAGTGGGACACTGTCAAGTCTGCTTCCATTTCCCCCCATATTCCCCTTTGCCATTCTGTTTATGCTCTTTAATGTGAGCACTCTAAACTCCAACCTCCATCTGATAATCCATTGTTCATCAGATGAAGGAACTCTAAAAATCTCATTCCTATAAGCATATTATTGACTGGATCATGTTAATTAATCATTTCATTCATAATAGTAGTAAAATAATTTAAAAATAGTTATTTACAAGGCGATATATTTGCTAAGTACTTTAAATGCTTTATATAATACTTTTTTTTTTTTTTTTTTATTTGTTTTTTAAGATGAACTCTTGCTCTTGTCGCCCAGGCTGGAGTGCAGTGGCACCATCTCGGCTCACTGCAACCTCCGCCTCCCAGGTATAAGCAATTCTCCTGCCTCAGCCTCCCGAGTAGCTGGGATTACAGGTGCCTACCACCACACCTGGCTAATTTTTGTACTTTTATTAGAGACGGGGTTTCGCCATGTTGGCCAGGCTGATCTCGAACTCCTGACCTCAGGTGATCTGCCCACCTTGGCCTCCCAAAGTGCTGGGATTACAGGCGTGAGCCACCACACTAGGCCTATATACATACTTTCTTCCCCCAACTCCACACCAACTTTGGTGTTTTATCCCTACATACCAGTTTCTAGAGATTTGGTAAATTAAGCAACTAAGACTTAACAGTTAATTCTCCATGGTTATACTTCTAATAAGTCAACAAGCTGAGACCCAAAACCTATACCTTGTCTGACCTCAGATGTTAACTACTATGCAAGATTGCCTTTAAAAACAAATAACAAAATTGGAAAAATGATGCATTTTTAGTCTCTGGAATGGAAACATCTTGGACAAACCTTAAAAAGTATGAATAGGAAACTTTTACAGGAAAAGCCTAATTTCATACCCACTTTTGGTTGCAGTATTAATTTAAGTCAGGCTTAGGGATAATAATCTATTTGGAAACAGAGTTTGAAGCTGCAATTATTTATCACTCTACAGAATTTTTAAAAAATACTAGATGAAAAAAAGCTGAAAGTAGGGAGACTGATGGGAGTTTATGAACTCACTGAAGACTCCTGTTCATTCACACAAAATGCCTTTTGTACACTACTGATTATTAGATGAGAGAATAGGCCATAATTTTGTGGCCAAACATCTTCAAATCAGGTCTATACAAATATGGGATAGACTGTTTCCTTCTCCCAAAAGCATATCTTCTGAAGCTTCTTGGAGAAGGTGCTTATTAAGGATAAGATGGGCAGGGTGCAGTGGCCTGTAATCCCAGAACTTTGGGAGGTTGAGGCAGAGGGATCACATGAGGCCAGCAGTTTGAGACAAGCCTGACCAACATGGTGAAATCCTGTCTCTACTAAAAATATTTAATACAAAATTTAGCCAGGTGTGGGGGTGTGCACCTGTAATCCCAACTACTGGGGAGGCTAACGCACAACAATCACTTCAACCTGGGAGGCAGAGGTTGCAGTGAGCAAAGATCATGCCACTGCACTCCAGCCTCGGCAACAGAGCAAGACTGTCTCAAAAATCAATCAATCAATCAATAAAATAAAATTTTTAAAAACAAAAATCAAAAAAAGGATAAGATAATAATTTTGTAACATGCAGGAGTATCTGGAAGGGATAACCATTACCCCAGTATTTGCATTAACATCTGAATCTAGGCCTGGTATTATTTTAATCTCCTAGCAGAGTCATGGATCATAGGACTTGTCCCAGACATCAATAAAAAAAGGAATGGGGTGACCATAGGCCAGGGCATCTTGCAAAGAGCAGGCCTCATAAAGCATATGACAGAGGGTTTCAGAGAAGCCTGGTAGTGTTACCTGTGGGTCTTTGTTCTTAGAGCTCCCAATATGGGGCAGGCTGCTCCCAAGATGGCGGCAAGCCTTTTGTTCTCTGACCTGGGGTTCTTGGCCTCACAGATTCCAAGGCATGGAACCTTGGGCCATGCGGTGAGTGTTATAGCTCTATTAGAAGCCGTGGGTCATGGAAGAGAACTGTGGAACCCAGCGACTAGTGTTCAGCTCGATTAGGACGAACCCAGGCACTTAGCCACCCAGGAACAATGGCGAGCCTCTAGCCCAATTGGGAGCAGCAATGGGCAGCGCCTGGCTGGATCAGAAGCCAGCGGACACCCTACCGAACCCTGAGGGGTGGAAGTCAGCACGGGTCTGCGATGGCAGCGATCAGCAGTGGTGGGCAGCGAGTGAAAGCTCAGCTCCAGCCGGTTCAAACACGGACTAGAAGAGTGTGCAGTTGCAAGATTTAATTGAGTGAAAACAGAGCTCCCATACGACGAGAAGGGACCCAAAGGCCGTTGCCACTGGGGGCTTGAATGCCTGGGTTTATATCCCAATCATTTTCCCTCCCCCTGTGCTCTCAGGCGATAGATGATTTGATTATTTCTTTACCTCCTGCTCTTAGCCTAATTGGTATTTTAGTGAGCTCTCTTTGCTATCTGATTAGTTGGGTGTGAGCTGAGTTACAAGCCCTGTGTTTAAAGGTGGGTGCAGTCACCTTCCCCAGCTAGGCTTTGGAATTCTTAGTCGGCCTAGGAAATCCAGCTAGTCCTGTCTCTCAGTAGGACAGCATAAGAAGGCACTGCAGACAGCACATAATGGGAGGAAAGAGTGCTGAAAAGTAGAGGGAAGGTAACAAAGAAAATGACATGCCTGCTTTGTCTGCTACCTTTTTCAATGGCCTGCGTTCTGAAGTTTTCATATATTTCAATTAGATCTGGCTGCATAGGCAAGACTGGAGTGCCTGTGCGGCAGAAATAAGGAACGGCGTAAGCCGGAGGTGTAGCAGGCTCACTGCTCTGCTGTTTTGTTCTACTGCATTGAATAAAATGAATCTTTTCAAACAGGTGAATTTTCCAACAGAAATGGCCCAAACAGCCTCAGCTCATTGAATAGAAAGTGTAATGGTGATCTAAACCTATTACCTTCAATGGAGTCTGTGACATTTTCTTCCAGCATATTGATCGGCAAGAGAGAGGAAGAGGGAGAGAGAACTTTTTCCTCCACTCATTGTGTTGCATCAGTCATTGTAATGCTAGTCACAATGCATTAAAAAGCATTGAGAATCAACAGGGCTGGCTCTTTTGTAGCAGGAGTAATAAATGATTTTACTGAGCAGAATTAAAATGCTGTTTAAAATATACTCTGTATACATTTTTTCGAATTTCTCACCAATCTTTCTTCCCCCCTTTACAAAACAAGGAATCAAAAAATGCTTACTAATTAACAGTTTTCAGCATGTATACATCTTTTCCATTAAAGGTTCTAATATTTTTCTACAGAGAAATACCACAATACTATTTATTTCAGAAATATCCTCCGTCACATCAAAGTTTATCTCAAATTATCTGCAATTTAGGTTGAGAAATTTCATCTTATTTAAATTAATGTGAAAACTACAACAACTTCTGGAGGGTAGAAATGAATACTTCCTTATTTTTGGTGTTGTTGCTGTTGGGTTTTTAGCATTTGCTTTGTTGTAGTTCTTATTAAACAACGCAGTCTTTGAAGAGAAGTAAAATGAAATCAAATCCAGCCTCATTATATTGAAGTGTGGCTTATGTGGTTGTGGTTAAGGTGGCACCAGCGTTTCTGTCAGAATATGATTGAAATATCTCAATTTTATTGATTATCTTTACTGGCTTATTAATACAGTGAGAGGAAATATGAAACTTCTACAATCTTCTAATTTCCAGGTAAAATGTATTGATTATTTTTCATGAAATACTAATTTTCTATATGTGATATATACTTTTATATGTAAGAAATACCATCATGAATTTCAAAGCAAACATCTCAAAAATGCATGAAAGATGCATGGAAGTTCTCTAGTAGGAAAATTACTATTGAACTATCTTTATTGTTAATGTTATTTACTTATATTGAACCCATTTATTTTGGTTTTATCTTAATTTGGTCCGTTTCACACCTTGTGTCTAATATTTATACATACTTTTTCTTTGTCTCAGTATAAACCTATTGCATTTCATGTTATCTGAATTTTATAATCTTGCCTATTACTTACAAGCAATCTGCTGCTACAGTTGTTGCTAGGTGTTCTTATAAACTAATTTAACATCTGTTAGTACTACATAACCATATCAACCTACAAATGGCCAATAGAACTTCTCATTGTTGTGAATTACCATGTAGATAGATGGAGTTACACTAGTAATTGTAGGATCCCCTCCATATTTCATGGTAACTCGATGAATAAACATTGTTATCTGGGCTATTTTCTTTTCAGTATTGCATACAATTCACATTTGAATGTAATTGCATTTAAAGCAAAAGATCATACAAACTATCTTTTTAGTAAATTAATTGATAATTGTGCTGAATTAAGGAATTTATTTAGGTGATTCTGGAAAATGAGTTTTCTAGTGTAGAAATAGAGATTCAACCAGTAAAGATAATACAAGATGAAAGGATGTTTGAGAGATGCCTTTGTCATTTTGGTCTACATAGACAATGGCACTCTCTTAAAGAGTGGCTAATTTAGCAGAAGTAAACTGGAACTAGGTCAGACAAGAGCCACATGGACATTTACCAGTATGAACAAATTTCCTGCAAAAAGGATACCTAGTCCAGGTTGGACACAGGCATGGAGTTGAATACTTAGGCATTAGGCTGTCCATTGGAAAAAAACATATTCATGAAAGGCACCTTGTAAATGTCTGCAACTAAATCCCCTGAAACCTTGTCAGGGCTGGGCTAGATGTTACAGCCACTCTCCAGAGAGCTCAAGACCAAATTAGAGAGAAATAAAACAGTGTTATATCTTCATTTTACAGATGATGTAACTGATGTTCAGAGAAGGAACTGGAATTTTATCACTAAAATGACTTCTAAATCTTCAAAATTAAATGTTTCTTTCTATAATAGGCAGAATTCTAAGATAGCTTATAGATTTTCTTCCCTTGGTATAGGTGCCGTGTATAATCCTCTCCAATTGAATATGGTGTGACCTGTGAATATGATGGGCTGGTCACTTCTTCAATTAGATTAGATGATTAAACACCAAAGGTGGCAAAATAGTCCTACTTGTTAATATTGTCTGATTCAATTTGCTTAAAAGTAATATGGAGGGAAGAGGCAAAGACAGCACATCTGTGAAGCAGATCTATTCCACTGGTGGTCAGTTTTTAACCTTCATTTCAGATCATGACTGCCAGCAATTTCATGAAAAACAACAAAATATTAGAGTTGGCAGACTTTTATTGATTATGCTAGTCCAACATCTTTATAGAAGTCACATGACTTTTCATGAGTTCTCAACCCATTAGTGATTGGCTGAAGGTAGGAATTTACTTCCCCCAACTGCTGAACTACTCCAGCTTTGCTCCAGAATAGGTTGCCCTAGTTTGTGTTCTGGTATTTTAGAATTTCACATCCAGAAGCTACAGCATCCCTAGAACACAAGTCTCTGGTCATTTAGAATGATTCATTTTACTGGAAATGGTCAGAATTGCTGTTCTTAATTACAAAGTATACAGAATATACTACCAACCTAGAGGTATTCCGTGTAGTCAAACTTAAGTCATTAATTTACTTCCCAGTATATCAGACTTTACAGGGAGAAAATGGGTTTATATTTCAAAGGCAAACCAGATGTATTGGCTCAACAGCTCAGCAGTTTCATTTTTAGAGTACTAGTCACAGCCATATTCTTTAAGTTACCAACTGGAAATTCATAGGCATCAAATCCAGCTTTTGCTCTTATACTAGTATATTCTATCATTTGCAACATACTATTCAACCTTTAGGTTCCTCTTATACCAGTTATGAAACAATGATTCTAAGCCTCCACATCTCTTCTCAAATTGTCAATTGAGCTCTTTGGGAGAAAAAATTGTAAAACTTCTAAGAGGATTACATGATTGGGAGAGATTATATAAGTCAGTGGTTCCCAAACTTTTTGGCACTGATTTTGTGGAAGACAATTCTTTCATGGACTGGATGTCAGGGGATGGTTTGGGGATGGAACTGTTTCACTTTGGATCATCAGACATTAGATTTTCATAAGGAATATTCAACCTAGGTCTCTTGCATGCACAGTTCACAATAGGGTTTGCTGCTCCTATGAGAATCTAATGTCGCTGCTGATCTCTTGCAGGAGGCAGAGCTCAGGCAGTAATGCTTGCCCACTGTTCACCTCCTGCTGTTGCTGTGTGCAATGGAGGTGGGGGTGGTGCTGGGACCCCGATATAAGTTATACATGACAAATTCTCTCTCTACCCTACCACATTGACACCCTACACTGGATGTTTAATTTCTTCTTCACCATCATTGATAAATTGTAGCATACTTCATAAAAACCAAAAAAAAAAAAAACACAACAAATGAAAAATATCATTCTCTTTTAAGAAAGGTGATTTAATTTCAGACATTAATTATTGATTTTTTTATTTTATTGAACTAAAATTATATTTCTTTTGTGACTCTGACTCTTCAATCTTACATATAGCTATAGAAGCTACATCTCATCCACATCGCAGTTCTTCAAATAATTTCAGATTTCCATTGTGTGTTCCTTAGACTCTGATTCTCCAGTATTAGCCTTTCTGCCTCCTCTATTGGGTTACAGTAAAGTTTAGTGCCGAGCCACCCATACCTTTTCAGTATTTATAAACACTTTCCCAGCAATTTAGTAGTTAAAAAGAGATATAATATTCTGATTCTAGTTGACCAATTCCAAAAAGAGTAAAGTATGAGTTAAGTGATCATTTTCCTAAAATCAAAACATCAGATTTTCTTTTTTATTATCTATTAAGCCCTTTTCAAAACTGTATAGGTTTTAAAATAGGTAAAGATAGGGCAGAGAATTCCACCTAACATTTATTTTTATTAAATACATCTAATCAGAATCCATCTATTATATTTAAATTGGATATTATCATACAATTTTTTCTACCTATTTTTAGCTCTCATCTATTAATCTGATCAGAATGCCATCACTGGCCTTTTTCTGTACTTTAATATAAATGCACAAAAAGCTAGGATTCATGACAGGGACCTGGAAACACAAGGAAAGACCCTCTACCAGGTTAAAATTAATCACTTTAATCAGAATCCTTTTCATCAGTCAGTTATAATCAATTTCAAAATAATTCAATCCACATCTTCATATTTATCATAAAGGATGCTATGTAGGGCCCAGAGCTGAAAAATATTTTGCTGAAGTGCATACACACTACTCATCTGATCTACTCACTAGGTAAAAATAGCACTTAAAGAAAGAAGGTAAATCTGGAACTACTTGTTTTTTGTTGAACTAAATGATTTATATTAAGAAACACGAATACAATGAAGAATACGATGTTGATAAATATTGAGACCAACATTAAAGTCACTTATTTGTAGCTTATAAAATCCAACATCTTCTCTTTCATAATTATATTAGGTTGTGCAAAAAAATTTTTTTTTAATGACAAAAACCACCCTACTTTTGTACCAACCTAATAGTGTCGGATAAGGGAAAACATGTAAATAGGCCCGTTCTGCCCATCATCCTTCTTAAGATTCTGATATCCCAATGTCACACAAAGACACGCCCAACAATAATGAGTATGAAACATTACAGCACATGGAATTGGATTTGCCAGTTTTGAAATCATAAACGTTTTTGTCAAAATTTAGAAAAAAACAAAAAATAAGAGCGATGAGACCCACCATTGCTTTGTAATGTTTTGCCCTACCCACAAATCACTTTAGTCATGATATTTTTGTTTTCCTTTGTGAAAATTATATTGATAGACCCCTTTAATTTCTCATCTCCTCTTCTCGTTTCCAAAACTCTTCATAGATGGCCAATATTAATTTTATAGCCTTATCTGCAAATTCCCTCAATACTCCGAAGCGCAATACTTAATGACAAAGAGATTTAAGTTAATCTTGGTAAATATAAACTCTCTGGAAAATGTTTGGTTTTAATTTTTTTTCAAATATGTTTTATTCTTTCATGCTTTAAAATAATTATCATTAATTGAACAGAATGGAGCAATATAGATTGCAAAGAGTTTTCTGTACTGCTGTTTTCTCTTAATGTTAAATTAATCCACCCATCCCAAGAGCAGCTATAAAAAGCCATTAAGTTCCCCTAATACATTTTTATTTAAGCATTATTTTATTCATTTTTATTATTTCGTTATAAGAAAAAGCGTCTATCACTTTATGTTAATCCTAGGTTGGGATCTTCCTTCCACTCTGAAAGTTTGTTTCAAGTTTGGAAACCTTTTTAAAATAATACATACATTACTCTCCTTCATTAGAGCTGTTATAAGGAGAAAGAAATGTATGTGTGTTAATCTGTGTATATATGTATGTTTTTCTTATTAAAATAATTTCTCATAATTTATTATACAAAATTTAGGAAAAAATAAGCAAATAGGAGAAAGAAGTTATTTCCATTCATTCTCTGATTGGTTCCAATGCTGTTCACACTGTGGCATCTTAGCAGTCTCATTTCTGTGCACAGACAAAATTACTTATTGTTGTTGTTATTTCTTTGTTTGCCATTAAAAAACAAACACATACAAAAACAAAGCAACAATGAAAAGCAAGCACCTACAGTACCCTACATCTTTTATTTAACTGCAAATCATGAACAGCTTTTCATCCTGGCAGTCATTAGTTCTGATCACTAAATACGTTCAGTTCTCTGCCTTCTCCTCCCTGGCCATGTGACTTGCTTTGATCCCCACCTTTGAAAGGAGACCGCATATACTTTTCGAGGCAGAAGTTTGCCTGCTTCCTGTGACAGTGATCCACAGTGTTCCAGATTGCAGAAGCCCTGTAGTTCTGCATGAAACAGAGTGGAGTTTGTGTGCTGAGAGCAGCTAAGGGGACTCAGCATAAGATACTGGGGGCAGGCTGGTAGGGGAAATAGCAGTTCAGACTACAGTGTCTAGAGAGCAAAAGAATGGTAAACTCAGTCATAATGTCAAATTGTTGCCAAAAGGTGATTTTTTTAGAGGGTTGTACAGGAGTCTATAGTGGCAACCCTCAAAGTCATATGAGGTTACTTTTTAGAATCTAGACATACAATCCACAGTGAAACCAGATTTCACATGGTGGCTGAAATAGTCAGAGATGAGTACTCCTTGGTAAAAGAAACTCAGAAACATTCAAGACAGATGATCAAGCTGGAATTCAGAAAAAGCTTAGGCCTGAAAGAAGGAAATAGAAACACATGGTAAAAACAGTCAGAAGCCTAATATTTTAGCTTGGATCACAAGTGAATAAGGAAGGAAAATCAGTAGATGATTAGGATCATGCTTATCCCAGGGCCATTACAAGTCTACTAATTATAGTTGGACTCGATTATTTCAGCTTAAAGGAACTGACATGGGAAGAGGTATTTCGAAATGTGTCTCTCTAGTGCAAAAATGCTTATTTAACTATGTAAAATCCTTCCCTTCTTAGTTGTATAGACTACTAAAGAGGTATTTTTCCATGAGTCTTTCATTTATCTGATATTCAGTGAATACTCACTGTGTTAGAAACTATTCTGGGTATTGAAGAAATGATAGGAAATGAGACTTCCATTTCATCGATGTGAAAACCAAGAATACTACTATATCAGTCACCACAATCACTTCCTCCTCTTCTGAAAAAATCAGATAGACTTTTAAATTTATTACCCAGATGTTGAATACTGATATAAAACTATCTGAAGCTTTCAGTACTATATTTTACCTAACAGAATACAAGACCCATGAATTAAGGACTTTGTTTTCTTCATCATTATAATTACCCAGCTTAGAACAATGCCTAGTTAACATAAGAGATGGTTAACAAATAATAAAATTAATGCATAACTAACACCATTTTTGTTATTCTCCCCATTCCACTCCATAAATTTCTTAAGTTCTCTTTCTTTGGGGGCTCATCTAACACAAAATATATAACTTCTTTTCTAAGTTTAACCGGGATTAATTTTATTCTTTTTTCACTTTCAGTTTAACTTCATATTTCAATATAATCTGGTTCATAAAACCTTGAGCTCTACTCTGCTACTGTTCATTATCCTAGCTGCTTTCACATATATTCTTTCCACTAACAACCCTGTAGGGTATAAATATCATCCATTTGTATGTGAAATAAGGGAGGTTAAAATAAATGAAGCAATTCACCAGAGTCACAGGGTCAGGGAGACTTGATCCCAGTTTGATCCCAAATATATTTCCTAACACTTGTAAACACCATTCCTGGCCTTTTTTAGTCACTCCATCCCTAGGTATTACCTTAAATGATTGTCAGGAAAAATGAACACATAAACAAAAACAAAACAAAAATCTTATTCTTTATCACTATCTATATAACCAGTTTCTCATTTCTCAAAAGCCTGTAAAAGTTTTCCTTGACTCTGTCAAAAGCAGAATTATCTTTATTGTATAATAGAATATAAAATGTTACTACCTTTCATAGAAATGCAGATTGACCACTCTTTAGAAAAGGCTCATTTCATTTGTGTATCTCAGTTGGTTTACTGCTTTTTCCTCTTCTTTTTTTTCTCTATGATGTTTGTTCTTTCAAATAACTTTTTTTTTACATTTTATTGGTGCAGAATGTCAAAGTACCTTGTATATATATTTCATGGCTGATTTTAAAATTCTTTTTCTTTTTTCTTAAGTGAAAGCAAGTTTATTGAGAAAGTAAAGGAATAAAGAATGGCTACTCTGTAGACAGAGCAGCCTAAAATTCTTTTTAAGTAAAATTTACACATAGTTACATAGAAATCTTAACTGAACAATTTTGATGAATGCAAACATCCATACAACCCACTCCACTCCCTTTCACAATAAAAAAAAATATTCTACCTCCCCAGAAAGTTCTCACATCCATTCACTATATATTCTCCCAACTGAAGGCCAGCTACGATTCTGATGGATTCATTTTCTTCACCTTGGAAAGTTGTGCTTGTTCTAAAACTTCATATAAATGGAATAATAACACTGACTTATATTACTAACATTGTGTTAATGTGACATTACATTAACAGAATGAAGGGTAAAATTACATGATCACGTCAATAGATGCAGAACAAGCATTCAACAAAGCTCAACATTATTTCATGATAAAAAACTCTCAACAAAATAGATACAGAAGGTGATTTTCTCAACATTATAAGGCCATTTACAAGAAAAAGCCCACAGCTAACATTATAATTAATAGATAATAACTGAGAGCTTTTTTTCTAAGATCTGGTACAATGCAAGGAGGCTCAGTCTTGCCACTTCTATTCAATGCACTACTGGAAGTACTAGCAAGAGCAATCACACTAAAACATGAAATAAAAGATGTTCAAATAAGAAAGGGAAATTATCACTGTTTACAGATGGCATGATTCTATGTGTAGAAAATCATAAAGACTCCTCCACACGTACAAATACATACAAAACTTATAACAAATAGGGGAGTAGCAGAATAAAACAACATGAAAAAACCAATTGCATTTATTTACACAAGTAATGTTTTATCTGAAAAAGAAAATTTTAAAAATCCAATTTACAATAGCAAAAAATAATAAAATACTTAGGAATAAATTCAACCAAACAAGTAAGAGATGTGTACATTGAAAACTATAAAACATTGATTAAAGAAATAAAGAAGACATAAGTAAATAAAAAACATCCCATGTTTGACTGGGTGCTGTGTCTCACGCCTGTAATCCCAGCAACTTAGGAGGCCAAGGTAGGCGGATCACCTGAGGTCAGGAGTTCAAGACCAGCCTGGCCAACATGGTGAAACCCTTTTTCTACTAATAATACAAAAATTAGCTGGGCATAGTGGTGCATGCCTGTCATCCCAGCTAATCAGGAGGTTGTGGCAGGAGAATCGCCTGAACTCGGGAGGACGAGGTTGCAGTGAGCCAAGATCACTCCACTGCATTCCAGCCTAGGCTACAAGAGCAAGACCCTATCTCAAACAAACAAACAACAATAACAACAAAAATTCCATGCTTATGGATTGTAATAATTAATATTGTTAAAATATCCCAAAGTGATATACAAGTGTAATGCTATCACTATCAAAATTCCAATGACTTTTATACAGAAATTTTTCAAAAAATTATAATGTTCATATGGAACCACAAAAACCCTGAATAGCCAAAGCAATCTTAAGCAATAAGAGCAAAGCTGGAGGCATCACACTTCCTGATTTCAAATTATATTACAAAGCTGTAGTAATCAAAATGGTATGAAATTGTCATAAAAATAGACACAAGGATCAGTGAAACAGCATAGAGAGCCCAGAAATAAACCCAAGCATATATGGTTAACTAATTTTTGACAAATCCAACAAGAAGACACAATGGGAGAAAAAATAGTTTCTTCAATAAATGGTGTTACAAAAACTGGATATCCACATGCAGAAGAATGAAACAGTGCATACATTACACAATACGCATATATCAACTCAAAATAGATTAAAGACTTGAATGTAAAACCTGCAACCATAAAACTTCTAGAAGGAAACATGAGAAAAAATCTTCTTGACATTGGTCTTGACAATAATTTTGTGGCTATCACATAAAAAGCAAAAACTAACAAGTAGGACTACATCAAACTTAAAGCTTCTGTACAGCCAAAAAAACAAGCAAAAAACGTAAAACAAACCAAAAAATGACAAAATGAAAAAGCAACATACGGATGAGGAGAAGAAATTTTCAAACCACATATATAATAAGGGGCAATATCCAAAATATATAAGCAACTCACACAATGTAATAGAAAAATAAAATAAATAAATAAATAAATAAATAACCTGATAATAAATAAGCAAAGGACCTGAATAGACATTTTTAAGAAGACATAAAAATGGTCACCAGGTAGGTCAAAAAGTGTTCAATATTAGTAATCATCAGGAAAATGCAAATCAAAACCACCATGAGCTATCACCTCACACCTGTTAGAATGATATTACCAAAAGGTTAAGAGATAACAAGTGCTGGTGAGACTGCAGAGAAAAGGCAATCCTTGCACACTAGTTGGTAGGAATGTAAATTGGTGCATCTGTTATGGAAAATGATATTGAAGATTTTAACTAATTAAAAAAAAACTATCATAAAAGCCAGCAATCCCTTTGTTAAGTAGATACCCAAAGAAAATAAAATCAGCACCTGGTAGAGACATCGGTGCTCCCAAGTTTGTTGCAGTATTATTCACAATAGTCAAGATATTTAAAGAACCAGCTATTCATTGACAGATGAATGGATAAAAAATGTAAGATATATATATATATATATCTTATTATATATAGAGAGATATATCTTAAATAAAAAAATATTACTTAGCCTTAAAAAAGGCAATATTGCCATTTGTGACAACATGAATAGACCTGGAGGACATTGTGCTGAGTGAAATGATCCAGAGTAGAAAAGCAAATATGTATGCTCTCACTTATATGTAAAACCTTAAAAAAGTAGAATAAATGGAAATAAATAGCATTAATGTAGCCACCAGGACCAAGGAAGGAAAGTAAATTAAGAGAAGTAGGTAAAAGAATGCAAATTTACAGTTAGATAAGGTGATTAAATCTAGAGATTTAATATACAGTGTGAAGACTACAGTTAATTTTGTATACTGAAAGTTTTCTAAGAAAGTAGATTTAGGTGCTATTACTACAAAAAAGTATATGTATATTCAGACATTATATTGTACACTTTAAATATACACTAAAAAGTAATCTTGTTAAAAGAAAAAATGATTCAGATAAACAAAATTGGAGGAAATTTATTACCCATAGGACAGTCTTGCAAAAATGTAATAGGAAGTTCCTCTTTAGAAAGAAAAATAACACACATCAGAAACCAGGATTGATGTAAAAAAGGGAGAGTATCTATTCACAATAGCAAAGACTTGGAACCACCCCAAATGTCCAACAATGATAGACCAGAATAAGAAAATGTGGCACATATACACCATGGAATACTACGCAGCCATAAAAAATGATGAGTTCACGTCCTGTGTAGGGACATGGATGAAGCTGGAAACCACCATTCTCAGCAAACTATAGCAAGGATGAAAAACCAAACACCGCATGTTCTCACTCTAGGTGGAAATTGAACAATGAGAACACATGGACAGAGGAAGGGGAACATCACACACCGGGGCCTGTTGCGGGGTTAGGGGAGGAGGGAGGGATAGCATTAGGAGATACACCTAATGTAAATGACGAGTAAATGGGTGCAGCACACCAACATGGCACATGTATACATATGTAACAAACCTGCACGTTATGCACATGTACCCTAAAACATAAAGTATAATAAAAAAAAAGGAAGAGTGTCAGAGGACAAATAAATGAAGGTTAAATTCTTTTAAATTTTTAATTGATATAAAAGATAACAGTTTGTTCAAAATAATGATATTAACAATGCATTTGATGATTACGATATATGAGTAATTGTAATGAATTACATGAATGGTATAAAGGATCAGAAGGAAGAATTGGAAATACTCTTGTTATAATTTACGTGCACTATGAGTGATGTACCATTATTTGAAAAGGACTTAGATTAATTGTAAACATATGTTGCAAACTCTGAGGCAACCACTAATCAAATTTTTAAAAGAAGAACATTGCATATGCTAAGAATGAAGAGAAAATATAATCATAAGAAATGCTAAATTAAAACCACAACTGGTGAAAAAGAGTTAAAGAAAAAATAGGAATGCCATGCCAATGTTACTAATAATAAGAAATAAAACTGGAGTAATTTCAGACAAAGACAACTTTAGGACAAAGAAACTTGTGAGAAATAAAGGAGAGAATTACATAATGATACAGGAGTCAATTCTGCAAGGAGTCATAACAATCCTTAATGTATATGTTCCTAACAAGAAAGCATCAAAATACATGAGGCTAAAACTAATGCAACTGCAAGGAATCCACTATTGTAGTTGGACTCTTCATCACTCCTCTGTCAGTAACTGACAGATCTAGCAGGCAGAAAATCAGTAATAATATGGTTGAACTGAAGAGCCACATCAATCAACTGAATCTAACTGATGTTAATATACTATATCCAAAAACAGTGAAATAAACATTCTTCTCAAGTTCACTTGGAATATTCACCAAGATATACCATATTTTGGGCCATAAAACGTATCTTGATAAATTAAAAAATAAATAGAAATTATACAAATATAGTCTCAGTCCACAATGGAGTTAAACCAGACATCAATAACAGAAGGGCAGCTGAAAATTTATAAAATATTTGTAAATTGAAAAATGCACTTATTGTCTGTGTTCAGTGGCTCATACCTGTAATCCCAGCACTTTTGGAAGCTAAGGCAGAAGGATCACTTGAGGCTAGGAGTTTGAGATCAGTCTGGGCAAAACAACAAAACTCACTCTCTAAATAAAAATAATAACAATAAAATGAAATAAAATAAAAATAAAACCACACTTACAATTACCTACAAATACCTACTTCTTTTTTTGACCCCAAAGGTCAAAAAAAGAAGTCTGAAGAAAAAAATCTAAAAACATAGTTTTAGAAAAATTAAAATACAACTTATCAAAATTTGTGGGATGCAGCAAAAGTAGTACTTAGAGGAAATTTTATAGTACTGGATGCACACTTGAAGAAAGAGAGATCTAAACTCAACAATATAAGGTTTTATCTAAGGAAATTAGAGAAGAAAATCAACTTAAGCCTAAATCAAGCAGAGGAGAAAAATAAGTATTAGGGGAGATATCAATGAAATTTTAAAAAAGAAATCAAGAGAGGAAATAAAATCAAAAGCCGGTTATCCAGGCTGGAGCAGTGGCTCACACCTGTAATCCCAGCATTTTGGGAGGCCGACGTGGGCAGATCATTTGAGATCAGGACTTCTAGGCAAGCCTGGCCAATATGGTAAAACCCTGTCTCTGCTAAAAATACAAAAAAATTATCTGGGTGTGGTGGCACACACCTGTACTACTCAGGAAGCTGAGGTAGGAGGAGAATCACTTGAATCCAGGAGGTAGAGGTTGCAGTAAGCCAAGATCGCACCACTGCATTCCAGCCTGGGTGACAGACTGGGATTTGAAAATCTCCATCTATGACTGAGGGTTTGTCTATTTTCCCTTTTATTTTGTTAGTTGTTTCTCCTTGAACCATAAATCGCTGCTATTGATCACGTAAACATTTAGATTTCATTATGTATTCCGAAGTTCAGACACTTTTTGTTGTTTACAATGTCCCTCTTCATCTCTTATGTAACTCCTTGCCAGCGCTTTTCTTCTGATAGGTGTTTGACTGGTTGATTTTTTCATTTTTTTCCACTTCATTTTTGCCCTTGTATTTAAAATAGTCTTCTTTTAAATAGTACATAGATGGATCTGTGTTTGTGTTTTAAATTATTATTTAATATGATTATCTCTGTACTTAATGGGCATGTTTGGTCCACTTATATTTAATGTAATTATTTATATGATTGGATATAGATTTACCATGTCGTTATTTCATTCATTTTTTTCTTATTTGTCTTTTAATCTATATATGTATTTAGATTGTAAGTGGTTTTTTTGTAGACAACACATAGTTGCCTCTTGATCTTTGATCCACTCTGACAATCTCAGTCTTTTAATTGATATTACAATGAAAATACATTTAGGCCA
Organism: Homo sapiens; assembly: GCF_000001405.40. Lineage (NCBI taxonomy): Eukaryota > Metazoa > Chordata > Mammalia > Primates > Hominidae > Homo > Homo sapiens. Next base: position 39,373,879 of record NC_000018.10, read on the forward strand.
TTGATATTCAAAATTATTATTTGTTTAATGGGGTTAATATCTACCACATTTGTTACTGTATTCTATATGCTGCCCTTTTATTTGTTTCTGTTTTTGTATGCATCTTTTGCCTTTTGGAATTTTCATTGAGTATTTTATATGATTTTTTTTTCCTCTTGTCTAAGCATATCAGTTATTCTCTTTTAACTTTTTGGGAGGCTACCCAGAAATTGCAATATATATTTGCAATTAATTCAAGCCCACTTCCAAATAACACTGTACCACTTCATGAGTAGCATAATTTACAACAAAATAATTACAATTCCTCCCTGCCATTTTCTTGTATCATTTCCATCATTAGTTTTATGTATACATAAGCAAATATATTATAAATAAACATGTAATTAAATGTATTGTTACTATGATTATTTTGAGCAAACTATTATATGTTAGATCAATTTAAAATTTAAAAACAATAAAGTTTTTAATTTTACCCTACTTGTTCCTTCTTTAATGCTCTTCCTTTCGTTACATAGACCAATTTTGAACCTATATTATATGTCATCTCTCTAAAAGAACTTCTTTTAACATGTTTTACAAGGCAGGCCTACTGTCAACAAATTTGGTGGTGGTCGCTTTTTTTTTCTTTTTCTCACAACATTTTGTTTATTCCACTCCAGTCTCTTGCTTGGATGGGTTTTGGGAAACAGTTGCTAGTAATTCTTATCTTTTTTTCCTCTATAGATAAGATTTTGTTTGCTTTTGTTTGTCTGCCCCTCTAGCTTCTTTCAGGATTTACTCTTTGATTTTCTTTTTTAACTTTGAAATGGTATGCTAAAGTGGGCTTGTTTGTTTTTGTTTGTTTGTTTGTTTGGCATTTATCCTGCTTGGTATTACCTGAATTTCCTGGATCTTCCCTTCGGTGTCGGGCATCAATTTAGAGGAAGTCTCAGTCACGGTTGCTTCAAATATTTATTCTGTTTCTCTGTCTCTTTCTTTTCATTTTGATATTCCCAGTATATGTAAGTTATACCTTTTGATAGTTGTTCCATTGTTCATGGATATGTTGTTGTTTGCTTGTTTTTTAAGTCTTTACTCTCTTTGCTTTTCAGTTTGGGGGGTTTCTATGAGTATATAATCATTCTCAGAGATTCTTTTATCAGCTGTGCTCAGTCTATTAATAGACTCATCAAAGATATTCTTTATTTCTATTACAGTATCTCTCTCTCTCTCTCTCTCTCTCTAGTATTTTAGTTCTTACTTAGGATTTCTATCTCTCTGTTTACATTGCCTATCCTTTCAGGCTGTCTACTTTATCCATTACAGCCCTTAATATAGTAATCATAGTTGTTTAAACTTTCCTCTCTAATAATTCCAACATTCTTGCCACGTCTGGTTTTGATTCTTACTCTGTCTCTTCAAATTGTGGTTTTGGCTTTTTAGTATGCCTTGTAATTTTTTTTTCTTGATAGCAGACATGATGTACCAAGTAAAAAGAACTGCTATAAATATGCCTTTAATAATGTGGTGGTGAAGTGTAGGGGCAGGGGATGTGTTTTATAGTCTCATGATGAGGTCTGATTTTTAGTGTGCCTACGCCTCTGGAGTGTGAACTTCACAGGTGTTTCTCAGTTTTGTTGTTGTTGTTGCTGTTGTTGTTTCCTTCTCAGGTGGAACAGAATGACTGAAGTGAGCTGGAGTTTATTTCCCTTTCTCCAGGTCAGTTAGATAAAATCCCACCAAGTTAGGCCCTGGTTAACTTGTTTTTCCTGAGGGAAGACCTTGTTAAGATAAAATATAGCACTCTGGTATATTTTGAAAAGGTTTCTTTTTCCCTCCCCCTGCCAGAGCAGGGGATTATTCTCTACTATTTACTATGAGAATGTTATTGATCTCTTGGAGGCAAAACTCACAAAAGCATATGTCTCCCCTCTCCCTGTGACTGGGTTTCCCTGAAGTTTTGTTTTGTTTTGTTTGAGATAGGGTCTCACTCTGTCACCTAGGCTGGAGTTCAGTGTCATGACCTCTGCTCACTGCAACCTCCTCCTCCTGTGCTCAAGTGATTCTCCCACCTCAGCCTCCCAGGTAGCTGGGACTACAGGCAAGGGCAACCACGCCCGACTAATTTTTTGTATTTTTAGTACAGACGGGTTTTCACCATGTAGTCCAGGCTGGTCTTGAACTCCTGGTATCAAGTAATCTGCCTGCCTTGGCCTCCCACAGTGCTGGGATTATAGGTGTGACCCACCATGCCCAGCCTCCTGAAGTTTTTAATTCAGATTTGTTCACACCTAGGCTTCAGTAATTAATCAATTACAGTTCAGGTTTTACTACTATAGAACTGGTTCCCATAAAGGTTTCTGCTCAGGTATGTTTTAATTTTATTTACCAGCCTGTCTGTCTCTCCAATTTAAGAAGCAGCAGCTTGCTCTGTGACCTCGCTTCTCTTTTGGTTCTATGAAGTTGTAATTCGTTCAGTGTTTCACTTGCTTTTAGGATGAAGTCGTGACTTCTAAACTCCTTACATGTGAAACCACAAACCAGAAGTAACTACCTATTTTTTAATTCCTTTCATTTCTGTCTCTTTTAAAAATCTTTTTTTTTTTTAATATTACAGTTTGACCAGCCTGGCCAACATGGTGAAACCTGGTCTCTACTCAAAATACAAAAAGTAGCTGGGCATGGTGGCATGAGCCTGTAGTCCCAGCTATTCAGGGGGCTGAGGCAGGAGAATCGCTTGAACCCAGGAGGCAGAGGTTGCAGTGAGCCGAGATCGCACCATTGCACTCCAGCCTGGGTGACAGAATGAAACTCTATCTCAAAAAAATAAAAAATAAATAAATAATAATATTACAGTTTGACTTCTTTATGGTTTAATTATATTTCTTTAGCTCTTTGAATTTTAAGTCATTTCTCCAAAACTTAAGTATTTTTTAACTTATACTAATCCTATTCAGAATTGGATAATACTTTTTCATGTGATACATGAGAATTTTCAATACCATATTTCTATTTACCATCCCTGTTCTTTGTGGTGTTACCATATACAATACATTAATATGTTTATAGTGTTTTAACACAGTGTTGCACTGTTTGCTCTGTCATATTTGTTCAAATAGCTTAGAAGAATAATTTTAAAAATATTATATTTATTACAATTTATCATTTTCAGTGATCATTGTTGCTTCCTTTAGATTCAAGTCTTCAGCTTGTGCTCTTCTGTGTGTTATGTGAACAACAGCTGATGATGCCTATAGGTTTTGTCTATTTGAAAAGCGTCTTTATTTCATCTTCATTTTTGAGGGCTAGTTTCACTTTAATTGAAAATGTATTCATTTCAGTATTATTTTAGAAGGGTTTTCATCTGTGCATATAATTGTGGGCTATCTGCTTTATTTCCACCTTCTTTCTATATTTTAAAGGTCCTCCACAGTGTTCAGGTCTCCCTTTTTAACCATGAGGATCAGCAATCATTTGCTTGGTTTCCCTTATGTAAGTTATCATTTTCTATAACTAATCTCAAGGTTTTTCTTATATTTGGATTTCAGAAATTTGGCTTTGATGGGCTCACATGTGATTTTCTTTGTATTTCTCATGCTAGGGGTTTATTAAGCCTCTTGGATCTGGAAATTGGTGAGTTTCATCAAATTTGGTAAATTTTCAGCCTTTTTTTTCAAAATTTTTATTGTTTTATTTTTTCTTTGTTTTCTTCTGAAACTTCAGTTACACATATGCTAGACTACTTATTATTATCCTATAGGTTTCTGCAAGTCTGATATTTATCTTCAGTCTTTTCTCTCTTTCTTTTTCAAATTAAGTAAATTCATTAATCTAATTTCAAGTACATTTATTCCTTATTTGTCATTTCCAATCTACTTTTAATGTCATACAATTAATTTGATATTTTAGCTATGATATTTTCCACTGTGGAATTTCTATTTGATTCTTTTTTTGTAGTTTCAACCAATTTCTATGTTGGGAATTTTCATTTTTTCTCATCATTTACACATAATTCTTAAAGCTTTTAGTCATATTAATAACAGATGATTTAATGTCATTTTCTGCTAATTTTAGCATCTGGGTGATCTTGGAGTCAATTTCATTTGATGACTTCTTTTTTCCTAAATATAAGTCACATTTTCTTATTTTCCTTACATGCATAGTGTTTTTTGTGAGTTTATGTGTGTTGTTGTTGTTTTGTTTAATTTCTCTTTTTGGATTCTGTACATTATACAGAAGCTCTGAATTCTCTAATCTTCCTCTGAAGAATGATTTCTGTGTTGCAAAAAAAATTAAACTTCTGGATTCAAACTCCAAACTCTGCCTACTGAATCTCTATATAATTATTGTACTTTCCAGCTTCTCTTTTGTCTTTAAGTTCTTAAGACATTGTCCTCCTTTCTCACATTATAGTTTAATTGTCAACCAAGGGTATGGATAGATTTTTATATTCATATTTTCAGACTAATTTCTTCAGCTTTTTGCCTTGAAGGAGTCCACTACTAACTTTCTGACTATGTCACCATCTTTAAACTCTGCTGCCTGATACCTTGTTTTTCAGGCTCTGGGGCCTGCTAACCAGAAGTGCTCTCAGGCAAAGTGCTTCAAATTCACAAATCCTAACCTACTGCAGTCAATATTTCAAGAGTATATATCCTCCAAAGTTCCACAATTCATTGTTGTTAAATATTGTTTTCCAATTTTATCAATTTTCTCTGTGGATGGGGTATTCTAACCAAGCTACTTCAAATTACAACACTCTCCTAACTTTTAAAAAGGCCATTGCCTCATGACCAATACTTTGGAATTGCACCTTACTTTCTTGTTTCCTTCTTGTATTATTTCTTTTGTTCATGAAGAAATTCTTATTGTCCTTCATTAACCTGAGCTTTAAAAAGTATTCTGTTTCACCTTCTCAAGCTGGTAAAACAGATTATATTTAAATGTATATTGTTGGACTTGCCTCTTGCTGTTAAGACAGCTAGTTTAGTAGAAATATTACTCAGTTCGCACATCTCCATTTCAAGTATGTAAGATGAAAATGTCCACTGAAGGCTTCTACTAAGACTCAAATATTTATAAATTTCTAATCATTATTAGTTATTTCTAATTAGCACAATCTTATAAGATGGTTTTTGTCCCCTTTTTGACAATGAGGAAACTGAAACCCAAAAATACTAAGTAACTTAATGAAGATTCTAATGCGAAAAAGACACTGAATCAAAAAACAGATTTTTTTTCACTTCCATAGTGATCTCCTTTGGTCTTCTATAAACATATGTTTCTGTGGCAAATTCCAAAAAAAAAAAAAAAAAAAACCTAAACATGTATTTCCCAAGCATGTTAACTTACATTTTAGTATCAGTTAGAAACATAAATGTCTCTGATTATCTGCAGTGAATTAGCACATACTTTTCAACAAAGTATTCCAAAATATTCTCTTTGGTTTCTCTTATTAATCTATTTACAGAAGATCCCCCAGTTTACTCTGGCTCAGTTTAAGATTGTTTGACTTTACGATGGTACAAAAGAAATACCCATTGAGGGCCGGGCACGATGGCTCACACCTGTAATCCCAGCACTTTGGGAGGCCGAGGAGGGTGGATCATGAGATCAGGATATCAAGACCATCCTGGCTAACACGGTGAAACCCCGTCTCTACTAAAAATACAAAAAATTAGCCGGGCATGGTGGCACACGCCTGTAGTCCCAGCTACTCTAGAGGCTAAGGTGGGAGAATCGCTTGAACCCGGGAGGCGGAGGTTGCAGTGAGCCAAGATCACGCCACTGCACTCCAGCCTGGGCGACAGAGTGAGACTCCATCTCAAATAAATAAATAAATAAATAAATAAATAAATAAATAAATAAAAGAAATACCCATTGAGTAGGAGCCATATTTTGAGTACCTGTACAACCATTCTGTTTTTCACTTTTAGTTTTAGTACAGTGTTCAATAAGTTACATGAGATATTTAACATTTTACTATAAAATTGCCTTTACGTTTGATGATTTTGCCGACCTAAAGGCTGATAAAAGTATTTTGAACACAGTAAAGTAGGCTAGCCTAAGCTATGCTGTTTCATAGCTTAGGTGTATTAAATGCATTTTGAACTTACAATATTTTAAACGCGATGGGATTATCAGGATGTAACCTCATCATATGTCGAGTAGCATCTGTATCTAGTTTAACAAGATCTATCTTCCTCACTGCCATATTCTAATCATGACCTGCACATCTTTAAGTAGCCCATATTACAAACACCTTCCAAGAGGGAGGAGAGATGGCCCAAAAGATAATTTACTATGTGCATAGTTGAGAAATTGTTCTTCTAGTTAGGTATTAATCATCTACCTTAATTGCTTATTAAATAAAGCTCTCAGTAAAGAAATGTAGCAACCTTATTCAGAGGAAGCAACACAGAATTCTTGCACTTCTCTGTGGTCCAGGGAATAATAGACTACAGTGATACTATCTTTCCCATACGCCCAAATGAGGGGCATTTTTTAAAAGCACATTCAGCAGGCCTCAGGCTATGTAGAGTCCCTGGATATGTTTGTGTAAAACAGTGTATGGAAGAAGAGGACTTTGGGGAAGTCTAAATGATCTAATGGCAACCATTTGCTGCATTCTTTTCTCTGACTGTTACACGAACTACAGCAATTCAGGCTGCGAGCACCTGGAAGGAAATGCCCAGGCAGGCACTTGCCTTTGAAATATGGTTAGAGAGCCATTCCTGCATGTAAGTATCACCCTGTTATTTTCTTTGGGGTTTTCAGCCTGAAACCAATCAACCTGAAACCCAATTCAAGAAGGCATCTTTACAATCAGAAGCTGTGGGAAACTTAGTTTGTTGTGGGATCTAATTTGTCTTGGGTAGGAAAAAATATAAAGGAAAAAAACAGAACTTGGAGCAGTGGGGATTAACAGAAGCGGAGCTGACTGCATACAGCATGTTTGCGGTAATAAACAACAGTGTTATTAGCAAATATAAAGCCCGTGATAAACAATGCCATGATGTTCTATTCACCCTAATAGGCAGGAACAGATAATTGGGACAAATAAAGTGCTAAAACAGTCTCTAACCACCTTTCTGAGCGTCTCTCCGAATGAGTGAATCGCCCTGCATGCTACATGGCGCAGCGGTAGCCTGGGATACCAGCTTTTGTGTTTCACTAAAAGAATATGCTCCCGTTGCTAATGGAAAACAACAGAAGCTAAAGACGATTGCTGGGATTGTCAGATCTCCTTTTTTTTTTTTTTAAAGTGGTAATGAGTACACGAGGAGACAATTCCACGATTCATCAAAGCCAGAGGAAAGTACTTTGGAATACATTGCCAATTGAAGTCCCAAACACTTCCAACCATGGGGACTTTTAAATCTAAACTCAGAGCTCTGCTGTTTCATGTGGCAATTTCTTCTTTTCCACCCACCCTCGACAAACTGTCTTGTTCCAGCAATGGACTTTTTTTGAAGAAGCCTTTCTTATTCCTTATCAGAGCATCATTCTGACAGTTTCTGCTCTTTCATTTGGTTGGTTGGGTTTACACAGTAGATGGGAGTTTGACACCACTGAGCCTTGTTGTTCTCTGGCCGTAAAGACAGGAATTTATCATTCAGCATTTCTTCTTTCAGCCTCAGTTTCTCCATGTGTCCCTTTAGAGATTGCATTGGTTTAAAACTTCAGGTACTGGCTGAAGTATAAAAAGCTCTGAAGTTAACACAGTTGTTGGAAATCTCTGAAGTTATTTAGGACTATGGAGCAAGCAAAACTAATTGCAACTGGGTTATAGATGAATTTCATTCATTCATTCATTCATTCATTCATTCATTCAGTAATTCAACTAATATTATTGAGTGCTTACAGCATACCAGGCACCGTTCATTCTTATTTTCCAACTTATATTTGGACTCGGTTCTCATTTACTCTAGCAATAATCACAGTTTAGTTATCTTACCTCAAAGAAAAAAAAATTTATTCGTCACTTTTGAATTAAGTATATCTCATCTCAAATTTGCCATGTCCAAAATGAAGCCTTGTGCCACATATATCAGAATGTGGATAATTAGACAAGAGGGAAAGAGATTGGGGATGAAAACTTATTTTAGATTCACAGGTGTCCAGTTTTTTTAAATCTTGAAAAGAAAATGAGAGGAAAACAAAAAACCCAAAACCAAAAAGTCAGAAGCTGTGTGATATGATAAAATAAGAAATATATATTTGGTCTTTGGTCTTTGTCCCTGGTTCCATGTACACAGCTTCTAAGACCTTTGCAACTTCCTGAGTGATAGAAATGAGATTACCACCTTTCATTATTTATAATAAGCCTTTTTCAACCATACCTAAGTTTATATTAATGAGGTAACTCTTGGAGGATGCAGGCTGGTTGCCAGAGGTTTAGAATGAATAGAGGTTTAGAACTTTCAGCCTCACTCCCTACCATCCCACACCTCTGGGGAGGTAAGAGGAGCTGGAAATTCAATCACCAATGGCCAATGATTTAATCAATCATGCCTGTAAAATGGAACTGCCACAAAACCCTAAATTTAGGGGTTCAGAGAGATTGTGAGTTGGTGAAGATACTCACATGCTGAGAGGGTGGCGCACATTAACTCATGGGGACAGAAACTACTGAGTTTAGACTCTTCTGGACATTGCTCTGTGTAACTCTTCATCTGACTTTTCATTTGCATTTTGTATACTGAATATCTCAATTTTGCCCTAAAACCCAAATCCTTTTGTTTAAAACCATATATAACATTGGGGGTAGTTGTTTTCTATATTGCCAGTGCTCTACATAGATTTCAGTGTAAACTCCAGTAATTTTTTTTTTTTTTTTTTTGAGACAGAGTCCTGCTCTATCACCCAGGCTGGAGTGGAGTGGCACAATCTCGGCTCACTGCATCCTCCGCCTCCCAGATTCAAGCTATTCTCCTGCCTCAGCCTCCTGAGTAGCTGGGATTACAGGCTTGCACCACCACGCCAGCTAATTTTTGTATTTTTAGTAGAGACAGCGTTCCACCATGTTGGTCAGGCAGGTCTCGAACTCCTAACCTCGTGATCCGCCTGCCTCTGCCTCCCAAAGTGCTGGATTACAGGCGTGAGCCACCATACCCGGCTAATATTATTTCAAATGCTATAGTTCTATTTAGCTAATGAAATACTAACTGCCTTTTTAAATGTATATAAAAGCAAAATATTTGGCATTATATATAATAAAGTTTTCAACGTATTCTTATAGGAAAAAAAAAAGACACACTATGTTACCTGGACTACAAAGCCAAATAAAATAATTAATTGAGTGAAATTCAATGAGATGGATCTCCAATTCATATAACTGGAAATTTAAAAATCACTTGCATTGTAAGAGATTACATGGGATATACATTTATCTACATATATCTTAATTGAATATGGAAGTACATGGAGTGGGAATTGGGGGGCACTTTGATAATGCCGGACTGTATTGTGACCAATCAGATTGGTGGCGTGACTTACTTCCTTTGTACTTGCTGGTCTGCTGTGCTCTCACTTGTGCCACTCCGTCAGTCCAGGAAACCTCTCCTCTTATATCCCACTTATCTCATTCTTATACATTCTTCAAGACCCTGAGGACTTTTCTGACCACCTCAGGGTACCCGCTGGGCTCTCCCTCCTCTGGCCTATATTTTATTTATTTTTATTTTTTGAGATGGAGTCTTGCTTTGTCGCCCAGGCCGGAGTGCAGTGGTGCAATCTCTGCTCATTGCAACCTCTGCCTCCCAGGTTCAAGTGAGTCTGCTGCCTCAGCCTCTTGAGTAGCTGGGATTACAGATGTGCGCCTCCACACCCAGCTAATTTTTGTATTTTTAGTAAAGACAGGATTTCACCATGTTGACCAGGCTGGTCTTGAGCTCCTGACTTTTTGATCCGTCTGCTTGGCCTCCCAAAGTGCTGGGATTACAGGCGTGAGCCACCGTGCCTGGCCTGACCTATAGCTTTTACTGTCAGTATCATCCATTTGATGCTGAGAGTGTATGGCTTTGTATTATCTTTTTATAAGTAGGTCTCCAACTAAATTGTACAATTATTCCCCTGTATCTGTTAGAATGGCACAATCACAGAAAATTCTCAATTAATGCTTAATGCTGCTTATTATGTTACAAGATGAGCTCTCTGTACCAACCAACTGCACCAGTTCATTGCTCACCACCTTCTGGACAAATCTGGCCTAGGTCTCTAGGCAATTAGAACGGGCTTTTCTCATTGCATTCTAACCTCAGTTGTTTGATTCAGATACAAATTAATTGTGAGTAGAAGTTATTCCAATGTGACAACCGTCCAGTGTCTTGTTTGTGGAAAGAGAAAATGAGAACATGTTGACTGTGTTCCTTTTTTTGATGGGCCACAAGATAAAGAAAGAAAACAGGAAGAACCTAACATTATCATGACTATTGAAAACATGCTTACTCTAATCTCTTGGTGCTGTGCTCAGCCTTGTCATGAAAACAAGGTGGCATACTCAAAGTCCCCTTAAATAAATGTGTTGACTAATTCTGATAGGACAGTAGAAAACCCAATAGTATTCTTGTGTCTTCTTTGCATTAGTAGAAGATAGTGGTCTTCAAAGCTGTCATCATATTAGTACTTTTCGCAGATACTAAAATTCATCTTCCAAAATGAAATCATTATCCGAACAATCTACAGATGGGATGTTACTAGTGGAGTCCATGGATTTTTCTCAAGAGGCAAATTTATTATTTTACTTTACTTTCAGGAATGGAAAACATGACCTTTCTCTCTTGCTTCATCTTAGCATCATGGATTGGTAAATACGTTCTATTTTTTCCTAGGTGTTTTATTACTATTATCATATTTCCACTGCAGAAAATATGAAGGGGAAAAAAGAGCAAAAAATAAAATATGAAATAGGGAAAAGAAAGAAAAATGCTGAATATCAGTCAGGCTTGACGAGGTTCCCCTAAGAATAGATTACCTAGTCTAATGTTGTGGAAAAATGACTGCTATACATCAGCAGAAGAGGTCAGGAAATTAAATTTTATGTGTCCTGCTTGGAAAAAAAAGAGAGTTTGGCTGAAAAATAGAATTCTTCATGGCTTGGTGAAAATTTTGAACATTTCAATTCTCATTTACAAAAAAGACAAAACAAAACAAAACAAAGCCCTCATAGTGGAAGTAACTGCAAGTCAAGAAACAAGATAGATCTTGTAAGCCATAATGAAAAAAATGTCTGTCAAAGGTCCTGTGACTGCCTGCTATCATGTCCAGTCCCATAAGGTAATTGGAAAGGTGGCAGCCATGTTTTGGTCAATTCTTGAATTCTGTAAAGTTCAGGTTAGAGGAAAATCTGTGGCATTTATAATTACTTTTAGTGGCTATTTAAGGGGCAGCACCTTTGAGTGGATGGTTTATGGACCTGAAGGAATATTATCTAACTTATAAATGTAAGTAGAAATTATTTTAAAATGCTGCTCTTGTGAAGAGAGTGACCACTGTCCTTCCTATTGACCTTCCCTTGCTTCTCAGGTAATGTTCTTAATCATTTACTTCTTTTTTATATTTTCACCTTTCTTACCCTTTTTTATGTAATTCAGATGAAGCCCTACCACTTCTCTTCTTACCAAAGATAAAGAATTCATTTGTAACTCTCATATAATTTTACCACTGTCTATTCAGTTAGGGAATCTGCTCCATCAGAAATTTCCACACCACCTATGGTCTTTACTCTTTCTACCTACCAATACCTTCCTTTGTATACAAATATAAACTAACTTTTTTTTTTGAGACAGAGTTTCACTCTTGTTGTTGCCCAGGCTGGAGTGCAATGGTGCTATCTCGGCTCACTGCAACCTCCACCTCCCAGGTTCAAGCGATTCTCCTGCTTCAGCCTCCAGAGTAACTGGAACTACAGGCATGCACCACTACGCCCAGCTAATTTTGTATTTTGAATAGAGACGGGGTTTCTCCATGTTGGTCAGGCTAGTCTCAAACTCCTGACCTCAGGTGATCTGCCCGCCTCGGCCTCCCAAAGTGCTGGGATTACAGGCGTGAGCCACTGCGCCCTGTGATTAACCTCTTTATTAAGACATTATTATGGCAAAATACCCACAACTGTTTTGACCTTCATTTTCCTTCAGTTTGCCTCCTTCAGTCTTCCCAACTTTTCATGATCCGACTTGGGAAATAAAAAGTGAAGCCTCTGGCATGTACTTTCTTATCTCTTACAGTCTTGTCTATCAGATCTTTTCAATCTAATTTTTTCCTCCACCTGGCTTAGAAGGTAATCTTTTCAAGAAGAGTAATGAGTTTTTAACAATCAACATATGCATTATTTTCTCATACTCCTTAACTGTCCCATCTCTGTGAACTTCTCTCAGCTCCATCCAGTCTTTCACTTCCTCCTACCTTTCCATCAAATCCTGTTCTACTTTCTTTCCACCTCTTACCTCTTAAAAATATGCATTTTCCACATGCAAGTGCAGATTAAGGTTACTTCTTTCCTTCTAGTCTTTGTATCTACCTTTCTTATGGTGAGATACTACATCTAATAGATCCTACTTCTTGACACGTAGTGAAGCAACAAGGTAAGAGGCCAGGATACTGAAGACGGTCTGACTTAAGACCATCATGGTTTGGCAGTTTTTCAGCCATGGAGCTTTAAACAGTCACTTAACCTCTCTAACCTCACCTTCTAAATTTCAGAAAATTAATGAGTTAGAAAAATAACGAGTATATCAAAAGTATATTGAAAGAAATAAATAAGTAAATGTATGGAAACCACTTCCTCTTTGCTTTCCAGTCTTTTCTTCACAATCACCTTCTTTGGCCCTGCCCTGGCCACCCTCTTACTTCCAGCACTCCTGATCTTTAACATGCTGTGTTTACTTATGCAGTAATTGTCACCTCCTATAATCTATATTATTTAATGTTTATATAATCAACTTAATTATTATGTATATTATTTATTTATTGTTTTGTTCACTGATGAATTCCCAACATTGAGAAATATATATCTATGTCTAATTTGTGCTCAGTAAATATTTACTAAATGAATGTACTAAATAGGTATAGTAATAGGTATAAATAGGCATAGGTATACTTTTTTTGTTGTTTTTCTTTACCTCCCTCTCTTACTGTATATTTCCTTCAAGAAGGAATTCATATACTAAGTATCAAGATGAACACCAAAAAAGACCATCAACTAGACAATTATACTGTTTACAAAGTATCAAGTATTTAGATAATTGTAAAGTTATAGATAACTGACAAGCTTTCAGTTTCTTCACTGTAAAGAGACTGTAAAGTCCCATCACGTAATTCTTTAATTTGATGTACTTACAGAAATGTTTGCTTTTAAAGTGCCTACTGTCTTTATTGGCAGTGATGGAAACAGAGCCCCATAGACACTTCAGCAATGTCACTGTGGGAAGTTATTTTTCTCCAAACCCTATTGATGTGAAACAATTATATTTACCATCACATTCAATTCAACTATGCTCAAATAGATATGTTTACAAAGCAAAATCAAAGGCTGAAAGAACCAAACTTTTTTTTCCTACACTTCAAATTTCTATCAGTTAGAAAATTTAGATTGGTGAAAAGAAGAAAGTAGAAGTTATATAAATAACAAATTTATTTATTTATATAGTTGTAAAATTTACTAGAGATGAGGTTTTGCTATGCTATCCAGGCTGGACTCAAACTTCTGACCTCAAGCTATCCTCCCACTTCGGCCTCCCATGTAGCTAGAACTACAAGCATCTATCACATTATGCCGGCAGACAATAACTTTAATTGCCAACTTTATTTGTTTTATTTATAAACACGACTAATGTATTTCCAATATATATTATAAATTGACTACTGGCCAAATCAATTATCTTTACCACAATTTCTAAAGTTGCTTTTTGAAATATTTCACTTCCACCACAAATGATTGCTACCTAGATTTATAACCGTTCACAATTTACCACATTATTAATCATTACCTTATTGATTAAATATTACATTTCTTTATGCATTTATCTACTCATTCATTCAATGAATATTTATGACAAACCTTGTTTATGACACCACCAATGTATTATTTTAAAACCTGACAAAAATCTTTGTTTTCTTGAAGCCTAGGATCAGCATTAATTCATGTAGAAATCATGATTAAGTGATATATTATCAGAGATTTTTACTTCTTCCTGATAATTTTGTACTCAGATTTTCCAAATCCTATGTTTCACAAGCAAACACTTTGGAAAATGGAAGCAGAAATATATTCCTGTCTATAAAGCCAAAAGAGATTAAATAAAAGCTTGCCTGAAAACTAGATTCTTTTTAGGGTAACAGAATCCAATTATTAAAAGAAAAAAAATTCAAAAAATCACAATCATATATATTTAAAAATATACTTTATAGCTTGAGGTATTGTTACTACTAGTATGTCATTCAGGAACATGAAACCAGTAGAAAAATAATTATCATGAGGTTATTGCACAAACAAATATAACACATATATAAACATGAATCTATAATAGAAATTCAAGATTTTGAAAAATGAAAAGTCATAGAAAATCATACCTCTCATAGAAATTGATAAGAGTAAGTAAGCAAGCAACAATAGTAAATCGTACTTCTGCTTCTCCGAGGTGAGTAACATGGACTGATTTACATTTCCACCTGAAATAACCAAAAAATGGACAAAATATATGAAAAAGGTGATTACTAGGATACTGAATATCATGTAAAGAAGTACAGTGATCCCTGAGCGATGGAGGAAAAATGAGTAGAACCCTATGATTGCCCCAGCTTTTTGTTCTAAAAGAGTTTCCAGACAACACACACAGGGAGGAATCTTCTAGGTGGAGTCCCAGAGGACTCCCTGAGTTGAGAACAAGAATTTAAGATTCCAAAACAGCTAGAGTCTATAGCACAGAGAGTTAGAGAGGAGACAGCTGTACAAAGTCTGAATTTTGGGGGAATCTGAAGAGTCTCATTTAAATATCCAGCTGATTAATTATAAGTGTATATGTAGAAGAAAATGTCCGGAGTCTGGAGACAGAACCAAGAGAGAGAATTAGAGGTTAGATTTCCAGTGCTTACACAGAGCCAGTGTTATTGTCTGAATGTTTGTCCCCCTGATATTCATATGTTGAAATTCTAACACCTCCTCGTTTTCTTCAACTGCGTGAAGTTTCATGAAAAACCTACAGCTAACATCATAGTTAATGGGAAAAGACTGGGTGCTTTGCCTCAAAGATAAAAAATGCAAAGATGCTGGCTTTCACAACTTCCATTTCAATATTGTTCTGGTAATTCTACCCAATGCAATGAGGCAAGAAAAATAAATACAAATCATTCAGTTTGGAAAGGAATATTTAAAACTGTATTTAATGAAGAAAAATACAAAGGATTTTTTTTAAAAAACTAGAATTATTAAATGGGTTTAGCAAGACTAATTAAAGACCATTATATAAATATCAATTGTATATCTATACACTAAAAATATTTTTAAATCAGAAATTAAAATTAATAACACACCCCATTTATATAGCATAAAAATTATGACATACTTAGGTTTAAATCTCACAAAATATGTTTATGACACATACTAAAAACTTCAAAGCCTCACTTATGAAAATTGAAGACTAAGGGCCAACTGGAAGCAGCGTGATTGGAGGATCTCATCGAAAAGAACCATAACAGCATGCAAATCCTGCACAGGCACCTGAAGTATCCAGGTTCTGTCATCAGAACGGACTATGCAGCTGGTGTGACCCACAGAGAGGAAGGAAGAGCCAGTGTGATGTGGCTGTCCACCTGAGAGCCACACAGGGCAGGGGAGCCCCCACCCCCCAAGCCAAGGGAGGTGGTGAGTGAGCATGCTACCCAGCCTGGGAAAATGTGCTTTTTATATGGAACTGTGCAACCCACAGATCTGAAGACCTCACTTGTGAGCCCACACCACCAGGGCCTAGGGTCCCAGCCACAGAGCAGAGCAGATTCTCAACAGCCACTCAGCTAGAATCTGCTTAAGCCTACCAAGCTCCCAGGGGGAGGGGCAGCCAGCACCAGAGCTGTGGCTGCCTGCTGTCTAAGCCTTTTGAGCTCCTTGGAAGAGAGGCGACAGCCAACACTGGGACTGGTAGTTGCCTAACACAACAAGCTCCCAGGGTGGGGGAAGGGTGGCAGCCATTTCTATAGGCTCCAGGCCACCCTTTTTTCCTACTGGAGCCAGGGAAGCTGGATGGCTTGGTTCCAAGAGCTATCACCAACAGCCAAACACACCAGCTGTGGCAGACTGCAGCCAGAGTGCCTATTCAGGCCTGACACTGACCCATCCCTCTTCACTGCGCTGGGCCTCCCTACGGGAACTCCAGCAACTCCAGTCAGGGGCTCAAGGTCAGAACTCTGATCTCCGTGAGCCTGAGCCCTTAGGGAGAGGGGTGGCCACAGTCTCTGCAGACAAACAGACTTAATCTTTCCTCTTGCTAATTCTGAGGCATCCGGGGAGTGCAGACGAGTGTGTTTCCCCCCAGCAAAGCACATCCCTTCCACCAAGGGACAGTCAAAGTGATTTGTTAAACGGGTCCTGCTCCCTGTGCCACCCAACTGGGTGAGACCCTCCAAAAGGGGTTGTCAGACACCCTATACAAGACCATTCCTACTGGCAACAGGTCAGTGCCCCTCAAGGTCAGAGATCCCAGAGGAAGGAGTAGGCATCCATCTTTACTGTTCTCCAACCTGCCTCCTTGAGTGACATCTCCAGGTGTGGGAGCAAATCAGATGAATAGGGCCTGAAGTGAACCCCCAGCAAACTGCAGCAGCTCTACAGAAGAGGGGCCTGACCATTGCAAGAAAAACAAACAGCAACAATAACAGCATCAACAAAAAAAGGCCCCACAAAACCCCATCTAAGGGTCAGCAACCTCAAAGATTGATACTAGACAAACTCATGAAGATGAGAATCAATTAAAAAAACACTGAAAACCCAAAAGGCCAGAGT
Source organism: Homo sapiens (assembly GCF_000001405.40). Classification (NCBI taxonomy): domain Eukaryota; kingdom Metazoa; phylum Chordata; class Mammalia; order Primates; family Hominidae; genus Homo; species Homo sapiens. The sequence goes on from NC_000018.10 coordinate 39,390,854, forward strand.
GCCTCTTCTCTTCCATATGATCATAACACATCTCCAGCAAGGCGACAGAACTGGATGGAGGATGAGATGGATGAATTGACAGAAGTAGGCTTCAGGAAGTGGATAATAACAAACTCCGCTGAGCTAAAGGAGCATGTTCTAACCCAATGCAAAGAAGCTAAGAACTGATAAAAGGTTACAGGAGCTGCTAACTAGAATAACCAGTTTATAGCAGAACATAAATTACCTGATGGGGCTGAAAAACACAGCACGAGAACTTTGTGAGGCATACACAAGTATCAATAGCTGAATCAAACAAGTGGAAGAAAGGATATCAGAGTTTGAAGATCATCTTGCTGAAATAAGACATGCAGACAAAATTAGAGGAAAAAAGAATGAAAAGGAATAAACAAAACCTCCGAAAAATATGAGACTGTGTAAAAAGACCAAACCTACGATTGATTGGAGAACCTGAAAGAGATGGGGTAGGCCAGGAGCAGTGGCTCATGCTTGTAATCCCAGCACTTTGGGAGGCTGAGGCGGGTGGATCACGAGGTCAGGAGATTGAGAACACCCTGGCTAACACGGTGAAACCCCATCTTTACTAAAAATACAAAAAAAAAAAAAAATTAGCTGGGCGTGGTGGCAGGTGCCTGTATTCCCAGCTACTCGGGAGGCTGAGGCAGGAGAATGCCATGAACCCTGGAGGTGGAGCTTGCAGTGAGCCAAGATCGCGCCACTGCACTCCAGCCTGGGCGACAGAGCCAGACTCCCAGACTCCACCTCAAAAAAAAAAAAAAAAAAAAAAAGAGACAGGGAGAATGGAACCAAGTTAGAAAACACTCTTCGGATATTGTCCAGGAGAACTTCCCTAACCTAGTAAGACAGGCCAACGTTAAAATTTAAGAATACAGAGAACACCACTAAGATATGCTACGAGAAAAATCAACCCCAAGACACATAATCCTCAGGTTCTCCAAGGTCAGAATGAAGGCAAAAATGGTAAAGGTGGCCAGAGAGAAAGGTCACGTCACCTACAAAGGGAAGCCCATCAGACTAACAGCAGATCTCGCAGCAGAAACCCTACAAGCCAGAAAAGAGTAGGGACCAAAAGAAAAGAATTTTCAGCCCAGAATTTCATATGCAGCCTAACTAAGCTTCCTAAGCAGAGGAGAAATAACATTCTTTCCAGACAAGCAAATGCTGAGGGATTTTGTCACCAGCAGGCCTGCCTTGCAAGAGCTCCTGAAGGAGCTAAATATGGAAGGGAAAAACCAGTACCAGCCACGGCAAAAACACACCAAAATATAAAGACCAATGACACTATGATGAAACTGAATCAACTAGTGTGCAAAATAACCAGTTAGGATCACGATGACAGGATCAAATTCACACAACTATATTCACCTTATATGTAAATGCGCTAAATCCCCCAATTGAAAGATACAGACTGGCAGATTCGATAGAGTCAAGACTCATTGGTGAGCTGTATTCAGGAGATGCATCTCACGTGCAAAGGCACACATTGGCTCAAAATAGACAAAGGAAAATTCACCAAGCAAATGGAAAGAAAAAAAAAAGCAGGGGTTACAATGCTAGTCATTGACAAAACCGACTTTAAACCAGCAAAGATCCAAAAGACAAAGAAGGGCATTACATAATTGTAAAGGGATCGATTCAGCAAGAAGAGCAAGCTAACTGTCCTAAATATATATACACCCAATACAAGAGTATCCAGATTCATAAAACAAGTTCTTAGACACCTACAAAGAGACTTAGACTCCCACACAATAATAGTGGGAGACTTTAAGACCCCACTGTCAATATTAGACAGATAAGTAAGACGGAAAATTAACAAGGATATTCAGGACTTGAGCTCATCTCTGGATCAAGTGGACCTAATAGACATCTACAGAACTCTCCACCCCAAATCAACAGAATATACGTTCTTCTCAGTGCCATATGGCACTTATTCTAAAATTGACCACATAATTGGAAGTAAAACACTCCTCAGCAAATGCAAAAAAAAACTGAAATCATAACAAACAATCTCTCAGACCACAGTGCGATCAAATTAGAACTCAGGATTAAGAAACTCACCCAAAACCACACAACTGCATGGAAATTGAACAACCTGCTCCTGAATGGCTCCTGGGTAAATAATGAAATTAAGGCAGAAATCAAGAAGTTCTTTGAAACCAATGAGAACAAAGAGACAATGAACCAGAGTCTCTGGGACACAGCTAAAGCAGTGTTAAGAGGGAAATTTATAGCACTAAATGCCCACATCAGAAAGCTAGAAAGATCTCAAATTGACACCCTAACATCACAATTAAAAGAGCTAGAGAAGCAAGAGCAAACAAATCCAAAAGCTAGCAGAAGACAAGAAGTAACTAAGATCAGAGCAAAACTGAAGGAGATAGAGACATGAAAAACCCTTCAAAAAATCAATGAATCCAGGAGCTGTTTTTTTAAAAAAAAATTAACAAAACATACCATTAGCTAGACTAATAAAGAAGAAAAGGGAGAAGAATCAAATAGACAAAATAAAAGATGAAAAAGGGGATGTCACCCCTTACCCCACAGAAATACAAACTGCCCTCAGAGAATACTATAAACACATCTATGCAAATAAACTAGAAAGTCTAAAAAAAATGGATAAACTCCTAGACACATACACCTTCCCAAGACTAAACTAGGAAGAGGTCAAATCCTTGAATAGACCAATAACAAGTTCTGAAACTGAGGCAGTAATTAATAGCCTACCAACCAAAAAAAGCCCAGGACCAGACGGATTCACAGCCAAATTCTACCAGAGATACCAAGAGGAGCTGGTACCATTCCTTCTGAAACTATTCCAAACAATTGAAAAGGAGGGACTCATCCCTAACTCAATTTATAAGGCCAGCATCATCCTGATACCAAAACCTGGCAGAGACACAACAACAACAAATTTCAGGCTAATATCCCAGATGAACATCAATGGGAAAATCTTCAATAAAATACTGGCAAACCGAATCCAGCAGCACATCAAAAAGTTTATCCACACGATCAAGTCGGCTTCATCCGTAGGATGCAAGCCTAGTTCAAAATATGGAAATCAATAAAAGTAACCCATCACATAAACAGAACCCATAACAAAAACCACACAATCACCTCAATATATGCAGAAAAGGCCTTCGATAAAACTCAACATCTCTTCATGTTAAAAACTCTCAATAAACTAGGTGTTGATGGAACATATCTCAAAATAATAAGAACTATTTATGACAAATCCATAGCAAATATCACACTGAATGGGCAAAATCTGGAAGCATTCCCTTTGAAAACCAGCACAAGACAAGGATGCCCTCTCTCACTCTTATTCAACATAGCATTGGAAGTTTTGGCCAGGGCAATCAGGCAAGAGAAAGAAATAAAGGATATTCAAATAGGAAGGGAGGAAGTCAAATTGTCTCTGTTTGCAGATGATATGGTTCTATATTTAGAAAGCCCCATCACCTCAGCCCAAACTTCTTAAGCTGATGAGCAACTTCAGCAAAGTATCAGGATACAAATTCAATGTGCAAAAATCACAAACATTCCTATACACCAACAATAGAGAAGCAGAGAGCCAAATCATGAATGAACTCCTATTCACAATTGCTACAAAGAGAATAAAATACCTAGGAATACAGCTAACAAGGGATGTGAAGGACCTCTTCGAGGAGAAGTACAAACCATTGTTCAAGGAAATAAGAGATGACAGAAACAATGAAAAAAAAATCCATTCTTATGGAATAGGAATAATCAATATTGTGAAAATGACCATACTGACCAAAGTAATTTATAGATTAAATGCTATTCCCATCAAACTACCATCGACATTCTTCACAGAATTAGAAAAAACTACTTTAAATTTCATATCGAACCAAAGAAGAGCCCAATATAGCTGAGACAATCCTAAGCAGAAAGAACAAAGCTGGAGGCATCACACTACCTGACTTCAAACTATACTACAAGGCTACAGTAACCAAAACAGCATGGCAATTGTACCAAACAGACATCTAGACCAATGGAACAGAACAGATTCCTCAGAAATAACACCACACATCTACAACCATCTTCGACAAAACCTGACAAAAACAATCAATGGGAGAAAGGATTCCCTATTTAATAAATGGTGCTGGGAAAGCTGGCTAGCCATATGCAGAAAACTAAAACTGAACCCTTTTCTTATGCCTTATACAAAAATTAACTCGAGATGGATCAAAGTCCTAAATGTAAAACTCCAAACCATAAAAACCCTAGAAGAAATCAAAGTCAATACCATTCAGGACATAGGCATGGGCAAAGACTTCATGACAAAAACACCAAAAGCAATTGCAACAAAAGCCAAAATTGACAAATGGGATCTAATTGAACTAAAGAGCTTCAGCACAGCAAAAGAAATTATCATCTAAGTGAACAGGTTACCTACAGAATGGGAGAAAATTTTAGCAATCTATCCATCTGACAAAGATCTAATATCCACAATCTACAAGGAACTTAAACAAATTTACAAGAAAAAAAAAAACCCCATCCAAAAGTGGGCAAAGATATGAACAGACACTTCTCAAAAGAAGACATTTATACAGCCAACAAACATATGGAAAAAAGCTCAATATCACTGATTATAAGAGAAATGGAAATCACAACCACAATGAGATACCATCTCATGCCAGTCAGAATGGCAATTATTAAAAAGTCAAGAAACAATAGATGCTTGTGAGGCTGTGGAAAAACAGGAACACTTTTACACTGTTGGTGGGAATCTAAATTAGTTCAACCATTGTGGAAGACAGTGTGGCAATTACTCAAGGACCTAGAACCAGAAATACCATTTGACCCATCAATCCCATTACTGGGTATATAGCCAAAGGAATGTAAATCATTCTACTATAAAGACACATGCACAGGTATGTTTATTGCAGCACTATTTACAATAGCAAAGACATGGAACCAACCCAAATGTCCATCAATGATAGACTGGATAAAGAAAATGTGGTACATATATACCATGGAATACTATGCAGCCATAAAAAGGAATGAGATCATGTCCTTTGCAGGGACATGGATGAAGCTGGAAGCCATCATTCTCAGCAAACTAACACAGGAACAGAAAACCAAACACCACATATTCTCACTCACAACTGGCAGTTGAACAATGAGAACACATAGACACAGGGAGGGGACAACACACACTGGGGCCAATCAGGGGGTTGGGGATGATGGGAGGGAGAGCATTAGGACAAACAGTTAAGCATGCGGGTCTTAAAACGTAGATGATGGGCTGATAGGTACAGCAAACCACCAAGGCACACATGTACCTATGTAACAAAGCTGCATGTTCTGTACTTGTATTCTGGAACTCAAAGTAAAATTAAAAGAAAAATTTAAAAAACCATAAAAAACAAAAAAAAATTAAAGAAAAGAAAAATTGAAGACTTAAGTAATTGGAAATGTATTAATTTAAATAAAGTTTAAAATAAATTTATTATTTATATAATATATAATAATTTATTTTAAAATAACATATTTGTATATTTAAATAATTTTTAATATACATTTTAAAAATTAATTGGCAGGGTAATACATGCCTGTACTCCTAGCTACTGTTGAGGATGAGGTGGGAGGATTCCTTGAGCCCAGAGTTCAAGGCTACAGTGAGCTATGATCAAATCGCACCACTGTACTGGAGCCTCAGCAGCAGAGACCCTTAAAAAAGAAGTTGGAGTACAAAAACTCCCTGATTTCAAGTCTTCTTACAGTGCACACTTCCTACAGTGCTAATCCGACGATGGTGGTATTATACAATAATTAAGACAGTGTAGTATTGCCACAAATATAGACAAATAGATTAATTAAACAAAATAGGGAGTCCAGAAAAATGATCCACACACATATATACATCCCTATTTTTCCACAAAGTTGTAAAGGTAATTAAATGGAGAAAGGCTAACTTTTCACAAGTGTTGTTAGAATACCCAGAAATTCTATGTAAAAAAACAAAAACTTGAATTCATACCTCAACCATATACAAAAATTAATTCAAAGTAAACGACAAAACTAAATATATAATCTACAGCTATAAAACTTTTAGAAGAAAACAGGATACAATTGCGTAACCTTGGTTTAGACGACAGTAGTTTGCGTATAACAGCATAAGGTAAAAAAATAATTGAACTGGACTTTATCTAAATTACTTTTTTTTTGTTGTTCTTTGATATTCACTGTTAAGATAATGAAAACATTAGCCAAAGTCTGGGGAAAAAATATTTGCAAAGCATATATATTATAAAATACTTGTATAAGTAATAAATAAAGAACTCTCAAAACTCAATAAGAAAATAAAACACCTAACACAAAATGTGCAAAAGATTTTACCAAGGAAGATATACACATTGAAAGTAAGCCATGATAAGAAGTTCAACATGATTAGTCATTAGGGAAATACAAATTAAAATCGCAATGATCTACAACTCTTCACCAGTAAAATGGCTAAAATTAAGAAGCCTGACGATACCAATGACAGGCAAGTATGTGGAACAACTGGAACTCTTTTACTCTGTTGGAGGGAATATGAAATGATGCAATCGTACTGGAAAACTGTTCAGCGGTTTTGTTAAAAAGTTATACATGCATAAGCTATATGATACTGCCATTCCACGTCTATGTATTTGCCCCGAAATGAAGGCATACATCCATTCAAATACTTTCACACAAATGTTCATTGTAGGTTATTTTAATAACCAAAATCTGGAAACAATCCAAATGTCCATCAACAGGTGAATGGATAAACAAATTGTGAAATACTACTCAGCAATATTAAGGAATGCATTATTTATACACTTCAATGCCATGAATGGATCTCAGAATGGTTACTATGATCAAAAGAAGCCAGATGAAAAAGAGTACCTACTGTATGACTCCATTTACTTAAAACTGAAAAATGTCAATTAATTTATAGTGACAGAAAGCAGACCAGTGGTTGCTTTAAAGCAGAAGGGGAAGGCAGGGATGAATTACAAAGTGGTTCAGGAAAACTTTTAGGGGTAATAGATATATTCATTATCTTGATCATGGTGATAATTTCATGGTGTGTACATGTCAAAGCTTATGAAATTTAGTAAATTCTACATGATGTGAATTTTACTGCACGTCAATTATTTCTCTATATAGCTTTTCAAAAAGTTAGCAAGAATGTAGATGATTTGATGAAGTACATTAAAAATCTGACTTAATTATCATGTGAGATGAAGCATTCATCAAATTAAAAATATAGATTTATTTAAAATATACCTGGACCAGGTATTACAATGTAACTGGCACAAATGGCACACAAGAAATCTCAAAGATCAACAAAATTTAATATCAGACCAAACTCTCTGGCCACAAAATAACTTTGGAAATGCTTAATAGAAAGACAAAGAAAATTTAAACTCTTCTTTATACTTTTGTTGAAAATCTAAAGATTTCATACCGACTGTGTGCCAGGCATTATTAATTAACTGTCTATAAGTGTTCTCTATTATGTTAAGGTGTCTACTATAAACTTCCAAAATACTTATTATTAACACGGTAAATATTTTTGAAACCAATCCTTGTTTTTTGCCTTTTCATCTTATCTCTCAACCATATAATAAATGTCACTACTATCACTTACCAAATCTTTCCTTCCTCAATTAAGAAGAAAACTGAGATATAAGTGGAGATTTTTGTTTATTTGTTTGTTTTTGAGACAGAGTCTCACTCTGTCACGCAGGCTGGAGGGCAGTGGGGCGTTCTCGGCTCCCTGCAACCTCTGCCTCCTGGATTCAAGCAATTCTTGTGCCTCAGCCCCCCGAGTAGCTAGGATTACAGGGTGCACCACCAAACCCAGCTAATTTCTGTATTTTATTATTTTAGTAGAGACAGGGTTTTATCATGTTGCCCAGGTTGGTCTTGAACTCCTGGCCTCAAGTGATCCACCCACCTCAGCCTCCCAAAGTGCTGAGATTACAGGTATTAACCACTGTGCCCACCTTCCAGTGGAGTTTTCAAAGTCTAGTTTCTGAATCACATTGAATTAAAATTATTTGTAAGATTGTAACGATATAGGTGATTATTCATTATTGTTTTTTTTCTTTTACTTCTTATCACAAAACAAAATGTTCTTAGTTGTTCCGAAAGTATTTTATTATTATTATCATAAAGAGTGTTAGAAGAGGATTTATAAAAAAAATTCACAAAGATATTTTGTATTACATAAATCTCCCTACACATATCTAAGCTATTGTTGAGTTCCCATGGACTTTTGTATACTTACATGTCAGCAACTCAGTTCTAGCATTTATTTTAAAAAAACCCAAACTAAAAGGTATTATATTATATCAAAATACTGAAAAAACATCAGAATTTGTTATTTGTAACACTGACAAAGTATGCAACAGCAGATGCTGTTGTAATGCAGGAGAAGCTTCTGTAATGCAGGAGAGCAAAGACTCAGCCCATGGTTAATAGAGAGTTGATGCAGTTATGGGAGTACATGAGAAGGGCACAACTAGAGTACTTACTGTGACCAACGCTAAAGGGCTGGATAAAAGCAGAGGTGACTGAGAAGGAACAAATAAGAAATGTGTACCAAGAGAGTCTAAGAATGAGAGACAGTGGTGCCACGGAAGCCAATATGGGAGAGTACATTGGGATAGTGAACAGTGCCACTCTCCATGTTCAGAGTGGTCATGGGGGTCAAGGAAACACCAGATGTCCCCAGATTCCATCTAGAACAGAGAGATATCCATTTTGACCTGTAGGGTCAAGCCATCTAGATTCAGAAAAATCAGTGAAATTTTCTTTTTTATGCTAATTTGTAGATCTATTTATATGAACAAAATGGGCTTGATAAAAAAGACAACACATGAATACCATACAAGAAACTGAGTACATCACTCTGAAGAAATGCTGAGTGCAAACACAGACTTGGCTTCAAATTTCAGATTTTGAGAATTCAATGGTTCTTCTAAAAGCGTGGGAGAGATGTGTTTGCAATGCAAAATGAAGTTGGCAACTCTATGCAATAAACATTTGTTGGTACCTATTCTGTGTAGGAAACTATTTTAGAAACTGTGACTGTAGAAAATAGAAAGACTATTTTAATTTACATCTAGGAACTTAGAATCATGGATTTCTATATGATAAAAATTGATATGTAACATGAATAATTACTGTATTTGAGGCAAGTACAAAGTACTATGTTTGTTCATATGTATACATAAATATGTATATCTTAAGCATGCAGATAAAATGAATATACAATTATTCACACTTTTAGAGACATATGCAGATAATTTTTTCTCCAAAGTGTTTGGTCCAACATAGATATATAAATAGTCTATATTTTTATATGCTTGTAGAAACATATAATTTGAGAAGGTAAAAATATGTAATTTGTGTATAAGTCATCACAGAGATTAATTAATCTTCCCAGGGTTGAGACTGGGAAATCTCACATAACAGATGTGATATTTGAAAATGTATAGAAGTGTGTGGTATAAAGAAAGATTTGAGGTAAAAGAGAAGAAGAGAAAGTCCATATGAAATACTGGCAATTTTGTCCCACTTCAAGTTTGAGAATTCATGGAATATTGAATGTATTCCTTTTGAAATCATGTATAAATAATACAGAGGATCATTTCTCCTTGAATCACCCTTCACCCAGTCTGCTAATCTTTGAAAGCAATTTTTTAAAAAATGCCAGAGGAGTATGTTATTTTTGTAAGATAATTCTACGATAATTTTTGTAAGACAATGTTATTTTTGTGAGGAAGGGGAACATCACACTCTGGGGACTGTTGTGGGGTGGGGAGGGGGGAGGGATAGCATTAGGAGATATACCTAATGCTAAATAACGAGTTAATGGGTGCAGCACACCAGCATGGCACATGTATACATATGTAACTAACCTGCACATTGTGCACATGTACCCTAAAACTTAAAGTATAATAATAATAAAAAAGATAATTTCTAAGATAATTAATTAGCTTAGATTATTTTATTGAGAGATATAGTCAATTAGAGAAAGTAATATTTAGCATTGGTTTAAATACATTTATTTTGTTGATTTAGCTTAACTTTGCACATGTTTAAATTTTATAAATGTATAATACTATATATTATACATATCAATATATGTGTATATATGTGTATGGGTATATGCATGTATTTGTGTATACGTACTTATATGTATAAGTATGTGTATGTATATGTATATGTATATGTATATGTATATGTATATGTATATGTATATAACCAAACTGAGAAGATTATTCTGGTAACTTGTAGGATGATATAGATTCAGACGCCGAGTGTAATGGTGTTTAAAATCGCATTAAAATAAATACGGAATTGTTGTATGGTCAGTCTGAATGTTATTCAGAAAATGGAATGTTGAATCCGTGTATGAAGATGAAGCAGCTTCCTACGCATTGGCAACCAATCTGTTCTGAATAAGTAGGACAAAGTAATAAATGTGTATGTTTTAGAGACGAATGTGTTCCCCTTTTGTTTTTACTTTTTTTTTTTTACCCCCTTGGAAATCTGAAAATGTAAACAACATGAACAGACACGAATGAAAATCTCTCCCAGATATATCTCAGACTGATATAGAATTGAGTTATATTCCATAGCACACAAATATAAATTGCTCTGACCAGGTATGGTGGCTCACGCCTGTAATCCCAATACTTTGAAAGGCTGGGATGGGTGGACCGCTTGAGGCAAAGAGTTCGAGACCAGCCTGGGCAACAAAATGAGACACCCTTCCCCCTGCCCATCTTTATAAAAAATTAAAAATTAGCTGTGTGTGATGATGAGCACAGATAGTACTAGCTACTTGGGAGGCTGAGGCAGGAGAATAGCTTGAGCCCAGGAAGTTGAGGCTGCAGTGAGCCATGATTGTGCCACTGCACTCCATCCTGGGTGACAGAGCAAGACCCTGTCTCAATAAATAAATAAATTAAATTAAATTGAAAATAACTTGCTTCTGAATGTGAAATACGCATCTGTGCAAATGTTCATCTTTTCTTGCTACCTTTCCTTTTTTGAGAAGGAGTTCCTTAACCTGGATATCTTTCCTTCAAAATTTAATTCATTCAAAGAATATTCACTGACCACCTGCTATGTGTAAGAAACAGTGTGCTAGATTTTGCCAATTCTAAAAGAAGACAGTGACTACCTTGGCATGAACTTAGTTTCGCTAAACCAAGAAAAATAGCTAGCACTGCAACTTATATCTGATATAAAAGTAAACTCAAAAGTATAAGTTTATTGTTTTTTACTAGTCTAAGACAAAATTTCAAAAAAACTTCATTTTTCATGAAAAAGAGACAAGTTTCAATTTTACAATGGCTGCAACATGCTAAAAAATTATTTTAAAAAATAAAGAGGGAGTCAAGAAGGTAGAGGGGGAGAGGCAAAGGGGAAGAAAGGAAAGAAGAGGTAATATGTGGAGTCTGATGCCAGGAGACCGGTAAGAAGTTGGTCTGGTTATCTTAATGAAGAGCACAGTCTTTGGAGCATATTTGTATATCTGAATAAAGTCAGGTCACTTGAGCCCAGGAGGTCAAGGCTGCAGTGAGCTGTTACCGTGATGCAGAGGAGGGATGGTCAGAAACTACATGAATACCTTTGGTGGCTGGGTGTGGTGGCTCATGCCTATAAACCCAGCAATTTGGGAGGCTGAGGCGGGCAGATCGAGACTGTCCTGGCCAACATGATGAAACCCTGTCTCTACTAAAAATACAAAAATTAGCTGGGTGCAGTGGCACGCGCCTGTAATCCCAGCTACTCGGGAGGCTGAGGCAGGAGAATCACTTGAACCCGGGAGGCAGAGGTTGCAGTGAGTCGAGATCATGCCACTGTATTCCAGCCTGGCGACAGAGCAAGACTCCATCTAAAAAAAAAAAAAAAAAAAATGACAACAACAACAAAAACCTCCTTGGTTATCAACAGTATTTACCAGATGAGAAGGAAAAGGGGAATTTAAGGCGAAGAAATCTTAAACCTTTTGGACTAATTCTGAGTTAGAATGAATAGAGAACAGGAAAAACAACAAAATCTTCATTAACCAGATAATTATATATTCTTTATGTAAGGTCCTGTAATACAACAGGCAAAGACCGGTTTCAATGTATTTTCATCATCTGACAAGTTTTAGAGATTTCTATGGATGCTGGTTCTTGTTGCCTGTATAATCCTATGAAAGGCCATAGCTATTTTTTTTTTTTTTTTGGCCAACAGAAAGTCCATAGCTATTTTCCCATATGAGTCAAACTATGTATTCTGCTCACTTTTAGGCTGAGTTGATGTTTGTCAAAAATTTTAGAGAAAAAGAAAACAAACATTGTTAAGCCCATTATCAAAAAAATTGGTCAAAGGTTTGCTAAGCAACTGTTCTGGAAACAACAACAAAATAAACTTATTTCAACAGTTTGAAATGTTAAGTATTTATTACATTTGGGAAAGCATGCAATGATTTCAGAAGGAAGGGGCATACGAATAGAAGCTGATTCCTTTTAATAGAAATAAAAAGTGGTTTTAGAGGAAGAAGAAGCTCTGAAGTTTTCACATTGCTAAAAAAATCTCACCAGGACAGCATTTATATCTCCATACTACATGAATTTGTTTTACGTAATTTCACAGTCCATCTAAAATAAGGGTCAAATTCAAGAGACATTTATGTAATGCTGGAATGGAAGACACCAAAAAATGCATAGGGCAAATATTTATACATTCTGTTCAGCTGGCTAAAACTGTGATCTAGATCAGCAGGTCTTTAAGTGGAGTCCGTGAATCCCTGGAAGTACCCAAGACTTTTTTCAGGCTAAGTGCAGAGTCAAACTATTTTCATTAAAAAATTAAGGTAATGTTTGCCTTTTTTATTGTGCTGACAATTGCACCAATGGTATAAATGAAACAGTGAGTATAACTGACAATGTCTTAATATGTGTAACAAGGCAATGGCACCAAACTATAGTAGTCATTGCATTACTCATTGCCACATAAGCTCAGGTGAAAAAAAAGATACTTTACCTAAGAATGTCCTTAAAGAAGTAGTGAAAATTATTAATTTCATTAAGTTCCATCTTGAGTGTATGTTGACTGTTCTGTGTGTGAAAATAAGTGGTATGCACAAAGCACTTCTGCTGCGTACCAACCACAGTGGTGGTCTCAAGGAAAACACGCGTGCTATTGAGTTGCAAGCTGAACTAGCCACTTTTTTTTTAAATGGAATGTCATTTTTGAAAGCTGTTGAAAGACATGTAAAAAACAATGGTTATTAAGACATGAGTATTGAGTAGACATTGTCTCATAAAATTAACTGTGTGAACTTGTCACTTCAAATAAAGCAATGGACAGTAGTTTTTGCCATTGATCAAATGTGAGGTTTCAAGCAAAAATTAAAATTGTGGAAAACTTATATCTGCCACCATGCACAGAACTGCTTCCTAATAGCTAATGACTTTTCTGATAGGATCAATGATAACATTAATGAATAAATTTATCAATATTTGGAAGATCTGCGAAGCTCAGGAAACCAATATTTTTCAAATGACTAATGCATAATATCACAAAATTAGGCAAAAGATTAATTCAAGATGCAAAATATATCTGTGAATTTAATGAAACAGTGTGTAAACTTTATTGGTATGATTTCATATTTCACATTGCACCCAACCTTGATATGTAACTTGTCGAGTTTTGGTATAGTATTAAAAAATATATAGTTATACCTACAACTGTCCAAAATGGCTATTAATATACCCCTCCATTTTCTAACTCATATTTATTAATCCTCACACTTCTTTGAGTAAGGGTTGCTTTGTCCATATACCTCAATAAAGAAACATATGCTGCAGCTCAGTGGCAGAAGCAGATCTGAGATTCCAGGCATCTTTTGTAAGTCAGACAGTAAAGAGATTTTTAAAACATAAAATAATGCTATTCTTATCACTACATTTTTCTTGTTATGCGAAATATAGTTATTTTTTCATGCAAAACAAGCTATTTATGTTATATGTAATGGGATTATTATTTATTTGTGAATGAATAAATACATAAATAAATATTTTAAACATCCAGTTTTGATTTTCATACAATAAATATTCATAGATGTAATACCCACATAATCAGACATTCTTTGGGGGTCCTCAATATTTTTTTAGTATAAAAGATATCCAGAGACCAACATTTTAAAGAACCTCTACTCTAAGTCAGTTAAAACATTTTGGTGGAAAGGATGTTTAGTGAAAAAGGAAGCACAGGCCTCAGAATCAGACAAACCTGGAGGTAAATGCAAACTCCAGCATTTAATTATGTGTGTTCTTGGCAGCTTAACTTTTCAGAACATTAGTTTCTAAGCAGTAAAGTGAGTTTGAAAATATTTCCATGATACAGTTTTTATAAGAATTACAAGTAACCTAAATAATGTACCTAGTGCCGAAACTGCTACATCACAGACCTTCATTCAATATTGGCTATTGTTTATATATATAAAATATAAACTATATATAGTATATATATTCATATAATATATATAATATCTCAGGATAAATATAGAAATAGATATGGCTACAAAGTACTCAAAAACAAGATTGTAAACTACTTTTTATTTTTATTTATTTAAATTATAATCTTGTCAACATGATTGGGAATAAAGAGATTTTCACAATAAGACACTGACAAAAATAGAATAAGTATGTAAGTGAAGAAGTGCTTTGAAGTCAAGTGTATTAATTACATTTAGGAATTTAGGGGTGCAGATTACAAATAATTTACTATGATTGCTACCAATCTAGCAGCTATATATTTTTAGGTTGTTCTGGTGCAGGAACATACATGGATGAAGTATCAAATCAATTGAAATATATATTCAAAATCATGTTAGACTGGGGAGAATGGTGCTTTGAAGCTCTCAAATGTGAACAGTTTTTGCCCCACAACCAAGGACTTTCAAAGATATGAAGAGCAAAAAAAGAATTAAATATGACTGAAAAATAAAAGGAGCTAGAGGCATCATTTTCTTTTGCATATCTGCTCCTAACTATGCACTCCCTCTTTTAGTTCTTGGGAAAAGCCTCTCCATCTTCCTACTTCAGAACCATTACACTGCATACTCAGTCATCTCAAGAATTCTGTTATGATCCATAGAATCAACTTCATCCAGTGCTGTCTCTTCTCCATTGTTTCAAAAGCAAAGTTATGGTCACAATGTCACCTTGCTTAATACCCTGTCACCTCCACCCAGGACTGAAGTCCCCTGCACTCTCTTGCACTTGCCTCATGAACCCATCTCCCGTCATGCCCTTTCCAGCCCACTCTCCACTCAAACAGAAGTGCTCAATAGGCCTTCAAAGGCTGTGCCCTCTCCTTCTGCAGCTTGGCATATACTGTCTATTGTGTTTGAATGGCTTTCTTCCACCCCCCAATTCTGTAATATGAAGCTCAGATACCACATCTTCTTAAATTATCTTCTGTTATATCCATATTTTGCCATAAATCAAACATAATCTTGCTGTTCTCTCATCTCCCATTATAGTACATATGAATGATTTTATGGCACACATCTCTTTCTACTATTTGATTATTATTTGCAACATTGATTCATCTCCTAATCTATAGTGTCCCGGTTTAAACTGCCACCATCACTTACCCTAACTAATGCCAACAGCCTCCTAATTGGTCTCCATGCATCCATTCTTGGCCCTGTTTCATTCATATCTCAGTAGCCAGAGTAATTTTCTAAATTATAATCAAGCTACTAATCCACTCAAAACATTTAAGTGGTCTCCCATTTCTCTTATATTAAACCCCAAATTTCTTACTATGGTCTGACCAGCCAGGCATGATCTGACTTCACCCTGTTTCTCTCCCGTTATTGTAAACCACCCTTCCTTGACCTGTTTATTCCACAGCCATGCTGAATTTCTTTCAGTTCTTGAAACACCTAATGCTCTTTCTTTCTCAAGGAATAAAACACTGGATGCTACCTTTTCTGCTGAAACACTTTCTCCCTCGCTCTTCACGTGGGTACTGCTACTTATATTTAATGTTCCAGCTTAAATGTTAGGTCCTCAGAAAAACTCTTTGACCTTCAGTTCCTTGTTTATTTCTCCCATTGTACATACTGAATTTATACTCTTTTAAAATGTATTTCAGGTTATTTGTATTTGTCTGTCTTCCCAACTGAAACGTGAGCTCCATAAGATTGGGAAGCATGTACACCTTGTTCTCCGTTGACTCACCATCACCCAGCATAGTGCCTGATACAGGGCTCAACAAATATTTGTTGAACAAATAGATAGCGAAATGGTATTGGGTGCCAGGATGCCACCTTTAGTCAATAAGCTAAAGGTCTCTTAAGGGGTATTGGTAAAGCTTGAAAAATTATATTGGTAAGTTCTCAACACCCTGAATCTCTGAAATTATATTTTTTTCTCTAAAAAATTTTGAGACTCTTTGGAATAAATTATGATGACTCTCCATCAGTTTAGGTACTATTAATACAATGTAATATGAGGTAAAATTTGAAAGAAAATCTACTAATGACTTGTTAAGTATAGATAATGAGAGAAACCTTCCAGGAATTACACAGATGTTTATTTTTCAATGGTGCTCCATGGAAGCATATGATGAATGTTACCTGGATTTCAATGAATGTCCCTCAATATCTACATTTACTCCCATTCTTTTACAAGCACAAATATTTAATTTCTCAGAATATGATCTACATTTTAAAATATAGGTTAAAAGTGCTAATAGTGTTATTTTCATCAACAGAGAGAGGACTTGTTTGAGTTTAATTTTCCTTAACCATTAAATTATTTCTTTCCTTTTGCCTTTCCTCACTTTTTCCTTTCATCCTTTCTTCCTGTTTTCATTTTGGGAATCCTTCATTCCTGCCATGTGAGTGTCAGATCTGCATAAACAGTAGTACGTTGGTCACTTTCAGGGATGCTAGATTGAAGCAATAATTACAAAGATGCCAACCCTTATTGTAATATCCATCACTTTATTCTCTCAAAAGAACATCCTTTCACTAACTCAATATGTCTCACAAACTTTAACTGTTTTTCTTGACTGACTTCTGAGTCACATTTTTCTACATCTTTTCTATTATGGCCTCTCTGCCATCACAGAATTATTTTTACCACCTAGCTCTCCTGGATCATGTATTTGGGGCATTCTTCCAAAGAAATTTGATCCAGGGCTCCTTGATGTATCAGTAATTCCCACCGGGAATTAGACACTACTTAGGCACCATCTCATAGCCTCCTAGCCTCACCTATCTCCAGAATTCTGAGTCAGTTATTTCTCCCAGTCATGGTTCCAGCAACCAGCACTGCATAAGATCAGGCTGACTTCACTTGGACTCCCAACCCATAGTTGAGATAATGACCATGACTGAGATTTTGGGCTTCACCAATGCCACTGTAGACTGAGATGCTGAATTCCCACCGAGCTTCTGCATAGACTCAACTCTGAAAGGCATTTTGTATGCACCATCTCTTGTGAGTGAGCCATTGACCTATGAGAAAATAGTAATCAAGGGGTCAAGTTTTCTCTCTCCAACTTTGAGACCTACCAACCTGAGATTAGCAACGATTTGTTGGGACTTGGAAGGCCATCCTACAAAATGGAGCTTTGCTTGAGGGACAGCAGAATTCAGCACCATTAGGCACTATGTATTTGCTGTCTCTCCTTTTTTTCATTTCCATTTTCTTCCGTCCTGGTTCTTTGAAATTTTTCCTACTGATAAGGAAATAACACAGTAGTTTGCTAGTTGTTGCTTTGAACTCTACTTTCTGGGGAACTCAGTTGGGGCAAACATTCTCTCTTATGAGACTTCCATGATCTCATATTCATTCACTAAACACCATCTCTAACAGCTCTGCCCATGGTCTACTGAAACATGGAAAAGAGGCCCAAGGCTTATATACCAAAGATATGGTTCTCCTTTTAGAGTGAAACCAAGGAAATTGTTCTTGATCACATATTTGATCCCTGGAATAGACTATACATATATATGTGTATATATAAATTATGTATATATTTATATATATACACACACAAATTATATATATTTATATATATACACACAAGTTATATATGTTTATATATATATACACACATATATATAATGCTAAATTCTAAACGAAGACACTTAATTGTAGGCTATAATTCTCCCATGGAATTCTTGATATAGAGAGTATGTTCAATAGCTATTTAAGTATCCATTTGATCTCTTAACTCTGATAAAAGCTTCTTAGATTATTACTACCTATACCAGGTAGTATCTCTCTTTTTTCAATGAGATACCTATTTAGGTGCAAGTTTAACTGTAGGAAGCACTTATACATTTATTTATATATGCACACACATGCACACATGTATATCTATATTTATATAGATATAAATATAAATATAAATATATATATATATATATATATATATATTTTCACTCATTTAAGAGGGTTTTTGACCTCTTACCATATGCCAAGCATTCTTCTAGGCATTGAATATTTAGTACTGAATGAAAAAGTCATATTTTATATTCTTATTGAAATTATAGTCTAGTATAAAAGAAGGTCCTTTACTCAAGAAAAATAAAAAATATTTTAAGATCTCTACAAGTTTAAGGTCTTTATCTCACAGCATTATAATTTTTTTTTGTTTTATTCTCCAGCTGTATCTCATGTAAACATTACTAACAGATATTTCACAGGATTATTTGAAAACAAAACAAGGAAGCCAAGCAGATTTACCATATCTAGGAACATTAGAACAACCCTCGGGGAGAAACAGAATTTTGTCTAATCCACCACACATCTGGGAAAGGGAAATAAGGTTGAATTCATAATTCACTTGTACCACAGGACTAGTTTAACAATAAAAAAATAGATAGTAATAAGGTATGACACCACAGAGATTGGGAGATAAGGTAAATGTAGCCTAGAACCTTTTCAACCCTAGTTAATGAGAATCCCTAAACACCACCAGACAACTTAATAGACCTAGCCATTACTTGAACATTTTGCCTTCTAGGCAGCTTCCTATTCTTCTTCCATTAATTCAAAACTTCAAAAGCACCAAGCTACATTTCATTCACAAATTGGATGAGATGTTAAATTAGGGAGATGGCATCTGAATCACTCAAGGTTGTTAGGCTTGTCGCAGTCAATATAAGCCACAACTCTCTCACATGTGCGGGGCTGCTCTACTCACAAAATGTGAGAGGGCTTTTACCTACACATACATCCTGACAAGGTTTGCCCAGGGAGAGTCAGCCTCAGTAAAGATACAGATAGCTGATGGCACTTATTCAAACGTAAAATAATGGTGGAGAGAAAGAACACAAGCACAGCACACATTTCTCAGGCATTTCTAATCACTTAACACACTCACATCTATACCTTGAAATCAAAGGCCCTCCTTTATTATAATAGATATATTTTAAAAATAATTTTAGGTAAACGAGAAAGCTGACAAACTTTTAAAAACTCCCTTCACTTTATCATTTAATAAAATAAATCAATTTTTACAATTTACATATGCTTTGAAAAAATTTTTAAGACCAAAATATTTAGTACAGTTTCTCCCCTACAAAATAGTGATCCTTATATTTTAATGTTAAAAAAATCAGTGATACGTAAAACAAAATGGGGACATATAGGTGCTATCATTGTCAATCAAATCACTCTAATTAAACAGCATTTAAATAATAAACAATTTAAAGGATAAAGAGGTATTTTTATTCATAAATGGTGTGTGTGTGTATGTGCACACTCGTGTGCATGCATGCACATGCATTTAATTTTATAAATATGTCTTCAAATGCTAGCACAGGGATTTGTTTGACTTAAGCAACTGCAAATGTGAGCTCAAAAGTGGGTATAAAAATGAACTTCTTTTTGGTTATAGGCTACTATGGAGCATCAATAATTGCATTTTTTGCATTAAATGCATTTAAAGACTATTGTTTTCAAGAGATAGCATTAAAGGGGAAAGATTTCACCTCATTTGGAAGTAACCAGAGATAGAAATTTAGGAAAATAGTGAGCCACTCTTATATCCAGAATTGTAGTATCAGTGGATAAAGAGTTTATCATGATTTTGACTCTATCAAAAATGGATCCCTGACTTAGATGAACATAAAATCCCTGTTTTCATACTCAATATGCTGCAAGATATAGGAGTTATTGCACTTTAAAAGATAAAAAGAAAATAGACTAAGTTTCTTGTCATTTTTTGCAAAGATCAACATTCAGAATTCACCTTTCCCTCCTCTACCCTGTCAGGCACAGCTCAGGGTAGGCTACCAGGGGAGACAATGCAAAAAAATGTGTGGAAGTCTACTTGATTCTGATGCTAGTCTTCTGAGCAATAGAAGACAGAGGAGAGAGAAAGAGAGAGAGAGAGAAAGAGAGAGAGAGAGAAGGAGGGAAATACAGGAAGAGAGAGAAAGACTTTACAGAATAATCTTCACATAGAGAGAAAAACTAGACATCCATGTCCAAAAGCATGAACCATTCAGTCAATCGGACATTGTACCAAATACAAGGAATGGTTATAAGAGGGATTAAGAAACATGGCAAAAGTACAAATATAAGTAAAGAATTAAGGGAGGTCGATGGGGATGGTCAAAGAGATTATGATGATGGGCTCAGCAAGCCTTTAACTCTCCACAAAGCTGAAGAGAGAAGAAAAATCGGCTTAGCTCCATATTTAGGAATAAGATTTGGAAGCAAGCATTAAACTATTATTCTATTACTTTATTACCATTTCAATACAGGACCCACAAATGACAAACCTAGGGTTTGGAATATAGACTGGATACATTCTTCAAAGAGTTCCTTTAATTATTTAGGAGAATGAACAGGGTGCATCTATCAAACCAATATTTATTCACCACTTACTATGTCCTAGGCACTCTTCTAGGTGCTTGGAAGACATTAGGGAACAAAACAAAAGGCTATGTCTTTTGACCTTTATATTTTAACAAAAGAGAAAAAATGAACAGTGAACATAATAAATATGTTGTGTAGTATATTAGAAGTGACGAGAGCTAATACTTTTAAGGAGCATTTTAGAGTCAGAGTCTACCTTAATTACTCTCTCCTTGTCAGCTACTGTTATTAGCTTTGGTTTCTGAGACACCAAACAGAGCCATAACTCCAAACTCCTCTCTCCTGAGGCAGTCACTCAAAACAATTGTAGTTGGGTATGGAACATGCTGGTAGGTGTTCTGGCAGACCTACAGAATCACATTACTAATTTTAAGGCCTCACTTTTACAATTACCTCTCTCCTTCACTTCCTTCTTATAGACCTTTAGAATTTCTCCAAACCCCAGGGACTCGCTGCCTTCATAATCTGCACTACTGGGAGCTGAGTGCTGGTTAATTGAGGATGATGATGAGGAGGAGAAGGAGCAACTCACTATTATCTAATATCATTGCTGGATCTCGAAGGCGAGGAAGACCATGTGGCTGACAGAGGTTTAGAAAGACCAAGCACACATGACTCAACCTGGCAGGACCTCAGTGACCTGCCTTCCTATCCAATATCTACTCGTGGCCAGAATAATTAAAACCCAAGAGAGAGCCAGCAGGATGGATAATAGGACTTGGTAATGACCCTCTTTGTTTCAACAAATTCATATCGCAGTTCCTGAATTTTAAAAAGTGCTGTGCAAATCGATTTGTTGGCTGATAAAAAGTGAATAGTAAGTAGCTTGTAATAAAATGGGCTATTTCCATGCTTGCTGGTGTGATGGGTTGGGGGCAGAATAATAGGATTTCTGAAACCAAACCCATTCAGGTAGAGCTTCTCTAGACCACTTTAGCAAAGTTACTAAAGCTAATTTCATCAGAAGAGCCAGAACCCCATATTTTACCTCTGATATTCAGTCTTTGCTATAAAAGTTTTTCTTCCCAATCTTTCTTATTTACCACCCCATAGAGCACCACATTAGGTCACTAACCCATCAGAGTAAATTTGCTTGTTCTATCTCTTTCCTTCATAATCAGGAAGTTTCAGAGAGGTCTGCTTTGAAGTAAAAACAGGCTTGTAGGATAGAGCAGGGAAATACAGCTAATAACAATGATAATAAGAGCTACAAATTTTTAGCTTTTCCCATTAGCCAAGCATTGTAATAATTCCTAAACAGATATTATCTGGCTAAGTGTTCACAATGACCTTCTAAATTACAGCATACATTATGCCAATTTTGCAGATTAAAGAAAAAAACGAGGTTCAAAGAATCAAGAAACTATTTCAAAGTTCTACAGATAATTAGTGCAAGAGCCAGAATTAGAACCCAGAGCAGATTGACTCCTAGGCCATGCTACTTCTACAATAGTGTGCTATGTCTTTGTAATAAAGAAGCAGATGAATTCAAAGTGAACGGACCTAAATTTGAGTAAGGCTTCAGAAAGGATTGTGAATAACAACAGAAACTAGTGGGGTTCTATCATTTGAACCTTCATAAAGATGGAAAGATTTATAAAGGGTGACTAGCCATGCACTCAGAAGAAAGAACAATACATATGCCATTAAAGAATTCTCTTAAACATGAGTACATGTTATAAATTGTGACTGTAACACATCAGGGCTGCTCCCGTGACCCACCAGGATCTAAGAAATCGGCAGCAGTTCCTAAGGAAAAAAATACTGTGCAAAGATAGTTGTGTCCAGGAGATGTGGCAGTGACCAGTGAAATTCATGTAGCTTAGCAATATACATAGAATTCAAAGTGGAAGGCTGGCACCAAGTAGGCATGCTAGAAAATAGTGAAAGTTACAATAGTCCTTCTAGAAACCACGTGGTTCTGTGAAGTGATGGCCAAATGCTCAGCAGTGGACACAAATAACTAACTGGTAGTTGAGAGACTTGTTTGTGAGCACAGGTGGGTACTGTGGTGGACTTCCAGTAGTGATACCATTAATGTGATTGCATTTGCAGTGACAGGCTTGTGAGAGAAGTGGAAGAGAGATTGAGCAAGATTCACACAGTAAACAACACCAGATTCTGATACCTGTATACAAAAAGCAGTTTTTGTCAGGAAAATGGGGTACTTGATTGACCTCTACACTGTTAAATGTTGTCTCTTTTATCTCTGGCTAACCTATTCTGCTATAGGCATTTTTTCTTGGGATATATTATCTTTTCCAATCACTCTATGATCACTGGCTTTGGTGATTTGCATTTTTCTGCTCTGATTATTTTGTAAAATACTTATAATATATGTCAAGGCGACAGAATTATTTTCAAGTTTGTAGACAGCAAACTCCACAGCCCGTATATAACTTTGTTTCAGTTTCTCCTACATGAAGGAGAAATTTATCTGACATCATCTGAAGAGCGTTGGAGAGTCTTCATACTTAGTTTCCAGAACTGCTCCCTTAGATGGTATTCTGCAACATGAAAAGACCTCATTCATTTAGTAAGGCTAGTCCCCACTGAGATAGAGATTTATCCTCTTTTGCCCTCTCCCTATGAACCTCCACAATCTGCACTGGTAGAAGAGGCACATGATTTTCTTAAGGAGTGCCAACACCCACACTGTGAATAGTAGTTTGACTCAGAGGTGATTTGATAGGAAGGTGACTCATCTTCCTTTTACTTCAGAGTTTAGTTTCTTGATCTCCTGTTTTAAATTGGTCAGGTGCAAAAACTCAGCTGTAAATCAGCTCACTCATTGTGAGAAAAGACTAAGACTATCTCAAAGCACTTAGCACAGTGGTAGGCACACGCTACCTTTGAAATAAGTGCCTGTCAGTAAGCTGACTTGGAAAAGGGCTCTAACACAATTCCTGCTTACATGACTTCTTGGTATAAGAAGAACATAATAATATTTTATATACATGTGATATTTTGGAACTTTTGGAGTATTTTCAAATAAAACCACCTTCATTATTCACAGCTGTGTGTGATATAATAGGACAGGTATTATTAGTTTACCTATATAGGAAAAGAGAAACCAGAGCTCTTTTTTTTTCTTTTTTTTACCCAATATGACAAAAATAATAACTCTAGTTATCTAGCCAACACAATGGATTACATGTAGTTTTGGTTAATTTCAGTTTTTTAAATTACGCCACATTCTCTTTTTTTAGACTTTCCTCATTCAAACAGCAAGTCTGAAATCCTGTAAAATATAGTAAAGTTTTTTTTTTTTAATGGGGAGATTACAGTGAAGTCTCTAAAGAAACAGGTAGAAATATTTAATATAGATAATTATGCAAACAAGGTTTTTATATCCTAAGTTTTAATAAAATTAGGTTTAACAAAATTCTCTAGGGATCAAGCCCTAAGGAGTTTATCAAGATGAGCATTCAACTGAGGAAAATTGAGCTTAAGGCTAAATTGATTTAGGGTAAAAAAAAATGCAATGCCTATCAGGGATCTATTGGAAAGAGATGGACTTATTTTTAGAAAAAAAATAAATAAAACATCTGCACATATTTGAAAAAGTTCAAGTTTTTTTTTGAACCTGGGGATAATCTTCAACTATGCTAATCAGATGAGCCAGCTTGCAGCCTGAGTGAAGAGAGAGAGAGGAAAATGTGTATTTGTTTTCTTCAGCCTACGAATATTTTCGACTGAGGTTTCAAGTGTAAGAGAAATGTTCTGATGGAATCCAGGTAAAATGTGTGGTGATGAGGTCATATATATGTTTGTGTTTCTCCTTTTGTGGAGACATACTTGGAAAAAAAGCAGACTATTTTATATTGGTATAGTCATGCATTGCTTAACAATGAGGATATGTTCTGAGAAATTTGTCGTTGGTGATTTTGTAATTGTGAGAGCATCATAAAGTGTACTTACGCAAACCTACATGGTATAACCTACTACACACCTAGGCTACATGGTACAGCCTATTTCACCTAGGCTACAAACTTATGCAGAATATTACTGTATTGAATCCTGGAAGAAACTGTGACACAATGGTAAGTATTTGTGTATGCAAATGTATCTAAACACAGAAAAGGTACAGTATAAATATGGTCTAACTTTTTTTTTTAAATGATATACCTGGCTAGGCGCAGTGGCTCACACCTGTAATGCCAGCACTTTGGAAGGCCGAGGCAGGTGGATCATTTGAGGTCAGGAGTTCGAGACCAGCCTGGCCAACATGGTGAAACTCTGTCTCTACTAAAAATACAAAAAATTAGCCAGGCGTAGTGGCGGGCACCTATAATCCCAGCTACTCAGGAGGCTGAGGCAGGAGAATCACTTGAATCCGGGAGGTGGAGGCTGCCGTGAGCTAAAATTGTGCCACTGCACTCCAGCCTGCGTGACAGAGCAAGACTCCGTCTCAAAAAAAAAAAAAAAAAGAAAGAAGAAGAAGAAGAAGAAGAAAGAAGAAGCAGCAGCAGCAGCAGAAGAAGATGATGACTTTATAAACACGGTACATTTAGGCTACATAAAATTTATAAAAAGCTATTTTTCTTTCTTCAATCATATTAACCTTAGCTTACTATACCTATTTTACTTCATAAACTTAAATTTATTTTTTAACTTTCTGGCTGTTTTATAATAAAACAGCTTAAAACACAAACACATTGTATAGTATTCAAAAATACGTTTTCTTTATACCCTTATTCCATCCTCTATTTTCTATTCTTAATTTTCTTTAACTTGTTAAATTTTTGTGTTAAAAACTAAGACACAAACACACACAACAGTCTAGGCCTACATGGGGTCAGGATCATCAATATCACTGTCTGACACCTCCACATTTTGTTCTACTCGAAGGACTTCAGGGGCAACAATATGCACGGAGTTTTCATCTCCTATGACAACAATGCTTTCTTCTGAAATACCTCCTGAAGGACCTTCCTAAAGCTGTTTTACAGTTAACTTTTAAAAAATATAAGTATAAGAATTACACTCTTGGCTGGGTACAGTGGCTCATGCCTGTAATCCCAGCACTTTGGGAGGCTGAGGCAGGTGGATCACGAGGTCAGGAGATCGAGCCCATCCTGGCTAACACGGTGAAACCCTGTCTCTACTAAAAATACAAAAAATTAGCCGGGCGTGGTGGCGAGTGCCTGTAGTCCCAGCTACTCGGGAGGCTAAGGCAGCAGAATGGAGTGAACCCGGGAGGTGGAGCTTGCAGTGAGCCGAGATTGCACCACCGCACTCCAGCCTGGGTGACAGAGTGAGACTCCGTCTCAAAAAAAAAAAAAAAAAAAAAAAAAGAATTACACTCTAAGAAAACAAAAAAAAGTCTTATACTTCATATAAGAATTACAATCTAAGAGAACAAAAATATTATAGTAAATACATATACCAGTAACAGTCATTTATTACCATTATCAATATTATGTACTGTACATAATTATATGTGCTACACTTTTATATGACCAGCAGTGCATTAGGTTTGTTTACACCAGCATCACCACAAACACATGCATATGTTGTACTATGTTGCTAAGATGGCTCAGACATTACTAGGCATAGCAAGTTTTCAGCTCTGTTATAATCTGTTGGGATCACAGCCATATAATAATAATATATCTTTAGATGATATATATAAATACATGGCTGTATTTATTACCAAGGAAGAATTAAAATCTCCTTTCTGGCAGATCATCAGAATCTCAACAATTTCATGCAAAATTGTGTATATGGAAATTTTTCTATTAGGTTGGTGCAAAAGCAATTGTGGTTTTTGCCACTAAAAGTAAAACCACAATTACTTTTGCACCAACGTAATAGTTCTCTAACATGTCACCAACCAGTAGTTTAACCTTGAATGAGGATACTTAAATGAATAAAATATAAACTCTGTTAGGCTTTTCCAATCTTATACCCAAGCTATTAGGAAACTGTATTGTGGATCACCTATTAATATCACCACAAAAAATAAATAAAAACTAAATAGACAAGTCATTATCCTGTTACAGTGAGTTATTACATATGTCTTATATTACAAAAAATCATTCATTATTTCCCATTACCTCCAATATGGACACCAACTTTCATAGCATGGTATTGCTTTACTCTGTATGATTTATCTTTTTCCAGATTTTCCAGCTTTATTCCCTGTTGCTTCTCAACTTGCACTAAATTGCTTATTATACTAAACTACTTTCAATTCAATAAACAAGACTAGCTATTTGAATAAGCCATTTTGGGGGGATAGGCTTATACCGATGTTCAAACATCCTTTCTTTTTTCTTTCCTTAATATGGAGATTCTGTTCAAGATTTCCTTCAAGATTCAGTTTAACCTCACCTAGAAGACTTCCTTCGATTGTGACAGACTGCATGCATGTCTTCTCTTTGCCACAGGGCACCGTGCACCATAGTATAGCCCACTATATGGTATTTGTATTCAATCTCCACTTCATTGGAAACTTCTTGAGGACAAATGTGTTGTTTTATTCTCAGAATTCCAGCCTTAGAACTAAATCCAGCTCAAATGATACTCAATAAAAGTTTGCCATGTGAAAGAATAAACGTGATTGGAGAACATAGAGCCAACCAGAAAGAGAATTCTGCTCTAACTGAAATTTCAGAAGTGAGGTCTGTGACTGAGACCTATGTGAGAAGGAGGAAGAGCAGGAAGAGGAGGAGGAGAAGGAGGAACAACAACAACAAGAGGAGGATGAGGAGAGAGGAAGAAGAAGCAAAAGAAGAGAAAGAAGAAGCAGAAGAAGAAAAAGAAGGGGAGAAGGAGAAGGAGAAGCTGAAGAAGAAGAAGCAGCAGCAGCAGCAAGGTAGAAAACAGCAAAAGTAAAGTATATTTAATATAATGTGGTTTTATTCTATAAATAAATGAATTCAGGGAAAAGGAAGAAAAGCTTACCTACATGTGGCTGAAGTGAATAAATGACCTAATCTTTCCCTAGAACATATACAAAGAGAAATTACAGGTGAATTATAAACCTTAGTTAGAAATCTGATGTTTCTTAATAATAAAAATGTGATATAATTTTTGTAGTTTTAAATTTGTCCACATATGCATTTTGATGCCAAATAGAACCCATTGAAATTAGCATGTTTCAATTTTCATTTAACAGATGTCAAAGTTGATATAACAAAAAGTTTATTTCTTTACAGAGCTGTCTACACAATTAATGCTGAAAAAAAAAGCCTGCCCATCTGACTATGACACCAAATATATGCTCTTTCTATTGTTTCCAGAGCCTTTCCTATGAAAAGAGTTCCAGGCACCTCAAAGAGAAATAATTTATTTCATCAAAAAAAAAAAAAAAAAAAAAAAAAAAGGAGGCCACCAAGTCAAAAGTCAGGCTTCAGCCCTACTTAATCTAATCTAGATTCTTAAAAGATTGAATTATAAAATTTTCATTTTATTTTAATTAAATTGAGTTAGCACTTCCTGAAGTCAAAGATATGTACCCATAAGAAACAAAACTCTTCCCAAAAGACGGCAAAGACAAGAACCTAGGAAAAGGAATTCAGGTGAATATGTTCCAACATCAGTGTGTTAAAACTGTCAGTGGAAGGCACAGTTCAAACATCTTTGACATCTCCTCTTTGTTGTTTCTAATGGTTTCCAGTAAAGTTTCCATTCAATGTTTACATTTTGGTTTGTTTTTTTGTCTGTTTTAGTAGTTGGACTCAGGCAAAATAAACATAATAGTAATAGAGGCTTCTCTGGCCATGCAGTGGAGCTCAAGACTCCTTTCATCAAAGCTTTGATGAGTTCAAGGACAATAGGTGGTGGGAGAAGAGTGAGGACATTGAGCTGGAGCTGTGAAGCTCATGGGGGTTGCCTCCTGCCTGAGAGTGGGCTAAGAGTGTTTTGCTCTGGCATCAGGGCAAGTGATTTTTCCCATTATTTTTCTTTTTATTGTGCTCTTTCTTTTGTTTTTTTTTCTATATCACTGCAGCACCAAAATCTCGGAGGCTATAGTCTAATGCACTAACCATCTACCTCAGAGAACCCTGAGGCACTGCTAAATAATTCTTGAAACCCATCTCACATCTTCTGAATTGGTTTTTCTGAGATTCAAGTCCTGAAAAATGTATTTTACATGGCACATTCCCTTCTCCACAGCCAATACATCTGAGTACTATTAAGAAATACTAACCTCCAAGAGAGGCAAATTAGCAGTTACATTACTTTTAAGCAAGAGCTTTGTGACTTATTGTGGCCTAGTCCAGTTCTCAAGAGACCACCTAGATGTTTGGGGCCAAAACCCTCAGCTAGTTAGAATTTCCTTTTGCCTCACTTCTAGGCATTTATCTCCCTCAGGGACTTAATGGTTCTTGCCACAATGAGTAGTTGATTGATCATTAAAAAATCCTGGGGCCCTGCCCCTGAATCATTCCACTACTGCTAATTCTGAAGGCCACCTCTCACTCTTTTTTCTATCACAGAAGAAATTTGTGAATCAAGAATAATATATCTGGGATTAGTTCACGTTATTCTAGGTAGCTCAAACAGGTCCAGGTTCATTCAGCTAATTTGATGACCTTTGAAATGTAATCTACCTCAATAAGAAGTCAAAATGCGGCCAGGTATGGTGGCCCACACCTGTAATCCCAGCACTTTGGGAGGCTGAGGTGGGTGGATCACCTGAGGTCAGGAGTTTGAGGCCAGCCTGGTCAACATGGTGAAACCCCATCTCTACTAAAAATAAAAGAAATTAGCCGGGCATGGTGGCAGGAACCTGTAATCCCAGCTATTCGGCAGGCTGAGACTGGACAATCGCTTGAGCCTGGGCGGCAGAGGTTGCAATGAGCCGAGATCACGCCATTGCACTTCAGCCTGGGCAACAAGAGTGAAACTCCATCTCAAAAAAAAAAAAAAAAAAAAAAAAAAAAAAGAAGAAGTCAAAATGCACCTTAACACAAGAATGCCAAGTTTAATATTCCTCAAGGAAATTATGTTAAGAGATGATATATACTTTTTGCATAGGATTATTTGTGCTTCCAGGAGGGGAAACTGAACACTACTCTTTCAAATGAGGCACTGTTAAGAAAACTAACTAAAAAAGTGGCTTCAGTGGTAGCTGATGAAGAAACCAAAGTTGGATTTGAACAGTCAGCTTCTGTTCATTGAGACCCACTGATATTATACTTCAAATGAAGTCTCTAAAATCACTACAAAACTTAATATGGCATCAATAGATTGTTTCAAGGGAGTAACATATGGAGTTTTTCAAGGGCTAAAGGAAAACAAACAAACAAAAAATAATGTAGTAGAAAAGATACAGAGATGTTGGGATCAAGGAAGCAATCACATGATCATGCTCCTTCTGATGTTTGAAACTGCCAGGCTTCCCACTCTACCTTTCTTCATGTGGTTTAATGAAACAAATAAGGCAAAAGCACAACTCCCCGATCCTCAGTCTTGCAACATCTACTTGGCCTACCATATTAAAATCAGCAAGATCCTCCACTGTCATTCATATTTTCAGTCTGGGCAGGAGTGAATTCAAGCTATCTGAAGACTTGCTGATTCGTAAGCGGTTTTGGCCAAGGTAGATCTCAAGGGATAGGGGCTCTTCTTTTAGGTTTTCCAAGTTGTCAGAAACCATAAATATTAGAAACCGTTAAGACCAATCCTCATAATTCTGCTTTCCAACAGAGCAGTAGTTTCAAACTCCAGAATGCCTGAGGCTCTCCTGGAGGACTTGCTGAAACACAGATTGCTGGGCCCCATGCCCAGAGTTTCTAATTCACTAGGGGCCAGAGAATTTGCATTTCTTGCAAGTTTCCAGCTTCTTCTGCTGCTGGTCTGGGAACTACACTTTGAGAATCTCTGTAATAGGGTAACTAGGAAGACATCCTGCAAAACAAAAGGCAGAGGTTCTGACACACCATTCCCAATAAGGAAGCTCAGTTTCAAAGGCATTTTTGTTGATGTTTATGAGCACATACAACTATCTTTAATAATAAGCATAATATTTTAATTTATTATGCTCTTATTTTATGCTTGGCATTGTTCCAAGGCGGGCATTACTGGTTCCGTTTCCTTTGATCAATACACAAATCCTATGAAGTATGCACTAATATTTTTTACATTTGAGAAAATCGAGGTACAAAAAGCATATCTACCTTCCCCAATGTTACACAGTTACTAAAAGAGAAAATCAGAGTATGAGCCCAAATCCCTGTCACTATAAATGATATCTGTGGTATAATTCATAGTAAGCACTGTGTGGTACTTACTTTCAAGAAAACCATATTGCTAACCCTATACATTACAGAACAACACATTTGAACTTGCACCAGAAATGTGATTCCAAATCTGAGCTCTACCACTCTTATGCCATGTTACCTTCAATGTATTGTTATCTCCCTGTTAGTGTCTTAAAAAAATCACAATAAAATATGTTGAAATTAAAACATGTTAAGCATTTAGAACAAATAATTTTTAAAATGAGATCTGCTTATAATCCTACTAAGGTACCCTTACAATAATAATCTAGTTGACCAATAGATGGGACATGCATTGTGCTGGGTATCAGGAGATCAAAGTTTTCATCATGACCCAGCCGTGAACCAATTTTGAATACTGGGTGTGATAAAGCACTTTCAGTTTTTTCATTAGTGATATGAGCATAGGTGGCACTTGCACAACTACTACTATATGACTTCTTTGAAAATAAATGTCTATGTAATATAAAAATATGTATTTACATATGTATGTATTTCGAATGCAATATATATTTATGTGCATGTATGTATACCTATGTAATTTGTATATTTGCACATGTTTTAAATTAAATGTTTTTTACAGTATCATTCCTCCCAAAATGTCAGATATTGCCATAATGTAACTCCACATGCAATTCTGGGGCTTCAAATATGATTTGATTTTTTTTTTTTCTTAGACAGACTCTTGCTCTGTCACCCCAGCTGGAGGGCTGGAGTGCTGTGGCATGATCTCGGCTCACTGCAGCCTCCGCCTCCTGGGTTCAAGTGATTCTTCTGCCTCAGCTTCCCGAGTAGCTGGGATTACAGGCACCCACAACCACGCCCGGCTAGTTTTTGTAGTTTTAGTAGAGACGGGGTTTCAACATGTTGGCCAGGCTCGTCTCAAACTCCTGACCTCAGGTGATGGACCTCAGCCTCCCAAAGTGCTGGGGTTACAGGTGTGAGCTACCGTGCCCGGCCTAATTTGGATGTTTTAATTAAATTTGTTTATGCTTCCTGAAAAGACCAAAGCACTGGACAGGAGTCATTCATCAAACACAGGGCTACTGCACATGGACAGGCCCCTACTTCCGTTTCCTATAAACTCATTCAATATTTGTGTTAATGTTGTGTATTTTTTATTAAGCTTGTAGAAACTCTATATGATTTTCCTGTTTTAGTTTTCTTCATCCTTTATTCCTTTCTCCTGAGCTTTGTCATGAGATTGGTTCTCCTTTAGCACCATTTCATGCTACTGTCTTTCCACTGGCAAATGACAATTGAGCTCCCTCTTCTCTATTCTATGAAATAAAATTCTTTTGTGTTTGTAGCAGAGGAAATTCTAAAAGCTTCTTAATTCCCAATTCTTTTTTTCATGAAGCAACAGAAGTATGCTGTCTCCCAGTTTCCCTTAACATTAGGTGTTTGCATATAAC
Source organism: Homo sapiens (assembly GCF_000001405.40). Taxonomy (NCBI): domain Eukaryota; kingdom Metazoa; phylum Chordata; class Mammalia; order Primates; family Hominidae; genus Homo; species Homo sapiens. The sequence goes on from NC_000018.10 coordinate 39,423,443, forward strand.
TGAGCTCTGGGTAGTGGAATGTAAGTGAAGGTGCTGAATGCCTCTTCCAGGCCTAAATCCTAGGACCCCCTTCCCATTACCTTCAAGCTTTCTCTCTTAACTTACCTACTACCAAATACAGAGAAGCAAGTGTAGACTTGATCAAGATGTTGTAGGCCTAGCACATGGTGAAACTGCTGGATGAAAGAAACCTGGGTTCCTGAATGTCTAAGTGGAGTAGTTATTACTCCAATGGCTGACCCACTGCTGACTGACCCAGGAGTGAAAATTAAACCTTTGCTTTTTCAGGCATGTAAATTAGAGAATTTGCCTAAACTAATTAATAGAGTGTGTTTTCCTTGGCTCTTTCTTAACTATTCCCAACATACCTATCTATGAACTTTCTTGGACAATTCCACATAATGAATCTCCTTCTAAAGATAAGGGTGGTTTCTCCTTGGCTACTATAGCAACGACATGAATTATCACATCAGTCTCTGCTGTTGTTTCTTCCAGATGGAATCATTCCCTCTCTCTGCATTCCACATGCCTTCCATCAATGTACCCCTCTTCTATGAAACCTCATATTATTAAAACACATGTGAATCTATTATTCACTTAGCTTATGCATTTAGTATTTTCCCCACCAAATGTAAATTATCAGTTGTGTGCTAAGTTGTGAGCAAAATCAGTAAGACCAATGACTGATATCAGCAAGCTCACCATACCGTGGCTCAAATAAGGAAATGAATGCAAAGTTAAAATGGTTTTGATGTGGATGTCCGTGCACTGCTTTTCTAAAAGGACATAAGATGTGTCCTAATTTACTCACAGAGTGCTGTTGAGTGGCATGTCACTTTGGCTGAGAAGCTAAGTCTTGATGTATAAGTAAATATTAGCCATATAATATGCAGGAGAAGTGAAAGGTATCCCAGGCCAAGAGAACAGCATACAAAGGCCCTGGGATGACGGGGCACAATCACTAAGATAATACAGTAGTGTGAGAAGACTGAAGTGTCAGGGTGTGCCTGGATAGCAAATTTGCCATTAAGCAATAAGTTCAGTTTTTCAGAAACCATGCCAGAATCTGGAGATGTAAAAATAAATAAAACCAGATTTATGTTATGACCTTATTTATAGCCTAACTAGAGAGAGAAAAAAAATCACAGTAGAATGTGGAAATATAATAACCATTTTACTTGTTTTATTTTGCTTTATTTACATTTAGTGCAGAGAGGACTTAGAGGAGGCAGGAGTAGAAAGAAGGCAGAGTTAGAAAAAGCATCAAGGAGAGTGGAGGAAAAAATGGCAGATAGGAGGCAAGACTAAGTTGCAGCTCCCATTTAGACAGAGAGAGCGGTGTGTGGAGACTCATATCATAAACTTTTGCTCCAAGAACTACTTCAGGAATATACCAGGAAAGCCGAGGGAATCCATAGACCCTTTAAAGGAAGCGGATTGCTCATGCAGGACCTAGGAGACAGCCCAAATATTGTGATTGTCCAAACTGTGAAAGTGGGAAAGGGGAATCATCCACCCCCAAACACATACCCTTACTGGGGAACCTGAAAGTCTAGATCATGGGAGAAGGATATGACCTTACCTGGAGCTGAGACAGTTTAGAGACCCAAGTGAAATACAAGGGTAGAGGAAGCAACGGGAAAAGACCTGTAGGCTCTCTGGGTTCCCCAGGGAAGCCATTTCTGACTTGTTTCACAAGGGACCTTGGGAAGGGCTGCCAGGGGAACTGGGAAAAGATCACAGGAAGAAGGAAACCTCCAGCTAAACTTTGTAACAATTCCAACTGAACACGAAGTTTCCTGATCAGAACTTGGGGGAAGAGTGTGCAGACTCGACTGGCAGGGAGGCATGAAAACCCTGCTTGCTTTCTCAGCCGGGAAGCTGGTAGCCTGGAGCAAGTTCTCAGCCCAGCTTGCCCAATGCCTAGAAACAAACTCGGTGCTGCTTGGATTGGGGCAAGGTGGGAGTGAGACCAGCCTTTTGGGTTGCATGGGAACTGGGTGAGGCCTGTAACTGCTGGCTCTCCCCAACTTCCCTGACAACCTGCATGACACAGCAGAGGCAGCCATAAATCTTGTGGAAACATAACTCCATTGACCTAGGAACCACACTCCCATCCCCCACATCAGCTGCAGCAAGCCCCACCCAAGAAGAGTCTCAGGGTCTGAGCTCAGACATGCCTAATCCTGCCCCCACCAGATGGTCTTTTCTTATCCACCTGAGTAGCTGAAGACAAAGGTTATCTTCTCCTGGGAGTTCTAGGGCCCTGCCCACCACCTGATCCTCCCCTATACTACCACAGCTGATTATCTCTTGAAAACACCACCTCCTGACAGGAGGCCAACCAGCACAAAACTAGTTCATAAACAATTACAACTAAGGACCCTCACAGAGTCCATTTTACTCTCCTACCACCTCCATTGGAACAGGTGCTTGTATCCATGGCTGAGAGACATGAAGATTGTTCATATCACAAGACTCTGTGCAGACACCCCCAAGTACAAGCCCAAAGCTTGGTTGCCCTGCTGGGTGGCTAGATCCAGAAGACAAATAACCACTGAAGTTCTGCTCTCAGGAAGCCACATTTCTAGGAAAAGTGTAAGAGTACTACATCAAGGGAACAAAATAATTTGAACAACAGTCTTGAGCCCAGATCTTTCCATTGACATTGCCTACCCAAATAAGAAGGAACCAGAAAAACAATTCTGGTAATATGACAAAACAAGGTTCTTTAACACCCCCAAAATCACACAAGCTCACTGGCAATGGATCCAAACCAAGAAGAAATCCCTGAATTGCTAGAAAAAAAATTCAGATTGATTATTAAGCTAAAAATGAGGCACCAGAGAAAGGTATAGTCCAACTTAAGGAAATAAAAAAAATAATAATGATACAACATATAAGGGGAGAATCTTCAGTGAAATAGATAGCATAAATAAAAAACAATCAAAGCTTCAGGAAATAAAGAACACACTTAGAGAAATGCAAAATGTACTGGAAAGTCAGATTTTTTGATGTATAAATTTGGAAACTCCAGTGTTAGGAGCACATATATTTAGGATTGTGATATTTTCCTGTAGGACAAGGTCTTTTATCATTATATAATGTTCCTCTTTGTTTTTTTGTAACTGCTGTTGCTTCAAAGTTTTTTTTTTTTTTTGTCTGAAATAGAAATGAACAAGCAGAAGAAAGAACTTCAGAGCTTGAAGACAGGGTTTTTGAAGTAACCCAACCCAACAAAGACAAAGGAAAAAGAATAAAAACAATGAACAAAACCTCCAAGAGGTTTGGGATTATGTAAAATAACCAAACCTAGGAATAATTGGTGTTCCTGAGGAAGAAGAGAAATCTTAAAGTTTGGAAAACGCATTTGGGGGAATAATTGAGGAAAATTTCTTCAGGCTTGCTAGAAGTCTAGACATCCAAATACAAGAAACTCAAAGAACACCTAAGAAATTAATCATAAAAAGATCATCACCTAGACACACAGTTAGCAGGCTATCTAAAGTCAAGACGAAGGAAAGAATCTTAAGATATGTGAGGCAAAAGCACCAGGTAACCTATCAGAGTAACAGCAGATTTCTCAGCAGAAACCCTACAAGCTAGAAGTGATTGAGGACCTATTTTCAGCCTTCTTTAGCAAAACAATTAACAGGCAAGAATTTTGTATCCAGCAAAACTAAGCTTCATAAATGAGGAAAGATACAGTCTTCTTCGAACAAACAAGTGCTGAGACAATTTGTCATTCCCAAGCCAGTGCCACAATAATTACTAAAACAAAGCTCTAAATCTTTAAACAAATCCTGGAAACACATCAAAAGAGAACCTCTTTAAAGCATAAAATTCACAGGACCTATAAAACAAAAATATAATAAACAGGCCAACAAACAAACAAACAAACAAAAAACCCAGCAAGGTATTCAGACAACAAATAGCATGATGAATGGAATAGTACCTCATATCTCAATACTAACTTTGAATGTAAAGGGCCTAAATGCTCCACTTGAAAGATACAGAATTGCATAATGGATAAGAATTCACCAACGAACTATCTGCTGCCTTCAAGAGATTCACCTAACACATAAGGACTCATATAAACTTAAGGTAAAGAAGTGGACAAAGATATTCAATGCAAATGGACACCAAAAGTGAGCAGGATTAGCTATTCTTATACCAGACCAAAAAAAAAAAAAAAATTTTGAAGGAACAGTAGTTAAACAAGACAAAAAGGAACATTGTATAATGATAAAAGGCCTTGTCCCACAGGAAAATATCACAATCCTAAATATTTATGCACCCAACCCTGGAGTTCCCAAATTTATAAAACAATTACTACTAGACCTAAGAAATGAGATAGACAGCAACACAATAATAGTGGGGGACTCCAATACTCCACTGACAGCACTAAAAAGGTCATCAAGACAGAAAATCAACAAAAAAGCAAGGGATTTAAACTATACCCTAGAAGAAATGGACTTAACAGATATTTACAGAACATTCTACCCAACAACTTCAGAATATACATTCTATTCATCAGCGCATGGAACTTTCTCCAAGATAGACCATATGCTAGGCCACAAAATAAGTCTCAATAAATTTAATAAAATTGAAATTATACCAAGTACTTTCTCAGACCACAGTGGAACAAAATTGGAAATCAATTCAAAAAGGAACTCTGAAAACCACGCAAACACATGGAAATTAAATAACCCGCCCCTGAGTGATCATTGGGTCAACAAGGAAATCAAGATGGACATTTGAAATTTTTTTGAACTGAAGGAATATAGAGATGCAGCCTATCAAAACCTCTGGGATACAGCAAAGGCAGTGCTAAGAGGAAAGTTCATAGTCTTAAATGACTAAATCAAAAAAATCTGAAGGAGCACAAATAGACAATCTAAGGTCACATGTCAAGGAACTAGAAAAACAAGAGCAAACCAAACCCAAACCCAGCAGAAGAAAGGAAATGACAAAGATCAGAACAGAACTAAGTGAAATCAAAACAAACAAACAAACAAACAAAAATACAAAAGATAAATGAAGCAAAAAGCTGGTTCTTGAAAACATAAATAAAATTGATAAACCATTAGCACAGTTAACCAAGAAAAGAAGAGAGAAGATCCAAATAAGCTCAATTAGAAATGAAATGGGAGATATTACAACTAACATCAAAGAAACGCAAAAGATCATTCACGGCTACTATGAACAGCTTTACACACATAAACTCGGAAATCTAGAGGAGATGGATTCCTGGAAAAATTCAACCCTCCTAGCTTAAATGAGGAAGAATTAGAAACCCTGGACAGACCAATAACAAGCAGCAAGATTGAAATGGTAATAAAAAAGATTACCAACAAAACAAAGCTCAGGACCAGATAGATTCACAGCTAAATTTTATCAGACATTCAAAGAAGAATTGGTACCAATCCTATTGATACTACTCCACAAAATAGAGAAAGAGGGAATCCTCCTGAAATCATTCTATGAAGCCAGTATCACCCTAATAACAAAACCAGGAAATGAGATAACCAAAAAAGAAAACTACAGACCAATATCCCTGATGAACATAGATGGAAAAACCCTTATCAAAATACTAGCTAACTGAACCCAACAGCATATCAAAAAGATAATCCACCATGATCAAGTGGGTTTTATACCAGAGATGCAGGGATGGTTTAACATACACAAGTCAATAAATGTGATACACCACATAAACAGAATTAAAAACAAAATCACATGATCATCTCAACAGACACAGTAAAACCATTTGAAAGAATCCAGCATCCTTTTATGATTAAAACCCTCAGCAAAATCAGCATACAATAGACATACCTCAATGTAATACAAGCCATCTATGACAAACCCACAGCCAACATAATATTGAATGAGGAAAAGTTGAAAGCCTTCCCTCTGAGAACTGGAAGAAGACAAAGATGCTCACTCTCAGTGCTTCTCTTTAACGCAGTACTGGAAGTCCTAGCCAGAGCAATTAGGCAAGAGAAAGAATTAAGGGCATTGAAATTGGTATAGAGGAAGTCAAACTGTTGCTGTTTGCTGATGATATGATTGCATACCTAGAAAACCCTAAAGACTCCTTTAGAATGCTCCTAGAAGTGATAAATAAATTCAGCAAAGTTTCAGCATATAAAATTATTGTACACAAATCAGCAGCTCTGCTATACACCAACAGCAACCAAGGTGAGACTCAAATCAAGAACTCAACCCCTTTTACAATAGCTACAAAAAAATTCTTAGGAATATACCTAACCAATGAGGTGAAAGACCACTACAAGGAAAACTACAAAACACTGCTGAAAGAAATCACAGATGATACAAGTGAATGGAAGTACATCCCATGCTCATGGATGGGTAGAATCAACATTGTGAAAATGACCATACTGTCAAAAGCATTCTACAAATTTAATGCAATTACCACTAATATACCACCATCATTCTTCACAGAACTAGAAAAAAATCCTAAAATTCACATGGAACAAAAAAGAGCCTGCAAATCCAAAGCAAGATTAAGCAAAAAGAAAAAATCTGGAGGCATCACATTACCTGACTTCAAACTATACTATAAGGCCATAGTCACCAAAACAGCATGGTACTGGCATAAAAATGGGCACATAGACCAATGAAACAGAACAGAGAACCCAGAAATAACCCCAAATACTTACAGCCAACTGGTCTTCAACAAAGCAAACAAAAACATAAAGTGGGGAAAGGACACCTTATTCAACAAATGGTGCTGGGATAATTGGCTAGCCACATGTAGGAGAATTAGGCTGGATCCTCATTTCTCATTTATAGAAAAATCAACTCAAGATGGATCAAGGACTTAAATCTAAGACCTGAAACTATAAAAATTCTAGAAGGTAACATTGCAAAAACCCTTCTAGATATTGGCTTAGACAAAGACTTCATGACTAAGAACCCAAAAGCAAATGCAACAAAAACAAAGATAAATAGGTGAGACTTAATAAACTAAAAAGCTTCTGCACAGCAAAAGGAGCAGTCAGCAGAGTAAACAGACAACCCACAGAATGGGAGAAAAAATCTTCACAATCTATACATCCAACAAAGGACTAATATCCAGAATCTACAAGGAACTCAAAAAAACTAGCAAGAAAAAAACAAACAACCCCATCAGAAAATGGGCTAAGGATATGAATAGACAATTTTCAAAAGATGATATACAAATGACCAACAAATATTTGAAAAAAATGCTCAACATCATTAATAATCAGGGAAATGCAAATCAAAACCCCAATGTGATGCCACGTTATTCTTGCAAGGATAGCCATAATCAAAAAATAATAAAAAAATTAGACGTTGGTATGGATTCAGTGAAAAGGGAACACTTCTATGCTGCTGGTGGGAATGTAAAGTAGTACAAGCACTATGGAAAACAGTGTAAAGATTCCTTAAAGAACTAAAAGTAGAACTGCCATTTGATCCAGCAATTCCACTACTGGGTATCTACTCAGAGGAAAAGAAGTCAGTATACAAAAATATACTTGCACACACATGTTTATAGCAGCACAATTCACAATTGCAAAAATATAGAACCAACCCAAATGCTCATCAATAAATGAGTGGAAAAAGAAACTGTGGTGTGTGCGTATGTGTGTTTATGTGTGTGTGTGTGTGTGTGTGTGTATATGCATTCATATATATACACACACATACATATATATACACACACACACACACACACACACATATATATATATATATATATATATATATGATGCAATACTACTCATCCATAAAGAGGAATGAATTAATGGCATTCTCAACAACTTAGATGGAACTGGAGAGTATTATTCTAAGTGAAATAACTCAGGTATGGAAAACCAAACATTGTATGTTCTCACTCATAAGTGGGAGCTAAGCTATGAAGATGCAAAGGCATAAGAATGATAGAATGAATTTTGAGGACTTGAGGGAAAGAGTGGGGGGGGGGTGAGGGATAAAAGACTACAAATTAGGTTCAGTGTACACTGCTTGGGTGATGGGTGCGACAAAATCTCACAAATCACCACTGAGAAACGTACTCATGTAATCAAATACCACCAGTTCCCTCAAAACCTATGGAAATATATATATATATTTTAAAGGATGAAGGAACATGTGACCTTTGAGCTTATTCTTAAAGGAAGAGAGGGAATTCACAAGAGAGAGGAGAAGAGAAAACATTCTGGGCAAAGAGGGCATGATCGTACAGGTATGGGGATCACTAAAAGAAGAGCACACACGTATAGATTAGAAAATTTTCTAGGGCTGGGACTTGCTGTACAAATGTGGGCATGGAAGGTGACCCAGATAGGTAGATGGTGACCAAGATCACAAAGATTAGTTAATATTACTCCAGGTGTATAAATAGATTCTTCGAAACTTACAAAATAATTAAAGAAGCAAAAGTGTAATGTGATTGGATTTGCATTCCAGAAAGATATTTTTGATGTACCCAGTACCCAGTACCCAGAATGAAGAACAAAAAGGCAGTCTGATAAAAGGATATTTTATACATTATTATATTCTCATTTGCATTATTTTTAGTATAATGTTTGAATGCTCTCTGTTCAATTTCATGTTAAACTCTCCAAAGACAGGAGATGCTGACACTTTGCTTTTTGTCTTATTTTGTATTGTTTTCCCTGCAACCACAGAGCACAAAGTCAGGCACATAGCTTTTCAGTAAAGTGATGCTGATTAAATGTTTGATTAAACTTAACTTTGTGTCTAGACCCCTGCTGAGTGGAGAAAGATTATATTGCTGCCCTGCAGGAGAGGAGCAGCCGTATTCTCCTTCCTTGAGTAAGTATCTTAACCTGTCCAGAAAGGGGAAATAACTACATTGGTACCAGGGAGGTGTTGGAAAGTTTAATTAGCCAGTGTTTGTAATCTTCTTTGAAGCTGAAAAGTGCTAATTATGTTTTTCCCACTTTACGATTCTGAGTCACATGGACCATATCTTAAATGTTTCTGAGTTAGGAAAGTTTTTACATTCAAAAAAGGAGCTGAGTAGCTTTTGCAGATACATGCTTTAGCAAGAAAGCCTTAGGGTTGACCAAGTCACGCTGGAAGGTAGGAGACTGAGAGATACATAGATTGTTTTTTTAAGAAAACATGCTGACTCTACCAATATCACTAAATCAACAGGCACCACCAAAGGAGTGTTGCTTGATGAACAGATTTTATTTCTCTAGGGATCTTCTCCTGAGCACCTTTGCCATCATCTGGATGGATTCAGTGTCATAGCTCCCATGCCGTTCAAGAATGAGCCCGCCTAGTCCTTCACATCTAAGCATGCATGGAAAATTTTACTGATGATTTATTAAAGAGAGCTAGATTTAGAAGTAACATGAAAGTCAACTGAGGGAAATCTAGTGAAAAGACATTGTGCCTACTCATGGCCAGTATTCACATGAGAGAATCATCTGGTTCTATCCCCAAAGAGTGTCCTCAAGCCTATTTCCACCCTTCAAATCCAAAGCCAGAGACCCTAAGTTGAGATACTACAGTACTCACCTTGTTTACAAAAGTCTTATTTTCAGAATTTTTGTTTCCATTTCGAGGCTTTGCTTATTTTTCTGATGACTTAACATGGGAAACATTCTATTTTCTTCAGAGGAAAATTTATTCCCTTCTACAGGGTAGATTGCCTTACCATACTGCTTCAGTATGCCAAATGTTTTACAATATAACCCAATAGGATCAACATTCATGTAAAAGTCTTACATAATGGGTGTCAGATTACAATGAATATAGTCTGTGGATCAAGCATTTCGGAAACTGCCTAGGGCAACCTTGTGGTTATTTGTGTTCAAAAACATATCATCTGAGAGTGGTCCTTAATGAAAATGGATGCCTACATATTGAAGACCATTCCCTAAGGGAGCCAATAACTATGAATGGAATTAATGGTACCAATCACCAAGTGTCATTTATGTTCTAAGCACTGTACAGTACTATATGTTTTGCATACAACACCTCATTTCATTATTTTAACAATCGTATGGATGAGATATTTTCTGCAAATTTAGAGATGTTAAAACTGAAAATTAGAGTGGGAAAGAAACTTGCATAAGACCACTCATTTCCCAAGTGAAACCTTTGCAGTTAAGCTATTTGAATCAAAAGTCTGGTAATTTCACCACCAATAACTCAAACAAGGGTATCCAACCATATGCGAGGGATGCAGAATGCCACAGACAGTCAGAGATTATCTCCCTGAAGTCAGCTTAATTTAATGGAAAGTAGTGGGAATTGCATTAAAAATGTACCTAAATGTTACAGATAAAGCACAATATTTCAGAATTGTCATGATTGTGGCAGGATGCTTCTAATTAGATGACATGACTCATCTTATTTTGGATGCTTGTCCACTCCTCTATTCTGTTGTGTACTTTATGAAAAGGTTGAATAATCACATAATCTTCTAGAATTCATACCAAGGTTTCTCTCTGAACGTGATTTAGCCAATCTTCTTATATGCCACCTTTTTGAATGTCAATTATATTGATGGGATACAATTTACGGTGGGGACAGGAGCCAGAGAGATGTAACTTGGCACTATCCTGTAATTAATGGCATTAACTCATAAGTTTTAACTCTTCCAATATCAAAAAGATAGCAGTAAAAAAGAATATAGCATATGTGTGCACTTATACACCACTTCTTTAATAAACAAGGCAAAGAAAATAAATCTCAAAGACAGCAACCCATTAAAATACATTGCACTCTGTTGGCCACTCGTAGAAAGGTAAATGACAGAACCAAGCAAGCTGAAAGACAGCCTTAGGTTGTCTCATTTATTTATTATAGAAATGAGTTCCTTGGTCAGCTGTCCAATACTTTTTTAAAATTTGTATGTATTTATTCTCTTCAGAGGATTGTTCTTGGTCTGAGAGGAAGATTTCCAAGAATGTCCTGGTAGAGGATGTTGTTGACTTAGCGGTTCATGTCCAAATTTTCCTGGCATGCTTAGTATTTAGGTGAAACTGTTCTATTGCAGGGATTGAGACTCCTTGCCCTAATGGTTTTAAGTTAATTCTGGAACTCTGCTTTCCACGCTTACAATTTTCTGGTGATGAAACTTTCATAAAATTTATTTTGCCACCAATTTTATATTTTGGAGACTCTATTTTCTAAAAGCCAACTCCAGCTTTCTTGGCTGGTCAGAATAATCCCTGAGCCCTGATTACCAAACTATGTAATGATCTGTTAGCACCATAACTACTTTGTTTCAATTGATTTGCAGCTGTTACTAGCGCTCTGCCCATTCTTGGCTTTCTATGCTTAGTTGCATTAGATTTAAGACTTGCTTGGAGAATAAAGTGTAAAGCTGTGTTACCAAACAGTGTATTTTCTTCTCAGAATGTGGCCCCCTTGTTGCATTTTGAGTTTAGTCATGGGATATACTTAAAATGGCAAGTGAAGTTGGGGGAAGGAGGGTGCAGCAGGAGCTACTCAAGAGAGACCTGGTAGGTTTGGTTTCCTAATACTTTTTTCTCCTCCCGAACATTCCTATACTATTTGACAGCTCACTAGCATTTCTAGATGAGAATATTAATTTATAGATGGAGAAGAAATCAAACAATAAATTTTTTTTATTGGAAGCTGTTAAATAACTCAAGTTAAATAAATATTAACTTCTAGTCAGATGATGTGTTTCTGGCATTGGGCAAATTTAATCTGGCAACCCAGATTTTCTACATTAGCTTATATTAATAGTAAAAAATTCCAGTCCAGAGCTTCTTTCTCTCTTGTTGTACCTTATTGAAGGACTCCAAGAGTAATCAATAGAGTCTGTGTTCTTGCTAATTTGATTCTAGTTCTACAAAACCTTTCCAAGAGTGGTCATGTGGGTGGTACCTCAGTAGATGACAGGTAGTATCTTAACTGACCGCTTCACCTTCAATAGCACATTCTGACACTCTCTCACTCCGTGATGAGTAAAGCTACACTATTGACCAAGCCAACTCACCTCAGTCCATTCTGCATTTACTTTGCTTCATTTATTTTGCCAATATTTGTATTGGATAGAAATCTATTTGAATCAAGATAAAGAAATAGGTTCAACCTAAGACAAACAAAAAAATGGTGAAGATTATTATTCAGGGAATGTTCTTGTTGGATTAGAAACAAAAATCCCATCCTCAGGAAGGGACTAGAATTCAAAAATGGAAAGTTATTAACATGTACTTGCTTCATCTTTTATCTCTAATCCTTTCCCTAAAGACACTTAACAGCTTTCTATCTGCAGATTAGGCTTCATGATCTCTTAAAATACCATTTAGTCCACAAATTTGTTAGTCCACCACTTACAGAGAATGTGAACCTCACTGGATAACATTCTATTCTGAATCAGATATTGGTCTGATCCAGAACTACTGGTGTCATATGAACCTTCTCAAACTTTCTACTTTGTTTGGCTTTTTGATGTGGTTGAATACATCACCCACAGAAAACTATGCTTTAGTGGTGAACCCCATGAAACAAAATAGAATCTAGTTTTCATGAAGCTGAAGAGAGCCATGAACTTCTATCTCTGCACATTTCACAGCCCAGTGATTTTAATATACCCACATGTATTAGGGGGCAGATATTAACTTACACACTTTCCCAAAGTGTGTTATATTGGGATCAATATTTCATTAGCACTCTCCAGAGCTAATGATTAAGGCAAGCACCAGCTGGACTCAATTTTATGCAGTGAGTCATTGACATTTGCTCCGTGGCCTGTGAGGTAATCTGCCCTTTTAAAGGAATAAAAAAGGTTAACCCAGACCCTTGTAAACCTTTATCAGTGACTTGACATCATTAAAAGCTGTCCAGTCTATTTTGTGGCAGTCAATCAAACATAAAATTTCCTAGAGTAGTAGGCTATTTTTTAACTGAGAAAGTCAAGCCAATGATCTCTTGAAAAGTATTATTTATGTATCTCATATGTGCCCCCAGACAATAGAAGGTGCTGTGACAGATACAAAGAAAAAGAAGACCTGCTGTCTGCCCTCAAGGTACTTATTAACTAGTTGGGAAGTCACAATAAAACCCCAAAATAAAGTAAGACTTTATTAGCAAATAACCAAAATGAAGAAATAGATTAAAACAACCACAAAGAGTTGCTTCTCACCCTTCAAAAATTATATCTGATGTGTCTTATATTGTGAGAGTAAAGAGAATACAAACATGGTACAAAAAATTTGGGTTGTATTTCTAAGAATATATCAGATTTTCATGGGCTGGAAAGAAGGGAGGGACACATTTGTTTTGATTGGGGGAGAGAGAAAGGAGTAAATGTAAAATGCAGAAACTGGAGCTGCACAAAATAAGTTTTCATCCAGGTACTTCCACGTACCAGAGCCTGACCACTGCAACTTGGGGAGAGAGTTATTATATGAACTAGAACTGAAAAATTGTTAGTAGAACCTGTAGAAATGAGAACCAAAGCAATAGTTTGCATTGCAGGTTTGAGAGAAATCTTGTTTATACTATACTGTTAAGAGGAAGCTAGAGATGTCAATGTGACATCTCACAGGTGCATCCTGATGCCATAACAACACTTTTCCTCTCCCTGTGCACACTGCAGATGTATACACACCTATTCTCCAAAAGGTACGCTTCTCTTTCCAACAAGGCTTTCCCTCCCAAGCTTCACTCCTGCCACTGAGATAACTACCAGGTTGCTCTTGGCAGGTTCCAAAACATTTGCATCTCCTGAATGATTCACCCACAGCCTTCCACTCCTGCCACTGGGTATCAGCTAATTTTTTATTCACTCAAGCCTGCAGAATGACAAGTCCCCCAGTTAGACTTCTTGGAGGCTTCCTCTTTCTTTGGCACTAGGTGTGGTGAGTGTCAAAATCTCATCTTAGCAGACTTGGTTTAGTGTTAAAAGCTTTGTCTATGACAGCAAACAAATGTTGGGGGGCATAGAGGGGCAGAAGTATGTTAAGAAGGAAAATGACTGGGCCACTTGTTTCATCCAATTGCAGAATGCTAGAGAAGAAAAGCTCATCTAGTCCAACACCATCATTTTACTGAGGAAGAACATGGAAATCTGAGAGGCAAAGTGTCTAATCCGAGATTTGACAGAAAGTATTGTGGGACAGAGATGACACCGGTGCCTCATCGGGAAATTGTAAGGCCCTCTAAGACAAAGGCTATGATTTGTACGTCTTTGAAGCACCACCATGCCTAGAATCCTATATTGCTTATAATAAATGCTAAGTAAATGATGAGAAAGTAATCAAGGATTGATTTGTAACTAAAATGCTCAGAATGTTAAGTTGGTTCCTGATTTCCTTTTTGTAAATTCAATTTTTCCTCTACTATTATACATATGGGTTTCAGATTTTATCTACTTTTTATCTGCAATTTTCTCTTTCTCTCACTAATGAAGCCATTTTTCTCAGTTGAGTCAGGTACCTTCATTTTGCCTTTGGAAAGGAAGAAATGTATTATCTTCCTACTTCTGTCCATCTTTATTTCTTCAAGGTTGTTTCAGACTCATCACTCCTCACCTCACACTTTCTTATATTTTTAAGAGTGACTTCTCTGTACAATGTATTTAGGACTGAGATAAACTGGTTGTTTAATCATTATTGGATGAAATGTTTCATGCTAAAGAAATTAAATTTATCAATTATAAATGGCATACTTTATATTCCCCAGTATTAGGTATGTGGAGAATATAACAAATCAAAGAAATAATCTTTGCATTTTGGAGATGAGAAATAATTTTAGGAAGATTAAAATGACAACATAAAAAACCACAAGAGATGATAAAAACACAAAATACAATTGATTTCTATATAGACAATAACTTCAATAGTAGTGAATTCTGTGTGATAAAATGAGAAGGTCTTCTGGAGCAGGAGAGATATGAGATAAATTTACAGATCAGACATATAAGCAGAAAAGGGGGAGTAAAAGGTTTCTACCTGAAAAAAATACGAGGACAAAGCTTCAGAGACAGGAATCCATCAGTAAGGTATACTTAACTAGTAAGTACCCAAGTTTGGCTAGAACAAAGAGCACATGTAAACAAGAAAGATTCAGAGGTTTATGGGCACTAGGTGATCTTGCCCTCAGAGGGCTCATGTTCTCAATGGGGAGCCAGACATAAACATATAGACTCACTAAAGATTAATTTAATAACCTATGGAATCATGTCAAAACTTACAGTACTGAACCAACCTTAAAAGTTAGAATTCCTCTATTTTAAAAGATACATGCACACTTATGTTCATTGTAACAGTATTCACAATAGCAAAGACATGAAATCAACCTAAATGCCTATTAATGATAGATTGGATAAAGAAAATGTGGTACATATACATCACGGAATACTATGCAGCCATAAAAAGGAATAAGATCATGTCCCTGGACATGGATGGTGCTGGAGGCCATTATCCTTAGCAAACTAATGCAAGAACAGAAAACCAAATAACACATGTTTTCACTTACTTATAAGTGAGAGCTAAATGATGAGAACACATGGACACACGGGGGGAACAACACACACTGAGGACTGTTGAAGGGTAGGGGGTGGAAGAAGGGACAGAATCAGGAAGAATAGCTAGTGGATGTTTGGCTTAATAGCTGGGTGATGGGATGATCTGTGCAGCAAATCACCACGGCAAATGTTTGCCTATGTGACAAACCTACTCATCCTGCACATGTACCCCAGAGCTTAAAATAAAAGCTGGACATTTTTTAAAAAGTTAGATTTTCATAGGTTACCACGACAAAGAAATATTTTAAGTGAGTTAAATCTGAAATGGCATCAAAAGGACACTGAGAATCTGGATTAGCAGTGAGAGGGGAAGCCATTACAAGGAAAAATAAGAGAGTCTACTTCTTCTTTTATTTTTATTTGTTCGTTAGTTTGTTTCTCCTAGCCCCCACCATTAATAGGTAAGAAATAAACAGCTTTTACTCATCAAAAATTATATCAGATATATTTTCTATCCCGAGAGGAGAGCACATTCATGGCAAATTTTAGTTATGCAGTTAGTGTTTATGAAGTTTTCACTCCAGAATATATACTCTATTAATCTTCATCTTTTTTTGCAATTAATAACTATTGATTTTCAAAATTTGGTGTTTAAGCAAACACCAAATATTTCAGAAACATAGATGGTGGCTTCTTGATTATAAAATTTTATGCTGTTGGTTTCTTTGTATTCAAGAACCAATAAAACAAACCAGCAGTTTGTAATCTTAAGTACCCCTAGTCTGAAACAACCACTACAAGAAAAAAGAAAAGTAATATTGGCAGGCATAATTAGAAGTATTATATACAGGTCAAACAAATAATAGTCTAACTGCATTCTAACTTTAAAATGGGAGAACTTCTGTGTTTAAATATAAGCAAATACATTTAAAAAGAGGAGTGGTCAAAGTAGATTGCATCCAGAGAAAAACAACTACAAGAGCACAGTTGTCAAATAAGGAAATTGAAGGAGTTTGGTACTGAGAAAAGGGTAATATGTGCTTTCACATATTTGAAAGAAGGCCAGGTTGAGAAGGGCATGGCGTTTCAATTGTTTACTTCAGAGAACCTAATCAGGATTAGTATGGGAATGACACCTCTACCATTTTTTATTTGTTTGTTTCAATTCAATGTATTGGAGAGCTCATCAGCTGTGAGAAAATTAAACAACAGATGATACCTGATTTCTTATGCTCCCCCAATCACTGGAAGTAAGTTTTTTTTTTAGTTTTTATTTATCTACTTGTTTGTATTTTTTGGTAGAAAGACTACTGTAATAAACTCATAATTGGCCGGGCGTGGTGGCTCACGCCTGTAATCTCAACACTTTGGGAGGCCAAGGTGGGCGGATCACAAGGTCAGGAGTTCAAGATCAGCCTGGCCAATAAGGTAAAACCCCATCTCTACTAAAATACAAAAATTAGCCAGACATGGTGGCAGGCACCTGTAATCCCAGCTACTCGGGAAGCTGAGGCAGGAGAATCGCTTGGACCCAGGAGGCAGAGGTTGCAGTGAGTTGAAATCATGCCACTGTAACTCCAGCCTGGGTGACAGAGCGAGACTCTGTCTGAGAAACAAAAGAAAACAAAAGAAAACAAAAAACTCTGTCTGTAGTTGGTCCATGCAGATTTGTCTCTTCTTAGATTGTTCACACCATTCCTAGTGAATATTTTCTGGCTATTTTGGGATTTTCCTCTTTTCAGGGCAGTTAGATGCCCCTTTTGCCTTCTCTCCACTTACTCTTGTCTGGAAGCTGCTACAGTGCTGTTCCCTGGAATAATTTGGAAGTTGACAGAACTATTTTACCACATAATATTTTTATAGATGTCCATTACCCTTGTTGCTATATTTTTCTAAAACAAGGGAATTCAGAAAAATTACAAATTACTCCACTTCTTCACTCTGTGTCTCAGAATTTTCTATTGTGGGCATTCTATTAGCTATGAGATGGCTATTTTTTCAGTGATGTACTAAAATATAAATCCCATTTATTTGAGAGATGAAAAAGGAAATACATAAAGAAAACTTATAAAGTCATACAATTTTAGACTTATGTTATTTATATCAGAAAAAAGTACATATATTTAACTCAACCTATAGGGGTCCTCAAAGAAGAGAACAAGAGAAACAACATAGGACCGTGCAAAAATAATAATAATTCAAGAACACTCTCCTGAGATAAAATTTTGTTGTCTGAATTAGTCTAAGTATGGTAATTATTACATTAGGTATACTTTTCAAATAAAGAAAATTACATAGTTAGATAATGTAACAAATACGGGCCACAATAAAAAAATGTAGCTTATGAAAATGATTCAGAAAAAAAGTAGTTACATTTGATAATATCTTAGGCTTTTGGTAATTTAAGAATATGAAAAGTATTGACTAGTTTTTATTTTTAAATAGATTTATTTTTTATTCATAATAACTTAATGTGTTTTTACACAAGAATTAAAAAGTTTTAAGTTGTATAATTATAAGTTTTTATGTCATTTTCTGTATGTAGTGATGACACAGAAAAAACTGAGAATAACACAGTGTTCGCTTGACCAAAATCATAGGGTAAGACTTGGTAGAGATACTGATTGAATACTTTCAAAGTTATGATGAGACATGCACAATAAGCTAAGAATATTTTCTTGAAAAAGCAGATGAACTCACTTTTCTTTGTAAAGTTGTTGGCATGCTGACTTCTAGTTTTAAATCCTACATGCAAATAGCTTAGAAATCAACACTCCCGTTCTCAAAACAACAAAAACAGAAAAGACTGAACACACTAAAATTCAATGACTTTTGAATTCATCAGAAAACTGAGGTCACTGGCAAATCAAAAATATAGAGAGAAAGGTAAATACAAAGTCACTGGTGAGATCACCTGAGTCATAAACTGGTGAGATCACTAAAATTGTAATTTTGACAATTTGCTGGAGGCTAAGTGTAGACTAGTACTAGTGTCAGAGTGAGAAACTCCTGGGAGCTGCCAGGGTTTTTTTTTGTGTTGGGGGGAGGGGGGTACGAGGGGACATTACTATAGGTTTTACTGCCAGGGGCCCCATCACTTTCTCACTGTGAAGTCAGAAAATACTCTCATTTATACATTTCCACGGAAAGGCAGAAGACATAATAAAATAGCCAACATAAGACTGAAAATAAAAAACAAAGTTGGAGGATTCACGCTACCCAACTTGAAGTCTTATTGTAAAGCTAATAACCAAAGCACTGTGATGTTGGTGAAAGAACAGACAAAGAACAATGAACGAAAGAAAGAGCTCAGAAATAGAACTAAACAAATATAGTCAACATTTGTTTATATGTTACAATAATAAAGGAGCAAATAAGATTCAATAGAAACAGGGCAGTCTTTTAAAAAAATTGTACTGAACCATTGTGGGTTCATATATTTAAATAAGGAACATAGATCCACTTTTTGCAAAAATTAAATCAAATGTCAAATAAAATGAATATAAAATTAAAAACTATAAAAATTATAGAAGAAAACATAGAAATATAGGTGATTTTGGGTTTGGCAATGAAGTTTCAGACAAACACAGAAAGCATGACCAATGAAAGAAAAAACAAACGACAAGACAATGTCTATTAACTTTAAAATCCCCTGATCTGTTAGAGACACTATTGAAAGAATAAAAAGACAAGCTAAAGATGGGAGAAAACATGGCAAAACGCATATCTAAGAAAGAAATGTTACTCATAATAATATGGTTTGGCTCTCTGTCCCCACCCAAATCTCACTTTGAATTATAGTTCCCATAATCCCTACATGTCATGAGAGGGACACAGTGCGAGGTAATTTAATCATGGGGGTGGTTATCCTCATGCTGACTAGATCTAACAGTTTTATAGGGGATTTTCTCCCTTGTGCTTTGCACTTCTCCTTTCTGCCATTATGCGAAGAAAGACTTGTTTGTTGTCCCTTCTGCCGTGATTGTAAGTTTTCTGAGGCCTCCCCAGCCATGCTGATCTGTGAGTCAATTCAACCTTTTTCCTTTATAAATTACCCAGTCTCAGGTGGTCCTTTATAGGAGCATGAGAATAGACTAAACATTTACATTAAACAATAGAAAAACAAACAACATAATTGAAAATGTGAAAGAAAATCTAAAAAGATACTTTCCAAAGAAGATATACATATAGCAACAGACACATAAAAGGATCTTCAACATTTATTTGCTATTAGGGAATTACAAATTAATACAATAAACGGATACTATTAAAAACCTGTGAGAATGGCTAAAATTCAAAAGACCTACAATACCAATTGCTAGCAAAGAAGCAGACTAATAGAAACTGTCATTCATTAGTGGTGGGAGTGTAAAATGGTACAGCCAATTTGGAAGACAGTTTGGCAGTTTCCTACAAAGCTAAACACAGTCTTACCATGCCATACAGCAATCACACTCATTGGTATTTACCCAAGTAATTCAAAAACATGTCCACATAAAAGCCTGCACACAAACACACAGAGCAACTTCATTAATAATCAAGAAAAAATAGAAACAACCAGTCATTTACTCAGTGAATAGATACACATGTAACCTGTAGTACACTGTGCAACAGAATAGTATTCAGTAACAGGAAAATAAAAGAGGTAGAAAGCCATGAAAAGAAATGGATAGATCTTAAGTGCATATTTCCAAGTGAAAGAAGCCAGTCTGAAAAAGATACATAGTATATGATTAAAATTATAGGACCTTCTGCAAAAGGCAAATCTCTAGAGACTATAAAAATAGATGTTGCAGGGGTTTAGAGGAAGGAGGAGAAAGTTGAAGCACAAATGACTTTCCAGGGTGCTGAACCTATTCTGTATAGTGCTATAATGTGGATATATGACACTATACATTTGTCGAATCCCACTGAACTTTACAACAGAAGAGTGGACCGTAATGCATGCATATTAAAATTATTTATGAGGTTGGATGAATAACAGGATAAAATGAAGAATATGACAAAATAATATAACTGTATTATAAATTTATGAAAAAGCTTACTCAAAAGCATATGGTAGGGAGGATGTGCTGACTTAAGTTACTTTGGAAATGAGGGGAATGTGTAAAACTAAAGGCAATGAAGCAGCACATAAACAATGTAATAGTCGGGAAAGTTGTTTTTCACAACGATGGGGTTAAAAATTCTGATCCTGCTGCACTGCTATATATAGCAGGTGCTCAGTATAGAATGAACACAAATAAATGCATCAAGGGTAGTGGGAGTCAGGTGTCTCACTCTTGGAGTGGAAGTATATAGATAAGTATTTGGAGAAAGCTAGAATGATAGAAATAGTAAAGGATTAGAGCTTGGCTGGATATGAAATTCTGGGATGAAAATTCTTCTCTTTAAGAATGTTGAATATTGGCCCCCACTCTCTTCTGGCTTGTAGAGTTTCTGTAGAGAGATTCACTGTTAGTCTGATGGGCTTCCCTTTGTGGGTAACTCGACCTTTCTCTCTGACTGCCCTTAACATTTTTTCCTTCATTTCTACCTTGCTGAATCTGATGATTATGTGTCTTGGGGTTGCTCTTCTCGAGGAATATCTTTGCAGTGTTCTCTATATTTCCTGAATTTGAATGTTGGCCTGTCTTGCTAGGTTGGGGAAGTTCTCCTGGATAATATCCTGAAGAGTGTTTTCCAATTTGGTTGCATTCTCCCCATCACTTTCAGGTACACCAATCAAATGTAGATTTGGTCTTTTCACATAGTTCCATATATATTGGAGGCTTTGCTCATTCCTTTCAATTCTTTTTTTCTCTAATCTTGTCTTCTTGCTTTATTTCATGAAGTTGATCTTCAATCTCTGATATCCTTTATTCTGCTTGGTTGATTTGGCTATCAATACATGTGTATGCTCCATAAAGTTCTTGTGCTGTGTTTTTCAGCTCCATCAGGTCACACAATAATAGTGGGAGAATTTAAGACCCCACTGTCAATATCAGACAGATCAACAAGACAGAAAATTAACAAGGATATTCAGGACTTGAACTCAGCTCTGGACCAAGCAGACGTAATAGACATCTAAAGAACTCTCCACCCCAAATCAACAGAATATACATTTTTCTGAGCACCACATCACACTTATTCTAAAATTGACCACATAATTGGAAGTAAAACACTTCTCAGCAAAGGCAAAAGAACGGAAACCATAACAAAATGTCTCTCAGGCCACAGTGCAATCAAATTAGAGCTCAGGATTAAGAAACTCACTCAAAACCACAAAACTCACTCAAAACCACACAGCTACATGAAAACTGAACAACCTGCTCCTGAATGACTACTGGGTAAATAAGGAAATTAAGACAGAAATAAAGATGTTCTTTGAAACCAATGAGAACAAAGACACAACATACCATAATCTCTGGGACACACTGAAAGCAATGTTTAGAAGGAAATGTATAGCACTAAATGCCCTCAAGAGAAAGAAGGAAAGATCTAAAATTGACACTCTAACATCACAATTAAAAGAATTAGAGTAGCAAGGGCAAAAAAATTCGAAAGCTAGCAGAAGACAAGATATAACTAAGATCAGAGCAGAACTGAAAGAGATAGAGACACAAAAAACTCTTCAAAAATCAATGAATCCAGGAGCTGGTTGAAAAGATCAACAAACTACATAGACCGCTAGCCAGACTAATAAAAAAGAAAAGAGAGAAGAATGAAATAGACACAATAAAAAAATGATAAAGGGGATATCACCACTGATCCCACAGAAATACAAATATACTATAAACACCTCTAAACAAATAAACTAGAAAATCTAGAAGAAATTGGTAAATTCCTGGACACATACACCCTCCCAAGTCTAAACCAGGAAGAAGTCAAATCCCTGAATAGACCAATAACAACTTCTGAAATTGAGGCAGTAATTAATTAACCAACCAAAAAAAGTCCGCAACCAGACGAATTCACAGCCAAATTCTACCAGAGATACAAAGAAGAGCTGGTACCATTCCTTCTGAAACAATATTCTAAACAATAGAAAAAGAGGGAATCCTCCATAACTTATTTTATGAGGCTAGTATCATCCTGATACCAAAACCTGGCAGAGACACAACAAAAAAAGAAAATTTCAGACCAGTATCCCTGATAAACATCGATGCGAAAATCTTCAGTAAGATACTGCCAAACTGAATCCAGCAGCACATCAAAAAGCTTATCCACACGATCAAGTTGGCTTCATTCCTGGGATGCAAGGCTGGTTCAACACACGCAAATCAATAAACATAATCCATCACATAAACAGAACCAAAGACAAAAATCACATGATTATCTCCATGAATGCGGAAGAGGCCTTCGAAAAAATTCAACACCCCTTCATGCTAAAAACTCTCAATAAACTAGGTATTGATGGAATGTATCTCAAAATAATAAGAGCTATTTATGACAAACCTGCAGCCAATATCATACTGAATGGGCAAAAACTGGAAACATTCCCTTTGAAAACCAGAACAAGATAAGGATGCCCTCTTTCATCACTCCTATTCAACATGGTATTGGAAGTTTTGGCAAGGGCAATCAGGCAAGAGAAAGAAATAAAGGATATTCAAATAGGAAGACAGGAAGTCAAATTGTCTCTGTTTGCAGATGACATGATTGTATATTTAGAAAATTCCATCATCTCAGCCCAAAACCTACTTAAGCTAATAAGCAACTTCAGCAAAGTCTCAGGATACAAAATCAATGTGCAAAAATCACAAGCATTCCTATAGACCAATAACAGACAAACAGAGAGCCAAATCATGAATGAACTCCCAGTCACAATTGCTACAACGAGAATAAAATACCTAGGAATATAACTTACAAGGGATGTGAAGGACTTCTTCAAGGAGAACTACAAACCACTGCTGAAGGAAATAAGAGAGGACAGAAATAAATGTAAAAACACTCCATGGTCATGGATAGGAAGAATAAATATTGTGAAAATGGCAATACTGCCCAAAGTAATTTATAGATTCAATGCTATCCCCGTCAAGCTACCATTGACTTACTTCACAGAATTAGAAAAAAAACTGAAGTTCATATGGAACCAAAAAAGAGCCCACAAAGCCAAGACAATCCTAAGCAAAAAGAACAAAGCTGGAGGCATCCTGCTACTTTTACACTGTTGGTGGGAGTGAAAATTAGTTCAACCATTGTGGAAGACAGTGTGGCAATTCCTCAAGGATCTAGAATCAGAAATACCATTTGACCCAGGAATCCCATTACTGGGTATATACCCAAAGGATTATAAATCATTTTACTATAAAGACACATGCACATGTATGTTTATTGTGTCACTATTCACAATGGCCAAGGCTTGGAACCAACCCAAATGCCCATCAATGATAGACTGGATAAAGAAAATGTGGCACATATACACCATGGAATACTATGCAGCCAAAAAAAAGGATGAGTTCATGTCCTTTGCAGGACATGGATGAAGCTGGAAACCATCATTCTCAGCAAACTAACACAAGAACAGAAAACCAAACACCGCATGTTCTCACTCATAAGTGGGAGTTGAACAATGAGAACACATGGACACAGGAGGGGAATATCACACACCGGGGCCTGTCGGTGGGGGTGAGGGGCTAGGGGAGGGATAGCATTAGGAGAAATACCTAAAGTAGATGACAGGTTGATGGGTGCAGCAAACCACCATGGCACATGTATACCTATGTAACAAACCTGCACATACTGCACATGTGCCCCAGAACTTAAAGTATAATTTTTAAAAAAGGATTAGAGCTGGAGATATCAGTTTGAACTTATATTTACTTTAATATTGATACAGATAAATTACATATACAAATATTTTTAGAAGTATGCATCCACATGGGCTAGTATACACATACATGTTTTCTTGCTCTGAGGTGACATACAAACAACAACATTTCAATAGAAATGAACACTCTAGTGTCCAAATCTTGGATTCTAATGTAATTCTACAATTAAACAGAAACCAAAAAACAAAAGAAGCAAGCAAACAAACAAACAACAACAAAAAAAACAAGGGCAGGGGGAATGGCTCACATCTGTAATCCCAGAACGTTGGGAGGCCAATGTAGGCGGATCATTTGAGGTCAGGATTTCGAGACCAGCATGGTCAACATAGTGAAACCACGTCTCTACTAAAAATAAAAATAAAATAAAATAAAATAAAGAGCCTGGCATGGTGGCGTGCACCTGTAATCCCAGCTACTCAGGAGGCTCAGGCAAAGGAATAGCTTGCACCCAGGCAGCAGAGGTTGCAGTGGGCCAAGATTATGCCACTGCCCTCCAGCCTGGGTGACAGAGTGAGACCCTGTCTCCAAAAACAACAACAACAACAAAGCAGATAGCTGATATAAAGATGGAGGCAGTAAATATGCAAGATGAACCTGGAGCATCTTAGAATGCCAGACGGAAAAGAACAGCTACAAAAAGAAAAAGAAAAGAAAAGAGAAATAGAGATAGAAAGAAAGACAGAAAAGAAAGAAAGAAAGAAAGAAAGAAAGAAAGAAAGAAAGAAAGAAAGAAAGAAAGAAAGAAAGAAAAGAAAAGAAAGAGAAAGAGAGAGGGAAAAAAGGCCTAAAGAAAGACCCACAATGATGGGTGTACATCAAAGAAAGAAAGAGAGAGAGACAAAAGCCCAAAGAAAGAAGACCCACAATATTGGGTGTATAACCAAAGAATATAGGAGTCAACTGAAAGAGCTCTCATAACTATTTTTGGAACAACTTGAGAAACAAAATAAATATTGTTGGGAAATACCCTAAAGTATAAAGTAAATACCCATGAATTTATAATTATTTAAATAATAAACAAATTGAGAGGAAGAGAAATCTCCCATGTAGAAGAATTACAAATAATCCATGCAGATCCTCTCTTATCAAAGAGCTGCAGCATAAAATCCCACTTCTGAAGCGTGGGCTATGCATAGTGATTTCCTTCCAAAGAGAACAATATGCAAAAGGAGACAATAAAGAACAACTTTCCCATTGAGAAACCTGACGAACACTACTGAGCCAGGTGGACAAAGTCAACATCAACAATGATAAGTCATGTTGCTAGTATGTAATCTTGGTCTGATGTGATGAGAATATCACTTTACCTCTGTAGTTATCCTCCCAAAACTGTAACTCCAGTCTAATCATGAGAAAATCACCAGACAGATCCAAATCAAGCAATATTCTACAAAACAGTCGACCAGTATTTGTCACACTGCCAAGATCATGAAAAACAGGAAAAGTCTGAGATATTGTCACAACTATCAGGAGTCTATGGAGGCATGATGACTAACTCTAATGTCATAGCCTGAATAGAAAAAAAAAGACATTATATTAAAACTAAGGAAATATGCATACCATATTGATTTTAGTTAATAATAGTAATACATCAATATTAATTTATTCATTGTGACAAATTCATCATAATAAAGGAATATTGATGTTAATAATAAAGGAAGATGAGTGAGAGGCATATGGCATCCCAGTATCATCTCTACCATTTTTCAGTAAATATCAACTTGTGTGAAAAAAAAAGTTTATTAAGAAAAAAAAATGTTTGACATGTTTTGTCTTAGTATTCATACTTTATATGAATCCCCAGTTATAGTCTTCAGGAATAGTGACACATTAAGCCTTCATAGGCTTGTAAGTTGTAATATGAAAGCACAGGCACATAAACATACATACATACAGTCATAGGAGGTAGGGTTTGTAATGACAAAATAAAGCAAAATAAAGGTAGAAGAGCATTCAAGACATGTAATCTTTTTCACGTACTTCTGTATCCAAGAAACCCATGTAACACGTCTTCTGTAACTCCTGTCATTTTGCCAAAGAAAATCATGTTATAAAGTAAGTTTTCTTACTTCCATTTGAGTATATTTTAATGCAGCCTAACATAGACGAACCATTTATGTTCCTGCTCACAGAATAGTTTCTTCCTTCACTTCTCTAGAATATCTAATATTAGAAACTCATTTATTCTATGGGACTTCTTAAATACTTGGATAAGAAAAGTAAAACATGTCTTGCCTCAGGCCAGTAAATAAGTGACAATCTACAAATTTAATATAAAAATGATTAATTTTCATAGACAGTAATGCAGCCCAGTAGAATTCTGTAAATTTACTCTATTAAATAGGTGAAAAATAAAAACTTAATGAAAGATTTTATGTAGAGAACCTTTGTTTATTATAGAGTAAGAAAGTGATGCTGCTCTAAAGTTGGAGGGAATTCTTGGAACAAGTTTTAAGATTTTAACAAAACAAAGACATACTAATCTATTTAGAGGAGCCATTTTTAATGACCCATTAATATTATTTATGCAGCTAAAGAGGTAATCCTAATGGTCCTCACTAATAAAAACGCTAATATTTTTTAAATTTTAATATTGTCAATTTTATTTTAATAGTCAAGGAAGAGCTAACTTTATTCCAGCAAGCATGAATGGACTAATCATTCCAAATAAGTGAAATTATGAAGTTTCATGCATTTACAAAGTACTTCACAAAGTAGCGTTTTGGTTCATCCAGTCGATGTCTAACCTAAATAAATATTTATTCATACACTTATTGATTAATTTCTTAAGAAAAACAAACAAAAAAAACCCCTTCTATTTAAAATGACATTTGTTAGACCCATCCTTAGATCATTCCACAAAGGAGAAATGACATTATTAACTAGAGGAAAAAAAAATCACAATATGAGAGATGTATTATGTATACTTATTTCTAGACAGAAGTGATAAAAATTTTATTGTTTATTTTATTTACTTGCTTATTTACTTACTGTATTCTATTTCATTCACTTTGAAGACTAAGAATTATGAAAGTACAGTGGCAGCCCTTTTAATTTACTGAGTACACTGTGTCTATTAGAAAAATACTGTCTTGTTTATAGCGTGCATATAATCAGATTCACTTTTCTCAACACAGAAAAACAGACTTCTCAATATCCAGAATATATCTTGCCTTATACTTACCAACTAAAGTAGGAGGATGTGATATAATAAGAAATATATATTTGATCTTTGTTTCTGGTTCCTGGCACAGAGCACCTAAATCTGTTGAAATTTCCAGAGTCATAGGAGATTTCATTTCTCTCTCTCTCTCTCTCTCTCTCCCTCTGTCTCTCAAAATAAAGCAACCTTGCTTGACAGGCCCCTAGATAGCTTCAGGATGGCAGCTGGTTGCCAGAAAGACCAAACCTTAACTAGAAACCTGAAACTTTCAGCCACACACGCAACCTCTGGGGAGGGTAGAAAGGTAGGAGATTGATTAATAAGTGATCATGGCCGCGCGGTGGCTCACGCCTGTAACCCCAGCCCTTTGGGAGGCTGAGGCAGGTGGATTACTTGAGGTCCTGAGTTCAAGATCAGCCCGACCAACCTGGTGAAACCCTGTCTCTGCTAAAAATATAAAACTAGCCTGGCGTGGTGGTGCATGCCTATAATCCCAGCTACTTGGGAGGCTGAGGCAGGAGAACCTTGAACCTGGAAGACAGAGGTTGCAGTGAGCTGAGATAGTGCCACTGCATTCCAGCCTGGGTAGCAAGAGTGAAACTCTGTCTCAAAATAATAATAATAATAATAATAATAATAATAATAATAATAATAATAATTGATCATGCCTACATGATGAAACCTCCATAAAAACCCTTAAATGATGGGTGGGATTCTAAGAGCTTCTTGGTTGTGAACACATGGAGGTCTGGGAGAGTGGTACATTAGGAGAGGGCATGGAAGCTTTGCACCCCTAGCCCTCATACCTTGCCCTATGCATCTCCTCTGTTTGGCTGTTGCTGAGTTGTAACCTTTATAATAAAGCAGTACATATAAGTAAAATGCCTTTCTGAGTTCTGGGAGCTGTTCTAGTAAATTATTGAGACTAAAGTGGGCGTATGGAAACCCCTCATTTATAGCTGGTCACTCAGAAATACGAGTGGTCTAGGACATGCAATTGACATCTGAAATGGGGGCAGTCTTATGGGACTGAGCCCTTTAACTTGTGGGATCTGACATTAACTCTTGCAGGATCTGACACTAGATAGACAGTGTCAGAACTGAATATAATTTACACCCAGTTGGTGTAAGAGAGTTAAAGAAGGGGTGTTCGAAAATGACACATGCATTTGGTGCCAGAGAAGAAAAAAAAAAAAAAACCTCTCAGTTTGTCTCCTAAGACTCAGAATAATTGGTCAGTTAATAAAAAAAAATTACTTGATAGCTACCATGGAAAAAAATTGTGCTAGATTTTGTGGGGATATGAGTAAGTTTAGATAAAAACCTTTAAGAAACAATCAGACAATTCAAATAATTGAAAATATTTTTAACAAGGATGCTAAACTATATGAATTGCCAAATCAATGACAAAGATGATAAACATTACAAAAATTTGAGGCATGTACAGGTCAAAATCATGAAGAAATACAAATTAGAAAAAACGTTTTGCAGGTTACAGCATCAGGGCCATGTCTTTGGCTCTGCTCTCAGTGGAGAATATAGTCTGGAGTGAACTTCACTGTTGCTCTGGCCAGTGACACAGTCTTGAGTTTCTCTTCCCTGTCAGGTTATGCACATTGAAGCTTTCTCAATTTCCTTCCTCTCCTTAGATACAGGTGATCTTCCTTGTCTCACACATACCCCCTACACACACATGCACATACACGCTAACACACATACACACACATATCCAAATCTTGAGAGGCACAGCACTATGCTGAAAGTTTTAGCAAGAAAACCCAAATCATATGGGGTAGGAAAAAAGAAAACAGAAGCGGTGGGTGCAGTCAGTTGCTAACTTATTAACCTCCTAAGTCCAATTACTTCATTGCCTTTGGGCTAAGGTAGAAGGCATGTGTAGCTGGAGGTAACTTCTTCCAAGAACTGGAAATTTTTCAATGTTGGCATTTCATAAGAACTTGAAGGGTCTAGTGTATGTTACCTCTTTATATTTCCCATTAAAAATATGCCCAGGCTCACATTTGTAATCCCAGCAGTTTGGGAGGCCGAGGCAGGTGGATCACCTAAAATCAGGAGTTTGAGAGAATTTCAGCTAACAAACTCCCTGGTGAAACCTGGTGAAACCCTGTCTCTACTGAAAATACAACAATTAGCTGAGTGTGGTGGCAGGCACCTGTATTCCCAGCTACTTGGGAGGTTGAGGCAGGAGAATCACTTGAACCACGGGGGTGAAGACTGCAGTGAGCCAAGATCGTCCACTGCACTCCAGCCTGGGTGACAGAGTGAGACTCCATCTCAAAAAAAAAAAAAAAAATGGACCCAGGGTTTTTTAATCAGATGTAGAAGGCTGGCCACCAAATACTTGCATTGCAATTGGCTGGAGCTAGAGATAAACTCTTAATGGTGTTAAGCCCTAAGATAGGGGGTTTTGTTTTTTAATAGCAGTTAGTGTTACTAAACTAAGCAATAAATACATTGATAATAGAAGCTAGGCATTGTCATCATAAAAAACCTTTAGTTTTTTTACTTTAGTGTAGCGTTAGCCAGTGGCAAGAAAACAGACACAGTAGTCTGGCAGCAAAATATTTGGTAAAACTGCCATGTGAAATAACTTGGAAGGAAGATCCTGCCCACTGAGCTTGTGGCTCTAGGGGAAGTGGTTGGAAAGATGCAGCAGAATAGTGAGTTAGCTTCTAATTGTGGCCTTTAGCGAAGTATTACAAGAAAGAGGTGAGTTCAGGAGAGAATTGGCTGATTTTCAAACAGACATTGAAAGAGAAGAAACAAATAAGCAAAGGGCTTTATAGGTTTAGGATAATAAGAATACATCTGAAACCTAGATTGGAAGAACTGTGGGTATAATTACTAGTGCAATGAAAAGTCTAGAAACAGCACATTTAAAATCTGCTAATATGTTAGAGAATTGTATTGTCAAAGAATTTGAAGGCTGGACTAAAATATGATTTAGGTGTTTGAATTATAAAACAACATTGGGTGTCAATCACATTATCAGGAAGAGGGTTGCAAAAATTGTGCAGATTCTAAGGAACACTGCATGTTACTGTGGCCAAGTAGGACAATGAACTGTGAAAATTTTTCCAGAGGTGTGAGCCAGGGGCCTTGCAAAACAATGCACAGGAAACGTTGCCAAAGAAGACCTAATCCAGGCACTTTTCCAACTTCCCAGGGAAAGGGTCCTGCACAAATTCCATTAGCAGAATTGTATATAAGCTAGGAAGTGTATCTTCTACGTTTGCCTTTTCTTACCAGGAGATAGGACCTAGGGAAAGGCAAACAGAAACTGAAAGCAGTCCCAGTTTCTGAATCAGTACACAAAAGGCCTCTTGCTGAATGTCTGCACAGGACATTGGATAAGACAGAAATACACTGTATTGGTTTAGCCATTGAGATTTGGTGGTTTGTTTGTTCCAGCAGTAAGTATTACCTTAAACATTTTTTAAAAAGATAAAATTGAGTCAAAAAGAAAATAAATGCATGTAGACAACAATATGGAGTTAGAATATGTAAGATAGGTTTATGAGATAGTGAGTTCTCCACTTATTAAATAAGTATTAAGATATTGAAGTTCTTAGTTTAAATGCAAATGTGATGAAGTCAGGATATATTATTACTCATAGTTATTTTCAGTTGAATTAACATATCAGCTGTGCTTTTGTTACCCAGAAACTCCTTATGGTAGATTTTGCAAAGAAAAAAAAAGCTGCACTTATCTTCTTGCTTTTGTCCACGTAGCCATCGATGTGATTCTGCAACTCTCACCATCAAGAAGTATAGTCTATTTCCCCAGGCTTTCAAGCTTTTGTATATTGCTTTGATACACGGAGTCAGAAAAAGTGAAATTGTACTCGTCTAAGCTGAGGCCTAATAGTCCTGGCATACCTCTGGTCTTGATTTTGGAATCCTGCAATATTGATTCAGTGGGACCTCGGTAATGCTCTGGATTAATGATCTCTTTAAAAAAAAATGGGAGTATGTGTTTTGTTTTCCTGTCCCTGTGTCACAATTGTATATTGACTGTGATGGGTGAAGGGGGGATGGAAAATTTGTCTTTTTTGTTCATAAGTATAGAAACTAATAAAAGTTGCACAATAAAAACTGCCTCTGGACCTAATGGAGATCATAAGGCCCTGAACTTCATGTGTGATATCATTATGAAATGAGGCTTTTATGGTGTGTTGGGAGAGGGTATGTTTTTCTTTAATGTGGGAAGGATATGAATAATTGTGACGAAAGGGCACAGTGTTGTAAACAGATTATAAAAATGGCTACAATTATTTCTCTCCTTTTATCAACACTGCTTTGCAATGAAACTTTGAAGCTTTTCCAATCAAGAGGCATAATCTATTTTTTCACCTTTTGAATCTGAACTAATCCTGTGAGGTGTTTTGACCAAGAGAATTCAGGGGCAGTAACAGTAAGCCAGTTTGAAGGCTAGGCCAGAAGGGGCTATGGACATGTCTGCTCTCCTTCTGTAAACCCTTATGTCCTGATGTAGACAAGCCCAGAGTGGCCTGCTGGGTGATGAAAGACAAGGAACCTATTCACATGATTCCAGTTGACTGCCAGCCAACAGCCAGGCATGAGAGTGAGGCCACCTAGACCAGTCAGCCCCCAGCAACCCAGCAATGAATCACATATACTAGAGTGAGTTTAGTTAAGATCAGCCAAGCCTGGCCAAGTCAACAGGCACACCCAACTTCCCATAGACTCCTGAGAAATAAGTATCTGTTCTTTTAAACCACTATATTTTGGTGTGGTTTGTTACCCAAGAATGGATAACTTATAATACATCCAGGAAAATTTTTAAAAAGATGCAAATTTTTAGCTATGCTGGTACAAAGCCTGAGAAAGGATAGAAAAAAATGCAGAATAAGGTGATGACAAGAAGGCCAGCACTGTTAGTGCAGTTAGTTTGAGGACATTGAGAAGTTAAGTGACAGTGAAAGAAAATCCACTGCACAGGTGAAAGGGGGGCAGAAAAGGGAGAAAGCATATTTGAGCAGAGGAAAATAGAAGAATATCAAAGGTCTGCTCTGATGCCTTATTTTCTGCTTTGCTAAGACCAGGTTTCATTTCTTGTGAATGATTTTTGGAGAGCCCAAGTAAAGGCTCAGAGCTAAAAACTATATTAATAGATTCACAAGAAAGCAACCAACAAAAACCCACTGAGGATTATGCACATGTAATAAAGTGGTAGGTAGGGTTAAGCACACAAAGACAACATAAAAACTCAAGCCACAAAAGAACTTTCTATCTAGTGAGAAAGCAAGAAAGATATACATTACGTTTTAAAAGATAGCATTGTGTTATGATGTGATGTGTTGCTAGCTCTGAGCTACACAGAAGGAAATTGAAAGGAACACTAGAGAGTATTTGTCCAGGCACTATTACTATTTAGATGTACTCTGCAATATCTATGCTGACTTAGGGACATATCAAATGAAAAACCTACCCTGCCTACTGTCTAGGACATGATTTTTAATAATTATACTCATAACTAAGCTTCACTATAATGAAAAGATAAAAAGCAAAAACAACAAAGAGAAAGGATGGATGAGAAACTCTCTTAGTTTTTCTCTTATTTCACTAGTTCCTCCTTCTCAATCTCTTTTCCTTTCCCTGATCCCTTGTTTTGTAGTGCCTCAGGACCCAGTCCTTAATCCTCTTCTATTCTCAAACCACATTGATTTCTTTGATGATAACATTCTGGCTTGCAGTTTTAAAGCCTCATAGGTGCTAATTCCAAAGTTTGCCATTCCCATTCATATATCACTCCCAATGTGCATCACTAAATGGTAATTCTTCATCTCTACTTGGAAGTCTCACAGACAGATCAGACTCAACAGGTCTGAAATGAACTCTTGAACTTCTCCTAAAGCCTGATTCATCTATAAGTCTTTTTTTTTACAACTATTCATGATATATTTCAATAGTTTCATAGCACAAGTTTCTCAAAAGAGTTATTCTAGACTGCGCTATCTTGTCAGAAGGGAAGACTCTTAGAAATATTCCAATTCAATAGTTACAAGGCCGAAGAATATGACAATTTTTTCTGAGTAAGCATTGGACATGAGTGCAATGAAGCACAGCACTGAAATATTATGATACAACAGACATAAAAAGAATCAATTAAACTAGGGTGGGGAGTATTGCACATAGAAGAGGGACTTTTCAAAAGCAACACTGGAAACCAGCAGAGAGTAGAGGAAAGGCTTCAAAGACCTGTGTGAAAATTATCCTAAGCTATTTTAGATCATCAATAGCCAAGGACATTTGAGACATGTAAGTACTCCCTACGTATGTCCCTTGCACTCTCTTAGAAAACTGTTAGAGGATAAACACTAATAAAAAATAGATTAAAACGAAGAAAGAAGGTGTAAGATACAGTAAATAGATACTCCCAAATGAATAAATAGCAAACAGAATTCCAGAATAACAATCAAGTCAGAAGCCTAAAGAGAAACAACCCTTAAATGTAGCAGGTATGACAAAGATAGTCTATACAACAGGTAAATGATGAAGATGATGATGATGATAGATAGATAGATAGATACCTAGATAGATACGTAGATACATAGATAGATGATTGATAGCTAGAAAGAGATTCATGCATACATATAGGAACAAAAAGAGGAAGGAAGGAGGAAAGGAAGAAAGACAAATGGCAATTTATGTGATGTGTTTCTGCACCTGGAAAAAATTATTGATAGGTACATAATAGCTTTATAGAAAAATATGAATAAAGAGAAAATGATAAAAATGTAAAAGTCAATTAACCTAATAACTCCAACAGCAAAAAGTTACTCTAAAAAATGATAAAATACTTGGCCAATCAACATACAATATTTGCACAATTTTAATTAAACCTTGTCTATTTTTGTCATGATTTTTTGAATTTGGGTAATTTATTTTATAAATTTTGTAGAGTAACTAAATAACTACCCACATTGGGAGAACGGATAAGGGCAAGTAAGAGTTCTTTGAAGAGTGATAAGGCGTCCTCTCCAGTAAGAATAGCCAATAGATATAGTATCTGAAATGTATGAATCAAGACATATCAGCATACATTATTGTGTAAGGAATAGGAAAATAATAATAGGGAAAATGATTACAAGAAATACAGTGTGGGTTTGGGAGGAGTAGATATTAAAGTGGTGTTTCTTCTATTTCTTTATATACTTACATGCTATTTTTTTAAAACTTTGTTTAAAACTTTAAAATATCTTTAAAACATAATGTGTTATTATTGAATTATCTCTGACATATGGCTAAATTAAAATGCAAAAGAAGAAAGTATATAAATAATATTTTTACATTTTAGTAAATACACACACTACACACACATTTAGGTATACATTGAACATCTCTCAAAACATAAGCAAGAAAAGGTGAAAGAGAATATTTTGGGGACATATTCTTGGCAAACAAGGTGAGTAGAATTATATTAATATTTCATTATACACACTTTTTAATGTTTAAATTACTTTCCATAAAATAAATTTTCAATTAACATACCCTTCTATTAAAAATACCAGTGATAATGTTTGGCTTTGTGTCCCCACCCAAATCTCATGTTGAAATGTAATTCCTAATGTTGGAGGTAAAACCTGGTGGGTGGTGACTGGATTATGCGGGAGGATCTCCTTCTTGCTTCTCTCATGAGACTGAGTGAGTTTTCTTGAAATCTGATGGTTTAAAAGTATTTGGCACTTCCCCCTTCACTTTCTTTCTCCTGCCACCATGTGAAGACATGCTTGCTTCCCCTTCACCCTTCCGCCATAATTGCAAGTTTTCTGAGACACATCACAGGTGTCTCTTCTTTTTCTTACAAAGACACTAGTAATATGGGATTAGGACCTGATATGGTTTGGCTATGTCTCTCCACTATATCTCATGCTGAATTGTAATTCCCAGTGTTGGGGGTGGGGCCTGGGAGGTGACTGGATCATGGGGGCAGAGTTCTCATGAATGGGTTAGCACCAAACTCTCAGTGCTGTTCTTCTGATGGTGAATGAGTGAGTTATTGTGAGATTTGGTTGTTTAAAAGTGTATATCACCACCCCCCTCTCTCAGTCCTGCTCCTGCCATATAAGATAGCTGCTTCTTCTTGGCCTTCTGCCATGACTAGAAGTTCCCTGAGGTCTCCCCAGAAGCAGATGTCACTGTGCTTCCTGTATAGCC
The DNA here is from genome assembly GCF_000001405.40 of Homo sapiens. Lineage (NCBI taxonomy): Eukaryota > Metazoa > Chordata > Mammalia > Primates > Hominidae > Homo > Homo sapiens. The sequence goes on from NC_000018.10 coordinate 39,459,090, forward strand.
TGGGGAACTGTGAGTCAATTATATCTCTTTTCTGTATAAATTATGCAGTTTCAGGAATTTCTTTATGGCAGTGTGAGAACTGAGTAATACAGGACCCATCCATATGACTTCATTGAACCGTAGTTACCTCTTTAAAGGCTCCATCTCCAAATACAGTCCCATTCAGAGTTTGGGTTTCAATATATGCATTTGGGTGGGGAACACAATTCAATCTACAGTGCTGTGTTTTATGTATAATATGGGATGCATTTCAAATAGTTTGGGGTTCCTATAGAAGGCTGGACTTTGCAAAAGACACACTTGTGGAAGCCAGCTCTGCCACCTAGTAACTGGAATGTGAGCCTCTTTCCCAAAATCTCTTGCTTTAGCTTCTTTCTCTGTAATATGGAGACAACAATTTCACAAGATTATGTGGGGATTAAATTTGATAATATATATAAAGCAAATAACTGAGTTTCTAGGATTATTTTAAAAAAACTTTATTAACTGTGGTATTACTAATATGCAGTAAAATAAAATTTAATATTGTGCCCAATTAAATACCAAAAATGTAACATAACTGCTTTGCATATTTTGTTATTTTGTTATCCAATCAAAAACGGGTGTGATTTTTGTTAATACTCAGTGTTTCTTTGTTGAAGGCTATAATTGTTGAGCCTGGGGAACCATTAACCAGTATTTCTCACCCTCTTGGATACAGTCAGCTGTAAAGGGGTGATAGAGCAGATTCTTGCATCTCAAGATTCACTGCTGGGCCTGAAGAAAAGATAGGAGTGGGGCGTCCTCTGATAATAAAATCACCCTAGAAGAGGGGGCAGACTTTTATGCAATGTCTCTGATTTATTGAGTGTCTGTGTCTCATCTGTAAAAATATCTTATCAGGCTGTTCTGATAACTAAGTGATGCCTGTATGCAAAAATAATTTTGAGTTCTGTAAAACTTGAAAAAGTCTCTAACATACCTATTTATTCTTCTTTCATATTTATATTAATTCTGTAAACAGTGGCCATTCACTTTTATTTTGTTCTCTTGTTTATATTACACAGTTATAGTTTCCTGCACATTATTCTTAAATACATCATGTGGACAGAAAACCACATTAAATATCTATGTAAATTGCATTAACAATTACAGAACTGACACCTAGAAACTGCAACACATCAAAGAAATGGAACATTTGCTAACATGCCAGGCACTCCCCACACTGTTTACATCTTTCAAATGAAAACATCTTCCCTTCTTTCTGGAGCAAACCATTACCCTGGCTTTTGTGGTTACTATGTTTTTGTTACTCTTTATAGCTTCACCTACTATGATGTATTCTTAAACAATAGAGTTTGGTTTTCTTTGCTTTTAAACTTTATAAAAATAGTACCATACTCTATGCATGCCTCTTTTCTTTTTTTCATTTAATACCATATTTGTATTTACTTGTAAAATGGAATTCTACACAGCAATAAAAGTGAATAAAGTAGTTATAACAATAACTTTCATTGATTCAAAAATACAGAGAAACATAAATTAAAATAGAAAATATTCATTTTACTCACATCTTACTCATTCCTTGTGATAACAGTTAAGGAGTTTGCTATGTCTCCTAACAATTTTTTTGCTATTCATTTGCATATAATTAGACTTGTGAGAATACCTTTTGAAAAAAAAAAAAAAAAGAAAGAAAGATCATACTCCACATACTATTCTGTGACTTCTTGTTTTGCTTAAAAATGTTTCTTGGAATCTCGGACCTCTGTCCCATAGAAAATGCATAAATCTTCCTCACCCTTCTTAATACTTAATACCGTAATTATTGATACTTTCTGATAAACATACATTGTTTCCATTTTATTAGTGACAAAAATAATGCAATGGACATGCTTGCAGATACATTTTTAGGTATGTGAATATGCATTATTGTAGTCTAAATTATTAGAAATAAAATTTTTGGAACAAAAATTATAAATATTAAAAATTTGCAATTTTAATTCCTAAACTGATGCCAAATAGCCATTTATAAAAAGCTTTACTAATGTACTGTACCAAAATAGTGAGTCTAGTCACTCAGTTTTTAATAGCATGGAACAACCACATATCCTTCTATTCACTACAAATGTTTGCACCAGACCAAGCAAAAAACGAGAAATATGTGACACTGTTTCTTTGCTATGACCATCTCTCTTCTTCCATTAGACACCAACAAGTCATCATGTTGCTTTACAGTCACTCATCTTATGTTACGTTCACATACAAAGCATGTTACAAGACTAGATTAGAAATGGGAATTCCATTTAAGAGTTGTCTCTCGATATATATTTATTGAATGAGGAAGAACAAATGAACAGATGAGCCCCAAATTGTGCTAGGTACCGTGTGGATTACAGGAAGCTAGGCAAAAGTTCTCGTTTTCTGTTTTCTCATTTATAAAATGAAGAGTTCTGAAGTGAATTTGTGTCAAAAGTCCCTCCAGCCTGCTGCAGTGGCTCATGTCTGTAATCCTAGCATTTTGGGAGGCCAAGGAAGGAGGATCAATTGAGGCCAGGAATTTCATACCAGCCTGGACAACATAGCAAGACCCTGTTACTACAAAAAATGAAAAAAATAAAAGCTGGCCAGGCACTGTGGTATATGCTTGTAGTCCTACCTACTTGGGAGGCCGGGGTGGGGGATTGCTTCAATTCAGGAGTTTAAGGTTCCAAGTGGCACAGTGCGCTATGAGCACACCACTGCTCTCTACTCCAGGTTACAGAATGAGTTCCTATCTCAAAAACAAAACAAAACAAAAAAAAAAAAAAAAAAGAGAGAGAAAAGGTGCCTACAACTAATAAATTATTTACTGAGTGGAGAGAAAAAATGTGTGATGGTTAATTTTGTGCGTCAGCATGTCAACTTGGTCCGTACATATTTGGTCAAACACCAGCTTGGATGTTGCTGTGAAGGAATCTTTTAAAAAATAAGATTAGGCCTGGCGCGGTGGCTCACGCCTGTAATCCCAACACTTTGGGAGGCCGAGGCGTGCGGATCACAAGGTCGGGAGACAGAGACCATTCTGGGTAACGTGGTGAAACCCCATCTCTGGCAGGAGAGGGCGTCAACCCAGGAGGCGGAGCTTGCAGTGAGCCAAGATCGCGCCACCGCACTCCAGCTTCGGCGACAGAGCGAGACTCAGTCTCAATAAATAAATAAATAAATAAATAAATAAATAAATAAATAAGATTAACATTTATTTTAATCAGTAGATTTTGAGTAAAGCAGATTACTCTCCATCACATAGGACCTCATTCAATTAGTTGAAGATCTGAAGAGAAAACAAACTAAGGTCTCCCGAAGAAGAAGAAATTTTGCCTCCAGACTGCTTTTGGACTGAAGCTGCATTATCTACTCTTCCTTGAATCTCCAGTCTGCTGGCCTGCCCTAAAAATTTGGGACTTCCCACAATCATGTGAGCCAATTCCTTAAAACAGTGCACACTTGCTTGCTCTGTCTCTCTCTGTCATATATTAGAGAGAGAGAATGAGATGACAAACAGGATATATGTTCTGTTTCTCTAGAAAACCATGACTAATACAATAAGTAAAAGGGCATGAGAAAATACTGTGAGGGCTGATGACTGTTCTGTTCTACGGCAGGCCAGGAAGCTGAGCTATCAGGTTAGTGCTAAATGGTCAGAGAAATACACCCTAGAAATATGAAATCCATGATACATATTTGAGTTGTCAAGGCTAGTAGCCCACAGGATCCATTTTGATTTTGACATTATCTGGGTATGTATAGATCAGATTCTTTTGTATCATGTGGTCGTATACAAGTTTTCCTTAGGTGGGCTAATTAATATTATCTTCCTGAAGCTCAAGACCACCTTCACAGAGCCTCTGACATAAAAATTATTTCTTCTAGAACATTTCTGAAATGCTTATGTCCTCAGTTAGAAAACAAACTGCCTGAATGTAAGAATGTCATATTCCCTCTGTTTCCTGATAGTTTTCTCTTACAGTGCCCAACACAAAGCTGGCTGCACATACAGTAGGAACTTAACAAACACAAACATTAAATACTATCTGAGAAATTGTACAGAGAATGCACAGTTAGGAGACTAACCTCCACATCTTCAGATGGCAGTGGTGCTGTGTTCTGAGTGGTTCCTCTAGTGAGTGTTCAACTTTGGGTGCTGGTAGGACCAGTAGGGAACATCAGTGACTCTTTCTCAGTAACCTCACAGGGTTATGGACAATTCAGGAGAAGTAATGCCATCAAAGACCAAAAAGACTCCCTCTTTGCAGGAAGGGAACTTTGTTGATTTTCTTCCAATAGGAAAATGCTCCCTTAGTTTTGAACTGAAAATAAATGCTAACAATAATATTCCTATGGGTTTGACTTTTTTAATATGACATGAGAAATGGCAATTAGATGGATTCCTGATGCTGATGAATGGACATACATATACCTTCACTGAGGTAAAAAAAAAAAAAATAACCCAATACGAAACAAAAAAGGCAGTAGAGGTACCCATACATAGTCAAGTTGAACATAGGTATTTTAATCTAATAATTGACTATTTCATGAATCAAACACTTCTTAGTAATTTCAAAAGAAAGAGTATCTAGTTTACTTCTGATGAGGGTAAAGCTTTGCTTCATTTGACCAAAAGTGTTTAAGATTTGAACAATAATGTATAATATAGAAAGTGTTTAACAGCAACCTTTACCATTCTAACTAGTGCATAATATTGGTTTTGCAATCATTTAGTAATTATATAAGGAGGACATATTTATTACGAATTATTGATTTTATAATTACTGCTGCTGGTATTCACATTATTACACAATGAAAATCTTTTAATATACAATGCTCTTCACCCTCAGCTGGTGAACAGATAGTATAATGCAATTTAGAGAGTAGCCAAGAGTAGATTTTATTGGCATTTTTTTTTTTTGCCAGCCAGCTAAATGGTTGGCTTTCTGAAAAATATTGCTAATGGTGCTTAAGCAGAGAGGAATGTCCAATTTCAAGGTCATTCCTGGCAGTTGATTACAGTCATCCAATGAGCACAAGGTTCCTATTTAACTAAGTTATTTTTGCTGCACTCATTGCTGGGAATTAAAAGTTATGGCTGTAAATTTGCTGCCAGCTAAATAGACATCAAAGGCCAGTCATACACTGGATCATGACACATGAAGATATATCTCTTATGAAATTGATTTTTCTCCATGTGCAAGGCAGCTTTGCATTACTCCCCTTGTGGAGTTTAGCACAGGAAATGTCTAGGCAGGATGAGTTGTAATTGTCAGCATAGTTTATATTCTGGGCTGAGAACTCCTTTTATTATTTTTTTCCCTCTGTGAAGATGTGCAAAAAGAGGTTGTCTAAGCATATATTTTGATTTCACTTGCCAACAGATTGTGAATAGCTGATTTAAGGTCACTGTCACCCCCAAATGGGAAAAGATTAGGTTTCTGAGGACCAGAAATATTAAAAAGTCTGCCCAAACAATATTTGCTGCTCACCAGAATTCAAAATTGCTGATTTTCACCCCAGAAACATCCCATGGAGTTTTGTAAAGGTTGTAAGTCTATTATGCTGTTTTAATCCATCAGACTTTCACTATCTAAAGGATAAGAGCATCAGATAGAATTACATAAGCTTGATTAGTAATTTTTTCTCTTCTGGATATCCTGTTGCTATTACAGAGAGACCCATATTTTTTCACAAACAATGCAAATAGTGTTTAAATAAAATACCTGAGAATTCAAATTATATTTTAAATGTATTCAGTTAGGGTGCTATTTCTGGGCTTCCTACCTGTGATGGCTTTACAGGGCTGAATGCTGTGCATTTCACTGGTGTGATTGGGAACTTTAACATTAGAACCAATCATTGGAGATAGGAGATTGACTGACCCCAAATTCTCATCTTTCATCTGCAAAGTGAGGTTAGTTATTATATTTCATGGAGAAGTTACTCCAAATTCACCAGCCTGGCTTTTAAAGCCCTCTACAATGTCACCCTAACTTTACTTATCCAATTTGTCTCCCTCTATACTCCTCCCATTACAGTCAGGCTTAACTGCTTTGCTTCCTGCAGTGAGAACATATACATTTCCAGCCACTTGGAAGTTTCCATCACCTGAAAAATTCACATATTTTCTCTCTCCCTCTCCTCCTACTTTCCCTCATGCTCTCCTTTCTGCATACCCATTTGTTGACAATCTCTCACATACCAGTTCAAGACCCATGTCCTTCAGGAATCTTTCTCCCCTTTGTAAATTTGTACCCTTCACTCAGAGACTTAATCATATTCTAATTCTTTTGTCTACCTGCTTTATGTGTTGATTTGCAGTTGTTTCTCCAACTAAAGAAGATACAGCTGGCCCTTGTATCTGGGGTTCCGCATCCTGGGATCAACCAATCTTCAGGTTGAAAATACAGTATTAACATGATCCAGAACCAGTGGATATGATGGGCCATCTTTTCATATCAACAAGCTCCACAGCAGAGCCTACTGTAGGGTTTGAATACTCATGAATTTTGGTATTCACTGGGGGTCCTGGTTCCTCATGAATACTAAGGAATGACTCTACTTTTTTCTTTTTTTTCGGGATGAAGAATGCTGTCTGCTCCTTTGTGAACATGTGGCTTGGCCCACAGCAGTATTCAGTTAACCCTTTAAAAAATAAATTCAGTGGAATTGAATTCTGAGAAGTGGGATTGTAGCTGTTAATAACTAAGATAAGGAACATTCTGTGATGTGTTCTATCACACCATGATGATCCTTAACTTGATACAGTGATGACATCTTTATTAGCTACACTTTGGTAATTAATGTAGGACTTAGGAGACAACCACCCTCCCCTGCAACTTAGGGTGAAGAAAAGTACCTACAATTTTTCTTTTTTTTTCTTTCTCCTTTTTTTTTTTTTTTTTTTTGGAGACGGAGTCTCTCTCTGTTGCCCAGGCTGGAGGGCAGTGGCATGATCTCGACTCATTGCAACCTCTGCCTCCTGAATTCAAGCAATTCTCCTTGCCTCAGCCTCTCAAGTAGCTAAGATTACAGGCACATGCCACCAGGCCCACCTATTTTTTGTATTTTTTAGTAGAGGCGGGGTTTTGCTATATTGGCCAGGCTGGTGTTGAACTCCTGACTTCAGGTGATCTGCCAGCCTCAGCCTCCCAAAGTATCGGGAGCACAGGAGTGAGCTACCATGCCTGTCCTCCTACAATGCTTTGAATATGCCAAGTACTGAGCTAGATAGAAGATATTTTTTATTTTACCTAAACCTGAAAATAATTTTCTGAGGTAGATATTATAATTCCCATTTTATAGACAGAAAAATGGGATTTAGAGAAATTAGGTAAGCTAGCTGATATGGTTTGTCTGTGTCCCCACCCAAATCTCATCTTAAATTATAGTTTCTATAACCCCCACATGTAGTGGGAGGGACCCAGTGGGAGGTAATTTAATCATGGGGCCAGTTCCCCTCATGCTGTTTTCTTGATAGTGAGTGAGTTGCCATGAGATCTGATGGTTTTATAAGGGGCTTTCCCCCTTTTCCTTGGCACTTTTCCTTACCTGCTGCCATGTGAAGAATGTTGTTTGCTTCCCCTTTCACCATAATTGTAAGTTTCCTGAGGCCTCCCCAGCCAAGCTCAACTGTAAGTCAATTAAACCTCTTTTCTTTATAAATTACTCGGTCTCAGGTATGTCTTTATTAGCGGCATGAGAACAGACTAATATAGTAGCCAAGGTCATAAAACTAGCAAAAAATTTAGCAAATGTTTGAATCTGACCTTGAAGTTCATGTTCTTTTCCACATTGCCTTTCTTGATATTCTAGTATATGCACACAAGGTGCTTTATAAATGTTAAATGAATAAAATATATAGTTTAATGAAGTTTTCAAAAAGGGCATATTATATCATTTTGTCACTATTAGTAGCATGCTCATCATTCTCACTTCTTTAGGTGACATCTTCACTCATTTCTATCCATGTGAATACAAACAGCCTTTCAGACACCATCAGCAGTCTCACCTCCAAAATCAAAACTTTATGGCTATTTTAGATCATATTCATCTCATTGTTTATACATCACAAATTATTATTTTATATCTTTATTTCAAAAATATTTTGGTTCTGAGTGATTTTCTTTGTAACTTCATAATTAAAGTTAAGTTTATTCCAGATTAGAAATGGGGAAACTGATGCTAAGGGTCCAGAATGTTTTCTGAAGACCACTTAAAATAAGTGAGCCTTGGACCTAATTGATTTCTAACTCTGGCCAAGCTCAGTCTTCTTTGTTTTATATAGCTCCATGGTTGGAATCCAAACACTCTTACACTCATACAACTCACACCCATGCACACACACATATACACACAAACACACACACCTTTTAAAGTAAGCTCAGTCATCTAATATCCTAACTTAGAGTCTATCCAGTTCAGGATTATGATGCTGGAAACAGCAAGGAAGGATGAGTTAGGTTTGTACAGCCCTCAATTTGATTGTGCAGTTACTTGATTGTATCATATAAATCTATTTCCTCACAATATCATTTAGTTACTTGAACTAGAATCCATGCCATTAATTTTTTAACACTTAGAACTCAACATATTGCAAGAAATATAAAAGATACTCAAGAGATATTAATTGTTTAATTGAGGCATCTGACACTACCTCTGTCATGGCTCACATCAACAGATGAATACATATGAGACTTCCAAGAAGGTATTTCCTTATAACACAACACCAGAGAAGACAGTTGCATATAGGCTTCATAAGGTAGAATGAAAGACAGTTTTTCTCCAAAATGTGAGGGCATCAGCAACAACTAGGAATATTGTTAAAACCTTGATGGCCTCTACATCACCTCCTACTAATTTAAGAAGAATCATGTGAACAGAAGTATTGAATAGGAAATGTGGAGTCCACCTTCCAGAGTCAAATAATGAACTTTCCTCCTTGTAAAAGAAAGTGTCAGTGGACAAGCATTTTATTTATTATTTCTAATTCCCCTACTTCTTTTGAGTATCTACCTTTCAGCAGAGAGAAGAGCTCAGTCCTTACCACTCTCCCCCACTAAAGAGACAGAAAGAGTGAGAAATATTAAATGTGATATTATAGGCTGCTCTGAAATGTAGATATGTTTGCTCTTTCTCATCTTTGTAATCCCATATTTCAGTGAATTCATTCATTCTATTCATATTTATTTGGCATCTACTCTAAGCCAGGCACTCTTCCATACACCATGGATATAGAAATAAAGAGGACAAAAATAACCCTGATATCAGAAATTTCAGATTCTGTTGAGCAAGACAGACACAAAAGTAAAAATAATAATTATTAGTATTATTATTTAAGAGTGAAAGTTAATAAAATGTAAAAAAGAAAAAAGGTAAATTTTGTGAAGATAGGAAGCCAGGGTGATGACAGAGAAGAATCCCTGGGATGCATGGGCTGTTTTAGATGAGGTCATCTGAAGAGGCTCTTAAGAGTGAAGGAGCTAGGCATAAAATTTCTGGAGCCACAGAGTTCCAGACAGGGAGTAGCAGGGATGAAAGGCCTAACATAGGAACAAGTTGCAGTGGTGCTCAATAAAAAATTTAAAAATTCAATGGGCTAATGGTTGAATAACAGGAGATAATGGTTTGAAATGAGATCAGCAGGGGCCAGAAGAGGTAAAGTTTTATGATGACAGCAAGGAGTAGATAATTATTTGAGGTATAATTGGAAGCCATTGGAATGTTTTAAAGAAATAAATGATATGTGCTTATTCGTCAGTTGAGTGTGCACAAGGTTCTACTCTCTGGCTGACACTGTGGACAGTACAATCATGGTATAGTCAGTGGATTTTCCAATCCTCTTCTTAAGATTCTAAAGCAAAAATCAGCATGTAGAAGAAATTTTACTAACGTGTTCACCTCATAAAAATCTTTGCAGAATCTAGATGTGTGTATTTACCTATGAATGTACATGTATTATTATATACATAATATATAATTATATATTTTAGGAAGATATTCACACACTTATAGGAAGTACCAAGATAGAAGATATATCCAGGAAGAATCTTCTAAATATCTCCAATCAAGCTATTTTTGGGGGTTTATGACAAAGTGGAACATGCTTCGCTTCCGTTTACTTACACAGTTTCAAGAGCAGCTTATTACCATTGTATTTTCCAAAATAGATTTTTATTTTCCCATCCCGTAAAAATGTGATTTTTATTTATATACCTTTCATTTGTCTCCAGATGTTCAACTTGGTGACACTCAATCAAACTAATGAATTATGAAATGAAATGAATAGTAAGTCAACTTTCCCAAATCACTGGGAAAGAAGGCAATACAAAGTTCATTACTGAAATTCCAGGATGGTGAAGTTTTTCACATATAACTTGCCCCAGTGTCAGCCTCTTCAAATTTGAGAACTGATTAATCCTCTGAAGTGTCATATCATGTAGCCACAAAATCTGGTGCAAGGAGGGGTGTTGAACATTTTACACACCAGTCTGACATTACTTAGGAAGTGAGGTGATTTGGTGAAAGATACTATAGAAATGGGGAACTACTATTTACCTCAAATTGGCACACAGAATCACTTTTGAAGTCTTCTGATATTTCAACCATCTCACTTTCAAAACAGATGCTCCTGAAACTCCTTTCTAGGGTAGAAGGACATATAAAATGTCATCTAATCGATGTCTCCTCTCTTGTTAACCTGCCTATTGAGCTAGCCTATTCATTATGTATGTATATTTTGAAAAGCTTTTCTGAAAAAATACCCATGTTCCTTGAAAATACATCCCACAATTTCCACTGCTTCTATCAAAATTCATTCTTTCAATGATAATGTAGTGAAAGGAATGATGAATTGAAAATTCACTGTTTTCAGTTTTTGCCATATTTCTGCCAAGTTGAATAGAATGTGTTATGTTAGGCATATCACTTCTCTCCCTAGGATACAGTTACATTATTTGCAGAATAAGGAAACTGGATTACTTGATTTACAAAGGATGGTCTACCCCAAATATGGTTCTCTTTGTCTTGATTGATTGATTAGATTTAATTAATTAATTAATTAGATTTTTGTTTTTAGAGACATGGTCTGGCTCTGTCACTCAGGCTGGAGTGCAGTGGCATGTTATAACTCACTGCAGCCTCAAACTCCTGGGTTCAAGTGATCCCCCCACCTCAACCTCCTGGGTACCTAAGACTACAGGTGCATGCCACCACCACACCCAGCTAATTAAAAAAAAAAATTAATTTTTTTGTAGAGATGGGGTCTTGCTATGTTGCCCCAAGATGGTCTCAAACTCAAATGGTCCTCCCATCTCAGCCTATCAAACTGATGAGATTACATAACCAGCCCAATTTTATTTGTTTGCTCCCATCTATCACATACAAAGAGGCCATGGAAAGGGTCTTCTTATTTACATTTATTATAGTGTTTTGTTTACATGAAGATTAAAATAGATGTGCCACTCTATATTTTATTTTCCTTTAAGGGAAAATACTGAGTATACTTTAATTAAGCATCACAACTTCAGCAAACCATTTTATTATAAAGTAGGAATGCCAAGCCGGGGAGAAAATTATGCAGAATAGTCCTTCCTTCCTGATACTGCTATGAATACCTCCCCCTCTTGCCAATCCAAAGAGATTCCGAAGGCATCATGAGAGCTGGTGATTCTAGTCAGTGCTTTGTTTTTTATTGCTTTTCACTTTTTATTTCTGTTTATGTCTTTTAAAGTATCCCTATGCTCTTTAGCTTTCAGACCAAGTCTTAATCTGACAACCCAGAGTCCACTTGCAATGAGTTAAAGGAGATCAATACTATTTTCGACAGACTTAACACTATCCTTCTCAAGATGCCGGGTTTAATGGAAGATTAAATGTGGCAGCATAACTTTTGATTATCTGTGTGACACAATTTGGTAAAATAGCAGATCACTCAGAAATCATTCATATTTGGCCTTGAGACGTATTACAGGATGCATCTTTGATCTCCCTCTCTAATTATGTTTCACTTTGGTCTAATGTCAAAGAAACTAATTTGCATTCCCAAAGCACGTACTAAGTAACAACAGAGGAAGAGGACTTAGAAAAAAGCAAGGGAGAGAGGACCAGAATAAGCTTTTCAAATGCCTTAGAGAATTCATAAAGTAAATGTGTACGTAAATAGTCCAGATTTCATTAAATTTGCCCTTTGTTCTGTAGGCCAACTTCTCTTTCTTAAAATTATTTCCATTCCTCTCCTCCCCAAAACCAAAGTCATTGAAGATCAACAAATAAGCATGAATGTTGTGAGTACCTTCTATAAATAGATAATTACAGAGAATGCATGTTGAGAAAACAAGTTCCTTGCCATTCAGAATCTTCCAATCAATGCTGACACATGAAACTAAAACATATGCAGTGTAGAAAATAGGAGTTGACAGGGCACAAAAATATCATATAATAATTAATTGTTCAGTTGTTGTGGTGCAGCACATTCTCACTAGAACAGATTAAAGGAGGAGATCAGTGAGAACTGCTAGAGTTTTGAACGTCTTCACAGGAATATTTGAAATGGTGTTTAAAGGCTCAGCAGGATTTGAATAAATAGAAAGAAGAGTAAGAACATTCCAGATTACAGTGTCCAGAAAGAAAATGATATGAAAATGCATTATGCAATACAAATATTCATTATATAGGGACAGAAACTGGGAAATCTCAATTTATTTTACCCATAAATTTCAAATAAAGAATTTTGAATGAAGACATTACCTAGAAAATTTGAAATGAAAAATGGGTAAATTTCCCTAGACGACAGTATATGTCAGTTGTTGAAATTCACTGCCTCCTTCCAGTTATGGACTGTAGCTGGATTTAAAAGAATTCTAAATTCAAACAACATTTGAAGTTTTGTGCTAAGATGGAGGGAGCAAATCCGATGCGCTAGGGCATCAGGTTTTTTGCTGTAGGGCCATGAGGAGGATTTGCACCCAGTTTCATTGCCCCATAACATCAAGAAGAAGCTGTGTTCAACATCGAGCTATCGATGTCCTGCTTGAACATAGCCATAGGAAAAAAAAAAAAAAAAGATTCTATGGATTTTTCTCACTTTCCTGCAGACTCAGAGAATCTTCCCAAAACCCCTGTTGTCTTAAATTCTTGACATTGAGACCAAAAGGAGAAGTGATGCCAGTAATGAGAACCTCGTTGCTTTTTAGAAAATATAATGATGAACTATGTTTCTCACATATTTCCCTAGCTATAGATGTAGATCCTCTGAGATGTTGAGTTTTGCATGATGCCCAGGAGCAGAGAGAGGAAAGAGATGTGATGGGAGGGCGCTAGAGGAGTAAATTTTTTTAAAAAAACAAATCATGATATCCTCCTATCCTTAAATAACTTATCAACTATTTGCAGAGACAAGGTAGCTGAATAAGACACACATAAAATATAAACACGTAAAGTGTAAAAGAAAAAAAGGTAACAGAGACAATAATAGACAATAAGGTAAGTCTGAAATGAGACAATATGGCATGAAAAAAATTAGTTAATGCCAAACTATGTGGAAAAGACTTTGTCATGGAAGGAGGAAATTACTGCTTTGAACAGCTTATTTGGTGATAAGATGTGAAATGAACTAAAAAGGCCATACCAGGTTTGGAATTATGGAATCATATGAGTCCTCTTATTTAGTCCCCAAAATTTTTCCATGAGTTAAATATCTTTTTTCTCAATTTACAAGTAGTGAGGTTGAGGTTTAGCGAGGTTAATCAATTTGTTCAAGATCACACAATTATGTAATTGGTAGAATTAAAATTACAGCCTAGGTGTGTCTAACTTCAAAGTGTTTGCTTTTCCCCTCTCATGAGCGGGGCTTGAGGGGATATTGAGAATGACTACTATTGCTGGGGATCATTTTCAAAATTATCAGAGCTTAAGATGACTCTAATTCGATCTCCATGTCATGAAGAGAGAGATATACAGAGGCAGAGACAAAATAAAATAGGACAGACACAGAACGAAAAAAAAACAGGATCAGAGGAAGAAAATGAGACTATCATGAGCCAGGTGAAATAGTTTTCATTTTGTTTAAGGAATTCAATATATCTTATCATCATCATACCAGTCAGTAAATAGACAATGTTAAATGTATTAAAGAATTTTTTTTTAAAAATTCTCAACCAGAATAGGTCTTTTTCATTTCTAATATTGAGTATGGCTAGCTGCTACATGTCTCAGATGAGTTTAGTATCGTATGCTTATGTCATTGGTTTCCAGACACATGGGAGTTTTTTGTTTTGTTTTTGTTTTTTTGTGTGTGTTTTTGTTTGTTTGTTTGTTTGAGACAGAGTTTTGCTCTTGTTGCCCAGGCTGTAGTGCAATGATCTCCGCTCACTGCAACCTCTGCCGCCTCAGCTTCCCTAGTAGCTAGGATTACAGGTGACTGCCACCACGCCCGGCTAATTTTTGTACTTTTAATAGAGACGGGGTTTCATCATATTGGTCAGGCTGGTCTTGAACTCCTCACTTCAGGTGATCCGCCCAACTCGGCCTCCCAAAGTGCTGGGGTTCAGGCGCGAGTCACCGTGCCTGACCACATGGAAGCTTTTAAAAAACCGTACTGCTGGAGGCCGGGCGCGGTGGCTCACGCCTGTAATCCCAGCACTTTGAGAGGCCGGGCGGGCAGATCACGAGGTCAGGAGATCTAGACCATCCTGGCTAACACGGTGAAACCCCGTCTCTATTAAAAATACAAAAAAAATAGCCGGGCATGGTGGTGGGCGCCTGTAGTCCTAGCTACTCGGGAGGCTGAGGCAGGAGAATAACTTGAACCTGGGGGGCGGAGCCTGCAGTGAGTGGAGATCGCACCACTGTACTCCAGCCTGGGCGACAGTGTGAGACTCCGTCTTAAAAACAAAAAAGAAAGAAAAAAGAAAAAGAAAAAAAAAATCCTACTGCCAAGGGATGACATCGCTTACCAATTAAATCAGAAAGTTACAGTAGGAGTCGGGCATAGTAGTTTTTAAAGATTCCCAGGTGATTCTAATGTGCAAGACATTTAAGGACCAGTGGTTTACTTAATCATTCAGTTAATTTTCTTTAATCCTAAATTTATCTTAATTTTTTTTTCTTTTTTTCTTGAGACGGAATCTCGCTCTGTCACTCAGGCTGGAGTGCAGTGGCGCGATCAGGGCTCACTGCAAGCTCCGCCTCCCGGGTTCACGCCACTCTCCTACCTCAGCCTCCGGAGTAGCTGGGACTACAGGCGCCCACTACCACGCCCGGCTAATTTTTTGTATTTTTAGTAGAGACGGGGTTTCACCGTGTTAGCCAGGATGGTCTCGATCTCCTGACCTTGTGATCTGCCCGCCTTGGCCTCCCAAAGTGCTGGGATTACAGGCATGAGCCCTTAATTTTCTATTATTCTAAAATAGGTGGATGCCAGATAAATATTCTTGAACTAAAGTTTTAAAGTCTATTTAGACCTTCGAAAACCAGCTCTGCCACCTCTTTGAGAACATTATTTAACATTTTTAAATATTTGTTTCCTCATCTGTAGATAAATAACAACTACCTTCCAATGTTCTCTGGTATTGAATGAGAAGATAAGTGGACAAGATCGAGCACAATACCTACTATATGGTGCTCAGATCACATTGGCTCCGATTTTTCTTGCCTCCACTCCACCTAGTTTAATGAGGGAATTGAGTCCACAAAACAAAAGCAACTTGTCCCAGGTTCCAGAGCTACTTAAAGCATGGCAAAGCCCAGAAGTTTTCAAGTATCTCTCTTTCAACCGTTGCTTTCACTATAAAACATTAAAGGCAGTGTGGAGAAAATAACAGTAGCAATAACTGAGAGAAATAAATAAACTGCTGAATGGCTTTCCACTCTCCTACCTGAGAGTCTCCAATGTTGCCATGAATACAGCTATAACGTGCTTAATAAGCCTCAACGTGCATGTATGTACACACACACACACACACACACACACACACACACACACACACACATCTCAGCATGCTTCCCAGGCTGGCATTGAACTCCTGGCCTCAAGTGGTCCTCCCACCTCAGCCTCTCAAGTAGCTAGAGCAACAGGTGTGCATCAACCACCTTGCCCGTCTGGTCTATATTTTACGTCCTGGACTTTTGCACCATCTTTTCTGTGCAGCCTGATTTCTGTATTGAAAACTTCTAACATCCAGACTATTTATGCCTCACGTTTTTCTTCCCACTCAGATATTCCTTCTACCTTAATACTACTTTTTATCAGAATGTGATTTACCTTTTGAGGACCAAGTGAAAATCTATTTGGTCTACCAAAATAATTCTTTTCTTTTTCTTTCAACTTTTATTTTAGAATCAGAAAGTACATGTGCAGATTTGTTAGAAAGTTATATTATGTAATCCTGAGCTTTGGGGTACAATTGAACCCATCATCCAGGTAGTGAGCAGAGTACTCAAAAGGTAGTTTTTAAGCCCTTGCACCCCACCCTTTCCCCTTTAGTAGTCCCCAGTGTCTATTATTTCGTATTTATGTTCACATGTACCCCATGTTTAGCTCCCATCTTATTAGGCTTAGTGGTATAGTACTAAGGACACCGGGCTTGAAGTTGAAAATACTCTGTTTTAATTCAGGTGTTCACCACTTTCCTCCCCTGAATTGGAGGAGGGGAAAAAATATTAAATGCAACACATCACAGGCATGTTTTGAGGATTTCTCAAATAAATATTAAAGAAAAAGCTTTGCAGAGCACAAATAAGTCAGCAAACTTCGGGTAGAGTGTCACAATTAATGAGAACAACACATCACAAATTAGATTTTTTTACAAGTAGATTTATAGTTTATTTCTATATATGAAATGTAAGATAACTACCAGGAAAAAAAGCAATTAGGAAATTCAGGGTTAGTAAGTGACCATCTTTAAATCAAGTTTCTATCTATTTTGGAGAATATGGTTATTTCTTCTTATTCAGTTAGTTATGTCAAATCTACAATTCATTCAGCCAGTGTAGACTCAGTCTCATAGTTTTAAACTAGAGCTTGTCATTCATTTCCTCAATGACCTTGGGCAAGTCACTTAATTTCTCCACATCTCAATTTCTTTGTCTGTAAAATTGGGATAATAATCTTGACCTCGCAGAGAGGTTGCATGAATTAACTGATTAATGATTATAAAGCAATTTGAAAATACAGAACACTATATAAATGCTAAGTATTGTTATTAAGCAAATCAATTCAGAAAATCAAGATAATGACATTTCTTTTCAATCTATTTCTTAAAGTGCTTAACGCCTTTGCATCTAAGCTTCATGTTGTAAAAAAGCAGTTTAAATATTTATAACTTGAAGTTTTCTAATTTAACCAGTTCCTACTGCATATCAGGGAATAATAATGGAGGAAAAAATCTCATAAACTGAGAACCTGAATTTCTCATTTTTTTTTAATTTTTGGTAATATCTAGTTTAATTTTTAAAAATAGCCACCTATCTATCTATATTTATATCTATCTATCTATCTATCTATCTATCTATCTATCTATCTATCATCTATCTATCTATCTAATCTATCCATCTGTATCATCCATTTGCTGGAATTTTGAAATTTCAGAGCTAAAGTGGACATTATATTCCAATTCACTTGCTTTACTTATCTGGAGAAAGTATTTGTATTGAGACATGAAGTGATTTGCTCAAGTTTGCAAGGGTGATTTGTGCCAGAACTGATCTCTATCCTTAATCTTTGGCTGTCTGGCCTTAATTCAGGTGCAGAGCAAATAATAAAAGAGAGAAACAGTAGCCCTACCTTCATGGATTTTACTTGAGAAGACTTATAAAACTGATAGAGGGAAAAGCTATGATTAATTCATGTGAACTTTAACAACAACATGAAATAACTGGATCAGTTCCTAATTTATCAATTGTAGATTTTGTCTACGCAACTTTGGAGGTATAAGACTACTAGACCTGGCCATTGTGACACTTTTAACTTTCAACCATCACTTCACTTAACTTTGACACTTTTCCTTAAAATGCAGGTGAATACAAGAATTAGGTTTCAGGTTTTATATATATATTCTGATATATATATATAATATAACCTGAGATATATATATAAATATATATATATATTTATATATATTAATATATATAAATATATATTAATATATATTAATATATATAAATATATATAAATATATATAAATATATAAATATATATAAATATATAAATATATATAAATATATAAATATATATATAAATATATATAAATATATATAAATATATATACACACATACATACACATATACATTTTAAATAAAGATATATTTTGTATAGAGTGCTGATTTTCAATTAAAATATTCCAGTTCTATGTCCAGCTCAGGCTACTACCTATGTAGCCTTAAGCAGCCATATCCTTTCACTGATGCCAGTTCCCTAATTTATTAAAGAAAAAGTCAGGATAGAAACCTGCTTAAGTCTCTCAGTGCTAAAGTTCAAAATACTGTGGCATCTGAAGTCAGAGTTGAGAGTTCCTCAGGTAGATACTGGATTCTGAATAGGTCATAGACAATAAATCTGATTGTAAAACCAGTCACACTTTAAACCAAATGCTCATTTGAGGTTTCCTATCTTCATAGAATAAATTTGCAGAATGTTAATGCTGAAAGGAATATTAGAGATCATTTAGTCTGATTCCCTCATTTTATGATGAGAAAACTGAAGTCTTGAAATATTAAGTAAATAGTCCAAGGTCACCAAGTCAGTCCATGAGGAAGCCAGGTCTAAAACCCAGGTTTTCACAAATCCCAGTTGTCTGTACTTTCTTCTAAATCATTAATTGAAATGACACCGGGGTAAATGACACCTTTCCTTTGAGGTTAGGACTTTTATAAACAAAAAAAGAATCAAATATTAAAATATTGCTTCTTCTGGTTGTCTTTCTTTCACTCTTCACATGTGTTTGTTCTGAAGACATAGCATTTAAAAGAGGGTACTACCTGTAGAATAATAAGGCTCAAATGTCATAGTGTCTAAATATCATAAATACCTACCTTTCCCTTCGATGGTCTGTTGATAACAGGTTTCATGCATTTTTTTTTGCTGCACGAGTTGGGAGAAATCTGTTGTCTGCTTCCCTTGCATGTTTGCATTAAGCAATAAATACAGCCTTCACTTGCTCAACTATGGCTTTTCATAGCAATCCAAAAGATCAAGATCTGTTTAAGAAAGGGTTTAGTACCATTCTCAAAGTACATTGGCTCACTGAAATAAATGTTGCTGAGTTGACATCCTCTATTGAGCCATTTAAAGTATACTTTACCATCAGAGGAAGTCTCCACTTTGGCCCTTGAGGGCTTCTAAACTAGTTCTCATCACAACTAGGTAGGTTTGTGAATGTCTGAAGACCTGAAGAACCTGGCAGAAAAGCTTCACACCCATTGTAATGAAATATGAGGGAGGAACCTTAATTAGAATCCTCCCTTTGCAAAAGCTAGTAACCAAGAATGTGGAAATGCCATGTAGATCTAGATATATGAATATCCTTTGGTACCAGATGATGTTTACATCTTTACTGTATATAATGCTTGGTGTTCAAGTATGCAGTATGTTAGTGTGGTTGATTACACAGTTTCACTGCAAGATGATACAAAAATAAGAAGCTACCATGTAAAGGGCCAGTCACTGAGAAACTTGTATTTATTTTCCAAAAGTTGGATCAGGTAGAACAGATATTTTGCCATTAATTCATCAGATTAGAAACCAATAGTTTGAAATGCTACGTTCATCAATCCTGAGTTCTCTCTTAAGATTGATCAACCCCACAATCTCCATTTCAATCTCTCATGGAGACCTCGAACTTGAAATATCTTAAACTTAACTCATCATCTTCTAAGTAAATCCTTTTTGTAGTTAATTAATTAATTTCCATAGGTTACCAATATATGAATGTCAATGCAATGTGATTTGTGCTTTCTAAGAAATAGTTTTTAAAATCCTATATTTTTGGATGCCTGAAATTTCAGCATATGAACGTCATCTCTCCTACAAATTTATATTTCTGGAAAGGTATCAAATCATCTGCCATTTACAATTAGAATGAATGAATTTATTTGAAAATATTCTAGTATAATTTTTGATGATAAAAAGGGGAAACAGGAGAAAGAAGGCATCACGGAGGATATAAGCATGTGCATGCATATGTGTGTATGTGTACTCACTTATGTTTTGGGATATGATGAGAAATCAAGAGAAGGTTCTAACAGTAAAACTTATCTACAGTCCTCTGCCTCCCAAAGACCTTGCTCTTCCTGTTTTGAAAGAGCTGTTCACCGGATCAGTAGTCCTCAGACCTCTCTGCATCAGAAGTGTGGATACCCATGCCCAATTCCCCCAGAAAGTCTGATTCTATTGAATTAGGATGGTGCTCTGTCTCAGAATTTAAGAAAAAATACTCTGCAGGTAACCCTATTGGATATCTGGAATTGAGAACCACTTCCCCCAAACCCTCCATGGTCCTGCTTCCATCATCAACTTCTGGCTTCCTCCCACCTTTGTATCTAATCACTTTTTTTATGTGTTGATGTAAGAAGTGTCCCTCTAGAGTTAGTTGCCCTTTCAACAACATGATGAAGCTGGAGGCTGATTTTCACTGTCTGCATCTCCTCCAAGTTTCAGAGTTTACAGCATGTGATTAAACATAAATGCTTACCACCAGTTTACCACTACCTCCATTTGAGAGGATGCACTTCAGCCCTGAGCTGATAGGCATGCAGTGTTCCTCCAAACATTAACACTTGAGACCAGTAAAACTAAGTTAGTTGCCCAAGCCATTTTGGGATAGGCTCCTTGTGAGAATCTGCGGAGTGCCACCACCTTGTCTCTGTATTGAAACATTCACATGTTTCTAATTAGCTGCAGCCCAATAGAATCATGATAAAAACAACAACAACAACAAAAAAAAAAAAAAAAAAAACAAAAAAAAAACGGGCTTTGAATTTGAGCATGGGCTTTAAAATCTGGCCTCTGTTACTCACCGATGGCATGACAATGGGCAAAGCACGTAATCTTTGTGAGTCTTCAGTTTTCTCATCTCTTAATTAAGGGTTGCAATACTCACCTCTGAGTTTCAGTGAAGGTCATATGAAATTGTGTATGTAAGTCATTTTGCACAGCACCTGGCCACTGCAAATGCTCAGCAAATAGAAGTTATAGTGATAGTAATTGCTAGTAAAAATAATCCTTAAGAAGGACTAATAAGTTCTAGGTAGGTATAACTTTGAGAAAGTGCAGAATTGCTGGCAGTATATCAGGGCAACCAAGACATTTCTCCCTTCATATCACCTTATATGTGTCTGTTTTCATCTACATAAATGGTATATAAATATTATGGAGCTGGTCTTAAGAAATACATAAAAATTAACGATAGTAAATTAAGCAACAAAAAGAGGGGTAGTCAACTGAACAGCAAATGTATGAAAAATATCATTGAGGACTAAGAACAAAGAGTTACATTGTGATGCAGAAACCCAACTTTTGCTCATTTTGCTGCGCCTGTTTGGATGGCTTACAACCAGTCCTGCTTACTGGCTCTCTGGAGATGACTGTCAACAGCTGGCTGCTATACAGTGCTATGCAGGAGTAAGTAAGACCCATCCTACCCTGCTGGTATCAGTGAAGGAAAGACCAGAAGGACTGTATTTGGAGACTGGAAATTTTTATTACTAAGATTGTCTTCTGACCCATATTGACCTTTGCACACGAGAGCAGAAAAGACCCACACTTGGTCACCATGCCCTCCTAATTGAGGAGTGCTGCTTTATGTAGCTTAAGTGCCAGAATAGGAGTGTAGAATCTCGGGTGCTCACAGATTCACAGTAGGAAGCCCACAACAGCTTGCATTTGTCACCTATACCCTGTTTTACATAGACAAGTCATAACATTGGCTCCAGCATGCAACACATATAACTCTAAGCTTGGTTTTGGCAGGAAAATGAAAATGAAAAAAAGACATCCACCCTTTCCTTATGGAATGTAAACACCTCACTGCTGGGCAGAAATTTACATCAGATTGTCATCTTTGTAAGGAAATGAATATAAATTACTCATCAGAAACATATATATTTTTTCTCAATATTTGAATGACACGTTGAACCTGCTAATCAAATTGTCCTTGATTTCTCAATATATACATTTCTCTCTCAGTCTCATATAATATAAACTGGATAGATAATGTAGTTTTTTTTTTCTTAACTTCCTGGATTATTAATTTAAATGTGTCATTTTGAGCAGATTGCGAGCTACTACAATAAAGTTTGAGAGCAAGGCTGAGTAATCATATTGCACAGGGGTCTAATGGTAAACAGGGACATTGAGAAGGAACATGGAGGAGCAGGGGCCAGGTTTTAATGGAGCCACTTCCTCAGCGTGTGCTACTCGACCTAGTTTCTGCTTCATACAGTCCAGCTTATGCAACTAGGTAAAAAGCAGGCTGTGGATGAAAACCAGATAATGTTTCTCGGTTGAGATTTCCACAGCAAATAAATTATGAAATTAAAAAAGATAAATGCTCACATATGGATTGTGCAACTCATAAAGAATCAGATTCGGCCGGGCGCGGTGGCTCACGCCTGTAATCCCAGCACTTTGGGAGGCCGAGGCGGGTGGATCATGAGGTCAGGAGATCGAGACCATCCTGGCTAACAAGGTGAAACCCCGTCTCTACTAAAAATACAAAAAATTAGCCGGGCGCGGTGGCGGGCGCCTGTAGTCCCAGCTACTCGGGAGGCTGAGGCAGGAGAATGGCGTGAACCCGGGAAGCGGAGCTTGCAGTGAGCCGAGATTGCGCCACTGCAGTCCGCAGTCCGACCTGGGCGACAGAGCGAGACTCCGTCTCAAAAAAAAAAAAAAAAAAAAAAAAAAAAAAAGAATCAGATTCATAGACTGTTAGGTTTTTATGCACAACTATTTACATTCAATTATTCAGTCAATGCCATGGAGACAGGGTTACAAGATTGAAAGATGAATATTTTCTGTTACCCGTCTCTGTGTGTGTGTGTGTGTGTGTGTGTGTGTGTGTGTGTGTGTGTTTTAACATAACAAGAAACTGCTACCTGGATATCAAGAAGCAATCATCTTGCAGTTAATATGAAAGATAAAAACAAAACAAAACATATCTTCATCACAGCTATCCAAGCAGAACATCAATGACTAAACAAATGGCAAGCCCAAATTAAATCAAAAGGCAATAACAAGAAAAAGAGTGTGGGAGCCATAGATCATTGCACAGGGAGGTCAGTGAGCTCTCAAAGCCTGAGGAGATGACCTGCCCTGAAAAACCCATATAGGTGTCTCCTGTCCCTTCACCAGGCTGAGAATCATAAAGAGCCTAAGGAAGTTGAGTCTCTTTTAATAGGAATCAGCTAATGCCCAGCTGAAAGCCAGTTCTGACTTCAAGGAGCCAGGGAAGCCATGTGTCTCCAAACACCTTCCCATAGTCAGTGAGTGCCTGAACCTGGAAAGCCCAAGGTGAGACCCTGAGCCCTGTTAAAAGGCAAAACTTCTTTGTAAGCCATTTACTCCTCAGCGGAACCTAGTGGATGTCAAAGACGACTTCAAATCAGGAAGAGCAAGGAAGTTCCCATCTTCACCCACCCTTTGTCCGTTGTGTCTAGTTGAAACCACTAAGGAGCAAACAAAGACTGGAGACTCAAATATAACCCTAAAATTTGCCCCTAGGATCACTGAGACCAGAGGGCATGCAAAATCAGTTGAAGTTTCTTCCATTGCTGTGCCTTTTTCCTTTTGGAGTTCCAAGGTCTAAATAACTGCATAAAACAAATCAAGGGAAAATAGGGCCCAGCTGCCTGTGGCCTTTGTTGATGAATAGCGCTCTAAGTCAGTCACTCAGCTGTTTTATTACTTGTCTTTAAGGCTGATGAGTCCCAAGCAGACCTGCATCACTGAATTCTCAATAAAGGGTTAGTGCTTGTCCTGCAGAATAATAAGAACCGCTAATGACACCAATTAAGAGCTGTAAATGTCATTTATACTTGTCTGTTATTTTTCAAATCAATAAGGCTGGAAAGACACAGCAGCCTGAGATAATTTAGATTGGAACAGTTTGTGGGGACATTTTAATGGATATATTGCAATCGGGATTCTTGTTCTCCTTTTGGAGAAACTGTGTTTCTCATTGGGTTAATTCTAATACTTATTTAAAGCAGAACTTTCACTTCAAATAATTAAATATAGGGGAGACTATTTAAGGCAATGAAAGACAAGTATATACATGTCTGCATTCTGTTCATTAAATTCCTTGTTGGAAAGTGCACCCATCTCACGTGAGAAAGTATTGTTAAATGGGATAAAAAATAATAAAAATTTAAAAAAAAATGTATAAAGAAAGAAAAAATAGTAGTGCAGACTACAGCAGTATATTCTGACACTGGAGGAATGTCAGGGGCACATGTTTTTATAAGGTTCTTATTCTTTTGCCAAAAGTAAGTAGTAGACTTGTAATTGGTTCATTCATAAGATTGTACAAGTTATACATAAGATGTTTTGTTTGTTTTGCTGAAATATGAGGCTGTTGGTCAGAACTCTAGATAAGTCTCTTTCTTTATTTCCAAAAGTGGCACAAGAGTCTCATTTCTCACTTGGGCCCTGTTCTAGCCAGAGAAAACTATTAAACATTTCACTGACAAGACTGCAACCAGGGACAGACAGCCCATCTCCATAAAACAACAGAGTGGTGCCAATCATCACAACCAAAGGGACATCTCACCAGAGAGTTTGAGAATAGCTTACCAAGCTAACTTCTGGGTATTTGTGAATGCATTCTTAAATTTTTCTATTATAATTGGGAATGTTAACAAAAGATGATAAAAAAAGGCATGTAAAATTCCAAATTACCTGTCTTGCATGTCTACCTCTACACTTGTTCCTCTATAAGTAGGTTTTCCACTTTGTTTCAAAAGTAAGACTTAAGTGGTTAATCTTTTGAAGGTTTATTTTTAATTACTTTTAATAGAACAGTAAAATCACCAAGTTGGGGGAAAAAAAGATTTAAAAGACATTTTGGGAAATTGCTGTTTACACAATCAATAATCATTTTATGTAAATGTCTACTTGACAATAAAATAATTAGTCAAAAACTGAATATTTTACATACTCAATTTATTGTGGCTACCTCGCAATCATTGCCCAGTTTGATTACCTACATTGAAGATAGCATGGGCATTGAAGAAGTAAGTTACAACTTCTTAATTTTAAAAATTAAACTGACCAATTTTTAAAATAAAACAGATAACAATGCAGTGGGAGAAAATAAAGGGTATAGAAAGTATATTCTAGCCGTATATCTTTTCTGGTTGATTTATTGATATACATACACTGTTCTTTTTTTGAGTTTTGACAGTGTGATGTCATGAATAGGAGAAATGCAGGGAGAAAAACATATTTAGATGTCTGGTATGCTGTTTTCCGAATCATTTAATACAGATTTGATACAAAGCTTGATCTTGTCAGTGTTCTCAAGCTTGTCTTTGTTTTAAATAATGCAACCTTTATATCCACAAATTGTCTCTAACTTACCTCACCACTCAGAGTTCTACTATTCCATTAAATATTTTTAATTTTCTTAATTGGCCAAATTTACCTACTCATTCTCCTCAAATATTTCCCACATTTTCCCACATGTCATTGCCTCCAGAATGTCTTCTTATCTACCCTATCTTCATCTATGAAAATTTTAGCCTCCATAGACAGCACAGACTTTAGCCAGTTTGCAAGGCATTACTTGATTAAACCAGTTGGAAATAGTTTTATGTCAGTCATTCATTCACTTGTTCAACACACATTTACTGATGGTTTACTATGTGCCAGGCATTGTGGTAGGCTCTGCCCTCCCTTAAAAATATTAGTTTTATATTTGGACCAACCACATGGCTCTTGATATATTCTGCTGAATGTTATAGCAATTTGCACGTGGATTTTATCTCAGCACAGTAGGGTAAGTTCCTTGAGGGCTGAGGCTTTGCTTTAGTCATTTTTGAACTTACTGAATTGCTTATTATGGTATCTTTCTTAGAAGAAATGAATGAAAGAGCATCAAGCTATGTATATATAATTCCAAGACAATTGAACTGCTCAATTTGAGAGAAAAATAATCATATTAGGTAGCCATGTGCTAATTTAGATAAAGCAGTAAGTTGATTCACTTAATTTCTTATCCCCTGCTTATCTGGATATTGTTAAAAATGGCATTCAATGATTTTTCTCACTTGAATTTTTTTTTTTTGTCAAAGGACAATCAGGATGCTCCAATAAATAAACAGAATCAAGAAGACCTAGTATTGAGATATGGTTTGGTGTTTGTTTTTAACACATATGTGTACTCTACAAGACACTTGTGTCAATGGCTGGGAGTGACAAAACTGAATGCAAAGGTGTATAGGATTCCTCTGCTTCATTTGGGCTGCAGAAATAAAGGAAACATAAATGACTTCTATAAGCCCAGTTACTCTCTGGTAAGCCCTAGAACAACCTAAACACAATCCCCAGTGGGCGGGTATATGGTGGTGTCTGATACTATCTAAAATGCTCAAGGCCATACAGAACTAGGTGGATAGAGGGAGCAAATTTGGCTCACCATTAGTGGATACCACATAGTTTCCTCTCAATGCTTCTTTTTCCTCCTCATTAATTTCCACTTTTTTTCTGCCTGAGGCTCCCTGAACTCACTCTTTCTCTATTCAAAAGAGATCCACTAGACAGCATCAGATAAACTCCCTTGCTCTTGGAATGGAGTTCATTTTCAGCATGACGAATAATTATCTCAAGGGATACATCACTCTCTGTGGAATGCCAGACCACAGAAAGTTGTGTGAGGCAGGACATTTTAAGGGCAAGCAGCCCTAAAATTAAAATTAAACTAATTAGGTAACTTCCATTTTAATCACCCTGTGAAAAGGTCATTGTGGCCAAGGGACTTAGGCACAAGATATCTGTTTGATGATTGCATTTACTCATTAGTTTTCTAAAGTTTAGGTACTAGTTTTGTTACTGACAAAGAATCCAATAAGGCCTGATGACCTCAATGGCAGAATGGACTTCCACTGTTCATATTATTTTCTCTTTGGGAAGAAATTTCCAACTACTTCCCCCTATATGGGGAGTCACAGGGTCACTAGTAAACAATATTCTCTGTTCAGGGAAGATTTATGTGAGTGTTCCTTCTCAGCTATCAAATGTAGGTCAAAGAGTCTCTCATTTCCTGAAGCAATGGCCCCTTCAGGGTCAGGGAGCTCATAAAACCATGTATAAAGCCAGATTGGGGATGACCAGAGAGAGGCAGAGATGGCAGTTGGCTGGAGAGCACAGACCCATCTCTAGGGGGCAGCTGTCCATTGCCATACCGGAATGCACGCTCAGTGTTGCCAGATTTTCACAAAAAGCCAGAAAATGGACGTTTTATTTAAAATCTCCTAATTTTCAAATGTTGGCTTAAAATATTAACATGTTGTTAAAGGTAAACTATGTCTGTGGGCCATATCCAGGCCATAGCCCACAAGTTTGCCACCTCTGATTTTTAAAAAGGTAAACTTGTGAGTTGGTATGGTGGTGCATGCCTTAAAGTCCCAGCTACTCCAAAGGCTAAAATGGGAGGACTGTTTGAGCATAGAAGTATGAGTTCCAGCCTGGCGAACATAGTGAGACTCTGTTTCTGTGTATATATATAGATATACATATCTATATATATATATGTGTGTGTGTATATATATATACACACACACACACACATATATATTAAATAAAGCAAATTTGTGGTGTGATAGAGTGTGTGTGGAGAGTCTGGGCCCTTAACCACTTTACTGCATTTCTCACAACCAGAGTAATTCTCATTTTCCCACCCCATCCACCCACCCACTTCCATCCCCAGCTCACTGGAGGCCCACATGGTCAATTTCCTTGTCAATGAACAAAGGGAAAACTATTTTTTGAAGGAGTGCCTTTTTAAATAATATAAGAAAAGGTTTTTAATTAGTGCCTCTGATCTTTTGAAGTTACCTTTCCCTAGATAAAAATTTAGTCACTACAACAAAAGAAGTAGTAGCCTTTACCTGCTTCTGTTCCTTATGCTTGTTTAATGATAAACACCATCTCCGCCAATTCTGTATTCAAGTGTTAAAAAGTAATGAAGGTTTTTCAATTGCCATTTATGACTGCAACGAAAAATTTGCTTCTGCATAAGGCTTGCCTATCCTTACTAAGTACTCAGTGATTTTTTCTTATTCTAATGCCCTTAATTAGATTTATAGACTCTTTACAGTGTTTTATGTTGATGAGGGACTTAGAATACAGCACACACTAATAAAATATCCCCACTACCCAACTTGTGCCTTTGCATGTTTTATTTCAGTGAATAATGAGTCTTAAATAATGTTCTGAATATGTTGTCAAGGATATTCTAAAGAAATATGGACTGATGATCCATCAGGAAACATTAATAAACACATAACCACATGGAATTGGTGACCGAGAGAAAGTGATTCATTGGGTCATAAACCATTAAAGAATTTGGGCCATGAATGCCTGCTACAAATAAAAATGTATTTAGAAAACAACAGTTATACATTCTCATTTTTTAATTACCTTTCTGTGACTTTTAGCTCGTGTAAATGTTTTAAAATTGAAGGTAATCATTGTATAACAGTCTCCATCCTGGGGTAAAGAAATTTACTCTACATAGTTTCCTTTTCACATGACACAGCCATTTTCATGGTTATAGCTAATTAGTTTCGTCTCGACATTAGATACGGAGGATGTTTAAGCAACGTAAACTAGCTGTCATCCAGCGGCATCATAATCAAAATAGCATAAAATTTGCCATAAAACCTGCAGCTAATAACATTTATAAGGCACCTTATTACATAAGGATATTGGAGAAGCTCAGACACTGTATATCACAATGCTTCCCTGGGGACCTGGTTCATTTTCCTAATGACTGTATATGGGTTTACTTTAGGATCTTTTATGCACCTGCCTGAGCACAGGGCTAACCCAGCCAGACTGATAAGAACTGAAGCAGAGTGAGGTCCAAACTAGATCTGCCTGAAAATGAATCAGCAATCTGGCTACCTTTGTTGTTCACTAGCTAAGCCTTCTCAGCATTTCGTGGTCATGCTGGTTTTAATATTCGTCCATGTTTTATTTGAAAATGCTGATACCCTGCTCTCCACCTAAGAGGCTTTTTTTTTTCTGTGCCCTACTCTTGTAGCCTTTATGCCTCACTCATCCTTGTAAGCTAACATCAAGCTATGTTTCCTCACAGAGATTTCCCTGTAACTCTAGCCCACATCAACGTTTACCTTTGAGCTTTTATCTGGCCTGCATAGTCAGGGTCCATTCTTGCCTCAATTCTTGCCTATTTTTTTCTTTTTAAAAAATTGAATACAACTTACAGCTCAATCTTACATCATCACCAAATCATAGAGAGTCAATCCTGGAAGTACATTAGGGCCACATGTTCCAACCTTAAATGATATTTGACCAGTCCTATTTGGGACTTCCTTTTCTCTTTCATTACCCATGGAACAGTCAGCTGCAGCATGAGAACTACGTTGCATTGATATTCAGGATGCTGCCCACAGTTCAATCTATTCACATGATTTCTTACTTGCTAATCTAGCTCCTGCCATTCCACCATGCTAGACCCTGCTTCTGGTGACCCTTTGTTGTCTGGAATACATTTTCTGAACAATGACTCAATCAATGGTTTCCAATAATAACTGTTGCCTAGAAGCCCTGCTCTCAATCCCACCCAGTCATTTCTCATGCAGCAACTTGAATATCAAACATAATCTGCATGGTGAAGATTTTTCTATTCCTCCCTCGGCTTAGTGATCCCACTCTGGGGAGGAGGACCAACCTTATTATCTGAACCATCTATCCTATCTCTACTCAGGGAAGTTTCTGAATGCCCTATAACTTGGATCCTGCCAACTATGATAATCAGTTTAGCTTATTTCCTATCATGCAATGTGTTACGTTATATGCTAGCCAGTTTGCTGATTATGTCCTGTATAAAGCTTGCCTTTTCTTTCTAACTAGATTATAAGCTTCTTATGAAGAAAGATGCTGTCATTATACTTCTTTATCAAAGCTTTAATGCATTCTCTAGTCCTAGGCATGTGGTAGTGCTCATACATTCATTAATGATTATCTTCCAAAAACAGCGTGTACCCAGTATGATTCTAATACAATAAAGACACCATTCGATCATCTAATCGGATCTGGCTGTCCACCATTGGAAGGAGTAATACAGTTGCTGAATGTAAGATGTTCCCCTAATCCATCCTAAATCTTCCTTTTCTTACATGATCTCTTTTCACTGTAAATTTGAATATTCACTTCATTCAATTCTCAGTTTACAATTTCTAGCTTTATTCTCCAGTCTTCTAGTTCTTCTGCCTCTCCTCTTCTCTCCTCTCCTTCCCTTTAACTTAAGGGCTTTTCTGTTGCCAAATTTTTCATGTTTGACTCTGTGGTAACTTCCTGTGAACTGCCCGTGATACAGCCTGATTAAGTGTGGCCTTTCTCCTTGGAATCTTTTCCCTCTCTGGGGCTCCAGCCCTGAGAATCACTGCCTTATAGAAACTATATGCCTTTTCACTTCTTTGGTATTGCTCATATCATTACCTCTACACATCCCATAGTGCCATCTATGCCTCCCCAGACAGATACCTCATTTTCCCCCATGATAATATAATAGTAATAACAGATATTATATAATTTTATATGTATTGTATATAATACATGTAAAATATTTAGTGACAACTTCTTGAGCTCAAATAGTGATGCAAAATATTATAGAAAATAATTATAATAATTGGAATTCATGCAAATTAATTGGCAATGGTATAGATCACAAAATGCTATAAATATGCAAACAGCAGTAAAGCATCATCAGAGTGTTCCCCCTATTTATTAGGGGAGTTTATTTGTGTATTGTGGATTATAGATTATTATAGTGAAAAGAATAAACAAAATTAGAAAGTGATTGCATTACAATATGGCAAACAGACATCTATAACATTTTTATGAAAGACTTTAAACTTCTTATGGTATTTTTGAAAATGAAATGGTTCATGAAGTTTCCTGAAACTGAGGGACCCACAGAACAATTGAAATGGCTTGAGAAAGAGAATTCATCTCTTCATATTAGGAAGCTAACTCTGTTCTGATATTTGGCCATCATACAAACAAAAGTGTAGGTATATTATGAACCATTCTAGGGAAAACCTTTACCTCATCAAACTTACTTCTGAATGTAGTTAAAGGAGTCACACTACACAAATAAGTAGAATACACAGCACATCTGACAGTAATAAGGTTAGGAGAAAACTAAAATGAGGTTACGGGATGCTTGTCAAGACTGGTGTGCACTAGTTTAAGTACAAATATCAAGATAGGTTTCACTGATATTGTGCTACTGAGCAGAGAAATAGTTGAAGAAATAAGTGATGTGATATCTGGAGAAAGCATGCTTCAGGTACAGGAAGCAGAGAAAGAAATATTTTATTCTTGCCACTCAATAACAAGGATCCCTGTGAGGTTGGTGGTCATGAATTTAAAGTGATATCAGTCATCAGGGTTATGTATATATTTTTTGGTTTGGTTTGGTTTTTGCTCTAGTGGTCACAATGGGTGGGAGCTGGATTTGACCAAGTTTGGGATTTTGCCAAGTGATTATAAATAGGAAGAGGATCAACAGAGTTGAAAGAGTGAACAAGAAAGTGATAATAAAATAAGAATCTCAAGTAAGGAAGAAAATGAGGGCATGGGGAAGGAATAAGGGACACTGGAAAGGTGGCAGAATCAAACAATTGTAGAGCCTCGAGAAGTCACAGGCTTCATAAATCTGACTTCTAGTCTATGTAGAGTTGATTGACAGCTGGCAGCCCCTGGGTACCTCTTTCGGGATTGGGCTGGTCACAAAAGGGATCAACACAGACTTAGAGGGTTGAAACTTTCCGCTCCATTCCCCAACCTCTGGGGAGGGTAGACAGGCTGGAAGTTAACTTAATCACCAATGGCCAAGGGTTTAATCAATCATGCCTATGTAATGAAGCCTCCATAAAAATCCAAAAGGACTGAATTCAGAGAGATTTTGCAAAGCTGAATCAGGAGGTTCCTGGAGGGTGGTAGGCCTAGGGAGGGCAGGGAAGCCCCATGCCCCTTCCCTTATACCTCATGCTATGTATCACTTTATCTGTATCCTTTGTACTATCCTTTATAATAAAATGATAAGCATGTTTTGCTAAGTTCTGTGAGCCATTTTAGCAAATTAATTGAACCCAAAAATGGGGTTGTGGGAACCCTAACTTGAAACTAGTCAGATATTCTAGAAGTCCAGACTTGTGACTAATGTCTGAAAGGGAGGCAGTCTTGGGGACTGAGCCCTCACTCTGTGGAATCTGATGCTATCTTCAGGTTGATAGTGTTAGAATCAAGCTGGAGAACACCCAGCTGGTAACTGCTGCAGAATTGATTGCTTACTCAGTTTCTGGGGAAAAACTCCCACACATTTGGTCAACAAAGTCTTCTCTATTTATCGTCATTGTGGGTGAGAACAGAGAAAAAAAAAAACATGGCTTGATTTTGTATTTCCTCTACTAACGGAAGGTATGTACTTCAACATGGTAAAGGCCACATATGACAAACCCACAACTAACATAATACTGAATGGGCAAAAGATCAGGAACAAGACAAGGATGCTTACTCTCACAACTTCTATTCAACATAAGATTTAAAGTTCTAGGCTGGGCGCAGTGGCTTACGCCTGTAATCCCAGCACTTTGGGAGGCCGAGGCGGGCAGATCACGAGGTCAGGAAATCGAGACCATCCTGGCTAACACGGTGAAATCCCGTCTTTACTAAAAATACAAAAAATTAGCCGGGCGTGGTGGCGGGCGCCTGTAGTCCCAGCTACTCGGGAGGCTGAGGCAGGAGAATGGCGTGAACCCGAGAGGCGGAGCTTGCAGTGAGCCGAGATGGCACCACTGCACTCCAGCCTGCGTGACAGAGCGAGACTCCGTCTCACAAAAAAAAAAAAAAAAAAAAAAAAAAGAAAAAAGTTCTAGCCAGAGCAATTAGGGAGAGAGAGAAATAACTCTGAATAACCTAAGCAATTTTGAGCAAAATGAACAAAGCTGGAGACAACATATTATTCACTTCAAAATATATTACAAACTATAGTTACCAAGACACATAGTACCAGCATATAGACATATAGACCAATGGAACAGAATAGAGAGCTCAGAAATGAATTCATGCACCTACAGCCAACTGATTTTTGACAAAGATGCCAAGAATGCACACTGGGGAAGAGAGTCTCTTCAATAAATGGTGCTGGGAAAATTGGATATCAGAAAATGAAACTGGACCCCTACCTCTCATTATATAAAACAATCAACTCAGAATGGATTAAAGGCAAATATAAAATTGAAATTATTAAACTACTAAAAGAAAACAGAGGAAATGTTTCACAACATTGGGCTGGGCAATAATTTTTCTTAATAAAATAACTCAAAAGCAAAAGCAAACCCCCCCAAAATAAGCAAATGGGATTACATCAAACTAAGAAGCTTTTGCATAGCAAAGGAAACAATTTAATGGAGTAAAGAGACAATCTACAAAATGAGAAAAAAATATTTGCAAACTATACATCTGGCAAAAGTTAATATCCAGAATATTTAAGGAACTTAAACAACTCAGCAGCAAAAAGATAAAAATAAAAATAAAAAAATAACCCAATTAAAAAATGGGCAAGAGACCATAATAGACATTTCTCTAGAAAAGATATACAAATGGCCAACAAGTGTATATATTAAAAAAAAAAGTTCAACATCACTAGTCAACAGGAAAATGCAAATCAAAACCACAATTAGATACCACTTTACTCCAGTTAGAATGCCAATTATCAAAAAGACAAAAGAAAACCGAGTGTTGGTGAGAATGTGGAGAAAAGGGAACACTTATACACTGTTGGTGGGATTGTAAACTAGTATAGACATTACAGAGAACAGTATGGAGGTCCCTCAAAAAATTAAAAATATGTCTACCATATGATTCTGCAATCTCACAACTGGGTATGTATCCAAAGGAAATAAAATCAGTATGTTGAAGAGTTATCTGCACTTCCGTGTTCATTGCAGCACTACTTACAATAGCTAAGATGTGGGATCAACGTAAGCATCCACAACAGATGAATAGATAAAGAAAATGTGGTACATATACACAGAGGTATACTACTCACCCATAAAAAGGAATGAAATACTGTCATGTACAATAATATTGATGAAGCTGGAGGGGAATCTTGATAAGTGAAATAAGCCAGACACGGTGAAACAAATACCACATGATCTTAATCATGTGGAATATTATTATTATTATATTTTGAAACAGGGTCCTGCTCTACCACTCAGGCTGGAGTACAGTGCTGTGACCTTTGCTCACTTCAGCCTCCACCTCTCTGGCTGAAGTGATCCACCCACCTCAGCCTCCCAAGTAGCTGGGACTACAGGAACACACCACAACACCCCGCTAATTTTTGTATTTTTTTTGTAGAGACGGGGCCTCTGCTGTTTGGCCAAGGCTGGTCTCAAACTCCTAGACTCAAGCACTCCTCCTGCCTCAGCCTCCCAGAGTGCTGGGATTATAGGTATAAGCCACCATGCCTGGCCCTCTTGTGGAATCAAAAAAAAAAAAAAGTGGATGTCACGTAAGCAAAGAGTAAAACCGTTGTTATTAGAGACTGGGGAGGGGAGAAGAAAGCAGAGGATGGGGATACATTTTTCACTGGGTACAAAGCTACAATTAAATGGAAGGAATAAATTCTGGAATTCTATGGCACAGAGGGGGTGAATATGGTTAATGATAAAATATTGTATATTACCAAATAGTTAGAAGATAAACTTTTAAATGTTTTCACCACAAAGAAACAACAAACACATGTGTGATTGATACAATAACAAGCTTGATTGGATAGTTATACAACACACATATGTATTGAAACATTAAATTGTACCCCATAAACATATACAACTATCATGTGTCAATTAAAGAAAAAATTCATACAAAATTTAAAAATATATGTATAAATAAAGGCAAAATAAAAGTAAACTATTTTAAAAGATAAAGTGATTACATATTAAATTATTTCAACACATCAGTGCTCATTTATATTTACCCCAGAAGGAACAATGAGAGGTCAGCTGTACTGGGCTAGTGACAGCTGCAAGTGAAGACTGATAAGGGTATCTTTTCTGAACAGCTCAAATAACACCAGTAGTGAATGATTTACTCAAATGGTGACAACACTTCACAAAGCTCCAAATAAATGGAAGTAATATCTGTCTTTGATTTTCACAATAGTTGCATTTCTGTACATTTTCATACATGTTATCACTGGGGAAAATATTTCGAGTTTAAAATCTAAAGTGGAGTTGTTTTCTAGTCTCAGGTATTAATAAACTGCCTTTTCACCTACGTGAACATCCAATGGAATGTCTGAAAATAACCTGAACTACAAACAAATCTTTTCTTGTGAAGGATCACCCCTCTCCTTGCGGACAATCTACCTGACCCCTGTCACTTTGTATCATGTCTCAATCCCAGTCATTGTGAAAACCAAAACCATGCACACACAGTTTTGAAATGCACTCATGCTTTCTCTAATGAGAACAAGAAGATTAACATTCATTTTAGCTTATAGTAAAAAAGAGGAGCTTAATGAAAAATCTGAGACATAAATGAAACTTTAAAATTGTGGTCTATACAATTCTCAAAGTGACTAAAAAGTGAGACATTCTGGACAGAGGCTAATCTTGAATATGCATATATACTTTGATGAGTTAAAATTGTCCATCATTTGTTTCATGACTCAAAAGTTAGATGTGTCTGTTTTCTATCCACTGCCATACTTAAAATGCACATGATTAAAAAATAGAAAAGCAAAACACGCTCTAAGTATACTGCATATTGCTAGTTCCAAAAAAACGCTAAGAATTCAGAAATCTTTGTAAAATTCTGGGTACCTGAACTTCAGCTGGGTTTATAATGCAATGAATATGCCATCTGTATGTTATCTTACCACATGTGGGCCAGTGAAGTTGTGTACATTTGCACACCTGCATGCTTACCATTAGCTTCATATGGAGAACCTGCCTATTTGTTATAGGAAAGCTAAAGCTACTGTTTGCATTTATGTATCCAACCTGCTAATCAGTTGTAGCCTCCATCTAATCAGAAAGACAGCAAGTATTGCTGGCCAAATGGAGGAGAATGGTGGTGATAATAGTGATAGGGAAAATCAAACCTGAGAATCTGACTTACTATAGTTGCAAATATTATTTTCAATAAAAAGGTTTGAAATGGTACATTGTTATTCATAGCTAAAACAGAACAGAACAGACCACCTCCCATTCTATCAAAATTTACTCAAAATTGTCATCATCAAAGCCTTTTCAGGCTGTAAAATAAATACAACCTAGTTCTGTCTTTACACATATATCCACATGCCTCTACATACGCACATCCATTTTGTGTGCATAAATAAGCATAGTTTGGTTTTTGTTCACCAAACACTTCAGATTATTTTTTCAGATATTTAGCCCTCTCTTTGCTTTTTGAAGACATTCAACATAAAGAAAAAGAAAAAAATGCTTTTTTAAATTCATTTACACTTCAATCATCCATGTTGTTTAATATGAACTATTTGATATTCAAGAGCCCTTGGGGCTTTTCAAACATGCTTTGGAAAAATCTTTTTTTTTCTCCCCTAATATAAGAAGTAGCATTTCGCCAAAGGCAAGTCATACTGAATGCCAGGGAAGCAGGGTGCTACTTTACTCTGAACTTGTGAATCTTGAGTAATGTCTAAATTGGGGAAAAGAGAGCTCTTGGTAGTTTGTTGTATGTGCATACATGGGTACCTTCGTCTTATACAGTCACAAATCAATCTTTATAATCTATATTATTTTACAGAATAAGAATTTTAATATCAATCTAGGAAGACCAGGATACAGACATAAGATTAGCATCTTTCCTTCTTCCATCTCTACCCACTTCTCCTCCTCCTCCCCAACTCCTTCCTTCTCTCCTTCATTTTCTTTCCTTTTAATATATGAAAAGAGCCACTGGGTCTAATCAATATTCTCTCTTAGGATAATCTTTCTCAGGTGGAAAAATGGACATATAGAGCAACCTTAAAAGAGTCATGAAACTTTAACCCCTCAAGTGGTTCATAAATTTTTCTGTTAAAATTCCATACTTATAAAGACCTAGCCTCTACTTGATTCCAGATATATGAGGTTCACTGACTCCAGAGGGGGCAACGCACATCCTTAAAAATCACCAAAATTTACTTCCTTTTTGAGGAAAGTGTTCAAGATTTGTGGGGCTACAGGTCTATAAATTTTGAAGACCTGTTTTAAGGAAAATATTAAAAATTATAAATACAAAATCAAGTATTCAACTTTTTATTTAAAATGATAAATGAAACTATAATACATTACACATTTTTAAAACTATTAAAATCCAGAAAAAATAGTATATTTACATTTATTATAATGTTTATTTATTTACTGCCTAGCAGTTAATAATCTATCATTTTTCTTAAACTTTTTTGACTGCTGGTCCTTTGATCACATTGCCATATGAAAATGATTTTGTGGCATCATTTTTTCATGGAGTGAATAGGAAGATCATTCAATCTTTCCTTTAGCAAGGTTGACAGAAATGTGTTTTTAATCATTGATGCTTTATTAAATTTTCTTTCAGCATCTTAACTTGTCGGTAATGTCATGTAAATTGTTAAGATTGTTTTCAAATTTGGGTAAACATCTCAATTTTTTTTTTTAATACAAGCTGTAAGATGTCAGGGCATTTCAAAGTATGTGTGTTTGTGTGTATGTGTGTAGTGACAAACACAATATCCTCTTTGAATTGATGACATGCGCTGACCAATTTGTAGTAAATATCCTCTTGAGTAGTGATCTTTCGAGAGTTGTATATTATCTTTATCAGTGTTTTTACTTTATGTCAAGTCATCAAGAAATCAGTAAGAACCTGTATAGATGTAAAGGAAAAGGTCATGTCAGACAGAGAATAGTATGACAAAGGTCTGACCTGGTAGGACAGGGTAACAGTTTGAATGGGGTGGAGTGGAGAGCACCAAAGCGTGAAGGGACACACTCTTTGGAGCTAGGCAAGGAGGTGGAAGGTAGAGCTGAACGCTGGATAGTGGCTTCTAGCCCATCAGGCTTTAAAGCTAAGGAAATGACAGCCAGTTCTTGAATTATTATGCATAAGCAGTGTAGTTTTACGTTCGGTTTGCATTTGAGTTCCACAAACTCAAGTCTTATACTTACTAACCTATGTAACCTAGCTGGAGGTAATTTAACCTTTCACCTAAGAGACTGTGCACCACATAAATATATCCCACTAAACCCACATTAACTGTAGCTACAAATCACCTCCCCTTACCCAAATTTCAAAAATGCCTGCAGCCATTCTAGTTACATGACACAGGGCCAATTTGATACAATGGATGTCACAGTTGGGGGGTGGAGGGGAAACATGGTCTTAACTTACTGAGGTAAAAAATATCTTACTTCCAAATTTTACAAAAGAATATGATCATGTGAACAATTGCACGGATTATTTTCACATTTTGGCCCATGCAAGTGAAGGACCCTGACATGTGAAGCCCACATTTTGGCCCATGAAAGTGAAGGGCCTTTCATTGGCTTGATATTAACATGCCTCTCTGTTCTTTCCTCTTTGGTACTTTGGCTCTGGTTTTACATGCTTGGAGCCCTACTGTATAAGTCTTTAAAACATCTGGGGACAGTCATATGTTTTTGTTCCTAAGTCTCTTCTTCCAGATAAACATTCTCATTCAGACTCACATTCCAGGGTATAAGTGGCTCCTCCCTGCTCTCCCCATTTAGTGCTTATAACTTTCACATTTGTTATTTCAACTATTCTTAAGTGCTTAATCAGAAGGTCTGTTAGAATCACATATTGGCAACTGTGTGGGGCATAGTGTAATTTCATATACAACTGGCAGAAGTGTAAATTGGGGAAATTATTGATGGGGATTCCATTGAGCAGTAACTATTTAAATTAAAAATCTGCATACCCTGTGATCTAGCACCAGCACTTATTAGATTCAGCCTCTGAAAAACATGCACATGTGCAAAGTGAATCATGTAGGAGAATGTTCACCCTGGCACTTTTTATAGCACAGAAAGGCTGGCAATAATACAAATGTTAATTTAGCAAAGAAATGGCTCAAAAATGTGCTGCATTTGTATTGTGGCATTCTCTAAGAAGATCAATACAGAGATTAAGCCGATAGATTTACAGATTGTCAAGACATATTTTTTAGTAAAAATCAAACAAAATTGTCCGGATACTACACAAACTACAATGTCTTTACTGTGAAGCAAGCAGGCACAGAATACACATAAACATACATGTAGAAATATGTAGCAGTAACTGACATCTCTGTAGAGGGCCAGAATTGGGATGATTGGTTAAA
The DNA here is from genome assembly GCF_000001405.40 of Homo sapiens. Taxonomy (NCBI): domain Eukaryota; kingdom Metazoa; phylum Chordata; class Mammalia; order Primates; family Hominidae; genus Homo; species Homo sapiens. Next base: position 39,498,684 of record NC_000018.10, read on the forward strand.
GGAAATTTTTTCCTCAGGTGTAGCTTTTTAAAATTTGTTGTTTTAAACAAGAACAAGTATACTAGTCCATATTCATGCTGCTTATAAAGACATACCTGAGACTAGGAAGAAAAAGAGGTTTAATGGACTTACAGTCCCACATGGCTGGGGAGGCCTCACAATCATGGCAGAAGGCAAGGAGGAGCAAGTCACATCTTACATGGAGGGTAGAAGGCAAAGAGAGAGAGCTTGTGCAGGGGAACTGCTCCCATGACATGTGGGAATCGTGGGAGTTACAATTCAAGATGAGATTTGGGTGAGGACACAGCCAAACCATATCAGCAACACATTCACATATTAGTTGAATAACTAAAATTACCTAAAACAAATTATGCCAGTAACATGTTACATTGCTATTCCCCTGCTTGTTCACATACAAACATGCACACATGTGCACATACACATACATACACACAAACCCAGGACAGATTCTGTATGATTGGTTTAATGAATATGAAATTAGAAGTCTAGATTTAAAGTGTACACATGCAAAAAACAAAAACAAACTCTTCTTGAGTGACCTGGAGTCATGTGTTCATGTTTATCATATGAAATAAGTTGTCACTAGGATAATATCAACCTAGCAAGAGTCGCATCACATGAAATTCCCTGATGAGGTTTTAGAATTTAGAGAAAACATTTCCTTTAGGTTCTCTGACAAAGAACAAACTCTTGAACTTGTATTTGAAAAAATGAGAAAGTGCTGGGAAGAGCCAGGTTTGGGAGTAAGGGTGCAGGGAGTAGAGGAGGAAGGCCAGTAGGTGCAAGGAATCGTGGGCTGATCTGAGCCACTATCTTCTCTCTGCTCCATGTCTTCATCTATATCATGGTCTAAACACAACCACACCCACCTCATGGAAACATGGTGAGGGTCATCTGGACAGCATACACAAACTCTCTTTTGGAAGTATGCAATGCTTTACAAATACCAGGCATTGTTACCCACAACTTGATGCTTAACCAATAAACACAAGATTGATGTGCTTTTACTAACCATAAAAAGTGAGGGTAAAACTAGAAAAGGAACACTCAGTAAATGAGGAATGAGTTTCATAATTTCTGATGCCTGTGACTGTATATCCGGCACTGACAGTGTGTTTCTGTAACTGAGGTCAGTTAAATGGCCAATGTTAGGCAGCATAAAGCTAAAAATACATGACATTGTTTTTGATTATTACCATTACATTATAAGTAAAATACTCTGCTCCAAATGATAATTGTTTATCTTCAATGACGAAAGTCTGAATCTGATAAGACGGGAAGAAATTTTTATCAGAGGACCCTTTAACTGGATGTATATTGGACCAGGATTTTAAGAAGATTTATTCTTCTTCTCTCTCAAACAAAATAATAGCTACTCTGTTCTTTGCTTTTGCTCTCAAGCCTGAAGATGATTTGTGCCAAGCAGAGATCTGAATCTAATGTTTTCATGTTGTTTTAACATAGTTTTCATTTTTAATCTGTAGATAATCCTAATATAATAGACTGTGAATCAATATTTATAAGTGAATTTTAATCTTTTATAGCAGATCCATTAACAAACCCCAAATTTATTGAGCCATAAAAGTTAGGCCAAGCTATGGCATGTAGTATAGTCTTATAGTTCCCAATTGAATCACTAGGCAGCGTAGATATGTTGCTTCACACTGCACAAGTGCTCTCAAAAAAAAAAAAGTAGTATATTTGTCTCCTCTTTTACTTTTCCTTGGGATAAACACAGAAACAGTAAAAAGGGGCTAAGGCACCGCAGGGGATGCAAAGCAGACAGGCTACACAGCCTACAAGGGAGGCTATTACAGAGTTACAGTGGCTGTTGCAGGGCAACCAGCTGTGCATCTAGAATGAGCTGGTGTAAACGAGGTGCTTTTAATCTGGGAACAACATTTTTTTTCCTTGGATGTTACTTCATTTCCCTTCAATTTTTATTAGGACATTTTCAAAATTTATCCTCCCACCACCAGATGTGCAAACAATAAATATAATAGTGGTTTTGCCCCCTTAGCTTTTTTTTTTTTTTTTTACTGTTTGAATTGAAAAAAGGCAAGTACAGTCAGAGCTGCTCAGCTAAGTGTTTCTGGGCCCCTAATTCAACCAAAAAAGGTCATGAGAATGTGTGCAATACTCCCTCTACCTACTTTAATGGTGTGTGCTGTTCATCACTCAATATTCTTGGACAAGTTTCCTCCCTCCAGTCCCTCAGCTACCTAATTAGTGAAGCACAGACACCTATGTGTATAACACAGAAACGCACAAAATAAGAAGGTACTTTCAGAAGAAGCGTTTGAGGTGTTGGCTGTCATACGGACCTAAGATTTCATATGGAGAAAATGCAGACTTTTTAAGTCTAGCACTTTAAACTGTTGCTGTCTTTTGTAAAATTGACCAAACCACTGGAGCACATGAAATAAATCAGCAGACCATGACAAAATACTACCACTTTGTAGTATCCTTAAAATTCCCTTTCAAGGTTAAGAGTTGTTAAGAATTGCCCTAACTCTCCCTATTTTTTTTAGAGATTAATGAAATCATTGCACTGTGGAAACCAGAGGAATTGCTGAAATAATTTAGCAGTTTTTCTGACTTTCCTGGAGACCTGAGTTGGTGATCAGTTGCCAAAGGTCATATGGCCTGTGTGAGGGATAGCCTGAACCAACACTCACATCTCTGTATATTATCATGCAAATATATATTGTTTTGACAAATAAGATAATTTGCATTTTCTGTCTGTTTCTCCATGGGCATGCATACTCATTAGTTCAAAACTGAAGAGCAATTTTGCAAAGTAGCAGTGAGATGCAGCGCCCCAGATTAGATGTCCTTGACATCTCCTGGCTTGAAAAAAACATATTCAAAAACTGTTCAGCTCCCCAAGAACCAGGTGATTCTTCTTTCTGCCTCCAATACTCATCGCTGAGCTGAAGGAACTGCCTGACACACCAGTCTCTTGACGGACAACGTACACCCCCATCTTGCTCTATACACCCCCAGGCTTGCATGTGCCTCTGGTCTGGCTTACTGAAATGTTTTTACACAAAAATATTGTACTACCTCTTTTAATATGATGCTCCTTCTTTCAAAGATAATTTTTAACATGCTGACCATATTTCTAATTTGGGAAGGAAGTCAGTAAGTGTTTAATGTCTAAACTCATTGGCCTAGTACCTTGCTGTGGAAACAAAATAATTTTTCTTTTTAATTTAAGAATCCTAGTTCTCAGAACTACAGTGAAAAGATAAATTTAAAAAGTTCCAGAGGATGGAAAAAAAGAAAAAGAGATGTGGAGAAAAGAAGAGTGGAGGGCATGGGCCTTTGTGACCAAGTTTAAGCTGCTTTCTGTAACTCCTCTTTAATGCCTCAAATGCCTAGAATCTTTACCAGCCCTAAGAGTTTAAGTTTCCATCATGTTATCCTAAAATTGCTTGCTTTCTTCTACAAAGACATAGTTCCATGAGTGCATGAATCCTTGTGTACTGAAGGCCAACTCTCTCCCTAGAATATTCCAGAATTCCCTGTGCCCCTAGTTCATAAGTCTTAGCCTGTCAATGACCTACCTTCTCATCAGAAGTTGATGGACTAACTACACTGAAGAGAAGTCTCTGCTATTCTGTGGGTTGCTAAGCCCACAGACTCCTTGTGAAAGGCCCCTCACTCACAATTGGAATGGGTTACGACCTGTGTCTCTGCCTCTCTGGGCACAGTTGATGGAAAAGGGGTGAAAAGTCACCAAGCAGAAGAAAACTTTGATTTGCTTATCAAATCAAAGTTGTCCAGGATCTCATGAGGTAACTAGACATGAAAGCACTGCCAACAAGGGCATTTTATGGTGGTGACTGGACATGCATTCAACTCTTTGATCAATTCTTTGTTGGAATGTGTGAATGCAGTACACAGAGAGAAGGATCAATACAGCAGCATGGCATAGTCAATGCAATGCAGAGAGAAAAGGTATCAAGTAGAACCATGAGTAAGAAATTACTAGAAGGAAACAGAAGAAAAGTGAATTTGGTGCTAATAACCAGAGAAGTGGTACTAGTAGAAAGAGAGAACATTCAATGTCCATAGTGGACAGCATTATTGTGAGGTCACAGGCAAACTTTACTGAGGGGCTATTCTAAGTCTTGTGGTTGAGTCACAGGAGATTCCATCTGATCTCTAGAGTTAACCAAAAATAAATGCTAGCAATTGTTTCCATCCATAAGGGTTGTAAATGAGGTTCCAGGTGCCACACAGCCTTGAAGAGTATCTGCTGGAATGTTTTACATTTCTTCCTTTCTTTCTCAAGTTTTTCTGCAGTAAATCTTTATTATCTGAAGTAAATTTACACATAAGTGAGGGCCAATGTATTCTGCCGCACATTGACATACATGTTGGTAAATTTAACTCCATAATTTTGGAAAAATGCTCTGCATCAAATAATCTATACGTTTTTTCCTGTTTCCAAACCTAGTTCAACTACATCACATATTTATTAGAAGAATTATCAAAACTCAAATATGAAATGTAAGATACTTATATTTTAATTATGAGATAAAGAGGGAGTCATAAAAGATGTAAGAGCTGAAAGGCTGGTCAAGGAAAGTCATATATACTTAGAAATGTATTAATATTAATATTAATTAATACATTAGAAATATATTAATATTGTATTAATATTGGTATAGAACTTGCTGTTTACTAATCACCATTTTAAGCACATACCTGCTATATTAAAGATATTAACTCTATAAATTTTAACTCACATAATCTTCATAACAACCTTGCAAAATAGATACTATTGTCCTTATTTTATAGATGAGAACCAGGGAACAGAGTTGAAGTTACTTGCCAAAGGCCTCACAGTAGGTGAGGGCAAGAGCTATACTGTGAACTCAGGAATCTTCCAGAGTAGAGCCTCTCATCCACTACATTAATGATGCCTCTAAATTCAAAATTGAACTTAAACTTTGACCAATTACCAAATATTTATTAAGCATCTCTGATAAACAATGTGAAGCCATGCGTACACACACACACACACACACACACACGCACACACACACACACACACACACAATGTATAATCTTGGTCGTGTGTCCAAATTGTGAAGACAGTAAATAAAATTAACTTTACATTAATGTTATTCTACTTTTTTGTTTTTGTAGTTTTTAAAGCTATTTATTCAACGCTAACTAGTCAAGCCATATTCTCAGTATTTTAAAGATAACATCTCTAAACATAATAGTAATTCTGTGAGGCCTCTCTCCACTTTATCATTCAGGCAACCAGGCTTAGGGAGACTAGCGACTTTCAGTTCACAGTCACACAGATAATGAGGAAAATGTCCCCAAAATAAACATAAAGCTATAGACACTGTCTTGGTATTCAGATAAATAAAAAATTAATATGGCCATTAAGAAATAGCTTCAAAGGGGAAGCCAGATTTGACCTTTATTTTATTTTTTAATATATGCATCTAATGATGGGTAATATTCCCAAGAGCTGAGAGGTGAGGTGGGGTTGGAACTATCCTTTCTATGAAGGAACTGGGAAAATCATCACGACCAAGGATCTGGAGACATTTTGGCTGGCGGAGAAAGAGTAGGACATAAATTTGAATAAATCAGGTGAAGCCCTATTAAAGATGTCCTGAAAAAAAGCAGAGGAGTTTGGACTTAATATAATAAGAAATAAGACTGTGAAGGTTGTTGAGAGGCAGAGGATATGATAAAAGCAGTGCTTGGGGAAGATTAATCTGTCAACAGTTTACAGGATAGATGCTATTTTAAAGACTGTATATTGTTATGGTACTTTATGTTTCCTTGGGGGTGTTTTGTATATATTTTTCTCTCCTCTGTTAGATTATAAACTCCTGTAAGGCATAGCCTGTGCTTTCAGCTTACATTTTCAATTTCCCACAGTGTTTAGCCGGTGCTGGTCTGTTACTCTTGATGGTTAGGAGTGCAGAAAAGCCACCTAATGATGGGAAATATTCAAATATTTCAAGCTACTAAGTACAAAGCAACAGTGTCTTTCCTAGGCTAAATTAAAATAATTCTCTTTTTTTTCTGAGTTAGAGATTTTTGTACCCTGAGTTCAATATCATGAGAAGTTATTTAAAAGGAGGGGAAAATGAAGAAGGAAAAGAAGAGGAAGAAGAGACGATGCCTACAAGAGATAGATTTGTTAAGGCACAGAGACTCTAATAATGTGAGAAATGCCCTCTAATTCCATGTGGGTAGAAGATTGAATAACTTTGCTAATCACAAAGACTGGGAACTGAAAAGATCACAGAGCCAGATCACACAGGTCTATAATTATAGCCAAAATAATTTCCCCCCATATTCCAATTCTGCTCATGTGGCAAGCAGCAGCTCTGTGAAGCAATGTGTAGAAGACTGTGATGCCACTCCTGGGTTTCGATTATAGAAAAAAAAGGTAAAAATAATGTATGCCCTGGTATGGGATGAGACAATGATAGCACATAAGCCCTGTCTTTGTCAATCTCAACTTAGTTTGATCTCAGTTTTCTTAACTGAGAAGAAACTGAGACCCAGAGTGAAGTAACTAATCCCAAACAGCTTGTAAATGGAGGACCCAAGAGTAGAGTTTTTCATTGCAGGGACACATTTAGCCTTTGTTCACTATTTGAATACCCCACATGCCATTTTGTTCAGTACATTGGGATTCTTTATTTATCTCCATCCTCCAAAAGCATAAAGCTAAATGACAACTTTTGACCCAAACATTCATAATACCAGAGGTTTTTCTTGATGTCCTTATAGGTGGAAGCACAAGCTTCTTTTGCCTCCAGAGTCTGATTTTCCAGTCCTCTGTGATGCTAGATTTGCCAAAGGGAAATAACTGAATATCCTCTGGGGCAAACCAGCATCTGTAGAAGCTGCTGCATTCAACACCTGCTTAATGCCTGCAGTGTGAAAGTAATTTATCCTTCTAATTTTATAGTGTAACAGATCAAATCTTTCCTTCATACCTAACTTTCAGGCCTGATTCCTTATGCATACACACTTCCCTGGGTAAAGGAAACATCTTTGTTTCTGAGGTTTCTTTATGATCATGGCTAGTCCCTACTTAGATAATCTCCTCCACCTCCACAGTGGTACTCTTGGTAATGGGAAGTTCAGCTAGCAGTGTAGTTTACATCGCCATATACAGTCGGTTAATGGCTGCTTTATTAGGTATCTCCAGTGAGATGATGGGCCATCCGAGAGTATTAACACCTGGATTTACAGTCATCATGATGGAACACATGGAAGATCTTTACTAAGCTGAATTACTCAATAACATCTTAGAAACATAAATAATCAAGAAGCCTCATTTCAAGCCTAAAAGCCAGGAGTCTGTCTTGCTAATTGGCCATGATGGAGTTATAATAGTGAAATACAACACAGAAAAACTCTCTAGAAGGTTGTCTCAGGCATATAACTTCAATAAAGCAATGGTGATCCCATTTCTAGCCCCAAGTTCTTACGAAGCATTCCTTCAAATCAGCCCTATGTTTTGAGATGCAGATCTATGGGGAGGTATTTAAAATGTCTAGTTATTTCACAGAATACATAGAAAATAACTATCTCCATGTAATTAAATGTGAGCTCCACGATAATTCCAAAAGTCTTCTAGCCTTCTCAGAATTAATTTATAGGCTTCAGGCACTAAATAAGATTAGTTAATTCATCAAAGAAATATCATAAAGTAGAATAGAATAGAATAGAAATCAAAATAGAATCAAACAATTGATAATAGAATAAAAATCAAAATAGAATCAAACAATTTATAGCTATACTTTTGGAATAAAGAAGGAAAAAAGTAACATATAAATATAAGATTAGTCTGCAATTAGGCAATGGTTAATTTGACCAATGCCAATGATAATTACTCATTTCCCCAGTGTTAAAGTTTTATAATCATCAAACAATGGATCCTTAAAATGTAGATAAGGCAGGCAATGTTTTCATTTTACAAATTATGAAATAGACTCTGTTCTTTCCAGTCATGTGCTGTGATGGATTTTGATGTTTTACATGGCTCCAAAGCAAATAGGAATAGGAAGTATGGTTTATTCCCCCATGCTAATCTGGCTAGATTACCCTCTGGACTATTGGTCACATCCTGACCATACCGTGTTAGTTTTTACAAAAAATAGCATTTACAGCTCAACCTGCATTACAAGGAAAAAATGACTATCAAGACTTCACAATAGTGGTCTTCAAAACATTACAAATTTCCAAATGTCAAAAATCGTGAGACATCTCCAAACCACATCAACAGTTAACAGAAAGTCATATTTGTCCCTTGAAACTGCCTCTACAAAATTATAAAAGAGGAAATTATGTCAGTGGAAGAAATCAGACCTAACCGAATTTATCTTCCTTCTAACCTCTAAACTGTCTTCATACATTCCTGGGCATAGGCCAAACTAGCCTTGGGAAGGAATGTAGTTTATAGTTTAAACTCTGAAACAAAATAGATAATAGCCCTTCGCCAAAAATCCCTGTCTTGCCTGGGGACCAGTCTGCCTTTATAGTACTCACAAGTTAGCTACAAGATTGGATGTCATGGTTTGGGGGCCGTGCAGCCTTTGGCTGCAAGAGTCTGGACCTCTCCAAATTACTCCGGGGAGTAACACCGCTATTGTAAAACCTAAGATCAATGCTTGAGACATTTTGCAGACCCTGCACTTGATGGATCTGCTGACACCACCCAGACCAGTAATCTGGCCCATCCAGTTCTGCCATCGCACCCAGGAACAGAAGACCTAACTTTAAGAAAACCTAACTTCGACCCCCTATGATTCTATCTCCAACCTGACCAATTAGCACTCCTCACTTCCCAAGCCCCTACACGCCAAATTGTCTTTAAAAACTCTGATCCCCAAATGCTAGGGGAGACTCATTTGAGTAATAATAAAACTCCAGTCTCCTGCACAGCTGGTTCTGCATGAATTATGCTTTCTCCATTGCAGTTCCCCTGTCTTGATAAATCGGTTCTGTCTAGGCAGCGGGTAAGTGGTTACACCCTCAGTTTTCTAAAATTATTTATATGTGATCAAGGTAAACATCCAGTTTGGGTCATTAGGGTAACTATGTATTTTTGAAATAAGTCAAATACTGTGTTCCTTCTTGAGTGCAAAGGAATTAAATAATTGCAAAAAGCTGATTATTTGTTTGATGCTCTGTTGCTACAGCTAAGCCCTTTCTAATTTTATATATAGTGAGGCACATTATCACCATGGACAGAATATATGGTCTGCTGTAATCAATCCAAGGGGTTACAATGACTGTTTCTTGCCTTTTAAGGGTAAAAACCTGTGAAACGTTAACACCAGGAAGTGTTCTCCTTTTTCTCATCTGTCTTCCATTTTTCCTCATGCTCCTTCTTCCTTCCTAAGGCAATAGCCCTAGCCTTTCACTCTTTCATTAATACTGGAAGTTGGTTGTGTCCAATTATGATGACTCAATATTCTGATCTTAGCCATTTATGTCTACAAGCTTTCAAAGATCTGGAAAGGCAGTAGCCCATCAAAAAATGTTCAGCAGATCTTAGGGTTTGCTGAAATAAGAAGGAATATATGCAAAGATATGGATTCACTTTTGGCAATACTTTGCTGAAAATCTCCCCTACCAATATAATTGCTGTGTCAAGATGAAGGCAGAGCAGGAGGGAAAGCAACTAGAATAAGTTATCATCAAGAAGGGGAATGAAGGGACACAATTTTAAGAAGCAATAGGGGACAGGCACCAGACGAATTTATGTTAGAGTCTTTGCAGGGAGAGTAATTAATACATTGCATATGGAATCAACCCATTGAGGGATGCAATGGAAGTAATTAGCATGAAGTTTTAATAAAGGAGTTAGACATGTATTTAGAGGAAAGAGAATGCTGTGATGTACAATTAATAACTCTGAGGCTGGGACGAGGCATACAGGACATGGGCTTTCTAGCTGCTTTTCCCTATTCACCCATCAGCCAGTCAGCTAAGAATGTGCCTTAGCGAACATTTTCTACAGCAGGCTCCCAGGAGTGACTTGTCTGTGGAAATCAGGGAAATCTAAAAACAGCTCTGTTCTGTTTCAGAGAGGTAAATGAACCTTCTATGGAAAGCAAAGGTGTGAAAGGCTTTAGACAAACTCATTACAAGCTCCAGCACACACTTAGTGAATGGAATTGTGACTTAGAACCTCATACTGCCCAGTGTCCTTAGGGGCCAAGAATAACAGATAAAGTACAAAGACAGCACGTTCAATTAAATACTGTAAATGAATGGCAGTATGGCCCATCCTGCACTGTCATTTTTATTCTATCCCTGCCCAAAGGAATATAGGAAACCAAGACCATAAACTGGGACCATCACCCATAAACAATTGTATATATGGTCTCCTGCTTTTGAGCAAAGGATCTCTACAATTCCAGCATGAACTTCAAAATTAACAAATGTCACAGGTGAAATCTGTGGTTTGTAGTCAACTCTGGTCCATCATTTTAGGTAAATATGTGACTTCTTAGGTAAGAGTTTATCCTATTAACTACCTTTTATCTATGAATAACCAATTTGGTAAAACAAACTGCTCTAGGTTTAATTGTGCACATGAAGTTAGGTGGAAGTTATGTCTAGAGAATGTGTAGAAAAAACTAAGAAGTTCTTGAAAGGGCTAGAGAACAAATGAACTACCTAATTAAGTTCCTTCACCCCAACATCTTTTCATAGTGATGCCTGATATGTAAAATTTGTCATTAGTTATTTTGTGGAAAAGGCTTTCTGATAGTTGGATCTCACATTGACATATCTATCAATAAAAACAGGTAAATTTTTACTGAGGTTTATTAGATTTACTGCTTATTCAGTATTTCATTTAATTGACATAACAATACAAGAAGATAGATATTAATGAGAGCATTTTATAGAAAACAAAACTGTCTAAAGCTGGTAAGTGGCACAACCAATGTTCCAACTCAGCTCTTCCTAATGTCGAAGTCATGAAAATCTATCTCAGTGCTCTTTGAGAGCAAGATTTTCATGAAATGAAATTGTCAGATGAAAACCTAGGACAAGCAAAGGTGCAGGAAAGGAATATAGTGACTGAATAGAAAGAAGGAATGGCAGCAAAACAGCCACCCTTCTTCTCCTCCTCCCCTCTCTTCTTCCTCTTCACAATTGGAATGATTGGTTCTATCTATATCTGCTGTATTAATGACAATGAAAGGCAATAGAAATTGGTATTTGATCAAATATACAACATTTCTTTTCCTTTTTGGGTGAAAGATTGTAATACATTTTGCATCTTCTATGAAAAGAACCAGAGTCCAGTGTTATTTGGCACACACATAAAAGTGTTGAAAAAGAAGTGAGTAGTCCCTTTTTCCTTTTTAATCACTGCCCTTTTTCTAGAAGTGTAATATTCAGCAATGTGTCCCCTAAAAGAGGAGACCCTAATGTCCCTTAAATAATTATATGTATGAAAAAGTATACTTCATCTATTTGTCAAGCCATATATACAAGTATTCAGAACTAGAAAAATAATTTTAAAAGATTTGAAAACCATGATGTTTTATAAGAGAGATGTTTCAGTTGGATTAATTGAGGAATGTGGGAATTCTTCCAGAACCCGGTTATAAAATATTATACTGTTTTATGAGACTCAAAATTGAATGGTGCAGATTACAGGTAAACCACATGAATACCCATAAAATAAAACTAGATTTTAATTTTATTCATCCATTCATCCATTTCTTCATTCAACAAATGTTTAATAAACACCAATGTGCTGGTCACAGTGCTATGTGTGGGCCAGAGAATATTGAAAAACCAAATGTTTTGTCCTCATTGAGTTTACAGTCTGGTGAGGAAGACAATATGTAAGTAAAATAAGTATAATTTGTGATAAATGCTATGATGAGAACAGTCCAGTTATAGGAAATAAATAAAGGGTTGGAGGAGTACATACGAATACAGGTAAAATTTGTCCAGGATGGTAAAACAATAGAAATAGCTATTCTGCTGTGATTCATGAGATCTCAAAGAAGAATGGAAGGCATCACATGGAGAAATAGAGTACTAGTATCTCTAGTTTATGGTTGAATGTGTGCAAAGACCTTGGAGTGGAAAAGAGATTATTTTGTTCTAAGGAATGCTGGAAACAAGTGTGGCTGGGGTACGGTGAGTGATGAGAAAAGCGAGCAGATGTGAAACTGGAGAGACAGGCTACACCAGCATGGCAGGAGAGAGGTTATATGATCCTACTTGTGTTATCTAGATGTCTTGGCTGAAAACTGAGCATAGACTCAGAGTCAGAGAAGATGCAGAGAAAGCAATAAATAATTTGCTACAGAATTTATCCAAGCTGTATTGATGGCTCGACATACAGGGATAGCAAGAGATGAGAAAAATTGAAAGATTACAAACTTTTAGAATTGAGTGATTATCTTGATTAATTGGATATTATTTCAGAAACTGGTGATTGCTTGAAGATTGCTTTTTGGCATTGTTTGCTTTTGCTTTTTGCTTGTTTTTGGTCAGAAACACCATCCTTACTACTCTGAATTTAAGAGGTAGGAAAGGGGAAGTTTAAACTGAGAAACAAAGTAGTTTATAGGAGATCAGTGATTTTTACTGGGGCACCTGGATCTGCTTTCTCCAAAAGACTCAGAGGAGCAATCAGCATTGTCCTCTCGATTTTTACTGATTTGTAATATATTACCTGACTTTGACAAGATTGCCTAAGAACTGCAAAATGATAGAGATTGCAGACCACTGATAGGTAAGACCAAGCTGTAGGGAGACAGGAAGGCACATGGGAAAATCCACGGATAAAATACCCATGTAAGAGACCGTATGTCATGGCTCACACCTGTAATCCCAGCACTTTGGGAGACTGAGATGAGAGAACCACCTGAGGCTAGGAGTTTGAAATCAGCCTGGGCAGCATAGTGAAACCCTGTCTCTACAAAAAATAAACAAAAAACAAAAAATAAATAGTTGTGTATGGTGACATGTGCCTGTAGTCACATCTACTCAGGAGGCTGAAGTGGGAGGATTGCTTTTGCCCAGGAGGTGAAGGCTGCAGTAAGCTATGTTTGTACTCCAGCCTGAGCAACAGAATGAGACTTTGTCTCAAAGTAGAAGAAGAAGGAGCAGGAGAGGCAGAGGGAGAGGGAGAGGGAGAGGGAGAAAGAGAAGGAGAAGAATAGGGAAAGGGAGAGGAAGAGGAACAAGAAGAAGAAGAAAAAGAGGAGGAAGAGGAAGAAGGAGAAGAGAAGACAGAGAACAGGAAGAGGAAGAAGGAAAAGAGGAGGAAGAAGAAGGAGGAATAGGAAGAAGGAGAAAAGAAGAAGAGGAGGAAGAGGAAGAAGGAGAAGAGAAGAAGAGGAAGAAGAAGGAGAAGAACAAGAAGAAGGAAGTACAAGAAGAAGAAGAAGAAGGAAGAAGAAGAAGAAGAAGAAGGAGAAGGAGAAGAGAAGAAGGGGAGGAGGAGGAGAAAAACCCATGTGAGAAGAAACAAAGTGACTTCCATTCCTGCTTAGGTATCTGAGGCTGATTTCAGAGTTTGTAAGTGAAGAGACTTTGATCTTAGATGAGAAGAAGCAGGTAAAGCTGTTAAGAATCTGAAAGAAAACTGACTCAGTTGGCCAGAAGGACTCAGAAGTAGGAGTCTGGACAACAGTCTCCCGAGAGTGAAGAAACTGCACTGTTGCTGAGAAGCAGCTTCCCTGGTGCCTAGGAATGAAGTGCTTAGCTCAGTGATTGCTGAACTTCCCTCTATACAAAGTGCCATTTTCACTCATGTAGCTATTCATTCAGGGAATATGAATTTACTGAGCCCCTTCTATGCTCTAGGCTGCAATCTCTAAGAAGTAGTAAGATAAGTTGTATTATTTTCTGTTTGGAAGGAAGAAAACAAGGCAGACAATTCCTCATGAGGCAACTCCAGGAGCTCTTGTTGGCTGCATTGCATAGTTACCTCTCATCTATCCTACCCAAACTCTCCCCTGTTTTCTCCTTACTGTCTCAGAGCTTCAGTTCCAGGTCACATGAAGTGAACAAGCCAGATGCCATCCTTCTCCTTCTCCTCATGGTACATTTAATCTTAGACCATAGGGAGAGTGGGAATTAAAACACACACACACACACACACACACACACACACACTGGTATTAGTCAACTAAAGACAAATTTTTAAATGTAGAATTTCAAATACTGTGGGTGTTGTTTTAAAAGATTTAAAGTGCATTCAAATCATTCAAATGACTTTTTCCTAGAATTTCTCTAAGACATCATTTTCTTGTCTGACGTATTATAAAGTTAAGGTGAATATTGTAGGTACATGAACTGAAACATTTCAGAGTGATCTTCCGACTCTTAATTAACCAGTTGTAGGAGAACATACTTCAGCAAAACTTTAGGTTTCTGGCTATATTTTCCCCTTCACAATGTTCTCTTATTAATGCAATACCAATGTGTGCATAGGCTGAAAACTTCAAATGTGTTGTATTGACTCCCTGGGCCAAGAAGTCTCTGCTGCTTGCTAACATCTTCAGCCCTATCATTGGTGTCATTGCCGGGCTCTGTAATCTTCCCAGGGACCTGCTGAGTGCATAGCTCACCCTAGGACCTTCATGAAAGCCTGGTTTCCAGTTCAAAAGTCAGGAGGCAGCAGGTTTGCACTTCTGCTGAGCTGCAGGGAAACATGCTGATTGCTGCCAAGAAATAAAGGCAAATAAATCAGTCACAGAACTCTGCCGAGTGAGAGGAAATCTCATGAAAGGCAGATTACAAAGGCGAATGAGGAGTGAATACATTCACTTAAGGCTGAACTCTTGAAGGAAGAAGTTGGTTTGGATTCTTTATTTGGAAAGAAGTAAACTCTGGATAGGCAGAGCAGGCAGCCACCTGCTCAGGGCCATCAGGAAGCCAGGCTGCCCACTGGCCACTCACCTACCCCACTCAGACCTCTCCTTCTACCTGGTCAGTGCCTCAGCTCCTCAAACTTTAGGTTAATACTAACTAGTTGAAAAAAGTTAAACCAGAGCTGCTACAGTCTAATGTCAATGTTTTCCTTGCTGGCTCTAGTGCAAGTTCTAGCTCCTGACCTTCTTCAGGTGGAAGAATCAGCATATTGCCTTTTGCCCTCCAAAGATGTTTCCTTCTCCAGTAATGTTTCATAGTAGATCCTGCAAAAATGACCAGGACCTTTTGTCTGAAATGGGGAAAGGATGTAACAAAGGACAAAGGAACACATTCTCCTATTGAGCAGGGAAGTGCTCTGAGGCGAGGCTGGTGGTATTTGGGGTTGCCCTGAAAGAGAATTGCTCGGCTGAGCTTAGGCTTTGATTGTCAAGATTAGCCCAAAAATGCTTGATGAAATTTCCGTGATGCTAAAGGTAGAGGATCAGTAGAATATGCTATATTCCAGGAAATAACTAGTCACGACTAAGCCTCCTCTGTGTATTATGCCCAAGAGTTTAAAAGCAGATTCATGTTCAAAATGGCTTTGTTATCACAGAAGAAAAATGGTGGTTAGACATGATATGGTATTTTTTCAAATGTAAGAGAGTAACAGATCTGGTAATAATATTTCTGAACACTTGTAAAATTGCTGGGTCCCCAGATTTGTTGATAATTTTTGCCTCCTAAAATATTTTCTCATTAGGAAGTTGCTATAATTGGATTTACATGAGAAGGACCCCTGGGTATATTCTTGGGACAGCAAAAAAGACAAGAGGGAGGAAGGAAGTATCACCCCTGTCATCTGAAATGAGCAGAAAGAAGCCCATATGGAATGAATGAGTGGTAGCAGCTACGTGAAATAGGGAATTAACTCCATAACAAATTACACTCATTGCCCTATCTTAGGCTTTTTTGTGCTAAGCATTTTTACTTTCACCTCATTTAATCTTTAGAGTGATTTTGTTTTACACATGAGAAAACTATGGGTCAAAAAGCTTATGCATTATTCCTGGGTAGAAAGAGGTAGGATCAGGAAGTGAGCTCCGCCTTGGGACTTTTAAAGGGAGTAATGTACTGATGACAGTGGGCTCTGCAACAGAAAACCACCCCTGGGGTCTTGTCTCAGGAGATGGAATGTGGATTCCCTAATGAAGACTTCCCATAACAAGGTTTAGCTTTAAAAAGAACATCCACTTTATTTAATATGGGGGTATAATTCTTCAGTCTACAGGATTGGGTTGTCCTCTTCACTTTGCACACAGAGCAGAGGCACTGTGATTAGCTTGAACAAAGGTGGAGATTTGTGATTAACCCACAAAGAACCCTTAAGTAGCCAGAATTGACATTCTTTGGAGGTTTTCCCTCTCTTGATTTTACTACCTGATGCCATCTACAGCTTGAACTGAGTTAAATTAGAACCACTTTTTCACTCAGTATAGTATTTGTTCATTTTTAATTGATTCTTACGCTTCAAGGGCTGGGTCCCAGATGCGTCCCTTACTGACTTTACTAGTTATTTCACTCAGGCAGTCCTTACATGGTCTTTGGGGACTGTGATTAGGCTGAGAAAAGCTGAATTAATTTACTTTTTATACAGATACACACTGATTGGGATGGAAGCAGAAAAACTTGAGAAATAAACCAATGGGATAGGTCAAAGAATTTAATCTTAGATAATCTCTCCCAAACCAGCAGCCTGATTCTCTTTCCTCTGCTTGGTGGAGTATGATGCAAAAACTATGAATTCTGTTTTCAAAGGAACATTAAAGGCTAAGCAAATATCTGTAATATACACATAAATAAAATAAGCATAGTGCTTTGTTCTTTTGTGTTGGTCAGAAAATACACATATGCATACAAATGAGTATGCATACCATAGTTGTGTGCCATATTGAAAGTATAAGACTTCACTAATCCGTGTGTTCTCCTTGCATATAGAATGAAAGCAAAAATAAGTATCCCCTCATTCCTTCTAGCACCGTAATTATCCAGATGTCCATTCTACATCCTGATTCCTCAGAGACGTATTTGTTAGCCAGTTGTCATAATTGAAAATATCTGCAAATGTATTTTATGTTACAATTCTAAAGAATAGTAACGGAAAGTGCTCCCCTTTTAAGTGAGCACCTGAGGTCTTAGCCATGCCGGAGTTAGTGATAGGAATCTCTCTTAATCACAAGAAAAGGAGAGCTGACTAGGAAATAGGGAATACTAACTCCAGTTCCCCCTCTTTCCCCAGCCAGATCCACAAACTCTAGCAGCCATTCATTTCTGTAGGTAAAGAAAGAGAAAATTAAAGTAAATAATCTCTTAGATCTCTTCCAAAAATGTCATTCTATCAATCCATGTTTCCAAAATCAGACATTTCAAATACAGTGTTAGGACAGTAGAGGTGATAATTTTCACCAGCATCTCTCGAAAATAACCATTCATGGAAAGTTATAAAGCCTTTGTGGCATGTCTGCTTGCTGTATGGTATGTACTTCATCTAACAGTCAGATAGATAGATAGATTTTTTTTTTTTTTTTTAGACAGTGTCTTGTTCTGTCACCCAGGCTGGAGTGCAGTGGTGTGATCTCAGCTCACTGCAACCTCTGCCTTCCGGGTTCAAGCAATTCTCCTGCCTCAGCCTCCAGAGTACCTGGGATTACAGGTGCCCACCACGACACCCTACTAATTTTTTGTATTTTTAATAGAGACAGGGTTTCACCATATTGGCCAGGCTGATTTCGAACTCTTGATCTCAAGTGATTCACCTGCTTTGGCCTCCCAAAGTGCTAGGGTTACAGACATGGGCCACCACACCTAATCAGTAGATAGATAGGAATTTAAATGCTAACTTTCTCCTACTACTTTCAATAAATGGATATATGGCTTTCAATATTCTAATCACAAACACCTAGCTGCCAAATAAAGCCAGGTGTCCAGTCAATGCAGATTAATCTGTGTGTTATATACAGATGTGTGTGTCTTCTCCCTCTGCATGAGCTCACTATGAGAAATTTATTTAACCTTTAGTTTCAAGTTTGATGAACCTGTGGTGAAACTACTTTTCCTTTCCACAGAATGGTTTATAATAACAACAAAACAAGGGGAAATATTAGAATTGACAAAGATTAATTTCTTCTTACTCTCCCTGCTGAGAATCTAAAATGACAGTTGTCACTTTATAAAGCTGTGACTTCACTGCCATACAGAGGCAGCCCAGGTCATCAACTGTGCCTTTCGTGTTGAGCAGCTGAGCTGCAACAGAAGTTGAACATACACTGAAGAGCACAAATTAAGAGTTAGATATTGTTTGTCACCCAGCAGAGTTCAGACTGGGAAATTTTGAAACCAAAGCCAGGTTCCTATTTTATAGTCAAAACACTCTACATTTTATCTCTTTACTGATATATCCAGCAATTTCTCTGATGTGCCTCAAATCATCTCATCTTTTCTAATGAGAGTGAGAAAGAATACTTTTACCTTTGTTTCCCTGATCCATGCTGTCTCTTAGTGCTAGCAATAGGGAAAAACTGCATAATCATTTTGGAATATCCTGAACCTATTTAAGACGCTTTAATAGTAAATATATATGGATGCTTTAAGCATACAACTTATTTAGCAAAGCAAGAAATAAAAAAAGTCATATCAGTTTCACACATATGTTGGCATATACAATTCAGAGTAACGTTTCCTTTTCCTTCTAAAAACTGATATTTTGGGTGATGTATACACCTACAAAATGGTCCCTAGGTAGCCTGATGTTTTACAGAGAATAGTTTGTGACTTGTTTTCCAGCTGAGAACTTCAGGATATTTATATACAAACACCATGTATTACTGAAACCATGATTCCAATTCAGTAAAATAGCATGAGAAGTTGCTTTTCCCTATTTGATATCAAATCATTGTTCATAGGCCTTTTTACTTCAAACTGATTGTTTCAACTTCATAAATACAAAGAGATATGCTAAGAATTTTCCATGATTTAAAATGTTGGTCGTAGTTCAGAAAAGTGTTAGCCATTACTTGGATAAAGAAAAAATATAGAGCAATTATTATATACAAAAATATTTTCATACAGAATGATGTAAGAAAACTATCTTTCTTGGGGTAATCTGTAATCTAATTCAAATGATCAGACCATTTGGAGTCAGTATGAGGGTTTCAAATATATATAAAATATCAAAACTTAAGAAACTTCTCTAGTAATTATCTTAATATACATGCATAAATATATGACAGAACAAACAATGAATCTGACAATTTAACTTGGGGAATAGAAAGACTCCCTTTGAAAACAAAGACAAAATTCCACTAATTAGTAAAAGTAAGGAATAAGCATCCCGCAAATCATCCTGATGATACTTGCACTACATAGTAAAGAACCAGGAGAGAAAGTCCCACCTGGGATTTTTGAGATCCATGTCTCAAATGTGAAATATGCCAACCTTCCTTAGTTGTTTATTAGTATTATTACAACTGCAAAGGTGTTTAAATATGAAGATGCAAACTGAATTGGATGTCCAAAGTATTATAAATGAACATGAGATTTGCCATCCCAGAAGAGAGGAATGATCTATACTGTTATTATCCTGAAGAAGAAGTCAATTTATATAGCAGTGACAGTACATCCAGCTCTGTACGGTGGGTGGGTGATGCCTGTTTCGGTTCGTGGGCTTCCTGTCTAAATAAGACTGAAAGCAAAAGAGGGCAAAGACAAAAACTAAATTCATCATCAGAGATACAGAATTAGTCTCATCCATTTCACTGATCCAGTTCTATATATCTTTTGTCCAAAGTTATTACCAAGAAATTCTTACAGAAAGAAGAGATACCATCTATTCTCTACCTCAATCCAAGATGTTCCCAGATTTAGCACTGTCTTCCTATATTTCCTAGGATCTCACCCCAATGACTGTGGCTCTTTTATTTCTTCCTTTTCTCGACTTCTTCTGTCATCTAGCTCTGAAGATTATTTCCAAATGCCGATAATATTTATGAATGTCCAATATCTTTTGTAATAGGCAGATACTCCTTCTGGGCTTACAGTGACTGGGGAATAGAATGAGCAGCCATTCTTAAAAGAGAAAGAATGGCATAGCCAGGTGAAGTTATAAATTGTGTGATAAATAAGTGAATGAGTGACAGATGTTGCAGCCCCATCACTAGAAGATTTGGGAACTATTCTTCTTTACTCCTTTCCATAAAGTTTCTCTGTTTATTGTGAAATCTTTAAGCATATAGAGAAGGGAAATGAGAGCTCATCTCAGAGGACAGCACTGTATTCATTCAACAAATCCTTTCAATAAATATTTACTGGTCTCTGAGCTAGGCCTCTGAGGATGGCTAGGCATTTTATCAATGGAGTTAAGTATATATGAGGGCTGTGTAGAATGAAGGATCAAAATGAACACAGGCATTAAGATGAGAAGGGACTTATTTGAAAGCAAAATGCTCAATCAATTTAATTAGAGAAAAAGGTTGATATCGGGCTCTGTCTAGGTCCTGTGCTGTCACGTGACCCTATAAATGTGATATATGTGTGCATACACATGCATACACACTGTATCAGTAAACATGCTCTGGTTAAGAACAGTGATTGTCCTGGTAAATCATTTTTTTAAAGTTTACTCTCTTTGAACTGATAGGCAATTCAGTCTGTAAAAACTAGTTAGGATATAGAAAGCAAAAGAAATAAAATGATAGAAATGAAGAGAAAGACAGATCTGGGAAAGTTCAGAAAAAGGAGAACGGGGAAGTACAGAAACAGAAAGGAGACACAATTCTCCAAACAGCCCTTATTGGAGAATCACCTTTTGCCACTGACTTTACCTGGCCTTTTTTGTGGTCACTCAAGCTTGAGTTAAGTGATTCTTTCAGGGACAAAGGCCTTCTCTCTCCTTCCTCTTGTAAAGCAATTTCAATGTCTCTAACCCAGGTACACATACATGAAGAAATACAATCACAAGGCAAAACGAAAAGAACCATGCTCCTGCTTTTTCTTTGAAAATATTTTTCCTACCAGTGAGTCAAGTTCACATTTTAGTGACATTGCCCCAAAAGCAGGTTAGGAAGCTGGGTCTTCACTGTCTCTACTTTTAGTCCTTCTTCCCAATGCACTCCTGTATTAATTCTGAGCCTGCAACCTGAATGCTTCCTCTGACACTAGAATTACCTGAGCATTCATCTAATGTAAAATCTCCTGCCGGAATGCACATGCACCATTTCTGGCACATACTGGATATTCAATAACGTTCAGTACATAGGTGGGATGGAAAGGAGATGACTCACCAACTACAGTTTCAGGGAGAGCCAAAGGTAGAGAGAAAAAGGTATGAGAAGAGGGCATTTATAACTAAGTCTGGTCAGAATTGGAGATCTGACAAAATTTATTTTTGCTCCTCCTGTTTTACTTTCCTAGCAACCCTTGTCCTCTCTGACTACAACTCATAGAACTTCTAGTGTCCTCAGGCTGCCTGCAACTGTGAGTAGCAAAACCAGCTTAAAGGAATAAATCTCAAATGTCTTGTGCGAAGAAGGTGTAAGTGTCTGTTTATTGTTTATTTGTTTGACATGGGTAGGAGGAAGAATAGGCGGTAGCCTGCAGGCACATGGACTTCAGACTAAAAATCCAGGGTTATAATCCTTGTCCTATCACATCCTAGTCATGTAACTGCTATGGCACTCAATTTCATCTTCTTACCCAATGTATTGGGTGTATTTTTATTAAATGGCCTAATGACTTCAAAGGACAAACACATCTGGCACAAAGTAGCTTATTAAAAATACTCCGGGCGTGGTGGCTCATGCCTGTAATCCTAGCACTTTGGGAGGCCGAGGCGAGTAGATCACCTGAGGTCAGGAGTTCGAGACAAGCCTGGCCAACATGGTGAAACCCTGTCTCTACTAAAAATACAAAAAAATTAGCCGGACGTGGTGGCAGGCACCTGTATGCCTGTATTCCCAGCTACTCTGGAGGCTAAGGCAGGAGAATCTCTTGAACCCGGGAGGCGGAGGTTGCAGTGAGCTGAGATGGCCTGGGCAACAGAGTGAGACTCCGTCTCAAAAAACAAACAAACAAACAAAAACTTACAAAAGCAGCAATGGTCTACTCAGTAAATGTTAATTATCATTCCATGTTTTCCCTTCTCTCTTCTGCTTTTCTTTTCTTAATTTCTTTCTTCTTCCTTGTATATTTGTGGTTCCCATAGTGCTTAGCAAAATGTCTTCTACCATGAGTTTTCAGGAAATATTTAAACTAAATTGAATGAATAAGGGAGTAAATGAACGAGTGGAGAATTAAATTAGTGCTTAATGTCTTATCTCCTCTTCCCCAACCACTTGGGAATCTGTACTCATCTTTTGAAATATCACCAGTCTGACAACTTTCTTGTCTTTTTTAAAAATAAATTATTCTTTTTTGAAAGTAATGTATTGCTTTTAATTCTACATTTCGTTATATCACAGATGATAATACATTGCTCAATCCTCTATGATCTTTAAAAAAGTAAACAACTGATCCTGGTTCTGCTTTTTCAGAGACATGAAATATTACCATTGAAGAACAACTAGGTTTTTAATCAAATAAGTTATTTGGTCATACAGATGGAAGGCCACTGAAAACCAGAAGACAAATGTGGGCAATAAGCATTTAAACAAAACTAACTACATGATGACTACTGTCAATGGAATTCAGCAAGCTTTGATGGTTAATATTAATTCCAATAACATAGCCTTGTGAACAGGTAAGAGGCCCAAAGACCTTGAATGTTGAAAGGAGCTATAGATCTTCAAAGTCAGACACATAAGACAAAAAAAAAAAAGAATAAAAAATACTGATATGCAAGGAAGACCTGAATAATGTAAAACCTTGGTTTGAAGTGGGGGAGGTAGAGGAAGAATTGCAATCATTCTATTTGTAAAACATCCATGGAAAGTATATTTTAGATTTATTTAATAAGTAGTAGATTGCCAGCTCATTTTTTTTTTTTTTTTAAGCCTGAGAGATCATCACAGTGCCAGATGTTAAGGACAAAGACAGAATAGGATCGTGGAAGGTTAAGATTATGAAAGACAAAACTCATTCAATCCTGCAGAAGTCTTTTAGGGGAGAATTTCCTAAGAATTCTAGGGTTTGGTGCAGAGTTTAAAATTCAGAACTGAAGGGAATAATCATGTGGATGTTTTATCTCAAAGAGAAAGGCTAGTGGTACAAAACAGAGCATATTCATTAATGTCATTTCAAATCTTCTTGCTCAATGTTTTGCTAACTAGTATTTCTAAAAGTGGGAAAATAAAGGCTACTTGAGCTTTGAAAGCATTATCAGGGCAATAATTGTAAACTAATGCATGTTTTCATTATACTCATTTCCACTATCTCAGGAGAGTAAAGGGTATGTATTGTGCGGAATGAAATGGGATTCATAGATACTTTTTTGGTTGTTTGTTTTGTTTTAGATGGAGTTTTGCTCTTGTCCCCCAACCTGGAGTACAGTGGCATGATCTTGGCTCACTGCAACCTCCGCCCCCCTGGGTCCAAGCGATTCTCCTGCCTCAGCCTCTTAAGTAGCTGGGATTATAGGCACACACCACCACGCCCAGCTAATTTTGTATTTTTAGTAGAGATGGGGTTTCACCATGTTGGCCAGGCTGGTCTCGAACTCCTGACCTCAGGTAATCTGGCAATCTCAGCCTCCCAAAGTGCTGGGATTACAGGCGTGAGCTACTGCTCTTGGCCCCATAGATACCTTCTGATGAAGATTATTTTTCATTACGATACTTTTTTTTTTTTTTTTGAGATGGAGTCTCCCTCTGTCCCCCAGGCCAGAATGCAGTGGCACGATCTCAGCTCACTGCAAACTCCGTCTCCTGGGTTCATGCCATTCTCCTGCCTCAGCCTCCCGAGTAGCTAGGAACTACAGGCACCCACCACCACACCCAGCTAATTTTTTTGTATTTTTAGTAGAGACGGGGTTTCGCCATGTTAGCCAGGATGGTCTCGATCTCCTGACCTCATGATCCGTCCACCTCGGCCTCCCAAAGTGCTGGAATTACAGGCATGAGCCACCGCGCCTGGCCTAAGATACATTTTTTTAAAGCAGCATGAGCATATTTTCCTTATGAATTTATAACTAGAATTGGTTTAAATTCCCAGAGAATTTCTATTTTAACCTAGGAGGAAAGCAAATGCACACACATAAATACATATATCCACAGCTACATGTGCACCAGTCTTAAACTCAGTCAGCTTCACATACCCAAGAACAACTCCGTTGTTCTCATTAGAAATCCCTGGGACAATACTTCTAAGTATAGAGAATCTCCCAAAAAATATTTTGTGATGTAACGTTTTTCGAGAGCTCACCATATTCTCTTTTCCAGTTAAAGTTTGTAAAATTTAAATATAAATCTGGCTGAACAGATGCAATATTTCATATAATCTTTTATATGATATTTCACACAATACAAAATTTGAGCTTAGTTACCAATGTTATATGTGAAAAATGAGTGGCATAGGTGTTTTTTAAAGGATTTGTGAGTTGTTATGGGTGTTTTGTTTTGTTTTTGCTTGTTTTGTTTTTCTTTGGCCAGAGAAGCACTGACTACATTGGATTTACTTAGGCAGCTCAGTACTAAATATCTACTCATCCCTGATTAAATAAGGTAGTAGGTCTTCACTTTCTCGGAAGCTTCTCTGTAAATTAGATTATATCTAGATGCAACATAAGAAGGGGAAACCCTAATGACCTCTCTCAAAACCAGTTTGAGGCAACATTATTTGCACTTGGCCAGACCTATCACTTTGACACCAACTAGAGAGTGACCTGACCTGATAAAAAGAATGCAGCATGGCAGGACCTGTGACTCACTGGTCAACAGCCCTTACTCAGGACCTGTGACTCACTGGTCAACAGCCCTGATTTAGCTTCATCATCATCCTGCACCTTTTCTAGTCTGGAATTGTGAACATTTATAATCCTAAACTACCTCTTTGAGAGCATATACTCCAGCAAATGTCTGTGTGTCAATGTCCCCTCATCAAGAGGAAATAAGAATGATCTATGTTTTCTTCAAAAACTGGGAAAGATTAATGTCTAATTACCTGTCCATTTTTCTCATTTCTTTACCCCAAAACACATACCTTGACACCTTGTGGGAGTTCTCTTTCTTAGCTTCTAAGTTGGCTGCATTGATATCATTTGCAGTTGAGCAGAAATGGGAAAAATGTGTCTGTGTGGATGGGTCACCAAGGACATGGGGAATTCGGATTAATACAATAGCTACTTTAGGACTTTTCGGGATTCACAGTGGCCTATCAGAAATGCTTGAAAAAATCAGAGGACATAAAATCAGGAGTCCAGATATTGGCATGAAGATCCACAGAAATATAAGAGCTATTAATACCTAGAATGTTACAGACAGGGCTATGAGTATTATTCATTTGTAAAACTGAAACTGGGAAATTTTAAGAAAATTGCCAAAAGTTACATACCTATACATTTTCTCATTTACTATAAATCGATCAATAGATGACAGATAACACCAATGCCATTTACTGTAGAAACATCAAAGAAGAATTTTATATAAATCCTGTTTTTGAGATGCAAATATTAGATACAGCTCAAAGAAAGCTGCGAGAGAGTTCCATCCACCATACTGCAAAAGGAAGACAGTCTGTAGATAAAGTAGAAGACTTCAGAGAGAAAGGACACTGAAGCTGGCATTTTGCAGACACAAGGAGAAGAAATTTTAAAAAGGAGAAGGAAAGGGTGTTGCAGTTTATCTCCCTTTTAGATGCTTCATCTCTAAATATGCACAGGAGAATCTTGGTGAAAACACCTCCCATCAGGCAACTGCATATCTACATGCTCCATGTGACTGCTGTGGCCTATATACCAGCTGGCTATTGACCTGGCCAGAGGTTTCTCCATTCTGACCCAACCTCAGTTTTAGAAAGCCATGTGCATCAGCTTCAGGATGGAATGTTCTCAGCCTGCCTGCCTCACCTCCCTGTGGCAGCCCAACTGCCTTGAATCTGGTAGTTCTTGCATTCTGGTCCAGCCCTTCTCCCCTCCCCTTACTCAGCAGTGGCACACCTTTCTCAATAAAAGACTCAGTTCAAGAAAACTTCTTGCCCCCGCCTGTGGAATGGAGAGATTTCTCTTACCCACCTACCAGTGACAACTTTCACTGCCTGTGCCCTGTGGACAAGTAGTTTCTCTGTCCCTCACCAAAGGGCCTACAGCTTTCACTTCATGGGAGAAAAGGGTCAGAAAGCTCACAGATGTCCTATGCCTGCCCCTCCCTGTGGTGCCATCAGCACTTGCACCATCAGTCAGTTTGCTCAGTCTCCAACTCTCCCCAAAGTTGCTCCTGAGCAACCAGTACAGGCCCCTGGGGAAGACTTTGCAAGTGAGTGAGTACAGATTTCCCTGTCAGACGCCCCCGGCAATTTCTTACTTACTACCCACAATAGGCCTTTGGTGGTGAGGGGTTCTTTAATTTTTGGCATATTCTTATCTGTTTGTTTTGTGGCCTTGAGAAGCCTCTTTCTCCATGCTCTGCCATAGGCGAGAGAGATCACATGCCCTAGCTCTCCTTGGAGAAACTTCTTCCTCTTAGAATTTTAGGTTATTGGGTTGCATTGCCACCCCAATATTCTGCTGGGCTAAAAAAAAAAAGTTGTGGTTTTGTTTTTTATCTGTTTTTTAGGCATTATGATGATTAATATAATGTGGATGTCACCTCCCAGGTTCAGGTGATTCTCTTGCCTCAGCCTCCCAAGTAGCTGGGATTATAGGCAGGCACCATCACAACTGGCTAATTTTTGTGTTTTTAGTAGATATGGGGTTTTACCATGTTGGCCAGGCTAGTCTCGAACTCCTGACCTCAGGCAATCCACCTGCCTTGGCCTCCCAAAGTGCTGGGATTACAGGCATGAGCCACAATGTCTGGCCACTTGATATATTTTCTATATGACTCTTTTGACAGATCTGTTTAATGAAAATGCCTTCTCTCATTCTGTGCCTTGCACTTTTAATCTCTTAAAGATGCCCCTGGATTAATAGAAGTTTTTTTTAATTTAATGAAGTTCAACTTAACATTTTTTTCTGAAGTTGTATTAGATTTTATAGTGTAAATTTTAAAATAACGTATTTGCTTACTACAAGTCACAAATATATTTTCCTGTATTACCGTATTATTTTGTATTGTCTTTTACACTTAGGCCAATGACCTATTTTTAATTGACTTTTGTATATTCTGTGAGGAAAGGGTCCAGATTTATTTTTACACATATAGATATCCAGTTGATTCTGTAATATTCGTGGATATAAACAAAGACCACCAAATAAGAATATATATATATATCAAGAACTTCTATGAATTAAAGAAAAGGCAAGGTGATAAGATTGAGCAAAAGACACCAGCAACCAGCAAAAATTATAAAAGAGGATTTTAAAATGTAATAAGTTTATAAAAAAGTGCTAGACATCATTACCCACCAGGGAAATGCAAATCAAAACCAAGGAGAAATGCTACTACACACCCACTACAATGGCTAACATTTAAAAATAATTTAAAAATCTAACAATATTATTTTTTTGAAATGGATTTGGAGCACCTTGAACACCTACAATACTGGCAGGAATACAAATTGGTAAAGCATTTTTGAAAACTACTGGTATTTATGAATAGTATTGAACATCTGCATACTCTTATGAACAACTTCTAGCTATGCCCCCAACAGAAATGAGGGTGTGGGAAAACAGTCTGTTGCATGGCATGAGTGATGCCATCTTGAAGCAAAACCACAATGATGACTGATGTTTGACCCCCACATACCAAGGTGATCAGGAATAAGGTCTTTAAACCATGCCTGCAGTATAGACTACCCCTCACAAAGATGCTTAGCTAACCTTTCCAGTGAAAGTGGATTTCTTGGCCTCTTTCTTCAGCTTCTCAACTCCCTCAGTCTTTGGAGGTAGGTTTGCACAAACCTGCTTATCATGGAACAGAGTATAAATGTATTGCATAAGACAGGTACAATAAAATTCATAGCAGTTTCATTCAGAAAAGGAAAAAAACTGGAGGTGGGGGAAGAGGGGTGGTGTGTTAAAGAAACATCAGTGGAAGAACAAATATAGTGTGATATATTAATACAGTGAAATAATATACAGTGATTAAAAATGACTAGCATGGTATATATAACAACAAAATGGTTATATCTCACAGATAGTTAATAAAAGCAAGATGTATACATACATCTGATTTTATTTACATAAAGCTCAAGAATGAGTATAACAAAAACTAATCCAGTACAAATGAAGAGAAAAATAGTAGTGAAGAAGAAATACTGAAGGAGATATCTAGTGTGCTGGAAATCTTCAACAGCTTGATATGGATTCTGCTTACACAGGTGACTAGATTTGCACAAATTAATTGAGCTGCACGCTTGAAGTTTCTTCAGTTTACGTGTATAATGACTAATATATGCTAAGAATAAAAGGCTAGACAATCGGAATATTTTTACACTGGTGATGGCTTCAGAAGTCTGGTGACAATAGAAGGGCTGGGAGTTGAGCAGAAACCCCATTTTTAGTGGGCCTGTGGTGATAATGGTGCCAGGAAAGGGTTAGCAGTATTGAGGTCAAGACTATTCTTGTACCATCATGTGCCTGTGTTTTTTCCTGTATAGACTTCTTTAGTTCTTGCTGGTCCTCCAGAATCCCCTTTGATTCTATGAGCTATTTAATATCTCATAATTTCTTTTCTGCCTAAACTTCTAAGAGTTTATTTCTGTTCCTTGCAACAAAATATCTCAATGAAACATGTATCAAAAATGAAATATTGCAAATTACTAGCCCCAAAATATTCAATGGGCTAGCCAGAGAATATAAAATGTAGGAGAGAGAAAATCTCAATATTCCAGTCTGGGATATTTTAAATATTTACTATTTGATAGCATAAACAATGTTTGACTCAGAGCTTTTATGTAGTAGAAGTACATACCAAGCACAACTATCGCCTAGGAAAAAGGAGCAGTATAATGGAATTCTTGTCAGTTTCAGAAAGAAACAAAGGTTTAAGCTTAGTGTGATGTTGGCCATTTTGAAAACAGAGAAAAAAAGAAAAAGAAAAAGAAAACATCATTGTTAATAGAGAGCCACTTATATTGTAAGATCTAACATTTTTGACATCTTCAATCCTTAGAAGGTCCCAAAGGCCTAAATGAGAGTTCTCCTGCTCTAGTCAGATGTGTCCCCAGTCACTGGGAAAAGCTCCCCACTCATCTAGTTCCCCGATCTATCCGATCCACTGCATTCCAGCCAGTCCTCAACCTAATGGGTTTCACCTCCCTGCCAGACCTAAAAATCAGTCAATCAAGCCAATCACATCCTCCCATGGGAATGAGGGGCAGCTCACTTTCTCGTTTCTACAAAGCCTGCCTCCCACACCCCCTTCTGTTTCACTCTGCTCCCAAATGCAGCCCCTATGTGCCCTGCATGGGCAAAGTATAAGTACTTGGCTGACCCCAGAAGTGCAAAGCTGACTGTAAAGCTCACCTTCTTTCCATATCCTAATGTTGGAAGAAGGCTGAAATGGTGAATAATTCATCTTGCAGTGATAAAGAAGGTGGCCTTGTTGGTAAGGGCTTTGTGATGCCCTCTGTGCCCTGCATGGACAAAGCATGTGTGTCCTCCGCTCCCAGGCTGTAGGGTTACGTGACTAATAAACTTTTGCCAGTCTCATTTGACCATTATCATGTGTCACGTGTACTGCTATCTTGTACCATTTAGTGGGGGCCTCATTCTACGACTACAAACAGGACAGCTGAACTCCTCATGAAGATGCAGTCTGGGGACAAGAGGAAATTATCAGTATCTCTGAACCAGAATCTGTCATTGTGAATCACCTAAAGGCAGAGGTCATCATTGTTATAAACACCTTTAAAGTAAGGGCCTTGGAGATGGGCAGAACTTGGAAGTCTTTCACTAAGAGACAAAGATTCCCAGACATGAAAACTCTCTTGATCTATGGCTCTAGCTAAAAGCTCAGTGCCCTAAAGCCAATCAGCGCCTCTACCAGTCCGTTTGGTGTGAAGATATGAAGTCTGAAACTGCTACAGCCACTCTGCCATTATGAAAGTAACCTAACATTAGAGAAGACAAAGCAAAAAGACCAGAAGTAACTGTCTCCTTGGCACCTTTGAGCTACTGAATCAAGCAAATTCTGAAGCCAGCTTTATCCCTGGCCTTCCCACTTATGTGATACCATAAATCCCCTTTCTTATTTAAGTCAATTTGAATATTTTTTTCTATAACTTTTTGCTGCAGATATAAGCCTTCTGGTCAAAGAACCATAAGCAATAGTTTTCTAAACTATTTTTAAAAGTTTATAATTATTATGATATTCCTAGATACCTTAAGATTTAAACCTATACCTCTAAAATAATCAATTATTGGTGGTTTTCATAGAAAGTCTCACAGCTGCAAGATAGGTAAAACACTAAAGAGACTCAGGAATGGCAGTAACAGTAATGGTAGAACGTCAGGAAAATAATGGAGACAGTTAAGGCCTGGAAGAAGTCCAGAAGAATGGTACTTATGCACCATAAAAGTAAGATAAAAATGTTCAAAAATGAGCCCATTGTGATATGGGAGCGGGGAAGGGAAGTGTTGGGTAGAGAAAGGTGGGTCTCTGGCTAGAGCTCCACCCTCGGGCCTGTGCCTATGGACCTAGCTGAGGAAAGGCACTCTTGCCTTTGTAACCAAATGTTTCATTTCCCAAGACCACCCTGGCCTGCCATGCCCCTGTCCTGTGCCTATAAAAACCCCCGAGACCCGAGCAGGTGGACACACAGGCAACTGGATGTCGAGTGGAGCACATCAGCGAGGAATACACAAGCGGCTGGTCGTGGAGAGGAACACACCGACAAGTACCGGCATGTGGCAGGCCAACGACCGGCAGAACTATGCAGAGTTTGGCTGGGGCAGCCCAAGGAGAGCCCAGGCCACTGAGTGGCCCGACTGCAAGGGAAACCTTCCCATTCCATCCCCTTCTGACTTTCCCCATCTGCTGGAAGCTACCTCTACTCAATAAAACCTTGCACTCATTCTCCAAACCCAGATGTGATCTGATTCTTCCGATACACCAAGGCAAGAACCCAGGATACAGACAGCCCTCTGTCCTTGTGACAAAGTAGAGGGTCTAACTGAGTTGGTTAACACAAGCTGCCTATAGACAGCTAAACTAAAAGAGCACCTTGTAACACACGCCCACTGAAGCTTCAGCTGTAAACATTCACCCCTAGACACTGCCGTGGGGCTCCCTGCCCATCTGTATGCTTCCCTAGAGGTTTGAGCAGCGGGGCACTGAAGAAGCGAGCCACACCCCCATCGCACACCCTGCCAGGGTAACAAGGGAACTTTTACCGTCTCACATGTAGGTAGGAAAAACTTGCAGGCATATGTCAGGAAGTAGACTAGAAATCTTTTCAAGAGAACCAGATGGATTCAGAAAGGCTTAGCTATGTTATACTCTGTGAATCTTGGTCAATGTTTCTCAAATTTAATTAAAACCTATTAAGTGGGGGAGAGACCCTTATTCAGAAGGAAGGCAAGGAAGGAAAAAAATCATTAGCAGTAATTATGTTCTTTGAAATTGAAAATCCACCCTTCCACTTCATTGTTATTTCCATTCTCCAGTTTGTGCCTCACCCTATCCCATTTCCAACTTAGCATTCTTTCTATATCCGTAACATTCTGACATGGACTCAGAGAATCACAGCGTGTGTCCCATCCCATCCTACTGGTAGGATGAGTGAATTTGTATACATTGTATAAAATGAGTGAATTGGTATACATTTCATATATATGGCTTGCTTGAACAATGTGAGATACACCCAGGGGAAAAAAAAACACAAACGCTAAAGGAAGGCAACCAGATCCGAAAATGCTTGTGCATAGAGCTACAAGAGTTGCATCAAAAGATTGGGGTGAGTGGCTGGGCCCCAATTCTGATCATTGTTCTCAGGGCTTCCCATCACCTACAGAATAAAATCAAATTCTGTGCACAACACACTAACATGGACATTCAACCTACCTAACTAGCCCACTCTATGGCCATTTATTTTCCTTATACTAGACACTCAGGCAAGGATGAAATACACATACTACCTATAATACACCCCTCCTCATTGTCTGAAAACATTATGTTGTTGTTTTGTTTGTTATACATTTCTATCTAAATTTTACCACCAAAATGCACTTACATGTAACAGTTTTAGTAAAACTTTCCCTGGTATATGCAGACAGCCCTAAATATCACAGCATTCCCCCAATTATTTTTGTATTGCAGCACAATATTTTTGAGTTTCAACTGCTTGCTTATATCCCTGGCCTATGGACAGGAAAGATGTCTTATTTATATTGATTTCTATGGTATCTACATGGTGCTTTGCACATGTTATACCCAAAATAAATATTTGTGGCATAAACGAATGAATGAATGATGCCAGGAAGGCCAGCCTTATGAATTGGTAGCAAAATGTATTGGTTAGCTTTACGTGCACTATAAAATGCTTCTGAAACACAAATAATGTTCCTATATAGATACAGGAAGTTAAGTGTCAGAATAATTATTTTCTTAGTTTAAATGAAGACTTTAACTTTTGTTACATATAAATGTTTCTTGAAAAGGTCCCTCTTTCTTGTGTTTCCAGGCTATTCTAGATTCATCATGATAACAACTAAAGTCCTCTCCTGAGTTTACTTCCTCTTCCCTGACTCCCTTTGATCCAAATATGCTGCCATTAATCAAGGCCTGTGCTCAGGGTTGATGCTGTTGACTAGCTACACTTTTGTAATAAGTTTCTGATAAATTACTGAAAGTTTTTTTAGTGATGGGTACACATACACCCCTGAAAGAGAAAGGAGGGGGATTGAAAAAATTGGGGGAACTGAAATCACAAATTTCAGGTACACTGAAGGCTAATGTACTTGTATAGAAAAGCTTATTAATGGTGGTTTCCCTGGTCCACAATAAATCATGGTAGTTTAACTGGCTAGCTAGATGATGGAAATAAAGAAATTCCACACAGAGAACCTTGCATTTGGGATATAATCAATATCCCCAATGACATAATATCCGACCTTAAAAAAATGACCCAAGTTACTCCAGTTGAACCTTCGCACTTTGACCTCCATTAGTTTCTTTTGTTTGCTTCCGAAGTGGAATAGACACACAGTAAAACCGCTTGATAGGTTTCCATGCAGAGAATGGACGGTGATAGCATCACAAAGCCCTTACCAACAAGGCCACCTTCCTTATCACTGCAAGATGAATTATTCACCATTTCAGCCTTCTTTCAACATTGGGATATGGAAAGAAGGTGAGCTTTACAGTCAGCTTTGCACTTCTGGGGTCAGCCAAGTACTTATCTTCAGAGCAGCAGAGGAACATTAATTTTCCAAGGTCCTCTACTTGATCCTACTGCAATGGAAATCCAACTAGAACCTTATCATCCTAGGAGATCAGCCTTGGAGCTATAAGAGAATGAACTCATCTTGAAAAGAATGATCTCAGGTAGGGAAAGGGAAGAATTTTATTGCCATGAATTTGCAGTTTCAGATATGAAATCCGCCTTTAATTTCTGTGTATCATTTTTACCTTTTAATTGGGACTTTTATCTTTCCCCAGCACTTCAGAAAATAGTAAGTTCAAGGTTTCTCAGTTTCTCTGACTTCATTACCCTAGGATGCTAGTAAGCCCTTAGCCATTCCACTTCACCTCCACTATAGGGTGTATTCAAGGTCCAATGATAAAATTGGCCATATCTGTCTCTCATCTTCCTCTTTGTACTCTTGTTTCACAATTTGGGAGATTCCTTTGTTGGGGCAATTAGTCTGTTAATTTATACCACAAAAAAAATAGATTCTCTGCCTTGTCCTAACCACTCCCACAGAAAACTGACATGTTATCTTAGAATTTCACAAACACGTCTGAGCTCTTTCTAAATACATCAGGTCAATGTCAGAGATGGGGGTTGTATCCAAATACTGAAAAGAAAAAGTGGGAGGAGGAAAGAAGAGGAGAAGGAGAATGCATATGAATCTAATTCTATGTATTTTTTTGTAAAAACTAAACTTGAATTAAATAGCTTTTTCAAGTCACCTTGACCTTATCATGGTCTTAATATGAAATAAAAAGGAATAACTTCAGTCATCCTTTAATATGGGAAGCAATCACATTCATAAAAGGGCTGACACTGAGCGTGCTTAGGCATTTTTCTTGCTTTCCAACCTCTTGCAGTGCATGACAAAAACAACAATGTGATATTTTATTGAGCATTTACTATGTGCCAGGCTCCAACAATACCCAAGTATTAATACTTAGAGTTCCCAGTGATTCTTTTTCTCACACTTACATGATTTTTGTACATCCAGTTTCCTCTCTCTAGAATATGCTTTCCCACTTTTCTTCCTGGGATATTCCTATCCTTTCTTAAAAACTTAGCAAATCAACACATACTTTATAATATTGACCCTCTTAGGCAGACAACAATGCATTTTCCTCTATTAAATTCATTATCTACTGCTATTGTATTATAATCGATAGTGCCACTTTTCTGGCTACAAGATTGACTTTATCCCCAAGACCAAACACATCATAAGGTAAATGAAAAACATTAAATGAATATTTGTTGAATTAGTAGTCTGATGCATGAATCAATTAATGAATAAATCTGCACCAATATATTCTGCACTGTTCTGTTCCAATAAATTACTGCACACAAAGGGGAAAACATTAGGTTCCAGACATAATTTCCAAAGCAGGTAATATCCTTTATATTTTGAGAAGCTCTTGCAAAGACATCCTGCGTTATCTGAATTACAATTTAATATTGATAGTGACAATAATGTTTTTATTGGAAATTTCAAGAATGCTGATATCAATGACTTTGGGTATCAAATACAAAAAATGAAGTAGGATGATGAAGGTTGTTCAAACAGACATGCACCCTGCCACCACACTGAACTGAGACCACGTGTTTCTCCTTCATACTGCACAACATCTTATTACTTCTGTTTCCCACTGACTCCCACCTCTCTCACTCGATAGGGAATTTTCTTTGTTATTTTCACAGGATCTATCAGATATTGTTGGAAATGACACTGTAAGTAAATTAAGTACAGGATAGTATGGGCTGATGAAGTACTGTAATTTAATTTTATTGCATCAGTGGCAACAGTAAAATAAATGCACAGCATAACATGCTGAGATAGTCTATTGATCTTTTCAGTTAATATTGGATGAAAACTCCTAACAAAACATAAAATTACAATATTGTTAGAAAATATATTATTTTTAGCTTTTAATACTACAACAAATTTAGAAGCGTAATTGTTTCATTTTACACACATCTAATATATATGTAGATGGCCAAGAACTGAATTCACACCTGATCAGATCGTATATAATAATAATATATTTATTCCAAGGTTACTTATTATGTTACCTCCAGGGGTAGTCAGACTAAGAGTAGGATAGGGGCCTTAAACATTTACAGTCAAGCAAAAGGATGTCACAAAATCCAGGTACCCAAAGGAACCTCATAGGCCTCCCTCAAAGATAAAGTATATCCTTCTAAGAGCCATACTGAACTTATCATCTTGATTATCTGTTTAACATAGTATACAAAAAAAAGTGAGTTGGATATTAGAGAGAATTATAAGGGAAAGACAGAATTTCCATAATGACAAATGGTGGTTACTTTCTTGAAAGCAGAAAGCATGCTTCAGAAAACATGGTCAAAAAGAAACAAAATGAGCAAAGAAGTCTGACGCCTTTCAATGCAGAGAGGATTGTTTCATGTACCTTAACAACAGTTTTGGACTTTTTTGAAGTGTAGTTTGCCTAGGAAATAACTGATCACAATTCTATTTTTATGGGGAGTCAAAATTGTTTTCAAATGTTTCAAATTTGACCTGAAAATACATCACAACTAGTAATTGATTCTGTTTTCTGTTCTAGTGGTCTTTCACTCCATATTGAAATCACTTTTGCTATTCGACATTTTTTGATTAAATTTAACCAATATATGTTCAGTGCCTACTATGTGCCAGGTGCTGTGATAAGCACTTAAAGAGAGGGAGAGATGAACAGTATATGATTATTATTATTAATAATTAAAAATTTTAGTGAATCACTTCAATTTAAAACTTGGAAATATCTGCCATACCCCTTTTGGGGACATATGAAGAACTAAGGTTATTATAAATCTGAGATGAGGGGATTCAGAATATATCATTACAGAAATAGTGTTGATAACCCTCTAAATCTGTGTATTCTTTATTCATGTGCAAGTTTTCTCATTCTACTTCATATTAATTCTCACAATAAGCCTATAAGCAAAGAAATAGTAATATTCACTCCATTCAGCAGATAAGAATACCTCAAATCAAAGTGGTTATTTCAAGTTTTAACCTCAGACAGTTAGAGGGAGACTCTAGAATAATATAACATACATATATAATAATATCCTGCAAACAACTACAGTGCCTCCTTCAGAGGATTTTTACTTCTGACCATACACCAGGCAGTCTGCATTAGAGAAAACACTTTCTCTTGGATGTATAGAAGAGAACCCTAGAGGTCTGAACACAGGAAGGCATAGAGAGGCCAAAGGAGCTTATTTGATTTCCATCATCCTCCTCACTGTTCTTCCTTACCCTCTCAGATGGTAAGGAATTATATTTTATATATTTATATATATATATGTATAATTTATATAATATAAAATACTCACATGCCCAGAGGAAAAATAGTGAGCCAATATTCTTCTTTGCAACTGGCATAAATCTTAATTCATTCTACACATGTGATGAATACAACTTGCATTGCCTCTTCTGTAAAGGTGCTTTCATTCCAGTAGTACAGGTGGTTTCAACCACATACATAAGGCTCCTGGTGGGGAGGATAAAAACACATATATTAACCATATATCAATATGAAAAAAAATTTAAAAGGTTTAAGGAAGAAACAGCAGATTTAAAGTACTTTAATTTTTCAAGATCTTCTAAGAGGAAATATGGAAAAGCTTCTAGGTGTTTAGGGAAAAAAACCCAGGAAAAATTTAAAAGACCAGAAAGAAGTAATGGTTTTCTAACAGTACATTTTAAATGCTCTCCTTTTTAAAATATCTGAAGGAATTATTCTGTATGTGCAACCAAATATACAATAATATACAATTCCCTTGGGCATTCATTTTATTTCACTACCTTAGCAGCCAATCATGAAAGCAAGCCGACTCTGGCTTTTATTTTTTTCATTCCAAACAGAAGAAAGCAAGCTTCATGAGAATGCAGTGTAATTGGAGAGAAAAATAACTGCAGTATAAGAGAGGGGTTGAAGGGAAAGAGAAGAGGGCTAGAAGAAAAGGGCTTAGCAACTCAGAATGTGGCAAAAATCATTGCACCTGGAAAGAAGGGCATCGGCTAGCTATATCATTGCAAATCTCTGAGAAAAAAACCTTTACTCAGTCATCTTTGGATTGCTTCCAGGTGCTACTGATATATTTTGAATTTAATAGATCAAGGTTAAATATATGCTTGGATGCTGACTTCAGGGTATCTTCCTTCTGATAAAATCAGAAACTATTATTGCTAATTGTCTACTGAATTTCCTAGACGCCCAGGAATGAAAGACCTTAGTAGTCATCTAATTCCACTATACACCATTTTTCAGTAGTTCTATTCTTTCTGACTTTTAGCAGAGTGAAAGGGAAGGAATCCAAGACTTACAAACAGGTGGTGAAAATATGAGTCTCAGCTCCATCTCTGGCAAGCTATATGACCTCTGCCAGGTTATTGAATCAGGCTGGGGCTCGTTTCATTTAAACTAAGGAAAGGATTACATTCTAAATATGCTTGTAAAATGTAATAAACTTAATATCTTTTGAAAATATTCACTTCAATAGTCCTTATAATTGATCCTGGTCAAAAATAAAACAAGAAAACAATTATTCAAGTATTTATATGTTCTTTCACATTCCAATGGAAACCTCATAACACCTACCCAAGCTCCATATCTAAATATGTAACACAAATATTAACACACTTTAAATAAATATATATACACCTATAAATATCACAATAAGCTGGGCAGGCAGCACTTTGGGGGGTCAAAACGGGCTAGAGTTTGAGACTAGTCTGGCCAAGATGATGAAACCCCAACTCTACTAAAAATACAAAAATTAGCTGGATGTGGTGGTGCACGCCTGTAATCCCAGCTACTTGGGAGGCTGAGGCAGGAGAATCACTTGAACTCGGGAGGCAGAGATTGCCCTGAGCCGAGATCATGCCATGGCACTCCAGCCTGGGTGACAGAATGAGATTCTGTCTCAAAAAATAAATAAATATCACAATGGTGCTGATTTATGAAACCACAATTCTATCTAGAACAAAAACATAGCATTGACTTATTGACTCTATGTTGTGGTTCTTCTTCAGTATAAATTACTACTTGACATTGCTTTACTAAGAAAGCAAAGACCCATATACCACCTCATACATCAATTCACAGTATCACACCTACTACATGGAAATAATTTGGGACTCTTTTCATTTGCTTTACCCTTTCAAGTAATTCATTTATGTCAGAATAATAAACTTATTTGTGGATATTTAGTTGTTTTCTTCATTTATAAAATGTTGAGAATTAAGATGTCTTTGTGGCTAGCCATTTTACAATAAATATGGGAGACATCTTCCTGTGTCATGGTTTTCCTTCCGAGGTTACTTAATGATACTGAGTGTGAATGAGACAATTATTTTGCTAGATGATGGCTTCTTTCTAGCCATTAAGTAATATCATATAAAATATAATAATCATAGCTTTATTTGATTTTTTTCTAAGTACTTTACATGTACCAAGGCCTTTAATCCCCACAGCAATCTGGGGAGATAGCTACTATTGTTATCACTATTTTGATAATGAGGAAACTAAGACAGAGAGAAGATAAGTAACCGGCTAAAGGCAAAGTAGTTAGTAAGTGAAAATGCCAGGATACAGACCCAGGCATTTAAGCCCACGGTCCATGTCTTAGTCACTATTGTGTAAGTTGAGAGTAACAGAATATACATTTTCAACTCCCTTAATAACTGTTTCAGAGTGAAACATAAACATATTTTTTCTTAGTGATGGTTTTATTTTTAAGGCAGTGAAGATTATGTTACAAGGCAAACCACTCTTTTCATTTCTAGCATGGAAAAGCTCAAGCTAAGTTGTGAGGATAAGGAAGTGTCATCATCCTTCAATTACAAACGTGGATAGAAGCTTTGATATAACTAACTAATGATTAAATGGAAAGAGAGAGTTTTCCATTCCTTATTGATTTTATCCTCTGTAATACTGGAGATTAAAAATTGTAATCATTTGAGAATATACTTGGTTTCTCTGATACAAATACTTCTACAAAGGTGTACATTTAATGCCACCAAATTTATTTCACTTCCAATCACCCCCTAACTGAGTGACAACAGGCTACTAAGAGCTATGTCAGGTAAGTAATTTTTCTTGAGCTTTTATGTTGAGTTCTGTATGTAACCAAATATCTGCTTTTGAAGGAAAATAAAATTATGGAACTGAATAAAGCAGCAAGTTTTCTGCTCTAGTATGCAGGCTCTAAGCTTTTTTTTTTTTTTTTAGACGGAGGCTTGCTCTGTCACCCAAGCTGAAGTGCAGTGTCATGATCTCAGCTCACAGCAATCTCTGCCTCTGGGTTCAAGCGATTCTCCTGTCTCAGCCTCTCCAGCAGTTGGGACTACAGGCGCCAACCACCATGCCCCCCTAATTTTGTAGTACTTTTATTAGAGACGGCGTTTCACCATGTTGCCCAGGCTGGTCTCAAACTCCTGACCTCAGGTAATCTGCCCGCCTCGGCCTCCCAAAGTGCTGGGATTACAGGCATGAGCCACTGTGCCCAGCAGGCTCTAAGCTTTTTAAGGAAAGATGTTTTGTTTTACTCATTTTTGCAATCATAGCACCTACCTCTGTCTCATGTGCAGAACTTGGTCCTACAAACATGCCCATTAAAT
Source organism: Homo sapiens (assembly GCF_000001405.40). Taxonomy (NCBI): domain Eukaryota; kingdom Metazoa; phylum Chordata; class Mammalia; order Primates; family Hominidae; genus Homo; species Homo sapiens. The sequence goes on from NC_000018.10 coordinate 39,538,747, forward strand.
TGTGTGAGGTGATTAAAAATAATTGTTCAAATAAAACACACTCAAAATGCTAAAATTTTAAGAATATAGGCCAATGAGTCTCTAAGAGATAACACACACATATATTCACTACCAAGTTTAAGAAACAAAATTCCCCAATATCAGAGAAGCTCTCCTCCTGCCCTTCTCAATCGCTGCCTTCCGTTTTCCAAAAAAAGAAAACCATGACCTGACTTCTAACAGAGTAGAATACTTTTGCCTGATTTTCAACTGTATGTGAATGAAGTGTTACAACATGCACTCTCTAAGGTCTAGTTTCTTTCACTCACTACAATGTTTGCAAAATTCATCCACAGCATTGCTCGTAGCTGCAGCACATTTTGTCTGTAGTATATGACACCATTGGTGAGTAAGACACTTTTTCTTTTAATCCCTGCTACTGTTAATGGACATTTGAGTAGCTTCCAGCTTTGGGCTCTCATAAAAAATATTGCTGTGCATATCATTTATCCTTCTTGAGGCCTAGACATGAATGTATTTCTGTTGGGTAGATACCTAGGCTTAGAAATGCTATTGTATTGAGTAAGCATTTATTCAGGTTAGTAGATAATTTTGGATAGATTCCAAAAATGGTTGTGCAAGTTTGCATTTTCTCCAGAAGTATATTATAGTTCTGGTGGTCCCATGTCCTTACCAGTTGTCAGTCTTTTAAATTGTAGTCATTGTGTGAGTTTGTGATGGCATGTTATTATGGCTTAATTTACTTTTTCATCTTTTTTTTTTTTTTTTTTGAGACAAAGTCTCGTTCTGCCACTCAGGCTAGAGTGCAGTGCCACAGTCTGGGCTCACTGCAACCTCAGCCTCCCGGGTTCAAGTGATTCTCCTGCCTCAGCCTCCTGTAGCTAGGACTACAGGCGTGTGCCACCACGCCTGGGTAATTTTTGTATTTTTAGTAGAGATGGGGTTTCACGACTTTGGCCAGGCTGGTCTCGAACTCCTGACTTCAAGTGATCCACCCACCTCGGCATCTCAAAGTGCTGGGATTACAGGCGTGAGCCACCACTCCTGGCACCATCATTTCTAATTATGATGAATGCCTTTTTAAAAATATTTATTGGCTATTCAGATTTACTATTTTGTGATTTGCCTACTTAGTCTTTTTCTCATGTTTTTAGTGAGTTGACAGTCTTTTTATTATTCACAAAATAAGTATTTTCTCATTATAAATGTATTTTTTATAAGAATTTTTTTTCTCATTATTAATGTATACATTAATAATTTATATGTTATGGATACACATGCTTTGTTAAATGTATGTACTGCAGGTATATTTTCCCACATTGTAGCTTGCATTTTTACCTTATCAATGTTGTCATTTAATAAAGCAAAGTTTTAACTTTTAATGTGCCCTATCAGTTTTGTTCATTTATTGAAGATTATCTCTTCTTGTCTGTTCTGTGGTGCTATCTTTACAAAATTGGGCGTGAATATGAATTTGTACTTGCTATCCAATTCCAATAGTTTAATTTCTAATTTTTTGCTAATATCACATCATCCTCAATAGTTACTATAGCCTTCCAAGAAGGCTTAATTTTTTATATTTTTTATTATATATTTTTTCATTACATACGAGATGTGTATTTAAACAACCAGACTCTGGACTTGTTTTTAGTTTTTAAAATTTCAATAGTGTTGGGAATGTAAGTGGTTTTGGATGCATGATTAACTGTATAGTGAAGTCTGGGCTTTTAGTGCACCCATCACCTGAGTAGTGTACATTGTCCCCAACAGGTAGTTTTTAATCTCTCACCCTCCTCACTTCTAAACCTCCAATGTCCATTAAGCCACTCTGCATGCCTTTGTGTACCCACAGCTTAGCTCCCACTTATAGGTGAGAACACGTGTTATTTGGTTTTCCAATAAGAAGGCTTGATTATCTTGTGAAGAACATTCTTCTTAGTTGGCATTACAACTTAATCTTCATTCTTTTTGACCATTCATATTTTCATACATACTTCTAAGTTTGTCATTTTCCACAAAAATAAACTACTAAAATTTTGTAATTTGGCTACATAATTGAATTAAACCTATGCATCAATTACAAAGATTCAACTCTAAAATATTGACTGCTTCAATGCATCACCATAATAATATTTTATACTTTTCTGACAAGGACTTATACATCTTTTATTAGATTTCTTTAGAGGTATTTGATCTTTCATTGATGCCACAGAAAATCGTATGTTTCTGAAATATTTTCAAATTACCATTTAGTGTTATTTAGAAAAAACAATTGATTTCTGCAAATCAACCATGTATCTAGAAACTTTCCTAATTTTACTTACTAATTCATATAGTTAATTTAAATATATATGTGTGGCTGGGAGCGGTGGCTCATTCCTGTAATCCTAGCACTTTGGAAGGCCGAGACGGGCAGATTGCCTGAGCTCAGGAGTTTGAGACCAGCCTGGGGAACACGGTAAAATCCCATCTCTACTAAAATACAAAAAAAATCAGCCAGGCATGGTGGCGGTCGCCTGTAATTCCAGCTACTCAGGAGTCTGAGGCAGGAGAATTGCTTGAACCTGGGAGGCAGAGGTTGCAGTAAGCTGAGATCGTGCCACCGCACTCCAACCTGGACAACAAAGCAAAACTCTGTCACAAACAAACAAACAACAGTTATATATATTTTACCTACTTGAGATAATTTACCTACTTGAGATAATTTAATTGTATCCCTAAAATCAATATTAATGGCACTTTTGTGGTCATTTGCAAACAAACACAGAGTGGTGAACAATTTGAGTCACCGATTTTCCCAGCTCTATCTTCTTGTTTCGGGTCACATACTATAAATAAGTGTCCTTTTTGCAGTCCATTTGTGCCACATTTTTTGCATTTTTATGCTTTTCATTGGTGATGTGATTGCTTAAAATGGGCTCCAAGCCTAGTGCTGAAGTGCTATCTGGCACTCCTCAGTAGAGGAAGGCTGTGATGTGCCTTAGGAAGAAAATCCATTGTTAGATAAGCTTTCTTCTGGCACCAGTTATAGTGCTGTTGGATCTGGGTTCCATGTAATAAACCAGTGGTAAATATTACTATTAATAGGGTGTCTTTAAATGGAAATACACACAAGACTATGTTATATACTGATCAGTCATAAAACTAACATGGGCAGAGGCTCTCAGGAACCTAGCCTTATATTTCTCCTAAAAGCAATTGTTCAGTATTTGCTGATTAAGTGTTTATAATGACTTTATAGAACATAACTATTGCATAAATAATAAAAATCCATTTCTATTTATCTCTCTGCATATATATAATAAAGAAAATGTTCATAATATTGTTTTTGCATTATACATCAGATAGGTACTTTAATATAATGCCAAATATTTATAGTAAAGGTGAGGATCCTTGCTTTATTTCCAGAGAACTATTATTATTTGTGATGTTTAGTAGTTCCCTCCAAATAGTTCCATTCCCAGAGAACTATTATTATTTGTGATGTTTAGTAGTTCCCTCCAAAAACCCACTTCAAGAATTTATCTTTATTTGACCTAACCCAGACTTTACCCAGTACAAACATCATTTTCCCTGGGAGCATTTGTTAAAAACAATCAACAGCAATTCTTTAACAACACGATTGCCTGAGGTGGATATAAGAGTTGGAACAAAAAACAAAGCTGGCAAAAAGCTTAAAAGGAAAACTAAAAAATGAGGTGTTCATAGAAGAAAGAGCCAACATAGTGCTAGCACTCTAGAAGCCCATGCACATTAATGGGACTGTGTGGACAGCCATGGTTGTGCACAGGCTTAGAAAAGACCTCAGAAATTCCTAAGCTCTCACCTCTCAATGCCTCTGTTCAAGGAGGAAGCAAAGACTAAGGTAGGGTTTTTAATCTACACAGAACCTCTCAACAAAGATTGAGAGAATAATTGGTTCCAGCAATTTAAAGAAATTACTGTTCAATAACTACCTGACCACTAGGTAAATTAAACAGAGTATTTAGTGGTTACATATTACAAAAAATTTAGATTTTGTGCAATTAGTTTAGAAAGTCACTAAACAATCAAACAGCAACAGCAACAACAACCACCACCATTGTCACCAAACCCTGAGTAGAGAAAATAATCTGACTTAGAGAGTGTTCATATTGTATTATTTTAAATGTACAATTTTCAACAGAAAATTATGAAACATGCAAATACAAAAACAAGAAAATACAGCCCATACATAAGGGAAAAAAAGTTAAGAGAAAAAAAAAAGTAAATAATTCCTGAGGAAGCACAGATGTTAGGAGGCTAAGAATTTAAATGCTATTTTAACATATGTTTAAAAACTAAAAGAAATTGTGTCTTAAGAAACAAAGGGGCTGGGCATGGTGTCTAACACCTGTAATCCCAGCTCTTTGGGAGGTCAAGGCAGGAGGATCATTTGAAGCCAGAATTTCAAGATGAGCCTGAGCAACATAAGTAGACCTTCATCTCTACAAAAAGTAAAAAATAAAGAAAAATTAGTCAGATATGATGACATTTCATCATATCTGGGACCTAGTAGTCCCAGCTACTCAAGAAGCTGAGATGGGAGAAATACTTGAACTCATGAGTTTGAGGCTGCAGTGAGCTATGGTCTTGCTACTGCACTCCAGGCTGGGCAACAGGGCAAGACCCTGTATCTGGAAAAGAAAAAAAAAAGAATGATGTCACACCAAATAGAGAATTTTTTTACAGTGTAAAAAAGAACCAAATAGAAATTCTGAAGTTGAAAATTAAAATAACTGAAATGAAAAATTTATTAGAAGGGCTCAATAGAACATTTTCTTTGGCAGAAGAAGGAATTTGTGAAGATGAAGATAGGTCAATTGAGATTATTCTCTGCAAAGAATAGAAAAAAGAATAAAGAAAAATTAAAAATGAACATACTCAGATACGTGTGGGACACAATCAAGTATGCCAACATAACATAAAATTGGAATAATGGAAGGAGGGGAGAGAAAGAAAGGAATATAAAAAATATATGAAGTATTAACAAACAAAAATTTGCATTAGTTGATGAAAAACATTAATATACACACTCAGGAAACTAAACAAATTTCAAGAAAGATTAACTCAAAGATAATCACTCCCAGATACATTGTAATGAATCATTAAAAGACCAAGTCTACAGAGAAACTTAAAAGTGTGTAGAGAGATATGATCAAGGATGTACAAGGAACCTCAATAAGATGAATTGCTGCTTCCTTACCAGAAACCAGAAAGGCAGAGAGCAATGGAATGACATATTCAAAGTGCTGACAGATAAAGACTGTAAACCAAGAATTCTATTTAAAGCAAAACTATTCTTCAAAAATACAGGAAAAATGATAACTTTCCCAAAAGAACAAAAATTGAGAATTATCTTTGCTAGACTTGCTTTGTAATAAATAGGAATAGGATCAAGGCTGAAATAAAAGAATACTATACAGTAGTTTGAGTCTACATGATAAATTAAAGAATACCAGTAATGGGAACTACATGGAGAGATGTATGTGTGTGTGTGTGTGTGTGTGTGTGTGTGTGTGTGTGTGTGTGTGTGTCTGTGTGTGTAATATATATGTATATTTATAAAGGTATACATGTCATATGTATGTATATATGTTTGTATTGTTGTGTATATTATATATTCAAATGTACACACACACACACACACACACACACACACACACACACAGGCTTATGTATATAGACTTTGAAATTGCAGTCACCTCTTCTGAGTTCTCCATACCCCAGCAGTCATCTTTTGCCATTTCATGCCCAGATTCTGAGCCTCTATTTAATGCACAAAATTGCAAAATGCCTCCAATAAGAAAAAAGTTCAGATTATTGATTTACCTCTCCTATGAGAGAGTAAGTTTTAGTCTCTGTAGTATTTGTTTCCACAAATTTCTGATGTTATCATACAAAATATTTCAGCATTTTGTCTGTCTTCTTAATTATTTTTGACAAATCCATCACTTGCTACAACTTTCTACATTCTATCTGCAAGTGGAGGTCTCATCCTTGCATATATAACTTTTCTTTAACTTTGTATTTGAGATATTTCTTCTATGTTGCATATAGTTAGTTCTTTGCTTTATGTTTTGTTTCAATATTGTATGACAATCTTTGTGATTTAATTAGAGTTTAAATTATATATTTAATACGATTGCTGACGTGGGGAGTCAAAAACTACATTTTACTATTTATTTTCTATTTATGCCACAAAATTTTTGTTTCTTTTTTTCTTCCTCTTGAATTAATCAAATACATATTTTATACCATTTTAACCTGTAATAGCTTATTAATTATACATGCTTTTGTTATTATTTCTGTCTTAGAGATTTTTAGCATTTATCTTGTTTAAATTAAAATCTTACTAAATCTTATTAAAATCAAACTTATAATGGAACTTTTACTATTTAACTAGAAAATGCAAGAACATTTAACAACTTTAATGACCCTTTTCTGTCTGCATTTTGTAGTCTGATTTTTTAATACTGTGATTCTACATATATTTTTACATTCCACACTATATTATTGTTGTTGCTTTGAAGCACATTTCAGGAAACTACAGCACATAAGCCTACTCTAGCTCTTAGTTTGTATATTACCTGTGAACTAAGAATATTATTTTTAAAGTTAAAAAAAGAATGAACAATATACAACAGATCCTAAAAGATCTGTTGACCCATTACCAAAAATGTTGATTCCCTGCTTTAACTATCAATAAAAATTTAGATTTACCAATGGGTTTACCTTGTCAGAGTTCTTCTGTACCTTTTGCACTTCTAGATTCCACCTCAGGTAATGTTCTTTTTGCCTAAACAAGTCCCTTTAGCACAACTTTTAGGCAGATCTGTTGGCAATATCTACTCTCATTCGTGGTGGATACTTTTGCTTCATATAAAATTCTAGCTTGTCAGTTATATTCTTTTAGTTCTTGTCATCATTTCTTCTTTCAATCAACTGTATCTATTATTATTAGTATTTTGAGAATAATGGCTTTGTTTCACTTCTGGTTACTTCTATGATTTTTCTCTTTGTCTTTGGTTTTTTGACATTACAATATGCTATAGGTAGTTTTTCTTTTTTTCTTGTATTTATTCTGTTTGATATTGACAGAGTTTCCAGAAACAGGAATTTCATATCTTGAAAAAATTTCAGAAAAGTGTCAGCCAAAATTTCTCAAAATATTCTTTCTTATCCATTTTATTTCCTACTTTTTTCTGGAATTCAATTATTTATATGTGAGAGTGTTTTACCAGGTTTCCTATACCTCTTATCATCCTTTTTATTATTCTATTCAAGAGTCTTCTCGAGCTTTAATTAGTTTAATTTCCAATGACCAGTTCTGTAATCCTTTTTTCTCCTATATCTAACATGCTATTAATCGTATCTATTGAATTCCTGACTTTGTGTTTTTTAATTTCTAAAATTTATATTTACAGTTATATATGTATGTGTGTATAGTCCAATTCTTTGGTGAAATTATTTATTTTTCAGGTATAGAATTTCTTTATGGTTCACATTTATAGTATTTTGGTTTTCTGCCATTTTTTTGTTTTTTTGTCAATATTTAAACCTACATTTTTACAATTTATGACCATTAAGTCTATTGTAAATATCAAATGAGTTTCTAAAGTTTTGCTTCTCTTGATTTTTAACTCATGCTATTTCATCTTTTACTTTTCTGGTTATTTTCTATTAAGTATTAGCCATTGTATGTTTTGAGGTGTAAGGAGATATTATTTGCCACAAGAAAATATTTAAATTTAATTCCCATGGCTATATGGGAACTAGTAATTCTATACTACCTTACTTTGACCAAAGACTGAAGTGATTTGGGTCTGGGATTAAGTTTCTTTCAGGTCAGTCTACTTCTGGTTGAAAACTGGACTGGTCTCATCTCTCTGGGTTTTCTTCTCACAATTCTTTTTTTTTTTTTAATCTTTCTAATGCCTCTAAACATTTTTATTTGTTATTTGTTTCAATTTCCTAGTTTCTTTCAGTAAAAACATATGCATATCCGTAAGCTTTTTTATTCCTTTGGGGTTATGGTTTCTCTACCTTGTTCTAATTGCAAGATAAAGCATATAAATCAGTAAAGCAGCCCCCTCTTCTGAAAAGTTGGCTATGTGAATGGAATATTATTTTGATGTAACAATCTTCAGAAGAACAATCCATTTTAAGCAGATCCAAATTTCTTATAACACTTGTTAGGAAACGTAATGAATAAATTAGAAGAAAAAGAAAAGACAAAAGAAGACTAAATCTTGAATCTTGGACTCTAGCAGGAACTGATAAGATAAGCAACTGGTTTGCTCATAAGATGCTTTGAGATTTGACTCAGCTCCTTCACTTCTTCCTTAAACAAGTTATTGAAGGTGGCAGTCCAGTAGTGATTCAAATTTATCTAAGAAAGTCTTTGTTTCTATGGCCAAGACCATCCTTTTTAAGGAGGACATTTGAGGGATCAGAGGGCATCTACTGGTGCTGTTACTTGGCTTTTGATACACTGCTTCCCAATAAATAAGCTACTTTTAAAAACTGCATGTTATGAATGCATATGATGTGTTAGCATGTAAAAGAATGAGTTCTTCACGTAGTTGAAATAGAACTTCCTGTAAGCCATGCATTAGCTCTGGCACTTATGCTTTGGTAAAATAATACATGAAGGCCAACACCATGGTGGTTTTGTGCTTAACTAAAGCAAGCATCAACAATGGCACTCAGTGAAAGATGAGAATCAAGATATTTGCATGGTACTGTATACAGAGACTGAGAGTAGATCATAGAAACAAAATGCACATAGAAGGATCTTGTTAATGCCCCTCACATCTTCCTATATCTCTTGGATGTGTTTCCCTAGATCTCATTTGTGCTTCATTTGTTCTGTGTCAAGTAATCTTTCTCTTAATTATCTGGTTAATTCTCTGAGGTGAGGGGAAAAAAAAGATGAATGGATGAGTGAACATTTAGTATAGATAATGACTAAACTTCTCATACATGATTTTAACAAGAAATTTAAACTTATTTGAGTGTATTATGTTGATTTATCTAGTTATGATACAGCTGAATAGATGGTACAGCATACCAGGTTTATCATCATGACAGAGAAAATGACCTGTAATTGTGGTGTTTAAACACTGAGAGATATTGTCAACAGTGCTCTGGCTGGGTCTACATATGTACCAACAAACATAGTCAAAAGAAATTACACTATGGTTAAAAAAATCTGAGTAGAGCAATAATGCTATTATCAGCTGCTAATCACTAATTGTTATTACCAATAGGTATTACAATTGAGAATAAGTAGTTTGCTGAAGTTCTGGGGGGAAAAGAGAAGGGGTTAAGTGAGCGAAGTGATTCCTTACCTTCCTTCCATTAAGAATATACTACATTTAGGATAACAAATCATTCACAAAGAAAATTGAAGAAAATTTTTTATGGAATGGTAAGTGTTAAATAATAAAAACTCTTCAAATTGAGTTACACTGAGAATAGTGAGAATAAAAATAGAATGATTTTTCAAAACTGTTAAGTTTTGAGAAAAGAACTAGGCACAATGGAGGAGGAAATGATCTAGAAAAAAATGAGCATGACTCAAAGTTTGAAAGGATATTAATAATGTTGGAGAATGACCAAATTAACTTAACAAAAGAAGGGTAATTGAAACGTGGTTTTCAGTTTGGATAGGGTGGTGGAGGAGTTTGGATGGACAATCATGATTGCTGTTACACAATATGAATATATGCATATTCACCAATGATATTGCTATTCTGTCTTACACATTTAATTCATTCTGGCAGATCATTTATAAAATATATATATATATATATATATATATATATATATATATATATATATATATATATTCATAACAGTCTCACTTGAATTATGAAAAAACCCTACTTTATTAAAGCAATGCATCTGGTAGGCTGGTAATCCCTCTTGATTTCAAATCTACAGAAATTCTAGTGGAAGTTTTTCCACAGTAATATGCAGAGAATGGCCTCACATTGGTAAGTAATGGTGGAATGTAGTCCATGTGGATTGCACCCTTTTTATCCCTCATTTAGATGGTGAAATAAATTTATGTATAGATTTATAATAAACTGCATGGGTTTGTTTTTGTTTCTAAGTTTCATTACTAAATAATACATTTCAGTGAGTTCCACTGCCTACCTCATCCTAAGGCTTTTATGTATACCATGAAATGTTTGTGCCATTTCAAGAATGGCAAAGCAGCTGTTGGACGCACTTGATATTGCACAAACAATGCCCCAGCGCGCTCTGTAATTTCATGAAAAGTCAGTCAGGGGAGGGTGGAGCTGTTACACGTACATGATGGGAACTTCTTCTGTAAAGAAAAATGAGCATCATTGCTTTGCCATTTGCATATAGATTTTCCCCCTACTGCTACCTGAGAAAATTAAGAGCTTCCACCCTATCAGTTTCTTAAACATGTTCTTGAGAATGTCCACATTTATGTCAGCACTTTTTCGACATCCTAATGATGCTTTTGCTAGGACTATGGCATCTATATGGCTTGTTACCAGCCTAATGAAAAGTTGCTTTAGGTGTCAAAATAAATCTAAGAATGTTCTACACTCCAGCTGACTGTAATATATCATCATGGCCTGCTTAAGTAGTATAAAATGCAACATGATAAAGCTGCTAACAAAAACCTATGAGAACCAGTAGCTGGGATAATAGGCATTCAGTGTAAGGATAATATAGCAGCAATAAAAATTTCAATAACCAAAGGTTATATACCATACTTTTTAATGGAGTTCTTGGCTAAGTGAGCTTTCTTCAATAGCAGACACATGGATAGGTTGATTCATTACAAGCATCCCTCTGATTTTCTTCCCACTTGGAATAATATTAGTGGGCTCCTTCCTCAGATTATGAGATGCCCTTTTGTTTAAATTATCCTTTTCAGGAATTACCTTGAGTCTTACCTACATTTATAGATAAAATTCCCAACTGTTTTGCCTAAAAACATAATAGATTCAGTATTTTTGTAATTTTTAACATCTTATTTCCTGCAAACTGAAGTACAGACCCCTAAGACTAACAACACACTTCCAAGTCCACTCACATTTGTTTGATGATTACTTAGTGACTCCTTACTCTCAAACTGGAGTCTCACCATTTCTGAAACCCATGTTATTGTATCCTACCATTGCATTTGACGTCGAAGTATGTTGTTTGCTGGGACTTTACCAGCATACTCTATTGAAGGCATTTCCATTTGGCCTTCCCTACACACTGTCAATATCAAATGCCTTCATTTCTATGAAATCTTCTCTGACAGTCTCAGCTAGAATTTCTCTCCTCTCCACACAAATGTCTGTAAAAAGGGATATTATAGTGATGCATAACCTACATATTATTGTGTAGAGAAAACTATCTTATGCAATACAATCAATACCTGTTGTTGGTTTGCTAATTGAAAAAGTTAAAGTATCAAATAATTTTTAAAAGGATATATTCTAAATTTTTATGCTAACCTAAAACAGAGATACATAAAATTATTATTCTTTTAGTACTGACAAATCTTTTGAGTACAGAACTGATGATTGTAGTTTATCATTATTTTTCTTGAATAAACATCACTATATTCTATATGGAGATTCTTTAAAATGGAGCAACCTCCTAAATACATTTGTATGAGAATCTAAAGGAATACTTTTTATAGACATTTATAGTTTGTACCCCCTCAAACATTTATTGTTGTCCTGCCTTGACTAAATTTGACAGCAAGTTTATGTGTTGGCTCTTTTTTGTGGCTAATAAATTGACATTAACGAGCCTTTCTAAGGCATTGTATTAGTTTTATGTTGCTGAATAATAAATTATTGTAAATTTAGCAGCTTAAAACAACAATTATTTATTACTTCACAGTTTTCATAGGGCAGGGCTCCTGGCACTTAACTGGTGCCTCTACTCAGACCCTCTCAAGGCTGCAATCAAGATGTCTGCCAGATAGCATTCTCATCTAATTCCCAGCTAGGGGGGAGTCCTTTCAAGCTTCTTCAGGTTCTTGGCCAAATCCATTTCCTTGAAGCTTTTTGACTGAGGTTCCATGCTTCCTATTCACTGTTGGCTAGACGCCACTCTAGAGGCTGCCCACTGTTCCCTGCCAAATGGCTCTCTCCAACACATGGAGAAACATGGCATCTTCAAGGTCAGCAGAAGAAGCTCTATCTTCAGTATGCTGAGCAGAATCTTAGGTAATATCATACAATCGTGGGAGAAACATGCCACCAGTTTTACTATACAACATAACCTAATCAAGAAAGTGGTATCTCATCACCTTTGTCAAATTCCATTGGTTAGAAGCAAGTCATAGCTTTCACCTGCACTTAAAAGTAAGAGATTATATAAGAGCATGAGTCACTGGGGTTCACTTTAGGGTATGTTCATGACAGGCATTCAAATTAAATTATTTTCCATAGAAATACTAACTCTCTTTTTGTATATATCTTTCATTAGTTTATCGAACATACATCAGTATATCAAACATATAATTATGAAATTTGAGTATCAGGTTAAATGAGTATAAGCTGACTTGGTGATGAACACAATTGACTCTTGAGAAATATACAACTCAATTGGTAGGAGTTTCATTCCACTGTAGGACTCCAGAGTATGTTTTACAGAAAGAATAGGCAGTGTCTGTAAAGCCAGTGAGTCCATGTAAATGAGATGGCCCAGAGAATTACATTGAACTGATTTTTAATCATATTTATCATTTGAAGTTATGGCCCATGACTTTATGCACACATACACACACACATACCCCTCATACTGTGCTTTGTATACAACAAACTCTCAACAAACAGAAACTAGATAAAGGAAGCTGGTCAGGCATTTCAATACAAGTGCCATAGAAACTATTTAGAGGAAGTAGTTGGTAAACGCAAAATGATAAAAGTTCAATAGTCTGTTTTGTTGAAATAGTAAAAAAAAAAAAAAAAAATGAGCTAAAAGGAATTAGGTATTAACTATTCTAATTCTCTTATTTCATAAATGTGGAAGCTTGGGCCAAGGAAGGTTTTCACTAAGTCAGTATTGCATGCTTATTTTATTTATGAATTCACCATAATAAGGGGAAGAGAGAGACATAAGCCATGTTCTGTGAAGTCACAATGAAGCACAAGCGTGGTTAGGTTAGAAGTGGAGATCTGAGAAAGGTTAAATGTGGGGCACTGAAGCCCAGTCCAGAAGAACCGGAATAGACGAAGAGAGAAAAATGAAGGAAAGCTTAGATCTGATGGAAAAATACAAAATGTGCTAAGCCATGGAGGCATGAAAGTTCACAGTTTACTCAGAGAACATAAAGTGAACAATCTTATTTCTAGAGGAAAAGGTGTTTTCAGGGAAGTTGATACGAAAGGTCAAAACAAAATTGTGAAGGGCCTTTGGTTTCTTGCTAAGTGGTATCACTAATGTGTTCTAATATATGATGGAGATCCATAGGACATTTGGGGGTAATAGTAGGATCATAGGTGTTAGGTATATTACTGTGCATGCAGTTTATGAGCTGAGCTGAAGAGAAGACTTAGAAATACTTCAAGAGGAGGTGTATACCTAATCTGGGAACACCAAAGTAGTAGTAAATAGGAAATCCAGCTGGAATCACACTCAAAGCCCAGAGTTACTAAAAGAACATAATTATGAATATTAAATTCTCTTGGGATTGTGACACAAATAAGAATGGGTAGCAAGAAAGTTATCACAACCTTCATTGATTTTGTGGATGTGACTTGAACATCATTGGTGACAGTGACAGGCAATGAGGGTGGTATAATTTGGGAATGGCTTCCAAGAAAGTGAACTCAGGGAAGTGGCCTCAGGAGGATGAGCCAGTATAAGTGTTGCATCCCAGTGAGCTTACTATTGGTCCTGGAGAATGCTCCTGGAAGAATGAAAAACTGCCACTTAAAGGTTATAAGTATGTGCTCTTAAAAGAAAGTTAAGAGTTTGGGGTAGTTGAAGAGGTAGAAATTATTCCAAAGATAGTTAATAAATATAGAAAATTTCCTGGGCAATAAAAGAGAAGGTCCAGAGTGTGTATGTAACACAAGGTTTGAAGTTGTGTAAGACAGGAAAAGATTAAGAGATGGTCATTATTTTACAAGCTCATGCTAGAATTTGGATTCTCTCACTATACAAAAACACCACATCAAATAGTTACATGGCTTATAGCTACAGGTACATTTCCTTGAAGTGTCACCTCACTGCGAGACTTACAACTTGTGTAAACTTCAGCTGGATGACTTCATTAAACCAGCATTGTTCAATGACATGTTTCTGAAAATGTGTTTTCTTGTAGTGTCTAGCAGGGTCAGCAAAGAAACTGTTAACTAAAACATATCACATGAAAGTTTTACATACACTCTGGTTGTGTCAAAGCATCTCCTCTTTATAAACCCACTATAAATGTATGTAAATTCATACAATACTCAGCAAATATCATGTAACTTTCTTTAATGAGATATTGAAACATCTGATGAAAGTGGGAGCTCAATTCCACCCTGAAATCCCACTTTAACTCTTTCTCCATCCCAACCAACCCTTTTTGTATTACTATTCAAGTTTACTGTTCAATCTCATCTTTGCATGGTGACACTTCTACTATTCACGTAGGACTGTGTTTCACTGTTGCTTGTTTTGTCATTTTTCTTCCAAGTCAACTTCTCTCTGTCAAGTACAGCAAAGCTCAGCTCTCTCCTGTTCCAGAAAATTTCACTCTGAACCATGCTATTTCTTTTGACTCCACCTTGTCTACTTTAATATTCATTCATACATCTTGAAAGAGCTGTCTACACTTTACAATCAAACAAATTACTAAATTTTTTATCTAAACCTATTCCTCTCACTGAGATGTTCAGAGGCATTATAATAGAAAAAACTAATCTCCTCTTGAGGGCTCCCCACAAACCTTCATCAAAAAGAAAATGTTTACCAACTCATCTCTTCTCTATAAATTATTTTGTTTCCCATTGCTAACAGCATATTAAGCTTAGCATTGACATAAATTGAATTTTAAAACGTTTCTACCTTTCTCTTTCTCATTTGTTGGTCCCTTTCTTCTGATAAACTTGAATACAACATGACAACACACATTTATTTTAGACAATTAGGCAATTGTTTGCCCATATTCTGCCTTGATGCAAGTGAGTAGGAAACTCCCACAAGGACAAAAGAGAATGTTCTGTTAGGCTTATTAAGAAGTGAGAGTGGGGCCAGGTGCGGTGGCTCACACCTGTAATCCCAGCACTTTGGGAGGCCAAGGTGGGCGGATCACAAGGTCAGGAGTTTGAGACCAGCCTGGCCAACATGGTGAAAGCCCATCTCTACTAAAAACACAAAAATTGGCTGGGCATGGTGGCAGGTGCCTGTAATCCCAGCTACTCGGGAGGCTGAGGCAGGAGAATCGTTTGAATCCAGGAGGTGGAAGTTGCAGTGAGCCAAGATTGTGCCATTGCACTCCAGCCTGGGTGACAGGGCGAGACTCCATCTCAAAAAAAAACAACAAAAAAAAAACAGAAGTGAGGGTGGGATTCTCAAACCACGGCAAGGTACCGTCATCTTTAGGTGGCAGGGTCAGGCATGGTAAAGTGCGATCATATAGTAATTGCCCCTTCATTCATTCACTTCCATTAATGCTGCATGGACTTTTTCTATATTGTTAACTGCTTGTTCTCCAGTTTCTAGAACAGCACCCAGGACATATTAGGCAGCTCTTGAATAATGGAATAAAACGTATACTATTTTCCTATCACTGTATTCTCCCTCTTGGCTTAACGTAAAGACTTCAAAACTTTGAAGAGCAGTTTCAGCTAGATCTCCTTTATTCTATTAGAGTTGCACTTTTAGATTCTTCTTTTAATCACATTGATTTGACATTTATTCTCCTTTATGTTTCTGATTGCTTTGCGATATTCTAGGCAGTTCTTTTCACAGAAATAGGGTCAACATTCAGCTTTCCTGGAGTACTTCTCAGGTTATGATAACCCCCAATTCTTGTAACCATTGACTATATTTCTTTGCTGAAGAATTTAGGCAGAGGTGCTAAAAGCTATATAAATAATTAATGGAATGGAGACACTTAGATGCATAATTCAATTGATTTAGACAAATAGATCAGATATGTTAGAGCCACTGCACTGGCAAGAGATGGGAGACTTCTTCAGCAATACTAAAATACAGGGCTGAGACAGTTATTGGTGTTACAACTAGGATGAATTACTGCAGCCAGCTGAGATATAATAACAGTATGAATTATTGAATTGGCATCTTCCTGAGACAGCTTTGGTCACAGCCTTGCTATGTTCTGGAGATGATAGAAGGAGATTTGTGTGATGTAAATTTATAATCAAAGGGTGTTCAGGATGAAAGATGACCTCCAAGGTTATGAACCTGAGCAGGAGACTGCATCATCACATGAAAAAGGAACTGTAAAATATGAAGCATTCTTCAGTTAGTAGTTGGAAACCAAAGAAACTCCACTTTCTTAAAAATTTAACTTGAGGAAAGTTTCTGATAGACAGAGATAGAATGTGAGATACCAAGATGATCCTACATTGGACACCTCGGGTGAGGGATGTAGATCTGTGCAATGTCAGCCTAATCATGTTCCTGAAATTATGCCAAAGACAGGATTAGTAATTAATTAAAACATTTGGGCTCTGAAGAGCACAGACACACAAACTCATGCGTACATGCTGCAATTACTTTGCAAACAAATAGTTTGGGCCCCATGTATGGTGAAAAGTAGGATATTTTGTTAACATACTGATTGTTTCATTATAACTAAATCAAGAAGATGCTATTATCTTGGAAAGTGATCTGAAAAATGTGCTTCTCACTCTGCCAATAAGAAGGTGCCCTTTTCTTCTGAGCTGAGCTAGTTGTGCAAGACAAACCCAGACACACAGGGGAACGCATTCCTCTGCCACCACTGCTTGACATGCTGAGTGATGGAGATGGACTGGGAGGCAGCATCTCCTTTTCTGAAAACAAACTGGCCTTTAAAAAGGGCTGTTAAACTGCTGTCTCATGTTTGATTATTCTGTCCTCAGTAAAGTCCTCTATTTTTTACTACTAAATGGTCATTTTTATGAATGACATTATTTTTGTCTGATGACTGTTTCTAGAAGCAATAGGTCAAAAGCAGCAAACTATAGACCAAAGCTGGAACTGTGAAGAAAATTACCCCAAGTAATAGACCGTGGTCAGTTCAGTCTAAGAAAGCGTCCTCCAGGAAATTATGTCAGATACTAGAGAATTTAGGGAAAATCTCTTATAGACATGATTTTAATTTAATGTAATGAAATAGTAATGCATAGATTTATACCATGCAATAAGACATTTTTATGTCTATACATAATTTCAAATTACATATGAAAAATACAGTAACTCAAATTAATGCAGTTCTAACATATGATCAATTGCATTGCATTTTCTGGCTGTTAAAATTGTGTTTTATAGCATCAATAACAAATGTAATAAAATGTATTTCCTTATTAGGTCCCTCAACTTTTTTTTTTTTAAGAAAGCCAATAACCTAAAATTGTTAGTGTAACTTTCTTTTTAAAAATGGCTAAATTGTTCTTATATTGTGTAATAAAGAGAACAGACAGTATTGACAAAATTAATGCAAAAAAACCCCACACAATTTTGCACTTTTATTTTCCTCTAAGACAACAAAGATACATCAAAGGAAACTGAAAAACAGTCCTAGAAAAAAGAACTATTACTACTTATAAAGTGTCAGAATCAATAAAATATAACCTGCTTGGTTTATTGGCTTTAAGATATTTAAATTACTGCTCTTTTATTTTTATTTTCAGAATTTTATTTACTGAAATAGAAATGGTTTAAAACTTATACTCCAAAGAACCAGTGTTTAGCTTGTCTGTACTCATTCATCTCCAGTGTACATCATGCTCTCCTTCACATAGCATAAACAGAGGCTTCCAGCTGGCTTCCCTTCACCCCCTTGCTGTCCTCTAGCCTAATAAGAAAGTCATCTCAGTTACTGGGAAAAGGGGACATCATTTAACAAAATAATTTGTACAGGGGTTTAGAATTTTCTCTCTCCTAACCAATTGGGGAATAGATTTTGGTTTATATTGAGAATAGGATAATTTTTGTTTTGATTCTGTTTTTGAGACTCTGGACACCAATTCTACCCATCCCAAGACTGCTGGCATCATCATGTCATCCTTGTGGAACACGAGGTTGTAATAATTATGAAGTAGGTAAGCATCCTCAGTAGCTTCTTTCTTTCCTTTCTGTCTTTCGTTTTTAGAGATGGGGTCTCGCTGTGATGCCCAATCTGGTCTCAAACTCCTGGGCTCAAGCGATCCTCCTGCCTCAGCTACCTAGGTAGTTGAGACTACAGACACACACCACTGCACCTGACCGCCACTATTTCTTTATTCAAAGAATCCAGAGGACAAAAACGTATATGGCAAAAGACATAAGATTAAATACTTTGTATTATCGTTCATGAAACTTTAATTTTATACATTTCTTTTAAAAAACAAAGCTACTGATCTAGTTTGGATATTTGGCCCTTCAAATCTCATGATGAAATATAATCCCTAGTGTTGGAGGCGGAGCTCAGGGGGAGGTGTCTGGATCACAGGGGTGGATCCCTCATGAATGGCTTAGTGCCATTCCTTTGGTGATGATGAGTGAGTTCACCAGAGATCTCCTTGTTTAAAAGTGTGTGGCACTTGTCCCCCTCTCTTGCTCCCTCTCAACCATGTGACATGCTCCTGTTGCCTCTCCTTCTGCCATGGGTAGAAGTTTCCTGAGGTCCTCACCAGAAGCTGAGCAGATGCTGGTACCATGCTTGTACAGCCTGCAGAACTGTAAGCTAATTAAACTTTTTAAATAAATTACCCAGCCTTAGGTGTTGCTTTATAGCAACATAAGAACAGCCTAATATAGCTACCCCTAAAGTCTACTAAGATTAACTTAAATGACCTTTCCTGGGCTATATATCTATAAAAACTTAGAGTTTACTCTCATTATAACCATCAATAAGCATGTGTGCTGCACCCACAGACAGCAATGTCCAGTGCTACATGCTGAGTACTGCTCCTTTTTGGAGTCTAAAATCCATTTGGGAGGAAAAAATCTTACACAAGAAAAGACAAATAACAGTATATTATAGGGGGGAGGTGGGAGGGATAGCATTAGGAGATAAACCTAATGCTAAATGACGAGTTAATGGGTGCAGCACACCAATATGGCACATGTATACATATGTAACAAACCTGCATGTTGTGCACATGTATCCTAAAACTTAAAGTATAATAATAATAATAATAATAAAAGTATATTATAATAAATGCTAAGAGCCATTATGAAGATCAAGATAGAATACATTACATAGAATATGTTCTAAACTTTATTCATTGCGAAGCAATTTTCTTTTTCACTTTTATTTTTTCTCTCTGATATGTAGCTTCATGATTGGAACAGTTCTCTTTGATTGGTGCATAGTTTTGAATTGCAGAGTTGTGGGAGGACACTTTTTCTCTCTGAACTTATTAAGGGTGACTAACGTGCTTGCCTCTCAGGAGCAAACATTTTCTAGATCCTCTGGTTTCTCAGAATCCCATAGACGAGCTTGGCAATTGACATCTTTAAATTACTGATGACCTGTAGTATTAATCCTTTCACCTTGCTGAGACGTGTCTGCTCGGCCATGGTAATCAGGCCCTTTTTGCTCATCATAATCCCATTAACAAATTGAAAGAGAGAACAAGAACTTTTTATTTTTTTTTTTTACCAATTCCTCTGACAGGAAGCAGTGCAAAGGGGTTATAATTATGGATTATGTCTTTTATTATACATTGGAGCAAGCACACATTAGCCTAATTAAAAACACAGTGTGAATATTCAACTGCATCAAGCTGCAAATGTTTAAGGGCTGTCTGTAACAGCTGAAAATATATTTTGGTCTCATAGCAAACCTCTTGTCAAGTTGTATGGAAAACTGAGTTCAAGGATTGA
Organism: Homo sapiens; assembly: GCF_000001405.40. NCBI lineage: Eukaryota > Metazoa > Chordata > Mammalia > Primates > Hominidae > Homo > Homo sapiens. The sequence continues at coordinate 39,558,790 of NC_000018.10, forward strand.
GGATTGCACATTTTTGTGTTGGCAGATTTACTGACACCTCATCATGTAAACACTTGCTAATCTAGGACTCAGAGAGACAAAGCATACCTGAATGAGCCACAGGATTATAAAGTGAGGTTGTGCTGAGGTTTACTAATGTAAGTAAGTCTGATGTTCAGTTTCACTAAATCTCCCACACTGGCTAAAATTACTTTTAGAAGAACATATGAATGAACAGAAGTCTTCTCCACACCTAGATAGAAAATACATCTGGAACACCTTAAGAAGCTGCCTATATTCAACTACAGAAATACTGGGTTGGAATCACAGAATTGTAGAGCTAGATTGGCATGTACTGGCAATATAGTCCAACCTTTTGAAATCAGAAGATTTAACAGGTGGATCTGTCATAGGGCACAGCCAGAACAGGATAGCCACAAATATCTGGGCAAGTTGCATATTGCCCCACTCTAAGAGGGGCCAATCATGAAAATTATGATGAACAATTTGCAGAGCCCCATGCAGTGGCACTGGATGTTTTTAAGGTCTTTAGCCCATTTCATGACTCAGTATCTTTTTAACCTACTTCCTTTAACTATTGAATTTTTAAAAATTCTCATCAGAGTACTCTTCGGTCTCTGACCTAAATTCTTTTTATTGAAATAGAAACATATTCTTTTTGTTTTATGGAAGATGTTTATAATCAAACACATTACTTTTTAAACATGTTCTATAGCGTTATTGATCTCTACTCATAAAACGTATTTTCTATTTAAAAGAGGTAGGGCACAATATGACTTAATTTAGCACACTAATATAAGCATGTTTGCAAGACACTTCTGTAATGAAGCACAATATATTTACTCACTGAGCAATAACTGATAGGAAAATTACCTTTCCAGTGTGTAATACTATGATGGAGAGAGCTCAATGAATGTGATACATGCTGTCATCTATTTGTGTTGGCAAAAGGGGGCCTAGATCTGGGTCATGGTGTCCAAATCAAGTTGGATCAGCTTTCTAAACATACATCAGATTCACTCCTGCTCAACATCTCTATTCTGAGTTACCTTCCTCTTTCACCTAGATAACTTCAATAGCCTCCACTCTGCTCACCTATTCCATAGCTGCCTACCTTTAACAAATTTTCCACAAAGCACTCATAAAATATTCTGAAAACATAAATCTCATTATATCTGCTTTCTTCTGTCCTCTAAACTATTTCAGTGGTTGCTTAGTGCCTCTAAAATAGAGACCTTACCATGACTCTCAAGGTCAGATGAGCTCTCTTGACCTTCTCCAGCTGCCCTGACCATCTTTCTTTTCCACTTATGCACCAAGGTATTTCTTGTCTCAGCAATTTTGAATCAGTAAGTTTCCCTTCCTAACAGCTATTCTTCTTGCTTTTGGAATAATCAACTCTTTTTTCTTTATCTTGCAGGCTTCAACTTAAATGTCATTTCACCAAAGAATTCTTTCTATTCCATATCACAACTGTGCCACATGCCCACATCAGGGTATTCTGTAATATTCATTTTGAGATTTCTCATAATTATAACTTAACCTATTTTCCATTTGACTTAATTTAATAGGTATGTTTTTCCTAGATTAAAATTTTCATGATGTCGCAAACCCAGTCTTTCATTTTCATCACCCTGTTCCCAGCACAGACTACAGTGCCTACATTTAAGCACATGGTGGACACTTGGAATGAGTGAATGAATGGGTACTGGCTAGCATCTAATGTCTGCCACACACACTGGGTTAATTAAATCACCCTCTTATTGCAGGATCCTAGAACATCTTGTTCCATCTGCTTGGAATAGTCTCCTTTCTGTTTCACCGTAACTTCTGCTTAGCCTTCAGAACACACTGCAAACATTACTTCATGAAGTTTTGTATCCCTAGGGTGGTTCCCTCTATTAGACACTTGTAGCACCATTCCATTTACATTTACAACATTTTTATAATAATTTTACATTAAATTGTGCAAAAGTTTAGTCATTACCTTTCCTGCACATAAGCTTTAAGAGTACAATTAACATGTGTTTTTTGCTTGCCAATATCCTAGGTGCTTAGGCTAGTGTGGGCTATATAGTATGCTCTGAAAGGACATTTGTGAAATGGATAAAGGAATAAATATTCTGAGGGGGATGGTTAAATGCATCAAGGTGTTCACTATGAGAAGAGTTGTTACTACAATAATAGTAGTTGTATGTGCGCGTGTGTGTGTAACATCAGGGCAGTCCAGATCTCAGTGGTATAATCCACTGTCTAACTGAACAAAGACTCCGATGCACATATTCAAAAGTAGAGACATATTTTTCTACATTAATTAAGGTTTTGTTTATTGGCCCAGGCTCTTCTGGGTTTAGTCAAAAGGGTTCCTTCTTTTTGTTCAGTAAGAATCCTCATATTCAGTGATTCACGAACTTACACCTCCTGTCTCCCAGATCCAGGGAAACATACGGGAAAGTGTATTCCACAAACATTTGGCAGCCTCAGTAAGGCAGAAAGAAAGCTGTCACCAGGCTATATTAATGACTTCCTTTATAGATGGCCTAAACAGGAAGCAGCAAAGACTTCTGGCTTAGATCCTGAGAAAATGCCTCAGGAGATCCTAAGAAACCTTCCCTGAGTATTTTCTCAAGGCTAAATGACCCAATTCTTCCAGGATTTCTTTATAGATTTCCCTCTAAAGGACTACACTTCCTGGCCACTATTCCAAATTGTAGGAATAAGTAATTCTATCCAAGTCATGAACTTTTTTCAACTCTTATCTAAAAGGAGGGCTCATAAGCCCACACAATCATAAACTATAAGAGCTTTAAGGGTATGTAGACACCATGTAAGTACATCAACATTTTAATAATGAGGAAACTGAGGCCTAGAATTTCTGTCTGACTTGGGCAAGGCCTCCTAAGTGGATATAATGATTAACTCTCGGGTACTCATAAGTAGTCTAGGTTGTCATTAAAAAAATAGAGGGGTTTTTTTGTTGGTTTGTTTGTTCGTTTTTTTAGACTGAGTCTCACTCTGTCGCCCAGGCTAGAGTGCAGTGGCGTGATCTTAGCTCACTGCAAGCTTCACCTCCCGGGTTCACGCCATTCTCCTGCCTCAGCCTCCTGACTAGCTGGGACTACAGGCTAATTTTTTGTATTTTTAGTAGAGACGGGGTTTCACCATGTTAGCCAGGATGGTCTCGATCTCCTGACCTCATGATCCACCCCCCCCTCAGCCTCCCAAAGTGCTGGGATTACAAAAAATAGAGTTTTTTAACCCCATCAAGATTTATAGATTCCTCACTGATGCTGACTGAGCAATAGTTATTTCTACTGCTATCTCTACCATTTCTTAATGGCCCAATTGTCTAAAAATCGGTTACTTGTGTTATCAAAATTTGTGATTTTATTAGATAATAATTACTCTCCTTAGATACTTATCATCTCTTATATATGTATGCTGAGGAGTCCTGGCTGTTGGAAAAATACAAATAACAAAATGAATGAGCAGTTGTAATTTTTAAATGAACAGGTTTATGGTTTTCAGTTTTGGATATTTTAACACTCAACAAGTGATACTTTGCATATCAATTTTTGTCATTACCTTTATGCAAGTATTATTTTATGACTCTTTTACCATTCTAAATGAAATTTAAATATGGAATCCAAGGACTCTAGGATGCTTGAAGGCAGATGGTTCTTCGTGTAACACTGAAGCTAATCTTTCAAGAGAATGGGAATAGTGTTGAGAGTCTTGTTGAGACATATTCTGGGGTTATCTATCAACAAATAAATATAGAATAACCAATCTCAAGATTGGCAATTTAGGGTTCCTCTCACATTATTCAGTTCTTTCTCTTCAATGCCCCATTATAAGCAAGATAGATTTACCCTTAAGAGTATTCCATAAGTATAGCAATTACAGAAACCATTCTTATGTGATTCTATGTTTCTAGCACTGTGCTAAGTGATTTATATAATTATCATATTTAGGTTCATGACTCTATCATGTCAGCTGAAGTAAATACCATTATCATCCCCATTAATAATATTGCAAATTATAGTCTTAGCATATTACATGACAATTATAATCTAATAAGAATGAATAAACATCTAACTTTAGGAATTTTTCATTTTCTTTAATAATTATTATCTCAAAAAATCACAGAATATCTAGGGCACATAAAAATGTAGAATTTCATGCAAATGGAAGCCACAGTGAAATACTATTCACTTATTAAAATAGCCAAAGTTTAAAAAAATGAGCATACAAAGTGTTGTTGAATATATGGAGGAACTGAAACTCTTGAACACTGTTGAGGTGATTTTTAGTAATTCAATCATTTGGAACTTTGGCAATTTCTTAAAAAGTTAAAAAAAATTATTTAACATATTATTCAGCCATTTTATTTCTAAGTAATTACCCAAGAAAAATGAAAGCTTGTGTCTATAATGGGTACATGAATGCTCATAGCATCTTTATTTGTAACAATCCAAACTAGAAACAACATAAATGTCCCTCAACAGATGAATGGATAGATAAACAAACTGCAATATATACATACATTAGGATACTATTCAGTAATAATAAGAAATAAATAACTGATACATGCCACAACATAGATGAATCTCAAAATAATTATACTGAGTGAAAAAAAGCAAAAAGAGGAACATACTGTATGATCTACTTACATGAAGTTCTAGGACATGTAAAGTGACAGAGAGTGGATCAGTGATTACCTAGAGATAAACAATAGAGTATGGGGAAAAGCAGAAGGAAAGAAATGCAATGGGATATAGAAGCATAAGGGCAGTTTTTGAAAGGATAGATATGTTTATTATTTTGACTGTGGTAATGGCTTCACAGGTTTATACTTATGTCACAACATGTCAAATGCCTTACTGTATACTTTAAATATAAATAGTCAATTATGCCTCAATAAAGCTCTTGAAATAAACTATAGAATTTCATAAAAGTGCAATTATTGCTAAACAAAAAAACTAATAAGTTTAATAGAAGTGCTAGCACTAATTATAAATTTTTGAAAATTAAAGTTGATACATAAATTAACCGGAAAGAGGTTCTTTGCATAGAGAAAAAAAATACAGAAATTTCCAATTTGTCCAACAATAAGTGTTAAAACCTAATAGTACATAAATGTAAGAATTATCAAAAAGAAAGACAGCATAGATTTAATTAATTAAACTAGTCAAAAGAAAGAAATTCATCAAATCCTATGAAAATTATGTTGGAAATATGAATAACTATGATAATGTACTAGGAAAATGGAAATGACAAAATTGACATCAAAATTGATTTTTTAAATGAAAAAATAAAACTCAACCATACTGCTGGGCACAGTGGCTCACACCTGTAATCCCAGCACTCTGGGAGGCCGAGGCGGGTGGATCACAAGGTCAGGAGATTGAGACCATCCTGGCTAACACGGTGAAACCCCGTCTCTACTAAAAATACAAAAAATTAGCTGGGCGTGGTGGGGGGGGCACCTGTAGTCCCAGCTACTCGGGAGGCTGAGGCAGGAGAATGGCATGAACCTGGGAGGTGGAGCTTGCAGTGAGTCGAGATCGCGCCACTGCACTCTAGCCTGGGTGACAGAGTGAGACTCTCTCTCAAAAAAAAAAAAAAAAAAAAAAAAAAAAAAACACTCAACCACAGAGAAAATTTAGAAATTTATTAGAGTAATTTGTAAAAATTTGGCCTCCTAAGTTTTTTAAAATTGGTTATTTCTTTCAAAACTTTGCAAAATATGCATCTCTTGTGAAATGTTTGCTATTTATAAGCATATGGTAATGCCACAATAATTTGAACACCATGGTATTGTCCAGGAGCAAACAGACATGTCCAAGGGAAACATATTTATTCATGCTCCTATAGAAAGAGGAAAAGAAAATAAATCTGTTGCAAAAAGGGTAAGATAAATGGACAAAATATAATGAAAAGATTAAATAAATATTTCTATTATTTGAAGAAACTGTAAACTATTATTTCATATTCGACTTAACAAGTAATAAAAAGATAGACTAAGTTTTGTGTCACATTGTGACACCAACCAAACCAGCAGCTTGTAAAAGAGTCTTTATTGCTCAGTGCATGTTTTCCTATGTTTACGTCATTGTTAGGTCCTTGAGGTCAGAATATGTTATTATTTGCACTCTCTGTGGTGCTGAGCACCATTGTAAACATTCAGTAATTACATTCAAGTGAGAAGATGGACCTGATCTCATAGGTAAAAAGGGGGTCATCTGTCCTTGAGAAGCAGAAGGGTGGGTACCGGGAATGCGGAGCAGGTCAAAAGCACCAAACCTGAAATCTCATGAATTTAGGAAAGGTTTTCAAAAGAAGCTTAATGCACAGGAGTTGACGTTTAATTAATAATTCCTTTCTTGAGAGACTTAAGCAGCTTGGGCTGTTTTCAGCTCTTTCAAGTACTCTCTTCTGCTGATGTAGCGAGAAGCAGCAAATTCAAAGTAAAGCTAAAAGAAGCCTGGAAGCTCAGCCTCTGGGCAGTCATTTTCAGTATTTATGACTGCCTGTAAATGGCTAGTGAGCTGGTGGTAGCACCATTGATTCTATTTTTAACAGTTGACTCTTACAATCAATGGGATTGACCAAACCAACAGTGAAGTCAGCAGCAACAAGAGCATGGCCCAACTGCGGTCCATTAATGTGGCCTGTGGCTCCAGGTGGGTGTACACCACCAACAAAGCCTTGAGCCAGGGAACACACCCCCTCACACCAAATATACCCAACCTCTTCTCTCAACACCAGACGACCCCATTACCATAGAAAACTTGGTGGGCGAGGAGGAGCCAAGATGGCCGAATAGGAACAGCTCCGGTCTACAGCTCCCAGCGTGAGCAACGCAGAAGACGGGTGATTTCTGCATTTCCATCTGAGGTACCGGGTTCATCTCACTAGGGAGTGCCAGACAGTGGGCACAGGCCAGTGGGTGTGCGCAACGTGCGCGAGCCGAAGCAGGGTGAGGCATTGCTTCACCTGGGAAGCGCAAGGGGTCAGGGAGTTCCCTTTCCGAGTCAAAGAAAGGGGTGACGGACGGCACCTGGAAAATCGGGTCACTCCCACCCGAATATTGCGCTTTTCAGACCGGCTTAAAAAACGGCGCACCACGAGACTATATCCCACACCTGGCTCGGAGGGTCCTACGCCAACGGAGTCTCGCTGATTGCTACCACAGCAGTCTGAGATCAAACTGCAAGGCGGCAGCCAGGCTGGGGGAGGGGCGCCCGCCATTGCCCAGGCTTGCTTAGGTCAACAAAGCAGCCAGGAAGCTCGAACTGGGTGGAGCCCACCACAGCTCAAGGAGGCCTGCCTGCCTCTGTAGGCTCCACCTCTGGGGGCAGGGCACAGACAAACAAAAAGACAGCAGTAACCTCTGCAGACTTAAATGTCCCTGTCTGACAGCTTTGAAGAGAGCAGTGGTTCTCCCAGCACGCAGCTGGAGATCTGATAACGGGCAGACTGCCTCCTCAAATGGGTCCCTGACCCCTGACCCCTGAGCAGCCTAACTGGGAGGCACCCCCCAGCAGGGGCACACTGACACCTCACACGGCAGGGTATTCCAACAGACCTGCAGCTGAGGGTCCTGTCTGTTAGAAGGAAAACTAACAAACAGAAAGGACATCCACACCGAAAACCCATCTGTACATCACCATCATCAAAGACCAAAAGTAGATAAAACCACAAAGATGGGGAGAAAACAGAACAGAAAAACTGGAAACTCTAAAACGCAGAGCGCCTCTCCTCCTTCAAAGGAATGCAGTTCCTCACCAGCAACGGAACAAAGCTGGATGGAGAATGACTTTGACGAGCTGAGAGAAGAAGGTTTCAGACGATCAAATTACTCTGAGCTACGGGAGGACATTCAAACCAAAGGCAAAGAAGTTGAAAACTTTGAAAAAAATTTAGAAGAATGTATAACTAGAATAACCAATACAGAGAAGTGCTTAAAGGAGCTGATGGAGCTGAAAACCAAGGCTCGAGAACTACGTGAAGAATGCAGAAGCCTCAGGAGCCGATGCGATCAACTGGAAGAAAGGGTATCAGCAATGGAAGATGAAATGAATGAAATGAAGCGAGAAGGGAAGTTTAGAGAAAAAAGAATAAAAAGAAATGAGCAAAGCCTCCAAGAAATATGGGACTATGTGAAAAGACCAAATCTACGTCTGATTGGTGTACCTGAAAGTGATGCAGAGAATGGAACCAAGTTGGAAAACACTCTGCAGGATATTATCCAGGAGAACTTCCCCAATCTAGCAAGGCAGGCCAACGTTCAGATTCAGGAAATACAGAGAACGCCACAAAGATACTCCTCAAGAAGAGCAACTCCAAGACACATAATTGTCAGATTCACCAAAGTTGAAATGAAGGAAAAAATGTTAAGGGCAGCCAGAGAGAAAGGTAGGGTTACCCTCAAAGGGAAGCCCATCAGACTAACAGCGGATCTCTCGGCAGAAACCCTACAAGCCAGAAGAGAGTGGGGGCCAATATTCAACATTCTTAAAGAAAAGAATTTTCAACCCAGAATTTCATATCCAGCCAAACTAAGCTTCATAAGTGAAGGAGAAATAAAATACTTTACAGACAAGCAAATGCTGACCGATTTTGTCACCACCAGGCCTGCCCTAAAAGAGCTCCTGAAGGAAGCGCTAAACATGGAAAGGAACAACCGGTACCAGCCGCGGCAAAATCATGCCAAAATGTAAAGACCATCGAGACTAGGAAGAAACTGCATCAACTAACGAGCAAAATAACCAGCTAACATCATAATGACAGGATCAAATTCACATATAACAATATTAACTTTAAATGTCAATGGACTAAATTCTCCAATTAAAAGACACAGACTGGCAAGTTGGATAAAGAGTCAAGACCCATCAGTGTGCTGTATTCAGGAAACCCATCTCACATGCAGAGACACACATAGGCTCAAAATAAAAGGATGGAGGAAGATCTACCAAGCAAATGGAAAACAAAAAAAGGCAGGGGTTGCAATCCTAGTCTCTGATAAAACAGACTTTAAACCAAAAAAGATCAAAAGAGACAAAGAAGGCCATTACATAATGGTAAAGGGATCAATTCAACAAGAAGAGCTAACTATCCTAAATATATATGCACCCAATACAGGAGCACCCAGATTCATAAAGCAAGTCCTGAGTGACCTACAAAGAGACTTAGACTCCCACACATTAATAATGGGAGACTTTAACACCCCACTGTCAACATTAGACAGATCAACGAGACAGAAAGTCAACAAGAATACCCAGGAATTGAACTCAGCTCTGCACCAAGCGGACCTAATAGACATCTACAGAACTCTCCACCCCAAATCAACAGAATATATATTTTTTTCAGCACCACACCACACCTATTCCAAAACTGACCACATAGTTGGAAGTAAAGCTCTCCTCAGCAAATGTAAAAGAACAGAAATTATAACAAACTATCTCTCAGACCACAGTGCAATCAAACTAGAACTCAGGATTAAGAAACTCACTCAAAACCGCTCAACTACATGGAAACTGAACAACCTGCTCCTGAATGACTACTGGGTACATAACGAAATGAAGGCAGAAATAAAGATGTTCTTTGAAACCAACGAGAACAAAGACAACATACCAGAATCTCTGGGACGCATTCAAAGCAGTGTGTAGAGGGAAATTTATAGAACTAAATGCCCACAAGAGAAAGCAGGAAAGATCCAAAATTGACACCCTAACATCACAATTAAAAGAACTAGAAAAGCAAGAGCAAACACATTGAAAAGCTAGCAGAAGGCAAGAAATAACTAAAATCAGAGCAGAACTGAAGGAAATAGAGACACAAAAAACCCTTCAAAAAATCAATGAATCCAGGAGCTGGTTTTTTGAAAGGATCAACAAAATTGATAGACCGCTAGCAAGACTAATAAAGAAAAAGAGAGAAGAATCAAATTGACACAATAAAAAACGATAAAGGGGATATCACCACCGATCCCACAGACATACAAACTACCATCAAAGAATACTACAAACACCTCTACGCAAATAAACTAGAAAATCTAGAAGAAATGGATACATTCCTCGACACATACACTCTCCCAAGACTAAACCAGGAAGAAGTTGAATCTCTGAATAGACCAATAACAGGAGCTGAAATTGTGGCAATAATCAATAGTTTACCAACCAAAAAGAGTCCAGGACCAGATGGATTCACAGCCGAATTCTACCAGAGGTACAAGGAGTAACTGGTACCATTCCTTCTGAAACTATTCCAATCAATAGAAAAAGAGGGAATCCTCCCTAACTCATTTTCTGAGGCCAGCATCATTCTGATACCAAAGCCGGGCAGAGACACAACCAAAAAAGAGAATTTTAGACCAATATCCTTGATGAACATTGATGCAAAAATCCTCAATAAAATACTGGCAAACTGAATCCAGCAGCACATCAAAAAGCTTATCCACCATGATCAAGTGGGCTTCATCCCTGGGATGCAAGGCAGGTTCAATATACGCAAATCAATAAATGTAATCCAGCATATAAACAGAGCCAAAGACAAAAACCACATGATTATCTCAATAGATGCAGAAAAAGCCTTTGACAAAATTCAACAACCCTTCATGCTAAAAACTCTCAATAAATTAGGTATTGATGGGACGTATTTCAAAATAATAAGAGCTATCTATGACAAACCCACAGCCAATATCATACTGAATGGGCAAAAACTGGAAGCATTCCCTCTGAAAACTGGCACAAGACAGGGATGCCCTCTCTCACCGCTCCTATTCAACATAGTGTTGGAAGTTCTGGCCAGGGCAATCAGGCAGGAGAAGGAAATAAAGGGTATTCAATTAGGAAAAGAGGAAGTCAAATTGTCCCTGTTTGCAGACGACATGATTGTTTATCTAGAAAACCCCATCGTCTCAGCCCAAAATCTCCTTAAGCTGATAAGCAACTTCAGCAAAGTCTCAGGATACAAAATCAATGTACAAAAATCACAAGCATTCTTATACACCAACAACAGACAAACAGAGAGCCAAATCATGAGTGAACTCCCATTCACAATTGCTTCAAACAGAATAAAATACCTAGGAATCCAACTTACAAGGGATGTGAAGGACCTCTTCAAGGAGAACTACAAACCACTGCTCAAGGAAATAAAAGAGGATACAAACAAATGGAAGAACATTCCATGCTCATGGGTAGGAAGAATCAATATCGTGAAAATGGCCATACTGCCCAAAGTAATTTACAGATTCAATGCCATCCCCATCAAGCTACCAATGATTTTCTTCACAGAATTGGAAAAAACTACTTTAAAGTTCATATGGAACCAAAAAAGAGCCCGCATCGCCAAGTCAATCCTAAGCCAAAAGAACAAAGCTGGAGGCATCACACTACCTGACTTCAAACTATACTACAAGGCTACAGTAACCAAAACAGCATGGTACTGGTACCAAAACAGAGATATAGATCAATGGAACAGAACAGAGCCCTCAGAAATAATGCCGCATACCTACAACTATCTGATCTTTGACAAACCTGACAAAAACAAGCAATGGGGAAAGGATTCCCTATTTAATAAATGGTGCTGGGAAAACTGGCTAGCCATATGTAGAAAGCTGAAACTGGATCCCTTCCTTACACCTTATACAAAAATCAATTCAAGATGGATTAAAGATTTAAACGTTAGACCTAAAACCATAAAAACCCTAGAAGAAAACCTAGGCATTACCATTCAGGACATAGGCATGGGCAAGGACTTCATGTCCAAAACACCAAAAGCAATGGCAACAAAAGCCAAAATTGACAAATGGGATCTCATTAAACTAAAGAGCTTCTGCACAGCAAAAGAAACTACCATCAGAGTGAGCAGGCAACCTACAACATGGGAGAAAATTTTCGTAACCTACTCATCTGACAAAGGGCTAATATCCAGAATCTACAATGAACTCAAACAAATTTACAAGAAAAAAACAAACAACCCCATCAAAAAGTGGGCGAAGGACATGAACAGACACTTCTCAAAAGAAGACATTTATGCAGCCAAAAAATACATGAAAAAATGCTCATCATCACTGGCCATCAGAGAAATGCAAATCAAAACCACTATGAGATATCATCTCACACCAGTTAGAATGGCAATCATTAAAAATTCAGGAAACAACAGGTGCTGGAGAGGATGTGGAGAAACAGGAACACTTTTACACTGTTGGTGGGACTGTAAACTAGTTCAACCATTGTGGAAGTCAGTGTGGCGATTCCTCAGGGATCTAGAACTAGAAATACCATTTGACCCAGCCATCCCATTACTGGGTATATACCCAAAGGACTATAAATCATGCTGCTATAAAGACACATGCACACGTATGTTTATTGCAGCATTATTCACAAGGAGACTTGGAACCAACCCAAATGTCCAACAATGATAGACTGGATTAAGAAAATGTGGCACATATACACCATGGAATACTATGCAGCCATAAAAAATGATGAGTACATGTCCTTTGTAGGGACATGGATGAAATTGGAAACCATCATTCTCAGTAAACTATCGCAAGAACAAAAAACCAAACACCGCATATTCTCACTCATAGGTGGGAATTGAACAATGAGATCACATGGACACAGGAAGGGGAATATCACACTCTGGGGACTGTGGTGGGGAGGGGAGAGGGGGGAGGGATAGCACTGGGAGATATACCTAATGCTAGATGACAAGTTAGTGGGTGCAGCGCACCAGCATGGCACATGTATACAGATGTAACTAACCTGCACAATGTGCACATGTACCCTAAAACTTAAAGTATAATAAAAAAATAAATAAATAAATAAATAAATAAAAGAAAACTTGGTGGGCAAAGGCCCAGAAATAAATTATGCAGCTCTTTAGCACCCTCTGGTGTCCAATCTTACCAACACCCAAAACACGCTTGGGTTTTAAAAACTCTAAAACGAGCATTCCCGCCCAAAGCTATCCATCTCCTTGTAATGAACAGGGATCTGGAGTAGGGAATTCTTTTACCTGACATTACCATTCCCGTTGACTAAAGAAAACAACTACTGAGAAAAATTTCCCCTCAAACTATCATCTAATTAGGGGAACTGGTATCACCTCATCTTCGCATTTTTGCATGTAAGTAATATGAAACTGTCTGCTTTTAAATCTGGATTATCTTTTGGGTTACATAAAGTAAAAATTTTCTAGAAAATAGGTTGTTTATGTAGAATCCATTAACTAATTTGAATTATTTCAATAAGAGGAAAGTCAAAGAGATACTAACCAAACTAGCAGATTTATTTTCCTCTTGGCACTTCTCTCCACCCTTATCCATTAGGGAATGTTAGAATAGAAAAATGCCGTGCAGTGGGCATCAGATCTGGGCCGTAGGCTGGACTTCCCTTTCAGGTTGAAATAGACTGTGAACACATCACAATCTCTATGAACTTCAGTTTTCTCAACTATAGAACAAGCATATGGGCATAGGTCATCTTTACTAACTTGAGAAGGAAATTCAATATCCTATGAGGTTACCAGGGTTTGGGTTTCCATACTACCTGAAGATGGCTTATGGGTACACAGGGTTCATTATCTACCTGTGCATAGGTTTGAATCTTTTCATAATAAAAAAGTTAAATGACTTGCAGTTGGAATCAATTTTCCGTGTTCCCCTGAATATTAAATTATTGGGACTCTACAGCAATCCTGAACACATAAGAATGGTTGATTCTCATTTTAGACTCTCTCATGATTGTATATTTTGGAATAAGCGTTGGTAGTTCAATAAAATTTCTCCTTTTTTAAAAAAGGTGGCCTTAAGCAATATATGAGAAGAAGTGAATTAGGAGAGGGATTTCTGCAGAAAAGTGCCAAGTGTTCTTCATGTAAGTTTCTAACATAACCATGCTACTTATTAAGATCCTACTAGGTACCAAGAGTTTTAGATACCTCATTTTATTTAATCCTCCTAACATTCTTGCAAGGTAGATTTTATTATTCTCATTTTGTAGAAAAGAAAACTAAGCCTCAGAGATGCAAAGCAATTTGTCCAAGTTAACATGCAACTTGTACGGCCAATATTCAGACCTAGCTCACAGTAAACTCAAAGTCTGTTTTCTTTCCATAGAACCAGACTCTTAATTTAGAAAGCAAAGGTGAAGAGGAAGAAATTCCTAACTCCATTGTTCTGGCAGACTAGCTCAAGACTTTGTTTTCCTAAAAATAGATGGTTTAAAGAAGTCCTGGAAGCAGGCTGTCTGGTGTCTGTTAAGTCTCCCTGGCAATGAAAAGTATGTCGACCAATTTGGGACTCTCCCTATTGAGAGACACACAATCTACAGTAGAGCCTCTGCTTTCTTATTCACCTTGCTACAGACTGTAACTGAGCATCTACTATGTATCATATACTTCTACGGTGATAAAATAAAACTGGAGCTGTTTCTTTAAAAGCCTGTACTTGTCAGAAGAAATGTCACAAATGTCTCTACCTGAGACACAAGGAAGGCCTTGCCAATTCCCCCCTTATAAGAACTCACCACATTGTAGTATCCGGAGGAGGTCAGCTAACTGAGCTGGTGCCCACATCCATCTGCTGTTAGCCACTACAACTAAGGAAGCCTTTTGGGCCCACACTGCTAGGAAGTAAGGTCCGGTAAGAGAAGAGTAGAGAAGAGTCAGAATGTCTCCATACCTTATAAAGAATTGTGGAAATTCTGTTGCTAAAACTGTGTATAATTCCTCTGCAGTCACAGTGATGCATTACTGAGAAATCAAAACACCCACCTATATTCCAAATTGTCTCTCTGCTCTAACTTCTGTACCAGATACCTTACTCTAACTCATCTCAGAGACAGAACGGCAGGACTGATGTTCTAAGGCCAAAGAGGGCTCATTCTATTTGTCAAGTCTGTGGTTTTGCTTGGAAAAGAGAAAATTAAACAATTACGTGTTAGCTGATATTTCTCTTTGCTTTAGCATGGATTTCTCTTTCTGGATGTTCCAACATCTTGGATGACAACAAGAAGTCAAAGGCATTTGCCTGCGGGGCGCGGTGGCTCACGCCTGTAATCCCAGCACTTTGTGAGGCCGAGGTAGGTGGATTACGAGGTCAGGAGATGGAGACCATCCTGGCTAACACGGTGAAACCATGTCTCTACTAAAAATACAAAAAAATTAGCCGGGCGTGGTGGCGGGTGCCTGTAGTTCCAGCTACTCGGGAGGCTGAGCAGCAGGAGAACGGCGTAAACCCGAGAGGCGGAGCTTGCAGTGAGCCCAGATCGCGCCACTGTACTCCAGCCTGGGCAACAGAGCAAGACTCCGTCTCAAAAAAAAAAAAAAAAAAAAAAAAAGGCATTTACCACAATTTCCTCCAGCCAGAGTGGCTTAATGTACTTTTCCAGGCTTTGAAAGATACTACATTGTCACTAAGAGTTCTGATAATTCTGCAAAGAGATGAAAGTGGCAGATCCTGGAAAGAAAGAGCCAGTTTCCCTTGGTGTTACGTTGCAGATTCTTAGTTCTGTGGGTCTTCAGCATTTTCACTATAGGAAACTCTCATGACTTACAGACCTAGAGATCAGAGATGGAAACAAAGAGAAGGAAAACAAACACTATAGAAAGAAAAAAAAAAGGAGGGCAATCTAGCAAGACAAAAACAGCTAGGTAGTTTAGGATGGAATGCATAAATGCAAATGCGAAGACATTTTTCTCTTGCAAAGCTCCAGAGATATTGCAAATTCAAGCTTTTAGAAAAGCAAACAGTATTATCATATTTTTAATTTTTTTCTTTCCATTTCTTCTTAGCTTATACTAAATCCTCCATTTTCCCTTCTAATTCTTTATTTCAGGATCACTGGATTCTACTGTGTTTGAGAAAAAAAAAAGTAGGAACTATAAACTTAAATTATAGCCAATCAGATTGTACTCACAGCTCAACTGCTAGACAAATTGCAGCTCATGAAATTTGCTATGGGTCAGGAGACTGAGTAATTTTATTTTAATCAGTCTTATTTGAAGCTGGAACGCCTTTGCAGCAAATCCTCTGAACAGGATTTCAGACAGGATATGGACTAGTCTTTTCTCATCTCTTTTCCTTTGTTTTCTTTTTTCTTAGTAAACTATTTCACGTTTCTGACAAATAATGAGAAATAAAAGTTGAAATGGTCAAATTTTATTGCAGTTCTGAGTGAAAGCTTGTCTGGAGCTTAGGCTGGCTCCAGCCTTTCTTCCAATGCAGTATTAAGCTCTCTGAATCTCATTTCTAGCATTTATTTACATAGTTAAGTCCCAGGCGGAACTCAGGCCCAGCCCCAAGACCACAAATGCTCTGCTGATTGTGGGGCCTTGCAGTGGTTCGGATTATCCGGGACATTATTCATGTCACAAGAGACCTTGCAGGCTAGTGCTAAGTTGGATGGACAAAATCACTGCAACACAGCTACCTCCTCAGGAAGTGGGGAGCAAATAAGACCCTTGCAGAGTCACCAAGTATGGGATGGATACAACATTAACAATTCACAGCAATGTCTCAAATTTGTAATGCAATATTTGCTGCATCTCACAATACAGAGTCGCACCTCAAGAGAGGATAAACAACAGTCACTCTATTTAGTCCAAGAGGCAGGGTAAGCATCTCATGCACTATTCTCTCCTCTAACTTTGAAACCCAGTTTGCGGAAGGATCCATACAACAGTTAAACCTGTGAACAGGAAAAGATCTGCTTTTTAAGAAAGGGAATTTAGCAAAAGCCCAACCTGCCTGATGTCAGCTCACCCAAATGCAGTCCCGCACAGGCTGGTTTTGAAGAACCAGTACCTTCTGGTTCATGTGCACCTCATATGCATAAAAATGATTCTAGTGGGAGTAACTGAAGGGCTAGAACTGTCTATGCCATTCCTCTTCCTTATCATGTTATTTATCCTTTATATTTTTCAACTCTAGTTTCTTCGTGTTTTTTGTTTGTTTGTTTGTTTGTTTGTTTAGGTCAAAGAAATTGATAACACTCACCAAATAATTTGTGATAGCAAAATTCTGGCAAACTAGCCAATGGAGAAACACATAAAAGGCTAGCTTGACATTTTAGGAGGCTTATTAACTTAATGCAGGCTTATTTGTAATCCTTCATTTCAGGTCAAACACAAGGATAAACAACATGAGAAAGACATTGTTAGTGTCCTCAAGCAGCTGAAGACCTTAGGTGGCCAATCATCTGAGGATATGGGACAGGTCAGGTGTAGCTGCACTTTTCTGCCAGGATGGAACAGAAAATGGCAAGAGACCTAGCTGGAGAGTTCTTTCTACTAAAAGATGATAATAGCATAATCCAGTGAGGTCACCCTCTTTGATAACTATGTTAGCTCACACTTATTTTATACTTACTTTGTGCCAGAATTGTGTAACATGCTTTATACATGTAACTGTATTTAATTCTCACATCAGGGCTATGGAGTTTTCACTAATGGTGTCATACCCATTATACAGAAAAGAAACTGAGTCACAGAGTTTCTGTAATTTATTCAAGGACAACCAACCAATAAGGGACAGAATCAGGATTCCAATTCAGGTAGCCTTGTTTCTGTAGTTAGCTAGTCAGACATGAGCAGGGCAGGACAGGAATCCCTTAGCCCCCACACTAGGAATGTCAGGTGACCATCAGGTGATGGTGAGGCAGTTGTTAACTGCCTCACCAAAATTATAATTGGTTGCAACCAGCTCCAGGGGAAGCCAGTCTCCCATTAGGTAGAAAAACCTGAAACTGATGATCAGAAGCTTCTTGATAAGATCTCAGGAGCTGGGCACGTGGGCTCAAGCATGTGCATTAAGAGGCAAAGTGGCAGAGTTTAACTAATGTATGACCTTGTAAGGACATTCAACTGGTAAGGGAAGAACACCACAAGTGAGCATGTACAACTCTAGTAAACATACTGTGCATGCTCACCTCCCATGTGCCAGCTGGCCACTGTGCATGTCGACAGCCCACCTCAAGGGAAGAATCAGGGGAGAAGAGATGCAAGACCCTGAAAGTAGGCCAACATATAAAACTCCAAGTCAAAGGTCAAACAGTACACTTGACCTCTTGAGGAATCAACATGGCGTGCTTCCAAGTGTACTTTACTTCCTTCCATTCCTGCTCTAAAGCTTTTTAATAAGCTTCTACTCCTGCTCTAAAACTTGCCTTGATCTCCCACTCTGACTCAGTCAATTCTTTCTTCTGAGGAGGCACGAACTGAGGTTGCTGCAAATATGTATAGATTTGCTGCTGTAACATACTTTGGTGCCATGTACCGCTAACAGGCTGACTCTAAAGCATGTGGTTCCATTTCTAAGAAGTATAAAAACATTATTACCTTTCTTGACATGAATCTAAGAAAAGAAATTTTTCCTTCTTAACTTTAAGGAGCTCTGCATGTGACTTTGTCTAAATCCTCAAAGGGAAAGAAATACGTATTCCTTAATAAGTGAATTAGAATTGCAATCTGCATATCTTAAAACCATTTTTTTTTTTTGCTTAATGGGGGTGCCCTGAAACTAATAATTGTATTTCAAATAAGCTCTCATAATTGTTACTTAATTCTTTTGCCTTTATCTGGAGCCTTTTTTTAATAAAGAGAAAATAAGAAATAAACAAGAAAAAATAAGCTTATCCAAGAACCATTTCTCTTTAGTCCTTCATTTTTCACCAAGAAACATATAGTTTGTGCTAAGAAGTTTTTTTTTTTTTTTTAACCAACCACAAAAAGTTTCCAATGAGTTTCTTAAGAACTTGATTTTATTACAGGGCAAGTAATTATCACAAACATTTAACAGTAATTTAAATGATTTTCCTACTTCATTGTAAACTCCTGAAGGATACGTTTATTTGTTGGAGTCTGAGACTGACATTTTAAAATGTATGATCCTAAATTTGTATTTCCCCCAGCATCCCCAAACTCTGCCTTTCCTCTAAAACTTTACTCACTGCTCTGACATGTTTTGTTGACTGAAAACATTCTCTACATAAACTTCATGGAGTTAGTGTTGAATTTCTGCAGTGAATGCATTTTTCATGATTAAAAGTCACAGCATGCTTCTTGTCTGCGGAACACCGTTCTAGGAGAGCAGTCATTCTTCCTTATGAGTTCCTAAGTCACAACCAGTTTTAAACTTTGATTCATTTCAAGATACGTAGATTTAGCAACAAAATTGTGGCTCTGTGAATTTGGGACAAAGTATCTACTTTGCCATTTTATTTTTATGCAAGTTTTGTATACAAGGAGGACATTCCAGATACACCTTATCAGTCAGGGTCCCAGTAGAAAAGGAATGAAGGATACAATTTAGAATAATTCCAGGAGGATCTAATTACCAAGATGTGGGTTGGTATAGAGGAAGTGTAAGTAGGGGAGGAACCTGGGATTAGCTGTCAAGCAGCTGTGATTATCAGCCCTATGCCTGAAGGGCAACAAGAGGAAGAAGTTACCAGGATCCACAAGGACAGTGTCACAGTAAACAGGCCACCCTCAGAAAAGCAGTGATCTTCTGTTGAAGAACATATCTGTCCTAAGAAGACATTACAGGAAAAAAGGCAGGTAATAAATACCCACCCTTCAGCTCCTGTCTCCCTTTTTCCCTTGTCTTCCTGAGGCTTATATTGACATGAAAGCCAGATGGTGTGGGAGTCCCTTAATGTAGTCCATTAGAGGTCAGTCCATTACAGATGTAAGAAAGATGGAGAAGCTAGAGAAAAGTTCTGGGGGCAAAAGTAAAATGTCCTGCGTAAGCTGTAACACTGTATTACTATAGCAAGGGTCCAACACAACTTGTTTCCGTATCTGCTCTGGCACTTAGCAGACGAGTTACCTTAGGCAAGTTAATTGGGCTCACTAAGCCCGGATTTTCCACTCCGTAGTATGAAGATTCAGATTTCTCCCCTAAAGGGATTAAATGAAAGAATGTAGATATATCACCAAGGCTAGTGCCTGGAACAAAGGAAGAACTTAGAGAGGATTTTTTTCCCCATTCCCTTTCCAAGCGGCAACCGGTTTTCCATAACCATTCTTATTCTCATCCTGATTTCTCCTTTGATTAATATCAGATATACACAGAGAGGATGTCTTACTTCTTGAGAAAATGTGAAGGTATTTGTTCAGGAACTTAACCCACAACTTTATCTTCTTTAGAGCTATGCTAAACCAAATGAATAAACCAACAGTCGCAGGGTAGTTTTCTGATGATAAATTTTAAAGTACTGCATCCAATCAGATATAAGTTAATAAATTTTCATTTTTTAAAAATACTTATTTCCTGAAGTAATTGATAAGGCATGTTTCTCAAATATGTCTGCTTAGTGACTAACTGAGGCTCATGGGTCATTGAAGTGACAGTCCCTTTGTTTCAGGGATAGATTCCCATGGAGAAAGTCAACTCTGTTCTGCTAGTGACACATCTCCATTCATCTGGACCTTCTGTAACCATATCTTGGCTCTTTCAATTAGTATTCGCGAAGTGAGGCCAGATCATAACACCATAAGAAGGCATTCTAAAAAGACAACTTTTAACTGAGTTATTAAAAATGATACAGCATGAAAAGAATAGCTCGAAAGGCAAAAACTGAGAAAAAGGTAGATTTCCCTCAGCCTCAACTTATGAAATATTTACCAACAATTCTTTCTTATTATGTACCCTGAAAATTGCTATCTTTACAAGGAGAATTAGTTTATTTACTTCAGTTCATTAATAGTATCTCACATTTCTTAAGCATGTTAGCATTTATGTGTGTGTGTGTGTGTGTATTACCCTGATAATCTTCAGGATAAAAAAAGCAGGTAGACATATATTCATTCTTCTTCACAGATGAGGAAACGGGCTTGCAGAGATTACAGAACTACTTGGTAACAAAACCAGAAACCAGTCAATAAGCATAAAATATGTAACATCATTTTAATATTCACCCAAATGTTGATTTAAAAGATTCAAGCTGGGCATGGTGTCTCCTACCTGTAATGCCAGCATTTTGGGAGGCTGAGGTAGGAGGATCACTTGAGCCCAAGAGTTTCAGAACAGCCTGGGCAACATATTGAGACACCCATCTCCACAAAAAATTTTAAAAATTAGCTGGGCATGGTGGTGCACACCTGCAGTCCCAGCTACTACTCAGGAAGCTGAGGTGGAGAGATCACTTGAGCCCAGGAGGTCTAGGCTGCCGTGAGCCATGTTCATGATACTGCACTCCAGCCTGAGTGGCAGAAAAAGACCCTGTCTCAAAAAACCAAACCAAACCAAACCAAACCAAACCAAACCAAACCAAACCACATTTCTATGATCCAGACACTGTGCTAGGCCCAGAGATTAAACAATATAATGACTAAATTATCATCTCTTCCCTCAAGACACGTTTCTAGTCCTTTGCTAAATACTGTGTAATAGCTAAAAGTGATCATGTTTTAACCTAAACAATGACCAAATTCTCCTTACTAATTTGGAGACTTTTACTAATTCAGGACTCTTACTAATTCAGTATTTATGTGTGATTGGTGTATCCAATAATCCACATGTTTCTGGAGATGTTTTTCTTAGTTGGTAGAACAGGTGGATATAGAACTGGTCTCCAGGTTGAGGTAACACAATTGATCTCACTCTTTTTATCAACCACAAATTGAGAAATTATAAGTCCCAGAAAAAATCAATCACAACTACTTGCAGATTTAATTCTGCAACATATAGATATTGATTTCTTTTTCCACCCCTTTCCATTCTTCTATCTTTCCTTTCTTCCATATTTCCTTATGAAAACATGTATAGAGCAGTGCCTATTCTGTTGTAGGTTGAAAAGCAAACCTAATTTGAAAATCAAAATTTCCATTGATGAGAAATTTCCAGTTTAAAGGGAAAACATGCAATCAAATCAACAGCCATAAAATGTAATTGTTCTGAGGTGTTCAAGTGTAGGATTCCATGGTAGCATAAAGAGAGAAGGGAGTTCTTGCAAATAGAGCAAAAAAGACAAAGAGGTCTCTAGTGGTTAGGAATGACTGATGCCTGTTAACGAAGGGTAGAAAGATCCAGAGTGAAAGGTTGATATGAGCAAAATGCTGAACAGCTTTATGTGCTGTGCTGGGAAAAACTACCACCAACAGCAATCTTGATTCACAAGAAGAAATGATAGAACTTTACGTTCACTTAGTCAATCTCTCTCTGTCTCTTCATCTCTCATTTTGAAGGATACCTTTATTCTACCTATGGGAGGGTTTCTGACTAAAATTTAAAATTTCAGGGGCCTGTGTCATACTAATATTACATTAACATATAATAAAGACTTAGTAATGAAGACGTTGAATCATGAGGTACTCAGAGAAACACATGATGAAGTAGGGCTGCACCTTTGAAGGATGGCTTGGATTTATTTTATATATACACAAGAGTCATATGCAAAATTGAAACATCTACTGTGGCATGGGTACTTTTATCAGAACAGATGTGTGTCCAATCAAAACAGTTGCTGAAAGTAAGTACATGCTGAAAATCAATGCTGGCTGTGCAGGAAGGAAAAATGCCTCTGAGGACTTGAGATCACTTTTCAAATCCTCCTACCAGAATATTTCTGAGTGTTTTGAGGAAACAAGAGAAAAATAAACATAAAAAAATCAAACCCTTACTACTGGTATTCATGTCCTTATCAATCATCCAACTAATTGATTATACAGCCTTCACTACATGAATTTCCTTCCCAAAGCACCAATTTTCAAATGTGACTCAGTAAACTCCTATGAAAGTCCTAACTCATTAGTCCAGGATGAAAAGTATTCCATGATCATGTCCAGTTAGATTATTTGAACATATTCCTCATATGCTTCCATTAGTTGAGCTATCTGGTCAGACTAAACATGGCCCTACCATCAGTATTCCCTCAAGAAAATTTGGTTTAGCAGAAAGAGCATGAGCTTCGGTTTGGCATAGCTCAGTGTGAATCTTGTTTCTAACTCTGTGACCTTTGGCTACTTCATTAACTTCACTGAATCAGTTTTTTCATTTGGAAAATAAGATGAATAATATCTACCTTGCAGGGCTGTTGTATTAGGGATCATTTTATAAAATGCCAAGTGATGTGCTTTGTACATAATAGCTTCTCAATAAATGGTGGCTGTTATTGTAATTTCTTTCTCTTAGTTTCTATTTGGCAGCTCTTGAGCATTTTTGTCCTCCCCAAGATGCTGTCCCAGTTCCTATACTATCTTCAGTTGATGTCAATTAATTTATTTTAAATTATTAACTGGTAGGGAGTCAAGGGCCCTGGCTCTGACTCTGCCATTGGCACACGTAATAACCTTGAACAACTCACCTGCATTTTCTGGGCTTTAATTTGCATTGCCATAAAGTGAGGCATTTGATTACAATGATTTCTGATGTTGCTTCCTGCCCTATGATTATAGATTCCATGGTATTAATTGGTCGAGAAAGCTTCCCTAGCCCATGATTTGTGAGTTCCTTGGATTCTAGAAAAATTTCTTATACTTCATTTCATCCTAAAAGCCCCCTAAATGTCTAATCTTGATTAATTGATTACTTTTGATGACAATAAGCAATCAATGACTCAGCCCATTGGCTTTTCTTGAGGTCATGTTGATAACAAACGAGTAATGAAAATGGCCACGTATATATGATCTTAAGATTTCTGTTTGATTTTTTTTCTATGCTACTCCAAAAATACTGTCGAATCCTTGGTGAGCATACGCATACACAACCAAGGAAATAAACGAAAGAATATGTGTGCTTTATTGATGAAATTTCCAGGTCTTTTCCTTTGACCTCAATTTGCCATAGATAGAAATGAAAAGCTCCAGACTATTGCCAAATATATGGGTCATAGTGCTTGGTTACACAGTTAGGATTTAATAATGGGACCATTTTGGCAAGAAACCCACATGTGTAGCTATTTAACTGGCAGCAAGTATAGAATATGCATGAAAGAAAAACAATTGTGTCTATCAAATGTGTTCGGGGAAAAAAGGAGAGGTATTTCTAATGTGAAGACGGTTGATGGGCTACAAAAACCAAAATGAAGGCAATTGGTCTTGATAAAGCTGCTCCTTGTATCACTTTTTTTTTCTTTTTGGCCATTTTTAAATGGGACACTCTTAGATACCTTGACTCCAGGCCAATGCCAATTGCCCAGAGCCTATGCAGACTGGATCAGTTTTTTTTCCATGGAACTTAATGATCAATAACCCCTAGTCAACATTATCTTTGTATATATACTCATCAATAACTACATACTTTTCTACCTTCTTTAAATACACTAATTGTTTCTAGCAAACTTTTGCCTTTAAAGAATAGGGACGAGAAGCTCATTTATAGTTAATGTATTACATGCAAGAGATGTTTTGAAAGGTTTACTTCTATTACCATCAACTTCATCATCTTGATAATCCAAATACATAATACTATTAATTCATTCAAAATTTTTATTGATTTTTTTTAATGCCCTGGAAAAATAGCTAAACTCTGGTGGTACAGTAGGGAATGAAACCAGTAAAGTCCCTATTCTTATGGAGATTTTAGTCTAGTAGGTTGAACAGAAAATAAAGAAGCACATGAATGATAACAAAAGAGGTATTTTGAAGGAAATAACTGAGATGTTTAAGAGTAGACTAACAGGATGGGCAATATTTTAGACAGATATCCCAGGGAGGACTCATTGATAAGGCACCATTTAAATTCAGATCTTACATCTGAAAAGTGGCTGTCTTGTAGCATTTTGACAAAGAGCATTATTGAATCCTTTGGGTGGGGCCTTGTGCCAATAGTAAGGAATACCAGAAGGTGTTAGTGCTAGATTCCTGCTCTCAGAAATCACCATATAAGTGGAAAGGTAGCCGGCACAGACCAATAATTATCAGTCCAGTGAATATGGTTTTATGTCTCATCAAAATGTATTATATGTGAGAAGTGAGCAGAGAAACTTGCACGCACTGTAATTGCAAAGCAGTGAATGAGCTGAGAGAAAGTCTCAATCTCAGTCAGTAGAGGAATCAACTTTCAGAGGATGAGTTTTTATTAGAGCTTTGATTATGATCTGAAGTAGGATCTTCACCTATAGCATCTCTCCTCCATTTCAATTTTCGAACCAGGAGAGCAGTGTGGGGTTTTTTTGTTCTTATTTTTAATGTTTTGTCTACAAATTCACAATTTCCAATGGAGTGCTTTATTCACAGTGGGCATCCAGCAAATGTTCTTATTTGCTTAGGTGAAGAGTTTAACACAAAGATGTAGAGTCCATCTACACATGTTAATTGCAATTAATAAAATAAGCTGTGTGAAGGACCAAATATTAAGGAGATGACTTCAACCCAGGCCAGGATTGCAAAGAGGCTGAAACTATTTCATAGAGACTTACCTTGGAATGGCTGCAGAAGCAAATAACCACAGATAGGTCCATGGATCAGTGCAACTCATGCACATTACTTCATTGAAACATTACATATATGAAAAATAACATTCAAGACACTTCATTTAGTGTGGTCGTGGGATGAGAGAGCTCAAGGCTTCTGGCTTTCAGTACTGAAACCAAATATAAGTTGTATGAAAAATGTATCTTCTGCTGTGTGGAAAGAGACATACTAGCTCTGCTAACCCTTTTTTTTTTTAAAGTCAAGATGAAAAACGAGAGGGACATTATTTCCCAGTACTGACCTACAACCCTGCAGAAAGTCTCTTGACTCTTTGAGAAGTATTCTTTGGCCAGGTGTGTGCCTCAAAGTCCCTGAGCTCACAGGTTGTCATGACTTGAAGTGGATACAGAGAACAATTGTTTGACTATAAAACATTTCTGGGTTTGAGGATTCTTTCAAATGCAGTTAGAATGTAGTCACATTGGTACTGGTAGTAATTCTGCACAGTGGCCCACATGATTCAGAACCACACAAGGGTGGTGGATAGGGGGTCAAGCCTCACTTCCCCATGTTGGCACTGAATGGCTACACTGTCCTCTGACACCAATGAATGCCATCAAGCTGCCTGTGAGAGCCTCTTTGTTTCTCATATATCTGTTTCTGTTTGTTTCATTTCATGTCCGATTACGATAAATGGCAGATTCCATTTATTAGATGCAAAACCTATTTCTTTCCATCTTAAGGGGCACTCCTTGATTGCTGTACATGGAATTTGTTGAACAACACTGCAGAGTGCTTTGCAATTTTGTAGACACTTGTATATTGATTTGAGGAATATCAGGATAATATTTCTGGCCAATCATCTCCTCCACCCTATAGCACCAGAGACTGATTGTGTCACCCATTGTTTATTTCTATTAAGGTATCTCCATCTCTACCGATTTTTTATTTAGAGATATACATCTCATTGAGATCTATAATTCTAGGTCACTGATAGCTAGGCATCTCTTTACAGGTTATTCATTAATCAGATCTTCTCATATTGTAAAATCTAGCTGCAAGTCAGAACTGAAGGGATGGAAAATTGGATCTGGGGTGAAAGTGAAGTTGTTTGTTCATCTGCAGCCATAAGAAAGCATGCCTGGCCTGAGTAGGATACTGAAAAAAAGGAAAACAGCTGGGACTTTGGAGTTTAGATGAGGCACAAGGGGATGATAAGAGAACACAAACACTAATGTCAAGTATGTATAAGTTTGACTGTACCATGCCATCAGTCTAGGATCTCACTTCCCCTCCCTCACCTCCCAATAAACCAGAGTAAATTTGAGTCTGTTTTTACTCTTTCTAAAACCTTGGGGTTTCTGGACCTTTCTTCATCTGCCTTCAGTTTGTTTGTGTTCTGTGATGGTCAGGTCAGTAAAAACCTACCCCCAAAGTCCAAGGAAGCTGACAGACTGAAGACAGAGGCTGATATGTCTCAGAAAGAAATATTTAATACAGACTTACTAACAGAAGCCATGTCTGTGTCTCAGGAGATGGTGAGACAAAAGGGTGGAACCATCTACCATTATTCCCCAGATCCAGGACTTATACACCATAGGGGAAGGGTGATTCAGAAGGGATGTGTAGGACAATTGAATTATGATAATATCAAGGTTATTTGGCCTAAGGGTAGGATTTATGGTAAGTACCTGGTTTTACACAAGGAACAACAGATAAACTGGAAATCTTAGAGGACTTTTCGGAACAGGGGTTAATGAGAAGCCAACACGGCAGATTGGCATCCAAGATGGAGTTGCTTTGGCCTCCCCAGCATATATTCCCTTTCCCACTCCTGTGTCTGGGAAGTGCTCAATCAATATAAAAGATATTTCAAGATAAATGTTAGATCATTCAAAACACAAAGACTCGGCTGGGCGTGGTGGCTCACGCCTGTAGTCCCAGCACTTCGGGAGACCAAGGCGGGCAGATCACCTGAGGTCAGCTGTTCGAGACCAGCCTGGCCAACATGGTGAAACCCCGTCTCTGCTGAAAATACAAATATTAGCCAGGCGTGGTAGCGGGCCCCTGTAATCCCAGCTACTCAGGAGGCTAAGGCAGGAGGATCGCTTGAATCTAGGAGGCGGAGGTTGCAGTGAGCTGAGATCGTGCCATTGCACTCTAGCTGGGCCACAAGAACGACACTACGTCTCAAAAAAAAAAAAAAACACAAAGTCTCTGAGAAGATCATACTCTTCTTGATGAAAATCTTGCCTCAGAATAAACCATCTATGCAGGCAAAAATAAAATTTGTCAATTTATGCAATCTCTATTCAAGTGCTCACATAGACCTAACAAGCATTTACACCTGAAATGGGCACTCAAGAAGAATTGTGAATTTTGTTCCCCTTGCATACTCTCCTACCTTAATTTTGAAATGATAGGTTAATCCTGCAATCCCTTGTCATGGAAGGGGCCACATGGAAACTTTTTGTGCATGCTTCTGCATTTTTTCAGAAATGGGAAGTTTTCTTAACCACCTAAGAAAGAAGCATGAGGCAGACACAGCCACATGCCAGCAAGAACCCAGGAACACCATTTCAAGCTGCTGGAATTCACAGACTTCCAATCTGCAAAGGAAAGCAGTTAGTCCATCCAGCTGCGCTTACAACAATGTTAACGAAATTCCCTTTATACGATGGTTTTGCTGAGGTCAGGTGATTACTTCACTAGGCCCCTGCTTGCAAAATTGCAGAGGTCAGGAAAATGTGGGGTGGCTGGAAGCTCATCAGCTGGATAGCTAGAAAAACTAGTTCGGAAAGCTGTCAGTTGAGAGTTGTTTCCAACATATCAGCGGTATGATGTCCAGATAGCAGATTGCATAACAACTAGTGCAGCAAATAGATTGATTTCCCTCCCCTAGAGGAAAATGTTTCACCCAAGGATATGACCCATTTCTTTAGCAGACTTTCTCCATGAGGGTCCTGCTGGACTTAGCACACTTCAGTGCCCAACAGAAAGCAGTATCCAAAAGTTCCAGCAGCCTAATTTTTAACTGGAAATCAAAGACCAGCCCCAAAATATAAGAAAGCATTTCCCAACATATACTCCTTTAACGAAATCAGTTATCTATTACAGCATCCTTCAGAATATATACAAAACCTAATGCCTTAAAATAAAACATCTGTTAAATATCTTTGCAATGTGCGTTTAGCTTGAAAATCTACTTTTTTGCCTCTTCGTTTCCTAATTTCACCTTATTTTGCCTTTTCCAGGTGAAAACTTAATTATATTAAACCTCAAATCATGACATCCTTAATTCTTTTTAAAGTTATTTTCTATTGTTTAGTTCTTTATGTGAGTTATGGTGCAGCAGACTTGACAGAATTCTAATAAATTAATTAATCAAATTAATCAAACTGCCAGATGCTTAAATATAAAATACTATAAATTAGATATTGTTTTTGACAATCACCAAAATTGAGTGTAGTAATCAAATGGCAATTGTACAAGTTATTTTTCTTTCCCACTTTGTTTTACTGTTTTTGATATTTTAGTATGTAACTTTAGATTTAGTTGGGCCAGGAACAAATTATTGGATTCAATAATGGAAATAGTCACTTTCAGCCAAGAAGACTATATGATGGCAAAATGCCAGCTGTAAGTCTCTTGGTTGAGTTGATGAAATCTGAGTCAGTAATGTTCTTCAATGACACACAGAATAATGTGTTTTGGTGCTTTAAGTAATTTCAAGACTTCTAGTTCTGCACACTGCTTTCAGGGAGTTAAAATAATATTTCCATTTTATCGCACCTGAGGTTCAAAAAGGTAAAATAAGCTTCTTAAGATCATAAAGTGATGTTGGAAAGATCCAGAATTCAGGCTTATGCCTCACAACAGTGTCCTTTTGCTATTCAAATGTGACAAATAGGTATTTTATATGTCATTTTCTTTGGCCATGTGCATGGCAGACACTGTTAATCAATGATGATTTGCTTTCCTGCTAAGCATGGAAGCAGCCTCAGAAAATATTGCATCTCATCAAAATAGTCAAGGAATCCACTTGGCAGACGGAATAAAACCTACTTCCTGTCTCTAGGTTGGGCTATGCTCCCTTAAAGAACAGCATCAAGGGGTTCAGATTCAAGCC
The DNA here is from genome assembly GCF_000001405.40 of Homo sapiens. Taxonomy (NCBI): domain Eukaryota; kingdom Metazoa; phylum Chordata; class Mammalia; order Primates; family Hominidae; genus Homo; species Homo sapiens. The sequence goes on from NC_000018.10 coordinate 39,588,287, forward strand.
TTGTGGTAGAAATCAGCTTCTAAGTTAAGAAAGTCAGTTGATTGGCTGACCTATCTCCATTGTTACTCCATATGGATCACCACATGGTACATTTGCTTATGACTATTACTAAGACCCATAAAGGCAACTGTGATGGAGAAGTCAACTATAACCCTTATTATCTAATCATATTTTAAGGATGTGTCTGGAACAAGAGATTTAAATAGACATCTTTCAAGTTAAACTGTCTTTTATATGTATCCATGGTGCAAGTATTATTTTCTTGAGTGGATTAATTACTAAGGCATAATAGTTGCCAAAATATATTTTTTTAAAATTTTGCCTAAAATTAGCAGGTTTAAGCTGGAGATTATGAAAGACAATATTCTTCAAGTGTGTGCTCTATGATTCAAGGGTAAATAGGTCTCACAGGAAAAGTTGAAGAAAGTGGTATTGTTTAGCTTGGCAAAGAGGAGACTAAAGGGTGCTCTGAGAATTGTGTTTGAAATATGATGATCTGTTAAAGAAAGACATCTTTAATAGAGCCTTTAAAGAAGGACAGCTGTTCTTCATCTCCAGTGAGGAAAGAATTGGAAATTGATTTAATAGAAAAATCAGATTTGGGTATAATCAGCCTTTCCTAATTAACCCCACTCCTTTTCTGAATATTACTTTCTCCTTTCTTCATTAGATCCTGGGTATTAGTATACAGCATAACATTCTATATGTATATTCATATTCCTAATATCATCCTTAGATATTTTAGTTTTAGTCTATCAAGAAACATATTGAGTACCTGCCCTTAGTTAAACTTAGTGCATAGGATTTACTTTTGAATCTTTAGTAAGCAACCCAATGGCATGAACAGTTTCCCTAAAAACCAGTTAATGCTTGCCTATGGTTTATTTAGTATCCTGGAATTTTCTGAGTATAAAAAACAAACCTAAATTTACTCTAATTCTCCATGGTGAGCTAAGAATCACTGCAAGTATCTTTTCTTTCTTAACACCACCACTGTAGCCATCACACATATACCCCACAGAGAGCTCTTGCTCATTTTCCAAGTTCTATCACATTACCATATTTATCAGTCACGTATTATATTGTTTTTCAAGGCAAAGTATTTTCACAGAAATAAGAGAAAACCTGGATATCATCTCACATACATCTTTTGTGGAAAATTAGTACATCCAAATAACATTATTGAGTAAATATACAGTAAACCTATTGTATACAATATAATAACAAAATACAAAATACATAAAATCTAAACACAAAAACTCCTGATCCTTCCTCTTCAAAATTACACATGTTAAAGAGGAATGAAGAAATGCTCAGATGTGAATCTCCCAATTTGAGGCAGAGGCTGAGTAGAACTTGAATGTTTTTCAAAAATAGAATTCATCATTGGCAACAGGGAGAGTATCATTGATTGCATCATAGACAAGAGGAGAAAAATGAGGACTTCAAAAGTGGAGGTCTTACATTACCTCTCCCAAAGCCAAGTCAGGATATCAACAGGGAGTTTGGTAATCCCCACTCTTAGAAATTAAATCCTATGCCAGTAGCCTATCTCAACACAACTGGCAGGAAGAAAAGAAGAATGGACATAATTATAAGACCTTTAGAATTTAGAAGAAGTGTGTCCTATGTGATTCTTATTTTTGTTTTCCTAAGTCTCTCTTCCTAAAAACCAATACAATTCCTAATATGAAAATGATGTATGAGCTTGAATTTACGTGCCACAAGAAAGCAAGACCTAAGAAAAATGTGCCCTCAGCTAACATCACACTTAGTGAGAAAGAAAACTAGAGAGGAAAAAGAAGGGAAGAGTATAGAAGGCTAGAAGGAAGGAAAGCTGTCTGATCAGCCAGCCATGGTGGCTCACACCCGGAATCCCAGCACTTTGGGAGGCTGAAGCAGGCAGATCACTTGAGGCCAGGAGTTCAAGACCAGCCTGGCCAACATGGCAAACTCCTGTCTCTACTAAAAATACAAACATAAACTGGGCATGGTGGCGTGCACCTATAATCCCAGCTAGTCAGGAGGCTGAGGTGGGAGAATTGCTTGAAACCAGGAGATGGAGGTTGCAGTGAGCGAGATCGTGCCGCTGCACTCCAGCCTGGGGAACAGAGCGAGACTTAGTCTCAAAAAAAAAAAAAAAAGAAAAAGAAAAAGAAATTGTCTGAGTGCCTTGACATTTCATGAATCCAGGGAGTCCAAGTCTGAGAAGCATGGTTCTGTGTGAGGAGTGGAAAGCCCCATATGGAACTGGCAGAGATTTATAGGAAAATATAGGAGGCTGTATCACTGGAGGTGAGTTATAATTTATGTGTAACCAAAATACTATGCAAAAATAAGGACTGGGAGAATCTTGGAAGACTGCTTATAAGAAATGATTTTTGGCCAAAGGTAGAGAAAGAAGTTGGGCAAATGGATAAGGGAAGTAAAACATTCTAGAAAAATTATAGAGAATGTTTTAGCCATTCCAGAAGTATCAGTTTATGCTTCATATAGTAGGAGATCAGGCTCAAATGTTAGCTTTTTGAAATTCCAGGTTTATAATTGCCCACTATCCCTGACTAAGTATCTGTAAATAGGTAACAAAAAAAGAACTAATGCAAATAATAGTGGATCATTTACATAGGAGACAAACAAATTGAAGAGTAACACCTATTTGTGCTATTGCTTGAAACTAGTCTAATGCTGATACCAGGAAGCATGGTAAATTTATGACTTTTTAAAGATGTCAGAGTTGGAAATTCATCAGTCCTATCATTGTGCCTACCCCATAGTTGGCCTGTGATGGTATAAGCAGAAATGCTTCATAAGAATAGGCCCACAATAAAACAACCAGTGGGAAGAGGTGGCAGATGCTGTCAAATAATTTAATCACCTTAAGAACAAATCAATTATTTTCTTTTATTTTTCGGCTTTTCTCTTTATCATCTCAAAGCATTATAAGCTGATAGTTGGCTAACCCATTAAATATAAGTAATCGAGCACTGGGAACTTTCTAATTTGATTCTTAGCCAGAAACTTCACACACACACACACTCACATACACACACACACACACAAGCATATGTATGCATTACAAGGTGACAATGAAGAACTGAAATAACTTTTAATTTATTTCTGAAATTAGAACCATCTTCTCTCAAAACATTGTGGCAATTGTGGCCAACATATTCATTACTCTCCAGACATAAGTAGAGATTTTAGAAATTCTAAATCTTGTCCTAAGTATCGACTTTGGTCAAAGCATTTGGTTTAGACTCAATCTACATTTCCCCTGAGTTAATGTGGATTAATCACATGAAATTTATTTTATCTATATAGGTTAACATTTGGCAGATTAACCTTTCTTCCTGTACTCAAACTCAAGGTCTTTTTTAAGTTGCTTTGTGTTTTGTTTTTTTTTTTAATTATGACTGATTTTAGGATACAAGTCAATAACTGAGCTCAAATGCATTCTGGGATCCCCTTCCAGCTCCCCCAGGGTCCTTAAGCAGGATCTTGTTAGCACCTGAAAAGTTTGGCACACACTAAAGCAATTAGCTTTCTTTCACACCTAAATTTACCTCCACCCCATGCAAACTTGCAGCTGTTCTCTTGCATTTGTTATTCAAATGATCTCTTTGGCAAACACTGAATCATGAGGCTGAGGCTACATAACCTTATTGGCCTCCTAGGGACCTGGTCCTATTTCTTTACAATATTTTCTTCACTACCTTTACTTGGGGATCTTTTTCCACATTTAGCATTGGGAACTTTGAATGCCTGCTATACTGCCTTTCAAGATATCATTGTGAAAAAAAAATGTACCTTTTTGAACTGTTTACATGTAAGAGTTAGAATTTCCACCGGTTTTGAACTGGATTTTCACTGGTTTTTAACCAGTGATTAGCAAGTAGTTATTTTATCAAAGTACTTATTTATTTTATGGTAGATGTATTAAGTATTTACTGTGTACAAAATACAATATTATTTGACTATGAGTATTAAAAAGTAATTGAAACCTAATTTCCACCTGTATGGGGTCAAAAAAGAAAAGCGTTCTCTTAGCCCTCTGAAGGTTAGCTGGAAATGGACTGATAAGAGTCAGATTAACAGGAGAAATATAATACAAATTGTATTTTAATGTGCAAGGTTGGGGGAATCACAGGAGAGTGATTATCCAAATAACCCAGTGAGGTCAGATGGTCATATACCCCTCTTCATAGTGGCAGAGGAGATGGGGAATGTAGGCAATTATTTTGAGGGGTAGTAAAATGTTTATTAGGAAGAATAAGTGAACCTGGGGAACAGAAATTTGCTTACAAATGATTCCCTTTGGAATTTGATATTATCTTTTGAAAAAGTTTATCCAGGCGTAGTTGCATTCTTCAGTCTTCTACCAGTGATAAAGAATCCAATTCCAAAGAGGGTATAAGGAGGCAATCATGTTCTCTTTGGTGGGACCATCTTGAGGTAGATAAGGGAATAGCAGAGTAAAACTTTTAGCATCTGCTGACCTTCAAGGGCCTTTAATTTAAAATAATCACATTCTGGGGTGCCATATGTTGGGGTGAAATTTTCTGGGCTCCTTCAGATGCATAGTTACACACAAAGCACACCTATGCACAATATAAAGAGAACAATACTTTTATTATGATATTTGAGAAATACTGTAGAGTCCTCAAATAGATCCTAGAAATTCAAGATTAAAAATATTTGTGAGAATTGGGTAATCAAGGTTGGTCAACAAAGAGACATGGAAGAGGAAAGGCGTGTGTCGAACCTTGAAATGTGAAAGTGTTTGAGCATTCATTTGAAGTTCAAATTTAGCATTCCTTTGACAGTTGTCTGTATACCATGAGTTAAAAATAGAAAAGTGGAATGACTATTCCAAGTGGGAGGCTGGTTTGAGTAGATTCATTTAGGAGGAAATCTACACAAATATGGGAAGAGTACTGGTTTTGATAATGAACATCACCTAACACTTTATAAGAAGAAGAATTTTCTACTGGTGAATGTAAAAGGTGAGAAACTATAGGAGGCAGGGCATTTTAAGGCGGAATAACACACATAGAAAACCTTGGTTATCCAAGATAGGTATGAGGGACCCTCAATATCTGAAATACCAATCACAGTGTCCGAGCCCTCCAGGGAATCTGAGCAAGTAATAAGCTGCAAAATTCATGACTAATGTTGCTCTCCCTGAGAAATCAAACGTAAGCACTGTCAAAAGTGTTTAATTCTATTCCTGAAGACCTTGAGGACCATTGGCCTAGTGTAGTGTGTCAAAGCTTATGAAAGACTCTTTCCCTTTTATTTTCTGTATAAAGCGAGCAGAGTTAACTATGGCTGATTAGCAAGGATTGTAGGTACCAGTCTTGCAGGTAGCCAGAGTTATAAGATGGGAAATGATTTTGGAGTCTGTAGATATTCAATCTAAATGACTGTGTTCAATGCGGGTGGCTGGTAACACAAACTCTACAAGAAGTTTAAGATAAACTAAAATGTAAGAAGAATCCAGAAGTTGTGAACATTGTGGTCAAACCTCTGCAAAGGTGACTTACTTATTTTTAGCAAGTTATTTTAAAGAAATATATAATAATTTAAATGTGATAATGTCCATAACATAAAATAAGGAATTTCTATTTTTTTTGACAGTTGCTCTATGTGAACATTCCATATTTATGTAAAGTCAAAGTAACTACTTGGCTATAGTGTTTTATAGGCCATTGTATTTTATATATTATCAGAAGAATTTTTATTATAAATCTTTCTCTCTGTCCTTTCTTCCTTGTTTCTTCCCTTCCTGTCTACTTCTTTTCTTTTCTTTTTCTTTACTTCCTTCCTAATTTGCTTTCTTTCTTCCTTCCTCTCTTCCTTTTTTCTTTCTCATTTTTTCCAATGCTGAAATGTCCATATAAAATATTTGATATACATATAGACATATATCAAATGCTTGACATAGTTCATGTTTTCACTCTTATTTTAAAAACAACCATCTGAAAAGTAGGCCAATATTCATGGTAGGAATTTAAAAGTTTCTTTTAGAATTATAATAAAACCATAGTTCCTTTATAATCCAGAACATTTTGTCCTCATTTCTGTGGCAACCTCAGGCATTCTTCCTACATTTCCAGCTGTCCAGAGTTTCTTCCTGAGATTTTCTTGTGGTGTTTCTTCTTATAATAACATAACAAAACAAATACAAAAATGGACAAACAAAACCACCTTATCATCAGTCTTGAAGCTCTGAGTTTTGGTCTCTTTATTGAGCTTACTGGAAAGATGTCTTTATTACAGTCAACAGCCTCAATTATCTCATCTGGAAAGACAGCAATTAGTTTTCTATGCTATGCAAAGAACTACCACAAACTTAGCTGCTTAATATAATGCACACTTATTATTTCACAGTCTCTGTGGATCAGAAGTCTGGGTCTTCTGCTTAGGTTTCACAAAGTTGCAATAAAGGTATGTTTCAGCTAGGCTGCATTCTCATCTGGATGCTCAACTGGGGAAAATATACTCCCAAGCTCATTTAATTGTTGGCAATTCCCTGTGACTGTATGACTGAGAGCCTCAGGTTCTTGCTGCTTGTTACTTGGAGGTCATTCTTTACTCCTTAGCTCCCTGCTATGTGGTCTTCTCCATAGGCAGTTCATAACATAGAAGCAAGCTGCTATGTTATGAACTGCCTATGGACTTGCAAGTCCACTAGCAAGACTTAATATATAACATAACATAATCATGGTGTGACATCCCATAACCCTTGCCATATTCTACTGGTTAGAAGAAAGTCATAGATTGCATCCACACTCAAAAGGAGAAGATTATACTAGAGCATGAACATCAGGAGTTGGGGGGGATGGGTGTCATAGAGCTACTTTAGAGTTGTCTGCCGAAGATAGGGTATGGTTTAACATTCAAAGAGTCTTCAATCTTGGAAAACAGCAATCAACATGGTTTCATCCATCACAGCCCAGCTGATCATCCCATCTATTTCACAAAGATCCTCAGAGGTAAGAAATATAGTGCTATAAAATAAAGATGATATTGGAGGGCAACCTGTTAGGTGACTGGTGACTGGTGAGTGATGAAGTTGCTGTTCGTTTCACTATTATTTGTGGTATGAAGTCCTGATTTCTAATCTTAGCCATGATTCAGGGCCTATTAATGATGACAGGCCTAATTCCTCTTTAACTTCTTCCTCAACTTTCAAAATATAGATGATGATATACATCAATCTTAGAAGGGCTTAGCATGTAAAGAATTCAACCCAATCTTGTATAGAAACACTTTTGAGTAAGAATTCAGCAGAAAGCATCATAAATTGTTAAAGAGCTGGCATAAAACAGTGCTGGGGAGGAGATAGAGTTTTAATTTAATATAGAGAAGTGAAGGCTAAGGAGTGATTTAATTGCAATCTACAAATATAGGAGAAATCTTTATAAGAAACAAACTATTTTGCATATCCAATGAAACTCAAATTAGATTAAATTAAGGACATAGGGAATATTGTTTGGCTATCATATTTTTTAAAAGGCTTTGAAAAGATTCTACAATCTTCTCTAGGTGAGCTATAAAGTTGAAATTGGCATGTGTTTTAGGATGAATTGGAAATGCCCTTGACATATTTTTTTCTTTTCTTGGATTCTATTTATTTAATATATATAACCTGAAAATGTAGGATTACTTATGAAACAAAAAAATAGCAATTTTTAGTTTTGCTTCCAGAAAAAAATTAGATATTCTCTTCTGAATTTTGATAATATAAGCCAGTTAGTTTGAAGAGTAGACTCACAGTAGTCAGAAAAGGTAGCTGACCAGGGAAGGGTATAAAGGTCTGAAATTTATGTTTACATCACTGGAACACTAATAGCTACGACTATCTTTATATATAAGATAATAAATAATCATTTTATTAAAAGGCTTATGTTGAGCAACAAACTCATGAAAAAAAGGAATGGAGGGAGGAAATTAATAAAGAAGAAACAGAGGAAAAAGAAGAGAGAAAACAACCAATCTGGTTATTTTACCAGACTGATTGGTTGGTAAGAGGTAAGAATACTCAGAAAGTGATGAACATCATGAATTCTTACTGGGAAGGTCACATAGTCCAATCTCAAGAGCAAATGCCTGATCCACTTCAATATCCTTGACTCATCATAGCACAGATTCTTCTGGAATTATTCCTTTGACTTCAGCTCCTTAGTTCATTTGTTTAGATTCTTCTGGAATCATTCCTTTGACTTCAGCTCTTTAGTTCATTTGTTTAGATTCTTCTGGAATCATTCCTTTGACTTCAGCTCTTTAGTTCATTTGTTTCATTGCTGAGTGCTGAGAAAGTTCTTTCTTATCTTGCCCTTCATTCTTTTCCATAGGACTATTGTTTGTTCTCTGTAACAGTGCATAATGACTTTACTTTTTACTTTAACATAGACAACCGTGTACATATGTGAAGATGGCCACTAGGTTTTTACCTTAACATCCTTATTTTTCAGTCACCATCCAGATTTTCATCAGCTATTTAATTATTAAAGAGCCTTAAGTTCTTCCAGAAACTTCTCCTTACCTCTAACAGTAATATACTAGAGAAGAGACAAGATCTTAACAGGCAAATATCCTTAGCTAGATATGGATGGAGTGTTGACTTGCCTACGAATTTAACTTCAAAACCAGTTGCTTAATCAGTTCGTCACAAAGACACAGACTGGCTCATAAAACAACAGATGAGTGAGCACACAATAAAATCTAAGCTGCAAAGGCCATTAAACACTAAAGATATATTGTAGAGTGGAACTTGCTTAGGTAAGAACTTCCTGCCCAGTGCCACGCCACAATGATTAATGTGCACATATGTGAACTTTATGAAAAAGATAACGAATTGATTGTGTTCTTAAATGATGCCATTTTAGACCTGTTTGGCTTCCTCTCCTCCCTCGGGAATCAGCTGACCACACTCTGTTAGTTTAAACAAATGAACGTTTAATGTTGGCCATTCTGCCGACCAAGTTGGGGAAAATGGAATCATTTATCAAAGAAAAACAAAGAAAAATAATGAAGTGGCCTTTTATGCTAGGAAGAAGGTGAAGACCAGTAGTTAGCAAAAAAAGGAGGTTGCCACATTTTCTGATTAAAGATGCAACAGAGGCAGGGCCTTAGGCATGCTTTTATGCTCTGACTTCTGCTCAATATGGGATCAGAGAGTTGATTCTAATCACACCATGAGCTTTTTCTCTCGTTTCTCAATGACAACCTTCTTTGTCAGCTTTAATTTTAATACTAGCCCTTGTAAACACACATGTTTCTTCTTTGTGGTCTTCCAGTGGGTTGTGAATGATGATAAAATAATTAGGGAATCTATCAGTAGAAAATGCAATCTAAGGGCTATTTGTGACAATAGACTAAAGGCTACCTTAGTTATATATCTAACATCTAAAACCAATCAATATGCTGATATCTATTCTACTTAGTACTCTTCTAATAACTGAGGGGAATACAAGGGATATACAAGTGAAAACCTCTGTTCTCAGGAGCTTCTAAATGTTTGAAAAATATGTGCCTTCAAATATATTTATATATATATGAGGATAATAATTTACACACAACCATGTATATCTAATGTATGTGATTATATCATCCCATATATTACTTATATATGTAGTTATACACATATAAATGTGTGTGTGTGTGTATATATATATACACACACACACACATATATATATACACATATATGTAATGACTTCCAAATGTTATGATAATGAGTTCTATGGATTTAAAAAAATCCATTTAAAACGTTACTGTTGGACAAAGTGTTTTGAAAAGTGGTCAAAGAGGCTGAGAAAGATTAATTAGTTCTCTTTTTTTCTTTTCTTAAAAAGCACTGTTTTTCCTGTGAGATTTTATTATTTATGTTCATGTTATTTTAAAGCCAGTTTGAACTGAATATGCAGTGGAACCTTGAATAACATGGGTTTGAACTGTGTGAATCCACTTACATGTGGATTTTTTTCAATAAAAGATACACCTAGTGTGTCTGCCTCTCCTGTGTCCCCTGCCACCTCCTTCACCTCTTCTGCCTCTGCTACCCTTGAGACAACAAGCCCAACCCCTCCTCTTCTTCCTCTTCCTCAGCCTACTCAGCATGGAGACAATGGGAATGAAGACCTTTATGATGATTCATTTTCGCTTTACAAATAGTGAATTTATTTTCTCTTCCATATAATTCTGCTAATAACATTTCTTTTCTGTATTTTCTTTATTGTAAGAATACAGTGTACAATACATATAACATTGAAAATATGTGTTAATTGGCTGTTTTATGTTATCGGTGAAGCTTTCAGTCAACAATAGCCTATTAGTTGTTAAGCTCTGGGGGAGTCCAAAGTTATATGTGAATTTTCAACTGAATGAAAGATTGGTGCCTGTAAACTCCTGAGTTGTTCAAGGGTCAACTGTTCACTTATATATGCTTATGTTACACATACACATGCACAAAATTGATGAATAATTACAAATACTTTCAGTATAAAGATCTATTTAGAAGTATGTATTCTGATCCAGTCATTTCACTCACACTCTGAGGAGGACAGGGAGAATCAGGTAAATTGATGGGGAAGGGAATTTTGATGGATGAAAGCAACTTAAAGGCCTTTTCTCACAGGAAGTGCTGTCATATGACAGCTGACTGAAAATGGCAGGTTTAGAAATTCTCTTAAAATATTTTTTGATGTTTAACATGTAATGAGCGCTTACGTGCCATTCACACATTTACTGGGAATAGGCAGAGTGAATGCCAACCTCTAAAGCCAGATTTAGGTATGCCAGCTGTTAAACTCATCTATGGTTTTGCCCTACTGAGCTGGCCATAGGAGAGAAGGAACTAAGTTCTGCATTAAGCTGAGAGAAGGTGTTTTTGGAATTCACCTTGTATAGAAGGAGCAGAGAAAGTTTTGAGTGTTTGTTCAGAGGGAAACTGTTCAGTAGAGGAGTAGGGAAAAAACGTTAACCTTAACTAGATCAGTAAAGTCAAGAGAAGCTAAAGCTTGGAGAGAATGACAGACAAAACAAAGATAGAAAACTAGCAAAACTACTTTAAGAATGGAAGTATCCACATACATAAAATAAATTCCACTACGAATTTATCAGTCACCTCAGAATTTTCTTCCTTGTTTCCTTTATGAGTAACAAACCAGTTCTTACTGGGGTGTGGCATATTTTTAGAGAAATGAAAGAAAGCCAACTGGTTTTTAATGGATCTATATCTGATTCTTCACAGAAAAAAGTTAATATGTGCTTATTTATCTTTTGACATAGTAGTCATCTCATGTCAATTGAGTGTAAAGATATAATACAAGAGAAGAATAATATATTAAAAGATATTTAGTACCACTATACACTAAGAAAATTTTGGGAACATCTTTATATGCAACAAAAAGGAAAATATCTAAGAAAATTTGAGTAAAGTCCCACAATGGAACTCTCAAGATTGATACATTAGAATCCTATGTACAATATGAAAAATATTTTAACCTATTATAAGAAATGGTTACAATATCCGCTTCTTCTTTTTTCTTACACCATTTCTCAAATGAATAATACAACAGTTAATATATCATGCTTATTATAGATGAAAATTTTCTTCCCATTTTTAAAATTTGAAATTTCTTGTTAACAGCGATAGTGTCTTATTCATTTTTCTATCCCTGTCACAGGGCCCACTCTTTGTCTAATAAACTGAACTGAATTGAAGTATTAAGACTTCAAGAAACGAAAAGTGTTATGTTAGGGCAGTGGGAATTTTTTTTTTTTTTTACTTCCAAATTTATTTTCTTTTTATTATTTTCTGTGAAAACCTACATGGTTACATTTTTTGTTGTTGTTGGTATCTTTAGTTGTACCCACATCCATAGTCAGAGATACAATCAACCCTTAATTGGACATTGTTCACAGATCAATGTCCTTTTGTCTCTTCGGTAGAATCATTTGACTAACATTTTTTAACAGCTACACTCCTGAGGAAGAGTGTGGGAAAAGGAAGGATAATAAGAACCAAAAAATTGGAGAGGTTTCCTGCTGGGCATGCAGAGAATTTAAGACAGACAAAACTACTTAGATTGCTAATTTGAGGTCTTTGAGAAACACTTTCAGATCCAACAGTTTTTCCAGGCTTCCCCAGAATTTATCAAGCTTATCTCCAGTCCTGCCACTCACCCCAGATCTATAGTATCTGTCTGGCCCATAATGTCTGCTCCACAATATCTACAGCCTTCCAGTGGCCACTTGACTACTTTTTCCAGGTTCCAGGATTGCTAAGACTGTTTCTACATCCTCAGTTTTCTTTGGTTCCTCAAAGGACTTGAAAGAAAATTCAGAATTCTATCATTTTGCTCTTACATCCTAATCCCCATACTTACTTCTCTCTCCTCCAAGATGAGAAAATGGCTGTTCCCACACAAGTTCTTGAGGAAATGCCTACCACACTGCATTGTCATATTGAATAATCATTTAATCACTGACTAAATCTGAGACACCCAGATCAGAGGATTCAAAAACTCTGGGAGACTTTAAAAACCTTTCCAAATTAAGCATTTATTGTTACTTCATTGCTCCCTTGCTACTTAATTTTCCTGAATCTAATTTTAGGAGAAATTTGCTCCTGTAGCCTTGCACACTTCATCTCAATCAATACGTTATTCTCCCTAGAGGTCCCAAATTATTCTTTTCAAATGTCTTTTTTATCTACCCTTGGAAACAACACAAGCAAATGGAGTTTGACTTCCAGCTGTCAAATCAAGTGTTGAGGCAAACCCTGTGAGCGTGAATCACACGATCTTGCCTTGTTCAATCTGGGTAATGTGGCACAGTCCCAAGAATTCTCCCCTACTACCAAGAGAGAGAAAGAAGGAAAAAGCAAACGGTACACTTTTTAAAAGTTGGAAAAATATACTTGTTTATACATTATACATTATTCATTCACATACAAACTGGTAGCTAAATAATGAATCCTCATTTATGTTCCTTGGACTTCTTTGATATGTTAGGGTGAAGGTTTGAAATGGAATATTTTAAGTGGACCACCCTGTGATTGCAGTTAAGAATTTAACTCAGGCCTCTTTATAATTTCATTCCTGATAATCCATACCTTGGAAAGTGTATTGACAAGATTTCCCTGTTTGTTTTAGGTACTAAAATTTCCTGGTTGAGACAGGTTAATATTCAAAATGTAAGCAATGCCACATTGTTGATGAGGGCATAAAAAGTTCTATTTGTAAGGAATATTATGAAATATTATTTGAAAAAATTTGTATATCATTATAAATGTGTCACAGAATTTTAAATTCATTTAAGAAACATTATCAATGAATAGATATAATAAAATTTATCACACTGGGAGGAGTGTTAGTTTATGTTATTTACATGTTGGTTGATACATTGTCTCAGTTAAAAACAAAATTATATTTCCTCTGGGCCTGATTTAAAGACAGTTTACTAAGTTTGCTAAAGCATACACACAGACACAGACACAGACACACACACACACTCATACAGATGTTATTGTTTTATAGCTGAACCTTATAGATCCTGTTTCCTTGCCTTGAAGGTCTAATTCTCCTAATTCCTGTGTATTTTCCAGAGGGTCCTAGGCCATAAAAAGTACAAAAGAAAGAAAGAAACTCCCTGCATTCTGCCCTGATGATTGTTGTGTAGCGGCAGTGATGATGTTATTGGAAGTTTTAAAAACTAAAATACCCGATCAGGTTCAGAGACATTACCCAGTTATGTTCTGTGTGCTTTTTATGGTTCATTCAATTTTCATCAAACAAGGGACAGCAATTCGTTATTTTCCATTCTCCACTGTCCCAAATCCTCAGACTCTATCAAAGCACACCTTGAGCTCCACCTCCCACATTGTGCTCCCCACTGGTGCCAATCTTCCAGCTAACTCCATTTCCCCTTTGTAAACGCTCGATGTGCTGACCTATTTAAAAATATAACTCAGGTGCCTGGCGAACCATGATGCCTGCCAGCTCTTCAGATAAAGAGGATCCACTTATTAATCTGCTCTGTCTCCATCTGCCTGCTCAATTGGGATTGACTGCTTGCTGTCCAGACTGATACCAGGGAAATCTGATTGAGGACAAGAATCTCTTTGTACATTTCCCCCACTGATATGGCACAACAGGTTTGTTGCAGCCAGGGAGTTAAGCTGATGTGACATGATGTCAGATGGCCTGCCATTGTACGTCAGAAATTAAAAAGAAAATATTCTTTCAAACTGGAATTCCTCATGTGATTTTTATTTCCTTGGGCTTTGAGCAGATTGAGTATTGAATTGCTTGACTGGAGCCCATGGATAATTTAATACCTGCAACATTCGTCCCCGGGTGAATTTCAGCCACATTTGACTTGTTCAGCATGGCGTCTCAGTCCTAACCATTTCATGGAAATCTTGTAAATATTGATTGATGAAATCCCAAGAAATGCTTTTTTCTAACTCTGATTCTGAAATGTTCCAGAAGAAAACACCTAATCTCTGCATCCCTCCTCCCTACTCCATATCCAGTTGTATAAGAAGTAAATAAGAATTTTGGATTTTTTTTAATCCTTCTCCAGTTAAAACAATCAATTCTTACAACTTAAAAAAAATTAAAATAAAGTGATGTGATTTGTTCCATTAAACTAGGCCTGAGTAAGTAAATGAGCAAATAAATAAACTCAAACCATATAAGTGGAATAAAAATGTTATTATTTCTTATGACACTTTTTTAATACTTCAATTTGAGGTATTGGATACATAATATTAGCTATCCAGGAGAATATAAACATAGTGTATGTTTATATGGTTCTTATGGACTAAATGATGTGAAAAGTATTCTGATTTTAGTAGGAGCTTGTGCTTCTATTGAAAAGATAGATAGAACTAGCCTTGTATCAAATAAATCTAAAATCAAAACTGGATGAACATGAAATTTCCAGAATGTGTTTATTAATGTAAAATTCAGAGAAAAAAGATAGACACAAAAATAAGAGTTAAAGATCTTATAGGAATTCATGTTTAGTAACAAGGAATAAAATATTATCAATTTTTTAATATTCAGCTTTTACTCTTTAGTAAAGGCTAATCATTTGTTAATTTGTGTAAGCGCCAGTGTTTAAAAATTCAGACATGAATGAAATGTGTGGCTGGTTTGTATTGTTTATTGTAAATTAAACAGTCTAAAATGTAAATACTATTGGGGAATATAAAATCTCCTTCATTCAGTGCAAATAACACTGAATAAATTAATAAATTGACTAGCCTCTCTTTAATATTTACATGTTATAAAAGTGTATTTGTATGTGTGTGAGTGTATCTGTGCATATGTGAACACAAGATATTCGAAGCACTAGAGGGAAAATAACTTGGTTAAATAGATGAAGCAAGTACAGAGCAGAAACAAAAGTGGCACAAGTTAAGAATACTTTTCAAGTATCAAGAAATTACCTTAACAAAAAGTAATTATTGGATATTTTCTCAATATATAAAAGGGAAAAATATTGTCCAGAATTTTTAAGACTAAAATATAAGAAGAAAAACAAATCCATAAAAAGATTAATGAAATAAAACAATTCAGTTTTAATCTTGCTGTACTGGCTTAGTGTTTGCCTAGCTATTGAGTCTTTCTTACCTTCATTTCCATTTTCCCCAAATCTTAGAGCGGGAAAGATAGTGCATATTGTTTATACTAGACAGGAGATTGCTTGTGAAATTTGTATTCTTTTCTAGATGAACTGGACTGAAAAGAGGAAACTTGGGAGAAAATTACCCTTTATTGATTACCCTAAATCATACCCTCAAAACCTACTACAAGCATGCATCTCCTTGTTTATTCTCTTCTGGGACCTGAATCAAAGGGGAAGCCCCATTAAAACTGTACTCAGCTCCACAATGAGAGAAAAGCGAGAAATATAAGGGCAGTTGGAAGAGATCACATTACTGGAACCATAAATGGGATTCTTCAGAAAAGTAAGGACTTCCATGACCAAGTAAGACAATTCAGCATGCGATTCAACCGAAGTCTTCATACTACAAACTATGGAAAGGCATGAAAATCTGCAGGATACAAGAATATATTGACTTGCATTTTGTAGGACGTAGTTTAAGTATGATATTCTGCTAACAATAACATCCAAAAGTAAAAAGCTCTGTCTTTTCCATCTCATATGCCACACAAAATTATGTACCTTGATTACTCAATAAGCATCAATCAAAGACTGGCATGAAGGACTCAAAGTGGCAAGTTTCTTCTCAAAAGCAGAGACTTATCAATTCAGGTCAGGCAAACGAAACCTAAGTTTGCAAATAGATCTAGAAGGAAAATTATTTTACAGACTCCTAAGGAATGAAAGCACTATAAACAAGCAAATGTTATTTCCTGGAGAGAGGATGGAAGAGAAAGAAATGAGAAAATAAATGTTGTTCATTATTAATTTGCCATTTGGTTCAAGGAAAATGTTCACAGGCAAAGTTGCTTGTATCTTACACTTAATATTTTTCTCATCACAAGATATAATTTTAATAGTTTTTTTCAAATCATGGTTCCTTCTTATCAAATAAGCTTTTTTCAAGCCAATCAAGGTGGGAGACCAGAAGGTTTAAAAAGAATTCATTATAACAACTCAAATGGAAGATATAAAATAATCTGTTTCAAAGAGTAGAGACTGTTTTCCATCAGCATTTGTAACATGACTCATTATTTCACAATTTCTCATCCGCCCTTCCTCTATTCCTACCCTCAAATGCTCTGTGGTAGAAAACTTCGACCTTGCTGAGAGAAATAATAACACAACATAGCTGCACCATCCATGAGATTAATACCGCCCACCGAAAGAAGCACCTCAACCGGCAAAATACAAGTAAAATGCATGAACACACTGAGGAACTCTTTGCCTTGTTCACCTTCTTTCTAAATAATTCATCAGTTTAATGATAATGACATTCAAATATCATAATTACAGCTGACTCTTTAAAAAATATCAATTCCGGGACCCAAAATGGAGCAACCAGCCCCCACTCCTTTTCCCACCATTAGCTGTTAATGCCAAAATATGATCTTTATTCATTTCACTGACATAATATAAAACCAATGTAGATTTCCCATTTTTTGTAAAATTTTCATCTGCACTATTAGTTTCACTGATAGCAGACTGCAAAATGTTGTTAAGCTACAAGATGGAAGACACTGCAAAAACCTCAGCATGTTAAGAAGCCATAAAATTTTATTCAGTTCATTTACTGCTACAGTCCAGTAACCCTATAGTAAGGGTGTGCTATTTTTATTGTGTATTTATTTAAAGGTTGAATATTCTGTTCCCTGGACTAGATATCTAACAGAGTTAATCTAGATTACTAATACACTGAGTTGTCTTCTACTTTGGGGTTTATCATTTCCTTGAAAGTGTTTTTGTGTTTTGGCTATTGTGAAAGAGATAATAGCAGAATACTGCAAACAAAAGCTTGCCTTTGGATAGGTGGCTCATTTATGCTCAAAATTAAACCACCAGGGTATGGGCCTCACATGACACTGAGGAGAAGGACCCCCTTTTCCCTCCCCTTACTCCATCTTATATCTCTAAAAATACAAATCTCAGTGCATAGTGCAATGAAACACAATGTAAGAGACTTTTATTGGTCAGTCTGGGACTCTGCTGGAGATGCTTGACTGCTTATACAATCCCGCAGAAGTCAGCCACATTTCTCATTTATTGCTTTGTCAGTATGTCTTAGCAGTTTGGCATAAATAGGTAAAATATTTTTAGATTAGCATGAGGTAGAACATGCTTCAGGTCTACTAATAAAACCAGTGCCATCTAAAGCTAGCTTATCTATATATTATATGAAATTTGCAAGATGAGGACACAAACTAGAGAAGAGATATGGTGCACATATTTTGCCAATATATGGATATATTGGATATGTGGAGGAGGGGCCTCCCCCACAGACTTCCTGGGCCATGGAACAATAGCAGTTATGCCAGTGGTGACTCTACTATGAAAAAAAGCACACACGTCAAGTCAAAGGAGCCCAAAAAAGGATAGTAGATGGGACTGTTATTTTTGTATTTGGGTTTTCTCCCTTAGAACTAGGGTATTGGTTGTACTAGCGTTAGCAAATACCCTGGAAATTCATTGTTGTGTAAATATACTTGGGCCTCAGGAGTAACAGTTCCCCTGCTCAGTCCCAATTAAAGGCCACATAGAAACTCCAGGTGCAGTAAATAGATAAACTAGCAACAAAAACTACAATAGCAAACAGGCCAGACAAATGATCTACAGCATCCACAATACATTCTGCCTGTGTCTGTGACTTGTTAGAAACCTAGAAGACAAGCCTGTCCCGACTTGGTCCCCTCATCTATAATACAGGCTGATAAGAGAACCTATGCCAGTTGCAGTGTTTTCTCTTGAAAGTTCAAAACATGTGGTTGATAAAAGCAAAGTGTGCATTTTTAAAGGCACATGAGAGAGAGATTTAAATCACCCGAGATAGTCTGTATTTATTCATTCCACAGAGGTACAAAGGCTCTGTCTGGGTAGCATTAAAGAGTAAAGGTTCAAAAGGAATATGTGAGAGTCCCCAGGAGACGGGAAACATAAGAATGCATTAAAATGAGATGGAGAATGTGTCCCAAAATAGCCAAATAATGACTGTTCGTAGTTACTATCTTGCTAGCATCGATTGTGGAATATTTGAGGGCCTGGGAGAATCAATGTATATGGTAAACAATCACCTCCTAAACTGAAATGTCAGAGATACGATACAGAATAATGAATATAAAATCTAGACAAAACTAATGACCAAACAAGATAAACAAGTTAAAACAAATAAGCCATGAAGGGTGAGTGACTAACGATTGAGTTAGGCATAATTCCAGTGAAAATCTGTCCATTTGAACAGCGTTTGCTGTGTGGTGTCAACACAGGCTGACAGCTGAGCCCGGCGTGCCTCCATTTAGCTTCTGGAATATAAAAATCTGGGCTGTGGATGCTGAGATGCAGAAGCCAGGTAGGTATTCAGGCAGTGGTGGGGAAAAACATTTCCAGATTTTACAATTTTACAACCATCCATTCATCATTTTGAGAGATGAAAGGTTATATCTTCTGCTTATTATGCACCTGGCACAGGGGTCTTACATTCATAGATACTCCCTAAAAATGATTTTCAAACAGTTTTTTTTTCTCCTTTTTTTGGTATGTAATTTTTTAAAGGGTGCTAGAAGTCTTACTTGATATCTCTTTCAATTATCCTTTCTTTTGTGCACCTTCCCTCTTTTTCTATTTTGAATTGATTTGTGAACCCCTTTTTACAGCTAAATGAGTCAGCAGAGATGGGATGTTGATAGATCTCATTGGACTTTGGTCAACATTGTTCTGAAATAAAAGGAGCCAGTAGGGTTTAACGGTACACTCCATCACAGAAAAAGCTCTGCTTCCAGCCTCCAATCATTCAGCAAGTCCTTATAACCTAAAAGGTTATTATTAGATAAACCTGAGATTTTGGCACAATTTGATCTCTACGGTGTCTCTTTTTTTGCCTTAGAGATCTCTTGTTGCTTTATGTCCTGATACTAAAACTTTCACTGGCTTCCTTTTCACCCCAAACATTCTTCTGTTTTCACGTCTAACCTAGACAATTCTCTATTCTGTTCTCTTCAAAACTGAACTGTTGTGGGTCTTGTTTAATAAGCAGCTTCTTTTAAATAATTGTCACAGTGGAAAAGATCTCATATTAGTTGAATGTTTGTAGACAATAAACACTGACTGACAGCATTTTTCCCCCTATAAATATTTGCTTACACAGGAATCTTTCCCTTATATTAAAAAAAAATACATATCTAATGTTGGGAATTTCAGACATAATGGCAAGCAAATAGCAGGAATTTCTTTTGATCAGAGCGGCTTATCTGCACACTGTGTGGGGAAACACCTATTCTGCCTGCAGATAAGGCCTTTGTGATGATGTTTTTGTGAATAATATTTTTAAAATAAAGGGGCCTAGGGGCTAAACATTTTTACTTAGCAGACTTAGCAGAAGGAAACTTTAAATTATAATATTTAGATAAAAATTAAACATATCATTTATGATATATTGTTCTAGCAACTTCATAAGCAAACATGGTTTTAAAATATATATTTGGGTATGAAATTATCCCTAATTACTAGAGAAATAACTATCTTTTCTTGTTATTTATGTGCACCTGCTGGGCACTATCCTTATAATAGGGGCCATTCAATTACAACAGGTGGGGTAAAAACTGTTCTTGACTCTACCTGAACAGATCAATAACACCATGTTGGGCCTAGAAGGCATTCAGGTGAGCCCCTAGTCACTAGCCATCATTGAAGATGACAGAATTTCCATATACTTCCTCCACGCAGTCCAATGTGGTATATGTGTAATCTCTAATACCTTCTACTATATTTGCATTCATATCTTGCATCAAATGGAAAGGTCAATACAAAAACTTAAGGAGAAAGCCACCTGAGTTTCTAAGGTAAATCCTAAAGGTTTATGGTCTTTGTTCAGCTGGTAGGCAACAAGAACTTTGGGACATCACTGAAGTCAATCACTACAGGCTGACATCATGCTGTTTCTTGGAATCCTGTTGGTAGTAACCTTAACTGAATGCTCTACCAGATAAATTGAACAGATTTGGCTCCAGCCTTTGTTGGTCAGATTAATGAAAGTGGTTGATCAAGTCACTTACTCATGGAAAACAATTTTCTACACGCCCAGATGGTATAAAATCAATGGATACGCTGGATGTGGTGGCTCACACCTGTAATCCCAGCACTTTGGGAGGCCAAGACAGGTGGATCACCTGAGGTGAGGAGTTCGAGACCAGCCTGACCAACATGGTGAAACCCCGTCTCTACTAAAAATACAAAAATTAGCCGGATGTGGTGGCGCATGCCTTTAATCCCAGCTACTAGGGAGGTTGAGGCAGGAGAATCGCTTGAACCCAGGAGGCAGAGGATGCAGTGAGCTGAGATCATGCCATTGCACTCCAGCCTGGCAAGAGAGCAGCCTGGAGAGCAAAACTCCGTCAAAACAAAACAAAACAAAAAAACAATGGATGCATATTTTTGGGAGACAATTCTCAGTGGGTATCTTGTATTTCTGCATGTGCTATGAGCAAACATGGTGATTGTCTTTGTTCTGGATTACCTTTTTAAAGATGTTTATATAGTGAAGTGCTTTAGAAAAATAGAGCTCGTGTCTCCCTCAAGAAACAGCAGGTTTGCTTACTGCCTTGGAAATAGAGATAGTGTCTCCCTCTAGAGCACGGGTGTCCAACCCTTTGAATATAGGATTTCTTTGCTTATCTGTGGTGATGAATATCACAGAAATTATACATGGATTTTTTTTAACCTTATCAGCTATTGTTAGTGTTAGTGTATTTTATGTGTGGCCCCAGACAATTCTTCTTCCAATGTGGCCCAGGGATGCCAAAAAGTTGGACACCCATCCTCTAAAGAAAACAGCAGTCAATGCTTTCTGCCTAGTGTAACAAAGATAGTATCTCCCTCTGGAGCTAATAGCAGACTTACTTATTGATCTTTATAAGAGACTTGCCTTCTCAAAACTAACAATTTTTCTCCTAAAATGCAACCCACTATGTGTGCAGGGGTTCCACCCTGTGGAAACTGGTGCTTAGGGAACCAGCATAAGAAATGTTGACAGTCTCACTATTGCTATTGTTGTATTAAAAAAAAGTCATTTGTCTCTGACTCAGGAATGTCTTGACTTCTGCCAGTATCCATGAAGATGTGGCAGGTAAAGTTGTTAGCCTGCAAAAGGGGTAAAATTACATTCCCTTCAGGGTTCCTGGTAGCCCCTGATGGAATAGTGTAGAATAGACTTCCTTTAGCAAACCAGTCATTTGGAGGATCAATTATTAGTATTTCTTGTAAGTTGTGGCTTTCATACTTGCTATCAAGGAATATTCAATCTGAATGTGATCTTAGAAGCTATCCGTCATTCTACGTATGAGAAAATTGAAGCTCTCGTTTATTTACCTAAAACAACACACTTAGTGGCAGAATTTGAGCAGATACTTAATTTTTCTGATTTTCTGTTGGTGTTCTTCTCAGCATATTCCATTGACTATAATAAAAACTAAACTCCATAGTCTACTTTAGTCTCAAAAAGGTAACTGATAGATAATTTTTAGTGAGTAAAGTACAAAAATGGGGAATGAATATTACCTATCCCCTGTGGTAACAGGGTAATGGGTTCACATAACAGTCCAGGTTGACATAGGCCTGGGCTTGGATCTAGCAGTGATTTTCAAATCATGGAAGAAAACACTTTGACAAGGCACATTTTCCTCTTGGCTAGCTGCAGCAACATTTGCAAATGTTCTGAAGTATTCTTTGGATCTTAAATATGTCATGTGCATGGACAACAGGAATTAGCACTTTCTGCATTCATCCAAAATACAGGATTAGTTTCAGCCATCTTTTACACTTTTGAGAAAATCTTCCTTAAAGTGACAATAATTTAACCTCATTTCTCATTTTCTTTTGAGCCTCTACACTCTTATCTCTGAAAGCCAATAGCTTATTTTATGTTTTCTCCTCTTGGTTACTGTACTCCTCAGAATAGGGTATGTTATATACAGTGTAACAAACAACCTCCAAATCTCCTAGGCTTAAAATGAGTTTCATTTCTTGCCCATGCTACATTTCCACTCCAAGTCTTCTGGAGGTTTTCTCCTGCTTTATCCTCACCCTGGGACTCAGGCTGACTGAGCCCCACACCTTGAACACTGTATATTGTCATGACATCAGTTCTTGCAACATTTGTCTTGAGGTAATTTTGCTACCACTGACATTTTACCTGGCAAAGTGTGTGCCACGGTCCTAACCAACTTAAGAGGAGAAAGAAGTGTATATCATGTGCCAGGAAAAGGCAGAAGAAATATGTGGTGACCCATGCTAATGATAGCCACAGTTATATTGACTTAGACTCAAACTTAAAGTTTTGGTTGAATATTTGCTCTCATTCCACAGCTTCACTTCTTATTTGGGATATTCTAATTATTTACATTGATGATTTTTTTCCTTACTCCAAATGATTCAATGCATTACAGTGGGGAATTATTGCATGGTGTTATGTAAGAGAAACTTGTTTGAAGATTTTTTGAAAGATGATGTCAGAGGTTAAAAGAAAGCTAGAAAGAGAACTGAAAAAAAGCAAAGGGAAAGGGTGATTGGTCAAACATTAATAGAGAAGAGAGAGAATTGAAAGAGAGGCAAAATGAAAAGAAGGGAAAGGAAAGAAAGAGAAAAGTGAAAGGAGAATATATTGAAAAGAAAGAAAGCCAGTGGGAAATGAATACTGAGAGCAAAACTTGCACAGTTCAACATGCTTAAAACTCCCTGTTGCGGGGCTCAGGGGGCGGGGAATGGTATGAAAACCTATAAGACATTATTTAAATCTTATGATGTTGTGCCCCAGGGTTGAAACCAAGTCCTGGGCTCATCATCTCCAGTTCCCTGCTGGCTTAAAGAGAAATATGTGTGTATATATATATAGGCAATTGAACAAAAGTTCTGAATCTCAAAGCAACTAATGAAAACACACGCACAAATTCTTGAGATTCTTCTTCTTCCCTAGGGCTCACTTTTTCTTAGAAGAAAAAAAAAATGTGAGAACCCAGCTGAGATCTGAATTTTTCCCCCAACTCAACAGGAAAAGGAGTAGAATATTGCTGGCCCCAAAGTTCAAATACCAGGAGACCAAAATGACACTTCAATAAGTGGAGAAATGCTTGAAAATATTTTTTGGTTGCAAGGTTTTCTTCTCTGTTCATCCCTTTATCTCTCTGATGAATGGCTTTTTAGGGGTGTATGTGTGTATGACTGAGAGAGAGAGAGTGAGAGAGAGGCAGACACAGATAGACAGAGAGAGAGAAAATGAATTAGTGATGTGCTGGCGTCCACTGACATCTAACCATGTAAGTCAAATTAGCCATGATAGGAGTATAGTTACACCATGAAAATCACAACACCACACACACACGTGCACACACACACATAAATCAGGTTTATTTGTTTTTCAGAGAGTTTGTTGCTAAACATTTACCAGCACACCCTAAAGAGAGGAGAAAAAAATATGTGAAGAAAAAGAAAAAAGGAGAAATCAAAGAAAGAGAAAGCAAAAAGAGCATATTTGGATGTGGAAGAAGAAAAAGACAAGTTGAACTGTCTTAAATTCCAGCCCATGAAAGCCTTCCTTTTTTTAAATAAAGTTTTTGTTTTGTTTTGGTCTGGAATGTTTTTCTTTTAGTTTTTCATTTCTTTTTAACCAGTTATAGGCAAATGAGAGTTAAAGAACTATCCATGCACCTAGCTGAGAAACAGCTCTGCTTCTCTGCAGAGACTGAGTCTTTAAGGGTGAAAAACAGACAGCAAACTGCGGCAGATACATGTTTTGGTCCGACCGAGCATTAGACACATTAGTCCTCTCACCTGAAAGGCAAGCAGATTGCCCACTCCATCTGATCTTAGAAATATTGGAGTAAAATATTAGTGATGCTTATATCCCACCATGGAAACTTCTATTCTTTAAAAAATTGATCTCTGTATTTAAAATGCAAAATATCTGACTCATTAACACTTTAAACATTTACATCTAAGTCTGAATGAACATCTGATGTTTTTATACATGGGAAAAAGAGGACTGAAAAATTCAAATGCAAAATTTTTTCATTTTACTTTTTCCTAGGACATTCAGATGACCCACTTATTAATATCCATAAAAGGGGAGAAAATACAAATAGACACACAGGATGGTGTTGATTTCAGATTTAAAATTAAATCAGTCAAAATAAAAGAACAAATTGTAGATTACTGCTTTGTTTTGTTATGTTTTGTTTTTTTCTTTAAAAAGGCTGAGGAAATTTATCAATACATGGGATGGAGAGTAAGATAGCCATCTCAAGGATATATATACTTTCCTACGTTTTCCTTAGCTGGGCTCACTGCAGTTTCACTCTACAGGTGGAAACACCCCAAAATAACAACTCAATTGCATAGCAAACCAGCCTGAAAATTACTACAGTAAGATCCCTTGTCTCCAAGGAGGCCAGAGGCCAGATGACTTCCAAAATTCCCAAATCTAAAGTTCTCTCCCCACTTTGGAGTACAGGCAGCAGGTAGCGTCCAGGGTGTGGTTCCCGGGTGGGTGTGTGTGTCCTCAGATTGAAACAGGAGTGCAAAGGAGGCCACAGGAACTATAGCTGGCCATGTGAATCAAAACAAAAGAATAAGCACATATTGACATGGATTCAAATAATATGATAGAAAATCTCCAAAACAAAGAAAGATGCTCTCTGCTTCTCAGACTCATCTTTTACAAAATGAGCCTACCCCAAATTTTGTTTTCAACTCTAGCATTTTGGGCTGTCACAGGATGAGAACTCAGAAAAATCAGTGTGTGATTACCAGAAATCCTGGGGTTATTCTGTTGCGATTTCTTAGAATTACATAAAAGGACCTTGAAAGTTCCATTCCTTGCCTCCAGGGTAGGCAGGTGAGCATCAAACCAAAAACAAACAAAAACAGAAGAGATTTCATCTCTTCCCCTGCTAAACCATATCAATGTTTAATAACTTCCATCTACGTTTTAACATTTTCTTTCCTGCTTTCTTCTTATTGCAGAAGCATAGTGCTCATGTTTTCTTTGCTGTTGTTTGGCGAGATGCAGAAACCTGAGCATTCTTGTTACACACTGTGTGTATATATGTGTGTGCGTGTGTGTGCCTGTTTATTTTTCTAATGAGTATGTTTGAAGGAGGTGGTAACCCACACAAAGTCTAGAACAGTACTGGACACACACAACACGTTCATTAGTTAGCTGCGGACTAAGCAACTGAACCTGAACCCTTTGCTCCTAGCAGGTTACTCCACTTGTTTTGATGATCTCTTGCTCATTTTGAGCTTGGCTACAGCAATCTGCATCTCCCCATCTTATCCAGGCTTCCTCTGCATCCCCTAACTCCATATAGGCGTACACACACACATGTCTTTGCCTCTCTTAACCTTAACCATTTCTAAAAACCTCCCTTAGACTCCACTCCACACGGGAACCCCCTACTCCCGGGCATCTGTCTTCCTTTGAACCCTGCTGGAGTACATTCTCTTCTTAGGACTAATTGGTCATCTACAGTATGCCTTGAGCTACAATTTGATGCTGTTTCCATGCAGGTCTTATTTCTTCGTTTACGTTATGTGAAATTCAGAAATATACACTACAGTTTATCTCTATAGCACCCCCCGCCTCCACCCGCAGTGCCTAGCTCAGGCTTATGTATATAGCAGCTTGTGATGAGTATTTGTTGAAAGAATGAAGGAAAGAATCAATTCATCACTCAGATAATCAGGTCTTTAGCTGAGTAGCAATGGGCTACTATTTCAAAGATATAATAATTGTCTTTCACACAATCTTTTGTGGAGAGAATATACAATCTGTGTGATTAGGAAAGTCTTTCTCCCACTTGATTACCTATTTTAAGTAAAATTTACACCATTTCTTGAGGTTTTCTGCTCAGATTAGATCAAATTCAATTGGCTTCTTGATTTACACCCCTATTAGTTTCTGCCTCTGTGATGCATATTATGTATACAAAGAAAAATGTCAAAGTCTTTGCCCCCAAAGAATTCATGTTACTATGTGGAGGATAGGAAAAAACATGCTGTTGGACACTGAAAAAGGAATACTCTCCAGGCTATGCCTTGGAGTGGGCCAGGGAAGAACTCAAAATGGTTTGCTTATTTAGTTTATATTCTTTACTTGCATATAAATGGAACCTTGAAAAAAACAATCAATCTCTATGTATGAAATAAATAAACACACATTATGTAATAAAAGAACTAAAATTCTTGTTCTTGACTAATGGTTATATAATTTCTAGTTTTCAAATATGTAGCCCAATGTGTAAAATAATGAAAGTGGAAATAATCTGGTTATGTTGGGAGAAAAGGTCTCATTCTGCTTTCTTTCTCTTTTTTGCCCAGACCCTAGTAAAGGCTCTAAAACACAATTGAAAACTCATGATCAAATAAACACTTGGAGTGGGCATTTAAAAAATTGTTCTAAATCCTGTAGTTCAAGTAGTTGAAGTTAGACTATGTTCCTGCAATCCTAAAGTACATAATTTAGGAAATAAAGTGCTTCTTTCCATATATTTAGGCCTTAACAAGTTTAAAAATAAAAAAAATGGAGAAAATATATATTCAATCATTAGAAAATAGAGGGACAAATCTCATAATTCCAAGAAGTGATATAAAGAAAATACTGAATATATAATAAGATAATTGTAGCTGATAGCACTAAAGTGGACCATCAAGAAACCTCTCCAAAGACTACCCCTCCAAATGTTGAGCTGTTGTTGCCATGAAGAACAATTATTTCCCAAAATAGGGGTACAATTTTTATCAGAGTTATGGCCCACGACCGAAAGAATTGTGTGGCTGACTTGGAAACATTTTCTATGTTTCTGAATATTCATAAGTTGAAAAATTAAAATTAAGATGGACAGAAACACTGCCTTGTTTGTTGTTTTGTTGTTGTTATTTACTCCCAAGTAATATTTTCTCTTTTTTTGCCTGCTATATTTTAAGTGAAGATGTTTTTCCTTTAAAGGTGTGTTAGTCTGTTCTTACATTGCTATAAAGAATTACTGAGACTGAGTAACTTATAAGGAAAATAGGTTTAACTGGCTCACAGTTCTGCAAGCTGTATAGGAAGCACGGCTCGGGAGGCCTCAAGAAACTTACATTTGTGGAGGAAGGTGAAGAGGAAGGAGTCACATCTTACATGGCTGAAGCAGAAGAAGAGAGAGAAGGGGGAAGTGCTACACACTTTAAAACAATCAGATCTTGTGAGAACTCACTCACTATCATGAGAACAGCAAAGGTGATGTCCACCTTTATGAACCAATTACCTCCCACCAGGCCCCTCTTCCAACATTGAGGATTACAATTTGACCTAAGATTTGGGTGGGGACATGAATTCAAACCATATTATTCTGCCCCTGGCCCTTCCCAAATCTCATGTCCTTCTCATCACAGAATACAATCATCCCTTCTCAACAGTCCCCCTCAGCATAAACCCAAAAGTTCACAGTTCAAAGTCTAATCTGAGTCAAGGAAAATGCCTTCTGCTTATGAACCTGTGAAATAAAAAGCAAGTTACTTACCTCAAATATACAATGGGGGTACAGGCATTGGGTAAATATACCCATTCCAAATGAGAGAAATTGGCCAAAACAGAGGGGCTGCAGACTCCATGCAAGTCCAAAACCCAGCAGGGCAGTCATTAAATTTTAAAGCTCCAAAATAATCTCCTTTGACTCTAAGTCTCACATCCAGGCCACACTGATGCAAGAGATGGAGCTCCCAAGGCCTTGGGGAGCTCCACCCCAGTGGCTCTGCAGGGTACAGCCCCCTCAGCTGATATTACAGGCTGGCATTGAGTGCTTGTGGCTTTTCCAGGTGCACAGTATAAACTGTCAGTGGATCTACCATTCTCTCTAGGAGGGAGGATGGTTGCCCTCTTCTCACAGTTCCACTAGGTAGTGCCCCTGTGTCTGGGGGGAGGGGGGCAAACCCACATTTTGCCTCTGCACTGAAGCAGAGGAAAATCTGCCCTTGGAGCAGGTTTCTGTCTGAACATCCAGGATTTTCATACATCCTCTGAAATCCAGGCAGAGGCTCCCAAGCCTCAACGCTTGCCCTCTGTGTACCTGCAGGCTTAACACCGCATGGACGCCAACAACGCCTACAACTTGCAGCCTCTGGATCAGTGGCCTGAGGTACATTTGGGGCCCTTTTAGCCACTGTTAAAACTGAAGTGGCTAGGACGCAAGGAGCAGTGTCCCAAGGTTTCACAGAGAAGCAGGGCCCTGGGCCCAGCCCACAAAACCTCCCAGGCCTCTGGACTTCAGATGGGAGGGGCTGCTGTGAAGGTCTCCGAAAGGCGTTTTTTTTGTTTTTTTTTTTTGAGACAAAATCTCGCTCTGTCACCCAGGCTGGAGTGCAGTGGCATGATCTTGACTCACTGCAACCTCTGCCTCCCAGGTTCAAACAATTCTCCTGCTTCAGCCTCCTGATTAGCTGGGATTACAGGCACATGCCACCATGCCCAGCTAATTTTTGTATTTTTAGTAGAGAAGAGGTTTTGCCATGTTGGCCAGACTGGTCTCAAACTCCTGACCTCAAGTAATCTGCCCACTTTGTCCTCCCAAAGTGCTGGGATTATAGGCATGAGCCATCGGTGCCCAGCCTGAAATGTCTTTGGGGCATTTTTTCCCACTGTCTTGTTTGTTAACATGTGGCTCCTGTTCACTTATGCAAATTTTTGCAGCTGGCTTGAATTCCTCCCCCGAAAATGATTTTTTTTTTTTTTTTGAGACGGATCTTGCTCTGTCACCCAGGCTGGAATGCAATGGCACAATCTCTGCTCACTGCAACCTCTGCCTCCCAGGTTCAAGTGATTCTCCTAAGTCAGCCTCCTGAGTAGCTGGGATTACAGGTGTGCACCACCATGCTCAGCTAATTTTTGTATTTTTAGTAGAGATGGGGTTTTGCCATATTGGTCAGACTGGTCTGGAACTCCTGACTTTGTGACCCATGCACCTCAGCTTCCCAAAGTGCTGGGATTACAGGGGTGAGCCACTGCACCTGGCCGAAAATGGATTTTTATTTTCTACCACATGGTCAGGTTGCAAATTGTCTAAACTGTTATGATCTGCTTCCCTTTTAAATATAAGTTCCAGTTTCAGATAATCTCTTTGCTCACGCATAGGATCATACACTGTTAGAAGCAGCCAGGCCCATCTTGAATGCTCTGCTGCTTAGAAATTCCTTCCATCAAATACCCTAAATCATCATGTTCAAGTTCAAATTTCATAGATCCCTACAGCAGGCGCACACTGTCACCAGTCTCTTTGCTAAAGCATAGCAGAGTTGAGAGGTGACAACATGCTGGCGGCTCCCGCTCACTCTCGACGCCTCCTCGGCCTTGGCGCCCACTCTGGTCATGCTTGAGGAGCCCTTCAGCCCGCCGCTGCACTGTGGAGCCCCTGTCTGGGCTGGCCAAGGCTGGAGCGGCTCCCTCTGCTTGGGGGGAGGTGTGGAGGGAGAGGCGTGGGTGGGAACTGGGGCAACGCGCAGCGCTCATGGGCCAGCACAAGTTCCAGGTGGGTGTGGGCTCGGCGGGACCGCAATCAGAGCGTCCGGTCTGAGCTGCCGGCCCAGGGTAGTGAGGGGCTTAGCACCAAGGCCAGCAGCTGCTGAGGGGGCTCCGGGTGCCCCATCACTGCTGGCCTGCCCGTGCCATGCTTGAATTCTTGCCAGGCCTCAGCTGCTTCCCTGCAGGGCAGGGCTCAGGACCTGCAGCCCGCCATGCCCAAGCCTCCCCAACCCTCCCCCCACCCCGTGGGCTCCTGCGTGGCCCAAGCCTCCCCAACAAGCACCGCCTCCTGCTCTGTGGCGCCGGGTCCCATCGACCGCCCAAGGGCTGAGGAGTGCAGGCATGCAGCGCGGTACTGGCAGGCAGCTCCGCCTGTGGCCCTGGTGCAGGATCCGCTAGGTGAAGCCAGCTGGGCTCTTGAGTCTAGCTGGGACTTGGAGAACCTTTATGCATAGCTGGAGGATTGTATACACACCAGTCAGCACCCTGAGTCTAGCTTAAGGTTTGTAAATGTACCAATCAGTGCTCTGTGTCTAGCTAATCTAGTGGGGACTTGGAGAACTTTTGTTTCTAGCTCAGGGATTGTAAACGCACCAAACTGCACCCTGTCAAAACGGACCAATCAGCTCTCTGTAAAATGGACCAATCAGCAGGACGTGGGTGGGGCCACATAAGGGAATAAAAGCAGGCTGCCCCAGCCAGCAGTGGCAACCCTCTCAGGGTCCTCTTCCGCACTGTGGAAGCTTTGTTCTTTCGCTCTTTGCAATAAATCTTGCTGCTGCTCGCTTTTTGGGTCCGCACGTTCTTTATGAGCTGTAACACTCAGCACGAAGGTCTGCAGCTTCACTCCTGAGGCCAGCAAGACCACGAACCCACCGGGAGGAATAAACAACTCCAGATGGGAGTATTGAACAACTACAGACGCGCTGCCTTAAGAGCTGTAACATTCACGGGAAGGTCTGCAGCTTCACTCCTGAAGCCAGCGAGACCACCAACCCACCAGAAGGAAGAAACTCCGAATACGTGTGAACATCAGAAGGAACAAACTTTGGACACACCATCTTTAAGAACTGTGACACTCACCGCGAGGGTCCGCAGCTTCATTCTTGAAGTCAGTGAGACAAGGAACCCACCAATTTGGGACACAGAGTGACCTTTACTCCAGTTCCTAGTAAATTTCTCATCTCATCTGAGACCTCCTCAGCCTGGACTTTATTTTCGTATCACTATCAGCATTTTGGTCACAACCATTCAACACAACTCTAGGAAGTTCCAAACTTTCTTTCGTCTTCCTGTTTTCTTTTGAACCCCACAAACTGTTCCAACCTCTGCCCATTACCCAGTTCTAAAGCTCCTTCCATGTTTTCAGGTATCTTATTAGCAATGCCTCACTTCCTGGTACCAATTTTCTGTGTTAGTTCGTTCTTACACTGCTATAAAGAACTACCTGAGAATGGGTAATTTATAAAGAAAAGGGTTTTAATTGACTCACAGTTCTGCAGGCTGTACAGGAAGCATGGCTAAGGAGGCCTCAGGAAACTTACAATTATGGCAGAAGGTGAAGGAGAAGCAGACAGATCTTACATGGCCAAACAAGGAGGAAGAGGGCAAAGAAGTTGTTGCCACACACTTCTTTAAACAACTGGATATCATGAGAACTCGCTTAGTATCACGAGAACAGCAAGAGGAAAGTCCTCTCCCATGATCCAGTCATCTCTCCCCAGGCTCCTCCTCCAACAGTGGAGGTTACAATTTGGCATGAGATTTGTGTGGGTGCACTAATCTAAACTATATCATATAGCCACTGTGACCACAAAGTCAATCATAGTATAAGCATATTTAAGTCACACATTCATTATAGATCTTGTCTTCACAGGCCCTCCCTGGGTCACAACTTCAAGATTTTAGATAAAGAGGTCAAGCTGGCTTGGGTGTGCATGCAATTCATAAGGGTCAGAAGAAAAGACAGTTGGCTCTGCCCTTTCCTGAACTATAAAACCAGCCATAGTCCTCTGAAGGAGGTGTGTGCTTGAGATTTTGATCCATTGTGCTGTAATTAATGACTTAGGGGGAAAGGCATTAAGATGTAGGTTTGAAACTGCAAATTACTAGAACAACTGCCTGTTTCATATTCTGCTATTTACAAACTGTGGTGGGGGAAAACAGTAACAACCTATAAGGAATCTTGAAAAAAGAAACTGCGTGACAGAGGAGATCATTGTTCTCTGTATTGCAACACACATTCAGAGGCCCTTGAAGTGAAATAACTTAGATATTTTTTTCTTTTTTGTTTGTTTTCTGTTTTTCCCTTTGGGCCGTCTACAAGTGAACCAGTCTAAATTGGTTTAATCAATCAATAGGAATTTGCAATTCTATGCTAAGTGCAACAACAGATAGTAAAAGACTATAAAATACAAAGAGGTATTCTGTGAAATTGGGGCATACAAGAGACAGGCTTCCCCTGCTCCTTTGATCAGTCTCTCAGATATCTCCTAGGGCTTGAATACCAGACATGTCACCACTTCCAAATACTTCAATATTGGCTACCAGAGGAGAAAGATTCACTTCTGGTCTGTCATTCTAATATGGTCTTTAGACCCATGGGGCTAAGTGATAAAGGTTCACAAGTCTTCTGTAATATTGAAAACAAACAAACAAACAAGAAAACACTAAATTAAAGCCTTTTTCAGGTAACTAAGAAAAACCTGCTCAGACTTAGATCAATGTCAGGCTTCTTTGCTTTGTGTAAAGTAACAACTCATTGGAATAACTCTGGTTGAAGTGATATAGCTTGTGCTGATCAAAAAATTTGGAGAGTATATACCTATGATTAGTAAAAATGTCAAAAAGCCTATTGCTAAATAATTTAAAATGTGGAGTCCTCAGTGGAAAAATTATCTGTGTGCCTATTATTGGGGTTCAGAAAACAATACCCAAAAATATGACAATGTGCTCTTCCAAACAAAGCACAGGATTTAGGCTTTTCTCTGAAATTTCCTTATCTACTTTAAGACTGGACCTGCCAAAGGAACCCAACTGCCCTCCATTCCCTCTCTGAAATCTCATTACCTATCACAGAAAAGAAGACAGGAATGCAACCATATCTGGAGGGACATTTTTATAAGATAATGTCTCTCAGCCTTATTTGAATTCCAAAGAGAATCATTTCCAAGTTAATTTTTGTCTGTTGAGTCCATTCATTCCCCCTAAAAATCATTTACTACCCCTCAAAATTGCTACAACCTTGATTGCCCCTTCTCCTGAGAAGGTTATATAAATACCTGGACCTCATTGAGTTATTGGGCCATCATTCTCCTGTGATTCCCTCGTACTCCTGCACATTAAATAAATGTTGTATGCCTTTTTGTATTATTAATCTGCCTATTTTCAGTTTATTTTCAGCAAACCTTTAGAGGGCAGAGGGGAAGCTTTCTTTGCTCCTACAGTATATACCAATGAGATTTACAGAGGCAAAATGAGAACTTTATTTTCTAAAAGCAATCTGCAGACTGGGGAGATGCAGCCTTCAGTGCAAACCAAAATACACACCGAAGAGGAGTCAAGGAGTAGAAAATTATTATAAAGGCAAAAACCATAGGATGGAAGGGAATCAGTTGTAGACTCTAGGTTGGATGGCCCTTAAGCAAGACATCACAAGACTCTATTGACTGGCTTAGGTGGTCTGTGGGTGGTCAGTTGAGGAATTTTCACCAGCAATCTATCTTAGGATAAATAACAGAAACTGGTTTAGTTTGATTGCAGAAAGAGGTCCTGTGACACTTTTAAAACATTTTCCCAAGAATACAGAGTATGTGATCCCTTCCTCACCCAGCCTTGGCTGCCTGGTTCTGTTTTAACCTTGAGCACCTCAGTTAGCCAAGAGAAGTCCATTTTGTCCATCAGCCAAGAGCATATTTTAACAGTGTGTGGAATAGAAACCCAAACCCTAAGTGAATCCTTCTTTATATGAGTCTCTTTGTACCATTTTCTCTACTCTCCAGCTCAGACATGAATTTAAATTTTCCTTTTTGCCCCAATTTTTATCTATAGATTCCTCAAAGTAGTCTGAGGAATGTGAGGTATGTAACATTTTTCATGCCCAGAGAACCATGAGCATGAGACTTCACTCACCCTCTCATCCCACACATCCATGCTTGGAGGGTAATTGTTTAAAGGCATTTGGTTTTTTTCTTTCCTTCCGTGTAGTTTCCAGACTAGCTGATAAACTTCCTAAAATATTACCCCAAGTTTTACAATGTGACTCTCACCTATTTTCTTCATGTTCC
This sequence comes from Homo sapiens, assembly GCF_000001405.40. NCBI lineage: Eukaryota > Metazoa > Chordata > Mammalia > Primates > Hominidae > Homo > Homo sapiens. The sequence goes on from NC_000018.10 coordinate 39,622,796, forward strand.
TGGGATTTATGATACAAAGAATAATAAATAGTCAACAGCTTATTATTTCAATAAACAATATACCTTATTTAAAAAATTTTTAGGAACTGCCTCTAACTTCTACTTCTTCATTTTTTCTTTGAAAATCCACTTGGAACTGCTGTAAATGCTAACAGCAGCATATATTCAGGACTACTTGAATCTATGACTCTTGGACAGCAGTCCTCAACCTTGGCACAAATAAACTGTTCAATTATATTAATTTTGCTTCATTTTCAACCTTTAGGTGCACAGAATGTTAGAATAGGTAGCTAGGCAGACATGAGCATGGCAGGAGAGGGCCTTCTACCCCGTGAAGGGCAACCATAGCTGGTGCCAGGAAATGGCAGTCTCCCAAAAGACAGAAAACACGCGAAACTGGTGATCAGTAGCTTCCTAAGATCTCAGGAGTTTGGTGAGCAGGCTTAAGTATGCACAGTAAAAGGCAAAATGGTAGAGTTTAATTGGTATATGACCTTCCTCTAGGAACACTCCACTGGTAAGGGAAAAATGCCTCAAATGAGCATGTGCACAATTGCAGTAAACACTGTGCATGCAGCCCCTCTCAAGTGCTGACAGACCACTGCACGTATGTACAGATAGCCAGCCCAAAAAAAAATCAAGGGAGATGAAATGCAAACCCCAGAACCACGCCAATGTATAAAACCCCAAGTCAAGGGTCGGATGGAGAGCACGTGGATCTCTCAAGTCACCCACTTGGCCCTTTTCCATGTTTACTTTACTTCTTTTCATTCCTACTGTAAAACTTTTTAATAAGCTTTCACTCCTGTATTCCTAGGCTTACTATGACTGATCAATAAAGGTCACTGAGATTCAGATCATAAGATTTAGATGGGTAAATATGGCAAATATTAGGGTATTTTCATTCTTTCCTCTGGGAGTCAATGTTATCTCTCACAAATATGAATGTTACATTAATACTAACTGACAATATTAAGACTGTTAAATGAGCTTTCCTCTATCCCAGCATCTTGTTTTGAAGCATGGTGTTCTAGGTGTTAGGAAGTAGAATTTTACATACTCTTTTCTTTAAAGGTCAATATGACCTATTATTTGATGGAGAATTTCATGTTAACACAAACAGATTGTTGTGAGGAAAAGTTAAAAATGCACACAGTTTTAAAATACAACGCAAGATTCAAAGAAACTAAATGTTTGTAAACTATTGCTTATATCCAAGTACTTGAATCCCTGATAGTACGTTTCCTTTTTTCTGACTTTAACAAAATAATAGCATTTTCTGAGCCCTTACTATGTGCCAGTCACATACTTAATCCCTTCATACATCCATTATTTTATTTAATTCTCACAACAATTCTAGGGTGTAGGCATTATCACTACCATTTTAGATGTATGAAAACTGTTCATAAAATGTTAAGTAACTTAGCTAAAGTCATCAGTAATGTATAGTATTCAGATTCAAAGTCACGTTTATTTGAATCCCAAGATCACTTTTCTTGGCAGAATTAAATAATTAATTTAAGAAATTGAGAATTACTGATTACCAATCACAGTAAGAATTAGAGGTTTATATGCCTTGAGATCTCAACTTAGATCTTCCAGAAATCAATTTTAACATCTGGACAGCTAGTTAAAGATACTGTGCCAGAATAAAACCTAATTTCCAAGTAACAAACATTTCCTTTTAAGTTTGATTAATGATAATTATTATGCCAGGATACACTTAACTATGTATTAAATGAAATGATTAGTTTAAATCATGTAAGCCTGAGGATGAAGAACAAGACTTGTATTGTGTTAACTCCAATGAAAATAGGACAAAGGTGACTTTATGCTTGATTTAACTAACCTGTTTGCATATTGGCTTGCAGTTTCATACAGGTTACATAAGATTTAAGTGCTAATCATGTTCTGAGGTTGAGGAATGTTGTTGCTGTTATAAATGAATGTAGATTCCCATCTCTTCCCTCAACATGCTCTTTCCCTTACCCTCCACATCATCTAGTCCCATTGCTTTAAAAAGCATCTATATATTGTGATTCTTCAACTCATATATCCTAATTTTCTCTCTTTTCAGAACACCAAATTTAAACATTTTACTGCATCCTTGCCCTCTCCATATATAAATCTGAAGTGTATCCACGCTTTGTGTAGCCAAAACAAGACTACGGATAACACCTCTTCCTACCCCAACCTAATCAGCTTCATTTCCACTCTCAGTTTCTATCTGAATACAAATTATTCTAAGGTAGAGTCCTTACTACCTAATAGAGCTGTTTCATCTGTCAAGAATGTGCCTCCTCCTGATATCTGCATTTCGTCTTAGCGTATTTGTTTCTTTTTAGCATTGTCAAGGAATGACTCAAAGATACTTAGTTGGAGTGTAATTGAATATGCACATATGTGAGGGAGCTCAATGCTGTATAGATCATCTCTCCAAACAAAGATAAAGGACGAGTTTATAAAAGTGAAAACTGCAGACTATCTGTGAAACACAGTCCTGTATTTGTTTGCTATTTATTGGCCTGTTTGGTTGTTGTTGTTGTTGTTGTTTTCCCTTGGGTAAGCTGATTGAATGAAGGCCATTGAGAGGGCAGTTTGCCCTTAATTAGGTCCACATAGTTGTCAAAGAAAGCAAAACCAATTTTTAAGGTTTTTGAGAAGCCTTGTGATTTCAATTGGTGTGTTATATCTCTATGCATGGGTGATTGATTGTATTTTGGTCAATACCTAAACCTTATTTAGGCCAGACTCACACCATTTTCCTTCATTATAATTTATCATCATTAATATCATAGCTCATATCATCCTCTGAGACAGACTTTCTTTGAGCCATCAGCAATGGTAGCTACACATTTCATCTCTTTCACATCCCCTGACTTAATTTTCTTTACTGAACATAACTTGGTCTGATTTTAAAATGTTTAACCATTGATTTACTTACTGTCCCCTCTTTCTCCATGAAATGCACGTTCCAAGAAAGCTGAGCTATTTTCCCCCAAGAACAATGATAGAGTAGATGTTGAATACATATTTATTGAAAATCATGATGACTTTTTAAATGAATAAACATCGGCCATCATGTGCCTTACCTTAGGCAATGAGTTCCAGACCCAATTTTATAGTATAACATTTCTTAAACTCCATCCTATCACCACACTCTGCTCCTGTCACCGTGGACTCTAAGCACTATACTTTCTTCACCATTCTGATGCTTGTGTGTATCTAGCTTCTAGCTTGTGTGTGAAGCTAGAAGATCTAGCTTCTCTTGCTTTGTTCAACTCATCCATCCAGTCTGTAAACCCAAACATTATTTTTCTTATAATGGCAACAGTAATATCTAAATATATATTTTATTGTGAAAAACCTCAATAACTGCAGACATATACAGAACAAACTTTAAGCCTATTCTCACTTAAACACCAAAATTGTACAAATCTCATCAGAGGAAATTGCTGTTAACAATTTAGGCTTCATCCTTCCAGACAATTTTTTCAAATGAAAGCTCACATTTCTCATCAGTGTCTATTCCTCACAAGTCCATCTTCCAAGGAAAGCTTCCTTGATTCCCAGAACAATCTGGCTTTTCCTCTAAGATAGTCTTTTGGCTGAATGGCATATGGCTTTGAACTGAAAATTAACTTTTCATCTAAACAGGACATTTTATCCCATTAAGACTCTGAACTCTACTAGAGGCAAGAAGATTTCTTGTACTTTGAATTTCCCACTGTCCTAGGCACAGTGTACTTTTTTTTAATAAAGAAAGTAGATATCTTGAAATATCTGTGAGATTTGTATAGAGAAAAACTGAAAGTGTGGCATACAGCCTGGAAATCATAAAGAACACATCCAACTAAGTTCAGCTCTATTATGCGCTTTTGTTATCAACAATGCTTTAGACTCTGTGGGCTATATTTATCTGAAATAGAGGTTATTATTAAAAAGTGTTTTTATATCATCTTCAATACATGATTATTTTAAAACTTGTTTAAAAATGGGATTAAAATAAAAATGCATCTTTTTAAAGTTTAAGAATTTTTATAATCAGATTGAAACAGGAAAGTTCCCTGACCACCTCATGGCACATGAGACAGGGGTGTGGCTCATTTGTTTGTCCATCCCATGCTCAAAGTCCTTATAGGAGGGGGAGCATGCAGGTGAGCAGGTGCAGGAGTCTGGGTGAGTGGTTTTAGGCTCCGTCCTGTGGCAGTGTCTAGGGGTGTTACAGTGCTCTTTTAGCCTTGCCATTCCGGAATGGCTTAAATGTTAAACAGTTCAGTGAAAGCTCAGTGTGACATCCTTTTTGGGTTCCCACACCCAGTGCATCCTGAATTCTTGTCCAGTGTCCGGGAAGAATCAGGTCACACAGACTTGAAGGATGGCAAATGTGGGGATTTTATTCAGTGATGGAGGTGTTTCTCGGCTAGATGTAAAGCTGCAGAGGGGATGGAGTGGGAAGATGATTTTTCCCTGGAGTTTGACTTTCCTGTGGCTTACCTCCTCTCTGACTGTCCCCAGCCAAACTCCTCTCAACATTCAGATGCCTCCTCTCTTTTCTCCTTCTCTGCCATGCCACTCTGCTGCTCTGCTGCTTGTGGAGCCTGGGGTTTGGAGTTTATGTAGGTACAGGATGGGGGGTGGGTGGGCATGGTGGGCCAAAAGGCAACATTTGGGTGCAAAAACAGGAATGGCTTTTCTCATTTAGGGCCATGGGTTTTCAGGCTTGAGGGTGGGGCCTTTGCCAGGGAACCATCCTCTTATACCCAATATTTCCCTGTATCCTGTCCATACCAAGATTATTTCAATATAGATCCTCAGACCAAAAACTCTTGAATAGCTATCTCACTACTATTTTGGTTGCAGACATTGATTTTGTTACTTTCTTCTTTTGGAGAGATCTGGTTAGTTTATTATTGTTGTCTTTTTATTTTATTATGCTATTATTGGCCAAATCATCAGAGAAAATATGTGAATGCATGAGAGAACTAAAGATTTATTCAATTTAATCAAAGTCTAAATAACTTGGGAGTCTGAAAGGATACACAGACACAAATTTAAGATCTTATAAATATATATGCCTAAACACATACGTATAAATTATATATATAAAAAATATATATTTTTATGTATATATCAAATGCCACGTGTGGTCTTTTTGTGTAGTGAAAAGATTAACCAACATTTAGAAGACTTATTTTGTAATTCCAATGCTGACCTATACTCACTGTTCTTGTGACTTGGACAGCATCTCTCTTGGGAAGTATTTCTCTCTTGGGAAATACTAGGACAGATAGTTTATCCAGTTGGCTACGCAGCTAAACATGCCCACACAAATATTCAGTGTTTATGTTTGCATATATGTATGAATTACTGATGTGGTTTGGGGGTAACCCCTCCCAAATCTCATCTTGAATTGTAGTTTGTATAATCCCTATGTGTCGTGGAAGGGATCCAGTGGGAGGTAATTGAATCACGGGGGCAGTTATCTCCATGCTGTTCTCGTGATAGTGAGTGAGTTCTCATGAGATCTGATGGTTTTATAAAGGGCAGTTACCCTGCACAGGCCATGCCTTTGCCCCTCCTTCACCTTCTGCCACTGATTTTGAGGCCTCCCCAGCCATGTGAAACTGTGAGTCCATTAAACCTTGTTTTTCTTTATAAATTACTCAGTCTTGAATGTATCCTTAGAGCAGTGTGAGAATAGACAAATGCAATTACCCTGGTTTCTGAAGTCACACTTAGAACATATTTTCACTGAATATACTATTGTTACCTGACTTTACTGCAAAACCCTAGGCTTACTACTTAATTTTATATCACTCCCTTCAAAACTAGAAAAAGAACCTTTTTTCCCTTTGACTTGTGGCATGACTGCCGGCAACAACCTACTGCTGAAGTGCCTGAGTAAACAGAGAATAGGAGATTTCTTAAACAAGTGAATTATTTAAATCTGCATATGCAGTGAGACCTGTTAGGCAAAACTTCTGCTTATAAGACCCCCAGGCTCTTAGGAAGATATTTGATATGTAATTTCCTAAACTGCTTACTGTAGTTTTTGCATCTTATTGTTTATTTTGCACGAAATTGTATTGTCAGTAGGAATGTTCCCAGAGAGAGCTTTGATTGAAATATGCTTGGATGAGCATTAGGCTTTTTTTTTTTTTGCATGTAATAATATTAAATCTTCAAGTTATTGCTAGTTGGATATTTGCCAAGATTTGAATACAAACGGTTTCTTTTTCGTGTTTTCATTCTGTGTGGTTCTTTTAAATAATGCACATTTTCCCCTGAGTTAAGCAAAAAAGATGTAAAAATAAATGATATGTATTTAATTAGTAAACACAAATATTTCTAACACATGCCCGCTCCATTTCTAGGGTAAGAGAGGGTTCCCCAGATTCCTTTGTTCTTACAGCCTCATTTTTCTCTGGCTTTCTAGTCTATGGCTACTGGCTTTGAAGTCAACTCACTTTGGGCCAAAGAAAATCTTATATTAACCTGGTATATTCAAGTCAATAGGTTAGTAGGTACCAAACACTGTATCTGACAACCTATTGACTTGAATATGCAGGGTCATGAAGCCTTAAGAGTTCTTGACAAGGCTGTTTTTCATTGCCCTGAACTCTGGCTCCAGGACCCTGCTCTTCCTGGTATAGGGAGCAGAGCAAGTTTTCCCACATGAGACCAGTTTTCAAACATAACTGGCCAATCACTGTTGTAAAACCAATCATTCCTAACGCGAGAGATCTGTCAGACAGCACCAACACACACACACACACACACACACACACACACACACACACAGAATGTATTTTTTAAATATAAGAATTCACACAACATTCTGAAACATTTCAAATATCCTGACTTTTTTTTTTCTCCTCAACTTTTGGTTTTGGTTTGGTTTGGTTTTCGCCCTTCTTCTCTTTCTTCCTTCTCCTTTGATACTTTGACTTCTTTCCTTTCTCTCTGCCTCTTTGTTTCTCACTATTTTTCTGTCTCTTCATCTCTGTTCTTCTGTACTTTTCTCTCTTTCTCTCTTCTTTTTCTCCTTGTAGGGACATTTTTAAAAGGCACACCTTCTTAAGGTTCCATCTAGTCTCCTTCCTTTTTCTACCAGTTTCTCAACTGACAAGAACTGAGTTATAGATGATGTCCTCAGTGGCCTACAAAAGGCAAATATGATAATATACAATTCTTGGTGTAATTATGGTCTAAATAGTTTTAAAGTGGACTGAAAACTTGGTGCCTAGTTTGCAGGAAAAGTACAAGGAAGAAGTAGGGAGCAGGTTCCTTGCTGTTTTGCCAAGCATTTAAGTTGAAGTCCAACTCTTTTTCCATATTTACAGCTTCTCTGTTCTACAGTAATTTCTCTCTCTGTATGATTCCCTATTATTTGATAATCTACAGCTCATAATTGAACTAGTCTATGATTTTGTCATGTGTCTTACCCTTGATCCAACACACCCCTACAGTGTAAAATGTATTCTTTGGGAAAAGAACTGATATCATGTCTTGCTTGTGTATGACTAGGCCACATTCATGTAAAAATTCACCAAATATTTTCTCAGTGATTAAGTTGTAGTTCATTAATGTCCTAATTATTAATATTTTTATTATGTGTATAGTATAGGAACAAATAGACTCCGTCCAAGTTAAATCATCCTTTGTTATGGATCTCCATGTAGCCAAATACTTTCTAAGTGAAAAAAGTTCTCATCTCTATTCTTTTTCCATTGTTGACAATATTATAGCCTCTTTTTTCCTCCACCAGGAAGACGTAAAAAGTAACTACCATATTCATTTTCGTGTGGACTTCCAAGTTCTTCAGTCACACACCCTTTCTGAGAGCAGGTCAGTTTTCTAGATGACTTGCAGTAAGAAAATTTACTTGATCACAAACCTGTCCCTGATCTGTAGGGACTGGAGAGTTTAAAAAATCATTTCAAGGTAAGTATACATTCAATTGGCTGTTGGAAAGAAAATACTAATAAACAGAATGAATCATGACTTAATTTGAATATTGTGCTGATTAGCTTCAGGTTTGGTATTCTTGATAAGTCTCTTACCATTACCCTGGTAATTGAACACTGGCTCCAGTAATAAAGGTAGGGCCAACTGTTCATCCAACAACAAACCAGGAAGGAATTAAGAGCTTGGCAATAATGATGCAGCTTAGAAAGTAAACGTCTTGCATTTTGGGGGACAGACTTATTTCTTGGGATTAGGAACCCATTACAATTTTTGTTACGTGTTTTTCTTTCACTATGAGCTTTAAGACTGCTCAATCAAGCTGTTTCAATGTTCTCATCTCCCTGTCCTCATTACTTTGAGCAAAAGATTTATTGTTCCCTACTTTGGAGGGTGTTGCTTGTATGCAATTATGTTGGCTTAATTGTAGTTCATTCTTCTTCATATATTGTTGTGTGACCTCATGCTCACTTTATTGTGGGATGTCGCTGTCAGGCCTAATCCCTGGAAAGATGTAAGTACATTAGAATTCATTACAAAAAGAAAGAAAAACACAAATTGGGGTGGAAGGAAGCTCACAAATTGGGAAGTAGCTTAACCTGCTGCTACTGCCTTGGGAGACAAAAAAAAAAAAAAAAAAAAAAACCCGGGTAAAATCATCTCCAGTGCAGCCTTAATCCACATCTGCAACCTCACAGTCACCAGTGTAAAGTTCTATCATGGAAAAGACTAAAGTCAAACTAGGGCTAAACTTAAAAATGGTAATATGTTTGTCTCCCTTCCTTTTCTATTCTTTTGTTTCTGGGCTTTCTTCAACAACACACACATTCCCCCTCCACCTCACACACCCCACCCAACCCCCAGCATTAGAAACTGTTATTCTAGCCCATTCCTCCAGGATATCAAAACATGATTTCAGGCAAGCATCAGAAACTCATTAAATATAGGGTGGCCCTGCAGTGGGAATGCCTGTTTTGTGTGTCTTTACCTTGCACATAAATTGGAAGTCTTGCACAGGCACAACTGCTGGGCCTCAACCCCAGGTTTTTTCACTGAGCAGTTGTGAAGTGTGGCCTAAGAATTTGCATTTCTATGAAGTTCTGAAGCAATGTAGATGCCACCAGTCTGGGGACTAGCCTTGAAGAACCAGTGAGCTACTGATCTACCTGCTTTCTTCAAATGTTAGCTTAATTGACACAAGAAGCCCAGTAAGAGCAAGTTGGCCTCTCAGCACAGCCTCCAAGCCTGGCCTTTCCTGGCCTTGTCCCTTACTCTGAGAGGTGAGCTTGCTCTTTGGGAGGATAGCTCTCTGATAACCTAATTCACCACCTCAGACTGACTTGTGTCAGCTTGCTGCTCCTCCTAGTAAATATCTGCACTTCTAGGGTAAGTGGCAGTGGTGGTTGTGGATGTTGCTACCGGAGAAGAATGAATGTCTTAGGATACAATTAAGTGACAGAAGAAGATAGGTGATATTGCTGGAACAGAGCAGACCTACCACATGACCTATTCAGGCTGAGCTGAACTCTCATGCAGCCATTCCTGGGCTTCTTAGACTTTCCTTCCCACTGCCCCTGTTGCACAGGAGCTCAGACACATAGCTTTATGATCCAGGAACCAACTAGGGTGTCTCAGGATATCACTTTGTCTAAAATTTCATGAGATTCTTACTCATCAACATATATGTGCTCTTAAACATATATAAAATGGTATTTTGAATTTCTGACTATTGGATAAAACTATATTTCATTCATGTATTTCTCCTTGTTACCAAACTCTTGGAAGGTCTATTGTAGTTTTAAAGTTTAGACTTACTCCTTGTAGTGTAGACTTGTTCCTGCTGCATCTGTGTGAGCCAGTTGCTGCATGGATTCCTTAAACTTTTGTGAGTCTCTCTATAGCCTTCTGCCTTCAGAGTTCATGCATGTACTTTTTCTTCCATTGTTTCAGGTATAGCCAACCTATACGGGGCAATTGGACTTACTGTTTTTAACTATTCATGTCCCTGGACATGTAATCAAGAAAGTGGAAGTTGAGAAATAAGGTATTGTCCTCTGATTTCAGAGGAGACAGAAGCCCTTGCTAGCTCCATCCTCCAAACGCAGGTTTCTTGACTAATGTCTGAAATTCCAGTGTGCCACTTAGCTCCTATTAATGTGCATCCATAAAGCCTAGCCTAGTGCTTGGCATGTAAGATATTCAATACGTGGCCGAATAATATATAAATAAGTGAATTTACTTATCCTAGGGGTTCAATTAAAAAGACATTACCTGGTATTCTTAGACTGCTGGCACCTAGGGCTGATTTTCCCTTACATTCCAACATGATGAAGGCTTTAAGAGCAAGCTTTGATATGTAATTGTTCCTCAAGGGGTATTCAAGGTGGGAGATGTGGGAAAAGACAGGGACACAAAAGGTACATTTTTAGACCCCAGATTTGACCCTCAGGCGGACCCTCCAGCGGTCTCCACCTGTCATCATCCTACTCTGGTTTCTGCCTCCTCTGATTTGAACCTAAGACTGTGCCAGTTAGCTCTCTAGCTCCTATCTATGGTTGCTGAGAATATAAGCACTAAAATACTGACTAGATGTTAAACAGAAATTCTATATGTGAAATGTCATAGTATAGTGCCTGACCCATAAGTAGTCACTCATCCATACTTGATTCTTTTGAATCAAATCACTGTCCTCCTTGGACCCCTGCCATTCCAACTTTTTCTGCCTCTGTGTTTGTTAATATTTTGCTTCTAATCTGTGATCTACTCTGGGGAAATTCCCTAGGATTGAGCCTGATGAGGGGATTGGTATAAGGCAGAAGAAGAAGGGAGATGAGAGCATAATGTAGTGAAGTCCAAAAAACTTGAGCTAACTCAGAAAGTTGCCAGATAATTGATCCACAGATAAAAAGCAGATAGAGATTCTGGGCTAGGTCCATTAAAAAGGATATGACTGTGGAGTGGGAATTTCTACCCCATCTTCAGGAAGCTTAAGTAGGGAGATGACATTTAGCCTGTGTAATTCTTAAATATTAACAAAAACATGTTTCGGTCTCCTTTTCAGCTCATTCTCACTGTCTCCTCCTTTATCTTCTCACTCCCTCCTGTCACCTCACAACCTCAAGTCCCACTCAGACTCATTACTTTAAAAACCCAGCAAGTGATTCTATTCTCCCCTTTTCTCCTGTCTTTGGTTACATAACTTCTCTGACTCAAATGTTTCTATACCACATCAACTTTATTTTTTTTTCCAATGGATCATGCACAGACCACATCTTTTCTTTCTTCTCTGTATTTTTCCAGAAATAGTTCAGGTATTTCCCATGAGACAATTTTTCACAATGTAAACGCATCCAGTTCAATTTTATTTTTCCCCTGCTATGTTAAAACTCTGTCCCAGTTAACACAGTACATTTTCTCTCTCCTTTTTTTCTCACTCATTAACTATTTTATTCTCATTCTCATTATTGCAATCATGATTCCAACAATAGGCTAATCATAAATTGAAATTTTAAAGTATCGTTAGTGATATACCTGTATTAAAGCAAGGACATCATACAATTTGAAGCAGCAATTAGGAATAATTGAGATCCACTGCCAATAACATTTAAACCCATGGAAATGCCCATAAGTCCCCTTTGAAATATCAGCAAAATTTCTACCTACCTCTTCATTCTTCTCTAATTAAAAAGACTTGCTCAGTGTTAGCATAAAATACACATAACAAATATATTATTTGAATTTTACATTCTTTGTTCTATTGAATTACTAGTGTAGTAAAGACATTATATTTTACACTGTTTTATTTTACATTGTTTTATTTTGAACATACAGCCTAATGAGTTAATTAAGCATTGGAATAGTCTTCCAGAAATGCCAGTCACTATAATTAGTATCATCCCAATGGAAAAATAGAAAATATTACAAATAATTAATTTATATACAAACTTTCAGAAAATAGCTGGTAGTTGTATTCTGCTGAGATGATAAAGTTACCTTTCTTCATTTTTTTTTTTTTTGCCCTGTTTGATTGCTGAATGGCTTCTAAAAAGTATCAGATTTTATTGTACATTAGGGGTACACTGAATGATTTTGGAACAAGTTGAGTGTTAACAAATGCAATAAAAGCAACTAAATTATTGAGCAGGAAATGCCTTTTGACTTCTTAGCTGGAGAAAAATAACTTAGTTAGAATTTCTGGTATACCTAGAAATGAGGAAGATGAATTCAGCATCAATAACGGATATCCAAATTTATAGAGAAAAACCAAAGGCAGGTTTGTAAAGTGTTAATGAAAAAACTAACCCAGAATCAAAAAGTGGTATCTGTGTCTCAAAATGAAGTCTTCAGAATATTTGCATAAATACTATTCACTAAATAGTTCCCTATAACTTTGAGTTTAGATATGGCCACAAAATGTGTTGTATCTAAAGAAGAATAAATAGAAGCATGGATTTCACTTCTGGGTGGAAGTTTCAAGGGGATCAGTCCAACATACTTTCTTTTCCTATGGTAAGTCAGCCTCTAGCTGAACTACATTTGTATATTTAGGAAAGAAAAAAAAATAACTTTAATTGTTCAAAGTCCCTGAGATTAGGGGTTTGTTTGTTATTGCAATGGAACCTAGCCCATTCTGACTAGCAAAGCTCAGTTAAAAGCCCAGTTAAAATATAAATTTCTGGGACTGCTCAGGTTCATGAAATAATACATTCCTTTTGTTTTGTTTTTCTTTTTAACTCTAAGCCAGTTCAAATTATATTCCAGCTTACTAAGACAGCAGTGTAACCCATTTATTACCTGAGGGAGTAACCTCAACCAAATTACTCAATTCTTTGGAGTCTCAGTTTTCTCATCTGTAGAACTTCACAGTGTTTTCATAACAGTTTAAGGAGATAATCCATGCAAATATTTTAGTGCATTGCCACACTCAATGTAAGTAGTTTTATTAGTGTTAATTATAATGCTTAGACATTTAGTAAGACAAATATTCTGAAAGATATAACATATTTTGCATTTTTCTGTTAAACACATATAACTTTCAAAAGTATCCATTGTTTATTTTCTGTACTGTAACAGTCCCTCTCTAAGTAACTATATGGATGATAAAGATCTGGCTAAACTGCAATTTTTTTCCCTATCTTCTAGGTCAATAACACTTCCTGGTTATTATTCCTGGGATATTCCTCTTGGGTAAAAAGACATTTCTGTTTTCTTGAGAGCTCAATGTTTTTCCATATCACTAAAGTCTGAAGTGTAGAAAAAAAAAACCAGTTTAAATTATTATTATATTTTTGGCTTCTCACTACAGTAAAACATAATTTGGCTGAAATAATGAGATTCAATTGCTCATAAGTAAACTGTAGCTTAAACAATGACAGTTGGGCAGTATTTGTTGTTGAGTCTCCTGTTTCAGCAGCAAGCATTGTTATTGACTCATTTTTGACATATTTTCTACAGATTAAGAATTTGGTAAAGGGGCCAAGAAAAAAAATACCAGAGTGCTAGACTGAATTCTAACAAGGTGAAACTATTCTACACTAAGCTCTGATCTCCTTTTCAAGAACTTCTTAACCATAATTTAGCAAACATAGATTCACTATGGAATCTATGGAAAGTGACACAACTATCTGTTTTTTGTATTACATATTTTTCAGTTTCCAGATACTAGATTAAAAAATTTTGATCTGCCTAAATTCTAATTAATATGATTAAATTTCCTTAGAAGAGTATGTTATTACTTCTAGTGTATTGGAAGGCAAATACCAAGGCACATGAGTTGCAAATGACCTTTACTGCACTGAGAGATTTACTTACATGTGACACACTGGTTTACTGACATTCTCCATCCCTGTGTTGTTTGAGGCATAGAAAAAGCAAATAGATTTCACTTGAGTGACACTTCTAAGTGAAGGAAGGTCATTTTAATCATCTCCAATCTTCTTTTGTGAACCCATCTCTAGACTTTTAAATGCCTGATAATCTTTTCACTTGGTAGCCGTTATTCTGGTATGGTTATAAAAGTCAGAAGTAAAAGTCCTATTCCATAGTGTCTCATAGCATCTTTCTAGAAACAATAAACAAAGCAAAACAAAACCCTGTAAATTTGGGTAGGAAAGTAGGGGTTCAGAACCAAATAGATATTCAGAACAGATAATGATCCTGTATCTGGGTTCCAGAAGTCCTCTTCTGCCTCCCTGACAAGCAGAACAGACCTTGCTTCAGTTTCTTATTGATATCATTTATGGGCAGTCTTGGTGGTGGCAGTTGTTTTGGGGATGAGATTTTACCTCTTTAGGAAAATGTCCTGACAGGCAGGAGAACTGCACATGTTGCCAGGGAGGCAGAAAGAACAAAGGTCATCCCTCTGGTTGCCCACCCACTTCATCCTACTGTGAACTGTGGCCCCTGACTTTGGCTTTATCAGATCCCTCCTAGGCAAAGCTTCACTGTCTTTTATCTAGTTCTTCAGAATTTAACTTTTCTGAGTGAGAGGTAACTAGGTGCTATGGTCTGAATGTTTGTGCCTGGATGATTCATCTGCGTGATAAAACCTTGGCCTGCACAACCCCTTATTATAATCCAGACATTCGTTTCTATGTTAATAACTCTTTCAACTAATTACCAATCAGAAAATCTTTAAATCTACATATAACCTGGTAGCCTCCTCCCACCCCACTTTGAGTTGTCCTGTCTTTCCAAATCAAAGCAGTGCACATCTTACATGTACTGATTGATGTCTCATGTCTCCCTAAAATGTATAAAACCAAGCTGTACCCTGACCACCTTGGGCACATGTCATCAAGACCTCCTGAGGCTGTGTCACAGGTGCATCCTTAACCTTGGCAAAATAAACTTTCTAAATTGATTGAGACTTGTCTCAGATACTTTTGGTTTATACCCTTATAAAGGAGGCATGAGGGAGATTTTTTGCCCCTTCTGCCATGTGAGGACACAGCAAAAATGTTACATCTTTGAAGCAAAGAACGAGCCCTTACCAGACACTGAATCTGCTAGTACCTTGATCTTAGACTTCCAGCCTCCATAACAGTGAGCAATATATATCTGTTGTTTATAAATTGCCCAGTCTGAGGTATTTTGTTATGGCAGCCTGAATAACTAAGACACTAGTATTACCAACTATTGCTGTCTAATGAAACAAAATGCAGTTTTAAAGTTGAGATAATAATGGATGCTAATAATATATACACCCTTCAAAATCTAGAACAGATTTTATTTTTCCATTTAACCTTCTTTGACTATCTCAGTATAAAGTGATAACCAGCCCCTGCCCCTTGACTTCTGTTCCTTCTCACTCACCTGCTGCTTGCTGTTATTACTTAGTATTTTATGTGAATAAAATATGACTGTTATGCAATATCACTACTTTTTTCTATCAGAACTTATACCTTGAAATGATTACTGTCCCTTGGGCAATTATACAATTATTTTAATAATGGAGCCCTAACTTAGAACACTGCTTGAATTCCTCTTTTGGAATTTTCTTCAAAGCTTGTAGCACATTTTTTTTTTGAAAGCCTCAATAGTGGTAAATCTTCATCTCTTGCAGATGGATTCAATTTTTAGAAATAGCTAAAAGTCATTCAGAGCCAAGTCTAGTGAATAAGATGAGTGATCAAGCTGGGTAATGCAGTTTTTGGTTAAAAACAAGATTTGATTATAACCTAATGAGACTTATATTCTTGTGCTGCTCACAAATTGACTCTGAGAGGAATTCCAAAACAGAGTTCTAAAACCGAAGCATGGCAGTTTTCTTTAAATAGATGGCTAGTGTTTGATGGTGACTAGGCTTATGCTAAGGCACAGAAATTGGAACTAAACACATTATTTTATAGATTAAAAAAACTGGAGATCAAAAAGGTGAACTCACTGGCCGAGGTTCAGTAGACTAAGAATACAATGTCTAACAGTTGCAATAATCCAATAATAAAGTATCTTGGGAGGTGCTAAATAAACACTTTAGATGGTATTGATTAAATCACAAGGAGGAAATGCACATGTTGCAATAAGCCAGGTAGGATTGTTCATAAACTAAAGGGAATGTTAAGACTTTGGTCTGGGTGTAATTTGCAGTGCTCCAAAATCTTTTAATATTTACAAAACGCAGAGCTGACATTGAGCTCCAAGACTCACCATGAGTGTTCTCATCAGAACACATTAAGTCTTATCTTTAGAAGAAACCATGGAGTTTATTTGGCTCACCTACTCATGAGGAGGTTGATCTGTACAATACAAAAGATTACATTAATATTTTGGCTGTTTTCATCTCTTTAGGGATGGACAGCTCATATTGAGACACTCACTTGCAGCTCCATTTATTAAACTTTAATTTCTAAATTAAGCTGAAATTGCTGTATTCTCTATGTATTATAACTATCTCTGAAAACTCTCTGACCATAAGGTACAACCTGAATAAATATAGTAACTTATATATATTTAAAGAAAATCATCAAAAATATCTGTCTTCTCTTCTTAAAACTAAATATTCCATTATCTTCAAACTTCCCGCATATGAAGTAATATCCAAGCCTCATTCCTATACGGGTGGCCTTTAAAACGTGAAATTCTTTTAGAAAATTGATACATTAAAATTGTTACGGCCATCCTCCGGGCAAAACCCAGTTTCTCTATTTGTCTCTTGAAAGGTGGGATTTTGAAACATGCATATATAAGAGACGTTTGCCTACCCAGAGTGAAACTGGACTGGCTTTTCCTTAAATATGGGATTACAGCCTCTATTAATGGAGATCATTCCAAAGTAGCCAAAATATTACATTTTTTTTGAGAGCTTGGCCTCATGTGTCACATTTTTATGTTTGTTAATATTGAAAGCCAGTGAAATCTGGTCTCTGGCCTCTATTTCATAATATTTTCTCTGGATTCATATCCCCTTTTCCCCCAAACAGTTTATATTATTTTCAAAATACTTCAGACTTTTAAACATCTTTCATTCACAATTTTACTTGATTCTCTCAGTTGTCTAAGAAAATCAGGCATTATTATCTTCCCTTATGGGTAAACTATCTGAGAGTTGTGATTGTGAAAACCAGCTATTAGGGGTTAAAGAAATTGCACATAATTATACACGTTGTTTAGCAAACACTACTTGGAGAAAAGAGGGCAATAGGTATAGAGTACTTGCTTTAAAAAATCATGAAAAGCAAAGAAGAAAATAATCTCACTCAGGGACAGCAGAATTAAAATGAAGAGATTTTAAAACAGATTTTTTTAGTTATAGAAGGTAAGTCTTTAATGCTGTTTAAAAATCATTGACCACATCTCTCTTCTACACTCTGCTTTGTGTTAAGTAACTTAACAGATGTAAGAGATGATATGGGACTGGTGTTTGAAGAGTTTACAAATAAATTGGAAAACCAGGTTTGCACACTTAAAACTATGAGATCACTTCTAATGTAAAAAAGTATAAAATGTGTGAAATATATTTTCTAAATAAAGGATGTTTCTGAAATATATCAAGGCTATTAACCGAAACCTTACCCATTGCTCAAGCTCTTAAGGCTCTTTTAGTTCATCAAAACATTTTGAACTAATTTTGTTTTTTTTTTTTGAGGTGGAGTTTCGCTCTTGTTGCCCAGGCTGGAGTGCAATGGCACGATCTCCGGCTCAGCACAACCTCTGCCTCCTGGGTTCAAGCAATTCTCCTGCCTCAGCCTCCCGAGCAGCTAGGATTACAGGCCACCACATCCAGCTAATTTTGTATTTTTAGTAGAGACAGGTTTCTCCATGTTGGTCAGGGTGGTCTCGAACTCCCAACCTGAGGTGATCCACCTGCCTCGGCCTCCCAAAGTGCTGGGATTATAGGCATGAGCCACTACGCCTGGCTTGATACCATTTCACTATAGTGTTCATCTTCAATATTTCAGCACTAGATGAAGAAATAGGAACCCATATGATTACATTAAAATTTTCCATAACATGACTAAAAAATAAACGGAAGAGGTCACCACACATTAAACTATTGGACTAAGGGACAAATTTTAACTTTTACTTAAAAACTCTTTGACAATAAATAATGGTCCATGAGGAATCCATGTTTAACTCATGGCTTCTTGTGTTCCGAGATCACACAATTCCCATTCAAATGCTTTGTTTAATACAGTGTAAATATATGAAATTGACCCATCTCTGGTACCTTTGGCCAGCTTCTGAAATCATATGAAAATTGCGTTTTGCTTTGGTCTGCTTCTGAAATCAAGTGTTTTGATTAACTTCAGAAGTCAAGTGCACAACAAGGATTTTATGAATTCACCTTAACTTTTCTTTCTAGGTTAGAAATGGCAAATAACATTATATTTGCATAAATATTATGAACTAAAATCTATTAAGAATATAATATAACTCCTGTGACATACCTAAAAGATTACAAAAGACAATGTGTTCAGTGTGCCCTTTGAGAATCTCAGTCTGAACATTAGAAAAATGATTTACAAGATGGGGCAGGAAGTGCAGTAATTGGAGGTACGGACGGAGGGTCATAAGAACCCTGGAGACAGAAAGTCAGGAGAGCTATGTAAGATCTCAAAAAATGTGTAGAAGAATATTATGATGTCTTTGAACTCCTATAGAGAACTGCCAGTGGCTCTTTTTAGGAGTACTTTGTCATATCCCAATGGAATACATGCATTCGATACAAATCTATTAAGTTTTCAAGTTCTTTTATTCTGTATTTGATACAAATCTATTAAGTGCTCACTATGTACCAGGCACTGAGCCAGACTCCAGGGATAGAGAGGTTCAAGGTAAATAAGGTCCCTGCCCTTTTCAACTGAACAATCTACTTGAGATAGTCAAACATGTATTATTTAACCAGACTAGAAATAATTCTTCAAAGAGTAAGTACAAGGAGTAACAGGACGGATCTGACTTTTTCTGGAGTATCAGTAAAGACCTTCTTGTGAACTTGAAGGGATGATGACATTGTTGAATACCAAAACTGATTAGGAATCACTTTCATAAAAGTCAGGATGGGGCCAGGTGTGGTAGCTCACGCCTGTAATCCCAGCACTTTGGGAGGCCGAGGCTGGTGGATCATGAGGTCAGGAGATCTACACTATTCTGGCCAAAGTGGTGAAACCCCGTCTCTACTAAAAATATAAACACACACACACACACACACACACACACACACAAATTAGCCGGGCATGGCGGCGTGCACCTGTAGTCCCAGCTCCTCAGGAGGGTGAGGCAGGAGACTTGCTTGAATACAGGAGGCAGAGGTTGCAGTGAGCCAAGATTCTGCCACTGCACTCCAGCCTGGGCAACAGAGCAAGACTCCGTCTCAAAAGAAAAAAAAAGTCAGGATGGTGGGAAGGAAAGGAGGGGGTGATAGGAGGAGAGGCCTGATAGAGAAAAACCATTTCAAAAAAAAAAAATGAACTTTACGGAAAAATATATTCAATTCCAAAACTAACTCTTCCAGTCTGTCTCGACTGTCACCCGCCCACGTTGTCTCTGCTCTTCATAATATTCTGCCTCAAAGATGGGTGATGGCTTAGATGGGCAATGAAGATACAATGATGTTATTTACCCATTCTTCCCACAAACATTAAATACAAAATGTATAAAAGAAGTGGCAGATGTTCATATGATAGGGTGTGAGAGACACGTGTTAGTGTCCCAAAGTACCCATAAATATTTTCTCCGATAATATACAGGGATCTTAGAAACACTATAAGAACCTTATAAAAGTTGATTCCATTATATCGGTAATTAAAAAACTGAGGCTGACTAGGGTTACCTGATTTTCATAAGAGCTATTCAGTCTCAAGGCAGAGCTCGAACTAATAACTATGCTTCTTGTACTTTCGATTGAATAGTAAACATCACCCCTGTGCAATAGAACTTTCTAAGATTATGGAAATGTTCTATATCTGCTGTGTCTAAGACAGTAACCACCAGACACAACTGACTATTGAGCACTTGAAATGTGGATGATTTGATTTCGCACTAATGTTTTTAAATATTTTTTAAAATTAATTTAAATTTACATAGGTATATGTAACCAGTGGCTACTGTATTGGATAGTGCAGCTCTAGAACATTCATCTAACTTAAAGAAAAATTAAAAAGAAAGTTAATTCTATTTTAGAGTAAATGAAAAAAATCAGGTTAATTCACAGTGCTATTGTAAGGGAAAAGGGAAACATAACACACAAGGATGGCTACACATATTCATATTATTTTTAGGTAATGTCAACATGTACAACAGAAAAAGCCTTTTATGCCAAATAATTTTAGCTATAACAATAGTAAATTTAGCTATAACAACAGTAAAAATTAGCTATAAAACCAGTAAATTAGAATTAGTAAATTCTAATCACAGTATGTAATTGGCATATGATAAACTGTATATATTTAACTTGTGAAATTTTATTTTTTAAATGTATGTATACATCCATGAAAACCAAGACTACAATCAAGGTAAGAAACATAAACATTATCTGGCCGGGCGCGGTGGCTCACGCCTGTAATCCCAGCACTTTGGGAGGCCGAGGAGGGCGGATCACAAGGTCAGGAGATCGAGACTATCCTGGCTAACACGGTGAAACCCCGTCCCTACTAAAAAAATACAAAAACATTAGCTGGGCATGGTGGCGGGTGCCTGTAGTCCCAGCTACTCGGGAGGCTGAGGCAGGAGAATGGCGTGAGCCCAGGAGGCGGAGCTTGCAGTGAGCTGAGATCAAGCCGCTGCACCCCAGCCTGGGTGACTGAGCAAGACTCTGTCTCAAAAAAAAAAAAAAATATATATATATATATATATACATTATCCATAAAAGTTTTTCACACCCCTTTGTAATCTCTCCCACCTGCCAGTCTTCATCTCTCCTCCCTGACCCTCCATAGCACTCATAAGGCTATTGATCTGTTTTTTGTCATTATAAATTAGTTTGGATTTTCTAGAATCTTACATAAATGGAATCACACAGTAGGTCCTCTTTCTTGTCTCACTTCTTTCACTCAGAATCTCAGAATAATTATTTTGAAATTTATTCATCTGTGGTATGTAGTTTCTAATAGTTCATTTGGAAAATTAATTGGTAGTTTTCCACTGTGTAGACATACTATTATTTGCATATCTAGTCACCTACTGATGATTATTTGGGCTGTGTCTAGTTCTTGACTATAATAAGCAAAACTATAAATATGTGAGTATAAGACTCTTTGTTTGCATGGACATATACATTCATATCTCTTGGGTAAATACCCAGAAGTGTAATGCCTAGATTATATGGTAGTTGTATATTTAATATTTTAGTATATTGCTAGTCTTTTCCAAACTGTTTATACCATTTTACATGCCCACCTGTCCAGTTCTTCCATATCTCCTCCAACATTTGGTAGGGTTAGTCTTTAATTCCAGATTTTCCACAGCACCACTTATTGAAAAGACTAATTAATAAATTGCTTTAGATCACATGTGTGTGGATCTATTTCTGGATTCTTTATTCTAATAAAGAATTTATTTGTGATTTTTAGAACTTTATAGTGCCTTGAAGCTAGCTAGTGTAAGATACCTGAATTTGTTCTTTTACCAAATTGCTTTGACTATTTTAGCTTTTCAAATAAACATAAATTTTTACACAAATACTTTGATAGATTGCTTCTACAAAGGAATTTGTTCAATTCATCTAAGTTGGTGAATTTATTGCCAAACAGTGGTTCATAATATTTCCTTATTGTCTTTTTAATATCTCTATAATCTGTACTGATCTCTTTTCAGATATTGGTAATTTCTCCTCTTCTTCCTCCTCCTCTGCTTCCTCCTCCTTCTCCTTCTCTTTCGCCTCCTCTTTTTCTCTCCCAACCTGTCTGGTTAAGATATACCCACTTTATTAATCTTCTTCAAGAACCCACTTTTGGTTTTATTCATTTGCTGTTTTATTTTTTCCATTCTGTATTTAGACTTTCACTGTGATATTTCTATTTTTTTCCTCTACTTACTTTGGGTTTCTGTTTTAGATCTTCCTTTTAGTTTGATATTTTTTTCTAAGTGTTGTTTTAGCTACTGTTAATCAATTTTGATATGTCATGTTTTAGCCTTAATTCAGTTAAAATATTTTTAAATTGGCCTTTTGACTCTTTCTTTGACATTTGTGTTATTTAGAAGTTTGCCATTTTGTTTCTAAATATTTGGGAGCTTTTCAGAGAATTTTTTTTTACTGTTTTCTAGTTTACTTCTACTGAGTCAAATAACATACTTTCTATAACTTGAAGTTTTGTAGATTTATTGAGAATTGTTTTATGGCTCAGAATACAGTGTATGTTGGTAAGTTCCATATGCTCTTGAAAATGTATTTTATATATACATACATTATTTTTATGGACATTATATATACACATATTTTATATATACACAATGATATATTATATAAGTATTATATATAATATATAATGTATATATAAAATACATTATATACACAATATGATATATATTATATATTATATAAGTATTATATATAATATATAATGTGTATATATTATACATATTTTATATATATATATATATATATATATATATATAGACTCTACTGTTTTTCAGTGTTCTATAAGTGCCAGTTAGATCACTTTGGTAAATAATGTTATTCAAGTCTTTCATATGCTTTTTAATTTCATATATGCATGCTGTATCAATTATTGCAAAAAGAGTATTGAATATGAGACCATATGCAGAGGACTGTATATTTCTTTTGCAATTATATCAGTTTTTGCTCCCTGCATTTTGAAGGGTTTTGTATTGTGTGTAAATATTGGTAATTGTTATTTCCTAATGTTGAACTGACTTCTTTATCATTATGAAATAAAGCTCTTTATATTTTATGATCACTACTTTTAAAATGGTATATCTTTGCCATCCTTTTACTCTTAACATATATATGTCGATTTATTTAAAGTGAAGTATTTCTTGGAAGTATCATATCAGTTTATCTTGCATTTTCATCCACCTAATAATCTCTCATTTTTAATTGGGTTGTTTAAATTATTTAATGTGATTATTGATATGGTTGGGTTTAACTCTACCAAATTTCTGCTTATTTTTTATTTGGTTGATATGTTTACTTTTTCCCATGACTCCTTTTTGTCCTTTTAGAATAATTGGGTATTTTTTTCTAATGCCATTTTATCTCCTTTTGGATTTTGTCAACGGTAATTTTGTTTTGTGATATTAGTGTTTTTTTTAGAGTTAGGATTACTTTAACTTATAATAGGCTTCCTTCCAGTTGTATTACATGATGCACAGTATAAGAATCTTAGAACTGTATAATTTCTTATATTGAATACTGGCTTGTACACTACGTTTGTCACATATATGACCTTTACATATGTTATAAGACATATAACATATTATTATTTTTACTATAAACATTCCAGCATATTTAAATTATATTCAAGTAATAAAAAATTGGTATGTAGATTTATTTAACTAATTACTGTTTTCAATTTTCTTTATTTTTTGGTGTATAGGCAGACTTTTTTTGCATATAGGATTTTTTTTAAACTTTCTTATAAAGTAAGTATGCCGGTGATGAGTTTTTGCAGCTTTGTATAATGGAAAATGTCTTTATTTCCCTTTCATTTATGAAGGATATTTTTACTCAGTAATTATTTCCAGGTTGATATTTTTTCTTTTATTATTTTAAAGATGGCGCTCCACTGTCTTCTCTCTTGTTTCCAACAAGAAATTCATTGTAATATTTATCTTTGTTCCACCATTAAAAATATACTACCCCTGCCTCCACCTAGTGACTTTTAAGATTTTCACTCAATTAACCATTGGAGCAATTTCATTATGATGTAACATGCTAGGTTTCTTCAATTTAAAGAGCTTAGGGTTTGTTGAAATTCTTGGATTGTTGGATTTTTCTTTAATCTAATTTGGAAAATATATGGCCATTATTTCTCCAAATACTTGTTTCTTTTTTACTTTTTTAGGGATTCCAATTACAGCTGATTTATGCTCTGTTCACTTTTTTCCCTTCTTTTTTTTAATTTAATTTAATTTTAAGTTCTGGGGAACATGTGCAGGATGTGCAGGTTCGTTACATAGGTAAACATGAGCCATGGTGGTTTGCTGCACTTATCAACTCATCACCTAGGTATTAATCCTGCATGCATTAGCTATTTGTCCTGATGCTCTCCCTCCCTTTGCACCTGCCGCCCCCCCAACAGGCCCCAGTGTGTGTTGTTCCCCTTTTCCCTCCTTTTTATTTGTACTCTTTGTTTCATTTCGAAATGTTTCTATTGCAATGACTTTAAATTCTCAAATCTTTTTGCTCCATTGTTTAATCTGCCATTAATCCTATCTAGCATATTTTTCATTATGGATTTTAAAATTTTCATCCCTAGAAATTTTATTTAGACTGTGTTTAAATCTCTCACATCTCTACTTAACATGTTCAATCTTTCATCTTGATTTTTGAACATGAACTGTTTTAGTGTCCAATTATACTAACTCTATTATCTGTGTAATTTCTATGTTAGCTACCATTATTTTTTCTCCTTATTATGAATTTTATTTTCTTGCTTTTTTAACTGCTTTCAATACATGTCAACATGTCAGACATTATAGATTTTAACTTGTTTAATTTTTACCAAAAATTGCTATACTCCTATAAATATTATTGGTTTTGTTCTGGGACAGAGTAGAGTCATTTGGAAACATTATGATACTTTCAGGTTTTACTTTTAAGCTTATCAGTTAGAAAAAGTAAAACATGATATTAGGGTTAATTTTTCTCTACCTCTGAGGCAAGGCCCTTCATTACCTAAGGTCCTGTGCATTATAAGAAATTTTACTCAGGCTGGTGACAACACAAACTATTCCTGGCCCTGTATGACCTGTACAGGTTGTTTGTTCTAATCCTATGGATAAGTCTTTCCCTCATTTTAGAATGTTGCTTCACATTAATGTGTTGACCAGTACTTAGCTGAATACTTGAGTGCCTCTTGTCTTAGTCCATTTGTGTTGCTGTAAAGAAATGCTTCAGGCTAGGTAATTTACTAAGAGCAAGGTTTATTTGGTTTACAATTCTGCAGGCAGTACAAGAATCATGGCACTAGCATTGGCTTCTGGGAAACGCTTCAGGCTGCTTTAGTTCATTGAATAAGGTGAAGAGGGAAGCCAGCTTGTGCAGAGATCACAGAGTGAGAGAGGAAGCAAGAGACAGGAAAAGTACTAGGCTCTTTCTAACAGTTCTCGTGGGAACTAATATAGAATGAGAACTCATTCATTACCATGAGAACAGCACCAAGCCATGCATGAAGGATCCACCCTCATAACCCAATACCTCCCACTAGGTACCACCTCCAACATTAGGAATCAAATTTCAACATGAGGTTTAGACAGATCAGATATCCAAACCATAGCTGCTTCATTAGCAGATCCTCAGAGTTCTCTCTTGTGTAGCTCTCACCTCTCAGAAACTCTGTCCTGCAATTTTTAGTCATCTAGTTTCCCTGGACTTCCAGCCCTATCTCCTCAACTCGAGAAGTCTATTAAGCTCTTTCTGGGTTCTCACAGTTTGTGTCATAGCTTGGAAACTCTCCCAGCAACGTGCAGGAACAATCAAGGGCTTATGTAATTTGATTCCCATATGTCAGAGATTGTTCTTCCTTCTAGGTTGATCCCCAGCTTCTTGGGAACTGTTGTTTCATAAATTATGTCTATAGCTGTTTCTGATAGAAGAGTAAATCTAATTATAATTACTCCATCTTGGTTAAAAGGGGAAGTACCCAGATCACAGTATTTTTCATAAGATTTATGGATCCAAGCCACTTGTATCAAGAATATCAACAGAGTATTTGTTTGATTTGCTGGTAAGTTTCTATGTTTAACATCAATTTGTTAAAATATCTTTTGTGAATCTACTAGTCACTACAACTGATGTTTTCACAGTTTAACTTTTTTCTTTCTCCTTCCTTCCTTCCTCCCTCCCTCCCTCCCATCCTTTTCTTTCTTTCCTGCCCTCTCCTTCCTTCTTTCCTTCCTTCCTTTCTTTCTTTCTCTTTTCTTTCTTTCTCTTTCTTTCTTTCTCTTTCTTTCTTGCTTTCTTTCTCTTTCTTTCTTGCTTTCTTTCTTTCTCTCTCTTTCTCATTTCTTCCTTTTTCCTTCCTTCCTTCTTTCTTTCCTTTCTTCTTCCCTTTCATAAAGCTTAAACAAATACCTTTCGTATTCTAGGAAAGTAAAGACATTGGCCAGGCAGGTGTACAATTTAGAGATGATAGGGAGATATGATGTGAGGAATTTAGATTGTTAGCAGCCTAGGGAAACAGAAAAGACGCACTCCTTGTGGCACAGTTTGAGTCACAGACTTAAAATCAGTAGATTCACAGAACTTGGAACTTGACTTACAATTTTAAAAAATCCATAGTACAATGAAGAACCTTTAAGGGGATGTATCATCATAGTTGTCTCATTTTTGGAGTCCCGACTTCCTATAGAGTGCAGATGGAATTCAAAAAGAGAAGTTTACTAAATTGATTTTGATCTATGTTGGGAAATCTTTTCAAATTTAAAATCTCTTCAGAGTTGTGACTTTCCTACTCTTTATTAAAATAGTACCTTGAAAGATAGCAAAGGAATGAACAACTCACCCTTGGCTCTTTTTTCTTGGGAAGGCTGGAAGAAGTTCCTAGTCCTTCTCCCTGCCTTTTGTATCACACCATCTCAAAGTACTTCTTTCTCTAACATTGTGCCCACTACCTACCAATATTGCACACCAGGCAGTTGTCAGGCCGTGCATTCAAACGCAGTGGGAGGAAATACCTGGAAATGATGTGTAGTGAGGCCCAGTGTCTCTCATCCTCTCTTAGCTAAACAGCTACCGTGGGCCTGCTGAGGATTGCTGCCTTTAAGGTGGTTTACTGAGCTTCCTGGAGTACTGTTATTGTGTCTCCAATAGGTGAGAGTCCTGAGATCTACTGGGGGGTAAAATGGAAATCATGGCAGTTTATTATTCCATTCATCATATCATGCTTGTTAGCATGCTGTTTTATAGCCACATTTCTCCACAGTAGAACCATTTTAGTGTGCAAATTCTACATTTTTAGGTTAATTTACACAATATATGATGTAAAGATAAACGAGTCTATGTTTCTCACTAACCAACAGGAATTGTCCCCAGTAGATAATGAGTAATCAATCAAGATGAGACAGAAGTCCTCCCCAATGAAAATTAAATATCTTATTTGCAAAGATGGAAAGGAACTAATGAGCAAGTGCTACTAACAAACGCTGAGTTTCATTCAGCTTCCTAAGACATGTTTAAAGAGCTATGGACAAATCTTCATGCTATAAAGGACAATTGCTGCTTAGTTTCTTGGACAATCAATGAGAATGAGGCACATCACTATCTATAAGATGACTTCTGCATCCTATACTTTCTGGTCAAAGACCAGCTGAAACTTTTTCATATTTTTCCTAAAGGGCTGCATAATTTTGTCCATTTCAAAAAAAATTAATGTTGATAAAACAATTATTTTGTCCCTATTTCTTAAAACATGAAAAAAGAAGACAGCTTAGGCATCTGATATTTACCTTTGCAATGGCTTTCAAAATTATTATATCAATCAAAGAAGTATATACTGAGTGTCTCAATTTCCTGTAGTATTTCACACAATGTAAGATAAAAGTGAAATAAAAACATTGCAACTCTAATCTTAAACAATATAACAGTCAACAATAGTCTAATGCTTTAGGTAATAAGTAACTGATAATATTGAATATATATATATAATTGTGATATATATATATATAAATATACATATATACACACACACAAACACACACACGTATTTGCTGGACATTGTATTAGGTTTGTTTGTTTGCTTTTTGAGACAGAGTCTTGCCCTGGTGCCCAGGATGGAATGCAGTGGTGCCATCTTGGCTCACTGCAACCCTTGCCTCTTGGGTTCAAGCAATTCTTGTGCCTCAGCCCCCACTGTACTGGGATTACAGGCACTCACCACCATGCCTAGCTAATTTTTAGTAGAGACTGGATTTCACTATGCAGGCTGGTCTCAAACTCCTAACCTCAAGTAATCTGAGTGCCTTGGCATCCCAAAGTACTGGGATTACAGGCATGAGCCACTGCACCTGGCCTGTACTAGGTATTTCATGTTTTTTCTCTAATTTTCATGGCAAGTTTTGGGATATGTATAGCAATCCTCATCTTACAAATGAAGACACTAATTGGTGGTAGAAGTGGTTAAATAACTTGCCCAGCCACACAGTCATTGAGTAGAAGAACTGGAATACAAACTCCCAACTGTCTATTGCCCAAGTGTAAATTCTACCACACCACACTAACTCTTCATAGTAGTTGCCTAGGGTTGTTGTAACAAGGGATCACAACTTGGTGGCTTACAGCAAGAGAAATGTATTTTCTCGTATTTCTAGAGGCTACAAATCTGAAATCAAGGTGTCAGCAGTGTTGGTTTCTTCTAGAAACTCTGAGGGAGATTCTGTCCCATGCTTCTCTCCTAGCTTCTGGTGTTTGCAGGCATGTTTTGGGTCACTTGTCTTCTAGACATATCACTTCAATCTCTGCCTTTTATCTTTGCCATATATTAAATATGTACATGGGTTTGAAAGCATTTTTTATTAAAAAACTCAAATATCTTCACATGGTGTTTTCTCCTTTCTGTGTGTTTGTATCTCTTCTTTTCCTATAAGGACCACAGTTGTGTTGGGTTAGGATCTACCCTAATGTAATAGACTTCATCTTAACTTAATCACATCTGTAGGCCCTATTTCCAAATATAGTCACATTCATAGGTACTGGGGGTTAGGACCATGGCATAGCTTTTGGGGGAACACAGTTCAACTCATGACATTATTTAAATCTGATCCATGTTGTATTCTTTAAATTTCTGGTTAAATAGAAAAAGTGTCTTTGAGACCCAGAATCTGGCATGTAATAGGTGCTCAGTAAATTCATGATGAGTAATGCTCCCATTAACACATCTTCACTCAATAGAAGCTTGAATTTAACCCCACATGTCTTGTGAATCTATAACTGCAAAGGAAAATTAGAGGATTTTTTGTTGATAGAAAAATTAACTTGTATGCCTGTAATTTGATACCATTGCATCACAGTACTTATTTCAAAATTAACAATTTCAGATGAGACTGTGCCCATATAGATCTTATAGAGAACAAACAGCTAAATGTGTCATTGAACTGTTACAAAAGTGATGATCCTATAAAGAAGAAATGCAACACATTGGTTTTAAAAAATTAAGTTGCAGGGCACAATTTTTTTTTCTAATTGAAAAATTAACTTTGACTTGAGAGAATATAACAAATTAAATATATACATGAAAATGAAAATATTCTCTATTGAATACCTCAGAAAAGCTTATTACACTTAAATGCATTCCGTGAAATGTATCTCCTGGCATATTTTTGATGATTTATAACATATTGAAGTGTTATGTCTTCATCAATGCCTTCTACTTGCTAATTTTTTGTGCAATTAAATATTTATCTGTAATTTGTTTTTCTTTAAAGATTGATTGGGGCTTCAAATAAAATACAATAATTAGCAACGTGAATAAAAATGCTTGTTGGATTTCTGACATCCTGAAATATATCAAAATAAAGAGAATGGAAGAAAATAAGTGTCTACAGAATATCTACTGTTAAGTAGAAAGGATTATGGATTCAAAGTAATATACAGTACTCCCCAAATCACACTGATCTAACTTTGTAACTCTAAAAATTCAAGGGGTTGAAACTGATAATCATTAAGGTGTTTTTCAGCTTAATCATTGCGTGATTAAAGTTTAATTATTCTAATCAAAGGCCATGGTATTTGTCTCATTGGTATTATTTTCTTTGAGAGACCAAGGGGGACTAGAGGAAATAGATAAGTAGATTATGGAAGGCCTTCAAAGAAGGAGAGAAAGAATAGATGTAGCCATCAACTACAGACAGGAGGATACAGAATATTTGGAGTTCTCAGTAGTCTGCTCAAGATCCAACAAGGCAGGCACTACCTCAAATGACACAGAAAACTTGTTCGTTGTGATTTTGTTTTAAACATACTACACAACAGATGTGCCATCATCCTTTTTTTTGGTCAGACTTCTAAATAAAGAAATAAAATAGATTGTTTTTTACTTTATTATCTCAATTTCAATAACCTTAATTTCCTAATTAGGAAATTAAAGTTCTAATCATATCAGAGTAGAAGGTTGCTTTCTGTGTTTGAGATGGAATTCACGAAACCATTTCTCCTCCTTGCTACAGCTTCTAAGGAACAATCATGCCCAGTGTAAACTTCATTGTAACACGAAGGTCACCATTGCGTCCCCTGGAAAGGGGATGTCGAACAATGAGGTTTTGTCTAAATAATCTAAGACATTTGTTTGAAAGTCTCTGAAATCTATGGGTGCATGGATGATCCCTCTGATGTTGTATTCATAGAAATGGTAAACATATATGAGCAGCGCCCTCTTCAAGGTTTTAGCTTGTCAATGATTGGTTTAGATTGCACTGAATTCATCAAAATCACTAGTTAAAAGTATAACACAATGAGCCATCCCAACTCTGGAAATATTTGATTAAATGACTGTGCTCATATTTCATTAGATGATTAATTGTGTGAATGCCTGAGAGTGCCAAAGAAAACAGGAATTGGGGAATTTGTCAGTAACTTAGCCACTCTGAGCCTGTGCTTTCCCATATTACAATATGGGGAGACTCAAATGATAATACTATACTGTGAAATCAGTCTCAGAAATAGTTATTCATCAATAAAGCTAGCTCTCTCAGATCTATTCCAATTATTCTTCATTGCACCAAATGGTGCCGTAATGTGAAATGTTTCACTCATTATTCTTAATACAGTAGAGACAATAAAATCAGTATGACTTTAATCATAGGTGTATCATAGTTTTCCAGCAATCTGTCTTTCTAGTTTATAGCATTTAATTCATTTCCTACCAGTGCTGATTTGGGCGATACAGTAAGTCTAACAGACTACGCTTTCTAGAGAACATAGCGTTGAATGCATGGACTCAGAAAGCATACTTGAGTTTTGTAGTCTCCAAAAGGAGTCACAATCCTGCACATTACAACCTAGTGTTGTCAAATTCCAAACAGACATTTATCTTCAGGATTCATGAATAATAAACCAAAATTATCAAGAATCCTCAGAAATTCCTAAAGTTCTAAGATATTCTATATTTTCATAATTTATCTGCAGATTTTAAAATGCAAAACTATACATTTATTATTGTATATTTCATTTAAAAAACTCTAAAGCTTTATATAACCCATAGAAGAATGATTTCTTATTATTGTCACTTCTTATATTTTTAAAATATATAATCTTGGCTTATAGCAAATATTCAAGACAGGAAAACACCAGCAAACATCATTTTGATATATTCAGATCTCCTAGCATCATTAAGAATACCACACACACTCGTGTCAAAATTGCCAACTGAAGAACTTATTTTGCTTTCAAAACTTATTTACTGGAACATCACTCATAGAATTTCTATAATAAATATAATGCATATAAACTTATTAGTATCTATTTTATTTGCAAGAATGACTCATTGTTTCCAGCAGACAGGCCCATAAACACATACTTATAGCACCAGTTATAAGCAAGAGCAATTGATTATATTATGACCAGTTCTCTCTTAGGCACTCCTGTCCTCACTACCAGAAATGTCCACATTATCCTTCCATTCCTCATGTCTTGTTTCTTGCTTTTGCATTTGATATGATATCAGCAGATTACTTTGAATCAGTAAGATCTCTATGCTGATTGTTATACTTTAAATCTCACAGAATTATAATACTTTTCCCTGTTTTCCTGACTCCTTGACTAATTTTTCTCAGGATATGGAAAGTCACATAAATTTTCAGAGAAATGCCAGGCTAGAATTTCTATACAGTTACACTGATTATCAGAGCAACCAAATCCCTGGTTTGACCAGTTGTACTTTATGGTCCACAGTAGATTGTTAATTTCATTAAAAGAATATCTTCCTTCATTGGAGTTAAATATTTGAATATTCCCCTATGTCAAAACTCTGGGACCCTGAGGATACTATTAGTAAATATATTTTGAGTCAGCTAGAATAGGTTTATATCCCCTCTATAACAATAAATAGAAATCATGTTTTATCAGTACTTAACTATCCAGCACAGTGTATGATAATAATTGAGTGTGCCAGCTCTGGAACCAGAAACCTTTGACTCAAATTCCAATAATACCATTGATCACTTATCAAATCTTTGGGCCGTTACTTCACTGAGTAAAGTAAACTTTAGTTTCCTCATCTGTAAAGTAAACTTTAGTTTCTTCATCTGTAAAAAGAGGACAATAAATATTATTTGCTTCTCAGAGATTTTATTTTTCAGATCATTTTATAAGGTAATGGAATAGCTAGACTTGGCTCCCTCTGCAGGGATAATCGCCATCTTAAAATTGTTATGCAATCTTCCCAAGCATTTTCTTTCTGTTTACTATGTGGTTGTAGCCACAAAAGACATTTTGCAACCTATAACATATTAGATCAATGTTATCTTGTATTAGATATCATTTGGCAGCTTGCTTTTCCTACTCAAAATTATTATTTCTTGTATTTATCAAACTTGACAAATGTAGATTCCATTTATTCTTTTTTAGTTGTTATATAGTATTTCCTTGTTTGGATATAACCCAGCTCCTATGTATCGTCTTTGGCGTGCATGTGCAAGTATTCATTTAGCACACAGACTAGAAATCAAACCGCTGGTTGCCAGGTAACATGAATCATCACATTTACTGTTTATTAGCAAATTGCTTGCAGCGTTCCATTTACATGTATTCTTACCAATGTGTGATATTTTTTGCTAATTTTTTTCCCAACTTGATGGGTATGAAATGACATCTCATTGCTGTTTCAGTTTTCATTATCTGATTACTGACAGGGTTAAGCAGTTTTTCATAGGTTTATTGGTGATTCCAGTTTTCTCCTCTGGGGGTTGTTGATAGGCTTTTGTCATTTTTCTGTTTTTCTTAATTGTATCTAGGAATTCTTTACACAGAGATGCCACAAAGTTTAACTTTGGCCTCAGTACTCAGGAAAAGATATACTTGGTTTCAGCCTTGGCTTCAGGCTTTGAAAGACAGAGTAACAAATAGCTACTTCTTTTCTGGCCCCTTCATCATCTGCTTGTTCAATGGAGGTAGGACCACTCAAATTACGAACAAGGTGTAGCCCTCGAATTGGCTATTAACATCTGAATACATACTAAGTATTCATTTTCAAACTTAGGAGAGCAGTCTAGATGTAACTTGGAATAAAAACCTCCATGGGCTTCTACAGGCTGTTAAAATATAAGCATATTTATGTGTTTCAATAATAAAATGTTGAAATATGCTGATTTTGAAAGCTGTTAATTTGCTGTACAAAAATTATTAAGAACTTTCAAACAGTTAAACAATGTTAGCAGTTATTAGGAATAAGAGAGAGTGCATTAGATAGATAACACTAACAAGAACATAATATCCGTTTTCAGCCAGCAAATGTTTATAAAATTTTAAATGCTAATAAAACAGGAGAATAATAGAAATTAGATTATATCACAATGCTAATCTTTAGAAGCATTAAGAGCTATATTTAATTTTTTGTTATTTAATTCAGCTTAGGCCAGAGTCTTTCAAGAAAAAAAGTCTTATTAGAGAAGTCTTCATATCTCGTGAGGATGAATTAAAAGCAGAATCTCAACTTTGCTACCTTTAAATGTCACGGAGAGAAAAAACTGCAAAACCATGTGCAACAATATCCATGATAAATCATCTTTGATCTCAACATAACGGAGACTATAAGGAGTATAAAGACTAGAAGAAAGAGTAGAAGGTAAATAAAATAATTCAAACCATTTTTTTCTCACTTACCAAACTTTAAAAGAACATACTTTAAGTATAATTTAAGGAAACAATTTCTTATCCCTTAGAGTCTATGTAGGCTGAAATTTTAAGTAACACTGAAATAATGTTTAGAGTTGCCTATATTAGATATCTGAAGCTTACAGATTTTTAAAATGCGCCACAAATTTTTTAACTTTTTTTCCCAGAAATTTTACAGATTTTTTTCTGATTTTAATTTATGTGTGTATAAATATCTTGGTGATATTATGACATGCCACATTGTTGCAAACGAACTACTCTTTTAGTGCATCAGTGTTCAGAGTAGTGATTGTATTAGCCTACAGTAGCCAAGAGTGCAGAGCAGTAATTTTCCCTACATCATGATGTCAAACTTTTAAATCCAACCGTTCAAATTAGCAATAAGTAAACTGCCATACTTACTCATTTTTTCAAAAAAAATCAGATTTGATCTCATACCTAAGAAATTAAATTTGTAATATTGGCAATCAGAGCTAGCCATATGTTTGTTATTTAGCCACCATGTGTATTTGGCAAGTTTCTACCCAGTGTATATTTCAAATATCTTTTTCCAGTCTGTTAGTTTACTTTAAGGATTTTGTTTATGACATCTTTTGGGTAAACTTCAGCACTTTGATGATCCTCTTTTATTGTCTTCTGTAGCTCTACAGCTATGGAGACTGGCTGTCAGTCTAATTTTAATTTTAATTTTAATTTTAATTCTATTATAGGTGATCCACAATCAATTCAGAACCTGGTCTTCTATGGTGGCTCACAGTTCCTGCACCCTACAATATCGTGGTAATGATGAAAGCTAGCCATCTTGTTTATTACATGTTTCTCAGTACTTAAATATGGAGTCAGAATTCTTTCACCACCGTGGGACTCCCAGGCCCCTCACTGTGGTACTTCTGTTGCTGGCACCTGGAAAGCCTGTTAGAGCACCTAGAAAGCCTGTACCTCTGTTGGGAGTGCACATCTACTACTTCGAGTTGCCTTCTCCATATCTGTTATCTTGGCCTACTGGTGACTTTCCATCAGTCATGTTAAGTTGCCAAATATGGTACCTAGAATATCATAGATTCTTAATAAGTACTATGAGAATCAATATAGACATAATAAGCAAAATCAAAATCTTTATCATCTTATTAGATATGGAAAAAAACTACAGATACGATGCAATAAAATTCCAACTGGACAAATGCGTCATTTACTTCAGGACTCTCTTAAAAGCAGCACATTTTAATTTTGGTCACTTTTTTCTGTTAGAATAATTTCCTTCATATTTAGCCAAATTCTGCCTCCTTACCATTTTTCCAGCAAGTCCCATTTGTCCCATGTATGTTTTCAGAGTAAGTATAAACATATTTTTTCCTACATGAGCCCTTCAAGTATTTAAATATCTTTATCTCTTCTTTATGTCTTTTCTTCTTTTATCATCTTTTATTACACAATTCATTTTCCAGACATTTTAATTTCATGTGGCCACCTTCAGAGTACATCATATCCTAATTCCTTTTATAATACGTGTTATTTAGAATCTAAAAGCATCCCTTTTCTGGCCTGACTGCCTAAGGACCATAGGATTACCATCTCCCTTATTGTTTCCAGAACTATGCATCTTGAAATCCACCTCAGTTTGCACACAGCATTTATCCACTACAATTTGCCCATTTATGACTA
Organism: Homo sapiens; assembly: GCF_000001405.40. Classification (NCBI taxonomy): domain Eukaryota; kingdom Metazoa; phylum Chordata; class Mammalia; order Primates; family Hominidae; genus Homo; species Homo sapiens. The sequence goes on from NC_000018.10 coordinate 39,658,374, forward strand.
ATATTGAGCTTTTGCTTTTTACCTAGCAGTTTGAACATGTCTCTACTGTGTGATCCTTGTACTGTAAACCAGTCTTTAGTTTGCACAGGAGTGTACGAGATCCTTGAGTGGAGAGACAACTCACTCTCCACCTATAAATTCCTAAATTCTAATGTAAAGAAATTTGCAGGTCATTCTAAACGCTTAATGACTGAATGACAAATAAATGAAAGACCTAGTTTTTAAATACAAACTATTTTGAATATGTTTATCACTATTTTACCTACGCAACTCCATTTTTGCTCCTAAGCACGGAATTGTATCGTTTTGTTGTTGTTTAAAGATCTGAAGTGCACATAATTCAGTTAATGACACTCCATAGTTCATGGCACACAATTGTCATTGGCCAAGGCCAGACTTTTCATTTGTTGCTATCAAAATTTAGCATGGTATCTTGGACTCATTACTCCTGCTTCTTGTAATTTGATTCCCTGTGATTAACTGTCTCACACAGCTTTGTATTATTTGCAATTTTGTTAAGAGGAGAAAGAGGATTAAGATACAGGAAACAACAACAAAGAGTAAATGATATATTAAGTTCTGAATTGTAAGCTACAGATTTTAAATGCTCGCAGAATTTGGCAAAGAGGTAGAACTTGAACATGTGAACTAGATAAGAAAAGAATAGAATCACTGAGATGTGAGCTCAGTTAAGAAGGCTGGGTGGGATTTGGGTAAGTAGAAAAGAAAGGAACTTGTGAGAAAAGGAGAAAAAAGAAGCAGCTCTGTTTGTTTGCCATAGGAAGTGGGAAGTGGCAAGATAATCATTTGGATAGTTGGAATCAGGATCTCTCTTCTTTCTGACCCTCTCTCTATTAATGTAGATAAAGTAAGAGACATTGTCAAGATGAATTTTGCCTTGCATCTACAGCTTTCCGATATAAGTTTGCAATTTTTAAATTTGTATTAGCAAAAAATACAAAGAGAGAGGCGGGCAGTGCTGGTAGGACGTGGAGTAGTAAAGATTGCTGTGTTTTCTGTTGCTACTTCTTTTCCAGGCAGACTCAGCCTTTAAGAGAAGACTTTATTCTGACTTTTTATACTAATTCATACTACGTCTCTCCGGAAGTCTAAGGACTTTTCTACTTGCTTTCAATTGAGAAGTCACTCAGATGGCTAACATCTACAAATCTCAAATCTTGTAAATAAATGCATGTTTAGATAGGAGTGTAAAGACTTCATTACCTTATATTCGCTCTTTATTAACTATTTGCCACATCCCACGTGACAACACTAGAATTTCTATTTCTAACACCATGAATTGTATAAGTAACATGTTTTTTGTTTTTCAGTTTATATTGACTGATAAAATACATAGGACCAGATTTGTTCCTGTCTACCACAAATATTTATATCATCATATAATTCACTTTTTAGCTTTCTTACCTACAGTTCTCTGTCCTCACACTTGTTTTACTTCTATTCCATTTTTATATCATGGTGCAATCCCCCAATTTAGCTTAACATCCTGAACATCCCATCTGAGAACCATTAATCTAAATAATTTTGTCTAAAATAAGGATGTTAATTTAAACATAATATTTGGCGTATAGCTAAAATAAAATTGGGTAATCAAGTGGCAAATGTTAAACTCTTACTAACATGTAGCTTTAAAGGTTTATTTTATTGCATTGTGTAATAAAGAAATGTGTGCAATGCAATTGCATTGCACTGTATCACATTGTGTGCATAATTTGCAACAGATAGATTATTAAAGTTATTAAAGAGCTTCTACATTGCTTTGTGTATACATATAGAAATATTTTCAAGTACTAAAATAATAATGATGAGAATGGGCTTGACATATATATTGCTTTTCAATTTAACATATTTCTGATGCCTATAGTCAAAGATAAAGATTCAGGATTTTACTTTATGAATAATGTGATGATGATATAATCAGAATTCATGTGGTTTCCAAAGTAGATGACTCACATCCAAATTCCCAGTTCCCTCAGAGCACTGTTGGAGGCATTCAATAACAAACAAACAAAACTAATATCTGGTATTTTTTTTAATCAAAAAGTTTTGCGCAGATTTTAGATAACTACAGTCTATTCAGTCCAGTCTATGATGAGGACAGAAATGGACTTTTAGAGGATGTTTTGTTGAGCGTGAAATAAATGCAGATGAGAAAACATTTCTAATGTCTACATCTTTCTTTGACTTCTGAAGTGAATATTACACATTCGGAACAATTCAAAATACCCTTCAATAGCTGGATTGTTTCCATGCAGTATAAGTTCTACTTTCCCAGGACAGAATTATAATAAAAGAGTTAAAAAAAAATGTATTTTTGAGCTTCCTTGCCCCCGAAGAGATTTTTAGGTTCCATCAATCAGTTGTTCCTTTACCAAACTGATTTGTAGTTGAATTCTGTGGGGAAAGTGGAAGTTTCAGAGAACCCATTTGTCTAAGGTGGATCAAAGCAGAGTTGGTGGCATAGGAGGTGGCATTGATAGAGGCTTCCTGATTCGGCGACTACCCGATCATGGCAGAGGAACAGTATTCTCACTGTGTTTCTGGAAGCTCGGCTGAGAGTCTCTTTCTTTCTGTCTAAACTAGAAAAAGTGAATTTGATTGTCTGCAACAAGAATCCTGTCTATGACAAACTTTCACCACAGAGCCATCACACATTAATTTATCTGAAACAGTCTTAAATTTGTGTCTGTTTTATCTACTTTGGGATTTAATGTATTATGTTGTCTACTAGACATGTATCTATGTGACTGTTTTCTCAGTATACTGCCATTCAGAACTTCATGAGACTCACAGAACAAATTATACCTAAACCCATAAAATATTGACTAAAGAATTAAAAAAAAATGCTTGCAGAGTTATCATTGTAAGTATACTTTGCTTCTATTACCCTACAATTACAACTTAATCTTTACATTTAAAATGTTTAAATATCACCATTCTCCATAAGCAATAATTATTACATGCACAAGTGGACACAGTTAATGAGGTAATTAGGCTATAATAAAGCAATCTATGAATTAATCAATAATCATTTATGGAGCACTATTGTGCAGCAATCTTGGCTAGGTCTAAAGTAGCCCAATGCTTAGTCCACTTTACAGCATTTACATTCCATACATTTGTATATATTGAATACTCCAATCCTCCAGTACATTGGAGTCTTCAATATATACAAAACCACAGTTGGGGCAACACCTCTATTAAAAGGAGGAATAGTTGACAGCGCTGAAAGAGACAAGTGAGGTTCTAAGCCTGGCCCTATCCTACTCTGACATTTTTAAACTGGAAGATATATGAGATAATATTTTGAATACCATTGTAATTTCTAAAATGGCTTTTGCCCAACTCACTCACCTGCAGACACTTCAAACTGCAGGCCTAGCCTAATCCAGTTTTTGAGCCAATATTGGCCCCCCAAATGCAGAATATTATAGCATCATCGTGGAGACACAGTGCGGAGTACGATTGTCTCCACTGCCAATGGCCCAGTGCTTGTTGTGTGTAGAGTGAGCCTCAGACATCTGTTTGTTTACCAGGCCACAGCCTTCCCCCAAGCATCACTGTATTCACTTTGGATTACTAATCAGCATTTCATTACCATCCCCTGAGAGCTGGACCCCATCACTTGGGTTTCCAGCCATGGATGTGACCCTCTGCCAGAGGACCATCTGGACCTGCAGTGCTGCCATCCACCTGATGGTCATTACTGCCTGAGGCCTCCTGCCACATGCCCCAGCAGGCAAGGCTGGAAACCTTCAGACACAGACATTGGTCTAAAGCAAGCCTGAGATAATGACACACCATGAAACATCAAAATGAATGCTGCTAGTTACGCTCCTCAAGGACCAATCCCATAAAATTGCTAATATTTATTAAGTGCTTCTTTTGTGCCAAGCACTGTTCTAAATACTTTGTATATATCATTTAACTTAATCTTCATAATAATCCATAAATTGGACAGCATAATCATTACCACTTAAAAATATATATAAAGTATGTTTGACCGAGCACGTTTTAGTAATCTACCCAAAGTTTCATAGCTTGTAAGTGATGAGCCAGGTTTTGAGCCTAAACACAAGCTATTAATGACTAAGTCATGATAATTAACACCTAATCTCCCAATCTATGTAGTGGTTGGCTTCAGCCTCATACCTCCCATAGGCTGAGATTTTAACATTCCATGCACACCAAGAAATATATTTATTACTATTTTAATAACATGAAACACGGCAAAAACGCGTATACAATAATTCTTTAAAAAATTATCTTTTTTCTTTTAAATGGCTTTTTTAATTGAAAATATTTTAGTCCTGTGCATTGCTTGAAAATATTCTGAAATAATTTGTTTTGAAAACTTTGTAAAGTATTTCATAAACTTTCCAAAGTAACAAATCGAATGATGAGTATAATGTATCATTTTCTGATCTCTGGGTAATGAAGTAAAGACCCTGAGTGAAGGCCTGAGTGGTTATCTTGGGATGGTATGTGATCTCAGGAATTTAGAGCGTGCTGGTTATTTAGAGGTTTTCCTGACCATTTTCCTAGTTCTTGGTTCTATTCTAGGCATTGAGGTGCCACATAAGTGGAAGAGGTATCAGTGGTCATACCAGTATCAAAGGCAGACATTGAGGGAAATACTGCATTTGTTTGGGTGAACCACAGTGTTTCTTTACTCTGTCTCTCTCCCTTCTCCTTCCCTCTACAGCACCTCTCTCTAAATCTACTGAAACGTGCAGCCTTCTTTTGGAAGAGAAAGATTCTGATATTCATTAACAATTAAATGAATCTTCAAGAAGCCCAAATAGTGATTATATTTGAATAAATATTTTAATGGGAAAAATAAGGTGAATATGAACAGATCCGTACAGAAGAAATGTTATCCTTTTATGTCTTTAATTCTTTATGTATTATGTTTTTCTTCTAGAATTTTCTTCCTCTTCATCTAATGACATGAATATGCTCCAGTGGATCCTAGGATATCTTTCACATGAGGTTACCCTTGCCCTTTGGATGTCAGGTGGAACAAAGGGATGGAAGATTTTTTGTACTGGGACATTCAGTAAACCCCTAGGCCTACCTATTGTCTAGTCAGAGTTAGAGAAGCAAATGATGTCTGTGAGGGCCTACAAGGCACAAGAGGATGAAAGTTTAACTTAAAGTTTAGATGCTGATATTCTAGCTAGTAATAATGTATGATTGCCTCATGTACTACTCTTTTTTTATATTTCTCTCCTAATGTATAAAGATGGATTTCAAAAGATAGGCAGCCTGGGATTCAAATTCTGATCATCTTTTCACTTTGTAAACTAATGGATATATTTTTTTAAAACATTGTGTTTAATACACGCCAATGCCAAAGGCTTTCTACAGACTCATGTGGAGTGGGATGATGCCCAGAATGTCGATAAATTGACAGAATAATATGAAGAACCCAACAGTCATGTGCCATGAATTCTGCAGGCACATTTGGACATGAGTGTGAGCCAGAAGATCATTCTATTTGGGAAAATTTAAATTGGGTGCAAGAAGCATTAGCTAACAGTCTGAACCGAGGTATGATCCAAACTGATAAAACTTGATGAAGTTGGAAGAAGCAAAAGGGAGTTGGTATGGATCCTCAGAATACGACAGAAACACAAGGAGTTTCAAGGGCATTTGACAACATGAAGTGCCAGCTATATTAGGGCACAGCAGAAAAAAAATGTTTTCTGGACAGACTTAATTTCTGAAGTGCCTTCTCCTCTTATACTACCATGGAAATTACAGTGTTCTTCTGCTGTCTCAGCACCTTCCACATTTAAAAAAAAATCATGCCTTTCCTTATCTGTCTACCTAATTAGACATCCATGGATGAGAAATGTGTCTATGTATCTTCAGTTTCTATATGTCCACTACAATCCTCATGCCTGGAACAGAGAGGTGTTCAATAAATCCATGAACAAAAAGAAACTGAAGTTCTAAGGTCCAAACAATGTTGATTCTTTATGAGCCAGTAGGGATTTGCCTCTTTCTAATTCCTCCTGGAGCACAAGTGTTCCCGGAATCTGGAGCAGGGTTAAAAGCAGAGATGAATAATGATCCCCATTGTAAAGTCCCAGGGATCCAGATAAGATAATATGCCCCACTCCAGGGAGAATATATATACTTTTTTATTAAGAAGACACAAGAAATGGAATGCAGCCTATGTTTGTAAGCGGACTTTAATATTAAGCCCTCAATAAATATTTGATAAATGAATGAATGATTCTGTCCAAAGAGGTTAATCATTAAAATGCTCAGAGGAGACCTCAGCAGGCCCTTGAAGAACACAGCAATTTAAGAAGTAAAAAGGAGGATGTAGGGGAATGTTAGTCAGGGTCAAGCCAAACATTGAATTCAGCATGGCAAATGAAATTTACTGTAAGTGGTCTCTGTGCTGAGATACATATTACTGTTTGTGCAAATTTAGTTCCGTTAACTTTTCCCAAAACTTCTTCACCACCTTATCTTGGAGCTTAATTCTAACTCTCTCTACTATGTCCATACTATGGGAATGTCTTCAAGATAATATTGTCTTGTTAAAATTCGGCTTCAGACTTCAGGACTTTTACATTCTTGGATGGGGATCTAAACAAGACATGAACCAATCATAAGGAAATATGGCTCCTTCTCCATTATTTTAAACAAGAAAATATTATTGTTATTGTAGCTGTTTGAGAGACAAGGAGATTAAACTTGCTACGGTTAAGAAATTTGAAAGCAGATTTTTTTAGAGGCAGACAATAAGGAAGAGTGTTTTTGGACATACTTTGCTCAAACCTTTCCTGTGTTTGAGTATTCCACCCAAACAGAACTTTCTCCATTGAGCCATTTGCTGTCCTGTCAGCTAAAAAATAAAAAATAAAAAAAACAATAAAACAAAACAAAACAAAGAGCAAAAACCATTTTATCTTCTTGATACTGTGGCACTTGATGTGCAACAGAGAGACTACATTCTTGCAATCGGTCAGAAGCAGAACTTGACCAATATGAAACAATACATATCCTAAGAAAACAACATGCACAGATAATTTGCAGAAAGTTTAGAACAACAACAATAAAATATTTTAATTTGCTCTGTATTGCAAAGCTTGTTGCTTTTCATAATGCCTTGATATAACACGTGGGATGAAGAATCTATTTTTTAAAAGAAAGACAGTTCTAATCTCCTGATCTAGATACCCTGTGCTACAAATTTTTTTAACACATTTGCCTCGGAGAAGTTTGCAAACAAAGGCAAAGACAGACAAAGAGCATATGCTAAATTGATCATTTTTGTGTCTGAATATTCACTATTTGAGAGACAAGAAACTGTTCAATCTGATTTGGGTTATGATTACACTGTAGTCCAAATTGAAGTGTCTGTGGAAATGGATTGGGTGAGCTTCTCGGTTGTCAGTCATATCACTTATTCCATGCAGAGTGAGATGAGGGCACTCATGGGAAACGGTAGAAGTGGTTCTGTGATCTACCGAGACAGATAGGTGTTCCTTTCCTTTGAGGAGGCCCTTCCTGCCTCCTCGAGCAACTACTGTGGATGAACAGCAGGGAGCAAACACCCTCTCTGTATTAGTCCATTCTCACACTGCTATAGATACCGAAATTAAATAATTTATAAAGAAAAGAGGTTTAATTGGCTCACAGTTCCACAGGCTGTACAGGAAGAATGGCTGAGGAGGCCTCAGGAAACTTTCAATCATGGCAGAAGGGCAAGCAAGCACATTTTATATAACTGGAGCAGTAGGGAAGCGAGCAAAGGGGAGGGGCTACACCCCCCCAACTTTTTTTTTTTTTTTTGAGGAGTCTCACTCTGTCGCCCAGGCTGGAGTGCAGTGCAGTGGCGTGATCTCGACTCACTGCAATCTCTGCCTCCCGGGTTCAAGCGATTCTTCTGCCTCAGCCTCCCGAGTAGCTGGGATTATAGGTGCCCGCCACCATGCCCAGCTAATTTTTGTATTTTTAGCAGAGACGGGGTTTCACCATGTTGGCTAGGCTGGTCTCGAACTCCAGACCTCGTGATCTACCTGCCCCGGTGTCCCAAAGGGCTGGGATTACAGGCGTGAGCCACCGCGCCGGGCCCGGGGCTACAAACTTTTAAACAAACAGGTCTCATGAAAACTCACTATCAAGAGAACAGCAAGAGGGAAATCTGCCCCCATGATCCAATCACCCCCTAACAGGCTTCTGCTCCAACATTAGTGATTACAATTCAGCATGAGATTTGAGTGAGGATACAAATCCAAACCATTTCACACCCTCTCCAATCCTGCCAGTGCCACCCTGGGCCTGGCTTGGGGGAGAGTCTCCAGGATGCATTCCAAGAGCTCAGATTCTGGATCAAGTGTTCTCAAATCAAATCAGCAAACATGTCTGAAAGAACTGGGCTGGGGGCAGGGTGAGATTTTGTACGTGATGCAGCAATATGGTTAGAGAGAGAGAATATAAACATGTAAAAATTTAAATAATGAAAAATACGAGTGGCAGTTTAAGACAGTAAAAGAAAAGCAAAGTAAACATTTGTTGCAGCAAAGAGTGCTGTGCAGAAGAGGAGGAATTCCTGTGAGAAATGACGTTTCAGAAATCGATCCTTGTCACTTACCAGAAACAATTTATATCATATCTGTCAGTCTTAGCAAGGGATGTAAAGACATAATTAGGTTTGCTCTCAGGGCAGTGGATGGAAGATTCTCTCTTTGTTTCTCCCTTCCCACCTGTTTCAATCAGAGTTTTCTAGAGAAACAGAACCAACAGGCAACTAGATAGATAGATAGATAGATAGATAGATAGATAGATAGATAGATAGATAAAGATAGAGGACAGATAGATAGATAGATAGATAGATAGATAGATAGATAGATAGATAGATAGATAAATAGATAGATAGATAGATGGATAGATAGACAGACAGACAGAGAGAGATGATTACATTTTAAGAAATTAGCTCATGTGATTTTGGGGGATGGCAAGCCCGAAACTGTAGGGAAAGCCGGCAGGCTGGCAGGCTGGAAACCCAGGCAGTATCTCTATTTTACAGTCTTCAGGCAGAATTACTTCTTCTCTGGGAAATCTCAGGTTTTTGCTCTTAAGGCATTCAGCTAATGGAAGTCCATCAACATTATCTGGGATAATCTTTACTTGAAGCCAACTGATTATAAATGTAATCACACCAACAAAATATCTTTAAAGTAACAACTAGACTACACTAGTGTTTGAGTAAACAGCGGGCACAATAGCTCAGCCAAGTGGACATGTAAAATTAACCATTGCAGCAACCATAGAGGTTTCCTGCACACACGCACACACACACACACACAAGGCAGCTTATTAAACAATGCATGTGCATTAAAACATATTTCTCCTCTAAATGACCAGTTCCTTCTTCTTCATACCATTCTTAAAATTGTTATTACTTGCTGTACTTAAGTATTCACAAAATCAATTCCACTGTTTTCATTAGGTTATTTTCCTTCATAAAACTTGTGAGGGTCCCCAGTCCATTTCTGGATAACATCCACAGGTTCCCCACTATCTGACCCCATACCATTCTGCCTCTCCATTTAACTCCCTGATACTCCTGCAAACCAAGCTTGTACTTCAGCCAGTCACTCTGCCTTCTGCAGCCCTCTAGCTTAGACTCTTCCTTGCTTTGCTTTTTTGAGTCTCTCCTCCTAGAGAATCTTCATATTGTTTTCAGCTATTGATATTTTCACTATGAATCATTTCCTGATTTGCTAAGCATAGATTCATTACCTACTGAAGCCTGAACAAATGGTTTTCTGATTATTTTTAAGGACTTTGGTTTCTCTTGATTGAATGACTGAGTGTAATTATTCATGTGTGTGTCCATTTTCTCTCTCTTTCTCTCTCTCTCTCTCTTTTAGCAGTAACCACCATGAAGCTTGAGCATCTTTTTATTTTTTCAATGTATCTCATTCAGGGGCCAGTGTGTAGTAGGTCTTCAGGATGTATGTACTTTTAGTATAAACAGAGAAGAAAGGAAGGAAGGAAGGAAGGAAGGAAGGAAGGAAAGAAGGAAGCAAGAAGGGAGGGAGGGAGGGAGGAAGGAAGGAAGGAAGGAAGGAAGGAAGGAAGGAAGGAAGGAAGGAAGGAAGGAAAACATGTTGATAACTTGATAGAGAAAGCACATACAAAATTATAAAATTTCAGAATTTTAAAGCTGAAAAGATCTTTGGTGTTCATCTTTGTTTGTTCCATCTTTTAATAAGGAAAAAAAAAACCAAAAAACAAGACTCAGAGACTTTAAGTGTCTTGTCTAGAAAGAAAATAAATGATTTAGGTTAAGTTCACAGATGTGGAATATACCTGACCCAGAATGCTTTATATGATACCATGCTGTCAACAAATAAATAATCAATGTCAATGGACCACTAAATTACCTGCTTTTATCACCCTCCAAATTTGCAGATGTTTCATTATTACCCTCCTCTTTCATGGGGTGTAGTAGTGTAGTCATAGGGCTGTTGACAAATGTTCCTGTTCTCCTTCTTCCTACAAGGGGGAAGGACTACACTCCTTGCTTCCTTTGGATTTGAACTTGGCCTGGTGACTTGCCTGAGCCAGTGTGACAGATGAGAAAGCAGATGCCACAGACTACTTTGGTGCCTTGTTTTTCCTCCATCAGACTGGCTCTTAGTATTTCAGATGGTGGAAGCTCTGTGAGTCTGGATTTGAGTAAGTATCACATAGAGTGGGGCCTCAAGCTGGTCTATGAAAGGACAAGGATCAATAAATTAACCTATGTTTCAGCAACAGAGTTTGGACGTAGCTGTTTCTACAGTGTAACTTAGCCCATCCCATCCAACACAGTGGGCATGCTGAAAATGAGTATATTCATTTGCTGGGGCTGTCATAACAAGATACCACAGACTGAGTGGTTCAAACAGCGGACACTTACTGTTTCATAGTTCTGAAAGACAGAAGTCCAAGATTAAAGTGTCTGTAGGGTTGATTTCTTCTGAGGCCTCTCCTTTTCTTGCAATTGGTCACATACTCGCTATGTTCTCAGGTGATCATTCCTCTGTGCAGGAGAATATGTGGTTTCTGTGTGTTTGAATTTCCTTTTTTAAAAGTCAAACTAGATTAGGGCCCACCCTATTGTCCTCATTTTAACATAATCACCTCTTTAAAGGCCTTATCTCCAAATATAGTTGCATTCTGAGTTATTGGGGTTTAGGACTCCAACATATGAAGTTTGGAGCAACACAGTTTCATCCATAACAGTGAAAAATATCATAATCTGTTTAAGATGTTGAGAAACATATGAACAAGTGAAGGCAATAGAAGCAATAAATTGGTTTGGTTGTCTGCCCTGGTCTCCATCAGAAAGTAAAGCTATGACTTGAGAAGTTTTAATTTGATTTATTGGATTAGTTTTAGTTTTGCTTCCTGCCTATTGCTGTTTAAGAAAATGCTGGAGATAGGTGGCGCGGTGGCTCACGCCTGTAATCCCAGCACTTTGGGAGGCTGAGGCCAGCGGATCACGAGGTCAGGAGATCGAGACCAACCTGGCTAACACGGTGAAACCCCGTCTCTACTAAAAATACAAAAAAAAATTAGCCGGGCGTGGTGGCAGGCGCCTGTAGTCCCAGCTACTCGGGAGGCTGAGGCAGGAGAATGGCGTGACCCCCGGGAGGCGGAGCTTGCAGTGAGCCAAAATCGCGCCACTGCACTCCAGCCTAGGGACTCCGTCTCAAAAAAAAAAAAAAAAAAAAAAAAGAAAAGAAAATGCTGGAGATCAAGAATGAAGCATAGATAGTTTACTGCTCACTAAATATTGGGGAACTCTCCCACATTTCCGAGTCTCCTTGAAATTAGATCGTGTGACTTGCTCTGGTCATAGGACTTCCTTGTGGAGTTGTTGGACTTACAGCAGATTTGCATGAGGAAGAAACAATGTTTTATGGGTTAACCCTCTGAGATCTAAAATAGTTTGCTATTATGGTATATTCCTATCCTAACCTTACCCCAAAAAAGTGTATGTGCAATAATGTATGTAGCGTATGTATGGGGGCATGCAGGCAGTGGCAATAGTTTAGGTTAGGGATATGCATTCAGTAGCAATGATAGGCAATGGAAATAACATGAGAACACTGACACTTTAGCAGAGTGGGCTTGCTTTATGTTTATTCTTTTATTTTTCATTTAGGATGGAAGGATTCCAAGAAAAACTTCATCTGCTTCACTATTTTACCTAGGGCTGGCCTCGAATACCAACCTAACAGAACCATCTTTTCTCCCTAGACAATTTACACTTCAGAAAAGCATTTGGAACTAAGTTTTCATAAGGTAGAAAGTAATTTAATGTTGAAAAGGTAGAGCCAACCATACATGAATAAATGCATATCCATTGCATATTAATAATGCAATATAATAATCTACCCTTCTCACTTTTAGAAGACTCCTCTGAGCCCTTTCTCAATGTTAAGATGGCTCTGAGCTCCAGGCCAATTCTGACTTTTTCTCCTTGTTTCTGCTAAGTGTTCAGGAGAGTTACAAGCAGACTCCAGGAAATCCATTTGAAATGGAGCCCTGGCAAAATTCTCTGAGACTAGAGAATAGTGAAGCAAAATGTAGGTAGCTATATCATGCCTGAAATAGTTGAATGAACAATGGTTGTTTATTCTAGATGAGAAAGAACATAGGGAGAGTACTATTACTGTTTTTCATTATTTCTACAGTGTCATATATATATATAAGTAATCAAGAAATTGCAAAGTAATTTGAGTTTACTGTTAGTTTTTGAAGTAGTAGCCACCTCAACATTAGGGTTAATGTACATAAATGTATGTATTTGAAGCTAATGTGTTTGATTTAACAATAGAGTTGCCTTCTATGATCTCTAAGATTTGTTCATTATTAGTTCAACAAACATTTGACAGATACTGGGTCAAATAAGTTATAATGTGATGTATTTATAAAGGTCAAATAAGTTAAAGTCCTTTTCCCTCACATATCTGAAATAGCTGACATTCTAGTAAGGGAGACGGATGGATGACCAACAATTCTATACTGGAAGTAGAGACAAGGCATATTAGTTCACAGAGAGCCAGACATTCTCCAAAGGCTTGTTGGAGGGTATCTTTGAGAAGGTAACTCTTAGCCTGGGATTTCTAAGAAAGGCAAAACCAAAGTCAGGCCATTACAGGCAAAGAATATGCAATGGAAGAGACATGGAAAAGAACATGTTTTTTGGTGTGTTCTAACTAGGGAAATGTCAGAAATGCTGTATAGCGAGAGTCCTGTCATGGTTAGAAATCAGGCTGGGAAGGTGGAGAGGCCAGGATGTGGAAGATTTTTGGATTTTATTCTACAGGCAATGAGAAGCCATGGGAAGATCTTAAACCCATGAGGAGCATAATATAAAGCACAAACCTTTGTACAGTCTCATTCATTTGCAAAGATCCATGATCCCAAGAGAATAATGCACTATCACTTCCTTTTAACTTCCACAGTTCTTGCAGTTCATATCTGAAGATATTTACCTTTTTCCTGCCACAGTACTCTTTAATTTTAGCTTTGAAAATATTTATTTTGGTTTTTTAAATCATTCCAACAAATGAGTGTCTGTACGACAGAATTGTGCCCTCTTTATCTTAATATTCCTTACAGTAACTGACATATATATTTGCCTAAACAGATGCTCAAAAAAAGAAATACTGCTAAGACTATATGACTTAGGCATCCTCCCGGGGGAGAATGCCAGAAAAGAGGCATAAGGCTCCCCTAGTAAAGTCTGAGGATACAACAGGTACTCAAGGAGCATGTAATTTAAGCAAGAATACCTAAGATGAAGAGCAAACCATGCTGCTTTCCACCTGAATTACTCAGCCTCAATTCCCTCATGTGTAATATGGGTAGAATAACTAGAATATTCATCTCATATGGCTTTTGTGAGAATTAGACGGGATGATATAAGTGAAAATGTTACAGGAATTGTGCAATACTATAAAACCGCTAGCAATGTTGGTAACAACAATGACGTCCATCATGAAGATAAGGAATTTTCAAGTAGTCAGACATGCAGAAATGCTTTCACTCTCATACAATTCAGATATAAGAACCTATGAAATGAGAACATCTTTAATCATGTTAAGCCCAAATATGTTTACTATCTAAACTGTGCTCTGAATTTGGCTAGTGGTGCTCCCTTCCCATATAGTTTCCATTGGAAAAATCATTTTGAATATTGAAAATGATAGAATGTAGAGTCAGAACTGCTAGGTGCTGGTGCTCGTTCTGGCTTCATTACTAATCATATTTTTTGCTTTCACAGCCATGGGATGGATAGTATTACAGTTCTGGCTTCCTCTACTGGATTAATTTTCTGGTCAAATAAAAGAATATGAAAACCCACCCCAGCCAGGCACAGTGGCTCATGCCTGTAACCCCAGGACTTTGGGAGGCCAAGGCAGGCGGATCACCTGAGGTCAGGAGTTTGAGACCAGCCTGGCCAACATGGTGAAACCCTGTTTCTTCTAAAAAAAAATTCAAAAATTAGCTGAGTGTGTTGGCACATGCCTGTAATCCCAGCTACTTGGGAGGCTCAGGCAGGAGAATTGCTTAAACCCGGGAGGCAGAGGTTGTAGTGAGGTGAGATCACGCCACTGCACTCCAGCCTGGGTGACAAGAGCAAAACTCCATCTCAAAAAAAAAACAACCCACCCCTATATTTATGAAAAGGAACATGCTATCCCCACAGATGTAATACTACTTGGTATAACATACAACACATTCAATGATTTCTAAGGACATTTGCCAAGAAAGGTGAGTTTGGGGAACTCAAAATTATGACCAAGAACTACATCAGCTCTATCCACCTACTCTAAGCCATATTTGTACACACAGAAACTTTATGCATAGAAATGGCTTTCCCAATCACCAGTATAGTAAGTGCAAGGTTACTGCAGCTGTATGGGCACATAAAAAAGGACAGGAAATGAAATGTCAATAGCAAATGTAATGCCTTTCTAATATACGTCCTTCACTTATTGAGACAGTTACCCAGCTGTTCTTGAAACAGGAATGATTTGTTAATAAACCAGGTATATTCTTTCAGCTCTCAAAAGAAGGAAAAATGCCTTCATCACATTTTTCTCTCCCACATCACCTGAAAGTATATTTCCTGCATTTCTATGACTATACATTTATTTATTCATTCATTCACAACTAATTTCTGGGCACCTACTACATGCTACTTTCATATGAGAATGTGGAGGCTAATCAAGCTGCCCTTGCTCTCAAGCACCTTTCAATATACTAAGGAAAGCCAGTCATGTAAACAAATCAGGGCAATAAAACATTATAGTTGTTATGACAGAAGTATATGCAGCATACACAGGGAGACACAAAAGGGAATGTTTAATTCTGCCTGGGGAGAAAGAAAAGACTTTATGAAGGAGGTGATGTTTGATGTGGTTCTTAAAATATGAGTGAATTTACAGGCAGACAACAGGGAGAAAAGCTGTCTTAGCTAAATATAATGTGGAAATACAAGTACTGCAGTGTAGAATGGGTCAGAGGATAGGATGATCAATTTACTGAGCAACAGAAATATCATCAGAGAAGGGATATCTGACACAGGATATCCAGTTAAATATCCAGATATGGAATCCAGCATGCAGGAGGGTGGCCAGGGCTGTACATGACAATGATCCAACTCTGACTCTTCCTTCTGCTGAGCCTTGAGGACAGACATCCTTTTCCTAGGATGCAGACATTTTTCCTGGTTCTGTAATTGGAGAAAAGTCTTAGTGAAGTCAGTCTTTGGATGTGGCTCTTGGCCCTCTGACTTTGCTTCTGTCATCAGATCCTGCAGGCTTCGGGACTGTGATTCTTCATTGATGAGTGTTCTATCCTCCTCTAGGGCATGTGCCTCTATCTACCTGATGTCACAAAGTTTGCATCCAGGTAGATAGTCACTATTAGAGGAACAGAAATAGGGTCTTGTGTGGCATTCTTTTAGAATGGTTGGAAGGCAGCATCACACAGTGGTTAAGGGTATGGAGTCAAGCAATAGGCACTTCATACCCAAGCCTTAGGTGTGGGATCAAGGGTAGCATCCTTCGCCTTCCTATGCCCTAATTTCTTTATCTATTAAAGGGGAATAATAATAGTTTCTTTTATAGAGTTTTCCATGAGGAATATAACATGATAAATATTAATTTCTGTCATTATTCATATGACTAGGTAAAGATGGTGAGATATTTGTCCCTAGAACGCAGATAACTGGATCAAGGCTACTCTTCCTGGAAACCTCATGTATGCCACCTGCCCAACCATTTCTATGGACATATTATGAAGACTACATAGGAGACTTTGATTTGGACTTTCCTAAATGGTTGGTTTAGGTTTTCATCTAAACATTTGGATGTTCATGCATGTAGAAGCAAAAATAAGTGGCCTATTTTAAATACTGGCCAAAGCCTTTTTTATAATTCTTAAAAAAAAATAAACTCTCATGACATTAAATTTCTTAAAATCTACACATAAAAGTAGTGACTGCTCTCTCATATATAAATATAAAACTCCCAGCATGTAAGTGCATTAGCTAAAATAAGTATTTGATCCTTTCAACCAAAGCCCATTTTCTCTCCCACCCAAAAACCCTTGAAGTGTGAGTATTACACTACTTTCAGATTTCTATGTAGGCAGGGGATAAATAGTCTGCTTCTGTAATTAATAACTATTAAAGCTGTTTGACTGATCATATCTTTGGGTTCCTGAAATCTCTTCTGTGCAGGTGTGCGTTAATGGAATTCATTAAATTCATATATTTCAACAGATAGTAATTTACGATCTTTTATAAGATCTGTCAGGAGCCGCAGCAGGAGATACAGGACTGTCTCAGGGCATTATAGAGCAAACCGGGCTCCCTCCCTCAGAAATGGCTCGCCTTTGAGTACTAAATACGAATGTCAGTGCAATAGGTAGTCACATTATGTGTGTTCTATGACATTTGCTATCTGAAAATATGTAGGATAAGCTTTTCATCACTGGCGAAACCCTGAACAGGGCTGAATGATTTTCAGAGACACTGAAGGAAAAATGTGTGGGAGTTCTAACCACTTTATATTTGCCATAAAAAAGGAGAACTTGGGAACAGATCAAGGTTCTGAGAAAGTAATGAGTTTTCCCAGGGATGAGTCATCCTCCCAAGCTCACTAAATGGGGCAGCCTCTCCATTCTGACCAGTGTTTTCAAGGGAAACAGAAATCAGCCTTGACTTCTGTCATGTCCCACCCTCGGCTCAGCCCAAAGAGAACTGCTGTCCTGTCAGAGATGGGGTGTCCCTTCGGCATGGCCAAGTTTCTGAGTGGGCAAAGCCATCAGCCACTTTCTTCAGGAGATCCCAGGATGGCAGGGCCACATTTAGGAGGTGAAATGCTACTTGAGGGACTTTCATAATTAATTTAAAACTGAAAACAAGCCTGAGAGAAACAGCAAAGGTATTATGTAATTATCAGCTAACATCTAAGGGGATGGTTAGAGGTGAATGAGAGGCAATGCGAGGTAGGAAGTTGTCCTGAGCCACCAGGAACAGGATGAAGAGAATGAGTTGGGAAAATTAGAAAGTAACAACCTTAAAAGTTCCCTTTCATATTTTATAAATGGAGTAAAATGTTCTTCAGTGGTTTTGAAAGGGGAAGAGGGTTGAGTTGAGGTCAAAGCCGATATTGCAATGAATGCTCCTGTTTATGCAATGCTCTTACCATTCAAAGAATTCTTAAAACAGTTAGACGAGGTTGGCAGGCCCCCTTTTAAAGGAGATAACTGAGCCCTATCCCTATTCCGAAGCTAATTTATGCTTCCAGGGTACAGTGGTCGTTTTCTGAGCTTATCCTATTCTGGAGTTTCCTAAGGAAATACAGACAGAGGCATCTGCTTTCAGGGACCATCTAAAAAATCAGCAATACCAGGACCACCAGCCAGATCCAAAATGTGAGAATGTGAGAGCCCTCACCAGGTAGGGGGGTATGTTTTCTTTTATTTTGTTTTGCTTGTCTTTGGTCAAAAAAATATATTTTTAATGTATTATATGGGCATATATACACATATGTATATTATATATATATATAATGTGTATATATCTTATGGACAATATTTACTACATGGTTAATTAGAGAAGTCATTTACCTTTTAAAATGCTTCATTTTCTAAACCAACCTACCATAGAGATATCTATAGATTATGCACCCCAACACATTTCTAGTCTAAATCATTAAACATGAGACCCTTCGAAATATAACTTTTGCACAAATATGGAATAGATCTATGACGTGGAGCTAACCAAACTAATATACCCATATTCTGGCTAGGTGATCATCAGAATATGGGTATATTAGTTTGGTTAGCTCTACATTGTAGATCTATTCCATAGATCCTTCTGTTTTTTGAATTGTATATTATCTTTTAAATTGAGGTATAATTTACATCCAATAAAATACAGTGTACAGTTCAATTAAGTATATAGTTCAATGAATTTTGAGAAATGTATACACCCACATAATAAGTCCCCAATGAAGATACATAATGTATTCATCACCCTAGAGCATTCCCTTCCCACCCTTTACCACTATATCCCACTCCATACCATCTCTGAGGCAACTGCTGTTTTGATTTCTGTAATGTCATATAAAGAGAACCATAAAGTATGTTCTGTGTTCTCTTTTATGTCTGGCTTCCTTCACACAACATAACATTTCTGAATCCATGTTAGGCTATGTATCAGTAGCTTGTTCCTTTTTTTTATTAGAGAGTACATATTGCATCGTCATACCACAACTTGGAACTATTCACTGGTTCATGAATATTTGTAATTTTTTTATGTTTGGTTATGAACAAAACTGCAATAAACATTCTTATATATAAATGTGTTTGTGGGCATGTTTTCATTTCTCTTGTGTAAATACATAAGACAGGAATCTCTAGGCCATATGATAACTATAGGTTTAATTTTATAAGAAACTGCCAAATTATTGTCCAAAGTGGTTGTACCATTTTTAAATGGACACTTAATAGTTATATATGTTTATGGTGTACAGAGAGATATTTTGATATATACAATGTGTAATGATCAAATTAGAGTAATTAGCCTATCCCCCACCTAAAACATTTATCTTTTCTTGGTGTTGGGAACACTCAAAATCCTCTCTTCTAACTATTAAAAATATATATACAAAAGAAATTAGCCAGGCATGGCAGCATGTGCCTGTAGTCCCAGCTACTCAGGAGGCCGAGGCAGAAGAATTGCTTGAACCTGGGAGGCGGATGTTGCAGGAGTCGAGATTGCGCCACTGCATTCCAGCCTGGGTGACAGAGTGAGACTCCGTCTCTACAGTAAAAAAAAAAAAAAAAAAAAAAAAAAAAAAAATATATATATATATATAATAAATTGTTAGTCACCCTACCATGTTTTAGAAGACTAGAACTTATTTCCCCTGTCTAGCTGAAATTTTGTTTCCATTAACCAACCTCTCCATATCTCCTGACCCAACCCTTCCTAGCTTTTAATAACCATCATTCTAGACTCTGGGCCAGGAGCAGTGGCTCATGCCTGTAATCCCAGCACTTTGGGAGGCCGAGGCAGGTGGATCACAAGGTAAGGAGTTCGAGACCAGCCTGGCCAGCATGATGAAACCCCATCTCTACTAAAAATATGAAAATTAGCCAGATGTGGTGGTGCTTGCCTGTAATCCCAGCTACCCGGGAGGCTGAGGCAGGAGAACTGCTTGAACCCAGGAGGCGGAGGTTGCAGTGAGCTGAGATTGCACCACTGCACTCCAGCCTGGGTGACAGAGTGAGACTCTGTCTCAAAAAATAAATAAATAAATAAATAACCATTATTCTATACTCTACTTCTATGAAACCAACTTTTTAAGCTTCTGTTTGTGAGGGAAAACATGTGATATTTACCTTTCTGTGCCTGAATTATTTTACTTAACATAATATCTTCCATGCTCATCCATATTGCTGCAAATGACTGAATTTCATTCTTTTGTATGACTAGTATTCCATTGTGTACATATACCTCATTTTCTTTATCTATTCATCTGCTGATGAACACTTAGTTTGATTCCATATCTTGGCTAAAACTATGGAATACTTCACAAATTTCTGTGTCATCCTTGGACAGGGGCCATACTAATCTTTTCTGTATTTTTTTTTTTTTTTTGAGATGGTGTCTTACACTGTTGCCCAGGCTGGAGTGCAGTGGCGCAGTCTTGGCTCACTACAACCTCTGCCTCCCGGGTACAAGCGATTCTCCTGCCTCAGCCTCCTGAGTAGCTGGGATTACAGGTACCCACCACCACACCGGCTAATTTTTGTATTTTTAGTAGAGATGGGGTTTCACGATGTTGGTCAGGTCGGTCTTGAACTCCTGACCTCGTGATCCACCCGCCTCAGCCTCCCAAAGTGCTGGGATTACAGGCCTGAGCCACTGTGCCCAGCCTTCTGTATTATTTTCAGTATATGTGCTGCTGAAGTGAGCACTAACCTTTTTAATGCCTTCATTATATTTTCAAATACTTCTAGGAATTAGTATTACAGGCAAGATTAATCAGTGTTAACTACTGATATTAGAATAATGATTCAATTTAAATCTTTCAAATAGTAATTTGTCAAATAAATATTCAGGATATCTTGTAATAGCTAAGTTTACAAAGAAAAGTAAGACATAGTCCTTGCTCTTGAGAAACTTATGATGTATTAAGAAAAACTAGAAGCCAATATGGTAAACGATAATGAATGTGCATAAACCAGTGTGGGGATATAAGGCAGTTACAAAGATCTTCACAAGGCTCAGGCTGGGCTTCAGATTCTTGAGGACATTTGAGCCTTGAAGAGGTCTTTCAGTCACTCAACATGTATTCCTTAGGTGCCAATTATGTTCAGATGCTCAGTAAATGGAATTGCATTTTGTAAGGAGGGAGACTCAAGGTCAAAGCAGGAAGATTGTATCCAATCTGGAGCCAGCAAATTGACAGGGAGAGAGAAGGGAATTAATAATTACTTCGCACCTATTGTCTACTGGGTGCTTAATCTCTCAGCAGGCCTAGTTCAAGATTTTTGTTCCCACATTACAGACGACAAACCTGAGTTTCAGAGAGGTTACTCTGCTTGCCCAGGTTCATAGAGCATGCATGACGCAGAACTGGAGTGTGAATGCATCTGGTGTCCTTGCAGAGTCCACTCCCAGGGCAGCTGCCTTTTTGCACAGGCATAGAAACAGAATAAAAGAAGATGAAGAGAGAATGAGGGAGGCACCAATGGCAATGTGATTTTAGTGGCTGAGGTTACATTATGCTTTAGCTAGAAATGGAAGCCACAGGGGCCTTGAGACAGAAAGTAAAGAGCTTTGGCTTTAAAATCAGAATTGCCTGAGTTCATATCCCGACTCATTCACTGGGTAGCTTGACCATTGTTGATTATAAGCTTAATCAGAGGTCATCAGGGATAATAATATCCATTGCATCACTGTATACCAACATCCAGTGTTTAAGTAAATATGACACTTAGTAGTTGTTTGGGCAATATTATTTCAACTTTCTGTTTTGCCCATCAAAGGAACAGCTATTTCATAATGTTGTAGAGCAGAAAAGAAAATTCATGTGTCAAATAAAAAGTAGTTATATTTATTTAAATAATGATCACGTCATTGGCCAAATTCTAAATGCAAGGAATTCATAGCACTGCCTTTTGTCCTGTGTGGACTCTGTCTTGCTTCTTCTCCTGTATTTTTATGTTGCTTTTTTTTTGGACATTGTGACAGCATTCTAAGTCCTAAAGCCCACCCATGTCCACCCATCACCTCCTTTTATAATGCTTATTGGTTTGGGTTTCAAGATATCTTTCATGAGCCATACTCACATTACCTTCATGATATTAATGAAATTTCCTACAATTGCATGTAGATCACTGTTTCTTATTATTTTGCATGAAGTTTAGCTGACACGAACCTGCTTTACAAATGTACATTTACTCCCAAATTCACTTGCTTTGCAATGCTTTAGATGGGTTTACCTAAAAACCTTGGCTACAATTGAGAGCACCTGCCAGTTCCACAGGAGCAATAATCAGAAGTGGTTTCTGACACTGAGCAATGCTATGGTCACACAGGGACTACCTGGAACATTGAGACAATTACCTTAAGATCAAGGCCCCTAAACCAAAAGAAGAGAAAAAAAAAGTTTTTTTGTTTTTCAATTGCTGGTTGGTTGTTTACAATCAGATTAAATATCCACTTTTTGCATAACCCATGGATAGACTAAATGGTGAATCTTAAAGACAATAATCAAAAGGGCAACATTATGGAGAACTCCTGTAAGGTAAGTCTAGAAACTAGAGTAAAAATGAACTGAGTGGTATTTCTAAGAGATTGACTCAAAAAAAAAAAAAAAGCTGGTAGAGTCAAAACTAAAAGAGCAGAACCATCCAATTGGAGAATTTTTTAAGTGAGATGTAATTTCGTAGGTGACAGTAAAAACCAGACTGGACATGGCAGTAGCAAATGCACTCTAAGGAACAATTTCGGTGGTAGGAACAAGTTGGCCTTATTGCCCTAATGGATCATCCCTTTCTCTATCTGCTGTGATATGAGAGCTGATGAGATCCTGCCTGAGGCAGCGGGACTGTCTCAACACAGATTGTCTCTCCATTCACAGGGGTAAACACTTTACTGGGAGGTTTAAAGTGAAATTTAGAATTACACAGAAGTACCTAGGAAACGGATTATTTTTTTCTTCAGTGAACTCTTGAGAGGGCTTCTCAGTAAAGTTCAAGCAAGCAGGTGTGCCGAAAATTGCTTTAAAACCAAACAGACAGTAGGAGGCATGCATATGCCAGAAATCATAGCCCCCGTGAGAGAGACAAGCCCATTTTTCAGCAGCAGCAGCTGTTGGTGCATCTGCAGACAGGTTGCTGTCAGGAGTGTTGAGCAGAGAAATTTCAGGAGAAAGGTGCACATGAGAAGAGAAGAGGCGTGAGGTCTCTGGTGTATGAGATTCAGCAAAGAAACTTGGGTGATGCACTGAGTCCTGGGCTGACATTGTTAGAATTTAGAATTTCATCTGAGACTGGGAGCCTGGACGAAAGTGGCACTGAGACTTTAGATTGGAGTTTGTTAAATCCTGGGCAATAAAAATTGTAGTTCACTCTAATGAAACTTCCTGGGAAGACTATTAGTATTAAACAGGGAGACTCTCTCCCCAGAAATAATGCTAAATCACAGACACAAATACTTGCAAGTCCAGTTCAGCACAAGCCAGAACATGATTGCACTTTTTAAATTAAATTCACTCTTATTGCTTTGGCAGTTGCCATTTTCTGAAATTAATAGGAATGGAACGCATGAACCAAAGGGCTAAGGGTGACCATACTGTGTTAGAGGGTACAGAGGTGAAGGCGACAAAGGTGGGTGGGCAGGCAGAGGAAGGGGTGGCCATATCTTTATTAAGCATTTACTTCAAGGGAGGAGATCGATGAAAAAGGCTAGGACTCTAACATAATCAGAATTTCACAAAATTGTTGGGGATGTTAAGGCTCAAAATAACAACCTGTATTTTACTATAGAAAAATTTAACTGTTTCTTTTAATGTCTCTTAGCATCATGAGGACCCAAAATTATCTTATATCCTTTATGTGACTCAATATGCCTGCTAGCAAATTGCTGATCACCAGGGTGGTGCTTACTTCTTAGCTTTTAAATTATATGGTAATATTAAAAATAAGTCTTAAAGGATCCTAATTCTTTAATAGTAGCCATCTTTATTCCACAAGCCTCACTGTGAATTATTTATCGAAATTCATTAAGTGAATCACTTGCTCACGAATGTAGCAAATATTTGTTAAGCTGTCTCACTGTGTGCCAAGTGGTCACTTTTTGGACATAGAGATTAGAAGCATTTGGTTCCTACCCTCAATGAGTTCACTTTAGAATCAATGAAAGAAGGAACAAAATGACCTTTGTGACAAAATCACAATACAAAGGAGTAAGTGCCACAGTATCTGCACTTATCCAATATGAACAAGGCTTCTCAACCTCAGCCTGGGGATTGAGATTAGAAACACTGTCAGGAAGAGGAGCTGCTGGCATTGACCTTTGGGAAATGAGTGATGATTAGGCAAGTGGCCATGGTTGGGTAAGGTATACCAAATGGGAACAACATGGACACAAGCAGAGGACAGACAGAACATAAACAATTAGGGAACTGAATACAGATCAAGAGAATCAAAAAGAGAGGTAAGTAGAAAATCATAGTTTGAGAGGAGTTTGCAGAAACAAGGCCAGAAGCTAATACAGGTAACACTAAGGTACATGACAGTGATTAGAATCCACCAGAAAATTTTGAATAGTAGTAATGTTAACAGATTTGCAGTTCAGAAAGAATTTTGGTGACATTGTGGAGGATGGATTCAACTGAGATGAAGCTGGAGGCATGAAGGCAGGTTAGGAAATTATTACAGTGGTCCAGAGAGCAATAACGAAAGTCTGCACTAAAGCAGAGGTAGGTAGATAGCAGATGGGGATTTGAGAGACTTAGGAAATAATGTTTGTAAGATATGGAGTGTGAGAGGATAGAGGTGTGAGGGGAAGAAAGGATAGAACCTGGAAACATTCTTTCAAGCACATTAAAAATATCAACCTATTTAATATCATAAGAGTCATATTAGTTAAGAAATAATGCATGACTATACTACAGATGTGGAAATGGACACAAACCCAGGTATTGTCCTACGCTTATCAGACACCTGTTGCAGCCTCTTGTTGCAGATCAGACCATCCCTTTGCAGTAAATGGAAGAATCAGAATCAAAGCCAGCATCCTGTTCTTTCAAGCACCCTATCTTGGATATAGCAATTAGAAACAGGTGAAACAAAGGATGGGGGTTACATTCTGCAAAAACCTCGTTGCCCTAACCAGACAACAGGAGAAACAATGCTACAGAGAAAAACAGACTTCAGTCCAGATGGCAAGGTGAGTCAACGCATACCTCATCCTCTCTGCCTTTGATATTGGAACTATCATGGCCACATGTTTATCATAGCAAGTGGCCTTGGAACACGGTTACTTATAATGGCAGTTCTCAAAGACAAGATTAAATCGAATGAGAAAAGGCAATATCCGAAGCACAGTTGCTGAATGCTTTCAAATTGAAGAAATTCAAGCTCAAGTCTAAAAACTGAAAGTTTAAGAAAAATAAAAAATGGGATATAAAAAAAGGGAATTGACCCCTAGACAGATAATAGTAAAAATAATGAATATCAAAGTTTAAAATGACCAGCAAAATAAAGCAGATATTATACACAGAGACTGCAATAGGACTGAGAACAGGGTTTTCATTGCCTATGGGAGATGCCACACAATAATGAGTAATAATGTTGAATGGGTGAATGAAAAACATTCATCAGTCTACAGTTGTATAATCAGCATTATTGAAAAATTAACAAAATAGCTATGTTTTGTCTTACGCAAATACTGAGTGAACTACGCATAGGCCAGGCACGCCTGTAATCCCAACACTTTGGGAAGCCGAGGCAGGAGGATCACCTGAGGTGAGGAGTTTGAGACCATCCTGACCAACATGGCAAAACCCTGTCTCTACTAAAAATACAAAAATTAGCCGGGCGTGGTGGTGAGCGCCTGTAATCCCAGGTACTCAGGAGGCTGAGGCAGGAGAATTGCTTGGACCCAGGAGGCACAGGTTGCAGTGAGCCAAGATTGCACCACTGCACTTCAGCCTGGGCAACAGAATGAGACTCCTTCAAAAAAACAAACAAACAAACAAAGAAAACAAACTACACATAGGTCTTCAAGGAAATCTCAAATGAAGAATGAACTATAGCAAGGGGCAAAGTAATATCCTAAAAAACTGGTAAATATTGACATAGATATGCTGTAAATTATTTAACTTTAAGATATAAGAAATGAGCTGGGAGCAGTGGCTTACACCTGTAATCCCAGCACTTTGGGAGGCCGAGGCAGGTGGATCACCTGAGGTGAGGAGTTCGAGACCAGCCTGGCCGACATGGTGAAACCCTGTCTCTACTAAAAATAGAAAAATTAGGTGGGCATGGTGGCGGGCGCCTGTAATCCTGGCTAGTCAGGAGGCTGAGGCAGGAGAATCGCTTGAACCCGGGAAGCGGAGGTTGTAGTGAGCAGAGACACTGCACTCCAGCCTGGGCAGCAGTGCAAGATTCCATCTTAAAAAAAAAAAAAAAACCAACCAAATAAACAAAAAACTATACATAGGTCTTTAAGGAAATCTCAAGTGAAGAATCAACTTTAGCAAGGGGTAAGGTAAGATCCTACAAAAATGGTAAATACTGACATAGATATGTTGTAAATTATTTAACTTTATGGTATAAGTAGCTGGTAGCAGTTGCTCATGCCTATAATCCCAGCGCTTTGGGAGGCGAAGGCGGGCAGATCACTTGAGGTCAGGAGTTTGAGACCAGCCTGGCCAACATGATGAAACCTCATCTCTACTAAAAATACAAAAATTAGCAGGTGTGGTGGCAGGCACTTGTAGTCCCAGCTGCTTGGCAGGTTGAGGCAGGAGAATCGCTTGAAGCCAGGAGGCAGAGGTTGCAGTGAGCTGAGATCTCGCCACTGCACTACAGCCTGGGTGACAGAGCGAGACTCCGCCTCAAAAAAAAAAAAGATACAAGAAATAAGTAATACTATATTGCATATTTTAAAAGACAGAATTGAGGCTCTAGATTAAAAACAATAAGAATATTTGGGAGATTTTTTTCAATCTGTTATTAAAACATAAGACTGTCCATGTATTTTGAAAGAGAAACCAATAATAAATTAGATTGTTAATAAAGAGTTATTGAGGCAAGATAATAGGGTCTGGAGGCAGGGGACTTTAAGGCCAATTCGTGCTGAATTCCTAAAGCTGAATAAAAGGAAAACACCAAGGTCTAGGGGGCAGGGAATCTAAGGCCAATTAACACCGACTTCCTAAAGCTCAACCAAAAGGAAAAACCCCATCTCCCCCTGCCCAAGTAACAAAGGATCAAAGGCTACTCTCTCTGCAACCCTCCCCCTTCCACCACATCGCAGAGGGAATGGGAAAGTGTCCTGGATTGGCAGTGGGCCAAGGATAAGCCATCCCTTCATCTGCATAGGGCACAAATTCACCTCAGTCTTTAATTAGCCATGGACCAAATCCTTTATCCAGATAAGGGGTAGCCCATAGGGACCTCAAAAGGAGTACTTAAAACCCAGAAAACTTTGTACCCAGGCCCTTTGAGCTGCAGGCTAGGGCCTACTCCCACCCTGTGGAGTGCTTTTTTGCTTCCTGCTTTCCCTGCTTCCTTCCTGTTACTTTGTGCATTTTGTTCAATCCTTTGTTCAAAACACCAAGGACCTGGACAACTCTCACTCACGATCTTCCTTCCAGTAACATTATAATCTATGTATAATGTACCTATATATTTATGGCTAAACATTAGAAATAATAAAAATATAATGCAGTGCTTCCAAACCAGAAGAAAGAAAAACAAAGGAAATAAATAAAATTCTGATAATTAAATAAATATTGGAAGGAAAATAAAAATGTAAAAAAGAAAAATATTATAAACAGAAAACACTAGGTATGGTAGAAATATTTCAAATATATCAAGAACTCCAATAAATATAAAGAAATTAAGCTTTCTTATTAATATCAGAAAATGTGATACAGTCTTAAAATCTTTATTATGCTGCTTTAAAAGATACATTAAAACAGGGCCAGGTGCAGTGGCTCACGCCTGTAATCCTAGCACTTTGGGAGGCCGAGGCGGGAGGATCACGAGGTCAGGAGATCGAGACCGTCCTGGCTAACACGGTGAAACCCCGTCTTTACTAAAAATACAAAAAATTAGCCAGGCGTGGTGGCGGGCACCTGTAGTCCCAGCTACTCGGGAGGCTGAGGCAGGAGAATGGTGTGAACCCTGGAGGCAGAGCTTGCAGTGAGTTGAGATCACGCCACTGCACTCCAGCCTGGGCAACAGAGCGAGACTCCATCTCAAAAAAAGAAAAAAAAAAATACATTAAAACAAAATGACATAGAATTATTAAAAATGAGAAAAAGAGGTAAAAATAAAACAGATACTATGAAAGACAATAACCAAAGGAATGCTTTATAACAATATAGTAACATTAATGTCATACAACATATGTCATACAGCAGAGAGTAGTGATATAGTGATAAAAAGAGCAATTCCGATAATATATAACAACTGTAGGCATGAATAGTCTTTATGTCAAAATATGAAGCAAAAATATAATTAGAAAAATAAATTTTTAATACCAAATATTTTAATATATATATTTAGATACTCAAAGATCAAGCAGATAAAAAGTCAACATCTAAATGATTAAAATAAACATATTAACAAATTTGAATATACCCATCTCCCTCTACATCAATTTCAAAATTTTTAAACAAATATTTGTAAAACTCTATGCTCATAAAATAGACTTCTTCAAATATATATGGAACACTTTTTAAAAATTTGATTACATTCTAAGGAGGAAAAGAAGTTTCTACACATTGTTTTATTTTATTTTATTTTATTTTATTTTATTTTATTTTATTTTATTTATTTTATTTTATTTTATTTATTTTGAGACAAGGTCTTGCTCTGTTACCTGCGCTGGAGTGCAGTGTTGTGATCTCAGCTCACTGCAGCCTCAATCTCCTGGGCGCAGGTGATCCTCCTACCTCAGCCTCCCTAATAGTTGGGACCACTGGTGTGTGCCACCATGCCTGACTCATTTTTATATTTTTTGGAGAGATGGGGTTTCACCATGTTGCTTAGACTGGTCTTGAACTCCTGACCTTAAACGATCCGCCCACCTTGGCATCCGAAAGTGCTAGGGTAACAGGCATGTGCCACTGTACTCGGCCTATGTTTTAAATAATTAATGTCATATCAGCCGTATTTTCTGACAGCATCTTAATAAGTTTAGCTATGAACAATGTAAAATTGGATAATGAAGAAAGTTTAGAATGTTTTAAGTGAATAAACCTATATAAGTTCTGAATTAAAGGAAAAATAGAAATAAAATAGTATTAGAAGTAATTAGCAAATGAATCAATAAACAAACTTTTTGAGCTATAATGGTATTTAAATTTAAATATAAATGTAAATATATGGTTCCAAACTCTCTGTTTAATATAAACAAAGATTGGCAATTTATGAATAAACTTTTAACTGATAAAGCCAGAAAACTAATAGAATTAATACAAACAGTAAAAGGGAGAAAATAACGATTAAAGCATATACAAATGAAATGGGAAACAAATAACCTCAACAATATAATAAATAATAAAATTGAGTTTTTTCCTACAAACAATTAACAAAAGGATTAACCAAGGATTTTAAAACTCTAGCAAGGCTGTTCAAGAAATAAAAAATTGCTCAACTAAATAATATTACAAATAAAAAGAACTTCAAATAGAGTGTTAATTTTCTAAAATCATAGTTTAAAACTATGAACAACTTTATACCAATACATTTGGTGAAAAATGAAACGGACAATCTGAAAGAAACGTATAAACTGCAAAAATAAATTCAAAGAGACAGAGTAAATAAAATCAATGTATTACAGACTATGGAAATAACAATCAACAATTCCCTCTTCCTTTTTTCACTGCCCAATTTTATACATATTATACTCAGATTGATTTACAAGCATATGTAAGCCATGTCTTACAGGGATACCCAATTTGTCTTATAAAGCCAGGAGAACTTTTATTAAGACTGAGTGAGAAAAAATGTAGGAAACTATGATGATTGACCAATGTTACCATGAACATGAATATAAAATTTAAAAAGCAATAAAAACTTAAAACCTACATTCAGCATCATAATAAAAGAACTAGGGTTTATACAAAGTAATACAATGATGGTTTAATGTAAGAAAACCTACTGTTCTTTATGAACGATTAAAGGGCAACGATATTAAGAATATCTTAATAGATGCAGAGAACAAATTGAATCAAATAAGCACTTATCGATGATAAACAAAAAGTTATAGTAACATGAGAATAGAAGAGCATATCCTTAAGTTGATAAAGAATAGCTAATGAATTGGCAAATTAAACAGATGACTTAAAACTTAATGATAAAGCCACACTGGTTGCAAAGAACCGTCTGTTATAACCTGTGAATGAGCATGAGCAGCAACATTGCTCTAGACAAGATTTATCTTAAAAAAGCTATGATTTTTTTAACAGCCTTACACATTGGCAATCATGCATCTGTAAAGTAATGACAAAAGATACCCTTAAAATGACAACAATAGTGAAAAGGCACTTACAAATAAATCTAACAAAAGATATTGTAAATGACATATGAAAATTTAGGAAACACAATTTTGAAGAACTTCGAATAAGATTTTAATTGCATAAAATATGTTGATTTTAACTGTAATTTCATATAACTTTAATCTAATTACAAATAAAATTGTAAAAGAGTGTTTTGAAGACCTTGACCCATGAATTATTTGGAAGGATAAAGGACAAGGAATACTCTAGAAGAAAAAGAAAGAAGGAGCTGGAATAAAAACTTGTCTTATTATTTAACAAGATTTATTAAAATACTGTAATGCTGGAGCAGTAGAGACATATTATAACGACGGAGCAGAATGGAAAAACAATCTTAGACCCACTTGTATGTGAAAATTTGATGCATGACAAAAAAAGGTATTAAAAGCCAGTGGGAGACAATGTAGCAAATATTGTTTGGAAAATAGCTATTCACTGGTAAAAAATAAATATAGATCCC
This sequence comes from Homo sapiens, assembly GCF_000001405.40. Classification (NCBI taxonomy): domain Eukaryota; kingdom Metazoa; phylum Chordata; class Mammalia; order Primates; family Hominidae; genus Homo; species Homo sapiens. Next base: position 39,689,214 of record NC_000018.10, read on the forward strand.
TGAGTTACAAAATAGACCTACATCAATTTCACATGGAAAAGGCCTATGTGCTAAAAGCTGAACTTAGAAACTTTCAGAAGAAAATACAGGGAAAATTTTACTATACTAAAAATTTTAAGAACATCTTTAAGAAGATATAAAAAACACAACTAGAGATGTATAAAATTAAAGCTTCATATAAAAAATACATTTCAAATAAAATTAAAACCACATATTAGAAAAAATATTGAGTGAATATATGACATTAGCTTACATTGCATGATATATAATTTATACCTATAAGTCAATCAGAAAAATAAATGTGCAATAGAAAAATGAGAAAGGATCTGATCATAAAGTTCCACAAAGAACAACAGCAAATGTCTAACATTAAAAACATATTGGACCTTACCCTTTATGAGGAAAATGTCAATTAAAACAATGTGATTATTTGATCACTTGAAAGCCATTAGATTGATAGAATTTTAAAAGGTGACAACTTCAAGTGTTTGGATGGCTGTGGGTAAATGGGAACTCTAATAGTGACATGTTGAAATATAAACTGGTAAAGCTATCTTGGAAAGCAATTTACCAATACATAGGAAAAGTAAAATCACACATGCTCTATGACCTGCCATTCAATTTCTACACCTACATGATTTAAAAAAATTATGCAGTTATACAAGGAATGACGTGAAATTATATTTATTTCACTATTATTAATAACAGCGAAAAATTATAGTCCATATAATTTCGAACCACTAGTAGATATAGGTAAATGTTTACTGTTTTAATCAATTACTTACTAACAGTTAAAACAAATCAACTAAATATAATGAGCAAAAATGCAATTGCAAAAGAACATGTAAGTGATTTCTGCAATTTAGTCTGAGATGCATCCAAAAACGAATATGTATTAATGGGTGTGTAATAAAGCCAGAATAGCAAAATGTTGATAAATCTAAGTAAAAGGTATGTAGGTGCTCACTGTAAAATTCTTTCCAACTTGTTGTGTATATGAATATTTTAAATATAGTTGAATTTGATAACATACTATAAATACTCATAAATTATATTATTTGCAGAATGATACATTAATAATAAAATTGTAAAAACATGCATGGAAATGACACATATTAACTTCAGAGTAATGGTTACTTCTAGGGAATGAGAGAAGGAAAGGGATGAAAGGTGAGGATTTACTCTATCAGTCATGTTTCCTAGTATTAAAGAAAGAAAAAGTAAGGAAGAGAGAAATCTAAAATACAGCAAAAAGATTTCCATGTGTTAATACCAAGTTGTTCATTCAGAGATATAGTTTATTACTTTTGTACATACTTCTATCTAATTGAAATATTGCCTGATTAAAACTTATATCAAAACACGATGAACGATATCTACATTATCAAAATTATCTTAAAAGGATAATATTGGCTTAAAAAGCAAGATCATTTGCATTGTAAAATGCCTGGTGCATAAAATTTTTAAATGCAAAACAATCTTAAGTGTTGTATATGGATATATGCATAAATAATAAAAGTAAAAAAGCACAAATGTGAAGATACTCACCAAATAAAAGACAGTGGTTAACCCAGGGGAAGAAAAGAGCAAAATGAGTTAAGGAACGGTAAAGGTCGTTTCAATTGAATTTGCAACATTATAGTCCTCAAAACAATTTTACTTTTGATAAATCTGGGTAATAGAACACAGTTCTTCAAGTTTTAAAATTTTCATGATACATAATAAAAAAGAAATCATAAATCAGTACAGTCTAAAAGAATGACCTGACTTCTCAAGTCAGAAACAGCATCACAAAAAGAAAGAACTCTCCCATGACACATGAGAAACTGCTAGCATATTCCAAGAACTCTTTTTCCTATTAGTCTATGATATTAGCTTAGATCATTGATTACTGGTTATATTCATTTATTTCTGTACATACGATAATCCTGTGCTGTTTTGTGGCCATTATTTTATATATCTTACATTGTATCCTCAAATCATAGGGTTTAAAAAATTCTTACTGAATATTTGATAAAACCATTTAACCAAACTGAGGATTCATCTGGATCATTCTAAACATTTCTCATTCTTTTTTTTGTTAAGAAGCTGAGATCACAAGAAATATCTAAGAAACTTCCTGGAGAAGTTGCATATTGGAAAGGATCATTTAATTTGAACACCAGTGAGGCAAAATTCCTTAAGAAAAGCGTAGCCATTAGATACAAAGCAGAATGTCTACAGTGGTTATAATTCAACCTTTTCAGGCCCTCAGCTGCTTTTCCCAGCTAAGAGCCAAGAGTGTCTACCCAGGATCCTGGGCATTCAGCGTGAAATGAGCAATGCCGACGTTTCTTAGGCCAGTCGCTGTGGCTCACGCCTTGGGAGGCCAAGTTGGGCAGATCGCTTGAGCTCAGGAGTTCGAAACCAGCCTGGGCAACAAGGCAAAACCCCGTCTCTACAAAAAACACAAAAATTAGATGGGCGGGGTGGCATGTGCCTATAGTCCCAGCTACTTGGGAAGCTGAGGTGGGAGGATTGCTTGAGCCCAGGAGGTTGAGGCCACAGTGAGCCGAGATCGCGCCACTGCACTCCAGCCTGGGTGACAGAGCAAGACCCTGCCTAAAATAAGATAAAATAAATTAAATAAAATAAAGAAGTTTCGGCCGGGTGCAGTGGCTCACGCCTGTAATCCCAGCACTGTGGGAGGCCGAGACGGGCGGATCTCGAGGTCAGGAGATCGAGACCATCCTGGCGAACACGGTGAAACCCCGTCTCTACTAAAAATACAAAAAAATTAGCCAGTCGTAGTGGCGGGCGCCTGTAGTCCCAGCTACGGAGGCAGGAGAATGGCGTGAGCCCGGGAGGCGGAGCTTGCAGTGAGCCGAGATCGCTCCTCCAGCCTTGGCGACAGAGCGAAACTCCGTCTCAAATAAATAAATAAATAAATAAATAAAAAGAAGTTTCTTGAACCATGATAGGCTACTTGCTACCAAAAACTAGAGAAATACACATGTACATCGGACTAGTTATGGAAGAAAAGGACCTAAAAGTCAGCTTTCTACTTCTTTAACATGGGACAACTGGGTTGAGACTCCCCTCAGTGTAACCAAGTGTTCTGTGGCTGAAATTAGAGCACTTTGTTACACAGATATGAGAAAAAAAAAATCAAAGAATCATCAAGGCAGATACCTACTCATTTCCTTTTTCCTCCTTCTTTCCCTTCCACAAAATACTTTTTTTTTTCCCTGCTGAAAAGCATATTCACAGCCATGGCAAATCCCTCCTCTCAAACCATCTATCAATTTGAAGTGGTTTCTGCTTTACAGTCTGAATCCACCCCTACTTGGAGTTCCTTAGAGGATAAATAGAATGGAAATGCAAAGTGCTAATAACATATACATATCTAACTCTTTTCACAAGGGTATTGTAAAGACTAATGAGTTATTGTTTGAAAAGACTTTGGTGGCTTTCTGATGAAAGGTGGAATATGCATAGAGTTTGGAAGGTTTTATTTTGTTACTGTTGTTGTTATAATTAGAGTAGCTGTATAGTGTGTGAAGCACACCACCAGCCAAGCATCATCTCCTTTCTCCTTCCTTGTTTGTGCTTGAAAAGTAAGCCCGTTGCCCTCTATAGGTCTTGGTTGCGTTAATCACTTTTTATTCTGCTGTCAGACACCATGGGGTAAACTCTGGATTATTTAGTCAGCTGAAAAGCCAAAATCAACATTTTGGAAAATTCCCTGACCTTCCTAACATTCTTCTTCTTTCTTTCACACTCCAACAGAGTATCCCCTCTGTGTGCTAGACTTTCTATTTTGATAATTTGTCTGACTTACTGCATTTGGTAAGGGAGGTCTGGGAAACGAAGTTAAGCATCCCAGAAAGGTTTATTCTGCCCCTTATTAAATGGAAGCTAGTCTTCTTTGCAGACCTCTAATAAGGTTCACGAGCTCAAAAGCATCACTCAAGGATAAGTGTGCATAGGTCTTTGTTGATCTGCATGCTGATTTCTCTAGGTCTTTGACTCTGTGTTCTGGTGGGGGGCTATTTTGCATTTGCTGAATAGTATACCTTTTCCCTGCTGCCCTCCTCTCTCTTGTTATGTATGGGCTGTCTCTATCTAAAATTCCTTATGCTGATTTTCCAGACACATTTATTTATGTTCACTCACTAATTGAAAATCTCATATTTGAAGTTATTATTCTGATTGATGTCTGTCATTTTGATCAAGCAGTAGCTCACAGATGCTTTGTTAGAACAATTTTATAAGTGAGTTTATCATCATGCCTTTCTCTCCTGACCTTCTCCATAGCTGGTAGCAAAAAATCTCAGTGGAGGCTCAGAAAGAGGAGATGTTTGGCAAGCCTCCCAAATTCATTTCATTGTGTCTTCACTACTAAAAGCAATCCTTCTATTTCAGCTGTTGTTAATAGTAATGGAGGAGAGGCAGAGCAGTCAGACTCAGTGCAGGGAAACAAAAATAAGTGGAATGGGGACCTCTCCCCACCAAGAGGAACTCTGTCCCCAAGCTGAGCGCACATTTGTTCTCTCCTACACAGACAACGTTGGGAGGCAGGTGGGGGTGGGGGAGAATGTTTATCAGATTGCTCTTCATAATATCTGAAATACAGAGAAGGTTGAAATTCTGAGCTGCTTTAGGTAAGAGGGCACTGAAAGGTGGTGGAAAGGTACTCAGAAAACCAAGATGTGGAACAGAGAACACATTTTCTACACTTTGCACATTTGCTAAGTCCCATCAATTTTACTTGTTTTGTTGGAAAAAGTGTTTCCTAAAGTATATGTTGTTCTGTAACCAATATATTCTCATTCAAATAAACTGGTTAATGTTATATATGTTATTCTTGTTTTCAAAATTAACAATGCCCATTCATAGTTAAGTTCATTCTATCAAGGAGCTTATTTCAATTTACTTAATCCAAATTTTTTGGAATGTATTTGAATCACTTTTTATTTATCACAAAAATTAACATCCCAAGAAATGATTGCCTTCTGAAACAGTTTTAAATATCTTGTATTAGACCATAGGCCTCTTGTGATTAAATAATTTTATGTATAGAATCATGAACCATTAATATCAGAAGGACCTTGGGCTCATTGAATCCAAATCTGTGCCTAATGCATGCATGGATTTCCTCTTACAATATGAACACTTAGAACTTGCTTAAATGTCTTTTTAAAATCCCACCTCATGAGGAAAGACTCATGAAAGAAAGTGTTCATTTTTGGACAAAGATCCAGATTAAATGAAAATTCTATTTGCTAATCATTTTTAACCACTAACTACAATTTTTCTTAGAAATTCACTTCCAATTTCTTTCATTCATTTAAAAATATTTATTGAAGATCTTTTATGTGACAGGCACTATTCTAGAGATTGGGGATATTTCAGTGAACAAGACTGATGAAGTCCCTGCCCTCATGGAGCTTGCATTCTGTGTTCAAAAACAGACATGAAGCAAGCTCATTAATAAATAAAATAACATTAGGTGGTAATAAAGGATATAGAAAAAAAGAGAAAACCATTTTAGGGACAGAGAAAGAAGAAGGGATAGAAGTATTCTATCTGTTGATCTGTTTGAAGCATTCTGGTTAGGGAAGTTCTCTCTGAGTAGGAGACATTTGAATAGACACCTAAAAAAGGTGAAAGGAAGGTTAGTCTTGCAGCAGGAATGTGGAACAAGGTCCCAACAGCATGAATGAACTGAACTGGAGGAGTAGCAAAAAGGCTCTTGGTCATGAATAAAAACCAAACTATTTTACCTCAAAATATTTTTGACATATTTCTAGATGGTTATTTAGAAAAGCTGGACATGTAAAAATAGCTGAAAAGCTGTCTTTTGTAGGGGAGATTTGCAACTGTAAAGAAAATCTGCCTTGATACAGCCAGGCTTTCTCTGAAGGCCTCACCTTTTCTGGATCTAGGAAAGATTAATTGAGATTCTGACATCTTAAAGGTCTGAAAGAAGCATTTACCATCTATTCTCTCTGAGGATGCTCTCTATGAAATTTCATATGTTTAACAAGACCATCTTTGCTAGCCAGGCCTCCTCTTCTCTCCCTCCCATAACCTGTTTTGCTACCGTAACTTATTTTACCATAATCTAAGCCCCTATTCTTTCTGTAATCTCTAGGTGGTATAAAGGTGTCAACTATCTTCCCTTTCTTTAAGATCTTATAATTTGTTCCACAAAATAATGCCTGCCTCTTGGATTCATTCGAATTCCAAAGAGAATCATTTTGCAAGTTAATTTCTGTCTCCCTGGTTCATTCATTCTCCCTAACAATCACTTAATGCCTCTCAAAAGAATTATCTACATTCTCCATCTCCCCATCCCCTATGAAAAAGGGCATATTAGCTTCTGTACTTCACTGAGGAGTTGGGGTATTCACTTTGTGGTTCTCTCCCCAATACATGTTAATAAATTTGTATTCTTTTTCTCCTATTAACCTGCCTTTTTACAATGAACTTTCAAGAGGCCAAAGGGAAAGTTTTCCAATAACCCCTACAGTAAAAAAGAAAGGAAAGGAAATTGCAGCTGGAGAGTTATCAGAGGCCAGATCTCAGGGGATGTGACACCAGGCTAAGGCCTCTGAATTATGTTCTAGGAGGACAGAAGCCACTGTAAGATTTGTAGCCAATGGATAATATTACTAGCATTAAGTTTTCAGAAGGATCACTTTGACTGCTATGCGGAGAATAGATCATAAAGGCAATAGCAGAAGCAAGAAAACAAGACAGGAGACCAATGCAATCAAGTGAATCCCCAAGACACCTCATTCTTGACAATCTATCATCTTTCCTCTGGGTCTGTGATGCTCTGTACATGCCTCTACTCTAGCTCCATCTACTTTCAGTGGGCTTGACTGCTTAAAAGTCGTTCTCCACCACTCCTGGAAGACGGTCAGCTCTGTAGAGGTAAGGACCATGGTTTACTTCTCTTCCTATCCCTAGAACCAAAGCCAGTGCTGGCCACATACATGAATACCTCAATAAAATCAGGCTGAATTTCTCTACTGCTCCTTACAAGTGGCAGGCCTTAAAACTCTGCATTTGAAGGCAGTAATGTTTATTTCCTTGTTTAAAAAGTAACTTGGAGATCTGTCTCTGCATTTCCACTTGTCAGTTAAAGTCTACCCTCTCTTATGAGGCCATCTGCAACTGTTACCTGTTATCCATGTTGCTAAACCATTTTCAGACCTAGTTTATAGTTTGTTGCATTGGTGAGTATAATTCTGTTACTGTTCTTTCCTAGAGCTTTTGGTCAAAGAAAGCACATATTTGTATCACTTTATCTCCAGACCATGGTGATTAAACCAAATAAGTGATTAAGCAATGCTTACCAAGGAAAGAAATTTGACAAAATGAGCACTATGCACAATTTTGGATTATTGGGGTTTGTTAGTGTTTTAGTCCATTTTCTGCTACAACAGAATACCACAGACTGGTTAATATATAAATAAAAGAGTTTATTTTTCACAGTTCTGGAGGCTGGGAAGTACAAGAGTGTGGTGCCAGCATCTGGCAAGGGCTTTTGTACTGAATTATCCCATGGCAGAACGGCAAGTGGGCATGTGAAATAGAGAGAGAAAATTGGGCAGAACTCCACCCTTTTTTCTGGATCCCACTCCCATGACAAGGAATCCCTCTTACAATAACAGCATTAATTCACTGATAAGGGCAGAGTCCTCATGAGCTAATCACCTTTTAAAAATGTCACCTCTTAATACTATTATAATGGCAATTAAGTTTCCAACATGTGAATTTTGAGGGACATATTCAAATTATATCATTTAGTTTAGTGAATAATTATTCTCTTCTATTTGTTTGGGGTCAAACACTACTACAGTATTTTATAGTAACTAAGAGAACTTGCATCCGAAAAAAATGGGGAGCATGGACCTAGATGAGATGGCAAAAAATATAATGCAAGTTTTTTTTTTAATATAACCATGGTTTATGGGGTATTCTGAAGAAAGGAAAAGCATTTTGTAGTATTTTATAAATTTGATGTAGCTTTGAAAAAACCTTTCCAAATATAGTCATATAATCATATTAGAATTACTTAGTGTGATAGTTAATGTTAGGTGTCAACTTGAGTGAACTAAGAGATACCCAGGTAGCTGATATAGCATTATTTCAAGGTATGTCTGTGAGGGTGTTTCCAGATGAGATGGGCATTTGAATTAGTGAACCGAGTAAGGAAGATCTACCCTCCTCCAAAGTGGGTGAGCACTATCCAGTCTATCTAGACGGTCTGGATAGAAAAAAAGGCAGAGGAGGCTGAGGTGGGTGGATCACTTGAGGTCAGGACTAACATGGAGAAATCCCGTCTCTACTAAACATACAAAATTAGCTGGGCATGGTGGCACATGCCTGTAATCCCAGCTACTCGGGAGGCTGAGGCAGGAGAATCCCTTCAACCTGGGAGGTGGAGGTTGCAGTGAGCTGAGATTGCGCCATTGCACTCCAGCCTGGGCAACAAGAGTGAAATTCCATCTCAAAAATTAAAAAAAAAAAAGAAAGAAAGAAAGGCAGAGGAATGGCAAATCTGCTCTTTCTTTATTCTGGACCTGGAACCCCCCTTCTCCTTCTCTTGGTTCTAGTTCCTTTGGCCCTCGGACTCTAGGAACTGCACCAGTGGACCCCTAGCTTCTCAGGCCTTCACGCTTGGACTGAGAGTTACATCATCTACTTCACTGGTTCTGAAACTTCTGGACTTGAACTCAGCCATGCTACCAGCTTCCCTCGTTCTCCATCTTGCTGACGGCCAATCATGGGATTTCTCAGCCTCCACTTAATCAAGTGAGCAAGTTTCTCTAATAAATCCTCTTCATCTACCTACCTACCTACCTACCTACCTATCTCCTATTAGTTCTGTCTCTCTGGAGAACCCTGACTAATATAGTTAGTAAAGACTAGGTATAGTTTCCAAATCAGAGACTTATTTGACCTAGATAAATGGAAACAGAACTAGGAGATTCGAGGTAAGATCAGAAATTACAAATAGTATTGCACATTCTGAGAACTCCAAATCACAATTATCAAAAATTACTAAAAAAACAAGCTTAAATAATGGGCTCAAAAATTATGAAGGTTTATTGAGTAGAAATTGTTGAGATTTAGTTCAAAAACTAAAAGCTTTGGACAGGAAAGGAATCATGAAAAGAAAAAGTTTTATATGGCATAAGACATATATCAATAATATTTGTGGATGCATTTAACTAGAGTCCAAATCCAGTGGCCGATTAACTCCAACCGTTTTTTTGATTTCTCAGGGTAGTAACCAGCTGAGCTGTTAAGCCAGTCAAGGAAAAGTATATTATTTCCATCCTCTTTTTAAACACTCTATAAAGAACCCTCTCGTTCATAATAGCTTTGTTTACTGCATAGTACAGCATGTTCTAATTATCACCCCTGCCTCACTAACCACACAGCTTATGTTCCCACACTCATCTGTTATTTTTATGCCTCCTACAGAAATGAAGAGAACATTAATAAGAATAATACTTGGAAGATAATATTTTTGGTAAAATTAGGAAAAAATATGGCTGACAATATAGGAAATAGAGCTTTTCAGTTAAATTGAAATGACCCAGCACTAGCAGTACGCTTTCTTCGCTGTTTTCATTTATGATTTGCTGTCAGTCCATAATCTGTTTCTTTTCCTCTTTACTCGGATGATTTATTTGGTTACGATTTTATTTGGCTGTTTATTTTTTTCTGTCACTAAATTTGCTTCACTTTTTTCCCCATATATTTCTTTTACCTTGAGAATTTCTTCCACCTTTCTTGCTTTTTCCATATTTTGAAATTCTAACTTTCATTTGCTTTTGGTTTATATTTTTCTCAATTTCTTATTTGCCTTTTTATCTCCCTGCTTTCTCTCTCTTCTTCTATCATCTACCTGTAATAACTTCTCTAATGTATGCACAGAAAATATCTTTTTGTACCTCTGATGGGCAAAAAATGTATATACATATATATTGATATGGGAATTAATACATTTTCAGCACAAGAAATGGGACCAGCGGGAATGTCAAATGGAACATTAAAACATTTAAAAATCACTACATTAGCTGAGCAAGGCTTAAATAATATTTGCATGGCAAAGAGTCTAAATAAAGAAGCAAGAATAATGAAGTAATAGAAAAAGAAAATGGCTATAAAATGATCCTTTGAAAAAGTAATATGTTGGAACAGAATTGCACCAATCTTTCCAATCTGTAAAAGGTGGAGTCAATATGCCTTTTACACACAGTCTTTCCTAACATTTAAAATATGTATGTGCATAAATATTTCTTATAAGACTAAGGAGGCAACAGGTCTCACCTCATTAAGAACCATGTTTGCTGTGCTGCTGATTTCACCATTCAAATAGTGGTTACTGCTTGCAGGGATATTTTCCATGATAGAAATCTTAAATGGATGGGGAGGGAAAAAGAAAAAAAAAAAAAACAAGAGAAGAAGATTGCTAATTAAAAGGGAAAGAAACAACAAGGCGGGATACATCAGTCCGTGGATACACACATTTTCAGCGATGACTCAGGAACACGTTTGGGTAGATTACGTCAACTCTTCCCTCAATAGTTGAATCTAATCATCCCTGTGAATTGATTGGAGTTTGAAAAAATAGCAACTAAGCCTTCTTTCACATGCTTATAATCAGCTCTTGGAAATGTTGCACTTTAGATAAAATGATAGAAATAAATCTGCACATTGATATGGTACAGATATATTTCACTGAGTACACAGAAATTATTTGCATGTAGAGCAATTAAGTGGTGCATAGCCACCTATCCCTGCTCCTAAAGGGGAAAAGCCTTTGCTGGGGTGGAAGAGGAGGATAATGGAAAGGCTAGCCCAGTGATGTCTCTGTCATCCTCTGCATCCACTGTCAGATTGAGCACTGGTTCTAGTCCTGCTTCCCAAGGCTCACATTGACAGTAGCATCTTCCTTTCTCCATCCCCAGCCAGCAACTCTCAAACAAGGCTATTGTATTATGTTACTGTGATACTGGTAAAATGAAGTGAGCAACCTTTTTCTTCCACCTAGGATATTCCTGACCCAAGCAACCATCCATCATTCTTCTTTGCTTCCCCAAAGCACATGTTGCAGAGGAAAGCTACTGTGAGGACAGAGGAGGTGCAGCATAGGCAAAAGACAGACTTACAATGGCCTCCTACCTCAGTGCAAGAAGCCCAATCCCCAGGCCCCGGCCTAACTTAGCTTCCAGACAAAGACAACTGTACCCACAATGCCGATAGCAGGAAAAACTCTTAGACCTTATTCCAAGAGACACACTCCACACACAACATATCCAGACAATACCTGATATTCAGGAAACAGGAAGACTGTCATCATCTAGTTGCATTCTTGCTTGACCAGACATCTCACAGTGGGGGTGGTGGGGAACCACCAGGGCAGGAGAGGGCCATGCTCCATTCATGGGCTGGGGGTGGGGTTCTAGAAAATAGGGTGGAACTAGGAAAGTGTGGAATGGTACTAAAACCAATCATATAGCTGAGTGTTGAGGAATTAATGACTGAGGTAATTTACAAGTGCTCAAGGTTCCTGGAATCAGGATCTATGTCAGCTTGTCACAAAGGAGACTGGAATGTATTTGTATGGGAGAGAAGGGCAGTGCAGAGGTAGAGGATGTGAAGAAATAAGAAATTGTGTGGATCAACTGCATCAGGGACCTTGGCCCTTGGGCCTTGGCCTGAGGTTTAATTCTAAATTTTAACAGCTTTAAGTCTATGTAGAAGCGACGTAGCAGAGTGGGGGCATCGAAATATTACCCACTACTTTTCAAACACTGCTTAGAACTCAGTCTGTTGTTGGGAGCACTAATGAATGACAAAAACAAGGAGAAAAACTCCAAAGCTGCTCAGGGTCTATCTCTGTAACGTGAGGTATGAAAAGGACAAATTGCAAGAGCCATGGCTTCCTCTTCTCTGCCCAGCTTGAAATCAGAGTGTCTCCCAGGTCACACGCTATTTTCCCTGCTCTCTCCCAAATTAAGACTCTAGAGGAGAAGCTTGTTGTTGCTATGGTTACACCAAAGCTAGTGCATCAATACAAATGCATTCCTTTGAAAACATCCTCAGCTGTAACCTATCAGAACTGGTTTGCTGAGGAATCCATAGTTCCTTAAAGACATTTATGGAGAAGAAAATATTTCTGTGTTCAGGTTGGTGATGTAACGTTGCTTTGCTCTGCTTGGTTTGAGTGAAGAAACCATTTCCTTGTCAAATATACAGAAGTGGAGGGTTTCCCATGCAGTAAAATCCAATCATTTATCCACCAGAGCTCGGCACATGCATCATTGGCCAAGGGATGGTATGTTGAGGGAAGCACACACCACCTAAAAATCTTGTTCTTGCTCACCCTCAATGACTAAGACCATTAATGACATAATGGCCTTCTCACATCTACCTTCTACCCAATTAAAACCAGTTTTGGACTATGAGATAGAATCTCCCACTTCTTGCAAATGCTAGGACAAACAATTCTCATGCTAAAAAGTAAAAGGATAATTCATTCTGGTATCTTAAATTAAAAAGACTTATCAGGAAACATTTTCAGGATTTGTATTCAAAGGGAAATAAATGCATCCTCTGTAATTTCATATGCTTTATAAAAATATGCAGAATATCCTTCAGTTCACTCTATCTGTATGCAAAAAAAATTGTTTAAAAAAAGGGATTTTTTTCTCCTTTGTTAAATAGGATTGAGTTGCTTTAGATTTTTTTCCCCTTTCCCTCCTCAGGTCTTCCTGTCAGCTGTTACTATCAGCAATGATTAACCATAAACAAACACTGTGATTCATCAAGAACTGATAGACTCATTGTGGATATCAACCTTCCTCAGTCTCACGATCAGATTAGGTAGGAAGCCAGGACAACCTCATACAGAGATCTATATAGCTGAGTTTACGTAATTTATTTATTGTCCTATAATTACTGAATAAAATGTATATGTTTCTATGTCTGCATCTAAACTATTATTTTCTGAAACATAAAGGTTTGTAAAGGAATTATGCAGTTAGGTATAAAAATGTTTGTACTCCACCTTCCTGGAACTCCAAACAAAATCACTCAGAAACTAACAGTTTACCACAGAAATTCAGCCTACCCAGCTCACCAGCTTACTGGAGCTCATATGAAAATCTTCCCAGCAAGATCCCCACCATATTTGTGCTGCCTCCAGATGTGTCTATAAAAGGCTTAAAGTCCAATAAGATACATTGAAAATTATTTTCTCCTGAACACCAGAAAGCAGAAGACAGTTGGTCTTGGGACACCGGAAACCTAATTTCTCTATGGACCTGAGGAAGAACCCAACTCAGTTTAAAATTCTTGCACTTGACTCCCTCCACCTTGCTGCATCCCAAACTTCCTACCTGAGAGGTGAAGAATTTCTGTCTTTTCAGAAATTTCAAATCTTGAATATACAGAATTTTCAAAACTGTATATTCTTTAGAAATTCTCTCCTGTCTTTATTTCTATGACTCATTGAACACTCTTGTTTCACCTCTTACTCTTTTTTCTCAGTCTCATCCCTCTCCTCCCACTTCTACTGTATGTGTGCATACACTCACACACACACACATGCTCCTCCCCCTCCTAGAATATAAATGTGAAATATATATTCTATATTGAAATATATATTATATATTAAAATATATAAATATATAAGCATATAAATACATATTTAAACTGCAAGGTTTTTGTTTGTTTGCAATAGGGTCGATATAGTTTGACTCAGTGTCTCCACCCAAATCTCATGTTGAATTGTAATCACCACATGTTGAAAGAGGGCCTAGTAGGAGGTGATTGAATCATGGGGCAGACTTCCCTTTTGCTGTTCTTGTGATGGAGCTCTCAGGAGATCTGGTTGTTTAAAAGTGCAGCACTTCCCCCTTCACTCTCCCTCCTCTCGCCACGTGAAGATGTGCTTGCTTCCCCTTCACCTTCCACAATGATTGTAAGTTTCCTGAGGCTTCCCCAGCCATGCCTCCTGTACAACCTATGGAACTGTGAGTCAATTAAACCTCTTTTCTGCATAAATTACACAGTCTAAGGTAGTTCTTTATAGCAGTGTGACAATGGACAAATATAGGGGTCTTGTTATATTGTATGTTGCCCCGGCTTATCTCAAACTCCCAGGCTCAAGTGATCCTCCCCACCTAGCCTTCCTAGTAGCTGGGATTACAGATGCTTGCCATCATGCCTGGCTCTTTCATGTGTTTTATGTAACCACTTTGTACTAGGTTCCTCTTGCTGCTGCAAAAAATAATAATAATTTTTTTAAAATACCAGAAACTTAATGGTTTAAAACAGTAAGAATTTATTCTCTTATAGTTCTGGAGGCCAGAAGTCTGAAATCAGTTATTTCTGGGCTAAATTCAAGGTGTCAGCAGGGTTGGTTCTTTGTGAAGGCTCTAGGTGAGAATCTGTTCTTTGACTCTTCCATATTCTAAAGGCTTCCAGCATTCCCTGAGTTGTGGCTGTATCACTCTAATCTTTGCTTCCATCATCACATAGCCTTTTCTTCATCTGTAGTCAATCTCCTTCTGCCTCCTTCCATAAGGACACGTGTGATTACATTTACAGCCCACCAGAATAGTCTAGGATAATCTTCCCTTTCCCAGGTCCTGAATTTACTTAAATCTGAAAAGTCTCTCTCTCTCTCTCTCTCTTTTTTTTTTTTTTTTGAGATAGAGTCTCACTGTGTCACCCAGGCTAGAGTGCAGTGGTGCAATCTAGGCTCACTGAAGCCTCCACCTTCTGGGTTCAAGCGATTCTCTTGCCTCAGCCTCCAGAATAGCCAGGATTACAGGTGCCACCATTCCTGGCTAGTTTTTATACTTTTAGTACAGACAGGGTTTCACCACATTGGCCAGGCTGGTCTCAAGCTCCTGACCTCAAGTGATCTGCCTGCCTCAGCCTCCCAAAGTGCTGGGGTTTTAGGTATGAGCCACCACACCCAGCCTGAAAAGTCTCTTTTGGCCTAGAAGGTACCAACCACTGGTTCAAAGCATGAATATATGGATATCTTTGGGGGTCATTATTCAGTCTATTATGCCCTGCTTTCTCTGATCTTTTGCTTATGCTCTTTGTGGTAATATCTTCTCTCTCTGATTGCCTTCTTTATTCAGAGGACTTCTATTGTGAATATCCAGGGGAGATTGTTGATCTAATACCCAACCCTGACTTTACAAGTAGCTGTTGTACTGTTACCCTCAGATGATATGAACAAAGCAAACTGAAAACACTTGAAATTTAAATCAAAGAATTTTTCCTCTTTCCCTCACAGAGACAGAAAAGTATCTCTCATTTTCATTGTTACCTATTTTTGAGCCTTGGATAATATTGACTCAGACATTTCCCTTTTCCCCATAACTTTTCTCAGTTAGAGTCTAGAGAATCTTCCTTTGATGTAAATTATGCTCTCCCTGGTGTCTTTCCAATGGCTGCCACAGTTAAAATCCCTATTGTACTGTGCCTCACATTATTTTAACAACCTCTTAATGAATTTCTCTGCCCCTAGTCTCTCCCTGTTCCACCTTATCATGTATATGCTTCTGGAAGAGTTGTCCTTTCCAATTACTTTGACTAGTGTCATTTTCTTCCTCAAAACCTTCAATGGTTTCTCAATGCCCCAAGTCCCAAATTTTTAAGCCTTCATCCAACTAAAGTAGTCACCCCTACTTTTTCAGATGCACACTATTTTCTGCTATTAATAATCTCTACTTATTACAAGCAATCCTGTAGACTCCCCTTTGTGGATTTACTGATGTGATTCTTTAACCTTGAAATCACTTCTCAGACATTCTTCTCTCTAAAGTTCATATCAAGTGCTTTCCCCGATCACTCAAGCCAGCTACCTCTTTTCTTAAAGTAAAATTATTTTATGGCAAATTCCTCTATATACACTTATAAGTATTAGATATTCAGAACATATTTGTTACATAGATTAACCAGAAAAGTGCCTAGAAAGTGGAAATAAGTAAGGTATGATTCACAAAACCTTTACTATTTCAAATGTTTGCAATATGTATTCTTTTGAATGAGCCAGAAAACATTTTCTCATAGGAATGTTTAAAAATTCTCTCACATGACTTTTTAAAATTGACTTTTAATTTTCTTGGGCATCAGTTTCTCAACTAACTTATCTTGGGCCTGCATTTCAAAAGCAGGAAGGAAACTTCACACACACAAAAATTAAAGTTCTGTCTTTCTTATCTTTTGCATATCAACTGAGTTTGATGGATACCAAGAGACATATATCAGATGCTGAGCAGGATCCCATTGAGAGTTCCCATGGCACTTCAGTCACTTAGTCATGATCTATGCTCTCAACAGTTGAAGATAATGACTTCAGGAACAATCTTTCACAGGTTTCACATTAAATGAGACGAAAGTGCAGGCGCGGCATTAAAGCACCTTGTTATTTGCAGAGTACTTAGAGTAACCTTAAATATGGAGATGATCAAATTTCATGACCTTTAGTTTTAATTCTTCCATCTTATCTTTGTGTGCAATTCCTATTTTTAATAAAGATGTGTGTATGTATGTGAGTGTGTATGTGCGTGTTTCTGCCTAAATTAACTTAGACACTTAATACATTAACACTTTAGAGTTAAACACAAAAGCCTGAAAATGACAATATAAATATGCTTATTTTTATTGTAAGCTTATCTATATTACTTTTATGACTGTATACTTTTAAGAGACTATTATTTTTAAAGTGTGCTGGGGCACATTACAATATTAAAAGACTCAATCTTTGATTTTCTTTTTATTGCTTTGCATATTTCAGTTTATAATAAAATGAAGAGCTAGCTCATTAAATTCTATTTTTGACAAGATGTTTTATTTTTAAGATTAGTCACTAATAGAAAACTCTCCTATGACAACAATGGAAAAGCCTTCTCTAGAGTATTAAACAGTTCTCAAAAGATGGTAAAAGAATTTGAAAAGAATAGGCCCTAAGAGAGTGAATTTGTGTATATTTGTCCAGAAAAAATCACATATTCTTGTTGAAATCCATAAGCACACAGCAAATAAGTGCTTACTACATTTGATGAACTAATATCCATAGGTCCACATAGATCAACAAGATAAAGTATCATGCCACACACCTGAAGAAAATAATATTCCTCAAGCTCCATTCCCAGTAAAAACTGAGAATGTGAACTTCCTCATAATAGTACTAGAATAATTGTGAGGCTGAGGCAGAAGGATCGCTTCTTCCCAGGAGTTGGAGGCTATAGTGAGCTATGATTGCACCACTGCACTCTAGCCTGAGTGACACAGTGAAACCCTGTGTCAAAACAAAGTGTTTATATAGATAAATATATATATATATATATATATATATATATATATATATATATACACACATATATAAAATTTGAAGTTTTTTAAAAGCACTGGAATAAATAACATCTTGCATTTAAGGCCTTTCTGACTAAATCTACCCAAGTTACATAACTCATATACTGTCTGCTGCAAATGGACCCTAAAACAGCATTCTGGTTTGTAGAAAATATCAGTGAATAAAAACAAGAAAGAGAAAGAAGCAGAGAGAAAGGAGAGAGAACAGTAAACCCGGGTTAACCTAAATAATATACATATTTTTATTTTTTATTATTATGATTTGTTGAGACGGCGTCTTGCCCTGTCCCCCAGGCTGGAGTGCAGTGGTGCAATCTCAGCTCACTGCAACCTCTCAGCTCAAAGGATTCTTGTGCTTCAGCCTCCCGAGTAGCTGGGATTACAGGTGTGCACCATCACGCTTGGCTAATTTTTTTGTATTTTTAGTAGAGGCGGGGTTTCACCATGTTGGCCAGACTGGACTAGAACTCCTGGCCTCAAGTCATCTGCCTGCTTTGGCCTCCTAAAATGATGGGATTACAGATGGTAGCCACTGTGCCTAGCCAATATATGTATTTTTAAATACTCCTGCAGTAGAAAATAATTTGACATACTTTTTTCACTTTTTTTTGTTTGTTTAAAGACTTCACTGTTTTATATAGAAGTTTTAAGTTCACAGCACAATTAACTGGAAGGTACAGAAATTTCCTATATACCCCTGCCCACCCCAATATGCATAGCCTCTCTTATTATCAGTGTCCCCTGCCAGAATGGTCTATTTGTTACAATTGATGAAGCAACATTGATACATCATAATCTCCCAAGGAGACTAAAGTCCTGTAGGTACATATAGGACCTATCGGACTACAGGTACAGCTAATAAACTGCCCATCTCCTGTGTTTCAATGTAAAGATCATCCAAAGACTGATTCTCTTTGGGTTACCATACTTGCCTGTTTGGATTTTTGAAATCTACTGATGAAATGGGAAAAGTCCCCTTATACTCCTCACAGGGCATGCGATGGGGATGCGGCTCATTTCTTTGGTGTCCCACTGCTCAAATTTCTAGGGGGAGCATGAAGACTGGCAGGTTGTGGGGCTCCAACCCCACAGCAGTGTCTGGGGTGAATGTTGACAGCTGAAACCCAGTGGACGTGTGTTACAGTATGCTCTTTCAGTTTAGCCAACTATAGGTGGCTTGTGTTAGTCAGCTCAGTTAGACCCTCTGCCTTATTGCAAGGACAGAAGGCTTTCTGTATGCCGGGGTTTCTTGCCTTGGTGTACCAGAAGAATTGGATCACACATGGACTTGAAGAGTGAATGCAAGGTTTTATTGAGTGCAGGCAGTCTCAGCAGATGGAGGAGCCAGAAGGGAGATGGAAGAGGAAGGTGGTTTTCTTCTGGAGTGGGGCTACTCAGCAGCCGGGTTCTCCTCCGACTGCCCTGGCCAAACTCCACATCATTTTGCCAACTGATGGCCTGCCGGCCTGCAGGCACCTGTCAGTGTGCTCTTACATTGGTGCGTTCCTCTCGACATCCAGTCACTTGTGTCTTCTTGGGCTGGTGTGTTTCTCTCT
Source organism: Homo sapiens (assembly GCF_000001405.40). Taxonomy (NCBI): domain Eukaryota; kingdom Metazoa; phylum Chordata; class Mammalia; order Primates; family Hominidae; genus Homo; species Homo sapiens. Next base: position 39,708,179 of record NC_000018.10, read on the forward strand.
AAGTCCAGCCACTTGTGTCTCTGCCCACTAGGGTCTTGGGGTTTTTACAGGCACAGGATGACGGCAAGGCAGGTCAGGGTGGATTTGGCCATGAAAACAGAAATGCCTGTCCTCACCTAGCTCCGTAGGCAAAGGCCCAAGATAGAGCCCTAGCCACGGACTACGCCCTTCCCTTTCCAGCACTTCCCTGCCCCCATCCCTATCACTTATATGGGCTGACATAACACATTAGCAACAAGAAAAGTTCACAGAAAGACAAGTGTGAGAAAGTATGCCAAAGTCCATTGTTTACATGTTAGTGTTCACTCTTGATATATTTTGTATAATGACATATTTCTACCATTATATTATAATACAGAGTATTTTATGGCCCTAAACATCTTCTGTGCTCTGCCTGATCATCCCTCACTCCCCGTTAACCCCTGGCAACAACTGATCTTTTTAGTGACTCCACAGTTGCACCTTTTCCAGAATGTCATATTAGAATCACATAATATGTATCCTTTGGAGTTTGGCTTCTTTACTTAGTAATATGCATTTAGGTTTCCTCCATGTTTTTTCATGCTTCATAGCTCATTTCTTTTTAGAGCTGAATAATATTCTACTGTCTGGATATGCCACAGCTTATATATTTATTCACCTGCTGAAGGGCATTTGATTGCTTCCAAGTTTGGGAAATTATGAATAAAGATGCTATAAATATTTGTGTACAAGTTTTCACGTGAACATGTTTCCAACACCTTTAGGAGCATGACTGAAGGACCATATGTTAAGAGTATGTTTATTTTCCCTTTCTTCACTTTTAAATAAGATTTAAGCAAAGCTCTCAATAATCAAATGTTTCTCTTTTTTTGTATAATATGACTCATTGTTTTCCCTCTCTATTTTGTGCTATGATATGGTTTGGCTCCGGGTCGCCACCCAAATCTCATCTCAAATTGTAATTCCCACATGTTGAGGGAGAGGGGTGTTTGGATCATGGGAGTGGTTTCCCCCATGCTGCTCTCATGAGAGTGAGTGTGTTCTCACAAGATCTGAAGGTTTTATAAGGCATTCTTCCCCTTTTGCCTTCTTCTCTCTCCTGCTGCCAAGTAGGATGTGCCTACTTCCCATATGGCCATCATTGTAAGTTTCCTGAGGCCTCCCCAGGCATGTGCAACTGTAAGTCAATTAAACTTATTTCCTTTATAAATTACCCCATCTCGGGTATTTCTTTATAGCAGTGTGAAAATGGACTAATACGTGCTACTATCAGAGATAACCTGATATACCTATTTTGCTACCTGGCTACTTCCAAGTAAATTTATCAGTAAGAGAGCAGACTGTCCTGAATTCTCTCATGTTATAGCTGGTTGTTCTGAGAAAGACACTGCAATCTACATTCAGTTGTATACGGTCCCTAACAACATCATTATCAATTTCCCTTCCCAGTTCACTCTTGATCTTCTCCTAATTATGTATGTATTTTCCAAGTGTTTTTGTATCCTTTTCATGTATGTTTCCTTGTTTTGCTATTAAAAATGTAAGTTCATTGAGGGAAATCACTGTATCATGCAATCATGTTGGAATTTTGGGCTTTATCAACACAAGATAGGTAAATATATTATTTGCAGGCAATGAATGTTGTTAACTGACCGGCAACCATTTATTTCCTAAATAAAAATGTCACATTACGAAGTGGATTTTGAAAGACTCTGAAGATTACTCCTGAAACTTGGCACCTCCTCCAAGTTAACATAGTCACATTTATAGGACTATAGGTACAGCTAATAAACTGCCCATCTCCTATGTTTCAATTTAAAGATCTTCCAAAGGCTGGTTCTCTTTGGGTCACCACACTTGCCAGTTTGGACTTTTGAAACCTACTAACATGGGCTGACATAACAAATTAGCAACAAGAAAAGTTCACAGAAGGACAAGTGTGAGAAAGTGTGCCAAATATATTAGCATTCGTTTTGCAACCTTGTCTCCAGTTTGTGTGAAGTTGATGGCTGGAGGTTACGCTTTCATTAAAAATTGACAACATTTTAAATGCTAATCAAAACTGCTTGTACTTTCTACTTCTATTTATCTTGAAAGGGCAAAAAAAGAGAGAAGGAAAAAAAAGATGGCTTGCTTTGAACTGCAACAAATATTCTCTCCATTGCCCCCCAGACCCCATTGCCTCCTCCTGTGTAGGACAGATAAGAGCTATGCAGATTGAGTGTCAGGACCTCAGCCTGAAGTGTGAAGGCACCACAACGCGAGTTAGAGATGTGTTTTCCAGAGGACAAGAGAGGAAGATGTGTGTGTGTGTGTGTGTGTGTGTGTGTGTGTGTGTGTGTGTACGAAGGGGTGGCCTTTTCATGTGAGTCTTTTTGATTGTTGAGGAAGAATTGTGGAGGTGTAGTTGGCTTTACAGTGGGTAAAAGGGAGAAACACATATTTTCAGAAAAGAAGAGCCATATGGTATGTGAGCAAATAACAAAATCAGAAATTATAAAATTAAAGAAGAAGGGTAAAAAAGCTGTCTCAAGCATGGAAAGCAAAGAATGATCACTGGTGAACCATCAGAAATAGTATACTTCATTTCAGACCATCCTCAGGAAGGAGTGAAGAGGGTGCAGGAAAATGCTTGACTCAAATTTTTATACAAATCTAAGGCTGAGAGTGTGCAGAACAGTGCTTTTCAGTGTTCTACATGGAATTACTTTCTTTTCACTCATTGTTGTCTGGCTCTTCAGAGCTCCAGAAGATACTAAAAATAGAGGAGAGTGAAAATACAATTCAAAGGGAAAATATTTCAGAATTTAGTATACAATGAAAGATAGCCTATATTTAAAAGCAGAAATTGTTCAGTTAGTTTAGTTGGGCTTCCTGGTTAAATCAAGTTACAAACTTAAATGTTTAATCTGTTACTAAATTAATGATTCATTGGACCAACAAGCCTAAGTGTGTGTGTGTGTGTTTGTCCACATGTGTATGCATATGCGTGGATGCATGTGTATGTGTAATTTTGTCAAAAGAGCTTAGTAACCTATAACTAAGAGGGTATGAATAGAATAGTTCTCCTCAATGCAGACCTATGATTTAAATCTGTGTTTCTCAAATGGTGCCCTATTTGTATTCTCTACAGTATAATTATTTGCTAGGTAGAACTCTCCTGCGAATGTCAGAAATGTGCTGTTCAAGATGCCACTGAGAATGGCGAGACATCAACCTGGAAAGATTTTACCACCATCATTCATCATTTCCTCATCCTCTTCCTCTTCATCTCCTTTTTTCTACCATTTTATCCCTTCCATCCCCTTTATCTCCTTTGTCTCCTTCATCGTCATCAGGTGCTGCAATGAAGTTAATGTGCCTCATCTCATTTAATTATTCCAACAATTTGGACACATAAGTACTATTACCTCTAATACAAACTGGGACATTGAAGGTTAAGTCATCTTTCCAGTGAGGGCTGAGCTAGAACTTAAAACCCGACATAGGTGAAAATAAGGCAAAGGCTCTCTACCATTAAACTAAAACCAGACCTTCCTTAGTAACCCATTACTGATCTTTATTCAGATATGAATCTTTGTCTGAGTCTATTTATATTTTTAATGAATAGCAAAATTTGGATAATGAGTTCCATAAGTTTATCCCCCACTGTGTTAAAAAATAGTTCTTTCCATTTATCCTAAATCCTCCTTTTTTAAGCTTCAAAGGGGACCCTTTGTTCTGGAATTTGATGAATAAGACCATCTCAATTCTCTCTATTCTTTTCAGTTTTATAGACTTGTAGACTTTGAGTCTATTCAGCTTTGACTTTTACAGACTGAAGAGCCTGATTATATGATATCCTCAAAGAAAATATCTCCATTTATTTGGTCACTTTCATTGCTGTATTCTCTAAACTGTCTCTAGCTATCTTTGAAACAAAAGACAGTTTAAACATAACACAACCAAGTAGAGCATGGCTAATGCCTGAAGTGGAGCTTGGCAACGTGGACTGGGCTGCGTTGTCACTAACCTTTCTATTAAGGTAATATCATAGCTAACCTAACACCTGAGGCTCAGTTTGTGCCTGCAGGAAAAGCATGATTTTAAATAAATGCAGATTATTCACTGCTCCAATAAAACGGCTCCTTTTTTTTCCCCCAGATTTTGAAATCTGATTTTAAAGGTTGTTCGACTGTTTGAAAATACAAATGGCCTATAGGAAGGGCAGTGCATCACTGTTCTGTTTTGTCTTTTTAATTATTAAAATCTCCACATGTTGTCATATTCCTGAAACTGGATTTCTGAATTATATTGTAATATGGAGAGACGTCAATATTTCTAGAGCTCCTGGCCCTGCTTGAGAAAACTAGATGGGAGAAAACACTCCACTGACTCTGCTGGGGAAGAAAGAAGTGGCACAAAGTCATTACATCTGACAGTGGACAGTGGCTCTTGAAGGTGTGCCAGAAGTAGGGTAAGGGCCAATGAAGGTAAAAGGAAAGGCATAATTCACCTGAAAATAACGTTGTCTTTCCCACCAAGGCAGCTGAAGGTACAAATATTTCTTCCAGATTTGCTTCCATCTTTGTATGCGGCTACTCACTGTGCTTGGCTTAAAATCGCCATGCTTGAGTTTTCTGAGCTCAAAGACCATCTGATACCTGGATTTGTGTGAGGAAAACAGCTTGCAAAAATTACAGGGAGGTGCTTTGCATCAATAAATGCAATTTATATGCTAAATAATCACATCAATAGATAAAGTCTCCTTCCAGTTTCTCAATTCTATTATCGTGTTTAAATTTCAGAACAAAAATATAGTGAAATATATTTTTTAGGGTTTTATAAAGAGGAGGTCTTAGAAACATGACAAGGATTCTTTTCCTGACATTATGATTGCAACAACAAGCCTGAGCTGTTACAGTCACCTTTTACCCTTCTCAATGACATGGTACGTGCTATCATTTCATTAATATAATTTTATAGGTAGAGAAACTCAGGATACAGAGAGGTGAAGTCATTTCTCCAAGGTCACACTGTCAGTGCTAGGAATACAGCTAAGAAAAGACAACTAATTCTTAATTCAAATAATACTATTTAAGCTGATGAGCTACTCCTGTGATCAATAAAATGGAGGCCCAAGCTCAATATGGACAACCAGAGTGTCAAATCAAGACATAAGTGAGAGACACAGCAGTGGAAATATCCTGCTGCTTATGATAATAATGGAGGGCCACATCAGCATATTCTGTAACTGGAAACTGTTCAATTAAGTATTCATTTCATTTCACAGTCATTTTTGAAAAATAAATCTGTGTATCTTTATACCTTTAAGCTCAGTAGTTTTATGCATTAGGTTGATGTGCATAACAAAATGGGGACTATTTTTTAAATTGCCAGATAAGAGCTAGTATGTCGCTACTATTTATATATTGAAGTTGTAACAATCATGTGCTTTTAATTCATTTCACCTTCAAAGATCTGAATGTTTCCAGTTTGTAATATATTGCAGGATGTATTAGGTACACTGAGTCTGTCTGATTCACAGCTTTCTAATCGGCTATTTAGAGTTTATACCAAGCAGAAAATCAATGTACTCAAAATGTAGTAGCTCTCTTGTTAACTCTAGTCATTTGCTTACAGAGTAATGTCAAGCTGATAATTGAAATATGGCTTAAACTGTGCATTTTAATTCAAAAGAAAAAAATGTTTGAAATATTACTCATTTGATCTTTCCATACTCCAACCCCAAAGGACATATTTTGCCTGGCTGGCTCGACAATTGCACTCAGGGATAGCAAGGCCTTGCACATATGCCTACTGATGCTAGGGGTTGGAATTTATCCTCATCTCAGGGATGATTTAGCTTTGCTGAAAAGCTGTAGGGCTTCTAGAAAAACTGGTGGTTTGCCCTCCCTGAGAACTCTGGTTTATTTTCTGTTCATCGCTGGGGAAGTTGCTGTGCTGACTTTTATGGAGATGGTCCCGCCCTACGCACATGTGCCTTAAGGCTTTTCTGTCTTTAGCAACTGGGGGCTATTTGCTGTCAGATGGTGAGTGCAGTCCTGTGTTGAAATCTGAGCACCCAACACTTAAGAGACTGAAAACAATCTTTGAAGTAAGTCCAAGGCATGGAGCACAGAATCATGCCAGTCAACTAAGAGTTAGGGGCAGACAAGATTTTAACCTAGAAAAATTTGGGGCAGGGGATAGAAATACCATAACAAATAGATTCAAATACGCCTAAAGCTATTATTTATATGAAGAATTTGGCTTATTCTGTGAGATCCAGTATGAATAAGGTTTAAAAAAATTGCAGAGAAAACTATCATACCAGAAAAAATATAATTTCTAGTAGTTAAAATGGTATGAATAATGAAATGGGATTAATTTATTGTTATTACCTTTCTTGAGGCAACATTTTCATTGATAAACTGGATACTCAAGAAGTGTTTTGAAGACCCGATCCAAATACAACATTGCAGGATACAGGGAATAACTGATATTTAAGGTTGCACCTGCCCTCTCTGCTCTCCTAATGTCTTGTGCTTGAATTCTGGCTCCATTCCTTACCATCTTTTATTGAAATTTGTGGTGCCTTATATAGTGCCTTGCACAAAGTAAGTACACAATAGTGTCTATTATCCTGATGATCAAAATAAAATGGGTGGAAAGGGAGATGCCACTAATAGCCAGACAAAGAATAAAGTCCTGGAGAGACTATGGGCTATTTCATTATTTATCTTTAGGTAGCCATCACCGCAGTTATAACAGACATATCTAAGTACACTCTGCCCAGATTTGTGTCAATTCTTTCAAATGTTGAAGGCCAGCTAGCTCTATAATGAAACAGAAAGCTACTTAATATATGTTGAAACTATGTGTTGGGGCTGAGAAACAATGGGGAAAAATAGCCCCTGTTGAATTTTCATCAAGAAAGCCAAAGATAATAAAACATAATTATCTTATGTGGAATATGGTCCAAATGTTGAAGTGAAAATTTCCACTCCTGTTCACAAGGTCACTGGATCTGTATCCCACAATAAGACAAAATCAAAAGTAAGCCACCTTCCTGGCCTTCTCTCACCTTTAGGCATATCCATCCCAAAGTTTACTTTTCTTTTGGAAGAGTGAAAGAACCTATAACAAAGAAGCAATGTGAGTTGATCAAAAAAAGATATCTTCAGGTTTGATTTGTAAGAGTTCTCAACAAGGGGTTATTTTGCCCCCAGGTGACATTGAACAATATCTGAACATATTATCGATTCCCAGTGCTGTAGGTGGACATGTGTTTGGGTCTAGCAAGTACAGAGAAAACAGGAATGCTGCTTAACATATTGCAATGTGCAGCACAGCTTCTCTCAACAACGACAACAAAAATCATCCAGCATAAAATGTCCATAATGCTGAGGCTGAGAAACCCTGGATTATAATTATGACTGTATTTTACATAGTGAGGAAGCACACAAGAAACTATCTATATAATTAACATCACCAAATTACTTTGTCCGATAAGAAAAAAAAAATCTAGGCCGGGCGCGGTGGCTCACGCCTGTAATCCCAGCACTTTGGGAGGCCGAGACGGGCGGATCACGAGGTCAGGAGATCGAGACCATCCTGGCTAACACGGTGAAACCCCGTCTCTACTAAAAATACAAAAATTAGCCGGGCATGGTGGCGCGCGCCTGTAGTCCCAGCTACACGGGAGGCTGAGGCAGGAGAATGGCGTGAACCCGGGAGGCGGAGCTTGCAGTGAGTCGAGATCGCGCCACTGCACTCCAGCCTGGGCGACAGAGCGAAACTCCGTCTCAAAAAAAAAAAAAAAAAAAAAAAAAAAAAAATCTATAAAGTGAAGGAAGGGACTTTTGGCTGATAGTACAGAAGTATGTTTCCTATTTTGACTTTCACTTCTTTTTGATGCTAAAAGTGAAGAAACTAAAGTCAAATAGAATGAAAGGAAGAGCTAAAAGGGCATGGGAGAGAAGTGGACAAAGGGAAAGAAAGTGAGGGGAAGATTATATAAGGCAAAAGGGAGAAGTAAAAGTAGAAAAAAGAAGGAAGTGGAGGAGGAAATGGGCTGATGGTAGTACAATCCAAATTATACTTTCATTATAATGAAGATTATGGATAAATCTTTAATTATTAGAAGAGTACTCTAAGCATCTTTTTCTCTCATTTCCATGGATCCTTCAGAGGAGCCAATTACCACATCTGTCAAGGGAAATGAGAAGAGATCTTTCTATATTGAACAATAAGAGCACAGTGCTAATGTATATTGAAAATAGGACCTCACTCTAAGTAACTATGTCAGAATTAGGGCCTCACTCTAAATAACGATGTCAGAACAAGTCATTCCCACATATACAATAGCGACTCATCTCCATCACTATCTATCTGTCTAAAACTCAACCCATCCGACATAATTTTTATTTATCTGTTGGCTTAGTAAAACAGCTTTATTGAGATATAATTTATATACCTTAAAATTCACCCATTTAAAGTGTACAATTCTAAGCTTTAAGTATATTTACAGACATGTGCAAATATTACTACAGTCAATTTAGAACATTTTCATCATCTCCTAAAGATACCCTGTGATCTTTAGCTATTTTCCTCTTTTTTTCTATCATCCAACCTCCCCTTCCCAGTTGTAAGCAACTACTAACCTACTTTCTTTCTCAATAGAACTACCTATTCTAGACATATGTTTTCTTCTGAGTTTTATAGTTTAGCCTTTACATTTAGGGCATGAATCCCTTTGAGTTACTGTTTGCCTATGGTGTTAGGGAAGGATTCAACTTCATTATTTCATGTGTGGTTTTCTACTTGGCTCATAGCTACTTCTTAAAAAAACTATTCTTTCATTCATTGAATGATCTTAGCACATCTTTTGAATACCAACTAAACATAGACATGTGGTTTACATCTGTATTCAATTATATTTCATTGATCTATATGTCTATACTTATGCCAGTTACACACTGTCTTGATCACTATTGTTACACATTTTGATATTGAGAAGTGCAAGTCTTAGAATTTTGTTAATCTATTTAAAGATTGTTTTGGGTTTTCTGAGTCCCTTGCAATTCCATGTTAATTTTAGAATTAGTCAGTTTTTACAAAGAAGCCAGCGAGGATTCTGATAAAAATTGCAATGAATCTGTAGGTCAGTTTGGGGATTATTACTATCTTGAAAATGTTAAGTCCTCTGATCCATGAATATGATATATTTTTCCATTTATTTAGACCTCCTTTACATTCTTTCAACAATGTTTTGCAGTTTTCAGAGTATACACTTTATACTTACTTTGCTAAATATATTCCCAAATATTTTATTCTTTTTGATGATATTGTAAATGGAACTATTTTCTTAATTTTAGTTTTGCACTTTTGTTGATACTATAAAGAATATAACTAATTTTTGTATATAAATCTCATAGTCTGCAATCTCGATAAACTCATTTTGTAGTTTTTTTTGGTGGTTACTTAGGATTTTTATATACAAGATCGAGCCATCTACAAATGTAGTTTTACTTCTTTTTCAGTTTGATGCTTTTATATTTATATTTCTTGTGTAGCTGCTATGGCTAGAACCATATTTATATTTCTTGTGTGACTGCTATGGCTAAAACCTTTAGTATGGTGTTGAATAAAAGTGTTGAGAACAAACATTTTTGTGCTCCTATCTCAGGGAGAAAGCATCCAGTCTTTCACTTTGAGTATGATGTAAGTCCTGTGTTCTTCATAGATACTCTTTACCAGTTTGAGGATGTTTCCTTCCATTTCTAGTTTGTTGTGTGTTTTTATCACAAAAGGGCATTGGTTTTGCCAAATGCTTTTCCTGCATATAATAAGATCATATGGTTTTATGATGCTTTTTAATATTCTACTGATTTGGTATATTACATTATTCTTTTTTATGTTGATCCAACTGTGTATTATGGGAGAAAAAAATCTCACTTAGATGTGGTGTATAATTCTTTTTATTTGTTGCTGGCATCAGTTTGCTAGTATTTTGTGAGAATTTTTGAGCCCATATTCATAAATGATACCTGGATGTCATTTTTGTTTTTGTGTGCTATCTTGTTTGGTTTGGTATTAAACTGACCTCACAGAAAGAACTGCAAAGTGTTCCATCCTCTTGTAATTTTTGAAAAAGTTTGTGAAGAATTACTATTAATTCTTTTTAAATGTTGTATAAAATTAGTCTGCGAAGGCATCTGGGTCTGAACTTTTTTATGGGTAGTTTTTATTACTAATTCCCCTCTTTACTTGTTATTGGTTTATCCAGATTTTCTATTTCTTATTGACGCTGTTTGAGTACCTTGTATTTTTGTAGGAATTTGTCTATATCATCTAAAGTTATCTAATTTATTGGCATTCAATTTTTTATAGTATTCCTTTATAATCCTTTTTAATTTCTGTAATGTCAGTAGTGATATGCTTTTTCATTTCTGATTCTAGTAATTTGAGTCTTTTCTCTTTTTTTCTTGATCAGTCTAACTAAAAGGTTGCCAACCTCATTGATCTTTCAAAGAGCCAGCTTTTAGTTTCATTGATTTTCTTTATTTTTTATTTCATTAATGTTCATTCTAATCTTTACTGTATCCTTTCATCTTCCTCCTTTAGATTTAGTTCTTCTTATTTTTCAGTGTGTTAAGGTAGACAGGAAGGTAATTGATTTGGGGCCTTTCTTCTGTTTTAAATATAGGTTTTTCAGCTATAAATTTCCCTGTATACACAGTTTTATCTGCAATCCTATAAGTTTTGGTATTTTGTGCCTTCAGTTTTGTTCATCTAAAAGTATTTTCAACTGTTTTGATTTCTTTTTTAACCACTGACTGCTTATGAATGTGTTATTTAATTTCCATTATTACAAATTTCCCAAATAAATTGTTGTTACGGATTTCTAACTTTATTCCATTGTGCTCATAGAACACATGCATTATTTCTATCCTCTTAAATTTACTGAGGTTTGTTTTATGGCCTGACATACGGTTTATCCTAGAGGATATTCCACATGCACTTGAGGAGAATATACTCTGCTGTTGCTGAGTGGAGTGTTTCCATAGGGATCTGTTAGGTCTGGTTGGCTATAGTATTTCTCAAGTCTTCTATTTCTTTGTTGATCTTTCTGCCTACTTGTTCAATCAATCTATTATTAAAATCCATTATTATTGATTGTCTATTCTTCCTTTTTCTTCTGTTAGTTTTTGTTTGCTTTGGCATCTCTAATTGTCCTTAATTGTTTATCTTCTCCATGAGGCAAATTGTTTGTTGTATTTATTGCCATATTATTGGTATCTAGAATAATATCTTTCAAATAGGACATCATTAAATAATTAATACATCGATATTTTATTAGTTATTTGGCACATCATATGCATGAAAGAAGGAATACAGGAACATTTTAGTTCAGTTTTAGAACATACATCAACCCTTAGCTACAAACTTATATGTTAAACTTTGGCCATCCATTTCCTTGATGAGTACCATTGGCCATAAAAAGGACAAGCATGAGAGTAGAAAGCTCCACTCCATTATTGACTGGAGTGGCAGAAACAGGAAGTCCATGGGGACATGGGTGGGTAGTAAGGACAGTGTATATTTAAGCACCAACCTTGAGCATTTAAGTCATTTGAAATGCTGAGGGGAAGACAATCAAGATCCAGAAGTTCAGTTTTGAGCCTAGATGAAAATGAATGTTCTAAAAGATGGCACAAAACCCCCAAATTTGCTTAATTGTACAATATTATACCAGGAGGGGAGATTTATTTCTTTCCCCAGCTGGTGATCAGTTTATGCCCTGATGTATGCGATTTAATGGTCTGTATCATTTTTATCAGGTCACTGCAGATGTTATTCTTACTCATATGAATGCCTAATCCTCTTGTTGGATAATTCTCCCTGTTAATTATTTCCACTGTGTCCAAAGCAAGCCACTCATAGACAAGGCTCAAGAAAGGGATTGTTTCTTCCCTGGAGCCAAAACAGGAAAAAAAGGGGGAAAAAAACCCACAAAAAAACCCTTAAAGTTTATGGTAAAATATACCTTAGTTTAAAGTACAGAAATTTAAGATAGCCTTTTGGCAAAGGGGGTGTAGCTTTATTAAAAGAAAACGCTCTCCTTGTTTATTTTTATGTCACCTTGCTTCTATCATGCCCAAGAGACAGATATACCACAGCTTAATTTCTGAACAAACTGAAATCAACTGGGAAAACTTCTGACCTTAAAAAAAAGGAAAAAAAAAATGATACCTACATGTCACTTCCCAGGAAGGTCAACCAATCTATTAAATACATACTCACACACACATAGTCTAATGAACCCTCACATATGGGATGCAAAGATTTGAACACTGAGGATCAAATGAGACCAGGCTGAAAAAATAGCAGCTCAAATATTCAGTATGTGCCTCTAGAGCCAGTAGATAATTCAATATTGTACTGGCCCTTTTTATATATAGATGTGAGGTGATGACTCCAAGTTCTACAAGTAAGTGTGTAGAAACATGAGCAATTCACTTTACCCCTCCAGGTTTTAGAGGCTATAAAATACAGATGTTTTGTTAAATTTTGTGTGTCTGGCTTAGTTACAGGTACAGGAAGGACAGGGTGAATGAGACCTTCTTCCTGTCCTCAAGGAGATCTAGGTGAATGGGTCAGAAAAAATTTTATCAAATGTCCTATCTTATTCTAAAAGTCAAGGAAATATTACCATAGAAACTCAGATATGAAGGGAAGTTAGAACTCATTTAGCTAAAAGTTTTTATTTATGAGCCTCTCTCCTAATATGCTCTGCAATGGATTAGTGTCATCCCAAGCACCACCTCAAAAGTGGAGCATTTGCAATATTATGAGGCAGCATTTTCCAGCATCCCAAAACACCCTCATTAGAATTTGTTCTTAGATATGCCATATATGCCATTGAGGAAAAAATAATAAATCTAAAACATAATCTCAGTGAAAATGAGGAACAGCAGCTGAGATCCAATGAAAAACAGACGGGTCCTCAATTGAGAAATCTAGCTTCTGGGGAAAATAAAAGTTATATTTTCAAGTTTCCTGGGCGCCAGACACTATGGTAGGTCTTTTCCTGACAAGCCAGTGAGGCAGATAGGACTTAACCATCATACGTATAAGGAAACTGAGTCCTACAGGTGAAATAGCTTGACCAAGGTCACAGATTCTAAGTAGCAGAGGCAAGGTATAATTCATTGTCTCTTTGAATCTCCCAAGCACAATACACAATGCTGCCGCTCTGTGCTGATTCTGTCCCCATCTGCTTGCCTAACCTTGTGGTATAATTTGGAGCTGTTCATTTAACCTCATGGGGGCTCAGTTTCCTCTAGCTCAAAACTGTCAACATTTTCCATGAGCACACAACTATAATGTATACAGTAAGCCTTAAGTTTATTTGCTGCACAGTAGCTACTACCCCAAGAGTACATTCCTCAGAGGAGGTTCTTACCATGTAGAAGCACCCAGATACCCAGACAGGATTTCCATTCTGGGAAGCCGTGATTTACCATGGCTTAATAATGAGGGGCCAAGATATAAATGCAGAAAACCACAGATGATGTATTGGCACCAAAGATACAGAGTGGATGAGGCCTATCATTTATTCAACACCAGTGGCCAGTCCATTATGCTTTAACAAGACTAATGTTAGATAAAATATAACAAAAAGTGGTAATTGTAAATTTGAGATCAGTTATCACATAACATAGTAATCTCCTCTTCAGTATGTTTAAACAGTCTTGATGTACTGTGAAGTCTGCTTCTGTGGTTTTTAAACCATATGACACACCTAATAAAACTGCTTTACAAAAATAAGCTTTACTACCGAACTTCTGTAATTAAATACTTTTATTATAATAGGGATACAATTTACTGGAGCTCTGTATGCTGGTCTGTATAATTAATAATGAAACATGTTTTAATGAACATTTATTAGTGGTATGAAATACAAATATCTTGTAGATCAGCTACCATCTAGGAAAACTTCATTTATTCCCTGAGATTAAAAAGCCCTGCATTAACACTATCAGCATTGCAGTCTTGACAGCTCAACAATCTGCTCTCTGAAAACTCATTAATTTGGACACTCACTAATATGGACACTGATAATTCAGAAGGTGGTGGGACTGAAGTTTGCCCTTGCACTATCTATGAAAAAGAGTTTGCTAAATAAATTACTCACATAAACAAGATTATATAAAGGTCTGTTTAACCACTTAAAAGAATTTTCTTTCAAGTACCCTAACACCATGCATTTGCATACACACAATTAATATGGCAATTACAAATGAGTTTTATGTATTCATCTGAAGGGACTCGGTACCTTGCTTACCAAACAATGGATGAAAAAAGGTTGAGTATCTACCAAATATAAAGTAATGCATTAAGAACTTGAACACATACAAAGAAATTTAGAAAATAAACCATTCTTTCAAGAATGTTGTATTCTAATCCAGTGGTCCCTAACATTGGCTCTGTATTAAAAACATCTGGAGCCCAGGTGCAGTGGCTCAGGCCTGTAATCCCAGCACTTTAGGAGGCTGAGGCAGGAGGATTACTCAAGCCCAGGAGTTTGAGACTAGCCTAGGCAGCAAAGTGAGACCCCTGTCTCTACAAAACTTCAAAAGAAAACAAAAATTAGCCAGGCATGGTGGTGTGGGCCTGTAGTCCCATCTACACAGGAGGCTGAGGTGGGATGATGGCTTGAGCCCTAGGAGGTTGAGACTACAATGAGCCATGATTGCACCACTACACTCCACTCTGGATGACAGAGTGAGACCCTGTCTCGAAAAAATATTAAAAATAAACAACCAAAAAAGAAAATGAGTGCTTTTCTCTGGTCTCCTTGATCCTGCATCAGGCGAGGCTCTGCAAGTATGACCTGTACTAAGATCAGGGTGACCATTTGTGTTTGGTGGTCCAGGATAATCCTTATTTGTGCCTTTTATTCTGGCATAATTATTAGTGGTGCATCCTTCATGTTTCTCAAAAGTGTCTTGGTTTAGAGAGCAGATTATATGTCACCCAAACTCTCCTTTCGATCCTTTAATCTCCCTTAATCATCTCTTGAATCTGCCTCTTCCTGTCTATTCTCACACACTCTGTTCTAACCTAGAACCACTTTATGTCTTATACCAGTTTAATAATTTCCCAATACCTCACCACGGATCCTCTCCTTGCAATGAGTTCTCACCATTGCCTTTAAAATAAACTTTATATTCTTAGTACAGTAAAGTAGGTCCTTTAATGATTTGTTCCCTGCCCAATTTTCAGACCTTACCAAGGCCCTTCCATAGTCCCATGGATTCCTCATTTATTCTTTTGCCTTCAGGCATGCTATGCTCTCTGTTCACTCTCCTTCAATCCTTACTTAGCAACCCCATACCCCCTAAAGCACTAAACACAAATATCACATCCTTAATAAAGTACTCTCTGATCTCCTAGGGTACATCCATTGTGGGATAATTTTCTTACACATGCTTTTCTTATGGTTGTGGTCATATTGCTTTGTATTTGTTTGGTTGGTTGTTTTCATTTTTTTCTGTATGCCTGTTTTGACAATCTATATTGAGGAGTATAACTTTTTTATAATATTTCCATTTCCCCAACGTCTGTCCCAGGGTCACCACTTAATAAACACATCCCTGAATATCGAAGATAAATTAAAAATATTAATCTAACATGCTGAAATATACAGAGCTAACCATTCTGCTTTTCCTGGAACCTTCTGACTCTGTCAGTGGGTGAAGTCCCCAACATATTGCAGTGACCTTGAGTAAATAACTTGCCCTGGGACCAAGTTTCAATAATTATAAAATGGAAATTTTGTCATTGCCTATGTTACGCCAAAACGCATTGAAGGTATATTTATTAAAAACTGTTTTGGAGATGATAAGTAATATAGATTTGATAATTATTATAAATATTATAAGGAATATAACCATTATCGCTAATTCCTCTAAGATCCCAAATAAAACAAGAATAATAAGATAAAGATATACCTGTTCACACACATGCATAAATATCCACAAATAACTCTTCCTCCAGGATACAGGCTGATTACTGATAATGAGATGTATCTTCCAGCCAATATATTTAAACTCTTATTCTGACTGATGGCCTGTCTTAGGATTTGACAAAAATATTCTTGTAAAAATAGATTTAACGATATCAATTCTGATAAAAGCAGAACCAAGCTTGGCTTTGAGACAAGAAATTCTAAGCCCCAAAGCAGAAACCTATTTAGGAAGTTAAAATCATTAATTAGCTTTTCTGGTTTTGTCAGAAGCTTTATTTCATTGATGGTTTACTGCATCTACTTAGAGCCAGTTCTTAACTGAAGAGTGACATTCCATAATAACAATAGGTTTATGGTAATTATTTAAACTTAGTTAAATTTTGCGTATTACTCTTAAAAAAGTGTGTGTGTGAGAGTTTCAGAAGTAATGAAAACCTGTTTTGCAAATATAAGATACTCCAGGTAATATTGTAGACTGCAAAATGTATAGTGAAAAACTAGCTTCCTAGTGCCCATTGTGGTTCTGCCATCATTTATTTATTTAACTATGATAAAGATATTAACAACTAACCCCTTTGATAATCACTTATGTATGAAGCATAGATTTTCCCAGGGGATTCTATAACAAGAATCTGAAAGTTGGCAAGGGGCAGAGAAAGCAGTGAGTTAGTCATCATTGTACTTGGAGGAAACAAAAGCTGATGGTTAAGTTATCTGTGTATGTCTCAGAGAAGACAGGTAGGTGCATTGTGAATACAGACTATGGTGAGGTAGAATCTCCAGTATCTGTCTCTAGTTTGGACTTAAAATATACAGATCATCATAAAATTTCAAATTAAAACACTTGGTTTAGGTCCTAAGGAAATTGGCAGGTGGCTGCTAATTCTCGTAACAATCATCTTGAGGGCTCATATTTCCTCATCTTCATACTGTGATGTAAATTTACTTTCTTGTCTCAGCATTATCAGAATGCATTAATAAGACTAGAGGTAAAAATTTATGAACTGAAAGCACATAAATACACCTTGAACTGAAGAAGAAAATTTTCATTTATTAACATCTATAGAATGTGATTTCAGAGGCATTGAGCATATCTCTCCTATGTTTTACTCTCCTGTTTCCTGAGCCTAAATATCTTCTCCTTTAAAATATGAACTCTCCAGGACAGGCATGCTGATTTGATCTGTTATCAGCCTTAGGAAATTGAGTGTAAACAAAGAATTAGAGAGAGGATGGCAAAAGGAAAGAGCTGACTGGAGACAGTAAAATATCACACAACCACCCACAATGGGGAGAAGAAACAAGTGTGAGCTTGAGAAAGGACATACATTGATGACTAGAGTGGAAGGACAACTTCAAATATAAGATATCCTAGGTAATATTGTAGACCGCAAAATTTACAATGAAAAACCAGTGTTCCAATTCAGAATTTTGATATAAATGCTAATAAACCAGTGGATAAATAAACTTCTTGACCAAAGGCTTTGTTTAAAATAAATAAATATCCTCCTTAAAAATTTATCAAATTGACAAGCACAATAAATTATGAGAATTACCATTTTGCTTTATATTTGACCTTAAAAGTAGAAACCATTTCCTGGTTTATTCATGTTTGGACAGATGACATTTGTGTGGCTGTATTTCCCAAATTATCTCTTTCTTCTTTTCTTCAAACTAACCATGCATCTGGGGACATTCAAACACACCACATTTTAGCTATCACGTATGAATGATCCATTTCTGAAAATCTTGGGTGTGTAGGTGAAATGAGGTGGGGGTCCAGTAGGTAGACATCTTCAAAATGTGATTCTTGGAGAAATTTCCAGGGCTATATCCATCCCATCAATAGGGCATTGAATTAGGGGACCTGGTCTTTGTTTCCAATTGACAACAGTAGAGATTAACTACAAGCCTTCCCAGGTGATACATTACTTTGAGATACTATCCAAAATTTAAGTTTCTTAAGTCATGTAACCACATGGTCATTGACATAGTGTGTATTCAATGCTAATAATGAAACTGCCTGTCATTATATCCCTTTGCTTATGAAGAGCTAATTTGTTTTGTGAGCATAAAAAATTTTTGAGGGATTGGACATATATTTTAAAGCTAGTTAATTATTAATCAGTTTTTGCAGAACTCTATAGAATAGCCACACTTGGAATCATCAAAAGCAATATTGTAAGAAAGAATTTAAATTAAGAGAAAGAAAATCAACCCACATTAACTTGTCAGATTACGAATTCCAACAAAAAACACTGGGAAACCATGGTCTTGAGCCAACCACCAACTCTAGAGTAGGTGCAGGGATTCTTTCTGTTCCCCATCAATAGTACCTTGACTATATCCTTGGCCACATGCCCTGCTCCTTCTGTGGCTCTATCAATTGTGTCTTTGACAACTCCCTCATTAATGCTCTTTTGAAAAATAATTTAAAGCTCTCTTGAAGATAACAAATACTTCTTGCCCTAAATCCCTCCCCCGATCCATCTTTTGTAGCAGGTTAACCTCCTGTGCTCAAAAACATGCTTTCCACTTTCTCTGCTCAGAAGGAGGGAGTTGGAAGCTGCCCAATCATACTTAAAAACAAAAATGGCAGGTAAATTTTATCAGTCTTGTGCAAAAAACCTATAGAAGAGAGTGGGGCTAATATCCTGCCAGCTGGAGCAAGTCATTTCACAAATTTAATATAATTTTCTCTACTAAAGTGCTTACTAAATTGAAAAAAAATACTTTTATTAGTAATTGTAATTCTGCAACTGTGTTCAGTAAGTACTTTTGTACCATTATCATTCAGAAAAGGTGAACAGGACCCAATTTATGGCACAATCTAGCAATCAGTCCAAATTCACACCCAGTTTCCAAGTTATTTCTCACCTAGGAGTTGCCTTTATTCTCAGAAATTTTCCACTGTGGTTCTGAAATTGGTCTGGCTACTTACTGCAAGATGTGGACCTGTCTTAAGCTTATTGTTAACCGACATAAAATTCTCTTTAGAAATTTAGCAGTGGACTTTCATACATATTTCATGAAATTTCATTCCATGTTAGGCCCAAACAAATGAGATCAGTTTCATTGGCTCAGCTTCCCTTACAGATGACAGTAACCATTCACTCTTAGAAAAGAAGACAGAGGCTGACTTTAGGGAAGGCATGTAGAGATATTTGACAAAGATACTTGGATATGCAATGAGACATGATTTGATATGATTATTACACTAAAATAATATCACATAGGCTATCATTTTATTAGATGGAACACTGAAACTATTGCCCCGGAAAGGCACTGAATATTTACCCCAACTCTGTATTTACTTCCATCCATACCCTAACTAGAGAAGGAGCTAGAACTTGGATTATCTCAGAAGAAACCCTAAATCAAGAAAGAGGTATCCTGCAGAATATGGGGACTTATAAGTAATTTCCTCTGTCCACAACAACATGAATTCTGTCAACTTAATTTTTCAGATCCAGAGAATTTCAGTAGCATAAGGAAATCGCTATAGATGCTATTGGCAACTCATCTATCACCCATGTACTGTACTGAGGTAGTTAGCAGGTCTCCAGTCCACGGCTTTTCCTGAGAGCTTTTGCCGGAGACCTGGCTGTCTGTTTCTTTGCTGTAAACTAGTCAGTTTAAAAGTGGTCCTAGGAATGGGACCTGTTCAGGAAAGAATGGATTTTATGCCCTGCTTATTGCCTTCCAAATGCCAGGAGCTTTTCAGAGTAATAACAACTGGTGTAAAAAGAGAATTTGAAATAAAAGAAGCTTTTATTGCCCTAGAAAGAGGCTGCCCATAAACTTTCCACCTGCTTTAACCGCTGGGGAATGTGTGGGTATCCACGATTTCTGGCCAATGAGAATTTACCTTTCCTATTAGCCTCATATCCTCCAGAATAATGTACATGATAAAAAATGGAGCAGGAAAACAGGATCAAACCCCTTTAATTGCAGTTGTCAAATGTATTCCAGCCTAGCACTTTACACATTCTGTCATCAAGAGGACATTTTACTGCTGGTGCTGATGCTTTACTCTTATGCAAAATCTTTCATCTTGGAATATCAAAGATTTCTACAAACACTAATTCATTAATTAAGCCTCCTGATGACTGTTCATAGAAAACAGGAAAATGTATTTCAAAATGAAAGAGATTAAAATTCAGGTTGTTTGGGTGGCAGCTTCAGTGAACAAAGAATGCCATTTCACCGGTGTCATTGTGACCCCTCACAAATCAGTCACTGCATCCAAAACAGGCCTTTCTATAAAAATGCAAACATTTTTCAGGTGAATGTTTCACAGGTTTGTCTTTAGTATCTAATGAACCTTCTTCGTGGCACTCCGTCAAATCATTTGTCTCTAATTCTGTTGTTCCTTTGTTCTCTTTCTCTAATAGAATGTGAAACCTTACGAACTTGCTGAGATTTATTGGTTCCCTTCAGAGTGGCTGTAGAAAAACTGGTGTTAAAACCCCACCCATAGGGAGAGGGAAACCTGCCCTGCATCAAAGACAGGTTTTCAAAAAAGCTGCCCTCAAAAGCAAAGGCAATAAAAATATTTGGCTATGTTGGTCTTAAGTAGTTAAAATGTTGAAACTCAAATCAAAATAAAACATTATCACCTCAAATCACTATATAAATAAAAGAGACCGGAGAATGTTTTCTACTCTTCTATCATTCAATAAGTATAATTTAAGTAGAGTCCTGGCCAATCCAGTGCCAGTGTGTGGCTGTTTCTCAGGAGGTTTTAAAGTCCAGCTTGGGTTAATGCATGCTCTTGCCTAGTTTGAAAGAAAGGTCGATGAGGCACAGGAAAAGGTACGAGAAATGTGTGCTGAAAATTCTACCGCCTCCCTTCCTAACTGGAATACCACATGGGATTCTAAATCCTACAATTTCTGAATCCATTCAAATGCATTTGAGGTTTGCCAGTATCATAACCAGTAATGTAAGGAAGAATTTCATTACCTGGTCATAAATATTCCCATGAAGTAGTCTGTAAACCCATGCTTAGAGAGCCCCCATGACTAAAACACTCAACTAACATCTAGTGCCTATAAGGTACAAGGACTGTGTTGGTATCACCTTTGACTCCTCAGGGTTTCTAGAAATTAGAACCCGGGTCTAAAAATACACACTTAAAATTCAATTATTTTTACTAATAATAAACTAATTTTCTAACTTTCTCTCTCTCCCTTAGCACTGTCCCAATAATGTAGCAGAGTGAATAAAAGTCAAATAAGACAGAAAGGATGTGAACCTCAGATCTCAGCTTCACCCCCTATTATTTGTGTGACCTTGGAAGAAGTTATTTAACTCCTTCAGGGTTCATTTTCCTAATCTACAAAGTGAAAGCAATCCCAGTAAATCCTGCAGAGGGTGAGTGGTGCACAGTAGGCATTCAATAAATGTCATATATGTGGACACACAGGGACTCACATTCACATATATTTTGTGCTTTTTAGAGAAGATCATACATAAAGATTTAGAACCTTCAGGAAAAAAGAAAATACCCAGAATCCAGCCAGAATTATGCAAGACATAATTACACTATGCAAAACATACTCCTACATCAAAACCTATCAAATGGCATATATATACCAAGGGACAAAAATTTAAACAATGCCCAACAAGCAACATTATACTTTTGATAATGAACAGAATAGATAATTTGCAACAGTGCTGGAACTACTCTCTCTCTCTGTAATCCCTTCTGCAGACCAGCACTCAATGCAAAAATCAAATTATCGTGAAATGAGAGAAAGCCTCATAAATATATGGCAAGGTTCCTTCAAGGTAGAAACCCAAGTCTAATTTTCTTCAAGCCACCGTGATAGACAATATTTTTTTTCATTTTTGTTATCACTTTTAAAGTATTCATGGAGTGAATATCCTGAGTCTTCATTAGGTATATTTAGAAAAATTCAAAGAATAAAATCTCTTTTGTCAAACACTTTATGTCCTAGCTCGGCTGCCAAAGTATATTTTTTATAAAAAGCTCAATTATAATACAAAACTTTGTGGGATTAATCTCAAAGGGAATGGATTCTTTAGCTGTGAAAATTCAGAGGACAGAATAAAACACAATGGACTATTCTCATCAAGAAATACAACATGGGGCCAGGAGCTGTGGCTCACCCCTGTAATCCCAACACTTTGGGAGGCCGACGCGGGTGGATCACTTGAGGTCAGGAGTTCAAGACCAGCCTGGCCAACATGGTGAAACCCCATCTCTACTAAAAATACAAAAATTAGCCGGGTATGGTGGTGCACTTCTATAGTTCCAGCTACTCAGGAGGCTGAAGCAGGAGAACTGCTTGAACCTGGGAGGCGGAGGTTGCAGTGAGCTGAGATAGTGCCATTGCACTCCATCCTGGGCAATAGAGTGAGACTCTGTCTCAAAAATAAAAAAAAAAATAGAAATATGACATGGATGGAAACACTTGATATGAGCTTTAAAAAGTCCAGTAAGATTGAGACAGATAGAATCTGTAGGCAATCTTGTTGGGTATGTAAATAAGAGTAAATTGCACAAACACAGTTAGGGAGCAAAATGCTGAGTGGATATACAGTGTGGGAAATGAAATGAGACTATGCTAGGCAGAATGGATGAGGAAAACACATTCTGGCTTCTTTGGGCATTATATTAAGCACAGTCACCACCTTCTGGTGAGGAGATTTGCAAGATTTACATGCTTATGATTAGAA
Organism: Homo sapiens; assembly: GCF_000001405.40. Taxonomy (NCBI): domain Eukaryota; kingdom Metazoa; phylum Chordata; class Mammalia; order Primates; family Hominidae; genus Homo; species Homo sapiens. The sequence continues at coordinate 39,730,884 of NC_000018.10, forward strand.
AAATAAGAAAAGTTTGACTGCAAAATAATATGAGCCAATGATGAAGTATGTAACTATGTAAAGACTAACAAAATTTGGGTTACATTAATAGAACTATGGCATCTTAAAAAAAGAAAGGACATAGGCCATGGTTAAAGAATTTCATTCAATTCCAGATACCACATTTTGGTTACAAATCAAATGCACTAAAAATTGTATTCAGACAAGAGGTGAAACCGGAAACTAGTTTTGTAATTAAGAAACAAGAAACTCTGTCTTATGAGGAATGATTGACATGTTTACTGCAAAACAGGTCCTTAAATAGTTGGAGAGTTGTATGTGGAAGAGGAGTAGAGTACTCTCAGAAACCGTAGAAAGAGTGGGTTGCAGAAATCTATTGGACTTTGATTCTCAATGCCAAAAAACCTAAAGTACTTGGAACTACATAAATTGGCAGATGATGATGACCCTATCACTAGAAATATTACAGCAGAAATGAAACCACAGTTTGTATCTGTACCATACAATGACTTCATATTAGATGGGAAATTACACAATGTGAACTTAAAAGTTTTTACAACAATACATGTTTTTAATATTTTAATTCCATCCATAAAACTGAGCTTAAACAAATAATAGTTCTATATACAATTTTAATTATGTGCTAAATTGTCTGAAGATTTCCACAACAGATAATTGCTACAGGAAATAACAGGCATCTGTCCATTAGAAATATATCTGTCTTCAGGCATATTTTCCACAATTTCACCACTTGGAAAAGAAAACAATTCTGAATTTGAACGTATATCACCATAGTTAAGTTTTTATCATGCTGTTTAGTATACCCATTTTTAAGGAATGTCAGATTTAAAAGATGCAACTTCCTCTCTGTTTTTGCATTTTTATAAAAATGATATTATACAATGGAGTCCTATTTCAACTATTTATAAATAAAACATTTCCTTTTATCTCATTCATAAGTTTTTCTTAACCATTGCTGGACTTGTTAGCTTAACTCCAACATCTTCAAGTTCAAACAGTTTTATTATTATTAGAAACAGAAACACCTATTTGTGAACTGGATGATCAAATAATGGTTATGTGTGGTAATAAAGCTATTACATTAATATAGAGTCATTAATGCAAATGCAAATGATCCAGGGATGCAAGGCTGCTTAATAAAGTAGCAAGATAAATCCATCCAGTCTGGGGATGTTTGAATTTTCATCCCTGCACAGATGAGGATTTCCAACCATCTCTCTCAGACATGACTGCTGGAACCCAATTTTGTATCTTTTACTATGTCACCCTACAGGTAAAATTTTCATGCCTCTATTTCCTTCACCTTTATCTTCCTTATGAAGTTGTTGGCTTATGTTCCTGTGAATTAAGTTGTGCTGGTTTTCTTCCAGCTCATATGGTGACTTATAGAAAGAAAACAGTTGAGTTATTTGCATGACCTTTTATATTCGTCTTGCATGAAATGAAATCATGCGCTTTTCTTGTAAAAGATACTAATGCCACTCAGCAGTCTATAGGGTTAATTGTTATTTTAATGAGCATGACATGCAGCACTGGGTAAGAGTATGACTTTAAAAGCTACAAGCTATAAAGGTCACATATCAGTGGAGTGGCAAATTTTTATGGCATATTGATAGGAACCTGGTCCGTTCTATGCTCACAATCACGTTATTCTTTGCCTAGTGTAAGCCGTATGCTTTGACAGCATACTAGCGTTTTTTTATTGGAAAACATTGTGTCTTAAAATCTTTCCAAATAACTCTATGTTCAACCATGGGATTATGTGGCTGGAATGAACCTTAGATATAAACAATATATCAAAGGATTAATAGTATAACTAATAAAGTTATAATCCAATGATAGAAGTTCAGATCAAATTTCCTAAAATATCTATAGAAAGAATACCAGTGGCTAGCTATCACTGCTTGTGTACTCATAATTCAAAATAGCCCTGAGTGTAAAGGGCAAAGACAGTGCAAAGGGTTATGTCACAGGGATTGACTGAGAAGTTACTCTCAAATGGGTGATCAGAGAAGGCTTCCCTGAGGAGAGAGCATTTGACCTACAGCTTGCATGGTACAGAGAAACCAGAAAGTTTAAGCTCAGGCAAAGACAATAGCAAGTGCAAAGCCTAAAGATGGAACTAATAATGAGTGCTGTTGGAAAAATGCAGAGAAAGCCAGGAAGAGTATATACAATGGAAAAGGTAGAGTGTCATTCACAAGAAGGCCTGGGAGGCAGCAGTGCGCAAAATATGGCATTGGATTTTATTCTATGGGAAATAAGAAGTCATTGGTAAGGTTCAGGCAGGGAAGTTACATGTTTCTAAGTAACTGCTGCTATGGTGAATGGCTGGTAGGTTGTCAAGATTAGAAATCTGGAGACCGGTTGAAATGGTCTTGAAGTTGCCCAGCTGAGAGATGAGTGATGATGGCTGAATTGGTCATCAGTGGAGGTGAAGAGAAGTAGACAGATCTGGTGTAAAGTTTTTGCTAGAACAGAAAACATAGTGTCTTCAGTGCCCAAATCAACAGGGTTGCACCCCTTGCAAAATGAAATTCAGGCCGGGTGCGGTAGCTCATGCCTGTAATCCCAGCACTCTGGGAGGCTGAGGCAGGTGGATCACCTAAGGTCAGGAGTTCGAGACCAGCTTGGCCAACATGGTGAAACCCCGTCTCTATCAATAGTACAAAAATTAGCCAGGCATGGTGGCACATGCCTGTAATCCCTGCTACTTGAGAGGCTGAGAAAGGAAAATTGCTTGAACCCGGGAGACGGAGGTTGCGGTGAGCCAAGATCACTGCATTGCACTCCAGCCAAGATCATGCCATTGTACTTGCCTGGGTGACAAGAGCAAAACGCTGTGAAAGAGAAAGAAAAGAAAAGAAAAGAAGAGAAGAGAAGAGAAGAGAAGAGAAGGGAAGAGAAGAGAAGAGAAGAGAAGAGAAGAGAAGAGAAGAGAAGAGAAGAGAAGAGAAGAGAAGAGAAAAAGAAAGAAAGAACGAAGGAAGGAAAGAAGGAAAGAAAGAAAGGAGGGAAGGAAGGAGAAAGAAAGAAAGAAAGAAAGAGAGAGAGAGAAAGAAAGAAAGAAAGAAAGAAAGAAAGAAAGAAAGAAAGAAAGAAAGAAAGAAAAAGAAAGAAAGAAAGAAAGAAAGAAAGAAAGAAAAAGAAAAGAAAGAAAGAAAGAAAGAAATTTAGGGTCTTTGTTAGTCTTTTAACTACTTTGACCTCTTGCACAAACTTCTTGGAGAGAAGAAGATGTGACTAAGAATCAACATATTTTTCTTTGTTTTCAAACAGAATATAAGCAAAATCATCTCAAAAAGACATACATTTTATTATAAGAATCAATTTGCTTTGGGAATCTGTTTCTACAAGAATCATAGTTTTAAATGCCTCACTTCCATAAACTGTAAATTGAATTAATGATTGCTGGAATTTATACTTGAAAATCTCTGGGGAGATGAGTTTTGTGGAAACTAACCTAGGAACTGACATACATTCTGCAGTAACTAATAGAATGTAATAAGAGACAGTTTAACAACTGCTGATAGGAGGGAAAATGGGCTTTCAGTGAGGACATCTTCCCTCATTTGCTACAGACCAGGAGTTCAGAGGAGTCACCTAGTTTTGGTCAGTAACCAAAAGAGATTAGATTTGAAATTGGAATGAAACACACCATAACCATGAGAAAAAAAAAAACAACTGATTGGGATTCAGGCAATTGGTACAGAATTTCTGGCTGCTTTTTATGTGAGGATTATTCCATCTGGTTTTAGTCACTAAAGGGGAAAAGCAGTCTCTGCTGTCGGGATTCACCAATCTTTCACTTGCACAACCTGCTTATATATTGCCTGGTTACAGGAGTCTGAAGCGTGTGTGAAGCCAGCCCATTGCTGTTTTCTCATGGATAGTGACATTATCTACTCCACACATGGGCTGTTACAACTTCAAATAGAGCCCTGTGGATGGTAGAGCAAGGAGGCTATTGGGCCAAGAACTTTGGTTCTTTTAATTTTTTCCTTTTACAGGTTATTAAAGATAAGTTTCCTTTTTCTTTCAGAGACAGAACCCAGAGAATTTCTAATATGTACATCTGAACTTTGTTTCTTGCTTTTTTGTTTGCTCATTTTCCCCCCAAATCCTCAGCATCTTATGACTCTCCTTACTCCGGATATGAATAGTACTATAAATAGTACCACTTTCAAATCAAGGATTACCAAACCTCTCTGAGAGCAAAGAGACATGAAATCATGACATTGGTTAGGGGCCCACTGTAATCTCCATTTAAACAACCAATGGGGAACCCTAAGAGGAAGAACAATGTCTGTGCCATCCCAACTGGTCTTTTGTCTCTTACCTAAAATTTGGAGAAAAAAAATAACATCTTCTAGAGAAAATATCAGAACTGAACATGTAAACTCGCTCAAATGATGCTTCCTGCAACAAGCAGCTATCATAGATAACCTTGCTAGACCAGCTGCTGAGACTTTCCTTTTATCACTATTGTCACTCAAACTTACGCCTGAATTTTCTAACAATATTTATTGTCATTTGAATAAGAACCTATCATTAGGAACACATGATGTTGTCCAATACATAGTATCTGCTTCACTGGTGGAGTTCCTGAAAATACCACCCTCAGCCAAATGGTTAGGGCTTTCATGGCCTTGGGAGTCATATATACGCTTAAGCCAAAAAGTAAAGGAATAGCACAAGTCCATATAAAATTGGCCAAACTACTAAGAGTGCAGGAGAGAAAGGTTATTTTTTGTAAGAGTTGGACGTGGCCATAAGCTCAGAAGTGGAATGCATGACCTCAGTCCCTTTAGTTGCTGTTGTACTCAATCTCATAGAGACATTTTCTCCTTCCGCTGTTTCTAGAGATCATCCTTTCCACAGAGATGGCTTGGCACAAACTACTTTATCTAACTTTTGGAAGTGCCAATGTCCGAACCAGAGAAATCCAGTCATTGCTCAGTCATTCAAGGCACATGCTGGAACCAATTGGTCATGAACAAAGTGCTGTAGGACATGCCTATACACATACGTATGCACATACACACTCACATAGACATAAAGACACAACAACACATGCGCGTGCAGAGACATACACAGATACATATCCACATACACATGGAAAATGTTCTCAGCAGCTGAAGCCCTCAATGAGAGCTGGAGGTCCAAGACAGGGACACAGACTGTGCATAGAAATAGGGGAATATCTACCTAGAGGAAAATAAGTGATTATATGAAAAAGATACCTGCACACACATGTTTATAGCAGCACAACTTGCAATTGCAAAAATATAGAACCAGCCTAAATGCCCATCAGTCAGATAGAGTGGATGAAGAAAACGTGGTTTATATACATACACACACACAAACACACACACACACCAGGGAATACTACTCAGCCATAAAAAGGAACAAAATAATAGCATTCGCAGCCACCTGAATGGAACTCCAGACCATTATTCTAAGTGAAGTAACTAAGGAACGAAAAACCAAACATCATATGTTCTTACTCATAAGTAGAAACTAAGCTACGAGGATGCAAAGACATAAGAATGATACAGTGGACTTCGGGGACTTGGGGGAAAAGGTGGGAGGGGGGTGAGAGATAAAAGACTACACATTGGGTACAGTGTACACTGCTTGGGTGATGGGTGCACCAAAATCTCAGAAATCACCACTAAAGATTTTATTCATGTAACCAAACACCACTTGTTCCCTCAAAACCTATTGAAATAAAATAATAAATTGGTAACAAAAAGTTACCTTCTTAAATATACAATTATGTGAGATTTGAACAACACATAATGATGCATAACTGCAGCCATACAATCAGAATATATTGTACTGCTATCACGGCCCCAAATTCCCTCATACCCATTTGTAGATAACTTTTGCCCTCATTCGATCCTCTAAAAAGCCATGATCTGCCTTCTGTCAATATAACTTTTGCCTAACCCAGAAAGGCATTAAAATGGACTCATACAAGTACAGCAAAGAAATAGGGGGATGTCATTAATCCCAACAAAGTCAAGTTGGTCTCACAGCTGGATTATTGTTACAGCATCCAAACTGAGATCTGAAATGGCTTCTTAAACGGTTTTTTTTTTCCTGTCAAAATTTGCCACAAAGTGTGGGCTTAGAATGGATGGTTCAAGCCTTTGCAGACATTGTGATACCACAATGTGTATTTCTGATTCCTCACCATCAATGTGGCTTTCTTTGCCTCAGTGCATAGGCCTCCAAGTACCTGCTTCCGGAAATAAAGTTATGTTCAGAAAGTAAAGAAGGACCTGAGATGGAGAAAGAGTTTCCTGACTCTCAAAGTTTGGTTAGATTTCCCTTCTGTTTTTCTAGCAGTATTCTGTGCCTTCCCTTATCATAGCAGTAACGTTAAATATTATAATGGATGTCTTTCCCAAGAGTCTGAAGGCTCTTGCAGGGCAGGGTTTTCTCATATTTTCTATCTAGTAAGGTCTTGCATATTGCCTGGCTCCTAGTGAGGTCTCAGTAGTTCTTAAATAAATTACATATTATAGTTACCATTTGATGCTTTAATTAAATATGAATTCTTATTCTTAAAGTTGAATTAATTTATTCATCAAAAAATTATTAGCACCCACTATTTATGCTTGGTGATTACAAAGGCGGTAGTTACAAAAATAGAAAAAGCAAATACTCTTAAAAGGTTTTTTATAAAGGGTATGTGTGTGTGTGTGTAACAATGGAAGGACATTTTCAGATGGTGTTTAACTACTTGAGAAGATTTTAGAAATTTCATGCTGTAATAAAACAGTGTAAAGTAATTTAATCTATGTTGATTTGCATAATATAGTATATTATCTAGACTCTGCCTTTGATCATCACCCCCAAAAGAGAGGCATGTTCTTAAAATATCTTTGTTTCAGATAACAGAACTTCCATATCTCAATATGCGATGTAAGCCAGGTAGAATAGATTTAAAGCTGACTTGGACCTTTTTAAAAGAAATCTACATGGTTGTAGATGTTTGTTTGTGTTTTCCCATTTTATATATCTTGCTCATTCCTGGTCCCTGTGGACAGTCTGAATAAAAGGTCAGGTTACTGTCAACTGTGAGAAAGACTGTTTCAGAAATGCTTCCAGCTGAGATCTCGCAGGAGATGTCACACCTTGACATGTGTGTCAGGACTTAAGGAGATGCCTTTAAATTTATATGTAAATATGCCATTTGATTGAGTGCATGTAGATGTTATGGTTATATAAGTATGCATGTGGTATGTACGTGACAGCATATAAATGTGTACATGTGTGTTATGTGCATAATTTGTGTTATATATGCATGTTTGGGTTGTATATTAGCGTATGCTGTGTGTCTGTGAATGTGTGTTGCATGTGTGCATTGAACATATATACGTTATGTTTAGGGGTGTGTGTATATATATGTAAATGTAGTGTGTGTGAGGAGAGACATTTCTGCCTTTTTTCCTGTACATGCTCAGGAAGTGAAAGAGAAAATATGGCATTATCTGTGGAGAATACAGCCTCAAATTAAATAGATTAAAAACAACCTTTCCTAGGCTGTCAGAGAAAATGTTGAAGGGTTTTCAAAAAGAGAAGGAAATCTCTCAGGCAACCGTATCTATATTTGCATTGCTTGTTTCAGAATAAAGACAAAAAATACAAATCCACAGCACACGCTTTTGACACAGAGTCATATTTTGAAAAGTGCTGGTTGGTAGCACCTCCGTGATGTGCCTGCTTGTGACATTTTAAGATCACAAATTGCTGCTAAGAAACACTCTCACTTTTCATATTTACACTTAAAAAATCTTTTCTTCTTAATGGTTAATTAGGTCACTAAAGAAGCTCTTAAGAAGAAGATGAAATGTTGACATTTTGCAATTATTTGCTACTGTGAATAATACATAAACATACTACTTACGGAGAAAGTAGCTTTCAACCCCTTTTTCTTCCATGAAAGCTCATGCTGACAGCAGAATCCCTGTGCCTTGGGTCACAGACAGCCACGCTACCTCCTTTTCTGCTTTAGGTACTTTGGGTGATTACGTTGTGCTTTTCCAAAGTGCAGAATCAGTATGGGGGTGTGTTTGTGTGTGTGTGTGTGTGTGTGTAAGTATACTGATCTTGTCTACTTCCAGTTACACCACAAGTGTTAAAACACTAGCACATCATTAATTACTTGAAGTAGAAACTCTTTTAGAAATCAGCTTAATCAGACATAGATAATATTCTAATAATTTAATCCTACAGCAAGCACTTTCTAAGTTCTTTAGTAACAGGATTATGACAAGTATGAGTAATGCAAAGATGACTAGGACACAGTATTTGCCCTTTGGAAGCTAAGAAAGAGATGACTTACAGTATTCAGCCATATTCAGGGACTATTGTAAAAGTATACAATGAAATATTATTCACCCTTAAAAAAGAAAAAAATCTTGCAATATGCAACAATATGAATGAATCTCAAAGACATTATGCTAAGTGAAATAAACCAATCACAGAAGTACAAATACTGCATGATTCCACTTACGGGAACTATTTAAAATAGCCAACTTCAGAGAATCAAATAGTAGAATGGTAGTTACCAGGGGCTGGGGGTGGGGAAAATGGGAAATTGCTAATCAATGGTCATAAATTTCAGTTACACAAGAGGAATAAGCTCTAGAGAGCTGCTGTACAGCATTGTGCCTATCATCAATAATACTATAATGTATACCTAAAATTTGTTGAGGGTAGATTGAATATTAAGTGTTCTTACCATACTAAAATGAAATTTTAAAAATTTGACTTCTTATTTTGTTTTGCCTCTGTACTTCAAATGTTTCTTCTTCCATCTTCTTTCAATCATTTAATCCCATTGTCAAAACCACCATCAATAGCCTCACCCCTCTAAAATCTCAATTTCAAACACTCCTTTCTCTTAACTTCTATTATTGCAGCTCTCTCATCCCCATGATTTGACAACAGTATATTATAAATTGAGCAACCTCAGCATCTTCATCATTATTCACCCGTATCTATCCACCATAATCTTTTTCATGCATTGCTGTGTAGTCTTCCCTCTGGCTTCCTTGCCCCCAACTTTGTTCCTTTGTTTTAACAGTCTCTTAAAATCATATATTAGATCATGCCAGTCACTTCAGTACATGGTTGTGGAAGGAAATAATAAATTCTTTAAATCTATCCACTTGTGTTGTCCTCATTGTCCTCACCCTAATCTAGGCTCACATAATCAGAAAACATGGTGCTGAGACTTCTACCTTCTGGTAATCGTATTATTTTCCTAGCATTGATGTAATAAAATATCCAGAATCTGAGTGGCTTATAACAACAGAAATTTATTTTATCACAGTTCTGGAGGCTAGGACTCTGAAATCAGTGTGTCACCAGGGCATGCACTTTCTAAAAGCTCTGGGGAAAAGATCCTTCCCTTACATTTCCTAGCTTCTTGTGGATGCTGGAAACCCTTGGCATTCCTTGGTTTACAGTTGCATCACTTCAATCTTTGCCACCCTCATTATATAATATCTTTCCCAGTGTGTCTGTGTCTCTTTTCCTCTTCTTATAAGACACTAGTCATTAGATTTAGGGTCTCACCCTAATCTAGCATGACTTCATCTTACACCAATTAATTACATCCGCAAAGACTCTATTTTCAAATAAGGTCACATTAGGAAAATTCAGTTGGAAATGAAGGCTTTTTTTTGTGGAGGGGGGCAACACTATTCAACTCACTACAGTAGTAATTTAGTCCTAAGGAAGACACAATATATTCACAAACATGAGCTCATTCAAACTCTCAATGACTTGGTGTTTTCATCTTCAAAAGGGGCATTGCACCTGCCATGTCTTCTTCACTGAGTGGTTGTGAACATTTAGATGAACATTTTGATGGAAAATGGTTGCATACAACAAGGGCCAATACACATATATTAAACATTTTTATTATATGGAAAGCATGTTGAGATTTATAATTCTTGAAATAATATATATGTATAAATAAGAAATAAAATACATCATTTCTTGCATTTTAAATTTAGAGTGCAATTCATTATCCTAATTTGCACGTTCAGTTTCTAGTATATTTTCAAATATGTATTAACAATCAGTGTTTTATTTAATTGAAAGTAAATTTAAAGATTATTTCTTATTTTCTTACATTTCAGTGATTGGACAATTAAGCCTCAAGCAATTAAATTATTTGTCCAGGTTTCTCCAGCTCATTGGCTGAAGAATGAGAACCCAGTTCTCCTTGCTCCCAAATGAAATGAGCAGCTAATATAAGATGTTAAGTGACCTAATTGAGTGGCTAGTAATTCTCAGTCTCTCCTCTTTGCAGACATTCTTCTTGGAATGTTTATTAATGTCAGATAGAGCAGGTAGATGGAGTTTAAAAAGATGATTGAATTCAGCTGAGACATTGTCTAGTCATTTGATACTGCTCATGTTTCTTAATCTCTTTCAGATTTGGTTTCCTCAGCTGTAAAATGAGAACAATATTTATTCACAGAGTTAATGTGAATATTATTTGCTTAACATGAATAAATCACATAAATCATAGTCCCTTCCAGGTTTCTTAACTATGCATACATAAAGGTGATTTACTATGCATACATATATACATGCATACATAAACATACACACATTCCCCACACATGCAATAGCATGGCAAACAGTCACACTCAATAAAAGAGATATGATGATGATGATGTGACCAAAATAACAGAGATATGAGAGTGCTTCAGGGAAGCAATTATAACACACTTTTTCTTAAAGAATTAATAGAAAGCCAGGCATGTAACCAGACCCTGGTAGGTTCTTTGCTTACGTCACCTTATAAAATTTTCTCAGCAACATTAGAAAATAAAGATCCTGGTTTTATGGATGAGAAAATTAATGATCAAAACATTCAACTAAGTTGTCCAAACCCACAAACTTAATATTTGCTAAAGACGGATTTCAAATGGATGTCCGTCTAAAGGCAAAGGTTAGGATCTGTCTTGGAGCTGATAGGCACAGGCTGTGAAATATGCAGAAATGCAGAAACTAGAATTGGAGCATTACTCAGCATAGTTATTTAGAAAGCCCTTTTGACATCCAGGCACTGATGAACGAGCGAGTAAATGCATGCTTCTGCACCTGGCAGTTTCCGGACACCTTCCAAGCTCAGATTCTGCCTCTGCTCTGCCTCTTGGGATGACTGCTTGATTAATGAGCTCCCATTCATAAAGCTTTCTGATGAGGAATACGCGCCATGGCTGTAAGTGGTAAGTCATATCATTGTTTGGATTGGCACTGAGACATGCAGGCAAAAGCTTTACCCCTGTGGCTAGGGAAATGGAGGGATAATATAATCAAATCTGTGGATTCATGCTCTGCAAGTCTGTAGGCTTATCGTAGGGGGCCACTTTGAGTAGAAGTCAGTTGGATTCCTGGCTGAATGTTATGTGTTCCAGTTCCCTATGTTTATTAAGTATTTTCAAGATTATATCTTAACCTAATCCTTTCCAAGCCTTTGGAATTCATTCTAGTTAGCTCACAGATGGATGAAACACAGAAAAAGTTAAAAGAAAATGCTTGTGGATTGGTTTTCCCTGAATGTTTCTGATTTAGGGCAGAATTTAGGGAGGAAGAATAAATTTAAAATATCTTTGAGAGATAAAGAGAAAAAAATATAAAACCTTAGCCTTAACTTCCTGTGTGTAAGCCTCACCAAAGAGCTAACAAAGAAATGCTGTGTGCTTTCTGGGCCCTGGGCATCTCAGGATATACAGCTGAGTGTGTGCTTATGTTTTAGTTTACCTGTCTGAAATCTCTAAGTGTTTGTCTACACAACTGTAAGATAATGGATTGATTTTTAAAAAATAATCTAGTCAATGATTTTTATTTTGCAGGGTGCCAAACAACCTATTTGATTTTTAAAAATAAACTTCCATTTTAAAGTGCAGTAGACGCAGACCAAATGAAAGTTGGCTTATTTGTCCCTTCTAGGTTTATGTTTCTACGAATCAATATTTTTAATTATATAGCAGCTTTTCAATAACTCTCAAGTGTGTGTGCAACATATAGTTTCCAAAGAATTAGTCAGAAGTACTTTTGCAAAATATAGTATGCTGGCTTGTAAGGCCAGTCTTAGCATGTGTATAATCATTCGTTCATTCTTTGGTCATTTATTTAACAAATGTTTTTGGAGCAACTATTATCTATGAGAGGTGGTAATGGAAGTGATGGGTATGTATGAGTTTAAAAAGAAAAACACAGAAGGCTCAGACTTGAGGACAGGAGTTTCTTTAGAGCTGTATGGTGATGTGCAGACATGTTCTCATGTATTTGTCTTACGGGCTACAAATAACAGGTGCCACATGAATAGGGATCATTAAATATACACCTAATGAAGTTAAAAGGATTCATTAAATGATACAGTGGTTTGATATTTTAGTCATCATGATTCTTATGTACCACCTGTCTCAGTGTCTGAAATGCCACAATAAGCAAACTGTTATTTATTTAATCTTAAAAAAGATCTTGCTTTTCAGATAATTTTCAGTTTAAGGCAAATACCTTTTTGAAGAAGTAGAATAAGTAATGACTAAGCTCCCTTCACCACATCAAATCCTGGGGACACACATAAACACATACATACATGCTCTGACAATATATAAACATATATATAATATTATATATAAATATATCTAATATATAATGTATTATATAATAAATGTTATATAAAGTTATATTTATATACATATTATATTCATTATATTATATATAATTTATATATAATAAATTTATATAATGTATAACACATTTATATATAATCTAATATATATTCAAATATATTGTGTGAAAATACACAATACTTAGTAAATATGAAGAGAAGAAAAGTAATATCCCAGTGGAGCAGTCTGCTGGACACCACCCTAATCAATTGATCAAATTGAGCACACATGAAAGGGTGCAATGGGAAGGACCCAGCAGGTGGGTCTGTCTGTGACAGTCCTGCCAAGGATGCATAACCTGACTCCTACTGCAAGGAAACCTCAGAAGAAACCCAAATTGCTATAACTGGCCTATAATGGTTAAAAGTGTCACAGTCATGAAAGTCAAAGAAAGGCTTTCATGGAGGCATTTTAGATTGAATGTGACCAAAGAGACATGGAAGGTAAATGAAAAAGATTGCTTAAAGGGCATTTCTGGGGCAATTATAGACACTTGACTAGAGTCTACAGATTAGGTGGTAAGTAGTGATGCAGCAATGTTACTTTTCTAGTTTTCATGGTTGTACTATATTATGCGCAACAAGTATTGGCAAACTTTTTTCTGTAAAGATCCAGAGTACATATTTTAGGCTTTGTGTGCCATACAGCCTCAGTCACAACTACTTAAATCTGCCACTGTCGTATAAATGCAGTCACATACAACATGTAAACAAATAAATGTGGAAGTGTTCCAATAAAACTTTATTTACAAAAACAGGTAGCAGGTGAGGTTTGGCCTGTGAGCCACAGTTCACTGACTCCTGATATAGAAAAATGCCTTTTTCATAAAAACAAACATATACACTGAAGTTACCAGGGGTATTGGGAAATCTAATTAAAAAATTACTATCAAGTGGTTCAGGAAAAGAAAAGATGCTGCATTGTACCTGCAAAAATTTGAGATTGTTTGAAAATAAAAATACTTATATACAAAAAATCACTATCTCAAACATATCAGACATCCATAAATATAGTAAGCCTTGGAAAATTTAAGTGTATCCAATGACTTAATGTGTAGCTCTAGTGAAGCTAATAACATTAAAGATGACCAAGAGTAGTTTAAATAAAATTCTTTCACGTAATTGAGAGTGGAAAACTGCAATATCACCAGATAAACACATTTTAAATATGTAACATTAAAAAAGCATATAATACTAAGTTTTAATTAAACTGTTTTAAGTAGACTTTTGAATATTTATGTTACAGCCCCCAAATCTTGCATTTAATTATTTAAATTGGGCAAAATATTTCATTTGGCTCTTTTTTTAATTGGAAAAACAAGGGACTTTGATCAAATTCAGATTTGTCTAATAACAGTGTATATGGTATCTCCCGCTTCCCTTTCTGTGGAGTTTAGCCCTTATACTGAGGCAATCTAGTTAGCAGAAAAGTCAAGCTTTCTGAATCTGAGTAACTTATCTAATCAAATAAGTTTCAGTTTCCTCAGTATAAAGTTTAATTATACTGTATATGTGAACTAAATGGTCTTTTTTTTTCTTGGCACTTAATGTATTCTCAATTAATATTAATTTCTTTCTATATCTCTTATACTATTTACATTCAATTTTTTGCTTTCTATCAGCATCAATATCCGAGAAATGCTATAGAGATTTTTGAGGGAAAAAAACTTTTTTTTTGCCTTCCTGGCAATCCAAATGGTGCAAAATATAAAGCTAACATCAAAGTGGGCAATTGGCAAACGTTTGGTGGCAGATTGACCTAGTGGATGTCATTCCGAATTTTATTATTTCATTGGCCCATTCAGTACATGTTCTCCTTTTTTGTTGTAAGTATCCCATCCTGAATATTTGACTACTTCAGAAAGTACAAGGTAGGCAGAATAGATTTATGTTTTAATAAATTAAATTTATTTTATTTATATTATGTCTTAGGGCCTTGAAGTACAGTGCAATAATGCAGTTACCATCCCTTTTTAGGAATGTATCTTTGCCAAAATCCTTACCAGCCTGCCCACAGCATCAAACACACAACACCTCTTAACACAGAGCTATTTCAAATTAAAGTAAAACGCAGTTCAATGCTATAAATGGAGAGACACAGACACACGGACACACACCACATGCACTCTCACACAGAGTAGAAAAAGCCATGCCTGTTGAAACGCATCAATTTTATAAATTAGGTAGCCTACTACCGCATAGTTGAACTATAATTAGGTTCTTAATTCTGTTCTTACACCAGAACATTGTCTAATACTTTTATTGAAATAACTAGGCTTCTTCTATCAGCAAGATTTTCTTAAAGAACATCTGATCATTTAAATTTATTAAGACACAGCAGCAATGCCCTTTAACAGCCATGAAGATTGATTGGTATTTTCATTAAAACTGTTACCTTTTAAAGAAGCTATATGAAGTACTGATGACATTTCCCAGTATGAGTGCCCAAATCCTCTGTCTAATTGTGTATCTATTATATGGCCAGATATAAAGATCCAATGAGTTCTGTATAGAAATTATAACTAGATTCAAAGAGCAAGTAGGCTACCAGACAGGCAAGACATATACAAGTGAAAAACAAAAAGCAGCTACAACACAAAGAAATTCATGATAAAGGTTTAAGAATGACACATATTATTCATGGGCTTCAGAGGATGGAGACTATCTTGTTCAATTGGGTTGATCAGAAAAGCCTCAGGGACCAGACAGCCTCTTAGTAGGAATGAGAAGCGCATGTTAGATTCCCAAGAAGCAGTGTCAAAAACAACAAACTCTGTGGGTCTGTACTTATGCCGGTTTCCTGCCAACAACATATCTGATTTCTGTTGTGCCTGGGAGTCACACAAGGGCTTTACCCATATTTTTAAAAAGGAAGACTCGTGTTTAGAGAGATGTCTCTTATTCAGACAGAGATGCTAACATTTCACCTTCCAATGCAATGGTAGAATAATCCTATGTGAATGACTCTAAACGTCTACATTCACGTTCACACACTTTCAGGTCACAGGCAGGATGAAACTCTTAAAATGTTTTCTGTGGAGCATAAAAACATGTTTATACATGCTTTCCTTTTGCTTGTCTTGGGGATATTTTAGAGCAATTCAAGCAACACTAATCCTTGCACACTTTTAGATTCTGAAATGATCTTTTTTTTCCCTGCTACCATATTCCCACTCCTAGTCAAGGGCACAGCAAATTATCCTCTATCTGAGTCAGAAAAGTAAAGCTCACCCTAGATTCCTGACTTGCCACTAATATTCAACGAATCAGAAAGTCCTCTTTCTTCCAACTTCCGAGTATCTACAATTCTATTCTTTATCATTATTTAGGTCAGATCTCCCCCATGTCTAGTCCTACCTAATTTGCACCACTTTCCTCCTTGCGTGTTGTACTCCAGACTCACTGAAATACCTTTTATTTTCTCAGGGTTTGTCTATGTCCTTTGTACTTTGTCCACAGTGATCCCTCTGCTAGAATGACCAACAGTCCCCCAGGCTTTTGAGCATGGGTCTTCTTTTCCAGAAATTTTTCGGCAGTTTTTCTCCCTTGTTGGATTGTGTGTCTATTCTTTGGGTTCCTTTGGAGTCCCTGCTGTATTATATCATATCACTAACCATAATATGAAGTAATTGCTTATATATGTCTCTGCTTTCTTTGAGAGATCCTAATCTCCTTAAGAGAAGTAATTACCACCACCCCCTGAACAGAAAGTTCTGTGCAGAAACTCTTTCAGACTCCCTATTCCTCTCATAGTGCATGACACATATGAGGTACTCAACAACTATTTAGAGGAGACAATAATATTTTAACCAATGTTTTCAAACCAGAGGGACCCCAATAGTGTACTTTCTGATAACATGAACTCTGGCCTTAAAAGAGAAAAATTAGGAATAGTCAACATTGAATTTCATCTGATTATATTTTATTGTAATTTTTAATGCATAAGTATTTAATATTCCCCAAATACACCGTGAATGGCTCCTCCCAGATTAAGAATTCTATCTATTAGGGAAGATGACATTTGCTATGGCTTGGATGTGGTTTGTCCCCATTAAAACTCATGTTGAAGTTTAATGGCCAGTGAAGCAGTGTTGGGGAGTATGGTCTAATGGGAGGTGTCTAGCTCACAGAAGCTGATCCCTCATGAATAGGTTAATGCCTTCCCATAAAAGTTAGTGAATTTTCACTCTTATGAGACTAAATTAGTTACCAGAGGTCGGGTTGTGATAAAAATGAGTTTGGCTTCCTAGACATTCTCTTATTTCCCCTCTCACCATGGGATCTCTCTGCACATGCCTGCCTACTCTTCTGCTTCTCTGCCATGTTTCAACCCAGCACGTGGTTCTCTCCAGAAGCTGGACAGATGAGATGCTATGCTTTTGAACTCCCAGCCTGTAGCTGTGAGCCTGTAGCTCACAAATTGTGAGCTAAATAAATCTCTTTTCTTTGTAAATTACACAGCTTAAGTATTCTGTTATAGCAACACAAAACAGACTAAGAGGGAAAATTCATACTGAGGAGTGGGATGCTGCTATAAAGATACTATAAAGCAGCTTTGGAATTGGTTAAGGAGTAGTGACTGGAAAAATTTGGAGCAGACTACAAAAAGCCTGAATTGCCATAAATACAACATTAAGGGTGATTGTGGTGAGAGTTCAGAGAAAGACAACAAAGTGAGGAAAAGTTTAGAACTTCTTAGAAATTGGTTAAGTGGTTGTGACCAAAATGCTGCTAGAATTATAGATGATAAAATAGAAATTAAAATAAATTAAATATTTAAAAAATAATAAAGAAATATAAATGGTGAAGGCTGTTTTAATGAAGTCTCTTCATGGAAATGAATAAAAAACTTATTGGGAACTGAAGGAAAGTTCATCCTTTTTAACTATGGGAAAGAATTTGGCTGCATTTTGTCTATGCTCTAGGGGTTTGTGGAAGGCTGAACTTAAGGGTAATGAAATAGTGCATCTGGTGGAAGAAGTTTTGAAGCAAGAAAGCGCTCAGGCTGCTGCATTGTTACCTCTAACTACTTACAGCGAGCTTCTAGAGAAAAAGGAAATAGAGCAAAAAGATTTGGAAAATTTGCAATCTGGCTATCTGATAGGGAATAAAAGACTATTTTCAGAGAGAAACCCAAGGGTGCAGCCAAACAGACTGCTTACTCTTAGTAACATTATCATATATAAAAGGGAACCAGGTGCTATGCATCAGAACAATGAAAAAAGGCCCTGAAGGCCCTGAAGGCATTTCAAAATTCTTCGAGGCCACCCCTCCCATCACAGGCTTAGAGGACTAGGAGGACAAAACACTTTTGGGGAACAGGCCCAGATTGCTGCTGTCCTGCCCCACCTTGGAACACTGTTCCCTGGAGCAGCCATGGTTCAAACGGTCCCAGGTATGACTTGTACTACCACTCTAGAGAGTGTAAACCATAAGTCTTGGTGGTTTTCACATGGTGTTAAGTCTGCACATGCACAGAATTCAAGAGCTATGGAGGCTTGGTGGCTTCCACCCAGATTTCAGAAGGTGTACTAAAAATCCCGGAAGCCCAGGCAAAAACCTGTCACAGGGCCAGAGCCACCACAGAGCCATAAGCCTAGTGGAGCTATTGAAGACGGGCTGCTGCCATGATACCAGAACTGTAAAACTACCAGGATATAATTCTAGCCTGAAAAAGCCACAGGCACAGAACTCTAACCTGTGAGTAATCACATGGGCTGCACCCAGCAAAGCTATGGGTATGGGACTCCCTGAGGGCTTGGACATCTGCCCCTTGCTCCAGTATGTCCTGGAGACAGCACATGGAATGAAAGCTCTATGCTAGAGCTTTAAAATTTAATGTCTGCCCTGCTGGGTTTCAGATTTGTGTGTGGTCTATTACTCCTTCCTTTGGACAAATTTCTTTTTTGGGAAATAGAAGTAGTTACCCTATGACTGTACAACTATTATACTTTGGAAGTAAATAATTTGTTTTTGATTTTACAGGCTTACACATGGACTTTGGACTTTTGAGTTGATGCTGGAATGAGTTAACACTTTTGTGACTATTGGGATAGAATGATTATATTTTTATACCCAAGAAAGCAAGAAAGGCATAAGTTTTAGAGGGCCAGGAGCAGAATGCTATGGTTTGGATGTGGTTTGTCCTCACAAAAACTCATGCTGCAGCTTAATTGCCAGTCTGGCAATGTTGAGAGGTAGGTCCTAGTGCAAAATATTTGCGTCATGGGAACAGATGTCTCATGAATAGATGAATGCCCTCCCATGGGAGTGAATGAATCCTTGCTCTCACAGACGTATTAGTTACTAGAGAGCAAGTTGATATAAAAGTGAGCTTCACTTTCTTTACTCTTTCTTGCTTCCTTTATTGCCACGTGATCTCTTTGCACACACTCACTCACTTTTCCACTTCTCTGCTGTGTTTTGATCCAGCATGTAGCCCTCCCCAGAAACAAGTCAGATGTGGTGCTATGTTCTTGGACTTCCCAGCATACAAAATCATGAGCTAAATAAACCTCTTTTCTTTGTCAGTTACCCAGCCTCAGGTGTTGTGTGACAGCAAAACAAAACAAAGATAACATCCATTAAATGTATTAAATGAATTCCCACTCAGTGTGAAATCCAAGAAATATAATTCCATTCACTTTTATCTATTTTTCCTGTTGGTTTACTTCTTTGGGTTCTTACAAGCAAAAAACAAAAAACCTAGCCAACTATTTGTATAAATTTAACAGATAGCATTAAATTCACTTAAAAAAATAGACCAATTTAGAATAAGGTCAATATAAGTGAAGGTCAGCTACAGTTTGGAATGAAGTCAAGGGTTGATGCCACCTCACACATTCATTTAAATAATTCTAGATGCACAGTCTAGCTGTGGAGTCTGCAGAGAACTAATCTCTACCTCCTGAGGAGAAAGAATGTGGACATAGGCCATTCAAGGACATGAATAAAAGTTAACAGACTTTGTTCCACCAGAAAACTGGTGAAATCTGGGTCTTTGGGCATGATTCCTAGAGAAAAAAACTAAAAACTAAAGTTAAATCTCAGATTCATCACTTATTAACCATTTTATATTTATGAGGCTTAATCTGGGAATAATAAAAAGATAAATTTCATGGGAAAAAGATGCAAAAGAGAATGTATATGAAAGCACATTTAACATTAAATGCTATTATAAAATTGTATGAAATTATATAATATACATTTTTTGTATAATTGTATTCCATAACATAATAACGTGCAAATATAAAACCATCCTCAATAGAGTTTGTTTTTCTAGTACCTAAGATATATTTATATTTTCTATTTACTTCATGGCAGGAATTAGCCACTATCAGTTACTAGATAATACACTGAACAATTAGGAATTTTGAATTCTGTTGTAACCATTAGCAGACAACCATGTTATGTTAAACAAGCCACTCAACCTAAGATTATGTCTCCAGGTATCAAACAAGTTTGTCCCCAGCTCTAATATTTTAAAAAGCTCTATGTTTATTTCTGAGATTTTACTATTTTTTCTCTTCTACTTTTCATTTAATTTTAAGACAAATCTAATACAGGAAGTAAGTTAGAACAAAAGATGAAGACTTAAGGGAGAGTGACTTTGAAAATGGATTATTTCTTAAAAATACAAATTATAAAATTATGGGTCACAGAAAAATTAGTTTCCACTCCACTTCTCTCAAGCACATAAAAGCACTTACCAGCAGAACAGTTGCAACAGCTCAACGGTGCCCTGGAAAAGAAGAATTAGAGAAATGAGTCATTCTTAATGATTTTTGCCAAGGAAATATTCAAAATGTAGCTAGATAGGGCAAGATGAGAAAAAATTTCCTTGGTTGGAAAGTTTTCAGTGGCCTAGAAAAAAAAACACCCTTAAAACTCCATAAATACCAGTTAATTGGGGAAAAAATTATCATCTAATATTAAATGCTCATTAGCAAATAACAACAAAACACACACAGAGATACACATACATGCAAAAACAGTTACTAAAATAAATTCACATATCAAATGCCCCATAAGTACAAGGTACTGGGGGTAACATTAAGAGCTCTAAGATAACTCCTCGTCTCAACAAATATATAATCTAGGTGAAAAGAAAGACATACACAGATGTTCTGAATCAGTTAGGAGGACCATGACATCTTTCATCATCACTTGTCTTGATTCTGAACCTCTGACTTATATATGGCAGATACATACTTCCTAGATCTTTATTATCCCAGAATTGTCTCCTTCACCTTCTTGAAGTGGGTGTGCAGCTAAAGTGAGCTTACCTAGCCATCAGAGTCTCCATGGAATTCTCTGCGTATTTCAATATGGTCTGCATGTGACTTATTTCTGTACACTCTTACGATTCCTACCTTTGGACAAGAAACTGGGTCATGGGAGCAAGAGGGAGTTGGAGGAAAGAAAAGAAATCGGTACTGATTATCTACTTGTTGCCCTTTTCTTTGACATTGTCTTGTTTCTCTGACCACAGTCTTGTTCTGCCAGATTTGTTTCATTTTCTGCATGACTTCATCTGGATGGGCATTTCAAGCTGTGATTTCCAAGTTTGATCGTTCATTGTAGACCCTGTTATCACTGAAAAAGAGGCTTTAAAGTTCAAAGTAAGCTAGAATGAGCAATGTCTTAAAAGTTTGTATCTTTCTGATCCTTCTCTTCTGTTGGCTGCTTCAAAGAATGTCAAATTATTGTACATTGTGTAGCAAATATCTCCAATGGGTATTCTTTAAAAATGCACTCAGAAAACCAGTCTTCCAGCTCAAAGGTTTGATGGTGAAACCCCTTGTTATTAATGTAAAAAACTTGTTCTGTGAGCAGAACTTCAGCAGCCACAATTCTCCCACATAGTTCCCAGCTCATTGTTCTTGTCCTCAAATAGTGACTGAGGTGATCTGAATAGTTCCAGATTATTTGAAGTAACAATTGAACTCTGTTATCCACATGCACTGCATTCCTCACCACCCTCGGACACCAAAATGCCCCAAAGATGCTTTTGTACACCCTCCCTATTCGATCCTAGGCATGTTGTTAAAGCAAATGAAACAATTAAATCTTCTTTAACAAAGCATAGATATTCACCAGTTCTTACTCTTCCAGAATTCTAACCACAATCCATTCTTGTGTGAATGTCAGTTTCTATGGATCTGAGTTAAATAGATAATTGCTCAATTTCTACAAAAATATTTTTATCTAATCTAGTGGCATGATTATTTTTTACCTTCTTAGAACTCAAAAAAGAGTTTTGAAAATACACATAAAAAGGGAGCCCCCACCCCAGCCAAGGGAGGCGGTGACTGATTGTGCGACCTTGCCCGGGAAACCATGCTTTTCCTACAGATCTTTGCAACCCGTGGATCAGGAGATGCCCTAGTGACCCCATGTTACCAAGGACTTGGGTCCGAAGCATAGAGCTGTGTGGATTCTTGGCGGCCACTCAGGCATGCGTGGAGACCCAGGAGGTTTTGCATACTCCAGCCCTGGGAATTCCAGTGAGATAGGAGATCCTCTGTGCATTCCCCTTGGAAGGGGGCTGAAGCCAGGGAGCCAAGCGGTGTCATTCTGTGGGCCCCACTCCCATGGCACCTCTGGCACCTCACAAGTTAAAGACCCATTGGCCAGCCAGCTAGTGGCAGCAGACTGGAGACTGCCTGAAATGAGTTATCTGGGAGAGGGACAGCTGCCATTTCTGCGGCTCAAGTCAGCTGTTTTGGCCTGCCAGCTCCAGGGAGTCTGGGCAGTCCGGACTGGGAGGAATTTCCCATGGCACAGCACAGCTGCTGTGGCAGATCATGGCAAGACTGCTTCTTTAAGTGGGACCCCAATCCATCTCTCCTCACCAGGCCGGGGGAGAACTTCCCTATGGGAAGTTCAGCAATTCCAGCCAGGGTGTTAGGGACAGAACTCTGATCTCTCCCTGGGATGGAGCCACTGAAGGGAGGGGGGCAAACACCATATTTGCAGTTCAGCCTGCTGGCTTTGGAATGTCCAGGCAGCTTGGATGAAGAAAGTTCCCCTCAGCGCAGCACACCTGCTCTGCCAAGAGGCAGCCAGACTGCTTCTTTTTTTTTTTTTTTTTTTTTTTGAGGTGGAGTCTCACTCTGTCACCCAGACTGGAGTGCAGCAGTAGCTGATCTCAGCTTACTGCAACTTCCGCCTCCCAGGTTCCAGCGATTCTCCTGCCTCAGCCTCCCAAGTAGCTGGGATTATAGGCACATGCCACCATGCCCGGCTAATTCTTGTCTTTTTAGTAGAGACAGGGTTTCACCATGTTGGCCAGGCTGGTCTCGAACTCCTGACCTCAGATGATCCACCCACCTTGGCCTCTCAAAGTGCTGGGATTACAGGTGTGAGCCACCGCGCCTGGCCCAGAATGCTTCTTTAAGCAAGTCCCTGATCCTTTTCTTCCTGACTGGGTGAGACTTCCCAGTAGGAGTCTCCAGACACCTACAAGGAGCCTTGGGGCCGGCATCAGGTCGGTGCTCCCCTGGGATGGAGCCCCCAGAGGAAGGAGCAGGCTGCCATATTTGCTGTTTTGTAGCCTTCACTGGTGATATCTCCAGGTATGGGAGAGCATGAGGTGACTAGGGTCTGGAGTGGAACCCCAGCAAACTGCAGCAGCCCTATGGAAGACGGGACAAACTGAAAAACAACAACAACAACAACAAAACAGAAAGCAACAATAACATCAACAAAAAGACCCCACAAAAACCCCATTCAAAAGTCAGCAACCTCAAAGATCAAAAGTAGATAAGCTGACAAAGATGATAAAGAATTAATACAAAAATGCTGAAAACTCAAAAAGCCAAAGTGTCTCTTCTCCTCCAAATGACTGCAACACCTCTCCAGCAAGGACACAGAACTGTGCTGAGGCTGAGATGGATGAATTGACAGAACTAGGCTTCAGAAGGTGGGTATAATGAGCTTCGCTGAGCTAAGGAGCATGTTGTAACCCAATGCAAAGAAGCTAAGAATCATGATAAAACATTATATGAGCTGATAACCAGAATAACCAGTTAAAGAGGAACATAAATGACCTGATGGAGCTGAAAAACACAACATGAGTACTTCACAATGCGATCACAAGTATCAATAGCCAAACAGACCAAGTGGAGGAAAGAATCTCAGACCTTTAAGACTATATTTATGAAACAAGACAGGCAGATGAGAGTACAGAAAATAGAATGAAAAGGAATGAACAGAACCTCTGAGATATACAGGGTTATGTAAAAAGACTGAACCTATGACTGACTAGGGTCCCTGAAAGAGACAGGGAGAACAGAAACAAGTTGTAAAACATACTTCAGGATATCATCCAGGAGAACTTCCCCAATCTAGCTAGACAGACCAACATTCAAATTCAGGAAAGGCATAGAACCTCGGTAAGATAGTACATGAGAAGATCAACCCCAAGACACATAAAAATCAGATTCTCCAAGGTCAAAATGAAAGAAAAATTTTCAAGGCAGCCACAGAGAAAGGCCAGGTGACCTACAGAGGAAAGACCATCAGACTAATAGCGCATCTTTCATTGGAAATCCTACAAGCCTGAAGAGATGGGAGGCCAATATTCAATATTCTAAAGAAAAAAAATTCCAACCCAGAATTTCACATCTGGCCAAACTAAGCTTCATAAGTGAAGGAGAAATAAAATCCTTTTCAGACAAGCAAATGGGGAGGGAACTCGTTACCACCAGCCCTGCCTTGCAAGAGCTCCTGAAGGAAGAACTAAATATGTAAAGGAAAAGCCATTACCAGCCACTAGGAAAACACACTGAAGTACACAGACCAGTGACACTATGAAGCAACATAAACACGTTTGCAAAATAACCAGCTGATATCATGATGACAGGATCAAATTCACAAAAGACAATATTAATCTTAAATGTAAATGGACTAAATGCCCCACTAAAAAGACACAGAATGGCAAGCTGGATACAGAGTCAACCTCCATTGGTGTGGTGTCTTCAAGAGACCCATAACACGTCAAAGACACACATAGGCTCAAAATAAATAGATGAAGGGGCCAGGCATGGTGGCTCATGCCTGTAATCCCAGCTCTTTGGGAGGCCAAGGCAGGTGGATCACAAGGTTAAGAGATCGAACCCATCCTGGCTAACACGGTGAAACCCCGTCTATACTAAAAATACACAAAATTAGCCTGTAGTCCTAGTTACTCAGGAGGCTGAGGCAGGAGAATGGCAAGAACCTGGGAGGCGGAGCTTGCAGTGAGCCGAGATCGTGCCACTGCACTCCAGCCTGGGTGACTCCATCTCAAAAAAAAGAAAAAAAAAAAGAGATGAAGGAAAATTTACCAAGCAAATGGAAAAGAACAAAAAAAGCAAGGGTTATAATCTTAGTTTCTGACAAAACAGACTTTAAGCCAACAAAGTTCAAAAAAGACAAAGGGCATTAAATAACGGTAAAGGGTTCAATTCACTGAGAAGTGCTAACTATCCTAAATATAAATGACCCCAATACAGGAGCATCCATATTTACAAAGCAAGTTCTCAGAGACCTAAAAAGAGACTTAGACTCCAGCACAATGATGATGGAAAATCTAAATGCCCATTAACAATATTAGACGGATCATGGAGACAGAAAATTAACAAAGGTATTCAGGACCTGAACTCACCTCTGGATCAAATAGACCTGATAGATACCTACAGAACTCTCCACCCCAAAACAACAGAATATACATTCTTCTCATCGCCACATGGCACTTACTGTAAAACTGATCACATAATTGGAAGTAAAACATTCCTCAGCAAAAGAACTGAAATCATAACAAACTGTCTCTCAGATCACAGAGCAGTCAAATTAAAACTCAAGATTAAGAAACACACCCAAAACCACACAACTACATGGAAATTGAACAACCTGCTCCTGAGTGACTCCTGGGTAAATAATGAAATTAAGGCAGAAATCAAGAAGTTCTTTGAAACCAATGAGAACAAAGAGACAATGTATTAGAATCTCTGGGACAAAGCTAAAGAAGTGTTAAGAGGAAAATTTATAGCACTAAATGCCCACATCAAAAAGCTAAAAAGATCTCAAATTTACAACTTAACATCACAACTAAAAGAATGAGAGAACCAAAAGCAAACAAATGTCAAAGTTACCAGAAGACAAGACATAACCAACATCAGAGCAGAACTGAAGGAGACAGAGACACGCAAAAAACTTCAAAGAAATCAACAAATCCAGAAGCTGTTTTTTTCTGAAAAAAAATTAATAAAATAGATAGACTGCTAGCTAGATTAATGAAGAAGAAAAGAGAGAAGAATCAAATAGACATAATCAGAAATGATAAGGGCGATATCACCACTGACCCCACATAAATATAAACAACAATCAAAGAATACTTTAAACACCTCTATGCATGTAAACTAGAAAATCTAGAAGAAACAGATAAATTCCTAGATACATACACTCTCCCAAGACTGAACCAGGAAAAACTCTGGTCTGTATGTGCCTTATTTCCCTAAATGGACCAATAATGAGTTCTGTAATTAAGGCAGCAATAAGTAGCCTACCAACCAAAAAAACAAAAAAAAAGCCAGAACCAGAAGGATTCACAGCTGAATTCTACCAGATGTACAAGGAAGAGCTGGTACCATTCCTATTGAAACTATTCCAAACAATTGAAAAGAAGGGACTCCTCCCTAACTCATTCTATGAGGCCAGCATCATCCTGATGCCAAAACCTGGCAGAGATACAACAAAAAAAGAAAACTTCAGACCAATATCCCTAATGAACATAGATGCAAAAATCCTCAATAAAATACCAGCAAACTGAATCCAGCAGCACATCAAAATGCTTATCCACAATGATCAAGTTTGCTTCATCCCTGGGATGCAAGGTTGCTTCAACATAAACAAATCAATAAATGTAATTCATCACATAAACATAACTAAAGAAAAAAATGAATAATTATCTCAATAGATGCAGAAAAGGCCTTTGATAAAATTAAACATCCTTCCATGTTAAAACTCTCAATAAACTAGCTATTGAAGGAAAAGGACATAAATGGACACTTCTCAAAAAAGGACATTCATGCAGACAACATATGAAAAAAAGCTAATTGTCATTGATCATTAGAGAAACGCAAATCAAAAACACAATAAGATACTATCTCATGCCAGTCAGAATGGCAATTATTAAAAAGGTCAGAAACAACAGATGCTGGAGAGGTTGTGGAGAAAAATGAATGCTTTTACACTGTTGGTGAGAATGTAAATTAGTTCAATCATTGTGGAATACAATATGGCAATTCCTCAAAGATTTAGAAGCAGAAATTCCATTTGACCCAGCAATCTCATTACTGGTATATACTCAAAAGACTACAAATCATTCTATTATAAAGATACATGCATGTGTATGTTTGTTGCATCACTATTCACAATAGCAAAGACATGGAATCAACCTAAATGCAGATAAATGATAGACTGGTTAAAGGAAATGAGGTATATATACATCATGGAATACTATGCAGCCATAAAAAGGAAGATCATATCCTTTGCAGGGAGATGGATAGAGCTCGAAGCTTTTATCCTCAGAAAACTAACACAGGAACAGATAACCAAATAAAGCATGTTCTCAGTTATAAGTGGGAGCTGAACAATGAGAACACATGGACACATAGGGGGAAAAACACACAATGGTGCCTGTTGGGGTGGGGGAGAAAGAGCATCAGGAAGAATAGCTAATGGATTGTGGGCTTAATACCTAGGTGATGGGTTAATCTCTGCAGCAAACCACCATGGCACATGTTTACCTATATGAGAAACCTGCACATCCTGCACATGTACTCCAGAAGGTAAAATAAAAGTTGATGAAGAAAAAAAAAGGAAAAAAAGTATAGGATATTTTGACGATTTGCTTTATAAATTTGTGTTGAAAATCCTTGATGTATATTCAATTTCTTCTCTTAGTAATGATATATGTAATTTGAATTTTAATAAATTAAGAATATATAAAAAGTAAAGTATTTAACTCTATAAGATTAAGATAATATTTTGTTTTACAAATTGCTTTACATTAAGTATTTAAAGTGTATTGCATTGAATATAATGTATCACCAACTTAAGCATTCAACATCGTATTATTTTTGCGTATAAAGTTAAGTTTCCTGGTTGAAAAGGGAAAATATTTCACAAGTGCAGATAAACATATATAATCTGATATAAGCAAAAGCAAATAAACAAAAATGAAAAGTAACAATGTGCCTAAAAGAGATATGCAAGAAACCTCATTAATTTGGACCCTACATATCTTAAACATAGAATTATACAGACACTGACTAGATTGAAATTGGTCATTGCAGTATCTAACTACAAAGCCTTATATTTTTGAATGAAGCTAAAATAAAATTGCTAAAGTGGAGTGAAAATAGGTGCCTCCTTGAAAGTTAATGGTTTGAGTACAGTTGGCCCTTGAACAATGCAGGGATTAGGGACAACAACCCTCCAACAGAGTCAAAAACCCACATATAACTACTACTTGCCCACTATTGATCAGAAGACTTACCAATAACATAAATAGTTAACACATATTTTGTACATATATGTGTGTGTGTGTGTGTGTGTGTATATATATATATAGTATTCTTATAATACAATAAGCTAGCAAAAAGAAAATGTCACTAAAAAAATCACAAAGAAGAAAAAGTATACTCTTCATTAAGTGGAGGTGGATCATCATAAAGGTCTTTTCCCTTTTCATCTTTACATTTAGTAGGCTGAGGAAGAGGAGGAAGGGGAGGAGTTAGCCTTGCTGTCTCAGAGGTGGCAGAGGCAGAATAAACTCCATATATGAGTGGACCCTTGTAGTTCAAACACATGTTGTTCAAAAGCCAACTGTACTTAGAAAATTATTAGTATCTTTATTTTTGAATTTTGGTAGAAGTGCTGGTTATAAATGATTCTTATCTACCGCTACATTAGGTTCTTCAGGGACCTTGAGGAAAACATGAAAGCAAACTGACTCATAAAAAAATTAGTATACTGTTTGATTGTGATCTGTATTAAGTTATTTAGTTGTTTTTATTTGGTCCCGACTGTATAAACTCATTAAACAATAGTTGAGAACACTAAGTGTTCCTCTATTGCTTTGAAAAAAATTAACTTTTTGTTTTGTTTTATTTTTAAATGTTTTATTATTTTTAAAATGATGTATTTGGAGCATATTTGAAGCATTAATAGTACATTGTTCTGAGGCACACTGGGTTTTTCTGTCTGCCCTCACCAAGACCAAACTGCACGCGTGTAATAACTTTTGTAAATCTTAGATAAATTTTACAACCCCATCTCAACGTGCACGCTGAAGGAATGAGTTATCACCTCACTGCAATATTTTCTTTAATGAACCGTTATTCCATTCTTTTGTTGCTGTGTACTTATTTGAAAATGAATGAAAAAATCTCTTCTTCCTAAAATGCATTTAAAAAGTACAAATTTTCCCTTCCTTCTCCCAGGAACTCCAGCCAAGTCTTATTATGTTTAGAGTTCCTTTATCCCAGAGGGCAATTCACATCTTTTTGTATTTCTGAATCATAAGAAAAAAAAAAAAAAGCTGTAAATGCAAATGTAAAAACCCCTCAAAATGACACTGATTTGTATTTGTGATTGAAATAATATTGTTGGATTGTCTTTAGGGAGATGTGGGCTGTTGTTTCTAGGGAAAGATACTGCTCCCAGCCTGGGAGAGAGTTGAGTTCTAAGCACATGGAAAAACAGAGGGGTAGAGGGGTCTGTGACTGGCCATAATGCTCATGCAGGATACAACAAGTATCCAGTCATAGTAGGGTCTGGGAATAGATGCCTGGACACTGAGCATTAATCATCATGCCATTGGGACCTGCAGTGAAAGAGGTGGATACCTCTGATTTCTAGTGGACCATGGTGATTAGAACAATGAGTCTTACAATGAAGCTCAGCGTTTGTAATGTTGGACTGCCCAGAGGGAAGTCTCTCCCCCACAAGTATGCTCCTGAGAGAGGTTTCTGAGCTGGATATGATTGCATTCAAAAGATAAAGAAATGTGACATTTCTTTCATTTTATGCATAGTGGAGAAAAACATACCTATTATTAAAACATTGTAATATGAGAATCCAAAATAAAAAAGTTATCTTTCTTAGGAAATACACTTCAGTAGTTTGCTTAAGGCTCTTAAGTTATTATAACAAGGTTTGATAGATTTTTTTTTTTTTTTGAAACAGAGTCTCACTCTGTCACCCAGGCTGGAGTGCAGTGCCGTGATCTTGGCTCACTGCAACCTCCACCTCCCTGGTTCAAGCAATTCCCCTGCCTCAGCCTCTTGAGTATTGAGTATCTGGGATTACAGGTGCACGCCACCATGTCTGGCTAATTTTTTTTTTTTTTTTGTATTTTTAGTAGATGTGGGGTTTCACCATGTTGGACAGACTGGTCTCAAATTCCTGACCTCAGGCAATCTGCCTGCCTCGGCCTCCCAAAGTGCTGGGATTCCAGGCGTGAGCCACCACGCCCAGCCTAGATTTTTTAAATGATGCATTTAGAGCACAGAGAATAACACAGTTTTGTAATGTAGTTGTTTTGTTTTGTTTTAATGCTGTCTTGACCCAGTTTTGATCCCTGGCTAGAAGCCAATCAGTTTCCCCTTTTGCTCAGCCCATTAATTCCAAACCTCAACCACCTCTCATGTCAGGCTCTGACTCTAAACACAGCCCTGATCATCCCAGTGCCAGGTACCAGATAACCAGAGACAGTGTCTATGCCCCAGAAGCTGTTGAATTATTGGAATTAGCCAATCCTAAACTTGCTTACCCTGCTTTGCCTGTTCCTTCTCGTGGACACCACAATAAAGGTGCTTGTCCATGGTTTCCCTTATTATTATTCTGTCCTATGAGAAACCCAAGGGCTTACTCATATGACCATGTGTCATACAGATGCACTTTCTGCAGGGAACTATAAGTATTAAAAACAACTGTAAAACTCTATCTGATCTCTCTTAATCTGAGTCTGACCTCCCCATATCTCACCCAAGGTGATATGGCTGAAACATGTTTCTCATTTACCACCAGAGCCCATTTCTGTGTGCATCTGAGACTGGGAATTTGGGTCTGGAATTTGGGTCTGCAGCTTTTATGCTGGGTCTCAGTGCATCTTCTAAATACTTACCTGTTCTTTCTGTAAAACATTTTGCCGTTTTGAAGCTTTTGCTATTTGAGCCGAGCATCTCCCAGTCTACCTTATTTAGTCACGATTTTGGATATAGATATGCTGTTGGTTCTCTTCTTCACTCAAGGTCCTAACATTTTGCTGGGTGACTTCAGTACCTACTTGTCTATTTTATAACCTGGCATATTGGTTCATATTTGTTATTCCACCTGCTTATGTCTATTATTCTTCATTTCTATTCATCTTCAGCCTCTTGTTCCCAAAATTACACTTCGGTATGCTTCACTTCCAGAAGCAGTTCTGAAGGCCAGAAGTCCAAATCCAGTTTCTCTAAGCTGATAGTCAAGGTGTTAACAGGGCTAGTTTCCTTCTAAAAGCTTTAGAAGAGAATCCTTTTTCTTGCATTTGCCAGCTTCTAGATGCCACCTAAATCCTTGGCTTGTGATCCCTTCTCCATCTTCAAAGTCAGCAGTGTAGCAGGAATTTGACTATAAATAATAAATTTCAGGCTTTGAGAACTGAGGTGCAGAGTAGATCTCCATCCAGGTCTCAGGCTGGCCACTGGTTTGTGCACACGTGGGACTAATCAGAATAACAATGAAAATGCTCAACAATCTTGAACAGACAATGGAACCAAGGTCACAAAAGGCAGATTAGAACTTGCATCCCAAGTGTAACATGGCCAAATGCATGCTAAAACAAACCAAATCAAATTAAAATGACAACAATGTTGATTTTAGGATTTATACAAGACACCCAGGCTATCATAATTGTCAAAATGTATAATAAGAAATTAAAAATTATGTGGCATAAAAAGGAATGAGGAAAATCTCAAATCACAAGAGAAAAGATAATTGACAGATACCAATCCAGCAATGACACAGAAGTAGGGACAATTAGAAGACTTTAAAGCAGCTATTATAACCACGCTTCAGGAAGTAAGGACAGACATTCTTCACATGAACCAACAGTCTCAGCACAGATAGAGATGATATAAAGAAGAAACAAATGGAAATTTTAGAACTAAATAATATAATTTCCAAAAATCCTGGATGGGATCCATGACATATGGGAATGACAGAGGAAAGAGTCAATGAATTTGAAAATATAGGAATAAAAATTATCCAATCTAAACAGAGAAAAATTCTAAAAAGTGACAGAAACTCATTGACCTGTTAGATAATATAAAAAAGTCTGGCATTCATTGAAGTTCCAGTAGGAAAGGTGAAAGATAATGAAGAATAAGCACATTTGAAGAAAAAAATGACAGACAACTTCCCAAGTTAGATGAAGAATGCAATGCAAAATGTTCATCAAACCCCAAAGAAGATAAACTCAAAGAAATCCGTGCCCAAGTTTATCATAATTAAATTTCTGAAAACTAAAGACAAAAAAGAAATCCTGAAGGCAACAAGAGGAAAATAACGCTTTCATATACATAAGCAATGATTCAAATAACTGTGGATTTCTCATCAGAAACCATAGATACCATAGGAAAGCAGAGTAAAATTTATAAAATGTTCATATAAAGAATTAGCCATCAGTATTCCTATCTCCAGGAAAAAAAATTATTCTTTAGAAATGAAGGTGAAATAAAAATACTTTTATATGAAAAAAGAAAGAAAATTAATTTTCAGCAAATATACTCTAGAAATACGTTAAAGGTTTTTCACATTGTAGGGAAATGATCTAGAGGGAGTCTTGGAACTTTAGAAAAGGAACAGAATAAATAATAACTATCAGAATAAATATACTCGTGTATTCTCTACTTCCTAAATTTTAAAAACTGATTATTTAAAGAAAAAATATGTAATATTACCGGAGGAAGTTTCTTTTTTGTTGTTGTTTTTGTTTGTTTGTCAGTTTATTTGCTTGAGTCAGAGTCTTGCTTTGTCACCCAGGCTGGAGTGCAGTGGCGCGATCATGGCTCACTGCAGCCTTGACCTTCTGGGTTCAAGGGATCCTCTCACCTCAGCCTCCTGAGTAGCTGGAACTACAGGTGCATGCCACCAGGCCTGGCTAATTTTTGTATTTTTTTTAGAAATGAGGTCTCACTATGTTGCCCAGGCTGGTCTCAAACTTCTGGGCCCAAGCAATTCTCCTGCTTTGCCCTCTCAAAGCTCTGAGATTACAAATGAGAGCCACCACACCAGGCCTATGTGAAGAAGTTTCAGTGTATATGGATGCAATGTAAATGACAATTACAACATGAAAGAGGAAGGGAAAAAGAATGTAGACAGCAGTAAGTTTACTACATTTAATTTGAAGTGGTAAATTTACTACATTTAATTTGAAGTGTTAAAATATTAATTCTAAATAGGCTCTAAAATGTTAAATATACATATTGTAATATTGAGAAACCACTAATATATACAAACCAATGTTAAAAAACTCAATAAACTCATTTAAAAAGAACACTAAAAATATTCAAATTATTCAAAATGTCATAAAAGAAAGAAAACAATTATAAAAAGGAGAATGAACAGTAAACAAATAATAACATGGTAGACCTAAATCCAAACAAATCAATAATATGAATGCAAATGACTTACTATTTAAATTAAAAAACAGAGATTACCAAAATAGATTTTTGTAACACTCAAGTATATGCTGCCTATGTTAAACTGACTTCAAATAAAATGATATAATTAAGTTAAAAGTAAAAAGATAGAAATTAAATTACACCATGTGTTTGCAATAGGAATTAAAAAAAACTGTTTTGTTTCTATTCCTACTCTCAGTACAGAATTTAGGTCACCTCTGGTCACCTAAATGTGTGGAGATTTCACCCCACCAACAACTATCACTCCAGAAGACAATGGTGTCCTATAATTCAGTTAAATTCTGATACTATTTTCCTGGAGATGGCATAAGATCCCACAGGTTGAGAGCTCAGTCCCACAAGACTGTCCCCTACTTCAAATGCCAATCACAAGTAGTAGGTTGTCACCTACACTTATGACTGAGTGGCTGTAAATCAGGGTTCCCATGACTCCCTCCTTAGGTTTGATTAATTTGCTAAGACAATTCACAGTAATCAGAGAAACACATGAAATGATTGATTATAAAGGATATTACAAAAGATTCTGATGAACAGCCAGATGATAGAGATGCACAGGGCAAGGCATGTGGAAAGGAGGGTAAATCTTCCATGCCATCTCCCAGTGCAAAAACATCTAGGCACCTCCATGTGTTCAGTAATCCTGAAGTTCTCTGAACTCTGCCCTTTGGAGATTTTATGGAGGCTTCATTACATAGGTGTGACTGATTACATCATAGGCCATTAGTGACCAAATCAACCTTTAGTACCTCTCCCCTCCCCAGAGGTTGAGGGATGGGGTTGAAAGTTTTAATCTTCTAATCATATGGTTAGTTCCCCTGGCAATCAATCCCAATCCTCAGGCTATCTAGGAACTCCTTAAGAGACACCTCATTAGAATAAAAGATGCTCCTATCACCCAGGAAATTCCAAGGAATTTATGAGCTCTGCGTCAGGAACCAGGATCAAAAGCCAAACATATATTTCTTACTACACACTATCACACCATGCAAACTCGAATAAATAGAATTGGGTAATCAAAATAATATTAATATAAGACAGAGTAGACTTCAGGGCAAAGGAAATTACAAGAAATAAAGAACAATGTTACATAAAGTTAAAAGGTTCAATCTACCCAGGATTCAGCAATCCAAAATATGTATGCACCAAACAATGAGTTTCAAAATGCAAGTAGAAAAAATTGGTAGAACTGAAAGTAGGATTAGAGTAATTCTCAATTATCTTTGAGACTTTAATATCCCTTTCTCAACGATTGTCAAAACTACTAGACAAAAATTCAGGAAAGATGTAGAAGGACTAAATAACACTATCAATAAATGAGATACAATTGACATTTACAGAACTCTCTACCCAATGCAACATAATACATATTCTTATCAAGTGCTCATAGATGATTCATCAAAATAAAAAATATTTCTTGTTTCATAAATCAAACTTGAATAAAATTAAAATAATTGAAATCATACAATGTGTTCTCTGATTAAAATGAAATTAAAGTAGACATTGACAATTTAAAGAAAATTTAAAAATCTCCAAACACTTGGAAACAAAGCAAAACAATTCTAAATAACCTGTTTTTCAAAAAAGAAGTCTCAGGGGAAATTTAAAAAAATATTTTGAACTGACTGAAAATGAAAATACAACATATCAAAATTTGTGGGATTGAGGCAAACAATGTTTAGAAGAAAATTTATAACATTAAATTATTATATTAGAGTAGAAGAAATGTTTCAAATAAAAAATTTAATCTACCCAAGGAAACAGTTTTTTAAAAAGAGCAAATAAGCCTAAGCAAGTAGAAGAAAGGAAATAATAACAGGCACAAATCAATGAAATTGAAAAATAAACAAAGGTCAATTTTTAAAAGAAGATCAATAAAATCGATAAGCATTCAGCCATGTTCAACATTTCTAAGGAGAAAAAATACATAAATCATAAGAATCAAGAAAAAAAGAGGAGATATCACTACCAACTGCACAAACATTAAAATAAGAGAAAACCGCAAATAACTCTATGCTAAATAAATGTCACAACCTAGATGAAGTACACCAATCTTATGATAGTCATATTACCAAAATTCACACAGGAAGATATAGATAATATGTATAATCTTATATTTATTAAAAATTACATTCAGCTAGGTGCAATGGCTCACGCCTGTAATCCCAGCATTTTGAAAGGCTGACATGAGAAGGTCTTTTGAACCCAGGAGTTTTTTAAGACCAATCGGGTCAACAGAGTGAGATCTTGTATCTAAAAAAAAAGAAAAAAAAATCAATAAAAATTACATATAATTTATTATTAAAAGTTTTTGGAAAAAAAAGTCTCCAGACCTAGGTAGTGTCACGAGTGATTGCTACCAAATATTTAAAGAGGAATTAATAATATGTCTACACAATTTCTTCCAGGAAATAGGAAGAAACACTTCCCAAATGATTTTATGACACTAAATTATCCTGGCACCAAGACCAAACACAAACCATACATCCTCCTGAAAGAACTCACCAAAAACTAAACAACAAAAAAACTATAGGCTAATTTTTTTTCATAAACATAGACACAAAATACTAGTAAATCAACCCAGCAATATTTGAAACAATAATACACCATCACCAACTGGGATTAATCCTGAAAATGTGAGGCTAGTTCAATCTTTGAAAATCAATCAGCGTAATCTATTATAGTTACAGAATAGAGAAGAAAAACCACATGCACATATGAATCGATGTAGAAAACTCATCTGAGAAAACAACTTGCATAAATGATAGAAAAAACGCTTAGCAAATTAGTAATTGAAGGGAATGTCCTCAACATGATAAAGAGCATTCACAGAAAAAGTACAGCTGACATTTTAAATGATAAAAAACTGGATGCTTTCTCCTGAAGATCTGGAATCAGACAAAAACGTTTGCTCTACAACTCCTATACATCATACTGAATAATCTAGTCCGTGAAATAAGGCAAGAAAAACAACTCTATAAGATGTACAGAGAGCAAAGAAAAAATATTAACTATTCACAAATTGTACTGTTGTCTTTATAGGAAATTTTATTGGATCTACTAAAAAGCAAATTGAAAACCGAACTTAGAATTAATACCACTTACGATAGCTTTAAAGGAATAAAATGCTTAGGTATAAATCTAATATACATCCAGGTACAGGATTTGTATCCCGACAATTATAAACACTAATTAAAGACATCAAAGGAGACCGAAATAAATGTAGATACATATCATGTTAATGGATTGGAAGACTTGATATAGTTCAGAAGTTAATTCTCTTCAAATTGATCCCTAGAGCTAATGCAATGCCACATAAAATCTCAGAAAAATATAACTTTAAAAAATACAAATTGATTCTATAATATATATGGAAAGGAAAAAGACCTTTAACTGCCAGAACAATTTTGAAAAAAAGAACAAAGATGATGGACTCATACAACTTGATTTTAACAACCACTATGAAGCTACAAAACCAAGAGTGTGATATTGATGAAGGTAAAGTCACATAAATCAATGAAACAGAATACAGTCCAAGAATAAATCAACAGTATAGCAAACTGGTTTTGACAAAGATGAAAGTCAATTCAATGAATAAAGGATCATATTCTGAAAAATAGTTTTGGGAAAACTGGACCTTCACAAGTAAATGAATAAGCAAACAAACAGCAAGCCTGCTTCAATCTATACCCCACACCGTATTATGATTCATAAATCTAAATATAAAACATAAAACTATAAAATTTCTAGAAAAAAACAGAAGAAAGTCTTTGTGGCCTTGGGTTAGGCAGTGAGTTCTCAGATATGACAACAAACACAGTCTATACAAGAAAAAAAAAGTTATACCTTATCAAAATTTAAAAAATAATTATTCTCTGTGAAAGACATTGTTAGAAGAATAAGACAAATTCCAGACAGGGAGAAAGCACATATCTGAAACACAACACATTTCCAGACTATGTAAAAAATTTTTCAAATATACTCCTTAACTTTGTGTACTGGAGAAAAAAAAAGTATACAATTATTAATACCACCACAATTATCAAATCTCAATATTAAGAAAACAACTCATTAAAAATGGGCAAAATACTTGAATAGCTGTTTCCAAAGAGGATACACAGAAGATGAATGTGACATGAGGAGACGTTCAATATCGTTAGTCATTAGAGAAATGAAAATTAAAACCACGGATAAGATACTATTACAAATCTATTAGGATGATTATAAACAAAAAACTGTGATAGTACCAGTTGCTGGCTAGGATGTGAAACACCTAGAACTCTCATACATTCCTGATGGGATTCAAAAGGTACAACCATTCTGGAAAACTGTTTGGCAGTTCCTCATGAAGTTGAATATACACTTATCATATGCCATTGTAATTTCAATCCTAGGCATTTCCCTGGGTGAAAACTTATGTTCATACAAAAACCTGTAGATGAATATTTATGGCAGACCTGTACATAATAGCTCCAAACTGGAAATAACCCGAATAGTTTTCTACAAACGAATTAATAAATTGTGGTATGTCTCTACACGTAAATACTAATAATACTAATACTAATGAAAAGGAACAAACTACTTGTACATGCAATAGCATCAATATACCTCAAAAGAATTATGCTGAATGAAAGAAGCCAGACCTGTACATAATAGCTCCAAACTGGAAATAACCCGAATAGTTTTCTACAAACGAATTAATAAATTGTGGTATGTCTCTACACGTAAATACTAATAATACTAATACTAATGAAAAGGAACAAACTACTTGTACATGCAATAGCATCAATATACCTCAAAAGAATTATGCTGAATGAAAGAAGCCAGTCTCCAGAGGGTCATATAAATGTATTAATCCATTTACCTGAAGGCAAAACTCAAGTAATAGACAACATATCAGTACAAGAGAGATTTTTGAGGTTGCTAAAACTGTTATGTATTCTGATTGTGGTGGTGGCGACCTAAACTTACCTGTGTTAAAACTCAGAACAGTACAACACAAAAAAGCCAATTTTACTAATTTAGTTTAAAAAATAAAATTCTTGAAAATATCTGATTCTACAGGGGTGAAAAAAAACATTATTTTATTTGCTCCTAGGATTTTACTCATACTCCAGGTACATCTGAAGTATTTTCAATATTGTTTTGTTTATGTCCTATATGGTAAATGGTAGTGGGAGAGGAGGAAACAACTGTCTTAGAATCACAGCCCAGGGCTAGGTCAAGGCTTACGTGTCACGATTTTAAAGACATTGTGAACAGAACCGCCATATTGCCCACTTCCATGGCCGCCATATTGCCCACCTCAATGGGCGCCATTCCCATGTAATGCTACTGAATGTTGCCCCTTGGAGTGGCCCATATTATGAATACCTTGCAATCTCAAAGCACTATTCCTTCATCCACGCCCCTCACAAGTTGCTTGTGATACTTCAAGTTTCACTAGTAAAAGTAACTTCACTTATTTAACGGAAGACTCTAATCTTTATTTGAAATGCCAATTTTGAGAGAGGTCATATTCATACTAAGTTACTATAGTGGCATGCACATTAAGTCATGTCTGTCCCTTTTAGAATTTATTTTTTAAATTTTTTATTGTGGGAGAGAATAAAGCCGTTATATATACAGGAAAAGTCAAGCCGGTTGTTTTGACAATTACTGTCTTACAAAAATTAGGTACTTGTGTTCGAGATTTATTATTTCTGGGTTTGCTTGTTATCTCCACCATGTAAGAGCTATGGGATTGGGAAGACATTTACCCTTAGTTTTCTTATGTGTAAAATGGCAGTAATAATAGTACCTACCTTATAGGGATATTCAGGATTAAATTAGTAGAAAAAGTGTAGTGTGTTCTATTAGCTCTCAACAAATAGAAACTATTTTAGTGAGAAGGAAGAGGCACGGGAACACTGGAGAAATTGCCCAACAACTTACTACTTTATTTTGCCTAAGGCTAGTGCATTAAATCTAAACTCATCCATTTGTAAGAGCTCTATATTCCATGAT
The DNA here is from genome assembly GCF_000001405.40 of Homo sapiens. NCBI lineage: Eukaryota > Metazoa > Chordata > Mammalia > Primates > Hominidae > Homo > Homo sapiens. The sequence goes on from NC_000018.10 coordinate 39,770,361, forward strand.
CTCAGGTAATGATGATCAGGGTTACCCCCTTGGTATCTCTAGTGGGTTTGTGGCTATTTTCAAAGCTAGGTAAGTATTATTGAATCTTAAAAAAAGTAAAATAAAAACAACAACAACAAAAAACCCTTCTCTTCCTGTCTTTTAAACCTTCAAGTTGTAAAATTCTGTGCAGTCTAACTAACCCTGAAAGGGTTCCCCATGGTGTGGTACACACTAGAGCAATTAACTGATTACTGCTGTTTTGAAAATGTAGCCTTTGGCACAGTAATAACCACCTCCTCCCAGCAAGACACAGTCTTGTTTATCATTATTGGTTTGGACTCTTCTGAGAGTCTTTGACGCATATGACAAGGCTCATATCCAAGCCAATTTGAATTAATTTCTTCCATAAGATTCCATGAAACACTGGCAAATGCTTTTCAAAATCAGAATCCCTTGCACTTTCGCACTTTCTTCTATTTCCACTTCTCTTCCCATTGACATAAACTAGAATTAAGTATTCATATTGAGCAGAAAACAACTCCTTTGTTTTACACAGTTATGGAAAATTTACCTATTGAAATGTTATTGGATAAAATCACAGAGTCATAGTTTTAAAGCTGGAAGTGATGAGGCAAATTATGGTTTTATTCATGGATTGGAAATAATGATTTTTAAAGTATATTTTCCAATAAAGATCACACATAGTTCTTTCTTCCTTTTACCCAATACACCTTGCTTAACCACCTCTATTCCTTCCTCTCCAAATACAAGTGTTCAGTGCTAGTGCCTACCTTTGTGGTCACTTCAGCATTTGTTCATGCAATTATGTATGTGCTCTTGACCACCTCCCAACCTCTGAAAAAATTAAAACCTTTCTTACCCACCCTAAGTTCAAGCAGCTTGTCTTCCTCTGGTCTTCTCACTGCAATTCACCCAAGTGGCCCATCTTTTCATATATATACCTCTCCACTCTTCAATAAGATGATAAGGTCTCTACAGCAGGTAGCATGACAGTATAAAATGATACTTTTATTAAAAGCACATTTATTTTGTGATCGACTCCTTGCTCTGCCCCACTAGAAGAGTGTCAACTGAGAGAAGTCTCATAATCTCTCAGAGCCTTAGCTTACCCATTTACAAAATGAGAAGACATTGTAGATTGTTAAGGTGCCTGATAACAGTGAATGTGCATAGTCATGTTCATTTCCTTCTCCTAACTTAATATCCTCTCAGGCAGGAATTGCAGTGAGATGGCCCAAATGTAACCTTAATATTGGCCAAAAGTGTGTTTAACATTATGGTTTGAATGTTTCTAGACCAAGCACGCCTCTCCAGGTTTCCCTGTCCCTACCACTCTCCACTGTACAAATGTGGCCACCATAAAGTATGTTACTACTTTATGGCAGTAACCTGTCTACTTTTTAGAGACACTTGCATTTGCTAGAGTCCTTAAAACAAGTGTTTCATATGTAAATACAAAGTTCAATACATAAATGAAAAATTGGTAAAGAGGAACCATTTTCTCTGATGATACATGTTTCTGTTGGTGCGTAGGGCTGCATTCTTTAACAACCAAAGCAATAGCTATTTCCAAGAGAGTCACTGATTTCATTTGTCACTTTATTGTCAGAGTCAGAGAAGTGAATTAAAGTTGGAGCTGTCATCATCATTTTTTGAGAACATTCCTTTTCCAAGCCCAGGTTGTAGTTTGTTGTTTCACTGGATAAAAAGGCATTTCTTAACAGAAAATGTGGTCCGCACCTTCACTCATGACCTTCTCTTTTTCTGAAACACCAAAACACTTTTCCACAAATAGAGCTCTCTTAAAATCAAGGCCAGAACTAGGCAAATATAAAATCACATTCTTTTATACATGATATCTATGCTCAGTTAGAGGAGAGACTGGATCAAAGACCAAAGAAGGCTGATGTGTGTTGACAAAGGCACCAGGAATAGAAAGTTCCTCTCAGCTTTCAGGAATTCCTGATGATGTGGATGTAGACTGAATGAGGCCACTGGTAGGTCATAAGTAGCCTCATATGAACTGGTAAGAGATGCCCCTTCTTGGTGGATGCAGCATGGCTTGGCAAGCTAAGGCCTGGATAGATTTTTGTTCACACTCATTCCCTTGGCCATGGGCCAGTGTATAGTTACCATCCTGCAGAAAGATACAGGGAGGCCTGAGTAGTGAAACTGTATTTTGATGTTCATATTTTCTTTATGCCTCTCTATATTTTCCCTTTCCCTTTCTTTCCCATTGAAAGGCCTCTGTGTTCAGAGAAGAGGGCAGAAAGAACTGCTGAAATAAGGAAGATGAAATCCCACTCCAGAACATTCCAAACTAATGACTTGGGATAGGATCTTTCTGCTTGAAAGAGTCATAAAGAAAAAAAGATACAATAGATTGAGGAAGGAGGAAGAGGGCCGAGCAAGGGTGTGATTGAGTCCCAATGAGAAGATCCCTGAAAGAACAAGGAAATATCACAGAAAGAATGACTGTGACTGGAGCAAAAAGGACATTTATAGTCTTCCAAGCAGACCATGCCCTTGTTGGTAAAGTAATAGTAGAGACTACTGTACCCTAAGATGAAATCTGGAAATTAGAGAGGCCATGCAGGCTGGAACAAGGGACATTTCAATAGTGACTTCTGTGGGTTAATATCCAAGAATCTAAGCCCCCCTCAACCAAAAACTGTTCTTCAGTTATAAGACCTGCCAAAAACTGGCACAACCCTAGGGAAGTGAGGGTCATAGGAGGTGGATCCCAAAAAACTGTGGTTAAAGTTTCTCCCAGTCAACATGGTAGTATCTAAACAATAATAAAGTGTGAGTTATTTGAAAATAATGTGATATTTGGGAACATTCCTGTCTTTGTATGACAATTATTACCATCTAGGAAATCTACCATGAAGATCATTGCTATAGTCATTGGAGGGGGAACAGTGCCTGCCACAGTCTCCATTCCTATTGTAGTTGGGCCCATTCTCAAACTGGAGGCACCTCAACCCCAGACAGATAAAGGCCAAAGAAAAAGATGATGTGATATTTTCCTGCCTTTTCCCCACCTTCACAATGACATGGCTTTGGTATTATTTCTTAAAATCAAGCAAAAACTCATTAAATATGGGCAGTGGGTCATCAGCCAGTCTGTGGGAGAGGTCTATATAAGATAGGGGATATTTCAGATGTCCCTGACATGTCACCTTTTCTCTGTTCTCAGGCAGTTGCTACCTGATATAGTTTGGATATTTGTCCCCACTCAAATACCATGTTGAACTGTAATCCCCAATATTGGGGGTGGGGCCTAGTGGGAGGTGTTTGCATTATGGTGGCAGATCCTTCATGGCTTGCTGCTGTCTTGATGCTGATAGTGAGTTCTGGCAAGATTTGATCAATTAAAAGTGTGTGGCACCTCCCCCCATGCACTCTCTCTCTTTCTTGCTCCTGCTTTCATCATGTGACATGAAAGCTCCAGCTTCACCTTCCACCATGAGTAAAAACCCCCTGAGACTTCGCCAGAAGCTGAGTAATGTTGACGCTATGCTTCTTGCACAGCCTTCAGAACCATGAACCAATTAATCCTGTTTTCTTTATAAATTATCCAGTCTCAGGTATTTCTTTATAGCAATGCAAGAATGGACTAACACACCACCCATGGCAGCTACTTCCTCTTCTGCTCAGAGGAGAAGTCTGACTCTAATTCAAAAGACACAGCCAATTTCCATCATCCTCAGCACTGTTCTCTGCCACCCTGCCCTGGCACAGGGACATTTCCCAGAGAGAAGGTCTAAAATGTTTCTGCATGACTGCTTGGCACAAGTTGATACTGCAGGACTTAGAATTTTGGGAGAGCAAATGACAACATATGTACATATTTAAACTTCTCTTGCAGGGAGAGAAAAGATTCTCATCTTTGAAAGTGACAGCTGTCTCAGGAAATACCACTGGCCTGGTCATAAAAGGCCATGGGCCTGGAGGTCAAATAAAATTTGTTAAGTGGTGTATTCTCTGTACCAAGCTAGAGGTGGCCTTTGGGTGACAATCATAAGTGGTGGGCTAGGTAATTACCTGCAACATACATAAAAACAAACAAAAATATTTACCTCTCTCTTCGACTTCTCCTTCTATTCCTCCACGCTCCCCAAAAGGATGAGAAAATAAAAGGATAAAGAGAAACAAAAAACAACAAAACTATGTGTAGAATTTTACCATCTCAGTCTGTATGCTACCAAGCTAGTTGGAGGAATTGCATCCGCTCACAGCATGGACCAAAGTAATTGAATTCCATCCAAATTTGAATGAGGGCCTTGTCTGATGAGGTTTTGGCCTCTGTCAAAAGAGGAAGTGACAGCTGGGAGAAGTGACCAGGTATGCAGTAGAATCACCAGATTTCATAAGAATGGATGTGGTTTAGTGATTTACAGAGCACCAGAACCTTGCCTTGAAGATCCCAGGAATAAATACGCAACAAAAACTGTGTAAACAGACAGAGAAAGAAAAGAATAATCCCTCCTCCCCCCAGCTCTGCCTGGGTGTGAGATTTTATTGTGCATGCAGGTGGTATGATACAGAACAGTGTATGCTGAACTCCATGCTGCTCTACACCATGAGGCAGGAAGGCCAAGTTGTTGAGGACAACAGCACATTTTACTAAGTCCCTGAAACCTATCATTGTTCATAATGTCACACCATGGAAAACTGGAAAAGCAGAACAAATGCAGGCTTTCCTATCGAAATGTCTACTGCCTTCAAAAAGCAAACGCATAGTGTCCTTTTTCAAAGAAATATGAAAACTCATAGAAATGCTTAGACCCCTAAGAACATGCCCATCAGTTTTTCATATTTGCAGGCAAAACTGAATAAATGTCTTTGGATTCATCTAGCATGCCCCACCACCCCCAGCTTTTTGTCTCTTTCCCTCTCTTTCTCTCTGTTATTTTTAAAGTCATATCTTATCATTTGATGAATAAAGTGAAGTTTGTGTTCTCAGAAGCATTGTGTGTGGCATTTTCATTTTGAAAAGAAGAATGCTGAGTGGGGTTGTGCAGGAACAAATCTTTTGTTGTCACAGACGTGCATGTGTTTGAATAAGGCATTCCAGAGTCATAATGACAAGTTTAATATATATCTTTTCCCACTTGACTCCAAGTCCATGGGTATTTCTAGTATACTATGTGGTAAAAATGTGTTTCCCTTATGATCTAAAAGTTGCAAATACCACCAAGTTCTGTATTAGAGGAAATGTGTGAAAAAGATAAGGCCCTTTTGAGATTAAACCCTTGTCTTATGCTCCCCTATATACAGATTTTGTTTGTGAAAGCAGTGATTCCTGGCAAATACCACCAGAAGCCTGGAGGTATGGAGGAGGATATGGGGTCAAATATGGACACCACCAACTGGAAAATATTTTAGTAAAAAGTTACATATTCTTGAAAGTCTGCTGAAGTATTTTTTTTTATTTGTGCAAACCTCTGACTTGGCTCTGTGGGAGTCACAGGTGAATTTGGAGAAAAAAATTAAAAACTGTAAACAGGACAATGTGGGAGGTAGAAATATTACAGAATGTAATGTCTCCTTGATAAAAGGAACAAGGTAAGGCTATCTCACAGAGGAGGACAGAGGGAGAGAAAGACATTGTCCTCGTATTCAGGTCATAAATAACTTTCCTCTAGCTACTTATTTACTCCCTAATTTCTTGACAACTTTGATCAAGTCAGTCATTCAATATCTGTTTTTCACTTATGGATTTTAAATGATTACCTCCACCCCCACCATTATCCTTGTCTTTCTTAAAATTACATATTTGCTATTCTATAGAACCCTGTTTTGTTCCCTAATATTGTGACATTTATGATAGTAAACTTAATTTTTAAAAATGTGATAGCTTTTGGTGGTGTACAACTGAGAACCCAGAATTCCTAAAATATGTAGGGGAAAGAGCCAACAGGGCCCCAACATTGGCTTGTGGATTATATAACCTTAGGCAGCATTAGTCACTTTGGTCACAGTGGGAATGGTGTTCCCTGGTGTTTTACAAGGTGGTACAATTGATTATTTTAAAATATGGATCAGTAAATTACTGTAGGCATCATGATCACAGTTTTAAGAATTGCTCAGGTAAAACTGTGGCAGTAATGGTGCAAAACCACTCCATTACCTGCTGTCTTTTCCTGTACATTGGTTTCTGCTTTGAGGACAGTACCTTGAACTACCTAGAAGGATTAAAAATATCTCTCTACCTCTGGGTTATGCTTCTGGGTCCTCTGGTTCTCTTAGGTGGACACTCTCACAGTGAAATAAACTCCATTTAGCAGAAGAGATTTGGTGAATGTCGCAGGCTAAGCTTCCGCAAGCTACATTTTGTTTTGCAGAGATGTTGCATGCCCAGACCCAATCCATGTTAGAGCCGGGGTACATGGACATTGGTGTGGAGGTCCTGCATGTCTGCTAAGTTCTGGCTTAGAGAAAGAGGTCACTACTGACAGAAGCTTCACATTACTTAAATCACTAACTGCCAATCTAGTCAGACTTAAAAGTCCTATTTGAATGTTGCATGCTGCCTGCTGCTAAGGTTTCTTGGTTTCAAGGGAAGGAATGCTGAGAACATGGTAGAGCTGTCCCTGACCACTGCTTGACTAAGCACCTCCAGTAAAGCTGGTGAAGCATTTCCAGAGTCAGTCACCTAGATATAACATGACTGCAGAACCCTTCAGGGTCTTCAATTTTATGGCTTAGGGAAGAGAAACACTTTTTAGACCTTTATCTCACAGCATTCAAAATGTCCAAGTTGGTGAGGGGAAAATCACTCATGCTTTCTGTAACAGCACAGAAGCAAGTTTATGCATAATTTTTTTAGTATTCTATGTGGAAAACAAACAAGGATAAATATATCCCACTAGTTGGTATTTTTATAATGGAATAATTTAATGTGGTAGAATAATGAAATAAAAAGGTAGTTTCAAGTATTCTCTATTCTCTTATATTCTTGTGATTTTTTTATATCCACTGTTAAGATTTAGAAAAGTAGCAATATGGAATAAATAAGTAACCAAGATTTCTTAGACATAAGCAGCTTTGAAAAGTGTAACTCTTTATTAGGTAACTGCAAATGATTGCAACCACAGTGTTGCTTTACATTAAAAAATGTGACATGGAAAATATGGATCAAAGATATTAGTGGCTTTCAAGGAACCTCTGTAGATATCAGAGAGATTATTTTGCTAACTATAATTTTTTTCAGGACACTGAGCCTTTCTATTGTCAATACAACTCAGAGAATCAAAGGGTCACTGTCTACACTTCTTAGTAAGATTATGAGAAATTTGATGAATTAAATTCTCTAGGTCATTGAGGATCATATTTTTCAATTTCAAAATTTGATATTGAAAATATTACTCTGATGTGCCAGTCTACTTCCATGTTTCAGCATGGAGAGTCTTGTAAACATCTTTGATTTCTTTTTCTTTTTCTTTTTTCCTTTTATTTTTTTTCCCAATATAAGACCTTGCAGGACCTCTATGCATCATTCTGATTCAGACATTATAAGGTCATAAAAAGATGTAAAAGGTAGTCAAATGAGACTTTATCCTGAGACAGAGCCTAGCGATTATTTTTCTTCTTATGTCTAAGTTCAGCAATCACCACACTTTACTGTCTCCTCCTACCTCGTCTTTTTTCTTTTTTTATTCATATAAACATAAATCCAAAATAAACATAAATCTAGTCATCTAAAGGTTTTATTAAAATGTTTCAGATTGAGGTTTTATTATAAAACACACTTTAGGCCGGGCGCGGTGGCACACGCCTGTAATCCCAGCACTTTGGGAGGCCAAGGCGGGCGGATCACGAGGTCAGGAGATCGAGACCATCCCGGCTAAAACGGTGAAACCCCGTCTCTACTAAAAAAAATACAAAAAATTAGCCGGGCGTAGTGGCGGGCGCCTGTAGTCCCAGCTACTTGGGAGGCTGAGGCAGGAGAATGGCGTGAACCCGGGAGGCGGAGCTTGCAGTGAGCCGAGATTGCGCCACTGCACTCCAGCCTGGGCGACAGAGCGAGACTCCGTCTCAAAAAAAATAAATAAATAAATAAATAAATAAATAAATAAATAAATAAATAAAACACACTTTAATGAACCAGAGTTTTACCTTCTGGAATACATGAATTTAAGCACAGAATAATTTCATGTATAGGCCAAGGTCTGCAGTCCTGGCCTGTATGCCTCCCATAGTAAGGGAGGCACAGCCTGGGGAGAAGGAGATAGAAGGGTTCATCATGTCAGCCCTGCATGACCCTGCCTGAAGAATGACGAGAGTAACCTGTCATTGTGGGGTAAACTGAGGCACCCAGGAAGACAACCTCACTTTCAAAGGCCCTATTTTGACAATTTTGCATGATTAGAAACATATTCCTTTATCTTAAAAATTGAGCCCTTTAGTTACAAATGTGCCCAGAAAGAAACACAGGGTAAGCTACAAGGAGTTCACATTCAAATATTAACTAATACCCTAAGATTCGTTCCGACAATAGCTTTTTAAAGGTTGGGAAGCAAATATGAAGATACATGTTTTCAAAGTCTGAACAAGATTGGATAAAGGAGTGGGGTATAAAAATGAGAAAGACACTTATTTTAAATATTCATCTGTGAAAACTCATAGCATGAGCAGCCGTGAGCATCATTTAAAAATGAGTGAAACTTATATTCAACATTCTTCCACTTTTTTCTTTTTTTTTTTTTTTTTTGAGACGGAGTCTCACTCTGTCACCAGGCCAGAGTGCAATGGCACGATCTTGGCTCACTGCAACCTCTGCCTCCTGGGTTCAAGCGATTCTTCTGCCCTCAACCTCCCAAATAGCTGGGACTACAGGTGCGCACCACCACACCCAGCTAATTTTTTCTATTTAGTAGAGACAGAGTTTCACCATGTTGGCCAGGATGGTCTCGATCTCCTGACCTTGTTGTGATTCTCCCACCTCAGCCTCCCAAAGTGCTGGGATTACAGGCATGAACTACTGTGCCCAGTCTACTTTTTGTGCCTTCCTCCTACCACAAAATTCCAGGCCAATAGAGCCCCAGGGCAAACACATGTCCCCCACTTGATATCTCTGCTTTTCTTCCCTACCAGTCTGGTCTGCCTATACACATCACAGGTCCTGGATATGGCCCCCTCCAATGTACTTATAGGCCTAGTTTGCTGATAGACTAAATCTCATAAAATATTTCCAATGGATAAGAAACAAAAAAGATAAACATGCCTTCCCAGAGATATTTCTATTTTCCTTAATGCAGGAGATCCTCTCTCTAATGTAGGATGAAACTGTGCTATTTTGGGGACAGGTGGAATCTCCCTTTTGTCCCTCAAAGCATACCCACTACTTAAGTGGCCAGTTCTTTCAACTACACTCCAAGTCTTTTGATGTTGATACACCCTGAACATAAAAAAGGGTGACACATGAAGTCACCAGAGGTGGTGGCTGAAGTTGGTAAGTAAAGGGTGTTTGCTTTGACATAGTCATTGATGATTTATTCCACTCAGATCGAGTCTAGACAAATAGCTCAAACCTCTTAAAAGTTCGATCTAGTTTTATTAAAAGTCTTCCAGTTTTTAAAAGTTTGTAAATGTTCAGAAAAAAAAAACCTGCTGTGATTCTAGGATCCTTTCGCATGTGTTCTTACTCCTTTTTAATAACAGTGGCCTTGAGCATATCAACCTACTCCTCAGTCAGCAAATTCTGTGGGGGCCTTAAGCAAGTGATTTTCCCTTTGCAGTCTCCTTAACAGCTAAAAATGTCTCTGCTTAGTATCATTTCATGCACTTCTCATATTTCCTCATCAAGGTCCAAATGCAGTATGAATTTCCATGGGAAAATCTGTTTTCTGTGAATATAAGAGTGGTTGATCATAAGGCAGCATTCTGGGGCAAACCAGATGTGAACTCTGGTTTGTCACAAGGCGTAAGTTTCTTAGGAATAACCCCTTCCCTTTTGCATTGTGCTTTTACCACTGTCCTGCTTCCATATCCTCTTTCTCAAACCCAGCGTTCCAAACTAAGAAACCTGATCTGATGGAGTGGCTTAGCTCTCACCCAGTATGGAATGGTCACTCAATGGTAAGTCATTGACCTCTTAATGATGGCTGATATATAAATGTCATTGGCTGTCCCTGCTTACACCAAGGGCCATTGGGTCATTTAACAAAAGGTATAGGAGCTTGGTAGGAGGCAACTATTATAATACACTTCTATACAATAGAAGAAGTCTATACTGTAGAGTGTCGACTTCTTCCTTAAAATAGGCTTTCAGCAATGGCAAGCTAAGATGCCTCATCAGCACAGTATTTTTCCAAACTTATTACTTGCCTTATGTCCCCTACTAATCAGTAATCTCCTTGAGTAACATCCCAGTGCCTAGTACAGTACCTTTCAGATAGAACAGGCTTGATAAACACTGAGTGGACTAAATTTAATAAATTGAGAGAGCCACTCATTTGGGTTTCTAATACAAAACGGCCTTGGCTATTCTGTTTTTAAATATTTAGCAGTTCAGTTAAAAACGCCCCTGTGAATCTTTTATGACATCATTTATCTTTCTATTTCTTTTCAGCTTTAAATTGCACTGCCAGATTTATTTGCTGCGGTATTAGGTTTCCATGTCTACCCAGTTCTAGTCCAGCTCTTCTAATGCGATTCAGTCTTTTTACTGCAAGACTCAGACTCAAATATTAAATCAACATTTGCCATTAAGACTCCACATTTGTCTATGGGATGATGATTGGATTCATCTTTTGGAAAGGAATCTATATAAATACATCTTCTCTAATAATATCCAAAGATAATCCTCTCCTCCTCCTCATCCCCTGCCGTGTTTCTTAAAAATGTAGACTCCAGGACTCTCTAAGTTGCTCTCCCCAAAGCTACAGTAACATCTCCTCCACTGGTAATGTCATTCCATTACCTCCACTCTCTGATGTTCTGATGTTTGCTGCCAAATACATGGTTTCAGAAAAATCCTGCGTGCTTTGCCATTTTTATTAGAAGCAGAATCTGATCAACAACATTCCAATTATAAGAGTAAAAAGAGAAAAAGGTAATCAGGCTTTGAATTAAATCACATCTGGACAGGCCTGTTGTTGAGGGCACTAATAATATATTGCATACGTATTTGGGCAGAGCATGCCAGAAGTGAATTCCACATCATTAACAAAGTTCTCTATCAATCACTCACAATCTGGCAGCTGTAACCGGCAAGGTGCAGAATCAAGTCTTCTTCACTGCTGAATATGTATCATCATGGCCCATGCAAGTCCCTTCTCTGCCTATGGGGTCTGCCAGGCACACAGCTGCTTGAAGAGCAGAACGGGGGTTTGCATTAACGCTCTTCAAGTCATTTCTCTCTCAGACAGGAATCTTGCATTTTAAACACCATTGCACAAAGAGCTTGGAACGCCTTCTCAGAGTCAGTTCTCTTGGCTCACTACAGAGAACAGGGAGAAATATGTCACTCCTGCAAATAGCCACAACAGTCCTCAGAAGGCAATGGGCTGAATGAGGCATGTGTGGTTGCCACTGTCTCTCTCTGCTAATGCTGAGGAGAAAATCTCGGATTTTCAGCCAGCGACCAAGTAAAGTCAGATGGAGTGGGAGCTTAGCATGGCCCAGCTTGGTAAGCACCTTCATTTTTTTAAAGCACCCTCAATATTCCTCATACCATCTTTGGAAATCTAATATACTATAGCAATTTATATAATACTGGTTTTGATCCTTGCAGCAAATCATCAAGAGGATGTGCTGTGTGGATTAAAGACCTGAGTGCCAGAGCCAAACTGACTGGCTGAATTTCTGCTCAGCTGTTTACAGTTCTGTGATCTTGGTCAAGTTATTTAACATTCCATGCTTCATTATTCCACCTGAAAAATGGGGATAACAATAGTAGCTGACACATAGGGTTGTTGTAAGAAATAAATACAAAAAACATGTAAAACACACTTAAGGGTCAGGACTGGTACCAAGTAAGCCTCAATGTTAGAAGTCATTCAAATTCAGGAGAACTATGGTTACTCTGATCTGATCTAAATGATGGTTGAAGCTGAACCTACAGATTTCCATGATCTCATAGCAGAGTGGCAAAAAGGGAGCAGGCATTCCCCTCTATGGAATACAAATTATCCTTTATCCCTCTGAAGTGTCCAAAGGGAAGCAAGTACTCACTGCAGCTGATGGAAACACTTTAACAGATTTTTTGTGGGGGTTGGGAGGAGTTGAGGCTTATTAGCAAACATGTATTTCAGTTTTTGTGGAATTATCTAATCTGAAACCCTTTTTTGATAATCAAAATTAGTATCAAAGACTTATTGAGCCTGGGTGTGATAACTCATGCCTACAATCCCAGAGCTTTGAGAGGCTGAGTGGGGACAATCACTTGAGCCCGGAAGTTCAAGATCAGTCTGAGCAATACAGGGAGATTCTGTTGCTATAAAAAATTTTTTTTAATTAGCTGGGTGTGCTAGTGAGCACTTGTGACCCTAGTAGATGAGAAGCTGAGGTGGGAGGTTTGCTGGAGCTCAAGAAGTTGAGACTGCAGTGAGTGGTGATCATGCCACTGTCCTCCTGCCTGGACAACAGAGTGAGACCCTCTCCCCAGCAAAAAAAGACATTGAGTAGCTGCTATGTGTAAAACTTTGATAATGACTCTGAAGTGAGAAACTGAAGTCTTACAACAGAGTTCCTCTCCACATACCTACCAACGGTTCAGTATATAAACACATGGCATTGATAACATGTGCTGGTGAGTATGAACATCCATCTGGGATAGGAAGGACCTGCATGAAAGCCTTGTCTTTCCCTGGATGAAGTGGGAGCAGAAATTATGCATTTGGGTTAAGAGAGGGCTGGACAAAGTAAGGCCAAAACAGTTCAGGAGACTACTGACCTTGACCCATTATGGATGTGAGAGTGGGTGATCACAGAACATCCATAGGGCTTCCTTTACACTAGAAACTTCCTTAAGGAAAAAAAAATCAACATTTGTGGTTAACAAAAAAATAATTTGTTTCTCTCTTTTCTAATACACATCTATCATATGATTAATAATGGCAAATATTGCTGGAGCATCATGGGATATACAAGCCGTATAAGACTCAACACCCTATACCAAAAAACTTGTCATCTAATTAGAGAACTATACAACTTATGGATTAAAAAACAGCAAGTATAAAACAGAAAAATGCACTAACAAATAATATCAATCAAAAAAACCAGGGCTACATAAGCTAAGAAAGCAGAGAAACATGTACATCTCAAATCAACAGCAATTATGCTGCATCCCAGACCTGTTCTTTTCAGAACAAATGGGGACTAGGGGATAAAGGAATCTTTTTCAGGTTGCAAGAGCCCCCTTGAGTAAAAACAGAAAACAAGTCAGACAAGCTTAAGAATTCACTCTGCTTCTCAATAGCCTCTTCTCTGCCCAGTTTTCTGTGGTGACAGGTCACTCCTTGTCACTTTAAGCCCCAGCCCTTCACCATTAATTGCCCCTCTCAGTTTTTATTTATTTTTCATCTTAGGGGAAAAGGAGGTGGGGAATAGATTTCTTTCCCAGCTGTTCCTTTCTTGTAGCACATTCTACAAACTCCAACCCTGTCCCACCAGCCTGAGAAACTACACCAAGGGGAGGAGGGTAGAAAGGAAAATAAAGGGGAAGAGAAAAGTGGTTAAAAACTTAATTTAATATACTTACTAAAGATGCTGAAAAATGCACTTACTTCAGAACCTCCACCACTGAGTACTGTGAAGTAGCATTTAGCTCTAATAGGGTTTCTGCTTCATCAGCTACAATAATTATTTTCCTTAATTTGCCTTGGACATTCTATATAACGATCTCCATGTTTAAGAGGGGGTGTTCTTTCTATAAGCGAAAACAAAATGCATGTGTGTGATTTGCTTCACCTCCTACATTTGGCATGCTTTCTTTCTCCCAGGCCTCGAGTGTGTCTTTACTCTCTCTCTGTCATCAGTATGAATTTCTGGACATTAAGACCATCCATCTCCACTCTCCTACCCCATCCCTACCCCCAATCTAATTGGCAATTTGCCACCTCTACCCTTGTCTTTAAAACTAGATCAGCTTTCCTGCAACTTGCAAGAATATTCTGTCCCCTGCAAGAAACCCCAGAGAGGCTGATCTTGAAAACGTGCAAATGTGTTATTTAAAAAATGATATTGAATATCAAACTGTGATGTGTGTTTATATCTTTTTGATCTCTATTTTTGTCCTTTTTAACTATCCCCTTACCCTGTTTCTGCGAGTGTTAGCTACAGATTTTCAATCACACCCACCGGCAAAGCCAATCTGCAGGGAGGCTCTCAGCAGTGCCCTTTCAGAACCAGCCCAGCAGATGAAAGGCAGATGGAAAATTCCAGGGGTTCCGATCTGAGCATTTAAATGATCATTTAGCGTAACACAAATCTGCGAGATATGTATTTTTAGTTTCCTATGCAGAGCAATAGAATGGAGACAATGCAAAGGACCCTGGTGAGTGTGTTGCACAGAAAATACTTGAGAAGAACTAGTCAGCAGAAAATGAATTTGTGGAGACCCTGGAAAGGTCTCTGGACAGCAGAAATGCGATTTATAATAATCTTTTCCACTTTGGGCAACTCTGTCTTTACAAATTGCACTCACTACCATTTCTTTTTCTTTCCTTTTGAGTTTTTTTTTTAATTATCATCTGGTACAGGAGTGATAGAAAAGCACATAGTTTTACATCCATTCTACAGATCCTAAATGATTCAGAGCCTTAGGAACAAATCGGAGACAATGCTAGAGCCACATCTCTGATGTCCAGGAAGGGTTCCCTTGCACTACTTTATACTCCAAACTATGCTTACATACTATCTAGAAAACAAGGCTATCACTTGAGAACAGGCTTATCACCTCAATATTTAGATGATATTTAAAGATAAAAATTTTAAATATTTTAATATAACTGTCAGCAATCTCTATGCTAGACAACAAATGCTTGCATGTGCTATGATATATGATTTATAAGATTTAGAATTCTTCAAGGTGCCCTTTCCACACCCTAAGATGAAGAAATAAGTGAAAATAAGATACACCAAAAGTCACTCAAGTGTCTATTGGCTTAACAGCAAGTCCAGTCCTAAGTAACTTTTGCCTGCCACACTGTCCAACCAATGATATTAATATGTTAAAACAGTTTTTTCTAGAGACCTGCTATAGGTTAGAACAGCTTTACACATGTAGAAAACACCAGAAGGACATTTTAAACAGAGATGTTACCTATTAAATTCAATCTTCATGTTTACAATAAGAATATTGTGACTTCCAAAATAAAGCCAGATCTTACTGATGGGCTTTATTTCTCACTGATGGGAATAGCAATGGGAATTTGAATCAGGTCCAATTACCGACTACTTGAAGGAGTGCTTGTACCTAGCTTGCTTTCTCATATCACAGAATGTGCACTTTCTCTTTGCTGCATACTTTTCTATTATTTTCATCTTTTTTTAAGAGATGAGGTCTCACCATCTTACCCAGGCTAGAGTGCAGTGGCTATTCACATGCATAATCATAGTGTACTGCAGCCTTGAACGCCTGGCCTCAAGCAATCCTTCCATCTCAGCTTCCTGAGTAGCTGGGATAAAAGTGTGCACCACTGTGCCTAGCTTATTTTTCACTATTGTGTGAGCTGTATCCTCAGCTCCTGGATTATGGGAAACACTCCTAACAAGAGACTATAGACGTATGAAGGCATTAATGACTAAAAGGTATGTATTAAAGAGAGGGACAATTTGCACCTGCTGTCTCTTATTTAAAAATCTTTCTATTCTTTCCTCCAACTTTCCTTTTGACCTTCTAGAGCTACTTTAACTCCTATGAAGTTCTCTGATTTGTAATATACAATTCCACTTGGCTATGCATTTTAGAAATAGCAAATAATAACATATATTGAGGATTTCTAGGTGGCAAGCATGCAGCCGAGTTCTTTACATGCGTGATCTGATTTAATAGGCATATTAATCACATGAGGTAGGTGCTGTTATCCCTGTTTTTTGATAGTGATGATACTCATTTTCCCTCTTTACTTATCCACATTGATACCTAAGAGAGAACACATAATATCTTTCCATAAATTAATTTTGTCCATTTTCTTTATTTTAATAAATGACATGATCACCAAAAATACAGTTATTATCCTGGATCTCTCTCTTTCTCTCATCCTCCACATCCCATCTGTCAGCAGTCCTATCAACTCTGTCTCCTAAATATATCCTAAACACTTGCACTTCCCTCCAGCTGCTTGTGTATTGTCCTGGTTCAATCCACCACCATTGCTTGTCTAGACATGTGCAGTAGTCTTCTTACTGGCATGCCTGCTTCTATTTCTGTCTCACTATAATTGAAAACAGTGATCTTTTAAAAAATAAATCAAACTTAATGTCCTCACTATAAACCCTATAATGGCTTCCTATCACATTTAGAATAAAATGCAAACCCTTGTATCCTGGCCTTAATGATCTGGCCACGACCAATCTTTAGGCTTGATCATTCTCTACCTTGCTCTTTCTTTCCCAAAAAGACTGTTTCCTAAACTCTTCAATTTCATCCCTGCCTTAGCATCTTCACACTTATTTCCTCTACTTGGAATATTCTTCTGCAGCATTTTACAGAGTACATTTCATCATTCAAATCTCAGCTTTAAATGTAACCTTGAGATGCTTTTGCTAACCACCAAATTTAAAGTTTTCACCTAGCTATTCATAACACTTACAACTGCCTGATATTTCCCTTTCTTACTTTTTCATCTGCTTATTCATATTCAGTCTCCTCATAACAGCAGGGGTCATATTTATCTTATTTACTATCAGGACCAGCTACATAATTTCTAGAGTCTAGCAAAAAATGAAATTATGGGGTCCTTTGTTGAAAAAATACTAAAAATGTCAAGACAATGACAGCAGAACATTAAGCCAAGTGCATGGCCTTCTAAACTTCGGGGACCTGTGTAAACACCTAAGTCGCAGGCTTATGAAGTCTGTTCATCATTGTACTCAAGCACATAGTAGCTGCTTGAATACATTTTTTGAATACATTATTTATTCATTTATTTGTTGAATTAATTAATTAGGTTAAGGAAACTGAGCTGAAGATAACAAACTTGTTAAACACAAATAATAAAATGCAAATTGAGAATAGAAACTCAGGTAGTCTGATCTAGCATTTCCTCTCAGCCACTGTGCCACATTGCATCTCAAGGCTAACACAATCTAGTCCCCTACTTCCCCCAAATATTCATTCTTTTCTTTCAGTAAAATCTAACATTATGCAGAAATAAAGAATGACAACAATTAGCTATAATTCTAAGGAAGTATGTGTTAAGCATTCTAACTGAGAAGGGTGTAAAAAAAGTTATAGAAATTGAAATGTGAGTGAGGTGGGATGGTTAGATGTTTCATTTGTGGTAGATTTGAAGGCTGATAGGATTCTGGTGCATGGGCAATAAAAAGAGTTTATTATAAAAGAAGATCCACTAGAGGAAGCATACAGAACAATAATGTGGTGAGAAGTTGAGCGTGACTGAGGAAAGGCTACATGAAGGGGAAGAGGCAAGAATAAAATAGACATATCTGTCAGGTCCTGAATTTGATAACTATTAGATGCTTAGGGGCTTTATTTTTTCCAGCAGGAAATGAGAGCCAGGGTAGTGCCATTCTGAAAGCAGAACCTCAGGAAGACAAATATTGCTATATCGAACTGAGTGAGCAAGAAGGAGAAATCATAGGCCACATGCATGAGCATAACTAGAGTGCTGACAGCAGGGATTCCAAGGAAAAGAAAGATAATGGAAATCACAGAGACAATGGAAACCTAAATGATTAACTGAGGACAGTGAAGCAGCAGGCTTTTCAAGTGATAATTTTGAAGTCTTAAATCTCCGGCATACCTACTATGTGCTTAATGCTTTACATGTTATGCTTAAATAATGTATGTAAAATATATTTGTACATATATTTTACAGACCTGGGAGGAATATCTTATTTATTTTCAAGTCACACCAAAGGAAAGGCAAGGCTCAGAGAAATGGATTAATTTGCTGGAGGCTACATAGTAAGCAGAGGGGGTGGGATATGAACTCATAACTGTGTGACTCAAATGAATCCTGTCTGGGTAATTGGGGAAATTAAGAATGGAAACA
Organism: Homo sapiens; assembly: GCF_000001405.40. Taxonomy (NCBI): domain Eukaryota; kingdom Metazoa; phylum Chordata; class Mammalia; order Primates; family Hominidae; genus Homo; species Homo sapiens. The sequence continues at coordinate 39,788,555 of NC_000018.10, forward strand.
AGGAAGTGAGGACTTGGAGCTGGCTGAGAAACATGAGTACTTCATTTATTGCCTTAGAGAGGTCATACTTGTTTTATATGAGTATGCAATGTCCCTTTGTTGTGTTTAAATCTAGAAACTGTCTTTGCTTGTACTTGTACAGTAAATATGTCAGGACTAGTCACTTACTAAACATTCTATAAATTCTTTATAAATATTATGCAAAGTTGCAACACATAGTTGCGAGTAAAAAAATACCTAGACTTGAGGAGAACTAGATCTCATTAATTTGGTCAAATTAAAAACCAATGGTCATTATGAAATAAGAAAAAAAGGCATTTTAGTACATTTAGGATTAACAATAAATAATTATTCTTCCCTACCTGTTTTCTGATCTCCTGGGGTTACTGAGGGTTGATGAAAAAATAAACCAACACCAGCAGCATTTACTGAGGTAATACTCTCCTCAGTGAATATTTTACTCAACTACCTGCCGTGAACACACCCTGATGTTTAGAATTGATTTTTAGCAATATTGCTCATTAGACTAGTACATCAACTCATTCCCTCCCCCATATCTCATCAGAAGCAGTTCCAATTTATACAAAAGCTACTTGTTTTAGAGTAACTCATCATCCTTTCAGAATCTGAAGTATGTCCCCCCTGGAGAACCATATGACCATTTTATTTAATTTTTTTAAAAAAATTGAATTAAATATTGTTTTTCTCCCTCAAAGGAAAACAGGCTTCACAAGTGAAGAATTCCCATCCAAAGAAGCTGTAAGCCCTATATCCTGTCAAGAAGTTCATTTGCATACATCCTCTTCTATTCTATTGACACATAAAACTGAGTTTATATTTATCTTCCACTTAAACATTCCTTATTAAATATCAATAGCACAGAGGGGTAGGTGAGAACCATTTTCTGTTTTTTATATAATGAGGCCAATTTGGGAACTGAGAAAGAAAGGAAAATCAGGCACAACGAGTTCATATGCTGGTGATAACTAATCAAAGCTTGGTGTAGAATCAATTTATTAATAACTCTATTTTGAATACCTTTCACATACAGAGTCATGGGCTAGATGCCATGGAGGGGGAGAGGGTAATACAAAGGAAGATTCTGAAATTCAAGATGACCACTGTCTATTTGGGATGGTGTCATAACCATTAGAAAAAGTAATTACACATTACAAGATAAATGCAAATTTCAGATGACAAAAAATATTTTAACTATTTGTATACCCAGACCAAAAAGCTAATTCCACAGTGTGTCATTTAAATATGAGGGAAAAAATCCCGGGGCATTGTAAAATTGTATAACACTTACAGAAGGCAATTTAGCATTACATGTCATATATACAAAGACATTTACTCTTTGGCTTTGAAATTACTTCTCAAGGTATTCATCCTACAGATATAAAGGCACACAGGCAAGAATGATTCATAAGCAAAACAAGTCCATGTACAGATATTTTATATTTGAAAATATCTGAAACAACCCATATGCCCACCAGTTGGGGACTGCTGAACTATATTATGGCACATTCATCTGATGAATTTTGGTAGCTATTCAAAATAATGGGGTAGCTTTTTATGTATGGATTTAAAAAGATCTTCAATACATATTGGTTAATAAATCAAAAAGCAAAGTATAGAACAAAGAGTACAGTATAATATATAGTGTTTCCTTATAAAATGTATCAGAGATGTCACATATAAATATGAGCTAGTGAAATAACTTTCAGGAGATATATATGTGTGTATATATGTGTGTGTGTGTATATATATATATGTTATAGTTAAATTACTTTCAGGAGATATATATTCATGAGATATATATGTATGCACACACACACACACACACACACACACAAACACACATATACATCTCCTGAAAGTTACTTCACTAGCCACTGTCTATTTGAGAAGGTGCCAGAGACATTAGAAAATGTAATTATTCATTAAAAGAGAAATGCAAATGTCTCTTGTAATACTTACACACATACATATACATACACACATACACGTCTTTCTCTCTTTTACACACACACACACCCCATGTATATGCCTAAAACACACTGTAAACTGAGTTTGCCTCTGGGAAGCAGAACAAGGATTAGGGGTAGGGAAGCAATAGAAACTTTAACTGTATATTTTTTGCATATTTATCATTTTGTTTTGTGGTCTTGTGTGCACATATATTGCCTATTCTAAAATTAATCCAATACAGAAAATTAGTAAAACAAAACACATGATGATGTGAATTGGTTGAGTATAACAGACTCTCTACTGCTGGAAGTCAGTGAAATGTAGGTGTACTTCAAGGCGATACGCTGAGACCTTACTAGAGGAAGAAGCCTACTTCGGGATTGAAGTTGGAATAGTGATTGAGTGTGGTGTGAAGGTAACTAAGTTTACCCCCATCTCCAGAAAATGAATGAGCTTCTAGTTCCTACCAAATTCACTTTCTAGACTGGTGGTCTCTCCTCAAGGTCACTCTGAAGGACCTGTAAAAGGAAAACACAAAGACACCCAGGAAATTCTGACAGCACTCAGGGCTGACTGGGTGACCAAGTTAAGGCAGGTTGGGACACTTTTGAATTGGACTGTGAGGGGTGCTAGTTCTGGCCTAGCGCAGGAGGGTCCTGCACAGCTATAGTAAATAAGATTCTTCAGGAGTAAAATCTGAGCATCTTGAATTACAATCTATTTACATGCTAAGCAAATTTGCCCCTTCTAGATGCTGCTTCTCTCTCAAAAGCCTCTCAAGTTTAACAAAACAGATTGGTAAAGGTGGTGGATTTGTAGTTTCCTGTTGCCTGAAGCTCTTCATCCTACAGCTGATCAATTCTCTCACCTCCACCCTCAGACTCTTTGGGGCTTCGTAATCTAAAGTCTGGCCATTAACTCTGTAGCTTTATCTGGCACAGTTTTTATCCTTATTATAGGAGAAAGGGCATTCAAATTGGAATGTACAATCATCCTTGTTGAGAATCATCTTTCATCCCATATTACTTACTCACATCCATCTATGCTGTAGAAATTGGGGGTGAATCAGGATCCAAACTAAGCAATCCACCTGGCTTTGGGACACTGCTCTGTCTCTTGAGTTAGACTCAGAAGAAACTTCTTTCAGAAAAGATGAAGATTTTAATAATCCTGAATTACTCTTCCTCCTTTCTCCTTCCCCTTTTAGGACTCAGGTGTAATTATTATTTCCTGGATGGGAGTAACACTGAGCAATAAATCTATGTACGTTTAACTGATAACCTGATAACTTTTCAAAAAAAATGTGTCTTGCTTTGTGAAAGACAAAATGCACCAGACAATCAAGGAGATTATTTTATTCAGGTTCTTGAATATGGAGAGGGGTCATTAATGAAAAACAGTTCAAGGAAGAGAAAGAGGGCCTGCACCGTTACAGAGGCAGATAGGTGAGGAAGTGGTTCATGAGTCTTATTGGAGTTATGTGGAAGAAGGGAGATGGGCCATATCTCAAAATATGTGAGAAGATAATTGTTCTTTGTAGTTAGTTGAACATAAAAAAATAGGGAGTATAGACTCAGGTAAAGTTTGATATTGTTGTTTGCTTCCATCTTCAAGCAAACTTCAGTCACACAATTTTCTCAGCTCCTCCAGCTCCAAATGTAGCCTTTGACCCTTTGTTTCCTTGGTTGCCAACCCCAGTTCTCCATCAACTTTTCTCATTATGACCTGTCTATACATTCCTGATCTAATTCTTCCCTGTATTCCTGCCTATATCATCCAACTCATTCTTAATTCTGATTCACTGATATCTTCTTAATGTCCCTAATAACTTTTCTTGTCACTAAGGAACCAATTTCACTACTTAAGCAACTTGAAAGTCTGTCACCTAAATGTCCTTTAATGACCAATGTCACTGAGCCTTTCTTGTCTATTTCTATGGTGAAAGAACTTCTTCATCCCTGGAAAAATACTGGCTGGACCTCTTTTTCATGGGGTCTGTCCTGAGATGAGAAAAACAATGACAAAATATTATCAGTTATACATGAAAATTGAAAGCCTAACTATCTTCAAATTTTACCAAAGACAGATCAGGAGGAAATGAATAGGCAGGAAAACAGGAGAGATGTAAGTGATCTAGGTTGAGCAATAACTGTTGACAGGAAAGGGGTTATTATTAAATACTAGGACAGGTTATTAAGGATGGTTATGAAAAATGCAGAAATGTCCAAGCTACAGGAATTCATCGTCTTAAGAAAGCACAATGTGTACTGATATTTCTTTAATAAAATATATACAAGAGAGGAATATACTTGTTATCCAGAACCTTAACCATCCAGTCACATGATCTTACTTTCCAATTGCATCAATATATCCCTAGATTCAACCCCTGGACTGCTTAGAACCAGAGGAAATTAAATTACGAATAGAACTCTAGTCGTAGCTCTGAGACTTTAATTTTCTTCTTTCTTTTTTGTTTTTTACTTTTAAAAATATTTTAGGGATATATTTAAACCTTGTTAGTCATTTAAATATAAGAAGAAGTTCAATATTATTGTTGTTGTAATTAAGTGGAACATGTTTTCACTCATTTTTTTAAAGCAAATTCAGTGCTAACTCAAGGTATCTGCAAAATACCATGCTAACCTCTAAATGTGCCTCTGTTGCCAAAGGTCTTACACATGTCCTGCACACATGTGCTTCTGAACATTGATATTCTTATGCAAATAAAATGTATCTACAAGGATGCATATATCTACATTCACAACTAATTATACTCCTAAGTACTCGTCTTTGTCTTCTATTTATGCATAATTAAATCCCCTTGCTCTTTATCTGCTTCTGTAAGCTTTAACATAGAGATACAGGGAGAAAAAAAAATGAATGACACCCCACCCTCACCACACACAACCCACAAACCTGCTGGTTTTAAAGAAAAATCCCTCATTTGCTCCAGTTGTCTATGCCAAGCTTTTTGCAGTGAAACACCCCTACAATGTGTTCCAATGGGTTCTCATTTGGGGAAAGAGAATGTTACAGAGAGGCAATGACATTTCCTATGTCTGTTCCTGAGCCATTTTAAAGAGAGTAAAATGTGCAGGAAAATGTTCAACTGATTTTATAGCAAAGCATCATGGTGCTGTTATCAGCTTCCTTGCGGGAAATGGTAATGTGTATTCATATAAACACAATGGGGTTGAACATCACCTCATATTCATTCGGATGCCTCCCAGCACCCAGGCAACTCACACAAAAATGTCTATTTGCTCCCCGCATCAGCTTTCAGCAACCAAGCTTCCTCAACCCTACAGGCCCTGCCGCTGCCCAGCAGCTCAACGAGCAATTGAGTCTATCTTTTGCAAGCACATCCTCACTCCCACCATTGACAAGTATTACCAGACATTTATTTGATTTTCATTTCTATTTAGAATGTGGGCCTAAAGATAATTGGGCAGCCTTCTTCAAGGTAGTTTTTGTTGTTTGTTTTACTCCATAAACACATAAGAGCAATAGTCATTTGTTTTTAAACCAAAATACCAGAGAAAGCAAAACAAATAGAAAACAAAAACAAAGTAAAAAATAACAACCAAGAAGCAAGCACTATGACACAAGCGCAATGTCAAGAACAGAAAACAGACTCAGATGTCTGGTTAGAACCCCCATTTGGAAATGCAGTGATTTTATGGGGAGATTAAAAAACAACCAAAAAATCCTTCAAAAACCTATCACTGGGCTGAATATTCAGCCGTGGGTATATGAAGTCAGCTGTCTATGGTGAGTCTGTTTTCAGGCTGTAATTCTGACTACTGAAAGGCTAGTTCTGGCTCTCCAGCTAGCAAGTCAATCTGAGCAATAAATACTAATTGAATGTAAAGACTAATGTTAGCCACTGTGACTTTTCCTGAACAAAATGCCACGGTTCACAAAATGGGAATAGCTATATCTGACCTAACTTCTACTGGGAATTTTGGAGAAATTAGTAGAAGATGGAAAGAAAATTCAGGAAGGATCCATAACCAAATAAGCATCTAAGATAGGTATTGGAGCATAACAGTTTGATATATTGAAGAGGAGGATAAAGTTATGTTCAGAGAGAAAGAGGCAAGAAATATCTTAGCATATTCAATCTATCACCATTTTAAACGCAGGCACACAAGAATAAAAGGGCAAAGGAAAGAAAGGTGGAGAACAACATTATACAGTTTGAGGATCTTGAATAGCAGAGAAAGTAGAAGTTTAGATTATATCCTTGATGACAAGAAACCAATGAATGAATATATTTCAGTATTTCACTTCTCATTCCAAGAAGGGTGTTTCTTAGGTTGTATCTCTACCACAGTGATACTTAGGAAGAAATGCAATTTTCAGAGGCAAAGTCATGGCCTAAATATCCCTGATCTTTTCACTTTCTTTAAAAGGTGAAAATTAAGTTAATTTTTACATCAAGTGAAGTCATGCAGGAAGAAATCTCAGCCAAGATGATTTAAAAATTATATGGGAAGAAGGGGAGAACAATTTCCCTTCGTGCTGGTGTAACGAGGCTGGTGATCAGGGGCCGGTTTTATGAACACAAGTCCCAGATCTTTAGGATTACTCTGGTTAACCAATTGATGGCCTCTGAAGTTAGCACCCCGGTGTTGTAGGACTTTTCCTTAGTTTAGCTAAAAATGGAGTTCTTGTCCGTCCCACAGCCACAAAAATTTAGGCTCACAGACCCTGTAAAGGGTGAGTAAAGCAGGGTTTTATTGTGTGAAAAGGGGAAAAAAGGGGAAACAGGGATCCCTCACAAGGCCTGAGTCCCCTGCTAGAGCGCCTCCTACCCGCCATTTGAATCCCAGGTTCCACACAGGAAGAGCAGGGGCCAGGCTCCTCCCTACTGCAAATGTAGTGAACTTCCTGGGGCTCCACCTCAGTGGGCAGGCTGGTTGGAGTTTCTCCAGGGACTCTCTCATTCCCCCTCTAAAGAAGTTCATCTAACTGCCATTAGATTAAGGATAAGGAAGAACACCAACTTTAACTGCTTCCTGCTGACAGGGGGCACTGTTTTGGGGAAACGGCAGAGTTCCCTTAGAGGCCTATCTAAGGGTTCCCAGCAGAAGGGGTCATTGTCAGATGCTCCATTGTGTGACTGTTTGGAGTTTGATGGCCTGAAGGCAAGAAGAGACAAACCAGGTTATTAGAAAACAAGTATCAAAATGAAACAAGGGGAAGGGTAAGGACAGCTCAAAGATCCCGAGGCCTTTTACCAGTTTGCAGAGGGAGAGGGAGGCCAAAAGCCTGACTGGTAAAAAAAACTTTTACCCTTTTGCCGGCATGTTGGGCTTTTGGGCTCTCTTCCCCTGGGCCCAATCTTAAGCCAACAAGTTTAGGGTTTGGGAAATTAACTCTTTTCAGTTTGGAAGATGCATCTGAAGAGAGTATGTTCATAGTACGGAGACACAATTACCTATCAGTGAAGAGGGGACCGAGGACGAGAAAGGAATAAAAAGAAGGCATTTTTTCAAAGAAGTCCCAGGGTTTCAGGATGCATTCTAAAGGGGTACAGACTGAAAATGAATGGCTACACATCTAGAAAGAGGGGAGCAGGCATCCCTGGTTCCCTTCTCTTTGTAACAGATATCCAGGGGTAAGTGAGGGACAGAGAGAAAAGCATCCTCTTTCCCTCTTCCATCCTCACATCCCCAAGTTCCAGTGACCTTGGCAGGTGCTGCCATGAATTGCAAAGCAGCTTGCGCTCATGAAGCAAGGGGGCCAAGGGGGTGGCAATCATCCACTCCTTCCCACATATGCCCTAACTCCCCTGCTGTCAGTAGCCTTGGTTTCCCTAGACCTCATTTATGCCGTGGATACTAACATGGCCTTTATCTATGAAACAGGAAGCTTGGGGTTGACTTAATCAGCAGGAATCAGCCACACTCACCTGTGCTGTGCCTTTTAACCTCTGTTGTCATTTGCCTCTGGATCCGTCAGATCCAGTATTTTTTCCTAGGACTTTGACCCAAAGCTTGGAATTGAGTCTGGAACAAAAATGTATCTCGAGGGGTTGCATGGACTGCTTATCATAAGCCAAATGCTAAGGTGAAACTGAAACTGAGTCCTCTACCAACAAGGGAGAGAAAATGATGTCATGTGACACACCCAGATAACTTGGAGCTATAGTTATGCTTGCTAGGATTTGGGTGCATGGTGCTTGGCTTTGGTTAGCTCCCTTGGTTTTACTTTCCCAAAAAGAAACCTCTGGGTGATGCGGATCCTATTTATTCCATCACCTGGCAGGATCTGCAGGATAATTGCTCAGAACTAGAATATTAATCTGGATTTCTACATTACCCATCCCTCTTGTTCTTTTTGAGCTGCAACCAGAGATTGCTGGTTGGTTCACACGAACAAGCATGGTTAGTCTAAAAATGTAGGCAAAAACTTAAAAACAAGTAATGAGTTTAGAAATTAATGACAAATATAAGTTTTGAAACATGATTCATCTCTCTCCATTCCTCATGTTTGTTAAAAAAAAAAAATCATCATAGGACTAAGTTGTTTAAATAGACTTTAGTTTTATACTTGGCCTGATTATTTGTATAAAGTACAGCCACAATAATTATTTCTACATAGGGCTTTTGGATTGGCTTTGATGGAATTCTCTTCCACAAGGAATCTCAGATAAGACTTTTTAAAGCCAAGCCCAACCATGGGTTTGTATCCTCAAACACCTGTGAGTTGGATGATCCTCTCTCTTAAGGTCCCAAGATAAACTTGGAGCTCCTAGACCTGTTAGAAAGTGACATTCTTTACTGACCACAGTCAGGAACCCTGTACAGGGACTGCATAGACAAGGGTATCAGGCCAGTTTCCCCATTGGGCTTTTATCAGCTCTGTAAGCTGATATTGACTCCTTAAAGGGAAGCATACCCTTCCCATAAAAGCCTTAGTAAAATAACCAATTCTTCCAATTGCATTCTGTTGCAAAAGGAAATGGATTCTTATTGCACTGATGCAAACAACTATATTGCCATAAGTTAAGAGTATTCACAGATAGTTTCCAAATTCTAGAGTACCCAGGCAGAGAGAAACAAACACACTCCCAATCTTGATCATAAGGGCACACCTTGCTTAATTATTAAAGGCCATAAATAGTTCAAAATAAGTTCCCTTGACTATGAAAAATAAATGGATCAGTAATATCCTAACCAAACGTCAAAAAGTTTGCTTTAGCTTTCTGAGTTCAGTCCATTTAGTTAACTGTTGTTCTGCTTGATATTCATGAACATTTCAGCTCTTCATGAGTCCTGTACATTTTCCTTTATTCCAATGTTACAATTTCCAAAATTATCAGAAGCTTGTATTTGAGAGCACCTGTTACTATAGCTTATTATAAACCATCTTTTGAAAAGACTTAAAAGACAACAATTGTTTGTGAATAACAAAATGCCCAGGGTAGTTCCACTTAGAAACACAATTGACAAAGAAGTTTGGTTATCTCTGAGGTTTATAATAACATCAAAATCTTAATTAATCATAATTAAGTATATGCTATCATGATTGACATGCAAATTTTAGAAATCCCATACAATTTTGAAACATATATTAGCATTATTCACCAAGATATAACCTAAGAAAAATTGAGCATCATTTTGGCAATCCCTTGTAGCTAAACATGTCAAATAATCCTATGTACCTCTCTTTTCTGGACACTTCAGGGGCACTCTGAAGTATTTGAAAAGCCAGGTATCAGGGAAGACAATTTTGAAACTGAAGTTTGATTTTGGGAAGGCTGTTAAATGTTCGAGGTTTCAAACACTTGATATTACAAAACAGAATTCAAGATTACCATAAGTTACTCATTTTGCCCAAATGATGATGCAGAAGTTTTAAAGAAGCAAAAACCTTTATAAACCTTTACAAATATTGCCAAAGAGCAGATTAATGCCTTAGGAAAATCTTGTTATGCTTTTATTTCAATGCTCAATTTACAGAAAACCGTATAATACCCTGTTTTTGAATTTCGTCACTATGTTCACACAGAGAACCTCTTCTAAAAGATTAATTCCACAATTCTTCCACCACTTCTTTGAACCTTCAGCTTTCCTAATTTAACACAAAACAATCCTTTAACCCTAGGCAAAAGTTTACATTCCATGCCTTCTTATAATCTTTACTAAAAAACACATTTTACTGTTTTTACACACCTTGGATGTAAATCTATTTCTAGTAGCCTAGCAATTTTTAACTGTAAGGTAAAACTTGGTAAGTTGCTTTAATTGCGTGCTAACTAAAGCCAAGATTGGCCTTCTTAGTTAAGGGTGTGGTTAATTCCATATGTTCCCAGGCCTTACCAATTGTGAAGCCAGCAAGTCAAATAGTTCTCAAAACCCAAAAAGCAGCTTGTAACCTCAAAACACTTAGCATACCTTGCACCTGACATACATTTTACTAATAGTCTTTAGGACTGTTTTTATTTCTTAAAGATTAAAATCACGTGAGCTGAAAGGTACCATAGCTTTTCACTTCCCTTACAAAATACTTGATCAAAGGACTTGTCTTTCTTTAAGCCAAATTAATCAGAGCTCTTCTTACACACATCACACACAGTACACATACAGGTAGAAGAAAACCTAGTCGCTGGGTGGGGCCCTTTAAGAGACAGCTCTAGGAAAACATGCAGATGTCAAACCAGAAAGGGCTCATCCCCTATGGCAGGCTTGCCAAACAAAGCTTTGCCAAGTGGTTACCGGCCATGGCCCGCAGGATATAAAGCAAGATGGAGGCTTAATTTCACAACCAAAACTTTGCAGAAAATATAAACAGTGATGGTTGTTGCGGGCGGGAGGGGGCGGCGGCGGGGGGCGGGGGGTGCCTGGCCTAGCAAAACATCTTCTAAAAGAAAAAAAAAACTTTAAAACTTAACTTGCTGATTGGGTACAGAAAGGGAAAGAAAATAAACAGTTTAAAAATGCCTAGGGAAGTCCCGGTGCGGTGGCCCACGCCTGTAATCCCAGCACTTAGGGAGGCCGAGGCAGGCGGATCACGAGGTCAGGAGATCAAGACCATCCCGGCTAACACGGTGAAACCCCGTCTCTACTAAAAATACAGAAAAAAAATTAGCCAGCCGTGGTGGCGAGTGCCTGTAGTCCCAGCTACTTGGGAGGCTGAGGCAGGAGAATGGCGTGAACCCGGGAGGCGGAGCTTGCTGTGAGCCAAGATCGCGCCACTGCACTCCAGCCTGGGCGACGGAACGAGACTCAGTCTCAAAAAAAAAAAAAAAAAAATCCTGGGGAAGAACCTCTTATTCTTATGCAAGTGGTTTCTCCACCAGGGAGAAAAGTTTGATTACTGGCTGATGGAGCTGAATCTCTTGGCGGGGAAGGGGAAGGCTCCAGCCGTTCATGGCGGAAAATGCCAGCCAGCTGCCCCGGGATCCTTGAGCCGTGCCTCCCATTCCGGCAGGGAGTTGGGGGTGGAGGGGAGACACTGCTCACCAGTTGGTCCCAAAAAAGGAAGGAAAAGGTCAAGCAACAGTGAGAGGTTTTGAGTCTCCATTTCACTCACCGCTTCTGGTGCCCCCACATTGCGCGCCAAAAATGTTGCAGGACTTTTTCTTAGTTCAGCTGAAGATAAAGTTCTTGTCCGTCCCACGGCCATGAAAATTCAGGCTCGCAGATGATTTAAAGGGTGAGTAAGGCAGGGTTTTATTGGGTAAAAAGGGGAAAAAAGGGGGGACACAGGTATTCCCTCACAAGGTCAGACTCCCCTGCTAGAGCACTTCCCGCCTGCCGTTCGAATCCCAAGTTCCACACAGGAAGGGGAGGGGCCAGGCTCCTCAATGCTGCAAACCTGGCGAACTTCCCGAGGCTTCACCTCAGTGGAGAGGCTGGTTAGAATTTCTCCAGGGACCCTCTGTCACTTGGCTGTCTCAAAGGGATTTCTTTCTAATTGACAAATTAAGACAGCAACTTTGCATATAGCCCAGATGTCTACATTAAGAAAAAATTAGATTGGTCTATTGTCAAATGTAATCTCATTTTCCTAAATAATAACATGGTGACCCTCCTGAATTAAAAAGACAAGACCTAAAGTATTACATAAAAACTTTAAAACTTTGTTTTCCTCCAAATGAAGTGAAAATTAGACACCAGGGAGGTAACTGAGTTTCAAACCTGATTGTAACATTGAATATTTCAGCTTTGTCTAATATAAGCCTAAAGCATAAGAACAAGAAATGAAACAATGCTGATTCAAAGTGGAGTGTCAACTTGACCACTAAAAGTGAACCACTCCATAAAAGTAGGAACCCAAAGAGGTCCACTGATTCACAAAAGAAGATGCTGAGAAAACGTGCCTGTCTTGAACTTGGCATTGGGTAGAAGGAAAAAATATATTTTACATATGTGTCATATGTGACATATATGTGTCATATAGACATATGGGTAATCTGTGAAATAATATATGACAAGACAAAAATACGACATATATCACACACGACACATATATATCACTTATGATACAAATAAGCCACAATGACATATAGATGTATGTCATATGTGGCATATATTTGTCATATGCCATGTGTGACATGCATTAGTCATACAGCATATGAAATGTATGTCGTTTCATATGCCAAATATGTGACATGTGTCAAATATGCATCTTATGCGACATGTATAAGACATGAGTCACGTGACATAGGTGTGAAATATGACATGCGGCATGCATGTGGTGTGTCATACAGGGATCATATGGGTCATACATGACAAATGTGTGTCATATGTGTCATAGGCGACACGCGTCGTATGGAACGTGTGTTGTGTTATACACGCGACATACGTGTTGTGTGTGACATGTGTGTGACATGTATGTCACATACAAGTCGTTCGTAAGACGTTAGTTTCTATGTAAATATGCATGCCATGTGCGACGTGTATGTGACGTTTGCATGTGTCATATGTGACTTGTGTCAAATGAGAGTTATATTTCATGTCCCTGTCATCTGTGTCACGGATGTGGCACGAATGTGGTATGTATGTTACATGTGTCATAACATGCAAGTGCCATATGTGACTTACGTGTGTCACGTGTGACGTGTCCTGTGTGTCTTATAATGTGTAGTGTGTCATATGTAACATGTACATGACATGTATGTGTCATCTGTCACATGTATGTAATATGCATGTGTCATACGTGCCATATCCTGCATACACGTGCCATGTAGCTGTCATATATGGCGTTTTCCATGTAGGTGTTATGTATAAGTGTCATATATGGCATATGTGTACCATATATCTCTGGCGTTTGTCATGTGTGACATGCGACATGCATGTATCACACGCTAATGCATGTTATGTGCGACATGTGACATGCATGTGTCATGTATGTGCAATATGTAACTTGCAGGAAACCTGTATGTGTCACATGTGTCCTTTGTAATCTGTAGGAAATGTCATGCATGTGAAGTGTATGTGTCACTTGTTTGTCATGTGTCATATGTGGCATATGTCATGCATGTGTCGTGCATGTGTCATGCATGTGACGTGCACGTGTCTTTCATGTGTCGTACATGTGTCACGCATGTGTCATGTGTTGTGCATGTGTCGTGTGTGACATGCATATCCAACATGTGTTATATATGATACATATGTCACACCATTGTGTTGTTTCCTTTATGTTGTATGTGAAGCATGTCATATGTCACGTAACAGGAATGCGGGACATTCTGTTCCATATGTGTTATATATGACATGTGTCATGTGTCGTATATACATCATGCATTCGACCTATGTAACATGTGTGTTATATGTGACATGAATTGGTCATGGGTGACATATAGGTGGTATGTGTGTCACATGTGTCTTTTGTGATGTTTCATGTGTCCTAGGTGACACGGATGTGATATGAATGTTTCACGTGTCCAGGTGTGTGACGTGTATGTGTTGCACGTGTCACACATCTGTGACGTGTGTCATACATATGTGATATGGGCATATGTTTGTTCTATTTGGTCATGTGTGTTATGTGACACTTTGTGTCATACATGTGACATAAATGTGCCATGTATGACATGCATGTGACGTCCATGTGTGCCATGTATGTGTGTGACCTGTATGTGTTACATGTTACATGCATGCCTGCCACATGCATGTGTCATGTGCGAGTTTATGGTATGTATTTGTCATGTGCCTTATGTGACATGTATTTGTCATAAATGAGTTATGCCTGACATATACGCATCATGTGTGTCGTGACAAGTGTGTGATGTGCATGTGTCATGGGACGTGAAATGTGTCATATGTACCACATATGCCACACATGACATGCGTCATATATGTGACAGGCATGTGTCACGCGTGTCGTATGCGACATGTTATATATGTGTCATATGCATGTGTTATGTCATATGTGAAGTGTCATATGTACTATGGCTGACATGTACGTTTCGTGTTATGTAGTCATGTGTATTATGAATTTCACGTCATGTGTATCATGTGACATGTTATGTGTTTTGTGCACTCTATAAACGTCATGTATGACATGTGACATGTATGCACCATACATATGCCGTGTGTGCGATATGTGTGATGCATGTGACATGTATGTGCCATAGATGTCATTTGTTGAGTGTGCTCCTCATATCACGTGTGTGTCATGTGTGACAAGCAAGTGACGTGTATGTGTCCTGTAGTTATAAATTAATGTATCATGTGTGACTTGTACATGACATGCATGTCTTTTGTGTGACACATGCATCATACAAAACACTAAAAGTTCTATAATCTCCAGCTTTTTTACCTAAAACTAATCTTTTGCATTTTAAGCCGTTCCAATGCTAACAGAGTTACGAAAAAGTAAAATCTGTAATAGCTTTCAGATAATGAAGAGCTTACATTTTCAGAGTCCAGAAAGCCAAAAGGTAGATAACAAAAATTAAAGGTCCATGAAATCCCGGTAATATATTAAAAGAAGAAAAAAGTCCTTTTTAAACAGATTTTCTCCCACCCTTGGAAAAAGCATCTTTTCTATTGTCAATGGCCTGTTTATTCTTTTCTTTCTACTTTGCTTTGCTGATCAGAATGGAATTGACAGGTTGTTGTCCTAAGCAGTTTTGAAGAATTGATCAGGCAAGACTAATATAGACTTTGATCCCTAATCATTCATCATCATGTACAATTAAAATAAGAAAAAAGCAAAGCTTGGTACACACATTCTCTGGGTTCCATGCAAGCAAGCACTTAATGATGGAAGCCAGAGAGTTATTTCACTTTTCACAGAGGCTAAAGTACTCTTCAAAATCAAATCTAGATATGAGTGATATATTCATTACTCCAGCAAATCTTAGTGTTCTTAAGGTAATTAGACACCTGTTATAGAGAAACTATTAATGACCAAATAATTTTTCTTTGTTGTAGAAATGAGGAGGAAGACAAGAATATAATAATTAATTTGAAAGTGATTTTTAAAAATAAAGTGATTTCATAATATATATTTTTGGGATGTCAAAGTCTAAAATAGAATAAAATCTATATCCTAACTAATTTCACTCAGCACTTTTCACTATAAAATATGCTTAGGATTTAGCAGCGTATACATTAAATGAGTTTTGATGTGTTAGTATGTATTTATTTTCCTTTAATTCTGTATCTTGAGCTTTCCATCACCAATTCCATCACATTCTCCTTGCTTTTTTTTCCAGACCACACTGACACATTTTTCTGAACTCTGACTGTGCACCTTTTCTATGCTATTTATTTTGTTGCCTACATTATGCCTTATTTTTATCCCCTGTCAATTTTGAGTACATTTCACACATGAAATCAGCTTAAAATACTTTGAAGCCAGATATTGTGAATACCACTTTTGACATTCTACAGTGCCTAGGAGGGAGCTGTACTCAAATAAGTGCTCAATGCATTCCTGTTTCAAATTGAAATAATTAACAAATAAATTTATTTTATTTGTACCATGAATGGATGGTGTAATACCAGATCCAGTTTTATAAATATGTCATGCTCCCTAAACAGGAAAGTTATTACTACTAACTACTAAATGTTTTGCTTAGGATAATGGTGCCCTTATGTGTAAAAAGTCATTTTTAAAAGTTTTACCCTAAATAAATATATGAATTAAGCAATATCATTAGTGACATCCTTGTAGAAAATAAGAACAGTCTACTTTAAAATCAATAGGCACTTTAAAAGGACTACTTTAAAATTAAAGTTAGTATCAACAAGTTTTTGTTTTTAGTTTCACATTTGACAAACATAAACTAGTGTTACCCAATGTTGCCCAAGGTCAAAGTAAGTGAGAGAGCAAAATCAATTACTTGGTTAATCAAATGATTGATTATACCAGTATAAAGTCACCAACTTACTGAATTAAATTTTCTCTGAAGTTGTGTAATAAGAAGGAGAGGAATGCTAGCAGAAGGCTGACCAATTCTTTCAAGTCTAATAAACATACATTAAAATCGAAGTTTCATCAATTACTACTTACTTCATTTGAGAGAACTTCAATTACTAGTTACTGCATTTGAGGTTCAGTTTCCCCATCTCTAAAATGGGAACATTAACTACTTTGCAAAATTGTTTTAGATATTAAATAAAATAAAGGATTAATAACATAGAGTATACGCAATTTTATTGATGCTATCCATGGCATAGCATATGCTCAATAAACTCCTTACTATACCAATTATCCATCTCTCTTGAAACAGATTATAAATTCAACATTTTCTTTACATTTTCTATTTGATATGTCAGTCATTGTGACTTACTTCATTTCCACAGTATCCTCTAAGAAAGCTGTTTTGCTCACAGCTCTTTTTGAGGGAGGAGCCCCAGCTCTAGGTTCCAAGCAAGCAAACACTTAATGATGGCAAACATGTACTTCCTGGATAAAGTAAGCAAGCACTTACTTCCTAGATGTGCCTTATTGAATGGGAAGTGCTCCAGACTCAAAGGCAGCCGGTCCTTAGACTGTGCAGCAACACATGAATAGACTAATATGAAATAGATGCTTTAGGTGAGTGAGCTGGGACAATTGGATTCTTGTTCTCAAGAATCAGAATGTAGAAATATAGGGAGAGAAATTAGTGATGAGAAGGAGCTTACACTAAATCCGGTTGATGAGTTAGAGCAGGGAGTAAGGAATTGTAAGCAAACCAATATCAAGAGACAGACAAAGACAAAGAAGATTTTATAGAAAACATAAATAAAGAGACACAGCAAAATAGAGAATGAAAACTAAGAGGACAAAGTAAAGTAGCAAAGAATAGATGGAGAAGTAAGAAGACCAGACATACAGAGAAGCAAAGATTGAGGGAATAAACAAAGAGAAAACTAAAAAGAAGATCCACCACAAATTATTGTCATTGTGATTCATAGAGGTGCTGTGTGACCAGAATTTCTCCATCTGAGAGAATCCCAGCCCTAATTGCTCCTCGCAGGAGAGTAGCTTAGGTCTCCTCCTCATTCTCACATTCCCCACATCTTGAACTATAAAAATGGCTTTATTGTAACAAAGTAAAACTTTCAGTTTAAATAAAATGTCTTAGAAACATTTGGGGAGATAGAGGAAGACCTGTGTATTAATAGCAAATGAATTAATTAAGCTAATATAGGCATTTCTTCATGACATTAATTTTTCCCACCTCCCATGTGTGACATTGCTACCTCCCTCCAGTTGCTCATGTTGTCCTTCCACATGGAAAATGTCTTTCCAACTTCTTTCTAACTTTATAACACCTAGCTATTTATAAAATGCCCAGTGAAAGCCTCCTAACCTCCTGATTACTCTGCCTATACAATATCTCTGGAAAACATTCCTCAGCGGTCGTTTTTACACTTAATACTCCACCCCTTATGCTTAAATTGTTGCATTATTAATCAGTGCATTGCTATTTTACCTGTTTTGTGTATATAGCTAATCTTCCCTGCAAAAAAAAAAAAATATGTTATTTGAGAGCAGAAAGTGGGGTAGGCAGATTAATTCCTTTTATCATGATCATATGATATCCCCCGTATTAGTCCATTCTTATGCTGCTATGAATACCCGAGGCTGGGTAATTTATTTTTTAAAAAAAAGAGGTTTAATTGACTAACAGTTCTGCAGGGCTCAGGAGGCCTCAGGAAACTTACAATCATAGCAGAAGGGGAAGCAAACACATTCTTCTTCACATGCTGGCAGGAGAAAGAAGTGCAAGTGGCAAAATGCCAGATGCTTATAAAACCATCAGCTCTCCTGACACCTCACTCACTATTCCGAGAAACAGCATGGGGGAAACCACCCCATGATTCAGTCTCTTCCCACTGGGTCCCTCCCACAACACATGGAGATTATGAGAACTACAATACAAGATGAGATTTGGGTGGGGGCACAGCCAAACCATATCATCCCCCAAAGTAGTAGTACAGAAAAAACATATATAAATAAACAAAAATCAAATAAATAAATGAATGAATGGATGGATAAATTAGTAAATTTAGGGTAGTTCAAAGGCTTATATAAAATTGTTCATAGGGAATGCACAGGAAAATTTCTTGTTTTTTTAATGAGCAAAACACTAGCATTTGTGCATCAGTTCCTTTGAGTGAGATGGGCTTCCTTGATTCTTTCTATGAACATAGTTACAATTATTTTTATCACCACCAAAAAAAGCCTTGAGTGGAAAAATATATTTTAGGTATCATATCATCATAATTGTATCCTATCAGTCTTCCTATGCATCTACTTGTGTTAAAGAGGGTGTGGCAAGAAATTAACTACTTATAGAAGATAAACTGACAAGAAGGACAGAGGAGGACTTGACAAAAATCAAGATATTCAATTGGAATTGTTTATTTTTATGTTCTTTTTAATTTCGGGAGAAAATATCTTTCATCTCTTCTCTACACTTGAACAGCAGGTGGGCAGACACTGAAATTTTTCAGGAGACTGAGCGTGTGGGCAAGTCACTTGCAAGAAGTTCAAACGTCATGTATACTACTGATATTGACAACTGTAACTGCAGGACACAGGAGAAGCAATCCTAGCTGGGGTAGAGCTGGCATTTTCAAGGTATTTTTTTTTAAAATATAAATGCTCTGACACTGATCGAAAACCCTAGTTCCCGAGGGCTTTGGTGTGTAACTGCAAAATGTGAGGCCAGTCATATACAAAGGCAAGGATGGAAGATTTTGCTTGAATAAAATTGGGAGCAGCGTATATATTCTGCCACTTCTAAAATCAACTCTGGCTTCTTGAGTTGGAAAACACCAGATTTGCTATTCATTCTTTATTATTATTATTATTATTATTATTATTATTATTATTATTATTTGTTTCCACCACTATCTTTGCCTTTCCAGTGTCTTGACAAAGTGAAATGTGTTTCAGGATCGTAACAAGCAGTTTTGAAAAGCATTCAGTTGAGTTTAATATTGCTCTCCTGTGTTTCCTATAGCATGTGTACATGACACCTGTATGTGTATGCATGTGTATATGTGTAAATCCAACTTGTGCAGATGGCTGCATTCATTTTTCAAATAGATATCACAGCCTAGTCCAAAAGTAATTGATAAGATTATTCAATATGAACATAGGTGTTAAAAGATCTGGAAAGACATCAGTGCAGGTGTGAAGCTAATTAAACCTGTTGTGGGGGGTGCACAGGAAAGATCATGTGGCCTATCTCTTTGAAGAAATAGGCTGTCGTTTTTAAATCCATATTATATTTTATTTTATTTTCTTAATTTCCTTTTAATTGTCTTATAATCATTATGAGACATTATATTTCACTAATATAAAGACATTAAACAAATTATGGAGATATAGAGATATTCACATTCTCTTTTCAAGCAAAAGAATATGAATTTTCACTCTGGCTGGCTTTGATTAATCTCCCAGTGATTTTACCTGAGGATACAGCCCAATGGCTAGGATAGAATGGCAGAATTTCTGTAGACCAATCAGAACCATGGGCTCAAAAGGCAAGCATCGCTTTCTTCTTTGGTTGTCATGGCTTTTCTTTCTTTCTTTTCTCTCAGATTATGGCATTCTGTTTGATCATTTTCACTCCAGAGCTAATCTTTCACATTTGCAGTTCTGTGTTTATTTATACTTTTTTGTTATTGTTGTTTTTAATACTTTAAGTTCAAGGGTACATGTGCAGGTTTGTTACATAGGTAAACGTGTGTCATAGGAGTTTGTTGTTCAGATTATTTTATTACCCAGGTATTATGCCTACTACCCATTAGTTATTTTTCCAGATCCTTTCCTTCCTCCCACCCTCCCCCCCTCAAGTAGGGTCCCAGTGTGTGTTGTTACCTTCTATGTGTTCATGTGTTCTCATCATTTAGCTCCCAATTATAAGTGAGAACATGCAGTATTTGATTTTCTGTTCCTACATTAATTTGCTAAGAATAATGGACTCCAGTTCCATCCACGTCCCTGCAAAAGACATGATCTTGTCCTTTTTTATGGCTGCATAGTATACAGTGGTGTATATGTACAACATTTCCTTTATCCAGTCTGTTAATGATGTGCATTTAGGTTGCTATTGTGAATAGTGCTGCAATGAACATATGCGTGCATGTCTCTTTATAACAGAACAATTTATATTCCTTTGGGTATATGCCCAGTAATGGGATTGCTGGGTTGAATGGTATTTCTCTCTTTAGGTCTTTGAGGAATTGCCACACATTGTCCTCCACAATGGTTGAAATAATTTACATTCTCACCAACAGTGTATATGCATCCCTTTTTCTCCACAACTTTGCCAGCATCTGTTATTTTTTGACTTTTTACTAATAGCCATTCTGACTGGTATGAAATGGTATCTTATTGTGGTTTTGATTTGCATTTCTCTAATGATCAGTGATGTTGAGCTTTTTTTATGTGATTGTTGGCCGCACCTGTGTCTTTTTTTGAGAAGTGTCTGTTCATGTCCTTTGGCCACATTTTAATGGGATTGCTTGTTTTGTTCTTGTAAATTTGTTTAAGTTCCTTACAGATGCTGTATATTAGACCTCTGTCAGATGCATAGTTTGCAAACATTTTCTATTTTGTAGGTTGTCTATTTTCTCTGTTGATATTTTCTTTTGCTGTGCAGAATCTCTTTAGTTTAATTAGATCCCATTTGTCAATTTTTGCTTTTGTTGCAGTTGCTTTTGCCATCTTTGTCAAGAAATCTTTGCCCATTACTATGTTCTGAATGGTAATGCCTAGGTTATCGTCCAGCTTCTTTATAGTGTTGGGTTTTACATTTAAGTCTTTAATCCATCTTGAGTTAATTTTTTTATATGGTGTAAGGAAGGAGTCCAGTTTCAATCTTCTGCATATGGCTAACCAGTTATTCCAGCACAATTTATTGAATAGGGAATCCTTTCCCCATTGCTTGTTTTTGTCAGGTTTGTTGAAGATTAGATAGTTATAGGCTTGTGGTCTTATTTCTGGGTTCTCTGTCTTTCCTTTTTTTTTTTTTTTTTTTTTTTGATACCGAGTCTTGAGTCTTGCTCTGTCGCCCAGGCTGGAGTCCAGTGGTGCAATGTCGGCTCACTGCAAGCTCCACCTCCCAGGTTCACGCCATTCTCCTGCCTCAGCCTCTCAAGTAGCTGGGAATACAGGTGCCCACCACCACACCTGGCTAATTTTTTTGTATTTTTAATAAAGATGGGCTTTCACCATGTTAGCCAGGATGGTGTTGATCTCCTGACCTCAGGATCGGCCTCCCTCGGCCTCCCAAAGTGCTGGAATTACAGGCGTGAGCCACCGCGCCCAGCCTTTCTGGGTTCTCTATTCTGTTCTATTGGTCTATGTGTCTGTTCTTGTATCAGTGCCATGCTGTTTTGATTACTGTAGCCCTATAGTATAGTTTGAAGTCAGGTAGCATGATGCTTCCAGCTTTGTTCTTTTTGCTTAGGATTTTCTTGGTTATTCGGGCTGGTTTTTGGTTCCATAAGAATTTTATAATAGTTTTTTCTTGTTCTGTGAAGAATGTCAATGGTAGTTAAATGGGAATAGCATTGAATCTATAAATCACTCTGGGCAATATGGTCATTTTAATAATATTGATTCTTCTTATCCAAGATCATGGAATATTTTTCCATTTGCTTGTGCCATCTTTGCTTTCTTTGAGCAGTGGTTTGTAGTTCTCCTTGTAGAGGTCTTTTACTTCCCTAGTTAGCTGTGTTCCTAGGTATTTCATTCTTTTTTTGTGGCAATTGTGAATGGGAATTCATTTGTGATTTGGCTCTCAGCTTGACTCTTGTTAATGTATAGAAACGCTAGCAATTTTTGCACATTGATTTTGTGTTCTGAGATTTTGTTGAAGTTGCTTATCAAACAAATTGGGCTTAAATTGTTAAAGCCCAATTTAAGAAGCTTTTGGGCTGAGGTGATGGAGTTTCTTAGATATATGATCATGTCATCTGCAAACAGGGATGGTTTGAATTCCTCTCTTCCTATTCGAATGTGCTTTATTTATTTGTTTTGCCTAATTGTTCTAGCCAGAACTTCTAACACTATGTTCTATAGGAGTAGTGACAGAAGGCATCCTTGTGTTGTTCCAGTTTTCAAAGGGAATGCTTCTAGCTTTTGCCCATTCAGTATGATGTTGGCTGTGGATTTGTTATATATGACTGTTATTATTTTGAGGTCTGTTCCTTCAATGCCTAGTTTATTGAGATTTTTTTAACATGAAGCTGTATTGAATTTTATCAAAAGCTTTTTCTGCATTTATTGAGATAATCTTGTGGTTTTTGTTTTTAGTTGTGTTTATGTGATGAATCACATTTTTTCATTTGCATATGTTGAACCAACCTTGCATCCCAGAGATGAAACCTACTTTATCATGGTGGATAAGCTTTTTGATGTGTTGCTGGATTTGATTTGCAAGTACTTTGTTGAGAATACTTGCATCAATGTTCATCAAGGATATTGACCTGAAGTTTACATTTTCTGTTGTATCTCTGCCAGGTTTTGGTATCAGGATGATGCTGACCTCATAGAATGAGTTAGAGAAGAGCCCCTCCTTTTCAATTGTTTAGTATAGTTTCAGTAGGAATGGCACCAGCTCTTCTTTGTACATCTGGTGGAATTCAGCTATGAATTCATCTGGTCCTGGCTTTTTTTAGTAGGCAGGCTATTTATTACTACTTAAATTTCAGAACTCATTGTAGGTCTGTTCAGGGATTCAGTTTCTTCCTGATTCAGTCTTGGAAGGGTGTATGTATCCAGAAATTAATCCATTTTTTTTTCTAGATTTTCTGGTTTATGTGTATAGAGGTGTTAATAATACTCTCTGATGGTTGTTTGTATTTCTGTGGTATCAGTGGTAATAACCCTCTTATCATTTCTGATTATATTTATTTGAATCTTCTCTTTTTTCTCTTTATCAGTCTAACTAGTTATCTGGTTCATTAATTTTTTCCAAAAAATTGCTCCTGGATTTGTTGATTTTTTTTTTCTGATGGGGTCTCACTCTGTTGCCCAGGCTGAAGTGCAGTGGCATGATCTCAGCTCACTGCAACCTCTGCCACCTGGGTTCAAATGATTCTCCTACCTCAGCCTCCTGAGTATCTGGGACTACAGGCGCCTGCCACCACACCCAGCTAATTTTTGTATTTTTAGTAGAGACAAGGTTTCACCATATTGGCCAGGCTGGTCTCAATCTCCTGACCTTGTGATCACCCACCTTGGCCTCCCAAAGTGCTGGGATTATAGGCTTGAGCCATGGTGCCCAGCCTTGCTGATCTTTTGAATGGTTTTTCATGTCTCTATCTCCCTCAGTTCTGCTTTGATTTCGGTTATTTCTTATTTTCAACTAGCTTTGGTATTTGTTTGCTCTTGATGTTTTAGTTCTTTTAGTTGTGATATTACTTTGTTAACTTGACATCTTTCTAGCTTTTTGATATGAGTATTTAGTGCTATAAATTTCCCTCTTAACACTGACTTAGCTGTGTCAAGAAGATTGTGGTACATTGTATCTTTGTTCTCATTAGTTTCAAAGAACTTCTTGATTTCTGCCTTAATTTCATTATTTACCCAAAAGTCATTCAGGAGCAGGTTATTTGTTTTCCATGTAATTGTATGGTTTTGAGTGAATTTCTTAGTCTTGAGTTCTAATTTGATTGTGCTGCTGAGAGATTGTTATTATTTCAGTTCTTTTGCATTTGCTAAGGAGTGTTTTACTTCTGACTATATGTTCAATTTTAGAGTAAGTGCCATGTAGCAATGAGAAGAATGTATATTCTGTTGTTTCTGGGTAGAGAGTTCTGTAGATATCTATCAGGTCCATTTGATCCAGAGCTGAGTTCAGGTCTTTAATATCTTTTTTAATTTTCTGTCTCAATGATCTGTCTAATATTGTCAGTGGGATGTAAATGTCTCCCACTATTTTGTGTGGGAGCCTAAGTCTGTTTTAAAGTCTCTAAAAACTTGCTTTATGAATCTGGGTGCTCCTGTGTTGAGTGCATGTATATTTAGAATAGTTAGCTCTTCTTGTTGAATTGAACCCTTTACCAATATGCAATGCCCTTTTTTGTCTTTTTTTATTTTTGTTAGTTTAAAGTATGTTTTGTCAGAAACTAGAATTGTAACTCCTGCTTTTTTCTGTTTTCCATTTGCTGGGTAGATGTTCCTTCATCTCTTTATTTTGAGCCTATGTGTGTCATTGCATGTGAGATGAGTCTCTTAAAGACAGCATAACAATGGGCTTCGTTCTTTATCCAGCTTGTCACTCTGTGTCTTTTAATTGGGGCATTTAATCAATTTACATTTAAGATTAATATTGTCATGTATGAATTTGATCTTGTCATCATGATGTTAGCTGGACCTTTTGCAAACTTGTTTATGTGGTTGCTTTATAGTGTCACTGATCTGTGTACTTCAGTATGTTTTCATAGTGGCTGGTGATGGTCTTTCCTTTCCATATTTAGAGCTTCCTCCAGGAACTCTTGTAAGACAGGTCTAGTGGTAATAATTTTCCTCAGCATTTGCTTATCTGAAAAAGATCTTCCTTCTCCTTTGCTTATGAAGCTTAGTTTTATCAGATATAAAATTCCAGGTTGGAATTTCTTTTCTTTAAGAATATTAAATATTGGCCCTCAATCTCTTCTGGCTTGTAGGGTTTCTGCTGAGAGGTCCACTGTTTGTCTGTCAGGCTTTCCTTCATAGATGGCTGGCCTTTTTCTGTAGCTGACCTTAACATTTTTTCTTTAATTTAGACCTTGGAGAATCTGATGATTATGTGTCTTATGGAATATCTTACTGGGATTGTCTACATTTCCTGAATGTGAGTCTTGGTCTGTCTACCTAGGTTGGGGAAGTTCTCATGGATGATATCCTGAAACATGTTTTCTAAACTGCTTCTACTCTCCCCATCACTTTCAGGTACAAATCAGCTATAGATTTGGTCTCTTTACATAATCTCATATTTCTCAGAAATTTTCTACATTCCTTTTCATTCTTTTTTTCTCAATTCTTGTCCGTCTTATTTCAGATAGACAGTCTTTAAGCTCTGAGAATCTTTTTTCCACTTGGTCTATTATGCTATTAATACTTGTGATTGCATTGTGAAATTCTTGTATTGTGTTTTTCAGCTCTATATGGTTGGTTACATTCTTCTCTATGCTGGCTATTCTGTTTGTCAGCTCCTAAAAGGTTTTATTGTAATTTTTAGCTTCCTTGTATTGGGTTACAACATGCTCCTTAAATTCAGTGAAGTTCATTTTTATCCATATTCTGAATTCTACTTCTTTTATTTTGGCCATCTCAGCCTCAGCTCAGTTCCACACCCTTGCTGGAGAAGTGATGTGATCATTTGGAGGAAAGAGGGTACTCTGGCTTTTTGAGTTTTCAGGTTTCTTGCGCTGATTCTTTCTCATTTTGTGGACTTATCTACCTTCGATTTCTAAGGTTGCTGACCTTTTGATTTTTTTCATTTAACAGTCTGGCCACTTTTCTGTAGGGCTACTGTGGGTTTCTGGTGGTCTGCTGCAGTCTCCAGTCACTTCAAATTCTGTAGTACCTGGAGGTATCACCAGTGAAGGCTGCTAAACAGCAAAGATGGCAACCCACCTCTTTCTCTGGGAGCTCTGTCCCAGTTAGGTATGAAGCCATTGCTGACCTGAATGCACCTGTAGGTGTCAACACAGAGACCCTTGCTGGGAGGTCTCACCCAGTCAGGAGGAACAGGATCAGAGATAGACTTAAAGAAGCATTTTGGCCATGTTTTTGTAGAGCAACTGCGCTGTGCTGGGGTACCACTTCTGCCCCTGGTCAGCTTGGGCTCTCCAAAACCTGGAGGTTGGAACAGCTAAGTTGCCTGAACAGCAAAGATGGTGGGCCGCCCCTCTCTCTAGAAGCTCTGTCCCAGGAAGTTTTCAAACCTCTGTTGGCTGAAGAACACTGGTGAGGGTGGTTGGAGACCCTAGTTGGGAGGTCCTGCCCAGTGAGGGAGAACAGATCAGGGAACTCCTTGAAGAAGCAGTCTGGACACATCTTGGTAGAAGAGCTGTGCTGTGCTGGGGGATCCCTTCCACCCCCAGTTTGGTTTGTACTCCCCAAAGCCCACAGGCTGCAACAGCTGAGTAGCCCAAACAGTGAAGATGGTGACCCAGCCCTCCCCTCGGGAACTCCGTCCCATGTAGGCACAATACTGTTGCTGGTGGCTGGCTGGAATTCCAAACCAGTGGCTCTTATCTTGTGGGGCACCACTGAAGTAGGGCTTGCAGACCATTGCTGCTTATCCTCCTGAACTCATTCCTCTTCCCAGGGGTGTGTACAGAGGTCCAACCTCCTGCCTTGCCAGAGACGCAGTCACTTTTGTTGGGAAGCCCAGAACCAGAATATGTAAAGCTCCTCAGTTTCCACATAGGCCTGAGCAGCTGCTCTGCCAAAATTCCATACAGCTCTGTGTTTCAGACTGAAGGCCCTGCTGAAGTGGCTCATGAGGGGGATCTCTTGACCTGAGGGTTGCAAAGATCTATGGAAGAAGCATGATTTCCTGGGTCACAGATTCATTCTCCACTTGCCTGGGCAAGAGAGGTTCCCTTGGCTTCATGTGGCTCCTGAGTGGGTCATCGCCCTGCTTTGCTTTTCTGCGTTTTCCCTGGGTAAAGCTGTTTTCCTGATCTGTTTCATTTGAAGGTGTTGTATTTACTGGCCTCTTTCATTCCTCTCTGTGAGAGCCACACACCATAGTTCCTTCTAGTTAGCCATCTCTGCCTCAGTCCTCTTTTTCATACTTCAAATTAGCTGTATGCATGCTTTTATAGAAGAGAAGGGCCCCTAATGCATCTAAGTTATCTTATAAAAATTCTTAATTTAAGACCATGGGTACTGCTAATTAGTTCTTCTCTGTTGCAGAGTTGTAAGCTGTCCAGCAATGAAGAATTCTGTGTGAAAAACTAGAGGAGGTACTGGTACAAGAGAACATGAGGAAGGCAGAAAAGGAAAATATGTATATTTGAGCACTGTTTGCAGAGTTCAAGTCATTGTTTGGGTAAACAAAAGTTCATTATATGTTCAATGGTTCACTCTTTCGATAATCTTATTTTTTGGGTGTGGAGTGATAAATTAAAACATGTTATGATGACAGAGAGACAAAATAATTCTGGGGAAGGAAAGGTTTGTGCCTTCTCTTTCTCTCTCTCTCTTTTTTTTTTTTTCTTGAGATGGAGTTTCACTGTTGTTGCCCAGGGTGAAGTGCAATGGCAAGATCTCGGCTCACCGCAACCTCCACCTCCTACGTTCAAGGGATTCTCCTGCCTCAGCCTCCGAGTAGCTGGGATTACAGGCATGCACCACTTCACCCGGCTAATTTTTAAATTTTTTGTAGAGACGGGGTTTCTACATGCTGGTCAGGCTGGTCTTGAACTCCTGACCTCAGGTGATCTGCCCACCTTGGCCTCCCAAAGTGCTGGGATTACAGGCGTGAGCCACTGCACCCGTCCTTTTTCTCTTATGAAATTACATATAGCTTTAGGGAATTAACTTTTGCTGTCACCCACTTATCAGATATTCTCCTCTATCTTTTCTTCTCCTCTTTCCGAATTTCCTCACAACCTGCACTCCACCCTCAGCCCCATGCCAGTCTGTTGTCTATCCTGCTATAATTCATTCTTTACATGGCAATACCTCAGTGATATAAACTCACTTTTTTGCCAAAGGGGTAAACACAACTTCAGCTTCAGCTTTCACCACTGATAGGTCAGCGTCACTCATGAGAACTCTGAGGACAGCACTCAGAAACCCTCCTATTATAGCCATTCTTGAACAAAAAGCTAAAGGAGGCTTAACATTCCATTCAATCCCAATTCAGTTTGAAGGCAAATCACCTTTTGGATTGTGGATCTCTTTCAGCCTACCAAAGGGAGGCATAATTTATTTCATAAACTGAGGAGTTGTGAAGTGAGTGGATGAGTTTGGATCTCAAATCTTCCCCTCTTTAAAGAGTATGGCTTTGGAGAAGTCTCAGTCAAATGTGGATACTTCTTTATTAATTCAACACATCATGAGAGTGTTAGGGATTACTCTTGTTCCTGAGCATGTTAGAGGTAAGCAAAGTAGACAAGGCCCAGGCTCTAATGGAGTGTATATTTAGTGGAGAAGTATAGCTCATACACATAAACATTGACAGACAAGAGAAACTTTGGAAATGTAAGTGGTAAAAGAAAAACAGAGAGTGGAGTGCTAGGTCAGCGAATCTCAAACTTTAATGTGCGCACAGATCACCTGGGGATCTTGTTACAATGCAGATTCAGATTCAGTAGTCCTTGGGGGTGAGGTTGGAGATATTGTATTTCTAATAAGCTTGCAGGTGATGCCAGCACTGCTGGTCCTTGGACCACACTTTTAATAGCAAGTCTTCAGCTACTTACTAGCATTAATTTTAGGTTGTGTAGACATGGGTCAGCTTTTCTCATTAGGCTATGGTTAAGTGGAGAACCCAGACATTGAAGGTATGGGGGGAGAGCATTCCAGGCAAAGGAAGGGGTTATTACAAAAGGCCTTAGGAGCAGGGAGAGATAGGCAGGTCAAAGGAATGGAAATAAGGCCCTTGTGGCTTAAGCATAGTGATCCAAGGAGAGCAAGAGACAGAGTCAAGGTTCTATCATAAAATCTGCAGTAAGGAATTGTATTTTATTCTCAGTGTTAAGTGAGACCATGGCAGAATTGAAACAATGATCTACTTTCCATTTTCTAGGCTCATTCTGGGATATGACACAGAGAATGGGTTATGAAATAGAAGCAAAAAATCTAGTTAAAGGCCACTGCAGCTGTCTAGGTTAAAAAAAAAAACAAAACATAGTGGTAGATAAGATCAAGATGATAGAAATGGAGATAGAACACAGATAGATTAGGGAAATGTTTTGGTTTTCATTTTCAGTTGTTGATGGATTGGCTATAAGAAGTAAGAGTGGATTAAGAAAATGTGGCACATATACACATGGAATACTATGCAGCCATAAAAAATGATGAGTTCATGTCCTTTGTAGGAACATGAATGAAGCTGGAAACCATCATTCTCAGCAAACTATCGCAAGGACAAAAAACCAAACACCACATGTTCTCACTCATAGGTGGGAATTGAACAATGAGAACAGATGGACACAGGAAGGGGAACATCACACACTGGGGCCTGTTGTGGGGTGGGGGGTGGGGGTAGGGATAGCATCAGGAGATATACCTAATGTTAAATGACGAGTTAATGGGTGCAGCACACCACCATGGCACATGTATACATATGTAACTAACCTGCACACTGTGCACATGTACCCTAAAACTTAAAGTATAATTAAAAAAAAAAGAAGTGAGAGTAAACATTTCTCTCAGTTTCTTAGCTGGAGTTGCTCAGTGATAGACCCATTTACTGATTTCCCCAGGGAACTTGTTGAGAAGCAGATTTTGGAGGGTAAATAAAAAGTTCCACTTAGGCTATGATAAAAACAGTTGTCCAGGGGATCTTAAGCTCTAAGTAAAGATGAGAGGGAGAGATATGCATTTGACAATTATCCATATATAAATGGAATTGGATAATACTTTGGAAGAAATTATAAGCAACAAAAGAGAACTCAGGCCCTAGCCTTCATTCCCTCTACCATTTAATGTTTGAAACCAGGATTGGCGACCCAAACAATTGGGTTGAGATTGTATAGTCATTGACTTAAGATAAAAGCCATGAGTGTGTGATGCAGAAGCGAAGTAAAAATATGTTTCAAAAAGGGAAAGAGTCATGGAATTGAATAGTTCTGTGTGACCAAGGGACTTGGAAAAGTGAAGGTAGATTGCTGATGATTGTGCCTGCACACACACACACATCACACACTTTGTAGGGTCAAAGTGATTAGAGATAATGGGTACAAAAATATGAGAAATACCACATCACAGAACTATTGAGTATCCTGTACAGAGGCAGGACTTCTGACAAGGTCTTTCTAACTTTAGAATGTCTGCCTTTTTCACTCTGCCATCTGATTTCTGATCACACCAGCACCTTTCATTTTGGATGGGAGAGTCAATTTCAGCCAACATACATTGGCTACATCAAAACATAGCCTTTGAGAGAATGGAAAGGAGGGGAAGGGAAGCGGGGAAGGGAGGGGGGAGGAGATGGGAGGGGTGAGGGGAAGAAAGGAAGGGAAAGGAAAGAAGAAAAGGAGGAAGGAAAGAAGGAAGGAAGGAAGGAAAGAAGGAAGGAAGGAAAACTTGAATCGAATTCTGGGTTTAAGTGGCACATAGTGTCTTAACTCTACAAGTTCAGTGAGCTAATTATTTCTAAATCTTCTCAATTCCATCCCTCTCCAAGTAAAATCCATGTGCTCATCTCCTTACTCTGGCAGTTTTTGCAGCAATTTCATTTATGTCTCATGGATCCAGCTCACCTGAAGGGTAACCCCAAATAACTCTCTTTCCTTTTATTATTTATCTCCTGTGCTCAAAAACCTCTGAAAATTACTCTCTGCATTTTGAAAAAAATCAAAAGATATTTGTCTGGAAGTCAGACATTTTTAAATATTCTCCCCATTTGAAAATGTATCTTCTTATCACCAACACACATCCAACCTTAGACAAATCTCTCTTTCCATAATTTTCCCCACCTCCTTGTGTATTCCCACTTCTAGAATTAGATTTTCCTTAATACAGTTTCCTGTCTGGAAATCCCTTCCTATTCGTATCCAAATATTTCAATTTGACCTATATTAAAGCCCCACTTTTATGCCCCTTTTAAAGCAGGAAGCCTTACTTGACCAAACCAAGCCAAAAATTGTTTTATTTCCTGGAATTCGTATAACATACAAATCTCTGCCACATGGCAAGCTAACAGTCCTACGCTTCCAGTTAATTTTACCAAAAGACACATTCAACACACAAGTCATTTGGCACCCATTTAATGCCCACTGCTATATTAGGACCAGAGGGGACAGGAAAACTTATTTGCACCCTCTAGAACATAACAGAATTTCTGTCATTGACACATTTTGAGCTGCTAAAGTGAAAAAGTAGTATTTATTCTAAATTTATAAGTGCTGAAGTGGCTAAACTAAATATTAACGACTGTGCCAATGTGTAGGATACAAAGCAAATGCACAGGTCAGCCAGGGAGAGTGAGACCTGAGAAATTTCCCCCTGGCTCCCCTGGCTTCCTGGATATCTGGCATTGTTTGCCTGGTGATTAGTGAGGTGTCTCTAGGTACGTTAATGTGGAAGGCTGGATGTGTTTGACAATAAGTCAATGATTCTTTTTGACGCGACTTTAATAGTACTGAAGAAGTGATTGTAAGATGATGCTTTTTAATGGGATATAGATATAAGCGACCTGCTTTTTATGACAAAGGTCAATGGTATTGATGGGTAGTGTAGAGAAGATAATTTCCTTGGCATGGTGGAAGACAACTTGCATGATTCATGAAGGTGTTGCTCTCTCTTTCTTTTTTTTTTTTTATCTCTCCCACAAAGAGGAAAGAAAAGCACTCCTGCCAATTCCTTCTTGTTGCCATTTCATCTGAAATAAGGAAGAGGTGATGTCCTACAATGAGCTGCTCAACAATTGATGGTGACCTCTAGCTGGCCAAGGCCTTCAGAATTTGATAATCATATATGGAGTGAGTTTATTTTATTGTGAAGGAAATGGATAAGTACCATTCCAATGGGACATACAAGCAGTCAAGGAGCAAAGGCCAAGCGGCGGAGACAGGAGGAGGGCAGGCAGCACAGCTGCACTGGAGCGTACATCCCTGTGTCTACATGATACTTACAGGTTGGGCAAAAAATTACCAGAGTCAGGTCTGCAGAATTATACTCTGTTGAAAGGTCATGGGCAGGCAGAATTAAGGGAACACTGCGTGTAAAGGATACTTCTGGAAGCCTAGCCTGCTGACCTTGGGCTGAACTGGAACTGCTGGTTAATCTTGAATCAGACAAAGAGCACCATGGACACCTCGAGGAAGTGCCCACAGCCCAGCAACAAAAGTTTCTGCAGAGATTTCTTTGCCACAACAGGCTGTTCCTGAACTTTAATGAAGCTTATTTTTTATGATAGGGGGAGAGATAGGAAATAGAAAAGAGTATGGAGAAGGGAAGAGAGAGAGAGACAGAGAGAGGGTAGACAAAGAGAGAGAAGGGAGGGCAGGGTGAGAGAGAAAAACAGAAGAAGGGGTGAGAGGAAAACATGACATAAAAGTAAGGGAAACACAGAATTTATCCATGGTCAGTGTTTTTGGAGCTGAAATGTTTCAATTGTCCTTTCCTATCAGAATAGAATTCTCTCAGAAGCCACATCAAGGCAGTCTTTCTAGAGAGAACTTTTCTAGAGAGAACTGGGTCCCAATCTGCCTTCTGCACTTGGCTCTCTATTCATCTATTGGGACATTTCAGAGACTTCATTTTGGCTAATCAGTCATCTGTCCACTCCTGGAGTTTTGTTTCAAACTGGGATACATTTGTCCAGATGAGTTGTACCCTTTCTAGTATCAATCTGCATGCCTGTTTCTGCCACCTTTCCTCTGCAAGTTGCAGATGCCCTATCCCACAGCAAGCAGTGAAAGGAAATGATGGCACAATGTTGGCTGACAGTGAGAGAGCAGTGGTGTGTGCTACAGTGAGCAGCTACAAGCCTTCACACTCTGGGGGTTTTGCCAGTCATCTAAGTTCATTTTTAGAACTTGGAGAAGGAGACGGTTCTGCCATTGTCCCAAATGACATCAAGGCCACTCATTCAACATACTCATTTTTTAGTTCCTTAACATTTTCGTCTCAGAAAATAATTGCTTACCATCCACTCCTATGACCAAAATTTAGGCTTTGTCAATAAAACCAAAATCAAGCCAAACCAAATCAGACCAAACAGCTGACCTGTTCTATTTATAAAATATTAAATTCTAATACACTCCAATCTGTTGCCCTTTAGCTCTCTTGCTTGGTTATTATCCCCAATATATCTAAACTTCAATCTCATTGATACTGTAGTATGATCACCTATCTAGGTTTTTTTTCCATCTATTATATAAATCCTCACTGCTGTCTCTTGTCATGTGATCGGGCTTCTGTTGTTCAACATAGCAACATTGTTATCCATTCAAGAGTCCTTCTTTTCCTATAGCTGATTTCTGAACACTATTGAAAAAAATACTCAATATTATATTAACATTCAGGGTCTCCAGTCACAACTATGCCCTTTGTGCTACTAGATGAATGTACCATTTCCAGTATTGTTTTAAAATATCTTTTCTCAAACATTTAATTCCTTCTACTCCAGCGCTGTTTCCATATGCAACATCACTGAGAAAACAGAAGCTATTAGATTAAAACACCATCAACTTGCAACACCTCCCTACAAGATAGCTTTTCAGTAAATCATTCTTTGTGTTTGAAAGAGCTCCCCTTTCCCATCTAATGCTCATCCCTAACTGTATGCATTTGACCCTACAGTATCAACCATCTTTGGGTCAAGTTGAATTTCTTTCTACTTGACTGTTGCTCCGGATTCCTTTCCATTGGTATTGAAAGTTACTCAGGCTCTCATATAATTTAAAACAAAAAACACTAACAGGAACATTTCCTCTTTCCACCCTACTACATCTTTTCTCTTTATAACTGTAAAAAGAGTTGTCACCTTTCTTCATCTCAAAGTTACTCTTCAACCTATTGTCCTTGGGCTCTATTCCCATCATTTTATGGAATAACCCTTGTCAATGATACTAAGGACATTGTCATTGCTGAATCCGTCATTTGCTTTCTGATCATTTGCTTGCTATTATCTCTATAGGCTTCAAATTTGACAATCATTCTGTTCCAGAAATTTCTCACGTCCTAGTCTTCTGTAAACTCAAGCTATATGCATCTCCCATCACCCTTCTGGCTGCTTTTGCTCAGGCTTCTTTGCTCTTCCCTTCCTCCACACAGGCTGTAAACACTAATATTTATCAAGTCCAAATTCCTCTCTCTTTCTCTAACTTCCCCTTCTTCAATAGATCTCAGCTTGGAAATCATTTCCATTGGGGATCTTCACAAATAGGGTTGTAGTCCTTCCAATGTAACTTTCCAAAGAACCTCAAGCCTATTTCCTATTTGCATTTATTTCAAATCTTGTCATTGCTACTTTACAGGGTGACATCCCCATGGAACTATGAATTCCTTGGAAACAAGTATTGGCTTACCTTTGCTCTTGTAACTTCAACACTGAACTCCATGTTGACAAACTTTTGTCACATCACAAATATTTGTTGAATAAAATTTTATTGTAACTGAGGGAGACTGGGTTTCTGAAAGTTTCCAGACTATCTGATATAATATGGGATATTTGAAAAACAGTAAATTAATGGGTTCAGTATGGCTGGTAAGTTTAATTAGATGGCTCTAAACCACCAAAATTTATTTCCATCTCCTTATAGTGATTGCTGTGTGATTCTCAATAGACAACTCAGGGCCCCTGTGTTTTTTTAAACTTTTTTTCCATTTAAGTATTCAAATAATTAAACTACTTTGCTCAATTCTTCTTAAAGGATTTAAGGAACGGGTTATGAGATAAAGTCTATTAATTACATATGTAGTCATGTTTGGGTTTTACGGTTATCACATATTTCTGGAAAAAAGTATATGTCTGGATATGCGTGTCTATATCTACATATAATTATGTGTAAGTTGATTTACAATTTTGGTTAATAAAAAGGTAGCAATTACTAATAAGGGTGAGGCTGAAAATATAGCACACATGAAGTTCTATTCCACAGTAAACAAAGTAAACAAATTCATAAGTTATATTTTTTCTTTTCTTATAAATACTCCCAAAGTTAAAAGTTATTGGCCTAGTTTCCACTCTGATAAAAATAATGATGACTAATATTTAGTTGAATTTTTACCACTATATTTT
The DNA here is from genome assembly GCF_000001405.40 of Homo sapiens. Classification (NCBI taxonomy): domain Eukaryota; kingdom Metazoa; phylum Chordata; class Mammalia; order Primates; family Hominidae; genus Homo; species Homo sapiens. The sequence continues at coordinate 39,823,860 of NC_000018.10, forward strand.
ACCTAATATATTTGCCCTTCATTTCAGGAAACTAGCTTCAATTAACACTTCAATTTACTGAGAAATTTTAAGCACAAGACAAGAGGGCTCATATTTTCTTTAAAAATTGAACTATTCTTAAAGAACATTCTTAAAGATTTGAACTATTCTTAAAAAGACAATGTGTTTGTAATTATTTTTTCCCTTATACCAATAGTAGACACCATTTCAATAATATAATGATGTGATTGCTTGTGAAACACGGTTAGCACAATAACAATTTTCCAAATATAAATCTCAAATAATGAAACTGTTGCCTCCTAGAAAAGAGAATGTTGATTTGTGTTTTCATGAATACTTTCATGTTTTCCTGCAAGGTACCAAAAATTCACAGAATCACAGAATCTTAAAGCTGGAAAAGGCCTTGGTGATTGTAGAGTCTAAATATCTCATTTTACACATGAGAAAACTGAAAACTGATTTCCCAGACCCACAAAGGGAACTAAGAACATTCTTTTTAGTTTCTCTGCCACATATAACTCTTTTCTTCTTCCCCAAGCACCAAAGCCAGCATCTTTCACCTTCTCTAATATCTCATTTTCTGCCTCATCTGCAAGCAAATGCAGAGTTCCAGGCAAGCCCAGTGAAGTGCAAATCCCTTGCATGGCCTCTCCTTTCTTCTCCAGCACTTTTAATACACTCCTCCTTCTGTTGGGAGAATCTCTTCCTTTTCACTGCACATTTCCTATTTTAAGACTCAGCTCAAAGGTTACCTCTTTCAGGAAGATCTCTCTGACCTGAAAGGCTGAGATAAGTGTCTTTTCATTACACTTCTGGTAAGCGCTATTCTTATTGACACCACAGTATGTATATTATTGCATCGGAATTGTGGACTGACTTCTCTGCTTGCCTGTTCTCCAGGTCCCAGCACAGGGCTGGTTCATAGCTGGAGCTCGAGGAATATTCACTACATTTATGAACAATTTCATGAGTAGAATCCAATGCTCATACATACTGAAACAAAAATATGAACATAGAGGGCAGTGTGCAAGACAATAACAGAAAAAAATGGATTCAATCATTAATTCATCTGTGATAGTATTAGAAATTAATGTATTATTAAACTTTATTTCACTTTACCACATGCATAAATTTGTGCATGTGCACACACATATTAAAATGATAGAGCTTGAAAGGAGAGAAACACTTTCAGCTAAAAATTGTACCCAAGTGACTAATCCATAGGCTCTGTGGAATAATTTCTATGCAGCTCCTTAGGGCAAATACAATAAACGAAGACCTGGACTAACCATGTATTCTTATGAGGATGCTGCGGCTGAGCTGACCAAATGCCGAAACCCCCTGTCAAAGCATGTGCAGGGAGAATGGGCTACCTGTTTGCCTCTCTGGACTGCCTTTTCTGATGGAGATTCAGCTTGGAACAATCTTAAGCCCTGCCCTTGCCTGGGTCTTTGAAAAGTACTTACTGTTCCGTGCCAGTGATCAAACCAAAACCTCCATCAATTTCTCTGAGAAAAAAGCTACATGATCCAGCTGACAAAATGATGTATATTATGAATAATAAATTTCTCAAGGGCTTCAGTCTACGTTATTTACTAGACAACCATAATTTGTAATGTTTACTTAAACACTGGCTCTCAACAAAACACTTAGAAACACTTAGCATCTTGTCCCTGAGCAGTTTGCATCTGAAATTTGAACTGCTTAATTTTATTGAGTGGAAAGAATTTTAGTATGCTGCTACCCCAACCACCACCAAGACTGCCAACATAAGCCATATCTGCACCAGAACTGGACTGTGATGACTGGAAAAACACGTGAGTGAAAGCTGCAATGTCACTGTTTTTGGAGCAAAACAATGTCTGTCATGAATCACTGCCTAGTGAAAGACAAGTCTTCACCATGACTCCAGGAGAAAACATGACATACTTTATATATAAGCAAGAAAGTCCAGGCTGGAATACTTTCTGTAACCTCTACAGTACTTTTTCTTTTTTTTTTTTTTTAATCATCTGATACACTTTACTGGTTGCTTTAGCATTTAAAATGAATTAAATGCTATTAAACCCCATTTTTAGGTAGTTTCATCAGTACAGCCTAAGGGGATATAAAGCAAGGAGCTTTCTCTGGCAGAAATCCAGATACTAATGGTGTTAAAATGCTTTCTTATTGCATTTAAGTCAGTAGTTAGGTCAAGTAGACAAACATATTTTAGAATATGTTTAAATAAGCACTCTATTAAGTGTTTCTTTTCAACTCACTCATATTCTCTTACTTATTCTCTTTCCTGCTAATACAGAAAGTGACATAGTCACAGGCACTGTGGCTTTTGTGTCTAGAAATACTGAGTTTGTTAGTTAAAGTTGGAGTACCTGAGACTAATAGAAATGATGATGATTATGATGAGGAAACCGGGGGCCAACAAAACATTGCAGAGGACAAAAAGAATAAGAAGGGTAGCAAATTGCCACTGGGTAGACAGGCATCAAGGTGACACGTGTCCCTGAACACTTGATTGCATCTTGTTTGCAGAAGTAAGAAAACTGGCTACCAATTGTGCACATAAATTTAGGTTTTGTTTGGTCTGTGAAAAAAAATGAGTCTCAAACCTCATTTACAGCTACCACAGTTTTGGCAGCGAGTGATATTACTAAAGAAACTTAACAAGGACTGTGGCATTTTAATTGTAAGCATCTAACTATAAATAAAATTTGGATATATATTTTTTGTAGCGAGTGAAGAGAGACTAAAAAAAGGGCAGGAAATGAAGGGCATAAGGAGAGATTTTCATTGCTGAAATGGTGTGTGAGAAGTGGTGCTCCTGGACAAAAATGAAAGGCTAGGCAATCCTTAGTTATGATTTAGAGTAAGCAAGGTGGCAAGTGGATGAAATAAAAACAAAGGAACTCTTAGAGCAAGAAAATTATGTCCATAAAAAATAATCATACTCGTGGTGAAAAATAGAATAAGAAATAATGAAAATGAGAATTTCAGGTAAGCTTTGCAAAATGTTGATAAATTATATGAGGCAAAGGGCCATTTCAAATTTTTTTATATGTTTATATGTACCTAGCACTGTATTTGACAAAGAGTGGCTGCTCAATAAATAATCCTTTCGTATAGATGATGGATGGATAAATGGATGGATGGATAAATGGATGGATGGACGGGTACATGGATGAATGGGAGGGACTCTTCCTTTGCGATAGTCAATATAAAATTAGGGATGAACCTTTGAATTTGGGAAGCAGTAGAAGTTAGTATCCTAATGTAGGAAGTTCTAGAGACACACAGAGAAATCCCATAAACGCTTGAATTAAGTTAACATGTTATGAACCTTCAAGGGGGAATTGCTATCTGGATGCTGCCCATTGACAGATCTTGATCAACATCTGCTAGGGTGTCCACTGAACATCCACTACTGATCCATCCCATCTAACATGGAAATGGTTTGATGTTCAAATATAGGATGCAGTTCATAAGTAGTTGCTTAATTTAGAAACATATATGTTTGGGGGAATTACATATGCTGGATCACACAATTGTTTAAGATGCCAGGATATGAAAAGTATCTGGAATCTCTCTTCTCTCTCTTTTGAAAATATGGAAAATAACAATGTGATCCTACACACACTAATAAAATGTGATTTTATATTAGATATTTTTCTCTATCTTTGAAATGTATTAAACTTCTCTATATCTCTCAGATCTTTCCTTATATTTGCTTGTTATATTAGCCTTCTGAATGTATGTATTTGAGATACTTTCAGTGAGGTACATGGTCATTCAGCAATTTAATTCTCCTGAAGAAGTAGAAACTTAAATGTGCACAGAATATATTTTCCCCCCATTACTGTAATATTCAACTGGACTAAATTATCCTGTAACAGCATTTGATCATGCAGCTAGTGGATCTGGCTTCGTTTACTTTAAGGTTAGTAAAGTCACAGCTTAAATTGCTTAAGAGTTAGCAGCATCAAAGTTTCCTCTTCTTCCTTTATTAACTTCTTTACTTGTAAAGAGTTGAAAACTGGCATAGGAAGTGGAAGGTCAGTGTGGAAGAAATACTACTGGTCATCATCTCTACTTTGGAAAGGTCAATGAGACAAGGATTTACAAAGGATGTACAAAGAAAAAAAAGATGCTCAAGACTTTTCTTGTTTCAAGTCATTTAATCCTCAAAGGGAAACCTAAATCATATTAAAAAGCATGAAAATAATAAGAATAATAAAAGAAACATTCAGATGGATAATTATTTTACTAAATGTAATAGAAAATATGGCATATTATTAATGTATATGCTTTTGGAAAATATTGTCATAGACCTTCTCATTTTCATTTGCAGTGAATTCAAGTGAGTGTCCTAAAGGAAGTGAAGAGAATTATTCTCCTCTCTATGGGACTTTGACTTTCTAGAGCCAGATATAAGTGTATTTACCATCCAAAGACAAGTGAATCATAAAATTGTGTTAAATGAGAAAATTTAAGGAGGAAATTGTGTTAAATGAGAAAATTTAATGAGATAATGAGGAACCCAAAGATCAAAGAAGTAGATATCACAGAGGAAGGGGAATCACAGGGAATTTTAAGACCAGAGGAGCTGGGCTATGGTAAGAACATCCTCATCAGACCTGAGAGAAGTCTGCGAATAAAGGCAGCACAGATAAGATCATGATAGTATTAGAATCCAGACCCGGAAGCAGATCTGGAAGGCAGGTTACAGGAGCAGGAAAGTTCACACCCTTCACCTGGAGACAGGAGAATCCAGGAAGATGATTTTAATCATTACTTTTAGGGTCAGAATAAGGGGTTAGGTATAAACAATTGGAAAGGCAAAGGTAAGACAAATGTGTTTGTTTGTCTCTGTGAGAGTGCATACATGTGTGTGTGTATAAACAGTCCCAAAAAGGAGTGGCAGTGTGGGGTGGGGTGTTGAGCATATTGAAGGACACAAATCTCACTTGAAATTAGAAATAGATTCAGCTAAGTTTTCTACACTCTCTCCTGTGCAATCATGGAAGTATTATATTTCATGCAACACTTTTAGATGTTTAAAAATTAGCAACCAATGTTATTAACATCAATCATAAACTACATCTGCAATTCAACCACTTGATATAGCCCTGCACATAAAATAGACATGCACCTTCATAAAAGCAATAGTTCCTTCTCCCAGCACAGGTTGATAAGCAATCATGTATCATGATGTATATAGCCAGGAAGAAACTGAAAAGATATTGTTCAAGAGACGCAGGCCAAAAGCCTGCCTTCGAAAAGTTCTCCTGGACTTTTATTTCCCACATAGAACATTGAGGATGGTAATTTTGAAGGCACCATCAGACCCCTTACTGAGTCATATCACATTGGTCTATTTTAGGACAATAAAAGGTTGAACTCCCTTTTCTGGGATTTAAAAGTTGGGTTTCATGGAGTGTAGCTATTTCAAATCTGCAGCTGGCAGGCCATGGAATTGATACAGCATAATAACACTGATCTTCGGAACTGAGACTTCCTTAGGATGGAAATGCCACCATGGTACTCTTCAATGAGCAGCTTAAAGAAGATTTCAGTAATACTGAGCTACAATTGCTCAGTGACAAAGGTACTCCCTAGCTGTGCTTTTGGCAGGGTTTAAACTCATGAGGGTATAGTTCATAGGGTACAGAATATAACACTTCCTTCCGAGTTTGGAGAGGTATAATATGCACAATCACTATCTATTATTAGGGAAGGCTGAATGACAGGTAATGTCCAAAGATAGAAATGCTATCAAGTACAAAGCAATCTTCAAGAAGACCTGCTTAAACCAATTGCATTATTCCTATATTTTCATATTTCTCTCATTAAACTACTTATAACTTTATATATAGCCTTTAGGGCATAGGGATTAGAGAAAATTTCAAAGAAAAAATAATAATTGCTTTGCTTTGGATTATTACCCTTTCATAGAAAACTACTAAAATTAAATCTACTAGTTAAACAGGAAGATATTTATTTAAGGAAAAATACTGCTTTCAAAATTTTCAAGTGCCCTAGGGCTCATTCCTGGGATCCTTTATCTCCTCTCCATAGGTAATCTCATCTACTCCCATGGCCTCAAATTCATCTATATGATAATGACTCCTAAACTGTATCTCTAGCCTTGACCTCTCCCCCATCTCCAGGCGAGTATCTCTAAGGGATGCCTAATATGCATCTCAAATTTATCATGTTCAAAACAGAACTCTTCACTACCTTCCCCATCTCTCACCCTCAATCTCCTTTTGCCTCAATTTGTCTCATTTCCCCAGCTACCTACTTCACCAGCCAGCCAATCCTATTGCTCACGCCAAACAAAAAGGCACCTTTGATGCTTCTCCTTCCCTCTCTCTTGACATAAAATTCACAAGTAGGACCTGCTGAATCTGCCACCAAATTATATCCCATCTGTTGACTTCACTCCATCTCTGTCTCTACCAGTCTCATCTATAGACCCAGTATCCCCTATCTCTTGACTGATCTTTTTGCTCCTTCCTGGTCTATCCTCTCATGCAACAGACCAGGAAGTCTGCAAATATTGTAACGTGGATCATGTCTCTCCTGCTTAAAATCTTAACAATTTTTCAAAATATTTAGAATAAAATCTAAATTTCTGACCCTGGTCTATTAAGACCCATATAATCTGACCTGAGTCTACCTTTGCTCTCATCTAATAGCCCTCTCCCCTGAGCCAATGCTCTTAAAGCCATAGAGCATTCTTTCTGATCTTGAAACATGCCAATCTTGTTCTCACCTTAAGGCTCATTATTCCTAATGCCTTATCTGTCAGGAATGCTTTCCTCCCTAATTTTTATGCTGCTGGTTCCTTCTTATAATTTAGGACTTCTCCATTTTAATTCTCTGCAAAGTATGTATCAGTAAATAATTTCTAGTTGAACGGTGTCATTGCCTTTACAATTCGCCACTATATATCCAGTGCCTAGAAAAGTGTTAGTTTCCAATAAATATTTGGTGAATAAATGATCTTCAGAATTATTGTGTTAATTCTATAACTATGAATGTCACCGTATTTGAAGCAATTAGCTTCTTTATTGCTAGGGTGGGACAACAATCTGATCATTTAGTTATAGAGATTCTAGATATAGAGCTGTAACACTTTGTAGTCTATAATAATGTCATAAACAGCTTCTGATAAAAATAACTCAAAAAATGGGAGTGAGAAAAGTGAAAATAAATCCAAGATATCAATTTGCTCAATTTTTTTCTATTTGTACTTTAATTGGTAATTAGATAATTTTGCTACTAAACTATAGGCAATGCCTTAGTTACTATTTTATAGTCCCAGCTACTAATTTTAAAAAGTTTCCACTTAATTCAGAAATAAAGATTAGTTGCCTTCTTCAATTGAACTGTCTATTAAAATAATTAAGAATGGCTGTTAAATAGTTTGAAAACAATACTATATTTGAACAGTATGTCGAAGAGCAGGCATGAGCTGGTCTTTGCTTAAATTCTACCTTTGTTCCTCACTAGTGGTGTGACTTCAGGAAAAATTTTTGCCTTCGTGAACTTGTTTCCTCTGGTAAAAAATGATATGATAACACTTAAATCATATAATTGTTATAAAGTCCCTAAATTCCTCACACAAAATAGAAATTCAATTATCATGAATTATATTCTCTTTTTTCTTTCTTCTTGTTCGTTGTGGACACTTCTTTTCAAATATCAAGGCTTTATTTCTGTTTTTAATTGCAGTCGATGACTTTGTGTTCTGACAGCGGTTCTGTAATCAGGCTGGAGGGGAACTATCGCAGTGAGAAGAGTTGCACAATAAAACCTTTTGGCACTTTGTTAAAGCTCTTCGGAAATCTTCCGGTACCAGAACTTTCCCTCCTCCGCACCACTGCATTGCCACCACAGGCTGTATTTCCTAGCAAGAAAATTTAAAACTAGCTTAGAAGCAAAGGGAAGAGAGGACTCCTGTGCTTATATTTAGTTTCTACAAGGACAAGAGAATAGATAAAAATTACACGTAACCACAGAACTCCTTATCTGTAAGAAATCGTATTGTCTTTCACCCAATGAGGAAACGAGTTTTTGCAAAATTGATTGCTTCCCTTGTCTTATAATTTTTCTTCTTAAGGCACTGGACTCTCTACAATCTACTCTATGTATTGCATTTGCATAAATTTGTTCCCGTACCAATCCTCCAGTCCTAGGATTCATTTGCTGACTCTTTGGATTCCCATTTAAAACAACTATAAAGTTTAAAAATTTCAGCTTTATCCAGACTCACCTTTTAAGGAGAAAAGAGAATATTGAATCTAAAATAGATAATAGAAATAAAGTAGGCAAAAATAAATAACTTTTATTTCCCATGTGCACACACAACCTATGAGGTTAGGTGGCATAACAAGCTGATGTCAAATTGATGACTAGACCCAAGCCTACCAATTCCTATTTAATGTTTTTAATTCCTACACTGTGGGCCAATTTCTATATGTGAAATATATAATTCTTGCTTGTGTAAGTGTGAATAGCTATGGTGGGTTTATAGCCTTTTCTCAGCATTGTTGCAAAGACCCAGGCACACTGCTCTTGCTGATGGGACAGTCTCTCCACAAAGTAAGCAATGACGCTTGGAAAAAGAGAAAGCCAGAATGAATCTATCATGATCTAGGGGATATAATAATCATTCAATTAAGGTCATCTATTTATTTTATTATAAAACATTAATATCAACAACAATATTTAATGCATTCAATTCAACAAATAAATATTTATGGAACAAAATATGATTAGCACAGTGCCTAGCTCTAATAAGTGCTTGATAAATGTTAATTATTATTGTTTTATTTTTCTGTGTCACATACAATATATAATTTTATTAGGAATCTATAAAGTAGCTATTATTGTTTTAATTAGTGTTATTACAACTATCATCCTCACTCAAGTTTTACAAGTGAGAAAACAAAACAAGGCATAAACATAATCTCTGCCACTCTAAACCAATGAGAATTTGACAAGAGGTTAGAGATTATCTATTTGTGTCCTGCACCCAGTTCAATGCTGCCCTCTATTAGTTTTAGGCAGAAAGTCACATAGTCCCCTTGTAAATCCTTCGAGACCCAGGGATTCCAGTATGTAATTATTTTGTATTTTACTCACTGTAGTCTGCAGAAGGATCTTCATATACTGAGCCCAGTTCTCTCTCCCAGTAACTTCTACCAAATGGCCCTCTGTTAAACTCTCTCTGGGACTTCAAGAAATAATGTGAATCTCTCTTCTTTATGGGTATCATGGTATCATGGTGAAAAACCATCATGACATGTCTCCTTCTCTTCTTCAAGTTCAACGTCCAATTCCTTCAGCAATGCCCTGTCTGATATGTCCTGTACTTTACTATTAGTTGCTTTTTTTTCTGTATACTCCCATTTATCCATGCCCATTTTTAAAATGTGCAGTCAGAACTTTATAAAATATTTGAGTCATGGGCTAGTCCAAAATATAGTGGGACAAATAAATGTCCTCAATCTTTAGCCTATAAAAATCCTATGCAATCCAATAAAATATTTGAGTCATGGGCTAGTCCAAAATATAGTGGGACAAATAAATGTCCTCAATCTTTAGCCTATAAAAATCCTATGCAGTCCAAATTTCAAATTTCAGCCCAAATGTCACCAGTTTGATACAAGCATCATCTTCACTCAGTTGGCAAGTAGACATCACCATTTTAATATTTGTTTATATACAAATATGTTCCCTAATCTCTGGAAGACAGCTAGGATATATCTGAAGCATTTATGTGAGCATTTTGTGTGTTTTGGTGGGAATGGCAACAAAACATTAATTCTATACATCCAGCACCGCTACTCCCTGTCACATGTGGTAGGCAGTGGAGAAACTGAATGAGTAGAATGAGTATTTTGTGTAAAGAAAACATCAGCTCCAAACTCCCTGAGGCAAAAAAGCGCTACGGACATTTGAAGGAAGAAATGAAATCCAGCATCTTGGTGTGGTGTGGAAAGTATGGTATGACATCTTAGTATCTATAGTTTTAAAGTAATTCTTGGTACATTAACACTGATAAGAATATTGAACAGAGATGACCAAGTGTAAAGTTCTATGTCTCAACAAAATGATATCTTTCCAGGTTGACAATAACAATTTTAAATACTTATATTTTTGTTCAACCATTTTCACTCAAGCTCCAATTAATCCATCTTCTATATTTGAAAACATTGTGAAGAATTTTTTATTTGTATTGTTGAACAAAACACTAAAAAATATTTTTTTCCTTTTGGTTTGTGACTATTAAAATTTTTTTACTATGGAAAAAAGAAAGGGTTAAAATTATGAATGTATAAGTCAAATGAAAGTAAGCTGATTTTTTAATAGACAGCTCGTCAAAATCTTTAAAAGAGCACACATCACCACCCTTTTCCCCCATAGAATACCCATAGTTTTCTGTGGAATTCCAGTGATCTCTGGAAAAAAACATGTGACAAACATTCCATTAGGTACATTTTCTAAGAGCTTTACATTATCCTGAGGTTGTAAGATTCCCTATACTTACTATCAAACAACAGGGTAGAGTGGCATATAAAAATGTGACATGATGAATACTGCAGCTGTTGGAACTCAGAAAACAATACCCCAAAATGAAAGCCTCAGAAGCAAAAGTTTTCCTCTCACCTTCTGCTGCCCTCCTGTCTCCCAGTCCTATCCTTCCCCAGGGCTAGCCATAGAAACTAGAACCCCTTTTCCTTAAGGTGGGTCATAGAAACTTGAACCCTGTTTTCCAAAGCCAGCCAAAAACCCTAAAAATATGAATCTAACTTTCCCTCTGCCTTTCTTTGCAAAAACTGGCCATAAAAAATTATCTGACCTACGTTGTTTGGCTGTAGGACATGAGAACCTCATTCAGGACAGGGTCCTGCTCCATACCAAGAAGGGAAGAATGCATGCTCAGAGAGGCCAAGAAGAATCTAGATGGACAGGCCGGGATGGTTTCCCCATTCGGTCTAGAAGCATTAGATCATACCCTTTTTGTCCAATCATATTTCTACATGGCTGTCCATATGTTATTGAACCTAAGCACAGAAATAGACAATTTCCATTGTGTCTTTGTGTCTTCATTCTGAAGGCTCCCATGTACATGTGTGTGCCTTTTCTCCTATTAGTCAGCTTCTCGTCAGTGATTTTCAGCGAACTTTCAGAGGGTGAAAGGGGGGTTTCCCTTGGCCCTTATACTGCTAATAATTATTACAGAAATTCAGGGAGGAAAATAATCCAAAGATAATGAAATATTAAAACTGGGGTAATTTTCATGGAGGAAGAATATTTTAGGACCCATATGCTGCAGGACATAAAGGTTGCTGGTGGGTCCAACAGAGGTTTCTGAGTCAGACATGCCCAACACAATACATAGGTCAGGAACTGTGGCTGCTGAAACTAAAGACATTTTTTCTCAACCTTTATAAGCTTTAATTTTTCCAACCTATCAAACAAGTCTTTTTCAAAATGACCATAAAAATAAACACTGAGAGATATTTATGGAGCTGCTGGTGGCAAGTATCATGGAACAAGGCAGTGCTTGATAAAGGCAGTAGGCTTTGGAAGCCAACAGTGGATTGGTCTCCTTTGTGTTGTGATTTTAGAACTCCTGCCTACAACTCCTTTTCCTACCACTAGAGACACATCCATATGGATACAAGGGATATTTAGGTCATCAAGAGGGGATCCCTATGATTTCAACCTATGATCAGTACGACTTGTTCCACAAATTCAGAACTGGTATATACTTCAATTTCTGATTGTGTTTAGTTAATCCAACCACCCACCCAATCCCGCTTAAGGACAAATATTTTTTGGCGCCTACTTCCCTTCTGTAATTTCTTAAGGACATGGGAATTTATCCATTGAAGTGTTTCAATTCTCTTCCAAGTGGCCAAGGAGAAACAGATTAGTTCTGCTTATGTTTGTTTATTTTTGGCCTCAAGGCATCACTCTGTAGGACAGGGCCTTCTGACTCAGTGAAGTATTTCTTTGTTCACAGGATGCTCCTGCAGCCCAGATCTTGCCCAGTCTGCACAAGTATCTTGAATTAGACTCATTCTTTTCTCCCTCCCTCCCTCCTTTCTTCTTTCCGTACTTTTCACCATACCATTTCATGCACAACCATGGAGTCCCTACAGAAAAATCAGACGTTCCTGAGAATCTTAGAGGCTCGTAAACTGGGACTGGGATACCAGTCTAGATTCTCTTTTCTTCCAGAAATTTTATTTTAGGGAACAGTTTGACTTTCCCTGTCAGTGGGTGGAGAAAAAGATCAGCCTGGTCTTTATATCCAGAAACCAATGCCTCATTATCCAAAGTAATCATTTTTTTCCCCTCAGCCAACAGAAAGGCAGGTTTACTAAGCTTCTCAACAAATAGAAGCTGTTACTCACTAGCATTTTCTAAGAACAGTCAGTGACTACTGCCTCATATATGTGGTACTGAGAAAAGACATCGCAGAGGGTTTTTTCTGATCACTGCTGGTCTGTTTCAGGTTACTTGGTGAACCTCACCCCTACATATAGGAGAGAGGGTCACGGTTCTACTGTCTTCTCAAGGAGTCCTCTTTTAATTCAAGGCTTAAGAGGCACCCTGATGCAAAAATATTTCTAAGGAAATAATAGCTTTATTATAACTTTATTGTCTAAGAAAAAATCTGAACAGATAACTTTGGGAGGTTGAAAGAGATCAGAAGCTACAATTAAAGGAGTAACAGGAGAAGTCTAAAGGCAAATTTCCTCTTTGATGTGATGTTGAAGACCCACAGCAGACTGGGAGCTACAAGTTTATTTTCTGAGTTATTTTAGAAATTATTTTTCCTAAGGAAGATTTAAAAACATTATTTACATGTGAACAAAAATGATCATATATGAAGATAATTTATGAGCTCATAGTAACATCCTAGTTATTCCTCAATATTCAAAATGAAAGACAAAAGCATAATATGCTTTAGAGAAGGTGTGGATTTTTTTTTCTTATTTTAGAGACAGGGTCTTGATCTGTTGCCCAGGCTGGAGTACAGTGGTGTGATCACAGCTCACGGCAGGCTTGATCTCCTGGGCTCAAGCAATTCTCCTACCTCAGCTTCCCAAGTAGCTGTGACAACAGGCACATGCCACTATGCATGGCTAATTTTTTGATTTTTTGTAGAGACAAGGTCTCACTATGTTGACTAGGCTGATCTCAAACTCCTGAGCTGAAGCGATCCTCCTGCCTTGGCCTCCCCAAGTGCTGGGATTACAGGCATGAGCCACCACACCTGGCCAAGACATGTATTTTTATATCAGATAGAATAGGGTCATACCAGCAAAGAGCACAAAATGTTACGCAACTGATGTCTCAGAGTTCTCCTTTATAAAATGATAGCTATATAACTGTGAAATATGATTATATTACTCCTTTTAAAAATTGCTACAATGATTAAATTAGATAATTCATGTGAATAAATGTATATTTATTGGCTTTCAACTTTTTGGCTGTGTAATTTAATCAATTTACTTAACTCCTGCACCTCAATTTTCTGATTTTTAATGTTTGCCTTATTATAGTAACTACTCAAGGGATTATTGTGAAGATCTTATACATGTTAGTTCTTTAAGTAGTGACCATTAAGTACACGTGATGATGATGATGATGATGATGATGATGATATACTGACTGCCTGGCTGTAGTAAACACCAATCAATTGTGATCATTAATTTTTATTCTCTATGCAGAACTCTTTAACTTAAAAAAGTCCACCTTCAGTAATTTATAATGTGTTAACTAATAACATAGTTGTTAACTTCACACTCTTCCTTTCTATTTCAATGGTCTATTTTTTATTTTCTTCCTAACTTTGTATCTGTCTTCCTTTCTTTCTTACTAGGTAAGGCCTGAATATTTTACACCTAACTTTAGAAATGCCCATTAAGTTATATAAAATAATGAACAAAACATGTAAGTTGAACTAGAAAGAGCACTGGTCTTAATAGAAAGAGAGCTGGGTTCTAGTCCCCATTCTGACACTTTCTATGAGAGCTTGAGGTGAATTATTACTTGGAATCTAAATATACATTTATTACTTCTGCTCTTGAAACTCAGCTCACTGAAGGACCATTATAACTCTTCTTGTCTCCTAGCTTCTAGTTGTCTCCTGACCTTGAAGTTGTTGTTTCTGCTGCCACCTTCCTCCTTTACAGCATCCATTTCAAATTTGAAAGTCTCCTTGATTATATCATGATTGTTTCAGAAGAGCTTTCTCTTTCAGTCCATCTTATAGAAAACTGACAAGTTAGGTTGGCTGGCCTTTAAACTAGTACACTGCACAGTCCAAACAGCCAAAATGAGGAGAGGGGCCTGATGACCCAGAACAGAGTTTAGGAAACTCTATTCTGCTGGTGTAAGCAAACGTTTTTCTTACAAGGCAACAGGTATAGAAGGCAATATGACTGATTCATATAAAACAAAGTTTAAGACTATGTGCCTGGGCCGGCATTTGGCACCAAGAAAATAAAGCTGAATAAGACATAGTTTTTGCCCTTCAGGAGCTCATAGTCTAATGTGTTAAATAGAAATTACATTGAGATAAAATGAGTGCGTAACTGCTATCAAAAGGTATGTGCTCTCTGCAAGGGCAAAATAAAAGGATCTTAGCTTATGTTGGATGTTAAGAAACATTTACTCTTTAGAGTATGATCCTTGAGCCTGAGTCTTAAAGGATGAGCAAGAATCTGGAAAAAAAAAAGTGTCAGAAAGTCATTCTACATCACAGAGACATGGATGAAGAACAAAGGTAAAGAAGTGTGGCAGAGGACTGGAGTGTGAGTGTGTGTGTGTGTGTGTGAGATCCTACAACTACCGCCATATGCTGGGTAACAACATTTTGGTCACCAATAGGCCATAGCTAGGGCGGTGGTTTTATAAGATTACAATACAGTATTTTTACTATGCCTTTTCTATGCTTATGTATGTTTAGATGTGCAAATACTTACCGATGTTTTATAATTGCTTACATTACTCAGTACAATATTATGCTTTATAGGTTTGCAGCCTAGGAGCAATGGGTCATACTCTCTAGCTTAGGTGAGTAGTAGGCTAAACCATCTAGGTTTGTGGAGGGAAATGATGATGTTTGCATAACAACAAAATTGCCCAGTGAAGCAATTTTCACAATGTGTCCGTGTAGTTAAGTGACACATGACTGTGGCTCAGCACTTCTGGTCATCTAGAGAGTAGGACAGATGATTAATACATGAATGAGAAGGGAATGGGTATAGAAAGAAAAACACTGTGAGGGTCAGAGCGGGTGGTTAAAGACATAGAAGAGAGGGAGAATAACTGATGAATCTCTGTCCTAGCGGAAATGAGAAAAGATGAGATGGAGAGAATTGCTGGATGGAGTGCTACTATAAAGGGCTTCTCTCCCTTGAGACAGGAGGAAAGGAAGTAAAGAAAGGAGTACAGGTAGATAAACATTTTGATGGGGAGCAGAGTGATGAGGCCCATTTCCCCAGTGGCTTTCATTCTTCTGTGAGGTAGTTGAGGGGTTTGCCTGCTATGAGAGTGTATAGGGTGGTAAAAACCTTGAAGAGAAGGCCAATGTTTTGGCATATTCACTAAAGATCCCAGGAAAGAAGAATCACTATGTGTAAGTAAACAAAATAACTAGTGAAAAATAAATAATCAAGAATAAGTAAAATATTAGGCAGCATAAAAGGTCCATCCAAGATTGTGTGCAGTGAATTTGTTGATAACAATAAGCAAGGCTGGATGATTTCCACCAACATTGTCTTGTTCCCTGGCTCTAGGAGAAAAGAATGCAGATTGTAGTTTTGATCTTTTTCTATGCTCTCTATAAGTTTCCAGTTAGGGTTATGCTTTTTCCAGAAGAGAAGGTGGGAGGGCTCTTAGTAATAATGATTCAGGTGACCAAGCTTGGGGGTCAGGCTGGCAAGGCTTATGGCAAGAGCTAGGTGGGGAACAAAGAGAAGCTGATTTTCAGGATAGTGTGAGGATCACTCAAGCAGAGGACTTTATGAGGTTGAAGAATTGGCGGAATGAGAGAGATTATTAGAAAGCTATAAGATGAGGTGATGTGGTGAGTCAACAGTATAGTATGAGACTGCTGGAATTACTGATGTGATAATAATTCTGGGGTTGATGCTACAGGAAGCTAGAGCTAATAATAGTTCAAATTAGGCCTAATATTCAAACCGAACAGGGGACGTAGTCAAATGATAGAAAATTTCGACTCTGTTTTCTGCCCCATGATCTGGCATAATGTTTTTAAGGAAGGATAACTCAATGGCTAGACTTTTGTATAGTATCTTCTTCTTGTTTTCCCCCTTGTCCCACCTCCTCATCATTTTGAAACAGCTTTACTTTGAGTCCTATAAAACCCCCAGTAAGCAAAGTTGTAGACTGTGAAGCTCTACTTTATTTGGTGTAAATAATCAAAGTTACTTAAGGTTTTACACATATTACAAAATTGCTGGGGTCAGGGTCAGGAGGAAGTGTTTCTGGCCCTTGTACATTTGCTGAAAGTTTGAATCAGGTGAGAGTGAAGGAAACAAGACCCTAGACAAAATAAAGAGGTAAACATCTGTCACCTTTGTCCTCCTGCTCCTTGTGTGACGAAGGTTGCCATGGTGCTAGAAGAGAACAGAACTCAAAGAAAACAAGCAAAATGTACTGAACGTAATATGAGGAATTTTTTTAAATCTTTGATTTTTTTTCCTCTGACTCAGACTTGGTGAGAAAATTTTCTGACTCACTCAGTATGTTATATACCATGTTAACAGTAACTTTTTCCAATATAGCATATACTCCAACCAGAGTAGTTTCAGCTTTTCCTATTTCATCCTGGGGCCCTCGGGGATGCAGCTATTGGGCTACTGTGTGTAGTTTCTGGTGATAAAGATTTCTGATGTAAAGGATTTCCAAGGGATGACAAAGTCCATGATGAGGGACTGGGTGTGGACAAAATAAGTGGTTTGGAGACAAAAGCCCTCAGCTTTTAAGGTGCGAAACAACCTCTGCCCTTTGTTTTCAAATAAGTCATATCTGGCTGATCAAAATAAATACTGTAGCACCATTTGGAAGCTTCCTCTGAAGAAAAATGCCTGCTCTGGGCCAAAAGCTGCAGCAGTGAGCCTGTTCCTGCCAAAGTGATTTTTCCCCCTTCTTTGTTCCTCTTGATAATCCTAACAGTCTTTTGTATGTACACAGAGCTGAAAGCTATAATAACCCCAATTTTACAGATAAAATAACTAAGGCTCAGGAACAGAACGAATCTTCCCCCAAAGTGCACGGCAGGACGGTAGTGAAGCTGGAGCTAAAGTCTGAATCTTCACATCCTGCTCCCTTCCTGCATGGCCAGCCTGGTCCCTGGCAGAGAAGACCAGTGTTTCTCCATGAGTTCATGTGCATCTGTGCGTGTGTCCTCTGTGCACTCAGGCCTCCAGGACTTTTGTCACCGTCCAGAATCACTGGTCTTGACCATGACACATTCTCCAAGAAGCTGAACTCCCGTTTTTGTTTGTTTGCTTATTTTTACACAGTAGCACATCTGTGTGCAAAAAGAGAGAATGTGGTGTCCAAGCTGCAGGATCTGACCCCCGAAGCCTCGCCAGCGGCGTCTGTCCGGCTTGCTCTTCTGTCTGAGCTGCGCTCCGGGGAGGCGCCTGGCTGTTTAGCCGCCGTATCCCCTGGCAATCTGTTCAGGAAAATAGACCAGAAAGGGCTGCCCAGGGCTGCGCCAGCTTCAGAATCCTGCTGCCATCTAGGGATGAGATGAAGCGTCTTCCCGCGTACAGCCGCCCTGATGGATCGCTGGGGCCTCGGGCGGGGTGCACCGCTGTCCTTTCGCCGCCGTCCGGGCGGCACTGCACGTGCAGCGCGCGGTCCCCCACCCAGCGCAGCCCGCAACACCCCTGGTCTGCCGCAGGAGACCCTGCCGATGCCACTCAGGGTCAAGACTCTGGCGCGGTGGAAACTGCAGAGCAAAAGGAAACACAGACAAAAACAGTGAGAAGGTAAAAAGAGAGCGAGAGAAAACAGCTAGGGAGCAAGGAGCAGAAACCCTGCAAGAACAGAGACAAAAAGCGGAAGGTCCATCAGCGGAAGCGGGCTGCCCTAATCACCTGCGATGCGTGTGTTTATGGAACCTTGTCACTGTCACCACGCTGGTGTCCACACGCAGCTTAATGAGGTCCAAAGCGCCAAGCTACTTTATTTTCCATATATGATTTTCAATGTTTCCTTTTGCAAAAAGGAGCGGGGGCTGTGTAGGGGGGAGTGCAGGGAATAGGGTGGTGGAGGAAGTTAAGGAGGGGAGGGGGGAGAGCGGAGAGGCTGGGTGGGCGGGGGAGATACTACTGCCTTTAGTAAAGATTGCATAGAAAATCCGGAAAGAGGAGACTTATGGAGTTAACTTTATTGTCTTATATTATGGTGTAAGCATCTCTTTCTTCTACAAACAGAACAATGGGCCTTTCAAAGAAGGGAAGGGGAGAGGGTTGACTGGTGGGGGGGTGGGCGGTGGGGGAAAGGGAGGGGTCAGGGATTGGGGAAAGGGTCCTGCTGTTGACTGGGAGGCCCTGCTGGGAAACTTCAAATCACATTCTTTCTGAAAGGAAGTGTTATTAAAAGTAACTTTAATCCTTCCAGCCAGACGGCTCATAAAAGCATACAATTAAGTCAAACAAATGACAAGAGCATTTTCTCTCCTACCTGTTTCCCCCTTCTGAGAGTAATTAGTACAGGCTAGTCTTGTCTCATTTCGTGCAAATAGAAGCAGAGCGCGGCTTTGGTAGGTGCCAGATTTTCTCTTACTTTCCTCAACCTGCCTCTTCCTTCCCTATCGCCCCACCCAAAACCCGGTTCAGCTCTTGGTACCAACCAGCCTGTCTGCAGATCCAGCCAAGAACAAAGGGGCGAATTTCAATATTTCCTCTTTGTGCAAGGTTAATTGAAAATCAAAAAGTCACTTTTCAAATGTCATATTAAACCCGCCACTGCATCAATTTCCTTTTGGTGCCCATCTCCATAGGCAAGAGAAAAGTGTTTTGCGGGGGAGGGAGGCGGGGGAAGTAAGGACACAATGAGGGAAAAGAGAGAGAAAGAAGTGAAGGGATTAAAAAAATCAGAGATACACACACACTTTGATTGCAGATAGGCTAACATGCAGCGGAAAATTGTTTCCCAGAGTGTCCTCAGTCAAAGGCAGCCTTTACATTCGATACTGCGTTACTTGATATTCCAGAGACAGAACTGCATCCTAAACCTAGAGAGATTAGGCCTCCATGTTTTTATGTTTTAGTAGATGGATCACAATATGATTGTCATAAATGCCATCAGATTTTAAAACCTTAAAGGGTAATGTAATAACCTGATCATCTTCATTCGCCCTTCCCACTTTTTATACCCCTCTGAAACAGGTACAGAAACACACAGACATCCCCACAGATAGAGATACAGCCCTATGGGGTTCTGACAGTCAGTTTTTGTCACAAGGTATTTTGGAAGTGTTGGGCTGGAGTTTAATGATCTAGCATCCTTAACTTTGCTTCTGGCCCAGTGACTGTTCTCTGTCTGGATTTCCTGACACTCAGTTTTCTCCTTTCTAAAATAAGCCATAGTATCAGCCTCCTGAATTCACTACTCAGACTACATGAGGGGCCACATGAATAGAACAAACCCATACTGATGCTTTACCCTCTTCTCACGTTCCCTAGGTCTTGTGCTTGATTAGGTGATCTTAACAAGCTCAGTTTTCTGGAGTGGGAACCTGGCTTGTTGGTGCCAGTATTCCTGAGGTCTGCAGAATGGCCTGGGGATAGAACTCTCTGTTGCCAGGCTTCCTCATGCTCACTGTGTGTGTTTCCCGTGCTCCCTGCCGCTCTGCTACACTCACTTGCCAGTCGTTCCTGAAGCCAGTTGCTTTCCTGCCCAATTGCTTTGGTCTTTCTGTCTAATATTTGTCACCTTATTTTCCAGGTATGGGGCTAGGGGTGTACCCTCTCCTATGATGTACCAATGAATCTATTTCCTGTGGACCAGCCATGGTAGATAAGCCATGATAGGCTTATCTACCAGGAAATATTTGATTTACTACAGCTTTAACTTCTAAATATGCGTACAAATAACTTTTTGGTTAGATAAGCAGAGTGAAGAAGCAGAATTGTAAATTGAATTCATTCTAAGATGACCCACCTGCATAAACCAGGCCCCTAAACCTTTTTTCATCTTCAATAATATTGTAATATTGTGGTGATATCAGATGTGCCTATCAACCCTAAATGAAGGGTAGGTGGAGAAGAACATTACAACTCTCTAAACTCATTAGAATGCAAAGATAGAGAGAGTTTCTGTAACAACAGCCACTAGCTGTGTCAAAGTTCTCCTAGTGGCATTATCTTCATTGGTAAGATTGAATAGACAAAATCAGTGTCTTACCCTTTTAGATTTCTATCAACCCATACCTGTATGCAATATGCTGTGCCCTAGTAGACTCTTTCTTACAGATTTTCATTAAAATATTGCATCTGTTATACAAGTTTTCTTAGCATGCCCAGATAACAATTACTTCTTCATTGTGCAGCACTTCTTCCCATATAAACTTCTGTCTCGGTCCATTCAGGCTGCTATAGCAAAACACATTAGACTGAGTAATTTGTAAACAACAGAAATTTATTTTTCACAGCTATAAGGGCTGGGAAATCCAAGAATAAGGCACCAGCAGATTTGATGTCTGATGAGGGCTCCCTCTCTGCTTCACAGATGGTGACTTCTTGCTATTTTTTCACATGGTGAAGTCAGTGAACAAGCTACTTTAGGCCTCTTTTATAAAGGCGCTAATCCCATTCATATGGGCTCTGCTCTCAGGATGTAAACCCCTCTCGGAAGCCCCACATCTTAAAACTATTGCATTGGGGATTAGGTTTCAATATATACATTTTGCGGGGGACAAAATCATTTAGATCATAGCAGCTTCTATTAGCTACTGGTAACAATTTGTTGTAAATAATTGGACATATGTGTGTCTCCTTCCCACTCTCCAAACTTACTGAAAATAAGGATCATATCTATCCACTTTATAGTTCAGGAACTTAAGGGTAGATGTTTAATAAATAATTGTTGGAGGTTGAAGAAATATAAAAAAGAAAATGCATCTGGGACTGTAATAGCATAATATCTAGATATTTTCCAAGCAATTTAGTAATAAAAACCAAATTTGTCATCGTGTTGGGCCAGCAAAAAAGCAATCAGATGGCTGGATTAATTAATACCTGCAAACAATCATGTTAGAATTTTCACATATAGTCTAAGTTGACAGAATATGCATGTGCATCCCAAAACATTCTTTTAGCTGGTGAAGCTGTTTACTTAAGACATGCTTACAGTGAAAATTTGCCAGCATGACTTCTGTTTCCTTAGTCCACTTGAGTTTATTAATCTGATCTAGAATTTCCTGTCCTCAACACTACCACTAAAATGAAAGAAAGAGAAAGAGGGAGGGAGGAAAGGAGAAAGGGAGGAAGGAAAGAAGGAAGGAAGGAAAAGAACGAAACTTTGTATTTAACAGATACATCTACTCTGGAGTTGAAGTGGAATTCTGACAAGCCAGTTGGGCAATTCTAAAGGAAAACTTTTAAATTCCTACTTTTAAAACATTGGATGGTGAGAATAGTAGGTTATTGCTGGTTATCACTATTATGTTATATTTCTACAGAGAGATTCTCCAGAATCTTTAGAGGGCTCTCATTGAATGTGGAGTTTAAATATATGAGTAGAATTTATTTACAGTGGTAGAACTGGGAATTGGAACTAATGTATGCATAGTGCGAAGGAAAGTCTGAGAACTTGGTTTTAGTAAAACTGGCATTTTGCCCTGATACTTCCTTTAATCCTCTATATAACCTTGGGCAAGGAACTAAATCTCTCAGATACTATATCTTCTATATTTTTAAAAGAGAATGTGTTGGGGAAGGCAATGGGTGAGACAATGCTGATCTAACATATGAATTATGGTGAGAATCAAATGAGTCAGTATCTGTGAAATTGTGAAAAAAGTTACATGCATGTTAGAACTAGAAGACATTATTTATTACTTATATTTTAGTAACCTATCCAAATATATTGAATGCTTACTTTATGGTGACTTTGCTGCTCTGGTGCCAGAAGCTGGGCTCCAATTTGCCTGAATCTCTTAATGAAATCTGCTAGTGCAGAGTGTGTCATATTATCAAAAATTTTTGCATTGTCTTTTGATGGTAAGTACACACATATTCAAATATCTCAAAAAGCCGCTCCTGTTGAAAAGATGGATGTAAGTGTTCTAAAGTCCGAGAGACAAGGGAGCTGTGGTAAAGGTTAGGATAGCTTTGCCAGACCAATGTCTCTTCTCATTTATGTCGCATGCTTTTTATACCCTTCATACTCTCTCTTTTTAACAATCTCCTTCTCTCCCTTAATGCTAGTATTTTGTAAGATATTCAAAATGTGTATTTAATCCATCCAAGTTTGTAGTCTCCAGTGTCAAAGCTTCTGCTTAATGCTGAGTTAATGCTCAGTCGTGCCAAAGCTTGAAGCTTTCAACGCAGCCCTGAAACCAGCTGCGACACATCTCTAACGCTGAGGCTTTGGCTCCAGAGACTGCTGCCTGCATGGAGTAAATGCATCATTTTTTAAAGCTTTGTCAGTGCAGTCTAAGAGCTGTGTACAGTGTAATTGGGGATCTTTGAAAAAAATATATATTTGAAACCATTTTACAAGAATCATCAGGGGAGGCTTGCTTGAAACTTTTTCTTCTTAACATCTCACTGCCCCAGAAACAGGTCTATCACTTTGGGTAGTTTTTGCTTTTGAGCAGATTGTTTCTTTTCTTCAACCATCTTTTCTTTTTCAGTAAGCTGAAGTAAATACATTTGAGAAGGGAGACATTCTTCTCTGTAGTCTTAGAATGACAAATCTTGGAAGGAAGAACCTGGTACATCCTATCGTAGGCCATTGCTTCTCCAGGTGTGGTCCATGGATCAACAGCATCAGTGTCTCCTGGGACCTTACTAGAATGCAAATTATCTATGGGGAGCACCCAGGGATCTGTGTTTTAATAAGCCCTCAAGGTGATTCTGCTCAACATTAAAGTTTGAGAATCATAGCTCTAGGTTATCTGAATTCAGAAATTCCTGATATTGCATCCTTGGGAGATGATTGTACAGCCTCACTCAGAACATTTTAAGGATGGGAGACTCACTATATTAAAAGCCACCTGAAAAAAAATCAACCTATTCTGTGAGTAAATGTTTTCAAAAAGTCATTTTAAAATGTATTGAGAGATACCTACTTCTATAGCATTCTTTTTGTTTTTATTCTTCTTATCTTCAATGCTTGGCATTGAGTAGGTGGTCAATATATTTGTATTAAAATGAAGAAAATATTGGCCTTAGTTTTGTTTTCTAGACAAACCTATCTAATCCAATAAATCCATCTTATCTTTATTTCATGAGGCAGCCTGTCAGATATTGAAAGCTACTAAGATGTGCAAGTCCTCTCTTCTTTAAGTTAATGATGGCTGGATTTCTCGCATCCACGTCAGAGGACACTGCACACAAACTCAGGCATCCCCTGCTGACTGTCCTCTGGAAGTGGACTCTTTATCTTCTAGGAACAATGAAAAACCTCAGAACCATTACATATCATCTGGAAATAGACCAGAGTTTCCTGTGTATACAAATGCAAATAATTTTTAATAGAACTTAGAACTTTAAAATTAAATCTATTAAAATTGACATTATTAGTTCTGACCTGTTGAACTTTTCCTCTGTTATTCCTTCTTTATTGACAGTATTTCCCCTGTGTTTTAGAAGGCTAAAAAAGTTGTGTAAATAATAAATGCTTCTTAAAAAAGTATATAAATTAGGAAGGCAAACAAGAGAAAAATAAACACTTATAATTATACAATCCAGAAGAAATAGTAATTAGTAATTGTCTTTCTCCTTCTCTCTGCAGAAATATCTATATCTATACATACACATGCCCTGAATATATGACCATATTATAATTTGTATTATTTAGAACAAATCTTGATGCAAACACACACACATACACATCAGGTATCCCAACTTAGTTCTAAGTAGGGATTTGACATATCTGATAAACCTTTGTGGGATGTCTGCAACCTCTTGGAACGATGACGGATCCAGGCACCTTAGTGTGAACTATTAGCTTGGTGCAAAAGTAATTGCAATTTCTGCCATTACTTTCAATGGCAAAAACTGCATTTACTTTTGCACCAACCTGATAGTTAGAAATCCTTCAGAACTTTTTGTCTTTAGAGTTGTCTCCCAACCTAATCTCCATTTGACTCATGTTTAAAAGCTGTAGGAAACAGAAAATCTGTAATTAGAAACAGCAAATGCTATTTCTTCTTTTTTTTTTTATTTTGTATTTTGAGACAGAGTTTCATTCTTGTTGCCCAAGCTGGTGTGCAGTAGTGCAACCTTGGCTCACTGCAACCTCCACCTCAAGGTTTCAAGTGATTCTCCTGCCTCAGCATCCCAAGTAGCTGGGATTACAGGTGCCCGCCAACATGCCTGGCTAATTTTTTTGTATTTTCTGTAGAGACGGGGTTTAATCATGCCAGGTCTTAAACTCTTGACCTCAGGTGATCCACCCACCTCGGCCTCCCAAAGTGCTGGATTTACAGGCATGAGCCACTGCGCCCGGCCCAGCAAGTGCTATTTCACCTACAAACCTGCATCCTATTAGAACCCAAGCAACTTAACTGGCAACACAATGGGAACAGGACACCCCTTCTCACTTTACCATAGGATGGTACTCAGCCTTGGCCCTCCAAGAGCTGCCTGGTGCTGCAGGGTCTCAGGAGGGTACCAGGAAAACACTGGGGCCAAGCAGTGCCTGGGGGCTTGACATGATACCGAGACAAGAAGAAAGGCAGGGTGCACTGCAAGGCCTAGAGTAGAGTGGCAGCATCACCATTGTGCCAAGAGCAGTGGTGGCTTCTGAAAGGAAGTAGTTCTGCCTGAAAGAACAGCAGGAGAGACTACATGGCCAGTAGGGCAGGCCTAGGCCCTGTTTGGCCAGGCATGGAGGACACCTTGAATGTTGACTTTTAACTGAGCATCTGTGGATCACTCTGAAGTGATCTGCGGAAAGTTTTGACAGTGAGATTTGTTTAAGGAATTAGGTTTTCATGAGCAGATAAGGCAACAAATTATTTTAATTTGATAAAATTGATTATATTCTCAACTTTTTAACAACTTTATGTGTCTGTGTGTGTGTGTATGTGTGTGTGTATATGTATGTATTTTCAAGATAGGGTCTCACTATGTCATCCTGTCTGACGTGCAGTGGCTATTCACAGGCACAATCATAGCACACTGTGGCCTGGCCTCAAACTCCTGGCCACAAGTGATCTCTCACTCCAGCCTCCTGAGTAGCTAAGACCACAGTCACACAACCACCATGCCTGACTTATAACACATTTTTAAAACTAACTCTTTACCATAAACATTGTCTTATGCCCATAGCTATTCACAAAACATCATAATTGTTAGTGGCTGCAGAGTATCAAGTACAATGTACCAAAATGAATTTAATGAGTCTCCTATTATGTGACTGTTACGTGTTGAATATGTCCCCTACCACAGTTTATATGTTGAAATCCTAACCTCAGTATATCAGAATGTGACTGTATTTGGAAATAAGTCTTTAAGGGGGAAATTACGTTAAAAAAGAGGACATTAGGGTGGGCTTTAATTTAATACGACTGGTGTCCTTATAAGAAGAGATTAGGACACAGAAGCAAATAGAGGAAAGATCATATAAAGACACAAAGAGAAGATGGCTAGATACAAGCCAATGAGAGCAGCCTCAGAAGAAACCAGTCTTGCTGACACCTTCATTTCGGACTTCTAGCCCTGTGAGAAAATAGATGCCTTCAGTTTAAGTTATCAGTCTGTGTTACTTTGTTATGGCAGTCCTAGCAAATTAATACAGCAACTACTACTCACAATGTTTATTTAATAAATAACATTTGTACATCCTGCTACACATCACTGATTATTTTCCTAGAATCAGTGCTGGAGGTGAAATTATTGGTTCCAAAAATTATTAATAATTTGTATTATTAATTCTACTATAGAGTATATTATTATTTTCAACTTTCTTTTTTTCACAAATGTAATACATTTGATTTTTTATCTCCATGTTGAACATAATAAGACCAAGTATAAGACCAAATTGTGTCCTAAAGTTCATAATTATAGGGTTCCCTTCCAATGAACAGTCATGCACCCACAGATTGCATGGTGCTTCATCACTGGGCAGCAGGATAACTGTCATTCAGACCACATTCCATACATCTTAATAATGTATAGAAGATGCTTCCTAGAATTAGAGGATCCCTCTTGGGGAAATAAGGACCAGATAATTGCCTCTAAAAATCACCCCCCTCAGCTGGAAAGGGAAATATTATACTTACAAGGGTCCTTCAGGCTGTTAGCACCTTAGCATGTTTGTGCTAAGCATGTTAGCTTAGCATGTTTGATGGTTTGATTTTTGAAAGCAATTAATCACATTGTCCATCAGCAAGGAACAAGACATTTCTCTATTTTACTCCAGGATAGCAGCACCACTAAGTTTTAGATAGCTTCACCTGTAGATCCCTTTAGAAACATTTCTAGAGCTAGGAGAGGTGGCTGCAGCCCACAGAAGTCCCCTGGAGGTGCTGGTTTTCTAGGAGAGTGTTGTATGGTGTCCACTGAGAACATTGTCATGCTACATACCTGGCAGAGATAATCGACAATGAATATTTTGTGGATTACCTTGGGAAACCAATATAATTCATTCAGGAGCACATGTGAGAATATTCCTAAGACCATCAGGGGAGAAAAAATGAGATATTTTCTATGAAATGGACTGAGCGGGGAGCAAGCATTATAAGGATTGGAACCAGCTGAAACCCTAAGAGAGACCTGGGAAAACAGAGAATGCATATATGAATTTTATCTTGAGAACCACTCTCTAAAACCCAAGAGAGAAATTAGAAGTATACTATTCTCCGTAGTTCCTGACATTTCCCATCCTCAGAACAGGAGCTCTGAGAGAGACATGGGATTAGAATGAGTTTTTCAAAACCAACCAGACCTCAGGATTTAATGTTGTGGCCTAGTCTCTATGGAGGGCAGCTATAGTAGAATGGTTAAGAATAAAGCCTCTGAGCTTCACAAATTTGCAGACTAAGATATTTGAACTTCCATTAATTAAGACCATTATCTATTTCTACTTTGAGTTTTTCTCCCTTTCACACTTGCTCTTTCTCAAGATGGCATTAAAATGGCTGCAGGCAAATTTGCACTGAGCTAAGGGAAAGTTGATTTGAGGATACATTTGGATTGATATAGTGGGATATGGTTAAGTGATTTGCAATCCTTTTATGGATGATTAAGTTCTTACTAGATCAGAGGATGCATGGCTATCCAGGACTTTTCCTATTTCCGACTGTGCTGACTCGAAGGACTTGCGAACATGAAAGCATAGGGTCAGGGGCTGACTGTCCTATGAATGTGCCGTTCAGTTCCTGGCACCCAAAGGATTGGGCAACTGAAGGAAAATCAACGAGTGAAATGTGTGTAGCGAGATCTAATCAGCAGAAAATTTTTCCAAACTGTACTGCTCAAGTATGAAGGAAAGTTGATGGAGATTTCCCCAACTTTGATAGCAATCTGAAAATGTTTTCCAAATTCACCAGAAACAACATGATAAAACTGAAAGCCTTTTTGTTTTTTTTTTTTTTTTTGACAGAGTTTTGCTCTTGTCGTCCAGGCGGAGTGCAGTGGCGCAATCTCGGCTCACTGCAACCTCCGCCTCCTGGGTTCAAGCAATTCTCCTGCTTCAGCCTCCTGAGTAGCTGGGATTACAGACACACACCATGCCCAGCAAATTTTTGTATTCTTAGTGGAAATGGGGTTTCACCATGTTGGCCAGATTGGTCTCGGACTCCTGACCTTAGGTGATCCACCCGCTTCGACCTCCCAAAGTGCTGGGATTATAGGCGTGAACCACCGCACCCAGCCCTGAAATACATTTTTTAAAACTACAGCAGTAAAAATCAAAGTTCAATCTTGTTAGGAGAAAGTCTGATTTTCTATTATCTTAGAGAGAATATTATAAAATCTTATGAATAGTGTACAAGCACAAGTGTAGAAAAAATATGAAGAGATAAACTATGGGTACATCCATGCAATGGAATACTACTGAACAATAAAAACAACGGAACTGTATATGGGCACGCAGCTTGAATGAATCAGAAAGTTTTTTTTTAGTGGTAAAAGTCAATCTGAAAAATTCATAATAGTATATGATTTCCTTTGAATGACATTACGCAAAAGGTAAATTATATGGAAGGAGAACAAACCATTGTTTTTTTAGGGAATAGGGTTGAGAGATGGTTTTAACTACAAAGAAATAATATGAGGAAATTTTGGGGTATGATTAACTGTTCTGTATCTCAATTTTGTTAGTAGTTACATGTATCTACATGTAGATACATGTAGATAAGCTGTATATCAAAACAAAGTTAATTACATAGTACATTAATTTAAAGATTGCAAAAATATTTTCAAAATTAAAATATTATATAGGTGTTTTAGGAAATCAGTATTTTTATACCATTATATAGTAATATCTGGAATTTTTCACCTTTAAAAATTATAATTTATTTTCATTTATTTCATTATACTAAATAAATACTAATTTAAAAATATTGTTTGTGATTTTTTGTTCATAATATTGTATTGATTTCCTGAAAGAGATATTCAATTGCCTAGTTCTCAGGATCCCACAAAACCCAGTCCTGTCCCGACTATGCTGGGGGAGACAGCAAATTGAGAACCTGTGCAGTGAAAGAATCATAATTGGCCCAAATATTTCTGTTTGCTAGAGACCGCATACTAAAATCCTAGCATCAGTTATTGGTTATATACAAGTTCACTGTCAGCTACTGTGGGTGAAGAAGGTGAATGTGGGGGATATTCTTAGACACTATGACCCTATAGGCAGAACCTTGCATGAAAGAGGAAAATTAGAGCCATAGGCAAGAAGGCAGGATTTAGTGATGACAGAACAGCAGAGATGCCCTGGGGCTACTATACAGCCTGTTTTTCTAGGAGGAGCCTATCCTGGCCATGCCACAGATGGTACCTCTTAAGGACTTCAACCATAAGGCATGATCTGGAGGCTATTTAGGGTTTGAGTGACAGATATGTACAGTAGAAACTTCTAGGATGGAGCAGGTTTCAATTTGTGTATAGATTTGCTAAATAGGTTTCCATATTTGCTATACAGTGGTTTTTACTTTCAGTATAAATTAAATACTTTAGCAAAGTTCTGCTGTGGAGAGTAAGGTAATGCAGACATCAGCGAAGCATCGTAGTGTCTTAGAATTTTGTTTTAATTCTTGGCCTGGCCACCAGATTAAGGTTGGAATATAAAGAACAAAGATCCCAAGGAAGTAATCTGGGATTCAGATGACTTCTTTGGTCCTTGGGTTTTGACTAAGAGGAAACAGGAGGCTTTGGCAGCTGATGACTTCTCAAAAGCAGAAGCTAGTTGCACTGGATGGGGGATTTGTGCCATCTTTATGAGCATGTAAAGGACAGAGATGGTATGCAGACTCCTAAAGTGACAACTACTGTCACCATGCCCTAGAATGGCGCAGAGCTAAAAACAGGACAGTGACGCTTTGCAAGCAAATATGAGAACAGGTGAGCCCAGCTATGGGATCGTACCTAAGAATCTCTACAATAATTTAGAAGTAGATGAATCCAGCAGCATCTGTGGCCCCACTCACAGAATAATGACACAATCACATCATGAAGTTGGAGCACATAATCACTAAACAGAGAAGAGGTATGTTACCTGTGTTGAAGCAAAGAGAGAGAGTACTGTGGTTGACAGCATGGTCTTTGCAGTAAGGCACTCTGGGTTTGAGTCTTCTTTACAACTAACTACCTATGTGACTGCAAATAATATAATCTCTTTAAACCTCAAGTTCCTCCTGAGAAACGAGAACATTGTAATATGAACTGTCCCATTGGTATGTTGTGGAGATGAAATGCACTAATATATAAAGAGTGCTTTATACAACACCAGCCATATAATAATCAAACAGTCGCTAAGACTGTTATTCTTAAGCATTGGATTTGCAATCTAGAGTGTAATATATCTTATCAATATTATATATTAATTACACTTTATTACACATTATTATACATGTTAATTAAAAATATATAAATTACTATTAATATGCATTTAAATGCAATATTCAGCTTATGGTAAGCATCTAATGAATGTTTGTCAAATTAAAATTTTCTGAAATTTAGGTAGCTTGGATGGAAAGCCTAGTGATTCCACTGGGAGGTCCTGCATGATGGCCCTGCTTTGAAACATGCATTATGCAAATCCTGGTATTAGTAGTGGGAGATTTTGGAAGTCAGAGTTTATGAGGTTCATCAGGAGTGGTTCTACACATCAGCAACTAGTGGTGTGGTCAGTGAAAGTCGAGGGGGAGGATGTCAGAAAAGAAAATCACCATGGTTACTCAGCAGAATTTCTAGGGCTCAGATCACTCTAGCCACTGGGTAAGATGTGATACATACAGACCACAGTTTCCGCAGGAAAATATAGACAAAGGGAGAGGAAGACAGAGAGAGGAAAGGAGAGAGAGAAGAGAGGAGGGACGGAGAACAAAAAAAAGGAAGAGAGGATTGATGTCCTTCCAGATTTGGAACCCAACAGAGAACCTTGAGGCTCTAGCCTTTATTATGTCAGCACCCTTTGGATAAGTTCTAATGAAAGCCACTCTCACAAGCCTTTTCATAAGTGTTACTTTCCTGGGCATAACACTTTAGATGCCAACAGTCTTTGTGTCCAGCTAATAGAAGATGAATTCCTTACTGTTGCTTCCCAATATATTGGCAAATAAGAGTGCAGAAACTCTGTCAGTCATAATCTTTTCATCCTTTTCATTGATGCTAAATTTAAAAAAAAAGAAAGAGAAGAAACAACAAACTCCTGAGATTAAATAATGATTTTCTAATTTTTATATCCCCTAGTTCTTATTTTATAGTATCAATATGGGTACTAGATGAAATAACTCCCAAGCAGCTTTCTCCAGAGAAATACAATTTTCCTGACCATCTCAGGAATATAATTGCCATGAGCAGCACTGGTAATCAACAATTACACAGAATATTGACTGTGTTCTTTCATCTCCCATCTTGGCCAAAATATGTAACCAATGGTGTATAAGTCACACTTTTCCTGACCTCTTTGTTTGACAGAAACCTCTGCAGTCAAGGATCTCACTGCAGTCCTGTCCACAGATGCCTGTGGGTTTCTTTGTTGTTATTGTTATTCTGCTTTGTTTAATTTTGTTTTGTTCCATCTTAACCCATTGAATACAAAGCAGGAAACCATGTAGGGCCCTGGCTCACTGCAGAGGCAAGGCTGCCCCCAGAAATATGTATGGCATCCAGATGTAGTGGCTCTCTTATGAAGCTCAATGCCTCCCCTAATTATCCCTTCAAACAGAACTTGGAGGAAGAGCAATGCCCTCTTGTGAATGCAAATGGAAACTGAGGCCCAGTGAGATTTAAAATTAATCGGAGGGAGCAGAGTTCAGAGAGAAGTTAGAAACCAGTCATTCTTCACACCTGTGTGTAGTCCTAGATACTTGAGAAGCTGAGGCAGGAAGACCGCAGAAGCCTAGGGGTTCAAGACCAGCCTGTACAACATGGCTAGACCCTTTCTCTAAAAAACAAAACAACCACAAAAAAAATGAGTCTTTCTTCACAGTAGCCCAAGTAATGTAAAAAGTATCAGATCAGTAGTATGTCCACTCAGTTACACTTTGGAACCCCAGAGAGCACAGTTATTGGGGTCCTGTAGCTGCGGGCTACAGGAGATTTTACCATTTTCATCATCACCATCTTCTCTCACCGAACTTGCTGAACTACAGCTATTTGTCCATTTATTTTATTTCCAGACTGTCCTGTGAACACTTCAACAGGAAAGATGGCATTCCTCACATCTATTCAACCAATAAGCACGAATCAAGGAACATAGTCCTTTCTCAATCACTGATTATTAAACAAATAACTTTGCCACATTTGTGCCAGAATATTTTATGCAAATGTTAAAAGTTTAGTAGAGATTTACAAATGATATATGTAAAAAAATGAAGTCAAAATTTTCCCCTAGCCATATGAGGCATTAATACTCACTTGGTGACATTGGAATTTGGTATGTCTGAGCAACTAAGAGTTCAATTCTAAATAGAAATAAGTAAGGATGCTTCTGGAAACCTGATATTACACACATGGGAAGGCAAATTTGAGGGTGTTGGTATCATCTGGCCAGAGATCCAATGGCAAGTAAAGCACACTAAGGGTTACAATCATGGTGTGAAACTTTCTCGAAGACCATATCTGACATCTACCTGACCTTGGGAAAATTACCAGGGTAACTCAGTGGAGAAAACCTAAGTCAGACTCCATAGCAACCTTTGAAGGAAAAATGTACACGGAGTAATATCTGGTACTCAACAAGAGTGGTTCGGCTCCATGTGAACCATGAGGAAAATAACTGGAGATAGCAGAGTTAGAGGCCAGAGTCCTCTTGGTCTTGCAGAAGATTCTATGTGAGCACTTTGCTTTTTTGTCCTTGGTGTAAATCAAGCTTGTCCAGCCCGCAGTCTGTGCCCTACATGTGGCCCAGGATGGCTTTGAATGTGGCCCAAAACAGATTTGTAAAGTTTCTTAAAACATAAAATTTTTTGCAATTATTTTCTCTCATCAGCTATCATTAGTATTAGTGTATTTTACGTGTGGCCCAAGACAGTTCTTCTTCCAATGTGGCCCAGGGAAGCCAAAAGATTGGACACCCTGGGTATAGATAATGCTTGTCCCAACTGGTATTGTTTGGAAATTTCAGAGTTTATCAGCTTCATCCTCTGCTTTAAAGACATCTGATTTGTCTGCACCTTTTCTTCTCTCTACTACCCTGCACTGAATTCAGCATGGTTGGTTTCCCTAGGCAAACACATTCTTAAATATCTTTGCCTAATTATCCTCCTTGTACTCTGAAAAAAGTCACCATGTGTGGTTTATGAATTGCAGAAATATTTTCTTTACCATGAACCCCTCTCTTGATCTGATTTTCTGGTCTGCTGTTTGTAAATATCAACCTACCACACAACTAGTTCCTATACAGACTTTGCAAATGTCTTTAATGTAAACACACACACACCACCAGGTTTTCCTTCTCCATCCAGCTTGTCTTCTACCTGAGTTTTCTGGTAAGCACCTCAAATTGCCCTCCAATTTGGGAATCCTATCAATCAGCCTGGGGTGGAACACATCCCCTCACTATGGCCAGCACAGGCTCCTCCTGGAAGGTCCATCTCATTTACCAGTCCACCATAGTGGGGAGTCACTCCAAACAGAGAGAGTTAGCAGAAGCACTGTGCTCGCCAGGGCCCTCCACTGTGCTTGACTTCATGTAGTGCTTCTCAGTTAAATTCCAGATTCTGTGCCTGCATCCCATGATTTGACACCACTCTTCTCAGTGTTAGCAACCATTCTCTGACTGCCCTGCCAGTCCCATTTTCCAGGCATTAAATCCTGAAATAAAGTCCCTTCCTCACTGGTTTAAAGTACTGAAATCTCAGGACCCCTCAGGACTAAAGTCTCTCAAGTTGCAACTGTTTATTCCCCCTTAAATATTTGAGAATAAGAGAATTTACATTTCATTGTTAGTTTAATCCTTTAAAAATAAGCCCTACAATGTATTCTCTCTTGACAACAAAGATCTACGTCCTTTTTGTTTTGTAAAGTCTATCTTCCCTTTTTCCCTTAGTTCTTTTATTCTTTTGTAATCTATAATTTACATCGCAAAATTTAGCAATTTCCTTCTGTGCTAGACATTAGTGCTATGCTCTAAATGATGCCTGTTTTCTTTCCTCCAGGCACATCATAAGATAACATTTTCCATACCCTCGGAGGTTTGTCTTGACTTTTCTTTGGCCAAGGTATGCATTTGCCTGGCTCCTCTCTCCCACTTTTGGAATCATAAGCACAGCATAGAAGCTTTGCTCAGACAATCTCCTGATTAAGTATGTTAAAAACAGAGCCACCCAACTCGTGGCTGACAAATAACATGAGTAAGGAATAAACGTTATTGGTTCTTTGTTTGTTTGTTTCTGAGATTTGGGAGTTATTTTTTACCTTTACATAAGCAAGTCCAACCTGGCTGTTATATTCTCAAAAACCACAGGCCATGTTGTCAATAGGATTATAGCACTTAAAACCAAGTACTTCCCTCTATTTGTTTGATATCTAATATGTATTTAAAAGATGGCTAGAGATATGTAGACAATAATTCATTTGTTCAATATAAATTGATTGAACACATCCCTGTTTTATCTTTTACTGTGAAAGTGATTCTTTGTTTGAGAGAAGGAAAATAATTGGATGATAGGAGTACTTATTGAATATAGTCAAGGTCATTTAGCTTAGATTAATTGGCCAAAATGCCATTCTGAGGAGAAAACGAGGTATTCCCAGGATGTCAAAACCACCTTTAAGTTTAATAAATGGCCAGTGGGATCAGTATGAGACAAAATCACTGAGATAACACTTATCTGTCTATCTGGTTTCTGTTTGTATATGTGCATGTACGTGTGTGTGTGTGTGTGTGTGTGTGTGTGTGTGTGTTTGTATTTCTCCTACATCATATATTATTTGTCTTAGAACCACCAAAAAAAAGATAGAAAAAAAGAAGTACCATGATATGCTTTGGCTCTGTGTTCCCACCGAAATCTCACCTTGAATTGTAATAATCCCCATGTGTCATGGGAGGGACCGGGTGGAAGGTAATTGAATTATGGGGGTGGGTTTTTCCTGTGCTGTTCTCATGATAGTGAATAAGTCTCATGAGATCTGATGTTTTGATAAAGGAAAGTTCTCCTGCACGTGCTCTCTCTTGCCTGCCACCATGTAAGATGAGACTTTGCTGTTCGTTCCTTCACCTTCCCCCATGATTGGGAGGCCTCCCCAGCCATATGGAAGTGTGAGTCCCTTAAATCTCTTTTCTTTATAAATTACCCAGTCTCAGGTATATCTTTATTAGGAACATGAGAATGGACTAATATATACTATGACAGACTAATGGGAGAAAAAAATGCTTAGTGAGTACACACTTAAGTAACAGTGCAAAATATACAATGCAAACACCTTGAGAAGAGCAAAATCATTCTGGAGGGAAGAACCATATGAAACTCATGGAATTGTTGAGACTAAAGATGAATCTTAATAATTCTGAAGGCAGGAGACATGGGAAAGCCTATTATTGCCTTCATGGAACCATGAACGTGTTAGAGGGAGTATGCGGAGATCATAACACACCTGGATATTAGCTTGCCACTCATTCATTCGACATATTTGCTGAAAACCCACATATAACCATGTTGGGAATTATAGTGGCAAGCCAGATATCTGCCACCCCAATTCTCATTGAGCTTTGTAGTCTAGCACATGGAAAACAGTAAACAAATGATTATTTAACTCGCAATTGTGTTGAGTGCTGTGGAGAAATACAGTGTTATTTAAGGGTAGAAACCAAAATGGTTTCACCTGGTCTGGGATGACAGGGTGAGGAAGGCTCTTCAAGAAGCAGTTTGGGAGGCATTTGCAACACTAGAGCTAAAACACAGAGCAAAAAGCTAAGAGGGCTATAAACAAGGTTAGGGAGGAAACAAGAACTCTGGAGGCCTCATTCTTCATAGTATACAAAGGAGGTTCTTGAGGAACCTACTTGCATTATTTTGTTTCCTTTGTCAACATTTCCCAGCATAAATGTCTGTATATGAGTGATGTTTGTTCATTTAAGGAAGAACTCATGGAACTATTTAAAGAGCTGCCTTAAGAAACATGACATTAAGAGGTAAAATAACCACCTATTTCTAATTTCTCTAACCTTCCCATTAATGTGGGCTCATAATCTATAAACTATAGTAGTATCTGAGCTAAGTCTTTATTTTATTTTATTTTATTTTATTTTTTTTTAATTTTTTTTTTTATTATACTCTAAGTTTTAGGGTACATGTGCACATTGTGCAGGTTAGTTACATATGTATACATGTGCCATGCTGGTGCGCTGCACCCACTAACGTGTCATCTAGCATTAGGTATATCTCCCAATGCTATCCCTCCCCCCTCCCCCGACCCCACCACAGTCCCCAGAGTGTGATATTCCCCTTCCTGTGTCCATGTGATCTCATTGTTCAATTCCCACCTATGAGTGAGAACATGCGGTGTTTGGTTTTTTGTTCTTGCGATAGTTTACTGAGAATGATGGTTTCCAATTTCATCCATGTCCCTACAAAGGACATGAACTCATCATATTTTATGGCTGCATAGTATTCCATGGTGTATATGTGCCACATTTTCTTAATCCAGTCTATCATTGTTGGACATTTGGGTTGGTTCCAAGTCTTTGCTATTGTGAATAGTGCCGCAATAAACATACGTGTGCATGTGTCTTTATAGCAGCATGATTTATAGTCCTTTGGGTATATACCCAGTAATGGGATGGCTGGGTCAAATGGTATTTCTAGTTCTAGATCCCTGAGGAATCGCCACACTGACTTCCACAATGGTTGAACTAGTTTACAGTCCCACCAACAGTGTAAAAGTGTTCCTATTTCTCCACATCCTCTCCAGCACCTGTTGTTTCCTGACTTTTTAATGATTGCCATTCTAACTGGTGTGAGATGATATCTCATAGTGGTTTTGATTTGCATTTCTCTGATGGCCAGTGATGATGAGCATTTCTTCATGTGTTTTTTGGCTGCATAAATGTCTTCTTTTGAGAAGTGTCTGTTCATGTCCTTTGCCCACTTTTTGATGGGGTTGTTTGTTTTTTTCTTGTAAATTTGTTTGAGTTCATTGTAGATTCTGGATATTAGCCCTTTGTCAGACGAGTAGGTTGTGAAAATTTTCTCCCATGTTGTAGGTTGCCTGTTCACTCTGATGGTAGTTTCTTTTGCTGTGCAGAAGCTCTTGAGTTTAATTAGATCCCATTTGTCAATTTTGGCTTTTGTTGCCATTGCTTTTGGTGTTTTAGACATGAAGTCCTTGCCCACGCCTATGTCCTGAATGGTAATGCCTAGGTTTTCTTCTAGGGTTTTTATGGTTTTAGGTCTAACGTTTAAATCTTTAATCCATCTTGAATTGATTTTTGTATAAGGTGTAAGGAAGGGATCCAGTTTCAGCTTTCTACATATGGCTAGCCAGTTTTCCCAGCACCATTTATTAAATAGGGAATCCTTTCCCCATTGCTTGTTTTTCTCAGGTTTGTCAAAGATCAGATAGTTGTAGATATGCGGCATTATTTCTGAGGGCTCTGTTCTGTTCCATTGATCTATATCTCTGTTTTGGTACCAGTACCATGCTGTTTTGGTTACTGTAGCCTTGTAGTATAGTTTGAAGTCAGGTAGTGTGATGCCTCCAGCTTTGTTCTTTTGGCTTAGGATTGACTTGGCGATGCGGGCTCTTTTTTGGTTCCATATGAACTTTAAAGTAGTTTTTTCCAATTCTGTGAAGAAAGTCATTGGTAGCTTGATGGGGATGGCATTGAATCTGTAAATTACCTTGGGCAGTATGGCCATTTTCACGATATTGATTCTTCCTACCCATGAGCATGGAATGTTCTTCCATTTGTTTGTATCCTCTTTTATTTCCTTGAGCAGTGGTTTGTAGTTCTCCTTGAAGAGGTCCTTCACATCCCTTGTAAGTTGAGAGCTAAGTCTTTTATTAGGCTGTATTGCCATCAAGTAGGGGTAACTTCCTTGAGGATTAATGTGTGAAAGCATATTTTTCTTTCTAAGATATTTACGTTTCATGAGGTAGGTGTGTGTGTGTGTGTGCATATATCACATACATGTGTTTGTACATTTTCTATGTGCAGGAAATGCCAACTTTACTTTTTCTAAAACTTTTACATGAAACAAAAGAGAATTATTGGCATTCACTCATTTGGAAATAAATTTATAGGGAATATATTTTGGTTGTTTCTCTTCATAATTATTTTTAAAATGTCATTGGAGCTACTTTTTAAAACAAAAATCAGGCCCCAGGATGGCATTTGCCAGCTTTCCTTTTGGGGGATAGGCCAATCCTACCTTTTCTTTGGAGGCTGTCACTCAAGGTAAGTGGAGCGATGTGTGGCTGGGAGCTGGGGAACGGTTGCCAAAAGCCTTGCATCATTGCTTCACCTCAATGGAACTTCTGTAAGGGAAGAATAGGACATTATTGAAATCTTTCTGAAATAAAAAGACAGCCTCCCTAAAAAGCACTGAAGTGGTCCCCCAAAATGTTTCAAAAGCATCTTGAGCAATATTGGCATGAAGGAAGCCATGTTTCTGCATACCAGTACTCTGGGGCCAGACTCGTAATGCCCTCAAATGAGAGCAGAGGCAGCTCCCGCAGCAGCTGTTGAGAGAGGTGACAGAAAGTGGGAAGACTGCACAATGGAAAGGAAGGAGAAATTCTCTAAGGAGACACTGAAGCAAAGATTCAAACAGTATGACTCAGCCAGTGGTTGGGCAAACCCACTGGCAGATGGGCCAGTAGTATACACAAGAATTAGGAATCATGTAAGGGCCTTGGGAGCAATGGTTTAAAGCCAACTTTTCCTTGGTGAAGCCTGAGAGAAATGAAGAAGTTCTGCTTTTTGTTGACCTGTGGTGGATAGAATAAATATAAGTAGGGAAGTTCTAGTGTGGGTAGTCTGTGCTCCAGTTTCCCTGTGAACATAGGGACATGTTATATGGCTTGAGTAGATCATCAGGTCTAAGATAAACTGTGTGATGCATTCTTTTTTTATTTTTTTCCATTTAGACTAAAAATATTTGCTTAACTCACAATATATCAAATATTAGGCTAGGCACTGAGGTACTATTTGTAAACAAGATAGCCTATGGTTTCTGACTTAGAGAATTTTTGGTTTGTTGGTGAAGACAAACACGATAATAAGTAGTCATAATACAATGTCATAAATGACACCAATAGGAAACTATAGGATGCATTGGAAGCACAGAGGAAACATATTTGGTGAGTGGGAAGGGATCAAGGCAATGTCTTCAGAAAATGTGGGCACTAAGCTGAATCCTGGCATCTGAGAGGAAATTACCTAAATGAAAAGTGCAATAGCAGCTGGTAAAAAAGAGGGCAAGCTTAAGGAAGTTTTCTTTCTAATCAGAAAGGAAAGAAACAGCATCTGAAAAAGTCTGATAGCAAGGGTTTGTTGCAATTCAGAGACAGGCAGGTTTATCATGGTTCTGGGTGTACAGTACTCAGTTAATGGTTTGTAGATATGAATTGTAATCTAGTCCTTGAAATGGTTTCTCTTGTTTGCTGAACTGCAAGCCACTTTGAGCTGGAACAGTAACAGGATTTGTGAATCTAGGAGGATGCTCTAAGTAGAATGTTCTCATGCTTTCATTATTTTCTTCTTCCTGTTTCCTCAGATTTTGGCTTCTGTTTTCATTCTTCCAAAACTTCCTATCTGCACGCACACACACACACACACACACACACACACACACACACACACACACACACACAGAGTCATCTATTTTTGTTCTTCACAATTCATTCTTTGTCATTCTCCAATTTTACCATATGAAAAAATGAATCCAGCAAAATGAGATTTCCTTTTGGTCACAATTCAAATCATGTTGGGATTATCTAATTATCCATTTTATAGAGTGCTGTGATCCAATTAACAACATTTAAAAATGTAATTTCAAAGAAAAATGGAAAAACATAAAATGGACTGAAAAGCATAAGTGTGGGTTTAAAAAAAAGCATCCTAATCTACTCATGGGTTTCTACAGTTAGTCTTATGTATGATGCACAATAAATAACGTGACAAGTTTCAAACAGCCACAAATTACCAAGGATTAATGAATGCTCACATAGGAATACATTTTTAGTAGAACCCTATTGTCCCAGGGTTTTGGTTTATTTTGACAATGTTTTGCCTCTCTTTGTTCATGGTGAAAATTTTTTTCCCTTTCCCTTTGGCAGGAGAGAGAGCATGTGGGGCTTTGCCAGAGAGGAACTTGGATGGCAATCACCTAAGAACTCCAAACTCAGTGCCAGGGCAGACTGGTGTCTATTTTGGTGGGTTTCCAAGTTCTGAACATTGGAATTTAAATGCAGATGGAGGCCACTCTGGACGTGTGTCCACGGTAGTTGGGGTATTGTTGGTTGTGAGCTGGTCTACACACAGATCACACACAGATCTCTTTGTGGTGCTGGAGAAGTTGGAATCAGCTCATAGGGGAGTCCCAATGTGGAAGACCCAGGAGTGCAGCAGGCTTTGCTTTTTAAGAAGTAACTCATTAAAAATGAAATTGGAAAGAGGTCTTTGATCTTGCTTGGAGCCCTAGACAATCAAAACCAAAAATGGAACTGGAATTCCATAGTCTGAAGGTTTGTGACCAAAATCTTAATTCAAAGCTGCACTTTATTTTTCCTTTCATTCAGTTCAGCACTTTTAAGATCAGAAATCAGTTATCTTTATGTCATGATAGGGTTTACATTAAGCTACTCGAGTCTCCAAAATTACAACATTAAATCAGTTACATAAAAACAAAAACTAATTCATTGACATTAGCTCTCTTTGTAATTGATGAAAAGAGGAAAGAAGTGAAGTTTGAAAAAAAACCCTCAAATTTACACCTAAGTTAAAGACTGCTAAAGTGTCTTTTTCTTTTACTGATTTTCTATTTAAATTGAGAAATTAAATTTGACTGTGTAATATTTCCACATACGTAAATTCCAGAAACTACTCATAAAATAAAAAGAGTTTTTCATCATTCAGGAAGATATTTCCTTGATGGGTTTGTGTTCATCAATAAACTATGCCTTGCTTCAAAATGTACAGGCACGTAGGGCTGCTTCTAGCATCTCAGCAGGCTCTTAGAGTGGATTCCATGAGGGCTGATAGGACAGTAGGGGTGAAAATACATACAGCAATATATCTATAAGCTACATGGCCTTGAGGGGATTGCCTAAACTCACCTGTCTTTCTTTAAATTGACTTCATTGAAAAATAGGGGTAAAAACAGTGCACCCTTTAGTGTGTTTTTTTAATGACTAAATGAAACAATATTTGCCAAGCATTTTTAATACAGTCTGCTGTTTCATAAATGATCAACAAACATGTATTGCTGCAATTATTTATATTTATTATTGTTGATTTTACACAGCAATGTCTTCCAGTAGTTGATAACTTTCTACTTTTAAAATAATTGGAAGAATGTAAGCTCTCAACTAGTCCACTAGTCCCGAAACAATAGATACCAGCTGGCAGAGATAATAGCTGTCTGGAAGAGAGAGATACATACCACATCAAAAAACAACAAAAAAAGTAAGTTGGATACATGCATGAAAAATGTCTAGCAAGATATAGAAAGGGAGCAAAAGGATGTTTGCTTTAATTTATAAAGATCAACATGAATAGAGATAGCATATCCTCCCTGAGATAGAATGTTGCATCCTTATGTAAAGAGAAAGTTGTATCCCTATGTAAAGAGAAAATTGTATTATCTGGCCTAAAATTCAAACTAATGGCCTCATTTTAAAAAATAAAACAAACAATAAAATCACACAAAAATTAAACCACATAGTCATAGTGATAAAATGGTACTTGTAATTCAACCCAAAATTAGATATTAAATAACACATTTTTTTTTTCTGCAGGAATAACACCATTTTTTTCCTCCTCTATCATCCCAGGGATGGCTCAAGTACTCAAAAGGCAGCACTAAAATAAGGCTATGTCTCTTCCTGAGAATACTCTGGACTTCATTCTCTGATTAAAGATCACAACTGCTTCTTCGTTGAGGAAATCATGTATTTCAAAGCCACCAATGAACAAGGTTTGCATTTGTGTTCATTTAAGAAAAGAAAAAAACCCTGAGCAAACCTTTCTCTGTGCATTAAGCCTTCTGACCTTTATTGAAATAACAAAACAGTTATTCAAAGGACACGAGGATGAATTAAAGGTAACTTTCTATTTGCTAACATTCAAGGAGGGAATAGCTTGCCTGACTTTCTCAGAGAACTGCTCTGAGAGAATGCATTCAGTCCTCTAAGGAAAGTGTTCAATTATGTTTTTTTTTTTAAGTTAAATGTCTGGATATCAAAAAGTTTGATATGTTAACAATGAAAAACTACATTAGCAAACTTAAGGCTGTCTTAAAGTAGCAGTACCAAAAAGTTTCTGGGGAAAACAATTTAGAATCTTGAGTTCTAGGCCTGTGTGCCTCTAAGTAGTAGTGTGGACTTAGGTAAACAGCTTAAGGGAATCAATGGATTTTGTTATTGGTGGTGGTGATGGTGATGCCTCATTTTGTTTTCCCTTCAGAATGTTATGCAAAATGTATAAGATTCTGGGAGGAAGGAACTTGGTAAATCCTATGAAGTCCTTTAACTAGAAGTCCTATGTATTCTTCTATTTTCTGTTCCCATTGCTATTACCTAGGTAACTGTAATAGTCTCTGAACTGACCTTCCCGCTGTAGTCAACCTCCTCATCAATCTATCTAATAATGTATTCATTCCAGATTTATCTTTATCATTTCTCTGTTTATAAGCCATGGGTTACTTATTATTGCTACCAAATTAAGTACAAAATTTGGTCCAATATGCAAAGAGCATAAAACATGGTGCCATTTCCATTTCTTTTGTGACTTTTTCTTTTTCTTCTACATAAAACTTATTTTCTAAAAATGGTTGGCTCTTTGCCACTATTTAAATACGTCTTACATTATTTTGCTTTTACATCTTTGATGGCTTGGGTCCCTCTTCCCTGGAGCTCTTATATGCTGCCCTACACAAAATACGAGCAATGTCCCCACACAAAACACATGTAAACACACATACATGTTTCAGATGAATCAACTTTGGCAAGGTGTCCAGGTTGAAAATGCACAGATTTTATTGTTTGGCAGGCATTTTTTTCTTCTTAGTGCTAAGCATTTAATTTTTAAGGGTAATTCCATTCCTACTGCTTTAATACTCTCTTAGGAATCTATTACATCTGTGATTTTGACATAAGACATTTAACCTTAAATCATTTTATTTTCTGTCCTTAGAATGACAATCCATGAATTACACAGTAAACAAATACTATATGTATGAGACCGATTCACTGTCACAAACCTGGAGAAGAAAACCCTTTTGAGGTTTAAAGCTGAGAGGGAGATAAAAACTTGGTTGTACTACTTCTGGGAAATGCTGAAGTTATCCACGTGATTTTCCAGTCACTGATTATTTTAGCAAAGTAACACAAACAGAGGAGGAGCTCTGGACTCTAGCTTCTCATTTCTAAAAGAACAGATGTAAGTTATCCCCTTGAAGCTTTTCCTAACTGTACAATTCTTTCATTCTAGAAACCCAAAGATCAAGTATTAGTTATCAACTATAAGAAATAGGATTCGTTTCTAAGACTACATATTAGTAGATCACAGACTTCATACTTACTCTTATTTTATTATTATTTAAAATTTTCTAAGACTTTAAAGAAGAATTAAATATGGCTTGGTGGAAATGATGAATTTTATCAATAAATCTAAATTCTAGTGATACATCTGCCACTTTGTTTATAAGCTTGGAGCACACTTTTATTCTATGTGTGTACATATTTCCATTTATAAAATGGGGTTATTGTAAAGCTAAATTGAGATTTTTATTAAATGTAGATGAATAGATTGATAAATAATGTGCTCTAATTGAATAAGTCATTCTTAGACTTTCTCCCCTTTACTAAAAATTATACGCTGTAATAATTTAAAAACTATTAGTAATTTTAAGACATATTATCTTACAGACCTATAGAAAACCAAAATAAACAAATACATGTTCCTCTGATACAAAAAAAAATCAATCATTGGCATTTTTATTTCTCTTTTTTGTGACTTTCTTGAATACGGTATAATTTTCTACTTTTCAGTAATGAAACACATATTGGAAGTTATCACTCAAATATCAGTACGAAGATGATGCCGGGCTATGCATCTTCATTCTCAAAATTCTTAGAGAGTTTTTGGTGTTGTCAGAATTGCTAAAATATATCATGTGTCTGTTATACAGAGGAGACTCCAAAATGGCCTGGGATATGTCACTTAACTGTAATAACACATGTCAGCCAAACAGTTTTCATAGATCATGATACTCCTAATAAGAATAAAGCACTAGAGCTAAAAAACAAAATCCCATTCATTTCTGTATTAAGGCTTTTGTGGCAAATTAAAGACTCGACTCAATCTAAATTCAAAAGAAAGGGACATTTCATAAAGATATGGGAAGTCACATAGAACTCAAGGATAAGAATTTGACTTGGCATTAAGAATAGCTAAACAGGTCTGGGCGCGGTGGCTCACGCCTGTAATCTCAGCACTTTGGGAGGCCGAGGCGGGCAGATCACGAGGTCAGGAGATCGAGACCATCCTGGCTAACACGGTGAAACCCCGCCTCTACTAAAAATACAAAAAATTAGCCGGGCGTGGTGGCGGGCGCCTGTAGTCCCAGCTACTAGGGAGGCTGAGGCAGGAGAATGGCGTGAACCCGGGAGGCGGAGCTTGCAGTGAGCCAAGATTGTGCCACTGCACTCCAGCTTTGGGTGAAAGA
The DNA here is from genome assembly GCF_000001405.40 of Homo sapiens. Taxonomy (NCBI): domain Eukaryota; kingdom Metazoa; phylum Chordata; class Mammalia; order Primates; family Hominidae; genus Homo; species Homo sapiens. Next base: position 39,868,663 of record NC_000018.10, read on the forward strand.
GCGAGACTCCGTCTCCAAAAAAAAAAAAAAAAAAAAAAAAAAAGAATAGCTAAACAAAGGGACTCAAATTCCAAACAGATTCTCAATCTTCCCTCATTCTTTTCTGCAGAATGATAGCTTATATTTCTTTAATCTAAGGAAGAGAAAAGTATGAAGTGGAGCCTCTACCTCTTTTTACAAACTTCCAGAAACTTTCTTGAGCTAAAGTTCAAATATTTTTGGCAGGTAATGGGATGTATTGGTCCAGCACTGATAACAGGTTATCCTACAATCAAGTATACTCTTTCCAGAAAGCTGAGTTAGGTAAGCACATGGCAACTTCTGGTGAAGCTACATGGATGGATACAGCAAAGAGATAATTTTAGCAGGAAAGGTTATACCTGTTACTAAAAAGCGCTTGTGAGACGCAGTTCTGATTTCTTTGTCTAAACATAGTTCTCTCTTTTGATATCTCATTGTTTTTATTTCTATAAACCAGACATATTGGTACCTAATTATACATTGCCTTATATTGCTCTTTATCACACAGATACATACTCTGTTTCTAAACCAAGTACAAATATTTTGGTGTAGAACCACATCCCGTTTCTGTTGCATGATTCAGAATGCCATGATGGTGCTAGTGTGGTCCTACCTATGTAGTAGCCACTTGAATAATTCTTTAAATTCAGTTGACTGTTTTGCATAAATAACAATAAGTATGTGTTTTATTTAAAATAAAAAAATGGCTTAAATGAGTTTATTTTCTGCATCTAGTTTTTGAACTTACAGATAGGTCAGTTTAGTCAGATCAATAGAACCAATCATTCATGTTGAAGCAAGTTCTAACTCTTTCAGTTATATTTATCTTTTCACTGAGCCACCTATATGTCTATAAAAAGAGGGAGAGAGGACAGGGGTTTTACATGGCTGCAGGTGAGAGATTGACAGCAGGAAGAAACTGAGTGATGTGGTTAGCCAAATGATATGATACTCCAGAGCCTCAAAGGAGATTACTAGTAAAGGTAAGGTAGACTAACTCTCATCATAAAATACCACCATCAGATTTTTAAAGTACTTATTTGCAATCCAGATAGGTTTTTGAAAAATTTTGACAAAGATATTTATTTAATGTAGAATTATTTGGACCAAAATTTTCTAAATAAAATATTATAATATTTTATAAAATAGTACCTCAATATATACATATTTGATTACTATAGTTGCTAAAATGTATGCACACTTTTAGTTAAAATGTAGAAATTGATGCAAAACAATATTTTATTAAGACTTTTCTTCATCAGTCAGAATACTTCGTTTTCCTCAGAATCACTTATAGACATTTCTACTTATTACTTTTAGCAAATACATTTCTCTGGCAGAGAGAAATATGTAAGTTATTAATTTTGCTAATTAATTAGTATTAGAGTCAGTGTTATTGTTGATTACAATCATTTTTGTGTCATTTTCCTAGGAAATCTTTGAATACTAAGCTGATACCAGCTACTTTATAAAATATTGTCTTCTATAAAGTATTCCATGTCTGTTTTTGTGAGTTACCTACAGCTATGTATTTAGTATTTAAAGAAAGATGTGCTTCTGATTTATTTACCTACTTCTAGCATGCTAATTTAAAAATTAAATTTTTCCTTTCTTCCCCAGGAATACTTTTTAATATGACTTCTACAGAGATGGTGATAAACATATTCTTTCCTAAGGGTCAGACATTGTTTTGGAAATTATTAAAATATTTATTATAACAATATAACTATTGCAGAAGGTCTTATATATTTCATCAAGTTTTATTTATTTTTATTTATTATTATTATTTTTCTTTTATCCTACTTCCTGTTTAATTGCAGAATTTCACCAAGTTTTATAAATGTTTTCCTGCAAATTATAGTCTTTACTTTTAAAAATAAATCATGGCTAATTTCTTTTTATGTGATGCTTTTTGTTAGGAAACAGATGAGTGGGACTTGGGAACTCAAGTCTAACCTACTTAAATCAGAGAGCATTAGCGCAAATATTCTTAAGTAAGCATTCATTGTCTAATCAAACGAAACTGGCTTACTCAATGTTCGGTAGCATGTCTTTTCAAATCCTGGCTCAGGCTCTTGACTAATATGGGCTGCTCACTCTGATCCCATTGGGGCTGCAGAAATCTCCTATTTCCTTTCATTTTCAGGTATGCAACTGCCTTTCTAAGCCATGACTACATTGCTAAATGAATCATTGATTTGGAAAATCTGAAGTGACCTTCAGCTTGTTCTCCAGCTCTTCCTCAACAGAAAAGAGAGGCAAAATCAGCAAAATATTGGAAAGAGGTAGTTTTTCTAAAGGTATTTGTGGCAGGTAGAAGATTGGAGGCCACTCAGCTATGTGTGTAAGTGTGTGCAGGGAGAAATTAGGTTCTATATTCAGAAGTGACATTCTTTGTATTTTCAGTGTGGCTCTAAAAACAGAGCCTTTTTCTTATAGTTCAGAGTCAGACACTGCCCTTGGCTTCTCAGCCATTCTAGTAAACTATTTGTTACTCAGAAAGCCTCAAATTCTTCATTGAATTTATTTGGACCAGTTTTTGTGCACTTACCTCGTTGGCATGGTAATAGTCTTTTGAATAACCAATACTGTGAACAATTATACAATTAAAAATTCTACTTCCATTATTATTCTTAACTTCTCCCTTTATATTTTGTTACAGTTATGAGGTATGTTTTATTAACTATTCTAGACATAGATCTAGCCCTGCATTTACTCAGCACTGCCTTGCTCCTTTTCATGAGGGGTGATCTAGTTAGACATATCAATATTCAATGAAATGTATAGATTACCCTGATAAAATGGCTCAATGAAGTTCATGTAAGGTCAATGGAAGATTGAGGCATCATATGCACTGAGCCACTAATTGGTCTCATACTAGTAGGATATAGCTATCCCCACCCCCTATATCTTGAGTCTCCTTCCTCTTAGGTGCTGAGCATTTCCAAAGGCTTCTCTAGCTGAAGCAGGTATAAGAAAATGAAGTGACATAAAGCATCAACCCTTAGGTATAAATGATTGGCAAGTCTCAACCTTGCTAAAACTGAGACTTTTCAATTAGCTATGCTTAAAAGTTTCTACTGAATTACTGAAGCCATAATTATGTATGTAATTCAAGTTTCCTTTGAGCTGACCTACAATGAAAGAAGTTACCTAAATGACCTCTTAGGTCCTTTTCTCTCTCCAGCAATCATGGATACTTTACGAATCTCATAAGGAGTACAGCTCATTTATTATTAACACCATTTTAGAATGAAGGAAGAAGAGGCTTAGAAAGGTTTAGTAGCAGAGAAGAGAGCAGCCTTCTGATTTGTGGGTTCCACATTCTGGATGCAGAAAACTTTCAGTCATTCTTATCTATTGTGAGGCTTGTACCAGTTTCTCCATAAACTTACAAAACCAAACCATTTTGACAAGCTTTGTTCCTGCCTCTGACTTCTTTCAGATAGTGGCTAACCATCTTCTCTTGATGAGTCATTTTTGCTCTTCCTCATTCCCTTCTTGATGTTCAAGTAGGTGAACGTGATGACTATAAAAGGCAAGCAATTAATATCTGGGGTTAGGCAGAGCTCTGTAAGCCAATCTCCAAGAATGTGCAAGCTCCTTTGTCCTTAACTGTAACCTTGGCACATGAAAAGCAACTTCCATTCCGTTTTACCAACATTTCGGTCAAAGATCAATTGCCATTGTAATTATATCATATATCACAGGATGGGGAATCAGTGAGAGGGCAGGCCCTTTAAACTAATACATATCATTAGCATTTAAAGAACATGAAAAACAAATTGAACATTAGTCCTCATGTAAGTCTTTTTTCTAGAGCAAATAATTTTCCAAATTAAAATGAATAAATTAATGAAATTGTCACATGTCTGAGAATAAACTAGGTTGGTAATGCCGTCAAGCTCTTAGCAAAGTTTAGCTCATTGTACTTCTCTGTCTGATCATTATAACATCTAATCAAGGGGAGCTTAAATACTTCAATGAGCTCTCAAAATAAATTTGATCTGAGCAGCTCAGGTCTCATGGATTCCTAGGGTTACTGACTGGGTGAAACATGTTTTTGTTTTAATCCCTGTCTCAGCTCAAAGAGGATTAATGCCCGTAATTCTGCTATCCCCATTTAATTGAGAAATGAAATTTGAAGAGGCACCTCCTGGAACACTCCACTTTGAAATATGACCCATCCACTGTCTATATAATAAATCTTCCTCTGCTCTCACACACTTATCCACATCCTTCCTATCCCAAAGAAGGAGGAAAGAAAGTTATTGTGTGTGTGTGTGTGTGTGTGTGTGTGTGTGTGTTTCTGTGCATCTAATCCAAAACACACAATGTTGTTGTTTTATTTTTCAATTTTGGAATTATCCTAATAAAGGCATTCTCTGGGAAGCTCAGACTGCATCTCAAACCTTTCTCTGACACTAGCATCCTCATTGGAACAAATAGCCCTTTCACTAAAAGCAATACAGTTATTGCATTCATGTTATATGATGGTAATTTTCACTTTTGCTTTCAATACAACATTAAAAGAAAAATTGTCTATAGGAAAGAAAGAGGCAATATACTATATCCTGGAACTAATTCTTTGGCATCTGTAAAAAAGGGGGCCATAATTCTGAATAGAGGCTCCTGTCCTAAAACAGACCCAATGCTAAGATCTAATAGAAAGGGCACAGAGAAGCATAAGGAAACTTAATGTCACTTTCACGTTTTTTGTACAAGTTGATGTGAGGATCTAAAGAGGCAATTTCTGTAAAATGCCTAGTAGAGGACCAGGCATATAGTAAGCCCTCAGCAAATGCTGGCTGTTATCATTATGTTTTATAAAGAATTTTTACATCTTCCTCCTAAGCCCTGAGGCTTCATAACGAAGCCTTATATATGACTCTCAATGGCTCAATGTCTTTCCTAACCTAATGTAGAAAGTGACATACCATTGCTTCCAACATAACCTATTGGTCACATGGACCAACATAAGACCAATGTGGGATGACCCTGTACATAAGGGTAAGAAGCAGGCATCACTTGGGGCCATCTCAAAGGAAGGTGACCACAACTGCCTAATGGCAGTTGAATCCTTTATCAAGCTACCCTCAGTAACACTTCAGCTTTCAAGGACCAGGTTTTTGTGACTATTGTGAACAGGATTTTAGTGAATGAAGATATATCCCAAAATAACATTTCACTTAAAAGTTGAATATCTGTTATCAATTTACAAATGCTTTTATGTTATATCTCACTTGAGCTTCAAAATAACCTTTTAAGACAGACAAGAGTAGAAACTACTCCAGTGATTTCATAGATAAGGAAACTGAAGATCAGAGAGACTTAATGATTAACCTAAGATTTAAACTAGATATCCTCCTAGCATTCTCATGGCACTTATTCTGCTAGCGTAGGCTGCCTTGTATATTTTTTAAATGACTATCTGTTTATGTGCTGGTCATGGGGTTTGCAGCAAATCACAAGTGTGTAATTTTTTTTTCTTAAAGGCATTTAATCTACTTTCTAAAAATCACTAGAATTCAGAAACTGATACTACTTCTTTTGTTTCATTATTTGCCTCCCTGCCCCCAACACTCATACATATTTAGAGACACCCATGGACACTCATGAACACACATATTCTTCTTTCTAGTCCCTTATCAATGGCAAACTAAAGTTATTTTAGAATATACTAGCTGTCATTGTGCCACAGAGAAACCTCTCTTTCATGCAAATTGATATATGTATATAATCATACATGTTTATATATAAACTTTGTAGCTTTCCTCCCTCTTTTCTAAAATAAATTATGAAAGGTTGTATGTTCAGGCTTCACGCAGAATTTTTCATTTGAGGGAGACTTTTTCAACCCTTTCTATTTGAGTTGGTAGCCATTTATATGAAGAGAAAATGAATACTAATGGAAAATCCTAGAGTGGATTTGGAAAATCATTATAACAGTTCTGCTATAGGTTTGGGCCTTTGACAAACCACCTATTCAAGGATGAAAAATCCACTATTTCTCTTCTGCATTTCTTTTTCCGAATACAGCTAGATTGAATAACAGGCCAGATAAAGGATTCAGAACAATTGCTTTACTAAGTAATAGTGAGCCCATGTTCTAACCAATGGGACAGAAACTGACCCTCTGTATCTCTGACACAGTTGCCTTTCATTGACAGATTTACAGTGGAGGGGTTGGGAGAGCAGATGAATTAAAAAAAAACAAAAGCAAATCAAGATCCCCCATAAATTTCACGATCCCCACATCTTCCACCTCAGCACCTATTAGAACACCTTACTCTTAAATTCTGCACATGTGGAGATTTATTTGTATCCCAGAGGTTTGCTCAGATGTTTCCTCTGTGCTTTCAATGCAGGCCCACCCTTTTCTTTCTTCATATTAAAACCATATAGATTCTCCTTGAAGCCTTCTCAACTGGTAATAATCATTTACATCCTTGCTAGTGCTTATGATTTTCGAATTACTTTTAGATAATCTAACTCAGCGATCTCCACACAACCTTAGACACTTAGCCCGGCAAGTATTGTGCTTTTGCTTTCATGGATGAGAAAAAGGAGACTTGGAGTGCTTTGATTAGCAAACAAGGTTACAGAGCTAAAAAAGGAGTGACACTGGAGTAGATCCCAGCTTAAATGAAACCCACTGCTTTACCTGCCCCTATAGCCTGCATGATATTTCCCTATTCTGAGTGCTTGGAGCTCTTGGAGTCTCTTACATCTAATGTGATCATTAAGAGGTACTAACTGTCTGATTGCTTCTTGTGTGCAGCTAACTCACTGGTGACCCAGCACTTTGGGAGGATGAGGAGGGTGGATCACAAGGTCAGGAGTTCGAGACCAGCCTGGCCAACATGATGAAACCCCGTCTCTACTAAAAATACAAAAATTAGCCAGGCGTGGTGGCATGCACCTGTATTCCCAGCTACTTGGGACACTGAGGCAGGAGACTTGCTTGAACCCGGGAGGCAGAGGTTGCAGTGAGCCAAGATCGTGCCACTGCACTCCAGCCTGGGCGACAGAGTGAGACTCCATCTCAAAAATAAGTAAATGAATAAATAAAAATAAAATAGATTGAGCCTCCACATTTTGCATGCAGCTTTCTTGGTGCTTGTCCTTCTCCTGTGCTTACTCAAAGATGGGACATTGTGCACAATGAGAAGAGTATTGGGACCAGTAAGGAAGAATGAGTCAGATATTGTGGGACCTCTTTTTTTGTTGTTTTTTTTTGCTCCCAGAAATCTTTGAGGTAAGTAACATAGTCAATTGAGGTCTGGAGTTATGTACTCCATTTATTCATTTTTTCTTAACATAGTCCCTCCTTACTATGTGATATTCTCTGTCCTAGACCTTGAAAATACAAGTTAAATATGGCATATTCTTTACCTCTATGAGCTTAAAATTGAGTGGGGAAAGTTTCATTTTTTCTTTGAAATGAAAACAAACTTAAGTACCGATATGCATGAGAAAAATAAATTGTTCATTTCTTTACCTACATCTCATCAGGAGTAAACACATTCTCTCTCTGGCTAAGCCAAATATACCATAAATCCCTCCTAAAAAAATACCCTGAAATTGAGAATCCAATTTTAATGGCTAAATTATATTTACCTTGAACTGAGCATTTTCTATTAGGATTTACGTATGCATCTTGGGGATTCTGAATGTTGGACTTTTTTTTCTTTTTTCTTTTAGATTTTAACCTGAATGGAAAAGACAATATGAGGGTGATGAAAGACTCTAGATGGTCCGTCTTGGGTAAGAAGAGAAAAAAAACATTCATTCCACTTATATCCAAGGTGTTTCACAGATGATATGAAATACTTTTGAATGGCTCAGCTCTTTAACTAATTCCTTTGATAAATCCAGGAGTCAGAACTTAGAAATATACAATAGACTTTTTCCTAATCAGCAATGGCACAGGTGGAAATGTGTCCTCTGTGAGTGTATTCAATAGTCACTCAATGGCCTTTGACCAACATACTACCTTTTAAAATGCAAGATCCTGCAGTCAAAATTTCTGCTCACATTCTCAGAGCTGTATCTCTTCATCACTTATTGGACTTAAACTCTATTGTCTTCGGCTGATTTTTCATTAGGGTGAAGGGTCATTGACCAATCATTATGCATAAATAACTGGGAAATTTAGTGGTGAGCCTTCAATAGTGGAAGTAGCATAAAATAACAGCAATCATACCAAGCTCTATTGAGAGAGTCCTCAATGGAAGTAATATGAATGGGGATAGGGAACTAGGGGTGAGAGGGCAATTCCTCTGGGAGTTTCATCCCAGAGGAGACTTCACTTGAACTGAACTCCAAAGGATGAACAGAGTTTTGCACTACAAAAATTGCATAGATATAACAAGCTAACAGAACAATCCGAGCAGGTAAGAGCCTGGGCCATGGCTTTGTATCATTATGCATAGTTTGGAAGAATATTAATATTGATTCTCTGTACCATTTTTGAGTATATTCATCAGATCCATTGCTTGGTGTTAATTGCATTTTGTCAAACAAGAGCCTTCCACACAATTTAGGAGACATTTAAATACTAGTTGATATATTTTACAAAACTGTATTCTATACTCAAAATCCAGAGTTAAAATTGAGGCCCATTTCTTTTCCATGATGTAATACTATGTTACTTTAGTGGCAAATTCTCATATTCCTTGAAAAGCTCATCATCTTGAGGTGACAGTTCAAAACTGCCTTCATAAAATTAGGAAGATCCCAGAAAGCTTGAAACAGAGAACAGTTATTCCCATGATATATGATCTTCCTGGGCCTCTACCTCATAAACTTCTAACTTCCTTTCAAATAGTATAGAAAGGCCGATTTTTCCTCCTTTGTACACAACATTCATTTTTTTCCCCTCTCTCTGGGCTATTATTTATTATTTAACTTGGTTACTGTATTATTTAAAGAAAAAAGCAGTTTGCAATATTGCCTGTATGGGAGATTCTATAGAGGGTAAAGTAATATTGATTGCATTGTAGCTATTAACTACTGTTCCGGAAACAAGGAAGGAGTATAAGACACTGAATCAGGGCAAGAAGTACATTCACCCTCCTACAAGCTAAAAAAGAAAAAAAAGGTAGCAAACCACCTTCCAAATTATTCACAAACTTTAGAATTTCTTCTTCAAGGTCCAAAGAGCCAGCTTGAAATGTTAAGATAATTGGTGAACTTACAGGAATAGAAATGGCCCTTAAGGAACAAAAAAATTTCTCATACTTTTAGAGACTGTAAAAAGAATGACCAAGCTTCCGTAATTTTGTTCTAGTCCACATTTTCAACATTAACTACTAAATCCTTTATACAAATGCACTGTCTATTTAGACTGCTTTTCCTAGAACCCCATACATCTTTTTCTGGTTCTTTCTGATGATCATATCACCCCTTGAAAAATCCAGATTAAAAAAAAAAGTATGAATTTACATACACTTATATTCCTTGGTCTTTCTCCATAAATATACCTGGATCTCTCTGTTTTGGTTGTAAGTGTAGAAGTTGGTGGAATCCTATTTCCAGTAGGGGTTAATTAACCAAATGGGAATTCTATACATTGGATCTCACAATGGAATATTTAGAAATAAATCTGTAAGAAGGCCTGGGAAGCATAAAGGACCCAGGGGGAGAAAACACAGTCAATAAGGCTAGAAATGGAAGAATCCCTTTTAAAAATCAAACTGAGAAAAAAAGAAGCAGATGTCAAAAGCTCGGTATGAAGTCAAGTCACAGGGACAATGAAATCCAGAGTAGGGAACAGAGGTCAAGAGATTAGGGGAGGGGTTATTTTTGGGAAAAAAATCAAGAAGAGTGTAATTTATCACTGACATTTAATTGGCCTCCATGGTGAGATGCATGGAATTACCACCAGTATTTAAAAGGCTATAGACAAGGAAGACAGAATCAATCAATCAGATTTCCAACTGAACTTATCCCTCTGTTAAGTGTTGTAGCAACAGAAAATACATGCTTCCTTAAGGGAAGTTAGAAGACCAAGGTAGCATATGAATCAATTAGAAAATACTGTTTCACCGTACAGAATACTGGTTTCTACAGTCCCTCTAAAACACCCTTGCTCAAAGTGATTGATTAGTAAATACTTGTTAAATAAACCTAAGAGCTGTTTGTGTTTTCTAGATTCTATACACTATAAAATTAGAGGGGAGAAGAAATTTAACAAGGGTAAAGGGCAAGACAGATCTAAAAGGAGATGGAGCCTGAACTATGCATTTGATAGTAAAAGATAGGGGCAACAAGAAGGAAGAGAAGAACAAATGGGAGAAAAATGAAAAGGGATGAGTAAAATAATGCCTCAATAAATTAAATCATTGCTCAGATGTTAAGCCAAAATTCCAGAGCCTAAAACCCAGTTGTCTAATCCTATTCATTAGTATTTCATCCAAAAACGTACACATTTCTCTCCTTCACATAATACCTCACTTAAATGTTTCTGGTATTCATTGATGAGTATCACATAAATGTCCTTTCCTACTTGCCCATGTACATATGAATGAATCACAAAGCCTTACCCTCTTGAAGCCAGGCAGGTCAGAGCTCAAGAACGACCTTGAACAAGCTATTCTTTGAACTTCAGTCTCTGCATCCTGTAAAAGGAGAAGGTTGTAGTCCTCTGTGGTTTTTAAATCTAAAGCAAACCTTCACCACATAGTATTGTTTTTATTTAAATGATTTCAGTCTGAAGATATACACATATAATGGTCAAAATGAATATGTTGATTTCTGTACAAATTAATGTTTTTTGCTATTTGCACTGATAAAATTGAAACAAACACAATGATAACAAAGTAGCTATTTAACTTAATGATCATTTAATTTTTCTTTTGATAATGCATGTTTTTATCTGGACTAATACGATGTAAATTATAACCAACAAGTTTTAAATATTCTCTCATTTGAAGCATCTGCTCAATGAAGGAGAATCGCAGATATGTGAACTCCTCCTGCTTCTGCTGTTTGTAGGAAGAGGCAGACTTGAAACCCTGCATTGTCTGTGGCCTAAACATTGCACAGATGATCAATTTGTGAAATAAGGGATTTTTTATTTGTATTTGCCTAAATAGAGAAACGCTAATGGTGTGTTCCATCAATTAAAGAGAAAAGAAATAAATCTACCAATACTACTGCATTTGTTCATTCATAAATTCATTCATTCATTCCTCATTCATTCATATGCTAGATCTTTGTAATAAAAAATTGAAAAAAAATTAAACTCTTCATTATAAGTCTCATCCTAGGAAGACAGACAAGTACACATATGATAAGACAAGAAAATTAAACTTTCTCAAGTGTTAAAGAGCAAGCACCATCATATGTGTTTTTTAATATCACATTGCGTTTAATCTAAATGCGCTAAGGAAACACAGGGCCAACCAGGGAGCTTGATGTAAGTTTTTTGATAAATCTTAATAGTGAAGAATGGGGTGTAGATTGTTAGAAAAAGACAAATCCATGGGGATTTGAATGTTATTCGTACTGTTTTGAGTGGACATAAGACAGTCCTGTGTAACTAGAGAATAAAGTACGTTTAGCACCGTGATGGGAGAAGAGATGAGAAAGATAAGCTGGATCAAATGACTTAAAGGACTTGAAATCCATCTTAAAATAAAGGCTTCTACGATAAAAAAAAAGGTAACTAAAATCAAAGTGCCAAAAGGAATAAGAAAAAGGTAAGTGAAATCAAAGTTTTCTATTATAGAAGGAAAATGAGTTGTTATTTATAATGAAAAATTGGAGAAGACAGAAACTGGTTAGGGAGTGGTTGACATACCCCATAACATGAGGATCTGAGGGCCAAGGTATTATGGAGAATGGAATTATGGAGGATAGGGCGAGACAAGAGACATTTCAGAGAAAAAAAGCTGTGCTCCACAACCAGCTGTACTAGAACTTGCTATTGTTCTCTGACGCCAAACCCTCCATTGGGGTAAGCTATGTTCAATCACCTTCATCTCGTAAGTGTTCAAGTGGGCTTTGCAGGAAAATTGGTATCTACTACTTCAGGAGGGAGACTCTTTAACCCAGAAGAAGGCAAAAAAAAAGTTTGAGCTGCCAAGTCTTATTTGTGTTTAATGTATTTTATCGAATTATCTTGAAGACTCAGTTCTTAGTTCTGTGTCATAAATATGAACACTATATTTCCTCCATTTGGGAATTTTCAGTACTTTCCTTAAAAGGAGGCTAGCAAAATGTAGTTTTTCTACAAACTCACTTACATGGGTTGAAAGAGGAGTTTATTTCCTAAGATGTACTATCTTGAATATTTATTTTAGATAATTATTTATGCTTACAGTGTCCACAGAAGACCTCCAAACCCTGATACTTATGAAAGTCTTTATAGGAATATGCCAAGGAGAGTTGAATGGCCCATTATTTTATGTTATAGACATTCACTGACTGATCTCGAGGCTTATCATAAAGCTTCAGTAATCAAGACAATATGATATTGGTGAAAAAATGGACACATAGATAAATAGAACAGAATAGAGAGCTCGGAAATGGATCCATACAGATATAGTCAACTGATCTTTGACAAATGAGCAAAGGCAATTCAATGGGGAAAGGATATCTTTTCAATAAATGGTGTTGAATTAATTGGATATCCATGTGCAAAAAATAAATAAAATAATTTAAACACAGATTTTACATCTTTCACAAACATTAACTCAAAAGGGATTATGGATCAAAATGTAAAACACATGACAAAAAAATTTCTAGAATACAGGAGAAAATGTAGGTGACTTTGGGTTTGGTTATGACTTTTTATATATAACATCACAAGCGTGATCCATGAAAGAAAATATTGATAAATTGGACTTTATTAAAATCAAAATCTTCCTTTCTATGAAAGACATTGTTAAAAGAATGACAAGGACATAGACTAGGACAAAATATTTGCCAAACACATATCTGGTAAAGGAATTGTGTCCAAAACATGCAAATAATTCTTTTTTTAAAAAAAAATTATGTATTTAATTGACAAAAATTGTGCACATATATAGTGTACAACATGATGTTTTGAAATATGTATACATTGTGGAATGGCTAAATCAAGTTAATTAACATGTATTACCTCCTATACTTATTTGTGGTACTGACACTTAAAATCTACTCTCAGCAATTTTCAAGTGACATTGTTATTAACTATAGTCACCATGTTCTTCAAAGAACTCTGAAAACTAAACAATAAAAATACAAACAACCATTTAAGAGTGGGCAAAAGATAGGATCAGACAGTTTAATAATAAACATATGTAGATTGCAAATAAGCCTATAAAATGATGATTACTATCATATGTCATTAGGGAATTGAAAATTTAAAAACATAATATATGAATACATGCATTTTACAATGTCATATCTAAAATACTGACAATATCAAATGCTTAAATTAGGAGGAACAGGAACTTTCATTTATGGTTGGTGACAATACTAATAGTACAGCTACAATGGAAAAGAGTTTGGCAATTTCTTTGTTTTTGTTTGTTTTCTTTGTTTTGTTTTGTTTTGTTTTGTTTTGTTTTGTTTTGTTTGAGGCAGTCTCACTCTGTTGCGCAGGCTGGAGTGCAGTGGCTCCTTCTCGACTTAACTGCATCCTCAGCCTCCTAGGCTCAATCTATCTTCCCACCTCAGCCTCTGGAGTAGGTGGGACTACAGGTGCATGACCACCATATCTGGCTCATTTTTTGTGTTTTTTTCTAGAGAGAAGGTTTTGCCGTCTTGCCCCAGTTGGTCTCGAACTCCCGGGCTCAAGCAATCCACCTGCCTTGGCCTCCCAAAGTGCTGGGATTACAGACGTGAGCCACCATACCCTGTCCAGTTTGGAAATTTCTTACAAAGCTAAACCTAGTCTTAGAATACATTCCTGCAATTGTTCTCTTAGGTATTTTCTCAACTTACTTGAAAACTTCCATCCATATAAAAATGGGCACTCTCTATACAATCACCTCAAAGTGACTTTAATCCTTATTAATGTATGATTCTTCACACACCTCCGGAGTCCATTATTGAATATTTTATAGTTCAGGGCCTTTTAGCTCCTAAGCATTCTTCCCACTGGGCATCTGTTCCTGTAACGTGGATTCACACTGCATATTCAGTCCCGCTCAAACTGACCAGCGTTATGATGTGTTCTTCTCTGCAATGTGCCCTCAAACAAAACGAATTGAATCCTTTCATGTTTTTACATTTCTTTAGTTAATTATTAGGAGGTATTGGAGTTGGTGCTACCCTGTGAATAGAAAATGTAAGAGGATATCTCCGGATACTCCTGCCCCCTCTTTGAAATGTGACCATTTTGATGTGGAGGAAATTGTGCTGCTCTTGCTAAGTTAGCCAAAGGAATTGATCTGCTTGTAGAAAGTCCACACTGACTATGAGGCAGACCTGCAAAGGCTGATGGGGATACTGTCTTGCATTGGGTTAGGCAAAGCTGAGTCTTCCTTTATATTAAAATATTATGAACTGGCACCTAAAGAGCCAACACTCAGAACTGACCAAACCCAATCAAGATGTTCCCTTGTTGTTACTAAATTATACTAATTTGAATTTACTAATACTATTCCCCAAAAGGGAGCTATATTTACATTCTCCTATTACTGAAGTAACATCAATAGGTCAGAGGGAAATGGAAACGTTCTTATTTTTCTTTATATATAAGATAGCTGAGTGAATAGGTGTTCTCACGTCTATCTCTAGTGTACCTTATCACTTTCGAGTAGATATGGAATAAATACTTAGAAATATTTGTGGAAATTACTTAAATCGTGATTGCACAAATAAAAATAAGTTATGCAAGGAATGATTAAAGAGATTTGAAAGCTTTATAACTCCTGGTGATCTGGTGAAAAGATGGTCGTGTTTAAAAAATCTGAGTCCTATCAAATGAAATAGGAAATAGACATCTCTTGGAGGACATAGCTAGTTAGTCAAAAAAATGGAGGTCACGAATAACTCAGTAACAGGAAAAAATTGCAATAGTTAAGAGCTGCCAAAAAATACACAAAGTATTTTTCTGCATCCTTAAACTCCTGGGCTCAAGCAATTCTCCAGCCTCAGCTTCCCGAGTAGCAGGGACCACAGGTGCAGGCCGCCTGGCTAATTTTTAAAATGTTTTGTAGAGATGAAATTTCCCTTTCTTGACCAGGCTGGTCTCGAACTGCTGGCCTTAAGTTACCCTCCTGTCTCAGCCTCCCAAAGTACTGGAATTACAGATGTGATTCACTGTGCCTGGCCAAAAATACGGTATTTTTTAAAACAAAAAGTATTGGGATCATCCATTAACCCTTATAGTCTAAAAATCATTCATAGGGATCAGACATAGAGAATAAAACAATCAATTTTTTTTAGTAAAGCTGACTGGAACACTTGACGAGAATTGTTTCTGCATTGGTTTCCTAATTTGCTATTCTAGCACTTTAGTACTTTGCTGACACTGTCTATCCCAGACAAAGCTAATTTACCATAGAACTCTTCAACAGGAATCTGTCTCAAGAAGTTGACATCATGATGAAACACAGAGCAAAAAGTACCCTCTCTACACATAGGGGAGCCAAAAGAACAATCTAGAGGTATTGGGCCAAACACTCTCAGGTTCTTCTACATTCTCAAAGCAGACAACCCTTTCACCTCCCATAGAGAAGAGTAAGCAATGGTCCTGGAGCATAACCACAAGTGTGTCAATCACATGGGTATCTTGTTAAAGTGAAGATACTGATACAATAGGTCTTGGCTGGGATCTTAGATTTTGCATTTCTAACAAGCTACCTGGAAATTTATAAGCCTCTGGTCTATGAAGTAGTTAGGAGATAGAGAGTCCAGGATGGTTACTGTGGCACGTCTTCCCATATTCAAGCAATGACTTTGACGCTAACTACAACATCTTGATTGAATTGGGTGCTCTGCTTCTCTGATTTTCTGCAGAGTGCAGGACCAGAAGCAGTTATTTTTTGCACATTATAACTGGCTAATGTCACAAAAATCAGTAATTGCTGAAATCTTGACAAATGTGCCCCAACATAACCATAAGATGATAATTGAATTAAATACTCATAAAAGATTGAGATTTGGAACTGTTGATTCCAACTCTTTTACACTTTTCATATATTCTCCCTTCTGGCTCTAGAGGGTTTAAGTATTTTTAAATTAGCTCATTCTTCCCCTAGAGGTCTTCATTTCTTCATTTGTTTTATTTGATCACATTAGCTTATAAGCTGCCTCATATATTTTTGGAATGTGTTTGGGGACATAAATACAATAATGAAATTAGCATTTCCTCCTCCAAAAGTTGAGCTTCAGAGTGGGTTATGCTTATCTGTCACCCTTACTTGCTTCATCCCAGTGCTCTGCATATAATAAACCCTTAGTAAATATTTCTTGATTGATACATACACTTGAAAGTTTTTATTACTTGTATGTGTCTGAAATATCAGGGTTCTCAGATCGAATTCTTCTTTCTCCCTTTCAAACTTTATCAAATCTTTGTTATTTAAAGTGCTATTAAGTATCTCAAGTTTATCCTTTCAGTTTGGAGGTGATCATCTTCCATTCTGGGGGAGATGGGTCCTATGCCCCAACATTTGCGCACTTAATTAAAGCACAAGGGATGCTTAATTAGTGTAATAAATGCAATTAGAAATGTCTGTAATGAAGAAACTGTTGCTTAATTTTTAGAGCCATAGACAGGGGCAGCCAGATGGGTTAATTAATGAGTGTTAACTCTCCTTTGATAAACACTTTGAGCTCTGATTCAATGAGACTATACAAATGTCATACATTGTTGTTATTATGTTTAGGTAGAATAGCACTGGGGCCCCACTTCCTTAGGCCTCTCCATTTAACAGCTTTATTCTCAAGCTGACCTTTGCTTTCTCCAGGTGTAACTCTTTTGCTTATTTTTCCCAATAATAACTTAGGGTATACTCAACTGAAGAAAGTAAACGTCAATTTCCAAAATTTTAAGAGATGTATTTTCATTTTGACTAATACACTGTTTCTTCTGTGAAAGAAACCCTTTTGGCTTTCACTGTTGCTAAACTCTGTGAGTGCCAACACCGCTTTGTGAATGAAAAAGACTACCATTCTTCACAACATGCCACTGTATCTCACATTTCCATCAGTGATTTTTGAGCAACTATATATTCTTTGATAGAAGTTGTAGTTACTTTTAATGTCTTTAATTAAAAAATATAAAAATAGATGAGCCTCTTTTTTATATTTAGTGTAACATATTTCTAGTTGGATAAAATTTCTGGTTGGATCAAATTTCTGATTGGAAACAGAATCGACTCGTACGTGAGCTTGAAATGATTAGAAGAGTTAACTCTGGCTCTAAAGGCACGATCCATGACCTCCTCTCTTGTATTCGCACACTGAAAATATCCTAGTGGCACTGAGTGCCAGGAGAAAACAAAGGTCTGTGGCCCCTATTGCTCTTTGTCAGGCTTTACATAAAAGTACTGACTGCTATAATAGAGAATCAGCTTGCTAAAACATAACAAGAGTCTGCAGCTTCTAACTCAGTGAAACTCTACTTAAGTTATTATATGCTTGGATGGCTGCAAGAACAACAGATAGCTATGTAATTAATGCAAACCATGTCAGCTTCCTTCACTTCCTTCTTGTCTCCATGCAGACCAGTAATGAGGTGTCTCCTGGCACACAATCACAATGCACTGACAAACCATCTTGGTGTGTGAAAAAGACTCAGAAAAATCCAAGCAATGTGACACTACTAGCAAGCATAGTTCCACTTCACCAGAGACTTCAGGTCATAGTTGGGCCTAAGGCAGAGTCGCTTGGCTGGAGAAGTCATTATTTATAGGACTATAGACCAAGTTTCATGTCTGAGAGGCTCTTACGTTATTACATAGAAACAAAATTTTGTTATCTATAAGAATGATTTGCGTCTTTCTCCTTACGTTAGTAATCCTAAGAAAATATTGAAAATGAATCATTCTTTAAAACAATTAAACAATTTACTGATTATTTTCACCACTATATGATGCACATGTGCCTACCAAGAAATCAGATATTTTCTTGTGTGTAGCTTCATTCAATAGAGTAAAATAGAAAACTTTTATTATTAATAAAAATGTGAAATTCCATGTCATATACTATGATGTATAATCTTCTATGCTTCATTGTGTCTATCCTTTAGCATCACCATTGACTGACTTCAAGAGTACACTTTCCCCTTACATAGCTGTGCTAGTTGCTACAGGTAATATTTAAAAGCATAAAATACAGTCTCTGACTCTGTGCTTTAACTTAATCCAGTTGGAGAAACAGAATATGTGTAAAAAGATGAAAAATTATGGAATTTAATAAAATCTAATTCCAAATGGAAAATATAGGCAAGAAATATGATAAGACATCAATACCTGAGAACAAGATTACCATTGGAGAGGGTAGACCAGGTGCAGTTTTTCTATGACTAGTAGACTCCGAAAGAAGGGAATTCTAAACAAGAAGGTATGTGGAAGAAGCAGTATATTTTAAACCCTCAACTCTTGTTAGAAAAAACAAACATCCTCTGAGGACTTCCTCATAGGTAGCAATATGATAAGCAATAATGCTCTGCATCAGGAATGAAATTAGGTATTAAAGGAGGGAAGATCTAACAAGTAGAAGTTATAATTACAGACCTTGAAACTCATGTTCTAGATCAGCGGTCTCCACCCTTTTTGGCACTAGGGACCAGTTTTGTGGAAGACAGTTTTTCCACGGACCAGGGTAGGAGATGCTTTTGGGATGATTCAGGCACATTACATTTATTGTGCACTTTATTTCTATTATTATTACATTGTAATATATAATGAAATAATTATACAACTCACTATAAAATAGAATCACTGGGAGCCCTGAGCTTGTTTTCCTGCAACTAGATGGTCCCATATGGGGATGATGGGAGACAGTGACAGATCATCAAGCATTAGATGCTCATAAGAAGCAAGGAACTGAGATCCTTGCAACCTAGATCCATTGCATGTGTGGTTCACAATAGGTTTTGCACTCCTGTGGGAATCTAATGCCACTGCTGATCTGACAAGAGGCGGAGCTTAGGTGGTAATGTGTCTGGAAATACAGATGACGCTTTGCTCACTCACCTGCTGCTTACCTCCTGCTGCGTAGCCTGGTTATAAACAGGCCATGAACTGGTACTGGTCTGTGGCCTAGGGGTTGGGGGCTCCTGTTCTAGATTTTTTAGAGAAGACTACCATGTAAAATGATAGTGAATAATTATTAATATTAATAATATAATAGGTCTAATTGCTAAATCATATATCATAAAATCTAGCCTTTATGATAATTTACCTTTTAAACAGTCAATAAAAACTGGAACAATCTAGTAGGGTATCACAGCGGTGATAGGTCTTAACTTGCATAATATTTGAATTTATAGAGAGAATAAATACCACATTGAAGTAAAGCACAAAATAAGCCATGAAGTCAGTACTCGGTATTGCATGTTCGTGAGACAGTGAAGAATTTAATTCAATTACAGACATGCCATAGGGAATAATGATTTACCAAACTTTATCGAGTTAAGTGATAAAAAGTGTTATGTTAGGTAGATTAATCAAGGGTAGTGGTTCCATTCTTTGGTTTTTAGATGCTAGGAAGGCTGTGGAAATAAAGTTGCATGTAGCTCCACATACACACTGAAACATGTATCTACCAAGCAATAAACATACTTTCAACATGTTTCCTTTAAATATGTATAAATAGGCCAGGCGTGGTGGCTCACACCTGTAATCCCAATAATTTGGGAGGATGAGGCTGGTGAATCACTTGAATTGAGGAGTTTAAGAGCAGTCTGGGCAACATGGTGAAATCCTGTTTCTACAAAAAAATACCCCCCAAAATGCTTATAAATATGACTACTACAATAAAAATAAATTTAATGAATATAATTTATTGTAATAGGCCATTCTATATTTTTTCAGTCAACAGATGTGATTATTATCTTACACTGGGAGATGCCTACCTGTCTCGTCTCCTCTCCTTTCCTCTCCTCTCCTCTCCTCTCCTTTCCCTTTTCCCTTCTTTTCTTCCCTCCTCTCCCCTCTCCTTCCCCTTCTCCTTCCCTTCCCTTCCCCTTCCCTACTCCTTCCCTTCTTTGCCTAAGCTGGAGTGCAGTGGCATGATCTCAGCTCACTGCAACATCCACCTCCCTGGTCCAAGCAATTCTCCCACCTCAGCCTCCCTAGTAGCTGGGATTACAGGCGCACCACCACATCTGGCTAATTTTTGTATTTTTTAGTAGAGACAGGGTTTCACCATGTTGGCCAGGCTGGTCCCGAACTCCTGATCTCAGGTGATCTACCCTCTTTGGCCTCCCAAAGTGCTAGGATTACAGGCGTGAGCCACCACGCCCCACTTTAATTTTGTATTTTTAGTAGAGACGGGGTTTCACCATGTTGGCAAGGCTGATCTCTAACTCCTGACCTTGTGATCTGCCCATCTATGCCTCCCAAAGTGTTGAGATCACAGGCGCGAGCCACCGCGCCCAGCCTCCTCTCCTCTCCTCTCCTTTCCTTTTCGCTTTTCCCTTTCCTTCTTCCTTCCCCTCTCCTCCCTCCCCTTCCCCTTTCCATCCCCCTCCTGTTCCCTTCTTTCCTTTGGCCTTGTGAAGTATCTATATATTATTTTCATTAAAGTGCTGTCAGGGCTGGGCGAGATGGATCATGCCTATAATCCCAGCACTTTGTTAGGCAGAATCAGGCAGCTCACCTGAGGTCAAAAGTTCGAGACCAGCCTGGCCAACATTGCAAAACCCCGTCTCTACTAAAGAATACAAAAATTAGTGGAGTGTGGTGGCATGTGACTGTAATCTCAGCTACTCAGGAGGCTGAGGTAGGAGAATTGCTTGAACCCAGGAGGCGAAGTCTGCAGTGAGCCGAGAACTCGCCACTGTACTCCAGCCTGGGAGACAGAGTGAGACTCCATCTCAAAAACAAAACAAAACAAAACAAAACAAAACAAAACAAAACAAACAAAAAAATTGCTGCTAGCCAGGCATAGTGACATGCACCTGTAGTTGTAGCTATTTGGAGGCTGAGGTCAGAGGAAAGCTTGAGGCCAGAAGTTTGAGACCAATCTGGGCAACAAAGCAAGATCCCATCTCTAAAATACAAAAACAAACAAACAAACAACCATGCTGCCAACTTACATTGACATATGCTTTTTAATTATCAAATATAAAATGTACAGACTAAATGCTCAATATATTTTCATTTGTGTTGTTTGTTATTGGTTTACTGAGTTATGCTAACCTAAATATGACCATTAAAATTGCTGAATTTATTTTTTTCTTAAAGTCTTATTAATTCAGAATCTACTTCTTATTTGAAAAGTTATAAGATATGTACATATTAAATATGTAAAGCCCCTAATGGCACTAGGATCTTCTTATTTTATTTCTCCCTACAGAATTAGACTATCTTTCCTTTGTCAAATAGCATTTCTAGTATATTTTTGAAGACCAGAAAATAAAGACAAAGAGCTTAGGATTTAGCTGAGAGTGGCACATTTTGAAGCCAAAAGAGCTTGTTTCATATACCCCACACTTTGGATTTTCATCAGTTACAAGATGTCAACTTGCTAAACACAAATGTTCCATCCTCTAAAAAGAACAAAATATTAAAAACAAGATTTGATGAAATAGAGTAAATAAGATAGAAGTGATATAATGAAACAACTGAAATTCATGATGTTTTATTACATTCAAATAAGAGAAACACAACTGGGTTCTCAACTTTCCTACCCACTCCAATCACAGATCCATCTAGTCCCATAACTTATTTCTGCAACATTAATACATACTTTTATTTCTCCAGAAATGGAGAATACCAGTGGATATGCTATTGATAGTGGAATATGTAGTAATTGGTATGTCAAACTGAATGTTTCAAGCTGAAATTGCACTTTGATCACTTTTTTACAAACTTTCCTTGCCAAGCTACTTGGGCAGGAAAGTACTCATTTAGCAAGCCTGGGTTGCTCAAACCTTGGACTTTCCAAAGGGAGGGCAATCCTCAGTGACCACTGGCCAGCTCCTGGGAGATAATCTGTGAGCTTGTAAAATATTTTACCTGATGAGATTGATTTGGTATGCCTGAGGTCTTTGGCCAAGCAGACCAGTCTGACCATGTAAGTTCATTCTGATAATGTAGTTTTTGGTAAATGCTTGTGTTTTTTTCTGGAGGGAAAAGTAGTCTGGAGTCTAAGCAAACTAAATGTCAGACATGTAGGAGCTACATGGCCATGAGACTGAACCCCAATAAAATCCATTGACACTAAGGCATGGGTAGCTTCCCTGGTTGGCAATGCTGCACAAATATGGTCACACATTGTCTCTGGGTAACTAAGCACACCTCCAGAGGACATGTGGAAACATGTACTTGGTGTTCCCTGGACCTTGCCCATGGGCCTTCTGCTTAATTGATTTTCATCTGTAGCCTTTCACTGTAATAAACCATGGTAGACAAATATAAGAGTGTTTTTGAGTTCTAGGAGTCCTTTCAGAAAGTCATCAAACCTGTGGGTGGTCTTGGGAACCCCCAACACACTTCTTTTGTCTACTTCCTACTTCTCAGTAAAGATGTCCATAATTCTGTCCTCATTTCTTTTCTTCTAAACTCCAACACTTATCATCAATACAAATTGTAAAGACTTTACATAATCACTATTTAGATTATTATTGTTTGATATATTATTTATTTCAAAGTTAAGTAAAATTCTTATTTTAGCACAAATGCTGTGATTACTTTTTTTCCCAGAAGCTTGCAATGCCTTAATCATTAGCACTGACTAGGCACTCAATTTATGCTTTTACATTAATGATTGGCCAACAAACTGATGAGATTAATAGTGAACTAGGAACATCTATTACTGACTGGTCTAATTATGTTTGACAGCCAATAGCATTGATTTAGAAATACTCTAGGTTGCTATTACTGAACTGCCTAAGCACTGATAAAGCCCATTATAGCCAACTTGTATCTATTCCTTGCAAACAATAAGCACCAATATTTATGGAATGAATTTGCAAAAAAAAGAAATCTTCTGTTGGATTTTGCAAGAACCTTTGTTGAATTTTCTATGAAGACTCTAGGAAGGACAGACTTACAGAAATTCTGAGTTTGAATTAAATATTTTAGGCTGGAGGATTATTTCATGTATCTGAAATAATCTTAATGTTTAGCTCAATCAGTTACTTTTCGTTTATTGATGTAACACATGATTTAGTGGTTATTTAATATGGTATAGCAAAATTTCTCTGCTACATTGGAATTAACTCGAGTGTTTGTGAGTATTAAGCAGAGGTTATCTAACATCATATTTAAAAAGAAAGCATATGTATTCGTGTACAAGCTTGCATAGATCATAAAATTCAACTCGACACAGCCATAGACAAAGGGTGGAGCATCAGGTATAATTAGCCTAATACAGCTAATAAAATGACAGAAATGGGGTTGAGAACAGACAACTTTTTAAAGTTTAGAATCGTATGCAGATTTTTGGTTCATTATCTGAGGTGAGATTACTCAGAAACCTGAGATAAGCATTTGTGTGCAGCGTGATCTATTAGGAAATGTGTTCCTGGGAGAAATAGATGAGCTTGAGGGATGCTAAGCAGAAAAGGGAAGGACGCCAAGCAAGAGTACAGTTTTAGGCAAAGAACTGCAGAAGGTGACTTCAGCCTGATTTATAGGGGGATTAGGATGTATGAAGTACACCTCAGATTTGCCAGTTCTACAGGCAAGGGAGCTGAGCTTTCATACCATTGAATTATTTGCCAAGGGCTGCCCCAGGAATCCAAACTCCTAGGTACTTCCCATTCTCTCTGAGGACAGGAAATCACCCCCTTTTTTCAAGGATATTCCTCTGAAAAGAGTCAGAGGTACAGGCTATTACAAGCAAAATAAAGCAAACATTAAAAAGGATCCAAAGAGATCCAAATAGAGCACTGACAATATCCACTACCAGGTAATAAAAATACATAGCTGTGCTATGTAAACATGATCAGTGGATTATCTGTGCTTTAAAGAATGAAATTCAAAAACATGCTGAAGGAGGACTTGAGAATTTATTGAAATAAATTATCAGGTTTTAAACAAGTTGTCTTGTTAATTATTAGGAGGTAGAGGTGGATGTGGGGTTTGGAGGGAACCCAATGGACAAGAGAAAATAATTCAGTGAAAGGGGAACATCCAGGCAGAACCAAGAAGAAAAGTGTTTAAATCAACTCAGAAGATCTTTGTTGAGAATATGTTTTCTTATAGAACAAATATACTATAGGTCCAGAGTTTGACTCTGGGACATGTGAATTCTTTGGTTGAGGAAGGTAACTTAAACCTACAACACTTTGGAGTATGGTTATTCAAATAAATAGAAATTAATTTAAAAACAGGTCTTATAAGTGCTACATTTGAATAGTCCAGAGGATATATGAAGAAATACTTTGAATATATTGTTTTTGTTTTGAACCCTTATTTGTTTCTGTTTCTCCTGTAGAGTTTTCTCTCCTATTGGGTTCTGTGAGAACTTAGGAGGAATTTGTCTTGAAGATTATGGGAAGGACAAGGTGGTAGAGAATTAGAATTTCTGTTTGTAGTAAACTTTAAGTATGACTTTTAACATTTCTCCTTTTCCTGTACACATGGCCCTCTTCAATGTGGTTTTGACATGAGGTGTGTTTTCTCACTCCTTCTGGAATGGCTTTGTGACTTGCTTAGACAAATAACATTAGGTGAATGTAATTGGGTACAATTTCTAAGCTTAGGCCTCAAAAACCTTCTGGCCTCTATTTCTTCCTCTTAAAACCTGGTGCTATAATGTGAAGAAGGTTGAAGAAGCTCTAGTCTTCTAGAGAATAAAGCCTTGTAAGAGTAAATGTTTTAAGTCTGTCATCTCCAAGTTAACTCATAGTAGAGTGCAGTCACATAAATGATCTCAGAATAGACCAACAGAAGAAACACCCTGCTGAACCCAGACCAAACTGCTGGCCCACAGAATTGCGATAAAATAAAATGACTGTTGTTTGAAGTTACTAAGTTTTGGGGTGATTTTTAAGGGAGCAAATGATCGTTGGTACATTGTAGCACAACAGCATGAGAGAACACACAAGCATGAGGCTTGCTGTCTGGGTTTGCGTCATGTCTCCCATAGGCATCAGACAGAACACCTTCTTTTGAGCTTTCACACTAGCCTCTCTTGGGATATTGCTTAAAAGCCCCTCTTTGAAAAGCATGCAATCAAAATCAGGGTATATTTTAACCTACTTGTTCACCGCCTTAATTATACAGACAATCACATAATTACACATACCTTAAGCAATCAAACCCAGGAGATGCTCTGTAATATCCCACTGGGTAAATGCTTGGAAAAAGCTGTTGTGATAAGGAATTAAGAATAGATCAAGCCTATCATTATATGTGTTCATTACTTGTCTTTTTGTTAAAATATCTATTTATCTGTCAACCTATTATCTATCTATCTATCTATCTATCTATCTATCTATCTATCTATCTATCTCCAGTCAAAAAAAAAGAACTAGTTGAGTAATTGGCTGATGCCTTTATCACAGAGGAAACATCAACTCATTAAGTATGATGAACATATTTAATGTGTCTGGATCAGAACATAAGCAGTTAGCTGTTATCTATGGAGCTATGGAGCTAATTTAAAAGAAAATAGGCACAGTTACCCCTGCACATTTTCAACATACCATCAATGTCTTGCTTAGCGGAATTCTGAAATTGGTAGAAAAGCTTGTTGCCACCGGGCTTAAAGCCTTCCTCATCAGTCATGTTACAATGCTCTTGGGAGCAAACGCTCAAATTAAGATTATGAACACAATTCACTAACTTACCGATTGCCTTCTTATAAAAAAAAATTGCTGTCCTCTTGGCTAACACGTTTTATACTTGTTCCTCTGTTATGGTTTCCACACAGCAAGGAAGGACTTTTAAATAAAAGGGAGGACTTAGGGAGAAAGATAGCAAATGTAGATGATTAATGTCAGTCTGTTCTGAACTATTTGGTTGTTTTTATGTTCTAGTCTTTGAAAGATGCTGGAATATATGCCTGCTTGGCCAATTAGTCCCCAATAACTCTTCAGTGCCATAGTACTGTGTGTAGAGAAAACCTCAATGAAAAGAAAATGGACAATCAAGCTGGATAAAATACATCCCTTAAATGAGAACTACGCTATGTGAAAAAAAAATAGAAGAACAAGTCCTCAGCAAGTCAATGATCATAAGAAAAACAGTTATATTGACTAGTTATTTTGTGTGTTTGATGTACAATATGGAGAAATATTAGTAGCCAAATGAATGTGACACATTGACACAGATGCATTGTAAATATTATGCTATTGAGACCATAGATTCAGTTACATTCCTCTGATGAATGTGGATGCTTTCATTTCCTGTTTTAGAAGGCAACTAACCTGATTAATATCAAACTGCAAGCTCTGCCTTGTTTGCAGTAGGTGACTGCTCAAATTGTAGTTATTTTAGCCTCAGCTCTGAGATAATTTGTTTCTGTCCTGTTTTTCCCCCAACAAGTATGGTTCAAGGTTCACATACAGACTTGGCCAGAGTTCATATGCAGACTTTTAACTGCCTTCTTCCCAGGATTTCCTCTCCATTTTTGGGGTGGGTGGGCAGTGGGGTGCTGTGGTTGCACTGGGTCCTGTCATCTGGTTCTTACCAACACAAAATATGAAGGTTTTTAAAGGAGTTTCAGTTATTCTAATTATCCTGTACCTTAAGTTGTCTTTCTAATACCTAGTGCTGGTTTCTTCTAAATGTCAAATCTCTTACAAAAACTGTTCTGTCTCAGGAATTGTGTGTGTGTGATTGTGCATATTCAGACTTTATAGTTGTTACCTGCATGACTGTCAGTCTAGTAGGAATTCATTCCAGCCTACTAGAAGAAAAAGTTTATATATCAATTTTGCAGAAAAATAATCCAAATTGTATAGGATATTACTCAAAAAGAAAACTTCGGAAAAGTTGTTTAAATTTATAATCTTTTAGTTTTAAGCAAATATTTGTTAAACATGCTTACTTCTCAGTTAGTGGAACAGAAGAAAAAAAATGTAATGTCATCCCTGAACTCAGACACACAACACTTAAGAAATTACATTCAAAACATAGGTGCTTTAACTTGATAAGTACTTTAAATGCAATGCTATATCCATTGTTTTCAATGAACATAGCAACATTTTACATGCACAATATAATAATGTGGTAATTGCCAGAAATAGTCCCTTTTTGCAAATATTTAATGTAATTCTACAGGAAAAAATTTTAAGGCAGTAAAATAAAATGTATTTCACGATCTGCAATGATGTGTACCTTACTTTAGCCTTTTACTGCAACTAACTTCAGCAAATAAAATTTGGTGAATAATCTGTATTTTCTTCTTTTCTTTCTTTTTTTTTTCTTGTAAGCCTCTCTCCCTTCCTGTCTCCATTCTTTCCTACAAGGAATATTGGGTATTTATTATGTGCACGGCACATTCTAAAGCAGTGAAGATGAGACAGTAAATATTCCAGGGACAGTATCAATTACCTGAGCTTATGCTGTATTAGAGAGAAACAGAATAAATAAAATAAAATTAGACATTAATGAGTGAAATGCAGAAAATAAACAGCGTAATATGATAAAGCGTAATGAGATAACTTGCTTATATTGGTGATCATGAGAGCTCTTTTTGAGCAAGAGACTGAAAAACATTTAATGGTAAGATAGAACTTGCAGTGGCCCAAACTGAGAGGTAATCTCAAGCAGATGGCACAGCCAGTGCAGTGACTCTGGGAAAGAACATGTATCGGGTCATCTAAGAACTGACTGCAGGTCTGTATGGTTCCAACTGGAGAGAAGCTAGCAAGAAGGGAGGCATAGCTAAGATAGGTATCACCTGATTATCTGGACCTGTGTGTTCCAAGGTATGGGTTTATATTTTATGCTAATTGCAATAAATACTATTGAAATAATTTAACTCGGGAAAGTCTACGATCTGATTTAAAATTCCAAAATAATCTTGAATTATCTTGTGCGTGGAGTAATTTATAGGAGGGAGCAAAAGTTGAGGAACATGGTCTGACAGTAAGGTTATTAAAATATTGTAAGAGATGATGATGGCTTGAACTAAGATGGTCACAGAGAAGACATAAAACTTGGAAGATACTGCATTGTGATTTGGAGGAGAAAGTCAACTGGGCTTGGTAATAAGTTCAATATGGGAAAAAAGGAAAGACTAGAATAAAGGATGACACATGGATTTTTTGCTTAAGCAACTTGTTCAATGGTGATGCCATTGCTTTAAAAAAAGGAACAGTTGGTCAGTTGCGGTGGCTCACACTGCAATTTGGGAGGCCGAGGATGGTGGATCATCTGAGGTCAGGAGTTTGAGACCATCCTGGCCAACATCATGAAACCCCATCTCTATTAAAAATACAAAAATTAGCCCAGTGTGGTGATGGGTGCCTGCAATCCCAGCTACTCGGGAGGCTGAGGCAGGAGAATTTCTTGAACCTGGGAGGCAGAGGTTGCAGTGAGCCAAGATCATGCCATTGCACTCCAGCCTGGGTGACAAGAGCAAAACTCCATCTCAAAAAAAAAAAAAAAAAAAAAAGGAACAGTTGTATGGGGATATCAATAGTTCTATTTTAGTCATGTTAACTTTGTGGTGTTAATAGACATCCAAATGGAGATGCCATGCAGATAAAAGAACAAAGAGTTCTATAACTTACAGGTGAGGTCAGACCTGTAGAGCTTTGGGTGTTTAGAATATGTAGAAGGTATTTAAAGCCAGATGATTAGATGATATTCCCTAAAGAATGAATGTAGATATCAGCTAGAAAAGTGTCAAGAGTAATCCCTAAAATAAATAAAGAGAAAAAATTATTAATATAGACAATAGGTTAGTTGTTAGGGACTTTCATAGGAGCAGTTTTAATGTCATGGAGTGGCATCAGTTCTTTAGAGTAGGCTGAAGGGAGAAGGTAGTAAGAGAGAGGCGAAGAAAGAGGAGACAGATTTTAGATAACTGATTCAAGAATGTTTCTATATAAGGAAGCAGACAAAGACAGAAATGCTGGAAGAAGTGTATGTATATTCAGAAGATTTTTAAAATTTATTTTTTCTCTCTTTTCCCCCACACCTTTTGCCTTGCTTCTTTCTTCTTTCTTCCCTAATTGATAGAAGATACCAGAGTATGTTTCCATGCTCACTGGACTCACACAGTCATTAGGGATAAAATAGAGACAGTGGTGATGCTGGGGTGGGAAGAATAATTACAAGAACAAAGTTCTTTTGACAAGAGGGTGTAGAATCTAGAACATAAAGTGAAGGGATAGAGTCTTATAGGAACTTGGAAATTTATTGCTTCTGTAATACTTGGTATACTTTTATGCCATAGAATACGATTCAATTATTTTATTGCTATCATATATGCTGTGTTGTGTTACCTAGATCTTCTCCTTAACAAAAGAAGCACTCACTCCCAAAGGTGGGATTGGCACAGTCAACGATTGGCAGTTTTCAGCTGAGACACTTTAGAGGTTGTCTTGGTCTGAAGAGACCATCCAACCTCAAGGTCTTTTCCCCTTTTTGTTGGCAGCCTACATCCAATGATTGGTCAAAAGGCTACTTCATTTGCCTCAAATCTGGGTAACTACACACAGCAAATCCACCTCCAGAGTTCTCCAAAAGTCCATTGAATGCCTTTTAATAATTGCATTGCAGGCCAAATTGTGCCAAATCCTGCTTCTTTCACTCACTCATAAGTTTTGGCCTCGAGGGTGTTCTCCATCTCAGAGTCTGTTTTCTTAAAAGCCAATCTACGACAGTTGATACTAAGAATGACTTTAACAAAAGGTCATTGCAAAATTGAGATTTTGAAGCTCCGGGTCATCTGACAATAAGGCCACCTAAGGTCCGCCAGTAGTAGTTGTAGACGAACTGGTGACTTCTGGCATGGTCATTAGGGCAATTGTTAAAACTTTTATAGGTGTTGAACTGAGATGAACTGAAACTGACAGAAAGGAATGAACAAACAGTGCCCTAACAATATGGAGGAAATGATCATTATAAGGGCTACGAAATTTGATGGTTGATGCTTAGGGCAGTTTATATCTTGAGAAAAACAATAAAAGCCTGAAAGTGACTCAACACCAATCAAAGGCTAAGTTTAATTTCCAGACAGCACTCTTGTCACAACAGCAGGAAAGGCTAAGGATCAGATGTCTTACTGAATTATAAGCATAGCAGAGTTACATTCTCAATTTTAGTAGAGATAAATGGAAGTAGCGTGCCTGTAAGAAGAGGATGGAGACATCTGAGTTGATGTACTCAAATGTGAATGCTTTCATTCTTCTGAATCTTCTTGCTGCAGATTTAGTCCATTGTGTGCTAAATGCTAACACTTTCCATGCCTGAAGATAATGCAGGAGCTTCTGTCTTGAAAGACAACATGATCTCACTTCATTTTTTTTTCTGACCAATAGGCAAAAATAATTAATTCACAACATTAAGGGAACTGTTGGGACTGTCTGGAAAGGAAAGGTACCTTACCTTGAAAGAGCTAAAAACCTAGCCTTCATATAGGCAGGAGTCAGGAGAGTATGTACAGGACAGATGGTGATAGTGTTGATTCTGGGGGATAGAACATAAAGTTGGATAAGTGAGACTTTATTGAAATAGGAGCACTATTTGATAATACAAGATTTAACACTCCAGGCCGGGCACAGTGGCTCACACCTGTAATCCCAGCACTTTGGGAGGCCAAGGGGGACAGATTACCTGAGGTCAGGAGTTCGAGACCAGCCTGGCCAACATGGAGAAACTCTGTCTCTACTGAAAATACAAAAATTAGCTGGGTATGGTGGCAGGTACCTGTAGTCCCAGATACTTGGGAGGCTGAGGCAGGAGGATTGCTTGAACCCAGGAGATGGAGGTTGCAGTGAACTGAGATCACACCACTGCACTCCAACCTGCAAACCTGATGACAGAGTGAGACTCCACCACCCCCACTCCAAAAAAAAAAAGAGGCCGGGTTTGGTGGCTCATGCCTGTAATCCCAGCACTTTGGGAGGTCGAGGTGGACAGATCACGAGGTCAGCAGATGGAGACCATCCTGGCTAGCATGGTGATACCCCATCTCTACTAAAAAATACAAAAAATTAGCCAGGCATGGTGGCACGTGCCTGTAGTCCCAGCTACTCGGGAGGCTGAGGCAGGAGAATGGTGTGATCCTGGGAGGCGGAGCTTTCAGTGAGCCGAGATCGTGCCACTGAACTCCAGCCTGGGAGACACAGCAAGACTCTTCTCCAAAAAATAAAATGAAATAAAATAAAATTTAACACTCTAGAAAGGACCCTGGGTTATAATGCTAACATATTGTTAGGATAAATTTCAGAAACATGGAAACAGAAATGCCCATTTCAAATGACCTAGGAATGGCAAAACTACTGTGGAAGATGGGTAAAAAGGGGATCAAGAGGCTCAGAAATTGGATATGCTACCTAAAGTTAGAAAGACCAGAAAATGTTCATGCTTTGTTAGAGGATACAGAGAGGAACACTCTGCTTATCAAAACAATGAATTCATTTATGACAGTGACATAAGTGAATTATTAGCATCAGTGGCAGTGACTTCTTAGCATCACTAAGAAGCTGAGTGGTGGTGGTCCTCTGAGAAACAGGGCTGACTGTAGGAGATACTGTTATATAACTGAACTCACTAAAAACAATGGAATTGATAGTAGCCCCATTCAGTAAATGTCAGGTGTCAGCGTTCAACATTTAGAAGAGTGGGTATAGTTATCATCATATGCAGCAAAGTCACAGTGACAGCCAGTGTGTTCATAATTGTTGAGAGCTATAGAGATGGTTCATAGTGCAAGTCTTCCTAAGGGCTAGACAGGCTCCCGAGAATATTGCTTGAAGTGTACAGAAATAAAAATACAAGTACAGGAATCAGGAAGGCAACGCCTACTGTCTCCGTAAAAGTCATAATTCCTTTACCAAGATTCCAGACATCATTCATTTTTTTTTCTACTGCAATCCATTAACTGAAGGAGATACTGGATCTCTGTGGGGAGTAGCCCTACAACAACCTGGGCAATATATATGGTAATGATGCCTTCAGTCTTTCCCCAAAGACATAGGACCAAATGAACTAGAAGTGGCAAGTACATTGAAGGCCTTTTGGGACACAATTCTCTATGGGTCTCCAGTGTTTCTACAGCCTTGGAAGCACAGGCACTGGCTGCATTTATTCTGGACTATCTTTTCAAAAATGTATAGCAGAGAGTATTTAAACATATAGTTAGTGTCTCTCTCTAGAGCAGATGGTAGGTTTTTTTTGTTATTTTTCTGTCCATGGTGATAATGTCCAGGTCTTCCCTTGGGATATAGATCAGGCAGATTTACTACTCATTTTTAAAGATTTGGGTTTCTTAAGCTCAGGGTTGCTTGGCTGTAATGCAATCCCATTATGTGTACAGCTTGTTCCTAGTCCTTCTCCATCACTCTAATCAGCCTTGGTGGTCAAGGAGAACTGATGCAAGCATGATGCTCATGCTGCAGGCTGTGTTGTGAGTAAAACAATTCTTCATCTCTGATAGAGCAGTTTTTTGTCTTTATTCATTCAGCATTCACAAAACTGTTACAGGCTAATAATTTTAGCTTGCAAATAGGATAAAATATCGTATACCTTACAGCTTGTAAGAAGGCCTTCATAAGATTGAGAGAACTTCTACATCTGTAGTGTCCTTTAGGTTTAAAGGCCACCAGCTTTGGTGGAGTCTGGAAGTAAAAGGGGCTCTGCAGCACTTCTCGACTATAGAATCAAAGGTATTCTTTTGGTGATATTCAGAGTACAGAGAAAGCACTAGTAGGATAATCACATTGTAGGCCATTAAGTTTCTACACCAAGTATATGCCATTTGCAACAGGGAATTATACGATTTTCAGGAAATATTAGGCAAGAAATAAATTATTTGACCAAGTATCATAATGTGATTATAGGACAAGAAATGCCCATTGATTAGGGCTCTGTAGATCCACCAAGTAATAAGATTGGGCATTATCAACAATCCGTTTTAAAATACAAGTAGTACCTCCAGAGTGAGGCATAAGCAAGACTGGGAGTCACAAGTAAGCTGCATTAGCAGGTGTCCCAGACTTCCACAGCATCCACCACAGTTGCACCTTGCACCAATGCCTCTTCCACAGACCACACCTGTGATGGGACTGCCTGACTTGATATGACCAATTCACAGGGGAGAAAAAAGGTGAAGTTTGTTTTATAGGTTAATGGGCTCAGTAGGTGGATACAAATAAAAAATGGACCATAACAGCAATATATCCTTTCTCAGTGGTTGCCATAACAGACAGTGGTGAGAGGAATTCCTTCCAATAGGCAGAGGTTTGTGTGTTGCACCTGACCATTCACCATATATGGAGAGACAGGTGGCCTGAGGTAAGAATAGACTTTTGGATGTGGGCAGGTGACAAATGGCTAGTTGAAGGTCTCAATGTAAGAAGGTCTCAATGTGCAAATATCTTTCTAAAATATTTTCATGCCAATCAAAGAACTTTTATTCTAGAAAAGGCACTACACAACCAAACACACAGAGTAGTTACTTGATGTCAGCCATGTTTGGTTATTGGCCATCCTAATGCATCTGGAAGTTAAGGGAGAATCAGAACCAGATATAACAAATTAGGATTTGTCAGTCCTTTCAATCTATCTGTTATATATCATATCTTAGTTTCATCACTTTCTTTAGTTCGACATTCCTTTGGATGAAACAAAATTGTCTGTGTACTTTGATTCCATCTCCTCAATAATTATTTTCCACTCTAGTTCTTACAACAATCATTACAAAAAAATAGGCAAGATCTACCCAAGATGGGAAGGCTGGAGAAGTTACAAATGATAAGGAATTTGATAAAGTTCTTATAATTACGTTTCCCCACTCTCCTACTGGGATCACTGTGTATGTTCTTGCAACCATTGCCATACTTTTGTTTGGGAGAATACAGTCTACCGAACATTCATTTTGTTCTCCAGAATGTAGGATTGAATAAGTAATTATGGCACAGGCAATATATACAGAAATTAAGAACACAGGATTTAGGGTCAAAAAATATTTTTGAAATTAGTTACATCCTATATTAGCTGTGAACATGGACAAATTAGTTAGCCTTCTTGAATCTAAGTTTACTCATTTGTAAAATGGTTTAAATAAGGTAATTTAAAGGAAATGTTAATACAGACTCCTGCACATTTACATTCAATAAATGCTACTTAATAATATTAACATTTTCTGTGCTAAAATTAAAATAGTAGCAGTTAAAATAGAATGTGGTCAGGATTAAATGAGATAAATATACTATTTCACATTGAATGCACTAAAATATTGTTATTCTTAAAAACTATTATCTGGTTAGATTATTGAAAGATGAGTCTCACATTATGGTTACACTTTGTGTTTTCTCAGTATTTACGTACACACATTTCTTATGTCTCTGTACAAAAAAATAATATTTTTAACTATACAAAAAGTAAAGTATTGTGAAACATATTAATTCAATCTCAGACTGACTGGGATTTTGTGATAACCCTGACAATGCTATGTTGAAATATACTTCTTAATCATAGAACAAAAGTGTTTACTGGGAAAATGGATAATGTAAATACTACTGAAAAAAAGAAAGTTTAAGGTGCTTAAGAGAACAAATCTTTACAGTTCTTTAATTATTCCTACTGATAGAAATAATATTGAGAAATTACAATGTATAGGCACTGTATTTTTTAGTTTTTATTTTATCAAAGCTATGCATGCTTCTAGTTTTTGTTTTTTAATTATGATAAACATGAAGAGTTGAATCAAATTCATTGTAAAAATCAGTTTCCTGACCTCACCTCTATCCCCACCTTGCTTGTTACCCAGAGAAAACTCCCTTTGCCTCTTTTAATGGATTTATTTGCTACTTTTCTATACATCTCTAAATGGCATACTGAAATCCTTACTTTATAATTGTTTAGAAAGAGGAGAATTTAGCAGTCTTTCTTAGCCTACCACATCCTTAAATATATACACTCTTTGTATCTCCCCATTGTTCAGAAATGGTTATATCATAATTTAGGTTAGATCTACACACATTAAAAATTTTTTTGTTTTCTCTGGTTAGTAATTTTCAAGTTTCTTTTCTGTTTGTTAGTTTTCTATTAGTTCTTACTAATTTATTTTACGCTTTTTTGTTGAAATTTATTTCAATGCATTAAAATACTTTAAGTATTTTCTCTGTGTCATCTTGAAGCAGTATTTCCAGGTGTCTTCTAGCTTGTTTTAATCTGGGTTGAGTGAACTCTAGAACTGCTGCCCAGCTGTCTTTTGAGATTTTTCTTTATTGTCATCCAGAAAACTCCCTTTGCTTCTCTTTGGGTCAGAATCTACATTTCTATAATGCCATATTTTCTTTCTTTGATTTACGTGATTGTTTTGGCAAGGCATATGTACTAGGCCATTCATGCTTTGCTATAAAGAAATACATGAGGCTGGGTAATTTATTTAAAAAAAGAGGCTTAATTGGCTTATGGTTCTGCAGTTCTGCAGGCTGTACAGAAAGCATAGCATAGGCTTTTGCGTATGGGGAGGCCTCAAAAAGCTTACAATCATGGCAGAAGGCAAATGGGGAGCAGGCATCTCACATGGTGGGAGCAGGAGCAAAAGAGAGAGTTGGAATGGGGGCAGTGCCACACTTTACAACAACCAGTTCTCCCAAGAACACGCTCAATACTCAGCTACGCAGGAGGCTGAGGCAGCAGAATTGCTTGAACCTAGGGGGCAGAGGTTGCAGTGAGCCGAGATCTTGCCACTGCACTCCAGCCTAGGCAACAGAGCAAGACCCCTCTCAAAAAAAAAAAAAAAAAAAAAAAAAAAAAAAAAAAAAGGAGTAGCATGGGCAAGAAGCAGTTTCAAGAATTAGAGTATGGATTCTCTCCTAAGGCCACAAATAGCTAGAGGCTCCCTTTTATTTTGCCTCTTAAACCCTGCTAGCAGGTATAAGCAGGGATTCAGATCACCTCAAAAGTCAAGCCTGTTTTAGAAAATCTCTTCACTTTGTTCCATATGTGAGTTATCCTATGATGTTGTTATACCCTGCTCAGATTTCTTAATCTCTGTTCCTCATCATTGGATGTCAGATTTTAAATATTGTTTTTAAGGGGGCCAAAAACTAAAAATCTGATGAAAGTAATAAACTATCTCCTAAAAAAACCCCCTCATATAAGAATTCCTGATTATATATTTTAGGGAATTCACAGACCCTTTGAGTCCAATCTAAGAGTCCCAGAAGATTATAAACTCTTCTACTTTAATAAGAGTAGAAAAATATTCTGTAAAGCTCCCCCTCCAAATTTTTACTTTTTTTGTGTATAAGAACTAGAAAGACTAACATTTTTTCCCAGGACTTTTAAAATATGCTTTTGAAAAAGATCCTTTGAAGCTACTGTAGGCAAAAGTTATTTTAAGTCACTGTTACCATGTTTTTTTCTTTCTGTTCTAACGAACAAGTGAACTTCTAAAAATTTCAGCTTATAATACAGACTATGAGAAGAAACATAGATATATAGCTGTGTGAAGGCTTATCCTTTTTCTCTGGAATTTCCAGGGTGTTCTCCATTGATTAAGCAGAATGAGTTCAACATCCACCGATTTTCCTCCTGATGCCTTCATAAATGTGTTGTGATGGTTAATTTTACGCATCAGCTTCACTGGGTGCCCAAGTATTTGATCCAACATTATTCTGGATGTTTCTGTGAAGATGCTTTTGGATAAGATTAATATTTAAATCAATAGACTGAGTAAAGCAGGTTTTCCTCCTTAATGGCAATAAGCTTCATCTAATCCATTGAAGACTCAAACGGAAAAAAAGTTCTATACCCTCCCCTAAGTATGAGAAAATTCTCCCCGTCTGGCTCCCTTGACCTGGGACATTGGCTTTTTTTGTGTGTCTTCACATACAAACAGAAACATTGGTTTTCCTTGGTCTTGGGCCTGCTGGTCTTCACACTAGCTGCTTTCCTTCATTCTCAGGCCTTCAGACTCAGACTGAAACGACACCATGAGCTCTCCTGGGTCTCCAGTTTGCCATCTCACCCTACAGATCTTGGAACTTGTCAGACTCCATAATCGTATGGGCCAATTACTTATAATACATTTCTATCTATTTGTCTATCTATCTCCCATTGATACTGTTTCTCTGGAGAACCCTAACAAATACATATGTGTTAGAGAAGAAGACTTTTAAAGAAAGAGATGAAAAATTGTTTAAAATATAAAGATGAAGTACATTTTCCTTTTTAAAATAAAGATGTCTAGTCCATGATACAAGCTCTAGAGATGAGCCCAGAATGCTCCGTAAAGCAGAGTTCTGTAGATCCTCATGATACATTTGTTGTCTCCAGAATCAACCACTTCACTGGACTCTAACTAGCAAAATGTTTAATGTATCTACATGTCAAATCAGTGTCCTGGCTTTTCTTGCCATATGAAGTCTTCTTTATTTTAAACTTGAATGAGAAGAAATAATTTTTTTCCTCCATAATATCAAAGTGATTTTGTAAGTTTATGGAAATAAAAGAGATGTACTTTAAATACATAATTGTTTAAATTTTCTGTTTTAGTTTTTGCAATATGATCAATCAGTAAACAAGGAATAGTAAATCGGAAGAGGCTAGGTCCAAATTCCAGTTCTTTCTCCTGTTAGTTGCATGCGAATAGTTAAATCACATATCCTAACTGGATTTCTATTTTTTTTTTGTTAAATATAGAAAAAAAATCTTACATGTTTTCCCTTATGAGGTCCTTATGAAGATTAAATGAAATAATATACGAAAATATAGGTACTACATTAGAAGAACTAGTATGAATAAATATTAATACTAAGAAAGAAAAGAAAAAGAAGAAATGAAATATAATATTAACGAACAGAGAAAAAACAGTTTTGCCAGCACAGATGAAAATGAATATCATTCATCTCAAAGCCCTAATGCAGTATTTTATTTTTTATATGCATCTATGCATACCTGTAGCAGACTTAATATTTGTGACTATAAGCATGTAGGTAGCTCTGTTATAGGTGTAAACAAGCTGATTGGAACTGCCCACTTCCTTTCTTTGAGCTTTGCTCAAATGCTTTCAGAATGAAGAGGATACTGATTAATTTCCCAAACCTCCTATAGGACTAAACAGCAATGGGATTATCTCAAAAAGCCTGAAAAGGACACAGTAAGATCATAAACTGTTAGAGCTAGAAGAGATTATCCAGTAACAATCCTTCCATACTCCCATTTTGCAAACTCCCCATATGCACAGATAAATTTCGAATAATCTGCCCAGATTCATTTGGGTAATCTGTGGGAGAGCAAGCATTCCAAGATGGCCTTTCAGCCTTCTCTCATTTCCTATTCTTTTCCCTCACCGTCACACTATACTACACTGATGTTGGTTTTCATGATTTTAGCGGGGGCTTCAAGACTTCCTGGCTTTCGTATCCTTGAATTCCTTTCAGCACACCTGGCTTTGCACATGAAGGATTGATTTGATCTGGAATTTACTTAACAACTGTGTAGAGAGAGAGCACCACCAAAAACTGTTTTTGCCCCTTAGACAGATGTGATGGCTAAACTGTTTCGGCACCTTGAGAGAAGTGATGGTTGCAAGTTGGCGGATGATGTGTAGAGCTATAAATTACTTCTAGTTTTGGAGAAGAGTCATATTCTTGGGAAAGTCACTTTCCAGGTTCATGTTAGGGTATTAAGGAAATGTTCTTTTATAAATAAGTATCTGGTTCCTCTCTTTTCACAGGGGGAGAATAACTGTCTTTCTCTAAGGGTCAAAGCATCTAATTGCAAACAAAGTTTTTATGGGTGGTGTGGAAAGTGAGTGTCCCCACGTGTCACTGAATCACACACTAACAACCTTAAGAAAAACAATGTAAGTACTTCCCTGACTCTAATTTAACTTTTAGACTCCCCTCTGAAGGCTTAGAAAATGACAGTCATAAAATGAACATACATGGGCCTTCTTCGTCAAACATTTTTGAGAGGAAGACCATTGAAACGAGTTCTGGGTGAAAGTGGGGAGTTTATTTCCAGGGTCCTAACATTTCCTCTTTCTATGCTATTTTGCCTAATTTAACTATTTCTCTGAAATCTTGGGGTTCCTATGCTTCCTTAGGCATTCTTTAAAGTGCAGGAAAAGGCTATTTCACTTCCCAAAGTGTTTAGGAATTCCCACTATTGCTCTGTTAGGACTGTTTTCATTTTAAGCAGGTTCCAGAAAGATAGCATTGTTTTCTTTAAAGGGATAGCTCTTTACTGATGGTATTTCCAATGGTTCTGTCTGCACCTGTGGGAGTTGTATTGTTGTAAGGGTTTAAATTATGATAAAGGAGCAAGAAAATATTTTACTAACCTGGAGTCCTGTATCACTCTTTTGCCATACTGTCACATTGAAAGGCGCATAGTGCAGAGGAAAGTAGTACATTCCCTGGATAGCTTACAATTTTCTAAAACTTTGACTATCAGTTGATTCTTACTAGACTTTTGTAATAATGCTACATTCAAACCTACAGTACCTATGATTATCACCATTAATAACACACACGTATAAAGAATTTGGAACATTTGTAAAAGAAAGCCTAAGAAATAGCCCATTCTTCTTTATCTTTGCAATTATTGGGCTAATGCCTTAAACTGTAAGTTCAGGTACCCAAACTTCTTCTGGGTTTGCCCTAGTTGTTATTACTCTTCTTTTGGTTGGTTCCTGTGCCTGCACTATTTTTTGGATTCTTTCTTCAATGAGAAATATCTGAGATCTGAGTTTTTCTTCCTCATTCTGTGATTCAACACCCTCTTCTATTTATTTTGAACTACTCAAAATCCCAGTTAGCATCAGCTGGCAAGCAGCTCACGATTGTCCTTGAAGTTCATTTACCCAGTCAAGTATTCTGGTGTCCTGAGATTAATTTGGCTTGCTTAGTGGAAGATATTAAATCCTGCTTATATACCATACTTGAAGATTTTGTTTCCTAAGTCTCCACAACTTCTTTTACCTACCTTTGACATGCCTGTCATCAAAATAGCAATGTTTCTCCCGTGTTCATTGTACTCTCTGGTAGCATTTCCTATACTAGAAGCCTCTCAATAGATATTAGACAGGAATTATGGATTCATTGCTGACTTTGTAATCATCTTCAAACAATTACTCCTAAATTGTCATGCATTACAGTACTAAGATAAAAGCTGTGGTGTAAGCTTAGAAGAAAAATTGCAAATAAGAACAACCTTGTTTCCCATTGCAGTATGTAAGCCCTCCCCATTAAAAGAGACACTGAGCTATATTTTACTAGAGCCAAATGTATTTCCTGCTTACACCTTGAAGGGATATTAGATAACTAGAGCAATATATTTAATTGTTTTGTATTCTGAAAATCCTGGTATTTCTTCTTTCTTGATATTGTCATATCTAACAGTTTCATTCCACTTCCTTTGAAGCTATCTTAGCTTACTGCCTCATGACCTCAGACTTCATAAAGCCCCTCAATACTTATTTTTCTGTGTTGAATCCCTCTAGTCTAAGCTACAGGCTTTCCTTCCAACGTGCTTACTATCCTAAAGCACAGATTGTTTATCTAAGTTTCCAGGACTCTGAAATGGCTTCCAATTGCCTAGGAAAGGATGTGTGCATTTTTGAGTTCAGTGCCACTCACAAGTGCTTTTGTCTCTTCCCTTTCTCAAGCTGCTCCTCCATGTGAATCCCCTGTACCAGGCAGGTTGAGCAGTTCACGTTTCCCTAAAAAAAAAAAAAAATCCTGGTGGATTTTAACTACTGTATGTAACTCATATCCACATCAATTCTGTCTGCCTAGAACATTCTACTTTTTTTTCTACTTAGAGCTAATGCATCATCCATATCTTAACTTAAATTTTCAATGTTTAGTTTTTCTGTGAGTCCTTCCTTAGCAGTCTAAAAGAATGTCCCTCCTCTTAACTTCAGCCACATTTATTACTTGCGTTAATCATGTTGGCACAACTTAACCATTAGTGATTCTAGTTATTTTTTCATATGCATCTCTTGTTTACTCAGCTGCATGGTAAGTCCCACAAGGCAGTCAGAGTAAGCTCCCTGTAAGACATATTCGATTACATTTTTCTCTTGTCTAAAACTCTCCAACAGCTCCTCGTTGTGGCTAGGAAAAAGCCCAAGTGCAGGCTTCTCACAATCTGACTACCTCTCTAGCTTAATCTATTCTCATGTTTACTTTTTCTCCTTCTTCGAATTTTAAGCCAGGATAACTACTTTACTGCCTTTACATGCTTTTCTTCATTTCCACAAACAATCAGCCATCAAATCATGACATTTCTACCTGCCATTTCCATATTAAGAATCTACCTATTTGTCCCCTTTCCTATTGCCAGTAATCTAGTATATAGCAAAAGTCACTATCTTCTGAAATAGTGAATTATTCTCCTTTCATGTTGATTAATTTTCTAAAAGGGAGTGCTGAGTTTGAAGTGGTTTTGAGTTGTCCAAATAGATATTCAGAGTATTAATTTTGATATGCATATTCTGGATTAAAGAATATAAAATTGGAGTTATTATCAAATTGTTACTCATAGGAATAGATGAGAGGAACAAGGAAGAGAGCATAGAGGGAGTCAAGAAGAGGGTACAAGTCAGCACACCAAAGATACCTAACATTTAATAAATGGAATCTAAAAAGAAGCTGCTAGAGAAAGAAAAAAACAACCCAGTGTGGTAGCATGAGAATCAACAGAAGAAAGTAATATAAAAGTAGGCTTTGCAAT
The DNA here is from genome assembly GCF_000001405.40 of Homo sapiens. NCBI lineage: Eukaryota > Metazoa > Chordata > Mammalia > Primates > Hominidae > Homo > Homo sapiens. The sequence goes on from NC_000018.10 coordinate 39,910,623, forward strand.
GCCAAACCATGAAAACAGATCCAATGTAGATAAGGACTGAGATGCAATGTATTTCAACATTGATTGAGAGGAACAGGTCAACTTTACTGTGCATTTACTATGTGCCAAACACTTGACTTATAATAATTTATTTAAATATCCTAATCTAGTGAGATGATAGGTTTTTGCCTATGAAGAGTTATGGAGTAAAGTGAGAAGCTCTAGATTTGAGCAAGTTTTAATGCTAACTGGTAGGTGCTAAGGTTCGAACGTTTGTCTCCTCCTAAAAGTTATATGTTGAAACTTAATTACCAATGAGATAATATTAAAAGGTGAGGCCATTGGTAGGTGACTAGATCATCATGCAAAGCCCACATGAATGGGAACAATGCCTTATAAAAGAGGACCCAGAGAGTTGCCTTGCTCTTTCTATCATGTGAGGACACAGTAAGAAGATACCATCCTACAAATCAAAAGTTGGCCCTTAAAAGACCCCAAATCTGCCAGCACCTTGATCTTGGACTTCCTAGCTATGAGACCTGTGACAAATACATTTCTGTTGCTTATAGGCTCCCCAGTTTATGATATTTTGTTATGGCAGCTCAAACACATTAAGAAAAAAATGATATCAAAGATTGGAGTGCTGCTATACAAATACCTAAAATGTAGAAGTGGTTTTGGAACTGTGTAATAGATGTTGGAAGAGTTGCTAGAAAAATTCTACATTTTCATGAATTGACCATAAAAGATGAATATGTGAGGGCTCAGAAGAAGGAAAGAACTGTAGAGAATGCCTCTATTTTCTTAGAGAATATTTATTGGTCATAAACAATGTTTGCAGCGATAAGGGTAGTGAAAGTCATTCTAATGAGGTCTCAGATGAAATGAGAAACATGTTAATGAAAAGTAGAGGAAAGCTGGTCAATGTTATAAAGTGGCAAGTAACTTGGCTGAATTCTGTTTATGTCCTAATATTCTGTGGAAGATAGAAATTATGAGCAATAAAATAGATATTTGTCTGAAGACATTTCTAAGCAAAGTGGTGAAGGTGCAGCATGCCTTCTTTTGAATGTTTGTAGTAAGATGCAAGAAGCTGGAAACAATTTTAAAATGGAATTTTTTTTTTTTTTTTTTTATCAGAAGGGAAGTAGACCTTAAAGATGTAGAAATATCTCAGCCTGTTCCTATTGTAAAAAGTGAGAATGCTTGTTTGGGAGAGTGCACCAAGGGTGTGGCCAAGAGACAATTGAATAAGGAAATTCATAGAGATTAGCCACATGTTATTCATCAAGACCAACAGAAGAATAACCTAGAAGGCATTTCTGAGGTCATCAGTGATGCTCTTGCCATCACAGGCCCAGACTGAAAAGGCCTTGGGGCAAAACAATTTTAAATGGAGGCACCTGCATGACATCAGTGCTCTTCACCCAGTCACACCTCAAGGCTCTGTTCCCTGCATTCCAGTGCAATGCTCCTTAGCTGCCCTAGGTTTTACTCCAGCAGGCCCAGGTGAAGCATATGTTGTGATGGTGACCCTTCTATAGGACACAGGTAAGAAACCATGGCAGCATCCATGTGGTGCCATTTCTGCTGGCTTGCAGTATGCACAAGTCTTTGGGGCATGGCTGTCTCCACCAAGATAGAATCTGAAGGATGGAGCCATCCAGATCCTGTGTATGAGACCCAGACACAGAATTGTTACAAAGGCATGCCCAATGGAGGAAGCCCCCGTTAGAGCAATGCCTAATGGAGCCATGGTGGTGGGGCCTTTTCCTCTTACTTTCCAATCTTAGTTTGCTACAGCCACCACCAGCTTTCAATTTCAGTTTGTGCAAACTGCAAGCACCCAACTACAACCAATGTGGTGTGGGCTGTGTCCACCAAAACTGTAGGGCCAGGGTCATCTGGAGTCTAGGGTGGCCATCCCCTATCTAGAAAAGCTGCAGAAGAGGCTTGGCTTCTGCCTCAGTGGGCTCGGGGGGCAGAACCTCAAGTCGAGGATTATTCTCAAGCCATAAGGTTTTGAACTTACTCTAGACCTGTTACTCTTTTTATGTTTCCTCTTGCTCCCTTTTGGAATGGGAATGTATATTCTATGCCTGTCCCATCCTTGTACTTTTGAAGCTCATAACATGTTTAATTTTACTGGCTCGCAGTTGGAGAGTAATTTGCCTTCATATAAATTAATTCTTTCAATATCATCCGTATCTGATTTTGATTATACTTAGGGAAGACTCTGGACTTAAACTTTAAAGTTGATGCTGAAATGAGTTAAAACTTTGGGGCTATCAGGAGAGAATGAGTGCATTTTGCTTACGAGAATGACTACATTTTGGGAGGACAGCAGTGGACTATTATGGTCTGAAGGTGCTGTTCCCTCAAAATATGGCATATGTTGAAACTTATTCACCAATGTGATCCTATTAAGAGGTGGTAACCTTTGAAAGGTAATAAGATCATGAGGGCTGAGTTCTCATGAATGGGATTAATGCCCTTATAAAAGAGGTTCAAGAGAACTGTCTTGCTCCTTCCATCATGTGAGGACACAGTGAGAAGTCACCAACTGTGAACTAGAAAATGAGCCTATACCAGACACCAACATTACTGATGCCTTGATTTTGGACCTCCCAAGCTCCAGAACTATGAGAAATAATAGCCACCTATGGATAGTATTTTCTTATAGCCATACAAATAAACTAAGACAGTAGGTCTTGTAGAGAATCAGGGGTTGCAGGCTAGACAGATGGCACAGAGAGTGATTTTAGCTAAGAAGGCAAAAGACAATGGATGCACAGCCCAAGGGGACCAATGAGGCTAAAATAATAGAAAGAGGACCAAAATACCTTCCATTTTCACCTGAGCAGTGACTAGATGAATGCATGGGGCTGAGTGGAAATTGAAAAATAGAGGGGAAAATGTCATTTCTTTCTAATGGCTTCGTTGAAATGTAGGGGGTAAGCTCATTTGTTAAGAGCCAAATAGAATCTGGCAAACTCAGATGTGAGAGGTGAAGAGATCACTGAATTTGGAATCTGAAGATCTGAATTCAGATTTTTTTTATCTCTGATGACTTTCTGACAGTATCTGAGCTGTCCTCTTTTATTTACTTAACCAGGTTCATATCTCCCAATTTTGGTGTTGTCATGGCAATGCCTAATGCAGAGCCTGCCACATAGTAGGCATTCCAAAAAATTATAGTTAAATCTGAATCTGCATTGCCCTGCACCTCACCCTTTTAGCTTATTGAATTAGAAGTCAGTAATGAGCTGTTTCAAAGCTTTCTGCCAACAGTCATTGTAAGGATAAAAAGAAAAAAAAAAAAAAAGAAAAACCTTCAGTAAGTAGACAGTGCTATTCTCTGTAGAGAGGAAGGGCGCTCTGACTTAGCACCCACCATGCCCGGGGCCATTAATGAATCCTGGCTTCTTTTTCTCATCATTGCAGCAATTCAAAAGGAGAAAGTTCTTCTTGGCAAGGAAGTGCTATTTTCAGAGACAAGATTAGGCTCATTTTGGGCAGGAGCCGTACTTCTTCAGTACCGGCACCTCTGAAGATTAGGTTAAAAGGTAAGAAGGAATGACTCAGAATAATTGCATTGCTTTACTGTGAACTTTAAGATCTTTTAGTGGAGGAGTTTTACAAGCAGTGATAGATAGTCATGAAGAGAGGAAAAGCACAAACCCAGGGGAAAAGAGCTGTGATGCCTGACTGAATTTCTACAGAAAGAAGCTTGGCCAGCTTTGTTATGTTTTTCTATCTCCCCCAATTCCACAGGAATATTTTGAATATACCCTCATCTCCCAGCTTCTGACAACTGATTTTTCCCCATCCACCTTCACTTTGTGATCGCATATTTTTCTATAAAGCAGATTTTAGAAATTTTATTTTGAGACCAGGTGCATGAAGGTAAAGCTATCTATACACATGTTATATTCAATTGTTATTTTATAATTGGGGAAAATACACTCCATAGTGATATCTCTGAGTCAAACCTAAATGTCCTACCTCTCAACACTAATCATTCAAACTATTGAAAAACATGTGTGAATCCATTGAGTTTTTAGCTCAATGCTTAGCTGTTAAAAGAATGCAGAAGAAATAAAATTAGGCAGTTCCTGGACTTATGAGATAGGGTTTAATTGTGCACTTGATGATAAGGAATAATATAAAATTGTAGATATTTAAGCACTGTTTGTATTTATTATTCCCTTACTTGTATTCTCCTCCTGCATCCATTCTCCTAGGTCCCACAGTCAGAGAACTGACTTTTTCTGACCTCCCATGTCTGATCAACTGCCAGGTCATATGACTTCTACACCCAAGTATCTTTAGAATATGTCCATTTATCTCTGGTCCCTATTGCCATCATCCTATTGAGCCACTATCCAGTCTTACCTGGACTACAGCAACAGTTTCCTAACTGTTTCCCTGATTTCCACCCACACCCTTTGCTAATCTATTCTCCATAATGAGCCAGAGTGATCTTTCTAAATACCAAGAATGACAATATCTTTAACTTTATACATACATCCACACTTTTATACCTCTTTTCCCTATGCCTGTTTAAACCATCTTGTTTAAAATAATTCAATGGTTCATTCTTACTCTTAAGATAAGAGCCTGAGCTCTTCGTCATGGTTTTAAGTCACTTGCTGCTCTATCCGTCTTGAATACCAGCATTTTTCTCCAGCCACTCTCTAAAAAAATGTGCAACCTGAGCCACTGACTTCCTTTCTGCTTCTCCCTTACCTTCCCGACACCCCCTGCTTTCACTATGGTTCATTTGTTTTCCCCGTCTTTGGAAAGCTTTGCATCAATTCTTTTGTATTTCTACTATATTTTGTTTAAACACATAAAAAAATCACCAGTTTATGATAATTGGTTATTCTTTCTATTCTTTATACTTCGATAGGGGCAGGGCTCAGTTTGACATTCTTTATTGTGTTATCTGAGCGTAGATCGGTACTCAGCATTAAATAAATGGGTAACTAACAGTTAAGTGAATAAATGTGAAACTGGGCAAAACAAAAATAAAGTTTTGTAAGAGAAGGGTAACTCTGATCTATAAAACAGCAGGAAAGAATTGAGATTGACTGGGATTTGAGATATCCACAGAGAGCCTTTCATTCTGGGAAATGATATGAGGAAAAAAAGTTATCAGTATAACAATGGAGAGACTATCTACTTGATAGTAGCAGTAGGTAGATGGTGGATACACTAGGAAATGGGGACACTTACCTACATGTGGGGAGTCACAGTTATAAGAAAGTAGAAGGCCTTGAAGACAGGGAAGAAATTTATATTTGAAGTGGCAATAAACATAGGATATATAAAATATTTGACCCAGTATCTGGAACCTGTCAGAGAAAGGTTTGTGTGAAAGAAGCTAAAATATTACTCTCTCCCTTATTGAGAAACTAAAGCAGCAAGAGACCCTCTTTGTACAATCCTTGAATTGGCAGATGATTTTTTAAAACTGTGATCAGCAGGTAGGATGCCAGAAAACATAAGCTGGCAGGCTCTTTAGTCTGATGGCTAAGTCTAAAGCAATGTGCTTCTATGCCCCAGCTGTATAATACTAATAAAGATATTTAACCTACTTAAACCTCAGTTTTCTTCTGTGAAAATGGGGATAAAATAACTTACCTCATAAGGCTGTCATGAGGACGAAATAATGTCATTTAGATAAAGTGCTTGCCTCCTAGTAAACATTCAATGAAAGTTTCTATTATTTTCATGACATATTGTGCTTATTTTATTACTTTGTGTTCACAGTTTCTATTCTAAGGTAGAAAGGTTCAGCATGAGTTATGTATCCTTGTTAAATTAGTTTTCTGATTGTGGTTTTTGATTAAATGTCATGTAAGAGTCAAAGCAGAAATAAATAATCATACATGCAAGATGTTATACCACAAAAGAACCGTGGAACATAAAAGGTGAGGAGGATTTCACCCCTTGTGACACTGTTTAATTCACTTGAAAAACCATGAAACATTTAGAAAAACTTGATATTTTGTAAATTAGTGAGTTGACTCATTTGATCAAATATTCAAAAATGATAAATCAACAAATGTTATGTTTTCATTTATGACAACTGTGATTTGCACAGCAAACAATAGCATTGATAACGGCATTCTCACATGCAGACTCTGTTTAGACCTCAAAGTAGAGCCACATATGGGGCAGCATACAGATGAATTAATGCAACTATGCTCTGGGACAAGGCATTGTAAAACTGGAGGTTTGCTGGTGAGGAAGAGAAGGCTAGGACCTGAACGCGTGAGGGAAATGGAGTTGACAGAAGATACTGGCTCTAACAAAGATGATTTTTTCCAAGTCAAAGGTTCTGAAAGATGTACCTAGCTTGGCCACAGGTCAGTGCATATCAGGATAGAAAGCCCAATGGTTGTACAGAGCAGAACCCTTGAAACCAATATTTATTGTAATTAGGCACAATGCCATCTTGTTGTGGAAGAGCAATTCATTCACAGCAGATTCCCGGCCAATGGCAAAAGCTAGAGAAGAGGACTTCAGCACTTTGGAAATTAATCTAGCAGGGTCTAGATAGGGAAATAGTATGCCATCCAGGTTGATTGAGCTCTACGGCCACAGGATAAGATGGAGCTTAGTTTTTACTAAACAGGATACAATAGAAGAGAAAAATGTAAAGATTAAATATGACATGATGGAGGGCTATAATATAGTTCAGTAGAACGCCCTCACAGAATTTAAAGCACATTCTATGTCATTAGACATTCTGAATATTTGGCAGTACAATAACAAAGGACATGATATGTTAAGTAGGAATTGCTAACCTCATAATTCCTAACTGATAAACTTCCTCCCATCTCTATCAAAGTTGACTCAAAAGGTAGGGCCATGGACCTATGGTTCTACCCATAAAAAAGCTCAACATTGGGGAGCTGAAAAATGGTACAACTAAGAGAAACCAAACAGCAGCTAGAAACCTCCATTGTCTAAGACAGTATTGTCAGACCTATGCTCCATAAGGCAACAACATGTTATTCACTAAGGAGAGAATGATGGAAGCGACCATATCTACCTTCTAGTGTCCTGAGTACCGGGGATATTTTTTGGTAAACTGGCTATTTGCTGCAGCAATATATGATTGTACGTTAGCTTGAAAATGCGATGAGAGCTTCAACCGCTTCTGGCTGAACTACTGTAACTTAGGCCAAGGTAGTTCATGGAAATATTATTTTAGTTATTTTGTAATTATATATAAAGTTTTAGAAAAGAAATAATGACCAGGAAAAAAAATAGTCCTCTGTTTTTTGTTTGTTTCATTTGCAAATCAATGAATATGTTCTTAGGATGGTAAATGTGTATTAAAAATCTAAGAATTATCTTTCCCTCATTTATTTACAAACTCCTTTCGAGTAGTAATGCCGCTTTTGATTTCTTTTCCATTATTATTATGTTTCTTGCAGCATTTTTGTATATGTGAGTTATCCAAATATGTTCCTGAATAGTAGATGACTGCTCCATACTTTCTATCATTTATGGGAAGATGGGTAACTAGAATATTTCCTGAATTTAATGGTTTAACATATAACTGGAAATTAAAATAAAATGCTATTGAACTCTTGGGAGAAGCTAATAGATAAAGCTTCATGCTTCTATAACAATAAAAATAAATTTTAATGTGATCATTAGAAACTATCTTTAAAGGTCATCTATTTTCCTTAAAGGTTAAGATAATGGACTAAAAGCCAAATTTTATATGTTTTGTTTTTATTATTTTAACTTATGTTAACTTTTCTTTTAAGATCGTTGCGAGCTAAGATTGCACTTTAGTTTATGCTAAATGCTTTAGCCATTTAAATATATAGCCTTGTAAAATATAAAAGCCAAAACACCTCTGAGAAATTTATCTGGATGCCATGTTCTTTGGGCCAAAGATGTCCTTGTTAACCTATGGGAAGATCTTTCCTCTACTAACAAGAGACTCTGTTCCAGAAAACAAAATGGGCAGCTGAAAATCTTTTCCCTTGTTTTAAAGAACAAACACAGTTTGAAACTCTATTTTTTTTTAACCTGTTTTCAATAATCTCTACATTCAAAGTATAGGAGCTGAGACTGGCTTAAAGGAGGGAAAAAGGGATTATAAAAGCTCCACACAATTTGCCTTCTTCGGCACACCTACAGTTGAATGCTTTAGCTTCCTGCCAGGATGGTTAAGTTAACACTTAATTAGTATGTGTACCAAACAAAACGCGCTTCTGGGCAGCACTTTTTTTTTTTAAATTTTCCCCCCCACTGCCCCACAAATAAATAGACTGGTTTTCTGCCCAAAATATTCAAGAAAAAGACTGTGGTTGCCTGGGGCAGAGGCCAGATGCCTTGACTTCCAGCTTTCTTCCATCAAAGCCGTGCAGTTTGGAAATTAAAATCTACAGCAATAATGAAACATATTAAAATGCATGCAAAGACTTGAGGGCTTATAATATGCTAAAAACTGGCAATGCATGTTTACATCCATATATCAACTTGGATGTGCTGAAAAGATTTAAAGTGTAAAATATGCAAATATGTGTCATATTGTCACACTTGGTCTCTCTAATGGAACTCCCTTTCATCTCAAGTCGTCTTAATTTCATGAATATTACATGGCCCTCACACCTTTTACTCTTGCTGTTGCTAGGCTGAGAAGATTATGAAAATATGTTAATAGTAACTTTCATCAAATAAAAGTTGCAATATTCCAAATAAAGCATTTTTCCTTCCTCTTAAAATACAAATAGTGAAGGGTTTCATGCTATTTTGTTTCCCTGTGGGAGACTAGATAACTATAGGCCAATTAAATTAATGAGCAAAGACCATGTGAATGGCAATATTTGCACATAATCCTGGCTGGCTGCACATATATACAGGTAAATAGTTGTATTTAAAACACCCTTGAAGGATGAAAATATTCCTATTTCTGGGGTGTTCAGGATGTAAAGAAATAATTTCTAAATTATACTGACCTACACAAAAGCCCATGAATTTATATTTAATAGTGAAAAACTATAGGAAGTAAAGGGAAGAGGGGAAGTTTGAGAAAGCCACCTTCATTTATGAAGGTGAAAAAACAATGATAACATTGGGATCTCAGATAACCACAAAAAAGATAGGGATATATTTTGTCCATCTTGGACACATAGTCCTGGCCCTTTCAGAATGACAGCCTTGTTTCTGTATCCTGATAATGAACAAGGGCTCATTCTGTCTTGCCTTATTGGCTACTTTAATGAACAGTAAATGGCAAAAGCAACCAGAAGCGTTCTATTTTGTATCTAATGTGCACCAATGGGGAAAAACTGTTGTCTGTGTAGAAATAATAAGAATCTTATTATTAATTATTATTATTATTATACTTTAAGTTCTAAGGTACATGTGTACAATGTTGCAGGTTTGTTACATATGTGTACATGTGCCATGTTGGTGTGCTGCACCCATTCACTCGTTGGTTACATTAGGTATTTCTCCTAATGCTATTTCTCCCCCCTCACCCCAACCCCATGACAGGCCCTGGTGTGTGACGTTCCCCACTCTGTGTCCAAGTGTTCTCACTGTTCAATTCCCACCTATGAATGAGAACATGCGGTGTTTGGTTATACAGAGTGCCACCATGGATTCAATAACAGGAAAAAAAAGGAAGTCGGGGTTCAGTCAGAACTTTATTTTAGGGAGACACCAAACTTAATAAGCTTGGAGTAAAGATTATTGATAATCCATGGACAGGTATCCTATAAATAGGTAAAGGATGGTAAACTAAAAAAGTCACTTTCTAACGAGATCTCTGCTAGCAATTAAAATAAAGAAATTAAATGGCACTTGATAAGAGCCAGCTTTGTGGCCCAGGTAACTTTCTCTAGGCTCTGATTCCTAAAAGTATTTGCAAAGATGATGAGAGGATGGACACTCAACCAAGATTAATAACAAGGAAGGACACTCAACCAAGATTAATAACAACAAGTTGCCTACACATGCAAAGGTCATGGTGGGGAAGCTGCAGCACAGTGTGATCGGCTCCCAAGATAGGCAGGATAGAAGGAGTATTTGAAACTAAGTTTAGAAAGAAGACTGAGGGGGAGAATAAGCTATGGCTAAAGGCAAATGACAGAAGGTTGATCAATGACAAAGAGAAGATAGAACTTCATAACTGTATTTTTTTTGAATTGTTGCTGTTATTACTGCTTTTCTTTCTTTTTTGTATTATTGCCATTCCTGTAAAGCAATAATCTTCAGATTAGAATTATTAGACACAAAAGTAAAGAAGAAAATGCTGCCCTTGCTATGCAAAGCCATCGTAAGTAAGCATACAATTACTTTCATTTGCTTTTATTTTGTTTACCAGGTATTCCTTTTTGGTCTTAAGTAATATACAGTTTAAATATAAATTTTGAAAATTTCCCAATTTAAACAGAAAACAACATTCTCTCTCTTTTTTTCTCTGTTACTAAAGACAACTTCTATGTATTGTTATGCATTACTTAGATGATACTATTTAAATAATTTTATGTGCTTCATTATTATACCAAATGTTATATCATGAGTACCTCTGTATATCATTAAGAATGCTTTATAAATCTCAATTAAACTACTACATGTTTCATATTATGTTTTTTCATCAATATTAGATATTTGTTTTAAATTTTTGTCAAAAATATAGGTGAAATACAAATTAGTGTTGATACGTTTTTGCCCATACTTATCTAAAGCTATCTATAGCTAGCTTTAGATAAATTCCTTTTAAGTAAATAGTGACACTGTTCAGTGTAGTTTTTATCATAACCAGTTTTATTAAGCTTAAGGAAACATAATAAAAGGAAATTAGAGAAATGATACTATAAAATATAATATTTCCTTTTGCATAAATTATTTTTTCTTATTGGCTGAAGTGTATTGACTAAATTTTAAAAGAAGAGAACATGCATAGGAGTATCCTTACTGGTAATTAATTTATTTCAAATAAACCATTGAAAAATAGCAAAACAGACTGAAAACCAACATTGTGAATGACACCAAAACTCTTTGAAAAGGGTGTCCAGCATTTAGTTAAAAATAAATATCACCCCCAAAAGAAGAGCAAACTGAACAAGGAGTGAAAAATACAAATAACAGAAAAAGACCAACTCATACTTTAAATAATGAAAATGTCCGAAATGAATTACAAAATGACCACACTTACTATGTCTGAAGAAATAAACAGCTGGTGATACCTGCAGAACAAATGAAAGTATCTGAATACAGATTTGAAGAGAACAAAATAGAGCAATATATATATATATAAAATACAATAAAGCAAATTAAAACCTTGGTGAAATGTTTAACAGTAAAATTGACATAGCTGAAGTTAGAGTTAAAATACCTATAGAAGATAGCTAAGAAGATATTATTCGTAATAAGCACATGGAAAAACCAAACATAACATATAAGAGAGAGAATATAGCTTTAGAGAGTAGAATGAATCCAAGTAAAATAGTGGAGAAAGGACTTGATAGAGGTAACATGCTTAAAGATCATGACTGCGAATTCTTCAGACTTGATAATAAACCATTCTACAGATTCGGCCCAAAGCAAGATAATTATATAGAAATTCATACTAAGACATCACAGATAATTTTTTGAAAATGAAAATCAGAGCAAAACCAAAGTCCATCAGCAAATGAAACACAGATTTCCTTTAAAGAGTGACAGGTAGATGAGCAACTGTCTTCAAAAATGCAACAATGAATGGAGAAAAAATTTTTTGAAAATGAAAACCAGAGCAAAACCAAAGTCTGTCAGCAAATGAAACACAGGTTTCCTTTAAAGAATGACAGGTAGATGAACAACTGTCTTCAAAAATGCAACAATGAATGTGGAGAAAAAAGTGGAAGGATATCTCAAAGAACCAAAGAGAATCAATTGTGCATTTATTCTCTACATATGAAAATATCTGTAAATCTGGAAAAAGTGAAGCAAACATCATGGCATTTTAAAACAAAAGTTGAGAGAATTAATCCATAGAAATCCTTCTTTAAGGACTATTAAAATATGAATTACAGACAGAGAGAATATGAATGATAATAAAATTTCTCTGATATTTTATCTGTGATGCAAAAAGTATTGAAAGTAATACACAGGTGGACAATTTAAATAGATACTGGCTACATAAAACAATAGTAATAAAGCATAGTTAAGTTTTCAAATAGAATTATAGTGCCAGACAATAAAGAGACATAGATCTCATGTAGTTATAAAGGGTTAACAGTAATCCAGGAAGAAAATTAAAAACTTTAATTAATTTTATACTTTTGCTAGTTAAGTATATGTGTTATTTTTTTCAGACTTAGCTATAAAAAAGGAGTGCATAAATACAGGTAAAATACATAAAGATTACAAAACAACATAATAGCTGTAAGCCTACACTGCATTAAATATAAAAGCTCAATTATTCAGGCAAAAGGCAACCACAATCATGTTCAGATCAGAATAAGAAAACAAATGCTACTTACAAGAGCTATATATACAGCATAAAATAAAAAAGGTTATGTTTTAGACACTACGTGTCACACAAAATAGATTTTATAGAGATAAACACACTGGTAATAGAGATAATTATTTTATAATGATAAAAGTTTCAAATTATCAAGAAAATATAAATTTTAATATGTATGCTATTAAAATATAACCTCAAATATATAGAAAAAAGGTATCCATTGAACAAAATAGAAAATTTACAAACATTGTGAAATATATATCCTAGCAATTGATATAGCAAGTCAAAAATTGATAAGGAAATAGAATTATTCAATGGACATATATGGAATGACTCTAGCTGATGCAAAGCAGACTTCATTTACAAAAATTGATAGGATATTTTGTTGTAAAACATGCCTTAACAAATTTCAAGGGATTTATATCATATAGAATACACTTCCTGACTACTATGTAAATAAGATAGATGATAGCTAGATAGATAACAGATAGATTGATAGATAGATGTCAGATATGCACATATATTTGGAAGTTAAGAAATATTTCTCAACAAGTCCTGAGTTAGAGAAATGAAAATAAAAGTTAGAAAACTCTTTAAGCTAAATGATAATAGAAATAGAAAAAATTGTGAGTCACAGCCAATGTAGCACTAAGGTGGACATTTTTATAGCCTTGAAAAGAATATATATCTCTATTTATCTGTCTGTCTGAGAAGGATATATATGTATGTATATTTGAGAAAAAGAAAAACTAAAAATTAATGAGCTTTATAGGTTCTAAGAATCTTGAAAAACAGTACCAAAAATAAGCCCAGAGATTATGTGAAAGAGGTGAATTATAAAATAGTGGTAGTCAATTTCAAAATTAAAAAATATATATTTTATATAATAAATATACATACAATACATGCACTTAATAATGCTAGAAGTAATTTTTTTAAAAATCTGATACAGTTGATACATTTCAACCAGGATTATTGCAGGACAAAACAAAAAGGGAGAGGAGAGATTTGTGGCATAGATAAGCATGATGGGAATGTAAAAGGACATTACAATAGATTTTCCAGACATTAATAAGGGACTACATTAAATAATTATATTCCTATTTATATGAAAATAGATGAAATAGACAGATAGCTGGAAAAATATAACTTACCAAAGCAAACTAAGAAATTAAAGAAATTAAGAAATTAAAGAAGTAGTATTCTATACTGCAATCAAACAAGAAAATATTTTTGGAAAACATTCTACAACTACTCATAATTAAAAATCAAATTTGTGAGGGACGAGCCAAGATGGCCGAATAGGAACAGCTCCAGTCTACAGCTCCCAGCGTGAGCGACGCAGAAGATGGGTGATTTCTGCATTTCCATCTGAGGTACCGGGTGCATCTCACTAGGGAGCGCCAGACAGTAGGCGCAGGTCAGTGGGTGCGCGCACCGTGTGCGAGCCGAAGCAGGGTGAGGCATTGCCTCACTTGGGAAGCGCAAGGGGTCAGGGAGTTCCCTTTCCGAGTCAAAGAAAGGGGTGACGGACGGCACCTGGAAAATCGGGTCACTCCTACCTGAATACTGCGCTTTTCCGACGGGCTTAAAAAACGGCGCACCACGAGATTATATCCCACACCTGGCTCAGAGGGTCCTACACCCACGGAGTCTCGCTGATTGCTAGCACAGCAGTCTGAGATCAAACTGCAAGGCGGCAGCAAGGCTGGGGGAGGGGCGCCCGCCATTGCCCAGGCTTGATTAGGTAAACAAAGCAGCCAGGAAGCTGGAACTGGGTGGAGCCCACCACAGCTCAAGGAGGCCTGCCTGCCTCTGTAGGCTCCACCTCTGGGGGCAGGGCACAGACAAACAAAAAAGACAAACAAACAAAAAAGACAGCAGTAACCTCTGCAGACTTAAATGTCTCTGTCTGACAGCTTTGAAGAGAGCGGTGGTTCTCCCAGCACGCAGCTGGAGATCTGAGAACGGGCAGACTGCCTCCTCAAGTGGGTCCCTGACCCCTGACCCCCGAGCAGCCTAACTGGGAGGCACCCCAGCAGGGGCACACCGACACCTCACATGGCAGGGTATTCCAACAGACCTGCAGCTGAGGGTCCTGTGTGTTAGAAGGAAAACTAACAAACAGAAAGGACATCCACACCAAAAACCCATCTGTACATCACCATCATCAAAGACCAAAAGTAGATAAAACCACAAAGATGGGGAAAAAACAGAACAGAAAAACTGGAAACTCTAAAAAGCAGAGCACCTCTCCTCCTCCAAAGGAACACAGTTCCTCACCAGCAATGGAACAAAGCTGGATGGAGAATGACTTTGACGAGCTGAGAGAAGAAGGCTTCAGATGATCAAATTACTCTGAGCTATGGGAGGACATTCAAACCAAAGGCAAAGAAGTTGAAAACTTTGAAAAACATTTAGAAGAATGTATAACTAGAATAACCAATACAGAGTAGTGCTTAAAGGAGCTGATGGAGCTGAAAACCAAGGCTCAAGAACTACATGAAGAATGCAGAAGCCTCAGGAGCCGATGCAATCAACTGGAAGAAAGGGTATCAGCCATGGAAGATGAAATGAATGAAATGAAGCGAGAAGGGAAGTTTAGAGAAAAAAGAATAAAAAGAAATGAGCAAAGCCTCCAAGCAATATGGGACTATGTGAAAAGACCAAATCTACGTCTGATTGGTGTACCTGAAAGTGATGGGGAGAATGGAACCAAGTTGGAAAACACTCTGCAGGATATTATCCAGGAGAACTTCCCCAATCTAGCAAGGCAGGCCAACGTTCAGATTCAGGAAATACAGAGAACGCCACAAAGATACTCCTCGAGAAGAGCAACTCCAAGACACATAATTGTCAGATTCACCAAAGTTGAAATGAAGGAAAAAATGTTAAGGGCAGCCAGAGAGAAAGGTCAGGTTACCCTCAAAGGGAAGCCCATCAGACTAACAGCGGATCTCTCGGCAGAAACCCTACAAGCTAGAAGAGAGTGGGGGCCAATATTCAACATTCTTAAAGAAAAGAATTTTCAACCCAGAATTTCATATCCAGCCAAACTAAGCTTCATAAGCGAAGGAGAAATAAAATACTTTACAGACAAGCAAATGCTGAGAGATTTTGTCACCACCAGGCCTGCCCTAAAAGAGCTCCTGAAGGAAGCACTAAACATGGAAAGGAACAACCGGTACCAGCCGCTGCAAAATCATGCCAAAATGTAAAGACCATCGAGACTAGGAAGAAACTGCATCAACTAACGAGCAAAATAACCAGCTGACATCATAATGACAGGATCAAATTCACACATAACAATATTAACTTTAAATATAAATGGACTAAATACTCCAATTAAAAGACACAGGATGGCAAATTGGATAAAGAGTCAAGACCCATCAGTGTGCTGTATTCAGGAAACCCATCTCATGTGCAGACACACATAGGCTCAAAATAAAAGGATGGAGGAAGATCTACCAAGCAAATGGAAAACAAAAAAAGGCAGGGGTTGCAATCCTAGTCTCTAAAAAAACAGACTTTAAACCAACAAAGATCAAAAGAGACAAAGAAGGCCATTACATAATGGTAAAGGGATCAATTCAACAAGAAGAGCTAACTATCCTAAATGTATATGCACCCAATACAGGAGCACCCAGATTCATAAAGCAAGTCCTGAGTGACCTACAAAGAGACTTAGACTCCCACACATTAATAATGGGAGACTTTAACACCCCACTGTCAACATTAGACAGATCAACGAGACAGAAAGTCAACAAGAATACCCAGGAATTGAACTCAGCTCTGCACCAAGCGGACCTAATAGACATCTACAGAACTCTCCACCCCAAATCAACAGAATATACATTTTTTTCAGCACCACACCACACCGATTCCAAAATTGACCACATAGTTGGAAGTAAAGCTCTCCTCAGCAAATGTAAAAGAACAGAAATTATAACAAACTATCTCTCAGACCACAGTGCAATCAAACTAGAACTTAGGATTAAGAATCTCACTCAAAACTGCTCAACTACATGGAAACTGAACAACCTGCTTCTGAATGACTACTGGGTACATAATGAAATGAAAGCAGAAATAACGATATTCTTTGAAACCAACGAGAACAAAGACACAACATACCGGAATCTCTGGGATGCATTCAAAGCAGTGTATAGAGGGAAATTTATAGAACTAAATGCCCACAAGAGAAAGCAGGAAAGATCCAAAATTGACACCCTAACATCACAATTAAAAGAACTAGAAAAGCAAGAGCAAACACGTTCAAAAGCTAGCAGAAGGCAAGAAATAACTAAAATCAGAGCAGAACTGAAGGAAATAGAGACACAAAAAACCCTTCAAAAAATTAATGAATCCAGGAGCTGGTTTTTTGAAAGGATCAACAAAATTGATAGACTGCTAGCAAGATTAATAAAGAAAAAAAGAGAAAAGAATCAAATAGACGCAATAAAAAATGATAAAGGGGATATTACCACCGATCCCACAGAAATACAAACTACCATCAGAGAATACTACAAACACCTCTACGCAAATAAACTAGAAAATCTAGAAGAAATGGATAAATTCCTCGACACATACACTCCCCCAAGACTAAACCAGGAAGAAGTTGAATCTCTGAATAGACCAATAGCAGGATCTGAAATTGTGGCAATAATCAATAGCTTACCAACCAAAAAGAGTCCAGGACCAGACGGATTCACAGCCAATTCTACCAGAGGTACAAGGAGGAACTGGTACCATTCCTTCTGAAACTATTCCAATCAATAGAAAAAGAGGGAATCCTCCCTACCTCATTTTATGAGGCCAGCATCATTCTGATACCAAAACCGGGCAGAGACACAACCAAAAAAGAGAATTTTAGACCAATATCCTTGATGAATATTGATGCAAAAATCCTCAATAAAATACTGGCAAACTGAATCCAGCAGCACATCAAAAAGCTTATCCACCATGATCAAGTGGGCTTCATCCCTGGGATGCAAGGCAGGTTCAATATACGCAAATCAATAAATGTAATCCAGCATATAAACAGAGCCAAAGACAAAAACCACATGATTATCTCAATAGATGCAGAAAAAGCCTTTGACAAAATTCAACAACCCTTCATGCTAAAAACTCTCAATAAATTAGGTATTGATGGGATGTATTTCAAAATAATAAGAGCTATCTATGACAAACCCACAGCCAATATCATACTGAATGGACAAAAACTGGAAGCATTCCCTTTGAAAACTGGCACAAGACAGGGATGCCCTCTCTCACCACTCCTATTCAACATAGTGTTGGAAGTTCTGGCCAGGGCAATCAGGCAGGAGAAGGAAATAAAGGGTATTCAATTAGGAAAAGAGGAAGTCAAATTGTCCCTGTTTGCAGACGACATGATTGTATATCTAGAAAACCCCATTGTCTCAGCCCAAAATGTCCTTAAGCTGATAAGCAACTTCAGCAAAGTCTCAGGATACAAAATCAATGTAAAAAATCACAAGCATTCTTATACACCAACAACAGACAAACAGAGAGCCAAATCATGAGTGAACTCCCATTCACAATTGCTTCAAAGAGAATAAAATACCTAGGAATCCAACTTACAAGGGATGTAAAGGACCTCTTCAAGGAGAACTACAAACCACTGCTCAAGGAAATAAAAGAGGATACAAAGAAATGGAAGAACATTCCATGCTCATGGGTAGGAAGAATCAATATCGTGAAAATGGCCATACTGCCCAAGGTAATTTATAGATTCAATGCCATCCCCATCAAGCTACCAATGCCTTTCTTCACAGAATTGGAAAAAACTACTTTAAAGTTCATATGGAACCAAAAAAGAGTCCGCATCGCCAAGTCAATCCTAAGCCAAAAGAACAAAGCTGGAGGCGTCACACTACCTGACTTCAAACTATACTACAAGGCTACAGTAACCAAAACAGCATGGTACTGGTACCAAAACAGCATGGTACTGGTACCAAAACAGAGATATAGATCAATGGAACAGAATAGAGCCCTCAGAAATAATGCGGCATATCTACAACTATCTGATCTTTGACAAACCTGACAAAAACAAGCAATGGGGAAAGGATTCCCTATTTAATAAATGGTGCTGGGAAAACTGGCTAGCCATATGTAGAAAGCTGAAACTGGATCCCTTCCTTACATCTTATACAAAAATCAATTCAAGATGGATTAAAGACTTAAACGTTAGACCTAAAACCATAAAAACCCTAGAAGAAAACCTAGGCATTACCATTCAGGACATAGGCATGGGTAAGGACTTCATGTCTAAAACACCAAAAGCAATGGCAACAAAAGCCAAAATTGACAAATGGGATCTAATTAAACTAAAGAGCTTCTGCACAGCAAAAGAAACTACCATCAGAGTGAACAGGCAACCTACAAAATGGGAGAAAATTTTCACAACCTACTCATCTCACAAAGGGCTAATATCCAGAATCTACAATGAACTCAAACAAATTTACAAGAAAATAGCAAACAACCCCATCAAAAAGTGGGTGAAGGACATGAACAGACACTTCTCAAAAGAAGACATTTATGCAGCCAAAAAACACACGAAAAAATGCTCACCATCACTGGCCATCAGAGAAATGCACATCAAAACCACAATGAGATAGCATCACAATCCAGTTAGAATGGTGATCATTAAAAAGTCAGGAAACAACAGGTGCTGGAGAGGATGTGGAGAAATAGGAACACTTTTACACTGTTGGTGGGACTGTAAACTAGTTCAACCATTGTGGAAGTCAGTGTGGCGATTCCTCAGGGATCTAGAACTAGAAATACCATTTGATCCAGCCATCCCATTACCGGGTATATACCCAAAGGACTATAAATCATGCTGCTATAAAGACACATGCACATGTATGTTTATTGCGGCATTATTCACAATAGCAAAGACTTGGAACCAACCCAAATGTCCAACAATGATAGACTGGATTAAGAAAATGTGGCACATATACACCATGGAATACTATGCAGCCATAAAAAATGATGAGTTCATGTCCTTTGTAGGGACATGGATGAAATTGGAAATCATCATTCTCAGTAAACTATCGCAAGAACAAAAAACCAAACACCACATATTCTCACTCATAGGTGGGAATTGAACAATGAGATCACATGGACACAGGAAGGGGAACATCACACTCTGGGGACTGTTGTGGGGTGGGGGGAGTGGGGAGGGATAGCATTGGGAGATATACCTAATGCTAGATGACAAGTTTGTGGGTGCAGCGCACCAGCATGGCACATGTATACATATGTAACTAACCTGCACAATGTGCACATGTACCCTAAAACTTAAAGTATAACAAAAAAAAAAAGAGAAAAGAAAAAAAAATCAAATTTGTAACAGTAAATTTTTTTGTAGGTATAGATAATCATATCATCTAAAACAAGACTTTTATAGGCATATAATCAAAGAAATAAATTGAATCTATAATACAAATATTCCTACAAAAATAAGTAGGCCAAGATGGATTTTTAAATAGATTTACAAACTCATAGTAGAAATAAGTCAATTTTTCAATTATTCTTCCAGAATTAGAAGAGAGTCCACCAAATTATTTGTTGTAGCTAGCAAAACGTTTATACCAAAATATGACTAGAACAGTGTGGAAAGAGGAGTAGACAAATATAATTCCAGAATAGAGAAAAAAAATGATCAACAAAATTATGCTGAACAGAAATTCGGCAATATATAAAAATGATAATTTATCATGATAATTTTGGATTGATTACAAGGATGCAAGATTGATTTACACCAAAAACAAAATGATTCAATGTAATTCACCACATTAAGAAATTAAAGAAGTAGTATTTTATACTGCAATCAAACAAGAAAATATTTTTGGAAAACATTCTACAACTACTCATAATTAAAAATCAAATTTGTAAAAGTAAATTTTTTTGTAGATATAGATAATCATATCATCTAAAACAAATCACACACTTAATGATGAAACTTGAACGTTTTTCTCTTTGACATTACAACTGATACAAAGATATCTACTATTACTACAGCTCTTAAAATTGTACTCGAGTTCTCAGGCAGTGTAATAAAGTGACACATAAAATAAAGCTATAACTATTGGGAATATGTTTGATCAGTCTCAAATAGTATGATTATGAATTTGAATATAGAACACCTGAAAAAGTATTCAAAAAATATTTTAGAATCATAAACAAATTGAGTTGCATTGCTGAACAATATACTGGCATATAAACATCAGCTACTTTCATATTATAATTATAGAAAATTAAAATATAAAATATGCCATTCACAATATTATCAATAATGCTAGGTATATATGAATAAACCTAACCAAAAATGTGCAATTCCTCTACAGAAATTTTTCTGTAGGGGAAATTATGTAACTTTATTGACAGTATTAAAAATAACACCAAATAAATAGAGATTTATCATAGGCATGAACTGTAAGAGCCAATGCAAAATGTCAGAACTTCAATGTTATCCCATTCTACTTTTCATTTTTTTGTGACTGATAAGTTGATTATAAAATGTCTATGGAAAAGCAAAGAACCAAGTATAACCAAGTCACTTTTAACAAAAAGGACAAAATGAAAGAACATTCACTATCAAATATGGAGATTTTATATATATATATATATATCTTTACTAATAAGCCACTGTGAATTGGAAAATAATAGACAAAGAAACCAATAAAACAAAGTAGTTTAGAAGCAGCCCCAGGAATATGGATATTTGATAAATTTGACTATTCAAAAATCTAGAATGTTTTCTTCAGCAAAAGAAATAACAGTAGTAAGAAACACAGCAGACTCTGAAAAGGCTAACAAAGGCTTATAATCTATAATGTGTAGACTAATGCTAATCAATAAGAAAAAAGAGAGGCACCTAATACGAAAAATAATTCATATAGATATTTCCCTAAAGAGAAATCCAAATAGCCAATATCATATAAAAATGTGTTTAATCTGGAATAAGATAAGCATGCTCACTTTACTACTTTTATTCAACATAGTACCAAAAGTCCTAACCAGAGCAATTAGGCAAGAGAATGAAGTAGAGGGCATCCAAATTGGAAAGGATAAAATCAAGTTATTCCTGTTTGCAGGCAAAATAATTTTATATATATAATACCCTAAAGATGCCACAAATAAAAGTTAGAGCTAAAAAATTTAGTAAAGTTGCAGGATTCAAAATAAGCATACAAAAACTAGTACCATTATATACCAATAGCAAACTCTGAAAAAGAAATCAAGAAAGCAATCCCATTTACAATAGCTACAAAAAATGTTGCTAGAAATAAATTTAAGGTGGTAAAAGATCTCTGCAATGAAAACTATAGGGCTGGGCGTGGTGGCTCATGCCTCTAATCCCAGCACTTTGGGAGGCCGAGGTGGGCAGATCACCTGAGGTCAGGGGTTCAGGACCAGCCTGGCCAACATGGTGAAACCCCGTCTCTACTAAAAATACAAAAATTAGCTGGGCATGGTGGCACATGCCTGTAGTCCCAGCTATTCGAGAGGCTGAGGCAGGAGAATTGCTTGAACCCAGGAGGCAGATGTTGCAGTGAGCTGAGATCGCACCACTGCACTCCAGCCTGGGTGATACAGCAACAGAGTGAGACTCCGTCTCAAAACAAACACAAACAAACAAATAAAAAACAATAAAACTATAAAACACTGATTTTTTAAAAATTGAAGACACAGTTAAGTGCGGAGATATCTCATGGTTATGCCTTGGAAGAACTAATATTGTTAAAATTTCCATACTACCTAAAGTGATCTATAGACTCAATGTAATCTCTATCAAAATGCCAATAGCATTGTTCACAGAAATAGAAAAAAAAAATCCTACAATGTGTGTGGAATCAGAAAGGACTCCGAATAGCCAAAGCAATCTTGAGCAAAAAGAAGAACACTGAAGGCATCACACTACTTGATGGCAAAATATACTACAAAGCCATGGGTAACCAAAACAGCAAGGTATTGATATAAAAATAGACACATAGACCAATGGGACAGAATAGAGAACACAGAAATAAGTCCGCACACTTACAGGCAACTGATTTTTAACAAAGGTGCCAAGAACACTTATTGGGAAAAGAACAGCCTCTTCAATAAATAGTTTTGGGTAAATTAGATATACACATGCAGAAAAGAAATACTAGACCCATATCTCTCACCATACAAAAAATTAAATCAAAAGGATTAAAAACTTAAATGTAAGATCTGAAATTTTGAAATACTAGAAGCAAGCAAGATGAATGTTTTATGACAATGGTCTAAGCAAGGTTTTCTGAATAAAAACTCAAAACACAGGCAATAAAGGCAAAAATAGACAAATGGGATCACATCAAACTAAGAAACTTCTGCACAACAATAAACAGAGTGAAAAGACAACCTACAGAATGGGACAAAATGTTTGCAAACTATGCATCTGACAAAGGATTAATATCCATAATATATAAGGAACTCAACCCAATAGCAAAAGAAAAAAAAAACCCTAATATTTCAGTTAAAAAATGGGCAAAAGACCTGACTAGATATTCCTCAAAAAAAAAAAAAAAACATTCAGATGGTCAATAAGTATATGAGAAAATGTTCAACATCACTAATCATCAGGGAAGTGCAAATAAAAAATACAGTGAGATAACACCTCACCCTGATTAGAATAGCTATTATCAAATGCTGCTTGCGGCTGTGGAGAAAGAGTAACTCTAATACACAGTTGGAGGGAATGTAAATTAGTATAGCCATTATGGAAAACAGAATGGAGATTTTTCAAAAAATTAAAAATAGAGCTACCATATGGTACAACAATTCTACTACTTGGGTGTATCTCCAAAGGAAATAAAATCGGTGTGTTGAAGAGATATCTACTATCTCATTTTATTGCAGCACTATTCACAATAACCAAGATATGGAATCAACTTAAGTGTTCATCAATGGATGATGGATAAAGAAAATATTGTGCATATATACAATGGAATATTACTTAGCTATAAAAAATAGAATGCTGTAATTTGTGGCAACATGGATGAACCTGGAGGGCGTTATGTTATGTAAAGTAAGCCAGGTAGAGAAAGACAACACATGATCTCACTCATATTTTGAATCTTAAAAAGTTAATTTCATAGAAATAAAAAGGAGAATAGTGGTTACCAGAGGCTAGAGAGATAAGCAGAAGTGATGAAGAGAGAATGTTCAACAGGTACAAAGTCAGATAAGAATAAGATCTGGTATTCTATTGTACAGTAGAGGGACTGTGGTTAATGATGTTGTATTGTATATATCAAAATAGCTAGAAGAAAGAATTTTAGACGTTCCTACCACAAATAAATGAGGAATTAATGAGGTGATAAATATGCTAAATACCTGTACTTGATCATTACATAATGATCATTACATAATGTAGTGTATTAAAACATTACATTGTATCCCCAAATAAAAAAATTGTTGTGTGCCAATTAAAATCAACATTAAAATTAGAAACCAATTTGTTGTTTCATTTAGCATTTACCAAATGGTCTGAAAAGCAGCTAGTTTTGAGTGGGGCTCAAAATGGTTGAAGGCTCTGCAGCAGGTTCAGTTGCTCTGCCACATAGGCCATATGATTCAGCAGATCCAGTGGTACTTATAGTGTCAGTGGCAGGTAAGGATACTGTTGTCAAAGCAATTCCTATAGGTAAATTGCTCTTACAGTTTTAGAGCAAAGCCCTATCACCTTTCAAAGACAACTGCTCTTCTTTTGAGAAATAGTTCTTAGACTGCTATAGAGTTTTAGTAGATACTGAATATTTCACCATGAACCACCAAGTTACCATGTACTTTGAGGTGTCCATTGAAAACTAATGCTTTCTGTAATTGCTTTATGTTCTTATGACTTTATGCTCTGCTGATATAAAAATCTTAGTTCCAGAGATAAAAGGTTTCTACCAAGAGAAACGGAATTTATTCCATTGAACTGGAAGTTCAATGTAAGTAGGGTGACTTTAGACTTCTCATGCATCTGGATCAATAGGCAAAGAAGGGAGTTACTCTGTTGACTGGGGTGATTGATTCTGACTACCAAGAGAATATCAAACCACTATTGTATGATAGAAGTTAAAAAAAAGAGTATGTTTGGATTAAAGGAGATCCTTTAGGGTGTCTCTAAGTATTTCTGTACCCTGTGATTAAGGTCAATGGAAAACTACAATAACGCAATCCAGGCAGGACTACTTATGGCCCAGACCTTTCAGGAATAAAGATTTGGATCACTTTGCCAGATAAAGAACTACAACCAATTGAGGTGCTTTCTGAAACCAAAAGTAACTAGACAGGGTAGGAGAAGAAGGTAATTATAAATACCAACTATGACCAAGTGAGTAGTTACAAAAACAAGTACTGTAATTGTCTTGAGTATTTTCTCCTTAATTTGTTATGAATATGTTTGTGTGTATATACATATCTTTGTTTTCTTTCCTCTTTTATTTCCTTATCATATAACGTAATATGTATTGACTTAATTTTATAGTATTTAATTATTATTAATTTTACATCATAGTATTTGTATTAGTCTGTTATTGTGTTGCTATAAAAACTGCCTGAGACTGAGGCAATTTATAAAGAAAAGAAGTTTAATTGGCTCACAGTTTCACAGGCTGTACAGGAAGCATGGCTGTGGATGCCACAGGAAATGTACAATCATTCTGGAAGGCCAAGAGGAAGGAGGTACATCTTACAAGGCTGGAGAAGGAGGAAGAGATTGAAAAGAGAGATGCTACACACTTTTAAACAACCAGATCTCGTGATAACTCATTCACTATCATGAGAATGACAAGGGAGATATCCATTCCCACGGTCCAGTCACCTCCCACCAGGCTCTGGGGATTACAATTTGACATGAGATTTGGGCGGGGACACAAATCCAAACCATATAAGTATTTAAGTTATAAGATATCAAAGAGAAGAGTAAACATCACTCACAGACAGTGCATTTTAGGTGGTGTGCAGAATAGCTGTATCATGTTAGGCGAATTATGACCTTGTTGCTATGTTTATTTGGAGATTAAATATGGTTTAAGGAGATGTTTATGAGTATCAAGTTGACAAAGGGTAGATTTGTGTTGACAAATTTTACGTGTCAACTAAACTGAGCCAGGGGATGCCTAGATAGCTGTAAGTTAAATGTTATTTCTGGATGTTGCTGAGAGGATATATCTGGGAGAGATTAGTATTTGAATCTGTGGACTGAGTGAAGCAAATGACCCACCTCAATGTTGATGGGCACCATCTAATCTACTGAGGGCAGAAATAGTACAAAAAGTTGGGGAAAGGTTGACTAAACTCTGCCTATCTACTTGAGCTGAACTTGGATCTTTTCCTGCCCTTGGAACTCCTGGTTCTTAGGCTTTCAGACCTAGACTGGAATCCACACCCTTGATTCCCTGGCTTGTAGGCCTTTGAAATACCACCAGCTTTCCTGGGTCTCTAGCTAGCAAACAGCAGATTGTGGGACTTCTCAGCCTCCATAATTCTGTGAGAAAATTGTTTATAATGAATCTCTTAGTAAATATATCTACATATATGTAGATATATTATGTTTCTCTGGAGAACCTTGACTAATACATGCGTGTGTGTGTGTGTATATATGTTTAAGTCCTTAAATGCTAATAATGACTATTTAAAACAAATATGAATAAATTTCCATAATTTTTAATGTGAGAAGATTTTGCTTATGTTGTTTTCATATGTTTGAGGAATTTTGATCTTGTTTTCTACTCCAAGGAATAAAACACACCTGCTCAGCAACAGTTGTTCCCCATGGCAGACACTCTTATCTCCTTTGAGTTAGGGAACATGGGATTTCTTTCCTTCTTAACATCCCTGCATCCAGGTAGATATGGATTAGGGCCCAAGGTTGTTCTGATTTCTTGTTTATCCTCTTAGAAAATCACTGACAGAAAAAAAGTATTACTAAATCAAAAAGCCTCAGCCAAATTCCCAGCTCTAATATGTACTAAATATTTCTTCAGCCACTTATCAGCTTGATAATTTTTTTCTTTCATTTAAAAAATAGTCTACTACCTGTTTATCCCATCTCAAGGAGTCCATACAACAATCCAATAAGAAAATTTATGCAAATTAATTATAATATTGTACGGTAAATACAAACTTTAGTGTGATGACATTGATGATATGGTGATGCTGATAAACTTTACCCCAAGCATCACGGTTCCATTTTGCCCCATATAAGAGCATTTCCTTATAAATGCTCAGATCATACTTGTTGATGTCAGCAGAAAGACTCTAATCCTCAACACACCGAACTGGGTCAGCCTTCAGGACATGATTTTAGCAGCCTCCACCCTCCATATGTGACTTTTTCTTGAGTAACACTGACGTTCCCATAGGCAAAAGCACTGTAACACTCAAACAAACAGTTAAAACTCAAATCCCATATTCCGCCAAGTTTCTGCAACTACATGTGGTTGAGTTATTATTCTCTTGTCAGCTCTTACTGCAGATTTCTTCTGCCTTCCCTTTTATTTTGCTTTCTGCATTATGTTTACCACTGCTTCATGGCTGTCATAGTTTCATCCTAATTTATCCCAAGGATCAATACGAACTCTGACATGTGAGATAGATATTTACAGAGCTTTTGTGGATAGTGGGTATAATTATATCTTTGAGTAAAAAATAATTTCACATTCTGTATCTGGCATCACTGCCTCAGAAATGTGTCATTCATTATTCACCATGGGAACTTTATCATCGGCTCAGGTCTTCAGGTCCTCCTTAGTTCTTGGTCAGCAACTTGTACTGGCCTCTTATTATTTTCTATCAATGTCTTCTGTATTCTTTTCTCTGAATTTGGGATTCCTCATCCTCTGACCTCCTCTATCTTAGCCTTCACCTGAAAAGTCAAAAATTTGTTTCTTTTTACTGGTATTACTTTTATCTTCTACCTCAAACTAGCCAGGCCTACTTTTGGAGCTACTAAATACCCTTAATTCCCTTTCCATGCAAATTTTCTATCAACCTCTTAATCTGCCCTTGAATATGCAATAAACAGGCAGAGTGCACCCTTTCTCAGGATAAACTACATATTGACACACAACAAAAACCCCAACTCCGAGTTCTCGTACAACAAAAATTTATTTCTTTTTCATGCTACATACCTAGCTCAGATAAATCTTGATTATAGAGTCCAGATTAAAGGAGCAGCCCGTAGCTGCAACATGGCTGGCCTTCTGGTGAAGAGAAACAGAAGATGGTAGAAGAACATGGAGCTCTTTAAACATTTTTCTCAAAGTGGCATAATCACTTCTCTCACATTCAACTTGCCGAAACAAGTTACATGCCATTCTTCACATTGATGGGACAGGGAAATATAATAGACATATGAGAAGATGTACCACATGTTTATTAACTATATAGAATAATCTATAATAAAATTACATTTTTCCTTAATTGGTACAAACTAACTTCACTCCTCTCTAATACACACAAGGTCTCTCCTTTCTCTCCTGCCAAACTTTGTTTAAAGAGAAGGAGGCAACTAGACTATGTATTGTCTCTGTTTCCCAAGCAAGAACTTAGAGAAACTGTTTCTTTTCCTCTCACATATAAATGTTGATATAATTTCTTAAAATGCATAGCTTTAGATGACCTGATAATTTCCCTATTCATAATGGTGGATGACATTTATATTTATGATCTAAATCTAGATGTGTTGCTTCATACTGGTAGATGGACTCAGTTCCAATTATAATAGTGACGGTTGGCCAGGAGCCAAAGGCTGCTAAGTTGGGCCTCTCTGCATCCCCAGCATTTAGAGCCAGCATTAAAAAAATGAAAATGTAGACAATTCTACTCCTTAACATGGCCAAAGCACCTTCTGAACCAATAAGCCCACAGGCCTAATTATTAAGCAGGGTTGTCCAATGATGGTAGGGCAGACCTTTCATTATAATCATGTACTTTTTCAAAGTGTTCCATTTATTATCTGTCTTAAAGCTCATCTATTTTTAACTGCCTAGATTTATTATAAATGGAGTAGCAAAGCTTATAAGGTCATGCAACCTTTGATTACAACTGTAGTAAATCAACCTAGATTCATTTTAATGAGACTCATAATTTCTTGTTGGATTTATTTTTTTTTCTTTTAGTGTCTCTATGTCTCTCTCTCTCTCATTTTGGTGAGGGTTCATATCAGGCCAAGCTTTACAAAACCCAGCGTTTTGTCTTCGGTTGGACTATTCTCTCTCTCTCTCCTTTTTTTTTGGTCTCCTGACTCAGCTCTTTATAGTTTCTGCATGCAACCAAGTGAGAGCCATTCTAAGAAACTTGAACAGTCAGATTCATAGTAAACACCTAGAATTGAAAGTACAAAAAGTGTCAGCAGAAAAAGCAGGTCATAGGTTCTCACATTTATTTTCCTCCTGAATGACCCATCGACACAATGTGAAGAAAGAGTGTGGCTCCCAGTCATGAGATTTGCCACTGATAATAGAGGGGAGCAATAACTTCTGATTAGGTAAGGGAGATGGCACCACTGCCAGCAAAAAAGTGGAAATTTTGTTAATTATTTGTTTGTGTTTTATCAAACAATCTGTGGGGAAGTGTTCTTTTCTATTATATTGATTATGCTGAACAATTCATTTGACTGTTTTTTTGGCACAGGCAATGCGAAAGACAAGGGAAAACATATTTACTTATTTATTGCTTGTAATTTTCACGTCCTCCAAATGCCAGGTAGATGTCTGGGTGAATGCACATATAATCCTCAAAGCAAATTATATGAATTGATGTCTGAAACTCTTTTCACCACAACTGTATTTGCATATGATTCCACAGAAAATTTGAACAAATAAATATGTTAATATATACAAATTAGCTCCTTGATAAAGAATTCGATTGTCCATATCTTTCTGACCACCTTATCTCATGAAAAATATGTCAAGACAAACCGGGGTTTACCTTTTCATGGGGCCTTCCCAAGCATAGCTTTGCTGAGGAGCCCTCATTTTAACACTATGCTATTTGTCACAAAGCCCATGTCTAAAGAACTATTTGTCTTACAGGAAACTAAAGCTATTTAAAATAAAAAATAAACACCTAGACTTTCTTTTAAATGCTGTTCAATATATGTCATTAAAGCAAAGTAAAGTTCAAATTTGTCTTTTATAATCTAAATAAATACCATCTTTTATAATATGTTTATTATAAACAGGAAAATCCTATATTCAATTTTACATTGATTACCACATTTTCTAAAATCATTTAACATATTATCCATATATTTGTAATAGAAAACTATAGAATTTGAAATAATTTTAGAAATTAACAAGTGGAAACATTTTAACCTATAGGTAAAGAATCTAAGTCCCCAAGCAGTGACACTGATAACGAGTCAAAAACTGAGACCCAAAATTGGAGTCTGACTGTGGGACACACCTACTAAAGGATAATTTGTTTAAGATACATTAAAATTGTGTACATGAAGGCAAAAGCTAACAGGTCAGATTAAAAATGGAAAATATATAAGTAGAACAGAAAGGAAATTTTATTTTTCTACTTCATTATAAAATGATGTGCATGAAAGTACTTTTAAAATATGAAATTACTTAATTGGAGGCAACCATTACTTTACCTAGAGACTACTATACCTACCACTTTAATGAGTAGTAAAGGACATTCCTGTATAAGAATCCATCAATCAGCCATAGAGGTTTGATAATACAATGCACTTAGCACTATCATTACTTGTGTAATTAATACATGCTCACAGACTTACAATAGAATGGTGAGGCTAAACTAAAAATAAGATAAAATAACCTGAAGCAAAATTAAACAAAAATTTTAAACGTGAAAAAGTTCTAAATGATTGTCAATTCCCATGAGATAATTTTTTCAGAGCTACTGTAATTTTGAAAAGCTTATTCATACAGCTAACATCAGCCTCACCAAAAGATGGAACCAGAGCAGTTTTGATTGACAATTGGGTAAAAAGATGGATGAAAGGATATCCCAAGGTGGGAAAGAATATGGGCAAAATTGAGGATGTAGAAACACCTTGAGTAGCAGGAAATCTCAATGAAGGGACAGCCAAGTTCACAGCACAAAATACATGCTGAAGACATTCAGAGTGAGCAATAGAAAGACAGCTGGGCAGGCCATGGAATCTAGCTGGAGGTATTTGTATTTAATTCATAAGATACCTAATATATTATTAATAGGGGGGGTAGAATTTTTATAGAACGTTAGTAAATTAGTGAGCTCAAACCGTTCCTTGGTGACTCTGTCAGAATCCTGAGCTACATGGATTTTGACATTAAGTTCAATCTCAAAGAATATGTGAGCACCTTTTATACCATGCTACCAATTTACAGAATCTAATTAACTATCTATCAAAGTTTTTCAATTATTAGACTATTTAAGTATCTCAGAGGTACTCAGTTTAAGTTGGTTAATATTATTGGCCTATATGTCAATAATTAAATGCATATATTTAATATATGCCAGAAGAAATCATGTTAATATCAGTGAAGACATTAAAATAACGTGAGATATAATAGACTGTCCCAAACTCAGAAAACTCAGATATACTTTCTCATAGACTGTTTTCTAGGATACATGAGATTTGTCAGTTAAATTAATATCTATAATTTATTTCCCAGTAATTTTATTTAGTTATTCATTTAATAGAAATTAAAACATAAGGTTATAATGATCTTTGTATAACAGTGTTCATAGCAGTTTCATTAAAAAAAACAAAAATAGAAAACAAATGTCTGTCGATAGAAGAATGGATGAAAAATTCCTGGTATATTGATATAATGGCATACTACTCAATAGCAAAAAAGGAAAGACTACTGATATATTCAACAACAGGCACACAAACGTGTTATGTTGAGAAACTGGACACAAAAGAGTCAATATTGTACAATTCCATTTGAGTGAGATTGTAGAATAACAAAACTAATCTAGGTGATAGAAATCAGGTCAGCGGCTGTTTCTAGGGTGAGGAGGTTGACTTAGAAGGATTCTTGGGTTCAAAAAATGTGATATGCCCTTACACGTATTTGTTAGACATTATGCTTGAAATCTGACATTCACTGTGTGTAAATTACATCCTAACAAAAATTAATATCCATAGTTGTTTTTCTACCTGCAATTGGCTTACATTGGAACCTATATTGGAAGAATTATTAGAGCTTCTGCCATCTACATTTTTTCTTCACTCTTTGGTTAATTGATGGTTTGAAAGATTTCTCCCTTTTTTCTCTGCATGTGTAATGCTTTTTGTTTTCAATGTTTTAGGGGGTGATACTGCTGTGGGCTTTTCTATTGAAGAGAATATAAACTTTTATCAGGTATATTTCACAAAAGTTTTGAATTAAAAAATTAGTTGGGTTTACTCCGAAACACAAGAGTAATATTAATGTTTTAATCATGAAGTGGAACAGAAACCATGAAACTCACCTAGCAAAAGAGGCTTGCTGCCCAATGCACTGGAAGCCAATACTATGACACTAGATTTTGAGGCGAAAAAAAAAAAAAACAGCTCTTTATTGCAAGTTGACTCACAAAGAGATAGGAATCAAGCTCAAATCTTTCTGCCTGTGCTGGCTTCAAGGCAATATTTTTTATTAGAAAATTTTCTGAGGTGGATTCTGAGATTAGCAGGTGATTTGTGGAAGGAAAGGAGAGGTCTGGAGAGTCCTTGAGCATGCGCAGTTATCTCTTTATGCTACCTCATGGATTGCATGTGCAAATTCAGGGGGAGTTAGCATAAAGCATGCTGTGGCAATTCAGATTGTGATGTTAGTAAGCTCACTTTGCACAGGCTCCAGTCAGCCATATTGGTTTCAACCTATTTCAGCCAGTTTTATCTTGATCTCACAAGTGGAGGGAGTTTCAGTGCTGTCTCCTTTATCGATTATCCTGCAAGCTCAAAAATATGTTAGTCATTAGTTTCTTACTCTTTGAGGAACAGTTTCAGTTTCAATTTTACAGCAAATTGTTTCATTTCTTATTTGCTATCCTTTAAGCCCAAGAATTTGGTATTTGATTGCTTAAACTCTTTAGGACACAGATTTTCAAAACAACCTAACCATCCTTAAACTATTCAGATGTATCCAGATGTATCCAAGGTTCTCGTAAATATTAAATGTAGCTTGCATGCTTTTTTTTTTTTGAGACTGAGTCTCGCTCTGTCAGCAGGCTGGAGTGCAGTGGCATGATCTCGGCTCACTGCAACCTCTGCCTCCCAGGTTCAAGTGATTCTCCTGCCTCAGCCTCCCGAGTAGCTGGGATTACAGGCACCTGTCACAACGCCCAGCTAATTTTTGTATTTTTGGTAAAGATGGGGTTTCACCATGTTGGCTAGGATAGTCTCGATCTGACTTCATGATCCGTCTGCCTCGGCCTCCCAAAATGCTGGGAATACAGTCATGAGCCACCGCGCCCAGCCGCGTGCTTTTTTTTTTTTTTTATATCTCCTCCCATCTTCACCATAAGAGTCTCTCTCCTAATATTATCCGTAAATACGTTTTCTCTTCTTAACATTTTGATCAACTGCTTTAGCGTTTTAGTCTATTCTTCCCTCAATTTTCTGTGAGTTTAGCCCAGAAGGCATAACACTACCACCTTTTACTCAAGTAGCTATATTTGGGATATAAGTCCTTATATATGTTTTAACCTTCAGACATTCTAGATGTTAATGATATACTGTATAGGAGATTTCTTCTTCATTCAAAAAGTTCTGGTTATTAGGGAGAATGGAATGAAATGGTCTTTATCCTTTAAGCCCAATTTTAACACTAAAATTATCTTTTTTCAAGAATCTTACAACTTGAAATGCCATAGATCAGGTACATTAGAAATATAAAACTACTAGAATTGTTTAACATTAACAAATCTGTAGGTATTAAATTAGCACTGAGCAACAGTAAGAATAAAAATGAATTGTTATTCATGGTAATATACAAACAAACAGTTCCCTGGTTTGTGTTCTCAAGGATCTGATCCTGTAAGAAGGACTTAAGTGAAAGTAGTTAATTTTTTGAGGTGATTTCGGGAAGGAACAGGGAGGAAAGAAAGAATAGAAGCCAATAGACATGCACAATCAAACCAGTTATAACCGTGCCAAGTGGAGCTCCATCCCACTGGGGGACTTGGGGAGCCAGCGTAGAATGTGACTCTGAAATATCCCAACCCAGCTGTACTCTCTAGAAACTCAGTGAGAAAAATGTCCTAGAAGTTAGGACATCACACTTTTCGTATTCATGTCACAAATTCGCTAGTAATGTCACAAATTCTAGTTACATTACAAATTATCTTCCTAGTTAAATCCCAAATTCCCTGCCCAGAAGCTCATTCAATCCATAGAATATGGTTTCCTCATATATCGAGAGATGACTGTTTTAAAAATGAATCTAGGGTCCATTCCAGCTATAATTATAAATGTATGCTTACTATGGTTGGAGTTTAAATGTGAGATAAAGCAATCCAAACTTAAATCACCAAAAGTGTGCATTGTATATAAACACTTTATGATTAAAACATGTATTAACTAATAATTTTTAATAAATTAGCTTTTTCTTAGTGATTCTATCACTGTCTGATATAAAGCTTGTTGATCATTAAATATGAAGCCCAAAAAGGAGACACTAAAATTACCTTTTTTCAAGAATCTTACAACTTGAAATGCCATAGATTGGGTAGATTAGAAACACAAAACTACTAGAATTTTTTAACATCAACAAATCTGTATGTATTAAATTAACACTGAGCAAGAGTAAGAATAAAAATGAATTGTTATTCATGGTAATATACAAACAAACAATTCCCTGGTTTGTGTTCTCAAGCATCTGATCCTATAAGAAGGACTTAAGTGAAAGTAGTTAATTTTTTGAGGTGATTTCAGGAGGGAGCAGGGAGGAAAGAAAGAATAGAAGCCAATATACATGCACAATCAAGCCAGTTATAACTGTGCCAAGTGGAGCTCCATCCCACTGGGGGACTTGGGGGGCCAGCGTAGAATGTGACTCTGAAATATCCCAACCCAGGTGCAAGGCAGCAGTGTAGTTATCCTTTTACTTGCCTTAGTCATTGTTTGAGATCAGATTTCCAAGGCACTTACTCTTCATCATTTCCAGCTTGCCCTGTGCTTGGTGTGAACATGCTCTTGTGGCCAGAAAGCAGCCCCACAGACGGAGATTGTCAGGGCTCCCTAGTGCTCTGCCTTCTGTGGGTAGAGGTGACTGCTAAGATATGGGTGTGCACCAACAGCTACATCAGTGTAGGTTGAGTCCATGGCAAAAATCTTGGATCAGCAGGGATTTCAACTACATAAATTGATTTTTAAAAAAGAGGTAAGAGTTGATTTTTAGCAAAGAATTTAAATCTAGTCATGGGTGAAGTTTGAAGTATCTTAATACCCTCGTTACTGCAAAATGCCAACTCCGGTATATTAGACTGGACTCAATTTAAATTTCTCCCCTCTCAGTTGAAAAAATACTGATCAGAAAAATCCAGTTCATTTTTTTAAAGTCACATGGCAAGATATTATCTGAGCTAAACCTAGAATCCATTTTTTTTAACTCCTGGGTTAGAATTTTATATTTTATATCACAAACACAAGTAGTGTTCAAAGTGTGATATTCAAAGGAGTAGCATCAGCATCACCAGGAAAATTGTTAGAAATGAAAATTCTGGTCCCACTCTGGAACTACCAAATCAGAAACTCCTCGAATTGGTCCAACTTATGTGTTTTAACAAGTTTTCAAGGTAATTCTGATGAATGGTGAAGATTTAGAACCACAGGCACCTGATATTAAGATTGTATCTACACCTAAATAGGAAATGGCATTTACCCCACTTTTTATTACAATGTCAAAAAATTATGCTAGGTACATTTAAAAATATTATATACTGTGTTTTTCCTTTCTGGCTGAATTTTAGTTGATTTATCTGTTTTTAAAGTATTAAATAAGTTACTTAAGTTAAACAACTGGCTTGACTACTTTTTGAAGGAATGGACATGTGCATAATACATGTTTTAGCAATATATATTTTATCCAAGTGTTTTCGTTTGTAGGTCAAAATGTTAAAGAAGTTCTCACATAAAATAATCCAATTTGGAAGCAACTCAACAAACTGTATTAAAATATAAAGAAACTATATTTAAAGTTTGTGTGACTTTCTAAAACCATTTTTTCTCTCCAGGCCTGAGTTTCCTCACCTAAAAACAAAAAGAATTGAACTAGATTTTTTGGAATTCTGATCAGTTCCATATTTCTGTGCTGTAATGACAAGTTGTGGCCGAATGATGAACTAGTTCTATGTAGACACGGCCCTCCATATCATATTTCTGGCTGTATTTTCAGATTTTTTTTAAAGAAAAAAACCCAGCAATTTATATAATCTGGGGTTTGAATGATAGAAAAATTTATCCTTTATACAGAAACTGTTGTCCAAAAGTCTTTAATTGAAGCTGATCTATTTTTTTTTTTTTAATTTTGCTGTCCTCTGGTTCTGAGAAGGTAAAATATGTGACACTGGCACTCCCCAAGATTTTTTAGGGCTGAGTCATCCTCTCAGAACCAGGGCTTCCTGGCAGGGCAGGTGTAAGCATCAGAAAGCTGAAAGGTTAGAGGATTCTCTCAACCTATTTTTGGCTCTCTTCATTGCTGGCCTTGGCAACTCCTTTTCTGACCTATCAGAGCTTATCTTTGCATAGATGTTTCTAATATTTTCCAAGATGCATCTTCAGTACATTACACAATGTTCTCTTCCTAATAGTGTGAGTCACCCATATTGGCTTTAGGAGGTCCATTGCTTGTAAATAAGCCATAATCAGCATAGTTTCCAACTGATGCACTACAGCTCATTTCTCCCCCACAGTGAAGGAAGTAGCTTTGAAAAGGACAGAATCACTCTTATTCCCCTAATGTGCCATCACTGCACAACTGCAGGGTAAGCCAGTAGTCAGTTCTGAGGCTTTGTGTCAGCAATCAAACTCATTTGGTGACACATTAAGTATTATCAGGACACTCAGAGAAAAGAATGCACAGGCAAACCAAAAGAGAGTATGCATAGTGGCAACCTATAAATGTGTCTAATTCCATATTTTAAGTACTCACTAAGTGTTTTGTAGACAAAAAGTGCTACCAAATTGTAAGAATGTAATTTCAATAAGTGATCACCATGATCAAAGCCTGAATCTTTAGTTTTGCTGAATGTCTGAGACACTTCCAAGAGTACCATCAGGATTTCATTGACAGAAGAGCCTGTGAGGCCAGAGACGCTCTATTTCAGGTGGCAGGGCCATTTCAAGCCCACTCAGATCTTCTCTGACATATATTAAGAGGCAGCATAGAGTTGACAGGTAAAATATTTATTTTATTTTTAATGTGGTAACACTGATACAAGTCATTGTCTCCTTACTTGAACTGAGAGAAGAGAGCTGAAGAAAGAAAGCAACCACATCTTAACCTGAAAAAGTCATTTGTGTGGAAATAGAAATTTTATTTAAAAAAATTTTCAGATTATGTATTTTCTCACCATATGAGGTAAACATTACCTTCATTTGACAGATAAAGAGAAAGAAGCACTGACTGATTTCACATAGGCTCATGTGCAGTCACAGCAGAAATGGTGCTCCTGGCTCCTCATGACAAGAAAGTGAGGATTGCACTCAGCATGGCTCTCCAAAATCAATTTAGAAGATGGTGGATGGGGCTCCTATCTGTCCAGAATCCAATGTTTCTCCACCAAGAAAACAGGACCCCATACTTGTTATGGAAAGTCATCTTTATCTTATCATTGTGCTCTAAGTTTAGATGGCACTTTTACTTAACTACCAACTCCAGAGTTGGTTGTTACTGGATTAATGTATCAACATATCCCAACACAATGGTCACAATAAGTGATGCAGAGGATGCTCATGATCAAACTGCTCCATACAGAGTAAACTTCACAACTTTTCCTGAACTAGATACAAGAAAGCACCTATGCCTGGGAGCTATTGACAGCCATATTGAAACTACAAAGAGAAAGCCCACAGAAGATGGAAGAAGAGGAATTGGAAATGAGTAATGTGAAGAGGGAAACTAAGTACCATTCTCACTGTTGGAGGGCTCAGTTGGTCTTGGATATGTTTGCCTTCATTTTTGCTGGTCTACCTTCTCACTTTCATCACAGTTTCCATTTATTGCATTCTTTTACTGTAAGCCTTTTAAAAATGTAATTTGCAATTCGGTCTCAGTTTACTTCCTTGTTTCCATTTTTTGTGATGATAACCCCAGAATATCTGAATACAAAAATCTATAAGAAGCACAGAAAACAGTCTTGTTTAGAGAACACAGAGATGCAGGTTTTGTTTTTAGAGAAAGACAGCCACTGAGAGGCCAGCTCATTGACAATTCAAGTTTACCTTAACATCTAGCACAATCTCCATTTCAAAGTCTTTCTCCAGATTACTGTTTGTTCTTCTTCAAGAATTGTTTCCTGGTTGATGCCAGTTTCAATGACCTCTTAGTCAAACAGCCCCTATTACTGCATGACCTGATATAGGAGGAGTTGACTTAGGGTCAAACTGAAGATGTTCAACTGAAGGTGTTTCAGTCTGACACAGGAGGCAACTGCTGTTTTCTGAAATAACTGAATATGCAGCCATGACTGCCCCACATTTCTGGCTAGTTACAGTCAAATGTCCTTTTCTTTGACTGGATAAATGCCTGGGCCAAAAATAAAAATCAAGCTAATGTTGACAGCAGAGTAAGATGGTATGCATATGAAAAAATTGTGTTGGTTTTTATTTCTGTTATGAAAGCAAATTTATTAAATAAATTGAAGACTTTTTATCCTGAACACTCATGCTTAGATAAAAGTTGCATTTGGATTTTAAGTGATCATACCTCTCTTTGAGCTCTTAAACATTGTCACTAGATTCACATATTTTCTCTTGCAAGTTCGTATGATTTGCATTATTTAAACTTGCAAAGTTCATCAGTCCAGAGTTTTACTTATTTTATATCCTCTGCAGGTTATAGTACAGGTTTATGCCTGGTAAAAATGGACAAAAACATCAATCATTGTGGTTGAACACCTGAATGTAAATTGTTACCCTGAGCTCTTACCTTATTTACTTTGTTATCTATAAAATGGGGATAACAGTGACAGTCTTACACCACACTGAGTAGCTAAGTGAGTTTTATACAATGATACATATGAGCTGTGCTTCAGTGCCCATAGCACACATTCATAAACTCTCTAGTTGTAGCCTTGCTAATTATCTTTGGGCTATTTTGTACCTCTTGTAAATTGTAGGTAACTGATAAATTGGCAAACTATCTTTTCCAACAGAGTTTTCATTGACTTCTTTCCTGCCCTAGAAAAAACAGTTTTGCATCCATGTGTAATTTAGTATAAATCTATGCTTTCTTTGACTTTTTCTTTGAACAAGTTATAGCATCTGACTGATTCTCTCATATGAGAAACATCAAATATTTAACACATGTTCATTTTTCCATCTATAAGAGAGTCATTATCTCATCTTTTTGAAATTTATCTTTTAACAGTTTGGAGATCTTCCACCAATATGCCCAGTGGATTCTCCCACCAGGGCCAGGTAACCTTCCTCACCAGAGGTGAGCATCTTGGGAAAAAGTACATCCTGTCTTTGCCCCCAGAGGTGACTTCAAAGAGGTAAAAGAGCTTTAATGACTCTCTGTTTATTCAATTTTAATTTTACTTTCTACTAATTTTGTGTTTTGTCTTTGGTTTTGGTTTATTTTCAGCCAATAAATTATTCCCGATTGCTAGCAGCAATGTTTGGATATTTGGTTTTATTGACTGATTATTTGATAATATCTGTATGAGGTTTAATTGTTTACAGAGATCTATTCCCTGTTGCATAAGAGACAACAGATACTCTGGTTTATTAATTTTATTGATTAAGAGTTGTATTTCATGGTCTGACCACTTGGTAATTTTTACTCTCTGTTAAATAACAGATGATAGAGAATCTAGTTTGTTAGTCTTTTTCAATTATCTATTTTTACCTCCAGACAATGAAGAATTTTTCCAGTGAGAAGGAGACCAGGTTTTTGATAGGCCAGTAAGGTTCTGTGGTTGTTTATTTGCTCTGAATCCTTGGCTCAACTTTAGAAGTGAAGCTCTCTATTTTTATTTTTATTATTATTATTTTTTTTGAGATGGAGCCTTGCTCTGTCCCCAGGCTGGAGTGCAGTGGTGCCATCTTGGCTCACTGCAACCTCCGTCTCCTGGGTTCAAGCAATTCTCCTGCCTCAGCCTCCCAAATAGCTGAGACTATAGGCATGTACCACCACGCCCAGCTAATTTTTGTATTTTTAGTAGAGACGGGGTTTCATCATGTTGGCCAGGATGGTCTCGGTCTCTTGACCTGATGATCCACCCGCCTCGGCCTCCCAAAGTGCTGGGATTACAGGCGTGAGCCACCATGCCCAGCTGAAGCTCTCTATTTTTAACTGTATGTATATCCTGGGTCTATCACTCAGAGAAGGCTTTACCACATTTACCACAGACCGTATGAATGTGTAGTGTTTTCCAATCTCCAGATGATACTGATAGATTAGCCTAAAAAGCCTCCTAAACAAACTCGTTCTAGTTGGCAGATAAACACATATCAATTGAATATTCCTAAAATTTCCAGAAAATTGAACTTTAGTACTTTAAATGTATTATAAAAAATGCTATCTTTATATAAGCCAGCTTAAAAATACTTTAAGAAATCAAGAGAACAGAATATAGATAAGTCTTTGGCAAATGAGACCAGCTTAATATTTTTGGTTTAATGAAAACAGCTATCAGTGTTAAATATAATACATGCATGCATTTATTATCCACCTCCTATTTTTCTCTGTGAAATAGAAGTTACTTTAGTAAAAAGTTACAGTTACTTAAGTGAATGAACATGCACTAGGAACAACAGTGGCAGCGAACTATCACCTGGTAGGTGAAGTGATGTAATCTGCTTCTGTTCAGTAAAGGGAAAGATAATAATTTCAGTCTAAAGTGACTGGTTGTTTTAGAAAAAGAAAGAGGGTAGTGAAGGAAAAACCTGAATAGATATAAAAAGCTGTAGAAAGGCCATGGAAAGAAAATTGTATTTGCTTTCAATTACAAGCATACCTCAGAGATATTGCAGGTTCAGTTCCAAAACCACTGCCATAAAGTGAATGTTGCAATCAAGCAAGTCACGCAATTATTTTTTGGTTTCCTAGTCCATACAAAATTTATGTTTACACTATAGTCCAGTAAGTGTGCAATAGCATTAGGCCTAAAAAACAGTGTACATACCTTAATTAAAATACTTCATTGCTAAAAATTGCTACC
Organism: Homo sapiens; assembly: GCF_000001405.40. Taxonomy (NCBI): domain Eukaryota; kingdom Metazoa; phylum Chordata; class Mammalia; order Primates; family Hominidae; genus Homo; species Homo sapiens. The sequence continues at coordinate 39,951,472 of NC_000018.10, forward strand.
AATCATCTGAGCCTTCAGTGAGTCATAATCATTTTGCTACTGGAGTGTCTTGATTTGATGTTGGTGGCTGCTGACTAATCAGGGGTGGTAGTTGCTGAAGGTTAAGGTGGCTGTGGCAATTTCTCAAAAAAAGATAACAATGAAGTTTTCCACATCAATTGACTCTTCCTCTCACGAAAGATTTCTCTGTCGCATGTGAGGCTGTTTATAGCACTTTACCCACTTCTTTCGAAATTGAAGTCATCCCTCTAAAACCTTGCCAACTGCTTTGTCCACTCTGTTTAAGTAATATTCTAAATCCTTTGTTGTCTTTTCAATAATGTTCGTAGCCATCTTCACAGAAGTAGATTCCATCTCAAGAAACCACTTTCTTTGCTCATCCATAAGAAGCAACTCTTCATCTGCTCAAGTTTTATCATGAGATTACAGCAATTCGGTCACATCTTTAGGCATCCCTTCTAATTCTAGTTTTCTACTTCCATCACATCAGCAGTTATTTCCTCCTTTTACATCTTGAACTCCTCAAAGTCACCTATGAGGGTTGGAATCAGCTTCTTCCAAACCCGTGTTAATGTTGATATTTTCACCTCGTCCCGTGATTTATGAATGTTGTTAATGGCATCTGGAATTGTGAATCCTTTCCAGAAGGTGTTCAATTTACTTTGCCCAGATCCATCAGAGGAATAACTAGCCATGGCACCTATCGCATTATGAAATGTATTTCTTAAATAATAAGACTTGAAAGTTGAAATGACTTCTTGATCCATGGTGGGCAGAATGGGTGTTGTGTTAGCAGGTGTGAAAACAGCATTAATCTCCTCGTACATCTCCATCAGAGCTCTTAGGTGTCTAGGTACATAATCAACTAGCAGCAATATTTTGAAAATAATCTTTTTTTTCCTGAGCAGTAGATATAAACAGTGGGCTTAAAATATCTAGTAAACCATTATTTAAACAGGTGTGCTGTTATCCAGGCTTTGTTATTCCATTTATAGAAAACAAGCAGAGTAGATTAAGCTTCATTCTTAAGGGCCCTAGGACTTGGGGAATGAAAAAATGAACTTTGGCTTCAACTTAAAGTCATTAGCTGCATTAGTTACTAACTAGAGAGTCAGCCTGTCTTTGACGTTTTGAAACCAGGCATTGACTTCTCCGCCCAAGCTATGAGAGTCCTAGATGGCATTTTCTTCCAACAGAAGGCTGTTTTGTTAACATTGAAAATCTATTGTTTAGTGTGGCCACCTTCTTCAATTTTCTTTGCTAGATCTTCTAGATAATTTGCTGCAGCTTCTATAATCAGCACCTGCTGCTTCACTTTGCACTTCTATGTTACAGAGATGGCTTCTTTCTTTAAACTCATGAATCAATCTCTGTTAGGTTCAAATGTTTTTTTTTCCTGCAATTTCCTCTTCTCTCTCAGTTTTCATAGAACTGAATAGAGTTAGGACCTGTCTTGCTCTGAATTAGACTTTGGCTTAATTAGACCAGCTGTCGTGGCCAGTTTGATCTTCTATCCAGACCACTAAAACTTTCTCCACATCAGCAATGAGACTGTTTTGCCTTCAAATCATTTGCATGCTCACTGGAGTAGCACTTTCAATTTCCTGCAAGAACTTGTCCTTTGCATTCGCAACTTGGCTATTTGGTGCAAGAATCTGAACTTCTGGCCTATCTCAGCTTTCAGGAGACCTTCCTCACTAAGTTTAACCATTTCTAGCTTTTTATTTATTTATATTTAATTTTTTGAGAGACAAAAATCTCACTCTGTTACCCAGTCTGGAGTGCAGTGGTACAACCATTGCTCACTATAGCCTTGAACTCTTGTGCTCAAGCTATATGCTCATCTCAGCCTTGTAAGTAGCTGGGAATACAGGTGGGCACAACTATGCCCAGCTGATTTTTTTTTTTTTTTTTTTTTTAGTTGTGTAAAGATGAGGGCCTATCCCTACTGCCCAGGCTGGACTTGAACGCCTGGCCTCAAGCAATCTTCTCACCTTGGCCTCCCAAGGTGTAGCTTTTGATTTAAAATGAAACACGCACGACTTTTTCACTTGAACACCTAGAGGCAATTGTAGGGTTATTTATTGGTCTAATCTCAATTCTGTTGTGTTTCAAAAAATAGGGAGTTCTGAAGAGAGGGAAAGAGGCAAGAAAACAACAGGTCAGTGAAGTAGTCAGGGCACACACAGCATTTGTCGAGTCGATTAAGTTAGCTGTCTTATATAGGTATGGTTCATGATGTCCCCGAACAATTAAAATAGTAACATCAAAGATCACTGATTACAGATCACCGTAACAGATATAATTATAATGAAAATGTTTGAAATAGTGCAAGAATTACAATGTGACACAGAGACACAAAGTGATCCCATGCTATTGGAAAAATGGTGCCAGTAGACTTGCTTGACACATGGTTACCACAACCTTCAATTTTGGAAAAAACTATTTTCTGTGAAGCATAATAAAGTAAAACACAGTAAAACGAGACATGCCTATAAAGTGTGTGCAAATGTTTAGTGAAAAAAACTATGAAATATGCTAAAATCTTAACAAAGTCTGTTCAGTTTTAATGGGCTTGCTTTTTTTCTTTGTTTATTGCCTTAAGCCATGATATGTAATTCTGTGTAATCTGCACAGATTTTGTGTTTTAGCAAGATAATTTTCTGGGCTTTATGCTTATTTTATTATGTCCTTGATTATTTAAGAAAACAAAAACTCTTCACTTACGAAAGAACCACGGTTCTTTATAATCATGTTACTTTCTATGTTTATTTTTAAATATTTTATTGTCACTTTTAAATAGGTAGACCAGTATTATTTCTACCTTGAGAGGTCAAATCTCCTGACAACTGCTTTTTTTCCTTCTTCCTGGAAATGAATTTTGAATGTAAAATAAAATAAAATTAAGATAAACTCACATATTTTTTGCACCTAACGTATCTTTGAGATTTTTTTCAAAAGTCTCCTTTAAAAATCACAAAGATTTGTTCTACCTTATAATAAACAGGGACCAGAAATAAGTAAGTTTATTTGACAAGTTAATATTGATTAATTTTATAGAAAGAGTTTTTCAAATCTGAAGAGGTGCTGTTTCCCCACATTAAATTTCCAGGGATATACCGTTATTTAAATAAGAAAAATTATATTATCCATAGACTGTTTCTGGAGATGGGTCAGTGCCTGAGTTCTCCCAAATATGTTTCTATTTATCAGAGTTCTGGTGTTGCTTTGCCTTATAATATTAGGCAACAATGGCGTCTTATTCTTTGTTTCCATGCATGATTCTTACAGACTTCAAACTCTATTATTGAGTATTCTTGTTTTCATGGCAGTTTAGTTATTTGCCTAGGTTCATTAAGAATTTGCCATCTTTTTCCAAGACATAATTGAAAACATTGGCTGATAGCCAAGTTTATCTGGAATGTCATGTTTGAGAATGATGATTATTTAATCATGTATTACCAGCCACTGTTGAGTAACCACATTTGACTTTATGGAATCAATGCTTAGGAAGCACTCTTGGTAAAACTGGCCTTATAACTGGCTTTTAGGATTCTCAGCCTTAAAAGTGGGTAGGAGAAATCATTTTCAGACGGGCCCAAGAACCTCAGAATATTTCAGAGACCTTAAAAAGAAAAGAAATCACTCAATGTGTAGGTATTATAGGTGAAATCTGGTAGAGAGAGTTTCTTGACTTGGCTTCCTAGTGTAAAGAGGCTATGAAAAATCCAATCTGATTCCTAATGAAAATTTTCAGCAAAGTAAACATGAAAAGACCTATGTAGTAAATTAACACTGTTGCTGTTTCTATGTCAATGATAAAGCTAAGACTAATGAGACCAGACTTACGTTGTGATTAAGAAAAATATTTGAGATTATTTTTGATCAAAAGAGAAGAGACTGTGGGAAAAAAAGCACTTCAATGGAAAACTAAGCATTGTCTTTAAAACAACCTTATGAACTGTCTGATTCGAATGCTATTCATTATATTCAATTATATGCATTCCTCGAAGACATTGTGGGTTTGTTTCTAGACCATTGCAATAAAATCAATATGCAAAAAAGTGAGTCACATAATTTTTTTTTGTTTCCCAGTGCCTATAAACATTATATTTACACAATACTGTAGTCTATTAAGTGTGTATTATGTCTAAAACAATAATGTATATAGCTTAATTAAAATTAATTTATTGTTAAGAAGTGCTGACATAGAGACACAAAGTAGGCAGTAAGCACGCGGTGTTGGAAAAATTATGCTGGTAGACTTGTTGGATGCAGGGGTGCCCAAAACCTTCAATTTGTAAAAAACACAATATCTGTGAAGTGCAATAAAGTAAAGCACAATAAAATGAGGTATGCCTGCATTTCACACCTATTTATTAATTGTAAGGAACACATAGATAGGCAAACTCTATCTTTTTCAAAGAGTGTCCATTGATTTTCTCTGCTTCTGTATTTAAAAAAAAACAGTTTTGTACTCATTTGTAATTCTTTTCCTTTGGGTGTGTATGTGTGTGTGTGTGTGTGTGTGTGTGTGTGTATGTATATATAATTACTTTTCCTGAACTGGTGATAACATCTTCCTTGTTCCCTCATATAAGAAAAGCCATAAAGTTTAATGTGTTTAGATTTTACATTTGTATGACGGTTCTGACTTTATCTTCTTCTGAATATTATGTTTAACAGTACTATACAAACACTTCAAGATTGCTCATGGAAAAGTAAGCATCCCTAAAATATAGAGGGGGATACTGTCATTATTTCAACTCTCTCTCTCTCTCTCTCTATATATATATATATATACACACACACATATGTGTATATATGTGTATGTGTGTGTTTATAGTGTTACTATTTAATACACATTAGGTTTTGGAAACAAGATTAAAGATCTATCTATTGATAGACAGATAGATAGATAGATAGCTCATCTGTCAGTTGTTGTCAAATACCATGTGAAAGATGGATGGAAATAGTTTATAGTTTTGGTAGAGATAGATTATAATAGTCAGGGCAAGGAATAAACAACCTCAGAGAGTTAAGTAGATATAGACGATGATATGGTTTGGCTCTGTGTCCCCACCCAAATCTCATCTTGAATTGCACTCCCATAACTCCCACATGTTGTGGGAGGGAACTGGTGGGAGATAATTTGAATCATGGGGGTGGTTCCCCCATACACTTCTCATGGTAGTGAATAAGTCTCATGAGATCTGATGGTTTTATCAGGGATTTCCACTTTTGCATCTTTCTTATTTTTCTCTTGTTGCCACCATGTAAGAAGTGCATTTTACCTCCTGCCGTGATTCTGAGGCCTCCCCAGCCATATGGAACTGTAAGCCCAATTAAACCTCTTTTTCCTTCCAGTCTTGGGAATGTCTTTATCAGCAGCATGAAAACGGACTAATAGAGTAAATTGTTAGTAGTAGAGCGGAGCATTGCTGAAAAGACACCCAAAATGTGGAAGCGACTTTGGAACTGGGTAACAGGCAGAGGTTGGAACAGTTTGGAGGGCTCAGTATAAGACAGGAAAATTTGGGAAAGTTTGGAATCTCCTAGAGACTTGTCGAATGGCTTTGGCCAAAATGCTCTTAGCAATATAGACAATAAGGTCCAGGCTGAGGTGGTCTCAGATAGAGATGAGGAATTTGTTGGGAACTGAAGCAAAGGTGATTCTTGTTATGTTTTGGCAAAGAGACTGACTGCATTTTTCCCCCACCTAGAGATCTGTGGAACTTTGAACTTAAGAAAGAGGATTTAGGGTATCTGGCGGAAGAAATTTCTAAACAGCAAAGCATTCAAGAAGTGACTTTGGTGTTGTTAAAAGTATTCAGTTTTATAAAGGAAGCAGAGCATAAAAGTTTGAAAAATCTGAAGCCTGACAATGTTATAGAAAAGAAAAATCTATTTTCTGAGAGAAATTCAAGCCTGCTGTAGAAATTTGCACAAGTAACGAAGAACCAAACGTTCATCTCCAAGACAATGGGGAAAATGTCTCCAGGGCACGTCAGAGATCTTCATGGCAGCCTCTTGCATCACAGGCCTGGAGGCCTAAGAAAAAATGGTTACGCCGGCCGACCCAGGGTCCCCATGCTGTGTGAAGTCTAGGGACTTGGTGCCCTGCATCCCAGCCATTCCAGCCATGACTAAAAGAGGCCAAAATACAGCTCGGACTGTTGCTTCAGAGGGTGGAAGCCCCAAGCCTTGGCAGCTTTTCTATGTTGTTGAGCTTGTGAGTGCACAGAAGTCAAGAATTGAGGTTTAGGAACCTCCACCCAGATTTCAGAAGATGTATGGAAATGCCTGGATACCCAGGCAAAAGTTTGCTTCAGGGGCGACGCCCTCATGGAGAACCTCTGCTAGGGCAGTGCAGAAGGGAAATGTGGGGTCAGAGCCCCCACACAGAGTCCACACTGGGGCACTGTCTAGTGGAGCTGTGAGAAGAGGGCCACTGTCCTCCAGACTCCAGAATGGTGGATCCACTGACAGCTTGCACCATGCACCTGGGAAAGCCGCACACACTCAATGCCAGCCCGTCAAAACAGCCAGGAGCGGGGCTATACCCTGCAAAGCCTCAGGGGTGGAGCTGCCCAAGACCATGGGAATCCACCTCTTGCATCAGCGTGACCTGGATGTGAGACCTAAAGTCAAAGGAGAACATTTTGGAACTTTAAAATTTGACTGCTCTGCTGGATTTCGGACTTGCGTGGGCCCTATAGCCCCTTTGTTCTGGCCAATTTCTCCCCTTCTAAATGGCTGTATTTATCAAATACCTGTACTCCTATTGTATCTAGGAAGTAACTAGCTTGCTTTTGATTTTTCAGGCTCATAGGCAGAAAGGGCTTGCCTTGTCTCAGATGAGACTTTAGAACGTGGACTTTTGGGTTAATGCCGAAATGAGATAAGACTTTGGGGAACTATTGGGAAGGCATGAATTGTTTTGAAATGTGAGGACATGAGATTTGGAGGAGCCAGGGGTGGAATGATATGGTTTGGCTCTGTGTCCCCACCCAAATCTCATCTTGACTAGTACTCCCATAATTCCCATGTGTTGTGGGAGGGACCTACCTGGTGGGAGATAATTTGAGACGTGGGAGCAGTTTCCCCCACACTGTTCTCGTGGTAGTAAATAAGTCTCATGAGATCTGACGGTTTTATCAGGGATTTCTGCTTTTGCATCCTTCTCATTTTTCTCTTGCTGCCACCATATAAGAAGTGCCTTTTGCCTCCTTCCATGATTCTGAGGCCTCCACAGCCATGTGGAACTGTAAGTCCAATTAAACCTTTTTTTTTCTTTCCAGTCTCATGTATGTCTTTATCAACAGTGTGAAAATTGACTAATACAGATGATACAGACAGATATAGAGATACAGATATGGATGTAAATATATATGTGTGTGTGTGTGCATATATATAGTATAGAGCTTTTGTGAAGTAGTCTAGGATAGTTTGATGGTCCCTGGGGCATTTGAATAGGTTTTAGTTAGAATAATCGAAACATTGACTAAATTTAGCCATTTATTTTTTAAACTATCATGTGGGTGGATCTGTAAATCACATACAATGGAAGTAAAAGGATGATTCAGTGTGAAGGTGCCAAGTGGAATGCAGATCTATGTGCTGCATGGAACAGGAGCTGCCTAAGCTGCACCAAGCTCAGCCATGTGCCAGAATCAAGGCCTGAGCAGGCTCTCTGAGCTTTATTGTCAACTTTAAATGATAAGATAACAGCAGCTTCCTAGAAGATTGCTTTAAGAATTGCAGATTAATCATGTAAGTATCTCATACCTAATTAGAACTTATAAAGTAGTTGCAATTATTATTGTTGGAAACGACTCTCTCTATGCTTTAGTCATTTTTGAAGGTGTGTGCTTATGTCTGTACCTGTGTGTGTCTAGAAGGAGTCCTTTTCTACAAAATAGAGCATTTTATTCTTACTATCTTGTATAGTGAGGGTTATGTTATCCTCATTTCTATTGCTTCATTCCTCTTATCTATGCTTTTCAGCTTTTGACCATCATTGGGCCTCTCTGGCCACTTTAACAGAAGCCACTTTTAAATTTTGGGGCCATCAGAGGAACTTCATGAACTTTCATTTGGACTGTGGACTTTCAAAAAAGTTGCTGTTGTGTTTTCTGTTCTTCTCAGAAAAAAACAAATGTTTTAAGAGCATAAGAAATGCTGACATATTGTAGTGTTTCTGTGGGTTCACTGGCAAAAATGTGAGTAAAAGAGATTATACTCATGCTGGTATATTTATTAGGAAGAGAATATGTAGAAACCAAGAAGTACTTGTTTTAACATATACATTTGTGACAAGAGTTAAATTTGAGTTATTTTTGTCTTCTCTCCCAAATGGGGCACAACTAGAATGAGCTGGGGAAGACAGTTGTCACAAACGCACAGAATATAACTTTCAAGGGAGAAACTCAGATGTAGGTTTACTCAGTTCTGGCCTAATGTAGTCTGCATATCTGGCAGTTAGCCTGTCCCTGAGCTACATTTCCAAAACCTATTCCACTATGTAATCACCTGTAATTTATTTCCTGTCTTAAAGAAACCAGAAACCACTGCTAAGTATCAGTTGACTAATGCTGACTTAGCGTCTGATGTGTTCACTGTACTCTGCTGGGGCACTGGGAGCAAGACCCAGAACTATGAATATTTAAACTGATTTCAAGGGGTTTATAGCCAAGTTATGTAAAAGGACATACACCTTGGAATATTGTGAGGTATAAAATAAGGTTAGCTAACATCATTGGATATTTAATGTTTACTCTGTGCCAAGTTCTACTTTATGGGAGATTCTCACCACAACTCTTTGGTAAGTCGTATTATCATCCTCATTTTACAGATGGAGAATCTGAGAAACAAGCAGTTACTGAAAAATGTCCTAGGTCACATAAGTAGTGAATAGGCTTTCTAGGGTGTAAGGGCAAGAGATTTGGTTGAAGAGCATATGCTCTAGCCACTTTACACCAGGAAGAGACAATGCCTGCTTTAGGAGCCCAGAGTATTAGGTCCCTGTGAACTGGGTCCTCCACAAATGGCTTTGAGAAGGAAAAATTTATACTGGACTTTTAAGGATGAATAAGGTATGTTGAGATTTGAACTGGCACAGTAGGAGGGAGACAAGACCACCAATCAATTTGAGGGATAAAATGAGAAGAATATCTGGGTTCATTGTTTTGAAATCTGTCCACCCATTCCGTTATCTCTATTTCATATCTCCATCTCACTTTGATTCTGACTCTTAAGTCTAGTCACAGCAGCAGAATGAAAGTCTGACTCATGAGAATGATCTGTACTGCTATATGCTAAGAATGTGAGGTGGGTAGGAGAGTGTGTGCCCTATCTCTCATCATCCTGAGTGAAGAAACTGATTCCAGAGGAATTGGAATATGAAAAACTGAGACACTACAACTTTTACTTCTACCACACACAACTTCAATAATGTATGACTTATTTAATAAAACTTTTAATTGCATATCTTCCAAATACAAAATGAGAAAATGTTCTTATACAAAAAGAGTATTTTCAGGTACTTTATCAACTCTATAATGTGGGAGAGGAGTAGCGACTCCATTTAGAGTGGGTTTTTTACACTAAAAGTCATTCTCACCTATTTCAACATCTTTATTAAGAGTGTGGTCATGTTACCAAGTAAAAATTATAGAGTCTTTCCCATGCCCAAGATATCTGGTATAAAAAAATCTGTATAAAATAATAATACAAGTTTTTAAACCAGGAGGAAACCGCAGAGATAATGTTACTTATTATATTAACCAGGAAAAAGACTTCCCCAAATCATAGCTTTCATTGGTGGCAGGGACGTAATTGGAACAATCGTTTCTAAAAATATATTTTTTACTATATAGAGAGCTCATATGACATCTAATCCTGCATTCCTGGCACAATGACCCTGATTTCCATTTTTAGCTGGTATTGTTATTGACAAGGTATAGTCTTCAGCTATCCTCTAAACTCCTATAAAGACTTTGTCCTTGTATTTTCAGGTCACACAGCATCTAGCTGAGTATCTGGAGCCCAGCGCATTTGTAAAACTGATTGGTGGTGGTGGGGAATACCAGATGTAGCCAAATTACATGTCTTTGAAGAAGATGTGAAAATCGCCAGATTATTAATCTTGAGGCATGCAATGAATACTTTAAACCCGGAGGTTAGGGTATGGAAGAGAGTGAATTTGAACATTTACTTTAAAATTTGTGTGAACAAAGGAGAGTGAGTTTGAAACTTTAACCCTGACATCAAAATTAAATCTGTAGAAAATAAAACTTCCCATTAAACGAAACTCAAAATAGAAGTAAATAAATAAATACCAAGTTGGCATGAATACCCTTGCTAACAGAAGCTGCTGAATTTCCCACACCTCTTACAGTGATTAATCCCTTCCTACAGGCCAAAACCTAATTATAAACCATTCTAATTAGTCAGGAAATAGGACTACTATTCCTTGTTGAGAAAAAAAAAATGTATAGGAGGAAACACTACTACTGCATGAGAACTCCAGAATGAGGCAGGGGAAATTTAGGTGTTAACGCAAATCCGAGGTCTCATGCCATGAAGCTTATTTCCTTGCATCAGTTAACTACTGCCTATATATTTTTATGAGGCCTCTTCAGTTTATTTTGCTGCCTTAACTCCACTTAGTACCAGTTTCATTGTAGCAAGCCTTTAAACTTAAAGTAAGTGTTATGTAAAATATTATTTAGATTTTACATAAAATGTATCTTCAGAACTTTCAAGTGCTCTAGGGCAAAAAGGAGAAAATCTTCTAAGAAAAAAATCTTAATATTCCAGATATAATGAGTTTGTTTTACATTATCTTTCTTATTTTTCCCCCCTCTGGACTATTTTCACTTGGGTTCCTTTCATATCCCAGTTAGCAAAGGAATTGACCAGAACTAAGAACAGCCCTAGAGCAATAGCTAAAATTCTGCTGTGCTTGTCAGATACCGTCTGACCACCGATTACTGCCCGAGGGGAGTTTGTTTTCTTTATAAACTTTTTGGTGGGTTTTTATCGCCAGAAAAACAGCTTTTATTCCTCTCAGGAGAAACTTCAGGATTGTGTTGAGGAAAGTATGAGCTTTTGATATTTTATTATTATTTTAAATCATGAGTTTTGTGTGCTATGTTAAAGGGTGAAAGACAGGCCTTTTCATTAAATTGAAATAAGGAGAACATCATAATAATAGATGATACAAATGTGATCGACCTGCAAACTCGCCTCAGGCAAAGGTTTACATGAGTCATGATAGATACATGCAACAGGAATCTGTTGTTTCTCCTACATTTCACCTATGGAAAACATACCATTTCATCAATTCTTGGGATTAAGTAAGGTGTTATCAGTCAGTCTCAGAAGAAAACAGAATTCACCCCAGGTTCAGATGAAACTAATGAAGACATTTTTATAGAGGTGTGGATAGGTTTAGGGGGAAAAAAGAGTGAGGCGTTCAGATACTAGCAACAGTGAGAAGCCTCTACTATCCTCAGGGCCAAAGGATTTCAGGGAGGCAATAGTCCCAGTAGAGCCCATTGGCAACTGGAAATATGGAAGAAAGGGCTTGCTGTAGGAACACAGGGCAGGACAGACAAGTATAGAGAAGTGTGCAGTGGGTGGGAGGGCCAACGGAGAATAACCAACACTCGAGAAATTGATCTATGGATTTGCAGTAGTTCTGGAGAGATTTCTTTTGGTCTAGTTTATGCTTTAAAAAAAAAAACTAAAAAATATGCTCTCTGGCTTTGATGCTTTTTTTGTTTTGTTTTGTTTTTGTTTTGAGACAGTCTCACTCTGTTGCCCAGGCTGAAGTGCAGTGGCCGATCTTGGCTCACTGCAACCCCCGCCTCCCAAGTTCAAATGATTCTCCTGCCTCAACCTCCTGAGTAGCTGGGATTACAGGTGCACACCACCATGTATGGCTAATTTTTGTATTTTTTATTAGAGACGGGCTTTCACCATGTTGGTCAGGCTGGTCTCGAACTCCTTACCTCAGGTTATCCGCCCGCCTTGGCCTCCCAAAGTGCTGGGATTACAGGCGTAAGCCACTGCGCCCAGCCAAGACTTTAGATTACTGCTTTTGCTTTAGAGGGTCGACTCAAATTCTGTGTTTAGAGGGTCAACTCCATGTCTGTGGCTTCTCCCCCAAGGAGAATTATTTTCTCATCTAGAATATAAATTCCTTTAAGACTAGGAGGACTCAGTCATTGAGAACCCATTAAGTTGTGTATGAAGTAAAGTAACAAATACTCTGATTTGTAGTCTGGAATGCTGGTCATTATTTACACTAATAACCAATATTCATATTCTTCCTTCTAAGACATGGTAGGATTGCACTTCTCTCCTCTTTAGAAGTTAGGCAGGGATGTATTATTGCTCTGGCCAGTGAAATGTGATAGTAAATAATATCCGTCATGTGGAAGTAGAAGCCTTTATGGACCAGTGCCCCATTCCCATGTTCCCTTCCAGATTCTGAGCTATCCCAGATGGCAGAACTCAATTAGTGTGCCTTCTCTAATGAGTAGGGTATAGGACAAAGCCTCTCACTGATCCACGATGTACAACTTGGGTAGGTAAGGGGGAAATTGTTTTATTTAAAGCCTCTGCAGTTATGGATTATTTATTATTGCAACTTATACAATTATGATTAATCCAGAAGTTTATAGAAATGTCACTAACTAGTTTAATAAAACACTTTAAATCCCATTGGTTAAAAATAAAAATAAGACCATATCAAACAAGGCTACCAAAAATAGGGAACGAAAGCAGCCTATAAGACATACTGTAGGGGCTTCTTTCTAAGGAGATTAGTAAAAACAAATATATCAGTATAAACACAGATACGGCTGCACCTTAGTGTATATGTATAGAAAGAGAGAGGTAGGGGCCATGAGGGAATTTACTTGCCTGCAGTAGAAGTTTTGAGATAGAAAACTGTTCTGGAAGTATACACGCATAAGTAAAGCTGGCCTAGATTATCAAGTGAGCAGAGTTCATAAAACCCCAGTATCAAAGGATTGAGGAAGATCTTGAAAGGTCACTTGGTTTATTCACCTCTTTTCAAGGAGGATCACACCAAAACCATCGTGAAAAAAAAAAAAAAAAAAAAGAAGCTATTCTATTTTTAAGGCCATCTGTAGAAGAAGATTTTCCCTGGTCAGAACTGTTTTTCAGCTAGTATCAAACTTTCTATTTTGAGTGAAACGCCTCACTTACATTCAGAACACTAAATGCGTCACTCAACATCTGTATTCATTTCCTTGGGCTGCTGTAACAAATAATTACAAACTGTACAGAAATTTATTCTCTCACAGTTCTGGAGGCTAGAAGTCTAAAATCAAGATTTCAGTAGGGCCACGTTCCTTTTGAAAGCTCTAAGAGGCATCTTCCTCCCTCACCTCTTTGTAGTTTCTGATGGCTCCTGGCAATTCTTGGCTTCCTTGGCTTGCAACCATAGCTCTCCAAGCTCTGACTCTCTTGTCACATGGTTCTTCCCTGTGTGTCTTTCAGTGTGTCCTCTTTGTTTAAGGTCATCAGCCATTGGATTTAGGGCCAAATCTAATCCAGTTTGAACTTATCCTAACTTAACTAGTTACAACTTCAAAGACCCAGTTTCCAAATAAGCTCACATTCTGAGGTTTCTGGTAGACATAAAATTTTGGACAATACTGTTAAACCTACTACAGCATCCTTTATGACTTGTCCTGAAGCAGAAAACATCAATTTTTTTTAAAAAGAACTGTACCCTAAGTGTTTTTTCTTGCAGTCAATTCAAAATTTGTAGCTCATTTAATGGGGATGGCTTTCATTTTACTATTATTTTGATGGTTTAAATTAATGCAAAATTATTTTAAAATGTCATCATGAATATGATCTTTGTGCTGGTTTTTGGTGGGAAGAGAGAAACCAGCCTAAGATCCAGCACTGAACTTGCAAAAATAATAATTTTTTGACTCTAGCTGATTAAATGAATGAGATGAACACACTTGATGCACACAACATGTCAAGCTGTATTATGACGCAGTGGACAGTGTGGGGCTTTTTTAGCCATAAATACTGCGAAAGATGTGGACAGAGGCAATGCAGTATGCACTGAAGTTATCAGAAAGATTTTAAGGAGGAGAAAGAAGATGTAAAGGGTAGATAGGATTTTATGAAAGAACATATGTTGTATCTAGTTGAGAGAACTACAAAATAAATCAGTAAAACGGGGTAAGAAGCAGCTGTCCATAGAATTGACTGGCCACAGAGATCTGGCCATAGAAGAGCATTTTAAAATAGAATGGGGGGCTTTGATTTATAAAAGTGAGCCAGGACCTGCATGTAAGACTTTCAATGTCAAATTAAATTCAAGCACCATTCTAATGGTGCTGGGGAGGCCCTAAAATCTCTGGGCCCCAGAAAGACATGGTATAGAGGATATTGGGAGAAAGTGGCCTTGGTGACTGAGTGAAGGTTGTGTTTTAGGGATGGGAGTTTAAAGATTGTTGCAATGGGCCAGGCAAGTTTTGAGGGCTTGTTTCTTAATGAATAATGGGAAATCATAACATGACAGCCATCACATGAAAATTCTTGCTTAGGACAAGGGTGCTCCATAGAGAATATTCCACTGTGGGATTTATGTTGCTTTTCTAACAATGGTCTATAGAGAAGAACATTTTCCTTCTCCGTGAGCCCCTTCATTCCTCAGGACATGAGAAAACCACCGTCACCCTCAGTGTGTGACATCCACTGTTTTGGCTGCTCTCCACTTAACCTGAGTTTCATTTAAAAGATGAATAATAAAAAAAAGAACGTTCTCAGCCTTCACCTTTGGAAAAAAATCTCCTTATTCAGCAAAAGATAATGTAAGGTTGCCCTGTTAACTCAGCCTTGCAGAAAACATTCCTGTCAGTTGGCATGAGCTTTGTTCCTTTCACCTCAGGCAGGTGGTAAAGGCATTTTGCAAAAGAGGATTCCAAATTAGGTTAAGCACCAAAATAGGGAAATGACCCGGCTCACCCTGGTGGGGAGAGATTGAACTGCTGAAGTATATCCAAATTCACTCCTTTCAAGCCATGTTTCAGTGAGGTTTTGGGGAGAATAAAAATGGAAAAAATGGTCGACTGTGATGGCTTTCCAACTTTCTTTTAACAAGCCCTATCCCAGTGTTCTGAGGCTGGAGTACCCCACTAAATGATAATTTTACTTGCTGGTTTTTTTCCAACCACACAATCCTTTCTTTGAGCGTATCTTAATACCACTTTCTTCTGAAGGTGTTGGATGTCCTTTATCCCGGGGGCATGTGCACATAAGCAATGCCTCCTGGAGGTTGAAGCTTCTATAAGATACACAATGATGATATTATTTTCATGAAATACCAGATATCAGGGCAGGTCATAGGAGAGTTATAATAGGAAGAAAGTTTCTATTATCAAACTTTGCATCAGCCGATTATATAGAATCCTACCCAAACTAATTTTTAATGCAGGGAGGCTCTGCCCTTAAGCTCATAGGCCTGTCCCCTAATAGATTGTTGCCATGTTTAGGGAAGCAAACCATTTATCTTATGGTTCTCCTGTGGCTGATGTGCATTCACAGGATTCAGGGCCTGAGCGATAACCCTTTGTCCAGGGAATATTTATAAGAATGGTGTGTCTTCCTTTGATTAAAATGTCTCTCATCTTTCCCAAATCTACAAATATCCTGTTGACTCAGTGTGATACTCTGTCTCCTGGATTGTTTCTCCTTCTCTGAAAATGTTCCCTGGCCACTCCAGCTTTTATTGAGGCCTACTTGCCTCTAAATGTCTACAGCCACATTGAGCATCTAGCCATGTGTATATTTATTGAGGTGGTCTTTGCAAGGTATTTAATGTTTACTAAATTAATCAATGGAGTCCATGGAGAGAAATAATTCCTAGATAGGCTATTCAGAAAAAGATGAGTCTCTAAGTATGAGGCTTGAGTTTCTCTACTCATTTACAATATTGAAAGACATCAAAAGTTTTGTCCCAGTGTTTCTGATCTTCTTTGAGATGATGACATCACCTTTATCTAGACATCTGTAAAGAATGGGGGGAGAAGGATGTCTACTTCACAAAGATTGAAATAATTAATAAAAGTCTATGCTACGCTTATTTCAGTATTGACTTCTTCAGTGACACCACTGGGGAATATAGAAACATTTCATTTTCTATTGGGATCAGGAAAACCTTTCTACTTCTCTTTCATATTAGATCAAATAAAGGCACAAACTCTTTTGTGAAGGTGAAGGACAATTCTTCTCTATTTCTTGATAAGTCAAAGAATGAATAAATATTTTAAAAAGAATTTCCTTCCCCATTTTGGCCTCCTTATAGCATGACTAGCCAATGTTCAGAGAGCTGAAATCTCATTTGTGTAGGCCTGAAAAGACATATTATATTTTATTCTAATAAAGCTTTTTACTTTGCTCTTAGTTGCCAAGGTAGTATACAGGGAGGAGAGAGATTTCCATTAACTTAGCATCATCTTACTATTAAAACATTAAATCCCTCTCATTTCAAAATTTTGTAAAAAATATATCAGAGGACATTTTCAAAGTATGTGGCTTAGAATGTAGGAAAATAGACAACTTAAGTTCAGAAAACTTTTAATCAGCTCTTATTCTGGGACTAGACCCTTGATTTTGACTGAATCACTTCGGTCCTTTTGAGTCTCAGTTTCCTTATCTATCAGATAAACACTGGGTTGTGGGAGTGTTTTAAAGCTCAAAGGAAAGAACATATGTGAAAATTCTAAGAAAAATATAGGACGTGGTGTAACAGCTTTTTCCATTTCCATGACATTGTTATTTTTAGCAATATTTCTGTGTAAGAAACTGAACTGTTGAAATACTCTGATTACAGCACTAATTTATAAAAATAACTATGTATTTATTCAATAATACAATGAATACCTGTGAAGCCCTGGCCAACCCAGCAACTAGCACATTAAAAGTAACTTCTATCTTCCAGTGTTCCTCTTGACCACACCTGCCTGCTTCCACAACCCAGAGAAACTAAGAACTGGGAATTTATACCTATTTGTATACTATGCATATGTGAAATGTATTTGTAATATAAATTAACAAACATATGTATAAATATATATGTGTGTTTATATATCACACACACACACACACACAAACAGCTAAAGCTAAACATTCCTCAGTTATATTAAGTTAGTATTAGCTGTTGTTTTAACTTCTAGTTCCAATAAATTACTTTTTTACTGAATATTCTTAAGTAAGTTCATCAAAATTGTAGCATTTGACTTGAGTTTATTTTCACACATGTATACTATTCTATTGTGTGAATATACCACACACTATATGACTATTCTCATTTTGATGAATTTTTTTGTTGTTTTAATCTTCCGTAGATTGTTGCTATTACAAATGGTGTTGCTATAAATTTTGTTGTATACCTTTGGTGAACATGTGTAAGGATTTTCTTCTAGGTATTTACCAAGGAGTCAAATCATTGTGATAATAGGTTATATGAATATTCACTCTTAGATGATCATATCAAACTGCTTTCCAAAGTGGTTGTACCAGTTTACACTCAACACCAGAGTTTAAAAGAGCCTATTTGTATTTCAACATTTGGTATTATAGACTTGTTAATTTTTGCCAATCACATTGCATTAAATATAACCTTACTTTGGGTTTTATTCACTTAATTCAATATCACTAAAGACTTTGAGCATCTCTTCTTATATTTAATGATTATATGTGTTTCTTCATATATATTTATTTTAGTGGGAGTGCCATGTCATTTTTAGGCCTAGTGCTATATCTTAGTGCATTCAGTTAGAGTTACAAAAGACTGGGAACTCTTTTTCATTTCTTTGGATTCTCTCAAATAGTATCCAGAAAAGTGTTTTGCCAGCAGGAGTTTCCTCCATAAGATGAATGGCTTCTATGACTTCCTGTGTCTTCTCAATTGGAAAGCCTATAGGAAGATTTAAAGTTTATACGGTGCTTTGCTGGGCACAAAACAATGATAAATACAAATTACCTAATTCCTTCTTTTAGGAACTTGAAATCTTGAAGAGATAGTCACATTGATTCAAACCCTCACCGTTTTATCACTTCTTCATTTATTTTTCTACCTTCAAGTTTTGTTTCATTCTGGCCAAAATGAAGGCATGATGTAATTTACATTAATAACTCAAATATTTGAAATAATATTAACAAAAATTTTCAATATATTAATAACAGCCAAAATTTCAATAGTAAAGAAAATGTAAAAAAAATATTGATTTGGCATATCAGATAGGATTATCTCAGCAGGCAAACTTTTCAACTTCCCATAAAGGGACATAAAAGCACATAATGGGACTATATGCTTTTCAGATGCAGTCTCCGTCTGCCTACTTTCAAATCAGTGACTGAAGATGTATACCACATCCAGGATTCCTAAATTATACTTCATTTGAGGCTTTACAGAATCTAACTTCAAAGCTACTCTGAAGAGCTTTGTGGGTTACCCAACTTCAAAGGGTACTTGAGATTATTTAACATCATTAAACAGAGCAATCTAAGAGACAAAGACACAGGCTAAAGTCAAAGCAATTTTAAAGACACTATACATCATTGTCTTTGCTATTACTTTTCTTTTCAACTTACTTAAAACTGTCACTGTTTACCCATTCATATGCATGTCCAAAGTTTATGCGTGTTTTGGGGGAAACTTTGTACTCAAACCTTGGCCTTATCATTTCCTGAGATTTTTCTCATTTTGTCTTAAATGTTCCTTGATATTTCTGGCTCCAGGATATTGACTAAGCATGTGAATTCCTCTTTAAACAAATACAATAGCCTATTTCCAAAAGTCATACTATGAGGCACAGCTGTCACAACATCTGACAAATATTCACAGCCAAGGATATGACCTAGCAAGTCTGAATGCACTTTCTCATTTTTCTCATATTTTCACATTTATCTCTCCTTCATTCAGAAGCATTTGTCAATCTGCCTCTATCCATGGCAGCCCTTCTTATTTTAATGTTCTCACTCTTACCCACAAACTAAATTTACATTTCTTGCTGTTATAAATTTTATATTTTTGTGTGTGGAGAAACATTCCATCAAGAAGACTGAAGCCCAGTAAACTCCCAAAGACAAGACTTTCAGAAGGTAAAGCACTCCCTTCCTTTATAGACTAGCAAAGATGAGAACAGATAAAAATAAAAATAAATAAGAAAAGGTTTTACATCAGTCTGTGAAGTTACTCTGTCTATTCTCATCTCTCTATCAAAGAGTCCTGGTAGAGGATTGAGGATATCAATAAGCTCTATGGCTTGAGTCTAACTCTGCAAAGGTATTTTTGGTAATGTGAATTTATTGTGTATAGAATATAAAAACATAGGTACAATATGACACTCAAATTATATATATGTTATATATAATCATACAATTATATATATGTTTTATATAATCATACAATTATATATATGTTATATATAATCATACAATTATATATATGTTATATATAATCATACAATTATATATATGTTATATATAATCATACAATTACATATGTTATATATAATCATACAATTATATATATGTTATATATAATCATACAATTATATATGTTATATATAATCATACAATTATATATATGTTATATATAATCATACAATTATATATATGTTATATATAATCATACAATTATATATATGTTATATATAATCATACAATTATATATATGTTATATATAATCATACAATTATATATATGTTATATATAATCATACAATTATATATATGTTATATATAATCATACAATTATATATATGTTATATATAATCATACAATTATATATATGTTATATATAATCATACAATTATATATATGTTATATATAATCATACAATTATATATATGTTATATATAATCATACAATTATATATATGTTATATATAATTATACAATTATATATGTTATATATAATACAATTATATATGTTATATATAATTATACAATTATATATGTTATATATAATTATACAATTATATATGTTATATATAATTATACAATTATATATATGTTATATATAATCATACAATTACATATGTTATATATAATCATACAATTATATATATGTTATATATAATCATACAATTATATATGTTATATATAATCATACAATTATATATATGTTATATATAATCATACAATTATATATATGTTATATATAATCATACAATTATATATATGTTATATATAATCATACAATTATATATATGTTATATATAATCATACAATTATATATATGTTATATATAATCATACAATTATATATATGTTATATATAATCATACAATTATATATATGTTATATATAATCATACAATTATATATATGTTATATATAATCATACAATTATATATATGTTATATATAATCATACAATTATATATATGTTATATATAATCATACAATTATATATATGTTATATATAATTATACAATTATATATGTTATATATAATACAATTATATATGTTATATATAATTATACAATTATATATGTTATATATAATTATACAATTATATATGTTATATATAATTATACAATTATATATATGTTATATATAATTATACAATTATATATATGTTATATATAATTATATAATTATATATATGTTATATATAATTATACAATTATATATACACACACACACACACACATATGTATATATATTTAACTAGATTCCATTTTATATGTGTTTTTCAATTAGTTAAAATTCCGGAAATACAAAACAGAAAAATATCTTAAAGGTCATCTGCCCCATCCTCTATTGATAAGTAGAATGACCATATAATTTATTGTCCAAACATATGTACTCTTGGAAATGAAAAAGCATACTACTAATAATTAGGTAGATATAACAGGTATTAGCAGGAACTATGACAGGCAACGAAGGGTAAATGGTCATCCTAGTCTTAAAGATTGCATTAAGTAGTTTGGGCTCATGCATTGAAAGCGCTACACAACATCAGAAACCAGGTTTCCTAGTGTCTCGTTAAGAATACATTGTAACACATGAGTTAACTAGCTCGTGGTCTTTCAGTCTGAAATATGCATTGATCATTTTGCCCAAGGTCTGAAGACAAGTCACATCAAACCACTGACCTAAGAAAAATGGAATTAATGTTGCAACTGCATTCTCCTAACTTCTCACTGGACTTGAGATGGTAAAGGATTCTGACAGCATGCTTTCCCCTTGGGCAAACCAAACCGGGCTGACATGATCCACTTTGATTTGGCCAACTTGTCAATGAGAGGCATGATGACCTTCTGCACATATGTACTCCTCTCACAAACTCCCTGGGTGCAGAGGTTGTGTCCTGCATCTGATTCAGGGAGGAATGACCATTTGAGGTGGTTTTTCATCAATAGTTACCCTGGTTGCTCTATTTAGCACTCTGGTGTCTGCAAAACATGTTTGTTATTCTTGCTTATTTTGTCCTTAGTTTAGCATATACTGAACACCTGTTGGGTACAGAAATATGCTAGGGAATATTACATATATTACTGTGATTTATTGTGTATTAAGATTTTAATAATTTTTCTTCCAGGTGAGTCAGACAAATTTGTTTTGTATCTTACAGGCTGCTTGCTTCACTATGGGTCCTAAGGTTACACAGGAAGGCTTCTGCCAGACACTTTCTGCCAGGTTTCCAATGGTGGGAGAAAGATTTATTAAGATTGCTGTTTAAGAAATACTCCTCTAATATATGCATCTTCACTTACAAAAAAAAAAAGCAAAAAATGAAATTCCTGCTGTATTTCAGTCCTCCCATTTCAGAACAGTGAAGACATTCCAATTTGTTCAAATATACTTTACCAAAGGAAATTTGTAGAGGAAGATTCCAGAGTGAGTCTGGTTCTTATTGACAAATATCTGTTGACGAATTATATGGGTGGAGCCCTTCTCTAGGCCTTATAGGTCTTCTTGCTCAAGAGAAGATTAAAATCTGTGAGAAGGAATAATTCAAGGACACAAATGACTTTGTTGTAAGGATAAGGCAAGTTGTAGCATAATAAAACTCAAAAGATTATATTAGAAGTTTAAAGTAGTAAGGAGACAGAAACTTTTCATGGGGAAAATGATATTTAAGGTGGGATTTGAAGAAATGATAAAGTTGTGACTTAAATAGAAAGCAAACATTTTCTGGGTAGAAAAAAAAATAGTATGAGTTTCAGCATGGAGACAGGAAAATATCCAAAAGATTATGATTAGGTAATATACAAAGTTCACCTTAGCTGGAATTTGGGGACAAAAAAGAAATAATGCAAGATTAACAATAGCTCAGATGATTCTAAATTCCTTCTCAGAAGAAATCAAAAGGATACATATTAGTATATTCAAAACCAATGCTAATTTTTCATAAAAGACAACTTTTAAAATATGAGGCTTTGTTCTTTTTAAAGCTCTGTTACGCACATTATTTCACATAATTTTCATAATGTATCTGTGCTATAGATAAGGCAGTTACTATTTCCATTTTATGGGTTGGATAACTGAGATAAACAGAGGTTTATTACTAACCTGGTGGGCAGGTAGGTACCCTCTCTTCCCTTCTCTCTCCCACCAGAAGCAAAGTGCTTGGTCAAAGAGCAATACCTTTCCACACGCAGGAGGTTTTCTTTCCTGTTGAGATTTTATTTGAGTTTTGAAAGTGGGACAATGTTTTTGTCAGGAAACTTCAGTGGATGAAACCACTGCTTCAACCCTGCTAATAAGGCTGCTGCACTCAAACTGTGAGCAAAACCTTGCCAACTCCAAACTGCTGCTGCTCTGCAATCTCATCAGTCCACCTGCCGTGCACCTTGCGCTTTAGTCCCAACTCCTAGGCCCAATCAACTGAATATCTGCTTTGGCTTTGGGTCTTGGCCTCTGATAACTGTCACTGCTGCCTACTGTCCTCATTGCCATCTCCAGGCCCAGCATCCAGACCCCTAATGCAACTGACCAGCTTCTGGGCTGGCAGACACCATTGTGCAGATGGGGTCAGTATGAATGTCCAAGTGGCAAATCAAAGTAAATGCAGATGGGAACACAAGATGTAGATCAGAGCCATGAATCCAAATAAGATGGGGGTTTAAAGAGATTAAAACTGCTAATTAGTGACCTTGGAAACATTCTCATTGGCTAAATAATAAATAAAAATTCATCTGAGTTGGTTTTACTAGTAAATTCAATTCAGGGACTATGCTGAGATGCAGTGGATTCAGCTGGTTTTTATCCCTGAGGGTCATATGCAGGTATATGAAACAGTAGGTCCATGCATTATTTGTATGCGATTAGCATGCAATTTACTCTCTTCTACCTAGACTCTGCGGTCTATTCTCAGTCTCTTTTCAAGTAAAATTTCTATATTTTTTTTCTTTCAGGATGATCCTATTTATCTCTTCTCAAAGTTTTTTCCTTTATTCCACTGAAATCTTAACAGAAATACTCAGAGAGAAAAATATATCACAGAATCAGCATCCTACACAGCAAACCTCCTAGATTTAAATCAGTGAGAACTATGAATGTTCTGAGCTTTCTGAATTGCCTCTTCCCTGAATCTATTCAGAGAACATCCATAAAAGGAACTGCTAGTCTCCTGGAGCAGAAAATATACTACTTTTGAATAGGAATATCTAGGTTTGCGTTCTGGTTCCCCATTTCAAGCAAGTGAGTGAACTTCTCTGAGTTTCATTGTCCTTGGTAATTAAATGACAGGAACAGTGATTGTCTTGTGGTCTCCACATGGTGATTGTTAGGATCAAATGAGACAGGACATGCACACGGTGAATACTGATACTGTATATAATTTTTTGGTATTTTGCTCATTTGGAATTTTGTCTTGATTTTTATTTTTAGAAATATTGCATTAAAATATTCATATTGTTTACTGAGTTTTTTCCTGTCCCTTAAGTTTTGTTCTTGAGGTGAATGCTTCACTGGCATCATTTTAGTTTTCAGACTGGGCAAGTATTATACGATGGTACCATAGTAAAGGTTTTAGCCAGCCAGGTACTGCTGGAGAAGAATAGATGAAGAGAACTACCCAATGCATGGGATATCTAAGTTAGTTTAGAGGAATCACGCTTGGACATTCAGAAAGAAACATTGACTCTATACCATTGTTAACTCTGAATCTCTCTGTGAGAAATTACTATTCCCCTTGGTCTCCCATTGCCCATGAGAATTCAGTGCCAACTCCTTAGCCTAACTTCCAAAATCCATTATCCCTCTGCTGTTCACTTAGTATTAATTCTTAAATCTACAATCGATCTGTCATTTCAGTTAATCATGACTACTATTTAGACAGCCTACTTTTATTTCAGTTTCCAATTTTCAACTCCCTTGTTCTTCCTTCCCAGAATTCTGTTTTCCTATTCAGTAGAGAAACATTTATCAGCCACAAACTTCAAATGAGTCCTTACTTTTCTGATAGGACTTCTCAGTCAGTTTCAACCAAAGATGACCTCCCTTCATAAGATACATGGTGAGCACTGCCTCACTGTATAAAAACTAAGTATATTAAGTTTCTATCTCTGCTTAATGAATTTCTGTCTATATTCTGCTTTATTTATTTATTTTTCTCCAATCCACTGCTAAAATTTCAAAGAGTGAAGGACATACATTTAAATTCCCCCCAGTAAGTTGTTACCAGTATTATACAAAATTAAAATACTTAATAAATATGGAAATGCACTTCCTCCCTGTATATATGCATTTAGTCACTCACATATACGCTTTTTCTCTGTTTGTAAAGGTTCATAGCACTCCTATATTTCAAGTCATATAATTCATATCATATAATTTCTATCATTTAATTTAAGGTATGGTAATTTCTTGTCCTAAAATACTTCTAGTAGTTTCTTGTGAATAAGTTGATTTCACTAAGTGGATGATTAGCTTTTCTGTGCAGGAAATTTGATGTCCTTTTCTTTTCTGTCATCTCCCAGGAATATCTACTGAAAACCTTTAGAATTTCTGACAACATGCAGCTCAAACTCCTGTTAATTATGGCTGACATAGAAAACATACTTATATGTATTTTACATATATTTATTTGTTTATATAACATATACATTTTACATATGCATAGAATACAAATGTATAAAAATTTCCATTTCCTCTTTGTTTTGGGTTGTGGAAACAGGCAGGTATGGTCAAGAGAGACACTGGAAGATGGAAGTTACTTCAGTGTTCCAGTTGCTGGTGTAGCCAGGGCTTCACAGGTATGAATTATGAAGCAGGATATTTCCCTAACCCCTCCTTGGGACTCGCAACAGGGCTACCTTGTTTACTCAGCCTGCTGCTCTCAACTCCTTGTGTGAGGGAGTGCACGAGAGAATAAGGTGGGAACTGGAGTGCATGAGCATTGGAACTGGCTGGCTGTTTCAGTGTGCCTGCAGGACTCAACTCCACTCATTCAGACCCTCTGTGTTCCACCCCTCGCGGGAGGGAGAACGCCGGTGAGCGGGTGCAGGGACTGTTGCAAACACTTTTGGGCGCCAGCAGAAGTGAATTTGTGAGCCCCGTGGCAGTGTCTAGGTGGGGGTGCCTGTGACCTCCAAAGCCCCAGAGGGAATATTACAGTGCTCTTTTAGCTCTGCCATCTGCAGAGGGCTTAAGTGTTAGCACCTCAGTTGGCCTTCTGCTTTTTCACGTGAGGTGGCTGCTTTTTGCCAGCAAGAGCAAAGGGCCAGTGTGACAGCTTTTTGTATCCACACTTGTGGCTCCCAAGCTCTTGTCCAGCACCCAGGAAAAATGAGGTCGCACAAACAAATTGAAGGATGGTAAATGCAGGGGATTTTATTGCTGATGAAGGTGGCTCTCAGTGGGAAGTGGAGCTGAAAAGGGGATGGGGTGGGTAGATAATCTTCCCCTGAATTCTGGCCATATCCAGCAGATTCCTCTCCAAAGTTATGCCATCAAGATGTCCCTCTGAAGTCAAGCCACTTCTCTCCAACGTTCAGATGTAGTCGTTCCATCTTCTGGCTGAGTCTGGGGTTTTCATAGGCACAGGATGGGATGGGGTGGGGTCATGGGTGGTTTAGGAAAAAGCAGCATTTGAGCAGGAAAACAGGGATATAAGTTCTTACTTCGGGCTGTGGTTTCACGCTTTTCAGCTTGAGGGTTGGGTTTCATCAGAAACCTGCTCTTTTCTGCCTTGAATTTCTCTGCCCCCATCCCTATAAATTATATTACTGAATAAATACATAAATACTTTTATTATAGTTCTATAATTGGAGCACGTCAACAGTTCAGCTCAAAACATGAAAATATTACTAAATATTGCAATGCCATGGAAATGACAAGAGCTGTTACCCAATGTCATATTTTTTCCAGAATTTGTCACAGGTGGTTTCCTTTGACCCTTGAAACACTTCCAGGACCCAGTTTTTATCTTATAGGTGAGGAAACTGAACTCCAAAAGAACTGAAGTGACTCAATTAAAGTCAAAGGACTATTCCCAGAATAAGAGCTGATTAAAAGTTTTCTGAAGTTCATTTTCCAACACCTTCAAGCCATCTCTGAAGAAAACCTCCTAGGTTGTTTTTTATGAAACTTTGAATTAAGAAGGGTTTAATGTTTTGATAACTATGGCTCATGCAGAAAACAAAAACAAAAATTGTCATTAACTTTTTCACAGCTATTATATGCAAAGTTCATCTATGTTTGAGGAACTTATCTTTTAAACATGATTAGATATTTAGAAGTTAATCAACTGAAAATTTAAAATTCACTGAGAATTTTCTTGAACCATGTATATAGTTGCTCAATGAATATTATTGGTTAAAATAATTTTCTGACATAGACAAGGTATTGACTGGAAACCTTAGAAAGATATATTTTTCCTTTATATTTACTTCTTTTTAATGTTCTATTTACAGGCTATAAACTCACAGAAAATATTTTGAAATTTTATAACACTCATAGTAAAAACTATCTCATAAGCTATGCTCACTTTTGTCCAAATTTTACCCAGAAGAAAAAGCATGGGCGTGGTGGGCATTGGTAAAGTTCATCTGTAATTAAACTTCAGAAAATATATTACTTTCAAGCCAGAAAATGATCTCAAAAACAGAATAATTCAGGGGCTGTGGTGATGGGGGCCAATTTGTCAAGCCTATCATTGTTCCCAGGCATTATTTGTGTCAGGTTTATCTCTGACTTCCTTACAAATCATTTTTTTTCTGACTCCATGAATTCCTGTGAAATTACTCTTCCAGAAAGAAAATATGATTTTCTAAAATTAGGTGATAATCTCAGTTTAACACCAAATATGAAGAGAAAAGGACTAAAAGAGAAATTCTCTTGAAAAAAATTTACTTCCACTGCACTATCTTAAAGTATGCAACTTTTAATTGAAGTTTTCCTCCCCTAATGCATTCACCTTTCATATTAGTGTTCTCCTCTTTCTTTATCTTTTCAGGCAAACTATTAACTGAACCAGTGGTGTGCTGGGTGTACTGGCTTAAGAGCCCCATTTTTTAAATTGTCAGGAATTTTGAAAGCCAGTTATTAAACAAAGCTATTATTAAAAATAAAATTCCATGTACTTATTAAATGCATTATATTAAAAACCAAAAAAAAATGGATAACACATGTCCTCCTGTATATTTTACTATATTGACTATTATCTTTGCTTTTGACGATACTTTTGTTTATTCTGTCTGCAGCGTGGAAGTATGGCATCATGATGTCTACTGCACATCTATTCCCAACCCCATATTCAGTTGTTTCATGTAGTCTCTTGAAATCTATGGAAACTAGAAAACACTACAAATAAAGCCTTGATTTATTGTTTTGTTGATTGTCTTGACTTAAGAAACTGATAGACAATGTGTTATTAATGCAGATTAAACTTAAAAATGTTTACCTCAGTGGCCGTTATACTGTGAATACCACAAAAACTGAGCAAATATTTTTCTAGTATTTGAAAAGTATTATCCAATTCAGCAAATAATGTCACTTTTAAGTGAATAAAGTATGGGCATGCCTTCATTGCTTTAGTTTCTTGTTACTTGTAAACACACACAAGTATAGCAACCTAACATTTATGCTTAAACTATACTCAGTAGTCAATTACAATCATAGATTAGCTTTGGCCATAAGAGATCAGCAAAAATCAACAAAGCATATCAATTGGCTATATGAAATTTTCAATGTGCATTGTATGTTTTGTTATTATTTTAAAATTGTGTTATATTTTTTAACTTTAAAACTTACAACACAAATATGTAAGTATATGTGTATATACACATGCATACACACACTCACAATTGAGGGTTTTTGGCGTAGAAGGAGACAAACCAGAGGTTAAACATTTGCCAGCACATCACTGCTGATAACTAAGCTGCTACTGTATAACAAATACCTGTTGAGGAATATGTGTCCCACACACTGCCCATTTATTTTGATTTGGAATAGTGAATTCTTTATGTCACAAAAGCCTTCATATTATAGAGGTTTCTAGGTGAAAACATATTTTTTAAAGTGCCTATCATTGATGGTAAGATTGGAGACCCTTTTTAGATACCCTTAAATCAGATCTGATAAAATTTGACTATCCATATGTTTTTTATCCAGTAACAGAGGATCAGTAACAAGTTTATAATTTGCTGGAATTTCTTGAACAGCAAACAAAAGACAGTTTGAGTCCTGGGTTAGTTTATATTTATATTTTAACCATTGATAACTCATTTTACTTCTCTGAAAATGCAAAATAAAGAAATACACTATTTTACTAGTTCTCAGACATAACTGCATATCAAAATCACCTCCCAAACTGTTCAGATCAAGGGGTTCTGTCCCTCTAATCAGATCTATGAAAACAGAATTTCTGTAAGTGGAACCAACAAATTGGATCATAGGATGTTTATGCCAGATGTAGAACCCCTGTACCTCTAAAAGCCTTGCAGGTCATGAAGTTATAATGGTAAACTGGCAGTAAGGATGTGGATGCAACACATTTATAGGAATGGATTGTCAATAATTTACCCATTTCCTGGCTCATATTTGTTTCTTTGCATATATACTTCTGGTATATATGCTGTGACCTCTTACTGTATTTCATATTCTAGTATTTCCCCCATTATATAATCAATGCTGCTATAAATAATTATTAACCACTTTTAAATTAAAAAATTATATATGTCAGTATTTCTAAAATCTTATGCATAAAATATTTTGAGAAATTGTGACAAATCTTTACTAAAACCAAGATTTTCTAAGGCTGAGACAGTCACTTTATCAACAGCTTGGTAATTATATGAATAAAAGAACACTAGTTTAGATAAATTTGTTAGTATACTCTGGTTATTTCTTATTTTCTTTCTTTCTTTATTTTTGGAATGTTCAGTACTCTAATCATTCTAATGATTTTTTAAAAATTATTAAAATTCTGAAAATATGTATTAATGTTCCCTTAGGTCCTATGATATAATTTTTATAATTCATTATAATAACAAAGACATAAATTACTGTAAAATTCTCATATATATCTCACATAAATTTTCACACATATTGAGTTTAATTTTTTAACAATATGTAGACAATTTTTTTTGTTATTTTATGAAAAGTAACTGAATCTTAGAAGACATTATAGACAATCAGTTATGGAGATAAACTCAAAGATAGGTAGGTATCCATGTTCAATATCACATGCATTTTCATAATTATAAGTTATAATTTTAGAATAAAAATATATAGGTGAAATGACAATTATTCTACCTGGTTGTTAACTGTTTCCTTAGAGAGTTGAATCCTATCTGCTTAAATGTTCTCTTTGGAAATCTTTTGGACTTTTTCCATCAGAATGCAAGAATTGCTTTTCTTTTTTTTAAATATGGGAAATCTTGGGTTTACATTTTTATTTTTATATGGTTATCAAGAAATATAAGGAAAAAGACAGGCGCTATTGCATTTTATTATCTCATTGGCTAAAATGTCTGACACGTCTTACAAATTGCCTGAAATTCTTGCCATCTGCTGCTGCAAACTTCATCTAAATATAAGTTACAGTAAATATATTTCTTGAAAAAAAATTTTAACAACATAGACTTTGGTTATTTTATTGTTGTTTAATGACTTTTCTGCCATTTAAGTTTTCTGGCTTCCAAAGAGATGTCTAATGACATCAAGAATGATTTCTGTGGAAGTGACTATGAAATTCAAGTTTCCATTCTTCTGAAAATATGATTTAGTGGAGATATTCAAGTGTCTGCCATTCTAAGGTGACTGAATTTGGATGTGGAATATTAAGATAAGTTATAATAGTTCATTGGCTCATCAAACAGAAAAATAAACTTGCCCTGTTCCATTTGTGGTTTATGGTTAGCCTTGGCTTGATCTTTCAATTTTTCATTTACTCCTTCAATGAATATATGAAGAACAGCGATATTTGGTGAAATTAAAAAGTTGGTTTATATGGTTGTTCTATACAGTAGTTTTAAGCAGAAGAATTCTGCTTTTTCCATGCAAGTCTTTGACTCCCTGTCCCTGCTAGTATGTAGTTTTTGATGTACATTACAGGAGGCTCAGGCTTCCCTGCCTTGTAACAGACCTGAAGTTTTCAGAGGGGATGTTAGAAAACACGATAACAAATAATGGGTGAACTGGATTAGTCCTGCTTCCTAAAACCTGGAATCTGCTTTGATCTGGAACACTGGGTTATTCTTGGCTTCTGTAGCTTTTGCTACACTGGCTCCTGCCCCTATTTTCTACATACCTCAAAGATTTCCACTGGAGTTGCTGCCTTGTATTGAAACACAGTGAACTTGATTCACTTCCAGACATCTGAGTTGGCTTCCTACAGGTCTTCCTCTTGTCTTAATTTAAACATAGACTTATTACCCAGAACTCTAATTTTACCTATTTATTTAAATATTGTCCCTTGTGTTATTTTCTTCTATGAGTATGAATTACTTCCTTCATGAACTAAGGAACTCTAGATTATCATGGTGATCCTCTTTTCCCCTAGCTCTTTAAATAAGAACTGCAAGCTTGACAGCTATCTTTAATAGGAAAAAGAGTGGAAACTACATTTCTTTCTTTTCTTTTCTTTTTTTCTTTTTCTGTTTGTTGTTGTTGTTGTTTTGAGATGGAGTTTTGCTCTTGTTGCCCAGGCTGGAGTGCAGTGGCACAATCTCGGCTCACTGCAACCTCCACCTCCCAGGTTCAAGTGATTTTCCTGCCTCAGCCTCCTGAGTAGCTGGGATTACAGGCATCTGCCACCATGCCTAGCTAATTTTTCATATTTTTAGTAGAGACGGGGTTTCATTATGTTGGCCAGGCTGGTCTTGAACTCCTGACCTCAGGTGATCCACCCACCTCGGCCTCCCAAAGTGCTGGGATTACAGGTGTGAGCCACCGCACCCCGCCAGGAACTACATTTCTTAAAATCTGTGAGTACAAAAGGCAAGGCAGAAAGGTATAAAATCTCAGTCTTTGGCAAGACTGAGAAATGGAAGAAGGAAGAAGACTAAAAATGGAAAAGACTAAAAATGGAAGAAGGAAGAGAAGGAGGGGGAGAGAAGAAGGCTGTTGGGGGAGGGTGGGGAAATAATTTCTGAAAATGATTATTATTTTAAAACCAAACTAAGAGTTTCATTTTCAGGAATACATAAATAAGCACCTATCAGAACAGCCTTTCCACAGGTGATAGCTATAAATTCTGGAGGCAAAGAAATACTTATTTGAAGACACTGAATGGAGATGAAAAACCAGCAGATGCTAGAAGGAAGTCAAGACTGAAAAAAAATACATTTGAAAGTATACTGGGTAAGAGTCTCATTTTTCCAGAATTCTATCCTGGGGACTGCCCCAGTCTGCACTGTGTAGTAAAGCTAAAACTCTGATAGCACACTCACAATTTTACTGGCCTGAAGAACCAGAAGATAGAGTTTGTGGCAACTACAGCCACTGGAAAGAGAAAGTAGGGAGTATGAGAAAGGAGATAGTCAGAGCGGGAGAGATCTAAATTCTATAAATGAACCATTCCTGAATCTCTATCTTACCTCTGAACCACACATATGTTAATCTGACTCCATGTCTCTTCTTGTTAAACATAAAAGCATGGAATTGAGGTTTGAATGCCATCCAAAAGATAGTTTTCAATTTAAATTCAACTGTAATAATAAAAGTGTCAATTCATAGAAAAGAAATTATAATCATAAATACATATGAACCTAATAATAGAGCTTCAAAATTCATGAAGCAAAAATGGATGGAATTCTGGAGAGAAATAATCAGTTTTGTAGCAACTCTCTCTTAGGAACTGATGAAACAACAAAACCAAAAAATCAGTAAACAACTAGATGACCTGAACAATACTATCAAACTCCTGACGTAATTTGTAACGATAAGTTTAGGGCAGATGATATATATACCAACAAAGGCCATATGCTAGACAAAAAAACTCCAAAGATTTCACTAAATTTAATATATATATTTCCTACAGGATATATTTTCTGACCTGAATGAAGTTAAATAAAAAAGTAATTGTTTACTGTATCTACAAAAATGGTATGTATTAAAAAATTAAAAATAAACTACTAAATAATACATGAGTTTTAAAAAAAGAACTGGGTGCAGTGGCTCACGCCTGTAATCCCAGCACTTTGAGAGGCTGAGGCGGGGGGATCACGAGGTCAGGAGATCAAGACCATCCTGGCTAACAGGGTGAAACCCTGTCTCTACTAAAAATACAAAAAATTAGCCGGGTGTGGTGGCGGGAGCCTGTAGTCCCAGCTAATTGGGAGGCTGAGGCAGGAGAATGGTGTGAACTCGGGCGGCAGAGCTTGCAGTGAGCCGAGATTGAGCCACTGCACTCCAGCCTGGGGGACAGAGTAAGACTGTCTAAAAAAATAAATAAATACCTAAATAAATAAGAATAAAAGAGAAAATGGTGACAATATTTCCAACTGAATTATAAAAAAACACAAAATAGCAACATGTGTGGGTTGCAGGTTATCTAGGGCTTTGCTTTAAATGCTTAGATTAGCAAAATAAAAACATGTCTACATTCAACACCCTAAAGTTTCAACTTAAGAAGCTAGAAAACAAAGAGCTAAGCAATCCTTAATTGAGCAAATGGAAGAAAATAATAAATATATAAGAAGTCCATGAAATAAAAAAGCCCCAAATATATGGGCACTTAATAAAGCAACAGTTGATTCTTTAAAAATATTAATAAAATTCAATAATAAAATGAAAAAAAGAAAGAACACAAATTGCCACTATCAGTAATGAGAGCAAGAGCATATGTATGTAAACTACAGGTCACGAAGGATAATAAGGAATCATCAAGAACAACTTTCCACCAAGAAAACCAACAACTTTGATAAACAGAAATATTTCTCAAAAAATGATGAAAGTCAATTCAAGATGAAAAAACTTTGTATATGTAAATCAATTTAAAGATTGCATTTAATTATCAAAATTTGATAAAATTTAACACCATGTCATGATAAAAACTCTAAGTGAACTAGGAGTGAAATGTAACTTCCTCTACCTGATGAAAATTATCTAAGAAAAATCTATAGCAATATCATACTAATGGTGGAATAGTAAATGCTTTTCTCCTAAGATCTGGAATAAGGCAAGGATGAGGAGAGGTTTCTTACTACCTCTAGTCTTTATTGCACTGAAAGTATTAAGCATTGCATTACAAGAAAAATATAAAAAAGACACAAAGTTTTGAAAGGAAGAATTAAAACTATTTATTAATGACATGGTTATTGATATAGGCAATTCAAAGAGATGTATAAAAGAATCATTACAACTAACCTATAAATGTACCATGGTTATAGGAAATAAGCTTAATATGCAAAAATAAAGATGAAGATATTTATCTTGGCAACAAAAACATAAAAAATAAACTTGCAAAATGATCTGATTTATAAGAACATCAAAATACATCAAACATGTTTAAATTTAACAAAAGATGTACAAGGCCTCTATACTGATAAACATAGTGTATTGCTAAAACAAATTAAAGAAGGCCTGAATAAATGGAGAGATACACTGTGTTCAAGGATTAGAAGATTCAATATTTCTCAAATGTCAATTCTGTCCAAAATTAAATGGAGTTATCACAATCTTAACACAATTCCAATTAAATAGCTCTTAGAAGTTGGCAAGTTATTCTAAAATTGACATGGAAATGCAAGAAACCTAGAATTTCCAAAGCAATCTTGAAAAACAAAAAAGTAGGAGAATTTACATTGCCTGCTTCCCAGACTTTATGTAAAGCCGCAGCATCAAATCAAGACAGGGTGGTATTGTAGAAGAACTGGCAATTAGATAAAAGAACCATAGTAGAAAACTCAGTAATAGGTTCAAATTCATTAAAATTTAAATGTTCTGCTCATCTAAAGACACTGTTAAGAATATAAATCAGAAAGCTACAATTGGTAGTAAAATACACACGAGTCAGACATCTGACATGCTAATGATATCAGGAATAGGTAAAAATTTCTACAACTAAAAATAAAAAACAGACAAACTAATGTGTTAAATGGCAAATTACTTAAAGAGAACCTTCACTAAAGAAGATATATGAATTGGAAATAAGCACAATATAATTAGTTACCAGGGAAATTAAAATTAAAACCATACCAAGACACCAGTACCTATGTGCCAACATTAAAGAAATAGCAGCAAATGTTGGCAAAGATGTGGAATAGTCATAACTCATGGGGGTGATGATTGGGATGGGAATAAAGGCAGGGACTGACAGGAACAGGCATGGGGAAACTTTCTGGGGTTCAAGTGATTTTCTATGTTTTGATAGAGGCTTGGGTTACAGAGATATACACATTCATCAAAATTCAATTACTGTACATTTAAGATTTCTTTAAATGTAAATTTTAACTCAAAAGGAAAAATCCATAAAAATATTGAGCTATACTTAATCATTAACATGGTGAAATATTTAGGGAATTCTATTGATGTATGAAATTTGCTTTGAAATACATCAATAATCTAGATAGTTGATATAAGGGATTTGCTGTAAAATTACTTCAACTTTATGTTTAAAGTTTTACATTTTTTTAAAAAAGCTAAATATATGACTATAGCTAGCATTTATTCAGAGATTATTATGTACCTTTTATTCTAAATGCTTTACATGTGTAAGGATTTTTAGTCTTCAGAAGGATTCTTTGGGGTGGATTCTATTTTTATCCCCACCTTACAGATAAAGAAACTGAAAACAAATGGATTCATTAACAACTAAAAAACAATCCTGTCTTTATGCGGGTAATAAGGAATTCACATGAAATGGGACAGGTTTTATAAAAGAGCAGTGCATTGGAGAGGTGAAGATACTGAAGTGATGGAAACATATAATCCATTTTCTGTTTCTTCTACATTGCAACGAAGTAGCTTAAGTACGAATATGCACCCATCTGAGGGCATAGTAATATGAGACTTTTGATAGTTCAGTGTGTGTTAATGACACCACTTCTGAAGTATACATATTTTTGATATGTTTGGATGGCCGTCTTTTTAGGGGAACCAGCAGCCAATTAATCTCTTTAACAATTTTCTTCCCCATTTCACTTTCTTGCTGGGTCACTAGGAACCCAACCTAGCTTCTGGAAAGTTTACTAGGAACAAGAGGAGTGTAAAAGCCCATCCTGGATAGAGTAGCCTGAAAAGAAGTCTTTTCTACAGGCCCCATTCCCCTGCACATATACCCATGTGTCTGTAATACCCCAATCATCAGAAGAACCACAGCAAGTGATAGCATGCATCTCAAAAGGCAGTCCCTACACCAGCACCAGCAGCATATGGGGATTTTTTTTTTTTAATAAATTCAATTCTTGGGCCCCATCCTGTACCTACTGGATCAGAAATTATGGGGATGAGAAAGATTGGATAGTATCACAGTCTGTGCATAAACTGGGGATTCTGATGCACACTAATGTTTGATAAACACTGGTGTAAAGAAATCCATCAGTAGCTTTCTGTACTCTTATTTTTTATGTTATCCAGAGCTCTTCAGCTTTACCTTGGGAGAATTGTCTAAATCTGCAAGAAAATGACTACAAAGAAAACTAGCAAAACCTGGTCCTGTATAATTCTCCAGGTCCTTTTTACTTGTCCCTTAAGCTATATAACTCTCAGGTTATTATCATATTTTCAGATGTCAGCTTTTCCTTTTTCTCTTTGATGACAAGAGCATTGATAAGCTCTTTGACAATAAAGACACTGATAAATTTTTGACAACAAGGACTGTGTCTGAATCATAATTGTCTACTTCAGATTATGACACTCACAGTAGGTCATCAATAAATATCTGTCAAATGAATAATTTAGTGAATTAATAAATGAGAAAGTGAGTGAGTAAGCTTGCATGTGAGTGACAAATTATCTTGGAACTTATCAAGGTCTCAAGAAATAAATAAACTTACTGGCATCTCAGGAAATAGAAGAAACATTTTCCATTGACTAAATTTTGTAGTCTATATTTGAGGGTAGGTAAGATGTGAATAACTGTATGAAATCTGGTGCTATAAGCATAAGAGCCTGCCGCTATTGGGGATAAATCAGAGAGCAGATGCCTGTGCTCCTTCTCCCACTTTTACCTCTCATTCCACTCTGTCAGCTGAGTGAGAGGAAGTCTGATCGGAAACCTCTCAAAGGTGGATTTGAGATCTCATCAAATACAGGCCGTGTGCAGTGGCTCATGCCTGTAATCCCAGCACTTTGGGAGGCTGAGCTAGGTGGACCACCTGAAGTCAGGAGTTCGAGACCAGCCTGGCCAACATGGTGAAATCCCATCTCTATTAAAAATACAAAAATTACAGGCGTGGCGGGCACCTGTAATCCTAGCTACTCAGGAGGCTGAGGTGGGAGAATAACTTGAATCTGGGAGGTGGAGGTTGCAGTGAGCCGAGATTGTGCCATCGCACTCCAGCCTGGGCCACGGAGCAAGACGCCGTCTCAAAGAAAACAAAAAAACAAAACCCAAAGATCTCATCAAATACAGTCCGAGGCTCAAATCCTATCACATTTTTGCAGGGCTCTGTTGTCAAGAAAGAAATTCTGTAAAACTTCTTTTAGTAATATATTATAAAAGTTAAATGTATTATTTAATGTAATTTATTATAGAGTCAGAACTACATTTTCAAAATCAAATTCATGCTTCTAGTAAAACATATCTATTGGGATTTGAAAAGTAATACCTTTGATTTTTATTATAATGACTATATTTTCTCAAAAAAAAAAGAGAACAAAAATAAATGTTACTAAGAGAAAATTTACCTCCCAATCATATTAGTATCTTGATCTGTCCACAACCTGGCTCTTTTTCCACTGGCAGAAATAAAGTAATTGAGTTGTCAGGTTGGGTAAGGAAAGGGAAAAGAGTCACCTTATATTCCTCAACCAAATCATAGTTGGGTCCTTCAGTCAACACTGTTTTCTCTTTCTCAAACACAAAAGGAATGCAGGGGCTTGCGAACCACATGATAGAGTTAATATACAATAAACTGATGATAATAAATGCTAAGTTTGCTGTTACCCAATTTAATTTATCTTTCCCAGTATTTTTCAAACACGTTAATTATGAAATAGCTTGCATCACATTTGGTCCAGGAAAAGTAAAAGTGAGAGAATGGAATATTATTTTTTAAAAAGAAAAGCCCAACAAAACTTTTATTTAATATACAGGGTAATTTACTTTGTATAAATTAAATTTTTGAACTGAATAACATTGTTATTGCATTTGTACTATTATATTTTTGCCTGATATCTATTGAAACTTATAGTTCTTTTTTTGTATGTACCACATTTTCTTTATCATTTGGCAATTGACATTGAGGTTGATTCCAACTCTTGGCTATTGTGAATAGAGCTGCAAAAATAAATGGAAGTACAGATATCTCTTTGACATACTGATTTCACTTCCTTTGGTCATATACGCAGTAGTGGGATTGCTGGATAATATGGTAGTTCTATTTTTTAGTATTTTGAAGAAGCTCCATACTACTTTCTATAATGGCTGTCCTAATTTGTGTTCCCACCAACAGTATTTAAGAGCTCCCTTTTCTCTACTTGCTTGTCAACACTCTCTTTTGTCTTTTTGATAATAGTCATTCTAACAAGTGTAAGGTGTGATCTCATTGTGGTTTTCATGTGATTTCCCTGATGGATAGTGATGCAGAGCATTTTTTTCATATACTTATTGGTCCTTTGTATGTCTTTTGAGAAATGCCTATTCAGGTCTTTTGCCTATTTTTTAATAGGGTGATTTGTTTTCTTGAGTTGTCAGTGTTCCACATATATTTGGGAAATTAATGTCTTTTTGATATAAAATTTGCAATATTTCCTCCAATTCTCTTGTCATTTGTGACAACATCAATCAACCAGAAAGACATTTTAAGTAAAAGGAGCCAGGTACAGAAATAAAAATATCACATGATCTCACTTGTATGTGGATTCTAAAGAAGTTAATCTCATAGAAGTAGAGTGTAGAATGGTGCTTACCAGAGGCTTGGCTGGCTAGGGGAGAGGAGGATAGGGAGAGGTTGGTCAAAGAATATATAATTATAGTTAGATAGGGGAAATTGTTTTAAAATGTCAAGAATAGAGACAGAATGTATATAAATGATTGCTTGGGTCTAGGGGGTGGAGAGGGGAAAGAAATGGGGAATGAGTATTGCTGGTTCTAGAGCTTCTTTTTGGGGTGATGAAAATATTCCAAAATTAATTGTGATGATGATTGCACAACTCTGAGAAAACTAAAAAGTATTGGATTGTACACTTTAAGTGGGTGAATTATATTTTAATATTTATATCTCAATAAAATTAAAAAATATATATAGCTCTATTATTCTTCTAACTCATTTAATTTTGAGAAAGTCTGGAAAGGCTTTCTGAAAGGTTTTTTCATAAAAATTGTATGGCATACAGATGGTTCCAGAGTGTCTTCACTGGCTTACCAATATTTTTACCAAGTGCTTGTTCCTGTTTTCATTTTGTCATAATCAATGAGTGAGTGATGCCTTCTCTTGGTCATTAAGCTTAGCAGCTAGACAGATTCTACAGCAACTCTGTGGTAGCCATGTCAAAAAGTCTAAAGAGAGAAGCATGGGGCAAGGGCTCTCTTCTTATGTTTTATAAGGGAGATAAACTTCCTCAGAAGCTTTCAACAGACTTGCCTCCATGTCTTATTGACTGTAATTGGGTCAAATGGCCACCACTATGGAAAGATATGCTGGGAATGTCATTCTCTGGCATTTTCAGCCTCCCTCTGGGGAGGCAGACATTGAGAAGGAAAAGAAGAGACAAAGGGAATAGTATTTACAACAGTGGCTCATAGTAGAATAATGTCACATTTCTTAAACAAAAGGCATTAACTTATAAAAATGAAGTAATTACTGGTAGGATTTAAAGTTATACAACTGAGAAGAATTTTTTTAAATACAGAGGACTTTCTAGTAACCCTAAAAGTGTGTATTAGATTAGTCCTTCTATGAACCCTTTCATTTCCAGTACTTATTTTCATGAATTGTTCTCAGAGCTTTCCTTAATCTCTACTATAAAAATTGAAAAGCCAAAGAGATGCAGTGTGATTACTAAACTGCAGCAGGAAGTCATAGGTAAATACAGACTTGAGATGATGGCAAAAGTGCACCCTTGCCTTCCCTAATCAAACAGTCTCTGGATTAAGGCAAATTCCAGGTCAGGAAGTATAACTGATAAGTTTAACAAAAGAAACAGAATAAATGAATTTTCTTCCATTGAATTGAGATGTGACCCTCAGTTTTTGAAAATATTTAAGCATTCTATTTTCCTGAGAAAAATAAAAAGTTCAGCTATATGTTCATATATATATGCACATATCCATAGAGACATAGTCGTGTGTGTGTGTGTGTGTTTGTGTGTATACCAACAAAACACCACTCCCTTGATGACAAATCAGTGACTATTTCTTTCCTTTAGCAAAATTCTGATGAACCAACATTTCAGATTCATGCAAACAAATTCCCCATAGAATGAATTTATTATTTGTATCATTATTAATATTACACTCAGCTCTGAGAAGGATGCCTTCAAAAGATTCCACTGCCCTTTGTTGTGTGCAAGTGTGTGTGATTTTGATGAGCAAACCTGCATACCTCCTCTAAGTTTCCTTCCGAGCTTGTGCAGTTAAAATAATTATAATAAAATCTATTAACTGCTTGTTACTGCAGGGGGAAAAGGCACTGCATCCAAGCTTCCATCTGCAACCATTGATTCTGAAGTGGTGAGTGACAGTTCCCCACCGCCTAAGTAGGTTTATAACAAGCTAGCTTCAGGCTGCAACAGCCAGTAGAGTGCAGAGGAGAAAGGACTGGCCTCCAAACTAGTCTTAAGCCTCAAGAAAGAAAGGGGGGGAATATCTCTGCCAATAACTGCAGTGCCTATTCTCACATTCAGCAGCAGGAGCTTTGTAATTGCCAAGTCGCTTTAATTCCCACTCACACCTTGCGGGGACAAGGCAGAGAACTCTCTCTAACGGATAGTAATAAAACTATTATTCATCTAATCACCCACAAACACATGTGTTTCTTTTGTAACGACTCTGTTGCCCTCATCCCCATAAAACACACACACATGTGCATAAGCCAACTCATGCAAATGAAAACACAATAGTGAAGACAATGTAAACGAAAAGAACAGGCTGTTTTGCAGACATACAGAAATCCAGCTCACATTCATGCTTTATACATATAATTCCAATGAATTCCTATCAATCCCACACACCATGGTTAAGATCCTGTTTGTAGTAATAAGGAGAATCCACACTATTATTTACACTTTTCAAATGAGATCACTCCCTTTGCTTCCAGCGATTGACCTGACTATATCAGGTGAAAGTGCACTTCAGATTGGAAGCTGACCTCATTTCTGTCTTGGATTTTGCATATGCCTATATAGATGAGCTATCAGCAGCATATCATCATCACTCAATTATAATATTTTTGTTTGTATAAGTGTATACATATTGGCATAAACCCAAATCATCTGATTTCTCTCTATCCATTTCTGTCAATACACACACACACACACACACACACACACACACACTTTATATTGTATCAAGCTTCACAGGAATTACATTTGTCTCTGTGTATGAACCAGTACCCTAATATTTCACATTTTAGCATAATGGGCCAGTACTCTCAACTATGAGTCATAATAAAATAATAAGATAATGAAATATGAGGTGGTGATGGTAAAAACATCAGATATATCAATATGAATTAGTGCTGCCCTCTAGAATACAATTTAGAATAATTTTCATTTATAACAAACGAAAGTTTTAAATCTTCATTTTTAATATTTTAAAAATCTTTAATTTTTAATTTTAACTACAAATCTTTAAATTTCAGACCAGATGCAATGGCTCACATCTGTAATTCCAGCACTTTGGGAGGCTGAGGCAGGAGGATCACTTGAGGCCAGGAGTTGGAGGCGAGCCTGAACAAAAGAGAAAGATGCCATCTGTATAAATACATAAATGCATAAATAAATATACACATCATACAATATTTTCTTTCATTTAAAAAAACTTTAAATCATATTGACAAGAAAACTGACCAACTACATTAACATTTGATTCAAAATGATATCCTACTTTAGCCTTAAAAAACTTGTTTTTTCATAAGTGTTCATGATTTTTAAAGGAAATCTATATTCAAAAAAATAATTTGCCACCATCGAGTTTCCTCAAGAGAATGTGCCATCTACCAACACATAAATTTAATTGCATGCAGATATAAATATTCTCTGACTGGACATTTTAAATAGGCACATCTCCACAAGAAGACTGTTCTGTAAAATGTTATCTATTATTTTGATAATTCAAACAAATTATAACAACAATCGCAACAATAATAAACAATATTTCAGGCAAAAGTATGTTTATAGTGAAGGTTTGAATGATCCGGTTAATTTTTGTAAGTAAATTATGAAATTTTCACAGGTGTACACATACACACATATCTTGGATGATCCACACTGGCTCAAAGTTCTCAGTTTCTACAAAATTAAAAAATGCAGTATTGTTTCCATGGCTGCTCTATTTCATTAGGTTGAGCATGATTTTACAGTAGACTGGGAGACAAAATAAACTTATCAGAAGTGAGATTCTTCCTTTGTTCTCCTGAATTCCAGAAAGTGTCATCAATTTGAACATATTCTGACCCATGAATCTGGGACAGTAAACTCCCCAAATGCACAAAGTTGCTTATGGACCTGTCAATACTTTTTGTTCATTTTTGACAATACCGGAATGACAATTCCACTCTTCTGCAGAAGCATACGGAACTTTGCATCTTAAAGTTTAGGGTACATTAAAGTACTTCTTGCTTCCTAGGCAGCCTTGATGAAGTAGACTACCCACTGATACCATAAGCAGCGCAGTTGGGTGCATGTAGAAAAATTC
This sequence comes from Homo sapiens, assembly GCF_000001405.40. Classification (NCBI taxonomy): domain Eukaryota; kingdom Metazoa; phylum Chordata; class Mammalia; order Primates; family Hominidae; genus Homo; species Homo sapiens. The sequence goes on from NC_000018.10 coordinate 39,993,954, forward strand.
TTATCTCAAAGAAGTCCATTGGACTGTGAGTATGTATAATATTTAAGCCCTACAAAACCTGTTATTGTAAACAGGATAGTGGTGGTTTATATTAGCATGTATATATTTTAAATGTACTTCTGCACGCTCTTAGTAAATTTGCTGTACCCCACTTCTAATCATGAGAGAGATACAATAATAATTACTATCAAGCTGATATTCACTAAGCTCTTACCATGTATTTGCCATTCATTGTGTTAAGTGATTTAGAAGTGCTATTTTACTAAATCCTCATCAAAAATCCATGAGGCAGGTATTATTGTTACTCCTATTTTAAAGATAAGGAAATGGAGGCAAAAAAAAGTATAACTAATCATCCCTAGAGCTCACTTTCAATAAATGGCAAATCCAGGATGTCTTACTTTGGCTTCCCACAGAAAGAGACCCTAGTCAAAGATTTAAGTAAAAGTAGTTGATTGGGAAGTGCAGGAAGCAGCAGTAGAAAGAAGGGAACTGAGAAGTTGAGAGAAAGTGGCCAGTATTAGGTGCATCCTTAAGTAGGCAATGACTATGGATTATTGGAGCTTTATCTTAAGTGGAAATTCTTGGAAACAGCGGACTACATGTCTCAAACATATCCCAATCTAAGGGGAGGGAACTGCAATATATACATCAATTCTGCTCAGTCATTAATTGAGGAATACTGAGAGGAGTGGCATTTCCCCATAACCCATAGCCAGAGTAATTTCCCTAAGCTTCAGAGAAAGCCCTCAGGCAAATGCCATAGATTCTAGAAGCTGGCAATCAGCCTGCAGGCACTGAAGTGGCAAGACTCCAAGGATATGGATGGGTCATTGGGGCTAATAAAGATGTAGGTTTCATAGTGACTTCATGATTTTGTATAGGACAGAGATAGTTCGGTTAGACTGCTGTACTTGTGCATGTGTCTTAAATCTGCATTTGAATCACAATTATACTAATTTTACTTAGCGTGTATGTTTATTTGGGAACTGAAAAGAACTGATAATGATTTGGGAATTTTAAAAAGTCCTGAGCCACCCCTTGAACCATTGCTGCCTTTTTATGTACTCAGATCCATCTACAAAGCTCATACTCTTAACTACTGTGCAAATATCTCTGATAAAACACATCTCTGTACTGGGGAAAGTCGACTCCAACATCTCCTTTCAGAGGTTCTCAGGCTTCTGAGGGCACCCATGTTCTACTGTCTTCCCTGCATGCATTAAAGATTCTAACACACTTTAGGCAATGAATACAGTAGAAATGTTCCCTTGTGATTTGATCTTTTGGGGAAGAGGTCAGTGACCTAAGAGGAAGAAACTTGTAAGCAACACTATCTCCCCCACTGATCTGACGTACTATTTGAAAATTTACCAGATGGAACTAGGCTCTTAGGGAAATATTTGTTATTTGCAGACTTCATTTCTGCCTGATTGGTAATATTTTTATTATAACTTCTTTTATGGAAATTTGCATTTTATTCCTTTATTATACATTAGATTTTTTAAGTTAGCAAGTTCTTAGAACTTTCCTCATATCAATAAATAAAATATGGCAATATTTGACAACTACTCAAGATGGAAAAATGGAAGCTGCTCAGAGACAGTAAGTCCTGCTTTGGTGCTAACAGATTGATCCTTGGGCAGGATTAAATAGCAGGCAGGCATTGTTTCTATGACAATGATCTCAGAACAAAAGCCAGGGGAGATGTCTTTAAAAATAAATTTTACCTAATTCTCAGATGTTCTTAAGGGCAAACCCTTCTTTAAGACCTATCCTAGAACAAAGAGGTAACTTAGACTCATAGTGCATTAGAGAAGATGTGACAGCAGAGATTATGAAATTTGATTACTATTACAGAAGAACCTGAGACTGATAGAGTAAGTTAACTGTATATAGGAGTTGTATAGATAATGATTCCAGAGAACAGAGAACAGGGACCCTATTACTTATGGTTCATCTACTCATCATTGTCCATTAATATAATTACAAGTCTTTTTTCTCCAATTATTTTTATTTCATATTTTCAACATAATGAGAGGGAAGTAATACAGAGAAAGAAAAATAATAATAATTAGGAGCACCAAGAAGATGAGAGGTAGGAAAAAGAAAGAAAAAAAGATTGGAAAGTAATGCATGATGGCTGTCCTGTTTAGTAATTGGTTTCTAATGCATTTGAAAGAGCATAAGATGAAAGGGACTCTGAGTAAGCCCTCTATGATCATGATATTAGAAATCAACTACTGATAGCTTTCAAGATCTTGAGCCTCGCTTTGGCTTTCAGCTGCACTCAAGGTTGAAAGATGAGAGGCTACATATTGAGGAGATGGAGATCATCAGAAAGGCACTAATAACTGGCATCCAATAAAAGGTCCTATCAAGTTAGTATCAGAGAAATGAAGGGACAAACTAGCGTCTTCTAAATCTCATATAATGTTCGGACATTGGAGCTAAATGATATTTTCTATTCAGTGTAAATCTTTTCTTATTTTGTTATTCACTGGCAATGAATTTCTCTAGGGACTTTGATCCTGGGGTGAAAAAATCCATTCAAAAATCACCCAAGATATCAACTGGTAAGAAAATACTATTACATATGTAAGAATTAGGAGCATCGTTCTGGTGCTCCTAATTATTATTTTTCATTCATGTTTATTCAATTCATTTCCTAAGATGGGTATGTTCCAACATGTAATTCTACCTACATTAGGTCTGTATGGGGCCACAGAGCAAAGTATTCAATTAATACCTATTTTTGAGGGGTTCTGTTTTAATTAGAGATCAGGTACAAACATATCAAGCAGTGATCCAACAATGTGAAGTCAATACCATTGGCGAAGAGAGAGGGGCCTAGGGCAGAAAAGTAAGGGAGATAACATGGAGAAGGTGGACCTCAATCTGACTTTGAAGATAAATTTGATTTGAAAGATGAAGAGACATCAGTCAGGATTGTGAGGAGAGCATGACTAATGGTGTATGAATCAGAAGCAGGAATAAGAGTGATAGGAGGGAGTCAAAGTAAGTTTAAGCACTGTAGCTTAGCAGGATTCCATGTGCCACTGAAAGCCAAATGAAACCCCCCCCCCCTTTTTTTTTTTGAGACGGAGTCTTGCTCTGTCGCCCAGGCTGGAGTGCAGTGGCGCGATCTCTGCTCACTGCAAGCTCCGCCTCCCGGGTTCACGCCATTCTCCTGCCTCAGCCTCCGGAGCAGCTGGGACTACAGGCCCCCCCCCACCACGCCCGGCTAATTTTTTTTTGTATTTTCAGTAGAGACTGAGTTTCACCCTGTTAGCCAGGATGGTCTGGATCTCCTGACCTTGTGATCCACCCGCCTGGGCCTCCCAAAGTGCTGGGATTACACGCGTGAGCCACCGCGCCTGGCCGGATCACTTTTTAAAAGATTCACAGAAAGAATGTAAAGACCTGAAAGAAATTTATGAGTTAAGAATACAGTGATTCAATATGAAATCTTCTTTAGAATTGTATAATTAAACACGGAGTGTGAGAGTTGGATAATTATACCTTTTCAAATTGGCTCTGATGATATGTGGAATCTTCTCAGAGGCTGGGAAAGTATTTCTTGTTTTCACTTTCAGATGCTTCACCATAAGCCATTGAGAACTGTGGCATTTTGATTTAGACTTTTAGAAACCTTAATAATAATTTCCAAATCCCACAGCCTCTGCTAACAATGGATAAACATTAGTAAGATATAGATATCAGAAAAAAAATGCCTTTCAGCACAATAGCTACCTGTGTCAGAGGAAAAATATACTTCTCATTGTTCTGTTGTATCTGTATTTCAGAATTGCTCAGCATTTCTGGGAGCCTGTTATCTAAGGCTATATCTATGCAGGAAAGTTGAAGCAATTGCCCACTATTTGAAACAAAACAAAAGGAAGGACAGCAAAGCAAAAACAGAGTTTGAAACAAGCATTTTTGGGTTGTCTTATCACCTTGGATGGTTTACATAATTCCTCAATGGGAATGTAAGTTCTGTTTCTCCAGATAGACATGAGTTAAAATTTGCCATGATTAGCCAGTGGGAGCACAGAGCCATTAAAATCTACTGAAATAAGTCTGAGGGAAAGACTGCCTCTAAACATAAATTTATGAAAAATCTAAATGCAGAATTTCTTGCTATAGACTTTTCTAATTTTATTTTTTCTAAATAGAATGTTTATTAGCTAGGAACACTTAAACCCTAAATCAGAAAAAGCCCAAGAGTTCAATAACACTGGAATCTTCTTAATGTGGTTTATTTACTTTTCATTTCTTGTCACAAATTGTTTTGTTCTAATAGCATTAATGAAAATGAAATTGGACAACGTGATTGAAAAATAGTCTCCCGCCTTGAAAATAAATGTGTCCGCTTTACCTCAAAACTTATTTTCGCTAACCGTAGGAGATCATTATCAGAATGCCGCTTCAGTCCTGTCCGTGCTACACAAGCTATTTTGGGCTTCATCTTTAAGGGAAATTATTTGTCAGAAAATCTGTGCTGACCGGGTCTCAGCAGACCACTGACAGAGGATCAAACCCAGTGTGCTTAAGAAACAAGAGTTAAGCTCTACCCAGAGCCCATGCTTTACAATTGTTTTCTGAATTCAATTAAATAGAGACTATGGAGGCCTCTCACCAGTAACAGACCTTTATATAATGGGATTAAACCTGTTGATTTTATACCATCTGTGGGTTTTTTTTCCATTAAATGTTATGTTTTTAACATTTATTGTTATATTTGTGAGTTATTTCAGTTTGTACCTCTTTTTCTGCTCTATAACATTTATTGATTAAATATACAATATTTATCTATTATCTTGCTTGAATCATTTTCACGTTTTTCTGTTGTTATGTTGCAGTTACCACATTACAGAATGAATAGTCTCGTGTGCCTCTCTTGTGTGATAGGTTAGAGAATCATATTTATAAGAGAAGAACTAATGAGTAATATTTATACCCATATATGGATTTCTAGAAGACTGTCAAATGGTTTCCCACTGATATTCTAACTACTGAATCCAGTAGTGGTGAAGGATTCTTGTTGCTCCACACTCATACATTCGTGATAGTTTCAGATAAAATTTTTGTCAATATTTTGGTTTAAAACATGGTGTCTTTCTGTATGTGTATTGCCCACTTTTATTTTTTCTCTTCTCTAAAAATATATCTGTGCATTTCTTTGGCTAGAATAATTTAAAATTATTTTATATTATAGACACAAATTCCCTGTAAGTTACGTGAGTTGGAGCCGTTTTCTGCCAGTTTTGGCTTTCCTCTGCTTTTTTACGGTTGATCTTTTGATAAATACAATTTGCTAATTTTTAATATGGTTCATTATACCGTTTCTGTTATTTTTTGTGGATTTTGTATCGAAAGCAAGAACTTTTTCATAATCTGATGTCATAAGGCTATATTTCTATATCTTCTACCAAGAGTCTCTGATTTTTGATGTTTACATTTAAGTTTTTAATATACCTAAAAATAAGTATGGTGTAAGGTAAAGTTTTTTTGGTGTTTTTTTTTTTTTTTTTTTTTAGATGGAGTTTCGCTCTTGTTGCCCAGGCTGGAGTGCAATGGCGCAATCTTGGCTCAGTGCAAGCTCCGCCTCCCGGGTTCACACCATTCTCCTGCCTCAGCCTCCTGAGTAGCTGGGACTACAGGCACATGCCACCGTGCCCGGCTAATTTTTTGTATTTTTAGTAGAGACGGGGTTTCACCGTGTTAGCCAGGATGGTCTCTATCTCCTGACCTCGTGATACACCTGCCTCGGCCTCCCAAAGTGCTGGGATTACAGGCGTGAGCCACCGCGCCCTGCCAGGTAAAGATTTTTTAAATTCCAAAAACAACAACAAAGTGTTATAAATGTTATATCCACCAATTTTTCAGAGTTAAACTTTTTCTTTTGCCAGTTATGTACAATATTATCTTACATCTCTGTATGGGTTTGTTTCTGGTCCTTTTATTTCATTCCATTGGTGAGTTTGTGCATTTATCAATTTGACTATCACAGCACAAATAAGTTGCCGTAATCGCTATGTCTTACTATATCTTTCCTTCAGAAATATCTTGGCTACTGGTGGGACTTTGTTCTTACACATATATTAGAAATAGCTTGCCAAGTATATTGTAGCTCTTTTTTTTTTCTTTTGCTATTTTGGAACAGTTAACACAATTTGAGAAATATAGACATATTTCAGTATTGCTTTTCTTATAACTGTGGTATATCTGTATGTATTATGTCTCCTCTAATGAATTTTTATCAAATTTTAGAATTCCTCTATAAAGGTCATCTACATCTTATGGTAAATGCATTCCTAGATTTCAGACTCTTTAAATTTATGTTGTAAATGATATTAATATTTTAGTTTACATTGTTACAAGTATATTAACATGCAATGCATTCTGTAGTTGAACTTACATCTAGCCACTTCGCTAAATTATTTTATTAATGATTTTATTATTTTACTTGCCTATGTTCTTGTCTATGAATTATAACTGTAGGACAATGTTGAATATATATAATATTTGTTGATTTTTTATTTTCGATTTTATATCTGTGAACATTTTATAAATAATTAATTCATAATTTATTCTAATAATATCAATTTATGAAGCCCTTGGAGTCTGTATTTATTATTATTTTACCTCTTAAGACTGGTGACTTGCTTACTTGTCTGATGATTTGGGGTTGAAAGGTATATTTTATTGAAATTATTCAGTGAAACGCTGTACCTTACTCCAGAGAAGTTTTGCTCTTGGTTCTGTAGGGTGTGACATTGATCTGACACTATTTTTATTTTATTTAAGCACACCAGCTTAAATTTTCTGTCTCAAATACAGTTCTTTAACACAGTAGAATCTATACAATTTTTTCTGTGGATCCCAGCACTGGTGCCATTTTACCCTAGGGTTATCATTTCTTTTGTCTACAATTCCTTCTTGTTTCAAGTCACCATCATTTATTTATGTAGTTCTTTTTTTAAAAAAGTATTTATTTTTCCTTAGAGATTCCATTTGCTTTCTTGTGAGCTCAGCAATTCTCTCAGTGTTATGTTTGCAGGATTTTTTTCCAGCATGTTCCTCCAAAGTTCTTAGTTCTCTATATTGGTGCCATAATTTTATACAGGTTTATTTGTCTTTCTAAAAAGTAGAAGCTTCTGAACCTCACTGTTCCCTTAATAATAATCTTAATCACCTGGTCCTTGAAAGATGTTGAGTGATTTGTGTGCTAAATTAGTAATGACTGGAAAATGTTGGCTTGTATATTTTGAATTGTACTGAGGGCAACAGTAGACATTCTGTGTCTTCAGCCAAAGACTGAAATTTTTATTTACATAAAAATAAAGTAGAAAGTGTCTTTAAAACTCTGATTTTTTAGTACCCGTTAAAGAGGATTATTCAGTAGTTTCAACAACTTGGAAACGTACATTTTTCCATCATCTTAGGTGATTTCTGATCCAAAGTGTCTCTAAAGATCACATCTTGAGAACTACCTGAATCTATCTATCTCACAATTGTTTTTTTCTCTCTTCCTGCCCTGTGCTTTGAATGCCCTAAATTCCACCTCTCTTTTCCCTTTTGTTCTTTCTTATTCATTACCATTCTACTTTTTTGTGGTTACTTATACTTATCTCATACTTGAGCTCAAATGCCACCGCCTCCAGGAAGCTTTCTTTCAAGCCCTTACTAAAAGTAATATTAATTTCTATAGAAACTTATTGTCGTACCTCTTCATTGTATATTTTATTTATGTTTATTAATTTTGTTCAACACAAGATCAAGTACTCATCGAAATAGTGGGTTCCTCTAGAAGACAAGGTAGGCAATAACCAACCTGGACCTAGGAACGGCAAAGATTTCATGACAGAGACACCTAAAGTAATTGCAACAAAATGAAAAATGACAAATGGATCTAATTAAACTTAAGAGCTTCTCCACAGCAAAAGAAACTATCAACAGAGTAAACAGACAACTTACAAAATGGGAGAAAATTTTTACAAACTATGCATCTGACAAAGGTCTCACATCCAGCATCTGTAAGGAACTTTAACAAATTTACGAGAGAAAAATAATCCCATTTAAAAGTGGGCAAAGTACATGAACAGATACTTCTCAAAAGAATACATACATGCAACCAATAAGCATATGAAAAACACCTCAATATTACTGATTATTAGATAAATGCAAATCAAAACTACAATGAGATACCATCTCACACCAGTCAGAATGGCTATTATTACAAAGTAAAAAAATAACAGATGCTGGTGAAGTTGTGGAGAAAAGGGAACCCTTATACAATGTTGGAGGGAGAGTAGATTAGTTCAACCATAGTGGAAAGCAGTATGGCGATGCCTCAAAGAGCTGAAAGCAGAACTACCATTTGGCCTAGCCATCCCATTACTGGGTATATACCCAGAGGAACATAAAGCATTCTACCATAAAGACATAGGCACATGAATCATAATTGAAGCATTGTTCACAATAGCAAAGACAAGGAATCAACTTAAATGCCCATCAATGACAGACTGGATAAAAAAAATGTGGTTCATATACACCACAGGATATTATGCAGCCATTAAAAAAAAAAAACAAAAAACAAGATCATGTATTTTGCAGAACATGGATGGAGCTAGAGGCTATCATCTTTAGCAAACCAACACAGGAAAAGAAAACCAAATACTATATGTTTTCAGTTTTAAGTGGGAGCCAAACAATAAGAACTTACGAACCCAAAAAAGGAAACAACAGACACTGGGATCTACTTGAAGGTGGAGAGCGGGAGGAGGTAGAAGAGCAGAGAAAATAACCATTGGCTTCCAAGCTTAATACCCGGGTGATGTAATAATATGTACAACAGGCCAGGCGCAGTGGCTTACGCCTGTAATCCCAGCACTTTGGGAGGCTGAGGTGAGTGGATCACAAGGTCAGGAGTTTGAGACCAGCCTGGCCAGAGTGGTGAAACCTTGTCTCTACTAAAAATACAAAAAAAACAATAAAAAAAAAAAATAGCCCTGCATGGTGATGCACGCCTGTAATCCCAGCTACTCAGGAAGCTGGGGCAGGAGAATCACTTGAACCCAGGAAGCAGAGGTTGCAGTGAGCCGAGATCACACCACTGCACTCCAGCCTAAGTGATAGAGTGAGATTCTGTCTCAAAAAATAAAAAACAAAAAAATATGTACAACAAACCTTCATGACGCATTTGTCTATGTAACAAGCCTTCACATGTACCTCCAAACCTAAAATAAAAATTTAAAATCTATGTGTGTGTGTATATATATATATATATATATATATATATATATATATATATATATATATATTTACATACTTATGTGAAGTAAATAAAAGAGTGGTTTTCCTTGTATTTCATTTCTTGCACCAAGGGCTTAGCATATTACACAATACATAGCAGGCACCCAGTAAGTATATCCTAATTGAAAATACCTCTTCTGGTAGAAAAATAAAATACACAAAACACATTTCTTCCTGCCAAAACCTAATCTATTTCCTAACAATTTGAAGCAAATTTAATACCACAGATACAACTATAGGATGTGTTTCCTAATCCTATGTACCATATCTTTCTTTAGTCATATTATCTATACAAGGAGATTATCTGCTTTATTAAAAAGAACCAGAGCCAGATAGTAGGTAAAGTAGTAAAAACAGATATAATTTAGAAACTGTTAAATTGGGGGAAAAGAGATCACAGTATAGAATTGAGCCTAATTAGGAGTACAGCAAGAACTGGTTGGAATTCACATCCAACAAGCAGAATGATAAGAGTCGGTAGATGGACAATTACAAAAGGGAGACGTCAGCATAGGAGAATTATTTTTAAACTAACTTAATTGGATTCCTGCTGAAGGTGGGTCAGGGTGATCAGATATCAATGTAGGGAAAGGAAATTGATCAGATATCAGAGGTAATCAGATATCAAAATGGAAGGATTATACCTTAACCGACTTAACAGGAGTTTTGCTTAAACTGGACTCAGCAGGCTGAAAACAGGGGCCATGTGTGAGACCTGGTCAAAAGAGGCTCAAAGGAACCTCTCTAAAGTTTGCTCAAGGAGAGAGTCTTTGTCATCTTTACTTCTGTTTAATTGTTTTTATCATAGCTGCTATCATATTGTAATGAACATTTATGAGAAAATTTTACAGTTGAAATGACTACTTGGCCAGAAAATATCTGTAAAGGTTGCACCCATCTGCTCCAAATACACTTCTAGAAGAACTATAACCAGAGGCCAATTTTCTATGTCAAAGGTGAATATTAGCTTTTTAAATTAAAACACCGACAGTATATTCAGCATAGCTGAGGCACACTCTTTCATCTCTTTGCTGCTGCTGCATGTTAGCAGCTTCTTTTGTGTAGAAGGATGAGTGTCTGACTTCAAAGGATGAGGATTCAGTAGGACTTCAAAGGTGATGTGACAGATGGTACATGAGGAAGCATGGCCCAATGCCTATTCTCACATTAAAAGGTGTTTTTTTTTTAAACATGAACTCTGTTGACATTTACACATGATAATGAGTATGGCATTTCATCTGCCCATGCTTCTCTGTTGTAGTCCCACGTTAGTTATCCACTGAACACGAAAGAATGCTGGGAGCCATCTTGAATAAATGGAAAGTTAGACAAAATGGCATTCAGCAACCTTTCAACAAATATCAGGCTTCATTCATACTAATGTCTTCTTGTCAATAAAACAGGCAATTCCAGGGTCATAAATGACAATTATCTTTAACTGATCCAATTCAATATCTCTTTACAGGATGTTTGTTATGCATGTAACATTATATTAACTGCTATGAGAGATTTAAAAGAAAGATATTACATAGTTCCTGCTTAAGAAAATCAATGTGAGATTTTAAAGACGCATAGATGTGAAGCAATCTGAGGACTATACAAAGTGCTGAAATCGATGATATATTCACTGAGACTTCACCAAGAAGGGGTACATGCAGAATATGTTTGTCAGAGCATTCAGAGAGGATGACTCTGCCAGAAATGTAGTGGCAGGCAGCTGCTGAGTTACTCTCTATCCTAGGCAGATAAGATTCATCAGGGAAAGAGAACTGCAGAAGAACAGAATAGAGGGGGAAGAAAAGCGAATAATGACCTTAGTTTGGTGCAAATCACAAAAATACAATAATTAGAACCGTTGACCTTGTTTTACTTTACATCTTCCTGAAATACAAGCTGAAGTTCCTCAAAGGGAATGAAAACAGAGGAAAAGACAACTTTCTTTAATTGTGATTTTAAACACTAGAAATTTAAATAGATCTTGCAAATATGTATTATTAACTTTTTATTGGTTATGGTAGGTCTAATGAGACTCCTAGGGAAAAGGGTAGCTGTGAATCCTCAGTTTACAGACATTTCTTCCTCCTTCTGTACACAAAAACACAGCAATAGTAACTAATAAATTCTTCACTTTTTTAAGCCATGAAATAAAAAGATCATTCATGTCACAGAGCTTATGCATAAGGACTATTTAAATTGTTTTCAGTTGATATAAAAATATCATTCTTAATTTGTTTGGCATTTCATTATTTTGACTTATCTAAATAAATGAATTCTGAAAGGTTACTGTGGAGATACCTATCAAATATCTCATCTGGCAATGAACAGAAGAAAAAAAGGAGACTGTGCACATTGCACACTCTAATCTAAATGTGTCATTAGACTGAGAACAAGTTGTTAATGTCGCCCTTGACGTCAACCTTGTCAGAAAGAAATGTAGATGGTGCTCCACAATCTTCAGTCAGAGCTATCTTCCAGACTTTCTCATCATCCTTCTCCCATTGTGGAAATACATCACTGTTCTTAGTCAATGATAAGAATATTTCAAGCACACGCAAGTTTTCATACCAATATAACCACCATCGCTGCAATGGCCGGGAGGTGACATTGTCTTTGAAGACATGTTTTTTTCAACGAGCAACATAAACTTTCTTCAGCTATGAAAAACTCTTTAAACTATATTATTGTATTAACAAGGCAAATAAACTCCAAAATTTCACATAAACCTAGCCTGATTTGGTTTATGACAAAAAAAAAAAAAAGATGGTAATCACATTTGAGCTGAACAAGAGCTAGGTAGAGCTGGAAAAGAAACAAAGTATATACGAACTTTTCATGTTTGTTATTCAAGCATCTGGACAAAGAGCATACTTACACATATTAGAGGAAGCTGAATCTGAGGCATGATTTAACTAAGTTTAAGACTAAGTCTTCTGTAAATAGAACTGGTGAATATTTTTTAATATGTTATTTTTATATTACTACATTTCTAAAGATCAATGCATATCTGAGTATATTTATAATTTCAGCCACTGAAATTTCTGGAAGAATACTGATAAAAAATTATCTAGAACATTGAATGAGTATAGTCTTCAGAGCTGACTTTTATATTGCTTCTACTCTTCAGAACTTTGTAAAATGGGAAAGTAAAATATACTGTGGTGCCAGTATTCGTATCTCCAAGGATGTGTGGTCATATTAAATCTCCTTAATTCTTTTGATATAGGAGTTAAAAAGAAATTATTTAGGCAGATAATGAGGGTAACGAAGTTCTCAGTAAGGTTTTCTTTTTATTAAGAAGCAGCTTCAAAATCATTTTCTTTTCTAACAAAGAGCAGCCTGTAAAATCGAGCTGCAAACATAGACAAGCAAGCTGGAAGCTTGCACGGGTGAATGCCAGCAGTTGTGCCAATAGGAAAAGGCTACTAGGCTTGTTCAAAATCATGGTTCCATCTTCCCTTTTCCTTTCTAACCACGTGTGCAGTCAGGAACAGACAACATGACACTGGCCAAGTTGAAAGCTCATTTGCATAATAAGAAATTAGGGTGGGGTTGCCAGCTTCTTTGTGGGCTATTTAAATCTCACTCCTGGTCCAACCAATCTGTGGGCCCTATGTAAATTAGACACCGCCTCCTCAAGCCTGTCCATAAAATTTGGTGCACTCCGCAGCTGGCCAGAAGTCCCACTCCAACACCCCTCTCTCTCAGGAGAGGGAGCTAGTCTTCTTTCTCTTTTTTTTGCCTATTAAACCTCCACTCCTAAACCCACTCCTTGTGTGTGTCTGTGTCCTTGATTTCCTTGGCATGAGGCAACGAACCTTGGGCATTACCCCAGACAATGATGCTGCTTCACTTTCACTCATTTATCTAACAAATATTTTATTGAATACTAAACACTTAGTATAATTACTAAACAAGTATACACAAAATTTTCCTTCATGGAGCTTATTTTCTAGTGATGGAGATATACATGTATACTATTGCAGAGACTGAAAAACTGTTGGCCAAGTAATTATCTATTCTTCCTGGGCCAACAGCTAGACTGTGTTTTCCATATTCCCTTGCAGTTAGGTGGCTAGCAAAACATAACAGAAAGCAATGTATGAAACTTCCAGGCCTTATTCAGTACAGTCTTCCATGCATGATTACGACTTTTTAAATTATAAATTAACACATTACAATTGTATAAATTTATGGGATACAAAGTGATGTTATAATTTATTAATACAATGTGGATTACTTAAAACAAGTTAGTTAACTTACCTATACCCTCAAATATTTAACTTTTTTTGTGGTCATAATACTTGAAGTTTATTCTCTCAATTTTTAAATTTTGAAATATGCAATACTCAATTATTAACTATATTCACCATGCTGTAGAAAATAACTCAAATTATCTATCTATCTGTCTGTCTGTCTATCTATCTATCTATCTATCTATCCATCCATTCCTCTTAGGTGAGATTTTGTACCCTTTGATAATCATTTTCCCTATTACCCCATTTCCCTTATCCCCAGCCTCTGTAATCACCATGGTGATTTTTGACAAGCTTCCAATATTTAACATCTTAGTACGGATGAGAATAGTGAGTTTGAATAGCATGTGTTATCAATAATAGGGTTTCAAAACGGAACAAGCCTGGGTCCTTGAATCATTGCCTGGAGAAAAACCATCTGTGGATAGGAACATCTACTTTATACTTCACATTCTGGAGAAATTAAGTGTTACTCTACATTTTTTAGTTAGCTTGATTCAAAGTTATTATTACCTAGCAAATATAGATGTTTATTTCTTAAAGTGAGGGGCTTTAAGAATAAGGATGATAAAAAGGGTGACAACGGCTCAGCTGTTGAGCAGTCGAGTAGTGGGCTGTGAAAAGATACGTATCATAGGCTAGAAAGATGGAGACCCATGCTGTGCAGTGGCAGACAAAATGCGTCTTCCTTCCAAGTTGTTGCAAAGACAATTCTATTTAACAATTAATTAAATTAATTAAACAAAGAATTTAAACAATTCCTTCCTGTGCCTCTGCACAGTGTTTGATAGAGCTATTGAATCTGCAACCCTAGGACAAGTGGTTAAAAAGAGCGCTCAGAGAACAAGTGTGGCATGGCTATTGTTGGCTGCCTTTAGCAAGTTGTTATAAGAAAGATGAGTTAAGGCAAAAATGTATTGATTTTTCAAACAGAATTGGAAAAAAATACTGAAAATACAGAGATTACAGTCCTTAAAGGGAAAAGCCACTACTTCTGGACCCCAAAGAGAAAGAAGAAAGACTGAAAGTAAACCTAGACTATTAAAACTTTTCAGTTGAAATAAATTATTCACTATGAATCAAAGATCGAGTTAAAAGTCTTATTTTCATAATAAGTGTTTTATTTCAGATGATGCAAGCTACCATTAAACTGAGAGACAGAGTTATGGGGATGAGAAAACAAAGAAATTAATCAGATATGAGAAATATATTACAGGCAAATATTGAGCATATGTACTGTCAACATTGTGAAGGGTCTGAAGTTTTACCTTACTTGGAAGCTAACATGTTAGTCTCTTCTAGTTCCATGAATGCTAGCAGAAGACACAAGAATCCTTGGTCAAAGACAACAAAATGTTTACTCATAGCATAAGAATAACAAATGTCTACCAACAGATGAATGGGTAAATAAATTGTAATATATCTGTACAATGGGATACTATTCAGTAACAAAAAGAATTAACTGTTGATATACACTATGACAGAATTCAATCTGAAAATAATTGTAAGTGAAAGAAACCAGACAAGAAATAATATATATTGCTTAAAGCAAATTCCATAAAATTCTAGAGAATGCAAACTAATCTAAACTGAAAAAATGCAAATCAGTGACTCTCTTAGAGTGGAGGAGCAGAATGAAATAATTACAAATTATCACAAGAAAATGTTTGAGGGTGCTGAATGTGTTAATTGTTTTGGTTGTGGTGATGGTTTGAAATATGTATAATATGTTCAAAACTTACCAAATGGTATTTGCTAACCATGTATAGTTTAGTGTATGTCAATTATACCTCAATAAAGCTATGAAAAAATAATACACAAAGCAGCAGTTGTTATGGTGAGAGAACAAGCATACTTGAATTCCACAGTAGGATTTCTCCAAAGTGTTGATCACAGGGTTTAGGTTGGTGTTTATGAATTTTATATTGATGACAAATTGTATAGTTGTCTACTTTCTCAAGTACAGGCCAACAAATTGGAATATCGAAAGGATAAAGACAATAATTTTATACATTCACAGCTAAGGTTTTTAAAGGGTGATGTATATAAATCAGTAGCTTACAATAACAGGTACTAGATACTCTAATATCCAATCTAATGGAGCTGCTTTCCATTGAAGCTATGTCCAGGCTTGTAACAGAAGTAAAAAGACACTGTGGTGAAATGTGCTCTTAAAACACTTCACTTCTATTCTCATGTCGTTTGCCAAAACATATAACATTGTTGAATCTGATATCAAGCAGAAAGATAAGGGTAAATATAATGTCACAGGGTGGAACACCATAAGTCAAATGGAACAACTTCATGCCAACATGCAGAGATGTATATATACACACATCCACAGTGCATAGCAGAACATGTGTTTAAAACCAATCGTCTCTTTCAATAAAAGCTCTTTACTTACCCAACTTGAAGGGGGAAAAAAAAACACAACAGTTTTATCCAATCATAGCAACAGGTTCAAATCCAGGATCTTATGATGATTTCTACATCAAACTCAGATGTGGATCTTTTGACTCCAGAGATTTATGTCTCCAAAGTGAGATTATCCAGTCTCTTCAGATAGCAAATGCATTGTTGAGAAGAGGACATGATAACTGCAATACACATTCTCATTTGGAAAGTGAGGAGTGGAAAACACATTGTTATCACTGGTCTATAGTAATGCTGGGCAGAGTTATGAGGAAACTCTACCCTGGGCTTTGGGAGTATCCTTAAACAGCTGATATTACTCTCTGATAAACAGCTGCTCAATCCACAGTTCTTTGGGGATATGTCTTAGTGTTGGTTGAGAACCACTCTTACCTTGCAGCTTGCATTTAAAAAGTCAGGAGCCCAAGGGTCATTTTCAACCTCAAATATTTAGGATGCCTTTAAGTGATGGCTCTTTATAAAAACTCATTCTGTTTTGTTATTGTTGGTTGAGAATCTCTCTTACCTTGAGGCTTACATTTAAAAAGTCAGAGAGCCCCATGGTCATTCTCAACCTCAAGTATTCAGGGTGTCTCTCAGTAGTGACTCTTTTCAAAAACTTGTTTTGTTTCTTAACTTTTTGATTCTAGACAATTCTATTTACCAACATCACTCCTACCATTATTTTTGAGATATCCCTTTCTCTCTCTGCACTTAATTGTGTGTACTTTTGTTTTCCAAAGGCCTGTTTAGCTTGTTCTTGTTTTGGTGACACACTGCAGCAGCTTTCAATATTACAATATCCTGAAGTCTGGATGTTTTCCAGTCATTTTTTCTCTCCTTTCTACAATTTGCACACAGCCATGTTTTTTTAGATGGAATCTGATTCTGTTTCTCAGGCTGGAGTCCAGTGGCATGATTCTAGTGCACTGCAGCCTCAAACTCCTAGGCTCAAGCTATCCTTCTGCCTCAGCCTCCCAAGTAGCTGAGACTACAGGGATATGCTGCCGAACTCAGTTAATTATTTATTTATTTATTCATTTTTGTAAAGATGAGGGTCTTACTTTGTTACCCAGGCTAGTCTTCAACTCCTGGGTTCAAGCAGTCCTCCCACCTTGCCCTCTCTAATTACTGGAATTACAGGCATAAGCCACAGTGCCCAGCCCACAATCATTTTTGTTTATGTGTTTGTGTGTTTGTTAAATCACCTCTATATTTTAGTCATTTGTCAAATATAGCCCATTGCAACCAAAGCATGCTTATAAAATTCCAGTTTCCAGAGTTAACTTAGTTCAAATCCAAGTCCATTTGGTACATACCTTGTTGTCCAAGTTGTTGCAGGGGAGAATTCTATCAAAACTTTTACTGTTTCCTAACTACGTCTTCAGTAATTGTTTCCATTTCCATGCCTGTATTACTCTGTCTTGAAAGCAATGCCATATTTTTTAGGCTGTGTTGCAACACAGGAACATTCCTTTCCTGGTATCAATTTATGTAGCAGTAAGCATGGGCTAAGTTATGCCTCTATAGTCAACAGCTCCTAAATGCTCAGAAATCTACAATAACAAAAGTTTAGTTCTTGCTCTGTTTACATGCTCACTGTGGGTCAGAGGTGGCTGAGTTTCAAAAGGTCTTCACTCATTTGGCAAAGCTATCTCTGTGTATGACATTGCTAGGTTCACAACTGAGGGAAAAAATGAGTACAATGCAAAGCAGATGTTGTGGTATTTTTCTTATTTTTATTTTTTTATTATTTATTTATTTATTTATTTTGAGACAGAGTCTTGCTCTGTCGCCCAGGTTGGAGTGCAGTGGCGCGATCTCGGCTCACTGCAAGCTCCGCCTCCCGGGGTTCAGGACATTCTCCTGCCTCAGCCTCCCAAGTAGCTGGGACTACAGGCGCCCGCCACCACACCCGGCTAATTTTTTGTATTTTTAGTAGAGATGGAGTTTCATCGTGTTAGCCAGCATGGGCTCGATTTCCTGACCTCGTGATCCACCCCCCCCCCTTGGCCTCCCAAAGTGCTGGGATTACAGGGGTGAGCCACTGTGCCTGGCCTCTTATTTTTATTTTTTAATCTTACTATGCTTCCACTAAGAAGTGCTACAGGCCTCTTCAGTTTCCATTTCACTGACTGAAAGAGATCACAAAATTTAGCTCGACATCAATGAAAATGTACTCATCCTCCTATGAGAGTGTCAAATCTTTTTAACTATTACCCAATCTAAGGTATTATGGAAAGAGAGAGCACCACGTGATTGCAATGATAGTATATAAAATAAGCTAGGTTAAAAAAATGTAATGTAAACAGTGGAAGAGGTTTTAAGCCAAAATATGTGAGAACTACATTGGTCCCTAAAATCAGCAGGTGTTATATTAGGGCTGATAAGATAGAAAATATATGAGACTTTGATTAAAGGAAAAGATGATTCGAATTTTTGGAGAAAATGTTATCTGATTAAATCAATATTATAATATCACTTTTCTGGGATTTGGCATTCTAATATTTGACTTCTCACTATCATAGAAATTCTGGCACTTACAAAATGTCAATATGAGTGCAATTAACACATATTGGCATGCTGTTGTTTTTCCCTAGTGGTTTTCAGGAAGTCTTAGAGATCAATATAGACCACTGAATATCTATTTGAATAGATTGATAGATATTAATTATAAGACAACTGAAATTAGTGTATTGATTCGGTAGAATTTTTTTTATCTTTTAGGTAGATGTGGCATCCTGATTGGTTTGATTCTATTCACATCTCTAGAATAAGCTCAGTTTGAAAATTCTCTATTTCTTTCTCACTCATTTGCCAAACTCTTTTTCTAATAAAAGTAAAACATAAAGTTAATACATCATAAATAGCCCAATTACCAAATAAAAAACTGTAGAAATTTTCTTAGGATAAGAGGTTTTAATCTAATTTAGCAAGCATAATAGACGTTTCGTCTAAATTTGTACCACATTAAAGGTACAGGAAAGCAGCACTAGTTTAAAAAAATTAATCCACATATGTCAGAATAAAGTCAAAAAATAACTTTTTTCCCTCAAAAAAGAGAATTGAGAGGATGAATAAAGTAACTGAGAGGAATCAGCTGTATTTCATGACCAAGAAGGCTTCAATTGTGCTATTTATTAGTTTACACTGTGGCAGCTCTGCCCCCATTTAAAAGGACATAGAACTCATTGTGTAGCACCCCAGAAACATGAGAACACCAGGAAAAAGAGGCAGCCATCATCAAGAAAACAAACACTGAAATGAATTGCCATTTGTCACCTTTCTCACTGTTCTGTTGACCCAGAGTCCCCATCTACTCTGAGTGGTCTCATGCACAATTCTTAATAGGGTACAAAAGAAAAAAGCAATGCCTGCATTTTTAGAATGAGAGTCATCCTCCAAAGGTTGCCCCTTAAAAGTAAAGAATTGTAACTCTGTCATCTTTGTGGTCAAATTCCTTTTCCTCTTGGAAATAAAAGAATGTTCTTTGACTGTGATTTTCTTTCTTTCTCATCAGCCATGAGTGATGAAAGACAGATACCAACAAATGAAATTAGACTCTCTCTGACTATCCTCAGATCAGAAACTCTTGAGGTAAGTTACTTTGTCAATCATTTTCCCCCAATAGGACAGAGAGCATAAGGTTTGCATAATTGCTAGTAAGCTCCCACCCCAATACAATTAGGAGTATGAAACACCAGCTGATCAGCTATAGTGTGGACATGTTCTGTGGATCAGTGGAAAATGTTGGTAACACTGTCCACATGCTATGATCAATGCATTTATGTACTCCCTTTCAAGAAGGTGAAGACACGGGAAACTGCTGTCATGTTATCCTCTTCCAACAAAATAAAGGATGTTAAAAGGCCCCTCATAAGCCAAAACCTTTAACACCTGTGTAATTCATCCATCATATTCAGGTAACATTTTTGAATTCAAATTATTGGCAGATCATGAGAAGATGCATGCATGAATGAAATCATTATAGATACTTCTTTGATTCTACCAATTATGCTACAGTGCCCAATCTATAATGTAAGGAAGGACCCTATGGATTTAGAATATGCAGGTCGCAAATCCATTTCTACACCTGTTGTATGTTGGTTAAATACCCACAGGTTCTAAAGAGCATGGGAAGTGTTATCTTGAACAAGCAATCTCATCATATAGTACAACTAGTGAGATAGTGGGGTTTTTTTTCCCATTTTTTATTTTGCTTTGCTTTGTTTTTTAATTGACTATGGGTTGATGGAGCCACAACTTCTTTTTTTGCCGACCAATAGCCATTTCTGAGATTTCAGATTAGTTTAGAGGCCATTTTTATGAGCACAAGTTGTATTTAAGCTTAGAAATACATTTTGGTGAAAACTAAATATATTGCCTACACAATTAATTACAATAACCCACACTGATATCAAACCTAAGATTCAGAACTCATTTATGATATACTATAACCAAAACAACTTATGAGTCACAGGAATGCACAAAGAAGATCTGTCAATTGACACAATCATCATTAACATTAGTTTGACATTTTGCTTTAGGGGATTTTTTTTTCTTTCTCTTTTCTTTTCTTTTTATTTGTTCTTATGATTGAGGTAAATATCCCTACCCTCAAGTTAAATTGTATTTACTTAATGAATTAATTTGGTTGCGTTTCTTTTCTTTGACTAGTAACTAGCCAATTGTTTTACTACATTAACTAAATCAAACTTAGTTGCATAATTAGGTTTTATTAATATCTGACCCATACAGAATGTGGCATTATTAAAGGTTTGAAAAGTCCAAGAATCCTGAGATTGTATAGTAAAACGTTCCTGTGAAGAGGCAACTAGAGAAATAATTGAGACTCTCATTTTTCATATGAAAATACAGACTCAACACTACTGAATTCTCAGTAACGGAATATAAGTTTTAGTTTGTTTCCTTGTATTGATTCTGTTTTTAAAGTATGAGAAAGGGTTCGTGTTAAGCAATTCATTGTCTCTGACTAAGGAATCTGTCTGGATTTAGGAATTATTCTGTGTGTAGGGAAATGGAAAAACAATAAATGTGATTACCCAGGAACCAAACAGAAACTTAGACTCATAGCAGAGAATTGCCGATTAAAAATAGTAAAAAAGAAAAAAAAAGTATTAAGTAGCAAACCTATATCACCCTGATTATATTTCAGAGCAGTAATTCTAATGTAAACTCCTATGGAAGAAATACGTGCTAAAGGAGGCAATTAAACGGAGCCTTCTGCTAATTCTCAGAACATTTAATAAATATACATGATTTTCTTAATTTTAAGATTTTCTTCCATATTTCCCCCTTAAAGCATTACAGCTGGCTAGAACTAGTCCACTAACAATAGTTATTTGAATAAAAAAATAAGTTACAAATGAATATTGCAAGAAAAATGTAGAAAGCACTTGAACAACCTCTTCAACATCTTGTAATTCCCTCTCTTGGGGGAAATAGAAGTACCTACTTGAGATTATATAGTGTATTACTTCATATATAGGTATATGGATATTTCCCACAAGTAAATATACTTTCACATAGAATTATTGATTTTTAAAAATTATAATCAATACAAAGCAATACGATTTCAGGGTATACACATCCAAGTTTTTGAAAGTGTATTAGATTTCATACTATTTCATAATATTCGTATTAGAAATCATATTAGATTTATTCCAGCTTTCCAGGTGTTTAGATACCTAACACTTGTTTTCTAATCCCTATTTCTTCAAATGAGTGGTCCAGGGTAAAACAATCTGGGCATGTCTTTTTGAAAATGGTATTTTAATTAAAAGTACCACATATACAGATAGGCATAGTCACACAAGTTCTTCAAAAATAATAAAATTTTCAGGATCAAACTAGTAGAAATAGTATAGTCAAAATTATGATACATTTTGAACAATTATACTTACATTTTTTTCTCATTAGAATAACATACTCTGAGCAGTTGATTGGCCACCGAAAAACTGATTTCAAAGAGAAAAAGACAGAAAGAGAGTGAGAAAGAAAGAGAGCTATTTATAGGCATGGTTAATTTCTGTTGTCAATAAAATTTATCGCAATGATTCACAGTCATAGTCTATACTATTTTACTTTTAAGAAGAATTAATAGCACATATTAGTACAACTTTCATATATTATAGTTACAAAAATGTGAAAATATGTTATAATTACTCAAATATTACTTAAAGTAAGTAGACACTGGTCAGCATTTAAAATTTTTCTTCTTTTTCCTTATAATTCCAAATATCTTATTGTTATGACATTCATTGTTTAAATATATCCACACATGCATATATATATGTATATATATATATATACATATATATATATATTCACACACACATGTGTGTCTGTATTCAAGAATGTTAATTTCCCTTTTCTTCAAATGTCCAAAGGTGAAAATTAGACCCTTTCACTTTGCTTGGACAAATTGGCAGAAATTGATCTACACTGTAAGAAGCATATATCTTAAAATAAAAAAAAAATTAACTGGCTTGTCCAAACTATGTACTGGTCGAACAACAATTTAACTCAAAACTAGCTAGAAGCCCAAGGTCAATAAAGAAAGATCATTTTATGTTTTAATTGTTTGCTAAAAGTTTGATTTGGCAATTTTCAGTACACAATAGAAATAATAGAAAATGCTGACATGTCACTCTTCACTTATACTATTTAATACATAGCAAATTAGTTTGTGATAAGTATATTTTGTGATTATATTAGTAATATGTTTTTGAAACTTGTTTCTATAGCACAAAAACAGAGAAAAAATTAAAAGGATATGTAGTATGTAAGACACACATTTGCACATATATCACATACATGCTTATTCCCAGATAACCCTGAAGAACAAGGTTTTATACATTGATACACGTCATCTATGCATTTTTATCTTGACATGGAAAAAGACTGGGCCAAAGCTTTCAGAAATCAAATGTGAACTCATTTTGAAATAGCAGCAGTGTTTGAATTTTAAATTAACCTATTTACAATGAAACTATGCCTGCTGATTGCCATCATCTTCAGGAAAATTAACAGTAACGATCATTGGTGTCATAATGCAATTTCCCCGCAAAAATCACATAGGCTTCATTACTGTTTACATAAATTGTCATAAATACCAATTATGGTGGAACATAAAATGTAATGCTCTTTTTTTAATCATAATCAGACAATTGTTCTTCTAATTCATATGCTAGGGGAATAAGGTTATGATTCAACCTTTGTTGTGAAGGAAGTGTTTTGATGGTAGTTAGTTTTCCTCTAAGTGCTGGTTGGCTTCTTGTCAAATCATTCAACTCTCCGTTTGGATCATGTAGTCCTTGTTTCTGTTCACTGTGCTCTCTAATATACTAGGAAGAACATGGAGGCGTGCTAATGGCAGATGAGGGAGATATACACTGAAAGTGTCCTCTAGACGTCAGCGGAGAGGTGGCTTCCGGTGGGGTTTATAACAACATTTAGTATAATTACGTCGAAGCCCCCATAAAGGAATAATGCAATAACAGACCTGTTAGAGAAGCACATTTGCAGTACCAATTCCAGCTTCCACCATAGGTCAGCAGAACAAATAGCTGGTAAAGGCAATGCCCTGTTAAATGGCTAATT
Organism: Homo sapiens; assembly: GCF_000001405.40. NCBI lineage: Eukaryota > Metazoa > Chordata > Mammalia > Primates > Hominidae > Homo > Homo sapiens. The sequence goes on from NC_000018.10 coordinate 40,017,560, forward strand.
TTCAAAACAAATAAGTTGCTGGCAGGGGAATGGAGGAAAAGGCCAGAAAGAAGAGATTCAGTATTTTTACCATTTTGGTCTCTAAGAAGGAGATAAATCAGCTAGAAAGGTTACTCAGACAGAAAGTCAGAGCAAAGGACAATACTCTCTGAGGACAAAAGCCCTTCCTTTGCTTTCTGTAACATGCCACACAAAGCCAAGAATCACACCGTTTGGGTCCTGTTTTATCGCATCATAACACTCTTTGTACTTGTTCTTCTTTGGCCTTTGTTCTTGACTTATTTACTCCTAAAACTTAAAAACAAAGTCTGCATAAATTTCCCACTCTTCTGATTCAGAACAGTCTTGAAACATTAAAATCAGAAGAAAATCACTCCCCTGATTCTTTGAACCGTGGTGTCCATGCATAATGGTGGCCACATGCAATTATATGTGTCTAGGAGCTATGGTGGGTTTGATCTGCAGGCCCTCTCCACACTTCCAGATTGGGCATTGCTATCTTAATGAACCCTGGCAATTTGTCCTCGTTCTACCTAATTCTATCCTATTTGATTAAAGCAAGCGGTAATGATAAGTCCAGTTAAGTTTAATGAAACAAAATTAGGACTCTTGATCTAAGAAGAAAATAATAAAACTGGCAGGGATTTCATCTGTGGGAGAAATCAAAGTAGAATAAACAGAAATGTAGTAAAATTAGCTGCTGTTTTTTCATTGTGTAAGCTAGGGTAATGCTAAAGGTAAACAAATGGCATCAGCAGGGAGGAGAAAATGAGACTTTTACTTTTTTCCGTCTTTCATAATCTCATGCATTATCGGTAACAGGGTGAGACGTTTTAATAGGGTGTGATCATCATTAAAAGGCAGATATTTATCTTATCACAGTGCATTAAACTCCCAGAAGGAAGTGGGAAAAAAGGGAGAGTGAATGACTCTCATGAACTATTTAATGAAACACTAAGGTTGCAGCTTTTCTTGTTTGTCTTTAAAAAACGAAACAAACTGATATTGGACAAAACTGGTTCCAAACACACCCAGGCTGTACCCGGCGCCTGTGCATTTTGAGAAGTCTCTTCTGTGTTCTGACTTTGTTTAATAATTTCTAATTATGTTCTACAACCCAAAATTAAATATTTCTATCTCCATTGTGTGTACTTATTCATGAGCTGGGCATTAATCGTAAAACAATGTATCTTGTTATTTATTTATACCAGATGTGAGTATTTATGTTGCTCTGTTCAGGGTTTCCAGCTAGGTCTTTATTTGTATACTGAGCCGCCTGTTTTTGCATGAAAATGGTTTCTGAGCTCTGGAGTTCATCTCCACTCTTGTGTTTAAAACAACAACAACAACAACTTTTTTTAAGAGAGAGAATTTATGAATAACTAAGAGATTTCTGCTGTGGCTCCCCGGGTCTCTCATCAGCAGGGCAGCCAGAATATGTTTTGGGGACCAAGAAAATTCAATTTGGGATTTGTTTCACAGTTTACAATGCTGGTTTCTTGCAAACAAAATCTGCCTGGGCCATGGAGAGCTTTGCTTCTGAAATATATTTGCATAGTGTTAATTTTCTACTTATTTATTAACTTTTAAAAATGTATGAGTTTGTTTGGGTGGTGGAGGGTGGAAGTGATGCCAATATATCTTTCTGTGTCTGCCTCCATGAAATCTAACTTAGTCAATGGCTATAAGAACCCACTGATAGATATTTTCTTAAAGGATATTTTATGTTTGCCATTTTATTAGCATAATTGGCATATAGTAAACTTAACCTGGGAGTAAAAATTTTCCTTCTATGCTGTCTGTTTTCCTCCTAATTCTCCTCCTAGAGAAACTAGTTTTATCAATTACCATGTGTTCTTTAATAGAAATTTTATGTCCATAAGCACACAAACATACAGACACACACAAACAGAGAGACACATATATATCCCCTTTTAAGGCAAATTTCAGTATACTGTCCTGCACTTTATTTTTTATTTGATATTTTATCTTGGGATTGTTCCATATCAAGTTATAGAGCATGTTCTCATTATTTTTTACAGCTGTATAGCATATCACTATATGGATATAAGTAAAGTATTTAATAAAAGACTGTATTTTATTTCTCATCTTAAATCAGTTGAACGTAGCACAGTTATTGCCTCGTAAGACCTTTCCAGTAAGTATTTGCAGATCTACACAGAAGGAGCAACTGGTTAGTGCGCAATGATCTAATGGCATGGTTCTTTGTCAGTGTGAGTTGGTGAACAGATAAACATGACTTGTTCTTAAGTACTGTGCTTAAGAGTAAAGGATGACTGATTTAACTATTTTCAACATGGAGTAATATATTAGTCTCTAAAGAGTATTTACTCCCATAGCATAGGTAACTGCAAAACTGGGTAAAGCACCTACATTTTTTGCTATAAGGCAGAAGCTCCACAACAGGGAGCCCACTGAATGACTATAGCCTGCAGGCATGTTTTGTTTTGATCAATTAAAATGTCTTTGAAGTAGCTGACACCATTAGCTAATTTAGAAATTTAACATAAAAAAACATATCTATAGCTGTAGCTTTTGTTGAAAAGCCTGACAATCTAGCAGGAGTTGGCCTGCCTTTCTTCATAGCAACAGCTTCTGGGACTGAGTAGCACTGCCATCTTTAGACAAGAACATGAGTGTCAGGATTCTCCCAGATCTGCCTTGGCCAGTTTAGCTCATTACCTGCCTTGATCCAGTAGGCATTTAAGTTTCCCATAGCTGGGCTCACGTATAAAAATCCACACACCCTCATGAGATGGAGCAGAGAGTCCCTTTTTGGGGTCTGCATGCCCCCGACTTTCCCAGGCATGGAAATAAAATAAAATTTTGAGTTTCTTCAAGGGAAACTAGCCCTGAGAAGTAAATAAATAACTTGTGATGCAAGAAAGTAATAGCCTAAAACAATAGCCAAGGAGTAAGGTACAGAGATGTTTGGTTTTCCTATTGAAACTAAAGATAATAGCTTAACATATGTCTCTGAGTTATCTTTCCAAAACTGGATTTCCCCGCGAAGGACCCCCACCAAATATATCCAGATATGCTGTTACACAGACCTCAGATAAGGAGGAATTGAAGACTGAACTCTGACCATTGTTCTGTGTTCTAAATTTCTTCCTGTGGGGCTTGGAGGGAACCACACCCCAGAGCCAGGCAAATTTTTTTTTTTCTGCTGAATTCACATTTTTAAGAAAAGCTTCTCTTCCTTAACCAATTGCAGATCAGAACATCTTTGAATCTACCAACAACCTGTAAGTCCCTGCTTCAAGATATCCAGTCCTTATGCCAAAACCAATGTGTAACAGCTGTGTGTTGATTTACAATTTTCCCTCCTGAATTTTACCTCTGCCTTTAAAAACCTTTGCCTGCAGGCCAGCAGAGAGGTCAGGGTTTAAACAATAGCTGCCTGGTCCTGCTTGGTTGGCACCCTGTAACTTAATGCCTTCCTTTCTGTCACTGCAAAAACCTCAATGTGTATATCTGGTATTACTGTGCTGGGCAAGTAGACCCCAGTTCTGTTCTATAACAGAGTTAACCATCAAAATCTAATCCCGTATAGGAATAGTGCTCCGATAATGGTAATGATTATTATATTAGGCAAAGTAATGTAGGAATACTGGAGGATTTGTAGTACTAAACCACCATGATTATTGAAAGAAAATATTGTACTTCTAGTTTCTGGTCCAGTATGTAAAGAGCTTGGAAATTTTCACTCTTTCCTAAAAACAAGTAAAACGCCGAACAAGGTTAAAACCAACAACCTTCTTAGATCTATCAGAGAATTGAGGTCATAGAGCAAACTGCTGCCCCCAAAATTGGAGAGACAGACAGACACAGAGAATCACAACTTATGAAAGCAGTAACCCAAAATCAGAGCCCTTCACAGGAACCAGTACCAGCATAGAAAAATCTAAACTGTAATTGACAAATTGCTGCAGGCTCAGTGTAGACAAGTGTGAGAGATTAAAAGTCCAGATCCAGAAATGGGAAGAAAGGGGGCAATCTTAGTGAGGAAGGCCCACTTTTGTGAGTTTTATCTCTGGAAGCTCTACTAGTTCTTACAGAGAAGATTGGAGAAAAAGCCCCTTGTTCTTTCTGCAGAAGGGCAAATGTGATCATTTTGAAATACGTCACAGCATTTTGTTCTTAATAAGGTCTGTTCTCAAGAAAAATTATTTACCAGAGCTTAACCTGTTGGAGTTTTATCAGAGCCTAACTCACCTGGGAGAAGGGAAATATCCAACTCCAACCCCCTTTAGATATTCAGCCCCACCTAGGGGTAAGAAAAGAACCCAAACAAACACACAAACAAACAAAAAAGCTGAGAAACATTCACAAAGTTCACAGCCCAGGGGTACAGGCTCACTAAAAGACTAACACCTAGTCAGAGGACTCTAGGATGCTTCCCCATACCTTACACCTTAGTAACTACATCACTAAAGACCTATTTCTTGCAGTTCCTTTTACCAGTACATGATGTCCAGCTTCCAAAAAAAATTATGAGACATACTCAAAGGCAAAAAACACAGTTTGAATAGACAGAACAAGCACTAGAACCAGATTCAGGTATGGAAGAAATGTTGGTATTACCATTCTATGAATTTAAAATAAGTATAACTAATAATGCTAAGGGCATTTATGAAAGAAGATGTTGCTCAGTAACCTGGAAATTTATAAACTGAATAGGCAACCTGCCTCCCATTATATTATGCACTGTGCATTTTTTATTGATTTTGGATATCAAAATATCTCACTCACTATGGAGGGAAAGGAAGGTGTGAGAATAGGGAAGACGAAGAGCTATTTAAGGCTGAACAAAGACAAATATTATCCCAGAATGTGAGGGTCCTGAGGCAGGGCAGGCTGCATGAGGGCTCCTGACAAAATTGTTCTATTAAATGCAAGGCAGATCTAGATGTGACATCTGCTATCTGAGGTCCATGATGGGAGGAAACTCAGGCTTTCAGCCAAAGGAATTGTAACGTACACCTCATCCCACTCCTCTGGTAGTTTACTTCCCTTTCCTTCACTTAGGCCTATGTGAAGATCTACCACCTGGACTCCATGCTCTTTGAAATATCACAGAATACAGCGATTCTACATGCCAAGGGAAGGCTGTATATATTCATTTCCATATAGCTTAAATGCTGGGATTTGAGTTTTCCGGATGACAATCCCCTAAATTAAATGCCTTGTGATTCTTGCCCCCTGCCAGTCAGCTCTCCAAAGAAAGGGCACTAAGCATTGCACATCTGCCATATCTGTGTTCTTATAGCTTCACTATTCCAGGGAATAGGGTGAGAAAAGAGCCCACCCTGGCACTCACCACTAATTTTACTCCAGAAATGGAACACAGCTGAGTAAAGACTCGCCATATTTTAAAAGACAGATCAAAATATCTCAGGTGCTTTCAGCTCTGGCATCTTTTACTAGTAATGACCTCAATAATAATCAGGCTGTGAGGACCAGGACTCTCAAAAGGAAGACCATCCACCCCTACACAAGGAATCAGCTTAGTTCTGGAAGGGAGACAGTGCAGAGAGGGGCTTTTTTTTTTGACAGAGTCTCGCTCTGTCGCCCAGGCTGGAGTGCTATGGCATGATCTCTGCCCACTGCAACCTCCGCCACCCAGGTTCCAGTGTTTCTTCTGCCTCAGCCTCCCAAGTAGCTGGGATCACAGGCACCCGCCATCATGCTCGGCTAATTTTTGTATTTTTGTAGAGACGGGGTTTCACCATGTTGGCTAGGGCTGGTCTCAAACTCCTGACCTCAGGTAATCTGCCCACCTCAGCCTCCCAAAGTGCTGGGATTACAGGCATGAGCCACCACGCCTGGCCAAACCATCACGCCTGGCCCAGAGGCTTTTACCTCCAAGTCTGTGGTTTGATTCCAGATATAATAACTAGACAGACCAAATGTCATTCTAATTAGATGGCAATAAAGTTCCATAGCAAAATGAATTCCACAGTTTGAACTCACTTCAAGGGGACATTTGTCTTCATTATGGGACATGTATTTGGGGCTTGGCAGGCATTTCTGCTTTAAAGAAGCCCATGCTATAATGAGCGTGAAGATGGAAACCTTTGCCCAGTGCCGAATGCCTAGAGCTTGCTCTGAAAAAGGAGCCTCAGCCTTCAGGTGCAACTAGGCCAGACCTGGTTACCCTTTCAGACTTCTTTCCTGTAATTGTTTGAAGAGAAGATAGCAAAGAAAAACAGCCCTGACAGATTGTAGAGGTGATAAAGTTCCTGAAAGTTAGGCCAGCTAATTGGGTAAAAGTCTATTATTGCTGAAAATCTCCCAAAGTTTCACACTTTACCCCCTTTCTCTCTCTTATCTTCTGTTTTTAATTGAAATACACAATTCTGTAGAGGATATAGCCAACTGAGTCAATAACAGATCAAAAGCTTAGGCGTGAAGCTTATTTTGGTCATGCATAATAGATTTTTTTTTTTTTTTTTTGGTAATTCCTGAAGGCTCCCTCAGGGTTCATCTCCTCCTTAGGGTGATGGCTTTCATGGGATGTGGTATCTTGGCCTTCTAAGAATTTTAGGGCCACTAAATCATTCATCTCCAACAGCTGCTGGAAGATGGACTCTGGAGCTTCCTTCCCCGCCCCACCCCCCGCCCCCCACCCCCCCACCCCCCAATTCTTCTCTTATTCTGCCACTTTCAGAGTTAGAATTAAGGTGAATGTATTTCCTATCCTTTTTCAGACATGCAGCATTTTGGGAGGACCAAGTAGGAGCCAGACATGGAGAGAGAAGAGAGAGTGAAAGGTATCTGAGATGGTGACATGTCCCAGCAGGCTGTGATTCAGTTAACTTGCTGTGAATGAAAGACAATAAAGAAGCAGAGAGCCAAGTTGTTACCATATGACCCTCAGATAGGGCATTTTTCTCTGTCTCTGAAATAGAAATAATATCTGGTGTGTTGGTATCAGAGAATTCTAGTAAGAAAGAAATGCATTATAATTTGTGTATGTGCTGGGGAAATGCTTTAAAAAGCCAACCGACCAACCATGCTCTACAGCTAAAACAATGTAAGTATAGATAACTGAAATGTGCAAATAAACTCAGGAGGTAAAGGGAAGAATATAAAAACTGAGGTTGTTTTCACCTGGATAGAGATATAGATAGAGCAATAGCTATAGATGATATAGATTAGATTTAGTTATAGATAGATTGATATAGACATATTCCACCTCACCAAAGTGTTGGAGATGCCACGTGGCATGGCCGAACCTGACAAGTGTACAGGCTCTAAGGCCAGACTTCGGAATTCAAACCCTTCCTCTGCTGTGAGGCATTGAACAAGTTATTGTTTCTTAGATCATTATCTGCGAAAATGTGATTGTACTGGGAGGAGTCAATAAATAATTTCAGGTAAAGCGTTTGGAACAGTGCCTAGGCATACTAAGGACTCAATTGACATTAGATATCCTCTTTTCCTCAAGTAAGTCTCATGTATTCTTGCCTCAGTTTTTTTTATTATACTCCCTTCCGTTTGAAAACTTCCTCTGCCCTGTGTATTTGAAGTGGATGCTTTGTTCGTTTCCATTAGGCTTAGCAGGTTTCCCCTGACCTATCACACTTACAGTGGTTGTCTCTCCTCTATGAACTCTTAAGGATATTCACTGATGATTCCCTAGAGGGACCGTAATTATATAATACTTTGGGGAATGATTTTATTGTTGTTTATTATTTTCTAGGAAGTAGCATCAACAGCAGAACTAACTTAAACCTAAGAATCAACTGACAAGAGATTGAGCTGATTATTCATCACCCTCAGGAACCTCATTTAACCTTTCTGAGCTTCATTGTATTAACTTGTAAGTGAAGATAATAATGATAATATGTCCTACTTTACAATTTTGAGGCTCTATGGAGGGAAAATCTGTGAAAGTTCCTGATAACCAGGGAAATCGATTTACTATACTTATATGTGTTCTGGTCTATCCAAATTAAATATAATGTCTTTAAGCAAAGAAGTGTTCTAGAGCATATGGTGGAATATTTTATAGCTTGGATGCTCAGTTAATATCTACTGATTGTTAAGTTGAGTTAATATGCTAGAGAGGAGAGATGAAAATTGAATATGGCTTCATGGCATGCATAAGAACAATTAGAAGAGACACAGAGTAGTCAAGGCATATGAAAGGTGTCCCAAAATCTTCTCAAGGAAAAGCCTCGATTGAGCCTTGATTAAAGGTAAAAATGTATCCGGCGCAGTGGCTCATGCCTATAATCCCAGCACTTTGGGAAGTCGAGGTGGGTGGATCACCTGAGGTCAGGTGTTTGAGACCAGCCTGACCAACATGGTAAAACCTCGTCTCTCCTAAAAATACAAAATTAGCCAGGTGTGGTGGCACACGTCTGTAATCCTAGCTACTCGGGAGGCTGAGGCAGGAGAATCGCTTGAACCCAGGAGGTGGAAGTTGCAGTGAGCCACGATCATCCCATTGCACTCCATCGTGGGCACAGTACAAGGTACAAATCTCCATCTCAAAAAAAAAAAAAAAAAAAAGAAAAGTAAAAATGTGTGCATATCTGTGGTGTGTCTGTGTGTGAAGAAAGAGAGGGGAAGACAAAAACAGAGACAAAGACTTAAAAAGTGGGAGAGAAACAATTTTTAAAGGTATAAAAGAAAAAAAATTAATATTAGCCATGAGAAACGGATACTAAAAGTAGATGTTCTTGCCAGCCACGTCATGCACAATTCAAAGAGGAGAGCGTACGTACATACATGGCCTGCCACAGGCTTTTCATTGCTGGGGGCACCAAATACTTTTGTGCAATTTACATTTCAACATGGATGGAGGTTTTCTTTTATTTTTTTCATTTTTTCCCTCCTCTGTCTCTTCCTTTTCAATTAATTAACTAACCACTAAATTGAACCTTGCCAGAATTATGGAAGAAGTAGTTTAGTTGGTGCTTCAATTCCGGTTCTGAACCATTTTTTCTTACTTCAGAATTGTTGTTTTCTATTCACCAATAATAAATTTGATCCATCTGAAGCTGACACTTTAAAATAGTTGGGACTCAGGCATAACATGACACCAAATGCGTATATTGATTCATACGTAAGGGATGGTAGGTAAGGAATGTACTTCAGCCTGACTACATCATATGTTTTCCCATATGATTAACTCATATAATTTTCCAAGAAGTACATAAACAAATTGGAAAAATCATTTTGGCAGGGTATTAGTATAACCAGATGTTCCATGGATTTGTTTCCTAAGGATAAGGATCATAAATTTCGTCATCATAGATCTAGAAGTTTAGAAGTTAGATGTTTGGAAGACTGGAGAAAGCCTTATACCTGGAACAGGAAATTCTTTTTTCTTTTTTTTTTTTCTTTTTTTTTTGAGACTGAGTCTTGCTCTGTCGCCCAGGCTGGAGTGCAGTGGCACGATCTCCGCTCACTGCAAGCACTGACTCCCTGGTTCATGCCATTCTCCTGCCTCAGCCTCCCGAGTAGCTGGGACTACAGGCACGCATCACCACACCCGGCTAATTTTTTTTTGTATTTTTAGTAGAGACGGGGTTTCACCACATTGGCCAGGCTGGTCTTGAACTCCTGACCTTGTGATCCAACTGCCTCTGCCTCCCAAAGTGCTGGGATTACAGGCGTGAGCCACCGTGCCTGCCCTGGAACAGGAAATTCTTTAGAGCATTTATTCTCAATGCTAACAGCTACAAATGCCTCCTGTACAATACTAGTATTGCTAGTGTAGTATCCTGAAATGAAATTAATGAATAACATAACTTATAAACGTACAGATTTTTTTTTTTTGAGACGGGGTCTTGCTCTGTGGCCCAGGCTGGAGTGCCGCAATTTCGGCTCACTGCAACCTCTGCCTCCCAGATTCAAGCAATTCCCCTGCCTCAGCCTCCTGAGTAGCTGGGATTACAGGCACGTGCCACCACGCCCAGCTAATTTTTTGTATTTTGAGTAGAGACGGGATTTCGCCATGTTGGTCAGGATTCTCTCGAACTCCTGACCTTGTGATCCGCCCACCTTGGCCTCCCAAAGTGCTAGGATTACAGGCATGAGCCACCGTGCCCTGCCAAACATACAGATTTTTAAAAGAAATGTAACATCTTAACTTTAAGATTTAGAAAAAAATAAAAAATTATATATCATAGGAAAACACACATTTCAATATCTAAATGCATAGGCAGTGCTATACCAGGAAACACGATGAAGTAGTTGGATGCTCTCACCTAAACAGGAAATCTCCATGAACTACAAATCAGAATAATATAGCAGGTGAGATTGATAGTCAAAATACCAGGAGTGGTATTGTCACCAGTGACATTATTTACTGAAATAACAAAACATTTTGATAAAGTTCTGAAAAAAAAGGTCTTCCTTTGGTATACATGACTGTTGCATTTACAGAAAAGCCAGCATATATTACAACTAACTCTATGTACAAAACAGATGTAGAGTCTAGGCTTACATATGTGAAAGACTGGTGAGTCATTGAGAAGTTGGATGGGGCTTGGGATAATTTTTTTCATGTGAGATTTTTCATTCATGGCAATAGATTGGTTTCTTTGTTTCCAACCCATTACATTTCAGTAGCATCCTCCAAACACAAATGCAACCCCTAACCCCAACAAGCCAAATTTCCAAAATGCTCTCAGAGATGCCCTATACTGCTGCTATTGAAAATTATTGCTCTGGGGAGAAAGGACCAATCTAATAGGAGTATAATTTACCGTAATTTATATGTGGGTAGGGCCCTTGCTGTGACCTCTGTGGTCAGTGAGAAACAGCAGGGCTTCAGGGACTTGGAGAAACTAGAAGCAGGATAGGCAGATTCAACATGGCTTGAAGGACATTTGCAAGACCCCTAGCCCTATGTCTCACCATGCTCAGTGCTCACACTCTTCCACAAAAGGGTTTATAAAAGCCTACATTCTCCCAAGGGGGATCTCAAACTAACACTTGGTAAATTCGAGCTGATCAACTGATCTAAATAAGTCAGGCCAAAAAGGAAGCAATTGGATCTGATATTTTTTCTTAAGAACAGAATTATATTTTTGGTTATTGCACCAGCTCTATGCTTCATGTTGCCTGCACTGAACACTAATCATAAAATTTCCTACTAAGATCAATCCAAGGTGAACGGAAAAATCAAGTGTTTCCTCAGGACTCCTTTTCAATCCTTTTTTTCCAACTTTCTGATGGAATCAATGCACCGAAACAAAAATACGTGAAAACCAGAATTAAATGGTCATCCAGCCAAGGTTCTTTTAGAATAGGGTATGTTTTTTTCCAATATTCCCAGCACGTCGCAGTTTTAATACCTTCAAGAACAGAAAACTTACCACTTAATTCAGACCAGTGCAACATATATTGAAAAAATAATTTACCCCTCTAATTGTTCCATTTATTGGAGTTAGCTCTAGTCTTCTGCCTCAGGGTTTTAGACAGTAAAATTTTGCCACAAAATTTTGATTCTATGCAAAAGGTCATAATATTGTATGCTGTTTCTTTTAGTCTAGTCATATCCTTCAAGTTTCCTTTTTGCACTATTTGTGTAGGAATGAGGATCAAGGAGTCATATTCTTCTTTTTATTTACTAATATTGTATGTCAGCAGAACAAGCAAAAAGTATCTGTACAGTCAAAAAAACACAACAACAGCTTCTTCTCATTTTCTTTGTTTTTAATTCTCTGGCAAACATAGACATTAGGTAGCTTAGGTGTTGGGTTAATAATGGTGAGGATCTTCATGGAGCCAACTTTATATATTTGGTGCTTATCTCAGTTGTAATCATATCTTTTCGTCCCTCCAAAATCTTCTTCAATGACAAGGAGAACCCAGTCCAGTAGGGGACCTTCATAAAGGCCACTTGGTTATTTGCCTTTAGCAGAAGTTTCCAGAAAGTCCATTGCAGGGATGTTTTTTGCATGTCCCGTATTTTTCTGAGCCTCCACAGAATAGTGGGTGTTTGTTTGTCTCTCCTGATTTATAGCATGTTTAGCATAATTCAGTTACTAGCAAAATAAATTTATATTTTATTAATCATATACTTTACTACATTGAGTACTATATGCATGCAATACATCTAGTACATTATCATCTGTTTATCTATCTGTATCTATATCTATAATTTGCTCAACCTATAGTCTCTGCTTATCCTAAATATGAATTCCTAGACCTTTTGCAATGATTTCCTAGCTTTCTTGGGTTTCCCTTTCCTTGGTTTCTCTTAAGATGCCCATGTCTCAGGAAGGCCATTATGTTGTGATTTTTACAAAAACAAAGAAGGTTGAGGAGTAGCCACCAGACAAGTACTTTGTAGTGTCTTTCCTTCTGTATACAGAAGCTTGGTTTTTAATCCATCATTCTCTAGTCTCAAGAAAGATTACAACCACCACAACCACAAATGTTTACTGCTATTTTGGCACTGTGATAAATTATTTAAATAGACCTTTTAAATTCTCATAACAACCCTATTAGATAAGTTTCATTATTACTACCAATAAATAAATTGAGATGTAGAAAATATAAATAACTTCTGCAAGATCACACAGCTAGTCACTGTAGGAGCCAAGACTTAAATTTGAATTAATGTCAGATTCTTTCTTGTACTTAACCTCTTTCTTCTGCTTATGAGATTCCCTAGCAAAAACAAAGATTCTAATTAATCTTAAAAATTCCACTGTGGCACCTCTGTAGAGTTTGTCACTGCTCTTTCTTGATCCAGTCAAAAATAAGATGCTGGAAAAGATAGAATTTGGGTGACCTTCTTAGTCAGCAGAAGAAAATAGATGTGTAAAAGCTGTCAGGAACAATACAGTTTTATTAACTAATTGCTGCTGCTTCCACAGTTGCCTACTGTTCTGGCAGGTCCTGAGAGAGAGCTTCCACCAGACTCTGACCAAAAGGGAACCAAAATCTGTCTACTAAAGCTATGTTGAAAGCCTCATAATGTTGCTGGTATAATAGGACCAGCCTTCTGGAACTCTGCCGCATGACAGATAAAATCTCTAAGTTAGAAGTCTGTGCTTATAAGCAATTCTACCTGGGAGAGAACTGAAATCTGGACAGGACCTAATTTTATACCGATAATTTTGCAACCAAGAAAGTTATTTTCTAATAGCAACAATTGTGATGATAAAAAGGATAGCTTGTTGATTCCATGGTGTGATTCTTAGAGTTTCAGTGTTTGTTGCTCCCATGTCAATTGTAATCCTTTGCTAATGTCTAAACTTTCAGACTTTAAAATAAGACTAGGTTTCTATCCCCCATGACAAAGCATAAATGATTAGTATCAGGTCAGGTGTTCAGGTGAGCAGAGTACATGGTATGGAAGGAAGACAGAGAATTACTCTGTGGAGAGGTGAGACTACATAGCTGAATTATACCCATCAACTGCTTTTCACAAATTATCCTACCACATCCATTGCTCTCTGTAACCTCTTGTTTACTCATTATATGATCTGAATTCATGAACAAGCCTTTAGCTATATATTTTCTGATTTCTAGATTTGTATATTTTTTTCTGATGAATTAGATTTAAAGTGAGGAAAGGACAATGCCCTTTACCTTTTTATATTCTCTACACATTAAAGGACACAACCTTTTTTCTTTGAGATGGAGTTTCACTCTTGTTGCCAAGACTGAGTGCAATGGCATGATCTCAGCTCACCACAACCTACACCTCCCTGGTTCAAGAAATTCACTTGCCCCATCCCCCTGGGTAGCTGGGATTACAGGCATGTGCCACCACACCCAGCTAATTTTGTATTTTTAGTAGAAATGCGGTTTCTCCATGTTGGTCAGGCTGGTCTTGAACTCCTGACCTCAGGTGATCTGCCCCCCCCTTGGCCTCCCAAAGTGCTGGGATTACAGACGTGAGCCACCTCACAGGTGGACACAACTTTTTTAAAGAAAGTAAATAAATGCTTGCTGAATAATTTTCTGATGGAATCAATTGCTAAAACAAAAAAATGTGAAAACCAGAAGTGGATTTAGACACTAACCACAATCCCCACCCACAACACACACACACTCACACATGCACATTTCAAAATTCAGAATATATAAGTGACTTGCCCAAGGTTACACCAGTAGTCAGTAGCCATCAGGACAAGAACTCAGGTGTTCTAACTCCCCAAACCAGTATCCTCTATTACATCATAAGCTGTCTCACAGAGCCTAATAAATGAGGCCTTAGAAATATTATATATTTTCTACTGTCTTCATTTCTCTTTTAAATTTGGCACACAGTTTTTGTTCATTGGACCATCTAAACTTATACTTTTCATTGTTCAAGGGAATTGTCTCTAGAACTATCAACAAAAATGACAGGGATATCTATCCATATGCTCATTCATCCATCGCATACCCCAGTGCAGTTATTTACATAGCACAGTGACACTGAGCAAACACAGAAGGAGAAACAGAAAAAGAGGAGAGGACAAAAAAGACATTGAGGATTTTTATGAGCCATTTTCCTAACAGTATGCAGTATTCAATAAGCATTATGTATACAGTAGGTGTATCTATCACGGTTTCTACGATGATTCGGTGATAGTGTATTAGCCATTATCAATAGAGCCATTACAAAAGACACTAACTAACTACTCCAACTTCTGCTGAGAGCCACACATTGGTATATTACCGTCTAGTTGCATATGATGTGGAAATCTGCAACAGCTTACTAGGCATTATTATACTTACAGAAAACAGTAGAAACTTCTTGATAAACAGACAAATAAATTCCCAGAATTAGTGCCTCTAATGCAAGCTCTTTAACTGATGTCTTGTCCCAAATTGTTAATAACAACAAACCTACGTATGGTTCTGCTTTTGGCAGATTAACACCATTCCACATACATAAACACACTAGCATATAAGATATAAGCACACACAAACATACACAGAAATGTAAACACATTCAAAATTTAGAAAGAGAATTTGACTACTAGCTAGTATTGAACTCAAAACACAGCCCTCTGAAGGCCAGATCTTTTCTCTCTCATATCCTCTCAGAACACTAAATAAGTGACCGAGTACATAGTCAGCGCTCAGCAAATTGACTGAAGTATTGATTGATTTTTTTAAACTGTTACCAACTCTGCAGATTCTATTTTATATATAGCCAGGGAGAAATTCCATGGTCATCAAATGATGATAATTTCTTTAAGGAAGTGAGTTAGATCCTTAAAGAAAGGAAGGCAATTTGGCAGTTACAAGATTTTAGATTGCTATTCTTTTTTCCCAACAGTGTGTAAATTGGTAGAATTGAAGGGAATGGCACTTCCATTTCTTTAGTGATAATTGTATTTCTGTTACATAACTGAGAGGAAGTAAGCCAGCTTTCCCTGATACTCCTTCTTCTAATATCTGCTACAATACATTCCTCCCTATAAATATATGCATGCTGAAGTCCAAGCTGGACTTTGACCAGAGTGAACCAGAGCAAAGACTTTCTGAATCTTCCAACCCTGGACTCAGGGGTGAGGAGTGAGAAACTGTTACCTGCTTCTCCCTTCAATCTACCTAACAAATCTTTTTTTTACTTTCTCAAAAACAGATTCTCTTTCCTGTTTTTCTCCTTCTTGCTTAAAGGAGGGAGAAGGAGAGAGAGAAAACAAATGCCATATGTAGCTAATCTGAAGCGGAAATTTCTATGGTTTAGAGCATGTGGGTTATTTTAAACAGCTATACAACAGAAATAGAGAGAGGAGGAAGCAATTTATACAATTTTTCAGTGAGTCATAAATTAGATTTCCTTTAATATCCTTCAACCTGTAACTAAATAATAAAATCCCCTTTTAATTTATTCTGTTAGCTAAGCTGCTTCTTGAGTACTATATTGCAAAAAGACTTTATCACGTGATTTCTAAGTTCACAGTATTTACACACAAAGACTTAGAGATGGATCTTCATAAGCCATCCACTCTTACCTCTCACACAGGACTGGAATCTCAACTGTATGATTACTTGAAGATATTCAGTGGGCCTCCAGTTGAATGTTACCAATGCTGATATTTTATATTTAGCTGACAAATTGTTTTGCTACAACTTCCATTTATTAGTCCTAATGGTGTTCTCAGAACTTGCACAGAACAATCCCACTCCTTCTTTACTATCTCTCACTAACCAACATCATCCCTCGGTATGTTCTCCTTCACTCTAAATATCACTGCTTCTTTCAATAGCTCTCTTGACATATTTCTAAGACTTTTAAAAAACGACTCTTTATTTCATTTGAACATATTTTATGTTGTCAATATCATACCTAAAGTGTGACCCATTGGTAAGTACAAAACTGCAAGTGTAGCCTGATAAGTATGAGTGCAAGGACTCAACAGAATTAATATTTTAGATTTTTTTTTTCTGGGCATCGTATTGCCTTTCTTCCCTCACAGGCTGTAAGCTCGTTCAAATAACCTTTTGTGTCCTAAAATGAAGCGTGTATACATACTCTAATCTGCATCCTTTCAGAGACAGTATGCACAGTCAGTATAATTAACACTGGAGCCAGATCTAAATGCGTTTATATTCTGGCTTGACCATTCACAGCTCAGAGGCTTTGAGAGAGCTAATTAATCGGTTGGCATCAATTTTTTTATTTGTGTTTTTTTAACCAACTGAATGCTCCCTTATATATTCTTCTTAATTAAGTGTTATCTTTCCAGTTAAGGCACTTTATTGCCAATAATCATAATGTTCTCAAATTTTAGTTAATCCATTCAAAGTTTAGTAATTGAAATGGTTCAAGTATTTATTTTCTAACAGCTTTTTATCATTTGCCTGTTAGATAAATATATAATCTACATCCCAGATACTTAAAAAGTGGATCGTGGATCAGCAATGTCAGAATCACCAGGAAACTTGTAAGAAATGCATACTCTTAGGTCCTCAGCCCAGAACTTCTGAGTAGATACTCAGAAGTATGTATGAGTGCATACACTATTTAACAAATATGAATATGTATGCTATTTAACAAAGTCTCCAGATGATGCATATTAAAGTTTGAGACACTTTTTATTATCCACAGAGTTGAGAAAAATATTAACCAATATAGCACATCAGAGAATTGCTTCAAAGTTAGTAATGACCAGTTAATAAAGTCTTTGTATATGACAGCTCAAGAAGTAGGAGAACTTCTAATTCTACTGTAATTTAAGCCATGTTGTATCACTTCCCCAGAGTAGAATGTAAGTTTTTTTTTAAAGTGTCCCACTTTGTGCCTTCCCAGTTGTATTCCAGCTCTTAATATGTGTGAGTGTGAACCAAGGCCAAGGAGGCTGAATGCAGTTTGTGTTCAAAAGGTAGATGCCTGGATTTCAATCTTGTCTTGACCACTTACTTACTCTCAGTGTGACTTGAGCCATTTACCTACCATTCCATGTCAGTTTCTTCACTTGTAAAATGAGAATGATAATGTTTTCTGTTTCCTAGCTGTGTTAAAAGATTAAACAAGATAATCCATGCAAATAACTTAGCACAATGCTTCATATGTAGCAATGTTCCCTTCCTTGTCTGAATTCTTACTATGTCTATTAGAGTTTGCTTTGGTTCATAATAGACTCTGTTGTATGTTGTTTCCATATTTATATTTTAAGAACCTTGATGAAAGGTTGCTGTCTTATACTGGTGTTTTTCAAGCCACAAATGGATTATTTGTCTCAAGTCGTCTATAGTTGAGAC
Organism: Homo sapiens; assembly: GCF_000001405.40. Classification (NCBI taxonomy): domain Eukaryota; kingdom Metazoa; phylum Chordata; class Mammalia; order Primates; family Hominidae; genus Homo; species Homo sapiens. Next base: position 40,035,263 of record NC_000018.10, read on the forward strand.
AGTATGACAGTTGGAATGCATCTTTTTCAGTAGAATCTTAACTTAATCCTCAAATACATGTCCAAGTAATGATCAAGCTTACACTGATTATACCATGGTTAGTACTACTCCTAGCAGTACTACTATAGTAGTCATACTGTAGTAACTAACAGCCTTTAGGATAATATGTCTATTGGAAAACACATTTACTGTTATCTTTTGGACTCCTTCTGCTTCAATAGATTTAATGTTTTTCTCTAGGGAGTTGGGAAGTCAGAAGCTAGATGGAGGTAAGGATAGGGCTCAGTGACCCAGAAGTCAGGTCCGTCGTGCTAGTACGATTCCATGTGTGTATTGGTTACACCTGACATTTCCCAAGCTCTCTGAGGAATAGGGTGGTAGATACCTGGGTAGATAGAGAGATGACCCAGACTTAGAACTAAAAGTCTTAGATTTGAGTCTCAGCTTTCATGTCTACTAAACTTTGCGCCTTATTTAATTTAAATCATCTGGGTCTTGACTTTCTTATTTATAAAATAGAAAGAAATACCAATATAGGTGACTCCAAAAACAAATATTTTATTAGAGATATCTTTATAAACACTTAATATTTAGAAAAAGCATTAAGAAGAAATGAAAGTGATGTGGATGATAAAAGTATTCCCCCCCCTTGACTTTGGTGCCTTCTTTCCTCTTATAAAGATACGCAAAATCTATGCTTTGGGTGTGCTTTATGATTCTTCATGGAAATCCCTGAGAGAGGTATTAAAATTAACTAGTGAAATTGATTTCTGTCAGCATCACAGTTACTATTTATTTCCACCATTGACTCAACATAAAGACTGCCACATGATACCGGAGAATGTTAAAAGCTTCCCTTAAGTAGTTCCCCCACTGGCTTCCTATGGGGTTAAGTCTCTGTAATGGCATTATTCCTTCAGGGTTTCTAGTGGAGCTAGAGTTCTTTTTTTTTTTTTTCTCTTTTCCTTTCTGATCTGGGTCAAGGCTAATGTGTTATCCTAGGAGGGTTCATATATTAGCTAGTTAACATATTAGCAGGGGTTATTGTCTCTGATTAAATCATTACTACCCACTGTCTTGTAGCAAAGAAAAGGACCCTGGGGGATTGGGGCCCATGATGGACAAATCTCGATGAAAGGGAAGCAAAATCAAAAGAATGAGACAGTTTGGATCCAGTTAAAATTTTGGCACTATGGTTTTTAGGCACTAAATCACTGAGATTAGGTCTGTAGAAGAGGATTCAAGAAAAAATAAATTTCCAAGGTATTACCTCCTCCAAGAGCCAGGCTTTGTTTGCACTTGGATACCATATATAGTTCAATGTAGGATCTGTATAAAAGTATTAATATTAAGGCTTTTTAGATTCCATTGTAAGATTAAACTAGTGGTTAAATAAGTTCATCAAAGAGGTTTCTCCCATTATCATCAACATACAAAACACATTTTGGAAAATTTGCTTCAGTTTTCACTTAATTTCATATATGTGCATTAGCATACAAATAAAAATATTTTAGAATAATTTTTAATTTAAAATAAAACATCAATTCTTTATGTTTTCTAATATTTTTGGGCCCTGGAAAATTTTCATCTCATAGACCTAAAGCTGTAAGATGATAATATTTAAATGCAAGTCACAAGCTTCAATTAGGTACAATCAGAAATCATGCGGTGACTTCATTAAGTATCATTAAGAATGATCAAAATATTGCTCTTAGGAAAAATACATCAAAAGCATTGCATTTACACATTGATTAAACAGGATCTGCAATTTCTAAAATCTGGTATGAGAAAAAAGAATGGAGTAAATTAAGTGCTCATATCCCACTTAGCAACAAGGGAGTGCTTAGCAACTGGCAAAGGAAGAAATAAAGGGAGATGGTAGAAAACAAAATATGATCAGCCTCTGAAAAGGGTGAGAAATCAAGAAATGACAATGTAACTAATTGGGGATGGAGGAGAGGTTGCTGTCCCAGAAGCAGAGGGCCACAGAGTCACCCTGCTTTTTGAAAGTTTTTAAAATTATTTCTATTTCCTTTTTAACCATAGGAAATTAGGCTCGTAATTAGGAATCAAGGGCACAGGGAGGACTCTCTCAAAAACCATGACTGTGATCGGAGTCGTGTTTGTTGAGATCCATGCAGCCCTTTATAAGCTCTTTTCCCTTTTCCTCATGCACTCAGTGTGCAATCTAGCTCTCAGTTCTATAAGGTCTTAAGTCTGAAGGAGGCTTAGGAGGATTTGATATTATATCCATTTGATAACTCTTAAAGAGTATTATCGTCCTAATCATGCTCCCCGTCCCCCTTGCTTTCTGTTTGATTTGCCCTCCCTGGATATCCCACTTATCCCAGGCCTTCGGCTCCTGGCTTATAATGATCGTTTTCAACTCTTCTTATCCACTTGGAGATATCTTTTCCCTGTGCTTAAATCTGTGCCCATGAATTTCCCACAGGCCACTCAAACCTACTTTCAGACCTCAGCCTCCCCATTCTCTTACTACCTCCTTCATCATCACCTTAGGAAGGCCCTTGTTCATGCAGGCAACACATCCAGAAACCTCCCCATTTCTGTCTCCTCACTCCAATATTTAGTTGGTTCACTGATTCTATCTCTGAAATATATCTCAAACTCACTCTTCTTTACAATCAATCTGAGGTCAAAAATTCATGATCTCTTATCAGGGGAAAAATCTAAATTCTTAACATCACATGAAGGGACTTAATAATTCAGCCAAATTAATGTTTCTTTTTAACCTTGATTCTGCTACTTCTTACTTGCACACAGCCATGTTCTGGGACTATTAAACAGATACTTGTTTCTAGGACATGTGTTTTCTGATACCTGTTGTCCAAAACTCATGGTGTGATCTCCTTTTAGAATAACCTTTCCTTTTTATTAGTATTTTTTTGAGCCAGAAAAACTCACACAGAGTCTTAATTGACTAAAATGACCTCTTTATTTCAATCTTTATACCGGGCTTATGGTAGATTCTCATACCAATTTTGCTTATCAAAGAAATCCCAAAGGAACAGACATTTACAATGTAATTTCACGTATTACAGAACACATCACTGAAAGTAGTAGACATTCAATTAATATCTGTTTAATTGAATTAAATATATGGACAAGAACCCAATTTTCCCAAAATCAGAGCCTACAGATCAAGAATTGAAAGCTTTTCTGTAAAGAGCTAGATAGTAAATATTTTAGGCTGTACAGGCCATATGGTCTCTGTTGCAACAATTAAACCCTTTTATATAGCATGAAAGCAGCTACAGACAAAAAAAGTAAGCTTGGCTGTGTTCCAATTAAACTTTTTTAATGGACACTGAAATTTGAATTTTATATACATTATAAGTGTCATAGAATAGTATTCTTCTTTTGATTATTTTGTAACGATTTAAAAATGTTGAAACAATTAGCTCAAGAACTATGCAATAACATGCAGGCAGCTGGACTTTTCCCATATTGACTATACTTGTTGATCTATGCTACAGTATAGTTACAGTTTTAGTTCCTTATTTGGTCAATTCTTTATATGGACCACATTTGATTTCTTCCCTTCTACTAACTGCCTAGCGTATTTGTTATTTGACATAATTCATATTAATAGCATTGTCTTATTCTAGCAGCCATTTTAGACATACCCTTACCAGAAAGTCTTCCAGGTCACTGATTTACACCTATATCTTTTGCTATTAGTTTGTTAAACTATTGACCTCTAAAACTTGTTAAGATTGTGTATCTTATAGGCAAAGATCCTGGCCCATGTTTTTCTAAAAAATTTAAAATTTAAAATTTTAAACTTTTGTGTGATCCATAGTTTGACAACCATCTACTTCTTGAGTATATTCCCCATCATCACAGTTAATTTTTCAGTAACTATCAACTTGCTTCCTGAGAATCTAAACTTTTTTTTTTGTATGGATTGTGATCTTCTCATCTGTCAAAACAATTTCTTCTCTTATCTAAAGCTTTTTAATTTTTTTAATGGAGCATCACTTCTAATCTCACTAATCTTCATTTGATCTTCTTAACCTTTCTTTCTCCTTTCCCCCTATATAAAATCGTGAACTCCAATGACCTTCTATGGTGACTCCCTTTCTCACATCCCCAATATTCCACCCTTACTAAGATACATCTTAACAACTATAATTATATTCAAAATAAGAATGATGACAAGAGAAAGGAAGAGCAGGAAAGAAGCTAAAAGGATGCGAGAGGAGGGGAAAAACAAGAAGAGGGAATTGAGATTTCAAAGAAAAAAATGAACAAATAAATAGGAGGGTTATTTTATACAGTGTATATTTAAAAAGTCGATTCTCTAAAAACCCTTTCACAGATATTATCTCTTACACACTGGGAAATTGGAGACTTTTTTTATGGATGACCTGGATAATCTAATCAGTCAAAAAAGAGAAAGAAGACTCAAATTGGATTTTTTTAACCCTTTTGTCTGAATCAGACCCTGTTTAAAAGTCTGATAGGAGATATTTCAGGCTGACAGCATTTCTTTCTCAAGTTCTGTCTGTGTTCAGGCTCTGGGCATCTTGGGTCTTTTTATCTGAACAGAAAGCAAATCCTAGTGCAGCATCAGAATGTTCTAGCCCCTTGCAATGGCATTTAGATTCGTCTGCTGCTATTTCCAAAGATGCCCAAATCTATAAATATTAAGCTACATTTTGGACCCTAACCTTGAGAAAGGGCAGCTACCATTTAATATTGCCAGGGAAAGAGAAAAGGTGTAGGGGTAGGCAAAGGAGAGAAACAAAACAACACAAATGTCAAATCTGATTGATTAAAAACTAGGTAGGCAAATCAGCAAGGGCTGGTCCAGCATCACTGGAGAATGAGGTCAGAAAGGGCTGTTTCAAAATTATTTGGTATTTTCAGAAATTGATTACTGAGGGAGAGCATTAAGAAGTAGCTGTGAACATTCATTTAATGGGCCACTGCCTCTTGTACAGGGCTGGAGTTGTCACATTCAGTCTCATCTACTCCTTGTTAAGTTGTGCTTCTTCTGGAGCATGTTTATTTATTACAGATACTGTAAGCATAAACTACAAACTAGAATAATAAATAATTCTCTAAATGGGATTTTGCTAGCACCACCTCTCTATCTTTTCACTTCCAACCCCCAATATGACAAGCTCCATTGTTTATAGGCCTGGGACTGTCTGCAGGCCTACAGAGCAAGCCCTTTCCTGTCCTAGGATACATTTCAGTGAGTAGGCAGCAACTTATCTGGAGGAAACTGAGGGACACTCAGATGTCCTCCTGTTCTCAAACTCCTCAGTTATCTGCCCCTTGGAGAGGTATTCCCCTGGCTCCTCGGGTTAGGCATACCCTTTGCAAATATATGCAGTTTGGAAGAAGTAGCATGTGTTACAGCAGTTACACATACACAACTTGGTGTCAGATCATTTTGTTGGTCACTCCCGTAGCCTGACAGCTAGAAACAGGCTAGAAAGTGAAAGCTTGCCATGATGAAGAAAGAGAGGGATATTTTGGAGTATAGATCACATGTCAATGGGTTGTATCTGGGTGTGGCACCTCATGGAAATCTGTAGCATGAGACAAGGAGACAGCAAGGGGTTTTCTGAATGTATGCACACATGCGTGCATGGGTGTGTACGCATACACACACTCCTCTCATCAAAAGCCAAACTTCATCTTTAATTTCTAATCTGATAACTGACTAAAGTCAAGTCTCCATTTATCCAGGGATCATTTCAAAACTCGACTATCACATGGTGAACATCCCCACTAGAATTTCTGCTGGTTTATTCTTGCATACTGTATGTCTTTTCTCTTTGAAGTAATCAAAACTAAAAACACATCATCTGTATCCTTCCTTTTCTAACTCCATACAAGCTGTAAGGTTTATCTTAAACTGCCATTCCATGGACCCTGTTACTTATTTCTTTGACTAAAACTCTCTTACTCTTATTTCTCATTGATTTTGTTTTAATGCTTAATTCTATTTTTCGCAATAACGTTCACAGATGATTTTATTTTTCTCGCATAGATTACAAACCCTTTTATGGCCAGAAGTACCCTAGTTTTTTTGTATTTCCTGCATTTGGCTGCATCCAACACCAAGTATCAAGTATAACATCAAGAAATCCCTTACCCTCTGATTGTTAATAGCACTCCACTGTGGAAGCTGGGTGAGATACATACAGAGGAATCATTGACATATTCCACACATGAGATGGGGCTGACCTCCCCTCCCAAGACTATGGCTTTGTGGATTCATATATTTATCCAAAGTGAATATTTGAGATGTCTTTCTAACAGGACAAGATAATTCCTTTATGATATTTATTTCGTAAGAATAAATATATGAAATGTGTCAATGCACGTAGCCTGCAATGGTGAAAATGCAATACTTCCCAGGCTTGTATTTTTCAGTCATTGCACAGTGCATTTACTGTCGTCTAATTAGGCATTCTAAAAACCTGAAGTCCCCTTGTGTTTACCCTGCAACAGTTGTAATCCAGTGTGCCTGACACTACAGTATTTATCCCCAGAAATAATTACTCCACGGAGAAGGCAGCAATGTGAGTACATCCCAGGACCAGAGAGCAATGACAGAGGACCTCAAGGCAATACTTCATATTCAGATACAAATGGGGTTCACAATTAATACATGAGACATCACCAATTTTAATAAAGCTGATGAAAGGTAGGTAGATATGAAAGTCAAATATACTTGGGATTCTCCCCTTCTCTAAGAGTCCCTCTTTAAATTAAGACTTTGCCAGGTGATTAACAAGAACGCCAGCTCTTCAAAGGGAAGCAAAGCCTTGTTCTTTGCTGCTCCACAGGCGACCAGCTCTCTTTCCCTTTGGTCCAGATGGAGGCTTTGTTCTCCCGAAGTTGGTCAGGTGCTGTGCCTGTCCAAAAAAGGGAAGCAAGCGCAGCGTTAGGAGCCCGCACCTGTTTAAAAAGCAATGTCGTTCCCTGAGCTCCAAAGCCTGAACATCAAATGCCTCCCTTTGCCAGGCAGCTTGGCTATTCCCCAGGCGTTTTCAATCTAGTTGGGTAAAACAAAAATTGCATAATTTGTCATTATTTTCAAGGAATGAGATGTGCCTTCTACAATCCCTTTCGAGTTAAATACAATGACGCTGAGCTTCCTCTGAATGCCAATGCCTTCTTTCTCAGAAAGAATAGAAATAAAGAATGAGAAAAGAAACACCCAATTGATTGCCTGTAATTTGCTCGGGTATTTGTTATTGATGTATTCTTTGTATGCATTTTAGGGATAGGTAGCAGAAAAACTCTTTCCCGAGGTCTTCAGTAAAGAGAAGTCAAACACTGGGAAAAGCTGGAACAGGAGGCCAGGACTTCTGAGTCAGCTTCAAGATTTAAAATAAATAAATCACATCAACTTAGGTAAACCACAAGTCATGTAATCATTCTTCATTTTAAAAAGGTAGATTAAAATTGCCTTCCCTAAATATATTACATTTAATTGTGGAGTTAAAATGTAAAAAAAAAAATGTGGGAAAGTGCTTTACAATTTTAAATATTTGCTATAAATGTAAAGTAGTTTGAATGAATGAGAAATAAGGGGTGAGATGAGATTCTTATACAGGAGTCCTATCAGTCTTTCTAAGGTGAAAGCTTCAAATCCAGGCAGACAGGGATGTAGAAAGCAAAGAAAACTCAGCAACAACCATCGGAAAGCAAGGGCATCCTAAATCTCATCTATTAAGAGTAGAGAAAAGGACCTAAAAGTCCCCACCATATTTTCTTGTATACAGGCCCTTCTGCTGCCACTTGGTTACAACAATAGTGGAGAAAAGTAGGCCCATAAAGCAAGACTGATTGCTGGGAAGGTGATCAATTGCTGCTGTGAAAGGGGAAAAACTGATAAATTTTTTTTTTCTCCTTTTCATCACAACCTTTTGCTAAAGCTGTGCAAAATGTGTCATGCATAAAAAGTATGCAATTTTCATGTAATTAGAGGAACACAAGATGAAAATGAGTTCCATCAGAGCAATCAAGGATGGTAATGTGGTATGTATTTGTCAGTGCCTATTTGTCATGAAAGCAAAACCCAACAAGTTATATATTTTATTTCATTTTAACTCTGAAAAATATAAATGCCATTTTGCCATGGCCAAATCTATAAATTTCAATAATCCTTTCTTTTTTTTTGAAAAGTGAAGTTTTGGAACTGCAGATTAGATCATTTTACTCTTTTAAAGAATGGAATGCTATTTTATGAAAAACACTGAGATTACAGGACAGATTTATTCCATGGAGGGTCAGATTTACAGCAGGAGGTGATAGGTTTACAGTTTGCTATACAAGAAACACACTATAATTTATTTTCTCTGAAAATACACTTGCATCTTACAGTAGCATGTGCCTCTGATCCCATCCTCATGCCCCCCAAACCAACTGTATTTTTATATTCTTCTTGGGCAAGAGGGCATAAATTTGTTCTTTTTCTCTTTCTTCGTCTTTTTCTCTCATCCTTCTTTTCATCCATTTATTTATTCATTTACTGTGTTATTTGAGACAGTTTATTGAGCTTCAAAATTGTACCAGGCATGTTAAACTCTAATGATAGAAAAATAAAGAAACCATGACCTCTGTTCTGAAGCTGATTCTACTTATTTGGGGACAGAGAAAAGTAACCAATTAATACAGTAGGATAGTAAATGGAGTGTGCTTCCATTGGTAAGATTTAAGGGAAGATACCTATCTAGCTCAGTCTTGCTATTTGAAGATTGGGACAGGGGTGGGGAAAGAAAGTCTAGGAAGAGGAACAGGTAAAGGCAAAAGCTGGGAGGATGTTGAGAGTTTAGCCATTGATGAAAGAGCAATTAATTACTTTTATGGTGGGAAGCACAAGAGGTCAAGAGTTGAGACCAATGATTTGAAATGGAGAAGGAAAGATGAGAGACATCCTTATAGGCCAGAGTAAGAGGTCTAAGCTCTGTCCTCCCCGCAGTATGAAGGCTTTTAACAGTTTTAAGCATAATCAAGTCTGTCTGTAGAAGAAACACTCTGACAGCATTGTAGAGAATTGATGTGAATAGACAAAACCAGTTATGAATCTAATAATTCATTTGGGAGACAGTGATGGTTTGAGCCAAGGTGGGCATTGGGGATGGAGAAAAGTAAATGGGTTTGGGATGCCTCATAAAGAAAATTACCTGATTTGGAAATAATTTCTAACTAGGGAATGAGGCGTGTTTTTATTTTAACACTTACTCATTCCTTTAAAAGAAAGTTCCAATTTCTGTTTTTGAATTAAGTTGCATTTTCTTTTACTTCTATAAACTGGGACAAATGATATCAAAAATTCCATTATGATGGACTATCTTGAAAATAAGACTTTAGTGTCCCCTTCTTTCTCTCTTCTTCTTCAGGATAAATGTCACGTTATTTGTCATATGAGTTAAGATTTTTATCAGCTACTTATAAAATAATATACATGGCATTTTATTTGTTTTGTTAGTTGTTTGTCCCTATTTGTATAGTCACTTAAAGGATGCTTACATGACACTTTCTAATGTTCATATTCTCTAATGTGGGGGTTAACAAACTTTTTTTTTTTGTTGAGGGCCAAATAGCAAATAATTTAAGCACTGCAGGCCACATCACAACTCCTCAACTCTGCAAACATAGCACAAAAAGAGCCATAGACAATACATAACAGTAATATTTCATTAACAAAAGCAGGCGATGGGCTAGATTGGGCCTATAGGCTATGATTTGCTAACTCCTCTAAATCTCATCCATTTATTTCTGTGTTCTGGGTTGCCAGAGAAGGCCTTTGAGATCCCTAGGCAATTTCAGCATGAGAAGCTCTGCAGTTCTAAAAGTTTGGAAGGATGATTTTGGAGCTCTGAGTAACGTCTATTGAGACACTTACATTGTCTACAACCTTGCTAATGTCAGACAACTTCCCTTGAATACAGGCTAGATAAGGTAGAGTTTTAAATCTTTAAGTTTTTTAATCAAAATTTTAAAATATAGGATGCAATTTCAACAATATATGTGCTATTACCTTTTTATTTCATTTTACAGTTGAATGTGAGATTTTTTCTTCCCCCTCCCCACCCCTGTCCCGGTATATAGAAGTCATGCCGTCAGGTTATAACTAGGTTCCTGGCTTTCCTCTGTAAAATAGAAAAAACGTCACCAAAGGGGCCCACTGAGCAGATTCCATACAGAATAAAGCGATGAGAACAGAAGAACATGCTGCACATGACTGCATCCTTCTGCCTGAATTATAGACTTAGAGCAGTAGGAAAAGGGACTAGATCATTCCTATAGCTAACACAGTTTGCATAAACCTGGAAAACTATCACAGATTTGAGACCTGCGACAACATGCCCTTGTTACAAACTTCACAGAAAATTAATGAGATCCCAGCTCTGATCTCTTTTCCTCACTTTCACTGTTGTAGGATAGGACCTTGATTACTGGCCTCTCACTTACACTGAAACACAAGACCTCTTGCCCCTTAGAAGCCCATCTGTTCATACCATTTATGGCCACTGGCTCTTCCTGCTTCTAAGTTTTCCTGAGTTACCTTGATTCCTTCCTCTTGCTCTTCAAAAGCTCTAGCAAAGGCAAATTTCCTAAACCTTAGTTTATAGGCCTAGAACTCCCAATTAATTGAAGCTCAACTTTTATATGTAATTATCTTGCTGATGTTACTCCAGACCCAATGTGTGGAGATTGGACTGCATTTGAACTGTTCATGTTCCACCTCTAATCTGGAAAGAGAGAGTAAGTGTCAATGCAACAGAAGAAGCTTTAATACCCTGGAGGGGCATTCAACAAAATGTGACCAGAAATAAAGAATAGATTTTGTATGTGTGGGTGGTGTGTGTTTCAGTATGTGTATGTAGGAACGTTTGAACTTGAATTTTCAGGGTTAGAAGCTCAGTACATGTAACAATTGTAGTCATTATGGTGAATAATTTCTCTTAATGAGTCTTAGATAATGACATCTTCCCAAAAGGGAAAAGTGAGGGGTTTGGCAGAAATTGAAAACAGACAAAAGGTGGTGAGTGAGATTTGGGCTTCGCTCAACAAACATTGACTAGGATAAGCTCATCTCGTTCAATGCAAAGGATTGTCATCCGTGTTTTAATGGTTAGATCAAACTGGGTGAAGTTCGGTTTAATTGGAGAGGAGATTGCATGGAATAAGGTAAAGTGTAAGGTGGGATTTTAGAGGCTGTAGATGCCCCTAGATATAGGTGAAATTATTAGGGGGCTGCATTAACTGGGATAGGTACCCCAAGCTCTGGTCTCTCATCAATGCAAAGGTTTCTGGTCACTGTAAACACATTTTTAAGGGAAGTATTCTAATCTTGAGTTAGCAGGGGTTTTGGCCCAAGATGCAGATGGAAGTTGTCAAGAAAATAAACTTGTCCCCCACCTCTATCCTTACCTCCTGTTGATAAACAAACCTATACCACTGGGTTTGTTTATTCTAAAGTGGATAAGCATGTGCTCACTACGAAGGAAACATTGCCAGCTTCACACTCCAATGACTCTTGGGCCATCTGTCCAGGTATTAAGCATTTTTATTCTTTGCTCTGCCCGCATAAAATGGTGATCGAGGATGATCTCTTGGAATCTCCAATCACAGAGTCTTCTGACTGAGGTGATGAAGAAAGGCTCAAGACTCCATGCAGGAGAACTGAAGAACCAGGAATGATGTTCAAGCTTTAATGCTGGTTAAAGGAGGGTGATTGAACACATGTAAATTGAGTCCCTAATTTTTCAGTGCATTATGCCAGGTGTTGTAAGAAATAAAGATGAGTAAAATTAGCTCCTCATTTTGGGGAGGTTCTAATAGAACTGGGAGATATGAGACAAATACACAGAATGAGATATAAACCAAGTTAACACGAAGAGTGACTATGCAGAAGGGGTGAAAGAAAGAAGATGGGAAAATCACACATTATTCAGAAGAGGCTGGAATGCCAACTACACTTACCCAAGTAGATCCTGAATTCTCAAGCTTTTGTCAGGACTCATGTAAATTTCTTCTATTTTTTCATTCTTTTTTTTTGTTTGTTTTTTTGACAGAGTCTCATTTTGTTGCCTAGGCTGGAGTGCAGTGGCACGATCTTGGCTCACTGCAACCTCCACCTCCTGGGTTCAAGCAATTCTCTTACCTCAGCCTCCCAAGTAGCTGGGACTACAGGCGTGCACCACCACACCCAGCTAATTTGTTTGTATTTTTAGTAGAGACGGGGTTTCGCCATGTTGGCCAGGTGGGTTTCAAACTCCTAACCTCAAGTGATCCTCCCGCCTCAGCCACCCAAAGTGCTAGGAATACAGGTGTGAGCCATCACACTTGGCCGAGAACTCATGTAAATTTCAGGTGGGTTCTGCAAGCCATGATACAAGTACAGAGACTTTGAATTTTATGTGGCAAACAATAGTAATTCTATTCCTTTCTTTTCTACTGATATGAAGAAATCATATGAGAGTTTTCAATTATCAAAAATTACATTATAATCTTGAATCTGCTCAAACATATTTACAACAAAGATAAATAATTTAAAAATGTGATTATATAGCTATTATTATTATCTATTACTTGTGGCATACCTCAAAGTTAAATAATCTCACTAATGAAAAGAGTTGAGACAGAAATTTGAAACCTAGGTTTTTTTTTTTTTTTTAGTTTAAAAATAAAAAATCAGAATTGAAAAGAGTAAAACACTGAATAGTTATGAAATAATACTACTAGCAGTTTTATTTAAAAAATGAGTAGGAGCTATAATCAGCCATAATATTCAAAAATTATCAAAAACGTGTATTTTGTTCCTGGATATCATATGAAGTGTAGTTCTAACTATTCATAAACAAATGGACTTGTTATGTAATGGAATAAGCAGTTTGCAATCTAACTGAAATAATTACATATCAATATTTATCCTCTCTCCTGTCTCCTTTATCTTTTTAATGCCATTGTCACAGCTAAGCATTAGAGAAATAGAAAACAAACAAAATCTAGGTCATTGCTGGCAACTGGAGACACAAATAGTTGATATTCCAACTTGAAATTATACAGCCATATTTGGGCATTTGGACATATCTGAAATTTTCCCTGCTGAATCCAATTCACCAACCCCAATTTGGCCTCAGTGCCTAGGAGGCAGCTTGGGGTAATGAAAAGAGCATGAATTTATGAGGAAGACGGTTCTGGGTTAAATTGTGTTTCATCTCCGAGTTAATTATCCTCTCTGAGTCTCACTTTTTGCTTAAGTGAGTAAGAGTGCCTACCTTTTGCTGAGTATTACACATTTGTCTTGTATTTGTCTTCTGGAACTTTATACCTGCTAAGTCATTGCATCCTGACAACATTATTTGGAAGTTAAATGAGATAATTTCTACACATTCACATAATAGGCTTTCCATATATGTTACTTACCTTAATTTTACACTTATCTGAAATTAACTCATCAGTATCTGTCCCAATTAGAGAACTATGTAGGTTAATGTAGAAGAAAAAACTCATTTGCAGGACTGGGCATTGTAACTTCACCTCACGATCAATGTATTTATGGGGCAATAGCCAATGTTTACATCCACTTCTCCTTTACTTTCCTTAATGCACTTAATCCTCTTTTCACCCATACTTTCTATGATAAACAGGCCTACAGCACCCGTTTGCAGATAAATAAATACGTAAATAAATAAATAAATAGATTCCCAGAGCCAGCTTGGAAGAACGGTTGATAGTCTGAACCATTACGGAGGTGAAATTTCATTACACAGATGGTGACATCCCGATGTCTATCATCAAAACACAGCAGGTAGAAACCATCAGCCAGGGCCATTCCCTTCTATAAAATTACACTTATATTAATGTCACTCCGGATTTCATTATGCGGAAAATGATATTGCACAGGTCTCCAGCACTAGGGGGGCGGCGGAGGGTGGGGGTGCTAGGGTGGTGAGGGAAGCATAAGGGGCTGGGGTGGGAGAGTGGGAAAAACAACTGTCTGTGGAGAGACCACGGAAGCTAATTCAGAGGAAGTCTGCCTAGGAATGGCAGATCGAAAAAAAAGAGTATATGCATGTATATATAAATGTATATTTTAAAATTCCTCGTAGATTCTACTGCCAGTTCATGCTGCTTCTTGATTGACTCGCCGCCAGACGTCCTCCACAGGCCCCTGATGGAATGTTTAAAAGGCCCTCCTGTGGGAAGCAGGGAGATTTACAGTTAATTTTTATTAATGAAGGATGACAGGCATCTCCATTTAGCCAACAAGATATTACACTGGTCCAAGAAAACGCCCCTGTATTTGGAACAAGCATCCTTATCCCATACCCCAACCCACCTCTCTCTCTCTCTCTCTTTCATAGACACAGAGTCACAGGCGCACACACACACACACACCCCACACCACACACACACACACACGCATGCACACACACACACACTCTTAAGCATACACATGGGCACCAGGTAATTAAGAATACAACAAATTAAGAAACAAAGGAGAATATTTGCTTTTTTATATTCTGGTACTCCCCTATCAAAAGAGAAAGGAAGGAATGGGGATTCTGTGAGTCTGGGGATGGGTGAGTGGTGAGGGTCCGATAGCAAATGCTGCTCATTCCTGCTGCTGCTTCCTGTTACTCGTCTGCATTCCTACATCTCAGCCCCCACCCCATATTCATTCCCACTCTAGAGAATTCGCTGCCATTTCCGAAATGAATTAGGATGCCACATTAGTTTTGTAACTGGCCTAGTTACCCACCCTTGTGCTTCTTTGATTTACTTCTCACCATGCAGCAAGAATTTTTTTTCGCCATAATCTGTTGCATTTGTTCTCTGATAAAAACCTTCAGGGATTCTTTAGGCTTTCCAGATCAATAAAAATTCCTCAATATGACCACCAGGATACCTTATGGTAGGGGTCCTGCCAATATATTCAAGAATTGGTTTATTTAACGTATTAATCTTCAATAATTGGTTTATTTAAATATTTAAATATCTCTTTTTTAATCCACTAGTTTTTTGGTAGGATACCCCCCTCCCACTCACATAAGTTACTCATTCTTCTAGGCTCAGTCCCACTCTTGTTAATTTCAGGATTATCCCCCAACATGATTTTCTTCCTTCTTTAAGTGACCACTGACTATTCACCAGTGTTGGGGATGTATATGACTTATGTCCCCAATAAATTCAAATGTTTGGCAGTTAAGCTTCATGTCCTATTTTCACCCCAATATGCTGACTCTTTGAGATATGCCACCTTCACCCCTCTAAGCTCACTGAGGAAGTACCCTATCCTGCAGTGTATGACTTGCTCATATCATCCCTTCCCAAGTGACAGCCATGACAAACAGCCTGGTTTGAATTCTATTCAACCTTAAATCAACTTAAAGAACAGGTCATCTCTTATCTTCTTATCATCCCTATGAAACTTTCTTATCCAGTATTTTGACCTCCACTCATCTCTTCTCTATTTGTGTAATATTTATATAGCGTTCCGTAGAGTTTTAGGTATAACTTAAATTGTTTTTAAGAGATGTATATTTGTCTGTTCTCATTCAGTGGAAAATAACCTCCATTGGCTATAGCATTTTTTAATCCCTCAGAATACTAATCTCAGAGTAGGCAGTAAATATATGAGGAATTGCTGAAGTGAGGAATGAGTTAACCAATAAACCAATAATAGTGTTCAGTAAGTAATAGTTGGACACTTTAAAAAAATTTTAATGAACATATAGACATATATGTATATGTTATATGCATGTTATAAACCTCATTTCCCATTCATATTGTTTTGCAATTTTAAGAACCATAATTCTTCTTGTGACCGCTTTTCTGGGGCCACTTCATGCCTCAAGATTAGACAATTATAATATCATTCTCTAACTGTATGGGCTCCTCAGGTGTTCTTCACGGGGTTCCTTCAGCTCTTTTTCACACTTCTTTTATAGAAAATGGGATGAATTAAATGACCAAAACTAGGAGCTTACTTTTATAATGTAGGCTACAGAACTTTACAAAATCCAATCGGTATTTAAATAGATGCAAACTTAACTGAAGTTTTCAAACTTCAGGGTACCCACAGATTAATTAACCTGGGTGTTTGTTGTCCCTCCAATAGAAAACTCACAAATATTTTAGTTCAGTGTGTTTGGAGGCATCTCTTAAATCCCAATTTTAACATGCATGTGATTCTCTGCAGGTGCTGTGCAAAGCACACTTTAAGAAAAATTAGTTAGAGATCAATTAAATAGAAAGGTATGAGTATGTAAGAGAAATTATTAATCAGCAAAGCTAAACACCCACAAGTTTATGCTCCAGTTTCCTCTACTACTGTCTATGGGTCTTTTTCTCCTTCACTAACAAGAAATTCTCAGTTTTAAAGTTTGTATCATTTTATTCATATCTGCACTCCCCATCAAAAACCAAGGTTATAGAATTAACCACTTTCCTGATGGGAATTTTCATTTGCTAAGTCATATAACATCCAAGCTTTAATTCCATTAGTTATATTTGATAATACAGTCTGAATGGTTGCAGATGGGTACAATTGGTATCTTCAAATTGTGCTCCTTAATTCAAATTAATCTTCAATTGGTGGAGCATATGTGCATTTTTTGTCACTGTATTTCTTAACACTAGGCCTGTTCTATTTTGTAAATCTCACATCCGCCTTCCATTACCCAACTCTAAAAACACTTAGTAGAGAAATGTATACACACAAAAACATGTATACAGACACACACATGCACACACAGATATGCACACACACACACCTCTGACTTCCAAAGAAAAAATTATTGTACAATGCCCTAGCCTTAAACCTTACCAAATCCTTGTTGTTGATTATATTTATAAATGGCTTCAAACTTCCCTTAATGTCACTATCATAAAGTCATGCCTGAGTAAAATATTGAATTGGCACAATATATGCTTTACATTAAAAATTTGATTTGTAGTAATAAACAGCTAATTCAATTAATTTGAATTACACTCCTCAACTACGTGAAATCCATGTTAAATTAATTAAAACAAAATGTAGATACAATAAAATGCACCCATTTTAAATGTACATTTTGGTGAATTTTCACAACTGTACACATATATTTACCTACCATCACAATTAAATTTTAGAGCATTTCCATTAACCCCAAATTTGTCTTGCACACCTTAAAATTCATTCAATCTTTCTTCCTGGACACCTGGCATCAGGCAAATACTGATCCAATTATAGTCTGTTTGCATTTTCTATAATTTTATATACTATAATCAAATAGTACATACATTTTTATATCTGCATTAAGTTAGTATGATTTTTTTTTTTAAGACAGAGTCACTCTGTTGCCCAGGCTGGAGTGCAATGGTACAATCTTGGCTCACTGCAACCTCTGCATACCCAGTTCAAGTGATTCTCCTGCCTCAGCCTCCTAATTAGCTGGGATTATAGGCACACCCCACCACAACCAGCTAATTTTTTGTATTTTTTTATTTTTAGTAGAGACGGGGTGTCACTATGTTGGTCAGGCTGGTGACCTGACCTCATGATCCACCCTCCTCGGCCTCCCAAAGTGCTGGGATTACAGGCATGAGCCACCGTGTCCAGCCAGTTTGATGTTTTAAAAATACAGCCATACCGTTTCATGTATCAGTGGTTTGTTGTGCAGTATTCCATTATATGGATGACAACATTTTGTTTATCTGTTTACCTGTTGAAGAACATTTGTGTTGGGAGTTAATTATAAATAAAAATTGTTAGAAACATTTGAGAACAAATTTTGTTTGGAGATTTTTTAAAATTTCTTTTAGGTAGATACCTAAGAGTGAAATTTCTAGGTCATATACTGTGTGTATATTTGACTTTCTGGAAAATTGCTTAATTTTCTAATTGGTTGTGCTGTTTTACATTCCCACCAACAAATATGGAAGATCTATTTGGTTCACACTCTGGCCATCCTATAGCCAATCTTTTTAATTTTAGCAATTCTAGTGGCTGTCTAGTGGCATCCCATGGTTGTTTTAATTTGCACCCTTCTCTAATGACTAATGATGATGAGATCAGTGCTTATTTGCCATCCATACATCTTCTCTTGTAAAGTATGTGTTCACACATCTTTTGCCCAAATTTTTACGGGTTTGTCTTCTGATTTTGAGGTTCAAGAGTGTTACTGATACAATTCTACAGCTTGTTGTTTCATTTTAAATAATTGAATTATTCAAAAAACAGAAGTATTTAATTTGAATGAAGTCCAATTTATTCATTTTTTTTTAATGGTCGTGGTTTTGTTTTCTAAGATATCTTTGCCTATTCAAATGGTTATATAATTTTATCTTATGTTTAATTTGATAAATTTTATACCTTTAACTTTTACCTTTATAACTTTTATCCATTTTAAGAGAAGTTGTATACCATATGAGGTAGGAGTTAAGGTTTACTTTCTTTCTTACAGATATCCAATGTTCTAGCACCATTTGTTGAAAAATATATCATTTTCCTACGGAATTACTCTGTCAGTTCTGTCACAAATACATCTTACCATATATGTGTTGGTCTACTTCTGGACTCCCAGTTTGGTTCTTGTTGATCTGTATGTCCATCTTTTTTTTTTTTTTTTTTTTTTTTTTTTGAGATGGAATCTCACTCTGTCACCCATGCTGGAGTGCAGTGGCACAATCTCAGCTCACTGCAAGCTCTGCCTTTGGGTTCACGCCATTCTCCTGCCTCAGCCTCCCGAGTAGCTGGGACTACAGGTGCCTGCCACCACGCCCAGCTAATTTTTTGTATTTTTAGTAGAGACGGGGTTTCACCATGTTAGCCAGGATGGTCTCAGTCTCCTGACCTCATGATCCGCCTGCCTTGGCCTCCGAAAGTGCTGGGATTACAGGTGTGAGCCATCACACCTGGCCTATATGTCTACCTTTTTAAGCCCTATATGAATACTATTCTGTCAATCACAATGTCCTGATGGTTTGCTTATCAAGCTCCAACCTAGATCAGTAATTACATTGAGTTGTTACATTTTTTAAATCTATTTTATAAAACCTTTCTCTTGTTGAATTTGTTCCTCTGTCCCAAATGTTTCCAGTAAACTAAGAGTTATACATGGAATACTTATTGAATTCAGGTTCAACATTTTAGACAATAATACTAGGTGTTCCTATAAATGTGGATAATTGATTTTTCAAAAGGGAAAGTTGGAAATTTTTTTTAATGTCTGGTTTCTGTGTTTGTATAATCCTGTATTTGCTAATTTGGGTTAAAGACTTTACATTTATTTTGATTTTAGAAGTTATGGAAATAAATTTTACTGACAGTCTCAAAGCAGATATAAATAATTATTAGTTCAATGGCTGATATAAGAAACTCATTCTGAAGGCAGGGACTAGTCAGAAGCCTTGCCTCTGGGCCTGAGGACTTGAACCACAGATAAATGGGGATGCTCGCCTCAGAAAAGCTAAATCTGCCCCTTGGTTATATTGGAGACCTTGGTTTGAATATTTCCTCCACCATTCATAAACCAACATTTCAAAGCAGAGCTGACTCCAGCTGTTTTAAGTTAGAATAGGAAGATGTGCAAGAATAATAAAAAGAATAACATCTATGCATCCATGAAAATTCAGTGTTACCAAATTATCTTTTTTTTAACACAAACAAGACCAAATCCATTTTTTTGCAAGGAGCAGAGCAAAATTAAAATGCAAGATTCCTGTCTTAAAAATTACTGTGAGCCTGAAGACACCAAGAGTAGACCATTAAATTAGGTGTCAGCCCTTGTAAGTTTGGGGTTCTATGTGACTGCACAGCTTGCACACCCATGAAGTTAGCCCTAAATTCATATGACAACCTGAATGATCTCCATTTTGTAAATGAAGAAACTGAGAACAGAAGTGTAAATTGGCTTGCATGTGATTATGAAACTAAGGTTGTGAAGCTGCAGAGGGAAGATTTTCTGACTCTAAAGAATGCCTGATAATAAAGCTGAGTTCTAAACTCTATACCATGTAATATAATGTAAAGTGAGGAAAGTAAAGAGGGCATAGGGAAGAAAGAGAGAGTGGGAAAATGATTCTGAATACCCTTGGAGTACTTTGAAATTGTGAGAACTAACCATGCATTCGACAGCCAATGGTGAGGAAGCTTGGATGACTCACTAAGGAATTTGGACATGATACTCTAGACCAACATCTTGATTTATGACCTAGTGATCACTTATATCAGTATCACTTAAGAGTACATGTCAAAAATCAGATTCCTGAGCTCCAAAACACTCATACAGAATCAGAATCCCAGGGCTTTGTCCTGAGAACATGTACACTTGACAAAATTCTTGAACGATAATCGTGCAGTTTACTCCTCGTTGTCACGCCTGGACTCAAAGTAGATCTGAACTACTCTAGACAGCTAGATTTCTAGAGCATAGGTACAACCTCTTTCCAGGTCATGTGAGAAGCCTTATAGTGCAGAAAATGGTAATCACCTTGACATTTCTACAAATGGTTAATATTTAAAATATATAGGAAACAAGTAAACATTGAAGAGATAGTGATGATAGAAAAATAAAAAGAGAAATAAATCAGTAAAAGACAACTCAATATTGTATGAGGGTGTATCTAGTCAAAGGTACTGGTAGGATAGCCAGGCTTTATCATAATTATTTAGAAAGAAATGAAAGGAACAAGACTCCACTAAAAGTGGTATTAGCAGGAGCAAATTGTACTCCACTGGATTTTGCAGAATTTCCTCTACCACATTGCTCCAAGCTCCATATTAATTTTTTATCATTTTCTTCAAAACATAGCCATTTTATATTAAATATTTTTATTAAAAAACAGAGAGAAAAAACAAAATAGGTAAATAAAATCACAACAGAGCCTTTTGGTTCATTGCTGCAGAATCTTTTACTCCATCACTGTGTCTGCCTTTGGAGTTTTCTCCACTCACTGGGGAGAACACAGCGGAGTGTGTTTGTCTGCCCAATGTGGAATCAAACACTCAGCCTCTCCTTGGAGAGGCTTTGTTGGCAGTCACACATGGATCCGCTCCAGGACCAGCAGATTTCAGGCCCCTGGAGAGATGCAAGATTTGCAAAGGGCAGGGAAGATTGGCAAAAATATTGACTTTGATATTTCATCACTTCACATTTCCAAAGAGTAGAAATGCACTGACAACTGCACCTTTCTAATCAGATGCTACCAGAGGTTCCCAGCACAGCACATACTCTAGGGACTGTAATACCAACAAAGCCCCAAACAGAATGATTTATATTAGAGCAAAGTAATCAGCAGCCTTTCTGCTTCTCTCTGCTTGATTTCTCTTGTTCATCTGTTTGGGTAGCACTTTACAGCTTCCTATTATGGAACTTCTTAACTTCTGGCTATTTTCAGATGTTATTTTGAACTCATTTGTCTTTTCAGAGTATATATAGCTTCCCTAACTATTAAGATCTGAATGGTGACAAGAAGCACCCCATTTTTTCCCTATCACCTGAGGAGAAATATTAAGTATTATTCAGTGCTTGGGAGAATGTATTTGTCTTGGAATTGTATCACCTTGCTTGGGGTTGTGTAATATGAGAGAAGTGGGTTGTGAAGACAAGAAGAAGGACATTCAAGGGGTAGTTGGAGGAAAGCAATCAAGATTTCTTTGCATCTAAGTCTTAATTTTTTTTCTTTTTAAGTTTGAGATAGTTTGGTTCATAAAATACTGTATCTGATAGACTCAAAAATAATATCTTATTCTGCTAAAAAGTTAGTTTGCCAGTTAGATATGTACAACAGTTTAATTCGTATCTAATCATTTCCTAATGTAAGTTACCCTTTTCTGTTTTAGTTAGGTATTATAAAAGCTTGTTGTTTTGTGTGGCTTACTCTGCCAATCATTTCTGTTAAATTTCTTTTAAGATATGTGGCTATTATCCTATGCCCCTTAAAATGTAGACACATCGTTGCCTCTGCAGTAAAGTTATTCCCTATCCCCATGTGCTGAGTTACTTAGACCTTCCCTTGATATTGCGCATGCTGCTATTGAACAACTATCACACCAAATTTGAATTTATATTTTAATATCTGCCTCTCTCATAAGAAATGTGAATTGTGTTTATTCATATTTTGACTGATATCGTTTGGTTGTGACCCCATCCAAATCTCACCTTAAAAAGTAATAATTCCCACCTGTCAAGGGCAGGACCAGGTGGGGATAATTGAATCATGGGGGTGGTTTCCCCCATACTGTTCTCATAGTAGTGAATAAGTTTCATGAGAGCTGATGATTTTATAAAGGGGAGTTCCCCTACACAAGCTCTGTCTTGTCTGCCACCATGTAAGGCATGATTTTGCTCCTCCTTTGCCTTCTGCAGTGATTGTGAGGCCTCCCAACCATGTGGAACTGTGAGTCCAACAAACCTCTTTTTCTTTATGAATTACCCAGTCTTGGGTATGTCTTTATTAGTAGCATGAGAACAGACTAACACACTGACCTTCTGTAGAGGCTCTGATACATATAAGGTGCTCAATGTTTTTGTTTTTATTTTCATTGAATATATAACTCATGGTTGGAACTGAAACAACAAACTTTGTCTTTGGTAGTATTGTCAGAGGCATGTGAACCAGAGCAACTCCATCTTGAATAGGAGCTGGATAAAATCAGGCTGAAACTCACTCGGCTGCATTCCCAGATGGTTAAGGCATTCTAAGTCACAGGATGAAATAGAAAGTAAGCACAAAATACAGGTCCTAAAGACCTTGCTGATAAAACAGTTTACAGTAAAGAAGCTGTCCACAACCCGCCAAAACCAAGATGGTGACGAGAGTGACATCTGGCCCTTCCATTAGCACCATGACATTTTATAAATGCCACGGCAACACCAGGTAGTTACCCTATAGGGTCTAAAAAGGAAAAGCATAAATAATCTATCCTTGTTTAGCATATAATCAAGAAATAACCATAAAAATGGGCACCCAGCAGCTCTCAGGGCTGTTCTGTCTATGGAGTAGCCATTCTTTTATTCCTTTATTTCTTAATAAACTTGGTTTCACTTTACTCTATGGACTTGCCCTGAATTATTTCTTGCATGAGATCCAAGAACCCTTTAGGGGTCTGGATCAGGATCCTTTCCTGTAACAGTTTGCTTTGCTGGCACCTTTCCAAACAGCTTCCCAGCCACTTATCACTCATTCAGGCATTACCACTAACTCCAGTTCCTCAAAGCATTTCAAGATCTCTGTCATGGAATCTGTTTTCCTGCCTGATCCTTACTGATACATGAGAATAAAAATTTTACCTAACTCTTGGGGAATTGCTGTGGAACTAAAAAGAGGTAATGTTTTATGTAATACAAGCCTGGCATATGGTAAGCCCTCAATATGTGCCATCTCACATTATGTATACAGTAAACATTCAATCATAATTTTATTATAATAATCATTTGAATTAATATCTGATTTTAGAATAATCTTGAATTTGATAAGACACACTTTTAGGTGTTTTTGCACCTTCTAGGTAACATTCTGTATCTAACCACTAAAGAAAATTTCACCCCAAAAGTCTACTCTGATTTTCCAATGGTCCTGGAACCATCCATTACCTCAGAGTTCTATCCAACCTCCAGCTTGTTGGCAGAGGACTTTCAGGGACTTGGCTTTTGGTGAACTATTTGAATTCTGTTTCTGTGTACTATTCTCTTACAAATGGTGGAGGTGGCCCCCTTCTTGTATTAAACCACAGCAGTTACAGCAACCTCAACCCATTAGTGTGGTGTTTCCTGTTGCACAATGCCTTTACCATGATTAGAAGTCCAACACAAACTCATCCTCCTACCCACACACACAACGTTAGCAGCCTATTCATATATTTATGTACAAAACACTTTATTTTATAGGATCCCCTTCGAAGTCATTATTATCTGAGTTAAAAAAAAAGAATAAAAAAAAAACTAAATAAAAGGGAGAAACAAAAACACAGGTAAAACCAACAAAAAATGCCTCAAGAATAAGATTTGTCAGGAAATATTCTCTCTGTCCTAGAGAGGAGAAAATTATGGCAGAGAGTTGTTTTCATAAGACTGTGAAACCTGCCAGTGCCAGAGATGGCATTGGGTACAGTAGTCCTGTCCCATCTGTTTCACTTTGCTATGAATTTGAGAAAAACACTAGCCCTGGACCAGACCCACAGAAGACATAAGCAAAATGCACTTGGGATCTGAAGGTCAGAAATGATGATCTGATGTAACTGAACTTGACGCACCTTTGGGAGCCATCATCTCTGCAAGTCCACCACATTGTTCTTAGTTACTCTGTGGGTTCCCTTTATCATTCCTTCTTCTCTGTGGTTTTCCCTGAGTCTTTCTCAGACCTACACAGCCATCTCTGTTTTCATAGCTTTTCTATCTTCCACATATTAAAACATATTCTCTAAAACTACCATCCGGAAAGAATTTAGATATGCCAATCCCACAGAAGTGATAACCTCAGGTGAATTTACGTTTGAACAAGGAACAATGATGGTAGGATTTCAGCTGTAGCAACTAGCTATAGAGGAACATCTTAGAACAAGAAAGTTGTCTACAACCCACAAAATCATACTTCGTCATTTGCTACTTCTTACCACATGTGATTCCTGGAGCAATAGTACAAATGGATACCTACATAACATATGTTAAATATTTACTTTTTTAAAAAACCAAGATAATAAACTATCAAATTATATTTGATCCTCCTACTTTAAAGAATATTCCTTCATAAAAACCTGGAAGAATACATTTGAATTTAGAATTACTTAACTCTTCAGTTTTCTGTGCTAGGAGCATGGCAGTCTGAAAATCAGACTGAGAGTCTGAACATCAAACTCAGTCTCTGTCTGTTGTAAACAGTTACCCTACGGTCATCCCTTCCCCAAGGGTGAGTACAGTGACCATTTCCTCAGAAGCAACACTTAGTGAAGAGATCTGTACAGTTTGGAAATGAGGCTGGGATTGTTTTGGCCAAAAATCTCAAGGTCCCGGATACCTGGAGCATTGTCCAAATGAGGGCCACAGGCTCCAAATGAGCACATCTGTACAGCTTCATGGACACCTACCACTTGCCATGCCACAGGAGGGTTGCAAAGGTGCTCTCTAAAGTCAGGGTCCAGGACCAGGGATCCTCTTGCCTGAGCCTAATGTGCTATGGCTAATCAAAGCCTACTAGTATAGGCTATGTAGAGAGCAAAGTTCATGCAAGGCTCAGGAGAGTGAAGATATAATGAACATTTTGAGAGTGTAAAAGACTAAGTTATTCCCAACTTGAAAGAAATATTTATGTGATGAAAAAATATTTTCCATCTACCTAGCCTAAGTCTTACCCTATGTTTCAGAGAGTGAGACCAAAAAGGTTGGGGGAAGAGTTTGAGATTCTCTCAAAGACTCTACTGGGCAATTTAGAAAAACACTTACTGCCAGAGAGGGAAAAAATTGTGTTAGCAGTCTTCAGGGAAGGTGGCACTTCTGCAACAGATGGGCTGACTGAATTTTTTTTTAAATGACGATTTTATGCCTTTGGCAGAAGTTTTCAATGTAATTTAGGAAAGAGGAAAAACAACATAAAGACAATTGATGCTATTCTTTAAGAAGAGAGAAAGAACATCAAAAATTAGAGTTGTTAGTTATCCTAGGTTGAAAACATTAAATATTTGTGAGCATTTTATAAAAAGACTTGCCATAGAAATTGGCAGAAATGAAACCAGGTTTCAAATCTACGTGGCATTTTATCAGCTGCAGGGCATAAAATTTTCTCAAAGGCAAGAGTTAATTAAGTGAAACAAATTTCTTCTTTTAGTTCCCTCACTTTTCTCCTATTTTACTATTCTAACTGCCTGCTCATGGTTTTCCCTGCTTCCTAAGTCTACATTGTCCTATTCATTCTTTCAAGAAATTTTCTAACAGTGAATCTGAATATGTATAATCTTGAAGCACTTTCAACTGCTCCTCAACAGTTACATTCAAATTTCACACCCTTTAAAGCCATTCCTAATATGACGCCCAGTATCTGGTCTTGATCAACTTTTCTAGCTTTATTTCTGACTCATTCCACCCTAAATATTCCACTGAAAAATTTTCTCTACTCTGACATGCTCTTTTAAGCCTCTTCACCTCTGCATATTCTATTCCTTCTACTTGATTCACTTTTTCCTGCCATACTTGTCCTTGATGAACGAATATTTAATTTGCATTTGAAACATTAACCTTCTCTGAGACATTTTACAACTCTCCAAGGGAGAGTTAGTTTTATCTTCCTCTGAGTTTTCCCATACTTTAGGCTCATTCCCCAGTAGGACAGACACTTTCCATGCAGGGCTGGGGGCTTGCCCTCCAGGTTTTCCTCTAAGTGAAACCCCTACCTCCCTCTCACTTTCAAAGGACTGCTGAAGTTACATACATCTGATGGCAACAAACCAACATGTAGCAGAAGTAGAAGTAACTTTCTTGTCGCTTTTCTTCAGAGTGAGTAATATCTAATGTATATATTTGTTTTTTTCTTGTTTTTCAGAAGCTCTTCAACACAGCTACCTTTTGGGTTATATGCTCACCCTTAAACCAATTACTGGTAAATGTAATGGAATTACTACACTTCGTTTTTGGACTTTTTTTTTTTTTTTTTTTGAGACTGAGTCTCACTCTGTCGCCCAGGCTGGAGTGCAGTGGCACGATCTCGGCTCTCTGCAGCATCCGCCTCCTGGGTTCACGCCATTCTCCTGCCTCAGCCTCCCGAGTAGCTGGGACTACAGGCGCCCGCCACCATGACCGGCTAATTTTTTGTATTTAGTAGAGACAGGGTTTCACCATGTTAGCCAGGATGTTCTCGATCTCCTGACCTCGTGATCCGCCCGCCTCAGCCTTCCAAAGGGCTGGGATTACAGGCGTGAGCCACCTCACCCAGCCTTTTTTTTTTTCACTCTCTCTCCCAGTCTGGAGTGCAATGGTGCCGTCTTGACTCACCGCAACTTCCGACTCCCGGGTTCAAGCGATTCTTCTGCCTCAGCGTCCCGAGCAGCTGGGATTACAGGCGCCCACCACCACGCCCGGCTAATTTTTGTATTTTCAGTAGAGACAAGGTTTCACCACGTTGGCCAGGCTGGTCTCGACCTCAGATGATCCACCTGCTTCAGCCTCCCAAAGTGCTGGGATTGCAGGCATGAGCCACCGCGACCAGCCTACACTTGAGATAGAACTTGAGATAGGCTGGGCACAGTGGCTCACACTTGTAAACTCAGCACTTTGGGAGGCCGAGGTCAGAGGATTGCTTGAGCACAGGAGTTTGAAACCAGCCTGGGCAACACAGTGAGACCTCATCTCTACAAATAATCATAATAATAATTTTTTACAAAAGCCGCATGTGGTTGCATACACCTGTGGTCCCAGCTTATTTGGGACACTGAGGTAGGATTGTTTGAGCTCAGGCGATCAAAGTTGCAGTTAGCTGTGATCATACCACTGTACTCCAGCCTGGGTAATACAGTGAGACCTGGTCCAAAAAAAAAAAAAAAAAAAAAAAAAGGAACTTAGAATAGTGTTAGCTTCCCTGAGGGGTGGGTAGTTGAATACAAGTTAAATTATTTTGATAAACTGGGATAGAAAAATGAATATTGGGATTAGCAAGCAATAGTGACTGCTCTAGAAGTGAAATGTCTTTATTAAAATGGGATTTTTGAGGTTTTCCTGATGAACTTGCTTCTAAGATGTGGTCTGCAATCTGAAACATTATCTCTTTTTTTCCCTGCAATAACACTTGAATCTTGACACCGTGCTTTGGAGGTGTTGGATTTAATCTCTCATGATTATTCTTAATGGATAAATTTCAAAATCTTTACTTTTTCTCCTCTACAATTATAAAAGGCAAAAGAAGTATCATTCAACCTAGAGAAAAGACCTACATTTCATTAAGTTGGAAACTAAAACTGCACATTAACAATCTCAAAACTCCGTAATTTTAGAGAAACAAGTGATCATAGGTGCTATCATGCTATGCAGACATCTTAGGTGTGAATTTTCATAGCAGGTGAATTTGGGACTTGGGGAATCTCTGCTATGGTTCTTGTATGACCATGGTCAGTGGTAAAAGTTAACAACAGTCTACCACTGCATTGCACAGGCAAGACCACAAAGGCCTTGGATTCTGAACAACCAGGGGTTTGTCTCACACCATTATACTAAGAGTTATAGCCAACTGGGGTTCTGGGTGAAAGCCAAAGACTATAAGAATATGCCACAGAGAAAATAAGAGACAAACAACAACAACAACAACAAAAAAACTGCTAAACTGTTGTGAAGTAGAAAAAGGACTTCAGATTTCATCTGTGCCTGGTTATTACTGCCATTGTTCATAAGTGTTTGCATGTGTTCTAATTATCCTCTCTTCACTAACTGTATTGGTAACTCAATTTACTATGTAGTCCATAGCTTATAGATGATCTGGTAACATCTGGGTGGAATTATGATGGAATTAGAGGAAAAATATACAACATATGGAGACTGTGGATTCCAAGACAAACAGCATTTAAAGGAGCCTGTGATATTCTCTGTGGATATAGTAACCAGAGATGCCTTTGAATTCCATCCTTATTGGAAGGCAATAATTGTGTGTAGGTTTGATCATTTTAGATAGGCACATCCTTGAAACTATGCATATAGAAAGATAGCAACCAATGACACAAAGGGCACTGTATCTACATTAATACTTGAGGAAGGATAGGTGAGTTAGACAGCTGGGAGAGCTAAACAGCGGATGCAAACTGGGGTTGTTGTAGGCAAATTAGCACCTTTGGTCAGCCAAGCTATACCCAATATCTGTTTCTTTGTGAACCTGCATTATCCACAAACCAATGCTTATGAAATAAGTAGTGAAGTATCCTATAGGCAGAGTTGGCCACTGATTAGATCAGGATCAGATGCTTTTGTTATTGAAAGGTAACCAAGCCATACTTTCCATGATGAACAATAACATGTTCAGCCATAAATGACTCTACTCAGTAAAGTTAATAGTAATTAAATAAGCCAACCAAACTAGCTTCTTCTGCAATTTGGACTGAAAATATGGAGAATTTTGAATAGACAGGAAATAAGCATAAATACAAATGAAGGCACAATGGGAAAATTTATTTGCCTACCTCACTCGAGGGATGGGAATTGTGTTGGAGATAGGATCAAGAATGGGCTGATAATTATGACTTCTCTTAAGTGGCCTCCCTGATAAATAAGAACAAAGAAATGCAGTGAGTTCATATTTTAATGGGACCAAATAAAAAAAATTCTACAAACAACCTCCTGGATAAAAATGGTGGCATTAAAATAGCTGCATTAATTTGGATATATCAAAATGCCCTGAGTGATACTTTATTCTACAGTTTAGCAAGAGACTCCTTGGGATAAGTAACTCAATCCAGGATGAGATACAGAATATTGATGAGATATTGACACCACATTTAGAAAATACATGTATTTATGTATCTCTGTTTGTATGTTTATGTGCATATATACACTAATTCTTTTAGCAAGTAGATATGGAGAGAATATTACTTGCTTTCATAGCATGCTTCCAGGAGTTTCAGAGAATACGCCTCTGAAGAAAGAGAAATTATGTCCTCTGACCTCTTTTCTTAGGGCTGTTTGGAAAGAGAGCACACACATCATAAAGAAGAGTTCAAGGTAAACCTAGACAAGTGAGTGGATTTGAAGCCATCATATCATACAATCAGAGAATCTTAGGTTTTGAATGAAATGTGAAGATATATTTCAAATGAATAATTGGAAGAGTGAATGAAAGAACTAATGAATCTAATAGAAACCCTACTGATTGCCTACATACAATGATTGCCATGAATTGTTATTTACTTTTCTATGTATACTAATTAACACATCTGCACCATTCTCTCAGTGTGTGCATATCTTGTGTATAGGAGGTAGTTAAGAAGTTCTCAGTATAACTTTATTAAATTTACACCCTCAGAAAATGTCTGCCAAATGGGGAGAAATGTGTATTCATTTTGCTTTCACCAACGAGCTAGTAAAGACTTGCTGAATGTTTCATGAATGATAAAAGTGCAAGATAATATAGGATAAAATGTATACCAGGCATAAACACTAAAGGTGAAAAAGATCTGTAAATTTAGAAAAACATCATCTGTACAATAAGCATCTTTTAGAGAGTCATGATGTCTCATGGAGAGCTATCTTTCTGGTTGATATAGTCCTAGTACAGACAAAAAATTGTATTTTCACAAAATAAAATGTGCATTTCTAATTTCATTTACTTCGTTGTGTTCCTTTCAATATTTACCTTCCTAAAACACTCTATAAATGCGAATACAGTTGAAAAGTTGCTTATCTGTCACACTCCCTTTCATGGATTCCATGTCACTTTGTTGTTGTTGTTACTGTTTTAAGTCCCTCTGACTCCGTCTCCTTCAGCTCCATCGGAAAGGTGGGCACTGTGTAATATTTTCTTTCCCATCAGAGTAGACCTGAACTCTCTGAGGTCAAGACCATTTTTGCTGTTGTTGTTCACACCATGTTCTTGGGGCCCATCCCATGGTGGCCCCCACACAGGGCACGATGACTACATTGTAGAAGACCTGTGCTCCAGTGTGGATCTTCCTCTTTAGATCCAGACTTACTGATGCACAGATCAATGCTCAGTGTGGATATCTTCAGGCTCCTCAATCAGGACTTCCAAAGTACAGATAAACAAACAAACAAACAAAAATACATCATTTTCCACTCAGAATAAACCCAAACATCTTCCATCACTGCAAGTATGTTGACACTGCCTGAATAGCGGCCCACCATGTCAGAGTAAAATCATGCAAGTAGAACTCCCAGTGGCCTATCTCAACACCACAGAGTTTCCTAAAAAGAGACCTAACACAATGAGCATTCCTTAGAGAGTCCAGGTATTCAGATGATCTACCTTGGCAGACGTTAGTTCTTGCTTCCATTTTGTAATAGCCTTCTGGAATTTGTTGTCTTTGCATATTCTAGAATCTCTGTCTCTGTCTCTGAGTCTCTGTCTCTCTCTGTCTCCTCACAGTCTGTTACTACTTAATACAGTGCTTATTGGCCTGAGATTGGACATTATTTAAAAGCAATTTGGAGAGTTTTCTCCATTTCAGGCAAGAAAACATGCACTATTTTTCTGATATGGCATGGGACATCGAAAAATAGTTTTGAACAAAATTTTGAAATTTTTGGCCCAAAGAAAGCAAATACCCCCTGCAACAAACAAGATGTGTCACAATAAGTCATGATTTACAATCCCTTTCAAGACTGCCTGTTGCCCTTAGCAATCCCTAAAGCAAAAACAAACAAAACAAATCTTTTCAGCATATCTTCATGAAACTGTCTGGGATGTGACAAAACTTTGAGAAACAGTTTTGTGATAATGGTTTTGCACTTTATTGGTACTTCTCCACAGGAGGTGGTGAATGGCTACTTTCAAATACATAGAGCTATCAAAGGCTAAAGTCAATAAAAAACCTCCATAGAATAATTGGAGAGGAAAGAAAAGGGGGAAAAAAAGAACATAAAACGAATGAAAAGGCAAGTAGGACCTATAAATATAAAAGCCTAAGGAGTATATTTTGGGAGAACAGATGATGCAAAGCAAAATTGGGAATAGTTATTGGAGGATCAAGGAAGGCAAATAAAACAATAAGATATATGATGCCTGTCCTCCTGCCTCAAGTCTAGCTCATCAGACAGTTTTTCATTCCATTTTGTATATATGAGTTTCATCTGACTACTGCCAACAGAAAGTGCTTGGATTTCCTGACTTTTTTCACTGTCAAAAGAAATAATAAGCTGATGAGATTCAAAGGCAAGTAATATAACATCCTTTCCTTGAATGAGAAAAATACAAATTGAGTTGTGGGTTAATGAATAAGGTATTTCTATTTTTCATGTTCTTCAAAATAATAATCATAACACTAATGAAAATTAATAACAAAAGATAGTATTATGTACCAGAATAACTTGTCTAGAAACCAGAAGACCAGAATTTGTTGATAAACTTTGTACCTAATCTTACTGCTTAAAATCCCATGGATTGTGAGAATGCAATTAAAAGGACTAATTTTCCATCTCTGGGAGTACCTGAATGATAATTCACCAAAAATATGCCAGAGAATGGGGAAGGGCTGAGGACATGAGCTGACTTGGGCAGTTGTTGACTGTGGGGCAGAAAAGTCATCTGTGCTGTATAAATGCCCAAACAGCTGGGTGGCACCATCTGTCTGGAAGATTTACTCAAATAAAGTGCAAAGTCAGGTGATCAAATAAGCAAAGTCAAGATACTCATTTATGATTTTCAAGGCAGTTTGGTTTAGTATAGACAGACCAGAAGATGAAGATCCCAGCATGACCAGCCATCCAGGGAACCGGCTGGGATATCAGTTTAAAGTTGAACCCTAAAAGCCTAGAATCACGGAAGGGTAGAAAGATTTTACACAAATGCCAACGACAGTGACTCTGACCTCTTCAAAGAGTCGGAGGAGACTAATCATGAGCCACAGAAAGTGAGCACTGGGGATGGGAGGAGAGAAACCATTTAATAATCTGGAGAGATCAGGTAAGCTGGACAGCTGGAAGTCGAATTTTAAAAGAAATAAAATGGGTGATTTAATTCTTGTGTTTTTTTCTATGCTCTGGCATCAACCAATTCTGTGACTTTGAACAAGTTCTGTAACCTTCTAGTATCCAGTATACTCATCACTAACATAAGAGGACTGGACTAAATGTTTTCAAAGTACTGGCCTACTCAAAGACTCTTTTATTTTCTATTCATGATAGTGTTTGCAATTATATGGTGCTCTCCACCTCCAAAATATATTTATGTGATAGTGTTTGTTCTTTTGAAAATTCCTGTGTGGTAGCTCATATAGAAAACACTATAGCTCATTTTAAAGATAAGAAAATGAAGGCCTACAAAGGTAAGATGTCTTTCTCAAGGTTGCTTAGCTAATTAGTATCAGAGCAAAAACTAGAAACATAGGCCTACTGTACTTCTAACTACATCAACTTATTCCTTTCAGCAACAATTTTTTAAGATTTCTATAAAGAAAACATTTTCTTTTGTGCATTTTCTTCAATTGCCTTATGTCAATGGAGTTTAAAATTTCCTGGAAAATGTGCAAGACCCTCTGGAAAGTGCTGTGGGAAATCCAGAGATTTTTAAAAGGGAATATATTTGCCAAATTAGGGCTCCTATAATCTAATAGGAATATCAGACAGGTCCAAAGAAAATCCTGTTATAAAACATAAAATATACTGACTGTTTCAAGAGATATGCAGGCTGAGTATAGTGGCTTATGTCTGTAATCCAGCACTTTGGGAGGCCAGGGTAAGCAGATCACTTGAGGCCAGTAGTTCGAGACCAGCCTGGGCAACATAACAAAACCCTATTTCTACTAAAAATATAAAAATTAGCTGGGCGTGGTGGCACATGCCTGTAATCCCGGCTATTCAGAATGCTGAGGCAAGATAATCACTTGAGCTTAGGAGGAAGAGGTTGCAGGAAGCTGAGGTCGTGCCACTGCACTCCAGTCTGGGCAATGGAGTGAGACCCTTTCTCAGAAAAAAAAAAAATAATAATAAATAAATAAGATCTATGTGAATATGCCACTTAGAAATTTCAGAAAAAGGATCAAATCAATTCCCTTCCAATAGGTCAGAGAAAACTTGAGAATTTGGTAGTTGAGTTTGGAAATAAAGTGGATTATGTTGAGATTTTATTAAAAATTAGAAATTTGACAAATTAAGCAATATATGTTGGTAAATGTAGAAAAGTAGAAATAACAAAGGTTAGAAACCTTTGCAGCTCATTGCAGAGTGGCAGCCACATGACAGCATATCACATCAAAATGTTCACCTCTTTGCTTACCTCCTTTCCTCTTTTTCCTCACCTTTATTCCTTAAGTTCTGCTTTGAGTGGGCCCAAGATAAGACTCTAATAACCTATGTTTAATTACCTAGAACATCATATAGGAAAAAGTTGTGAGAATAAGTATTTTAGTGAAATAAGGTGCATTCCACTATAAAATAATCCCAAAGAATTCTTATATGAATGTAAAATATTATGGGTTCATAGAACTAGGTAAATCATTTCCACCAATATAAGTACAATTTTTCTTCAGCTGATAATATTTAGGGAAATCTTAACAAAACTACAGCTGGTTTAGGCATGCATAAATATGTTAACAAACATGTGTAAACCTAGTTGTAAACCAAAATATTTTATGTCAATAAATACATGAAGAGGGCAGCATATGATACACCAGTTTATAGTTATTCATATGTCAATGTGTGAATACTTACATTTTAAAGAAAAAATTCAATTAAATGGAAATGCTTGCAGGGTAAGAATGCACTAGATCAATACTTTCTTTTGTCATCTAACATGTATTGTAAAGAACAATGAATTAGAGTCAACACTCTTACATTCAGATCCCCTCCCTGGAAAAACCTGGACACGTAAGCTGGAATGGGTCCTTTCACTTTCTGGGTCTCAGTCAAATGAGCAAGTTAGATAAGTCATAATTTGCGAAGTTGCAAACTACAGAGCAAGAGTCCAGAAAGATTATTTTTTTAAAAAAATTTTGAGATGAAATATATTTAAGGAAGATTCATACATCATCTTTTACTGTGGA
Source organism: Homo sapiens (assembly GCF_000001405.40). Taxonomy (NCBI): domain Eukaryota; kingdom Metazoa; phylum Chordata; class Mammalia; order Primates; family Hominidae; genus Homo; species Homo sapiens. The sequence goes on from NC_000018.10 coordinate 40,069,935, forward strand.
TTATCAAGACAAAATAGCATATTAAAAGCCCAGAAAAGTCCTTTAGTAAAGAAATCTGTCTAATTTCATCATAGCATTTTCCAAATGTTAAGATATTTGAAATTTATTTTTCCATTAAATATGAACATCTCAAAGACATAGTTTCTGTGGATCTACTGTTTGGAAATGCAAGGTTATCATTAGATCCTTAACATTATAGGATTCTTATGTATAATATAGTCTTACTGATATGGTTTGGCTGTGTCCCCACCCAAATATCATCTTGAATTGTAGTTCCCATAATCCCCATATTTCATGGGGGGGCCCAGTGGGAGGTAATTGAATCATGGGGGTGGTTTATCCCCATGCTGCTGTTCTTGTGATAGTGAGTGAGTTCTCATGAGATCTGATTGTTTTATAATGGGCTTTTCCCCCTTTTGCTCAGTACTTCTCCTTCCTGCCACCGCGTGAAGAAGGATGTGTTTGCTTCCCCTTCTGCCATAATTGTAAGTTTCCTGAGACCTCCCCAACCCTGTAGGACTGTGAATCAATTAAACCTCCTTCCTTTACAAATTACCCAGTCTTGCATATGTCTTTATCTGTAGTGTGAGAATGGACTAATACACTTACTAAAAGGACTGGACTAAAATTTGAGACCCCATTTTTGACCTTGGCCCATGAATGATACCATCCTCTACCCAGAGATAGAGAGAGTAGACAGAAACTACCAGGGAGCACTCTGAGACTGGGGACTCAGGAAGAAAAAAACAAGGAAGTGTGACCTTCTGCTGTGGAAGAAAGGAAGTCAAGTTTTGTTGAAAGCTATGGTTTGGATTTGTGTCCCCACCCAAATCTCATATTCAACTGTAATCCACAGTGTTGGAGGTTGGGCTTGGTGGGAGATGATTAAATCAAGGGGGTGTTTTTTCATCAATGGTTCAGTGCCAGCCCCTTGGTGCTGTTCTTGTGATTGCGAATTAGTTCTGATGAGGTCTGGTTACTAATCCCAGCTATTCGGGAGGCTGAAGCAGGAGAATTGCTTGAACCCAGGAGGTGGAGGTTGCAGGAAGCTGAGACCATGACACTGCACTCCAGCCTGGGTAACAGAGTGATACTCTGTCTCAAAAAAAAAAAAAAAAAAAAAAAAAAAGAGAGAGTGTGTAGCACCTCAGCCAACTCTTTTCCTGCTCCTGCTCACATGTGAGATACCTCCCTCCCCCTTTGCCTTCCTCTATGATTGTACGTTTCCTGAGACCTCCCCCAGAAACCCAGTAGATGCCAGCATCATGCTTCCTGTACAGCCTGTGAAACAGTCAGCCAATTAACCCTCTTTACTTTATAAACTACCCAGTCTCAGTTAATTTTTTAGCAATGTAAGAACAAACTAAAACACTGACCCAAGAGATTTGAAGTGTGGCAATGAGTTCCAGATTCAAACCTGATATTGAAGAATTGGTGATAAGTGTATACATAATTTGGAACAGGGCTTCTCAACCTAAGAACCGCTGACATTTGAAGCTGAATAATTCTTGTGATAGGGTGGTTGTCCTGAGCATTGTGAGATATTTACTAACATTGTTGGCTTCTAACGCCAGATGTAAGTGGCATCCCCTTCCTTCCATTATGACAATCAAAATTTCTCCAGATATTTCCAAATGTACCCTGGGAAACAACTTCTTCCATTTGAGATTAGAGAATACCCTACTGGGACAGTAATATATATATATAGACATACATACCTTTGGTGCGTTGCAATGGTTACTGCAGGTATAAACTAGCCAGAATTCCAACTTTGTTCCACCTTTGTTATAATTTATTTCTCAATTTGGTGTTAAGTTGTTAGGAAATGACTTAATGTGTTATTTCATGGTGTTGTTCTGATAGAAGTTATTGAGATAAGGTATTAAGGGCAGACAGCAGTGTTGCTGACTCCATTTTCTTCTGGTCATCTAATACTGAAAAGGGCCTGGCCATTTGGATAGGCCCCAGTGCTGCAGGCATCTCGTGAAGAGACATGAGAGGAGACTTCTGCAAGAAGGATACAAATTTCAGTTTCTAATTGACCAAACATTTATCAAAATCCACCCATGGTGATGATAAAACTAAGAGGCATTCTCTTCCATCAGATCTTATCCTAGTGGATGGATTTTTCTACATCTTTCAAAGAAGGAAAACAAAAGAGAAAGTTCTTGGGAGGGGTCTAAGGAAATGTGCTTCCTTTGATTATTTTACTTCTCTCAGATCTTGATTCTTCAAGTAGTGCTTACACAAATGATATTATAATAGCAAGAGCTTCTATTTATTATAGAAGTACAATATTCCAGCTGTTATTGCATTTAATCATGATAGGAATTTTGAGTTGTATTTTATTACCATTTTATAGATGAAAAACTGAAGACTCAGAGATGAGTAACTTGAAGACATCTGACAGATGGCTCAGCCAGGATCTTAACCTAAGTCTGTCTAATTCCAAAACTTTTGCTCAGATCAACCATACAGCCATCCCCTTAAAAATAACGATTTTGAATCTTCACATTATTAGTTATTAATATGCTTTAAATATTCTTATATTGCCAAACTGTAATAGTAGACTGTAGAAATGATTTCTTTTTTTTCCAAACGAGAATTTGGAGAGCAAATTCTGAGAATTTGGTAGATAAATGAGTCATGTGACTGAAGCAGAAAAAAGTTGAGTTAGCACTTGGCACAGCATATGCAAATTATATTTTGTTGTTGAATAAAAACATTGAGGCCATTTGAGAAAAGAAAAAGACCTATCTTGGTGAGTCTACTGGGAGTCTTGGAAAGGACACAGGCGTCTTAGTCCATTTTCTGCTGCTATAACAAAATATCACAGACTAGGTAATTTACTTTAAAAAGGAATTTATTTCTCACAGTTCTAGAGAGTGAAAAGTGCAAGATCGAGGCCTTTGCAAGACTGGCTATTTAGTGAAGACTGCATCCTCCAGAAGAAAGGAATGCCGTGTCCTCACATGGCAGGAGACAAAAGGGCAAGAGGCCAAATGCTGTGTGAAGCCTTTTTATAAGGGTCTAAATCCTATTCTTGAGGAAGGAGGCTTCATGTCCTAATTACCCCTTAAAGCCTTCAACTCTTAGTACTATCACATTGGTAACACCTGAATTTTGAATGGCACACATTTAAACCCCAGCAATAAGCTTCCAGTTGCTAGTGCCCTCTTCAAGAAGCTAATGAGATTTTCATACAAAATTAACTTAGGAAAATAGGAAAGAAGCCAGCCCCTTTAAAGTGCACTGAGAAAATCTACTGGGCTTGGAATAATTAATTAGTGACTATTGAGTAAATATACTGTCAACCTGGGTCTTGAAAAAGAGACATTTTGTAGAGAAAAGGGAATTTTGCAGAAACTGAGGTGGGTTGGAACTAAAGTCACCTCTTAAAAATAGAAGGCAGCAGTGCAATGAACTATAGTCAAGGGAAGAAACTGTTAAGTATCACTTTAGTTTGCCTTATCAATCAGTTACTGAAGGCCACCGATGTGCTAGGGGAAGGGCTAGGCACATGTCAATGTGAAGATGAATAAATCTTGATGTTCACTATAAACATACTGATAGTTTTTTGGGGGCTAAATGAAGGAACATACAATTTCAATATTATATGGCAAATACTATGACACATTGTGGGTTAAAAAAATGGCTTTCTCACACCAGGCATGGTGGCTCATGCCTGTAATCTCAGCACTTTGGGAGGCTGAGGCAGGCAGTTCATTTGAGGTCAGGAGTTCAAGACCAGCCTGGCCAACATGGTGAGACCCCATCTCTACTAAAAATACAACAATCAACTAGGTGTGGTGGCATGTGCCTGTAATTCCAGCTACTCAGGAGGTCTGAGCCTGGGAGACAGAGGCTGCAGTGAGCTGAGATCGCATCACTGCACTCCAGCCTGAGCCACAGAGGGAGATTCTGTCAAAAAAAAAAAAAAGAAAGAAAGAAAGAAAGAAAGAAAGCTTTCTCTCTAACAGTTTTGAATCATGGATTCCAAAAGGAATCCACGATTGTTAATGAAGTTCTAGAGTGGAAATACAGAATGTTGTAAGAATGGAGAAAATTTCTAGTCACCAATTTTAAAAAAAGAATTGAATGAGTTATGTAAAACACTGTGACTCCATAACTCAAATTTGGCCTTAACTCTGGTGATCTTCATATAGTGTTATGCCAATTTGGTGCAGGAAGAGCTGATTCTATTGAGGAAAGGCAAAACATCTGAGTCTAACCTAACTGACTAATGAGAAAATTCTAGCAGACAGTAAGAAGAAAACCATGCAATTTATTATCACTACTTTTGTACTGTCTTTCAACACTAATTTCTTTATTGCCGTCTTTTAAAACTTCTTTTTGCTTTTTCCCAGTTGTAGGCATTAACATGGTTCTTGAAAATATAGGAGGTTATGCTCAACTTTGCAGTTAGCCAAGTGTGAAAAGAACCAAGATGGAAAGAAAATAATATAATGCTGTAAATTATTTGGCTGAGAGTTGGTGTCCAGTTTTGTAAGGCAGTGATAGCTAGAAAGAAAATCACACAAAACAAACAAACAAACAGAAAAACAGGGCTGAAGAGGAGAGATTAAAGAATTACTTCAGCCAAGGAATAGTAATGGGAAGACAACACTGAGGAAAAGTCCACACCTCTTACATGGGCATAAAGAAAATGCACAATAAATATCTGGATAAAATGAGAAGGTAGAAAGTAGGGAAAAATAATGGGAGGGAAAAAGAAATTAAAGAAGTGAGACAAGGGAGAAAGGAGGAAAGAGTAGAAATGGGAAAGAAGAGAAAAGGAAAGAAAGAAAATAGGATTGAAGTGTGATCCCTTTGCAGCACTCTTTCCAGAATATACTAGAAGCAGTGTGAGCTTTGGAAACCAAAAAGACTGGGATTTGTTCATAGTTCTGTATCTTCTTACATTATTTTAAGTAGTTCCACTAACCTCCCTGAGCTTCTGTTTCTAAAGAAAATGTATGCAACTAGCTAAGCACTTAAAAAATGAGAGCTGCTTTCATTATTGGTATTTTTTGCTGAAACTTAATCATGTACTATATATTTTTTGTCAATTAACTTCTTATGTGTATTATTCTTGATCCTACCTTTTATTAGACAGCCCATTCTACGTTATGGTGCTACAATAAACAACTTTAAAATCTCAGAGGCTTAAATTATGTTATACTTTGTGTGTATTGTATATCAGTGATGTCCCTGCTCTAATTCATCCTTACTCCAGGACCCAGACTGATGGAGTCTTCATTGTCTGGAAGGTAAATGAGGACCACGGCAGCAGAAAAGTTATACACTACCTCTTAAACACTTTCCCAAGAAGTGACACACATCACTGCTGCTCACATATCTTTGACTAAAGCAAGACAATGGCCACATTCAACTTCAAAGTAACAATGAAATGCCATCTGTCATATGCCCAGAGAGAGAAAATTATGAAAACTCTTACAAAGGCACAAATGACTCTTCTACCTCACCAACCAAGTTTCCTCATTGATAAAATAAGGAAATGGGAGCACTTATTTTATAATGTTTCTATGAACATTATGGTAGTAAACACATATGGAACATTTAGAACAGTGTCCAGCATATGGTGATCCTGTAATCATTGCTGGATATTGGGATCTATTGTTATCAAAAACCTTTCTAAGACCCACGTCATGGTTTGTGCTGACTTGCCTCTCCGTGAGCACTTTGCCTGGTGCTTTGCACAATCTAGTTACTCAATAAATATTTGCTGAATTGAATTGAATAGTGTTCCAGCAGCATGGCTGAGACCACCCACCAGCTGGCAGACCAAGCACATGTAGGATTATCAGTTCCATTTCCCCTGCCAAACACCAATGCACTCCACTAAGCATCCCTCAGCTGCGATTCTCTATTTTGGCAACCTAATTGACCTTAATGTAAATGTTCCCAGCCACATAAAACATGTTGTGAAGTGCACAACAGCAGTCACAGTTGACTGCCAGCTGCCATCACACTATGTGTATGCAATTTATTCCTCCACAAACCCTCTTGAACATAATAAATAACAATGCCTTTCTTAGAAACCTCCCAACAGTCAGCACACAGGGTACCAGTGGCACATTTTAATGACTGCAACAAAAGAAAAGAAAAAGAAAAAAAAATACATGCCAGACTTTAAAAACAAGAGCCTACCTTCTAATATAAAGACACTCTTTGATGTGAGCCTAAGAGAAGGTCTCCCGCCTACCTGGAGTCTATTTGGATTGTATTCCTTTGCATTTCCTGCACAATTTAATATGAGGCCATCAAAGGGGGGGAAAAAGCTGCATTATGAAAAGGGAACAGAGTTTTTGTTTTCTCTCTGTCATCCTTATGCTGAGGGACCTCAACCACCCCACTTATTTTCTGGATGTTAGTTTCTGCATCTATTAAATGGAGAATATAATGCTTGCATGATGTCTTTCCAGAAGCTGGTGAGAGAAATGGACAGAGTTAGTAATATAAAAATTATATGAATAGGTCTAAATAATTGTGCAAATATCAGAGAACATCAGTAAAAATATTTTCTTTTGGATCTTGGTATCCTCTTTATTTCTTTTTTTTTTTTATGTTTGATCTGAGTCAACGATTTGCTGTAGGGTCGCTGATATTTTCCTAAAGGTCATGTTTAATGAGTAGCAAATCAAGGCAGAAAAAGAACACCCTGATCTCAGACATGTCCTACAGAGAGGCCCGTCACCCAGGTTTGTGCTTAAACTCAACATCTTGACAATCCTAGTCAGGTAAGAACATCTTAATCCATTCAAATTCTCTTAACCTGAAATTTATGAAGATAATTGAAAAATTGATTGAGAACCACTGAACTCAAGAGCTAACAACTAAATGGAATGTCTGAGGTGTTAAGAAGTGTGCACATCTAGATGCAAAGACACTGCAGAGTTCTGGGGCAGGTGCTAGTTATGCTTTACCAGGAGCTTTGGAAGAAACCTTAAACCTGTGAAGGGGGGGGATGAAAAACAATATTTTTGTTAAGCCAGCCAGGATCCTTTTGTCATTGACCTTTGACCCATTTGTGTCTATCCATCCCATTTTTATCTCATGCTGTTCTATACCATGAAGCAATTCTCTCATCAGGGTCTTTGCTACGCTCCATATGAATATCTTAGTTATTCTTTAAATTGTGATCCACTTGTTTGAAGCTTCCACATTTATGTGTGGGTGCATGCTCTATTCAATTTATTTATAAGAAAGCATTTTCTCCTATACTTTTGTGAAATGCTAGCTACCTCTTTCATTTCTTCTGTGGGATACCTTTCCTCCTTCAACAGGTGCACAATCTAAATTGTAAATTAGAGTAATTCAGGTTCTCAACATTAGTAAAAACAAATAATCTCATGTTGATAAGGGTCATTTGCCTCCAAACAGATCAAGAGTTTCTGGTGGTTTTAGTTACATGGCCAATTTCTATGATCATCTTTCCTGAGGATTCAAAAGGAAAGTGAAAACTTAATGTACAAATCAACTACTTAAAGCTCTCTTCCAACTCTTGTCAAGCACAAAATACAACTTTTCAAACAAAGTCACTAAGTCGTCTTGACTATACCCAGAGAAAAATGTATTGAGAAAATGGAACAGTCAAACAAACAAGCAAATACACAAATAAAAATGAGTGTAATTGAAAAGAAAATAATTATAAAATACAGAATAAAGAGGAAGAAAAGAAGAAACACATTGGGGTGAGGAGCGTACAAAGAAACAACAAGCTAAAACCAGCCCCTGGTTGATGTGTCTTCTTCCCAAGCAGCTGTGAAGCAGGAAGGCCTGGGAAAGGAGGAGGATGGGAGAGTTGGGAAGTTTTCCTCGTCCTATTTGAGTCACATCTTCATAGGGGGCTTAATTCCTTCATTTGAACAAATAAGTTTCTAAACATTGACAATTAAGCTTTGCCAACATTTATTAAATATATCAAAACTAAAAATGTAAACTATATGCAATTATTCCCCATTTTGTTTTCCTTCTCTATTTTGTTTTGTTTTGTTTTAGTTTTTCCTGACATTTCACTGTCTGAACCTATTCTTCTAGGTCCAATGACAATCATTTTTCCTCTCATGAAGTCATTGGACAATTTTTTTATCAAATTTAATACTGTACATATTAAAAGAACAACAAGTGAAGTAAGTACAATTTATTTATTTAATATATGTATATATATATATATTTTTTTTTTTTTTTTGAGACAGAGTCTTGCTCTGTCACTCAGGAGTGCAATGGCAGAATCTTGGCTCACTGCAACCTCCACTTCCCAGGTTCAAGAAATTCTCAGCCTCCCGAGTAGCTGGGATTACATGTGCCTGCCACCACATGCAGCTAATTTTTGTATTTTTAGTAGAGATGGAGTTTCATCATGTTGGCCAGACTGATCTTGAACTCCTGACCTCAAGTGATCAACCTGCCTTGACCTCCCAAAGTGCCGGGATTACAAGCATAAGCCACCACGCCTGGCCTATACACTTTACATTGACTGTATTGTGTATTATTTCCTAAATGTTGCCTGTGGGTTAGGTTAGATTGTGAGAACCTTCATGTAAAGTTTTGATTTAGAACAAAGTATATGAAGAAATAACAGATATAGCATTATCCCTTATTGGATACTGGGCAATATATTGAGGATACTCTATATTTGCTACTTTTCTTGGTTCTTCTTCCTTATCTAATAGAGGAAGAAAAGAAGAAAGGAAAGAAGGCCGGGGGTGGTGGCTCACGCCTGTAATCCCAGCACTTTGGGAGGCTGAGACGGGCGGATCACGAGGTCAGGAGATCGAGACCATCCTGGCTAAAACGGTGAAACCCTGTCTTTACTAAAAATACAACAAATTAGCTGGGCATGGTGGCAGGCACCTGTAGCCCTAGCTACTCGGGAGGCTGAGGCAGGAGAATGGCGTGAACTCAGGAGGCGGAACTTGCAGTGAGCCGAGATCGTACCACTGCACTCCAGTCTGGGTGACAGAACAAGACTCCGTCTCAAAAAACAAACAAAAAAAAAAAAAAAAAAAAAGAAAGGAAAGAAAAGAAAAAAGTTAGAAAGGTAGGAAAGGGAAAATAGGGAAGATGCAAAAACATTGATTAACAACCCACTTTTTTTCAGACAAGAGGTCCAATAATTTAAATATATTGTGCTTTTAATTATCCATCAATACTAGAAGAACCATTATTATTGGCTTTATGAAATAAATGGCCTTATACAGGTTAACTTGTATAGAGTCACATGGCTAGAAATCAGTAGGTGTCTATTTGATTTCAGACTGTCATTTGTTTGTTTATTGATATAGTAACAGCATGAATAATTTGAATTATGCTATTCAGTGTGGTAGCCACCAGCCTCATGTGGCTATTTAAACTAGTTAAAATTAAATAAAAGTAAGAATATACCCTGACACTTGCATTAGCCACATTTTAAGTGTTCAATTACCACATTTGTCAAGTAGCTACTGTAATGAAAAATAGAGCTATAGAATTTTCCTATCATTGCAAAAGTTTCCACTAGAAAGAGCGGTTGTTCAATGTAGGCTTTTCGTGGGTCAGAAACAATCCATTTCCATTGATTTCTGTGAGGCTTACCACTGCACATATGTTGTTATTTCCTATTCTTCTTTGAGGAAAATATTTTACCAGACAAAAAAATATGCTGATCAATTTTTGATTATTTTAATGCTGAGGGAAATAGTTATAAAATATTCAGGTCCAAATTCTTGGTAGACCTCTGCAAAGTGTTTGGTGAAATTTATGGGTGCAGCTGGTTTGCAGTTGTAAAACCTTATATTTTTAATGCAAAATGGCATCTGTGCCTGCTAATTGGATACTTAGGCATACACACATAAATTGCCTGGGAATTAGAAAGGTGTATTTCTTCAGTCTGCCCACATCTTGCCATTTTGAGAATCATTGCTCGGATTCATTTTTTTATCTGTGTTATTCTTGTAGAGTGGGTGGGAAAAAGCCTTCTCCTTGTTATAAATATTGCCCGCTGGGAAAACATTCTTCCTCCTCCTAATCCAGTTTTAATCCTTTCAAGCTCTGAACTCAGAAACCACTGTCTGTGTGGTAGCTGCTATTCAAAATAAGTTTGAGCTCTGTGATCACTGCCACCTGTCCTGTGAGACAGGAAGAATCAAATTTGTAAATGCCACTGGCAACCCTGTCTTTAGAGTTGGATTCAAATTTAACTATGAGGCCACAGAAAAGCAGTTAGGCCAAAACCTTGCCTAGCCTTTCTGAACATTTTCATTCTCTGCTGGTATTGTCTAGTTTGCAATGCAAAGGCAATAGGATTGAGGGATATTCTGCTACAATTTTCATGCAAAAGTTTATTAAATATGTCCTCATAATTTTTGTGAGCCCTAGAAAAGATGACTTGGACCCCAGAGTCTATACTTCTCTCATCCGAGAAGATTGCTTTATCATTCTTCCGTGCACTGGTAATTTCCATCAGAAAGCTTGCTAACCTGGTATTGACAATTATAAACCATAATCAAAAGGTGAAAAAGGCTCACCCACACTGATCTACAGTAAAGCCGATATCAGCTATCTGGGAAGAAAAGAAACACAAGAAAGTAAACACCAAAGTGTGGGTATATCTGCCCTTTTTATGTGAGCATTACAGAGTGTGAAACATGAATGCAAAGAAAGAGAATAATTTTCAGAGATTTAATCCCTTCAGAATAGAAAGCTTTGGTTGCAGTTTAAGGAGCCTTTTCACCTCAAGGTCACAGCTCGAATCTCATCTGGATTTGTGTATAGTGTTCACATTCAATTATTTTTGAGCTCTTTCTGCAGTATTGCTTCCTTGTATTGCATATACTATTTATGCCCATTGGGCCTTTTGCACATTTGTCCTGCACATTTTGTCTGCTCCTGTGGCTAATACAGACTGATCTTTTAAATCAGCTGATTGGGTTATAATGGATAATTTATCCTCTTTCTTCCTTTTTTCCTCCACATATAACCATGTTGGAATCAGACTTCCTGGTCCTTGACGCCCAATAGGGGGAGAAAATAAGACTGCTCTTGGGACAAGTTAAGTCTATAGTGGACCTTGGCACTTGGAAATGTAGGTTCTGTCTTTTAACTACTTTCAGGCTGTGTAGATACATCAAAGTGAGAAAAATCAACTGTTTTTTTATCCTTTTATTGAATATTTAAAATATACATATATGGAGAAAAATTACTTAGGCACATGCACACAAACACACATATATTTTAAGCAGATGGTCTCCATATACTCAGTTTAAGAATAGCAGTAATTTTTATTAACAGATATTAATTATGAACTTATTATGTAAAAGGCATTGCCAGGAACTGTGGGTGATAAAGATTCCAGACCTTCTCTTAATTAACTTATTTAATTGGAAGAAACATATATTTGTGAAAAACAAAATTAAAGTGCAGAGGAACACGATGACAAACAGGTAATATATAACACCTTTTTCAGAAACTTACAGTGACAGAAGGATATTACAGTCTGGGTTGATTAGGGAAGACTTCATGCAGGAGGTAGGACAAAGAAATACAGCACAGGAATAAGTTAGGCAGAGAAAGCAAATAGTAGGACGTTCTAGAATGTTAGAAGTTGAAAATATTCATGGGGTGGGCTATGAAGAAGCTGAAATGATTGGCATGAAGCATAATCCCTTATATGAGAGATTTGAGAAATTTAAAGCAAAATTGAGACAGCCTTTCTTTTCCTTTAAATACCGGTAGTCAATTCCTTCCCTCTTTGCCCCTACCCGCTATTCCCTACTAATAAAAGGCTGCAGGCATAGGGTTGCAGCCCTATCCTGCAGAATCTACAGCCCTTGTCCCTAAAATGCTGAGATGACATTTGCAGTCTGTAAGGTGCAGAATCCTGCTGAGGATCCCAGCAAGGGAAGATAACCAAGCCTAACAGTGCTCAAATTGTGGTTTGGGGCTTTAACATTTTTCTTTCCTTTTCTGTTAGAGCCATCAATTGCCTTCTACAGACACTAAATTCACTTACAAAGTTTAAACAGAGAAATAAAATGGAATGCAATGATCAGGAAATTCCATTTGGCTTTTTTCTCCCTTTCATCATTTTGTTGAATGTGTGCAGAACTATATGAGGTTATTCATTTGTACCCAAACAGGAATATAGGATTTGCCATATTAGATCAGTCCATTGGTCCACCAATGTTGTATTCTCACTGCCTCTGGCACCAGATGATACATGAAGCACTGGAAGAGAGCGAACTCCCCCCATCCCCAGAAGGCAGCAAGTCAATTGTGCAGCGCAATATATGGGGTGAAAGTCTCCACTGGTCGGGGTGGGACTACATAAATGGAATCTGGATTTGAAGATGTTTAAATAGGGCAGATGCTGCATCCATTGAACACGGACTTAGGCAGTTCTTACCTTTAGAAATTGTGTCTAGTGTCTCTGTGCTCACTTGTGTCAGAGCTTCTCTGCTCATTTTCAATTAGAAGAACTATTATTTATCTTACAGTAATAAATGGAAACAGTGGAATCAAACAGCCCCATTCCTGAGAGATGAAGACAACACTCTATGATAACTGACATGTTGCTGCTTTCTTTCTGGTGAAAGAATAAATGCAGTCAAAACCAGAACTCAGTGTAATATCTCAGGACGGCATGCCCCTCTTCCCATAGTAATTATTACAGAAATCTATAGTCTGTTCAACTTATTGGCCTATTCACTCATTCAGTCAACAGGAAAAGACAAGACGATACTGTATGAAAGTCTGACCAACATAAAGGGTGCTACAAGGATGCCCCCAAGGCTCAGGATGTTGGAGAGTTGAGGCACCATGAGTAACCACAATGCAGGTGAGAATAAGCTCTCTGCCACAAGAGCGGTCCAACTGGAATAATGCATCCATTCAGAGAAGTGAGAGGCCAATTCCAGCTGGGATGATACGAAACACTATGCTGCCACTTTCTTCATGAGGGGAATGTGAACAAAATATAAAATAATTAATCTGACATTCCTCAGAATCCAATATTTGTGCAATTTTTAAAAATGTGCAAGATTATTTCTAGTTTTCCTAGTGATTTTTAACTATGCAGCTTCAGCCCAGACCTGTTGATAATGATTATAATAACGATGGGAGATCTGGCTATATAATTTCTGAGGCTTAGTGCAAAATGGAACTGCAGGGTTCCAGTTTAAAAAGCAGGAAAAATGTGACCATAAGATATTGAAATATAAGGTTTTTCCTTTATTCCAGGTCTCCTGATTGACTTACCATATGTTTTTTAAAATTTGCTATTTAATGCCATTCTTGAAACATTAAATTTAAATGATTAGCATGAATATTACTATTCATCTTTATATTGTACGATTTCAGTTTTAAATTCAAATGTAAGAACATTTAAATTGTATATGGAATCACCAGAATTGCACAATTTGTATTTCAAGGACATATATTCATATATATATTTCGTTCTTACCAAAACAATGGAAACACTGTACAAAACTAACTCAACTGTTTGTTGATACTTTGTACTTTCTGATACTCTTGCATTCCACCAATACTCTCTATGTGTTGCCCTAACTTTCTCTTTCCAACTAGGGCATTATTTTCAGTGTAAGTTGTTAGCTGAAATACAGGGAAGTGACTTGTGTAAGAAAAGATAGGACAGTCATTCTCAATTGTTCGTCACTCTTAGACTGCACACATCTTTACTCTGCATTCAAAGCAACTTCTGGTTCAAATGGAAAGTGTGGCCTCTTGGGAAAAGTGTGGCCCCAGTCAGTCATAGATGTTACACACTTACCTTGTACTTTTCAGTCTCATTGCACTCCAATTCACTTTGGGTCCTTTGGAATTCTGTGTTCTTGGTACCTTGTGAATTTTAAATGCAAATGGTTAGCAAGGAAGGTAATCCTGCATGTTGAGAGAATCTCCTCTGCACACACGCTTGCTCCATTGTCCCATTGAACGTCACTTATAAAACACAAGTTCAAAGATAAAATGTGTTAGGAATCCAAAACAGTGACAATAGGACATTAAACCAAATATGGTCCGCTTTTAAGACAGACCTGGGTTTGACTGCACAGGTTGCAAGCCTAGGGAGCTGGCCCTGAGTCATGACACAAATAAAATGCCTCATACATATGGAATACTGTTTATGTCTGGCTGTTTGATATAAGCTATCTTCTATACATTGTATCTTTAATTTTCACAATAGCTTGGATTTGAATCCAGGCCATCTGGGTCTAGAGTCAAGGCTTACTAATCTGGGTTTCATCTAAGCCGTATTCACAAATTATTTTTATTATGAGGCAAAATAAATTTAAAAGTGCATGATGAGACCGGGGAGAGGTTTAGTACACAATTTTTAAAAGATTGACTGAAAACCTACTGCTTCAGGAAAAATTCAAACTGTTTTTTCTCTGTTCTTATACCACATAACAATCATCACAGAAGAAAACCAACACAGAAGTCTTCTGTGACCGAATGTGAGGGTTTCCCCTGCATGCCAAGCAGCAGACATCAGCTGGCTGTCTTCTAATTTAGTTTTGACACTACCTGGATATACAGTCAGATCCCACAGGTTGAGGGCTCAGTCCCCATGACTGTTCTCCCACCTTCAGACAACAGTTATAAGTTTGGGCCTTTGGAACTTCTGTACAACCGGCTTCAGGTTGGGGTTCATATGACCCCTTACTTGGGTTTGATTACTTTGCTGGAGCAACTTACAAAACTCAGGGAAACACATTTACTAGTTTATTATAAAGGATATTACAAAGCATTCAGATAAAGATATGTGTAGGGTGTGGCATGGGGAAAAGTGTTAGGAGCTTCCAAGCCCATTTATGGAGGCTTCATTACATAAGCATAATTAAAAACTATATAGAAATGTGACTACACAAAAAGTACATGATCTAAACCCAGCAAGGCCTGTCTGTTCAGACCTTTCTTGGTGTCTCAGGGTAGTATTCCTCCCTAGAGGGCAAGCTTGTCAAACTTATGGCCTGCAGACCGCATGCAGCACAGGATGGCTTTGAATATAGCCCAACACAAATTTGTAGGCTTTCTGAAAACATTATGAGGTTTTGTTTTTTCACGATTTTTTTTTTTATAGTTCATCAGCTATCATTAGTGTTAGTGTATTTTACGTGTGGCCCAAGACAATGCTTCCTCCAGTGTGGCCCGGGGAATCCAAAGATTGGACACCCCTGTTATAGGGTATGCAATGAGGGTCTTTCGACCCACAATAGATTAGAGTCCTGCCTTGGGCAGATGAAAGAAAGAGAGGAGAAGGTCAGAGAGAGACAGAGAGACACTGTTTCATGAGACCTGCTCCTGGAGCCTAAAGTACTCCAAGGTTACATCAAATTACTGTAACAAAGGCTCTCTCTTTCTCTGTCTCTATCACACCCGCTATGACAAGAATCAGAGATATTTGAGGACTAGAGAGTGAGTGAGTTTGTTTTCTAAATAGGTTTGAGATTATGCAGTTTGAATATCAAGCATTTTCTTTTGACCCAATGAAAGTGGTTGAGACTATGGGGAGGCCCCTGTCCCTTTCCCTGTATATATGTGTATGTGTGTGTTGTAATACTTTATACTTTACCACCAGATAGAACATTTTTAAAGCTAATGCCTTATTTTTAAACTCCTAGTTCTTTACTTGGAGCTTTACAAATAGATTTAGGTAATAGCTATTTAGTTATAAAGTTTATTTTAGGAGTGTTCTGTCAGTTGAGTGAGTTACAAGTCCGTAGGTTAAAATCAAAACAAAGTACATTTCCAGACTCTCGGGCACTGGCCATAGGACTCTGAGTGGTTGTGCTGGTTTTCAAATGAAGGTCCGGAGAGTGATTAAGTAGCCATTAACTATGTGACCTGATGTACCCTGAAAGTACACGTAAACCTCCCTATTGTGCAGAAAAGCAAAATATATACTACACAGATAGAGGAATAAAATATTTAAGAATAACATCTTGTTTAAGCTTGTAAGTAGCAGGACCCATGTTTACCATCTGTTGTGGGTTGAAGAGTGTCCTGGAAAATTCATGTCCACCTAAAATCTCATATTATGACATTAATTGGAAATAAGATATTTGCAGATGTAATTAGTTAAGATGAGGTCATACTGGATTGGAGCGGGCCCTAAATCCAATGTTATTAGTGTCCTTATAAGAAGACTTTTAAGTGTCTCTTTAGATGGAGACACACAGAAAGGAGAACACCATGTGAATATGGAGACAGAAATTAGAGTGATGCCTCTACAAGCCAAGGAGTGCCAGGGAGTGCCAGCGACCACCAGAAGGTGGGGGAGAGTCATGGGATGGATTCTCCCTTTGAGACCCAAGAAGGAATACATTCTGATGACACTTTGGATTCAAACTTCTAGCCTCCAGAAATGTGAAAGAATAAATTTATATTGTTTTAATCAAGCCCCAGTTAGTGCTAATTTGTTACAGCATTCCTAGGAAATGAATGCAGTATTTCTTAGCTGGTCACCATTGAGCACTGGCAATAGTTTAGGGCCATATATAATTAAATTTGTCTTTGACTCCTTGTCTAAACAGGATATGTTTCATGAAGACAGTGGCTGATTTTACACTCTTTGGTCTATTTCGTATAGAGAAATGTATAGTGTCTAGTTAGGATTTAAAATACAAGTAAACAAAAGAAAACAAAATTCTAAATGATGGACTGATTCATTAATTAAACTGTGGAGCTGAACAGTAAGGACATATATGTATGATAAAATCAAAACGATTCTACTAGGACTATGATCTACTTTATAAAAATGTTATGCAAGAGTATCATTTAGCTGCATGGATGGGTGGATTTCAGAACATTTTATAAAATGCACGCTAGAGAGCTTGATCATACATAAAATCCTAAAAGGTTAGTAACTCCTTCTAGTTTATTATTGTTATTATATGTCTCTTTTCCTGTCATGATTAGCATGGAAAGTCTCAAAATGTAAGGCATCTATATGCTTATTTGAAGTAGAGTAGGGCAAGGGAGCAGGAGGGAAGCAGGTAGGGAGAGAGACTACTGTCTACCTCTGAGTTATTCGAGGAGAAGGAGCTCAAGAGGGTGACTATTTGCAGTCACCAAGACAGGACAGCCAAAGTCTCTGCAGCTCATGGTACAGAAAGAAGAGGCGTGTGTATGTGTGTTTGTGTGTATGTGTTGTGGGCCTCACAGAATACCCAATGTCTTAATATTAACTTCCATTAGCTTTCTCTCATATCCAAGGGACAAGATGGCATATTGCTAACCTAGCAGAAATGAGCTATTTCTCAACTGCTCTCTTCACTTTCTTTCCTATTGCAATCCTATTTCCAAAATGTATACTATTTTTTCTATTTATTTGTTCTGTCCAGCATTGTCTTGACTCCAGGTATGTTCATGAATCTTATCCTTGACCAAATAAATACATACAGATAGACCAGACTGCCCAGAACACAGACTATGTCAATTGCTAAATTAAGAAGGAAAAATCAAGACTTCATTGATGTATACACAGAGAGCTTACCCTGATGTGTGTGTGTGTGTGTGTGTGTGTGTGTGTGTGTGTGTGTGTTGACAGAGAGAGCCAAAGGGAAGAGAAAGAGAGAGAGAGAAGGCCCAGAGGCTGGGGAAAGTTAATAAAGGTGTAGAATGTATAG
This sequence comes from Homo sapiens, assembly GCF_000001405.40. NCBI lineage: Eukaryota > Metazoa > Chordata > Mammalia > Primates > Hominidae > Homo > Homo sapiens. The sequence continues at coordinate 40,087,583 of NC_000018.10, forward strand.
AATGAGCCATTCATGCTCAGAGCCAAACAATGGATTTAAACTGCTCAAGAATCATTATTTACTAGGTATCTTTATAATTTCCTTCCTTTAAAATGGTCTACTGATTTTATAAAATTTCTTATCCCTACAAAAAAACAAAAGACAAAACTTAATCATAGACTGCCTTGAGTTTTTTGGCAAAAATAATTTTAAAGGCATAACAAAAATATCTAACTATTCCAGAAAAATCATGAAAGCTCACCACACAACAGAAAATTTGCCTGTGAAAACAATGTTCTTCTCTCCTCTTGTTACGCAGAGTCCTGCAGTCAGCTTCCCAGCTGTAATTCTCCCCGACACCGGGGATATTAAGAATGTGAAGAAAATGCTTGAGTAGATTATAAATAATAGTGTGAGACACAGTGAATTATATTTTCTAATAATTGGCATTACATTATAAGACTGAGGGGGAAAAAGGATGAAAGCAAAGAGAACGTGAATGCAGGCAATCACGGATTTTTTTTCTCTGTTCTTGGGAGTGTGCGTAGGAGCAAGTGAGGAAACTAAAGAAATAAAGAAAATGAAAGTAGAAGCAGAGACAGAGAAAGAGAAGGGGGAAAGGGAGCATGGAAAGGAAAGTGGGAGGACAGGGAAAGATGATAGGGAGAGAGGAAAAAGAGAAAGAAAGAAGTAAGGAAGGAAAAATGCTCCGTTTTTGACCGGCACTGATGCCACATCACATAGCTGAGTAAAATGGAGTAAAGGACAGAGACACACAGCTGGACCTGTAGAGATAAGGGTGTGTCTGTAACCCAGAGGAAGCAATTCCAGTTTCCATAGGGTGAGCAATTGCAACGTTACTTTCCCTTGAAAATATAGAGGAAGAAAAACATACATGTTTGTTTATTGTATATTCACCATCTTTATGTCTGCTCATTTCATACAAAAGTACTCTAATGCAAACTCATAGGACCAGTATTATGAAGACAGAGACAGATCTAATTCTGCCCTTAATTAGTTTGTAACATTATTGCCCTAACTTCTCTGAAGCAGTTTTACCTTTCTGCCTACTTCACATAATTCTGGGGAGTATCTAACAAGATAAAACCTGGGAAAGCATTTTTTTAAAAATGTAAAACACTATTCCTCTTGGGATTTCAACACATCTTGAGAGATAGCTGCTTGGGAAGATACTCCTCTCTTAACAAAAGAGAAAAAGACATTTTTTTTTTTTTTATGGAGGCATTGTGAAGTGAAGTGTTAAGGCAGGAACATAAAAAATTTAAGGCCTGAAAACAGTACAAAGGAGGAAAATGGTGTTTTTTGTGAGCAGCAATTGGGAATTATTTATCTAGATTGTTTGTCTACATAGTTAAACTTGACTAAACAAGGGCTCTGCTCATTGCAGTTTACCTTGATCCTGTCAAGATTTGAGGAACAGGGTGGATCCCTAATAGTGTCCAATACGTAAAAACATTTACTCCAGTTGACTACTGGGGTTAAATAAATCAGAGAGAAAGAAGAAAAGGAAAATGAAGGAATCAAAAAGGAGGGATTGAGGAGAAAAAGAAAAGACCAGATGGGAGGAAAAAAAATAGGAGAGCAGGAAGAAATGTAAGGAGAGGCAGAGGCTAAGAATGAGTGGGAAGATGAGGTGGTGCCAGAATAATGACAGATAACATAAAATGAGAGGAAAAATTAGAGCTCGGTTCAGCCATCTCATACGAACATGTTCTCAGAATATCTGCTCACCAAAGCTGACTAATGTTCAAGTTCTCCTCTAACAGAAACTACTGTTCAATATGAGCTTCCTCTTTAAGTTTCCAGTATTCCATGCTATCATTGAAAAGTCATGATAGGTCCTTAGCCTGAAGGAACACAGGTATGAGTAGAGATCTCTCTCTGTACTTTGTCAAAATCATTCCTTTGTGGTCGCAACAGCGTGTAATGCAACAGGACTATGATTTAGAGTAATGCAGAATGCTTATTCAGCCCTGAATTCCAACCTGATCCTTTGTTCTAATTTCTTCTATTTCTGGGCCAGTAGGCCTATGGCTATATAAATGGTAGATTTCCCAAAATGTATAAGAAGCAGTCAAGTGTTATGAATGATTATGAATTCCGTTCAGTAACCTAGTCATGAATTTATAACTTTTATTGAATTGTCTCCACACTTCTCACTTCCTCTGCCATATCTACAAACATACACGCACCATGCTTGCTTTCTTTTTAATCCTAAAGTCAATTAACAAAAAAATAACAAATGTCAAATAACAAAATACCTTGATGGAGCAAAGCCTGTGTATGCAGCAGAACAAAACCGTAACCAACAATGATGCTCAGGTCTGGGACCCTGATTAATTGAATTTCTAGTTTAAAGAACATTTTGGACAGGCTGTGGTGGCTCACACCTGTAATCCCAGCACTTTGGGAGGCTGAGACAGAGAGATCACCTGAGGTCAGGAGTTCAAGGACAGCCTGGACAACATGGTGAAACCCCATCAGTACTAAAAATACAAACATTAGCTGAGCGTGGTGGCCCACGCCTGTAGTCCCAGCTACTCGGGAGGCTGCCGCAGGAGAATGACTTGAACTCACGTGGCAGAGGTTACAGTGAGCCGAGATTGTGCTACTACACTCCAGCCTGGGCAACAGAGTGGAAAAAAAAAACCCACATGTTGGAACCCCCTTTGCTCTGGCATCTTCCTTGTTCATAGAACTATGATTTGCTTTGGGTATCAAGTGCGATAAGTGTTAGGGGACCTGGGCCCTTTCTCAGTTCCAGGGGATGAATCTTGCACAGTGGTTACCCTGGACAACATGAGGAGACATGAGGAGGAACATGTTGTTGAGCTTATGTGAAAGTTTTAAATATGAGATATAGAAATACTTATGTCCTATTCTCCACTGCTAGCTTTTCAGTGTAACTGTCTGAAGCTGTGATCTCTGGAGATACAGCAGTCATTTTGTAACCAAGAGGACAAACCTAAAACTGAAAGCTGACATCTGGAAAATGGAAGAGGGGATATGAAACCTTGGTAATTGGCTCTGAAAAATCAAGCTTCCAGAATTCTTAGAATACAAGATTTAAAAACATTCTTATGTTTCTATTCCAGTCCTAATTTGATTTCTGTTACTTTAGCTGGGAATAGCCTAATTGACATAAATATCTACCATAGAATATACATATATGTAATATATGTATATTTATTCTATGGTAGTATTTTACACACACATGCGCACACATACATTGTTTTCATTGATGCTTTGAGTAAACTTAACTGGTAGTTAGAAAAAAACATGGAGTCAAAGGCAGAATGAAGATAAGATACTCTTGAACTGAAATATAAATGGGAAAGATTTAGGGCAATGGGAGAGAGGCAAATTTTTGATTGAGTAATTCCTTAGAGGAAATCTGTCATAATGAGACTGAGCACAGAGATAGAGCAATTGATACTGAAGAAATGGAATAATATTTTATCTTCTGCAATGAAAAGAAAGAAGGCTAAACATTACCACCGAGCTATATTCACAGTTGTGGAGGCAAGAAGTTGATGCATTTTTTTTCAATAATCAACTGAATTTTTCTGTTAAAATGTAAAGTAAAATTTTTGCTGGAAGGGATTGAGGTCAGCTTTGGAGGTTCATGAACTGCTACTGGTGATTTTTCAGAAACATTATAGTACTAGTGATTTTTTTTCAAGAAAATTCAGAAAGAAATGAGAGAGATTGATCACAAAAATTGGAAGAATGGAGCCAAAGTTGTTGTTAGGGACCATTGCTTGTTGGGGGCCCTAAAGGTTACAGTTGTGGGATTTCTTAAAAGCCATACAGTAGCCTGAGTGGAGGAGCTGAGAAGATGAATTCTATGTCTGAATTAGCTTGGAGGTTTCGTTTTACCTTGATGGGAAGGTACAAACAGACAGCAAGACTTATCAGTCCAGCTTGTTTAAATCTTATGGATCCTGGGCTGCGATTGATAAGCTGAGACTAGATCTTTAGAAGTCACTAAATTCATTTACCTATTTATAAAGAAAATTAAGAACTCTCTCATACATGAAACTTTGTAGTCTTTTCTCTCAATAAATATCTCTCAGATTGCAAACAGATCAGCATTTTTAAGGAAGGGAAATATTATGCAAAATGTTATTACACAAAACAAATGAAAGTGAAGCTACTTTAAATAAAGAAGAAGAGTCACAATACCCTCACTCCACCTGATGGCCATTTACATTTCTTCTCTTTCCCTCTGTATCGGCCCTCAGCCACTTCCATTGTACACTAGTGCTCTAATAATCACAGTTTTAAATGAAACTAAGCTAAAGAATAAACTTAAATTTAGTTATTAGGTTACCAGCACAATTTAAGATAATTTGTAATAAGATCAGCCTTATCACTAGAATTGGTGATTGCTTATGTGTTATCAGTCAGGAACCACTATCATCACTCCACATGCTATTCCATCATTCAACGTTATTTCTAACCTAGGAATGGCAGTCCCCATGGATCTTCACTGGTTGCTAAGGTTTAGCAGATGAGACAATCCGTATTTCAATTTGTCTGAATATTGTCCAGAGTGAACTCAGTATGAACAATCTATGTGCATCACCCTAGCTTCATCTGCCGTCAATCTCCTAAGGAGCTTGACCTAGACTTCAAATAAATACATTGCATCTATGTGCACCTATAGTATTATTCTCATCTGGCATATTCTACATCAGAAAATACACATACCAATGCCCCCTTCTTTAATCTAGTCTTCAATAAAAGACTGAAATTCCGAGGCTGCTTCATGAAAAACCTGAAGAAGGAGAGAAGGGGTTCTTGCCTGATATCCTGGAAATAGAGCATATAACACGAAACGTTATTCTTTTTCCCTAAGGACAAAAGGAAGGAATATCTTTTGCAAGTTCTGCCAATCAACAGTCAACTAGATAAAGGAAGCAGTGATGGTGCAACACTAGAGGTGGGCAGCTAACGAAAGCCAAGCCTTCTCTGCTGATTGCAGAGACTTCAGTGGTATGGACTTAAATGCTACCAGTCTCAGGGACACCTGTATCCAGAGAGAGGCTGTGGTTGTGGAGAACAGAGTTTCATGAAGTGTGGTGATCAGGCTTAACTTGACAATAGTTTTTTTTCTAGTCAATAAAATCCACCAGTATTCCCAGACGGAAGGAATTTGGAGTGGGGCCACTCCTTCATGGTTCTGACAGGGGGTGACAGCTACCTTTCTCTAGTGATAATTTGAAAAAAAATCTGTCAGTGGTTTTCCTTTCTGTCCCAAATTCCATAAACAGCGATTGAAACTATTTGTGTTACAGTTATGTGTGTTGCCTAATGACAGGAACAAGTTCTGAGAAATGCCGCAGGTGATTTTTGTCATTGTGCCAACCTTAGAGAGTATACCTAAGCAAATCTCAATGGCATACCCTATTGCACACCTAGGCTGTACGGTATAGCCTAGGCTACAAAACCTGCTCAGCATATTACTGTGCTGAATAATGTAGGGAATTGTAACACAGTGGTAAGTATTTGTGTATCTAAAACATGGAAAAGTTACAGTAACAATATGGTATTATAATCATATGGGACCACCAGCATATATGTTGCTATGCGGTGGCACATGACTACATTGTTCCCTGGCTTTTAGTTCTTTTGTAGCTTTGTATTGGGGTCAATTTCCCCATCTGCTTCATCTCAGTCTCTGGAATTGATCCAGTTTTTGGGTTGAGGGAATACAGAAAGCCTAAAGTCAGTAGCTTAAGATCTTGGATGTTCACAACCAAGTACATCACAGTAATAATCCATTCTGCCTGTAAAAATGAAATTCTCATAAGACTATGCCCTAGTTTCACTATGAAAATCTCTTGTTTACTTTCTTAGAGAAGAATCCTGTTTGTGAACCACAAACTTCCTAACTGGGACAGGTTATTTGAAACTGACTTTTCCTACGTGTAATTGCTAGTCTGCTTAGGAATTCTCCTATTGTCTATTGCCTGTATTCATTCATTTTTAATTCAAGAAGATCTATTAGGCTTATACTATTTGCCAGAGACTCTGTTAGGGCTGGGACAAGATATGAGCAAAACAGAAATGGGACAGTTTCTGCTCCACCTTCTCATAGAGCCTCTTCCTTCTCTCCTGACCCTTTTTGGCTCTCCACACCACTGTCACTTGTAAGCCAGACTGTTTTTGGAAGGTCAGCTGGGATGCCTCTGAAGACAAACTTCCCTGGAGTCTCTGACCCAATTTCACACAACACTGCCCTCAACCTATTGGATTATAAAAAGAACGTAGTCTCACCTATGCTCTTGCTGGTCTTGCTGCATCCTCACTGATTTTTTCAGCCCACAGCGTCATTTCCTCTACTGCTTCTTGCCTATACATAGTTTGTTTTTGTTTTCAATCCCGACAAAGCTACTGTCAAACCACTGCCTTATTCAAAACAAATCATTTGTGAGGAAGCTGATGCTAAAGCGGTGTTCTATCATTTTCCTTACAGATTCTGGCATTTAACAGAGAGGGTAAAAATAAAAACTTTGTTACTAGGCAGTAAAACTCTCCACAACTGAATATTCACGTTGTTCATGGATCAGCAAACACCCTAGTTTGTCTGTAATTGAAAAAAACATTTGGCACATTTCTATTAAAAAACCTTCTCCTTCATGAATGTTTAAACAAATTAACTCGAACAAGAAGCAGTGATATGCATATCAAAAACAATTCTTAAACCTGAAGTCAACTAAAGCATGGGGAAATCAGTGTGCTGGCAGGTACTCTTTCTGCATTTCACACTAACGATTTCCATTTCACCATTTTCCTCCTTTCAAGCATTTTTGCTTTTATCTTGGATGCTTTTTAGAGCTCTGGTCATTGCAAAAACATTCTTGGTTTCCTAAAACGAGGGGTGACTTTGCATAACCATAGTAAGTTTGAACTGGGCCATTCTGTTGGACTAATGAGCCTAGGGTTCTCTCACTGGTAATAAATGATGTTCCATAAATGCCTGTTAAGGGATTAAACTGAAGCGTACATCCAGTGGGATGAGTTCACTTTCATAACTACAGTGTTACTCATTCTGGTCTGTGGACAGAAAGATTCTAGTGTCATTTCTGCCTCCAACTAGGTCTGTGGCTTTGTGTAAGTTGCCTTGCTTCTCACAGCCTTAGTTTCCTCATCTGTAAGTGGGTAGAATGGCCTCTAAATCCAGTGATCCTAAGAAGTAGCTGAGTCTTTTTTTTTTCATCTCCACTAGCTAAACTGGCATATGTGGACACAGTCTAAAAGACTTTGCGGTCATATACATCAATGTAAGACATGAGTACAAGGTATAGAATTTCCTCAGAAACTGAACAAACAGAGAAAATCTATGTATTCTCAGGTCCAGGGCAAACACATCCTCTGGGACCACAGTTAGCATCTTTCCATTCATATTTTCTTTACAAAACAGGAAAGATTGCGACAAACTTTCATTCCTACAATCCCCTGAGAATTGGATGCTGGAGCAAGCACTTTCCACACTGTAGCCTGGGTCTCATTAGTGTGGGACCTCCATACTCAGAGGGGTCTTCTTTCCAGGAAAGGTATTCTGAGGTCACCAGGCTTTAATGTGGCTCCTTAAACCCAGCTGAAATAAAGGAAAAGAAAAGAAATTAAGGAGCAGAGGAGGAAAGGAAAGAAACAAAGTAAGAAGAACTAACAGAGAGAGAGAGAGAGACTGAGACAGGGACACACACACAGAGAAAGAGAAATAAAAAAGATCAAAAACAAAAGGCTTTTGACTTTTGAGCCTTTGGAAAAGTGTATGAGCTAACAGTTTATACAATCACACAATAAAACAATGATCCCCACCCCAACAAATAAACAATTTTTGATACTCTCTAACTTTATTTCTCTATTTCATCCTTTTGTCCTGATTTACTATTAGTCATGACTTTAATTTTGTTATAAACGAAAATTACTCTTCCCTAATACTTTTTGAGTACCTTCTTACTTAAAGGGGAGTGATTTGTGACTTATTTTGATCTACAAAATAGTCCTTAGGGATGACTGAGTCTGACTTACAATGGACAGAGGAGGAAAGCAACACAGTAGGTGTCTGTGAGAGACAGAACTCATATCTCCTCTCTTCCCTACATACACCACTTCCCCACCCCTCAACAATGGCCCATGGTCTCATTTTGTCATACTTGCTGTTTTTCCATAAATTGTAGAGAAAAATCAAGTCATAGGGTATGTTCAGAGGGGAAGAATGTGTTCAAAGTGAACATAGGAACTAATCAGTCCTACATTAGCTTTGAGCCAGAGGAGAAGAGTGAGAGTCATATTGAAAAGTTATAGCAGAGGCAAAAGAATGGAGAAAGTATGGGACATAGATATTTGAAATACATAGGAAATGATCTATAGTTTTTTTTTTTTTTAAAGTATCACAAACTCAATGCCTTTAAGGTCAGCTGACCATAGCATCTTTTGTATTAATGCAGAAATTTTTGGATGAAGGTTTTTTGTCTCTGTAAAATTTCACTTCTACTTTGAGCTTTCCTTCTCTCTCTCTTTTGTCCCTTCCTTCCTCCCTCCCTCACTTCTTCCCTCCCCCAACCATTCCCTATATTACACAACTTCAGAAAGAACAATTAACCTAACGAATCTGATATCATTAAAATATGATGAAGTAGGGCAAATTCTCCCTATTAACTTAAAAATTTATAGAAATTGATTATTTTTTTCTCTTTATTTTTGTTTGATTACTTGCCTCTCAGATATATGTATAAATTATATCTCCAGAATCCACCACCAAGTGGAAATATGCACTTCAGGTAAATAGAAGAAAAAAATGGACATAAAAAATAGTCTTTCTGCCCATCAAACCTTTTATTTCCGAGCAGAAATAATTACAGCAATGGTCAGTGGGGAGATTTGAGCAATTTACAGAGGTATAACAGTGGTTCCTATCAACACAGTTTTATATTCAGGGCAAGGCATAGAACTCAAGGTCCTGAAGCTTTGCCTATAATCTTTATTTCATTTTTTAGATGTTATGCTGTAATAAAATGTAAAAAGGGAATACATAAAAAGTTATAGAGGTGGGAAAAAACATGGTTTGAAGTTGTATGGCATTTCTTGACAGGGCATGTTCCTAAGGATATGCAGAGAATAACAAATGCCATTTGAAATAAGTACACTAGAGATCTAAAACTGGATTGAAAGCCCAAGTCAATTTTCCTGAGTGTCATTTGATTAGCTTTCTCATATAGAATGGTGGTTTAAACAATGCTGGGATTCTGAGTGCAGAAGTGCTTGGGAACACAGTAAGAAATGGGTTCCTCCCACCAATTTCATTCCTGTGGCTTTACAACATTATCTTTTCACATTCTTCCTGTGTTTTTGCAATAATCCATAAATGAAGCAACGTCAAAGAAAATGTGATTGATTGTAGTGAAACACACATGCACACTCACGTGCAGTAGGCTATTTTTCTATTCCCTTTCCAATTTGTCCCACGGTTGCTCCAGGCAAACACCTGTATCCTATTGCCAGTTTTTGGTAGGAAAATAGAAACAAACTTCTCAGGCTTGAGGGGAAACTGCACAGGTAACAAACAATTCAATTGTGTCTAGTGGCTATTTTCATATAGAGAGAAATTTCTCCCACTTTTGCCATGATGTTTATTCTGGTTTCTTGAGACAGATTAGAAAGCAGGCCTCAATGCATCTAAAAATTATATTTGGAAGAGATTGGGAATCATTTCGCATCCTTTTCCATTCCCTTTGTTTTATCCATACAGAGCAGAACAGAAAATTTGTGTACTATAATGATCACGCCAACTTGTAATTTAGGTGTAAATTGTTGATTTCATCACTAATTGACTAGGTTCTACCATCTATAGTGTATGTTCTTTCATTTATCAGCATTTGATTTATTTGTTTCAGACTCTAGAAATCCGATTCTGAAGTCTAACATAATCCTTTTAGATTGCCGTTGGTTTCCTAACCTCACAGAAGGCACAGGTTGATGGTGTGTCCAACTCAACACTTAAGTTCTGACAGTCTAGGGGTATGAAACATAGACCAACTTCAACGGTTCAATGAACAAAATCCTATCTACTTGTTAGTCTTCTATAAGACATTTCAGCTGCTAAGCTGACAGTAGTGGTCGAGATATTAAGTTGGACAAGATACTTTCTGAAGTGTCTAGTTTCAGACCAATGAATACTTGGATTTGTTTTCTAGGCTACAGGAACTTCAGTTTTGTTCTACTGCTACTGCCTCTAAGAAGCATCTTATAAAGGCCGACAATGTCATGCATGTATTTAGAACCTTGGTGTGTATCTTAGACTATGCCAGATTGTAGACACTCTCTTGCCCTCCCTTCTCTTTGTTGCATTAGGTATGATAGATGATCTTGAACTCTGACTATGAATAATAACTCTTGACCAGAATACAGCACCTCACTAACACAGAATAGACATTTCAAAGGGATTCAGAATGACTGCTTTAAACCAATATATGGAGGAAAAGCCAATGATATTAGTATGAATGGGTTTATTTGAAAACGACTTAGTTATGAACTTTGAAGGCCTTTGGAGAAAGGGTGGAATTCTGAGGCTAAAGTGACAAATTGAAGTAAGTAAATAATAGAGTATTTTGATTATCCTGGAGGTTTTTCTCCAGAAAAAGTAATTTATTTGATGAATTTGGTTACTTCTACTAAATAGATTCCAAAACAATTTTTCAATTTTCTATTTTATTTTAATTACATATAAAACCAAAATATAATGAGAAGGCATTTATCCAGCTATCCAATAATGTTGCCATAAATATTCTTTATGATTATCACAGCCTGTTTTATTCATGTGGACCATGCCGTGATTCCCAATCAAACCCTAAAGATAACAAAATCTGGTGTCCATATTCCTTGCTTAGGGATGCTTAAGTGTATTGATATTTCTTTTAAATATAACATCTGCATTCCTTGTTTTCTTTCTTGTGATACCTGAAATGCATTTTATTGATAGAATTCCTAGATTAAGCTCTTTATTATCATCATCAGATTATACTTCAGGACTCCCTGGAGGGAAAATAATATGCATACACACACATACACCCAGTGCTCCAAGATCCACGGAGAGAATTTCAGACAAGGAGAATTTTTCAAAGATAATCACCCTCGTGTTGCTGTTCCTAAGCTACTCTTCAGCCAACACCTCTCAGTCTGTTGTCCACTATAGATTGCAAGACCCTGGGGAAGTGAACGTTGCTGAGTTCATGAGATTTCTGGAGTTTAATTAAGCTGTAGACAAACTCCTCATAGATTACCTCTAGCCCATAGACAATCCCTTTTGCTTCTTTTGTTTTTGTTTATAACAAAATAATGCCACTTTACTCCCACCCTAGAAAGTAAGGACAAGCATTATTAATGATTTCTTTGCTAATCTTTCTGTCTTTTGGCAGAATGAAGAATAGTTCTTCTGGTGTGAGGATCCACTGGGTTGCCACTGACCCATTGCCTGAGGGTATGCGATGAAACCAGAATCAGCAACTGTAGATGGCAGCTCAGAAGGGGAAACGACACATCTAATAACCAACAGGAATGGCTATTAATTAGCTGAAATGACAATAATTAACAGAAATGACAAGTCTAATAAATTTTCACTTAAGTGTTGTCACATGGCACTTTGAGTTTTAGCTTTCCATTTTAAATATTAATCTCGGTGGGGTTTACTTTAGATGAAGAGTCATATCAAGTATGACTATGGAAATAATTCTGTACAGACACTCCATCAAATTATGTTTAATCCATTTCACTTATGCTATGATCAGTAGAGAGTGTATTAAAAGCTCACATTGTCACCCTAAAAATATATTCTTTTTGTGTGTATCTAATTTATGCTGCTCAGAAACATTCAGCCACAGGGATCAGAGGGAAGGTGGTTGTTTTTAATTTTCTTTGATATCTTCAAAGATAGGAAAGTCTCACCCCTCTGCTCTTTCCCCCTCTTCAGCAACAGACAAAGAAGGTTAAATCTTATTAGCATGTCCTATATAGCTAGTTGTAACCTAAGTGACCTGTCATGGCACTAAATGCCTACTAGAACTTTCTCTGTACTTGCAAGATGGAAATTTTATGCATCAATGCTTTTATGTATGCATCTGATTTGGGAAGTTCACTGCTTTATGGATATGAACATTGTGATCAAGTAAATTGATCTACATAATGGGATTTTGTGTGTGTGCGTGCATATATCTATATGGATATGGATGTATGCAAGTGTATTCTAAGAGGAAATATAATACATGAAATGTTAACTTTAATGATATGAAATGCATTAAATTCAAACTATCTTGCATGTGTATGCAGATGCATTATGTCTCTATCATTGTACTCTGCAGGGATTTAAGGTAGAAAAAATTCATCGTATTCTCTGATGTGCCATGCTAAATAAGAGTGCAACATGGTACTATTATAAGCAATAAATAATAATCTCAGAGACCAAGACTTATGAAGCTTTTAAGAACATCCCTTAGCAAAACAGTGATAAAAATGAAATTGTATTCAGGGACATACAGCTCTTTCTTTCAGATACCCTGACTAAGCTCCTTTGTCTCTAAACTATCATCTACTGATAACCAAGATTTCTAAATTACTGAATTCTAACAGCCAAAAAGTACATTATGTTCTCAGCTCTCTTTCCTCCAAAATTCATTAACCACTGGGTCTCATTACTTCAGGACCTAATAGTAGATTCATCAGATAAGCTATTGGAGCCAAAGCACTTTTTTTTTCTTTTGAGACAGAATCTTGCTCTGTCATCCAGGTTGGAGTGCAGAAGCACTATTTTGGCTTACTGCAACCTCCACCTCCCCGGTTCCAGCGATTCTCTTTCCTCAGCCTCCCAAGTAACTGGAACTACAGGCCCCTGCCACCAGACCCAGCTAATTTTTGTATTTTGCATTTTTAGTAGAGATGGGGTTTTGCCATGTTGTCTAGGCTGGTCTTAAACTCCTGACCTCAGGTGATCTGCCTGCCTCGGCCTCCCAAAGTGCTAGGATTACAGGCATGAGCCACCACACCTTGCCAGCATTAATTTTTTAAAACATACCTTCTTCAGACAATGCAATATGTTAATGCAGGTCCTAATTAGTTATCTGTAATTAAAATTAAGCTTGTTTGGTAACCCTAAACCTTGACATTAATTTCAGGACAAAGACACTCTAAGTAGGCTATACATTGCTGGTGTACTGGCTTGGCTAATGCACCCCCCGCCCTAAAAAATTCATGTCCACCTGGAACCTCAGAATGTGGTTCACCCTAAATTCAATGCCTTTCATCCTCTTAAGAAGATGACATAAAGATATGAAGAAAAGAAGCCTATATATAGATGCAGGTGGAGATTGGAGTGAGGCATCTACAAGCCAGGAAACACTAAAAATTATGGAGACAACAGAAGCTAAGAAGAAACAAGGAAGGATTCTTCTCTAGAACCTAAAGAGGGATTATGACCTTGCTGACACCTCAGTTTTGGACTGCTGACCTCCAGAAATGTGAAAGAATGAATTTCTGTTTTCTGAAGCCCGTCAGTTTGCACAATTTGTTCTGGTGGCCTTAAGGAACTAATACAGTGGATATGTTTCATTATTTCTGATAAATTACAAATATATACTCTTGCTTATCAGATATCTGGCCCAGAAAACTTGGAAAGCACAGAGTTTTAGTTTAAGTCTAATTTATGATTAGCATAGTAAACACATATTTTGAGGTGTGTGCGTGTGTATATATATATGTATATATAATCAATCTATTGTAAGTACAAGTAATTGCTTTCTGCTTAGAGATGTCTAGATGTTGATCATGCCTACTAGTCAACAGAGGCTAGGTTATTCTACAGCAACAAGTATCTCCATATTTTGGAACAACACAACTTATTGATCTACCTCCATTCAGCGAGAATAAAATGCTCTTTCTCTGTTTTGTCCACATTCTGGTACCCTGTCTAACAGATCAGCTACTGTCTGCGATATTGCCACTGCCATTGTAGAAGTAAAGGAGAGAAGACTGCAGAATCTAAAATGAGCAATCAAACATCTCACTTCCACTGACAGGCTTTCGAACAGAACTAGACACTTTACTCCACCTGACAAAATATCAAGAAGAACAATCCCACCATGAGCCCAGGAGGAGAGAGAACACTAAGAACATGAGGAAAAGCACAGAAGGTCCCAGCATCATGCTGTGTCCTCACAGATTCTGAGAAAAATCCCTTATACTTCTTCATATTTCTATCCTGTAGAAGAATGTGGTACTCCATAAGTTGTATTTGTTGATGAATGGATGGATCATATTTGCCAAGCTAACTAACTAATTTAAAATATCTGGATAAGATGGTTTTCTCTTGCACAGTTGTCTTCTGATTCCAGCTGCCTTCAAAATGAGTTCTATTTGGAAATATAGTGCCATTATAGGAAATATCAATATGAATTCAGAATATCATAAAACTAAAAATTGAGTTCTTTTTTTTGAGATAGGGTCTTGCTCTGTCACTCAGGGTGTGCAGTCAGGGGTGTGATCATGGCTCACTGTAGCCTTGACTGCCTTGGTTCAAGTGATGCATCCTCTCACCTCAGCCTCCTGTGTAGCCAGGATCACAGGCATGTGCCACCATGCCAAGCTAATTTTGTTTTTTAGTTTTTGTAAGGATGGGGTCTCCCTATCCTTGGTGGTCTTGAACTCCTGGGCTCAAAGGATCCTCCTTCTTCAGCTTCCCAAAATGCCGGGATTCCAGGCGTGAACAACCATGCCCGGCCCAAACTGAATTCTTATAGCCAAGAAAAAGCAAACAGGTATCTTGGTTGGCATCTTTAATTATGACTGTCTATGAACAGTGCTTTATTGAAGATGCTATTTAGTGGTTTTTTTATTGTTTTGTTTTATTCTGTTTTGACTCTAGGACACAACATGGAGAAGTGTCTTTAAGTGAATGCTTCCAAGTAAATGCAAGGACAGCCTTTAACCATTCAGAAGTTCCTAATAAGAAAACTGCAGCATCACCAGAACGGAGCACTTCAGAGAGTGGGTTACTTGGCTGATAGAAATTTCACCATTCTCCACAGGAACTCCACACCTCCACTTGCTGAATTGTGTGCCAAAACCTTCACTAGCTAGTGTTTTTCCAGTGAGACATATCAGTTCTTTTTCTATCTCTACAGCCCATTCTATCACATGAACTAACTGATTACGAGGTGAGTTGAAATCAGACAGGCACCTTTCCCTAAGAACTAATTCATGTCAAATTCTGGGTTTTAATTGGCCAATAATTTCCTAGTTAAGGTGATAGCTATTAAATAAAAGTGACACTTTTAAGTTTAAGGTGTTATCTATTTTAGAAAAAGAAAACACCTATTCTCAAATGGAGATGTTAAGACTTAAAAGGAATAGAAGTATAATATGAAAATGATAAACAGAGAGGTAGGCAGATTTATGTGCACTTTCCTCCTGCATCATACCACATGACTGTCATCTTTCCCATATCTGGGTAACATCTGGCCTTTCATTTTTCTTGCATAATATGTTTTGAGCACCTCACAGACTGATCACATAGTAAGATAAAGTTTAAAATGCTTTTTATCTTAATATTTTCTGTTTGGCAATAAATGGTCAGACTAGTTGACAGCTGAAAATATTTTTGACTATACAAATTGGATATTGACAGTTTCTTATTCTGTGGTCCTAACTGAAGAAAGAAAATAAGTATCTCCCTCTCTCCTTTTCTTCTTTCTTTTCTTCCTTATTTTCCTTCTTCTTTTTTCATTTCTTTCCTTCCTTCCTCCCTGCTTCCCACCCGTCTCCCTCCCTCTCTCCCCCTTCCTCCCTCCCTCTCTCTCTTTCTCTCTTTTTCTTTCTCTTTCTTTCTTTCTTTCTTTCTTTCTTTCTTTCTTTCTTTCTTTCTTTCTTCCTTCCTTTCTTTCTTCCTTTCTTTCTTTTTCTCTCTCTCTTTCTTTCTTTCTTTCTTCCTTTCTTCCTTTCTTTCTTTTTCTTTCTTTCTCTCTCTCTTTCTTTCTTTCTTTCTTTCTTTCTTTCTTTCTTTCTTTCTTTCTTTCTTTCTTTCTCTTTCTTTCTTTCTCTTTCTTTCTTTCTTCCTTTCTTCCTTTCTTCCTTCCTCCCTGCCTTCCTGCCTTACTTCTTTTTCTTTCTTTCATCCTTTTCCATTCTTCCTCTCTCTCCCTCTCCTCTTTTCTTTCTTCTTCCTCTCCTTATTTTATGTGGGATTAAGACCTGGAATCTTTACAATCGTATTAAGATCAAAGAAGCAAAACACTAGGTTTAGTAGGGCAAACCAAATGTACAACTTTTTAGGCCTATATGTGTGTATCTATTAGGAAAAGTTCACTTCATTAATACCAGTATGTATTAAAAATTGACAATCAATTTGAGAAAAGAACAATAATTTTTAAAAGGGAAAGTAAGAAGTGTTGCTGTTGTTTTGTCATCTCCAACTAACATAAGCATTTATGGCAGTATCAGGGGAAAGTAGAATGTTAGAGAATGGTGAAGCAGGGTTGAGAGGTCAGGTCTCTGGGAACCACTCTTTTCTATGTCATTTACTGCTAAAATGACCTTTGTCAAGTCATTACATGTCCCTGGGGCTCAGTTTCTGCCTTTTTCAATGGCTAGATGTAATGAGACTACTACTAAAATAACTTAACTGAATATCACTTACAGGGTATTTTATCCTCTTCATTCATTCCCATATAGGAAGCAGAGATAACAGAGAAAATATATTGCACTAAAAAAGTTCAGTTTTTAATTCTGAGTTTACCAGTTTAGATGCTTAGATATATGCAGCCCCTATACTGGTAATTCCTGACCCTTTTGCGATATTACTGTTGTTTCCATTAGATCTTATGATCAATTGGTAAAGGCACATATTTCTAGAAATATAAATTTGAATTTCCATCAGCTTCATATCATTTAAGCATAGTAGTCAATTAAAAAAAAGAAGAAGAGGAAGCAAAATAAGGAGGAGAAGGGGAAGGGGCAAGAGAATGGAAAAAGAAAATAGCAACAGCAAAAGCAGCAGCAATGTGATGTCTCATCAGCATCCAAAAGCCTCATGTCAAAGCTCAACGATAATTACATTTTTTTAATCTATAGGAGAAAATCCCACAAACTCTTAAGAGTCCCATTTAACTTTGCACAAATTCTAGGAAATTTTAGTTATCTGCTTTTTTAGTTCAGAGGAAATTAAAATCAGGCAATAATAAGAAAGTTTCCAGGAATTTTGAATGAGACATGACTAACTGCAATTCAAGGAAAAAATGAAGGGCAAGGAGGCTGACATTTTTAAAATGCAGCCAGGGAGGTCTGTCAATTGTAATAAAGTGCAATTTTGTTGTGCCAATTTATATATTAATATAAATGAATTCTCCACTATATCCAAAGCATGTGCAGGTCATTATGAGAAGATACAAATAGTAATAAGACACGATTCATTTATGCAAAGAAATTTATTTTGAAGCTATTCCTGGACACAACAAAAGTGCAATACTGCATTTGGGGATATGCTAAGAGTGGACATACATTTGGGACTGCTGATGCAATCAGACTTGAGGTTCCTATTGCAAAAACAACTGTTATTCTTGGGCCATTTTTGTCATCAGGGCCAGTCAGTGGGTCTTACCTGGAACTAGTAAGCAAGAAATTTACCAATATGTAGGGGATAGGATATGAAGATGTTAGGGTTCTGTTGGTCTTAGTGGCAAGGAGTACTCAAACATGACATATAGGCTCAATACTAGCAAGGCAGGGGCAGAAAGCAATTGTATTCTCAGTAGGAGTATTGTGCAAGACTTTTCAGAGATTAGTGCTCACTATTCTGGACAAATAAATGATGGAGGGTTAAAGATCCTAGTTTGATGTAGTTCCTTAAGTGAAAGGGCTTCCAGGGGCTTATCTCTGTGCATCAGTGAGCAGAGTTGTTCTTTGTAGAGTTCCTGCCTCTATACAGGAAGAATCCATGTATGACTGGCATGTGAAAAAGAGGAATAGGAATTGTAAGTTAACTATGCAAATATCGAGTGGCCCAGTTAACCAAGTAAGGTTTTTAGGAGAAAAATCTTTCTTTCAGTGTCATTTATTCCATCATATTGAATACAGTTGGAATGATAGTCTGAATCTTAAATTGATGAGTATGAGAAGAGAATCAAAATAGCATTGAGAAACGGACTTTGTCAAAAACTGGGGCACCTATGGAGAGGCTTACATTGATTGAGGTACCTACTTACTTGGCTCTGTGAGGGGTACAAAAACCTTATGGCATAAAAGAATGTCTAGTATTAAAAAAAAGTAAGGAAAAATGAACAGTTTATTCTTACTTCTATAGCCTTCCCGTGATGCAAAGATTAAGAGAAGTTCCAAGTAAAAGTTTCTGAATGAATGATTGATAATAGGAAAGAACATGCCATTGGCTAAATGGGAACCCATTAGAAAGTGTGGATTGAATATTTAGTAAGGAGCCTCTAGTGGGCAGAAGATAAGATTTGAATTCATTAAAAACAAACAAGAAAAAAAAATAAAGACTCTCTCATTAAAACAGTTATGAGTCTTCTGCCTCTAGATATTATATTGTTACTAAATCTAGTAAATGTCAATATCTACTAAAGTAATATCTCAATAATATCTACTAAAGTAGACAGAGTAGCTCAGACCCTTTAGAGCCCATGGGCAGTGAGTGTCTCAAGGTGCCAAGGGCTAACAATAATAAATAAAGGAGAGTTCTGAGAGACAGACGTCTAATTTGGGATGAGGAGAAAATCAGTGGCTGTCATGGTTGTGAGTCACTACAATTCTAGGAGGAACTGTTTCAATACAAAGGAGATTTTAAAATGTGTTTTCTTGCTTTTTCTTGTATGCATACATATACACATTAGCATGCACATCCATGGCATAAAATTCCAAATGCTTCTCTCCTTGTTTAGAATGTTCATTATTGAGCAAGTCTGCAACCAGTCTTGGAGTTATGATGTATCCTGGACCTAATAAGGCCAATACAATCTATCATTTAGCTAATCAGGCAAACCCGTATCATTTTTGCAGTAACTTAGAATCCTAAAGGGATCACCAAATAAATAAGGGGCAAACAGGTAATAGAAGATTGTTTAATTAAAATCCATTTAACTGATCCCCCTACTGTTGGGTTTTCTTAGATTTCTTCACAATCTCTTCCTTTATATCTGAGACATGAGCAGCGGTTTATTTCTGTTCAGCCAGTTTTCACAAAGAAGATGAAGCAAAGTGTTGTTTTGGTTTGCTTTCGTTTGTTTGCTTTTTTCGAATTTGTTGTTTTCTTCATAAGAGTCAGTGTGTATACAAACTTAAATAGAGCAAAACCAGGCTGTCCAGAGGTGTAGAAGCTGACTGGCAGGCTGACCTCCTTCACCAACGGAATCACTCACTCCAAGCACAAGTGATTCAATTTTGTGCCTCAGCAAAACTGCAGATTACTACATGCTATAGACCAGTGGGTTGCAACTCTGGCTGCAAATTAGAATTCCATTGGAAGCTAATTTTTAAAATTTTTAATATCAATGTCTGGGCCCCCACATGTGGTATGAAACCAGATTCTTGTAAGTCGTGTCCCCAGAGTGTGTGTGTGTGTGTGTGTGTGTGTGTGTGTAGGCGCAAAGACAAAGAATGTGTCTTTGTGTGTGTGTGTGTGTGTGTGAGTGCATGTATATATGTGAGATGGGTGCTTGGCATCCTGAGTGATTCTGTGCGTGAAAGAATCAGGTTTGAGAATCCTAGAGCCATAGATACATACGTCTTCAGAGGCACTTCCCAAATATAAATCTGAGGCTGTCAAATTTACGGATAATAGGTGTACTGTAACTTAACTAGTGAGAAGTGAAGAATGTGAGCATAGTCCTCTCTAGGAAAATAAAGTTGCACAATAAATTTTTTTTATAAATAAATGGTCCCTTTATTTCTGTAGCGAAACCAACTAGAAATTTAAAACAAGACTGAATTTTTTTCTTAAAATGCTCATCTGTGTCTATCCCAATACATGAAAGAATGAATAATCACCAGAGATTATGCCACAAATAATTTTATCCTGGAAATTTTTCAAAATTAGAATTACAAATTAGTCACATTAGCCTGAAAAGCCTTTTAGTAATATATCCAAAACCATATACATTTTAAATAGTTTTCTATAGAACACATATGTTATAACATATTTATCTTATATTTACACTTACGCACACAACATATGAGATTCAAGAGGTTTCTGATATAATTTTGTTTTCTTACTCAATAAACTGCAGAGAGTGAATCTTGACCCACACGGCAATAGAAGAGAACCTGCCCTGTGTAAATCTGGATATCTAGCCTTCCAGGGTCTTCTGATTCTCCCTGTGTTTCTGTTCCATGAAGGTTTTTCTTGGGCAGCTAGCACCTTGCTTCAAGATCATCACCTGCTCCCCTGAGTTATTCTCAGACTCAGCTTCCAGGACTGTGTTATGTACCTCAAGATTACTCCTTAATTTGTTTTTTTAGGTACAGCTACTCTCTCCAACCCCAGAGTCCTTGTGTGAGTGTGCTTTGTTACGTCTGATATTCTCTGCTGTACTAGAACCATGGAAAGAATTATATTCGTTGGAGAGAATAATCCTGATTCTGCCCCAGCTAAGCATTGATTCCCCTCAAGACACACACCATATCACTTACTTTGCAAATACAATTTTATATTTCTCTGAAACATTTTATATTTCTCCGTGGAGACAAAAAATGTTCCAGTTTCACATGGAATTCACATCAACCCATTTCAAGATCATCAAGTCATCAACCAATTATTCTAATATTTAGAAGAATCATTTCCACATCACTGGGGAATTAAAGGAATAACAGGTCAATAAAGAGTAAATAGTTTGCAAATTACTCCTCTAGTTACTTTGCCTTAAATACAAATAATCTTGTATCCGTACATTATTTAGTAGGAAAGTCACCTCTACTTCTCTCATCTCTATCACCATCTCTCCAAAAGAGCAAATTTGAGACAGGGTGCAGGCTGCCAGATGGCCACCTCCATTACTGTCTCTTCAGGCCAGAGGTACAATATTTCTGTGTAACCAGTTCACGTGTTTGTATAAACACTTCAAAACACCCAATCAATCACTTCTTTCTAGCCAGAACTTTTCTTAGGGAAGCATATGTCTCTGACCTGGTAGAGACTAAATGTAACGTTCTTTCTTTCATGAGCTCAGGGTTTAATGGGCCAGACACAACAATGGCACAGGCGAGCAATTTCAAGGCATTCTCATTATAACCAGGATCTGTGTTATAGAGAGTCGGAGGACACATGTACCGCCTTTAAAGATATGTTGTCTTATATAAAGCACTACAAACAATCAGGCACAGCAGGCTGACAGCTCTCTCTAAAGGTCAATAAAGGTTATGTGAGCCTCCTAACTGTAAAACTCTGTGTGAGCAGAAATTTATGAGTTTCTCTCTTCCAGGAGTAAACTTCGGTCATAGCATGTTCCACTAAAATCTGTCAATAAGCTAGACCATCCTCTGTGTTCCGGGAGAAGAAGATCAAAGACTTTCTGGGCATTAATACCCTTTTAACTAAATTGTGATCTAAGTAATATTTCATAAGAGGTATTACTTTTTGAATACTTTCATTTCTCAGTTGCTCTCTGTTTATATGCCACTGTCTACCTCTCTCCTTATTTCTTGCAGAATCTTTTATAATCAGTTTCCTTGTTTTATACTGAACACCACAAATGAGAGCTAGGACTACTGAAGTGTGCTTTAAGACCAAGAGGTTCTATCAGGAAATGCAATCTGTCCTCCATAGACACAGTATCTGTGGTAATGAAACAAAACCTCGTTTACTGAATCAACACTAACTGATGCATAGCCTGCATGGGGGAAGCACATACACATTCTGACAAAGGCTAGGAAGCATAAAACCACCGATCCTGCAGTTGCAAGGTCATAAAATCCTGCTTCCTATTTGAAAAGCATTTAATAGTGGACATTTTGAAATGTCTTGACTTAGAAAAAGCCTGGGTACAAGGGACTGAATAATTACATCCTGCAAAATATGGGGAATCATCATGTTAGAGAGAGCAGATGGTCTCCCCATCATTCCAATACCCCAACTTCAAACAAGCTCAGTGTGTTTTGACAATTTGACAGTTGATAGAGAAAAGGGCATTTCACTTGCAATTCTAAACAGAAACAGAAACCTTAAGATGAACACAGGGCTCTTTTATGAACCTAAATGTAAATTCTCATCAGCTGACTTCCACTGGGGTTGAGGGGATAGGACCAGTCACCTAGAGTGTGCCATATCTGTTGGTAACAAATAGAGCTTCATGAAATATTCTAAATGAATCACAGAGTTCAGGCTAATTAGAGGTAGTGTATCACTTTCATAAAGAGAGTAGATGGGGGATAATATTTAGAATGCCTATGAATTTTTTGGTGTATGGGAAAAAGTGTCGTAACATATCATTAGGATTATGACCTGGAATATGCATCAAATCCAAAAGATGATTCTGTATTTAAGGTTGTTAAAGCATAGTGAGAGCCTATATGATATCATCATCATTATATATGGGGGTTTAGATTTAAAAAAGAAACGTTTCTCCCTTTAACAATCTACTTTTTAGAGGTATTGCTAACTATTCAAACTATTATTCATATAATTTAGGTTAAATGTTTTTCTTGATGCAGGGAAAAACATAGAAATTGACTGGGCTGTAATGAACAGGACATTGGACTAAGAAACATGATTCTGGATTTCGCCTTCTGGATCTGCCACTTAGATTTAAACATTATCTGCCTCCATTTCCTAATATATAAAAGGAAGAATAATAGCTGTCATACCCAGCCAGGGGCAGTGACTCATGCCTGTAATCCCATCACTTTGGGAGGCTGAGGCAGGAGAATCACTTGAGCCCAGGAGTTGAGATTGGCCTGGGTAACACAGTGAGACTTTGTCTCTGTGAAAAATTAGCTGGGTGTGTTGGCGCCTGCCTGTAGCCCTAGCTACTTGGGAGGATGAGTTAGGAGGATGATTTGTGCTCAGGAGTTTGAGGTTGCAGTGAGCTATGATTGTGCCGTTGCACATCAGCCGAGTGACTGAAAGAGAAACTATTGTCTCTGGGTGACACAGACAGAAACTCTGTCTTCATAAAACAAATTAAATAAATAATTTAAAAATAAAGTTTTAAAAATATCTGTCTTATCTATATATATATATATTGGAATAATAAAAATAAAATGAGAAAATAGGTTGTAGCAAAAGCACAATAGTACTGTTCAGTATGAAATTTACTTAAACATAATTCCTAGGCTCCTTTTTAAATTCTATATCTGCTTCCCAGGCAAAATCATTCACATCCATGACTTCAGCCACCACAAATACACTTAGAACTCTGCAGATTCCTTCCAACAGATACCACTCACTGGACATAAATACTCCACTCCCTGATCTAGAGCTGTGTCTCAATTTCAGGGTGCTCAGCACTGCACCTACCCAGCTCTTTAAATCTGCCAGGGTTCTGCAACTCCCACTCATGGCAAGAGCAAGATGAGGCTGAGGAGAAATGTTATCATTGTATACACTAAGTAGAGTTTTACTTTATTTTATTTTGGTTCACTTTATTATTCTCTAGAGACAAAGATTTGACATCACCTTTCAAGATAATGTCATTCCTGGGGTTGGAGTGGATTAAGGACACTTTGCTTATATTGAGGAAAAGCAAGCATCCTATTCACAAATGAGGAATAGAGCAAAATTTATTCTGTGTTTATTGTAAAATAATGCCTTCATTCTAGGGAGACTTGCATTGCTGCATATTTGTGTGTTTTTTTTGTCTTAAAAGAATTGCTTATTCTCTGGGCCCAGGTGTACTCAAAACCCTACGTGTTTTGACGAAAGTAGCTGAATTCAAAATTACAGCAACAGACTGACAGAAAGTGGTATGCAATTTGGGCTGGGGACCACACACACAATTCATTCCAACGTTTTCACAAAGGAATTTCACTCTACTGGGGTATAAGATGAGATGATATTATTTATTCTAATCATGGCCCTAACCTATGTTGGAGACTATGTTGCTATGTTGAAGCCCTCCTCCTTTTTCCTATCTTTAGTAACATTCTGGGAAGATTGTATAACATTTTAGCTATTTTAGGTATTAAAATTGGTGAGTCCACATGAAAAGCTCCATCTCCCATCTGATTCTAAATTCTCTTCTCTGCTATTGCTGATGTAAGAATTCACTGCCCCTTTCACTCCTTTGCAGTTGTCTTTCTCTTAAGCTTTGTCTCAAGAACTAGGACAGGGCAAAGGGATAAAAATTACCCCAAGTTAGGTAAAGAGGCAAATGTCCCTTTACCTTAATGGGCATAATTTTAATCGCTTTACTTACTTTTTGCAACTTGGAAGCATTTACTTAGTGGGCAGCTCTGCTGTGCAAGCTTCAGGCAAGATGTCTTAAGCCTAGCTTCCACAGTGTCCACTTGACCTAGAGGTAGCTTATTTTGCCCAGCCAACTGGTGTGAGTAATGTTTGCCCCTTCCTTTATTCACCTGTCTCTTTGATCCAGTTTGCTTTTCTACCACTGGCATAATCAGATTATCAATTTGACCACCTATGCAGATATACAACCTGGAAATGAGATCCAGTCTCTTCTCATCAGCACCTCACATATTCACTGGAGATTTTCTTGGACCTCCATGTAGACAATGGAACAAGGCATTTGTTACAAAACGAGTGGCTCTTCCCCCATCACAATGCTTACTTCTATAGCCTAGGTGAGATAAAGATAGTGAGGTAGATGCGCATTGTACTATGGTCACTTGTGCTAAATTTTAATGAACTCTGGAGAGACTGTCTGCAATTTTCCATGGCTTTCTTTAGATTGTGGGGTTCTTAGTACATTTTTGTTTTTAGATGTTGCATTAGCTGTTCTCTCACTGCTATAAAGAACTACTTGAGATTGGATAATTTACAAAGAAAAGAGGTTTACTTGACTCACAGTGCATGACTGGGAGGCCTCAGGAAACCTGAGGCAGAATCATGGCAGAAGGCAAATGGGAAGTAAGACATGTCTTACATGGAGGCAGGAAAGAGAGTGAGGGGCAAAGTGCCACACACTTAAACCATCAGCTCTTGTGAGAACTCACTCACTATCATGCGAACAACATGGGGGAAGCCACCCCCATGATCCAATCTCCTCCCACCGGGCCCCTTCCTTGACACGTGGGGATTACAATGAGATTTGGGTGGGGACATGGAGCCAAACCATATCAGATGTATAAAGTACTTGCCTCTCACATTAATTATTTGGATTCTACATTCTAACACCTCTTGCTTCCTGGCTAGTCAATCCAATTTCCACAAAGCTGGGAAAAGCCCATACATTAGAGGTGGGTGGAGCCCCCAATTTTTCAGGAATTGGGGGCTCCACCCACCTCTCTGGGGAATGTTAGTTTAGTCATTCTTATATTCCTTTTTTATGTCTAATCAGAGGGGGTGGGGGTTAAAACATATTTATCCTATGTTGTATGCATTCTTGCTCAAGTTCTTCCTCCTCACTTGTACTGTTCCCAGGCATCTTCACCCACCATTATCATTATTTTACCTTAGCCATAGCCTCCAGCTGCAGCCAAGGCGAGACATTCATAGGCGGGTAGCAATTATTGACCAATGCCTGTCTTACCCCTACCCATCTGTAAGTTTTCAAGTTAAAGGATATTTGTTACAGGACATTTCTTAAGGTACTTCTCTGTCTTTGTGATTAAGTTAGTTTGCCCCCCTTACCCTTTCATAACTCTCATTATACTCGAAATTACTTGCTCACTGACTACATTCTCTGTTAAATTATGTAGTTCTTGAGGACAGGGGTCAATCTCATGGATGTATCTTGTTCACTCATATATCCTTAGTATCTCATGCATTTTCCTAACAGCTACTTATTTATTAAGTGAATTGATAAATGTACAGAGAATGGAAATACTGTCATTAATTTTTATTAGATTTAGCAAACGATTGTTCAACTCTTCATTTGAATCTGCCCTTGAGGCTATCAAGAACCTTATTGACTCTATCCTTCTCCACCTCTATTGATTTTTCTGCATATTCTTGGTTTCTATATATGTCAGAGTTGTTTCAGATTGCCACTGTATCTTCAATTCTATCTTTATTGAAGAGGCTGGTGAAAAACTTCTATCTTAAATATCAACAAAAAGTGATTTTTACATGGTTTTAAACTGGAATCTTTGAAGTCAAAAATTTGAAAATAAAATCTTTGAGCTCCTAATGTCTTATTCATCTTAACTTTAACATTTCCTACAGTGCACTCTTAAATGGTCTACTCAAGACAATTTAAATGGCCAAGCCTAATGTCAGTTATGACTTCTAAGAAAATTCCTGGGTCTTAAGATTTCTTCATACGTATGCTTGTTCAGCTTTTACTTTTTACTTACAATGAAGCAGTTTATTTTTCTTTTTATTATTATTATTATTATACTTTAAGTTTTAGGATACATGTGCACAAAGTGCAGGTTTGTTACATATGTATACATGTGCCATGTTAATGTGCTGCACCCATTAACTCATCATTTAGCATTAGGTATATCTCCTAATGCTATCCCTCCCCCTTCTCCCCAGCCCACAACCGGCCCCAGTGTGTGATGTTCCCCTTCCTATGTCCATGTGTTCTCATTGTTCAGTTCCCACCTATGAGTGAGAACATGCGTGTTTGGTTTTTTGTCCTTGCGATAGTTTGCTGAGAATGATGGTTTCCAGCTTCATCCATGTCCCTACAAAGGACATGAACTCATCATTTTTTATGGCTGCATAGTATTCCATGGTGTATATGTGCCACATTTTCTTAGTCCAGTCCATCATTGTTGGACATTTGGGTTGGTTCCAAGTCTTTGTTATTGTGAGTAGTGCCGCAATAAACATACGTGTGCATGTGACTTTATAGCACCATGATTTATAATCCTTTGGGTATATACCCAGTAATGGGATGGCTGGGTCGAATGGTATTTCTAGTTCTAGATCCCTGAGGAATCGCCACACTGACTTCCACAATGGTTGAACTAGTTTACAGTCCCACCAACAGTGTAAAAGTGTTCCTATTTCTCCACATCCTCTCCAGCACCTGTTGTTTCCTGACTTTTTAATGGTTGCCATTCTAACTGGTGTGTGATGCTATCTAATGGTGGTTTTGATTTGCATTTCTCTGATGGCCAGTGATGATGAGCATTTTTTCATGTGTTTTTTGGTTGCATAAATGTCTTCTTTTGAGAAGTGTCTGTTGATATCCTTCGCCCACTTTTTGATGGGTTTGTTTTTTTCTTGTAAATTTGTTTGAGTTCATTGTAGATTCTGTATATTAGCCCTTGGTCAGATGAGTAGGTTGCAAAAATTTTCTCCCATTCTGTAGGTTGCCTGTTCACTCTGATGGTGGTTTCTTTTGCTGTGCAGAAGCTCTTTAGTTTAATTAGATCCTATTTGTCAATTTTGGCTTTTGTTGCCATTGCTTTTGGTGTTTTAGACATGAAGTCCTTGCCCATGCCTATGTCCTGAATGGTATTGCCTAGGTTTTCTTCTAGGATTTTTATGGTTTTAGGTCTAACATGTAAGTCTTTAATCCATCTTGAATTAATTTTTGTATGAGGTGTAAGGAAGGGATCCAGTTTCAGCTTTCTACGTATTGCTAGCCAGTTTTCCCAGCACCATTTATTAAATAGGGAATCCTTTCCCCATTGCTTGTTTTTGTCAGGTTTGTCAAAGATCAGGTAGTTGTAGATATGTGGCATTATTTCTGAGGGCTCTGTTCTGTTCCATTGGTCTATATCTCTGTTTTGGTACCAGTACCATGCTGTTTTGGTTACTGTAGCCTTGTAGTATAATTTGAAGTCAGGTAGCATGATGCCTCCAGCTTTGTTCTTTTGGCTTAGGATTGACTTGGCAATTTGGGCTCTTTTTTGGTTCCATATGAACTTTAAAGTAGTTTTTTCCAATTCTGTGAAGAAAGTAATTGGTAGCTTGATGGGGATGGCATAGAATCTATAAATTACCTTGGGCAGTATGGCCATTTTCACGATATTGATTCTTCCTACCCATGAGCATGGAATGTTCTTCCATTTTTTTGTATCGTCTTTTATTTCCTTGAGCAGTGGTTTGTAGTTCTCCTTGAAGAGGTCCTTCACATCCCTTGTAAGTTGGATTCCCAGGTATTTTATTCTCTGAAGCAATTGTGAATGGGAGTTCACTCATGATTTGGCTCTCTGTTTGTCTGTTATTGGTGTATAAGAATGCTGGTGATTTTTGCATATTGATTTTGTATCCTGAGACTTTGCTGAAGTTGCTTATCAGCTTGAGGAGATTTTGGGCTGAGACAAGGAGGTTTTCTAGATATACAATCATGTCATCTCCAAACAGGGACAATTTGACTTCCGCTTTTCCTAATTGAATGCCCTTTATTTCCTTCTCCTGCCTGATTGCCCTGGCCAGAACTTCCAACACTATGTTGAATAGGAGTGGTGAGAGAGGGCATCCCTGTCTTGTGCCAGTTTTCAAAGGGAATGCTTCCAGTTTTTGTCCATTCAGTAGGATATTGGCTGTGGGTTTGTCATGGATAGCTCTTATTATTTTGAGATACGTCCCATCAATACCTAATTTATTTAGAGTTTTTAGCATGAAGCATTGTTGAATTTTGTCAAAGGCCTTTTCTGCATCTATTGAGATAATCATGTGGTTTTTGTCTTTGGTTCTCTTTCTATGCTGGATTATGTTTATTGATTTTCGTTATGTTGAAGCAGCCTTCCATCCCATGGATGAAGCCCACTTGATCATGGTGGATAAGCTTTTTGATGTGTTGCTGGATTTGGTTTGCCAGTATTTTACTGAGGATTTTTGCATCAATGTTCGTCAAGGATATTGGTCTAAAATTCTCTTTTTTGGTTGTGTCTCTGCCAGGCTTTGGTATCAGGATGATGCTGGCCTCATAAAATGAGTTAGGGAGGATTCCCTCTTTTTCTATTGATTGGTACCAGCTCCTCCTTGTACCTCTGGTAAAATTTGGCTGTGAATCCATCTGGTCCTGGACTTTTTTTGGTTGGTAAGCTATTAATTATTGCCTCAATTTCAGAGCCTGTTATTGGTCTATTCAGAGATTCAACTTCTTCCTGGTTTAGTCTTGGGAGGGTGTACGTGTCGAGGAATTTATCCATTTCTTCTAGATTTTCTAGTTTATTTGCGTAGAGGTGTTTATAGTATTCTCTGATGGCAATTTGTATTTCTGTGGGATCAGTGGTGATATCCCCTTTGTCATTTTTTATTGTGTCTATTTGATTCTTCTCTCTTTTCTTCTTTATTAGTCTTGCTAGTGGTCTAACAATTTTGTTGATCTTTTCAAAAAACCAGCTCCTGGATTCCTTGATTTTTTGAAGGGTTTTTTGTGCCTCTATTTCCTTCAATTCTGCTCTGATCTTAGTTATTTCTTGCCTTCTGCTAGCTTTTGAATGTGTTTGCTCTTGCTTTTCTAGTTCTTTTAATTGTGATGTTAGGGTGTCAATTTTCGATCTTTCCTGCTTTCTTTTGTGGGCATTTAGTGCTATAAATTTCCCTCTACACACTGCTTTGAATGTGTCCCAGAGATTCTGGTATGTTGTGTCTTTGTTCTCGTTGGATTCAAAGAATATCTTTATTTCTGCCTTCATTTTGTTATGTACCCAGTAGTCATTCAGGAGCAGGTTGTTCAGTTTCCATGTAGTTGAGCAGTTTTGAGTGAGTTTCTTAATCCTGAGTTCTAATTTCATTGCACTGTGGTCTGAGCGACAGTTTGTTATAATTTCTTTTCTCTTACATTTGTTGAGGAGTGTTTTACTTCCAACTATGTGGTCAATTTTGGAATAGGTGTTGTGTGGTGCTGAAAACAATGTATATTCTGTTGATTTGGGGTGGAGAGTTCTGTAGATGTCTATTAGGTCTGCTTGGTGCAGGGCTGAGTTCAATTCCCAGATATCCTTCTTAACTTTCTGTCTCGTTGATCTATCTAGTGTTGACAGTGGGGTGTTAAAATCTCCCATTATTATTGTGTGGGAATCTAAGTCTCTTTGTAGGTCACTAAGGACTTGCTTTATGAATCTGGGTGCTCCTGTATTGGGTGCATATATATTTAGGATAGTTAGTTCTTGTTGTTGAATTGATCCCTTTACCATTATGTAATGGCTTTCTTTGTCTCTTTTGATCTTTGTTGGTTTAAAGTCTGTTTTATCCGAGACTAGGATTGCAACCCCTGCCTTTTCTTGTTTTCCATTTACTTGGTAGATCTTCCTCCATCCCTTTATTTTGAGCCTATGTGTGTCTCTGTACATGAGATGGGTTTCCTGAATACAGCACATTGATGGGTCTTGACTCTTTATCCAATTTGCCAGTCTGTGTCTTTTAATTGGAGCATTTAGCCCATTTACATTTAAGGTTAGTATTGTTATGTGTGAATTTGTTCCTGTCATTATGATGTTAGCTGGTTATTTTGCTCTTTAGTTGATGCAGTTTCTTCCTAGCCTTGATGGACTTTACGATTTGGCATGTTTTTGCAGTGGCTGGTACCGGTTGTTCCTTTCCATGCTTCATGCTTCCTTCAGGAGCTCTTTTAGGGCAGGCCTAGTGGTGACAAAATCTCTCAGCATTTGCTTGTCTGTAAAGTATTTTATTTCTCCTTCACTTTTGAAGCTTAGTTTGGCTGGATATGAAATTCTGGGTTGAAAATTCTTTTCTTTAAGAATGTTGAATATTGGCCCCCACTCTCTTCTGGCCTGTAGAGTTTCTGCCAAGAGATCAGCTATTAGTCCGATGGGCTTCCCTTTGTGGGGAACCCGACTTTTCTCGCTGGCTGCCCTTAACACTTTTTCCTTCATTTCAACTTTGGTGAATCTGACAATTATGTGTCTTGGAATTGCTCTTCTCAAGGAGTATCTTTGTGGTGTTCTCTGCATTTCCTGAATTTGAATGTTGGCCTGCCTTGCTAGATTGGGGAAGTTCTCCTGGATAATATCCTGCAGAGTGTTTTCCAACTTGGTTCCATTCTCCCCATCACCTTCAGGTCCATCAATTAGATGTAGATTTGGTCTTTTCACATAGTCCCATATTTCTTGGAGGCTTTGTTCGTTTCTTTTTATTCTTTTTTCTCTAAACTTCTCTTCACACTTCATTTCACTCATTTTGTCTTCCATCACTGATACCCTTTCTTCCAGTTGATCGCATCGGTTACTGAGGCTTTTGCATTCGTCATGTAGTTCTCATGCCTTGGTTTTTAGCTCCATCGGGTCCTTTAAGGACTTCTCTGCATTGGTTATTCTAGTTAGCCATTCGTCTAATTTTTTCTCAAAGTTTTTAGCTTCTTTGCCATTGGTTCAAACTTCCTCCTTTAGCTCGGAGTAGTTTGATCTTCTGAAGACTTCCTCTCTCAACTCGTCAAAGTCATTCTCCTTCCAGCTTTGTTCCATTGTTGGTGAGGAGCTGTGTTCCTTTGGAGGAGGAGAGGCGCTCTGTTTTTTAGAGTTTCTGGTTTTTCTGCTCTGTTTTTTCTGCATCTTTGTGGTTTTATCTACCTTTGGTCTTTGATGATGGTGATGTAAAGATGGGTTTTTGGTATGGATGTCCTTTCTGTTTGTTAGTTTTCATTCTAACAATCAGGACCCTCAGCTGTAGGTCTGTTGGAGTTTACTGGAGGTCCACTCCAGACCCTTTTTGCCTGGGTATCAGCAGCGGTGGCTGCAGAACAGTGGATATTGGTGAACCACAAGTGCTACTGCCTGATCATTCCTCTGGAAGTTTTGTTTCAGAGGAGTACCCGGCCGTGTGAGGTGTCAGTCCGCCCCTACTGGGGGATGCCTCCCAGTTAGGCCACTCGGGGGTCAGGGACCCACTTGAGGAGGCAGTCTGCCTGTTCTCAGATCTCAAGCTGCGTGCTAGGAGAACCTCTACTCTCTTCAAAGCTGTCAGACAGGGACATTTAAGACTGCAGAGATTATTGCTGTCTTTTGTTTGTGCCCTGCCCCTAGAGGTGGAGCCTACTGAGGCAGTCAGGCCTCCTTGAGCTGTGGTGGGCTCCACTGAGTTTGAGCTTCCCGGCCACTTTGTTTACCTACTCAAGCCTGAGCAATGGCGGATGCCCCTCCCCTAGCCTCGCTGCCGCTTTGCAGTTTGATCTCAGACTGCTGTGCTAGCAAATGAGTGAGGCTCCGTGGGCGTAGGACCCTCCGAGCCATGTGCGGGATATAATCTCCTGGTGTACCGTTTGTTAAGCCCATTGGAAGAGCACAGTATTAGGGTGGGAGTGACCCAATATTCCAGGTGCCGTCTGTCACCCCTTTCTTCAACTAGGAAAGGGAATTCCCTGACCCCTTGCACTTCCCGGGTGAGGCAATGCCTCGCCCTGCTTAAGCTCACGAACAGTGCACTGCACCCACTGTCCTGCACCCACTGTCCAGCACTCCCCCGAGAGATGAACCTGGTACCTCAGCTGGAAATGCAGAAATCACCCATCTTCTGTGTCACTCACGCTGGGAGCTGTAGACTGGAGCTGTTCCTATTCAGCCATCTTGGCTCCACCCCAAAGCAGTTTATTTTTCTAATTGCCTCCAGCTTAAAACAATGAAGTTGTGTAGTAGAGAATGCAAGGCCTAGCATATTTGTGCAGGAGGAAACATGGAAGCTAATTAGACTGTTAATGGTAAAGATTAAACCCTGGTACTGACGAGTCTCTCAAGAGCCAAATACATCAGCCCCCTTATTTTATAGAGCAAAGACTCAGGATCTCCAAGGCAATGTGATTCACCCATATTTATAACTGGTTGGGGAAAAGGCAATGCTAGAATATTGGGTTCCTCCCATCCAGTCCAGGACTCTCTCTTTCTACTATAAGACATGTGAATATTGAGGCCAGCATTCTGGAAGCAATCTGTTGTATTTGGTATTTTGCCGATGCAGATTACAGTGAAAGGATTTGGATCACTTCAGGATGAATACTCAAATCCCAGTAAGTGGTCAATTTTACCAATGCATTTAAGTAAGTAAGCTGAGCACCAAAAATAGAAAAATGCCCAATTATGAAAATCTTTGTAGACAATGCATTTATCTACATTTGCAAACAATGTAGATAATTTCAGGTAAACTTAGAAAGAAATAAAGTCAAATTTTCACCCTTCTCAAGTTATGGGGTTTTTTTGGTTTTTAGTTTGTTGCATTTTGGTTTGATTTGGCTTTAAACTATTAATTCCTTGCCCCTGCTTGTTCTTTAGAGAAACCTTCAGAATGCAGCTGCAGCCTTCTCCCCTTGTCTCCCTTGCAGCTGCAGCCTCACAAAAGGAGGAAATCATTCCCAAACCATCAGAGAAATCCCTCTTCTTAGAAATGGGAGCTGGGTGTATTTCTCTGAAGTCTTGTGGAAGTGGTCAACTGCTGTCACTAAGGATTATCTGGTCTCTGAATAACCAGGGGCGTAAAGCAAAGTGGGAGCAGGAAAGACTGATCCTCCCCAACAAGCCTGCTCAGGAAAGGGAACTACATCCTGTAGCCTTCTTTCATCTTCTCAGCCACACCCAAACGTGGAGAGTCAGCTGCATTAACACAGTCATCTTCAAAGGCAGAGGACAGCAAAGCAAGAAGGGAGAAAAAAGGAAAAAATCTTAATGACTAATTGGCAAACCATCTGTCTATATGTATTATCTCTCTATGTTACCTTCACTATTTTCCTTTTTAAGTTCTCATTGATTTAAGCCTGAAGACATTAAAGTGTGTAATATATTCTAGTCTGCTCCTCAGCAAAGCCCTCCTAGTGGCTCAGAGATGGAAGGTTCTGTACCCCATACCCTTAGCTTAACAATAATGACAACCACGAAGTCCCACAAGGTTAGGAGACTTGGCCAAGATCCTGTGGCTCCTTAGAAACAGAGCCAGTGCTAGAAACTCGATATTCTGACTTCTTCCTCACTCAGCATTCTTGCTCAGATAATATCTTATTAAAAAATTATCTTCCTTTTACAGTATGGTATTTTATGCCTTTTATAGCTGCCTTTCTCACTTTCCTAAGTTTAGATCAGAAGCCTTGGTTTTTATCCTTTTCTATCAAAACTTGCAATTGGAAAATGTTTTATATCTGTCTTTTACCACTTAAGATGAATGAGAATCCCTGCACCACCTTCCCTGAGGGTGTATTCGTGTTCAGCCATATATTCTGAATTGAGGAATGGAAGATGTGTGTCCTGTTAAAAGATCTGTCATCAGGGCAAATTGGGGGTAGAATTGGAATAGTTTTTGACACTCTAGTTTCTGAGAAACTATCTATTATTAGCGATACAAAATGCACACATCACCTCACCTTCCAGAAAACTATGTGAGAAAATGGTGAACAACTGTAAGATGAGGAAGTTTTGTAAGGTGGTAACCTCCTAGAAAATTCCACCTATGTGGAAAAGCATTTACCAGTACCAATGTAGAGTATTTCTACTTTTCCAGAGGAGACAGTAAGAGATTTCTTTCTTTTCCCTTTCTTTTTTTTTTCTTAAAAACAACAACAACAAAAAAACTGAACAAATGTATCTTGAGTGTCATTGCTGTTGTATCATTTTGGGGTCTTTCTACTTTGCCTCAGACCTCCTGGGGACTCAGAAGAGGGAACATCTGTTTGTCTGTTTTGCTCCCTTTTGCAGAACTTGCTAAATAGGGAAGAAGCTGAATTTTTAATGTTCCCAAAGCTCTGTGTGAAACGATGATATTGGGTTGCAATTGAAGAAGAGTTTTAAGACAGGCAATTTTATACCAACTTACATAATGCATGCCAAAGTGACAGGCTGTTATGGAATCGCATCTGCAATTGTGAGCTGCATAATACAGCAATAGTATTTGAATATTATCAGATTGTAAATCGTAGAAATGTGGTATTAAGTGTTTGTGAGGAGTGAATTATGCCCTCTTCTATCGCAGAGACCCTAGGAGCAGTGAAAGCAGCCAGTGAATGGTGGGTTTCTCTGATTTATTGACAGGGCTAGTTGACTGGGATGATGCTTGTTTTTATGTGTGGCACTATTATCAGTTCTGAGGCTTTACTCTAAAGAGGACACACACAGTTTGGAGGGATAATGTCTGCACGCCTCCCCTCCTGGATGCCACGGCACCTGGAACATCCAGTATTATTTGGTTTTCTTTGGAAGGAAACAAGAAATCTAGAGAAATATATAAAGAATAAAAACAAGTCTCCAGAGATAAACAGGAGAGTTTGGGAAAGCTAGAGATATAGAAAAGGAAGGCTAAACAAGGACATGAATAAGAATTGTAAATATCTTGAAGGTAGCATTGTAAATGAAGGGTGGAAATTATTCACAGTCTAAGATGATGGCAGAAGTAGGTGAAGTAGATAAAGGTAAAGTGGCCTATAGGTAAGGAAGAAAAAGCTTGGGCCATATAATTTTTAAAAAAGTTTATAGCAATAAGAATGGCAAGACAGATAATTAGGTTGCTAAGAGTCATTGACGATATTAAAAGAATAGTTTGATAAAACATTAGCAGAACTGATGTCGAGAACAGAACAGGTGCAACAAGCGGCATTTGATACTCCTGTTTCTGGAGATTTTGGTGGCCTATGCAAACATTTTCCCTGCTGGATGCAGTTTTGCCAATATTCATGACAAAAATCTTTACTCTCATGTGATAATGACATATTTAAGAAGCAAAATCTCCAGTTAGACTGGGAGCTAGAAGGTAGCAATCGACAAGCAGGATGGGCTTTCCTTCTCACTGAGAAACATCCTTATTCCTGACTTTGAAACCCTGATGATAGAGTGCATGAGTTAAATTAGGCTGATGGGTTAGAGAAAGCTTTTTGAATGGGTTGAGCTCTAAAAGACATGGATATAGGGCATATTTAATTTTATTTATTTATTTATTTTTATTGAGACATCATCTCATTTTGTCACCTAGGTTGAAATACAGTGTCATGAACATGACTCACTGCAGCCTCTGCATCCCAGGCTCAAGTAATCCTCCTGCCTCAGCCCTCCAAGTAGCTGCGCCTACAGGCACACATCACCATGCCCTGCTAATTTTCATAATTTTTGTAGAGATGAGATTTTGCCACATTGCCCAAGCTAGTCTCGAACTCCCGAGCCCAAGCAATCAGCCTGCCTTGGCCTCTCAAAGTGCTGGGATTATAGGCATGAGCCACTGAATCTGGCCTACTCATTCTTTGTTGCATAATTATTCTAAAAGGAATGTGGTTAGGTAATTTAGGATTTAAATACAGAGAAGAAAGGAAGATGGCTGTTTCAGTTGGGCATGTCTCATAAATTTTTTCAAATGTTTCCCAACTAGATTCAGCAGTAAGAGTGACAATATTTATAACCCAGAAGTTCTCAGGTTAGAGTGTTGAGGTATCAGTCTTGCAAGGGTTGATGGTTGTTCCCAACTCACAATTAGATGGAACTATATATCCAGCGATATAAATGTGAAAGTATCAGAGATGTGCCCACATCCATATGCAGAGTGTTACATTTAATTCCTACTCTATGCATTCAAAAGAGCAGACAGAACACACAAAACAGCCTCCTTTACATCCTCACTGTATAGTATCAGTAGAAAATATGTTACTAAGAAAATGAACGCATGGTGACATCAGAGGAACACCTCCATTGGATGGGGAACCATGACTAATACCTAAAGTATGAAGGGCTACTTGAGTGAGTCCACAGACTGCTACAATAAGTCAAAGTGATTCTACAAATGTTGTGGTTTATAACATTTACAAACGTTATAGAAGAAACAAGATGGGGCTGTGAAAATTGCAGGAGTATTAGTCTGAGTGGCACAGCTGGGAAATACTACATCTTGCTTCACTGTCAAATCTTTGGCCAAGCAGCAAACAACAGTGACTACTGGAACAGACAATAATAATGAATGTGAATTCTTAGGGTGAAGAACAAGGTAATGACTTGAATGGCTGCTAAAGCTCAAGGAAAATAGGGTAACCCCACACCTAGAAGAGAATACTCCAGAAAGCTAAAATTCTGCTTTTTCTTCCTAAAAATCTACCCAGAAATCAATATAAACTACAGTGGTGTAACCTGGCTCACAGCCCACAAAATCTATGGAAACAGACACAGCATTACCAGAGAGGTAACAGTGGATCTCAATACAAAGATAAATCCACAACCAAGCATAACCAAATACCTGGGGAGAGCCATACTATAAAGGAGAGGTAGAAAACTTGGCAAATAGAAGAATATGTACTCATAGAAACAGTAAAGAGAACAAACAATGCACTAGGGTAAATAATATACATCTCCTCTGAGAGACACAGAGATTATTATGATTATTTTAGAAAAAACATTTTAGTTTCAGGATGGTGAAGTGGTCTAAAAAGGATTCAACTTGCAAACTGAAAAGTTAATTTTGAAATAAAGTGAATTAAAAAGTTGAATAGTAGACTATTAAAACGCTGAAGAGTAAAAATGTGTTTAGCTGCAAGGTGGAATTGAGGAGATGATTCCACTCTATAAGGTATATTTACAAAAAAAGAAATGAAGACAGGAAAACACATGTGCAGAAATTTGGAAATTGTAAGCCAAATAATGCCAAACAATGTTCTAGAGAGACATCATAGAGAAGTGGAGAGGAAAATAGGCAAAAACATAAAATTTCAAAATTCTCAGGATTGAAGAAGGATATAAGTTTCTAGAATGAAAGAGCTAGGCTGGATGTGGTGGCTCACCTCTGTAATCTCAGCTACATGGGAGGCTGAGGCAGGAGGACCATACAAGCCCAGGAGTTCAAGACCAGCTTAGGCAACATAGAAAAGCCCCATCTCAAAACAAAAGAAAACATGTATAAATAGAATGAAAAAGCTCACAAAATGTTAAGTGTGATTTATAAAAAGGATGCTACACATAAAAATAGCATGGTGAAATTCACAAACTTCAATGATAAAGAGAACAGAGAGTCTTAAGAGAAAAAAAGGGAATAAAAGAGATTTCAAAGTATTCCAATTTGACCTCAGATTCTCATCAGTAATAATGAACGCAAGAAGCCCATTTCTCTCAAGTTTCTTAGAGAAAATTATGTTGAATTCTATTATTAATTTTTGAGGGCAAAATAAAGACATTTAAAATTTTTTTTGGACATAGATACTTTATCCTCCATAATTCAAGTCTGAAAGAATTACTAGAGCATACATTCCAGGAAGTAAAGTAAATGAATCCTAGAGAAGATAATAGAGTTTAAGAAACAGCACTGAGCAAAGAAATCAATAAAATGTATTGCTAAGTCTAAATGAGCATTGATTACAAAATATCAACCTGAAACTAAAATCATATACGATATTGATGCTAGATAACATCACTAAACATGCAACAGAGAATGGCTTACTAATGAACATTTGTTTACTGTTGTATTATTTTATTTTATTTTTTCTCTATGCATGGTCTTAAACATTGTCTCATTTTCTCTTGCTCTGGGCATGTAGTGATAAGAACATCTTACTTCTTTGAAATCTTGCCTGTATCATCCCATTATAATTTTTAGATCTTTCATTTACTGGTTTTTATTTGTGTTATAACACCAAATAGACTATGAACTCCTGCAGATAAAGTAGTTTATTAATTTAATTTAATGAGGCAATAACAAATATTTCTAAGATGCTAGTTGTATATTTAAAGAAAATAGTGTAGTTTTCTGTGCTGGCTGGTGCAGTAGACATCATGGGATTAGGTAAGAAGCGCAGATGATAGGGCGAACCTCCAAACACACAAATAAGTCATTTTTTAATAAAATAATTTGTCTGTATGATGTTGAAGGAAAAAGAACCCTTAAAATGCAAAAAAAAAAAAAATACCCTCTGTTATTCCCATTGGCCTATCTCTACTGGCCAGAATTCTACTGCAGAGACCCATATGCAAAAATATAAATTTTTTGAAAATCCCAACTCTACCAGAAAAAGGCTCTGGACATTCAACTGCCACAGAAGTCCTCTGAAAATATCTGGTACAACATAAATTCACCATTTTCACTTAAAGTAATAAATATAAACACAGGTGTCACAGGACATTATAAGGCAAAAGGGAAAGAAATACTACCTGAGAAAATGTTGCCAAGATGTAGATAACTATCCAGGCCAAATATATCATTATCATTGAAAAAATATACTCAACTTTCCTGTAAAGCAATAATATAAACGAAAATATATTAAAGAAAGCGAAAGTGGGGTAGGAGTAGGAAGTGGAACATGAGCTGAAATAGCTCAGGAAATAAATAGCATAAACCATAAAGTAATCACAGAAATGTAGATGAAATAAAAATGAACAAAATAAAATATAATTAGGTCCATAGGGCATGAAAATGAAAAAGCAAAAGGAAATATGAGTAAAGGAGGAAATTTAAAAAAAAAGGAGGAAATGAACATTGAGCCTACATATTATCAGAGTCCTTAAAGAAAAAATAAAAACAAAAAAATCATAAAGAGAAAATATTTAACTATGTAAAGTCAAGAAAATTTGTGGCCAGGTGTGGTGGTTCACGCCTGTAATCACAGCATTTTGGGAGGCCGAGGTGGGTGGATCACCTGAGGTCAGGAATTCCAGACCAGCCTGATCAACATGGTGAAACCCCGTGTCTACTAAAATTACAAAAAATTAGCCGGGCATGGTGGAGGGCGCCTGTAATCCCAGCTACTCAGGAGGTGGGGGCAGGAGAATTGTTGGAACCTGGGAGGCGGAGGTTGCAGTGAGCAGAGATCGCGCCATTGCACTCCAGCCTGAGCGACAAGAGCAAGACGCCTTATCAAAAGAAAAAAAAAAAAAGAAAATTTTTACAGAGTTTAAAAAATCATTTCATTTCTATATATTATAAGATACCTGTGCCAGGGAACACTGATGATGATCAAGTCTAAAATGCATGATAATAAAGGCACTAAGCTCAAATGAATTTTTAAAAAAGAATTTTTAGGACTTCAGTGAGAAATAACCAATTCTCTTGTAAGATGGGAATGAAAGAAACAAACAAGGCTGCCTGTGACTTCTCTATGGCAACCATCAACACCAGAAGACATTAGGGCAACACCTACACATTTCTTGAAGATAGAAAATGACTTAAGGATTTTGTATCTAGATCTAATGCCAATCAATTATAACATCAAGTGACAAATGACTTTTAAAATCCAAGAACTCATGAAATATTTTCTGATGTGAAATTGTTAAAAATTCTAGTTCAAGACTAGTCAATCATGGTATGACTAGGGAAAGTACAGCAAGAGCATTGGCAGTATCCAATATCGGCATATATCTGTAGACCTATGATGAAGACTAATGTGGGGACGAGGTGTTGGAATAGAATGCAAACGCTGCATGTTTAAGAAATTATACGAATACTAAAATTGGGGAAAGAAAGAGTTAAGAAGTTGGGAGACAAAATCAATCAAATTAATTTAAGTATAAATCTATTAAAATATAAAGGTAGATATTAGTTAATAAATTAAGTGAAAATAACTTAGAGAGATTTGTAGATAAGAGGAGAAATGACTGTAGTGGCCACCTAATAGAAATTGTCTAAAACTTTGAGGCTAGTACTATAAAGATAAGAAAAAAGATACAGCATTTCTTCAATATCAGAAACATGAACATGTAAAACAAACCAAAACAAAGGGCGCAGAAAACTATTTCAAAATGCCATAAAAAGATAAACCTTAAGTCCATATATGTATGCCGTATCAATAAATTTAAACTGGCTGAACTCATCTTTCAAAAGAAAATGACTTTCAGATGTGATCTGAAGTGAAAGCAAAATTCTAACTACAGTAAATCCATAAATATAAGCCACCACACACATGTACACACATATATAAAAGTAACTCCAAAATATAACAAAAAATAAAACCTGGCAAAAACTTTCTAGAAAAACTCAAAGAAAATGAAAGCAAGATTCATAATCCTAATATCAGACATGATTAAATTATGGCCAATAGACAAAAAGTCACTTTCAACTGCTAAAGTGTAAAATCGACAACAGAAATATTGCTAATATAAATATCTATACTCCAAATAGCACAACACTAACACTCTTAATCAAAACATATTATATATACTGGTATAAATAAGTACATAAATAATATATTTTGTTACCTCATTCAGGACATTTAAATCAGGTAATATGGGGAAAGTTTAATAAAGGGGTTATTTATTTACAGAGGTAGTCAGGATACAGAAAACCCACTAGAAATTGACAGACTTTCAGAGTTAGTAAGAACAAGTTTTATCTCACCCCAGGCCTGAGGGAGCAAGTATAAATTATTATCAAAAATCCTACATGGTAGGAATTTCCCTGTAGTTAAAACATTATCAGAAAGGTAATGCAAATCAATACAGAAACGACACCATTATCATAACAGATTGTCCAAACTTCAAAATAACTGTGAGTAAAAGGAAAAATAATCAAATACCAGCTTATATCTTATGGTCCTGCCCTGTACAAAGGCAGACCCAGAACAACTGTGGGAAATGCAGAATGCGGAAGCTGTTGAGAAGCCTGAATTTTATGCTAAACTTTTGCCCCAAAAGACTGTCAGTGTAAATAAGTCTGAAAATAGAAAAAAAAAAAATGGGTCTGCATGAATCAGAGCACTACCTACAGGGAGGAAACATTAAGGTACCTTCAACTCAAAGGTGGCAGGTATGATTTAAAAGGGCAGGGAAGAATATAGGTCAAGAATGGGGGAGAATCACCCTTTGACAATTGGAAAATAGAAGGAAAAGGAAGAAAATGGTGGAAAATCTAAGGATAGAAGGTGTTGTAAGACAAAACCATAAAATCAGAGAACTCACCATAACTATTATTCCCAAACATGCAAAAGACAAGCAAACAACCCCACCAAAGCACCTAGAATTTGCTTCACTGAAAGAAGATGCCACTGAAACGTCCAAATTCTACAAAAATGGACAAAGAAAGTTAAGAGCTACTGCAGAAATTCAAAAATAGCATTTTATACATATCTTCATGCATATCAACTGAAGATGATTTGCCCCTCCAAAAGTAACTCTGGAGCAGACAAAAACTGTAATTTTATCAATCCCAGTGGAATCAAATAGTCTCACACTAACACTTGAGAATATGAAAAATCAGATTGAATCCAAAAATCAATAAAATAAACCAAAATGGAAAAATGTAAAAATGAAAAGAGAGTTCATTGAACTTAGTAAATAAATGAAAGAAAAAAATTATTCCTAAATAAGAAAAAGAATTGCAAACATTCAGGAAAATAGATTTAAATAAAAATGTAATAAAATGCATTGAAGAAAAGGCAGAAAAACAACTAACAGAGTGAAAATGACATAAATAAAGTAAAAATGGCCAGAGAGTAGAAAGTAAACTAATACTTATATTATTAAGTTCCCTAAAGAAGAAAAATAAAACATGGAGCAGAGCTAATATTTAAAACTGTAATTCAGCCAGGCACAGTGGCTCATGCCTGTAATCCCATACTTTGGGAGCCTAAGGAGGGCAGATCATCTGAGGTCAGGAGTTCCAGACCAGCCTGGCCAACATGGTGAAACCTGTCTCTACTAAAAATAGAAAAATTAGCCGGGCATGCTGGTGGGTGTCTGTAATCCTAGCTACTCAGGGGGCTGAGGAGGGAGAATCACTCGAACCTGGGAGGCAGATGTTGCAGCGAGCCGAGATCGTGCCACTGCACTCCAGCCTGGGTGACAGAGCGAGACTCCATCTCAAAAATAAATAAATAAATAAATAAATAAATAAATAAATAAATAAAATTAAATTGTAATTCAAAAAAACTTGCCAGAAATAGAAAAAGACTTGAATCTATACTAAGTACCTGGGTTGGGGCGGAGGGGTAGACTCCAGAATGATAAACTCTGAGACTGATTCTAGTAGAATTATTTAATTTCAAAGATAAAGATGAGATCCTCAAGGA
The DNA here is from genome assembly GCF_000001405.40 of Homo sapiens. NCBI lineage: Eukaryota > Metazoa > Chordata > Mammalia > Primates > Hominidae > Homo > Homo sapiens. Next base: position 40,130,563 of record NC_000018.10, read on the forward strand.
CTACAGGAGAAAATGATCAGAGAATTTGCACTGGCAAAGGAATTAGACTGGTATCAAACTTTTGATAAAACAACATACAAATCAGGGCAACAATAGAGCAGAATTATAAACCATTCAGTGGAAAAGAGTGTGAAATAAGAATTGTATTACCAGTGAAGCTATTGTTTAAATGTCAAAGCCATAGACAAAGAGTTTTAAACTTACAAGAATGTAAGGACTTCTGCAGCCATTACCCCTGCTTACAGAATCTACTAAAGGATAAAGGTTCATCCAGCAAAGTAATGACTGGAAAACATTCATCAGATAGACTAATGGTGAACATTTATAACTATGTAAATATGTATCTAAGACTTAAACAAAGACGGGGAATGAGGGTTGCTAACTAATATACGTATGTTACACATTAAGAAAAAAAGTTTGTATTAATGTAAAAATTTTGTTTGTTATAAGAAAGTAGAAATAATGCAGTTAAATAATGGAAAAATACAGGAAACTAAAACAAAAAAATAGAATAAGTGCACTGTTGTATAAGCAACAGGTAGGCATTAAAGCACACTAAGGAAAAAAATCAATACATCAGATAGTAAAATGTTAAATAAGAAAACAAGTAGTGAAGATCACTTAATTAAAAATAAAAATGCAAAGGTTATCACTAGAACAAAAATATAAACCTTCCTAAATACAACATAAAATATTTTTAAATACATAATATACATATCATGTAAAGAAGAAAACACAACAAATATAAAATAATGTGTAATAATAAAATATTATGACAGATTTTAGCTCAAGCCTACCAGTAAGTGGATTCCAGAATGTGCGTGGATTTCAGTCATGTAATAAAATAAGAAAACTTGCTATTGGTTCACAAAACGGGACCTAACTATATACTTTATAACAGAAAGATGCCTAAACTAAACATACTCATAAATACTACAAATAAAGAATTGGACAGATGTGTACCATGAAAATGGAAACAGAGAGAGGGAGTAGTAGTAGCAATTCTGATATCAGACAAAGTAGAATTTAAAACCAAAACCATTAAATGTCAAGACAAGGAATACTTTTTAATGCTAAAAAACACAATTCACAATGAATGTATATTTATGCACCAAGTAACACGGTGGCCACACATAGGAAACAAAATGTAAAAAATAAACACATTAATAATAGAATGCATTTATTGATCACTCCAAAATACAATCAAGTGGACAATCAATAAGGATATGGAAGATCAAAACAATATAATCAATAAGACTCTATGATATGTAGTGACCTTCATACCCTGATGGTAGGTAACACAGTTCCTTCTCGTGTGTCCATGGTACAGTTCCAAATATTCATCATAAATCGGGTTATAAAAAAAGCATTAGCAATTTCCATAATGTGGAAATATAAACAACTTTCTGATCAAAATGCAGTAAACTAGAAATTATCAACAACAATGATACAAGCAAACAAACAAAAAGACCCTTCCATGTGGAAAGAATTCTATAAAATCTTTAACATAAAGGGGGATACAAACTGAAATTTTAAACTTTCATGAAAAAATAATGACAATAGAAACACTACACATCATAACATAGGAGATGCATTTAGAGCAGTGGTCAGAGGAAAATTCATAGCATTTTCAAACCCTAATATCAGTAAAAATGAAAGAATGGGAAAAATGGCCTAGTCTCAGCTCAAAAACTGGAAAAAGAAAATCAGAACAAATACAAAGAAAGCACAAAGAATGAAAGAATAAAAAAGAATAAAGAGGAGAATAAACAGATCTAATGAATAAATTACGTTCTACATTTTTTTGAAAAATTTAACAAAATAGATGATATGGTTTGGCTGTGCCCCCACCCAAATCTCACCTTGAATTGTAATAATCCCCACGTGTTAAGAGTAGGGCCAGGTGGAAATAATTGAATCATGGAGGTGGTTTCCCCCATACTGTTCTCATGGTTGTGAATAAGTCTCATGAGATCTGATGGTTTTACAAACGGGAATTCCCTTGCACAAGCTCTCTTGCCTGTCACCATGTAAGTCATGACTTTGTTCCTCTTTCGCCTTCCTCCATGATTGTGAGGCCTCCCCAGCAATGTGGAACTGTGAGTCAATTAAACCTCTTTCCTTCATAAATTACCCAGTTTCAGGTATGTCTTTATTAGCAGCATGAGAACAGACTAATACAACAGGCAAATTACTAGCTAAATTAAGAAATAAAGAGAGAAAGCGAAAATATACAAGATATGAGAAGAGGGAAAGGCCCATTAAAACAAATACATTTTTAAGAATCACAAATGGCTATATTATATACTTTATGCAATAAATTTGAAGACCTAGATATTACGGTGCTCAGGAAAAACACACGATGTTTCAAACATAAGGGAGTGTTGTCGTGAAGAAGATGCTATTAAATATAACAAATATACATCAGGAAATGAGGCAGACTGCTCTCCTTTATAATTTATTCTGAAATATAAATTTATCAATATCTATTATTTATCATATAATTTTATAAGATTATATTATACTTTATAATGTAATTTTTTTCTAAAATATACATTTGTATATTTATGAATGTATATTAATCAGGGAAGCAGTCACCCCACACACGTAATGCCCCCCACTGCCCCCCGACACGAAAACACTACAGTGGACATCGGCCTATAATCCATTCTGGGTTCTGAATATCTATTTGACCCTTTGCAAGGTGCGTAGTAGCCTTACATTTTCCCTTCACCTTTTGTGGTGTGAGATGAATGAATGAGTGCACAGGCAATTGTAGTGAAGACCTGTTGAAGAATGAGATAGATTCACCTTGCAAATATGCAGAGCATTAATGACCACTTATCTGGAATTCCCCAAAGGCTGTTCATTAAGCCCAAATTTGGCTTCCTGCTGTGGCTTCTCTGAAAGAGATGACAGGCCACTGTGTCCTAGAAATGGGACTCCCACTGGGAGTGAAGGACATTCAAACTCTGTGTCCTCAGGGTAGGTGTCCCATGAAAGGCCCCATGAGGAAGCATGACTTTCACATCTGAGTGCTGTGAATATATCTGCCTGTCATTTCCACGTTAGTCAGCCTACAACAGTCCAATTTCCACTTTCTAAAGCTACCGTATTACACAGAAAGTCATTAATATTTGATGAAACCTGTTGGCCAAAATAAAGTGCATTCTTGAATGCAACTAATAATTATTAAACCATTACTAACATTTACTGAGCACTTACTGTGCACCAGTCACTTTAAATGCTTTGATTGTATTATCTCATTCAATCATTGCAAGTTTTTTTTTTGAGAAAACTGAAATACAATTTGCATTTGTCCATTTCATGCTTTTAAGTTGTTTACACATTTTTATTTTTAACAGTATTCAGAACTACTCTAAGTTTCATTTGTGATTCAATCTGCCATCTTGATGATGATTTTTTTCCCCAACACCTCACCTTGTCATAAATTAAAGGTGTTCTATGGAATTTGGAAAGAGGTCGCAAGGACTTGTGTTTAAACAGCACAAATTACCATCATAGAGCTACTGATACATGTTTCCAAAAGAGTGAATATTTGGCAATCCATGTTCAACGGAATGATGATGACTGTTTTATCTTGTCCTGGTATTCAAATTACCATGCTTTACAAAAGACAAATGATCACTGAACAGAAAGAATGGACAAGAAGGTCTTCCCAGCTCTATGAGCAAGGTAATTAAGGCTTTTTAGCCACTGACTTGTTAATTTTCATGATTCAGGGTAAAAGGTGAAATAGTGAGGGGATCCATCACATCTGGTATGTATAAGAAAGGTACAAGAGATATGTTGAAACTTTTAGTCCTTCTAGTATTGAAAAAAGCTTGGTTTATTATTGCTCTTGCAAGTTTTTATCTCCCACACAGGTTAGCATCACATATGAATGTACTTTGTGTTAGTGAAAAATTACAACACATTAAGCCTTATATTTGGGGAGCGTTTTGTTTGTACTTTCACCCAATATTCAACAGATCTCTATTTTGAAGCTTGTATAAATATTTTGTACATATAAATATTTTGTAACAAAGGGTCTCTGCTTATTGTCTAGAGAGAGAAGAAAAAATGGTACACATCAATCTTAAGTGTGCACAAGTAGGACAGACAAAGCTTCCCACTGTTGTTTTGGTATTATGAGTTTGTTCCAGTTAGCTCTAAAATGATAATGGTACCTAGAGAATTCATAAGGCTAAGACTTTGTGCAAATTAATTAGAAACAATAGAGTATTGAGGTCTTAACTTCTTGATATTTAAATGAAATCTCTGGTCAGAGACCCAACACCTTTGACAATATAATGAGGTGGAAATAGTATAGGGTTAAAGTCTGGCATTTCTTATAACGTCATGTGACTTGGGCAAGTTATTGAGTCTTTTTGAAGGTCATTTACTACCTCTCTATAATAGAGAAAATGATGCCTATCTTACCAGGCACTGGGTTGTAGGAATTAAATGAGCTAATGTCTGTAATTTATTCAGCACAGTGTTCAATGCAAGTGTGAGTTTAAGTAGGTCTATATTTACAAATCATAGCAAGATGTTACTAGATTCTTTCTAAAGCACTAGTGATGGTTGGGGAAAACTCAGAAGTCTGCATCACAAGGAAAGTTTGCTATTATTGTTACAATTTACCTCAGAGTTGTGGTGACAGTTTTGGCTCTTCTAAATTAAGGAGTTCACATACATTCCATTTCATGGATTTGTTCACCCCCAGCAACAAATACATGAGTAGTAGTTTCGAATCTCGACAACACTGTACAAATCCCTTTTCTCACTGACAGCTCTCAGTCCACTTGTGTTTACAGCTGTCTCCCTTAGTTTTGTTGTTTTCTGACCACTCATGTCTACAGTTTCAGTCATAGAAAATAGGCCAGGCGTGGTGGCTCACGCCTGTAATCCCAGCACTTTGGGAGGCCGAGGTGGGCAGATCACAAGGTCAGGAGTTCGAGACCAGCCTGGCCAATATGGTGAAACCCCGTCTCTACTAAAAATACAAAAATTAGCCGGGCGTGGTGGTGGGCGCTTGAGGCAGAAGAATCGCTTGAACCCAGGAGGCGGAGCTTGCAGTGAGCCGAGATCGCACCACTGCACTCTAGCCTGGGCGACAGAGGGAGACTCCGTCTCAAAAAAAAAAAAAAAAAAGAAACAAAAAAGAAAATAGAAGAATGCATCTTATTTTTAAATCCTTTTTATGATTACAGCTAATAAAGATGATTTTTCACTTCTCTTTTCATATATGGTATACAAAGCAGGATGAATTGTGGGAACTGTCCAATTTACCACAGGATGCGTGTGTGTGTGTGTGCGTGCGCACGCGCGTGTGTGTATCTTTGAATGTGTGTTTATTGGGGCTGGAGAGGGCATTAAGATACAAAGAGAACAATGAGAGAGTTTTGTGGCAACACAAAACTCAGTGGAGTCTATATAATACTAAGTCTCAAACAGACTCTTCGATATGACCAAACTGAGGCTACTTGGCTAACGGAATTCAGGCACTTCTCATCAGAGTTATATTTCAGCACACTGATACCCTAGTACTCAGGTGGCTTCATGGAATCTTATTTCAGTGAAGAAACTTCCTGAAAGACCAAAATCTTGGGTTGGAGAAATCATAACAAGTTTGATCATCTGCTGTGCACGCTATATATTTATTTAATAAACTTTTTCTTGAGCAAAAAAAATGACTGTGGATCTATGTTTATTTTCAGGGACCATGGAAAGTATTAGTTTATGTGGTCTTGGTCTAAGACTCAGTTCTCTTCCTCTCTTTTTCTTTAGCCAGTTAAAGCATGTATCTCTCCAAGGTCTTTATGGCCCAGGGCATGATTCCAGAACTTTACTGTACATAAGAATTAATGATGAAACTCACTAAGATGCAAAGTGTTATTTGGGAGAGACAGAATTGTGACCGAGATTCTACATTTCTAACAATCATCCATGTGGTACCAACGCTATTGGTCCTAGGACCACACACGAAGTTACAAGACTCAACCAGAGGTTGACAAGCTTTTGTGAAGGGCAGGATAGTAGCTATTTTAGGCTTTGCTTTGACTACTGAATTATGCTGTTGTAGCACAAGGCAACCATCACAATACATTAAACGAATAGGTGTGACTGTGTTTTAATAAGACTTTGACCCTGAAACTTAAATTTCAGATAATTTGCCAGGCATGGTGGCTCACGCCTGTAATCCCAGCACTTTGGGAGGCCAAGGTGGGCAGATCATGAGTTCAGGAGTTCGAGACTAGCCTGGCCAACACAGTGAAACCCCAACTCTACTAAAAATACAAAAATTATCTGGGCATGGTGGCAGGTGCCTGTAATCCCAGCTACTTGCAGGCTGAGGCAAGAGAATCACTTGAACCTGGGAGGTGGAGGGTGCAGTGAGCTGAGATGGCGCCACTGGACTCCAGCCTGGGTGACAGAGCTAGACTCTGTCTCAGGAAAAAAAAAAAAAAAAAAAAAACCAGATAATTTTTACATGTCAGTAAGTCATTTTAATCTTTTCCCCAATCATTTAAAAATGTAAAAACCATTCAGCTTGTGAAATATAGAAAAGTGGGCAGTGGGTCAGATGTGGCCTGTGAGCTGTTTGTCAATACCTCATCTTGTCAGAAGACTTGCTCTGTAACTAGGATTTGACAGCGCATCTGTTACTTCTGGTATAGAAAGTAACAAATTTGTAGGAAATTTGTGCTCTCTTTGAAAGAGTACCCTTTAATTTTCAACTCCTAATCTGAGTCTGCCACCCTGAACCTAGGATTCTTTTCCTCACTATTTCAGAGGCAGAGTGAACAGGGACACCTCTTTTTTCAGGCGCTTTGGGTTTATTAGTGGTTTAGTAGCTCACACCAGTTAGGACTTACTTTGCCATTCATTTGGGGATAAATTAGAATGTTATATCTTTTGCTAAGTCTTTTGTAATGTTTCAGCCTGAAATTATTAGAAATCTCACTAAGTAGACTGTCCATCTCATTGGTAACACTTAATTCCCCTCCTCCAAATGCCAATGGACTCAGAAAGATTCCACAAAACAAACCTATATTAAGAAAGAACTTCTTCAATTTTTTGTTCAATGATTTATCCCTATCAGCACAGAGAAAATGACATGTGTGCCTAGGGCTCTGGGATCTAGACTGAAATGGCCCATAGCAAGTGTGAAATTTCTTTGAAGTCTCCCGTTTTATCTTATAAATTCATGCATATCTTGCATTTTATTCCATAATATATTGGTGTTTGTTGTAATATAAGAATGTTTAAAATTGCTTCTCAGTTCACTTTCTTAAATTTTTAATGCTAAAAATGGAAAGCCCTAGGAAGTTGGCCTATGTTTATTCTGTTGGTTCACATATCCACTCTGACATAGCTGTCTGTGTACACCAGTTTGAGAAGTTTAAACTTAACAGGAGTCACCAATTCTCCCTGGCAGAGAATATCTGGGACATAAACTAGACCCTATGTGCTAAACACTTCCAGGTTGTGGCTCTCTACCTTCACCCGTCCCTGTTTTGTATGGTATAAGGGCACATGCATCACAAAGTTCACTGAAGGATTTCCTAGTTGATACTGTACAAGGTTGCCTTGGCATGATTGCTATATTAAACTTCATGTTTTCTGTTCATATTAGGCATGGACTGATTCTACATCTTCAAATCAAATTAGCAATGAGGTATCTTTAATATGGTTAATAAGCCTACATGCATAATATAATGGATTGAAATAATCTGATTGTGTCAATGATTGTAACCTTAGTCTATATTCTGATGCCATATATTTTTAATTTCTCTTGTGCTATATTTCCTTGGAAATGTATGCTCAAAGTTAGATTGCTTTTAATACCTAAATCTATGTTAGTTAATGCATTTTATAAAGTAGCTAAAGTTGGAATCAGTGGTCTGATGATGTTTTCATCTGTTTGCCTCTCCTCAGTTTTTTTAAGAAAATACTCCATTCAAAGCACTGAAGTTCTGTAAATGTGAAAATCAAGAGCAAGTCCATTCTTGTGACTAGCTTTCAAGTTTCATTTTCTTAAAGTGATGAGGTATTGGAGAAAGCATGGAAAAAGCTGGCTTCCAACAGGTAGACTGTTTAAAGCAATTTCTATGATTTTTTTCGCATTCCTAATTGGTCGTATATTATTACTCTACTGGCCTAGCAGTGTTTAAAGAATGTCCTTTTGAATGACTGTCAGAAACAATAGAAAGAGAACAAAGAGATGGGCAGAAGATGATGATTCAATGTTAATGGTGATGGTCTCCCAAAATTATGTGATTAAGGAAGTATCAACCGGGTGGGTTACGCAGAAGTAATAATTCCCTTCCCGCTCTTCTATGATAAGCATCCTTCTGACTGATGGATTATTAACCACAAGTTAAATCTGAAAGAAAGGCAAGACAACATTTAGTAAAAAATAGATTGGTCTCTTCAGTGGTGCCAAAGAGAAAGAGATATTTGCAAACTTTCGCACCACATTGTTGTATCTAGAAATGAGTGCCTCCTTAAATTGTGTACTGTAAGTGGCTTACTTGCCTCACTCTAGTTCTGGTCTTGATCCCATGAAACTTGACAACGGGGGAGAAATGTCTATATAAGAAAGAGACAGACTAAATATTTCAAACTGCTTAGTCTGGCTTCACATAGCCCTTTATGAATGGATATGAGTAGTCTCAACTTTTACTGCTGCAATGTATGTATGTATCTTATTATGATTCTACCAAATGAATGGGCCATTTGCTATCCCTTTTCTATAATTTTCTTTCTTGTCCCTTGACTTTTGTTTGTGAGCTTTATCATCTTAACCTTTGAAACCCTATACATTCACAAGGCAAAGATCCTCTTCATTACTGCCTCTTCCATAATAACACCCCTGTAGCAGACACTGTGTTGTGCCATCCAGCTTCCATCCTTCACTCCGACTTTGAGGACTTATTGTCCCAGCTACTAGGAAAGTTGATGACTGATTGCTAGTGACTAAAACCTCCCCCCGCAGAAACTACCTGTTGCCAAAAAGACTCAACTCACTCAAAGTCTCATTCTCTGCCAAGGGACATCCTGCACCCAATGACTGGTCAATGTAGAAGTTAGAGAGTCTGGGCCTCTCGCTCTAATTCAGAACAAATTTTAACATGCAAATTTCCGCCGGGCGCGGTGGCTCACGAGGTCAGGAGATGGAGACCATCCTGGCTAGCAGGATGAAACCCTGTCTCTACTAAAAATGTAAAAAATTAGCCAGGCATTGTGGCGGGTGCCTGTAGTCCCAGCTACTCGGGACGCTGTGGCAGGAGAATGGCATGAACCCGGGAGGCGGAGCTTGCAGTGAGCCGAGGTTGCGCCACTTCACTCCAGCCTGGGCGACAGAGCGAGATTCTGTCTCAAAAACAACAACAACAACAACAACAAAATGCAAATTTCTATCTCAGAGCCAGCTTCCTAAGGAATTCCTAGTTGCAATGGTTACTGTAAAGGTGGTCCATGAAAATGAAGCACAAAACGGAATTTTATAGTAGAATTCTCCACTAACCAGCTAGCAATGAATATATGACCACTGATGGAAGGTAGAGCATTGATAGTCACTGTCATGTAGTAACCGTACAATTGTCAAATCTTTCATGAGCACTAAAATGGAATGGCAAAGTGGTGGACGCAAATGCGTAGCCTAGGGTAATGTAAAATGCCTTTGATAATTTGAGGGAAAGTAACCATTCTAAGCACAATAGAGTTTAAGTGCCCTTGTTGGGCAATGGATGATTAGGTGAAAATCAATGAGTGGTGGAAGATGATTAATTATCCATTAAAGACTAAGGGTGAAAATCAGAGGGTAACATATAAAATTGATATGATAAAAAAGAACTCATCTCCTGCAAACAGAGGGCAAAGAAGGGAAGAAGCAGGCCCAGGTCTCAAGCAGAATTGTAACAGAGCTCCAGAGAAGAGTAAATTTGCAGCCCATAGAAGTCTGATGTGCCCTGATTGGGAAAGAGACGTGGGAAGAGGACATCTGTGCATCTTTGTTAATGCGATCATAAATTTATAAATCTCCAGATTCTCCTGAATCATTTGGGACTACAAAAGCGGTCTAGTCTTCCTTATTAATGGTTGGTATCCTCCCCTCTTCCGCTCTCCCATACACACACACATTACTTTTCCTTGAAAAACAATGCATGAAACACACAAACTCTCAGGATTTACCTCCCTTTCCATCCTGGTCACTAGATGAGGAATTGAAAAACTGCATCTGAGGGGCTGTATCCGGTCTGACACCTGTTTTTATAAATAGAATTTTTATTGGAATTTGGAGAAAGATGTAAATTGTTCTCTGCCCCATATGAATGCCAAATATTTCTAATCCTCCCTTATGACAGGAATGGAAAAGAATGCTTACACCAGTTCAATGATACCAAACCATGTACCTGAGCAAAAATACTACATAAGCACATCAGCTGCATTTGGGAATAATATGTCACTGAGTTTGAAGCAGTCTAATATCCCCCTTTAGTATCTCTCTGTCTTTTGCTGTAGCCAGATTTTACACACATGTACTTTAGTTGTTTAAGTGTGCCATCTCTCACACAATTAAATAATATTATTTTTGATTTACCATGTGGTCCTGGAGAAAAACAGTATTAGAGACTTCCACATGAACTTCGCTATTATGATAGCTTTTATCCTACAAGCCAAAGAAATAATATAGGTGTTCTTCCAAAAGCTATGTATATTTCAACTACATGTTTAAGAAAAAGAGAAATGTCCATGGGTGGATCCATGGATCCAGTGGAATCACTGTGAGCCAAACTTGTTCCAGCATTCTACTTATTATGTGGCCCCCAGTTGACCCTACCATAATCATGTATTAAGGGCATGATAAGGTTTTGAGTATCTGTGTATTGATGACAGATTATATATTATAATCAATCATCTTAAAAATGTTTCGGTTTTCCCCTCCATCAGTGTATGCATGGTTACTTGCATAAATGTTCATAGATCTTTTTTGATAACAACTAAGAGTATCATTGTCACATATACTTCTTGTGATAGTACAGTGTCCTTTCTCATAATAATTCTGCTTTTCCCTGCTTTTCTCTCAATCTATAGGTTTTGGGCCTGAAAATTGAGTTAAGTTCAGAAATAGATATACAATTAGGATTTTTTTGTTTGTTTGTTTTTTGAGACAAAGTCTGTCTCAGTCACCCAGGCTGGAGTACAGTGGCACGATCTTGGCTCAATGCAACCTCCACCTCCCGTTCAAGCAATTCTCCTGCCTCAGCCTCCCAAGTAGCTGGGATTACAGGCATGTATCACCACATCTGACTACTTTTTGTATTTTTGGTAGAGACAGGGTTTCACTATGTTGGACAGGCTGGATTCGAACTCCTGACCTCAGGTGATCCGCCTACCTTGGCCTCTCAAAGTTCTAGGATTACAGGCATGAGCCACTGCGCCTGGCCATACAATTACGATTTTTTTTCTTGGGTGGCTGCCTTCACTTTCCTGACCATCCATTCTTGATTTCTTTATTTATGTAAATTGAGAAATATTCTTTTTAGTAGCTTGTCTATCATGTTCCTAGGGAAGCCATTTTCAATTAATCAACTATGAGCTTCTTGCTTATCTGCCACCCTTCCCGCAGTTGCTACACCTACCTTTTTATTTATTACAGTGATTGTGTCCATATGAATCTGATTTCTTTTTTCTTCAGAAATAGCACAACTACTGGAGAATGCCTCAAATTCATTCACGAGGCAACTTTGAGCAATGTACCATCAATTTTATCAACCTATGCGTCCATTTACATATTTTGTAAAAACTAACTTTTATGATAATATTGGTATTATTCCTTTGATTTACTTTAGACCAACATTGCTCTTTTTTACCTACTACTGATATGCAAATTATATACTAATTTTATTCTTGCCTTTAGATCTGACATTGAGAGTTTGAATGTTTTATGGTCTGTTTTTTGTTCTTCAAAATGCCCATCTGTAGCTATATAGATTTTTCATAACAGGTGAGGCAATAGCCTCAGAATTAGGCATTTATAACAAATAATTTATCACAAAGAACTTGATCATCTTGGCCATTGTCCTAATTACAGTCCTTTTTCTGACAGTTTATAGCAGTTTGTAAAAATCATAATTTCTTTCAATAGTTACTGGTTACTTTCAGAAATGCATATAAATATTTCTACTTCACTGACAAAGAGTTCTCATGTCTATGACTCTCAGATTTTTAGCTTCACAAGCAATTAAAATGTATAGACAATAAGAACATTTTTTAAATTTTATAAATCACCAATTGATGAACAATATATGTATTATATAGATATACACACATATACATTTAAAGTTAAAATACTCATTAATTATATCTAGAACAAATATCATTGCAAATAGTTAACATTAAACTGTGTGATATACCAATTCTCTTTTTTCTTTCCTACAGTTGGAGGCATGGTGGTTGGAAGCTCAGCCAGCCTTTCAAAACTCTGGTAACTGGAAGGTATAATATTCTCTATCTTCCAATAAGAGAGTTTCTTTCAAATTAAACTTCAGAACTAAGTACCAATAATGTGCTGGAGTCAGCTCATACCAGCTTACAAGGATCAATTAAGTTTTCAGAAATTTTCCAAGCAGACTTTTTAACCCAGCCCTTATTAAAAATTAAATCATAGAATTACACTTGAATAAACAATACTAGAAACAAAAGTAATCAATACTCAGAATGTATCACTTTATAATTACTACATTTTATATTATCTCTTCTGTTATGTATACTGTCTCTTGTATCTGTATGTGATATTACAATGGTGCCTTAATGCTCTTCTCTTTTATCTCCACTTTCAGAAATGTCACATTGATAGCATTAAACAAATAAACCATGTATGGGAGTGTTTACACCATAACAATTAGCAAATGCTACAAATCTACAAATCAGGAGTCTTTTTTGTTGTTGTTGTTTTTGGTGGCGTACTAGTTGTTGACCATTTACCAGCATACCCCCCGCAAATCAAGAACTAGGAAGCGATTTCATAATTTAGAGAAGGGGAGAAAAAACAGAGATTGCCCGAGGATAAATAGATAAACATACTATTTATACTCATTGACAGACTAATGAGGGAAGAAGTGAAGAAGCACCTAGAAAGGCCACGTATTGTTAAATCACGAATGATGAAACTGCAAAGAACCTTAGGGAACTTCTTGTTCAACACTTCAATTTAACATATGAGAAACCAGAAGATTTCCTAGTTACTCAATGGTTGAATCAAACAAGATTCCAGGTTTAAATAGCAGAAGTGATCTTTCTTTTTTTTTTTTTCTTTTTCACTTTTAATTGCATTTATTTGAAGCTGAATTTATTCCCATTCCATAAGTTTTGTTTCTTCAATTTCTTCTAGGGTGTATTTTCCTTTGTGAAATCTCCTCTTCCGGTTTAAGAACAATTTGTTCCTTTTCAGTAAAGATAATCAAGATGTGGTAGGGTGAGCTCATGTATGGGTTAATCCAACCATGAGATCTGTAAGTCTGGCAGAGCATCTTAGGTGCTTTATTCACCTGGATATGCTCAATGATCAGAGAATCTATAATACATTGAAACTCAAGTTTAGCATTACTCTCTGCATGATTTAAGCATGTGCATCTAAAATTCAGCAATCTTTTTGGGCCACCGACCATGTGTCCAGCCCCACTGCTTGGCCTGGGCACACCTCCCAACTCCATGATTGTAAGGTTGGTAATTGTGGTAAGGGCATTACTTTTAATGGCAAAAACTGCAAGTACTTTTGCATCAACCTAATAACATCTTTCAGATACTTGGTGGCTTTTCATGTAAGCATAACCTTGATGTCCTGGGCAGTTTCAAGAATGTTCTTAAAGTGAACATGAAGATTTGAACTTCTTGATTTGCATAATTTTGTGGGGTTTTCCGGATGAAGTATTCAGATAAGTATATAAATATACTTAAAAGTAAATTGACTCTCTATTTAAATAATAAGATCTAAATGTATTGAACACTCGTTATGTGTTAGGTTGAACAAATTGTTGAGTATTCATCATTATACTCATTTTATAGAGCGAACTAAAGCTCAGAGAATCAATATAATTTATCCAAGGTGATATAATTAGTAAGTAGCAGTTCTGGGTTTCAAAACCAGTACTTCCTCACTCCAAAGCCTGTTTATTTATTTCCTTCCATCTTCCTCCTATGTCATTTTATCTCTTAAAACTTCATCTACAGAAAAAAAAAATCAGTAAAAATATTGCCAGAGTTGTATGAAATTTCTAGATCATATTTGTGCCTTTTGGCATTTTAGATCATCCAAGCAAAATTAAAATGTCAGTCATTTTCAAGGTCACACATCATTGTAGATATTTGTCATTGTCATGAACTATTTAACCTGGAGGAGGTCCAGAGTAAACTTTAAAGTTATCTTCCAAAAGATGGATATCCTGGACTAAAATAAAAGAACTTGGGACAGTGTGAGAGAACACTCAAGATAATGAAATGTGGCATCATTAGCACTCTAGCAAAGTAACAAGCAAACTGACAGCACAGAAGAACAGAAAATTCACATATACTCCATTCTATTGTACTTTGGTACAGCAAGAAAGAAAAAGGAACTAGAGGCAATGCAGAAAGGCTGGCAAATTTGAAACAAATTAAAGGCAATAACCTTAAATATAGTGATAATAGGTCTGTGGGATTCGCTACTGTAGGACATCTTTAAATCAAATAACAATGCTGGACTATGGAGTGGATAATTTAATGACCAATAACCTTATTGGTGTTTTGGCTGAAGAAGATACACAACATCTCATGAGCCTGATCTGATCAGCCCAAGGGCAAGGAAAATTTAATTTTCCCATGAACCAGATAAAGTATTCATCAGAGTAACTAGAGCTTGCTTCTTCATATTACTAGGACCTACTTTTGGACTGAATTCCTAGCTCAGGTATTAAACATTACTGTGCAATGGGCCCCAAAGGAAAGTGATAGAATGGTGTCAGGGTAAAAGATAACTTTAATTTCCTTCTCTACTAATGGGGGTAAATTGCATTGAACCATTCTAATACCCTCCTCTAGTTGACAAAATTTACTAAATAACTTGCTCAAGGGTAGAATTCCAGTTTCTGACCTTAGGAAGATAAAGAACATTAACCAACATGATTGTTTTATGTATAATACTAAAAACAGATAAATGTACAAGCATACATACACAAAAGCTGTCCATCATTTTTCTTAACTATTGTGTCCTGTGGCTCATTCCATCTTAGCGCATAAAGATCCAGATTATTTTTAGCCCGCTATTTTATAATATAAATAAAAAGTTTACATTATGAAATGTAGATCATTATAAAGAGCTCCTCTGTGAAAATATATTTATGCCCCTTTTTAAACCATTAATAACAAACATTATTGTATGTACATTTCTGTTAGTATGTGCAAATATATTTATATAATAAGTCCCTTTGAATGGAATTACTAGCTCAGTGGGTACATGTATTTTCGGTACTGATAGATGTTACTGCTACATTGTCCAGAACAGTTACACCAAATTGTATTCCCACCAACATAACATAAGTGAGAATGTATATTTCCCTCTCCAGACCAACTTTTTGATATTTTTTAACCTGTTTAGTGAAAATAGTAATTATTTTTCCCTTTTTGTGATGTTTAATAGTATGTGAAGCTGAGAACCATTCTGTGTTACTTCACCATTCAAATCTTTAATTTTTTTTCTATTTTTGTAAAGGCATTTCCCTTATGGATTTGTAATTATTCTTTAAATATTTAGTATATTAGTACTCAGACTTTCTAGGCATTGATTTTTGTCTACCTATTTTCAACATCTTTTAATATGATTATATGCAATAAATTACCCTGCCCACAAGGTACTAAGATATTAAAGAGTTAAAAATAAACATTATTTGGCTAATGTGAGTCTTTTTTGCTATCAATAATAATACAGATGAGATGCAAGGGTGTCAGTGCCAAATATCTGGAAAAGGAAAGATGAAATTAATCACACTGGGACAAAATAAATGGTAAGTTATTATTTATTTATTTATTTATTTATTTATTTATTTTAGAGGCAGGGTCTCACTCTGTCACTCAGGCTGGAGTTCAGTGGTCTGATCATGGCTCACTGTAACCTCAAATTCCTGAGCTCAAACAATCCTCTCGCCTCACTCACCCAAGGAGCTAGCACTACAAGTGTGTGCCACCACCATGCCTGGCTAATTTTTTTAGGTTTTTGAAGAGACAAGGTCTCCCTATGCCCAGGCTGATGTCAAACTCCTGGCCTCAATTGATCCTCCCACTTTGGTGTCTCAAAGCACTGGGGTTACAAGTATTAGCCATTACTCCCAGCTGCTGGCAAATTTGTTGATTTATTCACCTATCTATCTGCAGGTTTATTCAACAAACATTTTGTGAATACTTGCTGAGTGTCTGTTGTTTACTAGGTCTAGGGACAAAATCATTTTTACTAACCATATTTAATGTATTTCTAAGTAGTTCCTAACCACAGAAAACATAATCAAGAAAAGTTTTACATCTTCAAGATGTCTGTGATTAATTAATGTTTCTTTCTCTTTGTGTCCGTTAGGAATGAATTGAGATTCTGATAAGAATTCAAAATAACAGCAGAGATTTATTTTCTTTGAGGGAGACTCTCACATAAAGTTTAGAGGTAGGCAACCCAGGTACATATGGTGTGTTTGGAGTTATGTTGTTTTCCTGTCATCTTTGTTCATGATTTTCATTTTTAATTTCCTTATGGTCAAAATATGGCTGCTGGACCTTTAGCCATCATAACTGTGTTCCAGACAGCAAGCAGAAGAAAGCAGCTATAAAGAAAAGAAAAATGACCTTCTTTCAAAGAAGTCAACTCCTCTAGGAGATTTTTTGAACTTCCCACTAGGTGCTTGTAATTTTGATTTCACTGACCTCTTTATTATCAAAGGAACTTAGGAAAATAAGTTGTTACTATCAATGTTGTTGCTTTTATTCTTTTTGCTTAGCAAAAGAAAGATGGGAGCACACCGATAGTGAAGAATAAGATAATGGAAGTTATGTAGCCAACTCTATCCCCACTATAGATTAAATTATTCTCTAGGACAGTAGTCCCCAACATTTTTGGCACCAGGGATCAGTTTTATAAAAGACAAATTTTCCATGGACTGGGATGGGGGGATGGTTTGGGGGTGATTCCCATCTGGGGGTGATAGGAAGCAGTGACAGATCATCCGGCATTAGATTCTCATAAGTAGTGCAAAACCTAGATCTTTTGCCCCTGTGATGCACGATAGAGTTCACGCTCCTACGAGAATCTAATGCCTCCACTGATCTGACAGGAAGCAGAGCTCAGGTGGTAATGTAAATAATGGGGAGTGGCTGTAAATGCCAATGAAGCTTTCCTAGCTCGCCTCACCTGCTACCCACCTCCGGCTGCGTGGCCTGGTTCCTAATAGGCCATGAAGGGGTACCAGCACCGGTCCATGGCCTGGGGGTTTTGAGATCCCTGCTCTAGGAGGCAATCTTCCATTTTCCCTCTCCTTCAAAACACAAGAATGAGGATGTATACCCTACCCCTAACTTTGATGCCTATGTTGAGGTTGCCAGGCAGGAAAGACCCACAGCCTGAAGTTTAAGACAGAAGAACCTCACCTCAAAGCGAGGAACTTTGGGGCACCATGTCCTTCAGTGTTTTCTTATCTCACCTACTAGTTCTCTTCATCCTTCCTCCCATTCCTCACACAAAATAAGACACTGAGTCCAAGCTGTTTTTCCCTCCTATCTCTTTTTCTGATAACCACAAAAGTTTAGACCTTATTAATTGAAGTGGTTTCCTGCTTCCTCTAGTCTAGTCTTAAAATAATTCTTTCTGGTTCCTAAAGCCAGATATTATTATTATTATTATTATTATTATTCTTACTTTGAGACAGACTCTTGCTCTGTTGCCCAGGCTGGGGTGCTATGGAGTGATCTCAACTCACTGCAACCTCTGCCTCCTGGATTCAAGCGATTCTCCTGCCTCAGCCTCCTGAGTAGCTGGGACTACAAGTGCACTGCACCATGCCAGGCTAATTTTTGTATTTTTAGTAGAGACAGGGTTTCATCATGTTGGCCAGGCTGTTCTTGATCTCCTGACCTCAAGATCCACCCGCCTCAGCCTCCCAAAGTGCTGGGATTACAGGCGTGAACCACCATGCCCACCTTAAAACATTATTTTAAACTTCTTTCTAGTCTGTTAAAAAAGCCCTCATTAACTGTTTAAACACTACTTTAAAATAAAGCTGATAAGCCTTATTCTGGCATCTGAGACTATCCATCATCTACTCCATCTGGTCCTGCTACTATGGTCCTCTAGAAGTGCCTTGCATATCCTATCCTCACTCTGTAACTCTCTTCATGCAGGTCTCCTTTCTCTTCTTGCCAAATCCTCCAGGGCCTAGTTCAAATTTCCCCTGCTGCACAAAGGAAAAATGATGTTAGGGAGCCCCTGCATGGCATCTTTTCCACAGTAACATAAGCCTTCTGTCCCTGGGCACTTATCTGCGGCACACATTGACACATTCTGGTTTCCAGCCATCTCTTTCATGTTTGCATTGTTACACATCTTTCGCAATATTTATGGCCGCTCTCTGAAGAAGCTTTCATCAGTCTTTTGGACACATAGTAGGCTCTCAAAAATATCTGTTGGTTGAATTTGTCTTGTCTCTTTTTTTCCTTCCATGTATTTATTACGTGATCAAAATTTCCCTTCTCATTGTGCCTGCCTCTCAATTTCTAGCCAAAATTGTATCTAGGCCCAAACTCCCAATCTGATGTTCCACAGAGCCAGAATGCATCTCCCATGGAGGTCACAGAATTCCACAATTGGCTGACTATTAGCATAAGGCCTGGGATGGAACTGAATTGTCAGCTCCCTTTTAACTGGATGATTTCCACTGGGTTTTATTTTCTGTTTGCTTGCTAATAGAAATGCCCATCGGCAGTGGCCTCAGATCAAAAGTATGGTCTTAATAGAATCTAAAAGTTCATGTTTAATTTTAAAATCACACTCCCTTCAGATTCCCAGTATTGCCAAAATTCATCTGAAAAGCAGATATCATTTTCCTTCCACCTTCAAAAACAGCTGAACAAAATTTAAATACATCTGGTTATAACAAACAAGCTAGAAAGTGCACCACAATTGGGACAAGCTTGCGCACAGATCCAATTTTTATGACTGAGTTAGAAAGTGCTTGAAAAATGGGGCTCACTGTGCAATCCCTGCGGGGGCGTTAGCTGGAGCCTCTGTGGCAAGAAAGACTGCAATAATAAGCATGAGTGGCATTTTCCCAAAGCAGGTTAAATACCCCAATAGAAACCTAGAAGAAATTACACTTAAAGGTTCTCCCAGGCAGCTTGAGTTTATTTGACACCTCCTCTTTGCACGTGAATTCCCTGTGTGACAAACTGCATGATACAATTTGTGGGCTAAATTCGATGATTTTATGAGTGTTAATGCCACAGTTTTGGAGCTAAGTCAATGTGACAATAATAATAGAATTTTGTTTATTTCCTTGTTTGTTTAAACTTTCCCTCTAAACTATAAACTGAGATTATTCAAAGGGCAGTTTCTCACTGGCCATTCTCTTCCTTCTGACTACAACTTGGTAATAGCTAATCAAACAAAGATAATCTGTGCCATTTTTTCAGTTGAGTGCTTGATCAAGATTCATGTTTACTTTTAGGGCAGAATGCTCTGCCTAGGGTAATGAGATGAATTGAGTTTACCTTTTTAACCTTTCTGAAGTTTCACTGTTTCTTGTTGTGTATCTCAGAGTACAGGGCACAGACTAACGGGATGAGTAAGGCTATTCACAGAAAGAATATTTGTTTACTGGTTACAAATAGTTTTTACTGTGTTCATATAGGTCTGGAAAACTTGTTACAGGTAGATGGTGAACTTAGCACTCTACCTATCAAATATGGAGATTAAGTATAATACAGTAGTTAGAAGATAAATTTTGGAGCCACTTTGTTTATAGTCAATTTTGAGTTTCACTAGCTACGTTATCTCCAGCAAGTTGAACAAGCAAGCAAGTTTAAACTCTTTGTGTCTTAGTTTTTTCATCTATAATATGAGCTTGGAATAATGTCTAGTTTATATTATTATCTTTCCCTATTTTCTAACAATATTCTTCTGCAGATCAGTGAGTTCTGCTGACTTCCCAAGAGTCCACATTTGGAATATACTTACTTTGTAGTATAAACCTCTGTTGTGTTTATGATGTACATCCTGCCTAAAGTATCTTCCTCTTGCCTTCCCTCTCCCTATACCACCATTTTATTTACAATGTTCATGCTTTAGGATCAGGCCTCATAATATATTTTTTTTCCAACACTCTCCACCTACATCTTGATATCTCTTTTTTAGAATGTCTCCTTACTACCTATGTTCTCTTTTTCTTCCAGCTACCCATCATATAATACATTCCTGGGCTGTGGTGAACGTTTACGTAATAATTCCTTAGAGCAAGGTATCTTTATTTATTTATTTTTTTTACTTTATTCTATACCTGATTTATCAGTCAGCAATAGTAGTCTGTGCTTCAATCAAACCTGTGAAGAAGTTCTCAATGATCATTCCAACATATTTAAGATGTAGAGCTTTTGCCTGCATCCGTGAAGAGACCATTTGGCTAAAATGTCAGAAGCCCTATTTTCATATGGTCATGAACATTAGTTATGGTCTTGGGGCAAGTATCTTAGGGATTACTGATTCAAATTTTGTTATCTCTCACAGAGAAAGCTAGAGTGTACTCTTCTTTGTGGTCTCTTTCATACTTTCTCTTTTTCTATTTTACCCCCATCAATTTGACATCCATAATTGACAAAGTGGTCCCAATATTTTTATTTCAGTGACAAGCTGGAGACTGTTGACCTGAATCAGTCTTGTCAGTCCATTTGTCAGATCAGTCTATATTTAAGTTCTTCTCCACTTTGTGTTGGACAAAATTTTCTTAGATGACCTTGCACTGCTCTTTTTGCCTCCGTGACAACCCAGTATTTGGAAATTTTGCTCTGTTTTGGTTTATTTGATTGGATACTTCTTTGTATTTCTATGCTTATTTATTATATACTTGATCAATGTTCATTAACTTCTCACTGAGGATGATTCTTTTGTAATTAATAATTTCTCTCTTTTCCTGAAATGCTTTCACCCATTTGATTCCATTTATTTTGTTGCTGTTTTTGTGTGGCCATCTCTACACGGAGCTCAGTTCCTCTCCTAGAATTAACATCATTTAGCACAGTTCCATGAATATCTTGAACACTCATTATTTCCTTGGTAAGAAAATAAATGGAGCAAATTCTCAGTTGCTGGACATTCTATTAACTATAACTGTTTATTAAGTGGCACTTTGCACTCCTCTAGAAAATTATATTTAAAGTTCTTAGTGATATTTTGTCATTGAAATAGCAATATATGCATTTGGAATCAGTAAAAAGAAGCAATTATTTTCAGAACAATTTTAATTATAGTTGCTGTATACTAATTCTCATTGAATTACTATTCTATGTATGTATTGCACAACAACTATTCTCAATCAGAATATTGTAAAACTAAAATCCTACATGAGCAAGCTCTGTTCAAGGCCATGGGGTATATACTTGTAGCTTGCTTTGGATGTTTTGTGTCTCAAATCTTTACATTACATTAAAACAGATATTTACAAAATGAGGTAGTATAGATTAAGTTAAAGAAAAATTAAATCATGGAGTTCATTGCAATTGTAAAAAGATGCCACCTTTAAATTATATATCATATTTTTATTTATTATAAACCTATATAAATATGTCCTTAATGTCTCCACATAGGGTTAAATTTAGGGGGAGAGATCTTAAGTGGGAAGAGCAGGCATGATTTAGTTTAAAAGTGCCGTGGTAGTGATAGCTTAAGTTTCATTGGGCTGTTTAGGGGACCTTGATTGAGTCATGGGCCCTCTTTCTCATTCAGCGTGGTATCTTCTCTTCATTCTTCACTCTCTCTCTCATTCCCTCTTTATTTCTGTTTTCTCCTCTTCTGTCCTTTGATTTCTTTTTGTGTTCCCATTAAAATGGAGACTTAAAATATGAAAGAGAATGAACAACAAATGGTGATAAGATGCATTCGTAGGACATATGTAAAAATAAGGGCTTTGGAGTGCAACACAATAGTTGTTTCATATGAACAAAAATGTGAACAACTATAAGGACATTTGAGTAACAGAGTGGTAAGAAAACATAAATAAAGTTGGGCAAAGAGTATGATTTGGAGAATAATAGCAATGGGAAAATTTTATCCTGATTATAGAAAGAGTTCATTCCACATGTATTCAGATCAAGAAACAAAGGAGGGTAAAATTTTGGAGTAAAGTTCCATATTTAAAAGTTCTATTGGCAGTGAGTCATACTGTACAGTCACAATGAGCCTTTGTACTTACCAAGGAGCTTTTATGCAAAGATTTCACAAGGCAAAGAGCTACAAAAAAAAAAAAAAAAAAAAAAAAAAAAAAAGTCTGCTCTCATTTCAGATGGACAAGTAAATCAGAAAGAAGGTAGATTTTTGAATACTTCACTATTGGGCCTCAGTAACTTTTTCTTTTACATTCTTTTTTTTCCCAACTTTAAATGCAAAGATTTTCAATGCACAATTTAACACATTTTGAAAATGATTAAATCCATATCACTTTCATCCCTATCAAGATACAGAACATTTTTCTCACTCCAGAAGATTCTCTTGAATGGAGTCAATCTATACTCCTCTTCCCAAGAGGCAACCACTGCTTTGATTCCTCTTTTCATCACATATTAGTGTCGTCTGTTTTAAAACATACCACAAGTTAAATTGTACAGTATGTACACCTGTATGTCCAGCTTTTTATTCATCATAATATTTTTTAAATATTTACTTTTAAAAAATATTAGACTTAAGAAAATTGACATAACACAGAGAGACCTCAAAAACCCCATATTCAGTTTCCCTTATTATTAAAGTCTCACATTACTATGGCGCATTTGTTGCAATGAATGAACCAATACTGATACACTATTACTAAGTAAAGCCCATTCTTTATTCAGATTTCTTTACTGTTTACCTAATGTCCTTTAGCTGTTCTAGGATTGCATCAAGGATAAGACACTACTTTTAGTCATTACATGCTCTGCGTTATGGAAGTTCTTGGAATTTCTTTGGTTTTTGATAAACTTGATAAGTTTGAAAATTATTGATATGGTATTTTGTAGAATTTCCTCAGCTGGGATTTGTCTGATGTTTTTTTCATAATTAGAATAGAGCTGTGGGTTTGGGGTAGAAAGATGAGAGAGGAAAGCGCCATTTTCATTATATCATACCAAGCGTGCAAAATATCAAATTATTTATTATTATTAATGTTGACCTTGATCACCTAAGATACCATTTGTCGGGCTTTTCTACTCTAAAGTTAGTCTTTTTCTCTCTTCAGTGTAATAACTTGTTCATTCATTTTATTGCACATACTACAAGTTTGTCTCTTTGTGTTGCAGAGCAGTATTCAATATATGATTATATTACAATTTTTCTATTAGCCTTTCTTTTACATGTTTTTGTGTACATATGTCTTTATTTCTCTTTGGTAAATGTCTAGAAGTAGAATGATTAGATTATAAGTTTAATGTATAACTAACTTTATGAGAAAATGCTTAATATGCAAAATGGTTATCCTATTTTACACTCTCACTACCCAGCTATGAGAATTCCAATTGTTTTGCATCTTACTAATTCTTAATATTGTGAGCCATTTCAAGTTTAGTCATTCTAGTGGATGTATAGTGGTATCTAATTGTGGTTCCATTTTAATTTTCTTTATGACCAGTAGCATTGAGGATTGTCCATGTACTTATTGGAGATTTATATTTCTTCCTTTGTAATTGCTCAAATACCATGGTATTGACTTTTCTTCTTTGCACTGCATTGACATCCTTGTCAAAAATTATTTGATTATCTAATATTAAATCAATTTCTATACCCTTATATTCCATTGATTTGAGGATCAAGCCAATACCACACTGTCCTGATTAACGTTGCCTTATAATAAATCTTTTTTTTTTTTCTCTGAGATCGGGTCTCCCTCTATTGCTCAAGTGGGAGTGCAGTGGCATGATCACTGCTCACCGCAGTCTCAAACTCCCAGGCTCAAGCAATCCTCCCATCTCAGCCTCCTGAGTAGCTGGGACTACAGGTGCATGCCATCATGCCTGGCTAATTTTTTTTTTTTTCAGAAATGGGGTTTCACCATGTTGCCCAGGCTGGTCTGGACTCCTTGGCTCAAGTGATTCACCTGTCTCCGTCTCCCAAAGTGTTGCGAATACAAAGTGTGAGCCACCGTACCTGGACTATAATAAATCTTTCAATTATGTAATGTAAATCTTTCTTATTAGTTCTGATGTTCAAGATTGATTTCCATCAAACATGTGTGTGATAGGAGACATCTTTGTCTTTTTCCAAAGATTAGGAAAAATATATATATCGTTTTTTACCATTAGTGTGATGCTAGCTATAAATTACTTGTAAGTGCCCTTGGTCAGATTGTTGAATTTCCTCCTTTTCCTAGCTCGCTGAGAATTTTCATGATAAATATGGGTTGAAGTTTATCAAATCCATTTTCTGACTATATTGGGGTGATTATATACATGTGCTCATTGATTTTGTTAATGTATTGAATTATACTGATTCACTTTCAAGTGTTAAACCAATGCTGCATTCCTATGACAAATTTTACCTGTTCATCCTGAGTTATTCTATTTATACGTTATTTCATTCAGTTTTTGAATACTGTATTTATAAAACTTTTTTATATATTATTTTTTGTTCGTATTTTTTGTAGTATTTTTGTCTTGTTATGGTTTCAAGGTTCTATTGGCCTCAAAAAATTAATAGGAAAGTATTTCCTCCTCCTCCTTTCTCTGAAAGGACTTGTGTAAAAATTAGTATTATTTCTTCCTTAGAAGCTGGGCATGGTGGCTCACGTCTGTAATCCCAGCACTTTGGGAAGCTGAGGCAGGAGGATCACTTGAGGCCAGGAGTTTGAAACCAGCCATGGTGGTGCAGACTTGTAATCCCAGCTACTCAGGAAGCTGAGGTAGAAGGAATGCTTGAGCCTAGAAAGTTGAGGCTACAGTGAGCCAAAATAATGCCATTGCATTCTAGCCCGAGTCACAGAGTGAGACTTTATCTCTAAAAAATATATAAATAAATACAAATTTTCTTCCTTAGCTATATGTTAGAATTCAACAATCTACCGAGGACCTAGATTTGCAGTATAATTCTATTTATTTTTCTATTTGTTTGTTTTCCGTGTTCTTGAAAACTATTCTTTTTTAAAGCTCATTTCTATCTTCTGTTTGGCCTTCTTTTCTAGCTTCTTAATGTAGAAGATCACATCATTGATTTCAATTGTTTATTATCTTAAATAAACATTTGAGATACAAGATACAAATACATATACAAATATATGTATTGAGATACAAGATACAAGATACAAATATTACAAAGATACAAGATACAAATATACAAAATACAAATATTATACAAGATACAAGATATAGCTAAAACAGTAAACACTTTCTAGCTGCATCACAAAGGTTTTGGTATGTTAGTATCATTATTTTAAAATATTTTCTAATTCATTTTGTGTTTCTTCTTTGGCTTAGAATATTTTTTTTTCTTTCAAACATTCAAGATTTTCTAAATACCATTAATTTTATTTATAATTAATTATGTTTGGTCAGAAAAAACTTTATTTTTCATTTTTTGAAACTTCTTTTGAACTGAGAATATAGTTTATCTTGCAGAACACTCTATGTATATCTGAAAATTCTACTTTTTGATATATATTTTTGTTTATAGTTCCTATAAGTATTCATTTAATCCAAGGTTTAAAAGGTGATTGAATTAAATGTTTTAACATTCTTCCACCAGTTATATTTGATTGATTTTTTTTAATCTTAGAATTTGAGGTATGAAATAAACTTTTACTGTTATTTTACAAATTGGCATTTATAATTTTTGTCACTGTACAACTGGCTAAAATGATATTTATATAAGCCCGAATTTTAGAATTCTGTTTTATGACAACTATTAAGTCTGTATACAAATTGATACAACTTAGAAAATCAAGGTATCAAATGTCATGCTGTGTCTCAAATGTAATGCATCCAGTAAGTCAAATTTGTATAATATCTAATTGTGTGATGGCTAAGCTAAAAGCCTAGACTTCACTGTTACACAGTATATCCACATATCAAAACTGCGCTCCTATCCCCTAAATTTATACTGAGAGCTATGTAAACATGTCAACCATCTCGTATTATCATCATGTGTTATGTTGCTTGTATTTTAAGATGAGCATCTTAACTTGTGTTTCCTATAAAGTAGTGCCTCAGTCAAGGAAGGACCTTTGTTCAAGTGGTTCATTTAGTAGATAACCCAGGGAGTAAGAGTAAAGAATCAGGGATCATTAGTCAAGGACAGTGGGAAAGCCAATGCAAGTGGATTAGTGCTTTTAAGTTGACCATTATGAACCACAGGGGCTGGGACCACCTGTAAAACATACAGTATAGTTCCTAAATTTTTGCCCCTTGAACGATAGGAGGTGGGAGTTTTTTTGTCTGTTTTTTGTTTTACTTTTTTTTTCAATTATACTTTAAGTTCTAGGGTACATGTGCTCAACGACAACGTGAAGGTTTGTTACATATGTATACATGTGCCATGTTGGTGTGCTGCACCCAACTCGTCATTTATGTTAGGTATTTCTCTTAATGCTATTCTTCCCCCTTCCCCCTACCCCATGACAGGCCCCAGTGTGTGATGTTCCCCGCCCTGGGTCCATGTGTTCTCATTGTTCAATTCCCAGCTATGAGTGAGATCACGCGGTGTTTGGTTTTCTGTCCTTGTGATAGTTTGCTGAGAATGATGGTTTCCAGCTTCATCCATGTCCCTACAAAGGACATGAACTCATCCTTTTTTATAGCTGCATAGTATTCCATGGTGTATATGTGCCACATTTTCTTAATCCAGTCTATCATTGATGGACATTTGGGTTGGTTCCACGTTTGCTATTGTGAATAGTGCCGCAATAAACATACGTGTGCATGTGTCTTTATAGTAGCATAATTTATAATCCTTTGGGTACATACCCAGTAATGGGATTGCTGGGTCAAATGGTGTTTCTAGTTGTAGATCCTTGACGAATTGCCACACTATCTTCCACAATGGTTGAACTAGTTTACACAGGAGGTGAGACTTTTTATATACCTATTAGTGATGGTTACCCTGGAAGAGGTACCCTTGCCCTTACAGGCTGAATGGGCTCCCATATCATAGGAAAAATTTGGAGGCAAAGGGCACCCTTGGGTATAAACCTTCATAGCAGAATGTGAATCTAAGCTAGCACAGTTACAATGGAAATCAACAGTAGGCTAAGAGTAACAGTATTACTAATTTTAAGTTGACATACAATTTTGACTCAAAAACTTGGAAAAAGAAATTATTTGTTAAAAAGTAGACAAATGATTAGAAAAGCCAATATTAGATTATCCTAAACTAATAAAATTAGAAAGGTTTTACACAAAACAGAGATTAGAATAGGAAAGACAACCTCCCAGACAGGACTTGCTCTTAAGGGGGATATAGTACCCCTCTGACTGTGAGCAAATTTACCCTGGCCAGGACCAGTTGAACTTAGTAAATTTAATTTTGGAAAAGCAAGAGGAGGATTAGCTGGTAAGAATCTGGAAAGAAATGAATGTGAATAGTCAAAGAAAAAGAGATGAAAGATAAACAAGAAAGAGAAAAAAGAAAAACATACACATGACAAGGAAACTTGGAAGTATTTAGGCACCAGCAGTAGAGACCTTGATCATATAGGTTTTGCCATCTCAAAGAAAAAAGAAAATAGTTTGGAAATGTAATGGAAAGTCATTGGGAGAGAGAAAGGAAGATTAAAACAGGAGGAAACAAAGGGAATTCACTCAGGGTAATGCTAAATAACAGTGTCTTGTTACAGATATCCTTATTAAAAGTTAGGGGTTGTGTCCAAATAAATATTAGGGTGTGGTATACAGGTTTTAATCAATCACAAATAACACTGATTTGATCATACAGTATGGTGAAAGTATTGAAATATTTCATGACATATTTTCATTGCATATTGAGTACAAAATATTCTATAGGTCTATTACAGAATTAATAAGACTGTTATGAAAATTAGGATACCTAGAATGTGTAATATATTGGCTATATGCCATTACAATCAACCAATAGTACACATACTACATATATTACACACACCCATGTATTTTGGCTTACATTAAATTTAAATGTGATTCATTTAGATATCAATAAGCTAACATATCTTAAATTTGGGGGGAAATTAGGCATTTTCTAAAATATGTAAAAATAATTTAATAAGTTTTAAAAGATAATGTTCACCATTACACTTAGTTACAAACTAATGATTATATGATGATAAAACATGCAAATTTTAAGTGAATGTGATTTTTTTCCTGTGATTGCCTTTTTCAAGGTACAATTTATGAATTAAATTTTCCAGACTAAAAGTGGTTCATTTTACAATGAAATTATCATTAATCATGGACTATATAAACCAGTCTTTTTGACTACAATTAGATATTAACTGAATATTGAGTATGAATCCTAAAGCTGACCCCATGAATACACATATTTCATTTCCTGTGGTTTGAGTCATAGCCACTTGTCAATACACATTGCAACCTTTTGCATTCTGAATAAATTTCCAGGTAAATATTTTAACTAGAAAGCACTCACATAATAAAGTACACCTCTCTGACTCTAAATGCAAATACAATCTCAATAGAAAAAAAGGTACCCTCGGGTAATTTAGCTGCTCTTTTGTCCTGTTCTCCAGTGAGTGCCAAAATATGGAAAAACGAGCAGTTCTCAATTCAACCCTTATGGAGGGTAAAACCAATGTAACGTTTCACTGCCCTCTACAGGATGCAAATGTAAGCTGTTTGGATGGAACTTTTCTTCTCATATGTATATAATTTTAAAATGAAACTCTCAAGAAAGGATCCAGAATTAAAAATAGCAGTGATAGAGCAAAGGGGGGGGATGCAAATTGAGTTTTCTGTAAAATTAATGAATTTGTGAAGACATACAGTACCCAGCAAGATTTCCCCAAACCGAAAATAAAGAGCAATAAAAATGCCACACGATGATAAGGTGGCAATAACACATGAGAGATTGTATGAAATGTTCAAATGAGAAAAACAGAGAAAAAAAAGTAAAGAGGAGAGAGGGAGGGAAATTGTTATTGGAGATGAATGGGTGTTATTGTTTGATCTCATTTTTTTATCCCTTTTTGTTTGTATAATTGCACTTGATTGCTAAAATGAAAAGTGTCTGTAAAGTGATGGATTAATTAAAAGAATATGCAACCACTTTTCCTTTCTTACAGAGAAAAAAAAGAGTTTTATCCTTATAAGATCCCATCCATAGCCTTCACTCTGAACTATAGCGGGTTTTGAAAGTCATTTACATAATAGCTAACAGAAATGTACTCAGCAAAACACCAGGCTTTCTAAACACAGGAGATAATTATGTTGGAAGAATGATATTCCATTGCCATCTCCATTTTCAAGATCCATTTATTTTTCCTGTACACAACAAAGAACAACCAAACACATATTAACATATATTGTGTAGCTGTGTGCCCTTAGAGTGACAAGATACAGGGAATTGGATTTGATGGGGCTAAGGCAGAGCAAAAACCAGAAAGGAAAGAAATACTGCATTCTATTCCTGGCATATATGTACCACCTGAATGGTATTTTTCATTATCTCCAGCACTGGGAACATTCTACTATTCTACTGGGAAGTCATAGCAGAAGAGATATAATTATCAGCAGAGTAATGGGGATGCTCTTGCTAATGGCCAGCTATTCAAATATCTCAATATAATCGTCTTGCCCAATCTCTCCCCATTGCATACTCTTCTGGAGAAACTCATCATTTTTTCCACTTACTCCAGCATAATGAATTCATTTTGCATTTTCTTTGTGAGAAATTAAGAGGAATCGCAATATAATGTGTTGACATTTGAAATTCTGCACAGAAAATTTTAGGCTGGCAATTTAGTTTAATCACAAGCTAGCAGGGAGAGGTTGTTTATTAAATTGGTTCCCAGTGTATAAAATGCGTATTTTCTTTGTAAACCTTTGCCTTTGTACCTTGGTTTGGACTTCTTTTTTTCCTATTTTTTAAAATAAATCTCAATTTTCTCAAAAGAAAAAATAATATACCCCCAAATGAAGCTCTGTGTTCTCTGAGCCTTTTTTATGGTCAAAATTCTTGACACTAAATATGAGCATTGAGTGAAAGACCCTTGAGAAAAGGTTAAAAAAATAAAATAAGTGAGAAGTTGCCTTTAAGAAAGGCCACCAAAGTGTGTTTTATTTTTCTGTGCCATTATGCCACTGGGTTGGCCACTGCTATAGGAAAAATTCTTTCTTATTATTACACTAAAGCTATTCTGTTTATTTGTTCAAATCTGAGTTTGGGTAAACATTTCCATATTTTCTGCCCCTTATGTTTTTGTTTTTTATAGAATTTTCATTAAATTGCTCTAATAAGACTTGTAAACAGCTAATAAAACAGTCTTTCCACTTTCTCTAGGGAATGTTACATTTCTGGGCAGGTGAGAACATGAACAAGTTATTAAAAAAAACTCCTATTGGAATCATTGACTTGGAAGATGATTTAGCTTTCCTTTTACATTAGAAACTTTGCTAAGGTCCAACATTCATAAAAAGAAGGTGGAGGAGAGCAAATCTGAGTGTGAAGCCTGTGTCATCAGTTGATGGGAAGCAAGAAGATGATAAAAGGGTGCCACATTTTGATGACCTTTCTAGCATGTCTCACATTCTTGCTTTACTTGATTCTTCTAAATTATTTTCATATTCAAACAAATATTGTGCTAACATAGCACCTAAAGTTTGTTAAAGAAGGCATTCGGGAAAATATATTCAGAGGGCATATTCACTCCTCTAATTTTCTCTAGTCGATTCTGACCAGAACCCAGATTAGAACTGTTGCATCCCTCCCTAAGTTTACCTGAGGCTTCTGGGAAGAGACGTGAGGAAAAGACAACTTGGCCTCGACTTTAAAAAGGGCAGTAAAAGTCATCTTTAGAAACTAGCATGCATCCAGCAGAATTACTCCAGATTCCGTAAGAGCCAAAGCCCTGCCACCTACTTAGTCTAATCTACCCCTACTTAATATCTTGCGGTTGGTACTGTATACTGAATTCCCTTCATTTCTTGCACTATGCCGCTATACTTGATTGCTAAGGGTATGCCTGGCCACTCCAAGTTCTTGGTTAAAATTAGTCTAGAATTTTACACTTTCATTGAATCACAACTTTTTTTCAATCTTTTTACATTAGAATTCCTTTGAATGTCATAATTCTTCTTTTGTAACTCTGTATATTATTATCAGTAATAAAAAACACTCTGATTATTTCTTTTTCTATTCTTTTTTCTTTTATTTTGAGGCAGAGTTTCACTCTTGTCACCCAGTCTGGAGTTCAATGGCTCAATCTTGGCTCACTGCAACCTCTGCCTCCAGGGTTCAAGGGATTCTCCTGTCTCAGCCTCCCAAGTAGCTGAGACTACAGGTACCTGCCACCATACCCAGCTAATTTTTGTATTTTTAGTAGAGATAGGGTTTCACCATGTTGGCCAGGCTGGTCTCGAACTCCTGACCTCTTGACCTACCCACCTAGGCCTCCCAAAGTGTTGGAATTACAGGCGTGAGCCAGTATACTTGGCCAATTATTTCAACTATTAAATAATTGTACTGCCATAACCATTACAATATGGAATTTGTCACTTTGTTTTGATTGATGCTCTCTTGGTCTAAAATACAGTGTTTTCTTTAAGAAAGATGGTTATATCTTTCAAAGTAAAGATCTTACATAAAGGGATAGTGTCTCAGTTTGTTACTAAAGATCTTTCATCAGCGAAAGGAAAGTGGAAAGAGAGTAAGGAGAAACCCACCACAACTCTCCCAAGTTGTGACTGTAAACTTGTTCTGTATGTGTTATATTAATAACATTGTGATGCATTGATGTTTTCAAACTCCAGTCAATAGCCTACTTTTTATTACTCACAGAGAAGTGAAAGGAAGCAGGGAACCAGTGAGTGATTGCAAAGTGTATATGTTTAAGAGCATGTTCATCAAAAAAGCAGCTCTGGGTTACGGTCTGAAAGGCATTATGTTATTAAACCAAGAACACTTGATCAGAAATCAGGAGCCTGAGTTCTAGTCTTAAATCTAGATTTAACTAACTTGCTATGTGGTTGGAAATTTGAATCAAAAAGGCCTTTAATTCAGCTAAAAAATGAGGGCGTTAGACTTGGTTTTGTGCCACACCACTTTCAGTTTGAAGCAATTATAATTACATTATTTAGACTGAAAGTAGCTTTCTGAAAACCAGGCTATTAATGAACAGTAGACATGAATTATTATCTATAGTAATTTTATTTGAAATAATTTGTTTTTAATAAGTTTTTGGTACCAAGTAAAGGGGAAATGTTATAATGTCTTAGGACTAGGTTTCAGAGAAGAAATATGGCAAATAGCATCAAGCAGCCCACTATGAAGAATTTGTGAAATGTCTAGTGCCTTAAATATCATGAAAGATAGAAAACATTCCAAAATACCTGAAATAGTCTCTTATTTATGCAGTCTCTTCTTTAGGGGAAGGCTCAAGTATAACCTTTTATAAAAGTATGATGCAATGAAGTGGCAAACAGTACAGTTCTATGAAGAAGTATGATAGAATTTCAGATAATGACATGAATGAAGCAGTCTTATAAGAACAGTTGGGCTCTGACAAAAGTTTTAGAATGATTGATGGTTTGAACACAAAAGAGGGAATTACTCAATTAAGGCAGAGAAGTTAGACAGGGCATTCTGTGCTAGACATCTTTTAGAAGCTATAGGCAGCTTCTCTAATGCTGTGTTGAGTGACAATGGGTTTGTGAAGAACAAGTCCAACACACAACTGGGAATCCTAAAGGGTTTCAACATATTTTGAAAGAATTTAATGACAATGAATACCAAAAGACACTATATTTATGGCTTACCAAAAATAGAGTGTCTATCAAGACAATCAAACCTGTAGACTTTCTTTTCCTAAAGACTTCTATGGAGCTCCTCTTTGGCATACAATAGAATGCACTTTCTTACATTAATTTCCAGGTACAGGTCTCTGACCAGGGCAATTATAGAGAAAATAGAAATTTATCTTAACATGCAGTTCCTAATAACTTCCCAGGGTGTAATTGCACTATAATAATTTCATTGTGTATTTAACTTAGGCAACATTTTTAAAGAAAACATGTGTTGATGTTAAACACACGTATAAATGTTTAGTTCTATGGAGTAAAGCAGAAAGGATGTTTTCTAAGAGTTTTGTGTGCTCTTTTAGAATTCTAGTAAACAATTATGGCAGGTGTCCATGAACGTCTTTGTTCATGTACCACAAAAAGACTTTTGAAAAACTATTTACCCTCTAACATATTTTTAACTTGACATCTAAAAGTTTTTATCATAAACTTATGACACAAGGATACAAAATAAATACATTATAAATGTTGACATTTAAATATAAAATTGTTAAATTATTCTATTAAGTGTATACAATGGAAGCTAAATACTATGATTTGAAAGTGACCATCATTATTAAAACAGTAGATGACAGGAAATTCCTTAATAATTTATCATTTTTATACTATGTCATCTTTTTGTTGAAAGAATTTAACTTTATCAATTGAAATAAATATACTCATACATATCTCAATCTCACAATATCTCATTCTGAATTTTAATTGAGATAGATTTGTTAACAGATAGATGACATATGATAGAGATAGATAGATAGGTAGATATTTAGATGGATAGAAAATAAAGTTGGCTGGGCATGGTGGCCAATACTGTAATCCCAGCACTTTAGGAGGCCAAGGCAAGTGGATCACCTGAGGTCAGGAGTTCGAGACCAGCTTGGCCAACGTTGTGAAATCCCGTCTCTACTAAAAATACAAAAATTAGCTGGGTGTGATGGTGTACGCTTGTAATGCCAGCTACATGGGGGCTGAGGCAGGAGAATCACTTGAACATGGGAGGGGAAGTTGCAGTAAGCCGAGATCATGCCACTGCACTCCAGTCTGGGTGACAGAGTGAGACTCTGTCTCAAAAAAAAAAAAAAAGAAAAAAGAAAGTCAATGCACCATGGGGAAGATCACTCTAAGATCATTCTCTGGTAAGAGAAGGACAGTTGGCAAATAAGAGTTGGAGAAGGAGAATTGGACTCAGAATTTTTGGGGGGTAATATGAATTTTGCAATAACATATATTTTAGGGAATACATGGGCAGATCTTCAACTACATAGTTGTATAGTATAACATAGCATAGTATAGTATGTGTTCTCTGAAATTTTTCATGCCCAGTTGTCTCTAGGAAATACATGGCGCATTCCCATAAAGACATGCTCCAGTATGAAATCTGCTTCAGAAAAGCAGACCTCCACATCCCTCCTCCCAAGAGTAGGTTCTGCTCCCATTATCAAAATTTTTATTTCCTCATTTCAGCATGGGCACATTTCCTGCTACAGATCTCAGCTATGTGCCACATGCTCTAAATCTATTGTATAATTTAATCCTTTCAGAAGACCTGTGAATTGTGTCCTTTTTTCTTTTTTTTACAATTATAGTCATACAAAACTGAGACTCAAGGAAATTAAGTAAATTGTTCACAGTTTCATTAAAAAGAAAAGGCAAGTCTGGAATGCAACCAAATCTGCCTAATTTCAACAATGTGTATCCCAAGCCCTCTATCAACTTAAACAATGAAGAGGTTTTTTGTTACAGTTTTTGAGGAATCTACGGCTCTAATATTTTAAGGCTGTAAGATAGTGGCTGAAACAGAGTTTTGAGTGATACTAGAATTTTGGCCTGAATATAAAGCCAATATTTGACTCTATTTGAAAATGTTAGCTTATTTTTCTGAAGCTTCTTTCTCAACAGGACCATCAAATTTTGAATAACAGAGACTTTTTTAACTTTAGAAAGTTAGAAAATAATCACATTGTCTCCAGATTTCTTCCATGTGGCCCTCTTCAGTTATACGTGTCAATACAACATTTTTTTTAAGTGGAATGCCAAGATTTACCATCATATAATTCCCATGGGTATTGATTTCCTAGAATAATAAATAATTTGTTCTTCCAATTGTGTGTGGGTGTGTGTGAGCATAGGTAGGGTGATGGAATTTGGGAAGTGAGATGGAGAATAAAACATTTGTTTAACTTTTGTCCTCTCATCTAAACAATGTATTTTTGCCTTGAGAGATTCTTATAACGTAGCAGTCAGTTCTGTGCTCTGCTCTTTTCAGAAAGAATGACACACTAATTTTCACTTCAAAGCCTGACAGTTTGTAAACTTGTCTTACACCATTAATTTTGGAAGCCATCTTCCAATGTCTTTCAGGGAGAAATTATCAGTCAACTGTGTTTGGTTTATGAAAATAGAAAAGCACTTCTGAAAAAACAGAAAATAAAAAGAAAGAAAATGGAGCTTTAAGTGGTTAAAAATCAAAACCCTCAATTCTAGTGCATAACATGTCAATAAAAAGTAAAAAACAATGCTCAACTTGGTGAAAAACAGAAAAATAACACCATTTAGTTCAAGACTTTTTTAAGACAAACACTATAACATATAGTTGGCAGATAAAAACATGGAATTGTTCCAGACATACCTGCAACACCCACACATATACAAACACACAAAAAATAGTGGATGTCTACTGCTTTGCTCCAGAATTGAAAGCAACCTAACTTTTAGTAGCTATTTTTAACAGATTCTATTTTAAATTTTGGCACAGTTGTAACCTTAAAAACTATGTCATTTTCTAAACATAAGTGTAAACACATTGAAAGAAAGGAAGAATAAAACTGAAATTTTAGCATATAAAAACTTCCTGCTGTTGTTGTCTGAAATTCTTCACAATTTCATCCTTATGCTATCCCATACATGTTGCTCCTCAGCCTAAACCAATATTGGACTTCCAATACTGGCCACGTATTCCAAAGCACACACCAGGCAGAAAGTTACTTAGATATTCAAATCACCTCCACTCCCAGTTTACTTCATATTCGCCCCCAGCCTTCTCTGAAGCTTTGCATTTGAAGGGTTGCCTCCCTCTCTCTCCTTACCTGTGATTGGCCCTTTCTATGTGCCCATGATTGTTTTATATGGAATATGTTGTATAAAACCCAAATAAATCCTATGAGATACAGGTTAGTAATAAATAGGCTAGAGATGTTACGCAAAGTATACCGCCATATTTGTGTAACAGCGTTTTGGTCCATCACAGATGGCATATGGTGCTGAAAATGTCATAGCACAATGCATTACTCACTTGTTTGTGATGATGCTGGTATAAACAAACCTACCGTGCTGCCAGTTGTATAAAAGTCTAGCACATACAATTATATACTGGCAATAAACGACTATGTTACTGGTTTATGTGTTTGCTATACTATTCTTTTATCATTATTTTAGAGTGTACTCTCTCTCTCTTTCTCTCTCTCTCTCTCTCTCTCTCACCATATATATATATATATATATATATATATATATATATATATATATATATATATATATATATATATATATGCCCTTCAGGAGATACTCCAGAAGAAAGCATTGTTGTCATAGGAGATGACAGCCCCAGTTCTGTTATTGCCCTTGAAGACTTGTCAGTGGGACACGATGTGGTGGTGGAAGAAAGTAATATTGACGATTCTGACCCTGTATAAACCTAGGCTAATGTGTGTATTCTTGTCTTAGATTTTAACAAAAAAAAAAAGTTTAAGAAAAAAGAAAAAAATTTTAAAAAAGAAAAAGCTTATACATTCAGAATATAATTTTTTTGTATAGTTGTACAATGTGTTTGTATTTCAAGCTAAGTGTTATTAGCAAACAGTAAAAAAGTTAAAAAATAAACATTGATTAAAAAGTAACGGTAAGCTTACGTTAATATAGTATTGAAATAATAAAAATATTCTTAACTAAATTTAGTGTAGCCTAAATGTACAGGGCTTATAAAGCCTATGGTAGTGTCCAGTTATGTCCTAGACCATCACATTTACTCACCACTCACTGACTGATTCACCCAGGCCAGCTTCCAAACCTGCAAGCTCCATTCATGGTAAGTTCCCTGTACAGGTGTGCCAAAAAACAAACAAAAAAAGCTTGATACTGTATTTCCGCTATATGTTGCCTATGTTGGGGTATGTGTACATGTACAGATACTTATAATTGTGTTATAATTGCCTACAATATTCATTATAGTAACATGCTGTATAGGCTTGTAGCCTAGGAGCAATAGCTATATCATACAGCCTGGATATGTGGTAGGTTATACCATCTAGGTTTGTGTAAGTACACTCTAGGATGTTTGCACAACAGCGAAATTTCTTAATGCATTTCTCAGAATTTATCCTTGTTAGGTGATGCATGACTATATGTGGTTACATCATGTAGACATTTTTGTATAGAATTAAGATGCATAAATTTCAGACTTCAAATGTGATTCATCCATTGTGTGACACTGCTTCTCAAATTGGTGATTAACTGCCTATGTGATCACCTGCAAACAAAAGGTTTGAAGGTATCAATTCTAGTTTTAGTTCTGCTGCTACCTTTGGTCTTGTTTTCTAATATTGTGATCCTCAAGATCCTTCATTAAAAATATGCACAGTGATATTCTCTTCCATTTATTCCTGTTGTCCTATTTACCATAACTAATGGGGGTGATAACTATTTACTTTTGCTGTGGACTGAATGTATATGTTCTTACTAAATTCATATGTTGAGATCCTAACCCCCAATATGATGATATTAGGAGACGAGGATTTTGGGGAGGTGATTAGATTCTACCCTTATAAATGGAATTGATTGCTTTAAAAGGAGACTCCTGAGAGCTTTCTCACTCTTTTTGCCATGTGCAAACATAATGAGAGAATCACTTATGAACCAGGAACCAGGCCCTCACCAGACACTGAATCAGCCAGCGCCTTGATTCCGGCCTCCCCAGCTTTCAGAACTGTGAGAAATAAATGTTTGTTGTTTAAACCACCTATTCTATATTTTTATTATAGCAGCCCAATTGGACTCAGATGAATTGCATTGGTTAAAATTGAGGCAGTATGCAAATAGTTTTGCCAACAGTATCTGACTTACTCTTTATAACATTAGTTTGAGGAGTTATTCATTTTATAGATAGGAATCTGATATATTACTTATTTTTGTGGCATAATTCTGAGAAGTAGAGTCAGGATTCGAAGTAAGATTTGTCTGAATAATGTAACTAGATTCTTACTTGTAGGTTCCCTCTGCCCTGTTACATCATTCCTAGAAAAATGAGAGTTCAGAAAGAGAAAAAAGTTTTGGAATATTCTGGAAGGCCTATAGAGAAGTAGAAATTAAATAGTGCCTCAATGGTAAGCTGTTTCATTAACCACGGAGAAAAACAAGGTGAATTTGAGTAATGGCTTATTCTCAGGAACAAGTCCTAACCTGTAAAAGAACAGATTTTAAAAGGGTCCGGAATAGAGAGAAAAAGCATAAAGCAACATAATTTTAAAATGTTTAATGTCAACTTTGGACCATACTTTTTTCTTTTCCTCTTCTCCTCCCCTATTCAAAACACTTGCAACAAGGAATCCTGCAGTATCTTCCCTATCTAAGATTTCATGCACATTAGAAATTACAGCAGAAGTTTGTGCAATATTTACAGAATGAGGAGGTAATACTGAAATCCAGAGGAAAAAAAATAAAGAGAATGCTGAATAGAAATCAAATCTTGGGAATCATGCAGTCTAATCTTGCTCAGAGAATGTTAACTTTATGATCTGCAAGGTTTCATCAGAAGAGAAAACTAAAAATAGAAAGTGTGGGATAAGTGAGTGGGATATATAGTTTTAAAAAAAAGAAAGAAAGAAAACTACTCACAGCTTAAAGGTTTAGAAAACTCTCTCTGCCACAGGTCTGAAAGAATAAATTACATCAAGAGCTGTTTTACTGTTTTCTTTATTTTGGGGGAGTGCAATGCGGATTGATTTGGAGTGACCTGTATTTAAAAGCCTTGACATTCTTGGAAACTGAACAGTTCTATTGCAGTGTGCACAGTGACATCGCTCTTCTCCTCCTCCTCCTCCTTGCCACAGCACAAAGCAGTAACTTTTATACAATCTGACTTCTCAACTCCTGTCTTCTTATTTTCTCAACACAACAGGGCAGCCATCTATCCTGTTCTTGCTCCATATGACCTTCCGGGGATCTCTGGGTTTCGTTTTTCTGGCTTCATTTTTTCTCTACTTTGAGAGTTTAAATGTATGGAGGTGGAGCTGGGAAAGCAGAAACCGAGGCTGAAAAGGGAAACATAAATTCTGCAGTACCACCAATTGTTCATTAGTGATATTCATGCCTATAACATGATCCAGTAGGAACACAGCTAGCACAATTCCAAAGTACACAATGCAGTATTTGTTGAAATACGCACACATATACGTAGAGTCCTCACATTGAAAAACTTTGTTCAATTCAGATGTAAGCAACATTCCCTTGGATTGTGAAAAGCCAGTTGTTGAAGTCGAAGAACATGGAATAACAAGAATGTTTACCAGAAGAAGGAGAAGAAAAAAGGAGAGAGAGAGGATTAAATGCTCACTTAGATGCCCACTCCACATCTGAGGTAAGGACTACCCAAAAGAACTCTGGCAGAGTTAAGTCAAATCGTGACTGAATAATATGTATTAGGCACTGCTTCCTGAAGTCCTAGAAAGCTCTCTTCAGATAGAACGCCACGTTCTCATTCCACTCAGTTAATGGCCTTCCCTCATATTTCAGGAAGAAAATATGATTTTTTCCTAAATTACAGTCATATGGTCTCGTGGACAAATCTATTCTACTCTTATCTGCATCCTTCTCTCTCTCTCTCTCTCTGCTGTTATATTCAAGGAAGTGCCACTCCTCCAAATACCACTCTCACTTTATGTCCTAGATCTAAATCTCACAAACATTTTTACTCCTCTGAAAAATAACAGATTTTCAGAAGAAATCTTTTCTTTATCCTGTGTTTCTCTCTACCAGATTATTCATACAAAATTTTCCAGCCCCATGATGTCCAACATGGTGGCCCCAAAATACATGGGGCTATTTAGAACTTGAAATGTGGCTAGTTCGAACTGACATAAACTGAACTGTAAAATACACGACGAATCAAAGACTTAGTGACAAATAAAGTAAAATATCTGATTAATAATTTTTTTATTTTGACACATTTTTAAATGATAACATTTTGAATATATTTGGTCAAATATATCTCTATCTCTATCTATCTATTTATCTATCTATCTATCTATCTATCTATCTATCTATCTATCTATCATCTATTTTTTTTTAGAAGGAGTCTTGCTCTGTCACCAGGCTGCAGTGCAATGGCACGATCTCAGCTCACTGCAATCTCTGCCTCCTGGGTTCAAACGATTCTCCTGCCTCAGCCACCTGAGTAGCTGGGACTATAGGCAAGTGCCACCATGCCCAGCTAATTTTTGTATTTTAATAGAGACGGGGTTTCACCTTGTTGGCCAGGATGGTCTCAATCTTTTGACCACGTGATCTTGCCCGCCTCGGCCTCCCAGAGTGTTGGGATTACAGGCATGAGCCACAGCGCCTAGCCAATAAAATATATTTAAAAAATCAATTTTAGTGGTTTCTATTGCTTTTCAAATGTGCCTATTAAGGCATTTAAGTGTACATATGCCTTTTTTTATTGGTTTATCTTTTTGATTGCTTTTTATTGGCCTTTAATTTAATCATCCTTTAAAAGCTTCCTGAGAACACTTGAAAAATTTTCTGATTCCTTGTATGTCTAGCCATGTCCTCATGTGTTGACTATTTGTCCTAGGTTCTATTTCTCTGGCTATCTAAAATACTTCTCCAAGAGATAGACCCTGTTCCTTCTGCATGCTGAGAAAGGTCTGTATCCTATAGACTTTCAAAGTTAACTATTTAGGCAATAACTCCTCATGCTCCTCATGTAATTTGAGACAACTCTACTGTATCCAGTTTCTTAATGGACATGTTTACTTGAAGGATATTTCATAGACATTTTAAAACTAGAATTATTGATACACACATGAGCCCACATATGTAAACACACAGATTTGTTTGTCCCTGTGTCTTCTCATACTAAATGATGCTATGAAACATGAAGTTGTTCAGATCTGAAAAGTAAGATTTTTCCTTGATTCCTTTCTATAGAAAATATAACTGAAAGCTCTAATTTTTCTGCCTCCAAACTATATATATTTCCAATCTGACCGTTTATCTCCATTTCTAGAGCAATCAGTTTTGTCCAGGTAACGATGCCCAGGACTGCTTTCTAACTGGACTTCCTGTTTTTGCTTTTGCTGCTCTTCAATCTATTCCCTACAGCCAGGAGAGAAAGTAGATGATCGACCTTATAGTCTAATATTAAAAATCTTCAGCTTCACTTAGATTAAGCACAAACTCCTAAATGTGACTTATATGACTTTTCATGATATGGCAACATCCAGCCTCTGCAATCTTTGCTCTTATCACTTCCCACCTTGCAAACTCTGCTCTAATCCCTCCTGGAAATCAATCACTCTAGCCCCTGCTCAAAGCCACCAAGCTCTTTCCTGCTTCTGCATTTCTACCTCTGCTGTACTCTAGGCTCTGCCCTAAACCTTTGCATGACTAGGTGTTTTACAATTTCAAGACTTCGCTTCGATGTCCCCTACTCAAAGAGGTCTTCCTTAGCTCACTGCACAGCCTAACATAGCTCAAGCTACTGAAACATTATTTCTTTACTTCCTACCACAGAGCTCTGTTTTTTTTCTTTATAGTAGTTCTCACAAATAACTTCTTTATTTATACTTACTTATTCATTGTATGACATCTTTCCCATAATGTTAGAGCTGAAATGGCAAAGATCATATTGTCTTGTAGACCACTGTCTTCTGATCCATACA
The DNA here is from genome assembly GCF_000001405.40 of Homo sapiens. Classification (NCBI taxonomy): domain Eukaryota; kingdom Metazoa; phylum Chordata; class Mammalia; order Primates; family Hominidae; genus Homo; species Homo sapiens. Next base: position 40,172,748 of record NC_000018.10, read on the forward strand.
GAAAGCTTGATACGTGAAAAGTGTTCAATAAACATGGACTGAATAAATAAAATTAATGTCTATGGGCTTCCAGGAACCTATTTATCATATAAATTCATATTTTATAATTATTGGTGAAACATGTTAGATGACATCATATTTTGAAGCTTCTTTTGAATAGTAGGAAAACCAAAGGAGACACTGATTGCTTGCATTTATCATGAGTATGTTCATGAAGTAGGGAAGGCCTGGACAAAGGGGTAAGTAGATATGTTTAGAGCATCGAGTATTTTTATAAATGTAGAAACAGGTTTTTCAATAATAAAACCACAAATTCACTGTCATTAGCAATTATTATTAAGACTTCAGGGCATCATGTGAGAGACATGGAGGAAACTGGGTATGTAATTTAATCTATCCCTATATCACTGTAGAAGCCACTCATAATATGATTGTCAGTCATTTATTTTTGTACTTGTTATCCAGCCATGAACACACATACAAACATTCACTCACAGAAACAATGAAAATAGCATGAAAGAGGATTTTGAATAAGAAAATGTAATGCTTGTTATTCAAGCACTCTTTAAAGATTCAATATAAAGAAATAAATAACCAACTTGAAGGATTTGGCTAGACAAGAGTAAAAGAGGAGGAAAATTGGTCTTTGGTGGTGTGTGGAAGCTATATGTCATAGCTTCAACTCATATCAAAGACAAGAAAGTAATTAATAAAGGATGTGTTGTAGAAATAAGATTGAATGTGTGCTCAACTTAAATAAATGTCAGTTTTGCTTGATGACACTGTCCATTGAGAAACAGAAATTGGAAATTGGTAATCCTATATTATAAATCTCATGGAATATCTCTATTTTTATATAAAATTTCAACCAGCAAGTTTTATTCAGAAGTTGAACTTTCCTGTAGCTAATCTAAGGGAATCACTGATTTCAATGAATTGCTAAAGTGTTAGTGCAGCTATTGTTAAAAATGTGTAAAATGTCTTTGAACTATAGAATTCGCTGTTTGAGTCTAATTCTAAGCTCCTTTAAAAATGTTCTTTCTTTCCTCTAAGTTGAAACTTGAATGGAGGTGGGTGGAGAAAGGCATGTCAGGTATTAGGATTCTGATTTTGCAAATTTCTCTAAGAATTGTGATTTGGTTGTTCAGAAAAATCAGCACAAATGAGGCAATTTCTTTAAAATAAAAGTTATATGGGTGCAATTTGCATTTCATTAATCTGGTCTTTAAAAGTTACCTTCCCCCCTCTTTCCAAACTGTCATATCACACCATCATGTTATAAAAATATTATCTCTTATTAAGTATTGCAGAACTTCATAGTTAGAAGAGGAAATAGAGTTACTTTCATCAAACATTCTCATTTTGCAAATGTGAATATAGAGGCTAGAGAGCTTAAATGGGTTGCAAAGACTCAGCTCACTCAGTGTTAGTGCCAAGCCTAATCTGCAGTTATATCTGGGAGTGACCTCACAAACCATAAAGGAGTCCAGTGGAATAGGTGTAGGACAATAGGGAGTGTTGGATTCAATGGAAATTGCATGCCCATATTTGTGAACTGACCATGTAAACAAATATATTATGTCTTCAGGAAGTTTGGTGCACAACTTTGAGTCCTGTGAACATGATATACCATATGGACTCTCTACATTAGCTCCTTTGGCATCTATGCTAAAAAATGATCAGACGATGTCTTTCATTCAATGACTGCCAAATTGTTGATTTATATTTCTTTGGTGCCAACTTATTTTAGCTCAGAGAAAGTATACCTTTATAACATGAACTAAAGCGAGAAGCTTAAGGATATTAGTGAACAGACACTTTCCTTTGGAAACTTCTAGGAACTTACTTTGTTTGCAGCAAAGATTTTTTTTATTATATGCTTTATTATCATTTAAAGAAAAATGATAATTAAAATTGAGTTAATCTTATATGTTACTCAACAGCCAGAATAATTTTTGTAAATACTGTTTTTCAAAATATTCTCAAGTTTAACATGTTTTCTGTCTCTTCCCTAAGACTTGCCTGCCTGTCTTTTTGGGCTATCAATAATTTCTCTCTACCTAAGAAAGCAATTTTTATTGCTCCTCATTAACAGGTCTCCACTTCAGTCTGATCGATCTCTTTCTTGCATGCTCCCCTCAATAGGTTTATTATCAATCTTGAGCCATAATTTCAATGTTTCCTCCAGCTTAGAGAACTACCTGGGGTATCCCATCAAAGACAGCTTCTTCAAGAAGGCTTATTCCAAGACCTGTCCTATTTTAGTCTGTTCAGGCTTCTATAACAAAATACTATAAATTGGATAGCTTATAAATTTATTTTTCATAGTTCTTATGGCTGGGAAGTCCAAGATCAAGACAGATTCAATGTCTGGTGAAGGCCTGCTTTCTGACTTAATAAACAATGTCTTCTTGCTGTGTTCTCACACAGTGAAAGGGGTTAGTGAGGTCTCTTTTGAGTATCTTTTGTAAGGCTACTGTCCAATTCCTGAGAGCTCCACCCTCATGACCTAATAAACTCCCAAATTCCCTGCCTCCTAATACCATCACTTCGAGGGTTAGGATCTCATCATATGAAATTTGGGGGGACACGAACATTCAGAACATGACACATTCTTTGTGAAACCTGCAGGTACTCTCTGGAGTATGCATCCTCATGCTAGCTTCTGCAGAATGGCCTTTTCACCCATCTATATCACAGTGTTTAGAACTCCTCTTGTTTTCATTTTTTGGAAAAATTATTGAAGACAGAATACATGTCTTCTGTTCTCTGTGTATTTTCCATATTGCCTCATCTATTTATTCACACTTGGTCAAGTTTCAACAAAGAAAACTAATCAATCTTACAAAAAAAAAAACTTAGAGCACAAAGACATTCAAAAGGGAAACACATAGAACGTCATTCTTTTTGCAGCTTGGAAAGAAGCAAAGGCCATATAGATGAGGTAACTGGCTCAAGCTGACACGACTGGATGTACAATTGGAATTAGAAACAAGTCTCCTGAACAGCAGGCCAACACTCATTTCACTATCTACTACCACACTCACAATACTCAGAGATCATTAAGAGGAGAAGAAAGAGTAACATGTCTTTAAGAGTTGATGTACATTTCTGTCTGGATACAAGACACCCAGGCTAGACATCCAGAATGTCAGCTCTTAGCTAGTTCAAAACAATACCACCTGAAACAAAGCAACAGGAGGCGAAGAAAGCTGTCAAGTCCCAATTTGCAGTTTCTAGCAAAGATCACAGGAAAAAATAGACTCCAGATTCAACTTGTCTTTATTTCAACTCCTCAAGGGCTCAGCACCAGCTAACTGCTGGAATTCTACACAAGCCTGTTGACCAGCTTTATGCTTGCTTCTCCTCCTGCCTGGTTACCCAATTAGTTCCTTGTTAACCACACACCTGCAGTGTCTTTTCCCTCAGGCTCTGCTCCTCCCTGTGTAGCTTTTAACCCCTTCTGTACACATTGTTTAAAACACTATTAAGGTGCCCCCATGGATGCCTGACAGAATTGTTGGTGCCCTCTTGGTTGCCAAAGTAATTAGCTTACAGGGACATCTCATCTAATATAACCGCAAAATCCGAAAAAGATCAAACTTCCCTGCCTGTGCAAGCTGCTGGGGCACCAGGAATGCAAACGCTGTTCGTCCAGGTAATGAGGTAACATGACAACACAGAGAATGTCAGAAGGAAGATATCCAGAAATTTTAGTCTGAGGGAAGACAAGAAAAACAATTGTCTTATCAAATCTTTCTGAGCCCCAGAAAGAAAATCCCCTGGGAAGCCAAAAGGAGAATGATGAGTCAAGGAAAAACATCTTGGTGTTAGGCTGAAGACTTTTTCACAGCTGCTCATGCCTCGGTGAATTCCCAAAGCTTGGAAAGGACATATGCTTTCAGGAGGAATGTGTTAGATTGTGCACCGAGAAAGCTAAAGGAACTGATAGTAAGGAGGATAGGCTCTTTTAAGAGTACCAATTGGTCATAAAACCATGTGTCTGCTCACAGACAAACTCCTAATTTAAAAAACAGAACTAATTAGCATTAGCCCTCTTTATTCGGGTCTTCTAAAAAGTAAAATGACTCTAGATAACCTCCATTAGTGACACATTCTATGATCTGAAAATCTTCACCCATAAGAAATACATATCTTTCCATCTTCATTATTAAAGCAGAAAAACAGATTAAAACTGTAAAAGGCAAAACAATCAGATTTTTAAAAAATTACAGTCTAATAAAGGCAGAGAAATTAAAAGAGGAAGCGTGGTTATTTTAAATAAGAAAATATTGCATATATAATTTCAGAGTCATGTAGCCATTATAAAATAATTGGGAGAATGGAACAGTGAAGTGCTAGAAATGCAAAAGTCTCATATCAGTTGTCCAAAAGGAGAGAAAGGTAGATTCTGAAAATTATAGCTCAAGGACCTGACTTTGATAACTACTAGAATTGTCTAGGTGATTACTAAATAATCTATTTGTCCATATTCAAAAAAGGAAAAACTGGTAATGGAAACAAAGTGTTTTCACCAAATGTGTTTTCACCAAAAAACAAATAATAACATGTTAAACTCATCTTCTGTTCCTGTTTCTGATACTGTTTTCAGAATGGAAATGCAAAAAGTTTCAGTAACAATACTTCTAGAGATCAGCAAAGTTTTTCTAATTCAATATGTCTGAAGAAAATGAAAGAAAATATGTTGACATTTTAAATAAAGTCAAGGTTAGTTGGACTATGTTTCTTAAAGGATGAATGTCAATCCAAAGAGATGTCTCAGGGCTGTGTTTCTTCTTTGCACACATATGTGTCATGTGCCTGCCATGTTGCTAGAGTTTGGAAAAACAGCAGTAAGCAACATCTAGACTGGCATAGACCCCTCCTGCTTCCATCGAGATTATATAAATTTGATTTATTTTTTTTAAAAGTAGATGTAGAAATAGAAGTTTATATCATGTCCTTAGTTTTTTTACAAAGCCAGATGAATAGCTAAATCATTAGTCAGAGACTTTTGGTAGAAAAAGTTTAGGCTAGAATGATGCATCACAGGTGAGAACCAAGATAGTTAATAAGGATAAATGTAAATTTGGATACATATTTTAAAGCTTAAATCAAGAGATATTTCTTACAGTCTTGAAATTATGGGTGACTCCAAGATCTGAGGAGGCTAGAAAGTAATTTAACTTTCAAAATAGCCAATTAAATCCTAAATAGTAAAAATAAAGGCAAAATCTAGTGTTCAAAACAAGGTAGGATTAGCTAAATTGTTTAGAAGAATTTAGAAATTTTCATTATATTTGGGGCCCTACAATTTTTAAAGAAAATAACAAGTCAAAATAAATTCAGGATAGGTAAAGCAGGGTAGTAAAATATTTCAAAATTCTGTAATATGAGAACTAGTCAAATAATTTGGAACATTTAGGTTAGAAAACTAAATTGTAGTGAACTCTTGTTCACTACAAGAATGATTTCATTGTTTTGAATAGGTCCTCAGTACAAAACTAGGATTAAGTGATGGAAATTCCAAAGACACAAATGTATGTCTAATAACTATATATATATATATATATATTCACCAAACACATAAGAAGGCATGATGTTTAATATAGAGGATACTAAAATGACCAAGTATACTTTGAATAGCAAGCTGTCAGGAATATTTTTTTAAAAAGACTTCTCAATTAAGTAGAATTTTTGCCTAAGTGATATCTAAGATCCCTTCTAATTTTCTAAATCTGAATTTATGAGATTGTAAAGGAGATATTTTCTTCTGCACATTTGACTTGAGATGAATGCTTTCTCCTGAATTACTATTCTATAACCACCAGATATGAACAGTTATTAAGTAGAAATGGTTTCTCCAATGTCTTTTGCCTTGATCTATGGATGTTATCATCATAGAGCTCAAATTCAATAACAAGTAAGCCTAGCATCTCAATCAAGCCACATTTTACCTCTTTTACTGTACTTTGCTAAACTAAATATATTAACTTTTTCCTCATGTTATGAATCTTGGTACAGATTTTTTCTAAAATAAGAAAAATCATTTCTTTCTAGTCACATTTCAGTTTTTTGGTCAATTAAGTTTGCAATTTCTTTTATTCTTCATTTTATGTTATACTCAGAATAATTCTAAAGATGTCATGTTTTATTAGATACTAGGGTAGCCAAGGATGTCATGACACTAACTAATTCTCAGCTTTGCTGATGTCCAAATTCCAAAGCGTCTCTGAATTAGTTTCTCTGGAGACTGGCTTTGTGTTTCCTTTTGCAAGATGGGAACGTCTGTCTTTAACTATGCTGGGTGGTGGAAGAGATCCTTCTGGCCTGCTCCACTCCCTATAGAAGTTACCTAGTTCCCTTTAATGTACGAGTTTCTCCAGGCTTATGAAGTACAAATATGCTTGCTTTAATTTTTTTTTTCAATAGGATCTCAAGTTTCTTTTTACTCCTCCTCTGCTGAGTCAAATACCACTCGTCACTCTGTTTTTTATTTTCCACATTTTGCTGACATCACTTATCTGGAGTAATTTCCCATATTGTTCTTATTTTCCTCATAAGTTTATACCTTTTTAAAATTATCGTTGTGTAGTTTTAGAAAGAAACAGATAAAAACATTTGATCTGACAGGTTAAAACAAAAGTCTCATTTTGTTTTCATTTTATTTTTGATTTGTTGTTATTGTTCATTCAACCACATAGTGCCACATATTTAAATACCTATTTTAGTTTAAAACTTTTTAACACTAAAACCAAGGAAATGACAGAAAAATAGATCAAAATTTAGTGTCTCTCCATTCAGGAGAAATTATATGTGAAAATATTTCCTCTTTTCTATCTTTTAATATTTTCTGCATGTAACAAATGTACTATTTTCATAAGAAAATCTAATTGAAATAATCAAAATAATTTTATTCCACTTTCTTTCTTCTTGTGCATTATAAAATTAATTTAAATAAAATATTCTAAAGATTCTGGGAAGAATACAGAGCATGAGGAAGCTGTCTCCCACCTAGACAACTGTACTCATTCACAGAATCTATCTAAAGTAACTATTTTGGAAGTCTGGAGTGTATTGAAGGTTTGTAACATGCAGGGGGAGTCTTGGGCTGCAAATTGTAGTTAATTTAAGTCAATTTCAGATCTTAGCACAGTAGCAGCTACTCATTCCCCATTCCCTAGCAGCTGTGCTTGTGGTCTTGGAACAGCTTGCAAGCCGCTTGCAGGAGCCACAATAAGCAAAAAGAACCCTGTCCTCCACATACTGGGGATCTGTGCTCTGGTTGCTGATTGCTGCTCTTATTAAAGAGATACAGACAAAGAGATGGATATCCATTGTTGTAGCACCTCTTACCATTGTTGCAACAATTTCCTTTCTGGCTGAACTAACTTCTAAGAACTTAAAGGGCTAGTGGCTTTCAATCCCCTCACTTTTTCTTCTCCTAGAGCCTCACATTAAAGACTAAAATATTCAAAAGCATTTGCATATGTAGAGAAAATTAGAAAGTGATGTGCACGCCCAGGAAAAGGTGTGGGCTCAGAAAAAAACTGAGAAGATCTTAATTTTACCCCTTAGGCTACTCCCTGGTACACAGATAGCCTACAACAATAACAATAAAATAGTTTAAAAAAATACAAAAAAAGTGAGCCCCAGTTAAGGAGAATCTGATTTCCAAATTTACCATATTATTCTATTCAAATCTCTAGCTTTAACAACAAAAAAAATAAGGCATACATGGAAAAAGGAAAGTATGGCCCATTCAAAGGAATAAATAGATAAATAGAAACTGATCATAAAAGAGATCTGAAGACAGATCTATTAGACAAATACTTTAAAACATGCTCAAATAACTAAAGGAAGAGGTGGAGAAAGTCAACATACAATGTGTAAACAAACTGGAAATATCAGTAAAGAGATAGAAAACTTACAAGGAAACCTAACAAAAATTCTGTAACTGAAAAGTATAATAACTGAAATTAAAAAATTATTAGATGAATTCAAAGGAAGATTTGAGCAGGCAGTCTAAAAGAATCAGCAAACTTGAAGACAGGACAATGGAAACTATTGAGTAGGAGAAAAAGAAAAAAAAAGATTGAATAAAAGTGAATAGAGCCTAAGAAACTTGTGGGACACCATCAAGCAGATCAACGTAAACATTGTGAGAGTTCGAGAAGAAGAAAGAGAAACGGGCAGAGAGAATATTTGAAAAAATAATGGCTGAACATTTATCAATTTGATAAAAGTCATAAATACAAATATCCAAAAAGCTCAGAAATTCCAAGATGAATTCAAAGAGACCCACCCTGAGGCTCATTATAATCAAGCTTTCAAAATGCAAAGACAGGCCAGTCGCAGGCGCCCAGGCCTGTAATCCCAACACTTTGGGAAGCAGAAAGGGTCAGATAACTTGAGGTCAGGTGTTTGAGACTAGGCTGGCCAACATGGTGAAACCTCCTCTCTACTAAAAATACAAAAATTAGCCAGGGATGGTGGTGCATGCTCATAATCCCAGCTACTTGAGAGGCTGAGGCAGGAGGATCGTTTGAACCCAAGAGATGGAGGTTGCAATGAACCAAGATCATGCTGCTGCACTCCAGCCTGGGTGACAGAGCGAGACTCTGTCTCAAAAAAAAAAAAAAAAAAAAAAAAAAAAGACAATAACAAAGAAAGAGTCTTGAAAGCAGCAAGAGACAGGTGACTCTTACGTACAAGGATTCCTGAAAAGATTATCAGTAGATTTCTCATCAGAAATTTAGAGTATTAAAGGCAATTATTCACAGTGCTAAAACAAAACAACAACAACAAAAGTAATTGTTAACCAAGGATTCCATACCAGAAAAACTGTCCTCCAGCAGTGGGGAGAGAAGTTAAGGTATTCCCAGATAAATAAAAGTTGAAGAAATTTGGTATCACCAGACCTGCTCTGCACAAAATTTTCAAGAGTCCTAAAGGGTAAAATGAAAGGACACCAGACAGAAACTTGAAGCTGTATGAAGAAAGAAATCTGCCAATAAAGGTAAATAAATGAAAAATTCTGAAAGCCAGTATTATTATAACAGCGGTTTGTAACTCTACTTTTTAATTTTGGATGACTTAGGAGACTAACACATTTTTTAAAAAACACAATTATTAGTTTGAAAACTAATATTATTGTAATTTTGATTTGAAAATATATACTTTTTTACATCATGTAAGAGCCTATTAAAATATTTAAAAATAGAAAAGGAAAAATAGAAAAAGGAGATTAACACATATGAAAGAATTATTAGTACTTTTGAGGGGCATACAGTTTATAACATGTAATTGTGTCACATCAACAACTGAAAAGAATGAGGATCAAACTGTGAAGAAGCAGAGTTTTCACATGTTATTGAATTTAAGCTCTTATAAATTCAAATATAGTATTATAACTTTAGGATGCTGAATATAATCTCCATGGTAACTACAAAAAATGGCTACAGAGTATACACAAAAGAAAAATGAGAAAATAATTTAAACATTGTTTTAAGTACACACATACACAAGAGGAGAGTGTGACAGGAAACAAGGGATAAGAAAGCTATAATGCATATAAAAAACAAATTGCAAATGATGAAATAAATTCATTCTTATTAATAATTACTTTAAATGTAAATGGATTAAATTTTTCAATGAAAAGTCAAAATTGGCAGAATGGATTAAAAATACATGATGCACATATGTGCTGTTTATAAGAGACTCACTCTAAGTTAGAGACAAATGGATTGAAACTGAAAGGATGGAAAAAAATACACTCTATGCAAATAGTAATCAAAAGAGAGCAAGAATGGCTATCCTAAAATTAGATAAAATAGACTTTAAGTCAAAAAAGATGTAAAAAGCCAAATAAGGAAATTATATATTAATAAAAATTTTTAACACAGCAAGCAAATATAGCAATTATAAACATTTAGATACCTATAATAGACCATTGAAATATACAAAGCAAAAACTGACAGAATTGAAGAGATAGAGAGTTCTACAATAACAGTTGGTAAATTCCATAGCCCACTCTCAGTAATGGACAGAAACAAAGAGATAGAAAATAAATAAAATAATAGAGGACTTAAAAATTATAATATTCCAACTAGATCTAGCAGACACATACAGAACATTCTACTAAAAAATAATAGATAGCCACTGTGGAAAATAACGTACCAGGTACCTCCCAAAATTGGAAATGGAATTTCCATCTGATCCAGTACTTCTACTTGTGGGTATATTCCCCCCAAAATTGAAAGCAAGGTATCAACGATATATTTGTGCACCTTTATTTATGGCAACATTATTCAAAACAGCTAAAATGTGGAAACAACCCAAGTGTTCATAGATGGGTAAATAGATAAATAAATGTGGTATATGCATACAATAGAGTATAATTCAGCCTTTTTTTTTAAAAAAAAGAAGAAAATTCTGGCATATGCTACAACATGGATGAAACTTGGGAACATTACGCTAAGTAAAATAAGCCAAGTCACATAAAGACAAATACTGTGTGAGTCCACTTATATTAGCTAGTTAGTGTAGTCAAAATCATAAAGACAGAAAGTAAATGGTATTTTCTAGGGATCAGAGGCAGGATATTGAGGAATTATTGTTTAATAAGTATCGAGTTTCAGTTTTACAAAATGGAGAGTTACAGAGGTGGATGGTAACATATTATGAATGTATTTAATATCATTGAACTGTACACCTAAACAGATCATGATAGCAAATTGTGTGTTATGTGTGTTTTACAACAAAAATGAAGGAAAATATTTTTAAAAACCTAATAAAATTAATTGTCATTGTTTTTATATAAAAAAAACAGAGTACACTTTTACATTAAAAGTGTTAAGAAAAATTTCTTATCAAATAAAACAGTGTGAGTCTTATGCAGTGAAAATATATTGGGAATAAGGTATTGAAACAATATAAATTAAAGTGATTAAAATCTAGTATTGGGTGCCATGAGGTTTATTTCTTTTAAGGGAATTTGTTATAAGCTTTAGTGCTAAGATATTGCCTTCAAGGTATGGAGGTATGAAGTTAAGGCCTGGCAAGCTCTGCTACGATGACTTGGACTGGAAAGAGTTAAGATTCACACCCTAACTTCTAGATTTTGGTGTGAGGGTGCCCCTTGACGGTTGTGAACACCATGCTCCACATGTGTTTAAATGTTCATCATAATAGTCCCTGGGTTTGTCCTTGGTGGGGGCTGGAGGCAGTGGGATCCCAGGGGAGGATTATTGTTAGCAATGTCATTTAAAAACAGAGTAAACAAATAACAACAAATTCACTATAGGGAATGCACTGCCTTGAGCTTTGAGATAGGGGGATTCAAATGGGATTTTCAAAATTATATTGCTGGTTTTGCTAACAAAACAGATGTGGGTTAAAAAAAAATGTATAAGTTGCTGAATATGGTTCCCTAAAGCTGCTTCCCCTGCCCACCACACTCACCAAAAATGAGTAGCTTAATACACAGAACGGATTTTTATGACATTTTTACGATTTTTTGCCAGTTCAAGTGCATTTCATCTTCTTTGATCACATTTTGTTTGACTTTATCTCATTACAGACCCCTTAGATTTTCCTTGAGCTTAGGTCATTAACCCTTTGGATATACATTTTTAGTATGCCCTAGCAATATTTAATAAATTTAAACAGGTAATTTGAATTTCTGTGACTAAATTTATCTCTCACTATACATATATATAGTTACGTCCTATATAGACTTAAACTTTCTCTTTTCCCAACTTCCATTAAGCGACTGATACTTCATTAAGCAGTTTTCCAAGACCATTTGTTGATTTTTAAAATCCTGTTTATAAAACAAATTCATACTTACAGTAGAGAATTTAGAAAATGCAGCTAATTACATATAAATAAAAACTATATAATCTTTCCACTTTCAAAAAGTCACTGTTACTATATTCAGTAATTAAGTGATCTTATTTTCCCCATATGTAGACAACTTATTATTGCTGTTGTTCTAAAAATTTAGACTGCCATCCTATGAAATTTCATATCTTGATTTTTAAAAATATATATACGGTCCTTTATTAAAAAAAGTATTTTCCAATATATTAAGGGCTATCATTTAACCTCATGTTTGAACAGCATAATTTTAATGTAAATATTTAATTATTCTTTATGTAGATGATTCATAACGTACTTAATTATCTTCCAATTTCTGAGCATTTAGATTATTTATTTTTTCACCGTGTTCGTGTTTAGGTTGATATGTTTGCATGAGTTTTTATAGAGAGATGGAGACAGCGAGGCAGACAGAGACAGAGACACGGAAAGAACTCAAACAAAATATCATGGAAATAAATGAAGAGCAACCAAATGTTATTTATTCAGAGCTTGCTATAGCAAGAGAGTCAGTCATTGTTACTTGTGTTTTGGCAGAAATTGAAAGGCAGGCGGAGGATTGGTAAAGCTTTATAGCGAACAAAAGGGAAGCTTCAGTTCTGCTCTAACAGAGATGCTTAGTATGGGGAAGCTGTAGGTTGGCTAAGTAGAAGCAGCACATGCTATGTCACTGGTTAGGGGGTACATATCTGGCTTTCTCTGACTGGTCCTAAGTTGGAAGTGGAGATAAAAAATTAGGAAAGCAGTTCGTTATTAAACAAGTCCTGGCCATTTCGGAGTGATGGTTAAAAAAGTTATTGTTTGGCTTACTGGATTGGTACTGAAATAGCAGCATGATTTCCTACAATCGTGGCTTCCTGGTTGGTTATTGTAGATAAGGGGTTCCTGCAGGTTTTGGGTCAGAGTTCTACTTTTACATATGATCAAGCTATTCTCTGTTTGGATATTCAGTCTCTCAATATACACAATCTTTTATAATACTTTTAACAGACATGGTATATTTACATAAATTGCCTATATCCTGGTCCAATGTAAAAGTCTCAATACTTTTTAATTGATATTACACAGACCTCATCAAGTGATCACAATGCAGTAAATTAGAAATCAACATAAAACCAACATAAAAAAGCAAAGTAGAAAAGAAGAAGAATGAGGAGGGAAAAGTTTGTTTAAAAAAGAAAAGAATAACAAAGCAAACTAGATCCATAACAACCACAAATTCTCTTCACCTTTAGAAAGTGATTAACATTCTTCTAAATAGAACAAAATTAAATTTAAATTTTAATTACTTAGATAGAATGGAAGTGCAACATATCAAAACCCATAGAATCTAGATAAAGCAATACTTGGAGAAAATTTTGCAGTCCTTTAAATATACATTAAATAGGGTTTCCATGAACACCCATGCACCTGAACACCTGTGATATTTTTCAGACTTATTTGGATATCTTCAAATGTCCAGATAAATTTCAAGAATGGTTTCAAGAATAATATAAAGAATTCTTGAATATGCCTTATTCAGATTCACAATTTTTAAAATTTTGCCACATTTTTTTAATCCTTCTATCATTATATATAGACATAGATATAACATATAGTACTTTTTGTTTGTTTGTTTGTTTTATTTTCTTTCAGACAGAGTCTCACTCTGTTGCCCAGACTGGAGTGCAGTGGCATGATCTCGGCCCACTGCAACCTCCACCTCCAGGGTTCAAGCAATTCTCCTGCCTCAGTCTCCCAAGTAGGTAAGATTACAGTCATGTGCCACCATGCCCTGCTAATTTTTGTATTTTTGGTAGAGATGGGGCTTCACCATGTCGGCCAGACTGGTCTCAAACTCTTGACTTCAAGTGCTCTTCCTGCCTCCACCTCCCAAAGTTGGGATTACAGGCATGAGCCGCAGTGACCAGCCAAGATATAAATTTATGTATTGATTTTTCTACACCCTTTCAGTGACAATTGCATACATTACGCTTTTTAACCATAAATTCTTCAGAGTACATTTTCTACAAACAATTAAATGACCATAGTGCAGTTAATACATTCAGGAATTTTAATATTGATAAAGGAATATTACTCAATCTAGACTCCATATTCCAATTTCACAAACTGTTTCAATAGTATTCTTCATGCCAACTTTTCCCCAAGATCCAATTCAGGTTGCATATTGCATTTAGAAACCATAATGACTCACTGGGACTCTTAACTGGAACAGTTTTTCAATTTTTCTTTGTCTTTCATGAAATAGACACTTTTGAAAAGCATAAACAGCCTACTTAGTTTGTAGACATTCCCTCACTTGTGTTCCCTCACAATTAGATTCAGGTTACTCATTCTTGGCACAAATACTACATAAAGTTATGCTGTCTCAGTTCATCAATCAGGGATGTTGGTGTGTCCCATTATTAGTCACATTAACTTTGATGATTTGTTTAAGGTGTGCCAAGTTTGTTCATTTTAAAGTTACTGCTTTTCTCTTTGAATGAACGCATATTGAGAGCCTCTCTAAGTATCATGTTCATCATAAAATGTTTGCATTTATTAATAATTTTCATCTGAATCATTATGTCTGTGATGATTATAAAGTGGTGATGTTCCAAATCCATTTTGTCTTCCCCACTTATTAATAAGCATTCTACTATAAAGAAGTGTTCTTTTCATCCCATTTATTTACTTATGTTTGCATTTCTTAACTGTAAGGACTCACAAGTTTTTGTTTTATTTATTTATTTTTATTTTTTATTTATTTTATTTTTTTTTTGAGGGGGAGTCTTGCTCTGTCGCCCGGGCTGGAGTGCAGTGGCGTGATCTCCGTTCACTGCAAGCTCCGCCTCCCAGGTTCACGCCATTCTCCTGCCTCAGCCTCCCGAGTAGCTAGGACTACATGCGCCCGCCACCACACCCCGCTAATTTTTTGAATTTTTTTTTTTTTTGCATATCCATCATCTCAAACACTTATCATTTCTTTTTTTTTTTTTTTCCTGGTTTTCCTCACTTCTTTTCTTTTTTTCTTTTTTTTTTTTTTATTATACTTTAAGTTTTAGGGTACATGTGCACCTTGTGCAGGTTAGTTACATATGTATACATGTGCCATGCTGGTGCGCTGCACCCACTAACTCGTCATCTAGCATTAGGTATATCTCCCAATGCTATCCCTCCCCCCTCCCCCCACCACACCACAGTCCCCAGAGTATGATATTCCCCTTCCTGTGTCCATGTGAGCTCAATGTTCAATTCCCACCTATGAGAGAGAATATGCGGTGTTTGGTTTTTTGTTCTTGCGATAGTTTACTAAGAATGATGATTTCCAATTTCATCCATGTCCCTACAAAGGACATGAACTCATCATTTTTTATGGCTGCATAGTATTCCATGGTGTATATGTGCCATATTTTCTTAATCCAGTCTATCATTGTTGGACATCTGGGTTGGTTCCAAGTCTTTGCTATTGTGAATAATGCCACAATAAACATACGTGTGCATGTGTCTTTATAGCAGCATGATTTATAGTCATTTGGGTATATACCCAGTAATGGGATGGCTGGGTCAAATGGTATTTCTAGTTCTAGATCCCTGAGGAATCGCCACACTGACTTCCACAATAGTTGAACCAGTTTACAGTCCCACCAACAGTGTAAAAGTGTTCCTATTTCTCCGCATCCTCTCCAGCACCTGTTGTTTCCTGACTTTTTAATGATTGCCATTCTAAATGGTGTGAGATGGTATCTCACAGTGGTTTTGATTTGCATTTCTCTGATGGCCAGTGATGATGAGCATTTTTTCATGTGTTTTTTGGCTGCATAAATGTCTTCTTTTGAGAAGTGTCTGTTCATGTCCTTCGCCCACTTTTTGATGGGGTTGTTTGTTTTTTTCTTGTAAATTTGTTTGAGTTCATTGTAGATTCTGGATATCAGCCCTTTGTCAGATGAGTAGGTTGCGAAAATTTTCTCCCATTTTGTAGGTTGCCTGTTCACTCTGATGGTGGTTTCTTTTGCTGTGCAGAAGCTCTTTAGTTTAATTAGATCCCATTTGTCAATTTTGGCTTTTGTTGCCATTGCTTTTGGTGTTTTGGACATGAAGTCCTTGCCTATGCCTATGTCCTGAATGGTAATGCCTAGGTTTTCTTCTAGGGTTTTTATGGTTTTAGGTCTAACGTTTAAATCTTTAATCCATCTTGAATTGATTTTTGTATAAGGTGTAAGGAAGGGATCCAGTTTCAGCTTCCTACATATGGCTAGCCAGTTTTCCCAGCACCATTTATTAAATAGGGAATCCTTTCCCCATTGCTTGTTTTTCTCAGGTTTGTCAAAGATCAGATAGTTGTAGGTATGCGGTGTTATTTCTGAGGGCTCTGTTCTGTTCCATTGATCTATATCTCTGTTTTGGTACCAGTACCATGCTGTTTTGGTTACTGTAGCCTTGTAGTATAGTTTGAAGTCAGGTAGTGTGATTCCTCCAGCTTTGTTTTTTTGGCTTAGGATTGACTTGGCGATGCGGGCTCTTTTTTGGTTCCATATGAACTTTAAAGTAGTTTTTTCCAATTCTGTGAAGAAAGTCATTGGTAGCTTGATGGGGATGGCATTGAATCTGTAAATTACCTTGGGCAGTATGGCCATTTTCACGATATTGATTCTTCCTACCCATAAGCATGGAATGTTCTTCCATTTGTTTGTATCCTCTTTTATTTCCTTGAGCAGTGGTTTGTAGTTCTCCTTGAAGAGGTCCTTCACATCCCTTGTAAGTTGGATTCCTAGGTATTTTATTCTCTTTGAAACAATTGTGAATGGGAGTTCACACATGATTTGGCTCTCTGTTTGTCTGTTGTTGGTGTATAAGAATGCTTGTGATTTTTGTACATTGATTTTGTATCCTGAGACTTTGCTGAAGTTGCTTATCAGCTTAAGGAGATTTTGGGCTGAGACAATGGAGTTTTCTAGATATACAATCATGTCGTCTGCAAACAGGGACAATTTGACTTCCTCTTTTCCTAATTGAATACCCTTTATTTCCTTCTCCTGCCTAATTGCCCTGGCCAGAACTTCCAACACTATGTTGAATAGGAGTGGTGAGAGAGGGCATCCCTGTCTTGTGCCTGTTTTCAAAGGGAATGCTTCCATTTTTTCCCCATTCAGTATGATATTGGCTGTGGGTTTGTCATAGATAGCTCTTACTATTTTGAAATATGTCCCATCAATACCTAATTTATTGAGAGTTTTTAGCATGAAGGGTTGTTGAATTTTGTCAAAGGCTTTTTCTGCATCTATTGAGATAATCATGTGGTTTTTGTCTTTGGCTCTGTTTATATGCTGGATTACATTTATTGATTTACGTATATTGAACCAGCCTTGCATCCCAGGGATGAAGCCCACTTGATCATGGTGGATAAGCTTTTTGATGTGCTGCTGGATTCGGTTTGCCAGTATTTTATTGAGGATTTTTGCATCAATGTTCATCAAGGATATTGGTCTAAAATTCTCTTTTTTGGTTGTGTCTCTGCCCGGCTTTGGTATCAGAATGATGCTGGCCTCATAAAATGAGTTAGGGAGGATTCCGTCTTTTTCTATTGATTGGAATAGTTTCAGAAGGAATGGTACCAGTTCCTCCTTGTACCTCTGGTAGAATTCGGCTGTGAATCCATCTGGTCCTGGACTCTTTTTGGTTGGTAAACTATTGATTATTGCCACAATTTCAGCTCCTGTTATTGGTCTATTCAGAGATTCAACTTCTTCCTGGTTTAGTCTTGGGAGGGTGTATGTGTCGAGGAATTTATCCATTTCTTCTAGATTTTCTAGTTTATTTGCGTAGAGGTGTTTATAGTATTCTCTGATGGTAGTTTGTATTTCTGTGGGATCGGTGGTGATATCCCCTTTATCATTTTTTATTGTGTCTATTTGATTCTTCTCTCTTTTTTTCTTTATTAGTCTTGCTAGGGGTCTATCAATTTTGTTGATCCTTTCAGAAAACCAGCTCCTGGATTCATTGATTTTTTCAAGGGTTTTTTGTGTCTCTATTTCCTTCACTTCTGCTCTGATTTTAGTTATTTCTTGCCTTCTGCTAGCTTTTGAATGTGTTTGCTCTTGCTTTTCTAGTTCTTTTAATTGTGATGTTAGGGTGTCAATTTTGGATCTTTCCTGCTTTCTCTTGTGGGCATATAGTGCTATAAATTTCCCTCTACACACTGCTTTGAATGCGTCCCAGAGATTCTGGTATGTTGTGTCTTTGTTCTCATTGGTTTCAAAGAACATCTTTATTTCTGCCTTCATTTCGTTATGTACCCAGTAGTCATTCAGGAGCAGGTTGTTCAGTTTCCATGTAGTTGAGTGGCTTTGAGTGAGCTTCTTAATCCTGAGTTCTAGTTTGATTGCACTGTGGTCTGAGAGATAGTTTGTTATAATTTCTGTTCTTTTACATTTGCTGAGGAGAGCTTTACTTCCAACTATGTGGTCAATTTTGGAATAGGTGTGGTGTGGTGCTGAAAAAAATGTATATTCTGTTGATTTGGGGTCGAGAGTTCTGTAGATGTCTATTAGATCCGCTTGGTGCAGAGCTGAGTTCAATTCCTGGGTATTCTTGTTGACTTTCTGTCTCGTTGATCTGTCTAATGTTGACAGTGGGGTGCTAAAGTCTCCCATTATTAATGTGTGGGAGACTAAGTCTCTTTGTAGGTCACTGAGGACTTGCTTTATGAATCTTCGTGCTCCTGTATTGGGTGCATATATATTTAGGATAGTTAGCTCTTCTTGTTGAATTGGTCCCTTTACCATTATGTAATGGCCTTCTTTGTCTCTTTTGATCTTTGTTGGTTTAAAGTCTGTTTTATCAGAGACTAGGATTGCAACCCCTGCCTTTTTTTGTTTTCCATTGGCTTGGTAGATCTTCCTCCATCCTTTTATTTTGAGCGTATGTGTGTCTCTGCACGTGAGATGGGTTTCCTGAATACAGCACACTGATGGATCTTGACTCTTTATCCAATTTTCCAGTCTGTGTCTTTTAATTGGAGAATTTAGTCCATTTACATTTAAAGTAAATATTTTTATGTGTGAATTTGATCCTGTCATTATGATGTTAGCTGGTGATTTTGCTCGTTTGTTGATGCAGTTTCTTCCTAGTCTCGATGGTCTTTACATTTTGTCATGATTTTGCAGCGGCTGGTACCGGTTGTTCCTTTCCATGTTTAGCGCTTCCTTCAGGAGCTCTTTTAGGGCAGGCCTGGTGGTAATAAAATCTCTCAGCATTTGCTTGTCTGTAAAGTATTTTATTTCTCCTTCACTTATGAAGCTTAGTTTGGCTGGATATGAAATTCTGGGTTGAAAATTCTTTTCTTTAAGAATGTTGAATATTGGCCCCCACTCTCTTCTGGCTTGTAGGGTTTCTGCCGAGAGATCTGCTGTTAGTCTGATGGGCTTCCCTTTGAGGGTAACCCGACCTTTCTCTCTGGCTGCCCTTAACATTTTTTCCTTCATTTCAACTTCGGTGAGTCTGACAATTATGTGTCTTGGAGTTGCTCTTCTTGAGGAGTATCTTTGTGGCGTTCTCTGTATTTCCTGAATCTGAACGTTGGCCTGCCTTGCTAGATTGGGGAAGTTCTCCTGGATAATATCCTGCAGAGTGTTTTCCAACTTGGTTCCATTCTCCCCATCACTTTCAGGTACACCAATCAGACGTAGATTTGGTCTTTTCACATAATCCCATATTTCTTGGAGGCTTTGCTCATTTCTTTTTATTCTTTTTTCTCTAAATTTCCCTTCTCACTTCATTTCATTCATTTCATCTTCCATTGCTGATACCCTTTCTTCCAGTTGATCGCATTGGCTCCTGAGGCTTCTGCATTCTTCACGTAGTTCTCGAGCCTTGGTTTTCAGCTCCATCAGCTCCTTTAAGCACTACTCTGTATTGGTTATTCTAGTTATACATTCTTCTAAATTTTTTTCAAAGTTTTCAACTTCTTTGCCTTTGGTTTGAATGTCCTCCCGTAGCTCAGAGTAATTTGATCATCTGAAGCCTTCTCCTCTCAGCTCGTCAAAGTCATTCTCCATCCAGCTTTGTTCCGTTGCTGGTGAGGAACTGCGTTCCTTTGGAGGAGGAGAGACGCTCTGCGTTTTAGAGTTTCCAGTTTTTCTGTTCTGTTTTTTCCCCATCTTTGTGGTTTTATCTACTTTTGGTCTTTGATGATGGTGATGTACAGATGGGTTTTCGGTGTGGATGTCCTTTCTGTTTGTTAGTTTTCCTTCTAACAGACAGCACCTTCAGTTGCAGGTCTGTTGGAGTACCCTGTCAGTGTGCCCCTGCTGGGGGGTGCCTCCCAGTTAGGCTGCTCGGGGGTCAGGGGTCAGGGACCCACTTGTGGAGGCAGTCTGCCGGTTCTCAGATCTCCATCTGCGTGCTGGGAGAACCACTGCTCTCTTCAAAGCTGTCAGACAGGGACATTTAAGTCTGCGGAGGTTACTGCTGTCTTTTTGTTTGTCTGTGCCCTGCCCCCAGAGGTGGGGCCTACAGTGGCAGGCAGGCCTCCTTGAGCTGTGGTGGGCTCCACCCAGTTTGAGCTTCCCAGCTGCTTTGTTTTCCTAAGCAAGACTGGGCAATGGCGGGCGCCCCTCCCCCAGCCTCGCTGCCGCCTTGCAGTTTGATCTCAGACTGCTGTGCTAGCAATCAGTGAGACTCCGTGGGCGTAGGACCCTCCGAGCCAGGTGTGGGATATAGTCTCGTGGTGCGCCGTTTTTTAAGCCGGTCTGAAAAGTGCAATATTCGGGTGGGAGTGACCCGATTTTCCAGGTGCGTCCGTCACCCCTTTCTTTGACTCGGAAAGGGAACTCCCTGGCCCCTTGTGCTTCCCAGGTGAGGCAATGCCTCGCCCTGCTTCGGCTCGCACACGGTGCGCGCACCCACTGGCCTGCGCCCACTGTCTGGCACTCCCTAGTGAGATGCACCCGGTACCTCAGATGGAAATGCAGAAATCACCCGTCTTCTGCATCGCTCACGCTGGGAGCTGTAGACCGGAGCTGTTCCTATTCGGCCATCTTGGCTCCTCCCCTAATTTTTTGAATTTTTAGTAGACATGGGGTTTCACCGTGTTAGCCAGGATGAGGACTCACAAGTTTTTTATTTAATATACATATATAAAATTTTGACAATGTATTTTAAGCCTTCTTTGGGTAACCTTCTTGGAAGTAGAGATTCTTGAAGTAAGTTTGTGACAGTCAGCCAAGTTTCATTCTAGAAAAGCAAAATTTGGAACTCCCGCCACCAGTGTATTAAAATGCTTATGTTATAACTAGCTGTATTTTCAGGTGATTGAACGTTGTCAATATGATGGGTGAAATGTGGACACGGACTCGTGTGATTTCACAGTTTGTGTTTACTAATAAGCTTATGAGTTTATTTCCTATTTGTATTGGTTGGCTCTCCTGTTTTGGTTTTTGCTGTTGCTTTTGTTTGTAATGTTGATATTTTTCTTACTGAATTTTTTAAGGATACATACTTTGACATACAATTGTCCTTAAAATATCTTCCCTGCCAATTATAACTGTGCTGCAAATATTTACTAAAGTCCCTGCGGCTCTGCAGGGACTCTTCTCCAGTGCAGGAAATTTCTCTCATCTTACTTTTTGAAAATTATCAGGGGGATGGTCAGCCTCTCCCTCACCTATCTGAAACCTAAGCCCCTGGCTTCTTATTTATTTTTTGTAGCCTGATGTCCTGTGGAGACCAATGCCTCTGTAGGACTGACATCTAGCAGTTTATTTCTCTTTTATCCATGAATACTGTACGTCAAGTTAGCTTTAACTCTATGTTCTGGTCTTAGCGTAAGTCTTGTTTTAAGCTTCATTTTCCATATAGATACAATAGCCTTGGCTTCTGCTTGTCTTGGAGGAAGATTTTGACAAGCAGAAGATATATTTGAAAGAATATAGATTGCGAAGGCCTTTAAATTCCCAACTTGTATGTGTTCCATCTAGCTTAGCAGTCCTCAGGGTGTGGCCCAGGATCTTCCGGGGATTCCAAAGGTCCTTTCAGAAAGTCAGCAAGGTCAAAACTATTTTCATAATAAAACTAAGACATCATTTGTCTTTTTAACTCACACTTTTCTGATGAGCCTATGGTGGAGTTTTCCAAAGGCTACATGATTTGTGATACTGCATCAGATTAAAGGCAGATACACACATGAGAACCTAGCTATCTTCTATTCAATCAGTCATCAAATAAATTTTCAAAAATTCAAAGCAATAATACTATTTGACATAGTTTGGATATTTGTCCCTGCACAAATCTCATTTGGAATTGTAGTCCCAAAGGTTGGAGTTGGGGCCTGGTAGGAAATGTTTGGATTATGAGAGCAAATCCTGCATGACTTGGTCCTGTCTCTGTAATAGTGAGTTCTTCTGAGATATGGTCACTTAAAAGTGTGTGACACCTCCCCCGCAAGTCTCTCTTGCTTGCTCCTGCTTTTGCTGTGTGACTTGCATGATCCCATTTAACCTTCCTCCATGATCGTAAGCTTCCTGAGGCCTCTCTGGAAGCTGAGCAGATGCCATCTAAAGCCTGCAGAACCATGAGCTAATTAAAAGTCTTTTCTTTATAAATTACCCAGCCTCAGATATTTCTTTATAGCAAAGCAAAAATGGCCTAAGAAACTATTTCTTCTATTTCTTCTAACATGATTTTTTAAATAATTATTTTCAGAAAAATATGCTACTGACATTAACATTTAATTGGTTATTTTACATTTTTCTTTAAAATAAATTAATGGCTGGGTGCAGTGGGTCACACCTGTAATACAGAACTTAGGGAAGCTGAGGAGGGAGCAGAGCTTCAGCCCAGGAGTTCAAGACCTGCCTGGGCAACATAGCAAGACCCCATTCTCCACAAAAAGAGAAAAAGACAAAAATAAAATAAATTAACAAATATTTAATTTTGTCTCAACATTACTTTCTGATAGATAAAACCCACATGAACAAAAGCAGCAACAAGTAACAATTTTAAAACTAACAAAAAAAATTATGCTACCTCTCTGGTGAAAAGCCATTAATGACTATACTGTGTATAGAAATTTATTTTAATTGCCAGAACTCTATACTGCATGTGTTTGACTCATAACTGCGTGACCAACCTCTACCCAACTTACTTTCTTTCACTTCAAAGGTGTTATTGACATGACCTTCTTTCAGTTGCTCTAAGGTATCATTTCTTTTTCCAACAATTGGCCTTCACAGATATTGCTCCCTTAAATTCACATTAATGCCTTCTCAGGCTGTGTTGTATTATCTCATCTCTTAGGTCTCCTTGAAAAACACTTCCTTGGAGATACCATTCCTGTATTACTGCTTGTCCAATCTTTAATAACTTTCTCATTCTCTTTTCTAGCACCTTGTCTTTTTTCCATATAGAACTTATTAGTATAATAAGCATAGCAGAGTACAAAAGGGCTTGAGCTAAATTAGCTCCTGGCCATGGCAGGCAGATACTCCCCAGCAAGAGTCAGCTGTAGAGCTCACTTCACTTTCTGGTTTCCCATTCTCTGCCCAGACACTTAGGAACACTAATTTTCTTGTCATTTCCATGACAGATTCCAAAGTTCACATTTTAAATAAAATTTCTAGAATTTTATTTATTTTTAATGGAAGAGTTCTGAAATCCTGCCAGAGTCGATGCCCTATGTAGAGTCTTTCCAAGTACATTTATAGAGATTTGTATATTAGAGTGTAAGCATCAAAAGACAAGGGGAAAGCATTATATCACACACACACACACAAACATATACACACACTATTATCTAGCTGACAAAAACAGTGAGTTATTTGATCAAATATATGATATGATGATTTGTGATTATTTTAATATAAAAATTCAAATATTGATGTTTTCTGGACTGTGTTTAGTCCATTTTGCATTGCTATAAAGGAATACCTGAGGCTGGGTAATTTATAAAGAGAAGAGATGTATTTGCCTCATTGTTCTGAAGGCTGCACAAAAAGCATGGCACTAGTAGCTGCTTCTGGTGAGGGCCTCTGGGAGCTTCCAAACATAGTGGAAGGGGCAAGGGATTTGGCATGTCACATGTTGAGGGGAAGCGAGGGCTATGCCAGGCTCTTTTAAATGGCCAGCTCTCATGTGAACAAATAGAATGAGAACTCACTCATTATTGGAGGGAGGGCACCAAGTCATTAATGAGGGATCCACCCTCATGACCCAAACACCTTCAATGAGGCCCTACCTCCAATGCTGGGGATCATAGCTTGATAAGAGGTTTGGAAGGGGCAGAAATCCAACTTATATCACCTGTCTTCATCACCATCATCACACAACATTTGCTAATTGCCAAGTGCACTCAATTAAAATTTGGTAGAGGATGGGCTTATGTTGTTTTAAAGAAAGGGCTGTCAGATGTGATACCATTTTTTTCTGGATCTTGTAGACTTCTGGGACAGAGGTTGACTTGAATAAAATGTTAACAGAAGGGTTGGCTTAGAATATTGAAGGGAAGTAGACCATCCATTCAACAAAAGAAATGTGAAGGCACAACTAACAATGCAGTGATATCCTTAACTTGTTTGTAGATTGTTGAATTACTCAGGATGCTTAGAATTTATTAGGATTTCTATACCTTAAAAGAACAGGGAGTTATCAGAAAAAGTATCTATCACCAGAGTGGGGCACAGACCCAGTTTGAGAAGAGAATGTCTATATTCTACCCTCACTCCTTTTGTGTGTTCCTTAGTTTTCCATTCAAGAAAGTACGTAATAATGGAAGGTCAATGCTTTCGCGCCACCTGAAATCATGCTAGTTCTAGAGAAAAGTAAAAGATGTTATTAAAAATTATAGGCTTGATGCAGGAAATGCAGAAGAAGGGATGCATTGAGAAGAAAGGGCCTGCCCTGGTTCTCTAAGATGACACAATCTATGTGCTGCTGCTTCTTCATCTTTGGCTTTCCACAGTACAAAATTCTAGTTCTTTCTTATGCAAGCATACTGTAACCATTAAATAAAGAGGAAAGAAACCCTAAAAGCAGCTCAACAGTCAAAGACTGTTTATTTTGGAGAATAAACCTGAGAGGGGCTTCAGGCCGAGTTAGGTCAGAGGCACTCTCTCTTACAGACTCAGAGTTTTTTAGGATTCAAGGTGGCAGACCTTATCAGAGGCTTGAACTGTTTCTGTGTCTCTTTGTGTGCTTATCTGGGAGGCAGAGTCTTGTGTCTGTTCCCATACATCTTCCTGCAGCTGCAGGCATACCCCTCAGTCTGCTTTTAGCTTCCCTAAGTGCACCTAAAAGGAAAGGAATGCACCTATTAAAGCCCACTGTTTTACTGGGGCCCATTGTATGAGTGTGAAGTTTGGTGTTTACCCAAGAGACTTTCCCGCCTCCCTCTGTCCCCAAGCTGTCTTATCTGTGTTTTACTGTCTGCTCTTCCTGGCTGCTTGTTGTTAGAAGAGAAGCGATTTCCTTGAAATGCATGAGGTTAGAAACGGAGCTGGAACTTAAAGTGTCCAAGATGACGGTGCTCCTGCAGTGTCACATACTACTTGTGAACTGAGCACAATTCACACAATTCTTTCAATATTTTGTCAAAAATGGTTCCTCTATATTGCAGGTCTATATGGATAGCATGGTGATGGGAAAAAGTCTAGTTTTTTGTTTTGTTTGGTTTTTTAATCACCACAGAAGTGAGAATGAACCTGCCGTATTCTCTTCCTGTCTGTCTCTGAGCAATCAAACTCAGAGATTGATTGCTCTCTGAGTAATCAATTGTTTTCTCATCTGGGAATGAGAATAATAGGCATGGTTGTGAAAGTTAGAGATGATATGAGTATGCACAGTGGGCTCTCCAAAGTTAGTCTCTTTGATAGATATTACAGTTATTACAATACACATTACACTTACTAAATGTGACCAATTGAGAGACATGGATTTTATATATATCATCTAATTCTTCCTCTGTATATAATATATTGGATATGTTGCATGCCAATACATGTACTGTCTCTGCTTCCTTTTCTGTATGTACAAATCTAAGTTGTCTACCCAATTCCATCCACTGAGGACAAAGAGTGGCCTTAAACAACTAGGGTGGCCATATTTGTGCCTAAAAGCTGCTCTACCTCATATTTATCTAAATTCAATATTCATATTAAATATCTCTTTCTCCTTGATGTCTTTATTGATACCATCTACTGTTCACAAAGCCTCTTTCACTGAATTCCCATAGCACATTTTAACATGTCTATTTTATTTTAGAGAATTGAATACCTTTTCGTTAGCCTGTTTCTCATGTTATAATTTCCATGCCCCATCCCCTAAGTAGATTACAATGATTTTCAGAAAGGCAGCATGTCACACTTCTTTCATAACTTATAATATCATAGGCAATATCTGCATATTAAAAACACTTCAAAATATTTGTAAATTTTATGAAATTAGTCTGTTCGGAATGAGGAGTGACACGTTCATTGTTCCCCATCCATTGTTGATCTCTCTTTTATTCTCAGCTTTGCCAGCTCTGTACCCAGCCAGAGACCCATCACTGCAAATGCATTTGCCTTGATTTGGAGATTGTGCCACTGTGCCAGAATAGAACAAACCCTTTTATTTACACACATTCAGTACAATAGCCTCCTCCTATTCTGAAGTGGAATAAGTTTCCAAGTGTGATTGCTTTTGAAGAAGAAAGTTCCTGTAAGAAGAAGCTAGAAAGATTTTTGCTCTCACTCTGACTGCATTTTTTAATCATCACTGTTTGCCCCTCCAGTGCGTCCAGCCCTTTCCAAAGCCAGGCTCATGATTTTGATGGACCATCGTGGCTAAATACAGTATATCATTTCAGCAGGCTCTTCACATTGTGTTATTGTTAATGATGTTTTTTATTTACCAGAAACATAGGCAATATGATATTACTCTCATTCAGTGAGCTCAGCAGGAGACTTTTTAAAAGTGTAATGCATTTGCTCTAATGTCTCTGATCAGGTGGATCCGGCCTGGAAAAACTCCAAGTTGGATAATTACATTTTTGCTACCTATAATTTCCACCACCCCTTTGAGAGCTCGTAGCATTCTTCTCCTTTCAAACTCAACACATGTGTGGTGTTTGCTGAACACTATTTTAAAGAGAAAAGAAAATCAGTCAGGCTTAACCTCAGGAGGTAAGGGAAACAATCAAAGAACCAGAGTGGTCAGAGTAAGCCCTACTAAAATTGCAACATCATTGAAGTTTGCCTTTATTTTTCTTCATCCCTTCAAGGTACGTGTCCTCATTGCTCCTTTTTCATGACCCATCTTTTCTCCCTTTCAGATCAATAGTATTCTCATGCTATTCTGATTTCGCCAATGAGAGGAAGAAATCTAATGAAATCATTCTTATCAAAGCACACAGATAGCATTTGATAACTTGTCCAGAGATACTTAAACCTTAAAAAATGATAGTTACTGAAAAAGGCAAGGAAAACACAAAGGGGCAGATTTTCAAACAGGGGAAGTTTAGAGTCCTTGTGCTATAAGGAAAGAGGAAATCTCAAGTGATGAGTGAGTAACATGTACCTTGTATGCCCTCTCCTGCTAACACCCCAAAACCACGCTGCTTTTAAAGGTAAAAAGAAATATTAGAGTCTGCATTTTATTGTCTCTAATAGGTTACATTTGCATACAAGGCTCTTTGCACATAAGGTTTGACTGGGTCAAGGAGAATGTTTTTAACATTTTAAATATTTTACGGTTTTTAATATAAGATGCCCCAGCCCTAGAATCAACTTTTTTTTTTAAGAGCAAAAGCACCTGAAGCCAAGTGATTAAGGTGAATGAATGAGTTGAATAATGATATCCTGGCAATCAGGCAATCATCATCATATAGATGTATATATATGATGTATATATATGTGTGTATATATTATGTACATATGCATATATAATGATATTCTATTGTCAGTATATCATTGTTGTCAGTATATCTATTGTCAGTATATCACACACACACATATATATACATCATATATACACACATCACATATATACACACATATATACATTTTATATATATGTGAGATCCATATATATATTTTATGGATCTCAAGCTCATATATATATGTGTGTGTGTGTGTGTGCATATATATACTTATGACCTTGAGATATTTATGGATATTGAGATATTTGTGGATCTCAAAGTATCATGTGTATATATATACACACATGTATATGTATATACAGATCTATATATACACACACGTATATGTATATACAGATCTATATATACACACACGTATATGTATATACAGATCTATATATACACACACGTATATGTATATACAGATCTATATATACACACACGTATATGTATATACAGATATATATACACACACGTATATGTATATACAGCTATATATATATATGTATATATATGAAACCTTGAGACCCGTAAAATAACAAGACTAATTTTCAGTTCTGTCTGGTGAAATCAGAAGGGTCACCAGAGCTGCATATTGATCTTTATATCACAATTGTAAGAAGAGATGACTTTAAAGGGGAAACTCTTCCTTTAGCATGTATTGCCTTCCTTGAATGTTTCACATTAGTTTTTAATAGACATCTGTGAGCTACTCTTACCCTTTTCGTTTTTCTTCTTTTTGAGCACCTGGGTACTCATAGCATCCTCATAGTATGCATAAGCTCATTCCAAGCTCTACCTCAGACTCGTATGTGGTTTACTATCTAGACAATTGCTCAGTTGACAAGAGCTGACATCACTATAATGTAGGAGCCTGGAATGTACTTACAGAACTTTAGTTCAGTCTATAATATTATAGTTCAAAGCTGAGAAATGTAGGTTATATTACATACATTTATCACTCTCTTTTTCTAATGTACCTTAATTTTGTTGATTCCATGGAAATGTCTGGGGGAAATTTGCTTTGTTACTCAGTATATCACCTTTCTTTGCTCTTCTGATGTTACAGACAGGCGCATGTCACTTTTGCCTACAAGTTATTTGAGGCAGAGTTGAACAGAATGATAGATTTCTTTCTGCACTGGACTGAGGCCAAGACCAAGGTGATTCTTAAGGGAGTTGGCCACATACCAATTCACCAATTCACCTGGTGGGTGGTGGATAAAATCAACCATCCTCCGATGGTCTAGAAAAGGAGCTAATTTTTTGAGCATTATGATCATTTAAATTTTAGAAGTGTTGCATTTTAGA
The DNA here is from genome assembly GCF_000001405.40 of Homo sapiens. NCBI lineage: Eukaryota > Metazoa > Chordata > Mammalia > Primates > Hominidae > Homo > Homo sapiens. The sequence continues at coordinate 40,201,807 of NC_000018.10, forward strand.
TACAGGCAGGACATAAAGTGAAAACATATTCCAAATGGCAAACACAGTTGCATACCATTTAAAAGAAAAATATGGTATTAGGAGACTCATCCTTTCTTTGGAGTCCCTTTTAAATGCAACCAATGGCCCTTGTTTAACTTTTGGGCTTATATTCCAAGTCACCAATATTTCTGCTCATCTGGTTTGTCATTTCTTGCTTGTGCGTTCCTCTGCTTTTCTGTCCCATTTTGGCAGTAAATTTTGCTCAGGTTTTGAGTCTCATGTCTTGAACTTGTAATATAGGCTTAGATTAGTGTGACCTTTGAATATCATCATCCCACAGCTTCTGGTATTTTCCCATTGGTTTTGGTACCACAAACACAGTCCATCAGTGACATATCTGAGTTCTTTGTCCTGCATTTACTTTTTCATGTTCATTGACTTTTTTTGAGTGTAAGAGTCCTTCCGTATTTCTTTCTACTGCCTTTTCTAGCTTCACCATTTAATTAAATGCCAGTGTTTTTCAAAGCACAATTCACAAGCCTCTCCAACCTTGACCATTGCTTTATCTTTCAGGAATTTTGTCCATACTTACAGGATTAGCTCTACTTATTAGAACAAAGACTGGCAACTTTTTAAATAAAAGGCCATATAGTAAATATTGTAGGCTTTGCAGGCTACTTCTGGTCTCTTTTTTCAGTCTTTCATGTATTCATTTTTGCTTTTTGTTTGTTTGTTTTTATAACCCTTTGAAATGTTAAATAAATATTCACTTTTGGATCATACAAAACACTTAACTGATTCCTGTACTAGGGACCAGTGAGATTAATAGAATGTATGTGCATTCTGTGAAGGGGTCAAGAAAACTGAAGAGAGAGAATAAATCATTGCTGCTAATAATTAAGAGGATAAAAGTGTTGATCTTGGAACTGGCTATTTTTATTAGAACACTGCTTTTTGAAGAAAATGTAAATAATTTTCTAACTTTTGTGTTTTACAAGTATGACTTTTATTTTTTTATTTAAATAGAGTCAATATATATCACTAGTCTTCTACAAAGAATTTCATTATTCTTTCCAATTATCTGTTTTTTTGTTGTTGTTGATATTTGTTTTTTTTTCAAATCAAGTAGAGTGCTTTCATATTTCCTTTCTCGATTCTCTAAAGGGGAATTATATAAGCCCATATTGAGTTGACTAGGAATTAGGCTGAACTTCCTGAGTAGCCAGTATTTGAGTGAGGCTGTGCACCTAACAAGCCATGGGATCAGATGAACTTTCAGAATGCCTTTCATACTCTTGCTTTATCAAGTTAATATTTTGGATCTTAGAGAATTTAGTCTTTTCTTTGCAAATCCTTATTAAATTTAGATACTAGTCTCATGATCCATGTTGTGTGTCACCTGGCTTAATTATATTGGTAGGTAGATCTTTTAGACAACTCTTTCAGTATAAGAGACATTCTAATAAAATGAAAGAGAAGAGGGAGAATGGAAATGCCAAAAGAGATAGTAGAGGAAAAAGTCAACAAAAATATCTTCTTGCAACCATTGGCTTGATTGGACTTACTTAAGTAAACATTCCTTAGTTACGGGATTATTGCCTATGAAGCATCATAAACCTATACTGATATCCAGAGAGGGCAAGGCTAGGAGGGGCTGTGATATTCCAGGGAAGTTTCTTGCCTTCATAGGTATTGCAATACCCAGGCCAAAGATAATCTATGGTCAATCCACTACCTAGGAAACCTCTTCCGTCCTTCATCAAATTTAGAACAAAAAAGACATGGTCCACTAAAATCAATTTTCCTTTTTAGTTTACTGAATAAACAAGCCAGAAAATACACACACATACACACCCAAGAAGAAGAGCCATTGTCCTTGGCCTGAAGAAACTTTTGTAAACAGAGAAACTATGAATGAATACTACTTAATCTTAAAGGGCATGGTGAAATAATGGGGTTCATTCGTGACCAAGAGGGATTCTGATTCTTGTGATGTGGATTAGGTCATTTAAAAAGTGTTCATGTGAGTTATCTGATACTGCATTTTCAGTGTCTATTTCAAGACTTTGAGATATTTGTTATCACCTAAGAAATTCCATGAGGGCTTCAGGCTGTCTTTCAGTTCTCAGATATTCCTTTGGTGCCTAGCATGGGGCTTGCTCATTTCAGGATTCCATATAAGTATGTTGACTGATTGACTAAATTTTATCCCACAGCTACCCTTGAACCTCATAAGTCTTTTCCCTCTCAAATTTGTCATTCTGAATGGATGAGAGAGGAATGTACAGTGTTCCTCTCTGTGTCCTACCTTAGTCACTCATTGTCCTTGCATCAAGCTACAAAGATTTATTTTTTTTAATCAGCCCTGATCAAGCAGTCTCTCCAAACAGTTAACCTTTTGGGTTGTTTATCCCTTGTTTCTGAAAATTTATCTTCAACTGTCTTCTATCAGGATGTTCAGAAAGAGTCAATGCAATACAGCAGCACACTGTTATAAACAGACCGAAAAGGTAACAGCTTAATTACTAGAAATAGAAGGCATACTGTCTATCCTCCTCCTGCTGCATTTTACACACACACTTGCACACATTCATGCTCACACAGTCTTCTTCATGGTCCTCGATTATGAAATTTGAAACAACGGATATATAATTATGCATTTGGAATGCTCACATCACAGACAGTCATGACCTGGTACCTGAAAAAGGCCTTGCCAAAAAGGTAGGAGCTGAGGGAAGAGTTAGTGGTGGAATTTTCCCCAAGATAGGAAATAAGACAAGGAGTAAAGATTTGGAAATGCAGTAGAGCACATTTTTTGTTTTTGGTGCTCACTGATGAAATGTATCTTGTGATAATATATTTTTAAAATGTTAAGCAATTTTAATTTTTTTTTCTGGTATTCATTTAGCATGAATGTTGCTAAATTTCATGTGTCAAATGTTCAGCATTTTTTTTTTAAAAGCAATGTGAGGGCACCAGAAGCAAAGTTTCTGATTTCACAACTATTTTGAAGAAAGAATGCGCTTTGTTTTTGTTTTCTTGAGACAGGGTCTTGCTCTATGGCCCAGGCTGGAGTGCAATGGTGCAGTCTTGGTTCACTACAACCTCTGCCTCTTGGGCTCAAGCAATACTCCCACTTCAGCCTCCTGAGTAGCTGGGACTACAGGTGTGCACCACCATGCCTGGCTAATTTTTGTATCTTTAATTTTTTTTTTTGATAGAGATGGGATTTTGCCATATTGCTCAGTCTGGTCTCAAACTGCTGGGCTCGAATGATCCTCCCACCTAGGCCTCCCAAAGTGCTGGCATTACAGTCATAAGCCATGCCACTCAGCCTACGACATGTGTTTTTAAAGTTCCAATGAAATGGTACATCTCTGGATGTGTATAATATTAGGTCCCTTTGCTTTTTAATTTAAGGCCAACTTAATGTTCAGTCACAGCTCTAATTTTACCTAATATTCCAAATATCCAAACTCTTATTTACGCTGACAATCTCTTCACTCTGAGACTTCCCTGCCTAGTTTCTGTTTGCTTTAAGATCATATGTTTTGTTGGGGATTGGAACCCCTTAGGGAATATGAGAGTGACAGGCAAACCGAACCAAGGGAGTTTTCTTTCTTACAAACAGCAAAACTCCAAAAAGATGCTCATCAAATAATTGTGAGGCTTGAAAACATTCAGAAGTCATTGTCTTCTGCGATGTGTAGAATAATTAAATGCAACATCAGCATGACATCAGTGGTAGATAATTTTCAGCCGTAAAACGCCATTCTCTCCCATTAACTGAGGATTGTTGGAGGTTTTCGTCTCCATTTCACCAGACAGAGTACAAAACATTGTGACATGCTTAATATTTCTTCCGCCAAGATGTCCACTCCGATTCCTCACCCTTTACAGAGTTGTTGATTTCATCCTACATTTAGCTGCCAAAAAAGCGATTGCGTGTGCAGCACCAGTAACAAAGTGAAAATGAATTATGCATCAGAAGGAACTGCATTTGAGTCAGAAAACTTAGACTTCAGCATCTTCAAATTACAATATGATTTAAGAAGGAATACATTTAAGGAGATAGCAATGGACTGAGGTGAAGGGGTCAGCATTGGCTCAGTTTAATATAATTTAGCTTTCAATTATTTATTTTTTAAAGAGCTACTAAGCACACTGAATCTCTTTAATGGCAATGTCAAAAGTATGGAGACTGGAGAAAAGCCATGAATAATAGTGACAGATTGTTATGCATGGTACTGTTATAAGGCCTGCTGCAAACTGAAGCGTTCACCAGAGCCGGAAGAGCAAACAAGGAGCAGCCTGCTAGGAAAGTGAGGGACAGGGCTCCCTTCCCTGGGCTGCGATGATGGCTGAGCTCACCTTTCTTTGAGATTTAACTGGTCTTGTCAAAGGCCTTTAAGTCACTATGTCTTCGACAATCCCGCACTTCTTTTCTGACACGTAGACTATATAATTGTTTGTTTAAATGGTCTCCCTCTAATTTCACCAACAGCAAAATTAATTCAGTAGAATAACCTCTCACATTCTTTAAGCAACCATACAATGGCTAGAACTGTGAAAGTACCCTGGAGGACATGAGGCAATGACTTGCTCATCCATCACAAAATTCACCCTCAAATGAATGGACTTGAACAAATTGAGGAACTATGTGGTTGAAAATAGATAAACAAGTGTTGAAATATCAAATGAAAATTAAAAGTGTGAATTAATACAGATGAAGGAGGAAAAGGGTATGGCAAAGTAGAGGAGCCTCGAGTACCATTAGGGATCCCCATGGTTACTCATTGACTCACCAAGGCAAAGTGAATGAGGAAAGTATGTGACTTTTTTTTTTTTTTTTTGAGACAGAGTTTTGCTCTTATCACCTAGCCTGGAGTGCCGTGGTGCAGTCTTGGCTTACTGCAACCTCTGCCTCCCAGGTTCAAGTGATTCTCCTGTCTCAGCCTCCTGAGAAGCTGGGATAAGAGGCATGCGCTACCACACCTGGGTAATTTTGTATTTTTAGTAGACACAGGGTTTTGCCATGTTGGCCAGGCTGGTCTTGAACTCCGGACCTAAAGTGATCCATCCGTCTCGGCCTCCCAAAATGCCGGGATTACAGATGTGAGCCACTGTGCCCAGCCAACTTTTGAGATCAAGATGAAGTTCAGTCTCATAAAACTTTTCAACTCCAGGCTGAGCACAGTGGCTCACGCCTGTAATCCCAGAACTTTGGGAGGCCGAGGCAGGAGGATCACGAGGTCAGGAGATCGAGAACATCCTGGCTAACACAGTGAAACTCCATCTCTACTAAAAATACAAAAAATTAGCCGGGCATGGTGGCGGGTGCCTGTAGTCCCAGCTACTCGGGTGGCTGAGGCAGAAGAATGGCGTGAACCTGGGAGGCGGAGCTTGCAGTGAGCAGAAATCGCGCCACTGCACTCCAGCCTGGGCGACAGAGAGAGACTCCATCAAAAACAAACAAACAAACAAACAAACAAACAACAACGAAAACAAACCATTCAACTCCAACCCCACTCATCCAGAGGACAGCTTTTCTGCCAGTTGGGCAACTCTTAGATAAATAATTATTTCTCCAATCCTTTCCTGATCATGCACCTCATTTGAGTGCCCATAAAGGCCACCAGTGATCTAATTGGGAAGTGACTGAGGGTGTCTCTGGCATGACTCAACCTCCCTTGTGACACTTCCTTCTTCTCTGCCAATGTTTCCTTTCCCAGGTGCCGGAATTTCTTTATTCCCATCACAATTTTTCAAGCATGGGCATTTTGGTGGTGCAGTGGGTGTGATCCAGTGTATTGTATGACATGTGGCATGACTAGGGAGCTAGAAGGAGATGCATTTCATTATCACATTACCCTTGAGTCACAGCTTTTATCCTACCATGAGAGCAGTTGCTGAGTCCACAGATATGAAAGAAGATATGAGCGACACAAAAGAAATAACATTCCATCCACTTCTTTTCTCTCAAGGCTCTGATACTTCCTTCTCATTATGCCTTATAAAGCTTTCCAAAGTATGTCGTTCATCACATCACTCCCCTGCTAAGTAAAAATCCACAATAGTTCCTATTGCCTATGGATCAAAGTCAAAATTCTTTAGCTTTCCTTTAAGACACCTCATAATAATCAAGGACCTTGTTCCTCTTTTGTCTCTTATTAATATTTAGCATATATTCCCATTACATTCAAATTTCTGGCTTTAAATGGTCATATAGCTGTTGCTGAAACTGCTCAATTCTGCCATTAAGGCATGAAAACAGCAATAGACAATATGAAAAAAAATGAGTGAACATAGCTATGTTTCAATAAACCTTTATTTACAAAAATATGTAGTGGGCCAGGCTGGTCTTGAAATTCTGGGCTCAAGCAATCCGCCTGGCTTGGCCTCCCAAAGTTCTGGGGTTACAGGCATGAGCCACTGCACCTGGCACCCCCACTTCTTCGAATTATTTGTCTCACCAGCTTAGTGACAAGTGAAAAAGGCAGTATCATATTGAAAAACAGAAAATAGATATAAAACAGGCAGATTTCTAGTTTGAGCTCTTACTTTTTTATTTAGACAACTTTGGGACTTCTTCAACTTTCAAATGGATGACTTGGTTAAATTAGTGGTTTTCAAATATAACGATAGTTTTACATATATAGTTTATCCTTTTAGTAATGGATTTTTCTTTCTGAAACAAAGAAAAATTTCTTTTTTGTTCTTCCTATTCTATCACAGACTCTGAAGTATTGGGCAGACTGAGCAGAACCATGCTGGTTGGGGCAAAGTGGCAGAGCTCAAGGTGTTCAGCTTTCTTTTCACTCTGAGCTATGTTCACTGAGAGTTCTGCAGAGTCAAGTTCTAAAATCTACAGGAGAACACAATCTCTAAAATTCTTTCTGGTTCTAAATTTCTTGTATTTTCTGTCATTTCATAAAACATTTTATTTTGAACTGTTACTATCTTAAAACTTATTCTACTACCATCTGTACTTTTTTCAACACAACATGAAGAGTACTAAAACCAAAGAAATATTTAAGGATACAATTTCTGAGAAAAGGAGGTTAATTGTTCCTAATTGCAAGTGGTTCCAAGTGATTGCCTAATCTGTTCAGTACAAGAACAGTTTGAAGCTCTGCAGAAACTTCATGCTGAAGAGGAAGGAGAAATTGGTAAAGACATGCCCATTGACTACTTTGCTAACAGACAGATCAAAGGGGAATCAGTTTCCTCTGCCAGGAACAGGTATCAGGTTGCTGATAGTTTTAATTTCATTCTTCACACTTGTGCCTGAGAAAAGGCATGCTTTAAGACTATGCACTTCTGTTTTTGGGGGAACATTTCAAGGCACACAGTGCTGAGAAATTATTATTGCTTAATTATGAAAATACTTACGTAACAGCAGAATGCCAGGGGTGTGGTATGTTCAAGTGAGGGACAGTTTCCTCAAACCCAAGGTAGCTGCAATTTGGAAAATACATTTTTAAAAAAATGAACTAAAAAGAAATAAATAAAATCTTGATTACAGATAATGCTTGCTTGACGCCTACATAAAAACAAAATCTTCTTTTTCTGATTAAATATCTAAGGTGGTTATCTGCCTACATTAGCAATCCCCAGCCCTCAATTAGCCACATGTAAAGGAAGGCTCTAATTTTCTTCTAAGGAAGATAGAATTTTCAAACCATAATTATATTTTATCTATTCAATTTAAGAAAAGTAAAGTATGAGATTAAGAGAATTGAGAAAAGAATAATAATTTATTTTAGAAAAATGTGAGAACAAATGGGGCTGAAAGCAAAACTAAGCACTGTATTTCCAAAAACCATTATGGGAGACCCTGCTGATTTCAAGCTTTGCAATTTAGATTTCTTCTGAAAGTTGTATAGGGTTTGCCTTTTAATATTTTGTTTTTTTCACCATGTATTCTCATCTCTCTAGTTACTATTGAGAGCTAAACCTTTCAACTCTTTTTATGGGGCATTGAAGGAGGGAAGAAAGGGAATAGGAGCAGAACTATCTTGCCACTAGTCAATGTCATCAGTTTGATGTCCTGGGATCCACTTTACTGCAAATCTCAGACCCTGGAAAAGAATAGAAGCTTTATTTTCAGCCAACCACCAAGGAATTAGCTAACTGCTTAAGAGTTATCTAGTTACGGTGTAAGGTCTTGTCCCTCCCTCTATTGAAAGTAAATAAAGAGGAAAGGTTAATTATGACTGAGTAAAAGAAAAACAAATCATTATTCAGAGTAAAAGGAAATGTGTGTGTGTACATGTTAGTGGGGCTTTTTCTGAAAGAGTGAGAGAAAATGCTTTCTTTTCTATGAATAAATTAATTTTTAGGAATCAATGTAACCTGTCAAAAGTAGCTTCTATCAGAGTTATGGAGCATTTTGGGATCCTCATTAAGTTGATGTGGTCTAGATAATATTTCTTTTCCATGATCATCTTGAATGCCATACTTCTTTTACCATTACACAGAGCCACCTACTCTACATAGTTATGGCAGTCATCTGATAGAGGTTGATATGGGAGAAAGACACAACCACTCAACCTGAGTGATCATCACATGATACACTGGTCAGAAAAAGCATGTATGGCAGGATTTCACAACACCAATCTGATTTCTCTCGTCTCTCTTCGTTGTGCACTCTTCACTCAGTCTGTTATTTGGGATTCACAATATTGAGGGGACATGATGCTAGGAAACAGTTATGAAAGAAAAAAATTCCATTTTATTTTACTTTCTTTCTGTAGGGGAGAAAAACTAATATCTTTCCCTTACTCATCAAAAGGGTCATGACTGACATCCCTATTAAAAAAAGACATATTAACAAGAGAAAAGCATAACAAATTTATCAATCAAAGTTTTATGTGACACAGAGCCTTCAGAATTGAAGACCCAAAGACCTGTGGCAAATAGTGTATTTTTATGCTTAGGTTTCTTTAAAAATGGATTGTCATGTAGACATATAATTGGATAAAAAGAGATATGACCTAATTAATGGTAATAAATGAAAGGGAACTCAGCAAGACCTGTTTGTTCAGATTATTCTTAGCCTCTCTGTATGGCATTCCTTTCCTCTGAATATAGATCAGGAGCCCTCCAGAATGAGCATCTCATGACCTACTTCAGGTGAGGTAAGTCAGAGAATTCCTTTATGACCATGCTTCACAGACAAAGGTGAGGGAAAGTGAGACTGACCTCACTTTTGCAGTTTTTCTCAATTGTCAAGGTGCCATGTTTTGGGGTATCATGTTCTGAGACCCAACATTTCATGTTTATATAAATTGTGTTCGGAAAGGCTTTTTTTTTTTTGTAGCATGAGTAGAAATGCTCCTTTCTCAAGTCCCACTGATATTCAGCTTGACAGTTGGAGAGCACTTAATTAGTCTCAAGAATCTACTTATTAAAACTTTGTTTATTTGTGTTCCAGAGAGTCACAAGGACAGAAAGACAGGTTTCTTGGTACTGCAACACAATCCTTAAATGTAACCACATAACTTATGCAGGGCTGTATCAACCCAATCTAAACAAGACAAGTAGCTTATTCTGAAGCATAAATTTGGATTCGAAATTTGACAGAACATTACAAAAGTGATCAAAGCACACAACATTGGTTTTGGAGATATTGCTGTGCTTTTCCTGTTGTAATCTTATATTAGTCTGTTCTCACATTGCTATAAAGATCTACCTAAGACTGGGTAACTTATAAAGAAAAACGTTTTAATTGGCTCACAGTACCACAGGCTATACAGGAAGCATGGCTGGTGAGGCCTCAGGAAAGTTACAATCATGGCAGAAGGCATAGAGGAAAGTGGGGCGTCTTACATGGCCAGAGCAGGGGGAGAAGAGAATAAAGGGGGAGGTGCCACACACTTTAAAACAAGTAGTTCTCAAGAATGCCCACTTCTATCATGAGAACAGCAAGGGGGAAATCTTCTCCCATAATCCACTTATCTCCCACCAAGTCCCTCCTCCAACATTGGGGATTACATCTGGACGTGAGATTTAGGTGGGGGCACAAATCCAAACCATATCACATATATACACAAAAGTAATTGAAGGACGTTAATATCATCTACTAGAATCCTTTCAATTACAGATTTTAAAAATACGTCCTAAAGAACTGTAAAATTTTCTAAATGAAGGCCCATGTCATTTCCTCTGTTTAAGAAAACATGGGAAGAGAAAATAATACCAATGTAAGAGAAGGAGCCTTTCATGAAGTCATGAGCACTTACTAAAGCATGCAGCCCTTCCCAGGTAGCAGATTTTTGTTGTTGCTGTTATTTTTTTCCCCTTTCTTATAAGAAGTATTTATTAAGGGATTTATTTACATTGACACAAACTGCCAGATTTGCATCTCCCTTCATTTGCATTATCTTGCCTCTTCAAATTAGGGGTTAGTTTTTACTCTCCAACAGCTCATTTTCCTTAAACACAAGGAGAGGACCTAGCTATCTGCATAAGGCATTTTATATGCAAATCTAGCCAGTCAACAGCAGAGTGGACACTGATTAAACACAGGAGATGCTAATCATAATGACTTTTAAAGTTACAGAGACAGACAATATCCTTGTTAATGTTTTAAGGATTCCAGAGATAGAGTCAAACTTGCTCTGTAGAGAGTCTTTTAGTTGGCCATTGCGATACTATTGATACACTAGTATTGGCCAGAGCGGCTAAAGTCATGGAACCGCTGAAAATGGATTAACATGAGATGACAATGTTGGAAAGTCTTGCTGTTTTTGGTCCTTGGGAAATTGAGGGAGGCAGAAGGGGGCTGACAATTGTTTCTTTTCTCTTTTGCTTCATCTTTCTAGAGGTTGTTTCATCAGCATATTTTTTAATAGTGCCTTGAATGTAGATAGCTCCTTCCTGCTGAGCTAGTCAAAGTGCTTTACATACATTATCTCTCATTTGTCCTCCCCTAATCCTCAGAGTTTGATAGATGTCAAAGGAATGTCCTTTTTTTTTTTTTTTTTTTTAAGCTTCTGGGGTAAACCAGAGCCACTAGATTGAAAGTACAGGGGAAGAGTAATTTTCCAAGATGGCATCAAGCTTTAGAAAACCCTTATAACTGAGGAAAAAAGAAAAATGTCTTATCTCGTATGCATTACTACCATTCATCAATAGTCCACTTTCTTTTCTTTCCTGAACCTGAAAAGGCTACACTGATCATTTTTCTTGCCATGAGGTGAGCCATGTAATTTTTATGACTTATGAAAAGTGAGCAAAAATAAACTTACTTTCTGACCAAAAAGCCCATTCTCAATTCTCTATCTTTTTTCTTCTCTTGTTCATCAGTGGGTAATATGGAATAGAGCCATCCTAGCCCTGGCAACACACAAACACACACATCCATGTATATTCATACATTGTATTTATTTGAGGAAGAAATATAAACTTTCTGAGATTTGGAGGTTACTTATATCAGTATGAGCTTTGCTTATTCTCACTGATACATCTTGTTTGGGTAATACTTAGACATAATAAAACAACAATACTCTGCTACTTAAAGTATCTTTGGAACCACAGACTGTGTAAATTGACAAAAACATATTCCCATCAAGCAAATAAGTTATTTATTATAATGTAAATTTAACAAATCAATGAACTAAGTATATGTTACTATAGGTTACTATTCCAAGTACTTTTCCACATTAAACATAATAAATTGTACTGATTTTTCTCAAGGTAATAAAAGCATATAAATTGAAAATAATTATGAAATACAAAAAAAGGCACACACACACACACAAAGAAGAAAACAGAAATAATCTGTTCTTCCATATCCAGAGATAACCACTGTCACTGAGTAGCACTGGAGGCATCGTGTAATAATTTTTCACAAAATGAACAAAGATAGTTATTATATTGTTCCACCTCTTTGTTTCCTGTAACAAGGGTTACAAAGCTGAAAAGACACCAGAAGACAAATCTGTTCACTTGAACTCTGTGCTAGTTTGGATACTAACTAGCTGGGAGACTTTGGCAAATGGTTTAACTGTCTCTGACTCTATTTTTTTAATTGGTATTCATATCTCACAACTTTTTGTTCTTTTCCATGAGATTTTAATCTCATAACTTTGGTTTAGGTGATTATTATTTAGCTGTGAGTCAATTCACTAGAAACAGCTGAAAGTTGATTCATCAAATGATTAATTTCCCAAATAACTATTTCACCAAAAGTTTAATATTTTAAAAATGAACCTATAAGAATTTTACTAGGAATATTCAATAGTAAATGTTTTATAAAAGTATATTTTATCACAGTAACAAAAATGTTGGCATGTATTTTTCTGCTTTTTTATTTTACATTTTAAGATTGAGCTGGTATGTTTCTAAACTTCTATTTCACTTTTTGTTTTGTCAATCTTTTTTTTTTTTTTTTTTGAGATGGAGTCTCATTCTGTTGCAGTGCAGTGGCACAGTCTTGGCTTACTGCAACCTCCGCTTCCCGAGTTCAAACAATCCTTCCACCTCAGCCATCCAAGTAGCTGGGATTACAAGCATGCACCACCACACCAAGGTAATGTTTTTTTTGTGTGTTTTTATTACAGACGAGGTTTCACCATATTGGCCAGGCTTGTCTCAAACTCCTGACTTCGAGTGATCCCCTGACCTGGGCAATCTTTAGTTTTTAGCCTAAGAATTATTGGCATTTCAAACCATTTAATTCTTTCTTTAAAATTTTGCATTTATATTTAATATACTTCAAATTTATGATTGCAATCATATAGGGGGATATAATAATTCTTTCTGATAATATGAACTTTCTTTTCTTATCATTGACTGAGTAAACCTTTTGATGTTGGCTATTTGTGCAAACTGCTACCAAGTGGAATTATTCAGACTGACTTTCATGGCTTCCAAAGGTTAGCAACGTCTTATGTGATAGGATTTTTCTGGTAATTTCTTTCAAATGCTTCTGAATTTAAAAAAATTAATATTTAATTTAAAATAAAAATAACTTTAAATTCAATATGACTAGGGTAATTTTTAAATTTAAATTTTATATTTATATAATTTAAATTTTAATTACAAAAATATTTTTAAATTTAGGATTATAAAATTAATTGTACACCAGTATTAATTTTATTCAATTCACTATTTAAATATAATTTAATATGTATTTTCATCATTAAAATGTAACATTTAGGCTTGAATAATTTGGGAATAAAATCTAAAAAGTTTTAACCTTTTAAAAATTTCAAAAGCTATTGAAAAGTTCTGAAAGGAATAAGAAGTAGATAAGATAAACCAAATGAAATATCAAAATCTTAAATAAGAAAATATTTAATGTTTTTTTAGTGTATAATATTTTATAATTTTTTATTTTCTGAAGTTTATTCTTTATTTTTTGTAAATGCTTCAACCAAAACTTAATTAATATTGAGAAAAATTGGATTCAACCATCATTAAAATGAAATTCTGATTACTTCTGGAAACAGCAAAAAAATCATTAGCACATTGAACATTGGTTCAATGCATTCTTTTCTGAATTACTTCATTAACTTTTCCCCAAGTCCTCAATACCTGTCAAACCAAAATTTACCACCAAATGACCAACCCTCAAACAAAATGAAAAAGAACAATAGCAGCAACAGTGATAGTACTTTGGATTTTTAAAGTTATTTCCTAATAAAACTTTACAATATACAACAAAAATTTTGAACCATTTTGACAATATACTATCTAATTTCACTGACCCTCTTCTCCACCTAAAGTGACTTGCCTCATGTGCAAGCTATACTTGCCTGGCTCATAAAATTTATTCAATAAACATTTTCCTAAGATTCCTCTATGTCAGGTACCATTCTTATAGGGATAAGGAGAGAAAGCTTCCCTCTTCACCCACTGAAGGATCACTGAAAATGAACTACAAAAGATGCTTAATAGAAGGGAAAAAACATACAAATTTATTTTAATGTTTATAGCATGGGGGAATTACAGAGAAGTGATGACCCAGTGAAGCTGGCCTTGTTTTCTGGGGTGTGATTCTTTGTCTCATGGCCAAGGAAATCAAGGATGTGGATACACCAAGGGTAAGGTTAGAGCAGAAGTTTAATAAGTGAAAGAAAGAGCGAATGCTCACTGCCGCAGAAAGGGCCTCCCCAAAACAGTTGCTGTTTCACAGTTGAATACAGGGGCTTTTATAAGAAACCAATGAGGGCTGGGTGTCTCATTTGCATAAGTTGCGAATTTGTGTGGTAGCTCTACCCCTTCCTCGTAGTGCACATGCCAGCCCTCAGCTTGTGTTACTCCATGTTGCTTTATTCCCCTTACTGTGCATATGTCAAGGGATGGAATTTTCCATTGTGGGTATGTTTGGGCAAGTCTCTTACATAGCCTTTCCTATATCTGGGGCTGTGGACATGTCTCAGGCAAGCATCCCTGTGCAAGTTCCTTTCTTTTCCGAGTTCTGTGCCTGCAGGCTGTTTTTTTTGTTTGAAAGAACTCAACTGAGGACCCGCCCAAACTGTCTGCTTGAGTGGTTTCTTCCTTCCTCCTCTCTCACCAGTAACCTAGTGATGCTTATATACCCTTTTTTGTAGAGGAAGGGAGATTGGGGCATAGGAATAAATGATTTCAGGGGGGAATGAATGAACCCAAGAGACAGACATTATCTTGTGAAGGAGTCTCTGAAAATTGAATGGGACTCAAGAAAGAAAAATAATGGTTTGGGATAAAGTTCAAAGTTTGTCTAGACTCTAGGTGTGATGCTTAATTTTCAATATCTTCCTCTGTAATAGGAGTTTTAATCTTTTATTAATAACATTTCAAGGAAAGTATTGCAGGGAATTGTTTTCTTCTTTGGGGGTCTGGTTTTTAGGCAGATAAGGGAGCTTCAGAAAATAGCTTCATTCTATGCTTTGGAAGAGACAATGTATTGTGATACAGAGGAGAGGATGAAGGTCAGAGAGGACATTAGGCTACTTCTTTAGTTTAGCATGTCATAGCAATATATTTTGGGCTGTCAGTCTCTGATCACCAACTTTTCTTTGTTTAAAATGTCCCTGTAAGTTTCACATATTTAAAATGAGTTAGTGGCTATGGAGGAAAAAATTGAGCTCATAGCTGAATGTCAGAGGATCCCATTTAAACAGTTTTCCCTTCCTGGGAATAGGACATCTAATTAAACAGTTGTGTTTTATCTTATAAGATGGTGTTGCAGATAGGCTGTCAAAGCCAGGCATTTATATATCATGTAGGCAAACAGATCATTAATAAAAGGGATTTCTATGAAAACAGAAGAAAAACAAAGTTAATATCTGTAGTAGTCTATAAACTAGTTTATTTAGAATTTGGAGGAGAGTCCTTTGAGATCAGTGCCTATCTCACAGATTTTTCTGGTTTGTAGTTTGTATATACAAAGTGTATCCAAATATAAGCTGTTGTAATAATTTTTCTTCAAAGCCACGTTGGCTAACTTGCTCTAATTTTTTTTAAAGGACAGTTTTAATATTTAGTGCTTCTAAACCAGAAGAGTAGAAGAAAAAAAAGGAAAATGCTAATTTGGAAAGTCACAGCCAGATATTGGAGTAAATTAAAAATTCAGGATCCAGTCCAGATTGTAGGTAAGTAATAAGATCTCAAACACAAGGGCTGGGCTAGGATCTAGAACTGAGTAACAGGTGCAATATAGTTTTCTTCTAAAATATAATTTTTCTCCCTGACTCCCATTTCTACCAAAGATAATCACAGTAAGACTAATTTGTTTGCAAAATAAGTTTAGTCTTTAATCTCATTATTTACATAACTTTAGCAAGAATTGTGCTAAATTGACTATATATTTTGACTATGGCTCTTTTTAACTTTTCTTTACTGGAATTTATTTATAGGAAACTTCAGATTAGACTTTTAAAAGGTCTCATGAGGGTTAAGAGGCAAGTCAATGACTTAGTAGCCAAGCCAACTCATCAGACTTGGTCTAAAATACCTGTACAAATTGGGTATATTTCTCTTTCTTTGAGGTTTCCAAAATATCTTGAGATTCCTGGGCCTGTTGAAAAGTGACATTCTTTACCTACCACAAGATCTTGAACACTGTAAGAAAACTAGGTATACAAAGTGCCAGACCAATTTTGTTGAAGGGACTTTTTTTTTTTCTTCATAAAAGGCAACTGTATTATCTCAAAGTAGTGTGGTCATATCTGAAAATACGACATTTCAGTCAAAGTCTTTTTGAAATGGTCAGTATTTACAATTGTGTCCTGATACAAAAAACAAAAACAAAAACATAAAAATACTCTATTTGACCTCATACAAATAACTAAATTTTCATAAAACGAGAATATTCACAAATAATTTCTGAATTTCAGAGGAATCAGATGGAGAGAAAGGTAAATGTTTCAGTTTTTCTTACTAAGAATACTTGACTAAGTTGCTGTAAATCTATAGATAGGTTAAAATGAAAAAGTTTTCTTAATTCTAGAAAACAAAATATTTTATCAACAATGTGTCAAATAAAACATCATTAGAAATCATTTTAGTCCTTCATTAGTTCAGCCCCACATATTCTTGTTCTGCTTGATGTCAAGTAAGCAATTTTATGAGTCCAGTTTTTATTTTTCATTAAAGTTTTAGAATTTTTACCCAGTCAAATGGTATGTTCCCAAAGTTGTCAGAAACCTGAGTTTAAGGGTACTTGTTTCAGTCTTTTCCATCAACCTCCTTGAAGAAACAGCACTAGGATTTGCAAAGTGGTTTCAGAAAAAAAGAAATCAGAAGAAAGAAATTTACTGTAGGAAGCCAAGTTTTCAAATGGCCATAGTTAAAGACACAATTGACAAGGAAATTTTGTCATTTTCAATGTTCTACAACAATCAAATGTACTAATCATAATTATGACTGATAACGTATACCAATACATATCAGAATTTTAGCATTTTATATAATATTATATAATTTTGGAAAATATATTGAGAACTTGCATACAAATATAACAAAGAAAGTTAAACATTATTTCTTATTTGAAACTGTTTCCCATGTAATCTAGCAATTATATTAGTCAATTATTATCTCTTTCAGATGCTTAAGAGGTCCTCCGGACCATCCCAAACTTAGTTTGCAGTCAAAAAGACTTAATATTGATTTTAGGAATTTTTTTTTTCAAAAATAAGTCTTTAAAACACTTACTCAGAATAAAGTCACATTATTGTAACATAAAAGTCTTTAATTTAGCCAAAGTGATTATTAAAATATTTCAAAAAGCAAATATCTTCAGTCTTTCATAAAGAAGACACATAGTTTTCTAAATAATCAGAAGACTTAATAAAAGACAGTAAGGCATACAGAATTTCTCTTTGTCTTTTCAGTAATTTTTAGTTTATTCAAATGGTGAACAAAAAATATTGACTTTTATCACTATTACAGAAAAAATTTTTTTTTGCTTTTGGTTTGTTTATTTGTTTGTCTTTTAGACAGAATTTTGCTCTTGTTGCTCAGCCTGGAGTGCAATGGCACAACCTCAGCTCACTGCAACCTCCACCTCCCAGGTTCAAGTGATTCTCCTGCTTCAGCCTCCTGAGTAGCTGGGACTACAGGCATGCACCATCACACCTGGCTAATTTTGTATTTTTAGTAGAGACAGGGTTTCACCATGTTGGTCAGTCTGGTCTGGAACTCCTGACCTCAGTTAATCTGCCCGCCTTGGCCTCCCAAAGTAATGGGATTACAGGCATGAGCCACCGCACCTGGCCAGAAAAAGGTTGTTTAAAGGAGAACACCACGTCTTAGTTTTGTGTTAGTGTACTTTTGATATTAAGGCTCAATTAAAAAAAGGAATATTTATAATACATTTATTTAATTTTAGTGAGTTTGATTACACATAAAATTTATTTTAGGAGATTTACTTTTTATAACTCATATTTTTTATTTGTTGTTTTATTTATATCATTTTATTTCTTTATTTATAAACAACATTTAAATAATGTGTAGATAAATTACCTGTCATAAAAACCCCATTCTTATGTCTTTTTCAAATCTTCTTCACCAAAAATATATCTTATCCTCTCTGCATACTTTTCTTTATTTTTAGTAGTTTCAATTACATATATTAATTACAATTTTAACTTTTAATAACTCTAATTTACCATGATAAATCTAGGAAGTAAGCGATTTAAATTTGTATCATATTAGTATTTGTAAAATAAAATTGTTTTATAATTTTTAGAAATACAAGCTTTTTATAGAACACTTTTATGTAGAATAGAACATACTTAATCACATACCCAAATATTTTATTTTTAAAATAAATTTAGAAAGCAAATACATTTACAGCTATATATAGTAGTTTATGTTCTAGTATTTTATTTATTTCTTTAATATAAATGACTCAGATATTTTATGATTATCTATTACTTGATTTAGCATTACATGATTTTGATTTTAAATTACTGAAAGATTTTTGAAACTATGACACGATCATTTGAGAACATTTATCCTATTTATATTTACCTAATGTATTCACTTTTAACAAATACATTTTAGTTGTTTTTGAAAATTAAAGTTAGCCATTTAAGTTTTTTTTTTTTTTTTTAACAAAAGCAAAACTTGGCTCATCCTGCCTCATTAACTGTTATTTTGAGCCTGGATTTACACAATAGGTGTGGAGCCCCGGACTGAGGACAGCACTGTGAAGGTGACTCTTGGATTATCCAGCTCCTCTCAGTATGACCAAGAGGCAGAGCTGGGCAATGGAGGATGGCGCCATATCAGATTTGGCTCTACTGTATAGCTGATAGCCCAGGTGCTGCAGACACACATATGTCTGCAGGCCTCACCCTGGCCACATATCTGACCCTAGAATCAAAAGGCTCAAAACCAAAGACATAAGCTCATAGCAAGATTTGTCCAAGGCTATATGGGGACCCAGAAGGCAGCCCTCATAGCTTTAACTCACAGACAAATCAAGCAAGGGTCAAAAATATTATAGAAGCAACTATTTTATGACCTTATAACACCTATTAGAGACAGTATAAATCTTTCTGGCCCATAGGCCCAAGCAAAAATGCCTACATTGAAATCAGATTTTTTTAAAATTTTAAACTAACTTTATTTACCAAAGATTATTAAAATGACACGAATTTAAAAGACTTTGAGCTAGTTATTCACTTAATTTATGAATGTTAATGCTAAATCTATTTGTTGCCATCTAGACAATACACAAACACATGTACAGATATATACACACATGTAGTAGACATATAACACACATATCTGCACATGTATTCAAAAGCCAAAGAGATCAGGGACCTCAGTGTGAAAGAGAGTAGGACTTTAGATCAGAGAGGAACCTGTTTATGACACTTGGTTTTCTGTGAGAAAGACAGAGGACTCCAAAAGAGGGGGTCAGTGATGCTGTTTTTGTTGTGCTTCAGATGGTTTTAGAGTCACTAGAAGTCTCTTTTAGATTCCTTCAAGTGGTATTAAATGTGGCAAAAGAAAGGAAGGGCAGAAGTAAATGAAAGAACAAGTCTTACAGGAGGCAGTTTGGGGAGATCTTAAGTTTTCAGTTAACAGAGGTTAGAGTGGGGAAAAAAGTGGGAGGCAGGTGGGTCTAGTCAACTAAGACATTTCCATGTGACAGATAGAATTCAAAAGAGAACAAAGAAGTTAAAAATACATGTATATGTTGAAACATTGGCTATTAGTTAAGCCAACTTCTGCCCATAGAGCTTTAAGAAAGGAAAGCTTTTAAATATTTTATTATTAGATTTTTATCTAGGACAAGCAGCAAACTTTTTGCTGTCTGAGCAGACAGCCTTTTACCTGAGCCAAGGGAACGGAGGTGGAGGGAGCCACAGCAGCTACTCTGCAGGAGCACCTGCCAGGCTTGCTTGTGGCTTCTGATTTGAGTGGTGGCTGAAGGCGTCTCTTTTGAGTCACATAATTATTTACATTTCTAGGGGACCAGTTTTCTGACCAGGAGTTAAACCCAGGCTACAGCAATAAAATAATGAAATCTTAACTACCAGACCACAGACTGGAATGGCAGTTTTGTAAATCATGCAGAGAATAAAAGTAGGGAGCTTGAGTGTATAAATGATTTTAACTTTGGTTCTAGGTCATACTTCTGTTTTTTGTTTTGTTTAATTTTCTCAAAACTGTTTCTGAGGCTAGGTATGACATTATTATGTGTCTTTTAAAATTTGATCATCCCATAAATACAAATAAGGCAATTGCTTAGGGTGAGATATCTGCAAAAGTATTTTCAAATGTATAAATCTTTTTTAAATCGAAAGTTCTGTTGTCTGACCATTGACAATGAGGATTTCTAATTGTGCATTTATGTCAATAGTGTCTCAGTCCAATAAACCTCTTCATAGAAAGACCAGGAATTAATTTTCCAGGCTTAGAATAAGTTTTAACCATATAAGCAACACATATTTCTGGAGGGGGCATAGAAGAGGCAGCCCCCAACTTCCACCAAAATTTACTTCCAGAGATATGCTAACATAGCAAAGGATCTTCGTTACGATGGGCAGTTAAGGATGATGTTTGTGGGGATAATAACTCCAATCTCCTCCTGAGCACATGGACATGTAAACATGTTGGTCCCAGACCCACTAAATCTGTGACATTGGGCAGGCATGTCTGGGATTAGACTTTCCCTGCACTAAACAAGCAACAAAATTGAGACAACAAAATTCCCTTTTGTATGAGACTCTAAATTAAGATAAACTCCTCTGAGAGCTTGGCATGTTTAGAATAAAGAGTATGCTGCTTCATATTTTATATGTGTTGGGGTTCCCAGACCTTTCAGCCCGTCCACTGAACATGACCTGAGAATCACATACTCCTGAGTGGTGGAGACCAAGAGAGAGTGCTCTCACTTGGTCATAAGTCAAGCTCTCAAGGACATAAAACAAGACTAGAGGGCAACCTTATCTGGTTTTTATTTTGAGGATCCAGAGCACAAGTTATCTAAACAGATGCTGGTCTGATGAAAACTGTGAAACTTACCAGTTTGTGAAAGGCTCACACAATGGGCTTATGGGGGCTCCCATTTCTACCCCATGGTACCTCTCTTTATTACAAAATGACAGGAAGTCAAAGACAAAGGAAAAAACAGACTATTTCTGGGAGAAAAAAGGATCATATCATGTGAATATTTATAAAACACACACACAAGAGTTGCCAAACCTAAGATGAGTCATACAAATGCTTTTCTTGCATTAATCTTAAATTTGGAAAGAAAAAAGAGACAAGCAGAATTTTTATTGTCTGCTGGACAAAATTCCATAGGCAGAGATCCACCGGAAATCTGACTGGTAAGACCCTTTTGCTGGCTTGTCAGGTCCTGGGTTCCCTTGACTGCAGCTCACAGAAGAGCAGAGTAGATTTGGTTTACCCTGTTCCCTGTGCCAAACCTGTAGGGGCCAAGAGGGAGATTTTCTCTTCACTCACTGAAGGTTCACACAAAATGAACTGACAAAGGGCAGATCAATAGGAAAAAAAAAGCCATACAAATTCATTTCAACATGCATAACACTGGGAAATTGCAGGAGAATGCCCAATAACTCAATGGAGTGTAGATGCTTATATACTTTTTTATAGGGGAAGGGGAGGTGGAGTATAGAAGGAAATAACTTTTAGGGGAGAAAGAATGGACTCAGGAGGCAGACATTATCTTGTGAATGATACTCTTTCAAAATTGAATGGGATCAGCGAACAAAATATGGCTTGGGACAAAGTTTGAAATCCTTCTGGGCCCTAGGTGTGGTGTTTAATTTTCAGTCTCTTTCTCTGTTATATGAATTTTAATCTTCTCTGGTTAATGAAATTTCAGGGAAGAGATGGAAAGCAATTGCATTCCTTTTTTGGAGATCTGGTTTCTCCATAGATAAGGGAGCTTCAGAGAACAGCCTCATTCTGTGCTTTGGGAGAGACAGAGGACTAATAGACAAAAGGGATGGGGTTGGGGCAGGAGTCAGAGAGGTCTTGAGGCTGCTTCTTTAGTCCAGCATGTCAAAGCACCATATTTTAGGGTATCATATTTTAAGCCCCAACATTTCCATAGAATGAGAAATGGCATTGTTACCATGGGCTTGTGGTCAATTGAGACAACAAAAAAAAATTGCTATAGAATGGGTTTTCTGCTTGAACTGGCATTGTTTATGAACCACTGCAGTGAAAGAGTCCTTGTCACATGCAAGTGTGTTGGACATCTTGCTCCCCAAACTCTCTCTTTTCTTGACATCTTTCTACTTCTCTTTGCCTTGTTCTTGTTCTTCTTTGAATGCCAGAAGAATGCTCTTTCTGGCATTCTTCCAATATTAATTTAAACATCACCACTTTTTAAAGAGGTCCTGGAATAGACCTCTCTAAATCAGCCGAAATCTCCATTCTAGTTAATCTCCATTATATCACTGTACTTATTCACTTAATAACAAAGGCAGCGCTATTACTACCTATAAAAAACTGGTTTTATTTCTTTGTTTGCTTATGTATCAACTGTTATCTCCTGCTGGAATATAAACTACATTAGGAGTATGTTTTTCTGTTTTTATCTATTTTATACAAAGCTATTAACCTATAATTGGCACTCAAAATTTTTTGATAATTTGTCCATGTATGTATTCATCTATATATTCATTCATATATCAAATAAACATTTACTTAGCATTTACTATAGGCCGGGCATTTTTTTTTAAGGCATAGGGGACATAGAAAAATACAAAATAAAAAATCTCTGCCCTTATGACTATTGCAGTCTAGAGATGGAGACAAATAATAAACAAATAGACAGGTAACAGATAGCATATGAGAAGTGGATATGTGCTATGGAGAAAAATAAAGCACACAAGAGAATGGTTGCCATTTGGAAGGGAGGTTTTATGTTACATATGGTAATAAAAGAAGGCCTCAAGGTGAATGTGATATTTGAACAGAACACTGAAAGAAGTGGAATATTTACTGTAATTAAAAAAAGGAATATTTTAAATGGTCTAAAGAGAAGTGATCTGGCTCTTATTTTAGAAACATCATTTTGGCTCTTGGACTGAATATGTATTGTAGGGGGCAGGATCTTGTGGAAGTAAGGAGACGATAGTACACAGTATATAATTGTCTAGGTGAGAAGTAACATTGCTTTTGACCAGGATATTAGTAGTAAAGTTCAGAAGACCTGTTTTATATATTTTCAAGTTACAACATATAGAATTTACTGATGAAATAGACATATAATGTGAAAAAAAAAGAGAAGGTTAAGGGCGACACCTAGATTTTTGGCCTGACTCCTTAGAAGGATGGAACTGCCAGTTACAGAGAAGAGCTGTGGGAAAAACAGGTTTGGGGTTAACGAGTATAACTGGGGTATGTTAAGATGATAGACGGTTAGGGAGACCATCCTGCTTCTGAAGTTTGTTCAATTTCTTTCAGTTTAAAATACTCAATATGTCAAGGTGTCATATTTTGGGGCAGCATTTCCTGTACTCCATTATTAGAATATGGGCCTTCGTGATGCTGCAGGAGCAGGAAGATGTAGAGGTGACAGGAAGAGGCCCCTCTGGTATTGGGTTAAGAAACAGTTAATCAAGAATTG
The DNA here is from genome assembly GCF_000001405.40 of Homo sapiens. Lineage (NCBI taxonomy): Eukaryota > Metazoa > Chordata > Mammalia > Primates > Hominidae > Homo > Homo sapiens. Next base: position 40,225,343 of record NC_000018.10, read on the forward strand.
ATATTTAACTGAGACCTGAATGATATGTAAGAGTTAGCTAAGTCAAGAATAGAATTTAGAGTGTTCATTTGCTTATTCTTGAAATTCAGCTCATGTAATTCTGTTTCTGGGATTTGGAGAGATAATTGTTATTTCAAAATGGGCAGCAAATTTATTAATCTATGTAAGTATACATTTTTATTAAAAAGCTTGTCACATAAGCTTTTTATAAAAATAATAAATACATACATCTTTATTTATTTGTTATTTATTTCTTTATTAGATGCCACTGCCATTCTTTCTTATAATCCCTCTCCCACCTCCATCAGACACTCCCATAAACTCATTCCAGTGAAATGTTTTTCTTTGAAATAATACAAAACAAAGGGAAGATGGATTTGAGTTTGGGGAATTTTATTTACAAAGGAAAATTTTGTTTACGAAGGAAAGATAAGATGTATTACACATTTCGTGGAATAACTTGAATAAATTAATAGAAAGTTATCTTGCAGTGCATTTTGACCTTGCAAGTATTCTAAATGTACAGTATTATTACAGTATTGTGAATGAATACTGTTGTGTGCCCACATGCTCCTTCAGGACCACAGCCCTAATTTTCCCAACTATCTGGAGCATCCTTTCCTCTGGAAGTTGCCTTCTGATGAAAGAAATCCATCTTCCAAGGATAGCCGTCCTTTCTAGGGTCAGCACAGATCTAATGAATATTTAATGCTGGGGTACAAGGGATTGTCTTGCACCTCAAGTCAGGACACCTCTGAAAAGCCATCTCAGCTCTATAAATCTCTATGAGGTTGGCTGAGGGCTCTGTTGAAACTGCATGAGTTCAGTATCTTCTTCAACCCAGTTCTACTTTCCTCACTCCTTTAAAGATATTATTTTTAAAGATACTACTCAGTAAACCTTCTGTAAGCACATTTCTGCTTCAGAATCTATTTCCTGAGGAACTGTGACAGACAGAATCATTTAAATCATCTGCAGTAGATTGCTGTAGCAAATGGCATTTAGACACCCCAGTTAGAATTGAGAATGTTCCCTTTGCTAAAAATGCTATTATAATTTTGGATTAAATCAATAAAAAATATCCTTCATTCCCATGTTGTGAGTTCTTGTTAACATGGGCTGAGTTTGGATTTTGATTCTCTAGCTCTCATCACTAGACAAATGAATAGATGAATGTATAATGCCTGATCGGAGAGAATAACCTAAAGCCTCAGATGAAAGGCCCTACCAAATGCTCCCATTGTTTTTTGAGGTGTTCTTCTGTCTTCTGAAATTTTAGAACTTTAATCTGGACATTCTCTTTAGGAAGGCCAAGTAGAAAACATCCAGAATAGGACACAGATGATCCAAATTATGGAGGGCCAAGATGCCAATCTCACGTACTTAAAGGATTTAGTAAAGAAATAGATTTAGCCCTAAGAAGTTGAAGTCACATTGGACATCTAAAGATACGATGAATGGAAATTATAAAGATGCAGCTGCTGCTCATTAGCAAGATAACTGGTTCACATTTGGAAAAATATATCCTGTGAGGTCCTAAATGCACAGAACAAACTGAAATGAAGGTGACCAGGAGCCAAGGATGATGCAGAAGAGATACAGGGATTGTCCTGCTTTGATTTTGCAACATCGAGACTTGCACCAGGAAGGGTCTTAGTTTGAAGTTCATGTCTATACAATGCGGTAGTCTACACAAAAAGAGAAATACATGCACCAAATGTATTTATGGTAAATGAATAAATGCATAAATCTGTATACTAGTTTTCATAGTTGTGGTTATGGAGATAAATGTTCTAAGATGACATTGCACCTTAGCTTTGGTTCATTTATTTTCACTGTTTTAGAGCATTACATATAGGACAATGTGTTTATCATTCTTTTTATGGAAGTACAACTGTGGTAGTTTATTTGTTTTTGTGATTACTGTTAGTACCCACAGTGCTGCTATGCATATCTTTGTGCATGCTTCCAAGTGCACATGTGTAAGAATTTCTCTAGAATACATAAGAGGCATGACTGATCTCAAGGTGTGAGAATCATTTCTTTTAATAGAAAATGCCAAATTATTTGCTAAAGTGATCAATATTCACTTCCACCAGCAGTATGTAAAAATCAATTGCTTCCAGACAGCACCAATACTTGTCTGACTTCTATATGTTATACCAGCGCATTGTGCATGAAATACTCTATTATAGAGACTTTAAATTTCACTCTGTTGATTATTGAGAAATTGAGGGTCTTTTCATATAATTCACATGATATCTTTCTTTCCTATTCTGTGAAATGCCAGATCATTGCTTATAGTGTCTTTGTTGGGGGCAGGTGCACAGGTGTTTAAAAAATCTTTTTCTAGGAGTTCTTTATATATTTTGTAGGTAGTCTTTGTTAGTTATATACGTATGAAATATCTTCTTTCAGTTTGTATTTTTTTATTTGCTTAATAACTTTTTGGATTAATGGAAAAGTTAATTTTAATATGTTCACATTTATTTGTCCTTTATGATTTACATCTATTAAGTCTTGTTTAAGAGATTATTTTCTATGTAAGTGTTTTTGTACTGTTGTTATAACAGAATACCACTAATTGGGTAATTTATAAAGAAAGAAAGTTTATTTAGCTCATGGTTCTAAAGCTGGGAAGTCCAAAAGCATGGTGCTGGCACCTTGTGAGGGACTTCTTCCTGCATTAAGACATGGCAGAGCGCATTGCATGGTAAGCTGGTGAGAATGTGCCTGTGTGTCAGTGTAAATCTCTTTTTCTCATCTTGTGAAGCCACGAGTCTCATCAGGGAGGCTCCTCACCCCTGTGACCTTTTCTAACCCTAATTATCTCCCAAAGGTTCCACCTCCAATCAACATATGAATTTTGGAATCAAACCTCCAATACATGAAATCTGGCGGGCACAGTCAAGCCATAGCAGCAAGGTCTTTTAGAGATTCCCCGATTTTTTTGTAGTTTTGTATTTATAATTTGGATACTTACATTTACATTTTTAAACTACCTCAATGATTCCTGTTAAGAGTATGGCGTAAAGATCCAAATTCCATTTTTTAAAATGTTATGGATAAGTGATTCTTCTGGCAAAATTTATTGATGACTTTGTTTTCTCTCTTGCTACCTAGCAGTGCACTTGGTCCCTAAGCAATTTGAGATGTAGGTCTGATTCCAACTCTAAAGGGTTTCTTATCTATACTCTCTTACTCCCATTTTTTTTCTTTATATGTTACTGTAACTACATAATAAATCTGGATATTTGGTAGTGTTTGACCATTTTTAATACTGTAAGTGTATTGTTTATTCTTCTACTTTTCTCCTCCATACACATTTTAGCATCAGGTAATAATATTTTTTAAAAGCCTGTTGGCTTTAAAAATCCTGTTGGGGTTTTTTTTTTTTTGGAGGCTTTTTTTCAACCCCTCCCCCACTTTATTTTATTAAGGTGAGATTCATAGAACATAAAATTAGCCATTTTATTTCATTTTTTATTTTTTTAGAGGTGAGTTCTCACTCTGTCATCCAGACTGGAGTGCAGTGGTACGATCACAGCTCACTGCAGCCCCCAATTCCCGGGCTCAAGTGATCCTCCCACTTCAGCCTCCCAAGTAGCTGGGACTACGAGTGCATGCAATCAAGCTGGGCTAATTTTTTATTTTTGTAGAGATGGGCTGGGTTGGGCGGGGGGGTGGGTCTCACTATGTTGTCCAGGCTGGTCTTGAGCTCCTGGCCTCAAGCAATAAAATTAACCATTTTGAAGTGAGCAATCCAGTACCACTGAGTGCACTCAAATGTTATGCAACCATCACCTCCAATTCCAAAACATTTGTATCACCCTATAAGAAAACCCCATATTCATTAAGCAGTTACACCCCTCCCGTCTCCCACTACCCCCTGGCAATCGCCAGTCTGCCTTCCATCTACATGGATTTACCTATTCTGGACATTTCACATGAATTGAATCATACAATATGTGGACAGGCTATCCAGCCTGGGTGACAGTGTGAGACTCTGTCTCAAAACAAAACAAAACAAAACAAAACTGCAGACTATCGCTCTCTAACTGTCCCATAGGCACCACAAACTTGACAAGCCCAAAGTGAAACTCACCGCCCTCCCAAATAGCCTTGGTTGTTGTCCTTCTTGGCAACAACTTAGATTACCTGATTTCTTCCACTTAGCCAAGCGTTTTGGGGTTCAAGCATGTTTTAGCTTGTATCAGCACTTCATTCCACTTTAGGGTTGATCCCACTCTCTTACAACTCACAGCCAATCAGCCAGTGAATCCAGCTGAGTCTACCTTCAAAGTATTTCTAGAATGGATTCACTTCCCACTATTTCCACTGTTGGCACTTCATTCCCCCTCCCCAACATAGCATCACCTGTCATCTGGATTTTCTTACTTCTGTCCTTCATGCTTCCCACTCCCTCCCCACTCTTCCTGGTCCAGTTTTTTTTTCTTTTTTCTTTCTTTCTTTATTATTATTATTATTTTTTATTATACTTTAAGTTCTAGGGTACATGTGCACAACGTGCAGGTTTGTTACATATGTATACATGTACCATGTTGGTGTGCTGCACCCATTAACTCATCATTTATATTAGGTACATCTCCTAATGCTATCCCTCCTCCCTCCCCCCACCCACAACAGGCACCGGTGTGTGATGTTCTGCTTCCTGTGTCCAAGTGTTCTCACTGTTCAATTCCCACCTATGAGTGAGAACATGCGGTGTTTGTTTTTTTGTCCTTGTGATAGTTTGCTGAGAATGATGGTTTCCAGCTTCATCCATGTACCTACGAGGGACATGAACTCATCCTTTACGGCTGCATAGTATTCCATGGTGTACATGCCACATTTTCTTAATCCAGTCTATCATTGATGGACATTTGAGTTGGTTCCAAGTCTTTGCTATTGTGAATAGTGCTGCAATGAACATACGTGTGCATGTGTCTTTATAGCAGCATGATTTATAATCCTTTGGGTATATACCCAGCAATGGGATGGCTGGGTCAAATGGTATTTCTAGTTCTAGATCCCTGAGGAATCGCCACACTGTTTTCCACAATTGTTGAACTAGTTTACACTCCCACCAACAGTGTAAAAGTGTTCCTGTTTCTCCACATCCTCTCCAGCACCTGTTGTTTCCTGACTTTTTAAAGATCGCCATTCTAACTGGTATGAGATGGTATCTTATTGTGGTTTTGATTTGCATTTCTCTGATGGCCAGTGATGATGAACATTTTTTCACGTGTCTGTTGGCTGCAAAAATGTCTTCTTTTGAGAAGTGTCTGTTCATATCCTTCACCCACTTTTTGATGGGGTTGTTTGTTTTTTTCTTGTAAATTTGTTTGAGTTATTTGTAGATTCTGGATATTAGCCCTTTGTCAGATGAGTAGATTGCAAAAATTTTCTCCCATTTTGTAGGTTGCCTGTTCACTCTGATGGTAGTTTCTGTTGCTGTGCAGTAGCTCTTTAGTTTAATTAGATCCCATTTGTCAATTTTGGCTTTTGTTACCATTGCTTTTGGTGTTTTAGTGATGAAGTCCTTGCCCATGCCTATGTCCTGTATGGTATTGCCTACGTTTTCTTCTAGGATTTTTATGGTTTTAGGTCTAACATTTAAGTCTTTAATCCATCTTGAATTAATTTTTGTATAAGGTGTAAGGAAGGGATCCAGTTTCAGCTTTCTACATATGGCTAGCCAGTTTTCCCAGCACCATTTGTTAAATAGGGGATCCTTTCCCCATTTCTTGTTTCTGTCAGGTTTGTCAAAGATCAGATGGTTGTAGATGTGTGGTATTATTTCTGAGGGCTCTGTTCTGTTCCATTCGTCTATATGTCTGTTTTGGTACCAGTACCATGCTGTTTTGGTTACTGTAGCCTTGTAGTATAGTTTGAAGTCAGGTAGCGTGATACCTCCGGCTTTGTTCTTTTGGCTTAGGATTGACTTGTCAATGCAGGCTCTTTTTTGGTTCCATATGAACTTTAAAGTAGTTTTTTCCAATTCTGTGAAGAAAGTCATTGGTAACTTGATGGGGGTGGCATTGAATCTATAAATTACCTTGTGCAGTATGGCCATTTTCATGATATTGATTCTTCCTATCCATGAGCTTGGAATGTTCTTCCATTTGTTTGTGCCCTCTTTTATTTCGTTGAGTAGTGGTTTGTAGTTCTCCTTGACGAGGTCCTTCACATCCCTTGTAAGTTGGATTCCTAGGTATGTTTTTCTCTTTGAAGCAATTGTGAATGGGAGTTCACTCATGATTTGGCTCTCTGTTTGTCTGTTGTTGGTGTATAAGAATGCTTGTGATTTTTGCACATTGATTTTGTATCCCGAGACTTTGCTGAAGTTGCTTATCAGCTTAAGGAGATTTTGGGCTGAGATGATGGGGTTTTCTAAATATACAATCATGTCATCTGCAAACAGGGGCAATTGGGATCTTTAATGGAATTATATTGAAACTATAGTTTATTTGGGGAAAACTGTTATTCAGTATTGCATTCTCTTATTTGTAAGCATTGCATATGAGTTCATTTACCTAAATATTTTCCAATGTCTTCCAATATACATCTATAACCTTCTCCATGAGAGGCTTGCAAATTCTGCACTTTTGAAATGATCCATACTGAATTATATTCTATTTTAATGATTGTGTGGCATATTCTTTCACTTTTTTACATTTTTCAATTATATCTATTTTAAATAATACCATTTATTGCATATTAATAACTTTAATATTTTCACAACGAAATGTCCTTAGAAATATTAATCTCATCATTTAAAAGGAAAGTTAAAAAACCTACGACAAATGAAGGCAAGAAGAAAATAACTTGAAGACACATAAGCATTCCTGCCAACATCATCCCAGTGATGGAAAAAAATTATAATAAAATCCTTATGAATGCATTTTTATAAATCCAGCTTTTGTGTTTTTTGCTGGGATGTGTCTACTGCTAAGAAATTGTGCTCTGACTTGTTCAGATACCAAGTTCTATTCTTGTTGGATTGATGTTTGGGGGTTTATGATAGATAGAAAAGTAAAATCTAACACCTTTACCTCCACCATCCTTACTTCAAAAGAAACTGCTCTGTCTGATACTCTCCCTGAAGTTTCTATTGACAGGACATCAATCATTTTATTTGTATACACGTTTTCACAACATTAAAAGTGCCTCACAAAGCTAGTAACACTCAGTTCTCAATATAGACGACAAGTTATTTGTTCAAAAGGCAAGCTTATCAAGCCTGCACCACTTACTTTCTGGGTCCAGAGCTATATTGGCTGAATATGAAATAAGGGTAGAATCTGTTGCCCATGCCATTAGACAAGCAGAGGCCCTATGAAAGTCTCTATATCAGCTTCTTGGAATTTCAGGCTGTAAGCTCCTGTGTGTCAGAAGGGACCATATATATCCACAAGGTAAAAGGATGTGCCAGATTCTCCAGGAGTCTTCCATATGTAACTGCCATAAGTCTCAAATCTCTAGGCTAAAAGTTATCATGGAGTACGAACAGTTTTAGGGGCTACACTCAGTATCCAAGTCTCACTGCATACAGTCATTTTAACTAAAACTGAATACAAACACCATTTCTTTATTGGCAAAATGTGCAATCACTTTTTGTTTTAGCCATTCTTCAACATGAGCCATTCATTCAGGTGGAGTCTACCTTCTCACTTTCTCTTCAGGCACCTCGTCTTCTGCCCTGCTCTACCCTGCCCTATGACCTTTCTTCTAGGTTATCATAAGCACACCTCCCTTGTCTTTTCAGTCACCATATTACACTGGCATGATTCATCCTCTCTCTCATCTGAATATTTTAACCTACATTTACTTTCTTCATACAATTTATTTCAATAGTGTCTTAGAGATAAATTATATTTGCATATATGTATCAATGCTGTCTGTGAGTATCAGTTTGATGCCAGAGTTATGTGATCATGTAAATTTCTCTTTGAGTTCCACAGGCCAGCTGTGTAATTATACTCATGATGTAATACATATAGCACATACACACACACATACACACACACACAGGCACACAGCATGTATATATTAAATTTTCATATTATTATTTATATGTTGCTGTAGAAAATTTCTTGGTTCATATACTCATGTTCTTCCTATTAGAGTATTACTAGAAACTTGAAGCAGAAGATGTGTATCTTTGTTCCCTAATTTCTTCCAGAAACAAAATAAAAAAAACTATGCCTGTAAAAGGCTGTATATAAAAATTTTTGAGTGACTGGCATAACTAAGAAGTAGGATAATTTTGTTTTATATACTGCCAATAATAAAAAAGTTGTGGCAATGGAAAATTTGTATATGTTTTAATACACAGTTATTTTTAAATGATCATAAATATCAATTATATGTACATATGAATTTATACATATAATCTATATAATTATTTTATAGTAATCAATAAATTAGGTACTTCTACTATAAAACATTACATATAGATATGTATATGTTACAGAGAGATTGTTGTCTTTTATAATAATATAAAGCAAATTATAATATTAAGTATTTATTTCAATAGTTATTAAAATATGTAATTTATCATTGATATCAGTGGGTTTATTTCTTAGAAAAAACAAAATTTTATGGTTTTTAAAGAAACATGTTATGGCCTGGAAAAAAATATTTATAGTGTCTAACTTGTGCAAATATTTTCTTCTCAACAAATTCTTCTATTAACACATACATTTATAGTCATAAAACAACCTTTAAGCCACATTTTACTAAGCCCTAAAGCAGATGAAAATCAAATGCAGATGTGGAAAGGGAGCCAAACAGATGCTGAAAAACTCTGTCAATATCCTAAAGGAATCCATTCCCTATCAGAAAGAAACTTAATTTCTACTATAAAGAATTTGATTATGTATTGTTATACAAAATGTGATTAATGTTTTGTGGTGATTAATCAACTGCAAAATATATAATTATGCCATCTGTATTTTTCCAGCTTCTTGTCACTTACAAATTCTGCAGGGGAGTTGGGAGGTGGGGTATTGAGAACTTGTGGCATTTGGAGAGCTTTAAAGCCACAGGAGACTAGTCTGGGGAAACAGAGCAACTTAAAGACCTGGTGCTTATTCTAATGGAAAAGTACTAAAGAACATAAACAAAGAGACCCCCAAAGCCCACTGGCTCCCTGCAGAATGAAACACTGATAAGAGAGGCCCATAACCTCCCAGACACAGCAAGAATTAGTGCTTCTAGATAAATTGCCATTTGCTTTTCACTCCAGAAATGGGTTACAGACTTCATCTTGACTCGTGGAAGTAACAGTTACAGTACCAAGCAAGGTTTATCATTTATTTCAAAACAAATAAAGTGAATACTTTTGCATTTCCAGTCCACTATAATTCAAGATGTAGGACTGTGATTAAGGTGTATGCTATGATTGATATTCATATCTTCCCCCCAAAATGAAAACTGTTAAGAGTTGTATTTACATGAATGTCCCAGTTGGACAAAGTTTCAATATAGTTGAGAGTTGCTTATAAAGTTCAATTCTGCAGAATACCTAGGGTTTTAATATATTGTTTTGACCTAGATAATGCTAGATAATATGTTTCACTGATTTTTTTTATTTTACTATTGCTCTGGGGGGGGGCATTATATGGAAACAACTTACAGTGAGTTTTGTTTCAAATTCTTGATGTTTTTTCATGAAAATAGCATTTTACTTGTGTGCTATATGGTAGCACAAAGAGCTGTTGTAGTTGATTTTCTCTTAGCATGCTACCTTGACTCTGGATATACATCAGAATCACATGGAATCCACTTTTAAACATAAATTCTGTGCCATACCTGCAGATAATGCTTGAGTTGCCCAGAGGTGGGGGCCAAACATTCGTGATTTTAGAATTTCCCAGATACTTTTCATGTAATGTTTATCCAAAATGAATATGCAATAGGCCAATGGTTCTTCAAGTGAGGTCTCCAGATCGCCAGCATGAGCAACAGCTGGAAACTTTTTTAAAATGCAAATTATTAGACTCCACTTCAGATCTACTGAATTCAAACCTCTGGGAATGGGGTCTAGGGATCTGTGATGCAGTAAGCCCTGCAGACAACTTTGGAGCATATTAATTGTTCCTCAAACTTCAGCTGGCATCAGAATCAGAATGTCTGATATTGTAGGTTTGGGGCGTGCCTCAGTAATTTGAATTTCTAACTAGCTTCCATGTAGGGCTGATGCTGCTTGTTCAGGAACTTTGGTCATTACTGGGCTAAAGTGCTGCAGAACTGTAATCTGCAAATAACAAGACAATGTGTCTAGAGGTGTTTTAATCTGTCAAGCCGTATCATTTTTGATCTAAAAACTATTCTTTTTAAAAATTTATTTTGGGAGACAGGCTCTCTTGCTCTATCGCTCAGGCTGAGCTCACTGTAACCTTAAGCTCCTGGTCTCAAGTAATCCTCCCGTCTCAGCCTCTCAAGTAGCTAGGACTACAGGTGGTTGCCACAGTGCTCAGCTAATTTTTTATTTTTATTTTCTAGAGACAGCGTCTTGCCATGTTGACTAAGCTGGTTTCAAATACTAGCCTCAAAGAATCCTCTCGCCTCAGTCTTCCAATGGAATGGAATTACAGGCGTGAGTTACCGCACCCAGGCAAGAATTACTCTCCTTTAAAAGACAGGCTTTGTAAAACTTTTAGTTTTAAATCACACCAAGTGATACTAAACAGTCTCTGTCGCGCTTTTAGAACAAAAGCTATTTGTGTGCAGGAGCTCCTGTCTTGTTCATTACTGGCAGCACAATTTAGCTCTCAGTAAACATTTGTACAATGAAGGAGTACATGAAAGCCTTTGTTTGTTTCTTTTGTTTTATACTGGCTTATAAATAGCATACATTTATTTATCACTGTTCCAGAGGCTAGAAATTCCAAGATTGAGGTACTGTCAGATTCAGTGCCTGATGAGGGGTCACTTCCTGGTTCATAGATGGCCACGATTTTGTTGTGTCCTCACATAGTTGAAGGGGAAGGAGAACTCTCTGGGGCCGCCTCTTTTATAAGGTACTAATCTCATTCATGTGGTCTGCCTATTCATATCCTAATCACCTTCCAAAAACCTTACCTCCAAATACCATCATGTTGGGGATGAAGTTTCAGTATATGAATTTGCATGGATTTAGGGAACATTTTTTAGGGCATCATATGTCCCAGGGTAAGTGTATCAATGGAGGGTTAGCATTTAAAACTTTTATAGTAATTTGTCGGACTGCATTGTGTCTGTTTTCATGTAATAATAAAAGACACATTCGGGCTTGTATTTTTTAATACCTGCTTTAATTTCATTTTCATAAATGTAATATCTATTTTAAGCTCATGGTATTTTCATATATTTATTTTTTTGTAAAAGTATTCATACACAATAGATTGGTGGGAGAAATATGTTTAAAACATATTTATATATTTATAATACATAATTTATATATAATATATATATTTTTAAAATATAGTTTAAAAAGTGTAACCAATCCGGCTAGTCAGAGTAGAACTTATTGGACCAGAAATCACAGCCTCAGACAATGACTGCTTGATAAGAATGTTTTTAATGATCTAGCAACTAAAATTTGGAGGAGTACGGGTTAATATTTGGAGAAACAAGTTTTCTGCTATCCATGGGACTGAATCATCGTTTCTCACTAGGGCCTGGTTATTTCTTCCAACCTTGGAACACTGGTTGCTCTAGACCAACCTCAGTGAACATGTATTTTGATTGAACTCATCAGTAAACTCAGTCTACACAAAGATTTGACTTGTTTTTTTTTCCATAGTTGTTTTAATTCATTGCCAAGCTGTTTTGAAATAATATTGTTTGGAGGTATTTCTGGTTAAAAGATTAAATCCATTCAGTTTGACAATTCACTACAATCAAATATCTATTGTCTCTTTTTCTTTTTTATTCTGAAATGGTTATTATGAAGCTGAACGAGCCGGTGATGCTACCACTGCAGTTATTTTTTCATTTATATGGCTCTAATATCTGTAAACCTTTAATATTGTCAGTCATAAAATTATGAATCTGCCATTAGCAACTTACAAAGGACAGAGTAACTCACTCATAAAGGAGAAACTACATTTTCTCTTGTTTCTTTGTATACATTTTCTGATAATTGTAATAATAAAATTGGAAATATAAAAGAATTTTATGGCAGTTTAATTGGGTTTGCGGTTTTAAAACTATGGGTTTGATATAACTAAATGATAGCAGAGGATAAGTAATGATTTTTTAGGAGAACACAATTTTTGTAGGATAATTTCCTTCTTTTTCTCCTTTATATGGTGAGAAGGAAGAAAAGAATTTGAGAAATTAAAGGCTTAGGAAAGGAGGAGGAGAGCTTCTCTGTGGGAAAGGTTGACATCGATGTAGCCTCAGAAATGTTATTCTTAATGCAGTGGGAAATCTTTGCATCTTTGTATTCCTCTTAAAGAGATTTGGATAAGAGCTTCAGTTTAAACTGTTTCAGGAAAGTGATACAGAGACTTGATTGTTTAACATCTCATGTCCACCTGTGTATAAAAACAGAGTGTATTTAACATATTTTACCAAGATCTCAAAAGATGTCAGATTCTGTCAAATGTGGCATATTTTCTCGAGACCTCAAAGAGACTTTGGATTTATCAATTTAGTGAGGAATGTGTAATTTGCACCACATGTGCAAATCATCAGGTGGCTACCACAAAAAACAAAAAAGAAAAAGAAAAAGAAGCCAACATTAAACAATGTTGCCAAATTTTGATAAGCAACATTATCACTCATCAGGATGACTTAAAAAGAAACAAATTTCTTATTTAGAATTTGGAGATGTTTCACAAAAAGAAGTCAGAAAAATTTTTTTAGGAGAAATACAGAAAAATTGAAATTTGATAATAAAGAATATATATTTTAAGATGAGAAATATAGTAAAACAGTACCACTTACACAACCTAAATGCATAGTTATTTTAAAGATTTTATAATGAATATTATAAAAATATATCATAATCATATATATAAAGTAATCAATATGAAATTCAAGATGGCATTTTACACCAAGTAAAGAGAGTCATATGTAGTGAATTAAAAAGAAAATAAATGAAAAGAATATTTTTTTTAAAAAAAGGGTTTATTAATCACTAATTGGGGTAGCCTTGAATTTGGGGATAAATTTAGTCATTGACCTTTAGAAGCATGACTGAGTGAAGTGTTACAGAGAAGATGAGAATTGGGAGTTATCACACACCCTTGGTGAAGTACTTTCAGTTGCCATAATTTTGCAAAATTAAATCTCTTTGTAATATCAAAAACTTGGAAGTATCCATTAGGAGAAGAATTTATAATTTTCACATGTTGACAAATGAATAAAAGCATTCTATCTGTGTAGATACAGATTTATATTGAAGATTTTTAATGTAGAGTGAAAAAAGAAAGTTGCAGGATGGTTAAATACAGAATGAGACTAAAGCAAATAGCGCATCATTCATGGCTTATAAATACATTTGGATGGTAGCTCCTCCAGACAAGGGATTGAGAGTGTGTTGAGAAAAAATGTAATTTCATCTATATCTGTTACTTAACAACAAAAGATATTATATGCAGAAATTATTATTTTGTTAATGCTTAGTAATTTCTAGAGGTCAGTTAGTTTATTTTACCTTTAGAATATTTTATAATACAAGAAGTTGAAGGAACAAAAAAATGACACCATATAATTCTGCTTCAGAGTGAAGCCAAACAGATTGTTTTGCTAATTTCATCATTTTTATTGAAAGTGCTTATTGACCTATGTGAATACAGTACTAGGTTGAACTATACATTCCTATGTACAATGTGTTTGCAATTTCAAAGCCCCATCTGGAGAAAAAAAATTTGAGGAGGCTGAAATTTTAGGTATAGTTCCTTATTTCTTGTGGTATTTTGTGTAAATAGCTCTAGTTTTCACAAACCATGTTCTCTCTGCATAAACTTTCGTAACATTGCAAAAAGAAATTCAACTCAAAGCAAAGCAAAGTATATTCATTTTCATTTAATAGCTACATATTGAAAAAATATTATTTCTATGTGTTCATTTAATTACAAGCTTCTTTGAAAGAACTAACTGCTAATGCTTTGTTATGGAACTTCAACTTTTCAAAGATACCATATCAGGGTATCCAATTAAAGGAGACCATTAAGGAAATACATTGCAATTAAGTTTACATTCAACAGATAGGACTTCTTGGTAGATAAGAGAAATCGTTTAAATGTAGGCTATTTATTTATTTTTACATTTTATCATGTTGATTATCACAGCATGAGGTATTCTTTTAGATTAAAAACATTGCAAAATGTTAAATTTAAAAAATGAAAAAGCCAATATGCACAATTAAACAATTATCACTTTCAACCTAGACTCACAAATGAAAATTAATAAGTAAAACAAGAACACATAAACACTTAGGGGGTCTCAGTTATACTCCCTGCCTCTGTGGCAGCTCCATTAACTTGAAACCTTGGATTGTTATTAAGAAATTACAGTCTTGCCTTAGGAAAGGAGTAGAGTTATGCTTGTTCATAAACCTGGAATATATCTTCCTTATCATCATGGTTTCCACCTTCATAGGTGGAAGAGATATATATTTCAACATGTGACACTTAATAAATCCACAGTCCACCTCTTTTTTTCCCAAAATACATTTTCAAATTCCATTAAAGATTACGTAGTAAGTTTGCAACTAGAGGCAAAGCCCATGCTTCAAATACATAGCAATGATAAAAGAACATATAAAAGAGTAAATAATGGCAATGGCAATAACAAAAGCACTTCATGCAGGCTCAAAAAACCAGATTATATACTTTCATGGACCAGAAATAGAACAGATGCACAAAACTGTGAGCGCAGTGATGGTGTCAGGCCTGCTGGTCTCCAAGATTATGAACAGACAATAGAAATGATATTCAGTAAGGAATCACCTGTTTAAAGCCAGAGGACAGTAGTTAGAATACTTTGAAACTAGCTTAAAAAAATCCGAAACTTAAGAATCCAGGGAAGCTCATAGACAAGGTCAAAGATATGTGAACAGAAAATTCAGCAAATCACAGCTGGCTGGATAAAAGGAAATACAAAATCCCTGATAGTTTAACAAGAAAGATATCTGAGCCACAACTATAAGGATCGAGGTCCAGTGAGGAGGGTGGGCAAATCTGATATGCATGAATCAATGACAGGTAAGAAAAGGAGGATGAAGTGAAGGAAAGAGCAAGAAATAAGAAGCACACACACAAAACTTTCCACTCAAAATTAACATTTAATTCAAAATTGCAAAAACAGGTAAAAATGTATATATGCACAATATTCTATAGTATATATTTTTATCATATATATTTCAACATAAATTCCTGGAAAAGAGAATTTAGCTAGATGAGACTCATTTTGTACAAATGTTTTAAAATAATTTAAACACACTGAATTAGAACAAAATAAAATTTAAACTTCTCTACACAAAAGGCAAAATAAAGTTAAAGGACAACAAATGGCAAAAAAAATTATGATACATCTAAATGACAAATGATTATTCTCTGGCATATATTAAGAATTTACCAAATCTGTAAGGAAAATACAATCAACTTAAAGGTTATGAGCACACAACACATACAAGGAAAACAGTTAACCAAAGGTATGAAAAGATGTTCAACCTAATTGTTACCAGGGAAATGAAAATATAAACAAAATATTTCATCTGCATCTGATTGGCAAAATGTGAAATGTCTGCTAATGCTATGTGTTGGACACGTTGTTCGCTTTGGCAGCCTAATATAAAATTCATAGGTAATATTACCTCTCTATACACATACATTCAAAAATCCAACAATATAACATGATAGTATCATAATATATAGCATCACAATTAAAATATGCAAGGAGAAATAAAGAAAAGTAATTTATAATGTGATTATATAGTATAATATATCAATGCTTGGGCATGACAACATAATGTCAGGCATTTGCCTCTATATCACCATGAAAGGGGCAGCAATGAATACAAATCCTGACATTTTTAGTAGAGGATTTAATGGCCATGGGCATTTCTGTCATTAGTGATGTACTTTTTCCAAGTAGTGACCAATTTTTTTGTACAGATCCTTATCTGTCACTACACACACACACAATGTATCTTTCTACAACTGTCACAGTGGTTCCAATCATTGGAAATTCAGCATAAGTTAAAACTAAGCAAAACTACTTTGGATATGTATGAAAGATAATTGACATTATAGCTTTGATAATTACTCACAGGATCTCTTTTTAAAAAACAATCTTGATAGGTGTCCAGTTATACTTTCAAAAGACCTCTGAGGAACAGAACAATTCTTATGGGGGGACTGTTGCATATATTGTTGGTCATCTCACATTCCTAACATCCACCAGCTTCGTGCTTGTAGTGCTTTCCAATCATTACGGCAACCCAAAACATCCCTAGAAATTTTCCAGTGCCTCTCAGAATGTCACATCCCCATCTGTGAGAAGCACTGACATAGAGCAATGGGAAATTTTTCAGGATATTGATTGTGATATAAATTGGTGCAACTTACAGGGCAGCACGTTTATAATGCATTAAAATATATCACTCTCTAAGACTAAGCAATTCCACTTACGAGCATACACTCCAGAAAAACCCTACTTCATGACTCCAGGAAAAACACATATGAATTATTATTAAAACATAGAGAAAAACTGAAACCTAAACATCTATAAACAGAAGGGATAAGTAAACAGTGATACATTCTTGCCATGGAATACCTGATAGAAATATGTAAAAATGACCTAGCATTACACATATCAAAATAGATAAACTACAAAAACATAACATTGAGAAAAAGTTGAATTTATGCATTATGATGTCCACTGCATACAGTTTGTATAATAAGAAGTTAATATTTACGTTGTTGAGGACACATACACATGTAGTAAACAACAATGGCACACACCAATGGTACACACAGCTTCTTTATCTAGGAAGGGAGGGAGAGAATCTAGTATGTTACTTTCCTAAGTAGAAGGTTCAATATGGACATGTCAAAATGTTTTTGTTGTTAACCTACTATCTATGAGATTTTTAATATTCTTTTATATAACTATGTGAGGTAATTGTTTTCAAAAACTGCATATTGTTTTAGGTAATGAAAGTCAGTATCTCTTTCATGGCGTGAGACTATATTGGTAACGGAAGAGAAAAAGTTCCTTTTTTCATATGCCTTTTGTTCTGTATTTGAAATATGTCCTTACAAATAAATTCTCCCACAGGTCCACTTAGATAGCTTGCATTTTTCCTATATTATATGAAATCTAGACAATTTGACTGAATAAAACTATGTGTCATTCATCTTAGTTTCTTAGTTTCTAGCATGATGTCTAATTTATGCATCATGTGTGAGAGATACTTAAATAGATGGAATGTGGGGGTAGATTATGTGTGAAAATAAACACAGATGAATTGAATACTCTGTGCTAGGGACTTTTTTCCGGGACTGATTATCGTTGGGAGTGTGGATGGGGTATAATCTTATGCCAAAATACAGGTGTTTCCCATCGTTGCTGAAGCTTTAAAAAGTAAAAATCATTTCATAGGCTATTTCTGCATATTTCAGACATTTGGCAACACACATTGAAGGAGGGATGACCTACTTGTGTTTCTTTTCTCCTTTTTCTGTATTCCCTTTATTTTACTTTTTTTTTTTAACTTGAAAAGGTCTATACAATAATAAATCACAAATAGGATTCTATTTAAAGCTATACCACTACTGTTGAAAACTTATGTTTGAGCTTTGTTTTTTTGTTTGTTTGGGTTTTATTTTCAGCTTTATTGAAACGTAATTGACAAATAAAAGTAGTATTATATTTAATATGTACAATGTGATGTTTCGGTGTAGGTATACAATCATTGTGAAATGATTACCACAATCAAGCAAATTAGCATGTTCATTATCTCAGATAATTTCTTGTGTGTATGTGATGAGAACATTTAAGATCTGCTCTCTTACCTAATTTCAAGCTTACACTACAATATTGTTAAATAAGTCACTAAGCTGTACACTATGTCTCCGGCAATTATTCGTCTTGCATAACTGAAACTTTGTATCTTTTGACCAACATCTCCCTGTTTCCCCAGACCACTCCCAGCCCTCTGGTAACCACCATTCTATTGTCTGATTTTATAAGTTCAACTTTTTCAAATTCCATATATAAGTGAGATCATGCAGTATTCATGTTTCTGTGCCTGGCTTATTTCACTCAGCATAATGGCATAATGTCTTCCAGTTTCGTTCATGTTGTCTCAAATGACAGTTTCCTTCTCTTTGTAGGATGAATAACATTCCATTGTATGTTGCATGTATGTGTGTATCACATTAGTAAATCCATTCATTTGTCAAGCTTTGGTTGATTCCATATCTTGACTATTGTAAATAATGCTGCAATGAATGTGGAATGTAGATACTTCTTTGAGACTGAAACACTGATATCATTCCATTTGGCCATATAACCAAAAGTAAGATTGCTGGATCATGTTTTTAATTTTTTAAGGAACATTCATCATGTGTTTCATAATGTCTATGCCAAATTGCATTTTCACCAAGAGTGTTCAAGGATTTTCCTTTCTTCATATCTTCACCAACACATTTCTTTTGTCTTTTTAATAATAGTAATTTAACAAGTGTGAGGTGATTTCTCACAGTGGTTTTGATTTGCATTTCCCAGATGAATAGTGATGTTGACCTTTTTTATATAAGTGTTGGCCATAGGAATGTCTTCTTTTGAGAAGTATTTGTGGAGTTTTGGAAAGTTGCAGACTAGCAGAAACTTCATAGCAAAGAGCATAAAAGTCATCAGTCAGTGACTAGGTATGCTATTTATTAGAAGTATTCAATGAATTTTGTAGAATAAATAGATTAATTGGATTTGTCACACTAAGGCATCATGCTCCATTTACCCTGCGAGTCGGCTTCCATCAGCAGCATCAGATGTTGTTTTAGAGTTGCAGGAATATCTATCACAATGACAATTTAGAGATTAGCTTTATTTGTGAAAAATACCAATTTCTATTAAAGCCCATTATACACTGTCATCATTGATTTGCCTAAAACTTTATTAAAAACATTCAGGTAGACCTTATTCTGGTGTGTAATATAAACTTTTTATTAACACCAAATTTATCACTTAAAAAATGTTGGGTGAGGTTTCTCTGGGTAGAGCAGTTTGTGATTGTCAATTGTATTTTATTTTCATCCCATACAAGAATTTTCAGCCTCAATTCCCACCCCTAGTATTCAGTCTTCAGTCAATCACTAATTCATTTAATTGATTGTCAATCATTCAATAAACGCCTGTTAGATACCATTATGTGCCATGCATCATTATAGGTGCTAGGGACAGAGTAGTGACAAAACATGCAAAAATCTCTGCTTTTATGAGGCCATTCTGATGGGGAAACAGACAATAAACTAAATTAAAATAAGTGTGTTTGTAACACACACACATACACACATATTCATTTATCTGTCTATATGTCTATCATCTGTCTATCTATTCTATATATCAAATCATGCCAGACCATATAAAGTGCTAACGAGAAAATAAAGCATAGATGAGTAAAAAGAATTTTGTGTGTGTGGCAGAAGAAGGATAATGGTGGTAGGCAGGTTGTAGTTTTTGATATGGTGACCAGGAAATGTGGATATTTGAGTGAAGGCATAAAGAAAGTGAGAAAGCAATATGTGTGACTATCTAGAAGAGGAGCTTTACAGGTAGACGAATCAGCAAGTGCAAAGATCCCAAGACTGGGGTATGCCTGGTACATCCACAGACCAGAGGCAATACCAACATGAAGACCACGGAGGTTTGCTTGAACCTGTGGAGTCAAAGATCTCTTTCTTTGTCTGTCACCTGCAGTTTCCTTCATCATGACTTTCTTGAGTCACAAAGGCCAGGACTGCAAGACTGCATTCTGGTTTTGAAGAAGAAATATTAACACTTGGAATTTAGTTCAGTTTCTTTCCCTTGGAAGCCCAGTAATTTTTAGTTACCCATGTCTCCCCAATCATCCCTTATCCAACAACTTTATGATGTAAGTTCTCCTTAAAGTTTGCATAGTTCAAAATGTTTTTGACCTCTTCAAATGTTATATACTATTTGTCAGTGTTAAAGAGTTATGCATCTGCTTCCAAAAAGGCAACTGACCTTCATAAAGGAAAGATTTGCTATTAAGAGGTGAAGCCGGCCGGGCTTCTGGGTTGGGTGGGGACTTGGAGAACTTTTCTGTCTAGCTAAAGGATTGTAAACACACCAATCAGTGCTCTGTGTCTAGCTAAAGGTTTGTAAACACACCAATCAGCACTCTGTAAAAACGCACCAATCAGTGCTCTGTGTCTACCTAAAAGTTTGTAAAAGGACCAATCAGCACTCTGTAAAAATGGACCAATCAGTGCTCTGTAAAATGGACCAATCAGCAGGATGTGGGAGGGGCCAAATAAGGGAATAAAAGCCGGCCACCTAAGTCAGCAGAGGCAACCCACTTGGGTCCCATTCCATGCTGTGGAAGGTTTGTTCTTTTGCACTTCACAATAAATCTTGCTGCTGCTCGCTCTTTGGGTCCGCACCACCTTTATGAGCTATATCACTCACTGTGAAGGTCTGCGGCTTCACTCCTGAAGTCAGCAAGACCACGAACCCACCAGGAGGAACAAACAACTCTGGACGCGCCACCTTTAAGAGCTGTAGCAACCACTGCGAAGGTTTGTGTCTTCACTCCTGAAGTCACGCCAGACCACAAACCCACTGGAAGGAAGAAACTCCAGACACATCTGGACATCTGAAGGAACAGACTCAGGAAACAATCTTTAAGAACTGTAACACTCACCGCCAGGGTTCATGGCTCCATTCTTGAAGTCAGCCAGACCAAGAAGCCACCAGAAGGAACCAATTCCAGACACGGTAACTGACTTCTACTTGTTCCATGAAATATTTATTATTATACTATTTTCAGACTAAGAAAACTGTTTAAATAGAGAGGATGAAAAATGAAAATTACATCAACTTAGTTTTAGCACATTGTACAGATAGAATTTTAAAAAATACTATTTGACTCTTACGTGGATTGTTTCTGCAAATAATCCCCGATTTATATGGCTTTATTTTTCAGGGAGCACAGATGTACCCTGAATATATGCCTTCGTTACAGAAGCTTTTTGAGGTACTGGACACGTTTCTGAATTTGCTTTACCCTGAACAAACGTAGGCAACTCAAAACCTAATTCTGAACTCTGGTCTATACCATGTTATTTTTAAGATTTATGTGCGCATTTAATTAATTATAAAAGCACTAATGAAAGGCCTGTCTCTCTATTCTATCCGTTCATACATTGTTCCGAACTCTTACAATTACTATGACTGAGAAAGATATTATATCTTGTACTATCAGCTGCCTTGTACCTCCATTTTTTTTTTTACTTTACAATTGCTTTCCTGACTATAGTAAATTTATATTCATACTAGCTTTAAAATCCCTCTGTTTAGTTTCTACAAAGAGTTTATTTTTTAATTGACTTTATTAGGTTATAATTTATACAGAGTATAATAATTTTTATCACATTGTTCAACAGATTTTGCCTATTTAACTACCCCTACATTTAAGATAGAAAACATTTTTCATCACGCAAAAGGTTCTTTAATATCTCTTCCCAGTTAGTCACTAGCCGCTACTGGTCCTGCTACTGCTGCTCTGCTGTCTATCCTTGCAGATTAAATTTGTCTTTTTTAGTGTTTCACATTAATGGAATGACACGCATATGCTCATTTGTGTCTGGATTCTTTCATTGATTATAAGGTTTTTAGATTGATCATGTGGTTATGTCTATCCAGTTCATTATTTGTTTTTAATTTCTGAGTAGTATTTCATTGCATGCTGTATCACAATTTGTTTATGCATTCATTTGTTGGTAGACATTGTTAGGATTGTTTTTTGACTATTATGGATAAAGCTTCGCTAGACAACCTTGTGCAAGTCTTTGTCTTATATATTTTTTTCCTCCACTTAGTGTAACTACTCTGTTGTACAAAAATGCATGTTTAATGTATTATATAAACATCTTTATATAATAAATACACGTATTATATAAATACATCTTTATATAATAAATACACGTATTATATAAATACATCTTTATATAATAAATACACGTGTTATATAAATGCATCTTTATATAATAAATACACGTATTATATAAATACATCTTTAATAAATACATGTATTATATAAATACATCTTTAATAAATACACGTATTATATAAATACATCTTTATATAATAAATACACGTATTATATAAATACGTCTTTATATAATAAATACACGTATTATATAAATGCATCTTTATATAATAAATGCACGTATTATATAAATGCATCTTTATATAATAAATGCACGTATTATATAAATGCATCTTTATATAATAAATGCACGTATTATATAAATACATCTTTATATAATAAATACACGTATATAAATACATCTTTATATAATAAATGCACGTATTATATAAATACATCTTTATATAAAAAATACACGTATTATATAAATACATCTTTATATAATAAATACATGTATTATATAAATACATATATAGTACATATAATATATAATATATACTGTATTTTATGAATGTATGTTTAATGCATATATTTTGTTATATATAAAAACTTTTTTCCATGTAATTTACATTTGATTCATACTTCTGTTATAATTTATATAGAGTATATTTTTTCAAAAAAATTATATACATTTATATTTATACATTTATATATACATAAATAAATATGCATTTAAATATATACATTTATATAAGTATATATAAATGTTTGTGTGTATGTTGTGTATGTGTTGTACACATTGTCTTCCAGTCTCTGCCTTTTCATCTTCTTAATAGTGCCTTTTATGGAGTAGAATTTTCAGTTTTACTAAAGGTCAATTTATTGTATGATTTTTTTCTTTTCTTTTCTTTTTTTTTTTTTTGAGACGGAGTCTTGCTCTGTTGCCCAGGCTGGAGTGCAGTGGCACGATCTCGGCTCACTGCAAGCTCCACCTCCCGGGTTCACGCCATTCTCCTGCCTCAGCCTCCTGAGTAGCTGGGGCTACAGGTGCCCGCCACCATGCCCAGCTAAGTTTTCTGTATTTTTAGTAGAGATGGGGCTTCTCCATGTTAGCCAGGATGGTCTGGATCTCCTGACCTTGTGATCCACCCACCTCGGCCTCCCAAAGTGCTGGGATTACAGGCGTGAGCCACAGCACCTGGCCTATTTTTTCTTTTATCATTATTTTTTCTGGGCTCTATGTAAGAAATTTTTACTTTCCTAAAGATGCAAAAATTTTCTTCTACCTTTTCTTCTAAAAACTTCACATTAGTTTTTACATTTACATCTGTGATCACTTTTGAATGAACTTTCATTTATTCTAAGTATTGAGATTCTTTAATTTTTATATGGATATCCAGACATTCCAGTACCATTTGTCATAAAGATGCCTTACCCAATTAAATTACTTTGGCATCTTTATTGAAAATCAAATAACCATGTAGGGATGGATGTATTTTGGGATCCTACTCTGTTGCATTGATTTGTATATTCATCTTACTCCAGTAATACATTCATTATCCGATTTACTCTTTGTTTGTAGCAATTCTATGACTAAGGCAAAATCTCCAAAATTTTTTTTAGTATTGTTTTAGTTATTCTAGACCATTTTCCTTTTCATAAAAATTCTAAAGATTGCACTGAATCTATGAAAAACTTGAGAAAAATTTTAAAAATGCTAATAATCCATGAAAATGGTATATCTGTATTAATTTAAGTTTTTTATTTCTTTTGTCAATGTTTTACAGTTACCATTGTACAGGCCAGTTCTGTAGTTATCATTATGCAGCATATTTTTGTTAAATTTAACTTTAAGTATACTTTTGGTTATTTAACTTTTAATAATTAATTGATATTAAAATGAAATTGATTTCTATATATCAATATTGTATTCTGAAAGAGAGGGTGGAAAACTCCCTGTGCTAGTAAAGAATCAGTAATATAAATCAACTTATGTTTTTCTTTCTTCCCATCTGAGTTTTAAGACATATGCTGAAAAAGAAGTGTGGCAGTGGCTCACCACCTACGAAGAAAAATCCAAATTACTCTGTTTAAACAGGCAACCTTGAAATACGATATGCACTGGATTTGAGTTCTGTTAACTCTGTGTGAGTCACTTCTGGAGGCACGTGAGGTAATGGAGAAAGAAAGAATACCTACTCAATATTCCACTTCTTTTATAAATTGAAAATAAAATGATTAAACATAATATTAATTACTAATAGTTGCTAGATTGAAAATGAGCAAGTTGTGAAAAGTTATTTATGTTTTAATAAATACCAAACTTCTGAGCTTAGCATCAGGGTTACCAATCATGTTTTCTCTTGACTGCTGCTTTATTTTTCCTCTTGGAGACAGATGGCTTGGTGTCACACATTATTTTAGTGTGTTGAGGTATGCTCCTGGTATGACTCATCTAGTTTCCTGAACCATGGCTAGTTAGCATATCTTAACTTGGCTAATGACAACAAAATTGTAACACCTTGAGAACTAGTATTGAAATAATGGCAAAATAATAATATTTATTTCAGAAAAAAAAGAATGATGAGGATGGCTTGAGAAATGAAACAAAACAAAACAAAACAATAAACAAAAAAACCCAGAATGTTTAGAGACTTGAAAAAGAGTTGCCTGTGCAAGCAGAAAACACACACACATACACACATAGAATGAGAAGATGGCATTGTTAGTGTTAAAGCAACAGCCAAAGCATGAACTCATGTCTACCTGCTTTTTTTAGCTCTCCTGGAGATAATTAACAAATGTAGGTCTCTCCACAGCAACACTCTTCTGTTGGCCCATGACCAACAGGTAACTACATTCCCAAAGATACTGGTCTAATTCCTTCTCCCTGGCAAAAGAGCTCAGGGGAAAAGCACAGCTCGGTCTCTCTTTTTCAGTCACATCTACCTACTCCCAACAGGCTTCACCCAAACAACAAGTCCAAGGATTCTGAACAAGATGTTTTTCTTTTCAGCATGTCCAACTTGGCTCAGCCTCCCTGTAGAGCAGTTCTAGTATGATTCAGTATGATTCTGGAATAAAATCAAATGATGCTTGTTTCCTTTCTTCATCTGCTGTAAGGAAGTTTCTAATCTCACAAGGCAAATTTCTGCTTTATCTGGAATTCACATTCAAAAATTATGTCTACACCTAAAACGTATAAAAGATGAGAGAGAGATTCCTGGACACATTGAATGTATCCACTAAATTGATACAACAAAAAACTGAGACAGTATTATGATTGGTTCTCTAATTCGTATGTATAATGAATTAGTATTGTACTGAGTAATTCCAGGCTAAGTGGCTAAATATTTATAGTGATAATCTGTGTATATACACAGTTACTTTAAAATAAAAGCAAAATAATGGCATACACATAACTATATTTAAACAATTCATAACATAAAATTGTCAGTCTTTTAATGCCTTTCGTAGCTCAGATGATTTCTCAAAGACCATGGCCAAAAGAAGGTCTAATTTAGGTGACACAGCCTCACTATGCGGTACCAAATTCCAGACTGCACCAGGCCACTCATCCATACCTCACTTTTCAGTAGTCAGATGCGGAATGATACATTATCATAACCAACAAGCCAACAGACTTAGCAAGCTGCTGACTTACTAGTAAATTCAAATAATCTGAGGTCAGCAAAGAGTACTTTTGGCTTGAGCAGAATATATCAGTATTTCCAATTTTCCCCTGCACTAGAATATTATAAAACTAAATGCACCACAATGCAATAACACAAATAGAATATTTTTATTGAATTTTTGGCAAGATGTCTAAACTGCATTTTCTTTTGCAATACATTTGTTACCATTGTTATGAATTCTGATTTTACTTAGGTGAGCGTTGATTTTTACAGCAACCAATATTCTCCTTCTTCACATTTACTCATAATCAGTATAATGGGAAAGATATTGAAATAAAATTACTGTGGAATGAGGAGTATATCACATAGTGTTCAGTATGTAGAAACAGCTTTACAATGGGTAAGCATGCCACCTTCTCTGAGCCACACTAATGCCATCCGCAAGAGATAGTAACTATGTTTGCCATATCAAAACCCAGCCTTTTAAAGTAAACATTGTTTTATATAGATGGCTAAGCTCTACACCATGCTCCTTAATGGAAAGAATATATGTAGGGGCAAGAGGACATACGACTTTTAATTGTGGTACTCCAATGCAGGTAGAACCACAAACAGTATTTTGCAATCTGTGTCTTTTCCGTTACATAATTTCTATCATTGAGGTGACTTTATCTTCTGACTTTGTTCAGGGCCTTGTGGTAAGCTTGCTATCAGAGCAAAAAATACATATGATGAGTGGGTCTTCTTTAACTCACTCCAGCATCACTAAAATGTTCATTGCTGATAAAATGTAGGTTATAACCCTCTAGCAATGTAAAATCTAATTAGTATTTCTAATGATAAATCAGTAATTCAAAATAATTACTCTCTAAAGACAGACTTTTAGCCATTGTGACTAAAGATTTTAGAAATGTCTCTTCAGATTTATCAGTATTTCTCAGATTATGTATTATTGGAGGGATTCCTTATTTGTGAATAATGTTGGCCCTACCTTCAGGACTTATGCTATGATTAAGAAAAATATCCTGTTTTGAATTTGAAATTGGAAAGGTATCTCAAAGCCTTGGCTTATTGTGCTTCTTTAGTGCCTTCTTCTCTCTATTGATAGAGAAGCTGTCAGGTAATCTTAGAGATATGAGTAACCCCTGATTGCTTTAGAAACAATGTACAAATGATTTTACTTCATATAGTAACAAAAATGCACTCTTACCAGGACAGCTGTTGTCCTGTTCAGATCTGCCAGAACATATCCGATTTTAGCTGTTTTATGTAACTATCTTAATTAGTCAAAGCACTGTTGAAAAGTCTCTGACTCTTCTTGGCAATCCATCCAAACTCTTCATATGGCCCAATAAATGACATATCTGTTACTTTTAAGTTAGCAGATTTCCTTCACTGGCCTCTGTTCTCAAGAAAACGATCTGAAGCCATCGGATCCTGTTATACTATGGGGAAAAGAAGGAAATTCAAACACATACATTCTTATTATCATTGTCATCAAATTGTGCGGACACATTTTAAAGAGGTTAAAATCGACTTTCTATACTTGGTTCAAGTACGTGATGTCATATGAAATACTCGTTGTTTTTTTTTTGTTGTTGTTGTTGTTTTTATAAACTGGGGAGACTTGATATAGCCTGTTCTTTAAAGTCAGCAACTAAGCCATTCCGTGAAAGTTAGAGTTCTGAACCATGTTTATGGTGAGAGCAGTGTTAAGCAGGTGATAAGTGTTTATGTATCTGTATTATTCAATTAATAATTTTAAGTATTAAGGGTAAAAAAGTGAAGTAATGGAGTTGAAAAAAGATCATTTTAGACTTCTTTGTACACATACCCCTAATTTTTTGTTTTTTATTTTTAATAGGTGAGAAAATATAAATAAAGTGCTATGTCAAAGATAGTTTTAGAAATTAGCTCATCTGCAACCAGAATTCATGTTTACTTTGTTCATCACTTGTAGCTTTCCTGGCAATCATATTCAAGTTAACATGGCATAATATATTTTACTTTTTTATTCTCTACTTCCCATGATTGAACACTAAATAGTCCAGCTAAAATTATATTTCCAACTTAAACTGCTTTTGCTTCCCTCATTTTGTCCAGCACAGAGCTTAGTAAGCTATAAATGCTGTTTTGTATTTGTCACATAGAGTTTTTCTTGAGAAAACTGTTTAGCAATTGGAGAACTAAATGGAACCTATTGGAATTCATGTTCCATGGTCATTCTACTTGCATTACAGACACAATGACTAAGATTTGACCCACTACTCACCTCCCAGGAGCAAGCCACTGCTTCCTGATCATTTATCTTCACTTCATCCCTAATGATAAGTTATGATTTTATGGATTCTATGCAACTGGCATCCTGCAAGAATATCTGAGGAAATGTAATACACCTATATTGTAACGCCCCACCAACTGTATCTTGATATTTGGATTTTTTTTTCCCTCTAGAACACCAGGGTTACTTTCATTACGAATCTTAGGAGTTTTATGGGTTTTATTATAATGTAAATCCACAGAAATTTGAGGATTAGGAAGTAAAATCATTAGTTATATCTTCAGGGGATAACTATGGTTACCTCGAAAAACCTTGTAAAGTTGTCGTAAAATGATACATAGGACATTTTAAATGGCTTATGAGAAAGAAATGCTGCCAGGCAGCACCCCTTTGGTAGCTAAGGGTATAAAACACTCTGTGTTTAGGGAAGAAGCAGTTAAATGACCACGCAAACATAAAGTGTAGTGCTTCCTGATAAACTGAAGTGACGCCATTAAAAGCTGCAATAAAAAGGGCAGATCACTGGCCGACTAAGCATGATCACACGGGAGACTTAATCAGCTTCTTCAAATGGGTTCATTTCCCTTCCTGTGCTTTCTATAGTGTGGGCTTGAAACAAACGAACAAAAAAATATCCATTCTGTCTTTTTCATGTCTGTAACAAAATCTGTAATTCACATTCTGATAATTCTATGATATCAATTGAATTATTGTCTTCCCAAGTCCCCAAGTGTTCCCTCAACAAAATTTTCCTTCTTCCAACATCCATATATACAAAGCTACCTGAAATCAGGTGAACCTCATGGCCTCACTGCTGATTTCGGAGCTCTGCCACTGTCCAGCAGGAATTAAAAAAGTATCTTTAGTCATGCCTTCTCCCTCAGAGCTGGTCTCAGCTTCAAAAGCTTCGACTCTGCAGTCCACCAAGATGGAAAAACCCAGCCCTGTCTTCTGTTCACCATATCTACCTCCTCCATCCCTTTAATTTGAGGACATTCCTTTTTCCTTTTTACTCTGTGCCTGCCATATATATTTTCTTCTTCTCATGATTATCTGAGTTATGTTTTTTCCCACTTGAAATACTACTGGACATGGTGTATGGTATTGATTCAACCACCAAAATCCATATACAGTATAAACATTTGAGTGTGTCAATACAGTGCTAACAATTTGATGAAGTTAATAGTAGACAAGATAAGATGCTTTGGAAAATTGACAACTTCTTTGAACTTTAATTTTATTCCCTTTCAAGAGAGAAAATTCCAGAGAGCTATTGTTAATATCAGTGAAAGAAAATGAAAGGGAAAGTGTGGCCTATGTGTTAATGTGCCCACAGACATAAACACAAACAGGTTGTAATAGGCAGAAGGAGATTAAGAGTAATACAAAGAACACATGATGTAATTCAATGGCTTTCGTTAGATGGGATGTCTTTCTCAACCTGGGAGAAAAAAGCAAAAACAAAGACTTCTCATCCTCCAAAATGCAAGGAATTTTTATAATTTGTTATAAAATTAAGTAATGTAACCCATAGATTACAGGTAGGGAGGAGTGAGAAGAGACAAATAGAAAGACAGATTAAAAAAAAAGTTATGGATTGACCTATCTTTTAATCTATTGATCAATCTATCTAGACAGATTGTTACAGAGAGAACCAAAACATGCCAGAGTACCAGAGCTATTCAGCAATGCAGAGGAAGTTCCTGACTGTTTTTTTTAAGAGCAGATGCAGAGAAGAGACCTGTTCCTACAAAACAAGTAATTTTTGTAAATTTTTCAGTTGAAATATTAAGGAAGGACAAACTTCAAACTCAAACCTTTCACAGCTGAGTGTGGTTGGTAAAGCTAGAGAAATAGAAGTTGGCAATGCAGTAAGTAAAGACTGAACCTGGGAATTGTAAACAGAATTTACTGACAATTCTCTACAATTGTTTTACTAAGTGATCTTTCCAGCCCAGATCAACATAGAAACTCAGGGGACCATCAGCCATTGATAGCCAACCAGAATAATAGAAGAAGAAAATTGATTGGACCGTGCTCCGTTTTGCTTAATATTTTTCTAATTTTTTGGCAAGGAATGATTCTTAGTTAATAGTTGAAATTCTGTGTCTCATACGGCTCGTTATACTTTTACTTAATCTAAATGTGGAGAAATTTGCATAGACATTTCATTGTATAGTTAAAACTCTGACAGGAATATCATTGTTGTCATGGTAAGATACTGAAAGAAAGCCTACAGATTTGGTTTCATAAATATATATGAATTTATTGAACCTTAATTGGCAGTAGTAATGCAAACGCACTAAGTGATGCCTAAATGAGACTCTTCCAGCGCAACTTAAGTGTGGGTAATAACTATCTTAGTATGCTGTACATTACCACCATGTGATGTTGACAGTTGATACATTTATATTACACATTTTAGTTATAGCTATCATTTTAAGTATTAATATAATAGCCACATTACCCATCTTTACAAATACCAAGGGACATTAAAGATAGGTAGGAATTTAATTACATTTCTCTAGGTCTCATAGACAAAGGGGCTAGTTATAATAAGTTTTACCTTTATTCAAGATCTTGGGCACTAAATTATAAATTGGGAAGTTAGGCTGCCCTCCTAAGACAAAAATAAGATCATGTTAGGGCCAACACTGATTAAAACCACTAATCTCTATAATCTCCAGAGCTTTTCTAACTCTACTTTAATCTCTAACATGCCTTCCTAGTGTTTTATACTGACTGGAAACTATTGACACCGTGAAGTTGAGATTAAGAGGATCATTGAGTATGGCACAGAGTGAGATATTAGAGACCTATTCTAGGAGTTTACAACTGTGTTTCTCAGGGATTGTCCTTCCCCATAATCTTCTTCTCCAGGCTATTTTACCCCATGTCACCCAGGAACAGCCAAAATAAGTAGAGGTGGCAGGCCAAGTTTATCCTTAGTTTTCCAAAGCATGTAAGAATACTTTTGCTTTTGTATGTTTTCTACAATAAATTACTGAGTAAGATATTTTAAGCAAAATATTCTTTGAAAATTCTTTGGAAAACCACTGATTAAGGCTAATATTCCAATCTTTTGACTAATTGTGACCATTTCTTGCTGAGGGATCAAAGTTTTAACTGGCATTACAAATGAGACTTATTATTTTAGCTGAATTTCATATTGACACTAGCTGACATGGAGTGATATAGTTATCCTGTCTCCTATGATCTTTCCATTTTTCATGCAATCAAAATAAAGGTTATATAAACATGTATAATAAATATACACATGTAAGAATTTGTATGTAGCTTTAATGTATGTTGTTTTTGTTTGTCCTTTATGTATTCTATATATTTAAGCTTTTCTTTATGTAAAGTCACAGTTAGATAGATTTAAATGATTCATCACAAGTTTTCCACTGAAGTGAAAATATTTACTCCAAAGGCCAAGGAAACCCTGATGAATAAGACAAAGACAGTGGATTTTGATAAGACAAGTTTGCAGCACAGTGGAGGTGGAACAGGAGAAAAACGTTGATCATTTCTTTTATTTTCTGTATTTCAGTGTTTTGATATCTGGGTCCTTGCTGAACCTAGGGCAACTGTGCTTCTTAGGGATAGCTAGTTCTTTGTGATTGCAAACAACTACCAGTGAGTATGCTTTCAAATGTGAATTGACCAATCCAGAACCCATACTCCACTACCTACTCTGTAGAGCTCTCACACCTGGTCCATGAAATACTTTCCTTAATCACTCCAGGGTCGCATACCAGACAACAAGGTACATCCCATATGTCCTCGAGCCTGTAGAAATTATTCAAACTAACCAATTTAAAGCCGGTTTACCCTGTCTTTCCTATTCTTTCCTGCAGAAATCACAATAAGGCCTCTTGCCCATACTTTCCCGTTGTTCATCTGACCCCTGACTGCCTCTGCTACTTACCTCTGTGGTCCTCATTCATGACATGCCATGCCTCTTGTTTCTAGGAAATAGAAGTAAATGTGCTCATTTATGACAATCATTACTGTATCTGTACATCTTACTTACCATACCGAAATAAAACAAATTCTGGGTACCCTTAAAACTGGATATAACATTACATCGTTTTGAATTCTAGTTCCTTGGGTTCCTAAATGTGTGGCATTGAACACATTACTTAAAAAAAGAATTTGTGTTTCCTCAGCTTTATGTAGTAAAGATAATAATATTTAACTCAAAGAATTGAGTGTTTTTATATATATATACTATATATATAGTTTTATTGAGTGTTTTATATATATAAATTGCATATTTTATATATATAGTTTAGAACAGTATCTGTCAAAAATTAAATGTTCAATAAATATGAGCTATTGTTATAAAATATAATAAGCATGGTATGATTATTATAATTACAAATCTCCAAATTTCTAAAATAATTTAACGCGTAACAAATTGAACTCATAGACTACAATTTTAATTTCATTGTTATTCATTGCACATGTGTGTTTTCTACACATCTGCTTAAATTTTTATTATTTCTCAACTAGCAGATATTTTCACTTGCCTTAAAATAATAATATATTACCCCATTAGCTGTGATCTAAGCATCATAGCCTTTCAACTTATTGGTGAATAACTAGAGAAGTAGAAAGATTAACCAACTAGGCCAAATCACTACACGAGTTTTCCTCCTTATTCCTTGGAGATTGATATTCAGGGATGAAAGACTCTATTCTCTGATCACAATTCCAGAATTCCTTACACAAATCCACCCAGCTGTCACCCAAGAGCTCCCCAGACTTATGTCCTCTTAACTAATTTTCTGAAAATGAAGTCCTAAGGTAGCCTAAGCTAGTCTAAGTTCCCTCTCATAAGTATTCATTACTGTTTTCATAGGTTGAAAGAGGGAAAATTTGTGGAAACATGAGAAGCAAAGAAGATCAAAGAAGAGCAGGAAGAGGCAGAGAGCAAAAAAGGTTTTTTTAAAGGTATACTGTGGACTTCCTTCTATTAAAAGATTCTTGTCACAGCCCTCCAAAAGTAGCTGCAGGGAAATATGAGAGGCTTATAGATGAGTTCGCTCTGAGCCCTATGTCTGGCACATTCTTTACTGAGAGGTTTGGATAAACTATTTGCCAAAACAGTGTTTAGCTATTTGCCAAGCTTAATAAATTTAGCAGCAATGTTTACTGGAACAGGGCATGACCCATGCAAAATACATCTGGTGAAAATCTAGTAACTGTGATTTGAGCGGTTCCATAAGTCTCTAGAAGCATATCCTCAAGGGTCAGCTTTCATCATATTTGTTTGGGGAAAATTCTTTCTTTGTAGTTCACTCTCTAAAACAATAATAATTCTCATAATAATCATGATTATTATAGTAACAGTATTAATAATAACAATTATAATAAATATAAGGAAATGAGGAAATAAATAAGGAAAAACAGCTTAAAATAGTGTATACTTAAATCTTTGTACAAGATAGTTTACTTAACATTGGAATGAGAAGTCACTATTTAGAAAAGTAAAAATCTAAGCAAGGACACAAAATAGTAGAGAAAAACAAAACTAATAGCATGAAATAAAACAAAAACAGAAAATATATTTTATTTATTTTTCAATAAATTTCCCAAGATTGATTTTCTTATCATTAGCATCTGAAGGAAACTCAGAAAGATGAGATTTAACAAATAAGAAAAATTCTTCCTAATAATTGAGAATTGTGTGTATATGTATAGAAATCATTATTTAACCTTGCATATGTCAGGACAGTCATAAGCTTTCCAAGTCTGATTACTACTTACTAATGGGTAATGACCTGGCTCTGATTATTCACTAGAAAGCCTCCTGTTACATCTTCAGATAACTCTGATCTCTAGGAATGTACTACTGTATGAAGGACAAGAATTATGAGGTGAGAATGTTACCGTGTGTACAAGTTGGAGTTTTCTGAATGTTCGGTAGAGGTTCACATGACGTTAGAAAATAGGAGGACATTTTTGGAAGATGTGCAAACTTCTGGCAAGGGAGACAAGTTGCAGACTGGGATCAGGCAGACAAATAGATTTCAATGTGAATCTTTAACTTAATAGAGACTTTTCCGTATTTTAAGTAGAGAAATAAATGTATATTCACACATGTGGTTGTATGTCATGATTGGATGATGATTAAAGAGACATTTTCATATACAGGGCATGTGACTTTTGCATAATAGGATCTCTGCTGTGTCTATGGAGAGGGAGCTGGAGATTGTATTCAGGAATTCCTGATAGATACTAATTGCCAAATGAACAATGTTCCAATGCCAGGAATCAGTTTCTAAGCATATGACTTGGGAAGGCTATAAAAACAAACCGTTGAAAACATCACATGGTAAATGAACATTTGGAAGAAATTCTTATGCATGTGTAACGTGACACTATATAGTAACTCAGAATACTATACAGGATACTGTATAGTATGTCAAATCCAAAGGAATAAAGAGCACAAGTAAAGATAGTTACCTAAGTACATATTGTAACTAGTTTTGCATATCTATGACTTTTCCTGTTTGATTTAAGGAACAATTTAAACAATGTAAAATATATCATATAAACAATAACTAAAAAATAACTAGAGAGGCTATATTAATAGCAGACAAAATATGTGTTAAGACAGATGTTGTTACTAATGACAAAATAGGACATTTTAAAATTATAAAGTGACCTGTACATCTAGAAAGGCATAATAGTTATAAACATATAGGCACCTAACAATAAGCAGCAAAATACATGAATCCAAAAAAAACTGAAGAATTGAAGGGAGAAATAGGACAATTCACCAATAAGAGTTGGAAATACTAATAAATACTTTTAACATGGAGAGAACAGCTAAATATGATTTAAACAACATTATTAACCAGCTAGGACTAACAGACATCTTTTTATGGAACATCTTACTCAAGAATACCTAAATATGCATTCTTATCAAGTACACATGAAGCATTCTTTAGCATAAGCCATATATTAGTTATTAAAATAAGCTCAACTGAATTTAAAAGGATTGAAATTTTAGAAAGAATGTTTTCTGATATCAATAGTCAATAGAATAAAATTAAGAGTCAATAACAGAACTTGGGAAATTCACAAATATGTATAAATTAAACAACATTCACATAAATAGAAAAGAAGCCATAAGAAAAATTAAAAAAAAATTTGAGATGAATAAAAATGAAAACATAAGAAACTAACCTTTATGGGATGCAGCTAAAGCAGTTTGGAGAGGAAAATTATCATTGTAAAGAGTACTGGAAAAGAAAGAGGAAATCTCAAATCAATAACCTTGTCATTCATCTTAAGAAACTAGAAAAGAGAGCAAACTAAATTCAAAACAAGCCTAAGAAAAGCTACAACTAAAATTAGAGCAAAAATAAATAAAATAGAAAATAGAGAAAAACTGACAAGACTAAAAGTTGGTTCTATGAAAAAGAACAACCAAATTGGCAAACCTTTAGCTAGACTAACCAGAAAAAAAGACAAAACACTGAAACTATAAAAATCAGGAATGAATAAGGAAAAATCACTTTCAACCTTACAGAAATAAAGATTATAAGAGAATACTATGAAGAATTGTCTGCCAAAACATTACTTATTCTAGATGAAATGGACTTAAAAAAAATGCAAACTAATGAAACTTAAGAAAAAATAATCAACCTTGATATACTTATGACAAGTAAAGAAACTGAATTAGTAATTAAAAAATAACTACCCACAAAGGAATCTCAGGCCCGGATGGCTTCATCAGTGAATTATTATTATTATTATTATTTTTTGAGACAGAGTCTCACTCTGTCGCCCAGGCTGGAGTGCAGTGGCGCAATCTCAGCTCACTGCAAGCTCTGCCTCCTGAGTTCACGCCATTCTCCTGCCTCAGCCTCCCGAGTAGCTGGGACTACAGGCCCCCGCCACCGCGCCTGGCTAATTTTTTGTATTTTTAGTAGAGACGGGGTTTCACTGTGTTAGCCAGGATGGTCTCGATCTCCTGACCTTGTGATTCGCCCGCTCGGCCTCCCAAAGTGCCGGGATTACAGGCGTGAGCCACCACGCCCGGCACCACTGAATTTTATCAAATATTTCAAGATGATTTAACATCAATCTAGCAAATTCTTATAAAAAATAGAAAAAGGGGAAACACTTTCCAATTTATCCTGAGTTCAGTATTACCGTGTTGTAAAGGAAACAAACAGACAAACACGTGAGAAAATAAAACTACAGAATCATATTCCTTATAAATATTGATAGGGTATCCCCTCCAAATTTCATGTTGAAGTGTGATCCCCAGTGTTAGAGGTGGGGCCTGGTGGAAGGTGTTTGGGTCATAGGGGCAAATCCCTCAAGAATGCTATGGTGCCCTCCTTGTAGTAATTAGTGAGTTCTTGCTCTGAGTTCATATGAGATCTGGTTGTTTCAAAAAGATGGCACCTAACCCCTCCGTCTCCTGCTCCTGCTCTCACCACAGGATACACGGGCTTTCCGTTCACCCTCTCGCATCATTGTAACCTTCCTAAGGCCCTAGCCAGAAGCAGTTGCTGGTGCCATGTTTTGTGTACAGCCTGCAGAACTATGAGCCAATTAAATCTCTTGTATTTCCAAATTACATAGTGTCAGATATTTCTTTATAGTAATGCAAATAGACTAATACAAAAAATGGTACCAACCAGGCCTGGTGGCTCATGCCTGTAATCCCAGCCCTTTGGGAGGCCGAGGCGGGAGTATCACAAGGTCAGGAGATTGAGACCATCCTTGCCAACATGGTGAAAACCTGTGTCTACTAAAATACAAAAAAATTAGCCAGGCATGGTAGTGTGTGCCTGTAGTCCCGCTATTCAGGAGACTGAGGCAGGGGAACCCGGGAGGCAGATGTTGCAGTGAACTCTGATTGTGCCCCTGCACTCCAGCCTGGCAACAGAGCAAGACTCCATCCCCCCACCCAAAAAAAACAAAAGGTACAAAGGAGTGAAGCATTAGCGTTGCTACAAAGATACACAAAAATGTGAAAGCATCTTTGGAACTGGGTAATGGGCAGAGATTAGAAGAGTTTGGAGTGCTCAGAAGAAGACAGGGAGATGAGAGAAAGTTTGGAACTTCTTAGAAACTGGTTAAATGATTGTGATAAAAATATTGATAGAAATATAGACAGTGAAGGTCAGGCTGATGAAGTCTCAAATGAAAATGAAAAAGTTTTTGAACTAGAGTAAAGGTCTTCTGTGTTATGCCCTAGCAGATAATTTTGCTGTGTTATGTTTATGTCATAGGGCTCTATGAAAGTTTGAACTTCAGAGTGATAAATTAGGTTATCTAGTGGGAGAAAGTTATAATTAGCAAAGTGTTAAAGCTGTGTCCTGGCTGCTACTAACAACTTATGATCAGATATAGGAGCAAAGGAATGACTTAAAGTGGGAATTTATGTTTAAAAGGGAAGTAGAACATAAAAGTTTATGAAATTTGCAGCTTGTCCATATCACAGAGAAAGAAATCAAGCAGGTTCTGGAGCAATCATTTGCTAAAGAAATTAACATAACTAAAAGGGAGTCATGTGCTGATACCCAAGACAATGAGGAAAAAAAGCCCCAGAGACATTTCAGAGATCTTGGAAACAACTCCTCCCCTCCCATGACAGGCCCAGAGGCCTAGGAGGAAATATTGTTTTGGGAGCCAAGCCTGGGACATCACTTCTCAGCTCAGCCTCAAGGCACTGCTCCCTGTATACAGGTTGTTCCAGTTCCAGCTGCAGTTCAAAGGACCCCAGGTACAGCTTGGGCTGCCACTACAGAGGGTTCAAGCCTTAAATCCTGGTGGCCTACATGTGGTGTTAAGCCTGTAGGTACACAGAATGCAAGAGTGAAGGAGGCTTGGTGATATCCACCTAGATTTCAGAGGATGCATGAGAAAGCCCAGGTGTGCAGGCAGAGGCCTGCCACAGAAGCAGAGCCCTCACAGAGAACCTCTACTAGGGAAATAACAATGGAAAATGTGGGGTTGGAACCCCCACACAGAATCTCCATTGGGGAATTGGATCTGTGGGAAGGGACCACTGCTCTTCAGACCCTAGAATGGTAGATCCACTGGCAGCTTGCACCCTACACCTGGAAAAGCTGCAGGCTCTTGACTCCAACACATGAGAGTAGCCACTGGGGATGGCTTCTTCCTGCAAAGCCACAGAGGTGAAGCTGCCGGAGGCCTTGGGCACCCTCTCAGCAGTGTGCCCTAGATGTGGAACATGGAGTCAAAGGAGATTATTTTGGAACTTTAAGATTTAATGACTGCTCTGCTGGATTTCATACTGCATGGGGCTTATTGCCCCTTCCTTATGGTCCATTTTTCCTTTTGAAATGGTAATGTTTACCCGATGCCTATATTACCATTATGTTTTAGGAATAAATAACTTGTTTCTGATTTTACAGAGTCATAGGTGGAAGAAAGTTGACTTGAATCTCAGATGAGACTTTGAACTTTGGGACTATTGAGAATAGATGATTATATTTTGTAATGTGAAAAAGATATAAGATTTGGGAGGCCAGGGGCAGGATGATATGGTTTGGATGTGTTTCCTCTCCAAATCTCATGGTGATGGAAGTAGCCTGGTGGGACTTCTTTGGGACATGGAGACAGACTACTCATTAATGGTTTGATGCCCTCCTCACAGTAATGAGTGAGTTCTCACTCTGAGTTCATGTGAGATCTGGTGGTTTAAAAGAGTATGGCCCCTCCCTTCCCCTTGCTCCCTTTCTTGCCATGTGATACATCAGCTTCCACTTCACCTCTTGCTATGATTGTAACCTTCCTGAGGCCTTCACCAGAAGCAGTTGCTGGTGTCATGTTTTGTGTACAGCCTGCGGAAACATGAGCCAATTAAACCTCTTTTATTTATGAACTACCCAGCCTCAGATATTTCTTTATAGCATGCAAAAATGACCTAACACAAATATAGATACAAAAATACTCAAGAAACTATTAGCAAACCGAATCCAACAACATATAAAAAATTACACACTACAACCAAGTGAAATTTATCCCCATAGTAAAAGGTTTGTTTAATGTCTGAAACATCAGTTTATATAATAAACTATAATAGAGTAAAGGATTAAAACCACATGATCTTCTCAATCCACACTGACATTGCATTTAACAAAATTTAATACGTTTTCATTATTGAAACACTGACTACAATGAGATACAAGGGAATTTTCTCAATCTGATATAAAACATCTTTGAAAATCTCATAGTAAAATAATAATATTTTAGAAAAAGAGCTGATTTTTTTCCAGTAATTAGGAATCAGATAAGGATGTATATTTTTGCCATTTCTATTCAATATTATACTAGAGGTTCAGGCCAGGGCAATTGGACAATTTAATAAAAAGCATCCAGATTGTAAAGAAATAAGACTATCTCTATTCAAAGATAACATGATCTTACATACAAACTTAAGAAGTACAGAAAAAAATTTTGAATCAATAAATGTGTTCAGCATGTATACAAAATACAAGATCAATAGATGAAAATTAATTATATTTCTATGCACTAATGAACAACATGAAAAATAGATTAAGAACACAATTTTACTTATAGTAAAATATTTGCAAATACATTTCTTAAAATAAATGCAAAACTTGTACACTAAAAACTACACATTATTGAAAGAAATTAATGGTGACAGTAAAAATGTAAAGGCATTTCATGTTCATGGATTGGAAGACTTAATATTGTTAAGATGGCAACATTCCCCAAATTGATCTACAATGCAATCCCTATCAAACTCTCACCTCCTTTTTTTAGCAGCACTTGACAAAGTGATTCTAAAATTCACATGGAAGTGCAGGGGACCCAGAACAGCCAATCAATGTTGATTAAAAACAATATTTGGAGGATTTACACTTTCCGATTTCAAAACAGCACAATGCTAAACAAATGGAGAAAATTTGCTACTGGTGTGAGGATAGACATGTAGATCAATGGAACAGATTGTGAATTCAGTAATGAACTCTTACATTTGTGATCAATTGATTTTTGACCAGTGTACCTCAGCATTTTGTTGGAGGAAAATAGTCTTTCAACAAATGGTGCTGGCATGACTGATATTAGCATGCAAAGGAATAATCCTCTAACTCATATCAAACAAAGAACGATTAACTCAAAGTGGATCATAGACATGAAACTGTGAAGCACTAAAACATACTCTTAGAAGAAAACATACAAGTAAATCTTTATAACCTTAGATTAAACACTGATTTCTTAGATATGACACCAAAAGCATAAATGGCCATACTGGAAAAATAACAGACAAGTTGGACTTCAACAAAATTAGATTTTAAAGTTGTTTATGTTTCAATACCATTAAAGAAGTGAAAAGTTGGGGCCAGGCACAGTGGCTCACACCTGTAATCCCAGCACTTTGGGAGGCCGAGGTGGGAGGATCACGAGGTCAGGAGATCGAGACCATCCTGGCTAACATGGTTAAACCCTGTCTCTACTAAAAATACAAAAAATTAGCTGAGCATGGTGGTGGACGCCTGTAGTCCCAGCTACTCGGGAGGCTGAGGCAGGAGAATGGCTTGAACCCCAGAGGCAGAGCTTTCAGTGAGCCGAGATCGCGCCACTGCACTCCAGGCTGGGCGACAGAGTGAGACTCGGTCTCAAAAAAGAGAAAAAAAATAAGTGAAAAGTTAATCCGTAGAATCAAAAAACCACATTTGAAATATATAAATAACCCTTAGAAATCAATAGTAAAACCCAAAACCTAGCTAAAACCCAAATGACAGAATTGCCAAATGATTTGAATATACTTCTCCAAATAAATATTCAATAAGCACATGAAAATATAATCAACTTCTTTAATTATTACAATGTCCAATAAGCACATAAAACTATAATCAACATTCTTAATTATTATTTTGAAATGCAAGTCAAAACCAAAATAAGATGCCACTTCACATTCACTTGTATGTCTATTGTTAGGAGCTCAGCTGAGCCTGGAGAACAGAAGCTGAGCTGCCAGGTGTCTAAGTAACTAATTAAAACAAGCCAAAAATGGAAGAGTTAAACTGTTAATCAGTTATGGATATAGTAAAAATGGAGCAAATGCCAACTCCCCTGGCCCTTTATCCCATTAAGGAATGGTGCACAAAATAAGGGTCAGGTAGACCAGCATAGATTTGGGAGTCATCTCTCTGTTAAGGGAGCCAGGAATTTTATAGAATCTGAAGCAAGGGGAGGGAAACAGGAAGTTTCCCTGAGTGCAAATCCCTTCAGAGATGCAATGAACTTGTGCCCCATGTCTGGTGTGGGGAGGGAAGTTTTGTCTCATGAGACCTGAGAGGGAAGACTTTGTAATTCCCGTTGTCAGGCCTGAAAGAAGCACCCATAGCTTGTTGTTGTTGTTGTTGTTGTTGTTGTTGTTTTGAGACAGAGTCTTGCTCTGTCGCCCAGGCCGAAGTGCAGTGATGCGATCTCTTTAGAACATAGTTTGGCATTCCCTCAAAATATTAAACATGGAGTTACCATATGACTCAAAGGAGAAATTAAAACATGTATCACCATAAACTTTTACACAAATGTTCATAGCAGCGTCATTAACAATAGCCAAAAATTAGAAACAACCCAAATGTATATCAACTGGTGAATGTGTATCCATGAAATGAGACATTATTTGGGCGTATAAAGGAATAAAGTCCTAATACATGCCACATCATGGATGAACCCTACCTTGTGCTTAGTGAAAGAAGCTAGAGGAAAAATCCCACATATTGTATGATGCCAGATGTATAAAAAGTTCAGAATATGCAAATATATTGAGACACAAAGTAGATTATTGGTTTTAAGGGGCTAAAGGGAGGAGCAAGAAAGGGTAGCTTCTGAAGGGTACAGGACCTATTTTTGATGTGTTGAAATTGTGCTAAAATTAGATAGTGTTAGTGATTGTAGACCTCTGTAAATATACTAAAACCCACTAAAATGAGCACTTTAAAAGGATGAATTTCATGAAATACTAATAATATCTCAATAAAGTTGCTATAAATAAATATTATACAATTGATAAGTAAAATAAGGGTAAGTTAGAATTGGATACATATAAATAACATTTTACTTCAATTTAATTTAATACATGCTTTTAAATACCATCTATATGTCAGGAAGTTGCTGGCAACCAGTGGGTGCAAGGATGAATTTGAAATTCTTGTCTTTGATGAGCTTATGATCAGGCAGAAAATAAAAACAAATGCAACTATTACTATTTGTTAATTATTGTTATAGAATATGGACTAAGGTGAGAAGTACTTAGAATCATTTGAAATGAGGGACAAATCAGAGACAAGCACAGAGGGAAGATGACTTTTTAAATTGGTACCTAAAAGTTAGTTGGAGTTTTTCAGGATAAAAACACAAGAGTGACATGGGAGAGCACTCTTAGTGAAGGATATGGGGAATATATACAGAACAATGCAAAACTGGCTATGATTAAAGTCTACATGCTAAGATGCTATTGACTCCAAGTGCTGTAAAAGATCAGAGAAAATGTTATGAGGAAGGACTGAGTAGCCCCTTGGAGAAGGCAGCATTTTATGGAAACTTAGATGTTGAATCATCACATGTATGCTTTCTGTTTGCTCAGAATAAGAAAGTTTTTCATTTTTATTGTAGAGTTTAGGGAATTCTCTGACTCTAAAGATGCATAAAAGTCATT
The DNA here is from genome assembly GCF_000001405.40 of Homo sapiens. Classification (NCBI taxonomy): domain Eukaryota; kingdom Metazoa; phylum Chordata; class Mammalia; order Primates; family Hominidae; genus Homo; species Homo sapiens. The sequence goes on from NC_000018.10 coordinate 40,268,068, forward strand.
CATATAGACAAGAAGAAGATTTTTTTTCCCCAATTGTTTGTAAAACATTATGCTGGATAGCATCTGGACATTGATGTGGAGAGAGGGCCTTCTGCCTTAGTGATCAGCCCTCAATCTAGGGGGTAGCTCTGTCCAAGCACATATCTTAGACTTGTGACTACCACTCACCCTGTGGACAGCTTGTTCCTGAACCACACTTTAAATGAAAAAGAAATACTGATATTATTAAGGGTCCAAGTCAAATTCATGCTGAATAGAAGCTTTATTCTTGATACAGTCAAAAGAATTAGAAAACTCTTTAAGAGACAGTGAAAAAAAATAGATCAATGAGCACAACAAAAAAATAAAATAAAATAAGTGCTGTCAGTACAAATAGAAGAGAAACATGATTTAGTTTGAAGGAACAAGAGAAAGATATTTGGTATTAAATGCAAGGTTGGTCTTGGAGTAAGCAATAAGTGGTAAAGATTGGCAGGTGCAAAATCTCAGAGACTCCAGGGAATAGGCTGGAACATAGAGCTTGGGGTCAAGGTGGGGGAGTGTCAGGTAAGCCTTGTAAATATCAATTATTAGCTTTAACTTTGCTTTCTAAGAAAAGTATCTGAAAGAATTGATTGTTGAATTTGCCTTTTAGGATTGGCACTGTGGCTATAGAATGGGAAATTGATCTGAAAAATGCAAAACTGTAAGCAGGGAGAGTAAGTATGAGGTGGTTGAAAGAATCCAGGGACATGGTGATTGTTTGCATGCAGTTATGAAGGAGTGGCATTGACAAGGAGGATAGAGTTTCAGACTTAGGCAACTGGCAGAAAGACCCCATTCACTGAAATAAGAAAGGTGGAGGACATGCAGCCTGGAAGAGAAAATGAACCTGAAATTTGGCCATCTATTAGACAACTAGGAGAAGTTTCCCAGTAGAAGTTTAGCGATGTGGGCCTTAATCTGTGAGCAAGAGAATCAGAGGAGGAAATAAAAGTCATGAAAATGAATGATAAAAACACTAGAGAGGAGAAGCTGGACTCAGGAGAGTATATTAGCAGAAAGCATAAAAAGGAGGATAAGACAAAAAAAAAGAAAACATCGATTGTCGTGTAACAGGAGAATAAAAAGAAGGAGAATAAAAAACCAGAGGCAACAAGAGCATCTCATGTTATTAAAGCGTCAGTGGGATGTTTCTTCAGATTAGATTTGTATTATGGTTTTATTTGACATTAATATTGTAATCGATCAGATTCTTGACAATGTCTCTTTTTCTGATTACTTGCGAAATCAGCTTTTATTATCTGATAAAGGCAGTGCAATCTACTCTGAAGCTACTCTTTGTTAAGCATGTTGTGGTGAGATATCTTGAGAATGTGTAAACATACCACTTTCAGTATACTGTTACTTGGGTAATGCTAGTATGTACCTATGTCTCTTTTCTATAATGATATGAAATAATTTTGCCACTATGATAGTTGAAAAATGATGATCTTCCAATCTAACAGTTCTTCTATCTACATTTCTTAGCTGTTATTTTCTTATAAGGAAGAGACTACCTTCCTTCCTTCCTTCTTTCCTTCTTCCTTCTTTCATTTCTCTCTTTATCAGTGGGGTCTTGTGATTTCTATTTTATCCAGTGAGTTAGGAGATAATTTTTTAAAATTCTCCCAATAGTTGCTTCAAATTTTTTCCATACGAAGCTCCTTCAGAGTAGTTGCATCTTTATTTCTTCTCATAATATTCCCCTATTCTTTGTGCTTTTTAATTTTTATTTTTTTTACTTTTGGGCTCAGAAAATCAATAATGAATGCATTTTCCTCTTCCATTTTTGCTTTCTTTTAGTGAAAATGTATATAAAAACCAAAAAAAATCTGCACTGAAAGTCACTGTTCCCAGTCTTCTCAGGGAGGAGAATTAGAAAATATGTGTAAACACAATCACACAGACACACACACACACACAGATGCATGTACATCTATATTTCTTCATCTATCCACATCTATTTACATAGATAAGCGTATATGTTAAAATATATGTCTTTATACCAATACCTTCAATATTCTAGGTTCATTCTAAGTGCCCCTTTTTCCATATATGTAGCCCTCCATTTCAACACTGAGAAACTTGGTTCCAATTATCCACAACCTCCCAACCCTCATTGGCATCAGCCTCAATTACACCAAGCTACCACTCCATCTTGCTGAGTCCTACCTTCCCCCATGTGAGCCCCATTGCTGCCAGTGTGACAGGCAGGCAGGAAGAAAGGAAGGAAGGAGGAAGGGATGGAGGGAGGAATGGAAGGATGAAGGGAGAGAGGTAGGTGTCTCTATATGTTTATGACATTTTTCTGTGTCTACCCCTCCTTATCTTCTCCATTGCAAGCTTTTTGAGGGCAGCGAAATCTTACACTTCGGCGTCTATCCCCACAATGTCTACCACAGTGCTCACCCAAGATTTGGGAATGGCAACCTAAGGGCTGAATCTCATCAGCACAAATGTTTTAATTAGCCTATTGTATATTTTAAAAACGAGTTTGTCTTCAAATTTTATTTTAATGAAAGTTTTAGATATGGGCCTCAGTTTCTGATTTCTTTCAAAAACCAGAAGTTATGGCATCACTGGAACTGTATTCTTGCATGAGGAAAAAAAATAACAAAAACAAAAAACCATTTGAGTGGCTGCTGTTGATGTAGATGGGATACTTACTAATAGTTCAGCACAGATCTCCTGGCATACTTTGGTTCATTTACTTTACTTGCCTGATACTTGAAGTTTGAATTTAGACCCTCACACATAGGAAGCTCTGCTAGTTGAGTGATTACTCAAGGTCAAGTTTAGAAACCCAAGTCAACTGTATCAGCCTTCTCTAATGAAGCTCTGACAGTTTTTCTTTGCTTTTTATTCCTTTTCATCTCCCACCTTAGGCTAAATTCAGAAACTTGGTCACTGCCATCTATGAATCATAGTAATTTAACCAGTGAATAGTACAGGCAGTCCCCTAGAAGAGGAGGAGAGTGTGCCAGAACCATTAGTTTCAGGGGAATAAATATTGCTCATTCACAATTTTGTGTGTGTGGTCTATGAGCTGTAAAGACCACTTAAGGTCATTGCTTCATACAGTATTAGGTAAACATTTAAGAGGTAAATACTTTTATCCATCTTTGCTTCCAGCAAATAAGCAGACCATGAAAACTCCAGAGGGCTGGTTTGATATGTATTTTCACTCTTATTATTTTCCCTGAGCTGAGTACTCAGTAATGCTCTGTGTAGATGCAGGTAACTGGACCATGTTCAGTGTGAGGGAAGAGAAGCAGATGCATCTATGAATCCATTTTTCATATGAGAGGTAGAAAAATAGGAGGAAGAGAGAAAGAGCAAATCTCATTCTCTGTTCATAAGAAAGCCTTGTATTTCAGGGATGATAAATATGTCTGCTAATTTATGAACTTATATGCAAGTTAGAGTAAGAAGTGAAAAAATAAAAGTAGAGTTACTGTATTAATATAAGATAGTTGACATTGTTCAATGGTTGTATACCATATCCAATGCTCATAGTTATTTCCCTTCTAATTGTAGACAAATGTTATATCTGTCCATATGTTAGTTTTTGGTATATTGGCTGATGGTATGTCAATTTGACATATGTCAGTTGATGCTAACTCTAACTTGAAAAATAAAAATGGCACTTTATTGATGGTGAGCCTGAACATATTTTTATGATTATGTTTATTTCTCCTGTGAATTATTTGTTCATGTTGCTAAGGTGCTAATGAGTTGTCTGGAGCCAATACATATTAAAAAGATCAAACCTTTGTCTTATTTTATGTAATTATTTTCCTGTTTATTTTTGATTTTATTACAATTCTGATATATACAATTTTTTTTAAGTAGCTAAAATTGTTAATTTTCTCCTTTTGATTTCTTTCTTTACTCTTATGGTTTGAGCACTTCTCTTCTTCCTAGATGGTGAGCACTAAAATTATTTTTGCACCAAGTACCTAGTAGGCACTGGATATCATTATAGTCCTGGGTTATACAAGGGTGACCAGGGCATCAGCTTTCTTTCGAGAGACTCCCAGTTAATTTAACAAAGATAGTCATATGACTAACTGACTTTATTTCCACCGTCTCTTTCTCTGTCTTCATTGCCATCCAGGTACCAGAGAACGTAAATATCAGCAGGATTCATAAGATTGGTTTTAGATAATAATGGGAAAAAAACCCACACACAGTCCTTCCCATAATTCAAACTCAGATGCTGATTCCAAGTTGGCTTTAATGGAGAAACTTTTCTTACTAATTTAGTGAGGATTCTTAGTGTACATCTCAAAGGAGCAAAATCTTCAACTCTGGTTTTTGCATCGACTGACACACAGATACACAGACATGCATTCTCACACCATGTCTTTAAACTGCCAAAGAAGTGTTGAAGGTGAAAAAGAAAAAAGCCAGGACACATCTCTGCCCGTTAACAAAATTAAAGGCTTTACTTTTCCTGGGAGAGTGTGATTTAAGGGCTAATCAGCACCATGGTCCTTGCACATTATCTGGGAAAGTAGAAATTACTGGCTACTGAATCTGTGCTTGGAAGCTCCAGGGGGAATCTCTGCAGGCCCTCTGATAACTTTTTATGTGGTGCTTGAATATTCCTCCCCATGTAATTGGGTTTGTTTGCTATATATAAAAACCTGCCGCTGGCTAATCGTCTGATTCTTTCCGTATGTGTTTGAGTAGGACAGTTTACTTGTGCAGATTAAGCTTCTTGTGTTCAGTTTCCCTCTACTCCACTGGCAAGGACTTGAACTGCTCTATTTGCTTTGCACAGTCCCATTAAATTATTCAATGGCATTCACATTCATATATCTCTAGAACATTGGCTCCAAATGAGTCATATTCAAAAGAAAGGCTTTATTTTTAGGCCATTGAAATCAGAAACAGTATCATAGGGAAAATGATTCTAAAAGTAGATTTTAGTTCATTCATGTGGGGCACGCAAACTCTTTTCCAAGTTCTGTATGTTGATTGCTCCTCAGTTGCAAGGCAACACTTTGTGTGGAATGAAAAAGCCATTTCTCACTTTCATTGAGGCCAAAGTTGCAGGCAGAAAAAAAAAAATCCATGAGAGGCAAAGATACCTGAATGCCCTAAGTGTTTCTTTTTTGGGGGAATATTTATATGAAATTGCCAATGTAGTCTGTCTCTCTTGATGCTGGTACAGAGAGTACAGAATGAGAACCTTATAATAAACATTCCATTTGCTCATTAATGCTATACCTAACGTGTCCATCAGGTTTATTCACATGGGGAAGATAATATTATAAAAATCTTGTAGACATTGTAAACAAAGAACTTAAATAGAAAGGCAATCCAGTACAACATGTGCACACACACACACACACCATTTTGAACTGACTTGACTTTAGAAACCTGGAAATTTTTGGTGCTTGCTGGGGTGTTATGGAGCCATGTTTCTGATTTTTCATGTGTTGTCATCTTGTTTGAGAGGAATAAGCTTGTAAGAAGGTCTTTCACTCAGATGTCTCAGGATTCCAGTCACCTTTTTATGTCAAAGTAATTAGGCCACTCTGTCATCTGTGGAAATCCTTCCCTGTGACTGTTTTGAGCTAAAGACATTCTCTGTTCTCAAAAATAAACAAAAACAAACAAACAAAAATAACAAAGTAAAAAACATACAACAGCCAAGCACGGTGGCTCATGCCTGTAATCCCAGCACTTTGGGAGACTGAGACGGCTGGATCATGAGGGCAGGAGATCGAGACCATCCTGGTTAACATGGTGAAACCCAGTCTCTACTAAAAATACAAAAAAAAGTAGCCGGGCATGGTGGTGGGCGCCTGTAGTCCCAGCTACTCGGGAGGCTGAGGCAGGAGAATGGTGTGAACACGGGAGGTGAAGCTTGCAGTGAGCCGAGATTGCGCCACTGCACTCCAGCCTGGGCAACAGAGCGAGACTCTGTCAAAAACAAACAAACAAACAAACAAAAACATACAACAATGACAACATACAGAATCTTCCCCAATATCAGCAAGGGAAATCTTAGAATTTTTTTTCCATTATTATACTTTCCTATCCTCTCCAATTGATATGTCTTTGTTCCCAAACACTTTACTTCAGGGGCCATTTATCACCCATTGCCTTCCTCTTTTCCAATCAATGATCTGATTATTATTTATATTTTATAATCATATTACACAATATCAAGGAGTGGTGTGTCAGGATATCTCTGCTCTCTTAGACTCAGTGACAGTAAATCAATTGTTTTTGTCCTTTGACCTACTGAAATCATCTTCACCTGCCAGCTACAGCCATATTAGCTGTGTGAAGAGTGACTATCTGGGAGTAGGGAGGTTATAATATAATAAAAAATAAATCAGGATTTGGATTCAGAAATACTAAATTCTTGGTCAAAGACCAGCTATTTTCAAGTTATATGTCTTTGGTTAATTGTTTGATCTAGTTGAATCTCTATTTTTCTTTTCATAAAATAGTCTATCCCTATTTGAGGATGAATAAAATTACCCAAATAAAACCACCTTTTACGGTATTTTGTAATTGTGATATTGTGACATATATATTTGGTCTTAGTCTCAGTTTTCTGACAGATAGCTCTTAAAACCCTTGGAATTTCCAAAGTGATAAGATTGTCTTTTGCATGGTAGTGAGATGACTGATGGCTGGTAGCCCCTAAATATCCTTAGAATGGGGGCTGGTTGCCAGGGAACTAGCTCTGGAGATTACAGGATTGGAATGTTCAGTCCCACACTCTCCATGAGGAGAGGGGGGCTGAAGGTTGAGTTGACAAACCAAAGGCCAACAATTCAATCAATCATGAGTATCTAATGATCCTGCCATAAAAACACAAAAGAACTGAGTTCTGACAACCTCCATAGAGCTGAACACATAGAAGTTCCTAGAGGGTGACATGCCTGAAAGGAGCATAGAGGCTCTGTGCCCTGCTCCCATACCCTGCTGAATGTATCTTTGCTATCTGGCTGTTCATGTATCCTTTGTAATATCCTTTATAATAAATGGGCAAATGTAAGGAAAGTGTTTCCCTGAGTTCTGTTAGCTGCCCTAGCAATTTAATTGAACCCAAGAATTGGGTAGGCATAGGAAGCTTGATGTACATCTGACTGGTCAGAAGCACAGGCCATAACCTGTGCCAGAGACTGGCATAAGAAGGGTAGTCTTGCAGGACTGGACCTTTCAACCTGTGTGACTTGATGCTATCTCCAGGTAGATAGTGTCAGAAATTAATTGAATTAGAAGACACTCAGCTGACGTCCACAGGAGAATCATCTGAAGAATTGCTTTGTGTTTGGGAGAAAACTCCAGCATAGCTGAAGTCACAGAAGTGTTCTGTGTTATGAGAGTATAGTAGCATAAATTGAGTTAGTTTTTTCTTATATTCTTATAGTAATGCTTTTTCATTCTAATACCAAAGTCATTAAAGTAGGCAAACAATATGTTAACTCCCTGACATTCTTTGTTTGTTTGTACAAAAGATTTCCCAGGAAATGGTATTGAGAAGGATATATTTATTATATTGTTATGGCAAGAATCATTCAGTAGGAAAATATAGGTGGTATAGCTAATGAGCAAACTATAGAGTAGATTCCTTTTATCTTTTCCTTTTCTTCTCTGTGGTTTTCACTTTGCTCTCTTATCATCATCATTAATATCAAAGAATTTGGAAGATCATTAAAACTCTGCTAGCATTTGAAACTATAATGCTTTTGGACATAATTTTGAAGCTTGTGAGTGATGAGGATTGTAATTTATAATATCAATTGACACCTTCTCCTCCACCCTTCATGCATTTAAAGAGCTCTGGGCTCCAATCTGCTCTCAGCTATTGTTTGAAGGCTGTCATTAAATACAGCAGCTCACATATCCTTCAGCAGGATTTGGTCTTCAATGGGTAGCAAGTAGAAACAGGCCAATAAGTCCTAAGCAAGAAGAAATATAGTTTAGATTTTAGAGAACTCATTCAGTTGAAGTCAAAGAGGGTTCATCCTCTACAAAAAGAACTGTTTATTTTGAACATATGATGTTTCAAAGACTGAAATTGTTACTGTACTATTTTGAGTGCAGGGAAATTGTTTACAAAAGGGACATGGACTCTTCTCAAATGGAGAGAATAAAAGTAATCATATGTATTAAAAAATTAATCCCAATAATTCACTTTCCTCTTTGATTGTACTTGCTATGAAGAGGCACAGAATGTCAGGCTTTGTCCTAATTGAGGATGATGAAAGTCACCAGAGAGGGCTTCCCTTGGGAAGTAATGTCCAACCTGAGATATAACAGGTAAAGAGGGCTAGCCGGAGAAAAATTGGGGTGAGAGAGGCTAATGAAGTAATGTCAAAATGAGTATGGAACTGACAAAGACCTTCATGGCTGGAGCTCAAAGACAAGGTGGACTGACATGAAGCTGATAGGCAAGAGCAGTGGTGGAGAAGTTGGTATTTATCATAAGAGCAAGAGGAAGTTTTTAAAAAATTGGCATGATAGGTGTATGTTTTGAGAAGTCAGTCAGGCTTAAATCTTCTGATCCATATTAGAGGAAAGTAAGAACAAAAGTAAGGAGAACAGTTAGGTGATATGGCAATGGTCATGTCAAGAGTCCAGGCTTTCACAGCAGTGTTTACAGTACTGGCAGAGAGAGGAGAACATATTCTAGAGACATGAGACAGGGTAGATAGAACGTGATGACTAAATGACAATGAGAAAAGAAGAGAAAATGTGAAGAATATCATCTAGCTATCTTCCCAGATGATTAAGTGGATTGTGGGATCATTTACTGAGATAAGAAATATTAATGAACGATCAATTTTCGAGGAAAAGATAATTTAGTTTTTGACATTTTGAATTTGATTGGCCTGTGTCTTATTTTTAAAGTTAGTTGGGAACATGAAAACTTATCTGGCTGATGTTTTGTAGACAGAGGAGATGTTATGTCACTTTTGAGCCATAATATTTAATTACGTTTGTGAGACAGTCCAGGGTTCTATTCTTTCTGCCACTGTAGCTCTCAGTGTTTGAGACAGTGAAGCCTCCACTATATGGGTCCTGAAGTGAAGACAACATAGAAATGAAATGAGTGGTGAACATAGGGTATGAACAACAAATAAAACCTTTGTGATTTAATTGACTGAAATCTTAGGGGTGTTTGTTACACCAGTAATACCTGGCCTATATTTGCCAATATATCTTCCTTTATTAAGAATACTTACTCATTCTCCAGACTTTTCATTGCATTCAATTTTGCATACAACTCACATTTCATTAATCATGCTGCTTTCTAATTAGTTGGGTGCATAGATGACCCTCTTCCAACATACTTATATTTGGGACTCTCTCAAGAAAACTTGATATCTGTGTTTCTTAATGTCTCACTAAGTAACTAATATGAGTACCTGAGCTCAATTTGAAGTCTGTACATATGCATGAAATGACAGGAAATGAGCACTGATGGTAGCAATACTTCTGTAACGGGTTGACTTGGGGTCCCAAAATATATGTTGATTCTTAATTTTTGGTACCTCAAAATATGACTTTATTTGGAAATAAGGCTGTGGGAGATGAAATTAGTTAAGAGGAGGTAATACTGGAGAACAATTGTGCCTTAATCTAATATGACTGGTATTTTTATGAGAAGAGGAGAAATTTAAACCCAGACATGAAAGAAGCAAAGTGATATGAAGGCACAAAGGGAAAAGATTGCCTTGTGAAGACTAAGGCAGAGATTGGAGTTGTGCTGCCACAAACCAAGAAATGCCTGGGCCTACCAGAAGCTGGAAGAAGCAAGGAAGGATCCTCTCCCAGAGGCTTTGGAGGGAGCATGGCTGAAAATACCTTGATTTCAGGATTCTAACCTCTAGGAAAGTTAGATAAGACATTTCTGTTGTTTTAAGCCATGCACCTAGTGGTACATTGTTATGGGATTCCTAGAAAATTAAGTATATTTTATAGTACTTTAATAACATTACAAGATTCATAACATGAGAGTTATAATGTATGATTCCTGTGTTGGATCCTAAGAATATGTAAGTGGTAAAACAAGCTCATGAGTTTAAACAATGAAGAAAAAACATCCTGTTGCAGGATGTTGATATTTTATAAAAATACAATTTTCCAAGGTATAGCTATTTAATTGTGGTAAGTGCTAATAGGGACAATTATTGAGCCCTTAGAAATCGTAGAGTAGAAGACATAACCTAGTCCATTTAAAAAAGGATGATTTTCCTTGAAGAAGTGACTTTAAAATTGGAGCCCTGGGAGCCTCACTAGAAGTCTTATCTTTCTTTCATTATTGAGTCTTGTCTGAGTAGAATTACAGGATGGAGGGTGAAATCCTGATATCAGTGCTTTCTCAGTAAGTGTTTGGGGAGAAAATTTGGAAGAAAGGAAATTTGGAAGGAAGGAGGAAAAGAAGAAAGGAAGACAAGAAAGGAAAAAAGAAGAAAGAGAAGAAAGGAAGGAAAAGAGGGAAGAAAGGGAGAAAAGGAGGGAAGAAAATAGGTGGATTGAAAGAAAAGGAGAAAGATGAAATTAACTCTGAAAATAATATGTGTGTGTCCTATATTAAAAACAAAACAAAAACACATATTGTCTCACTAGTCTAGGAAAGATGCCATATAAATATATCCCTCCTGAATGTATATAAGGATCCTTATATATACGGATAAGAAAGATGTATTAGATATGTAGATAAACAGATTATATACACACACATATATAAACATATATATATTCAGTAATAGGAGGGATAAACACTTTCATTTCAACAAAAGTTGAAAATATAATTTTTAAATTTAAGAATTTCTTGAATTTTTTTTTGTTTTTTTTTGAGACTGAGTCTTGCTTTGTTGCCCAGGCTGGAGTGCAGTGGCGCGATCTGGGCTCACTGCAAGCTCTGCCTCCTGGGTTCACACCATTCTCCTGCCTCAGCCTCCTGAGTAGCTGGGACTACAGGCGCCCACCACCATGCCCGGCTAATTTTTTGTATTTTTAGTAGAGACTAAAAAGAGCCCTATTTTTAGTAGGGGTTTCACCATGTTAGCCAGGATGGTCTCGATCTCCTGACCTCGTGATCCGCCCACATCGGCCTCCCAAAGTGCTGGGATTACAGATGTTAGCCACCGCACCCTGCCAGGGTAGGATTAGTTTCTAATACTCAGCAATTATTAGAATAGACTAATAAAATTAAATTTTTGAAAATAACACAATGAAAAGAGTTGAAGACATTCAAATGTTTATTCCATTTTTATTTATCTGGTAATCCAGCAAATAATTATGAAATAATGATTATATATCAGTTTATTTTACCAGCTATATTTCAAGATGTTGATGATGTATATACATGGTAGAAGAGATAAAAAATGTTCACAATAAAACACACATACTACATAGTTACTATAATATGCATATTTATAATGTACTTTAGAATTACAAGAGGGCATCTAGACTATGTGGAAAACTCAGGAAAAGCATCATGTAACGGTAGCATTTGAATAGTCTGAAGGGTTATTAGGTGTTGATCAGTAAAATAAATTGAGAAATGCATTGTAGCACAAGGAAAACTACTATAGGCTTAGGGCAATTTTTAGGTCGCCAATATAACAGATTTTAAATTACTAATAAAGTAGAGATAATAATCCATTGTAATAAATTTTACAACGCATGAACATTTTTTCTATTGTGATACAATGTTTTTTAAGCTGAAGATATATGTAGCAGTTACCGTTACTTCAAAAAAGTCTTATGTTCCTTCAAAAGTAGTTATTAAACATCAACTGTTTTCAGTTCTGAGCTAGATGCTGTGAATGACCTCAGAATAAACGAGTTACAGTTCTTCAAGAACTTTCTTTTTTTAAGAAATAATACTCTGAATAAAATCATACATGTAATAGCAGGTACAAACAGTATTATTTTGAGCATTCAACCATTTAGCAGTGTATTTATGATGACATTTTCTTTCTTAATCTCACAGTAACATACTGACCACTTAAAGTGGTTAACAACAGCAATAACAAAAGGCAAGGTTATTGGGCAAACGTCAGAAAGTCAAGATGGCTAAAGATCTTAAGAGAGCAACTTTTAGGAGGTCATTAGGTCATAAATAAGTACCAATGTACTTTTTTATTGGTATGATATATATTATACAAAATATAGAAGTATATGTTATTCCTACATTTTAAAAGGTTGTGTAGCCTCTTCTGACATCTGCCCCTGAATAACTTGATAAAATTAACACCAGCAACTGACAATTTAAGAAATTGTTATATTACTATTCTGGTACTATTTAGTTCTGTATCTCTGGTTAAACATTAATACCTCAAATTTCTAGTTTTAATATATTGGTTTTAAAATAGAAAATATAAAATTTCTATTTTGCTACAGTTCTTAAATCTGACAGATTACAACTGAAAAGATGAGAAACCATTTATTATACCTTTAAATATCTGCTGCAATGTTTAGTTTACAAAAGTAGTTTTATCACTGAGTTTTCAAAAATATAGCTTCCAAAACAATGATGATAATTTCGCTGTCACAGTTTTTAGGAGTAATTATGTATTCAAAAATTATCTACTATATTAAAGCACAGTGACATCACAAGAGTATAGATAAAACACTGTCTTCTATTTAAAAATATATTATCTTACAATCACTTTCAATAAAAATGTCATTGCACATAAAAAAATGAGAATTTTTAATGGGATGAACTAAGAGCTGTAAACTAGATGATAGAATTACAAGTGTTGATTTAAGTATTCTTTCTACAAGTATTTGACTACAGGTTTTCTAGATTTAGGGATCATATCTTATGTATTAACGAATCTAAAATACTTAATATGAACTTGACACATAAGAAGTGTGAGATAAATTTCGATAAACAAGTAAATAAATGTATGGATTAATTGTCAAGTAAAAATTATTCTAAAGAAACTATTGAAGTTAGAAGAGAGAATAGTCTGATAATGCTTATAAGGTAGATGGTAAATAACTTGGAGAGTTTGAGGGAGCTTTGACTCATATTCAGGAAAACTGGAAGATACTTAGATTAAGTACAAGACAGCAGCTATCTGTGGGAGTAAAAGGGGGCAGAAGAGAGATGAGCAAATTACCGCTACCACAATGAACTAAAACCCGGTGTTGCAGGGCACACTAAAGCTTGAAATAGGGCACGAGAACAGACAATCACTCCAGGCACTTTTTTTTTTTTTTGAGATTGTGTCTCTCTCTGTTGCCCAGGTTGGAGTGCAGTAGTGCGATCTCGGCTCACTGCAACCTCCGCCTCCCGGATTCGAGCTATTCTCCTGCCTCAACCTCCCAAGTGGCTAGGACTACAGGCACGTGCCACCACGCCTGGCTAATTTTTTATATTTTTAGTAGAGACGGGGTTTCACCATGTTGGTCAGGATGGTCTCCGTCTCCTGACCTCGGGATCCGCCCTCCTCGGCCTCCCAAAGTGCTGGGATTACAGGCGCGAGCCACCGCGCCCAGCCAGCGCTTTCTCCTTTACACGGAGAACAATCATGTGGTTGAGAAGAGGCAGAGGAGTTTAAAGAGACCACCCTCAGGTAAGGACACATACGGTCAACTGAAAGCTGAAGGTAGATTAAGAGTAAAGAGATAAAACCAGCAGACACTCAGATCCTAAGCCTTACTAAAGGGAAAGTTGTGATTCTACCCTTAAAATATTTGAGATCTTTTGTTGAATTGAATCTAATTAAAGGAATAACAGAAACTAGGCCAGTTCAACTATGGAGTAGATTAAACAAAGACCTGGCCAGACACAAATATACATTGACTTAGTAATCTCTGTCCCATGGTGAAAGTCTGAACAACAACAACAAAATAGGAGCATGTCCTTTCCTAGACTTAAAATTACTCAGTTCTTTCCAGTTCTTTCCACATAATGTCTATATTTAATAAAAAAATGAAACAATCAAAGAAAAAAATATGTGAGCCATCATCAAGAGGAGAAACAATGAAACTAACCCAGGTAGCTCAAATGTAGGAATTATCAGAGGCATTTTAAAATGATAGTGAGTATAATAAAGAATCTAACAAAAATATGTACAATGTGAATTTTCAAATGAGTAATTTCAACAGAGTGAAAAACACTAGAATGAAAAATATGAGAAAAGAAATAAAGATAATTTTGGTGGATATATCAGCTGAATATATATAGCACATGAAGGAATAAGTAAACATAAGACAGAACAGTAGAAATTATACAAAAGGGAATAAAGGAGGAAAATAAGCTACAAACATATAATATCTGTGAACAAAACATCAGCTGGCCTAAGATTTGTGTGACTACTCAGAAGGTGAAGATGGAGGGAAATTAGGGCACAAAAATAGTGGAGGAAATATTGGCTGAAATTTTTCTGAGTTTTATGGAAAACATCAAATCACATATTAAAGAAATTCAGCTTCAGTGAACCACATTCAGAATTTAACAGATTCTCTATCTCTCTCTCTCACACACACACAGACACACACATGCACACACACACACCATAAATAAAGAGAAAACTTGAAAATTGCCAAAAAAAGAAAAGACATATAATTAGAGGAGATCAAAAGAGAAAAAGGACAAAAAGGAAGCCACATGGCAAATAAAAATCATCTTCAATATACCAAGTTTTTTTTTTAATGAGGAAGAAAAACCTGTTAAAAAATAAAGGCAAGGGAAATTCGACTTTAGCTTAGTAATGGAACTAGAAAATCCTCTTTTGAAAATTATAAAATGGACAACATTTACAAAAACAATAATTTTTGCACATTGGAAATTAACCAAAGACCTAGCTGTAATGCATCTATATTTCAAAAACAGCTGAACTTAGAGTGAGACAGTAGAAGTCTGTGATATTCGTGCTTGAGAATGCTCTAACCGTCACTTCTACTATTCCAGAGTTAGCATGGCTATCATTCCAGGGCTAGGAAGAGAATAAGAATAGTTCTATCAGGCCAGGTGTGGTTGCTCACACCTGTAATCCCAGCACTTTGAGAGGCCAAAGCAGGCGGATCATGTCAGGAGTTTGATACCAGCCTGGCCAATATGGTGAAACCCCGTCTTTGCTAAAAATACAAAAATTAGGACAGATAATGATGGATTACTAAAAAAAAAAAAAAAAAACAAACAAAAACCAGAGAGCTCAGCAACAATAACCTTTATTAGAAAAAAATCAAGATTCATAGTTACTACATTATATTATAAAAATGTCAATTTTTAACAAAAACATGTAAAACATGCAAAGATATGGAAAGTGTGAAATATCTTCAAAGGATGCAAGAAGCTAATAAAAACTATCACTGAGTGTTCCCAGAGATTGTGTTTAGGAAACAAGGACATCCAAACAGCTGTTATAAACATATTCAAAAAACCAATGACAACTACTTGTGAACTGGAGGAAACTATGACAAGAAGGAGAGAATTTCAATAAGGAAAGAGAAATTATTTTTAAAAGAATCAAAACAAATTGTATGTTAAAACATGCAAAAAATGAAAAAATTCACTGAATCCATAAAAAATCATGGATTCAATAGCAGATTGGAAATAACAGAAGAAACAATCAAAGCACACACACACACACACACACACACACACACACAGAAAAAAGCCATAGAAAATAAATTGAACAGGATCTCAGGAATCTGTGGAAAAATACCAAGCTTACCAACATACGCGTAATGGGAGGCCTAGAAAATAGTGAGAAGGAAAGGAGATAGAATTTAATAATTTAATGGCTTAAAATCTCACAAATTTGATTAAAACACTTTACTACACACAGTCAAGGAACTGAAGTAATTTCAAATAGGATAAATACACACAGATATCCACCAGTGTGTTGTAGTCAAGCTATAGAAAGTAATAAAGAGACCACCTTAAAGACAATGAGACAAACAAACAAGCAAAAACAACTCAAATAAGTGCATCAATATGACTAACTCATGACTTCACATCTGAAACAACAGGGGCCAAATGGTAGTGGGATCACATATACAAATTAATAATTACAAAATCAACCAAGAATTCTATGTCCAATAAAAATTATCCTTCAAATATGACTTTAAAATAAAGACACTACAAGATAAATGACAATTGACATAATGTGTTGTTAATAGGTATGTCATAAGAAGAAATAGTAAAGCAAATTCTGGATGAAATAAAATGACACAGGGCAGTAAATCAAATCCATAGGAAGAAATGGTAATATGTGAGTTAATATAAAATATATTATAAATGTAGTTTGCTAAATTCTTTGTAGACTTATTTTAAATATATGAGATGGTATAAAGCAATAATTATGACACATTATTACTGACTTTATACAACCCATAGATATTTATGAAAATAATAGCACAAAGTAAGAAAGAAAACTGTGCTATAGTAAAACAATATTTTCATATTTTATCAGAACAAATTTTATGTTATTTGGAAGTATATGGTCATTGGTTAAGATGCATATTGTAATCTCTAGGGCATCCACTAAAAAAAAATTAAATGTAAATAGTAAAATAATCCACAGATGAGTAAAAATTATACCTTGAAAACATGTTTACTAAAAATAAAAGAAGGGACCACACTAAAAGAGAAAGAAATAAAAAATTATTAATGTTAAATTCAAATTTATTAAAACATACTACTAAAAAAATTGATAAGGTACAAATAGGGAGAAATTATTTGAAAATTATATATTTCCTTTAGTAGACTCCAAGGTAGACTCCCAGATAAAGGACATGTATCCAAGATACAAAAAGGTTTTTAAAAAGATAAACAATAAGCCAAAAAAAGAGCAAACATTTTCATTATCATTTCACCAAAGAAGTTATAGGAATAAGGATTAAACACTATAATGTATACATACATCAATAATATTTAGGGAATTACAAATTAAAACTACATGAGATACCACTATACACCCAACTAGAATGGCTCTACTCAAAAAGATGGACAATGACAAGAGTTAAAGAGGATGTGCAGAAACTACCACCCTAATACATTGATGATTAAAGGTTAAATGGAAATGTTAAATGGGCTAGACACTTTGGAAAACTGTTTGGCAATCTTAAAAACAAAATAGACATATACATGACCCAGAAAATCCACACCTGGGAGTCTACTTTGTATTCTACTGAAGGAAAATTAAACGTATGACAACACAAAGCTATTAATAGGAGTATTATTCATAGTAGCTTAAAATTAGAACCAACCCAATGTCCATCAAAAGATGAATTATAAACAATGTTTTCTATTTATATAACTGATATAATTCAGTAATAAAGAACAAACTATTGACATATAATTCAGCATGGCTAAACCTCAAATTTAGTACACTTAGTGAAAGAAGCCAGTGGCAGAAGACCACACATTATATAATTTAATTTTTATGAAATATTTAGAAAAACTAATTTATATAGAAAGAAAGATAATAGATGTCATCTACAGCTGGAGAAGTATATGAAGATTAACTGCAGATGAACAATAAGAAACTTTTTGGTGTCATGTCTGCCATCTTTACTTGAGTGGGGAATGGGAGAAAATGTGTTGGCTTTTGTCATTTTTTTCTATAGGCTGTATGAAGCAATGAAAGTAAATGCTTTTTACTTTTATAAATGCTACTGTGTTTCTGAAACACGATTTCCACATTTTCAAACAAGAATTATTAGAATTGTATTTGTGTGATTCCTTTCCTCTGTACCTTAGAGATCTGTCTTTCCATGATGAAATTCTTTTAAAAGCTATCCGAAGGTATACTCAATGTAATGCATATGAGGTCATTTGCATTTTTTTTAAAAAACATCTTATTTGTGAAGCAGATTTCTTTCAACATATCAAAGCATATACTCTCACTGAATCCATCTGAATGTTTTCTAAATCATCCTTCTAAGCAAAATACTTTCATTTTTTAAAAGAGAACATTTCCTATACCCAATTTAACTTTTTGTGTTGAGCTCAAGCAATATAAAATATCAGCTCAAATAAGAAATGTGGGGAGGAATTGTAAAAGAAAGCCAGGAAGATTAAATGGAAAAATGACTCTCTAAGGTCTGATGTGTGGCATTAATGATGTAGCTCACTATAGCTGACGGGGGCAGCTAGTTCTTTGCCCTTTGTATCAGGAAAACTAATAAAGACTTTCATTTGTTAAGTGGTGAAAATTTAAACAAACTGAATCTTTGGTTATAAAAGATTGTCTTTTAATTGCTTAAAAAGAAACATACAATGCTACTGCCAAGAAAAATATATAATTCATTCTCATTCTGTATTGAACACGTACAAACTCATTTTTCTTGTCATTATTTCCTAAATAATATAGTATAACAACTATTTACATAGCACTTACATTATATTTGAGATAATAAGTAATCTAGAGATGATTTAAAGTATATGGGGGACTGTATAGGTTATATGAAAATACTATGCCATTTTATATAAGGTAATTGAGCATTCA
Source organism: Homo sapiens (assembly GCF_000001405.40). Taxonomy (NCBI): domain Eukaryota; kingdom Metazoa; phylum Chordata; class Mammalia; order Primates; family Hominidae; genus Homo; species Homo sapiens. Next base: position 40,286,541 of record NC_000018.10, read on the forward strand.
CAGATTTTGGTTTCTGAGGGGTATCCTGGAACCAATCCTGAATGGATATCAAGGAACGACTATTTAGTGTTTTGATATGATTAACTATAATCAAATGCTAAGTAGAATCTATGAATTTTATGGATTGTAATTACCATAAGGAGTTTTGAGGAAGTAGAACTTGAAATAGGAAGGTGATGAGTTTCAGGACATGCTACTACAAAATATGGCACTTTGAGATACTGAATATTTTAAGCTAAAGAAATTGGAAAAAACAGCAGAAGCTAGAAAGTCTCTCTGATCTCCCCCTGCTCTTCTTCCAAGAAGCAGTTCATAAAAACCGAGGAAGAATTTTCTGTTCTTCCCCTGAAGCAGGTCATAAGACCCTCATGCGAGAGGTGTTCTTCCTATATCCAGAAGAAAAGATCATTGTTATCTCTGAAGACTCAGAGACACAGACAGAAAAATCTAAACAACAAGACCTTGCTAAATTTCCCTCAGTTTATTACCATTCAATTCTACTTTTTGTCCTATTATATTTTCTCCATGATTAGTTACTCTTCATCAAACTGAGTATAAAAATATTCTGCATTACTCATTTCTTCAGGTCTTTATTTTTTTAAATTAAGGTTCAGTGTCATATAAAATTTATAGTACATAAATTGGTATACTTTTCTTTTGTTAACCTGTCTGTTGTTATAGAGCCCTCAGCCATGACCTAGGATGAGTAGAAGGAATAATATTTTTCCTTCCTTACAAAGGACAAACTTGGTAGAATACCTAAGCAAGCGAAGAAGTGGCAAATGGAGTGCAACGCAGGTATGGGTGCATAATGTAGATAAACATAGGCCATACAGTGACCAAATAGCACACTTTAGTGGTAGTTCCTACTCTACCACTTCTACCTATTATACTCTTTGAAGGTAATAAAGAGAAAGGGGGGGCGGAAAAATAATTAGAATTGCTAGGAAAGATATGCAAGAATAGTCATTTTGGGGATGCTTTCACACAGTTAATTGAGCTACAAAGCACAATTAATTATAGTCAATGAATATTTAATTACTGGTAATTCAAGAGAAATTCCAAAATGAGTTATTTTTATTTTGAAGGTATTTTGCAAATAAGAAGAAACCTTTGGTTACTATTTCCATGATAATCTAAAGAAAGCAGGAGTGGCTATACTTACATCAGACAAAGCATACTTTAAGTTAAAAACTGTCTCTAGAGACAAAGAAGGTAATTATATAATCATAAAAGGGTCAATTCAACATGAAGATAGTAACTGTATATATTTAGTGTATATATATATTATATATATATATAATCTCCAACATCAGAACACCTAAGATATAAAGCAAATATTGACAGAATTGAAAGGAGAAATTGACAGTAATACAATAATAGTAGAAAATATTAATATTCCACATTCAATAACAGATAGAAAATCCAGACAGATAGTCAGGAAAGAGACAGCTGACTTGTACAACACTATAGAGCAAATAGAGTCGATAGACATATATGGAACTTTACATCCATTGGCAGCAGAATACACATTCTTCTCTTTTGTACAAATAACATTCTCAAGGATAGATCACCTTAGGTAACAAAACACATCTTAAAATTCAATATGTAGAAACCAAATAACATTTTAACAATCACTGAGTCAAAGAGTAAATCAAAAGGAAATTTTAAAAAAATCTCATGATGAGTGAAAAAAACCCTAAAATATGCCAAAATTTATAGGATGCAGCAAAAGCACTATTAAGATGGAAGTTTGTAGGGATGAAAACCTACATTTAAAAAGAAGAAATATTTTAAATAACCTGCCTAACATTACACATCAAGGAACTAGACAAAGAAGATCAAGCTAAATTCAGTTACCAGAAGGAAGGAAATAATAAAGATTAGAGAAGGAATAAATTAAATAGAAAATAAAATAACTATGGGAAAAGTCAACATAACTAAGAGTTGGCTTTTTGAAAAAATAAAATCAACAAATTCTTAGCTACTCTAACTAGTAAAATAAGAGAATATATTCAAATAAAATCAGAAAGAAAAGAGAAGACATTACAATGGATACTTCAGAAATAGAAAATATCATAAGGGACTATTATGATAATTATGCAAATAAAATGGATAAATTTCTAGAAAGATACAACCTACCAAGATTGAATCAAGAATTAGAAAGCCTGAATAGACAAATTGTCAATAAAGAAATGAAAGTAGCACTCAAAACCTTCCAACAAGAAAAGCCAGGTAACTTTATTGTCAAATTCTACCACATATTCATTGTATTAATACCAATCCTTCTCCAAGCTTTAAAAATAAAATAAAATTAGAGAGAATACTTCCAAACTAATTTTATGATACCAGCATAACTCTAATATCAAAACCAGACCAAGATACCACAAGAAAACCATAGGCCAATATCTCTAATGAACATAGATGCAAAAATCCTCAATAAAGTACCAGCAAAACAGATTCAACAACACATTTGAAAGATTTTACACCCTGATCAGGTGAGATTTGTCCCTGGAATGCAAGATTGTTTTAACATACACAAATCAAACAATGTAACATACCACATTAATAGAATGAAAGATAAAAATATGATCATCTCAATACCGGACAGAAAAAACACTTGATAAAGTTCAACATCCTTTGATGATGAAATCTTTCAATAAAACAGATTTAAAAGAAAATGTTCTAAAAAAAGAACTTATTCATGAAAAGCACATAGCTACCATAATAATCAATGGGACAAACTGAAACCTTTTTCCCTAAGACATGGTACAGAGCAAGAAAGCCAACTCTTGCCACTTCTATTTAACATATACTGGAAAAATCAGCAAGAATAATCAGACAAGAAAGAGAAATACAAGACATACAAATCAGAAAGCAGGAAGTAATCTTATATCTGTTTGCAGATAACATCATTCTGTATGAAGAAAATCTTAAAGATGCTGCAAAAAGATTTTCAGAACTAGTAAGTCAATTCACAAAAAGAACAGGGTCTAAAGTCAACATACAAATATTAGTTGTATTCATTTACACCAATACTGATGTATCTGGAAAATAATCTAAAAAGCAATCCCATTTATGATAGCATCAAAAAGAATAAAATACTTAGAAATAAATGTAACCAAGGAAGTGACAGATTTGTGATTTGAAAGCTGTAAAACGTTCATGAAAGAAATTGAAGACACAATTAATAGAAATCTATCCCGTGTTTGTGAATTGGAAGAATTAATATTGTTAAAATACCCTTACTACCCAAAGAATCAAACAGATTCAATACAATATCAATACACGTTTCAATGGTTTTCACAAAAATAGAAAAAAAAATTCTAAAATGGACATGAAACCACAAAATGTCTTGAATAGCCAACATAATTTTGAGAAAGAAAAACAAAGTTGGAGGCATCACACTTCCTTGTTTCAAATTACATTATAAAGCTATAGTAATTAAACAGGATGGCATTGGTATAAAAACACACACAGACTGGCTGGACGCGGTGGCTCACGCCTCTAATCCCAGCGCTTTGGAGGCTGAGGTGGGCAGATCACGAGGTCAGGAGATTGAGACCATCTTGGCTAACATGGTGAAACTCCGTCTTTACTAAAAACACACAAAATACAAAAAATTATCTGTGCATGGCTGCGTGCGCCTGTTATCCCAGCTACTCGAGAGGCTGAGGCAGAAGAATCGCTTGAACCCAGGAGTTGGAGGTTGCAGTGAGCGGAGATCCCTCCACTGCACTCCAGCCTGGGCGACAGAGCAAAAAACAAAAACAAAAACAAAAACAACACACACACACACACACACACACACACACACACACACACACACCCCAATGGAACAGAATAGAGACCTAAAGAAATAAACTCAAACATATATGATCAATTGTTTTTTGACAAGACAATCAAGAAGATACAAAAGACAAAGGGTAGTCTCTTCAATAAATGGTGTTAAAAAAAAACTGGATATCAACATGCAAAAAAAAAAAAAAAGATACGAAAGAATCTGAACCCATGTCTTACAGTACATACAAAATTAACCTCAAATGGATTAGAGACTTAGATGTAAGGTATGAAACCGTAAAATTCTTAGAATAAAACATGGAGAAAAACTCCTTATAACTGGCCTTGGAAAAGAGTGTTTGAATATTACACTAAGTTTGGGCAATAAAAACAAAAATTAACAAGTGGTACTACATCAAACCAAAAAGCTTCTACATAACAAAGAAAACAATCATCAAGATATGAAGGGAGCCAATAGACTGAAAGAAAACAATTGTAAGCCACATACCTGAAAAGGGCTAATGTTCAAAATATATAGAGAACTTACATGACTGAATAGCAAAACTAACAAACAAAAAATATTTAAAAATGGGCAAAGAACATGAATATAGATTTCTCCATAGAAGAAGATACATAAGTGGCAAAAAGGTATATGAAAAGGTGCTCAACATTACTAATCATACAGGAAATGCAAACCAAAACCACAAACAGGTACCACCTCACACCTAAGATGGACATTATCAAAATACCAGAAAATAAGTGTTGGCTGGGGTGTGGAGAAAAGGAGATCTTTGTATATAGTTAATGGGAATATAAATTGCTACAATCATTATATAAAATAGCATGGAGGGTCCTGAAAAAATTACAAACATAACTGTCATGAGATCCAGCAGTCCTTCTTCTGGGTATATATCCAAAGCAAATGAAATCAGCACCTCATGGAGATATCTTCACTCCTATCTTCGTTGCAGCGTTCTTCACAATAGTCAAGATATGGAAACAATGTACATGTCTATTGATGGATTAATAGATAAAGAAATTGTGGTATATGTATACAGGGAAATGTCATTCTGCCTTAAAAATGGAGTTGCTGTAATTTGCAGCAATATGGATGAGCCTGGAAAACAGTAGCTAATTAAAATAAGCAAGATACAGAAAGAAAAATACTTTATGACCTCACTTATATATGTAATCTAAGAAAGTTGAATACAAAGAAACAGAGAGTAGAACAGTAGATACAAGAGGCAAAGATTGGGAGGAAATGGAAAGATGTAGGTCAAAATGTGTAAACTTGCAGTTATGTAGGATGACTAAATCTAGAGATCTCATGTACTGCGGAGGGACTGTAGTAAATAACATTGTATTGCATATTGGTAACTTGCTAAAAGAACACATTTTAGATGCACTTACAGGACACACACAAAAGACATAACTACGAAAGTTGATGGATATATTAAGTGCTTACCTATGGTAATTATTCTACTATGTCTGTTTATATCAAAACATCTTATACACCTTAAATACACATAATAAACATAAATTGAAAAAAAAATAGGCAACCTGAAACTTTGAGTCCCTTAACATTATTTAAATTCTGTTATTGTAACTTATAGTTATCACGGAAAATATGTTAAGTGGAGATCTTATGTTAACAAATTCTGATAATTTAAACCCCAAAATTGTATCTCTCCATTTCTTCATCTCTCAATGAGAATCATTATCTAAACTACATATTGAACATGGTATATATTAGGACTCTATAAGATGGCACAATGACTATTTAAGGTTGTAATTTGTTTTCCATTATCTTATCCTTGTTGGGGAGTAGATTTTTGTGGCTTGAAAATGTATCTTTCGATCTATATGTGCATATAACATGCATAGTGTTCCTTAAAGAACCCAGACCACCTACCTCCTTTGTATGCCTCTTTCCTTCCTTCCTCCCTCCCCATCCCCCCACCTTTTTTTTTGTTCCCTCTTTTTCTTTCTCTCTCTTTCCTTTCATTTTTTTTCTCATTTTTTCTTCCTCTCCTTTTCTTCTTATTAAAAAAAATGTTCAGTAGTTTAGACTGCAGCTAAGTTAAGCATGGGCTAAACCATACTTTATCTTGAACATGGGCATTTTGAAAAAATGTTTGTAAGGCAGAATATTTGCTTAAAAGAACAAACACTTTTTGAAAACTCTAGAAATAGCCATTTCCATACCAAAAATACACAGTGGGAAAGTACAAATGGTACTTTGTTGTGCTCATTAAGAATCATTTGTACTGCTTTTTAATGCAAAAACTAGGCTAAGATAATGTAGTATGTTCTAAGTTACGAAACCAAGAACCATAGAACTTGCTCCATAATTTACTGATTGCAAGGTCTAAGGGCAGTCACAACCAGCAATTTTCATTTCTCAAATAAGGCACCCAGAGTTGAATATATATCCTTTTATATCCCTTTATATCCCATGATACAGAAACATCTATAACATAAACTGTGCTTAATCCCCTTCATGAGCATATCAAATTTAAGAATTCTGTGGTTAGGATTTACTTTTGTTTTTCAACAAATAGCAAATTATACATTTTTTTAACTAAGTATTTTTATTTGCCTACATCTGCCTCAATTATTCTTCTGTTTAAAAGAGTATTTTCTTTTTTATGCTAATATATGTATGTGCAATTCTTTAGAATGAATATGCTCATTTGATTGTTATACTGGTTTAAAAAAGTTTATATTTCTAGCAACTGTGTACCTTAGAGACAACCTGTATTCCCAAAAGAGTTTGCCTATCTAGTGACCATCATTTCAAATGGAGATACATTTACTCTTTCAGTCTTGCCAAGCTGGGAGCCTCCCTGAATTCAGGGAAAATAGCCTAGGGCTCCATGGCATAAAGATGACGATGAGGCAGCACAGCCATACAGGACACAAGCAAGAATTCTGCCATTTTTATTTGGACCTTCCTTTAGGTTGATTTAGCTTCATCTGTCCTCTCCATATTCTTTATTACCCTGGCTTAGTGATATATTGGCCTACCACAAAATAGCCATGCATTTCTCTGTTCCTTTGTGAATTTAAAAATCTTGTCCTCTTCTGATACTAATTGCAGTGTTAGCCTATTTGTGAAGCTTTATAAAAATCCCATCTAATATCAAGTTAATAATACATCGTGGGGCTTTCATATATTGGATATAGCAGCAGCTCCCCCTACAGATGTGGAACCAGAAATAACAGACTTTGTTCTGGTTACCTACAGATGAGAAATAAGTAATAGTACTGGGTTTTTGGCTAATTCACAGTGTATGATGGAGGTAAGAGAGGATATTATTGTTTGTTTTAACTTTTCGTTTTGAAATCTTAGACTCACAGATGAGTTGCAAAAATAGTACAGAGGTTCACCATATACCTTTACCCAGCCTCTCCTAATGTTAACATAACCATGGTACAGTGGCAAACCGAAGAAATAAACATTGGCACAATACTGTTATTTTACTATAGGCTTTATTTGGATTTCACTAGATTTTTCAATCCTTAGATATTCAATCCTTTATATTCCAGGATTGAAACCACAATACTAAATTGCATTTAGTTGCTGTGACTTTGTAGACTCCTCCAATCTGTGACAGTTCCTCCATCTTTCCTATTTTTATTACCTTGACGCCCTTGAAGAGTGTTAGTCAAGTATTTTGTTGAATGTTTCCTATTTTTTGTTTGTCTGATGCTTTATCATGATTCATGGAGGATATGGATTTTTTTTGAAGAATATCACATAATTGAAGTACCCTTCTCATCACATCATATCATTGGGAACAAGGTATCATCATGATTTATGGATGGTGATACTAACTTTGAAGCTTGGTTGAAGTGATATCTATAAGTTATATCCACTGTAAAGTTATTAATTTTTCTCTTTGTATACACAATTTGTAGTAAATGGATCACTACATTCAGCCCACACTCAAGAGGTGGTGGGATTAAGCTGAATTACACTCTATCTTTTGGAAAAAAAGGAGTATTCAAAAATTTGGAGACATATGTTAAAAACACTATAGTAATTAATAGATATTTGGGAGAGATAATTGAGGCTATGATGAATATCATTTTACTCCTTAAAGTATCCAGTGCCACCAAAGTCAATCTTGGAGGTGTACAACATCCCTAAACCAGAAGGACATAAACTGATCGATTATTTCCCTTTCATTTTCAATTTTTTTTGGAGTTGACTATCCTTTTCTTTTTCTCTGCTTTAAATGTTGTACAGTGCCTTTAATAATTTTATAATATATTTCATTCTAATTTTTATAATTTTTAACTGTGGCAGTGTTCATGTGTCTGCTTTGCTGCCATTTCTAGAAGTATTAAGGCTTAATTTTATTGATTTGCTTGATTCCATTCATAATGATGACATTCAATTCTAAAAAAGTTAGTGTAAATATATTCAATATAATATGTTTACTAAGGTAAAGAATGAACTTATATATAAATAATTAAACATGTTTCAGTGATGACAAATTGAGTTATTCCTAACACACTATTTCTTGGACATTTCAGGTAAATATTTAGTAGTTCTATTGTTTTTCCTAGTTTTTATCAATATTATACTAAACCTGCCAATTCAGTGAAAACTTACTTACAGTTGTGATTATAAGCAACATATTGGTATTCTTAGCTTTTGTTTTGAACTTGTAGCCACCTCTTTGAGTATCAAATGCATTCAGTCTAGTCTCACCATCAAGAATGCTCAGTGCTCATTTGCTTTCCAGTATGATGTAATTATTTTCAGCTTTCACTGTTGGAGTGAATTACAAAAGTGACCACTGTAGACAGATGACCTAGCAATGGGTTTGCAGAGGTTGACATGATTCTGTGGTTGAAACAGCTGAAATTATCAGATTGCAAAGCAATGTGCTTATGTAGTTTTGGCTTCCTTTACAAACAACTAAATCATATCATAGGCACAGTGATCCAGCTGATTGGTGTGTAACAATGATGAATTCCTGCTCACTGGTGTGTCTGTGAGTCTGTGTGTGCTAGTTCTCAGGAATATGCATGGGTTGGGGCAGGAGGGGGTAAGGCTTAAAGACAGACAATTCAAGGACTAGAAGAGAAAAGGGGTGAAGGAATAGTGGAGAAAGAGTAGAATCAAGCTAGTCAAAAAAACCCAGAACTGAATAATAACATAAGCCAGCAAGTGTGGGGAATATAAAAACAGAAGCCAGAAGCTTCTTTGTTTCAAAGAGCAATTCTCAGGTAACCAATCTGTGTAGCCCTTGCATGACTTACAGCAGCCATTTTTAAATTTGGTAATATTACTCCCAGCGTTCTTAGAGGAGACTGGGAGCCAAACAGGGTTCTTGGGACCATCTCCTTGTTCAAGCAAAAGAGCTTTATATTCATGTTTTGCGTGGTTGACATCTGAGTAAGAAGGCTTTGAATAAAGAATTCCTTTAATTTTTTTTTTAAATTCACAATTCTGGGCTCCTAAAAGACAAAAATTGCAGGTAATAAAACTTTAAAAAGATGAATCATAGACAAAAATAGCTAACTTAAACCCATAGTTGTAATACTATAAGAGAAACCTTGTATATTCGCAATAAATACAAGATGATAATAAAGCAGTTTATCTTCAACTCCAGGTTTCACATTTCATAGCTTTATCAAATTGTTATTAAACATTATTTTATGAAAACTTAAGGAGTTAGCTGCTGCTTCGTGAAATGACTAGTTGTTTTATTCTTTTTTTAATTTTCAGCTGAAAAGTAATATTTTAAGAGACAGTAATTTACTGCATACACTCACTGTACTATGGAGAATATTAGGGGGATTCTTCACAATAGTCACTGGCCTTAGCAAGCCTAGAATGCAGCTAAGGAAATAAAATTTATGTTATACAAAAAAATTGAACAAAATTACATTATATTTCATTTCCAAGATAAGCGAGTAGTAAGGGCAGGGACCAGTTATGTAAATTCAAATATTTCAGTGGTTTTGAAAGACTATGAAGCCTAATGGAGAAGGTGAGATTTTGATTAATTCTGGATTGCAGGCTGAAAAGATAATGAGAGAATAAGTGTTGATATATTCAAACACTAATTTACATTGTCTTGTAATTTTAGAACTTCTTTTCATATATATAGTATGACGTTTCTTAAATGAAGGCCATACTTTCAGGAGGATTTTTGTTGACATATCTATATTAGATTTCACTAATATCATCTGACTTGTGAGAAAGAGTTTTTAAAAAATGACAACCATATTTTCCCCTCAAATTACAGATCATCTGTGTGTTCCTAGATGACAAGATAGAATTGTATAAATAATAATTTTATAACAACTATTGTAAGAATAATTTTTGTTCGAGGTACCAAATTCAGGAAAGGAAGCTTCAGTATCAAATAGCCCAATTGCATGAGTTTATATGTCAAGGCTTCATTTATTCCTAATGGGGCCATCAACACTTTTTGTGATCTCAGTAATTAGGAAACCAGTTTGATTCCTCTGATTATGGACTTCCTAAAATCTGGCTGCTAAGTCATAAAGGAAATAGAATGATGCTTTGGAGAACTAATGACTGCCCATGTGTGCTGAGTCAGTCTTGAATTTTATGAGAGGCTATGCTGACTTATGCAGGACTGTTTTGTGTCTCTGAGATGATCTATTCTAACATGTTGATTGCTTCTTCTTGGGTATTATTTTCCCTATGGAGACATGTACCATTTATGCAATTTTGTGAAATTAATTCTATATGGTAGAACAGAGAAAACATAGATGGACAACAGTGGAAATTCTAAAGTGAAACAACATGTGTGAGACTTACATTAAACAAAAAGTACAGAAGTAAAAAGATTTCTATGTTATTTTGGTAAAGGATGGAGACTGGTGACCCTATTATTGACGTCATTGGTGTAATCATGTTCATTGGATGAAAGCAGAATGGCCTGAGGCCTCTTCTTAGAAATAGGATTTTTTCTCATTCATTACCCCTCTTCCTGCCTCCACCTTCAATTTTGTCTATGTCTTCCTCAATAAATGCCATAGAGCAGTGAAAACAAGAGAAGTGAATAAGATAAGCCAAAACAGCAAAGTAACATGAATCACCATGATGGAGTTCATTAATTAGAAATTGAAATTAAAGACAACAACCTGTGAAAAATTGCACCTCTTGAGGTTGTTCTAGGACATCGTCTGTTCTAATTTTGGAAGTTAATTTGACAGAAATGTTTAAAGTATAGAATGGTATGTAAGAGAAATATGATGACCCAGAATAAAAATCACAGTGGGAGAAAAAGAAGCTTTATATCATTTTCCTTTCTTGTGTATGCTTTGATTAGACAAGAACCAGAAAGCCATATTTGGAATGCTGCTGAAGTTCTTTGTGTATGAAAAGCTAAAAAAGATTGCCTGTTCATCGTTCCACCTAAGAGGCATGTGTGGATATTCAGCCAATTTTTAATTATGAGGGTTTTACTTCTGTATCAGCTTTTCTGAATTACAAGATTATCTGATGAACAAGTAATAAAAAACAAGTTGGGGATGGGAGGGAGGGCAAAATGAAGAGCAGGCAGGAGAATGATCTTAATTGCTAAGTGCATATGAAACAATATGTGGTCAGTTCAAATAAATGCAAACCCATTTAACTGGAGTTCAATTATCTAGAAATTTAAATAAATTGAAATCCATTTTTTTAATTTTGTTTTTAGTTGAAATCAAATAATTATACATTCTATGGGGTATATTGTGATGTTTCAATACGTGTATGCAATATGTAAAAGTCAAATTATGGTATTAAGCACATCTATCACCTCATACATTTCTCATTTTTTTTGTTATAAGAACATTTCAAAACTTCTCTTCTAGCTATTTTAAAATATACAATAAATATCATTATCCGTAGTCACCCTACTGTGCAATAGAACACAATAACTTATTCCTCCTGTCTAGCCACAGCTTTGTATCCATTAACCGACTTCCTTCTGTCCTCTACTCGTTGCTCCTTAGCCTCTGGTTACCACCATTCTACTCCACTTTTATGAAACTGACTTTTTTAGAGATCAAGAGTGAGATTACCCGGTATTTGTCTTTCTGTGCCTGGCTTCTGTTACTTAATATATTGTCCTCCAGGTCCATCCATATTGCTGCAAATAACAGGATTTCATTCTTTTTCACGGCAGTACAGTACTCTATTCTGTCTATATACCACATTTCTTTATCCATCATCCATTGATGGACACTTAGATTGATTCTCTATTTTGGGTATTATGCAGTAAATGTGAAAATGTGGACATCTTTTTGATATAATTATTTTATTTCCTTTGGATAAACATCCTGAACATCCTGTTTCTGCTGTGGTCCTTTTTTTTTTTTTTTTAGACAGAGTCTTGCTCTGTTGCCCAGGCTGGAGTGCAGCGGTGGTGCAATCTTGGCTCACTGCAACCTCCACCTCCCATTTAAATGATTGTCCTGCATCAGCTTGTATTTTTAGTAGAGATGGGTTTTCACCATGTTGGCCAGGCTGGTCTGAAACTTCTGACCTCAAGTGACCTACCCACCTTGGCATTCCAAAGTGCTGAGATTACAGGCGTGAGCCACCATGCCTGGTATCTTTTTTTAGCCATGTTTTTTCATGAAACCAGGTGACTCTGTCCTTCAGTGATAGAGGTCATATGTGCACACAGCAGCTATTTGAATGTGAGTTATCTTGGGTTAAGCTATGTTAAGAACTGTGAAGCATCTGAGACTTTACCTTACTTATAAGTTAACAATGTTGCCTGTCACTATTATTTGGATGTTGGCAAGAGACATGATACTCCTGGATCAAAGGTACATAACCTGGTTTTTCAAGGTGATAGCCGTAGTCAGAATATCAACATTTTCTCGTGCTGGTTCTATGAGCCCCAGTTCACAGGACATCAAAAAGACATAAGGTGACACCTATACTTGCATTAGGTAGCATTACAGTAGAGAAACAGCTTAGGGAACCCATACCTTTTTTAACAGGCAGTAAGTATGTCTGCCTTTCATCCCATAGAGAGACATTATATTTATTGTACTGGGCAATTTGGATTTGAACAAGACGCTATATTTTCCAAGGCATGAAAGAAACCTGTCCTTTGCTTTAAAGGGAGACACTATCTCCATTTTCTAAGGTTGTCTGCTCTACAAATATCTTTGAAGAGATCATCTGGAAAAAAGACATGATACTTCTGCTCATAAAATTTGCAAAAACTTGAGAGACTTATAGACAACTGCCTCTTAACATACCAATGAAGAACTCTAATTATGTGTTCTTTGTTGTCCTGGAAGAAAAATGACAACTACCACAGTTTTATATGTAAAATTGACAGAGGCCAGAGAGAAACACAAGTGATAAGAGAGATTTCATCCTTCTCTAAGTCACAGAAATAGAAAGCAACTGAACTTCAAACTCCAATGACTTTGCTCCATCCAGGTTGCTTTTTTCTAAACGTGTGTCTTCCTAAGTATAATCCTGCTATAGCTAAGTTGAATGGAGTGCCTGTCGCTTTCTCAGTGGTTCCTCTAATGTGCTATATGAACTTGAAACTGGTAGTTTCTTCCTCTCTGCCTTGTTTTTTTAAGCTAGAGAATGGTAGCAATTGCATGTATCTTACACCGTAACAGCACTGTGATGAGAATTAGATCGGGTAATAGGTACGAGAGTGTTCAGACCAGTATCAATAACTCAGTACAAAAGCATAATCCTCCTTTCCATTTCACTCCATTGCCTCCAGGACACAGCTCCAAATCTCATCTGGCAGTACTGACATCCCTTGATCTGGCCACTCTCTCTCTCCTCAGAGGATTATCCCTCAACATTTTTCTTTTGTAGCATGCACTCCAATAAATTGTTAAATCTGTCTTCTTTGATTTGAGACATTCCTCCTTTGAAATTTTATGTCTTCAAATAAGAACTCCAATGGCAGCCCCTCTATTGGGTATCCCTCTCTTCTCCCATAAGAAAGTATTTCTAGTCCTATGGGCCTTTGTACTAGCTTTATCTCATAATATCAATCACATCGTGTTGTCATTACACACTGTTACACCTTGTCTTTGAATAGATGCTGCCTCCAAGAAAATAACCTGAGAGATAAAATAGAAATTAATTAAATTAAAGTAAATAGATACTGCAAACTGTGTTCTCTCACTTAGGGTGTGTCTTTAATTCACACCCAATGCCATATGTTGCCCAGGTATGAAGCACTTTTTTTGTTGTTGTGGTTAAGAGAGCAGGATTTTTTGTTAGGTGCTCTTGGAATTTAATTCCAGGTGTGCCGTTTATTAATTGTGAAAGCTTGGGCAACTTCTTTCAATGTGCTAGGCCTCAGTTTTCTCATGGGCAAAGTAGGGTTATTATCTTTACCATGGGTTTTGGGAAGGAGTATTTGTAATACTGTTTAGCAAAACATAACTGTTAGATAAAAGGTTAGTCTCTTTATACACCACCTTATTGGGCTGTGAATGATTACAATTATTATTATTATTATTATTATTGACAGAGTCTCACTCTGTCACCCAGGCTGGAGGGCAGTGGTGCAATCTCGGCTCACTGCAACCTCTGCCTCCCGGGTTCAAGTGAGTCTCCTGTCTCAGTCTCCTGAGTAGCTGGAACTACAGGCACATGCCACCACACCTGGCTAATTTTTGTATTTTTAGTAGAGATGGGGTTTCACTGTATTGGTCAGGCTGGTCTTGACCTCCTGCCCTCAGGTGATCCACCCACCTTGGCCTCCCAAAGTGCTGGGATTATAGGCATGAACCACCGTGCCCTGCCAGTTTCCTTGTATTTTGTTGAGAATTTCTATGTCTATGTTCATTAGGGATATTGGCCTGTAGTTTTCTGTTTTGTTGTGTGCCTGCCAAATTTTAGTATCAGAATGATACTGTTTTGATAGAATGAGTTGGAGGAATCCCTCCTCCTCGATTTTTTGGGAATAGCTTCAGTAAGATTGGTATCAGCTCTTCTTTGTATGTTTGTCTGTTACAATTTGGCAGTGAACCCATCTTGTCATGGACTTTTTTTGATTGGTAGAGTTTTTCTTACTCATTCCATTTCATAACTCATTATTTTATTTGGCTGTCCAGGATTATAGTTTCTTCCCAGTTCAATGTTGGGAAGCTTTATGTTTCCAGATATTTATCCATTTCCTCTAGGTTTTCTCATTTCTGTGCACAAAGATATTCATAGTAGTCTATGAGAATCTTCTGTATTTCTGTGTATCAACTGTAATGCCACTTTTATCATTTCTGATTGTGCTTATTTAAATCTTCTCTTTTTTTTTCTTGGTTAGTCCAGTTAGTGGTCTATCAATATTGCTTATCCCTTCACAACTCCAACTTCCCTTGTATTTTTTTTTAGGAGTCTCAATTTCATTTAGTTTGGCTCAGATCTTTGTTATTTATTTTCTTCTGCTAGCTTGAGGCTTGGTTTATTCTTATTTTTCTGGCTCCCTTAGATGTAATGTTAGGTTTTAATTTGAGATCTATCTTTTCGATGGAGGCATTTAGCCTTATAAACTTTCCTCTTAATACTACTTTTGCTGTAGCTCAGAGATTTTGACATGTTGTCTATCTTTGTTGCAAAAAATGTTTTGATTTCTTCCTTAATTTTGTGGTTTAACCCAAAGTCATTCAGGAACTAGTTGCTTAGTTTCCATCTTCTTGTATATATATATATATATATATATATATATATATATATATTTTTTTTTTTTTTTTTTTTTTTTTTTTTTTTTTGAGACGGAATCTCACTCTGTCATCCAGACTGGAGTGCAGTGGTGCGATCTTGGCTCACTGCAAGCTCCACCTTCCAGGTTCACACCATTCTCCTGTCTCAGCCTCCTGAGTAGCTGGGACTACAGGTGCCCACCACCATGCCCAGCTAATTTTTTGTATTTTTAGTAGAGAAGAGGTTTCACCATGTTAGCTAGGATGGTCTCCATCTCCTGACTTCATGATCCGCCTGCCTTGGCCTCCTAGAATACTGGGATTACAGGCGTGAGCCACCACGCCCAGCCCTGTATGGTTTTAAGAGTTCTTCTTGGCATTGATTTCCAATTTTATTCCACTGTGGTCCAAGAAGATGCTTTATATTATTTTGATTTTCTTGAACTTATTAAGACACACTTTATGACCAAGCATGTAATTAATTTTAGAAAATGGTTCATACACAAATAAGAAAAATGTATATTTTGCAGTCATTGGGTAGAATGTTCTGTAGAAGTCTAGTAGGTTCATTTGGTCAAGAGTTAAATTTAAGTCCAGAGTTTGTTTGTTTTCTACATTGATGTGCTGTTTAGTGCTTTCAGTAGCATGTTGAAGTCCCCCACTATTATTGTCTGCCTGTCTGTCTCTTTTCTTTGTTCTCACAGTTATTGTTTTGTAAATCTGGGTGCTTTCGTGGTGGGTGCATAAATATTTAGGATAGTTAAATCTTGTTAAATGGAACCCCTCACCATTACATAATGGCCTTCTTTCTCTTTCTCTCTCTCTCTTTTTTTAACTAATTTTTAAGTCTATTATATCTGATACTATAACAGCAATACCTGTAATTTTTGCTTTTCTGTTTGTGTGATAGATTTTTCTCCACCTCTTTCCTTTGAGCTCATGGGTGTCATTATATGCAGGATGAGTATCTTCAAGGTAGCAGATGATTAGGTCTTGTTTTTTCATCCAATTTGCCAATCTATCTTTTAAGTAAAGCATTTAGGCTGTTCATGTTTAAGGATAATATTAATATATGAGGTTTTGTTCCAGTCATAGTGTCGTTACCCAACTGCTTTGTAGTCTTGATTACATTATCACTTTACAGAATCTGTGAATTTTGTAGTTAAGTGTGCTTTTTGGTATCAAGTGTCATCCTTGCATTCCGTATTTAGAACTGTTTTGAGCATTTCCTATATGCTTGGTCTAGTGGTGATCAATTCCCTTAGCATTTGCTTTTATGGGAAATAATTTACTTTTCCTTCATTTAGTTTGGCAGGGTATAAAAGTTTTGTTTGGTGTTTTATTTTTCTTTCAGAAGGCTGAAAATAAGCCTCCAAACTCTTCTAGCTTGCAAAGCTTCTGTAGAGAAATCCACTGTTAGTCAAATGTTTCCTTTATAGGTAATTTGGCTCTTCTCTGTAGCTGACTTGAAGATTTTTTTCTTTTACGTTGACCTTAGATAGTCTGATGATTATAGGTCTTGGTGAGAGTCACCTTGTGTAGTATCTCACACGGGATTTCTTTTATCTGCATGTTGACAACAGTAGCAAGATTAGGGAGTTGTTCCTGAATTGTTCCCTCAAATATATTTTCCAAGTGGTTTCTTTTTTATTCTTCTCTCTCAGGAATGCCATAGGGTTTGTTGCTTTACATAACCTTAGAGTCAGTTGCTTTACATAATCCCATATTTCTCAATGGCTTCATTCACTTTTTAAACAATTCTGTTTTATTTATTTTATTTTATTTTATTTATTTTATTTTATGTTTTGAGACAGAGTCTCGCTCTGTCGCCCAGGTTGGAGTGCAGTGGCATGATCTTGGCTCACTGCAACCTCCACCTCCCAGGTTCAAGAGATTCACTTGCCTCAGCCTCCTGAGTAGCTTTACAGGCACCCACCACCTCACACAGCTAATTTTTTTGCATTTTTAGTAGAGATGGGGTTTCACCATGTTGGTCAGGCTGGTTTAGAACTCCTGACCTCTAGTGATGTGCCCACCTCGACCTCCCAAAGT
This sequence comes from Homo sapiens, assembly GCF_000001405.40. NCBI lineage: Eukaryota > Metazoa > Chordata > Mammalia > Primates > Hominidae > Homo > Homo sapiens. The sequence continues at coordinate 40,304,046 of NC_000018.10, forward strand.
GCTAGGATTACAGGTGTGAGCCACCATGCCTGGCCTTTTTTCTTTATTTTTGCTGGACTGGGTTAATTTGAAAGATTGGGCTTCAAGCTCTGATAACTTTTCTTCTGGTTGGTCTAGTCTATTATTAAAGCTTCAATTGTAATTTGGTATTCCCTTCATTAATTTTTCAATTCCAGAAGTTTTATTTTTTTTTCTTTTTAAATATAGCTATCTGATCTTTCATGCTTTGAATCATTTTTCTGGTTTCTTAGTGTTGGTTTTCAACTCTCTTGGACCTCATTGAACTTCCTTGCAATCCTTATTTTGCATTCTTAACCTGTCACTTCAGACATCATTTTGGTTACGATTCATTTTTAGTGCTAGTGCAGTCCTTTGGAGGTGTCAAGACACTCTGTTTATCTGTACTGCTGGAATTCTTTCACTTATTCCCTTTTATTTGAGAGACCCATCACTTTTTTTTTTAATGTACTGTAATTTGGAGGAAACATTTTAATTTTTTATTCTTTTTTTCCCTTGAGGGCATGACTGTGGTGTATGCTGTATATAATCATTTGACTTCACTTCAGGGTACTGCCTGGGAGCCAAGGCTCTCTATGGGTTCCTTGGTTGTTGCTAACTTCTGTGTACTGGCTTTCTCAGGTGCTGCCTGTTATAGTGATATATTAGATGTATGAGCTGACACATTATTTCCTTCAGGGCTGATGGTGTGGAGGTCTCAGGAAGCTTATCTTGTACACGAGCACTATGCGCTTTTGGCATCCAGTTTATATTTAGTGGTGCAGTCCTGGATCAAGTCTAGTAAGTGGCACTTAAGGGTAAGAGCTAGCTTGCTCTGAGGTAGGCTGATGATGAATGACAGCACCGGCCCTGATGAGGGTATAGTGGTGGAGTGATCATGTGTGGGTGCACTAAGGTTTCAGAGAAAGAAGCAGAGGTTAGGGTTATACCAGCTCCTCATCCTGAGTAGCAGTAGTAGGAATATCATCTTCTTTCTTCTCATGCCCCTGTCACAGGGCTCATTGATTTTTTGTTCATTGACTTTGTCCTTTTGCTCTAGGCTTCAGTGTGGCTCTGGACCATGGATATCCCTACCTATCTGGTAGCTACTACCTAAATGGGCTCAGGACAGACCCTCCTCCCTGAGTCCAGAGCGGACAATTCTGTTGCAGATGTCTAGTCTGCTCTCCTATGCTGGGACACTGCCTCTCTGTTAGGGAGGAGGAGTGGGGCCCTGCCCTTTATGTAAGCCCAAGCAGCACAGGCTCACTTTCAGTGAGGGTAGGACTGTCATGAAAAGCACAAGAAACACTTCATCTAAGTGCATGCATGTTGACCTCCAGCTAGAAGAGCCTCTGCCATCCAAAAAAGTGGACAGCGGGGAGGAGATGACCTCTTCTCCAAATCGGTTTTGGGTCACCAGTGCTGCTTCCTTCAGGAATTATTCCAAAGTGGGATCTGGTGGGTTGCGCTCTTTCCTCCCATAGGGGTAATCCACACTGAGGATTAGCTCTCCAGGGGTCCTGCAGCTCCCCAGGGATCCACTGGTCCCTTTCACTTGTCAAAATCAGAGTGGGTTGTGGGGTATGGTAAAGTGGTGTCTGTTGGTATAATGACTCAAGGCCTGAGATCCCCCAGGCAGGGCAGTGGCTCATAATGGGATGGGTGTACAACCAGTATGGTACCTTCCATCTCAGTTCTGGCCTGACAGGAGTATAGGCATGCCTGCATGAGCTGGCCACCGTTTTTCTGTTGCCAGAAAGTTTTTGAATCACCACAAAGAGTATTGTCTAGGGTCACTAGGGTAGAGGGGCTCCCCAACAGTTTGACAGTCAGCAAATTATTGCAGGGGTGAGGGTAGCGGAGAAGCATTCCCACCTACCCTTTCCATGGGGCTCCGAGTTCCTCAAGGGTCTATCTCTTCAAGACTCTTGCTGCTTTCCTTTTCTGCATCCCATCTTCTTCCTGTGGATTCTCCGACAGGTCCTGGCTCTCTTCTATCAGTTTTTTATTTGGAATATGTCCATTCACCAGTAACTTTGATCTTCTTTCTGAGGAGACTGGCATCCCATGTTCCTAGTCAGCCATCTTGTAAAAAAAATAACTGATTTAAATTGAGGTTTGTAGACTTCTTGTCTTTCTTTTAGGATGCAAAGGCCTGGAAGTAGTATTTATTATCTGAGACTCCTAATTGCCAGAATTTTACAAATGTTTTTGCTTCTGAATGCTGATTATCAGATTAACTTTTATGGTTTGATGAAGTAAATTTACCTTATGAATTAGTAAATGAACATGCTGAGGTTTTATTACTGTTGTGGTGATGAGTAATTAGATTGTTTATTTATTTGTTTTGTTTTATTTTTCTGAACAGCAACCTGTGACTGCAGTTTCTAATTACTTTAATTCATGAGACTGTATTCATGTTATTCCTGAGTGCTGCTGCTAGCACGTATCTGTCAGAAACATACAATGGTTTTCTCTAGAAGAAAAGGACATATTTCTAGATCCCAAGTTATTTTTCTAAATAATTTTGTAAATAAAATTTCTGATACATAATCAAGAATAATCAGATACACTAGGAGAAAATATTAACATTTGCAAATTGTTAACAGATAATATACCCTCTAAAATAAGAAGCAAAAATTATAGACCTAGAATTAGTAATAATTCTATGCAGTTACTAATAGACAAATTATTAAAATACAGAAGTTTTGAAGAATACAATTAGTATGCTGAAGATTTGTAACACTATATTCAACAACTATAGAACAAATTCTCTTTTCAGGGACATTAACCACGTCTTCAAACATTCAAAAAATTTAAATCTAAATAAATATTCAAATGTTTTTTCTGTGTCTGTGTTAGTATGTGAAATTTATGTTATATACAGTTCTAAAATGTATATGAAAATACAGAGGAGAAAGAATTATGGAGATACTCTTAAAGAAGAATAACAAAGTGAGAAAACATGCTCTACCAAATATCAATAATTATTATAAGATTACATTAAGAGTATGCAGTATTGGCAATAATATGAGATGAAGAAAGAGCAATAGGGTAGACAGGTTGACAGACTTAGTAACACCTAAGTCAGGAAAAAGATGATACTTTAAAACCATGGGAAAGTATAATATTTCCATTAATTGGTGCTAGAATAATTAGGAGATATCCACATGAAAAAATTGTCATGTCATTTACTTTTCCCCATACTTAAAAATCAATTCAGATTGATTATTATATTTTAATGAGAAATAAAAAAATAAATCTCTTGGAAGATAATACTGGAGAAAAATCTCCAAGATTTTGGTACAGGGAAAGACTTTTTAAATAAGACAAAAAAGAAAGATTGATATATTGGACTAAATCAAGAGATAATTTTTATGTGTGTATCAGAAGACATCATTAAGGGAACAAAAAGGCAAATCACAAAATGGAAAAAGGATTATTTGAAATGCTCTAGCCACAAAGGGCTCATATCTGAATATATAATATACTTCTACACATCAATAAGGAAAAATCAACCAAAAGAAAAGTAGGCAAGATAATTAAACATGCATTTCACATGAACTATAACAAAATGGCCAAAGATGCTCAATTACATTAGTAATCAGAGTTATTCAAACTACAACCACAATGAGGAAATTCACTGATGAATATTTTATTTAGCGTACTTTTCTGTAAATGTTCTATTCCTGAATATAAAAAGTTTTCATTTAAAATATGTGAAAGGGAATGTAGGGAATTACATATAATTGCCTAGAGCTAGAACTCTTTCAACATGAGGGTGGAGATGACAGAGAAAGTCAGTGTGAAATATGAGGACACAGTAATGACTACTTCGAAAAATGGCTGTTCTAGAATTACGGTCTCTTGGTTCTACTATGGCTGCAAAATCTTATTAATTTATATTATTGTTAAGTAATAGTACTTACCAGCTGTATAGCAATGAGCACATCATGTGACTCTTTGTTTCTTTGTTTTAAATTTGAGCCCAATATAGATACCTTTGCTGTGGTTGTGAAGGTTTTAAAAATAATGTTAAGCAACCTTATTTGTAGTAAATGTCAGATAAATGTCTGAACAGAAACTTAGGAAGAGAGAACACTGCTTCAAACATCTATTTCCAATTTCATTTTGCATTTGCTTCAGAAATTTTATATTGTTTGAGAAAGAGAGTAAAGAAGAGAAAGGATATAAAAAGAATAGATTCAATTCTTTCCTGGCTTAAGTATTACTAGTCTAAATTATTGGCTTTATAATCAGATTATTTTTAATCATTTCAATAAGTGGTAAAATAATTTTGCTAAATTGTCACTGTAAGTATGCTCATAGAGAGTATATTAATTGGAAATTACCAATTATTAAGCTAATTTCTGTCCACTTTATATTTTAACTTTTAAACTTTTACACGAAAATAAGTCAAACTCTTAAAGAATGAGAAAATTATTTTGTGTAAAAGAACTGAACCCAAATCCATTTTATTAATGGACATATATAGCATTAGTCAGCTCTTAACTCCTTCACATCCTCTCTCTCACATCTTTATTCTCTCTCATTATATTTTTTCATTTCATAAAAATACTGAAAACTATTCCTTAGCTGTTTATATCCAACCAGGATATAAACATCTTTAGGATTTATTACATTGAGTTTAGAAACTAATGATGATGAAAATAGTAATAATAATGATGGCATATTATTGTTAATGATAAAATTAAGAAAACCAATAGCAATAATATGTATGTATGTATGTATGTATGTAGGTATGTATGTATGTATGTATACATATATACATATAGTTGCTTTTTTTTTTTTTTTTTGAGATGGAGTCTCACTCTGTCACCCAGGCTGGAGCACAGTGGTGCCATCTTGGCTCACTGCAACCTCTGCCTCCCAAGTACAAGTGATTCTCCTGCCTCAGCCTCCCGAGTAGCTGAGATTAGAGGCACATGCCACCACACCTGGCTAATTTTTGTGTTTTTAATAGAGATGAGGTTTCACCATGTTGGCCAGGCTACTCTCGAACTCCTGACCTCAGGTGATCCTCCCACCTTGGCCTCCCAAAGTGCTGGGATTACAGATGTGAGCCACCACACCCGGCCAATAAAATACATAGTAAAGAAAAGAATTTCAGATGATGATGACAGACTAGCCATTCTGGAACGCCCAGAACAGAATTATTTATAACCTCATTTGGTACTGCTGAGATGGAACAAAGCTTTGGAGAAAAAGAGTCTCAAGGGGTCTTCATTTGTGTTGGAAATAAATGTGGCCTTAGTGCGGCCTTCCTGCGGCTGTATTCTCTCAGCCAGTTAACTTAACTCACCCTCTGTGCACACTATGAGCACCTGGTCCCCCAATTAATACCTATACCTGTGGTGGCCAAACTTCCATCTCACTCAATTTCTGCTTTTCACCCCCTCCACATGCCAGAGGAACTCTCAGACTGGAGATTCAACATGGCAGCTGCCCCCCAGGAATCTGAATTACTAAGACAAAAGTTGCATTTTGCAAAATGTATTCATTTTCCTCTTCTTGGGGTTAAAGGGCATCCTGTATGACCTTGAAAAAAAATATTTACCAGTGTGACACTGGGTAGAAGAATTTCATTTTCTTCTCAAATAACGAGAGTCTGAGCAGGGACAGAATAAGAAATGCAGGCTGTGAATTTTGAGGAAGCTAACTTGAGTAGGACACGGGTGAGGGAGGGAGGGTGAATTATTTCCTTCACCCTGCAGGACCAGGACTCAGTCCCAGAGAACTCCTATTTGAGAACTGTTCAATGTCGATAGTGTCTGTTTTCATATTGAGAATTAAATGTTATTAAAGCCAGATTATCTTTACCACTTCAGATCACAGACTATCCAGGTTTCTTTTCATACTCAGATGAGCTCAATGGTTCCTTTTGTCAAGATGACATAGTACTAAGTAAAATTACCATGATCATGTGTAGAGACACATGAACAGTGGGGCTATTTTTTAGTCTTCTTAGAGTGAATTAATAATAATGGCTAGCTGCGGTCCATGGACATTGGAGATCTGCTGAAGTCATCATCTCTAATTAAGGCACATAGCCTAAGAAATTACTTTTAAATTGTCAGAGTTTTCAAAATTTGATCTGTCACACCAAATTTGTGCTTATTTGCACCAAAATCACGACTTTATTATAAAAACTTCAATTCCTTAGAATTTTTGCATTTCTTGTCATTTTTTTTCTAGTTGAGACAAAAGAGATTGCAAGAACCAATAAAAATATCTGAATCACGGCCGGACGTGGTGACTCATGCCTGTAATACCAGCACTTTGGGTGGCCGAGGCGGGTGGATCACCTGAGGCCAGGAGTTCAAAACCAGCCTGGCCAACAGGTGAAACCCTGTCTCTACTAAAAATACAAAAAATCAGCTGGGCGTTGGGGCCGGAGCCTGTAATCCAAGCTACTTGGGAGGCTGAGGCAGGAGAATTTCTTGAATCTGGGAGGTGGAGGTTGCAGTAAGCCGAGATCATGCCATTGCACTCCAGCCTGTGCAACAAGAGCAAAACTCCACCTCAAAAACAAACAAAAAAACTTGAATCACGTTATCATAAACAGATATTTGTTTCTGGAAGAAAATATCTGTATCTGTAGCCAGGCTCTCTGGGTTCTCTTAATTACTATGTGTGAGTTTGGGAAAATTTCCTTAAACCCTATTCTTCAGTTCGTTCAGCTGTAATATGGGTTTGTAAATTGTATCTGTCATGGAGAATTTGTGAAGATTAATGTAAATCACCCAGAAGAGGGGCTGACACATATAGACATCAGTAGTTACTATAATAACAATTATTATTATTACTACCATTGTACAGTTGTTACTTCTATTAGATGCTTTATTTATCCAGATCTCCATCCTTCATGCCGTACCTTTCCCAGTTTACTCTCTTCTCCAATATTCTTCAAGTGAATCCACAGAATTAGATTATTGAGGCATAATTATTTTGAAATGCTCAGTTGGGCCAAATATGAAGTATAATTTAAGTCAACATAGTATCAAGGTAAGATGGTTAATTAATAGATTAATCTTAGGCAAAAAATTATTTTTATTATAGACTACTTTGCAACTATTATAGAACATATTTCCAAAGAATATTTTGCAAATAGAAAAATGACTGGAAATGCAGCAATACCTTGCTAGCCATTGTCTTGGTTGGCAGAATTTTTGTTCTTTTTAATTTATCCCACTATATTTTCTTGCACTTTATATTTTCTATTAGAAATATACATTGCATTTTATATTTTAGGAAAACAGGAAAAACAGTTCTATAAAAGAAAATAAACGTATTAAACAGCATGGAATTTATAACATAATCCAATTTAATTTTTGGAATAAATAATACATTTCCAAGTAGACAAATTCCAGAAAAATATTCAGAAACATTCTTAACTGGGGAATATCACTGAAACAAATCATGCCAGGCAGAACTGACACCCAGTTGTAAAATGAGGTAAATTAAAATGTTCTTTTTATTTTATTACTGTAAATATTCATTAAGCCTAAGTTTGAGAAAGAAAGTAAAAGGAAGTTTTTACTCTTCAATAACATTTTCAGTTTGTCATTGGATATAAGGTCACCATGTTCCATGGCCAGTTTCTGGAAAATGTATACAAAAATTTGTACTCAATATTTGACTTTGTGATAATCATAGGTAAAATAATGTTTTCTTGTAAATAATCCTTATATCAGACCTGTCTCTGTCAACTGCCCAGTCTCCCAACCCATATTTTATTTTCTTGCTCCCTGTTGTGTTTTCCCTGCTTCATAAAGAATTTAAGGAAACATTGGTATATTGATCCTTTAGTGTATTGATAACTAAAATATGTATTATGCAGGGTCTCATATCCTAGCTATCACACTCAGATGTTGAAGGACACAATGTTGCAAAAATTCATTTCCTTTACTCAAAATTTTAATATCAAAGATTGATAAATACGAATATATCAGTTATTGTAATGCAGCATAAGGTGGTACTATGGGATAAAAACACAGAATGTTATTCCAATATTTATAGTAGTATTTAGAAGCAATAGTAAGCACTTGAGATTGAAACTGAATCTAGACAAATTCTTTTGATATAGATTAATTTAACTTCATTTTTCACTTTAATTTGCCAAAAAGCTTAGAGACATAATTTATGAATCATTCAATAATTTCTCAAATAATTTGTTTTGTATAAATATTTTTTGGAAGTGATTTTTCTTTTCTGAAAGGAAAGATAATGGAAAATATATTTGCACAAGGTAAAGTCATGTGCCACATAACATTTTGGTCAGATACAGACCACACGTACAAGAGTGGTCCCATTAGACTATAGCGGAGCTGAAAAATTCCTATGATCTAATGTTGTTGTAGCGAGGTAAGGTCTGAGCTCAATTCATTACTAAAGTGTTTGTGGTAATGCTGGTATAAACAAATCTGCAGCACTGCCAGTTGTATAAAAGTCTACCACACATAATTATGTGCAGTACATAATACTTGATAGTGATTAAGTATTATCGTTATAACTTTCAATGGCAAAAACCGCAATTACTTTTGCACCCACCTAATAAAAAGTAACTATATTACTAGGTTATGTATTTATCATACCACAGTTTTTATCATTATTTTAGCGTGTACGCCTTCTACTTCTTAAAAAAAGTTAACTGTAAAACAGCCTGATGCATATCCTTCAGGAGTTATTCCAGAAGAAGGCGTTATTATTGTAGTAGAAGGTAGCTTCATGCCTGTTTACTGCTCCTGAAGACTTTCTAGTGGAACAAGATGTGGAGGTGGAGGACAGTAATATTTTGTATTTTGACCTTGTAAAAGCCTAGGCTAATATGTGTTTTTGTGTCTTAGTTCATAATAAAAACATTATAAAGTAAAACAAAATAAAAATATTTAAAAATATAAAAAGTACATGTAAAATTTGTATATAAAGAAAATATTTTTGTACAACTGTACAATGTGCTTTAAAGCTAAATGTTATTACAAGAGTCAAAAGTCAAAAAATAAGTTTATAAAGTAAAGATATTAGAGTAAGCTAACGTTAATGTTATTTAATAAGTTTTTAACTAGATTAAGTGTGTAAGTGTACAGTTTTGGCAAAGTCTACAGTAGTGCCCAGTAATGTTCTCGACCTTCAGATTGACTCACCACTCACTTAGTGACTCACATAGAGCAACTTCCAGTCCTGCAAGCTCCACTCGCGGTACGTGCCCTAAACAGGTGTACCACTGTTTATCTTTGATGCTGTATTTCTACTGTACCTTTTCTATGTTTAGACATGTTTCCACAAATATTTACCGTTGTATTAAAATTGCTTATTCAGTATAGTAACATGCCGTACATGTTTGTTGCCTAGGAGCAATAGCCTTGACGTATAGTAGGCTACACCATCTTGGTTTACGTAAGTATACCCTATGATGTTTGCACAACGATAAAATTGCCTGATGACACATTTCTTTCAGGACATATCCCTGTCGTTAGGTAACATGTGGCTGTATTTGAATATTTCACAGGTATTTCTTAGTTTCCACAAGGCAATTGCTCTTAATTTACATATTTCAATGTATCTCCTACCACTTACATGCTCAAATCCTTGCTCAGCGCTGTGAGGGAAAAAAAAAAAGTAGAAAAGCATTTACAATTTAAATTGGGCTAGAACATTACATGGAAGTAATTCTGAAATTGAAGACATACTGTGCTGCTTAATAGGATATCTTTGAGTGTCACAATATCAGAGATAGTGAAACAGAGTTGCAGAGAGTACTGGGGAAAGTTGAGATGAGCTTTGGTAAATTAATAGTATTTCTGTATGTGGAAAAAGTAAACGTGTCATGTCTCGATCTCTATATGCATTTCTTTGCCAAATGCCATTTTGTTTGTCTACATAGTTTTGATTTCTAAAACATTTTGCTGGCACACAGGAAAAGTTAGTTATTTGTTCTGTAATTATACGCCATCATCGTTCCTTCAAATATTTTACAGAAATCTGTGTATAACAGGGCTGAATTAGGAGGTAGACTAGACTCAGAAGAGAGTCTGAATTTCCAGTTTCGTGTTTCTCTTTGTATATAGTTGCAGACAAACCCTCATTACCAGGAAGGAGAGATGTATATTGTCATGGCATGATGCTGTCTTGATAAAATTTTGTAACCTGCAGTCCTCATATTTTGCTTCTCCCTTTCCTCTTTCTTTACTTATTGGGAGCATTTCATCTAAATCATTGTTTGTTGGACAGTCCTTTGTGAATCATAATCTACTCTGATACCACTATCAGTGAAAATGGTGCTGTCAACATTTATGTCAACGCTGAGGTTGTAATTTTTGACAGTAATGTTCCTGGGCTTGATCTAAAACTCTCTGTTCACGTTGACAGAGCTGCCTGTCAGAGTCCCTTCTCACTGACACTTTTAAGTGACTAAGGACTTGGTAGGACTCACTCTAGTAAAAAAAAAAAATCTCATTCCAAGTTCTCCCATTAGGTCCATGGCTCATCTGAAAGAACTGCCCATGTTACCAAGAGATAAATGAATATAGAAGAGCAGAGACTTGGGTCAGCAGTAGGTTGCTGTATAATGTTCATAAATATCTGTGAAAATAAAATACACCAGTGGAGAATTTTTCCTGAAGGCTGGATGTTGTCAAGATCCAATACATAAATCTCAAACTCCATTAAAGAACATTGGTCTATCATAGCTGACTTCTTGTTTCAAATCACAAAATTATGCTCTAAAATTTTAGGATTTGTATGATTAAAGTGCTTCATTCTGGGCATTTTTCTGCCATATCATACTCATCACTATGCCCTAAATGTGTTGTGTTCCTTCCTCATCCATTTTTTTGGCCAAATATTTCATCTTCTCAGAAATTACTTCCATTTTTCTGTAACTATTAGATTAGCAAAATTTAAAGAAGTTTAAGATTACACAAAGCTAGAGAATATTGGCAAAACTGATGTAGTCATATATTGCTTATGACACTGTAAATAGGTATCAGCCTTTTAAAAAGCAATTCGGGGTTATATAGCAAAATCTTGAATAAAAAAATGGTGTGTCTGTGTATGTGTGGGTATGTGTAACCTTTCTAGTAATTTCACACTTGGGAATACATTGTAAGAAGATAATTCAAAATAAGATGAAAGCTATATGCACAAAAGCATTTATTGCAACATTATTTATAATAGTTAAAATTGGTTATAAATAATGTCTAATAAAAATGGCTAAGCACATAATACTACCTCAAATTGATTAAATTATATGAAACATTAAAATATATAAAATTCTCTCTATTATTTTCTACCTCTGTGACCACACCTCCTCAATCTCCTTTCTGAACTGCTCTTTCCTGTACAGCCCAAATATAAACATCCCTCTATGCGTTTATGCACTATTCTGGGTTATGCAGTACCATCAAGAATTCATCCATCATAGCACACTTCCCACTATATTATGCATATGAATTCACTGTTTTGTTCACTAGACCATAAACCCTTTGTGGATAAGAATTGTATCTTTTATTACTGTATCCTTGGAGCTTACAATGTAGGCTATCAATAAGTATAAACTGTGTGGCTTCAAAGTTTTTAAAAAAGTGCCAATAATTTCTTGGTAAGTAACAAAAGCAAACTGTAAAGAGTGTTTACAATACAGTAAAATATTTAAATATATTGATTATTAGAACAGGGGTTAAGGTGTACAAAGAGGAAGGAAATGATGTCAACATTACATTGATGTGATTACAGGTATTTTAAATTTTATCATTTTCTTCACTGTTTTGTAAATAAGAATTATAAATTATATGCTCAAAACATAATTGTGCATAATAAGTCTATAAGTCAGATTTTCTCAAATGAGAATATTATAGCTTAACTTATGTAACTTCTATTTTCTGTAAGTCTATGATGTCTAAGGGTTGGGTCCTTGAGATAAGTTAGTAAATCCATCTGAAACCCAGGCTCCTCATCTGCAAAATGGGGATAATAATACCAATCCCAAATATCATTAATGCAGCAAAACAAATCATCTAGTAAACATGTATCTAAATAGGCTGAGACAGCCTTTTTGTGTTTATTAGTTTAGAACTGTTCCTGGAAGAAAGAAACACTGCAGAAAAATTTAGTTCAAAGACCCTAAGAGGATACCTAAAGTAAGAAATTCTGTGTATTACATTCTTGACACAAGAAAAACATAAGATCTGATCTGCTTCTAATCCCCAAGTAGTTACCATTTTCACCCACAAAACAGAGAGAGTACCACTGCACACCAATCCTTCCTTCTTAAAGACTGATGTAATAACATGTTTAAACTAGCTTTCAGAGGCTGTACTTGAGCTTGCACTTACCTGTCTCTAGTTCTAAAGACTGCAATCAAGTCACTTAGGCTCCACTGATGCACTCCCACAATCTTAATAGAGCTCAAAGTGGTCACCTTGTACTAAAAAAAATTACACCTTGTAAAATCCAACCTTTTTAGTATATATTCCTGAGTTTTCACAAATACATCGTCATGAAAACACCATTCAAATTATGATATTGAACACTTCCATCACCCCAAAGATTTCCTCATGCTGTGTGTTTGTAGTCAACCTCTCTAACCTGCTCCCTGGTAACTTCTGGTCTGTTTATGTTCTCATAATTTTGATTTTTTCAGAATGTCATAAAATTGGTGTCATATGCAGTATTTAACCTATGAAGTCTGGCTTCTTAACCTTAGGATACTGCATTTAAGATTCACACATCATTCTGGATGTAGCATTAGTTTGTCCCTTTGCGATGATGAGTAGTATTCTATTGTAGGGAATTAACTATAGTTAACTAATTAATTTATTTATTAGTTGAAGGACATTTGTGTTGTCTTCATCCTTGGTAATTATGAATAAAGCTTCCATAAACATTTACGATTGGGTTTTTGTGTGAACATATGTTGTTCTTTCTCTTTTGTAAATACTTAGGGGTAAAATTGTCTGATCACATAAATATAACTTAACTTTTTAAGAAATATTCTGACAGACTGTATGATTTTACATTCATGTCAGCAGTGTTCCTGTTCCTCCATATTCTGTACAATATTTGGCATTTTTTTTACTTTTACTAATCTAATGTGTGTGTAGTGATATCTTACTGTGGTTTTAGTTTGATTTCCCTAGTGGCTGATAATGTAGGTACTCATTTCTTGTATATTTGCTGTCAATATGTCTTCTCTTAAGGGCTTCTGATTAGTCTTCACATTTTGCTTTGTGGTGCTCGTGTTATGCATGATGAAATACCCGCCATTTTCTCAACACCCACTTCACCATGAGATTCTATGAAATGCCTCAACATTTGGATTCATTAAAACCTTTTATTGAGGATTGACTTAAGAAATGCCCCATCAGTAAATAAAAAGCAATGGCAAAAGACTAGGTGAGCCTCACCAAACCAGTTTCCCCACTACCTAATTTCTGTGACGATCTCAAATTTGATGAAGTGCCAGTTTTTGCAACAGAAGTCTCTATTAGTTTATCACATGAGATTGTACAATATTTTAATGCAATTCACTCTAAAACCAAAATATAAAAACTAGAATTCACATACCAGAAAATGTGTTAGAAGTTATTTAACTCCTCCTCTCCTGCTAGGGCTCCATTCACTGTTCAGATAAGTTGCTAATATTCTACGCTTAAATATTTATTAAAGGTTTACTATGTATAAGACACTGTGTTAGTTGCTCAATAAATATTTGTTGAGCTGAACTGAAGATAAATACACAGCACTATATATTCTAAATAAAATCTATAACTTACATTAAATCATTCAAATGTGTCATGTCTAAAAGTCACACTGGGACTTTTACTGAGCACTAATGGCATGCTAGATATAGTAGATGATAGAAAAGATGGAAAACATAACCTCAGCTCTCAAGAGTTTGTAATTTTGATTGGAAAATATACAAACATGAAGCAGAGTAGAATCTATATAATAAAAAATCCTAAATTAAGTATTTATACTTGCACAAATTCAGTGACTGAGATGGCTATAACCACAGAACATGATTTTCCAGAAGAGATACACCATAATAGGAGCATGATAGATGGAATTATAATTTCTTTCTTGTGTCCAAAGCACAATGAACTTGAGAACCAAGACAGGAAAGGCAGTGAAGAAAAGGAGTATTCATTAGGTTTTGGAACAAAACCTGCCATTCAGCAAAGGAAAGAAATGGAGGTTGAATTAATCGCCTGAGCCATGCTTCAGATTAGATACAAATGCGGGAGGCAGAGTAGGTTTTCCACATGCACAGAGCACACAGGGAATTAATGCTAGGAATATTTAGAACAGCAAGCTGAAGATGGGTCACGTTGAGAAGACCATCTCATGGCCAGAAAGGTTGGCAGTAAGATTCAGAGCTGGGCGTCAATTCTTGGGGGGAAAATACCCTATTACTATGAATGATAGGTATATATAAGGATCAGTGGAAAAGTCTAAACTTTGTTTTTTGTCAAGATAAAGACAAAGATATGGTATCATCTAGGAATAAGTATTTGAAGTAAGGCTGTGGTAACCCCTGGGACATAAGACCACTGCTCTGGAAACAAATTACTTTTGTTTTGCCTGGTCAGGGGATCACGATGAGGCTTTGTATAGAGCCACAAATGGATTTAGCTTAGGAAATCTGGAAAGGAGTGAATTGGGAGAAATGAGTCAAAATTTACATGAGTGAGCATGGCTGAAGGATAAATAAGGGTTATAGGTAATTTTGATATCTAACATTCCAGGATTTTAACAAAAAGAAGTTGATGTTATCTGCTTTTAATATTAAATTTTGTCTCCACTTAAAATCCAAGATGTTATTTTGCTTCACTGGTACAGAGCTAGTCATTTCCAAATGGTAATTACATAACTCTCTCTTTTTCCCCAAGGAGAAAGTTCATTTTACAAATGCAATACACAAATAAATATAGGCAACAGTGGAGCTGGGCCTGCAAGCTTTTAGAGAGCAGATAAAATTTGATTAAATTCTTCTTTTGTTGTTATTATGTTTTCATCACCTTTGTCATTGTGTCTACACTTCTGAACTCCACCTGGGAGTGGCAGTAACAAGGTATCACAAAACTGGCTTTTCTCACTCTAATTCCAACCTGCCAGAAGCAGCAAACATAGGAAATCTTGGGAGAAAACCCCTTGTCATACAATTGACTGCCCAATTTTGCAAACCCGAGAGGTTTAGCTACTAGTAGTTGCCAGAGTTTCAAATAAGCTTACCAAGTTGAGGTTATTTATCCATAATAAACTTGTAAATATTTCAGATAAAAACCATGAGTTTTCAGCTTAGTGTATAGTGATGAATACTTTTGGAGGATTTCAGACAAAGAAAGAAGTTTATTATACAGTGGATGCTATATAATTTTGCTTTTTCTGTTATTATCTAATATTTATGGCTAAGATTATACCATTGCAGAACTAAAAGAGACCTTGGAGATAATTTGATTTAATGAGTTCATTTTATAGAAAAGTCTGAAAATGAGTTACCCAAGATCACACAGTTATTTAGTAGAAGAACTGAAATAAGAATCAGGTTTTATAACTCTGCACAGGCATATACTCCATTCAGAAATAGAATTGAATTCACTTCAACTGAAGCCCAGAGCTGTTCTACAAAAGAAGTAAAAGGTATAATATTTTTTCTCTCAATAGCCTTACACTGTCTACAAAACACACAAGCAAAGCAGATGATTCTTTTTGACCACAGACAACTCTAACCTAAACTGAATCCGTTGAAATAGGAAATGTGTGATATTCTGGTCCAGAAACCTTAATGAAGGTAGCCATTAAGTTGAGCTTTGATGGATAGCAGGAGATAGGTACTTTACTATAATATATATACAGAAGTGTGTAGAGTCAGGAATTTTTTTAAATGGAAATGAGAATCACATATGAATGTGATAAAGACAGGAGAAACTGTATACTGTTATCTTCTTAAATTAATAAGACTGAAACATTTTAGTCATGAGGAATGTCCCCCCGTTTTTTTTTTTTTTACTTTTAGAGTCTTTTACTGGGTTATCAAACTATTCTTGAATAAAAGTAAAAGTGAAAAGTGTATCTTAGTCTTTTTGAGCTTCTGTATAAAAAGACCATAACACTGCTAAGTTATGAACAACAGAAATGTATGTCCTACAAAATAATATCAAAAATTATAATTATTTTAATTATATCATTAATTTGTTGGCAAACTTGATAAAGCAGTTATACTATTTATTTTCCTGCATCAGTGAGAGTTCATGTTCCACATCCTGAATGTAAATCAGTGTGTAAAACATAGAAGAAAAATAAAGTTCAGAAATTATATAGTAAGCAATGTCATACCATAAATAATAATTGTATTAAAATATTCTTATCACAGACTCTCTTCTTTCTCATCTTTATGAATCCAAAAAATTCATAAACAACTTAGCCTAGTTTTTCCCTCTGAAATTTAAATCTGCTGCTTTTTTTCCCCACTTAAACTGTTTTCTGGGTTACTTCAGTATCAGTGCTAATTGTTTTAGATTTCTGCTTCTGCCCAAGATGGATTAACAGGGACAGATTTGTCCTCCCTTCTGAAGCTACAAATATAAAGATGATAAAGGCAATTTTACAAGTTTTCAAGACACTGAATGTTAGGTAGCAAAAAAGAGTTATCTCTGAAAGACAGAAAACAAATGAATGAGTTGTATGATTTCTCTAGCTTACTGCCATGAGAATTTTTGGGCTACAAGGCATCCAAGTGGACTCATGCACTTGAGGAGATGGAATTAAAATTCTGAGGAAACCAAGGCAGCTAGAATTCACAGGACAGAGTACCAGGAAGGAGAGACTATGCAAAGAGCACATGCTGGAGAGCTATACAGGGTTCTTCTAAGGTACTTAATCTTCTAAGGTACTTAGCAGAGTACTAATAAATGCAACCCCATAAGGAAAATATCTGAAACTATGGTAAAGGTCAACTGAAAGAATTAGAAGAAACACCACTCAGCATTCAATCACATCTTCGAAAAGCATCACCATTCCCGTAGGACCCATTAGAAAAAAAAATCATAGTTCATGGGACATTAGAGATTTTGCCTTAGTAGTGGGAAATAATTACTGTAGGCTGAGCACTACTCTAGACCTGCCTAACAAATGATGAAGGTATCAAGCCTATAAGTATCGGAGTGTTTCTAAATAAATTAAGTGCATAGCAGAACAAAGCTCAAAAATATTTTTAAGAATACAAAAGTATATAGCATTTAACCAGGTAAAATTTAGAATGTTGGAAATATAATTACAGTATACTAGGTATGAACAGAAGTAGGAAAACATTTCCATATTGAGGAAAAGAATCAATCAACCGAAAGTGACCATGATGTGACAGAGATCTTAAAATTGTCAAAGATTGTTAAAACAGTTTTTATAACTCTATTCCATATGTACAAAAAGTTAATCAGAAGCATGAAAGATATAAAAGTGACCCAAATGAGAGTTCAACCAATGACAACTACAATGACTAAAATAAAAAATAACCTGGGTAGAATTAAGGGCAGATTAGACAGAAAAAATGATTAGTTAACTTCAAGATATAGCTCAGTTGGCTTCACTGGTGAATTATTCCAAACATTTAAGGAATAAATAATAAACATTCTACACAAACTCTTCCAGAAAACTGAAAGGAGGAAATCTTTCCCACGTAACTCTGTGAAATAAGCATTATCTGCTACCAAAACCAGGCAATTACATTAAAAGAACAGAAATGAAACATTCAATTATCTCATAAATCTTCTTTCTAAACAAAATTTGATGAATCCAACTATATGGTTTGTGTCTCCATCCAAATCTCATTTGAATTATAATCCCCAATGTGGTAGGAGACGCCTGGTAGGAGGTGATTGGATCATGGGGCAAATTTCCCCTTTGCTGTTCTTGTGATAGTGAGTGAGCTCTCACGAGATCTGGTTGTTCAAAACTATGTCGCATCTCCCCCTTCACTCTCTTCTTTCTTCTCTGGCTGTATAAGATATACCTCCTTCCTCTTCCCCTTCCACCATGTTCATAAGTTTCCTGAGGCCTCCCCAGCCATATTTCCTGTACAGCCTGTGGAACCATGAGCCGATTAAACCTCTTCTCTTCATAAATTATCCAGTCTCAGGGAGTTCTTTTTAGCAATAGAAGAACAGAATAATACACCCAAAATACATATGACATATAATATGACATGACCAGGTAGTATTTATTCCAGGAATTCAGGATTGGTCTAACATGCAATTCATTATATTAACAGACTAAAAAATATAGTCGTTCAAAAAGACACAGGAAAAATGTTTTATAAAGTCCAGTATCTATTCTTGTTAAAAACTCTTGGCAAGTCAGGGATAGAGGGAACTTCTTCAACCTTAAATATAATAACTACAAAAAACACATAGTTAATATCACACTTAATGGGTGAAAGACTGAATTACTTTCCCCTAAGATCAGAACAAGTTGAAGATGTCTGCCCTCACCAATTCTGTCCAACTTTTTCCTAAAGTTTCTAATCAGTGCAATGAAGAAAATAAAAGACATTCAGGTTGGAAATGAGAAAGTAAAACTGTCTTTATTGAGAGAAAACTTCAGTGTCTATACAGAGTTGAATGAGATCTACAAAAGCTACAAAGCTAGTAAGCCACTTAAGCAAGATTACAGAATACAAGATCAATCAATTTATCAAAATCAATTATACCTCTATATGTTAGTGTTAATATTTGAAACTTAAAATTTGAAGACTAAGATTTATAATAGTATAAAAATGAAATACTTAGCTGTAAATCTGACAGGAGAAGTGAAAAACCTGTCTACTGAAATTGCAAAATATTGAGGCAATAAATTTAAGAACTAAATAGAGAGACATACTTTGTCCCACAGGTCAGAAGGCTGCAGAAGACTGTGTATTGTTTTTTTTATTTTTATTCTTATTTTTATTTTATTTGAGATGGAGTCTCACTCTGTCATCCAGGCTGGAGTGCAGTGGCATGATCTCGGCTCACTGCAACCTCAGCTTCCCAGGTTCAAGCGATTCTACTGCCTCAGCCTCCCAAGTAGCTGGGATTAAAGGCACGTGCCATGCTCAGCTAATTTTTTTGTATTTTTAATAGAGTCCAGGTTTCACCATGTTGGCCAGGCTGGTCTCAAACTCCTCAACTCAAGTGATCTGCCTGTCCTGGCCTCCCAAAGTGCTGGGATTACAGGCTTGAGCCTCTGTGCCTGGCCACAACTTTAGTTTAGACAAAGATTTCTCAGATAAAAATTCAACACCATGATCTACTTATAAAGTTATATAATGGACTTCATCAAATCTTCTTCACATCAAAAGATACTGTTAAGATAGTAAAAGGATAAGCCACCACCTGGGAAAACAATATTTGCAAAACATACATCTAATAATGAACTTGTTTCCTAAATATATAAATAACTCTTAAATCTCATAAATAAGAAACAACACATTTTTAAATGGGCACAATATATGAACAATTTACAAAAGAATATATACAGTTGACAAATAAATGTATGGAAATATGCTAAATAACATTAGCCTTTAAAGAAATCTAAGTTGAAACTACAACAGGATACTGCTGCACATATTATAATATCTAAAATTAAAAAGACCAAAACATCAAGTGTTTGTGAAAATACAGAGGAACTGGAACTCTCACACAGTTGGTGGGGACCTAAGATAGCACAACACTTTGGATAACATTGTGTTAGTTTCTTATAAAGTAAAACCTATGCCTACCATATTATTTACAGTTCACTCACTCCCAAATATTTATATATCTATACAAAAGAATTGGGGGAAAGGATTAAGCATGTGTACTTACAAAGACTTATAAAGTCTGGTACAGGAATGTTCATGGTAGCTATATCTGAATAGACAACATCTGGAAATAATAGAAATAAGAAAATGGATAAGTAAAATTGTATTTTATAGATGTAATGGAATACTATTTACAAATAAAATGGAAGAAACAATTGATACACAAAACACAGATAAATATCAAAGCAGTTATACTGTTTTAAATATATATAATTCCACATTTTAAAAAGAGATCCTTCCCAGGCGCTGTGGCTCACGCCTGTGATCCCAGCACTTTGGGAGTCCAAGGCAGGTGGCTCACTTGAGTCCAGGAGTTTGAGATCATCCTGGGCAACATGGTAAAACCTCATTTCTACAAAACATGAAACAAGAAAAATTAGCTTGGTGTGGTGGCATATGTCACAGCTACTCTGGAGGCTGAGCTGGTAGGATCACTTAAGCCCAGAAGGATGAGGCTGCAGTAAACTGTGATTTTTTTTTTTTTTTGGAATTCCTTATTATTATTATTTTTATTATTATTATACTTTAAGTTTTAGGGTACATGTGCACAATGTGCAGGTTAGTTACATATGTATACATGTGCCATGCTGGTGTGCTGCACCCATTAACTAGTCATTTAGCATTAGGTATATCTCCTAATGCTATCCCTCCCCCCTCACCCCACCCCACAACAGTCCCCAGAGTGTGATGTTCCCCTTCCTGTGTCCATGTGTTCTCATTGTTCAATTCCCATCTATGAGTGAGAACATGCAGTGTTTGGTTTTTTGTCCTTGCGATAGTATACTGAGAATGATGATTTCCAATTTCATCCATGTCCCTACAAAGGACATGAACTCATTTTTTATGGCTGCATAGTATTCCATGGTGTATATGTGCCACATTTTCTTAATCCAGTCTATCATTGTTGGACATTTGGGTTGGTTCCAAGTCTTTGCTATTGTGAATAGTGCCGCAATAAACATACGTGTGCATGTGTCTTTATAGCAACGTGATTTATAGTCCTTTGGGTATATACCCAGTAATGGGATGGCTAGGTCAAATGGTATTTCTAGTTCTAGATACCTGAGGAATCGCCACACTGACTTCCACAATGGTTGAACTAGTTTACAGTCCCACCAACAGTGTAAAAGTGTTCCTGTTTCTCCACATCCTCTCCAGCACCTGTTGTTTCCTGACTTTTTAATGATTGCCATTCTAACTGGTGTGAGATGGTATCTCATTGTGGTTTTGATTTGCATTTCTCTGATGGCCAGTGATGATGAGTATTTTTTCATGTGTCTTTTGGCTGCATAAATGTCTTCTTTTGAGAAGTGTCTGTTCATATCCTTTGTCCACTTTTTGATGGGGTTGTTTGTTTTTTTCTTGTAAATTTGTTTGAGTTCATTGTAGATTCTGGATATTAGCCATTTGTCAGATGAGTAGGTTGCTAAAATTTTCTCCCATTTTGTAGGTTGCCTGTTCACTCTGATGGTAGTTTCTTTTGCTGTGCAGAAGCTCTTTAGTTTAATTAGATCCCATTTGTCAATTTTGGTTTTTGTTGCCATTGCTTTTGGTGTTGTAGACATGAAGTCCTTGCCCATGCCTATGTCCTGAATGGTATTGCCTAGGTTTTCTTCTAGGGTTTTTATGGTTTTAGGTCTAAAGTTTAAGTCTTTAATCCATCTTGAATTAATTTTTGTATAAGGTGTAAGGAAGGGATCAAGCTTCAGCTTTCTACATATGACTAGCCAGTTTTCCCAGCACCATTTATTAAATAGGGAATCCTTTCCCCATTTCTTGTTTCTGTCAGGTTTGTCAAAGATCAGATAGTTGTAGATATGCGGCGTTATTTCTGAGGGTTCTGTTCTGTTCCATTGATCTATATCTCTGTTTTGGTACCAGTACCATGCTGTTTTGGTTACTGTAGCCTTGTAGTATAGTTTGAAGTCAGGTAGCGTGATGCCTCCAGATTCCATGCTCATGGGTAGGAAGAATCAATATTGTGAAAATGGCCATACTGCCCAAGGTAATTTATAGATTCAATGCCATCCCCATCAAGCTACCAATGACTTTCTTCACAGAATTGGAAAAAACTGCTTTAAAGTTCACATGGAACCAAAAAGGAGCCTGCATCGCCAAGTCTATCCTAAGCTAAACTGTGATCTTGCCACTGCACTCCAACCTAGGCAGCAAAGGGAGATCCTGTGTCAAGAAGAAGGAGAAGAAGGAGAAGGAGGAGAAGAAGAAGAAGAAGAAGAAGAAGGAGAAGAAGGAGAAGGAGAAGGAAAAGAAGAAGAGGAAGAGGGAGAGGAAGAAGATGAAGAAAAGGAGAAGATGAAGAAGAGAGATCTAGTAAATGCAAAAAAAAACAGATCAATGATTGTCTGGAGATGGTTGGAAGGGAGGCATTATAAAGGATGAAAAGAAACATTTGAGATGATGAATGTTTCTGATTTTTACTGCAGTGATGGTTTCACAGGTGTATACATTTATCAAAATGAAATAAATTGTATACTTTGAGTATGTGCATTTTGTGATATGTCAATCATACCTGATTTATACAAAAAACCTTCCTTATCAATTTTTCCACTTCTTTTACCTTCTTTTCTCATTCTATGACAAAATCCATTCTCTTGTATTCTAAGTTTTCAGTCTTTCTCTTGATCTGAGATTTGCATCTCATAAAATCAGAATGGATAGACAGAAAATTTTAATTAAGTTGTAATACATAGAGAAAGGGCTAAAAAAATAAAATAAGAAAATCTCTCAATTATTATACTCGACTATATTGTATTATAAATCATTAGTCTTTCTTTCTCTCTTGTCCGGTAAACCATGTGATCTCTGAGTGCCTTATTAATCTTTTTTTCGTATAATTCTGACACACAGTCATCCTTTAATATGTTATTTTAAGTGGATGAATGAATGATGTCTTGCCTTAAGAATATAACAATTTAATGGGAAAGACAAGACATAAATCTGAGGGCTATAAAAACTCTTTCACATCATATAGGAACAATCAGGAAAAGAATTGCACCCTGGGTTGGAAAGGGTGCAAAACAGTATTGGTCACAATTAGTGCAACAACAAAAATCCAAGAGAAATAAAGGAATAAGGTACATTTGAGGTGGATGGTAATCATTTGACTATTTTCACCACATAGCCATCCATCTCCTGCCCTTTCAACTCACCTGCCACTCCTCTCTTTTTTACACAGTCAATTGAGTGTTTTTATTCTTTAGTTAAAGGTTTCCTGTTGCTCCTTTGTGCTCCGCCCGGCTTCTGCCATTTCTATTTCTCCTTCGCATGTCTACCTCAGGAAGGTGGCTTTCATACCTAAACGATGGGGTAAACACCAGTGTGAGAGACCACCGATTCCTATTCAGAAAAACGCTATTGAAATTGGAGCTGGTTTCTTGAAGATTTCACTGAACTGAAGCTCCTTCTTCCTTTATTTTACACAAAGAGGATTTTTCACCCTTAAGATGCTGGCCCATCTGTTAAAACCTCTTTCTCTTAAGCTGTACCTCTGCATGGCTTCCGTTATAAGCTTGGCTAAAGAATTCTTAATGAATTCCCCTTTATCAGCAAGACTCAGCTCTTGCAAGGAGGATTTGCTACTTTTAATTCTATATGGAACACAAATGGGTCACCAAATTGTTCTGTGCTATAACTGACAAGATTTGTTGCCATCATTTAATTACAATAAATTTTCAATTTTTGAGAGACTTCTTTAAGTTATATAACTGTACATATTAGGCATAAGGGGTATGGAAAAAAATGTGTCCAAGGTCCTGAATTGGACTTGGGAAAGCAATTATTTAAAGAAGGGCTGAGTTCTGGGATAGCAAGGGCCATGTAACACATGACTTCAGAGTAAGAAAACTTATGGAAGCCAACTACTTCCCAGAATTGGTGGACATAAACGTATATCAAAGCAGTCATAGAATTATAATTATCAAGACATTTGGGGATGTTGCAGTTTGAAGATAGACTATTTAGATTTCTAGTTGAGGGAAGGCTCAGAGGAGATACAGTTTGCTGCAGCGATCTTCCCTTCCTGTGAATGTTACTCCAATTGTTGCCTGAATAAATAATATGCTAGTTCACCATATAGTGTGTTCTATAGTAGTCTTGAAGTATACCTGAAATAAGTCTCTATGCTTATCCTACATTTCCCCAAATTATATGATTCTCAGGGGCAAAGCCCATGTGTGCTTGGTTTACAATGGGTGGTGGCACAGTCTCTTACTTATAGTTTGTGTTCAATAAATATGTTAATTTTTGATTTCACTACAATTTTTTAAACTGAATGTAGCTTGTATGGTAAATTAGTATAATAGAATCAAAGCAAATATTGTAAAATCTTGACAAACATAAAACGCATTAAAAGAAGTACTACTTAAAGTCCGTTGTAGAAGCAGCATGAATCACACTACTAGGTAGATGTTGAATGGTTTGGGAGGTAGAAAGGAAAAATTAAACATTAACGGATGAAAATGCAAACTTGTATATTTAGGAGACATGTCTAACTTTTGAAATTACAAGAATGTAACAACAACCACAGCAACAAAAATCCACGAGTTGTACTTATTTTCTCAGATAGCATGAGAATTTGCTTCTTTTGCTTTTGATTCTTAGGCATTCTTGTGATCTTGATGGACTGTGATCTTGAGGCACTTAACTGATATCATTAGTATTCATCTTCTTTGGCTGCTATAAAAAAATACCACAAAGTTGGTAGCTTATGACAACAGAAATTTATTTCCTCACTGTTCTAGAAGACAGAGTCCTGAAATCAGTATCACTGGTCCAAAATAATGGCATCAACAGTGCCACGCTTCCTCTGTAGGTTCTAGAGGAAAATCCTTTCTTTTCTTCCTCTGACTTCTCGTAGATGCTGGCATTCCATGGCTTTTGCCTACGTAATTCCAAAGGTTCCTCTGTAGTCAGGTGACCTGATCTTTTTCTGTTTGTCAAGTCTCCCTGTACCTTTCTCTTACATATACACTTGTGATTACATTTAGTGCACAGCATATAACTCAGTATGATCTCTTGATCTCAAGGTCTTTTACTTAACACTCATGCGTAGATTCTTTCTGCAAATAACGTAGCATTTTTAGGTTTCAGAGATTGGGACCTGGTAACATTGGAGTCAATTATCAGCCTATCATAATAGCTATTATTGTATTGCTGTTATTACATGTAGCATAATGGGCTAGAATTTTGATTTTGTAATTGGACAGAGCTGAGTTCATATCCCTGTATCAGCTAAAACATACTGAAAAAAATGAACCTCTCTGTGGTTCAGTTTTCCCAACTGTTAAATGAGTATATGTATGAATAGTTTATCACACTATTGTTATAATGATGAAATAGGATAGTGTATATAACATTTTAGCACAGTTTGTACTTTTGTAAAACATAAATTCAACATAAATTATAGGTACCATTATTTTTACTAAATTAATAAAACTACTAATTTATTCAAAGCAAAATGTCAGTTAATCTAAAGGTTATAAAATTTCATAAAGTTTTAGCTGCTGTTTTCAGAAGTTTGTAATTGCTGAGATAAAATTCACATGCATAAAACATACCAGAAAATTAGAAAATGTATACTGGAAATCATAAATGCTAGAGCTGGGCAAAATAACCATTAATCAAGGTCATGGACAAAGTTTTTCCTTTTTCCAATTTTTAAAATTGTGATAAAAGATGTTTCATATGAAACTTATCATTTTAATTATTTTTAAGTGTACAATCCAGTGTTATTCATAATATTTGACAATCATAGCCA
Source organism: Homo sapiens (assembly GCF_000001405.40). Classification (NCBI taxonomy): domain Eukaryota; kingdom Metazoa; phylum Chordata; class Mammalia; order Primates; family Hominidae; genus Homo; species Homo sapiens. The sequence continues at coordinate 40,329,677 of NC_000018.10, forward strand.
TCATCATTTTTCATCTTATAAAACTAAAGCTCTACACCCATTTATCTCCTCATTCCCCCACTCCCTAGCCACAGGCAACAGCCATTCTATTTTTGTATTTATGATTTCAACTACCTTAAGTACCTCATATAAGTGGAATCATATAAAATTTTTCTCTTTTGTGATTGGCTTATTTCTCTTAGCATAATATTCTACAGGCACATCCGTGGTGAGCATATTTCAAAATTTCCTTCCTTTTTAAGGATGAGAAATAATTCATGGTATGTATATATACCACATTTGGATTATCCATTCATTCATTGATGAATGTGTGGGTTGCTTCAAAATTTTAGCTATTATTAATAATGTTGCTATAAACCATGGGCATACAAACATCTTTTTGAAACCTTGCCTTCAATTATTTTGGATATGTACTCAGAAGTGGAATTTCTGAATCATATGCTAATTCTGTTTCTAAGTTTTTGAGGATCCACCATACTGCTTTCCACAGTGGCTGCATGATTTTACATTCTCACCAACAGTGCACAAAGGTTCCAATTTCTTCATATCCTTGGCAACATTTGTTGTTTTCAGTCTTTTTGATAGTAACCATCCTAATAGGTGTGAGGTAAAATCTCATTAGGGTTTTGATTTACATTCTCAGATAATTAGTGATGATGAGCATCTTGTCATGTGGTTAGTAGTCATTTAGATATCTTTTTTGGAGAAATGTCTATTCAAGTCCCTTGCTTATGTTGAATCATTTTTGTTTTTTGTTGTTGAGTTTTAGAAGTTTTCTATGTAATTTGGATATTAATTCTCTACCGGATATGTTACTTGCAAATATTTTTTCCCACTTACAAATATTTTCTCCCTTGCCTTACTTTTTACACTGTTCATGTTGTTTTCGTGTACATTTTAATGAATAAATTTATTAAATCTAATTTATTTTTTCCTTTTGTTGCCTGTGCCTTTAGTATCATTTCCAAGAAATCATTGCCAAATCTACCATCATTAAGATTTTGTCCTTTGTTTTCTTCTAGGGGTTTTATAGTTTTAGGTTTTAAATGTAGGTATTTGATTTATTTGCCTTTGTTTTTGTATATGGTATTAAGTAAGGGTTCAGCTTCATTCTTTTAAATGTCGATGTTCAGTTTTCTCAGCAATATTTATTGAGCAGACTGTCTTTTCCCCATTAAATCACCTTGGCACACATGTTAAAAAACAATTGACCGTATATTCAAGGAGGTGTTTCTGAGTTCTCTATTCCATTTCATTTGTCTAAATGTCTATCTTTATGCCACTACCACACTATTTTGATTACTGTAGTTTTGTAGTAAATTTTGAAAAGATGAAATGTGATTCCCTTATCTGTGTTCTTATTTTTCAAAATTATTTTTGCTATTCAGGATCCCTTGGGATTCCATATGAATTTCAGAATAGATTTTCCTACATCAGTAAAAAATGTCATTGGAATTTTGAGAGGAATTTCACTGAATCTATCGATTACTTAAGTAGCATTGTTATCTTAACAATATTAAGTCTTATAATCCATGAACATAAGATGTGTTTTCATTATTTTATGTCTTCTTTAATTTGTTTCAGCAATGTTTTGTAGTATTCGTTGTGCAACTCTTTCACTTTCATTAATCACACTATTTTATTATTTTAGATGCTGTACTAAATAAAATTATTTTTAATTTTTCCTGTACAGATTGTTCACTCTTAATGTGTAGAAATGCAACTGATTTTTTGCATGTTGACCATGTATCCTGCTATTTTGCTTAATTTATTAGTTTTACAGTTTGTGTGTATGTGTGTAACCTTTACATACAAGAGTTTTCTTTTTTATTATTATTATACTTTAAGTTCTAGGGTACATGTGCACAACGTGCAGGTTTGTTACATAGGTTTACATGTGCCATGTTAGTTTGTTGCACTCATTAACTCATCATTTACATTGGGTATTTCTCCTAATGCTATCCCTTCCCCAGTCCCTCATCCCATGACAGGCCCTGGTGTGTGATGTTCCCCTCCTTGTGTCCAAGTGTTCTCATTGTTCAATTCCCACCTATGAGTGAGAACATGCAGTGTTTGGTTTTCTGTCCTTGTGATAGTTTGCTCAGAACAATGGTTTCCAGGTTCATTCATGTCCCTGCAAGGGACAGGATCTCATCCTTTTTTATGACTGCATAGTATTCCATGGTGTATACGTGCCACATTTTCTTAATCCAGTCTATCATTGATGGATATTTGGGTTGGTTCCAAGTCTTTACATACAAGAGTTTTCTACATACAAAATCATATCAGCTGTGAGCAGAGATAATTTTATACTTTTCTTTCCAATTTAGAAGTCCTTAATTTCTTTTTTACTTGCCTAATTTCTAGCCTGATTGGTCTAGTACTTTCATTACTATATTAAATAGAAATGGCAAAAATTAGTGTCCTTTTTTGTTTCATATCTTAGGGGAAAATCTTTCAGTCTTTCACCATTGAGTGTGATGCTAACTGTGAATTTTTAATATATGACCTTTATTATGTAGAGCTAATTTCCTTTTGTTCCTAGTTTTTGAGCATTTTTAATCATGAAAGAATGTTGAATTTTGTCAAATGTTTTTGCTGCAGCAATGGAAATAAACATTAGTATAGTTTGGATATTTGTCCCCACCCAAATATTATGTAGAAATATAATGCTCAGTGTTAGAGGTGGGGCCTGGTGGGAGGTGTTTGGACCAATGGGGCAGATTCTTCATGACAGGCTTGTGCCATTCCCTTGGTGATAAGCAAGGTCTCACTCTGAGTTCACATAAGATCTCGTCATTTAAAAGTGTGTGGCACCTTCCCTGCCACCTCTCTTTCTCACTTGCTCTTGCTTTCAACATGTGATGTGCCTGTTTCCTTTTCACCTTTCACCTTAATTGAAAGCCCTCTGTAAGACCTCCCTAGAAGCAAAGCAGATGCCAGAACTATGCTTCCTGTAAATCCTTTTGAACTGTGAGCCAATTAAACCTCAATTTTTTTGTTTTTTATAAATTACCCAATTTCAGGTAGTTCTTTACAGCAAGCAAGAATGGCCTAATACAAAAATGTTTTGTTTTGTTTTTCCTTTCATTCTGTTGGTATGATATATTACATTAATTTTCCTATGTTGAACCATCCTTGCATTGTAGGAATAAATCCCACTTGGTCTGGTGTATAATCTTGTTAATATCCTGATAAATTTAGTTTTCTAGTATTTTGTTGAGGATGTTTTTCACCAGTGTTCATAAGGGTCTTGTAGTTTTCTTTTGGTGATTTAGTTTGGCTTTAATATCAGGACAGTGCTGCTTCATAGGATACATTAGGAAGTACTCTTTCCTCTTGAATTTTCTGGAAATGTCTGGGAAGGATTGGTGTTAGTCAGAATTAATCAGGGAAGCCATCAGGTCCAGAATTTTTCTTTATTAGAAGATTTTGGGGTACTGATTCAATATTCTTACTTGTTATAGGTCTATTCTTATATTCTATTTTATGATTTTTCATGATTTTTCTTGGTAGATTTTGTGTTTTTAAGAATTTGTTCATTTTATATGTTTTCTGTTTTTTGGGGGTACAATAGTTGATAGTATTCTCCTATATTTTCTATTTCTACAGATTGGTAGTGATGTCCATACTTTCATTTCTGACTTTAGTAATTTATTTTTTTGTCATAATTCACCTAGCTGAAGGTTTGTCAATTTTGAGTATCTTATCCAAGAACTATCTTTTGATTTCATTGATTTTCTCTACTGTTTTGACAGTATATATTTTGTTTAATCTCTGCTGTAATCTTTGTTATATTCTTCTTTCTGCTAGCTTTGGCTTTAGCTTATTCTTCTTTTTCTGGTTCCTTAAGTTGTAATGTCAGATTGTTGATTTGAATTTGCTTTAACAAAAATGTTTATATCCATAAATTCTTCCCTTAGCCTTGCTTTCACTGTTTCCCATAATTTTGAAATTTTTGTATTTTTGTTTCATTTATCTTCAAGTATTTTTTATGTTTTCATTGTGATTTCTTCCTCGTTCCATTGGTTTCTGATGACCATGTTATTTAATTTATGCAAATTTGTGAATTTTTGCTTTTTATTTCTGTTATTGATTTCTAATTTCATCCTGTTTTGGTCAGAGAAGATACTCTGCATGTTATCTGTCTCTCTAAATCTATTGATACTCAGTTTGCTGCCTAACATATGGTCTATCCTGGAATGTCCCATGTGTACTTCAAGAGGTACATGCTGTTTTTGTTGACTAGATTGTTCGGTATATCTCTGTTATATCTGGTTGGTTTATTGAGTTGTTTAAGTACTTTTTTTTTTATTAATTTCTGTCTGTTTTTTTCATCCATTATTGAGAGCGAGGTATTGAAATTTCCAACTAATATGGTAGAACTATCAATTTCTTCCTTGAGTTCTGTAATTTTTGCTTAATGTATGTTGAGGGTCTTTAATTAGATGCATGAATATTTTTAGATATTTCTACTGTATGGAAGCTTTTATTAATATAATGTCCTCTTTTATGTCTTGCAAACAATTTTTATTTAAATTCTACTTTATCTGATATAGTCATCCCTGCTCTCTTTTGGTTACTATGTAGATGGAATATATATTTTTTCCTATTATTTCACTTTCAATCTATTTGTGTTTTTAGATCTAAAGTGAGTCTCTTGTACACAGAATACAATGAAATCATATTTTAAATCCATTCTTTTAATTGATATTGTTTCACTGAAGAATGTAAACATTAACATTCGAAGTAACTAATGAGAGAGTAACTCTCATTAAAATAACTTCTCACTTTGCTCTTTGTTTTCTATTTGCTCTTTGTTTCCTATATGCTTTACAGCTTCTTTGTCCTTCAGTTTCTATATTACTGTCTTTCATGTTTGATTGACTTTTTAATAGTGAAATGTTTAAATTTATTTCTCACCTTTTGTGTGTATTCCATAGCTATTTTTGTGTGTGTGGTTACTATGTGATTATAGTTACCATTCTAAAATTATATTAATTTGGATTTATGCCAAGTTAACTTCAATAACAGAGAAAATCTGTGCTCCTTTACACCTCCATCTCTACCTTTTCCTGTTGTTGATATCATAAAATTACATCTTTATATGTTGTGTGCCCCCAAATATAAAGTAATAATTATTTGACATACTTTAGTCAAATAAATTATGTAGAAAACAGAATGTAGTTACAAACAAAACATATAATAATACTATGTTTTATAATTGTCCACCTGTTTACCTTTTAATGATTTTTATTTCTTCATGCAGCTTCAAGTTACTGTCTTGTGTCCTTTCATTTCTCCTTCTGGAACTTCTTGAGTAGGACAAGTCTAGTAGTAACAACATTTTTCAACTTTTCTTTGTATGGGAATATTTTGGTTGGCAGATGCTTGGTTGACAGGATTTTAGTCATCTTTTAACACTTTGAATATATAGTCTATTTTTTATATTCATGGGTTATACATCTGGAGATTCAATCAACCCTGTATAAAGAATATTTTTTAATTCCACCTGTACTGAACAAGTGCAGAAGACATTTTTTCTTGTCATGATTCCCAAAATAATGGAGAATAACAATTATTTCCATAGGATTTACATAATATTTGGTATGTTGAAAAATCTAATTTGAATTTAATCTAATTGAACTTAAAATTCAAAGGAAGATGTGCATTTGTTATATGCAAATACAATGCCATTTTATATCAGAGACTTAAGCATGCACAGGTTTTGGTATCCATGGGAGGTCCTGGAACCAATCTTCCATGGATAGCAAGGGACAACTGTATTGGTCCATTGCATTCTGAACTCCAAAATTTTTAATAAGAAATCTGATAATTTTATAGAGAATCCCATGTTTGTAATTAACCACTATCCTCTTGCTTCTTATAAGATTTTTTATTTGTCTTTCTCTTTCAAAAGTTTGATTACAATATGGTTATCTTTGGGTTTATCTTACTTGAAATTTGTTGTGCTTCTTGGATATTTATGTTCATGTCTTGCATTAAAATTGGGAAGCTTTCAGCCATGTTTTTCTTCAAATATTCTCCCTCCCACTTTTCTCTTGCTCTTCTTCTTCTAGCGCTTCCATAATGTGTAAATTGGTCTACTTGATAGTATTCCACAGGTCCCTTAGACATTGTTCACTTTCTTTTTTTTTTCGGCTCCTCAAACTCTTTAATTGTCATTTTCCTATCTTTAAGGTTGCAAATTCTTTCATCTGCCTGCTCAAGTCTGCCTTTGAATTTGCCTAGGAAATTCTTCGTTATAATTATTGACCTTTTCAGCTCCAGAATTTCTTTTTTGATTTTGTTTTCAGTTTTCTATCTCTTTATGAACATTTCTGTTTTATGCTTACATAATTTTCTTGACTTTCTCTATGTATTCCTTTAATTATTTAAGCACCTTTATGACAGTTATTTAAAAGTCTGTGTCTAATAGATCTGCCATGAGGCCATGCTGGCTTTTTGTTATTGTCTTTGTTTATTTTTTTAAACTGTTGTAGGCTGTCTCTGTGCAAAACATTAAGTCTAAGATATAAACTTGCAATCTTTTTAGGTCTTTTCTAAGCCTACACATTTCCCAGGGTGTACACTCTCACTTTCTAATTTTTCCTGTACAAGAAGTTGCTTTTGAATATAGTAGTCATTAATGTCTGACTCCCAAAAGGAGAAAATGAGAAAAATGAAGAGTTTGGGGAAAGGATGACAGTCCTTTAAATTCCCTGGAAGTCACATCAGAGAGAGGGGGAAGGACTTGCAACAATGAGCGGAGGTGCAATAATAATGGTGACCTGCTTCTTCTTTTGAAACTAGGTGATCATAACCAGCAATCATCAATCAGAGCACAGATTCCCAATATTTGAAGAAAAGAGTCCTTCTTTCCCACCTTGGCTCCTGCAATTTGAGTGTAAGTTGCTCCAGGAACAAGTGCACAGCTGCATGCCACAGCTGCCCACTATAGAGCTGAGATGAAGGATAGGCAGCTGCCCCTGTTTATAGCTGAAATTGACTGAAATTTTCTGCAATTTCTTGTCCAAATCTTCCCATGGAAGTTTTGAAATTTCAGTAGCCTCCACAGTTCCAAAATGGTTACATCAGACATAATATTCCAGTGTAATTGTTTTCTGTGTAGGTAGACATATTTCTATTCCAACAGACAGATGGTAGAAAAATCCACCATCTTTCAAGAATCCTCTTGACATGACAGGTTTTTATACAAAAGTTTTAGATTACTGGCATTGACAGGTAGGAGATGAAAAGTCACATAGGAATAAAACGTGTGGTAGTAGGGAAGGATAGGAAATTGTAGTAAACAATTGATAAATCAGAACACAGAGGGCACAAGAAGACTGAAATAAAATACTAGAATGGTAGGCTGAAAACATACTGTGTTCAATGCACCAGACTAGAAACACATCTCTCTTTCTCTCTGTCTCTCTCTGTCTCGTGTGTGTGTGTGTGTGTGTGTGTGTGTGTGGTGCCTGTCCACTATGAGTTTTCACACAACATTTGCTTCATGAATGAATGAGAAGGTAAATGATGGATAAACAGAAATAAAACAACATATCCCTGAAGCAGAGACTACCTTGGCAAACAAGTTAAACCAGCATTTCTCAATCTTGGCATTATTGATATTTTTGGCTGGATTAAGTCTTCATCAGAGTTTGGGGAGATGGTGTCCTGTATATTGTGTATTGTAGTATTTTAACACTATCCCTGGTTTTTGATGCTAAGTGTCAATTTCACCCCTCCCCAAGTATGGCAATTAAAAATGTCTCCAGACATTGCCAAATGTCTTCATGAGTATGGTGGCAAAATACTTCAGGTTAAGAACTATTGGCTTAAAACAAATGAAGCATGGAGAAGTAATTTAAGTTGAGAAAAATTTCAGAAAAAAGGGAGTTGGGTTAGGATCAACTAAACATAGTAATATATTTCCAGATGACATATCTTATATTGACTTTACCTAGTAAAACTTAGAACTCCATTCTTCCAGCAATAGAATAATATAATAATTTTATAATCCAAAAATTTTTAAATTCAAAGATAGGTTCTATCATAAGTAATAACTTTCAATGAGAGAAAATCTCTATAAAACAAGAGGCACCATCCTTACGTTGATTTTTTAGAGTGGAGTATTGTGTAGTTCTGCATCTCATGTTTGCTCTACAGATGCTTTAAGGAAAACAAAGAAATCACATATATTGATTTCTGCAGCATTAAATACATTTATACATCAAAGCAAAAGAACACAGGAATGTTTCAATTTGTGTTGCATAATTAAACTTTCATTATTAAAAACATTCCATATTTTCTAGCAATTTTGATTTATATATGTGTATATATAAATAAATAAATATATTTAATATACATATAATATATAAGTAAATATATATATTTTTTCTTTTTCATAGTCAAACGCTTGCTTTTTGTATATCATGTTTTCTGGAATACAAGAAAACAGGCCATAAACATAAGAAAATAAAATATGCAATTGCCTGTTTAGCATGACAATTCAAAGAAATGATTTTGGAATGGTTCTATACTATAAATTTGATATTAGGAACTACGGGTGTAAAACTGGGCAAATTAAGTTCCCAGATAATACAAGAAATTCTGTTTTAAACATTATTTGAAATAAGCTATAGTTCTAGGTAAAATTATTAAGTTGCTAAAATTTTGAAGGGACATAGCTCCATTCCTTCTTCAATAGCATCTTTTCCTTGTTGAATGTACCAATCTCTGGGTATTTAATAGTCTAATATGTTCATGTTGTTATGTGGGTAATTTATTTATTTACTTGCTCAGCAATATTTATTTGATATTCGGCATGTACCATACAGTGTTCAATAATGGTACTATCAAGATGAACAACTTACAGGTTATCTATTCTTTTGAACCTTGTTTTTCTTCTTATTAAGATTTACATTTCTTATAATGTATAGTTTTCTGTTTACCCACAAGTTTTATTCTATTTTAAAGATAATATTAATAAATTATTACTATTGTATTTGTCAATGATACATGACTCCTCTCTGATAACAGATATCATATTAACAGAATATTTTTAAATTACAGATAACAGAAAATATAAGACTTTATAGCATTATTGCTCGATCATTTCAGTGAGGCCAGCAATATCTGGGAGTAAGGCCATATTGCAGAAGCGTTCTGACCACTTGAGCTATGGAGATTATATTTCTAATTACTCAGAGTACATATTTTTCCAATTTACCTAGTTTGGGAGCCAATAAATTTGTTTTGCCTTTTTTTATTTTTTAAATTTTGCTTAAAACAACAGAAGATTATTGGCTGGGTGTGGTGGCTCATGCCTGTAATCCCAGCACTTTGGGAAGCCGAGGTGGGCGGATCACGAGGTCAGGAGTTTGAGACCAGCCTGGCCAATGTGGTGAAACCCCGTCTCTACTAAAAATATAAAAATTGGCTGGACGTGGTGGCAGGCACCTGTAATCCCAGTTACTCAGGAAGCTGAGGCAGGAGAATCATTTGAACCCAGGAGGCGGAGGTTGCAGTGTGCTGAGATTGCGCCACTGGACTCCAGCCTGGGTGACAGAGTGAGACTCCATCTCACAAAAGCAAAAAACAAAAAATAGAAGATTATTATCTCATATTTCTGGAGGCTAGAAGTCCAAACTCAAGGGGTCTTTAAGGCCATCCTTTCTCCTAAGGCTCTAGAGATTTATCTTCCCTTGCCTATTTCTAGCTTATGGTGTGTATTAGCCCGTTTTCACACTGCTAATAAAGACGTACCCAAGACTGGGTAATTTATAAAGGAAAGAGGTTTAATTGGCTCACAGTTCCACGTGGCTGGGGAAGCCTCAGAACACTTAAATCGTGGCAGAATGAGGAGTAAACACGTCCTTCTTTACATGGTGGCAGCAAGAAGTGCCGAGCAAAAGGGGGAAAAGCCCCTTATTAAAACCATCAGATCTCATGAGAATTCACTCACTGTCATGAGACCATCATGAGGGTAACTGCCCCCATGATTAAATTATCTCCCATCTGGTTCCTCCCATGACAGGTGGGGATTATGGAAACTATAATTCAAAATGAGATTTGGGTGGGGACACAGCCAAACCGTATCACTGGTGGTTGCCAGCAATCTTTAATGTGTCTTGGCTGTGGAAGCATCACTACAATCTCTTTCCTTGTTGGCCTTCTCTGCATGTCTCTTCCATGTCTTCAAATTTCTCTCTCCTTATAAGGACATCAGTTACTGGATTTAGAGCTCACACTAATCCAATATGATCTCACTTGAAGTTGAATACAGCTGCAAATACCTTATTTCCAAACAATGCCACATTCGGAGTTACCAAGTGTTGGGAGTTCAACATATCTTTTGGGGAACTCAATTCAACCCACAATAGCAGTACTCATTTATTGAGCACTAACTAGAAAGAAATGATTCTTGTGGTGAAATGATTTAGTAGTCTATTACAGGACTCCTCATAAACGCAGTGAAGCTAGAGTGAAAAATAGATAAATTCACTGTCATAGTAAACTTAAACACACTTCTTGATTAATTAATCAAGCAGCAAAAACAAGTGTATCATCTACATTTAAATATCATGCTGAGCAAGGTCAATATACTGAACATTTATGGAAAACATACTTTTCAAGCAATGTGGGATATTCGCAAAATTGGAGATTAACAAATGTCAAGCAAATAGTTTCATATAGAAGACATTCTTTTCCAGGATATTATTAGGTTAAAAATTAATCCCAAAAGATAACTTAAAAAACTGAATTATCTGAAAAATTTAAAACAGATTTCTAAGTAATTTATGTTTCACAGAAGATACCATAAGGAAAATTAGAAAAAAATTAGAATTGACCGTTAATAAAACACAACATTTCAAATACTTGCTAAATGCAACTAATATTTTGCTTAGAGAAACATTTATAGTCTTAAAATAATAATTAAAATAAATAAAATATAAAGTTTAATAAAGTAAACAGAAAAAAAGATGATATAGTAAATGCAACCAAAAAAACAGATAGAAGGAAAGAAATAACAAACACAAAAATAATGGAGCAGCAAAGTTAAAAGCTGGTTTTTTAAAAGGCTGAAAAGATGAACAAAATGTTGGCAAAATTGTTGAAGAAAAAAAGGCACAAATAATTTTAAGAATTAAAAAGGCAGATAACTACAGATATAGCAGATAGTAAAAGCATAAGAAAAATATGTATCTATTAGTGACACTACATTTGAAAACTTAGACAAAATGAACAAAATCCTAGACAATTATACCTTACCAACGCTGACTCAAGAAGAAATAAGAAACTTTAATAATTCTACATTTGTAGAATAAATTAATAATTTTAAACTTTCCCATTGGGCCCAGGTGGTTTTACAGGAAAATGTTATCAAATATTCAAATCATAGATAATTCCAATCTTATGCAACCTTTTTCAGATAAAACAAAATAGAGAAACATGCCCCAGTTCCTTCTATGAGGCTAGTATAATCTAATGCTAAAGACAATGTCATCTGCAACCAGGAACAATTTGACTTTCTTTTTTCCAATCTGAATACCTTTTATTTCTTTCTCTTGCTTAATTAGTCTGACTAGAACTTCTGAAAGTAGGTTGATAAGAGTGATAAAATTTGGTGTCCTTCACTTTTTCTAATTCTTGTAGGGAAAGCTACCAACATTTCCCAGGTCAGTATGATGTTGGCTGTGGGTTTGTAATATATGGCCTTTATTGTTTTGAGGTACATTCCTTCCAGACCTCATTTGTTGGGTGTTTTTATGATGAAGGGACAGAAGGGACATTGAATTTTATAAAATTAGTTTTTTATTTCTATTAAGATGATGACACATTTTGTTTCTTATTTTCTGTAGATGTGACGTATCATATTTATTAATTTTCCTGTATTGAACCATCCCAGCATCCCTGAAATAACTCCCACTTCATCATGGTATATAATATTTTTGATGTGCTGTTCGATTCAGTTTGCTAATATTTGGTTGAAAATTTTTGCGTCATTTTTCATCGGAGATCGTAGCCTGTATTTGTTGTTGCTTTTATAGTTGTGAATTTATTTGGTTTTCGTATCTGGGTAATGCTGGTCATGTAGAATGAGTTTGGAAGAATTCCTTCTCCTCCAACAAAAAAATAGTTTGAGAACTTCTTTAAAAATTTGGCAGAATTCAGCAGTGAAGTCATCAGTTCCTGAGTTTTTTATTGTTGAGAGACTTTTTATTAACAATTTAATCTTTTTACTCATTATTGGTCTGTTTAGGTTTTCTATTTTTTCCTGGCTCAGTCTTGGTATGTTGTGTATGTCCAGGAATTTATCCGTTTTCTCTAGGCTTTCCAATTTGTTGACATATAGTTCTTCATAATACACTCTAATGATCCTTTACATTTCTCTGGTATTAGATGGAATGTCTCCTTTTTTGTTTCTGGTTTTATTTATTTGGGATTTCTTTCTTTTTTTTTTAGTTTAGCTAGTGATTTGTCAATTTAGTTTATGTTTCAAATGACATGAACACCTACAGCTTTTGCTTCTGGACACTCTTATGATATCTACATCTTCGTTGAATTTCTCATTTAGATCATGAATTATTTTCCTGATTTCATTAAATTGTCTACCTCTTTCCTCTGGTATCTCCCTGAGTTTACTAAAGGTTATTATTTTCAATTCCTTTTCAGGCTATCCTTAAATTTTTATTTCTTTTTGGTCATTATGGGTAAAACATTGTGTTTTTTTGGTGGTGTCATGTTTCCTTGCCTTTTAATGGCTTTTGTATCCCTACATTGATTTCTGTGCATCTGGTAGAACAGTTTACTCTTCCAATTTTATAAAGTGTTTTTTTTTTTTTTTTTTTTTGGGCGGGGGAAGATTTTCACCTGCAGATGTGTCCTAGAGTGTCAAGTAGAATGCGTTGGCTTTGTTCTAGATGGTGCAGATGTGTAGTCTTCATGTAGTTTCTTCAGCTACAGACTGTGTCAGCAATGTCTGTAAGTACCTCAGTGGCTTGGAGTGCAGAGGTTTGCATAGCGGGTTCACCTACTCAAGATTTGCTCCTTTGTGGGTTCGGTACTGGGATGGTCTGTGCTCAGAAGACACATGAGGTTGCTATTTAGCTTGGCTGAGGAGATACTCCTTTAGGGGCAGGGCACTGGGGCAACAGATATTCTGCTGAACCCAGGCTCCAAGTGGCCAGGGTCCTGGTTCTAGAATGAGGAAGATGAACTTCCCACTAGAAAGCTTATTCCGAGGGACCAGCGAGTTGTAGCAGCTTGGACTGGGAATGGTGCCCCATCATTTGTAAACATGGTGTAATGGTAGCAAAGCCTCCAATTTAAGGAGCTACAGAGTTTACTGGCCCCTGGAGCTGAATACACTCTAGCAGTGGCTCTGGCTTCAAGATGGTACCTTGAAACAATAGATTGGGTAATGGCGGGCAGACGAGGGGCACAATGTGGGCCCCTTCTTTGAATCAAAACAGTCATGTGAACTGGCAGATTTCACACTCGGTTCATGTCGTGTGAGAGCTGCAGGATTCTCCAGCAGCAAAAACTGCAGGTGTGTGTGGCATTAGTGGGGGCTGCTGGGGGCCTGCCCTGCTGCTCTCTTTGTGCAGGAAAGTTGCTCTTGCTTCGAAGCTAATTTCTTCTGGGAGACAGGGTGACAGCAGCAGTGTGCCTCGCCTCTTTCTCTATTTGGCCGTCATGAGTCTCTGTGTTCCACAAGGCCTGCGCCAGTCTCTTGCTCTACTCCAGTGGTATCCCTTAGACACTAGTCAAATAAGAGCTGTTTATTCACTATTTTCGTCATTTTTTGTTGGGGCAAGATGAGCACCAGAAACTTTCAGTCAGCCATCTTGCTGATATCACTTTTTCCCTTTTCTTTTGAGAGAAAAAATGTTAAAGATTTTGATTTTTTGGCCAAAAGAATTTAACGAGTGATGGGGAAAAGTGGATACATGAACTGGTTAATTAGCTATGATTTTAATATACACTCTATTTTATAAATCAAAATTCCAACTTCCCAGTGGCCCAATGTCATGGAGTTCTTCATAACTATAAGAAAAAAAAAAACGCTTGTAAGAAAAAGTATCAGAGAACCAAAATGTAAAGAAATGATTGAACAGTAATTCTATTTTTAGAACTGTCCTAAGGCTTGTGGAAGTGTGGAAACTATACTGTAACTCATTTCTCCATGGGACAGTTAAATAATGCAAGCATGGAATACTCCAGGATGTCAAAGTGGATAGAGATCAGTGTGAGTACCATGCTCAGGGATGACTCCATGGTGAATTTTTAACATATTTTTTATCTGTCTACACTCCACAAAAAGGATACATGAAAAGAAGCCTTGTGATGATTAAATTACTCCAATTTGCCTTTATTTTCAGTTGTATAGTTCCTGAGGATAGTGTTTGAACTGAATGCATTTTGACAGCATAACCATACAATTCCCATGTTCAGTGTGAGATTACATATTGCTCTACAGATCTGTTACCTGCTTTGTTTGCCTTTTTCTATATCTGCTTATCTGCCTTTCACCATTCAGTAGATAATTATTATCTTACTATATTTCTATCTTAAGATGGAACAAGCTAAAACAAACCAAGGGACTATGAAGAGAACTCAGACAATTTCATTTCGTTAAACCACAATGGAATGCAATTTGTATTTCTTAAGATTATGAAATATGGTGCGCATTTATGAGCACTTGGATCTCAGTGTTAGTAGAAGGCAAGTAAAAGGATAGGGAAAGTATTATTTTATGGTAATCCTTGGAAATTTTCATAATAAAAAATGCCCTAAGCACTCAGATTGTCCGTAACAGAGCTGTAATAATATGAATCAAAGGCAGGTACTTCTTCTAAACTTGATTTTGAGAAATCTGAAATCCTTCTGTTTTGAGGTGGTGGGAAGGCTATGTACACTTTTACTGCAAGTAATGACTAATATCAGCAGGTGCTGTATGTGCCTGCTGTACTTGTGGCCAGAAAAGAGTAGAATAAAAAGCTCTTATTTATTAAGCATGTGTTATGTAGAGCCAGAAGTCTCTAGGAGATCCTAACTTGATTATTTTTCCCTTCTGGCTCTATGCAACACATGCTTAATCAGGTAAGGTCATAATTTGAGAGCAGTTAGATGGTTCTCTTTTCAAATGTATTTCTCCTACCAGTCTGCCAAAATTGCAAAATTTTGTTCATCATTAAACATCCCCTTTAGTTAAGACATTAGTGTTCCTCATAAAAATGCAAATATATTATTAAGCATTAATATCTTATTACTAATTAGTTGATCAATTTTACCCTGACAAAGAAAACAATCATGAGACAATGGGAAATAGGGGTCAGGCAAGAATATTCATGAGGTGAAAGGTCAGCAAAGGGCTGAACCATGGGGTGTTACTAGGAGAAAGTTTCAGGTAAGGCAGCTCAGAGGAGACATTCTAGTAAGGCAGATAATATCCTAGGGGAATGGTGACTTTTAGATCTGTCTTAAATCTCCATATCTGGGTGATCACATTTGCTAACTGAGCCAGTGACCTCACCTGCAATTTGTATAGGGAGTGAGGAAGATTCACATCGGTATGGCTTACATAGATTTGGATGCTGATAATTTAGATTTACTTTGGAGAAAAGATGTACGACAGAATTAATGACTTCTTTTGCACATATAAAATGTCTGAATTCTAACAACAATATTACCACAATTTGGGGTAAATTATTGTGTTTTTGAGAGAAACTGAGAAAACAAAGTAAAACAATAATAGTAATAATGATGATGATGTTTATGCAGCAGACAGTAAATAGAATGAAAACATCTAAAAATAAAGAAATGGACAGTGAAGTGTGAAAGACCAGAGAGAAAGGGCAGGTGAGTTGGCCACGAAATGTGTTCCTGGACTCTGTCCTTTTGGTTTTCTAAGTAAAGTCCTCAACAGAAAAAGTCTTTCTAAGCAGTAAATCCTAGTTCTTGTGATTTTGTTTTTGCAAGTGGAACGTAAGTTTTCATGTCATAAATCTTGGCCAATATTAATAATAGTTAAGTATTTTGAATCCTCATGAGGTGTCAGGCACTCTTCTAAGCATTTTATATGCCAGGTTTATTTCAGATTTGTTTTAAAAAGCTGGGACAGAGAATAAATACACACTCTTTGAGTAACACTATGTTCAAAAATGGAAGAGTAGCTTTAAATGCAGAGAGTTCAGTGTTTCAGCCTGACTTTCTATATATCATTAAAGAAGGACCCTGTCTCTCATCTTCTAAATAATAATAACTAATACTTAAATGTCATATCATGTTACAAATTCACTTCCCTTTAATACTTAAATATCATATCATGTTACAAATTCCCTTCCCTTATCAATTCTTTGAAGTTTACAACATTTACATGGGTATAACCTTTAACTTATTTACTTCTCAAAACAACCTAGGAATTAGTGATAAGAAAACTGAGACACAATGAGTTATGTAATTTGCCCAAAGTCAAACAGGAGTAAGTACTGGGGCCAGATGTTAAACCTAGGCAAGAGCAAGAGCTCTTTATTATGAGATATAGTGACTCTTTGGGCTTTAACTTAATATGACCTCAGTAAGTCTCTTAGCTGTAATTGGTATAATCTGTAAAATGACTCACCTCAGTAAGTCTCTTTTCTATAATTGGCTCAATCTGTAAAATAAAAAGAGTGGTGTTAGAATTCCAAATTTCTTCCTAGCCTTCAAATTCTATGACTCAATCCTGGTAAGGCTATGGGGCAACAGTCAATGTCATACTTCTTTGGAGGGTCTAAACACAGTTTCACTTATAGTGGAAACTTGTCAATGTATTGTTTTAAGTCTAGAAATTCAGTCCACAATATACAATGTAAAGGCAAGGCATGATAGATGAGAATGCTTATCTGAGATTTGTCTATGATAGCATACAATTTGGAAACCACTTCAATGTCTAAACAAGGGATTGATTATTTACATTTTGATACATGATTATGCTCTTACTAATACCATGTATTCAAAGACTAGTTAATGATATTGAAAAAGCTCACAATACAATAATAGGCAAAAAATAAAATAATATATAACATTATAAATACAACACTATCTAATTTTGATTTATACGTGTATGTATATGTGCACGTGTTTACACTTTTAAAGGTAAATGTGTGAAAATTAACTTAGTTCTTTGTTTGCTAACATGATTATACATGAGTTATATTTCCAAACTTTTGTAAACAAGCATTACTTTCAAAACCAGAAAAAATAAAATATTTGGAAACAAACTGTACTCAACAATATATGTCAAATTCCATGAATCATTTCCTTCTTTCCTCTTTTCTACTTTTGATCATCTTTACAGACTGATGAAGACCTAAGACCGACTTTCCCTGGATTCCCTAGGAAGCAGTGACATTCTTGCTATAACCACTTGCGTAAATATTTAGAATGACCATGCATTTGGAATGACCATATGGGTTTTCTGCCTGGTGACTGTGTTGATGGCACCAAGTTAACCATGGCCTAAAACTCTGTTTAAGAATAAGCCCTCTAAAATATTGTTAAATGCACAGTCGTCTGATGCTTCCTATAATAGCATATAGCATATTGTTTTCACTCAATAAATTTTAAGTCATAATAATCACTAATAATAATAAGGAGGCAATAAAAAATAACTGGATTCAGTAGCACTGATGCAGTAGCTCTTTATGAGTTCCCGGTAGGGAGAGCAAGTTGCAAGCAGATCCAAAAAGACCATAGCGTTCGGCATGACAGGCCTTCCAGAACAGCTTGTGAGGCAGAACCAATATCGAGTGTGTACACATACGGGCCTGAAGTAGTGTCAGTTTGCAGCTCCAGGAACTGGGGCTGGTAAAATAGCATAAGGAGAACTGGAAAAATCTGCCCAGCTCCAGCTATCTCTGAATGGTATATTTGCTACTATGATAACAAGGTTTGAAAGATCTGACAATGCCATGAACTTGTAGGTAGGCAAACCTAATGTGAACTTGTTCCATTGTAAAACATATCTTCCCCAAAGAACCTGCCCTAATTGTCCTAATCCTAGCATTTAATCCCCTTTCTTACTGTTCTTACACTTATTAATATATCGGTGCATTCAGATATTTAAATATTTTATTTTGTATGTTGAATGCATGTATGCATGTTTATTTCTATAACCTCTTCATGAGTTTTCTAAATTAGAGGATTTACTTCTTGATTTTCTTTTATCTTGCTGTGAAATGAGTTTAGAGAGTTAGGGCTCCTAGGAGCAAATACTTGGCTCAATACTAGGAAGCAACAGGGCAGTAGACAAAAGGGCCCAAGGACTCATTATACAATTATTTATTCCTTCTATTAATTTCTTTCTGTCTTTCTAAGATGTAAGCTGTATGAGGGCACAGTTTTGTTTTATTCATAATGTAACCATGGTAACAGAAAAAGTGTCTGGAACATAGAGAACACTCAATAAATATTTTTGAGTGAAACAAAATAATATTTTGAAAAAGGTACCCCCCAAGAAAACACATCACTATGAGACCATATCTCATTGGCTCTCAAAGATTTTTAAATTCATGAGGGTTATTCAGGATGACTGGGATGAAGCAGGCTTGAGAGCATTCAGCCTAAAAGCATCATTTTCCTTATACCTATCAGAGAACTGTGTTAAAGTCATTCATTTTTCCAGCCTTTGACATTGACTCGATTACTTCCTGACATTAATTGTGACAGATCAAGTTATTTTTCCTTGTCCACCTTTCATTATGCTTTGTAATCCAAGGCATCAATTTTAAACTTGTTTAACCCAAAATAATCACAATGGACCAGGCCAGAAAAAAAAATTATAAAATTGGCCACAAAGGGGATATTCACTATCCACCTATTTTGTTAAATGACATACTCTACTTGCACACCAGCCATAACAGGAAAGAAATTCCTATGTGTATAAAACAGAAAGTAAAAGACTTATAATTATAATTGTTATTATTCAATAATCTCTCTTTGTTTTTAGTTAATACACATAGGAAGTGGATTATGCATTTGCAGTGAGCTTTCAATTATATAGCTGTAGATAGTAAATATGAGATATGCATATGTTGAAGAATTAAGACTACTCAGACTTCCCCCTGACACCTATTTTTAGGTTTTGCTCTAAGTTTCCGTGTGACCAGGGAATTTAATAATAAAATAGGTGATCAAACAAAATGTACAGAATTGTCTATTGTTGAAATCACACTCCACAAAGACCATGCTCAACTGCCCTGAGACAAACATCTGCACATGTATTTCAATACCGTGTGTGTGTGTGTGTGTGTGTGTGTGTGTGTGTGTGTGTGTGTGATTTTTCACTGAGGTTGGTCAGTCTCTTTCAGAATGTAAGCTCTTTGGCTGAAATGCCTTACAGCATCCACCCAGAGATAGGCATAGGAACAGCACAAGAAACATCTCTGGATTTCTAGTCTTTTGTTTGAAGACCTGTGTTTGGAATCCTACTTTGAGCAGGAAGATCTAGTCTTCATCTGCTTCAAAAGATTTACCCTAATCAGCCTCAAAATTTAACATAGATTTTCTCACCTGAAAATGCCCTTAGAGATCTTTTGGTTAAATCCCTGGTTTTGAAACATGAAACTCATTTACCTCTTGCTCAAATGGCCATCTGACAAATTCTGGAATGAGAAAATTTTAAAAGTTGAAGTTCAAAGCCTCCGTGTTAAATGTGAACTAGGGGCAAAAGCAAGGAGGTGCCAGCACCCAGGACAATTGACTATTAGAAAATTTGAAAAAGAGAAATGAAACCAAAGTCTAATACCAAGTTGATCAAGTAGATAAAGCATCACTTTTTATATAATAGTAAATCAACAAGACCCCCTTCTCTCCACCTGTGCCTATCTCACAGCAACATTAAAATCATGTTTTCTTTTAAAATCACAGAGAAAGAAAGAAGGGTCGGAGCACGTAAGAGATATCAGTAGTCTAGTTTTGCAGATAGATTCATTTGGCATGCCCTGGGGAGCAATGATGTTAGTTTCACTTTATTAATTGAGAAGATTCTACATCCATGATTCCCACTTTTTCTCATTCCTTTCCTGAAGAGAAGATTCAAGAGGGAGGTAGACATTTCATGTTTAAGTAGAAAAAATAAAAACTCTCTCTTTTGCTTTTATTGCATGCTAATTAAGCATGATGGGAGTGAGAGATCCTATAGCAATGCAGCAGGCTCGGAACACTGACAAGGTCAATTATCTCCTGATAAGTCCTGCACCAGCAAAGATTAGTAATATAACTAATATTAATTGAATGTGAGTTCATTGAGTTTTATTTCTTATTTTAAAGTTCTCTTGGTGGGCGCATGCCATGGTGCACAGAGAATGATGGATGGAAATGATGAAATTGTTAATAAACCCTCAGACCCCTATGGCCCACTGGGCCCACAGAGTATGCAGGTTTGATTTTTTTTTTCTTTGGTTCCAGCCACCACCACCCTGGTAGGGACTGGCAGGAAACCAAAAAGAGCTGGTTTTGTAATCCAGTTCATTACATGAATGAAGAAAGTGCCAGGGTCTTCAAATCTATGAATTCAGAATTTCCCAGTCAAAACTGGAATGAAACTAACTGCATGGTGCCACTTAACAAGAATTGGGTCTAGTTGATTTATAAAGACAAAAGATCATACTTCTTTATTGGTTTCTATCATCACAAATAAGTTGCCTATTTTAAAATTTAAAAATTCAATATAATGTTTGCTTTTATTTTGCCCAGTTTTCATATAAAATAAGGAAAGCATGTCCATGGAGAGAACTTATTTTGAATGAGTTGAAAGATGGAGGCTAATTTGCATTGAGGGTTGGTACTCTTGTAAGTGATTTTAGGGACTTGGGAATTGAGATGCTGCTATTTACATTCAATTTCTTTCCCATGTATCAGACATCAGTTTTATATCTGGTGGTAACAGAACTCCGTTAACTGATCTCATGAATTCACACTTCTTCTTTGCAAAGTTGGAAAGAGATGTAAGTGGTTATATTATTTTAAACCATAGAGAAAATCAGTAGAGTAATTCTTTGTTTTTGAAGCACTCAGTGTATAAAATGATATAATGCTTTATTTTACCAATCCTTTATTTGTAAAATGCTGTTTTCCTAAATGTATGGCTAAAATAAATGCCATCCATAAAAATGAAAAGGACGAAACCAATGAAAGTAACTGTAAATGCAATAAAAGTCGCAAAGAACCTAAAAGCAATTTGAGGACAGCCTGTTTGAAGCCCTGTAGGTGATAATTATACATGAGATTTTAAACATAATGTTAACCTCCAACTTAATTTAATTTAAAAATTTTCCTACCTACCATGACACCTCCCTCCTATGAACTGATGGTTCAAAATCTGGTAACTCTAATTTGACAACTAGTAACTAACTTTATTGTTTGTACCGCTGTTGTGTTGTCATTCAACGCAAGTAACTGTCTTTTTCATGTGTGCTGGTCTTTGTTCTTTGATGGATATATTACATGAATATGGAGTCCATTTTATTTAACATTTTCATAGTGTGCAGAGTACCAGGCAAGGCAGAGTATCCACTAAGTGCTAAATACTTAACTGAGTAACTAAAGCTCCAGCTTGTTCAGCATTGGACTGTAATGGTAAATCAGTGATAGGAATATGGAAGATGTATGTGGAGGTGTTATTTTTCAGGTGAGCCTGATACCTCTAGAGGATCGTCTGGATTTAGAACATGATGATCATGCTAAGGAGAGGGGTGGGAATCACAGGAAGCAATACCTACTATTCAAAACAAACATACCATGGCCTGGTGGGAGGCAAGGGATGAGGAAAGAAACAACTTTTACTGCAGAGAAGAAAGGAGAGGAGATGCATTAGTGGCAAAACAAAGCCATAAGCCAGACTCCTTCAGAGGCACCAGAAGTTCAGTGCAATGAAAAAAGCACTGGAGAGGTTACTACCATCTGTAAGTTTACATGTTGATAGCTTAGTGGGGAAGCAATTACAATTATTCAGAAATACTGATGAGAAAGTTCATAATTAAGGAAAACAAGATTTAAATAGAATATAAATTGTTAAAGGTATTGTTCCATGTTTTGCTTTTTTTACTCATTTTTCTTGTGATCTTCTGCTTCTATCATCCATTAGAGGGGTCCAGGGCCTGATGATACAGGTTCTGATACACAGCCTATCCGGTGATTTCATCTGCTTATTTTCACTCCCCTGTGAATGGGGTTGGCAACTGCACCCGCCAAGAAGTGACAGCAGTTGACGGCTAGAATATTAAAGTCAGATGCGTGTGACTGGGGTTCAATGAAAATACGTCAGGAAGGATGAAGCCCGTCCAATTCAGTCGCACATTTTGCGCTGCAATTTTTAAAACCAAAGTACCTGGAGTCTCAATTGAAACACATTGCAATGTCCCATCACCCGTGTCTTTCAGAATGTGGCCTGACATTGCCTTCTCCATTTCCCATTTTCTCAGTTAAATGCATAACATATTGTAAATGATATTTATTTTATTGTAAATAGGATTTGGATTATTTTTTACATCATGGCTGTATGTTTTGCCTCTGCTCTCTCTTAATGTATTTCTGTGAAGTATATAAAAGCAGAGGCCCTGAGAACCCAATCAGGAATCTTTCTAGTTACTGTGATGGAGAGAGTGACATGTTGGGTTCAGAATCATACATTGAACTTATACTTGGAAATAAACATTGCTTATATGAGTTTTAACATTTAAAAAATAGTATCTTTTTGTCCTTATGGAATTGCCCTATGGAAATACCCTTACTCTTTCTAATCCTGTTAAACAGGTAGGATCTAGTTGGTAGTAGGTAGCAGTTGATGCGGGAAACAAGACATTTTTCTTAATGCTTGAAATGTGACAGGTGTCTTCTACCAATGCTTAAATATTGGAAACTATAGACATAGTTTCTTACGGTACCTAAAACCTTACTGTTCATTTTGAAGCCCCTCTCACCAGAAAGGAGTTGAGATAGTTCCCCTCACTCTTATCCATAACCCTAGTACATTCCCTTCATATTTCTCCCCTCTGTAGTCCTAAAGGTTTTGAATATGAGGTAGCATGCTAGAAAAGACTGCATGTGGTGGTAGGTGGAGTCTAATCAACTTTTAATGGTATGTAAAGCCTAGACTTTGAATTATAAGTCTTTAATTCATGATGTGTGTGTTTGGAGTAAGCTATATACATTTTCTGAGCCTCATTCATCATCCTTAAGAATAGAACATTAGCATATATTCCAGATAGTAAGAATTAAAGGAAATAATATATGCAAAACACCTGGCTTTGAGAAAAGTAAGAAACAGATGAGGGTTACTTAAGTCACCTGGGATCCAAACTTCTTTATCATAAAATGAATGCATCTAACTAAATAATACTAGGCACAATAATAGGTCAGGCACTAACATGTGCTTCATCAGTAGTAGCTCATGGAGCCTTAATTTCAACTCTACATGGTTTTATTTCTATTGTCCCCACATGAAAGATTTAAAAACTGAGGCTTAAAGAAATCAATTATGCACCTAAGTACATGACTGACTTTCACTGAAGCTTGCTTTATAGTTATTGCTATCCCATTTAATAGAAAATAAGATATGTATTTTGGTGAAAAACTGCAATGAACAGCAAGATAAAACTCATGCCCATATAAACACTGAACTGTTTTTAAAATATTGTTGGGGAATTTCATGTCAAAGATAACCCCTAGATATAGGAAATTATCTTATGCAAACATGAAAGTTTATGCTTATGTCAGTTACAGCAATGACCAACTTGCTGGCAAATAATTTCCAGCAACTAAAGCTCTTCTATTGCCATTCCAGAGGAAGAAGCTGCAAAAGAGGAATAAAGAAACTAAAAGCAACAAAACCAAACTTAAAAAAAAAAAGGCAAAGGTTCTGAACTGCAAAGGAAATTGTCATACCATTAACTCTGCTGAATGAAAGAGGAATACAGCCTCCTCCGGTTCTTACAGTTGTGTATAAAATAAGGTAGCAGATTAGAAATAGAGAAGATATGCTAAAGATGAGATGTGACTGATGACAGCAGACAGCAAAGGAAGGAAGTATAATTGCTAACATGAAATAAAAGTGCTACAGAATGCAGGCCATTACCAGAGTAACAGGTCTACAGAGTTGAACCACCTAGAACCATAATGTTTATTCCAATGACTCTGAGACAACAAGAAAGTGTGAAATCCTTCTCATTGTTACCATTTAAGAAGACAGAGACTTAACTTAAAAATTTCTTCAAAATATTCAACATAAATATTAAACTGATTTTGTTTCTACTTGCTTTTACTTTGTATAAAGGTATAACCTCAATTGTCTAAAAATATATATATAATGAAATTGATGAAACCTCTGTTATTACATCTGGGCAAGCAAATGACTTTGAGTCTGTATGGCAGATGAATGACTTATCGCCTGAGGTAAATGTTGCATCACAAAGGCAACTTTCAATAGAGTGATTGACTGTGTCCACAAATAGCAATCCATGTTGACTGCCAATAAGAAAAACAGTTGATGTGAGAGGATTTTTTCAAGAAGGGAAATAGTGATTTAACACTGCCACCATACAACATGGGTCCTTATTAGAACTTCATTGCCCATATGTTTGGTCATAATATTGATTGACTCCATTAGAGGAAAAAGCAAACTTTTTGGTAACATTAAACCAAGCAACTCGTGTGTCATACCTTGGTATACCCTTCAAAAGTGGTGGTGAATCTAAAAAGATTCAGAACTTCTAGTTTAGACAAGAAATAGAGAAATCATAGGCATGGCCATGTTTGAGTCACAGCCTGTTTTGGTCTGGTCATCTCTTTTTCTCCTCCTTTGATTACCTTTATTTTAATAAAGAGTTGTGGATACATAGTAGCTGTATATATTTATAGAGTACATGAGATGTTTTGATACAGGTATGCAAAGTGAAATAACCACATCATGGAAATGGAGTGTCATCTTCTCAAGCATTACCCATTGAGTTACAAACAATCTAATTACACTCTTTATTTTAAAATGTGCACTTAAGTTATTATTGACTATAGTCACTCTGTTGTGCTATCAAATCATAGGTCTTATTCTTTCTTTCTTATTTTTTGGTACCCATTAACCATCCCTACCACACCTAACCCTACCCTTCCCAGCATCCAGTGACCATTCTTCTACACTCTATGTTCATGAGTTCAACTGCTTTGATTTTTAAATCCCATAAATAATGTCTGGTGATAGTATCCAGTCTCATTATTTCAAATATCACCTATGTACTGACAACTTGCTTCCCAGCTCATATTTTTCTCCTAAATTTTAGCTTATGCCCTCAACAATCTATTCAACATTTTCTCTTCAGGCATGCATTAGACATATGTTTAAAACTGGAATGGTGGGAGGCTGAGGCAGGTGGATGATGAGGTCAGGAGTTCAAGACCAGCCTGGCCAAGATGGTGAAACCCTGTTTCTACTAAAAATACAAAAAAATTAGACATGCATGGTGGTAGGCACCTGTAATCCCAGCTACTCAGGAGGCTGAGGCAGATAATTGCTTGAACCCAGGAGGCAGAGGTTGCAATAAGCCGAGATTGCGCCACTGCACTCCAGACTGGGTGACAGAGAGAGACTCTGTCTCAAAAACAAACAAACAAACAACAAAACAATAACAAAAAAAAAACTGGAATGGATGGGGTCTTAGTTGATCTTTAAAGATAGTTAGGATTTGACAAAGAAGAGAGGATGGGAAGCAAACATATGAGAAGAGAGCAGCACAAGAACATAGCATACATAGGCCAGGAGATAGAGAAAAGTCTTGGTACAACTATCATAAATGGGACTCTTATTTTGCAGAGAGAAAATAGTACATTTTTTCTCAATATGATAGAGAAAAAAGAATGGGAAATTCTTCACTATCTCTATGAAGAAATCAAATTAAACATGAGACCAAAGGAGCTAAACATTTCAGCATAATGGCTTTTTATCATTTTAAGATTGCAAGTGTCCCCCAAATTCTAATTAATAAATCACCTATTGCAATCTCCTCAGAATTCTAAGTAATTCCCCCACCTTCAATAAAAAGAGAAGAGCAGAGAAGAGAGATCTAAATGTATTTTATCATTTCTTTGGCTTGCGTTCAAGTTCTATGCTGAGTCAAAGCCCAGCTCAAAAATTAGTCAGGCTGTGCCCCAGCCCTCATCATATTTAAGTGGTGATAGCTTTTATTGCTGCAGCCCATGTTACTGTCATCCAACTCTTTCCCAGCAGCAGTGAACTTAGAGACAATAGGATAGCAGGAATCTTCTTTTATGTCTCCTCTTTACCCCTAAACTTTATTGCCTGTGCATTGCAAGAACAAGCCTGAAAAAATGAGTCAATTTCCAAACACAGTCTAAAATCCCAAAAGGTAAGATATAACCATCTGGAGTACAACAAGCACATCATATTTTTTTTTTCTTTAGCAAGATACTTCTGAGTCTTATGGAAGGAATCCTAGTAGGCAAAGTCCTACTAGCTGTTTGTAACTCCTTAAAAAATTAAAAAAAAATAAAACGGCAATGTTTCTTTAATGTCACAGTCTGAATTATAAGCAGAGAGTTGGCACATCTCTCATTTTATTCATTCTAATTACAATTGCCTTGTCACTGACATGCCAACCTGACGGAGAGCAAATCAGGTAGCAAATCCCCAGGGGCCGCTTAGTAACAGGAAGGCTGTCTCCAGTGGAATCAACGTGACAATTTCTTCTCTCCCTCTTCAAAGTCGAGAGTCCCCCTGGACAAATTCACATTTGATTATTTTCACTAGGCTCTCTGTCTTCAACTGCTTGATTAGCGTCTCACTCACCTAAGAAATTAGACTAAAGTTTGTGACCATTAAAAGGAAACCATGGTATATGCATGGGTGCCTGCTCATGCATGCAGCACATCTATGGAAAACCATTTTCTTAATGGAGCATCAAGAGTTGGCACCAAGGATATTTTGTAACGGCTACTGTAAGCGTGTATTTGTGTATGTGTACATGTGCATGTGTTGCTGTTTATGTTATTAGCAGGTGATCTTTTACAAACACTTTAGCTCAGAAATATGAAGTCAGTTTGAAAAACATAGGCAAGGGTGTTGTGGTTGGCTCATTGGTGTCTGATTCTTCTTTCTCCAACTTTACTACAGGTATGCTTAGAGATGGGCCTGTTGTTACTAAAGTGTTTAGCATAAAACTGCATTCTTTCTGGTAAAACACATTTCTATAGAATGATGCAAGTAACTTTAGAGGATAATAATTAGAACTCATAATTAGTATGCCAAGAACAGAATTTTTATATTAAACAAAAAATATTCTAAGAAAATTACCAGGATATGTTCCCCTTATCCTTTCACAAACCCTTGCTTTGGACTGACCAGTGACCAAGGAAATAGGTTAGAAAAGGGACAGAAGGAGCCAGAATTCTGCCTTCAGAACCCTTCATCCTGCCTCTCCCCTGATGTCTTCCTTCATCGCTCTAGTGGATAGAAAAAATTGTTTCAAACTTAGGTGTATATAAAAAGCAGGTAACCTGGGCTTCTGGTCTAGACATTCTGCCTTACCATAGGTAGTGTAGCCCAGAATTCTATATTTTACCAATCATTAGGGTGATTATATTAGAAACAGGACTATAGTCATTCTTTCAATTCCAAAATCTTAGGATGATAATGTATGTATCATAAAATTGGCCCTTTGCTCAGCGAGGATGCACATCTAATTATGGTGTATGACAGCTCCTCCCAAGTAATTTCCAAGTAAGAACTGAATATTAACATTTTCTCTTTGCTACATAACACTTTATACATAATAAATGTTCAATAAATATTTGCTGATATGAATTGATTTAATGAAGAAACCAAAGCCATTTTATTTGTGCCTTTCTATCTGGAAGCAAAAGTTTCCTTTGCCAACGCATAGACCATATCACTTTAGAATTGTAACTTATTTTAGAAGAACATTAGTGTATTCAAGGAGATTGGCTATGGATGACTAGCTCTCCCATGGGACGGCAGATTTTTCAGCTATGGCTCCAGCTCAGAGGAGGTGAAATGATTCAGTGTTGTTTCTGTCCAGTGCACTGTTGATGGTTCAGCTCCTCCACTCATGGCCACCTGAGCTGCTCAAGCTTAAAAAATACACCTTTTCCTAGAAGTAGAAGGTCAACCAACAAGAATAGAGTTATATCAGCCAGCATAGAGATGAACTACCATAGCTGTAGAGTTTTGTGCCAAAAAATAGGTTCATATTCTCCTTCATGCTTGGAGGAGATTACCAAATTGAATTATCAGCTGTCCATGTGACAGTTCTGTGTCCAGTGCTTTGGTGCTTCAGGGAATATAGGGCAGCAAGATTTTGTCTTTGCTCTCAAGTAGCTTCCAGTTTAGTAGGGAGATAGACAATAAACATGCATAAAGCAGTATAAGAAAGACATTTTAAAGAATGCTTAATGACAACTGATATCACAGGGGAACTACCTCCTTATTTGCTAAATGAGTAAAAGTACTAGAGCTGTTTAGGGAAGAGAGAAACAATCAGATAGGATAACTGGGAAAACAATCTGCAAGGGGTAGGTGAATATGGCTGAGACAGAAAAATGAGTAGGTTTAAATACGAAGATTTGTCAACCTGAGCAGAGGTAGCCCCTACCAGAAGTTTAAGGAAGGCAAAGCTGCCCTCTTTTTTCTTCTTTTGTCCCTACTGCAATGTGAGATGCATACACAGTTCCATTGCATTAGACCTGCCCTTTCTGATTGGAATCCTTTCGTTCTCCCCAACCACCAAAAGCTTTTAGAGTCATATGTTTACATATTTCCTAATTCTTACCTAATACAATATCTTTACAACCTATTTTGCTTTTAACTGGTATATTGCATATTTATTTTTTAATTTTTACACACATCCTTCTACTCATTGAAACTTCTCTCCAGTATTTTATTTTCATGGTGCCAACTGAAAAATCAGTTAATTAATCCATACAAAAATAATAAATAAAAAACTCAAGGAACATCTAGAATAACAGATATATCCCTCATTTAGGATATATAGACCAGTAGGGATACACTTTTCAGAGAGACTTGGGAAAAGCTTCAGGCCACAGCAAAAGGGCTGTGACTGGATGGAGAGTGAGACCTTAGCAGCACAAGAGATGCTCTTAAGTATACACAGGTTAGAAGTCTTATTTTTTATTTCATCATATTTCTAGGCTTGTTCTGATCCTAATAACACTTGGTCACAGAAACAATGCTCCTTAGTTTGATTCTTTCCAGAATGACTGTAGCATCCCATTACTTATAAGGGAAGGACCCTTTTGAGCCTCTATGATGGGATTTCTTCCTAGGTCTTCAACCTCAGCTGCCATCACTCACTTGCCTGCACTGATAATTTATTCATTATTCTCCTGATGCACCTTGCATATTCCTGTCTTAGCATTTTGCTCAAATGTTGTGTCCTGCATCCAAAGACATTTGTCCTCCCCTTTTACCTACCCAAGTCCATCCAGCCAGAGCCAGACAAAGCCCAGGGGTTTTTGAGACATCATTGATTCTTCTCTCATCTACAGCCTTGGATGTAGAAGCTGAGACATTTTAGCATGTATGACTGTATTAATTGCATGTGTGCATATGTATGTATGTGGCTGCAGAGAATTAGAAGACATTCTTTATCTAAATGTGTGTTACTTTAAAAGGATAAACTTTTAGTTATAGAGGCTGGAATTCATTTGTTTTGGAACCCTTTGTCTCAGAGGTTGGAGGGGGCATCTAATAGGTTTTTACAGGTCCAGGTAGGACTTGGTGGAGACTACAAAGGAAATTCCACTTCCTAACCACATCAAGTCTTCCTAATCGACTTGGTTGCCCCAGAATAGGAGTAGAAGTTGAATACATTTCAGATGCTGCTCTCCACCTCTTGCCAAGTCCTGCAGAATAAAGTGAGTTGCATATATTTGGGCAGCTTAGGATGTATGTAAAATGTAAGGAGACAATCTTTTACAAAAACATTGTTCTTTTTAGGGTTATGATGGATACCACACATTCCTGTGAGTAGGGGTTAATTGTATGTATATGAGACCCAAAGAAAGTTTTCTATTCTTCAAATAATTGCTTTCAGTGTATTTTTAATAGCAGATTAAACAGTTCAGTCTGCGTGGACGTGGACCAATAAAACTTATTTGTAGTATTCAGTGGATGGCTCTGGTAATCATAGATAGTTGCAAAACCACCTTTCCCTCCCGGTAACAAGTGAACCAACAGAAATGTTTCTCAACTACAAGCAGCATGTTTAAAAGACAAACTCAAGTGTGACTGAAAGCTAATATAAATCAATCACCATTAAAACTTTTTGAAATACATCTCTCTTTTTCCTTGGCTCTTTCATGTCAATACCAATGAGCATATTGTAATTTCTCAAAACCTTAAGAGGATGAAGATATCAGTAGCCATTTAACATAAGCACAGGCACAGAAATGCTACTAAAATGGGTGGAAACAAATCCTAACCAAATGGTAAGTATTTTAAAACATCTTTAAACATGTCCCAGAGGTAAATCATATAATTACTCACTTAATAAATTCATTTATAGCTTTGGGAGGAAGAGAGCAGATTAAGTGATAAGGAGTGTTGGGAGAAATGAAATGTTTTCCATGCTAAGAACAGTAGCTTTGAGATTCAATAGTGTTGAAAAAAAGCAGGAAGGCAATTCTAGTAACAGGCACCTGCAGAACAATGGACTCAATCGCAAACTGGAGACTTTATAGAAAGTGTGGGGAGTTTTCTAATATGGAGGGAATTCATATAAAATAAAGTTTAATTTAGACTTAGAAAATGTACCTAGTGTGGGAATGATTCCCTGATAATGCAGAAAACTACAGAAAATGTGTTAAAATAATTTATAGGGTCCAGTTGTACTTGATCAGATGATTAACGGTATTCCATCTGCTTTCCAAATATTCCCACCTTCCACTAATTCCTCTGAAATTTTGCCATTTCAGTCAGGCTGAAATTTATTAGCACCCACTTACTGTGATTTACATTCAGAATGATTTGCATGCCTCTTGCCTGGGCTCCTGCATGCCTTTATTAGGAATGCAGCTTATTTGGTGGCTCATGTGATTTATAAGCATTTGGCAAGTCTGCCCTTCTGTTCTTTTTTTCACCTTTTGATTTATGCAAGGGCAGAGTTATATTCCTGAGGCTCATCCATTCCCTACGAAATTAATTTTTTTAAACTGAAGTCTCCCCATTTGGTTAAAACCAAATGTGACAAATTAGATTCAATATCCTTTTCTTGGATACAACAAAAACAGTAGTTATAATTAGGACTTCTCTTTGGTAAAATTTTGAATTAGGTGAAGCTTGTATACAGTGGCTGTGGGCTCATGTTCTCTCCCTATTACCCAACCCTGTTTTTATACTTTATCTCAAAATTACATTTTCTTGTTTTCCTATATGAAGTGCCCTACCCTCACATTGTCTGTCTACTACCTTTTTCACCCTTACAGGATCATTGTTCACTGGCCTGCCCTTAACTGTGAAGAAAAAAAAAAAAGATCTAATAAAATTACACCACCACAATGAGAATCCTGCCCACCTCCATGAGACAGCTGGGATTTGAAATGGGACACTTAGAGAAACAATGCCTTAATTATAACTTCATAATTTATAATGGGCCATTCACATACATTATCTAATTTGATATTTAAAACACTCTTCAAGATAATTATTATATATACATCAGTTTTACATGTAGAGAAACTATGGCTTGGGAAAAAGAGGAAATTTAGGGTAAGACAGTGGGCAGTGGGGTGTCCCAAGCCTAGTCATGTATCAATGAACTCTATTTGTTCCCCACTCCTCCACTGGCTCCTTTGTACTAAGAGACAATCTATTTAACAGAGTTTTGGTTTCTGGAACAGGCTGTGAGATGCATCTATAGGCTGGAAAGATTTCTTATATCTTTTAAGTCAAATTACCTAGGTAGTTTCCTATTCTGCCTAAAAGTATGAAAGAGCAGGAAAAAACACATCAAGAAAAGTTTGGGTGAAACTACAGGGGAATCTTTAATTTAGGAGACTATCTCATGAGACTGAATGCAACATGAAACAGTCCACAGAAATCATTCTTGTCAGGTTCTTCAATCAACCTATTTCCATTTTTAGACTATGGCATAGTCGGACAATATTATGGGAGAAACATGAACAGTTCTAGCCTAATTATACCATTACATATTTATTTCCCCCCTAGAGAGTCTAAGACTTTCCTAAGAGCCAAATAAGAAATGGCTGGCTGGAAAATCATTTTGAAAGATTGTCTGACTTCAAGACACAAAATTTATCCATATATGGCATATGCAATTATCAGCTGAGTTGCACCAGTAGATTTTGTGAGAAAAATAAAATTACAGAAGACATATAAAATTTATAAAAATGTAACCAGATTTGGAAATTTATAATCAAATCTATTTCATTTGGCAAGTTCATTTTATCAGTGTATGCCACTTCACACCTGGAATGTATCCAAACATTTTCTTATTTGAACAAGTCATCATCAGCACTGTCTCCTATTTTCTACCTGTGCTAATTTTGCTCTTTTATGGTATTAGTGGATAAGAGATGGTAGGAAAAAGCAAGCCTTCTAAGGAAAGTGAGGGAGAGAAGAGAGCGAGAAAGAGAGAAAAGAAAGAGGCCACATTATAAAAAGAGAATGGAGTCCAGTATTGTATTTGTCTACCTTAAAAATCGGTCAATTTGTTAGTTGCCCAATTTGTCTTTTTTTCATAGTGCTAACTTGTGCTACCATTTATAGCAGGGGTTGGTGAACTTTTCTTGTAAAAGTCTAGGTAGTAAATATTTTTAAGTTTTGTAGACCACATACTCAATCTCAATTCTCAACTCAATTCTGCAGTTCTAGCATAAAAGCACCCTTATAAACTATGCAAATGAATGACTGTGGCTGTATTTCAAGAAAACTTTATTTACAGAAAAAAGCAAAAGGCTGGATATGGCTTACAGATTGTATTTTGCCAACTTCTGTCCTATAAAGTTCACAGGGCATGAACGGCATGGTAATATATTTTAGAAGATAGATAGATTATTGTTTTTTCCCAATGTCTCCATTATCAAAATGATTATAATAAACTAATTAAAAGACTGTAATAAGTTTAGTATTTTCATAGTAACCTTGAAATTTAGTATAAAATACCTCATCAGAGTAACGTTAAAAACAATCATTTTGCTGAGCAAATGTCAAATGTCAAGCATCTTAAAGAAAATCAAGGAAAAAGCCCAAATTTTATTTTGCCTTCAGTGTCAATTCAGTTGATGAAAGTTAATACAAATTTGGGCCCCAAAATGCATTTCTGAGATTATAAACAAACACAAAAATTGCTTTTTTGTTGTACCCTGTATGCACTTGACTTTTGTTCATGTCATGCTTCTGCTCTTCAGCAATTCTTCCCACCTAGGCTGCACCTTCTTGTCTGCTATTAGGTTGGTACAACAGTAATTGCAGTAAAAAGTAATGACAAAAACCGCAATCACTGCTGCACAGACCTAATAGATTCATTGCAATCTTTCAAGGCCAATTTATGTCCCATACTTTTCCATAATGCACAGTTAGTGGCCCCTACTGGCCATTTCTTTTCTTTTTTTTTCTTTTCTTTCTTTCTTTCTTTCTTTTTTTTTTTTTTTTTTTTGGTGGTGTTATTATACTTTAAGTTCTAGGGTACGTGTGCACAATGTGCAGGTTTGTTACATAGGTAATACATGTGTCATGCTGGTTTGCTGCACCCATTAACTCGTCATTTACATTAGGTATTTCTCCTAATGCTCCCCGCCCCCCACCCCACGACAGGCCCTGATATGTGATGTTCCCCACCCTGTGTCCAAATGTTCTCATTGTTCAATTCCCACCTATGAGTGAGAACATGTGGTGTTTGGTTTTCTGTCCTTGTGATAGTTTGCCAAGAATGATGGTTTCCAGCTTCATCCATGTCCCTACAAAGGACATGAACTCATCATTTTTTATGGCTGCATAGTATTCCATGGTGTATATGTGCCACATTTTCTTAATCCAGTCTATCATTCATGGACATTTGGGTTGGTTCCAAGTCTTTGCTATTGTGAATAGTGCTGCAATAAACATACATGTGCATGTGTCTTTATATTAGCATGATTTATAATCCTTTGGGTATATACCCAGTAATGGAATGGCTGGGTCAAATGGTATTTCTAGCTGTAGATCCTTGAGGAATCACCACACTGTCTTCCACAATGGTTGAACTGGTTTACACTCCCACCAACAGTGTAAAAGCATTCCTATTTCTCCACATCCTGTCCAGCATCTGTTATTTCCTGACTTTTTAACGATCGCCATTCTAACTGGTGTGAAATGGTATGTCATTGTGGTTTTGATTTGCATTTCTCTGATGACCAGTGATGATGAGCATTTTTTCATGTGTCTGTTGGCTGCATAAATGTCTTCTTTTGAGAAGTATCTGTTCATATCCTTCGCCCACTTTTTGATGGCTTTTTTTTTCTTGTAAATTTGTTTGAGTTCTTTGTAGATTCTGGATATTAGCCCTTTGTCAGATCAGTAAATTGCAAAAATTTTCTCCCATTCTGTAGGTTGCCTGTTCACTCTGATGGTAGTTTCTTTTGCTGTGCAGAAGCTCTTTAGTTTAATTAGATCTCATTTGTCAATTTTGGCTTTTGTTGTCATTGCTTTTGGTGTTTTAGACATGAAGTCCTTGCCCATGCCTATGTCCTGAATGGTATTGCCTGGGTTTTCTTCTAGGGTCTTTATGGTTTTAGGTCTAATATTTAAGTCTTTAATCCATCTTGAATTAATTTTTGTATAAGGTGTAAGGAAGGGATCGAGCTTCAGCTTTCCACATATGACTAGCCAGTTTTCCCAGCACCATTTATTAAATAGGGAATCCTTTCCCCATTTCTTGTTTTTGTCAGGTTTGTAAAAGATCAGATGATTGTAGATGTGTGGTATTATTTCTGAGGTCTCTGTTCTGTTCCGTTGGCCATTTCTTTTTATATCTTCTCTACCATGTCTGTAAGCCTTCAAATCTAGTTCCATTGTCTCATGTTCTCATGATCTGAGGGTGGACACATATCTTTGCATGTTCTCAGAAGCAGCTTTTTGTACAAAGAAGAACTTGCATTTTAAATCATTTATTCCCCGTTGCAAAGGTGGACACTACAGAGTAGCCATACTACCAATTGTATTGCATGAAACAGTGGGCATCTATGAGATGACTGGACAAAATATAAGACAAAATTTGGAGACGTACATACTTGTTGTCATGTTTTTTATAGTATATTTAAACTTCTTATATCAGTTAACCCACATGAAGGGTAAAACTATAATTTTCATCTCAGTGTACAATGTTCAAATCATCTCCTCTAATCTGCCCTATCCTTGAGAGTGAGCTTGGGTACATAACAAGCCTGAGTATTATCTCTACCTTGCAAATAAATATAAAAGCCAAGAAATTTAAGGTGACTCACCCTATATGGCATAGTTGTAATTCTTGTTATAGACTACCTACAACAATATACAATCAGTCAAATGGAGTTTTTCACGATGTTTTGCCTTTTTGAGGACAATACAACCCTTGTTACCAGAATTAAATGATCAAAGATAAAATTGCCTCCTAGAAACAATTTGAAACAAGCAAAAAGAAATGAACAAAAGCCTCAAAACATTTTTGCAGTAAAGAATGTAACCAGAACAGGTGCTTCCTCATGGGCACTTTACAAAAACACAGCCTATTTGAAAATGCTCATTACATTCTCTTAATTTCTCTACCCTCATTCCTTAATAATTAAGGAATCAAATGCATGGTGATGATAACAGGACCCCATGCCTTAAGTGACCATCCCCATCTGCTCCTCATTCCCCACCTGAAGCTATCATCTTCCTTTTAGGCCATCGCCTGGGACAGCTGGAAAGCTGAGAGCGAGCTCATAAATATGAGGTTTCGAAATGCAACCAGACGGTTGCAAAACCTATAATGGATTTGAGGTTTCTAACTCCTGGGGTATTGGCTTTCTTTCCTTTAGTAAAGATGCCTTTTTATGTTTGGTGCTCCCACCACTTCTTCAAAAGAGTGCGGTATGGTTTCCCCACTGAAGATGAAGAGATGTCAGATTTCCTCCTACTTACAAATATTCTTCCTAAGCCTGAATAATGAAGGAAGGCTTGGGTTTCTTTCATTTTATTCTGTTGGTAAAAAAATGCACATACACACACACACACACACACACACACACACACACATATATTCCTAAATGCAGCATAGGATTATCTGTTTTCATGTTTAATGACTAAGATCAAGTGTCTAACTTAAAAATCCCACGTTTGCTACTAAAAGAAAAGGGGGAAAAGGAAAAATTCAAAGTATATTTTTGAGCCTGGTATCAGGGAGGTGAGGGAGAGATGGACTTGGGAAATATGCAAAGTTGATGTCCTCACATAAAATATAAAAGGAAAAGAGGAAGGACATATAAAAGGTAAAACATTGTGACAAGAGAAGAAAAGCAAGCCAATGGAAGTTGTTGATGTAACTGTAGAAGAAAGGCACCTTGATTGAGTAGACAATGCTGCTGTTTGTAAATCTCTTGCCAAGAAGCTATGTAGACTTCGGCAAGTATATGAAACAGTTCAGAGGTTTGCTATACTCATCTGTCATGTAGGATTAGCAATAATATCCCATGTTTGAGCACCAAGCAGCAAGATTCTTTGCCAGACACTGTTGGTTATATCCTAAGAGCCATTCCACCTAGCTTCCTCCTTGATAAAGATTTCTAACCTTGTTTAATATTGGATGATTGTATCCTCCCTGGCTCTTTCTTCTGCTGTGTGATGAAAGCTAATTAGTCTAAGCATTCATGACCATTTATTCAGCTTTGCCTGCTCTGAGTTCACTCAAGGACATATGACAGCCAAACCTCACCAATGATATGGAAGGAAACTTCTGCTGGAGAGATTCAGGAAAAGCAACTTGCCCAAGGTCAACACAGTTGTAGGCAGCTGAGCCAAGATTCAAACCCAGGAAGTCTGACTTGGTCTTATTTTGAGAAATATATATGAGAGACCAAGAGTTCATTTCTCTCTGACTTTACAGTGAACATTCTCAGATTGTAACATGAAAAAGAATATTTTGCAGAGCTTTTTAAGTACATATTCCAAATTCCATGCTAATTTTATTATCAAACTCCCTTGTCAGGTTACTGTGTTTCAGATGAACTTGAGACCATAGCATGGGATGAGGGTTTACAGATTTTTGTTTTGTAAATGGTATTGAAAAATAGACAGTTCCTTATCTTTGTTGTATACAGTGGCTTATTTAGTGGGGAAATTACATGGATTATTCTCTAGACTCAGGGACATAAGTGTATGATTTTTAAATGTCTTGTGTTTGGTGATAAATGCTAGATTTCTGTCCCTTGATTAGACAGAACATGTACAAATTGCTTATTATTTATAACACTATGTGTTTGATATGATTACTGGAGTAGTCATTGAGGATGGTAAATTTATTCGCTTATTTTTCTAGAAAAGTGCTGTCCAGCACAACTTTGGAAAATGGTGAAAATGTTCTGTATCTGTGAGTGGCCTTTCCTCATACATGGCCATCACAAACTTAAAATGACTGGTGCAACTGAGGAAATAAATCAACAATTTAATTTAATTTAATTTTTATTTATTTATATTTTAATAGCCACTGTGATTAGTGTCTAAACTATGTGGCTTTGAAATAATAGGTACCTGTGCATACACAGGCATTTAAACAAGCTGAGCAGTTATTTTCTTATTGATAAGTCTGATTTGTAGAATGGTCTATGCCAAGAAGTTCACTTCTCTTGAGAGATTAACATGTGGCTTTAATTCTTTATATTTGTTGGGGCAAAGTGTGTGTCTTCACAGCCTTGCCATTCCCAGGGCCGCCCCCCTACCTTTGTTGGGCAATGTAATCTCAATGTCAGACACATTCATGGGGGCTGCCCTTATAGAAACCTAACAAACAATAGGCTGGCATCCTGACGAGCTGCCACAGTGCTCCCAGGACAGGAACCACCTTTGCAGAGAGACTGACTCATTCATTATTCTGAAAGATTAAGTACCAAATACCTCATTAGAGAAACTGTAAGCTGAAAAACAGATAACAGCTGGAGAAAGGGAAAAAAGCCATTTGCAGATGAGAAAGTGGTGAGGGTAGAACTAATTGGTTCTTCACTGAATAGGTCTGGCTTTCTTTCCCAATCACCCAGGGCCACATTTTGCCCAGAACCGATGCCCATGAGCTTCTGGATTCTTGCTGCAGTTGCCAGGTAATACTTACCATTAGAGTCCTAATGGAATTAGTAGAAATGACAGACTGTTCAATAAATCACACACTAGTCTCTTCCATTTGAATGAGAATTGACTGGCACAAATGACTGATTAACGTTGACAAAGCCATATGGGTTCAAATCATATTCCTTTTGTTCATATTTTCAAACAATTTAAATTGTATTTTTCTTGAAGTTCCATCATTAAGATTTTGTTTGCTTGTTTTGTTTTTTTCCAGACAGCATAGGAGAAAGGAAAGTAGGATTAATTCTCAGGCCTAACTTGCACTGGCTGTATGATCTGGGGAAAAACAGTTAACCTTTAAGCCTGTGGTTCCTCATCTGTAAAATAGTTTATTCCTTAAAGGTGTAACACTCAGCAGAGTCTAGCTTTCAAGAATGGAGTCGTCATCAAGACAGTTTCTTCAAATCCTTCAAATATTTCCAGCCTCACACAGATACAATATATTTTGGCCTTCATGATGGTTAATTTTACCTACGAAATTGACTGAATTAAGGAATGCCCAGACAGCTGGTAAAATATTATTTCTGGGTGTGTCTGCCAGAGAGTTCAGAAGAGATTGGCTCTTGAATAGGTAGATTAAATAAACAAGTCTTCCCTTACCGAAGTGGGTGGACATCATCCAATCAGTTGAGGGACCAGATTTTGGGGGTGGGGGGGAAGCAAAGAAATGGAAGAGCAAATTGCTTTATCTTTGTTTGAGCTGGGACATCCATCTTCTCCCATTCTGGGATATAGGTGTTCCTGATTCTCGGGATTGGACTCAAACCAGGACTTACTCCATGACTTCCTCCCAACTCATCCACCCTCATCCCCAGTTCTCAGGCCTTCAGCCTTAGATTGAATTACACCACCAGCTTTCCTGTTTCTTCTAGCATGCCAATAGCAGATTGTGGACTTCTTAGCATCCGTTTTCAGATAAACCAATTTGTATAATAAATCTCTTACATTTCTCTCTCTCTGCAACCTATTGATTCTGTTTCTCTAGAAAATCCCAATACAGGCTTTTTGACACATAATTATAAGGTGTCCTATCAATTCAATTTTACTTTTACCTTTTAAGTAGACTGCAAGCTCCTAAAAGTCAGGTACAAACTGACAGCCTCACCAGCTTTCAGTCCAACAGAACACAGCCCACTGTTTGTCTAAACACAATCTTTTCACCTCAGTCACACTTACTGATTGAAAGCATGCAGGGTGTTGGGACTTTTAAGGGAATTGGCTTACTAAGAGTGCTTGTCCAGATTCAGGTAAGAGTCAGTGAAGGAACTTGAGGTGGAGTGTGGAGTTCAAATAAGGTAAGTGCTATTCGGTACTGGGAGTCTGTGAAAACAGCAGTAATCAGTAGATCTTTTCTACTTGGCAGCAGACTCTATACCCTGGGCTCTGGGTCAGGACCTCTTCTCTATTCACAGGAGGAAAAAGGCTTAAGAAGAGCAGAGTTGGTTCCCTAAATCAAAGTTTGATTTTGGTGCATAATTCTTATGCTAACACAGCAATAAGAAATCAGTCAAAGTAACTGTTTGGAACTCCAAGGTAACAGAAGTCCAATTTTAGGCAAATGAGGCAAGAGGGAGTGTACAGTCTGATGACAAGGAAGCACAGGTGGATTTGCAGCCAATGTTAGTGTCAGAAACCCAAAGGTTCAAAAAGGGGATCCGTGTCTGGCTGGACTCTCAGTTCTAGGTCTAGGTCTAGATGGATAACTTGTTTTTTTGTTTGTTTGTTTGTTTGTTTGTTTGAGACGGAGTCTTGCTCTGTCTCCAGGCTAGAATGCAGTGGCGTGATCTCGACTCACTGTAACCTCCGCCTTCCGGGTTCAAGCAATTCTCCTGCCTCTGCCTCCTTAGTAACTGGGACTACAGGTGCATGCCACCACACCCGGCTAATTGTTGTATTTTTCGTGGAGATGGGTTCCACCATGTTTGTCAGGATGGTCTCGATCTCTTGACCTCATTATTGGCCTGCCTTGGCCTCCCAAAGTGCTGGGATTACAGGCATGAGCCACTGCACCCAGCCAATGGATAACTTTTTACAACGTTCCACTAAGTTAGAGGTTGGCAAAGAAAGCACAGATCTGATGTTGGATGAATGTTATGTTTCATCAGGATACAGACCTGATGCAGAATAGAGCCTAGAGGTAGAAAACTTCCTTGGTCTTTCTTGATCTCAGCTGTGAGTTGCAGGCAAAGCAGATTCAGAAGAATTCAGTTTGTGAAAAGTGCCTGATATTCTTAAGAAATGAAAATGCATCTCCTGGGCACCACTCACTTGTTCTTTTGCTGACTTTTTCCTGTTATAAAGATTAGCTAAGGTCTAGTTGGCTGTCCATATCTGGAACACTGATAAATGACCACTGGGTGGAATTGGATTGTAACACAGCTACTCAAGTAGTAACCATAGGAATAAAAGAAAAAAATTGGGACCAGGAAACCAGTCATCATTAGAACACTGGTGAGGCTGATAGATCGATAGCAGTCACTAAAGCCTTCGTGCCAGAAGGCCTGGTGTCCCATGCACCACGGGCATCCTTAAGGCTGATTCACAGCACTTTAGTCTGACCTCAGTCCTACCTCCAAACAGCCTGGTCTTCATTTTAGTTTCTATCTTGGGTAAACCCTCATCCTCAGATGTGTTTGGATTCTGTTTGCTTTCCTCCTCTGCCCCTACATTTACCTCTAGGACAAGAGGAGTTTTGAAAAGAAGCCTGCTTTTTTTTTTTTTTTTTAAATCAACTTCTGTTCCCAAGTGTTGAAATTTGCTAAATTGCCTATTCCTGTCTGGCTGCATACTCTGACCCTCTCACTCACTCACACACAGACACACACACACATAGAGGTCCATCTTTCCTAGACACAACTGAACTATATGGATGCATCCCTTTTTTTTTTTTTTTTTTTTTTGAGACGGAGTTTTGCTCTGTCGCCCAGGCTGGAGTGCAGTGGCGCGATCTCGACTCACTGCAAGCTCCGCCTCGCGGGTTCACGCCATTCTCCTGCCTCAGCCTCCCGTGTAGCTGGGACTACAGGCGCGCGCCACCATGCCCGGCTAATTTTTGTATTTTTAGTAGAGACGGGGTTTCACCGTGTTAGCCAGGATGGTCTCGATCTCCTGACCTCGTGATCCGCCCGTCTCGGCCTCCCAAAGTGCTGGGATTACAGGCGTGAGCCACTGCGCCCGGCCACATCCCTTTTTAATATTGCATTTTAGGTAGCACTTTGTATGTTTTGAAGTGATTAGGAACACAGATTCTGGAGTTTGACACCCCTTGAACAAAAAGATGGCTCCACCTCTTATGATTTGGGGCTTAAATTAAGCAAATTATTAAATCTATTTAAGCATTTGATTCTTTCAATCTATAATGAAGAAAAACGCAACCTATGTCATTATGAAGCTTAGCTTTCCCTAATACTTAATAGCCACTCAGTTAATGTTGTCTCTGTTGTTAGTTAGTATTAATAGCATTATAAAATTTCCCTTGTTATATCCATTTTCAGATGCCAGATATAATCCCTAGTTCAAACTTGTCCTCGGTGCTAATTAATTTTCATCCTTAACAAATTGCTTCACCTTAAAAAGCTAAGGTTAAAAAAAAAATAAATCAACCAACCAACCAACCAACCAACCAACCACAACAAAACAAGCTCAGTCTTTCTTTCCCCCAGTGATTCTTGGAAATTATCACTATCTAATGAAATAATGCTTATCATTTAGGGTAAGCAGTGTATTAGCCACACATTTTATAAACATGTTTTCCTAGATTGCTCATCTCATTCACTCATGTAGTCAGAATGTATAAATTAGTCA
Organism: Homo sapiens; assembly: GCF_000001405.40. Lineage (NCBI taxonomy): Eukaryota > Metazoa > Chordata > Mammalia > Primates > Hominidae > Homo > Homo sapiens. Next base: position 40,371,870 of record NC_000018.10, read on the forward strand.
TTTACATATCAGGAAATGGAAACGTGACAATACATTCTTTGCCTATGAGAAAACCATATGAGAATGTGGGCATGATGAAAAGGTCAAGTCTTAACCAGGCTTGTTACCCACTAATCACTAGATTTCAAGAGCTTGTGTACTATTGTTATGGTCCATGATACATAACCTGTATAAACCATTTCTTTGAGTAGGGGGATAGAAAAAAACATTTGCTCAATAGTGAATAAGAAACCGAAGAGGCTTAGATAATACAGTGGGTTTCAGTTAAAAATGATGCCATCCCAATGAAGCAGTGGTTCATTCTTTCCTGTACATTTCACGCATAAGCCTCGAGCCAGGTTGCCACACATTCTCTTAGCTATATCCCCTCCCCTCTTTGCACTGTCTAATAACCTCAGCCAGACTAATTTCCTCAAGCTTTTCTTCAAGACCCTGGAGTCTTCCTTATTTTTATTGCAATGCTCACTAGTGTTTGACTGGGGAGCTTCTGGGCAACATATCTTCCCACTGATATGTTTGGGTAGGCTGTACAGTTTCCATACCAGTCATTTCCATTTCTCTCTAACATTCTACATTCTCTTTTGTGTTTTCTACTGCAGCTCCTCACACAATCCATCCTCCCATTCTCCCTTTCCTGGGCCAGCTCTCCCTATCTATTCTTGCTGAAGTCTTCTTTCCTTACTATTATACATCTCTTATGTATTATACATAAAGTCTTTGTCATCTGACCTAAAAGACTGAGCTCCTTTATTTATTTATTTATTTTTGAGACAGAGTTTTGCGTTGTTGCCCAGGCTAGAGTGCAGTGGTGTAATCATGGCTCAAGACTCACTGCAGCCTTGAATTCCTGGGCTCAAGCAATCCCCCTGCCTCAACCTCCCAAGCAGCTAGGACTGTATCAGCACACCTGGCCAATTTTTCTATTTGCTCTAGAGATGGCGTATCACTATATTGCCCAGATGGTCTTGAACTCCTGACTTGAAGCAGTCCTCCTGCCTCAGCTTGCGAAAATGTTGAGATTGCAGACATTGGCCACCACACCTGGCCATGAGCTCTTTTTATTAGAAGGTCTGGAATATTCTACTATTTCCTTTGGGTTTATTTTCATTGTAATGGTTATTTGAATCAATTGCATCTGAGAACCACCTGAGAGCATAGATCATATTGCACAAATCTTCTATTTGTATTACTCATTTATGCTAATTGAGAGAAACTTGAAAGATAATTTGAGTAGCTTTTCAATATTTTAAAATGGCAGCCCTTTGGTTCAAACATAGAAGCCTAGAGTTAGAACAGACTAGAGCTCTGTAAACTACTTATCCCAATCTATTCACTTTATCTAGATTGACATTTGTGTAGAGAATCCCCAGAACTCTGAGGAACAGAGATAGGAAGTCACTGAAGTACAGTTTCACTTCATTAATGAGGAGGCAGGGGTTGCGGGTGAATTCAGATTACCAGCCTAAAGTCACAGAGCTGACATCTTGCACAGGGCTGGGAAATCAGTCAACTCAGGGTAAGTACTAGTTGAATTGAATGTGATAGTTTGTTGCCAGTTGTTGAGTAGCAGATTACCTAAGCTTCACTTAATGATCATTTCTATGAGGAGAAAATATGTAACATAATAGTTAGGAGACATTGTGTGATATATGCTTGCTTCTGCTAAGATTTTAAGATGCCTGGAATGTAAGGCAATTCATGACTAGTTATTGCCCGCAAAGCAACTGGGGAAAGTTAAGAAGCTTGATGAACTGAGGTTATCTTAGAGTCTTCCTTGTTTGTTGCTGACTTAAATATTCTCCATTTGTATCACTCTTTCAATGAGTCAGTTAACAAAATAAGATGAACACTGGCCTTGCAAATGGAGATCACATAATTCCTCTGAGGTCAACAGCATTTTGAAGGGGTCTTTTTACTCTCAATCAAGCAGAACTCTTGTGGAAATATTCTGTCCTTGTGCAATGCCTCTGAAGGGATTGAAGATACATAGCTGCACAGTGTTCATTATTATTAACTCAGTCCTTAGGTAAACTAAGTAATTTGCAACAAGAGCCTTAATATTTCATAAAATAGGACACTAGTTTTTTCTTCTCTCATTTATTCATTTAACAAAGTTCTTTTGATTGAGAGGATTGTTTGCCCTATTTAGGTACCTCCTTTGCAAACTGCAAGCCTGGTGGGTTTAAGAGGCTTCAAATGTGGATCTTAGCCATGTAGATTTTCACCCTCTGTGAAGTAGTAATTAATACATGAAATTTAGAAATCTCTTAATTAATACCATGAAACAATTTCTCAGGTGGGTGTAGAACTAAGGAAATTATATTTTCAAGGTGACTCAGGACTCCACACTGCAAGCCATAATCTGGAGTTTACTACCTATTTAATAGCCTATCACCTCCCTTTTCCTGACTTGAAAAGGAAAGAAGCCAGTATGTGTGAAGCAATGTACCTGATGGCAAACCTGTATCTTTTGAAAGATGATCCACATTCATGCAGTACAATAGTCTATATGTACTCTGCAATATTGACTACTCTAATGTGGAATGAAGTTCTGCTTTCATATGCCATTTGTGTCTCTCTAATAATATTCTCTCTGATTTTCTTGTCTGTTATTTTCTCTTGTGTTCATCTAGTTCTTCTGTGACCTTTAGTGTTTCCTCAATATAAACACATCCCTCACTAACCTCTATTCGTTGACTTAATCTCCTTGAAAAACTGTAAAAATACATACAATTTACCCCTTTGAGTATGTGTGCCAACCACCATTCAGTTGTTAAATTGACAAAGAAGTAAAACTTTAGGTTTACTTGAAAGGCAAATTTAATCTGATAGTTATACTTTTTCATAGTTAATATAGAATAACAGTGCTGGACTATCTCAAATTTTAGAGTGGTACATGTGAACCTGAGACCTTGCTAGAACTAAGTACCTTTCTATCCAGCAAAGCATCCATCCCTGATGATTCGTGTGTCCCTGATCATCCAGCTGTTTATCCTCTGAGGAAGATTTCAGTAGGTGTTTACACTCTCAGTCAGTCAGGGTTCAACCCAAGCTTATTTCTCAAGGTCCACTGATTTGGGACATGATACTTTCCATCCTTTAGTTTTTCCAACATATGTGGATACTCCTTAAATGCACACTTGAGATATTTATTTCCCTAGTACCCCATGATGATCTTCTAGTCCTGGTGGCTCCAACAAACTTCATAACACCTAAGACAAAATTGAGAATTACCTTTAAGTGTTTGGAGAGAAAAATAATTTTTGAAACTATCAAATGCTTAAACACTGAGTGAGGTAATTTAATGTAAGCTTGTTATTTTAATCTTAGAATTTCAATCTTATTTTTCTAGTTAACTGTTGGCTTACTTTGGTGTTTATTCAATGTTGTATTTGATGCATCACTACAATGCATTTCAAAGTTTTTGTATGCTAAACCTTTCTATGAATTACTTATAATTCTATCTCATTTACTCAGGCTGAAGTTAAGGAAAAGAAAAAAAATGAAGCACACTTCAAACAAATGCAGTCAAATTATAATAGCAAAATAGCAATAGTCCTGACCACCCATATAATGAGACTTCAGCTCCCCGAGAACATGGCACAACACATGTGTCAGTGTCAACCCAAGGCTGAGATCTAATTAGGGCACATTCAGCCGGTCTGATTATGTGTTTCTTGTTTGGTGACAAATCCGTTCATTTTGCAACAACATTTCCGCAAACGTCCAACAATTTGTTTCAGAGCCTGAAGCAGATTTTTAAAATATATAATTTTATGAAGTGGTGAATAAGAGTGTTTCTCAGCAAATAACCGTTCACATATAATCTGTTTATCTGACCCTTTAGATGAAATTGCCAAGCCTGATGAATGGTCCAATTCTATCAATTAATATTTTTGAATACTAATTTTTTTTAACTGAAGACAATTGACTGATGAAAGATTTAGCTGATTTAATTTGGCTGAGTACTTCAGTTGTGTATGTAGATTGTTGTGGTTTTCAAAGACCAAATATGTCAGGGAAACATCTTTAAATAGTAGAAATACACTGGATGCTAGATCTGGGTTTTGTTGCAAATTTGTGGTGTGATTCTGGCAGAGTCGACTTTCATAAGGTTTGTAAATCAGACTCTTGTAAAGGAAGCTAGACAGGAAGTCAAGAGTTCTAGAATTCTAGTCTTTGCCCTATCTATTCAGGGCCTACTTCTCTTCACATAAAATATGACAAATTTATATCAGTGTCTTCTGAAGTTAGCAAACCCAAATTTTAGGCTTCTGTCCCATAAGCCATCAATTATTCAGGCTGTGGTTCTTGGGCAGTGACATCACAGGCTCTCTTGACCTTCAGAAGAATGTTTTACATTTTGGTGATTGTAAATAAAGGCATCTCTGTGTGTGAGCATACTATTTTCCATATGGAGTAAGAGTGGTGCTGATCTATATTAGGGAGAAAAAGTACTCCTCAGTAAACACAACATGCTGATATAGAATAGTTCAGGGTTTTTTGTTTTGTTTTCTTTTGCTTTGTTCCTTGGATTGGTGTGTAGATGTGTGCTGGAGAGGAGGGAAGCATCACATACAACATTAAGCATACCTTGGCGGGAATTGCTTTGTAAATGAACCCTAAAGTAAATGTCTTTATATATACACCACACACACACACACACACACACACACACACAAAGAAACACACACATTATGAACAAAAGAAATTTAAAATAAAACTTGTCCCTTGTAACGTGAACCTATGTGAATGCAAGCATTCAGTTTGTACATAGGTATTTTTATTTTGGGTTTTCTGAAACTGTATGTATATTCTGAGTGATTCTTACACTCTCTTTCTTTATATATATATAATATATATATTATGTATATATATATTCTATATATATACATAATATGTATATAATTTGCCCAAGTATGAAGGCTTCTTTTTCTTTGTAATATTTATAGAGCCTTGACATTGAGACTTAACCTTTAGAATAATATTTGACAGTAATGATGCTAGACAAAAGAAATTACTATTGTAGAGGTAACAAAAATCACTGATTACTAAAAAATGGAATAACAGTCACTTGGTTTATAATATTAAGATACTCAGAGGAAACAAAACAGTCAGGAAAACTGGATGTTTGGTGCCACTTGTGAAATTCAACATGAGAAAATCCAAATTTGCAACCTTTTCCAGTAGTTTTTTTTTTCTTTGTCATAGGCAGTGGTTTACAAGTTATTTTTCCCCAATGAATGTATCTATACATTTCCAAGCTAAATTTAAGTTACTTATTTTTTGCTGACAGCTCTAACTTCTTTTATTGGATTTTTATTTTTTTCCTCTTCTCACTAGTACTTGCAACAACTTCCAATTCAGTGTTGCTTAATGTTTTCATTAGTGTGTGGTTCCCTCCCTCTTTCAGCTCATTAATAAAGGTATTAAATAAAGCTGGCTCCTCTACTGATGCTCTCTCCACAGTGCCTCCCTCAAACTGGATATATTTCCATTCATTACTGCTCTCAGCTTACCATGATCCAGGCAGGCAATGTAAGTATACTCTTCTCTAGGTATATTTGGACTATATTCTATAAATGCATTTTTATTACTTGTGGGACCTGATGTTTTTCTCCACTCTATATGGATCATTACTAAAATCAAACCTAGGCAAAACCAGGAGAATGTCAGGGAAATAAATCCACTAGTTTAAAAGGTGTTGGTATAATGGTTTGTTTTTTTGTGATGGTTGAGGAAGTCTGAAACCAACAAGATTGATGCAGTTTGCATGTCAGACACAGTAGATAATCTGTAGGGCTGGAACAATCACTTCCTATTCCTATAGGCCAGAAAAATGCATCAATGAATAGACAGACATGTTTATTATTCCCAATAAATGCTCTGGGCCTGACAATTTTTCTCAGTTTAATGTATGAATTTCATTTCATATCAGCAATAAGATACTCCAGGCTGTGCATTTGTTAGGGATTATTGCACTTCTTGGGTGGTTTAAGTCATACTGCCTTTAGTCTTATGCCATATAACGTGACCCAAGGCGCCTGATAAATAGCAGAGCAATGCACTGCCTGTCATGTATTATAGCTTGAATAGCCTTGTAAAGGGACATGGATTATAGAGGTATGATAATAACTATAAAACGGGAGTGGTAATTTAAGTGCCTGCATAGGATAATCTGTATGATTAGTATTTTTTAACATTTTGGTCTTTTATGTTTCATTGTGCTTAGATTTTCATTTACTGAAATCAGTGTTCAACAATACAATGTGCTAATGGCACTGAAGGTAATTCAATACCTAATTTAATATTTCAAACCTTCTCAATGTTTTGTTTACCAATTAGCTGTCAGAGGTTAGGTTGTAATTAGCTGACTTACACAGCAGCCTCATTGGGTCAGAAATCACACGTAATCACCATAAGTTACAGCAAATACTCTAAGGATTGAATTCTTAAACTCCAAGCAAAAGTAATATCACAGAGAGAATGCCTTGCAACTTCAATATCACAACTGAAAGGGCAACTGAGCACTACTTATGTTTTAAAACTAAAGTTGGAAATTTATGACATATAACATTTGGCCAAATGGGGATTTGACATTTTGTAAGCCAGCATCTTATGATATCAAATGAATTTTTTTAGTTTTGTTATTTTTATTTTTATTTTTTGGTGTTGTTACATCCAGATGTATGACATAATGGTGACCAAATGTATCTACATTTTGTTTCCAAGTCATTTATTATAAAAGAAATAATAAGGACAATTTTAATTATCAAGAGGCTGGTCATTGTTAATGAGGAAAAAGGATGAACAAATATGTAGTTTCAAGTCTACAAGTTTCTAATTCTTCTGCATTAGCTGACTTGCACAAAACAATAACCTGCAAGTCAGCATGTAACATTTTCCCCATCACTTGAGTGGGAAAACTATCATGTTAGTGTGTACTTAGAAGGTGGACAATAGATGTATATTTATGATGCCTATAATTTTCTTGTTGTGCTATAATCATGATACACAAAGTGTTGTGGAAATGACCCATCACCACACACCTCTCATACTGACTGTACCCTATGCCACTCAATTGTCATTCCATTTCAGGCCAAATATTCATTTTAACATCTTCTCATCTTGCATAAAATTACATGGCTGTATCATAGAATTACTCAATCATAGAATCGATTAAGAGCTTTCAAAAACAAGCTTTTACCCATAAAGAAATTCTTAGGACAGCATCCTAAGTGAGTGGTCATTCTCTCCTGTAATGGATTTACACTGATGGAAGCTACTATTAGAATTTTTTCAAGTTATATCAAAATAGACCTGTTCGTAATCTCTAAACCTTGGTCAAGGTCTGGCTTTTTATGTCAACATAAAAATAAATACCATTTAGCTTCTGATTGTAAATTTCTATGAACAGCAAACACTCACTTTCAATCCTAGATAGGAAGTTCTAGAAGGCACATCGCTAATTGTAGCCTGTATGCTTAATGATGAAATTCTCTCGTGACTGTAGAATGTTCGGCAAAGAAGTTTATAGATTAAATTTTGCCATGCTTCATTCAGTGAAAGGAGAAGAAAGACAGATAACGTTGACAATAGCCTCCATTTAAATTCATGTAATAGATCTAATATGGTACTTTGTAGCATTTTGCAGAGCTGTTCTTTTTATTTTATCAGGATAGGAACAGTTACTTTTTAACAAAAGAATAGGGTTGAAAGAATGTAATAAAAAAGAAAAAGTACCTCAACATTGTCATATTTCACTGTAATAATGTACAGATTATCATGCATATTATTGGTTCAAAATTTTATTCTCCCTTTATTACTCTTTGGAATTGTAAGCTTGCTGAGGGCCGAAATCAAGCCTGACCACTTATCTTTGCAACTACATTAAGTCTGCCAAGAGAAAAGATATTCTATCAAGGATAGATAAAATTAGTTATTGAAAAAGAAAGTTGACAGGGCACAATGACTCATGGTTGTAATCCCAGCATTTTAGGAGGCTAAGACAGGAGAATCATTTAAGCCCAGGAGTCAGGACTAACCTGGGCAAGATAGTGAGACCCTATCGCTACAATTTTTTTTTTCAAAAATTAGCCAGGCATGATGGCGGGCACCTGCAGTCCCAGTTGCTAGGGAGCCTGACGCAGGAGGATTGCTTGAGCCTAGGAACTCGAGGCAATAATGGGCTATGATCAAGCCACTGCACTCCAGTCTGGGCAACAAAGTGAGACCCCATCCTTAGAAAAAAAATAAAATAAAATAAAAAATTAAAAACTAAAAATTAAAAAAAGAAAGTTTCTTCTATAGGATCCTTAACCCCCAACTGATATATTATCCCCACTTTCCCTCTTTAACTATACTCTTTCCATCAAAGCTTTTCAGTTCACTATGGCCTACAGTCATTGCTCCTTTTTTGTTTGAGTAATAAGCAATAGACCATTGTTACACTTAATCATAAGTTGCACTGTGAAATTAATTGCATTGTCAAACTGAGCTTTTTTATGTTTTATATGATTATTTAATGTTTTATGTATTTGTCTTTGTTGACCAACGGGACTTGATGCTATCAGTAGTAAGACTACTTTTCCACATCACTACATTTTGCATTTCCTCAGCACATTGCATTGAGCTAGGCACATAGCAAAAACCCAAGATACATTTGCACATGTTTTATCAGATACTTAGCTGCTTATTTAATTATTTCCAGCACCCAGGTCATCTGACCTTACTGGGGGAATGTAAATGGTAGAAAAATTTCAGTTCCTATTCAGTGTCTCATGTGGTTAGAACTGAGCATCAATGAGGTGAGGTAGAATGTACTTCATCATTAATGTCTCCCTTCAGAAACTGCACAATGACAGCCTAAAGTTTTTTTTTCTTTTTTCCCCCCACATATATATTTGAATGCTCAGAAAAGATAAGAAAGCCTGAAGAAGAACAGATGTGTTAGAAGTGTGAAATGGATTAACATCAAAGCCCCCTGGGAAAAATCTGAAACATGAAATGCAGGCTCCTGACTGACAAGAGCTATTCAGAGAGCGTTCAAAGCCCGGCAGTGCATTTCGGGCTGTGTCTCTTCCTGAGCTGTGAGAGGCCTGTGTGGCAGGTAGAGATGCTCGGGGAAAAAAAAATCCCTTTCTGAACTTTGGGGAAATGTAGCCTCTGCGTGTGCTGATGTGCAAGAGAAGGGAAAGGCAAGGCACTTTTTTTTTAACCATGAAAAGACACAGTCTGTTTCATATATAGGCAGAGAAACAAGCCACTGATGTATTTGATACGAAGGGTAGTGGGAAGCACTCCATGCATAAAATCCTGCTTACCCATCACAGTGACTCCAGTGTTCAGTATTTATGAGTAATTCTTCTGGTCTTTACAGGCTAGAAGCAGTAAGTGCCCAATATCCCTTGTCATTCTACCATGACCTCATAGATTTTAAAGAATCAGGAAAAACTAGTTATTTATTTTCATTCCTTAGTAGTACAAGGCCAGAGGCTAGAAACTACATTATCTTTCACAATAATTTCACACTAGTTATTTTTAACTTATAATATTTTTAGAAAGTATATTTGTTTTAAACACATAAACTTGGCTGTTTGTCAAAGTTGAAGGGTAAATTTAGTGACAGCTTAGATCTGGAAATCCTGAATGTGATTTGATAAAGATAAATATAATAAGACAAAAAGTGGGAGAGAACCCTTTGGAATTACAGTGAGCATCCTAATTAGAGAATGTGTCCCACCCATTATTATAGATCTTAAGACTGAGTTATCACCTCACTTTATGACCATGCTTTCAATGGTTAGACCTTTAGATTGTGACTGCAAAGCAATTAGACCTTTGATTCTTCTTTTTGAAGCCGCAGTGAAACACCTATAAACAAAATGGTCCTTAGGCATTTAACCTTGCAGCCCCCATGGGGGTATATTTAAAGTGATAAGACCTTCTTTATGAAGGTGAGATTGATGGTGGAGGAAAGTCAAAAGACATTGAAATTGCACCTGCCAAATAAAGTGATTCTACTTTTCATAAACTAACTCCAGAAGCCATTTTTTTGTCTCTTAGGAAAGTTAGAAGATAGTGGAAAATGTCTATTTACTTGTAATGAAGAATCATGAATATCCCAACTCATCTCCTATCAGAACTTACACCCACTAAGGAAAACGCACTTCTGTTCCAACCTTTTCTACACAATTTAAAATATCAATTAATTAACTGAGTCAACAAATATTTATTAGGAGTGTCTGATTTTCTAGGCAATATTGTGGGAATACGAGTGAGAACAAAAATTTTTGATTATGATTGATGCATCTCACACTGGGTAATTATTTATGTAAATCAACCATGTGGCGTTTGTCATATCTGCTTGTTTATTGTTGGCTATATTATTTCTTTTCATGTTACCCATCTCCACCAATTTTTATCTACATTGAATGTTATTGAAATATTATTGAAGTAAATATAGTGTTGCAATTTGTGATTCATCTGCAGAGTCAAGTACTTGTGGGTTTAAATCCTACATTCTTAATTTAATGACTTTGGCAACATTTAGAAATGTCTTTGTTCGTCCATTGCTAATGTCTCCAATAGTCTTTTTTAAAAATTGCAAAATGTGAAAAAAAAAGATTGCTTTGCTGATGTTGTGATTCAACAAATGTAATAGACATAAAGAACTTAGCATGATGCTTTGACAAAGATGCTCAATGGTGTCATTGATGAGGGTAGACACCATAGCTTCTCTGTCCACTCAGTCCCCTGGAAAGCCTTGTGCATTACCTAATGAGGTTGATACCTAATGCAGGTACATTGATTAATTTTGATGAATCTGTTACTAAAATGTTTAATGTTTTGTCAAAGAAAAACTTTCTTGGCATTTACAAATATGTAAAGCTGGCTCTATGTGTGTGACTGTCAGTGTGATACAATTTGAGATTCATGAAGAAGTACAAGGCCCTAGTTCCACTGAACTGTTTTGTTTCCTAGAATCTTCTGATAATTAAAATCATTTTCAAGATAAGCATTATCTTTTATTGCAGACCACTTTTTAAGTGTAGATATCACAAAGATGGGTAGCATACAAATTTATTAACTTTTTCTATAACTTAATTCATCAAAATAAATATCTAAATTTTAAAAACATCACTCATAGATCCCTCAGTTACAGAAAATATCTCATTCATCTTTGTGTTCACAGTACATAGAAAAGTAGATAGTAGGCACTTAATTTTATTCAAATGGATCAATGTATAAATCCATGCATGGATAAGAAAGACTGTTCTTTCAAAAGCATGCTAGTGTGTATTTAGTTTTGGGGTTTGTGCTGGTGGGGTTGATTGGTTGGTACAGGCTACTGAGCTGTGAATGGGATCGGAATTTAAGTGGTTGAAGCACAGAATACTGAAAAATATTTTTCCTACCTTATAATTTTCCATCTTTTCTCTGGTGACATCAAACAGCCATTTGTCTAGACTGTGACTTAAGGTCTGTCACAATCTACAGAGGACAATCTTGGTCTTATGTATGTTGAGAATTGGGGCAGAATTCCTCCCCTGAGCCAGAGAGTTTCTTTTCCACCAGAGGCATTATTGTGAAGCTGCTAAGGGAGCTTCGACTGCTCATTTCCTCTAAGGTTAAAAAAAAAGAAAAAGGAAAAAACAGAAAAACAAGAAACCAGTAGAGGTGAGTTATTACCTAACTACAGATATTATCTGAGGGTAAAATCTGGAGCTGTAGGGAATACTTGATCTTAAATTTTTATCTCAAACTTTTGAAGAATAAAAAAGAAATCTGAACAGTATAGGTACTTATTTCTGTAAAAAAATTTTTTTTTGTGAGAAGATTACAATCAACACATTTTCCCTTTTACTGAACTTGGATGTCTGCTTGAGGCTATTGTGTGGTGTTTAGCTAGTGTCTTCTAAATTGTTCATGAATTTTCCACCAACTCATTCTTTATATGGGAAGTTGTCATTTGAAAAAGAAAAACTTGAGTTACAAATGTATCCTTTGCCGTCCTGGCTGGAGTAGACTGGGTAGTAGGGTGAAGTGTCTGCCTCTAATTATGGAGAGAGAAATACTGACACAGGGAGGGAGAGCACCATAGAGAGCTTCCTCTCTAAGAGTTTAAATCACTATCATGACTTACATTACAGAGTTCACATAGTAGGAAATTAACACTAGCATTTGAATATATGAAATCAGAAAAATGTATTGATATATTTTTATTCTTGCTATTAAGGAATTATTATTAAATTGATAAAAGCAAGGGAAGAAGGAAGAAGCAGTACTAGAGATGAGTTGGTAACAACCTGGGCCACAAAATGATGACTAGATGCATCTACCAGAATAGAAGCCCAGAAAATATGAAAGGTGTCAATAGAAGGAAACTGAGGTGATTAGGTGTCAACATCAGAGAGATATCATGCAAGCAATGGGAAAATAGTTCAACACCTAGGTAAAGAAAATAATTTGAAAGGATTGGTGGGAGGTGGTAAGTAGATATTTAAAGAGATACATGGTTGGAACCAGAGAGACCTGATGGTGGAAAAGAGAGACCAGAACCCAGCCATGTCCCAGTCTACAGGAAATTATCAATGTCACTTAGGACACGGGGTTCAAACCCAAAGTTAGTGTCAAACAGGGAAACTACTGAGTTATTAAAATTGGACACACAGTAGGAGTTATTATGAGATATAAGACAAAAAATATCAGTTGCTGAAAACTAAGCATGACTAACATCCTGCTAATTAAATGATGAGCCTCCAGGCTGCAGACACACCATTTTTTATATTTCATCTTTTTTTTGTATTTTTTATTTTATTTTTTATTTTTATTGAGACAGTCTAGCTCTGTCGCCCAGGCTGGAGTAGAGTGGCACGATTTCTGCTCACTGCAACCTCCACCTCCTGGATTCAAGAGATTCTCGTGCCTCAGCCTCCTGAGTATCTGGGATTACAGGCACGTGCCACCACACCCAGCTAATTTTTGTATTTTTAGTACAGACAGGGTTTCATCATGTTGGTCAGGCTGGTCTCAAACTCCTGACCTTGTGATCCACCTGCCTCGGCCATATTTCATCTTTTTATGAACCAACAGGCCCCACTGTCTGCAATGCATTTAGCTTGTAGTTACGGATTCAAGGTTTTCTTGGGTCGAGATCCATGTGAATCATCAAAATACTTATGCCAACAACAAGTGTCTCACAACAACCTAGAGAACAGCCCTTAACATGAGACTATTGAACAGCCTCTACATTCACAAGGTAACTGTAAAGAAGTTCATGAAACCATGACATTTATTTAAAAAGTAGATTTAAAATATATATATATATATATATATATATATATATATATATATATATATTTGTCATCAATTGTTCCATTCAAGATACGAATTAATCTATGTACAAAGAGTGTATGTCTGCGAGAGGAGTAGGTGGACAGAAGTAAAGAGGATGTTATTAAAGAATGTGATCTAAAAGCGGCAACTGACAGCTATCAAGAGCACTAGACAGGAGATTGTACTGTCACACAGAACAATAATAAATGATGTTGACTTTGTCCTATTTTCTTTGCTTTAAAAAGCAAAGAAACTTACAAAACTGCCTCGAAAGTTTCCCAGACAACATGGTTACATATTGGGAAGTGGGGTTGGGAAAGCTATGTGTAAGCACAAATTACCTGAAAAACCACTTGAGTGTAACACTTTCTTTCCAGGTGACTTTGGATGCATGAGAGGCAAGATATAGTTCTAGGAATACCACAATTAATGAGAGAAATTAAAAAAATAAAACTTAACCTCATTCAGAAAACACGGAAGTGACATCACTAGCGCTATTGCTCAATATGCCCTTTCTGAACTAAAAATGAATAATAAAAGGGTATATAAGAATTTCTGATCCTGTAATCTTCAGTTTTCAGCCTAATGACTGAAAGTCTAAAGTCTTCTCCGTAGAAGTAGCTGCTCAGCAGAGATTCACTTAAGTCTTGGATATTAGAGGCTTTATCTGTTTATTTGATGATTGGAATTTTCTGCCCATTATTGATCCCTGCCACTCTTATGAACAACTTAAGTGTCTGACACAAGTGAGTTGATAAAATAGACTGTATTTTTTATCCATTAACTGGCACTTCATATATTGTCCAAAATCTGTCATGAGCTTTGCAACATTTCCACAGCAATAGCACCTGCCTATTCAGGGATCATATATCAAGGTGCATTCAGTTCATCTGCCACAACAGGAATTGGCTGCTGCTGTTTATATTTTCCCCCCCAACTCTTATCATGAAGTTACCCCTTACCCTTACTTTTGAAAAAAAATGGGACATACTTCCAGGATTATTTTCTTCAATATTTCTCTATCTAACAAAGTTATGTGTTTTATAATTTTTGATATCTGTTAGGTTACATACATTTACCTGCTTGAGGAAATATATGAGAAGAAATATTCAAACTTGATAGATGTCAGTAATGCTACCTAAACATTTTCAAGGCATGTAAAATCAACCCCTATCTCTAAAATATTGGAGAGAGAGGATCCAGGTTTTTTTTGTTTGGGGTTTTTTTGTCAGTTTGTTTGTTTTTGACAGAGTCTCAATCTGTTGCCCAGGCTGGAGTGCAGTGGCGCAGTATCTGCTCACTGCAACCTCTGCCTCCTGGGTTCCAGCGATTCTGCTGCCTCAACCCCTCGAGGAGCCGGGACTACAAGCGCGCGCCATCACACCAGGCTAATTTTTTGTATTTCTAGTAGAAACAGGGTTTCAACATGTTGGCCAGGCTGGTCTCAAACTCCTGACCTCAGGTGATCTGCCCACTTCAGCCTCCCAAAGTGCTGTTGATTACAGGCGTGAGCCACCTCAGCTGGCCCAGATCTAGTTTTTAAATGCCAATGCAATACCAGATGTTTTCTACATGCATTATTTCATTTAACACTCACAGAAATACTGTGTGGAGCCCTTGATTTTGATTTTTACTGTTGAAGAAACATCAAAGTTCGCTGGTGTTATATTCAGTGGTTTGCAAGACCAGGATAAGAAGTTAATTCATGGATCTCTAACACCCAGTCTATTTCAATTATACCAATGACATTGCAAAATCACAGCATATATGTGCTCAGAAGTATATAATAATACTGACAGCAATAGCATAATAACCAAACTACATTTGGTTAATAGCTAAATTAACCAAAGCCAATATTTATTGATATTTACCATGTCATAGGTAATTTTTAGTTATAACCTCATTGAATCATTAAAACAGCTCTTTGGAAAAAGAAAAGTTTAGCTATTCTTATTTTAAAAATAAAAAACTTGCCTTAAGACCAGGAGTTCTCTACCAGACTGGGGAACATGACAAGACTCTGTCTGTACGCATAATAATAATAATAAAAGACTGAGCCTGGCAGCACATTCCTGTAGTTCCGGTGACTTAGAAGGCTAAGGCAGGAGCATTACCTGAGCCCAGAAGTTCAAGGCTGCAGTGAACTATGATCACATGACTGCACTACAGTCTAGATGACAGAGCAAGACACTGTCTCAAAAAATAATATAAATTAAAAATCAAGGCAAAGAAAAGGAATGTAATTTGCTCAAGTTTGCATAAAAGGTAGTTATGGGCAGGTATTTAACCCCATGCCTGACTCCAAAGTTCATAGTCATAACAACTATGACAAGTGCTTAAATATGGTAAGCGCTTCCACATTCATTTTATTTGAGCCTATAAAACTTTATGACAGGGGTACAGCAAGCATCCACTCACTTTACAGGCAATGAAATGGAGAGTCAGACTTGCATACAGCTAGTAAGTGGCAAGGCAATGTCTTTAGCTTGGGTATTCTGACTCCAGTGTACACATTTGCTATTATACCCTACAGGGTGTCCATGATGTTTATATAATGGAGAGAAAAGAGAGTACAACTCTTTGTGAAAGAAGAAATAAATTTCCGTATTCCTCCATAACTTGTATATACAAAGTACACTGGACATCCTTAAAAGAGTATAGAAAGTTTGAAACAAGTCTTTTCATCTCCTTCAACTGATTTTCTCAGCTATCTAATAATAGCCTCACAAATCTGTTGTTAAGGAGAAACATTGTGTGTGAATGTTCACCTCCTTCCTTGGCCCAGAAAGTCATGAAGATTTAACACTATTTTAGAATAAACAAAATACAATTTTTGCCCTCAAGCAGGTTGCAGTCAGTTTATGAGGATAAGAATATGCATCATAAAACAATGACTAAAAAACGTGTGTGACGTATGCTGTAGATATTTAACAACATAGAAAATTAGTGAGGGATGATATTATCGGGCCAACCTTGTGTAGAGCTGCTGAGCTGAATCTTCAAGGATGAACTTTCCAAGAGAGGGTGGGATTCCAGATGAAGGCAGTAATGTGGCTCTCAATGATAATCTCTGTGGTTTTCTTTAATTGGCCACCTTGGAAAATGTCTTTGGGCTGCATTCTTTTACGGTTCCACAGAAGTGTTTTAGGCATAGACAGAGTAGCTGGTTCCCTGATTAGTGTCTGAAGTTCACCATTCATCATTAATTTTTGAGTTCCTTATTCAGACCTCTAGGAATGTACTGAAAAAAACACACAAACTCCCAGAAAGGGCAATAATGCAAATATTTCCCTAACATTGCAT
This sequence comes from Homo sapiens, assembly GCF_000001405.40. Classification (NCBI taxonomy): domain Eukaryota; kingdom Metazoa; phylum Chordata; class Mammalia; order Primates; family Hominidae; genus Homo; species Homo sapiens. The sequence goes on from NC_000018.10 coordinate 40,388,511, forward strand.
CTTTACATATATGCACTTCTTAGATTGTTATTCTGTCTAAGAGCTAACTGAACGCAAAAGACTAAGGGATGAAAATGTTGAAAAGAAATAACGAGGGGACACAACAGAGGAATTTTAACCCTGGTTGGAAGTTCTAATATGGTCTTGCTGATAGCATTGGGTAGTAGGAGGGCATTGAGTACCCTGAGAAAAGGAAACCTAAAAGTCTTTTGGTGGCCATGTAACAATCTCTTTTTTCCCAGCTTATGTTTGAGCCCATCTACCAACCTGTTTAGGGAGATACAATATTTGCTTAGAAAACACATGGAGTCTGAGAGACAAAAAATATCAGATGCAGTTCTGCTAAGCCCAGTTTTCCTGTCAGCCACAAACATTTCCACTATTTTCATATCCCAATCAATCCCCGTTTATATCAGTCTCTCTTTGAATTGACTTAAGTAAGGAGAAATTATGTATGCATGAATTTGCCAGCACCTCAAAAGCAGAGAGCTTTCTTTCTACTACCAAAGCACAGTGACAGAGGTTGTTGGTACCAAAGGCTCATATTCCCTCAACACTCCAACACTTTTCCAAGCAAGCGGAACAGATTTGGACTAAAAGCAGCAGCAACTCTTGGCCTTAGGGCTTTCTCTGCCCACAGGTGCCCGGTCAGCCATGAGAGCAAGGTGGGTCAGAGGTGCAGGAGAGTTAATATCTCCTGTGAGATGCCCTTAACTAAGTGCCAACAGGAATTTGTGGATAATTACCCTAGTTGTCACTTTGGGTGGATACCTCTGGTATGAACTTTTTAAGCTGCCTCCCAGTGATTGCTTCTGGAATACAGCTCTTGTTGCCCAAAGTAGTAACACAGTTAATAACATACCATTCATTCTTGGTTTTTTTTTTTTTTTTTTTTTTGAGGTGGAGTCTCACTCTGTCACCCAGGCTGGAGTGCAGTGGCGTGATCTAGGCTCACTGCAAGCTCCGCCTCCCGGGTTCATGCTATTCTCCTGCCTCACGTCCCGAGTAGCTGTGACTACAGGCACCCGTCACCACGCCCGGCTAATTTTTTGTGTTTTTAGTAGAGACGGGGTTTCACCATGTTAGCCAGGAGGGTCTCCATCTCCTGACCTCGTCATCTGCCTGCCTTGGCCTCACAAAGTGCTGGCTGTTTTCTGTCTTACTTCTTCACTCTCTTCGTGGAGTTTCCCTGCATCACCTACCAGATGAGCTATTTGCACTGAAATCATTGCATCAGGAAAGTATCCTACTTATAATGATAGATTTTTCACATAAGTAAAATGCATACCATTGGCTCCCCTTTAAGTCCTGGCATTCTCATTGCAAAACGTAACACAAGTTTATCACATTTTACAGCTAAACAACAACAAAAATCTTTAAAGCTGCTTTAAATAACATCTTCATTTCTACCCAAAGAAGCCAAGTAAGAAGCCCATTAATAGTAATGCTTTGCTCTTGTGCATAATTTTGCACTTTTTAAAGCACTTTCCCGTATTTAATCATATTTGATCCTCATGACAACCATTTACAAAATGTAGGGCAATGCTAGCTTGAGGGACAATGTGGAGTGGTGGAAAGAGTTATCTGAACTGGGAGTCTAGAGACCTGATTCTGTCAGTAATTAGCAATGCAACCACAGACAAGTCCTTAACCCTCTCTGGGTCTCAGTGTCCTCATCACTGCATGAAGGGCCAGTCTGTGAAATTTTCAAGATTGTTTCAGCTGGTAACAATTTATGAGACCCAAAGACAGAGATGGAGGGTAGAACATGTGGGTGTGGGATGGCTTTCCTAAGTTTAGACAATGGTGAGTAGCAGAACTAGAACTAACATCAAAATCTACCAATTTTAGAGCAAAGATGCATTAAGTAGAAAATTACATCAAGCATTGGTGGAAAAGCTCTCATACAAGCCATAGAGAACACATTATATACCACACATTATCATCAATCTTGAAAATATCCTGTAAGGTATCTTTTATGGTCAATCTACAGATGAAGAACCGTAGACTCCAACTACTTATGTTACTAGGCTTAGGTCACAAGCTATCAGTGGAACTTCTGATATCTGAGCCCTGTTTGTATGATCCCCAAACCATCCTCTTTTATTAAACAAGTGGGTTGTGTTCTGGTACATCTCACTTCTAATACGATATATTAGAAGTTGGATATGTTTGGTTTCCAATCTTGACTCCTTCCCTGATTATATTTTCTTATCTATAAAATGGACGTAAGTTTCCCTTAAGGTTATCGACACGATTAGAAGTGATGAAGAATTCAGCTTTAGAAAATTGGCCTTTCCTGACTATATCTTACTCTTCTTTTCTACTTTGTTAATTTTTCTGCAAAACCAGCAAAACTAGCCCACATTGGCAGTTTCATAAAGCTAAATCCTGCCTCTCTTCTGCAGACACACACATGGGTAAGGCTGGAAGGCTGCATAGTGTGTGGAAAACTACAAATATATATATAAAATATTTTTTTTGAGATGGAGTATCACTTTGTTGCCTATGGTGGAGTGCAGTGGTGTGATCATAACTCATTGCAACCTCCAACTCCTGGGCTCAAGTGATCCTCAGGCCTCAGCTTCCTGAGTAGCAGGGAGTACAGGCATGCACCACCTTGCCTGACTAATTATTTTTTGTAGAGACACGTTATACCTGTGTTGCCCAGGCTGGTTTCAAACTTCTGGGCTCAAGCTATTCTTCCACTTTGGCCTTCCAAAGCATGGAATTATTGTCATGATCCACAAAATCAGGCCAGAAAACTATGAATATCTTGTAAATTTATTTTTCCTTTGTCCTGTCTGTGTCCTGATTCCAGGCTATTAGATTTGTGGAAAAAGTCTACCTCCATCTATGATCCTAGTATTCTTATTATATTTACTTACTCTCCATTGCTTATTCTTCTCAACATTTTACTGGTGAGTCTGTTTGTGTCCATCCACATGCACGTATGTGTTGGAAGTGAGTATAGAGGAGAATCTTCCACTCATTTTCAGATTCTGCTAGAAGCAATAAATAACTAATGGACTATGACTATACCATAAGTCTAGAAGGACATATTGCATATACCAGGGAAATTGCATAATAATTACATTTTAGCTTAAATAAAAGCAGAGAAAGTTTAATTAAGACTTTTAATTAATAGTTGAAAGATTAATCAATCAATAATTACAGTAATGATTATAGGGTATAATTAAGTTTAATTGGTGGGGGCTGATTAATGATCAGAATAAACCTTTCAGATTCCCTGTCTTAAAAATATTCAAAAATGATAGATTTTGGCTCATGCAATTAAAAAGAAATGCAAGAATTACAGATCATGGGTCTTTGGCAACTAGACCATGAAAGGGAAAACACATGATTGAAGTAAAGAAATTGTTCTATTGTTCAGCCTGTATATTACTATACTGCTGGTCTGTACAAATTTGAGAATAATGGAGGAAAATATGCATCTAAGGAAGTCTACAGAAAAAAAGAAGAAATTACTTGAGACAGTTTCTTTGGAAGCTCATTTCTCAGGGGTACTCTTTCGATCTCCAAGGGCAAAATGGTTGTGTGAATTCAAATGACATTCTTATCAGTTCGTCATAGGAATAGATTCAGTAGAGGATCAGACATCTCAAGGACACAGTTTCTGTTTATAAGATGAAGACCCCTCTCCCTTCTGCCTGATCTGTTCTAATCAAATCCAAGTGGCTACTGGGACCAATGTCAATTCTACCTGAATAATTGATTCAATTCTCTTTGGAGAATTGGTAGGTGATCTCATTTCAGTGTCCTCTCACTGATGAGAATGAATCCTACAATGCACTGCTCAGATGGAGACATACATGCTCAGGGGTTGAGTGAGTGTTTTTTTGGTTTTCCCAAGTAGACAGCACCATATTCTTGATCCTGCACACCGTTCTCAGAAAATAATGCAAATGTAGTCTCAATATTTATGAATATATAAACAAGATTAGTCGTATAAGAAGATAACCTCACAAAGTACTTTTAAAAGTCTTTCAGCTCATCAGAAAATCAATTTTAGCTACAAATTGGAAATTGACTGCTCCCACATTTACTAATGACTTACACCCATTTCCCCTTGTCTCTCTCTAAGTTACATGTGTTCTCTCAACCTAAATGCAATAACTGTCATGGCAAGGATTCTCTATGCAAAAGCACTTAACTAAGCAGTTCAGGAACTCAGTCAATGTTTTTATTGATTATCTACTCTATTTGTCCAAACATATACTGGTCACTGTGGTAGATGTAAGTAAAGGGAAAGATTGTGTATCCCTGCCCTTAAAGTCTGTACGCTATCACATATTACTGATTGAGATCATAATGTAGTGATAAACAATGGAATTAAAGCAGAACATTAATTTTTGACCCATTCATATTTGCTATATGGTTTTGGACAAATTACCTAAACTCTCTTGTCCTCAGTTACTTCATCTGTTAAAAAAAATCTGATTTTGGCCAGGTAAGGTAGCTCACACCTATAATCTCAGCACTTTGGGAGGCCGAGGAGGGCAGATCATGAGGTCAGGAGTTCAAGACCAGCCTGGCCAACATGGTGAAACCCCGTCTCTACTAAAGATACAAAAAAAAAGAAAAAATTAGCTGGGCATGGTAGCACATGCCTGTAATCCCAGCTACTCTGGAGGCTGAGGCAGGAGAATCGCTTGAACCTGGGAGGTGGAAGTTGCAGTGAGCCGAGATTGCGCCATTGCACTCCAGCCTGGGCGACGGGGTGAGACTCCTTCTCAAAAAAAAAGAAGAAGAAAATCTGATTTTTTCATGGTTAATCATTTATCACTCCCACTGACATACTCCAGTGCAAGTCTGACACTAACCATCGGAGTTAGCACAGACTTCATAAGTGAAAGTACAGTTGTCACTAAGTTTACCCTTACTTCAGAAGCTAATCACCACTTCCAGGGGTCCCAGACTACCCAGCTTTTGACCAACTGGCTACAAATTTTGCCATTCCCACTACCACCTTAGTTTTGATAATTTATTACAATGATTCACAGAACTATAGCTGACATAGAAGTAAAGCTAGATTTTGCAGGGTAAGTATAATTTGTTAGAGAAAAAATCTCATATATTTCCTGTAAGCTATCAATGTATTCACAATAATATAACAAATACAGGTTTGCTGATAGTTTTTAAAAAACTTTTTATATATTAATGGTTTTGAGAAAAAAAGTAGCTCAGAGCAGTTTGAGCTATGTGAGGTTTGCAAACTGTATAATGTCCAGAGAGACGGGAGTATGGGACTTCACCTCTTCCCAACCCGTGCACCCATGCCTGGGGCAACTGTTTAAAAACAATTTGTTTCTGACTAGCTCCCTTGCCCATATCTTCATGTTCCTGGATTTTGTGATACGAAGAAAAGTGTATAGACAATCAATAACTTCTGTTATTTTGATGTAAATTATTGGTAATTAACTTAGAAACTACCTCTTCTTCTTTCTTTAAAAATCCACATGTAACTACTGCTAATCCAAGTGTATATTCAGGGGAATTTGAATTTATGCTCCTGGATGACAATCCTCAAGCTTTGGGCTCAAATAAACTCTATACTGAATATTTTTTTCTGAATTGTATTATTTGAGGTTGATTGTAAAGTCCCAGCTCAAGGGGACCTCAGTGTTTTCATCATGTGACCATGAAAATCAACTTACAAAGTAAGTAAAGGAGGAACAGCCCTTATGTTGAGTTTCTATTTCCTTTTTCTGTATACAATTGGGCCCAGGAAAAACCAACCAGTCTGGCACTTTGATCATCAAGCAAGAACCTGATTCCATTCTAATCACTGTCAATTTCTAGCTTGGTCGGTTTACACAAGATACTTGACCTCTTGAAAATTTATTTTCTCAACCTGCTGAGAATGGTATATGCTGTGTCTGCCTTGCAAGCTTATCTTCAGACCCAAAAGTGCTTTATAAATTTAGCAAGCTATCTTGTTTTATAATTAAAATCGAAGGTGGAAATTAAGTAAAAGTTCAAAACAGTCAATATATTCTCCGGTAGTATTATTGCCCCTTCCTGCCACCCCTCTTAACCATTTAGCACTCTATTCCTATACACTCAGGAATAGTTCTATTATTTTGACTAATTGCCCAGCCACTGCTCAGGAAGTTCTAAGAAATGTATTGTGATATCTTTCCCAGTTAGTTTCATAGCAAATGAGAGAGGCAGACTAAATAATATATATACAATTTCATTAACAGAAAATATAATATCCTTTGCTAGGCATTGAGAATGAGTGGTCCTATATGCATAGAATTACATTCTGATCCTGGAAGTCAAGATAAAGAATGGAAGCAGGAATGTACACAAATAACCGGAGTGCAATTCCTACCAGAGTACATGCTTCAAGAATGTATGCTAAAAGTGCCATGGATTTTTAAATACTAGAAAAAGTAATTGTAACTGAGAAGAAGGTCAGGTTATGCTTCAGAAAAGAGGCATTTCTTCCCCTTCTTCAGCGTCAAAGAAGGAGTTGTGTGAACAATTCAAATGTAAACTCTAGCATGAGCTAAATGCTGAGTGGGTGGAAGAGCAGGGCATGTTCCAGGAATGGTGGATGCAGTGTCAAAATCAGAATGTGAAAAGCCTTGGAGAAAACATTTAGAAGATCCACCATAGTTGCGTAGTGCACAGCAGAGTGGCTGTGGGGGAGGGAGTTTGATTACATCTTTGTTTTAGAAATACCACTCTTGCTCTGGTGAGAAGAGTTAATTGGTTCCACAGGATGAACTGCAGTCTAGGAAGTATCTCAGATATTGACCTTAACAGATGATTTTTTGAGGGCTTAATATGTGCCACAGAACATTCAAAACCTATTAAATGTGTTAATACATTTAATTCTTAAAATAATTTTATAAAGTAAATCCTCTTGTTTTCTCCTTTTCATACACAAGGAAACTGGGAGCCCAGGGATTTAAGTGAATCTACCAAGCAGTATCAGACCATTTGGCTCCAGATCAATGTTTCTTCATTACCACAGGTTGAACAGGGTCCAGATTAAAGCATCAAATACAAAACAGAGAAAGAAGAGAGATTTGTGCTTGACTGAGAGAAATTTCAGAGACATAATCCTTTGGTTTTTGAGACTTGGTAACTGGCGAGGCCAAAGGGGTGGGAGTAGAAGGGAAGATAGAGTATGGCTTTTAACTCTATGAGTTTGGGGCCTCTGTAGGATTTGTATAGATGTGTAAGAGTCATTAACTTCTCAATGAAAGTTGAAACCATGGAAATTCGTGAACTTTCCTAGATGGAGAATGTATCACAAAAGGAAAAGAGAGATTAATTACATGAAAAATTTTAGGTCAGTGGAGGATGCGTGGAGCAAAAGGTTTGAACAGCTCCTCTGATTTTGAAAGCGACCTCCTTCCTGGCAGGGTTGTATTAGTTTGGTGGTTGTCTTCTGCTCTCACTTCAGTTCTGAGCCGTCACAGCTGCTTCTCACAGAGTTCGCCACCATAAAAGAGAGTGAAAGTCCATGGCCAAAAGCCTAAGACTGTTGGGAGACATTTAATTACTTTAAAATCTCTACAGCCTGGAAAACATAATGGTTAATGGGGTAATCAGATGAAAGGTGTGAAATTTTAAATAGTAGAGACTGTGTCACTAGAGTAGATTGTCACTCCCTTGGAGATGATAAAACTCTAGTGCATAAATGGCGACAGAAGCATACCTTCAGCACTCATAAATCAATAATTGGTAAAATGTACTCGTGTATAACTAAGTAGATTTTTATATGGTAGGTCGAATAAACTGATCATAGTATACTGCAAGACTCAGTGAAATTATGGGCCAGGTTTTATTCATAGGTATCCCTAGATTTTTAAAGCTGTGAGCTACATAGCTTAGGCATAAATTAAAAAGCCACTAAGGCTAGGTCACAGGGAGAACTATCAATTAGGCTGAGAAATTATTTTCAGGGCCCCCAGAATTAAGCAGTTTTACAAAGGTAAAGGGCTTTCTGGTTTTTGGAGAACACAGCTTATTTCCTGGCAAAAAAAAAAAAAAAAAAAAAAGAAAGAAAAAGAAAGGGAAGCACTTATGAGGCTAGCCTACAGAAGCAGATTGACCAAGAGTAGGGCTTGTGATTTTGGAAATCTTGAAACAAAGGAGACTATGGGAATTGTTCATCTGGTAATGGACTTTTTGATTATACTTCCCGTTGTCTATTTACTTTGGGGTACCCTAGATAAAATATCAGGTGATTATTGGCAAAATATTATGTAAGTCACTTAAATTTGGAAGACTTCAATTTCCTCAATTATAAAATATAAGAACTACATTTGATAAATTGTAAATTCCTTTCCAACTTTAATATTTTGTCATTTTCATAATCAAGTTGTATTGACTCACCTCAAATCCCTTCAAGATATATCGTATCGGTTGACCACTATGTTAGCATCAACCATGGCTTTTGCATCCTTGCTTATTTTACAGCTCTGATAAAGGAAATTAATATTACTCAAAGTCCTTAAGGTTCAAAGGGAGTCATATTTTCTGGATTGCCCTAAATACTGGAGTGCCACAAGTGACTTCTTTGTATTCTAAAATAATGCATCTATATAATGAACACATTTATAGCCCTTGAGTTGTATATAGATTGATAAGAAAATAGTGGAAATGTCATTAATTTTTGTATTCTTGAACTTTCATTCAATATATTTGGAGTACTTCAGAATATCTGCAATGTGAAGAAAGTGAGTTATAACGAAGTATCTATTTCTGCATGTAATTTGTATATTTCGTAATTACTGTCACTTGTCAGAGTCAAGATGCTTCTTTATGAATATTGGAGTCAAAAGATAGCAAACTTCTGAAGAAAAGGAAAGAATATTTCCCCTTTACTGTTATTTGGCAAGCTTAAGATGCTTTGCACAACCTTTTTTGTTCATACTTTCTTCTCATTATATACTGTAGAAAAAAAAACAGATACAACTGGAGATCCCCATTTTATTGTGACATGTTTACTTTCCAAGGGAAAGCTGCTTAGGTGAAAAACCAATGGGACTCAGATGTCCAAATTTGTAGGAAGTTATGTATTTCTTCTGAGACTTGATTGATAGACAACACCTGTCAATCATGTATCTTAGGATCATTACTTGAAGGATACTCCAGAATGTGCCAGGCACAATGGCTTATACCTATAATCTCAACACGTTGGGAGGCCAAGGAGAGCAGATCGCTTGAGTCTAGGAGTTTGAGACCAGCCTGGGCCACATGGCAAAACTCCATCTCTACTAAAAGATATACAAAACATTAGCCAGGTATGGTGGCAAGTGCCTGTAGTCCCAGCTACTCAGGAGGCTAACACTGCAGCCTGGGTGATGAGAGTTAGGCCCTGTCTCAAAAAAAAAAAAAAAAAAAAAAAGGAGAGAGTAAAGAAAAGAAAGAAAATAACAAAGAATACTCCAGAATTTTTCTTGCTTTCTGTTTTTTTCCCTCAACATTTAACAAATTACTTATTAGTGGAAATATCAGGAATTACAGAATATAACATCTATGTGTGAGCAAATGATAGAAATCAAAAATACGTAATTGCTGTTGGATCTTGACATATTAAAAATGAGATTCTGCTGTTGTTGATGAGGCTGGAAAATGAGAGGTGACCTGCCTGGTTGGTAGTTCCTAGGGAGAAAATTTAGTGGGAGTAGGAAATACTTAGTTGAACAGGGTTGGGCAAATCATTTTTGTTCTCTCAGCTTTCTTTCCATAATAAATAGAAGAATTTGAGTGACATTCCTTTGGCTCTAATATGGAAATATATTTTTATGTACATGTAATGTTTGTAGTAGGCAGAAAATGGTCCCCAAAGGTGTCCATGTCCTGTCTTCTGGAAACTGAAATTACATTGGGTTACATGACAAAGGGAATTAATTTTTCATATGATATTGAGGTTGTTAATCAGCTGACCTCGAGATGTTGAAATTATTGTAGATTACAAGAATGAGCCCAGGGTAATAATCCCAAGCGTCTTTATATATGGAAGAGGAAGGGAGAAAAGAGAGGACCAGAGAAACAGCGGCTTAAGAAGAACCTGACCTGCTGTTTCTGGGTTTGAAGATGAAGGACGAAGGCCACAAGGCAAGGAATGCAGACAGTCTCTAAAAGCTAAAAGAATAAAGAAACATATTATTTTCAGAGTCTCCAGAATGGTACACAGTACTGCCTACCTATTTTGGTTTCAGACCAGTCAGACCCATTTCAGACTTTTTACCCTCCTAAATTATAAAATAAAAAAATTATGTTGTATTTAAGCCACCACATTTGTGATAATTGTTACAACATTATCAGGAAACTAATACAGTATTAAAGCATCAATCATTTCACATATGTTGAAATAAGTTATTTTAAAAATCAAATAAAAAATATTTTAATAGTTAACAATTTCCTTATAAGAATAGATTTTATAAAAAACATGATTAGATAGTCAATTATTTATAAAACTAAGGATAATTTGATCTTAGATTTTCTATTTATTCACCAACATAAAAAAATCAACAATTTAAAAAATGTCATCACTATATTGCTAAGAAAAAGTAGGCACAAAAACCACCTTCTAGAGTCAGTTTGTCTACTTCTAAAAATGATGAAATTAATTCATTTGCAGATAAGTTAGGTTTGTTGCTATTGTTTTAATATACTGTTAAGCTCCAAACTTTGTATAGGTAACTCATCAACTAAGTAATGATTCAAATAAACTTTTAATATTAACTAAATTAATGAATCCATTTTTCTTCCCACATTGATTTTCATCTTTGAGACATTGTTATTGTCAATAATGACAAATTCAGTTTCCTTGACCAAGATACAACTGCTTCTCAGACAGGGTTTTACAGGGTCAAATGCTTATGCCCTTGCTCTCATCCTAATATTCACTCAGCATCAACAGAGACTACTGTGTGAATAAAAACAAAACAAAAAATGTGCCAGGAAGAATGAGTCTATGTAGGTAGCAGGCTCAAGGCTTTCCACGGAGCTCACAAAAGGACCTTCCAATCTGACCTGAATATCAGTTCTGTGAGGCCAGTGGGAAAGGAATCCCTCTTCCCATTTCATGACGGTTTTAGATCTAGCAGAATGTTACACGCCTAGCCAAGGACACAGTGGTCTTAGGCCTACTGTCTAAAATTAGAATCACAGTCTTAAGCATTAACCCTCAGATTTTACTTGTATTTGCTTACCTAAATTATCATGAGGATAAAATGACTTTTCTTCCAATTCACCGAATTATTGTTGCCAAGATCAATTGAAATAAGTCATTAAGCAACCTTTCAATTTACAATAGCATAAAATAAATAAATTACAGTACTTAGGAATATATTTAACCAGAGATGAAGTATCTTGTACACCGAAAACCAAAAAACATTGCTGAAAGATTAATATCTTTCTTAAAGACATAAGTGAATAGAAAATCATGTTTTCATGGATTGGAAGATTTAATGTTGTTAGGATAAGCTTACTACCCAAAGTGATCTACAGATTTCATAAAATCCTTATCAAAATCCCAATGGCATTTTTTTTTGTATAGAAAAACAAACCCTAAAATTTGTGTGGAATCCCAAGGGACCTCGAATAGTCAAAATAATCTTTAAAAAAGAAGAACAAAGTTGTAAACTCACATTCCCTGAATTTAAAAGGTAATCTGAAGCTACAGTAATCAAAACAGTCAGATACTTGCATAACGACCAACATAGAGTCAAATAGAATAGAATTGAAAGCCAATAAGAAAGCTATTTAATATATGGCTGATTGTTTTTGTATAAGCATACCAAGACCATTAAGTGAGAAAAGGGCAATCTTTTCAACAAATGGTGCGGGAAAACGGGATATCTATTAGCAAAAGCACAAAATTGTACCCCTGCCTAACACCATATAGAAAAATTAACTCAAAATGAATCAAAGACCTAAATGAAAGGCATAAAGCTACAAAACTATTAGAAGAAAACATGGGGGAAACATTTCATGATATTGGATTTGGTGATGATTCCTTGGATAGGGCACCAAAAGTATAGGCAACAACAAAAAAAATAGATAAATTAAACTTCGACAAAATTTTAAAAATCTGTGGATCAAAAGACACTAGCAAAAGACTAAAAAGACATCCATAGAATTGGAGAAAATATTTACAAGTAATGTATTGATAAGGGATTAATATCAGAATATATGAAGAACTACTACAACTCAACAACAGAATAACAAACAACCCAATTCAAAAATGAGCAAAGGTTTGGATAGACATTCCTCCAAAGAAGATACACAAATGCCAGGAAGCATCTGGGAAAATGCTCAACCTCTTTAGTTATTAGGATGTTTATTAATTAAAAAATTAACAGGTATTAGCAAGAATGTGGAAAAATTGGAACCCTTGTGCACTATTGGTGAGAATGTAAAATGGTGTGGTTACTGTTCCAAACAGTTTGGTGGCTCCTCCAAAAGTTAAATATGAAATTCCCATATGAGCCAGCAATTCCACTTCTAGGTATCTACCCAAAAAATTTGAAATAAGGACTCACATTCATATTGGTATACCCGTGTTTATAGAAGTATTTTTCACAAAGGCCAAAAGCTAGAAATATCTAAGTGTCTATGAATGCATGAATAGACAAACAAAACTTCCTTAATAATAATGAACTATTCATTCATGTGAAGAACAAGATCCTGATGCATGCTATGACATGTGTGAATCTTGAAAACATTATGCTAATGGAAGTAAGCAGGACACACAAGGAAACATGTTGTGTGATTTTACTTATAAGAGGTACCTAATAGGCCATAGAGCCAAAAGGTAGCATAAAGTTTACCAGCTGTTAGCAGGACAAAGAAAAGAGGAGTTATTGTTTAACAGCTACAGGGTTTCTGTTTGGGATGAAGAATTTCCAGTAATGGATAGTGGTGATGGTTGTACAACATTGCAAATGTATTTAATGCTACTGAATTATACACTTTAAAATGGATAAAATGATAAATTTTATGTATATTTTAGCACAATAAAAATAAAATTTCAAAAAGCAGTTTGAAACCTATAAATTATAATAGATTAGCTAAGAATTTCATGCTTTTAATTTGTGCTATGCATATTCTGACTGCTGTACTTGTAACAATTATTTTAATCTTCAAAATATCAGTATGTAGAAAAATTTATTATTATGCCCATTTAGAAAATGTAGAAACAAAGGTTTAATAACTTGTCTAAGGTTACATAGTAAACAGGGGTGGATCTTAGATCTGAATAGAAAATAATCTGGCTCCAGAGCCATGTTCTCATGTTGTCTCCAAAATCTTTATATTGCTTCCTAAATTACTGCACAATTGTAAAAAAAAAAAAAAATCAAACGTATTAAGTTTCATGATTCAGTGTATACTTAATATGGTATTTTGAGAAACCAAGGTTTTAGCTGTATGGATTGGAGATTCATTCTAGGTTTCAGGGTCTCAATTCAGTAACTAACTGGGAAAATCAGCTATGAATCTCCAGCATCATTTTCTACCCTCCTGTCTGGCAAGGTCATTGCTAAGTGTGTGGGGGTCACAGTAAAGGTAGTACCAATGCACCTGGGGAGGGTGAGAAACTGGATGACTTTCCCTTTTACCTCCCATCTACATCCCAACCACCTGGGACTCCTAAGCCCTTTCAAACCTGTCTCACATCAGGAATGACTCTGTGGGTTTTTCAGACATATTTGAGTCCAGATTTGTATGTCTTTAAAACTTGTCTCATCAGCACTTCTGGAAAAGTGATTTCTAAAAGCAATTGCCTGTAAGACTCTGCATTCTCTAAAATAATTAGCAAATTTTTGCATGGTGACTTTCTTCCTGGGGGAGTCACTTCTTTTTCTCGTAGTGAGAAATCTGACTTCTTTAGAAATCTTATTTTTCTAATCCAAAGCTTTTGATACTGTGACCCACACATGACTTCAGAGAGTGATGACCCTTCTTAAGAACAGACATGTGCCATCTCTGTCTTACAGATGGCTCCTGCATCCTGTGCCATTTGATATTTTTCTCTGTTCTGCAGTTAGGTGGCTCAGATTCTTAATTAAAAGATTCATTTTTATGGCAGCTTTTATAAAGCAAATATCCGCACATGAAGGAAGAGGAAAAAGAACAGAAGGAGGAGGGAACATGGCCTGCTTTCCACCAGATACTGAAACGTTCCACTAATCTTTTTCGCACCTTGTGGTTTCAATTTTCCCTTTAAAATGTGGATTAAACAAAGTTGCCAAAAAACATATGCTTTCGTGTCAAACATTTCACTTATTTGGGAGGCTGAAAGCAGCTTGAGAGTGCTCACTGACTCCGCCTGAGGAAATGGAGCAGGGTGGTTTGGGTTTTTAACTGGAAACATTCTCCTTGAAAATTGAAGGGTGAACATAAGAGCTGTCATGTGGGTCTGGCCACTGGTGGACTGTAAGACCATCCCAGGTATTCCCTCTTAGAGGACAGAAGAATCAGACCAAGTTGCCAACCTAGATACTGGCCTTATCTTTTTGGCTTGTGACCTGATCACATTCCACAGCTAATTGGGGTCGAGACAAGTCAATACTAACACATGAGATCTCTAGGGCAAACCCATTTGCTGTAAGCTTCCTGAAGCCCTCACCAGAAACAGATGCTGGCCCTATGTTTTGTGTAAAGCCTGCAGAACCACAAGCCAAATAAACCTGTTTACTTTATAAATTACCCAGTCTCAGGCATTTCTTTATAGCAACACAAATGGGCGAACACAGCAGGTAGTTATAGGGTATTACTATTTCCTAAACTATGAGCTAGGGTTTTTAGACTAACCATCTCATGTAATCTTCCCCCTTTAATGTGTATAAGATAATATTGTTCCCATTTAACAGAGGAAGAAATCAAGGCTTCCTGACACCTAAATATTTTTTCTGGGTTGCACCACTAATACTTGGTAAAAAAAAGGACTCAAAGCTCAATTATTTCTCCTATTCCACTGGTTTATATGTCTGTCCTTACGCCAGAATCACAGTATTTTGATTGTTGTAGCTTTGCAGTAACTTTTAAATTCAGGGAATGTGAGTCTGCAACTTTCTTCTTCCTTTTCCGTGTGGTCCTCTAGAATTAACAATAGAATGATGTCCTGCTTAATCTTTACTCCCTAGGCTATTTGTCATATTATATTTACAAGTCATTTGAATATTGTATGTATCAAATTTCCTCTCTTGACCCCCCGTTTTTGCCAAAATGTCTCATAAATTCATGAATTAAAAGTAATATTAAATAATCTGAAACTCACAAAGCATTGTGTCAGCTTCTCTATCTTGCCTTTGCTATATATTACTAACTTTAATAAATGTTTGTTTATTAATCAATCCATTCATTCCAGAAACAATTAGAAGACAGTATCTTGAGTTAGATGTACTTAGAATGAGTCCCAACTCCAAAATTGCAAACTTTGCACAAGTCATTCAACCTTTTTGTGACTAGGTATACTCACCACCAGTAAATTGGAAAAGTATAGTACTTTAGGGTTATTGTGAGGGTTAAATGACTACCTATAAGTGTCAGAACAGTGTCTAGTATTTAGTGAATGCTATAGAGGTTATGCCTCATATGCATCAATGGGTTGAGATCTGCCTTTGTGGTATGATTGTGATGGGCATATCCCTGTTAAATTTCCATCCTGGACCTCCTGTAAATAGCAGCTATTATTGACTACACTAGCCTGAAAAAAACTGTTTTTCATGATATTATAGCATTTGAGATTTATTCTCTTTTCTGGAAGACTTTTTAACCTTCCAGAGTCCCATTGGAGAGGTTGATATGGAGCTGAGTTACGTAAAAATTTTCTAATAACATTAGTTCAGAAAAAGATGTATGGAGATGGTAAGTTGATTGGAGATAAGGTAATTAAAGAGGCTATGGTCAGGCAGAAGCACATAGCTGTAAGTTGTGACCACATGAAACAAACCCTGCTTTCTCCAAACATTTGCTTCTGATTAGTTTTAGGGAAACAGCCAGTGTCATGGTGATTCACTGTATGATCATCTATATTTAAAGACACAGATGTCCATCTCTCCAGTCCTTTCCTTTTTTCCTGCACTCTGGATTCTGGTTTCCAACCTCTTCTTGGAGGTCTCTCATGGTCACATCAAACTGCACAAGTCCAAGCATGAACTAATGACAACCATTCTCAAACCCACTTCTCCTCCTGCATTTATCTCCCAGAGAATGGTACAACCATTCCCTGTAACACCAGCTAGAAACTTGGGTGTCACTTGAACCTCTCCCTCAGAATCTTCTGTTGGATAAAATTTATATTTTGATAAATATTTGCTTTTTTAACCCTTTTTCTCTGTTCCCATTCCTTCAGAAGTTCATATCTCATTTGGATTATTGCAGCAGATTCCAAACTCTTCTTCTTCTCTTCTGTTGAGCCAATGCCAATCTTTGGCATTGTCATCAAAACAGACCTTCTGAATATTGAATCTAATTATGTCATTGCCCTGTTTGGACACTGAAAGATTTTTCAGAGTAGCTTTAGGTTGACAGTAAAATTGAGAAAACAGTGCAAAGATTTCCCAAATACTCCTTGTTTGTGCACATGCATAGCCTCCCCTGTTATGAACATTTACCACCAGAGGGGTACATTTGTTACCATTTATGAGCTTACATTGACACATCATTATCATCTAAAGTTCACAATTTACAATAAGTTTCACTCTTGGTGTTTTACATTCTATGGGTTTGAACCAATGTATAATGACATGTATCCTCCCTTATAGTAGCATACAGAATATTTCATTGGCCTAACAATCTTCTGCCTATTTACCTCTCCCTTTCCCCTAAACCCTGGCAACCACTGATATTTGTACATTCTCCATAGTTTTGCCTCTTCCAGAATGTCATATAGTTGGAATCATAGAATATGTAGCTTTTTAAGATTGGAATCTTTCATATAGTCATAAGCGTTTGAATTTCCTCCATGTCTTTTCATGGCAATAGCTCATTTCTTTTTAGTGCTGAGTAATATTCCATTGTCAGGATGCACCACAGTTATGTCCTTAATAACTGAAGGACACCTTGGTTGCCTCCAAGTTTTGGCACTTCTGAATAAAGCTGTTATACACATACTTTTGCAAGTTATTTACACTGAAGAATTTTAAGGTTGAAATGCTGTAATATTGGCCACAAAGCTTCCCAAGGTCTATTTTCTGCCTTTCTACATCACCTTCTCTCAGTGCAGCACATAAACTAAACAAAATTTAGTTCCAAATCCTCAAGATGGTTTGTTTGTTTGTTTATTTGTTTATTTTTTGCCTCTGACCCTTTGCACCTGCTGTGTTCACTCTGAGGAATGCTTTGCCTCCAGGCTCTGCATGTCCCTCTCCTTCCAGTATGTAGTGTTTGGCTGAGGAGACATCTCTTCTGCTCAGATGATCATCCCATGTTGTTGGCAGAAGTCTGAGTACCTGATTCTCCTTTCACTTTGGTCCTATCCCATACTGGACCACAAAGTTTCTTGAGGGCAGAGATAGGGTATATCTTTACTTTGTATTCCATGTACTTAACACAATGTCTAGTTTCAAATACATTTTGATTAATGAATAAACAGGTATCATATGAGAGTGAGCTGTGAGCTGACTTTGGCTACATCATCTACCAGAGAGAGGTTTCAGGCAAAAATATTCTTTGCTTCCTAACCAGAAGAGTTTAAAACAGGCAGAAAACATCTATATTTGGGAATAAATACACTGTATCAAATATATTGAATATCATTTCAAATTCCTGCATAGGGCAACAAATGTAGGTAAGGATCTGCCATGGTGACAAGCAGTAGGGCATCAGGAAAGGATTCATGAGGAAGATCAAAGTAGCCTCTTTTTCTTCTCCTACTAGCTCAAATAACATGTGATGTTAGGGAACCATACTGCTCATGAGGACCTTTCATTTGTCTTTTAAAGATGTGTGGGTTTAGAGTAGTTTAGAGTAGTCCACATTCCTTGCAGCTCTACAGTTCTCTAAATTGTTGGCAAAAATTATATAATCGTATCATGGTTTGAATTTTATCTTGATTTACTATATCTCTATAACTTGAGTCTTTGAATTTACAATAGGTATTAAGATACAATTTCAAGAGATGTGTGATGCTGGGGAATATGGCATTTGATGATTAAAATATAAGTTAATTCATTGAGCATTTATTGGGTACTTAGTAGGAGCACTATGGTATTTTAGATATAGTGAACATTGCAAAAAAGAAAAAATCAGGATGAAACAGCAGTCATAAATGGCTCTAAAATCTAACTGGGGAAGCAAAATTTAAAACAAGAAGGAGAAGAAAGAAGATGTTCTAGGATACTGACCTTGCTTAGGAGCTACAAAGTAGTCTGAAACACGTGAAATGTCAGGGTTGCTGAGGAAGGCCTGATAGTAAAATGATGGATTTATCTGGGTCTTTAAAGCTTTCCAAAAGTGATGGTAAGGGGGAAAATAGGATGTAAGCAAACACAAAGCCAAGGACATTGCCAAGCGTGTCCTGGGGATTGGAAGGCAAGGGGGAAGGATGTGGATCTTCGTGTGGGAGAATTGCCCACAGGGAGAATGGGATGGAAGCAGGGACTAGATTTGCCGACAGCTGAGAATGGAGCTGGGTAGCAAACACCACCAAAAAGAGACACTCCAGAGTCTGAGCAGGGCCACAGATGAAAAGGAGAGATCTGCCTCAAGGGAAATGGAAAACATGAAGGGACCCCTCCGCAGGTATCACAATATTCTAGAGTTTAATCCAGGGTGGCAGTGTTCCTCCCACCTTGAGTGACCTCCCTTATAGGAGCGTACAAACTGGAACAAATACACATTTAAACAATATGAACGGGACTTGGCATTTTTGTATCGTGTCTGGTGCTTCATCTGTCTTATTAACTCCCCAACTGTCTGTCTGCATGGGTCTCTGCCTGTAAATCGATAAATAAAGAGTTCTACCTTTTGTGCTGTTGTCTGTTTATTCTAGAACCAATGCCCCTTTCAGTGTAAATGTTGGTACCTTACCCTTTGTTTTCCTGGGTGGTATCATATTACCAAACCAAGGACTCTCCTTTCTTTATTTCTTTACTCTAGAAGCTATGTTACTAAGCAGGCAGCCCCCACTTCTGAGGAGAGACAGTTTCTTGCTCAGCAAGCAATGCTTTCTTCCCAGCAGGGGATTAGATGGGTGCATATATATATATTTTTGTTTTTTTTGCAGCCCGAATATCAAGGTTCTAGAGGCAAAATTCAAAGCAAATGAAACACTCATCTTATCTGTCTATGGTTATAATGATTTACTCACCCACTAAAATTTAGATTTATCTAAATTAGATTCACTTAAATTCTCTTGTCTGTCATCCCTGTTAGAAAACATGAAGGTTTTCTTTCTTGTTGATGAAGGAGCTGAGACTCAATTTTCAGCCTGTTTATTCTTTTTTTCTGTCTCTCTGTCCCCACCCTCTCCACACACATACCCCTGCTCATTCTGACACACTCACGTATGTTCTCATAGGGAGAGGGCCCAGCCTCAGCTGAGGGAGCGCTTAGAGGGAGGTGTATGCAGCTTCAGCTGCAGATTAATGAGCTATTTGACTGGGACATGACGTTGGTTTAACAGCATTTTTTCTCAAATGTGGTGTGATCAGGAATTTGCAGAAGTTTATTCTTAGCTCTTTCTTTTGGCTTCTGCAACATGTTAACAGCTTGTGCATTTTGTAATGCCTTTTTTCATTACCATGGTAACCATTAAAACTTAAGGTATATGTGACTGAAGATCTGGCCAAGCTATTGGTTAGTGGCATGCTGGAAGGCAGTGAAATAAAAACCACATCTAGTCGGCAGCTTTTTACAGGTGTGTCTTTCCTTAATTAACCTGGCATGTAAAATTTCTGTATAACAAAATATTAGGAGATAGTTATTCACTTCAGAGAGAATTGACAAATTCACTTTTATATGGTGAATTCCTTCATTCATTTTAAAATAGGATTATTTTGACCACATGTTGCTTTCTCTTCAGAGTGAATATGCAAACCTTGAGTTATTAAATATTAGAAAAGAGTCATGAATTTGATTTTAGAGCTAAGTTTAATTGGTAGACAAACACTGTGCCTAGATCTCCTCATATTTTTAGTTTAGTTTAGTTTTGTTTTAAACATTGTATGATCAGCTCTGTCAAGAATAGTATGGCAATTAATTAACTATTATCATGTTTAGTTCACGTCGTCAGTGTTAAGCAAATCCAGGCAAGTATGTCAAGCAAAACAACAACAAAAACAAACAAGTTAACAAACCTAATAGCAATAACAGAAAACAAACAAAACCAACCAAAAACCCAATGACAACAAAAATTACTATCCCGACTATGAAAAGGTCAATGGCTGTTTAATATAACTGGTTGCTATTTTAATTTTATTTCCCAGTTCGGCAAAGCTTTATTCTCTTCAGCACTATGCTGGGCATCGTAGGAGGTACTGAAAACTTGTGAGGAAAAGTTCCTATTTTCAATGATTTTGGCAAACTATTCGGAAATAAGACTTGCATAAAGGAAATAGAGATAAAACACAGTTATGTGTTAAAATAAATATCCCCAGAAATAGGCCCTGAGAAAGTGGAAGACACTGTAGACTTGATAGTCAGAAAAATCTTTATTTAGAAGGAGTAACTTGGGCTCCATGTTGAAAGATCAGATGAGACTTGGCTAGCCAGACAGCGAGACTAAGATCATGGTATTTCTGAAGAAATATTTTTTCATAATAGGATGCATCAGTGATATAAACACGGTTGCTTGCAAGTATAGGACAGTGAATACTGGATGAGAAGATGATTCATGCTCAGGTGAAAATAACATTTTGCTTAAAATATTGAAATTCTTATGAAGTATGAGAATATTTTCTCATAGTTCAAATGAAGGTGACAGCCTTTCCCCATCCAAGAGGAAGATGACAAATTCATGCTGAACACAACAAAGTCTGACAAACTCTTATCTAAGGCTGTAACACATTTTAGGCAGAGAAAAAATATTTTAAAAATAATAACTTGATGAAACTCATAGATATTATAATAGTACTATGCAAGCCAGAAAAGTTTTCTTTTATTTATTTATTTATTTATTTATTTGAGACGAAGTTACATTCTTGTGGTCCAGGCTGGAGTGCAGTGGCGCAATCTTGGCTCACTGCAACCTCCACCTCCCAGGTTCAAGTGATTCTCCTGCATCAGCTTCCTGAGTAGCTGGGATTACAGGCAACCGCCACCACGCCCAGCTAATTTTTGTATTTTTGGTAGATTCAGGGTTTCACCATGTTGGCCAGGCTGGTCTCGAACTCCCGACCTCAGGTGATCCGCCCTCCCTGGCCTCCCAAGGTGCTGGGATTACAAGCGTGAGCCACCATGCCTGGCCAAAAGTATCTTTCTTAATAAAGATTTTGGGGTACAGTGTTTCTTCTCCTTCTCACCAAATTAATCTACAATGATTAAAATTTGAGTTGTGGTCATAGATGAAATAACAGATACAACCACCCAACATCTACCTGTTTAATAAACATAGTTCTGGAAAAAAACCCTCTTCAGTTGTTGTTTTTCACAAAGATAGCATCTAATATTGCCTGCTTCCACACTCAATCACTGGCACATGTTTGTTTCATCAAAAATCTCATTCATGAGAGGCACCCAAAGACAGAGCATTGTGCAAAATGTTGTCTTGATGCCAAAACTGTCAGAACTGTCCTGGATTCTATTATCTCTACTAAAACTAGGATACATTTTAGCATTTTATTTGTGATTCCAAGATTCTCTAACTCACCAGAGCACTTCCTGCTTTGAGCATCTCTGCCTGCCCTGTTGTTCATAGCAATAGAACTGTATGAAAACCTCCTCGCCAAATTAGTAGTTACCCATTAACCAATAAGTTAGTTGATAGAAGAGTTGACTACATAAGAAGTTAAAAAAGTGGGAACCCCTACTACCTGATTAAATGAGCAAGAAAAAGTTTTTGACATTTCCTTTTTTGTCATACTGTTACTTGATAACTGACCCCAAACTATCGTCTGCTCTGCTGTTACAAACATGAGGACCAAAGGACAAGTCATTACACACAAACACACACAAGCCCACCTTTCTCCTTCTGCTCTAACAAGGAAGTCTACATTAACGGTATCACTTCCCTTTTAGTTTAGTGTATTTACTTCTGTGAAAGTAATAATACCATTATAAGGTTAGGAAATCGTCCTTAAAATGTAATCAGTCACTGGCAGCTCAGTGTGAGTGAGTTTATTACCATTCAACAGAAACAATTACCTTGGCTGAAAATGCACAAATACCTGGAGATACTTGGAAATCTGCAGAGTGAAAGCAAATACCCAAAAGTCGACGAAGGGCCTGATGGTGAGTTAAATGCAAAGATGTGTTTTGTTTTGGAGTAGGGAGAACTAGATTTTTATTCTGACTTTAAATGGCAAAGCCCAGTGAGTTAGACTCACTAATTTTGTTGAGTGTCAATTTATTTATGTGCCATATAAAATAATTGAACTAAATACCTCTAATTTATATTCTAAAGTTATATTTATATGATTATAATCACAAATTCACCAGTGATCTGTCCTTCTGTAGTGGACGATTGCTAATTGATAAAACACAATAGATTAATGACTAGTCTCATCAAATTGTTTTGCTTTGTTTTATCTTGAGACGGCGTCTCGCTCTGTCACCAGGCTGGAGTGTAGTGGCGCAATCTCGGCTCACTGCAACCTCCACCTCCTGGGTTCCAGAGATTCTCCTGCCTCAGCCTCCCGAGTAGCTGGGACTACAGGCATGCACAACCACGCCCAGCTAATTTTTGTATTTTTAGTGGAGACACGGTGTCTCCACATTGGTCAGGCTTGTCTCAAACTCCTGACCTCGTGATCCGCCCACCTCAGCCTCCCAAAGTGCTGGGATTACAGGCATGAGCTACCACGCCTGGCCATCAAATAGTTTTTTAAAATCCTATAGAATTAGTGAAATAAAATAGCCCTGAATTATTAATCTTGATCTTTCCTATTTTCACTAGAGCCCTGTTTTAGGTAGAATTCTCAAATGATTCCCAAATTCCTGCTCCTTTATGTGCACACCTTGTAGAATTCCTTCTTCTTGAGTATAGGAAGGACATGTGAATATGATGAGATCCCTGTTCCCTTGATTAGATTATGTTATAGGAGACTGTATTGGCCTGTTTCACAGGGAGAAGTCAATGAGACACAGTCCTATTGGGCTGAAAGAAAGCAAGCATCCATGTTGTGAGATGCCTATGGGGTTCATGTGACAAGGAACTGTGGATGAACTCTAGCAGCTGAGAGCAGTCCCTGGCTATTTGATAGCTAACAAAGAAACGGGGACCTCAGTCATACAACTGCAAGGAAATGAATTCTGCCAACAACCAGTGAGTTGGGAAGAGACCCTAGAGCCTCCGATGAAATTCACAGCCCTAGCTGACACCTTTATTATCATTTGGTGAAACCCCAGGAGAAGATCCAGCTAACCCAGACTAAGACTTCTGACCCACACAAACTGTGAAATAAGAAATCTGGTTATTTTAGGCTGCTAAGTTTGTAGTAATTTTTCATGCAGCAAAGAAAGCTAATACCACCCCCTTCTAGCACCACTCATTTTGGAAGACTTTGTTCATATAAGCAAATGCAAATATCTGAATTGAGTGGACATTTGAAAAATATTCGCCCACAAATTTGACAAAGAATTAAAGGGACTCTGTAGGCAAAGCTGACCATGTGAAGGTAGGTTTTCCTTGGGTGATTATGGTCTCATTTAAGACTTGGGCATTCAGACCAATACTCACCTTTATGTCTGTCTAGTCCCTTGTGTGTGGCTGCTTTGGTAATAGTATAAGTACATGTTGTATGTTTGTATTTATTTGGTAACGAATCACATCAGATATTTTAGGGGTAGGTGTTGAATCTCTTATATTGGGTATAACTATGCAAGCCTGTCATTGGGGAAATTTTCTCCTGACCTCAGCTGGTGATCAGCTTATGCCCCGAAGCATGAGAATTGATAGGCCTTATAATTTTACCCAACCTAATGTAACAGCAGCTGCTGTCCTTGGTGCTTGCTATCTGATTAAATTCCCAAATTAGGAATTGCCTTTTGTAACCTGAATTCTGTCATGGTGGTAAAATCTGACAATAACTGCTCTCATTTTTACCTCGCCCACCATAGAGTGTTTCTTCAATAACACATCAACCATCTCAGACCATCACATATTACTCTTGCACTTTATTAGAATTTGGAAATTTTGTAATCCTACTCAAAATGAGATTGCATGCTTTCTAATGTAAGAAAGGAGACAGAGAGGCCAATTCAGCTCTAAAACTGCAATTGTTTGCCTTCCTCCAGGGACACATCTCACAGATTGCCATGAAAATAAATTGGAAAGTTTACAATTCCAAATCATTGCCTACCATGTATTACTTCACAGACAAAAACAAACACTACCACCACCATCACCACCACCAAGAATACAAGAAAATATATCCGTGAACTTTCATCTCTTCAAGAGGAAAAATGCATTACAATTAGATTAGACTATAACCATTCAGCAAGTGTGTTGGTTTTCTGCTTCTCTTAAAATGATTTATTATTTATTACTATATTTTTCAAGATTATCTTCTTTATCCCTTTAGGAAAGGAGCAGTTTGCCTCTCTCTGTGATTACCAAACCAGAGTGAAAGCCTTCAACTACGGACCACTGCAATTTCCACCATAACAGGCAACCCAGCAATTAGAACTGTTTGTTACAGTGACAGCAGAGAGAACCATTTTCAAGCAACAAGGCACAGGAGCAGGAGCTGGAGGAAGAGAGAGCCTGTTCATTTGAAGGGGACTAACGCCACACAGCAGCTAATCCTGGAATGGCAGGCAGTTTTGGGAACTGCCTATCCTGCAAAGGCTGAGATATTCACAGACATTCTTGAACTTTTGGAAATGGTCTAATTCTGCTTTTTTCTGACCAGGAATACAATTGGGTCATAAAATTTGGCGTTTGGGAAGAGACAAAGGTTTATCTTTAGTCCAGTGCATAATTTAATTTCTTACTTCAATATTAAAAATGAAAACATAAAGGTAGGCACTTTCTTTTCAAATTCTGGATTTTAGTGAGTATTTCGGTGCTCAGAAAACATCTCACAATTGAAACTTTGCAAACAGAGTCATGTTTGTTTACAACAAAAGTACTTGAAATAAAACTACAGCATGTTATTCTGTTGCCACTTTGTCATTTATTCTCATTTTCATATGTTTTAAATTATGTTACAAATTTATTGATAGCTTGGGAGAAAATGCCAATTTTGATATCTTTTTTCTTTCTTTTTCTTGTTATTATTTTTCTTTTCTTCCCCTGCTCCTTTCTTTCTTTTTAATACACTCTTCTTTTGTTACCATTGCATTTAGTCCTTGATATAAGCAATGACAAACTACCTATCTCCAGTACATGTCAGGTTATCTTTGGATTTTATTTCTCCCTGTCTCAAATGAAGCAATAATACTACTCACTTACCACAAAGAAACCATCTGAGAATTAATAAAATATTGTGGACTGTTTGATCTTCTCCGAGCGAGGTACTTTTTCCTCCTTTGTTCAAGAGCTATTATTATTGAGAGATTGAATGAATAAATAGCCACATGCAGATAATTTTTAGACAGTGAATAAGCATCTTCCTAGATATTTTTGTGGCAGATATTTGAATATATAACCTTCTCTATTCTTTAATGAAAAGTCAGGCTATGAAGCAAAAGTCTATGAATATGCATCTTTTCTAAGAGAAAGCATACACCAGACTGGATGGTTTACACGGAAGGTTGAAGGAATGTTTTAGTCACTGTTTTCCAATCTGCTTTTTCAGAAGCAGGTATTGCTAATGTAGAAAAAAATGTTGGTAGTCTTTCTCTTTTGTTTGGTTTAAAAAGGATGAGGCTTTGTTTTCTTCCTGTTATTCATTTTGCAACTGCACAACTACTGCTCCGGCACCGCAGCAGCTTTTGCCAGAGTCAGAGGTGAGGTCATGCTTGACTGAAGAAATCTAAGATCAATTTGTTGTCTCATATTTCAACATTAAATGCAGCTTGAAATATAATTGTTAGTCCATGCACTCTGTGCTTTAAGGAAGTGTTCCAGCATCTCAGAACAGGGAGTGTGGTTATCAGTGATAAACCACAACGTGTACCCTAAACCACGGCTAACCAGAATTTTCAGGCTGAGAGAGACAGAAAGAGGGGCAGAAGGGAGACTGGAGAGGGAAAAGACAAAAAAAGACAGAGCTTTGGGGAGTCAAAAGAAGTGAATGGCTTGAAAAGCAA
The DNA here is from genome assembly GCF_000001405.40 of Homo sapiens. Lineage (NCBI taxonomy): Eukaryota > Metazoa > Chordata > Mammalia > Primates > Hominidae > Homo > Homo sapiens. The sequence goes on from NC_000018.10 coordinate 40,414,863, forward strand.
TTGGAACAATTTGGAAATTTGCAAATAAAATTGCAATTAAAATATTTCATTTATAAATTATTTTGTTTTATTCTTGTCCCTACTTAAAAGGCCCCTCCTCTCCTGGTACAGCTTCACAGATCTTGCGTGGAGGGGAGACCTATGATACCACTCAGGGCAAGGGATTTCTGGTTTCCCCTTTTAGGAATATTTGCATGCTGACAAACAGCTGCTGGGGAGGACAGACTGTGTTTTTTCGGGGGACTAGGGAGGGAGCAGGTAGATTGATGGTCCTGAACTGGGTAGCTAAAGATTTTTCAGATGCCCTTTGAAGCAAGGCTTTTAAATATCCCCGCATTGAATTTAGTAAAAAAGAAAAAGGTGTAATCATCAAATCCTGGTTTGTGGCTCCACAATGAGAGTTAACACTGAGTCACGAGCTTATGGTAATGATTTCAGGTCAGATACATCATGTGTGAGTCTTCTATAAAGGGGTGGTTCCTTAGATGAAATAAAAATGCATCCACTTAATTGAATATAGAACTGTCTAGGACTTACTTGATGATGCAATCTTCCAGAAGTCCTGAAAAAGCCATCCTGGAGGTGTCCTTTCCATCATTCTGGGTAGAGAGACAAGGACATGTGTGTCCTGTCTGGCCAAGAGAGTAAGACACAATGTTTTGACTTATTTGTTAATGAAAGTATTTCCTTAGCCGAGATGCAGCTTGGGATCCTGGAGAGGGCAGGATTCCATCACCAGACAGGTGAAAATGTGTGTTCCCATCCCATCATTTACTACCTGTGTGACCATAGAAAATTTACTCAGGCTCCAAGACCAGTTTTCTCATTAGTACAAAGGACACAATTGTATTTGCACTGAATGACTTGAAAGATGATGAACATAACAGTTACCCTTTCATAGGTACCTATTTGTGTCAAACTTAGCAAAGAGCTTATATATATATCATTGTGTTTAATCTTCGCAATCTGGAATAATGAGTATTATCCCCATTTTGAGAGTGAGAACTGAAAAGTGCTAGAGTAATGTTCTCAAGGGCACACAGCTATTAAGTGAGAGAAAGATATTCAAACTCAGGTTTGCTTGCCTCTAAAGCCTTTGTTCTCCTGTCTATTGAAACAAATCTCAGTCTTTCTGTAACATTTACTTTGCTGACTCTGCACATCTTTGGTGACATCCTGTTCTGTGTCTTTGGGCCAGCGGAGCCAGGCAAGAGAGACTGCTCAAACGAGTATCTGCACCAGTCCTGTGTCCTGGATTCTAGAACAACATTGACATTTTTTTTTTCATTTTTAAATCCCTTAAATTATTTGAAGATGATATCCATGGTCCCTCAAGACTTCTGTTTTCCAAATTAAATGCCTGCAATCCCTCAAGCATTTTTCTGAGGATCTGGCTTCCAGAATGCTCCAAATCCTAGTTATTTTTGAGTTAATTATTTTCTTCCCTTATCCACATGAAATATAACAATTTTACTATGAAGAAGAAAAAGTACAATCCAGCCTCTTGGAAGAATACTTAATCAATTCTGTTTTCATAAAAATCCATTTTTGGTTTATTTTATTCTTTCATTTTTCTCTTCAAGATTTCTCCAGCAATGATAGGGAATTATAGATGCTTTTCTAGTCAAACTACCTTTGTTATCTCCATGTGGGATTTATCATGACAGCTTGGACTATGGAGTGTGGGCTGCACCTTGGCCAAGAGGTCTCTAGTTCTGGGTAGTATCAGGTTGGTGCAAATGTAATGGCGGTTTTTGCCATTAAAAGTAATTGCAAAAACCACAGTTACATTTGCACCAACCTAATATTAACCCAGTGGCCTGGTCCAGCCACTTAGGTCTTCACTGAGGCACATAGAGGTGGGTGTTGGTCTCTATATCAACCCCAAAGGGAACTTCAGTATTAGTCTGGACTTCAGAAACCTAAATTTCAGAGAAGATACTGTATAAACAAGAAGAGCATTGAAAACAACATGGACTTTTTCCTTTTAATTTTCAAATCCAAGTATGTCATTTATGTCCTGTGACTGTCACCAGAACATAACCTGTGAAAAAAGTAAGGAAAGTATTACTGTTACTTTATTGATGAGGATATTGAGGTTCGGAACATTTAAAGCATTGCCCAAAAATTCAGCCTTGTTTTGATGATGGTAGGTGCTCAGTGGAAGTTTATGAGAGCCTACACCAGTCAATGGGCTGAGTGATACTGACTAAGAGAAAGAGAGATGGCCTTGCCAAGCAACCAGGAACCAAATGAGAATTCTGGAAAGACCTTTGTTTAAATGCACAGCCACTGCCTATTTCTAACACAGGATAGTCTCAGCAGTGGCCTGAATTTTTGATTGTGAAGTAGGGAAGAGGAGCATTGCAACATGATGGAAGAAAAATGGGAGTCACGGAGGTGGAACTGTGTTTTTTGTAGTAATCCACAATGCTATAATTGAGGATGAAGGGTGAAAGAGGCACAATTATCTTTCTGTGTGAACTTGTGAGTCAGGCATTGGCTAGGACATAGATGATTTGGATTCAGAATCTGACTCTGTCATGCCAAAGTTAACAGACATCTCACTTAAGTGCTCCAGATCAGTTTCATCACCTGTCAAGTAAAAGATCAAATTAACTGTAAGGACCCATTGAGCTCCAAAATTGTATAATTCCATGTCTTATTCCCTTGGAAGACATCAAGATTACAGTAGATTTGGTATACTTAGATTACCAGCCAGAAAGCATGCAAATTACTCTGATTCTTAGATAATTATTTTCACTTTGTGTCACCTTTGTAGAATTACCCCTCAGGGGTATTTGCAAACATAAATGTAATTTCCCTGCAGTTCGTGATGATTAACATTGCATTGATATTTACTGTCAGGTGCCAGTCACAATATGAATGCTAGAGCTGTAAAGGTGGCCCAGACAGCTCTTTCCTCAAATGCATTACAAGGTAGTAGAAAGGACAGTTATAGACAGATCATTTTAATAAAGGAAAGTCACCAGGTCTAAGACAGATGGCATATGCATTTAGCCAGACAAACAAGCATGGCCAGGACAAGCTAAAGTTTGTAGGTAAGAAGAGTTATACTCACCAGGTTCAGAGCCAAGTAGAGGCTGTGTTTCAGATCAGGTTTCTGGTTAACAAGGAGCACTATTCTTGCTCTTTTGAAAGACCTGGGATGTTATTTTTATATACAGTAAATAAAGTTCAATGTAATATTTGAGTCCTCAGATTTCAAGTATCTGAGGCCTTCTTTTTCATTAATATTGAAGAGGCATAATCTAAGATATTATTTTATATGTATACAGGCAGTGGGTTTCATTTCCTGGATATCCCAAGAACCCAGGCACAGCTGAACTTCCCCTGTATGTCGCCCTCTGAAACACTACTCCTGGTGACTCCTGGATGTCTGAGCACTCTTGAAAGCTGGGTTATCCTCAAAATCCACCTACCATCAAGTTGTTCAACACCTTTCTCAGCATCTCTTTGCTATATGCTTTAAAATCCATTGGGAAAATTCCCAAATCGGAAAGCATCAAAGAATTACACAAAGAAGACAACCCTTGACCTTTATCGTTCACTATCTCATGCTCCTAGCACAGCACAGAATAGCCAAATGGTTAGGAGCAGAGTCACTACAGAGTTGCTACCCAGGTTTAAATCCTGGCTGTCATATTTACTAGAATGTGACTTAGCTTCTCTGTCACCATGAAGATTACATTCATTATACTTATAATGTTGCCACACAAGTTGGCCATGGAAAGCACCTGGATCTCTACCCAGCACATACTAAGCATAATATTTCTTTAACTATTATCAGTCGTATTATGAAGACCCAGCCCCAGTAAAGTATTTCTTTTTCAGAAAAAAAAAGCACTATCTTTTCCCAAAGATAAATACTACACCCACTTGGAGAATGTGGTAATGGCTACAGTTTTTTTCAAAAACTGTTTATCTTTTGTTCTTGCTATTCTAGCCTGAATTTTAAAATAACAATTATTGTTCTTTCTATAAAATTTTTGTGAAATAGCCAGTGCATTAGTCAGAATTCTCCCAAGAGACAGAACCAATAGGACACCCCACCCCCACCGGCCAATGCACACACAATAGAAATTGGCCTTCATGATTATAGGGGCTGAGAATTTCTATGATCTCTTGTCTGCAAGCTGGAGACCCAGAAAATCTGGTAGTGTAATTCAGCCTAAGTTGGAAGGCCTGAGAACAAGGGAAGCCAATAATGTAAGTTCTGTTCCAGTTCATAGGCCCCTGGTCCATGAGTGCTGATGTGTGAGGGAAGGTAAAGATGGATGTCCTAGCTCAAGAAAAGGGAACAAAGTCACCTTTCCTGTGCCTTTTTGTTCTGTTTAGGTCCTGATGAATTGGGTGATGCCCATCCACATTCTTTTTTTTTTTTTTTTGATGGAGTCTTGCTCTGTCACCCAGGCTGGAGTGCAGTGGTGCGATCTTGGCTCGCACCACTTGATCCTGGGTTCAAGCGATTCTCCTGCCCCAGCCTCCCAAGTAGCTGGGACTACAGGCGCCCACGATCACACCTGGCTAATTTTTTGTATTTTTAGTAGAGACGGGGTTTCACTCTGTTAGTCAGGATGGTGTCAATCTCCTTAGCTCATTGATCTGTCTGCCTCAGTCTCCCAAATTGCTGGGATTACAGGAGTGAGACACGACGCCTGGCCCCCACATTCTTAAGAGAAAGATCTCAGCCTACTTAATTCAAATGCTAATTTCTTCTGGAAACCTCCTCACAGACATATCCAGAAATAATATTTTATTAGCTACCTAGGTATCCCTTAGGCCAGTCAAGTTGTCACATAAAATTAAAGGTCACAGGCAGTATCTATGTCAGGAGGAGAACAGCATCTTAGAGAGTTTTGATTTTGGGAAAATCACAGAAATTACATTACAAAAGAACTTCAGCCATCAGCTTGCCATTATTTAACCATATACCTTTATCAAGCATATTGGAATACAAGGCCCAGGGAGTCTTTTCCAAGGTCACCAAGGTTATGCAGGAGATTTAGAGCTAACATCCGTGCTTCCTGACTTCCAGTTTAATCTCACCTCTTAGTTTAATATCAACTCTTAGTTTAATCTAACCTCTTAGGTGACGGCCTCTTCAGACCACTTCTACAAGTGAGAGCTATGGCTGAGAAACTTTCCAACCCTGCAGGCTATCTACCAACTAGTACAATCACCACTCTACCACTACAAATACTTTCCCCACAATGTCATACATGAACATGCATGTTATACACATGTACTTTTACACACATTCATATACTAACATGTACACTCACAGATGCACATACATTCACAAACAGCTATGCACTTGCATGAACACACATACACACATCTCACTCAAATATAGTCATGCACACACATTTGTACATGGACATACACACACTCATATACAGGCACACACACAGTTCCTATTGGTTAACATATAACACATTTCTTTTTTCATTCTTAGACTTGGAAAATTCATGTTCATTCTTAAAAATTTGATTCTGGGAGTCCCTCTTCTCTGACCAGTCTCCAGAGATAGACCACACATCTTCTGTGTTACTCAAGACACTTCATAAGTTTCTCTTATTTCATGCGTTATATTCTATCATTTTGTGCAATTCCTTTTTTGTAGTACCATGTACAGTATAACTGCCTTCTGGAAAAGCAACATATTTTGTTTTCTTTTGTTTCTTTGTAACCTACTGGAGTACTTGTCATGATAAGTGTTTCTTAAACTGAAATAAACTGCTGATTCTGTGTTATAAGTAATAGAGAATAAAGTATTCCAGGAGATGAGGCAATACATATGACCCTGATGCTTGAGCTATGTCCCTTCATCTTGCATTTATGCCTAACTTTGCAGTAGAATTGCTGTAACTCACTCATTCATTTAAAGAATGTTTCAACCGTTGTGTGATAGACTATGTGCCAAGTGCACTGAGGGTAACAAATCTCAGTGTCAAATATCTTGTCTTCAAAAAGGGTGCCATCTGGGTTGAGGGTGGGGTGGAGACAGAGGAATACAGCAATTCATGAATACTGCCATAAAAACAGAGAGCTAAGTGAATGAGAAAAGAGCCCTAAGGATATCCAGAGAAAAGGAAAGGATAATCTGGAAAAACTCTATGCCAGCCTCCTGCCTCTGTTCCTGGTATTTGCCAGCCCCCAGTTTCCACCCCTAGCATTGGATCTTTAATCTGGTCTTAGAGGAAAAGAGGCTCTCTACATCCCAAGTCCTAGAGAAGCCCTCACTCACAGGAGACTAACATGATCTGACCATTACCACTGAATCTCACCATATGTAATTCCACTTCAATTATGGCACAATTTTACATTGCAGAATACAAGTCAGGTTAAAATAACTTCATATGCTGGCTCTCTTGTTCAATATTCTAGGAAAAGGCATACCAAAGAAAGACCAAAGTACCAGACATACTGGAAAACCCAATTAGCTCAAGCTATTAAAAAAAATTACATAGATTCAAGACTGAAAGCCTAGGACAAAGAGAGGACAATGCAGTGAAGAAATAAAAACAATAGTTTTTGACAGGAAGGAATGAGAAGATAAATTGAGAGCCATAGGCATAGAGGAAAACAAGAGCAAGGAAACGTTTGAGAAAATTCTTCTGCCACCTTGCTCCATGAGCCTTCAGGGCCTGCAGGGGCAGCAGAGATTGGTGTTTATGGTTTTTTATGCCAACAGAACCTGAATGTTCTCCTCCCTCTTATTTCTCTCTGTAGGGCTCTCTATCTCCTTGAAAGAAAGGATGGCTGCAGTTTAGAAAAAGCAAAACAGGCCTAGATGGGTGTCAGAAACACTGGGAAGGCATAGACATGCCCACTGTCTCTCCAAATCTCACTACCATCCCTACCCCTTTATAGCCAACACCCTAGCTGACCTCTGTGCCTGAACTGTGGTGCCATGAAGGAAAGTTTACTCTTCAAGCTTAAGGAAAGCTACCAGCACATGAAACACGGGAGAAGAAATGCAGCATCTTAACAGCTCTCTGCAAGACAGAAGACCAACATGATACTCTCCAGGGAGCAGAATATGGTCATGGGAAGTGACAAGGCTCAAGAGGGGCCAGGTCATTGTGAGGGAATTTATTATGAGGAGAAAAAAAAAAGGAATATCAAAATAAGACAGAAAGGGACCACAGAGATCAATTTTATCTGTACCTTCAAAGTCCATCCCCTTTTCCTCCACCAGACCCTTCTCTGCATAATGTCCCCATGTCTGCTCATTTGTTCCAGAGATCAGAAGTCTTTCTTGAGAAATACTCATGCTACTGAATCCAAAATGGTGACTCTGTTCTTGTTGATACATTATTACGGTTGTATATTCTCTCCTTGGTGCCTGTGTGTACAGACACAAACACACCCCTCTCCCACACACACTTGCCTTGCAGATTGATGACATGGATTAAAGAAATGTTTCCCAATTGTTTTTGTGACTTCTAAGCATTTTCATGAACATGCCCATGAAAGTCTCACACAATAGGCTTGGGCATTATTATTGTCACTGTATCACAGATGAGGAAACCGAGTCATGGAAGAGAGCTAAGTCGGTCAGAAACAACACAACAGCAAGTAAGTGAAAGAGATTGTATTTACTCTTTTGATCTCCTCTTCCATTCGTTCCAACATATAAGTTTGCCTTTGATATTATCTTACTTGGTTATCATGGCTTTAGATCCAAGTTTTTTCATGATGTCTTTCTGAATAAATCAACCTATGCAATAATCTCCTTTAAAGTATGCTATGATGATGATAATAATAATTTTAGATATTATATAGTCTGATTATCTTTTGCAGTATATAACATGGCAATATATAATTACTTACAAAAATTATACAATTTTACTTAAGAGATGCTGAGTGCTAACTGTATAAGTCAAATTATTTCTTGGCAACATGCTTATCATCTCCAAACAGAATTGCTTGTCTACCAAGCTTTGAGGCACAAAGCATACTTCCAGGGAGTGCTTATCATTTTCTAGTTAATCCAAATAAATATTTTATTTCACCAACTGTATCATAAGCTTTGGAAGACAAAAATTATCATTTATATTTCCTGCATTCTTGAGTAATCTATCCCATCCTTATCTCTGTAGAAGCTAGGCATATAGTATGTGTTCAATTAAATCCAGCTACACAAGTCATAACAAGTTAAATATAAGTCATTAGCCTTATTAGTGCCTTCTGCTGTTGTTTTTGTGGTTACTGCATCTCAATTTCAGTGTTTTTCTGTTTCTCAAATGCTTAGAAAATGCCAAGCCTTCCAACTCCCAGGATTTTGGCAGATCTGCATTTGTGCCAGTTTTTAAGAGAGGCTGAGAAAGCTTCTTTTGAAGAATAATTTCTAGTTATATTTTTTTCAACTGGTAATGTTGCATATTCAGCCAAAACATGAACAACATCACACCAGCCATATTGTATTACATTGTGAAATTGAGAATTGCATTAACAAGATCATCTCATAGGTGTTTCTGAGACAGGAGAAAAGTGCACAATCATTTTCTAAAGGACAAGGATAAAATGGCATCCAATTGAACAGCAGTTGATACCGGAAAAGAAGAGTCCAGCCCAAGTGAGAGTCTGGGCTCCTTTCTGTGACAGACGTCACCCTCCCAGCCAGCCTGCCAGTGCCCCAGCAGCATATGCTGTAATCTGGAAGATGTGGTTTCTAGTTAAAAACCTGGTATCTCTCTGCAGCATGAAAATGAAGTTAGTAATTTCAGGTGAGTATAAAATTTTCCTGGAAAGGTTTGCCTTTAACAGAAGTTGACAGCTTTTTGTTATGTTACATGAACCAAATTTAAGAAAGTTTCTACTTCTTGGTATGATGAGTTATAGCTATTAAACCATCTCCACCTTTCTGAGAAGAAAAAAAAATGACTTTAATTCCTCCATAGACTTTGGCATTTTTTTAAGTTAGAAATACCTGGGTGTTTTGAGAAGGCAGTAGTAGGAGTAAACCTCCACACTCTTTTCTCAGGCCTTACCTAAATCACCAAAGAGAAGAGTGGAGAGTGGGGACAGGTGTTTACCAACACCAGATCTAAATCTTTGCGTGTGTCATGTGATGAGACCAAATCAAAGGAAGATGGCAGGGCATACACAGGGCCATTCCTCTATAAGTGAATCTTAGTAATGAAAATTAGTGATAAGGGCTGACGGCATGAGTAGACAATGGGAGACATGAGTCTGCCCCTTAGAAAACCTCTTCCCTATAGATTCCTCCACCTTTCCCATGCCTGTATTGATTAGTAGTACCTGAAACCTAGTGGAAGATAAGCTGTGGGAAAGCATGGGATTGTACTAACAGGAGACTTTTTTATGATGATATTTTAACCATAGCTCAGCCAGGATGAGACTCCACAATCAGAAATTTAAAGGTATTGAAATATTTTACAAATTGGCAACTCAGAGACTAAGCATGGTGGCTCATGCCTGTAATCCCAGCACATTGGGAGGCTGAGGTGGGAGAATCACTTGAGCCCAGGAGTTCAAGACAACCTGAGCAATATAGGGTGACCCCCACCTCTACAAAGAAAACAAAAAACAAAACACTTGACCACTTACCATAGTGCATTCCAGAACCAGACTACAACTCTCCACCGCCTCCACACAGAGTAGAAAAAAAATTTTTTGGACATAATATTTTGAAAAAATCATACTGTGAAACAGTTAAAATGACTGCAGATAACAAAAACAAGAAAAGAAGAGATATTTGTAGATAGCAATTGCTTTGTTCTTAAAAAATGTACTGAATAATGGGATGATAAAAGAATAGGCTCATGATGAGGGGCGTGGCTAACTTGAAAGATGAATCCAAGCACATAATCCAAGCAGATAATCACAGTGCAGACAGAAAAGGTGCATTGAGAAGTCACGATCAGAATTGAAATAGCAGAAACCAAATAAATTATGTGAAGACAGGCTTGAGGACACTCTAATCACAGAAGAGAAGAACAGCGAGGTAGGTGAAAGAAAAAAGAAAGATGACAAATATGAAGCATACCAGTGGAGGTTATCTTGGGAAAACTGGTGCTCCCAAAGAGAATAAGCCAAACGAAACAGAAAAAGTAATCACAAATATGGTAGAAGAACTAATAATTTAACTGACAGAGGACTTGCTCCTATGGATGGAAAGATTTAAATGTATACCAAGTAAAATTAAGTCACAGGATCTAAACATACCCTAGTGAAATAATGGGATCAAAAAGGTGAAGATAGAATCTTACATGTATATTCAAAGAACAAAATGCCATATATTCCCAATTACATGAAAATCTGTGATGGCTCCAAATAGAAGACAGTCCTATATTCTCTTAATGAGACGATTAATAATATAGGGCCAACTTGGAAATATAATTCAAGTTCTTCTACTAATAATTAATTTGTGCTGCTTTAGAATCATTTAACCTATCAGGTTAAACTATAGAAAATTATCAGCTTTCAACTTTTTACTTACAGGAAACAAACAAGATAAAAAACAGGCAAACAAACAAACAAAACAATTGCCTGTGGTTCAATCTGAAACTCCTACCAAGCTCAGTATCTTCTGTGTAAACTTGGTAAGTAATGGCTCTTTCGAATATGTGTTAATATACAATCAATAGAAATTTTATATGCACCTGAAAGTTTTCATTTTAATAATATCAGGGCAGTTTTAAAAAATCCTAAAGATTTTTTTTTAGCAATGTAACTACACACCCTAATGCTTTAAAAAATAATTTTCATGTGGCTCATTTATAATGAAACACAACACTTACAGGCATAAGGCAGAGCCCCCAGGAATAATGAAGAGAACTCAGTTAAAATCCTTTGTCTGCTGAATTTCATTGGATGAGTTTTGCGAGCCCCCAAAATTAGCACTGATTGAGTTGGTTTCAATCTAACGTGTCTCTGCAACAGGGTTCTGTATTCCTCATAGGAAAGTTGCCTTAAGGACTTGGTAAAAGTCAACTGTCTCTGTGCTGAGGCTGGCTTCAGATTTCTCTCTTGTATCGTGAAAAATTAGAAATGAAAAAAAAGAAAGATTCAAGGTGTTGAAATGCCATATCCAGCCAAGAAGTGATACATGTGAAGACTGAAAGACTGCCTAACTTGAGAAGAATAACATTCATGGACACTCTCTGAAACAAACTTAATAGATGACATATAGCTATTCTATGAAATTAGGCTCTAAATATTATAATTTTTAGAAAAAGTTATATTTCATGTGACAATAAGTAATTTACCTAAAATAGACTTCAATCAAAAACAGGAGTTTGGACCTGGGAGTGAAAACTGTGGATGTTTAACATTGCTCGTGTATTCATAAAAGCTAGTAAAGTGATTAAATGCCCAGATTTTTTTTTTTTTTTTTGAGAAGGAGTCTCCCTGTGTTGCCCGGGCTGGAGAGCAGTAGCGCGATCTCGGCTCACTGCAAGCTCCGCCCCCTGGGTTCACGACATTCTCCTGCCTCAGCCTCCCGAGTAGCTGGGAATATAGGCGCCCGCCACTACGGCCGGCTAATTTTTTGTATATTTAGTAGAGACGGGGTTTCACCGTGTTAGCCAGGATGGTCTTGGTCTCCTGACCTCGTGATCCACCCTCCTCGGCCTCCCAAAGTGCTGGGATTACAGGCGTGAGCCACCGCATCCGGCCATAAAAGCCTGGATTTAGACCCATTTTAGTACTAGTACATCCGTGACCCTGAGTGCATTACTAACAACTCTGTGGTAGGATTCCTCATTTATATCGAATAATACTTGAATCTGCCTCATATGATGCCATGACAATGAGACATATTCCTTCACGTGAAGTTCTGAGAACAGGGTCTGGTTACACCAACATAGATTCACTATGATTATTGTTACCACTGCACGTACTAGGAAATCAACAGAGAATATTTAATTCTCTGGGATTATTACTCAGGAAATAATGGCTTGGCAGTGGGATTTGTTGCAATTTTTTATTCAAAACAGTTTTCTTATTTTTACTGTTTTATTTCTTTCTGAAGTTAATATATATTTCTTAGCTAATTTTAACTATAGAGCAATTAAAACAAATGCCAGTAACTATGAAATTAATTTCAAAAATTAACTTAAATTTTTCATAAAACAGTTTGTGTTCAATCATTTGTTCAAAATCAATAATCCTCATCTGGGGATTATGTGTGGTAAATTACTTAAATGTCCTGTGTTCTGGATTATTGCATAGCAAGAAATCAGAGAAATTAGGAAAAGAAAACTTATCCCAGTCAAAAGATACATTGAATACCAGAATAAATATATTATTTAAATCTCTATATATTAAAATGTTGTAAATTTTACACAATGTTTATTTGCCTGGTAATCTTTTTTAACTTAGTGATTGAGAGGTTTTACTTGGTAGATGATAAACCTATGGAAATAGCTTATCTCAATAGGGCATCAGTGCTAGTTGCCATTGAGCACAACACTCAACTGCCTTTTGGTATTCTATCAGATTGGCATTAATGTCCCACATGGAGTCAGGACACATACTAATTCTGAACAGAAAGCATATTCAACATTTGAGGACATGTATTAAGCAAATATCAATATCAGCTGAAATACTTCAGTGTTCACATCAATAATAAGCAGTGTGATAAACAAGATGAATGGTAGGGAAATAAATCGGTTTGAAGAAGTCTTCCAAATTTAATAGAGGTGACAATATTTGAAGGTCCTACACAAATATTCCTCCAAATTTATTAGCAGAATTCCAAGCCTCAAGTGAACATGTTATATGCTAAACTTTCTACCTAGATCAAAAATCCCTTAGAGCACTTATTTCACTGTTCTATACTGAAGAACCATTTGATAAGGTGTTGTTTTTATTGATGATGATGAAAATGAAAATCATAATGACAATGGAGGTGATGCTACTGTCTTAGAAGCACCATGGTCTTGCTAGAGGGAAGGAAAGAGCTTGAAAAGAGAAGAGATGGAAAACAACCTTGGAGAAGATTTACAAGTAACTTAAAGATCTGTAAAGCTGCATTTTTAATAAATTCAGTGGGTAGAATAATAATGCTTTATTTCCAAACACACATAGGAGTCAAAATGAATAGACTGAAAGGCAGAGATTCGCCCCCCAGCTGTGCAGGGATCATCAGACCATTATTGAGATGCTTATCCTCTGCAAAAATGGCTTGTGTTGAAATTATTTTTTAAGGGCATCATTTCTTTTAGAAAAACTTCATTACTAATTTGCCAATTGAATATCCCATAAGATATTGGAAGGCATTAGTGAATATAGAGTGAGTATTTTGATTTAAAAAACATGTGCGTCCCCTGTTGTTCAATAATAATGGGGATGAATAACGTCTACTTTAGGTTTTCAAATGTAATTTATGGTGATAAGACTTTTAGACGGGATGGATGAGCTGATGGATGATGTACATATAGTTGAAACTCAGGTAATGACTGTGACATGTTTTGCATTAGGTTATGATAATGTGAAAACAATCAAAGTAATATTTTTTTAAAAAACTGCCAAGAAGAAAAGTGAAATAATAAACTCCATTATATCAAGTGCTCTGATTTTTCAAATGCCTTCAACATCTTCAGTCCTAGTTTAGGAGGTGCTCTGCCTAACAAAACACAACCAGTTGAAATCTTCAGTGGGGTGGAGGAGGGAGTGATGTTAGGGACGTTTTCAGATTCAAAACTGAATAACCCATATATCAGCTCTATAAAGAACAGTGATGACAGAAGATGGTAGGTAAATTAGCTCTTGCATTTTTTTCTTTATACTATTTCTGTATTGTCTGATTTTTTTAAAAAACAGTTATTCATATAATTAGTTACACAATTAAAAATTATCTATTTTTTAATGGAGTAAAAATCAGTCATTAGTATTCTTATAGATTTAGTAACTATCTACAATTAATGACTCTTGGAGGGAAGAAGAGTTAATATAAGATTGGATGAGGGCAATTTTAATGCAAGTTAAATTGATTTTACAAGTCTACAAATCTAGTGGGTGGTATCGATTTTTTAAATTATTATTTTATTTTTTATTTTTTTGAGATGGAGTCTCTCTTTGTTGCTCAGGCTGGAGTGCAGAGGCACCATCTCAGCTCACCGCAACCTCCGCCTCCTAGGTTCAAGAGATTCTCCTGCCTCAGCTTTCCCAGTAGCTGAGACTACAGGCGCGTGCCACCACGCCCAGCTAATTTTTGTATTTCTAGTAGAGATGGGGTTTCACCATATTGGCCAGGGTGGTCTCAATCTCTTGACCTCGTGATCCACCCATCTTGGCCTCCCAAAGTGCTGGGATTACAGGTGTGAGCCACCGCGCCCGGCCTTAGATTTTTTTTGTCTCAGGTATTCACCACATATTAGGAGGACAATCAGAGCACACAGAACATACTTTGAACTGATTACCATGAAAAATGTGCTAAATACTCAAAGCCAAACAAATGTGGATTAAAAAAAAAACAACAAAAACAACCAAGCAAAATCTCTTCACATCCATATCTAGTTACAGTATACCCAACTGGTCAATAATTAAGCAATATTTACATTGAAGTTCTATAACTTCTTCACAGGCCATTGTGAGCTCCCCAAGACCTTCTATTAATTTTTAAAAAATATGTATGCCCTTTGACCTAACAACTTAACTTTCACTATACAGATCTTTACATACTTTGGCAAAGTGATATATGGAAGCTATTCAATTCAGAATTGTTTATAATAGCAAGGAACAATAAATAACGCACATGTCTTCCAATAGGAGATGGGTTATATAAATGGCAGCACATCCAGATTCACTCCTGCTTTATCTGCTCATTCATTTCCATTAGTTCTCCAACTCAGAAGATACCTCGGGTCAATTCTGCAGTGATATAATCTCCTAATACCCTTAAATTTTTCTTCATAGATTTTTCTTCATCACAATCCTCATTACACACTTATGTGTTCAATAATGTGTGTGTGTATGTTTTGTTTTGTTGTTTTGGTCGTTTTTGGTCTGTTTCCTTCACTATTTTACAAAAAAAGCTGCAGCTGCTTCCCTACACATCCCACCATTGGAAGACAACATAGGGTAATGTCCCGAATATTTTATAAGTCCCTGGCAGACAGAAAATGCCGTAGACATGTAATGTGCAAAGCCTGGTGATCTCAGTGCATGGTATAGTAAGTTTCCATTGTATGAAGTGCTCGGATTTTTCATCCATATGGGCTGTTAGGGAAAAGGAGCAAGTTAGCATCTGAGAAGACTTGGACTCTGTAATGATGCCAAAGAGAAAATAAATTGGCCCAACTCGATGTTGTTCTGGATAGCAATTAAGTGGGCAAGGGCACAGTATTCAAAAAGGTGTTCCTAGTTAAGGTGTACTTATTATAGGCAACTCAGTCTGGTAGAGAACGCATAGGAGCTGAAATGGAGAAAACAGTCATATGAAGGAGGGCTGGAGAAGCTCATCATAGTACCAGGGGACCCACATTCCAACTAAAGTTTAGGAACAGGCACCAGCTCTAGCTGTACTTAGACAAGCTAACCAGATAGAATGCAAAAATAGGAGTCCTTGGTGAACATTGAGTGCTAAACACTAGAGAAGCAATGTGTACAGAAACATAGGCTGGAAAGAAGCTGATATTTATTAAAAACCCATTTCTATGCTTTGCTTATGAAAATGGAGGGGTTGGATGGGGAAATAAAGTGTGAGCACTTAATTCTCTCTTGTCCCAGTGAAGTCTTGAGTCTAGGTGGCGAGGTTCTCTCTAGCATGGGGGAACTTCTCACACACCCTGGCCTTTTCAGGCTTAGAGAATACTCCTTGTGAGCATTTACATGACTAGAGTCATATAAGAAAGTGCTGCATGGAGATCTACCTTCCTCCATCAATGCTGCAGTCACAGGCTCAGAATTGGGGGTTGTCTTTGTTCTTCTCCTGCAGATAGTATGTATGGAGTAAGAGGAGATAAAATCACTTATTCTGATGTTTTCATCATAGTCTCTTTGACTGTGGATCCTTAGTGAAGGATAATGTTTTGGAAAAGTTCAATATTAAAATGTTATTTTCCGTAAAGTAACCATTACCTTAATAATTTATAAATGTTAATCCGTAATGGATAGGATAGTAATTCAACCTCATTACTGATATAAGTTTAAACGGATGGTCTGGGAATCTAACTTTTTAAACATGGTTTCAATGGGAACATAAGTTCTGAGTTCCAAACATATAATTTCAAAAGAGTCCTATGGGATCATCTGTTTTTTATGTCAATGCCACTTTTATTTATGTTAGCTTCCAGTTTTTATTAGGCTTAATAAAGTAGTACTCAAAATAGTTTATTAAACAACTGGAACAAACAGAAATTTGGCTGCCTGACACTCAACTGTTTAGTCCTCTGAATAAAAGTGAAAGCTATTCTCATTCAGTGTCACTCCCCACATACACATACCTTCGAGACAGCTGAAGCAGCCTCACTTGTTGTCCTCACGCCAAAACCCAGGAGACTAAGAGAAAAAGCAAAGCAAAGCCTCAAGTCTGAGGTCTTTTATTCAACCCCATGACCTATGATAACATAAAGAAATTCATTTTCTTTTTAGTGAGACCTCATTTTGTAAAAGATAAGCTTCCTATGTATTGAAATGTCCTCTATCCCCTCAGGGCATAGACACCCCAAACTTGAGAATGCTATTTCTGTCTTTCCTGAGTATACATTCTTTGGAAAGTCTCTTAACATTTCCGTGCCTGCCTTTGCCCTTCTGCAAATTAATCTTGTAATACCCATTTTGAAAGAGTGATAGGGAGCTTTTGACATGTGTAACAAGGACTTTGAGATCCTCAGATGAAAGAAGCCTCAGATGTACAAAAGCATTATCTTTATTGTGTGTGCATTTTCTCCTATGGTCTAACTAAGGGGAGGGATTAGGGGAGATTAACTGTGCATATGATCTGTCTAATCGGTTAAGGAGAGTGCGGAATGCTCATGACCTTCAAGAACACCAAATAAAACAGCATGTGCCAAGGCAGTTTCCTGAGTTTACTTTATTATTTCAGCAGAGGTTAAGCTAGGGGAGTGATGGAAGTGCTTGAGTTTTGAGACAATACAATTGAAAAGGCGCAGAAAGGTAAAAGCCTTGGAAACGTGTATGCATATCAAGTGAATAAATACAGCAATGATCTTGGGCCTTATGACAAAAAATTTTAAATTCCGTTTTTTATTCTGCTTATTCAGTGTGCTTCGTGAGGTAAAGAAATACACTAGTTCTGATTTCACTCCTCCTAAAATGAATTTAGGAACAGAGGCCACTTCCTTTAATCTTTCCAATCCCTGCATTCTTCAGTTATAGATAAGATTCAATAATAGGTGCTCAGTTCCTTTAGCCTATTGAGAGAGATGTATTAGACAAATAGAAAGAAATTACCTTGGAGAGAAAGCCATGATTATTGTTCCAAAGGTCAATAAAGTTAGAGAAATTGTTAATCACAAAGATTTTAAATTACATTGTGAGTCCCGCCCTTCAGCTTTGCAAGTTCTTTTCAAGTCCATCAACCAATCCTAAGAAGGAGAGCGATGTGCTTTCTTTGGCTTAGTGAATATTACAAAATGTAATCACTTTCCTTTCCTAATAACCCCATTGTCCTTTAACTTTTAATCATGCTTCACCTATCCATTCACACATATGCTCTTAGATTAGGTTATATTACATCAACATGACCTCAATAGGACAGTAGTTTGGAAGTAGGAGCTATCCTCTCTTCGTTTGCTCCCTGTGCATGTCCCAAACTCACATACACACATTATCTGACTTCTCTCTTTCTTACTCCTTAAATTCCTTAAGCTTTTGAGCCTCAAATATTGTCAATGTCTTATACTTAAAGATCACAACTGTGTGCCTATGTAATTTTTTTTACTGTAAATAAAATACCATTTTCTCCATAAATTGTGTCCAATGTAAAATGATTTTATATATTGGAATACCTCTAAGTATCATTTTGATGACTAACACATTAAAACATCTTGGTAAAAAGAAGTGCGAAAACATGTACGGTGATAGAGATACAAAGCTAGAGCATCCACTTACTTTTCATAGCAGGCGCCAGTACTATTTTAAAACACAAGACATTAATTTACCTGTAGAAATATGGTGGCCATGTGCACCCACACCTCACATGATACTGATCACTTATATCATTTACTTTTACATAGAAGTAAAAGAGCACTGGGCTTTCATATATGTTACAATAGTAGTATGATAGGGTATCACACAAAGACAAGTTGGTTGTCTCTCAGGACATGCGTATCTGGGATTCTTGCATGACAATATCACTACTGCTAAGCGACTGTCATTTTTAGTACATAATTTACTATTCATTTATATTGTGGCTGTACACAAATATTCATAGCATACAGAACATTTATAAATTGACCTTCCAAAGTATGTATCAACCACATCCATAGCATATATACTATAAGATGTGTCAAATTTTTTATAGAGCTTTAGAGTTAGAAAATGCTTTTACATATTGTATATGATACTTTCAAGATGTGGGCAGGCAGCTTATAGATGACCTCTGAGTTAATTGCAGAACTAATAAGATGCAGAAGATGAGCTTATTCTATGTGTTCTGATGCAAATGCTCTCTGTCCAATCTCATGCTATTTCTCAATTGTGGGGATAACAATACAATGGAATTTGCCGGAGAAATGGAAACTGAATAGGTACAATTATCTAGAGTCTTTGGAGGCTCCAAATTATTCTTATGTAAAGGAGTTAGGAACTGTCACTGTTTCTGAAGCTAAGGAGAGGCAAGAACAAATTATTCTCCTTTCTCTATATTACTAGTTACATAGAGACCTAGATATGTGGTGAAGATCTAACGAGAAAATGACAATGGTTTGTAAGCATTCATCTATAAATAAAAATATTAAAGTCATTATTATAACTATGGTTTTTGAAGAGATTATGAATTGGATGTAGCCATACCACTCACTGTATTAGAGGTGCTGTGAGGATTAATACAAGTGATGTCTATCAAATTCTTATCACATTCCCTGATTTCACAGTAAACATAAAATACTTATTATACTTCATCACTATTATCATCACCAGCATCAGCATCACTGGCATTATTACAGCTTTACTTGAGAATTTTAAATTATAAAGTGTGAGGTCTCAGCTGTTAGATATTATTTTTAAAGACTTATTCTGGATCAGAATTATGTACTTAGGAACAAAGGAAATAGTGATGCCATATTACTGAGTAAGCTCAGAAATTGGAGTCTGAGACAATAAACACATAAACAATGAAACTGAAGTTATAAGTCCCAGCAGTTAGTCCACAGAATAGACCTTTATCTGATTTGTGAATTAACTATAGCTTGCCCAAACAGCAACCTCTTTGAATGTTACTATGTTTATCAGCATAAAAGCAGAATGATGGTTTTAGGAATGAGGAATGCTGACTGTCTTCTCCGACTAGACACCTGAGCAATGCTCATTTAACTTCATCTCTTATGCGTACTAGAAACAGAAGGGCTTTCTAGTAAGGCTACTTGCTATGACATCTCCTACACACCCACATGCACACCAGTAGAATACTAGAGATAACGTTGCCTTTTTCTCCAGGTTGGTCTTATGTCTAGGCACTATAGTGGTTTTTGAATTTGTATGAGCTGAGTGGTATTGTCATGGCCTCCCAGTCTGAAATGTTACACTACACTATGTTCTCTACACTATGCTTACAGTCCCACTATTAATGTTTTCTTTATCTGTGTTAAGTGTTGCCCTCTCCCACTGTCTTCATTAGAATGCAAATAATACTGAAACAAATATCACATTAAATAAGTATGAATATGTTTATTAGATCAATTTCCTTTTACAAGAGACAATAGGCAAAAGGAGAGTGCTGGCTGCCCAGGATAGGAGGAAGACACTGAAGTGAAGGTAAAGAGTTTAAAAAGAAGGTTAACTTACCCTTGACACCAGAGCAAAGGTAATAAAAAAAGATGGTACCGTTAAGTTCTCCTAAGCCACTGTGTCTGCCACTCAGTTTTTGTTTTTTACACCTCTGGATACCATGGCTTTATTTAATTCCATAATGCTACAGATCCATTTCAGAGTCCGATGAATAAATGTCACACTCTTTGCTTTCTGGTTATGGAACTGACTCCAGTGCTCTCTGAAGATACAACAATCAGTTAGCTCCCAGCATTTAGAGGAATAAAATATGTATTAATGAATATTAAATAATAAGATAAATTAGCAAGTACTGGATCATTTTGATTCACACAAGCTATAACATTTATATATATACATGTATGTGTTTATATTTTAGGGTACATGAATCAGAATGCATACGACTTCTAGTAATTTATCTTGATTTTTAGTATTTATTAATGCATAATACTAATAAATTTTAGTGCATACATTTATAAATTTTAATATATATTTGTACAGAGTATGAGTAAAGTGAGTAAATATTAGAAATAAAAAGAGCAAAATGATAAATGCAACTCCTTCTACACATTAAAGTTTGTTTTATGAACTGAACAACCTTGCAATGTCAAAGTAGTTTTTAAAGTCTATTGTCTTTTCATTCCTGTCCTGTTTTTCTGTTGAAGTCATTGCAGAAATACTGATATTTCTATCAGAGGGGCAAATACTTATGGGTGACATAATCTAGACCTTGAAATTGCTGGAGCAGCTCTCTACAGTTTTGCAGATGGTTCATGTAAAAAGGTACAGAAGGCAAATCATGCAGGTGATAGGCCCATTATCCTATTTCTGTGTCATTCACCTTTTCCTAATTCTGTTACCTACTCCCACTGAATCTAAATCTTAAAATAAGTCTGAAGAAGTTATTGCTGCTGTGGGACAGATGACAAAGGGAAGGACCAAGGAGATTTAAATTTCATTCAGGGACCAAAGAAAATGAGAGGAAGTTCAATAGGTTTTTAATCTAACTGGATTGTTGGTATGTGTTTGGAGGAAGAGAACCCTTTGAAGCAGGGGGCTAAATGAATGGTTCAGGATTAGAGATCCTATATTGAGGCACTACTGTGACAAATAAATTGTACTCTCAACTCCTGCATCATAAACAGAAATGGGTTTTCTACTATTCTTGTGAGAAATAAGAAAATAGGTATTTATAGAGGGAAAGTTATTAAGTAAAGTGTTGATATGGTTTGGCTGTGTCCCCACCGAAATCTCATCTTGGATTGTAGCTCCCATAATTCCCATGTGTTGTGGGAGGGACCTGGTGGGAGATAATTGAATCATTGTGCGGTTTCCCCGATCCTGTTCTGGTGGTAGTAAATAAGTCTCACAAGAACTGATGGTTTTATAAGGGGAAACTCCTTTCACTTGGTCCTCATTCTCTCTCTTGCTTGCCATAAGATGTGCCTTTTGCCTTCGGCAATGATTATGAGGCCTCCCCAGCCACGTGGAACTGTGAGGCCATTGAATCTCTTTTTCTTTCTTTGTAAGTTACCCAGTCTCGGGTATGTCTTTAATCAGCAGTATGAAAACGGACTAATACAAATGTGAAATCAGGTACCTTATTTCCAGATCTGCTTTTCTGTTTGTAGGATGTATGAATACATGGACAAATGAATGTTAGAGTTTAAAATAAATATAATAGTAGTAAGATAAATGCAAAGAAGTGTAAACTACCTGTGGTTTATATTTGAAAGTCACATATGTGTGTGAAATGTTTATTTATAGCTGTATTATATTTATAATTATTATATTGACAGTTTTATGCTACATATAGGGATATATGTTTATATAATTCATAACTACATCAATATACACTAACTCATCAAACAATTCAACATTTGTTATGTATCTACTATGTACCAACCATTTTATTAGATATAGTTCTTAGAACTGCGGGTATGGTACCCATTCTCATGTTAGTTACAATGACAATGACAAAAACGCAATAATATCAACAGCAATATATACAACCTAGTCAGATTTCCAAAACACTTTCACCCACGTTGTTGCCTTTGATTATAATGGCAACCAGATGGAATGTCATTATTATCCCTATTTTACATGTAGAGAAACCAAGACTGTTGACCAAAGCCACATGTAAGTCTTAGAATTTGTTAATACTAAAGATATTTCAAAATATTTATCTTAATTATTTTTACCAGGCCACTTACTCTTTATGTAGCAATAGCTATAGCAGCCTATTTTGACTAAAAGGAAAGAAAACAAAAGAAGAGGAATAAACTACATTTAACTGCTCCATTGATCTTTTTAAATTAATCCACTAGGCTTCTTTTTAGTTCTGTTTTGAATTATTAGTTGACATCACATTCTTTAACCACTAAATGATTAATTATTCTATAAGATTGATGGAGAATGAGCCTTGGATAGAAACCTAAGATGTCCAAACCACGTACACATTTGAAAATTTTAGTTCTAATCTCTTTATATAGGAAAAAGCATAATTTAAGAAAGGGCATATTTTTTTAAGCAGGTACATGCTTTCAGTTGCTAATGTATTTTTAAAAGCCAAAGATTAACTCTTGGTTTTATAGATATTGGCCAGAATACACACATATGTACACCTATATGCACGAGCATATGACCAGACATGCGTGCACATATACATCCACGTAATATTGGAATACAATGTTGAACCCATAGTTTATATCACTCTCATGGAAATACGTTTTCATTCATTTGCTGACTGGAATCCTCTAGAGGGTGACAAAAGACGAGATATATAGCTATCCTCAATTTGAACATATGGCTTGGCATTGCTTATAGTGACCTTGTGTTAGCTCTTAGCCAGCTTTGCCTGGCCAGCCAGCCAGCTATTCTTGACTTCACTATGGTCATCAGGGCCTAATGTCTCCTTAATGATAACCTTGTCTCATTCCTGTCATGTTAATGGCCTCACGTCAGGAGACAGCTTCACATCTTGGCTGAAACACAAGCTCCCTTAGCTTAAAAGATTAATCAGAAGCTTGCAGCTAATAATAGACTGCCCTTCCCACTCCCATTTTAGTACCTGAAGACAAGAACAGGTTGATAAGTATTATTATTGAGTCATAGACTTGGAATCATCCTTAAAAGGTCATTTAGTCAATCCCCTCTTCTCCTAGAATTACTGCATATGAGCCATCCCAGTAACTGACCATTCACTTACAGTTGATTTAAAAAACCCCTCTGCATCCTGGCTAGTTGCTCCTGGTTTCTTTTTGCCAGAAGTCAAAAGAGGAAGCAGAAACACAGTTATAGAAGTGCAATTGTTAGTGTTACCTAGATATTTCTTTCCTTCTTTTCAGGCATTAAAGTAGCAAAATGGGCATCTATTGGCCCTGACTTCAGAAGGTATATGGGTAAATACTACTTCCCTGGGAATAGAACCATTAGCTTTGAAAGCTGGAAGGGAAATAACGACCTAAATATTTCTCTCTCAATTTATAGATGAACAAAGAAGGGCAGAAAGAGAACCACAATCCTACACACAGGAGATTTTGAAGTTTCACAAGACAGAATCTACATATAAGAATGGGTATGTATTCACAGTTAAAACTTCTTAGTCTTAAACAAAAACAAACAGCAAAATTCATTGAGTATAATTTTGTCAGGGGTGAGTATTAGAGTAGGCTTAGTTTGAGTTTATGTTAACTTCTTTTCCAATATCTCATCTACCTCCTCTAGAAACAAGGATAGAAAATAATGAGCCTCAAGTCTGTAATAAAATGTTGACAATTCATCTTCCATAGTCATTCATATAGGTTTAGTCATTCTCTTTTAGAGAATAAGAGCAGTAGTAATATTGAGATGCAGCTGGAAATTCCATCTATTCTCCTTTTAAGTCTAAAAGTGGGAATAAAACAAGGAAGCATTAGTTGATTATGACTGTAAATAAAATATTTTCTGATTAAAAATATCTATCTTCTTTTTTTGGAGATTTCCATCAAAGGCAGAGTAAATTGTCCCAAGACAGCAATTCCTGGATTCATTAATATATATATAACCTTATTCTGCTTTGGAGTGGAAATGAAGATTTCTGATCTTAGCGTCTCATAAAATGTTGGGGTTTTACACCTGCACTACTATGTATGAGGGCAGGGGACTTAGAGTATGCCTCTGGACCTGATTTCAGCCCTATGAGAGGGATTTAAAAAAATACAATAAAATGAAACAGCTCACAACACTTAATTAATTTTAAAACATTACAGTATCTATAGTTAATATTTGTTATTGGTTGAATGGTATCCCCGCAAAATACACACACACACACACACACACACATATATGTAAATATAAATAAATAGATAGATAGATAGATAGATAGATAGATAGATAGATAGATAGATAGATTTAAAGTTCAAACCCATCGCTACTGAAATGCAACCTTATTTGCAACAGGGTCTTTAGAGATGTTATTAAGTTAAAAAGGGATCATGAAGGAGGGCTCTAATTCCATATGACTGGCGTCTTGATAAAAAGGGAAAGCATGGACACAGAGACAAGCATGCAGGGAAGACAATGTGAAGAGACACACTGAAAAGACAGCCATCTACAAGAAAAGAAGGAGGATTGGAAGAGATCCTTCCTTCAAAGTCCTTAGAAGCAACCCAAACCCTGCCAATATCTTAATTTTGAATTTCTAGTAAGGCAATACATTTCTGTTGTTAAGCCACTCAGTTTATGGTACTTTGTTATGGCAACCCTAGCAGACTAATACAATATTCTTATTATATTTAAAAAAATATTTCAGAGGGGGTAAGGACCAGAGTCAATTGAAACCCAGGAGGCTATTTTTTAAATTTTCACTAATTTCCCTAAGTCCACACACGTCTCTCTGTGAAAAGGAATATGGAGTAAGAAGTTCTGAATGGCAGTCATGCCTCTAGTCACAAACCCCACATTATTTATCCCAGAAGTGGGATTAGTTATGAAACCATAGATCTATGCTTCCTCTTGTATGGCAAAGTATTATTCAGTTGTTAAATTTCATATACACTTATGATTGATGATTCCTCAGGAAAGGCAAAAATAAAGAAGCTGAGGAAATATAGAAGGAGTGGCCAAAATGCATATTGTACCCAAAGCAATGAAGACATCAGGGACAGAGATAATTCCATCTTTAGTAATATTATCTGATTCTCCTCTGGGTATTCTACTTCACATCAAATTTTAAAATGTTATGATGGAATTAGCATTTCAAATAGTTACATCTAAAAGTATATTGAGCCCATATAAACTATTATTGTTTAGAAAAAACAGAAACCTAAAATTGCCGTTGTTTTAGATTTAACCCAGAAATTATTGCCTGTTAAGAAGCACCCCGCAACAACAAAAAAAGAAAACCATAAACAAACAATCAAAAACAAACTTAAACTACAGACCAAGTAATGGTTTTCTAACACAAAAGAAGACATGAATGAATTCTGAATCGTCAGCAATATTATGCGTGTGTGAGTTTGGGATCCACAGAAGCAGATTCTGAGACGAAGATTAGTGTGCAAGTGAGCCTAAAGAGTGGAGAAATGAGGAAAGGAAATGAGACGGAACCAACCAGTGGTAAAACCCCATCCACAGCCTGATCACATAGGAAACCTCTGCTTTTAAAGCAGAAGAGCTGAGCTTTCATAACCCAGCGCCAGTCAGTCATTGATTGGCTGAGGACCTTGGGCAGGCGGACTACTCATGACTTTGGGTAGAGTGGCTTTCTAACACCAAGAGGCATCACTGCAAGGACATCACAGGAAGAGGACACTGGAAACAAAACATGTTGGGGTGAAACTAAGGGTTCATGAAAATGGAAAAAGTGATCTTAGGGAATCCAGATGCATAACAATAGCTATAATGGCTACTACTGTGGGTTATATTTTTGATAATCTCTCGAATCATTTCTTGTTGAGATAAAACGTGGCAATTATGGACCATTGCATGACAGTTTTTGAGATGTCTGTTCAGAAATTCCAAGGCAATGAACTCCTATTTGTGTCATCTAATAACTCTACTCATTTTTGGTTTGGCTTTTATTTTGCTTTCATTAATTACAATGTATAAGGAGTAAATGAAATATGTGTGTACCATTTTTAAGATAATAAACAAAATGCTCGTGTGCCCACAACTTAGATTAAGAAATAGAGCATTACGGGGAACTTAGATGCCACTCCATGCCCTTGTCTCATCACACCCTGCTCCTTCCCTAGGGAGGTTGTCATTTTGTGGAAAGATCTACCATTTTCTTTAGTGTTTTCATCTTTATTTAGATTCCAATATGACACATTGTTTCATTTGGCAGCCTTTTGAATGTAATACCATTTTAATTATACACTATCTATCCTCCCAGAGCACGTTGCTTTGCTCAACATCATGTATTTAGCTTCACTTTTATTGACAACTGTAAATGTGTTTCATTCTACAGTTGATGTGCACATGAGTTGTTTCCAGCTCTTGCCATTACCAACAATATTGTTACTCTGAATATCCCTGCATCTTTGTCTGGGTGCACCTGTGCAAGACAGTATCTAGAGCAACACTTAGGTGTTCATTAGTTGTTCCATTAGTTCTTGGCAATACTTGATGTGATCAGACTTTCTCCTTCAAGCTATTCTGGTGGATTTAAATCTGCATTTCCCATATAGTAATTAGATGGAGCATGCTTTTATATTTTTATTGGTCCTTTGGGTTTTCTCTTATGTGAATTATATGTTCAAGTCTGTTGGCAATTTCTTAGGTTATTTTCTAGGAGTATTAAAAATATATTTGAACAGTTACATATGTTCAATTTTATATGTTAACAATATCTTTTCCCAATTGGAAATTTATGTTTTTTTTTTTTTCTTTTTATGGTGTTTTGGTTGTTTACAAATGAAAGTTCTTTATTTAAATGAATCGTTTCTTTGATGTTCCCTCTTTGGGTTATTCTATGAAAATTGTTCTGTTTCGTTTCTTTCCCTGTGCTCATAGAGGTAGTCTTTTTATCATCTTCTAAGGATATTATAATTTTGCCATTTACATTTAGCTCTTTAATCCACCTGTAAATAATTTTTAAGTGACTCTTGATTTCTTTAAATAGTTAAAGAAGATCTGATGCTTTTTCCCATGTAAGTTATATCTTTCAGCGAGATCTTCATTATACCGAATCCCACAAAGTAAAACTATGTTTTAAAATACGTTATCCTTCCAGAGTGAAGAATTGTACCTCTGTTATCTCTACTGCAATCCAGTCTCTCTACTTACCTTAAAAGCAGAACAGAACTGCCAATGCTTGTCTGTACTTTGTGTATTTAGTAAGTTAGGCAGTTCGTTAATTATGCTCTCCTTTATCCAGAGAGCATTTATGCAGCTTTTTCTCTTGTTGTATTCTTATTAAAAAAGCAAATTGAGGTTTCAGTAAGGTGAAGGGGAAGTAGAAGTGAGAGAAATTATTAAAGGAAATGCAAAATCTAATATATATCTTCATAGAGATGAATGAATTTCAGATGCCATTTTGACTATTTTATGACACACACATACACATACACATACACGTACACATATACACACACAAATCACCAAAGGAGAAGGATAGTATGTTTTGATGTTATATATTTCAAAGCACCAAAAGGATATAGACAAAGTAGCAGGAAAAGATTATCTTGTCTTCATTCTAAACTGAAATTGTATAGTAGCTATTATACACATTAACTGACTGCATTATTGCTTATCATTTTTGGAAACTAGTATAATTGATATAATAAATAGTTTCCAGCTGATATTAGTGAACCTCAGACTATGTCATGTAGATGGAGTAAAGTCTTTGAATTTATATTTAGAGACCTAAATAATGACAAAACTTTGCCACCCACCCGTCCTAAGTGTGAAATGTGCAGTGAATGAATAAATAAATGAATGAATGGAAGAATGAATACTAAATAGCAGTATAAAAGTGAGCCACCAGTTTATGAATTAAATTGTTATATGAACAAAGGTGGTCTATCTGTTACAAGTGTTACTGCTGCTTCTAAATGTTCAAGCAACAGAGCTTTGCCTTTTAGAGTTCTTGTCATGGTATTTTTACCAGTAAAGATTTTATTTTTTTAAGTAATTTATAGTGAGCTTTGGTATTTTGGTAAAATAATTTCATTGGATTCTGCAGAAGAAAAATAAAATATTCCAAAAAAGGATGGAAAAGAAAACATCTTAACCCAGAGCCTTTTTATTTCTTTTTGTTTCTTCACATTCCAAGATATCAAAATGCTTATCATTATTATTATTTGTTTCATATACTATATGTTTATCAAACTAAGTTTCTCTGTCACAGCTGGAACAATCAGGATTTCTTCTGTTGCTTATGATAAATAAGCACTCAATTGTAAGAATGTCCTCAGGGAAAGTTCATTAAAAAAGAAATGAAAATGCTGAGAAATAAATGGTTATTTTGATTGCACTTGTTTTGATATAATATGCAAAAATGTAATTTGGTTCTGTAATGTCTGGAATGTAAGGGAAAAAAATTTAAGATGGAGAAATGGAAAAGATGCTGCATTTATTATGTTATTTCAATTATCTTTTTGTTTCTGAGGGTGGGAGAGTTTGGATTCAAAATATCATTTTAGAATAAAATGTGAATATAGCTAAAAGGAAAAAAGAGCAAAATACATAAGTAGAAATATTAAGTGATCAGTAGATCAAATTGGGCACATTTCTAGCATTTCTTGACAGGTGCTTTTTTAGATTTAATGCTTAGGTATTTGGATTTCTCTCCTTGTTTTGTTTAAAGTCTCTATTGGCAGCCTTATTCCACAGTTTCCCAGACTATTTTGCCTCCTCCTTGTTTGGCTCAGTGACAAGTAACAACCAGTCAGGGAACATTGCAGTAGAGACGTGAATGGCTTGAGGTAAGTGTCTGATATCAGAAGACAATTCTCTTGGTAAAACGATTCCTTTCAGAGATTCAGGATAGGGAAATGAAAATTAACTTTGCTTTTCTCCAGATTTAATTCTCCTTATTTGTCCTCATTCCTCAAGTTATTTTCTCTGTTATGTCTCCAAAGTGGATTTACATGACAGTTTTGTTTTTCTCCAACTATCTGAATGATAAGGGAAGGTAGAAGTAAACAAAGAAAATAATTAAGACAAAAAAATGGCATGAGCCAATGTGCTAAAGAGTGGAAAAACAGGAAAGAGGGATGGCAAAGAGAAGGCCAAGTGGATCACTGAATTCAGAAGGCAATAGGGGCCATTGAAGGACCACTAGGATGGAAGAGGAATGGAAATCTAGAGTGCTGATTTCCACTCCCTTAGATTTTCCCTCCAATCACTTCTTTACATAATTCGTCAAATCCAACTCTTAATTGCTGTCTCTAAATGTCCATGTTAAGATAATATGGGAAAGTAGATAATACTTATTGGCAGTGTAATACTATATTTAAAACACACACACACACACACACACACACACACACACACACACACACACAAACACACTAGAACATCTCAATGGGAGAGAATTGGGGAAATATATGATTAACCAATGACTGTGGGGCCAACTTTGATCAGTAATTTGTAAAATTTGAAAATATTTTTCTGGTCATATAGTCTTAAAAATATAGTAAGAGCATCCAAGGTGGGGAAATCGAGGTGGGGCATTTTGATGAAAAAACAAGAGAGAGAGAATTAAAACAGAAATGAGAAAATAGAGGCATAAAATATTTCTTCTATATTGAATACTGTAAAGCACTGGGTATGTTTACACTGTGGAGGAGAAAAGGACATGATATATGCATTCCTTAGTCATCAAGAAATTATACCTTGCAGTGCAATGTACCCCAGTACCAATGAACAGAAATACAACTTCAGAGGGCAAGAGGGGATGTAAGAAATAAAGAAAGCAGTTGGAGAAATAAAATAAATGATTCTTGAGTGGCTAAACAAGGGACAAAAGACAAAACATTTTCCAGAGTAAAGAAAGAGTAGAAAAATGAAAAAATATAATGCACATTGTTTTAAAAATTATACAAGCAAAAGATTTGGATTAGTAGAGGAGTTTATTCTAGCTTTCCAAAGAAGGGACAATATTAGAGCATATATATTCATGGAAGGGAGATGGATTGGGAAATTATCAACAGAAAAGTGAAAATTCGTGGTGGAGGTCAACTATAACAATTTGGTTTAAATAACAAATGGATGACTTTAAATAGAACATTATCTCAAAAAAACCTAGCACCCATCATAAAACCTGGCACATAATTGATGCTCAACAAAATGATGACATGAATGAATAAATGAATGAATGAAAAGCCAAGTAAATATTAAAAGTAATTGCAAAAACTGCATTTACTTTGGCACTGAACTAATAAACATGGCACATTAGAGAAAAAAAGAATGATGGTGACAATATGAAACTAGAGACATGGCCTGGAGTCAAGGAAGCTTGCAAGAGGCCATTACAGAAAACCAAATGAGAGAAAAGTTTGGTGATGAGGAAAGAAAGAAGAAGGAGCTGAGAAGGAGTACAAGGGACCTATGATACTCCTAAGGGAGTGCTATAAAAGCCTGGCTATCTGGAGATAGAGATGATTTAGAAGGAATTATGGTAAGTTTGATACCAGAGACATTACGTTTGCTGACACTGAAAATGTGTAGGTGACAGTTGGAGATACAAGACTTGACCTTGGTACAAACTTAATCTGGGGATCTTTTTGTAAAATGCTAACACAGAGGTTCACTAGACCAAGATAATGGATGTTGTCTACTTGAAAACAGAGAACAGAGAACAAAGAACTGAGCCTTGGGATATATTTATGACCCATTAAACATACACTGATGGGTCCCAATCAAACTAATGGAAACCCTCGTCAACTGGCAAAAGTAGGCTGGCTTGGATTTTTGGTTTGCTGTGGTTGTTCAGTGGAGAGATATCTTTAGAAAAAACTACTTTGAAATTGATATGTACTGCTAATGATTGATTGTGTAACTTGCATTTAAGCAAGTTGTGTAGGTAAGTCAGTTATTTATTTCATATTATAGAAGAGACTCCTGATTGAACTGTGAACATTCTCTTTGGGATTGCTTGGTGAGGCCCACCTAGCTGGACTTGTATGTGTTATGTATTCTTAGTATAATCTCTCTTTCCTCACATATTTAAAGTATATATATCAACTCCGTGTTTATAAGCACACATACAACTAGAAGAAAGACATTTCATTCAATTTTTGGAAATAACATTTTTTTAAGTACAAATAACCAGAGTTAGCTAATTTTTTTTAATTAAGCATTTGCCATACAAAATTTTTTAAGCTGAAATCTTGAGTGGAAACCAATATCTTCAAAGAAAACAAACATTTAGAATTATAAACCAAAAGAAGACACAACAATATTATTTTCATAAGCAGAGATGATATGATGGTGGTGGTGGTGGCAGCAGGAGGAAGGGTTTAGGGTAAAAATCTAAAAACCCAGTGATATTTAAATCAGGGAGATATAACAAATAAAGGGAGAGAGCATATTTAAAATTCAGGAGACGGATCACAAAATTTAGGGATTGACAATAATGCTGCCAAGTGTTTTGGAAACTTCACTTTTGCTTGCTTCAAAGTTTTTCTTTCTTATATGGGACTACTAAGTAGAATGTTTTAGGTAGTATTCCTGGCGATACTTCACATTTGGGCACTTAATCAAGTATACCAATTAAACAGAACTCTCTGTATGTTAAGAGAAATACAGAGGAAAAAAATTCCTAGACGTTTTTGATTATTTCCTTTTTTTCCCCATGTCACATTTAGCTGTCTGGACCTCTGGACTAAGGATATTTAATTTGGGGCTTATTATTATAAGCCAGAAGTATCTATGAACTAATTATCTATGAGCTAATATATGAACTAAGTATCTATGAACTAATCACTAATCATTTATGTGATTAATGTTAAAAACGTGGGAAAAACGTGCATATCTTGAGTTGGCTCTAGTTAATCAGAATGGAGAAAAAAAATCCAAGGTGCCCCTAGCCCCTCTTCCAAAGCAGTGAGGTGGTACTGGATTTTTAACATGCTATTAGTTACATCTCGCATAGAATGAGCACATCAACACCAGGGACTCCTCCTATTCCTCACCTGATTCACTGCTAAATGCAGAGGTGCTTTGAATGTAGAGCACAGATATTTTCAGTAGATTTCTCTCCAGTGTAGGACTTTACAAGGAGAAGCAGAATTTCTATAATGTTTTCATATCCAAGAGGGCATATTTCTTCAACCACAGGATCCAAAGACATTAACTTCATTACTTTTATTAAAGTTTGACTTGGGCTGAGACCTTCAAAATCCTTACTCTTCGACAGCTGTTTGGTGGTTTGTTTAGGACTTCACTGGGCAGTCTCAGCACAGTTCCTCCTGGACAAGTGTCAGCATCTCCTCCAAATCTCTGTCATCCTCTGCCTTAATTGGCTCCATTAACAGGTGTTATCAGGCCAAAAAATGAGGATTCAACTGATTCATCACTTCCTGAGGCCTAGTGTCAAAGATAGCAGCATTTGGAACACACTGGGGGTGAAGAAGAAGCTGGGAAATATTAAAATACTTCTCAATCCATTCTGCTTCAGTTGGTAAAGTATAATAATGGATTGATTGATTTAAATTTGAACCTTAGCCTTGAACCAAATGCTAGAATAAGCATGAGATCTTAGTTTCCTTTAACTTCCTTTTCTTATATTGTGAGTGCTGCCAATGAATAGATTACCAATACTACTAATTCTGAAATGTTTTTTGTGCTTGCATTATATCAGACATTATTTATTTAGCTTTGCATAAGACCATATCGTTATCCTTATTTTTTGTGTTGAATAAGCTTAAGATCAAGAAATTAAATGTCTTGTCGAAAACTTTACAAAGATGGAAAGCAGACTGGTAGTTTCCTGGTCTGGAGGTGGGAATGAGAATTCCTTATACCTGGGCAGAAGGAGTCTTACTGGGGTAATGAAAATATTCTAAAAGTGATTTATGGTGATGGGTGCACCACTCAGTACATTGACCAAAATTTATTGAATTGTATACTTGAGTAGGGTAAATTTTTTGTCCAAAATATACATCAAATAAGCTACTTAAGAAAAAAACAGTCCTAACAAAAGTTACATCTTCCCATTCTAACCCTGGGTTCTTGCATATGTAGGGCAATGCAGCAGCTCTAGGCAAATACGGAGGATCTGGTTCCTCCCTTTGTTTGCTACAGGATATTGAGCAATTTATGCAACTGGGTAGTAGTTTTGTCAATTAAATGAAGTCACTGGACTAGTTATGTGTCTTGACAATCTTGTTTTAATTCCAAGAACACTTAATTTTAACTGAGCAGGATATCTATGAATTGACATAAAATAGTATAATATGTATGAAAACAATTGCATAGAAATATTATGATTGAGGAAAGAAAAACCATGAAAATCATTTATCACTTGGTGGCACTATGAGGAATTAATTTCTTTATTATTTTATTTTGAAACTATTCTAAAATAAATATGTATTTAAAAAGAAAATAAATTTTATTTAAAAAATTAACGACTATGTAAAGACATTTGATAAAGATGTTTTCAATGCAGAAGCCTAATAGGGAAATTGTGATACACTGGGGCAGAATTGAAAGTCTGATGTCTTTTTTGCATTACATCTGAAATAAAAGGTCCAAAAATTTGTGCAACTATTTATGTAACAGCAAGTCTGAGTTTTGTTTGGTTATTTGGTTTTCTTAGTAGTTTCATTGGTGGCTTATAATGTATAAATACCCAGAGGATAGTCCTGAGATATAGTTAAATGTCTAAAATTTCTATAAAGCACACTAATCTACAACTGCACAGAAACATGCGTAGCTATGATAGGTAAATTATATGAACAGAATAAAAGAGAGACCTAATTTTAAATCCACTCTAAATTATAAACATTCTCTTCTTTAAGCAAATACAGCATAAAATTAAATAAAGTTATAGGAGAAATATTAAAAGGGGAGTAATTCTTCCTCAAACAAATTATATTCAAATTAATTTATATTTTATATTTACTTTAAATATCACACACTTTCTTCATCATTTTCAAATAAGATTTAATTTAGATGAATTCAATTTGTATCTCATATTTTAATTTCAAAACATGCCCATGCCCATTGCCTACAGTGAGGCACATCCCACTCTGAATTACATGTTAAATTCTGTGGTGTCAATAGGAATGCAGCAAGTAGGGCATCTTGTATCAGGGAAGGGAGAAAGAAAGGCTCTTAGCCTCAGTGAAAGCAGCAAGATCATGAATAAACCTACGTGATGTCAAATACTTGGAATAAAGATGAGCATCTCAGACACATGAGTATACGTATCATATCTCTAAAATTTTGGCCATAGGAATATGAATATCAGGATGGTGGAATGTGTTTACATTGCATTCAGATTTTAGCTTAAGGACTGCTTTAAGAACAGATCCAGATGTAGTATCACAATGCATGAGATTAACTCATGTTTAAAATAATTATTTATGTGATATATGTAAATAGAATTACACATGTCATCCTTAATTGTTACTTCTGCTTTATGGGTTAACTATGTGAGTTAATCATAGTCATTAAATCCAAAACTACTAGAAACACTAGATACTAAATACTAAACTTTACTGGAAACAAAGGGAATACTATAGGGAAAAAAATCGCAGAAAGAGTCATGGCCTTCAGAAGAGAAACACAGTCAAATTTCAACCCAGCAGAAATGGACCAGGCAAATATAAACCACATTCTGTTCTTGTCTTCCAATGACCTGCCATTCAAACTCAAACAGAAGCCTGAAGGCAGGAGAACCCATTGATATCCACATCCCAAAATTCAGAGAAGGACAAAGATCTCAAGGACTAGCACAGCTATGTAGATTATGTTCCTACTTTATTTATTTAGTCATAGACTATACTTAATCCTACAACATTCTTCAGGGTCTCTTTAGAAAAATATTCCATGTATTCCCAATGCAAACTTTTTTTTTCATCATTTTAAGATTAAAATTCTCATTGGCACCCTTTCATATTATCACGGCCAACAAAGAAACAAATATTATCTAAAATGCCTATAGACCTTTAAATTTTTCAAATACCTTTTATTAACCTCATACTAGTTAGATATTCATAATAACTTGATTAGAAAATATCATGTTCTTCATTTAGAAATGAAAGTATTGAGATTAAGGAAAATTAACTGAACCATCTGAGGTCAGAGCAATGGTAAGAACACAGTTCTCATAGTCAGTTTTCCTTTATTCCATTTTTTTAAAGTGCTTCTACACAAAACTATATAGAACAAAACTGTCAATGCCTTTATATGTATACCCGGAGGAGCATCATTTGGACGATGGGCATTTAATCTACATTATATTACGTCACATTATCTCACATACTCAAGCTCGTGTTCAATGTGAGTTACTTATAGGAATGTCTGCATACAAGACCATATGCATGCTACTGTGATAGACAAAAGAGAAGGCAGTTGAGAATGTTTGAACATTTGCAACATACTAGGCTTTATGGTAAGCACGTTACACATATTACCTATGTACATTATGTCACAAAACGTGGTGTTTATATTCAGAGGACACATGATATGCTGAGAAGCAGAACGAGTCCCACGAGAATGAAAAATAGAGGCAAAAATCTTGTCAGCTTCACTAGGAGGCACAAATGAGCTGGGCCTTGAAGCAAGTTTAAACATACACAGAAAGTGAGACACGTGGATGTGGTCATTATATACAAAAGGCATTCTATGTGGAAAGTCACAGAGGTAGGATATCTTAGAGGAGCAGATAGAGAAAGATTTTGTACCTAAGAAGACATTGAAAGGAATCTTTGGAAATAAGTTTAGAATGGTATACTGAGTTCAGGCCATTGAATGTCATGGATGCCAGTCAGAACACTTTGGCATTTGTTTTGTGGATATGCAAAGATTTTTTGATCAGAGGTGTTATATGATCAGAGCCAAACTGAAAGTGTTTTACTCTGGAAGCAGATGAAGATATGTTACCCTTAGAGGCATTTAGAACTTGGAAATTCTCAGAGCTCACTTCAAGATCCTCTTCAGTCTTTCCTCTGTTCTCTTTATTGCCAAGTTGTCTCATCCAGTCTGAGGCTTTGCTCATCAGACATATGGCAGTGATGTTTCTCACAGTTTCATGTCTTCTAAGCTACACACCTACATGGCCAACTGTCTAGTCAACAGCTGCTCTGATTTTTCAAACTCATTTCAATTCAGTATGCCCAAGTAAGTGCTTACATACATACACAAAATATGGTCCCCTTTGAAATAGGCTTCTTTTTTATACATCATCTAGATCCACCACCAATCCAAGATTATAATTCAGAAACCCAGGAGTTCTTCTAGTTACCTCCTCCTGTCTCTCCAGCTATATCAAAATCATCATTAAGTGTGCTTAAAGTGGTGGATGTCCTGGTAGTTCCCATTCTTTTCTGTCTCTGTGACCCTCAAAACCTTCCTTTGACAGTCTCAATGGTTTTTAAACCCATCCTTTCAGGGGTTCATTGCCCTTCATGTAGCCTCACATCTTCAGTGCCACAGAAAATAAAGAAGACAACAATTAATGGAAGTAGCATATATAAAGGAAAGTTCTTTTTGTTTTTATAAAATAATGAAATTTGTTTTAAACCAAATATCTGTCTTATTGAGTAATCAGAATATGTATGGCTTGATGATTCACCTGCTGAGGCAGAAGTACAGTCTCAGTAGAGTTCATAGAGAATTCTAACTTATATTCTACAGACAGACAAATAATAGATCACAGGAAATAAATTTTCTTCTCTCTTTTCTGCAGTGTCAAAAGACACTTTATGCATTGTAAGTAAACGTTCTTAAAATCTCACTAGCTCTGATTAATATCTATAAACTTGGTTTTCAGAAAACCTATCTTTACATAGCATGGTGATGGAGCTATGCTAAATCTTTTCCCTGAAAAAATATTTTCTGCAGTTTCAAAAATCACATTTACCACAAGTCTTACTTGTAGTTGATCAGCTGGACCTATTTTTGGTCCTGATAGAAAGTAAATTCTATGATCAATTGAGTGGGTGTTTGATCCTATGGAAATGGCTAATCTTTCTCATACACTGGAATGGTCTCACTTTACCTGTAATTAATTGTGTTTTCATAATACAAGTAAAATTGAAAGAGGTTCAAATCCTCTTATAGTGTTGATATGTAGAGGTATGTTATTCAAACTATTTTTCTGTGAATGAGAAATAAAATGAGTTCATGGTGATCAGTGTTCAGAAATGGGAAAATTAGTTAACATTTGAAAAAGAGATCCACATCTTACATGAAATACCCTGGTTTATTGTAAAACTAAATGTCTGTCTTGTTGAATTGAGCTCTCTGAATAGGTACCTCAGGAGTCTTTTGAATTGCCAGAACTGAAACTCATAAACATTCGTTAATATAATACTTTTGGAAATATTTTCCTTTTTCCAAAACATTGCAGTTTCTGTAGAAAAAATGTTTTTCTGTATCAGGAAGATAAATCCTAATACGGGAAGCAATTAAAAAGATAAAAGAAGCAATAGTTTTAAATGTTATCTTTATATACCTATTGGTGGCAAAGTGGTTGAAAAACTCTGTGAGGGATTTGTAGCATTTTCAGTTTCTTCAGGATAAAGATGATCAGGCTGACAATTGATTTTCAACCTGCTGAAAATGCTAAAAAGCAATTGTGTTTTTCTTTTTTCTTTCTGGTCCAAACTCAGTATAGATCTGTACATACCTATACATTAAAAAAGTTGACCTAAGACTTAAACACATTCAGTAACAAGAGACACTGCCCATGCTTTAAAATCACTGTTTAAAGCTTTAAAAATACTTATAGAGTTTAGGAATGAGATCCATTCAACCATGGCAAATAGAGGATTTGGTTATTTGTGGTATAACATTAGTCTTTTATGAGTTTTCCTCATGCACAGAAAATTCTGAGTCAGCCACACTGAGACTGAGCGTGGCTCTATAGTCTGGTTCAGTGATTCCGTGATTGGGTTCACATAATGGAGGATAGTCTGTGAAACAGAACTTCTGTGAGATTTAGAGACTCACTGAAGAGCAAATGCTGTACAAGCAATAGAGCTGGTGCTAGAATTGTTGCTTTGAAACACAGTCCTCAAATCTTCCTATTCCCTGCTACCAGACCCAGCTCAGTCTTTCATTCAGCAAATAGTGATTAGTGTTACTATGTGGTGCTCTTCCAAATGCATGAGATATGGAATTGAATAAAGCACATAAAACTCCTGTCCTCCTGACACTTGTACTCTGAAGAAGAGATACCAATATGCAAAAGAGATCATACAAAGTCTGTTATATAGTGGTATGTGCTATGGAGAAAAATATCATTGGGAAGGGAAATAGAGGGTTTGGGGCAGTGAAATTTTAAACATAGTATTCACAGAAGGGCTCATGGAGAAAACAGAATTTAAATAAAGACTTGAAGGGAGTGATGGAGCGAGCCATGGGGACAACTATGAAAAATAATTTAAGCAGAGGGAAAAAGAAGTGCAGAAGCACTGAGGTGAGAATGTGCCTAATGAATAAGATGAATAGCATGGAGCCAGGTATATCTAGGGGATCTAGCCAGATAAGTGAAGGGAAGACAACTCTCATAGAATCTTATAAAGGGACATTAGCTGTACTCAGTGTGAGACGAGATGATATAGGAACACTCTGAACAGAGAATAGCACGGTCTGACTTTGTTTTAATGCCATCACTCTACATTCTGGGTATGGTTGAGAATAGACTCAAGAGGGGCCAGGGCAGAAAGAGGATATCTAGTTTGGAAGTAATCACAAGAAGAGAGGAAGTGGCAAGGAGAAAATAGACTCTAGATACACAAAGAATGGAGAAACAATACTTTCCAGATTTTTGACTGAATAACTGGAAGGAAGGAGTTGCTATGAATTGAGATGAAGAAACTGTAGGAAGAGCAAATTTCAGGTGGCAGAACAGAGAGATCCAGATTCAAATGTGTTAAATTTGAAATACCCAGTAAATCTCAAGTGGAGCTGCAAATGAGGATTTGGATACACATGTTTGGCATTAACTGGAGAGATTAGGCTGGAAATATAATTTGTAAATTGTACTGGGTTGAACAGCATTCCCCCAAAATTTATGTCCTAATTGTAAACTCAGTATAGGACTTTATGTAGAAATAAGGTAATTGCAGATGTAATTAGCTCAGGCAAGATGAGGTCATACTTGAGTGGTGCGGGCTCTTAATCTACACCACTTCTGTCCTCAAAGGAGGGAAGATGACACAGACATACAGGGAGAACGTCATGTGACGATGGAAGTAGAGAATGAGTGATGTGTCTACAAGCCAAATAACTGCAATTGCCGGGGACACCAGAAGTTAAAGAAAGATATGAAACAGAATTTCCCCTATAGCCTTTAGATAAAGCATGGCCCTGCCGACACCTAGATTTCCAAATTCTAGCTTCCAGAGCTTTGAAAGAACATAGTTATTTTAAGCTACCCAATGATGGTACTTTTATTAAAGTTGTTCTGGAATATGCTACAGAAATCATCAGCATACAAAGATTAGTTAGTCAAAAGGCCAGATGAACTTGCTCAAGAAAGTAGATGCAGTTAGAAAAAGATGAGGACCGCTGGGTGCGGTGGCTTACGCCTGTAATCCCAGCACTTTGGGAGGCCAAGGCAGGCAGATAACCTGAGGTCAGGAGTTCGAGACCATCCTGGCCAAGATGGAGAAACCCTGTCTCTACTAAAAATACAAAAAAGTAGTTAGGCATGATGGTGGGCACCTGTAATCCCAGCCACCTGGGAAACTGAGGCAAGAGAATCACTTGAACCTGGGAGGCGGAGGTTGCAGTGAGCTGAGATCATGCCATTGCACTCCAGCCTGGGTGACAGAGCGAGATTCCATCTCAAAAAACATAAATAAAATAAAATAAAATAATTAAAAAGGAAAGAAAAAGATGAGGACCAGTGTCTGAACTCTGGGAAACACCAGCTTTTAAAGGTCAGGAAGGTGAGAAGAAACCAGGATAGGGAACTAAGAGGTAGCAACTAGTGAATTTGGAGAAAAACAGGGAGAGAAAAGGGTCCTGAAATACAAATAAAGAAAGTATATCAAGACAAAAGGAATGTATCAAATGCTGCAAATAAAGCACAATGAAAATTGAGACTTGACTATGGTTTCAGTAATGTGGCAGTCACTGGTAACCTTGCTATTGAATTAAGTTATCAGATTTAAAATTACCTTGACATGATTAATTTTTAAAATCTCCAAAGATAATTATTTACACAGTGCAATGTAATTTCCAGTAGATAGCTGACAGAGCTTATGAGTAAAGCAGGATGTGGTGACATTTTCTTGAAAAAAAAAAAAAAAAAAAACCTAATTCAGATAAAGATAAAGAATCTACAACTGACTATAGTGCTAATGAAAAAAACATAGAGAGTTGAGAAAATACCTTGAAAGACCTTTACAATTTCATAAGCTTGTTTTTTAGAGGGCACTTGTCTGTATTATGGCTGTCCCACTTCTCTTTGTTATAAAATAGAGGAGAAAAAACAAAAGGAGAAAGACAAAGCAACAAATACAAAGGAAGGAGAGAATGTGAGACTCAGATGGGACCACTCTCTTTGTTGTCCCCATGTGGGAATTGTTGATGGTAGAATGCAGAACACCAGTGAGACGTCTTTGTCAACAGCATTGATGTTCCCCACCATAATTCTCTGCTTTGAAACAAATCTGCAATTCTCCTGACATTAGTTTTCAATTTATTACCCCAAGTGGGTTGGTCTCTAAGGAAGGCCAGCCTATATATGCAGCGGCTGAAATAACTAGTTGGAGCTAGTTAATGAAACTGAGAATGTCATGGGCTGGTTAATATTCATATATTTGAAGGTAGCATACCTGTGTAACCTGAGGGCTATATTTCATTAGATTTATGTATTGTAATGCAATGTCTGAAAGCTGAATACAACTGATATTGTTTTGTTAAATACTTGCAGTTTTCATTTATATCTCAGATACAAATCTGATCATCTTTGGCATATATAATCCTGTTATCAGCTACTAGAAATTTTCTTGTTGTGGTCAGAAAGTCCTAACATGATAATGTAAGAACTTCATTTGGATGTTAGAATAAGACTTTCTCCCCCCAGGAGCTAATGTCTTTGTCAAAAGTTTAAGGAAGTCGTAGCATCAAAAATAATGATCACAACAGGTTCCCAAGACATATATTCCTGTCAGTGGCATGCAGGATAGTAAAAGCAACACAAGCATCCAGGAGAGAAAAACCCAGTTTGCAAGGGTAGGAACACATACTGCAGATAAAAGTAAACAAGGAATTATATGCTTGTTATCTTGTTAGACAGGAGGTACTGGATATCTTGTAAGCAAGAAAAGTGGATCTCAAATTTGGATTGTATTAGAATCTAGTGAGTATCCTTTTCAAATTACTAATGCTGAAATTCCAGTCCTCCAGGTCTACCAAATTTGAATGTAAGGCAGTAGATCTCAACTATATGTACTGAAGTACAGCGTATAAGATACTCCAGGAAATATTGAGTGGGTGGAACTCACTCAAGTTCCAGGGTAAATTCTAGCAACATTCTCTACCCTTATTTACTATGTTTAATTGACATACTATGTCTGTTGGTAATTGTTATCATCTTTCTTGTTGAAATTTGAAAAGATGACAGAGTCCTTCATGTGAATTCTGCTACTTTTTGAGGTAGAGAAAAATACAGAGGGGTTAAAAAAATGATTCAAGAAAGTCTTTCTACAAGATGCTGCACACGTGCATAAGATTCTATTAAAAGATACACTTAAGAAACACAGAATATGTAAATCGCCAAAATGCCTCGACTGACCCAAATTACACATTAATCCGTTACAGATTATGTAGACTGCTACAATTTTAAAATCAGTCTATCAGCTCACCTTTGTTTAAACTAGTGTTTTCATCTTTGTTTACCCATGGAAACCTCGTTTTTTTCTGCATACTATTTTAATGCAGTTTGGAAAATGCTGCCTTTGGTGAAGTTTCTATTTTATTAACTTGTGTTAATATTTGACATTTGTTTTGTGAGTCAACCACATATTTTATTTTAATGGAACTTGATCTGCCTTAGTTTTTAGAGTCAAGTTGTCTAGTTGAATATGCTAAACCAGGAACCTGAAATGTATACATTGAGTTGGGGGTAAGACATTAAGTAATGGTGGTAAGACATTAAGTAATGGTGGTATCTGCAAGTCATTGAAGAAAATCTTGTCTATCCCCATACACTCATTATCTTTTTCTAATCCCTGTATCAAACAACACAAACACACTTTCTCTCTTTCTAAGTTTATCTATCTATCTATTTATCTATCTATCTAATCTATCATCTCCCTAGAGAGAGAATTTGCTTACATAATTTAGACTGTTGGTCTTTATGTGTTAAATCAATCTTGTCATTAGAGCTAAGAATTTAATATGTCCTTCTTGATATCATTCAATTACCTGTTCATTAGCAATTTCTGGAAAAAAAGAAAAAAGATAAATATCGCAAATAATGGATAAGCTATA
This sequence comes from Homo sapiens, assembly GCF_000001405.40. Taxonomy (NCBI): domain Eukaryota; kingdom Metazoa; phylum Chordata; class Mammalia; order Primates; family Hominidae; genus Homo; species Homo sapiens. Next base: position 40,457,415 of record NC_000018.10, read on the forward strand.
AAAATCTATCCTAATTATGTTACATAGCACAATCATTTCTGCATTTTATTTAAAGTAGTAACAGTACAGGTAAATATTCCAAATGACTACTTCCCTATAAGAAAACAGGGAACAAGGTACAGAAACCATATTCAAAACCTTCAAAACAAAACAAAATAAGCTATGAGGCTACATACTGAAGCCCCCATGTAATTAAAATGAGCTGACCTGATCCTCATAGACACCAAGCATACCAAACTCAAATTATAAGACATCCTCAGAATGTCTGTAGATCTAAAGAAAGCTCTGCTTCTGTTTCTTCCAATGTCTAAATAGCAAGTCTTACCCAAACACAGAGTAAAAGATAACTCAAAAGCCAGAGAGAGTGGTTCCTGATAACTAGGTATAAGGCAGAGAAACAGTGGACACTTGATAGGAAGTGAGAAAATATTTAAAAAACAAAGACTGTGCCCAGTGTGTGTGTGGTGGAAAGGGAAGGTAGGGGACGAAATGAAACAGCTTTGGTATGCCTTCCATCATGGGGAAAAAAATTCATGTTCTTAGAGGTAGTGTAACAAAAAGGTTAGCAGAAGGCATGGAGTCTTTTCCTGTGTAACAGAGTATCTTCAGCATTTTCTGGTCTCATGGAGGCAAGGGAAGTCAATCTACCAGCACTCAGTAATTCTATTCCAGCATACGTTGATAATAGACCAATTGCAACATCATGCCTTTCTCTTAGTGGGGAAATGAATCTTGAGACTTCCAGAGGCATCTCAAGCACAAAACCTTCAAAACAAAACAAAATAAGCTATAAGGCTACATATTGAAACCCCCTTAGGTTATGAAGAGGAAAGCAAAGTGTTCAGTCGAAGAGACCCTGAACTACACACACACACACACACACACACACACACACACGCACACACACACGCACACACACACACACACACATCAGACTGTTTTGATCAAACTGTTTTGATAACTCTTAATAGTGTTTAAGGAAAATGGATGAAATTGTTATCCACAGTCCCATATTTCCTGTCTATCTCAAGTTCCTCTGTTTCTTTTTTCTTGCTTTCCTTCTAGGAGGTTTTTAAAGCCAAATTGTTTTACATTTAGATTATTTCAATGTTTGACAACTAAGTCATGAGTTACAACAGAATGAATCATAAACAAAATTCTCCTGTAATAAATGTTTTGTGACCTTAGTTAAGCTGATTATAATGGAAGCTACTCTGATTATTGTAGATTACATAGTCTTCAGTCTCCAATACATTCCTTTGCACCCAAAGGAAGGTTATTTATTTCAATTTGGGAAAGTACACAGGTAGAGTAGACAGATGATAAAACCTGTCAGTGTGGAACATCCCCATAATATACAAGAAGTAAAATTGCCCCAATTTCCCTTCTCTACACCAGATGTAGGTCTTCAGATTCATTGCCTCATTAGTTTGGGCTGTAATAAAAACTTACCATAGACTGAGTGGCTTATAAACAACAGAAATTTCCTTCTCACAGTTCTGGAGACTGGAAGTCTGATGTTAGAGTGTCAGTATGGTTGGGTTCTGGTGAAGGCCCTCCTCTGGTTTGCATACTGCTGGCTTCTCTTTTTGTCTTCACATGGCAGAAAGAGAGAGAGAGAGAGAGAAAGAGAGAGCACGAGCAAGAGTGAGTGTGCATACTAGCTCTCTGGCCTCTTTTATGGGTACTAATCTCATTCGTAAGGGCTACAACTTCATGACCTATTTACCTTCCAAAGGTATCTCCTTCGTATACCATCTCATTGGAAGTTGGAGTTCAACTTATGAAATCCTTTTGGGGAGACATAGACATGCAGTCCATAATACCCCAATATGCTAGTTAAATCTGGGAACATCATAAGCATGCTTAAACTGAGAAGGTGGTTGTATTTGTTTTGGGGTCTTCAGAATTTCTTTTCAATAACTTCTGTGCTTTTATCATTTGATTTAAATCATTTTTTCCACTTCATTTCGTTTCTACCTCATGAGGTTCTGGACACACCTGTGGGTATTGCCCTGGAATCATAGGTAACACTGATAATAAAAGTCAGAACCTCTGGTTTCAGGTCTCATATCAGTCATTTCTACCTTAGTGGAAATTCAAACTGTAGATATATTTCCCTGAGTTAACATGAATTCTTATCATTGGAGAAAATATTTGATGAAAAAATTTTGTCCCAGAAAAAGAGATCTCACACCTCAAAGAGTAGGTGGGAATGATAATTTTAATAATGCAGAGACATAAGAAAATTGTGTGGCTTTGTGAATTAGAAACAAGAATATATTACAATTTCATCTTAGTTCTCTCTTGGGTATAATCTGTGAGGAAGTGCTGTAAACCCACTGTCTCATAGCAGCTGGGTTTTCACTTTAGTTTTTTTTTCTCTTTTTTCCTTTTGTTAATGAACTCTTTGGAAAGAAAACAACGGGAAAGGAAAAGATAAAAAGAAACTGCAGCTCCATCAATTTTCTCATTGTGTCTCATTAGCTAAGAGACCAATGTTAGTGCCTTTGTAATTTTTGTAGTATTGACTTTAGACTATTTTCAATTTGTGAAAATAAATGACTTCCTCCATTTATTTTTGTTTCCTCGGAATAAGGAAATCCTATAGACTTAAGGATGGTTAATGGGTTAAGAATAGTTAAGATGAATCCTGCTGATCACCATAATAATGTTAGAGATTGTAATCTGTCAATTTTTGCTTTATGTACTTTTATGTTTTTAGTAATATACATGTTAAAAATATTATATCTTCATAGGAAATCATTCACTTTAACTTTACATGGGTTTTCTCATTGCTCCTAATAATATTTTTAAAGTATATTTTATCTGATATTATATAGATAATCAGCTTTTTCCCCATCCTTTCACTTTCAGTCCTTCTGATAAATTGTAATCTAGGTTTTTATCTTTGTAAACAGCATATAGTTAGATATATTTATTTTTAATTTTCTGATCTGAAATTAATTGTATTTTAATAAACATCTATTGACATTTACTTATTTTCTGATACATTTGGGTTTGTTAAAACCAACTTATATTGTGTCCTCATTTTAACTATTCCTTTGTTTCATTTTCTCTTGTCTTTTACTGAATTTACCATAATTTTACTATTTTATTTTTACATCCTAGAGATATATAATTTTCCATTCTATTTCTCTTATTTTAAAGGCCACACTTATGTTTTTAGAACACATACTTTACTTTAAAAAATTGAAAGTCATATACACTTATTCCTTCTTATCAAAATAAAGCTATATGATTGGCAAACCAAAATACATTTCAGATGTCACTGCTTCCTTACTGTCTTTCACTATCAAACATGTTAATCCTAAATGTGTGCTTTCTAAGCAGCTACAAAATTCAGCCACCATTAGGTAGGTTTTCTGTTTCTTTCAGCTGAAATTATTTCTAAAGAGTTTACAACTTCTCTTTCATATTATGTGTGTCATGTCAAGCATTGAAAGTTCTTTTTGTTTCTAGTTCAATATTCATCATCATCATTATTATTATATAGTATATGTTAATTTAGATTCCCCATTAGCTCTAGTAATTTAGTCATTAAACATTGCTTATAGCATTCCATTACCTCTATTAGGGTTATTGTTCTTCTTGAAGTCCATTCATAGTTCTTTCAATCTTTCAATACAAGGTTTATGAGTAGTAAATCCTCACCATTTGTTTCTTTTTTTCACTCATAAAATGACATTACTAGGGTTTTCACATCTGGCAGGGTGAATAGGCTCTAATAAATTAGTTATCCTTTATATAATAACTATATGCTATGTATAAGACACAAACAAATAAAAAAACCTCAAGTGCAAATTTCTGATCTCTCTAGAGTATAAATCTAAATAAAAAGAAAAAAATTGGAGGGGATTTGAACCTTAGAAGAAACTAGCATGAGTAAGTTTAAGGTTGTGAAAGCTGTCATAATCAAAATGGAGTTGCTAGTTCTAAAAATACGGACACGTAGAGCCAGGGAAGTCCACGAGGGGAGAGTTCTCATGCACAAATACCTGATAACACAAACAATCACAAAAGAATCTGCAAAAACCATTACCTTACACAAAGGTCATCACAACCCTATACAAAAAAATACTTCTGCAACGGCATCTTCCCAACAACAGGCTGTTTAATTTCAGTCTGGCACCACGTCTTATATTGATATTCATAGCTAAGAACAATTAATTCAAAACAATGGTATATATTTCATTTTTTTTTTAAAAATGTTTTTTTCTTTACCTCCCTGAAGATGCACATAATTCATCATGGTACATGTATTCTCATTGCAATGCTTATTCCCAAATAGATGTTATTTTCTTTTAGAGAGTCTCCCTGTTTGTTATTTAGGTTGACAAGATGTATACCCTAGAGCAAGAACTAAAAAGCAATATTGTAAAGGTACGTGTGTGTATGTGTGTGTGTGTGTGTGTGTGTAGTTAAGACAGAATTTTAAACACAACAGAAGCAAACCTCAAATAATGTAAAAGAAAATAGGAAAAATAAAAGAGGCTAAAAAGAGAGGAGATAAACAAAAATAACTTATAAAATGGTAGACTTAAAGTTGTTTCTGTTAATTGCATTGTTATTACTAAATATTAATATACTAAACATTTCTATTAAGAGGCAGAGATTATCAGACAGGATATAATAGTAAGACCTAACTATATACTGCTTACAAGAGAAGCACTTTAAAGACAAACAGTAGAAAGTAAATGGATGAAAACCATATGCATATAGACAGAAAGCATAAAAGGTTGAAGTTGCTGTACTAAAATCAGATATAACAGACCCCAAGGCAAAGCATTATATCAAACACATTAAAAAATTAGTGATTTATCAAGAAGATATAATAATTGTTAATGAGAATGTGTAAAACATAATTTCAAAATACATGAAGCAAAAATTGACTGTAAATACAAACTTATAATTTCATTGTCAAAGTAGAAAATTTTAATATTTTTCTCTCCCAGCAATTGATAAAAACAACTAGATCTAGAGAAAAATATCAGTAAAGACACAGGACAACATTGTCCACTCTCTTACCTAATTGTGTCTTAATAAAATAAATGATTGTATAGAAGGAATATCCTCCAAGCACAATAGAATTAAGAAATCAATTAAAATATGTTATGTAATAAAATATTTAGAAATTAATCAACAAATTTTTAAAAATAAATCACAAATAAATTACCATATATTTCAAATGAAATAAAATTAAAATACATGAAATTTGAGGGATACAGGCAAGACAAAGCTCAGAAAAATGTAAAGCTTTAAATATATACAGAAAATATAGAAAATTTAAAATCAATGATTTAATATTTTACTTCCAAAAGCTACTAAAAGAACAAAGTAAAGCCAAAGTAAGTAAAGAGGAGAAAATAAAGCTATCAGCTTAAATCAATGAAATTGAAAACAGATATACAATAAAACAGTTTAACAAAATGATGAGTTGGGATATGTCTAGCAATTCTGAATAAAAATAAAAAGAGAAAACACAAAACATTAATATCAGGAATAAAAGAAGGACGGTTACTAAAGATGCTACATATACATATAAAAATATTAAAATGTTATAAAAACATTCATGCCAATTTAGTAGAAATAAACACATTTCTTTAAAAATTAGCACTAGCAAAAATTTACATAAGGTGCAACAGGAAGAATAAATAGCCATCTACCTATTAAAGTATGTGGATTAACTATCATAGATTTCTCATCAAGTAAATTCCTAGCCCAGGTTTTTCCAATGAATTATATAAAACATTCAATAAGAACACCAATCATAATGTCCTTTAGGAAAAGAAAACACCTTCCAAATTGTTTTATAAAGTAAACATAACATTTTTTAATTTTATTATTTTATTTTAGGTTCAGGGGGTACATAGGCAGCTTTCTTAAATGGGTATATTGTATGATGATGAGGTTTGAGCTCCTAATGATCTCATTACCCAAGTAGCAAGTGTATTACAAAGCAAGTAATTTTTTTAACCCTTTGCCCCCTACTTTGGAATCCTCAGTGTTTACTGATCCCATCTTCCTGTCCCTGTGTACTAGATGTTTAGCTCCCATTTATAAGTGAGAACATATGGTATTTAGCTTTCTATTCCTGTGTTAATTGGCTTGGGATAATGGCCTCCAATTGCATCTATGTTTCTGCAAAGAACATTGTTTTCTTTTTTATGGCTGTGTAGTATTCCATGGTGTATATGTACTACATTTTCTTTAACCAATCCACTGTTGATAGGTACCCGGGTTGATTCTATGTCTTTGTTAATGTGAATAGCGCTGCAATAAGCATATGAGTACAGGTGTCTTTTTGGTAGAAAGATTTATTTTCTTTTGGGTCTATACCTAGGAATGGGGATCTTGGCTTAAATGGTAATTCTCTTTTTATTTCTTTGAGAAATCTCCAAACAGCTTTCCGTAGTGACTGAACTAATTTGCATCCCCACCAACAGTGTGTATGCATTCCCTTTCCTCTGCAACCTCACCAGCATCTGTTATTGTTTAACTTTTTAATAATAGCCAGCCAGGCCCAGTGGCTTATGCCTATAATTCCAGCAGTGTGGGGGGCTGAGATGGAGAATCACTTGAGCCTAGGAATTTGAGACAAACCTGGGCAATATAGGGAGACCCTGCCTCTACAAAAATTTAAAAAATTAGCTGGTCATGGTGGCACATGCCTGTGATCCCAGGTACTTGGGGGGCTGAGGTAGGAGGATTGCTTCAGCCCAGAATATAGAGGCTACAGTAAGCTGTGATAGCACCACTGTACTCCCGACTGGATGACACACCAAGATCCTGTCTCAAATAATAAAAATGATAATAGCCATTCTGACTGGTATGTGATGGTATCCCATTGTGGTTTTGATTTTCATTTCTCTGATGATTAGTGATGTTGAACACTATTTTCATATATATACTTAACATAATCTTGAGAGCAAAATTCAACAGATATTACAGAAATAAAGAAAAAAGAGAAAAGGAAGTAAAGAAGGAAGAAAAGAAGAAAGTAAATGAAGAAAGGAAGAAAAAAATTATAAACAGATGACCCTCATAAATAAAGTTGTGAATATGTTTAGCAATATATAACCAAATGTAATACATAAAATAGTTTAAAAAGATAATACATCATAACCAGATATGTAAGGTAGTTTCAAAATCATTCAATCTAATTTATCATATTTACAAAATAAAAGAAAAAAATGATGGTCCTTTCAATAGATGAGAAACACACATTGGAAAAATTCAGTTCTCATTCATGATAAAAAGTGCTCAGCAAACTTGATATAGGTGTGTAGAAGGGCATTTCTTCAGGTTGATCCAGAGCATCTTAAACAAAGAAACAAAACCTGCAACTTAAATTCTACTTAATGGTGAAATATTGAACATGTTTTTCCCCTAAAATAAAAGAAAAAACTTAGTAAGAACATCCTTTAACATTTCTATTCAACATTGTGCTGGAGGACCCAGCTATTGCAATAATGCTAATTTTAAAAATTAAAAACAAAAAGAATGGAAAGAAGTTGCAGGTGACATTATTATTTACTGATGTCTGCTGACTATTCCTTATGGTAGATATGCTTTTGTGTGTTAAATAATTTTTAAGTTTAAACACACCTTCAATGAGGGTACGAACTTCCTGGACTTTGAATCTGTCTCTCCAGAAGTTTTCATTTATTTTTGAAAAGGAACCTACATTATCACCTGGTAATCTCAACTTATAGCATTTCCTTGTCTTTGGAACAGAGATCCAATATCTTGATATTTGAAGACAGGGAAAAGGCTGAGACAAGCTTCCTTGGGGCCTTTATGGCAACGGTTAAAATTAAAAAAAATTTTCCCCATGGAATATCCTTTAATATGAAATCAAATGTATTTATTTATTTAATAGTGTTAACTTTGCTCTTGACCCTAATTTTTTTTCAGTAAAAGTTTCACCCTCATTTGTTATTTATTTTCAGATTTTTTAATTGTATTTTTAATTGACATAAATTGTGTAAATTCATGGGGTACATACTGATGTTTTGATACATATAATGTACAGTAATCAGATCAGGATAATTAGCATGTCCATCATCTCAAACATTTATAATTTCTTTGTGCTGGGAATGTTCAATATACTCCTTCTAGCTATTTGAAACTATATAATATGTTATCTTTAGTTACAGTGATCCTACAGTGGTATAGAACACTAGAACTATTTATCCTATCTAGCTGTAGTTTTCTATCCTTTAACAAATCTCTCCCTATCTCTCCTTTCTCCACTGTTTCCAGCTTCTAGTATTTTCTGTTCTACTTTTTACATCTATGAGATCAACTTTTTTTTTTAGCTTCCACATATGAGAGAGGATATGCGGTGTTTAACTTTCTGTTTCTGGCTTATTTCACATAACATAACATCCTCTGGTTCTATCCATGTTTCCTCGAATGACAGGTTAAGCTTTTTCTTATTCATTCTTTAACTAGTTTCATCCAGGCAATTCATTTATAAATTCTTGACTTGCACGTGTCTAAAGCTTAGACTTCTTTAACTGTATGGGTATCAATAGCCATATGCTTACATGCCATTGACACCATATCTGCCATGAAAACAATTATCTCTAGGTCTTACTGGCTTTGATTCCAGAATCTAGAAATTTATTGTGGAATTTTTATTGTTGTTGTTTGGGTGTTTGTTGTGGTTTCTCCACAGTCTCAGCAATGCATTACTATTTTATGTGACTATAATTAATGAGCATTTTAGATGTTTAGAAAATGTTTTCAAGTTGTTTTTGTTTGCTATCTTGTAAAAACTGGAAATCTTTTTTGTTATAATAAACATTTTAAATATTTTTATTTTTAATAACACATGGGGAATGATAATAATACATTCCATTAAAAGTAAGAATATAATTGTTTAATAGTAAATATATACTTGTAGTACAGTCATAGTATCCAAGTTAAAAGTAATAGTTTTTATTGTTCTAGTCAATCATTATATAGTAAGTATATCCTACATTTGCAATTGAATAAATAAAAGAGTTGTTGAAACTAAAAGCAAAATTGAAAAATTATCAAATGCACAGTGAAAATGTCAGAAAACACACACAGCCATTCTAATACATTGCAGAGCTATCCTGTGGAATACAAATTGAGCGAAGAAGATTTTCTATGAAACTCTAGGATCTATTTGAAAATTATTTCAAAAAGTTAATCTATTGAAGTTTTCAATGCCAAAAATTTTGTGTCCAATTTCTCTCTGTGTATTGGTGAAACAATGAGTCTGGCAGTTCACATTGGGACAAATAATTAACACTGTTAACCCAACTGAAGTGAAGAAAGAATATAAAAATTATAGGCCCAAGTTATTACTCACTTTTTTCCAGATACTGTAGGACCTCAGTATTCATGGGTTCCACAGACAGATTCAACCAACCATGAATCAAATGTATTTGGAAAAATAAAAATAAATGTACAACAATAAAATAACGCAAATAAAAAAATACAGTATAGCAACTATTTACAAAGCATTTTCATTGAACTAGGTATTATAAGTAATCTTGAGATGATTTAAGGTATGCAAAAGAATATACCTAGGTTATATGCAAATATGACATCATTTTATATAAGGGACTTGAGCATCCAAGTATTTTGGTATCTGCAGGGATCCTGGAACCAATCCCTTGTTAGATACTGAGGGAGAACTGCATTAACTTTTCCAGCCACAGACCCTGTTCAGTAGGTGTGACTACTGGAGATGAATGTGGCATTTGTTTCTGTGATTTTTTTTTTTAATCTTTTCAACTTCCAAAAAATGACTGATCCAGTAGAGCTGGCTCTGGTGCAGTGAAATTTTAGGTCATTCAGGAAAGGATTATGTTTATATTAAGTTATATCTAACTGATTGCAAAATGGATTTAGTGAGTGAAGAGTGACAGAAAACACGTGCACATTAAAGTAGATGATAGGATATTGAAAACATTATTGTAACTTATTTAGTATTGATTTTCCCAGATTTCTTGATATTGCTTGACACAAACAAATGGTAGGAGTAAAGGAGCCTGCTAAATGTGAGAAGGAGACACAGTGGTGAGAGTGAAGAACTACCGATTTGGATTCAGGTGTTATAATTCCCTGAACACACAAGAAAGCAAATGCAACAAAACGACTATATACAGGAAGTATAGGCAAGATGCATGATAGGATAAAGTCAGTTTCAGAAAGAGCATGGTTTCAAAGTTTTAGAAATGTTTAATGTCATTGTATTCTTTCTTTCAGTTCTATATTCCACCTATAGTTGAAGTGGAATATTCTCGATAACTAAACTTCAACAAGATCTTCCTATGGCACACGTATTCTACTTAGAAAAAGGTGAACAAACTCCTTCTTTAAAAAACTATGATAACATGTACTTTTTAAATTTACATATAATTCACTTCTGCAAGACATTGCTGCCTCAGTCTGACTACTATGGAAGAGGAGGACAGGGCTCATCCTTTTATCAAAATTCTCCTTTTTGGTTATCTGTAACTCAAATCTGAAGTTCTCAGTGCACAGGTTGCACATCTTGCAGCGAATACATTTTCTCTTTTTTGACTGTCACTTACATTCTATCAGTACCTAGAATTGTCTGACTGTTTATATGTATTATTTTAAAAATTAATTTCCTTCAACCATTATCTACTTAAACTAGACCCTGATTTTTTCTGGATTTTACTGTGGCAGTTACTCTGTAACTTATCCTTTATTTGTGCATCAAAGCAGGTCCATTCTGAGGACTGCAGTCATATGCACATTCCTAGTACATCCATGTACAACATAACAATTCATCACTCACCTAACATTCTGTGATGTTTTGTGGTTCTATTCCTTTGCTCTTGTTGTTTCCTCCACGAAGACACTTTTTCTCTATTCCTATCAATCAATTTCCATTCTCACCCTTCAATACCCAAATGCAAATGTCATGAACTCAGTAAACTGCACAATCAAGCTCCTATATTTTGCTTAAAGAAACTTATGTCTAGGGCTTGTTGAGATCAAGATGCTTAAGCTGATGTTCAAAAAGCAATTAAACCATGGATTTGTTATTTTCTTTTCAAGAAAAAGTCTATCTTGAAGACAAATGTTTGAAAGCCATCTACGTACACTTGATGAACTTGCATGAGGCAGTAGATCTGTCAGGGAGATTTTAGAGCATTCAGCAAATATGCTGTATGCAGTGCCTTTCCATTGCATACAATATAAAGTCCAAACTCCTGAATTGGCCACGCAAAACCTAGGATTTCTGGCCCCAATTTAATTTCCAAACTTCCTTGTTATTTTTTTAACTGAAGATCTGAATTCATCAGTAGGTTCTTTGTTTTAGAATACTCCTTCTATATATTAAAGATAGTGTATGATTTTTTTGAGAATGTTCTTCTAACTCCTGTCTACATTAATCCTATTTGTTTTTTAAGGAACTGCTTATATTTTACCTGTTCTGTGAGGCTACTTCTAACTTCACCACAGTCTCCTCCAACAGGAAACATTAATGTCATTATCATATTATGAATGTTATTATTTAGGATCATGGAATTGTTGAACTATATGAGGCTCCATTAATTAGATGAAAGGAGATGAAGAAATTCATCCAAGCTCACACAGTTTGTACAAAATTTTGACAGAATTTTGCATCAGCACCTCCATTAGAGATAGGCTCTCTTCTACTAATGAAATCTCTTCCATTTAATGTTTACGTCTACAGGACTTTCCATTACTAATTAACTTTGTAAGAACATAGGCTTTCTTTCTCTCCTCATCTCAGCTGTAAGCATACTAAATGCCCAGTTCACGTTTTAAACTCCTTTTATTTAGCACAATATTTGACAAACTAAGTACTTGGCAGAATAACTTCTGCATAGTATATACTTAAAGCAGTTTTCTTTTATTAAAAAAACAGTGATTGATATTAAATTTTAGGCTATATCCAAGTTACTTAACAATATCCCTTTACTACTTTTCCACATCTGCTAAACAGTAGAAAAATCTGGATTGCTCCTACTTGTTTTCTTGTAGCCTTCTTATTTTTACTGTAGTAATTACTGTTTGGGAAGCTTTTGAAGTCTTGGCCAATACCAATTCTGGCAGGTAAAGCATTTTCAGCTAAAATGTGGAAAATAGATTTAGAATCTCATCTCTGTCAGCACACAGTATTTTAAAACTAATCTATTTGGTTGCATTTTTTTCTCATTTTGTCAAACATCAAGGACACACACCAGAAGTCATTTCTCTCCATATTTATTAGATTCTTGCTTTGCTGAATAGAGAAAAATAACATTTAGCTCAGATTATTTATACACTATAAAAAACTATAGATTTATTACTTCTATTAATAGTACTAATTACAAGACTTTATGTAGTGTTTCACTGTACACAAATTAATGAAATATTGTATGAAATAGCTATTATTAGACCTATTTTACTGGTGAGGAAACTGAGACCAGATGAGTTTCAGTAATTTGCTCAGAAATTCCCAAGCTAGTAAACAAAGCTGGATTAGAACCCAATTCTGTTGCCTTTATTCCCTGTCCTCTTCCTATTACTTCATGGCCTGTCCTCAATTGGCAAAGCAAGGCCCATTTTTGGCCGTGAAATGAAGATAGCCTATAATTGCTGCCAAGGAGGCATATTGAGTAGGATGAACTGAATCTTTCGGTCGCATCAGGTTCTGCTGTGCATGTACGAATTCTGCCAGAATCAGCTTCTATCATCAAGATGTTCATTTTCTAGAGATGAAATTTAATGGAATGAAATTTCCTATAGCCCATGGTTAGTGGATAGGAAATAAAATAAAAATATTCTGTGTTGGATAACCTCCACCAAAAGATTGAGAAAATTCTCATAGTCACTACAGGAAAACTTCAATTTGGCTGAACTCAATTCTGAAACACAAAATCTTAATTAATGGGAAAAATTAGGGAGAATAGGAGTATGACAGAAAAATAAATGAGCAGTGGTGTGTGTGTTTTGTGTGTGTGTGTGTGTGTGTTTGTGTCTAACTTATATTCTAAACCTTTCTTTAAGTATTTGCCTCTTTCAAAAAGTTTCCCACTGATCTTAGATATATCATATCCTAGTTGGCTAGATCAATTGAACATTATGGAAGCATTTAGGAAAGAGTAGGAAGTACTTAATAATGATTTTCAAGTTTTCTGGCTTGGGACTGTAGGAGAATGGTGGAGGCATTCATTAGCTTTTTTTTTTTTCTTTAATTTAATTGGTATGACAGGTGTTCATAGTGCAATTTTACAGGAAATAGAGGAGGGAAGGCAGTTATAGGAACCATTATAAATGAGCAAAAAGCTCAATTCACACATAGGATTGAAAATGAGAAATTCTGGGATATCTTTCTCGATCTTTCATTTTGCAAACTCAGGCACTCTCTTGTCACACAGTAGGAAAGATGGAGCTGGCACTCTGTCATATTTCCTTTTTTAATTCTTGTGATAAAAATCTCTTCTAGCTTCCTATTTGCCTGTCTTCAGCTGTCCAAGCCTACTCGAACAGGCTTTATACACTTCCCGGCTTCTGTAATTTAATTATGAGATGTTTGGTGGCTGCCATTCCTTTAAAGAACAAATCCTGCAGCATATCCAACTGGTGAATTAAAGCTCATATCATAGGCTGCTGACAACAGCAAACTTAGCAACACAAAGATTCTTAGATCTTCTGGTTACCAACCTTATCAAAAGTCATGCTTGTGTAGGCCTTGACTTCATTATTCCATGAGGGAAAGGAAGAAAAGTCAGATAGATGACATTTTTTTTGTTTCTTTTCTGCCTCCATGAAGTCTTCCTAGATATATTAAGAAGATACTGATACATTTCTGTGTCTCTGGCTTTTCTCCTTGCTATTCCCCTATGTCCCCATTCTAAAAATGTGCTTTCCCTGAATATGTTTTTCATATATAATCCTCATTTATTTGTGTAGTATCAAAACTCATTTGTGCATATGGGTTTATCAGCAGCAAAAATGTAATGCTAAGCTGGGTCTGCCCCTGGGGTCACTTGATGTTTACTTATCTAATGCAAACTAATTTCATTGTTTGTCCAAGAAAAACATGTCTAAAAAGGAAAATCTGTAATTAAAACATTCTCACAGGCATTCCAAAGTTGAATGGGAACTAAGAGCATACAATATATTGGTTTAGATGATCAGAACCATTTCCCCTTTCTATCAAGACAACTAATATAGCACTATGTTTATTTTTCTTTAGGATGTTTCAACTACCCCCAAAACTGCCAAAACCCAAAATTTATCCTGGAGTACAACAAATATTTCCACAATGTCTTCTACATCCTACTATTGTGACTGGTAATATATAAATGTAGCATACTATATATATTAGGTCATGCCCCTTTAATATGCATAATAAATAGAAAATGAGAACTTTAAAAACAAATTTTCTTTTTTGTTATTTTCTTTATTCCGGGTGTCCTGCATTTTTATGTGCCCAGTATGGCAATTCTCTTTATTTATTTTATTTATTTATTTTTTATAGAGATGTGGGTCTCCCTGTGTTGCCCAGTCTGGTCTCGAACACCTGGGCTCAAGGGATTCTCCCACCTCAGCCTCTCAAAGTGTTGGGATTACAGGCATGAACCATCATGCCCAGCTTAACCAAATTTTCAATTCACTGATTCTTTAACACTCAAAGCAACTAAAACATCAATTTATTATTATTATTATTATAAAAGTTCTTATTCCTATTTAAAGAAATACATGTTTCAGGCTGGGCACGGTGGCTTACACCTGTAGTCCCAGCAATCTGGGAGGCCAAAGAGGGCAGATCACCTGAGGTCAGGAGTTCGAGGCCAGCCTGGCCAGCATAGTGAAACCCTGTCTCTACTAAAAATACAAAATTTAGCTGGGTGTAGTGGCCCATGCCTGTAATCCCAGCTTCTAGGGAGGCTGAGGCAGGAGAATTGCTTTAGCCTGGGAGGTGGAGGTTGCAGTGAGGCGAGATCGCGTCACTGCACTCCAGCCTGGGTGACAGAGCAAGATTCTTTCTCAAAAAAACAAACAAAACAAAAACAAAGAAAGAAATACATGGTTTCTCCTGCTCTCCATGCTCCATTCTGTCCACTTGGCTGTAATTTGGAGAACAATACTAAGTAGTGGAGATAGGGGAAGAGAGAAAAGGAACAGAGGGAAGGAGACCCAGAGGAGAGAGAGCTGAAGCCGAAGTCTTTGGAGGATTTTTCAACCTGTGCCACAAAACTGCATTTGAATTTCGATGTCACTTAACCCTCAGAGTCTCAAGAAGGTAGATAACGACCAAAATCTCTATACTATGTGACTAAAACCATAGAAACGATCATTATTGCTACATTCGTGTTGTGAGCGAAGTATAAATAAGCTTAAAAACTAGCAATGCCAGTGTTACAGCTTTTTTACGATTTATCTAGCAAGTTTTCCAGTCTTTATCAGAAACCACCTCCCAATCCCCCTCAAAACAAACAAACAAATAAACAAACAACAACAACAACAGCAAAAAACTAGCAATGCCAGCTGTTCCATGAAGTCTGAAGTATGGTTTTCCTGGGTAAATGTTAAGGAATGCTGGCTCTCATTGTTTGGGATGGATGTTCACATGGGCTTTTTAGAAATCAGCTGACTGCATCATTATATGGATATACAGCTATCTTAATATCTATAAACTATGTTTGGAAAATAAATAAGTTCTTTAGTACTTATCAGAAAACAGATAACTAGAGGGACTCAGAAGACAATCTCTCTTCTGAAAGTAAATAATATTGTAGAAACACCTTCTAAAATCACCAGTTACAAGTAAAATACATTTAAATTTTGGGAGACTACTTTATTTGCTTTCCCAGTTTCTGGGCTATCAATGCTGCACTCATTATATTTAGAGCTCTTTGAGGAATCTTAAGCATGAAACATTCTCCATAAAACTAAATTCTATTCTAGCTCATTCAACCTCAAAGGTCATAGTGTGGCTTCCTTCCCTGTAATCATTGCTGTAGAGTAACACACCTGCTGCGTGGTACTGCAAGGCACAGTCTGGTAGAAAAAAAAAAAACCTGAATAACAATTCTGGGATTCATAAATGCATCCTCATGATGTTACCCTGCCACCAGAGGCACAGACAACAGAGATAACCCAGCTGGTGTGACTTACTTTCCAAGGCCATAACCCTAATGCATCCCAGTGGGGGGAAATGAAAAGAGATTTATTATTAGTTCTGAGCTAATGCTGATCAATGAGCAAAATGCCATGAAGCTGTAAGCCAAGGCAATATATGTTGTCCAAGAAAAAAATAAAGGAAAGGATGAGGGGAAAAAAAGCCTGCAATATGCAAGAGAAATACAGGGGAGAATAAAATCTCTTTTGTTATGAAACCATCCCTCATGACCACGAGTGGCGCTACACCATCTGTTCACGATACTGCGGTTCACAGTGCAAATGCCTGTCATGTACAATAAGCAGTCGAAGCATTAGGAAAAACGGACATTTCCAAGGTAATTTTGCCAATATAAAGCAAGTTTATCAGCAATCTGCAGACCTCTCTTTTACTTCACATTCACAAGCCTTCGATCTATAAGGGCAAACTCCCTATGGAGCCACATCCTGTTGCTGAGGGTGTAAAGGACAGAAATTACAGGCCTGAGGGAAGGGGTGAGACAGACATAGAGTGGCAAAAGAGAGATACAGGGAAAGTGGGTATGACCACTAGAGCCCTGTGGAAATGTATTTAATATATGGCATTCCTATTCACCTTGCTGTGAGATCAGGTTTGCATCTTAATTACCAGCTGGCATTCCCAAAATATTCTTCCACCCATGGGGGAACTGTTGTGGAAGATTTTGAGCAGTGGCAATGCTAATGACAAGAGTAAATGTCTTGGAGAGTACGAAATGTGACTGTCATGTGCAAGTGCATACAGCAGCAAGTTGAATGGCCAGGAGAAAGGTTACAACAAAGTAAAAAGTGAAGTGTTCACGGAAACAAAGAATAGGGCTGTAGGAATGCTGAGTCTGAGAAGATGAAGAAGAACAGGGAGGATGCTAGAAGCAGATCTCGACAAACGGTCTGTTCTTAGTAGAAACCCCGGGTTGCAGGGTAAACAATTTTCCACGAAGCAAGAACCAGGAAATGCACTAGATCAGAGGAAGAAGAGAAGGTATGCAAGGACATGGTCACTAACGGAGACCTTGGTAGCTAATGTGGTTCTGTTCCCTCTCACCTCCCCTTATTTTTCTTTTTCCCTGTTGAGAGGTTGCCCTAAGCAAAATAAGCTAGGAGGCTGACAGCTGATGTCAATTCACAACAGCTGGCCCGATAGCAACTATGGGTACAGGGGACAAAGAGAGAGAAATCACAGAAGGTGATCCCCTACAAAGGCACTCATACGGTGTAGTATGTTAAAACATAAACGTTGCTAGCTAATTCCAGGGTTTACTACACACATCACAAACTTGCCTAGAGGTTAAACTTATGCACTAAGATGAACAGGAGTTTGAATCCTAACTCCATCTCTCGAGAAAACTGTGGCCTTGGGCAAATTACTGAACCTGAAATATCTATACTATAAAGATAACAATAAACACCTTACAGAGATATTTTAAAAATTAAATTAAATGATCTATATAAAATTCTTACCAGAGTATGTTCATTTAGACAAATGTTTTTTCTACTAGGTCCACTGTGGGATAAACACTGCCCTAAGCACCAAGGATTTGAGACTGGACAAGAAAATCCCTGTCTTCACATTCTGATGCGGACATAAAGTTATCAGTACATAAATATTAGCTTTTATTATTATTTAATGTATCATATAAATGAGTATAATTGTTATTTTTATTATTCATTTTTTCCACAGCTATGATGAGAAGCAATGTGCTCAGTTCTATCCAAAGAAATAAAGAGGTGACTCAAACAATAAAGACAACTAAATGTTGATGTAAAAGAAAGGCAGCACAGAGGAAAGGTGGAAGGAAGGAAGGAAGGGAGGGAGGGAGAGAGGGAGGGAGGGGAGGCAGGGAGGGGAGGGGAGGAGAGGGGAGGGGAGGAAATGTGGAACTATTAGAAAAACCTTGGTGAAGAATGTGATTCTGGAGAATGTGATTCTGGAGAATGTGATTCTGGAGACTTTGAGTTCTGGGAAATAGCCTCTTGGAAGGTTGGTGAAATAAAACATGGAACATACTTGGTTGGGAGCTAAAACATGGAAACTAGATATTAGTAGTAGTGAATCTACCCCACATCAGGAATTTCCTAACTGTAGGTGAGCTTGTTAACATCTCAATTCTCTGATCTATCAAAATCAGTATGATTTGCAGTCAGTCCATTAGTTATGTGTTGATCCATTGAAACAATAGATGTAAAATGATGGTCAACATGGAAAAACTTATGTTCTAGGTAAACATAAAGTACCAATAATATTCTGGAATAGTTTTGGGTCATAGAATATTTTAATGGCACAAAATGATTTGGGAAGCTCTGGGGAAACAACTTTATTGTGGTATTATTGTCAGACCACACTGTTCTGTGAAGTGATTCTTTCTTAATCTTGGGGTAAGATTTGAGGCAGGCCCAAATTTCTATGCTCTGAAATAATCATGCATTATTGCATTTATGAGAATTTTTTTAAATACTAAGCAAACATCATAATTATGTCTTTTTTATTGCTTTTGCAAAACTATCTTTTTTTCTTTACATAAACACTATGTAATGCAGCTGGGCTGTTATTTGTATGTCATTAAATTGTATTTTCTATTAAATTATTGTTTGTTTATATCTGTTTTCCAAATTGAGATTGGTCCATTGTTTTTGGTTTGAGGCAAATGTTGTCAAGTTATAGAATCTGCCTTGTTTGCTTTTGAGAATTAATTTAAACCTCTTCATTATTTAATGTGATGAATAGTCTATATACTGTATGTAGTACCTGATTACTGGAAGTTTAGCATAATTTATCAGTAAAATCATTGGAATTTCTTAGAAGTTTTGATTAGAATAGTTCTTTAAAATTTAATTTCTTTCTCAGTCATTTTCATTTTATAATGAGAAATACATATTAATTAGTATATAATCACACATAGCATTTGCTTCATTTATCAGTTGTGCTCACTCCTAATTGCATAAAATTTTAAATAAATTGCTATAGATTATTTTATTTTGTCTTTTAAAAACTAACATTTAGATAAATTTAATTTTATTCCTGTTCTGAACTCTAACTTTTTTTTTTTTGACAGGTTCTTGCTCTGTCATCCAGGCTGGAGTACAGTGTTGCAATCACGGCTCACTGCAGCCTCAACCTCCCCAGGCTCAAGCGATCCTCCCACCTCAGCCTCCTGTAGCTGGAACTATGGCCTGTGCCACCACACTCAGCGAACTTTTGTATTTTTAGTGGAGATGGGGTTTCACAATGTTGCCCAGGTTGGTCTCAAACTCCTGGGCTCAAGCGATTCACCCACCTCTGGCTCCCAAATTGCTGGGATTACAGGTGTGAACCAATGCACCCTAATTATTTATTTTTTTAAAGTAATTTTCATTTTAAAATATATTTTATTTATTAAATAAAATAATCTATAATAATTACTTGTTTTTTATTTTAATAATGAAAATATTTAAAAGCCTTTCCTTCCATGAACAGCTTTGGCTATTGTAAATCTTTTTATATTGATTTAATTTTTATTGTTGTGACTTATAATGTAGAATTTTATCATTGTATTTCTATAACTTTTGTTGTGTATTTATTTTCAGTTTTATTTTTTGTTTGTGTATTTAAATATCGTCATCTGTTTTTAATTTCAAGCATCATGATGATTGTCTTATTTCTGCTTTTTAAACAAATAGGGCCTCACAGCTTGTGAGACAGGTCAGGATTTGGGCAATTGAAATTGGGTGTAGGAATTGAGCCACATTTGCCTGCAGGTTTCATATACTCAAAGATTTAAACAAACATACAGAACTGAAGGTAGATTCAAGATTTAGGTTCAGATAAACTGTCAAATTTTGCTGCTTTTTAATGAGAACATAGCTGTGTTTTCTAAATATCCTTATATATAAGAAAATATACAGCTTAATAAAAATATATCTGCTATTAATGTCCAATTCTATTTCACTAAAGAACTGGCTATTACCTTTAATCAGTATGGCAAAGGAAAGAAAACCTGTTGTTTTCCAGATCTTCCTGATGTCATCTTAACTTGGAATTGGTTACTCAGTTTGTATGGGAGCTGTTTTTGCATTGTTTCAAGAACTGTATTTCTGTGCTTTCCTTTTTAGAAATTTATGTGTGTTTTCAAAGTATTCTCTGCTAAGTAATGGAGCTTTTAAGTTCCACGCTCGTTTTTTTTTTTTTTTTTTTTGAGACAGAGTCTCGCTCTGTTGCCCAGGCTGGAGTACAGTGGCGCGATCTCAGCTCACTGCAAGCTCCGCCTCCCACACTCGTCTTTATTTCCACTTGTCTTCTGAACTTGAAATGGCTCTCCCTATCCTGCCTCCATTAGTAATATTTTTATTACTAAAACTTCTCTTCCAGTTTTTTATTGTTTTTTTCCTTACTGTCCAGAACTATAATGCTCATGGAAGTGTCTTCCAGCTTTATCTTCCAGGTCTCTTGCTTTTTCTCCACGATTTTTATGATTTTCATATTTCTTCACCTATTTGCTTTGCTCTTGATGTGGTTTGGCTGTTTCCACACCCAAATCTCATCTTGAATTGCATTCCTCATAATCCCGGGTGTCATAGGAGGGGCATGGTAGGAAATGATTGGATCATGGAAGCTGTTACCTCCATGCTGTTATCGTGATAGATCTCATGAGATCTTAGGATTTTATAAGGTGCTCTTACCCCTTCACTCAGCACTTCTCTTTTCTGCTGCTTTGTGAAGAAGGTGCATTGCTTCCCTTTCACCTTCCACCATGATTGTAAGTTTCTGAGGCCTCCCAAGGCTTCTTGTTAAACTGTGAGTCAATTAAACCTCTTTCCTTTATAAATTACTTAGTTGGGGGAAGTTCTTTATAGCAGTATGAAACAGACTAATACAGGGATATTTCTACTACTTGTTTTTGCACAGATCTAACTACATCTCAACAGTAATTATCCTCCCCATGCTTCAGCCACTAAATATTTTACGTGGAAAACCAAGTTTTATATTTCTCACAGAATTTTGTGCCTTGCAGAAAGATTTCTTAATTGTTCCATATAATACATATGTTCAAGTCGTTATCTCACCTATTGGTGACTGTTTTACTAGAGACCATATCTTTTGGATATACGTTAGTTCTTTTCTCTTTACACTTGGAAAATTTTTTTTAATCTGTGTTTTATTTATTTATGTATTTTCTTTACTTACCCAGTGTGGCTTAGGTGCAACTTTTGAGCCTGTAGCAAGTTCCTGAGTGGTAAATGGTAAGGTGGGTCTGCCCAAGTGGGTTATATAGTGCAAGAGCAAGACAGTCAACAGCCTATCTTTTCACCCGGTTGATGCCTTCCTCTTTCCTAGTCTTCTCTGCCTAAAGGATGGCAAATGCTGGTATGCTGCCTGCTTCAATGGCAGGAAGGACTCTTCACACATCTTTACCTAACTCACAGCTCCTAAAGAAAGAGGAACATAGATAGCTCAAATAACACTTGCTGAGCAGAAGCAGCCTCTCCTCTCCTTGCTCCACATATCTCCAGAGGCCATCTCTTCAAATTTTGAATGTTCTTCCTGAGCCTCCTTTCTGCAAATATACATAACTACTGAAATAAGCCATTAAGTTAACTAATTAAAAGAGAAAATCCTGATAGATGCTGAAAAGGCAAATAAAAAAATCAATACCATTCTAATAAAATATAGAAAGCTATAGAATTTGAATAAAATAAAATTGCTTAAAAACAATAAAATCAAAAAAACAAAAATTCACAGTAAATATTATCCTAAAGAGTGAAACAGTGATCTATTAAAATCAAGAATAAGATTGGTCTGACTTGTGTACAATGTTATTAAATGTTGACTTGGGGGAGTCTAGTAAATGTAATAAGATAAGGAAATGAAATAATTGATATAAGCATTCAAGAGGAGCATATATTTCTTTATTTTCATAATATATTTGCATTTTAAAAATACTAATATTAAGAGATGAATTTGGGAAGATTGATGAATACAAAATCAATAATTTTCCAATTATATAAATATAGATGAGTACAAATGAAGGGAATGTTTTTGTAGATAATTTGAAAAAATATGTATATTCAAGCTTAGGAAAAAAGATGGAGGGTCTAAACTGTATGATTTTTGATGGGTTAAAAATAAGATCTAAACAAATGGGAACTTAATGTTCTTTAATAAATTAACAAAATATCAAAAGAGTAAATGTTTCCGAACTTAATGCATACATATTTTATTTTATTTTGCAAATGAAAAAATGTTATTGCAATTCCTCAGAATAACCAAGAAGAGTAGAAATAATAGAACATCTGTGGAGGAATGGCCTTATCTGATATCAGAGCACACTGTAAAGCCATTGTGATCTAATCAACATGATATTGTCGTAGGTTTGGTGAATATAATCTTAGGGTTGGCATACTATGGTCATGGTCCACTTCCTGCTTTTTGCCTGTTTTTGTATGGGTTTCACATTTTTCATTGATTGAAAAACAAGTATCAGAAGAGAAATATAGCATGAAAAATAAAAATTGTATGACATTAGTATTTCAGTATTCATCAATAAAGTTTTATTGGAACACATTGTGCTCATTTATTTGTATATATCCTATGGCTCCTTTCATAATACAACATCAGAATTGAGTCTTTGTGATAAAGGCCATCTAGCACATAAAGTTTTTACTATCAGGTCCTTTACAGAAAAATATATGAGAACTGTTGGCTTAACATATAATATTCTACATATAAATATGTACATAAATATGTATATATGATATATTATTATATGAAAAAGGTAGTATAAATTATGCTGGCACAAATGATTAATCCTGAAAACAGAACAAGATGAAAATAATATGAAAATAAAACAGGTTATCCATCTCATGTCATACAGTAAACACAATTTAATGATTGGATGGATAACTGTAAAATGTAAAACAATAAAATTGTTCCAATAAGATCTGATAAAATGAGATGTAAGTAATTTTCTTAAAAAAAAAACTGCAAACCCAGAAACTAACAAAGAAAGCATATATAATATTTAACTGTGAAAATTTAAATATTATTATAAAAAGTTTAAAAGCCTGAATAGATTTCCACTTTAGGGAGATAATTCCAATGTAAGGTTTAGACAAAGTATTAGGATCTATAATATAGCTTCACTCTCAGCTATAGAATAAGAATAACATCAAGTAATATCAAGATAAAATTCATAAAGGAGCAAATCCAAATGGCAAAACAAAACAAAACAAAAGCTCAAACTCAGTGGTAGTTGGGGAAATGCAAATATAAATGTGTTATTACTTTACAACCATCAGACTGGGAAAAATTTCAAAAGAGCAATAACACTTATTGCAGGTGGGGAAAATGGCTTGTGGATATTTAAATTGAAACAGCCTTTTTGGAATGCAATCAGATAAGTATACTAAACATTTGAAAAGAATATGTTCATCAATCCTACCCCTAAGACTGTTAGAAATAATAAAAATACATCAAAAATATGTTTTAAGTTTTTAGTTGCAAAATTGTACACAGAAGAAAAAATAAGTAAAAGAAACAATCATCAATAGGTTCATGACTGGGTAAATTATGATACATATCTACTATGGAATATCACGCAACCATTAAAGAAAACAATGTTTAATATGAATAGTTTGTTTTCAGCATGCAGAATAAGGTGAATAAGGTGAATGGATATATACAGGGTTAATATGAGAAGAAAAGGGAAGGGGAAATAAAATGTTTGAAAAGGAAAACATCAACTGAAAAGATTGCCTGATATAGCTGTAATTACGCTGATGTAATTATGAATATGTGTAGGTATGAATTGAATTCAAGAAATATTATTTGATACAATTTTGTTTCTGTTTAGCTTCACATTTTTAAATGGCCTTTACCTTGTACATTATCAAATGTTTTTGATTCATGTAGGTTAAGTAAATTTATATCTGTGTCATGTGTTTCTTTTGCATTATGAAATTGTCCTTATAATATTTATATTTCTATTTTTGCTTACTCTTTTATTACATTTAATATTTACTTATTTGTTTATCTTCATGTAGCCCCATTACTTAATTTAGTGTTTGTTGTGATTAAATCTTAACTGATGCCTCTCATTTTTGTGAATTAAGTTTTCTTCACTTTCCCACTATAGTGATCACACTTGCCCTCATTTTGCTCTTACATTGAGGATAATTCTCTATGTTTAATACATTTAAGTATAAACAATGTTTGGTAAGCACATAATTATTTTATTTTTATTAGTAGTGACTCTTCCTTCCCCTTTTTTTCCTCCTCCTCATCCTCCTCTTTCTCCTCCTCCTCAATCTTTTCTTCTGGAGACCAAAATCATTATGGACTGTGCTCCATGATCTAGTGATCCATATTCCATGTCTATCCCCTTTTTTTATCTTGTTGTTCGTTTCCTCTTCTTTTTGTTTGTTTCTCTTAAAGCCTATCCTCAGTATCGCTGATTGTATTTGCTGTAATTGTAAGTCTTTCATTTATATCTGCCACTAAAAATTAGCTTCAGATACTATGTTATTCATTTTTCTGCACCACATATTTTTTTGGCCAATTATCGTGTGACAGAAGCAAGGTCTGTCAGTATATTCAAAATATATGTTATATTTTAATCTTGTTTTCTGTTTTATGAAGATTATTTTAATGTTAAATATTCCTTGGACATTTTTAGCATTTTCTTATTCTTATAATTCAAATTCTTGTAGGCCTATGCTGATATAAGTTTTCCTTTTTCATAAACAAAGAGATCTCTGGCCAGGTCCGTGTTGCATTGTAGTCCCTGGCAGTGATCATTTTCAGTCTTGAAAGCCTGTGTAGCAACAGATGCAAGAGAAATCAAAGCTCTGAACCTGGAGGCTAGAAAGGTATGCCAAGCACACTTCTCGGTAAACAGAAGATTTCTATCCAAGGTACCAGTAATATTTACTTTTAGGTAGAAATTATCAGTTTAATTTTTCCAGCTTATCCTGGTATGAGCCTGGATGAGAAAAATCTATTATGAATAAAATGCTGGTTTCTGTTGATAGAGGAGAGTTAAGACCCAAATACAACAAACCGTCTTAATAAAACTGATGCTGCCAGACATGGTGGTGGAGATACTTTTGCCTCTTTCTTCAGTGTAAAATACAGATATGACTAGAGACAAATCATACTGATTGGGCAGTTAAAGTACCTGAGCAGTGCCATTAATTTCTGGGGACCATGTCTTGTTTCGTAGTTACAAAATGGAAGTGAAGAAACAAGTTCCCTCAAGTATCTAGTTCTAAAGCCGAACCCATTAGTAAGACGTTTTTTTGAAAATCCTTAACATAAAACACACTTGTTAATTATTATTCTTAGTAGATGCAGTTGTTGCATAAAATGAGTGTTTTTCAGTGGACACAGCAAAGCCTTGTTGTTTCCAAAGTCGTATTAAACTCTCTTATTTTGTTATTCTCCTTAATTTTCTCCTCTCCTCTGATATCGTCTCCATTCACTTTGCTCTTCCCCTTGCAATTCTCTTCTCATTAGTTGCAATTAAAATGTCTCTTCATAAACAACCACAAGATGGTAGGATTTGAGTAAATTAATGGAGCAATCTGATTGGATTGCCCTACAGTATGGAGAGGAAAAAATGGGAAGAAATTGTTCACATAATTGCCCTATAGTACAGAAAGGAAAAATTTAGGGCCTCCTAAAACATCTAGATAAATGGAAATGAATGGTAGTAGTTAAAGATGGACTTCTAAGGGTGTATTTTTACGTGTTACTCTTTTAAAATTATCTTACTTTTTATTACAAAACTGATGTGAGTTATTTTACTCAATTTGGAGCATAAAGGAGGCATATAGACAATGGAAAAAAAATTCACTTGTTAGCTCACCACCTTAAAATAACCATTGTGGAAATATGCATGTATTATCTAAAATATATTTTCTTTTTCACTCTGTGTGTTTTTAAAAAGAAATTGGGGCCCCAGCAATTTGGGAGGCCAAGGTGAGTGAATCACTTGAGGTCAGGAGTTTGAGTCCAGCCTGGCCAACATGGTGAATCCCTGTATCTACTAAAAATACAAAAATTAGCCTGGCATGATGGCGGACGCCTGTAATCCCAGCTACTTGGTAGGCTGAACCGGGAGAATTGCTTCAACTCAGGAGGCAGAAATTGCAACCAGCTGAGATTGTGCCACTGCACTCCAGCCTGGGTGACTCTCTGTCTCAAAAAATAAAAAATAAAAATAAAAATAAAAGAAAAGAAATTTGGGCCAATCTTAATACACATATGGGTAACCTCTTTTCCCACGCTTAGCAATATACCAAATACTTTTTTATTTAGTTTTACATTCTGAAAAAATACTTTCAGTGCCATAATGTGAATGCAAATTTAAAACCAATCTGCTCTTATCATGTTTTTATGTTCTGTCAATTTTTATTATTAGAAATAACTCTGTGATACATTTTTGTATATAAATATTTTTTTCTAAGTATGGATTATATCCTTAGGTTAAAAATGAACTGTAGTCTTTTAACAACAACTGCCTTCAAGAATTTAGTTTTTCCTTTAAAATAGAATATGTGTGAATGTACCTCAGAGTCCTAATGTACATAAGAGTACTAATTTTCCAAAGTTAAGTCAAACATATTAACTGTTCCTATTTTTTCTATTTTCTTTAAAATTAGATACCTAAAGGAGCATAAATCAACCACTGTTAAAAATTAAGAACTTCTTGATATCTAACTTCATTTTTTGTATAATACATAAGTAATTAATTCTGTGTCTGGTGGGATCCTGCCAATAATTGCATCCAGAATATTCTGGACCAGTTAGACCTTCCTGTGTCCACAGAAAAAGACTCATTTTATGCAACAACTGTATCTAATAAAAATAATAATTAATAAAAGCATTTAATATTATATTAAAGATTTTGAAAATCCTTCTTACCAATGGGTTGGGCTTTAGAATTAGATGTTTTAGGGAACTTGTTCCTTCACTTTCATTTTGTAGGTAGAGAATATATATGGCCATTTTTTTCACCTGGTTTATGGTGCTTACAATATTATGTAATTTATCCATGTTTTCCATTATGAATGTTAAAATACCTTACTCTCATTTTCCTTAGCAAACTTGTACTCAAAAATACTCGTGGATGCAATCTTTTTAACAAGTCTAATGCAAATGGAATATTATATTTTCTGGACTTACAGCAGTGCTCATAATTTTATGAGAAAGAACAAGAAAAAGGATTATATTGTTCATCTTTGCTGTACAAAGAATGCATTTGCTTCCCAAAGCAAGGGCGTGAGACAGCATTAGAAAGAATCTCCAGTTTAATTGATCATTGAAAGTAAATATTTTTATGAGCTAAAGCTTATCTAAGTTTTCCCATGAGAAAGCCATACTAAATGTAACCTCTGACTTCCCTGAAAAGTATGCATTTAGAAAGAGACTGTATGTTTCTAGCCATGGTGTTTAATCCTGATAAAAAATAAATCCATATGTAGCCTAGAATTGACCTATCAAAATTCAATACCCTGGGAGGGTTTGAAATTGGATACTTTGTACAAGTTAAAGAACAGTGAAATTAAGGTGAAAAGCACTAGATTCAACCTAGGATTCCTGGAAGGAAGAAAAAATACAGAGCAGAAAGGAGAAAGTGAAGGAACTGAGGATGAGGGATTGGGTTGAATTGTCATTTGCTTGTACATGAAGTAATATTGCCATTATCTTTTTTACTTCTTCACCTTATTAGGTGTTTCTGCTCCCACCTCCATCCCTACCCCCATATCATGCAGGCTCTGAGATAGAGAATGGGAAGAAGGTAGTTCCTGGACCCAGGATAATCCAAGATGTAACATTTTATCTTTCTGTTATCTTCCAAAGCTATCACTTAATAATAACTTCTGTCCCTCACCACATGATTCATGCATGCCATGGTCAGCATGAATAACTAGAGAACTATCTTGCAGTAATGGTCCAAGTGTCTGGAGCTAATCAGACAGAACTCTACAAAGAGAAGTTTCAGGAAATTTCTCAAGGCATTTCAGTACATTGATGACCAACTACTAAAGAGAATTCACTGAGAGAGAAAACATCAATACTCTTCCATAGACTTTGTAATTTCCCATCAGTTTGTGTCTCTATAGATCACATTCTTTCCAGCACACTTCTGTGCTTACAAATAGACTTATTCTCATGTGTTTATTTAATGACATAAATGGATCCTTAGTAAAAGAGATGAAGAAAAAATTACATATTTCAATGACATAAACTGATCCTAAGTAAAAGAGAGGAAGAAAAAATTACATTTCTTTTTTCTTAAAGTTTCAAAAAACAGTTGTTTTTACAAAATAAAATTGTCAATTGAAAAAATATTTTCTGAACAATTATATTTCAGGCATGAACTAAAAAGTAGGAATATTAATTATCTTTCTACAAGCTCGAATAAAAGCTTTCTGCAAAAATTCAGTATAAAGAACAATTTTCTCAAATAATTTGAACTTGCTTTTAGAGACAGGGTCTTGCTCTGTTACCCAGGCTGGAGTGCAGTGGCTCAATCATGGCTGACTGCAGCCTCAAACTCCTAGGCTCAAGCAATCCTCCTGCCTCAGCCTCCCAAGTAGCTGAGCTGGGCCTACAGGTAGGCCCCACCACATCCAGCTAATTTTTAATTCTTTTGTAGAGACAGGGTAGCACTATGTTAACTAAGGCTGATCTTGAACTCCTGGCCTCAAGTGATTCTCAGGTCTAGGCCTCTCAAAATACTAGGATGATAGACATGAGCCACTGCGCCCTGTCTTGAATCTTTTAATCTTTTGCATACATACTCTCTCTTTATATGAAATAGCATGATAGTAGGGTCCTATCATTTTCTACACTGTAATCATATATTTGAGATAACAGAAATTGGAGTTTCTGCAGAATTTATAGCTTACTATGAGCTGTCAAACAACTAGGTGAAACACTGCATTCAATTTACTGTCCGTCATGTCAAACTTTGGTAAAGTCATATTGGAGGTGAGGGATATTTTTAGCCTCTGTCTTGACCTCCCAGATCTTAAGGTCCCATCAGTGTGATATGAACTTGACTATGTTTTATAAGATGTCAGACAGGGCCTGTAATATTTAACCCCTAGGCCTACCTGCCCAAGTACAAGGCAACATCCTCAACTAAGGCTCAGGACACAAACAAAAAACAACTGGATAATCTGTTTGACATCACCTGTCTTAAAACCTATGCAATATATGTAGTTATCTCCTCCAAGAATATTGGCCTTATGGGGACATGGGGGCAGGACAAACTTCACATTTGGGAGAGCACACTAATCAACAATATTGTGGAAGTCTGAACTGAGGATAGGTAAGAGATCATCCAAGAGAAACTGAAGAATATTTTCTTTGAGTCTCTCTTCAACATATTTATTAACATATGTTTATATGGCCATAGCAAGAGGAAGAAGAATCACGGTGTTGCGTTTATTAATTCTCCAGTAATCTCCAGAATAGCGTAGAAACCCTATTCACCAAAGTATTTGGGAGAGGAGTTGATTGGTTAATCAAAAACTGATTTCTTTAAATATAAAAATATATATTTATTCATTAGTTATTTATCTTTTTTTGAACCCATTAATTTGTACCCATTGAGTCTTATTTCTTTTCAATAAAAAACACATCCAAAATGTATTATCTATATGTTTTAATTTGGGCTTTAAAAGGCTGAATAGCTACATATTTCAACCTTCTTTCTGGCACACTTGATCATATGTGCAGAGAATTATCAGGTGATTGTTTAAGTTATCATCATTCATGTACTGGTGAAAATATCATATACCTATCTTTATCTATCTCTATCTGTTACTAACATAAAGAAGTAATGTAATTTGAATTTTTGTCAGTATCTGAAATCTACAGTATTTAAAAATATACTTAGTGAATCTCCTTGTGTACTTTGTATGTTACTTGAACTTATTTTATATTTATTAATGTAACTGTAAAATCCTTATAATAAATACTGATTTTGAAAAAGATCAGTTTTATGTAAAATGTTAAGAAATTTGAAATAATTAAATATGTTAATCAATTTACATTTCATATACATATTAAGAGGTTGCTTTGATTACATAATTTTAGAACAAAACATAACATCTTCTGAGCCAAAAAATTGACTATTACAAGCTAAAAAGTAATATAAAACAGAATAATCAAAATCAGATTTCATCACAATTCTGATGTTTATAAAATATTTAGCAGATTCAAAATTATGATATTAAACACTATAATCATTAAAAGTATACAAAGTTAAAATTACTTTATTATATTTAGGACATGAGTCTTTAAAAATAACGTCTTTGAAATACTTTGCGTCTTATGGAGGTTGAATGAAAGGTAGAATTTCAGTTGCACTTTCTCAAAATATCAACAAAGAGAAAAACTAAATAATTATAATGAATTATCATTGTAAGTAAATTATCCTTATAAAAATAGGAAAGAAAAAATGTTAAAAATTAGTGTAAAATTATCTACAACAAAAACTCTTACTCCTTCAGCAATATCACTTCAAATTAGGCAGGCACTTATAATTGCCATCGAAATTCAAACTTTAAAAATTTAAGAACTGTAATTTAACTAAAAATTGTAGTAATATACGATTTTGACACAATTCTAAATTTATTTTTTATATCCGATAATTATATTGATATTTGACTTTGATCAAATTTAATTTTAATACTCAAAATTCTATCATTTAACTTTTAACCAAAATATATATTACCTGTATGTTGAAAAATAGGTATCTCAAACACATCATTACAAAAATGAAATTCAATTTCTAAAGAAATATCTCTTATCTTTATTTCCAAAAGATATTTTGGAATTTTTACAAGTCTATTTATGTCTAGCACTCTGGCCAAAACCACCACTATCTTTCCCCTACACATTGAGAAGAAACTTTTAAGTGGGTTCTGCACTTTTCTTCTTGCCTTCTTACAATCTCATCACAAGAATAAGTGATGTTTTTAAATAATATCACATAGTGCCCCTTAAATTCCTGTGATGAATTCCCAGTAATTTTCTTTTTAATCTGCATTTCTTACTTCGGTGTAAAAAAAGCTCCTTGTTCCATCTCTTGCCTACCTGTGAGTATCTGAAAACTTCTCAATTCACTCTTCTACTCACTTGCATCTCACCAAGCTTATTCCTGCCTTAGAAACTTGCTCTATATTCTGCTTTGAATGTTTGACCCATAGATTCTCCTGGCTAGAGAAGGATCAGCTTTAATAGAACCTCTTCTGAAAGGCTCTTCATATCAGTCAAAGGTTCCAAGCCGTTTGTAAGATTCATATTCCTTTGAGACTTGAATGCATGCTAGGAACTCTTTCTGCCCAAATTGCACACATTCATTGACATGGAATTTTCTACACCATTTCAAGGAGTTCATGAAATCTATTAAGTATATATATATATATATATATATATATATATATATATATATATACTTAATAGATTATATATACATATATATATATATAAGCCCTAGGCATTCAAGTACCCCAGTTAAGAACAATGAAGCACTCCAATCCCTGGAACAATACTTTATCATCTCCCTAGAGGTTATCATTGTCTAAAATTACATTTTCATCTGTTTATTTTTTTATCTGTATTGTACCTATTTTTTTCTCTTGAATTTAAGTTTTATGAGAAGAAGGGTGGTCTTTTCTTTTCTTTCTGATTCACTAAATTCCCAGAATCTGCAATAGTACCTAAATTTGAGTAGACATTCAATAAATAGCTGTTAAATAAAGAAATTGATGCATTAATAATTTAATCCTTATCACTTATGAAAATTAGAAGAAAGATTAAACATAACAAAGAGGGCTGGCTTATGTTGATTTTAGTGTATCCCAGGTTCAAGAAGTTTCTGGGCCTCCCTCCAGAAACCCCAGTGGCTTCTGCTCCTGGTACTTGAGAACCAAGCCATGAAACATCAACTGACCAATATGTGTGGTGAAGAAGTTGAAGAGCCAAACACTCCAGGATAGAGTAAAACATACTCATTGTAGTGTAACTGAGACCTGATCTTTTCCTGGGAGCAGATTGATTTGGAGAAAGTGTAGAGTGGCTAGAAGAAAAATAAATCAAAGCCTGTGAGTTAGAAAGATTGGAAGATGCCGCAATGGCTTTGAGGTGAGTTGGAAGTGGTTTATCTTAATGGGTTAAAAGCATAGTATTTTGTATCCCAGAGATGTAAGTTTAATTTCCAACCCTGCCATTTACTAGTTGTGAGATGTTGGGTAATTTTATTCAATCATCAAAATGTACAGAGTTTGGCTGCCTCGCTGATAAAAATGTTTGACCCCTTCACACAGCTTAGATTACTGCAAAGTCTCATGGACACCAAGGTTACAACTTTTTACAACTTTATATGCTTCATTACTCAGCTTGTTCTCATGATTCTATACTCATCCTGCCCAATTTCTTTTCCCACTTTTTTTCCAATTCTTCTCTTCATGACTTTGATCTTAATGATGTATAATTTCCATGTGCTATGTGTTTGTGTAATTTTATTCACATTCACGTTATCTAAATGACCTGCCTATTTGGAATTCTGTTTCTCTATTGAATGTCTAGACTTTTTAAATCTTCCATAACCCTGTAGTCAATTGGGTTGCCAATCCTAGAATTGTTTGTCAAATTTGTGTGGTATCCCTCATCTCACCATGAGGTGAGTACATTGAGATTACCAATCAAGGCAGGCCAACATGGGACAGATTTGCACCCTGAGAGTTTTGTTAAGCACCTTTCTTTGTAAGCATCATTATCATCATTATTCTCCCAGCTTACTGAAAAAATTGTTTTTCCAAATAAGACTCATGTTAGAAATTGGTCTGATTTATTTCTATTAATAATCATGCTCTTCATTATGTCATCATTTTCTCTTTACTGATTATTTTGTTTTGTATAAGAAATAACTTTTCCGTATAAACAGCTCAACAGAACGGAATATTATATAAGACAGGGACAAGCAAAATTTGTAGGCAAAGGGCTGGATAGTAAATATTTTAGACTTTATAGGTCGTATGGTCTTGATTGCAAATACTAAAATCTGCTATTTTAGCATCAAGTAGCCATAGACAATTGATAAATACATGAGTATAGCTATGCTACCATAAACTGTATTTACAAAACTGACAGCCGGCCAGATTTGGCATGTGTGCCATAGTTTGCTCATCCCAATACAGTAACAAATGAAATTTCCCATCATATACTCTTTATATTTTAAAATTGCAGCTTATTATTTAAATTGATAAAATACATAATCCTAATTGTGTAGATAATTGGCATATTTCTAAGGTCACTGATAAAAATCACAAGACTTCTCCTTATAACAGTAATCTTGTTAAATCTCTTCATCAGAATACTTTTGACCTCACATATACGTAGCCTCAAACCATAACTGTACATACATGAAACTGTAAAATTGATCTTTTAATTCCTAAGATTGCTTTAAATGTTTTGAATGAGTATGAGTGAAAATTTATTAGAATAAGGTAACACTTCGTGTAAGAATTATAAAACACAAGGTCATGTATCTTCAAGGTATAGTATAGAGACAAAAATGATATATTCCATTTGCTAATACTTTGTTTTCCTCTGACATTTGAAAAGACACTGAGGATTTACCAGATTTAAAATTAGCCTCAATCTTGTGCAAGTATTTTTTTAATCTTTTCTTTTCACTTCCAAATTTCATTACTTATTTAATGGCTCCTACACTTTTTGTCAATAAACTAGTTTTCAATTTATAGTTTATTATGCTCTTCTTCATATTTCCCCCACCCAAGGAAAATGTCAATGGCTTTCCACCATCTATACCATGTAGTACAAACTTCTTGGCAAAGAAATTAAAGTTGTCCACAATGTATTGTCAATTTACATCTTTAAGATTATTTCTTATATTCCTTTGTACAATTAACTGAAACAATAAACTCTGCTATGCTCTGAATACATCTTGGGCATTCCCTATTTAATTCATGGATTCATAGGGTAGTTTCAGCTTTCAATAGCTTCCAGTTCTCCTTTAATCTAAATCTAGAATTCATGATTTCCATATGGATGTAGATATAGATATATAGATATATGCATTTTCTAGCAAAAAGACAATATTGTTACTGTGTAAACACCTTAGGTCAGAAGGAAGGAAGCAGAACAGTTAGAAATTTTTCCTAGTTTTTTTTTTTTTTTTTCAGCTTAATCTGGTCTATTTGGTGCAGCATAGTGCTCTTCTGTCAGATTCAAAGAGAGCCAGTCAGTCCACATCTTACTTATGGCACTGAGAATGTGACCACGAATGCCTGCGTGCTTCCCATTTTCTAGAGAAATGTTGGCTGTAAATTAAAATAAACAAATGAATTAATGAACAAATAAACATTTGACAGGAAAAGAGTAGTAGGACAGGGATCAGTTTGACTTAAATTAGCAGCTACCTAAAAATTAGAAACGACTTTGAGGTATGATTTAATTACCAATAACTTTCTTCTTTTGGGATATACCATCTGTTTAATCCTGCTAGTTTAAACACCATCTTGCTTCTTTGTGTTAGAAAAGGGTTGTTTTGATTCTAATTTCTTAAGATTCTTACTAGGTTGATGTGCTCTGATTGGTAAATACAGTAAACTCACCCTTTAATTTCTCTCTCCTGTCCCATGATTAGCTTCTGCATATAGAAAACCAGTCACTCTAGTAGCTATCCTCACTTTTTCTTTCTCTTTTTCTTTATTCCGTTTCTTCCTCCAACTTTCTCCTAGACACAGGTGCGTCTTTCCTCTTAGAAAAGCATCTAGAAAAGACAATTCAGAATGGCAAGAGACCAGGGCAGAAGATCACACGGTTTTGAATATGTCCAACCGGAAGACAAAACACTTGGAGAAAACATAGTGTATCCAATAAATGTAAGGGCTGATATGAGAGAGGTAATTATGTTTAGCTCATGTCTTGAAAAAAGTAAAACTAAAACCAACAAAGTAGGAGGAAGATTTAGGTTTACATTATCAGTTTTTGTAAGAACAAAAGTTACCCAACAATAAATTATGCTGCCTACTGAAGAAGGAGGTTTCATATCAGGTAAAACAGTGAATTTGAGTATGCCAGAGATGTAAAAGAGATGAATATAAATATATTGGGGATTAATTCTGGTTATTTAGACTCTGCTGTGTTATTCAATACCACTACCTTGATTTAAACAAACAAACAAACAAACAAAATAAATAAATGTGCAGCACAATAATTATCTACAGAAATTTCTGAGAGTGGTAGTTACAGATTTGTTTGCTCACCCTCTCTTCCATCTATCTCTGAGAGGAAGCGTTGCCCCTGGTCATCAGTGTAGTCAGATGATACAAACTGAACAAATGAAGACATCTCATGATTGTGTCAAAAATGATTGGCCCAAGTAGGACCACGTAGATTCCTTCTCTAGACTATACACAGGCCATGTGAAGAAAAAAGTCCCGTTCCCCTGGTCTGCTAAGTTAGATTATTATGATTTGTAAGTGCCTAGTAGCTATTTTTTTCTCTGTCAAATCCAGAAAAAGCATGTACAGTAGATAAATGTGTGACCACACATAAAAGATGAGCCAAAAGATAAAAATAAGTAAAACCACAAAGATGTTGTCAGATCCCTTTGGATTCTTCCATGCCTCTGATCAGCTTCATCCCTGTGCTTCCCAGTTATACCATCCAATAAACTTTCCCTTAAGGATCTACTGTAACATAAGGATCAAACCTAATTTTATCAAGCTATACATACCAGGCATATTAAACTATCGATAGTTGGCATTTATAACATACTTGGTAGTCTCTTATATCTACAAGGTAACCCTAGAGGACTGGAATAAAGAAAATAAACAACATCTTGCAAATGGCTTTTCTACCCACCCTGTCTAGCACCGATTAATGGCACTGATAAGGGCGCAAGAAATACTTCATTGTGTGGATCAATCATCTGAATCTGATTAGGACTCTAAAGCTTTTCATCTTAGATATTTTTACTGATATTCCCTTAATCGGAAAAGAGAGTGACCTCAAGCCCTAGAAGTCAGGAGCTTACTCTGAGCTGCCACCACTAATACAATATTTCATGAAATTATCTCTTTCTTTTATCATCAAATTTGCATTAAAATATATGATAGCTCATTTTTTATTTCAATATAAATATAATATTTAAAAATTTTAATCTATACTCCAGAAA
The DNA here is from genome assembly GCF_000001405.40 of Homo sapiens. Taxonomy (NCBI): domain Eukaryota; kingdom Metazoa; phylum Chordata; class Mammalia; order Primates; family Hominidae; genus Homo; species Homo sapiens. Next base: position 40,493,804 of record NC_000018.10, read on the forward strand.
TTGTCCAGTAAAAGGTAATGTACTAAGAAGAAATACTGTGTTTATTATAACATGGATTTGCATCACCTCCAGATATACAGTGTTATAGCCCAAAGAGTACGTGTGACTTTATTTGAGAAAAGCTGGTGGTTGCAACCAGTGGGTAGAACAAAAAGTGATCTTACTCTCCAGTAAGGGTTCTTGGAAGGAAATAAATATTAAGATGTATCTCATATTTCTAGTCATCATATACTTTACTAATCTGGCTAATTTTTTGGTCCTAAATACAAAATATAGTCACAAATCTGTCAGAATGTGTCAGAAAAGTTGCCTTATACATGGAATACATGAGAAATATTCAGGTTCACTGATTAAAGAAACTCTGTCAAGCATCTCTTATAATTTACATGTAATATTTGAAATTAATATGCTGGCTAGGTGCAGTGGCTTATGCCTGTAATCCCAGCACTTTGGGAGGCTGATTGAGTTCAGGAGTTCAAGAACAGCCTGGGCAACATGGCAAAACCCAGTCTATATGAAAAATATTTTAAAAATTAGCCAGGCACAGTGGCACTCACCTGTAGTCCTAGTTCCTTGAGAGGCTGAGGTGGGAAGATCACCTGAGCCCAGGAGGTTGAGGCTGCAATGAGCTGTGATGGCACCACTGCACTCCAGCCTGGGCAACAGAGTGAAACCCTGCCTCAGAATAACAATAACAATAACAATAACAATAACAATAACAATAATAATAATAGTAATAATATGCTGTTGGCTATCTGGAAAACTGTAGTTGTCAGTCTTAATAATAAGGTTTCTTGAGATACTCATTACAAATAATGAATCAGGTGAAAGAAAACAAGAAAAAGGAAAAGGAAGGAAGGAAGGAAGAAAGAAAGAAAAAAGAAAGAAAGAACAAAAGAAAAAGAAAAAGAAGGAAGGAAGGAGAGAAAGGGAAAGCGAAAGAAAGAAAGAGAAAGGAGAGAAAGGGAAAGAAAAGAAAGACAGAAAGAAAGAAAGAGAAAGAAAGAAAGAAGGAAAAAAGGAAGGCAAAAGAGAAGGAAGGAAAAAGGGAAGGAAGGAAGGATGAGGAAAGGAAGAAGGAAGGAAAAAAGGAAGGAAGGAAGGAAGGAAAAAAGGAAGGACAGAAGGAAGGAAGGAAGGAAAAAAGGAAGGAAGGGAAAGAAGCAATTATCCCCAAAACAAAGATTATAACTCGGCAAGTTTATTTTGTTGTCTGCTTGATCTGCTTTGAGAATTCAAATTGCCCTGGGAATTGGAGAGAATAAGCATTAGAAGTGGTTGCTTTTACCAAGTGGTATCTTGGGAGGAGTCAGACTGAAATTTAAAATGTGATAAAAATTATTCACCAAGATGTTAACATTTTAAACAGAGTCTTTTCACATCTCTTATTCCATTGGGATCCACAATGATCCTCTGAGATAGGTAAGACAAGTATCATTATCCCCACTCTATAGATGAGGATATTTATCCCCATGAAAGTTGGGTGAATTGCTCAAGTTAGATAATATTCTAATTATAAAGCTAGAAGTAAATCCTGGAGTCCTCTCTTTCTGAAATGCGTCTGTTCACTTCTTTGATGCTGGCTATTCAGAAAAATAGACACTGTACTTATTGATACTCTGTAACTGAGAGCTGATAGTACATTTAGATATCACACAATAACTAAACTGCTGTTACCAGAGATCTTGGCCATAGAATGGTGTTTTCTGTTAAAAACAACAACAACAAAAAAACATAAGGCATAAGTCATATTTAATAATGGATAAGTAACTATATTTTGCAACACATTGCTCAAATATAATGGAAGAACAAATTCTCAGTTCAACATCTTAGAAGTGATATTTTATTTTGTTTTATTTTATTTTATTTATTGATCTATTTATTGAGATGAAGTCTCACTCTGTTGTCCCGGCTAGAGTGCAGTCGTGCAGTCTTGGCTCACTGCAACCTCTGCCTCTCGGGCTCAAGCAATTCTCCTGCCTCAGCCTACTGAGTAGCTGGGATTACAGGCACCATGCCTGGCTAATTTTTCTATTTATAGTAGAGATGGGGTTTCACCATGTTGGCCTAACTGGTCTCAAACTCCTGACCTCAAGTGATACAACTGCATTAGCCTCCCAATAGAAAGGATCTTTTATTACCCATTTTTCTTTCTTTCTTCTTTTTTTTAACCATTAAAGCCATTAGTATTACCTTCTAACATGCCTTCAGCATATCCTGAATCTAAAATTTCTACCCACTCCATTTACTTTCATCTCTACTTGGACCACTGCAATCACCTCTAAACTCATCTCCCTTCTCTTTTCTTATCTTTCTATGTTCTGTTATCTACACAAAAGATAAAACAATCTTCAACATCTGTGAATTAATTTCCTTGACTCTTTTACTGAATAACTTTCAGTGGCTTCTCGGCATATTTAGAATAAAACCCACATTCTTTGCTGTGACAGACTAGTAATTGGCCTCCACTATCAATCACCTTCCTTTCCCGTCTTTCTTTTACCAATATGGATGCTGAAATTTTAGCTAGACAGTGGCTACATTCCCTAGTTTTCTTCATGGACTAATATAGATACAAATATATAAAACCAAGGAGTTATACTACCCTTATGTAGTATAAGTCTGTTTTCCTTTTTTCTTCTAATGGGATGAAACCCAAACACAGTGGATTAGGATATCACCATGGGCAGGGCCACGTGTTTCAAAGAACCAGATGACCAATGCACCAGGCCCACCCACCAGCCTTTGATTGCTCACCTCAAGGACATAATAGGAAGGAAAAATATATGTTTTCTGTGTCTCAACCATTGTATTTTGGAGTTTCCTACTTACAGTGGTATAGCCTGCAATTACTAATGTCCTGATCAAGATCTGCAGCTATTTACTATCCTTCTTTTGCCTTCTCTGAAATCAGTTTTTTGCAAGCACTCCAAATCAGAAACATTACCTTTTGTCCTCTATGTATATTGAATTTTCTGGATTATTTACAGGCTTCCTATAATTTCCTTATATGACATTTCCACTTGGATAATTCAGTTACTAAACATTGATCTAGGTCAGCATGAAGTAGTCAAGAACAGAACCCTGTATGTGAGTAATATAATTAGGGGTTCTTATCAGCTAATAAGAGTGTGGGCTGTTAACAAAATCTGAGACCAATGCAGTCATAAACAATGGGTCAAGCATGACACAACATAAAAAGGCAAGAACAGGTGCCTCAACACAGAAGACATCCAGGATACCAAGAAAATGGCATAGAAAGTAAGACCAGTGTTTCAGATTGAAACGTGTTCCCTCAAGATTCGTGTGTTGAATACATAACCTCCAATAAGCTTTTACAAGGGTGATTAAGGCTCAATGAAGTGATAAGAATGGGGTTCTAATCCAATAGGATTGGCATTCTTATAGAAATATGAAGAGACAAGAAGAAGAATAAGAGGAGAAAGAGAATTCCTTCTCTTTCTTTGCCTGCTCCCAGAGGTAAAGCAATTTGAGGACAAGTCAAGCTATCCAGAAACCAGGAAGAGAGGCTTCACCAGCAATTAGCCCTATTGGTGTTTGTGCCTTGATGTACATGTTCATTATGTCTTTCTGGAGAATACCAGTTAGTACCTAGCCCAAGCCAATTAATACAACCAGTACTCAGCATTTCTAGAGATACCCCATTTATGTCGTACATTGTCATATATCATCTCACTTAACCTTCTGGACAACTCTGTGAATAAATGCTAATGTTAGTATTCTGATTGAGGAAAATTGAGGCCTAGAGAGCTAGATAATGTATTCAAGATCACTCAGCTAGAAAATGACAGAGTTGGGATAAAAGCTCAGGGCCACATGGCTTAAAGTCCATGTGCCTGGGTAGTATGCAATTGCATCACCCTCGGACTGGCACACCATTAGGAAAAATGTATATTAGCCTTCAGAGATGAGTGGCACCCTTGAAAAGACTCACACTTTTCCAATTGAATTCTAAAATATAATTCCAGGATTTTACTCTCTTCATGCGTTTTATTATAAGTAATGAGCGCACACACATTTACTTAAGGTTGTTAAGATTTCTCCTGTGCCCTTCTGTGGGTTAGTGCCCATGAGGGTAAACACCCCATATCTACTACCCTTCTCAATCCAAGAATTTGTTTTCTGAAGTAATCAACAATCTTTTCCTTTAGCTGTTGTCAAAATAGCAAAGTGACCAAAGTCAGGAAAAGTGAGAAATGGAGAATACGAGTCTCACCCTACTCTTAAGCAAACTATTTTATGCCTATCTGATGTATTAACAATCACAAATAAAGCCCTACAATTTAATAATTTACAAACCGTTAATAGCATTTTTTATTAAATCAGTGAAGCAAGAGGTTGAGTCAAATTGTGATATAAAATTTAAGAACAAACAAATTTCAAATGATGGTTAAATGTTTAATCAAGGGGTTCCAGTGATGTTGTAAATGTCAAAACAAGAGACTTATGCAGCCAAACCTTTAAAACATCAGGGTGTCTTATTATTTTTAATACTTTTCAAAAAAACATGTATTTTTTAATGAACAACTTCTATTACCTAACTTTATGGTTCATAAAGTGTTATAGTTGTCAGAAGATCTACACATTTCTCTTTCTATTCAACTAATAAAAATAAATGAGAAAACTGAAGATATTTTTATTTTTGTGTGGTGTTATCATTGAAACTTTTAAAAACTTTTCCTTTCTCTAACTTCTCTGATAAATGCTTGTATTTGATGCAACACATATGAAATGAATGTTCTCATGGGATAGCATGTGCATTTGTTATATACTGATTTATTTCAGATCAGATCATTTTGCCTGAAAATAACTTAATCTTCTCTTTAGATTCTTCTGTAGATCTAATAAGACAGTTTCTTAACAAATATAATAGCATTTACATTTGTGCTGTCAAATGCTTTCTGAATACTTCTACCTCCTTTCAATGTTTATTCTTACAACAAACTACTGAGTTAGATAAAGCAAATATTATTTTCTTCAATTTATATAGAAAAGCAAACAGTTCAATGACTTGTTTAATAATACCTTAGCAAGTGGTCTATGGCTTTCTCCACCATTACATGCAAGTGTTCAAAAACAGGCTCTTTATTTTTTCATATAACATATTCTTTTTACATTATATATTTTTAAAATTATATAACTACAAGGAAGGACAAGTCTTTAAGGAAAAATAATGAATTCTCCATATTATCTCTCATAACATCAGAGTTCCAGAAATACCTCAACCATCATAGTAGCTCATTTATTGAGTCCTGAATAGATGTTCCGAACAATGTGCTGGGTGACACTTCACTTAAACACATAGTTCCCAAAGTTAGCTTAGGTTGTTGAAGGAGAAGTCTCTAAAGTTGTCACTGTATAAAATAATTTGTTTGGCTCAATAATTTGTACACAAAGACATCTTCAGTTTATAGTTATATACATTAATACAAATTATCTAAGTTTATAAGAGTGTAACTAACACCTTTCATCAGGTAGTACAGGGCTACTATATGTATAACAAAAACAATATCATGAAATCGAAAGGTCATCATTGGCTAGATGTATAGAAGAAAAAATATTCAGATGATGAGAGCATTGAGATAGTCCTTGTTTATTTGTTTTCTATTTCTCTGCTTACTCCTCTTTCAACATCTGAGCCATCTCTGCCATTCACCTCAGTTAGTAAATACTTGTGCCTGTCTCAACCAAGCAGTGCTCTCAGAAAATTCAGGAGGAAACCAGCTCATGTAGCTGAGGTAAATGATTAGTCGATCAAGCATTGTTGTCATGCACAGAAAGTTACTTGGATAGTGCCATAGGGCATTTGATAAAATAGTTCAAACACAAAATGCAGAATTGGAAAAATCTTACCTTTACAATGATTCATTTATTTATATAATTGCTACTCATCCATACTTTAGTATGGATTAGCCTTACTATGTTTATCTTAAAGACATATTTTGTCTTCCTGGACTCTGGGTTAGAATACAAAATATTGCAATACATTTTACTTAATTGTGGCATATTTTATGTTATTATAATTATTATCTTTTTAGTTTGCTTGAACCAAGTACTCATAGTGCTTACCTGCTTGGAGACATTTCTTATACTTTAATTGAATAACTTCAAAATATTTCAGGACATTGTGCATAAAGAAAGATCCATAATACATTGAGATGGTTCAAAAACTTTTCTACTTATCTCAGTTCAGGCACTTGTTCCTGTGAATAGCTGTGTAGAAACAGAAACCCACCTAAGAGGGAGTATCTTCTGTTGAATTTTGGAACATACTGAATATAGTCCACATGATTTTATCTACAAATTGACGTGAAAAATTTAAGAATTTCTGACATTTTCCAGGCCATTCTGGTTCAAACCATAATATGTTCCGAATGTCTTATGTCTCACCAGCCCAGATGACTGTCTTACCTTGACCACTTAGTATGCATACCTCAAAATAAGATTGTGATTATGTTTCCTCTCGCTGGGCATTCTCTTTTCATGGACTCACACATGGCTCGAGTGTTTCATTTTCAATATCACACAAACTCTGAACCCTCATCAAAATTGTGAATTTCCAACAGACTTACTGACATTTGCCTATAATCATCTTTCAAATGAACTGTCATCACAGACTTAATCTCTATTTGGCTTCCCTAATTGTTCCCACCTTGCCTGCCAAGTCTTTCACTACTTGAAAAGTTTTGCCAAGAATTTAAATTTATTCATCAGTGATTTTTTAAAAATCTGTGTAAAGGTATGTTACTCAGTTAAACATGTGGGAGGCTTTATCCAAGCACTTCAGCACGGAAACAAGTTATAAAACCCCAAACATTGGATTCTGAGTCTATTGCCAAACATTCTACCTTCATCTAATTTGGAGGAAGAATTAAATATATGTAGCAGCTACACAATTACAAAAGCAAGCACAGTGATAATCAATTATCCACATGTTTTACTGATCTGTTGCCCAAAGTCCAGATGTTTGGAAATATCTATGACTGGCATGATGTAAACACACTCAAAGACTATTAGTCCAGTCTGCTGAAAGAAGTAATGCCACTCTCAGATAATCTATTTTTCTAATAATGCTTTTATATAATTTCCTACAGAGCTCAGTCCAAAAAAAAAATAAATAAAACCCAGAGATTCAAAAAATACACATTAGGATTATAACTGCTGCTGAAAGATCCTACTAGACATACACTTATCCTACTAGATTCCTTTTGATTTATTGGCCTAGAGAATAACAAAAAAACAATGAGGGAAGTAAAACTTAACAATCAGCATTTGTGTCACTGGAAAATATGATTTTAATATAAAGATTTCTTACATTTGTCTTCAGGCCCAGAATGGCAGTTCCTGTTCTGAATACTTATAGCTAAAATCTGTTCTTTTCTTAGTTATATTTTCCAGGAAATTTTGAACAGACAGGGCAAGAAAAAGTTTACACGTATCTCCTTGGCAGCTTCAAACATTATTCCCATTGTGTCCTTCTTGAATGAAAAATTTAAAGTGCAGAATTAGCACTGGAAGATTGACTGGATTCTAAATGTACTTTCTAATAGTAAATGTAAAACTAGAGGGAACAGAACACCAATAATGAAGAGAAATACAAGGCTAAGTATTGGAAAGTAATTAGCGAGCTCATCACTGACAACCCTTTGATGGCCTGAATTGCTTCCAGAAAGATAAGAGTACAGATCATTGTTTAAAAAACAATTAAGTCCCACACACACATTGGTAGAATTATTTTACATTCATATGCAAATAGAGAGGCTCATATTCTTTGAACATACTAAGTATCAACAGAGAAGCATTATATTTGGCATTGGTTTATTTGGGTGTGTTAAAAGCACCCATGGTAAATATATACACCACAGACCTATGGATTTTATAAGGTCCCTAGGAACTCTGGTTAAACTTTGCAATTTAACTAAGGTCCACTGACAAACAGCATATGTGTAGATTCGACTAGGTTTCTCAAGAGGTATTTCATTATTTGTATGGACATCAGAAACAAAAGAATAATGCCAAACCTGCTATCAGTTTTTTTTCCCCTTTACGTTGATGGCCCTTATTTATATGTCAATAGAATTTATATGTATATGTTTAATTAATAAAAACACAACATTAAAAATAGAAAGTAAAAACACTAATAGTCTGGGATCTATGCAAATTATTACAATAAAGTTGAAAACTCTTACCTTTTTCCGTGTCTAATAGAAAATTACCTATTCATCTTGGTAATCACTTTTCCTTCATAAACTAGTATTAACTCATCATTCTGGTTCCATTCAAGCTCTTTTTTTCAACAAATCAATATATCGAGTCCTCTAAACTCACATCTTTTCCACTTATTTATGCTATTCTTGTGTCTACATTATTATCCACTCTCTTCCTAGCCATATTCATAATGTTTTTCAAGGCCCATGCCAAGCTTCATGGCTTACTGCTCTCACACTCCCTACATACCACATCACCCATGGATCTAACTCCCAACATCCCCTATTCTACTTCTTGGTCAATGTTTGATATTTTCACTGGTTGTATTTTTATTATTTAGTGTTTATTATTTCAACTCATTTTTATTCACTTTGAGTGAATATATGTGTATTTTCTAGTGGGCACATGTATACACAGCAACTTATATATTCATTTAGGCTTTAAATGCTTGGTAGTACAATCAGTGTCGAATGTCTCACTTTTTTAGTCCTTATAATTCCTAACTGAGTGGCCTGTCCAAAATTATCTTTTCAATAAATATTTGGGTATATTTTCATATATTCACAAATTGCTACACTTAAAAATGTATAGCACAGAGCCAGTGACAAATGTATACTTTATTTATAAATATATACTTTTTATTAATCTTAAGAATATCCACTTTAATGTAAACCAAGCTATTACTTCTGAAAGATTTTTATAATCAAGAGATTAGTGGATAATATCTGAATGTAAGAGGCAGTCACAAAAACAAGAAAGAAAAGCCAGGGATAGTTTGCATAAATAATCTTAATTTCCGAACACTAAAAAAAATTTAGAATATGGAAGGAAGCTCAGTGACCTCCTAAATTAGGAGAAGAAACAACTCTAGAAATAGGAAGCTACCTGCCCACTGCCTTGCAGTTTGCTGGAAGCACTAGTACTGGTTCTAGGACCAAAGTCTGCTCAATCAGTTCACTCAATTCAGTTCTGCCCATCAGTACTGTAGACTCCTGACTGTCCACTAGACTCTCAATAACTGCAGCTGTTTCCTTTGATTTGAACAATGAACCAAGAGTAACTTTGCTTCTTGTACATAAAGCCAGAGGCCTAGGTCCTCATTTTGAAATCTTCATACATACTGCAAAATTGGGACTCTTAACAACCCCTCTCCTAGTGTCTCATTGCTGATATCACACATATCTCTACTACCTAATGTGGCTTTTCTTCTTGAGTCCTTTATCTCTATTTTGTTGTTGGTTAGGTTTTCCTTTAATCCCAATTGCTTAAGTTTATAGATTGTACTTTTCTATATTTCTTTCACAGTGTCTAGGAGAGTGTTTGACGTAACAGTATCTAATAAATATTTTGTTTAATCGCTTAATTTTGCATAGCTAATTTTTCTGTCATTACTGCAAATATTCCTACTGCAATGCCCAAACAAGAAAGTTAGTTTCTTGAATCAGGTGCTTTCGAAGCCCTCTATTACATCCTCTTAACACACTTCTAATTTTGGCTGAAGTCAAGGTGTTCACCTATTTTATGGCAGAGAACTACATGAGATACTGAAAAGCAGCTCCTAGTGTATGAAAGATCTTTAGTAGAGACTCAGTGTCTACCAATTGGTATCAAAGACCTTGTGGCAGAATTCTCCATTATAAGCTGTAAACAGTCATACCCACCAGGCCATGATGTTGAGCAGACCTTGTAGCAACCACTGTACGATAAAAATGTGCCTGAAGCACACATGTCAGTCATAAAAGCACTGGGTCCAAAGTTTCTGCTGCACTCTCACCTCTTCCTCAACTCACACTTGCATTCTCTTGGGATTTTCCCTAAAATCAGCTGAAAGAAATGAAAAATTCCAGACCTGGATCAAAAACAGGACAGCTCAGTATGTTGGTATGAAATGAATCACAGTCTCATATAGGGGTGGTCCTAAAAGACAGTTGTGAGAGAAATCCTTATAGTGGGCATTAAAATTGATTAGAAACTCTCTAAGGAGGGAGACATGAATGAAGGGAGTACATGTAGACGCTCCCAGGTGGTGGCACATGGTTTAGCCCATCAGTCAGGGTCCTGGAAGAAGAAAGATTAGAAAGTCAGAGACAAGGAGATCTTGGGAAGAGGCATATGGATGAGCTCATGGAATCCAGCACATTGTGTACCCATCTTTTCCTCTCACTTCAGTGGCCACCAGAAAGCATCACTGTGGAGGAGGCCCTTAACCATCATGTGGATATAATGGCCTGTCTACTGGCTATTGGTTAGCACTATTCTCAGCCACTGCAGTGTTTGCAAGTAGACCCTTAGATGGACTAGCAGTGGTTTCACAGATAGATACTCAAGATGAGCCCATATTTGGGCTTGATTTCACCAAGCTGATACGGCTATCCATATTACTAAATATTGTGTTGTTAGCAACAGAGACATGGTGAGACCTAGTCATGACACCTTATTTTGAGAAGACTAGTACATCGCCTGACAATTGATTCTATCAGTCTCCTCCCACCTTCTAGAGGATATCAATTTAGTCCTACCATAATTTTCTTCTCTTCTGGGTATGATTGCTTTTCCTGTTGGCCATGCCTATGCTGGCACCACTTTTAGAGGGTTTACAGAACAATTCAGAGGACACTGCATACAATTGTCTCTGAATGAGAGATCTACTTTACAGTGTAGGTGGTGTGGTGAGTTCACTTTCCAGGGTCATTATGAGGATTAAAGATAATTACATGTATCACCTAACCTTTAGGAACAACTCATTAATGTTTTGAGTTATGGCAATAAGTACAATGACATAAATTATTTATTGAGCTCTACATTAGGTGCTTTGGAAAATATTTTTTAACTATTAAAAAATAAAGGAAGTTAGTATAGACAATTAGCCTAAGATCATGTAGCCAGCAAATGTAAGAACTGGATGTAAATACAATATTTGATTTCAGAGCCTAATATCTGTGTAATGTACCACATTGCTCCTTCACAATAATACATCATTGAACAGATGCCATCAAAGCTGGACATTTAACAGTTGACTATATGAATATGCATTTAATTGGAAAGCCTTTTAACATGACAAAAATTAATGATTATTTATCTTAGATAAAACAATAGAAATTTTTGCCTGTTGAAAGAGGGACAGATACAAAACTTTTAACAAATCAAAATTTACTATAGTCACCCAATTCACTGTTTGACAGTTTCAAAATCAATAGTAAGGGCAAATCATGTCTATGCAAAAGTTTAAATTAGGTAAATTTGGTGAACGTCATAATTAGAATATCAGAAGATTACATAAAAGTTAACCTGGAAGAAGGGTGTTGGTATTAATTCCCAGGGCCAGACTCCTACCAAACTCAGCCATCTAGGTTTGACCACATATTTAGAAGTTAGGATTGAGATCTGAGTGCACAGGGTGTAACATTATAAATGTATAAGTCTTTGTAAAGTATGGAAGATCCTCTGTCAAGTAGGCAATTAAATATGAAATTAGCTAATATATCAGAATCTGTGAAGAGGAACTATGAACTGTGAGAAGCCAATGAAAATGCTAGAAAAAGACTGCTGGGGCCACTCAATGTAGGAACAAATGCTCCTAAAATGTACCCCTGTTCTGAAGTGCAATATAATCTTCATACATATAGTGATGATGCATACAAGTTATAGATTCCCATTCTCCTTAGCAATGTGTGCAATGTAAGGATGTTTTATTTTAAAGCACACATAAAATATAAGGCTTTATCTTTCTCTCTCTATCTCTATACATATATATATATACGTCTTTAAGTCTTATGCATTTATATATATATATATATATATATATTTAAATAAGCATTAGTGTCTTAGAAATAGAATTTTTCAATGTTCTCCCTACTTACAGGAGACAAAAAGGAGCTACCCTACCTCAAGAGCCCAGTTTTCAAAGCATTTTCCAAAAGACTAAAGTAATCACTAAAAAGGCTCTGAACAAATACTAGTGCCCAGTTCTGATTGTCTTTTTCATGATGTGGTTCAAAGATTTCTTTTTTGTTTTCCCCCCATTAGACTAGGGACTAAGTACGACAATATGACACAGTAGCCAAACCAAAAGATATGTGAAAAAAGCACAATGAATTTATGTGTGGGTAAAAGTCAATATTAAATATAGGTCATGTAGGACTGAGAACTTTTTCTCAGAAACGTGAATTCAAAGCTAAAGTAGTAAAAATGAAAATAAAATAGTGTTACAATGCTTTAAGACTTGAGTTGCTCCCCAATGACCAGATTAGCTTTCCAAGCCCCTTCAGTTGTCTAACCTTTCTTTTATATTTCAGGATACCAATCAATAGAGTTCCCCTCCCTTAACTAAATAAGCCTCACAAGGTGACAAAAAAGTCACTAAATTAATTTTTATTTTGCAGCATAAAAGAGGCATTGCTACCTACAAACAGTATAATTAATTGGGATTAATTTCATGTGCAAATTTTGTCATTGCAGGTGTTGATGGAGTAATACATCAAAGGGACTTCACCTCTGTAAAAATCAATGTTAACATAACCTTGATTACTGTTCTTGTGGATGTCACATATAACACTAATCAGTCATGGTTTGTAGCAAACATCTTAGAGAACAAATATAATTTGCTTTTTTATTGGCATTTTTCACGATGAGAGATAATATGCATTCATGGGACAAGCAATTCTCTCCAAGAATACAATCTCCTAGGGGAATTGGTAGAGACAGTATTGCTGCAGTGGGAATGGTTGAGAGGAAAATGACATGAGTGTGAAAAAAAATAACTATTCACATTGATATGGAAACTACTGATTCTGTTTTGGGAATACAAACTTCCAGGACACTTTTAGAAAAGTCAGAGAGCTTCATTGCTATCAAGTGTAACCTTATGTAGTGCTTAAAGGAAAAAAAATAACCTCACTTTATGGTAACAGACTTCATTTAATTTTTATCTCTACTATTCCTAAATAACACAGATCTTCCATTGTATCAATTAAGGCCACAATGGAATAAATGAAGGATACATCTTCAGTTAGTTTTATCTTGAATTGACATTTAATGATCCACTACACAGAAAAAATTATAACTAGTGATAGTTTTCGTATTTGTAGTTTTGAACATTTCTTCCTTTTGGGTGACCCTCATTTCAGGTTTTGTGTCATTGTCAACATTAAGAGAAGTATCAATGCTAGAACTATTATGCTAGAAAATCAATCAGCATATATTAAAAACCTGTTGTACAAAGAAAATTATTTTACAATTAATAACATTCATAGAGGGAATCTGGTGCATAGAGGTGAGATATGCAAGGCAGTAGATGACTGTGAGCGACTTAATGAGGCTGATATGTATGACTTGAAAGATCTTAAGCTGGATCTTAGAAAAGATTTTGATGATTAGGAGAATTTAAGTGAAGACATAAAGGTGAATGTGCAAACATTTTAGAAAGAGGATAAAGCAGAAACAAAGTCTTAGAGATGAGAATAACAGTGTTCCATACTGTATATCTTCTTTTCCATTTTCTTATCTCTTCCAGACCTTTTTTCTTCCCATATGTTTTCATATAATTGGAAGTTCAGAAGGCCAAGTTTCTAATTTTAGTGATAAGAGTAGTGTTACAATAGAATGTTAGAAAAAAATGCTTTACAGAAAGCAATTGTATTAAATATATTTAACAACAGAAGCTTTAAATGTTTTTCTTTTAGTCGCCCTTAATGAAGACAGAAAAAATCCTAGTGATATTTGCAGCAATTGCCTTTTAAGTCACTTTCCTCCAACCTAAGCCATTTCCCATCTGATCCCATAAATACATCAAATAAACTCCTGCTTCTATATTACCTCAATCTTGATTCAGTGAAGACTGTATTTGGGCTTGGTCTTTTCGGTATTTGAAATGCACCATTCTGATTTGAGTTTATGCTTGATGACTCCCTCTGGTTCTTGTATCCTAGGTTGCATTTAGCACATTCTCCATCCAATGTTTTATTAAATTGCAAGCCCATCCACATGGCTGCTACCTTGTCCAGAACGTCATCACTGGGAGGTGGAGATGCTCAGCAGAGATACCAGGGAGTCTGATAATAATCAGGATAAATTTTGATGGTGAAGGATGAAGAATATTATTTCTTCAAGGTATTTTATCTGTTTGCACTTCTCATATACTTTTTCCTCCCTAGTTTTCCTCTCATCTTTCTTTGGCCTTTGCAGTTGTTCAGGTCACCTACTTTTTTCTCACATTTCTCTTCCATCCTCTACCAATTTTTTCAAACATCTGTTTAAAAAGGAAGGGAATGAGGAAAACACTATAAGTTCTTACCCTTTCACATTTTACTTTATAGGCATGCATGAATAAATCATTTGGAAATGTCCAGAGTCTAGAATGTATGTTATAGTTATAATTTTTAGGTTGTGTGTTTCTAAAAATCATTTTTCTTTTACACATCAATCTGTGGACTATGAAGGAGCAAAAGTGATACTAATTTATATAATATTTTTTAAAGGAATTTTTCTTATTATTCCAAAATCAAGTATTGCCTTAACAGATCATAACCTGAAGGGGCTACACTGTGGCAGAAGAAGCAGCTTCTCACTTTTCCAGTAGTTTACACCAGGTTTGTTCATAATACTCTGAGACCAATTTGCATTTGAGGCTTTGCACAGTGATTAAATTCATGGAGACAGTAAATGGAGTGAAATCAGTCCCTCCATGATTGGGACAATTCTCTTGATGTTCAAATACAAATAAAAGGTTGCCATGAAATTTCTCAGTTATTTGTGACCCAGGAACTCCTTAAAAGCAAGGCACAGTAAGATCAGCAAATATTCTCAGGGCAAAGTAAACACAGATGCCAAGCTTAGCCTTCTGGATTTCTTTATTTCCTGGGACCCTGGACTAAACGTTTCTTATCAGGTGTTAGTTCGTTCCAAATTTTGATAATTTTTGGAAGAAAATAATTTTTTCCAGCTTTTCTCTTCAATTATCTTCAAAAGGGAGATAGAGTTAAGCCAAAATTTAGCAATCATATTAAATGCAAATAGGCCAACTAATTCAGTTAAAGGAAAAACATTTTTCAAAAAATAAAACTAGATGGTTATAAGACACACATTTAAAATATTGAAATGTTGAAAGGATAGAGATGGAAAATATATAACACTGACACCATATAAAAGAAGTCTGATGCAATTATATTAGTATCAGGCAAAATAAACTTTAGGACAAAAACTGCAATAATAATGTCATTTCAAAGGCAGATAATCTAAATTTGTTTGTGTCAAAAATCATAGCCTCAACAAATTAAAATAAAAATTGGTAAAAAAAAGTAAGGTAAATAATTACATCTTCAATCATAGTGAGAGATTTGAGCAAATATTTTAGAGTAACATATATTAAGAACATAAAATATCTTGAAGTAAGAAGGTAGAAGATTAGATGAATATTATTGGTCATATACAGAACACAGATACCCCAAGAATCCTTTTCTAGCACTCATGAAGTATTTACAAAAGATGATTATATACTGGCCATACAATGCTTTTGTTTTGTTTTGTTTTGTTTCGTTTGAAACGGAGTTTCGCTCTTATTGTGCCCAGACTGGAGTGCAATGGCGCAATCTCGGCTGCTGTGACCTCTGCCTCCTGAGTTCAGGCGATTCTCCTGTCTCAGCCTCCTGAGTAGCTGGGATTACAGGCTCCTGCCACTATTCCCGGCTAATTTTTCATATTTTTAGTAGAGACGGGGTTTCACCATGTTGGCCAGGCTGCTCTCAAACTCCTGACCTCAGGTGATAATGGCCACCTCAGCCTCCCAAAGTGCTGGAATTACAGGCGTGAGCCACTGCGCTTGGCCACAATTCTTAATAAATTTCCTGTAACCTATAAAAGGATCCTAAAGCAAATAGCAAAAAGTCATATTAAGAAATATACTTTTAAATGACCCATAGGATAACAGAAGAATCACAGAGAAAATTAGAAAATATCTTCAACTTAATGATAACCGCAAATTCTACATTAGAAAACTTGTGAAAGGTGATCAAAGTAGCACTTAACTGAACATTTATAGCCTTAACTGTGTGTGTGTGGGAGAGAAACCCTAATATATAAAAAGTTAAACATTCAAAAAGTTTGAAAAATGAAGGCAAAATGAATGCAACAAGAAAAAGTGAAGAAAATAGGAAAGAAAATAAATAGGAAAAATACTATTCATGTATCCATCTATATGTAATTATTAACAATGCTGAAAGTTCATTTTTTGAAAACACTGATAAAATTAGTAGCCTTCTTAAAAATCTGATCAAAAAACCAAATAACCAGTATCAGACATGTTAAGAGGAACATGATTATATATCTAACAGATAAAAAAAATTAAAGAAATATTGCTCACAGGAAACTCTTCTGAAAGTATCAGTGAATGGACATAAATTTTTTTAATGTGACATAAGCCAGATCCACAAATAAATAGAAAACTATTAAATTCGTCGATAAATAGAAAATTTATCGTAATCAAAACTATAGGCCTGGAGGGATTCACCAGAAAATTCTATAGAATATTTCAGAGGGAAATAATGTCTGGTTTTCACACAACCTATGAGATAATAGAAAATGAGCGAGAACTCTACAGCTTATTTTACGAGGCTGCAAAAAGCATTGATATCAAATCAGACAAGAGCATTAAAAGAAAGAAACGTGAAGTAAATATTCTCAATAATGTATTAGCAGACTGATTTTAGAAGTAAAATAAAACCAGTACAATAATATACATAATGAACATGTTATGCTTATTCTATGGATGCAAAAATGGTTTAATACTTAAAATTCAATAAATAAAATATATTATATTTAACAAATTAGAGGAGAAAATATCTATTATTCTATTAATAGATATAGAACTGTATTTAACAACATTTGGCATCCAGTTTTTATAAAACCTCTTAATAACCTAGGAGTAGAAGAAAATTTCTTTATCTCCTAAAGGTTGTCAAAGAAAGTAACAGTAAACTTCATGCTAACAACTTCAAGTGGGTTATAGAAATGAACGTACACAGCATAAAACAAAAACAAAATTCAAGTTTCTAGAAGATAATGTAGAAAAAAATTCCTAAACAAGTCATACAAAACACTAAAAATAGTTATTGATATCTTTTCATCAAAGAGAGAGCATCAAGAGAATAAAAGACAAGTTAAAGAGTGAAAGAAAATTCTGCCACTCATATTACCAACAAAGGTATCATATCATACATGAGATAATATATGAGCAGGATACATAAGTATTATGATAAAAATAAATGACAGAAAAAGAAAGAGAATTTTCTATAAACTAATACAAAAAGATAACTAACTCAGTAGAAAAAATGAGAAAGGGAATTTATAAGTTCTTCACACCAAAAATGTATTTATTGAAAGACCAATAAACGCATAAAAAAGTGCTAAACTTTTTTCATAATCAGAAAAATTAATAATCACCAGAGTGACTAATACATAAAGGATTGACATAAATGTTGGCTACTAAAAGTTCGTTTAATAATTATACTAAAATAATAATTTTTGTGTGGTATTTTAGGAATTTAGATTTCGTAACCAGTTTGGAAAACTCTTTGGAGTTTTTAATTAAAACTATACATATATATATAATATATACATAATAAATAATGAGCAGTAAGTATATCACTCTAAAATGCTTGTACATACATAACAGAAGTCATATACAAAATGTTTATAAAAGTATTGATGGAAATAGTCCCCAACTGGGAACAACTCTGTTATCCGTGTTAGTAGAGTGAAAGTGCCGTCATACAATAGAATACTATAAAATGAAAGTGAATGGGCTCTAGTGAGATAAATGAATACAAATGGCTATCAGAAACCAGACAAAACTAATGTAAAGAGTTTAGAGGTACACACAAATGTGCTATAACTGTGAGAGAAAACAAGGAAACTATTAACATAGAAGTCCAAAATAACTTTGTTTCTATTTTTTTATTACACTTTAAGTTCTGGGATACATGCGCAGAACATGCAGGTTTGTCACATAGGTATACACGTGCCATGGTGGTTCCTGCACCCATCAACCCGTCATCTACATAGTAATCTACATATAGGTATTTCTCCTCATGCTCTCCCTCCCCTAGCCTCCCACCCCCAGACAGGTTCCAGTGTGTGATGTTCCCCTCCCTGTGTCCCTGTGTTCTCATTGTTCAACTCCCACTTATGAGTGAGAACATGCAGTGTTTGGTTTTCTCTTCCTGTGTTAGTTTGCTGAGAATGATGGTTTCCAGCTTCATCCATGTCCCTGCAAAGGACATAAACTCATCCTTTTTTATAGCTGCATAGTCTTCCATGGTGTATATGTGCCACATTTTCTTTATCCAATATATCATTGATGGGCATTTGGGTTGGTTCCAAGTTTTTGCTATTGTGTATATTGCTGCAATAAACATACTCGTGAATGTGTCAGTATAGCAGAATGATTTACAATCCTTTGGGTATATACCCAGTAATGGGATTGCTGGATCAAATGGTATTGCTGGTTCTAGATCCTTGAAGAACTGCCACACTGTCTTCTACAATGGTTGAACTAATTTAAACCCCCACCAACAGTGTAAAAGCATTCCCACTTCTCCACATCCCCTCCAGCATCTGTTGTTCCCTGACTTTTTAATGATCACCATTCTAACTGGCATGAGATGGTATCTCATTGTGGTTTTGGTGTGCTTTTCTCTAATAGCCAGTGATGATGAGCTTTTTTTCATACGTTTGTTGGCTGCATAAATGTCTTCTTTTGAGAAGTGCCTGTTTGTATCCTTTGCCCACTTTTTGATGGGGTTGTTAAATTATTTCTTCTAAATTTGTTTAAGTTCCTTGTAGATTCTGAATATTAGCTCTTTGTCAGATGGAGAAATTGCAAAAATTCTCTCCCATTCTGTAGGTTGCCCGTTCACTCTGATGACAGTCTCTTTTACAGTGCAGAAGCTCTTTAGCTAATTAGATCCCATTTGTCAATTTTGGCTTTTGTTGATATTGCTTTCGGTGTTTTAGTCATGAAGTCTTTGCCCATGCCTACGTCCTGAATGGTATTGCCTAGGTTTTCTTCTAGGGTTTTTATGGTTCTAGGTCTTATGTTTAAGTCTTTAGTCCATCCTGAGTTAATTTTTGTATAAGGTGTAAGGAAGGAGTCCAGTTTCAGTTTTCTGCATATGGCTAGACAGTTTTCCCAACACAATTTATTAAATAGGGAATCCTTTCCCCATTGCTTGTTTTTGTCAGGTTTGTAAAAGATCAGATTGTTGTAGATGTGTGTCATTATTTCTGAGGCCTCTGTTCTGTTCCATTAGTCTATATATCTGTTTTGGTACCAGTACCATGCTGTTTTGCTTACTGTAGACTTGAAGAAGTTGAATCCCAGAATAGACCAATAAAAAGTTGTGAAATTGAGGCAGTGATTAATACACTACCAACCAAAAAAGTCCAGGACCAGATGGATTCATAGGCGAATTCCACCAGAGGTACAAAGAGGAGCTTGTACCACTCCTTCTGATACTATTCCAAAAAATAGAAAAAGAGGGCCTCGTCCCTAACTCATTTTATGAAGGCAGCATCATCCTGATACCAAAACCTGGCAGAGACACAACAAAAAAAGAACATTTCAGGCCAATATCCCTGATGAACATTGGTGTGAAAATCCTCAATAAAATATTGGGAAACCAAATCCGGCAGCACATCAAAAAGCTTATCCACCATGATCAAGTCAGCTTCACCCCTGGGATGCAAGGCTGGTTCAACATACACAAATCAATAAATGTAATCCATTACATAAACAGAACAAATGACAAAAACCACACGATTATCTCAATAGATGCAGAAAAGGCCTTCAATAAAATTCAACACCCTTCATGCTAAAAACTTTCAACAAACTAGTTATTGATGAAATGTATCTGAAAATAATAAGAGCTATTTATGACAAATCCACAGCCAATATCATACTGAATGGGGAAAAGCTGGAAGCATCTCCTTTGAAAGCCAGCACAAGGCAAGGATGCCGTCTCTCACCACTCCTATTCAACATAGTATTGGAAGTTCTGGCCAGGGCAATCAGTCAAGAAAAAGAAATAAAGCGTATTCAAATAGGAAGATAAGAAGTCAAATTGTCCCTGTTTGCAGATGACATGATTGTGTATTTAGAAAGCCCCATCATCTTAGCCCCAAATCTCCTTAAGCTGATAAGCAACTTCAGCAAAGTCTCAGGATACAACATCAATGTGCAAAAATCACCAGCATTCCTATACACCAATAATAGACAAAGAGAGCCAAATCATGAGTGAATCCACATTCACAATTGCTACAAAGAGAATAAAAGACCTAGGAATACAACTTACAAGGGACGTGAAGGACCTCTTCAAGGAGAATTACGAACCACTGCTCAAGGAAATAAGGGAAGCCACGAACAAATGGAAAAACATTCCATGCTCATGGATAGGAAGAATCAATATTGTGAAAATGGCTATTGTGCCCAAAGTAATTTATAGATTCAATGCTATGCTCATCAAGCTACCACTGTCTTTCTTCACAGAATTAGAAAGAACTACATTAAATTTCATAAGGAACCAAAAAAGAGCCCTTATAGTCAAGACAATCCTAAGCAAAATGAACAAAACGGGATGGGCATGGTGGCTCACACCTGTAATCCCAGCATTTTGGGAGGCCGTGGCTGGTGGATCACCTGAAGTCAGGAGTTCGAGACCAGCCTGGCCAACACTGAGAAATCCCATCTCTAGCAAAAAATAACAAAAATTATGTGGGCGAGGTGGTGGGCACCTGTAATCCCAGCAACTTGGGAGGCTGAGGCAGGAGAATCCATTGAACCCAGGAGGCGGAAGTTGCAGTGAGCAGAGATCGCACCATTGCACTCCAGCCTGGGCAACAAGAGTGAAGCTCTGTCTAAAAAAAAAAAAGAACAAAGCTGGAGGCATCACACTACCTGAGTCCAAATGAACTTTATTTTTACTTTTAAGATGGGGTTATTGAGATGTGTCTTGTAAGGGCTTTTGGGGTGCTGGCAACTTCGCATTTCTTGAACTACTTAAATGAGTTTTCACTTAATAATAATTTATGTTTTATGCACTTTCAGTGTGTTACATTTCAAAGTGAAAACAGTTTTGTAAAATACCTTTATCTCATATCCTAGCATAGATAACTATGTACATCTGGGGACAAATGACTGTCAGGGAGGCATTCAAATACTTTATGAAAGATTTATGCATTCATCAACTTGGTGACACTTGTATCACTGACTAATAGATACACTTGCTTTCGAACAAGTTTACTTAATTAGACTTTCTACTTCCTGCTTCCATGCTGTAACATTTCAGAGGCATCAATTATTTGTTTCTGCAAAAGTGTTGGTAACAAGGTTGGGAATGAATTTAACTGTTATGTGTACAGAAATTGGAGATTCAGAAATTAAAATGAGAGATTTTGCAGCTGTAATATCAGGTTGCTATTCAACCCCCATTTGCAAATCTGCTTCCTCTGAGGCCTGATTGGGTTATAGCTTATTATTCAAGCTGGCCCTGAGCAAAATATTAATGTAGGGGAGAGCCTTTGGCAGCCTCTGTTTCTGCTCTGTGTCCTCTTGACTCCTTCTAGTTCTGCTGTATTTCCCATGGATTTGAGGCTGCCAGGAGAGAAGGAGATGATGGATTCATTCACAATTTAAGGTGAAAGACCAAAGTGTACCCTTTCCCACAGATGTTTGCATATTAAAAGAAGCCAGAATAGGGCAGTTGTCAGTGCAAAGGAAGGCTCTCTCAGAAGAATTTCTGGCACTTTGATCATCACTGGTCTTATTTGAGTGAGTTTCTATTTCATCTGTGCCTAAAACTAGCCCTTATACATTTAGAGTTAGTAGGGACATCATGAATTACTTAGTCCAGTTACATACTTTATATATGGCAAAACAAGGACAGAGGACCTAATTAATTAGCCAAACATCATGAAACTAGGGTTAGAACACCATTATTTCAGCTTAAATTCTTCTTATTTTTCTGTAGCTTGTGGATTTCTGAATGTGAAAAGGTAGATGTATATTAGGAATAGCAATACTATAATTTTGTGCAGAAATATGAAAAGAGAAATAAGTCAGGATAAATGAGGTAGTAATCTCTGCTTCTGTGCTTTGTGTATTAAAATGCATACTATTCAATGAAGCATTTCCCTAGTTTCTTAGGGCTCTAAAGATTTCTCTCTTCTGTCACTGTTACGACATTTTTTAATCTTTAAAAACTAATTTATATATTTTGTATTGTTTTAATAAAATGTTGTGCGGTATGCTTCCTCCACTTTTATCCGATCATACATTTAAGTCTTTCTAAACATCTAGATTTTAATCCTATTATGGATCCTATATTTTAATTTTTCTACACAGTCTTCTGTCCTAATTGATTAATCACAATGATTTGATCATTTCTTTTACTGTAATATGAGAAGTTATAGAAAGAATCAATGTTCCTACAAATATATAGTAGCCCAAATTATGCTTCAGTAGAAACAACAATAAGAAAAAAACTCTAGGGACAAATATTCTGATGACAAATTTCCATGTATATACACTTATCCTGATCTTTCTCTTTTAAATCCCCACTGTCACCACTTCTTTAGGACCTCACAGATTCCCTCTGAGGAGTTAGCCCAAAGAGGAGGACCATCTTTTAACTGTATCTCATTAAACATATTTGTATTAATATTTGCAAGAATGAAATACATTAAACACCAAGGCAAAAATGCTGGCTTCTATAGTTCCAGGATAAGAAGAAAAAAATCATTAGACTTAAAACTACTAAATCCAAGTGTCTTAGCCTCAAATGAGGCAGAATTGTATTAATAACTTTACTAAATGTTCTAGTTCTATTTAAACCAGGTGGCGTTTGTTAAAAATTAGACTCAACAAGTGTCAGCTATTGATATCTAAGAAGATGCTTTCTTAATATATTTTCTACTCTTTATAGCAAACTTGATTTTATGGATGAAGAAATGTTTTCAAAGAAGTTAAGTAAAACTTGTTGAAATTCAAATAGCGGGTAAGTGGCAGAGCTAGCATTCCATTCCAAGTGATTTTGGCAGCAATATTCACCTTCTTTTCAAACACCATGCATTTTCTCCATTTTTTATTCCTAATCCCAGATGCTAGTCTACCTGTCATTTTTATCATATCTAAATACAAATCCTAAAATCATTTATCCTGATTCAATTCCAGTCTTCTTACTTAATTCGAGGTTCTTATCTAAAAAACATTTCAGTTCCCAACTGATTTTCTTAGTGGTTGACAATGCTGAGGCCCAGTGAACACTATAAAAGTAAAATACATAGTGTGGATAAACCAGTCAAGTATTCTCTGATAACTTGTTCATGACAGTGCCTTTCTCTAAACATAGATATGTTGTGATCTAAAGTGTATAACCACAAAGTAATTTTAAAAAGCAGTAGAATCACAACCAGCTGAGTGTAGACATAATATATGCTTGTTGGTTGTGTGTTTGGATGGTGTAGCTGTCTGTGGTTAAAGACACCTCCTCCACCCTCCCTGCCATACCTACTCCAAGTTTTTAACAGAATGGAGTTGGCTACATAGAGCAAAGATAGATGAACTATTTTTTAAAGCAAATTGGCTCTTAATTCTGGTTCTTTACTGGGTGTGCAACTTCCATGGCTGTGCAACCAGATTTTGTCCTGCTACAGTGAGGAAAAATAAAAGAAAGTAATTCTTGATATACCACTGGCTTATATACTGTGGACAACATTACTCTTTAGAGAGTAGCTGCACTAACAGACTTGATGCTTCAATCAAAGTGAACATTTACAAACATTGAAGCTCTTGAAGCAAACCCAGTATCAGCAGGATCACAGCAAAGAGGGTTAAAAACATTTATTAGCATACATGTTGTATTTGTGAGAGAAAAATCAAAATGAATGTGGACCTTCAAGTGATAAAGTTATAATAAATCTATCGATTGTTTTCTGTACTTAAAAACAATGTTATTCACATCACATTCTTTCTTGTAATGTTCTCTGCTTTAAATATAATTTGTTTTTTTATTAATATTCTCAATATTAACATTCTTCACTCTCTTTTTGGGGGTTAGTATGTATCTTTGTATATCTAAATGAAATGCAGTTAAATATATCAATCTGTTCATCCTCCTCCAGATACAGCCAAGACCTTAGAGTTCTATATTCCCTACCACATCCTTTTCTCTTCCTTGTAATGGGTTTCTTAACATGGATTCTTTACTCGTGGATATAAGAAAATTTTAACAACTCTTTTTCTCCTTCACGAATTGGTTGAAGAATGGACACAGGCTCTAAGCTTGGTCAATGAATCATCAGGGAATATCTATGTGGAGCTTCTGGAAAAAACATTCCTCACTACTTTTTTTTTTCCCAATAAATAGGCACAGAATAGGTTCAGTTATTCCTCTGAGCTAGTTATTCCTGGATACCATTTATGGAACTGCTACAGTTAATATATGACTGAATACTTGCAGTCAAATTCAAGTTGCTCTTGAGGTCAAAGCAATAGCTCAAAGGTCCTTGTTAATATCAGTTAGCCACTGATGTACTAACCTAGTATTGACCTTACTTCTTGATTTATATTGAATAGTCATTTTTATAATAATTTAAACCCCTTCAGTTTTCTGTTTATTGAAACCGAAAGCATTGAAAACATATAAATAATTAGTTTATTCTGCTTCTGTCTCCTTCTTGCTTTCTTGATCTCTCAAGAGCAGGGTCTTTGAACCAAAGAAGAAAAATTAAATGCAAAATTCTGAACTCCAATCTTTATTGGATCTTTGAGGAAGGCCTGTGTATGGTAGCTGTTTCAGTCTCTGCCTGAGAATGTCTTTCTTTCTCATTACTGAATGATAACGCTACTGCATACATAATTATATTTTTGTAATGATTTTCTTTCAGTTATCTGAATATATTATTTTATTTTCTTTTTGCATGCTAGTTGCTGTTAAAAAGGCCTAATGTTGGTCCAATTGTTAGCTGTGAGTGGTTAATTTTCTTATGAAATCGTATTTGCTTACATTTATTATGCTCTCTTTGCCTCTGATGTTTTCAAATTTCATTTTGGTATGTCTAGGTGTAGATTTATTTTTATTTATACTTCTCAAGAAACTAGGATTATTTTAGGTTGAAGAAAAATCCTTGTATTTTTCTTGAATTGTAGATAATCACCTGTCATTATCCTTTTAATCACTTCATTTTCTTCATTTTATCTTTTAATGTTCATTAAATTTAAACTTGACCTTTTCATCCACTGTATTTCTTATGTTCTTCTTTACTTATTTATTCTCTTTGTATTTTAGATGTGCATTCTGGACACTTGCCCAAATCTCTCTTCTAATATATTGTCCTTTGTGTGTGTGTGAGACTGAATCTTGCTCTGTCTCCCAGGCTGGAGTGCAGTGGCATGATCTCTCCTCACTGCAACCTCTGCTTCCCAGGTTCAAGTGATTCTCCTGCCTCAGCCTCCCAAGTAGCTGGGACGACAGGCACATGCCACCATGCCCAGCTAATTTTTGTACTTTTAGTGGAAACAAGGTTTCACCGTTGGGCAGACTGGTCTTGAACTCCTGACCTCACATGATCCACCTGCCACGCCTCCCAAAGTGCTAGGATTACAGACGTGAACCAACACACCCGGCCTTAATGTACTGTCTTTTTTATTGCATGTGTAATCTACTCTTCACTACAACTATCAATGTTTTAGTTAACATTAAAGAAATTAGAAATTAAAAACGGTAGTTTTCAAAAAGTGGCATTTATTTATAAATCTACTCTTCTTACTTTAGATATTTTTCTTAATCTTGCCTTTAATTAAAAAAAGTTTATTGGCTACTCTAATGTACATTGAGCATCTATTTTGCCTTTTATAAAGGATATCTGCTGATATCTTATGGAGGTTGCAAAATTTTACTGCGATATCATTTTCAACAGGTTCTGTGTTTCATGGAGACTCATAAACCTGACCTCAGGAAGCAGTTTAAGGTGCATATTTTTATTTGTTTCTCCAGATACTCACAGATTAATTAAATCTGGGCCAAACATCATTTTAGTTTAGCCACTTAAGCTTCTTGTTACAGGTGAGTAGTATGAGTTCAGACCCCATGTTTTCAGATGAAGCAGTTTTGATTTTCTAAAGGTAAATGCATGATTTTTTTTTCCTAGCCACAGCCCTGGGCATCCAGTTTTCAGCCTACCCATGGCTAGAGGATTCAGTCTTTCAAGAACATGATTTAATAACTATTAATCTGTCTACACACATTTCCTTGGTGATTTCATCCTGTCTAGTGGCTTTAAATATCATCTATACACTAATGATTTCCAAATTTACATCTTTAACCCAGACATTTTCCATTTATTCTGAACTCATATATCCAGCTGTCTACTTAACTGCTACATTTAGTTTTCTAATAGGCATCTCAGCTTTTACATAGCTTATGACAAAGTTTGGATCTTTCTGACAAAAATTGCACTTCCAATAGTCTTCCTGATTTCAGTTAATGACTCTCTGCTTTTATGTCTCAAACAAGTATTTTGGGTCATCTTTGATTTTCTGTAACTCTCACACACATATACAGTGTGTTGGCAAATCCTAATGACTCTGCTTTTAGACTAATATCCAAGATATGACCATTCTGAACACCTTCACTGTTACACGCCTGGTTCCAACCCCCATCATCTCCAACCTGGATTAGTACCATACCAATGTAATTTCACTTCCTGCTTTTACCCCTAACAACCTTAAAAGTATACATATGACCTGGCAGCTCATTAACAATATGATCTAGATTATTTATATTTGCATACTCATTTTGTATTACTCTTTATATTTGCTTTGTTCCAACCCTAATGGTCACTTTACTTTTTCTTGGAAGGCTCCTTACTGCAGATTTTATATTTGTGGTCTCTTCTGCTTGGAGTACTTTTTCCCTGGGAATACCTCTGGATATATTTTGCAAGTCTTGACTCACTTCCATGAAGGCTTAACTCGGTTATTTTTAAATAAGTCTTCTCAAGTGACTCGATATGGATTTGCAGAAATCCCCATATTTCTTATATCTTTTGCTTTTTATTTTTGTCAATATCACCTGTCACAGTCTAATGTATAACACCTTACTTTTAATCTGTCGCCTCTTTCCTCCACAGCTTAGAATACAAGCTTCTCAAGAGCAGAGAGTTTTGCTTTCTTTTCCCACCCTCCTTTCCTTTCTTCCCTCCTTTCTCTCTTTTTTATCTCTTTTTCTTTTTTCTCTTTTTCCTTTCTTCTCTACTACGAGTGCTTAGTACACAATAGACCCTCAACCAATGCTTGTTCAATGGATAAATTTAAAAATAAAACAAAAAGTAAAATAGCAGTACGCAGACCTTTGCATCTCCACCCAGATTTAGGGAACTCACTTTCTGTCCATCCCATGCACCAGCCTAAGCTTTGAATATAAAGACTTCACTTCCTAAATGTATGCTGGGTTTAATTGTCCCAATTAGGTCTTACTCAGGCTCCAATGCCCCTTTGGCATTCCTTTGTCATACTTCATTCAGAATATCTTTGTGTTTAGAGTAGGAGAAGAGAAGTTTCTCATATCAGCTCAGTCCGACACGTTGACACATGGACAAGTCTTAGTGTTTTCTTTATATGAGAGACTATATCTAGAGATTGGAAACTACCTGGATATTAAGTGCCACTTGCACAATTACCTGAATAACCCTCATTTGTCACAGAGATGGTATTTATAAGACAATATAGACCGGGCTTGGTGGCTCACGCCTATAATCCCAGCACTTTGGGAGGCCGAGGCAGGCTGATCATGAGGTCAGAAGTTCAAGACCAGTTTGGCCAACATAGTGAAACCCTGTCTCTATTAAAAATACAAAAAATTAGCCAGGTGTGGTGGTGTACACCTGTAATTCCAGCTACTCAGGAGGCTGAGGCAGGAGAATCGTGTGAACCCAGAGGGCGGAGGTTGCAGTGAGCAGAGATTGTGCCATTGCACTCCAGCCTGGGTGATAGTGCAAGACTCCATCTCAAAAAAAACAAAAAAACAAAACAAAAAACAAACCATGTCATGAGGCAGAAACAATAAGCAAAAAGCAAATCAAATGTGAATCCCTGATAAATGTGTATCAGATTTCTTTAGTTAATCAATTCTGACATCTGTTTTTCACACTAACCACCATTTAGCACTCTCTGACTCACTAAGGAAAGGCTCTAATATTGACTAAATATTAGTCAACAAAAAAGTTAAAAATGCATTAAATAACTAAATTTGTCGATTTGAAAACATCCTAAATTTAGAGGCTAAGTCAGCCATCACCACAACATGAATTCTTTTAACTTAGTTGTACAGCAAATACATTTTATCTCAGAAAATATTCCATTAATTCTATTAAATAATCAACTTATTGCAAAAGTCAAGAATAAGTTAAGATGACTGGATTTGAATTATCTTGATAGATATTATTGGCAAAGAACAGTGTAAATGTAGTCAAGCAGCCAATTTTAATCTGTATTCTAGAGGTTCTCCAAAGGCCTGAAATTCCACACTTAAAAAGTAAACACAAAACAAAGAAAGACTGGGACGAAATTTATTTTTCACTTAATTTATTGTGTATGTTGAGTCCTTTCTCACCTCCTCTCCTTTGGCTTGGTCCAGCAACAGAAATGGCATCCTCCATAGTTACAACTTAGTCATACGTTCCTCTTGTGCTCCGTCTCTATGCCTGACCAAAAATTCCTTGGAAAGTCTTCATTGAAAACTTAGTCCATGTTACTTTCCTTCTTTAAATTCCTAAAGCAATTTCTTGTTTTCAACTTGATATTTACACATGTATTGACTTACATTGTGATTTCTGTTTGTCTTTCTGGTTTAATTTAATGGTGTCAAATATATATATTTTACCTCACCTCCAATTGTGTTTTCAGATTCTTTAGATCAGGGACAGAATATATTTTTCAGTAAACAAATATTCTGATACGCCTACTCTGCGCAAGGAGCATTTTTCTCTTTTTATTTTCTTTTTTAAAAATTCTAAATTTTTTTATTTCCGCAGAGCATCACGTGCAGAAAATACCCACGCAACCAGCTTGAAATCAATTACTTTATGCTCTTGGTATTTTAACTAGTGCTAATTTTCAAAAGCTGGGGTAAAGTCGTTGAAGACTTGGGAGTGGGATTTTGCAAAACGAATGTTTGCATCACGTGTCATACCAAAACAGATATGAATCAGCAGGGGATAAATGAGATTCCAAAATCAGCAGATAACTTCATTTTAGCATTCATTCTGTTTTTGAATTAGCAACATGAACAACATCCAATTTATTTTCTCAACATTGCACAACAGCATCAAACACACATTCCGGCATTCACTGTGTTTGTATCTGTGTTCACATCTGAACCTGGAACTATTCCATACCTTATTGCATTTCTTCTGAATACATTCAGCTTGGGGATTTCATGGTGATCAAAGAGCTCTCAGAACATAAGTTGCAATATGTTGCTTTTAGCAATTCAACATATTCATTCATTGAAAATTCCATCTTTTTGCATTTATTTTCCCACCAACATGTGCATATACATCAACACATTTGCATAAAGTATTCAAAGAATAAGCATATAGGAATGCTTTTTCTCCCAAGAATTTTGTGAAGTTTCCAATAGTCCAAAGTTGCCATGTTTCCCTGTTGGTCAAATTCCCTTTTCAGTGTTAATAAGGTATTGTGAAGTGTGGGATGTTTTAGGGAACTCTTTGTGATTGAATTATTTCATTTCAAACCAAAGTAGGCTTTTTTTTGTTTGTGAAGAGTTACTGGGTACCAAGAGCTGAATTTGTTTTCCAGTGAAAACTTATCTTCCTCATCCTGTGACTACAACAATGAGATAGAGAGATGACCCCTTTATGCCCAAAGAGTTCAAAATTTTTAACACCAAGTTTTTAAGTTCAGCTCTCTGATGGATGTGAATAAAGCCACATTTAAGTTAGCAAAATGCAGGTACAGAAACAAAATGCTGGTAATGTCTATTTTTTTTCTCTCTGACCCACACAGGTATCTCATCCTCAACTTCACTGTTTTCTACAAATTTGTCTAAGCAATAAACTAGGTGTTTCTGTTATTGTTGTGGTTGTTTTGCTTTTTTTTTTTTCTCCAATGTCCTTAATTTGGAACTCTGCTCTTTTCTTCTTCATCCAAGGCCAAAACTTCTTCCGAGCCTTTTGTCAATTCTCACTTCAGTCCCACTGATTTTTTGATTGTTATCTCTTATCTATGTCTCCAGTTCAAGGCCACTGGCAGCTTTGCAGAGGGGTTATAGATTTTTATTTACTCTCTGGCATTTCTCTTTCTGACTCACGTTGCTGGTGAGAAGCCATGAAAAATTCTTTAAAAATTTGACTGTTTGATTTCCCTGAAAGCTCGGGGAATGTGGCATCTTCTCCATTCGTTCATTCTGTCCTTCATAAATCACTTCAACAAAAAATCACTGCTGATTTTTATGAGCACCACACTGGGCATAAGGAATATACATTTCTGTATTTAGGCCTTATTGTAAAATTAAAAATAGTGCGATTTAGTTGAGGTGAGCAGAAATATAATCAAATCATAATTCAGTGTAGTAAGTCCCTAATAGAAGCAACTCTAGAAATATGGAAAAGGGAACAACTTACTGTACCTGGGGTAAATGAGTAGATATCACCAGGGTTGTTGTATGGAATCTATGTCTAACAGGGTAAGTTTGATTTTACCAGGTGTTGTAGAGGGCAAAATTATTATTAGAGTATCCTCAAGGAGACATGAAAGTACCTACCACTTCAGTATAGTAGAGTGAGAGTAAAAACATGATTATTAATCTACAAAAATGATGACTATGGAAGCCAATCTTATGTATTTTCACAACACACTAATTGACTGAGATAGAACAAAATCAGACTGTGCTTGGCAGAGCATTTGTTAAAACATACCAACATTCATCATCTCTCCTTTTGAACTGAAGTTGTGATAGGTATTGCAAAACTGACAACATTTTTATTCACTTTGTTTATCTTACTTTGGTGAAAGAACTCATGATACTGTGGGAATCTTTTGGTGAATGGAAGTTCTCACGAGTGAATGAAAAGTCATATTGAATAAATACTGTTGAATAAAAAATGTAAAATCTACTCTGGGAAAATATGGCCTTATTGACATTTTTTTCCTCACATAAATGATAACTCCCTTCATGTAAGATTTCACTTCCCAAACAAAAATGACATGACTTTTGTTTTGTGGCCATGAAATTTTGTAATCAAGCAGTCATTACAGTCACTTGTGAAATAAAATTTATTGAGTTATTAAAAGAAAATTTAAAATTTACATTTATTCCTGTCTTTGTAATTTGCTTTTGGAAAAAAAAAAAACACTTTCAATCTGATAAAAGAAATCTATGAAAAACACAAAATGTTTTGTCACTAAGATCAGAGACAAGACCAGGCTGTCCACTGTCACCAGTTGAATTCCACATTGTATTGGGGATTCTAAACAGTAGAATCAGAAAAAGAAAACAAGTAGAAGTCATCTAAACTGGAAAGTAAAACTATCTTTAATCTTACATGATATAATTATCATTTAAGGTAGATTAAAGTAATTGTCATTTAAGGTAGAAAATCCTTTGAGGACAAGCAAACTACCATTCCTAGATCAAGTGTGGTCAGTTTCCTATTTATTGTATGATGTTTAAGCTAAAAAGCTGAGAAGAAGAAGAAAAAGAAGGAGAAGGAGAAGGAGTAGGAAAAGAAAAGAAGATAGAGATCTTATGTTGCCTACAAAGCCTGAAATAATTATTGTCTACAACCTTGACAGAAAAAGTTTGCCTACTTCTGGATTACACAAAAAAGCTACTAAAACCCACAAGTGAACTTAGAAAAAACTGTAGTCATTTCACTCCTAGATACTTTCACAAATGAATAATTATGGATATATTCCTATAAAATTGCTCATATCCTAATTTTCCTAGCAATTTTATTTATAATTACCTAAAATTGGAAACAATCCAAATGTGCATCAATATGTAAATAGTTAAGTAAATTATGGCATATCAATACAATGGAATGCTACTTAGCAATAAAAAATAATAATAAACTTGTGATACACAAACTGACATGAATGAATCACACAATAAGTATACTGAGCAAAATGTGTCAATCAAAAAAGAGCATATATTCTATGGATTTAATAAACATAAAATTATGGAATTTGAAATTTAAACTACAACAGTGGAAAGAGCAGTGGTTGCTTGGGGATAAGGAGCATCCAGATGTGAGAGGCTAGAGAAAAAGGAGAATTAGGAAACCTTTGGAGGTGGTGGATAGTTTCATTATCTTGATTGAGGCAATGGTTTCACAGATGCATACTATGTCAAAGGGCATTAAGTTGTATACTTTACACATGTGTAGTTTATTATATATCAATTTCATTTTAATAAAACTGTAAACAAAATGAGTGGAATAAAGTTAAGGCAGAGCTTACAGGGAAATTTATAGCCTTATATGTATACGTCAGAAAGGGCCACTTTTACAATCAATATTCTATTCTTCCACTTTAAGAAATTAAAAAACAAAATACAACAGTAAATCCAAAAAGAAACAAGAAAATAATAAAGTCATAAAATAGAAAACAAAAAAGTAGTAGGCAAATTATCAAGGCCAAATTGCTTATGTAAAAAGATTAATTAAATTGAAGAACCTCTAGTTACAATGATAAAAAACACAGAAAAAGATAAAGGGTAGTACCAATAACAAGCATGAAAAAAGAGGCATCAGTGTAGGTTCTAGAGCCATTACAAATATAAAAAGGGGTTATATGTACAAACCGTATGTCAACAAACTTAAGAACTGCTATGAAATTTTTTAAAATATTGGTATACAATTTTTTTTTTTTTTGAGATGGAGTCTCACTCTGTCACCTAGGCTGGAGTGCAGTGGAGCAATCTCAGCTCACTGCAACCTCCACCTCCCAGGTTCAAGCGATTCTCCTGCCTCAGCCTCTCAAGCAGATGGGATTACAGGCGCCCACCACCATGCTTGGCTAATTTTTGTATTATTAGCAGAGACAGGGTTTCACCATGTTGGCCAGGCTGGTCTCAAAGGCCTGACCTCAAGTGATCCACCCGCCTCAGCTTCCCAAAGTGCTGGGATTACAGGTGTGAGCCACTGCGTCCGGGCAGTATCGAAATAGAAAATATGAATAATGTTATATCTATTTAATAAATTAGATCCATAATTTAAAATCTCCCTCAAAGGAACACCAACCAGTAAGTTCTCATTGATGAATTCTACAAGCATTTAAGCATTTCAGGAAAAATATGAATTTTCACAAATATTCTCAAAATTAAAAGAAGAAAGCATATTTTATCTCATTTTACTTGATCAGTACAATCCTAATACAAAACCTGAATGCAATCTTAAGTAAAGAAAACTACACATGCCAATTCCTCTTATTTTTGTGTCTTATTGAAATAAAACTTGTCTCCTTACAATTTCAGCAGAATTATATATTTTAGAGGCATTATAATACACATAACAGA
Source organism: Homo sapiens (assembly GCF_000001405.40). Lineage (NCBI taxonomy): Eukaryota > Metazoa > Chordata > Mammalia > Primates > Hominidae > Homo > Homo sapiens. The sequence goes on from NC_000018.10 coordinate 40,527,619, forward strand.
AGCTTTTATATGCACATGTGTTTATATACATGTGTATGTACAATACATAATCACACATACATTTTTTTCTTTTCTTTTTCTGGACATTTGTCTTACACTACAAAAACAAAGTAACTCTATATAAGTTACATATATTTACCTATAGTGTTCAACCTAGCTATTTTGAAACCAAAAACCACAAACAATTTTTGTTTAGCAATTAAGCTTCTTTAGTGTTTCCCCAAATCGATTCTATCATATATCTTTATTTTAATTATTCCAAATCCATAAACTCAGTATTAAAATATTACACTCTAAATTAAAATACGCAAAAATACATTACAGAGGTCTTTTCTTCATGTCTTCAAAATTATCAATTTTTTTGACCTCAATTTTTTTTTCTGTAATTAAAATGTTATTAGAATAATTATTCCAGCTGAAATACACAGGTGTATTGGAAGATTTTTAAATGACCATTTGAAGAAAGACCTATTTTATTTATTGTCATTTGACAACCATTAAGCACAATTTCCTCTTGTTCAGGGCAAACTGTGGCCCAGTGAACAACAAGTCTGAAATGATTATGGCATTTACACATGCTTATCTGGACAGATATAATTGTTCAAATACACCTGCTGTATTTGGACATCTATTCAGAATCTTAAAAAAAAAAAAGGTGGAAAATCCTATTTAGTGCAAATCCTTCTGAGAGTCTGTAGCCCTGGGATAAAATGGTACTGTTGGAATGAGCAGTCTCCTTCAAGATATTCTTTAGGGAGAAAATCTGGGGCTGGTGTTTTCTTTGAGTGAGATTTTGGAATGCAAAAAATATGGAAACATCTGGAAAAGTTTTCTAGAATCCATCATTGTCTCAGTCATGGGTGTAGAGAACTAGCCATGACACTCCACCTTAGAATGCTATCCTGTTCTGGTTCTCTTTGAACACCTGCAAACAGTCCCACCTGCCTTTCTACATGTTATGATCAGAACATCCCTCTCTTCAATGTGATGACCTCTGTCAGCTGAAAATTTGAAAATTTGTGTGTGACACACCATATACAGCATTGGAAACATTATTATCTTTTATGTTCCTCTCATTTTTTTTTTCTTTTTTCAAAAATAAACCAAAATTTTTATAATTTGAGATTGCATCATGTCTCCCATGTTAGGATTCACTTTTTGTCTTAGTCCATTCTCACACTGCTAATAATGACATATGCCAGACTGTGTAATTTATAAGTGAAAGAAGTTTAATTGACTCACATTTCAGCATGGCTGGAGAGGCCTCAGAAAACTTACAGTCATGGTGGAAGGGGAAGCAAACATGTCCTTCTTCACACAGTAGCAGGAAAGAGAATAATGAGTGTCCAGCGAAAGGTGAAGCCCCGTATTAAACCATTAGATCTTGTGAGAACTAACTCACTATCATGAGAACAGGTTGGGGGAATCACCCCCATGATTCAATTATGTCTAACTGTTCCCTCCTATGACGCATGGGGATTATGGGAATTGCAATTCAAGTTGAGATTTGGGATGGGACAAAGCCAGACCATATCACTTTTTAATGTTCAAAGAGAGAGACTATTAAGAAAGTCAAAATCTAACAAATGGAGTTTAAGAGATTACAGGTGGGTTCCTGGGAAAGATTTCTCCCCTAATTAAAAAAAGAATCAGTGAAGAGAAGTATATCTTTATGATGATTCTGGATCTGGTTATGTGAGAATAAGTAATCTTAGACTTTCCAACTATCTTAGAATCATGGGTGGTGGGCAGAAGAGCTAGCCTGCCAACCTTAAAATGATGGAGCAGAGAGATAGAAACTCTGTAATGATATTGTTGAACTGCTGATTTGATCAATCAATCCCTAATTCCAGACTTCTTAATAGGAATAATGCTAATGCTTTCTTATTTTAAGGCACTCAAATTTTAAAGCTAACTGAAACTAAAAGCTCTTTTTCATGTCAACAGAACATGGCTGCACTGGCAATGGTTCAACTTCATTAATTCAACCAGGCAGTGATGGTTCAATGTTTTGAGTCATCTCTCCACATAGCAACAGTCAGCAAGCTTTTTCTGTAAATGACGAGGTAGTAACTATTTTGGGCCACAAGGTGTCTGTCACAACTATTCAACTCTGTCCTTAAAGTATTAATATGAAAGCAGCTATGGAAAAGGCATAAATAAATGAGTGTGCCTGTGTTCTAATAAAACTTTATTTAAATCTCACAGCAGGCTGGGTCAGAGTTTGCTAATCTCTTCTCTATAACACCTGCACTGGGATAGAAATAGAGGCATTCAATGTTTTCCCTAAAAGGAATGTTATCATGGGAATTTCAGAAAATATATCAGCATCATTCTGTATTGGCTTACAAGGTAAGCCAACCGTGATGCATGCTCTGGAGTTAAAAAGGGTCATTGTACCTGGACACACACAAAGATCAAATGTGTACTATGACAAGCAGAAAAAAAGCAGGGTGGTTGTGGGACAGGGTGTTGTCTACCATAAAGGGTAAGGGATAAGATTTTCTTCATGGGGACAGGCATGAAGGATACATAGGGAAGAGTGTAAATATTCAAAAACAGCAAAAAGGTATACAAAAGAAAACAGTGAATACTGAAGTCAAATGTCAGCTTTCTTAATAAAAAACCTGCTATAAGAACAAATGCTGAGACTTTCAAATTTCTATCACCTTTCTTAGAAGACTTCCACATCACAAATACTTTTTACTGTTACATGTGAATAGCATGACAAGTAATTGAACAGCACAGGCTTCAAATATTATTTACCTTATTTTTTAGTGCTTTTATCTCATCTCTCCATCTAATGGAGAGGTAGCTTTTAAGAAAGATGGGCAGACTATAGATGTGATATGAGAAGTCCTTCTGAAAGATTCTCATGCACCTGATTAGTTCTTCCCAAACTTTTTGCCTCAATGATTGCAGTAATCCTGGAAGAGTAACAATAATTTAAAAGGTATATCCAATAAAAAAATTTATTAATTATTCAGATCAGAGTCAATGTATGGTTCCTTTTTAAATATGAAACACTTTTTACACTACACTTTTATACATTTGCCCATGTATAATAAAAATGATAATAATCATTCATAGATTCAACACAGTATCAACAAGCTGATATTAGGGCCTGCCACAGAATGCTGCTAAGGTTACATAGAACTCTATTAGGAGTTCTTACCTAAAGGAGACTCTGGTAGAGGCAAAGCAAGAAAACACGAATTAAAACACAAGTTCTCTAAAACATTAAGTTTATGCGAGCATGAGTGAATTAGGAGATTAATCAGAAGAGAGCCTCCCATTTTTTAACATGTGTGAGGTGAGTGAAGCATGATATTCTTCCTTGCATTTCCAGAGCAAGACAAGTCTTCTGCTGATGGAAAAAAAAATTGCTCACTCAGTAGTTTCTTTGTTTTCCTCTTTGTAGCACTCCTGGCACCACACTCCAGAATGGATAAATTAAAATGGTTTCTGCCTAATCCCCTCAGAGAGGTTTGATTGTGCATAGACTATAGTATTTTAGTTGAGCAGGCTTAAAACATTATGCCTTTGAAAGCCTAATAGTTGTGTTGGTGTAATCAATTCTAATATGTAACATTTGGGATGTATGTGCAACTCTCCCAGGCCTCGTTTTTGCAATAAGAGAGGGAAGGCGATGAGTCATTGCTGGTCTATATAGGAACATGAAGAAGAGCTGCTTACCAATCAGAAAAAAGCACACTCTATTTCACAGCAGGAAATGCTTCCACCCACCCCTGCCTGGAGAGAGAAAAGGACAGAAAATTCAATAAGCCTGGAATTTAGGAAATTCAGTGATGAGCACAAAAAAAGTGATGAAGATAAATTTCGTCAATCTTTTTGCAGCAAGACAGGTGGGGTCCACCCAGGTAGTCTGGTACCAGTGGTCCGCAGGAGTCTTGGAGGTAGAACAGCTAACTGGACACTGGACAAGCCTAACAACCTGTCTCTGCTTGGAAAGCTTGTAGGCCAGGGTCAGAAAAATAAGGGTTTGTTGCCATAAGACCTCTCCAAGAACGTGAGATCTAATAGCTTCTGTGCTTGCATTTTCCTTCTGCAAAACACAAACCATTGTGCAAGAACACCTAAAATATTTTGCTCCTTGAAGGTCCAAAATTTTATATGCAACAAAGCTTTTTGATTTTACAAACATTTTCTTCATTTTAAAATTAAACATCATAGTTTGAGATAATTGTAGGATCGCATTCAGATGTAAGAAATAATACAGAGACATCCTGTATACCCTTACCCAGATTCTACCATGATAGCATCCTACGTAATCATAATACAGATCAATATCACAACTGGAAAACTGACGTTGATGCATCCCTTCAAACTTGTTTAGATTCTACCAGTTTTATATGCAATCCTCTATGTATGTGTCTATGTGTTAGCACTATGCAGTTTGATTGCCTGTGTGTATCTATCACCACAGTCAAAATACTAAACAATTCCCTTATAGCAAGGATCACTCCTGTTGCCTTTTATAGTCATACCACCATCCTCCTTCCTCTCTTCTGACTACTGTTAACTGCTCTACATCACTACAATGTTGTTATTTCAAGAATATTATCGAAATGAAATCATATGGTATATTTGTCTTTTGGAACTATCTTTTTTCATTCATCATAATTATCTTGGGATTCATCCAAGTTATGTGTGTATCAAAATATGTTACTTTATATTGCTTCATGGTGTTCCATCTGAGGATGTATCAGTTTGTCTAATCATTCACTCAGTGAAAGACATTTGAATAGTTTTCAGTTTTTACACTGTTGGGAATAAAGCTGCTTTAAATATCCATGTAAAGGCTTTTTTTCTTTTCTTTTCTTTTTCTTTTTCATTTTTTTCTTTTGGAATGCATACTTCCATTCCTCTGTAATAGGTAGCTAAGAGTTCAATTGTTTGGCTAGATGATTATTGCATATTTAGTTCTATAAGACATTGTCAAACTTCTCTCCAGAGTGGCTTGTCCATTTTACATTTGCATCAGCAATATATGAATGATTGAGAAACTGGAATGATCTAGTTTATTCACATCCTCCCTAGTATTTGCTATTACTACTGTTTTTTTTTTTTTTACCTCTTTTTGATAGGCAGGTAGTGATATCTCATTGTGGTTTTAATTTCATTTCCCTAATGGATAATAATATTAATATTTTGTTATGTGATCCTTTGCCATCTGCAGATCCTGTTTAGTATAATATCCTATCTTTTGTCCATTTTCTAATTCAATTTTTTGTTACTTTGAGCTTTGAGTATGTTTTACATATTCTAGACACTAGACTTTTGCTGGATATGAGTTTTGAAAATATTTTCTCTTAATCTATAGTTTGGTTTTTCTTTCTCTTAACAGGTTTTACTATGGAGAAAATTTTTAGAATTTTGATGAGTTTAAATTTATCATTTTTTTTTATTTTATGGATCATGATTTTTAGGTCTAAGAAAAGTTTGCCTAGCCCTAGATTCTGAAGACTGTCTCACATTTTACTTTGAAAGTTTTATAGTTTCATGTTTACATTTAAGTCAGTGTTTCCTCCACTAAATTACTTTTGCATCTTTTTTTTAAAAGTTGTGTGCATTTGTGTGAATTTGTTCCTGGGTTCTCTATTCTGTTCCATATATCTCTGTGTCTATTCCTCCATGCTGTTTTTATTACTGTAGCTCTAGAGTAAACCTGGATATTGAGAGGTGATTCCTCCTACTCTATATACTTAAGATTTTTTTCCCTAAGGCCATTTCATTTCCATGTAAATAATAGAATTAATTTGTCTATGTTTACGAAAAATGACTAAGATTTTGACAGAAAGTGCTTTAAACTTCTAGGTTAAATTGGAGGATATTGATGTGTTTTCCACATGAGTCTTTCAAACCATAACATTAGTATTTCTCTCCATTTATTTAAATATATTTTGATTCCATTTCATCAGCATTCAGTTCAGTGCATATTTTGTTAAGTTTATAACTAATTTCATTTTCTTTGGCATGATAGACTTTTCATGTGTATTATGCCCATTTGTCTTGCATGTAACTGCTTCTGGATTTTCTCCCCAACATTGATTCCATCTTCTGTGTATTTCCTTACACTAGTAATTTAACATGAAAAGCTCTCTCTTCCTCTGTCATGATGGCTTCAAATTTTTTCATGAAGGCATTCCAAACAAAATGGGCCTTTATGAGGAGTTCATGTCCTTTGTAGGGACATGGATGAAGCTGGAAACCATCATTCTGAGCAAACTATCGCAAGGACAGAAAACCAAACACCGCATGTTCTCATTCACAGGTGGGAATTGAACAATGAGAACACGTGGACACAGGATGGGGAACATCACACACCAGGGCCTGTGGTGGGGTGGAGGAAGTGGGGAGAGATAGCATTAGGAGATATACCTAATGTAAATGACGAGTTAATGGGTGCAGCACACCAACATGGCATATGTATACATATGTAACAAACCTGCACATTGTGCACATGTACCGTAGAACTTAAAGTATAATTAAAAAATAAATAAATAAATAAAAAGAAAAAAAAGAAAAAGGTGGGCCTTTATTAAAAAAATAGAGAACTGTGTGATTTTCTAAATTATAATTAAAATTCTGGTTCTGCCACTTTGTGCATTCCAAGCAAGTCAGTTCACTTATCTGAATGTTAATTTGATCACATGGGAAAAACATTATTTAAAACTTGTTTACTGATGTGTGTGTATGTCTAAATTTAAAATCATATTCATAGCACTAATTAGAGAAACAGACACATATAGTAGGGGTTCAATAAACAGCATTAATAGCTCCCCAATCTTGATTGTCAATGGCATTTATTGCAGTGTTTATGGATTTGGGCACAAATATTTTATTCAGGTTTTTGTGTGTATTGTATAATTTATTTTTGACATATTTCATGTTGATGTTGTAATTTTTGCTGTGTGTGTGTGTGTGTGTGTGTGTATTGTTTTTATGGAGAATTCGTAAGCTCTACAGAGAAGAGAGACAATGTTATTTTTTACATCTATTGTGGAATATGCTCATCTGATATGTAGCATTGGGAAATGCTATATTCTCTGACCTTTAGATTTTTTCATCCATAAAAAAGAGAAAAAGAGACAATAATACTTAATAAGATTATTGAGAAGTTATAATGAGACCATATGTGAAAGTGGATGTGTAATTTACATATACAGCTGTGAGTCACTTAAGGGCTAGGATACATTCTGAGAAATGTGTCATAAGGAAATTTCATCATTGTGTGAACATCATAAAGTGAACTTACACAAACCACAATAGTACAACTTACTACACACCTGAGCTGTATGTTATAGCCTATTGCTCCCAGTTTTTAAACCTGTACAGCATGCTACTGTACTGAATAGTGTGAGTCATTGTAATGGTATTTGTGTATCTAAACATCTCTTACTATAAATACAGTAAAAATATAGTACTATAGTCTTATATATGAGATCGTGTGTGTGTGTGTGTGCGTGTGTGTGTATGCACATTGTACATGTGGTCCATCATAGATCAAAACATAGTTATGTAGCACATGGCTGTGTTTAATTTTAATAACATTAGAAATTGGATTGCTTTGAGGACCCTGTAAGGCAGCTTTAGGTACATCCTATTTCACATGTAAATAGATAATATTGAGGTATAGATATATTTTTATATATATAGATATATATAGATGATTTACAGAGTAAAATTTTTCAGTAACACAATACTATTTAATAGTCTCTCCCTTAGAATTCTGGAGCTGAAATGAACTGTACAGACAAACAAACTCATTTTGTTTCACATACAGAAAAGAAATATCTCCAAGACAATATAAATAACTTCTCCAAGGTCACTTAGCTGAATGGAGGCAGAGCCAGAAAAAACTCAGGTATCCTGATCTCCAGCCATAAACTGTTTCCTCTAAACCATTTTTCCTCATTTGTGCCCTGCTCTCCCCGGCAGCCTGGCTCAAATTGCTTCCTTACTCATTCATATTTGCTGCCTCCAAACTCATCATACTCTCCCTTCCAGCTCTGAGTCCATATGGCCATGCTCATCTGGGAGGAGGATGTCTGAAATTGCCGCCATCACGCCATCCCCTTCCAACCATGTGAGTAGGCCAGAAAATGACTTTTGGGCACTATTAACCTGAGTTGGCTGGGATTCAGGGACACTGAGGTGAAACACCCTCCATTGTGTTTTTAAGGCCTGGAGCCAGTCTCTGGCCTTCTGCAAACCGTGATTCCTCTGGGAACTTAAAACGCAGTTTCTGTATATTTTTCAGATGACCCCATTGTAAACAGGAGCACAGGGCAGAAAAAAAAAAAAGATCCTATTTACCAGGAGTTACAAAAGAAATATATTCTGAGTGCCCAACGTGGGTGAAAAACTTTGTAAATAAACAAATATAACCTAAATCCTTAGGTCCAGTGAAACATGAAGGTCTCACTCACATATGAAGGATATGCTGTTTACCACTTACTTCTCTTTGCAATCTCTAGGGCAAGACTACTGTGAGCTGAAATACCCAGGGAACACTTTCCAAAAGAAGTAAGAACTGAGATATGTTAGAACAATTCTATGGTATTATGTTTTGTTTTGTTCTGTTGTGATGGCAAATTTCAGAGCCAAATTACCACACTCATAAAAGTGGTATGATTTGCAGTTTCCAAAATTTCCCTTTGCCAAAATATGTTTATTCATATCCTGCCATATTCATGCCATATTCATCATAGTCATGCCACCTAAAATTTCCACAAACATTTCTTCTCTCAATTAAAATAATCAGAGGACTTGCAAAACACACTTATCTAATATATTTTTTCAGGTAATTCTCACTGACAGAAAATTCCATAGACAATGACTCAAAGGAGAGGGTAGTTTTGATAAGGAGATGTAGAGAAGGATCACATATTCATGGTGCTACTTTGGGAGAACTGTTATAGATGAGGTTCTATGGTCAAGGGACAGAGTCATGGGCAGTGGAGGAGGGCGCATGAAGTTCCAGGGTGCCTGACAGGAATAGAGAAAGATAAAGGCAGAGTTAAGGGTAAAAAGGACATCAAAGACACACTTTTTGCATTTTGAAATTCTGCCTAAATCTGCAGAAGAGACCTTCCTCCTGGCCATGGCTCAGCTGGAGCGCAGCTGTTCACAGCAAGCCTGGCATTCATTGGGCTAGTTAAGGACCAAGGCCACCTAGACCAAAGACTGCTAGAGGGCACTGAAAAATAACCTTCTTTCCCCAGAACAGGAGTCAAAGGGCTTGGGACAGATGAGTAGAAAATGTGGCTAACTTCCTGTTCTCTCTGGCCTCAGCTAATGCCTAGGGAAATGAAATTTGTTTGCCCTTTTAACATTTACCTGACTATTTAACTACAAATAGTAATGCTAGCCCTAAAATGATCCTTCATGCTTTAGAGAATCGGCCATTAATGTGTCCAATTGACCTTCTGCAGTAGTGAATTGTCTCCATTGACTACATTTTCCATGTACAAATCTTTAGTAATAAATTTACTGATTCCAGAAGTCAATAAACTGAATGGCTTTTGTGTCCCTAACAGGTATGAATAAATTAGATCTCTAGGCAAATGAACTCAGTGGAAGTTTGTACATTTTCTTTTTGTAAAAGATGGATCTTTGGGGGCTTTCTTTTCTGCTTTCCCGAGTCAGCAGAGGATTGCTCTTATGGCTCATCAACATGCATGTGCACTCCCCATATAAGAAAAGACTTGGTTTAGTCTTGCTTATTCATCACAAAGTCTATGCCTACATATGGCCAACAAATTGAGCATTTTGTGCATGATCCAGATTTGCAGCTGCCTTATGGCTCAGCTGATTGACTCATCAATGCTACAGACTAAATTGGCCACTAAGATACCTTTAAGTCACACACAAAATGTGTATTTATTTCTTTTTTCCATTAGGGTTTATACAGGTAGAATGCATGGTGGTCATTTTTATATAAAACCCAGGTGGTAGTAGGCACTATGCAAAGAGGACCTGGATAAAATATTATTACTATTGACTACATAATCAAGATATATGAAGGAAATCCCCTAAGGTTTCCTTAATGATTCAAAGGGGATAAAATATGAATACCTTTAAGTTATGGTCCTAGCCTTGTTGCTAATGAGGATGTTTGGCTGTACAGAATCATTTAGAATCTTTGCTTTGGATGAATTGGGTTACTTATTAACTCTTTAAAATGCTTTACATTTTGCTGTGCAGTTTTTCAAAAGTTTCTTCTTTTCAGTAATGACTACCATTCACTACTCACTCATATTTTCTAATGCATTTCTTCTTTTGGTCATTCAGCAAGCATTTTTGTAAGCTCACTGTGCTGAATGCTGAGAATAAAATGGTAAATGTATTTGACCCTTCCCAAAATAAAATTTTAGTCTCCTAGGAGAGATAGAACTAATTGTGATAGAGACAGAGAGGGAGAGAGAGAGAGAGAGACTTTGAAAATGACTGCAATAGAATATAAGTAATATGTCTGGGTACAATGGCTCATGCCTGTAATCCAATCACTTTGGGTGACCAAGGTGAGGGACAACTTGAGGCCAGGAGTTTGAGGCCAACCTGGACAACATAGCAAGACTTTATCTCTACAAAAAATAAAAATACAAAATTAGCTGGACATGGTGGCAAATGCCTGTACAGCCCTAGCTACTTGGGATAATTGCTTGAGCCCAGGATTTCAAGGTAAACACAGCTATGGAAGCTCCACTGCACTCCAGCCTAGGTGATGGAATAAAATCCCACTGCTGCTGCTGCTGCTGCAAAAAGGAAGAAGTAATAAAAATAAGGTATGTGAAAAATACCTTATAAAATAAATAAAAAATAAAATAAAATAAATAAAAATACCTCAATAATTACAACAAAATTCTCCAAACTCTACTCCCCACCCCAAAATAAATGAGACTTTAGAATGGAGGGGAATACTTGGGCTTCAACTCAAACATGTTTTCAAGCCAAGTAGGAGGAAATGATAAATTCAAGTAGTATAAATGGCACAAACATCAGCTCAGAGTCATGAAACAGTATGACATATTTGGAAAATTGATAACAGGTGTCATTGGAACACAAACATTGTGAGGAAGCGTGTAAGAAAACTAGGAAATGAGAATGGAGAGACGTACAGTAGGAAGTGATAGGGACCAAACCCTGGGGGTGCCTAAGAGCTTAGGCTATGTTCTCCAGTGAGGAGAGGGAGTAATGTGCATGATTATATTTACACTCTAGAGAGATCATTCAATTAGATGTGAGTAGACACTGTAGTTAAGAAAGCTGATTGAAAGATTACCCCATAGATGTATAAAGAGACTCACATTAGAATAGTGGTAGGCAGAATGCAAAGAACAGCTAGGTAGATGTCAGAGATATGTATGTTCAAAGTAAGAATTAATAAATAATTGGATCTAGAGATAAGAAGAGGAAAGAAACAGTTGAAGGTGATTTGAAAATATCTGGCCTATGTGACTAGGGGCAAGTTAATTCCATTAATTGGCAAGGCAAATATCAGAGCAACATTGTCAGAGTTGGGGCAGAGAAGAGCACAGAAAAGAAGTACAATTTATGGTTCCTTTAGTATATCCAGGTGAAAATAGCCACTTGATCACTGGAAACACCAATTTGGAGCTCAAGAAACATGCTCAGGGTAGACTTATACTTTAGAGAAAATTATACTGGAGGACATAATAATAAAAACTATGCAGTTATATGAAAGCCTCCACATATTAAGAATATATGATCAAGGTAGCCTCAGACAGAGAGGCAGTTGCAAAATTTCTGTGGATTTCACAGTTAAGTAAACACCAAATGGATATCAAATGTCTGTTTCATTTTGTTCTCCAGAGCAGTTTATTCTGCATATTGCTTTATATTTTTAATTTTTACATACTTTCCTTAAGGCTGGCTATTCCCATTAACAAATAGCATTGGCATGATGATCTGTTAAAACATGGCTTTTGTTTCAGAAAAGCATGATATGGAACCAAGCATATTATCAAATGAAGAAAAAAATTAAAAGATGAGGAATATGCTCCATGTCATTGAGAATTCTTAATGTTTTTAATCAAATCTAACTCCATTTCCATAGAGCAACGTGAGTTGTCTTGACTACTTTATGCTGAGTTATTCACAGAATATTTCTCAGAAAAGGTGAGATGTGAAACCCATTTAAAAAATGGGCTGGATGAACAGATAGAGAAAGAGCTTGATAGTCACTTAAGAGAATGAATATAAATTATCAAGTTTTTGCATCAGGCAGAGAAGAACTTAACAAAAAGAACCTAGGGTTAATGAATCTTGGATTCATTAACAGAAAACACAATGTCCAGCCTCCTGTTCATGGACAAAGTCTTATAAGAAATTACTGTAGTTTCTTATTCCATACGTTTGTCTCTGGCTAAAGCTTCAACTGCTTCTATGAAACTAACATCTTTAGTGTCATCCAGGATTGCTTTATTGCTACACGCAGGGGACATTTATGCTGGATCACTCTTTAGCTTTTCCCGTTGTGAAATATTCTTCATTGTCAATTCTTTCTTTCATTAATTTTTGCTATGTCTTATTCTTCTATTGGTCTTTTAAACCTGTTAGACACTTGTTCTCAGGCTTCTTTTTTTTAATTCTTATTCTTAAAATCTTTTTTACCACAAAATAAAAAATAAATACAGGTGCAAAATTTCCTTGTAACTAACACCTAAGTCAAGAAACAGTTTTCCCAGCCACTCCAGAAAGCCTATCCCTGTGCTAATTAGACTCTTCTCTTCCACTAAGAGAAGCCACTATTTTGACTTATAGAATAAGTGCCTATGGTACATCCTTAAACCCTATGGTTTTTCCCTTTATTTAAATGTCTTTAAGTCTGAATGTTCCACAGACTCTCTGTGACCCCACCTTCATTTGTGGCAGAATCTGCCTTATTCAAGGAAAGAAATATTTCTTGAGCCCCTATTGTGTGCTGTCTTGTAATTGACTCTTCATTTTATAGGTCAGGTAAGAGGTAAGGAGAAGTTTGACTTCCTATCTTCCTAACTAGTATAAGGGCAGGGAGGGGATGAGGAGATAGCAAAAGAATATTCACTCCCCAAACTCAGTGTTCTTTCCACATACTCCTCAAATTTCCAGCCAAATGATTAATCTCATGGACAAAGCTTCTAGGAGAGGAAATGGAAATTCCAGAGAGGGGCAAAAGGAGCCACCTGGAATATGTGCTACAGGCTACTGTGCTTAACCACTCCCAGGAATGTGGAGACGTGCATGTCCATGAAACTGAATACAGTAACAGCACACAGTGAGTGCGCCATTACTCTGTTCCCCATGCAAACATGATGGAAATCAGGTGTGTTTTTGGAAACCCTTATTACCTCTCCTGTAATGGTGGAAATAGCAAGACTAGAGACACCAAAAGATTAGCTTAAGGTCACCCTGTAGGTGCTGGCAGAGAAAGAAACAGAAACTTGTCTCTCCCAGTGCCTCACGGAGGTGACCTCAGGAATCTGAGTTTACAATAACGCAGGAACTTAAGGAGCTAATGGTTCCTTGAGCCAGAGGAAACAGACTCAAACTGAATTCTGGGAGAATTTCTTCTGGTGAGTGATGGCCAGTCCAAGAGAGATCTTCCCTGGAGGTCTAGTCCCTACAGATTCCGAGCCAGATTAAAAGCAGGTCTAGAAAACTTACAGCCCAGGACAGCAAATTATTATTGGAGATTTCCATGTAGATGAAGTGCCCATCACTCAGAAGCACATCAACACCACACAGACTGAAGGGACTGGCATTTGCTTTCCATTGTTTTCTGTTTTTCAAAGTACTAGGGGCATGAGGGGCGGCTTGAAAGGGAACTGTCAGGAAGTGAGCACTGGCCAAGCCTGGTGAGAAGCAACACTGAAGAAGACTTCAGCCTCCCTGTATGCATCCTTTATCTCCTAACAAATTTGACTTATCATTATCTACTTCATAAATGAGAAAATGGGCAGGGCACAGTGGCTCATGCTTATAATCCCAGCACTTTGGAGGCCAAGGTGGGCAGATCACTTGAGGCCAGGAGTTCGAGACCAGCCTGGCCAACAGGCAAACCCTCATCTCTACTAAAAATACAAAAATTAGCCCAGGGTGGTGGCGGACGCCTGTAATTCCAGCTTCTTGGGAGGCTGAAGCAGGAGAATCACTTGAAGCCAGGAGGCAGAGGTAGTAGTGAGTGAAGATCATGCCATCGCACTCCAGCCTGGGCTGCAAGAGTGAAACTCTGCCTCAAAATAAATAAAATAAAATAAAATAAAATAAAATAAAATAAAATAAAATAAAATAGAAAATAAGACTAGGTAGCATGGTTCATCCAAACTTCCCCAGCGAGTAAATATCATAGGCTGGGAGTTACTCAGGCAATTTGTTTCTTTTATAAAGCCTGGAAGTTTAACCACAACACTTACTACGGCTTTCCCTTTGATATTTCTGTTGTGCCTGGGACAGTGCTTTTAACTTAATATGTGCTCAATAAATGATTAAAAGAGTGTAAAATAAATTATTGAATTATTCTCTATTCTGGGAGGCAAAAATTGAGTCAAGGAGAAGAATATTAGCAATATGATTATCTGAGAAACGCCAAACACCACCCAGATGAAAATCTAACATATTGTTTTGGTGTAAAACCATTCACACTCCTTACCCAAAAGCGCCAATCAGATGGCACTTTTGAACTCATAGGAGCAAATTTTTTTTTTTTTGCAAAGGGTGTATACAAATTAAAAAAGATTGAGCCACCACTAGCATTTTTTTATTCAAAAATGATAGATTAGACAGATGATAGATAGATAGATAGATAGATAGATAGATAGATAGATAGATAGACAGATAGGCAGGCAAACATGGTTCCTGCATTTTATCATATTTGTAAAATTCTATGTTGCCTTATAATTCGGAAATTTGAATATGATTCTTTGTTCTATCTCATAATTGTGCTACTGTAGATTTAGATAATATATCCCTAACATATGTGTGATGTTAAGGAATGCTAGTGTAGTTGGAAGTAGGAATAGTGTGTTATATTATAGCTTTATTTGTCATTATGAATAGAATTATGTCAAAATGCTCAAAAAGTGCTTTCCATTTTTCTTTTTCACATAGATTTAAAATAATGATTTTCACACTATAAATACACAAATATAACTTTGCTTTACATTTTAATGAATGCATACCTTAATTCATAATTTCAATGCTCATTCAATGTAACAACTTTATTAAGCTTTCAACTGATTTTTTTCTCTCTCTTTCTGAAAGCTGGAGGAAAAGAGCTCATCACTCATTCCATTTCTATAATTATGTCAGAGGAAATCAGTCAAAACAACAAAAATATGGAGAGATGTTTGTATAAGGATAAACTAACAAGTAAAATTATCTAGAAGCATTACGTGAATTCTTAAAGGTGATATAATTTATACCTATAGGATCATGAAGGGAAATAGAGTAGGAATTTGGAGATATCACAAAAGACACTCCAATCTTGCTGTTTACGTCATAAAAGACACTCTCAGGTTTCTAAATAAAACTGTGTTCCCTGATGTCCTCATGAGAGAGAGGGCCCTGTACTTACTACATGCAGAAACAAGGACAATGCCTTAGTCATTAATCCTAATCCAAAGGATGTTGTATTAACTCATATTCTGATACTCATTGCTCCATTGAAATTGGAAGAATCCATGAGAGTTGATCTCTGGAAATGAGTGTTCTATAGATATAAGAAAATGTATGTTATAGATGACTTCATTAAGAAATTACTAACATTAACCACTAATGTTATTATTATTTTCTCCATAACAATAAATCATATAAAATGCGTTTCTTTTGAGTTTTTACACAGGAGAAATTCAGAGGAGGGGAAAACAAGGAATACGTCTGGCCCCTGAATTGTGTTGACCATTCCCCTCCTTTCAATACTAATTTCCCCAAACTAATAAGTTCCCAGCTGCTGCCACAACAAAATATTCCGAGAAGAGACCTCCATATGCTGTTGCAAAGCTGCTCACACTCATCTGCTGTGGGAAGTTTGTAGACCTGAAGTAGCAGCTGCCATACACTTGTTCTCCATTGTAGCTCAACACTGGCTGCGCACAGAAAGGCTGATGCGGCTTGAGAGCAACCAAGTAGGTGAGGGAAAAGTAGTTACTTGGGGATTCCCAGGGAAATTCAACTGCTACTGAGCCTCTGTCAGTAGAAGCTGGGACATAAAACTGCTTCTCCAGAAACATGGATGTTGTTTTTGTCTGAAAGAATAACTCCTTGAGTGAGCCTCCTTCATCTCATTTCGTGATATATGACATGAAATATATGTTATACATTATGTTTTACGTATATGTTATACATATAATATGATGTCTTTTATGTATATGTTATACATATAACATGATGTCCAGTACTTGACAGACTTTTTTTTATTGTGGGAAAAAGCAAATACAAGAAATAAATTATTTTATTTTTAGGGCTAAAGCAATAAATCTCATAAGAAAAGCAACAGCAGATTACTATGGAGCATGCAGATTGAGTTCCGTATGGTAAAGTCCAGTTGGGTAGTCTGTGGACTCTGATATTGGCCATAAAGGAGAAAATAATAGTTACTATCTTAGCAATTTATTGTCATAATGTATTTGCTTATAGATTCATCCTATTTTGCTATAATTTATCCTATTTGACAGAAATAAGGCTGTGTGTTCTCTGAATTCTGTTAAGCACTCCCCCAATATACAACAAGACCTGATGTCCCCACTAGCCTTATATTTGGCAGGTCACCTTTGCCATTGGACTGAGTTATAGCCAAGGAAATGTGGTTGGTTCTGATTTATCTTACTTCCAGGACTGGCACCTAAAAAAGTCACTCACATAATAATGCATATTGTCTTTTTATGTTCATTTGGTCACCAGATACTGGTAAATCATTGTTGGACTCCAAGACCTTTGTAGAATGTTGGCAGTTTCTGTCCCTGAATAGATTATTGGAGGAGAATCATATTAAAGGAATCACCTGAGCAGAAACACCCACATCGGACTGTAACATAATTGAGGAATAATTATTTTTTGTAATGACTTAGATTTGAGTGTTTCATTATAGCAACTAACCTAACTGAATAATACATCCATCTTACCCCAAAAAAGAATTTAATTTTACCGAAGTTAAAATTATTAATTTTAGGTTACACAAATAGTAGGCATCTTTTCTGGAATGCCAATTTAAATAAATCTGAACATGCACACACACACACACACACAGTGTAGACTTCTATCTATTTACTTATGATTTGATTCAGGTAGGAGCCAATTTTCTAAAATGCTCCTTTCTCCCAAGTCATATAATCTCAGAACTCACAATGGTGGCTTACCCTTGGAATAGAGGCCAGGACAATGTCTGCAAAAACAAACAAATCAAGCAATTGTGACAATATCATTGCAGTGTCATTTGATGGGTCAAAAAATTACTCACAGAAAATGGACCACAAAAGCATTACTTGGGACTTTGTTGCTGAAAAAATGAATGCCTGAAGGCAAGCACATTAGGTAAAGAAAAGACTTGTTGTCTGATTTTTTTCCTCCCATGTGATGTCATCATGGTAAAACAGTATCACAAAATAAAGGCCCTACAAGGATACCTTTATCTTTCAAATTCTATGACTACAGAACACTGCATTTTTAAACTTCTAGAGGCAAATTTGTTTGTTACTAATTCTTAACCAATTCTAACTTAGAAACAACATAATCTATAATTGGGATTTTAAAAGAAGAAAAAGAGAAAATATGACCAATATGAAAGCAAGCAATCCAAAGAGCAGTGCAAGAAAATAAAAATGTGAAATCTCTAACAGGGCTGTTCGTGGGCCTTGTCACTTATTATAGTAATATCATGTTAAAATCCTATTAGTGGTTAAACAAAATATCCAGAAGTAAAATAATCAAATCAGCCTTTTATATGTACAGAATTATTAGCAAATTGATTTGAAATGTGGAAGTCAGTGCTAGAAATTGGGGTTTGCAATTTGAAATCTTTCCGCAAAAATGTCTAAATTAACAATGGTTGTTTACCACAGTGGAGGTTATTCTGCTTGCTACCTAAATAAAACCAAAAAATATGTGAAACAGCTAAAACAGAATGGAAATGACTGCAGAATAAGTAAATGAATCCTTATTTTCATAAAAAAATAATAATTTCAAAAGATAATTAGTTAGCAACCTCAAACCTCAACAAGCAATATTTGGATATGGATGAGGGACGATTTGCATTATGGTGAAAATAAGGAAACTCTTGATTATGTCCAAGCAAAATTAATGTAGATTCCCCTAGCATGTGTATTCATGTTATAACAGTACAGAATCCCAAGTCCATGATGCTAAAGCTGTACATCTGAAACTGATCAGATAACAAGAGCGTGATAGAGAGAAAGGAAGAGAAAGAGACCAAAAAAAAAAAATCCCATAATGATTGTGTTTCAAGAGAATGTAAGAGCCGGGCACAGTGGCTCACGCCTATAATCCCAGCACTTTGGGAGCCGAGGTGGGTGGATCACCTGAGGTTGGGAGTTTGAGACCATCCTGACCAACATGGAGAAAACCTGTCTCTATTACAAATTGAAAAATTAGCCGGGCCTGGTGGTGTATGACTGTAATCCCAGCTACTCGGGAGGCTGAGGCAGGAGAATCATTTGAACCCAGGAGGCGGAGGTTGCAGTAAGCCGAGATTGTGCCATTGCACTCCAGCCTGGGCAACAACAGCGAAATTCAGTCTCAAAAAAGAAAAAAAAAAAAAAAAGAATGTAAGAGAAATATAAACAGAGTAAGAAGAAAAGTTCCTAGCTAATGGGTGCAGCTCACTAAGAAGAGGCATGAGTTGTTATATATGTATTTATTTTAGATACTAAATGTATTTAAAACTTGTAGTAACCTAGGTTATTGAGACTTTAAGAGAAAACATATTTTTTTCTACCTTCTGCTTTAAATCCAGAATTCACTGAAGCCATTGAATTTCTTTTAAATTTCCACTTTAAAAAAAACACTCTTATTTTTAAATCATAGCTTTTGTTCCAAAGAACAAATCAGAGAAACAATGTTTTATTTCAGGTTGAACTTGGAGACTATGTATATTTGTCTCCCAGCTTTGAAAACCTGGTGCTGAGAACCAACACACAAAACTATGGCAGGTTCAAATTGCCTGTGAGATTCCTGTCTTCAAATATATTCATCCGATGATTCCCATTTTATCTTTTTTAAATAAAGGTTTTTTGAATCATAAAAAATAAATATGCCATGAGTTTGGAGATTGCTTTCCTCTTTTTCCTGTTGACTGGTTCATGCTGCGTTAGTGGGATAATTCTTTATCCAAAGCGCTGGCACTCTGGTGCCATCAAGCAGTGATGATTTTTGCCTTATTGCATTTAGCAGCACTTCAGCATTATGGCTGCATGCTTCCTCAGGGAACAGGAGGGGGCTGGAAAAAAATAGAAAGAAGCAAAATAAAGACAGAAAGAAATAATCATCGGAGAACATCCTCAGGGAGTACAGAAAAGCAAAAGCCAAAGAAAGTAACAGCTTACAGTGTCATGAAAATTGTGTGAACCTGTAACAGGGGGAAATATGTGTTTGATAGAATTTAAATTATTTAAGACCCTAGAAAGAGATTTTATTCATCTTCTGCTTTCAGAGAAGAAGCATCTGCAAATGATTTTATTTACCTCTTTCCCTTATTTTTTTCCTATCTTTAAATCTTACTTTCAATCTTTAATGCTAGATTGAAATAAGTAAGGTTATTATTCTGCATTGTTGAATTACTTTTTTATTTATTTGTTTTGCTGTGCTACACCTAGTTATAACTGTTGTGATGATATATTATAAGTAGATATCACAAAGTCAACCAAAGTGTAGACAATCTTCCTGTTTTAAATTAACTTCATTTTTGCAGTGTCAAATAGCATTAGATTGTGGCTTTTTGGTATTGGTACCACTGTTTTTGGTGGGACATCATTGTATATGAATAAAACTTTTGAAGGTTGGGCATCATTTATATTCCTTTAGAAGACCAGAAAAAGAGTTGCCTCAACTTCTCCAATTTTTGAAAATAGAAAATTATCTAAAAGGAGAGTGAATGAAGTAGGTAATGTTTTAAAAATTTAAAATATGAGGAAGCACAGAGAGCACACCATGTATTAGTAAGAAAAAATTAGTACCAGCACCAGTAGGAAACAAGCGGTTGTTTTGATGTCAAATATTGTATATATTTTTTCTTTTTATAGCTATTTTGGTCTGAGGTGGTCATTTGTCTATGACTCAGAAGATACTGAAGCCATCTGACTTCTTTGGAGCTGTATTTATCTTAGTGAAGGTTAATGACGTGGTTTCATGGAGCATAGGGAAACAAATCTTAATCTTCAAAATGGGTTCGCTTTTTATAGAGACACAGAATCACAACATGTACAGTAAAACATAAAGAAACTCTAACATCATCTCCTATTTTCCTATGACTCTCAAAAAAACAAAGTGGAGGTTTTCTTCTCAAAGAGTAGAGTTAAGGGTGACATTTTCTCAGCTGTCTAATTATATTGACAACAAAGTAGGGTTGTGAAATCAATTATAATAGGCTGCATGTCCTCAAAGAAACTGAGTCTTTCCTTGTCTGCTGTGGAAGGTCTTTGTAAGTGCTGAGTGGTATGGAACAAATGGACATCTTCTTCTCTTACGCTGTCATAAAGACAAGGATATTAAGCTTTCCTTTGTTGGAAGGTGTTGCATGAAATTCATGCCCTTGTTAAGGTAGCCAGCTATTTAAGGTATTTGCTTCTTAGAAACAAGAACTTCAGAGTGAGCCATGGTGAAAGTTTAGCAAAAGGCCAATATTACTCACCTGGCAGATATAGCACTGGCACCTAAAGTTTAGATGGAGTGGCATCCACTGGCTTTCCAGTAAAGACATTCAGACTATCAGACTATAATTAATTTAAGGACACTTCAGTCAGCAACAAAGTGATATCTTTTTAGGGAGTAAGAGACTCATTGAAAATGGTCATCCAAAAGCGTAATAGGCAGTAGAGAATAAATTAATACTTAATAAGGAACTTAAGTTTCCTAAGTAGACACAGTGATTTTTTAAATAAATTTTAGGGTGCTACATGAACTACAAGTTAGAGTCTTTTTTTTTTTTTTTTTTTTTTTTTTTTTTTTTTGAGACAAGTCTCGCTCTATCGCTCAGGTTGGAGTGCAGTGGTGTGATCCCGGCTCACTGTAAGCTCTGCCTCCCAGGTTCACGCCATTCTCCTGCCTCAGCCTCCCCAGTAGCTG
Source organism: Homo sapiens (assembly GCF_000001405.40). NCBI lineage: Eukaryota > Metazoa > Chordata > Mammalia > Primates > Hominidae > Homo > Homo sapiens. The sequence goes on from NC_000018.10 coordinate 40,548,940, forward strand.
GGACTACAGGAGCCCGCCACCACGCCCAGCTAATTTTTTTTTTTTGTATTTTTTTAGTAGAGACAGGTTTTCACCATGTTAGCCAGGATGGTCTAGATCTCCTGACCTCGTGATCCGCTGGCCTTGGCCTCCCAAAGTGCTGGGATTACTGGAGTGAGCCACCACACCTGGCCTCAAGTTAGAGTCTGAAAAAACATTATACATTAAGTTTTTACATAGTATTTATCTACTGACTATATCCTGTTAGTTTAATAGAAAAGTATTCTCATTTTATAGGAAAGGAAATTGAGACTCCAAGTACTTGTAAGATTTGATAAAGATACCACATAATAATATGCTAAGTCAGAATTCTACGTGGCATTCTAACACACAGCATCAGACTTGAAAACACTGACCCATATTCAACTCCATGAGGTATATCCCATATCAGGGAAGCTGGGTGTCTAGTGGGGAGATTTTAGGCTATGGAGAAAGGGAGATCTATCTTCCAATGCCAGCTTTTCCATCTTCCAGCTGAGAGACCTTGGTAGGATACTTAATCTCACTTGGTTACTGGTCTGCTCATCTATAAAATGGGGTAAATTGGATGCTTATTAGAGGGTTGATGGGAGGATTAGGTGAAATTGTTGCCTTTTTTTTTTTTTTTCTTTTTGAGATGGAGTATCACTCTGTTGCCCAGGCTGGAGTGCAATGGTGCGATTTCCGCTCACTGCAACCTGTGCCTCCGGGGTTCAAGCAATTCTCCTGTCTCAGTCCCTCGTGTAGCTGGGACTAGAGGCACATTCCACCACACAGGCTAATTTTTATATTTTTAGTAGAGATGGGGTTTCACCATATTGATCAGGCTGGTCTTGAACTCTTGACCTCAGGTTATCCACCCACCTTGGCCTCCCAAAGTGCTGGTATTAGAGGTGTGATCCACCACACCTGGCTGGTTGTCATTTTTAATCTATTTTCATTCCACCACTTCCCAGGATTGGAACATAGAGCAACCACTAACTTCACTTGTTCCCATTATCAGTGTCTTGAGAGAAGGATAATATTCTCTGCTTGTGAGACATGGATGCCCAGAGAGGGTAAAGAATGTGGCAATTCTTCTTAATAGAGATCTTACGCCAACTGAGAATTACAATAATAGCTATAATTTATTATTGTGAAAGTGTGTTTCATGCTCTGTAGAAAAATGTAGAGTTGGGAAGCCAACAGATATATCTTGCTATCCTGACTTCAGAGTCCATAGCACTGTCCTCTAGGTTGTATCACCTGATTGCAAATAACACAGAGATAAAAATGATATAGTTCACTTCAGCTACATTTTTCCCTGTCCAGAAGATCCAAGAACTACTTTTAAGATATGACACATTACATTCATGTTACATTGACCACTAAAATGAACACTATGCTCTAACATCAAAGTTTGGGAATATTGTTTTAGAAATAGTATTATAGGAGACATCCAATGAATTGTGTTACTCAGGGGAGAAGAAACAATAGCTGTGTTTTATTTAGCTACCCTGCATCATTCTTGAACCATAGACTCCTGATTAATAGCTCAGTGGGATTCCAGACGGCATACAATATGACCCACTCAGCTTCATAAATTGGAAGATTGAGGCACACAGGATAATAAAACAGTAAATGCCACCTATAATATGTATTGCTAATCAACCTTACACATATTTTAACTTATCAAATATTTTTAAGATTTTTAATAGTGGCTATCCAAATCCCAGAATATTTAAAGTACTCTTTACAGTTCTTGCCCACACCTGGTGATATGGTTTGGCTGTGTCCTCACCCAAATTTAGTCTTGAATTGTAGCTGCATCATCCTCACATGTCATGTCGTGGGAGAGACTAGGTGGAGATAATTGAATTATGAGGGTGATTTCTCCCATCCTGTTCTTGTGATATTGAGTTAGCTCTCATGAAATCTGATGATTTCATAAGGGGCTTCCTCCTCCAGTGGGCACTCATTCTTCTCCTTTTTGCTGCCATGTGAAGACGATGTGTTTACTTCCCCTTCTGCCATGATTGTAAGTTTCCTGAGGCCTCCCCGGTTATGCTGAACTGTGAGACAATTAAATCTCTTTTCTTTATAAATTACCCAGTCTTGGGTATGTCCTTACAGCAGCATGAGAACAGACTAATACAGCTAGAGATTCTGAAAAGTTTTTATGATTGATTAAAATAGAGTCATATTACTCACCATGTAAGGTGGGTTTAAAAGAAAGGTGGTATTTTTTTCCTCGTAGCTCGTCATAGTTTTCTATGGTTACTATAACAAATAGCCTCAGTTTTAGAGTGTTAACACATCGTACATTTGTTATCTTACTGTGCTCAGGGTCCAAAGTCTGACATAAATCTTCTTGGGCTAAAATCAAGGTATTGGCAGGTCTGTATTCCTTCTGGAAACCTTAGGGCAGAATCCATTTATTTACCTTTTCCAGGCTCTATAGCATGCCTGCAATTCTTGGCTAGCAAGCCCCTTCCATCTTCAATGCTAGGGATGGCTCGTTGAGTCTTCCTCACATCTCAACCCTGTGACACCCTGCCTCCATGTCTCAATTCTAAGAACCTTTGGAATAACACTGGGCCCACCTGGATAATCCAGGATTATCCATCCCTCTCAAGGACACGTGATTAGCAAATGTAATTCTATCTGTAACCTTCATTCCCCTTTGCCATGTAATGTAACATATTCATAGGTTATGGGACTTAGGATATGTAAATTTTGGAGAGACCATTATCCTGCCTACCGTATAGACCCTGCCAAGAGGATTCAGAAAACAAGAAGAAAAACCTCTATGCTCTTCAGAAACAACTCATGCAGGAAACTAGAAGCTTGTGTGAATGAATTAGCAGAATTATCACAGTCATGCTCAGAATGACACAAAACTTAAGAATGGCCATAGGATGATCTTATAGTCAATGACACTGATATCCTGCAAAAGAATCTCATCACTTCTAATTATTGCAAATTGTGAGAAATGGGATAGGGGAATGGTAAGGGAGAGCAATTATTCTCATCCAGAGTTTGCCTAAAACACTGTCTCTAGAAGACCAGAATTTTTGATTCCTGGGCCCAACCCCTCAATTCATAACATATGAGCACACTAACCACTGGAACTGAGCTTCCAGCTCTCTTTGACCAGAACTGGATAGGTAAGAAGGTATATACTTTAAATATGAAACATAACAGTTAATTTGGACTAATCTGATCAAGGTGACTGAAGGTAGATATATAGGCAATGATGCTAATAATGGTACCTATGATACATTAGGAAATCAATGAACGTGTATAAATAAATGAATGAGCAAGATACATTATCTTGTATATATACAAATAATGTTACTAACATAGCAACAAATGTTTGGAGTTAAAATAGCTGAAACCTGTAAGATACATTTGTGGCTATAATTAGGAACTGAACATGAAGATGTCAAACACATTCACCAAAATAGAATAACCGCCCAAAACTAACTCAAGGATAAGATTAAAATTTGTTCAATTGTTAATGCAGTTCTAATGAAATACACAGAAATCCTGGGGTTTGACAAATAATGTTCTCCAAAGATACCTATGTCCTAATTTCTGAAACCTGTAAATATGTTATATTATATAGAAAAAGGACTTCACAGATGTAATTAAATTTATGGATCTCAAGGTGAGGGGATTATCCTGAATTATCCAAGTAAATTCAATCCAATTACATTATCTCTTAAAAGCAGATAATTTTGCCTGTTGATATCAGAGAAATGTGATGGAAGAAGAGGCAGGAGAGATTTCAAGTGTGAGAAAAACTTGACCCATAATTGCTGTCTTCAAAGATGGGCAGAGGCCACCACAAGTCAGAGAATGCAGAGGCTTCTAGAAGCTGGGGATAGTCTCATGCTGGTCGCTAGCAAGGGCATGGGACCTCAGTCTTAAAATTGCCAAGAACTGAATTTTGCCAAGAACCTGAATAAGCAGGACACAAATTTGTCCCTAGAGCATTCAGAATGGATCATAAGATTGCAAACACCTTAATGTTAGCCTGGTGTTAGCTGCACTGGACTTCTGACATACAGAAGTGTGAGATAAGTTTGTCTTGTTTTAACTCTGTGGTTGGTAACTCTTCTCACCCTAAAATTAAACAAGTTTTCAAGGTCTCTTCAGCATTAGCTTTTTCATTCAGGAGAGTCTGGGTTAAAAAAGAGCTTTCAAAGCAGGAAATGACTCACTCTGAAAGACCTACCTTGTCTCTATCATTTTATTCAGGCAGAATCAGATGATATTAAATATACACTTGAAGGTGAAAAGATTTCACAAGTGGGTGGTTTCTCCCTCCATGGTGTGAGCCTGGAAGGGTTGCCTGACACATCTCCCTGTTTAAACTTAGGAAATCCTTTCAGATGAATAGCTGAGCCTCCTTTCCTTCTCCTTCTTACCTCCCTCCTTGAATCACTGACCCAGAGTTACCAGTTCAGGGACACTTGAAGTAGAAGCCTGGAATTAATTGCACCAATTTTCTGGGTCTAAGTGATGTCTATCTTGTTGACCCAGGGTTGTAAAGTGAATAGTTACCTGCCAGGATGCGAGAGGTGCTTTGCAGATTCATCTTGGAGGACATTGCGTTACAAAGAAATCTAACAGAGGAAATCTCAACTTTAAATGAGGTTTTGATTTAATCAAGATTTTTTTTTCATTGTTTTTATTCCAATCAGAACTTCTATGTTATGGAATTGAAGATAAAGAATATAATGAAAGCTAAGTTACTCATTGTGGAGCTACCTTGGTCCAGAAATGATATTGGATATCTTGTTACTAAGGATCTTAAATAACTGACTCCAAGCACATTACTTACACTACAATGTACTGGTTTGCAGATGATGCTAAATTGGGAAGAAAGGTCAACCCCGAAAAAAAAACAATCCTCAGGTAGGAGAAGAATAAGCTCACTTAAATACTTGGGCTAATAGATAGAAAATTCAATGCAGATAAATGCAGAATAATGAATCTTGTAGAATGTAATAAAAGAACTTAATATCTGCCTAATAGGAAGGTACTACAGCATATTGACCTGGAGAGATATATGAGTTATTTTAACAGAAACCTATATTAAAGATTATTCAGCTCCATTATTATTGAAAAAATGCAGTATGTTTTGTTAGACCTTACCTAAAGCAGCACATTCAATCTAATCACTACACATACTCCAAGAAGCATATTTAGAATGAGCCTTAAAGGGGCGATTTGTAGAACAAACTAAATGAAAGCACTTATCAGAGACATAAGTTTGGAAGCAATTATAGGGAAAAACTGACCGCTTACTCTTTGGTAAGTCAGACGCATTAGGTAAGGTTGGAACAAAGGGGTGTCAGGACTCAGATAGCAAGTGTATTGCATTTTGAGGACAGAGGTGAGCTGCTCATTAAATCTACCTCTTGTTCTTCAGGATCCACTTTTATCAATGGTCTGACAATTCCATCAACTTCTTCAGCAATTACAAATCCTGTATAACAAATACAACACAGACACTTCTCTCTGACAGTCTGGCTTGTTTGGGGCCAATTTACATTACTGAGGCTCTGGAGTCCAGGCTTTAGATACAACCAATCTCAAATGAGACCATTGGGTGATTAGATTTCTTACAGAGCTTTTGTCTTACTGGTGCCCTGCTGAGATTAAATTCATCTGTGGGTTTCTAGGAAAGTTTAACATTAGAGAGGGCAGGCTGATAAGTACTAATCAAGATCAAAGGTAAGTGATAGGTCAAGACAGAAACAAGAATATGGAGTGATTTGAAAGCACCTAAAGACAGGCACGGTTCTCCTACAAACATAATAATAAACTTTTGTAATCAAAGGAAAAGACAAATTGCTAATTACAAAACTGCCGTTGCAAAGAGATGAAGCTCTCCGCTGCTTACTAGAATCAATTGAAGCACACTCTCAAATACATGTCAGAACACTAATATCTCCACATAACTGTTGTCATGGTATATTTCACTCTTTAGGAAGTCCCTGAGGAATAGTGATTAAACTATTATTACTGATGCAAACTAGGATAATATTTGAGTCTAGACTCTGGAATTGAATATGACCTGTTTTCTAAACCTGGATTTTGTAGCTGTAGGACAGGGCTTCTGAATCACAATACTATTGAAATTTTGGACTGGATGATGCTTTGTTAGGCTATCCTGTGCATTGTAGGATGTTTAGTATCATCCATAACCTCTGTCCACTAGACACCAGTACCAGCCCCCTCTCCTGGCATCCAGTTGTGACAACCAAAAATTTCTCAAGACATTACCATATGTCTTCTGGGGGACAACATTGCCCTTGGTTCTGAATCACTTTTCTAGGAACATGTTACGTATCATCTTAAATCTCAATGTCCTCCTCCATAAAATAGGAATAATAACATTGCCAACAACCAAGTTGTGGTCAGACTTCTAAATGTCTTAGAACTCAAAAGCAGCCTTGTGACTCTCCCAGTAGAAAAACAGAGGGGTAGTTGACTTGTCCACAGACTCACCAATTTTCAGTGTTGGACTTGGAACTCTAACCCAAGTAAGTGAAGAAAACAAAGAAAGGGAAAGATGAATTCTGGGATGTAAACAGAAAACCATTCTGATTACAAGCCCTCTGGCACTCTAAGTGTGTCTACCCAGTAAACCATAACCTACCATTAAGGAATGACTGTGGACTGTTTAGTCTGAGAATTCCATCTCTTCATGCAAATGTAAGAATTATCTTGGTTTACTTGCTATTTTATTCAGATAGCTGAATATTTGTCTAATTTTCACGTGTTTTGTTTTACATATGCAAAGGACAATTTTGAGTAGAGTTAGAAGCCACAAACTAATGGGCCAAGTTGAAAAATATATTTGTGTTGTACAGTATGACACACTCTACAAATAGTTAAACAAAAAAATAAAACACAGAAAAGGAAAGACTATTTTGTGTTTCACAAGCTTGCAAAATTGTGTATTTTCTTCTCTTTTTAGATTTTTTGGGAAAAACTTGTCACTCACCGTGAAACTATGTATTCTACCATGAGGTTTCTCTAATTTAAACAGCCTATCTTTTACCAAACATTAAAGAAGCCATAAAGCAGGAACTTTGGAACTTCAAATGAAGCTGTCAGAGATTCTTCCTGCCATCAGATGACTTGCAGCTGTGTGACTCATTTGTATCTTTATAAGAATTCAGAAAAAAAAAAAAGATTATTAGTATTTCAATTCCTGTCAACTGCTGAAGCTAACTAGGCCTGAAGATGTGCCTGGCTTCACTGTGCTGGCACTGAGATAAATGCAAAAATATAGGCAGCAATGTCGCAAGGACTTGCAAGAGGAAGGTGGGTGAAATGAAACATCATCGGTATTGAACGTCCTTATAATAAAAAAATACTAAGTGCATACAAGAATTGTCATGCTCAGCTTTGCTGCATACAGCATGTGGACAGACTGGCTATTGGCAGATCAGACCTGCTTCCCGTGAAGAAAGACCCGGGAAGATGAGACAGCACAACTTAGTACAGCAATAACATAGGTGTGTATTCTCATATCAGGTTCCTACATCCCTCCCCAATCTACCAGTCTAGCCCTGAGTCTCACTAAAGTCATGCCATTCTGAAGACAGAATTCTCAGATGTTTACACACTATTTATACTAAATGCCATTTCCTTAGTGGCTCCTTCGGCTGAGAATGGTCTTGCCCCCACCCGCCCTGCCTCTGTTACAAATTTCTTTTGAACCCTTCATAAGCAGATCATCTACACCACTGAGGAAGGAATCCTGGTTAATTTCAAAAGAGCACTTGCTCTTTCCTCTGTTCAAGGAGCTATAGCTGAAAAACAGTGCTGAATAGAACAATCACTTCCACAGAATAGGTTTCCAATTTTGTCATTTGATTAACTGAAAAATATATAAATCTTCAATATAGGAAGAGCCCATTTTTTTCCATACTAAGATTTAACATCTCTGAAGACCTATAAAAAGAACACAATTTACATGATTTCCTTTCAAAAAGATTATTGATTTCTCTTTATCTGGTCTTATTGTTGTTGAACAAATGCTGTCCTACCCCTTATCGCTTGATCCCAAACTTTTAGTTTCATTATATGAACTAATACAATATTCCTCGTACTCATGGGGCAGTTTTATTTTTAAATATTTTTAAAACTAGAAAAAATAATCTAGAATCATATAATCATATTAGAAAAATTCTTATAAACGTATACAAATTTTAAAATTTTTAGATACAGTTTCATTCTATATATTTATTTATTTGTTGAGATAGGGTCTCGCTCTGTTACCCAGGCTAGAGTGCAATAGTACGATCATGGCTCACTGAAGTCTCAACTTCCTGGGCTCAAGCAATCCTCCTGCCTGAGTAGCTGGGACTACAGGAATGCACCACGAAATCCGGCTATTAAAAAAAAAAAAAAGTAGAGACAGGGCCTTACTATGTTGCCCAGGCTGGTCTCGAACTCCTGGACTCAAGCAATCCTCCTGCCTGAGAAGCTGGGACTAACGCATGCACCACCATATTCGACTATTAAAAAAAACAAAACAAAACTGTACAGACAGGGACTTACTATGTTGCCCAGACTGGTCTCGATCTCCTGGGCTCCGGCAATCCTCCTACCTAGGCTTCCCAGAATGCTGGGATTACAAGCATGAACTATTGCACCTGGCAATAGTTTTAGGTATTTGTGTAATGGGAATAGTTACCAGGTAAACCAGATATATTTAACTTTTTTCTTTAAACGCTAAAATTATTTATAGTAACTAACAATAACTTAGTTATGTCAGTGGTTGGGAATAGAATTGACTAGAACATAATTTCTTCATCCCCAACCCCTTTTGAAACTCTATAAAGATTTCAAGTTGGGTAGTATTAGAAAAAAAAAGTTTGTGTGTAAATAATTCTTATTTTTAAGAAAGACTCTTGGTTTACAGTGCTTTCTTTTTTTTTTTTTTTTTTTTTTTTTTGAGATGGAACCTCACTTTGTTGCCCAGGCTGGAGTGCAGTGGTGCGATTTCAGCTCACTGCAACCTCCACCCCCAGGGTTCTAGCAATTCTCCTACCTCAGCCTCCTAAGTAGCTGGGATTACAGGTGCTCACCACCATGTCTGGCTAATTTTTATTGTATTTGCAGTAGAGACCGGGTTTCACCATGTTGGCCAGGCTGGTCTTAAACTCTTGACCTCAGGTGATCCACCTGCCTCAGCCTCCCAAAGTGCGGGGATTACAGGTGTCAGCCACTGTGCCTGGCTGGTTTACAGTGCATTCTTTGTGTTTGATTCATTTGTTTGAGGGTAATGTCAGCCCTTCTCTGTTCAGTCATATATACATACAATTGTAAATGGAGATACATGGGATGAGATGCATATTGAATTTTTAGTACTTTATAGGATATAGAATAGAAAACAATCATAATAATTATTATTTTCACAGAGGGAAACTGAGGGTCTTATAATTTAAATGATTCACTTAAGGTAAAATCACTCAATAATGGCAATGGCTCTAGTTTCAATTTTACAGCGACTCCAAATTCCCACATACTGTAAACACTTGGTATGCTTACTAGTGCTGAGGTCTTCCAACAGCCCCATTTCACCATGCTGAACACTCACTCTCAGTGGGCATTACCCTGAGAAAAGTTTCCTTCTGAGATAATGCTCACAGTTGCTTTATTCCTCAATATGATAACTGCAGTGCCAGATACTAGTCAAGTGCTCTGGGCCCAGCCTGACAATTCCCTCAGTAACACTCTTTAATTTATCTAAGAGGTGGGATCTGGTTTAGCCAGAGTGGTCCGCACCAAGTCTGCCTTTAATTAAATGGTCTATGGACTCAAGCTGCCATTACTGACTGAAGATGGAGGCAGGCCAGAAGCCAGAAAATGCAGATGAGTGTAGGACCTGGAAAAGACAAAGAATGAGATTCTACCCTGGAGCCTCTAGAACAGATCACATCCCTGCTGACATCCCGATTTCAAACCAGTGAGACCTGTGTCAGACCTCTCACTTACAAAACTGTAAGGTAATAAATTTGCATTGTTTCACACTGTGAAGTTCCGGTAATTTGTGACAGAAGCAATAGAAAACTTAAACAGTAACATTATAGGCTGAGCAGTGGTCTTGTCTGTGAAACATCTTTTATGGCCTACGCTCTTTTTGTTCACCTAAAGGCTAGCTAATTTCCCACAATAGGGCACTCTACACTGCCCTCTCCATTTGCCATAGAACCATCTCTCATGACAGCTGAGGGAAAGTCTAGGTGTCAGAGGCCATATTCAGAAAGCTAGACTGCCTGCCTTGTTGCCTAGCCAACAACTCTGGTATCCTCAGCTGCTAATATTCTGCCACTAAATCTACTTTAAAAAACATAAAAAGAAAAATAGCGGCACACTAAGGAAAATAAATGTTTAGATGAATTCATGTGCTTTCCACTAGAGAGGATAATAATAAATCTGCTGGGCAGTACAAATTGCCCTCCAAGTTTAGAGTCACCTCATCATTCTCAGGGAGATCAGTGGAATTAATGGTTAAACATGTTAATACAATAATGGAATGTCCTTAACCATTTCTAGAGGAGGAAGAAGAGGGGTGTACCGGATGCTTATTTTATGGCAATTTATGTCAGTGTAAAAGTTATAAAGATTGCCAGAAAGTAAAGGAGCATGATGTAGAATCACTGGAGAAACTGTAAAATCAATATCTCTAGGGTTTTCAACACTGTACTTGGCAGGTCCTTTCAAATCCATTGCCTGCATGATATTTTATGTGTGTAACTGGCAACAGTGATGGCAGATGATGTTCAACTCATGGAGTTGGCACCAAATCAATCATCAAAAACGAAAATGCATATGTCTCTCTGCATTTTCTATCTGCTTTCTCAGATGCCGCGTCAGATTAGATACTAAACCCAAAAGAAACTTATCCACAGCAAAGGCTGATATGAAGGGCTCTAAAAGTATGTAAATAGATGGAAAAATGCAACTAGCACCATACATTTTCCTTGGTTAGAAAACAGCAATTTATTCAAATAGCTGGAAAATGGGTTTTAGCTTTGAGACACTATTCTAATCCCATTATATTGTCACATATGAAATAGTTAAATCCTTTTGGTAAAAATGTGAGAAAATGGAAATTCATATGGTTATGAATATAAATTGAAAAATTATGTGTAAATATTGGTAACTCTAACTTAATTTCAATTGAGCATAATCCAACCCACTGTAGGCAACTAAGCAACTAAGCACAGGCTTCCTAGAGTTTCTACATGTCCCTATGGCTTCCCAATAAACCCTTGAAGACTACCATTTTGATGCTGCAAATTGACATTATTGGTGATAACTGGCTTGTATGTAACTCCCTAACTCATCCAGTAGTTGTATAAACCTCTAATTACATACATTAAAATAATAGTAATTGCTTTTGCCTTACATAGTATGTCATATGGAAAGTTGTTTTCCAGAAAACAGAATCTCAGAAATAAAAATCTGGAATAGGGGCTTTGTTCAGATTAGATTTGAAGTCAGATCAGATTTGAAATCAGAAATGGATATTTGCCTATGTAAAATGTCACCATGATGGTCAATTGCAATGACGAAATAATTTTCATTACCACATGTAGGTGTCTGAAGCCAAGCATCTCTAGAAGGCAAGGCAATGGCAGCAAAGTTACTGATGGCATAGAACACTTTTGTGGAAATGTGACCACATCTGAGTCCAAGGACTGTAGAGCAGATTGTCTTAAAAAGCTTAGAGAAAGAACATGACATATGCATGGATTTAAAATGATAGGGCCAAGGCTTGGTCAGAAGAACAGAGAGTTTTCTTTCTTTGATTTGAAAGGATCTCTTCTTAAAGCCTTAAGGTTGACATTTCTGAATATCACAACCAATATTTGGTCTTGCTGATGGCTAAGTTACAAGATATGTTGAAGTCAAAGATATATCAGATGTCTTACATCAAAAGTACAGTACTAATCAAGAAAGGTTGGGATTCTGATAATCGGAATGGGGCACTTGGATAGAGTCCAATGAGTTTGAGTACTTAGAAAGCCAAAATGCTATGGGGCTACATATAATACCTTACCAGCAAAGTAGCTCTTCTTTCCCTATCTGTAATAGTCAGCCTCTCCCTGCCTGAAGACTTGTGTTATATAGGGCTGAGGAAATTGCCTTGCAGTGGTGTTTCCATTATTCTCAAGACCCACCAGATCTATTGTACTGCTATGTTGATTTATCTCCCTGCAGAACCCAGTAGATATGCCTTTTGCTTCCCAAGAATCTCTTGTAATCAACACTGTGATGCAGAAAATTAGTATCATTGGCAACAGCTTCCCCGATGTTCAATCTCCCTACTCTTCCAATGTTTGTACAAACCTCTCATTCTCTGTATTAAAATATACACAAAGTCTGACCCAGAAAGAAACATCTTTTCAGCCGGGCTCAGTGGGTCACACCTGTAATCCCAGCACTTTGGGAGACCGAGGCGGGTACATGAGGTCAAGAGATTGAGACCATCCTGGCCAACATGGTGAAATCTCTTCTCTACTAAAAATACAAAAATTAGCCTGGCATGGTGGCGTGCACCTGTAGTCCTAGCTACTCAGGAGGCTGATGCAGAAGAATTGCCTGAACACGGGAGGCAGAGCTTGCAGTGAGCTGAGATTGCACCACTGCACTCCAGCCTGGGCGACAGAACGAAAATCTGTCCAAAAAAAAAAAAAAAACCACCATCAAAGTTATATATATAAAAGATATATTATATAAATATATAATATATAAAATATTAAAATGTATATGTAAATATATATAAATGTGTGTTTGTGGAAGTGTATAAAATCACAAGAATAAATCTGTCTATATAGGTAGACAGAAACTTCCTGAATACTTGTGGGGATTGATCCTGAAGGTGTACAACTAAGAATAATAAAACTCTCAGATAGATTAGGATGAATGTGTCAATATGGGTGCACTTATCAAGGATTCAGGATTCAGTGATTTGGCCTAAGCAGTGTGAGGTTTTCAAACATTTTCTTGGTTGGTTTTCTAAAATTTAACTCATAATCTCTAACAACAATTATAGTTAGAATGTTAGTATTTCCTTTTCATTTTATGATATGAGGAATGAGGAACATAAACCCTCAGGAAGGGAATGTTTGATTGAATTTGTTGCACGTGGCTTGCTTATTCATTCCCAAATACATATTTGGGAAAGACAAAGAATACATGCCCTTCACCAAAGCATTGAGAAACATTGTTGAGGAGAGCACAAGCACCTCCAAATACACTCCAAATAGCTCTGCAGAGGCTGGCCTCTGAAAGCCAGGGAAGTTAGTAAGAGATGTCACTATTAAATGGATTTCCTGATTTCTTGAACCCAGAAGTTTAGAGTTTGACGGGAGCTCTGAAATGCTGGAAGCAACGTGTGTCTTGCCACTGTAATGGGAAGTACAACTGTAACAGAGCTCAAAAGGACTTAATCACAGAAATATTTTGATGGGACTAATTGACTGCGGTGTTTCTAATACTGAAATACACCTCTAGGCCAGTGAATAGTCGTATTTCTACAATAGGCTCACCATCCTTTATTCAAACTCAGTCCCGAGTTTGTTCGCAAAGCCAGAAACATTTAAATAAGCAGATGTCATAATTACCTTGAGAAAAATGACCCCACAGTGCTGCCACAGCTACAAAATTATTCCTTATCTTTTCTGAAATGGATTTGTAGTCATTGAGTAGGATGACGGCACTGAAGAAAAGGAAATTTTCAAAGTTTCCAGAGATTACTGGGTACTGAATTTGAATTAAAGATAGTTTCTGGGGACACAAAAATGCACCGTGATATACCAGTTAGATAAAAGCAATGGAGGTCAAGAGAGAATTAATCTTTTCAATTTGCTTTTCTTTAAACATATGGTAGAAATGTATTTCTCTACACTCTTGAAGGTAGGCATAGCATGTGGTCTGCTTTAGCCAAGGATATGTAAGTTGTAGTAATGTGTGTCCCTTCTGGGTAGGCAACTTCAAGAGACAGTGTATTATCAGCTATGTTTCTTCCCATGCCATAGTGACATGCAACAATCCAGATGATGTTTCCTGTATTAGCCTTAGTCCCAAAGCAAGGGATCATGAAGCAGGCCTCCCACTTACTAGAGATGGAGATGTATCATGGTGAACACACAAAGTTTTCTTACTTTAAGTCACTAAGCTTTTTTGTTAATGTAGGATAACTAGCTCTGTTGTATGAGCTATGAGACTATGAGATATGATTTAATCACTAAAAAAAGAACAATAGATATGCATACTAAGACAGCTCTCCAAGGGAAATTAAGTTAAAAAGTAAACAAAAATCTATATGAACAAATGGATCCTTTTACTGTTAAAGCAAGTGAACATACAAAAAAAAAAAAAACACAAAGTACAATAACACAAAGACTTTTTTGCAACATTTATTTATATAAAATATGTAACTGCATACTAAAAAGGTCCAGAAGCTCGTGCAACTAATTTATAATACTGACTACCACTATGGAGAAGAGTGAAGCTTCAGGGGATAGGAACAGGTGGATGCAGTGTGAAAAAGATTTTTGCTTTTCATTCTGTATATTTATGTAGTGATTGTTTGATAATAGAAAAATATACTTTACATGACTTTTAAAATTAAAAAAAGTACAAACAGAAAGATAAGATTGGCGGAGAGGATTTTTGGCATTCATGAAAAACATGAATAAAACCAAGAAAAGCAAAAGAATAACCAGTTGTAAAAGTGCATTTTTTTCTCCTTTGGTCTCTTACATGGGGCAGGTTATTAAAGATGAGGTAAATCATAGATGGTCATACGACCCAAGCATTCATATAAAAATAGAGGGGTAGTAATAGAAAAGTTCCAATTGCTATAGTTTCTTTGAACAAACTTGGTGTCAATTTTTTTATTCCATGCTACAGCAACATGCTCCTCACAAGAGAGCTTGGCTCTATTCTGGTCTGTTTCTTTCTCTGTATTTCATACAACAAGGTGTGTTTCTATTCTCACTTGGAAAAGTCTAACTCCCTTGTTATCAGTGAAAGATTGTGTTTGGCTACATGGAACAGAAACACAATTACAGTGTCTTAACCAAAGAGGAGTTATATTTTATTACCACAATGGGAACGCTGGAGGTGAGCAGTGTAAGCCTAGTACAGTCGCTTGAGTAGATCGTCAAGAAAGCAGCTACTTCCAGCTTCCTTCTCTGCTGTCTGAAGCATGTAGCTTTTGTATGAGTATTTGTATCTGAGTAGTTTCCCACCTAAGTGGTTTGCTTTACTTCTAGAATCACAAAGCTTTTTAAGCAAGAACAACACAGCCATAAAAAGCAAATAGAATTTTTTACTAGAATTTTTTTTAATTTATGGAAATATCCAGTATATTTTCCATTTCCATCTCTTTAGTTATATTTATGTCAAATGTTCTCCACCCCATCATTACAAGGAAGGAAATTGTAGTTCCTGTAAATAATGCTGAAAATGATGAGGTCTGTGGTCTGTTATAAAGAAAAGAGAGAATTAGCATTGGGTAGCAACCTAGCAGTTGAGCTTTGGTGCAACTTCAGAGATAAAGCCTTCCCAACTTATTGCAGTATCTATTGATTGTATTCTCTTGATAAATCCTGAACCAATTACTATTTGTAGCTCACATTTTGTAAATTATTGGATATCAGAAGGCTTTGCTACTTGAATTTATTTACTGCTTTTTAAAAATCTTCTAGAGAACAGGGATCACACCTGTTACCTTCGTGTCTAAATAAGTGGATAGTTCTCAGCACAGGAAAGTGAATAAATACATTTGTTTACATGATCTGATGGATGTCTAAGGCAGAATAAGTATTTGAGGAAATTTTCCAAATGATAAAATCCAAGCTTACTGGGTAAGTTAGATTTAGAGATGTTAAACAGCATTTTTATGTTGTGTATACTATTAAAATATATCAGATTGTTTTATGAATGACTCCCTTTCTGACACTCTCTGATGACCTCCAGAGACTAAAATTGTAAGCATGAGTAGCAAAAATGGGGGAAAATGCATTCTATGATGACAATTTAATCCCATATGTCTAGTCACTGAATGATACATGGAACTAGAGAGTACATTGGCTAAGAAATACTTAGAAGAATTCAGAATAAATGTTCGTGAAACGTATACTCAAGTAAGGAAATAGCATATTAAGATAAAAAGACATGATAATAGAATTATAGACAACACACTTCCCCCCCGATCTTCCCCTCCCAAAAGCTTTGTTACTTAGAGGGATACAAAAACTACAATATAGACTCATCTCCTATGTGTCAGCTAATTACCTGTGGTTTCAACCTTCTCTTGGGAGTCTGGGAAGTGAAATTTGATGGTATATACATTTTTCTGCTCCATAAAGTTCTTCAGAAACATTCAGGCTATACCTCAATAACAAAAAAAGTAAGGCTCCTGAGCAAGTCACGCTGGCCACAACATGTAACTCCTTTGTTTTAGAATCCTTTAGAAGAATTGTTTACACAAAGATTTAAACTCTCTCTCTCTCAGTAGACTTCCCATTTCTGCTCTCTATTCCTTTTATTTTGATAAAGTTTTTGGTGATGGCAGCTTAAATGTGACAAAGGAGGAAGCGGGGGAGGAGGTCAATTTTCCCTCCTTTTCTTGATTATTCATTTTCTATCCCAGATAAAACTAAATGTGTCAGTCTGAGCTAGTACCAATGCTGGGGTAGGAAAACAAGACATAGACTTGAAGTCCTTAGGTAAGTGGACTATATCAGAAAAGTACTACTTTCCTGATTGCTACATTATGTAAGGAACACTTGGTTTATGAGAGACTTCGATTACCCAAATGATCATGCTTCATTGAGAGCAGTGGTTTCCAAATGATTTTTTTATTGTTATGGAAAAATTCAAATAAATAAAATGTTGTATAGCAACTCCATATTTAAAACTGGAAAAGCAGATCTCCTCTACTTGGAGTAGAGAAAATCAAAGTCCACCTGCTGCCAGCTCTTCTCAAGAACAGCTTCCTTTACTCTGGCAGACAATGAGTAAGGTATAATTTGCCAAGTATAATTCTGGTTTATGCCTGTGGGCCTAGTGAATTTATAAACAGTGACTGATATCACTTTCAAAAATGACCTAGTATAGACAATAAATTATATGCTTATACTACCTATGAGATATCTTAAGGAAAACTTGTTACTTAAGGAGCCATCTAGAACAGCACTAAGTCAAAGCATTGAAATAGCTATGATTTAACTGATACATATAAAGAAATAACTTTAGCTTTATTTTAGCATTTTATATTCTTGTTGCAGGGAGATCTGGTGAGTCAAGTCATAACATGGTATAATGTTTGCCAACTGCTTTAAACATGTGAATGTCAAGTATTTGGAATTTGTAATGAGTGAAATATTAGACATAAAGATCGGTGTCCTTGGGTACAATAGTGCCTCTTCTGATCATAACTTTTGTGAAATTGGGGAGTACTTTGCAAACCTGACCTCAATCTCCTGTCCTGTAAGATGATGGGGTAGTACGTAAAAATATTCTCCATCTCTAATCTTTTATTTAACGAGACTAGTCATATTCTTACTTAAGAAATCCATTCTCTTCCACTTGTTGGCACAATAAGCTTCCACCTGTGTAGGTGGATTTCAGGAATAGCTTGTAGCACTTGGCAGCTCTACTCACAGTAACTTATTTTCACAGATAAGGAGCAAAGAATTGATAGGAGAGAACAGTCCCCCATGAAGTTTTCTTCAATAATAATTAACTTGGGTGTTGAATGTTGCCAATGGGATTACTTTGAGAACAGAGCTATTTTTGCCAAACACTTATTTCACTTGGATAGACTCTGAAAATCCATGTACTATTGAATATAGTTAACGTTTCTCTAAATGTTTCTGAAATGTACAGATGGTGTACTCCAATGAAGGTACATTACTCTGGAAAATACTGCCCCCAAATAACCACTTTTCTTAGGCAATGGCACAATATAAGCACATTAGAAAAACAAATATGAGAATAGCTTTACATAAATCTAATCTGGTTTCCAACATGAAGGGCCATTACATTTATAACTGTAGTTTCTCTTTCAATAAAATCCCAGCCCATGAGATTTAAAACTGGAGGTATACTTCCAAGGATAGTCCCTTAGTCAAAAGTTAACCCTAAATATTTATGTATATTGAAGAATCTATAAATCTAATCCCAAAATTGAGAAAAGAATTGAATCCCCAGGTCTTTGAAGCATATCAAGTGCCTGATATCTGGATGTCATTTTATAAACATGGATCTAAAATTAGAGCAGACATCCTCAAGAAATAATTTTCAGGGACACCATTGAAAGGATGTGGTGAGGTGTGTGGGAATATTTTCAACTAGTAGTGCGCTTTACAATCCAATGAATGCTATTAAAATCATTTTGCTTGGAGGTTGAGAATATCTTCTGTAGTAGTTTGAAGAGGTCATTATAAGACCTTCTGAAAATTGTGCAGAACAATTACTAGAGGAAAGTAGGAATAAAACTACTTTTAACTGCAGCAAAATATCACAGTTTGCACACATATTTATGGTTACTCAGATTTTCAGTCCCAGGACATAAGAATGAAAAAAATCTTGGAGAGAGAAGTAGACAATTCCTTCTAAATATTTTTTATTATATTCCACTTTTATTTATTTGTGCTTTTATGTGGTCACCACCTATTCGAAACATAGCATTGGCTTACATGTGTTAGATATGCAGGAGAAGGTGATGGTAGGAACTCTCAACCAGTCAGAATAGGCAAAATTAGGCTGTAGTCACTAAAATTTTCACATCTTAAAGTTTTACAGCAACACATTTTTACTCTTGCTTGTCTACAGGTCTATTGTGGTTTGACTAGAATCTGCTCTACCTCTCCTCACTCTGACACCCCATCTACCAAACAGCCACTACTTCAAAAGACGTCCAATAGAAAGAGTGTTCTGGAGGGTTTTAAACTACTACTTAAATGCTCTGGCTTAGAAGGAACAAACATCACAGCTGTTCAAAGCCCACTGGCTAGCCACATGGCCTTACCCAACTACACACTATCCAGAAAGTATCTTTTAAACATATAATCGGATGAGAGAGAACAGAAAATATTTGATACACAGCATTAATTTTTTTCCGGAAGTTTATTCTTCTGGCCACACAATATTCAAATTACACTCCCTCTTCAGACAAATATATATTTACCAGCTCCTCAAGGGGGACAATCCTAAAGGTCTTGTCCAGGCCATCAAGATCAAAATCCAAGGTCTTAAGGAATGTGGCTTAATATATCAGAAGCTTATAGGTGAGTATTTAATCATATTCACCTGAAATGCTTTTTGATTAGGAAACCTATGTATCTGAAAGACATGTTAACAGTCTCATTAGTGTACAAACGTTAATGAAACAGGAATAAACTAATCACAGAAACATTGTCATTCAGAAGGGAAAAGCATAAGACTGCCTCTGGTTTGCAGCAATTCCAAAATCCTCTTGGCAGATATAGTGAGGGCTTTGCTCCATGAGTGGGAAATATTTGATTAGGCCCTGAATCAGCTTGATCGGACGATTACCCAGGCCACTATTCTACATGGCTCTGGGCTCCACTCTGGGAGGATCTTCCTTTTTCTTTATCCACTCACGCAGCGGAAATGGGTTTGACAATGTTGCCTTTCTAGAGGTTTCAGTTGCTTTCTCAGGCTGTGTTTTGCCCAAAGATAGTGGGCAGCCCAAGAGTTGCTTTAAATCACAAACAGTTGATGTGATTTTTAGTTCAGGATAGTAGTTGTTTGGAAGCGCAACTCTCTGAGAAACTTAGTTATTCTCTCATCTATTTAGCTACAGCAAACTTCATGTGACAAAAGCCACACCCATAACTTTTTTCCTCTAGATAGACAGATAGATGATAGATAGATAGATAGATAGATAGATAGATAGATAGATAGATAGATAGATATAGATTCTCTTTCTCTGCATTCTCATCTATATTTCTGTCTTTCTCTTAATTATGGGTAACTCTTAGCCTGCCAGGCTACCATGGAAAGACAACCTTTATTCCTCTTTTCTCCTGGCTATGTTGTTCACTTCAAATATTATCCCAGGAAAGGAACTGCTCCAGTCCAAGAAAGACTTCTATCACAATTAATTAACAGAACTTGTCTCATAGCCTTTGCACCCACAGTGGAGGGGAGACAGAAAATACATCCTCTGAGGTGCCTGAAAAGTAGAAAGCCAGAAATAGTTGATGAATAGAATTCCTTCCTTAACTGCTTGTTAAGAGAAAACTCATAATAATATCCGTGAGACGTAAATAGTAGGTTACCATTGGAGGCAGTGGGAAGACCACTTTGTCCTGGAGGTCAGCGTAAGGCATTCCATTCTTATCCCAGCTCTTCTATGTTTGACCTTGGGTAAATCATGTCACTGTTCCAAAAATGTGTTTTCTTACAAAGAGGTTATTTATTTGTCCTAGAGAACAACCAAGAAACACATTGATTTTAATAGTCTCTGTTTCCATCAAACAGATCCAGCTTAGTGACTCAGGAAAATACCGAGGAGGAAAAGTCTCTTGATCAGTCCTTGGAATCTATTGAGGTAAAGTTGCATTCTCTAGCTCTAGGTCTTTTTTTTCACAGTCTCTTAGGAGCTTCCCTTATTATTCTTTTCATACCAGCCTTTTGCTTTTTACATGGGGTTGCTATAGATATAGGATGCAGCCATGCTCTGGGTCCCTGGAAGGGACTTCCATTCTTTTAAAGAGAAAATGCTTTCGTTAATAGGGCAGGCTTGGATCCCAGTAGCTCCTGTGTACAGATATTAAGAGGAGCGTCTCTGCCAATGAACTTAGGCAGAACAATAAAGCATCTTTACAGCCCAGACTCACCAGAGCCACTACTGATTCACTGGCATATGCTCTCTCAATAGTAAAAGGCTGCCAGGATTTACTCGCTCAGCTTTTCTCTCTCCTAGGCCGTCATTATTCAGTGTAAAACTCCTTTAACCTGGTGGAGTTGTTGCTCTTGCTAATACTGTGTTAGCAAATTATTGATCCCAATGATGAGAACAGGAATCGTTTCTCCTGTAGCAGGATGTGCAATTGGATCTACATTCTGCCCCGGTAATTTTCTCTATAGATCTTCCAGGAGGACTAGACAAATGGGCCATTAAAAAGGGGTAGGGGCGGGGTGGGGGGAGCTGCCTGAGGTTGATGATGCATTTGAGCTGAATCCAAACTTTATAAGTGTTTTTCAGCTTCTATTTGAAAACTTATAAACATTGCTCTTTGGCACTTTATGGTTTTGTTTTGTTTTTGGTAGTTTTATTTGGCTTGTTTTTAACTTTCTCTGATGA
Source organism: Homo sapiens (assembly GCF_000001405.40). Classification (NCBI taxonomy): domain Eukaryota; kingdom Metazoa; phylum Chordata; class Mammalia; order Primates; family Hominidae; genus Homo; species Homo sapiens. The sequence goes on from NC_000018.10 coordinate 40,570,325, forward strand.
CCAAGAAGGAATTTTTAGCTTGTGAGCTGTTTCTTTCCAATTGATCAAGACAATTAACAATTCAGAGAGGTCTTCATAAAGCAAAACAAGGTCATTGATCTCTTCAGTAAAAAGAAAAAGAAGGTAACACTGGTAATGAGAGTTGTTAAATTTCAGCCATGCTGACCTTGTTGGTTGGAATTTACAAATAGGAAATCTTCATTAAGATGATTACCTCTCTGTCTTTCACCTCCCCATTTTCATTTCAGGTCACTTTACTGGGTGGTTACTAATCCAATTATATGTGACTAGATTTTACAACACCTTCTGTGGGCCTAGCCCTATAGTAGATTCTGAAGAAGATCTTAAAAACAAAAAAAGAAAAAAAAAATGAGCTTGATGTTCTACCCTGAGGCTTTCAGAATGATCTTTAAAATTATTTGTTGAAAAGGAAATAAAGTTAATAATAGAAACAGACTTGAAAAAAAAAACACCCCTGAATTAGAGTGACTGAATTTTTTCTTCGTCCCCCTAGAACAAAATCAAGAAGTGAAAGCAGAATGCATTGTTCATTATGTTGGTCAGAAAGTGAACTTTGGATGCAAAACACTGTGTGATTAAACTGAGACTTTAAAAGAGCTCTCTAAATGAATTGTGTGGTGCTCATTCTGTGCAGAAGTATTGGAAGAATGTTGATATCTCAGATGGCACATTATTTTCTATTTTCTTTCTGAGATGTACTGAAGGATAACAGAAGCTAATTGTTTATTTGTTTAATATGGATTGCTGATTTGAAAATGTTTTTTACAGTAAGAAAGTAAATTTATATCTCCAAGGTCTCAATTGAATTTCATATCAGGAAGAAGTGCTTAGCAAACTATTGACCTTACACTGCTCATTAGTTAGAAAAACAATTAAGGCTGAAAACTTCACTTTATGTTATACAGTAGCATATGACAGATATGTAAGATATTTTATGTAAGTGATCTCCCATGCCAGATTATAAATTCCAAAGAGACAGTTACTGTTCTTAAATAAAATCTAAGTGCTCACTTATTAGGCAATAGCATACAAAACTTGATATCTCAATTTTAGCACTTGTTAGAGTTAGGAGGATAAATGTCCATCTCCTCTTAAGATGATAAACCCTTTGAACCTGGAAACTTGACTTTTCCTGTCGGTATTCTACCACAGCAGTGATTGCCATGGCTGATCCAGTGCTTGCTTTTGGTGGGATGGGACTTTTCACTGATATTTGTTATAATTCAGGTTCCACATAATACTCAGTTGACATCATTGGATCATTTGGCTTTATTTTTTAATCTCTCTCACTCTGGACACTAAATGGAAAACTAGAACTGAGAAGGAAAGGGTAATGGGAAGCTTAGAGAAAAACAAGAGAAAGATGGGAAAGAACCCACATTTCTGTATTTTAAAATAATGTCATAATATCATTTAATATTTGTATTATTATTGTATTAATAACTAGGATTTGCAGAGTGCCTCCTTTGGATCCAGCTCAATAGTAGATCCTGAAAGTTATACAAATAAAATCAAGTGCAATTGTCCACCCTGAGGAATTAATGATAGCTTTCAATTTGAACTGGACCCACAAAAAGAATAATTTTATCTGGATCTTGATAGAAAAGTTAAAAAGTTATTATTTAGAATTGACAACATATATGTAAATAGAGGTGAAAATGAGATTGGCCTTGTTACCTACTTTAATAAAATGCCCCAAATGCATCCCAATATCCATCAGCAGTTTCTGTATTAGCTATAGCATATTCCTATCATTTCTTATGTTTCATATTTAAATATTCTAATCAGTGAAATGACATTTTTCCTATATTCCAAAAAATATAATGCTTGTATTCTTTTGGCTTGAAACTACAATTTTTAGAAAATTATAAAACCTGAAACACCTAAAAGTAGTCTTTCATGAATGTCAGTAAAAATGCAAAAAGTGGTTTGAATGTGATGTCTTTGCTACTGAAAAGACCATTAATATACAAATCAAAGTAACATATACTTTATGAATAATAAATAAGCATTCATGGGGCACCAAATTCGATCTTAAAAATAAAGCCATGGATGCAAATAGCGTAATTGAAATTCTTACAAACTATTTATGTGCATTAATGAAAAGGAACGAATACTCCTTCTGCCCTATCCCTCCCATCCTTTTAAGTGGAGGCAATGAATATATCAATTGTGAGGCTTAACAACTGGGGTTTAGTAAAACATGCTTGATTAATTTTTACTGAGATTTCCAAAATAAAATGAGAAAGAAATCACCCCATTCATTATATCAGAGAAGGGAAAAGGATCTTGATATTTGACTGCATCCAACTGATCAAATGGCATTCTAGCTAACCTCAGAAATGGGTTTCTGGCAAAGAATGAATTTTCTTTTTGAAGATGAGATGCATTCAAGTATCTTAGAAATTGCTGCAGCCCAGCGTCTTTACAATAGTAGAAAAAAATAAATGAAGAATACCACAGCAGCAGTCAAAAGAGCAACAAGAACGAGAACAGCCTGTAGGAGATGTCAAGGCACAGAACCCCACATTTTGAAAAATAAGAAGTTGCAGAGGGAAAAATATCTACAGAATATTCTTTCAGGTTAATTTTACCTGCATGTAGTCATGTATTCTAAATAGAATGAAATATTTAAATTATTTTTGTTTTATATCAGGTTTATATCTACTATATGATACTAAACCAGGCAATATACTTTTCAATGGTTTTCATTCATCTTTGATTTTTCTGCGGTTTATATTACTATTTCAGTATAGTTATTTCTATACAATATTAGAACTCAGTTTCAAAACTCATAATTGCAAGACGGCATTCTGGTAATATATATATAGCTAACTGTTTAGCTATATAAAGCAGAAAGAAAGGAAACATAAAGGGTCCAAGTTTCAATAGGCTCCCTGTCTTCAATTATAAGAATAATTTTTAAAGCTTCTAAAAAAGGAACACACTGATTTTTTCCTTTCCTTTAATAATTCTCAAATGGAGATATTTGTATATATTCTGAACTCTATCAAATGCTAGAAATGATGGGCAAAGTCCAGAGATATCAATGTTGAAATTACGGCAACTGTCCTCAAAGAGGTTTCAAAAAAGCTAAATTGGAAGAAAAGGAAAGCACCTAGTATGCACAATGAAAGCAAACAATACAATAGAGTATAACAACAAGGGTTAATTGTTTTACATAGATTATAGATGTTTTATGATGTTCAGGGTAGTTGAAATTACTATGGAATAGAAAATGTTTAGATGAGCAATAGAGGTCAAAAAGAGAGTATTATGTGTGAGGTAGGAATCAGTAGGACTTGTTTTTATGACCCTACTCATCAAAATAGGATGTAGCAAAAACATCAGCCCAAACCAGCTAGGAATATAAATTATAATACATTTGCATAAGACACTCCCACCAGCACCATGCTAGTTTACCAATGATGACACAGCAATTACACGGAAGATACTTTATATGGTTTTGGGAACTCCTCGCCCCTTTTTTAGAAAGTTCATGAATAACCCACTCCTATTTGGCATATAATTAAGAGTGAGCATAAATACAGCTAAGCAGCAATCCATAAATGCTACTCTGGGCCAGTATGCCTATGGGATGATCGTCTTGCTCTCTCTATGGAGCAACTATTTTGCTGCACACTGTTGCTCTAATATACTTGCTTTCTTTCACTGTCAGCTCACTCTTGAATTCTTTCCTGAGTGAAGCCAAAAACCCTCCTGAGCTGAGCCCAATTTGGGGGTTCCCCTGCATTATTTACAAGTCTACTTAGAATTCCTCTTAATCCATTAGTGTGGAAACTTAAGTGAAAAATATCTTGAAGGGGAAAATTGAGGAATATTTCTTCTGATTTAATTCTATGTATTTTAATATTAACGGAGAATGACAGAGGACCCAATTTTAGATTATTTTATACCTGTTTTTATATCTCAAATGCCACTTGTTTTAATTTGTTCTTCATACTCTTGATCAAAGATTGTATCACGACTAGGAACTCATAGACTGCACCTGATCATTAGTAGCTTCTGAGCCCTTAACTTAGATTGACTTTCACATGAAACAGAGTTGGAGACAGAAATTTTCATATAAAAGGTTTATTGAAGAGTACTCTCTGGGGACTTTTCCATGATGCAAGTGATAGAGGCAAGATTAGGCAGAAGGTGAAATTTAAGAGTGATCCGTTTGCAACAGAGGCTCGGCCAATCCCACAAAAGCTCTGTAGTCACTTCAGAAATGTCCAAACTTGGGGAAAAAAAGTGCCAGATGGTTGAATCCCACATTCACCAGTCAATGGGGTGAGAGCTTTCCCAAGAACAGAATACAAACTTTTCATTCTAATGGAGAAAAATTTCCATAGAAAATCTGTATTAGTCTGTTATCACACTGCTGTAAAGAACTACCTGAGATTGGGAAATTTTTGAAGAAAAGAAGTTTAATTGACTCACAGTTCTGCAGGCTGTACAGGAAGCATAGCTGGGAAGCCTCGGGAAACTTAGAATCATAGCAGAAGGGTGAAAAGGAAGCAAGCATGTCTTTACATGGCAGCAGGAGAGACAGAGCAAAGGGGGAAGTGCTACACACTTTTAAACCATCAGATCTCATGAGAACTCACTCCCTACCACAAGGCAGCTAGGGGGAAATCCATCCCAATGGTACAATCACCTCCCACTAAGCCTCTTCTCCAACCCTGAAGATAATAATTCAGCAAGAGATTTGGATGGGGACATAGAACCAAACCATATCAGGATGCAAATTGGAACAATCAGCTGCTAATGGTTCTGGCAACTGGGGAATAAGTGCTTCAATGCTGAAGAGAAAATCTGGGTAACATACTACAGCATCTACTACAGGCCAAAACTCACGTGAACCACTTAGTTAAGGACAGTGTGTTTGAAGGAGGGACTGTATTCTGATAATTATGAATGCCGTCTAGAAATGTGAAACTCTAGGACTCCAATGCTGATATCATAAAACATGTGCCTTTGATCAAGTGTAATCTTTCTTTTAGGATACTTTCAGTATTAAAGAAACTAAATAAAACAAAAAAATCAGGGAAAGGGCAACACCTGGTACATTGTAAGCTCTCAAAATGTTGGGTATTGTTAATATCAACAGGGTGGATTCAAATAATGTAATATCTGTCTAGAAAAGTTTGAATTAAGAAGATACAGAGTTCTGCATTTTTAATACAAATTAGATGATCAGTGACTAAAAGTTGATTAGCTACTTTATATAGTAAATTCAACTAGTGTTAAAAATAGGACTGGGTTTTTAGAGGAGAGTGAAAAAGAAAATGAAGAAAGCTGAAAATATAGTTGAAAGGTGGATACATTCCTAAAATCTACATTAAGAATGTAGAATAATTTGGATAATGTATAGATGGCACTTCCCAGGTGGGAACTTTTGAGAGACAAAAGGCATGTCTGTGTTGTTCACTGTCATCCTGCCTACCAGGACTTTGGAACTACAAATGAGACATAGTAGATGTTTACAAATACTTATTGAAACAAATGACTAAATTAATTAATTAACGACTAATACATATATAGTATTTGTGGACTTGGCTGGTATCCAAGGTGAAAATTTGTGAATTTCTATAAAACCACATTTGCAAATAAATACAAATAAAGAATTAAATTTTTGTACAATAGATAATATACCATCATTAATCAAATATATTTATTGAGTATCTACTATATGATTTCTACTGAGTAAACCAAAAAAGTATAAGACATGATCAAATAGCAAATGCTGACAGCTAAATCTGAGATGCTTTTTCTTTTAAAAAAGCAAAAAGATGTCTTTGTTTATTTCCTGAAAGAGAGCAAAATGTTTCTCTCAACATTGCCCTCTTTCTGTATATTAAGACTTAGCATAAGCGGGATGTGATATTACTGGAATCAGTGGTTTCAAACATATTTAAATATCAAATGACAGTAAATTGGTGAAACCATGAAAAATGACAAAGAAAACTTAACACCCAGCCACATGTTAATTTAAAAACAAGATCTGCAGTGTTTAAAATGGAGATTTAACGTGGGCTTACATGTAGGCTCCTTTAACTTAAACAAGTCATTAATATGGAAATATTAATTAATTTAAATGGAGGGTGTCTGTTTTGATCCAAAAGATAAAAAATTGTCAGCCTGCTTTAGTGGAATATACCATCACCCACAACAAGAGGAAGAAAACAAGGAGAAATACGACACTGGTTAGAGACAATAGATCTGTGAAAACAGCCAGCCAGTAATTCCAACTACCAGCTCAAACAAGAAGACAAATGGAGGTTGTAGCTTTTACCATTAAGAAACCAGTTAGAGTTCCATTTTGTGCCAGGACAGTTCTGCCAAAAAGAACTTTCAGTTCCAACTTGCTCTGTCGGTCCTCTCCACAGAAACAGTTTTGGCTTGTATATGCAAACAAAGTGACAATGAAAGTTACATTCCAATGACCTTGCCTTTGAGATGATGGCGACACATCCTAGAAGAATTAGAAAGTTACATTGAGGGCTGTAATGCTATTATAACCTGTTGTGAGCCAATCCAATCTGGGTGAGATATTTCCTATGCTGTGCTCTCACAGTGATGCATACAGCTAATTGTAAAGCCACCTGCTTCCCTGAGTTACATCATTCACAGTTAATTTATATTCAGGTGGCATGCACAACGTTTTCTCTTAATTTCTGCATAACAGTTCATTTTCTTTGGTTAGAATCAGCATTTCTCTCAAAGCATTTTGTAAAAGCACAGCTGTCATACATAACCTGTATAAAAGCCCCAGAACCCGTAACAGATCTATTAAAGGGAGTATAAATAATAACAGAGAAGAAAAACTTCCCAGCGAAGAAGGATATTAAAAAAAAAAATCTAGATTCCTGGTTTGAACACAAGGCTGTCTCTTTAAAGCAGAAACACCACCAGTTCATTATGCATTCTTTCAATGTCCTAGTTGTGAAGGGGAGGTGGGTAGTGGGGAACACAGCCTTAAATTCTTCAGAGCTCTCCTGGTTGGTTTATCTACTGTGATTTACTGTTGTGATTGTTGAGCAGCTGACCACTGATTTTAACACTAGGGTATAGAGGAGACAGATTGACATAGGTTTCATTAAAATTCAAGAAACTCAACTCCACAGAGAGCATGACTAACTTCCTTATACATGACAGGAATCCCCACAGATGGTACTTCACCCTTGCTAAAGGAATTAAGTCTACCAAAAGAATCCCTGTCTATAAGCAGCCAATTCCCCAAATCTACAGGCTCATCTGCACAGATATTCTTTATACTGTCATTCTTAAGTACCTTAGGGTAGCTCTGAAAGACAGGGGGCCGAGAGGGAGCAGCCGCTGCTGCCTTGACTACCCCTCAAGCATGCTGGTGGCGTGGGGATGATGGGATTATAAAGTAAACATAATAAAACGCAGGACCAGGGCATCCGGTGGACACAGTCTATTTGCTGACTCCTTTTTGCTTGGGAAGAGCTGAGATGAAATTCTTATTATAATTACACAGAATCCCTGCATCAAATTGGCAGTTATTAAACTATTAGGCAAATGCACAAATGAGTATTGTATATGGTTCCTGGTCCAATTAACTTCCTTTCTTCTTCTTTCTCTCTGCTCTCTGGCATTATGCTCTTACATTCCACATTTCATCTTCAAATATTTAAGTCGTCAAGGAAAAAATAAACTAGCCATCACACATTCATTATATTGTGTCAAATAGGACATGAAGGAGACAGCTTTCTTTTTTCCTGTCCTCTGCTCTTGTCAATCAAAAGCACAGTAATTAAAAGAGGATGGGGGATGTTTTCAAATTAAGAACAAAGGAGGAGGCATTTAATAGGAGGAAGAGAAGAGTAATTAAAATAAATAAATAAAGGCTCTAGCTGTGTCTATTGTCCCCAGTGAGCTGTTCTGAACTGTGATTTCACCGGCTCACAGCCTCCCCTTCACCCCCTACTCATCCTCCTCGAGTTTCTCCTGAGAAAATACTACAGACAGCGTGTGTTATCTACACTCCTTAACACATTCTTGGAGTTTAATATAATGTTAAATACTTGAATACATTGAGGATGTAGACTAAATTTTTCTCATTTTCCAGATTAGACAGGATTAGGATAAACTGAAGACACAAACATTTAGCATCCATAGAATCATCAACATAGAGTCATTACATAATCGTCATTTGGATTTTCCTTAAATTAGAAATGTTTTCCCTCACCTATATAATGCATAACACAATGCTTCATTCCACCAGCTGTGGCTGAGTCATTCTTTCTTCATGACAAATCAGGTAATAATGGCAGATAGGCAATGGGATTTATAACTTTTTGGCCAACTTTGAATCTTGATCACCATATCTATAGGACAATAAGTTTTTAATTAATTGGTGTATCCTATAAAAGCTCTTGTGGTGAAAATAAATTGAAACATTCTTCCTGGGTCTTCAGATTCCTGGAAAACAGGCAATGTATCCTTCTGTCCCAGAAAAATGAGATGTGAGTGTTATGCACTGAGGAAATCCTGGTTTATGGGATTATATTAGAGCCTCTACTATTCAGTTATATTTATAGTTATGTTCATATACACACACCAATATAGATAATAATTTCATTGTTCTAATTTCAACATTACATTTTAGCTTTTTTGCTGTGTGTGTGTGATTGTGTGTGTGTAGTTTCATATTATGCATATAATGATGTGTTATTAAAGTTAAAAGTCATTAGATTACATAATTTTTAATAAAATAATTTGCATCCTACAAGTTTGAAGTCATCAGTTACACATACACACACACACACACACACACACACACACACACTCTCTCTCTCTCTCTCTTTTCAGCTTGAAAACCCAGAAGTGCAGCTATTATATTTTCTCTTTAAAAGAAATTATAAACAAAAGTGTTCTGTCTTATTTCCATTTATTTGAGGGTATGGAATCAAGTGATAAGAAGCCCTGGAAAAGAGAAAACTTATATTTAAAAATATTCTACAATATGATGTTTGCTTAATTAAAATAAAAATGTATTTTTGGACATAAAATAAGTTGTAGAAATGCTTATGAGAATTAAACAACAGAAATTCATGCCATTTTTGCCCGAGCACTTCAAATTCATGTAAGAATCAAGGCAAAATGTTTTTATACTATAGCATAATATAAAACTAAGTAAAAATGCATATAGGACAGTATTTTATAGAACAGTGGACTAAACTTAAAACCATTGCTAATAGAACTTTTCATTCATATGACACTATAATAAAGCCAATTAGGAGATTGGAGTTGGGGCCCAATTTTGAATTGGCTTTCTCTGCTGTAGTTATGGTACTTTCATGCCTATTTATCTGGGTAGTTATTTCCCCTGACAACCGTAAATGAGTTTTTTACATAATTTTATGAGAGCCATGTTATAACAATGAATTAGTAACTCCAAGATTCCAAGTGAATATTTTGCAGCTTTATTACAAGGCTTTGTGTCCGAATTCTGACTAGCGAGGGCCTCTGGAATGAATGGTAATTACATAGATGCACCTGCTAACCTGTTCTCTTTGAGCTTAGCACTAATTTTAAATTTCCCTCACTACTGAAAGCAGACCGAGTTTAAAATCAGCAAAAATCATGGTGAAATTTTGGTTCTTTTCGCATCAAGCACAAAATTTCTGGAGGAAAAAAAAAAAAGGTGATCACATAAGGATACCTGTGATGAAAGTGGTCATCTCCCTAGCTCATGGTATATTTAGAAACAAGTAGAACCTGACTTTGAGATATTCTTGAAAAACAAAAAAGGAAAAGAAAAAGATCAAGAGAGAAAGAGAAAGATAGAATCATCTTGAGTGGCTTCATTCCTTCAATATTAAGTATATGTCTGGAGCTGGAGAGCCTGGGAGTTGTCCACCGCTGAAGTAAGTATGTCAGGTACCCACTGTAAATTGTCCTCTGCATAAAACCTAAAGTCATTTTTCACAAAGGAACAGGGTGTGGCTGGATACATGTCATATCCAAGGGGCTTGGCTATACTTGTGAGTGAAACATTTGAGGTAGGACTAGAGCTGATTCTGTGCTTTTAGAAAAAATATCACTTGTTTATTGCACCAGGCAGATGTTCATTCTCCAGCGAGGGAAACAAAAGCTAAATAAAGAAGTTAACAAATTATAGTTCATATATTCTCATTATTTGTGGCTGTTATATTCCATAAGTTGTTGTGAAAACTGAATTAGCAAATTCTAAACCATATGTGAACTTCTCATCATAACATTTTCATCAGCCAATCAATACAACACCAAATTTGGGTGTGTTTCTGTTTAAGGACACTTTATATCATACATATTGTCCATTCACTAAGATTGAACTCAGATCCAACAGCACTGCAACTCATGCCTGAACAAAGCTTATCTTCCTCTCTTTGTTAGGCACATTACAGCCTTCCTGCACTTAGGAACTTTAGACAGCATTCAGCACCACACTTGAGGACCATTTTAAACAGCAAAATCAACAAGAAAAAGCAGAAAAAATTCCAAAAAAAGGTGGCACTAAATAGAATATCAAAAGGACACTTGTTTGGAGTATGAAATCTGAAATAAGAAGGCAGAGCTTTCCTTGTTACCCTGAAGCAGGCACATGTGCACTGGCTGACTCAAGTTTTCACAGATCTATGCATGTCACAAATGACTACAAAAGTGTACAAGTATTGATTTGGGGGTTACAAATATATTTTATTGGGTAGGCAGCTTTGTGAATACAGAATCCACAAATATGAAATCCACTAATGATGAGGATGAACTATATTCCTCCAATCTTGCCCCCACTATAGTAACTATCTAGATCCTGTGCAAGCATGCCACTCCATAATTAGCAAAAACACCAAAGCCACCTTCTTGGAGCCTCTGTCTCAGTTACTTGACCCCCACACAGCCCCACATCCCATTTTCATTTTTTTGGTGTTTACACTTCTTGGGACAAGAAATGCTTTTCTGGCCTTTGACTAGGCAGTAACACAAACAGCTTTTACAATAGCAGCTTTGTTTGGGCCCCTCTGTCAACCAGGGAAAGTGAATACAATGGAAACCTGGGGTATTCCAGAAAATTATCTTCTCTCTTAGCACTGCCATTTGTAGCTACATGGGGTTCAGGTGTGGTTCTGATATAATGAAATCTAGGACTAGCTGTCAATGGTAGAGACTTTGGAAGCACAAGGAACCCAGCAGCTAATTCTAACATGGGAAATGTAAATAGACACAATTTTGGATACGGAAGTAGACAAAGGTAGGAAGAATGAGAAAGCTGCTAACTTTTAGGGCCGCTTCATTGTATCTATAACTTAAAATTAAGTGAATATGATTAACAATGGAATTCTTATAGTCACATTTCCTATGAGTACTTTTCAAATTTTAACTCATCCATGAAATCAAATGCATATTGGGAAAATTTTATGATCTTACACAGTTAGACCTTATTGGGAAGTTTCTAGATTCACAAAAGGCCCCCAAAAAAGAATTATGTATGAACTTTATTTCTACATCAGGTCTTTAACGGAAGTGCCTTGTGGATGATGCGTTTGTGTGTGTGTGTGTGTGTGTGTGTGTGTGAATACATACATACGTTTATATGTGAATACCAATTTTCCTAATGTGTAATGTCCTCTTCAAAAGGAAATTGGGTACTTTATGATTATTCCATTTCCCACCCTAGCCTGCTCAGGTGCCTTTCAGGTATTCACAAATAACTAACTTTTCAGAGGCCTTCTACCATCTGCTATAGTTTAGCAACTCTTATGTATTCCAAAACATGAAGATTCATCTCAACTAGCTGATACAATTAAGTAATTCAATCCCATTTAATAATATAGTAACAAACAGAATTATCAGAGTTCCTAATGTAGGTTAACATTGATGATATTGTTACTGGTTGGAGAGAGTGTCATACCAGAAGTTCCCACTGGGAGTTACAAAGTAACCACAAAGCAAACATTTAGACAGGGGTATCTTCAAATACTATAAAGATTTCTAACTTAAGGCAACAATCTTCAGACCAATAGGTAATATACGAACACTTATTGTAAGTATATTTCCTATAATATAATGACTACAACTTTATAAGAAAGATCAGGCCAGGTGCAGTGGCTCACACCTGTAATCCCAGTACTTTGGGAAGCTGAGGCAGTAGAATTACTTGAGGCCAGGAGTTTGAGACCAGTCTGAGTAACAGTGAGACCACATCTCTACAAAGAACTTTTAAAATATTAGCCAGGCGTGGTGGTACACAGTTGTGGTCATAGCTACTCAGGAGTCTGAGGTGGAAGCATCGCTTGAGCCTGAGCAGTTGAGGCCGTAGTGACCTGTGATTATGCCACTGCACTCCAGCCTGGGTGACAGGGCAAGATCCTGTTTCAACAACAAAACAAACACACACACAAAATTAAATCTTTTGGAGCTTGAGCATGATCTCCCTATAACTTGATAACAAAACAAAATAGTGGCTACTGGGCTTCTTTTTCTCTTTCCTTTCAATAATTTGCTTCCAAAGGTAGAGCAAATGCCAAGAGTAAAATCTCCAGTCACTATATTTAAAATTGATTGGCCTCTTTTTGGACCCTCTTCAAAATAATAATAAACATTGACTTGCTGTATTAATTTGTCCTAAAATAAAAGAAAATGCATAGAAACATCTTCTGCTTGTTTTTACTTGATAACAATGTCCACAGGATGTAGGATGAGGTCACAGAAATTGAGAGGAAGTAGTGACAGAGACAAAGGAAAGGAAAGGTAACTGCTGCGTGTGGGTTCATTTGCTATGAAGTATAACTGAAAGCATAGAAAAAGATGCAAGGGTATGAAGGCTTTGGTATTAAGTGTTGAAATTTCAGGGCATTCCACTACTAATCTTACCAAAGTACCACAAACCAAAAGATTTCAGTGAAAACTGCTCTTCTCAGTATGAATCTTTATATAAGTTAGATACAAGCAATAGCCAGTTGAAATGGGAAAGGTTCCCTTGTCCCCCTTGAAAGGTGTGCGGCAGGGGGAATGACTCACTTCTTCAGTGCCCTGCTGCTGCTGCTTACCCCTCTAGGGGAGCATACAGATGGGCAGGGTGTGGGGTTCCGACCCCACGGCAGCACCTAGGGGTGAATGTTTACAGCTCCTGAAGCCCCAGTGGGCGTATGCTGCTGTGTGCTTTTTTAGTTTTGCCATCTACAGATGGCTTGTGTTAACCAGCTCAATTAGACCCTCTACCTGTTGCAAGGGCAGAGGGCTTTCTGTATCTCGGGTTCTTGCCTTGGTGTACCGGAAGAATCAGAGCACGCCTGGGCTTGGAGAATGAGTGCAAGGTTTTATTGAGTGGAAGTAGCTCTCTGCAGATGGGGAAAGCCAGAAGGGGATGGAGTGGGAAGACTTTCCCCTGGATTTGGGTGATTCAGTGGTCTGGGCTGTCTTTTGACCGCCCCTGCCAAACTCCACATCGTTCCGCTGGTCGATGGCCTGCCAGTGTCACAGTGCCTATCAGTGTGCTCTCGAGGTCTTCTTGACGTCCAGCCGCTTGTGTGTTCCTCTGTCGATGTGTTTCTCTGGATGTCCAGCCGCTTGTGTCTGCCTGCTAGGGCCTCAGGGTTTTTATAGGCGCAGGACGGTGACGTGGCAGGCCAGGGTGGTCTTGGGAAATGCAATATTTGGGCACCAAGGTAGGAGTGCCTGTCCTCACCTAGGTCCATGGGCACAGGCCTGAAGGTGAAGCCCTAGCCAGGGACCACGCCCTTCCCTTCCCAGCACCTCCCTGCCCCTACTTCGGTAGCACAGTGATGCAAGGTATTAGTAAAAAAGAAATGCAAACTGGCAGACTAACAGAACAGAGGCTGGGTTTTCTTTTAGTAAAACAGTTTTGTTTGAATATGCTTTACTTGGGATTTTTAAATTTGTTATTCACTGTACTATTATTAATACTTCATTCCTAACCACCATTACCCTTTACATTGACTGGCTTTGTTTGTCTAAACACTGGAAGCATTTGTACTTACAAACTATGGATTGAGACTAACAGGCAGGCAGATATGGTGTCAAATAATCTACAAAAGTGTACAGCAAAGTAGAATAGACTTTCCCTTCTGGTGTCCATCTTCTGCCATTATGTTAAGAATTGTAGGTGAGATTTTTGATAAATCTTAAGCATTTAAGGAAGAATAAATGTACATATTTTACAAGTAACATAACTCATTATCATGACTCCTGAGGCACTGGTGCAAAAGAAAAAGAGAAGAACAAAACCTTACAGTTATCAATTCTTAAGACCAAAGTTTAATTAAGAAAGAGGAAACATATCATGTGGAGAAACTCAAGGACAAAAGAGTTCCTATGATCCAGAATGACTTTTAAGGGGGTGTGTTTTCGGTTGCTTTGCATTCTTGCTGTTTTATTTTCAGTAGTGGTTGGGTTGGGGGCATATTATAGTATTTTGGATGGATGAGTTTTGCAAAGTGCCAGGCAATAAAACATCTGTTATAAAACATGTGTAATAGCTTTGGGGTATGGACCGAAACCAGTCAGTATTATTTTGAAGTGAGAGAATGAATGGCCAAATAAATAAGCACAACCTGCTATTTATTATTATGATGATGATTATTGTTATTTTAAAGGATCATTTAATCCAAATAATTTAGTTTTCCTATAAATTGCACATTTTACAAATATACTACCATAATGATATTTAACATATTCTTATAATATTCTATGTGACAGAAAAAGTCTGTACATTATACTCTAATCCTCTTTGTATTTCACTGGTTGGACATATTCTTGGAAATAGTGTAAAGATTATCATAAATTTATTTTTGATTTAAAACATTTTGTTTAAAAAATAGCCATTGAACATAGACTGTAGATAGCAAATTGAGCTAAGCACTTTAGTAAAATTAAAAAATATATATATTATCAACATCTCCAAAAGTTTAAATTATATTGAACAAAAACCATGGTTAAATAAAAGTGAAGGGGTTCAAAAGACTTTCAGATTTAAGAAAAGCTTACTTAGGTAAAGGGGAACAAGTATAGCATATGAAACACTAGGAATATATAATAAATATGAAGAAAGCAGAAGCTAGCATACTATGAGCATAGCGCATAGCAAAAACACGGTGTCCTTTGAGCTAAGCTATGTTATGCAGCACTGAGGTAAATATATACGACTTACGAAAATGTATTTCTTACTCTGCCAATGTGCACCAAGGAACTAGGTAACTCTCAAAGGCAGATGTCTTCTATATGGTGGGCTCTCATTCTAGATTATTTCAATCTTGTAGTATCTTCATATCAACATGTCTTTCCAGATTAAGGGAAAAATAAGCATAGATAATGTCAAACTACCTCTGAAATACTTTTTATCCAGGAATGATACACATCACTTACATTAATATTCGTTGACCAAAGCGAATCACATGATTATTACTGAAGTGAAGGAGGGAGTCTGGGTGCAGTGGTTCACGCCTGTAATCCCAGCACTTTGGGAGGCCGAGGCCGGTGGATCACTTGAGGTCAGGAGTTTGAACCAGCTTGGCCAACATGGTGAAAACTCATCTCTACTAAAAATACAAAAAATTAGCTGGGCATGGTGGTGCACGCCTGTAATTCCAGCTACTCTGGAGGCTGTGGCACAAGAATCGCTTGAACCCAGGAGTCAGAGGCTGCAGTGAGCCAAGATCGTGCTGCTGCACTCCAGCCTGGGTGACATAGAGCAACTCCATCTCAAATAAAACAAAATTTAAAAAGTCAAGGAGAGACATTCCTGGAAGAAGAAGAAATCTAGAACTTTGCTAATGACTAGTCATGTTTACCACATCACTGGATTAAGGATCAGTAAATTTTATTCTAACATTATCCAATGCACTAGTTCAAAATCAATATTCAATTACATAATGTTTTCATGATGTGATTGATTATCATTTATGTAAATTATGACATGCATAATACATTTATACATATACATAATATGTGTGTCTTTTCAATGATAATCAATTACATAATGTCTAAGCAATTTATACACATCGCCTCAATTAACACTAAATATAGCATCAGCTTTGCTTGTTAACAACGTACTAAAATACAAATGCAGTAAAACTTCTTCAAATGAACCCAAAAGGTTCTGGAAAAGAATGTTTTTATAGCTATCATTTTAACTGTGTTCCTGAAACCACTTCAAAATAAAAGAAATCAATTATTGGAGACCAAAACAGAAAATGATTACTTGCTACTAGAGGGCAGCAAGTGCTGGTGAACTCACTGGGGCAATTGTCAACCAAAAAATTATACTAGTTTTTCAGAATATATCTAGAACATTTCACTCAATTTGAAAATAATCTTTTTAAAGCATGTTCCTAGATAAGGCCATAGAGAAAGTATCAAGAATCCCACCCGAATCCCAAAAAAATGCAATGACAAAATTTAAAACTATCATTCATTTGGATATTTAAAAGCATATTTCTAACTTATTCAATAAAATATGACATGAAAACTCTTATGGCCTAAAAATGAGAGTTTTAACAGGACATGAATAATAAACAAAATCATATATATTTTAAAAACAGAAAAATCAGAACTACAAAAAAGGTAATAGTCATTGTAATTATTAAATAAAGATATGTACATACAGTGTATGTAATATGAGGGCAAGACACTATTAAAAATGACAAAGTTGACTTGAAACAGAATCAATTGCAGCTTTTATTTAGAATTTATCATTGAAATTAGAAACTAATGGTTTCTAATGGTTAAATACATTAGACATAGCTAAAGAGGCAATTGGGAAATTGGATGATACATCTGAAGGAATTGTCAGCAGTATGCTAGTAATACTTCCCTTCCAAAAAATTAGCTCGGATTTGTAACACGTGACAAACTTAAATATTCTGGCCATAACCATTTTCAAATTAATGATTGTTTAAAAAGTGGCTCACAAAATTTCTGAATATTTAAAAATTGGCTCTTGAAAGTTGTTATAGATCAATTACAGTATGTCTGAATACAGTATAGAGAATCAATAAAAATGATATAAAAGTGAAGAGGAAGGACAAAGTGATAAAGTCTAAAATGTATTTAATAAAGTTTACAGGAGAAAGATGTGAAGATACGATTTTCGAAGAGAATATAAATAAGGGTTCTTCATAGTTAATAAAGGATGCATGGTTTTAAATTCAAGAAGGTAAATGAATCCCAAGCAGAATCAATTTTTAAAAAATTGGTGAACCTACAGAATCTAAAAGGCAAATAAAATATCCTAGAACCAGCCGGAGATTACCTACAAAATAGTATTAATTATATTTACAGCTAATTTCTCAAAAACAACACAGCAAGCCAGATGATAGTGAATAATGCTTATAAGAGAATGACCAGATATGGGACCATCCCCACTCACATGAATCAATGCAGAGATTGTGCTGTGGAGCCCTGTAACCTATCCCTGCCCTTTTTTATTACGCGAACAACAATAGAAAGTGGGAGCTCTCTCCTTTCATCTAAAGAGTGAGGGCAAATTATGGAGAGGAGAGATGTAGAAAAGGGAATTTCTTAAATCTGTGAATCAAGTCCTAGGCAAAGTCTTAAGTAATATATATGCAAAACTGACCATAAGCAGCGTGATGAATGCTTTGAGAAATGCACTACAAAGTGGACTATGACCAAAGATTCAGCTTGGTCTCAGTGCAGTACACAAGTGAGACAAACTAGAATAATTTTTCAAGAAATTCTCAAAAATAATAAAATAAAGATAATTACATGCTTTGATATTTTAAGACACTTCTAATATGATACTTATATGATAAGGTATATAGTCATTGCACTTTATATAATAAAAAGAATAAAAATTTTTTTATTTTGAATATTAATATGGTTAGGATATAACTTAAACATGTAAAATAGAACAGCAGAATATGTCCTAAGAATGCAGAACAAAAGCAGATGAAAATTAAAAGTAGATAAATGAAATGAAAAACAATTAATAGCAAAAATGAACAAAGCCAAAAGTTTGTTATTAAAATATGTAATAAAATTTAAAGATTTTATTGACAATATTGATTCAGAAAATCGTGAGAGGGAATGAATAAACAACTTTGAGACTGAACAAAGTCTATAATTAATATACATAGATATTAAACAGATAATAAGAGAAGAAAACATTTATGTCAACAAATTTGATTAGGTAAAGTTGACATTCTTAAATAAAATAATAAAAACTCTTTACAAATAAATGAAAAATTGAAAGAAAAAAACACTGATGGACTATCATGAAACACAACTGTAATAATTTGTGTATCAAAATAAATACATAGCAATCAGTTAAAATGTGTTGAATAATTTTAAAAATGAATCTATCAGTCTATAGCAATACATAAAAATAATGAAAGATTTTTCTTACAGGGGACTATGAATGAATATAGATGAAAAATGGAGCTGAAGTTTGCCCTTATGTGTTTTCTGCCCTCTGTTTAATACATATTGCAGCTCTGTTTCTCCGTGGCCTTTGTCATTTCCTTATCCATCTCATCCCCACACTCACATATACACATAGAGACACATTGAATTTATTCTCTCTTATTCCAGTTTCTCAATGCATGAGTGATTTCCTAAATCATCACTGTCTGAATTTCCAAAGATGAGGTCCCAATTTCTGTTAATCTTAGGAAACTCATTCATCAGGATGATTTCAATATCATGTCATCTTTCCTGCTCCTTAATTAAAATGTAGTGCCCTATGGTTATTTGTAAGTTTCAAAGTTGCGGTTCACTTATGTTGCTGTGAACACCATTTTAGCTCATCATAAGGTATTTTAGGCTGATAACTGCTCTACCAGTTATGTACTCCAGGACAATAATTTGTCTGAGCTTGAAAGGAAGCTGACTGGATCCCTTAGAAAGCTCAGCTGGCCCATATTGATTTCACTTGCCAGAGAGCCTTGCTCCCAACTCTGTCCTGTGTTCCTACACTGTGGACAGGTTTAGCAACAGACCAGTCTTTTTCTGGTCATCACTGTTACTCTAGGCAAAATGTTACCTTTTGGCAATAAATCTCACATATTCCAGGAAATATTTTTCCGTGCTAAATATCCCAAATTCTTAATTATTTTATCCATTACATGTAAGATGTAACTTCCAGACTCTGGATCATCCTAGTTATCTTTTTCATATTTGCTCCAAGAAGTAGACAGAAAGTAAATAGTGGGACAAGCATCCTCTAATTCCACTTGTTTATGACTTGTCACTTCCATTAATATGTAAAATATATGAAGACAGGCACCCATATTAGGCACATGTGAATGAATATTGTCTGTTATTAGTGTTGTTCCTGAGACATTTTTTTTAGGCTAATTACCTGAATTCTTTCCCAAACTCTTTTAATTATGAAATTAAATTTATTTTGTGTCTCCAACTCTCAAATACCTAACAATTAGTGATTTCTTAAATTAATCTCTATCAGAGTTTTTGAAAGAATGGGTATGTAATATTCACGTACTATGGTCTTAATCTGAATTCCAAGACTCCAAGTGTTTCTTAGACAATGCAGCCTAGACTGGGACAATGACTTGCATATACAGTGTGTGAAATGAAGCCTAAATTTTTCAGCTGGCTTATTGTTCCACAAAAATGTCAGCAACATGAAGGAAATCTTAGAATATTGTGCTATTAATGCCCATCTTTTTTTCTAAATAGATATTCCTGGTCAACTAACTGTGTTAATATGTCATGATCACTACATGATCAGTACCTTTTTTATGTTTGCCTTTTTAATGTGTTTGCTGGAGCCGGAGTTAAAGATATAAACTCTCTTGTCAACAAAACTTTCTGTGGTAACTTTTCTGCATAATATATTTTTTAGTTTACAACCTCTGTAGGTGCTAGTTATATCAATTACTTGAACTCTTCCCCCGCTCCCCTCCATTCTTCAGTACTACAAATATTGTCTACATCCTCATGGATCCATTGAAACCACACAGTACTTATGATTTTTTGAGGGCAAGGACAACTTATATCTCCTGAATCTAACACAGTGGCTATCTCAACACAACAGCTGTGTTAGTAGTAAAGGAACTGCAAGGGAAGAAGAGTAAAGAGAGGAGGGAAGAAAAGGAAAGGGGAAAATAATGGAGAAAATATTGACTAGCAGAGAAGGATCTGAATGCACGTTTTATTCATTAGACCGAGGCATTCTCTATAGACCCGTAGGTCCAATTTTATAGCTTTTCTTTATGATCATCACACTTCATGACAAAAACAATTGAGTGATATCTCTCCTAATTCTCACTGTGGCAGAGCTTCCTTATTTTAGGGAGAGAAACGGTTTACAAGCCTTTGCTATTCATTATACTGGAGAGACATTACAAAGGCGAAATGTAGAGAAAATGGGTTTGGGCTGGAACTCTCTCTTCTCTGGCTGCCAGCAGTGAAGAAGGAAAACAGTATTGTAAATGTGATTTTATTGTCCTGTGACTATTAAGTGGGTAGCACATTTGGTCCTAGCACTTACCCAGATTGTTAGTAAATGAAAAAGAGAATCATTCAAGATTGGGAGGAAATCCAATCGGTCTTATCATTATGAAAGCACATTACTTTTGTGCTATGATTCCATCAGGTTCTAAATATTGATTTTGCTAGAATGCAATCAAATAAGTAGTTAAAAAAAAACAGGGTTTGGTTTTCATATTTATGGAATAAAGTCTTATACTGAAAAATGTACACATTGTCTAATGTGCATTTTTTGTGTATTCTTCCTTTATGATTCCACAGACCTTTATGTTTCCATAATCACTCTTCTATGTTTCCACAGAAGAGGAAGAGGCATTCAATATGTCATATACAAACATGGAGTTTCCCAAAGAGACCTTGAGATTTGAGATCAATCTCAAAGTTTGTGTGATGCCATTTCCTATGCAATATGCATTTCATTACCTTCACTTTCAAATTTTTGTTTCTTACTTTCAATAAACCTATGTAAAAATCACCTCTTCCAGCAAGCCTTCTGAAAGAGTATCCTATGCAAGTGTGCTCACTGACCTTCATTATAGATGCTTTTAAGAAGGGATTGTAGGCCGGGCGCGGTGGCTCATGCCTGTAATCCCAGCACTTTGGGAGGCCGAGGCGGGCGGATCACGAGGTCGGGAGATCGAGACCATCCTGGCTAACACGGTGAAACCCCGCCTCTACTAAAAAAAAAAAAAAAAAAAAAAAAAAAAAAAAAAAAAAAAAAAAAAAATTAGCCGGGCATGGTGGCAGACGCCTGTAGTCCCAGCTACTCGGGAGGCTGAGGCAGGAGAATGGCGTGAACCCAGGAGGCGGAGCTTGCAGTCAGCCAAGATTGTGCCACTGCACTCCAGCCTGGGCGAAAGAGCGAGACTCCGTTTAAAAAAAAAAAGAAGAAGGGATTGTATAGCTTATGTCTAACTTATACACTTGTTCAGGAGAGATGTCTGTTCTGCATCCACATTACTCAGAACAGGGCCACATATGTAGTAGATTTTCAAATCTCTTTAGGAGTTTGTCTTGGGAAAAGGATTTATGATTCCTGGAGAGGGGACTATATGATGATCAGGTGTTGGTGATCCAGAGAAAGTTGAGCTCCAAGTTCTGAAATCATTTCTCAAAGTCACCTTCAGAAATTTGTATCAGTGTGTGTGTATGTATGTATGTGTATGTGTTTGTGCATGTGTGTGTATGTGTGCGTGTGTATGTGAGTGTGAGAGAGAGAGAGAAAAAGAGAGTTGCCTTTTTTGTTAATTAAGTTTAATGGGCTATGCCTGAAGTAGTTCAATGGGTCTCAGTGAGTGAGGCTTAATGTAATACTTATCATAATTTTTTTTTGTGAAGCATAAAGTCCTATAAAGAGGTAAGATAGAATAGAGACACGAATGATAGTAGTCACAAGAAGAAAAAAATTATTAAAAAGGGAAATAAGAAAGAACCTGAGAAGACACGTTTAAAATGATCAGTGAAAAAAATCTAGAAAATAGCAAAAGTGACTATTACATTTATAGACAAATAGCTTTTAAATTTTTTGAAACGGAACACATAAAAATTTAAAGAATTGAATGTAAAATGCCATGTATCATTTCTACACAAGAAGCCAAATTATATTGAGTCCCTTTCAAATCATTGTACGCAGCGGAATGTGCAGCACAAAGCACAATCTGTTCTTCAGTGAATTATTAGAAACTCCTTAATAGAATCTCATTCAAAATGGGCTAAATCTGTTTCAACAACTTTAATCCTGAGACCAGGGCAAGATTCATGCGCATAGGTGATCTGGCTTCCTTATTCCTCATGGAATGAGTCTATAAATTCTCTATCAAAAACTAACCAATATTATCATAGCAAAAGAGGTTTCTAAAGTTCAAAGTTCAAAACACTTTTCTGAAGTTTTCTGTATTCTGGAATATAATAATTAGTAAAATAAGAATTTATATTATAGTTCCATTTCTATGGACGCCTATCCAGTTCAAAGTAGGGAATGTAAACACAAGCGCTCTTGTGTTTATGTAGTTCACATACAATGACTAAGATAAAGTTATATAGTAATCACTCCGAGTAGCTTTCATAAAATGTAAAACATTGGCTGGGCATGGTAGCTCATGCCCGTCATCCCAGCACTTTGGGAGGCTGAAGCAGGAGAATCACTTGAGCCAAGGAGTTCACGACCCTGTCTTGATAAGAAAAAAAAAAAAAAAAGATTTAAAGCATTGATAGAGTGATACAGAAAGTAATAGTAAATCCCTAAATCCCTTCTGCATAGACGTAGGTCACCCTTCCCTCTGCTTAACAACATTATTGTATATAAATGTGTAACATACATATACTACATAAGTAATTATAGATTTATATATAATATGGAAAGATTTTAAAAACTGAGATGTATAGTTTACATAATGTACAATTATATATTATATATAATAGTATATACCCATAAAAAGTATACATAGATGCATTTTGTCATGATGAATATGGATGAACCTATATTATTTGTATTCGGTAAACTCTATAATGTTCAAATAACTGCAATTATTTTTTTCTTGTAATAAATACACTGTCAATAATAAAATATATTATCAATATCAAAATTATTTTTATTGTCATGATAAAATTTTAGACTAAAAGAGTTCTTGCATATATTCTTACATGTATTGTTAGTTTATATATACATGTGTATATGTGTCTGTGTGTGTGTATCTATAGAGTAGACCCAACTGCACTCAAGATTTTGTAACAAGAGTAAGCATTTTAGATTAACACATTCCTCCAAGAGAAAATAGTTCTGGTCCGAGCACTGTTAGTGTCCGTGGTTGATTAGAATCAAATGCTCTTTCTACAAAAATGTTCTAATTAGGGGGCAGTATATGACTGGTATCAATCTCTTGTTCATAGAACAGTATGTTTCTTGACTTCCTGGCAATCAAATTCTCCTATTTTTTTTTTTTTTTGCTACATTTCTGCCAATATATTCTTTGGTATTCATCATCTTCTAATGAAACTTTAAACACTGAATTTTTAAACACCAGAATCTATGTATCTTTGTCTTATTCCTTACTCTCTCCTCAGGTGCTTTCGGCCACAGCCTCAATGGCCACATGTATGCCAAGCCTCTCCGATACTTTGCACCAGCCTAGATTACTCCACACAGTTTAAAACCTGTGTATTGCCAAATGTCTGCGTAATATCTTTACTAATTTTGAACCTGGGTTGCTCTAGTTATACAAGTTAAAATCATAGGAATGAGTCTTGGCATTTTCTTTTCCTTCATATCGTGCAATGGACTTAATGTTATGTCCCTTTCAAATTCATAAGTTGAAACCTAACCCCAAATGTGATGGGATTGAAAAGAGGGGCTTCTGACAGATGATTAGGTCATGAGAATAGAAATCTTCTAATCGGGGTTGGTATCCTTATAAAAGAGACCCCAGAGAGCCAACTTGCCCCTTTCACCGTGTGAGAACACAGTAAGAAAGTGCCATCTATGGACAAGAAATCAGGCCTTTTCCAGAAACTGAATCTGTGGGCGTCTTATCTTGGACTTCCCAAGTTCCAAAACTGTGAGAAATAATTTTTGTTGTTATAAGCTATCTGGTTTATGGCATTTTGTCTTAGAGGCCCAAATAGACTAACAGATGTGCCATATTTCGTTTATTCCAATTCATGTCACTTTATTACCTAAAACATTTATATAAATACCCACATCTTTTCATCTCTACTGCTGCACTGGGTTAAATTAGTATGTCTCCTAATAACCAGTTTGGACCATAATCCCAAAAGACACAATCCTGAATGCCATAATCCCTGATGTTGAAATTCCAAAAGAGTGAAATCTCAAAAATATAATTCTGGAAAAATATTTTTAATTATTTAAAAAATATTTACTTACATTTTTTAAGAGAAGATTTATTTGAGAAAAATATAAAACATGGCAGAACACTTCATAGGCCACTTTACACGATAAAATAAGCAATGATAACATAAATATTTTTGTATGCATTAACATTCAGTTATACTAACAGCAGTCTCACAGGTATAACAGTTATGAGCAGATGAACTGTGTTAATAAAGAAATCAAAAATGAAATGTCTAAACACATATCACTATGGTTGGTAATTATGTACACCAGTTTTGTAACTGCAGTCATCCAAAATATCAAGATGAACAACCTGTTTTTTGACAAGATTGATCAAAAACCATGTTGGGTCACCACCATATTTTCAGTCACTCTACAAGATGAGATCTTGAGAAATTTTGTCTTTCACAAACGCAGATGTACATAAAGAACATCTCTCCACTTATTGAGAGGGTTTAAACACGTTTACGTACTTGAACAATGCTTATACACAAAGACAATTTTGTGACAATGCACTTTCATGGAGACAAATTTGCAAAATATATATAAAATAAATTTGAACTCTTTGAAAGTCCTTATACATTTTATATCTCCAGTATTGGAAATGATGTGAAGGTAAAATACATAACATAGCCAACTGTAAAAAATAACACTGACAATTTAAAATAGTAGGGAAAAACACAAAAAAAGTAAACCCTAAAAATTAAAAACAAAATAGTCATATATGAAAATGTATTGTAGGACAGATTATGGGCAATTGTGAAGAGGTAGTCCATAAGAGCTGACCAAACTTCACCTTCATTAACTATATTTTGTAGTCTTGCATTGTGATAACTAGCTGCTTTTTTCTTCTTGTAGGGCATGACTTTCATCAGAAAATATATTCACATTCATTTTCTAGTTGACACTGCTCTTTTTGGAATTCTTCTATGGTTTGATATACACTGATATGAGCATTCCTTATCAAATTTTCCCATCTTCTATGCCATGGCTCGATGTTGCCTTGGCTATGCAGAAATCCACTCCATATTCACTCGTATACAGAGCACATATCTGGCAGAAACAATACTGGGAATCTAAGAGCAACTATCTAACATCATTTTTTAACTATCTTCTTATAGTATTGTGCACAAAATTATTTTTGAATCAGTCAGCAACTTCTCTGGCTTCTTTGGGCAGATATTCCCCACCTCATCCAGCCAAACTTCAGCTTTCAAGGTTACAACAATTGGGATTTTAAGCATTTGGGATTGTAATTTTCAGGACTTTAGACTTTAGGGATATTGATCATTGAGGATTTCAACATTCATTATCGGGGAACCTGCCCCGATAGTCACGTAGGTTCTTTTCTATTTTCCTTAAGCATTGGCCAGTTTGAGAAATAAAGGGACAGAGTACAAAAGAGAGAAATTTTAAAGCTGCGCGTCCGGGGGAGACATCACATATCAGTAGGTTCCATGATGCCCCACAAGCTGCAAAACCAGCAAGTTTTTATTAGGGACTTTCAAAAGGGGAAGGAGTGTATGAATAGGGTGTGGGTCACAAAGATCACGTACTTCAGAAGGTAATATAATATCACAAGGCAAATGGAGGCAGGGTGAGATCACAGGACCACAGGACCGGGGTGAAATTAAAATTGCTAATGAAGTTTCGGGCACCATTGTAATTGATAACATCTTATCAGGAGACAGGGTTTGAGAGCAACCGTTCTGGCCAAAATTTATTAGGCTGGAATTTCCTCATCCTAATAAGCCTGGGAGTGCTATGGGAGACTGGGGTTTATTTCATCCCTACAGTTTCAACCATAGAAGATGGCCACACCCAAGGGGGCCATTTATAGACCCACCCTCAGGGGTGCATTCTGTTTCTCATAGATGTTCCTTGCTGAGAAAAAGAATTCAGTGATATTTCTCCCATTTGCTTTTGAAAGAAGAGAAATATGGCTCTGTTCCTCCTGGCTCACCAGCCGTCAGAGTTTAAGGTTATCTCTCTTATTCCCTGAACAATTGCTGTTATCCTGTTCTTTTTTCAAGGTGCCCAGATTGCATATTGTTCAAACATACATGCTCTACAATTTGTGCAGTTAACATAATTATCACAGGGTCCTGAGGTGACATACATCCTCCTCAGATGACAGGATTAAGAGATTAAAGTAAAGACAGGCATAGGAAATCACAAGGGTATTGATTGGGGAAGTGATAAGTGTCCATGCAATCTTCACAATTTATGTTTAGAGATTGCAGTAAAGACAGGCATAAGAAATTATAAAAGTATTAATTTGGGGAACTAATAAAAGTCCATGCAATCTTCACAATCCACGTTCTTCTGCCATGGTTTCAGCCGGTCCCTCCGTTTGGGATCCCTGACTTCCTGCAACAATTCATGACTATGGTGCCTTGGATTGTGTCTTTCAGGATTGTGATCAGCACCACCTAATATCTACTCTTGGCCTTGAATGTTGACTCTCTACATTACATACTACATTATCTTAAAATAAGAACAAACCCCATGCTGCTCCCCTGATTAAAACTTTAAAGGATATTTCCATTGTTCTTAAAAAACAGATCAAAATATTTAACCACCCTGACTATTTGACCAACCTCACCATGAACCTCTTCCATTACTCTCCATCCTGTAACAACACTGGCTTTCTTTTTGGTTTTAAAGTCATTTTATGTTCTCTCTTGTTTCAGGACCTTTGCTTACTCTGTTTCTCTTCATGGACTGACTCTTTCACTCTCTGCTCACTTACAAAGTTAACTCCAACTGACCTTTTATGGTTCAGCAAATTTCTCAAGGAAACCTCTAGAAACAATAGGAAGGCCCTTTGTTTATAGTACCCTTTACTTGGCTCCTTTGTACACTTATTACAACTTAAGCAATTGTACAATTTGTGTTCTTCTATGCTGGTACGTAAGCTTAAAGGAATAGTTCTGTCTTGTTCACTGGTTTAGTCTGAAGAATTTTTCTATCACTCTTTTCCACAAAGCATGAAAGTGAAGGAGAGCAACAAATATTTGTTGAGTTAATAATTTAAAGAAATAAATTTAAAAAGTTTGTTTAGAATATTTATAGAAAATGGCAGTCCATTTGTTGTCTAAGATGCTTTAAAGGAATTATCACCAACAGGAAGAATAAACTGGATGACATTTTACAATCATCCCTTAACTCACTCTTTTGTTTTAAGATTTAACTGTCTAAGATCTTGAAAATTCCTAAGAACAACTCTCTGAAGAATAAGTCCAAAGCTGGTTGCCCTTTCTTGTATTTGTTTCTGTTCATGTAAATCTCAACAGTCATCCTATTTTTCAGGTTAAACCAGGAAACTTAACATTTAGGAGATAAAGGTTAAGTTTCCTGATATATATATATGCAATGCTTTTCCAACTTGTAAAGTTTGTCTCAGGGATGTCTGGGGCAGCAGCAGAGGGCCATGTATGCAACAGAGCATCTAGTGGAATAGTAACTAAAGTTATCAAATATCACCCAAAAACTTTATTAACTTCGGTATATTTTTCAGAAAGCCTCCAGGAGCAGGCAGATGTCATTCTCCTATTTGCACTATTCCACTGCAGAGAACTAAAGTTTAAACTATCAGCTACCTGTCATTTCTGGAATTGCTGCAGATAAAAACTCTTTGATGATTTCAGTTTTCTGCTGCTTGCTTGCAGGCTTACAGAGAATAATTGCTACCATAAGAAACACTACTGAAATTGACAATAAAAACAGAATTTGGCTGGAAGTACATTGTAATTCTGTTCTATATTGGTGAGTTGCACTGCTGGGATGAGTGTTTGTTTAAAACCAAAACACCAAACAAAGCCCCAACTTTAATGAAAATGTTGTAGAGAGAATCATCGTTGAGATATTTATGGCTACTAGGATAGAAATTGTTTACTTGAAAGATAAAATTAGCTGCTTCTTAGAGTGAATTATTTGGGGAGTATAAACTGCTGCCAATATACTTGGACATGTCTGTAATGGTACAGAAAAGACAAAGAGTATGAAGTGTGAGTGAGGCATTTTGTGAAAAAAAAAATAGAGACCAAAGCAAGACAGTGTTTGTGTAGAAAAAAATTATAAGGGAAGTAGATATGAGAAATAAGAGAAAGTAAGTTGACAAAACATATGAAAAGAGTAGGAATAAAGGAAAGAGAATAAAGAATGGATAAAAATATGTATGCAAGATTAAAATAGCTAAGTCCAGTTGTCACTATTTATTATATTTCCTTCCTACACTTTTGCTTATGTTCTTTTTCTGCTGGGATTGAAAAATATATATGTATAATTATATGTGATGATAATTTAATAATTATTTCATATACACATGTCATAAATGTACTATTACCACCTGGGTAACTTTTGCACACAAGAAGCCATTATTGATGGACACTGATTTGTACTAATGAACAATTGAGGGCAAGAGGGAAGAGAACCATCTATTTTGGAGAATTTCAGAATATGGTTTTGATCCCATAATGGCCAGTTGAAATTGTGTAATCTTGTTAGATAGACATGAATCATAGCTGAAATTAGTGTACCTTATAAAAGTTCCATATAAAGTTTTAGTCCCTTCCTTGGCACTTAATTACCTACAAGTTCATCACTACTCCAATCTATAAGAACACATATTCTATAGCAAACAAATTGTTGAGTGAGAAGTAGCAAAAACAAACCTAAAGATAAAAAATTTGATTTTATCTGAATTTCTGGGCTCTTTATCTTCACCTTGTTAATATTAGGTATTTGTGATACACAGAACCTGCTTATAAGCAGTAGCATTAATTTTTTAAAGGTTCTGTGCTATTAGGGTAAGTTGGTATCAAAGGTTTTGATACTGGCCTTTCCAAAGGGGCTCAATAAATCAGATAAACACCAAAGTTACTGTTACACTATTAACTAAGGTAAAGCTGAATGTAAAATATTCTAAGGCAAGAAGAAAAACAGATTATCACAAAGTAACCCTGATTTAACAAGGAAGTAGAAAATAAAGGGATATAAAATGATTTATTCATAAGAACAAATAAGTAAGAAACATTAGCAAATATTGATTTTAGAATCTATACTCTCTTAGTTTGACTAGGGCATCCCATAGAGCACCCCAAGTTATACTGAAGTCCCACAAAGACCTTTTCAGTTACCTCTTAATGATCTTGTTCTGTTATATCCGTCTGAGCTCCAAATGCAATCACTGTGTATTGAATATGCTGTATACAAGATGCTTCAATGAGAGCTTTCAAATATATTATACATGTAATCTTTCTAACAACCCAATGGATAATTATTAGTCCCATTTTACAGAGGAAGTAAATTTGAAGGTAAAATAAAATAATTGGGTCAAGAATAATACCTATGTTGTGGTGGTATAGTGACTTCTGAAATGGATGAATGATAAGCACAGCAAATCCACTCCCATAAAGCAATAATAAAACTAGAAATAGATTGTCAAAACAACTTTTGGACACTGGACATTAAAAAGGGGTATACATTAAATTGGGAAGCATTTGTTTAAGCAAAAAGTTTAAGGCTTAGTGAGAATATAGAAGGTATTCTATGTTTTAGCCTGGGATTACTATCATACCCACTCCAGGTTCAAGACATTGAAATAGAATATAGGACAAGAACCACATAATCATCTCAATAGATGTGGAAAAAAAGATTCGATAAAATTTAACATCTATTGATGATAAAAACTCTCAACAAACCAGAAATAAAAGAAAATGCCCTCAACCTGATAAAAGACCTCTACAAAACAGTTGAAATTATACTTAATGGTGAAAGACTAGATATTTTCCCACTAAACTTGTTAAGGATGTCAGTCTCACCACTTCTATTCAACATGATATTAGATGTTTGAGCCATTGCAGTCAAGAAATATAATACAAACCAGTCAGGATGCAAGAGGTAAAACTGTCTGTATTCACAGATGACATAACTTTATATTGAGAAAATCCTAAGGAAACCACATAAAACCAAAGAAAGAAAAAAAAATGAGTTCAGTAAGGATGCAAAATATAAGATCAATACAAAAAAATCAATTGTTTTACATATACTAGCAATGAGCAATCCAAAACTGAAATTAAAAATAATTTCATTGAAAAGAGGACCACAAAATTAAACAACTAGTATTAAATTCAAGAAAAAAATGGTGAAGCTTTTACACTGAAAACTACAAAATATTGCTAGAGAAATTATATAAGACCTGAATAAAGGGAATGCCATTTTACATTCATGGATTAAAAGACTCAATATAGATGGCAATTTTTCCCCAAACTGGTCAATAAATTCCATGTTACCCCTATCCAAATACTTGCAGGCCCCTCCCCTCTCCTCCCCTCCCCTCCCTTCTGCCCTTCCTCCCTCCTTCCCTTCTTTTTTTTCTTTCTTTCTCCTTCTTTCTTTCTTTTTCTCTTCTTATTTATTTTATTTTATTTTATTTTATTTTATTTTATTTTATTTATTTTATTTTATTTTATTTTATTTTTATTTTTTGAGACGGAGTCTTGCTCTGTCGCCCAGGCTGGAGTACAGTAGCGCGATCTCGGCTCACTGCAAGCTCCGCCTCCTGGGTTCACGCCATTCTCCTGCCTCAGCCTCTCGAGTAGCTGTGACTATAGGTGCCCGCCACCATGCCCGGCTAATTTGTTTTTATTTTTTTTAGTAGAGATGGCGTTTCACCATGTTGGCCAGGATGGTCTAGATTTCCTGACCTCTTGATCCCCCACCTCAGCCTCCCAAAATGCTGGGATTACAGGCGTAAGCCACTGCGCCTGCCTGCCTTTCTTTCTTTTTCTTTCTTTCTTTTTCTTTCTTTTTCTTTCTTTTTCTTTCTTTTTCTTTCTTTTTCTTTCTTTCTTTCTTTCTTTCTTTCTTTCTTTCTTTCTTTCTTTCTTTCTTTCTTTTCTTTCTTTTTCTTTCTTTTTCTTTCCTTTCTTTCTTTCTCTTTTCTTTTCTTTCTTCCTTTTTCTTTTTTTATTTTTCTTACAGAAATTGGCAAGCTGACCTAAATTTATGTGGAAATAAAAAGAATCTAGAATGGCCAAAACAATTTTGAAAAAAAAATTGGATAACTGATAATTTACAATTTTAAAATACATTATAAAACTACAGTAACCAACACAATGTGTTATAGGCATAAACTAGGCGCACAGATTAACAAAACAGAATCAAGAGTTCAGAAATAAACATGTATTATGGTAAATTGATTTCTGATAGTGTCAAAGTAATTCCAAGAGAAAACTATAATTTTTCACAACATATGCAATATATGAACATGTTATGCTAATATGAACATATTGTGCTAAATGAAAGAATCTGGCTACAAAATAACATATATTGTATGCATCAATTTGTATGAAATGTCCAGAATAGGCAAATCCATATGGACAAGAAATAAATTATCAGTAGTCTAAACCTAGAAGTGGAAAAGAGGTCTGACTTCAAGAATGGAGTAAGAGATATTTTTAATCTGATGGCAACTTTCTAAAACTAAGTGGTCGTGATGTTTGCATAATTTGGTAAGCTTATTAAAAATCATTGAATTGTACACATAATATGAGCAAATTTCATTATAGGTAAGACTTACACAAAGCTGTTTTTCGAAAAAACATTGGCTACCATTTATTAGCCACCTCTTTGTTTCATGAAAAAGCCTATGTGCTTCAACATTTTTAAATTTAATTTTCAAATCTTCAGAAATGTTTTGTTTTTTTTTCAGATGGGGAAACTGAAACTCATAAGGTTAAATAGCATGCTCTAGCTTTCTAGGCTAGCAAAGCCTAACAAACTAATAATGCTTTCTAAGGCTATAGTATAGTGGGTAAACAAGGCAAATATTTATTGAAATGTATTAAGTAGATGATGATTTAGGGGATGATAATTTCATTACTCTGTATATTTCCTTTAAATATGTAATTTTTCTACTACATTGACAGAATTTGATTATCATTATATATATTAACATATATACTGAACCTTGGACATACAAATATTTTCTGAAGGCCTGAATCAGAGGATTGGTGTATAGATATTGAGAATGGCCCATTTCTTGTATTCAATTATAAGCACTTCTAAATTTCTGAAAAGCATTTAAATTTCTTTTTTGTTTGTTTGTTCCATAACTTGACTTATTACTATCTTTTAATAACATTGAGGTACTCCTGAGTAAATTTTGGTTGTTGGTCTTAAACTAGTTTAAACTAGAGGATGAATTGATCATCCAGGGTAGTTCCGTTTAATCACAGAGCAGCTTAACAATTGAAAAAATATATAGAAAACCTGAAGATGCACACACACAAACACACACACACATAACTTAGTCCTTTCCTACATCTGTATTGATTTCTTCTATAGGCCTCGTTTCATAATGTGCCCTGGAAATTAAAGTATCTGTTTAGTTCCAATAAGACTTAAGAATCTATTTGTATTCTTAGGTGGTAATTTATGTAATATTAATGGATACTTTTGAAAAGTAGCTAATTAACAGCTGACTTTAATTTTCTCTTTTAAAAAAAAGACACTGAGCATAATAAAAAAATAGAAAATGAAGGTATGACAAAGGAAGGAGGAAGGAAGGAAGGAAGGAACGGCAAGGGAAGAAGGGAGGGAGGGAGGAAGGAAGGAAAACAAAAAACAAAAATCACAAACTCTTTTCTCCTCTCTTAATAGTGGTGTTGATTTAATTAGCAGAAAGACAGCCTCCATCATGAACATTTGGTGAACTGTGTGGTACATAGTGTATGTGATTACCTTATGCCCATAAAAACAGCTAAATAATTTAAATGCAATTCAATGAAAATGTATTTTCAGTGGGAAGTTCAGGAGTTGGGTGATAGATTAAAAACTTCCTGAAACACAAGTATTTTATAAAATACTGCCATAAATATTCAGAATAAATTATATTTTGTTTCCCTCTTACGTAGCTAGATTTCTTCATTTTTTGCTGTTTTCCAAACAGCACTGAATAAATATATACTGAATTATTTTGATGCTTCGGGAATGAAAATGTAAGAATTCAGCATTATCATTACAGTTAAAACACACAAAGTTGCCTTTGCTGTGTGACCACCTTTCAAAGGTCTGATTCTACCTCGTACCAGTCCCTACCCACATGGGACAACCTTTTACTCACCTACAAAAGATTAATGGCTTTGTTTTCCTCTAGCCCACAATCAGACTTTTCAGCCCCTTCTAGAACTGATTTTTCATTTTATGCAAAGTATGTTGGTGGGCTTACATCATTCCCTAGTGGAAAGGGATTTGTGTCTGAAACAAGTACTGAAACCATCTTCACTAATTGGCC
Organism: Homo sapiens; assembly: GCF_000001405.40. Taxonomy (NCBI): domain Eukaryota; kingdom Metazoa; phylum Chordata; class Mammalia; order Primates; family Hominidae; genus Homo; species Homo sapiens. The sequence continues at coordinate 40,603,999 of NC_000018.10, forward strand.
CCTCTGATGGCCGGCAAAGCAAAGAGACCAAGAGCTAAATGGGCCATAAAAATTTAGCTACAACCTCATCTAGAAGCTATCCCTTTAGGTCAGGTTAGCCGGTCTGATGATGTGGGGAAACATACTCCCTCTGCTCTAACAGAGTCTGTTTTGTGAGTAAATAAAGCACTGCTACTTATCTTAAGTAACGCCTAATAATACACCCACCTAATTTATTATACTATATTTTATCATCTTGTACCTTAAATTAATTCAAAATACATAATCTATTTAGATTAGCTTTAAACAAAATGGGGTCCCTGGATCACCTACATCAGTTTCACCTTGAATGGCTGTTTAACATAAAGATTTCTGGACCCCACCTCAGAATCAGATTTTGTAAAGCTTCAAAAACTTGATGGAGATTTAAACCGGATGGGATCTTCAAAACTTTTCTCTTTAGGCTATGCACCATCACTCGCGACTGTAATGCCAACACTTTGAGAGGCTAAATGCAGGAGGATTGCTTGAGGCCAGGAGTTAAGAGAAGCTTGGACAACATCGGGAGACCCTGTCTCTGCAAAAAATAAATAAAATAAAAAATAAAACTCTTTTCTATAGAGAGTAGCATCATCGTGTGCTCTTTAAGCACCTAAATTGTATAACCAAATGCCACCAACCAAAAGTTTGGAATTGAAAATCTATATCACAAGGAGTTGTCCCTGGAATATCTCAATGGTTTACTCCTTTGATTTTGGTCTCAATCAAAGAGATTCTCGAAGGGAATTCTATGATTGTTTTAACTTTGCTAATGGCCCATAACACCAGATTATTGATTTGAGAATGCTTTAGTTTCTTGAAAAGTATCACTTAGGTCCAAAAGATGTGGATTCTAGTCTTGGGTTTGCTACATATAATCCCTGAGGCCGTGCACACCAAAGTTACTATTCTGTGCCTCCCTCTCCTTATCTGTTAAGTTTAACTTTGATAATCCTTGCCTAACTTATACACAAGCAGAAAATTCGATTAGTTACTACCTCTTATTCTCATGGGAATGATATTTCCCACTGTTTCTAAAAAGATGTAACATAAGAATGCTATAAAATAGTTATGTCACAGTCTATACAAATATAAGATAAAATTATTATTTTCTCCTCCCCCTTTGTTCTGTTCTGTATAGACTGATGAACCTACTCCTAAACATCAGTGGTTTTTATTTTTTTTTGTGTTTTTTTTTTTTGAGACGGAGTCTTGCTGTGTCACCCAGGCTGGAGTGCAGTGGCGCCATCTTGGCTCAGTACAAGCTCCACCTCCCGGGTTCACGCCATTCTCCTGCCTCAGCCTCCCGAGTAGCTGGGACTACAGGTGCCCGCCATCACGCCCGGCTAATTTTTTGTATTTTTTTAGTAGAGACGGCGTTTCACTGTGTTAGCCAGGATCGTCTCGATCTCCTGAACTCGTGATCAGTTTTAAAGAAACTGCTGGATTTATTAGTATTATTATTACCCGTTATTTTAAATTCTTTCTTGACTCTTTTCCTTAGAAGCGGAGGAGCTGCTGGTCTCTGGAGATACTCACTTGTTAGTTTGAGGAAACAAAGTTCTGATAACTAGAAATTCCGGGTGGAAGAGAAGAAATTGAACTACCACAATATAATCACGTCTGCCTTCAAACAAAACATTTGTCCAGGGAAAAGGATACAAATATCTTCTTTACCTTAAAAAATTTTAATTAGCCCATACAATACTACCATTTAGAAAAATTGCAAAATAGTCACAATGTGTGAATACTAGACCACAGGAAAATTCAGCAAGGAGAAAAATAATAATAGTAGGTTAAGGCATTTGGTTATAGAAAACAAACCCTTTTCACATGTCTCAAACAATTATTTAAAATAATTGGACTAAATTTCTAGTGACATTTAAATTGTGAAGTCTTTCAGGACAATTAATATATTCTGTGTCCTGTAGAATAAAAAAAGAACATTTGACATTGGTTAGGAATTAAGCCTGAAAATAATTATCTCACTATAGTTTAACCATAATAGTTTTATTCATCTCTTTTTTAAGGAATTTCCCAGATATGTTATGTGGATTTTAAAAAATCGATTCAAATGTGTTATAGTCTCTTTCTGTTTTTAACAACTTTAAATTTAAGTTCAATGGAAGAGGGATTAATACAATTAGATGGTTATTCAGTCATGCTGAAAGACCAATACCCTCCATCCAAGTGAATTCCCCTTAAGCCAAATCAGAACATCTCATAAGTAATCAGGGATATTCAAATGATTTTATGAGAATGGCTCATGACAGATCTACCTATCCACTTTGGGGTGCCTTTGGTGTAAAATTCATGATCCTTAACACAAATCTTTTTCTGAAAATGGTAAACACACTGCTCAATCAGGCCATGAATTGGCATCTCCACACATAAACAACACCTAATAATTTAATGTATGAAAATGAATTGAATTCTTTAAACTCAGATGTGGGAACACAGAGCCATTCACACTTCCAAGAGTATTTGTTTTGGGGTTTATGGAAGGAAAGGAGAGTAGCCCTTTTCTTCCTTGAAAGGGTCAAGAAGATTTTTTTTTTTTTATTCGCTCACAGAAACAGAGAGGATAGGTTAGTAAAATGTTTCTGAATAAAAAGGAAAAGACATTGGTGGAAACAGTCACTCACTACTAACCTTTTAATCAGGGACCCAAATGCTCAAAGTTATACTGACTAAAAGGAACATCAACCGCTGTGTAAAATCCATCAAATTTGAACTCATTTTTATGCTTCCAAGTTTGTGTCAACTTTTTATATGTTAACTAAATTAAAATAGTGTTTAAAAACAAAAACAAATAATAAAAATATTAATGGGGACATTCAATGTAGAAAAGTATAATAGGATCTCTTTAGAGTAAATGTGATATTTCTCCTTTTTAATCTCTTTACTAAAGGACAAATACTCATTTTCTTAACTTTTTATTCACTTCATTAGAGTAATCTTAAAAATAAGAATTACAGAACTCAACATGTTCATTTAATGCATTAAACCCAAATAAGTAGATCATCATTGGAGACAAAACAGGCAGCAAATGGGTTTGTAATGTGGTTAGAGTAGGCTGATTTTTTTATGAGGCAATGAGCTTGGCTTCAGCTGCCCACATTTTCAATGGGTTTCTTAAGCACAAAGGTGGCTGTCAGGATTGGACAGCCATAAGCAATTTGTTACTAAGCCAAAAGAGGAATTTGGCTACTGAGTTCTGCCATTATTGCTATTGCAGTTGATCTTACAAGTACATGCCAAAATGGCCACCCTCTCTGGATACTGCTGACAAAAAAACAAAAAAAACGAAAAACAAAACAAAAAAAAAACTGTAGAACTGTAGCTCACCAATCCTTGTTACCTTGCTAAATCTCTTTCTATATATTGTGTCAGGTTTCTAGCTTAAGAAAAAGCAGTGTTATTTTGGAAATGGATAAAACATGAGCTCACGAGGCAGTATATACAGCTATCAATGTAGTAGCTTTACTATTATAAAGCTCTGGAGGGAAGAACTAATTTAGACTAACTATAACTATAATCTACTCTGGACAGTTTTTAATTGCCAACTCCAGTGGGAAAGTGACAACATCAAAACAAAAACAAACGAACAAAAAACTCCCAAAAAACAAAAGAACACCACCAATCTGAAATGGACGTAAGTTTGGGTATTAGTAAGAAAATTTCTACCTAGAAACTGATGAGTGTATGATGGTGCTGACATCTGCAGTCATTAGAATATGGATTAGCTCTCCTGCTCTCTTTCTGTCAGCCTGAGTGATCACAGAGATGTTTGCTTCTCAGTTAAGTAAACAAGCTAATTACCATACTAAGAGTCTGATTCTCTAAAAGGACAATTGAAAAATCCATTCCAGAATTAGAGAGAGAGATTTGTAATGCAATATCGTTTTCAGTCCTTTCAGGATTTGGGAGTAGCGTGTTACATTCTTTCTTGACAGATATATACTCTGCACTCCCATCCACACCTCCCAGGACTCCATGTGTTTCCAACTACGCTACTATAAAGAAATGAACAATACGATAACAGATTCCTTGCTCTCCACCACTTTCTTCTTGCTTTATACAATTCTCTTTCAAGAAAGTTTACTCCAATAGTCAATCACTTGCCAGTTATTCTTTGGTTTCTCTTCACACAGTTAGGGGCAAACTTTACTAATTGTGCATGGAAACAAGAAATTGCAGTCATGCTCTTGAAAAAAAATTCCATCAAATATTTTAAAGAAATATGTACAAATCATTCTGTTGATCTTAATTGATTAATGACAAAAGCAAATAAAAAGCAGGCACAGTGTAGTCTATTAAAAAGAGCAGATATGTCACAGAACAATAAGTGTGCACCACTCACAATTTTCACTCACTTTCCACAAAGGGAAAATGCTTGCAACATCCTCAGGAGATTATGCAACCATCTTTTACTAAATCAATGAAAGGCAACATTGTAGCCTAATTCTCCTGCGTATTTTACCTCTGGTTGAACCAAATTGAGTCCCATTTAGCTACCTGTTATGCTGCTGTTCATAAATTGCTGTTCCTTCTCCACCTCCTCAATTTTCTCCTGTGTGTTCAGTTAATTGCTTGGGAATGCCGTTATTAAAATCCAAATTAGAGCTTGCCCACTAAGCCAACACCCTCCCAATTCTCAAAACACCAGGGCTAACTGTTGCCATCCTTGAATTTTGCTTCAGAGATCCATTTCCAGGTTAGCTCCAAAGCAATTCTGACACTGAAATAACTGGGGATGGAGATGAGGCGGTGTCAGAGATCAAAACAAGTGTCATTTGGCCCAAAATAACTTTGGATTCTCTTCATGAAACAATTATTTAATTGACTAAAATAGATTGACCAACTGATTTTAGATGTCTCCTGAGGTTTGCACTGTTTGTCTTAGTCTGTGGAAGTTGTTAAAGAAGACAATTTGTGTCTGATGGACTAAAATCTAACAGGACAGGAACCATCACATATTGAAAATGTAAACCATTAAAGAAGACAACAAGTACTTTCCATACATTAGGCTGTACCAGTCTATGTTTGATTGCTTTAACAAAATAAGCTGTGGCAGGAACTTGATTGGATTAAAACCTCTGGTAAACAACCAGCTAAATCTGAGACCTTGGACATAACACTTCCTCATCACCAAATTCTGGGAAATGAACTGAATTAGCTTTAAGATATCTATTTTCAATTCCTTTATTATTTTAATTGTGCAAGTTCAGAAAATCAATGTATGTCAGACCAGGTGTTGAGGCGGAGAGAACACTTAAGTTTGGTCCATCTGAGACAGAGTGGAAACAAGAGAGACTGGTATCCACCTACATTAATATACTTTTCTATGCATATCGGCTAACAAACAGACCTTGCACCACTTTCCCCACTGGTGCCAAACCTGCTAAGACCTTGCAAGCTATTTGAAAAAGTTAAGATAGCAACATTCTGGTATAAATCTTACGCAAAGCAGTTGACTCTACCACTCTTATGCGCACAAGACCAGGAAAGGGCCAACTGTAACCATTGCCTTATTACAATACTTAAGGCTCCACCCAAGAAGAAGCTTATCCACTATTTTCTGATCATGCAATAGGTGTGTTAACATGATTTCTTATTGTGCCTGCACATCCAGCACTCCCACCACACATGTAATGATGCTCACTTACCTCAGGCATTATTCCTGTCACCCTCTTCAAAACACTGCAATGCACTCTTCTTGGGGAGGCAGCCAGACAACACTTACTGCTTTACTGTCTCTCTTGTGCCTAACCTTTTCAATCATAAGTCTTACTAAAGCCTTTTCTGGGAAACTTGCTTGGTCTCATGTCAATTTCTATTGCAAAGGAGCCTAAGAACCTGTGATTAGTAACATGTCTGCATAGAACTCTACAAGTCAAATTTGAAGTGCTAACCTTCCTAGGTATATCTGATATAGCTGGGGTACAAATATACTACCACTTAGATAGTATAGAATTCCTCTTTTAACAACTTTCTTCTTATGAATATTTTCACAACATTGTTTCAGATCTGTTCAGATCATTAAATCAGTCATAGGTACCGTTTAGCTGTCTCTCAAGTATATCCTGGATACCCTAGTCTAAGTTGCCCAGAATACGGTATGGTAAATTAGTTTTTACATCTCTGAAGTTCTGTTTGCAACATTGCTATCATATCACATTATGTGGACATTCCAGGGAGAGAGTTCAAAAGAACTTCTAGGAGAGATTTCATGTTACTTGGGAGGTAGTGATTGTCCTAAAATGGGACTGAATTTTAGAATTAGCACTAATCCTAATTATGTATGCAATTTTATCCAAAAGAAACCAACATAAAATATTGAAGAGAGTAAGGGATTGAATTCGAACCTCCCACCCTCTTGCTGTAACTAACTAGCTGATTGACATTAGGTAAAATCTTCTTTCTACTGGCCTTAGGGCACTTTTTTAAAAAGAACAAGAATCTGGACAAAAAGGCAACTGATTCACTTATTCACTTTTAGATTCTGATTCCAATCGAACTTCATTATCCCATTAGTTGACCATCTTGATTTCTCACCTATCCAATGGTGAATTACTTGTTGTTCTTTTTAAACAAGGTTTTAATGAGGGCCTCTTGTGAAAGTGCTTTGAACAAAATCGAGTGTTTGAACAGATAAATGGTACATTAATAAACATACGTCACCAAGAGGGTTTCTGAACAGAAATTAACGAACCAAAAGTCAACATTATATAATTTTCATCTTGTTGCAACTTTCATGGCAAACACATTTTATTCTTTATTTTCTCTGACTTTTCTTCGTATAATTCTGACTTTATAATTAAAATCCCAACTATTGTATGGGGAATAAATTGTTTTTTAAAGTAGTTTTTTGTTGTTGTTTTGTATTGTTTTCAGTGACAGCATTATGCCTCTCTGGGGCTATATACACTGGTTCTAGCACAAATATAGCCTAGCTAAGGCCATTCTGAAGTATCTTTGATGATAATGAATGCTTATAGCCACTGTGAAGGTCCAGGTGGTACCTCACAAACAAACTACACTCTGGTATACACCATCTTTGAACTTCACAATTCCCTGTGCCCAACAGGTGATTTTAAAATAAAGGGTTAAATGAATAATTTTTGCAAAACTGTATTTTGCTTTTGGAGAATTGTGGAAATAATCCAAATCAAGAAGTAGCTCTGGTTTATCTTTGAATCATAGAAATTTAAACCTAGAAGGGAATTTCATGAAATTTGTATTATTAACCTATTTCTAAGATAAGGACATTGAGACTTAAACAAATAAATGTCACCAGGTTTATCTTTTGCTTGTCTTCTTTCCAAACCATACACATGTACAACATGATATTTCTTAGAAAGTTTATGGCAACCCTCCTTGTTCCCATAAACTGAAATGAACAAATCCCAATATGAAATTGACTAAAGTTGGTACCAGAGTCTTTTTTTAAAATGTACTTTTCACTTTTTCTTGTTCCTCTGCTTTGGGCCCCTATTGAGTTCCTCGTGCACATTCATAAGACAATGTTATTTTATAAACATGCCAGGCAATGAATCTGTCAACTACTTCTACCCTTTTGTTGTTTTTTTAAAGACGTTTTGTTAATCCAGAAAAAGGAATTGCCCACAACAAATGTTGAACTATGGTCCTCAATATGATTGTATATTAGAATCATCTGGGTAGCAGTTAAACTCTCAATGCTTAGTCTACACCCCAGACCAATTAAACGCAGGAGGAGTGAGGGTACTCAGGCAAACCAAACTTTAGAAAGCATCACAGATTATTGTAAAGTGCAAACAAAATTGAGAGTCACTGCATTAGAGTCCAGTGTATTATAAAAAAGGGGGGCAATTCTTCCAGCTCTTGACTAACAACACAGACAGTTTTGTGTGCCCTGAACCCTACACATGCTAATAAATACAACTTTCACTCATGAAACAATTTAAGCTAATAGATTGGGATTAGGCTGCACATTCTTCTACCTATAGAATCTATAAATATTTTAATGGAAATTCTTTTCAAAATGATAAAGCAAGTTTTAACAAAATAACAAAAAAGTTATTTTGACCCAAGTCTGGAAACTAATGCTGATTAAACACAGGGGATTTGATTCCACTCAAACAAGATAGCTCTCAAGTCTGCCTTCAAATCCCATATTCTTTCCTGCTAATTTACCTCCCATGAGTATAACTGTGGGCCATTTTGACTCCCAAAGACACCCCTCAGAATTTTAATTGATCCATTTGTAACCTAAATATCATCTGGGAACAGAGTTTGCTCTTGTTTATCAATATGCACAAGCCAAATGGTACATTTTTGTTTGTTTTTCGTTCAGACCCTGCTGCTTCAGCATATGTTTCATAAGGAAATGGTGCCCACATAGTCACATAGGTAAACAGAAATCCTTGGGTATCAGCTGCACATGAAACCATCCACTTTAAGGCATTCCTTTCTTGGACCATGAATCCCAAACAATGAACAGGTTTGGGTTTATCAGCATGTAGCCTTGCCAAAGGGCCTGCAAGAATAACCAAATGGACACCAGCAGACGATTTAGGAACACCTGCCTGATGCTTCTGTTCTTGGTTGCTTGCCCAAGTCAACCATGTTAAAGGGGAGAGTGTGAGCTACAATTAGACCTCAAGATTTGACATGGTTGTTGAATTGTAATGGAAAGCCATATGCCTACCAATTTAAAGAGAAAATCATGTTGTGTTGAAATATATAGTGGCACTTTTGTCTTAATTTCTACAGAACTAGTAAACCAAATTTACCCTCACATGCTCTATTTCTTTGAGGATCATGAATGGCTTTTACGATCTGCTCCTTAAATAAGATACCTGCATCTCTGTTAAAGCAAAAATCCATAATATATTCCTTAAAATAGCTTCTTACACTTTTTTTTTTTTTTTTTTTTTTTTTTTTTTTTTTTTTTTTTTTTGAGACGGAGTCTTGCTCTGTCGCCCAGGCTGGAGTGCAGTGGCGCAATCTCGGCTCACTGCAAGCTCCGCCTCCCAGGTTCACGCCATTCTCCTGCCTCAGCCTCACGAGTAGCTAGGACTACAGGCGCCTGCCACCACGCCCAGCTAATTTTTTGTATTTTTAGTAAAGACAGGGTTTCACCTTGTTAGCCAGGATGGTCTCGATTTCCTGACCTCGTGATCGGCCTGCCTCAGCCTCCCAAAGTGCTGGGATTACAGGCGTGAGCCACCGCGCCCGGCCGCTACTTATACTAAATTATACTTGAAATCTTATGTTTGAAGAATTGTCTGAGGCATTTGAACCAAGGCAATTCCATCTTGAGTGAGGGCTAGGAAAATTGAAGCTGGGACTTACTGGGCTGCATTCCCAGAAAGTCAGCATTCCTAGCCTCTAGGTGTTTATGGTTAAGGGAACAGATTGATAACACTTACTAAACAGACCCAGACTTAAGAGGAGTGTCCTGATATCCCAATATCTTGAGAACAGAAGCATTCTTAATTTTGCTTTAAAGATAATATAGATCCTTGCAAAACATAGTGAATAAGAAAATTAAGCCAATATCACAAACCCTTGTAGCAGAGCACATCTCCCCATGATTTTTTTTTAATCCCATTTATAAACAAGTATTGTACCTAGGGTGGACGAATTCCTAGTCTTACTTTTGGGAACGCCCTATTCTGTCTACAGAATAGCTGTTCTTTTACTACTTTACTTTCTTAATAAACTTGTTTTTGCTTTTCACTGTAGACTCTTCCTGAATTATTTCTTGTGTGAGATCCAAGAACCCTCTCTTGGGGTCTGGATCAGGACCTCTTTCCAGTAACAGAATGACCCATGGGGCAGTTGAGCTAAAGTATAATGGAAATTAGAAACTCCAAACAGGCACTCTGTCAAGTTGTTATAGAAACAATTTTCTGCTGCACCTAGGTCTGTTGCTTAACTCCTATTCTTGTGTCCAATGAAAGGGCTGTTCCCATGGGAGAATTAAAACCTAATTTATAATTGCTTTCTTATTCCTGAAAAGATAGATTTCCCAGCTCTCTTTCAATCACTATTTCCCAAACAAATTTAATTGTGAACAAATGCTTAGTGATCTATCTGTGGAAAAGACACCACTTGCCCAATATTTTGTTTGTTTCCCTGAATTTCCCAGGCTGTCTCACCATCGGGTAGAGGCCATGTGACTACTTCTGGCCAATGGGCATGAGGGATGCTTCTGACCAAGGCAGTCAAGAACGAGTGTTTGAGCTTCATTTATTTCTTCTCCTGCTATAGAAATCTTAGAAGACACATGCTCTGAATGGCATTGCTATAAGGAGGAGAACTGCCTTACCAACATCAGGCTGTGATGTAAGGGAAAAGTAAATCTTACTGTGTTACTAGAGTTCTAATTTTTGTGTATTTTGGTAAATAATGTGAATTATCTTGACTAGTACAACTTCACTGTCCCAAGAAGGAAGATCAGCTATACAGTTTACTGCTCTCAAAATGTTACTGGCATTTTCTTACTCTTCTATATAATGAAACATAGCCTCATACCAGGATGTGTCTTTTCACTGGTTTTTAGTATACAAGGCAGGGAGCAAATTTAATATTTGCAAAAGGCCTAGTGAATTCCAGAGGGTATCACTGGGTTCCAAAAAGAATGTCAGACACATAATAGATGCTCAATAGATGTCTGATGGGATGATGGATGGATGGAGAGGTGAAAGAACATCACATCACAATAGAGAATTTCTAGTGGAATCAGAACAATAATTAATTTTTCTAGCAATAATAAACCCAAGACCCTGAGTACTGAGAGGTCTTTCTCTTTTCCTGTGGAGCCCCTGGCATAAATATTGTCTAGGAATATAGAAATAAATGGTGATTTTGAAAGGACAATTTTCAAGGTACAGGAATAGAAGGTGAAGAGAGAGCAAGAGGGAAAAGAGGGAAGTCAGAGAACCTTGGGTTTGAATCCTTTTGCTTAGTATTTATTCTTTAAATTTGGCAAGTTAAATTTATTATATTCTAGGTTTATATTTTGTAAAAAGTAATAATAAAAAGTTCTTTTAAAACTTGTGAAGAAATTAAATAATAAGAATAAAATCTGTGGTCCTTAACAGTAATTTTTTTATATAGTAAAATTTATCATTCCTTTCTTATGTTAGTAAAAACGGCTAAAAGAAGTTGAAATAAGATCACACTCATTTTGTTATTGTTGTTTATTTTTCTCCCTGCCATTGGTCAGAACTACTTTTGTGTTTTGTTCCCCCAAACTGTCTCCCTAGCACATTGAAAGAAGGTTATCTCCTCACTCCTCCCACCTCATCCTCACATTTGTAGTCAAGAGCAATTGCCTTTGTTAACATTACCCTTGCAATGGCACCATTTATAATAAGGGATCAACTCTTTCAAGTGCTATGTTTTGAAATGCAAAGATATATCTTATTATTTATTTGTCTTTCTTATTTATAAAAATGAGTATGCCTATGCATCTCAGTAGGTAAAGACAGATACCAGTTGCAAGGAGTGATTGTAAACTAAGATAGCAAAATCTGAATTCTGGCTCAGCCAGATCAAATGGAACTTTCTGCTGGAACTTTCAATGCACTGTTGGAATTTTCGATTCAAGGTGCACATTGATTCTTGTACATAGAGGAGAGGCAATGTCACACGTCTGGGAAAGGTTGGAAATTAATGATGCTCGTCTCACACATCATCAAGGGACATGAATATGATTGTCCCTCATACTCTCCCACTGAGTTTCCCATTTGTGGCCTGGGGGGAACAAAAGCCAAAGTGGAAAAGACCATGTCTAACACCAGTACAGGATGGTCTGGATATTTTGCATCAGTAAAAATAGAAAGAAATAAAGATATGAGTTTCTTCATTTCCTGAATGATAATTCAAGAAATAACAGGGCAAAAAATTCTCAATAATAGGAAACATCAGAGAATAAAATTACTTTAGATAGGCAGAGATTGATTTGTGTTGAGGCCAGATAAGACCATTAAGCAATTTTTAGCCTTTCTATGCTGAATGTTTTCCATTTGCCTGTCGAGACGTATTTTCTAGCCTTTTCTACTCTGATCTCTGCCCAGAGGGGTTGACCCTTTTTTACTGTATCAACCAGGCTTCTTTGGTTTCTCACTTCTATTTGGGTTTGGTGAATGAGAGAAGAGCAAAATTCTGGGTATTACTTAGCTTATTCTGTACATGAAGAACATGAGTTGTCAATGGCTGTGTTCTTCTATGAGGTAATAGCTATTGTAGGGTTATGCCTACCTGCTGGGTACAGCTGCAACTACTGCAAAAGCTGTTGCTACAGTTCTCTGAGTCCTGCTCATGCTTCCCTTCCCTTGTCTTTACTAGGCTACGCCTCTGAGTGCTTTGCCAACCCTCATTGCTTTCTCTACTTATGCCTTTGTGAATAGTCCATTAATTTTTCCTCAATGGCTCCTGTTTCCAACCCTGACTGATATATATACTGTGTTCCTCCTTTGGGGCTTACCATGTCACTCTGGATCCCACACTTGCTTTTGCGTTTTACACAAATGAGCTGAGCTAAAAGTAAGAGTTGAAATTGAGCCTCTGCTTCTCTTTGCCAGCTGTGTACCTGTGTGCATAGCTGTCTCCATCTTGGAGGGGTGACTTTCAGACCCTTGCAAGAAGCCCCCTTCCAGGCTAGCAATGGTTCTGGTAACGCAATTCAGCAAATAGAAATGTTCTGTTTTCAGTGCCTTGTACTAGGCCCAGTAATATGGACTGGATAATTTTCCTGAGAAAAGAAGAAAGAAGCTGCTATATACCTGAACCATGGTTAAACCACAATCAACTTCTCTCTAGCAAAAACAGCAAAGGAGCAGAGATTTTGCAGGAAGCAGAGAGAAGAACTGTTAAAAGCTATGTTTGTCCCTCCTTTTAAAGGACAAGCCATTCCCTTCCAGGTACTTAATTGTCTTGAGAACAAATCTTACATAGTCCAGTTTTAAATGATTAGCAACATTTATCACAATATTTTCAACTAAGTCTACCAACTTTTTCCTTGAAAAGCTCAATGATAAGTAGCACACTTCTAGGTAATCTTCAAGGCCTGTAGCCAAAATGTTTTTTTCATAAGGTAATTGTTACATTTTTTTCCTTCAGAGACATAATTGTGCATAGCCAAATGCTTTATGTTTTAATATAAAAGTTTCTAAATATTATTTAAATTAAAAATATCAGATTTTTACGTTTCTTCTGTTCCCTAAAAATTAAATAGACATCATACCATTTCATTTTGAGAAAAGTCCTTGGTCAAGGCTGGGACTCTGTATATTCATTTCTCAATAGTTCAGCCAACATTTAGACACCCTAAGTTTAAGTTTAAAATATAAGAGCATTGCCTCTTCTTTTTTTTTTTTTTTTTTTTTTTTTTTTTTTTTTTTTTTGCTATTTTTCCAACCTATCTTTATTTTAAAATAATACAATCTAAACTTTCCATACTATTTCCCAGTGTGGAATACTCCTCAATAATTTTTAGAGATAGATATTTACTTATTTTAAAATAGAATTGCATACGTTTTCAGAATTTTGAAACATGAATTTAAGAGCTTTGATGTGAGCACCTGTTCTTTTTTAAATCCCCAGATGCAATCTTGCTTATACGAAAATTTATAAAAACTGATTTTCTCTAGGACACAGTGCGTTTTCTTCCCAATGTCTTGTCACAAATCTAATAGTCACTCAAGATTCAAAACTGATTTTTTACTAACATGATCAGAACTGATAGCAAAATCGATCATCTCTTCCACTTTTATGGTTTATTGAACATACTGCTTGTATTTTCTTATCTTCCTTATTTTTTTAAAAAAAGTTTTATTTTTTTAAACATGAGCAGAAATCTAAAAGCCTATGCATACTGCATTTTCTCTTCCAGAAGTATTTGTGTACAATTTGCTGTAAAATATAATATAAAGCACATCACAGCAAAATCTATTCATTTGCAAATCTTTCCCCCTAAATCCATATCATTCTACCCTTCCAATTTTCTCTTTCTTCCATCTCTTAGAATGTAATATTTAATTAACAATCATATATTTGGGTCTTATTTGATATCTGAACTCAGTCTCGCTCCTTCCTGCCTCCCTGAATGCCTATCTGTCTAGGTCTAGGTATAGTGTAATACCATGAATCATATACTTGAACATGAAGCTTAGTAATACTTAGTTTCAGTTGGGCAGCAGGACCTCATCAGAACCCAGAGAGCATAGGAGGAGAGTAAAGAGTGATGTGGGCTTTTTAGTTTGTTTGTTTGTTTTTTCTCTTTAGATTTGCAAGAAGAAAATCTAGTAGTAGACAAGTTTCAAAATAAAGAATATCCTGAGGTTATTTTCAGATTCAATTTTACAGTTGTAACATATTTAGATAAGTTAGAGGTTATTCTAACATGTGGATACTTCACTGAACTGAACCTCAAAAACTTTAGAGCTTTGCCCATCAATAAGGTAGCCTCCCTAAGAAATTTTATTTTTAACTGTTATCTCTTTGAAGCTGCATACTTGATTTTTCTAAAGTTGTAGATGCATCATAAAATTGAACTGTTTGCGACGTATTTCCCTGGTGAAAAGTCAATTACTAATGTTGTAGCTTTTGAAGAATTTGTTTGATGTTTAAAAAACATTCAAGGAAAAGAGAAAACAGGCAAACAAATTCAAAGTTTTCAGTTAAGTTCAGATGAGGATTCTCTTAATTAGTCCAGTAAACCTCAGGTTTTTTCCCCTAATAATGGGTTGAATCAGATTTATCTAAGTTTTAGTTCAAGCTATCCAAGTATATTTGATATCAGAGATGCCTCTGTAATAATAGAATATCTTGTAGTTTTGTAAGTACAGTATCTAATACAGTCTCTAGAAATATTATTTCTTTTTATATAGCTGCAGATTATATCCAATTCTCAAGTTTTTAGAAAAAAGAGGAGCAGTAAATTGAGAAAAATTTTGTTGTAGTTACTGTGATAAGCAAAAATGAAATATACAGAAATGGAATTTTCTTAGTTTCCAAATCCTTTCAAGATTATCTTCAGAAGCAGCAGGAACCAAAAACCAAATAGCAACAAAATAAACAGCACTGAGGGTACTGACCTGGCAGTACACCCAAGTTCTCAGCACACTAAATGGATTAGGATATTTATTAAGAGAATTTGAAATCTCCCTTGCCTAAGTAAGTAGTGCTGTAACCAGTATGTCACAGGTTTTATTTGTCATCTTAGTTGTTAAATATATAGTAACACCCTAAGTCTCAGAATGTTTAGAACCTACTTGCTTCCATCAAAAAGTTCTGTCTCAGATAACATCCAGTTAATGTCGAAATCAGAGAAAGAGAAACCTCTCAAGGCACTTACAACAGAGAGAATTTAATTTAGGGGATTCATTACATAATTGGTGATGAGTATGAGAGGCTGATGGAAATGGTAAAGCAACCAAGAGATCAGTTACATTAGGAAGAAGCTGTCACCCATACAATGGATCAAGAAAGAGAAAAAACAGCATTATCAAAACCCAGCAGCCTGTCCTGTGGAAGATGGGTCCAAGAGATGTGGCCAACTCCACAGATGCCATTTAATGCAGGGAAAAAGAGGGGGAAAAACCTTGACAGAGCTCTTCCTCCTGCCCTCCAACCTTCCATGTTTGCTTTGCATTGGCCAAACCCAGTTGGAATCCAGCTGCTATAAGAGCCCAGAAATCCAAGCCTGTCAGAGCCATCCCTCTTGATAATTGGAACAGGAGGCAGAGCAACACATCTTAGAATAAACAGGCCTAGAATTGGTACTGTGACTCAGTGGTACTCCAGGCCCCAGTGTGTGGGTTTTAGGCAGGCTCACCTCCACCCTAACACTGCATAGTTCTTTTTCTGGTGGTACCACATCTTAGGTTAAATGAAGAGAGGAGAGTTTATCCTTTCCTTATTTCCTAGCTATAATCACAATCTTTTTGCTGTCAAAGCATCCTACATAAAATGTCCTTGCTGTCCAGCAAGTCATGTCCAGCAAGTCATGTCTAGCAAGTCATGTCCTTGCCGTTTAAACCCAGCAGCTGAATAGCAATGCCCAGCCTCTCTTTTCAAATAGATTGTCACCTGTCCCTGCCATCTGTGAGGACTTATAGGACTGCCCTGCAATACTCCCTGAACGCACGCCTGCCACTAGTTCTCAGTCAGCCTCTTCCTTGTTCATACATTTACACAGACTCTTTATTGTTTTTTACTCCAATCCAACTTTCTTCAGAATTCTTCAACTCATCATCATCAGGTCTCAGTATTTCCGAACTCCAATTATGGATAGAAATAAAACTATTTTTCACAAACAACTGTCTCACCTACAACTAGAAATTCTGTCTCGGAGCATTCCTATGACACTTGCAAAGTTCAGTTCTTGAACCATTATAAGGCATTTAGGAGGCTGGCCATCACATAAAATAGCGAGGGGTGGTATTGCCTCCTTCATTCTCCAAACTGACTCTCATTGCTGGCCTTTTCAACATAACTTATCATGGTGGTTTACTAGCTACAACATCTTTGGCAACAATCAGGCCTCCCAGGTCAGTGGCCACCCAGAGCTTTCAGCAGAGCCTGAGTAGAAGTTGTTGCATGTGGCCAGCAGTTTGCATACTACACGACTCCAAAGTGCCACTCTTAAGTATGGTGTCCCAGGAGTTGTGCATCTGGGTGACCCTGCCTATGCACATAAAGATGTTAAACAAGTCCTTGTTAAGTGGTAAATCGGTCAGGGAGATTAGCAAAGCCTGATAATATAGAGCACGATAGGTATCATTATGTGGAAATAGGTTTTATGGAGAAATGGATATTGGTAAATCATCCTAAGGATTTTGCTGGTTAAAAAATTGCATTTTGCTTGAATGATAATAGGATATGAAATTGCCAGAGGAATGCTATTAATGAATTAGGGTCCACATACTCTACTCAATTAAATTATATAAAAAGGCATGTTGAACATAATGAAGCATCATCTAATTAGAAGGTTCATAAAGGTCTTTCAAAATCAGGGATATCATGGAAACTTCTGCCTTAGGACACTGTCATTGCAAGTGTCCTTTCTGCCCCAAACCATCATTAGTTTTTGCCCTAAATTGCAGACATCTGGGTATGTTAGACATTTCTTTCCCTCCCTCTTAAGCAGAAGCAGCATTTCTTTTCATTGTCTTTTATCTCTGCTGGTGCAGTATGAATGGACATTAATCCTGTACAATCTCGTTATGTACATTGAACCTTGTATTGTTTATCTTCCTAGGTTTTGTTTAATTTCTTATACATCACTCACCTTTTGAGATACCAGTCTCAACTGAATCAATTTTTAATTTTTGTTTTTCCACTTCTTATTCTTCTATCACCCCAATCACTAAAGCCAGCAGCACCGAAACATATCTGTGTGGGCTTGCAAATGATGGGGTACAGGGAGTTTATGATATTTTCACAGAGATAGCAATTCTTGAGTGGCCAAGAGAAGTCATGAATACATACTAAGTATTTTTAGACAAGGCATATATAACTAATCATGTTGTCTAAGATATGGCCCTTAGCCTTGAAAGGAAAGAAACTTTGTATAGTATTCTGGGACTGAAGAGATACAATTGTGCATATTCAAACTCTCTAATCTTCTGTCAATATAACTGACACTTAGTAAAATAACTGCCAAAGAGCCTGGATGAATATGTGCCCTGACCACCAGTCTCTGTAGTACTGCTGAATCGGAAGTCAAATTATAATCAGAAATTTAATTAGCAAACATGGAAACAGAAAATGTTAATATTCCTTACATGAGGAAGAGTTAATCACACCTGAGCACAAGGGCACCCTCTACTCTGGGGTGGATTTAGATGAGCATTTCTAGTCGACCTTCTCTTTATCTGAGATTGCATTGTTGATCACTGATTACCTTTTATTTCTTCTACATACATACTTCTTCCGTCAGGCTATGATTCTGTCATACATAGCCAGGGACGCATTCTAATGCCATAAGAAATTTGTGCGTTTTTTAAATTGGGCATTATGTATTTATTAATTTAGCACCTAGAGGACATTTTTGCTTCCCTTATTTCAAAGCTCTTGGAGGTAGCACAGTATTGCTGTAAGTAACTTTTTGGTTTTTGCTTGGAAACTAAAGGTAGCATAATATAATATATTAATACATTCATATGAAAAATATGTAAAACATTGCATTTGACTTAATGTAGTGAAACTATCAAGGAGACAGTTATTTACATGTGTAAATCTAGTTGCACAATAAAGGACACTCCTAAGTGACATTTGATTAATTTTGTTATTGCATTGTAATTCTATTGATATCTAAATATACACAGTTGTTTCTCTCACACATGGTCTATCGTATTACCTTTCTGACGATCTGAACATTCTTTAACTGTAATCATGGCTCTTTAATACACAGAAAAGTTTTATTTCTATCTGAACATTCTTTAACTGTAATCATGGCTCTTTAATACATAGAAAAGTTTTATTTCTTTCAGCAAATAATCTCCTGGCCAGCTACGTTCAGAGTTCCTGGCTCCCTTTACCTGCTTTGTCTCTGAAAGCATCTCTTTTGCAAAACACTGGAATGTTCTGCTGCTCTTCTCTCCATATGTCCCCCACAACTCTTTGTCTGCCACAGATCCCATGTCTCCTACATAAGAGGAGAAATTCTTTGACATTTAAAATTCTATTAAGCACACCAGAATAGAATTTAAAAACATGCATATGAAAACTATCATCATGTAATCATGGAAACATTTCCAAACAAATACAAACACACATAAAGAGAGGGAGAATAAACATTGACCAATTAATTATATGTGGGTTCAGAATTATGTGTTATATTTCATGCCTTCATTTTTTTCTGTATTTTCAGGTTATATATCATAAATACAGACTTATTTTTATATGAGAAGAAACAGGTATTCTTTTTCTTTAAGGCATATGGATACGTGAATGTGTGTGAATATGCGTGTGTATGTGTGAATAAGAGAGAGAGAGAGAGAGAGGGAGAATGAGATTTCCTCTCTACACAAGTTTTGCTTAATTTAAGGCAGTAACTTTCATGAAGTGCTAGGCAAAGGATCTGGGTAAGAAAGACAATGACATGTCCTCTACTTGTGGAATATCAGGGAACAAAGATTTTGAGTAGTTACACTCTCCTCTTCTCTCCTCTAAGGCTATCAGCCTTTTCTTCCCCGTGGATGTTCAGTACATATTCCCAAACATAAAAAGAGTAAGAACTAATTTACATTTATAATATGACATATTTATTATATCATTAGCATTTTATTATAAAAATGAATTTATTTTCAATGTATGCCTTTAAAGGATTTGCTGCTTTTTAAAGTATCATTATATTATGTCTTAGGGTTAAATTGTGTTTCTGTTTGCTTCTAAAAAAAAATCTTTAATTTTATAATTGAAATCAGTAGAAATCTAAAATTTACTGCCTACAACTTAAAGCATAGACATATTTATCTTTAATATCCCTGTACATTAGTGTGTACATTATTTAATTTCTATACATTTAAATATAATTATATTCAACTTCTTAAAGTAAGGAATATTGGTACTCTTAAATATACACTGATAATATTTTCTAAATAAAACTTACGTATAAACAATCTGACCAAAATGCAAACAAAAAGACACACTATATGGAATTGGACTCGCCTTAGGAAATCAAGAAATACGTAGCGAAACATGACCTGTGAGTGGAGTGTCCGCAGGATGACCTTTCTTCACATAGCTATAGTTCTTCAGTGAAATACATTTTGTTCTCCATTCCAAATTAAGCAAGCTTAAAAAAAAGCCATAATATAGCTTTTGATTTTACCACAGTGGTTTTCATTACTTTCAGAGCTAAAGCTCTCCAGGTTGTTTCTGTTGAATTGCTTGCTTTTAAACCTGTTTAATTAACAATCTTGATGTACTAGAGTTTATCTGAAGGAAGGTATGACATACGTTATCCTACTGTATGGCCAGTCTATGCATGTCATCTCGGAAAGTAAAAACTCAGCCCAAAATTTGACCAGGTTTCATCACATAAATTAAATAAAAGAAAGAAAACAAAATAAAGGTCTCAGAGTGAAGTCTCTGGTTTTAGATTTCTTACGTTCAAATTCTTGCTCTACCTATTACTAGGTTTATAATTTTTGTAAAATTATAAACACTCTGTGTTAGTTTGTGTATTTGTTAAATGGAAATAATGCCAATTTTATGTGGTTAATGTAAGGATTAGATGGCACAATTCATTTAAAATCAGGGCATAAGGCCTATAATAAAGAACACTCCAAACATGTTTATTATTATTTTTGCAGTGGTAATGGCATATGGTTTTGTATCCAGTAGCCAATCTGACATTGAACAGCAGGAAGATACTTTTAAAAAGTGAATATTTAAGAGTTTAAATCTCTAAATGATTCCCATCTGAGTCATGTGATAAATTAAAAACTGATTTGTTACCACTTTTCTTAAAGGTTTAATTTGGAAAATTGGAATGAGAACAAATCCAACCACTAAATATTAAAGAGAAAAAAAGATTTCAAGAAATGGAGTAGAAATGACTTTAGTTAGAATTCTTGCCTTGGCCAATAATTAGAGCAAGATGTTTTGCCCCAATGACGGTGATTAAAAGTATATCCTTTTTTTTGCCCTGAATATTAAACATGTTAGGATATGCATTTTACTTTAATGTGAATTTCTCCCTCCTTGTTTTCTAAGGATATCATGTCAGTGGTATTTTTATTTGCTAGTGTATTGTACTAATGTTTGGTCAGAAATCATAAGGGACTGCTGTGAAGCATCTTTCCTGTTGTCCTTAACATTTATGGAGCCTTAACATTTATGGAGAGTGTATCTTATGTACATCTCTGACCCCATCATCCATTTTTTTTCCACTCTCCTTTATGAAAATTCACTACCGCTATTAAAGCCTTGTCTCCTTGGTGAGGTGTGTGTCTTGTGACTGTGCTGGTGAATTTTGCCTTCTTTTGACCCCTCCCAATCAACGGATACCGACAGTGAAATTCCTACTCAGGCGTTGAGATGTTCATCTGAATTGAAGTTTGATGTTCACCCATCACTTCCCTGAAGGCACTGACAGCCTCAGACTTTCATCTGCCAGCTCACCCTTCCTCCTAGCAGACACAAGCAGATTAACATATCCCCAAGAGGCTGATGTCTTTAGTTGCTGAAGCCACTCGATTCTTATTACCTGACAGTGTTCTGTAGTGAGACATTTATTTTCAAGTGCTACCTGCTAGGATATCTTCATGAGATACATGTGTCATTTTTGATGGGGGGCCCCAAAGGGGACAACAGCTCCAGGCTTCTCAGGTTTGCCTGGAGCTGTCAAGATTTACCCAGTGTAAATCTTGGTGGTGGCCCTTCTCTCGCTTTAGATTCCAAGTTCAGACCCAGTTTACTCTATTAAAAAGTAACGTAAACTATAGGAAGTGACATAGCAGTAGTTGGGTACAGTCATTGGGGAACTCAAACAATGTGAAGTTTGTGGTCCTGAATGATATAATGTGGCTGTCTACACAGACTTAAATCTCAGGATAATTGTCCTTCTTCATTTCTTTGTGACAAGAGTCCTGGCCTCAGCAGCAGAGCGTGTCACTCTGGCAACTTCTGCCACTTTGTTGTGGTGATTGTGAGTTGATGCTTGACACTGATGAGGTCTAATTTCCCAGTGGACTTTGGGAAGGGTCTGACAGTGGTGTGGATCACTGTTCTTGCATACAGGAGCTATTTATATCATTTTCCTCTGTGTTCAAAGAGGATACTATGGGCAGAAGTTGCTATCTGTTTCTTTGTGTTTGTGTATGTGTGTGTTTGCGTGCATGTGCATGCCTATGTGTGTACCTAAAAATGTTGATATGCATTTTAAGTAATCTCTGTCTTTTTTTCTTTTTTTTTTGAGTCAGAGTCTTGCTCTGTTGCCCAGGCTGGAGTACAGTGGCACAATTATAGCTCACTACAGCCTCGAATTCCTGGACTCAGGCAATCCTCCCACCTCAGCCTCCTAAGCAGCTAGGACTACAGATGTGCAACACCACACCTGGCTAATTTTTAATTTTTGTAGAGATGGAGTCTCACTATGTTGTCTGATTGGCCTCAAACTCCTGACCTTAAGCAATCCTCATGGCTCAGCCTCCCAAAACACTGGGACTACAGGTGTGAGACACAGTGCCTGGCCTAGTAGTCTCTTTTATCTTATCCCAGAAATATATATCATATTAGTATCTGGCAACAGTGGGGCAGGATAGGCCAAGAGGACTGGAATGGGGCTGGGAAACAAGCTAGCAGGTGAAAATCAGTTCTGCTGCTCTAAAGCACCTTCAGTTAACAGAGCATTTTTATTCGATTTGCAAACATTCCTATGATACAAAAGACTATAGGGTGCTGTGATCAATTCCACATTTCAAATGAGGAAAATAAAAATTACAGATATTTGGTCATGTATTCTAGAGATCTGATGAAACCTGGACACCAGCTTTCTCTGGTTTCAATATTCGTGGAATGAACTACTTCGCCCTCAAAGATCTTATAGTTCAGTGGGAGGATTAAATAACTACGAAAATGTAAAAAAAAAACAAAAAAAAAAAACAAAAAAAAACTATGCTGTTATAGGTGCAAGAGTAGAACTATGTAGAAGGTTTAGTAGAAGAATAGAAGAAACAAGAAGAAAGATGTAATAATTCAACTGAGATTGGGGGAGGTGGTGATCAAGATAGATTCAAATAACCAAATATTCATTTGGAAATTTCTTTGATATGAAAGAGAACTGTTGGCATTCGACAAGCTTCATTAAACTACACTCCAAATATAAAAAATTGCTTTGGTTAAAGACCATTGAAGAAGCTTTATTTAAACTTATTGTAATAAACTTTGTGAGAGCTTTCCTATAATGATTGAGTGTAATTGTTGCAATGGACTGTGAGGCATTATGATGGATTCTAACAAAAATGAGAATTTGCACATCCATTATGACTTTCAAGTATGATGAATTTTTAAACTACATAGAAATGGGGCAGTCAATTGAAAGAAGATTGCCAGGCAGCATTACAGATGTTCGTGGCTTAGGAATTTGATATAAGCAGTGAAGAAGCCGATTCCAGCCACACAGAGAGTAAGCTGAGCTGGTGAATACTCCCCTATTTTTATGTTTGAAACATCTGACTACACAGAGGAAAGCATTGAAGGTCCATAGATTTTAATACTGTGGTGATAGAAAAGCAATATTTTAATGGCCTTTGGGTCTGATTCATCTGTAGTAGATGGGTAAGAAGTATGATCAAATGTAGCATAGCTGACACATTGCTTTTCAGAAGCCAGATCTTATTCAGAGGACCTTCTGAAGATCTCTGAGAGAAGTGGAGAATTGTATTCCTGGTGTATATTACATGGTTGCATCTGCTTACTCAATAGGGCTGCTCTCTATTTCCAAGACGTCTGTTTTTATCAGCAGGTGGAGAAACTACCAAATTGAAACTGATGGTGTAAACAGGTAGCAGGGTGGCAGGACTTAGGAAGTGTTGATGGAGTATCTAAGAATCAGAGAGAGACCCTGTGATTTTTTAAATGTGATGTAAATATTGTTATGATCAGTGAGATTTAGACTAACAGCTTCAAAGTGAAGGTCTCATCATAAGGCTCTGCAAACATCTGAAAGTCAATCACAAACCAGGTGCTTATTATTCGTGAAGTTAAAAACTTCATATATATAATTCCTTCAGCTACAATGGGGTTCCCCCAAAACTATGAATCTCTCTGAGCTTTCCCTCCACTTATGTCCATCTGTCTCCCTGTCATCCAGTCTCAAAGGCTCAAAGATTTCTGTTGCTCCCGCATTTTGAGAAAGTTGCTAATGGGTTCTTTCTCCCTAACATGTTGAACCCCCGTTTCCCATTCCAATATCACTTCTATTGTTCAGATCCCCAGCACCCTTCATTTGTGAGACTATAATAGTCTTCTCTGTAAACTCCATGCCTCATTGCCTCTACTGTCAGCCTTTCATATAAACCAGTATAGGTTAGTTAACCTTCCTAACATGGAAACTCATACGGCTTCATTTTTGTGCTTATAACAAACAAATAAAAAAAAGACAAACAAAAAAACTAAAATTTCTACTGAAGAACCTCAAAAAAGCTCCAAATACCATTCTAACTTTGTTTTACAATAGTTTTTTATATGCCATAGACAATAGCACTTAGCAAAGTACTCTTCCTGACGTTTACTTGGCTCTTACTTTAATACGATTTCATTTCCTCTTGTACTGTAGATTATCTTTGGGCCCAACCTTCACATGGACCAATACCACATATTAATAAATGTTCACATCAAGAACTGCATATTCTAAGTGGCACTGGGAAATGGGAGATTTGTTTTTGATATGGAATAGGTTTTCATGATAAAGAGTTCAAGTCCTGATAATGCTGCTTCCTAGCTGTGTAACCTTGAAAAGCTGCTTTGCCTCTCTGTGCCTATTTATGCTACTGATCCATAAAACAGAGAAAACAAAAGTAGTTTTCTCATATCGTTATGAAGACTAAGCTAGTTTGTATATGTAAAGTGCTTTGAACAATGCACATAGTAAGACAGATTAAGCACTATATTAGTATATTAAAGTTCTCTAGAGGGACAGAACTAATAGAATATACACACACACACACATATATATATACTCACCTTTATATATATATATATAATATATAATTACATATATATATGTATATATATATGGGGAGTTTATTAAGGAGTATTAATTCACATGATCACAAGGTCCAACAATAGGCTGTCTGCAAGCTGAGGTGCAAGGAAGCCTGTCCGAGTCCCAAAGATGAAGAACTTGGAGTTCGATGTCAAGAGCAGGAAGCATCCAGCACAGGAGAAAGATGTGGGCTGGGAGGCTAAGCCAGTCTAGTCTTCATGGTCTTCTGCCTGCTTTTATCCTAGCCACACTGACAGTTGATTAGATTGTGCCCATCCAGATTAAGCGTGGGTCTTCTTTCCCAGCCCACTGACTCAAATGTTAAACTTTGGCAACACCTTCACAGACACACCCAGGTTCAACAATGTGCATCTTTCAATCCAATTAAGTTGACACTCAGTATTAACCATCACGGTTAGCATAATGATTACTGTAGAATTGGAGCACTTTCAAATTTTCTTTGGGATACTCCATGGATAACCATTTATTCCTTTTTAAACACCATGCTCTTCCTTACAGATGAAAGTGAAGGAATAAGCAAAAATTAAAATAATGCATAGCATGACCATTACTACTGTCATAATTTTTAACTAAATTTTTTGAAACTACTGGATATAGTGATTCATGCCTGAAATCTCAGTACTTTGGGAGGCTCAGGCAGGAAGATTACTAGAGTCCAGGAGTTGGAGGCCAGCCTGGGCAACATAGTGAGACACGGTCTCTATAAAAAAATTAAAAAAAAAAAATAGCCAGTGTGCTAGCATGCTCCTGTACTCCCAGCTGTTCGGGAGGTTGAGGCGAGAGGATCGCTTGAGCCAAGGAAGTCAAGGCTTCAGTGAGCTGTGATCATGCCACCGCACTCCAGCCTGGACTACAGAATGAGACTCTGTCTCAAGGGAAAAAAAAGTTAAAAAAAAATAAAAAAGAAGGAAAGAAGGAAGGAAGGAAGGGAGGGAGGGAAAAAGAGAAAGAAAGAAAGAAAGAGGAAAAGAAAGAAAGAAGAAAGAAGGAAAGAAAGAGAAAGGAAGAAAGAAAGAAAGAGAAAGAAAGAAAGAACAAGAAAGAAAGAAAGAAAAGAAAAGAAAGAAAGAAAAGAAAAGAAAAGAAAAGAAAAGAAAAGAAAAGAAAAGAAAAGAAAAGCTATTTTATGAGCTCTAGTTCTCCCAGCCCTTATTCAGGATTTGTAATGTCAGTAAACGATAGGATCTGACTTATATAGTTGGTTCATCCATTCATACAAGCATTTATTAAACTTGCATTGCATACTGTATTAGTTTTCCATTGCTGCTTTAGCAAACTGCCACAAATTGAGTTGCTTAAAACAACACAAATTTACTATCTTACAGTTCTGGAGATCAGAAAACTGCATCGGTCTTAGGGTTAAAATTAAGGTGTCAGCAAGACTGCATTAATTTTAAAGGCTCTAGGGAAGAACGTGTTTCCTTGCCTTTTCCAGCTTCTAGAGGCTGCCAATTTACCTTGGCTTATGGAAAGCCAAAGCCAGCAATGACTAATTCGAGTCTTTCTCACATCATATCACTCTGACATAACTCTTCTGTTCCCCTCTTCTATATATAAAGAACCCTTGTGATTGTTTGGGATAATACAGGACAATCTCCTTATTTTATGGTCAGCTGATTAGCAACGTTAATTTCATGTGCAACCTTAATTTCTCTTTTCTATGAAGAGGTTATAGGGAATAAAATATCCACATCTTTGGGTAGCCATTATTCTGCCTATCACACATAATTACCAGAAATCCTCCTTTTATAATGAGTGAAAAACTAGAAGAGAGAGAGACCATGGTGCAATCATATTTTAAACTAGAAGAAAACTGAAGGATCAGGAAAATCCTCTCAATTCACAGGATATTTCTCTCCTTTTGATGGATATAGTCTTCAGTTTATTTCTTATGCTGAATGGTTTTGTAGATCTCCACTCCATGCCTAATATTATGTATACTCAGCAAATAAATATAACTTCACAGAGTGTCCAATGCACACTCGGGATATCTCAGATGTTAGTGTAGATGAAAGAGAAAATAGGAACTGTTATGAGGGAGAAAAAATAGCATCTGAATCAGAGAAGTATAGAAAGACTAAATGTTACAGGATGAAAACTGATATTAATCAAAAGCTACAATGTAATATATATCCAGAAAATATTATTTTTAGCCTTTAATTTTCTCTCTTTCAATAATGTGTTGTAAGAAATTGTAGCCGAGGCGGGCGGATCACGAGGTCAGGAGATCGAGACCATCCCGGCTAAAATGGTGAAACCCCGTCTCTACTAAAAATACAAAAAATTAGCCGGGCGTAGTGGCGGGCGCCTGTAGTCCCAGCTACTTGGGAGGCTGAGGCAGGAGAATGGCGTGAACCCGGGAGGCGGAGCTTGCAGTGAGCCGAGATCCCGCCACTGCACTCCAGCCTGGGCGACAGAGCGAGACTCCGTCTCAAAAAAAAAAAAAAAAAAAGAAATTGTAGGAGATTTTATATCCACATATTATGCCTCTGTCCTTTTTTTTCTTCCCAGATATGAATGAATGCTTCAGTTTCCATAGCATACCTTATTAATTTATTTGGAAAAAGTACAGTGTATTCAGAAACTTTCAGACATATCTGCTGCCTATGAAATGAGGAAAGCAGTATTTGTATCTCTTCTCTTTAGAAGACATGAGGATGGATGGCAAAAATCACTTGTAAAATACTTTAGATGTCTTGGAAAAGAAGCCCATCGAAATGGAAATTATTATCATCGGAAGAGTCATAACAGTCTTCCAACTGTCATCGTTAGAGTGGAAAATGGTGATTCATTCTACTTTCCTTCTTCTTTGTCCCAGTGGATGAAAATCAGCTTATTAGTTGCTTAGTGTAACTGACAGTCTCTCCTTTATAAAACCCATTTCCAATTCACATTTCACTGAAATTTTAATCCAGTGAATTCTATTTTCTCCCTGTATTGCCAATTCAAAGACATTTTTTTGATGACTGTGGTCACTGCCTTCTAGTTCTCCTTCAGGAGGTGGGATTACTTTAAGAAAAGGCTGAGCAGAGCCTTCTCGTGGACATTCCAGTCCTGTGCCTTTTTAGAAGTAAAGGAAGAAGTGTCCTGATCTGGAGATCTAGAGCACTTATGGTCCCGAAAAACACCCATCCATATTAGGGCTAGGCAGAGAGAAGGAGTGTCATCCTATTTCAGGTATGGCCATCTCTCAGTCACTAATTCATCATTTGTATAGATTAATTCCAAATTTTAGAGTCATCGATGTAAGAAGGAGGTATTAAGCTCCTTGTTAAAATATAAAATTGTCACTACGGAAAGTCATACCTTTTATGCTGGCATGGTGCCTTTAGGGAGAGAAACAATTGCCCAGCATAATGGTTAGGGGTTGCCTCACACATTTTCATATAGTTCACTGTGACATGGGGTAACATCTAAAATTCTCTGAGATTTCAGAGGTTTCAGAAGTGTCTGAGAGCAAGCCACCAAGCCTGGAAAGTCCTCAGTGTTAGGGTAAAAAGGACAGAGAATGATATGTGGGCCTGGTGCCTGGGAAGTAGAGAGGAACATAGACATTTCATGTGCAACCGGTTGAAATAGAGGCAGAGAACCAATAGGGATTTCTCTTTTGTAAAATGAGGAATCACAGTATACACCTCATTGCAATGGTGTGAAAATGAAAAGAATTAACATGGAAGTTATTTATAATAGTAACTGAAACATAATAAATGTTCAGTAAACATCAGTTAATAGTATAATTTTATTCTGTTAATTGTTATTGCTGTTGTATTCTTACATCTCAGAAGAACTCAACATCGAAAAGCTCATACTTCAGCAATAATTCTCTTCCAACCAGTGCCCTCAGAGCTTCTGTCATTCCAGGAGAGAAGGGAAGGAGAAGAGGGAAGGAGAAAACTTTCTATAATCCATGAGATTTTACCTTGGAGAAACTGCTATTAAACAGAAATGCCTGTAATCCCAGCTACTTGGGAGGGTGAGGCAGGAGAATCCCTTGAACCTGGGAGGCGGAGGTTGCAGTGAGCCTAGATGGCACCACTCCACTCCAGCCTGGGGACAGAGAAAGACTCTGTCTCAAAAACCAAAAGAAAAACAAAAACAAACAAATAAAAAACAGATATGACTGCGTTTACTTTAAATTGATAAGATTATATTTTATGTCATTAGCAGAATTGTTGGCTTGGATAGTTTTATTCCACTTTTGTAAACCTTACTATTATTTTTGCCAAGGCAGTCCCTATTGAATGTTTATTGTTACTATTCCTTATTTGTTATTATTATTAGATGTCTAAAATTTTATATTTAATTTCCTTGGGGAAATGATGCCTACTGAATATCAATCTCCTGGCACAAAGTGACCTGCATGAAGAAAGGAAAGAAGGAAGGAGGGAGAAATAGAGAAAAGGAATGATGGAAGACAGATGGAAAAAAAAATACTGCCTAACGATATATTACTTTACCTGGGAGCTATATACTGGTATAAATACTGAGAATACTAAATATTTGGACATTGCAGTATGTGGTATACACTTTTCACTTGCAACTGGAAAATCAAAGTGAATTGCTCAAGCTCTCACAGCTAGTTAGAAGCAGAAATATGACTTCAATTCTGGCCTCTTTCAGGGAAAGACCCATGCTACTCAACATGATGTTATACAACACAATGTTCTCCACCAATTCCAATAGTAATAGTTGATGTAACCCCTCACATTTTCTCACTTCAAAGGCAAGGCAAAGATTTCTGGAGACGTTTGAATGGGTGTTCTTGTAAACTGCTCAATACTTTGAAAAAGTTATCCACTGTTTCAGTTTCCACATTATCTGTGATATTCTTAATTTGGTAGAAAATCTTCATTTCAATCAGTCAAATGCATCATTATTTCCTACTATGGTCTGTATTTTTTTGTTTTGTATGAAAAATCCTTCTCCACTCCATGGTCATAAAGACATTCTTCTCCAGTTTCTTTCCATAATGTGTAATTTTACTCTTAAAAGTTTAAATCTTTTTAACGGTCTTTTAAAAATCTTTTTATGACTCAACTGTCTTTACGTTGTGGGAAAGACAGGTTATTTTGC
The DNA here is from genome assembly GCF_000001405.40 of Homo sapiens. Lineage (NCBI taxonomy): Eukaryota > Metazoa > Chordata > Mammalia > Primates > Hominidae > Homo > Homo sapiens. Next base: position 40,633,826 of record NC_000018.10, read on the forward strand.
CCCCACAAGGAATAAATTTTTTCCAATGCTATTTATGAAATGATTCATCTTTTATACACTGATTTTGATGTGACTTAACCTATGCACTAATATTAATGTCATCCACACTTCTTAAATTTGCTCTGCTGATTCATTTACAAGTTCTCCTAAGGATTTAATTGTAATGATTTTTAAATACCAAAATATCTGAATATTGAAGTCAATTCCCATACCCTCACTTTTTGCTTTTCTCTTTCTGAATTGTCTTCATCCTCTTTAATTCTGTCTTATATGTTTTAGAATAAACTTGTCAAGTGCTCTTTGTTTCAATCATGCTAGAGAAATTGCATTGAATTAGTATATGGATTTGGGTAGAATTAATATCTCAATATATTTATTCCATTTATTTTTTTGGTCCAGTCTTCCTTATGTTCTTCAATAGTGTCAACATGTTAGGCCTAAAGTTATTTTACATTTCACTAGGGTTAAATTCTAGATACATTATAAATTTTTGATTATAGATGATTTTTTAATATATAGATTATTGTGAGTAACATACAGAAATCTTGCCAAATTTACTAGTTAGAATTCCCCTTCTGATTATTATAATTTTATTTTGTTGAGTTTTATAGGTACACAGTTATTTTATTTGAATATATTTTTTTCTTTCTTTGCAACCATTACATATTTTATTTCCTTTGCATGTCCTATAATGTTGCACAGTATCTATATTGAATAGTGGCATTGATAGCAGGCATCCTATTTCAATGCAATTTTAAAAATAATCACATCTTTTATTTGTCTTCATCAATTCTATTCGGGAAAGTTTATGTTAGATATTTTACTAATACTAAGGAGGTTTTATTCTACTCCTATCGTGTTTGGAGTCGGTTCCTTCCGGTGGTTTGTAAAATGCACCAATCGGTGCTCTCTAAAAACGTACCAATCAGCTCTCTGTAGCTAGCTAGAGGCTTGTAAAATTGACCAATCAGCACTCTGTAAAATGGACCAATCAGCACCCTGTAAAATGGACCAATCAGCATTGATCTCCCTGACTTCAAGAATGAAGTGGTAGAACTTTGAGATCAGTGTTACAGCTCTTAAAGGTGGCACAGACCCAAAGAGTGAGCAGCAGGAAGATTTACTGTGAAGAGCAAAAGAGCAAAACCTCTAGAGCCTGGAAGGGGACCCCAGCAGGTTGAGGCTGCTGGCTGGGGTGGCCAGCTTTTACTCCCTTATTTCTCCCCAACCATGTCCTGCTGATTGGTTGACTTTACAGAGTGCTCATTGGTCCATTTTACAGAGTGCTCATTGGTCCATTTTACAGGGGGCTGATTGGTCCATTTTACAGAGTGCTGATTGGTCCATTTACAGAGTGCTGATTGGTCGATTTTACAAACCTCTAGCCAGCTACAGAGAGCTGATTGGTACGTTTTTACGGAGCTCTGATTGGTGCATTTTACAAACCTGTAGCTAGCCACAGAGCACTGATTGGTATGTTTTACAATCCCTAGCTACAGGGTGCTGATTGGTGCATTTTACAATCCTCTTGTAAGACAGAAAAGTTCTCCAAGTCCCCACCTGACCCAGAAGTCCAACTGGCTTCACCTCTCACTATTAAGCATCACAAGTGATGTTAGAATCTATCACAAGCTTTTTTGTGACTACTAACAAGATCTTTTTTTCCCTCATATATGATTCTTTATATTCCTGGGATATCCCTTATTTTATTTTTTATAATAATGTGCCATTATTAAGTATTGTTTATGAAACTTGGTTACTTAACATTTTATTTAGAAATTTATGTCTATATACATAAGTGAGAAAATCTTGTCTTTTTTAAATTCTATCTTTAGCCCTTTTTTTGAATCAATGTTAAATTAGATGCCTCCCCCCAAAAATATGCGTATGAAATCTGCTATTTGTTCTTGAAGGTTTGGTAAATCTTACCATTAATACCAAGATTTCTAACACCTTTTAGTTGAGGTAGTTTTTTCTTACCTTTCCAATTTCTTTTTAACGAGAATTGATCTCATTAAATGTTCTCTCCCTTGAGAAAATTATGACATAGTATATTTTTCAGAAACTGATTAATATTTTCTAGAATATTACACTTATAGGCATATGGTTTATTCTTCACCCACTTTCTAAGAATAAATTCAATCTCCTGCCCTCTTCAAAACAATTTCTCAGTTTTAAACCAGATATTTCTCCTTCTCTCCCACCCCCAATATTTCTAAATATGATAGAGACTGTGTGGCATAATTTATCATTTCATTTTATGCAAAATATGATTTTAAAAATAGGTCAATTAGTGGAAGATTGCATCAACTGCAGATAGACTTCTAAAAAGCAGTTTCACATTTTCTACTACCTTGAAACTATGATTTTAAGCATCTACATATAGGTGAACTACTTTAATTATTGACACTTACTTACATCAATGTTTCTATATGCACCTTCCTCTTACAGTTTCCTCACCTTTTCTCATTTGGTTGAAGTTTTTTGTTGTTGTTATATGTTTGCTTGCTTTTCTCTACTCTTGCTTAAAAACCTCTTAACAAAAACTTTTGGTACTTCCCAGATATTCTTCTGGTTTCACCATTTCTGTCCTTCTGGTAGGCTGCAAATTGCCTGGCTGTGTCTGAAGGCTTTTTTTCTGGAACTCTGAGAGGCAACTTCTGTCTGACCAGAAGTGCCCAAAAATTAACCCCCTCACCAGCAGCCTTCAACCATTGACTCTTTATAGTAGGTGTAAACATAACCTAGCTCCATTGTATTTTGGGTGAGACAATTTTGGAACATATTTTCCTGAGTTTCCCACCAGAACTATGATCTAGTCACTTCCTGAATTTACTAACTTTTTTCCCATGCATCATTTTCCATTCTGGCACCTTCCAAATAAACTTTGTGTACTTGAATTCTTATTCAGGGCTCATTTCTGGAAAAATCCAACCTAATACAAAGATCAACTTCCTATGTCTAAATATCAAAGACCAGTATAACTTTTAGAGTCAAAATAAAAATACATATTTTTCTTCAAGCTTTTCTACTGTCATCTAAATCACTTTAGAATCTCCTTTCAGATTCCCTAAAGTACAGCTTGCTTTTACTGCATAATTCATTATGTCATAATAGTAATACTGATTTGCATTGTATAATGCTGTATGTTTTGTCAGAGTGCTTTGAGCTATACAATCTATTAACCCGTATCTTTTGACTTACTATTTTTTCAGTATATAGGCTCTCTTTATCCACTGATGCTTTAAAGTCCTTGATAGCAAGCAAATATAGAAAGAATTGTGCTATACCCTGATGGCTGACCATTGAATATGGAAATGAATCAATTCAATGAAATTAAACTATATTTGTTGCACAACAACAATTAAGGAATATAATTTTATTATAAAATTCCTATCAGAAAGTTACGTACCATTACTCTTTTCAACTCCAGAGCATATTTTGTCCCCACATATCATGTTTCCCTTTGCCAGAATTTGTTATAGTTTTAGTTTTTGCGTGTATTTTTACAGACAGAAAAAAATAGAAATATCAAGGATAAAAGGTGGTTCTCGTATGTAGCTTTTTTGAGGGAGACTTCATATTTACCTTTGTGGCTCATTTAATATTCAGTTCTGTAAATGTTTTCTTTCTGCCCAAAAGTCTTACCTTTGTCACTCCAAGATTCCTTGACTCCTAGTAATCTTATTCTAAACCATCTAATTTGCCAAGACCTGTGTGTGGTAAAAAATAGGGAATTTGGCAATTCAAGGAATAATTGCTAATGACATAGAGTGAGAGGTTAATAATAGAAGGAGCATAGTGTTCATAATATGGCAAAAAACTGAGTTGTTAGATGGTAAAATTGGAAAGAATATCTAATGTGTTTTATGTCCCTTACTGCCTTTCTTGTCAACAGATGACAAACTGGACATGAACATCTGTATTAGTCTGTTTCCATGCTGCTAATAAAGACATACCTGAGACTGGGCAATTTATAAAAGAAAGAGGTTTAATGGCTCTTAAAGCCAATGGCTGGGAAGGCCTCACAATCATGGTTGAAGGCGAATGAGGAGTAAAGTCACATCTTACACGGTAGAAGGCAAGAGAGCATATGCAGGGAAAATTTCCTTTATAAAATCATCAGATCTCAAGAGACTCACTCACTATCATGAGAACAGCACGAGAAAAACCCACCCCCATGATTCAATTACCTCCTACCAAGTACCTTCTCCAACACATGGGCATTTTTACAATTCAAGGTGAGATATGGGTGAGGACACCGAGCCAAACCGTATCAACATCTGTGTCTCAGTATGAGAATGCATTTCAAGTTAGTAAAGATTAAGCATTTAACCTGCAAGTGTTTCTTTTATACAGAATGAAAAAAAATGGAATACAATTGGTAAAATCAATTATTTTTGCAGGTAGAAATGTTGAAATTATTAACTCTGGGCAAAAACTACCTCACTTTGGAAATTTCTCTTTTTCCATCAAGTAAACCTGATGGCTAATGTTGCAGCATTGTGAGTCATGTGTGAGGATAGCATTGGGGCTGCCAAAATACCACTGGACATGGGGTAATATAACAATGTGTTGGATATTAAAGATCTAGAAGCAACTCTTAATCCAGTTTCCAATAACCAGTCCCATGAGACATCCAATCCTTCACCTGAACCAGTTAAAAAAAATGAAGAATGTCAACAGTAGTAATATTGAGATGTATTAACTGTAAAATGTTCTGGTGCACATAATGACAGTCATAGCACTAATAACGCTTTGCAATTAAATAGCACTTATCTTTCTAGGAGTTCAAAGTGCTTCCCAATACAATATTGCACAACCTTGTGATGTGAAGAGGGAAAAAGCTTCCTCAAAATTCATGGAGAAAGAAAAGCGTTTTATGCCACTAGATATGGTTTCCTCTCAAATATGACAAGAAATTCCACACTGATCAGACTCACTGCCCATTTAGCAAAGATTTGCCTCTAACAGAGAGCGTAGGGAGTAAAATGTAAAGTAAAGTAAAATGTAAATGTAAATGTAAAGTAAAGTAAAATGTAAAGCTAGTTATCTTAGCTTCAAAGCTTCCAGCAGTCTATTGCTGGGTCTGCACTAAGTTCCTGAGTAATCAAGTCTGCTTTTCTGTCATTGTTTTCTATCTTTAAAATAAAGAGAGCACACACTATGTATGTGTGCAGGTACCATGGTTTGGCTGAAGAGTTCATTTGTTTTTCTTTTAACCTGGCTTGTCATTCTTCTTTTAGGACATTTATGTATATAGGGTATATGTTATTCACAAGGCTTTCAATTTTACAAAATAATGTCACTTAGCTAGCACTCTTGCCAGAACACTACAAATCTCTGCCTTGCCAACCTCACTAGGGTGTTTCATCAAATGCCACTTATGATTGAAAGCCCTTTGAAAAGTATAGAGCATTAGATAAATGAGAGTTATTGTTATAATTTAATTTCTCTTTATCACCCATTATAGAGTCATCATCTGTGAATTTATTGTATAGATGGGATAATAAACCAGAGATTGGTGGCATTGGAAAAGAAAAAAACATTTCCAAAATGAAAGCCCTCTATAAATTGACTCTTTCCTGAAATATTTCTATTTCTCTTGAAAAATCTCTCCTATCTCACTGTGTGTGAACTTTTCAATATGTAAATTCACACCCAGCTGAGGCTTTTATATTTACTAATGGGGATGAAGCAGACACAACTCTGGTGGAAGACAATTTGCCTCACCAGTGTCATAATGGGTACTTCTAATTTAAATCTTGAAATAACAATTCTTGTTTCTATTCTGGCTTTATCACTATCTACCCATGTGGTTCCAGCAAGTCATTAAACCTTTCAGGTAACTTGATGACCTCTTCCAGAAAACAGAATTATTAACACCATAAAAGGCAGTTATGATAAATAAACTATGAAAATAATTGGCTGAATAGAAATAATTAGGGACAAATACCTGATGGTTCTCTTGATTTTCAAGTTGTTTGCTAACCAACACTTGTGTAGATTTGCTATGTTGAAACCAAACAACTAGCTTACTTAATTATATCTAGGTCTAATACAGGCATGGCTAGAGTTTAAGTGGGCAATTTCAAAAGCAATCCCAGGTAGCATTTTAGAATGGTATACAGTGTTTTAAGTATTCATTATCCCTGAGCATTTGCCTGGATCTATACAAGGCAAATATTTCACAGCAGTAGAAACTATATATGGAAGAATTGTGAAAGTAATTTTAATCTGTAAGGGAGTTGGTCTGGGTAAGTTATTTTCATAATGTTTATAAACCAGTATACACATTTGATTAACAGCCCATATGGATTTTCATGCTTGGAAAACGACCATCCGCAGGAAAATGTATCCATTATGTTTATTACTTTAGCATTGTTTGACTGACTACTGAGTTCTATAAATTTGAGCACTTCAGACTAATTGTTTGTGTGTGTACAGTCCTGCCAAACTCATTGATAAGCTACTTGATGTTCTCTTCTCTTTGCTGTGTTCTTCTAGAAAGAATGATCTTTAAGAAAATACTGTCTCTGTAATTTCGTTTCCTTTGGATGCTTTGGCTGTTAGAGGGTTAAAAAAATGATTATGATGCTAACTTGAAACAACTCAACAAGGTAACTTTGGGATGCTTCTGCTTAGTGGAGACTTTAAAAGCTTTGGAAATGCTCTTAAAGTTATATGGATTTTTTTTTCCTTTTTTATAGTCAGTTAAAAATTATATTTTTAAACTCTACAGTTCAAGGAGAAAAGCAATTATCAAAATGCAATAAACTTCTAAGTAAAGTACAAATTGCTTCTGTGGCCTTAACTGTCAAAATAGAGAGCTTCTGGTAATGTGTTTCATGAGTCAATCAGCCGGATTCTTGCCACACATTCTGACACCCAGGGGAAGGGGAGAGGTCATCATAGAACTCTAAGAAGGTGCTCATGGAAGAACCAGACTTGAGAAAGTGGTGAGAAGTTAACATTTGGCTTTTTTTTTTCTTAGTCTTTTTTCTGACAGCTTTTCCTTTTGGTTACTTCTTTCCTAACACCAAGCTTGATTCTCACGCACTGACAGGAGGGAGGAAGCAGAAAAAGTAGCTGTTTTCACCGTGCGAGATGAAAATCCTGGTGCCTTGCACATTGTTGGAATGTAATAAATATCTGTTGGTTGATCACTTCTCTTACTTCATTTATATTCTGCACCACACTACAGAACATTTAAGGCCCTGGAGGCATAGAATTGGGGATTTAGAAAGGATTTTAGCTGACATCTAATCCAACTTCAGACAAGAGAAGGAGTCCTTTCTGCAATATCCCAGGCTGATTGTCATCTCTCTTCCCTTTGAATCCTTTCAGTGTGGCAGAAGAAACTACTTCTGAGGCAACATATTTCATTGTTGGATAGCTGTATGTTTAAAAAGTTTTAATAAAACCTTCCTCTTTTAAAATTCTATGCAGGTTTCTAGATCTGCCTTCTGGTGCAAAACAGACTTCCAGGGACTGAGGTCGAATGAAAAATGATCTTCAGAAACAGACTGTCATATGTTGGGTCAGAGCTCTACCCCTTACCATCTATAGTATGTTGTGTGGCAAATATTTTTACTCTTCACATCATTTTTGGAGGTTTTGTTGTGTTTTCCTATAGAAATTGGTGATAAAATACTTAGCTCACCAAGTTCACAGGTCGTTGAGAAGTTTACATGTGATAAACTGCAAAATGTCTCAGAGAAGGCACAGAAATGACGTTCTCTTCCACTTCCAAGATTCCGGTATTGGCCCTTAAAATAGTTCATTCATTATAGTAATTTTATTAGATATTCTTGTATTATATTTTTCCAAGCCAAAGTATCAATCTGTCTTACCTGTCACAGTCCCTATAATATAACCCTTAAAGGCCCATGTGCTGTAAAACTTTGTTGGTTCATGAATTTCCCAATATGAAAATCCCCTTGGAGGAGTAATACAAAATCTTTCAACAGCCCCCCGCCACCAAAAAAGGTGACTTCAGAGCAATAGAAAATTAAGTCATAGAAAAAAAGACCCAGAATATCTTACAGATGTTTGTTTTGAGTATGGGAGGAAAGAAAAGAGGTGGGTCTATAGGCGATGGTGAGTTGGATTATACAGGGAAATCAGCAGGAAAAAAAGATAATTTTTATTTCCTTTGATTTTGCAAAGATTTGAAACTAAGTTATCAAGCTGTATATTTTCTGGTCCTTAGAGCTAATTTCTTTAGGTCAAGTCTCCAATACCTACCTATCAAACCCAAGCACACACACACCTACACACACATACAGGTAGTTAATGTACCATCTACTAAAGGTTATATGGCAGATATCTAAATTACTAAAACTGGATGTTAAACATCCTCTTCTTAAACATCCTTCACCAACCAGTTGGGTTACCATTCTTATCTATGTAGTTCAACTTTTGATAATTTTTATTGTCGTATGTGTATGTACGTGTGTGTGTGTGTGTTTCCACCACCCACCTACCTCCATTCCTCCAACCTTGGACTCTTCTCTCTTCTACCATTTCATATCATTTTCCTACTTCTCCTTTCTGTGGAATATTTTTTTCATCACCACTAGTGTTTTCAAAATCAGTCCTTCTTCCTTGATTATGCAGAGATGTTTAGCTTTCTACTTTCAAATTCTTTGCCATGTCTAGTGTCTAGCATGTGTGTATATATATATATAAATATATGTGTATAAATATTTGTGTATGTATAAATATATGTGCATATAAATTAATATATTGTATATATAAATATATATACACACACATATATATATACACACACACGTATCTGAAAGTTTATTAACACACTACATGTAATAAAGGGGTTAACCTGCTCTAGATCTCACCAGTCAGGCAAATAAATATGCTAGAAAAATACTTTGACATTTCACTTTCTCCTTCCTCTATAAAAAGAGCTTGTCATTTTGCTCAACTCATTTCCCAAGATCTAGGAAATGCAATTCCATTCTGTGCCTAGAAGAATAACAGTACCAGTAACTATCACACTTAGCAGAGATGATACAGCTGAGTCATGATTCAGACTCACATTTCTCTCTGTGGGCTCTAAGCACCCTAACACACTACCCCTCTACGTGAGAAAAAGACCTTAGCTCAACCTCTAACTCACTATAATAGACAGGGGCAAATCCTGGAGCAGTTTCCCAACCGGATTATGCTTAACAATCATCTGGAAGCTTTGAAAAATGGAATTCTCAGGCCATCTCCCCAGAGAGCATGATTCGGTATGGAAAAGTAGGGCTTTTTCAAAAGGCCACCTTGATCTATAGCTAGCTTTGGAAAACACTGATTTAACGAGCCTGAAGCAATTTTTTTTCTCATCTGTAAAAATGAGGTTAGAGTTACAGAACCCTGAATGATCAAACCTGGAGTCCTTATAAAAAATACAGTCTATTGGATCTTTTTCTTACAAAATCAGATTCAGTATGTTTTGGTTCTTGGCCCTCAGCGTGTGGAGAGTGAACTAGTAGCTTCACCTAACAGCAAAATGGAGAAGTAAATTCCAGCTCAGAGAGACTCAGAAAACTTTGGAGATTGTTGTGATTAAGAAGCTTGGGGACCTCAACTAAATAATATTTCATTTTATTTTAGTTGCTGAATTATATAATCAGATGTTTTTCTAGACTATTGAATTGTAAACTACTTAAAGGCAGGAATAGATAGTATCTACAATTGTTTGCACCTTTATATACAATAGATTACTGTAGATGATCAATAGAAAATAAGAGCTTACTAATGGGAATGGAGATAGGGATTATGAAGACAGTATGGGTAGGATTTTGTCAACATAGTATACTTTTAAAATATAAATAATATTAATAAGGCAGATATGGAAAGGCAAGTGTGGCTAATCTGTCTCAGGAGAAAATAAGTCACACCTGGAAACAGATTGTATTTTTTATTCCCATTTGTTTCTCCTCACAGTGCCAAACAATGTGTTTATCTATAGTGACTATTAAATAAATCTTTCTGAATTGTTCTCCATTGAAAGAAAGAGAGAGATAAGGCAAGGAAAAAATCCATCATGCTATGGGCATTTTGCTTATTGGGGGTATTTTGCATTGCTTTGGATTGTCGCTTTTCAAATATAAATCAACATTCAGTCTCAAATTTTTCTCACGAAGTGAAGGAGATGTAAAAAAAAAAAAAACTTAAACTTTTGTTTACATCAGAAGATTAAATAGGCACAGTGTTAGAATATTCAATGGAGGAGCCATGATAGATAAGTTGTCAAAGAGAACTTCAGAAACCACTCAATGATTAAAAAAAAAGATAAATAAATATACAGCCTTATCTTCTGATGTGAAGTCTCTTGCAACTTCACTTTTAAATATGTATGACTAAAGCCTTACTGCTTTATCCTAGTCTTCAAACTGCAGTAAAGGAAGATCTTTTACAGGGAGTTGGTAAACCAGCACACTGAGAATGAAAATGAAGTCAAGACTCATAGATGTGTGTGTGTGTCGGGGGGTGGTGTATTTGTTAGGGGAGTGATGGAGGATACTGAGCTTAAAAGCAGCCTGTCTTTCATGGGAGGATTTCCCTGTTGCTTTGTAGTCCTAATGTGTACTGTTCAGTGTCAAAAATCTTACTCATCTTCAAGTAGCCAAATGAAGGAAAACACCTACTATCTGAGGAGCACTTCTTATTATTCAAACACTTAGAATTGTTTCGGAAAAAATGGAAAAGCTAGATGCTTGAAAGGCTTTATTTTATTCTTGTTTGAATGTTTGCTGTGAGCTAGACAAAGAACAGCAGAGTTGACTAAAAGTGAAAGGATTAAAAATTATTTCAACATGTGTTGCTCCAGTGTTATGATATTCAAGGCCAATTTTAAGTTTTTAAAGTGAGCAGTGTGAGGAGCAGTTTATGTGCAAAACTGATATTTGCCCCCCTTCGCAAAGACTCTAAGCTGCAAAATTGAACGTTTCTATGAAAATCACATTTTTCAGCATAGTGATGCGGTTATGAAGGACAAGGCAATTGAGTGCACTGAAAAAAGTTAATACGTTCTATTGACACTGCACTGAGAGGCCAAGTTGATCGAATTCTTTTATCCCCCAATTTAGCACCTTCTTTCTATATATCTAGAGAAATCTTCTATCACCAGGAGGTTTAAAAAGGCACAAGTCACTACACATATCCTCATGTGAAGTAGTGTGCATTTTGGTAAGAAATGCTTTTGCCCTATCCTCGTCTTCCTTTTTTAAACTACTTTTTCAAAGGTATGATTGTAAATATTTAATGTATACATCTTGATGAGTTTGGTAACATGCATACACCTGTGAAACTATTCTGCCACCAAGGCCATACACAGTCATCCCTCCCTAAGATTTTATTGACCCCTTTATTATTATTATTACTATCATTATTTTTGTGTGTGATAAGAACAGTTAACATATGGCCTACCCTCTTAGCAAATTTTAAGCATATAATACAGTATTCCTAACTATAGACAGGCACTATGCTGTCTAATAAATATTCACAACTTTTTATCTTGCATAATGAAAACTTGTATCTGTTGACAATCACCTCCTCATTTTCCTCTGTTGCAAGCCTGAGAAACCACCATTCTATACTGTCCTTCTATAAGTTTGACTCTTTTAGATTCCACATATAAGTGCATGATTATATAGTATTTCTCTTTCTATTTCTGGATTATTTGGCTTAACATAATGCCCTCTGGGTCCATCTATGTTGTCACAAATGACAGAATTTCCTTCTTTATTAAGACTGAATAATATTCCATTTAAAGTATGTATCACAATTTCCAACAATCTTACTTTTGGGTATATATCCAAAGAAATCACTATCAAATTTCAGAGAGATATCTACATTCTTATATTTATTGTAACATTAGTCATAATAGCCAAGGTATGAAAACAATCTCCACCTCTTAATCTAGGCCAAAGACTATCTCAAGATAAGTTAACAGCTCTGAACACCTGGACAAAATAAAAGAATCTAACCACAAAATAATTTTTCAAAAATTGTTTTGAATTAGTTAATTTGACCTCATACAGTATTATCTCATTGGATGTTCACTTTCTCCTCTTTTATACCTGAGACAGAGGCACAATGTCCCTCCTCTTCTTTTCTTTCATCTTCATTCAACTTAGCACCAATGACTTTAATGCTCCGACTCAGAGTAGAAAGTGTTAATGCATTCAGCAAATACTTAGTGTAGAACTACTAGGTACGAGGCACTATATGGAGAAAGAGGATGCAGAGTCTAATTTTTAGAAGTTTCTCTTCTATTAATACCCATATGCATATTTTGTATGTAACACAAAATCTGCCCCTTAATCCTATGATACATTATCATGTTAATAGTTCAATTAAAGTTATAAAATAACTAGAGAATATATTTAATAAAGGCTGGTGTAATGTATGGTACTTTTTATTTTAGTGTAGCAGAAGGCTAGCACAAAAGGTAAGATTTGGGGAAAAAAGTTCTAATTGTATTCTGCTCAATTATCACATCATGTTTATAAACATCTTTAAAACACACACACACACACATGCTTTAAATATATATATTTAATATATTAAATATATATTATATAAAAATATATTATATAAAATATATATTATATATAAAAATATATATATTATATAAAAATATATATTATATATTAAATATATAATATATATTTAAAAATATATAAAGTGTATATTTTTGGGGGAACTTCCACTTGCAGAAAACTTGTGTTAAGAATGGCAGCAGTGCTTCCGGTCCCGGACTTCTGGAATATAACTTGATATTATTCCTGTCTGTTTTTCCTTCCTTTTTTGGTTTTCTTCCTCACAAACATTTGCTGGTATCCCAAATAACATCGACAATGTGTCTGCTTTGATTTTATTCATTAATGTAATACAATTCAGGTTTGTAAGAGTTTTTATAATAGAAAACACTGTTATATACTGAAGACTGAGCTGTAAATGTATTTGTAGGTGGCACACATGTATTGTACTATATCAAATACTGAATTAAGTCATATAATTTTATTTGGAAGTAAGAAAGTAGCAGGGACAAACCAGAGATAAAAGAAAAATCAAAATCAAGTCATGAGGAAGAGGCTGGGATTATGTTAATAAAATCTATGTCATTGTCAAAAACTGTGAGCTGCTTTGAGAGGTAATTTAGGCAATGAATATTGTTGAGGGAAGGCATGTGAATTGAGACTAGCTCTTCAACCTTGGTAGTTTTCTAGTTGAATAGCTTAGGGTTCCTCAGGGTTATTGTGGTCATTTATAAACTCGGTGAAAATTTGGAAAAATATGCCTTTGAAGTACCAGTGATGTGAAGGATTGAGTTTGTGGGGCAGTAAATGGGCACAGAGGGACTGGCAGGAACCCAACTGACCCGGGTAACATCTCAGACCCCTGAAAAGTCAGGCCTGCTTAAATTATAAGTGGAATTCAATCCATTTGTCACATCTATTATCAAAATTTCTGTGGGAAGTCAAACAGATGATTCTCAATTTTTCTATAGGAGAATAAACATTTAGTTGGTTGAAGTAGTAGAAACAACCAACCATTTATTATTCCTGTGACAGACAATGGGAGAGTCCCCTTTAATTTCTCTTTTCAGTATCTATTAACTAATCAAATCTTTGTACACAAGGTTTTAAATATCCAGTACTATGAGCATTGTATTATACTTGACCCTGAACAAATACATGGCAAGTAGATATTCTCTTTGTCACCTTGGAGGCAATGTGATAAAATGGCATCATCTCTGACCTAGCCATAATGAACAGCAGGTTTCTCTTGTAGCCTTCTGACTTCCTTTTGATTTTGACTAATATCTGTCAGCTCCAGGCCCACAGAAGCAGTGTTTGACTCAACTCATTTGCCAGGTTATTTACCATTGATCAAATAATTCCATATAGATAAAATCAGATCCCAGCCATAAGCCTGTATTTTCCCATCATATTAATATAAATATTTGAGTGTTTTTAAATTAATTTAGTTATATGTAAAAAGATTGTTTCATATAATATAGGATACTAAGCAGCTATTATGAATAAACAATTTCCTATTTCTTTTAAAATGTATATATATACACACATATAGTATTTATATATAAACTTACTGTACATATATAATGTATGTATACTTGATTTTATGTACATACATTCATATAATGTGTGTATACTTTGTATATATGATTTTAGATTTTGGAATGGGTAAAAATTTGTGGTTAGGAACAGAGAATGATTAAGCAGCAGAGAGCTTGGAATAAAAGATAAATTTCTCACAATTACTTTCACCTGCTGAAGCCCCATTCCTCCTTTAAAACAGCCAAAGTTTCATCAATGTTGTGAAATTTTTCAGTCACACAACCAATAGCTTTTCTTATATTTGTGAATTTCTGAACATTATAGTACCTCTCTCAGATGTTCTTTATAGGGATTTTGCACAATATTATAGCTATTTTGATATTATTTTGTCCTCTCCTACTACGTTTAACTATTTTTATAATAGAATCCAATGTTCAGTTTTCTTTACATTTCTCACGGCTGCTTTCTCAAACTTGGTGTGGTGGAGATTGCTCATTGTCCATTTGGAATAAATCAGCTTTTCTCTTCTTCCATAGTAATAGAGGTGAAGCTGGAACATGGCAGCTTTATCTGAGGCTATGTTTGTTCCTGCGATGGAACTAACATCAATGGAATATCAGCAGATATGACATGTGCAACTTTGACTTAATTTAAGATGATTTTTCTAGCTTGGAACTTCCTATCTTTCTCCTCTGTGCCAATGGGTATGCCAGTGAGGATAGCGACTTTGGAGGCTACATGTTGAAGACATGGTTTAGAGCCAATGACATCCTGCAATTCTCACCTTGGACTGTTATGTGAAGAAAAAGTTACCTTTGCTTTTTACTTTCCTAAATCACTGATTCTGGAGAACTTTTTGTTACAGAAGTTTCACCAACACTACTAAAATTGATGCGTAATAAATACTTGTTCAAATGAACAGATAGATGCTTGCATGAATGGATTCATGAACTAAAGGAATTTGAGCCTAAACACTTGGTTGGTGCCTAAAGAAGCAAAATAGAAATGGTACTATGGCACTGATTTCACAAAAGAGTTTAAAGAAGAGACAGATTCATTACTAAATTGGAAGGATGCAGTAGACTTCTTAAAAAGAAAGAAAGAAAATATTCCATGCTAGCAGTGAATAGCTTGATAAAGTAGAAGAAAATAATCTATAGCCATTGAATTCTCTAAAGTATTATTTTTTATTATATATGTAAACCACCCATCATTACAACAGAAATATCCTGAAATTTCTCACAGATCAAGGTAAGGTCATTGTTTTTGCACTAAAAGCTATGAATAAAGTTTGAGGCTAATAATAGGTTCACAATAATTATATAACATTGTTGAATAAATAATGAGCCAGGAAGACCATGTTAGGAAAAAACTAACATTTAGAGTGTTAGGATAAAATAAAAAAGGAAGAACTAATGTCATCTTTGGATCAATAAATTTTCACTGAAGAAGTTTTGTTTATGCTATGAACTAGAGGAAAATTTAGGTAGGCAAAGAGATGAAACAATAACTTTTTAGAGATGATGTAATAAATCCATGAGATAGAAAAGATAAAATGGCTAAGCTGGAAGAGAAGATGAGCGTGGCTACTAGGCTCCAAAGAATACCAGGAAATCAAAATGGCAATGTCGGTGGAGTCCAGTACAAGATCATTCAACTAGAATACATAGCAAACGTTGCATTTTACATTGCAAACTCAGACCCCTGCATAAACTCACTCACACATACAAACACACACACACATACACACACACACACACACACACACACACACACACGTTTTCTGAAATAATAATCTTAAATATGGATTATGTCCTTTGGAATGTTCTCTTCTTTCTCTTCTATTTCTTGTAAAATATTACATCAAGGGTACTAATAGGCTGCTCTCCACACATTTCAAATACTTATTTGATTTATGATAAGTATTTTTAAATTCATTCTAAGCAATGGAGATTAACTGAAGGTTTTAATGAGGGAGGTGGAAGGAGGTTTGGCAGAATCAGATTTTGTTTAAAACTGTCTGTACCTTCATTGTCAGAACGGATTGGATGGAGTCAAAATAGACTCAGAGACCAATTTCTAATATTTTGACAAGAAATGACGGTGGCCTCTAACAGGATGAAAGCATAGATGATATCATATATGATGTGAATATATAAGTGAGATAAAGAGGCAATTCTGAAAAGAATTAAGCTTCTAGGCTATATTTCAAATATATCTTTAAAGGACCTTTCCGAACAACTTGCATGGAGACAATAATCCACTTATGCATGAATGAATTTATTCATTGATAGATTCCTTTCTTATTTCAATGAATTGTCAATGTCTGTAAGAAATTCAAAACTGGGGGTGTAAATAAACACTGAAACACTTTCTTGCAAATACAGCATGACATGTTGGAGAAAAGAGATTTGATGAAATGAGATCCCAAAGGATAAAAAAGGCTACTTTAAAAAAAAAAAAACATTGGTATGAACGACATGGCTTCTTTCTTTGCAATACCTCCATTTCATTCTTATGAATATCAGAATTTAAGAAGCATAAGAGGAAGTGAGTCCTGTAAAGGACATGTACTATCTATTAAGGAGGTAAAGAGAGAACAAAAGCACCATGGTATCACAGCTCCAAAGGGAAAAGTTTAAGGAAATGAGAATACTAGGTGAAGACTTATCCTAGAACATTAATAGATTGCACACAACCTATGTCATGGAATCTAGTTCTCAGAAGAAACTTGAAAATATTCTCTTCCTCCCTTGAACATGTGGCTATCTACTAAGAAAACAAGTATCCAAGCTTCTAACCTCATCCATGGCACATGCCTTGGATGCCTTTTTTATCAGTTTGTTTTTGTTTTTGTTTTAGCTTTTCCATTTCTTTTCCCAGCCTGTTGTATTCTTGCATCAGTATCACTTCCAGCCTTTGGACTTTGATTTCATTTTCAGCTTTATCTGTACTCTGTGGACCTGATGATAGATTTTCCTTCTCAGATTTGAGGCACAGATGATTCCCAAGCACATATTTTATTCATTCTTCTTGTCTTCTTCCTACCTTGCAAGATAACAATCCTACTTGGCCACGCAGCAGTATGTGAAATCGTGCTTTGACATGACCTGCCTTAAGAGGAGAAGAAGGACAAAGAAACAAGGTCTTCAGTGTCTGACACACTGTATGTTACCACAGCAGAACAGCCACCACAGGTGCACTCACAGATCCTCATGACTTCCACAGAGGTGAAGGAGGAAATGGTTGAAGTAATGGGGTGGGTGGGGTCAAAAAGTATAGGCTATAATGAATTCAAGAATGGTGCACCCCCTAGAACATTACGAAATGGGGAAAGAGACAATTCTGAACATGTTTGTTCTAGTAAAAATGCAATTTCTGAAATTCTGCCTTCTTCATGCAGTTATGTTTTCCATTGTTCCAATCTGCCATACTCAGCACAATTTGTCTCTGACCCAGGTTGACATCGCAATCTTTTTAGTGCTACTGATACATGCTCATGCTCCCCTTTGGGAGGACGCTCTCTGCCCTCCTCTTTAGCCAACAAGGTATTCTAGGCACTGGTTAACCTTCACTCTTCAGGAAACCACCTGCAATGTTTTGCACCATCATTTCTCAGAATAAATGCAGTACCTTCAGCATGACACAGTATTTCTTCACAAAATGTGAACATCATCGTCATTTTTACTAATAATTTAATGTTAATACATATTTTATTCCTCAGTTAGGTTTGTTAGTGACCTGGGGAAAAGTTGACATATATTGTGACATATAAATGTTTATGAGTATGTATGTATGTATACATCTTATACATCATATATACATATATGTGTATACATAAATATATACATATATGTGTATATACAAATATATTTCCCATATTAAATAAATAGATACAATGTTTAATATCTCTTTTTTACAGATAAACAAAATGTTGTTAAAATTCAAATGCCTTATGGATTCTCAGAAAACTTTAATTGTAGAACTGGGTCTAAAGCTTCAATTTCCTATCTTCCTCCAGAATGTTTAGGACACGGTTGAACACATGATAAACTAGAGATGTAACTGTGGAATTGAATCTAATACATCCAAAATATAAATTAGGGTTTTTTCCTCATGGCTTGGATATGTCTTGGACATCCAGGCATAAAGCCATGGAGGGAAAACCAAATGATTTGGGAGGTAGGCATTAACCTTCAGGAGGAGAGTTGTCCCCTGAACCTCTGCCTGCCTATCTCCCTTGCCCTAAGTTTGTCATGCATGTATGTCTTTAGCCCCTTGTATGCTTTTTTGTTTTTATCTCCTTTCTGTTTCTCTGCTGTCACTCTCAGCAGGTAGCCTCACTTCCCTCACTCCCATTGCTTTATGGATTATTGATTCATTTCCTTGAAAAGCAGTAACACTGCTCTTTTCATTATTTATTAATATTATTGTTACAAATAATGTTATTATTTTACTTGCTCTCAGGGAGATTTCAAGTTCTGAAATTATTGCACATGAGTTTCTGTCTGCATATTCTACTTGCCAGAATAATCCATATGCCTCCTTTTCTGAAAATTCCCACTAGGAATGTTGGAAACCTTACAAACTTTGATTGAGCTGCCCCAGGTCAAATTGAACATCTGGGAAAGAACTTCTGCATCAGCTGCAGTTGTGCATCCTTAAATACCCTAGTGGCCACGTTCTAGGAGGAGGATTGGTTTGGGGTTACATTTTGTGCAAAATGTATGGATATATTTAAACATTTCATTATATGGTCCAATTAGACTGTGTCTACATGGGCACATAATAAAGTAAAAATGTGGCAATTATCTGGTTCATTTCATCAAAGTCAACAGCCAAAGGCAGATATCTAATCTGGCAAAAAAAGGTTTTGTAAGGGAGAAGAGGGGAGAGTAAAAATAATATGAATTTGGTAATTATATTGTTTGCATGTACAGAAATGGATTCTAATTTTTTGTTACTATTTCAAAATGGAATTATTAGATCTTGTTAGGTACAGTGAATTTTAACGATCTCTACCACAGTGCCACATGTTTCAAATAAATAAAATGCATGCTATACATTCTGTTCTTATCACTCAGGTTCTCTTCTATTATCCTGGGCATATAAATCCAGACTGAGAAAAAAATAGCCATCTGAAAACTAAATTGAGTCTTGTCCAAATCTTATATAAATGACAGTTTTGGGTACCCTCTCCAAGTTGTTTTGGTCTAATTCCTTAGTCATTAGTACCAGGAAATAGAAAAAAAAAGAAAAGAAAGAAAGAGAGAGACAGAGAAAGAAGCAGAAAAATAGATGAAGGTGTCCATGGTGTTCCTATTGCCACCATCAAAAGAAATTTTCACCATCACTTACTCAGTGTCCTTCTTTCTCATTATTTTATCTCTACTTCCCCTTTCTATTACTTGGCTGTTAAGACCTATTACGCTTTTCTTCCTTTCCTGAAAAAAAAATTGTGTGTCTTTAGGCTCAGAATTCCATATAGGCAGCTGGAATAGCCACTGAAAACCATAAAATAAAGAATACTGTGGATACTGAGAAGGTTGAACTAATTACACATCCTGTTTCAAGGGTTCCCTATCCTATACCTGAAGTTAAGAGGTAGAGATGAATAACCAATACACATATTCAGAATCAGTGACTTTGTATTTAAATATGACACACTTGTTCTTCCCATCTATTTGTTTTCTTTTTTTAAGCAACGTGTATGTGGAAATATACTGATCTTGTTCTAAATTAACAATGCAACTATAAATCTTTCTGCTGCATAGGCATTGCCTCTGTGTCAGGAAGGATTGAGTTACGAAGAACCAAGTAAAATGCAATCTTCACAGCTCAGGGGAAGAGGGATATGATTATCATTTCCAAACATTTGAAAGGATTAAAGACTGGTGATGGGTGAATCTCAGAGGGCCAGAGTTGGATGCTTACCCAGAAAACTTTGGAATCACATCTCAGAGTCTGCAGAAATTGGTGGAAATCTATTGAGAATGTGCTTATGACATTTTCTCTACTATTTGCTTCCAGCCAGCCTGGAAGCCCATGCTTTAAGGTCTTGGCACTGAAGCATTAATACTGTTTCTCCCAGGGAGAAGAAGGGGGGCTTAATAATTATAAGTGGAGGTGGCCTGCAGCAAAATTGCAGAATGGGTGAAGTTTCCGTTGGCAACTTTCCACCTACACTCCTTAGCTATTCTAAAATCCACCAAGTTTTTAGCTTGTAAGGGACTTTGATTAATACACCTTCCAACCACATTTGCATTTTAATGGGAGACTCTTGGGAGATAGCAAGTAACAAAAGAGTCAAAGAAATAAAGTTCAAATGGTATATATTATTAGGTAGCAGTAAGTATTGGGATTTTTTTTATCCAAGGGAGACTTTTCTAATGTTCTTCTTCACTTTTCTGCTGTCTCTTTTGTTTTCTACATTGGTCTGGACCACAATTTCTTCCAGTCACACCTAGGCCTTACTGAATACTCTCAATTTCTTAAAACTGACATAATCTCTTGTCATGAAACTTCTCCTGTTGTTCCGCCTCCTACAATGCTCTTTCTTGTAATTCTGTGTCTAGGAGCTCAGAGTTGATGGCACTTCCTCTTGGAAGTCATCCCAGAGCCCCCAAGCCTAGGGAAGGGTAAAGGTTCATTGCGGTGGGATCTACAGTAATTCCTCTTATCTTTTGCACTCATAAAGCAACTGTAAACCTGCATTTTAATTACCTCTTAAGCTCTTCTTATTTGTCCTGAACGCTCACTGAGAGTAGGAATAATGCCCCTTCACCTTCATTCTATTGTCTTCCCAGGGACGTTATAGTATTGGACATAATGTAGGTTACTCAGTATTTGTTGTCAATATTAAAAAAATATTTTGCCTCTATTCAATGCTTTTCTAGTTTATTGGCTCTTTACATACTCTGAAGAAGTACCCATGATTTGAGACAAAAGCATGTTTTAGCTGAAATATCATCTTTGTGCATCCTAAATGACAAGTTTTCTAAGCAATGAAGGCAGAACAAATTTGAGTGAGGTAGGATGAAAGTACACATAAATATAAATGATTTTGGTTAATTCTAAAAAAAAAAAGTCTTGCTCATGAAAATCTCTCAGGTTATAAATGAGTGTTTTCACTGAAGTGGGGGTGGGGTACATAAATTCCTTTGGAAAATTATAGACTTGACTGGCCGAGACACTAGAGAGCATCATTCAGATAATAACTCTGCAATAGGAGACACAGAGTCCTAAGCCCAACATTGGAAACTGAAAATTCAGTGACGTAAATTTATTTTCCATTTTTTGAAAATGGTCACTCTAATTCATTATTGCTTTCTTTGCCTAAGGTGTAGTCAGACAATAGTATTGTCAACCACATGCCAGATAACCACAGAATCTCCCAACATTTCTTGAAATTTTAATATGCTGTGAAAGATAGAAAAATATTACAATTATATATACAAAATCAACGTACAAAAATCAGTAGCATTTCTATACACCAATAACATCCATGTTGAGAGTCAAATTGAGAATGCAATTTCATTTACAATAGTCACACAAAAAGTAAAACACCTAGGAATACATTTAACGAAATAGATGAAAGATCTCTATAAGATGAACTACAATATTGTTGAAAGAAATCATAGATTACACAGACAAATGAAAAAAATATTCCATGCTCATGGATTGGAAGAATCAACATCATTAAAATGGCCATACTGTCCAAAGCAATCTATTGATTCAATGCTATTCTTATGAAGCTACTAATGTCTTTTTTCACAGAACTAGAAAAAACTATTCAAAAATTCTTATAGAATCAATAAAAGACCCTAAATAGTCAAAGAAATCACAAACAAAAAGAACAAAGCCAGAAGCATCGCATTACCTGACTTTAAACTATACTACAAGACTACATTAAACAAGATAATATGGTGCTGGTACAAAAACAGACACATAGACCGATGGAACAGAATAGAGAATCCAGAAGTAAAGCTGCACACCTTCAGCCACCTGATCTTCAACAAAGCTGACAAAAATTGGCAATGCAGAAAGGATTCCCTATTCAGTAAATGGTGCTGGGATAGCTGGCTAGCCATATGCAGAAGAATGAAGCTGGACTCCTACCTTTCACCATATACAAAAATTAACTCAAGACGTATTACATACTTAAATGTAAGACGTTAAACTATAAGAATCCTAGAAGAAAACCTAGGAAACACCATTCTGGACATAGGACTTTGGAAATAATTTATGACTAAGTCCTTGAAAGCAATTGGAGCAGAAAGAAAAATTGACAAGTGAACCTAATTAAACTAAAGAGCTTCTGCACAGCAAAAGGAGCCATAAACGGAGTAAACAGACAACCTACAGAATGGGACAAAATATTGGCCAACTATGCGTCCTACAAAATTATAGTATCTAGAATCTATAAAAAATTTAAACAATTGAACAAGCAAAATACAAGTAACTCCATTTAAAAATGGACAAAATACTAAAAGACTCTTCTCAAAAGAAGACATACAGGTGGCCAAGAATATATGGAAAAATGTTCCATACAGCAAATCATCAGAGAAATGCAAACCCTAACCACAATGAGATACCATCTCATACCAGTTATAATGGCTATTATTAAAAAGTCAAAAAACAACAGATGCTGGTGAGGCTGCAGAGAAAATGGAAACTTATGCATTGTTGGTGGGGATATAAATTAGTTTAGAGATTTCTCAAAGAAAACAGAACTACCATTAAACTCAGCAATCCCATTTCTAGATGTATTTTAAAACATAAATAAATCATTCTACCAAAGAGACATGCACTGGTATGTTTATGGCATCACTATTCACAATAGCAAAGACATGGAATCAACCTACGTTCCCACCAACAGTGAATTGGATAAGGAAAATGTGGTTCATATACCATGGAATACTACACAGACATAAAAAAGAAGAAAATCATGTTCTATGTAGCAACATGGATGTAGCCCAAGGTCATTACCCTAAGCAAATTAACACAGGAACAGAAAACCAAATGCTGAAATTTCTCACTTATAAATAGGGGCTAAACATTGGGTACTCAGAGACATAAGGATGGCAACAATAAACATTAGGGACCGCTTGAGGGAGGACAGGCGACAGAGGTGGAAAAACTATTGGGTACTATGCTCAGTACCTGAGTGAAGGGATCAGTCATACCCCAAACCTCAGCATTAAGCAATATACCCAGGTAACAAAACTGCTCATGTACCCCCTGAATCTGAAATGAAAGTTGAAATTATAGAAATGAAAACATAAAATGCTCTTCAATAACAAGAAAAAATGATATACAACAAATCCAATTTTTTTTAAAGGAAGCTGCGATTTGTGATAAAATGACCCTCTTCTAGGAGGCCAGTATCCTAACATAAACTCTAAATAATTTATCTTTTGAGATTTTATTTAATAGGTCTGAAGTAAAATTCTTCATTTATAAAATGAGAATATTAATGCCTACTTTTCAGAGTTATTGAGAGAGTTAGAATCAATGATTGTAATGTACCTATATTTAGTGTTCTTGTGCTAGTGGTTACTGTTTTATTTTACTTTCTTGTGATTTCATACATTTTAGTATACTGATGAAGGACCCCTTCCCTTGTTATTTCAAGGCCTGCATTTATCCAATCTAGCCATATTTGGGGGAGTTTGTGGAACAGAGAAAAAAACCCACACTTATTCTGCAGAAATAAATAAAAGATCTACTTTGCCCCTGCTACGGTACTGCATGGTGCTGGAAAAAAAAATACCTTTAAGAAATATGCGAGCTCATGAGAGAGAGAGAGAGACAAATAAATGTTCTGTTCTACGAAAAGGGTAAAACATTCCAAGCTGCTAATACTTCTGAAGGTGAGGGAGGCAGGACACTAGATTGAGAATATCCATGAGTTTCATTAGATTAAAAGAAGGAATAAATGCACATATTTTCATTGTACAGACAACAGATTAATTGTTTCACATTTGGAGAAGTGTGTGAGAAAGGCTAAGGAAAGCAGCAGAGAATATTTCTGTATTCTATTAATAGCAAAGAAAAAAGTGCTCCTGAAAACCATACTTGCCCTCCATGGGAGAAGCACAGTTGCTTTTCAGGGGAGGTGAAACAATGGGCAAATTCATCATTAGAGTAAAATATTTCAAGACCATTCTCAAAAATTGAAAAGTCATTCAGTCTCCTGCTCCCCCCCCAAAAAAGGTACAGAAATATTGAGTAGCACAGTTAATATTCACCAATTGACATGTACAAAAGTGTCAACCCATGAGTAGTGAATACGAATTTTTCTTGCACACACATTGAGAAGTTATAAAAATTACTGTATATAAAGAGATAAACTGTCTCATCAAATTTCAAAAATGTATTATTATACAGACCTATTATTGTTTCTTACTACAGTACAAAAAGAAGAGGCAATAGTTAAATTATAATTAAAATCTCAATAAGTTTGAATTTTTAAAATAAGTTTGAAACCATTTTGGGTTTAAAAAGAAATCATAATAAAATGCTTAAATTTAAAGGATTAAATATACAACATAACTTATGAAATGCAGTTAAAATTTTTACTATGCAGGACATTCAGCTGTAATTGTTATATTAGAGCTATGGAAAAGCTGAAAATTAATGTACTAAACATTCTACTCAAGGAAAATAAGCAAGGAAGGAATAATAACTAAGGAAGGCATTAATAAAGAGATACTTAAAATGCAGGTAAAATATAATAACATCAAAAACAAAAATAGGAAATAGAAGTTCAAAAACCCCAAATTTATTATACAACTAACCATATATACAAAACTTTAATGAAATTAATGGAGAAAAACTGAAAGGGCAATGATAAAAAAAACGAGAAAAGTAATAGAATAATGCAGAACTACAGATAGAGCCAATATTTAAAAAGATAAAAAATGTTCAGTATAATTACGTGCCACAACATTTAAATATTTAGGCAAATAGGAACGTTTGTAGAAAAATATAATTTACCTAATAGAATCAAGAAGAAATAGAAACCCTAAATAGTCCTATATTGATTAAATAACTTGAACCAGTAGTTTAAAATCCTCTCAGAAATAAAACATTAGCTTCAGACAGTTTTATAGAAGAAATCAAATAAACTATTTTTTTTTTAGATGGAGTCCCGCTTTGTCGTGTTCATAAAATTCAACATTATTTTAATACAATTCTTAAACTCAGAATGAGATCAATTCTTTATTCTGATAAACTATATCTATTTTTAACAAAAAAAGTTTTTCTTAATGGGAAAATGTTTAAATTGTTCCCATTAACACTGTTTCTGTTCAATATTTACCTCTGTTTATTTGTTTGTTTTGTTCTGTTTTTGTTTGTGTTTTCTCACCATTCTTTGATTTTCATCATTTCCATCTCATTATAATCTGGTGATATCCATGTTTTCTAGAAGAAACAGTATCTTCACAGTGTTATTAACCCTCTTCATTAAATTTGTTGTTTGTATTTATATTGTTAAGTTAGCAGATAAAACTAGAAGCTAGATCTATTGCTTGAGAAAATTAACTATCTTTGCCATTATCTTATTATTTCAAAAACTAGTCTCCAACTTTTACCTGAAATGTCATTTTTTTTTTCCTCAGGCTAAGCATGAAGCCTTCTGGAATCTAAATACTAGTTTGTTAAATACACTGTTCGCTTTAAGTTTTATATTTGCTCAACTTTTCATCACAGCACTTACATCTATTAAATAGTCAATAAAAAACACTTTTTCCTCGTGTTAGGGTATTTATTAGTTTTTAATATAATGTATTTGATATATTTTCTTCTTCATCTATTTTATATGTATTTAAACATATAAAATTATTTATACACACACGCATACACACACACACACACACACACACACACACCCCGATGGTAATGTAGTAGATTTGTATTGATTCAGTATAGCTACACTAAACTATATTTTCCAGATTTTCCCTTCCCTTCATAATTCTGAAATAGCATGAGCTCAAAACAACATTTTGTTATTTGGAAGGTAAAAAGTAAAGTTGAAATTTTAAGTTTGGAAAGTAAGTGCAGAGATACCAGGGGCTGTTATAGCTCACACACACACTGTCCCTCATTAATGATGGGCTCATCTTGTGCACAGGGCATGGGGACAACAGCTGGGCCTGCAGTTCCTTTAACTCCCACTGGCTCTTCTTTAGCTTTTCCAACTTCTGGACCATGTGTGTGTTTGGCTCCATGAAGAAGGATACCAGATTTTCCATAAGTTCCTTCACCTCATTGAAGTTTGAGACCTGAAAAGGGTGAAAGATAAACGTGGGTTCTAATTCGTCCTCTGGGTTCTGTTTCATCCTTTTAGTTTCCAGTTTTTCCTTGCTTTCCTTCACTTTACTGTCATCTCTTCCCGACTGCCTGCTCTGATTATGTCAGGCTTGGATGCAAACAAAACAGCCTTGTATTAGTTCTTGAAATTGAATACAGTCAAGTCGCTATTAAATCTCCCTCTCTTTTTACATATGCATATATTATTTATAGTGGTTCTGTTTTTCTGATCAAACCCTGACTGATGCTTATGGGGAATATTCTGCATTTTGGTTGTAAACCCACAAATGGTCGAAAACCTCATGTCACAATTCTAGTAAATACCCTGGTCTCAAGTCTCCTCTAATGTTATGGCCACCAATAACTAATGTTCTTATTTTTTAATCATTTATCTTGGCCCAAGAAGTAACATCCTCTCCCTTGTTGGTTCCTAGGTGATTTCTACAACTATGAATAGCTGATACACATTCGAATAAGCTCAAGTTTACTAAGATAGAAAATGGCACAATAATGCATGTCTTACCGCACAAGGCTGTTATGAGAGAAATCAAGACAATTTATTAAGAAAAAATGATATAATGTATAATAATATATAAATTAAAAATATATGTTTTATTTTCAGTAAGTGAAGTTTCCTGGCTCTTAAAGCATTAGACTAAGCTTTTGAGAATTGTGAGAATGTTCTCTAAATCTTGAGATTTGTTGAACTTGGGAAGAAAAGCAAAAGCCTCAATTGGCTGTTCATTGCCATTGATTTATTGAATCATATTTAGAAATAGAGTCGAGTTGATTTGAAATGTGTGTCTAATTGCTGGTGGGAGGAAGAGAGGCATGGGTCTTAGTGGGGAAGCTAAAATGAATTGCAGGAAAAAATGTACCACCATCCACATATAGACCCAAATTATATGTATTTAGGGCCTGAACCAATGGCACTTTGCCTGCCTCCGGGTGGTATGACTACTGCTTCAACTCCACTGATTGTAATTGCAACTAAAAGATTCTTGTTGCACAGAAGAGAAATGCTGAAAAGCTGTTGGGAGAGTGTTGATATAAATCACATCCTTGGATCTGCTCTTTTTTTTTCATAGCTTTTCTCTCCCAGTCATTTTCACCTTGGCTTGTACTTACAAAGCTAGAGTGATAATAATATCATATGCATATCCAGTTCATCTTATACTAAGGGATCTTAAAATAACAGCTTTAAGCTACAACTACAACTGGACTGTAATAGTTAATCTTTAATGGTTCGAAGTGCAATCCAGAGTGAATTCTCTCATCTCCTTTTGAGTTGAGAATTACGTATTATTGGCAAAGAATCCCTTTGCAATTTCAAGTCTCTATCTGTTTACTTTTGTTCTACATTGAGAAGCAATTTCCTAAGTATCCTTTTCAGGAATGAGCATGCATGTGAATTTTTTAAATGAGTACAATATTATTATGATGTAGATGTTACAAGAAATTTTGAGAAATTAAATACATAGGCAATTCTAATATTATTCCATCCCATTTCATTTATCCTCCTATTTGGCAAGTATTTACTCTGCCCTTACAGTGTACCTGGTATTTGTGCTTGAGGCTTAGGATAAGGATAATGATGGTAGAATCCTTTTGATAAAGATCTCATATTCAGTTAGGAGGAAAAGCAAACAAAATCTTGTAATACTGTCTAACATATTACATTGCAATAGACATAAGTCTAGGGTGCCATCAAAGTATACAGGAAGATATGTCAACTCTTCCTTGTTGTGTCTGAGAAGTACCCAAGAGGAAGTAACTCTAGTGAATCAATGAAGGATAAATAGAATTTTCTGTCATCTTCTTAGCCTTAGCCCTTACAAAGTCCTCTTCCTAAACCTGAACCAGAGGAATTATGCACAGAAATACACAACGATAGTATCGAGCAATTTTCCAGGCTGTACATTTCATCTTCTACTTTGTCTCTGCTAAGAAAGATGGAACGATGAAAGAGCCTTCAACATAGAAGGAGGTGACAGTTGGGATTGGAGAATTACAACAATGGAGGATCAAGGGTTAAAAGAAAAGAAACTTCAGAATAGGAATTACGGCTGCCAGAAACAGGCTGTTTCAATGTATAATTATATATAAAGCTGGTCTTCTCTAGGTCATGGTTCACAAAATCTTAGAATTCATTCTTCAGTAAATAAGCTTTGGGATCTGGCATTTTAGATACAATGTGCCAGTATGACATGAGCAGTGATTAGAGTGAGAAAACTATGCACTCTGATCTTCAATCCAAGCTTACAACCTTAATCTAGAGCTTCAGGTTCCTAATTCCTAAAAGGAATATAGCAACTTCTGACTGCTTCACAGAATTTTTGTAAAAACTGAAACGGGAAAAGTTCCCTTGTCCCCCTCACAGGGCGTGTGGTGGGGATGTGGCTTGCTTCTCCAATGCCCATCTGCTCAAACCTCTAGGGGAGCACACAGACAGGCAGGCTGTAGGGCTACTTCCCCATGGCAGTGTCTAGGGGTGAATGTTTACAGCTGAAGCTCCAGTGGGCATGTGTGACAGTGTGCTCTTTTAGTTTGCCATCTATAGACAGCTCGTGTTAACCAGCTCAATTGGACCCTCTACCGGACAGGTAGATACGGAGGCATGGACAAAGGGCTTTCTGTATCCTGGGTTCCTGCCGTGGTGTACTGGAGAACGAGATCACATGTGGGCTTGGAGAATGAGTGCAAAGTTTTATTGAGTGGAAGTAGCTCTCCATCAATGGTGGAGCCAGAAAGGAGATGGTTTTCTCCGGAGTCAGGCTGCTTGGCTGCCTGGGCTCTCCTGCAACTGCTCTCGCCAAAGTCCACTTTGGATGGCCCGCTGGTGGATGGCCCGCTGGTGGATGGCCTGCCGGCGTGCTGGTGCCTGTCTGTGTGTGTGTTTTCCGCTGGCCTGCTCCCTCCACTTCCTCTACCCTTCCAGCCACTTGTGTTCGTCTCTATGTCTGGCCACCTGTGGGTCGGCCTGCCAGGGTCTCGAGTTTTTATAGGATAGGGGTGTGGCAGGCCAGGGTGGTCTTGGAAAACGCAACATTTGGGCGGGAAAGCAGGAGTGCCTGTCCTCACCTAGGTCCGTGGGGGTGGATCCCTAGCCAGGACCGCCTTTTTCTACATAGTACTTCTTTTCCCCGCTTCCATATCATTTAAAGGGACCATGCCCTTCCCTTCCCAGCACTCACAAATCAAAATTACATAAACGTACAGATATCTGAATATTTTATACATTATGAGGAACATATTAAAATACGTTGCTATGTAATATTTTATTATTCAATTATTATTAAAATTTTTAGAATGGGTAGGTTCTGATTTAACCTACAAGATCAGTCACTTTTCAGATGAAGCACTTTTATTCAAAATCGACTCTTTTTGCTCCAGGGCAAGAATAATCTTCTTTAACAACAATTAATGACTCCTTTAGGAGCGGCTCTCTAGCTTTAAGAGGTATGTTGGAACACTGTACTAAGATTTTAAAAACTATATCTGTAAACAGAAAAATAAAGAACATTATAAAAGTCAGCCATCAGAATATCACTTTTGATAACTGCAGTCAGTCTTGTTTTGAATATAATTCTGATGCTTAGTGTATGTTGCCTTGTATTTTTCTCTACTACTATGCTTTAATCATCCCAGGTTTTAGGCCCTTTAAGAGTAAAACTGTTGTCTATGTCACTGTATATACTACTTAGTTTTCCTTACTGATTTCTGCATATAGTAGGTGCCTGATAAAATTTTGTAGCTGTTACTGATGGTAATCATGGGTACATGGAAATTAGCAATCCCCGTTAAAGGAAATAATATACAAAGAAGTATGAATTTTTTAACATACATTGTTTAAAAGAAGTACGTTTTGCTTCAGTCTAAACCATGAAGGAAACTATACAAACTTTCTTCTATTCTGCTGATGGATTTATGAAAGCAAGTTGAAAGCTGCTGATCAGTGGCATCTGTTAACTGGCATTGACACTTTGATGTGCAGGGCAGCTGTCAAGAAATTTCACTTTCTTCTACTTTTCTTTTCAGAATTAATTAGTGCTATGAGACACTCAAATCCTCATTTACTTTCCAAGAAGTACTTGGAAGCCAACTCACCAGAGAATATCATGAGGGAAATCCACCCTTCCACAATCCATTTTCCTAGAGACTTCTTCTTCTGGCCCCACTTGCAGCAATGGTATCAGTTCTTCTTGAATTAGAATGAAGACAATGTTTTTGGAGTAAATAAAAAATGACATTGATAAGGCTAAACAAAGACAGTTAGTGATAGCAACTGCAGCATGACCTTACAAAGCATAAAACATGGACTAACCCGTGTGATCACCTATATGGACCCATATGTAGTTATAATTTTATAACAATATGGGCCCAGTCACAAAATAGGTAGAATGCCTGTTTTGTTAATGTTTGTAGCAAAGGAAAGGAAATAAATTTTTTTTATGATGAATTTGAAAAAAATAAGAGTGCTTTATAAATGTAAAGTGTCATCATGTTACAGAGAAATAGATTAACTGGATACAGTCAAATGTCATTGCTATGTATACATATATGTGTTTTTGTATATATATATATATATACAAAGTAAATATATAGGATATTACACATTTATTCCATGTTTCATCCTTTCATTGGCCAGTCTCAAAATATTTTATTCAATGAGAGTTTGCAAACATAAGACCATTAGTCAATCCAGTATTCTGTCTCTAACACGGCAAAAATACCTATGGGAGAGATGCCTATGGGAAAGAAAGAATTTATTTTCAAACTTTGAACATTCCTAGTTTTCATAATTCCATTTTGTATAGACCTGCTTTGTGCTTACCAGGTTGCAGAACTCTAATCAGGACCCTGTTCACACTTCTCGTACATTAAAAGCTATAAATAACAACTTCTATACATTTACTGCTTTTATTAAGATTTGATTTTTATTTTGCTTTGCAATTATAAGTTTCTAAAGATAGGAGCTTAACGGGAGACTGTGTTCCATTACACAAACAACTTCAACATTGATTTTCAATTTTCTGACGTACAATGAGTGGAATGGACCAACTGTATCTTCCAGAGACTGTGATATTAGAAGCCACCACCCTGTAAACTCAAGTGTTTCATTTGAGATATTCCATCAATCTTCGTGAGCAATCTTGAGAGTGTGTATTGCAACCTACTTACTCTGAGAAAATTGTAAGGAAAACATTAGGCAAGTGATCAAATACACCAGGGAATTTTATATCTATTTCAACTTTGTCCCCTGCAGAAGGCTCAACAAGTGCCCTGCCTCAGGGAAATGATATTTAAATAATTTTATGGAACACTGAGTAAGGTTTGCCAAAAATGGGGATAAAATATAAGTGGTTTAGCACTTCAAAGAAGGGAAGTCTGTCAGAGGCCGGTGATATGGTTGATTTGGCTCTGTGTCCCCACCCAAATCTCACCTTGAATTGTAATAATTCCTACATGTCAAGGTCAGGACCTGGTGGAGATAATTTAATCATGAGGGTGGTTTCCCCCATACTGTTCTTGTGATAGTGAGTGAGTTCTCTCCAGATCTGATGGTTTTATAAGGGGCTTCCCCCTTCACTCGGCACTCATTCTCTCTCCTGCCACTCTGTGAAGAGGTGCCTTTCACCATGATTGTAGGTTGCCTGATGCTTCCCCAGCCATGCGGAACTGTGAGTAAACTAAACATCTTTTCTATATAAATCACCCAGTCTTGGGTATGTCTTTATTAGCTGCATGAGAAGAGACAAAACAGAGGATTTGAATTTGATGTTGAGCCTGGCAGAATGGGAAGTTCAGTGAGGAGTGAGCTTAGAGAAAGGGTACCTAAAGCTGAGTGCTGATTCTGCCTTCACTACTTTTAGGATTTAGAGCAAGTATCTAATTTCAGTTTTCATTTTCTCATCTCTGTGAGGAAAAGAGCAATGCCTATCATTTAAGGCGACTGTACACATTGTAGTGTTTAAAAGATTGGGAGCACACTACCACAGGAAGAACCCTCCATTAATGAGCAGGAATAATTGAGTAGAGGTGGAAGATGAACGTTCATTCGTGAATTTGAACATATCCAGTGTTAGGGGTTCATCTTGTGTGTTTCAAGGAGCAGGAGAAGAGTGAATAAAAGCAGGGAAAATAACTTGTTGAGAAGTTGTGGGAGATGGGCCTGAGAATATCAGCAATATCCCACCCCCAAGTTTCTATCTTTCAGTATTTTTTCATTAGCTCAATCAGTATTTAAAATTTTCCTGTATTGAATTTCAGTGAATTTGAGTTCAATTCTTCTCCCTTATTGCAATAGCTTTTAAAATCTTTTAAATTCTGTATGGTATAATTTTTCAAAGTCAACAATTTTGGTTTAGTTTATAGCGTCAAAGTCAGCTTTTGGTGAATTGCTAAATTACAGAGAAGGTACCTTTGATGCTGCTTCACTTCCCTTTTTTACCCACTGATTCTTGAATTGGCCTTCCAAGGTATCCTTATCTCTAATATGCAACCTCTCCCATCCTCAAGTTTTCACAGCCTTCTTTGATAAATGACTTTCTAACTTCTAAATCAATGATTATTTTATATATCCTGTTTTTTTGGATTCACTCTATTTCTGTGTCAATGTTTTAAGCGTCTCTAAAATTTAAATGACTATAAATGGCTTAATGTTCCATTACTTCTAGGTAAAGTATTTGCATTTTTACAGAGACATTTTAGAAATAATACCCACAGGAGCGATTCTCTAATAACAGTGTGGTGGTTTAGGGGATATGCATACATTTGGGCAGCAGAATTGCCTGTCACTTCTCAATCATACCTGCAGACAGACACATACTCAGCCTTTGCCTGTGGCTAATCCTAGAGGATATTTGAGTCCCATTCAAAAGCCCCCTCAATCATAGTGTTGAATCTCTCTTTGCCATATGTTATTCTGGTTCTCTATTGGGGTGAGTATATTCTCCTGCTTTTTCTAGAAGTAGTTACCTGTGGAGTCAGAGAGAGGGGCTGGATTCTTGAGATTTGCTATGCCAAGCATCAAAATATCCATCATTTACATCAGGAAATTAAAAAGAAAATAAATGTAAAGTAGAAAAGCCTTTAATTCTGTTAGGCTGAAGTGACATAAGTTCAACCTGTACAAGAAGAGCAGTGGACCTGTACATCATATTAGACAGTGTTATGCATCCCAAGGTAATCTCACTGGATTAGCTGCACTGCAACTAACGATGAACCTCCCGCTAGACCCAGATGCCTGGAAGCTGATGTCTTGTACCCCAAACAAATGAGCAGGCTTGGAAAAATCTCTGCCTGGAAGTGTACACTGCACTTGATGAGAATCCTTGACAAAATAGAATGCTACTAGCAAAAGGACTTATAAGAATATATGAGGCCAATGTGTGGTTTGCAATGTTAGATATGTGGAATGAATTTTGGGGAAGAGACTAAGCTGTATTTCCCCTGAAAATTTAGAAGTGGTGGAGTTTTTACAGGAAGATATTAGGCAACTATCACTAAAGGCATATGGTCTTGAAGAATTCCAAAGGACTAAGATCCTTTGTCTGTGAGAAACTTGAGCAACTGCTGCATGTCTTTGCAGTGTTCTGGATGAGGGATGAGTTCACCTTTGAGAGGGAGATTTGTGTTTAAACTTGATGGGAGAAAAGGGTCAGAATTAGAGGTAGAGGATTATTGATTACATAGTAGTAAAATGTCACTTACATTTTCTTGTGTCTTAGCCTTCTCTGGGTCAGGACAAATCTGAAGAAGAAGAGACTCCAATGAAGAGGAAATCAAGTGAAAATCTATACTACTGAAGCTTATATGTGAAAAATGAGGACACATGTCAGTTCTGCTCTGTAGCATAAGGTACTCTTGGTGGGAGAAGGGCATTTTTCTTCAATAACTCATAGAAAAATCTGCTGGGCAAGAAAGTAAAACACCATGGCAATTTTCAGTGGAAAATAAGATGGATTGGACAAGAGCCAGGTTCTGTGGGAGTGAAACTTCCATCTGCAGCAGAAAAAAATTGTCAGTTATGGTAGTGGCCTCTAGGCACATGACCCCATCACTGAAAAAAGAGCTTTTCCCTGAGAAAATGTTTTACAAAATTGTGATAGCTATCCTTTGGGTCTAGCCCTTTTAAACTAGAAAAATAGAAATTAAAGAGCCTACTGTGCAACCAATATAGTTGTTTGCCTGGAAAGAGATGAGTAGGGAGAAAAGATGAAGCCATAGAGATGCAACTATATTCCAAATACAGATAAACTATTAGTTTTTTCTATGTTGATTTGGCCTGAAATGATTCTTCCATACAGTACAGTTGAGAGAACTGAGTGTTTATAAGATGAAAACCAGAAGAATGTTAAGATACATGATAATTATCCTTGAACAATTTTGAGGGCTGTTTACTAGAAAAGGTAGATTTCTTCTAATATTCCAGAAGGCAGAATTATTAAAATACAGGTTTATAAATGTATAAAACTGATAGATCTATCCTTCTTATACTTCTTTTGTCTTGGTAAGTCCAAATGAGAGAATAACTGATTACAGGAATTTGAAGTAGAAGTTTCTCAAGAATAAAAATAAGTGGATATCATTTATACCTAATCCAATCTTCTCTGCCTTGATACCTTCATCTAAACCATGACCAACAGATAAATGTATAAAATATTCTAAATAGAACAGAAAGAAATGACTTTGGTAACTTTTAAGGAATTATTAATAGGCAGAGAGTTCAATTTCAAAATTAACAAGACAAATTTTAAAATATATATATTTATTTTTCTCCTTCTATTATTTCTTCTCCTTCTCCTCCATCTTGTCTCTTTTTTTTTCTTCTTTCATACTAATATCAGTAGAAAAATATCACTCACTTATAGGGCAAAATGAAAGTTTTAGTGTGGTTTTACTGTTTATAGTTTCATAATCATGAGGACCATGAAATAAGACCATACTAAATAGCTAGATGAGTGCATAATTTAAAAATTTAATGATTTTATGAGATATTAAAATATATCCCAAATAGGTGCGCAATCAAATTCAGCACTCTGTAATCTGTCGCGCACAAATAATTCCACATTTTAAAGAAATTTAATTTTTTTCAAATGTATAATTAAATGTAGACATAGAAAACCACATAGGGAAAATTAAGATTGGCAAGCATTGACTCCTTTACCTATATATTTGACCAATTTTAATGATCACTTTTGCTTTTATTTCCTGTCCAAAATATTATTGTAGCCAAACATAAACTTCATAAAAAGAACTTCAATCTTTGCCTTCAATACTAAGGCCTTTTTTTCCCTTTACCTGATGATCTTGCAACTCATCAACTGACAATCTGTAAACACACTTTGATTGAATAACCTAATGTACATACAATGCATAATAAATATTATTATATTTCACTTGCTTTGTAGAAAAATAGGTATTTTCTTAATGTAGATCATGAGTTGA
Source organism: Homo sapiens (assembly GCF_000001405.40). Taxonomy (NCBI): domain Eukaryota; kingdom Metazoa; phylum Chordata; class Mammalia; order Primates; family Hominidae; genus Homo; species Homo sapiens. The sequence continues at coordinate 40,669,687 of NC_000018.10, forward strand.
TGGGTGCAGCAAACCACCATGGCACATAACAAACCTGCACATTCTGCGCATGTACACCAGAACTTAAAGTATAATTTTAAAAAAATAGGTATTTTATCTGCTCAAATGAGAAAGAATATTCAAAAAGTGTATTTTTACACTATCTTAAAAATTGAAAGCCCAAGAAATATATAATTATGTATTCAGAATAAGGAAATCATGGCCATATGGGCAAAATAGTTTATTTTCTTAATATTCAGCAAGAAAAATATAACCAATATTTTGACTTCATTAACTAAGAATTTTAGCTGACAGAGTTGATCAATTAATCTCACGTGGAGTAATATGAAACATTATTTTTATTCATGGTTAACAGTAAAAGAAGAGATGCTTTCACATATCATTCTAAAATGAGTCCATATTTTGTCCCAGAAGACAATCACTTCCAAGGAACTAGTTCTAATTATTCTTTATAGTATTTCCATCATTGAGCAGTATTGCTAAAATATGGACACAATTTTCTCTTATAATTGCCTGGATTCTGTTATTAGCACACTTAAACTCCAGCAAATGTGTCTCCTTTTGGGTGAAACAGCCAACTTTGAAAAAGCACAGGTAGATGTGTGAGGAGCAATAAGAAGAAGACATATTCTTGCAATATGTCAGGGGGCAAACTGCTTTACAGCAGAAGCAGTTTGCCTCTGTTACTTCTACAAGTCCCTTTAGAAAATGTGATCATGCATATAGGTTTCAGCATATAGCAACCTCCAAGCACCCATTAATAAAGGCACTGCACCTCTCCTAATAAGCCTTATCTTGAAGTGCTGATGTTAGCTAATGATGTACTTCCTATATTCTTCAACTTCAGCCCCACTGCTTAAAGATATAGTCCTCAACACAATCATGTCAGAAGAGGAAAAACACACAATCAACTATCCGTGACTCTCAGGATTTGAAAATGTCACAATTGCTGAGTTGCTGGTTTTAACTGCCCTTCACTTGTTCACTGTCTTTCCCACACGACCCTCTTCCCCCTAAATGCGTGGGTACTTGGTGTCACTTAGCTTCTGATTTTTTTTTCCTCTCCTCAATTTCTAAGCCTAATGAGGCTGAGCTGAGTTAATAATGGATGTAATAAGTAATGACTCATTGTTTTGGGGCCTGCGCATCTGTGTGTACCGTGGAACAGGAGCCAGGACTCTGATACTATTTGTTCTGCGATGTCACTTGCCACCAAGCAATGCCACTCATCAATAAAAGGCAAGATGATGGATGAGTTCATTTAATAGAATTCCTCTGAGTGAGCTAAAGCCCAACTCTTCAATAGGTCTGCTACCACACTCTCTCTCTCCTGCTCTTCCTCTTGCAGCTCTTTTTTTTTTTTTTCCTTCTAAGTCCGGGACAGTTGGAAAGCATGCTTGGCCGAGAGGGTCTCCATTTATGCCAACAGCTCCTTCTGCTCTTAACAACTGCTATCCTAAATCAAATCAGCAGCTCTGTGCCTGGAGATTAAATCTGTGCCACCTGATAGCAGTGGCACCCTGTGGCATTTGGCCATGCGTACTCTCTGCCTGGGCTCATTTCTTTATTTCCTCAGAGAATGGGTTGTGTTGGAAGAAAAGGTTCATGTCCTGGGGATTCAGGTTTTAGATATTCCATTTTGGTCCTTTGCAGCCTGGATACCAGGAACAGGCTGCTCTCTGGGAAAGTTTATGAGGGAGTCTTTCTCCTCATCACATCAGCCGGCAGCTTGCAGAGCTCCTTTAGCTAAAGTATATGGCTTCATACCATGATCTGGAATTAACCAACAGGGAAATCAACACTGGTGACATCTTACCAATAAAGGCAGATTTTTTAGTCTGCGAGAACGAAGATTACATTTGGGAACCTGGATATCTTAATATTTCAAAATGCTAAAATATTTAAATATTTTTCTTTCCTGGAGAGTAAAGGACACATATACGTAAAATCAAACATAACCATCTGGTTGAATTAAGGAAAGACAGACCTGAAACAAAAAAGGCAAATTGTTAACATGTCTGAACTTGAGTTGGATGGTGAAGGTAGTCTCAACAGTTCCCATCATGTAGAAGTGACATAAGATGGAAGTAAAGTGACATGGTGGAAAATAGAATTCCAGGATATTACAGATTGTAAGGTTCACAGATGCTAAATTAAAAAAATAATGTGGCCAGATATTGGGGGAAATGTTTATTTAAAAATTTCTCTTATTTCTTAAATTGAAGTAGAGAAGTTCTATTTATAAACTAATTGGAACATCACTGAAAAATAGCTAATACAGACTCAGGCCTAATATTGCTCTTGCCAAATCTACGTAGATATATCCGCCTGATAAATTTTGCATACACACACGCACACTTAATACAGGCATTTATATATGCATACATAGGTATTCATATTTAAATCTGTGACATAGACATTGAAGGGCTTGAGACATTTCCCTAAAGTACCCCAGAAATTCAAGAACTCTGGGCATGGCTCTGAGAGTGAAGCTTTCCAGAGCCTCTGCTGGGAATTGTTCTAATATGCACTATCCATATCTAACATTCTTGATTACATATGGCACAAAAAGCGTTGATTCTCTTGATGCTGACATTATATTTCATATTCAGGCCCTTGCAGAGCTGAATCTATTCACAATTAAAGTCAGTGTCAATATAGGAAAATTGATGAGAAAGGGGGAAATATAGTGTAAAGATCTAAATGAGGAACAAAAGTGTATTTTAAAAACCTACAGAGTAAGGATAGGCAAGAAATAGATTAACAGAGCATTACATTTTATTATTGAGCACAAATGTTTCATTCCTTTCTCTGAGCTCCTAATCAGCATTTTTCATTATTTTCCTTCCATCGTATCTGGCTCCTATGCATCAGTGGCTATAGCAACACCTCTGCTAACACTGAAAACTTCCTCACAGACTAGGGTTTTTCACGCTAGAATTCTTGCCAGGGCTGATCCTCCCTCTGGTTAGAATTCCCCACCACTTGGGACCATGGGTTAGAATAAGAATTCTCCCTTTGGAAGCAAGCAATCCTAGGAATTACTGCTCCATTCATATGTGGTAAGGAATGCCTTTCTTCCTGCATAATGACAGAGTCATGGTGTTATGAGAATGTGAGGGTAGGCTGCCATCTAATCAAGCTTGCATTCCTTGGAAGGGCTGCTCTGAAAGCCTCATGTCGTATAGCTTCTCAGGATACTTGGTGTGATTACCGCCATCACACCCTTCCGTTTGGTCTGCAAATTTCACAATCCCAGAATACTGTGCTGAAGATATGTCTACCTTGGTAAAAGTATTACCCCAGAAATACAGCTGTTGAAGCTATTTTTGTCTTAAACGGGTTAAATATGAAACCAGGACTTTACTGTTCTCATACAGCTCTTACCCTTTGAGCAAATACAGTATTCATACTTTCCGGAGTGACAAAAATTGAACAGAAGGTAACAGACACTTTAACTAGAAAGGCCAGGATCGTATTTATATAGTTTCACATCACCATAGCACCTAGCACAGAGCCTCTGTGGACTAGACACATTAATATTTGTTAAATTTGAATGGATTGAATATAATCTGGCCTTTGTCCTCTATGCTGACTTTCTCATCTCCTATACCAATTATTCTGCAAATCTGTTTTTCCCTTGGTTTTAGAAATTTGGCAGATGGCACTTTAATTTAATGTCTTTTTAAATATTCTGACTCCAACGTAAATTAAGACCATATGTGTACTGCGGTAAGATGAGACCTGGAGACATGAATCCAATTTGATTTTGCAAATGTTTATTTATCACCTACTATGTGTTAGTATCCTACCCAACATTGTCATAAAATAATATCAAAATATTATCAATAAACAAGACAATAATTATTTCAGACCCCAACAATTCAGTAAGTTACAACTTTGATTTTCAGCAGAGAACTTAATAAGAGTTTTAGAATATGAGCTACAGAAAGAAGTTTTTTTGTTTGTTCTATCAAATCTCAGAGTTAGAAGTAATCTGAGATATATGCAGTTCTAATTGAAACCCCATCCCACACAATCTTGAACAACGATCTTACAAATAGTGTACTGCCTACTTGAACACACCAAGATTAGAAACTTGACCAGCTTGCAGGAAACACAAATCTCTCAATCAATATTTCTCCTCTGTAGGCTGTGTAATCTGTTCCAATCATGTGCTCTCTGTTTCACATGGGAAGAAGGATAGGACTCTGTTTTTCTTCTTCCCTTCTCTAGAAGGAAACCATGAATCGTAAGAACAGGAGACAAATTAAGATCTTAGAAATGTAGTGCACAGAAGAGGCACATGCTATTACCAGTTGGCCAGAGCAGAAGGGATAATTATTTCACAAGTATCACAAGAGAACTTAGGCCATGGTGAAGGTCTTTTGACTTTCCATCTGCCGCTCATTTAAAATAATTATGTACCACTTGTCAGAAAACTCTGTGCAGTTTACAGATTGAAAATAAGCATAAGAAAGTGTGGAAACCTGGAGAAGAGACACCAACAAGGATAAAAGAGAGATTTCCATTTGGTGACTGAGGACTGGTTTATGTCACAGATGTGTTCTATTTGGTCTCCAATGATGCTTTATTGTTGTTGATTTTGAGGATTTATTTGCCAATATGTTAAATAGGGAAATATTTTTAGTACTCTTGAAATTCAGAAGATCCAGCAGCACAGAATCAGTATTTCCAGGGCATGAGCCAAGTGCAGTTGAAGGCATATACTCCTTGACATAGGGCTTAGAATTTCTTATTCGCCCCTAGATTACCTCCAGATTCTGTACTCATTCAAGTACACTGCCTGTCCCTTAGAGGCACTGGGATTCTGTCTCTCTTGGAAAATAAACTCAAAAGCTATGGGAAAGGAAAAGAGGAGATAGGAGTTTAAGGGAAAAGAGTTTCTGAGCCAATGAATGGAATGGGATGGCCACACTGGATCTCTGAGTGTGGCAAACAAAGACAGGCGACAAAGGGAAAAATAATGGAGCCAGAGGAAACTAGCAGAAGAGAGCAGACAAAAACCATACACTGTCCCAGCAATTGCAAATAAACCAGTATTCTATGTGTACCTTTTGATTCTCAGAGTGTCTGTGACTAGCTCTCAATAAGCCCATGAAGCAACAGGCTGTAACACTGGATCACACCAGACTTTATTATTTCCATTGTCATTTTCTATTCACTTGTATACTGAATATTGCATATATCAACCAAAAAACTGAGGACATGATATTGTTCCCGTTATTGTGCTAACTTCTGAATATACCCTGTTCAATAAAATTAACTTAGTCCACTACTTCTCAGCCATGCTAGCTCAGCCTGGCCTGACCTGGTGGATTTGGTAGAAATAGTCAGTGGTGCCTGACACATGTGGTGACTCTAGCTGGCTCCAGTCATCACTGTACTCAAGAATGACAGTGAAGGGTAAGAGATTCCTTGTTAATAGGACAGGTAGAGCCACTGAAACATGGATAATTACTGTTTGAGGCTATTTGAGACTATAGAACATTTATGACATATTAAATCAAAGTATATGATGAAGGAGTTGTCTGCTTTCCTTTTATCATCGGTAATTCTATCTGACACTGTTCCTTCCTTTTAAACAGATGTTTTAAACACCCTTTTAATAGTTCATTTCACATATTCCCAACATGCAGCCAAGTTAAGCTTTAGAATTTTTAAAGTTATACACATTTTGCCACATATATGTATCCACACTTGCATTCACATCTTTTTATACATTATTTTGAATTATCTGGTACTCAGAGTTCCCTGAACAGTCTTGATAGAACTGGGTGCAAACAATTTTGAAATAAACTTTGGATGGATATGTAATCATACCAACTGGATTAAAAGTATAAGCAAAAAAAAATCAACTATTCCTCTCATGTTATTGTATCTTGCAGAAATTCATTTGCTTATTTTTTTATTTATCATAGGTTTTCATTTGTATAGATATAACCACATTCCAAGGAATCATTTATACTATTTGTCAGCATTTCCCCAAATAACTTTATGAATTCAAGTTTCTAAAAAGGCTGACTGACTTAAAAGTCAGTTAGCCTGCAGCAGGTGGATCCACTATATTGCATTATACTGTATAATCTGTGCTACGGAACCAGTTTCATTTGCTTCTTTTTCTTTAAGCCAAATTCTTTGCACATGAAAGAATCCATTCTTTTCTTTGACACTTGAACTCTATAGATGGAGTAATGTAAGAGACTAGAGAATTAAAAACAGTGAATGTTGCCTAGTTTCTCTCTATATTATGGATATAACACAATGCACAGCTTTATTTCTCAAAAACATGACAATTTTAACAGAAAAATGAATATTAAAGGTAATTTTCCTATTTATACACACTGTGAATAATATCAAAATATTTAATAAATAGATATTAATACAATTCTTATAGAATTTTCATGAAAAGACAGCTATTCATAGTAGTGTTTTTTTTCCCTTAAATTTGTACCTAAAGTTTTTTTGAAACAATGAGAAGATGCTAGTCATGATCTTCAGAAGAGTTTTATTTTATCCTAAGTTTATCATTAAAAAGTAATTCTTAGTAAGATAAAGTATATAATGATATAATTAAAATTTAAAATCAGAATTATTAAATCTCAAAATTTGGAAGAATCACACCAGTCATTTAGACCAATCTCACTGCCTTTGTTTCTACCAAACACTAGTTACTATGTTTAGTATTAATATATTCAACACCTATATGGATCCAATTTCTAGACTCTCACTTTGACATCTTCTTCTATCATGAACATTTCTTCCACTCAGCTCCATTTATTTACTCCTATGGCCACTGCCGAAACTTTACCAGCACCGGAAACTACATCTTAATGTCAGGGAACCAGTATCCACTTGTCTAGAATGACATCTTATCCTTGCAACTCACTTGATCTAAGATCTGCTCTGGAATTGTTTTTCAACTTATCAAGAGCCCCAATTTACTTCTCTCTTTATATCAATCACCCCTCCACCACTCTGTTTTATCTCCATAATTATTGTCCTCATATGCTGTAGTTAGTAAATACAAACTTCAGTGTCTTTCTCTGAAATCATTGTACTACCAGATAAAACCACACCCTTATATGCAATCAACTACTGGCTTTTTTTTTTTTTTAATCTTTGCACACATGCTCAGTGGAGACTGCTTGTGATTGTGCCTTACTGAGGCAGATGATGATTCAGACAAGTTACTCTATTACTCATAGAACCAACTTCAAATAGGCACGTAACTCTACACAACAATACTATCTCACTATATTTTAAAAAATTATCCTCTCATTACCAGTAATACTTTAGCATCTTCCCCACTCCCTTCAACCTCAACAACCTGGATAACTAGTATGAAGGGCTTTACTGACAAAATGGAAGCCATGAAACAGAAATTCATCCTACCACCACCTTCTGTATCTCATTTCTTCTTGTTTCTCCTTTTTGCAGCAGAGAATGTGACCCTGCGGTCCCCTGAAGTCAGTTTCTCCAAACGTGGACTTTACTTTCTCAACACATTTGTTCCTTCAGTTATTCCCACTGTAGCAACTTTGTCTCTGTCTCTCAATTAGATAATTCCTACTGACAAATAGGCTATAACACCTCACATCTTTAAAAGAATACACATTTCATGTAATTGCTGTCTGCACCAGTATCTCCAATTCTTTATCTCCTATTATCTTTGTCAACCCTCTCCAGCCTGCCTACTGTTCCCACTACCCTACTCAATTCCTCCCGCCAAGGCATTGTTGGTCCTTACCTTTCAAAACTTTTTTTTGTTTTTGTTTTTTGAGACGGAGTCTCGCTCTGTCACCCAGGCTGGAGTGCAGTGGCATGATCTCTGCTTACTGCAACCTCCACCTCACCAGTTCAAGTGATTCACTAGTCTGAGCCTCCTGAGTAGCTGGGACTACAGACACATGCCACCATGCCCGGCTAATTTTTGCATTTTTAGTAGAGACGAGGTTTCACCATGCTGGTCAGGCTGGTCTCAAACTCCTGACCTCGTGATCCGCTTGCCTTGGCCTTCCAAAGTGCTGGGATTACCGGCGTGAGCCACTGCGCCCATAGAAAAGATTAGTTCTTTCTGAACTTTTAAACACCATTCAGCAGTGTTCACCATTCTCTCTAACTTAAAACACTGTCCCTCATAACATATTTAAAAAATTCTATTTCTTACTGTTATTTCTCAGATTCTTGTATAGGCCACAGTTCTTTCAGTAGAACTCTAACCAATTTCCGTACATGTAAGTATCATAAATATACTAATGACTCTGAACATTATATATCTTGCCTCATGCATGAATACCCAAATGTTTTCCTGTAATCACAAAATGAACATCTCAAAGTGACCACAAATTTGACATGTTCCGAAGTAATTAAATTTTGATATTCTCTGCCAAAAGCTGCTCTAGAAATTTTGCCACTCCTTCTTCATCTTAGAAAATGCTATTATTCTCCACCAAAGGCAAATAACCAAGAGTCATTACTAGAAAATTTGTCTCCTTTACCACTCATGCCCAATATAGATCAAATTCTTTAAGATCTTTTCCTCAATAAACCTCAAGTCTGTCACCTTTTCTATTACCACATTTTTTCTAAGTCTCAATCATCTCTCAATTAGATCATTATAGTAATCTTCTAAGTGGTGTTGGGGTGTCGTCTCCCGGCTACTTCAATCCATTTTCCAATATTAAGTTTATTTGTTTAATTAAACATGTTAACTTGTGGTGCTCTTATGCTTAAAAAGTTTCATTAGCTTTCTATTTATATAATGAATGAAACCAATGTTTAGCCTAGTTTAAGAAATGTAAGAACTCCTTTTACCCTAGCTTTCTTCCTGTTTACTTTTATTCATCATGCCTTGAATCATACCTATCTTCTTTAATTTTCTCTAACACAAAATCCTCCTGTTTCTTCTTTGCAATCCTGCAAACCCAAACCCAGCAGCTAGTAAATATTCAATATATATGAATTAATTAATTGATGAATGAGTGATTTTATTTCAGATTGCTATCAAATGCTCAATTCCCCTGCATAGTATCTCCAATGAGTCAAATCCTGGAATTCCCTATAGGAACACCTGGGATATATAGTATCAACTTACAAATACCATTCTTTCTTAATTTTGAAAGAAAAACTGAGTAAAATATGAGAGCTGTAGCTTTTAAAAAAAATAGAAAATACACCATAAAAATTTTAGTCAAGCATGGCAGACTAAATACATGTATTTATTTCTAATCTACTTCAAGCTCCAATATAATAACTGTTTACAAATGAAATGGTCTAATATCACAAGTTCAAAATTAATAAGAGTGGATGAGACATGCCAACAAATTTTTGGAATGTAAAAATAGATAAGACATTGTTAATGATTTGACAAAGCACAAAGCCTTAAAATATTTCTGTATAGAGAGAAGTTTCCAAAGTAGGGCAACTCAGAGATAAATCAAGAATGGGAAGATTCACACACCTCAACTGTAAAAGAGAAATATGAGACTAAAAGCAGTGGATTAATTAAAACTTTGTTTGATGAGATATTATACATAGATGTCTTCTCCATCATTCCAAGCACTTAAGCAGCTGCCCTTTCCAAACACTCATAGAGGATAAGAGATTATTTTCTATAAAAATCAAACCAGATTGTTGTGTACATCAAGCAAAGGAGGGATGGCAGGGAGGTGATATACTGAAACAGAATTACTGTATGAAAACCTGGAATGAACAATTAGATACTCAGTTCTCCTTACCTGCACAGTAATAGTAATTCTTACTACCAGACTGGATGCTGGAGGGCTCTCCTTCAGAGAAACAGAAAAGAAAAAAAAGCCTATAGCCACTAATATTTGAATCTCTGCAATTAAATACCTGGGTCCCTTCCCAATCATATAGCAGTGATGCTCACCAGTTAACAAGAACTGAAGACACATGACAGATTCCAATCAGTGATTTATTACCACTGTCAAATAAGAATGGACACTCAAAGATTACCTGAAAAAGTCCTTTAATATGGCCCCAGATTGAATAATTCCTAATTTCCTATATCATAAATTCAAAAATTATCTAAAATTCAGTGAAATTAGTCCATATTATCAATGCCAACCTTACACATAAACAGAGTTGACATTCTCTTATGATGCTGAACAATGCAGATGAAGAACGCTGGCTTTGGATTAAGAAGACCCTTAGTTTGAATTTTAATTTTGACCCATGATAGCTGTGTAAACTTAGTCAAAATTCTTCAGTTATTGAGCTGATGCTTTAGCCTGAGTTAAACAGAGAACAGAGCCTAAGGTAGAGGGTTTCTATTCTATTCTTTCATAATGGATTGCTGGGCAAGATAACAAAAGCAATGGATAAGCACAGAAATGCAGGGCAGAAGAGAGAGCCATGAGGAAGATATATTATCAGGGTGGTTGCCATTAAGTGAAACCAGTTACCCAGTTTAATGGAATTATCCCCAGGGAGCAAGGTCTGTGGCATCTCAAGACTCTTTATCAAAGAGGAGAATGGGAGAAAAATCATCTTTTTTGTATTTCCTACTGTTCAAAAGTTTGTCCCTTGCTTTCCTGGTTATGAATGCATGGAAGTCTAGTTGAAGTCCAGCAAAGACATCAACAAGGAATCATAGGAAAGAGATAAAAGGCCTGAGACATGGATATAAGGGAAGGTAGTGTTAAGTGGCACCTTTTTGGGAGTCCAAACTGAGCAGGAGTAAAACTGAAGCAACTGCTTTAACTAAGACATGTGTGCCCACAAAGACCTGAAGTGACACATGAGCTTTCACAGTTTTTTAACTGTAAAATGGTAATGATATCACCTATGTTTCTGGATTACTACAAATATTAAATAGCATAAATGGCACACTTGCAAAGCATATTTTAATAAACATATTTAATATTTCCCTTATTGATTTCTTTAATCAATAAAAGCATTTCTGAAATTTGTGTAAAGGTCTAGATGAAGGGACATTGGACATGCTTTGATAATCATTGAGACTGGGTGATAGATAAATGATTGTCATGGTCTTTACTTTGATATGCATGTTTGACATCTTTGTAAACATAGTTTTAAAAATAATATTTGTAAAATTTAAAAACAGAAACAAATAATTCTGATTTCAAAGGTCAACTAATAGACTCCTAGTCATGTCAGGATATCAATGCCTATCTCATTCACTTTCTGGTGCTTAAAAAATAATAAAAGTAATTATTTCCCAATCTTCACTTTCTACAATGCTAAACTATTTATTTCTCCTTTTCTGAGCCCACATGCTTTCCTCAATGAATGTTACCGAGATGGAATTTATATCTTATATTTCAGGTGTATTTACATTCATTTCTTCCCCACTATGTTGCAAACAAGTTGTTTTGCCCATTTGTTCTTATCCTGAGGTCATGAAAACATCTAACTCTACTATCTTCCAGAAGCTATATTGTCTTGCCTTTGACCTTAAGGATTATGGTCTTGAATTAATTTTTGTATGTGTAAGTGACCACACAAACTTGTTAGAAATCTAGTTTCAAGTATTTTTTTCATATGGATTCAAATTACACCACCAGTACACGCATATTGAAAAAAAGTATTTTTCTACTGTTTTGCAATGGAAATATTGATATAAATCAAGTACCCATATATGCACAGGTCAGTTTATGAACTTGCTATTTTGTTGTACTGGTTTGTTTGTATATATTTTTTGCCCTGATAAGACACTGCCTTAGTTATTGCAACTTCTGTTATAAGCTTTGAGATCTGAGAAAGAAAGTTATTCCAGCTACTTATTTTGTATTTGCTATCTTTGGTCTTTTGCATTTATATAAATTTTATAATCAGTTTGTCAATTACTAAAACAAAATGTACTGGGATTTTGATTGGGACTGCATTGAATATAAAGATCAATATGGAGAGTATTGACTTCTTCAAAATGTTGAGTCTTCCAGGCCATGAAGAGGGAATATCCTTTTAATTATTTAGGACATCATTAATTTTTCTAAATAAATAAGTGCAATTCCTTTCCAGAGGTCTTCACATATCTGGTTAACTTTTGTTCTTGTGTATATTTATGCTATTATAAATGCTAAACATGGTTACTTTCCCTTTCTGTTGGTTAGCGATACATAGAAATGGAATTTCTTTTTGAATATTCAATCCGCGTATTAGTTTTCTAATGGTGTTGTGACGAATTACACCAACTTAGTGGCTTTAAAACAACACCCATTTATTATCTCACAGTTTAATCAGTTAGAAGTCTGGACTCAGCGTGGCTCAGTTGGATGTCTTTCTAGAGGCTCTGTGGACGATTTTTTTCCCAACATCATGAAAATTATTGGCATAATTCAGTTCCACGGAGTTACAGGACTGATTTCCCTTTTTTTTCTTACTAGCTTTAGCCAGGGTTTATTCTCAGCTTCGAGAGGGCACTCACATTCTTGGCTCATTCCTCCATCTTGAAAGCCAGCAATAGTGAGTCAACTTCTTCTCTTGTTTTAAGTTTCTGTGACCTCACTTTCTGCTTCATCTCTTTTCTGCTTCATCTCTTCTCCGCCTCCTTCTCTGTCAGATCTCTCTTACTTTTCTGCCTTCCTTTTCTGCTTTTAAGTGCTCCAGTTATTACATTGGGCCCGACCAGGTAACCCAGGTTAACCACTCCATTTTAAAGTTAACTGATTAATAATCTTAATAACTTCTGGCCAGGTGCAGTGGCTCACGCCTGTAATCCCAGCACTTTGGGAGGCCGAGTCGCGTGGATCACGAGGTCAGGAGTTCAAGACCAGCCTGGCCAAGATGCTGAAACCCCGTCTCTACTAAAAATACAAAAAAATTAGCGGGGCGTGGTGGCAGGCCCCTGAATCCCAGCCACTCGGGAGGCTAAGGCAGAGAATTGCTTGAACCCAGGACGCAGAGCTTGCAGTGAGCCGAGATCATGCCACTGCACTCCAGCCTGGGTGACAGAGCGAGACTCGTCGAAAAATAAATAAATAACAAAATAAAAAATGACATCCAAACAATTCATGCACAATAGTATCTACACATGTGTTTGCTTGAATAATCAGAATATGGGACTCTTGAGAGTACATCACTAAAATTCTACCTACCACACCTTGTACCTGGCTTCCTTATCAAACTCACTTAACAATCTATTTATGTGTAGAATTTAATTTTTAGATTTTTAAATATATATACACACACATATATATGTAATCTTAAAATTTGACAGTTTTTATTTATTCCTTTGAAGTTATTATTTATTTTCCTTCTATTGATTACATGGGTTCACTAGTTAGGCCTTTTAATAAAACACAAAATATAAGTAATTTTTACTTTCAAAAGTTTTCAACATTTCCTCATAAGATATGTTTGTTATGTGATTGTTGTAGATTTTTAAAATCAAATTAAGGAAAATTCTTTCTTTTACAATTTTGCTAAGAGTTTTCCCACTAAAGGATGTTGAATTTTATCAAATGTAATTTCTGCATCTTTTTATGTCTGTGAATGTTCTCCTTTATTCTGTTAAAATCCTGAATTATGTTAATTTGTCTTTTGATTTTTAACCCAATCTTGTTTTCTAAAAATAAACCTAACTTGGATATCTTGGTTTAAACTTTACATATGGTGTTGAATTCACTGTATTAAAATTTGTGTAGGAATTTACAAAATGTTTATGAGTCAGACTGCCAGTAATTTGCCTTTAGAAGAAAATACTATTGTCAGGTTTTGGTATCTGGGTGTTTGTTAGCACCAACAAATGATTTAGTAACCATTTCCTATTTTCAATTGTCTGGAAGAGTTTGTGTTAGAATGATGTTCTTTCTTCTATATGTGTTTGGTACAATTTACTGGTGAAGCCATCTGGACTTGATGTTTTCTTTATGTAATGATTTTTAATTATAGACGTCATTTCTTTAATTTCAGTAGTTATATAAATCCTCATATTCTTTCTTTCTGTTTTCAGTTTTATCAGTTCTATATTTTAGGAAATTATTTCAACTGAATTTTCAAACATATTATTTATAACATCATATTATAATCTTCCTAATATCAGAGAGATCTGTAATTATGTCTCCTTTTCATCTGTACTGTCGTTGATTTGTCCTATTTTTTTCTTTTTCTTCATCAGAAACACTAAAGAATTTTTTATTTTATTAGATTTTCTAAAAGTTAAGATCTTATTGATTTTGACTAGTATATAAGTCCTTTATTTTGTTAATTTCTAGTTGTATTTTTATTATTTCCTTCCTAGTTCTTCTTTTTATTTAATCGTTCTTAAGATGGATACTTAAGTAATTGATTTTCATCTTCTAAGCTTTATTAGTATGTTTATTTAAAGCAATACATTTCCATATTACCATGACCTTAGCTGCAGTGTATGTATTTTGGTGTACAGTATTTTCTTTATTTTTCAATTAAAATTTGTCTTGACTTCCTCTATGATGTCTTCTATGATTCTTCCTCTATAATTCTTCTTTTGACCATATAGAAGTGTATTCATTAATTCAATCACATATAAATATTCTCCTTTTATCTTTTTGCTACTGGTTTGTTTGTTTAGCTACATTTAGGGAAAATTTCATTTCTGAGACGACAGAGGAAGCACATTCCATTTTATTCCTTCTGCTAATGACAAAAAAAAAAAAAAATTGGAAAAAACACAAAAGCCAGAGTCAAAAGACTCTGAAAAATGGAGAAAAAGTGCAGACAGGCTAAGGATTTGGGAGATTGAGGAACAACGACAGGTGAGTTCTCTGTCTTTTTTTTTCTTTCTTTTTTGATATATATATATATATCAACAATCTCAATGTTTAAGAGAAGCCCTCAAGCCAGAATTTCCAACAGTTGCAGATAAAACATTGTGCTTGCTTAACGTATTTAACCAAAAGACCCGAAAAGCAAGGATATAAAAGAATATTTTAATAATATCATTCTGTTCTTAAGGTGAACACTTCAAAGAAACCACACCCCTCCCCTCCCCAATGCGTGCTGAAGCAGTGGAATCCATGAGTGGAACCTTGTCATATATAATCTCCACACTAAATTTATAGCAAAGCCCCCATCTCTCAACCTGTGTTGAAATTCTGACTTCCAGACACACCTTTCAGTAATGAGGAGGTACTCTTCCATGATAAACCCTGTGGGCAAAGCTTCCACATTCATCCCACCCCTAAAGCAATAAATTTGCACCTTTCCCAAGTAGAATCAATGGGAAGAATTTTGACTTCTATCCCCACCTGATGGTAATGAGGCAGTATCTCTCTCTTTTTCCAGACAGTGTTTAAGAATTTGTTGTATAGAGCGCTATTACCTGAATAACACATTGTGGCAGAGCAAAATAACCCTTAAGCATTTAGTTTTCAGATTTATTTTCAACTATTTAGAGGGTTATTTCTTGACTACCACAGATAAGTCATTCCCTTCTCCATTGTTCTATAGTTTACTGCCCTTTTTTTCTATCATGGCATTTACCCACTATTTCATATTGTTATTTATAGTTTACATGCTTAATATCTCCATCTCCCAACAAATATGGGAACATCATTAGGTCAGAGAAATTTTATTTCTTTTCCCTCTGAAGTCTCAGTATTAGTTGTTACATTAATTAGCACTTATTTAAATTTTTAGTTTTCTTTTTCTTTGCCTCATGTTACTGTTACACCCTTCCACTACCAAGCTTAAAGTTAGGAATGATTCATGTGACTGGAATTGAATGACTGCTCTGAGAAAGAAGTCCATAAAAGTCTGCATGCAATTTGCCATGTCTCCATCCTTTCTTTGCCATAGAAACTAAAGATCTTCCAGATAGTCGAGGCTCTGTTAATGTTATTTCTTGAATAACGACTATCTGAACAGAACATCTGTGACTTGGAATGGGGACATGTAGCTTGGAGAAAAAGTAAGCACACAGTGTTTTAAGTTACTGTGGTTTTATGGTTATTTGTTACTGCAGCATAACCCACCCTGCCCTGACTTAAGTGATATAATATTTAACAAATATTTATAAAATAAATAAATTCAAATTCACTCTAATACCTAGAAAATTATCAAGTATAGTAAACCAAATAATAAATATTTATTAAGGAATATGGAAACAGTGACCTATGAGAAGTCTTGATATACTGACCATCCATTGTTGCAGCAGATCTCACTATTGCTATTGTGCTTAACATTTCAATTACAAAAATTAAAAAAAAAAAACACCATTCATCAGTGCAGGTCTGTGTATTTAAAGAAATAATTTACAAGTTTTTTTTTCCTTTGTAAACATATTGTTTTGAAGTGCAAATATATATAATTTGCACTTTGGGATGGAATGGAATGGGATGCCCTATTGGCAGTCCATACATCTGGATTATAAATGGATTTCCATCCCATCTTCCTCCCCATCTCTTTCCCTTTTTGATCATTCTATGGAAATGGAAAGCTAGCAGAAGTTTGAAGAATTGTCACGCAAACAACAACAACAAAACTTTAGCATATTAACCTGTTGTCCAACCTTATATAAGCAGTTTGTATTTAAAACATCCCTAAGTGGATTTTAATTCCAGTTTCAATCATTGTTAACTATTTTTGAAATATTTAAAATCCCAACCACTATACCACTATTTCTCTTCAACTAGTCCTTACTTTTATAAACAAAAAAGTAACAGTAAATAATTTATAACTAGGTCTCTCTGAATCTAAAAACACGTTCTTATACACTATGTGATGCCATATTTTTTACTCTTGTCTTTGTGAGTTTTTTGTGCCATTCTCTCCTCTGGAATGGTCTTCTGTGCTTACACATTCCAAGGGCTACTCCATTTTACAAGAAACAGTTCATGTTTGCTACTTTGGGGTTGATCCCATGATAATTCTGGTTCTCACTTGGTCTTTCCCTGTGAGATGCAGTAGCATTCAAAATTCTCAGACTATTCTATGCACCTTGGCAGATTTATGGTAATGGTCTATAATTGCTTCATATCTGCTAACCTTGCTTCCAAAACTAGTTTTTGAGATTAATGAGACAGGAGCTTGGCTTTTTCTTTCTGTATAGCTTCCATAGCAACAAGAAAATATTAGACACACAGTAGGCATTGGAAGAAAATGTGTTCAGTTAAATGAACTTGATTTGAATGGAATGAGAGTTCAATGAAACTGTATATATTGTGAAACGTGGCAACTTACACCTACTCAAGACATTAAAAGAGATCATGCTTTCTTGCCTAAGTTTTATGTCCAATTTGTTCCTGTTTCAAACCCCTCGACAAAAACAAAATCTTTTAATCTGTTTGCAAAATATTTCCTCCTTCCTCCCATCTTGCTGTTGCTGCTCTGTGATATACTGCCCTTGCTTATTACCCCTTTATAGCTGTTTTGTTAAAGTTCATACCGCTAAGACCTGTAAAAGAAATTTATGGCTCTAGGGATTTCAGCAAATTCTAAATAACCATAACAGGAACAGGAAGCATTAATTAAAGACACTAGAGTCTAAGTTATAACAGAAATCCTGACATTTAAGGCCCTGGTACCATTTAAATTTAAAATGGTATGACAAACAGAGAGTAATTTGATGGTCAGAAGGTTATAATGGATACCTTAATACCTTTGCCAAGAAAAAGTGTCTGTCCTTGCTCTAACCCCTACCCAGGGGCTTCAGGGGCCTCCTTCATAAAACATGGTGATGCCTAAATATTTTTGCGATATCTCATATATAAGCTGGTCTTTTCTTTAAGAATACGAGAGATTAAACACCAACCCCCAACATTCATACACCAATTTTCAGATAAAACAGCTTAATATTTAAGATATATTTAGTGCAATTTGTCTATTTCTTGGTTTACTGGAGGGCTGTATTTAAAGCCAAGGGACCAAGGAACATTCCACAACACACTAAAGCAATTTTTCCCCAGGGAATATGCTGATTCTTTCCTAAAGGCAGAAGCCGACATTCCTGACTCATTCTGCCAAACCAAGCAATGAAAAATGCTTCACCTAATTTGAAAGATAATTTGTAATACCAGAGACTCAACTTGTTTTGTGTATCCAATACTAGCACCCTTTCCAGAATGTTGAAAGTACACACTGTATGATTTGTCTAATGTATATTCAAAAAAGGAATACAAATTGATCCTCAAAGTTCAAATCTGCAGTACATACTCTGTGTTCTGCCCCCACCCGTACCTTCATGAATTCTTTCACCTAGCACGCAGGCTGTTTTCCCTTTGCGAAATCCCATGGTACATTTATAGTATTAATACCACTCACTTAGAATATGCCGTATTTTGTCTAATATTGCTAGATTTTGTGTGTATAATCTTATTCCTCAAGTAAATTACAAGACAAGGACTATAATTTATACATCCTCTACAACACTTGACACTGGCTTTGATTAGGCTCTTAATAAATATTTGTTGGTTGATTAATCAGTTGACCACACTTACTAATTGCAAGGTGACATCATTTATCATTAATAAACATATATGTGGATTACAAAAATATCATGTGAATTTGCATATAATCATATTAATCCCAAATTAGCACCTGAGAGTCCAACCACCCTCTCCTTTAGGCCCTTTTCACTTTTATGTCTACTTTTGCCTCACTTACAATTCCACTACTTACTTGCCTTCTTTCTCTTTTCAGCTTTGTGCTGTTATTTAATATCTCACCAGTTGTGTAATTTCAGCTCCCAAATTGAATAAGACGTTCCCCCCAGTGGAACCCTCACCTTGACAAATAGCCAAATAGTAATTATTCCTTTCAGGGGTTGAGCTATGGAATCATGCTTGCAATATCCCAGGCTTGAGTGCCTAGATATTTATGCTATACTTCCCTGTGTCGGAGTTTCCATCTGCGATTGTATTTCAAGCCCTCTCATTTTTTTTTTCAATATGATTAAGATAATTCCTTTATGAAGTTGGAAACTCAGACATTCAGAAAGAAACTTGACGTTTCATATTTTTGCTAACTTGCTCTTCCCATTTCCTTTCCTATCATTTTAGCCAGACTGAGGGAGAATTAATTTTGCAATGGTCTCTATTTTTTTTTCCAAATGTGTGACCTCCATATTAATAGGAGCCAGAGTACTCATTCATCACATCTGGTCAGTGTGAAACTGACATTTACAGGGTGGAATGTTTCCCACTCAGGACAAATGGGGATCATTTGTAAAACATGCCGCACCCAATCATAGGTTCCCATGGATCTCCAACTACATTTTTAAGCAACAATATAAACCATTCCCGAAACTGAAAGGTCTTTTCAAATATTTACTGCCTACCTATGGAATTTTTATTCTGCTTGCTGCTGCCATCAATAATCCTGGGAGTTCCTAGCTAAGTGTTGTGTATGACCTCCAAGGAAAGTCTTAGCATTGCAGAATGGGGAGGCGGGTTAGTATCCTGCATTTTTCATTCTGTCACTTTCTAGGGACAATTACAAAGAAAATAATCATATAAGACTTATTTTTATGTTTATTATGAAAGCCTTCAGCTCTTGCATTTGCAAGTAAGCTCAATGATTTTAAGTTTGCTTTTTCCCCCATGAAATGAAATATTATTTCCCACTTCTTCCATGAATCTATTGGGTAACTCCAGGCCACTGTGATCTTTCATCTGGCATTTTGCTTTTATTTTTCTAGATCACAGTTGTGATTTAAAGCCCTCCTGGCACTTGGACACCTTGGTGATCTTAGCTCATGCTCCTAGTTCCATAGTGATGAATTGACCAAACTTTTTCCCAAGGATATCTGCTAATTCTGGAGTTTCTGCTTTCTTATTATCTGTTCTGTCTTTTGGTTCTGTATTGATATAACAAGCTTTGTCCCCTTATCAATGAGGGCACAAAATGCAGCACTTCAAATAATTTCTGCAAAAATTTACAGTTGCTGCATTAAGAATTTTGTGAGCTTCAATAATGTTATTGAAAAGTTGCAGATTCCCTCCTCCTTCTTTTTCTCCTTTCCTCCTCTTTCTGCCCTGTCTCCCCTTCATTATTCTCCTCTTCTTCTCAAAAGCAAACAATCATTTTTCTTGCCTACTGAAGAATACTTGTAATGTTATTCTCAAAACCTGGACACCAGCTCAACTCCTTCTTTGTTCTACAAGTATTCACCCACCCTAATAGGGAGTTTATTCCAATGAAAAGACTGTGTTCCTCCTCAGAGGAATTTATGAGGTGGTAAGAGAGTAGAATTGCATTAATCTTATGCCATTCCTAGAGAATTCTTATTTCCTCAATTAAGGTTTAATTGCTCTGTTCTGAAAAAAAAAAAAAAATGGTGAGTCCAAGCAGATAATTTACAGTGACCTGTATCTGTGACTAGTTTTAAGGCTACCCTGAGGTCAGAATTTAAACATGTTAATTCAGTACTGGACTTAATAGTAAACAAGATAGAGATATCTCTGTCTCACAAAGATTTGTAATACAACTCACAGAAGCTTTACTCCAAATGAAAGGGTCATAGTTAGAGGGAAATTCCATAATAATAGTACCTATCTGATAGGGTGAATGTGGGAATTAAACGAGTTCATAGCTATAAAGAATTTCAGAGGCCATCTGGCAATCACAAATAATAACTCTTAGTGGCAGCATTAGCTAGTTCCTGAATAGCCAAATATCTTGAATCCTCATAACAATGATTCAAATAAATGTCATCATTATTTCACAGAGTAAGATACTTAAGCATTGGGAGTTATTAAGCAATTCTTTAAGGACATAGCAGCAACATGTAGAGGAGCTGAAATTACAACATGGTTCTTTCCGAACTTTAAGTCCCCTGTTTTTGTGTCTATGACTTTAAATATTCATAGTGGAATATCTATCTATCTACAGATAATTTCATGAAACATTAAACTAAGTTTGGTTTTTCTAAAATGCTAACCTCTGTTTAACTATCAACCTAGGCAAAAATGGACAATTCCCTGTACCTCAGAAGCTTTCCTAGTGCTCCTCCCATTCATAAAAATCTCCCATCCTTGGAAAATAGCCACGATAAAAATTATATCAAATCCCAACTTTTTATTTGTCCTTTTAACCAAATGACTTATGCTTTTCTAAATGATACAGATTTGCTTTGCCTATTTGGGAATGTTACATAACTAGAATCCTAGACAGAGCTCTTAATTGTAACATTGTCATACATCAAATGTCAAGTGTCTACAAAGGGATGGATCACTCTGGGCTTTCAATGTTCTTCCATTGGTCTATTAAATTCCCTTAGAGCAATAATCCTAGTATCTCATTTACTGAAGTGTTACAATAGGATTTATTTTTTGGTGGAATAAGTCCAACCATCTTCTTGTTTGTTCTTCAAGAATGCATGGACTATTCTCTGTACTTTGCCTTATCACATACATTTAAAAATAAACCTATTATTGCTATGAAATAATAATAAATAAAAGACTTGGGTTTTGTTTGATGTTACATTATGTCTATAAAGTAAGGATCACTGACATCTGTAAAATTTGAATCTCCTAGTCTATAAAAAATTGAATATTTTTTGCTTATTCTGGGATCATTTCGATTATCTCCCAATAATGATTTTTGGTTGTCTCTGTAAAGATCTAGTACATAGTTTGCTAGATTTATTGTTAGAATTTTAATGTTTATGTTATTTTAAATAGTGTAAGTTTTATTTTTACTTATTTATTTATTTTACTTTTTCATGTCATTCACCTTTTAATCTTACAATGGTTTCTCATTGCTTAAAAACTCGAGATACATAACATGCACAATATAAGTGCACAAAACACATTCTATGAATTTTTGCACATGCATACACTCATGAAACTACCAACCAGATCAAAATAAAGAATTTTTTGTTTTGTTTTGAGACAGGGTCTTGCTCTGTCGCCCAGGCTGGAGTGCAGTGGCGCCATCATATGTGTCCTCTTTATTGTAATATGCAAAATACTATTAACTTTTGAATAATAATAAACTTGTACAATCCCCTTTTCAAGTGTAATAGTTTTTGAAGATTCTCTTGGACCTTCTGTGTGTATGATTGCATTATATGCAGATAATAAGACCTTTAATTCTTCTTTTCACTTCCTTATACATCATTTCTTATTTATGTAGTTATAAATTTATATGTGTATTTATGCATATGTATATTATTTGTTTAAGGACATATCATTAAAATGTAGAGAAGCTGGAATTATGGTTATTTCTGAACTTAAAGACTATTCATATTTAATTATCAATTTCATAGGGAATGCTTTGTTTCAACAGTAAGTATTAATTTTGCTATAAGTGTTTGTGTGTTTGTTAGGTTTTAATGAGATCGTTTACTGGATAAAAACAATTTTGTTTAGATTAGTTCTTTTCTAATCTTAATTTGCTATTATGAGATTTTGAATTTGTCAATTTTTCTCTATATGTGTTTGTATAGTCATCTCATAATTCTCTTTAATTTTGAAAGTATGGCAAATTGCATTGATTGCTTTTAAATGTTAATCTGACCTTACATTTCTGAGATAAATCCAGTTTAGTAATTATACTTTGCTCATTTTATGTATTGTTAGATGCAGCTTTCTAACATATTGTTGACTTTTTTATTTGTACTTTTGAGAAATATTGCTCTATATGTTTTCTTCTTTATAAATTCTCATGATGTTTCTGTAACAAGATTAGGATAATTTACTAAAATATATTGTGAAATGTACCATTTTTTCCTATTCTATGGAAGATTTGGCATGATATTGGAAATTTTTCTTCCTTAAATATTTAATAGAACTGAAGAATGTAGCCATCTGGAAGCAGATACTGTTTTTTTCCTTTATCTTCTTTTTCTGTATAATTAAATTTAATTATAAATTTAATTTATTTAATAAAATGATTAGAAGAATATTTGGATATTCTATTTCTTATTTCTGCCTGAATAAGTTTTGGTAAGTAAAACAATTTATCCATTCAACATTTTCAAATGTATCAACATAAATTTGTACCTAATGCCCTGTTATTATTTGTTTAATCTCCACAGTGCCTATAGTGGTATCTCATTTATTATATCTTGATTAAGTTAATTAAGCTTTTGTCCTCTGTAATCAGGTTTGTCTGAAGCTGATGTATTTTATTAGTCTATTTACAGAACATTTCTTAACTTTGCTGAAACTCTATAATACAATAAATGTTTTCTATTTTATTAATTTTTGCTATTATATTTAGTATTTACTTCTTTTTATTTTATGTTTATTTTGTTGTTTTTTAATAAAATTCTTGAGATAAATGCTTACCTCATTAATTTTCAATTTTTTTATTTTCTAATATATGTATTAAAATATAAATTACTCTTTGAGTTTCTTATAATGTTAAACACTTACTAAACGACTCAACATTATATGGCTTTAAAAAAGACAAATTGAAAGTCATCAAACTTCATTTCATCATTCAAAAGGCATTTAAAGAATGTAAAACTAAGCCACAAACTGAGGCAATTTACTTACAAAATATATATCGAATTGAGAGCTTGTATTCAGAATATGAGTTACTCTTACAAATGAATAATAATATAAACTGATTTTAAAATGAGCAAAAAATTCGAACTGGTATTTCTACAAAGAAGTTATATAAATGGCAAATGTGCATATTGAAATATACTTCGCATAATTTATCATGAGGTAAGTAAAAATTAAAACCACAAGTGCTGGGCACAGTGGCTCACGCCTGTAATCCCAGCACTTTGGCCGAGGCAGGTGGATCATTTGAGGTCAGGAGTTCAAGACCAGCCTGGCCAACATGGTGAAACCCCGTCTCTACTAAAAATACAAAAATTAGCCGGGCGTGGTGGTGCGCGCCTGTAGTCCCAGCCACTCGGGAGGCCAAGGCAGGATAATTGCTTGAACCCGGGAGGCAGAGGTTGCAGTGAGCCAAGATCATGCCACCAGCTTGGGTGACAGAGCAAGACTCCATCAAAAAAATTAATTAATTAATTAAAACCACAAGGACATATAATTCTATATCCAGTAGAATGGCCAATTTAAACACACACATGCACACACACACAGACACACATATACATACCAACACACATACACAAAAAATAAATGTTTTTTAGAACATGAAACACCATGCACTTTCATAGTGGTAGGAATGCAAAACTGTAAGTCACTTTAGAAAACTGCCTGGTGATTTATCATAAAATTAAACACATTTTATATAACCCAACAATCCCACTTTTAGGTATTTTCCAAGAGAAACAAAAATGTATGTCCACACAAAAATGTGCACTGAATTATCATAATAACTTTATTCATAATAGCATCAAACTAGAAACACCCTAATATCCATCAGCTGTTAAAATGATTAGCAAATTGTAGCATATTTATTAAACAGAATAATATTTAACAATTAAAAGGTATAAACTCCATATATGGCTGAATGTCTGGAGCACTATACTAAGTGGAGAAGACAAACAGAAAAGATCAAACACTTGCTTCCATTTGCTTGAAATTAGCAAAAAAATAAAATTGTGGTAACTGAAAACTGGCCATTGGTTGCTAGAGGCTGAGTTGAGGGGAGCTGACTACAAAGGGGCACCATAAAATTCAAGGAGAGATCCAGAAACATTTTATATCTGATTACTTTGGTCCTAATAGGACTGTATATAATGAAACTGTAAAAACTACTTAGGTCTTATACTTAAGAACGTGGGTGCAAGTAAGTAAGTAATAGAAAATGCATAGGAAATGATGTTATATAATGCACTATTTTCATTAATTTAAATAAAAGGACTATTAATGTTTTGTATGGGTTCAATCAGAATGGAATAAAAAAAATAGAGCTGATACCAAGTTAAGGCAAATGTTTCTTACATAGTTTCCTCCTAAGCTACTTTGATAATGTAGGCATAGAGATTTATTATTCAGAATAATGATTTAATACCTTTATCTGCTTTTCTTGGCTCAGATATAGTACTGTGACAAAATTGAGATCTGTGTCTCCCATTATCAAGACATACTAACAAATATTTCTTATCAGCTTAAATGAACAGAATTCAAGGACATGATTTCAACTGCCTGGACATTATGTTCAACTCAACCTATAGCAACTGTGGTAGTCTGAAGCACATCAATTTGGTTTAGCTGACATTACAGCTTTTGAAATCTTTTCCCTGGATTGTACCAGATCAGAGTTGGCCAAAACAGGAAATTACATGACGTTGGGAAGATAGAAGTAAGCAGAAACCATTGCTCTTTGAAGGTCATCATGGTTAAATTAGATGAAAGACAGTCGCAGAAATGGTGGCAGAGTCTAGCTGTTCTTTCTTTTCCTTTACATCTAGCACTTTTTTTGCATTTACTTTGTTGGCCAACAGTAGCCCTAGGCTCATCTCCACATGCTTGGGAGCAGATCAATAGAGATACAGTCATACCTGCTTTTATTGTTCTTTGCCTTATTGTGCTTTGCAGATACTGCTTTTAAAAAAACAAACAAACAAACAAAAAAAACCAATGGAAGATTTGTGGCAACCCTGAATCAAACAAATCTATGGACATCATTTTTCAATAGCATGTGCTCACCTTGTGGCTTTCTATCACATTTCAGTAATTTTTGCAGTATTTCAAGTTTTATTATTATTTTTATATCTATTATGGTGATCTGTGATCAGTGATCCTTGCTATTAGTGTTGTAATTATTCTGGTTTGCCACAAACAGCACCCATATAAAATGGAAAACTTAATTGATAAATGTTTTGTGTGTCTTAACTGCTCTACTGACCAGCCATTCCCATATCTGTCACCCTTCCCTCAGGCCTCTCTATTCCCCAGAATAGAACAATAACCTTACAATTCCCTTTAAGTGTTCAGGGGAAAGAATGGTTACACTTCTCTCACTTTAGATCAAAGCTACAGATTATCAAGGTTGGTAAGGAAGACATGTCCCAGGCTGTGATAGGCCGAAAGCTAAGCCTCTTGCAACAAACAGCCAATTTGTAAATGCAAAAGGAAAAGTTCTTGAAGGAAATTAAAAGCTCTATTAAAAGCTCTACTTCAGTGAACATGCAAATGATAAGAAAGTGAAACAGGTTCAGTGTTCTGAAAAGAAGATCAAGCCAGCCACAACATTCACATAAGCCAAAGCCTGATTCAGAGCAAGGCACAATTCTCTTGAATTCTGTAAGGGCTGAGAGAGGTGAAGAAGCTGCAGAAGTAAAGTTAGAAGCTAGCAGAGATTGTTTCATGAGGTTTAAGGAAAGAAGCCATCTCCATAATATAAAAGTGTAAGGTGAAACAGCAAGTCCTGAAGTAGAAGCTGCAGCAAGTTATCTGGAAGATCTAGCTAAGATCATTGATGAAGATGGATATGCTAAACAACGCATTTTCAATGTAGATGAAACAGCCTTCTACTGGAAAAAGATGCCCTCTAAGACTTTCACAGCTACAGAGAAAAAGTCAAAGCCTAGCTTCAAAGCTTTAAAGAACAGGCTTACTCTCTTAATAGGGGTGTATGTAATGTCGCCGGTGGCTTTAAGTTGAAGCCAATGTTCCCCTCCACTCTGAAAATTCTAGAGCTGTTAAAAATTATGTCAAATCTACTTTTCTTGTGCTACATAGATGCGAAAACAAAGCCTTGATAACAGCACATCTGCTTATGGCATGGTATACTAAATATTTTAAGCCCAGTCTTCACACCTACTGTTCAGAAAAAAAGATTGCTTTCAAAATATTATTACTCATTAACAATGTATCTGGTCACCCAAGAGCTCTGGTGGAGATGTACAAGGAGACTAATGTGTTTTATGTTAGTGACTCCTAACATAACACCCATCTGCAGCCATAGAAGAAGTAATTTTGACTTTCAAGTCTTATTAGTTAAGAAATAAATTTCATAAGGCTATATGTAGCTGCCATAAGTAGTGATTTCTCTGATGGATGCGGGCAAAGTAAATTTATAACTTTTTGAAAGAATTTACCCTTATACATGCCATTAAGAACATTTGTGAATGGGAGGACAACATATCAACATTAACAGGCATTTGAAGAAATTAATTCCAACCCTAATGGATGACATTGAGCTATTCAAGACTTCCATGGAGTAAGCAACTGCAGATGTAGAGAAAATAGCAAGAGAGGTAGAATTAGAAGTGGAGCCTGAAGGTGTGACTGAATTGCTGCAATCTTATGATATTATATGAATGGAAGAGGAGTTGCTTCTTATGGATGAGCAAGAAAAGTGATAGTGATCTTTTGTGATGAAATCTCCTGGTGAAAAGGCTGTGGACATTGTTAAAATGACAGCAAATGATTTAGAATATTAAATAAATAAACTTTTTCATAAAACAGCTGCATGGTTTGAAAGGATAGACTCCACATTTGAAAGAGTTCTACTGTGGGTAAATGCTATCAAGCAGCATCATGTGTTACAGAGAAATCTATCATGAAAGGAAGATTCAGTACATGTGACAAATTTCATTGTCTTATATTAAGAAATTGTCACAGCCATCCAACCTCCAGCAACTACTACCCTGATGAATCAGCGACTGTCAACACTGAGCCAGGACTCTCTAGAAGCATGGAAGGCTCAGATGATGGTGAGCAACTTTTAGCAATAGTGTATTTTTAATTAAGGCATGTACATTGCTTTTACAGACATAATGCTATTGCATACTTAATAGAACATGATATAGTATAAACATAATTTTTATAGTAATATGGTTTGGCTGTGTCCCCAGCCAAATCTCACCTTGAATTGTTGTTCCCATAGTCCCCACTTGCCATGGGAGGGACCTGGTGGGAGGTACTTGAATCAGGGGGTGGTTACTTCCATGCTGTTCTCGTGATAGTGAATTCTCATGAGATCTGATGGTTTTATAAGGGGCTTTCTCCCCTCCTTTGCTCTGCACTTCTCCTTCCTACTACCTTGTGAAAAAGGATGTGTTTGCTTTCCCTTCAATCATGATTGTAATTTTCCTGAGGCCTTCCTAGCCATGCTGAACTGTGAGCTTTTCTTTATAAATTACTTTTTCTTTATAAATTACCCAGTCTTAGGTATTTCCTCATAGGTATGAAAATGGAATAATACAATAAATTGGTACCCATAGAGTAGGGTGTTGATATACCCAAAAATGTAGAAGCGACTTTGAAACTGGGTAACAGGCAGCACTTGGAACAGTTGGGAGGTGCTCAGGAGAAGATAGAAAAACATGGGAAAGTTTGGAACTTCCTAGACACTTGTTGAATGGCTTTGAAAAAAATGCTGATGGTGATGAACAATAAAGTCCAGGCTGAGTTAGTCACAGATGGATATGAGGAACTTGTTGGGAATTGAAGCAAAGGTCAGTGACTCTTTTCATGCTTTAGCAAAGAGACTAGTGGCATTTTGCCCCTGCCCTATGGATCTGTGTAACTTTGAACTTGAGAGAGATGATTTAGGGTGTCTGGTGGAAGAAATTTCTAAGTAGCAAAGCATTTAAGAGGAATCACAGCATAAAACTTTGGAAAATATGCAGCCTAATGATGCAGAGTAAAACAAAAACCCAACTTCTGAGGAGAATTTTAGCTTTCTGAAGAAATTTGCATAAGTAATGAAAAGCCAAATGTTAATCACCAAGACAATGAGGAAAATGTCTCCAGGGTATGTCAGAGACCTATGCAGCAGCCCCTCCCATTACAGGCCCAGAGGCCTAGGAGGAATAAATGGTTTCATGGGCCAGCCCAGGGACCCCCAACTGTGTGTAGCCTAGGGACTTGGTGCCCTGCATCCCAGCTGTTACAGCCATGGCTAAAAGGGGCCAAGGTATAGCTTGAGCTGTTGCTTCAGAGGGTGCAAGATGCAAGCCTTGGCAGCTTACATGTGGTGTTCAGCCTGTGGGTGCACAGAATTCAAGAACTGAGATTTGGGAAACTTCCACCTGGATTTCAGAAGATGTATGGAAAAACTAGGATGTTCAGGCAAAAGTGTGCTGCAGGGTTGCATCTCTCAAGGAAAACCTCTGCTAGGACAGTGAGGAAGGGAAATATGGGGTCAGAGCCCCCACACAGAGTCCCCACTGGGGCACTGCCTAGTGGAGCTGTGAGAAGAGAGCCAACATCCTCCAGACCCCAGAATGGTAGATCCACCAACAGCTTGCACAATGCACCTGGAAGAATCAAAGATGCTTAATGCCCAACCCATGAGAGCAGCCAGAAGGGGGGCTATATTTCTCCATTTCTCCCAATTTCTCTTATTTGGAATGGGTGTATTTACCCAATACCTGTACCCCTATTCTATCGTGGAAGTAACTAACTTGCTTTTTATTTTACAGGCTTATAGGTGGAAGGGACTTGAGTTTTCTCAGATGAGACTTTGGACTTCAACATTTGACCTAATGCTGGAATGAGTTAAGACTTTGTAGGACTGTTAGAAGGTCATGATTGTGTTTTAAAATGTGAGGACATGAGATTTTGGAGGGGCCAGGGACAGAATGATATGGTTTGGCTGTATCTCCACCCAAATCTCATCTTGAGTTATAGCTCCTACCATTCCCACATCTTGTGGGAGGGACCCAATGGGAGGTATTTGAATCATGGGGGCAGTTACCTTTATGCTGATCTCATGATAGTGAGTGAGTTCTCTCAAGATCTGTTGGTTTTATAAGGGGCTTCTCCCGCACTTGGCTCTACTCTTCTTCTGGCCCCCATGTGAAGAAAGATGTGTTTGCTTCCCCTTCTGCCATAATTGTAAGTTTCCTGAGGCCTTCCCAGCCATGCTGAACTGTGAGTACATTAAACATCTTTTTCTTTGTAAATTACCCAGTCTTTGGTATTTCTTCATAGTAGTATGAAAATGGACCAATACAACTGGGAAACAAGAAAATTCATGTGTCTTGCTTTATTGTGATGGCCTGGAAGCAAACCCAAAATATCTCTGTGGTATGCTTGTAGTAACACCACTTCCCACAGATCTACACCTTAGCCTTGCTTCCACAATTCCCTTCAGTGACTTGGCATCCCAGATTATCTGGTAGGTCACTCCTTTGATGCTTTACCTTTCCTCCTGGACCTTTACTTCTCCAGTTTTTGCCACAGTTTAGTAACATCTACGTCCTGTAATGAACAGTTATCTTATAACTCAGAAGTTCTGCTTCCCTGTTTGACATTGACAAATATGATTACTTCAAGCACTGAAGAATACCACAACTGCCGTGTAAAATGAACCCATATTATTCAGGTAGTCAGGTTTTTTTTCACTTGCAGTGACAAAAGGGAGTGATAATCTAAAGGGAGATCATCTGAAAGGAGAGATTATCATATGATATGAGTGGACTCCGTGACAATGCAAAAATCTCAACATCAGGCAGAAGAATTGGGCTTCACTCCCCCACAGTATTAACTTACTCTTTTCAAACCCTCATTATTTAGGCTAAGATTTGGTTAATTATAACAATTCATATTCATCTTCATTGCGTATTCAATTTAGAGTTTTTACAATTTCTAATGCTATTTGGGGAATAAATACTTTCATTTATTTTTCTTCTTCAAATTTTCTTCTCTTTCTATCTGTAGATCATACCATAAAGCCACATACACACATATGAGTACCTTAGGTTGCCTATGCTAGCCTTGTCAACACATCCATCCTGAAGGCCAGTATCTTCTAAACATGTTTATTGGTCGTAGAAACATTTGTCATCAGGCTAGGGTGGGAATGTAGAGGCATAAGCTCTACCTGACTATGTTTTTTCTTAACCTCCTAAGCTCCCTTACTTAACTTTGAAGCACCTCAAAACTAGATTAAAAATGTATTGTACAGATGTGGAAATCCCTTTTGCTACCTATATCCTCTTATCCTATTTTCCCTGGATGAGTATTGCTATAATAGTTTAAATGTTTAGCTCTCAATGCCTGATTTTAATTCTCACATTTGGAGTTTTTGTATTTGATGCTTTAGAATTTGGGTATTCAGATTTGTTTTTGGCTCAGTTTGCTTTTTTGGCCTCAGTATCTTCAGTTGTCTTTGGAGAAAATCCCTAATATCTCCAACGTCTGGTTATTAAAATGCACACCTATATGTAGAATCTTAGCTCCAGTCTATATCAGGAAGGAGAATGCTGACATTGTCTACAGAGTACAAACTCCACATGGGTAAGGATGGTGTATATTTGCTAAGGCATTCCCGGTACCCATCACAGGTCTCTAGATCATAAAAGTTCAGCAATTGTTAAAGTGATGAACTGAGAAAAATTCCATTAATCGAATGTTTTTTCTTTCTTTTACGTGCAACTGTTTGAATTTATTCCCCTTGATATACGAAAGCCCGATAAGTTGTATGAGCTGCAAAGACAAAGGATATGCCTACTTTGTTCATTGATTTATATCCATATCCCAGCACAATGCCTGTCTCAGTATAATCACAAATACGTGGGTTTTGAGGGAACAGTCAAGGGATATGCATTAGTTTTCACTGATTACTACCTCCACAGAAATGGCTAACTATGTGGCTATGTGGCTTGGAGGAAGCAAGGACTTGGTAATTTTGTCTGTGGAGAATCTATATTAGTCTTCTTTATATCTCAGTTCCTAAAGATTGCTAAATATGGAGGACACAGAAAATGACATGCTTAGGGTTTGTTATAAATATTTTTACTTTATTAGATTCAAAAAATGCTTTCTAACTCTATGTGTTTGTTGGAGGACAAGTCATGTACCCTGAAAAACAGTGTCTACGCTAGTTAGCACACACTGCAATACCAACAATACCAAAATTTAGTAGCTTATGAAAACAATTATTAAGTTAACTATTCTGTTGGTTGGCAAGTTGGGCTTTTCTTCAGATAGATGAATCTTGAGATCTCATGTGTCTGGCTACTCATGTGGCTATAGATTGATAAGGGATCAGTTGGTCTAGGGAAGACCTCAGTTGTGACCTCTTATTTAATATATTTTTTAAGTTCAGGGGTATATGTGCTGGTTTGTCATATAGGAAAACTTGTGTCATGGGAGTTTGTTGTGCAGATTATTTTATCATCCACATATTAAGCTTAGTACCCATTAGTTATTTTCCCTAATCCTCTTACTCTTTCCACAGCCATCCTCTGATAGGCCCCAGTGTCTGTTGATGCCCTGTATGTGTCAATGTATTTTCATCATTTAGCTCCCATTTATAAGGGAGAGCCATGTGGTATTTGATTTTCTGTTCCTGCATTAGTTTGCTAAGGATAATGGCCTCCAGCAAAATCCATATTTCTGCAAATCACATGATCTTTTTCTTTTGTATAGCTGCATAATATTCCATGGTGTATATGTACCACATTTTATTTATCCTGTATGCCATCAATGGACATTTAGATTGATTCCATGTCTCTGCTATTGTGACTAGTGCTGCAATGAACATACATGTGCATGTGTCTTTATAATAGAATGATTTATATTCCTTTGGGTGTATACCAAGTAATGGGATTGCTGGTTCAAATGGTATTTCTGGTTTTAGGTCTTTGAGCAATCACCACATTGTCTTCAACAATGATTGAACTAACTTACACTCCCACTGACAGTGTATTCTGTTCTCTGCAACCTCCCCGGCATCTGATATTTTTTGACTTTTTAGTAATACCTAATCTGACTGGTGTGAGATGGTATCTTACCGTGCTTTTGATTTGCATTTATCTAATGATCAGTGATGTTGAGCTTTTTTTTTTCATATCATTGTTGGATTTAAGAAGTCACAGCTTTTCCAGAAATTGGAACCCTCTTATACTTTATACAAAAATTAACTCAAGATGAATTAATGACTTAAAAGTAAAACCTAAAAACATGAAAACCCTAGAAGAAAACCTAGGTAATACCATTTAAGATATAGGCATGGGCAAAGACTTCATGACTAAAACACCAAAAGCAATTGCAACAGAAGCCAAAATTGACAAATGGGATCTAATTAAACTAAAGAGCTTCTGCTCAGTGAAGGAAACTATCATCAGAGTGAACAGGCAACCTACAGAATGGGAGATAAAGTTTGCAATCTATCCACCTCACAAAGGTCTAATATCCATAATCTACAAGGGAATTAAACTAATTTACAAGAAACAAACAAACAACCCCATCAAGAAGTTGGCAAAGGATATAATCAGACAATTCTCAAAAGAAGACATTTATGTGGCTGACAAATATATTAAAAGAAGCTCATCATCACTGGTCATCAGAGAAATACAAATCAAAACCACAATGAGATACCATCTCACACCAGTTAGAATGGCAATCATTAAAGAGTCAGGAAACAACAGATGCTGGAGATGATGTGGAGAAATAGAAACACTTTTACACTGTTGATGGGAGTTGAAATTAGTTCAACCATTGTGGAAGATAGTGTGGCAATTCCTCAAGGATCTAGAACCAGAAATACCATTTGATCCAGCAATCCTGTTACTGGGTATATACCCAAAGGATTATAAATCATTCTACTGTAAAGACAAATGTACACGTATGTTTACTGCAGCACTATTTACAATAGCAAAGACTTGGAACAAACCCAAATGCCCATCAATGATAGACTGAATAAAGAAAATGTGGGACATACACACCATGGAATACTATACAGCCATAAAAAAGAATGAGTTCATGTCCTTTGCAGGGACATTGATGAAGCTGGAAACCATTCTCAGCAAACTAACACAGGAACAGAAAACCAAACACCACATGTTCTCACTCATAAGTGGGAGTTGAACAATGAGAACACATGGACACAGGGATGGGAACATCAAACAATGGGGCCTGTCATGGGGTGGGGTCGAGGGGAGGGAGAACATTAGGACAAATACCTAATACATGCAAGGCTTAAAACCTAGATTACAGGTTGATGGGTGCAGAAAACCACCATGGTACATGTATACCTAGGTAAGAAATCTGCATGTTCCACACATGTATCTCAGAACTTAAAGTAAAATAAAATAACATAAAATAAAAAGAGGTCACAGCTTTTCAAAGGACATGAACAGACATTTTTCAAAAGCTGTGACCTCCTAAGTATAGCCCATGGATTTCTCATCTTTCATTAGATTAGCACAGAATGTTCAACATGATAGTAGGCTTTCAAGAGAAAAGGCAGGGGAAGCATGCAAAGCCTCTTGAATTTCGGGCTCAAAGTCACGTACATTTCCTGTTGCATTCAATTGGTCAAAGCGATGTACAAAGTCAGTTTCAAGACTGGAAAAATCAACTCAGTTGCTTAAGAGTGGAGCTTCAAAGTATTGTGGCCATTTTTTGCAAACTACTACAATATTTTTAAAGTGTATTCTCTTTATAGTGAGATAGAAATAACATATTGAAAAAATGTATAGATACAAATATATAAAGACATACACACATACACACACACACACACACACACACACACACACACACACAGTCTTTTTTGTAGCTGAATGGTTACAAGGTCAGTCCTTCTCCATGCTGGGAGAAAGATTAAAAATCCACTCTCCTTCCTCACAGTGTTATTCAACACCTCCTACAAACCAAATCTAACCCTCCTATTCCCATGCTCTTCTATATACTGAGATATGCAAATAGGCATTAGAGAAGGTTTTGGAAGAAAAATGTAACAGATAACTTTTCTACACACTTCTTTGCTTATTACAAACTTGAAACTTATGTCTACTCAGAGAGGTAAAAGACACTCTGGGTCCATTTGATGCCCTGCGAGCTTCCTCTCTACCTGTGTCTGTAGTGGTGTCTCTAAAACAAAGCCTTCTAAACCTTACTGATTATTAGATGCACATAGGGAATTCGAGCCAAAATCCAATATACAATGAATTAAAAGCTTTGGGGATATGGTCAAAGTGTTCTTAGTTTTTAGTATCATTGACAAATGAAGAAATTATGTTAAAGATAATTCAAGTTATCTGTTCAAATTCAACAAATATCCCTAGAAGAGTTGACAATAAAATTCTAAGGATCTGGAGTCCTTGCTCAATTTCTCAATTCCTTGAGTACCCACAAGGAATAAAATTCATTTTATTCACATCAGAATCTTCTAATGAAATTCCAAATAATTCTGCCACCCTATCATTGATTATACATCATGAATGTGACATGATCCATGTGAATTCCAGAATATGTTATATAGAAGTAATCTGCCTTCCATGTATATTGATTTTGCAATTTTCAATCCTTACTATGGTTCTATATCTAAATCTATTTTCAGGAAATTTACTATGATCTGCAAAATTTAATAGACCTATGATATGACATGCTATATTTATCATTTATATGACATCTCTTAAATAGAAAAGACAAAATATTATAATTTAGGTTACTTTGGACCATTGTCAATATTGTCAGTGTCTGATAGAGCATTGCTCGCTCTCTTTTTTATTCTCGCTCCCTGTCCTTCAAATAAAATTGCCTTTTATTAATTTTTGCTCTACCCAAGACTGGCAGCTGATTTTGAAGTGTCAGACCATTATTTGGTTTTTTTTGGATGTTACCATTTATTGCAAGGAGGATAAAATCAATGTGACATTTCCAGAACAATGATAGATGACAATAATAAGTGGTCTTTAAATGCGGAAGACTAATTTTTAAAAATGTCACCAGTGTACTATTTCAGACTTTGTCAAAGATAAAGCAGTAAAACTTATAGACATAAAAACTAATAATATTTCACCAAGTTACTTGCAGATAAAGATGCTATACTTACATCATTATAGGTCTATCTAAATACTGCCTTACTACTAGAATAAGT
This sequence comes from Homo sapiens, assembly GCF_000001405.40. NCBI lineage: Eukaryota > Metazoa > Chordata > Mammalia > Primates > Hominidae > Homo > Homo sapiens. The sequence goes on from NC_000018.10 coordinate 40,705,327, forward strand.
ACAGCTATAATATAAAAGTCCATTGATTTGGGCCATTCAAAAACAAAATTATGGATGTTTGGCCTGAGTGAGTGTGTGTGTGTGTATGCACACATGTGTGCTTGTATTTGGCTATGGATAGGAGTAATTTAAACCTGTAACCATTGAAAAATACTGCACACATTGTTTTTTATCTATTTTCATCTGTATAATCCTGGGAAAACTACACACCCTCTCTTTGTTTCACAATTCTTATTTTCAAATAAAAATATCACAAAAACCAACTCATAGGTTAAATGGGGAAGATAGACAAAAATTTTAGAATAGTGCCTGGCACACAGTAAGGACTCAATAAATGTACATATTATTATCATTGTTTGTATTAATGTTGTTATAAAATGGTACAACATCATCAATGCTGAACTGTTCATACTAGCAGGAATTCTCACATTACCATTTTTATATTATTGTTGTTCAAGCTTTCTAATTGTCCTTTAAATTCTTTTCATGCAGTGACTGGTTTACATTTTACCTTGTGCTTCAGTTAAACTAGAATAAAATTATGTGCATTTTGCAAATTACTAGACTGATGGTCAAGAAGCAGTGCAGCACAAAGCCAGCAAGGGATTTTGTAGCTCTCATTGAGGATTCATTTTTAGAGAATTAATTTATAGTTTGGAGGAACTAAGTTTAAGTCACAATGTGCAATTTGCTCTATAAAGATCCACCACATTTTCAGGGGCCAAAAAATTTAGCAGGAACTTACAACAAACTTATGTCAAAGAAGAACATTCACTGTGCCAGAAAGAACTGCAGGAAGAAAAAAGAACAAAGAAGTAAAAGAGCAAAGAAAGAATTCCCTGCTGCTTTACAGAGTGACAGATGATGGACACCTTGTTGCTACCCAGTTACTACTTCATCAAGAGTTTCCCATCAGTATGAATTTGGGAATTTCCCATAGGATGGAGTTTCACTTTCCTTATTTTCATATGGCATATTAATTCATTTTGCTTTCTTGCATTTTAATATGCATAAAGAAATTTTAAGTAGTTAATTATAAATTCTATGTAATTTGTAGTTATCTGCTAACATTTATAAATTGGTTGACCCATGAAGTCTTATATTTGTGAAAAAAAGACTTCCGTTCAAATTCCAACCCTAAAACTTAGAAATTTTGTGATCTTGTGAAAGTTACTTAGTATCTCTGAATTTCTAAATCCTCGTCTATACAATGTCAATAAAAGTACTTGTATCTTGGGATATCTTGAGCATTAGATTGTCACACAAACTCACACACACACACACACACACACAGAGTACTTGAGATTACTCCCATGAAACAAAAGTTTCTCAATATGACTTTATTCCCTTCCCATTCTTTCTCCTCCTTCCTCTACCTTTAGTGCATTTTCATCGTTTTTTTTTAATTTACAAATCTGTCCTACAGGTTAGTTCTTTAATCAGTGTGTTAAGATAAATAGAGATCGAGAAAGAACAAGGAAATGGTGTCCTAGACCTCCATTGTTTTTTTCACCAATAGCATTTCTCCACACTTATCCTTACCCTGCACCATCCCAAGTCTATGCCTTCAGAGAAAAAAGTGTCTTCAGGCTAAGGCCAGAAAAAAAAAAAAAGCTGCTGTCAAAGAATTTATTCCTAATCAGAATTGCTGTTCTATAACCAAATGAAGCTGCCTCAGTTGAACCTTAGGAAGTAATCCTGTGACCAAAGAGAACAATGATAACAAACAAAAACTAAAATAAAGACAAAAGCACATATTCTTTCTTCTTTCCCTTTGTTTGCATTTAGGAATCTCTGCCCACTTTCTTACTAGTTACTGGTTATGGACAAGATCTGTTGGTCCACAACAGCATGCTAAAGATGAGCAAGCCAGACAAAGGGAAACAGGTTTGCTGTCACCCGTACAGCAGCAAGTGGGAAGCTTCCAGGTAAGAGAAAGTCTCAACATTATTTTACCAACTTAAGTTCTATACAGAAGTTCAAAATAATTAAAAAAAAGCCAAATAATCCGCTTTGAACTCCAGTCTAATCTTTTAATGAAAATTTCACCTCTAACATTTTGACAAAATAAAATACACAGTCCTTGATCCTGATTCATTGTGAGAAGAGGAAAAATAAGCTCAGGATGGGATTATGTAGTTAAGGGAGGTGAGAAAACAGAGACTCTTTGAGTTCCTTCTGAAAGCAAAAGATCCATTTAATTACATACCAGAGATGATATACTCAAACCAAGACTTGCTGCCATAGTCTGGGCATGCGCTCTGCTCCAGTTTCCAGTAACTGTCAGGAAAATCAATGTTCTCTATTACCTTGCTAGTGAGAAACTGTGGTTTTTGAACCAATAGCATTGGCATTATCTGGAAGTTTGTTGGAAATGAAAAATCTAGGACCAACTTCTGATCTACTGAATCAGACCCTCAGGCAGGATTCTGAGTTTTAACATTTTCAGGTTATTAATTTAATTATTAAAATTTGAAAACCTCTGCACTACTCTTATGTGATTATTTTTGATAAAGTTTCAACCAATGATAACATATGGATGGACTCACTTAGGATTCCTTTTGGAAGCTAAAAATAGGACTAAAACCTAGACCAGTGTTTCTCAAAGTGTAAGTTCTTGACCAGCAACATCAGCCTCATCTGCAAATATGTTAAACGTGCAAATTCTTTGTCCCACACCAGAACTGCTGAGTCAAAAACTCTGGGAGTGGGGCCTAGCAATGTAGGGTTTAACAAAGTGTATAAGTGATTCTGAGGCATGCTAAGTCAGAGAACCACTTCCCATAGCTGAAAATGAGCCACTAGACCACCTGTAGGTCTATAACAGAAACTTTGTCTTTTTTGATTTACTTCACAGATAGCAGAAAAAGCCAGATCATGAGGGCCATCCATAATGCCCATAGAAAAGCCAATCCAAACAGCCTAGTTGAGGTTTGCTCAGAGTTCCAAGCAGCAGTGGTCCTTACCTCTCTTATTTTTCAGAAGGATCTACCCCCCAAAAGAGTCCATATCTAAAATCTTCCAAAATTTAGCTTATTTAATTTTCTAACAACTGCCACAACTCTAGGATTCTAATAACTTCTTTGCCATTAAACTGTTCTCAATTTTTCTGTATGATTGTAGTGGAATGGATGATGAAAAGTGGAAAAAGAGAGGGTTATTGAGAAGCCTCTTCTAAGCTTTTCATAACCATTTTTGTAGAAGCTGCCCCACCCTACCCATATATTTCTGTGACTCTGCTGCACAACCTCACTTCTAGATGTGGCCAGGCATTCATAAGTACAGAAAGCAGCTACCCATGTTAACTGCATATAATAGGTTGAACAGTGATCTCCTAAAATACCTGCTCATGTCCTAATTTCCAGAACCTATAATCTTAACTTATTGCATGCTAGGGGAAGGGGTGGGCAGGGGGAAAAGTCTTTGCAAAGGTAATTAAGGGTCTTGAAATGAGGAGATCATCCTGGATTTTCTGGGTGGGTCTGAAACCCTAAATGCAATGACAATTATTCTAAAGGAAAAAGGAGAGGGAAATTTGAGATAGCAAGAAGATGAAAAGACACAGAGACAAGGAGGAAGCAATGTTGCCATGGAGGCAAAGATTGGAGTGACATAGCCACAAGCCAATAAATGCCTGGAATCACCAGAAGCTGAGCCAGAAGAGGCAAGAAAGATAATCTCCTCTAGAGCCTTCAGGGCAAGAACAGCCCTGCCAACACCTTGATTTTGGATTTCTGGCTGCAAAATATATTGCTGTTGTTAATACACCCAATTTGTGGTAACTTGTTAGAGCATCCCTGGGAAATTCATACACTGTCTTTCTCTTCTAAGTGAGATTACTGTAGCAGCAAAAGTTCAAGTGGAAACCTACCTTTGAAAACATCCTGTAGTCATTGTATTATAACATTATAGAGGCCAGGTCAAAGGACAACTGATAAAAGTGGACTGTGTGTGGTGTTTTTCACCCTCAATTCTGAGTGTTATCTCTAGGTCTAGTTTGCACACACCCCCCTTTGACGTTGTAACTGGGTCCCTGCTACATGTCTCCAGGCATAGGTCTGACCTCAACATCCAGAAGTTGACAAGAAACAAATCACAAATGATCATCTTTCTGGCCCATATTTAGTAGCCCCAAAATGGTTAACATTTTCTTGTGTTTTTATTGTCACTTTCCCTATATTTTATCAGTATATAAATTTTAATATTTTATATTTTTTCAGTAAAAGAAATGATGAAAATTTATAGAACTGGGACCACAGCAGTTCAGGGTTGGTTATGAGCCTAGGCAACTCAGATTTTAATTTTTGCTTTGAAAGCACTGATTCTTGAATTTCTTGAGCCTCATGGCTTGTTTTTCTAATTAAGCATCTTCAGGTATTTGGCTCCCATACACACTGAAATAATTTTGCATACATATATGCCTCCTTCCAAACCTCCACTTTGACATCTAAAATGTTTTGTCATAAGTTGCAATGGATGTAGTTTTCAATCTGCTGCAGATTTTAACATTTTATTTTTGTTTTAATGCATCTAATAGAATCTCAATACCATTGAGATGCCCCTTGACATTTATTTAAAAATACACTAAAAATTCTTCAAAATTTGGAGATTTTACATGATTTCTCTTTTGTTTCCACTGATAAGCCCACCATATATATGTGTGTGTGTATATATATAAATATATATATATTTTACTTCATGCCAGATACATGCTTTTCAGCAGAAAGCCTATTGTTGATTATTCTATCATATTTTGGTATAAATTAGAACCAATGTAGAAGTTGAAATATGATTTTAAACTTTCTACAACCATGTTTCTAAGTGCTATAAAATTTATTTGATAGTTATAACAATTATTAATATATAATTATTTACAATTTAAATATATACTACAAATATTGATAAATAATTTTTATGCATTACAAGATAAATATTACTTAAAATGTACCCCCTAACGAGATAGAAGAGGCTGCTCTCCTACATAACTGTTACTTATGCTTCATCATTTCTGTTTTTTCTTTTTATATTTGTTCAGTTTTATTCATATAATATCAAGAAACACACTATCAGTCCAAAAAGACTAGGCTATGAAGAGATAATTAGCAACCTAAATTTTAGGGGCTAATGCAAGCAAGTAAGCAAACAAACAAACAAAAATATCTATTTATCTCATATTTTGTGTATTCAATACAAGTCAGTTGTGAGCACTGGTCTATTTCTTCTGATTTCAGAATCCAAGCTGCCTGAGAAGGTACCATCTTAAAAGTCGACAATCAGAGTGTCAAAAGGAAAAATATTACCACCAATTAAATGCTCCAGCACCGCATAAAATAGATTCCTTCAACTTCCAAATTATTGGCAAGATACACATGCTACTATGTGCTTGATGGGTGAAATTAGAAATTCTTGGTGAGTGAGTAGACTGATTCTCACAGTTCATTCTTTTGGCCCCTAAATATTTGACTTACTCCCTCATTCCCAAGCAAAATACTCTCATACCTTGCCTAAAGCAGAATATCTGAAATTCTAATCATTAGGTTTTGGGTTGTTAAGAGGTGTGGCTTTGTTTTCAAATGGAAAAAGGTCTGATTGTGAAAGAGAAAATAGGAAAGGAGAAACTGAATGAGTCTTCAATTGCAGCAGCTTGGTTTTATGGAACTTGAAAATTTCGCTATTGATTTCCTTAAAATTCTTCATACCCAGGCACTCTAGAGATAGTCCTTGTATAGCTATAGGATAGACATAACGATTTTGATGGATGCTGGTTGGTTCTAGCCAACAGAGAGGGAAACAATGACATGTTAGTTTAGAAAGTTCCGCATGACATCATTTGTTTTTAATAATAAAGAAATCAAATTTTAGAATAATTAAATACTTTTTGGAAAAACTTATGATTAGTAATCTGTAAAACTGACATACGAAAAAGTAACATTAACATATCATTATATGCATGTGTGTGTGTGTGTGTGAGAGAGAGAGATAGATGAGAGAGAGGGAGAGAGACCTGCAGAGACTGAGAAAATGATATAGATAGGTAGCTGATAGATAGATAGAGAGAGAGAGAGAGAGATAGGTGATAGATGATTGACAGATAGATAAAGTTTGGTTGTGTAATTCATAACTCTAAGTCTTTTTTTTAGCAAAATGACTTTCTTTCACAACTGCATCATGGTTCCAAAGGGCACAACTGAACATAAAAACCATCAGCAATGATAAGATAATGCGTTATTTTATGATAAGATTCTACAAGTTTATCATCATGATACAAGCCAAACTTCTTCCCCAGATCTTTATTTATATGATTGGGAGAGTGGGGAAAGGTGGAATGTTAAAGACGTCTCTTGAATTATTTGTGTTTTTTTCAGCAAGTATTATGGGTAAGCATGTACATAGCTTTGCTAATTCCTCCATTTTCTTCCCGCATTATTGGGAAAATACCACATGCCTACAGACCAAGCTTTAGGGCAATGACTTACCGCCATCATATAAAACATTCATAATTGTTTCCTTGAGAGTTTCAAGACCCTAGTTCCCAAGGTCGTCTATTATCTGCACTTTGCCCTCTGACCATTTATCTGGTGCACTGGGATTGTCACTTCAAAGAACTGACCTTGCATTTTCATGATGCGACTGCATATGAAAAAGTAGAGAATTTTCCTTTAAGGATTAGTAAATTACAGGAGTAGAAATGAGGGAAAACTAATAATTGCTTCTAAAAAATGGTTATTTATTTATATTTAAGTTTCCATGGCTGAAATTTTAAAACAAACTGACAAGGTTTGACAGATGCAAAACTGCTAGAAACTTTCATTACTACGTAAAGATGAATTATTTTTCTTTTTGTTCCAGGAAATACTCACCCTATGGGGGAAATATGAGCTCATTTCAACCTAAAAAATCAATGGACCAAAAAGAAAAAGCAAAAGAAGAAGAAGTAAGAAAAATGCAATGGGCCATATTTCATACAGGAAAATGATACCACTGATACATTGTCAATAAGACGTATTCGTTGAACCTCTTTCTTTGAGGGAGAAAGTTTTCACTAAATTACCCACAGTTATTCATTTGACTATTTTTTTTTCCAAAAAGTCATTCTTGATCTGGCCACATTTTTCTCTATGCAAATTAAATAATTTAACCTCATAAACTCCACTCTCTAATCCATTGATCCTCCAAGACTCACTAAATGCTTCACCTTCTCCATGTTATCTTACATGGATATAAAGTCCACTGAACTCTTGTATAGTCACACTCTGTCATCTAATATGCAACATGATGTTAATAATCTCATTTTATTTACTAACTGATAGTATGTTCTCTAAAACAAAGTGTGGAAAACATCTCAGTTTTTTGGATTGTCCATGGATACTCAATATTGCCACAGGAACCCAAGACAATAGAGCCCAGAAAACATCCCAATAAAAGCAGCATGATTTTTTTCCGAGCAAGTGTCCTGAACTCCAAAATGGTTTTCTACCCAATCAGTTTGGAGTAAAAGCAAGAGTGAGCTGGAAAGGTCTGGGATGGAATAGACTGAATGATTGGCTGGTTGTTTTTCTGAGCCCAGCTCTGAGTCCCATTTGGCCTAATTGGGATGTGTCATCAAAGCAGATTTAGTCAGATACTTGATTTGCTACATTGTCTTTAAGAAAGTGGAAAATGTTACAAAAAACTCTCCTTATGAAGCATTCCAGTGTCTGGCTCTTTCCATCTTCACCCGTTGAATCACTACGTCATAGGGAGTACACCAAATATAGATGCTCTTATTTAATAATCTTTTCCTACAGTTTATTTACTTCATATGGAAACATTCATCCAAGTCTGAGCTAATGTATTTATATCTTTGCTTAGCCTTTTGTTGAGGAAGATCCTTAAGAGTAGGGACGAGGTCTGTTTTAGTTGCAATTGTATATCTACTAATTTACCACCTAATGTATCATACCATTACAATGAAAATGTGGTAAATAAGTGAGTATAAATACTGAACACTTGACACATATATTAAAGTTTCTCTAACTTATTGAGTTCTCTCTAGAATTTTTGGTGAACTCGTGCTATGCTTCCATATTACATCATTTCACTTCCAGTAAATTGACTAGTTAGGGACCTGTGTTGTATTATAATTCTGTCTGTTCCTCTCAAAAAGTGATCAGGATAGGTATCAGATGAAGCTGCATGAAACCGTAAGAAATAACTATATTATTGTTTCTATTTGCCTAACCGGAATTGGTGAGAAGAACATCTTACATTAGTAATTTGAATGTTTTTTTGTCCATGTTGCTTACAGGAGCCGTTTTTCTTGGTCTTTATGATATAAGGGTATGCACACCAGAATAAATTGAGAAGGTATCTATTATATACACATCTTTATCCAAAACCAGATCCTGAATTCAGATATTCAGGGGAGTAATTTGGTCTAGTGTATATTGAAAAACACCTTAAGTAATTCTGATAGGCACTATCAGACAAACAGAACTGCAATGAATGGATGAACAACAATTTATTTTATTTCCCATTTTTTAAAAATGTTACTTTAAAAAATTTTTGTGGGTACATAGTAAGTGTATATACTTATGGGGTACATAAGATATTTTGATACAGGCATGCAATGTGAAGTTAGCACATCATGGAGAATGGGGTATCCATCTCCTCAAACATTTATCTTTTGAGTTACAAACAATCTAATTACATTTTTAAAAATATACAGTTAAGTTATTATTGACTATAGTCACCCTATTGTGCTATCATCTAGTAGGTCTTATTCATTCTTTTAGTACCCATTAATATTTCCCATTTTAAATCACTCCCAGATATATTGCTCAACATAGTTGATTTAATTAGTCTTTGAAAAGAATCGAGGTTTTAAAATTTTATTTTGGTGTTTGTTGTTTGCTGCGAGGGTCTTTGTTTTTATTTATGAATAGCTGTTGGGGATTTGCTCATTCTCTTTATTTCGAACAATTTTTATTTTTATCTTCATTGATTTTTTTCTTACCCCACACCTTAGGTTTATTTTGTTATTGCTTTTTTTAATTGAATAAGTGCATATATTTTCATTTTTTCTTCTGTCATGGTTATTTTTCTTTCTTTTTATTTCTTTTGCTGTTATAACAAATAACAACAAACAGGGGATAACACAATGCAAATTTATTATCTCATAGTGTTGTTAGTCCAAAGTCCAGGGGGCTCAGTGGTGCACTCTGCTTAGAGACTGATGAGGTCAATCTCAAGGTGTTCGCTGGCCTTGCTAGAGGCTCTGGGAAAGCAACCACTCTAGTCTCATTTAGCTTTTCAGAACTCAGTTTCATGTGGTGTTAGGATTTGGGTCCCTGTTTCTTTGATAGCTGTCACCCATGGATCATGTTCAGCCTCTAGATGTTGTCCACTTTACCTGGCTCATGAGCTCCTTCATCTTCAAAACTACCAGTGTGAGTGAAATCCTTTCACACTTTTCATCTTTCTGACTTCCACTTCTGCTTCATCTCTCCTGCCTCCAGCTGGAGAAATTTCTGTGCTTTCAGGACTCATGTGATTAGTTTAGACCTACATTAAATGCACTAGCAAAGTCTCTACTGAGTCTAACTTACCATATTAACAGGTTTCAGTGACTAGGACATACATAGTTTTAAGGGACTATTCTGCCTACCAAAGTCCTTAACCTTAAAACCATATAAATTCATCAAAAACTTATAATTGTATTTATTACTCTAATATCAATCCTCTCATGTGTCTCAGAGTTCTAATGATTCAGTAAGTTAACCAATTATGAACACCCACAAAATCTAGAAGTCAGGACCAATTGTGGCATAAGCTATGTGCCAATTCTTTTAAACAGTATCATTTTCAAAATAAAACCACTTTTCCTGTAACCCAAGACATCATAAAAGTTAGGCCAACAGTGCTTGATTTAACTGACATAAATAATTTGAAAAAAATACAAAAGAAAATAATAGAAAAAGAATGCCTTCATATTTTCACCTGTTCAGTCCTTGTGAAAAGTTTGTATAAACTTAAAAATCAAATAAGGCAACACTCCCATCCAAAGGTTTTATTTTCTATTTCAGTTGTGATTGGGGACATTTTTCATGAAACTGTCTAACAAATTATTGTTATATAGAGATGTTATATTTACTTCATGAAGAGACAACCTACATATTTATTTGTTCAAATGAAGATTTTTATTATTTTGGTGTTTTCAGGTAGAATATCATATAATCTGGAAACAATAATTTGCGTCAGCTCCTCACTATCTATAATTATTATTTTATAATGTAATTACATTAGATGTGCCTAAAAATGTTATACAAAGTGTTTTAAGCAGATATGTGCTTGTTCTTATGGTTTGAGCAGATTTTATATTATTTTTAGAGTTTTGGGGAGATATATGTAAATTTTATCAAATGCCTTAGGAACCTCTTGAGAAGATAGTTATTTTTCTCCCTTAGGCATATTAAAATGATAAATTACACTAATAGAGTTCTCTTTTGCTTGAGATTAAAGTATCTTTGTTTGTTGTACATCATCTAGGGAGATTAATTCATTTGGCAATATTTTATTTAGGATTCCTACATCTATTATGGAGGCTTCTTTTTTAACTTGTATCTTTGCAGAATTTGCTATCACTGTATCCAACCCATTTGCTAACTAAATGTTGCTTAATTAAAAATATATTTATATATATATATGTGTGTGTGTGTTTCCTACTTATTCAAAGCTCTTGTAAAGTTTGAATCACATGAAAATTATATATTATTTTAAATGCCTTCATAATTCAAAGTGTGGCCCTCTGAAATAATCTGGATTTCAGTCTGGAGATTTCATCTGGAGAAAGAGCTTGTACATTAAGTAATCCTCTTCCATTTCGCCCATGGGTATTATAATATTAAGATGTTTCCTAGTTCATTTTGTTTTGTTATGACAAAATACCACAGGCTGGGTAATTTGAAATAAATATATATATTTTTTGGCTCACTGTTCTGGAGACTGGGAAGTCTAAGGGCATGGTGTTGGCTTCTGCTGGGCATCTGGTGCAAAACTTCTTATGTCATACATGTCAAAAGCAATTACATGCTGAGACAGCATGTGAGAGAGAACAAGAGAGGGTTGACCTCATTTTCATAACAGTAATTAACCCTCTCAATAATTAACTCTCTCAATAACGACATTAATCCATTCAGGAGAGCAGAATGCTCTTGACCTAATTGCCTCCAAAACGTCCCTCTCACCAGGTGCGGTGGCTCACGCCTGTAATCCCAGCACTTTGGGAGGCCAAGGCAGGCAGATCACAAGGTCAGGAGTTTGAGACCAGGCTGACCAACATGTTGAAACTCCGTCTCTAATAAAAATACAAAAATTAGCCGGGTGTAGTGGTGAGCACCTGTAATCTACTCAGGAGGCTGAGGGAGGAGAATTGCTTGAACCTGGAAGGTGGAGGTTGCAGTGAGCCGAGATCGCACCACTGCACTCCAGCCTGGGCAACAGAGCAAGACTCCGTCTCAAAAAAAAAAAAAAAAAAAAGTCCCATCTCTCAACACTGTTACGTTTGGGATTAAGCTCTCAACATGTAAACTTTGGGGGACACATTTAAACCTTAGTAATATATCATATTTCTTGAATTTTATTGAACTTGAGTTACCATCAGTTGCAATACACATCATTGCTGTATGAATTTTCTAAGAAAAAAAGATACTGTCAGTTAATTGATGACACATTTTACATTTTTTAATTTCCTAATATTTTATTGTCCATTTAGTGGAAGTTTTTTTCTATTTATGTAGATGTATATCCTATATCTTTTGTGCATGTAAAAATATAAATAAATGAATTTCATAATTCCTAAAATATTTTCATATTCAAAATATCTTTTGAATACCTTTTGACCCTGAAACATCTATACAATTATTTTAATCATATAGTATAATCTTCTGGGTGCCTAAGAATATTAATAATGCAGTATTTCTTTACAAAATTCTTTTCTGTTGTAGCTAGGTTTTTTTTTTTCCAAATGACTGACAAACATTCTAATAGCTTTGTTGCTGGCTTTTATTTAATCTTCCAAGAGGTGTCAATGAGAAGTTTTTAGAGAACAACCGAGACACACAATTCTTTCTCAAACTTGCTCAAACAGTTGGTTGAATAATAAAAGCAGACAGTGGAGTATTTCAATCACGCCTCTAGGAATAACAGATAAGTTTGCTCATGCACAAGGTTATGACAACTATTACAATTATTGTTAGGCTTATACCAAACAAATTGATTATAAGATTCATCTTGCTGGTAAAGATATTAAAATTTGAACATAAGTGCATCTTAGGATGGCTTAAGTGCAGTTATTTTGTTTTCTTTAAAATCATGCATTTTCTTGAGATCATCTGTTTTCAATGAATGTTGTACATTGTAATTTGTGAATTTTCTAATTATCATTGTTCATCTCTTTTAAGTTTTCATTGTTCTTATTTGAATTTTATGTATTTTTTCTAAGATAAACAGACTTTTTTTTATTGTTTCAGAAACCTAATTTTGGACTTAGTTTTCAGTTTAATAGTTTGTTATTGTTTCTGCTTTTTGGTAATCCATTGACTTCTGCCTTTTTACATTAATTTACTCCTCCTGTCTACTTGTTGTTTCTGATGGTTTTTACAGCTACTTGATTTAAACAATTTAAAAAGTTATTTTGTCTTATTTAATAAAAATTTTAAAAGATATATTTTAACTTTTTTTAACTTTCTGTTTTGATGAAAATTTGTTTACATTTATTCATAATTATATCAGTATTTGAAAAAACCATCTGGTGCAAATTATCCTTTAGGTATGAAATTATAATTCATGGAGAATTATAATCTTCCCCTTCAACCATGATGTCAAGTTATTATATGGTGAAGTAAGAGAGAACTCTATGTCTTCTGTGACTTTGGATGAATTATTCAATCTATTTAATATCTTTTTTAAGGTAAAATTGATACTAATAAAAACATTAAATAACATGATGCATAAAAGTTGCTCTATAAATAATAGCAATTGTTATTTTTTGACTTTATTGTATGTGGAAGATATTCATTCCTGCTTTCTAGCTCTGATACTGTATTTCTCTTTACTATATAACTTTTTGATAATTTGATTAAGGATATAAGATGTATATAAAAGGGAGAAAGTCGAAATTTATAATTTAGTTTGTGATTTCGAACTAAATAGAAAATTTGCTTATATATTTTGAGCACATAAATATAGTTTATTGCCTATTGTTTTTAGTCAGATCCTTTCTCCTTTTCCTCCCAACTTTATCTACACTGTTAAAATGTGGAAACATATATTCAAGTTCACTTGTTAGTCTCTGCTGTGCTTGGATAGAGATGGTGATGCAGCAGGTACTCAATGAATGTGTATTGAGTTAAACCATGACCAAAGTAGTTAAAACAGAAATTTTCCTCCTCAGCATTCATACTCTGATTTAGTCTCAACCTAAATGAATAGTGCAGTAGAATCACTGCCTTCTCAGGCCTGTTTCTAGGAGGCATGTGAAACATATCAGAGTTTCAACCCTGTTCCCAGTAGACAAGTATATAGATCACAAAACACATTCATATGCCTTTCTAGTTGTCAGTCTATGCAGAGGATCTAAGAATGGAATAGGTCCCAAAGGCAAAACTATCTTCTCATTTTCAGTGGCAACTAGGGCCAAGGTTGAAGCAGACTAACAGAGGTGGTACAGGGCTAGTGCAATTGTCCTCTGGAGAAAAAGAAATTCATTTTCAAGACTTGTCAGTCACCCTCATGAAAGCTGTATCTACTCTTCTTAAAAGAAAAAAAATATTAAACTATATGATTTTCAGATATTTGGTTTTAGAATGACCAATTTTCAATGAGCTTTAATATGTGTGATTCAACAAGTAAAGTAGCCGTAGCCTTAGGAGAAGATGTTATTGTGTGTGTAACTTTTTTAAAACATTATTTCAAATACTGAAAACTTAAGAATAATACAGGAAAATTTCTTATACATTTCCACCCCCCAACAAAATAACCAGTTGTTTACATATTGCCTCATTTTTTAAATCACTATCTCTGCATCTGCATGTGTGTGTGTGTGTGTGTGTGTGCCTGTGTGTATGTACACATATTTCTGTTTAAAACAATTTGAGTGTACAATTATCACATTATAAACATATACCACTAAATATTTCTATTTAGTTTTAAAGAAAAGGGTATTCTATCCTATTATCCACGTACTATTAACAAAATCAGAAAATGTAGCATTAATCATAATGCTATTATCTAACCCACAGCCTATGTTTATTATTTTAAAATTTGTCTCAGTATTGTTCTCTATAACTGTTCTTCTTTGATTCAGGAACACACATTAAATTTAGTTTTCATGTCTTCTTATATTTTTAATCTCAACATTTCTTTTCTTTCTTAACCTTGATAATTGTACAAGATCAATTGCTTTATAGGTTTTCCCACAATATGGGTATCTTTGTCATATCCTGATTAGTATATTTAGTGTTTATATTTTAGGCTGGATGAACACAGAAATGTGATACTTTCTCATAAATCATATGAGAAGACACATCATATTAGTACTGCTACTTTAATGATTTTATTAAGGTGAGAGTCCAACTCATTTCTTACATGGAAATTATGATTTTTCTCTTTTGTAAAAAATAATTTGTATGGAAATAATTGAGACTATGTAAACATCTTCTTTCTAATTAAACTTTTGCCAACTAATTTTAACAAGCATTGAGGATTTCCTATCATTTCTTGTGTAATTATTAGTTGATATTCTACTGTAAGAAAGATATTTACCTTTCCCTCTATTCATTCATTAATTCATTTATTCATCAATTTATATTAATATGGTCTTATTGATTTCTATTTTGTGCAATGGATCATACTTTATGGAATTATTATTTTATTAAAGATGAAATTGCCCTATATTTGACAAGTGTTTGCTGTTTCAAGTTGATTTCTGTTTTCTTCTCATATTGCCTATCTTCTAAGCTCTTTCTTAAGAAAGCATTCATTATTATCTTTTTATTTTCATTATTTATCAATCTCTGCTCCAACAGTGACAAATTTGACCCCCAATAGAAAGTGATGCCAACATTACTGCAGATAAGATTATTACCCTGGCTTCACTACTCTCCATAGGAGTCCAACTAGCAATTATTCACAAGGGATCATAACATGCTAATAGAGAAAAGCACTTAACCACAAAGGAAGACAGTAGGAGAAAAATAAATAAAAAAAGGTGATCTTCAAAACAGCTAGAAAATAATTAACAAAATGTCAGTAATAAGTAAGTTTTTGCCTATCACTAATTATCCTGAATGTAAATGAATTAACTTCTCCAGGTAAAAGACAGAATAGAGTAACTAGATGGATAAAGAAACAAGACTAAACTATATGCTGCCTGCAAGAGATTCACTTTATCCGCAAAAACACACAGAAACTGTAAGGGAAGGAATGCAAAAAAAATATTTCATGCAAATGGAAACCAATGTAATGGAGGAGTAGTTATACTTATATCAAATAAATTAGACTTTAAGTAAAAAAACTGCAAAAGGAGACAAAGAAGGCCAGTGCATATGATAAAAAGTCAATTTGACAAGAGGATATACAGTTGTACGGTTGTTACTATACATTAACTCAATCCAGAGCACCTAAATATATAAAGCAAATAGTAAATAGATATAAATGGAGAGAGAGACTTCAATAATAGTAGAGGATTTCAACATCTGACTCTCAGCAATAGACATTCAGACAAAAAAAAAAACAACAACATACATTGGCCCTAAATGGAACTCTAGACCAAATGGACCTAACAAGCATTTATAGGACATTTCAACCAATGCCTGGTGAATACCCATTATTTTTAATTGCATTTAAAATATTCTCTAAGATAGATCATATGTTAGGTCACAAAACGAACCTAGTAAATATAAGAAGACTAAAATCCCACCAAGTATCTTTCTTTTCTACCACAATGATATAAAGCTAAAAAAAAAAAACAATAGGAGGATATTTGGAAACTTGGCAAATACATGAAAATGTAATAACTGCTTCTTAATAACCAATGAGTTAATTTAAAAAATGAAAGAAAAATTTTTAAAAATTGAGACAAATGAAAGTGAAAATACATATTCTAAAATAAATGGGATACAAAAAAGTAATTCTAAAAGAGCAAAGTTTATAACAATAAATGTCTACATTAAAAAAATTCAAATAACCTAACACTGACCCTCCAGTAACTAGAAAAATAAGAACAAATTCAATCCAAAATTAGTAGAAAGAAAGAAATATTTAAGAACAGAGAAGAAATAAATAAAATACAGAGTAGGATAATGTACAGAAAATTAAAAGTTAAAATTGACAAATTTTAGCTAAACTAAGAAACAAGAAGACTCACATAAATAAATCAGAAGTAAAAAAGAGACACTGAAACCACAGAAACACAAATAATCATAGAAGACTATTATGAACAATGATACTCCAGCAAACTAAATAACCAAGAAATAATGGATGAATTTCTAAACACATACAACCTACCAAGATTCAATTATAAAGAAATAGTAAATCTGAAAAGATTAAATAAGAATGAGGAAATTGAGTCAATAATAAAATGTCTCTTATCAAAGAAAAGTCCAGGTTTTTGATGGCTTCATTAGAGAATTCTACAAAGCATTTGAAGAATACCAGTTCCCAAATTATTTCAAAAAATTGATGAGGAGGGAGTACTCTAAATTCATTCTGCAAGTCCATATTTACCTTGAGGCCTAAAGCAGACAAAGACATAACAACAACAACAACAACAACAACAACAAATTTACAGACTAATATTATTGTCGAACTTAGATGCAAAAATCCTCAATAAATTGCTAGTAAATGGAATTCTACAGCATATTAAAAAGATTTTTTACCTATTTCAAGTGAGACTCATTCCAAGATGCAAGGATGGTTCAACATATTCACATCAATAAACATGATATATCATAGTAAGAGAATAAAGAACAAAAACACATGATCACTTTCATAGATACAGAAAAAACATTTGGTAAAATTCAATATTCATATTGAGTTTACATTTATATCCTTTAATAATAAAATCTCTAAAAAAATCGGCACAGAAGGAATGTACCTGAACGCAATAAAAGCCATATGTGACAAACTCACAGCTAACATCATACTGAACAGGAAAACGTTGAAAGGATTTCCCTTAATATCTACAAGACAAGGATGTCTACTTTCACCACATTTATTCAGAATACTAGTGGAATTCCTAGCCAAGGCAATTAGGCAAGAGAAATAAATAAAAGATATCCAAACTGGAAAAGAGGAATTTAAGTTGTTCCATTTGCAGATGAAAGGATTTTATGTATAGAAAACTCGAAAGACTTCATCAAAAAACTGTCAGATACTGTGAACAAATTCAGTAAAAATGCAGGATTCGAAATCAACATCCAAAAATCAGTAGTGTTTCTATAAACTCATAGAAAACTATCTTTAAAAGTAGTCCAGAATGTAATCTTATTTATAATAGCTATAAAAATACCTAGAAGTAAATTTAAGTGTGAAGGGAAATATCTCTCTTATGCAAATTATAAAACGTTGATTAAATAAACCAAAGACACAAATAAATGGAAAGATATCTCTTGTTTATAGCATCTCTTGTATCTCTGTTACACTGGTTTGGACATGGATTTTTGGGATAAGACCTGAACACACAGGTGATAAAACAAAAAAGGACTAATGGGATTCCATCAAACTAAAAACTTCTGCACAACAAAGGAAGCAATCAACAGAGCATAGAGACAACCTCCAGAATGGGACAACATATTTGCAAAATGTGTATCTGATAAGGGGTTAATATCCAAAATATGTAGAAAACTCAAACAACTCAATAGCAGAATAAACAACCAACCTAATTAAAACATGATCGAAATTCCTATATAGACATTTTTCAAAAGAACACATAACAATTGCCAACAGGTATATGAAAAACTGTTCAGTATCTCAAATCATCAGAAAAACACAAATCTAAACCCAAAATGAGATCTCAGCTCACTCAAGTCAGAATGGCTATTATTAAAAAGGCCACCTTCCAAAAATAACGTGCTGAAAAGGATATGGAGAATAGGGAGCTCTTACACAATGCTGTTGGAAATGTAAATTAGTGCAACCATGATACACAATAGTACAGAGATTTCTCAAATAATTAAAAATAGCAATACTATCTGATCCACTAATTACACTAACAGGTACACATCCAAAATAAATGAAATTATTGAAGAAATGTCTGCATCCTCATGTTTATTGCAGCACTATTCATAATAGCCAAGATATAGAATCAACCTAAGTGTTGATCAGTGTATGAATCGATAAAGCAAATGTGGAATATATGCACAATAGAACACTATTCAGCCATAATAAAGAAAAAAATCCTGTCATTTGTGGCAATATGGGTGAACCTAGAGGGCATTATGTTAAGTTAAATAAGCCAGGCACAGAAAGACAAATACTACCTGATCTCACTCATAAGGAAACTATAAAAAATGATTCTATAGAAACAGAGTAGAATAGTGGTTTCCACAGGGAGGGAGAAGAAGAGGTTAATCAAAGATACAAAAGAAGATAAGAGGAAAAAAATTCAAGATATCTATTGTACAGCAAGGTGACAATAACGATAATTTATTGTATTCTTGAAAAATGCAAAGGGAGTGGATGTTAAGTGCTCTTATCATGAAAATGATGCCCATGTGAAATAATGCAAGTGTTAATTAGCTAGATGTAATGACTCCATGCTATATATATACTTCCAAACATCATGTGTACAAGAAAAATACATATGTTACCTTTAACATTTAGAAAATAAAACAAACACAAAATATAACTCCCACTAACCTTGATATTTTTATTTTCTTAAAACCAGAATGAACCTAAAATAGTTTCTAATTGTTAAACAATCCCATCACTTAACTGGAAAAGCAAACCTACAAACTAAAAGTACTGTAATGGTTAACGTTACAAAAACATCACTTTGAAATTAAAATAGACCTACATAAGCAAAGGGGTATTTTACAGAGTTAAGTATATAAATTTTGCACATGGTTTGTTAAATTTATATATAGCTGTTTTATGGTTTTGATGTTATGGTACATAATATTGTTTTATATTTTATTTTCAAATTGTCTATTCCTAGTACATATAAATAATTTTTTGCATATTGTCCTACTATTCTGTGACCTTGCTAAATTCACTTATTTGTTCTAAAGTATTAATAATTGCTTTGCAGTTTTCTTATAAATTTTTAAAATCATGTTATCTGAAAATAAAATTTTTACTTCTTCCTTTTCCAAAATTTATGCTTTTATTTTGCTGTCTTTCTTCATGTTATCGCGTAGGGCCTTCAGAATAATACAGAATAGGTGTTTCAAAATTAGATAACTATTTTGTATTTGATCTTAGAAGGGAGGTGTTCCAGTTACTACTACTGCTTTATAATCCACTCCAAAATGTAGGATAAAACAAATATTGTATTACAATCACAGATTTCCTTGGTCAGGAAATTAATCAAGGTACAATGGATGTGGGTTATGTCTGTTCTACAAATTTCAGGGGCTTTTGCAGGGAAGACTCAAGGCTGAGGAAAACTCTACCAATAGTGACTATAATTATCTTGATGTGTTTTTCACTCACATGTCTGATGTTTAACTTTTAGCTTTGTCAGCTGGGGCCTCTGCTGGGACTGTTAACATGTGCACCTACACAAGACCTCTTCCTGTTCCATAAGCATCAACAGCATGAGAGCTGTAGAGTAATCAGATTACTTTTCTAGGCCCTCAGTGATGGAAAAGCACAGATCGCATTCAGCAAGGCTAGCAAATCCTTTATGACTTTTGGAATTAAAATAATATAACTTCTACTTTACTATATTGGTCAATGCACTTACATACTGGAAAATATTTAAGGGGAGGGATACAGACTTCACCTCTGGATGATACAGGTCAGGTTGCAGAAAGTATGTGGATGGAAAATGTCACAGAATGCTTAACATATTAAAATGTATAAAGTAAGCTGTAGCTTATTTTATCTTCCCTTTATCATATTGAAATATTTTTCTTCTATTGCTAATTTGTCAAGATATTTTATCATAAATGCATTTGACATAATCCTGGAATTATTTTCTTTTGTTCTATTGAAAAAGCAAATTCAGTTGATTAGTTTTGAAAATTGTAAATCATCCTTGAATTCCTTGATAAAATCCACTTGTTCACATGATCTTTTTCATATATTGCTATATTTAAATGACTAACATATTTTAAAGAAATTTTGCACTTAAATTCATAAAATGCACTGATACATATTTCCTTATGATATATTTTGTTATCATGGCTCTCTGGCCTTATAAAATGAATTAGAAATTGTTCCCATCTTTTCATTTTCTGAAATAAAGTGTCTTTAATTTGTTATAATTTCTTTTTAAAATATTTTATAGAATTTAACAATCAAGTCATATGGGCATGAAAAATCTTTTGTGAGAATGCTTTTAATGCAGTCATGCATCATTTAATTGTGGGGATACATTTTGATAAATATGTCATTAGGTGATTTCGTCATTGTGTGAACATCCTAGAGTGTACTTACACAAACATAGATGGTATATCTGATTACACACGTAGGTTACATGGCAAAGCCTATTGCTTCTAGTCTATATAAATGTACAGCACTTACTGTACTGAATACTTTTGTCAATTACAATGCAATTGAAAGTATTTCTGTATCTAAACATACCTAAAAGTAGAAAAGATTTAGTAAAAATGTGGTATAAAAGATGACATCTACACAGCACAGCTCCATTATAATCTTATGGGACCACCATCATATATGCAGTCTATGATGAACTGAAATATCAATATACATTTTTCTTTAAGCACTGTTGAGCTACATTCTGTAAGTATTCATGTTTTATTTTCATTATCATTTCTTTGAAATACTTTATAATTTTTTGTGATTTCTTGTTTGCTTGTAGCTCATTTCGAAGTATGTAATTTGGTTTGCAAATATTTGGGCTTTCGTAGGTGCATATTATTACTTTCTAATTGCATTTTTTTGATGTCAGAGAATATTCTATGCAGAATTCAAAATTGGCCAAGTAAATTGAGCCTTATGTTATGGTCTGGTGTATGACCTATCTTGGGGAAAACATCATGTGCATTCGAAAACCATAAGTATTTTTCAGTTATTTTCTGCAAAATATAATATAAATATCAAATAGTTCATAGGGCCTAATTGTGTTATTCAGATATTCAATTTCATTACTAAGAAAGATATGTTAAAACATTTAATTATGGTTTTGCATATCTACATAGCTATATCTATCTATCTGTTTTCAATTTTATCAGAACTACAAACCACTGTTCATCGAAATAAAAGAGGACACAAACAAATGGAAAAATTTTCCATGGTCATAGATGGGAAGAATCAATATCGTGAAAATGGCCACACTGCCCAAAGTAATTTATAGATTCAATGCTGTCCCCATCAAACTACCATTGACTTTCTTCACGGAAGTAGAAAAACTACTTTAAATTTCATATGGAACCAAAAAAGAGCCCATATAGACAAGACAATCCTAAGCAAAAAGAACAAAGCTGGAGGCATCATGCTTCCTGACTTCAAACTATACTACAAGGCTACAGTAAACAAAACAGCATGATACTAGTACAGAAACAGATATATAGACTAATGAAACCAAATGGGGGCCTCAGAAATAATGCCACACACCTAAAACAATCTGATCTTTGACAAACCTGACAGAAACAAGCAATGGGGAAAGGATTCCCTATTTAATAAATGGTGTTGGGAAAACTGGCTAGCCATATGCAGAAAACTGAAACTGGAACATTTCCTTACACCTTATACAAAAACGAACTCAAGATGGATTAAACACTTACATGTAAGACCTAAAACCATAACAACTCTAGAAGAAAACCTAGGCAATACCATTCAGGATACAGGCATGGGCAAAGATTTCATGACTAAAACACAGAAAGCAATGGCAACAAAAGCCAAAATTGACAAATGGGATCTAATTAAACTAAAAAGTTACTGCACAGCAAAAGAAACTATCATCAGAGTGAACAGGCAACCTACAGAATGGGAGAAAATTTTTGCAATCTATCCATCTGACAAAAGGCTAATATTCAGAATCTACAAGGAACTTAAACAAATTTAGAAGAAAAAGACAAACAACCCTATAAAAAGTGGGCAAAGGATATGAACAGACACTTCTCAAAAAAAGACATTTATGTGGCCAAAAAACATATGAAAAAAAGGTTTTACATTATTTATTTTAAAGCTCTGACATTAGAGCATACATACTTATTATTGTTATATTTTTCTGATGAAGTAAATTTTACTATTATAAAATGTTTGTCATCTCTTGAAATTTTTTTCAATAGTTTATTTTGTCTAATTATTAGTATAGTATATCCACCTATGGTAGGGATAATAATGGCTTGCCAAAGATGTCCATGAACTAATCTCCAGAGCTTGTGAACATCTTATGACCACTGGGAATTAAGGTTGCAGATAGAGTTAAGGTTGTGAATAAACTGACCTTAAGATGAAGAGATCATTCTAAGTTATCCGAGTGCACCAATGTAATTCTAAGAATTCTTATAAGTAAAAAAGGAAGGCATGAGGGTCAGAGTCACTGAAGAAAAATTAGCACTATCGAAGGTCACGTTGAAATGATGTGATTGCTGACTTTGCAGCCCAGTGAGAACCATATTGAACTTCTGACCTCCAGAATTTTAATATACTGAATTTAAATTGTTTTAAGCAATCGAATTTTTGTTAATTTGTTACAATGGTGGTAAGAAACTCACAGACTAGCTTCCTTTGTTTACTTTTTTGATTGTATGACTTTAATTATCCTTTTATTTTTAACCTATATGTTTCATATTTTCAAATGAATAAAAATAAATCTTGGTTTGTACAAAATTTTGGAAACATCGACTTTAAAACTGGAGTTTTTAGCTCAATTACATATTATGTAATTATTCCCACTGCTGGATTTAGTTCTTCTATTTTGCCACTTAGTTATAATTTATTTCTGTTTATCTTTTCTGCTTTCTTTTGGGTTAAATATATTAGTTTTCATATTCGATTTTAATTTTGCTGTTGGATTTTAGCTAAAACTTATTGCATTCTTTTATATTTTTATTTTACTTTAAGTAAATACATGTGCAGGACATATGAGATACATGTGCAGAACATGCAAGTTTGTTACATGGGTACACATGTGCCATGGTAGTTTGCTGCACCCATCAACCCACCATCTAGGTTTTAAGCCCCACATGCATTAGGTATTTGTCCTAATGCTCTCCCCCCCCTTACCCCCTACCCCTCGACAGGCCCCTGTGTGTGATATTTGTGTCCATGTGTTCTCATTGTTTGACTCCCACTTATGAGTGAGAACATGTTGTTTGGTTTTTTGTTCCTGTGTTAGTTTGCTGAGGATGATGGCTTCCAGCTTCATCCATGTCCCTGCAAAGGATATGAACTCATTCTTTTTTATGGCTGCATAGCATTCCATGGTGTATATGTGCCACATTTTCTTTATCCAGTCTGTCTTTGATGGGCATCTGAGTTGGTTCCAAGTCTTTGCTATTGTAGATAGTGCTGCAATAAACACATGTATGCATGTGTCTTTATAGTAGAATGATTTATAATCTTTTGGGTATATACTCAGTAATGGGATTGCTGGGTCCAGTGGCATTTCTGGTTCTAGATCCTTGAGGAATCACCACACTGTCTTCCACAATGGTTGAACTAATTGAACTAATTTACACTCCCACCAACAGTGTAAAAGTGTTCCTATATCTCCACAGCCTCACCAGCATCTGTTGTTTCCTGACTTTTTAATAATTGCCATTCTAATGGGCATGAGATGCTATCTCATTGTGGTTTTGATTTGCATTTCTCTAATGACCAGTGATCATGAGCTTGTTCTTTCAAATGTTTGTTGGCCACATGAATGTCTTCTTTTGAGAAGTGTCTGTTCATATACTTCACCCAATTTTGATGGGGTTGTTTGTTTTTTTCTTGTAAATTTGAGTTCATTGTAGATTCTGGATATTAGCCCTTTGTCAGATGAGTAGATTGCAAAAGTTTTCTCCCATTCTGTAGGTTGTCTGTTCACTCTGATGGTAGTTTCTTTTGCTGTGCAGAAGCTCTTTAGTTTAATTAGATCCCATTTGTCAATTTTGGCTTTTGTTGCCAAAATTGACAAATGGGATCTATTTAAACTAAATACTTTTTAAATACTTTTTTAGGCTGAAGAGAAATAACATCAGATAAAAGTGTGAACATATAGAAATTCATAAAAACACTAGCAATGGCAGATGTGCAAAAATATGAAAAATATAATACATTCATTAACCTTATTAATCTATTTTTTAGTTATGTATTTTTATTGACCTCTCTACAAATCCACTTTTTATTTTGTTCTGATTTCATAAGTATACCAGGTCAAGCTGAGGATTTTTTTCCCAAACCTTATACTTTTCAGTTCTGGGAATTTCCACTTGGTTTCTATTATTACGGTTTCCATTTATATGTATTAGTTCTCTTTGAGATTCCCCACCTAATCATTCATTAAAACCATATTTTCATTTAAATCCTTGAGCATATGCAAGAGTTTTCTAGTAGCTTTAACACTCTGGGTCACTAATTTCAAAATCTAGGTCATCTCACTATCAGGCTGTAATAATTGTCTTTCTCTTGACAGTCACATTTTACTCTTCCATTATATATTTAGAATTTATGGATCAAATATTAGAAAATGTGAATATTTTAGAGACCCTGGGTTCTGATCTCTTCTGAAAAATGTTGATCTTCATTCTAGCAGATGCTTAAATTGTCTGTATCTAAATTCTAAGCTCTGTCATCCTTGTTGTAGTCAGTAACTAAAGTGTTTCCTTACTTCTTTTAGCTGCTTTTTTTCTGCTGGGCTCCCAGGTTCTCCTCTGTGTATATGTAAGTATAAAGTCACTATGGAGTTAGGCAGAGTTCCATGCAAATTTTGGGACGTCTCTCCCTGCAGCTACCTTCATTCTGAGATTTCTCCTTCAATTTCCAAACAATTTGGCAGCCCTGGTTTTTGTTCTCAAGCTCATTCCAATAAAAGTGTGGTTTTCCACCTGAGTTCCAGCTTCTAGTACATCAGAGAATTTTATTAGTTAATACATTAAGGCAGTCTAAATTAATGACTGCATAACCTCAATAAAAAAATACACTGAGTAGAAAGTAAGGTAAAGTAATTTAGAGCTGTCGATCATTAATATGGCCAATTCAGTAGAAATAAGCATTTTTAGAAACTGCTTCTAATCTTCCTATATGGCTTCACTTTAATATGTACAAACATTTATAATAAAGTAAATGTTTAAGACTTAGTAGGAAAAAAATCAACTGGTACATTTCTGTAAAGCTAGGTTTTTTCATTTGGGGAAGAGAGTGGAAGGCTAGAAAAAAAGCTTCAGTTAAGAAATTCGAGGATTAGGGGACAATGTCTGATAAGAAATCATTTTACTTGCTCAAAAAAACCCTGTAATATAGAATTATCATTGAGAGCAAATTGTTAGATTACTTTATTCCACAGGATGCCAATAACTAGGTAATTTGCTCTGTGGTTAAACCGTAATTGCCATGTAATTAGAATAATTGCATTTTGGGGACAGGATATGCACTTACACTATGTTGTGAGTTCACTCAATAGCCTGGGCAATGTGGTTTTCAGGCGTCGAAAACCTAAGATTAGGTCAAGATTTCTTCTTATCTTTAGCTGTAGACACTTTTCTCATTGCTAAACCGACATTGTTTCGAAAAACCTTTTCACCTTCCTAGTTTGAGTGTCCTCTCTCTGTAGTAACATTAGCCTTTGGTGTTAAATGCACTAAAGCCACATCTCTCACTATATTACAGAAATTCGTATTTGTTTTCCATGTTTCTGCAAAAGGTCTACTTATATGCTTTCTCCTATCAAATTTATGTATTTCTACTTTGATTTTTCTCTTGAGCTCTAAACCTAAATATTTCAATGTCTTTTCAATATCCTCCACATAAATATCTAATGGATGTATCAAAATGAACATGCTTAAAATTCTGTATTCCTCTCAACCCACCCTACTGTATCTTTCCTTGTCTTTTCCATAAATATATTATTATTAACCCAGATGCTTAAACAAAAAAATCTTAGAGATTATTTATTTCTTCTTTTATTCCCTTATATCCTACATAAAATATATATTTAAATATGCCCCAAACCTGAGAAATTTCACCACCTGCAATGCTACTTCCTTTGTTCAAGCCAATGTCTCCTGTTTTCTCAACCACAGGAAGAAGTCTTGTAACTTTTTCTTCTTTGATATTGTCCCTTTTATATTCTGCTCTCTACCCAAGAGCCAATAATCTGTACAACACATAAATTATTTCACAAGTAGTATTGTGATATAACTTGTATCACAATATATAATTTATATAATTTTGTTTTACTTGTTTTTTTAATTAAAAACCTACCATTTGCTTCTCAAATGTTAGAATTAGATTCTATCTTCTTAATATAGTCTAGAAGACACTCATAATAATGTCCCTACTGATTCCTTATTCCTCACCTCTTTGCTGTGCACAGCCATAATGTCTTCCTTCGAGCTAGTTACTAGTTTTTAGAACATGTGAACCTGATGTCTACCTTAAAGTCTTCTACTTCTATACTTGCTGCATAACATGCTCTTATTCTAACCATTCCCATTAAAAAAATCATTTTAGGTTTTGTGAGTACATAGTAAGTGTATATATTTATGGGGTACATGAAATCTTTTGATACGGGTATGTGATGTATAATAATCACATTATGGTAAATGGAGTAACCATCTTCCTCAAGAATTTATCCTTTGTAACTCTCTTCTTCCCATTCTTTTTCCTTTCTTTTCTTTTCTTTTCTTTTTTTCTTGAGACAGAGTCTCACTCTGTCACCCAGGCTGGAGTGCAGTGGCATGATCTCAGCTCAGCTCACTGCAGCCTCCACCCGCAAGTTCAAGCAATTCTCCTGCCTCAACCTACCAAGTATCTGAGATTACAGGGGGCCCACCGCTATGCCTTGATAATTTTTGTATCTTTAGTAAAGATGGGATTTCACAATGTTGGACAGGCTGATCTTGAACTCCTGACCTCAGGTGATCCACCAGCCTCAGCCTCCCAAAGTTCTGGGATTACAGGCGTGAGCCACCACACCCTGTCATCTTCCCATTTTTTATCCAATTGCCTCATTGAGTTTTCTTTCTTTCAAATGTTAACACATCAGAAACACTTTCACTGTCCAGCCTTCCTGACCCCATCCTCACCCTATCAGGTTCCATCAGTGTAGTCTCCTTTATTTTTATTCACTACATTTACTATGTAGAATTATAGATAGAGGTATAAATACAGAGATATATAATTTTGACATTTTTATTGTTTTATAAGACTCCTCTACTAGAATGTAAGTGCTGCAAATCCTGAAACTTAGTCTCTATTCCAATATAACCCCGATTCCAAGCAGAATATCCAACACATGGTAAATGATATATGACTTTTTAAAAAATCAGAATGCTTTGCAAAATGTTTTGAGCCAAAATTCCAATAGAGATAATTAAGAAAATAAGCTACCATCCCTCATTAAAAAATAAGGAGCATCACTACCTAAATCAAAGATGACCTCAGAATTCTTTCTCCAAAAAGTGAAAATAAGAATTGCATGAACCACCCATACACATTTTCTTATTGAACTTTTTCTGTAATTATATATTATAAATATACATACACATATGTACACCTGTAAGAATATATATATACAAACACATACAAACACACACACCTATATATAACACACACACACACACATATATGTGTATATATATATATATATATAAAATGTTTTAATAGTTTTTGTAACTACAAATGCAATTTATATTTGCAGAAAGGGGTTTTGGGAAACATGAAAATGAGAAGAATTAGGAGGAAGAAAATTACTGATAATCTCGATTTAGAGATAAGGAATGTTATAAATTCCTGTATTTTCAGTCATTTTTATGGACTTATTTAGTAAAAATTGTACCACACTATACACAAATTTTAGTCATTCTCCATGCAATTTTATATCATCAACAGTGTCCTAGATTGTTTATTCTTATTTATTTATTTGTTTACTTATTTACTTTTGAGATGGAGTTTTGCTTTTGTCACACAGGTTGGAGTGCAATGGTGCTATCTCAGCTCACTTCAACCTCCACCTCCCGGGTTCAAGCGATTCTCCTGCCTCAGCCTCCTGAGTAGCTAAGATTACAGGAGTGCGCCACCACACCCGGCTAATTTTTGTATTATTAGTCGAGATGAGGTTTCATTGTGTTGGCCAGGCTGGTCTCGAACTCCTGACCTCAGTTGATCCAACCCCCTCAGCTTCCCAAAGTGCTGGGATTACAGGCATGAGCCACTGTGCCTGGCCATTGTGTATCTTTAAAGTATGAGTTTTGATGAAGAATATTACCTCATCTTACAGATTTCATACACCTATGTTTTTCTGCTCCCTGTGTTTTTCTGCTCCCTTATATAGGGGTATTAGATTGTCTCTAAGTTTTTTATAAATGAGAATAGAAAGAATATTCTTCAAAAAATCTTTCTAAGAACATATGTTTGTGAAAATTTAATTGAAATTGTGAGCTTACTCTCAATGTCTGATATTTAAGCACATGCATGTGAATATACTTTTAAAATATATTATTTTATAATAAACCTCATATTTCTAATTAGCATGAAGCAATGACAGATCAATCTTATGAATTTGAGCTTGTTGGAATTTGTTGATTTTTAATTGACTTAAAACTAGTGGCAGGACATTGACAAGCAGCATATTCTTTAGTGTTCCTGGTAGTGGGTCTGTGCCTTTTATGCCCCTGAACCCAGCTCACCTGCTGTCTATCATTTAGATGGAAATTTGACAAAGACTGAATACTGAAACAATGAACAACATTCTCTTATATTCCCTATTTATATTCACAAATGTCTTACCTTATTTGTAAAAAATCAAAATGGGAATTTTTCTTTCATAAGCCAGTTTGCAATGCTATTTCCGCCTTCTTTCTCTCTATAACGTTCTATTTGATTTACACGTAAGAAAATGGGAATAAGAAATAATTTGGTTCCTAGACTCTCAAAGAACAATACTTTCCTATATTTCCTACATGTGCTATGTATGAAACCAAAGTTTTAGACATCACTTCCTAAACTTTATAAATGCAATTCTAAACCAAAGTCTTGCAAATGAAAAGATGCAGACAATATATTATGTGTTTATTGCAGGATGACCCAGAAACGTTTGTTTTCCAAAAACTCTATTGGATTATATATTAGATGATACATCAGTTTTATGCTTTTCACAATGTTTCATCAGTAACAGCCTTTGTTCATCAATATATCAATATTAGCTTAATTATACATGACTCAACATAACTATGAAGTCAATGAAGAACTTAAATGTCAACAAAAGGTATAGAGGAACCCTATCTAGCTAATATATATGTCTTAAACTTTGGGCTGTTCTGCAGAATAGACCTTCAAGGGGAACACATACATATTTTCCAAAGAAGTTGAGGAATTATTTTGAAATTGAAACTAAAAGTCACCTTTCTAGACACTTGAGGATCTGTTAGATCTTTAAGTTTTGCTTCTTCAGGGAAGGTTTTGACAAGTCACACTTATGACACATTACTGATTCTAGCAGTTGCTTCTGTGTATGATGCCCACTGGCCTCTTCACCAAGGCAAGCTGCAGGCTTTGCTGCATCAAAAATAAGCTTCACAAGGGTGAGGTTTCCCTATGTTGTGTTCTGGTTATGTGTCTTCCTTCTCATAAATACTACAAAGATGCTGTTTCTCTAGAGTGGCTCAATTACAGGGTAGATCTGCAATTAGGCCGGGTAATATCTAGAATGATGGAAAATTGTACTTTCCTTTTCTTACTGTATGGCAAAGCCCAACCAGAACATCAAAACCAACCCTTTTCTTTTTTTGTGTGTTAATTATACTTTAAGTTCTAGGGTACATGTGCACAATGTGCATGTTTGTTACATATATATACATGTGCCATGTTGGTGTGCTGCTCCCATTAACTTGTCATTTACATTAGATATATCTCCTAATGCTATCCCTCTTCCCTCCCTTCACCCCACGACAGGCCCCGGTGTGTGATGTTCCCCTTCCTGTGTCCAAGTGTTCTCATTGTTCAATTCCAACCTATGACTGAGAACATGCGGTGTTTGAAAACCAACACTTTTCATTGGATCTTCTGTTCTCTGAGTGACTGCTTTGGACGTCTGAGTAAGACCCTAAAATGTGCAAATCATGGTTTTAGTGATTGGATTTTTGTATCCTATATATGTCAATGCAAAATTAGATATGTCCATCATTTCAGTTACATACCAGAAGAATACAGTAAATAGCAATAGTCAAAATGATTTATTGCATTGATTATTGTTTGACTGACTGGATGACTGAGTTATTCCTTTTTGAAATAGAAATTAATCCAATTAAATGAGGATTTCATTGCCCTAGTGTGTTAAATTAAATTGAAATGTAGGGCCTGTGAGCTTGAGATGTACAGGCAAATGCAATATTAGTAGTTTATGAAAAAAAATAGTGATCTGTCCAATAAAATCCTTACCTCTAACTAATAATATATTCTACAGTCCTGGTGAGTCTTTTAATTTACAAATCTACCAAAGGTTTTCACATATGTTACTGTATTTCCATGACAACAAAAATCCAGAATCAAGTGTAAATAATTAGATAAAATATCAGTTGAGAATCAAAAACTATCTTCTTACTTAAAGAATGGGTAAAAAGAGATGAAACAATGAGCTGCTTTATAGTCCTGCCAGTATCAATGTAATTAGCCTTTAATTTCGAATGCATTCATCGTTTTGTTTAGCTTTCTAATTTATTAAGGTAAATTAAAACTATGGTAATTAAACTTGTGGAAAAGTTAAAATAATTGCAGAATTAGAGATACATAAAGGACATATCTGAGGAAAATCATCAGTTTGAAAAGCAACAACTGCAGTCACTGATGTGTCTGCTTCTTTTCCTGTCCTACCCATGTTTTCTGCCATGAAACAGAAATATGTAAGTCAAATTTATCAAATCATGGAGAAAAGATAATTTATCAAGTTTTATTGATATTTTTCCTTTAAAAAGTTTTCTCTTATTTTCATGGCAGTGGTAGAAAAATTACTCTGAATGGAAATCATGGATGCTAAGCTTGGAAGGCAACACATTGTGGAGAAATACCTTCAGCCTCACTACTTTTTTCTTGTCTCCTCCAGTGACTGATTTAGGCCACTACAAAGTCATTGTAATGGTGGTGAACAGCTCTGAGCTGAAACCATATGGTTAGCCGAGTCCCTGGTGCAGACTCACAGAATTAGCAAACTGCTCCTGGCAAATCGGCCTAACTATGCACTGATCTGTTTCTCCTGGCATAGCCACAGGATCCTAGATGACATTTAGGAATCCTCATGTTGACATCTTCAGCAGCTTCTAGAGCAGGACAAGCATAACAGATATGTCAACTAAATTAATATATGAATACATAGAAATATTACTCATAGAGTTCCGACTGACTCTTAATTTTGCTTAGTTATGAACACTCAAATGTATAGAATGATTAAAAAACTGACATTAAATATGTCCATCTAGCTACATGCCTTCACTTCATTCATAGCGGCGGATGAACTGCACCTCAGAGGCACCATTATCCCATGTGACAAAGAACGAGGTAAGGGAAGCCTCAAGAATCCAGTGCAGACCAGCATGAGGATAGACACTGAAAGATCTAGAAGGAAGAAATAGAAGCTACATTTAGGAAGATCTTGTGCAGAAGGAGGATGAAGAAAAGAAGGGGAGTCCTGTTGTGGGAGCTGTCCAAGACACAGACTTCTCTTGGGAGACTCCCCCTATATTCTGATATACTATCTGATTATATGTAATTTCTGCTTTGTATGTTTGGTTATTATTTTAAATCAAGGACGGTATAATCTCTCTGACCAACCTCAGTGTATGGCAGCCTGGAGCCAAAATGTTTTATTCATGAGTGATGTCTTTTTTTTAAATAAACTATAAAAATGTAAAACAATAAAAGTGATATATACCTAA
Organism: Homo sapiens; assembly: GCF_000001405.40. Taxonomy (NCBI): domain Eukaryota; kingdom Metazoa; phylum Chordata; class Mammalia; order Primates; family Hominidae; genus Homo; species Homo sapiens. Next base: position 40,737,570 of record NC_000018.10, read on the forward strand.
TAATGAGTGAACCAATAAACCCACTGGGCAATTTTGCTCTGCAAGTGGAAAAAATTGACTTGGTATAACAAATTGCAGAATTATTAATCCTGTCTGAAACCCTTTTATATCACACCATTTACTTTAATTCTTACTAGTTTGGCCATTATTATACATTATGCATTTTTCTTTGTTCTCGTTGGGAGGGGAAGTGGTGACTAGAGTCTACTCTTGAACTTCCAAGGCCTCCAAGCAAGTTGAAGGGAAGACCCTGACCAGCTGGCAAAGGGAGAGGAGAAGGATGCCCCTGGCTGTGGAACCTCATTTGACATCTTGATTGACAGAAACCTCCAGTTTTCCTCTAGAAGGATGTTCTTTCTCCAGGCAGGTTGGAAGAGAAGCAAATATTAGCACTAAGCAGGTGCTTGCCTCCAGTGGCTTCTAGTAAGTTTATCACCACTTACTGCCAAAGGATATTCTTCTATAATCAAATAAATAAAGAACAATCTCAAATCCCTTGGATTTTAAAGGACTTCTTAGAAAGAAAAAAAAGCATTAAAACCTTTATTAAAAAGTTGTCATCCTGTACAATGATTATGTATCAACCACGAATAAATAATAATAATAATGTTAGCCTCCTAGCAAAGGATTTCTCACATTAGCAAGGGGAACAAAAGAAACATTGAAAACCTACAATGTCAACACACTTTGAGGGAGGGCTATTAACAATGCAAATATGAAACTACCCAAACTTGCATTAAGAAATTAGAATGGCAGAGAAATGCAGCAGACTTGCTGTGTTTTCATTACAAGTTTTAAATGTTTTGAGAAATCTAAATCGCACCCACCTACTTTCAGCAGCATTCTCAGATTAGGCCTCAGATTAAGACCGTAGAGAAGTGACACCCTCTTTGGTGAGTGTTCCCATGTGTGCATCAGCAGGGACGCATCACACACCCAGAGTGAGAGAAGTGAAACAAGGCAAGAAGACCACAGTCTGGTTCTGCAAGGGGTTTTCTGGAGTGAAGTCTTCAGGCTATTTTTAGAATCTATAGTTATTCTCACATTGCTGTAGCCCAAGAAACCTGAGCTACATACTGATGGAGAAAGGGCTCGGAGTAGGAAATAACTTTTCTAAAACCATCACTAGTCCAGATAAGGACAAGTCCAAACTAGAATCTTGGTCTTCTGACTTGATCAGAGTCTTTCAACACATTCATCACACTCTAGCTTGAGAATAGGTATGTTCAAATCTGTTTGTTCTTTCAGTCACAGAACAAATATTTATTAAGCATCTACTATGTGTTAGAAAGTTCTGGATTCTGGGGAAATGATGACATCATATGACTTATTTTATGGTCTAATAAGCAGCAAAACAATAACAACAGCAACAATAGCACATATTTATATAACATGTTAGGCAGTGAAAACTATGAAAAAGAAATAAATCAAGATAAGAAATTTGAGTGTCACAGAAAGATTGTTCTTGAGAAATAGATCAGAGAAACTTTGATAAGGAGGTAACAATTTAATACAGACATGGAAACAGAAAATAAACCTAGTAGTAATTTCGGAAATAAGGTCACTAATCAGAGGTAAGTGCACAGGTGGTGAAACAAAATGAAACTTGGTTTAACAGAGAATCAATTAGCTAGAAAACTGGCATGGCATGGCCTAAGCAAAGAGTATGGCAGAAAGTCTGGGGAGATGAGGTCACTGGGTGGTCAGAGCCAGATCTCACTGGGTTTCATAGACATTTGTTCTGTGTTTAGATTTTATATTAAGTGCCACAGGAAACCTTAGCAATTTTTTTAGGAAGAGCTTTGAATGTACATTTTAAAAGGGTTACTCTAGCTATTGTGTTGAGAACAGAGACTAAGGGATAAAGAACGGAAGTGAAGAGACCTGTTAGGAAGATGATACAACTGTTCAGGAGGAAGAAAAGGAGATGATGGAAACATATTAGAAAAGTAGCTATGCAGTTGATGAGAAGCGACAGATTCAGGATGTATAATGGGAAAAGTTAGCCTATATTATTTGTTCATTGCTTGGATGTGAAAGGAGGTGAAGGTAGTGGTAATAGGGGATCATTTGAAAAACTGTGTGCCTTTACTGATATATGGATAACCATTTGGAGTATATTTTAGATATGCTATGTTTCTGATGCTTTGTATATATCTACATGGATAAATTTCCCATCAGCAAAAATGCTGGATTTCATACACGAGTGATGATAGGGATACCAATAATATGTTAGATTATTACCAGAAATATAAATTCAAATGTAGCCAACCTGCACAAAACAATATTGTCTAGCAGTAAATATTCTAGCTGTTTTCAGTAAGCAGGACACTTAATTTTTTTAGTAACTCGAATAATGTTCTATTATGATTATTTTTGTCTCTGTCTTTCTCTCTCTCTCTCTCTGTGCTTCTTTTTCTAAATGTAGGGGCAAAATAGATGGGAAGAAAAATTAGATGGGAAGGAAAATGTGCAATAATATGCTACTACCTCTGGACTTAATTCCCAGTAGATTGTCATTATAAAATATGTACAACATGAGATAAATATCAGTGAAGATTAGAAAAAATAAGGTGTTTTATGGACTTTCAAGTTGGAGGTCTAGGTACATTCTGGCTAGTTAGCCTGACAGAAATGTCTATGGGTGTGATTGTCTATGTGCAATGACTTCAAAGGCAATTCAATGCCACTTAATCAATCCCTACCTCATCTCCTCTACTTCTCATATACACTGGTAAACCATCTCCCAATACATTTGGGAAACTGAGGCCCAAAAATGATGCCTAAAGAGCCCTAGTGATTACATGGCACTCTGTATATATTACTATTGATTGTAATCAATATATTTAATCATAATTTTCTCTTCACTACTTGGTGAGCTCCTTTAGAAAAGAGAATTTGTGGTTTTCTCGTTGGTGTTCCTAGAATTAAGCACAATGACTCACACATAGCATGTGTTCAATATATATTTGTTATACACATGAATAAAAGACACTTGTCCATTATACATTTGATGGGAACCACATTTTGATCAAGACCTTGATGAAGAGAAAGACAACAATACAGTTTCATCCAAATGAAACTATCAATTTACTTTCTATTTTAGGATGCAGCATCTCTAATAACTAGAATTGTGAAAACACACAGTTTGGCTAGTTCATTGAAATTAATGAGAATTTGCATATCAGCTTGTGGATTGCTAGTCTTGTGCTCTTCTTGAAGCTTGGTAGAGGGGAAAAATGTTTTAACACTCGTAATAGAAATTATTTTGAATGTGTGATGTGTATTGCAATCAGAAATTCGCACTCAGATGACATACATTTAATAAACATATGTTGAAAATGTCAGTGCATACAGAAATAGTTAAATAAGTTAATGGATCATATAATACTATAAATAAGCATTCAAAAACATGCACAAATTGTTAGGGATTTGTCCCTAATATGTGAGAATAATTTAAGAGGAAATATAACCTCAGGCCTTTCTAGATATAAAACATTTTTCTGAATGGATCTTGGGTTTGGGCCATTGTCCCATTTCTCCTGTTCTTATGCCGGAGATTAGCAATTTATTTCTGCCTTGTCTTACAGTTGATCAATATTTTCCCATGCCTCTTGCTTTCTGAAATATGCAACTCCTGAACCCCAGTTATCTCTTTTTTAACAGTGGCATCTTTGGGTGAAAGGGGATGGAATATTTTACACACACAGACACACACACACACACACACACACTTTGCAATCTAATATTACCTATAGTAATATATATTTATATATTAATACTTTGCAATTTAATATTACATTATTTATGGCAGGGTTGGTCTAGCTTTTCACAATAGAGTTTGTAGGAAAGACTCTATAGCAAATATATTCATGTTAAACAGCAACCTAAAAGGCACAGATTTTCTCATTTTACTTTACAGCATTCATTTCCAAACAGCTGGGGGAGAGATACATAAATACCTTCATTTTAATGACTGTCTTGAAAAGGTACTTATTTAACTTTTCTAGAGAGACAGAGTTGACAATGGCATTCATTTTCAAGAACTGCTCAAGATTTAAGGGCCTGAATGTCTCCCTCAATAGGTTTCATTTTTGCATCTAATGGTCTTGTCTATCCTTCTGTGGCCACAGTCGGGGTATTCTGAGGCAGGAACCTAGCTAAACAATTTAAGGCGGTGACTTGCCCCTGGACAGAGTTGGTTCAGAACCTTGTACCACCTGCAGCCAAAGTGATTTGCATGTATTTTTCTCTGAGTGGAGTGGGCAGCTGGCAGTATCTTATGCATATTAATCTTATATGGCACACTCATTTTTTCAGGTGCAACAAATGTATTTCTAAAAACCTTTAGTGCACCAAGCAAAGAGTAGTCCTTTTATATTATTTAATGAGTAATGACAAGTACTGAGTGATACATTATATTTCTAAATTTGTGTTGAGCAGGTATTAGAGAGTTTGCCCAGCTGGGGGGTTGGGCGGAGATTTAATGCTTTTGTTGCAGCAAAAACAAAATGCTTTATGGTTCTCCAGGTTCCTAAGGGGGTCACGTTTAAATCCTGGAAATTATTTTTGTCTACATTATGAGAGGGGAGGAAGGGCAGAGGGTTTTAGTGCTTTCCCTTTTGAGAAAGTTTGTAGCATTTTAAAGCCTTTTGTGTCTCCAGTTTCAACTAAATCAGTATAGCCGTAAAAATGTACCTCCTCTCGCACAAACCTTTACACTGGCTGTTTTAAAAACCTACTGCAGCGTGTAACATGGAGAATTTAAGACATTTTATGTTTGGACAATGAGCTTGGGTCCAGGGCTTCATAAGGCTAGCAAGGTACATGAATTAGTAACCTTATAATTTTATTGACTCAGTAAGAAAGATGGAGGTGTGGGCCACAACAAGGAAATTCATGTCCAAGCTTTAAATCCCCGATTTGGGGATGCCACTCTCACATGAAAGTAAAGCACAGACATAACCTGTGGTGAAAAGAATATGTTGGTGTTATTTGTGGATTCATTTCAGAACAAACTTTCTGAAGCACTTTATTTAAACTGTATTTTTCCCCCAGTTACTTCACACGAGTGAACCAAGAGGCATCTTTGAAGGAATAATGAAATGTAGTCTTTTCTTTTTAGTTAGGAAATATTTCCAATATCTCTATGAAACGATACGTTTGATGCAAGCTGGGTTGCTTCTGTTCTTCTCCTGACACTCTGCTCTCCTGTGCCTCTAGATGTGCTTACCCTTCTCTTCCCTACCCCTCCCGCAATACACTAACGGAGCACAGACCACAACTGAGATCACAGTTTTTCTCGTATCTTCTTTATATTGGTTTCTCTCCATGGATCTCCTTTTTCCCTTAAATTCAGCTCACTCATCACTTCTCCTTGATGTCTTCTTAGTCATAATCAAAGGCCTACACATCAAATACTTATTGATAAACTTCTACATGTAAGCACACAAGGGTATATTTGCGAGGTAGCTATTGTGAAACAAGTTCTCAAATTATATCTACATATAGATACATTTATATTCTTCATAGCACTAAATCCAAGAAAGGACACAACTCTTCTTTATTAAATAATTGATGATTTATAGGATAAATCCTTCTATACATCACTATGGTATTATACAAGGAAGTCCCGTATTTCAAAGCAGGGGCTTTTCTTAACTATGGATTAGGGACATTATTGTATTTATATGATCTAGAGAACAAAACAAAAATCTAACAAACACATACACAATAATATTTTCCTCAAATTTTTAAAAATTCAAATGGAGAAAGAATTTAACTTCAAAGTATGCTCAGATTATGTTATTAATGTCTTGTTTTGCATCATAGAAGGGTAGAGTGTACACGTGCTGGTTGTTACACCCAAATCACAATGGCAAGAGTTACTGGGAAAGTGGAAACACGGTTATTACGGATGTGAGCTATGGTTTACATTGGCAGAGCTGAAATTAGAAAATCCTCTGGAAAAGGAACACATGTTGATGTTTATGAATCCTTTCATTTTCCCTTTAACATTGTATCAAATGAGAAACCAGAACAACAGTGTTTCTTCTGTTGCTACATTCAAACCAAAGAATGGGTGAAAAGTGCTTACCTCCATCCTTACAAGGTACTGGACTCTGTGTGCGTGTGTGTGTGTGTGTGTGTGTGTGCGCGTGCGCGCATGTGTGTGTGGTGGGGTGAATGTTGACTTACAAAATCTTTAAGCTCCAAGATTTTGTTTGTTTGTTTGTTTTTTGTTTTTGTTTTTGTTTTTTTGAGATGGAGTCCTGCTCTGTTGCCCAGGCTGGAGTGCAATGGTGTGATCTCCACTAGCTGCAACCTCCACCTCCCAGGTTCAAGCGATTCCCCTTCTTCAGCCTCCCGAGTAGCTGGGACTGCAGGCATGCATCACCGCAACAGTCCGATTTTTGTATTTTTAGTAGATATGGGGTTTCACCATGCTGGCCAGGCTGGTCTCTAACTCCTGACCTCAGGTGATCCGCTCACCTGTCTTGGCTTCCCAAAGTGCTGGGATTACAGGCGTGATTTCAGTAGGGAACGTCTTGTTGACAGCTCAGAGCTTAATACACACACACACACACACACACACACACACACACACACACACACACACAGACAAAACACTTCTGCCCCCAAACAAAGGAAAACCTTGAGGCACATCATAATCTATGATTACTAAGAATATAGGCAAGAAAAGGAGTCATGCATAATTGGAATAATCTTGAGGAAAATATGTGACTAGGAAATTATCAAGCTGGTTTGTGACTCATACAAGATGACAGTATAAGCAGGGCTTCTATCATATGACATCTTCCATTTCATTAAAGGTGTTATTTGGTTAATTTTTTTAAAGCGAATCATTGAGCAATTGTCAAATATTATATTTGCCTTAAGTTTTATTACATTATAAAACTATTGTGAGCCAAGATGGTTTCTATTTAAATGCTGTAGTCACTACCAAAGATATCCTAGGAGAAAAATATCTATTTCCTTTTGAGAAAGATACTTTATTAGAAGAATATATTCGAGGTGGAATCCTACTGGAACTATCTTAGAAAAGCATTTCTTTTTATGAATTTCTCTGCTGGTAGGTAATCCACAGATACCTATAAACATTTAAAACATATTTTGACACTTTGCTTCAGAGGACCTTACTGGTGTTCTTTGACACAGACCTACCCTTATTTTCCAAGGTACGATATGAGTACTCTTACTTCATGTACTGATAGTGACCTTACCTTTGTAAATCTTGAATTTCTGTACTTGCTGTCATCAAAGGTAAGGAAGGTACTGATTGATTGCCTAAGGTAACATACCAATTTCGATGTCAAAAACCATATGAAAATTTTAACTTTTTAATTTCAAGTTTTATTATTAATGTAATTGCATCTGATCTTTTATTTCATTTGCATAATGTTGTTATATCCCTTTCTTCAAGAAATGATCATTTTTAACAAAAATAAGTGTGGAAAAAGTATATGTACAAAAAGAAAACTGAAAACACAATGATAGTATTGAATTTTAATCCATAGAATAAAATAAATATACATGAGTTTATACTCATGCATCATAAAGGCTAATATTTGTTCATAAATTTTGAAAAATGAATAAATGAAGGATAGAAGACAACTCTGTCTTATGGCAGGTTTCCAATAAATAGATGCAAAAGGAAGGAAGGACATAGAAAACCACTGTTGGACATAAACCAAAGTTGAATATTCTCACATACAAGTTTTAAGAATTCTTAAAGTAGTGGGCAAGAATTTAATGTAACAGAATATATGTATTCTCAGAGTATATCTGTCAATGTATTCAATACAGTGAGAAAGATGGTAACTTCACAATAGAGAAACCCAGGGGACATCACCTTAATGAAGTGATGAAAGTTAACATCACCAATTCATTGTTCATATCATGAATTCTTTGACATGAAGCACTGAGAAAGACAAAACATAATTTCTGGGGTTTTGTTGCTATAAACATACAATCTCATTCCAATCATAATAAAACATCAGATAAATACAATTTGAGGGACAGTCTAAAAAATAACTGTTCAGTACTCTTAAAAGTGTCAACATCATGAAAGACAGAGAAAGGCTGAGAAACTGTTTACAGGCTGGAGGAGACTAAGGAAAAATAGTGATAAATGCTAAACCATTACTTCTAATGGCAAAAACCACAATTACTTTTGGACCAACTTTATATGTGGAAGCCCATATAGATTCTTGAATCACAAAAATAAAATATAATTAGCAAAAATTGGTAAAATTCAATAGTATCAAGGTCTGTAATTTAATTAATAGTATGACACCAATTCTAATATTTGGATTTTGATACCTATGTAATGGTTTTATAAGATGTTCATATTAGAAAAGCTGAGGAGGGTTACATAGGTCCTCTCTATAATCTGTTACAACTTTTCTTGAACTTAAGTTTAAAATAGTTCAAAGAATATTACGTTTATTTGAACTAAACTGTTAGTGCAAAAATTTTAGTACTCTGTGTGTTTATATACCTTGTACCATTTACCAACATATAATATACATTTGTTTTCATTTCACTATGGAAGAGTTATCATTTTTCATCAAATTTTGACAATTCATCTTGAAAGTTTTAAAAATCACTTATCTAATGACATGATAACAATGTTCCTTGATTGACCAAGTAGCATAGATTTTTATTCTGAAAGACTTCCTCATCTTTTCCTCAGCCCTCATCATTCCTCAAGTAATTTCCTATGTCTAATCTTGTGAACTATTAAACCCAGCTCAATGAAGTAACTACAGATCTATTTGTTTTTTATTGTTTGAATTTCTCCAAATAGGCAAGAGTCTAAAAATGCATGCAACTTGAAAGCAGACCAAGCAGATACAGAATAAAAATGCTTTTGGTGTCAAAAAGCAAGAAAACTCCAATACTAATCAGAATTCCTAGTATATACTACTGGATCTACCTCCAATTTGCCATTTAACCATCAAATCTCTTAGGCCTCTCTACTTTATGATGCAACTACCAACATCTTGTGACTCTCCAAAGCTGCAGTTTCTTGTCCATGAAGCAGAAATAATACCTAACCTAGAACATTATATCAAATGAGAGCCGAGAAAAAGAGCAGTATCTAGCAGTGGTGAATATTCAGTAATATCTGGCTGTTTCTCCACTTGATATTGCCAAAGACAAATTAACTCAGAGACCAAATTAATAAAGGCTCGGAAGACTTTCTAATTCACCTTCAGGCATGTTTGACCATGCTTGGTTGAATGCAAGAGAACAAGCAAGCTGTTTGGGTAGGAGGATGTTCAGTGTTAGGATAAAGAGTTTTCTGTGAATGGTCATTTTCTGGAAAAACTGGGAAATGATGAAGTGCTTGCAGATGGTCAATGGTCAAACTATTATAATGATCCTTATGGACATTTCTGCCATGGCTTGTGATTTCTCAGTTCCCCCTTTGAATCATTCCCTCTATCAGAATCAAGAGAGTAATATTGACTCAGGTTGATGACCTTGACAGTATCATCATCACTAATCAATCAGATGTCATTATAGGCACTGTCCATGAAGATTTTATTCTCGTAGTCTATTTCATTGTCTGATTGGATGATAGTGATATACACTCCATTGAGACAGCAACCCACCTAGAGCATTTAACCTCCTGGAAATGACAGATTTGATGACTGCTAAGTATCTTTAAGAGCAGTCTTAAGGTATGTATCTTCAGGTTTAAGAGCAGTTTTTCTTTGATGTATCTTCTAGGAAACAAATTTTCTGTTTGAAGATCATGAAAAGGCTGTTTAGAAAAATGATGTGGGATGGTAGCTTAACCTTTTGGTAATAACACTGGAACATGAGTCCCTTGTATTATTTTGCCATGTCTGTATGTAACAGAGCAGAATCTAGACTGGAGGTGAAATGCTACACACATCTGTCTTTCAGTCACAATTCATAAGGAGATAACTCATGTGCCCCTAAACAAGTAAACTGGATGGCCACCAAAACTAGGAGCTATGCGTTAGGTCAGAGGAGTTCAGAAGTTTCTGAGAGTTTGATAGCTTCTCCTTAAAATGTTACTGGTCCTTTCAAACTTTTTAGAAGTTTGTGGGTGGTAAAGGCAGTGTAGTTTATGAGTAAGGGGTAACACTTTACAGAATTCTTATATAATAGTTTCTGTATACTATGTGGATCCTTAGTTGATATAAAACTTTGTCCAAGTTAGAATAACCAGGTTAATAAGCTTTTTAGTGACTATGAGGCTATAGCTTTTCAGAAAGAAAATGCTTCAACTCATCCAGAGCTTGGCATTTCAGATGCTTACTAATACATGGATTAATTGATAAAAGTCTAGTAAGGCAAAGTCATAGGCCCTGATGGAGATTCTTTCATTTATTTATTTATTTTTATTTTACTTTAAGTTCTGGGATATATGCGCAGAACATGCAGGTTTGTTACATAGGCATACATGGGCCATGGTGGTTTGCTGCACCTATCAACCCATCATATAGGTTCTAAGCCCCTCATGCATTAGCTATTTGTCCTAATGTTCTTCCTCCCCTTGCCTCCCACCCCCCAACAGGCCTCGGTGTGTGATGTTATGTTCCCCTCCCAGTGTCCATGTGTTCTCATTTTTCTACTCCCACTTATTAGTGAGATCATGCAGTGTTTGGTTTTCTGTTCCTGCGTTATTTTGCTGAGAATAATGGCTTCCAGCTTCATCCATGTCCCTGCAATGGACATGAACTCATTCTTTTTTATGACTGCATAGTATTCTATGGTGTATATGTGCCACATTTGCTTTATCCAGTCTATCATCGATGGGCATTTGAGTTGGTCCCAAGTCTTTGCTATTGTAAATGGTGCTGCAATAAACACATGTGTGCAAGTGTCTTTATAGCAGAATAATTTATAATGGTTTGGATATATACCCAGTAATGGGATTGCTGGGTCAAATGCTATTTCTGGTTCTAGATCCTTGAGGAATAGCCACACTGTCTTCCATAATGGTTGAACTGATTTACACTCCCACTAACAGTGTAAAAGCATTTCTATTTCTCCACAGCCTCACCAGCCTCTGTTATTTCCTGACTTTTTAATGATCACCATTCTAACTGGCATGAGATGGTACTTCACTGTGGTTTTGATTTGCATTTCTCTAATGATCAGTGATGATGAGCTTTTTATCATGTTTGTTGGCTGCATAAATGTCTTCTTTTGCGAAGTGTCTGTTCATATCTTTCACCCTCTTTTTGGTGGGTTGTTTCTTTTTTTTTTTTTTCTTGTACAGTGTTTAAGTTCCTTGTAGATTCCAGATATTAGCCCTTTGTCAGATGGGTAGCTTCCAAAAATTTTATCCCATTATGTAGGTTGCCTGTTCACTCTGATGATAGTTTCTTTTGCTGTGCAGAAACTCTTTAGTTTAATTAGATCCCATTTGTCAATTTTGGCTTCTGTTGCAATTGCTTTTGGTGTTTCGGTCATGAAGTCTTTGCCCATGCCTATGTCCTGAATGGTGTTGCCTAGGTTTTCTTCTGGGTTTTTATGACTTTGGGTTTCACATTTAAGTCTTTAATGCATCCTGAGTTAATTTTGTATAAGATGTAAGGAAGGGGTCCAGTTTCAGTTTTCTGCATATGGTTAGCCAGTTTTCCCAACACCATTTATTAAGGATGAAATCCTTTCCCCTTTGCTTGTTTTTGTCAGGTTTGTTGAAGATCAGATGGTTGTAGATGTGGGGTTTTATTTCTGGGGTCTCTGTTGTGTTCATTCCAATCATCCCTGAGGGAGATTCTAAGTTTTATATTGAATAGTTGTCTGTCTTTCGCAGGAGTAGGAAAATTCTTAATAATGGCTCTTAATTCCCAAGAGTGAGTTTCAGTTGTGGAGAACATTCCAGGCTCATATGTTGGCTGGATTCATAAAAGGAATAGGCAGATGGGAGTGGTAGAAAATTTATCAGGCAAGGGTCTGGGTAGGAGACAGACAAGGTAGGACTAAAGTCCTAGAGGCACAGAAAAAATAAGTACTGTTGTGTATCAAGAAGTTTCAGGTACACAGGAGGATGTGGTTTTCATGACTGCTGTCCCTTGTTTAATATCATCAAAATATTTTACAGGATCTAATTTGAATTGAAATTTCACTTAGAAACCCGTGTACCAACAAAAATTTTACCCATTGGACCTAGTCAATTTTGTACCTTTTTTCCCCTGTCATCTCTCAAAGGAATAATTTTTATTAAATACAATGCTTCCTAGAGTTGCATTGAAGACCTACTTCATTGCTGTTCTAGTTCTCTGGCATTGGTGAAAATGTGACATTTAGAAAAATAGGCACAAGGGATAGCGTTGTGGTAAGAGTAGGGATAGAGAGCAGGAGTATTTTTTTGCAGAGTTGGGGAGATTTTGACTAAGAACATCTCATACAGCTGGTCACAATTAGTGTAACGTGGTTGTTTGTGCATCTTGTGTCCCAACCCCCTGACATAAAGGCCAGTCACCTCTCAACACAGATCTGAGGATCTATATCTCAATCTGACAATCGGTATCTCACCCTCGCCCCACCTGGCAAGTGGAAAATCAAAGAAAATGTTGGTTGTTTATTAAGACCAAGCTCTTAGAATGAAGTCAGGTTGCAAGGGTATCTCTTCCAGTTTTATTGGTTATCGACAGCGAAGTTTGCCTTCAGAAGGACACAAGTCTGGAGGAAACCCCAAACTTCCAAGTCTCGGAAAGTGGCTAGAATGATAGAGTCAGATCTCACAACGCACCCACTTGTGACGAAGCAGTATCTAAATGCACAGAAAACAAAGGTGAATCACCAAGCACATGAACTCCAAAGGGAACTTTCAACAAATGCAAATTCTCAGGAATTAAAAAATGAATAAAACAGCAGAGGTACTCAGACAAAAAAAAAATAGACCCAGTGAAGAAGACTTACTGTTTTGAGCAGTTGGAGGAGCAGCTAAGGTCCAAGGGACCTAGTGGGTATGGCTCCTGCTCAGGAGCCAAGGTCAGCAGCCAGCCACAAGGAGATATGGCAGGAGCCAAGTGCGGCAAGGACAGAACCATCAAAGACAAAACTGAGTCAGAGACAAAATTAACAATGGCTATTTGTTCATAAACCTACTGCCATGGAATGGTCTTTAATTAATTTTGTTTCACAGAGGTGCAAAAGTATTAGAAAGCAAACGGAGGAAATACTGTGATGTTCTCAAATGGGCCAGTGTTCTATTACAGTGGGATTTTTCGAAGTGGAGGAGATTTTCTGATTGGTCTTTGGTTGCATTTGGTTGTCCTCGGTTGTCTGTAAAAGGGCAAGGAAGCAATTTGGGAACATTTCAAAAGAGGAAAGATTGTTCAATGTTATAGCAGAAGGTTTTCTGTGGCCAACCATTTCCCGAAACAAGTAGGAGTTGATGGGTACTTTTTTGTACTGTCCTAATGGTTTCTTTGGGGGGTAGTGGCTGCCATGTCAGACAGTTTCTTAATATCCTATTACCATATGATTAAATACAGTTACAGGGAAGACGTAAATATCCAGAGTCTGAGCTCTTTCACTGAGGATAATTAGAACACAGTATCTCTCCTTCTTTAGGCTCTATACTTCTTTCCATCTAGATGAACTTGGCACATCCTCTCTAATTAAAGTCTTCCTTTGGATTCCTTTTTATATGAAAAGAGGATGATGTTCTGGTTTTCATGACATCTGATTAGATATTCCTTATATCTTAGGAGTTTGTACAGATTTCTCAAAAAGAGCAGTATTGCCGAGTTCTGAGAAATCCTGTAATCACAGCTGCCTTGCCTGGATGCCTTCCAGCCTGCTTTCAATTAAAACCAACCTGATCATAAATAAGAGAATAAGCTTCTCTAATGTGCTCACTAAATACTCCATCTTAAAGCGATGTACTCTGGAGGCTATATTTCTTGGACAGCATATGCCTTTCCTGAATGATGAAGCCCCCAAGTATAATGTCACAGTATGATTTATTCATAATACTATTTTACATTTATTATAATTTCATAAATTTGTGGGACTTTTTTCTAAATAAACAGAGGCTTGCTTAAGTCATTTCCTCTGACAATGTTTAACATGATATCACCTGTCATGCCAAAGGACAATGTATGGGGAGAAAAATAATGGAATTTGAATTATTTTTTCTGTTACTTTTTTCTCTATCAAACTGATATAATAATTGGCTTTTCCCCCCTTATTTAACCTGATAAAGTAGATGACTACAATTAAGATTTTTTTAAAAAAAACTCAACTACATCATGGTTTTTACACCTTCACTGTTGAATTCTGCTTATCTAGTCTCTCTGTATAAGAACTAAATTTTCACAACCAAGATTGGAGCAGAAACCGACTATGTAACAGGATTCTATTGGGACTGAACAACTCAAAGTCATTATTTTTTTTTCCTCATAGAGAACCATGTATTTCTACCTGCCAGTATTTCATTCTTTTAGCTTAAAGTTTTGTTCCCTTTTCAAGTACAAATGCTACTTGCAGAAGTAATAGTTTTAGGGAAATCATAACATAATAGTTAAGAGACACTCTGAAGCCACATCATCTGGGGACATAGTTCATCTTCTCTTCCTGCTGGTAGAAAGTTAATAAGTTAATCAAAGTCCCCTAAGTTTCCTCATCTGCAAAGATTCTATCCATCTCTACATGATAGAATGTGGTGATAATTTATATATATATATATATATATATATATATATATATATATATATATATACTTTATGTAAACTACTGAGAACCATGGCTGACATGTAATACGTGTTTTTGGCCAACATTTATGCTCCTTACTGGTGTTTCTAGAACTCCGCCTGTCAGGATATACAATGGGATGGCACTTACCACTCCTTGAATGTAGGCCGTGCTGCATAACTTCCTTTGACTAATGCAATGTGAGCTCAAGTGAAGTATGTCTTTTAAAGCAGACGTGTCTTACAGCCAGCAAAAGAATCTCTCTTTTCATAGCAACAATTGTCATGTATGACATGCTTGCTGCATGCTGTAAGACCAAAGTGTCCTGGAATGTGGACCCATGATCTGGTTAGTTATCCCAGAAATTTACACAGTGCCACAGCAAACTCAGTTATAAATACATACATGTATATATATTTAATTATACCACAAAGATTTTAGAATTGTGTGTCACCCCAGTATTACCTAGCCTATTGTAGCAATGTTTTAACAAACAGAAGCTATTATTTTTATTTACAGAGTGAGTTTTTTAAAAGAGGGCAAATAGAGAAAGATGTGACTAAAAAGTGATAAAATGAGAAATAAAAATCTGGGGACTTCAAACATGAATTTCCTTTATATCAAGATGGTTTCAAGTGTTTGTTCTACTTGTTTTCTGCTCAAATTATGTTATCCAGTTAGTAATTCATCATTCTATCAGTAGAAAGTTTTGGTTATGTTACATGCACTGAGAGTGATCTTCTGCTTTGCTAGGTTTTATTTTCCCTCTCCTTATGTTCACTAAAATCTCCTTCTTCTTTCAGGCTACTTCACTGCTTTCTCCCTGTCCTTTCTTCACCAAATTTATATGCTTAGGGAGAATCTACATTTAATTTTATTTCTAGGTGAAGAAAATAATGTCCTATTCACAAGCCAGTAATGGTTTACTAGTAATGACAGGGCAAATTCCAAACTCTTCAATCTGTTTTTTAAAATCTCCAATCTCTACTTTGACTTCCAAATGCTATTTCCAGTTACACCCACCCCACCTCTTCTCACTTAAATTCACGATGCTTGTTACAACAATTTTACTAATGATAGATGAGTTATAGTCCATTTTGTGCTATCTCTTATTTTAATGTCATGTTGCCACATATTTAACTTTACTATCTTTCTAAGTAAACTGTCCCAATACAATATCACTTTTCCTGTCTTATGCTTAACACAATACCATGTATTTAAGTGTTTTTATAATTTTAAAAATACATGTCACACATTAAGTAATTGAACAAATAAATGAATAGGTTAATTAATAAATAGGAGAAATAAAGGATTTAATATTTTATAAAGTCCGCTAACCACAATCAAAATATACATATCAGTCATAGTATCATCATGTACTCTGCCTGATTTGAAGTACATATCATTCATTGAAATTTGCATCACATTCATTTTTTTAATTAGGAGAAATTTGGGCAATATTTAAATGAAGGAAACTCCTGAAATGGACTTAAGGTAAAGAATTTAATAAGAAAAATCACTGACTCTCAGAAATAGAAGGGAAGAAACAAGGGAAGATATGGTTTTTTGAGTTTCAACACCTAAAGTCAAATCAATTCAGACTGAAGTATGTTCACCGACCCTCTAGTCATATACTTGGATGTATAGCAGCATGGCAAATAGAACCTACGGCCTTTATTTCAGGCTGGTGTTCTCTGAGTGATACAATATCTTCTTCTGTAACTGTTTTTCAAGTTCATTTTGTCAATTATATGTGCCAGTCAATAATTTATTTGATCTAACTCTGTCCTGAGCAGCTAATATGGAGGAATTTTATTTCCATTTTACAGATCAGGAAATAGATACAAGAGATCAAAGTCTTTGCCTGAACATCCACATGTAACATCCACCAAACATCTTAATTGTTGCACATGGTATCCTAGAACAGACGTATTATTTGTTCCACTTTGTCATTTTTACCTGACTTTTCATGACGAATTTTATCCATCTCAAGGATAAAGGGGATAAATTTAGTGGGGGGAAGAACAAAACTCAGAATGGAGGCTTCCCACAATGACCATTATTCTAACATTTCAGAAATTAACTAGAGAAAGGACAAATTCAAGGTATTATATTGTGTGTTTGTATTGCATGCTTGTAATTAATGTAGACCTATTAGTCTGAGTTTTGTCTGTAGAAATAAATTCCCAGCTGTTGGCTACCTAGAAGGAACCACCATGGCAGTCTCTCCATCTCACAATGAACCCATGTTAACTCAGAAGCCAAGCAAGACAGAATGAGGAAGGAAATTTCTGCTGCAGCAAATGTGAGAGAATACAATCTGAAGACAATGTGAATAATCTCTCTTTCTTTGAATCAGTCATGCAACTGTTCCTATTAGCACATGTAATTGAGATGGGGATGTGTATGCAAATGAGTGACTACTTCAACACTGAAATTCAGATATTCTCAAGTTACACTGTTTTGTAATAAAATAATATAACAACATAAAGTCACCAGCACATGTATAATAAAGAATAGTTAAATACCAGTTAGACAGAAAGACTTAACTTGGACTTCTAGAAACCTCTTAATACGATGCATTTACTCACAGATTCTGAAAGCACATTGAGGAACTGGAAGTAATCTGTTCATATTCGTTTTATAGACTAACAGAAAAAAATGACTCTCAACATGTTCTAAAAATAGGAACTTTAGACCATAGGCATTCAAAAAATTTTTATGACTTTCTTTTCGAATTTTCTATTCCTCTATTTGTCCTTTTACCTTCAGTTTATAGGACTACCAAGTTCTTGTTTTTCATTGATTAAAATTAGGTTAGCATCATTTCAATCAAGAACACTGTAGGTAAGAACAATAAAAATTCTCATGGAAATGATTAATTATAATTTAGCCAAGAAAACTATGTTTTAAATAAATATTATTCTACACCTTTAAAATTCAGAGATTTATTTATAATTTTTTGATTTAATTGGAAAGTTCCACAGGGCTTCAAAAGTTTAAAAATGAAAGAGAAAAAAAAGAAATAGCAATAGCTCAAGGATTATTTTGCATAACATCATACAACAAGCAGGTGTTTGCAAGATCAATTTACAATAGGGACCACAGTACCCACCTAGGTTGGATGACTTCCAACCTATTTCCAATTAAAACTTACCTAATCATAAATAAGAGATAAAAGCTTCCTAACCAGCACAATAAATAATAGATCTTAAAATAATGTACTTGAGGCTATGTTTAGAGACAGTAAATGAATTCTCTTTAGGTTAGAAAAATGTTAGAAAGGGATTTGAGGTCAGGTTCTCCAGGAAGCCATTAAAATATTGTCTTTTTCAGCATTGACTCTGATAGTTTACAATATAAACTGCTGAATCACTAAGAAATTTATAATGTGAGTTGTGCCTTGCCAGACACTGCAATGAGGCATCTATTTTTCAGCCCCTTTGAAAGATTCAATTAACATAGTTGACTGGCAATAAACAGGCATGGAATGAGCAGCATGAAATAGCTTGGTCAAGTTGGACAGAAGACCTGGGCATATTGACTGCTCTAGATCAGGGGGTCTTCATATTTATTATGCCTGATTCAAAATAGACATTCTTATTATATTATTTTCATGGAAGAATTTCAAGGAATGTTTTGATGACAAAGACCTACAGAAGAAACGTAAAGAGAAAACCTGCCTGATCCTCTGTATACTGGAAACAGTTTTTGGAAGTTGAAGAAAAAATAAGAGTATAAAGAAGAAGGAGCAGAAGGAAAAGGAAATCTTGCAACTTCCACATCCCTCCTGATATAGGTGGAATTGTGTCCTGCAATAAAAACATGCTGAAAGTCCTATGCCCCATGTTTGTAAATGTGACATTATTTGTAAATAGGGTCTTTGCAGATGTAATCTAATTAGGAGGAGGCTTTTAAGGTAGACT
Source organism: Homo sapiens (assembly GCF_000001405.40). Lineage (NCBI taxonomy): Eukaryota > Metazoa > Chordata > Mammalia > Primates > Hominidae > Homo > Homo sapiens. The sequence continues at coordinate 40,756,208 of NC_000018.10, forward strand.
CTAATACAATATTATTAGTGTCCTTGTAAGAAGAGGAAAATTTGGATGCAGACATACACACAAAGGGAAGATGGCCATGAGAAGATGGAGACAGGAATTGGAATTACAGTGCCACAAACCAAAGAATGCCTGAGGTTACCAGAGGCTCAAAGAGACAAGGAAGGATATTCCTTTAGAACCTTTTAAAAAAGTATGTCTCTGTAAATACCTTAGTTTTGGACTTCTACCTGCCAGTGTCATGATACAATCAAAGTACGCTGTTTTGAGCCACCTAGTTTTTAGCCCTAGGAAACTAATGCAGCTCATTTGAATCATCCATAGAATTTGGAAAGACTGGCATCACAGCCCACCCTGCTTGACTGAAGGGGTTTAAAGCAGCTTGATTCCACAAGACTTGGCTCAAATGGTGACACTGCCTTAGAAGTATGGAATAACAAGTCACCATCAAACAATGCTCCAGCACTGATGTCTCTACAGAGATGCTGCTCTTTCATCTTTTTTTTAAATAGGACTTAACAATTGAAGACCAAGTGCCCAAACCCCTTGTATCAGCCAAAGTGCGATCTTAAAAACATAAAACTTAATGTAGTGCTATCTTGAAAACATAAACTTTATTAAATCAAAGGAATTTAAATAACAGAAACATGTTGCACAAGAAATAGAAGAGCTAATGAAAATCAGATAGTAATGAGGCAATCCACAGATTGGGAACAGCACTAAACTGCTACTAACTTCAGGCCTGAAGGGACACTTTAAGCAGTGGTAGTACCAGAACTGGGGCTATTCAATGTGACTATAGGACCACACAGGTCCTGACTGGTAGGAGCTGGAGCCACAAAGGAGGTGCAAATGGAGAGAGTTGTCCTGGCTGCTCCCTGTCTGTCAACTGCCTATCTCTGGCCAGTGCCTCATATTGGCCAAAATCTACTCAGGGAATAGTTTAGTTTGAAAAATGCAGTCTGCAGTGGCAGACATCATGATGAAAATGAAACAGGGAAAAGGCAACGAATGAATCTGAAAGCAAACAGGTAATGAATGGCACATTCTTCTCTCTTCCATAATGGTCTTACTAGTCCTTTAATCTTCACATTTATTTACTCAACAAACATTCACTGAATGCATACTTTATACTAAGCATTGACAGTTTTCAGTGACACACATATATAGTATATCTGTAGATACATACAATATACACTATATTTATATCTGTGTATGTATATACACTATATATACTATATCTGTATGTGTGAGATATAGTATATATAGTATCTTTCCTCATGAATTCAAATGTCTAGGAAAGAAGGTAGACATTACATAAATAAACTCAAAGATAAACACCTAATTCTAAGGTGAACATGATTTACTCTTTATAACAGAAAGGAGGCAGTACTTTGGGAGTGGATAACTGGGAGAACCCAGGGAGCACTGGGGAGTTAGCGATGTCCTCACTAAGGAAGTGATTCTGAAGGAAAAATATGGGCATAGGCCATCCTCCCATCAATTTAGAAAAGAGCTTTCCAGGCATAGGAAAGATTCCAACTTGAGAAAGTGGGATGGTTAATTTCATATATCAACATGATTGGACCATTGGGTGTCCATTGGTAAAACAGCATTCTGGGTGTTTCTGTGAGGATGTTTTTGGATGAGATTAACATTTAAATCAATAGGCTGAATAAAGGAGATTGCCATTCTTAATGTGGGTGAGCCTCACCCAATAGGTTTAAAGCCTGAATAGATCAAAAGGTTGACCTTGCTGTGAATAAGGGGAAATTCCTTCTGTATAAGTGCTTTGAATCTGGAAGATCAGTTTTTTCCTGCCTCCACGTTCATGATGAAACATTGGCTCTTCCCAGGTCTGAAGCATGCCAGCCTTTGGATTAAAACTCACACCATCAGTTTTCCTGATCCTCAGGCCTTCAGACTTGTTCTAGATCTACACCATTGGCCCTCCTGTTCTCCAACTTGCCAAATGTAGATCTTGGGACTTGTCAGATTCCACAATTTTATGAGCCAAATTCTTGTAATAAATTTATCTATCTATCTATCTATCTATCTATCTATCTATCTATCTATTATTTCTATTGGTTCAGTTTATCCAAAGAATGCTGAATAATACAGAAGGTAATGGGGATGTTTGAGAATTTGAAGAAAGGCCAATTGGCTTAAGCATTGTGACCATGGGAGACAGAGGCACAAGATGATACTGAAGAAGTATGTAGGACTCAAGCATGCAGGATCATTGGGCCATGTTTTTCAGTTTGGATTTTATTCTAATATAATGAGGAAATCATTTAATAATTGAAGCAGAGAGTGAGGGACCTGAATCAAATCCAATTTTAAAGAAAATTATTTCTGGATGCATTGATGAGAAGAAATTATAGGAGAAGGAAGTAAGAGTTAAACGAAACATACCAGGTAGGAAATACTGAAATTGTCCAGGAAGGAGATGATGTTGTATAACTAGAGCATACGATGTGGAGAGATGTGAACAGAGTTGCAACGTATTTTTAGGTAAAATTAACAGGACTTGATGAATTCAAATGGGCTTCATAGACTCATCAATGTACAGTCAAAATGTTCATATTTCTGAAAAGATTCTAGGATTGCAAGTTCACCACAAACCCTGAAGTGAGTGCCTCTGGGAAAGATGAATACTGTTTTCATTGCACATGGTACCAGCTCCCCAGCTGATCCAGTTTATTTAATCAAATCATTAGTCTCATAAGATGCTGTTTCTGGACTAACCAACCATTTGACTGACTGCATTTAGTTTGCAAATGGTAGACTTTTAATAAATATTTGATTGAACCAAATTAATTTCTAAAATGAATGCTTATGTATACATCCATGCCCAAAGGTCCTTATATTGAAAACTATCATTAATCTAAGGATTAATCTCACAACAGGATTATTCAAACAGCCCAGGTTTTATATAATGGTGAAATCAAACTTGGAGCTAAATGCATATTATTTCAGGTCTCTTCTGACTGTATTTAACTAGTGAGGAATTAGCTATTTTTGAGTATATCAAAACCAAATATCACAGATGCAGAAAAGTGTCGAATGTGTTGACTGGACTCAGGGCCCCTACCCTCCTCCAGCCAGTCTTCTCATTCCTTCCCTTGCTGCCATTCCCTTTTCCTGCTGGCATCCTTTTTCTTTCTCAGAATTAACTCCAAACTCAGTGATTAAAATCAGTATATACCATCTCTTCCCTGCTACACGTTTATAATTTATACACTGTGTATGTGCAAAATTCATTGAGAAAATGAATGAATAAGAATGGTTCAAAATAGAACTAACAACTCCATATAATAGTAAGTTACTGACTACTAATGTCCTCAAGTAGATGCTGAATGACTGTCTATTAGAGATTGGTGGAGGGTATTAATTACTAACAAAGAGACTGGAGAAGATAATATTAACTTTTTACTTCAAAGGCTAATGTTTCGTGATTGAGGAAAATTAAGCAATGTACATTTAAACACAATAAATCCAGTAGTTAAACTAACACTTTTATTTTAGCTATACCCCTTGTTAAGGAATAAAAAATAAAGTCCAAGAGGGAGAAGCATTTTTAGTGTAGTAGCCCAAAAGCTGCCTCAATTTATCTCTTTTTATAGAAATAAACTTAATTATTTACAATTAAATTCGAATTTAAAAATAATTAAACTCAGCGTTAATAGGATTGTGTTGGTTCATTCCATGACTTGTATGAGACCTTTTCAGATAACTAATCTAATTCAATTTTGAAAGCAGCCCTGATAGACACATATTACAATCTCCATTTTACCTCTGAGAAAACATGCTAAAAATGGTTAAGGAGCATCTTCAATAACACACAACGTGTACATTGCAAAGCTAACATATGATCTCAGATGTCACATCATGCTACAGCTGTCTCAAGTACTATATTATTGTAAGAATAGTTTTTGACATGTTATATTATTTAAAGTAATATAATTTGGGTGTAGTGAAATACTGTGTTCCTAAGTTATATAAGGAATGCGCATTCCCATGTTATCGGACCTGACAGGGTACAAACAATATCCACTGCCACAATTTAATGGGAAAAAAAGAGATTAGTATATTCTATACAAGAATTAACAGATAATTTCCTGCCTGGGCACCATGGCAAAATCCCATCTCTGCAAAAAATACAAAAATTAGCCCGGCATGGTGGTGACTGCCCGTAGTCCCAGCTGCTCCGGAGGCTGAGGTGGGAGAATCGCTTGAATCCCAGAGGCAAATGTTGCAGTGAGTTGAGATTGCGTCACTGCACTCCTGCCTGGGCAACAGAAGTGAAACCCTGTCCCCGCCAAAAAAAGTAAAATAAAATAAAGAAATAACAGATAAAACTTCAGAATTCCTGTGTGTTACCCTTAGGGATTTCCTTAAAAACATCTTTCTACTGATTGCCATTTTCATTTGGATATCTTTTTAAAATCTACCTTGCTAGGAATTTTTTGATTTCATGTGTTGTTTCTTTTTCACTATTTTCTCTTTTCCCCCCTAGGGCCAATTGAACATTTTTGATATTCTATTTTATTTCTTGTATTGACTTATTATTTATGCCTACTTTTATTTTTTAATGTTTACCCTAGGGCTTAAATATTATTAATTAATTTAAGATTACCTTCAAATAATGTTATACTGTCTCCCATGCAGCATAAGGACTTTGCAATAGTGAATTTCAAGCTATTCTTTATATCCATGTGCTGTTGTTTTCATGTATTTTGCTTTTACATATGCTATAAACACTAATAGTTACTATTTTTGCTTAGACAATTATATATTAGAATATTCATATAAAATAAATTTTATTTTATGTAAATTAAATAAAAATTTATATAAATAAATTTTATTTTACCTTTTCTTGTACCACTTCCAGGCCTCTTTATTTATTGTATAGTTTCTTTTCTTTCTATTGTGTTCTTTCTTCCTGAAGAACTTCTTTAACCTTTCTTACAGAGTGACACTGCTGCCAACAAATTCCCTGAGTTTTTCTTTGTCTGAGCAAGTCTTTACTTCTCCCTTACTTTTGAAGAATATTTTTGCTGGTTAGACAATTCTGTGTTGACAGGGTTTTGTTTTGTCTTGTTTCCTTTCTTTTCCTTTCAGCATTTTAAGTATGTCCCTTTATTGTCTTCCTGTTTGCATAATTTCTCAAGAAAAGTCAGCTATAATTATTTCAATTGTTACTTTGTTGGTAAAGTGTCCTTTTCCTCTGTCTTCTTTCAGGATTTTCTTTTCCTGAAAAGGTATATAAGGAGGAAAGGGAAAATATTACTCTGTTTTTAGGTCTCTGAGCTTCTTGCATCTATGGGTTGGGGTTTGCCGCTAATTTTGTGAAGTTCTTGGCTATTAGTTCATCTTCTCTGTTTTCTACCTCTTCTTATAGAATTCCAATTTCATGTATATTAAAGCATCTGGAATTGCTTGGATGCACAAGTCTTGGATGCTTTCTTCTGTTTGTTTTTAATTTTTTGAAAAACTGTTTCCCCTTCCTCTCTGTTTTGAGTAATTTATATTGATATATCTTCAAGTTCACTGATTCTTCCATCAGCTGTGTTGAATCTACTGATAAAGTCATTGAAGATAATATGTTAATATGCTTTTCATTTTTAGCACTTTCATTTGGTTCTTTCTTATGGTGCCCATCTTTCTGCTACAGTTGCCCACCTGATTTTGAATGTTGTCTTTATTTTCCATTAGAACTTTTCATATTTTAATAACATTTATTTAAAGTTTACTTTCTGATTATTCTAACACCTGGTGAGGGTTTTTTTTTTTTGTCTCTTCCAAGTGTGTTTATTTTCTGCCTCATTGTATTGTTTATGATTTTTTTTTACTGAAAACAGGAAAACTTATGTAACATAGTAAATACTTAGATACATTTTTTTTGTAGTGGATACATATGAGCACAACTTCCTATTGCTACACAGTTAGTGTGTGTGCTTATTTTAATATAGTCAGGAATTAGGTTGTCCATGAGCTTTGCTGACCCTATTGCTACACTCAGGGCCCCACAGATTTTATACTCGTCTAATGATTCCTTATGTTAAAGGTATGTGCTGTATTCCTAGAGGTGATTTTCTCAGTGTCTGCCATCACCTCGGGCTTGGCTTTGGGTCTGTCCCTTTGTGCTGTGTTCCTAAAGCACTCTGCCTCTTGTATCTCTCCCAGCTGCATTCCACGGCTTTTTTACTCTATGCTTGTTAGTCTAGTAGTGAAGAGTGGGAGAAGGAAAGGATGTTCTCTGATGTTCTGATTTAGCTTCACTCTTAGGTAAATACTATATTTCTGGGTCTCAGGATAAACCTCTCTTGAATTCATCTTCTTCTCTTCTCCTGTAGTACTGGGTCAATGCAGAAAGTTTTTTTCTCTTTTCCTCTTCTACAGCTTTGTGTGTTTCTACAAGTAGTCAAAGGCTTTTGGCCTGTAGGGGAGACAGGGACAAGGGTCCTAGCAGTTTTTCTTTAGTAGCCGCTGTTCCCCTTCCCTAGCCAGCACCATGTACCACAGGGGAGTTGCCTCAGTATTCTTCCAGATTTTCCCTGACAATTCCTGGTGAGATTTGCAGGAGAAAACATCTGAAAGAAAACAGAAACATCCCTTTCCTAAGGCACCTGTCCTCAGTAAGCAAGTGCTCAAGATCTGCTTCTTCCTGGAAGCACCAATTCTTCCCTAAGAATTGGGGATAGTTACACTATCACCTTAGTTAAGTGATGAGTTCAAGAAAAGCTGTTACTTTATGGTTTGCTCAGCTTGTTCCTTGTTGTAAGGGTGGGAGTGAGGATCTTTTTCACTCTCTACATCTCTGAGGTAAAACCAGAGCATTGGGTACCTTTTACATCTCAATTTAGAGGATAAGTGAAAGTGTTTACAGAAACTCTTTTTAAATAAAGAGTTATTGGTATGAAAAAGACACACTTTTAAACTTTGTCCTGCTACCTTTCTTTTGTTCATATCTGAGCAAGCCAGAAATCACACAGCTGAGTACTAAATTCTTCCAAAAACCCTTGTTTTTCCCTGTTCCCTGGTTGCTTATCTCCTTCCTCTCTATGAGATCATACGATGCCTGTCAGTCATGGTGATGGGGAAGGGAAGAGCCAAGAGGGACTGTTTATCTGAAGAGAGCAGAGCTCCCTGTGTTTCAGCATCTTCTGTCTCTCAGATAGTGTTTGTTTTCTGTCATCGCCTGATGACCTTGCAGTTTTCTCTGATTTTTATTCATGTGCCACACACAGAATTTCAATGCAAAGGCCAAAAAGAGTCTAGAGGTCAAAGGTACTTTCAGTAACAAAAGGTTTATTTTTGCTAAGAGTTTTCTGTCTGTCATAGATAGGGACCCAAGTGATATGGTAGATTTGGCCACATAGTATAGAAACAACATTGAGGGTTATATATTATATATTTTTTCCTTTGAATATGAAGTTGAAATGACTGATCCAGTGGCAGTTGTGGGTGGGTTTGGGGACATTTATCCAGTGATGAGGACAGAACAACCCTGAGTCATCTATACCTTAACTTATCTTCAGTGTTATCCCTGTCATTTGTAAGCTCTACGGTCAGGGGTGATATGGTTTGTGTTAGTGAAAGAGAGAAAAACTAAAATACCTCCACAATAGGCCTCGAACTGTGATTGTTACTTCATCAGGCTCATAAAAAAGTTTATTTTAAAATAGATACTGAAATAAATTTTTAATGCAAAATGCCAAACTGGCCACAGTGAGAGTCAACATTTCCAGATCCCATTTTTACTTTTGGTTTTAAATGGCTGTATGGTCCCAGAAATATAATTAATCACTTATTAACTGCCTCAAAACTGATAAAATGAAATGTTTATTCTCTCTTCTATGCCTCATACATCTTAACTCCATCATGCTGGAAATCTGGATGAAGAGCAGAATGTGAAAAACTCACATATTTCACACACACAACTTTGGTAATTTGTAGATTCATATTCCTATGTCGTGAATCTTTACATTATGTAATTTTGGTATTATGGAGACAAAGTTAGAAGCTGGCTATCAGTTTAAATTTCTAGTCAGTTTATTTTCTCTCTCTCTCTCTCTTTTTTTTTTTTTTTTGGCGGAGTTTCACTGTTGTTGCCCAGGCTGGAGTACAATGGTGTGATCTCAGCTCACTGCAACCTCTGCCTCCCGGGTTCACGTGATTCTCCTGCCTTGGCCTCCCAGGTAGCTGGGATTACAGGCATGCACCACTGCACCCAGCTAATTTTGTATTTTATTTTATTTTTTGTTAGTAGGGATGGGGTTTCACCATGTTGGTCAGGCTGGTCTTGAACTCCTGACCTCAGGTCATCTGCCTATCTTGGCCTCCAAAAGTGTTAGGATTACAGGTGTGACCCACCACACTCAGTCAATCAAAATTCTAGACTGATTCCTACAAAAGGAAATGAAAATTCTTTAAAGATCTCAATCCCAGTCAAAGTAAAAGAGAGGAAAGTAATATAAAGCAACAAGAGGTAATGTCCTTATTGTCAAAAAATTATACAGTTCGGGCAAACTTCATGGAAAGTGATAGTTGGAAACTTAAAATGCTACATTGTGATATTTTACACCTGTATCCAATTTTCATAAAAATTCAGAAACAGAAGCAAATTAAACTTGTAAGTATGATCCTCCCTAATTGAATACAATCATTCCAACAGCATTATGACCAGAGTTGCTACCTTCTGGCCTCAAACCTGTTTATGCCACTTAATATTTTATTATCTTTGATGAAGCAAAACAAACAATTCACAAGAAAAAAAATGAATAATAGGTGGAAGTCATTTGTGTTGACAGTATTGAGGCATGATATTTATAGACAAACCCACCCAAAATGACCATGTTTTCTCTCTAGTATATTCACTATAAAGAAAAACATCCCCTTCACTTTGCACCCGAGCCATGATTGATGGGCAGTGCCAATCACTTCATGGAGCTTGTTGATGTTTGCTGTCATGGCTGAAGCTCTGTGAAGTTTGTAACAGAGTGTCAGGCAGCGTTCCAGTTTGTTGGTGGTTTTCCTTAAATAAGGTGGAATCTAGTAATGAATGGGACGTAAACTAGAGAAGGCACCATAAACTGCAGTGGGATCTCCCTCAAACCAACTCCACGGCCAGGCTGACACAGTATTAAGTTCCTGCGATGAAGAATCTTTTAGGATTTGTTGCTGAATATAAGACTGATTATAAATAGATGAACTATTTTCTTGGCATTTTTAAGAAATTTGATTCAGGAAGTAAGTACCCCATGACGCTTGTATATTCCACAGGACTTAATTACTTAAGAGTTCATGGCATCATTTATTATACCAAGATTAAATTAAAATGTCGGCCAGGCACAGTGGCTCACGCCTTTAATCCCAGCACTTTGGGAGGCGGAGGCGGGTGGATCACGAGGTCAGGAGAACGAGACCATCCTGGCTAACATGGTGACACCCTGTCTGTACTAAAAATACAAAAAACTTAATTGGGCGTGGTGGCGGGCACCTGTAGTCCCAGCTACTTGGGAAGCTGAGGCAAGAGAATGGTGTGAACCCTGGAGGCGGAGCTTGCAGTGAGCCGAGATTGCACCACTGCACTCCAGCCTGAGCAACAGAGCAAGACTGCATCTCAAAAAAAAAAAAAAAAAATTAAGTTAAAATGTCCATCATCCTTAGTTTTTATTGAACAACTACTAACTGCGTTGATAATTATTCTTAATATATCAGAGATTATGTCAAGTGCTTTGGCATTTGAATATATGACATAATCTTTGCCTTTAAGGCATTTGCAATCCAATACTTATAAGATGTATTTAGATACATGGGATGGTTCAAGCACTTTTTTAAATTATAATTTAAGTTCTGGGGTATATGTGCAGAATGTGCAGGTTTGTTACATAGGTATACACGTCCCATGGTGGTTTGCTGCACCCATCAACCCGTCATCTCCATTAGGTATTGCTCCTAATGCTATCCCTCCCCTAGCCCCCAACCCCGCAACAGGCCCCGGCGTGTGATGCCCCTCCCGCCCCCCGCCCTGCCTTGTCCACGTGTTCTCATTGTTCAACTCCCACTTATGAGTGAGAACAGGCGGTGTTTGGTTTTCTGTTCTTGTGTTGGTCAAACACATTTTTATGAGAATAAAGACCCATTTGTTTTTCCATGGAAATTAGAAAGGTTTCTATGATTTGTCAGTATTTGAGACGAACTGTAAAGGTTTGGAAGGCTTGCTAAATAGTACATGAGGTATATATATTTGACCTATGAAAACATCATAACTTAAAATGTGAAGGTCAAAAATTGCATGAGTGAAAAATAGTGAGTTAAGCTTATGTGAAAGGTTATATAGAATATAAATGTATATTGGCATATCTATCTAAGCTTTTCCTAGATTTAAGTGAGAAATTTTATTGTCAAGTAAAATATCATGTTGTTTTCTCAGGAAAAGAAAAAAGACTTAAGGGACAAGAAAATAATGGTCAGTGAGGGAGAAAACATATTCTAGAATTCGATTGTGGATAAATTTTTACTTTAATTCCAGGATTTTCTTTGTAACAAAATTTTATAGCTAATGGGCAGGATCATTAAAGGAGAATTTTTGTGTTAATTGCCACTGTTTTCTAATATGAACTCTCTGCTCTTGTCAGTCAATTTAAAAAGAAAAGCACCTACAGCCTCAATATCTAATGCAATAATAGCTTTCTCCATGGTTTTGATGATGGTTTTTGCTCTGTTTACAATGGACAAATCCTGCTCTTTTGAGATCTGCTTCTATATTCAATTCAGGCAGAAAGCTGGTTTCTTCTCCAGACCCTCCTTCCAGAATGTAGCTCCCACCACCAGCATGTGCATTGACCAAAGAGTAGTGGTTTGTGCAGAGTGAGGAAGGAGCTTTAATATGTGAACTAAGGTAGTAACTTTATTTTGGCAGAAGAGGTGTCACTTGAAGTATGGTGCAGAGCCAGCAGTGCATAGAAATAAAATACTGTAGTAGAAGATGGGCTGTTATTAGGCTCTCTCCGAGCCCAGCATCCTAATGCAACTACAAGGACTCTGAAAATCCCGAATTCAAACTTGGCCCTCTGGGTTGTTATGAGGGCTTATACCTTTTAAATACCTACACATATTGTATGTGGGTCTCCATTTATGTGCTTGTTCTTGACCCTGCAACTGTTGTTAGTTGTTTTTGTGAATAATGAATTATGTATAACATTTATTATTACACTGCTTTATATGATGATTTACCTGATTTTATTATATCTTGTTTCTTCAAGTAGAGTTTATGCTCCTTGAAGGTGGATACTATATTGTGAATAACCCAGCAAAATATTATACATATAATTTTTAATCTATAACTACTTTGACTGAATTGAGAAAAGAACATTATTCCACCAGCCAATATCCTAAATTGTACAATTGTAGACTATGTTGATGTTTTATTATGGTGGGGACTTTCCTCTATTGTATGAATATATGAAAACATTCCCTATAAAGATTGCTTTCAAAAAATTCCTTATTTGCTTAAAAATAAACACAGTTTCTCTGTTATTTTAGGGCATTGAAAGAGTAGAGAGGAATTTTAATAGAATAAATCAAGGCTTCCAAATGTCAGGAGAATAGCACTTAGAATAACATTCTTTTCAGCTTGATAGAATGAACATTTAGATTAGTAAAGACATGATTTTTATTAAAATTCAGCGTCATTATTTATAATACATCCTCAGTTTCTATTAGGATCATTTTATATATAATAAGAGGAACTAGGTACCTCTTTGGGGTCATTTCAGGGACATTTTGAAGGACATTTTTTTTCAGCAAATGTCATGGTGTCTAAAAATTTACCATTTCATTCTACCATTAATCATCATCACCTTTTCTGTGTAGTCCTTCTAAAAAATACAAACAAACTAGAGAAAAGTATAGCATGATGTTACTCTTGCCTTGGTGTTGGTGTGCTTATCTTGTGCTCCCAATACCTTGAGGAAATAAGAGAGCAGTGTATTAAGTCGCTGCCACACACAAGCATTGGCATCACAAGCTGCAATCAAATGTGGTAGTAAGTCTCAGATTCCGTGGTGTGTCTAATTCTAACCTTTGAGACATACGTTAACAGGTAACATATGTGCTTAACCATTAGAAAGTGATTTTTTTACAGCTATGATGAATAGGCCCCCAAAAGACTACCAGGCATGGTTTATGATATTGTAGAGATTGGAAATGAGCATAGTGCCTTGCAATTAATGCAACCAATGTGATCTCACCTATGTGAGCAAACTAGGAGAGTTGTTCTTCTTCTTATAGGTGTTACACTTCTATTACTGCAGGCTAAAATCAGAATTCTCTTTCTTCATCTTCTTTCCTCTGTCACCATAATTACGTGGTTCTCCAATCTTTTCCTTAATGCCTCCACCTAAAAATTGGCTACACTCCAGTTATTATATTTAAGATAGTTTTTCAATGATTTCTCTGCTTCTTCTCACTTATAAAAAAAGACTTAACTGAGGCAGGAGAATGGCATGAACCCGGGAGGCGGAGCTTGCAGTGACCTCAGATCACGCCACTGCACTCCCGCCTAGGCGGCAGAGGGAGACTCTGTCTCAAAAACTAAATAAATAAATAAATAAATAATGACTTAACAGGATCCCTCTTTCACAGCTGAAATCACAACTAATCATAACTAAAGGATTTTCAAGTTCTTTTCTGAGTTTTGTTACTTTCTTTTCTTTTAAATGATACAGAAAAACATATATTTTATTCTCCCACATAATTATTTCACACTGTTTCTTTGAATGATGATTCTTTGACAGTTTTACTTAAAATTCTTTGTTGCATTTTCATTGGCAGTATCATGTCTAATTTTATGTGACAACTTGTTCAGGTGATAATGCCAGGGTCCCCTAAAATAGTTACACATGCTTTCTCCTGGGGATAATACAGTTTATAGAAATGTCCATAGACCTTGATACACATGTGTTCATCCAGGCATCTTAGATAGTTTCAAAGACTGGAAGTCTACCACAACTACCACTGAGGGATAAGAAAACCTACCATCTTGCCTTATTCTGTCCATCACTCTGGAATGGAGACATTTCCTTCATTCCCCTCTTAGTTGCTTGTAGAAAAGGAACATTGCATCCCCAAGGAGAGGGTTACATATTCTTAAGACTCCTAAGACCGAGCCATGGGCTGGATTTTCCTCCTCCATGACTGGAAACCCATATGTTGGTTATTTTCTGAACCATTCCTTACCTTGCCTTTCCCTTATAGTACTGGTCAACTGTACTCTCCTGCTTGGCTATGCCAACACAGTTAGTTTCTATATTTGGGTCATTTTCTATATCACTACATTGCCCAGAAGTCAGGTACCATATCAGGTCTTGACCACCTCCTCATCATTCCCTGACAAAGACTCTTGGATTCATGCTTAGAATTAAGCATGAGACCAATTGCATTAATCTAAAGAGCAGCCACTTTTTAAGATGTATATTGCACATTTGGCATACATTGAGCATGTGGTGAATTAAAGGCTTTTATCTTTTTTTGACACGTTGGCTTTTAAGTCTTCCACCTTTATGATATGCTTTTGTGGTTTGTATTTTAACTAAACGTTTTTGCTGTGATTACATTTTATTTGGCCAAGCATTCCAGCCTGTAAAGAAGTTTTCTTCAACTGCACTTTTTACCATCCCTCCTAGCAAGCTCCATGCCCAGAGGAAAAAATAAAATGCTTGGACTTGGACTCAAGTTGCATGTCCACCACTGACTGACTGTGAGCCTCCAACTAGTCACTTCCTCTCTGTGAATTGGATTTTTTTTTTAAGAGAGCTGCCAGGCGTAGTGACTAACACCTGTAGTCCCAGCACTTTTGAGAGGCTGAGGCAGGAGGACCACTTAAGCCCAAACATTTGAGATCAGCCTGGGCAACATAATGAGAACTTACCTATACAAAAAATCAAAAAATTAGCCAGGTGTGGTGGCATGCACCTGTGGTCCCAGCCACACAGAAGGCTGAGGCAGGAGGATCTCTTGGGACCAGGAAGTTGAGCCTGCAGTGAACCGTGTTCACACCCCTGCACTCCAACCTGGGTGACACAGGGAGACCCATTCTCAAAAAATAAAAATTTTTTAAAAAGAGAGAGGGCCAATACTATAACTCCACAAGGCTTGGATCAAGTTTCATATAATACAACATATTCATAACACTGACCAGAATACCTGCTTAATAATAGCAAAAAAAAGTGACAAACCATCAAAATCCCATACAAACAAAACAGTTTGTTTTCAAAGTCCACATACTCCTACAAAATACACATGACTTTTCTGATTTTATTTTATTTTATATTTATTTATTTATCTATTTATTTATTTATTTTTGAGATGGAGTCTCGCTCTTGTCACCCAGGCTGGAGTGCAGTGGTGCGATCTCGTCTCACTGCAACCTCCAGCTCCCAGGTTCAAGCAATTCTCCTGCCTCAGCCTCTTGAGTAGCTGGGATTACAGGTGCCCACCACCACACCCAGCTAATTTTCGTACTTTTAGTAGAGACGGGGTTTCACCATGTTGGCCAGGCTTGTTTCGAACTCCTGACCTCAGGTGATCCACCCGCTTCAGCCTCCCAGAGTGCTGTGATTATAGGCATGAGCCACTGTGCCTGGCCAACTTATCTGATTTTAATGATGATACTATGGTCATATATCGCTTAACGATTGCGAGGAGTTCTGAGAAATGTGTCCTAAGGCGATTTCATTGTGTGAACATCATGCTCCAATCTTATATCAACCTATATAGTATAGCTTAATACACTCCTGGGCTATATCGTACAGCCTATTGATCCTTGGCCCAAACCTATAGAGCATGTTACTGTATTAAATACCGTAGGAAATGGAAACACAATGGTGAGTATGCATCTAAACCCATCTGAACGAAAAGGAATAGTAAAAATACAGTATTATAATCATATGGGACCAGTGCCATGTTTGCAGTCCACTGTTGACCGAAAAGTTATGTGGCATATCACTGTATATCCTTTGGCAGTAGGGCTTGCTCTTCTCTTCGCATGTGTGATTTCTACCTCTTTACTAACATTCAGGCTCCATCCTTTGACATTACTGCTTGCTTTTTAATTTCCCAGCTACTATTATGCAGCAAATTCCATGGCCCTTCAGAAAAAATTGCAGGCCTTGTTCACCTTGGATTCCCTCTCTCATCAATCGGGCCTTTGTTAGATATCTCTCATCTAGTATAAAAACAGAAGACTATAAGACTACTAGATTCTACAAGGAGAGGCAGGATGGGGAGAAAGGATGCCAAAGAAGGCTCAGATTGAGGATTTCAGGACCTTAAAGCCACACATCTGATGTCTTATTTTATTACCGCCTAGTCTCACTGATAGTTTTGTTATGACTTCTCTTTCTCATATGTGAGTTTGACAAAGATCCTTTGAGCAAAATTCAATCTACCTGCCAAGTTAATTTAGCAAGAACATCTCACTCTTGATATCTGAGCACTCTTGATATCTAATTAGGTTCCTCATCCTCTTACAGCCTACAGTATTGAATATAGTAACATTCTGTACAGGTTTGTGCCTGTAAAGTTTTCCGCATAGGTTTTCAGTAATGGAGGAGGATCAGTAGGTTAGGGGTGTAGTAGACTATACTATACAGGTTGATATAAATATGGAGGATCATCCTGGCTTGTCTTCAGCAACTCTTGAAGGTCAGTTTAACCAGAATCCCACTTACCCCTGATGTTTCCTCTTAGTAATTTTCTATCCACTGACCTGTACGCTGCTCCTTGACTATCAGTTCCTACCTCCCCATGCTATATTTGGTGCTGAGACCAATTTCTCTGCAAAATCCTATTGCAGTGGTCCCTATACCTATCACTATGGTCATGCATAAAATCTTCTTTACCATGCTTTAGCAAGTATCACTGATTTTTTTTTCTTTAACAGTTAATAGTATCAATAATTCCAATAGTTTTACTTTCTAGTTGGCACACCTGTGATTAGTCATGATTGAGAATATTGCATGAAAACTTTTAAAATGAAAAGATACAATAGCTGAATGAATTGTGAACCTCAGTCCTCCATTGTACCAGTACTCTTCCATCATTCAGAGCAATGGTCCCTACCCTTTTTGGCACCAGGGGTTGGTTTCATAGAAGACCATTTTTCCATGGATGGGGGATGGGGGGATGATTTCAGGAAGAAACTGTTCTATCTCAGGTCATCAGGCATTAGATTCTCAAAAGGAGTGCACAGCCTAAATCCCTCACATACACAGTTCACAATAGGGTTCACACTTTCATGAAAATCTAATGGCAGTGCAGATCTGATGGGAGGCGAAGCTCAGGTAGTAATGCTAGCTTGCCCACCACTCACCTCCTGCTGTGTGGCCCAGTTCCTAATAGGCCACCAACCAGTACCAGTCTGCAGCCTGGGAGGTTGGGGACCCCTGATTCGGAGGGTGTGATCAAATCTGTTTAAATGACTTTCTTTTTACTCATTGTACACCTTTTTTAAAGAAGAGTATACAGTGTGCTTGTTCAGCCTTTGAAGATAAGGAATTATTTTCTTAAGTGAGCATTAATGAAAGGAGAATGCATCATTCTTTATCAGTCGATGGACTCAGAATTGCTGACGGCTAATGCTAATAAAGCCACATTAAATGGAGAGCATGAATTAGTCAGCTAAATGAATGATTCTTAGTGGCAAGGAGGCTTTATTCTGTTGGATGTTTGGAGAAATTGACATTTATCATATACAGACTGGCGGTAGAAATAAACGCAAAGAGGGCTGCTTTTTTCCCCTGTATTATATGTATAGATGGAAAACAAAAATATCACCTGGGAAACAGCTAACTCGAATCTCATTTTTTTGTCATTGTTGTAGCTATTTGTTTCAAAATGTTTTCCCCATGAGAGCCTGCAATCCCTCCCCACCCTGAACTATCAAATTTCAGACTACAAGTTTTCAATGGCAGCCAATCTGGAGAGTTGCATATATCTACCCCTAGACAGCTGCATTATGGAACTAAAAGAACTGCATCTAAATTCATGAGCCGATAAAAAGTAATCTGGCTAAAGTCTTTTTTTATACCAGAATATACAATGATAATCACACCCCCTTGAATTACAAATGTTCCATAACCATTCAAACTGGTACTGAGTTACTGACATTATTTGAAGTAATGACATAATAAAACACATTTTAAAAGACAAACCCATAACTTACTTACTTCTTGCTTAAAAAATGTTTCAGAAATCTTTTGAGATCATAACTGATAGAAGTCTATGATTTCATAGACCATCAAAGGCTTGAATATATTTTAATAAACCAGGAGTATTAAAGTGGCTCTAGCTTGCTGGCTATATTTATTTTCCACCTTCCCCTGGCCTTTTTAACAATCTAAAATTATGGCCAAAAATTAATTAAAACTTATAGTGACCTGGAGCTTTTTTAATTAACCAAGTGTTTTTTTTTCTTTTTCTTTTTTTTTTTTTTTTAGAGAGAGAGAGAGGGTGTAATAAATCACAAATATTTCTATTCTCTATTCAAATAGTTCTTTTAGGGTAAATTTGTAGAAGGTCTCTAGTTTAGACAAATTAAGCCTCTTAGTACACAGAAGCATGGATTCAATAAATTGAAATGCAAGAGAGTTGACAAAATACATTTATAATTTATCTTAATCTTCACATTTTTCTGATTAGCAATTCAAACCTTGGTATTGAATTATTTTTGGTAATGGCAAGTCATGGTTTTGTATTACTAGCCACAGAGTATTAAGGAATCTCTCAGTGGTTGTGTTGAACTCACTGCCTGGTTGAGATAATCAATTTTGAAGAAATATATTAATACTTAATAATTATGATTCCCTGGGATTTATTTTATAGTCTTAAGCTGGAAATTTTGTCAAATACTCTTTCTTGTCATTCCAAATAAGCCCTTTTATTCTAATGGCTCCCATTAACAATAAAAAAAGATAAACTCAATTTAACAAAATTATCTTCAGCGAGGCTTCAAACCTTGAAGTACATGTACAGCTATAACGAACACGTGTCATGTTCCTGTGTCTAAATCCAAAGTAACAGAAGGTAAGAACTTGATACAGGTAAACCACAAATTGAAAACCTATAATGTGAAAGCTAAAAATCCAAGATTATTCATTATATATAATAATACATATAAACAAATGAAATATATGAGGATCTGGCATCAAAGATTTGAGCAAGGACAATTGCAACAGAAAAGAGCAAATTTCTACTCAACTTATTTTGAGTCGTGCCAAAACAATAGCTAAGACTTAAGAATGCTCGAAGACTAAATATGATGTGGGAGAGAAAGGGAGAACAAATCAAGATAAAGGAACAAAGGACTAAGACATTTGAAGTCAAAATGAAATGGATAAAAACATGAATATACTGTTTAAATATATGAATATACTGATTAAAGAAAAGGTAATCAATAAGCAGCATAGACCTTAGAGGACACAGCCATCAACTCTGTCATTTACTTTAAGGAAAACAAACTCTCAATATCTACTAAGCTATCCTAAAAATTATAGTTTCTCCTCACTGGGCAAAGACCACTTGAAAGAGTCAAGCAGAACCCTCTTCTCCTAAGTAAGTGATTAGAAAAAATCAATTTTAGCTACAAAATGGCAGACCATTTCCTGAAGAGCTCAGCCTCTGCAAATTGCAATTTATTTGAGGAACCCCAAATACTTTACCAAAAACTTCGAACATTACCTACTGTAAACTTAATATGTAATACAGCTAAAGAGAAACAATAAAAACGGGGCCTTCAAGATGTAACACAAATGTGAAGGCATGAACTTTAGAGGTAAACCAGTCCAGTTCCCCCATTTCACAAATAAAGTAACTAAACATCAGCCAGTTAGGTGATTCTCAATATCAGAGACATGACTATATGTCATTTGGATCAACATTCCAATCATGGAATTTACAGTATAACAGGCCAGGTGCTGTGGCTCATGCCTGTAATCCCAGCACCTTGGGAGGCTGAGGAGGGTGGATCACCTTAGGTCAGGAGTTTGAGACCAGCCTGGCGAACATGGTGAAACCCCGTCTCTACTAAAAAAATACAAAAAATTAGCTGGGCATGGTGGCACGTATCTTTACTCCCAGCTACTTGAAAGGCTGAGGCAGAAGAATCGCTTGAACTTGGGAGGCAGAGGCTGCAGTGAGCAAAAATTGTGCCACTGCACTCCAGCCTGAGTGACATCTCAAAAACACCACTACCACCAACCAAGACATAATGTCCCACTCAAGTTTTCATGCCACAGTGCAATTGTCCTCTAGCAAATACTTTCTTTCTCCAGATAAATCATAACATTTGTGAATTCTGTATTTGTCTCATATTTATTTTGCATTTCTTGTAGCTAGAAGCTAGTGTAGTGATGGGCATACACTGGAATTCTCAATTATTCTGCAGTGAATTATTCGAAGGAAGGTAGAGGACACTAAGAGATGAGTGAAAATGGTGCCAGGATGTAATGCACAGAAAACAAAATGTCAACTGAGAATGGAATAAAGAGAATGAATATGCTCATTGAAAATAAACATCAGGCTTAGATCTAGCATCCTGAGGTTTCAAGTAGAATTGTTAATGATTATGTGGGTTTTAACCCAACACTTTGTATCCACAGCAGTCCACCCTCCAACCTGCCTTCTAGTTCTTTATAGTGTGAGTCTGACACTTTCTTACACTGAAGTTGTTTTCTTCTGTGAGGAGGGAAGCTTTAGGTCATTCTGATCTCCTTTCTACAGCAGCCTGAACACATGGGCTGCCTAAAGATTGTCCCTGAGAGACATTTGGAAGCAAGGGTTGAGAGTACAGGATCTGATATCTGAATCTGACTGCAAAGCACAGCTTGTGACTAACTCACTGTACACTCTGGGACATATTATTTCAAACCCAGGGCTTCCAATTTTTCACCTGTAAAATAAGGATAACAGCTATTGCCTCATAGAATTGCTGTGCTAGAGTAATTAGATTAAGCAACTGTAAGTCCTCCACAAATATTAGCTGCTATCTTCCAAGATCTCCTAACTTCTTCTGGCATCCCAAATTTAACTTTCATTATTACTAGAACTCCTTGGATTGAAATGTATTAACTAACTTTTCTACCATTTTCAATGTTTTTGTCAAGTGGGAAGGTAGATTTAAATCTTCAGTCTACCATTTTGATCCATCTATCAAGAGAGAAGGAGCAGAGATCTGTTAGTCAAACATTTGCATTTGTGTTTGTTTGTCTGTTTTTGTTTGTTTTAGCCATATGAAGGAATAAGCCCAGAGATATTTATGACTTGGTTAGAAGTGCCCAGTTAATCAGTGACAGAGTTGCTTCTTTTTATAAGATGCAGTTCCTTCTCAGGATCACAGTAAATTTCTGAATCCAGTATCCAGTTTTATTAAACATAAGGGATTAACAAAACAAAATTTATAAATCAAGTTTAGGTGGAAAGAATGATGGACTTTTGGGAGTTGAAAACATGAAGTTTTCATTTTATGATGTTAATATAAAAAAAAACCCTGAAAACTTTAGGTGTTTCTGGCAGCCAAGTGCATTGTCATAGTGATGACAATTGGCACCCTCTTATGCACTTCACCTGGCAAAGGATTATGTACTCCTGGTATAGACTTTTTCTGCATATAAGATTCGGAAAGTAAGAATTCTTCATACTTAAGCAAAAACCACTGGCTGAAGATAAGTTGAAAAGGAACAGATAACCCCACCTGAATCCTAAACAGATTGAGGGTTCTGTGAGAAAATAGACCTGCTGGCATAAACAAAAAGGTGAGGATCTGACTCCAGAAAAAGCTACAGGAAAGGAGGCATATTTTTTCAACAAACAGTGGTATCCCTGAATTTATCCATTTTTACATACAGCTAGTCTTTCTCTGTATTCCGCTCTATTTTGTCTTAGGAGATTCAAGTTGTGTATAAAAGACAATTACATCATTTATATATAAATTTTAGTAGATGCTTAATAGGTATTTACTCTGTATACAGAACTTTGAGAAATACAGAAGATAAAGGGAGTTTAGGTCAGTGGGCAAAGCATTGTGCTAGTAGTCAGAAAATCTGAATTGTAGCCCCGGGACTGCTAGAATTAACTCAATATATGGCATAGGCAAATATTTCACAGCCTCTCTGGGTTTCGGTTTCCCACTCTATAAATTGAGGAGGTTGGATTACGAATGCCCATTTCAACTCTAATACATTGTGAAAGTTATAGTGGAGCACACAATGGACAGCAGGATATTTTAAGCCAGGAACTCTATTTCTGGCCCTCTAACTAAATGATCGTTTGACCTTAAATCAGTTGTTTAACTTCTAGCAGACTCTTTTTTTCTCATTTATAAAATGAGGTGTTGGACTGTTTGAACTTTAAAGTGTCTTCAAGGTGTAAGAATCTATGATTCAATTCATGACCCCGTCCTCAAGGAGCATTCCATCCAGTTAGAGAGACAAGATATGTACATAAAAAGGTCAACAGCAATATCAGCCAAAAATAGAACAGATGTCACAAGGCAATGGATGCCTTAATGCCAGATAAATGCAGTGGATGGTAAGCAATATAAATGTGAGGCAGGAGAGATTGTTCTGGTTTGGATAGTAAGAAAATCCTTCATAGAAGACTCATTCTAGCAGATTCCCAAAGAGTAGGTGAGGTCTACTATAGCAGAAAAGCTGATGTGGGTCTGAGCATTATGGTGAGCAGAGTCTCAAAGGTAGGAAAATGCATCTTGGACTGCAAAAGACATCAGTATGGCATCAAAAAATAATGGTAGTATAGATAGATTATTTGAATGTTTAATTTTAGGCATTTTTGAAAATTGTATCTAGAAGAAATCATCTTACAGTAATGTTTAGTGTAGATACTTTTTAAATTTCCTGATCAAGGAATTTCCTATTCAGTACCTATTAAAACCTGGATTTTTCAGGGGAATGAATGCAAAAGGTGGAGATCACAACTTCATTTGTCAGTATTACTGAACACATATCTAATATGCTTCCTGTATTATTTCCCCAAAATACTTAAAATTAATTTTTACCACAAGGTCTATTCAATTCAAATGTCATTTTCAGGCAACTTCAGACCAATGCAAATGACAGATTCTTTGAGGCTAGGGAAGGCTACCTTTGAAACAAATTACACTAGGAATTTATATAAAACTATTTGTCTGGCATATGAAAGGCAGTGTAGCCCTGGGGTTTATGGTTGTTGCTTCGGAGCCAGTGGCCCCGAAGCTTTACATCACATGAATGGTATAAAGCAATGCTTTATAATGTTGTTAGAAAATCACAGTATTTGCACTAATTTCTTGAGAGAGATTATCAAGCCCGTCTGGGAGGAGGGCAGCATATTTTTTGAATGCCATATGCTGAAGCATGGTTGTAGCTTGGGCAGATGCTGTAGAGGATAAAAACATTTTATGTACTCCTCTTGGATAACTTGTCTAATACAACTCTGGCTCCAAATCAGGCCCTTGATTCAACAACAAATCTCAATCAGAGCTATCAAAAGTTTTCCTCTGCCCTAGAGTATATGTTGAACTTCCAACCTCGGAAGCTGTCCACTCTATTAACAATGTATTCAAATTACAAGCAAGTATTTAATGAATGCTGAGTTTCAGGGCGACAGCATGAAGAATGGGAAAGCCTTAGGAATTGCTGAAATGAAAGGGCTCTTCTCTTAATTTCAAATATCAGAAGACTTGAGCAGAACATGGCATCTTAGTCATCTGAGCCTGTAAAATGTGACATTGGCAGACATACAATGCTGAGCTCTGTGGTACCTGAATAATTGAGGCTTTGAAACATGAAAGTGTTGACACCTTCAAACGCTCAACTAGCTTTATTTGAAAGATTCTTCTCACAAAAGAAGACTAACTCTGCCATTTGAGATCAACGCATTTCTCAGAAACACAGTGTCACCGCTTTATATTGAAACAAACTTGTTTACCACATATTGACTATCTGTGTCCCATGTGCAGAAAGTATTTGATTAAATTCATTTCTTTGTGATAACAAAATACCCAGCAGAATCAAGGATGACTTTTTGGAGGTGGGCAGGAGGATGAGAACAACATTACTTATTCTCTAAACAGTGAACTTTCTGCAGGTTTCATTATTTCAAGGAGTCAGGATGAGAATTCAGAGTAATCAAGGTCGTATTAAGTATTATATATGCCACAACAGCAGCAATGATGAAAACAACACAATTTCATCTATTCATTCTTTCAGCAAAATTTAGTGAGCGCCCACTATATTCTTTATACCATTAATATGATATACAGCTTCGGGGCCACTGGCTCTGAAGTAACAACCATAAACCCCAGTTTTACACCTGGCTAATTTTTTTTTTAATTTATTCTTTTTGGAGACTGTGTCTCACTATGTTGCCCAGACTAGTCTCAAACTCGTGAGCTCAAGTGATCCACATGCCTCGGCCTCCCAAAGTGCTGGGATTACAGGAATGAGCCACTGTACCCAGTCCACCTATCATATTTTCTATCTCAATAAATAGAACAGTGATTCAGCAAATAGCATAACTCCTCTAAGTCTCTAAATCTCTTCACCTGCACTGCTGTCTTGCTATCTTCCAGCTGCTCCTATTGTTTTCCTCGTCTTTAGGGATTGCTGAATGTGATAAAGGAAAATGTGAAGAGTGAGAAGAAAGGTGAGTCTAGGATTTAACCTTGAGGAACAGAATAGTTTTATGAATGCCCAGAGGAGGAGGAGCCTGCAAATGAGACTGGGAAAGACCAGTCACATGTAGTAAAAGAAAATAAATCAGAAATGTTACAGGAGCTGCAGGAAGAAAGTATTGGAAGAAGGAGGAGACATGCCAACAGTCCCAAAAGTAATCTAGAAATCAAGTCATGCTAGAACTGAGATCAATACCCATTTCATCCAGCAACAAGGAGGTACCTGGCATTCTTGGAAAGGGTAGATTTATTGGTAGAGTAGGAACAGAATGGGATTTCAATGGGATGAGTGATTATGCAATGGAAGATGAAAAAGTAGGGGTGACATTTTCTGACACCTGGAAAATTCTGACTTTAAAAGGGAGATTAAAAAATAAAGCTTTATGGGGAAATGTGTGGGTCAAGGGAGGAATTCTGTTTTGCAGTGTTTTTCAGATGTGAGACCTGAGGAAATGTAAACGCTTAAGATAAAAATTTGTTAGCAAGGAAATTACAAAAGCTACATGAAAGAATGGAACCATCTGATGCAGCCTGTATGCTGAGGAGGAAAGAGGGCAGGAGTGCAGGTAAAGTGCTAATTAAAGGAGGAAATTATCCTAAAGTAACTCTGTTCATCAGGGCATCAAATGATACTTCACATAATGAGCCAACCTAGTAGGAGAAGAGTTTCGAAGAAGTAACATTATAACAGGAGGACAGTCACCAATTCTATGTGCTGGACTGGACCTGTGTTTAGAATGGGAAATGTCAAAAGGGGCCTTTAGGAGTTAGCTTTTAGAATTTATTGCGAATACTACTTAACCATTTGCAGAGACAAGGTTCTACTCCCCACTTCATAAGAAAGTTAAAATTCATTTTCGTGCTGTGAGTGGTACATGGACAAACATATACTCATACAAAAAACTGAAGAGTATTTTTATAATCTGCAGAAAGGTCTGCCCAGGAAACTGACACCCGGACAACATTTTGCATACTCCCTCCTAGGTACCCTAGGCACCATTTGTCTACTGATACATTTCTTTCTTTCCTTCCCTTTTTCTTTTTCTTTTTTCTTTTTTTTGTTTTTTGTTTTTTGTTGTTGTTGTTTTGAGACAGGGTCTTGCTCTGTTGCTCAGGCTGGAGTGCAGTGGCACAATCTCAGCTCACTGCAACCTCCATTTCCCGGATTCATGCAATTATCCTGCCTCGGCCTCCCTAGTAGGTGGGGCTACAGGTGTGCACCACCATGCCCTGGTAATTTTTGTATTTTTAGTACAGATGGTGTTTCACCATCTTGGCCAGGCTGGTCTCGAACTCCTGACCTTAGGTGATCTTCCCACCTCAGCCTACTGATTTCAAGTTAAGAATTTTGGCCCTATTTTATGGTTGTTGCCTTTGAGCACAGAAAAGAAAAAAAAAGATAAATTTTAGAAGACTGAATTAGATGTAAGTATATATGAATAAGATAGAGAATTGTGAAAAATAAAAAATGCAATAGTAGAATTAAAATACATATCCAATATAATCTAAATATTGCAAGGAATTGCAAATTCAAAATTTTTTTTATCATTCACTCTTTTCTCTTCATGAACATAGCCTGTTTCTCTTTCTAATTTCCTAATTACCTTAATTAGCATTTTTATAAACTTTGCAGCTCTTACCATTGTAGGGAGATTTTTTGGTTTTGAGAAGATGCTTTCGTAGGCTGCAGTAATGCAATGAAATACTAAATTGGGAGTATATGCCAACACATTAAAAAACCTCAAATAATGTTTTTCTTGTCAGTGCAGAGATCATTTTCATTAGTGTTTAATAAGTAAGGGCATAAAAGACAAAAAAAATTGTATGCTTTACTTAAAAATTCAACTTCCTAAGACAGAGGTTAACATCATTTTCTAAATCCTTATCTAAACCACAATTCTACTGTTCATCAAAAATAACATTTATCCACACAGAGTTCTAACTTTCTTATGGTTTCTTCATTCACAAATCTAATCTCTACTTATATCCTCTGCCGTTTGTTTACAATTTTTAATCTGAAATTTCTTTAGTTTTTCTTTCTTTTTTCAACATCTGTCACCAACACTTTGGTTCAAATCGCTATGATTTCATATACAGAATACTGAATTAATGCCCTGTCTTCTCTTTTTAGCCAATGTACCCATTAATCTTTCTAAAGCACTAATGAGATTAATTTTTATCAAACATGTGAGATTGCTCCTAAATAATAGGTTTTGTACCATCATTCCCAAACAAACCTTCAAGCCTCTTATGCTTCTCATGAAATGAATCCCCATGGATAAGCTTGCTTGGACTATGTATAGGTCCACAAAAGTTAGCAACAATCCTATTCCATTCTTGAATGATATAAGAGAAGCTGCTCAGAGCACATTTCTTATATTTGCCATACAAACATACGCAAGTGTCACAGACACATATTTGGCATCTCTGTTCTCTAAAACATACGTCAAATTTTACCTTTTTCATGATGCCTCTTTGAGTCTTCCCAGGTGGAATTAATCTTATTTACTTTGAAGTCCATGGTACATAATTTCTCTATTCCTATGCCATTTATTAAATGCTACCTTGCATTGATATACAAAACATGAATTGCCTTCTTTCTTAAATATTATTGCAGTTTTTCCACGGAGAGGATGCTTTTTATGCATATATTGATAGAAGGCCGTCTTGCTTCCATGTGAATATGCTAATGCTATGGAGATTTCTACAAAGCATTTGCTGTTCTTGGTGCTAGATCTCAGGCAGCTGTCCCAAGAAGTAAGAGCCAAGTTGCTGACTTTGGTCATTTGCACTCAACTCCATCCCCACTACATTTTAAGAGCTGAGTTCAAAGAACATTTCCTGCTGACCTACAGTAACAATGGGACCATGGAAGCTTTATGTGCTTCACTGCAATATCCTACTTCAAGGATGCTGTTGACAAACAGACGGGATACCCAGTAGACTCACCAAGAGTGTCATGGGTTGTAATTATAGCAACAGTGTGCTATTGCACAATGTCTTGAAACTAGGTTTTCTTTATATTGTGGTGGGAAATTGGGTGATGGCAACCTTTTAAAAAAATAGCTATTCCCAAGTACCCAAGTACACATTATGTTATGTTTTATAGACAAAGTGCTGACATGAATCAACAGTTTAGATTTCCTGGCTTAAGAACTATTCACAAAATAATTGAGTTTGGAGTATTAGAGGTTAGAGATCACTCTGAGTCACAATTAGTGATTTAGTATATCTTCATTTTGATTGATTTTGTCATGGTACTTTTTTCCATTCACAGCAAGCTGAAATAACACTTTATCAGTATTACGGTATTTTAAAAATAAGGTAACTGAATAAAGAATATTTTTACTAACTACTTCTATTAATAAATTTAAGAAATATTAGAGACAAATCCTATGCCTTGTGACTAAATTTATATAAATATAAAGTTTTAACATTTGGAAATTTTGGTGTTTTCCCCTTTCAAATTGCTCTTCTCTCCTAAACAAGGCCAGACTTGAAGTGGAAATGTACTATGGAATCCAGCCACACATGATAGACACATGAAATCCAGAATATCTTTTACTGTAACATTTTAAGACATGACACTGCCAAACTTGAATATGAGTTTACTGTGTAGTCACATATAGCCTTTCTTTTATGGATGTCAAGGGTATAATGTTGCTACCTGAATGACGTCAAAGTCAGCTTGAAGATGTTGATACCTTGGGAAGGCTATCTGTGCTGTAAAACTCTAAGGCTGAAAACCCACTATAAGCAAAATTTACAAAGACCTTTCGAAGCAAAAGTCACTGAAGGGAACAAGGTTAAGGCATTAACCTTAAGACAGAGCATTTTCTTAAAAGATAGGCACTGTGCCTATTTGTGATTTATGACCCCTACATTTTTTGAACATTTCATATCATCACTATTACCATCACCAACAACAACAAGCACAAAGATTGATTCATTATATTCATAACTGAATGAAACTTTTTTTTTGCTTTATATACAGAACACTTTATTGAGTAGGTAAGGCTAGCTTAAGGTGGAAATGGGCAGATTGTAACAGTGTTAAAGTTTTTCCCCTCATCTCTGTGTTCTCTCTACCCTTTGATTTCCCCCATTTAGGCCTTCTTGACACCGTTGAGATGACCTGTCAAAGAAAGCTATAGGAAACCAAAAGTATAAAATGTCCCCTCCTAAACAACCCATTGCATTTAATAAAAGAGTCCAGCAAGAGCAAGAGTTAAATAGGATATACCAGCATAGGAGAATTGTTATCTCTGTGCATTTGAAAAGTAAAACTTTCTCTGGAAGTATTGTGTGTGTGTGTGTGTGCACGCGAGCGCATGTGGGTGGGTGTGTGCAAGGAAAAACTTTCGGAAAATGTCTATGTAAGTCATCTAAAACCATAACCACTTTCTTCCATGATCTCCCTATTTTGTGAGGAAGGTGAAGTTGACTGACACTGACCCTGACTTTGCCTCAGTGAGGCTCACAAAAGACATGTTTAGAAGGGCTTATCTGTGGGAAACAAATGGAACACATATTTGCAAACCATCTGTTGCAAATTCCCTGGCTTAAATTATTTGGTCTATCATATTTTATAAATACGTTAGGAATAAAAATCATCTTTAAGATCTGAAAAATAGGTTAAACTGACCAACAAAGACTGCTTAATTAGATATTTCTATTGGAAATAATAAAAAAGCCAAGGATCTCTCTTCCAGTCTCCATTTCCTGCCCCAACTCTGGCTGGTTCCTCTGTTGGTCCCTGCAGACAACTATTACATCAAGATAACTCCTTGGTTATTTGTTAACCATGGGGCCAAGTTTGTTAAGACAAAACATACCACCGTTATGACAAAAGCTGGAGCAATATAGGTATTAACGAGATGTTATTTGGTGCCACATTTGAGAAAGAATAAAAGATGATGACCACATTTTGATCAGTCATTATTGTTTCAGGGTCTTGAAAGCTTCAGTTAGTGACATTTTTAAAAAGAGTGAAAATCATTTATTCAATGTATTTTCTTCTAAACAATATGTATGCACATATATAGACAACTTGATTTATTGATTAAACACCTATGATTAGATTTATGAGGTACAGCACAGGGATCGTTGTCATGACACCAAAGTGAATGTCAGAGGAAATGAATAGGGCCCCAACACGGACAAAGTCTAAGTAAACTTATCAGTTCATATATTTAACACAAATTTTTTAATGATAAAGTTATAGCAGACCTTATGCAATTTTCATAAGTAAGAAACCAGAAGCAGAAGTATTCTTCTCCAGTCTCTGGTAAGAAGAAAGGATGCTTATTGCCTCTAAATCTAGGACATTTTAAACCTGGATAGAACTTTTAAAATTCATCTGACAAGTAGGGAATTTGACCTTAAAGTATCAGGTGATCGATTAATAAAAGATTTTAAAAATCAGTAAAACTGGTTAATGTATCAAATCAATTGAAAAGATTGATCTATAATTTCCAAAATGGCTTATCCATCTCACCATGTGCTCAGTCTTCTAATCTTCAACTGCATCTAAATAAGGGCGCAACAACCTAGAATGTACTAATTGAACTGATTGGACAATCTGAAATATACATCTGTATGTGCATGGCATTTCATCTCCCCAAATAGAAGAGTGCCAGATAAAGTAAAATACTTTATTTTTCAGTCTGTAAATTAAAAAAAAAATCACTCCATGTTTATGTTTCTGAGATTTAATGGACATGTATAAAAAATAAACCAAAGGTGTTCATTTCCAACACAGTTGATATTATTGATTTGCTGATAGTCCAGAGGCATTATTTTCATTGTGCAAAATAAGCATAAAACTACTACAAGCAATTAATTGCTGGCTTTTCGTATCATGCTTTGCAATGGCCTATCAGCCTTTTATTAATATTAATGAGGAGAATTAGCATGGAAGATCAGGGAGCCACGATAGTGCTGAGAACCTGTGAGGACCCTACGGCTCTCATGCTTTATTATTTTTTAATCAAAGTAGCTGACTTGAAGGCACAAAATTAAAGAACTGAGTCTTTTATGATTCCACAATGATTCAAATTAAAATGATCTACACTTGCATAATTCCCGTGAACCATTTTGTGCTTGTTAAAAATAGTTAAAAATTGCATAAATTCATGATTTAAGGTCTGTAGTTTTCTTTTCCTAATGAACAGTCCACTTTATGTGTTTCTCCCAACTCACACATGTGGACCTAAAGCAAAAGAGGGTGGGCAGAGGACAAGCAAGAGAGAATTTAAGTTTATGATTTACATTGACTAAAAAGAAATGCTAGTGTGTTGCTATTTCCAGGCTCACTGGAAATCCTTGGCATTATGTACAGCTTCACTGAATGTCCTTGGAAAAGCCTGTGTAGAAGCAGCATGCTGGCAAGGCCCATTTTTCAGATAGAAATACAGAAGCTATAAAATTGTAGGCAATAGTTGCCAATTGTTCTATGAAGAAACTTAGGGTTCCATGGGGGGGTGCTTGAGCATGCCCATGGAGATGGTCCTTTTCTTTTCAACAATCAAAAATTAATGTCTCTAGGGAATTTATATATTTTTTTCAATATTGAGGTCCCTATTGCAATTTTATGTGAAAATTATCATGCTATACAAAGGTTTTAAAATGACTAATGTTTGTTAGATAAGTAGGTAACCAGAAACCTAAACAAAAAACATTGGTTTTTCTGAATATCATCATAGCAATATGGATATGGAGACAGAAACAGTATAAAATACATTAGAAATTTATTTGGAAATGATGTAGGCACAATCTCAATTACAGAGATACAGAATTATGTAAATATTCATAAGCAAAGCCTCTATTATATAAAAGCTACACAAACAAATAATTAACAAATCTTTATGGAGATAGATTTCTCATATTGGTAAAATGGTGGAAGTTGATTTTGTTTGTAGCCAATAAATAAGATTTCTTATATGTTCAAGGAAGGCAAGAAGACCTGCATTAGATAAAGGAGAGCTCCAGGACATAAAATGTGTTGGAAGTATTGAGAGATGAGTGTGAATCTTAATTTGAAAACATAGAGCTTCCTGAGAGGTATTTCTCCAAGTGTGGTCTGGGACCACCATTATCAATATCAACCAAAGGGTTTATTTAAACAAAGAATAAAACAAAACAACAAAACATGTTTTTGGACACCCACTTCAGATCTCTGAACTAGAATCTCTAAAAGTGTGGCCTTTGCATTTTTAACAAGTTTCTAAAATAATTCTTAGATGAGAGGTGACGGTGAGAGTGTTGGCTTTTTATTTAAGTAATAGTGGTTTCTTTTTTTTCTTTTTTAATGCACACATAAAAGAAATTCTTATCTATACGTAAATAGAAGAAAACTGGAATGGCTCTCCTAAAAGCCGCAGGTAAATGGGATTTATCACCACAATCTTGGCCTCCTCCTCTATCAGTTGTACCTCAAAGCCCTGATACACTTCCTAGGGTCCTAATCATTTTTCACCTCAAGAATTTTCTCCCTTCTCTTCCCTGAAACCTCAAGAATTTTCTCCCTTCTCTTCCCTGAAACCTGTCCAGACTTCTTAACTCTGCAGTGATGGGTCATAGGGGATATCGTTACAATGTCTGATTTACCTTGACTTGGTTTTAATTATTTTAATCATACCATTACTTGCACTGACATTGTGGATGCCACTCAAAACATTCTTGAGTGAAAGCTCCGTATATGGACACTATACTGGGAAAGATGTTGGTGTCATCTAAGACACACAGTTCATTTGTAGGACAGTTCCAAGGATGACCTTTCTTTCCACCGGAGGGAGGGGGCCTTCTCTGCCTTCTGTCAAAATTGCATTTGCTTTTCTAGAAGCTCATTTTTCTTGGTGAGCTCTACACAAAATAGAACAATTATATTTTTGCATTTTACATTTATATAAGAAAAGTAAAGAACATGTATGATATCCTATTTGAAGAGAACGAGGTTTGCAGTTAATTTAACCCCACTGGAAAAATCCCTTGCCCTTAACTTGAGTCCTTGCCTGATTCTTCTTCATCCAACAGATTTCAGAAATGTGTTCTATTTTTTCTTGTTCCAAATGCCAGCACAAGCTTTCTGGTTTAGATTGTTCTTCAATGGTTGATTGGGAAGTGAGATGCAATTTCTAATTCTTCAGTGTCTTGTCCACTGAAATTATAAAAGAAATGTAAAGCAAACAAACAAAAATAAGATTTTTCACTATTAACCAGAAAAATGTTTGCAAGTGGATGTAAATAAGTTTATGTGCATTTTAGTGAACGGTGTCTAGACCAAGAGCAGTTATTGGGAATGCAATGTGGATATCAAACTGCCAAGAGTTAGCTCCATGAATATAAAAAGTCTTTGGATGTGTAAAAGTCTTAGCACAGCACCTAATACATAATATATGCTCTTTATTATTATTATTACTACCCGTTTTACTATATTAGGCTCTTTCAGAAGTGACTTCTACCTTCCAAATTAACTGATGCTTCTCATTCCCCATCAAACTGTGGACTAATGCTCACACAATGGCTGAGGCCAGTGGGTTTCTCTCTAAACCATCTGCTTTTCTGCTTCTACCAGGTGAATTTTACACTTACCAAAATTAAATTGGGCTGGATCCCAAAAGTGTTTATGGCAGCATTAATTTAATTAAATGTTATGTAATTTGTGTTTGAAAATAATCTCTGAGCAGGATCTTTAGAAGAATTGGATCAAATTTAGATAATAAAAAAATATGGAATTGGCAGAAACATCCCTAAAAGCTTTAAAAAATTATAAATATATGATTATATATATTTAAAATAGATTTCCAGCTATAATTGTCTTTCACAATTAGCTGACAAAGAATCATAGTGAGAGGACTTCCACACTATTATTATCATTATGAGGACACTGAAAACACCTGAACTCACATCACAAGGGATGTGGGAACTGGATGAAATGGAGGCTAGAAACAAATGCAGCCTGCTTCAGAGTCGTGTGCAGGACCCACGTGGAGACTGAAAAATCCCTGCTCAGAAAAAACTGATTTTGACTATTCTCAGAATATTACTATTGTTTACTTATACTACATAGATACTTTACTCATGGTTCACTACCCTAAGAAACATTTACATTATAGAAATGTAAGATTTTAAAAAATAGATTTCTTGTTAAACACTTTTTTCGCAACCAAGGAAAAATGTATTGCATTGTATTGTATTGTATTGTGCTGCTTTGTATTGTATTACACTGTATGGTACCATATTGGATTTTATCATGAGAGGTTCTCATTAAAGTTACAGCTGAATACATATCCCAGGACTGTGTCTGAGATGGGACTTATCTGCTTCATGGTCTCTCTCCTCTAAAACATGGTGGGTGAATTGGGAGGCTGAAATAACTACCAGCTTGTCTGATGGGCAAACTTTTAATGTGGGGTTGTTATTATACTTAAGATTTGAAACCAGCTAAAGTATTAGTCATGAGTGCGAGAGAGTGATGCATATTCATGGAGCTTCCCATGTAGGTAGACTGCTGGCACACTCGTGTTAACTCTCAAGGTAGTGGGTGACGTGTAAACACTGAGGAATCTGCTCAGACTAGGCCAACTGCCTAATGCATGTGAGAGCTGACGATACAAATATAGTTCATGATAAACACTCAGGGCCTAGCTTAATTTTTCAAACAGTATTTTGCATATTGATGAGGAATAAAAAAACCTGAACTGAGGTTGCAGCAAGAGAGCAATGGTGGTGTGCAGGCTATATTTTTCATCTTAAACACCATGATTTACTCTAGCCGTTTCTCGAGTAACAAATCCTGTACCTGAAATTCATGCTTGGAATGCCTTAAAGGGATGCAAAGGCAAGTTGATTTTTCAACTTATAAAGTTATTCTGCTTAATTTGGTCTTGTTAAGGGTGAAGGGAAGGTGGGACATCAAAGGTGGATAAAACATCTCATCTCTCTATTTGAGCTTCCAGACTGGAATCTCATTGTAGGATAAAGGTATGTGAAAAATACATGTTTCTTGAAGTATTCTCTTAGGTAGTGATATGGTTTGGCTGTGTTTCCACACAAATCTCATCTCGAATTTTAACTCCCACAATACCCATGTGTTCTGAGAGAAACCCAGTGGGAAGTAACTGAATCATGGGGGTGGATCTTTTCCATGCTTTTCTCATGATAGTGAATAAGTCTCAGAAGATCTGATGGTTTTAAAAATGGCAGTTTCCCTTCACAAGTTCTCTCTGCCTTCTGCTATCCATGTAAAATGTGACTTGTTCCTCCTTCCCTTCCACCATGATTGTGAGGTCTCCTCCCCTAGCCATGTGGAACTGTAAGTCCATTAAACCTCTTTATTTTGTAAATTGCCCAGTTACAGGTACATCTTTATCAGCACTGTGAAAATCGACTAATATAGGAAGCACAGATTTTTACTTTTACTCACTCTTCAGAGCAAGGACTTATTAAGTAACACATTACATTGTAGGAAATATTGCACTAAAATCAGAAACTCATTTGTACCACATCAGCAGATTAGTGGGATTTTGTTTACTTTCAATTTTTATTATTTAATAATATAGGGAACAAGATACATGGGAAAACAACTTAAAATCATACCATCCTGAGACTGCCACTATGAACATTTCATAACAATCTTTTCACACATACTCATTAACCCCATAAAAGAACAAATACTAAACCACACTGTTATTATCTGGATTTTTTGGCTTTGTTGTTTTGCTTACTTTCACAATCATTAACTTCATTCACCAGGTTACCATTGTTTACTATCTATTAGATGTTCTTCTAACCCTCATATAATCTTAAATATGCATTTATCTATGTATATAGATAGATCTATAAACCACACGCATATGCATAATTGTTTATTTGTTATTGTTTCTTTCTTTTTGTTTTGTTTTGCTTTGAGACAGGACCTCTCGCCGTCACCCAGGCTGGAGTGCAGTGGTGCAGTAGTGGCTTACTGCAACCTCTGCCTCCTAGGTTTAAGTGATTCCCCTGCGTCTGCCTCCTGAGTAGCTGGGATTACAGGAGTGAGACCCCACGCTAAGTTTTGTATTTTTAGTAGTAATGGGATTCCACCATGTTTGACAGGCTGTTCTCGAACTCCTAACCTCAAGTGATCTGCCTGCCTTGACTGTTTCTTCCATCAAAAGAACAGAATATTCTACCTCTGTCTTTATTCCTTTTCTTAATTAGAAAAGGTGAATTTTTTTTTTCAAGTCAAAAGGTAGAAATTTAATTCATTCACTTAAATGATTGAATAGTACTCCCTGGAAAGAACTTGCCACAGTTTCTTCAGTCTTTATATTTTTTGTATAGACATTAATTGTGTTTGCTATTTTGTCACTAATGGAACTTTTTGTTTGTGGGAAATAGATTTCCAGGAGTGGATATCTATTAATAGGTTGAAGCAAATCTATACATTAATTTTAAGAAACATTTGCAAGATTGGTTTTCTTGTTTTGGTTTTCACCATAGCACTTATCGTATCTTATATCTTCTGTTCTTTATTTATTTTCTGTTTTTTTCACTAGAAGAAATAGTTTTATAAGAACTCAAGATTGGATCATCTATTCACTGCGGTATTCTGTGTCTGGTACATACCAAATCTGCAATTGGTATTTGTTGAATAAAAAAATGATTGGTTTAGAATTGCTAAAACCATAAAGATTAAATATCATAGTTAATGGAGGGCTTCTCCTTTTTATTTCTGATTTAATGAAAATTGCATCATTTCTCCATGAAGAAGAATGTTTAATCATATAAGAAAAATTATTTATAAAAATTAACATGCTGTACTTACATTTCTGTTTACCTGGAGTCTTTTGCTTTGTTTTGTGAGCCTGTGTGTGTGTGCGTGTGTTTTGTTTATTTTGTGGGTTTTTGTTCAGCGATAAATGCCATGAATAATTACTTTTCAATATTTGCTATTTAATTAATGTTTCACCTCCAATTTCCTTATGTATTGCATGCATAAATTTCTTTCTTTCTTTCTTTTTCCTTCCTTCCTTCTTTCCTTCTTTCTTTCTTTTCTTTTCTTTCTTTCTTTCTTTCTTCCTTCCTTTTTCTTTATCTTTTTTAAAATTACACTTTAAGTTCTGGGGTACATGTGCAGAACATGCAGATTTGTTACATAGGTGTACACGTGCCATGGTGGTTTGCTGCACCCATCAACCCATCATCTACATTAAGTGTTTCTCCTAATGCTATTCCTCCCCTAGCCCCGGACCCACGACAGGCCCAGGTATGTGATGTTCCCCTTTCTGTGTCCATGTGTTCTCATTGTTCAGCTCCCACTTATGAGTGAGAACATGCGGTGTTTGGTTTTCTTTCTTTTCTTTCTTTCTTTTCCTTCTTTCTTTCTTTCTTTCCTTTCTTTCTTTCTTTCTTTCTTTCTTTCTTTCTTTCTTTCTTTCTTTCCTTCTTCCTTCTCTCTTCCTTTCCTTCTTTCTTTCATTCTTTCCCTCCCTCCCTCCCCTCCCCTTCCTTCACTTCCCTTCCCCTTCCTTCCTTCCTTCCTTCCTTCCTTCCTTCCTTCATTCTTTCCTTCCTTCCTTCCTTCCTCCTTTCCTTCCTTCCTTCCTTTCTTCCTTCCTTTATTTTCCTTCTTTCTTGGGACAGGATCTCACTCTGTCTCCTACACTGCAGTTAAATGACGTGATCATAGCTCAGTGCGCCTGTAACTCCTGGGTTCAAGTGAATTTCCTGTCTCAGTCTCCCAAATAGCTTAACAGCGGGGACTATGTGGTTATACTACCACACCTGGCTAATTTTGCTTGTTTGTTTGTTTATTTATTTATTTATTTATTTTTGAGACAGAGTCTCGCTCTGTCGCCCAGGCTGGAGTGCAGTGGCGTGATCTCAGCTCACTGCAAGCTCCACCTCCTGGGTTCATGCTATTCTTCTGCCTCAGCCTCCCAAGTAGCTGGGACTGCAGGGGCCCACCACCACGCCCTGCTAATTTTTTTGTATTTTTAGTAGAGACGGGGTTTCACCGTGTTAGCCAGGATAGTCTCAATCTCCTGACCTTGTGATCCGCCCGCCTTAGCCTCCTGAAGTGCTGGGATTACAGGTGTGAGCCACCGCACCCGGCCTTTATTTATTGTAGAGATGGGTGTCTCACTAGTTAGACTAGGCCAGTTTCCAACTCCTGGTCCCAAGCAATCCTCTTGCCTCAGCATCCCAAAGTTCTGGGATTATAGGCATCAGCCATCTCACCCTGCTTGATTTCTTAATATTGAATCAATCATTCTTGTGTTTCTGGAATAAATATTTAGGCATAGCGTTTTTATATACCATTACATTTGTTAATATTATATGACAAATAATTCCATAGAAAATTATAATCAAGGTTCCTTGCTAAGATTATTTTTGTTTGTTTTTAGTTTTATTTTTGTAAGTTTTTTTAATTGAAATTACACTGCCTTCAGAAAATGACTTCACAAGATATCTATTGTGTTATAACACTTAGGACATTTAAAACGTTGTTAAAATTGTATAATCATTAAAACTTAAAATTCATAGTAAAACCACATGTCCTTTGGCTGTTTTAGTTGGCAGAGTTTTTTTTCAATTATACTTTAAGTTTTGGGATAAATGTGCAGAACATGCAGGTTTGTTATATAGGTATACAAGTGCCATGGTGGTTTGTTGTACTCATCAGCCTGTCATCTACATTAGGTATTTCTCCTAGTGCTATCCCTCCCCTAGCCCCCCACCCCTTGGCAGATCCTGGTGAATGATATTCCCCTCCCTGTGTCCATGTGTTCTCATTGTTCAACTACTACATATGAGTGAGAATATGCGGTGTTCAGTTTTCTGTTCTTGTGTTAGTTTGCTGAGAATGATGGTTTCCAGTTTCATCTGTGTCCCTTCAAAGGACAGGAACTCATCCTTTTTTATGGCTGTATAGTATTCCATGGAATATATGTGCCACATTTTCTTCATCCAGTCTGTCATTGATGAACATTTGGGTTGGTTCCAAGTCTTTGCTATTGTGAATAGTGCTGAAATAAACACATATGTGCATGTGTCTTTATAGTAGAATGATTTATAATCCTTTGCATATATACCCAGTAATGGGATTGCTGGGTCAAATGGTATTTCTGGTTCTAGATCCTTGAGGAATCACCACACTGTCTTCCACAATGGTCACAGCCAATATCATACTGAATGGAGAAAAGCTGGAAGCATTCCCTTTGAAAACCAGCACAAGACAAGGATGCCCTCTCTCACCACTCCTATTTAATATCATATTGGAATTTCAGGCAGGGCAATCAGGCAATAGAAAGAAATAAAGAATATTCAGATAGGAAGAGAGGAAGTCAAATTGTCTCTGTTTGCAGGTGACATGATTGTATATTCAAAAAAACCCATCATCTCAGCCCAAAATCTCCTTAAGCTTATAAGCAACTTCAGCAAAGTCTCAGGATACAAAATCAATGTGCAAAACTCACAAGTATTCCTATACATCAATAATAGACAAACAGAGAGACAAATCATGAGTAAACTCCCATTCACAATTGCTTCAAAGAGAATAAAATACCTAGGAATACAACTTACAAGGGATGTGAAAGACCTCCTCAAAGAGAATTGCAAACCACTGCTCAAGGAAATAAGAGAGGACACAAACATGGAAAAATATTCCATGCTCATGGATAGGAAGAATCAACACCATGAAAATGGCCATACTGCCCAAAGTAATTTACAGATTCAATGCTATCTCCATCAAGCCACCATTGACTTTCTTCACAGAATTAGAAAAAACTACTTTAAATTTCATATGGCACCAAAAAAGATCCCATATAGACAAGACAATCCTAGCAAAAAGAACAAAGCTGGAGGCATCACGCTACATGATTTCAAATTATACTACAAGGCTACAGTAACCAAAACAGCATGGTACTGGTACCAAAACAGCATGGTACTGGTACCAAAACAGATATATAGACCAATGGAACAGAACAGAGGCCTCAGAAATAACACTACACGTCTACAACCATCTGATCTTTGACAACCCTGAGAAAAACAAGCAATGGGGACAGGATTCATTATTTAATAAACGGTGTTGGGAAAACTGTCTAACCATATGCAGAAAACTGAACTGCTTCCTTACACCTTATACAAAAATTAACTCAAGATAAATTAAAGACATAAATATAAGACCTAAAACCATAAAAACCCTAGAAGAAACCCTAGGCATTACCATTCAGGACATAGGCATGGGAAAAGATTTCATGGCTAAAACACCAAAAGCAATGGCAACAAAAGCTAAAATTGACAAATAGGATCTAATAAACTAAAGAGCTTCTGCACAGCAAAAGAAACTATCATCAGAATGAACAGGCAACCTACAGAGTGGGAGAAAATTTTTTGCAATCTATCCATCTGACAAAGGTCTAATATCCAGAATCTACAAGGAACTTAAAACAAATTTACAAGAAAAAAGCAAACAACCCCATCAAAAAGTGGGCAAAGTATATGAACAGCATTTGTCAAAAGAAGACATTTATGCAGCCTACAAACATATGAAAAAAAGCTCATCATCACTGATCATTAAAGAAATGCAAATCAAAACCACAATGAGATACCATCTCACTCCAGTTAGAATAGTGATCATTAAAAAGTCAGGAAACAACAGATGCTGGAGAGGATGTGGAGAAAAAGGAATGCTTTTACACTGTTGGTTGGAGTGTAATTGGCAGACTTTCATTGCCATTCCAGTCTCCATAAGGCAATCAGTTTATACAAGTTACCTGTTACTCTGAACTTTGCTAATTATGATGTTTTCAGAAAATTATTGACCTTTTCTAAATTTTCAGAATTATTGCTGTATAATTGTATTTTATTTTATATCTGTGTTTTATGTTCTTTTACATTTAATTAAAATTATACTTTGAGTATTTTTCCCTCTTTTTGCCCCAGTATAGGCTAGCAAAGGCATATCTATTGAACAACTCTTTTCAAAGGCTTACACCATGGAATACTATGCAGCCATAAAAAATGATGAGTTCATGTCCTTTGTAGGGACAGGGTTGAAGCTGGAAACCATCATTCTCAGCAAACTATCGCAAGGACAAAAAACCAAACACTGCATGTTCTCACTCATAGGTGGGAATTGAACAATGAGAACACATGGACACAGGAAGCAGAACATCACACACCAGGGACTGTTGTGGGATGGGGGGAGGGCGGAGGGATAGCATTAGGAGATATACCTAATGCTGAATGACGAGTTAATGGGTGCAGCACACCAACATGGCACATGTATACATATGTAACAAACCTGCACGTTGTGCACATGTACCCTAAAACTTAAAGTATAATAATAAAAAAAAATTTATGCACACACTCATATATGCACACTTGTAGGTATAGATTTCTCTATGTCCCTACATCTGAAGCCTACAGGGAGAACAAGAAGTTTAAATATTTCATATTAATGTTTGTTTGTACATATTTGGTGTGCATTCTTAGTTAAAATATTCTGAACTCATGTGGACAACTTTTAATTGAAGGGGGAACAATCTGTTTCTATATAGCATAATACTATAATAGTATATAGAAATATACTATTATACTATAATATATACTACATATATAATATATAGCATATTATATACTATTAACATAATATATAATTATTGTATAACACTATATAGTTTCTATATAGTATTATATATTATATATGGTGTTATAACTATATGTAGTATAGCATTGTATTATATATAGTATTATAACTATATAGTATTATATATATATAAAATACCATATAGAAATGGATATCTGACAAATTTTCCTATTTCACAAACTCACCTTCCAGACTTTTTCTACCAAGAATGCTGAAGAAGATGAGACACAGGTACATAAACCCACTTAAAGCTGGATTAAAACATCGTAGGTGTTTTTACTCTACAAATTGGCCCCAAAAATTACCATGCTTCTACATACTCCATTAAATACAAAGGTAACACCACATATCCCCATAAAAAATTATCGTCTCCCTGGAGGTGTGAATCTTGAGTAGGTGGCTTTCAGGGTCATTGTGACAACATCTTTAAGTGACGGGACTGGCAAAGTTCGTCACGATATATTACTTCTTGTCTATTTTTAATTTTGCTGCGAAATGAGGATATTGGACAAATAATCTTCAGAGTTTATTTTGGGGTAAAAAACATTTATTTGACGGATAAGAAGGGTGAAGAAAGGGTAATTTCATTTTGCATCAGAAGTAAGTTTTCATTGTTGAGAATTAAATTAACAGCACATGAAACTGGCTTTTCCTAAGTTCATATTTTTGAACAAAAAAGATGAAAAGGGGAAGCAACCCCTAACTAAAGTGGAGCTATAAAGTGCCCACCAAAGAATACAGTTATTGCGTTTTCTCTATTTATTAAAAAGAAAAACAATAAAACTTATCTAATCCCATGTGCACATAAGATTTCTTTCTTGAAGTCTGGTTACTCTCTACTTCTGTGATTCTATGAGATTCTGTCTGTGAATGCAGCTTGATTTGTGGTTTCCACTGGTTACCAGCCTTGCCCCTTCCTTAGTT
This sequence comes from Homo sapiens, assembly GCF_000001405.40. Taxonomy (NCBI): domain Eukaryota; kingdom Metazoa; phylum Chordata; class Mammalia; order Primates; family Hominidae; genus Homo; species Homo sapiens. Next base: position 40,797,502 of record NC_000018.10, read on the forward strand.
AAAGCAAGGTGCTCATTCTGTGCTATGGCTTTTTATACAAGTAATTTGTTTATACCTTGTTTGAGAAGGGGGACATCTCTTTGGCTCTGCAAAAGTCTGTGAGAATATCAATGGGTGGTTATTGCCATCTAATAATTACCACCAAAAAATCAATCAGAAACTAAGACAATTTAACCAATGAGGAGCACCATGCATTAAAAATATTAATAAAAGATTACATTTTGGAAAGTTTATATTTTTGATTTTTAATTACAGAAATAAAATCAGCAACCTTTCCCAGATAGATTTTGAAAAGAAATGTTTTTATAATGTCAATTTTTACATACAAAACAGTCTTCAATTAATATTGAAGTTAATATGGAGGTTTATTAAAAAATAAAGCAAGAGGTCTCGGCAGTGATTTTTTTGTTTTGGATATGACAGCAAATCACAGGCAACAAAAGAAAAAATTAACAAGTGGGACTACATCAAATGAAAAAGCTTCTGCACAGAAAAGGAAACAATCAATGAAATGAAAATTCAACCTACAGAATAGAAGAAAATATCTGCAAACCTTATATGTGATAAGATAAAAGGTTTTAATATATCCAAAATATATTTAAAAATATAACTCAATAATACAAAAACTAATAATTTGATTATAAAATGGGCAAAGGACTTGAATAGACATTCTTCCAAAGAGTACATAAAAAATGGTTAATAGGTGTATGAAAAGTCCCTCAGCATCAGTAATCTTCAGGAAGGTGCAAATCAAAACCACTATGAAATATTCCTTCACGTCTGTTAAGATGACTATTATCAATAAGACAAGAGACAACAAATGTTTGCTGGGGTATGGAGAAAAGAGAACCCTTGCACGCTGTTGGTGGTAATATAAATTGTTATAGCCTTTATGAAAACACTATCTAGGTTCCTTAAACGTTAAAAATGGAACTGACATATGATTCGACAATCTTGCTTCTGGTTATATATCCAAAGGAAAGAAAGTCCTGACCTCTTTTCCTTTGGATATATATCTCTTGTATATCGAAAAGATATATTGTAGATACATCTTTGCTCCCATGTTCTTTGCCACATTATTTACAATAGTCAAGGTATGGAAACAATCTAAGTGTTTGTTATGGATAAATAGATAAACAGTGACACACACACACACACACACACACACACACACACACGGGAATATTATTCAGCCATAAAAAAGAAAAGAATCTTGCCATTTGCATCAACATGGATAAACATGTACAACATTATGCTAAATGAAATAAGCCAAACATAGAAAAACAAATGGTCTCATTTACATGTGGAATCTAAAAAACTCAAACTCACAGAAGCAGAGAATAAAGTAGGGGTTGCCAGGGCCCAGGAGTGGGTGAAATTGGGGAGATGTTGATCAAAGGGTGAAAACTTCCAGTTATAACATGAATGAATTCCAGGGATCTAATCCACAGCTTAGTGACTATAGTTAATGACGGCCTACTGCTTACTTGAAATTTGCTAAGAGAGATCTCAAGTTTCCTCATCATAGACACACACACACATACACACCCACACACACAGCTAATCATGTGTGGTGATAGATGTGCTAAATAATTTGATTATAGTAATCATTTCAAAATGTACAAATATATCAGATCATCACATTGTACATTGTGAATACATAAAATGTTTGTCAATTATACTTAAATAAAACTAGGAAAAATTAAATAAAAAATAAAAAATAAAGCAAAATGTGTGGTCAGCAAGAAAGATCAATTAAAGACCTTTAAAAATTTTCTTATCCATAAAAACAAGAAAACTGGCAAGATTATTCAAATCAACTTTTTCAGAACTCTGGAAATTAACCAGAGGCTTGCAACAATTGAAGAAGCAGTGATTCAAGGAAAACAGTTGATTCGTTTAAGAAGAGTGAGATTCACCACACTGTCTTCCACAATGGTTGAACTAATGTACACTCCCACCAACAGTGTAAAAGCGACCACCAAGGCACGTGTATAGCTATATAACAAAACTGCATCATCTGCACATGTAACCCAGAACTTAAAGTATAATAATAAAAAAAAGAAGAGTGAGATTAATAGCATCTTAATGTTCCCTATTTCTTTCCACACCACCCACCCCCATTCAGCTCATGGTAGTCTTGAAAATCAGCCTGCAATTACAGTAAAATCAACAGCCTGACAGCCACTAGAGATGACAAAATGAGTGCAAAGTTATTTCTGGGTGTATTTGTGTGGTTGTTTCCAAATGAGATTAGCATTTAAATCTTGCATAGACTTAGTAGATTGCCCCTCCAGATGTGGTTGTGAGTGGGCATCATCCAATCCTCAGGCCTTTAAACTCGGACTGAACGGCACCACTGGCTTTCCTGAGTTTTCAGCTTGCAGAGGGAAATTCACAGAATTTTTCAGTTTCCATAATCATACGAGCTAATTTTTCATAGTAAATCTCTTCTTACATATTGGCTCTGTTCTCTGGAGAACACTAACACAGTTCTGATTTGTTTTTTTCAGCCTTTCTGATCATCTACATTTTCTACAATAAATAATATACTCATTTTTATCAGGAGAAATCACATATTACTATTCAATTAAAATTGTAAATGAAATTTACAGGAACAAGTAAAATAAGAACATTAAGTATAGGTTCAAGAAATTTTTACATTTTGTTTGCAAAGTTTTGACAGGATTTTAAGTGATATAGATGTAAACTTCTAAAGTGATGTTAAGGAATTTTTAAACATGTTTCCAACTCCTTAATCATACTCTTAAGTCTGATGCTTACATACTTATTTGTAACATTTTATGACTAGACATGCACATATGAAAGAAGCATTATTAGGGATAAATAATGTTTGTTGGATTAGTTTAACAAAATGAATACAAGATGTAGAATTCATACGGATGGATATAGATTTGGAAATAAAAAATGTTATACATTGGTTTTTAATTGTGTTATATTTCCTCAAGTAGTATCTATGCTGCTTTTATCATTACTATTATAATATTACTATTGGTAATGTCTGTACAAATGTTTGCACCTTTAATACACATTTCAATGGTGATTATTCTCAATATTGTTTCATTCAAGATGACTTCAGAGATTATTAAGGTGCATTGTCTTTCTTAGAAAAATAGTGAACAGTTGAAGGTTGGTAGTCATTATTTATTTAAAAAAAAGAAGAAGAAATTGTCAGAACTATTAGCTTATGATGCAGTGATTGCCTCTGAGTAACAGAGACAGAGTGAAATGCTACATAGGGTCCTTGCTATCTAACTTGAATGTTTAGATTGGCAGTCAACTAAAGTACTTTCCTAAATATCTTTTTCCAGAAGTAGAAACTCTTCCAGATGAGGCACTGAAGGTAACATGACGTTTATTTTTTCCTAATCCAAAATTACTCTGGCATATTAATAAGCAATTTTGTGTTATTATTTTTACCATTATTTGAATGCTATTTGAATGTATAAATCTTATATATGAGACTTATAGAACAATTTTTAAAGCTAGCAATGGAATCCAATAAGTTCAGATGCTGTAAACCATTCATATTCAGAATGTGATTGAAGACATATAGCAAGTTCAGAAGTGGGAGGAGCAAATGTTTTAATTACTGCTGAGGAAACATCCGATTTACCCAGGGTGAATCACAAGTGAGTGAATGAGTGGTGAGATGGACCTATAACTGTATGGACCATTTTATCTTCATATATGTGTGTCTGTCTACCAATTTGAAAAACCAAAGTTCTCTTTTAAAATGAAAATTACCTTCTTTGATAGAGAGTTATGAATTCCCTGAGGGATTACTTTTGCCTTGATTGCTGAAGTTGAAAGGAGCATCCTTAAAAGCAGAGAGAGAGAGAGAGGAACAGGCACACTGAAGTTCTTTAGTGGCAATTTCCAATCTATTTGCAGTTGTTTTTACCCATAAACTGTCTGGCAGAATGTTGATTTTTATTGTCATTGATATTTATTTCATTTTGTCCCCTGATTCTTGTAAACTGCATATGAAATAAAAAGCAAGCAAACAAATAGCTTTTGGTGGATGGCCTATTCTTCGGTCAAAATGATTCACGCTGGAAAATTCCAGATGAGTTCATGGTTCTAATCAGTAATTAACTAACACACACGTATAGCTCCAACTTCCTTATTTTCTGAGTTGTGTCTTATTCTCACTACGCCTGACTCAGGTAGGGGTAATTTTCAAAGGTATGGCCTTTTCTTCTTGATTGGATTTCAGACATGGAATAGATTTCTAAGATGGAGAAGATGAATTCTAAGGGAGCCAGAACATCTTTGAGGGTCACCTGTGTTGTAACTAGAGAAAAGAGAAAGCATACCTCATATACTGGTATACATATTTTCAATTGTTTATATATTTAACTTGAGGGCCTTACATTTTTAATGTGGCAATTGAAGAAATACACAGAAAGTCTATAGTTAGACTATTAAATTATCCAGAATGAAGGTGCTATTAAAAATCATGAATCAGATCATTAAATTCCATCTTGATTACTTTTCATGAGGTCTTCTTGAGACACCATATGAATCTTATATAAGCAATTAAAATATAGCTAATATAAGCATGAAATAGCTGAGGAAATATTAAAATATATTATTAACATATTATATATTATATTAACATTTGATATTAAAATAGTAAAATATGGCATACTCTACATGGTAGACTTTATAAACACAGTACTTTGTATGGTTAGGCTGCACTAAGTTTATTTTAAATATTTATGTTTCCTCAATAGGCAATTAAGCTTGGCTTATTACATTTTTTTACTTTAAAAACTTTTAAAACTTTTTGACTCTGTTATAATAACACTTAGCTTAAAATACAAATACCTTGTAAAGTTGTACAAAAATATTTTCTTTCTTTAAATAGTTATTCAAAAACTTCTGTTTCTTTTTCAAATTTTTTGGACTACTTATTTAAAAACTAGCACACAAACAAACATTTGGCCTCAGCCTATGCAGGGTCAGGATCATCAGTATCACTGTCTTCCACCTCCATATCTTGTCCCACTTGGAAGGTCTTCAGGGGCAATTAGCATGCATGGAGCTGTCATCTCCTGTGACAGCAATTCTTTCTTCTGGAATACCTCCTAAAGGACCTGTCTAAAGCTGTTTTACAGTTAACTTTTTAAATCTACACACACACACACACACACACACACACACACACACACACACAGAAGGAGTATACTTTAAAATAATGACTAAAAGTATAGTATAGTAAAGACATAAACCAATGACATAGTCGCTTACAATCTTTATCAGGTATTCTGTATTTTACATGATTGTATGTGCTAGGCTTTTATACAACTGGCAACGTGGTAGATGTGTTAACATCAGCATCACCACAAAAATGTGAGTAACACATTGTGTTACCATATTATGACAGCTACCCTGTCACTAGGTGATAGGAATTCTTCTGCTCCATTATAATCTTACGGGACCAGCTTTGTATATGCAGTCTGACATTGACTGAAAAGTTGTTACGAGGCACATGACTGTCTACATAAAATGATATTCAGTCTTAGAACATGCAACAACATGGGTGAAACCTGAGGACATTGTGCTAAGTGAAATAAGCCAGTGACAAAAGGGCAAATACTGTATGATTCCATGTATAGGTCATAACTTGAAGTAGTCCAATTCATACACACAGTAAGTAGAGTGCCAGTTTCACGTGGCTAAGAGGAGGAGGCAATAAGGAGTTGTCTAATTATTGTGAAGTTTGAGTTTGGGAAGTTTAAAACGTTTTGGAGATAGAGCGTGGTGATGGTTATGTAACAATATGAATGTACTTAAGGCCACTGAATGGTATACTTGAAGATGTTTAAATGGTAAATTTAATGGTAAGTATATTTTACTAACATTAAAAAATCAAACAAAAAGTAAAAGAAAGGGGGTTGCATTGAAGTATAAACACTTCGAAGAGCTGTATTGCAAGAAACTTGGTGAAAAAAAAAAAGAGAGAGAGATCAAAAGACAGAGTGTACTTTTGCCGCAAGGAGTGCAAACTCTTTACTACAACATAGTGGATATTAGCCCATGGAGGAAGCCTGGGTGATCATGGTTCAGACATGCCAGAGCTCCCTCATTTTGCAAAAACAGGAGTAGGGGAAGAGGTGGTCAGATCTGCAGTTGTCAACCAACCCCTAGAAGACAAATCATAAAATTGGGAAGAGCAGGGGAATTATCGCTGTTTATTTTCATTCAGATATTGAACAAGAACAGGTAAAAGAAACTATTTTAAAGCCTTCTGTGTTTCAAGGGGTTTCATGGTTACATTGTGTAATTCCAGTATTTCTAATGTGCATTGAAGCCTATCTGGTATTTTCAAGAATGAAACAGATGATATTTCAGAAATAAAAATTTAACAACAAATTTCTACCCTAATACACAAGCTAAAAATCCACCATTAGAATTTGATGTGTCTGTGAGTATGTGTGTGCACATGTGTGTAGAATTATCTTCTAAAAGGACAATCTATAATTTCTGATTATTTATAGACAATGACAACTGATAAACATTAAATTTCTGAAAGAGTAAAAAATAATTACTTAAATGTTTTCAAGAAGTCTAGGATATTACATTTAAGAGTTACTTAAATGTTTTCAGAAAGTCTAGGAAATATTAACATTTCTTTTCTTATGCTTTTAGATTGACAGTCCTCAAAACTAAACAGGTTATATGTAAGAAGACACAGTTCTGAAAATCAGACAGGTTCACTTTCGTAATCCACAGTCCCAGGCAGAGATGAAATGAGAAGTGTGGATTGTGAGGAGTAGGCCAACCAGAGAGAACTCAAAGAGGGACAGAACAGAGGAGAATTTCTGAGCAGGTCTGAGATTTACCATTTATTCTCTAACCTTGCACGATGTACTTATTTCTTTTATGCTTTAGTTTCCTCATATCTAAAATGAAGGTTTTAAAGGTATTTAACTCATAGAGTTCAGAGGAGAATTAACTAGGATAATACTAAAATCAGTAATGCATAGTAAATTCCTACTGTGTGCAAATATAATTATAATATTAGTAATATTATTGATAATAATTGTTAATTATATTTTCATATTATCTTTGTTTCAGGAACAATGCTAAATGTTTCATAAATATCACTTTAGTTGATATTCTCAATAATCCTGTGAGGTCTATATTATTTTTACTCCTTTCTTTCCACATTGTAAATGGAACGTAAGACACAGAGAAGATGAATAACTGAAGGCCACTATGTGGCAGACTGAGGATTCCAAAAAAGTGTGCTGGCTTCAGAGCTCATGCTCCTAACACACAGTAAATGTTCAATGAATGAGAATCAGTGGTACTTTGTACATTATCATATCAGCAAGACATTAATTTAAAGGGGAAATAGCACACAAAACATTTCCATGGGCTAAATATCATCAATGGATTTATTTCTTTTACTTCTTTAATTCTTTTTTTTTTAAATGCTCATTTTATTTTTATTAGTCTTCTCATAAGAAGAATAGTCAGCTTTCTTTTACTACTACTAAAATTAGACCTGTTTTCACACATAAAAACAGGAGGTGATGGCTTGATATAATATTTTCTCTTAAATACCTACCATACATATTATCCATATAAATTTGGATATTAAGATTGGAAAGAATTGAGGAACTGGAAAAAGAAACAATGTAGAGGAAAAGTTATAAGCACAAAAGAATGAGTATTCAGGGGGAATAAGAAAATTTTACTTGCTCCGGACTCATCTACATTGTTGAAATAGGTAGGCTTATTTCAATTACCCAATCTAAAAACCAAACAGATTCCTAGCCTGAAGACACAATAGGTGGCAAATTATTTCTAGGATGGAGAAAGAAGGGCTGTAGCACAGTTTTCAGGCTGGAAAACATCCTTAATATTTCATATGGTTGGAACTTTGCTTCTCCAGCCCAAAATTCTGTCCCTGCTGTGGGACTGAGGCACAGTTCAAGGAAGGCCTTCAGACTTTACCTGACATCCCAGCAACAGGTGGGATAGTCTCAGAAACAAAAATCTTAATGCTGGAAGAGATCATCATGATTCATTGTATTTCAAACCACTTACAGTGTGAGACGTAGATCATTTAAAGAACCCATCCCAATTTACAGAGTCCATGAGCTTGATCAATAGTTGTCCCCTGTGCTCATCCTTCTCTCTATATATCCAAGTTTATTGGATGTTCTCTTGTTTCCACTTTTACCACTTAACTAGGCAGCAGACTTTTATCATGGAAAGGAGCCTCCTGCTTAATTTTCTATTTTAGAAGACTTATTAAACTATAATAAACTGAGCTGGCTGCATTTTTGTTTCCCAAAGACAATTACATTTTTAAGTATGAAAACTACATCTGCATTATGGCTGTCCCCCTGTTCCTTTTCCTGAAATCAAAGTGTTGGTAACTAGAAAGCTGGATGTTGTACTGTCAACGGGCAGCCTTTGGTTGTCAGATGCCTTTATTTTATCCTAATTTAAAGATGCCTCAAATAGGGGCACCTCACAAACTACAGCAATGTCCTCTGGTACCTTCTGTTATGTAATTGTATCCTCACCAATAATAATTTGGGGTCTTCTCTTTATTTTTATTAATTGATTGATTGATTGGTTTTTCTCTCTATGCAGGAGTTTCATGCAAAGGTGATTGAATCACATTCCATCTGTTTTATCCAGCAAATGTTTCTATCAACTTGCAAATGATTATGTTAAAAAAGTGGAATCTGTTCATCTATGAAAGCACAAGATCGTTTTAAGACTCTCAGTCGTACAGAGGATAACAAAGGGAAAATAAAGATACTCTGCAAACTCTTAGCAAAACCTATCTATAAGTAAAACTGAAATGACTACAAAGAGTTATTATGAAACAGAAAAACCACATCATCTTCCTCTGGAAAACATTGCTCTCATTGTCAATTTGCTTTACATTTTAATGTGTAAATTTGTTCTTGGGATTTCACCTGAAAGACTCAACCATTTGGCATTCTGTGTAAGACGTAAATGTTATTAGAAACATGCAACAACATTTATTAAAATATATACGGAAACAAAGGCTAAGATTACTTTTCCACGTTTTTATTTCAGGGGTACCACTAGGGCATTTAAACATGGGTTAAACCAGATTCAAAAAGCTTTCACTAGACAGTTAACACAAATGACTAAGAGCTTAATCAACACATAATCTTTAAATACATTCAATAGAGGAATTGAACTGTTCATTGCATTATAATTTATAGGGTTTTTGTTTTTGATTACATAAGGGAAATGCATTTTTTATGCCTTAAAAGCATTCTTTTGTGATGTCAAAAAGACATTACACTATTGTTTAGAAAACGGTGTTTCAATTTGTTGGGGAAGTCTAAAATCACCGGAGTGGAAAAGATAACAAGTAGATTCTTCAAAGTCTTGCATTTGTGGCTTTTCTTTTTTTCTTCTCAACTTCTTTTCTTTGGTTAGATAATGAACACAGCTTTTCTCAATGGCATCTTCTAAGTGTTTAAATTTTATATTTAGTATATTTGTGGAAAGGCAGTGTAAACAGGATTAAAATCAGTAATTACTATTCCAAACAAGCATAAGGAAAGAAAATGGTAGTGAAAATAAAGTTTATGAATTTTTATTTTTTAATTTTTTTTTACATTTGGTAGTAGTATAAAAGTAATTCAATCTCCACTTAAACAATACCTGAGGTGACTATGTGGTTCAGCTGTTCCATCAAAGATAATTACAGAAAATTAAAGTGCTAAAGAGGCAAAGCTGCTCTTCTTATTTTGAAGTTTTTCAACATACTAAAGGAGGATGATTTTCAGAAGAGAAGACCCTTTGTTAGCATCTGTTTTATCCTCTTCCTCAAACGACAGCCCAGTTCTCTCCTAAGCAAGTCCCTGTGGCCGGTCTCCTCTGTTTATCCCGATCCTTATTGCCCCACACACATTCATCATACTAACACAGACAATAAAAAATTGCTGCTTATTCTGAAAATACTGTGAACTCTTATCAGTCAAAAGGAAAAGGACACATTCCTTTCACTGGGAGTTTGTTGTAGTGATTGTTTCTGTAGGTCAGCCGAGGAGGGAAAAGCTGGTTTTGAGATAGTATCCCTCATTGTTCAGAGGAGAACTCAAATGGAGATAGAGATATCAGTCTGAGAAAGAAGAGACACCCAAGCCATACAGATCCCCTCCCTCTCTCTCTTCTCCAAAGAAAAGGATTTGCATACACAAGTTTCCTTCTGAGCTTTATCCAAGGCAGCTTTTGACAGATGCTATCTGAAAAAGTGTCTGGAGAGGGAAAACTAGTACATTAATCAGTATTTCAGATGCAGGTTGGGGCAAAGCAGAACTTTCCATTTCTGATGGGAAGATGCCCCTGGGGGTGTCTGTCCCTTTCCACGTCCCTAGGACTTCTCTAGAAAGTAATTTGCTCTGTGAGCTCTGGTAAACTATGTCTTTTTTCTATGGTTCCACTTACTCATTCAAAATTAGTTTAATTATAAATATTCTCCATCTAGTAGGGCTCTTTTGAGAAACAAAAATATAAGATATGTGAAATTGTTTTGAAATATTATGAATACACAAATATAAGCAATTATTGTCCTTAGGAATTAACAGAACTAAAGACCAAAGTACTATCCTAAGCAGCCCTACACTTGCAATTGTTTTTTAAACAAGATACTTATAAATAGCATTTTTTCATATATAAAATACTTTTGATAATCTCTCTCAATTCACATTTGGTCAACCTGATGTGTGTAAAAAGAGAGGTATATGTTCTCTAATTTTTTATTTAAACTATGCAAAAGAAATCTATCTCTTCTTGCCTTTTTCTAACATCACATCCTGTGTCCATCTACTTTTAGTACAGTAATTATCTTGTCAGAAATACAATATACTAGTCTTTAGACCAGACTAGTGTATTATATACACTAGTATGAAAAACGGGTTTTTTTAATGTTTTAACTGAAACAAATGTTTTTCTTTTAATTTTTCAAATATCTAATGTAAAACTTCAAGAAGTACGGTAATCTCATTACCAAAAATAGATTTTATATATTAAAACATGGCATTTTTCTTTAAAGATTCAACCACTGAAAAGGCAATATTGCTTAGATGGGGATAACAACTACAAGAGTTTTAAATCAGTTCATATTTTTTATCCCATCTCTTAAACAAACAATTTCCAGACATATCTACCTAAAATCAACAATTTATTTGCCTGATTCTTTGCTCTCCAGAGGCTGGTCTTTTACCTCTGTTGCACTCCAGCATGAATCATTTGGGATGTACATGGATCCATTTGATGGATCCATATATGAAGCATACTCACTTCTCTCTCAGTCTCTCTGCTTATCATTTCCCCTAACGCAGAGAAAGCAGAACATGACATTTGTCCTTTCTAGCATGGCTATCATGGTACCTCATCATTTTAATGAAACAAAATAACAAACATTCACTGGCGCTTTCTCTGTGCAAAAAACTATGCTGGTCGGGCACAGTGGCTCACGCCTGTTATTCCAGCATTTTGGGAGGCAGAGGCAGATGGATCACCTGAGGTCAGGAGTTTGAGACCATCCTAGTCAACATGGTGAAACCCTGTCCCTACTAAAAATACAAAAATTAGCTGGGCATGGTGATGTGCGCCTGTAATTCCAGCTACTAGGGAGTCTGAGGCAGGAGAATCACTTGAGCCCAGGAGGTGGAGTTGCAGTGAGCTGAGATGGCACCATTGCACTCCAGCCTGGGCAATAAGAGTGAGACTCCGTCTCAAAAAAAAAAAAAAAAAAAAAACTATGCCACTATGCCAAATAGTTTACATATAATGGAAACTTTAATTTTACAAAAAAATCTGTATCAAAATATAAAATGCTTATTTATTATAAACCTTTTTACTTTCCTTATTCTATTAATAAATGAGCACTAGACATTAAGATGCATTTGTAAATAATCTGAGATATGAACTGAGAAATCATATTCACTAGGTAAATCAAAAACCACTCTTGCCTATAAGAAAAGCCATTTGTTGGGTGGAGAAGTAACTATCTGTTATTGGGCAAGATTCATCAATTTTTTCAAAGAACCGGTTAACGTAGGGAACTGTCAATCAATGCATTTGTCAATCTTATGAACCTAGCCATAATTTAAGGTACTAGAAATTACACTGATTCCTTGTTATTTGCCTACTTTGCATCGATTAATTTGTGCTTAAAAAAAGGTAGAGAGACATTGCAGTGGAAATCTATCTAAAACCTCCAGATAAATCATATAATTAGGGCATTAAATGTCATGTTACTTAACAAAACAGTATTTTTGTATAGGTTACAGAGTACATACATATCTTTATATGCCTGAATACACATACCATATGAATACATGTGTGTTTTTACATATGTATTTATATATACATATATAAATACATGTGTGTGTTTTTATATATGTACACATACAAACACACACATATGTGTGTGTGTATGTGTATATATATAAAATAGGATATATAAATATATAAATATATATATTTATATATAATATCTAATTATAATGATATATAATTATAATATATCCTATTATAGTATAATAGGATTTATATACATTTATATTTATATAAATGTATATAAATTTATATATGTAAATACATATATATATAAAATAGGATATATATATATATATATATATATATATATATCCTATTACTTGTTTGGATGCCTTAGGGCACATTTTGCTAAATGATTAGATTCTATGTACATTAATATTTAAAACATATAAATATAAGGAGTTATCCTCAAAATATAACATAGAATTTGAAATAGCAACAAATAAGTTAAATAAGTGAATACCTAGAATCTATTCATTCATATCAAAATATGAATTTCTATAAATTTGTATTCTTCCTGTGAGCAAAAATAGGGGAAGTTTTTATGGGACATAACTGTAATTTTAAAAATGTCTAGCTGCCATCATGTTTGGAAAATGAGGATGACCTTTATTCAGGGTGGTGAATGTTCCTCAAAGCATGCAGCCTAGATGACTCAGTCTTGCTGTTGAAATCTGATGGAAAGAGTCCCCAGAGGCAAGGTCATTATCTGATAAAAGGTACTTCCTACCTGGGCTGCCCTCTTTATGAGCAGAAGTGGAGGGGAAAGTGAAACATAGTTCTTATGAGAAGATCAGCTCTCAGATAAACTTTTCTTTGTAAGAAGTGACTTTTCCAAGCTATTTCAAACCACTGGGATGTGGTGCATTTTGAAGATGGATAGTCAGCTGTGCCCCCACAGCTGTGAGAGCCTGGCACACTAGCTCTCCAGCCAGCTAGCAGGAAGACAGATACTGTCATCTGGGGGGAATGGATCACCCACAGATGTTTAGAAGAGGAGGATTGTCTATGTCCTTTGGCAAGCTCATGAACACCAACCTCTTGCATACAGGCAGAGAAAAAACTGAAATCAATGCCCAGCCTATCGTCATATTACCCAGCTTACTTTTACCACCACATCTTCATTCATTCTTAGGTGGAAGATAAATTGTTTGAGATGAAATTATTTGGACCTGGGGCAGATGCTGCAACATGTCTCCCTGTAAAGGTAACCCAATATACCTGGATTTTCTAATATCAAAGTTGCTTAAGAGCAAATTTCTTCTACAGAAAATGAAGACTCAATTTTTTCTTCTAGAAGTATTCCAAATCTAGAGGTAATGTTGACTTTTGAGTAAGTTTTTGTTTCCTCTGCATCCTACAAAACCTATTTGACACCACCATATGCTTGACCTCTGTCATGCTGCTTGCCAAAGACAACTGTGTCACCTAGAAGAAATGAACTTGTGAATGAAGAGATTCAGTCCTATAGAGATATTGTTGGAAATTCTTGATTCAGTGAAAAAAACCCAGAGAGCATATTTCCATAGTCCACTTTAGTCCATGTAATGATCATGGATAATAACAACACTATAGTAAAATGTCCAATTGCTAGGTTTTTTTTGTTTATTTGTTTTTCCTACTGACTCCAGATTTCACTATTTCTTTACATGCCTCAGCTGACCAATGCCTTAGTGGCCATGGACCATTTTCCATTTTGACTAACAGAAATATGACTTCTAGAAACATGCCTCCCCAATCTCCTCCATGTCAGTGTTCTCTGTTCCTGCAGATTACTTGCTACTGTATTTCAGCATAACTCAAACACAACCACTGTATCTCCAACACTAAATATTCTTATAAGTTTATTTTCTATAGCAACTGAGGTATTTTGGGGGGCCCAACAGAAATTTCCAGAAGACAAAATCTGATTGGCTAAGCCTATGTAATGGACTTGCTTTTCCTACATCAGGTGTCCTTCACTCTAATCAGAGTGGTAAAGTAAGGGTACAGTCATATTTACAATACAGCTATAGGAGCCTATTTTATGAGTTGAAATGGGTAATTTACAAAGAAAAAAAATGGGAGGATTGGGTAAGAAACCTAAAGATGTCATTGTCAGCTACTTCCTTCTCCACCTAGATCAGTAAGCAGAAGATAAGCAGAAAATAATATTGCAAATGCTTATTTCTCTAGATTAATGACAAAAGTGTCAGTATTATTCATGTATCCAGTATATTCATACTTCATTTCATTAATTTCAAAATCTAGGCACTTCTTCCCATAGGGTTTAATTATTCAGAGTTTTCACACTTGTCAAAGTTCAGATAAATGGTATTATATCCTTGTATCCCCACACTTTGTACAATGCCTGACATATAATGAATGTTTAATGAATGTTTGAATAAAGGAATTAATAAAGTTTTTGAATGAATTTTGCACACATTCTTGAATGTGTTTATACAGGCGTTGAGCCGTAATATTCTAGAAAACTGGAAGAAATTCTCTCACAAAGAGTTCATTGGAAACTTTTTATTGCAGTTATTTCATCAAGCAATAACCATGTATTTTTTACTTTGTCTCTTCTTAATCACAATTTACTTTTATTTTATTTCATAAGAAGGTATGTGTTATTCTTTTATTTTTACTGTTTGAATTTGGGATGTTAAAAGAGGCATCATCCACACATCTGGATAAATAGAATTATGGATTTTTACCTTAAATTTTCATTTGCATGTTCAAAAGGTGGAGATGTAAGTTTATTTGAGTTCAGTTACTTTTACTACTATAATAGTATCTAAGGTTCAAGCTTGACTTGTTGCCTTCTAATGACAACTGGTGATTTGGGCTTCAGTGGGGGTATTTAATTGAAATTTCAAATGTGTTTGAATGTGCTTTTTCTGTAAATGACTATGACTTGGCTCTGTGTTGTCTGCTACGTATTATACTATCCAATGTTAAGAACACATCGTTTCCTTTGATATATCAGAATATACTCTAATGCTTTAAGGTGTTCAACTTTGCCAAAATACTGCAACAAAATTAATGAAATGAAAATGTTCCATGAATGGAGCTATTTTTCCAAAACTGAGACATGTATTGAGTAAAAAACTATCATCCAAGGATAAAATCATGGCCAAAGGAGTTTGTTTTATCAGCATTGGCTCTTCTTAAATAATTTTAAAGAATAACAATGAGAAGAATTTTTCTGATTTGAGGAATAAGCAGTGCATTAAACTAGCCTGAGAGTAAATGCCACTCCCATGATGTCACTTCATGTACAATTCATGTACTTTCTTATTACCTAGAAGATAAATTCCAAACTATTCAGATTGATGTGACTTTCCTCAATCTGCTCCTATTCTATCATTTCAACTTTGTAAAGAATATTTTACTTACAGAAGACAGTCTTTTCACTTCCCACATATGAATCTCATTCTAAATTTAGGATCTTAATCATCACTCCTCATCTTTCTTTTCCTCTCTTGCTCATGATTTAGAACCGAACTAAATTGCTTCATTTCAAGGTTTGCCCTTTCTATCTCTGTCTCTCTTTATGTCCCTGTCTCTGTCTGTTTCTCTTTATACTTTTTTCTTCTTCTTCTTTTTTTATTTTACTCTAAGTTCTGGAATACATGTGCAGAATGTGTAGGTTTTTTACATAGGTATACATGTGCCATGGTTGTTTGCTGCACCCATCAACCCATCATCTACATTAGGTACTCCTCCTAATGCTATCCGTCCCCTAGCCCCCCACTTGCTGACAGGCCACAGTGTGTGATGTTCCCCTCCCTGTGTCCAGGTGTTCTCATTGTTCAACTCCCACTTATGAGTGAGAATATGCACTGTTTGGTTCTCTCTTTCTTTGTTAGTTTGCTGAGAATGATGGTTTTCAGCTTCATCCATGTCCCTGCAAAGGACATGAACTTTTTTATAGCTGCATGGTATTCCATGGTGTATATGTGCCACATTTTCTTTATCCAGTCTGTTATTGATGGGCATTTGGGTTGGCTCCAAGTCTTTGCTATGGTGAACAGTATCACAATAAACATACATGTGCGTGTGTCTTTATAGTAGAATGATTTATAATCCTTTGTGTATATACCCAGTAATGGGATTGCTGGGTCAGATGGTATTTCTGGTTCTAGATCCTTGAGGAATTGCCACACTGTCTTTCACAATGGTTGAACTTATTTACACTCCCAACAGTGTAAAAGTGTTCCTATTTCTCCACATCCTCTCCAGCATCTGTTGTTTCCTGACTTTTTAATGTTCGCCATTCTAACTGGCATGAGATGGTATCTCACTGTGGTTTTGATTTACATTTCTCTAATGACCAGTGATGATGAGCTTTTTTTCATATGTTTGTTGGCTGCATAAATGTCTTCTTTAGAGAAGTGTCTGCTCATATCCTTCACCTACTTTTTGATGGGATTGTTTGTGTTTTTGTTGTTGTTGTTGTTGTTGTTTGTAAATTTGTTTAAGTTTCTTGGAGATTCTGGGTATTAGCCCTTTGTGAAACAGATGGATTGCAAAAATTTTCTCCCATTCTGTAGGTCGCCTATTCACTCTGATGATAGTTTCTTTTGCTGTGTAGAAGCTCTTTAGTTTAATTACATCCCATTTGTTAATTTCGGCTTTTGTTGCCATTGCTTTTGGTGTTTTAGTCATGAAGTCTTTGCCCATGCCTATGTCCTGAGTGGTATTGCCTAGGTTTTCTTCTAGGGTTTTTATGGTTTTAGGTCTTATGTTTAAGTCTTTAATCCACCTTGAGTTAATTTTTAAATAAGGTATAAGGAAGGGGTTCAGTTTCAGTTTTCTGCATATGGCTAGTTTTCTCAACACCATTTATTAAATAGAGAATCCTTTCCCCATTGCTTCTGAAAGACCTCTTCAAGGAGAACTACTAAGAACTGCTCAAGGAAATAAGAGAGGACATATATAAGTGGAAAAACATTCCGTGCTCATGGATATGAAGATTCAATATCTTTATATGTTTTGAAAAAGTAACTGGGTACCATTATTTCACAAAAACAGTAAAGGAATGACTTGTCCATGTACCAGTGGAATTTTTGTTATGACTGTTATCAAAGTCTTTTTTAGATAAAAACATGAACTTGAACAATGGTGTACTAGAAGAATTAACTTTTTGAAACTGACATAATAATAAAAAGCAAGTTTCCCCTTCCCACATCTCCCACCAGCATCAAAAGCTATTTATTATTTATTGTCTACATAGATAAAGGCTTTGAATGATATGTGATCTAAACCAAAATAAGTTTTAAAACAAGTGACCATTTCCCTTAAACTCATAACTTGTGTTTATAAAATCTTTGGCAAATGTAAACTGCTCATTTATTAATACAGAGAAAAATTATTTAAGGCCTACCAATAAAGTTCTTTTAAAATAGTTTTTTCCATGCTTGAAGTGTTTCCTACAAAGACTTTAGCTCAATTGTTTCATTTCTGTGCCTTGTTGCGTTCCCTATTGTTCATTTTCTGGGAATTACCTCCTTTTTCCATTCACATAGACTAAATTCACCTGTCTTTCAAAGTCATCTTTGCTTCACAGATCCTCTATGAACATTTTCATGAGTATTGAAATTGCTTCCTGATTTTGGTAGTAATTGTAGACTATACAAAGGCTTATTTGGAATTATCATTACAGAATTTTAAAAATGGAGATGTTAAGATTTTCTAGTCTCGTTTGTAATTCTACAATGAAAAAAATTGAGAGCCCTCCCAATCCCCTATTTTTCTATGCCTGCTTTGCATAGGCCAATTATTTTAATGTGATACCTCAGCTTTACTTTTAAAAATGATTCCCTATTTACTACATTGTTTTCTAAAATAGTTTTGTATGAATGTTTTTGCTGATCTCTCGTGTATAGAACATATATAAATCGTTCATATCTATGTGCATATATCGATATATATTATATATGCACTTATGTATATTAACCATTACAAGGATTTTCCCATCAAGTTAGGGTTAGGGTTCCCATGGGGTTATATAGCAGTGAAAAGCCCATGTCTCAAGGAACTCCTTAGTCCCAGGCAAACTGAAATACATAGTCACCCTATATCAGGTTATTTTGTCTTCTTTGTAAACATAATTTTAATGTTGTTAGGGTATTGTACAATGTTTTACATAAGATTCCTAATGCTAAACACTAAGATTGTTTTTAACTCTCCAACATTCCCTGGTTTCTACATTTCCCTGAATTTTACACCTCTAAATTGGATAACATGGAAGACTTAGGGCAAAAATCCATCTCCTAGATCAGAGCTAAATACAGTAGCCATAAAACACATGTAGCCATTGAGCGCTCAAATTATCATTAATCTAAATTGATACGTGTTATAAAAATACAGCTCAGTTTTAAAGACTTGGTATTATATAAAGGTTATAAAATGTCTTAATATTTCTATACTGATACATGTTAAAATGATAATAGTTTGGATATACTAGGTTAAATAAATTGTGTTATTAAAATTAATTAACTTTACCAGGCAAAGTTATAGGCATGAAGTACTGGTTAGTGGTTGCCAGAGGTTAGGAATGTGAAACAGGAGAGGTAGTGGGAAGTGGTTGTGGTTATAATAGTGTAGCAGGAAGGATGCTTCTGGTGAAGGAACTTTTGTGTATTGACTGCAGTGGTGGACTCATGAACCAGTATGTGATGAAACTGCATAAAACTAATTCACACATACACACACATACACTCACACATAAATGAGTAAAAGTAAAACAGGGGAAATAAGAATAAAATTGATGGATTTTATCAATATTAATATCCTGGTGGTGATATTGTACTCTATTTTTGTAAGATATTATCTGTGGGGGAAGCTGGTTATAGGGTACAGGGATCTTAATATATTATTTCTTAAAACTGCATATGAATTTGCTATTATCTCTAAGTCAAATATTTAACTAAAATTTGTACCTGTTTCTTTTTTCATTTTTGATGTTACTACTAGAAAACTTAAAATTTCATATGGGCCATGTGTTATATTTCTATGAGATAGTGCTACTTTAGAAAAACTAGATTATTTTTACATCCAGTAATAGCCCATGTATTTTGTAGAAATAAGGCACTCATTTATATTCTTTACCACTCAACCCACTTTATGAAGAGACATATAATAATCTCCTCCTTATCAATGGATTGCTATACAATGTGAAGGGGAATTTCATAAATATTATATTCAGAGGGTATATGACACTGTTTGTTTCTGGTGTTATGTCAATAAATCAAGAAATATTTTTTTTTTGCTTGCTTTTCTCCTAAAGCTTCTAGAAAAGAGATACCCTGAAATCATCCCGGTAGCTTTACACCTAAACTCCTACATAGTCCACCTGATACCCTTTCAATTTCAGAGGCTCACTCCTGCTGAAAAGTCTCATCCTGGCCCCAGCCAGGAGTCCAGGAGATTTTGCGGGTTTTCTGAGTCAATGTGCAATTCCGGAGACACTGCATTAAACTTTCAATGGGAAAAACAACAGAGTAATACTCTCAGAAGGCTCAAGCCCTGCTTGTAAGATGACTAGGGCTCCATGCTGATTTATCCAACTTGATGATATTCCTACCTAAGAGCTTCCTCTTCATTTTATTCTGAGGGTCCCATCACCATGAGAGGCTGGTTTCTTTGGTGTACAGTCCAATAGGCTTCCTCATTAAATACCCATATGTCTTACTATTATCTCACAATATAATTATTTTTTACTTTTTCTTCTAGTAGGGATTTAGATTCTCTGAATGTTTCTTACCATATATCCATTGAAACTGAACAAGCCTACTTCTGTAGGTAAACTAGTTTATCTCTCCTGTCAAAAGAAGTTCTGGGACCTCCTTCATATATTTTGATTTAAGTTGAGTAGCCCAGCTCTGTGACTATTTCTCAAGCATTACTCAGGTTTTTACATAGTCCTAAATGTTTAACAATTACCTCTTCTCAGACTTCGCATATTCCCAGAAACATAGCTACCAATCAGCGAATTTACATTATTTTAACAATGACACGGTAACATTCTAAATGCAAACATCCTGATACATTATGTTATTTGATTAAGAGACAACATAAATTATTTATTGATGCATTTTCAAGAATATTTTAACCTCTTCTGTTTGTAACCATGGTATGGCAAATCCAAATAATACAAAATAACATAAAACACATCAAAACAAACAGCAACAACAGCAGAAAAAAAAAAACCTTGGCAAGGGAAAGAAAAGGTAGGTTATATTTGCATCGTTTAACGAGAGTCAAGGCTTATTGAGATCCAATTAGTATCAACTCTATAATAAGATGGAAATGATGTAAAGTTTGTATTACTTCTGCCAATGTGTATACAAAATTTCAAGGTATACACAAATTGTCAAGGCTGTCTTAACTTGGCAGCCTTCTGTTTTTTAAATTCTACAGGTACCCAATAACTGATTAATTCTAGATATTCAACCATCTGGTTGGTAATGACACCCTTGATTAAACAGAGAGATTGTTTTTCCCCACGAGCCATTAGAGGAACACACCTGACCATCCTTGAGTAAAACAATACCCAATGGCATGTGTTGTGCTTGAAGGTAAGATGCCATGGAGGACCACAAAGATAGAGTACATTAACCGGCAGAAGGTGAGTCCCATGAAACCCTATGTAAGAGAAGGGCAAAGATGATATAGGGTGGGGTGAAGGAAATTCACACTTGTTGAGTGTCAGCCAGTGAGCTAGAGATTTTAAATGTTTTATTTCTCATTTAATTATCTCAATAGCATCCTAAGATAGACAATACTATATCCATTCACAGATAAGGAACTGAGCCTTATGTAAAACACAGAACCCAAGTAACATTTATGTAATTGAAATTTAATTTCTGCCGGACTCTAAAACTTGTGCTTTCTCTACTGTACCACAAGGTCCCCTGGGAAGATTGTTATGAAATTCAGTCTTCAGGAAAGACAGAAGATCCCTCTGCACCCTGGCTGTGAAGGAAGTGGTAACAAGGTAATATACAGGTGACTGGAAGAAGTAATTGCATGACACATGGGACTGTCTAGTTTAGCAGACAAGAAGTCCCATCAGCAGAAAGAAGCAGAGGCAATGACCTATATCAAATGTGGTAGTGTGTTCTGTCAACTACCGCCTTTCCCATCCTGCTAGTTTTACCCATGGATGCTTTTTCCATCTCAACTAGATGGGAAATGGGCAAAAAGATATCAACAGGCTCAGTTCTCTAGACAGTGAACCTATCACCATTCCATTGTGCTAGAGGGTAAAACCTTAGCATCTGTGAGTACGTAAGGTCACAAACTTTATATACTCCTCTGTCATGTGGCCCAGTTATTTTGATTCAGCTATCATCCTCATTTATTGCTCTATTCAAAGGGTAGAGTTTTGACATTGTACTCATTTTTTATCCTCTAGTTGTATTTTATCATCCCCTGCTCTCTAACCTAAGCCATTGTTTCCACTCATAATAAAACGTGTAGCATCCCACTGATTTGAGTTTGAGCATAATTTACTGGTTGGACCTCACTCTGCATTGGACATTCTCAGACATTAATTCTTAATCTAATCAAGCAGAATTTACAAAGTTTGCACAGTAGTTGACTACTTTAAAGATGCTGCTTTACAGTTAGTCTAATTTTTCTATCCATCCTCCTGCCTGATTAAACCTCTATCTTTTCCCTTCCCTGTTCATGTGGCTGAGGTCTTAATGCTCTATGTAGTCAAGCCTGAACAGATAAAGCAATGTCAAAATGGTTTGGCTTGAAGTATTGTGTTCAAGGGAGACATGAAAGAAGACTGCCAGCAGTTAGCTATAACCTCCCTTCAGTGTGCCCTGACAAGACACAGAAAATAGATTGCCATTGGCAAAGCCACAGGCAGTGTTGTTAAATTTTTGCCCTTAAGGTTTTAGGTGAATTGATCTTAAACACTTTCAAGTGGGAGCTCCTCAGTAGTCTAATAGTTTATTTTTTTTCTTCAAATATTTAGGTGAAGACCTCAGCCAAAAGACATTCCATCATCTTTCTCAATGTAACGAGTCCTTATAGTACAGGTCTCAATGACAGCATTTTGGGGGCAAACACTGTCTCTTGGTGGCATGTAGCATTCCTTATGAGTCTCATGGATGCTCCCTGATTTAATTTTTATCCGTTCCGTTTCCACTTCCTTCTCCTATTTTGTTTCTCATGCTATTCTCTTCCAGTTACTCACCACTGCTTCTCCTGATTTCCTGTCTGTAATCTGTCTTCTTTACACTCCTTGGCAATTTTGTCTTAATCCTCTTGCTTAATCCAAGTAAAAGTGATGAGGTTGTAATTATCCCAGTTTATCCACCCTATCACATCATCACACAGTTCCTCCTTTTGGGGTGGATGGGCTGAGGCAAAGTATGGCAAAGAATGACTGGAAGCAAAAGCTCCTCCATGACCTACATTCTTTCCACCCCAGTCTGTGCTTTTCACTGTTGTCTTTGACTATGCTTTTCCCCACTTTGAAATAAAGATAGTTATATACACTTCTCAGTGCTGAATTTCTTTTTTTTTTTTTTTTTTTTTTTTGCTTACATTCAAGATAGTCTTTCTATCCTGAGCAAACAGATAGTCTTTTTTCCTTGGCTCTGTAAAATGAATTATTTGATCTGAGAGTCCATAATGAATTTTTCTTGGTCTTAATAAGATCATTAAACCAGGGGTTGAGATCATAACATACCATCCTAATGATATCCATTTAATCAAAACGTCCATTTGTTTTCACTATGGCAAGTTTAGAAAGCAATTCCAAAGTGCTTTCCATGGTATTAATTAGTCTTTCAGGTTTCTCCTCCTCCTCTTCCTTCTCTTCCTTCTCCTCTTCCTCTTCCACTTCTCCTTCTCCTCCTCTTCCTCCTCTTCCTCCTCCTCCTCCTCCTCCTCCTGCTCCTCCTTCTCCTTCTCCTTCTCTTTCTCCTTCTTTTTAATCTGGAGGTCAAGAATGTTCTGCAATGGACAACAAAAGAGTGATCTTATTAGGTCACTCACTTTATCTCCATTTCTGTCTCTCAAAATTATTCTTATTCTTTAATGTTCATCCTAAATTTAACTATTTGTTAAAGCTCGGACAAGGGTTGCCTGTAATTTTTCTACACTCCATTCATTTACTCATCAGGAATATGGTTAATAAAGAAAACCCCTCTAGCCAATGAAGCCTTAATGTCTCTTTCAGAAATAGACCTAGCTGGCATATATAGGTAGTTCTTTCAGCAGACAGAAGGAAGTCTGCCAGTTTGACTGAAAAATGAGCTCACATTACAGATAGGAGGTGAGTCCTGGTTATCTTTGTACAGTAAGACCTGGTATATGCTAGAAACATGGGTTACTCGAAGTTTTGTCACAAACCAGCAGCAAGAGCATTACCTGAAAACTTGTTATACATGTAAAATTGTCAGTCCCCACACCAGATCTACTGAATCAGAAACTCTGTAGATGGTTCTAGGTGATTCTGAAGATAGCCTATAGTTTGAGAATAAATGCTTTAAAAGAGTGGACCTATTGGGGTGGGGTCAAGATGGCTGACTAGAAACAGCAGTGATCAAGGAACCATCATTAGGGTGTGAATTCTTCACCAGCAACCAGGCTATCAAGGTTCTTTCATTGGAACTGACTAGGTGGCTTGTGTGATCCACGGAGAGGAAAAAAGAGCAGAGTGGTGCAGCGGCCACCTGAGAGCAACATGGGGAAGGGGGGTGGAGAGTGAGTGTGCTACCCAGCCAGGGAAATCATGCTTTTTCATGGAACTGTGCAACCCACAGATCGGAAGATCCCACTGGCAATCCCACACCACTGGGGCCTAGGGTTCCAACCTCGGAGCTGCGCACATTCTCATCAGCCTCTCAGCTAGAATCTGCTTAAGCCTGCAGAGCTCCCAAGGGAAGGGCGATCAGCAACATAGCTGAGACTGCCTGCTGTCTAAGCCATTTGAGATCCTTGGGGGAGGGGCAGCAGCCAGCACTGGGACTCACAACTGCCTAAGATGCTAAGCTCCCTGGGCAGGAGAAGGGTGGCATCCATCTTTATAGCTCCAGGCCACACTTTTCCCCTGCTGGAGCTGGGGAGGCAGGATGGCTTGGTTCCAAAAGGTGTCCCTCACAACTCAACACACCGGCTGTGGCAGACTGTGGCCAGAATGCCTCTTCAGGCCTGACCCAGACTCATCCTTCCTCACTGGGAGGGGCTTCCCCGCAGGAACTGCAACAACTCCAGCCAGAGGCTCAGGGACAGAACCCAGATTTCCCTGGGCCTGAGCCCCTAGTGGGAGAAGAGGCCACAGTATCTGTGGACCAGCAGCCCTAGACTTTCCTCCTGGTAATTCTGAGGAATCTAGGCAACTCAGACAAGTGGGTTTCCCCAAAGTGAACCACACCTCCTCCACCAAAGAACAGAATGCTTCATTAAATGGGTTCTATTCCCTGTGTTACTCAACTGGGTGAGACCCTCTGACAGCAGTTGTCAGATACCCTATACAGGAGCGATCCTACTGGCATCAGGTTTGTGCCACTCGAGGTCAGAGATCCCAGAAGAAGCAGAAGGCGCAGATATTTGCTTTTCTCCATCCTCCTTGAGTGACATCTCCAGGCGTGGAAGCTGACCAGATGAATAGGGCCTGAAGTTAACCCCTAGCAAACCTTGATAGCCCTACAGAAAAGGGACCTGACCATTGAAAGAAAAACAAACAAACAGAAAGCAACAACAACAGCATTGACAACAACAACAAAAAGTCCCCACAACAGCCCCTTCCAAGGATCAGCAGCCTCAAAGATTGAAACTAGACAAACTCACAAAGATGAGAAAGAATCAATGAAAAAAACACTGAAAACCCAAGAGGACAGAGTGCCTCTTCTCCAGATCATCACAACATCTATCCAGCAAGGGCTCAGAAGTGGATGGAGGATGAGTTGGATGAATTGACAGAAGTAGGCTTCAGAAGATGGGTAATAAAAAACTATGCTGAGATAAAGGAGCATGTTCTAACCCAATGCAAAGAAGCTAAGAACCTTGATAAAAGGTTAGAGGAGCTGCTAACTAGAATAACCAGTTTAGAGAGGAACATAAATGACCTGAAGAAGCTGAAAAACACAGCAGGAGAACTTTGTGAAACATACACAAGTATCAATAGCTGAATTGACCAAGTGGAAGAAAGAATATGAGTTTGAAGACCACCTTGCTGAAATAAGACATGCAGACAAGATTAGAGAAAAAAGAATGAAAAGGAATGAACAAAGCCTCCAAGAAATATAGGACTTAGTAAAAATACCAAACCGATGATTGATTCAAGTACCTGAAGGAGATGGGGAGAATGGAAACAAGCTGAAAAACACACTTCAGGATATTATCCAGGAGAAGTTCCCTCACCTAGCAAGACAGGCCAACATGCAAATTCAGGAAATACAGAGAACACCACTAAGATACTCCACAAGAAGTCAACCACAAGACACATAATCATCAGATTCTCTAAGATCGAAATGAAGGAAAAAGATGCTGGGGACAGCCAGAGAGAAAAGCCAGGTTACCTACAACGAGAAGCCCAACAGACTAACAGTGAACCTCTCAGCAGAAACTCTGCAAGCCAGAAGACATTGGGGGCCAATATGCAATGTTCTTAAAGAAAAGAATTTCAACCCAGAATTTCACATCCAGCCAAACTAAGCTTCATAAGCAAAGGAGAAATAAAATCCTTTCCAGAGAAGCAAATGCTGAGGGATTTCATTACTACCAGTCCTGCCTTGAAAGAGCTCCTGAAAGAAGTGCTAAATATGGAAAGGAAAAGCTGGTACCAGCCACAGCAAAAATGCACCAAATTATAAAGACCAATGACACTATGAAGAAACTCCATCAATGAGCGTGCAAAAGAAAACAGATAGCATCATGATGACAGGAACAAATTTACACCTAACAATGCTCACTTCGAATATAAATAGGCTAAATGCTCCTATTAAAAGACACAGACAGGCAAATTAGATAAAGAGTCAAGACCCATAGGTGTGCCATATTCAGGAGACCCATCTCACATTCCAAGACACACATAGGCTCAAGATAGAAGGATTGAGGAAAATTTACCAAGCAAATGAGGAAAAAAAAAAAAAAAAAAGCAGGGGTTGCACACCCAGTCTCTGACAAAACAGACTTTAAGCTTACAAAGATCAAAAAAGATGAAGAAAGGCATTACATAATGGTAAAGGGATAAATTAAACAAGAAGAGCTACATGATTATCTCAACAGATGCAGAAAAGGCCTTCAATAAAATTCATCATCCCTTCATGTTAAAAACTCTCAATAAATTAGGTATTGACAGAATATATATCAAAATAATAAGAGCTATTTATGACAAATCCATAGCAAATATCATATTGAATGGGCAAAAGCTGGAAGCATTCCCTTTAGAAACCAGTAAGGGACAAAGATACCCTCTCTCACTACACCTATTCAACATAGTTTTGGATGTTCTGGCCAGGGCAATGAGGCAAGAGAAAGAAATAAAGGGTATTCAAATAGGAAGAGAGAAAATCAAATTGTTTCTGTTTTCAGATGACATGATTTTATGTTTAGTAAACCCTGTCAACTCAGCCCAAAAACCCCTTAAGCTGATAAGCAACCTCAGCAAAATCTCGGGATACAAAATCAATATGCAAAAATCACAAGCATTCCTTTACACCAAAAATAGGCAAGCAGAGAGCCAAATCATGAGTGAACTCCCTATCACAATTGCTATAAAGGAAATAAAATCCCAAGGAATACAGCTAAGAAGGGAAGTGAAGGACCTCTTCAAGGAGTACTACAAATCACTGCTCAAGGAAATAAAAGAGGACACAAACAAATGGAAAAACATTCCATCCTTATGGATAGGAAGAATCAATATCATGAAAATGGCTGTACTGCACAAAGTAACTTATAGATTCAGTGTTATTCCCATCAAACTATCATTGACATTCTTCACAGAATTAGAAAAGACTACTTTAAATTTCATATGGAATCAAAGAACCCATATAGCCAAGACAATCCTAAGCAAAAAGAACAAAGCTGAAGGTATCATGCTACCTGACTTCAAACTATACTATAAGGCTACAGTAAGCAAAACAGCATGGTACTGGTACCAAAACAGACATATAGACCAATCGAACAGAACAGAGGCCTCTTAAATAACCCCACACTTCTACAACCATCTGATCTTTGACAAACCTGACAAAAATAAGCAATGGGGAAAGGATCCCTTATTTAATAAAATGTACTGGGAAAACTGTCTAGCCATACGCAGAAAACTGAAGCTGGACCCCTTCCTTACACCTTATACAAAAATTAACTCAAGATGGATTAACGACTTAAATGTAAAGTCCAAAATCATAAAAACTCTAGTAGAAAACCTAGGCAATACCATTCAGGACATAGGCATGGGCAAAGACTTCATGAGGAAAATGCCAAAAACAATTGCAACAAAAGCCAAAATTGACAAATGGGATCTAATCAGACTAAAGAGCTTCTGCAGAACAAAAGAAACTATTGTCAGATTGAACAGGCAACCTACAGAATTGGAGAAAATTTTTGCAATCGACCCATGTGACAAAGGTGTAATATCCAGAATTTACTAGGAACTTAAATTTACAAGAAAAGAAAAAATAACCCCCTCAAAAAGTAGACAAAGGATACAAACAGACACTTCCAAAAAGAAGACATTTAAATGGTCAACAAACATGAAAAAAAGCTCAGCATCACTAATCATTAGAGAAATGCAAATCAAAACCACAATTAGATACCATCTCATGCCAGTCAGAATGGTGATTATTAAAAAATCAAGGAACAATAGATGCTGGTGAGGCTCTGGAGAATTAGGAATGTTTTTACACTGTTGGTGGGAATGAAAATTAGTTCAACCATTGTGGAAGACAGTATGGTGATTCCTCAATGATCTAGAACCAGAAATACCATTTGACCCAGCAATACCACTACTGGGTATATACCCAAAGGAATATACATCATTCTACTATAAAGACACATGCACACATATGTTTATTGCAGCAATAGCAAAGTCATGAATCAGCCCAAATGCCCATCAATGATAGAATGGATAAAGAAAATGTGGTACATATACAAAAAGGAATGAGATCATGTTTTTGCAGGGAAATGGATGAAGCTGAAAGCCATCATCCTTAGCAAACTAACACAGGAACAGAAAACCAAACACTGCATGTTCTCACACCTAAGTGGGAGTTGAACAATGAGAACACATGGACACAGGGAGGGAAAGGACACACACGAGGGCCTGCTGGTGAGTGGGGGGTGAGGGGAGGGAATTTAGAGGATGGGTCAATAGGTATAGCAAACCGCCATGGCACATATATACCTACGTAAAAAAACCTGCACATGCTGCACATGTATCCCGGAACTGAAAGTAAAATTAAAACAAACAAACAAACAAAAAAGAATGGCCCTATTAATCACCCCCCAGCTACTTAAAGTGTTAAGTATGCCTTACCATAAACATGTACCTGTATAGTGGTATTTTTAACATAAACTCACAAGGCTTCCAACTATCATTGCTTTCTGGTATTCATGCCTTTGAGTAATTCACTCCCCTTGAGCATAGACTGGACCTAGAGACTTGCCTAGAATAAAGTATGGTCATAATTAGGGTACAAAAGACTGTGATTTCCATCTTGCTTTCAGCAGTCTCTTTCTGGAATTTCTTTCCTCCTTGTTCTGATGAAGCAAGCTGGAGAGTCACATGTGGTGAGGAACTGTGGGCAGCCTCTGAACAATTACCAGCAAGGAACAGAGGTAGGTCCTCAGTCCAAAAGTCTGGGAGGAACTGAATTCTGCCTACGACCATGTGAGTGAGCTTTGAAGTGAATCCTTCCCAAGTCAGGCATTTGGAGGAGTCTGAAGCCCTGGCCCAAAGTTTGATTGCAGCCTTGTTATAGACCCTGAAACAGGGGACCCAGTTAATCTGTGTCAAGATTCCTGACTCACCAAAATGTTGAGATAATCAATATGTGTCGTAGATGTGCACTGTTTTAAGCTGCTAATTGTAGGCCATTTGTTATACAATGGTAGATAATATACACAGACACACACACATCACACACACATATATAATTTAATTGGTTAGTATTATAATTCATCTCAATGCATATTTAATGAGCACATGTTGCATTAAGCATTTGCCTTTCTACTGGCTACCGTAAAGGTAGTAATAAATATTGTCTGCCCTTAAAGAAGAAACATTCCTTTTTAAGAAATAGAAATTTTTATGCATATTACATACTTATAATACCAGGTAATAAAAAATAAAACTTCAAGTTTAATAGAGGAATTTTAAATATATAGTGGTATAAGCAGTAAAAAGAAGTGACAGAACACTGTTTTCTGTCAGTAAACAATCATACATGAAGCAATATCTATGAGCCATTTAATTTTTACATTAATCTTAATAAATATGTACCATTAACCCTATTTTCCAGGTGAAAAAGCAGCAACTGGTTTAGACAGGATAATGAACTTTGCCCACTTGGTACACAGTAGAGCCAGGTTTCAAATGCAGGCTATTAGACTCCGGACCACAAACCTTTAACCACTGCAACATTTTAACTCCATCATGTAGAGATGGCATTTATCTGGTCTCTAAATGTGCTTATACACACACACACACACACACACACACACACACACACACACACACTCTCCAGGAAAATATATACATATTTTTATATATATACACACACATATACATGTATATATATTTATGTATATATATGTATATATAGTATATGTATACTATATATAAATATATATATGTGTATATATAGTATATATGTATATATACTATATATAAATATATACATATGTATATATACTTATATAAATATATACATTTATGTGTGTATATATAAATAAATGTCTGTATATTTTTTCATGGAAAATGATAGAAACTGATTTTTTTTAACAATTAATAAAAGGATGAACAAATTGGATATGA
Source organism: Homo sapiens (assembly GCF_000001405.40). Taxonomy (NCBI): domain Eukaryota; kingdom Metazoa; phylum Chordata; class Mammalia; order Primates; family Hominidae; genus Homo; species Homo sapiens. The sequence goes on from NC_000018.10 coordinate 40,827,872, forward strand.
GCATGGAGAGAAATTAAAGAGTAATTCTTATTTCTTTGTTTATCTGTACCAGACACTTTTCATCTACCTGTTATGGGATTTTTCTTTGCTGGAAATAGTCTCATTACCCTACATAAAAGTATTATTTTACAATTAAACAATGAAATAAATATTCAACCAAAAATTGAGAAGCTTCATTCAAAGTTGGTTTTCTCTAAATAAAAGTTTGTTGTCATGATCCTCAGGTGTTGGTCTACACTTGAGTTACCTGGAGAATTTGTTGAACCTACCAATCCCTAGGCTGCATCCTACGTAAGCTTATTCTGTAATTCTGAAGTGAGACCTAGAATCTGGGATTCTGCTTGTTTACTGATTCCCCAGATGATTCTTATGGACAGCAAAGTTTGAGACATTTATTTTTAGCGTAAGGAAAATGCTTTAACAGTTCTACACAAACAGTTGTTTTAGCCCCAAGGCAAATGAAATATGAACAAATTAAATGAATAGTAAATTAAGTGGGGGAGGATTATAGGCCTTATTATTGTAGCCAAGCTTATACGTATATTATTTTAGGTTTGAGTTACAGGTTCTTTCTGAGTCTTTCATTGAGATATAAAATATACTGAAGATTAATTTGAGAAAATCAGATTGCAAGATTGAGAGAAAAGTGCCCAGTGTTAATTAAGGGTTGGTTATATTTGATATCACTTGGAGTAATTGAAGTACACTGGTCTTTGTTAACTGGGTCAGCCAGGGGTCGAGAGAACAGGTGGTTGAGCAAAATTTCATAAGCACCTGTTTAATATTTGGCTCTGAAATTTCCCCAAAGTTGATCAAAGTGGGGATATGATCATTACCCAAAGATTGTTTAGAGTGATTGAGCCTTGACTGATGAAAAAGGAGCTAATTAGAAACTCACCCTTCCAATCTGGAAAGTGATGAAGTTTAAATAAGATTGGCAAGCAACGGACTGACCTAATAAAACTGGTCTCTTGCCACTCTTCTTGTCCCTCCTACAATGGAACTTTTCTGTCTTCTTTCTAATTAAATTATCCACTTTCTCTAGGAGCTCATACACTTTTGTTTTCTATTCCCATTTTCTTGTCCTTTTTGAATAACTGGATTTAACATTGTCCCACACTTTTTCAATACCCTAATAAATCACATCCATTGGTTACCCTGAAATACATGTAGATTTGTTTCCTTTAATATTCTTAATCAGTTATTTTAAAAAATTGTATATAATTCATATAGCTTTGATTTTAATAGTTGGTTAGCCATATAGTCTACCAAAATCACTTTCTGGGAAGAACTTTAATAGTAGGCAATGTGGTTAGTTTATATGACAGAAAACTTGTGTAACTAATACAGGTATTAAAAGGTCTGGATTGGGAATTCAATATATGATGGAAATTAGTCATAAAATATCTATTCTTGATTTCAACAGCTAGATAGGAAAACATTTTTAAAATAAAATATCATAAAAGTACAATATAGAGATATCTCAGCATGAGTTTAAATATTAAGTAATGATTGACAGAATATATTGAAAATTTGCATATTTTCTCACTGGAATTAATATATTTTTTAAACAAGCAGCATACAGTATGTGATTTAAACTAGTAAATTGTAATAAGTTTTCTTTTCTAAATAATTAGAACAAATTAGAGATGGTAATGTTATTCTGCTTTCATCAGCTCCTAAATAAGCTTTAAAAATAATCACCATAGTTTGTCAAGAATTGCTAGGCTGTAAGCAAGGAAACCACTGAAAAAAAATGAACTGATGTTTTTGAATATTTTATTAGAAAATTATAAGGGAAACCTTACACATTATGGGAAATTTAAAATAACAGAAACATAAACTACAAGGAAATTAAAAAAATAAATGCAATTTACATTGTATTTTCTCTTATTGCTCATATAATTGCTTCAACACCTATTTATTGAGGAATAACTCAGTGGGGATATGTAAGAGAATTAAGAGTAATAAAAACCCTGTCCTCATAGCACTTATATTCTGGTGAATTAAAAGTAGTAATTTCATATAGAAAAAGATGGAACACTCCTTTTTTTTTTTTTCAACTTTTAAACTTCCAGGGCTTATGTGCACGAGGTGCAGTTTTGTTACATAGGTAAATGTGTGCCATGGTGGTTTGCTGCACAGATCAACCCATCCCCTAGTTATTAAGTCCAGCATCTATTAGTTCTTTTTCCTGATGCTCCCCCTTCCCCACACCCCAGACAGGCCCTAGTGTGTGTTGTTCCCCGCCATATTTCCATGTGTTTTCATTGTTCAGCTCCCAAGACAAACATTTGAATGCAGAGTAACCAGCTTTGTCAAGGGAAAAGTGTGGCCAACAAACTAATATGCCAATAAAATGTCTCAAGATAAACTGCCATGGTCAAATTCATGAAATTCATGAGAAAAGGGCATATTTCTGATAAATAATGAGAATATAGGATACTAATTCAAATCTACTAAAAGAAATCCTGACATGTATGGAAGTATTTATATGGCTTTCCCATGGCCAAAGATGTAAATCCATAATTTATAAAAAGAAAATTATGTCTTATTTGCTGTCAAACAATTCTAATGTATTTTCAGTTAACAAATATTGTGAAGCAATGCATTGTGTGGTCAGGATTGAAGTAAAGAGCTGTGGGGAATATATGTGGAATACAGAATGTGATCTCTAGTACACAAATAGTATATACTTACACTTTGCCTCAATGTACAGGCACACGCATGGACCAACAATGTTTGGTTTGTTTACATGCTATTCAAAGGCCATTTGTGCTGAGAGGACAAGCCCCACATATTTTAGAAAAAAAAGGTTGCTTTCAATGTTGATGAAGTGACAAGTGGTGACTGATGGAAAAAAAATTCTTGGCTCCATTGATGAGAGCAGAAAAAGGAAACTCCAAGAGCATACCTATGTTAGACCCCTTGCTATTGAGAGAGAGAGAGAGAGAAAGAGAAATACTTCTTATCCTACATAAGTAGAGTCTGACTGTTGTAAATCCAGAGATAAAGGACTCTCTCTCTTAAGGATTTTTTTGGATATTGACTGGCTTACTAGAGGTGATGGGTCTCGAACCAACATAAAAATCTTCATTTTATTTTTCCTTTTTGACCCTCCTATGCAGACATCTAGCATTATAGATTTTTACATGGTCTTTATTTCATTACTTTTGTCTTATATACCTAATCTTTCTACCTAAAGCCCACTCTCACATGTGCAGTTACTCATTGCTTTCCTCTCTTTAATATATGTATGCTTGCCTGTTTGTATGTATTTTTAATGTGGTGTGACTGATTTTTCAATGGACATAAATGGTATTGCACTTTAGATTTCAACCTAATTTGTTCTTTCAACATTCAACACTATGTTTTTAATGTCTTTACTTGATCCTGTATATAACTATATTTTAGGAATTCTTAAACATTCTTACTCTGTAGACCCCTTTGGCAGTTTGGACTTCTTTTCAGTATAAAATTGTATGAAATGCTATGAAACGAATGCATTTAAAACTTGTAGTGGCTATAACCCAATATATAAGATTTCAAAATAAACCAATTATACTGAAATGCAGTTACTAAAATACTGAACCAGCCGGGCGCCGTGGCTCACGCCGGTAATCCCAGCCCTTTGGGAGGCTGAGGCGGGTGGATCACAAGGTCAGGAGTTCAAGACCAGCCTGGACAACATGGTGAAACTCCGTCTCTACTAAAATACAAAAAATTAGCTGGGCGTGGTGGTGTGCACCTGTTGTCCCAGCTACTCGGGAGGCTGAAGCAGGGGAATCGCTTGAACTGGGAGGCAGAAGTTGCAGTGAGCCGGGATTGTGCCACTGCACTCCAGCCTGGCAACAGAGCCAGACTGTGTCAAAAAACAAAAACAAAAAAAAACTAAACCAATAAATGTGTGGCATAGCAGTATATATATTTTAACACATTTAAAAATGCAAGCTACAAGGCAGTTTAATAACCACAATTATTATATTAAAATGATTAGCAGATGCAATGTTTTGGGATGTCTGCAACAAGTTAGATGTGATTTGAAAATAAACGTCACTTCTGTTGGTGAAAAAGTCAAGGTATTGTTAACAGAACTATGGTTTGTTGCCTTCATTCATAATTAAATGAAATGCTAAACATCAGTTCAAGATTTGTGAATATGAAGATGTATATAGTATATATATAATGTGTATATTTATTGTAGTTATATGATTGTTTATGTCCCACTTGTATGGCGGTGGGCAAATTAGGTAAGACAATATAGACAATATATAGTAATGCTTATTGAATGGGTTAATATGTGTAATTATTTTGTAAAATACAAAGTGCCATCTACAGGTAAGAAAATACCACTTCCTCTCCTCAGATTTGGTCAAATCAAGGTTTGGGCAGATAACCAGCTTAAATTCTACTAGAAAAATAGAAAAAAACAAAAGTTCCCATTAAGGCTATCATGCAATCTCTGCATTAAAGCTGTATATTGTTTCTTAAAAACTTCACTTAAATTTTGCATATGATGTTTACTATTTAACTATTGAGGATCTGAAATCCCAAAGAAAGAAATAAAATTCAGTTAACTGTGCTAAGTACAGGAACACTGGGGCATTTTAGAATTGTAACTGACACTCTGACCATGAGGAAGAGATAGAACACTCAGTTCATGCATTAAAAACCACAACATTTCAACAGTCTAAAAGCATTTACTGTGGGCATACTCTTGTGGATAACAGTGTGTTACTGATTTTTTAGTACAATAAACATACATAGTAGAAAAAAAACAAATAGCCCCATTAAAAAGCAGGCAAAGAACATGAACAGACACTTCTCTGAAGAAGACATACAGCGGCCAACAAAAATATGAAAAAATGCTCGACATTGCTACTCATCGGAGAAATGCAAATTAAAGGCAAAATGAGATATCATCTCACACCAGTCAGAGTGCCTATCATTAAAAACTCAGAAAATACCCGATGTTGGCAAGGTTGCAGAGAAAAGGGAACACTTATACACTGTTAGTGGAAATGTAAATTAGTTCAACTCCAATGGAAAACAGTATGGGGATTTTCAAAGAACTAAAAATAGAACTACTATTCAATCCAACAATCCCACTACTAGGTATACAACCAAAGGGAAAGAAATTGTTTCAGAAAAGACACACGTACCTGCAGTCTTATGTTTATTGCAGCACTATTCACAATAACAAAGTCATGGAATCAACCTAGGTGCCCATCAACAGTGTATGGGATAAAGAAAGTATTATACAGATATATCTATATCATATATAAAGTATGAATACATATATATGCCCATGAAGTACTATGCCGCCATAAAAGGAATAAAACCATGTCTTTCACAGCAACATGGATGGAGCTGGAGGCCATTATCTTAAATGAAATAACTCAGAAGCAGAAAACCAAATACCGTATGTTCTCACTCATAAGTGGGAGCTAAAAATGGATACACATAGACATAAAGATTAAAAAAATGGACTTTGGAAACTTCACAAGAGGGAAGGTCGGGAGAGGAAACAGGGTTGAAAAACTACCTATTGATTATTATGTTCACTGTTTCAACGATGGGTTCACTAGAAGCCCAAACCTCAGCATTACACAACATAGCCAGGTAACAAACCTGCATATGTACCCTCTGAACATAAAAGATGATTAAAAAAAAATTAAAAATAAAAATAGAATAAAAATAAATATTATGAAAGAAAAAATTCATGCATAGTGTTTTTAATGGTTATTAATTTCAGAACAATACTATCAAAGTAAGTTATATATTACCTTATAAAACCATGCCAAAATCCTGTAATACATTTCTATTTCAATTGAGGGCTTCAGAAGACAGTTATAAAGAGTATTTGATATACTAAAATTAAAATATAATGGTAATGAAACTTGGAAATTTATTTGGTGAAATTGAGACTTGCATTTTATCTATTTGGAAACCCAAGAAGGTCAATAAAGGATGCTGGAACAATTGAATAGTCATATGCATAATAATAAAAAAAAATACATGTCTCATATTACACACAAAAATTAACTTCTGTTTTTCAAAAGCTACTATTAAGAAAATGAAAAGGCCATCCACGGCCTCAGTAACAATATCTGCAAGACATATGTACAATCACTGACTTATATCTATATTAATAATTCTTGAAACTCCATAATAAGAAACCAAACATCCCAGTTTAAAAAATAAGTAAGATATTTCAGCAGGTATTTCACCAAAGACTGTGTATAAAAAGCAAATACCCATAGGAAAATACTTTTAACATTATTAGTCATTAGAGAAATGCAAAATTAAAACCATAAAGGTTTACTACTACATATCTGTCAGATTGGCAAACATTTTAAAGGCTAAGGTATATCCAGTTGGGTGAGAATGTGAAGAAACTGAGGTTTTCATACATTGCTGGTGAAAATACTTTGGCAGTTTCTTAAAAAGTTCAACATACACCTACCATATGATTCAGCCGTTCTGTCTTTAGATGTTTAACCAAAAGAAAAAAATTATATGATCATGAATATACTTGTAAAAGAAAGTTCACTGAAGCTTTATTTCTAAGAGTTCCCCCAACTGGAAACAAGTCAATTGTCTTTCAAGAGGTGAATGAATGAACACATTTTGTTATAGCTGTGTAATACTTACCTGCAATAAAAACAAACTATTGGCCGGGCGCTGTGGCTCACGCCTGTAATCCCAGCACTTTGGGAGGCCAAGGCGGGTGGATCACGAGGTCAGGAGATCGAGACCATCCTGGCTAACACGGTGAAACCCCGTCTCTACTAAAAAACATACAAAAAATTCGCCGGGCGCGGTGGCGGGTGCCTGTAGTCCCAGCTACTCCGGAGGCTGAGGCAGGAGAATGGCGTGAACCCGGGAGGCGGAGCTTGCAGTGAGCCGAGGATCGCGCCACTGCACTCCAGCCTGGACGACAGAGCGAGACTCCGTCTCAAAAAAAAAAAAAAAAACCACAAGAAAAAACTATCAATATATATAAACTGGATGTATCTCAAAGTAATTACGCTGAATGAAAGAAGCCAGCAAAGAAAAAGGAATACATAATATATTACGTGATTTCTATAAAACTTTAGAAAATGCCAACTGATCTATGGTGCCAAAAGCAGATATGCGGTTGCCTGGTGGTGTGGGTAGGGGAATCACTTTTCTCGGATGACTAACATTACTTTTCTGATTGAGAGCACAAATGGGACAACTTCAGCTCCCTTTGATGTAATTAGTTTGATAAGCCTCTTTTCCTTTCTTAGTCATCTTTTCAATCCATGGTTCTTCTATAACAAAGAGGTTAGGAAAACACATTGTTTACATGGACAATCTGAGTATTTGTAGATTCCTCTGTCGGTGTCGCAAATGAGAGATGATTGCAACTTTACCATTAAGCCGCAAGTCTTGAATGTTAGTCAAACTGAGCAACTCCATTTGTTTTTGAAAACAGAACTTACATTAACCTGAGTCTGTGTCTATATGCAAAATATAAAAGTAAGAAATAAATTCAGTTACATTATAAAGAAGGTAAAACATATCCATTCTTATTTATCTAAAATAAATTAAAATAGCTTTCTCAAAGATGAATGATCCTTTATTTCAACCTGTGGGGGTATTTTAAGCGCTTTAAATTCTGTCTATTAATGTGAAATTTATCTGTCAAAGCTTGAGAGTGGCCACCCATTTACACGTGAGGAAGCTGAGTGTCAGAGGTAAACTGTCACACATGCTTCTGCCCATGCAGAGTAAGAAACTAAAGCTCAGATGTCCCAATTCAGTGGTCTTTCGATGAAAGTGTTCTATTTTCCTAATATTAAATATTTGCCTTCTAAAATAAATGCACATTAACCCCACATAAGTTATTCTCTTTTTAAGGACAGGGGACCCTTAAAGGAACTTTAATACCTGGAACGGCCGGGCGCGGTGGTTCACGCCTGTAATCCCAGCACTTTGGGAGGCCACAGCGGGCGGATCACGAAGTCGGGAGATCAAGACCATCCTGTCTAACACGGTGAAACCCCGTCTCTACTAAAAATACAAAAAAATTAGCCGGGCCTGATGGCGGGTGCCTGTAGTCCCAGCTACTCGGGAGGCTGAGGCAGGAGAATGGCGTGAACCCAGGAGGCGGAGCTTGCAGTGAGCAGAGATCGCACCACTGCACTCCAGCCTGGGCGACAGAGCGAGATTCCATCTCAAAAAAAAAAAAAAACAAAAAAACAAAAACAAAAAAAACCTGCAATACCTGGAACCATTATGTCTGTGAATAGAGACTTTTTCTTTTTCTTTTTCTTTTTTTTTTTTTAGCTTTTTAAACTTGAGATCGCACCACTGCACTCCAGCCTGGGCAACAGAGCGAGACTCTGTCTCAAAAAAATAAAAATAAAAAAGCCAAAAAAATTATGTTCCTGAATCAGTCACTAGAGAGTAAGTTATTGATGTGACAGCCAATCATCTTCAAATATTTAAGTTGCACTTACAAACAAGGACATTCTCCTTCATAACCACTGTAAAAGCAGGAAAGCAGGAAATTAATACGGATATATTACCATTAGCAAATACACAGATGCCCATTCAAGTTTTGCCAATTGTACCAATAGTTCCCTTTTTGGCAAAAGGCTCTGATGCAGGATCATGAGTTGGTTTAGTTGTAATGTATCTTTAGTTTCCTTCAATCTAGAAAAGTCCCTGAGTCTTTCCTTGACTTGTCTGACCTTGATATTTTTGAAGATTTGCAAGCCAATTATTTTGTTTAATGTCCTCAATTTGAGTTTTTTTTATTTTTTTCTTCATGAAAATATTCAGGTTATGTATTTTTAGAAGGAATTTCACAGAAAAGACACTGTGTTCTTCTAATCGCAATTTATCACTTGGCACATTATTTCTATTTGCCTCTGCTCGGAATTTTTAATTTGATTACTTAATTCAGATGATGTCTTACCTACCTTATCCACAGCAAAGTTACTGGATCATAGAGAAAGAGGGAGAGGGAGGGAATACAGTACCATGCATGATAGAACATTTGTTTGAGCCATATGAAGATGATCCCTATCAGGTTTCAGACCCTGGCAGGGATAAAAAAAAAAAAAAAAAAAAAAAAGCAGGCCACTGTGCTGAAAAGGGAGACCAGCAGCTACTGATCAACCTTCAGGGCCTGATTCAAACAACTTTTAATCTTGCCCAGGAACTTTCTAAAGTGTTGATGAACTTTCTTCAATCCCTGAGAAACTAGGTTGCCAGACGAGAAAGGTGTTTCTGGGTCAGAACTGTCAAACCAACGTCCGCACCCTGTTCCATTTTTTATGAGAGGTACTGAAGACAACTTTCCAATGAAGATAGTGAAACTAATGATTACCTAGAGGGAAAAATGTTTGTCCTAGTCTGGCATTCTTACTACTAACTTAAGCTTGTATCCCTAAGTCACCAAAAAGTCTTGAGCTCCAGTCCCCAGGCTTATTCGCCCAGTTAGATATTCATAGCTCTTCATTTGGAGAGTAAGCCATAGAGTATGATGTGGGAAAAGAGAGCAGTCATGATGATTTCCTCTGCTATACCTTAACCTTGACCCCACTCTCAACCTGGGCTCAGTGACAACATGCTGCTGACTTTGGTGAGAAAACAAAGGTGAAGAAGTGAAGGCAAAGCCAAAGACAAAAAAAAAAAAGAAAAAGAAAAAATAAAGTCAGGCCTGTAAAATCCCTGTTCCATCTGGTCCCTGGCTGAGTCATCTCTCACCTCAAAGAGGTAGCTTCAGGACAGACTCAGAGACTCCAGAATTGCCTCGGCCAGACACCTGCTCCAGAAGGGCAGACCCATCTAACCCCTTCTGCTCACCCTCCACCAGCCAGTTGTCCTGAAACCTGGGTCTAGGTATCAACATGGAAGAAAAATAATTAGCTCACTAAGGGAAGTAATTCTTAAGCAGCAATTCTATCTACTTGGGGAAAATCCTGAATATTGCTGTGGATCCCAGAACAGCTGCAGTGTCCTCTGCCTTTTTTCTTCTTAACCTTGGCCTATCACCCACACTGATTTAGTTCCCTACACGTTCTTTCCCACCCCATCTTCCCTTGCTTCCTTCCTCAATGAGGATGTACTATTTATTTCATACTTGCAATTTTGAACAGATCCTTGAGTAGCTGGTCGATTTGGCTTCAACCCTCCATAGAAGAAGCCCGGTTGGGTCCACTTGACTCACCCCCGCCCTCTGAGTATTCTCCCTGGATGCTGGATGACTCCTAGATTTCCTCCAGTGAAAAAGCATGAAAAGTAGAAGAAGTAGACAGGTGGGTCTGAGCTTCAAAGGCAGTTCCTAGTGGTGGAAAAAGAGAAGAGAAAGAAACAAAGTAAATTAATTCTAAACCAATAGCAATGGACCAATGGGCTGGTTTTACTGTGAGACTTTCACCTTCACCACTAATTCAAATAAGGTCCTAAACAAGAAGAGACAGAAGATTCTTTAGAGGTCCTCTCTGTGTCACTCTTTTATTTGTGTGTGTTTAAAAAAATCCCAGGAACAGAGATGTCAAAGTTTGAACAAGGAAACCTAGCCAGTAGGCTGAGAAGGAGAGCTCCAGTTTCTGAATCCATATTTCTGCAACTGAACAACTCCCTTCCTGAGAGAAGAGATGAGCAGGGAAAGAGCACTGAGCTCCAGGAGAGGGAAACAGCATGGAAATGGAAGTGAGTGATGGGAGGGTGCCGAAGACAGGTTGGCTGATTCTACAGTTTTGTCAAAAGCCAGCCTGGTCCCCCGAGCTCCTGCTGCTTGAAAGGCCATTTATGTTGTGGAAGCCAGGAGGCAGCCTGCAATCCTGTGTGTTGGAGTCAGTCATATTTAGGTGTTTTTGTATTGCTCCATGGCAGAAGCCACATCAAAAAGGCCCCTCTGTGCTACCAATATGATTATTGAGGGGCGGCGATGGGGTATCCTGTGGCTTTCTGCACTGCCTCCAGACTCGGGGCTATACCCAGTTCCTCCATGAGTAACATAAGCTGAGAGCATGTAGGGCTTCTCATTAACTTAAGAGCTCTCTCTGCTTGAGCTAAATATGTTACTTTCATGCTGGAATTTCCTTCATTTTCTCTCTCTTATTCCTCATTACCTCCTCCCCATACACGCCTGTTGGAAAACCCAGGCTAGCAGATTTCATTTTTACTTTGCCTAAGATGGACAGCAAAACTATAATATTTCTTAAGGCTCACAGGTTTCCAGTTCAACCCTTCAAGATTCCCATTTAGAAATCATCTTACTAAAAGTAAAAATAAATGAATGGTTTTCTTCTATATTTCATATGTATTTCTATCAATTAGAATTATTCTCTCAATCATTGTGATTTAAAATACAGAGAATTTCACAGACTGCAGAACACTTATGTATTCTAAAACATCAGCAAAACACTGAGGAAGAGGACAGAAAAAAACAACTTAACAAAATTAGCTGTTTCCAAGGGACTCAGATTTGGGCAGAAAAAAGTGAATGTTATCCAATACGATAAAGGCTTTAACAGCTATGCACCAATATGAAGATACTCAGGTAGGAGAATAGGGTAATGAAGCTTGCTAAACCAAAGAATATTTAGCTGACTTTAGATTTTTCTGTTAGGAAAGGAGAGAAGAACCTTTCAGGTATCTAAAGTGCCCCCAGAGTTGAAGGTACTTATGTGTTTGCGTGAACTGAAAAGTAGGATGTTTTGCTGTATTTACAGCATGGAACTGTTGGGCCCAGCAGTTGGTAGGGGATGGTTGGGGATATAGGGTAGGGGGATGATAATGGTGAGACTGGAATGGAATCTTGGAATCATTTTCCCTTTGTCCCCTCACTGTATATTATAATGAGTTACTTTTGACCTAAATGTTTTACATAGCAAGTCCTCCCAAAAGGCAGACATAGAAACACAGCTTGGGAAAGGTTTGAAATCCATGATGACTTACAAAAAGTGGGCTTATCTCTTGCGGGAAGCAGTCCCACATTTGAATCTGTCATTATTCTTCATTTCAATGCTGCCATTAATAGTAATACCTTAATTTAAAAATTTAAAAGTAGTATTTCATCTCCAGTTCATGTGCAATATAAAGACTGTACCTCCACTATACTATGTAATATCAAATAACCTTTAGCTAAAAAAGAAAAAAAAAGAATAATCTGTTGTCAAGAGAAAACATACACATTTTTATGGTACCAACTCCTTGGCCTGGTATCAAGACCCTCCATGGGCTGTACCTCCCTTTCAAACTATTTACTTTTTTTTACCCTAAACAACTCATTTATTTGATTGTTGATGTGGGGGGAAGGATTCCCATTGACTCCCATTGACCCACTTTTCAACAACTTGAATTCTTTCTCATCTGCATTTGTTCAATCGTATCTTTCTCCCCATTTTACTATCTGCATTTTCACCTCTCTAAACCTACTCATCTTTCAAGCCTGGGCTAATTTTCTACCTCAGGTATGAAGTCAAACTGATTTCAGTTTGTTTAAAAATAAAGTATCTGGCCAGGCACGGTGGCTCATGCCTGTAATCCCAGCACTTTGGGAGGCCGAGGCGGGCGGATCACGAGGTCAGGAGATTGAGACCATCCTGGCTAACATGGTGACACCCCGTCTCTACTAAAAATACAAAAAAATTAGCCGGGCATGGTGGCAGGCGCCTGTGGTCCCAGCTACTTGGGAGGTTGAGGCAGGAGAATGGCATGAACCCAGGAGGCAGAGCTTGCAGTGAGCAGAGATCATGCTACTGCACTCCAGCCTGGGCGACAGGGCAAGATTCCACCTCAAAAAAAAAAAAAAGTATCTGATATTCCAAAAATATTCATTTCTATATCACTCATACTGTCTGTATTACTCATACTGTCACTCCATACTATCATTAAAAAAAAAATAAGCGACAGTATGGCAAATTAGAAAAAGAAATATCTCTGGAGTGAGAACCAAGCCTCAATTTGAGCTTTGTTCAAACAAGTGAGTTCAATTTTCTCACCTGAAAATGGGATAACACCTTAAAGCATTATTGTGATAGACGAAATAAAATATGTATAGTACTTGGCTGAAGTAGCCTCAGTTCTCTTTTGTTCAAAATGTCTTTTAAGTTTAGTGTTGCAATAGTACTGCTATATATGATAATCAGACACTGCTGTGGATTCTAATTTCTCATCTATTTTATATTTCAAATCATGTTAATGTCTTAAGAGTAATAACTATTTATCTTGCTTTATATCTCTACATTATCTAGATCACAATGGGTTCTAACTGAATATCATTTTTTAATCAAAATACTATATACTGTATATGAATGCTAAACAGTTATTTGGAATAAAAGCATTATTTCTTCACATACACATAAAATCACGTGATTGATGTGTTCACTGATTCTCTGCTAGGAAATGCCAATCAAACTTGTTCTTTTTTCTATCACTGTCCATTTCTCTTTTACAGGGTAAAGTCGGGTTTGAGCCCAAATTCAACATCCCCATTGCTGAGTCATATTTGAAAATACTACAATGGAGTGGCCAGGTGGCCACATTTAGGTGTGACAGAGAGATTTGGAGAGGTTCTGATCAGAATTCGGTTAAGGTCCTTCAAATTAGTCTGCCAGCACTTGGGAAATCTTCAAAAATCACTTCATATATATTTTTCCCTTAACTCTCTATCTTTCTAAAAACCATCTCACTATTGGCTCAGATTATGCACATTAAGGGATCTGTAAAAGCCATGCTAATTTAAACTGCAAGCACTGAGCATTACAAATGACTTACACCAGTAAAGCCTCTAAGTCTATAAATATGTGACTCATCAGCTTCCAAAAAATCAGGTCAGGAATTCCTTAGTTTAGAAATTGTCTTGACAGTGTTAACCACAGGCCTTTAGAAAAAAATGCTTAATAGCATCATATGATTGCAACTAGATTTTAAAGGTCATTGAGTCTTTTTCTCTACCTGTATATAATACCTTGCTTGAGAGAGTTGCTGTTGTCCTTTTATGGATCATCAGCGACACCCTACCTCCTACCCTTGGCTTATCCTATATCATTCTGCCATCATGTTAGTTCTTTCATCCTTCTTTGATTAATGCCATCAAAATAAATGCTCATCATTAATTCATGAAGGCAAAGATTTAGTAGACTGGCCCAGGATACATTCTGAACACCTGTCTGACATACAAGGTCTTTGGTAGTAGGATCCCAAAGCTTCTTTGCAGTCTCATGCATTCAATAATTAACTGGAAGTTATAGCATTCCTACTAGCTTTTAGGCATTTAGCAAAGAACATATACAAACAAATTTGATGTAGAACTGACCTCAAGTTGCTTAGAGTCCAGTAGAAGAAACAGAGGAGTATTCAAGTTAGTAAAATATAATATTGGGAAAACAGAAAGAAGATATTAGTAAAAACAGAGTTTTAAAAGATCCCAGAGGGGCGATCTTTGGAGGCAAGGGATGTCGGGAGAGCATTTAAGATAAAATGTTCGCCAAACCAAATCTTGAAGTATGAATGGGGGATAAGAAATAAGTGATTGATAGACAATTCACTCAAAGGGATGAACATGTATGGAAGAAACTATATCAAGCATGTTATCTGTGTTGAAAATTGCAATTAATTCAGAAATATTATAGTATAAAAATACAATGCCCAGCGAATTAAACAATGGTACTGTGCATCAGATTGAATTCTTCAAAAACAGCAAGAGCAATATTTCTGGTCCCACATGGAGTTCCAGAAACTTGCTACTCACCCCTCAAGAGGCAGAGTCTTTTTTTATCCCCTTGAACCTGGGAGGGCTTGTGACTTCTCAAATTAATGGAGTATAAAGGAAGTGATTATAACTGGTTTCTGAGGATAGGTCATAAAAAGACCACAGCTTCCACTTGGCTTTCTCATTTCCCTTGAATCTTTTTCACTGTGCTATGAGATAGCCAAGAAGCAACTTGAAGAGTCCTCGAGCAGGTGTTCTTACCGACTGACCCAACTCTGTGAGTCTTCCCTACCAACAGCCAACACTGACCAACAGATACACTTTTATCTCACTTCTTTTTTCTTAACCATTGTCGTTATTTGGTAGTAAAAATTCTTCCTGCATCAAGTATTAATAGCAGTCTTTTTTCACTCAGAATAATCAATAATCTCTACTTCATGATGTCTTGCCTGGGTGGCACGGTCTTACTTATTTTTGTTTATTTCTTAGCATCCTGGAAGTAAATTCCATGAGTGCATCATTAGCCTGTTGGCCTTGCCATTGTACCATCACTTTGAGGAAATTCAGCTACCACATGGTGCATCTCTCCTCTATGGAGAGAGCCACTGGATGAGGACGAACAGAAGCTTCCTAAAATAGCCATGTAGGTGAGCCACCTTGGAAGCAGATCCTCCAGCCCCATCAAGCTTTTAGATGACTGCAGCCTCAGATGACATCTTCACAGCAACATCATAGAAAGACCCAGATGCCCCCATAGATGCCCTCAGATGAATCCAGTCCAGAGCCTTTCAGTTGCCTCAGCTGACCCTGAGTAAAGTAGAGGTGGTCTGACTGTGACTAGCCCTGAAAAATTGTACTTAATGTGGAGCAACATAAACAAGTTTCTTGTTTTAAGCCACTAAGTTTTGGGGTGGTTTGTAACCAGGCAGAATAGGCCAAGAAATCGATACATTATAAAGAATTTGGATTTTTTTTTTTTTTTTTGAGATGGAGTCTCGCTCTGTCGCCCAGGCTGGAGTGCAGTGGCGCG
This sequence comes from Homo sapiens, assembly GCF_000001405.40. Taxonomy (NCBI): domain Eukaryota; kingdom Metazoa; phylum Chordata; class Mammalia; order Primates; family Hominidae; genus Homo; species Homo sapiens. Next base: position 40,843,603 of record NC_000018.10, read on the forward strand.
ATCTCGGCTCACTGCAAGCTCCACCTTCCAGGTTCACACCATTATCCTGCCGCAGCCTCCCGAGTAGCTGGGACTACAGGCGCCCACCACTACGCCCGGCTAATTTTTTTGTATTTTTAGTAGAGACGGGGTTTCACCGTGTTAGCCAGGATGGTCTTGATCTCCTGACTTCGTGATCAGCCCGTCTCGGCCACCCAAAGTGCTGGGATTACAGGCATGAGCCACCGTGCCCGGCCAGAATTTGGGTATCTTAAATAATGATTTTATGGTTTATCATGAATGGTTTAGAGAATGTTTAAGCAGGGAGGTGATTTGACCAGATTTTCCTTTTAGCACAATAAAGACTGAATTGGAGAAGAATAAGACAAGAGTCAGGACGACCAGTTAGTGGGATACAGTAATAATTCTGAGTAAAATTATAAAATTTTTAAACATCTTGGTAATTTGTGAACGAAAAACATAAAATAATTGAAAAAGATATTAAGCAAGAAATACCAGAAGGGGCTGACATTCATTATATATGTCGTGGAAGTTGAGTTTAATTGCCAATTTCTAATTTTGATGATAGATTGAATGATAAAGTGATCACCCAAAATCGTGAATACCCATTTGGGAAATATGTTTGGCAAGAAAAGTTGTTATTGAAATTAATTTTAGACATGAATTTGAGGTACCCAATTGGCCCTATCCAGAAGGAACCTGGATATATGATCTATAATTCAGAGTACACATTTTGGATGAAAATACAGATTTAGGAAACACCAACATAATGGTGGTAATTGAAATCATGGGAGTGGAAGAGATGTCTCCAAGACATTTTACAGTTGGAGAAGAAAAAAGGGCCACAATGATGAGCTGGGAAACACCAACATTAAGGTGAAGACAAAGAAGATACACAAAAGTAACTGAGATGTGGCCAGAGAACAGCCTAAAACAATAGTAAGATTTTGTTATCTCACAATCCGTAGGTTAGAAATTTGGGAGCAGCATGGCTGGATGGCTCTGGGTCTTTCTATGATGTTGCTGTGAAGATGTCATCTGAGGCTGCAGTCATCTAAAAGCTTGATAGGGCTGGAGGATCTGCTTCCAAGGTGGCTCACCTACATGGCTGTTGTAGGAAGCTTCTGTTTGTCCTCCTCATCCAGTGGCTCTCTCCATAGAGGAGAGACACACCGTGTAGTAGCTCAATTTCCTCAAAGTGATGGTAAAATGGCAAGGCCAACAAGCTAATGATGCACTCATGGAATTTACTTCTAGGATGCTCTCCTCAGCAAATGTAAAAGAACAGAAATTATAACAAACTATCTCTCAGACCACAGTGCAATCAAACTAGAACTCAGGATTAAGAAGCTCACTCAAAGCCGCTCAACTACATGGAAACTGAACAACCTGCTCCTGAATGACTACTGGGTACCTAACGAAATGAAGGCAGAAATAAAGATGTTCTTTGAAACCAACGAGAACAAAGACACCACATACCAGAATCTCTGGGACGCATTCAAAGCAGAGGGAAATTTATAGCACTAAATGCCTACAAGAGAAAGCAGGAAAGATCCAAAATTGACACCCTAACATCACAATTAAAAGAACTAGAAAAGCAAGAGCAAACACATTCAAAAGCTAGCAGAAGGCAAGAAATAACTAAAATCAGAGCAGAACTGAAGGAAATAGAGACACAAAAAACCCTTCAAAAAATCAATGAATCCAGGAGCTGGTTTTTTGAAAGGATCAACAAAATTGATAGACCGCTAGCAAGACTAATAAAGAAAAAAAGAGAGAAGAATCAAATAGACACAATAAAAAATGATAAAGGGGATATCACCACCGATCCCACAGAAATACAAACTACCATCAGAGAATACTACAAACACCTCTACGCAAATAAACTAGAAAATCTAGAAGAAATGGATACATTCCTCGACACATACACTCTCCCAAGACTAAACCAGGAAGAAGTTGAATCTCTGAATAGACCAATAACAGGCTCTGAAATTGTGGCAATAATCAATAGTTTACCAACCAAAAAGAGTCCAGGACCAGATGGATTCACAGCCGAATTCTACCAGAGGTACAAGGAGGAACTGGTACCATTCCTTCTGAAACTATTCCAATCAATAGAAAAAGAGGGAATCCTCCCTAACTCATTTTATGAGGCCAGCATCATTCTGATACCAAAGCCGGGCAGAGACACAACCAAAAAAGAGAATTTTAGACCAATATCCTTGATGAACATTGATGCAAAATTCCTCAATAAAATACTGGCAAACCGAATCCAGCAGCACATCAAAAAGCTTATCCACCATGATCAAGTGGGCTTCATCCCTGGGATGCAAGGCTGGTTCAATATACGCAAATCAATAAATGTAATCCAGCATATAAACAGAGCCAAAGACAAAAACCACATGATTATCTCAATAGATGCAGAAAAAGCCTTTGACAAAATTCAACAACCCTTCATGCTAAAAACTCTCAATAAATTAGGTATTGATGGGACATATTTCAAAATAATAAGAGCTATCTATGACAAACCCACAGCCAATATCATACTGAATGGGCAAAAACTGGAAGCATTCCCTTTGAAAACTGGCACAAGACAGGGATGCCCTCTCTCACCGCTCCTATTCAACATAGTGTTGGAAGTTCCGGCCAGGGCAATCAGGCAGGAGAAGGAAATAAAGGGTATTCAATTAGGAAAAGAGGAAGTCAAAATGTCCCTGTTTGCAGACGACATGATTGTTTATCTAGAAAACCCCATCGTCTCAGCCCAAAATCTCCTTAAGCTGATAAGCAACTTCAGCAAAGTCTCAGGATACAAAATCAATGTACAAAAATCACAAGCATTCTTATACACCAACAACAGACAAACAGAGAGCCAAATCATGAGTGAACTCCCATTCACAATTGCTTCAAAGAGAATAAAATATCTAGGAATCCAACTTACAAGGGATGTGAAGGACCTCTTCAAGGAGAACTACAAACCACTGCTCAAGGAAATAAAAGAGGACACAAACAAATGGAAGAACATTCCATGCTCATGGGTAGGAAGAATCAATATCGTGAAAATGGCCATACTGCCCAAGGTAATTTACAGATTCAATGCCATCCCCATCAAGCTACCAATGACTTTCTTCACAGAATTGGAAAAAACTACTTTAAAGTTCATATGGAACCAAAAAAGAGCCCACATCGCCAAGTCAATCCTAAGCCAAAAGAACAAAGCTGGAGGCATCACACTACCTGACTTCAAACTACACTACAAGGCTACAGTAACCAAAACAGCATGGTACTGGTACCAAAACAGAGATATAGATCAATGGAACAGAACAGAGCCCTCAGAAATAATGCCGCATATCTACAACTATCTGATCTTTGACAAACCTGAGAAAAACAAGCAATGGGGAAAGGATTCCCTATTTAACAAATGGTGCTGGGAAAACTGGCTAGCCATATGTAGAAAGCTGAAACTGGATCCCTTCCTTACACCTTATACAAAAATCAATTCAAGATGGATTAAAGATTTAAACGTTAGACCTAAAACCATAAAAACCCTAGAAGAAAACCTAGGCATTACCATTCAGGACATAGGCGTGGGCAAGGACTTCATGTCCAAAACACCAAAAGCAATGGCAACAAAAGCCAAAATTGACAAATGGGATCTAATTAAACTAAAGAGCTTCTGCACAGCAAAAGAAACTACCATCAGAGTGAACAGGCAACCTACAACATGGGAGAAAATTTTCGCAACCTACTCATCTGACAAAGGGCTAATATCCAGAATCTACAATGAACTCAAACAAATTTACAAGAAAAAAACAAACAACCCCATCAAAAAGTGGGCGAAGGACATGAACAGACACTTCTCAAAAGAAGACATTTATGCAGCCAAAAAACACATGAAGAAATGCTCATCATCACTGGCCATCAGAGAAATGCAAATCAAAACCACTATGAGATATCATCTCACACCAGTTAGAATGGCAATCATTAAAAAGTCAGGAAACAACAGGTGCTGGAGAGGATGTGGAGAAATAGGAACACTTTTACACTGTTGGTGGGACTGTAAACTAGTTCAACCATTGTGGAAGTCAGTGTGGCGATTCCTCAGGGATCTAGAACTAGAAATACCATTTGACCCAGCCATCCCATTACTGGGTATATACCCAAAGGACTATAAATCATGCTGCTATAAAGACACATGCACATGTATGTTTATTGCGGCACTATTCACAATAACAAAGACTTGGAACCCACCCAAATGTCCAACAATGATAGACTGGATTAAGAAAATGTGGCACATATACACCATGGAATACTATGCAGCCATAAAAAATGATGAGTTCATGTCCTTTGTAGGGACATGGATGAAATTGGAAACCATCATTCTCAGTAAACTATCGCAAGAACAAAAAACCAAACACCGCATATTCTCACTCATAGGTGGGAATTGAACAATGAGATCACATGGACACAGGAAGGGGAATATCACACTCTGGGGACTGTGGTGGGGTCGGGGGAGGGGGGAGGGATAGCATTGGGAGATATATCTAATGCTAGATGACACGTTAGTGGGTGCAGCACACCAGCATGGCACATGTATACATATGTAACTAACCTGCACAATGTGCACATGTACCCTAAAACTTAGAGTATAATAAAAAAAAAAAAATTAAAAAAAAAAAACAAGAATGAATGAGATAATAAATGCCTGACATGTAAAAAAAAAAAAAAAAAAAGAAAAAAAAAAAGAAATAAAAATAAGTAAGACTGTGCCACTGAGGCAAGACACCATGAAGTAGAGATTATTGAATATTCTGAGTGAAAAAAAGTGACTAGTATTACTACTTGATGCGGGAAGACTTTTTACTACCAAATAAAGACAATTGTTAAGAAAAAAGAAGTGAGATAAAAGAAACAGATTTTGACAGTGTTACTGTTTGTCTAGAGAATGCCCTTCTTAGGTTATGTCAGAATAAAAAATAAAAGGTATTTTGGTAAGGGAACTTTTGGTCATATAGTTGCAAAATCTCTCTTCTAAATATGTCTTCATTTTTATTTAAAACAAAAGATTCTTAAACCACATATTTTGTCAAAGTTGTCTTGTACTTTGATTATTAAAGTAGGTGACTGTTAACATTATTTTAGCTTTGAAAGTCTGATTGTGAGATTTGGGCTCAAATCCTGACTGTGTCACTTAACTTGCTTGGAGAATGTAGGAAAAGATTTTTTGACACTTTGGTCTATAATTTTTGATCAAAAGGGGAGAAATGATAATAGAGTCCTATCTTAGGAATGCTGTGAGGACTGCAACCAGATTGGTAAAGTAATTATCATACTAATAATCAACACTTTTTTAGTCTTTCAGATTCATCTTCTCCAGGTAGTCCATTCTATGCTATTAGTTTGATGATGAAATTAAGTCCAACAAATCAGAATTCCTGTTCCAGGATTTAGAGTTTTCCATAGGTCGACTCAACCCTACTTACACAACCACATCTTCTACAGTCTCAAACTGAATGTTGAGTATCCCGTGAATAAGGGATGATGCTCTTTTGAATCTGAAATGTTGTACATATAACTTAATTCTTAATTATAGGCTGTTGAAAAGTTTAGTACTGAAAAGGTTCATGGAAATTATTTTTGTCTCCCTTATTTTACAATTTTTTTTTTTTTTAAAGAAGGTCGGGCGCTGTAGCTCATGCCTGTAGTCCCAGCACTTTGGGAGGCTGAGGCTGGTGGATCACGAGATCAGGAGTTCGAGACCAGCCTGACCAACATGGTGAAACCCCATCTCTACTACAAATACAAAAAATTAGCCAGGCATAGTGATGCGTGCCTGTAATCCCAGCTACTCAGGAGGCTGAGGCAGGAGAATTGCTTGAACCTAAGAGGCAGAGATTGCAGTAAGCGGAGATCAGGCCACTGCACTCCAGACTGGGCGACAGAGTGAGACTGTCTCAAAAATAAAATAAAATAAAATAAAAAAAAAAAAGAAAAGAAGAGAACAAAAAAAAACCTGATAGATATTGAATTGCCCAAAGGCAGTCATCCAGAACTTAAATCTTCTAATTCAAAGTACCATGTTTTTTTGTTAATATCATTATTTTCATCTATATTTCCTGTTAAGATTGTATATAAATACTTTCAAACAAAATAAGACAAATTAAATAAAATAAATACACTGACTAGTTCCTACATAAACTTTTATTTTAAGACCAGCTTATAAAAAGATTATGATAAAGATCGTAAGTTTTAATCATATGGACCTTGTGGAGTGGCATCTACTGCTCCACCAACCCCTGAACAAATTATCCTCATAGAATATTTGGCTGCCCTTTACTTACTCTGCTGTATGAATTTGAGCTATTAGAATGTTATGTTGAGAGGAAAATATTTTGGCTCATGGTAAAGCAGTTTGCTTGAGAAGATAAGGAGTTTTCTAGGGCTGGTCTCTGTTCTGAATAACTTGTAACCATGCTATCCTGGTGGCCGTATGTTTAGTCTTCCCTATGCATTCTTAGGCTTCCAAAAGAAGATACTATTTCATCTTTGTTCCAAGCTACATACTAAGATTTTCCTTAGTCAGTCTGTAAGAATATGTGTCCAATTCACATAAGCTTCCCAAGAGGGTAAATAAAGCAGAAAACAGGGGCAAGGAGAAAAACTCAGGGCAATTTTATTCCCAACAAATAATCTTGCAGACACTAATGAAACAAATAAATAAGGCTATTAATATAAGTCCTGCAAAACTCACCCAAAGCTCCCATGCTCTCTCAAATCTTCTCCTGCTTAAAGCTCTCATTTTGACATGGAACATTTACAGGTAAAATTCTATATTGCTTGAGTTTAAAAGAAATTCTCAATCATGTTAATGTTAATGAAGATGGGGATGTTTTGCAAAGCTAACCTTCCCCTGTGGACAGGTAACCTCTATGATGCTAAAAATTTCTAACTGCAATGTTTACATTTCTGTATTATTTTTAAACTTTATAACACACTCCTCTTTTCTTATTTCTCTGAGAAGCTGCCATTTTGAAAATACAGTATCACCCACAGAAGTTACACTAAACATGATTGAATTATTCTTTGTTGTCATTTTTGTTTAACAGATGAGGATATTAAAGTTTGGAGAGGCTCAGGTAATATGGCCAGACACAGCAGAGCTGGAACTAGAAGCCAGTCCTCCACAGTAAGAACTCCAGCTTTCAAGACAAAGTGGAACTACTCACAGCTTGTCACCATTTGATTCAGCTGACTTATGCCCTTCTTTTCCACTCTGACTCCAGTTAGATCCTATTCCACCTTTTCAATCAATACTCAATATTAATAACTATATACTAGACACTGGAAATGCTCCAGTAAAATAATGAGCATAACTCCTGCTTTCAAGATTACTAGGGCTTCACTCTGTACATAACCTCTAGGAAGATTAAAGAGCAAATTCTTTGCTTTCCTGAGACACTCATATTCATGCAGCCACTCCCATTCACCTTGTTCCTTGCCATTTCTCTATCACCAGAAGGCCCACCTATTGCCTCAACTGGCTCAGACACTTACTCAAACTCTCTTTCTGTCACTTACACAATCCTCTTGATGGCAATTACCGGCAGCATTTTTTGCTCAAGATATTTCAGTTTGGAAAAAGTTAAAAGCATGGAAGAGTGCCTTGAGCAACAGTGGCTGCTATTAACTGCTTTGGCAGTTTGTCAAGGTTTGGCCACCTGCCTGGAAGAAGTTTAACTCAACCGCAAATTTCACCCCCTCAGTCACCTATTTACCTCCTTCCTCCGAAACTGAAGCACTTATCAACACTGCATTACTTCTGTGTTGTATTCATTATGATCTTCATGAAAGTCAAAGGTGTTTGACTCAAAAAACCAGACATTTTTTAATCTCTAATTTATTATCTTCTGGATACTGCTTTCCAGCATTTCTTCAAATTCAGTATCTTCCTTTGCCAGTACACCTGATGGTTATGTAAGGACACATCCAAGTACAAGCAGATTCATCCTCTTTTCTAATCCTCCTCTGCTTCCCAACAGAGGCAAAATAAATAAATAAAATAAAAACACACGGGTGAAAAATAATTAAACGCAATCTCAAGGTCTATTGAAAAGAAATAACTTTGACTGATGAAAAATCCTCCACTCTTGCCAGGTCTCCTTGTAAAGCTGTAGATACTTAAAGGGAAATATATGAAAAAACAAAACAAAACAAAAAGGCAGATGCAGTTTGAAGCCTGGAACTCTTGGGTTTTATTAAGAAGGAGCTGAACAACAGAGCCCAGCATCTGAGACCATTGAAAGTAAACAATTTAGAGTTGGGCCATTCAATAACCCTGGAAAATTAATCTGTGCTGTATAGAAACACGTGGCTGCTCTATGCCAATGGCTCTGTACTTAGAGAATAGGTTCATTAGTACAGCTGCAGAAGCTGCACCAGCTCCTCAGTGGGTCATCTAAACACTTGTACTCATGGCCATGGTCTCACTGGGACTAATTTCACAGAGATGGGAAAGAGGAGCAAGAGAGAGGGGGAGTCTAAAAAATAAGTTTTGTAGCTCATGCCAAGAATAAAAGCAAGGGAGGGTGACATTTACAATCAGGCCAGAAAAGCAAAGAAAACAATATTTTGCTTTCCTGAGTTTACTTTTAATGGTCATTTTTTTACCTTGAGAATGTCAATTCCTTGAGTAAAGGAAACACATTGAATATTGTCATTTCATAATTCCCAGTTAAGAAGATTGACATCTTCATTTTCGATATCTAAGAGGGTGGACCCTATTTTTCAAGTTCACACATACCGCATACACATACTACAGGTTCAGAAATTGAAGGAAGCAACTGAATCCAAGAATAAAACTTCCCTGTTCTGGAGAAGAAATCTAACCTCCATCCACAAGTTATCATCATCAGTTTGTGGTAGGGCGAGAACGGGAAGTCATGTCTGAGAGCTATGCTTATCCAGGGCTGCTTTGACTCTGTTCTCCTGCCTTAGTGAACTCTACTTGACCCAACCCAAATTACACATAATGACTAGAGACTGACTACTCTTCCTTCTTAGAAATTGTGGCTGCAGAAATCCCCATTTCCTACCTGCTGCTGCCACATGGAATTTGTTTCATTTACATGTTCTTTTACACTTCCTTTTTACCTCTACCTGGGAATCCCTTCTCATTCTTACTGTGACTGGTAAACAATTTGAAATATTAACATTAAGGAAACAAAATCTTTTTGTGTCTTCCTCATCAACCCCTTTTCTCTTCCCTTTTTACAATGACTTCTCTGATTCCCTTGTTAACATGCTCAGGGTGGAAGTTCAGAGGAACCTACAGATATTTTTGATAGCTTTTTTCCCAGAAGACAAAATCCTTCAGAACAGGTAGGATGTTTTCAAAAATTAAGTGATATAAGGATATGGTCTGAAAGAAGTAGTAAGAAGAAATGTGCAAAGGAAAATCCACTTGTGCCCCTCCCCCAAGATAGGGGAGATAGGAGACTCCCCCAAGCTTTGTTGGAAGTAAGGAGAGAAAATCATGGAGGTCCAAAGCCACAAGGCTCCAGTCCCTGAATCTGGGCAGCACTGCTGGTTAATGTCAAGGCTCCCTAAATAGAATGACAGTAGGGTATGTGGGCATTGGGCATGGGATTATCAGGCTCAGTCAAAATTCCCAATCCCCAAGCATGAATCTGAGGCTGCATGGAACCTGGGAACCTGAAAAGATCGTGTATTCAGGAATAATGGATATCTCTGAGGTAGCCTACATGGACAGATGATAGGGTGTCATCACTTTCTCAAACCTTCAACCTGTAAATAAGATCTTGGAATCCTACATCACCTTAGGGAGACTTCAAGAACAACGAAGCTATATTCTCCAAATTCTGGTGAAATGGGGAATTATATTTAAAAATGAAGTTAAGTTATAGACAAATGAGGAAAAGGTATTTCTTGCACACCTGAAGTGATGCTTTGAAAATCTTCCCTCATGTTAACTTGCTAGAATTTAGAGCCAATTTGGATTAGCAGGGACTAAATTGAATGTAGGGGATGATTAATACAAAAGGGAGGCTGGAGGGACACAGAAAATTATCTTCATAAGACCTATCTTTGCATAGTGATTTTGGGTGTCCTAGTCTCAATGCTAGTCCTCTTAGCAGCAGTCTTATTTGTCCTCATAAAACCCCCTCAACCCTGTGTAAAAATCTGTCATCACCTGTGAACATCTGTGACCTTAGGTAGTGCTTTAATTTTGTCATCTGTACACCAAGGATAATAATTGTACTTACTTTTAGGATTACTGTTAAGATTAAATGAGTTAATACATGTAAATTATTTAAAATACCAGTTGGCACACAATATATAATCAATAAATATGTGTTATTGCTGCTTGTTTTTAAATTGTTGTATTATCCCTCAATTTCCTCCTTTCCTGGGTAGGGAAGGCATGAGTGATTTCTGCTTGTTCTCTGAGATGTAAATTATTCTGTATAGATTTAGTGTTTTTCTCTAGGTTCTAAGCTACAAGACGAGAATAAGCAGTTAAGGAAGAAGAGATGGGTATGGAAGTAGGAGAAAGAGCCTTTTCTTACACATCATCTTAGCTTTCATATAAGTTGCTTAAACAAACAAACAAAGCACAAAAAATTCTTAAAGGAAGTATACAATCCCTTCAGAATGGCATAAAAAGAGAGAGAGAAACAGGGAGATCAATTCTGGGGGATTTCAAGAAGGGAAACCCAACATTTCCCTGGGGTACACAGATGAAAAACAACCTAGCAGCCAAGGTTTGGCTGGGCCAAGCCACGCTCCCAGGTTTAGTGCAGACCAGAAGCCTCAGTTTCTCAGGACACCTCCCCAGGATGCTCCGACACTTCCCCACCTTGCCTCTGTACCTACTTCTATATTTCTACAGCCCCTGCCCTGCTGAAGCTCTGCATGCAAGTGAAAGGGACTCTAATGGCCTGTTTCTAAGATAACTTCCCTCCCATCACAGCAGGTGGAGAGCCATTCCTGGCGATGCAAATTTAAATTCTGAACGCATTATCCCATAGAAATATTGCTGCATTTTGTATTTAGTTTCCATAGTGTTATTAGGATATTACTATAGTTCAGCTACATTATGACTTAAATATGCTTTTGTGAGCACTTAGAGGACCTGAACACCATGTTATAAAACACATTTCTACGGAAAAAAAAATGCCTCAACTTCAAAAACAGACTCGTAAATCAAACTTCTCTTCAATATCTAGGAAGAAAACTATTGGTAACAGCAAGTACTGTTTTTATTTAAATTTAACTTATATTAAAAACTCAATGTAAAATACTAAAAGAGAGCTTTTTCTGAAATTTGTTTATAACACTCCTCCCATACACACATCCTCCAGCGTTTAGACACATGTCCAGTACAGATTTTTTTTTTACATAGATGTTCAATTAATATTAGTTGAAAGTGATTTAGGGTTGCCAGGGCTGACTTTTCTAAGAAACTGCTCTCTGGATCACCAAAGCAAATTTTCTTGTCAACTAATTTGCTTTGATTGAAGTTTGTTTTTTTCCAAAGTAATTCTCCTTATTTCTAATATCCAAGAGCAACAGTGACCAAAAACAAACAAACACACACAAAAAAAGGTGTAGCATATTTGCTAGGAACTACTTACTCAAATCAAAGCAAATGGCACAGACAGGAGCAAGCCCTGTTTAATCTGAGCACTGGCTGGTGTAAGAGACCAGTAGGAATTACATCTAGTGATATTTCATTTCCTGCTCTTTTTTAAAAGGGCAAAACCATCATGGAGGTCACATTTGACAAACCAGTTTGTTTTTCCCTTTTCAATGTTTGTCTCTGCAATTGAGACCCAACCTCACCTCATTTCCCCTGCTCAACGCCACCTCCCCTTCTTACCCTTTCCCTCCTCCTCTTTCTTTCTTTTTTCTTTTTTGTTCCCCTCTTTGAAAACTCTAATGACTAGAATAATCCCAAATGTCAACATTTGCAATTCTGGAGCTTCATTTAAGCAATAAAAATAATAATTAAAAGGGTAAAACCTTAGAGAGATTTCTTCATTTTATATGGTTTGCCAGCAATGATACGCATTCAAAAAAAAAGCCAGTAAAAGAATTAATTAGAAACAGCCAAAGCTCAACAAGCTCTGCAAGTTGATGAAGCAGAGAGGAAAATGTCATCTTTGAGACCCAGAGCCGCATTGGCTTAGATAATATCCACTCCTGCCTTACTCTCCTAACTAAACCTCTTTTAATCTCTCCTCAAGAAATCAATGCTAATGACATGGATTTACCAAGAAATGACAGCAGCATAATACCATGAGAGCTGCTCCTGTTTAATGTAACTTAGTTCTGATGGGAACACTCAGAGTTTCATTCTGACAGCAAGTCGTTGTTTTGCGTGTTTCTTGTGGGACTCAAAATAATGGAAAAGCTTCCTTTTATTTTATTTTTATACCTTCCATTGTGAGTTTGTTTTTTAGATTGCTCCCAGTATTCCTCTGTCCCTCTTTTTAAAGCAGCCTTTTCTTCTCTGGCCACAAGTCTCCCACCCCCATCATCTCCACTCACATTCTGTAATTCATTCTTATTTCCTTGATCTTTCTTCAGAATGGTTCTCCTATGGCCACAGGTGGCATTATAACATACAGTTTCCCCCCACCCCCACCCGTCTACTTATATAAAGCTAATTTATGTGTAGACATCTACTTGTTTCTGTTTCATTGGTCTATTTGTTTGGTCGTTCAGCCAAAATATATGGGATGTTTCCAAAATATGTCTAGAATACAAAATCCACCTAAAATCTAAGGAACGTCATTATTTTATTGTTAACAACATACATGCGACGTTTATACTGCAAAACAGTGCTGTTCTTAAACACATCACACTACTGCAGACACATCCCACAGGGTCTTATAGCTAGAGAGAATCAGACACATAAGGAACTGAGTGTGTCTGCTTGGCTACTTACTAGATGAGTGACGTGACCTTGGGAAGAAGCTTTAATCCTTCTGAAGTTTTCTACCCTGTAGAAAGGTGTGAATGATACCTATCATGCATTTCTCAGTGTGTGAGATGTAATGAGGAAATGTAAGTCCCTGGTACATATCTGGTCTCCTCATAATGCTGCTTCCTTCTTCCTTTTCTTCTTTGTCTAGTTTGTTCTTTCGGAGTTACCAAAGCATATTTCACCTCCCTTTTGCATGAGAGTCCATTAGCTTTTTAAACACAGCCACCATGATCACACAGGCTCCCTTTTTGAGGGATAAATGTCTCATCAGAACTGTCAAAAATTATCACTCCAGTGACAAAGATATCAAAGCAATCAATTTGTCTAAAAGCTACATTTTCTTTAAATTTGAAGCTCCCAAAATGAAAATGATACTTGTATGGATGAATAAACTAGTGTAAAATACAGCATTTAGCTCTATGGCCTTTCTAATAATATTATCAGGAGCAGATTAGGGTTTTGCGGGGCCTAACTCTTACACAATTTGAAGATTTTTTCTTTTAATAGAAAAATACAAAATTGAATACAAGGCCATGGCTGGGATCTCGAAGTCCAGCTTCAGTAGTTTCACAGAAAAAGACAACAGAATCCCATCCTCCCCTTCCCCCTGACACACAGGCACACACCACATCCTGACATCTCTCCAGGGGCATTTGGTGAACGCTTAAAATTTAGTTTCAGTGGGATTCTGACAGAGAGGAGGCAATAGGCAAGGGTGTCCCTAAATGTACTGAAGTAACGTTTCTTCCATCTAGTGAAATGGGCCCTAGAACACTCTTAGCAGGAATTCAGTTTCATTTTAGAAGAAAGCAGAAAGTTACACTTCTAGAAAAACTGAATATGTGAATATGTAGCCAGAGATTGATGCCTGCCTAAATAATTGCTGATCTTTATAGATGTTTATATAAATGCAAAGAGGAAACAAATATGATGGAAAGTTGCTGGAAAGTTTCTGGGGCAATGGTAAGATTAGAAGGCTGTTACTTTAGATAGTAGGCTCATGGAGAGAAAATTTGAGGCTTTTATGAGGTCCCCAAGCCTGGGGCCACAGACCGGTAACTGGTCTGTGTCTTATTGGGAACATGCTATACAGGAGGAGGTGAGCGGCTGGTAAGTGAGCATTACCAGTTGAATTCCACCTCCTGTCAGAGCAGCAGGGGCATTAGATTCCCACAGTAGCACGAGGTCTATTGTGAACTGCACATGCAAGGGATCTGGGTTGTGTGCTCCTTGTGAGAATCTAATGTCTGATGATCTGAAGTGGAACAGAATCATTTGAAACCATCCCCCACAATCCATGGAAAAATTGTCTTCCATGAAACCAGTCCCTAATGCCAAAAATATTGGGGACACCAGTTTTAAAGGATGAGAAGAGTCATCTATGCCAAGAGGCTAGAAAAGGGAAGGTCCAGCAGAGGGAATCTAAGCACAGAACCTGGAAGCCTGGAAAGAGTGCAGAGTACTTAAAGAGAAAACTGGGCACCTGTAATCCCAGCCACTCGGGGCTGAGGCAGGAGAATCGCTTGAGCCTGGGAGGCGGAGGTTGCAGTGAGCCGGGATTGTGCCACTGCACTCCTGCCTGGGCGACAAGAGCAAAACTCTGTCAAGGAAGGAAGAAGGGAAGGAAGGAAGGAAGGGAGGGAGGGAGGGACGGAGGGAGGAAGGAAAGAAAGAAAAAAACTGGCAAGTAGTTAAGAAATGAGTTTGGAAATATCTCTCAGTTATTCAACAGAATGTAAGCACTAGAAGGAAAAATGTCCTTTGTTATCTGCGCTTGCATTGAATTCTTTTAGAGTTCATACATTGTTTACTTTTCTATCAGAAAACAAATTAGAGAAACAACTGATAATGCATTTTGAAATTATCACACATTTTATTCATAGTGAATGCAGTGATCACCTAAACCATACAAATGCCAAACTAGATATCTTAATAAATATATGCTAATTTAAATCAATTCATTGAAAATAGTCTTAACACCTTTCAATGTTTCTCACGAAATTGGGACACAGGGATTGTTACTGGGCATCAGTCTTTCTTAGTTTCTCTCTGACTTTCAGTCTTTTGGTAACATCTTCCCTCATAGGACATGCAACCCAAAATTCAGAATTCAAAGGACAGAGCTTCCTTAGGATTCTACATGAGGCTGGGCCCCCTTCAAGCTACATTAATTATGTTTAACTTCTATTGCCAAATTTGGAACCAAGGGTTTGATTTTTCTCTCTTGCTACATCAAAATGGGAGAGCAGATAAGTTACGATAGTTGGTGCTGGTTTTACTCTGGAACAAAATTTAAAATACTCAGAGAGAGGAAGTATAAATATCACATGGAAGAGATACACTGCTGTCTATCAAAGACTCATGCTTCCCTTTTATGTTATTTGCTTGTTGCCAGTTAGCAGTTAGACTGTATTTCCCAGTCTCCTGATACCTAGCCCCTGCATCTGGGAGAGGTTGAGTAATTTCCACCAACAGACTGTGAGTGTAAGTGGTATAACTTCTGAGGCCAGTCAAGTAAGAAACCAACATGCCTTCTCTGCCTTAATGCATTGGCAGAAAACCCAGGCCCATTGGATAAGGGAGTCACATTGGATTGTCACTGTGTCACATGTCACATTATTTCTTTATGTAAAGAAATAAAAGTTGGTTGTGTTCAGCCACTGAAATTCTAGGGTTTGTTTGATACAGTATTTTGCATTACCCATCTAATACATAGGGTCCTCAGATTCTTGATTTATAGCAAACCGAATTAACTATGTACCCTACTGAAGGGATAATTACATTTAAAGGTTTAATTTAATTTATTTTTGTTTTCTCTTCTTGAGTGAAAAAGGTGGCAGAAAATCTGCACATAGCTCAAGGTTTTCCTCCTGAAAGATAGGTATGGAGTTCATGGGAATCATTTTGGAACGTATTCTTAGAAAACTAAATCATCCCAAATTCACTGAAGTTAGCGTCCCACTGAAGGACAATAGAGCACATGCATAGTACAAGTAGTTTAAGAGAAAAATCTGTTTACTCCTGAGAGCATGAAGTGACAGGAAAGGAAAAGAATGGTAATTCTCCGTCAGATGTGGTTGATAGTGAACTTGAAGTGAATGCAGACCTGAGCGTCTGGTTGTATCCTGAGAGGTATGGAAATGGAAATGGAAGCCCATGTAAAGGAAAGATTAAAGCTCTATGATTTTCCTTCCTGCAAAGCCATAGCAATCTGAATAGGATATCAGCAGTGACCCAGCCCTAGCTGGCAGACTGTGTGTGATCAATTTTTAACAGCAATACCAAGTCACAGCAAGAAACGCTGGCAGTAGTGCACTGAGGAAACGCCAATTCTTTCCCAATATAAAGGCTAAAACAGATACAGACTCCTTTTAAGTTTTGGTATTCCCACTGGCGTTGTTATTAATACATGGAGAAGAAGGAGACACTGGACTTTCTATGAACAAAGTTGTTTGGGGATCTAGCCTTCAATGTATTTATTTTATAAATCAAATGTTGGGAGAATTTTTAAGATGAGATTTATTTGGAGATTTTTCAACATGTAATATTACTAATATTTGTATAGTTTTTATCACTTATAAAGGATTTTCACAAGCTTTATTCATTTTGACCTTCTTAACAACTCAATAAAGTAGATATTATCACCTCAGTTTTATTGATAAGGAGACCATGGTTCATTGAGATAAAGTAACTTGCACAAGATTACACTAATATTAAGTGGCCAAGACATAATTCAAATCCTAGATCTTATCTACGCTGTTATCTTAAACTTTTGCCTCAAAGGCCATGATGTAACCAACTGTAATCCAGATAAACAGTGCATCAAAATGTACCCCTAAGTCTTGTTGCTGCTGCCTTCCGGCCAACTTTGAATTTCTTTCTTCATAATTTCTCCTGATTACTAGCAGAGAGGAGGCTATAGCCAACTGTATTCCCTTTCTGCTACATTTATTCTTTTCCAAAATATGGTTCACTTTTGAATTCACTGATTTAAGAATTTTTAGAATGGTGAAGAGTACCTTCTCCATACAGTCACACACATCTACGCGATGCCCCAGACACACTTGGCTTAATAAGAGTAAGCTCTTTCTTTGAATTCTAGATTGATAAATAATTAACAATTTCATACCCTTGGATAAATTCAAAATAAACTAAATACTTATGGATAGTTACTGTTATAATATATTCAGCTAAAGTATGTGGTTTAAGGGAAATGGTCTAGGGAGTAAAACCCAAAACCACTTTTTTAAAATCACATAGTTTCTTTGCACCCTTGCCTGAAAGAGAAATCAAACACTTGCAGGAGCTTTGTGCTGTCAGATCCTGAAAAATCGCAATGTTTTGCGATATTCAAGTTTGCTTCTTCAATGGTCTAGCCATAGCCCTTTCATTCTGAACCTTTCCCCAAAAAGATTGCCTTCTATTTCCTTTGCAAACTAAATAGCTAAACAGCTTTTATTTTTCCCATGTGATGCAAGTTATCACAGCTCTGGGTGAGGAATCCAGGACATAAGCAGAAAAGTTGGATTTATTCCATGCCAAAGCACTAACGGGGATTTTTTTTTTTCCTTATTGTGAAAAAAAAAGAAAAAAAAAAAGCTGTTGTTTCTTTTCAGCATCAGACTGTGGCCCCAGTGTAGAAATTTCCTCAAATAGTGACCCTTTGGGAAATGATGGTCATAAAACTAATTTACAAAAGCACGAGATAAATATTAAAATAGGAACACTGAAGGTTTTAGCCTCCTGCAGTTTCAAAGGAACTTGGAGTAAATATTTACCTTGATTTTTTTGCCATGGAATTACTTTGTGAATCTTACCATGAAGAAGATGACTTTTTTCCAGTTATTGTCAATAGCATTTCTCTCAGGGTGATTGCTGCCTTTTCTCTTTCACAGTCTAGTGTTATATTGAAAATACTGTAAGCGTGCTCACACACTGTGGTGAATTCAAAAGGGTACTTATGCCAAGAAACAAAAGGCATTCTCTTTCCCTATGGCTTCTACCACCCTTACTTGGGGAGTTGATAAATTGGCCTTTTATGGAGATTTTAACACAAGAAAAATAAAAATGTGTAGATTTTTGTGATAGATGTTGGGAAGAAATCTTGGTTTAATAAAATGAATCTTTTCATCTGTGTCTACAGGACAACCTTCCATGAACTGTAAAATAGAAACTCTAGGTTTGTCAGACTGCTTTGCCTATATGTTGCCAGACACCCAGGTTAATGATTTTTATTTTAACTGAATAGATTGACTGTCTTGAAGTTAGGAGCACCAGTGTACTGTCTTTGGATACTTGAATCATTTTGTTTGTATTTTCATCAGTTAGCGCTGTGCTCAGAAATGTGTGAAATTGTGGGTCTACATGTATTTGTTTATGTAAAGAGATTTTATCTGCTCTCTGTGTGTGCGTTTGTGTGTGTGTGTGCATGTATGTCTGTACCTTCCTGTTGGCCTTCACCCTTTCTTCTTGATGCTCTATGACGCCTCAGGGAGAGCCTCCTATGAAAATGAGCTATTGAGTCAATTTAAAGGAATAGTTGCTTTCTAATCAAACCAAGAACATAATAAGACTGCTTTAATATTCAAGCTAGTCAGTTATTACGATATAATTTATCCAAGCATACAACTCTCCCTTTTTTGTGCAGAGAAGGGAAACTTCCTCCTGAAAAACTTAACTCTTCTTCAGATAACTCCTTCTTTGATTATCCACATGTGTTACTTTTAGCTTTTTATCTACAGGCACCACTACTGTCAGTACTGAAATGACTAATATAACCCAACAGGCAAGTTTCTTGACATGGTGCTTTTATTTTTTGCGTAGTGTTCATTTTACTTATGATTTGAGGCAAAGCAACATAGCATCTATGACCATAGCACCACCAAAACTGGTTTCACAAAGTCTTTGTGGCTTCATATTGCAAAAATTCAATCATTATTGTCTTCTTTGCCAGATTTGACATTGTTCACCACTCGCTTTTCCTTAAAAGACTTTGTCTTTTTGGCATCTATGTCCCCAAACTTAAATTTTCCTTCCATTTTTGTGGCTCTTACTTCTGTTTCCTTCATTTTATATTCCTCTGCTTATTGTCTAAATATTATAATGCAGTCCTCCCTCAGTAAGAGGGGAATTGGTTCCATCCAGAATCTCCATTGATAAAATATAAATCCATGGATATTATATAAAATGGTGTGATTTGCATATAACGTAGGCATATATTGGTATATATTTTAAATCCTCTCTAGATTATTTATAATATCTAATGTAATGTAAATGCTACGTAGTTATATACTATGTTTTTAAAATTTGTATTTTTCATTGTTGTCTTGTTATTTATTTATTTTCTCTGCAATTTTTTTTTTTTTTTTCGGGAGACAGAGTCTCCCACTGTTGTCAGGGCTGGTGTGCAGTGGTGCGATCTCGGCTCACTGCAACCTCCACCTCCCGGGTTCAAGCGATTCTCCTGCCTCAGCTTCCCAGTAGCTAGGATTACAGGCACCCACCACCACACCTGGCTAATTTTTTTTTTTTTTTTTTTTTTTTTTGGTATTCTTAGTAGAGATGGGGTTTCACTATGTTGGTCAGGCTGGTCTCGAAATCCCGACCTCATGATCCACCCACCTTCGCCCCTCAAAGTGAGGGGACTACAGGCGTTGAGCCACCGCACCCGGATATTTTTTATCCCAAGTTGGTTGAATCCACAAATGCAGAACCCACAGATACGAAGAACCAAAAATACTATGAATTTTTTCCTCTCCTTCTCTCACTGTAAATAATTTCCCTTGATAACCTCAGTACAATTCCCATTTAATCAATTGTTACTTTTACTTTTATGTAAATATCTCTTCTGAAATCCAATCATTCTGCTGTCATAGAACTTAAAACCTGGGAAGAGCTTGGCAGATTATTCTAGTTATCGTTTTTCTTAATTCTTGCTCCTTTTATAGGCAAATAAGTTAAAAGCTTTAGATCATAAACCGCACACCTATTAGTCCTGAGTCGAAGTTCAGAACATTTTAGACATTAATCAGTCTGCAAGTTTTATGAGGATGTCTATGACATTAAACCTGCGGTCTATTTCCCTTATTTCTTGACTTCTGAGCAACATTCAATCAATTGAGTATTGACCCCTTCCTTCTTCTTCAAACACTTTCTTCTTTTAAAGTTTCATTGATTACACTCTAATTTTCTTGTGACATCCCTGAACATTGCTTCTCAGCCCCACATAGTCTTCTTCTCCACTTCCCAGCCTGGGAGTTGGAATTCTTCATGGTTCTGCCTAGTGCTTTTCTTGTGTCTCTCGTGGCTGCTCTTGGCAGCCTGTTCTTCCTGTATCCTTTGAACTTAGCAATGGAATAACAGTCTATCCACTTACACAAAGCAGATACTCAAAGGTTTTCTTTGACATCTTTATTTTCCCCATCTCTCATATCCAATACGTCAGTGATCCATTCGATTTTAGGTCCTGAGAAAATATCAAAACTGATTATCTTCTCTTTAACTTCATCATCACTACCCTGTTTTATGTCACCAAAGTCTATTTCTAAGATTACTGCAATGGTCTGGTTGTCATTGGTCTGTCTCCACTTTTGGCCTCAGACAATCCAATATGGAGGTCAGAATAATCTTTTGAATACCTGCTCCCTTTGCATACACACACATTTGTATACCACATATATTCAAACATCAAACCCTTAAACAGCTACCTATTGTCTTTATGATATAAATGGACATCCTTAACATGTACTACAATTTAATTCAATGTCTACTTCATACATGTCTCTCTAACATTTTCTCAATATTTCCGCCCCTGTATTCTTCTTGTAAGTTATAATAACATATGCCCTGTTCGTTATGATTCAAAACTTTTTACATGTTGTTCTTAGTGCTTGCAACACCTGCCTCCAGCCTTATTCCCATCATCTTTTAGTTCTGTTTTATAGTATAACTATTATTGTGGTTAAAAATTTTGTCTGGAGTCGGGTTGAGAGTACACAAATCATAGCTTAAGTACTTCATAACTATAGAACTATGGACAAATTCCTACATTTTTTGTTCTTTAATCTCCTCACTTAAAATACAGGGATAATAATACTAACTAGTTCTTAGGTTTTTTTTATGATTATTAAATAGATTAATTCACATAAAGAGGAGAGTGTCTGATACCCATATCCCAAAATAATATATATTAATATTATTTTATTTATCTCCATTATGCATTATCATTTTGAGCATCGTCTTCATCTTGTTGGTTTGCAAATGACTTTCTTTAATAAATCTTTGCCCTCTAAACTAAATCAGACTTTACTCTTTAAAACCCTGTTTCATAGTTCACAGTTGATTAAATTAAAGTTATGTATCTCCCTAACAAGAAAGCCAAAAATCACATCTTAGCACATTTTGAGAACATACCAGACAATCCACAAATATTTTTAAATAAATGAATGGCTTACTATCTGTCTTAGTCTGTTTTCTGTTGTTATGAGAGAATGCCTGATTTCTAGAGAAAGAAGTTTTATTTCTTACAATCCTGCAGGTTAGGAAGTCTAAGATCAGGCAGCCACATCTGTTTGGCTTCTGGTGAGGGCCTCATTCTGTATCGTAACATGGCAAGAGGTCATGAGTACAGAGAAACTGGCTTTCATAACAGAAGCATTATGGTGACAACTAAACCACTCCTGTAATAACCCATTAATCCATTAATTCATTAATCTATTAATCTATGAATGGAAAAATCCATTAATGAGGACAGAGCCCTCATGAACCAGTCACTTCATAAAGGCCCCACCTCTTAGTACTGTTCCATTGGGGAACACATTTCAATATGAATTTTGGAGAGAACAAAAATTCAAACCATGACATTATTTAATATGGATGGTGACATACACTGGGAAGACAATGCCATATATATATATATATATATATACACACACACACACACACACACACACACACACACACGTATACATGTACATATCTGTAACATTGCAAAGCATTCTGGGACTTATAAGTTAAACTATTTATTTCATAGTTAATAAAATTACAAAATTAATGGATAAAAGAAATCTGGAATTTTGTGTCAAACCAGAACACTAAAATGAGAGGAAGCATTCCCATGTGCCAAATTTTGAAATTAAAAAAATATAATAAACAATGGGAGTACTACTTTTCAGAGTTTAGCAAGCCTATCTAAATCATGTAATTCCAGTAAGTAATACAGGCTAAATACACAGATGTAGAAAATTTTCTGGTATATCCATGGATGGTAAAAATCCACATATAAAGAAAACATGAATGTTTAGAAAGTGTTCTCATGTTCCCATTAAGAACAGTCACACAGTATCACAAATCATGTGGAGATGGCCTGATAGTGTTCTCCAAAATTTTTTCATCACACACCTTTCTAAGTTAAAAACATTGAAATATATACCTACAAATATAGGTATATTTATTTAGGTACATATTTACAAAAGTCCTATGGTATTATGTTATATTTATTATAAAACAGATGCCAAAAAATATAAATTTTAAAAGGGCAAGATATAAAAGGAACTTACAAGTTGTAATGATTTATTTTCATGTCCTATTGGGTTGTCTTGCATATTTCCTGGAATAGGGATTTCCACTTTGAAGACCCCTAGCCTGGCATAAGAAGCAGTAGCCTAGAATTGAGGCAGCCAAATGTCTAGGCAGATAAAAAGGGGTCCCCAGAGAATCTCCAACCCACCCCACAGGTGTTTATATCAGATGCTTTTGTGCAGATGAGGGAGCCTGTCCAGGGCTTGTCTGGGCACGCCTACAGTAAACTGGAGCCTGACATGGGCACTGGAGGAAGTGGGCGGAGCCACAGGAATTCACACTAATGCAGAGGAGGAGTCTGCTCTCTTCAGTTCCTGTGTGGTGACGCCGGATTCATCTGTGAGGTCAAGGCCCTGTTAGCAGGACTCTATTTCACTCTGCTGAGGTTTTCCTTTTTTTTCCTTTTTCGCCCAATAAAACCCTGCTGTACTCACCCTTCAATGTGCCTGCATGCCTAAATTTTCCCGGTCGTGTGACAAGAACCCAGGTTTTAACTGAACTAAAGAGAAAAGTTCTGCAACAGAATGTGTCCTGGACGTCATCTAGACTTACATTATTGTTATTGTTGTTGTTGTTTTCATTTTCAAGTTATTTCTTAGCAGAATTTTATCCAAAGATGGTAATTTCTCATTTCTTCCTTAGCCATTTTCCCACTTCCTACTTGTCTCTGATGAAAAAAGTCATTTAAACTTGAGAGCTGTAGTACGTTTTATTCAACATCAGGAATTTATTAAAAAGTATCAAGCCTGTACTTACTTCAAATTAAGATACTCCTTGTGGTTCATTTCCAGTGATCGGTAATCCCCATATCAAATCACTTTGCTGGGAACATTGATATTTGATAAATACATTTACAGGAAGCAGTTATCTTCAAACTCCAGTCTCATCAAGCATTGTCCCACCACAAAATATGATCAAAGATTAAGGACTCCAGGGACTCATGGGCTCTAAACTCATCAGCTTTGAATCCTGCTATAAATTATCCAAATGAGGCACTTGGCAAGATTCTTAACTGATTGTGCTATTCGGAACACCTCCATTTCAATTAGAGGTAACCATGATACATGACAGCAAAGAACAAAACTAATAATTTTCACTGATGTCAGGGAAGGTTATAGGACTTCAGGGAATTATAGCAAGTATTTCAAGAAATGCACATTCACGACAGCCTTCTTTGTCGGTGTGTCTGCTTCTTGAATGAGAAGCTTTTATTTTAGTTTCCTAGTTCATATCAGATGGGTTAAGAATGTATCCATATAAAAGTCTGGCTGACAGGGAAAATTGGTATGTTAGGGACTAAAAATATCAATGCTAAACGCCCAAATTCTGAATCCCTTAGGAGACCAGATGTGTCTTCAGTTTCAATCCTAAGTCTGGGCAAATGCTATGTAGGCAGATGAGGCAGCATGTACAAGTCAGCAGAAGTTAAAAGACTCCTGAGTCACAAATATCTGCTCCTCCTGGACTAGAAGCAATCTTGAAATTTCCACTTAATGTTACATCATAAAGCCTATTGTAACTGGATATATCTGAGCAGTGTAAAACATCGGCTAACACTGTAGGTTCCTTACCTTTTAAAAATACCCTGAGGATAAGCTTCCCTGAGTTTTTGAGGTTTCCCTGAACAGAAAACTGATAAGTTTCTTTTTAAAAGCAAACTCTGGGAATTGAGGAACTAGGTGTGCTACATATCAATAGAAAGCAATTTGATTCACTGGTCTTGGCATAGATATAAAAGTCAGAAAAACGAGTTTTCTTGTGCTAATTGGCTAATTACAAACTTTATGGCTTTGGCCTCATTTTTCTTAACTCTCATTTCAAATAACACACTCCCTAATATTCTCCCCAAATAGGGTCATTAATTTAGCAAACGTGTGTTGAGTAGCTACTACAGTCGTCCCTCCTTATCTATGGTTCTGCTTTCTGTGGTGTCAGTTACCTATGGCCAATTGCAGTCTAAAAATATTAAATGGAAAATTCTAGAATTAATTCACAACTTTTAAATTGTGTGTTGTTCTAAGTAGTGTGATGAAATCTCACCCTGTCCTGCTCTGTCTTGCTTGAGATGTGAACTCATCGTCCAGTGTTTCTGCTCTGCACACGCCCTACCCATGAGTCACTTACTGGTCATCTCCATTATCAGATTGACTGTCACACTATCACAATGCTTATGTATGTCATCTTTATTTTACTTAACAGTGGCCCCAAAGTGCAACCATAGTGATGCTGGCATATTGTTATAATGACTCTGTAAGATTCTTAGTCATTGTTGATAATCTCTTACTGTGCCCAGTTTATAAATTAAATTTTATCATTGCAAACAAACAAAATAGCTTGTTTCTAAAACTCTACACGATTCTACAAAGTGTGTATTATACTCTTAATTTTAATGATGAAGCTTAACAATGGTGATATGTTCATAGAAACATGTGATTATGCAATTCTGTTCTTGTGGGAACGTTATAGATTGTACTGAAACCTAGCTGGTGTACTCTATGACACACCTAGGCTGGTATACTATTGCTTCTAGGCTACAAATCTGGACAGAATGTTACTGTACTGAATACTGTAGGAAACTGTAACACAATGATAAGTAATTGTGTATATAAATTTATCTAAATATACATAAAGTACAGTAAAAATGTAGTATTGTAAACTTCTTCAAAATTTTTATTTTATTTTAGATTCAGGGAGTAATGTGCATGTTTGATACATGAGTATATTGTGTACTCTTGGGGATTGGACTTCTAGTTTTCCCATTATCCAGATAATCAACCTGGTACCAGTAAGTAATTTTTTAACCCTCATCTCCTTTTTACCCTCCCCCATTTTACAGTCTCCAGTCCCCTAGTATTTCCATCTTTATGTTCATGTGTACCCATTGTTTAGCTCCCACTTATGAGGAGAACATGTGGCCTTTTAGCTCCCACTTATGAGGAGAACATGTGGCCTTTGATTTCCTGTTTCTGAGTTATTCTATTAGGGATAATGTCCTCTAACTCCATCCATGTTGCCCCAAAGGACATGATTGTATTCTTCTTTTTATAGCTGCATACTATTCCATAGTGAAAATACGGTATTATAATCTTATGGGCCCACTGTGGTATATGTAGTACTTCATTGACTGAAAAGTCCTTATGTTGCACATGACTGCATGGGAAAAAAAACATAACACATATAGGGTTTGGTACTATGCACAGTTTCAGGCATCCACTGAGGTTCTTGGAGCATTTCTCACAGATAAGAGAGGACTACTGTATGTTGAAAAAATTTTATTAACTATCATAGAAGGATATAAAAATTAGTAAGATTTTTTTTCCCTCACCTCAAAGAATTTTTGTATGATCCTACAGAAGACATATTAAAAATAAATAAAAAGGCAAGAAAGCCTAGCTCTTCCTGACAGGTTATGATAAAAATAGCATATTTTTTTCTGTTCTATCTCTCCCAAATTCATAACTCCAGAATAACCATGAGAATATCAGGAAACCCAAATTGAGGAACATTCTAAAAAGCATCTTACCAGTACTCCTCAATTTGTCAAGGTTATGAAAAACAAGGAAAAACAGAAAATCTGTTGCAGATCCGGGAGACTAAGAAGATGTGATGACTAAATGCAATGTGGTATACTAGATTTTGGAACAGAAAAAAAATTAGTAAGAAAAAACTGTTGAAATCCAAATAAAGCCTGTAGCTTCAAGAAATATACTAATACTGGTTTTCTAGTTTCAAAAAGTGTGCTATGGTAATGTCACATACTAACATTAGGAGGCATTGGATGAGGGTTATACGAAAACTTTCTGTAATATATTTGGAACATATCTGGAAATGTAAAATTATTCCAAAATAAAAACTTTATGGAAAAATTAAAAAGCACAAAAATAACTATAATGCAACTCAAAGTATGACAACTGTCACAAGACAGAAATAAAATTCTGTGGGACTTGGGAAGTGGAGAATACCACCTCTATGTAAATGGAAGACGAATGCTTTTGTAGCAGTGTGCAAGACCTATTTCAAATGCTTATCCCAATCCTATGCAACCCCCTTCTACAAACCCAAACCATCTGGCATTTTCTTTTTGGATTCAGGATAAAATCCCACCCTATATTTTTCCATGGGGAATAGGCTTGTAAGATCAGGAACCTATTCTGAGTGTCAGGCCTTCTTTATAATAGAAAAGTGTTTTACTAGTATGCAAGAAACAGAGATTCTATGTTTCTCTAGCTGCATGAAGTATACCAAGGTGGGTTGGGGAGGGTGCCATGGGAGCTGTATTTTGTAGCTCCAGATACTAATAGGATGCTTTGTCGGTAGACATTTTAAAAAATAATAAAGCCTAATTACAAGTTGATATGTAATTATCAACTTTTTATTATCACCATGCACCAGCAATTTTAAACAATATCAATGATAAAATTATTCCTCCCATTGGAGTGAGCCATTTCCATCACCACCCTCCCCACTTGAATATTCCACTGCCAGGCAGTTTTGTCCCTATAATAGAGAACCTGACTTGATTCTTTTGATGCTAGCCTGCTGACAGCCATTAATCCTCACCCTTCACCTTTCCCCTTGTGCTTCCCGTCTCAGCAAGCTGATATAAAAATCTGGGTGCCTTTTTCTTTGGCACAGCTGGGAAGTTCAAACCATGCAAGACCCTACACATGTGTGTGAAACTTCACACTGGCTACATCCCATAAGCAACATAAAAACCCCAGTCAGCCTCCTTTCCTTGGTCTCTTAGTCTCTTTTCAGATCTGCTTGGGAGATCACCTGCTGTCCCCAAGAAAGCCCCATTTCATGAGAAATAAATGTTTGCATACTTTTTTTTTTTTTGAGACAGAGTCTTACTCTGTTGCCCAGGCTGCAGTGCAGTGGCATGATCTGGGCTCACTGCAACCTCTGCCTCCCAGGTTCAAGTAATTCTCCTGCCTTAGCCTCCTGAATAGCTGGGACTACAGGTGCGCACCACCATGCCCAGCTAATTTTTGTATTTTTAATAGAGATGGAGTTTCGCTATGTTGCATACACTTTTAGAGAGTGTGTGCGTGTATGTGTGTGTTTGTTGTGTGTGTGTGCTGTCATCAGACAGCCAAATCAAATTTTGTGTGTGGGTCAATCCTGTCTATGTAAAGTGTCCACAACAGTCCCACAGTGTCAGGCACTGTAAAGAACCCCATTTAAGACATAACTCACAGAGAAATCTTTGAAAGTCCAATGGTGTTTAAAATAAATAGTCGATTACTATCCCCATCAGCTTCCTCTTATTTCACTTGGATTTTGCTTCCTACATGTGCATGGGACCCTCTTTGTTCTGCCTCCCACTTCCTATCTCTTCTTTGCAGGGACCCCACTTCATTGTGCCATGTCTCCTGCAATTGAGTTAGTAAGTCCCATTAATTCTGAAATCTCACATTCTTCTTTGCAAACCATTTTTTTTTTTCTGGCTGAAATCGATGGTTTGTCATAATATAATCCATTCATTTACTGTGCTGAAATATCATTTCATCTCAAGAAGGGAAGCTATATAGGTAGAAATCTGGGACAGTGGCAGAGAGCTTCTCTGTGCCCCACCTGTAGGATGTATGCCATCCTAACTAGCTATATTCTCCTAAATCCCATTTGGTTTATAATACTAACGAAAGTTACAAAAGCAACAGACAATTCCAGACTCTGCTGTCTCCTAACCCTGACTTACTTACTTGGAATTGGAGAAATAATACATGTGCATGTTTAAATCAGCCAGTGTCAGGTAAAGGAAGAGGCAACATTTAGTGGCAGCCACTATTTCTGTGGAAACTATAAGATAGACCCACAACATAGATGTTCCAGAAAGAGAAAGAGAAAAAGAGTAAAGGGAGGTAGAAAAGAGAATATATATACATATATATAAAATATATTATATATAATATATAACATATGATATATAACATATTATATACTATATAACATACAATATATAACATATCATATAACATACGATATATAACATATTGTATAACATATGATATATGACATCATATAATATATGATATATAACATATATAATATATAACTTATGATATATAACATATTATATAATATATAACATAGTATAAACATAACATATTATATATAATGTAAGATATTATATACATAACATATATAATATATATTATATACATAACATATATAATATATAAGATATTATATACATAGCATATTATATAATATATAAGATATTCTATACATAACATATTATATATAATACATCAGATATTCTATACTTAACATATTATATATAATACATAAGATATTATATACATAGCATATTATATATAATATATAATATATATAGCATATATAATATATAAGATATTATATACATAGCATATTATATATATGATATTATACATAACATATATATAACATATACAACACATTATATATAACATGTTACATATAACATATATAACATTATATATAGCATATATAACATATTATATATAGCATATTATATATAGCATATTATATAATATATAACATTATATATATGTTATATATTATATATAACATATTATATATATGTTATATATAATATATAACATATATATAACATATTGTATATATATATAACATATCATATATAATAATATAATATATAATATAACATATAATATATATAACTTTTCATTCTCAACCAGATTGTACAGATAAAGAATGATGAAAAGATATTTATATATATATATTTTAAAAGTTATATATATATAAAAGTTATATATATTATATATAAATATATTATATATATATATAACTTTTCATTCTCAACCAGATTGTACAGATAAAGAATGATGAAAAGATATTTCCTGAAAGATTAATTTCATCAACTTTGAGCAATTGGATAGTAATGTGAACTTTATTTTTTAGACAATGAGAATACAGTTTTTGAGTCGAAAAATCATATTGCTGCAAATGAGTTCTAGAAATATTGATTATAGAGTTATTTAAATATGTAAATAAATGATGGAAGAAGATTCAAGACATTTTTATAGTAAAATAATAAAGACAATTGAAATTAAAACAAAGTTTTAGATGCAAGAGACATTGTACAAGTAGAATAAATAGAACTTGATAACTAAGCAAGATAGTTTTCTGTTCATAAGCATAAATAACTATAACCAGGAATAATGGCAAGCAAAGGGACTGCTTTGGATAGAAAATTATGAATTCAACCATTAAAAGTTAAAAACTAGATAAGATCAAAGTCCTTTAACAAATTTAAGAATTTTACAAATGTGAGTTACTTTTTACCTTTCTCTGCTCTTTACAACCCTATAGCATATATACTACAAAGGGAAAGATTTTGAATTCATAACAAATGGGTGGACTAGCAAGTATGTTTTATTATTTAATTGTTCATTTTTATTGTCTAAATTTAAGGGTTGCAAGTGCAATTTTGTCACATGGCTATATTTGCATAGCAGTGCGGTCTTAAGCAGGTATGTATTAAAGTTATTATATTCTATTTAATAATCACTAAAGAATTTGCAGTTTTACTTCATGTCATGCTCATTGCCATGGTTAAAACTGCCCTACCAAACTGAGTTGCCCATGCTCAGCTGCAGAAGGCCTAGGATTTTTTGTTCATTCAGCCTCCAATCTTCTAGTACTATACCTTTGTACATAACTGTAAAAATACAAAAGAGAAGAATTAAGCAAAAGACATCTTTTCCTCTTTGCCCATCTACATCACCATTGATGTAGAGGGAAAGTGAAAAGGGGAGCTAATTTATGGCTTTTAGGTTTTTGATACGAGGTATTTCATGACATTTTGCAAAAGTACATAAATAATTTAATTATCAAACACTCAGAAAGCGGCATGGCCCTTTTATTAGGTAGATAGACCAAATGACCTAGGAAAAGAGTTTGGTGTCTACTGTAAAGTCAATATGGGGAGCCTTAAATCAGTTAGGTTAGAGTGCCAAAATATATGTGTATATATTCTGTGGCCCGGATATAAGATAATTTCTCAGCTTTACACAGAAAGTGCTAAAAATATTTTTTGATAGTGAGAGTATAAAGAAAGTATGTGCTTCATAGCTTCACATTAGCTATGGAGAAGTTTTGTCTCCTATTGTGTAGCGTAAGGAAATGTATTACACAATGCAGCACTTCATAAAACACTTATGCAATTGGGCATGTGAGTTTTATAAATATTTAGTGGGCAGAAATCTTGCCTTGTGCTTCTCTTAAACCTGTTATAGTACCACACACAGGGCTGGGCATGTATTAATAAATATTTCACTAAAAGATTGCTAGGGAAAACAATCAGTAGTTACTCACCATTTCCTCCAGATAACTACCACTTCAGTAGTTAGGCATTAAATCTGAGAAGTACTTCTCATATTTACACAGTTTATAGAATGGATAATAATAATATTATTGGTTAAAATTGACTAGATTGTCGTTCCCTGTGGCAAGTTTAGACAATGGACTGAAATGGCATGTATTACCAGCTTTGAACTGCTAGTGCTGCTAGTACTAGATGATATCTCAAATAAATTCTGGGGAAAAAAAGGGGGGGGATACTTCTGCAAATTTGTTCTAGACTCGGCCCACTATTAATAAGATGTATGTCTTATCTATTTTAAGGGATCATAGAATGCAAAACATGTCATTAATTTATTTACAGCACATAGGTTGAAGAAAAAAGAAACACCAGCACATAACCCAAATCTATCAATTGTAAGACTTTACTTACTCTCAGAATGTCAATTCAAAATATTTTTCAACCAAAGGTGTTTCATGTTATATTTGTTCAACAACTTTGTCTAAGAGGTTAATGCCAGCACCTTACTAATTAGCAACAATTAAACCTGTTTTGATTTTTTCCAAAGCCCATCTTTTGCCCCTTTCTACAAATATTGGTCATGTTTAATTGTCTGAAATCTACTGGGTTTGTAAAACAAATTCAAGTTTTTGTAACTGATGGCTTTCCCCTTGGTAGTGACTTTGTGTTAGACATCACAAAGCTAACTAGACTCCAGAGCCTGCACTATTAAACCTTACACTCACAGCACAGATTATGCCAAATGGGCAAAAATAAATAAATACGAGCCTGAGGCTAGTTGGGTTGAAGGAGTGGGGGTTAGGGGGAGAGGCATAAGTTAATGGCAAGCTTTCCTGACTCTGGGCCGCATTCAAACTCTGCTCAGCTCCACTCACTGCCACATGCCACTGTGCTTTCCCGTCCCCCGTTCACAGAACTACTGCAAATGGTATCATTTTGCAACTAATTTACTCACTTAGTTTTGGCCATTAGTCATTCCCAATATCCTCAATCTGCAGGTAATTTTCCACATTATTAGTTACCCACCTGTCTTATTAAACTGGACTTTCTGAAACCCTGTGTGCCTGCATTTTCTGCACCTTTAGATCAAGCAAATAATTGCCCATACCTGGATGGAAGAATTTAATAGGAAGCTTATAGTTGATTCCAAAAGTTAATAACTATAGCATCTGGTTTCCCTTTTTAACATTTAAATGACAATGAGGACGCAGTTTTTGAGTAGGAAAATCATACTGCTGCAAATAAACTCAGTGTTCATGGAGAGAAAGAGAATGAGAATGAGTCAGCATACCATAGACTAAAATCTTTTTATCTTTTGTGGACAGGTTAAATATAAATGGGCAGAAGATAGGTTTGAATCTTTCACTAACGTACTTCAACTTTGACCCCAAGAGACCCATCTCGATCACATTAAGGAAAAGAAACTTCCATGATGGGAAACTTAGCTCCCCAATAAGGACAATGGCCAAGCCCTCTGCTTTTGTGCAGTATCTCTGATATCTTTGGTTGCTCTGAATGAGAGAATACAGCTGCTGTGAGACATTTTCAATTCATTTTTATTCACATCTCCATAAAACAATCTGCATAGGATATGTTTTTAAATATTGCTGGGTGGAACTTGGGACATTATTTTCTAAGCCAGGTCAGGAAAATCAAGCACAAAAACCCCAAAACTTCCAGCACTGAGGGTCAGGATTGCAATTTGCCAGGAGTCTAAGGAGAGTACCTCATTTGCAATTAAATTGACATTCATTTTTTATCAAAAATAAATGTGTCTGGCCACAATATTTGCTTGGAGCTATAAGTTTGATTTTTAGTTTAAAAAGAATTCCACGTTTGCCAGTAATGAAAACAGAAAGCCAAAATATTTCCAGAAATCATCATACATATTTTTCTTAAACAACACAACATCAAACTTTGAGACACCCAAGACTTGATATGAAATGGGCAAAGTGGAGAAAATGACAATTACACAACCTTCATATTAAAGTACTTTAAAGTTTATGTAAACATCAACTTAAATTTTAGAAGTCCTCGATTTTCTATATCTATCTTCTAGCCCATCTTCTCCTACCTCTTCTAAATACAAATGTACCCTCCTTTGTTAATGAGGAATAGTTACCAGGAAAAGAGGTCTACTTCAGAGAAGAACCTAAAATGAAAGTATGTTTTAGGATTACAGAACTTAAGTGCACACCACTCGTTCTATCCAGTGGCTTCTGTATGACATTATTATTATTATTATTATTCTCAAATATTGCTTGCTTCGCTGAACTTTTGCACATCTTATTATCTATACCGAAGGTTTCTTTTTCCTTATGCTTTTGCTTTTTTCTCTTTACATGCTTCCATGCCTGCCTAATTGTACTACAAACACACTGTGGGCAGGAGTCTAGACCTAGGATTCACAAACTGTAGCCATCATGCTATATTCTGTTGGCTATATATTTTTATAAATAAAGTTTGTTGGAGTTCAGTGATGGCCATGTGTTATGTATTACTAAATGCTGCTTTTGTGCTGCAACAGAGTTGAATAGGTATCCCAGAGATTGTATGGGTCACCACAAACAAAAAAAAAGTGTGCTGATCTCTGGTCTAGGCTTCTTGATATTCTTTCAACGACCTTGATGCTCTACTTCCAGGCTTTCAACATGCTCTGAAGACATTGCCTTTTAAGGGTAGGCAGGCCATAACATACAGCAATTCCCTAAGACACAGTCATAACCACAGAATGTTAAATATTTTATTTTGCTGAGGTATTACCTCCAATGTTCAGAGAGTACGGCGAAGTTTTAAATCCAAGTCTGGTTCAAACTGGGGGAAGTGGTTTCCAACAATGTCGGAAGTGACAATATGAATACGACTTCCTGAGCCACATTCCCTAAGGCAATTATCTGTGATAAAGGGAAAAATGGCAAAATAACATTATCAAGATGCTCACAATCTTAACCTTTGGTCCTGGGAGATGTTTGATCTTGTTCTTGTAACCTCTTGACACTTCATCAATTTGGTCTTCACACATGAGCATTAAGAAAAAAATTCTTAAATCTTCTCTTACACAACTTATCCTCCCTCTTCCTTTCCCCACCCACGGGATGTCCCTTAAAGCCTGAAGATATACTTACAAGAAATATTAAAACATAGTTCACCGTCAAATCTAAAGCTTTAGTTATGAATGTCTAGCAGCATTTTTTGTTTGTTTCTTCAGAGATATTCTCACTCTACTGAAATGGAAAAAGAGAAAGAAACTATGTGCCTCATTATTCATATTCTTTTCATCCAAAGAGAGTCTCTAACAGTGAATGTGGACATCTGTCCTACAAATGTCACATCACCTGTCTGGAATAAAACACCAGAGGTGAGATAAACTGAGCCCTTGTGGTACTATTTGCCACACTCCATGGAAAGCAGCTGCCCTGTTTCTTATGCCAGGGAAGATATGAAAAACAGAGATGTTGAATTTGGCCTATATTTTTATACAGTGTATTGTTAGCTCCTATTCACTATAACCGATAGATAAAGCATCAAAGTTTGAGAGTTTTCAGCTTCATACGAGTTCATAGCTCATTCTCCTTTATGTATTAGATTTCAACACAAGTAAAATTATAACTTAATACACTAACCTGGGATTGTCAGAGCACTTGACTATTTAGTGAGTATGGAAATCATTAGTTACAAGACATGGTTTAGATGCTGTCACATTGTATGGTTTTGTTAATTGATGGTCATGGACATATGCCTAGGTGTCTGCTTTCCCTCCTCACCTTCGAACATGGGGAGAACCAAATGTCTGCCTAGCTTTCTGAGTGACTACATCGAAGTCCCTCCCTTATTTAAAATAATGGCACCCTTATTTCTAATTATTTTTCCTGAAGATGTATGTACAGGAAATAATAAACTTTTTCAAACTTTTCTTAAACTAAGACAACCCATAGCCAAGAGGCCTCTGATATCCTGCCAGCAGCCAAAAATGAGCAACTGTCAGCCAAAATCTGGAAGATAAAGAACAGTGCTTCGAATGAGAAAGCAGTTGTCTGGAGCCACTGGGAATCCATTGGCATGGAACCAGATTAACTAAAATCCACAGGTCTGTTTCCTGCATAAACAGGTGAAGACAGGGCTGAGAGAGGTGTGAAAATAGTTCTTCAGCCACACTCAATAATCTATGGTTCCCAAGGTGCCCTCCTACATCTGTTTGCATTTTGGCAGCAAGGCATTCCAGACCCTGATATTCAACAGTATAACAGGCACTTTATACGAGGAAAAAAGTAGTGAAATCTTGATTATTTCTCATTCAAAGTTAATGTAATGTAATTCTTTTGAGTATTTTCATTTCATTTCATTTTCAAAGGAATTTAAACATAGTTAGGGAAAATAAATTTTTACTGATCAACTTCTGTGAGGTGGAAATTTTTAATTTTTAAAAAATGAGAACTTCAAAACGGAAACTCACTTTAAGTGTGAGACTGTGAATTTACATATGCCCTGTCATCTGTCATCTTTTGGGAAAATATTCTAACTTGATGAGAAAATACTTCCCATTTTCTTTTATTTATTTTATTCAGATAAAGGAGAGAGAGACAGAGATAGACAAATGCAATATCCCGTGCTAGAATTGTGTGAAAGATTATTTAAAGTGAGTAACTCCCGTCCTGGTCAACATGGTGAAATCCCGTCTCTACTAAAAATACAAAAAAATTAGCTGGGCTTGGTAATGCGTGCCTGTAGTCCCAGCTACTCGAGAGGCCGAGGCAGGAGAATCGCTTGAACCCGGGAGGCAGAGGTTACAGTGAGCCGAGATCACGCCACTGCTCTCCAGCCTGGGTGACAGAGCGAGACTCTGTCTCAAAATAAATAAATAAATAAATAAATAAAAATAAAGTGAGTAACTCATGGTCTATGTCTTCCAAGACTGTTGCGTTATATGGAGTTGCAATTAATAGTTTCCACCAAAATCACTATATGGAGGACAATCAGAAAGGGAGTCACTGTCATAGCATGGTTAAAGATGACGGAAACAGGAACTAGGGTGTTAGCAGTAAGATTGGAGAGAAGGAAAATAATTCAACAACACATTTTCTTGTTTTCCCACTGTATTGACAATGCATGTCAACACATGATCCTTATAGGTAGAGTAGAAAATATGTATAAGCTAAATAATAAAGGGTAAAGTTTTAGATACCACCATCAGGTAACAATTCAGTATGTCTATGTGTGTATATTTCTGTATTTGTGTCTGAAATAGAAACATATATAAGCAAGAATTGACATGAGTTGGAAATTAAGTATCCAGATTGAGGTAGAGGCATATGTAAAATGATTTGTTATTACTATCTGAACCTAAGTTTTAAATGGCACAGATAACATCAGTAAGCTTTTCAAGTATTATTTTGTTCTCAGTGTTATAGGACCATTTACCTATAATTCATCTAAGGTGAAATAAAAGTAATACTAATGCCCATAATATTGTATATGAGCTTAATATGTACCACGGGCCAGGTACTTGTCAATGATTTTTTGCATTGTTTCATGTAATCCTCACAATAGCCCTATTTCTTAGAGGCTATTATGTTCACTTTGCAGATAAAAAAACATTGGCTAAAAGTAATTTGCATAAGAATACATAGCAAGTAGTAAGCCTTTATTGCTGTGTTATTAACACTACTTGAATCCAAATTCTGAACCACTGTGCTCTGTGGCCTAGGATAAGTATTATTTATATTGTTTCCTTTTCTCTTCCATCCTTACTTATTTCTTAATATTATTGTGCAGTTTATCCCCAACGACATTGTAAGTTCCTTTATTTCAACGACCATATTCTATATTTATTTTCTTCCATACTTCCACCATGCCCGAGAAAAGAAGTTTTGAAAGATTGATCTTTTATTGGCAAAAGCTTGAACATAGTTGGGATACCTATAGAGAATTTAAGAATTTCAACCTTGACATTTTAACTACTGAAAAACTGTTATCACTAATTAGCGTCTTAAACCTATCATCATGCAGCACATACTGCAATAGATATCTCTAAATTTTCTGGCAAATTCAATCAATGGAAATCTTCATAATAGTTAATGCAAGGCACAGAAGCTATAGAATTGTGACAAGGGGTTGTTCTCACTGATCATGTTCCGCAGGTAACTTCCTAGACTTTATTTTGTATTGGTGCACGTAACCAAAACTCATAAAGGACTGAAATGAAGGCATTTCCCTCCCCCCACCTCCTTCTCTGATTGTTAGTCCTTCTCAGACGTGAGGGCAGTGTCTCCTTGGGCTTCTGTCCAAAAACAGGATCAGAATAACCCTCCCTAAGCTTGTGGCAAGAAAGCCAAAGGGATGGGACTGCATGAGGTCAGACACCCCATTCTGCTACTGATCACTTTGGCAATTTTGCTACCCATGTCTCCAGTGCCACACAAGCTTCTGAAGTAATCTTGGTTTATCACCATGTGATAAGTAGATCTATGGGGAAGTCAAGCAAGTTTCCCAAATTCTTTCAGAAATTACAGATTTATTTAGGTATAATCTCACTGCTAGACTCTCATTCTTGGATGCCAGTCCACAGAGGTGGGCCCTTTCCTGTGTCTCATTACCCTGAAAATAAGAGTCCCATGGATAAATCCTCCTACAGGTTGTTCATATTGGTGCCTTGACTACTCCCATCTGAAAACACATCTTGCCATCCAAGAGCCTGTCACCTCCTACCTTGACGGCAGCTGCTTGAGTTGGGAGCACACTATTTAACAGTGTGATGCTGACGAATACTGGGAAGAACAGTGACAAGCCTAAGTGCTGTTTTACACCCCATTTAACCAGGGGAGACACATCTGTTTATTTTTGTTTCAGGGGAAGCACAAGGCTTAGTCTTTGTGACAAGGTCACAAGTCCAGCCCTAGGATTCCTTGTGGGGAGATCACCAAACTTCTCCAGACAATCGATAACAGAATGCCAACTGTGAGTTCTTCAAATAGAAATCCAAGGACATGATTTTGTCTGGCTAAGATGGAACAGGCCCAAATAAAAAACAAGCATGAACAGTTCTCTTTTGTCTGCGGGCTCACAGCCTGTCCTGCTGTTAGCCCTAAATTCTCATTTGGAGAAAAGCCATGCTATTACTTCATAGAGACCAATATATTTGAAAGGCAGAGAGGTATACCACTGACTAAAGGGAGAACAGTAATGCATTTTCTTTTTCCATATTTTGTTTAAATATGCATTTCTCAAGAGTCATATCTTTACAAATGGCTTATAATTTCTCACACTCAGTTATTGAATAAAACTTCATGATGCTACACAGCCCCACTGTATTTGTAGGGAATATGAAGTCAAATAGCCTGATTTGAATATTGCCTCTACCACCTCCCACCTGTAATATTTGGCAACTTTCTCCATATTTTTGTGCTATAATTTCTTCATCTGTAAAATAGGAAAAATTACTTCTCAGATTAGCATGATAATTAAATGAGATAGTGTTGATGATGAGCTTAAATTTTATCTTACAATCCTTGAGATATAATAATGAACTTATTATGCTACTTTTGATAGTGGCAGGAGGCAGTCAAATGCCTAGGAAGATAGAGGTGGATCCCATGCGAAATCCCACCTCCAAGCCGAAGACAGTTTAAAGCCTGAAAGCCAACCTACAAGTTAAATCCTCTCACCAGATTGAGAAACTGTCTTCCTGTTTGGCACACTTTTCCTCTGATTGATCCCCACCGTTCACCTATTTTACATATACCTATCCTTTCCTAGTTAGTTTACTACAGTCATGCCCACCTTTGAGTGGTTGTCTTCACTTTAAACTTTCTTGCATACTCACAAACCAATCAGCACACACTCCCCATTCTGAGTCCATAAAAAGCCCTGGACCCAGCCACACAGAGAAAAACTATCTGACTGTAGGGGTGGGGGAACCCCAACCCACCCCCACTCACAGCACCCCACGTCCCTCACCACTGAGAGCTGGTCCACTCGAATTCTTCTCTGCCCATCCTCACCCTTCAACTATCAGAGTATCCTTATTCTTCTTGGACACAGAACAAGAGCTCAGGAACTACCAAACAAGGGTACAAGCTATAATACAGGCTGGGTGCGCCTGCGCCTGCGCCTGGCCCAGCCGTGGGCTGAGCCGGTGTGCCAGCTAGACTTAGCCAGGGGGGTCGAGTGGGTGGGGCGCCTCCAGCAGCAAGGCAAGGTGCGTCGCCAGCCAGAGGTCCTGGCTGGCAAAGCGACTGAGCAAATTCCTGTGTCACTTTAATTTCTAATACTATTAATAAATTTATTTTTATTCTTTTTCATTCATGAAAGTACTGTGAGTAAACAAACTTTGCCAATATAAAGCAGATGCCATTCCTATGACTTGAAATAAGAGAGCCTAGCATAGTGAAAATCATTGTTCCAGGAGAGGAAAACTTTAAATTCCAATTAATATTTAGCCACCAAAATTCTGACTTGTTTTTATGCAGTGTGAGACAACTTATTATGAATTTAGGAAGGGCAGCAAAACCGCTTTAACTAATCAAAATGCTCTTTAATTCCCTAATTTGAGAATTCCTCCATTGAACTGTTTATTTTTTTTTCTTTTGAGTATGGACGTTATGATGTGAACTGGTACTTGCACTAAAAGTACCAGTTTAAGTTTTACCAATTATTTATACTTGTACCTGAATTGCTAATACTATTTTGCTATCAAATTTTGAAAGAGAAGCAAAAAAGTGTAGGTCCTTGGTCTTCATATTTCTAGAAGAATTAGGGTCTCAACCAATGAAATAAAGAGCATATGAATGGAAAATTTTCTTGTTAAAGAAAATTGCGCAGTTCAAGACTTTGTAAGAGGCCTTACAGTCCCTGAAAATATTTAGCAGATGCCTTTTCCCAGACCCTAAACTGAGTACACCTCCTTCCCAGAATTAAAGCAGGGTTACTGTACTTGCAAGGACTGTTTTTATCTTTCTGCTTCACCGCAAGATCAGATGATGCAATAATACCACATTCAAATGAGATAATTCTTCAGGGGTCTTTCATCCAAGGATCTGAGGTGCTTCATAAACATTAATTAATTCTCCTAACACCTTTGTGAGGAGAGAATTCTATTTTTTGTACGAGTTAGACATGCTAAAGTAATACCACCAGCGCTTAGACAGAATGCAGGCTTCAGAACAAGCCCAATCTTTCTGTATTAAGCAAAAAGTTCCCTTAATTGGGTTCATGTTAAGGAAGGTGAGGAAAGGGAAAGAGATGTTAAATGCATCACAGAAAGAAGTCACCGCACGACTCACAAATCCAGGGACTCCGATGACGGAGCTGAGCCTTCGCAGGACGCCCTTGGTCAAATGCACACAACAGAGGGGCAGTATCATAGAGAAACTATGTACTAAATCAAAAAATAAAGCAAAGAGAAAGAAGGTACAGTCCAACTTCAGAGCACATTATAACATAGCTTTTCCGTAACCAACAATGAACGGTCCCTCTGCTTTATGAGTTCCAATTACTGCTATTGAATATAGCCTGAAAAATTTCCTCTCTTTTAATTCATTTCCTCAGATAATAAGGATTTATTTGGGAGTTTCCACTTCCTCTTTTTCCTTTCATTCCTTTTCTCCCTTACCAAACTCTACATCTGGTTTCTCTATAGTTAAGTCTTAACACTGATAATGTCTAATCAGTACTTATGACTTTCAAAAGTTTTCCTCAGAATCTTTCATGTACTTTAAGACAATCTATTTGGGCCGAGATGTTCAGTTTTTCAGAACATACTAATAACTTTGTCTGAGCTGTGGCAGAAGTGTCTAATGTATCTACATAAATTGATGTATCCTAAATGAACATACAGAAATGTCACGGTTCAGCACTAGACTGATAACCTTCCAGGTACCAATTTCTATTTTAGCAACAGGCAAGGGGTTAAGGAGAGAAATAACTCTGTTCTAAAAATGATTAAATAGGCCTAGCACAAGATAAGAAATAAGTTTATGCCTTTCTTTTCCAAATTTCAAACAAATACAAAACAGTCTTAGGGTTTTACTTTTATTTTTAAAATATATTTCTTATTTTCTGTCGAGAAGCAGTATGAGTTTTCAAAAAAGACTAAATTAAGAGTAAAGACCGCTGAATTCCAGCCCACTCTGCCCCTTACTAGCTGTGTCTAAGTTTCTCCATTTGTTAACATATTATATCATATAGTTTTTATAATTTCAACAGAGGAAACATATTTTAAAATATTGAAATAAGAGTAAAGATTCTATGTCATATCATTATGACTAGTGCCAGAATGGGATTGGACTCAAGTTAAAATAACTTACCTATAAATTCCAGTGGTCTCATATGGATTGATTTATCCCTCTTACCTATCATCTGTGGCTAGGGATAAAGAATTAAAGCGACCTGTGGTATCCATGCTTTTATCAGTCAAATGTGTGCAAGATTGGAGTGAGGCAAGGAACTTGGTAACACCAGTTGAAATCACTTGTTTAGTGACTGAAAGCACATTTTCCAAACATAGGCAATAGAAGGTCTCAACAGACTCAATAAAGGTTGTATATTACATCCATCTCCGATTTCCCACAGGCTAACAGAGAACTGATTGAAACAGTAAAACTTTACAGAGTTTTTCATTTATTGAAGTAGAATGACAAAATACTGTCACATAGTTCTGGCCACATTCTCACCAGATCAGTTCCCTGACTCACCTTGTTCTCCTTTCACCCTGTCCCCCAACAATCTTGATCAGCCTTTTAAATTTTTCAGGGCTTTCTATTTCTTAGTTTCACAAATTGAGAAAATTATTTCCTCTCTTGACTAAGTATCATTTCTTTAAGCCCACGTTTCCAGGACTGGTAGATCCCCTTTCCACTAGCATGAAGGAAAATCTAACCTGCCAAGGCATTGGTTTGACAGTATATTGCCTAGATTTAAGATGTTTGATTTTAAAGCACAATCTTGTGAAATGTTTCACCCATGCTGCACTGCACCAATTCTATCAATTTGTCACTCATGGCCTTTTAATTTTTCCAGCATGATAGGAAATGCATTATCCTCTCAATCCACATTCCATATCTTCTGCGAAAGCATTCACAAGACAGTACGTATGCATTTCCAAGGCAGTCTAAATCAAGATTTAATGATGAAAATGTCTTAAAAAATTTGCTGAAGATATTTTTGCCAAAAATTATGCTGAATAGAGTTTGTTAGATAATACACTAACATTCTCTTCTGAAGCAGAAGTGAGAGGTCACATCTTTGCTACACGCTTTACATTTGAGCATTGAAAAATCCATGACATACATTTCCAAAACTTCGGGCTATAGATGAGCCAAGTACAAATTTTAGTCTTTATCCTAAGGGCAACAATTTCTTGAATTTCTTTTAAAATCTAGTAGCTGTTTTTTCAATTTGGAAAAAAATCGGAAGTAAATTCTTCTACTTATTGGTGCTAACTGTAGGTGCTAAATGTTTTCTCTACAAGCTTAATTCTCACAAATGCACTGTAAATTATAACTGATTATTCCAATTATAGATATTGTATAGAACAAACCTAGAAAGGATTGGTGTCTCTAAAACTACCAGAAATAAGTTGTGATGTCAGAATGAGAATCCAACTTCTTTTGACAGAAAGTCCATGTTATTTATGAACATTTTCTGTGACCATCACACTCTCCAGATGAAATTCAAAAGCGTGTATTCAAGTCCTTAAAAAGCAAAATAAACAAAAATTGACTGAATTTTGGTTAAA
The DNA here is from genome assembly GCF_000001405.40 of Homo sapiens. Taxonomy (NCBI): domain Eukaryota; kingdom Metazoa; phylum Chordata; class Mammalia; order Primates; family Hominidae; genus Homo; species Homo sapiens. The sequence continues at coordinate 40,886,254 of NC_000018.10, forward strand.
ATTTTGAACTCACTTTTATATGATGTGGGAAGAATTTTTATGTTTGTAGTATCTAATCTTTCCATTTAAAAACATGATAGGTTTATCTGTTGATTCAAATCTTCTTTTGCTTTTAAAGCATTCAAAGACAGACTTTTAAGTTTGTTGAACTTTATTTCATGGCTCATAGTACAGTTAATTTTGATATAAGTTTTGTGGGCAACTCAAAAGAATATTTATTCTGAATTTGGTGAGTTACCCTACAAATGACAATTTAATACTTTAAGTTGATGTTGTTTTCTTCTATATTCTTGCTGGTTTAGGGATAGACGTTTCTTCAATTGATGAGAGAGATACATTAATTTTTCCATATGTATTTATATATGTATAAATGTCATATAAATATAGTATATAATGTTATATATATTTGTGTTTTTTTCGCTTTTTCTTTTCACTTCTATAAATTTAGTTTCCCATATATTGCAGCTATGTTGTTTGTACATACACAACAAACTTTAAGCTTGCTATGTCTTCGTCCTCTTCATGGAGTGACTTTTTATCATGTTGCTCTCTACCTCTGGTAAGTTTATTTGCTCTGAAGTCTGCTTTATCTAATGATAGTGTAGCCACTCCTGCTTTCCTTTGATTACTGTTCACATGAAACTTTTTTTTCACTTGTTTATTTTCACTCTGCCTATATCCTTACGTTTGAAGTGAGTTTTCTATATACTACATATAGTCAGGTCTTATCTTTTAATCCATTCTCCCAATCACTGCCTTTTAATTAATATGATTAGACAACTAGTACTTAATGTAATCATTTATGTTTGAGGGCTTAATGCATTTCATCTAATATTGTTTTGTTTTCTCTGTTTTTTTTTTGTTTCTAGTGGGTTTTTTGCATTTCTATAGATAATTTGAACAATTTCTAAAATTTACAGACTTTTCTGTAGTGTTTTTGAATATAACTTTTTGTACAGCTTCTTAAATGGTTGCTCAAGAAGTTACTATACATAAATAACTTATCACTGTCTATTATTGTCATAATTTTACCAGTTTAAGTGAAGTATAGAACCTTACCTCCTTTACATTGCTTTACTTTCCTTTAGACAATAATATAATTATATAAAATATTTCTCTAAATGTGTTTAGATTCATATGACATTGTTATAATTTTCACTTTAACCATCAAACATAATTTTTGAAACTCAAGAAAAGTCTATTTTATTTACACGGATTTTATATCTCTATATTCTTTCTCCCCTCTCATGTTCCAACACTTCTTCCTTTATCATTTCCTTTCCATCTAAAGAAATTTGTTTAGCCATTATTTGAGAATATACTGCTCTCCTTCATTTCTGAAAGATCTTTTCCCTGGAGATAGGGTTCTGAGTTGAGAGCTCTTCCCCTTTCACATCCTCTTACACACACACACACACACACACACACACACACACCACAACACACGTACACAAACTGAAAAACAGTGTACTACTTCCTTTGGGACTCTATGTTGTATAATGAGAAATCTGCTATCATCAAATTGTTTTCCTATCTTGTAGGTATGGCTCTGGCTGCTTTCAAATATTTTTCACCTTTAGTTTTCAGAAGTTTAATTATAATTTATCTTGACTTGAATTTATTTGGGTTTATCTTGTTTAGAATTTTCCTAGTTTCTTGAATAAAAAGGTTTATGTGTCTTGCCAAATTTAAAGTTTTCAGTCATTAGTTTTCCTTGTACAGTTTCATCTCACTGTATCTCATATACTGAACTCTAATAACATATTAATATTATAGCTTATGTAATTGTTCCACGCAGTTTCGTGTCTGTTTATTGTTTTTTATTCACTCTGTGTAATTTTTATCTTCAGATTGGGTATTTTCTATTCCTCTACTTTCCAGTTCATTATTATTTTCTTTGTAGCCTCCATTCTTCTATCAAGCCCATCCACTGATCTTTTTATTGTAAGTATTATTTTTTTCAGCTCTAAAAGTTCATTTGGTTCTTCTCTACATCTTCTATTTCTTTGCTGAGGCTATTTTCTCACTTGTTTTATGCATATTTATAATTGCTCATTGAAGGACTTTTAACATGATTACTTTAAAATCTTTTTCTGATATGCAAACATGCTGTCACCTTGGTGTTGCAATCTATTGGCTTTTTCGTTTGTTTGTTCTTTTGTCCTTCAGTCTGAGATCTTCCTGATTATTTGCATGATGAGTGACTGTTTTATTGAAACCTGAAACACTTCTGTCTAATGTCTGGAAACTCTGGGCTTAATGCATTTCATCTAATATTGGTTTGTTTTCTCTGTTTTTTTTTTTTCTGGTGAGTTTTTTGCATTTCTATGGACAATTTGAACAATTTCTAAAATTTTTAAACTTTTCTGTAGTGTTTTTGAATATATATTTTTGTATAGCTTTTTAAATGGTTGTTACAATATATATAGATTACTTATCACCATCTATTATTTTCGTAATTTTACCAGTTTATTTAAATCTTCAGTTTTAGATGGATGTCTCTGAAATTGCTCTGATAGAGACATGGGGCACTGTCTCATTGCTGATAGAAGCAGAGCTACAGGTTCACTATCAGCCTCTAATAATTCATTAATAATTTGATTATGGTTGAGTTTCTTTTTTTAATTCACAACCAGCACATTGTTAATGTGTACAATTACTCATCAGATTCTGAAGTGCTGACAAACATCTATCTACTGTGGATCTACTGAGCTGATAGAAGATAATATTCTAACTCTACTTCCATGGTTTTCAGTAGTCTGAATCAATAAACTAATGAAAAATTGGTATTTGTTATATGTGCTAATATCAGGTTCTTCATATGTATCCATTTCCTCTAACATCCTACTTATGGGACTATTGACTTCCAGTAATGATGTACATTTTTTTCTCCTTTTCCACACTATTCATTCTGCTGGTTTTCAAGGAGTTGCATCTTCTGAATGGATATTAAAAGGTGACAGCAAGAGAAGAGCAGTACAATGGACACTCAGAACATTGGGACCAGATATAACACCTGATTTTTTTTATTTGTCATAAATCTTTCCTTTCTGGTCTAAGGACAATGAATTTGTGAGTTATGAATTTTCTCCTTATCCTCTTGCTTTCGTACATACTTCATTTCAGGGATGCAGTATTGAAAGTCCCTTAATTATTAATTTTAATATAGTTATCCAATTCTTACTCATCAATTCTGGTAGCAAATTGTTTGTTATGATATGTGTTTACTTGCGATATAAAAATTAAAATATTTACATTCCCTCATTGGCTTTCATGTGCATTTTTGGTTTTGAATAATATTTTAGTTGATTTTTAAAGGAAGTTAGGAGCATCTGCACTAGGCATACTGGCCAAGTGCCATTTTCTACCTAAACGAATAACTTCCAATGCTACAAAATACTACAGCATGCTGATATGAAGTGATTTAAATACTATCATATTTAAAAGTGATGGGTCTTGTATCCATATCAAGGGCATAAGAAGCATGTGGAATATGCAGAGGAATGGCTAGTTGTTCAGAAGAACTTTCTAATAAGATTACTCACGTCCTCTTTGTCAAAATGAACCTGAAAAAAATGTCTGCAAAATGAAGAAGTTTGGACAGAGGGTTTGAATCCTAAGACAATAAAACAGGAGTCAGAAGGTAACCTGAGGACCTCACTTATGTATATGATTAATGTTTAAACCAAAATAAAAGCCTGGAAATCTAAGATACAGGATTATAAAAAACAACCTAAAGTGAACATTTTCCCATTTGATTAAAATAAAATATATTTGAGAAAACTGATGAAATTATAGCAGCTATATACTAAGGAAGACAGAGTTTGAGACATCGCATGTAAAAGTAAACAAAATAATTAAAAATATTAGAAAAATGCAACACAAATAAGTTATGTTTTAGTTTGAAATATTGAAAGGAAACATGATAAAATTATATGAATTGATAAATGGTGCTTATATGGTTATATAGTTTGGTTTATCATTGACAAATAATATGGAACAAAAAGTTACAATTTATACATATATATGTGTATATATACATAGATATTTATATATATGTATACATATATGTATATATACACATATATGTATAAATTGTAACTTTTTATTCCATATTATTTGTCAATGATAAACCAAACTATATAACATATATATACAAAATATATATGTATTTATGTATACATATATATGTATACATATATATACACATACATATATATTCAGTTATTTGATTTGGAATTATCATTGAGAAGATAAAGGTTAATTTATTTATTCATTCTACAAATACTTATTGTGTACCTACTGATAAGATCTGGAGGATAAGGCTAGTGAACAAAACAGAACATTCAATGTCCATATGGAAATTACAGACAAAATATAATTGAATAAATAAAAAATAAAATATTAATTTAGATTAAAAGTTGCTTTAAAGAAAAATGAATCAAGAAAAAGAGATGCAGACAGACGAAGAAACTATTTACATATGATGTAACATAAATCCTTTCTGAGAAGATAATAATTTAATAATGGCCTGAATGAAATAATAGTAAGAATAGGAGAGACAGAGAGAGAGACAGACAGACAGACAGACAGAGACAGAGAGAGTGCAAAGGCCCAAAGTTAGGAAAATTCTTGTTTTAGGAAAGGCAAGGACATTCTATTACAACTGGGGAGGAATGACAGAACAGAAAGTGATTAAAAAAGAAAAAAAAAAAAAGCACTAGCAAAGTGCTACACCATAAAACTATAGTGAAGATTTTGGATTTCATTCTATTTGTCATGAAAAACCACTAGAGATTACCAACAGGGAATAGCATTCTTAATATAATTTTTTAAAAAATCACTATGGAAGTAATAAGAGAAAAAAAAAAATTTCCAGGAGGGAACTATTACAACAAGGAGTCCACAGTAGGCTGATGCTGAATTCTAAGGAACAGTGATGGTGTCTTAAACTAGGGGAAGTAGAGGTACAGGTGAATAGGCTTGGATGGAGTTAAGATACAGCTTTAAGATGGAGATGCAAGCATTTGCTGGTATATTAGAAGTGTCCTTCAAGAAAATTAAAAATTGAGAGTATCTTTCAGATTTCTGGCCTGCACACCCAAGAAAAATTAATTCTAAAAATGTTCTAATCGATGATAAACTATAGCATCATGAATAGCTATTAAGTAAGGCCAGTTGCTCTGGTTTGAATGTGTCCCCCACAACTTACGTGTTGAAAACAGAATTGTGGCTCACGGCTGTAATCCTAGCACTTTGGGAGGCCGAGGCAGGTGAATCCCGAGGTCAAGAGATAAAGACCATCCTGGACAAGATGGTGAAACCCCGTCTCTACTAAAAATACAAAAAATTAGCTGGGTGTGGTGGCAGGTGCCTGTAATCCCAGCTACTTGGGAGGCTGAGGCAGGAGAATTGTTTGAACCCCGAAGGCAGAGGTTGCAGTGAGCCGAGATTGTGCCATTGCACTCCATCCTGGGCAAAAAGAGCAAAACTCCGTCTCAAAAAAAAAAAAAAAAAAAAAAAAAGAAACAAAGAAAAAGAAAACAGAATTGTCAATGTAACAGTATTAAGAGATGTGACCTTTAAGAGTTGATTGAGTCATGATATGGGTTGGCTGTGTCCCAACCCAAATCTCATCTTGAACTGTAGTTCCCATAAGCCTCACTCACATGACGTGGGAGGGACCCTTTGGGACATAATGGAATCATGGGGGTGGTTACTTCCATGCTGTTCTCATGATACTGAGTGATTTCTCACAAGATCTGATGGTTTTTAAGGGTCTTTTCCCCCACTTCACTCTGCATTTCTCCCGGCTGCTGTCATAGGAAGAAGGATGTGTTTGCTTCCCCTTCTGCCATGTTTGTATGTTTCCTGAGACCTCCCAGCCTTGCTGAACTGTGAGTCAATTAAACCTCTTTCCTTTATAAATTACCCATCTCTGGCATGTCTTTATTAGCAGCGTGAGAACAGAATGATACAGTAAATTGCTACTGGTAGAATGGGGTGCTACTGTAAAGATACCCAAAAATGTGGAAGTGACTTTGGAACTGTGTAGCAGGCAGATTGGAACAATTTGAAAGGCTCAGAGGAAGACAGGACAATGTTGGAAAGTTTGTTACTTCCCAGAGACTTGTTGAATGGCTTTGACCAAAATGGTGATAGTGAAATGGACAATAAAGTCCAGGCTGAGGTGGTCTCAGACGGAGATGAGGAACTTGTTGGGAACTGGAGCAAAGCTGACTCTTGTTATGCTTTAGCAAAGAAACTGGTGGCATTTTGTTCCTGTCATAATGATGTGTGGAACTTTGAACTTGAGGGGGTGGTTTGGAATTGGAACTTATGTTTAAAATGGAAGCAGAGCATAAAAGTTTGGAAAATATGCAGCCTGACAATGCAATAAAAAATAAAAACCCATTTTCTGGGGAGAAATTCAAGCCCACTGCAAAAATTTGCATAAGTAATGAGGAGCTGAATGTTAATCACCAAGACAATGGGGAAAAAGTCTTCAAGGCATGTCAGAGATATTCATGGCAGACCATCCCATCACAGGCTGGGAGTCCTAGGAGGGAAAAATAGTTTCCTGGGCCAGGTCCAGGGTTCCTGCTCTATGCAGTCTCAGGACATGGTGCCCTGTGTCCCAGGTGCTTCTACTCTAGCTGTGACTAAAAAGGGGCCAAGGTACAGCTCATTCCATGACTTCAGAGGGTGCAAGCCCCAAGCCTTGGCAGCTTACAGGTGGTGTTGGTCCTATGGGTGTGCAGAATACAAGAATTGAGGTTTGGGAACCTCCATCTAGATTTCAGAGGATGTATGGAAACATCTGGATGTCCAGGCAGAAGTTTGCTGCAGGGGTGGAATTCTCACAGATAGCCCCTGCTAGGACACTGTGGAAGGGAAATGTGGGGTTGGAGACCCCACAAAGAGTCCCCACTGGGGCATTGTCTAGTGGAGCTATGAGAAGAGGGCCACCATCCTCCAGACCCCAGAATGGTAGATCAACAGACAGCTTGCACAGTGTGCCTGGAAAAGCCACAGACACTCAACGTCAGCCTGCAAAAGCAGCTGAGAGGGGGGCTATACCCTGCAAAGCCACACGACAGAGCTGCCCAAGGGCATGGAAGCCCACCTTTTGCATCAGAGTGACCTGGATGTCAAACATGGAGTCAAAGTAGATAATTTTGGAACTTTAAGGTTTAATGACAGCCCTATTGGATTTCAGACTTGCATGGGGCCTATAGCATCTTTATTTAGTTCAATTTCCCTCTTTTGAAGAGGTGCATTTACCCAGTGCCTGTGATCCCATTGTGTTTAGGAAGTAACTAATTTGCTTTTTTATTTTACAGGATTATAGGCAGAAGGGACTTGCCTTGTCTCAGATGAGACTGTGGACTTGGACTTTTGAGCTAATGCTGAAATGAGTTAAGACTTTGAGGGACTGTTGCAAGGGCATGATTGTATTTTGAATTGTGAGGACATGAGATTTGGGAGGCACCAGGCATGGAATGATATGGTTTGTCTGTGTCTTCATCCAAATCTCATCTTGAACTATAGTACCCATAATCCCCACATTCAATGTGAGGGACCTGATGGGAGATAATTGAATCATGGGGTTGGTTACCTCCATGCTGTTCTCATGATAGTGAGTGAGTTCTCATTAGATCTGATGGTTTTATAAGGGGCTTTTCCCTCTTTGCTCTGTACTTCTCCTTGCTGCTGCCATGTGAAGAAGGACATGTTTGCTTCCCCTTCCACCATGACTGTAAGGTTCCTGAGGCCTCCCCAGCCATGCTGAACTATGAGTCATAGTTTCCTTTATAAATTAACCAGTCTTGGGTATGACTTTATTAGTAATGTGAGAACAGACTAATACAAGTCATGAGGGCCTTAATGATTGGATTAATGCCATTATCACAGGAGTGAATTTGTTCTTATGGGAGGGAGTTATTTCCCACAAGAGCAGGTTATTATTAAAGCAATCTCAGCCTATCTCTTTTGCATGTGCTCAATTGCCTTTCCACTGTTTACCAAATTAGGAAATAGTACCAAAGCCTTTGCCAGAGGCTGCTACCATGTCCTCATACTGCCCAGCCTCCAGAATCATGAGCCAAATAAACTTCTTCTATTTCTAAATTACCCAATCACAAGTATTCTGTTATAGCAACAGAAAATAAACTAGGACACCAGAGAATACATAAACCTTAATTCTATCAAGGAAAAACAAACTAACAAACAAACAAAAAAGCCCTGTTTTACAATAACCATCAGTCTCCAATTTATGAAAATATTAAATCTCACCCATCATAATGAATGCTGGATTATGTTAGCTATATTGGATAAGTGTATTACAATCTATTTAAAAATCTTGTTTTTAAGTAAAATTGACTCATTACCATTTTTATATATGCCAACTCTCATTTTTCACTGAATTCATGTGTATAAAAAGCAGTAATACTTTTTATTTGGTGATCTGTCAAGATGTGTTTCACCTCAAAAAGCCATCTCTAATATGTCTGGACAGTATGGTTGTGTATGTTCATATATCGATATGTACATATTTATACACAGTCATACATCTATAAATACTGTACTGTCTGTGGCTTATTTTATGAAAGGACTAAAATATAGTAGTAAGAAGCCTAAGGTTAAGAGTTTGAAACTCTTGTGAGGTTTGTTTAACCTCTTTATATTCATGAACTCTTGTCCAAAGACCTCATTTTTATCAGCCTTCAGTAAAACATGTCATTTCTAAAAATTAGTTTACAGCGTGAAAGAATGGCTGACCTTGGGCAAGCCTAGTCCATGAGGCTTTTTAAAGAGAACTCCCTGGATTTTATTGATAGAAGGATAGTCTTGGTATTAAAAGGTAACATTTTAAAAGTGTATGGCTTTGAATTCAAAGAGTGAGGAAATATAATTTATCAATCCTGGAACTTACCTCTTGTTTTTAATTGTCTTATTTTAACCAAGTGCCACTTAATTGGCTTTCCTTAATTAAGTAGCTTACAGAATACTAACAACTTCTCAGACTGCATCAAATAAGTGCAAACATTTATTATTTATAGTTTTTACAAGTACACTGAACTTGAGCTCTCTTAGATATAAAAAACTTTCCAAAGCAAGCCATTAAGTTTATTTAAAATAATTGATACTAGAAGGATTATGCTTCCTATATCAAATGTTAAGAAAATATTAGTTTTTTATAGGATTGTTGAGCTAAAAATAATTTTATTTTACAATCTAATTTTCCAAAGTACATAATATAAATGCATCTATATGGTCCAGTTAGATTTTATACTTTTTTTCTCTCTAGATGTGGAAACTGAGGTTCTGTGAGTTATCTATTTTATTTTATTTTCAATAGCTTTAGGGGTACAAGTGTTTTTTGATTACATGGATGATCTGTATAGTGGTGAAGTCTGGAATTTTAGTGTGCCTGTCACCCAAATAGTGTACATTGTACCCAACAGTTAGCTTTTCATTCCTCACCCTCTCCTATTCTCCCCACATCTGAGTTTCCAGTGTCTGTTATATCAGTCTCCATCCTTTGTTTCCCATAGCTTAGATTCCATTTATAAGTGAGAATGTGTGGTATTTGGTTTTCCATTCCTGAGTTACTGCACTTAGGATAATGGCCTCCAGTTCCATCCAAGTTGCTGCAAAAGGCATCATTTTGTTTATTTGTTTGTTTTGTTTGTTTTTAAAGGTCTTAGTAGTATTCCTGTGTGTGTGTGTGTGTGTGTGTGTGTGTATACCACATTTTCTTTATCCACCTATTGGCTGATGGGCTCTTAGGTGTATTCCATATCTTTGCAATTGTGAATTGTGCTGTATAAACATACACATGCAGGTGTGTTTTTTAAATAATGACTTATTTTCCTTTGGGTAGATATCCAGTAGTGGGATTGCTGATTGAATGGTAGATCTACATTTAGTTCTTTGAGAAATCTCCATATTGTTTACCATAAAAGTTGTATTAATTTACATTCCTACTATCATTATGAGCATTCCTTTTTAAATATATTTGCACCAATATCCATTGTTTATTTACTTTTTAATAATGGCCATTCTGGCTGGGGTCTGGTAGTATCTCATTGTGGTTTTAAATTGCATTTCCCTGATGATTAGTGATGTTGAGGATTTTTTCATATATTTGTTGGCCATTTTTATATCTTCATTAGAGAAATTTCTGTTCCTAGTTTGCCCATTCTTTAATGGGATTATTTGTTTTGTTCTTACTGATTTATTTGTGTAAATTTATTTGTGATTATTTTGTTCTTATAGATTCTGGATATTAGTCTTTCATGGAATGCTTAGTTTACAAATATTTTCTCCCATTCTTCAGGTTGTCTGCTTACTCTGTTGATTATTTCTTTTGCTGTGCAGAAGCTTTCTAGTTTAATTAAGTTCCATCTATTTATCTTTGTTTTTGTTACATTTGCTTTTGCATTCTTGGTCATAAGTTATTTGCCTAGGCCAATGTCCAGAAGAGTTTTTCCTAGGTTTTCTTCTAGAATTTTTATAGTTTCAGGTCTTAGATTTAAGTCTTTAAATCATCTTGAGTTAATTTTTGTATATGGCGAGAGATAGGAATCCAGTTTCATTCTTCTATATGTGAGGCTCTGTGAGTTTAATTGCCTGTCTAAATTTATATAATAATTCAGTGGCCAAGTAAGCCCAGGTCTTTTGAGTACAATTTAAATAATCTTTTAAATATAGTGTTTCAAATAAATAAACAAGCAAACAAACACCAAGTATTCCCCTCCAACACAACAACTTACATTTTATCTGTTGAAAGAAACAACAAAAATTAAACAGATACAGATAAAAGAGTATATACAGATAGCTAATGGAGAGGAAAAATTGTAGTCAGCTTTTGGATACCTTTAAACAATTATCTTTCCAAAAAGAATCTTCATTTCCTTTGAAGTTTTCACATTCCTGACTACATATTTTCCCTAGCATTGTTCTCCTTGCTTGATTAATTCACCTCATATATTGTATTTTGATCTTCCATGGATGAAAGGCAGTACTTATCTAATTAGTTAGTTTAACTATTGGATAACTATAAACTGTTATTTGTAGGACCTATTCTATGCTATTAAATATAATTTTACAAGACACAATTCAAAAACTTGATGATGATCTTCAGAGACTTTCATTTTTGTTGAGGTATAAGATGTGGCAAATAGACAACAGCTAAGGAACAATTAAAAGTATGTGCATGCACAATGATTAGATGGTAATGCAGGTATATTTAACAGAAAAACCTTTCAGAAAAAGGAGTAATTCATGAGAACAAACAGGGTCAGATGTCAATTAATGAACGAGAACTCATTTTAGTTAACTTTTGAAGTAAGCATGAGTAGGATTTTTACTGACATAAAGAGAGGGAGTAGAGGTTATTAAAACGGAAAGAGTCAGCATGAGAAAATATCAGAATAAGTGTGAAGTGTAGGAAATAAAGACAATCTACTTGTGGATTTTAGTTAAGGGTACATTTTGAAGAGGAAATGGTGAAATGGCTCTGTTGTCTGGGGAACCACCCAAGGTTCTTTGTCTCCTGCCAAGAAAATTAGTGACACGGACGCACATGTAGAATGGATCAAGGAGCAGAAAGTTTAACTGGCAAGAAAGAAGAGAACAGCTCCCCCATACTGGGGGAGGAGGGCTCCAAACAGAATAACCCCACTTGTAACAGAAAGCAGTAGGTTATATTGAGAGTCTTAAGGAGGTGGTGTCTGATTTACATAGGGCCCAGGGGACTGGTTTGACCAGGTGTGTCATTCACATAGCCCATGAAAAGACTGAGTCTCCCAAGCTAACCCTTTATTATGCAAATGCGGCTTCTACCTGGCTGTCTCCATGACACCTTCACATGTGGCCTCTACCTGGCCAGTGCCATGACACCCGCACACATGGTGACACAGAAAAGGGAGCCGGAATTGTCATATTGGGTACACCTGGCTCTTAGCCACCTGCATTTGGCTTGCATATCTATGCTTGCAGCTCTGGCTTTTCCAGCTGCTTTCTATTAGAAAATAAATGTTGTGGGGGCTGCTTTTTTATTAAAAGAAAAAGCCTTATTGTAGACTCTTTTACCCTTTCTAGCTCCCTAAAATAATTTCTTAATAACTCCTATAATAATGGGACTTTTATACAGGTCTTATATGATCTCAAGAAACCAAAAGCCATCCAAACTTGTTCAGCAAACATTGGAGTTTCCTGAAAGAGTAGAGGATATTCTTTTAGAAACCAGAAGGAAAAACTAGTAACAATAAACTCTCAACCTGAGACTCTGAAAGTAGAAACATCATCTGAAATTGATTACAGTCCCAGTGATGATGACCATGATGTTGATAATGGTATTGATAATGAATGTGACAATGATGATTATGGGGATTATACACATTTACCAAATGTTCTTATATGTCAAGCTCTTTATTAAGTAATTTACAAACATTTTATTTACTTAAACCTTAGTAATAACCTTCTAATAATATATTATTTTTACCATTTTGTACAGAAGAAAACTGAAATTTTTCTAGAAATTTAAAAAAATTCCAGTTTTTTAAATTTCTTTGTGAAGATCCAACTTCCCTTTTGCTATTATTTTCCTTCACCCTGAGGATTTTGTTTTGACATTACTTTTGGGTCAGTATGCTCTCACTACATTGCCTTAGTTTTCTTGTACCTAAAAATATTTAATTTTGCATTCATCTTTGAAGGTTAGTATTTTGAATATAGAATTTGTGGTTAAGTTTCTATTATTATTATTATTTCAGCACTTTAAATTAACGTTTCACTGCCTTCTAGTCTTCACAATTTCTGATGAGACATCTATGGTCATTTTAGTTTTTATTTCTTGTAGATAATGAATGTGTCATTTTCTTCCTAGTTATTTCAAAATTCAGTGTTAATATTTAGTTTTCAGTCATTTGACTATGTTGGCCCTAGGCATGGCTTTCTTTTTTTATTTATTCTGTTTGGATTTAACTAAACTTTTAAAATCTAAAAATTTATATCTATTACCTAATCTGGGAAATTTTAAGCAATTATTTTTTCAAATATTTTCTACCTTATTTTCACTTTCCTCTATTTCTGACATGCCAACTTCAATTATATGAGATATTTTTTATATTGTCTCACAGGCCCCTCAGGGTCTATTCATTTCTTTAGCCTTTTTAAAACCTCTTTCTTCAGATTTGATAATTTTTAATCTAACTTCAAGTTCACTGACAACTTCCTCTCTCATTTTAATTGACATTATTAAGCCCATTCAGACGATTTTCAATTTTATTTTTTCAGTTATAAGATTTTCATTTTTAGCAATATTTTTATTTTTATCTTGAGATTTGTTTTGTTTCATTCATTTCATTTTTATCATGATTTCTTCTTGTTTGATAAGTCTAATGTCATCTTATAGTTGCCTTCTGTTGATCATCTTTGTCCTTGAGAATAAGTGACATTTTCCTGTTTCTCGTGTTTTGGGAAACTGCAGATTATACCCTGGGTATTATGACTATTAGTCTGTGGAGACTCTGGATTCTATTCTACTCCTCCAAAACAGGGGTGATTGACTTTTGTAAAGAAACTAACTTAGCTAAATTTGTAATATCTGACTCACTTAAAATGGGCAACTGAAAAAGCAGTTGAATTCATTTATCATCTGCAAGTTGCATTGAATTAGCTTTGTCATTTATAACATAGAGATTAACCAGATATATTGACAGAGTTTATATACAGACTTTGGGTCTCTGCTTTTCTGCTTCTTTTCTTTAAGATATTCCCAATATTTACTTTCTGGTAAATGCGTTGACCCTGGTTCTTCAGACCATAGACAATGGGTTTTCGGAGTCAGCCACTCCAGGCCACACTGCTCCATGACTAAGATTTGCCCTTCACTAAAGCTGTAACAATGTAAAACTCACTTCATACTGCTCTTTTCTTCAAAATTTAGGTAAACCAAATCAACCTGGTTTTTCTCATTCTTCAGAGATTTCAGGTAATTTGTTCCGTGTGTGTTGTTCAGAATTTATGGTCATTTGTGGTCTGTTAAGAGCTGAACCGTATTTAACCACATAGAAGCAGAACCATATTTATCTCATATTTGTATCATATCTTATCCATTCCAGAGAAGTAATTATGTTTCCTCAGTGGCAGAAAATAAAATAAAATTAACTTGCTCAGCAAACATTCTTTCAAATCTATCATTTATCCTCAGAATTAGAGTTTTAAAAATTAACAAACATAAATTAGCTTTCTTGGTCATTAATGTTTGTGATGTTCTGTGGTGGCCTCTTTCCTACAGCAGTTGATAAGGTCAGTTTTAAAAGATGGAAGTATTAAGAGAGAAAATCATGCATGAAAATAATTTTTTGTCATTTAAAAAGATACCCATTAAAATGTATCACAATATTTCCACTGTACAATTGGATATGTGATGAGGTTAGAATTCAGTGTTATTTATAGAAATATAATGAATGGAAAAAACTTTATCCAAAAATCAATAGAATGCAAATTATTTCATGAAAATACGTTGATAAAGGAGAGAGGTTTACACGTAACTTTAAGCATTTCTTTTAGGTAGTGTAAAAATAATATTCATTATAATGTAAGCTTTTGAGAGAAAATTAAGACTTTGATGAAAAAAATCCAAGATATTTGTTTTTTTAACAGTGATTTTGACCTGAGTTAGGAACATTCGAGAAGATGTGGCTTATAGGTAATGAAGTAGAATGCCAGCGTGTGAAGACTTTTGCCTGTGATGTTAAAACTGATTAATGTGAAGAAAATGCAATGCTTTTATCCATCATGAGCTTTGAGGGGGGAAAAAAGTTTTAGAGAAAAGTAAACAAGTAAAAACAAAGGATTAAATAGGAAAATGAAGAGTGCTGGCCTAGCATTTAGGGCATTTGATATCCTGTGGACTTCTAATTAATTAAGCAGGTTTACTTAAACAGTGGTCTTTGTGTCTCTGAGCTCTCACTTCCTTATTGAAAAATGAGCATTTTGAACCACATACATTAAAAGGGGGGAAATAAACTAAATCAAATTTATGCTGTAGCACTACCTACTCACAATTCTTTTCATGTACTTTAAAATATGGGCCTGGATATTTCTTTGCTTATTTTATCCTAATAACAAAAGCTTTTGTTTAAAAAAAGTATTGTTTTTCCCATATTATACAAGAAAATTTTGATACCAAAAATCTAAGTGATTCATTCAAGACCACCAATCGATAAAGAAATGAGTCTCATAAGGAGTTCATGAATTCTGAACACAATTTCCTGAGTTCCTTCTTCCACCTAGCTTTGCCTGTCCACTTCTATGCAAGGCAAAACCAGTAAGAATGAAATCACAGACATTAAAAAATAACACTGAAAGGAAAGCTCAGATTTTCAAGCAGAGAAAATTTCTCCAGTCTTTAGGGAATTAGAATCACCCCAGCTTAATTTGATCCACAATCTCATGTATTTCTAGTTCATTAAAATATTATGGCAGGATTTCACATTGGCACCTTTCCCAAATGCATATATTACCATTTGTCATTAGTTTATCTTTTCTTTCTTAGTCAATTCTTGGTTTAAATGGCTTTTTAAGAAATTCTGAATAGTTTTAAATTAATTTGCAAGCAAACATTTATGATATCCTATATCAAATGGTAAATTAAAAACTAAATATGTTCCATAGAGTTTCTCTTTCATAAGTTTATTTTGTAACCCTTAATCTGATACAATTTATGCTTTACATATTCGTTCTCTTCCTTGCTCATAAGGCATTGTTTTCTCTGCTTCTCCTTCCCCATCCTCTGATACTTTGCTGCATTCTGTTAAAATAAATTAGATAGTGAATTCTTAATTTGTCAATTCTCAGGCTTTGAGTTCTTTCAAAATTGTGTTTAAAGATAAATTTATAAAATTTCTCTTTTATCCTAAGAGAAGCTGATTTGCAATTGATTCCACTGATATTCAAAAAGGTTGGCAGCCCTTCTTATTGTGAAGCCAGTACACAAGGGATATTTTAAAATAAATGAGATACCAGTTGACCATTCTCGCATAGACCCACAAGTCTTTTAATAGTACTTTAATTGCTTTTTTACTACTGTAAACTAATAAATTAATGTATTTAGTATGGTCCATTGTCCTATTTTTTTTAAATTAAATAATTCTGAACAGGAGAATAGAAATGTTGCTTCTGATGTTCAGGCTTGATAAGTGTCCTGACAGCTTTCTTGCTGTCCAAGTTTGAAACGACAGCTGTTTTATCAGAAATAGCTTCAGAATTCAGGGATTTTCTCTACTATCTGCCTAGTCACACTGTGCTCAATTGCCTACCCATCCTGACTCATCTTATTTTGTTTGCTACCTTTCGGGCTCATTATGTGAATTCCCCTCTGCCCAAACTTTCCTATTGATGACTCTCCTGGACTTGCTTTGTTTCTCTCTTTGGATTTTTGCACTTGTGCCAGGAATTGAGTGATTCCCTGACATTGGCATGGTTCAGCAGATGTGCACACACACACAGGGCATAGATGTCATATTGAGTTTGATGGTGGGATGGGGGTGGTAATGGGGTCAACAAGTCCAAGTCCAAATGCGTGAAATGAGGAATCAGAACAGAAACCTCCCGCCAGAGAAACAGGATCAAAGGAAGAAGGGGAAATGAAAGAGAAAAAAAAAAAGAGAGAAAGAGAGAGGAAATGGGAGAAGAGTAAATGGAAAGAGGGATTTATGTTAAGCTTTGTTTTGTTTTGTTTTGTTTTTATCAGATTGGGAAGTGACCTGGCGAGTCCTAGAGATGATTTGAATAACTGATTCAATAAAATAACAGGTGATATTTACCTCTTGAGTAATCACAGTTTCACAGTTTGCTTACTAGTTGTGATTTTGTTTTGAGAAGTGGCAAATTCTCAGAATATATTACAAGCACTGCTATTATCTGAAGACAAGTGTAAAGAATTCAATTTCAAATCTAAGTATTTAAATACAATTATCTGAAGTTTTATTATGTCTGAGACTTCATCTCTTTTATTAGTTGGAATGTTTAGAAAGCAATATCTGTATTTCTTTCAACTATTTCTAAGCCATATGGAAATTCCATATTTTAAACACAGTTTCCTGAAATGGAAAAAATATCAGATCCGACTAAGCAAATCTAACTGATCTAAAATTACTTAAAGCAGTGTATAATGCTAAATCCAACTCGTCTATTAACCATAGAACATTGGGACCTATATATGAATGTATAATTGTATATATGTATATCTAAGTATATTTATTAGAAGATAGAATTCTTAAATGTGAAGGCCATATATCTACACAATCTAATCCTAAATTTTACTTTTAAATTAGAGAATGCAAGAACTATTTTATTAAAAATAATTTTTATCTACTTGGAGAGCTCAGAAAATTAAAAAAGTTTAACTTGAAAAATATTAAGAAGTAAGCAACTGTGACCTGTTTTCACTGTGGTCTGTGATCCAAAATCATGAACAGATGTAGCTTCTTTTTTTC
This sequence comes from Homo sapiens, assembly GCF_000001405.40. Classification (NCBI taxonomy): domain Eukaryota; kingdom Metazoa; phylum Chordata; class Mammalia; order Primates; family Hominidae; genus Homo; species Homo sapiens. The sequence continues at coordinate 40,903,767 of NC_000018.10, forward strand.
TCATAACTTTCAAATAGCAAAAAAAAAAAATAATAAAGTTACCTTTTATTTATGAGTTATCATTTTTTCTTCTATATTTTGACAAATAACGTGACAGAAAAATGATTAAGTTTCTCATTTCACAATGTGACTTGTGTGTTATTTATTGTTAAAATAAAAGTCACTTTGTGAATCAAAGTTTTTAATCTTTCCTTTTCAATCTCAAAAAATGTTTTGTCGGGAAACGGATTTTAGTAAATACCTTTTTTTCATCCTAATGACAGGTAAGTCCTTTTAAATGACTCATTGCTAATTAGTTCAGAGCAACATTCCAAAAGAATATTTTATTTTTGGAACCTCGTTTTATTGATTTTCTGCTCCAGTAGCGTGACTAATGCACATCACAGTTAGAGCTCTGCAAAATGTTTGCAGCAAAACCCCAAACCAGGTAATAATCACCTGATATTTACCTGGTTTCTTCACTTTCTTATCAACCAAATCATCAGGCTCAATTCCTGAAAAGGTTCTTGGTTTTTACAAGCGTTCCCAACAATACTGAGCATTCCTCTGTGTCAAAATCATTTCTCTTGCAAATTCCCAAATTCAATCTTGAAATGAAATGAGATGCTATGGTTTTGGCTGTTCTTTGCTTTTTATTTTTGGTTCAGTGATGCCTGAAAGTCAAAATGAAACTGAAGTACAGGACCATGGGAATCCAAGTGAGTAATTTAAATGAATCTCAATGAGTCCAGCATGCTGAGTTTTAGCAGCATAGACATTGCCAGAACCACAAAGTCTCCAGAACCTATGCAGGATGACAACTGGCTTTAAAGATCAAAGTGTAGAATAGCACATTGCTTTTTCCATAACAGCCTGCGTCTACAGTATCCTTTCTCTTTGTGAGTCTATTTCAAGCTTCTCATTTTCCAAGATTGCTACTGACCTTGCCACAGAGAAAGAATATACAGTGTTTAAATTCACCAGGAAGATTATCTTGTGATATTTCCTTCTCCATATTTACTTTCATCCAATGAAGAAAACCAGAGGATTTAAAAAAGCATGGCTTTTATTCAATTTACTTATCATAAAAAAGTTTATATTGAAGGAAACAAAAAATAAAATTGTTTATTGAAAACATAATAAATCGGATAAAATAGAATATACCTATTGATTTAACAGCTATAAAGCTTTAGATTTAGATGGAAAAAAATGTTGGGAGTGGAAGGTAGGATTGATCAGGAACTGACTAAAAAACCAATGAAAGCTATGGTTCATTTCCACAAATGTCTGTGTATCATACAAGAATACATACTTTTTCAGTGGACAAACAAATTCTAGGTTTAAAAAACTTGTCTTCTAGAGAAACCTTAATAGAGGTTTCTCTAGAAACCTTAAGTTTCTGGAATTAAGTGCCATTCTGTCAATAATTTTCTGTAAAAGTTCAATATTTCTTAACACTAAATGAGGTTTCTAAAATTAAATATACTTTTATTTTCTGAATGCACCTCCTCATTCAGTGTTTTAAAATACTGAAAATGAATCCATAGTGTTTAGAGAAGAAGAGTTTACAACTCAGAATTTTATGCCAAACTGAATTATCTCACATGAGAGCTTTAGAAATAGATATTAAATTCATAAAAATGGAAATAATTATTCTTCATCAATAATTTTGAAATATAGTACTTTTCAAGCTCTAGGCCAGAGGGTCCAACTATTTTCCAGTACTGACTATCTATTTTCTCATTAATTTTTTCACTGTACCCCTACCAAAATAAATACCTGAATGGTCTATTTTTTAAGAAGTTAGGTCCAAATAACTTAAGGAGTATTCATATTTTTAAAACTTAGTAGTTGTCTGAAAAAACTAATAAACCTACATCAGAAGAAATAGTATTTTATTTCTTTTTTTTTTTTTGAGACGGAGTCTTGCCCTGTCGCCCAGGCTGGAGTGCAATGGCACAATCTCTGCTCACTGCAACATCCGCCTCCCGTGTTCTAGCAGTTCTCCTGCCTCAGCCTCCCGAGTAGCTGGGATTACAGGCACCCACCAGCACATCTGGCTAATTTTTGTATTTTTAGTAGAGATGGGGTTTTATCATGATGGTCAGGCTGGTCTCGAACTTCCGACCTGAGGTGATCCACCTGACTTGGCCTCCCAAATTGCTGGGATTACAGGTGTGAGCCACCACACCTGGCCGTATTTCATTCTTAAATAGCCACCATTGCTTACTACAGGCATTTTTCCACCTGTAGTACAACTTCCTAATCCTTAGTCAGATTAGATTTACCACTATCATTATTTTCTGTGGCAAAATGATTGCCATGCAATACTTGTTTTACATCACAGAATCCATGAACAGACAGTTTTATAAAGATACGTATGTGATCTAATGTTAACTACCTCAAACTGTGAACTACCTTGAGCTGATAGATCATGCAGTCTTTAACAGTTGATACTGTGTTTCTATCAAAAGTTTAAGATAATCTGAAGTTTTCCTGTGAGCTAGTTGTGGCACACTGACCACTATAGTACACAGTTTTGTAAACAACGTTTTAGACAAATGAGAGTGGAATAAATATTAGGGAATCAAAATGTAGAAAGTGATGTTACAAACTAATAAAGGATTATCCCTTAAATGATATGAACCTCAAGTTCAGATGTCCCATTAGATTTAGTCTTGTTAGATATATTTTTCAGCTTATAAGTAAGTTTTTTTGGGGGGGCGGGGAGAGAAAAATGTTTAAAAATTCTCCTCAACCTATTTTTTTTTCTTTTTCTATTAGATACCTTAAAATAATATTGGATGACTTTTATAAGGCAAATAGAAATTATTTTTTCAGTACTTTATAGGTCCAATTTTGCATATACCAATGTGCAGACATGTGCAGACAAAAACCCAGTAGTAAATGCACCAGTGCATTAAAACATAATTCATTAGAGATTGAGGAGTGTAGGGAGAAGACAGGGATAGGAAGAGAGATTTGCTGAACATTACAAAATTACAGTTTGAAGGAGTAAGTTCTAGTGTTCTATAGCACTGTTGGATAATTATAGTTTACAATTGTATGTAGTTACAAATAGCTAGAAGGAGGTTACTGAACATTCCCAACACAAATAATTGATAAATGTTTGAGATGACTATGCTAATTACCCTGATATGATCACTATGCATTATATGTATTGAAACATCACTATGTACCCCCTGAATATTATGCGGTACATAGTGATGTTTCAATAATTATTTGTCAACTAAGAAATAAAATTAAAAAATAAACTTTGGAGGAGAGTCTTCTTCATTCTGTTCTTTTCATATTATCAACATTTTTATAATCTGCATTTTTTCATATTGAAAGAAAATAAATTTATTTAAAAAGAGAAATGGGGAAATACTAAAATAAAAACATTTTAATTGATTGTTATTAATAACAACATTATCTAGGAACAGTAAAAATTATGAAAGGACAAAAAATAGCTGAAGAGGTAAATCAATTTAGAAACAAAAAATTCAAATGTAGGAAAAGCAATAACATAAGTATAATATCTGATTTTTTCTGATTTTCTTTGTGCGAACAACTTTAAATTTCTGTATTCCATAATTTTTCATATGGCTTAATACTTTTGAAAATAAAAACCAGGATGCAAGAAAGAATGCCTAGTTGTGCAAAATACTATGTAAATGTGAAATGTTATTGTCATTCTTTAGACTATGATAATTTTTTGAGTATTTTAGGGGCATACTCCCTATCCTCTGTTAGTAAAGTAATAGAAGTGCCCCCTACTCTCTGCTCGGGCAAGGATGTTCTCTCCAAATTCCAAGATTTCATGGCTTAAACCTCGCTCAAATGTCTATCTTAAATATCCTTTAGAACAACAAACACCACTTCCCTCTTGTTCTGTCTTGCAGTTTTCATTGCAATGTTCATTTCTCATCTGAGTGTACTATTAAGATGTTCATAGAATTTTATAAGTAGACAATTGTATTCATCAAATTATTTTTAAAATGGTGTCTGTTTGCTTTTAAGATACAAACAGTTAAACTAATGGGAAAGAGGAAATAAGCAAATCTAGAAGTGTTAAATGTTAGGCTTATAGATTTGCATCTAAGTAAAAGAAATTTTGGCATGCAATTAGAAATCGAATTTCTTCTCTTTTGCTCATGTGGGCTTAATTCTTGGTACTGTTTTCCTTTATTTGGTATCGTAGTGTAAGTAATGTTTGCTATGCAATTTGCTTTCATTTTAGCTTGGACTTCTTTTCCCCTGGGTTTCTAATTTCATTTCCATATGTGGATTGTTTTACCACCAATTAGTGCTAGATGACATGAATGAGGGTTTCTTAACAACTGTTCTCAATTATTTTTGAGACACATGAACACATTAGCTGCCAATTAGTCTGAATTCCACTCTCATCTTCTAACCCCTTATCTAATCTTCCTTACAAGGAACAATGGATAACTTGTAAGGTGACCAAAATTTTAAAAAGAAATAAAAATAATAATGACAAAAATTACTAAACCACAGAAAAATCATTTAATTTTCTCTTAATATTTTGTATATATACAGGCATATCTCAAAGATATTGCGGGTTTGGTGCAGACCTACAATAAAGTGAATACAGCAAGAAAACAAGTTAAGGACTTTTTTTCACATTAAAGTTATGTTTACATTATACTATAATCTATCAAATATGCAATAGTATTATGTTTTTAAAAACAATATATATACTGTAAGTTAAAAATGCCTTATTGCTAAAACAAATGCTACTAGTAAGCTGAATCTTCAGTGTGTTGAGATCTTTTTACTGATGGAGGGTAATGCCTTCATGTTGATGGCTGCTGACTGATCAAGGTCATGGTTGCAGAAGGCTGGAGTGGCTGCAGCATTTTCTTAAAATAAGACAACAGTGAAATTTGCTGCATTGATTGACTCTTCCTTTCACTAAACATTTTTCTGCAGCAGGCAATTCTGTTAGATAGCATTTTACCTTCAGTAGAACTTCTTTCAAAATTGGAGTCAATCCTCTCAAACCCTGCTGCCACTTTATCAACCATTTTTATGTCATATTATAACTCCATGGTTGCTATTTCAACAATGTTCAGAGCTTCTTCACCAGCAGCAGATTCTATCTCAAGAAATCACTTTCTTGCTCATCCATAAAAAGCAACTCCTCATCTCCTCAAGTTTTATCATAAGATTGTAGCAATTCAGTCACAACTTCAGGCTCCATTTCTTACTTTAGTTCTCTTGCTAGAGAGAGATCTCTTGATTCTCTTCAAATGTGGTACTCTTCCATCACACTGCAGTTGTTTCCTCAACTGAAGTCTTGAATTCCTTAAAGTTATCATGAGGGTTGAAAACAACTTCTTCCAAACTCCTGTTAATGTTGATATTTTGACATCTCCCCTTGAGCCAGGAATGATCTTAATGGTATCCAAAATTATAAATCCAGCCCATCAGGTTTTCAATTTACTTTGCCCAGATCCATCAGAGGAATTACTATCTATAGCAGCTATAGCCTTATGAAATGTATTTCTTAAATAATAAGACTTGAATGTTGAAATTATGCCTTGATCCATTGAGCTCCAGAATAAATGTGTTAGCAGGCATGAAACACATGTACAGCTACATCAGAGCTTTTGGGTTACCAGGTGTATTGTCAATGAACAGCAATATTCTGAGATAATTATATTTTGTGGAATAGTTCTCAATAGTGGGCTTAAAATATTCAGTAAACCATGCTGTAAATAGCTGAGCCATCATCCAGGCTTTGTTACTTTATTTGTAGACCACAGGCAGAGTAGATTTAGCATCAATCTTAAGAGCTCTAGGATTTTTAGAATGGTAAATGAGTACAGTCTTCAACTTCAAGTCACCAGTTCTATTAACCTGTAATAAGAGAGTCAGCCTGTTCTTTGAAGCTTTGAAGCCAGACATTGACTTTTCTTCCAACTTTTCTTCTGTAGCTTCCTCACCTCTTAGCCTTCATAAAATTGAAGTGATTTAGGCCCTTTCTCCGGATTAGGCTTCTGTTTAAGGAAATGTCTTGGCTGGTTTTATCTTCTATTCAGATCACAGAAGCTTTACTCCATATCAGCAATAAGGCTGCTTTTCTTTCTTATCATTCATGTATTCGTTGGAGTAGCACTCTTAATTTCCTTCAAAAAATTGTCCTTTGTTTGGCACAAGAAGCCTAGCTTTTGACCTCTTCTCGTTAAGTTTAATTGTTTCTAGGCTTTGATCAATTTTCCTTTGTTATGAGATGGGATCTTACTCTTCCACTCAGGCTAAAGTGCAGTGGTGCAAGCATAGCTCACCGCAACCTCGAATTCCTGGCCTTGAGAGATCCTCCTGCTTCAGCTTCCCAAGTAGCTGAGATTACAGGAATGCACCACCATACTCAGCTAATTAAACCTTTTTTTTTTTTTTTTTTTTTTTTTAGAGATGAGGCCTTGCTATGTTGCGCAGGCTGGTCTCGAACTCTTGGGCTCAATAATCCTCGGCCTCAGCCTGTCAAGTGCTAGGATTACAAATGTAAGCCCCTTCCCCCAGCCTAGCTTCTGATTTAAAGTGAGAGATGTGTTACCCTTTCTTTCTCTTGCACACTTAGATGCCATTATAGGATTATCAATTGGCCTAATTTCAGTATTGTTGTGTCTCAAAGAACAGGGACATCTGAGGAGAGAAAGTGGAGGGGAGAAAGAGTCAGTGGAAGAGTCAGAGCACACACAACCTTTATCAATTAAGTTAATTGTCTTATGTGGGCGTGGTTCATGGTGTCCCAAAACAATGACAGTAGTAACATCAGATGTCAGTAATCACACATCACCACGACAAATATAATAAGGAAAAAGTCTGAAATATTACGAGAATTACAAAATGTGACACAGAGACAGGAGGTGAGCACATGATATTGGAAAAAATGTGTTAATAGACTTGCCTAATGAAGGATTGCCACAAACCTTCAATTCTGAAGAAAGCACAATATCTGCGAAGCGTGATAAAGCAAAGCACTTTAAAACGAGATATGCCCGTGTATAGCTTACTTGACGATGGATTCTTTATCCTTGTGTAATTATCTTCTAATAATTCCATAGTGATATAATGTTAACAGCAATTAGTTTATTCCCTAGATTAAAAAAATAAAATATCATCACCACGTGTCTTTAGAGTTACAATTTATAATCTTCAGGCATATTTGTCTTTGATTATCTGGAATATAATACCACTTGCTTTAAATTTGCTTTCACACATTATTTTATTAGTACCTTAATAGAGTTCACCCTGCTGATATTGTTATTTTTATTCTGCAGGGGAAAATATATTAATAGATTTAGAAAATGTAAATAGTCCCTGAAAAATGTCATGAGTTAAAGCGTGTCCAAGAGTCAGCTGATTCTTAGTCCCACAGCCAGTTCCAGAATAAAATGTCAGTAGGTATTTTTAAAGATAATTATTTGCTTT